>NC_000010.11:57870368-62870368 GCF_000001405.40 Homo sapiens | reverse complement strand
TGAACTTTATATAAATAAAGTATGTAAAAATATTAAAAATTAAATTATTAAGTTCAATTTGAATAATAAGAACATTTTCACATGTGCCCATCCACTAGTCGTTTTGAGGGAGGAGAAGGAGAGGAGAAGCAGAGAGATGACTACCACATCTCTACAGACTCACCAGTGATGCTATTGTTGGGATGTTAGTAAGTGTTAGTAATTACACCAGCATAAGCCACCAAATCTATTAATTTTTTTGAGTTGGTGGATGAATCACTTACTCCTTCCTTTCAGGCTGACAAAGCAGAATGCTGAAGTCCCCTTCGGGCTTAGCATGTGGACGCCAAAACCTAGCAGATTCTTGAGCTTTGAAATACTGCCAACAAGATAGGCTGTAAGGAGCTAATTCAGTTTGATGGGTCCAATCAGAGCATCCTTCCACATGCATAAAGTCCACGTGTTTACAGAACTAGAGGGACCCATGAAGGAGGCAGAGGTTAATATCTGAGCAAATAGGGGATCTGTTAGCAAAAGTGGGGAAGGATGGCAACTGGGGAAGAACCAACAGTGTCTGCCATAGTATCATTGTCATGACTATCATCACATGAGCACAGTGACAACAGAGAGCCCACAAAAGAACATCCTCTGTTTATTTCAGTTTTCCCCCAACTCCAGGGTGGGGTAGGTGTGCATTAGTTTCTTAAAGCTGCTGTGACAAAGTATCACATATTGGGAGGCTAGAAGTCCAAAGTCAAGGTGTCATCAGGGCCTTCCTTGTAGAGAAGACACCTTCCTTGTAGGGGAGACACCTTCCTTGCCCCTTTCTAGCCTTTTTTGGCTTGCAGCTGCAGCATCTCAATGCCTCGCATGACACCTTTCCTCATGTGTCTGCTCGGTATCCCTTCTCCTCTTCTTATAAGGACACCAATCATATTGCATTAAGGGACCCCTTAGTCCAGTAGAAACTCATCTCATCTTAACTGTACTACTTACATTCACAACGACCTATCTTCTAATAAGGTCACATTCTGAGGAGCTGGAAGTTAAGACTCCAACCAGGGGATCATGGGAGGCTTTTCCTCCATCCCAGCTTTGGGGGCTACAGAGCTAAGACTGGAAACTGGCCTTGAATAAATACTTGTTTTGAAGCTCCAGGCTATGAAATTTCACTCAAAAGTTTATAAGAGGTAGCTGGGCATGGTGGCTCACGCCTGTAATCCCAGTACTTCAGGAGGCCAAGGCAGGTGGATCACCTGAGGTCAGCAGTTCGACACCAGCCTGGACAACATGGTGAAACCCTGTCTCCACTAAAAATATGAAAATTAGCTGGGCATGGTGGCTGTAATCCCAGCTACTTGGGAGGCTGAGGCAGGAGAATCACTTGAACCTGGAAGGCGGAGGTTGCAGTGAGCCAAGGTTGCACCATTGCACTCCGGCCTGGGCGACAAGCGAGACTCCATCTAAAAATAAATAAATAAATAAATAAATAAATAAATAAATAAATAAATAAATAAAGTTTATAAGAGGCATAATTAGGAGCAGCAAGAAAGCAGTGTGGTTAAAATGTAAAGCTCTGTTGGTTGGGAGCCATCTCAGAGCTGGGTGGGAATCCAGTTTTGACGTTACTAGTTATGTAACACTGTAGTTTCCCCTCTGTGAGATCAGAATCATAGGGATTGGGAATAAGTATTAAAAAGGCAATTTATGCTGACCTCTGCCCTTGGCCCATAATAGGCTCTCAACACTGAGCGCATCCTTATGCCTCAGTTTTCTCAAAGGCATAAAATTCAGGAGGTATCTTTTCATGCAAGATATTGCTTGCAATCTTGACTAGATGGAGTTTTGTTTCTCATCAGATTTTTTTCAGTCTTCTTTCATCCTGTCATTTTTGGGATGCTTAATTTTCCCCTCTATACAAATGTAGAGTTCTTATATTTTCTTTGGCCATATTTTTCTGACTTCAAACTTATATCCAACAAATGAATTAGGGACTCTTTTTAGCTTAATATTACCTTGGTTTTGCAAGTTTTATGGAGTTGAAGCTGTCCCAATAAAAATCAAATCTCCAAGGTTGGAGTTAAGCAGGGACAAAGATTAGTACAGAAAATTTCAGCATGTGTTTGAAGCAAAGGCCAGAGGAAAAACTCTAAACTAATATGTGCATTGACTGCATAGTATAGCTTGGGGAATCTAATTATGATAACCACTACTTATTGAGCAGTTAATATGCACCAAATGTTATTCCAAATATTGTACATATTTTAGTTTATTTGCTTTTCACAACAACTCTAAGAGTTAGGTTGCTTATTGTCCCCATCACACAGATGAGAAAACCAAGGCACAGAGAGGTTATGAAACATGTCCAGCACCACATGCCTGGCAGAGTTATAATTCCAACCAAGGCACTCTGACTTTCAGGGCCCATTTGAGTAACTATTCTGTTATCCTAGCATTTAAACTGGCAAGCTGATGGTGAGTCTGTTGGGATCTGGTCACAGGACAACCACCCACCTGGGTCTGTGCCCTGTTGACCTGTCTACAGCATGACTCCCCAAGGTGAGCTGACCTCCTCCACACTGCAGTCTGCATGCCATCCATGTTCAACCTGGTGATGTCTTGCTTGGATTTCTTCTCTCTGCCAGAAGATCCCAGCTATGTGGGTTCCGATTACTTGCTAAATTGTCCCTGTGAGAAAGTAAGCTGGCTTTGCATGGCCTAGGAGGTAAATGAGCAGAGCCAATAATGAGTGTCAGTAAGGTCAGCCTCACTAATTACAGATGAACTAGAGCTCAGCGTGGCAGATGGAATCATCTAGGATTAATGTCAATGAGTGAATGCATGAATACACCCCCCAGACATCTATAAGGGCCTACTATGTGCCAGTTATTGAAGTCTAGGAGCTCCCAGGGCAGTTCAGACAGCTGCAGAAGTAAGTAAAGAAAGCACAAGGAAATAACGCCTCCATAGAGGTTTGGAGAGAATATCACAGAAGTACAGAGAGGGGAGATCATCATTTCCTGAGGAAGTCAGGAAAATATAGCCAACCTTTCAGCTGCCTAGCAGAATGCACAAGTATCCATCAGGCAGGAGGACAGACCTACTAGGCAGAGAAGAGAATGGCTTATTTCTCAGAGGATCCTTGAACCTCATCTCAGAATCACACGGGATGCTTATTAAAGAAGCAGATTCCTAGCCTCCATTTCAGACTTTTAAATATGCATCCTTGGGGGTGTGGTCCAAGAATCATCATTTTAAATGAGGCTAAAATTTCAGTAGAGCAGTGTTGTGCTGTATGAAAGCCAGGGTTTTGACAATGATTCTCCTGCCCAGGTTTGGGATAGGGAGATAGAATGCTTAGAATAGAGAGTGCAGAGATAGAAAATGGCAAGAAATTAAGAGTAGGTTGAGGCCAGATTTTGAAAATTTCCAGATAAAGACATTGGGCTTTACCTTGGAAGCCACAGGGAACCAGGGAAGTTATAGAAGCAAGGTTGTGACATGATCAAATCCTCATTTTGGAGTGGGTGAGAGGGGATAAGCCAGTCACAGCCATTAACAGGCTCTTGGGGTAGCCCAAGGGAGAGATGACAGAGTGGCTGACCAAGGCAGGCACAGTGGAGTTCCTTTCCTTACAAAGATAGTTATAAGCATATTGCAGAAAACAGAAGACACGAAATTTTCCCATGGTTTACCAGCATATTAGGTGACTTGCACATAGTCTATGATTAATAAATATTTGCTTGATGAGTAGCTACTTAGTGTCACTATGTGCCAACCGTGTGCTGAATATTTTGCATAAACTACCTTACTTAATCCTCACAACATGGCCAGAGAGCTATTACACTTTACAGATGAGAAAAATGAAGTCTTGGAGAAATTAAGCAACTCACCCAAGGTCACAAAGCTAATAAGTGGCAGAGATGAGTTGCAAAAGCAGAAAATCTGAGGCCAGAGTTCATGCACTTAGCCATAATGCCACACGGCCTTGCCAGGGAACAAGGCCATTTCCTTGAGACTCTTCTTACATGCAAATATTTTTACATATTTATCATCATTATCCATAATGTTTCAAATCTTATACCCAAAGCATTTTGCCACATCATAAAATGTTTTCATAAGCCTAATTTTAAATATATGCATGCCTATCTACTGAATGGATATAGATTGCAAATTTACTCACTTAGTATCTTCATTGTTGGTATTTGGTTGTTCCTAGGTTTCACTAGCATAAGTAATACAGTAACAAACATTTTCATGCTGATAATACTTTCTACATCTAATTATTTCCATAGACTAGATTCCTAGAAACAGAATTGCCACTGGATGTAAGGCCTCATGGAATTTTTGAACCCTTGATTCATGTTACCAAATTACACTTTGTAAATGTTTTTACAATTCACAATCACTATGCATCAGGTAGCCACATGCAAAGTTTGAGAGTATCAATTCAGCCTGCCTTGACTTGCATTACACATTATTTATTAGTAAATATTACCCTTATTTAGAAGGTTTAAAGTGATAAATTATATCTAATTGTAATCTGCATTCATTTGATTGTATATTTTCCCATATTTTTCTGACTAATTACATTTCCTCTTTGTGAATTCATCTGCTTGTGCAGTTTGTCTATTTGTCTTCTGGAGGATTTTTAAGAGTCCTTTTCCAGGTAGACTATGCAGACTTGGGGAACACATTAGGGGTGAGGGGATGAGGAAGATGGGACAGTCAAGATTTGAGGAAATCTTTACCACTGACTGCTAAAATGGCCAAATGCTTTCTCAAGTTCAGAATCTACTTAATTAAAATATCTGAGGAGATGACAAAACATCCTTCCTTCTCTCAGCTCACATTGTGCTTCACCAATTAAACAATTGGTACACAGAAAAATTTCTTTCTTTATTTTTGAGATGAGTCTCACTCTTTCGCCCAGGCTGGAGTGCAGTGGCGCAATCTCGGCTCACTGCAACCTCCGCCTCCCAGGTTCAAGCAATTCTTTACCTCAGCCTCCCGAGTGGCTGGGATTACAGGCACCCACCACCACGCCTGGCTAATTTTTTTGTATTTTTAGTAGAGACGGGGTTTCACCATCTTGGCCAGGCTGGTCTTGAACTCCTGACCTCGTGATCCACCCACCTCGGCCTCCCAAAGTGCTGGGGTTACCAGCGTGAGCCACCTTGCCTGGCCGGTACACAGAAAAATTTATACCCACAGTGCCCACTTTCTTCTGGGAAAAGACAGTATTGCTGACTGTGTTTGCAGAAATCCTACTAAAAGACTTAAATTACAGAATTGATGCACTTGATTATGTTTCAATTTTCGGAACAAAGCATAATTAGTGTTTCCCCAAAGTGATTTGCCTACCACAGTGGTGTTGATGTAGGTGGTACCTGGATGAATACTGTTTATTTTAGTGGTTATCTATTTATTTTAATATAGATTAGGAAATACATATCCTGCCTCAGTCTGTGTGACTTCACAGATATGACTGCAAAGAATGGCCCAAAGTTAAAAGAAAAGAGCATGAATCAGTTGAAAGAGGCCAATAACCATGCAAGTGGTAGAACTTGATTAGAACAAAAAGCACAAAGTTGGCAAACCAGTCACTGAATTTTGGGGAGCACAACTTTCCACCATCAACACACTGCATGCCGGATGCCATGCTCGGTACTAAGGATGCAGAGTTAAAGGGACAAGCTTCTCCCTCTAAGAGTTCACAGTCAAAGCCAGGAAGAAGGACATGTAAACTGGTAAATGGTGGAAGCCTGTACTGATGGGGACGAGGGGTGTGCACTGAACAGCCAAAAAATCACAGACAATAACAATGAGACAGGATGAAACCTAACAGCACAGGCCACACAATGGCATATTACAGATATCTTTCTGCTTATTTCCTTTCACAATGTTCATACCTAACAGGATGAAACTAAATTCCTTCCCTCCCTCCCTTCCTTCCTCCCTCCCTCCCTCCCTTCCTTCCTTCCTTTCCCTATCTTTTCTTCCCTTTTCTTCTTTCCTTTCCCTTCTTACCTCCCTTCCTCCCTCCCTTACTTCCTTTCTTCCTTCTTCCTCTCCTTCCATTTTTCCTCCTTCTCCTTATTCTCTCACTCTACCCCTCTAATTCCAGGTTTGTTTTATTTGCCACCAAACTGCCTGCCCACAACATGTGGCACTCAGGACATCCAGGTGTGTGCCGCAGGGCATCAGGGAGATAAATTATGCTTATGTGCCTGGGACAACAGCCTCAACTGGTAAATCAAGTCTGTTCTTTTTACCCTGATGATTTCCTTTTTAAAATTCATCTTGGAGGAAGTTGTGTGACATTTATTTTCCACCCTGGGCTCCTAGCTCACTCAGCTTTGAATAACAACTGGCTACCTTGAGGACTGTGAGCCCTGCTGACCGTGGGAAGTGGGAAAGGGAAATATTTCTGGTGATGGCGCACCAGTTACAATTGGCAAAGCAACCTTGAGAGGATTAAAGTGACCCTTAGAGGATGCGCGAGATGTTATGATCATCCCCAAATAGGTGTGGCACCTGCTATGAACAAGCTGTCATGTTAAGTGCCCTGGGAATAAAACACAGGTGCAAAAGTCTCTGCCCTCAAGGACCATACGAAAAGACTGGCTGGAGACATAATGATGTATATGAGAGCAGTAGCCCTAACCAAGGTAACATATGATAAATACACAGGAGATATATAGAAGAAAGCTCACTTCTGACAAGGCAGATGTGGGAAAAAGAGGTTTGAGCTTCCCCCAGTCTCTCTTGACTCACTGTGTGAATGAATCAATCTGTAAATGGCCCTTGAGGGATCTCTGGATAAGATTTCAACAGGTACAGAGGAGAAATTAGGGCATATGGTTAGAAGGGAGAAAGATAGGGTGGGGAGGGAAAAACCCAAGATGTGACGAATAGAAAACACATGTTTTATTTGGAGAGAGGAAGAGCTTGAGCACACACGTAGACAAGACTATGGCGGAGGGCTCATTTAGGGAGCTAGTGGATGGAAAGCCTGGAAGGTAGATTAAATGACCCATCTCAAGGGTCATGGGGAGCCATTGGCATTTTGTTAGATTAGTAAGAGTGACACCCAATTTGTTCTTTGGGAATATTATTGTGGTAGAGCATGGGTTGGTGGAGGAAAAAATTAGAGAAAGGAAACCAGTTGGGCAGCTATTGCAATAGCCAGGCAAAGACTAATGAAGGCCTGATGAGGGCTGTGGTGATGAGAATGGGAGAGAGGCAAAGGATGAAAGAGGTATTTTGGAAATACAGTGGCCATAGCCCGGCAGCTAGTTGGATATAGAGGGCCAGAGAGAGAACTGAAAGATGACCTTAATGTGATAGAGAGGGGAGGTGCCACCAACCAAGGCTGAGTTGCTGGTTTTGAGGGAATGTTTGGGAGTCTCCTTCATGTATGCATGGGTTTAAGCAAAATGAAACCTGTTTTTATGGAACCATTCATCCCTGGCTATGCCTGGAGGAATAGGGGTGCTGATGCAACTATTGACATCAGGTGGAATTAGGATGTCAGGGAACAAACACATTTTAGGAACTGCTAGGGTGGAGGCTCTGGGGTCTGTCTCAGGACTAACATTCTCTGCTATTTTCAGAGACTCATACAGCTGCAATTTTCTTATAATAAGAGACTCAGAGACCTTAGGAAGGAAGGCTTGGAAGAGTGCTTAACACACCACTCAGCATCACTATTAAGACTTGAGAAATGAGCACTTGCACCACTTTCACTCCTGTGCTTGCCAACTCCCTGCCCAGGGCCCTCTGATTTTGCAGATTCTTTTCCTGGAGCCATTCATTAAAGCCACAGTCAAGAATTTACCAGTCCTATGGCCCTTGCCCCAGGGCCCTGATCTCTGTTAGATGGTGGCTAGCTAAGCAGTTCGGTCATGACTTTCCTCTTCAACAAATAGTCATTGAATGCCAACCAAGGCCAGGCCCTGTTCTAGGCACTCTTTACTGCTGAGATTCTTGCAGCAAACCAAACAGACGGAATCCCTGCCCTCATAGACCAGCATTCTAGGAGTGGAAGCAAACCACCAATAAAATAAATAAGCAAAAGATATGTTCGACAGTGGTAAGTGTTGTGGAGTAAAATAAAACAAGGAAGAGGCTAGGAATTGCTGGGTGAGGAAGCTGCTTAAATAGGGTGGTTAGGACAGCTTCACTAAGAAAATGACATTTGAAGAAAGATTTGAAAAAGAGGAGGGGGTGAGCCATGTCTTTACCAGGGAAGAGTGTTCCAGTTGGAGGGAACAGCAAATGCAAAAACCCTGAGTTGGGGTGCATGCCTGGAGCATTTGAACAGTTGCAAAGATGCCAGCAGGGATGGAGCAGAAGGAAGGAGAGAAAGTAGAGCAGGAGACCTGGAAAGTAATGCAAGGCTTCGTTCAAATGGACATCCCATCTTGGTAACCACATCCTATCTAGGATCTTCTGAAGATGGTGCCTGAATCCTATACAGTGGCCCTAATGGATGGAATTTGGAAAGTGATGTATTTGACCATCCTTTACTTTTGGGTAGGGCTTGCTCTGCAAAGAGTCAAGTGAATGTCCAAGCACAGGAAGGAAGAAAGGTTTCTGGACAGAAAACATCAAAGCTCTTGTTCCATTTGGTAGAGCTGACACCGTGATGGTGCCTCCCCGCCTGTGCTATTGTGGCTGGCAGGAGGCCTGGGTCTTCCTAGCAGCCTCCTCAAAGCTGATTCATATCAGTATTACTCAACGTGTATAGATTCTAAAATAAAAAAAATAAAAATTACTCTAAAAAAGTATCCATGTTCTTTAACTTCTTACATCAGAAGTTGCATTTAGTTTACAGCTTCATTTCTTTTTTCTTTTCTTTTTTCTTTTTTTTTTTTTTAACACCAAACTGCAAGGTGGGGCTGGGAAGAAGAAAACCACGCAGGCTAAAGTCCCTTAAATTCTATACTTAAATTCCATCTCCATGGCAGCATGACAGCCTCCTGACCATGTGGAACTGTCACAAGTTTTGAAGAATAGCTTTAGAGATATAATTCCTCACTTATCTAAAAGCTGCATTCGTTTAATGAAGAGGTTTATTATATCTCCCCACAGCTATTGACCATCAAATTGAGGAGGGGGGTGTTTTCCTTTATTTCTCTGAATTGGGCAACTCACTTCCTCGTTCTGGCTGAGTGCCTAAATGCTTGCAAGGGCAGAGACAAACACAGGAAGGGGGAGGGGGTGGAACGGGACAGAAGGCCTTGCCCATGGTGGAGTCATATGAACTTGTAGATCAAAAGAGCAGTCCTGGCTTTAAAAGACTGTGGCACTATTCATGAACCCGGTGACTGCACAAGAAGGAATACAACTACTTGTTGTCACCAAAAGATAAAAAGCTGCAGCTGGCTCCCCCATCCCCCATCCCCAATCCAACTTAGATGCCCCTGCAAGGAAGGTAGAGGCTTTGACTCCACTTGTTCTCATTAATTGCTGATAAATGACAGACCCATAAAATAGAACCAACAAAAGGAAGTTGGCAAAGAGTGACATGAGTAGTTTCCTTTTAGAGAATGCTCTCAGACTTGAACTACTCTCAATTTTATACCATTTGGTTGGTGATAAGGTGTCCTGGCCCTTTAGTAAAGTTAATGCAACTGAATTTTAGCAGAGTATGTTAGTTCTGGGACTGACCCCAGTGTCTCTACTCTAGCAATTCCCAAAGTGTGTTTGTTCCCTGGAATCCTAATTTCACCTGGTATCAATAGATACTGTGTGGTGGGGAAAAAGGGAGCCTCCTTAGTCAAAAGAATGTTGAGAAATGCTACATTTAAATAATATTGAACAAGTTTTCTTTACTGCAAGACTCTCCAGAACTTTTAACATTCTTAATGGCAAAAATCATACCTATTTCCCAAGTTTGGACCACCCAACCAATAGAACCAGAGCCAAACGACTTGGACTCCCAAGGCTCTTTTCATTTGCCTGAAGAAATACAGAGCATTAAGAAAAATTGAAAACAGAGGTATTCATGAGCCATTGTCGTAAAGAAAAGAGTAAATATCAGATCCAAAAAGTCAGGAGGTCAGGTTTGAGTCAGTCCCAGGTACCTAAATGGAAGACCAAGATTGGGGCAGGCAAAGCAGCAAAACCACAGAAGCCAAGGACGTGCATAGGAAATACATTCATTCTTTCATTCATTCAACAAATCCTTACTGAAGTCTATAAAATGCTAGGCACCATTCTGGGCGTCGGGAATACAAAGGTAACAAAGGCGTGTTCATTGAAGGCTGCTCCTGGGCATGCTCACCTGGATCTCTCTCTAGGTGCTTTTAATGTACTCCCTGCCTCCTTAGCTAGCTGGTCCCCTTCACCTTTGGTAAGGTCTAAGTTCTGCAGGGATCCAGCTGGGCATTGGAGCATGTACTTCCTAGATGATGGGAGAAAGCGGCAGAGGTTAGGAGGGCAGGTCTAGGGAAGAAACTTTTCTGCTTTCTGCTGTATTTCAGCAAAACCGAGAGGCAAGGAGATGTCATGACTCCTTATCCAAGTAGCTTATAAGAACTTTCAATGAGGAAAACCCTCTTAAAGTACAAACCAGAATTCGTAAGAAGGCCCTTGAGTTGAGAGCTTGTGAAATTTCTGGGACAAATGATTGATTCCTTAAAGTGATAAGGCAGCCTGACCAATATGGTGAAACCCCGTCTCTACTAAAAATACAAAAATTATCCGGGCTTGGTGGCAGGTGCCTGTAGTCCCAGCTACTCGGGAGGCTGAGGCAGGACGATCGCTTAAACCTAGGAGGCAGAGCTTGCAGTGAGCTGAGATTGCGCCACTGCACTCCAGCCTGGGCAACAGAGTGAGACTCCGTCTCAAAAATAAAATAAAATAAAGTGATAAGGTATTCCAAGTTCAAGCATGGTGGTTCATCTTGATCAACTCCAGGTTTGGGAGATCCTCCGAGTAATGCTTCCAGACCATAAATTTGGCTTGGTGGTCAGGAGCTCCTTTTCCATAAAGGGGCAATTGATTCAACCAGCAGGATATATATATTTAAATAAGAAGTGCTATATTTGTATTTTAAATAAGAAGTACTACAAGGTAGCAACATGTGGCTTTGGGGTTTCTTTTGGCACACAAAAGCATGAGTGGTCATATTTGAACATCTATTTCTTCCATCAATGGATGGTGAAGAATAGGGCTTGGTGTAGGTTTATATTTTAGGCTTTTTATGGTTTCTTTGGCCACTGGAAACACAAAAACAGCCAGCCACTCCAAGGATTGTAAAATCAACTGTCTACAAGGGCCAGGTAGATAATAATGTAAATGCGGTAAGTGGCCTGAGTGTAATATAGCAGGGAGAGATGGGGACTATGTCAAACTAGGGGGCAAATATCCTGCCCAAAAGGAGGGCAGCTGCCACTCATCTCCAGCTGATTCTTAGCAATATGACTGCAAGATTGCTTCTGATTTTTCAAGAGAAGCTGGAGAGCAAGATTTGTGTGTGTGTGAAATTTTCTAATTTTTAACTGTGGGTAGCCAAATCCAAATTTAAAATAGCACATGGGACAACATCCTGCTGCAAAACTGAATACACCTGAAGGCTGGAGGCAGCTCATAGGACACCACTTTACAGCCCCTTCTATTAGGTCCACTGCGAATTCCTTGAACGAAGGAAATGTGTCTTTTCCGTCTCCATCTCTGCTGGGTTAAAGCCAAGTGGTTGGGATCTGGCTGGAAAATAAACCATAAAGGCAATAGACAGAGAGAGGCACAGGACTGAGCTGAGGGCGGTCCCTGGAGGAGGGTGGGAGAGGCTCCAGAGTCCGGGCTGTGGACCAGGATTGTGGGCAGGAGAGGCCAGGCAGCCAGAGGTTCTGGTGGCCAGGCCCTCTGACGTCAGCTACATTTAAAGGGCCAGGCAAGCACCTCCCTGCTAAGATTTAACATTGCTTGATGCTTTGGTGTTCAAGATTCTGAGGTCTAAGTAATTTCTGTCCTTAACATTCTGGAGTCTGTTTTCCCAGAACTACTCAGGTTCTTTCTTATGCCTAGTATCTTTAGTGTCTTCCTATTCTGAATTAGGAAATGAGGGCTTTTATTTCCTAGAATTTATTTATATTAAAAGTGCTTCCAAGTATAGATATTACATTATATGTCACTATACATTGTTTATGACTCATTATTCTTTATGTAAAAGAACAAAATGAAGAGAAATACAAAATTTGGTAAAAATATCTATAATAAAACACATGGAACTTAATAACACAAGGAGTGAGTCCTAAAGTATAGATTTTTAGTTAGTAATAATGCACTAATAATGGCTCATTAATGTTAACAAATATACCACCCTAATATAAGATGCAATAAAAGGAAGTAGAGTTTATAAGAACTCTTCATCTGTTCAATTTTCTATTAACCTAGTTCTAAAAAAAGTCTATTAATTAAAAAATTTTAATAATGAACTTGACTGTATTAAAAAACCACAGAAAACCTTTTCCCAATGAATCATAGTCTGTCAGGAAAATGACATATATATGCTTCAATGCAATATTCACTTCTTCAGTTTAATCATTTATCCAATAATGATGCTGAGAGTAACTTATTTTCCTTGCATTTTTTTGAAGAACTCAGCTTCCATCAATAACTGTTGATTTTTGCCTAATTTTCTCAAACATCTCTTACCAAGTCTCTAAGTACTTAATTTGAATACTAAGAGAGAGTCTACAGTTTCAGTGCTCACTGAACCTGAAGAGGGTTCACAGTCTCTAAAATTGTTCTTTGCTGAAATTTGTCTCTCCTTCATGGTGTACCTAGCAGAGGATGAATTTGCACTTTTAAAATAAGACTGGAATACTAAGATACACAGGAGGAAAACAATCTTTCATCATATCCAGTTGTTTCTCATTTGTATCCTTTCTCTTTGCCCATTAGGCTAGTAAGTTCTCATTAAACTATAATTTAAGGACATGGTGTTTATTAAAAATGTCATTGCATGATAAAGAAGGGACAAAACTTTGAAAGGAATTAATGGCTTTTCTGTATGATTTTATTTATAATTTCTCCCTAAGTGAAGCCAGTATAAATGATAGGCCTTATTTGCACTTCATTCTCCCAAAGTTTCATGATTTAGACAATTTTATATATAACTCATCTGTTTAGATATAGATCTAAACCAGAGTGAAAACCACTGTTAATGATGTTCTTTCACAATTCTCATAGTTTGAAATGAAAATGAAAACTTAGAATTATTTATGACTTTTGCATACTGCTAGAAAAGCACATGGTCTTCAGTGATGATATGTTCTGCCCCTTCTTTTAGAAAGAGCATCAGGTAAAATAGTGGAAGTAGTTTGCTTAAAACAAGAACCAGTGCCTTGAATTAAAATCTTTATCTTTTTCTTCATTTAGATAAGAGGCCATCAATTTGTTTTAACTGTTTGTAGAATAATAAACTATTTGAAACATGTTTAGTCTTCTTTCAAGAGGAGGCATCAGTCTCAGATATCTTGAATTTAAGGTAATGCTATTTGCATTGCCCTTTGACCAAATCACCAAATTATTGCAGTGACCTATTCACACCATATATAGAGAAAAATATTTTACAGGAACAACTTTCCTCAAAAACTGGAAAATCATCAGATGTTTCATTTATAGCATTGATATGAGTGTACTGTTAGAATCAATTCTTATCAGGTTTTGATGAAGTTAGTCATCAATTTCTTGAAAAAAGTCTTTAAACTGGTAGGATTTTCCATCTCTGAAGTTAATATTATCAGCTGACCTGCTGATCATCTTATCAACCAGGGTGCTGCACTCAGAGTAGAGAAAGTAAAATAGCCACTTGTTGCCCCTGGCAGGACATCAAGTTCAAGAACTTTTACATTATCTCCAGGAATCTCATTAAAATAACTCACTAATATAGGAACAGCTTTTTTATTTTTGTGGTTAGCTGAAGCTGTAATAGTGCTGAGACACAAAGGTTTTATCCAATTCTTGTTAAATCTTTTGAGGTCTCGGAGTGAGTTAAAATTTGTTTTTGTTTTTTTTTTTTTTACACTATACCTGTGGTTTGTGCTGATGAAAATGTAAGTTCAAATGCCGTGGAACCTTGCTCAGAGATGTAGTCTAAAGATATGAAGTTATGATTGTGTTCTGTGGTGTTATATGGAATTACCACTGCTTTTCTGAGCACCTTTTATGGGCTATTTCATCATTGAATCATGGAAGATCCAGATCTGACAGATAATGACTGTTTCCTTACATTGAAAACGCAAAAAGATAGCAGATTTGGCTTCGACATTTTCTCACTTCCTACCACACAAGAAGCAAAGTGCTACATGTGGATTGACACTTTATTTATGTGAATATTCCTTTTGCAAACCCCAGTAAATGTTTTATTTTTTCCCGACCGTTTCTCTGCTTTGCAATCATTTTGACCCAAAAATAAAATAGTTTAAATAATTTTACGCACCCTTTGAATATCTCTGAACTACTGGCAGGAGCAGAAATAGCCCCTATAATTATCAATGCATATCATAGGAATCAGCTTTGCCTGAAAATCACTCCACACTTAGAAGTATGCACCTAGCTTCAGACTTAAACACTTGGACCAATATCCATCTTGATGCTCAGAAGAACCCAGCTTACCCCTTTCTGCTCCTCTTTCTTCCTCAACATCTTAACGCTGTCTTTCCTTCACTCAGATGTGTCTAGCCCCTTTCTTTCCTGCCCCCATCCCACATCCCCAAGTGCCCACAGACCCAACAATAAACCCTTCTGGCATTTTACACAGACAATTGCAGGTCACTGTAATAATTTTTCAGCCTGGGATCCTTCTTCTTTTGTAGCTTTTCATCTTAGATTTCTTAATTCTTTAAAATGAACATTACTAATTTCCTCCTTTCAGTCACTACCTTCCAAGATATTGGAAGTTTTAGAGCATTTTATATCTATGCAAAAATATGGAATAAGGTGTTTGAAATTAAAGTTTCCTATCAAAAGTCAACCTCTTCCCAAGCCTGTTATATCCTGGCTCAAATGGTCCCATTCTCCCCCCTGACTCCCAATCATTGTATCCCATTAACTTGTCTCATGTTCTTCATTGTGCTTACAATTATCATTATATAAATATAACTTACATATTTATGTTTCATATTTATATGATTCCAGATCATAATTCTTTTGCTTTTAGAAACAGTGACCTTGTCTTGTTCACTGCTATTTCCTGGTGCCTAGAACATGCTCTGTGAAGACTGGTTGTAAGAGAGAAACAAACCTGAAAAATTGTGATGGTCAGTCCCCATCTTTCCAGAGCTAGGCTACTAATGAGGGACCCTTGGTTGGGAGACACCAAGGTTTCTTAAGATTCCTCTTAGAGTTCCACCACCTTTGAGGGTTCCTGCTTACTGAATTTGGAAATGGGTGCCTCCCGACCCACACAGCACCAAAGAATGCTTTGACAGGTGACTTTTGTCTTTTTTCAAATTACAAATGATTAAAAGAAGCCCCACATAGGTTAGATAAGATGACTAGGTCATTTCGAGACCAAGGGTCTAAACAAAGGCCTAGGCATAAAAAAGAATTGAATAGGCTAGGCAAGGTGGTTCACGCCTGTAATCCCAGCACTATGGGAGGCTGAGGTGGGCAGATCATGTGGTCAAGAGATTGAGCTCATCCTGGGCAACATGGTGAAACCCAATCTCTACTAAAACTACAAAAATTAACTGGGTGTGGTGGTGTGCCCCTGTAGTCCCAGCTACTCAGGAGGCTGAGGCAGGAGAATTGCTTGAACCCGGGAGGTGGAGCTTGCAGTGAGCCGAGATTGTGCTACTGCACTCCAGCCTGGCGACAGAGCGAGACTCCATCAAAAAAAAAAAAAAAAAAAAAAAGAATTGAATAATTTTTCAAGACATACATTGGGATGTTGCATAAACAAGGCTGAAAAAAGTAACTTTTTTTTAAAGTAAAGAATAATGACTAGCTTGTTTTTCTCAGAAATGTATTAAGCATTGAATTATGTTATAAAGACATGACTTTCTATTTCCACATATTCTGTTTCAAGAAGCATTTTAACAGCAGCAGTTATGTCCTGGTTTATTGAGAATATCTGCCCCTGGAAATCTAAAAAATCAATATGTGTGCATTATTTTACCTACAGTCATAGCGTCATTGGACGTTAGGCAGGAAGGCAGCAGAGACACTTCCTGATGATCAACCCACTTGTTTTTACTAATACAAATCCTGAGGATCAGAGAGTGGAGAGGTTTGTCTGAAGTGATTCAGCTGCAGCCTGTGCTGGATCATCTTTATTGGCCTGGCTCCCTTTGCCAGCCAGCTCTGTAAACTACATGGATCAGGTTCTCTAGCCTTCTGGGTGGGAGGCAAAGGCAAGAGATTGGAGGATGAGTAGAGGGCAAGGCTGGGGTATTTACTCCATCAACAGCTTCCCTTCTGGGATGTGATTCAGTAGCGGTTGCATTTTTCGACCCAAAGCCGCAGCTCCATCCTGTGGTTCCTTTCACCCCAGGAGTGACCAGGCTTCCGTTGTTGCTAACTCCAGCCTGCTGAACCTGGCTCATGCCTTGCTACATAGTCCCTTTTTACTTACTAGTTTCCATTGAATATGTCATCTGTTTCTTATCTGGGCCCTAACCATACACATTCGAATCCAAGTCTTCTGACTACTGTCCAATGCTGTTTCTATTCCGTTCCCAAATTCAAAGGCTGCTTTAGAAATACAAAGGACTCTGAAAAGTTCTGAAGATCAAATGTACAGCAGGGTGACTATAGTTAATAACGCTGTATTATAGACTTGAAATTTGCTAAGTGAACCGATCTTAAGTGTTCTCCACAAACACACACAAGGATGACTATGTGAAGTGACGGATGTGTTAATTAGCTTGATTGTGGTGACTGTTTCACAACGTACATCAAAACGTCACATGCACAGCTTAAATTTATACAGTTTTTTGGTCAATTATACCTCAATAAAGCTGTAAAATATAAAGATCTATATTTGACAAAAAAGAAGGAAATATACATGACTCTAAGTGCTCTGATTATGTGGAAATATTTTAAAATACTTTGATGAAGTACTAGAAACAGAATCTAAAACTATGGGTAATGAGGCCACAGAGAGGGGAAAGACTGACTCTAGGGAGGTTCTGCAGGAAATCTTGCAAAGGTGAAATTTGACTGAGGCAAAATGTGGAACTGTCTAGAGGGGCAGGAGGGCACTGTGGTTCCTGTGTGGTCAGAGGAACTGAGGTTGCTGCTTTCAATCCTGCAAGAGCTGAAGTCAACCCACCCTGGGTGTGATTTTATGAGATATGTGTTTTTTATCCAGCACAGCCCCTAGGTATAAGCCAAATACTTTGTGCTCAACTAAAGAAGCAGTGCATTTTCCCAACACTGGATAGGAAAGCTGGTTGCATTTGTCTCAGAGAGGGGGCCCCTGCTGGTCTCCAGCATGGTGTCTAGTTGAGATATTGCCAAGAATCAACCTGACCAGGCAGAGTTTTCACCTTAAATCCTGACTTCACTGGAATATCATCTCTACATACTGGTGTTTCATCTTAATTCATTCCCACTTGCTTCCTTTTCCTCATGAAAATGGAATATCAGGCCGGGTGCGGTGTCTCACGCCTGTAATCCCAGCATTTTGGGAGGCCAAGGCAGGTGGATCACCTGAGGTCAGGAGTTTGAGACCAACCTGGCCAACACGGCAAAACCCCATCTCTACTAAAAATACAAAAATTTGCCGGGCACAGTGGTGGACACCTGTAATCCCAGCTACTCAGGAGGCTGAGGCAGGAGAAGCACTTGAACCCAGGAGATGGAGGTTGCAGTGAGCCAAGATCGTGTCACTGCACTGCAGCGCCTGGGTGACAGAGCTAGACTCTGTCTCAAAAAAAAAAAAAAAAAAAAAAAAGGAATAGCAGTAAAGTCATGAGGTAGAATGTAAAGCGAAGTTTCTTGAATAGAGCTGTGCCTCAGAACTGAAAATAACTTTGTTCTAGTCTCATCTCTGTCACTGACTTCATGGGACCTCATGCAAGTGTCTGGGACTCAGGTTCCTCTGAGTAAAATGAAAACTCAGATTAGAATGGCATTTGAGGTCATTTCTGCCTTTCAATTGCTATGATCCCCTAAATAATCAGACTAAATGACAACCTCTTCTCTCTTGAGCTCTCTGCCTATTTGGAGAAACAATTCATGTACTCAGGGTCCCTTCCTCCTGGGTCTTGGAATATGTTTCATAGAGAAAGTGATGAGGTTCTGGTACCCCTAACATTCCTGGACTCAGCAACTGGTGTCTAGACCCGAAGACCTCATGTTCCTGGAGCCCATCCTCTGGCCACTGTCTTCCTGAAGACATGTCATATAGGAAACACAAGGCAGGAGACAGATCTCACAACTTGATTGTTCTGTTGGTAGGACCAAAAGAATCATTTGGAGTTTGACTGCATTATCCAAATCACTTTTCCATTCTACTTGACTCCATCTGTCAACATATGCAAAAAAAAAAAAAAGTCAGTCCAACAATTTTCCTTTTTGATCTGTCCAAGGTCAAATAATCATTCTGGCTGACTTCTTTCCTTGTTGACCAGTTGTTTCAATCCTCCATGGACTCACTCTACAGAAAGCTCAATTTCAATGGTTTCTTTCTGCATAAGCCACTTAAATCAAGTGGCTTTGATTTCTTTTCTGCCTGGCAAACTCTGCCTCCTAACTTTAAAACACAGTTCAAACAGCACCTCCTATGGGAAGCACTTGTCGATGCGCCTTCCTTGGGTAGAATTCATGTTCTTGTCCTCTGTGCTTCCCAGGCACTCTGCACCCATCTCTTTCCTGGCATCTGTTGCCCTGTCATAGAGTTATTTGTATCTGCTAGAGGGGGAGCTTCTGTAGGTCAGAGACCTGGTGTTTGTGTATCTCTGCCTGGAATAGCAACCTCTTAGTGAGGACTTCTTAAGAAAGGAGGAAGGGAAGGGGCAGAGGGAGAGAAGGAAGAAGGGAGGAATTTTCTGTTTGCCAAATGCTTGCAACGTTCTCTCCTTATGCATATTCTGAGGGTGAATGACATACTTCATCGACAATGTAAGGGTGTCTTTGACAGTGAAGTAATAATAAACTACCAGCTGTGGCCTAGTACCACTGAATGGTTTGTTTCTCTTGCTCTGCCATACCTGACTCCCCTATGGCTTGAGTTTGGGGGGAAAAATGCAACAATGACCTTTACATCATCAGATACCCCTAAGGGATGGGTTTTGTTGTTGTTGTTGTTTTTAGTTGGTTGGTTAGTTGGTTTTTCTGAGAGAACCAGTCTCTACACTTCCCCAGAGAATAAAGGCATAAAAGAATTGCTGCAGTTGGAATTGCTTCTTCCCTAGGACAAAGGGAGTTGTCTAAAGTCTCAGCCTTGCCTTGGCAAGAACAATCTGGTCAAAGAATTAGATGCCATGAGATTAACCAGGAAGTGATGCAGCCAGGAAAATCTGGGTGTTATCTCTACCGAAAGTCTGTCCCCAAATAGCCTGGTAGTCAACAAGTTTCCTGTCCTGTGTGTTAAAAAGCTATTTCCTCATTTGATCTTTCAGGATCTCAAAAGCCCCTAAAAGTTCTGGTTTTCTTTTTTGTCATAGCTAAGGTCACCCCAGACTATCCCTTGAACAGTCAAAACTTGGAAAAGGTCGACTCCATATTTGTTTTTACTTTATGATACTAAGCAATCTATTTGGCTAAGTGTTTTTTCGTTTTGTTTTGTTTTGTTTTTTGAGACAGAGTCTTGCTCTGTTGCTGAGGCTGGAGTGCAGTGGCGCAATCTCAGCTCACTGCCACCTCCGCTCCCCCAGGTTCAAGTGATTCTCCTGCCTCAGCCTCCCAAGTAGATGGGATTACAGGCATGCACCACCACACCTGGCTAATTTTTGTATTTTTAGTAGAGACAGGGTTTCACCATGTTGGCCAGGCTGGTCCCGAACTCCTGACCTCAAGTGATCCACCTGCTTCAGCCTCCCAAAGTGCTGGGATTACAGGCATGAGCCAACATGCCCGACCATTTGGCTAAACTTTTCACCAGTGTGACTACACTGGTGGCATTGATAATCTTGGGGTCACTGCCCACAACATGAGATGCATTTATTTATTATAAAGTGTTCTGATAAAATATTGGAGTTACTAGTCCTAGAAATCTGTCATTGCATCTAGATTTCTACACAGCATAGCAATAAGGCCATGAGAGATGTTAGTGTGCTTTTAATCACTGTTGGGTAAACTTGAGCTTCGTCATTTTAACCTAGGGAAGATAAACATCTAGTTCCTATAAGATATTATTAGTTCATTCAAAAATATCTATGAAGCACCTACTATGTGCTAGCCACCATTCTCGGTGCATGGGGGTACATCAGTGAAGAAAACAAACATCTTTGCCTTCATGGAGCGTACATTCTATGTCAGCGGTCCCCGACATTTTTGGCACGAGGGACCGGTTTTGTGGAAGACAATTTTTCCACAGATGGGGGCTGGGGATGGTGGTTTTGGGATGAAACTGTTCCACCTTCAGATCATCAGGCATCAGATTCTCCTAAGGAGCGTGCAACCTAGATCTCTCACATGCACAGTTCACAATAGGGTTCATGCTCCTGTGAGAATCTAACGCTGCTGCTGATTTGACAGGAGGCAGAGCTCAGGCAGTAACGCTTGCTTGTCTGCCACTCACCTCCTGCTGTGTAGCCTTGTTCCTAACAGGCCACTGACCAGTACCAGTCTGTGGACTTCTGTTCTATGTGGAGAGAAGACAGGCAATAATCAACACACATAATAAATCAGTAGATGATTTAATATGTTAGAAGATGACAAGTGCTGTGAAAAAAAGGAAAAGTAAAGCATGGTAAGGTGGAATTAGGGATTGAATTGGCATGAGGGAGGAAGATGCCAGTGTGTACTCAGGATGGGCCACACTGAGACAGTGACATTTAGAAAAGGACTTGAAGGAGGTTAGGGAGTTAGCCAAGCAGATATCTGGAGAGGAATGTTCCCAGAAAGAGGGAAGGGTGAGTGCAAAGACCCTAAGGTGGGAATGTGCCAGTCTTGTTTGAGGACAAACAAGGAGGCCAGGGAGGCTGGAGAGAGTGAACCAGTGGGTGAGAAGTAGAACACAGGAGGAAGAAGAACATGGGGGTTCTGGAAGCCTTTACCCTGAGTGATATGGGGAGCAATTGCAGAGTTTTGCGTGAAGATGTGACACTATATTCCATATGTTAAAAAGCATTACTTTGACTTCAGTGTTGAGAAGAGACAATGTTATATACAAACCTAGGCTGCATGAGTAAATTTGATCAGGCGTAACCTGATAATAGGATACTTATCCAAGAAGAATCACAAGATACCACGTTCAAAAAAAGCATTTGGATTCTACTTCCAGAATGTCACTGTGGGTGTGCTGCCACGCAGCTTGATTGAAATAGCTGTTGTATCCATATTTGTAACAGACACCATCCTCCTTCCAGACTCTCTTAGAGTTGTCATTTTCCTTTATCCACTACATTCAAATAAAAAAGTTACCTTCTACATGCAAAGCTCTATGCTAGTCATAGAGCACGAGAGTTGAGACTGCAAGGATGGGCAAGATGTGGTCTCTGTCCTCTCCTACAGTTTCCAAAGAGAAAATTTAGATTCTTGATCTCAAAATGATATATTTCTCTGATATATGCCAGGTACTTGGTATTTGCTTTTTTTTCTTGAAATAATCAATGATTTCATTGGGGGAGAAACCTTTATAAGAAGTCAAATGAAGCTCCTACGTTGTAGGTAGCATAATCCTTGCTTGGCGTAGAGTTTGGTTTGTCCTACTCACCATGTGACACACAGATGAACTTTAAATTATCATTTCTGGAAAGTGCTATATTCTCAATAGATCATCCTCCAAGAAGAATGGATGTGTGGCTATAGGGGAGGAGTTACAAAATGGTGGTGTCAGGGACTACAAAATTTAAGGCTCTTAATCCATTGTCTCTAGACCCAAAGAGCAAAGTCAAATCAGAAAGTGCTATGTAGTGGTCAGAGCATTCAATTGGCATAGCTGGGGACTTGGAGAGGTAACAATTTTTTGTGGGGTTTGTATAATCACCTTAACAAGATTGCTGGGCTACCATAACAAAATACCACAAACTAGGTGGTTTAAATAACAGAAGTCTGGTTTCTCACAGTTTTGGATGCTGGAAGTCCATGATCCAGGTGTCAGCTCCTGGGCCTTTCTCCTTTGCTTGCAGATGGCCACCTTCTTGCTGTGTCCTCACATGATCTTTCCTCTGTGTGCTTGCATCCCTTGTGTCTCTCTGTGTGTTCAAATTTTGTCTTTTATAAGGACACCAGAATTGTATCAGTATTGGATCAATACTGAATTAGGGCCCACCCTAATGGCCCATTTTAACTTAACCACATCTGTCTCCAAACATAATCACATTCTGAGGTACTAACGATGAGGACTTCAACATATGAACTTTGAGGGGACACAACTCAGCCCATGGCAGAGGGGATAGTCTCATTATTCAAGCATAAGACTTGTATCTTGGGAGTGTTTAAGCATTTTCACAAGGAAAACTTATGTGCTTTAGATCTGACTTTCTGTGCAAAAATGTGAGATTTGCTACAGGTGGGACCCAGGTCTGAGTTTTCTAGGAGAAGGCAAGGCATTGTGTATCCTGTGTACCCTTTTATTTAAGCCCCTTAAGAACAGACTGTCATTATGAAACTCATTTACATGGGGATTGAGCCAACCTTGGCCTTAGTGTGGTTCTCCAATTAACTGACTCAACAGACAAAGCCAAGGGTGAAAACTGATTGAAGGACAAATGATATTCTGGTCAATTTTCAGTATCATTCTGAAAAGGCTTCACTTGGTAAGCATTTAATTATTATTTTCTAATTATCACTCAAATATGATCACAGAAACCAAGCAAGTAAAGAAGACATTTCATGGTTAGATACCCTTGTGTTTGCTGACATGCAATTTTGATTTAGATTTGAACAGGGTCTGACAGATAAGGGCTGCAGCAGGGGGATGGGTTTGTTTCCAGACTGCCATACTCTTGCTCTTTTTCCATTAAGTTGGCCGGACATATTCTCATGAGTACTAGACAGACACTCTGTTAATCTCTGACCTTAACTTACTCTGCAAATGGCAAACACCTCTTAAATTGTAGAATCTTCTGCTTGGAATCATCATAGAGATGTTTGAAAGGAACAAAATTTTATCATGCTACACAGAGATTATGAGTAAGTTATCTGGAGAAACCTGGTGTCCAGAAGGTTCTCTAACCAGGGATCTGTCAGAGTCCAGGGTTTGATCATCGGACCCTTAGTTATCAAGATACCTAATTTTTCATACTGAAAGAAAGATACTTTTGTTTTAAAGGAAATGATTTGCAGTAATTGAATTCATGAGGCTGCTATATAGTGAAAAATAGAATATTCAAGAGGACTGGACACTCCTGTCTTCTGAAAAGTCCATTTGGTTTCTCAAGAGGACTGGACACTCCTGTCTTCTGAAAAGCCCATTTGGTTTCTGTACCCTCATGGGAAATATGTTATAATAAGAAAGATGCTTGGTGAGTCAGAGATCTAAACAAAAGGAGTTACTTACATGATTCAAAAGTTTAAATGCAAGGATGAAAGGTAGGCTTCATTTAACAGGTGCTCTTATCAATTGTTCAGGGCTGTCTGTAGTGTTGAGAAGTATGAGGCCACATTTGGGCTTGGTAGGAAAGTGACAGTTGGTTAGTGATGTCTGCCATGGCTGTAAGAGTGGGAAGAAGGTGTGTATATATATATACTATGTTTGAGCCATCCCTCATGTAAAACCATCACACCAAGAGAGCCTTATAAATGTGCACACACACACACACACACACACACACACACACACACGTTCACTAGGACTAGAGGATTGGGCACCCTGGGCAGTGCTTGGTTGGTGACTGCTAACATCGTTTTTCAGTGCTTCCATACGTAATGGATATTTCTTCTGACAAGCCTGTCTTTCTGTGGATATGTTTAGTCAGGTCAGGCTAAGTGCTGCTGGGTTAAAGGCAAGCTGGTGTCTTGAAGATGACTGCATAATTCTCCTCTGAGCCATTTTTGAGCTGACTTCTTTCTTTGCTTCCAGAGGAGAATCTTGTTGACCAGATTTGGGGCACCACTCTATAGCCCCTGTATAAGGAAAAGAATAATCTACTTTAGTGGTTTTCACACTTTAGGAAACCTCTTTTTTCTAACTAAATCTTACCTAGAACTCCATCATACTAAACAAATAAAAGCAACAGGCAGGCTTCTCTGGAAGTTTCAACATTCATTGTTTGACAGACACTATTTTTCTGGGTGAAGATGTCCTGAAACATAGTTATGGTGATCCCTGGGAATGCATGGAGTACTATTTGAAAATCACCCATCCAGTTCAATTTCTTCATTCCAGGCAAGAGAAAATCCAGGCATTGGAAAGACAAATTGTTAACTCAGGATCACATAGCAGGTATGAAGCTGTGTTGAGATAAACACTCCTCATTTCTTAACTCTTCATATAGCGCTCTTTCCATAAGACCAACACTTGTGGGTTTGGGAGAGATTATCTTTCAGCACCCGAGTGGCCAAGCCTAGTCTACACTGTGAGTCCTCAGGGGAGGAGTAGCCCCAGGCCCACCAAGGGCAACATGCTGAGGACCCCGGAGAGAAATGTCTGCTTTGTCTCTCCCCCATTTCATAAGTGAAACCTGACAGCATAGATTAGAAAAATAATAAAAGGCCATCTCATCTGTGTTCCCTATTTATTACACATTATGCAGGTATCTGGTTGCAAAACCTGCACTCCTACTCCTCTCTCATTGTTAACAATGTTTGAAGCAGAACACACTGACCTGCTTCATCAGATAACGTCGGCATCTCGGTGAGTGCTCACTTTCCAGGTGGCTTCCACCCTTCCTCCCCATTCCCCCCTCCTCACTGACCCCCAAAATCCAACAGGGGGAACACTTTATCAATAGCAGAACACTCCACCTTTACATGATATGATTGTGTCTATATCTAGTCAAGCAAAAAATAAAGGAAAATAAAATTGCACCCTTTTCGAAAGAAAATAGAATACCCAGATTGTGGGGTCCAAGAATGGAGCCTGAAGGAGTGTGACCCAGTTTGTTAACCAAGAGGGGATTACCCCAGTTCTTCTCCTCTGGTCCTGTGCAAGGCCCCCTTTGAAGCTTAGGGAGGACACCAATTTTGTGGAGGAAACAGCTCTTCTTCATTTGTTGTCAGATGGAAAGAGAGAGAGGAAAAAGGGAGGGAAAGGAAGAGAAAGAGAAGAAAAGAACTGAGGTGGAGAGAAGGGGAAAAGAGATGTTGATGAGAGACAGAGAAAGGTGTGAGAAGAGCCAGACACAAGGACAAGAAGGAGAGAAGGAGGAAGAAAAGGAGGAGAGAAGGGAGACAGAGAGGGAGCTTTGTTTTGAAAGAGTATAAGGTAATAACCAAATTAAGCAGTCCCGGCCTGTGCTGCCACACAGAGGCTCATGGGGTGGGAAGACCAGATGGCATGTGGGGAAACCCAGGTCCCTGCCTCATCTCCACTATCATCTCTGCATCATCTTGAGTGAGTCCCTTTTCCTCTCTGGGTCTCAGTTTCCTCAACATGCAGTGAAAAGTGTGTGTGAGAGGCCCTGAGTGTCTCCCACTCACCCCCACTAACCTTAACCCTTGCCCTGGAGCAGTCTTGACTCTGTGCTGAGGAGACACCAAAGGGAGAACAGAGCCCTTTGTGGCAGGCTGAGGAGAGACAACTTAAAAGGCGATGAGGGCAGAAGAATTGAAGCATTTTTGTTGTAGAGGAAAGCGTGGGCTTCAGGCAGGGAGCCAGAAGCCACTGACATCACCATAATACTTGGAACAGGCCTCCGAGAGGTAGGCGGGAGCCTCAGGGAGTGGGCAGAGTTACCTGGTGAGGGACAGACGACCTGAGTCTGGCCCAGGAGCAATGAGACACTTGAAAGAGGCTCGTGGCCCTTGCAGGATCAGGGCACAGGTAGCCATGAATTCAAATGCTGGAGGAAAGTGTGTAAAGTTTGGGAAGTCATTTCTCCACTCAGTTCCTTGGTTCAGGACTTGGCATGGGAAATGGGAGAGATGAGCGTGGTCAATTCTAGACAAAAATCCATTTGTCCTGATCTCCAGAACTGAAGTCAGAAACACTTGATACAGAAGATGTTTGCATCCACCTTCTCTCTTTGGCCCCCAGAGCCTGTCCAACAGGGAATGGAACTGGAGGTCACCTCTCTGGTAGGATTAGAGGGATATTGGGAGGTACTTCATTCTTTCAGATGGGGCCTCCACTAAAATGCCACAGGGATTTCTATCTCCTTTATTACTAAGCCCCCTTTTAGGGGTTAAGCATTGCCCTCTTCCCACGATGTTTTGTGAAACTTACGTTTCATTCCTTCTTAGGGATTTGCAAATACTAACATCTTAGTGCATCTTAGTGCAAGCTTATCAACTCTATGGCATGTGTGCCACCACTTCCTATTGCACAGCTTAAAGCAGACAGTGCTAATCAATTGCCCAGATGCATCGTCAGAATCCCTCCCAATCAGGGCTCTTGCCAGGCATTATCAATTGATGGAAATGAGCTCTTGAGACTGATCCTGTTTGTTACACCTGTGTTTAGGGTTAATTATCAGACATTATCCTTTGGGGCAGGAAAGTCCTGGGATATGGTGGAAGGGAGGATTATGGGGAGCCTGAGGGTTGAGAAGAAGCAGAGGAAAGAGAGATGAGAGAACTGAGCAAAGACAATGCTTGTTTTCAGTATTATTTGTTTTTTCTTCTTTGTAACTTTCCCTTCCGTTTTTCAGAGCTTTCTTCATCCTTGGATTCTGTCATCTTGGCTCTCTTTTCCCACCAGGGATCAGGATGTTAGGAAACAATTGTTTAAGGTCCTACAGGTTGAGGTGCTGGAATAAATGGAAAATAGACCAGGAGCTCATTCCTTTGTCCTTAGGAAGATAGTTTCTGTCCCTGCTTATGGGACACCTGGAGATGCCTTACCCTTCATGGGAGCCTTTGCAAGATCCTTAAAAGTCCACACCCCTCTTCTGTAACCTCTTCAGGGGTGGGAACCCCATTACCTCATGAGACAGCTCATTTCATTGTTGAATGACCTAAGTGGTTAGCAAGTGGTCAGCTCATACTGGTTGAAATCTCTCTGCCTGACAAGTCCACCTTTAGTGCTGGTTTAGAGAATATATCTGCTTCCTCTTTCTCCACGTCAGCCTTTTGTGTTGTTTCAAGATGGCTATCATGGGCTGCCTAGGTTTTCTCCTCTCTAGGTTAAATATCCCAGTTTTCCTATTCTGCCTCATGTAACATGGCATTAGAGCTTTTATCATCTTGAGTAAACCCCAGGTTGTCAGTGACCTCCTTGTAACCAGTGTCCCTCATTGAAAAATATGTAGTCTGACTTGTATGAGCCTGTGGGATACAATTTGTTTGTTGAATTGAACTGACTATTAGGTCCTGTGATCTAAAACTTATGCTTCTATTTATGCAACGAAATATTTGGGTTTTTTTGTTTGTTTTTAAGGTACTACTTTATCTTGCCTTATGTTAAGCTTGTGGCCAGCTAAGACCCATAGATTACTTTCACAGAAATTATTACCCATCTTGTATTCAACTGATAGGAATTTGTAAAAATGATTACTACTGTTGCTAAACAGGAATATGTATTGACTGTCTGTTTGTATGTGGTTCTGTGCTGGGCACTGGACCAGAGAGATAAGCACTTTAGAACATTATAATTTGAAACATATTCATTAAACACACACTTATTGTTATTATTGGCTTTTTAGTGGAAAATTTGTTAACATCAAAATTTTACATTTTTAGCATTTGCCCAGTATTATATCCTTATTTTACAGATCCAATCACTCATATAATGAACATAAATATATATGTACAAGAATGTTAATTGCAGCATTAATTTTTAATTGTGAAATTAAGAAGCAAACTAAATTGTCAAGGAGAATAGTTAAATATAGAATAGTACCTCCATAAATGGAATGTCATGAAGCCACTAGAACTGCATTTGATCTATATGTAATGACACAGAAAGATCTTCAAGACATATGGTAAAGTGAAAAATGCAGGTCATAGCAGAGTAGATATATTCATAATTTCATTTGTGTCTTAACAAATAAAATTATAATCAAAAGTATATTTTACACACACATACACTTAAATGTAAATAAGGGTTTGAAAGATACACAGTTAATTATTGATGGAAATTTCCTGTTAGAACAGGGTAAGAGTAGAGAATAGATTGTTTTTCCTCTATGTATTTTGGTGGTGTTTGGATTTTTACAAGCATGTATTTATTTATTACTTGTGTAATTTTTTTAAGGTTTATTTTTGGTAGACAGAGGAAATACAAAGAATTCAAAGATGAGAAAGGGACAGTCTCCTTCCTTCAAAAAAAAAAACCCCAATATGAGGATCAATGCAACATACAGATAATGATGGTATTTTGCAATGGAAGGTGTTAGGGAATCTGGATGAGGGAGTGATTCCTTCTGCCTGTAGGAAGATGAAAAAGGCTGTACCTTTTCTGGATAGGACACTCAGTCCAGTTTGCTGGAAGTGTAGAGTTTGTGTGGGGGAGTAGTCAGCAAGCATTCTCAAAGGATAAGTTAGACCTACTTCTCAATTAGCCTTTGATATACTTCCCTTGGTAGCCAATAAGAGATATCTCAGGGTGGCATCTTAGGCAGATTAATTCAGCTGGGAGACCAGAAGTTTGGGGGACTATGACACTGGAGGCAGAGAGATTATTGCCATATTTTAGCATTTTCCATGTCCTATTAAAAGTTAACAGTGGTTCTCGCACCCACCTTGCTAAATGTGTTCAGCAGCTAAATAACCTTAGAAAACCTTTACACATCTCTACTTTGAGATATGTAATCCTCTTTAGCATAGTATAGGCTCTGAGAAGTCCTGCAATAAAAATGTGTTTCGTTTTTATTAATCCATCATTTCTCAGTTTTATCTGGACCTAGGACATTTCATTTGCAGCCTTTATTTTTCACAATGGCATTCTGAACAACCGCAAGCACTTAAAAAATCTGTTAGAGTAGAATCATAGAAGTCTGAATAAGGGTGGCAGAAGAACGATGGGAAGGAGGAGTGGATGTGATCATACTGGAGAAGAAAGAATTGGGAGGGCATGGCAAGTTGTCTGGATGTGGAGTCAGGGGAGAGACATGTCAAAGACTGGTCTGAGATTTCATTACTTCTGCTATATTTCCTCATTTTAAAAGTCACAACATCAGGTCTATACCTCTGAATGGCTGGCCACAGACTTGGGACTATCCTTGCTTTACTGGGCCCAGCAGAAATTGCTGGCCTGGAAAAAAGACTCATAGTTTTCTTCATGTCCTCACCCTAATGGAAATATCTAATTTAAAATGGGTATAACACAATTAGTGGAGTAAAAACAGAATCCATGGAATGGGAGAAAATATTTGCAAATAATATATCTGATACAGGGTTAATATCAGAATATGTAAAGAACTCCTACAATTCAACAGCAGTAAAACAAACAAATGGGCAAAGGACTTGAATAGACGTTCCTCCAAAGAAGATATACAAATGGCCAATAAGCGCACCAAAAGATGCTCAACATCACTAATCATTAGGGAAATGCAAATCAAGACCACAAGGAGATACTACCTCATACTCATTAGGATGACTATTATCAAAAATTCGAAAATAACAAGTGTTGATGAGCCTATGGAGAAATTGGAACACTGTGCACTGTTGGTGGGAATGTAAAATGATACAGTTTCTATGGAAAACAGTATGGCAGTTCCTCAAAAAATTAAATGTGGAATTACCATATGATCCAAAAATTCCACTTTGGGGCGTATACCCAAAATAATTGAAAGTAGAGACTCTAAGACATATTTGCACACCCATGTTCACAGCAACATTATTCATAATAGCCAAAAGGTGGGAGCAATCCAAGTGTCCATCAACAGATGAATAGATAAACAAAATGTTATATATAAATTCAGTGGAATATTATTCAGTCTTTAAAAAAAGGAAATTTTGACACGTGTAACATTGATGTTAGGGACTAAATGTTTGTGTCCTCTGAAATTCATATGTTGAAATCCTAACTTCCCATGTGATGGTATTAGGAGTTGGGGCTTCTGAGAAGTGATTAGGTCATGAGGGTCAAGCCCTTATGAATGGGATTAGTGTTCTTATAAAAGAGACCCCAGAAAGTTCTCTTGCACCTTTTCCTATGTGAGGACATAGCTCAAAGATGGCCTTCTATGAACCAGGAAATGGTCCCTCACCAGACATCAAATCTGTTGCCACTCTGATCCTGAACTTCTTGCCTCCAAAACTGTGGAAAATAAATTTCTTTTGTTTATAACCCACCCAGTTCGAGGTATTCTGTTTCAGCAGCCTGAATGGACTGAGACAACGAATGAACCTTTAGGACATTATGGGAAGTGAAATAAGCCAGTCACAAAAGGAAAGTATCATGCCACTTACATGAGGAACATAGAGTGCTCAAATTCATAGAGATGGAAAGTAGCATGGTGGTTGCCAGGGGCTGTGGGGAGGGGAATGAGGAGGTATTTTTCAATCATCATAGAGTTTCAGTTTTGCAAGATTAAAAGAGTTCTGGAGATGGATGGTGATGATGGTTGCACAAGAATGTGAATATACTTATTGCCACAGAACTATACACTTAAAAATTGGCAATGTGGTACATTTTATGTTATGTGTATTTTACACAATTAAAAAACAAACAAATAAACAAAATTGATATAGCGTTTTGGCTCCTATAGTCAGAAAAGTCCTAAATCTCTTTAACTGATTATTTTATGTTTTCTACAATTTACTATCAGTGTGCAAATGGTCTAGAGTTTTGAAAACTATACATATGAAGCATTATCCACTGTAGAAAATATGGAAAATACAAAAGTACACAGAGAAAATAACATCACTCAACTCCGTCTATCTGGAGATAAGCCATCAAGTTTTCTGGAGATAGCATTATGGTAGATTTCCTTCAAGTCTTTTTATCTGGAACGTGCCTACTTGAATCCTCAGCCCCCTCCTCTCTTTCCCTCTTATTCTCACTCAGAATACCAGGGCATGACAATCATTGCATAAGGATAGCTACTTTTGGCCAGTCTTGGTCCAGTCTGTGGCCTGGGTGGCAGGTTACGGCAATCATTGAGTAAGAAACAAATAGAGATTGATTCTCTCATGCAGTGGATGTGTGGAGTGCTCACTGATCATCTGAACTGTGTCCTGCCCAGACTAATATATAAAAATAATAGGATTTAGAAGGGACTCGTCATACCAGGAATTAATTAGACTACTAGTTGCCCTTGTCATAGTGCTCATTAAACTTTATTATAATGAGTGGTTTGATGTTTTAATTTCCCACTAGAATATAATGGAGGAGCTTTATCTGCCTGTTCACTGCGGTAGTCCCATTGCTAAGGTATACCTGAGATATATGAAATGTTCAATAAATATTTGTTGAATGAATTAATTAATGGGTGCTTGTAATTTACATTCAATTTTATAGGAGAATAAAGTAGAAGTTGTGTAGAGTACTATTTAAGAACATTGTTTCCAGTTTCAGACAATTTGCATTTGAATCCCAGGGTCTGTATTTTGAGAAAATTATTTAACTCCTGGAAGTTTTTCTCATTTGTAAAATGGGGATGAAAATGGTACCTGTCTCAAAGTTAGTGTGATAATTAATTGAGATAGTCCATTATAAATCATGTAGAATAGAGCCTGAAACATAGTAATCACTCAGTCCATGTCATTTATTATTATATTCACCTTTCTGTTTTTTATTTTCATAAACATTTCCTATATCATTGAATTTTTCTGAAAAACATGTTTTTAGTGGTTATGTAACTATTCCATATTGGAAATTTACCCTAATTTATGGACCTTTAAGTTGTTTTTAGATTTCCTCTATTTTAAATCACTTTTGGATAAGCATTCTTGTCATAGGGTAGTCAGGAGTGCAGGTTCTGGTACTGGACTGCCTGGGGTCACACACTGAATCTTCTCTTACAGGCTATGTAACTTTTGACGCCTAATATCTCTGTACCTCAGTTTCCTATTGGCAAGATAGGAACAATAATAACAATTCATAAGATTGTTGAGATAGTAAATGAGCTAATGATGTATGTAGGTTGCTTATAATGATGTCTGGCACACTTTAAGTGCTTAATAAATGTTTACTATTATATTATTATTGCTAATCTTTTACTTCATTTGTTAATTTTTTTTTTTTTTTTTTTGAGACAGTCTTGCTCTGTTGCCCAGGCTGGAGTGCAGTGGCACCATCTCGGCTCACTGCAAACCCCGCCTCCCGGGTTCACGCCATTCTCCTGCCTCAGCCTCCCGAGTAGCTGGGACTACAGGCGCCCACCACCACTCCTGGCTAATTTTTTTGTATTTTCAGTAGAGACAGGGTTTCACCAGGATGGTCTCTGTCTGTTGACCTCATGATCCGCCGGCCTTGGCCTCCCAAAGTGCTGGGATTACAGGCGTCAGCCACCGCGCCCAGCCCTTTATTTGTTAATTTTTTAGGCAAATACATATTAGGTTTGTGGAATAAAAACAGATGTTTTCAGGATGAATGTTTATTATAGTCTAGATAGGAATCGCTAACCTAAATGATGGTTTGATGTTGGAAAAACCTGGACATTAATAATTATTAGAACTTTCATTAATCATAACCCTTCAATATTTAAATGCATTCAAATGAATTTAATATCTTAAAAAATGTTTTTAGATCTCCACAGTTTATAATTTGAAGAGTAGCTAAATGTTAATTCCTAAATAAAACCCCCCATTACTATTTATTATCTTATGTCTTCTGCAGCAATTCCATATAATGTTCACTTGGAATTACCTGAGGTCTAGGTGGGTATGAGACTCAGGGATAAGCATCTTCCTTTGAGTTATCTTAGAAGCCTCTTCAGTCCAAAGTGATCACCTCTCCCTCTCCCCCTCCATGTACACTTATACTCTATTCCCATAGAGTATGGTAGAGACAGACCTGGGTTCATGTCTGGATTCAGCCCATGATGTATCTGAGCCTTGCTGTTCTCAGCTGCAAAATGAGAATGATAATGCCCATCTCATGAAGTTTCTGTGAGAATTGAGAGGTAACACAGAGAGTGACAAGTGAGAATTCAATACATGTTTTTTCTTTTCTTTTCCTCAGGGTTAAACGTGACAATACCAATAACAGCAATAATAATAATAATAATAGCTACATAATGCCATGGGCCAAGCACCGTGTTTGTTAGTTACCTCATGTTGCATAATCTTTCTACATACAATCCTAAGAAGTAGGCACCATTATCGCCTTTATTTTACAGATGAGGAAACAGAGGCACAGAGAGCAACTTACTAAAAAATGACAGAGCTGAGATTCACCATAGATGAATTTGGGCTGTTTTTGAAATTTGTATAAATGGGGTCATGCATGCATATAGGTCCGTCTTCTTTTATTCAGCATTATGTCTGTAAGATTTATCCACATCATTGCAAGTAGTTTTTTTTAAATTGCTGGGTAGTAGTCTATCGTCTGCATAAAATGTAATTTTTTAATCTATTCTTTTTCTGATGGATATTTGGGTTGTTTCCTGTTTTTTGGCTCTTATAAGGAATGTTGCTATGTTCATTTTAGTACAGATCTGTGTGTGTGTGTGGGGGGGTGTGTATTTATTTCTGTTGGTTTAATATCTAGGAGTTTGACTGCCCAGTTTTGAGTTAGGTAAATCTTCAGTGGCAGAAGATACTGCCAGTTTTCCAATTTAACCAGTTACCAATATAACCTCCTCCCAGGACTACATAAGAGTTCCAGTTGCTCTGTATCTTCACCAATACTTGATATTTTTCATTTTTAAATTGGTAGCTCTTCTAGCAGATGTGTAGTGGTATCCCTCTGCAGTTTTAACTAGCATTTCCCTGATGACTTTGATATTAAAAAATATTTTTAATGTTTATGGGCATAAACATCATTCTTTTATGGAATACCTGCCCAACTATTTGCCCATTTGAAAATCAGGTTGCATGTCTTTTAAAAACTGATTTGTAGAAGTTGTTTTTGTTTATTTGTTTGTTTTGTTTTGTTTTTTGTTTTGAAACGAAGTCTCGCTCTGTCACCCAGGCTGGAGTGCAGTGGCACGATCTCGGCTCATTGCAAGCTCTGCCTCCTGTGTTCACGCCATTCTCCTGCCTCAGCCTGGGACTACAAGCTGGGACTTGTAGCTGGGACTACAAGCACCTGCCACCATGCCCGACTAATATTTTGTATTTTTAGTAGAGATGGGGTTTCACCGTGTTAGCCAGGATGGTCTTGATCTCCTGACCTCGTGATCTGCCCACCTCGGCCTCCCAAAGTGCTGGGATTACAGGCGTGAGCCACTGCGCTCTGCAGAAGTTTTTTAAAAATGTGTTTTGGGTACAAGACTTTTATTGGATATATGTGTGACAAATATCTTCTCCCACTATGTGGTATGACTTTTCATTCTCTTAATGCATCTTTCAATAAACATATGTTTTTCATTTTAATATAATTTAAAGAACAATATTTTCCTTCGTGTTTAGTGTTTTTATGTGCTTTATAAGAATTTTGTGTCCACCTCAAGATCATAAAAATAGTTGTTTATTTTTATTGTTTTGCCTTTCACATTTAGTTCTATGATTCATTTTTTTTTTTCTTGAGATGGAGTCTTGCTCTGTTGCCCAGGCTGGAGTGCAATGGTGCTCTCTTGGCTCACTGCAACCTCTGCCTCCTGGGTTCAAGTGATTCTCTTGCTTCAGCCTCCCAAGTAGCTGGGATTACAGGCACATGCCACCACACCCAGCTAATTTTTTGTATTTTTAGTAGAGACTGGGTTTCACCATGTTGGCCCGGCTGGTCTTGAACTCCTGACCTCAGGTGATTCACCCGCCTCGGCCTCCCAAAGTGTTGGGATTACAGGTGTGAGCCACCACGCCTGGCCCTATGATTCATTTTGAATTGAATTTTGTATATAGTGTGAGGTAAGGTCAAGATTCCATTGTAACACATGGCTAGCTAATTATCTACCACTACTGATTGAAGTCCATTATTTTCCTTCATATTGCTGTGGGACATTTGTCATAATTCAGATGACCATAGATAGGTGCGTCTGTTTTTAGATCCTAGTCTGTTCCATTGGTCTGTTTACCTATGCTTGGACCAATACCACTGTTTACATATGCAGATTTATATTAATCTTGATATCTGTGTTAGTCCTGCAGCTAAATTATTCTTCAAAATTGTCTGTCTTGAATTGTTTTTTTACATAAGATATGTAAATAGTATATAAATAGTATGTTGAAAATGGCTTGATTTTGTCTTCTTTCCCTAGTAATAGTTTACGTAGGTATAAAATTTTAAGTCGACATTTATTTTATTTTTCATCAGCACATTTGAGATTTACCTTCATAGTTGCCCAGCTTTTATTACTGCTGATCAAAATAAATTTAACTGTAAGTCATAGGTGTAGGTGTTCTTTTTACTTTCATAGCTTTTAGGATATTTTTGATGTTCTACAGTTTTATTACAGTGAGCCTTTTTTAATCCTACTTGGTCACTTCTTATGCACTTTTAAAATAATTAGACTTTTAATTCTGGACCAGTTTTAGATTTACACAAACATTGAGAAAATAGTACAGAATTCCTGTATATCCCACATCCAGTTTTCTCTATTATTAACATGTTACATTAGCATGGTACATTTGTCCCCATTAGTGAACCAATGTTGATACATTATTATTAACTAAAATCTATATTTTATTCATGTTTTCTCAATTTCTCCCTAATGTCTTTTTTCTCAGTTCTGGGATCCTATCTGGGATACCATATTACATTTAGTCGTCCTATCTTTTTAGATTCTTATTGGTTGTGACAGTTTCTGAGGCTTTCTCATTTTTGATGACCTTGACAGTTGTGAAGATTACTAGTCAGGTGTTTTGTAGAATGAACATTAATAGGGATTTGTCTGTTGTTTTCTTGATTGTTAGATCAAGGTAATGTGTTTTATGGAGGAAGATCACACGGGTAAAGTGCCATTCTCATCACATCGTATCAAGGGTACATACTATGAAAATGACATCACTATCGATATTAGCCATGATCACCTGACTTGAGGTAATGCTTATCAGGTTTTTCCAGTGTAAAGTTACTCATTTTTCCCTCCCTTTCCATACTGTGCTGTTTGGAAGAAAATCACTATGTGCAGCTCACACTTAAATAGGAATTATGCTCCACCTTCTTAAGGGCAATGTATCTACATAAATTATTTGAAATTCTTCTGCATATTAAGTATATCTATTCTCCCCATTTGTTTATTTATTCAATCATTTATTTATATCAATATGTACTAAGGGACATTTTCCTACTTTGGCTTATAACCCAATATAATTATATTTATTTTCTTGTTCAAATTCTTGTAGCTTTCAGTTGGTTCCTGTATCATTTGGCTCACCCCCATCATTGTATTATTTTCCTTTTGGCTCATCTTGTATATTTCCTGCCCCAGTCTAAGAATCAGCCTTTTCTTAAAGGAGCCCTGGTTCCTTTTATTGGAGAATGGTATTAGAAACCAAGACCTGCATGCTAGGTATGCTCCGCAATACACTTTTTATTATTAATATTGTTTTTGGTTGACAACTTATGATTGTACACATTATGGGGTACAATCTGATGTTTCAATATAGCCAAACAATGTGGAATGATTAATTCATGCTAATTAACATATCTATCACCTCTCTTACCCATCATTTTTTTATGGTGAGATATTTGAAATGCATTATCTTTGTTACTTCAAAATACACAATAGATTATTACTATTATTATTATTATTGAGATGGAGTCTCACTCTGTCTCCCAGGCTGGAGTGCAGTGGCGCGATCTTGACTCACTGCAACCTCCGCCTCCCGGGTTCAAGCAATTCTCCTGCCTCAGCCTCCTGAGTAGCTGGGATAACAGGTGCACGCCACCACGCCTGGCTAATTTTTCACAATACATTATTTTGACCATGGTCACCCTGCTGTGCAATAGATCTCAAAACCTATTCCTTATGTCTATCTGAAACTGTGTACCCTTTGATCAACTTTGATCTCAGGTTGTCTTGATAAAATTTGCAAGTATTACTCTTCATATAATGTTTCTCTATTATTCTCTCCATTTTTTTTTTTTGCTTCTGGAACTCTTATTTAAAGAGTTGGAGAAAACTCTCAATCTATCCACATGTCTCTTAAGTGAACTTCCTTTTTGCTTTTGTTTTGTCTCCTCCTTCATTTCCATCTCCTCTTCATCTTTTCTGTCTGTGCTACATTCTGGTAAATTCCTTAATGCCATATTCCCATTTAATAATACTCTCTCTGACTCTCTCTCTCTAATCCAGATTTTTATTATTTTCAATTGTTTTATTTCCACTAGCATATTTTTTATTTCCAAGATTCTAATCAGCTATTTTCTCTTTTTCTATTTTTATGTCATTCACAAATCAGAGCAACAAGTTAACTGGTGGTTGGCTAAGGTCCTAGCCTTGAAGCTGATTCTATCTTTACACATTCCTTTAAGCCATAAACTTAGACAGTGGGTCAGCAGCTGTTTTTACACACACACACACACACACACACATACATACACACATATACACATGTATATATAAAAACATACATATGGATGTTTATAATACACATATATGTACATACATACATCATACATACATACATATGAATATACATGTGTACACATATACACATATACATATATGTATGTGTATATACATATACATATAAATACACACATATACATATGTATGTATATATACACACATATATACACATATATACACCTACATATATATGCATATATATACACATACATATAAACACACATATATACACAAATATATATACACACACATATATATAATACACACACACACATTTATATGAAGTGGTAGTGAACAGCTTGCCTCAGTCTATGGTCTTAATCAGTGAGCCAGTTTCTTTTCTCCGCATTTAATCCTTTTTACCTCCAGGAGCTGAACTTTCACAGCCATTTTCCTGTATTGGCTGGAAACCCTAATGTATTATTCATTCTCATGATTCCTTTTTATTTATGCCAAATGATACAGGTTTCTCTTTTGTGGTAATAATATAAAGTTTTCTTTTAAAATATATTTACTTATGAAAATAAATAATTTAAAGAAAAATACAAAGTAAATTTTAGTGCAAAATAAAATAAAAATGACTGAAGTTTGAGAGACCTAACACTGAGCCACACTGACATTCCATGATTTGAAATTATTGGTAGAACATTGACAGGACTACAAGCTGGATCTCCTTATAGTCCAGGTCCTTACACTGGGCCCTTCCTGCAGAGGAACCTGGACAGGTAGTCCTGTGCAATTAATGAGTCTCTGTCACTGTTTGACAATGTGACATAGGTTTGGGACCTTGTGTCTGCAGTGATGCTGAGGCAGGGTGAACATGAAAGCTACTGGTTTGAGAGACATGAAAATTAGAGACTGTCTTGGAGGCTTGCTTGTGGGACTACTGTGGCTTACACTGACTAGCTACAGACAGCTATGCCATGAGGTAGGGAATCATGGTATTGATGCTTGGTTTCAAGGATGGGGAGTCCTGAATCCCTTTCCTGGCACAACGTTGGACTCTGAGGTTTGGAGATAAATGACTTGACTACTCCAGAGGTGACTCACTGCAGCTTGGAAATTCTCAGCTGCAAGCCTGCTCTTTAAGAAAAAATTATTATTATCGTCTCTGACTAATAACCAGCAAACCCAAAGTGAAAAATAACTCAGTGGGAGATGAAGAGAAAATTCTTTTTCTAAAAAAAATTCATATTGAGCTGCAAAGCACAATAAGGCAAAAGCAGAGGAATGCAGATAACAAATCTTTAAATATTAACTGGGTAATTATGCCAATTAACATTTAATTTTATCTAGCTCATCACATTTTATCCATAAAAGCATTCTAGGTAACAGTTATTGCTGTAGACCTCTGAAAATTAATTAAAATCACTGAGACAGAACCAAAAAAAGTCCATTCTTTTTTTAAAAAATTCATTGAAGTTAAATAATCAATTTCCATTCTGAAAATTTACTCCAAATGGGAATTTGAAAGCCAGGACCAGAGACAGGTTTTCTTTCTTTCCTAACATCTACCTATCCTCAGATTTTTGTTGCTATACCTCCCTGGGCTTCTAATTGAGTCAGAGTCTGCATAAAAGGCAGTGGGTGGGGTAGAATGCTAAGTCCCCGTGCCTCCCAAGTTCCTGATTTCTCTGGTCTCTTGGCCTAATGCAAGAGGCTGTCTTGCCCTGAAATGGGCTTCCTCCAGATGCCCCAAATTCAGCGGCTGCAGCTCAAGTGTGTTCGCAGTTCCTATTTCATCCAGGAGTCCTGTGGAGATGCAGGCTGAGGCAACAAACTGAAATGAGCAGGTTGGCTGTTCCTCCATGGCTTGTTCCTGGTGGGGCCTGGGATCTCACAGTGTATGCAGAGCAAAGCTGGCCGTTCAGTGGTGAGATTAGCTGTAGAGGGTTCAGTGATCAGGGTTTAGGGTGGCTGGGGAAATGCTGTCTTTAGGGGCCTGCACATCATAGCAGACAGCCCTATGAACTTTTCAAAGCTGAACTTCTATTTTCTATCCACCTATTAGGTAAAACCACACCAGCACAATTCAGGGCCTGCTTCTTCCCCTGACAGAGCCACACAACCACTTGTTGGTGAGATGTCTGGGACATGATTCTCAGAATATTTGGATGGAAAAAGAAAGTTTAGTTGCTGCTAAATTCAGCCTCCTTCATTTCTGATTAGGCTGTACAAATGCATGGGTTTTCCTCCCTTGATTGGCTTCAATAATCTTAGCTCAGAAAACTAAAAATGATAGATACCTACAGAACTTATGTTTATGGGTCTACAACTATAGTAGCCAAACTTTTGATCAATCTTCAGGTAAAACCCCAGAATCCATTAACTCTACCTATCGGTTGCTAAGGACTGTGTTTGTAATATGTTCCCTTTATCTTTTACTAAGTATCAATCAAGTCAATTGATTGATTGATTAGTGCATACTGATAATCTCCCACAGCCATCCCATTGTATTAGGTATAGTGTACAGAGGTTTACTGAGCTATGAAGGACATGAAAACACTCACGTCTGAAAAATGAGTGGCCTTCATGTACTTTACCTTATTTGATCCCAACTACTACACTTGCAGCTGTTGTCCCCCTCTTTGGGACCTGTAACAACATTTTGAACATGTCTGATCACACTTACCACGTCCTCTGTGCAATCTACTTATGGGTGCACCCAGCTTACCTCTTTCTGGACTATGGGTTCCAAGAGACATGGACTCACATTCATCTTTCATTTCCTACAACCTCTGACCCAGGGCCTGGCACTCAGTAGGTCTCAAAAATGCTTACTCATTTATTTTGCCAGCATTGGCCCAACAATTCTAACAAATGGCCTTTTTGTGTCTGTCAGTTACAATTTACACCTGATAGGTCGGATACTTTTGGACTATGACAATAAAGAAAGTGACTTCTTTCTTTGCATTACTATTTTCTCTTCACACTATTTATTGATTTGTGTGTGTGTGTTTTAAATAACCAAGCCCCAATTAAGCCAACTTGTTCTTGATTTTCTAAAAATTATATAAACTGTAGTTTCTATTCTATAGCCAAAATTAAAATACATCATTGAAATTAAAGTAAGCCTACAGGAGTGCCATTAGGGTATTCAAAGCCAAATGTTGATAATAATGGTATTTACTTACTGAAATTTAGCAGCATTCATTCAAAAGCAATATGCAGTCCTAACTGCCTTAGATCAAAGAATACAAGTTACTTTAAGGTTCTATTCTCTAATTAGGTAGAAAAACCATTTCTTTCCCTCTTATTAACTGTCTCCTTCCCATTATGTTCTATGTCACTTTAAGCAGAATATCCATTTGAAAGAATTAATGAAGTCTGAGGGACTTGCCTGAAGATTGAAAAAGGATAAATTATCTTTATTTATAAAGATAAAAAGCTAAAAAGAGGCTCCAGTAGTTGCAGATTTAGTTAAGTCTTCCTTCTAAGCACAGCTCATGTATGTATCAGAATATTCATTTGTTCCATCCATTTGCAAATACCTTGGCATGAGCAAGTCAACAGGATTCAATCAAACAGACTTCATGGGGAACAATTCCTATAAGGATCATCCAGCCTCTTCCTAGGAAAAAGCACAACCCCACTCTTTCTTGGCAGGAGGGAGACCTCTTCAATGGGCCTGATATATTTTGCCTTTATCAGGACTTGTGATATTGCCTTATTTACAAAATTATAGTCCAGTTTGGGGTGATGGTTGAGGCTGAAGCCCTTGGGCTCCCTATGGGTCCTCAGGGCCAGAAAATTATAGATTGCCAAAGCTGTATGGGGCCTTAGCTGCCACGGAGGCTAATACTCTTGTTTTACAGATTAGGCAGCTAAGACTCAGGAAGGGCAAAAGGTTGTAATAAGGCAGTGGATCCCAAACCTGGCTGATCTTGGCTCATTCATCCCATCCATTCAATAAATGCTTACTGCACATTCCTCTGTGCCAGCACTGTTGTTGGTGGGGGGATACAGTGACCGTCCAGATAGGCATTGCCCTTACCTTCATGGAGCTTATACTCACTAAAAATATACCTAATATAAGAAAATAAATCACAGTAATGGTCAGGGTGACCAAGGAACAGAGGGGAGGGTTGGGAAGGGAAGGCTTGTGTTGAGATTTGAATAAGGACTAGGCATAGGATGACCAAAGGGTGGGGGCAGGGGTCATTCTAGACAAGGGGAATAGCTGGTGCACAGGATGAGAAGGAGCATGGAATGTTTGAGCATGGTGAGCAGTGGGGAGAGAGGAGAGACACGTTAATTGGAGAAGTAGGACAAGGCCAGGTCATCTACAGCAGTGGTCCCCAACGTTTTTTGGCACCAGGGACTGGTTTTGTGGAAGACAGATTTTCCACAGACATGGTCGGGGGATGGTTTCAGGATGAAACTCTTGCACCTCAGATCATCAGGCATTATTAGATTCTCATAAGGAGCACACAACTTAGATCCTTTGCATGGACAGTTCACAATAGGATTCATGCTCCTATGAGAATCTAATGCCGCCACTGATCTGACAGGAGGTGGAGCTCAGGTAGTAATGCTCACTCTCCACCTCCTGCTGTGCAGCCCACTTCCTAACAGTTCCTGGTGCCAGTCTGTAGCCCTGGGGGTTGGGGACCCCTGATGTAGAGACTTGCAGGTTGTGGTAAGGAGTGGATTTTTAAAAAAATTATAATGGGAACCCAGATTATTTCAAAATTAGCTTCTTAAAGGGCATTTTCTTTGCTGTTATTATTGTTCTACAATAGATTATTGGGACTAGGATTCTTATAATGAGTCAGGTCAGAAGATGGCCCAGCACAGTTACCGGCCAGTTCCTGTAACTATACACCAATTCCTTTCATTATATTAAGGACCCTCTTGCAACCCTCTGGGCAAGACTGAAAGGGCAGTGTAGTGTTACCCATTACGTGAATTATGATGAGGCCAAATTTTAGCCACAAACACAAATGGCTTCATCTGAAAATAATGTGGTGATCATTTTTGAGCATACTGTGGCACAGGTTACCTAAGTTTGGAAAAAAACAAAGCCATCAAAGCCTTCTGTTGATGATGTGGATGAATCTATCTCCTCCACCTGGTCAGGCTGGTCACCCCAGTCAAGACCCAACCACACTCGAGCCACCTCACACAGATGAGAATCTCTTCTGGTTGCACCACAGGCTGATAACCCAGAGGGTGGCAATCACTGAGTCAGTGCCAACCTCACAGAAATGGGACAAATGAGTACTAATGGGGATGGACCTAGGGCTGGTGGGGCCCCAACCTGCCTCTGATGACCTAGAAGGCCAGGAACTGGCTGGTTGATGGTGGTTATCATTTTACTTTATGCTACCAGTCCTTACCTTTAGGGGTCATATGACACAGGGTACAGAACAGGGTCAGCACACACCTGGGGAAGAAAACACATGACCTAAATGTTAACTGGCCACCAGCCATCAAAATGTCTCAGGGATTGCACAAGCTTTCACATACCTGGGCCTTCCCAACTGGTAGCTGAGGCTCCCATGAGACAGAACTCTGAAGTTCAGCACCTGGAGACCCGGCTGGCAATGCTGCCTCTGTCTCATTACTAGCTACGTGACCTTAGGTAAGTCACTTGGCCCCTCTGGGGCTCACTTGGCTTCTCTGGGCAGTGGGAGAGGTGAACATGGCCTTGCCAACATCACAGGGTTATATATGAAGTAATGTGAGTGAAAGGGACTTGGAAAGGGTAGAGTGGCACCTAAAGTGGCTTACTGGGCTTTACAACCACTGGGAAGTGTGGAGGAAATTCATCAGAGAGTTGATGTGGATGATGAAAGGCTCAAAACATTAAAATCCTGGGGACAGGCTATAGAAACTGAGATTCTATCCACGTTAAACAGAGAAGTTTGAGGGCTCTATTCCAGCCTGTGACTGGTTCTTACCCAGAACATTGTGACTAACTTCTATCAGGTTTCCTGAGGAAAAAACAAAACAAAATGCCTACTAAAATAAGGTGTATTCTATCTCTGAAGAATGTCTTGTGAGCGTATTAAACACTGGAATGAGTTACTAAAACAAGTTTGGTATTCTTTCTCTGATGGCCTTAGGAGAGATTCATACCTGAGTGTGGGTGGTTTAAATGTGATTCTGGCTGAAGATAGAGGAAGACACTACAAACTTAGTTCCCTTTTTTGGTTCCTGGAACTAAATTCATAAGAATTTTCAGGATGTGAGCTCCATGAAGACAGGGAGTTTTGTTCACTGATGCATTCCAAGCATCTAGCATAATACCTAGCATATAGTAGGTGCTTAATAAATATTTGCTGAATGGATAAAGGAACACTATGAGCTAGTCTGGGCATTTGGAAGTGAGAGAAGTTACCCTCTGGTTCACCTACCTGCTTATCCACAGCCCCTGGCTCAGCATAATGTGGGCTGAGCCTCTAAGTTAGAGCAGTGGCCTTCAAATCCCAGGGAATTTGGACAAGCTGTCTGTTATTAGTCAGGGTTCTCTAGAGGACAGAACTAATGGAATAGATAAATATATAAAGGGGAGTTTATTAAGTATTATCTCACACAATCACAAGGTCCCACAATAGGCTGTCTGCAGGCTGAGGAGCAAGGATAGCCAGTCTGAGTTCCAAAGCTGAGTCTGATGTTCTAGGGCAGGAAGCATCCAGCATGGGAGAAAGATGTATGTTGGGAGACTAGGCCAGTCTCTCTTTTCACATTTTTCTGCCTGCTTATATTTTAGCTGTGCTGGCAGCTGATTAGACTGTGCCCACCCAGATTAAGGGTGGGTCTGCCTTTCCCAGCCCACTGACTCAAATGTTAATCTCCTTTGGCAACACCCTCAGAGACACGCCCAGGATCAATACTTTGTATTCTTCCATCCAATCAAGTTGACACTCAGTATTAACCATCACAGTGTCTCAGTCCTCTTCATCAGGAATTTGCACAGTGGGGAAGGAGTCAAGTCCACTCAGGTTCCACTACAGCCACCCACCCATCTTTTACCTAATATTTATACATATTGGGCTTCCAGATACTAGTTTCTATTTGTCTGGTAACAGTCCACTCTACTTGCTATTCTGTGAGAGCAATCTGTGATTTTAAAAAGCCTGAAACACAGGAAAAGTGAGGAATAAGCTCCCTTGTTAAAGCACCTTCCATCTCTAGGATTTCTGAGTAACAGGTGAGAGGACGAAAATGGTCACTTTGGACATGTTTTTGGTGCCGCTTGTTTCATGAAATTCAAATAAAGGGAAGAAAGGCTGTAATAAATTGTTCCAGTTTTCCTCTTTTTGAAGTGTTCATGGGTTGTTGTCTGAATAATCGTATTTTAAAAAAGCAATCTGTCTAATTCCAAAAGGCTGGGGGTTGCCAGGTCTCTGGGGAGACTCTCTTTTGAGCATACAAGGCCATTGATTGAAATTGTTCTGTTAGTAGTGAGCACACTGGCACCACAACAGCCCTTAGAGGGAAGCACACAATCTAGTTAATTATGAGGATGCGAGAAGGAGTATGACCATGTGTCTGGGCCTGCTATTAGTATCAGGAGAAGCAGACCCACCAAGGCCTAGTTACAAAGGCCCCAAGACTCCAAGGGACATTTCCCCACTCCCCTATCTCCACATGAGAAGGAAAACACAGATATGGACCACTCTGCACTGTGAGGAGAGGAAAAGAGGCCACTTTAAAGGGCCTTAGGATTGGTCAGCAAGCAAACAAGTCACAAGTGAGTTCAATGGTTGATGCCTTGTCCTGGAATCATAAACTTGGCCTCCCAACCTACCCCAATCTATATTCAGCCCTGCCTCTGAAGGCCCAGCAACCCAAACAATTGCCCTGGGAGACAACAATTATATTTGCAGTATTGTCCTGCTTTTCAGAATGTGGTCTTCCTTGGATGTCTCGCAATGCTCTGGCCAATGGCACTTAGTGCAGGAATACCCAGTCTCATTTTCAAGATGAAGAAACAGAGGCTCAGAGATGCTAAGTCACTTGTCTAGTTACACCGGTTAGAGTAGGTACTGGGAACACCAGTAATGGAGTCAGACTACTTGGGTTCACGTCTTGGCACTTCCACTTAATCAGCTCTGCAACTTGGGCTTTGGTGACTCAGTTTCCTGAGTATAATGATATCTGCTTCATAGTGTGATTGGTAGATTAAAACAGATAAAGCATCCCAGTCATGAAAGTGTTTAGCATCCTGAAATGCTCAATAAATATCAACCATTATTATGATGGAGAGGCAACTATTAAGGCCAATTCCTAATCTCATGGTATTTCCAGTACACAGTGTTGTACCCAGCACCAGCTTCTTGCATTTTCTTTCTGCCCAATCCTCTCCCCTGCTCCCTCCACCTTTCTCACTCAAAATAGTGAAGATGTAAAACTCTTTTTCTAAACATTATGGCCCCCTTGGCTGCTACTTAAAATTCTGGCAGGCACAAGGGGATGTGATGTCTCTACCTCTTTGTGGCATGAGGTTAAGAAGCATCACTGGATACAGGGAAAGAAAAGCCTATCTCCCAAGGCTGTCACTAAAGGTTTGAGTGATGTGACTGCAGCAAGCACAGGTGGTGCCTTCTAGCATCAACCACCTACCCCAAATAGCACCATCAGCCATTGTCAGAGGCAGAACTGAAACTCTGTGCCTTGAGTCCTTTCCATTCCCCAGGCTACCTGGATTGCCCTGCATCTGGGACTAGTAGTAGGTGGGAGAGGAGTCAGGAAGGAGAGGGGATGGCTCACTGCTGGCTGCTACCATGTCAGTAGCACTCACTATCCTGAAGACAGAGAGTGGCCCCTCAGACCTTAATGATTTAAACCTCTGCAAAAGGGGATATCTGAGGACAAACCCTTCAGAGGATGCTTTCTAGGGTCCTTGCCCTTGTTCTGAATACAACATCTCCCTAAGAAACTGTTAGACATAGCATGCAGTGGGATGGGTAGAATTAATTGGGAATTATCTGACAAGATAGTATAAAAATCTCAGATGCCTCTCGTCACTGGAAAGGCATATATTGGATTCCTATCCAGAACTTTGCTTGATTGGAATATAAACAGAGAACACATTTCTGATGTCCCTGCCTTAAGGAGATTTATAATAAAGTTGAAAAAGTAATGGCATGGAGAATATGTGAGAAGATCCCACGGGGACATGCTCCTACATGGGTTGTACAAGGCTAAGAATGCCCCTTATGGAGCACTGTCTCTAGATTTCGCAGGAAATTTGCTAACCCATTCTTCCTAAATTTTATATTTTGGTTCTATATTCCCAAACCTCCTTGGAAGAACAACAGTGCTATTATTATGCATTATGGTCTCACTGGAAAAAAAGATGATATATTAATTAGATTATTATTAATGTGGAACTTGGCTTTCCAAGTTTAGATGACATTTTCCACAAAGGTATAGCTTGTTTTAAATTACATGCCAATAACCTCTGCCTTCTGGGTTCCTTTTTCGCCTGCTCAGTAATGATATTATCAATGTTCTTGGAAGCTGAAGCTCAGAATTTTGGAAAAAAGCGACAAATACTTCATATATCAATGTTTGAAGTATGGCCACTGTCTTGCTTTTATCTGCTGTGGGTTGTTCTACATTATATAATGTACTTGAAACATGTGGGCTTTGGTGATTGAGAGAACAGAGTTCATATTCTGGTTCTGTGTGAACTTGGGTGAGCTGTGTATCTTCCCTGAGCTTTAGTTCCCTCATCAGTAAAATGAGAATAAACAGACCTGTTTCTCAAGGTGGTTGTGAGGAATGAAGCAATGAACCTAGAACATAGTAAAGTGTCTGGTGCAGAGTGAACAGTCAATAATAGTAATGATTTAATAGCTAACAATTACTGAATAGTTATTATATACTGACAATATGCTATGGGTTTTACATATATTATTATATTTAATCCTTAAAATAACTCTATAATCATTCTGTCCACTTTATATAGGAGGAAATAGAGGCACACAGAAGTTATGGAAGTTTTTTTTTGTTATTTTTTTTCCTTTTTTTTTTTGAGATGGGGTCTCACTCTGTTGCCAGGCTGGAGTGCAGTGGCGTGATCTTGGCTCACTGCAACCTCCACCTCCCAGGTTCAAGCAATTCTCCTGCCTCAGCCTCCCGAGTAGCTGAGACTACAGGTGCGTGCCACCACACCCAGCTAATTTTTGTGTTTTTAGTAGAGACAGGGTTTCACCATGTTGGCCAGGATGGTCTCGATCTCTTGACCTCATGATCTGCCTGCCTCAGCCTCTCAAAGGGCTAGGATTACAGTCATGAGCCATCGCGTCTGGCCAGAACTTTTGACTACCTAGATGTTTAAGTACATATAGCCAGGTAGTGTCAGGATTTGGGTTTGAACCCAGGACCTCAGGATTTAAATCCAGGCCATATAGGCCTCCAGAGCCTATAATCTTAACCGTAATCATGAGAAATAGTGACCATTCTTATTAAGATTATCTGATTGAAATATACAATTTGCTTTCTTTTTTGGTTTAATGCTGCAAAGCAACTGCTCTGACAACTGGATGCACTGACTGGCCTGGTCCTTTTGTCAGTATAAAAGCAAAGCTTCTACAACAAGTATGACATCATTTGGAAGAAGAAAAATTGCTCCCCGTAACCTGGTAATATAAGCAGGCTAGTAATATGTGTCTAAAAATCTGTAAGCTCCTCAGTTATAGCAAACTTTATTTTTTATACAATTAGAGATAATAAATTAAAGGTATAAGCTGAAAGATTAGAAAATATAAAAAGGCATGATTTTGGATGAAGATTATGCTTTGAGCCTTTATGATCAGACTGACAGCCTATCACTTATTAAAGTGGACATCAGGTTTGTATGTACCTTGTCTTAAACAGTCATGATATACCATGCATTGATTTACCTTTTGTCTTTTGCCAGCAATGGTAAAGTGATCTGTAGATTTGTCAGGATGTGTTTCTACTAGATAAAACTGCACTTACAAACTCTATTCATTTAAAATGGGACAAAATTCACACAGTCTGTCATTTCCTTATTAAGAAATAGACAACTAAGAAATGTTTTTCATTACGACTGTCACCAAGACACAATGCTAATATCAATAAGCATTTTTGTGTATGTTCTCCTTGCTGAAACCTTGTCAGCATGTTCTCATTTGTCTGCAGAAGCTGAGTGGTAAAAAATTTCAAATGTAAAAATTCTAATGTCACTGTCATTAGCCAGAAAAAGAAATGGCAGAGCAAAGAAAGACTCTTGGAGAATGAAATCTCTCCGGAGACACTCCAAGGAGGATGCCTGTATTGGCTACCTTCAGCCCCAGTGCACTAGACATGGAGATGGCCTCAGAAGTTTCCACCAACCATGGACTTTCTCCATTCTTCAAATGAACTTTGCTTCCCTCCACCTTGGCACCTTTCAACACCTGTTCTTTCTCCCTGGAATGCTGTCTCCACTGACCTTCCCCCAATCCTTGCACATCCTTCAGATCTCTGCTTAGAGAAGTCTTCCTCAACCTCCTAGATTCAACTGGGTCCTTTGTCATTTTCTTTCATTGGGATCAAACACTGTCATTGTTCATAGTCATGTATTTGTGTGATGCACAATGCTAATTCCATGGGGTGGGAACCAGGCCTAATTTTAGGCACCATTATATCCCTGGGGTTTGGTGTAGTGATGGACACCTGGTAGAGAGGCACACGAAATATCTAAAGGGAACCTGAGCACCCACTGCTTGGGCCAGTGCTGCTGCTTGTGCTGCTGCTTCTACAAAATTAGATCATAGAGCTCTTATCTCCTCCTGTCCAGATTATTTGTGCCAATGACACGTGACTTAAGTTGTACATTGGACTGGTGCAAAGCAATGCTTTCCTCAAGCTTCACAACAGTTCTGATTGGCGTAGCCTGGGCTTGGTTTATAGCCTCTGGGATTACCAGATTAGTAGTGAGATGCTGAAACGTAGAGAACCATTTATCACTTTTTTTCAGCATGCAGGGGCACTTTAGGTGGATGGCAGAGTTGGCAATTGATCTGATTTTCACCGAAGTGCACATGTTCTATGCCATTCAAGTTTGAGGTCCCCACCCTCATGAGTGTCCACAGTTAAGGCAAATTCTGACCTTCTTTTGTCTTCCACTCCAGTAACAGTATTAGTATGGAAGGGAACAAAAATGACATTACAATAGGTAGAGCCTATAATGATGTGCAAGAATGTTAATAAATCAAAACACAAATATGAACAAATTATTTGTGACATCCCTCTTGGCTGATGGTGATCCTGTCACCACACTGTAAATGAGAATTTCAAATCTGGGTTAAAAAAAAAAACCTGAAAATCACTCAGGAGACTCTGGGGTCCAGCTAGGACCCTCAGGTTGCCACCCCTGCTTGTCACCCTAAACACTCTCCCGCAACCCCAGGAGCAAGCCTACTAAAGGGTTTCTCTGCATCGTTGTTATTTTACTTTCTGGCTCTGGAATCTGGACAAAGCAAATTGGAATCTGGCATGAGTTTGCTACTCTTTTAATAGCCCTGATACATCTTGGAGTGCCCCATTTAGTCGGGCATTTTTACAGGTCTATTTTAAAGAAAGTTGTTTCTTTGTTGGATTTTTAATCAAAACAAAAAAGTTCAAATGCTTAATAGTAGGGACCATGGTACATGTTTGTATTCAACTCTCACATTCTCCATCCCCACACCCCTCCACCTCCAGCACAGTATCTTGCTCAGTAAACCCTTTGGAGTTTTTACTTGTCCGCACTTCTTTCTTTTCTCACCTCTTCTTGTCTCCAGGAAGGATACTGTGGGGCTAGCTTCTCTTATGACAGCGCCTATTAGTATGCTGGCTTTGTGCCAGCCTGGCTATTCCATCCACAGTCTAGGTCTGGAGAGCCCAAGAACTCAAATTCTCCCTTTACAGTGGGCAGGGGGCGTGTCCATGACAGTCCCTTCCTCCTTGCCTGTAGAAAGCCCTGACCTCAGCTTTGCTCTCCTCAGAAATGGCAAAGAAAGGAGATGAAATTGGCGGAGGCGGCCTGATTCTTCCCTAGTGGGCTGAGTCAGGCTCCCAATCCTCAAAGAAGTGTTCACTTTTCAGACCTGGGTTTTCCTGAGGGCACGATGTAGCGACCACTGTGCGCTGTACTTGGATTCAGAAGACCCAGCTGCAAGTTTGGACACGACCACTTACCAGCTACGTGACTTTAGGCAAGCCACTTTAGCTTTCTGAGCTTATCCACAGGGTGGCTGGCTTGAAAGGGTGCGCCTTGATTCTGTTCCATTATCTGCACTACCCATATTTAAGGGTTGGTACTTCAAGAGACACTCAAAAAAACAAAGGTTACGAGAGTTATCTACTGACTTGTTTCAGCGGAGGTTCAATAAAGGCCTCCCAGGACTGGCCCCAGGCATTCCCTGGCCTCCCCGCAGCTGCCGCCCGTCCCCGCCCCCACTCCATTCCCTGCGCACCCCAGGCTGATGCAGCGTAGCTCTTAGGGGGAGGTGTGAGTCCTTGGAAAGCTCACAAGAATTTCAGAGGGTCAGTCACTCTCATTTACTCTAATGTGCTTTCAAGACTCCTTGATGGGGCCCCCTCCTCCACCCGCCTTCTACTGGCATCCTCCTCCGGGAAAGGTGGCAGCCGAAGACCTCGCGGTTTTCCCTCGCTCAGGCACCCCGCCCCGCCCCCAGCCCCGGTCCTGCCCTCCGCGCCCTGCTGGCCGGGCACTCGGGCGTCCAGGAGCTCCCCCTCGGGGTGGCGCGCGGCGACCGCCGGCGGGTTTGGCAGCAGCGCCAGTCGCGGGGCGGCCCGGGCAACTCGCCCGCCTGCCGGTCCGCCCACGTGCGCAGAGAGGAGCGAAGCGCGAGCAGTCGCCTCGCCCGCGCTTGCTGCCGGTGGGTGCCTCACCTAAGGGGCCGGCGGGGGCCGTAACCCGAGCCCCATCGCAGGGATCCGCATTTGCATAATTCGGCTTTCCCCCGTTCTTTCGGACTCAGGGCCCGAGATGCGAGTCGGACTCCCTTCCGAGGCGTCGTCTTGCCCATGGTCAGCGCGGGGGCCGCGGGACCCGCCAGAGCGCAGGCGGAGTGGGCTGGCGCACGTGGTAAGAACGCAGCTATCTTTTCTTGCTTTTCTTTTCTTTCTTTCTTTCTTGAGAAATAGGACTTTGCACATTTTTGCTGGGGTGGGGTATCTACTAGGGTGCTAACCTTGCTGCGATTTCTTTCCATGTCCTTTTCATCCCCAATTGGAAAAAAGCGCACAGCGCGAGCGAGAAACTTTCCCAAATGTGCTCTGGGTGACTTAAGTCAGAGAGATGGCCGGCCGCTGGATACCGGCTGTTTTGGAGGGAGGGGGAGAAGCAGCGCTTCAGTGGAAGAGCAGAGGGAGAGACCGCTCCCGGCAGCCTCAGGGCCCTGACCGCGGTGCGCTGGGCCCGGCGAGAGCTGGCGCACGGCTGCAGCGGTCGAGGCAGGTGAGCGGCTGAAGACCCGCCTGCAGCGCCGCGCTTCCTCCACGGCGTGGCGCCGTGGCTCCCGCCCGCCCCGGCCCACACTAAGCTAGGGCCGCTCCGGGCCCGGGGTGAAAAAGGGACAGGACAGGCCTGCGAGGCTGACCCTGCGCGTTATCCCTGGCCTCCGCGGCTTTGGAGCGGGAAAGGGCTCTGGGGCAGTTCGCAACCTGCACAAACGACCATGAATGAGTCATGCAGGCGGCGGTGCGCTGGACTTGGGCACCCGGGACCAGCCTCCTGTGGGGCCCCGGACAGGCCCGGCTATCCATTGCGGGCTGGGGCGCACTGGGAGGTAGAAGCTTTGCGCCCAGCAAGCCAGAACCTGCTGCTATTTGGACTTTGGAAAAGTTTTTAAAAATTGCTTTGGGAACGAAACAGAAGGGTTTCTACCGGGGTCTCGCAAAGTAAAACGAGTGGGTTGGGGGATGGGGATGGCGTCTTGAAAGTGATTAGAGATGCTTTCGGCCGTCACTGAGGACCGCGCTGGGCTCACCGAGGTGTTTTTTGGGGAGGGAGAGAAAATATTTATTCTAGTACGTGTATTCTGGCTCGGGTGCGGGCAGGGCGCGGTCCTGGATCCTGGGCTATGGGGGTCAGGGGGATTCTGTGGCTGCAGGGACCGGTAGTGAAGGTTAGGCCAGTGTCTTCATAGAACCTCCTGTCCAGCGAGCCCGGAGCCCGCTCTGCCGCCGGGACACTGCTGGCAACGACGGCGCGCGGACGCAGTCAACAGGGAGGTGTGTAGTGTAAGGTGTGTGAGCGGGTGTGTGAAGAGGGCAGCGGGGGCGGGAGTGTGTAGCGGAAGTGGAGCGAGTGTGAGTGTGTGTGTATGTGTGTCTGGAGGGGCAGGGTGAGTGTCCAAGCTTCCATCTGGACGCCCCCACGCAGCCGACCGCCCAGACGCGCCGGGAAGGGCGCCCGCTCCGCGCAGCAGCTGAAGGGGGGCGGGGAGCGCGCGGGCAGAGGAAGGAGGGTGTCTCCGGCTGAGGATTTCTCTCGAAGCTCCCCACAGTAATTCTGCTCCTCCTAGGGTTTACCCTCCCAGTCCCAAGGTGCCCAAAATACTTAAACAAACAAACAACCCAAACCTGTTCCGTTTTCGCTCCTGTATAAATAGAACAGACTTTCCAAAAAAGCAATACGCATTCACTCTTATCACCAGCCACTTCTTTCCACCAAGTAATTCAGAAAAAAGCAGTCAGCTTCCGTGAATGCATGTAGCTTTTTTTTTCTTCGCTGCCTCCTTTTGCTTGCGGTTTTGAGCTGCCAAGAAAGTGAGTAGGGGTTTGACTGTAGTGTCTCGGCTCCGCTCGGTTTCTTTCCGAAGTTTAATTTTCCGGAATGGCTCCCAAACAAGGGCTAGGGAGGCGGAGCCGCCGGCACCGGATCTTCGCCTTTTTTGGAAAGTCCCAGAGAACCGGAATTCCTCCCCGCCCCGGGAGGCTGAGCCGCAGCCTGGAGCAGCTCGCTCTCCTGCTGTGGCTGTGACTGGGTCCATGGCGCGCCCTCTCCCCCGCGATCCCTGCGCCCCGGACCCAGGCTGCAGCTAGGGCCGCGCGCCCGGGACCCCAGCGATCCCCGCCGCCTGCGAGCTGGAAGTCGCGAGCCCGGCGGAGTCCGCGCGGCCGAGCCCGTGTATGCAAATCAGCCATGTGACGGCAAAAGCCGCCTGGCCCAGCCCTGTTCCTCAGTCCATATATGGGCAGCGACGTCACGGGTATTGAAGACCTGCCCATAAATACTTAGAGCAACACTTTCCGTCTAACTGAGCGAGGAGCAATTGATTAATAGCTCGGCGAGGGGACTCACTGACTGTTATAATAACACTACACCAGCAACTCCTGGCTTCCCAGCAGCCGGAACACAGACAGGAGAGAGTCAGTGGCAAATAGACATTTTTCTTATTTCTTAAAAAACAGCAACTTGTTTGCTACTTTTATTTCTGTTGATTTTTTTTTCTTGGTGTGTGTGGTGGTTGTTTTTAAGTGTGGAGGGCAAAAGGAGATACCATCCCAGGCTCAGTCCAACCCCTCTCCAAAACGGCTTTTCTGACACTCCAGGTAGCGAGGGAGTTGGGTCTCCAGGTTGTGCGAGGAGCAAATGATGACCGCCAAGGCCGTAGACAAAATCCCAGTAACTCTCAGTGGTTTTGTGCACCAGCTGTCTGACAACATCTACCCGGTGGAGGACCTCGCCGCCACGTCGGTGACCATCTTTCCCAATGCCGAACTGGGAGGCCCCTTTGACCAGATGAACGGAGTGGCCGGAGGTAAGCCGCGTGTCTTCGCAGGCCCGGACCTGCGCGGCCCGGAGGTGGTGGATGGGGTGCAGTGGGTGTGCGGGAATCGCAGGAGAGGATTGGGGCTCCAGGTGGACGGTGCTGACTGCACTGGCTTTGAAGACTGGAAGTGGGTGCAGGAGGAACCTGCGACAGCTGAGACCAGGGCGCGCGGGCAGATGCGCCAGGTCGCCAGCAAACCGGCGTGCGTGCGCCCCGGCGCGCCCAGCCCCGGGCGAGCGCAGGGATGGGGGTGGAAGAGGCGTCCCCCCGGGTTTCGAGGCTTGCGTAGGCCCTCTGGCCGGCAGCACTTCGACCTCCCCTCTCCCGGGGCAGGGGCAAAGTGACGGTAAAGTTCGGGGCTCTCGGGGAGAGCTGCGCGCCTGGAGAGCCGAGCGGCGGAGAAGCGCCAGGGGAAAGCGTCGGTAGCTCCCTCCTGGGCAGAGCCGACCCCGGGAAAATCTCGGAGCGCTCCCTTCTTGCGGCCTGGAGGCGCGCCCCCACCTGCCCGCCGCCCGCGAAGTTGAGGGGGTTAGTAAGGCGGGGGCTCCGGCCGGCGGAGGCAGCGAGTGGGTGGTGGAGGAGGGCGCGCAACGGCGGGAAGCAGCCCCCGGACTGCCGAGGGAGGCCCGCGGGGGCACCGGCGACGCCGGTTTCCTTGGCGATGCTGTGGAAAGTCGTCTCTCGCGGCCCCCGCGCCTTCCTCGAGGCCGGGCCACTGGCCTTGGGCTGAGGCGGGGACGCGCGGCTGTCGGGAAAGGCGGAGAAGATTGGGAGGGCACGGAAACCTACGGACTCCTTCCTCTACATCCCCCATTCGCTCCAGCAGCCCTCGGCTGAAGCGCAGCGGGAGAGGGAGGGAGAAAAAGGCACAAGGCGCCGGGGATGGGGAGCAGCCGGGAAATCACCCACCCCCTTCTCGGGCTCTCCTCTCGGTTTGGCACCATCACGGCACTGACTGGGATAGGTCGATTCTTGGGTGGTGTTTGTCTTGGTGCCTCAGCCGTGGAACCCCCAGGCAAAAAAGAGGGAGAAAAGCTCCGGGCGGATGAGGCTTTTTAAAATATTGTTGTTGCTATTATTGGGTGTTTTTTATTGGGGACTAGAGCCACAGATGGCTGGGGGTGGAGGGGAGTTGGGAAAAGCTCATTCTGCTTTTTTGGAGGTAGTTCTTGAGTTCCATACTGTCAATGGGTTGCCACAGTTGGGCTGGCCTCTTCTTACAGTCTGTGGGCCTCAATTTCCCCACCTTTTGGACTTTGCCACAGCTCTACAGTGCTGAGACTCTCGGCCTTGGAAATGGACCTATGTGAGCGGGGGTGAGAAGGGAGTCCTGGCTGTATTTTCATTGTTCCACCTCCATTCTGCCTTTCCCCTCCCCAGATGGCATGATCAACATTGACATGACTGGAGAGAAGAGGTCGTTGGATCTCCCATATCCCAGCAGCTTTGCTCCCGTCTCTGCACCTAGAAACCAGACCTTCACTTACATGGGCAAGTTCTCCATTGACCCTCAGTACCCTGGTGCCAGCTGCTACCCAGAAGGCATAATCAATATTGTGAGTGCAGGCATCTTGCAAGGGGTCACTTCCCCAGCTTCAACCACAGCCTCATCCAGCGTCACCTCTGCCTCCCCCAACCCACTGGCCACAGGACCCCTGGGTGTGTGCACCATGTCCCAGACCCAGCCTGACCTGGACCACCTGTACTCTCCGCCACCGCCTCCTCCTCCTTATTCTGGCTGTGCAGGAGACCTCTACCAGGACCCTTCTGCGTTCCTGTCAGCAGCCACCACCTCCACCTCTTCCTCTCTGGCCTACCCACCACCTCCTTCCTATCCATCCCCCAAGCCAGCCACGGACCCAGGTCTCTTCCCAATGATCCCAGACTATCCTGGATTCTTTCCATCTCAGTGCCAGAGAGACCTACATGGTACAGCTGGCCCAGACCGTAAGCCCTTTCCCTGCCCACTGGACACCCTGCGGGTGCCCCCTCCACTCACTCCACTCTCTACAATCCGTAACTTTACCCTGGGGGGCCCCAGTGCTGGGGTGACCGGACCAGGGGCCAGTGGAGGCAGCGAGGGACCCCGGCTGCCTGGTAGCAGCTCAGCAGCAGCAGCAGCCGCCGCCGCCGCCGCCTATAACCCACACCACCTGCCACTGCGGCCCATTCTGAGGCCTCGCAAGTACCCCAACAGACCCAGCAAGACGCCGGTGCACGAGAGGCCCTACCCGTGCCCAGCAGAAGGCTGCGACCGGCGGTTCTCCCGCTCTGACGAGCTGACACGGCACATCCGAATCCACACTGGGCATAAGCCCTTCCAGTGTCGGATCTGCATGCGCAACTTCAGCCGCAGTGACCACCTCACCACCCATATCCGCACCCACACCGGTGAGAAGCCCTTCGCCTGTGACTACTGTGGCCGAAAGTTTGCCCGGAGTGATGAGAGGAAGCGCCACACCAAGATCCACCTGAGACAGAAAGAGCGGAAAAGCAGTGCCCCCTCTGCATCGGTGCCAGCCCCCTCTACAGCCTCCTGCTCTGGGGGCGTGCAGCCTGGGGGTACCCTGTGCAGCAGTAACAGCAGCAGTCTTGGCGGAGGGCCGCTCGCCCCTTGCTCCTCTCGGACCCGGACACCTTGAGATGAGACTCAGGCTGATACACCAGCTCCCAAAGGTCCCGGAGGCCCTTTGTCCACTGGAGCTGCACAACAAACACTACCACCCTTTCCTGTCCCTCTCTCCCTTTGTTGGGCAAAGGGCTTTGGTGGAGCTAGCACTGCCCCCTTTCCACCTAGAAGCAGGTTCTTCCTAAAACTTAGCCCATTCTAGTCTCTCTTAGGTGAGTTGACTATCAACCCAAGGCAAAGGGGAGGCTCAGAAGGAGGTGGTGTGGGGACCCCTGGCCAAGAGGGCTGAGGTCTGACCCTGCTTTAAAGGGTTGTTTGACTAGGTTTTGCTACCCCACTTCCCCTTATTTTGACCCATCACAGGTTTTTGACCCTGGATGTCAGAGTTGATCTAAGACGTTTTCTACAATAGGTTGGGAGATGCTGATCCCTTCAAGTGGGGACAGCAAAAAGACAAGCAAAACTGATGTGCACTTTATGGCTTGGGACTGATTTGGGGGACATTGTACAGTGAGTGAAGTATAGCCTTTATGCCACACTCTGTGGCCCTAAAATGGTGAATCAGAGCATATCTAGTTGTCTCAACCCTTGAAGCAATATGTATTATAAACTCAGAGAACAGAAGTGCAATGTGATGGGAGGAACATAGCAATATCTGCTCCTTTTCGAGTTGTTTGAGAAATGTAGGCTATTTTTTCAGTGTATATCCACTCAGATTTTGTGTATTTTTGATGTACACTGTTCTCTAAATTCTGAATCTTTGGGAAAAAATGTAAAGCATTTATGATCTCAGAGGTTAACTTATTTAAGGGGGATGTACATATATTCTCTGAAACTAGGATGCATGCAATTGTGTTGGAAGTGTCCTTGGTGCCTTGTGTGATGTAGACAATGTTACAAGGTCTGCATGTAAATGGGTTGCCTTATTATGGAGAAAAAAAATCACTCCCTGAGTTTAGTATGGCTGTATATTTCTGCCTATTAATATTTGGAATTTTTTTTAGAAAGTATATTTTTGTATGCTTTGTTTTGTGACTTAAAAGTGTTACCTTTGTAGTCAAATTTCAGATAAGAATGTACATAATGTTACCGGAGCTGATTTGTTTGGTCATTAGCTCTTAATAGTTGTGAAAAAATAAATCTATTCTAACGCAAAACCACTAACTGAAGTTCAGATAATGGATGGTTTGTGACTATAGTGTAAATAAATACTTTTCAACAATATTTTTGTTGCAGAAATCATTTCTGAAATACTTACTGGGTGGGAATTAAACAGTCATTCAGTCTCTGTGGGAATATTTTTTAAAAACAGCACTAAGCACCAGTGAAAATGCTTTGACCAAACCATGGTCTCCAGATCTTCTTTGCTAGCCTGTGGACACCAACCCCAAAGCAGGCTCCATTCATAATCAAACACTAGTGTTCTGGGGATTTCCCCCATGCATTAGTGTAAAAGTGGGGAGGCGTTGTTTTGACTCATTGTTCCGTTGTCTCTAACAGCCTATAGCTTCTCTCTGCTCCTGAGTGGGCTCCGGAAAATAAATACTTACAAACAAGTGCCCACTCGGAGACAACACATTTACAGTCGCTTTCAGAACCCTGACCAGGGTCTAGAACTCAGACGAGATGTGGCTTTGTGGAAAGTGTGGTGGCGTGGTCAAGCTGGAAATGACTTTCAGCTTCCAGGATTAGTCTCATGACCACAGAAAACTTTTTGAAAAGCACTATCATCTCTTCAGATCGAAAATGCCCCCAGACGCTGCTGATGACAGCATGAATGGGTTGTCAAAGGAATTACCCCAGGACTCATTTCTCTCCAACCTTCACTTCCCAATTGATTACCCCTATTTGATAGAATCATTGATCTGCCAAAGGTTTGGTGGGTCTAGAAGTGACGATCAAAGTACTCAGCTCATTAGATAAGATAGGTGCCTCAAGAAAATCTCAAAGATAACCTAAACTAAATAGGCCAATATAGTCCTCCATGGTACTGGATAAAGGTTTGCAAAGAATATACTGTAGGGTTCATTTCACTGCAAGTCTTTTGTAGTGGTTTTAAAATATAAATTCACCAAAAATTAGTTAATTTAGCCACAAAGTAAACAGACGATGCCTTTGTGAAGTTATCATCTTTACTGTAAAATCTGGGCCTAAAAATCATTTAAGTTCACCCACTTCTGGATCCTTACACAAATGTAACATGTTGCTGCAGCGTCCACTGTTTAGCTGACATCTGAAAATCCCTTTGACTATTTGCCCTTCAGCACTGTTAAGACTCCCTCAGACTCAACCTGTATTTCAGAATAACAGATGATTACAGCTACTCTGGAAACCACCTTTTGCCCTTACCAGCACTAGAATTTGAGATCCAATTTGTGGAGGGAATGAATGCCTTTCTTCTGTATCTCTTCTCCATCCCTATTTCAAGGATGTCGAATCTCTCTATTCTATTACTACGAAACAAGAGTTTTCAGAACTTGTTTCATATTTTTTTAGTGACTGGTGTTTTCCCATTAGTTCCTATTTCCCAGCTTGTTGGCGTAATATCATCCTTGCTTGTCCAACTTTGGTAAGTATAAGACAATGCCACATTTTGATAATTACGTGATTTTAAAGAATACTTCCCTCCTACCAAGATTTCATTATATTAAAATATACCCAAATTTTGTAAGATATATTTGTCTTGCCAAATTCTAATTTTAGAGGATTTTCAATCAAGATAATCTTAACAATTACTTACGAAGCAGTAGACTAAAAGTCATCTCAAAAATAAAATAGAAGATATTTTGATGACAGCAAAATTGGTTACATAATCACTTTCACCCTGACGTGGGCTTGGTGAGGTAGCATTAACACACATACCATAAGGAACACCACATCTCAGCATTTTCTCAGAGCCAACTTTGTGGCTTTTACTAGTAGATTTCAACATGTGAGGTCAGTATCTTTAATCCGATTTTGCTCTCTGCTTAAAATGTTCAGGGTGCTTCTTGCACGTCTCATTTTTTACATTGCTCAAGAAATAAAGCATAGAAAAATGTCTTCTTCTAATCTTGTACATACACTTTTGGAGAAGAATTCCTTAAAGATTCGTAGTGCTTTTGAGATATTTCAATTCATATTAAAAATGGGTTGATAATACCTACACAAGGCTTACAAGTTTTCATAAACCTGGCTATTTAATTTCATTATCCCAGCTGCTAATAAGATTAAGGCAAATTGTTTCATATATATTAAAAATGGCTGCAGTGACATTTTAACCACTTAATAACCACTTTTGTGTGTGTGTGTCGGTGGGGGGGGGGCAGGGGGAAGAGCGGTCAGCATTAACACAAGTCCCAAAAATGCTGCCAGCAGAAGCTAAAACTAAACAAATACTACAGGAAAACAAAACAAAAAATAAGGAAAGAAAATAAGTCCTAAAACTCTTTCCTTCCAGAATGAAAGTATTTTTGTTTTCTTGTATAGTACTATCTTATTTTCCTTAGGTTAAATACAAAGTAAGCTTTTTTCTGTTACAGCAAAATAGTCCAATTAGACATTAGCTTCAGATGTGTTTTCCTTCAGGCTGTTTCAAAGCTCACTCTCAAGGAAATAAACTATTTTTAAGTGTATATTACTTGGGCTTTAGAAATCTGCAGAAGGCCACTAGATTTTAGTACAACATAATCTTACAGTATATACTGTGAACCTTTCATGGTAATCAAACTGTAGACATCAGAGCAGGTAAGGTTTTCCCTATCTGTCTTGCAATAATCAAGTAAGAATTATCTCTAAACAATTTGAAACATGTCTTCATTTTCCATAAGTACACTGATTTTTTTTTCCTTTCTTTTTTGAGATGCAGTCTTGCTCTTGTCACCCAGGCTGGAGTGCAGTGGCATGATCTTGGCTAACTGCAACCTCCACCTCCCGGATTCAAGCGATTCTCCTGCCTCAGCCTTCTAGGTAGCTGGGATTACAGGCGCCCACTACCATGCCCGACTAATTTTTGTACTTTTAGTAGAGATGGGGTTTCGCCATGTTGGCCAGGCCGGTCTCGAACTCCTGACCTCAGGTGATCTGCCTGCCTCAGCCTCCCAAAGTGCTGGGATTACAGGTACACTGATTTTAATCCAGAAATGTAAACATCCCCAGATTTGGGTTTGAAGATTCAATATCTATAAGGGACTTGACAAATGGTTTCCTTCTTTGACAACAGATGCCTCATTGCAATGGAAGTGATCAGTGATTGGCTTCTGTATATACGCTTAAGTTATTTAGACCTGCAATTACAAAAGTAGCACTGCTCTCAGGTTAGAGTTGGAAAGCAAGAGGCAAGCCCTGAATTAAAGATATATTGCTTCTTCACTGGGCTGTAGAGCTAGAGCACAAGATTCAGAATCAGTAACAGATGAGTAATGGCAGAGTCCTCCCGAGATGCCAGGACTGAGGCACCTAGAAGGAGACAAGGAAAAGGGGGAATAAAAGGTGTGGATTTTGGAAGAAGTTCAGGGTTACTGGTGTTAAAAGCTCAGAAAACCCTCTCCTGTTGCCAAAACACATATTACTTAAAAAGCAGGCTACCACTTTCATTAATAAATAGCAGTTGGTGTAAATGCAACCCATTCAAATCAGGCTTAGTAAAAATCAATTCTCATAAAATAGTAAGTAGGTACACAATACTCTGCATTGATATAACTGGCCAGTGACAGAACCAGATACTTTAAAAGCTTCAGAAGCATTTAGACAGACAATTTCTCACCCATGAGGCAATTATTGCATTTATTATTCACCATAAAAGTGATTAATATCATTGTGCTCATTAGTCTTTCCAAGGGGAAGATAACTTTTATCCCACAGTTGTTATTAAAACATTATCTATATTGGACGGAGTATATAGAAACACAATAGCAACACACCAAGTCAGTCACGACTAACAGTTTATGCACACAGGTGCAAGATAGTTTCTGCACCACATTTTGTCTTTGTAATAAGCATATTCTTTCCTCAGTGGCTCACTAAAACAAGTTATATTTTGTCTTCACCACTAATTTACTCAGAATTTATTAGTGAACCAAAAGTTTCACTGTTCTTATTGAACTAAATCTGAGATATCATATTGCTGTTTTGGCCTGCAACAATTTCAGTTACTCTTTTGAAAAGCACCTTAGGTTTTTTCTTCCAAATTGCTCGTAATTGAAAACTTTAAAACTTCTTTTTTTCATAATGAAGTCATAATTCTTCCTTTATTACTATCCTACAGCCAGGATGAGTTTTCGTAGCTTTAATGTACTAAGTTGTATTATAACACATACATTGCTATTAATAATCTTGGTAAGCTAATCAACTTTTTGCTACAATATAATCCAAAAAAGTATGTGATTGATAACCACATTCATTACTGTGCTATGGAAAAAAAAACAAGATCTTTTATTTTGTGAAGTTTTCTAAGAAAATCATTTGCATATCTAGAATTTTATTTTCAAACTAAGTGGCATGAAGAACTGCTTCAAACTGCCCCCAAAGGCATTTTAAACTACACCAGAATGTGGAGCTACAATAAAACAATTTTAGCAACAATGCAGGAAATACTTGGTACTATGCCTGTGTCAGGTTTTATAATAAAGTGGCATGTCCTGTGGAATATCTTTTTGTGTTTTGTTTTGGTTTTATTTTTAAATCACTCACCAAGTATTTGCTTTTTTATACTATCTTAAAAACTGGGAACAAATACTCCCTCACCCTGGGTCTCTGTGTGCATAAAGAGGCAAAGGCACGTACTGTTTCTCTACATACGGGGTCAACATTCCACTAATAATAGCAAATCTCCCTTTATTATAGATATTAGAACTCTATTGCCACTTGGGCAAGTCAATCAAGAGGGCTTAGACGACAGCTGGGCAAATTTTAATGTGTTTATTTCTACAATTTCTTTTTATTAAAAGTCTTGTGAAAAAACGGAATCCTATAAATAGTAAAAAGGGAGAAACAGTGCTCCATGGCCTGAAGCAAATGGTGTCAATACATGTGTAAACAAGGTAAGACTGCTCGGACTATTAAAAGCACAAAAATAAAACTAGTCACAGATAGCAAGACTTCATTTCAGGAGTTGGGAGTGGGAAGTAGGAAGTGTTTAATCCCAAGTTTTGGTGCCCTAAAATGGCTAGTAGTATAGTTAATTCTCAATTCTCTAGCTGTGATCTTCTGTGCCTTCTATCTCTTCCTAAGGAAAACCACATTAGATGAACCCAGGGCTCAGTCATTTTAGGGAGAGGGTTGAGACAACACTGCCAGCAACACAGCTGGAATCACCCGAGTCGGGAACATTAAAGTTCCTGAGAGAATATGAAACAACTATCAACATAATATTTCTCCCTACTTTTACAGTAAAATATTGGAAGTAAATAAATATAGGGAATGCAACAACTGGCTAGGAGTGTTTTACATTCAGTTGTTTGGAAGCATAACACATTCAGCTCCTTTGAATCTTCCCGTTAGAAAATACAGAATTACTCTATCACCTTTTAAGGTACAGTAAGACAAGAAAAAAAGTCATGTGAGGATAATACAGTCTTTGCATTAAAGGTGAATCTGCAACATGAAATCTGCTCGACTCACAGATCTGGAGATTCATAGGGAAGATAAGCTCTAAGTGACCATGTCACAGAGATATGCAGGTGCTGAATTTCTTAGTAGATGCTGCCTGAGTAAACCAGATGTGGCTACTGGGCAAAGGGAGGAAAGAAAATAAATCTTGTCCTCTACATGCATAGTTATGTTGTGAGAATGATCCCCAAACTGAAAAAATCATTTAGTTTTCACAAGGAATTAATTAGGCAGGCCAGCTCACTTTAAACAGTAGCTCATCTCCTTAAACCTAGTTTTTACCAATGACTTGAACTAAAAACAATTCAAACCACTGGGTCATGCACAGTCAATAAGTTAAAAAACTATAAGAAAAAAAGGCATAAGGGCATGAGTGGAAAATAAACCCTATTTAACTAAGGGGTAGGGAGTGGGAGCAAGAAAACCACTTAGTATTTTGTATAGAATGGGGAAGAGAGGAAGATATTTTCATTATGGCTTTAGGATGGAAGCGCTTCAGATAGTCCCCTGCCCCATTCCTCCAAATCAAAGCCCCAGTGGCAGTGACAGTACCAGGAAACAATCTAGCCTCCCCGCCCACCCCGCCCCCATAACCGTGCCCGGCGGCTGCTGTCCAGTCGCCCGTGCTTCCCAAGGCTGCCGAGGAAGCGGCTGCTGCTCATTCCAGTAGATCCAACGCCCAGGCTAGGGGGTAGAGACACAGCCCTTGTGGTAGGGTAGGGCACGTCTTCGGCCCACCGCTCCTGGGCGCCAGTGGCTTCAAGGGAAGACCTTGGGACCTGGATAGGGTTCTCCCTCGCACCAGAAGTCATCGGCCTGTGGGGTCTCCAGGAGCCACACCTCTCGAGGCAGGTCACAGGCCGAGCTGGAGGCCTCCTTGGGCCTGACCGGCTCCAGCACCCGGTAATAGTGGCAGTCCCGGCCATCGTCCGGGTCGTAGGGCGGGGCCAGGATGTCCAGGAAGGCGGCAGGCCCTTCCACGGCGTCGATCTGGTGCAGGTTGTCCCGGTGCGGTGTGAGGATGCAGGGGCCGCTGGCCTCGGTGTACTCGGCCCGCGAACGCAGCACGCCCGGCCGCACGGCTTCTCGCTCCCGGGGCTGCAGCGGCGGCTCGAACTGCTGCTCGGGCGGCAAGGCCCGCGGCCGTTGCCCGCCGCCCGCGTCTAGCTTGTCCATGCAGCTGATGCGCACGGTGCCGTACAGCACCTTGAGCATGCCGTGCATGCCCGGGTGGTCGTGCAGCGGGATGGACGTGCCGCTCTTGAGCAGGAACACGCCCAGGCTGAAGCCGTCCGTCTCGTAGATGTGCATGTAGGTGACTGGCGGCAGGTTGGGCGGCAGCGGCTGCAGTGTGGCCTTGCGCGGGGCGATGTTCAAGTCCTCGGCGCGGAGCTGGGTCAGGAGGCTCTTCAGCTTGCTCAGGTTCTCGGGGAAGCCCGGCTGCATCGGCGCCTCCGGGCCAGAAGCCGCGTCGCGATCGGAAGCGCCGCGGCCGCCCCCGCTGCCCCGGAAGGTGAGGCAAGCCTGGCGGGCGATCCGTTGGATCAAGGAGGCCATGTTGTCTCGGGGCATGGTCGGCTGCTCCTCTGCGTGCCGGGACCGGCCCCCTCCTTTCCTCCGCCCCTTGCGGTCCCCGGCGGCCGCCACGGCTGCCCCCAGCCCGGGTCGAGGCGGGAGGCCCCGCAACCACCGGCCCGTCGGGCGCGCGGCACCGCCGCCAACCTCAGCAGCCACGCGCCCGCAACTGCCCGGCGCGCTCGCCTTGAGCCCCCTCTGAGCGCGCACGCGCACGCCCCACACCCCGCACTCACGCTCCGGGAGCAGATAGCGGCCGCGCAGACGGTGCCAGGCTTTGCCTTACGCCCGGCGCTCCATTCATGCGGCCCGCACCTACGACGGTGGCCGGGCGCCCGGGGACCCTGCGGAGCATGCCGGGACTTGTAGTCCGGCCTTCCGCTTGAGCTCTGAGATAGTTCAGTTTGTTGATTGGAAAATAGAGGAACTATTACACATGTTGGGCATAAAGCGATCTTTTTCAGGATGCAGAGGTGTTTTTCTTGTTTTAGAAAAGATGAATCGGGGTGGAAGATTAGTAGCCACTTGACTACAACTCCCGGCACTCCCCGCAGGGTGGAGTGACGCACTTCCGTCAGCTGGCCCCCGGAGTAGTGGAGGCTCTTGGCCTTCATAAGGAAAGGGGCAGGGAGGGTCGTTAACCTTCTGGCGCCGCGCTGGGGCCTGGTTAGCCATGCAGGGTCGCCTTCCTTTGGCCTTGCCCCTGGGAAGGAGGCTGTTGAGTCAGCCTTAGCTCCTCGTAGCGGCCTAGGCAGCACTGTCTCCCACGGGAATTGCAGGAGGGCGCTTTTATAATTTTGTGTTTCCTAGGAGGGGAGGGGGTCCAGGCCGTCCTCTGTGATCATCAAGGTTACTCGGCCCAGCTGGGCCCAGCTGGGCCCAGCTGTTGTTTGCATCAGGACCTGATGACGCTGCTCTTCTGGTTACAGAGCAGTATAGCTTTTTGCTGGAGAGACTTGAGAGGCCATTTACAGTGGTCGTGGATTCTGAACATACTAGTGGTTATCAAATCTTGGTTTGCCTGAGAAGGGGGAGCGGGCTTTTATAAATGCAGATTCCCTGTCGTCACCCAGAGATGGAGTTACTAGATGGTTCTGAGGCATCCTAGGAGAAATAGTGGTGTGCAACAGTCAGTTCAGTCAGTAATTGTGAAATTGTTTCACTACACAGAGGCATCCTTCTCCTTGGCGTGAACTAACTTTTGGCATAAGTAAATGACTAGAAAAGCAAGACATTAGATACTATGACTTTAAACTTAACCCTGAGTTTAAAGTCTTTTTGGATTCCAAAGCTGAACATGGGTTTCTTGTACATTTTGTAATTGGAGTGGTTCAGTGAATCCTCTCCAGTTAAAATAGGCATACTTTTTAAAGTGGATTACATAACCTGGCTAATGAGTACTCACAATATGCCAGGCACTGTGTTAAGTGCATTATATAATGAATGTTATACTATTTAATCCTTGCAGCAACTCTTAAGAGGCAGGCACTATTATTATTCCCAGATTGCAGATGAGGGAATAAGTTGTAGGATAGTGAATACTAAGTACCCAGCAAAGCATGAGCAGCAGAGCAGAAATAAGTACAGTCTTACCAAAAACAGCAGCTTGAATTGGTGTAAAAGCACCAAACGAGAGTCAGGATATTGTTGTTCCAGCCTACTGTGTGTACTTACAAGCTGTGTGTCGTTAGGCAAATCCTACCCTTTTAGGGCCTCAATTTATTCATTTGTAGAATGCCGGTGTTAAGGGAACAAAAGTTCTGAACCCTACTCATCAGAACCCCCTGGAGAGCTTAAAAAATAAAGATCTTGGGGTCACACCTCAGAGATTTTGATTCAGAAGAACTGGAGTGAAGCCTATTTTTTTGTGTGTGGTTTTTTTTTGTTTGTTTGTTTGTTTGTTTTGAGGGGTAACAAGGTTTATCGTGAAGAGCGAAATAACAAAGCTTCCACAGCTTGGAAGGGGACCACAGCGGGTTGCCCCTATGATTTATATTTAAGATGCTTCCTCAAGCAATTATTATTATTATTTTTTTTTTTGAGACGGAGTCTGGGTCTGTTGCCCAGGCGGGAGTGCACTGGTGCGATCTCGGCTCACTGCAAGCTCCGCCTCCCGGGTTCACGCCATTCTCCTGCCTCAGCCTCCGGAGTAGCTGGGACTACAGATGCCCGCCATCACACCCGCCTAATTTTTTTTTCTGTATATTTAGTAGAGACGGGGTTTCACCATGTTAGCCAGAATGGTCTCGATCTCCTGAGCTCGTGATCCGCCCCCCTCGGCCTCCCAAAGTGCTGGGATTACAGGCGTGAGCCACGGCGCTCGTCCAAGCGATTCTTGATCATTAGCTCAGTTTGAGAACCACTGGTAGAGCTGTAAATAGTGAACCAGCTTTCATTAGTTAAGAGGGTGGTTATTTGCTTTAGGAAAGGATTGTTAAGACTGATTCATTTTTAGAGGTTGCCATGCCATTGTTACGTTATTTAAATGTACTTTCAAAGCTGATAAATAAATTTCATACAGTCTTTTTTCTAAAGTGAGAAGTATTTGAGAGTAAAATTCTTCCCCTTCCTTTATTTACAAATATGGACTTTTATTTATTGGTTTTACTTCTATTAGGGTATAATTAGTGGTAAGTATAGACTCCATGGAACACAGACTATATTAACATGCAGATCTCTTGCACTTAATGGTTGTCCACACTTACTTAACTGAAGCTCAAAATTTTCATCTATAAAATGGGATAATATACCTGTGTAAATCACTGATGACACTATGTAGAACATAGTAGCTGCCCCATGACAGTAGCTATTATAGGTTTAAAATGGCTATAAGTTGTACTTAAAGACCAATGAATTTAAATAATACTAAGCAAGTATTGAAATGGAATTTGACTTGTTTTGAGAATCAGCTTCAGGGTAGAGATAAAAAAGATTATTGCTTAAACCATTTACCTGGTAATTTGCTAGTCATCCTTTGGCCTGAGTTCAAAGTTTCCGAAGACTGCCTGTATCAGAATCACTTGGGAGTGTCTGTCAAAAGTGCAGATTCCCAGATCACGTCAAAACCTACTGCATCTGAATCTTTTGCACATTAAAAATTTTAAGAACCAGGCAGGCATGGTATGGTGGCTCATGCCTGTAATCCCAACACTTTGGGAGGCCAAGACAGGAAGATCGCTTGAGGACAGGTGTTCAAGGCCAGCCTAGGCAACATAGCAAGACCCCCATCTTTACAAAAAAAAAAATTAAAAAATTAGTTGAGCATGGTGATACACGCCTGTAGTGTATTCTGGAGGCTGAGGCAGGAGGATTGATTGAGCTGATGAGTTCAAGGCTGCAGTTAGCTATGATTGCACCCCTTCACCCAGGCCTAGGCAACAGAGTGAGACTGTCTCTCAAAAAAAAGTTTGTAAGAACTGCTGAGTGTCTACAGGGCATGTGGTACTTTTTTAGGTCACAAAGAGTCTACCTCCATAATTCCTTTTGATGTTGCCCTTCATTCAGAGCTGCACTAATGGGTGATATTGACTCTATGGGCTTTTGCCCTTAAGAAGCAGTTTACTTGCCCTTCTGCCCCACTGCCAGTAGCATAGGCTGAGTGGGTTTCTATTAGCATTAACATCCTTCTTTTTTATCCTTGTTGATTCTGTAATTCTTCAGTGTTGTTATAAGCAAAATGGAGACCAAAAGAAATTCTGAAAGGGAACAGACAGGAAGAGAAGTGATAGTGAACAAATACTAGGAAAATGCATGGCAGAGACAAGGTTTAGGGAAAGTTTAGGATAGACAAAATCAATCGTTTGATAAACAGTCAGTATCCACTGAGTACCAGGCATTGTTCTAGGCTTTGGGGATTCAGCAAGGAACAAAGGAAGACAAAGTCCAAATTCCCAAGGAGTTTACCTGCGAGTAAATGTGTATGTTTGAGAGGATGGAAGCGTTATACAGCGCGAGTAAATGAGCAACATACTTTTCAGACAGAGATAACTTAGGAAGACAGTAAAACACAGTCATAGACTGGTGTGATATTTATTTGTGTGTGGTATGTTACTTTAAATTGGGTTATCAGGAGCGACCAGATGTTAACATTTAAGCTATTTTTGAATGTTAAGGAGTTAGCCATGGAAAAATCTGGGGTCAGAGCATTCCAAGACCAGGAAACATCCTTAAGATTATTAACAGGGTATTGACTATCACAACTTTGACCACGTAGAAAGGAACTTGGTATAATTAGGAGAGAAGATGAAGACCTGCGGGGTTAAGACTGCGTAGTGAGCTTCCAGGTTCCTGGAGGGAGATGCAGGTGCAGAGGCCAGTAGGGATTGTGTTATGTAGGCCTTATAGGCTGTGGGAGGGGGTAATAGGGAGTTGTAGGCTGTGGTAGGGAGTTGGATTTTATTCTAAATGCAGTGAGAAGTCTTTGGAGAGCTTTGGGCAGAGGAGTGATTTGATCTGTTTTACATTTTTAAGAGGTTGGTGGTGGGGCGAGTGTAACAGCAGGGAAACCTGAATGAGGGGCAGTAATCCAGAAGAAAGACAAGAGAACTAGTGTAAGGATAAGAATCTGTTTGAAGGTACAGCTGACAGGGCTTGCTGATGAGCTATTGCTTCAGCAATCTATTTCAAAGTGTATTTTCTCCATGTTTTTTCTTTCACAGGTTGACAGCTTTGTGGTGATAGGTAAGACTGATACAGCTTAAATCCCACCTCCTACCCACATCTATTAAATTTAGGAATGAGGGAAGCACACAGAACCATGAGTAAAGCTGAGATTTTTTTTTCTCCTCCTTTACAGTTGCTTAATTAACCAGGAAACAAGGAGAGCTGGAAGAGCCCCCAGCCTATATGGATTTAACTCCACCTGTTCATTTCTATGATCTCTTCATTCTTTGGGAACTAGGCTTGTGCTTTTGCCTTTCGTTCTTCTTCCCCTACCTCTTGACTCTATGAGGACTGATTTTCTTTAATTCACAAGATACATTACCTTCTGGCTTTTACTCAAATCTTCTTCAGAATTCATTTGCCCATTTCTTTTGGTCACACTGAGATCCAGTGGAAAGAGTACAAAAGATTATAATGGTATTCTCACATGCTCAGACTTCCTAGTCTGCAGTTTTGTTTTGTTTTTGTTTTTAAAGTGGGAACTAAGGTTTATTTTTTCCCGAGTAGTCATTTCCACCTTATTCCGATATCTGCCTTTTATATTAGTATAGAACATGGTAAATAAATAGATTAAAATGTCCCCATTTTCAGACTAATTCATAATTATATTTGAAGTATTTTGGATTCATATTGTGGCTTTCCTTTCAGTTTTTAAAAAACATGAGTGTATATTTCTCATTCCTTATTATGAATGAATGTCATGTTGTAAGAAAAAAATAAAAATTTCAAAGTCAGAGGAGCTGGTGTCATGGCTTTGCCACTGACTAGCTGTGTGTTACCGAGCAAGTCCACCCTCGCTGGATCCCAGTTTCTGTGAGAGATGATCTATCTGTAAGATTCCTTCTGGCATCTCATTAGCTCAATGTGGAGGACAGAGACAATCACAAGACTGATTCAGACAAAACCAAACATATGTATTTTCTTTCATTTACCTAAAATTATTACACTATAATCCTCTTAGCTGTGTCTATCTCCATTAAGATCTTATAAAGTAACTCTGCCTACTCTAGTTCAAATTTGTGTGGTTGTCTGAAATCATATCACTTTGGAGTACGGGCTGTTTAGCTAAATATGCTAAGTTCAGGGCTTTTTCATGTTTGGGTGAGACTTTAGGTGCACACATTGCACTAATAAATTGCAGAGGTTGTGTTGTGTGATACATGCCATAGACACAATTTTCTAATCGTAATTCTATAGACTGGTGCATATTGGGTTGGGATAGAGAAGGACTTAAATTTATTCTTTTTTTCCTCTTACTTGCCAATGCCTTATTTCAGGCAATGAGAGGCAAGGGAAAAAAGAATTAAAAACTGGTAGAATGCAGAGCATAGTTGAGGTGGGGGAAGGTGTGGCTTTCACAAGTTATTAATGAAGAGACGATTTTGCTATAGCTCAGGCTGAAGAACTGCCAGAGATCACGTATTATGATTTTTGGAGGTGATTTAAGATTATAACACTCCCTCCACCAATTTGGTATTAGAGAGGTTTTCCTCTTCTCATTTAAGCAATACAACTATTATGAGACTTAAAATTGTTGTGAACTGTAAATTAAATTCAAACACACTTTACCTCTCTTAATTAACTCCCCCCACCCCGCCCCATTTCATGCTTCTTGTTTTTCTTTTCCTTTTTTTTTCCTCTGAGAAGACATCAGCTATCTCTACCTCCTCCGCTTCCCCATCTGTCCTCTTCCTCCTGGCTGAGAGAGTTTTACTTTATATTTATTTTAATTAATGGATTTGAATCACAAGTGGTGAAACAGTTGATGTTCAGCTTCAAGAGGCAGTGAAAGGGAAAATTGTCTTCCTTAACTTGCCAGCAAAGAACTGTGTGTTCATTGCTGGTGCCTGCCTGAAAAATGACTGGGAAAGGGGCAGGATAGGGTTCCAGAGTTCTATGTCCTTGCAGGGGAAGAGATGCTGTATACTAGGATTAAGGGAAATGAAGGTGAGGAAACTCTTTAGAATGAAATTGTACTTTCTTGGAAGACGCTTTTCCCACAGGATGCTTAGTATTAGGTGGGTGCAAAAGTTATTGTGGTTTTTGCCATTAAACCATAATTATATTTGCACCAACCCAATAAATATTGCTTTATGGTCATGGATCATTGGTTTGGAATCAAATTCCTTAGGAACAAAATAGCAGGATGCAATTAAATTGTTTGAGCACTCTGATTAATAAAATCCACTGTAAGTTTATCATCTTTTTCTCTTTAGTTGGAGAAGGCAAGTGATACTTTGTTGTTTTTGTTTGTTTGTTTGTTTTTTTAAGCTTCTCCCTTGAGTATTCACCTTAAATTACACTCCTGGGCATTTGACTGACTTGAAATAAATAAATAGGGGCAGTATTACATGTGTTTTCTTGGAGAGATGAAATGCTGCTAATCAAAGCCTTCTTTTGGAAAAACAAACAAAAATAACCTTGTCCACATAACATAGATGCTCTGTTCTGGCATTTTAAGAAAGTGTGAGAAATAACAGTACGATTTGAAAGTGGAACAGCAGGACTTATCATGGAAAGAATAATGGACTGCGAGGACACCAGTTCTCCTCCTGGTTCTAGCAACCAGCTGTGTGACTTGGGGCAAGTCATTTCACTTCTTGGAACTTCAGTTCCTTTATTTATAAACTGAAGAATTTGGTTTAGATGATTTACCACTTTCCTTCCAGCATTAAAAAAAAAAAACCTATGAATTTTGAAGATTGTAATGATTAATTTCATACCATGATCTGCACAGATATCACAAAAGACACTTTTAAATGTATTTTTAACATGAAGAGAACACTCAGTAGCATGTATATAATGATACTTGACTTGTTTTTATGTCTGTGTTTTCCCTTTCTAAAGTAGATTATATTGACTTTTCCTGAATATAGATCATTGAGTAAAATGAGCAGGAGCTCTTGTTTAAAATGTTTGTCATTATTTTTAGTTTCCACAATGTGTTTTTTAAGGAAAAAAATTTTTTTTTCATTCTAAGCACAAATTATCATGCAATAAGACTGCCGTGTATTGCTAGTGGGAAAAGCAAAACATGACTTGAGTTAACTACACATTTCAACAGGACATGCTGAGGAATTGACAACCAACATCACAGTGCGTAGAAATTTCTTTAAGGCAGCAGAGCTTTAGTTTAATTAGATAATTAGCCCTGGTCAGCCTATAATGAATGCACAGGCAATTAGCAATGAATTTGTGCTACTAAAGCCTGTTTTTCCTCTTTTGTGTTCCTTTGCTGCCATTAACAACTCTAACTACTGAACAATTTATATCTTCACACTAACAATCAACTTCATTGTCATTAAACTCTTTGAAAGCAATAAAGCAATGAGACCTGAATTTCGTTGCACAACATTAAGTGATTATGTTAAGTAATGCCATTTATTTGCCTAGCCATCCAGCTGCTATATTATGTCAAGCAAATAGGGCTTTTAAAAACAGTGCACACTCCATGATTTTGATGATTGCTTTATTTGTCAAACCCAAGCAACGAGCAAGAGATGTACCTCAATTTGTAGTTCTCACTCAGTAGCTTTCAGCAGACTTGAATAAAAGAAAACAGTTACACAAATTTACCAAAAGCAAGACCCTGTTAAAAAAAAAAAAAAAAAAGCCTTTCTTCGTGGCTTAAAGATTCTTATGTTTGGAAAATTTGAGATAAATTTCAGTAAGTGAAAGCCCTTGCTGGGCTGTCTTTTCTTGTTTGAGCAGTTTTAGTTTCATGGATGACAGATGGAACCTTTATGGCTTTTCCTCACATACCTCCACTGCAAGTCTTTTCCATCCATTTACTGTTTCTTAGGGGAATGGCAGAAGAGAAAAAGAAGGAGAGGAAAGGGAGTGACAAAGGGAGGAGAGAGAGCTTTCAGAAGAGCAGAAGTTACCAAAGAAATATAGATTGTGTTCCGAAGACTCTGAGTATTGATGTCATGAAAACATTTGTGTTGCTCTGGTTCTGGATGTGTAAGCTGAAAGACTTCATCATATTTCAATCACAAATTGTTGGAGTAGGTAGTTAGGCAGACATGAGCAGGGCAGGAAAGGGCCCTGCCCACCAGGAATGTCAGGCGACCATCAGGTGATGGTCAGGTGGTTGTTAAACTATCTCTGTAAAATAATAATTGGGCACAGCTGGTGCCAGGGAAGGGCAGTCTCCCAATAGATAAGAAAACACCCACATCTGGTGATCAGCAGCTTCCTGATGAGATCTCAGGAGTTGGGCAAGTGGGCTCAAGGATGCGCACTAAGAGTCAAAATGGTGGTTTAATGGGTATATGACCTTCCTCTAGGAACAGTCAGCTAGTAAGGGAACAACACCTCAAATGAGCATTTGCACAAATTCAGTAAACATGCTGTGCATGCAGCCCTTCCCAAGTGCTGGCAGGCCACCATGCATGCAGACAGCCTGCTCCAAGGGAAGTCTTTTCTTCTCAAGCGAGAAGAAACCAAAACCCCGAACCATGCCAATGTATGAAACTCCAGGTCAAGAGCCAGATGGGGCACTTGGATCTCTCAAGTCACTCGCTTGGCCCTCTTCCAAGGGTCCTTTACTTCTTTTTGTTTCTACTCTAAATTTTTTTTTAATAAACTTTCACTCCTACTCTAAAAGTTGCCTTGGTCTTTCCCTCTGCCTTAAACCTGCATCTGCTCCTCAGCCAAATTATTTTCTCTGAGGAGTCAAGGATCAAGTTTGCTTCAGACTTGTACGGATTCACTGCTGGTAACATAATGAGTTTTGAAAAATGGACATTTTGAGATTCTACTGGCAGTTTATACACCTACAAAGAGATATCACCTACAATATCAGAAACCAGTCTAATCCCATTAAAATTTATAAAGCTGTTATTATACAGAGTTTTTTTTTAATACAGACTGTTCTACTTATTAATAATCTAATAGGGTTTGGGAGATTAAACCCAGTATTAGAAAACTAGTCAGCCAATTAATAGCTGTTTAGGAATTCATTAAAGAAGTGCATTGCTTACTATTTAAGCAGAATTTTAAAATGTATAAACAGAATGTTTCTTCTGGTTGGAATATGAACACTGGCTTATAATTTCTTATCTTGAGACTTCCCATCTGGCTGGTCTTGGAAATATTTTTCTTTTTTTTCCCCCCTAGCAGTGCAACAACTAGCAATTAGAGTTTCAGAAATGCCAATTTTAATCACTACTTCCATTTCCAAAATAGAAAAACTTGCATGAACTACACAGTAGATAAACCCTCTTCATTTTATTCAGTTGAGTGTTTTTGAAAAGGTAATTTCAGTAAATCAAAGCCAGGGATAAGATATTCCAGAAATGTTAAGAAAATAGTGCAGATCCTTATAAATTATGGTCAGTTTTACTCTTAAGCTGGGCACTAATTTCACTGGCATTGATGTTTATATTATCCAGGTATCAACTTTAGTGCAGTTAGCTCACATAGAGAAGGGCTTCTCAACTTCAGTACTATTGACTTTTGGGTTGGCTAATTATTTGTAGTGGGGGGCTGACCTGTGCATTGTAGGATGTTTGTCAATATCCTTGGCCTTTACCCACTAGATGACAGTAGCACTAACTCCCATACCCCACCCTGTTGTGATAACCGTAAATACGTCCATCTGTTCCCAAATGTCCTCAGGATATGGGGCAAAATCACCCCGGTTGAGAATCAGTTATAAAGGATAAGATCTTGGCAACTTCTTCCTTTAAAAGCATTTAAATATTAAACAAATAAAGAGTGTTGAATTTGGATGTCTAGATCCAAATTCTTAACTTTAGTAAGTTAAGTCTTTTTTTTGTTTGTTTTTTGAGTCAGGGTTTTGCTCTGTTGCCCAGGCTGGAATGCAGTAGCAAGATCACCACTCACTGCAATCTGCCTCCTGGGATCACCACCCACTGCCTCCTGGGATCAAGGGATCCTCCCACCACAGTCTCTAGAGTAGCTGGGACCACAGGCATGCACCACCACTCCCAGCTAATTTTTTTTTTTTTTTTTTTTGTAGAGACAGACTTTCACCATGTTGCCCAAGCTGGTCCCACATTCCTGGGCTCAAGGGATCCACCTGCCTTGGCCTCTCGAAGTGCTGGTATTACAGGCATGAGCCACTATGCCCAGGCAGTAAGTGAAGTCTTAATAGAGATAAATAAATCAGAGCCTTGGTGAATCCCAGTTTGGAGTAATTTGAGAGACACCAGAAAAACACTCGTGTTTCCAAATACCACTTGATTTTCCCAAACAGGCTGCTATAGTGTTGGAAATTTCTAGTCTGAAATTTGTTCCTTCTGTTAAAATGCAAACATTCCTGAGAGGAGAATTTCTTTACACAAAAACTGAAACTTTAGTTTTCAGTTAAAAGCTAACATGTTATTAATATATAACTATATGTATATATAGGTTATTAATATATACTTATAATACTGTTCTACTTATGACAAGATCCTTCAGGAAGAAGACCCTGGCGAAAATTACCTTGCATATCAAGAGTTGGCGGATGAACACGAAGCAATCACCTTGGGAAAAGGAGTGATGAAAGTAGAAAGCACTAAAGAGATTCTTTATAGTTCTTGATGGGTAGCCTGAGTTGCTCTTGCCATGTTTTTGTTTGTTTTTTTTCACTCCTCACCGTATCTTTAAATCCTATTTTTAAAAAAAGTAATGAAGAGGTAGCCAAGATGTTCTTCAACAGATGAAAGGATAAATAAATGGTGGTACATCCAGATAATGGAATATTAATCAGTTATAAAAAGGAATGAGCTACTAAGCCATGAAAAGACATGGAGGAAACTTAATCCATGTTACTAAATTAAAGAACCCAATCTAAAAAGGCTGCATACTGTGTAATTCCAAGTATATGATATTCAGAAAAGGCAAAACTATGGAGACAGTAAAAAGATCAGTGGTTTCCAGGGCAGTGAAACTACTAAGTGTGATACTATAATGGTGGATACATGTCAGTAAACATTTGTCCAGATTCATAGACTGTACAACACCAAGAATGAATGCTGATATAAACTATGGACTCTGGGTGATACTGATATGTCAATATAGGCTCATCAATTGTAGCAAAATGCCACTCTGGTGGGGATGTTGATGATGCTATGCACGTGTGGGGGCTGGAGATATATGGTAAATCTCTGTACCTTTCACTCAGTTTTTCTGTGAGCCTAAAACTGCTCTAAAATAAACTCTATTTTTAAAAAAGGTAAAGAAGACTATATAGATGGTGTAGTAGTTGTTGTCTATTGCACTTTCTTTGCCACTTCATGTTGGGTGTCCCAAGTTAATTTTGGATAGTTACTGTAAATAAAATATAAAAGTCTAGAGAAGGACAGGTATCTAAGTCTATCATCTGTGCTAACGGGGAGGCCTGAGAGGTGTGGTGCCTGCTTTTCCTCCCTTGTTTCCTAACACATTAGTGACTGGCAATTTTGGACCTAGAAGATGGTTTGTTTCCTGGACCTTTCAGCACCCCTCACTAGGAAACACACCTTTCTAATCACTGAAGTAGTGCTCCATAAAAAGGAACTTTCTGAAACATAGGAGAGACACGGCGATCTGATGGCCGACATGCTGAAGTGGGTTCCAGGGTATTTTCATAAATCCCTTAGCAGTTCCCCACACTAGGCTTCCATTCAGGCTATGGGATTTCAGTTTTTCATGCTGGGTTTTTTTCTCATTGACTTTTCTTATGTAATTACTGTATCATGGCCCTCAGGCCATGACCAAACTCTAAGAATAGTTTGTGTTTATTTTTTTTTCCCATCGAATGTCACTTGCTTCTTCATTTCTTAATTTCTTCCTAAAGCGAAGGAGCCAAAATACACCACAGATCACAGATGGACTAGACAACAAGCATCTGCATTGCAGGGGCCCATGCAGAACCTGATTTATTTATGTAAACATTTTGCCACTTACTATATGAAGTTGTAGACTCCTCGACTAGTTACTGATCTTATACTTTCTAGTAGTTAACATAGCCCATTTTCAAAAAGTCCAACTGAACATAAAAGTAAAATGATTTTTTTTTTTTGAGACAGAGTCCCACGCAGTCACCCAGGCTGGAGTGCAGTGGTGTGATCTCAGCTCACTGCAAACTCTGCCTCCTGGGCTTGGGCCATTCTCCTGCCTCAGCCTCTCGAGTAGCTGGGACTCTGGGCATACGCCACCACAACTGGCTAATTTTTGTATGTTTTGTAGAGACGGGTTTTGCCATGTTGCCCAGGCTGGTCTCAAAACTCCTGAGCTCAAGCAATCCGTCCACCTTGGCCTCCCAAAGTGCTGGGATTACAGGCGTGAGCCACCGTGCCCGCCTAGTGTTAATAAAATGAAATATTCTTTCTTGTTTATTTCACCAGTTCTTACTTTCAGGCTGAATAGTATAACATTCTGCAGTTTACATTCTGCATTAACCTCATATTTTTTTTTTTAGGTTCCTTGCCTCAAATTGGACTAAGTGGCTCCTCTTTTGTAGTTTGACTTACATGTATCATGTAAGCAGTTGTCATGATATTATACTTGACTGACAGATTTCACAGTTGTCCCTTTTGGCATAACTTCCCCAATCTAGCATTTTGTTTTTACCTTTCTTTTCTCTACTCAGATTTTCCTGTAAGCTTTCACATAAAGATAGTATTTTATTCTTACTAATAGTCACAATAGAACACTAATACAGATGGCCATATGAGTGTTCACCTTTTAATAACTTGCTTTAGACTGTTTTCCTCTTAAAGTAGAGGGATCACTGGGTGTGGTGGCTCATGCCTATAATCTCAGCACTTTGGGAAGCTGAGATGGGAGGACTGCTTGAGGTCAGGAATTTGAGGTTACAGTGAGCTATGATCATGCCACTTTACTGCAGCCTGGGCGACAGGGTGAGACCCTGTCCCCCAAAAAATATACATATAGGGATCTATGAAAATAGATCCCAGTGTCTTACTGGGGTTGAAGAATATGGTCACCAAACCAAAAAGAGGTGAAGCGGCAAAAGCCTAGGAGCGCAGGCCGAGCGTGGGAAGCCAAGGCACAGCCACCTGGGCCATTTCCTCACCGCTAGGGGCAGGGACCAGAGAGGCAGGGGGATGAGCAAACCTTGAAAACTATATTCCTGTGTTGGCTTATACATTTCCTGAGGATGAAGACTACATCTACTTAATGTATTTTTGACAGAACCCAGGATGATAACAGGATGAACCCAGGATGACAGAACCCATGAGTATGTTAGCACATGCTAGTGACTGTGGGGCTTATGCCTTTTGTCCTCTTCAAGGGCATATTCTGGAGTACATTCCTAGAAGGGATGATAGTTGGGGAATGTTTTGGAGAAGTACGGACAGCACTGCAGAGGAGGAAAGGGAATCTGACGTGGAGGTGCTTTAATGTGTGCTTTGCCCAAGTGCTGAGAAGAATGGATTCTGATTGCTTTCCCCTTTTCTCCTAATAAAAAACGAGGAGAGAAAAGCTGTCTTATTTTAGATGTCTCAGCATCATGTACAAAGCATTAAAATGAACTGTCAAAGAAATTAACCAATCTGAGAATTTGTGATTGGTGATGGCACTGGCACCTCCCCATCTCTCCCATCCCTGGTGAGGGGTGCCCCTCAAAATGCTCTAGCTCCTGGCTGTAGTCACTGACTGTCTAAGCAGAGAGCACTCTTGCCCCATGCATGTGACTGCCTAGGTGTCAGGCCTTACCAGAAGCAGAGAAAAGGTCCTGGAAGGAGACTGCTTCCCTCTCACATCTTCTGCTGGTACCTTGGGGTCCCCCAGTGAAGCCAGGCTCTATCCTGGGTCCCTCCTAGGTGATCAGGGAAGGCTGCTCCCGGAATAGCCAGCAGTGGATGGGAGAATTGAGTGCAGCTGTGATAACTTGGATTACCTGAGAATTTGGAATAACTTTGGAATTCGAGGGAATTATCTAACTAGTCCTTATTCTACCCTTAAAGGAGAGTTAGGTGAAGATCCAAAAAATATCACCATGGAAATGAGCATATTAATCACCACGAGACCTTGGAAACTCAGGTGTCAGCCGTCATGCGTCAGAGCTGGGTGTGGTTTGGGAAGATACCACTCTGGGGTGGCATTTAGGACAAAAATGCAGCGCGGGGAAACTTGCCTAACAGTTCTCCTTCAGTGTCAGCAAATAGCCTTGATTGTGCTGCAACTGTGGTCCCTTCCACTATCTTACTTTCCGTCTATCTCAATGCCCCCCTCACACACACCCAGAGATGCTCACTTTGCCTCACTCTCTGTTCAACATTTGGCACGTTTCTTCCAGAAACCCCCTCCTCACTGTGCATTCAGTGCCACCATTCTCTCCGGATCGCGAGTCTTTGCTCCTTCCTGGATTGCCTCGGTGCCTCCTCTCCTCTGCGCGACCCTGAAATGCTGCATTCAGTTCAGAGGTCCTCCTTGAGCTCTTCTGGGGGAAGGCCAGTCGTTCCTTCCCTCTTCCTCTCTAACCTCCTGTGTTTAATCCTTTTTCTCGCTCCCACCCAATTTCAGTGTTCCCCAAGATCCACTTCTCATGCAAGGAGGCCTTGTTTTTTCAGGAATGAATCCTATGAGAAGGTAATTTGCTAAGTCCTTCATCAGATTTTACTACGTAGCCGTTTGATAGGAGTGCTGTACTAAACTGTGGGAATAACAGAAGATGTGCCTCCCTGCTGCTGGGAGATTAGAATCTCCCTCCAGACAGGACACACAGGAGCTGGAAGGAAGCAAGACGCAGGGTAAGGGGATTTGTGGAGCTCCTGTTACCTATTAACAAATACAAGCCTGGGCTTACAAAATGCACCAGAGGCCACTCTAGGCAAGATGTTTAGAAAAAGCCTCTCTGAGGATGCGCAGCTTGAACCAAGTCCCTACGCAGGAATTGGGAGCACATTGATGGGAAAGAGACAGGAGAGAAGTGAAGGCCCAGACTTTGTCTCTCTACTTGTGCATGGACAGAAGAGCCACACGGTGTTCTGTTTGGCCACAGGTGCATTTGTGTAGCCGACAGAGGCGTATGGTGTGATTTACTTTATAGAATTATTTCCAACCTTCAGGCATTCCTGCCTGAACTTTCCCACATGAGCGTCTACTCTCCCCTGATCCAGCCAGAGTGTGCATTCTCTTCCCATGTAGACATTTGTTCTCCTGCCCGGAGAAGCCTGCAGCTGTGCACAGGTCAGGGTCATGCAGCAAATCCCTATTTGACGAGTTTTATTTTTAACTGTACAAGATGGACTTTAGGTGATGGTGGAGTTTTCTCACTCTGAAGCTAAACAAAGAGAATTTTCTGCCTGCAGGAACAGGATTAGTGGCAACAAATTTTTCATGTTAGTGCAGTCCCGTACAGGCTGCCAGCTTAGTCTATCATAAAGAATGTAGGAAGCCTGGTGGATGCCGCTATTTTTATCTTGGCCCTTTGGTATCCGGCATCTAATTATTCAATTCACAAAGTACATTTCATGCTGCAATGTTTATTTTGTCTGCAGAGAAAAATCTTTTTGAAATTTTTGTGGAATTTACTGGTTGTGGAATGTTCACATTTTAGCAGGTGACTATTTGAGCATGTTAAAATTGCCTTGGTATATAGCAAGGGATACTGTTGGTTGGAGTAATACTTTGTTTTTGTTGTTATTATAGTTTAAGTTCTGGGATACATGTGCAGAACCTGCAGGTTTGTTACATAGCTATATACTTGCCATGGTGGTTTGCTGCACCCATCAACCCGTCCTCTACATTAGGTATTTCTCCTAATGCTATCCCTCCCCTAGCCCCCCACCCCTCAACAGGCCCCTGTTTGTGATGTTCCCCTCCCTGTGTCCATGTGTCCTCATTGTTCACCTCCCACTTATGAGTGAGAACGTGTGGTGTTTAGTTTTCTGTTCCTGTGTTAGTTTGCTGAGAATGATGGTTTCCAGCTTCATCCATGTCCCTGCAAAGGACATGAACTCATCCTTTTTTATGGCTGCATAGTATTCCATGGTGCATATGTACCACATTTTCTTTATCCAGTCTATCATTGGTGGGCATTTGGGTTGATTCCAAGTCTTTGCTGTTGTGAACAGTGCTGCAATAAACATACGTGTGCATGTGTCTTTATAGCAGCATGATTTATAATCCTTTGAGTATATACCCAGTAATGGGATTGCTGGGTTAAATGGTATTTCTCGTTATAGATCCTTGAGGAATCGCCACACTGTCTTCCACAATGGTTGAAGTAATTTACACTCCCACCAACAGTGTAAAAGCATTCCTATTTCTTCACATCCTCTTCAGCATCTGTTGTTTCCTGACTTTTTAATGATTGCCATTCTAACTGGCATGAGATGGTATCTCATTGTGGTTTTGATTTGCGTTTTTCCAATGACCAGTGATGCTGAGCTTTTTTTCATATATTTGTTGGCTGCATGAATGTCTTCGTTTCAGAAGTGTCTGTTCATATTCTTCACACACTTTTTGATGGGGTTGCTTGTATTTTTCTTGTAAATTTGTTTAAGTTCTTTGTAGATTCCGGATATTAGCCCTTTGTCAGATGGATAGATTGCACAAATTTTCTCCCATTCTGTAGGTTGCCTGTTCACTCTGATGATAGTTTCTTTTGCCTTGCAAAAGCTCTTTAGTTTAATTAGATCCCATTCATCAATTTTGGCTTTTGTTGTCATTGCTTTCGGTGTTTTAGTCATGAAGGCTTTGCCCATGCCTATGTCCTGAATGGTATTGCCTAGGTTTTCTTCTAGGGTTTTTATGGTTTTAGGTCTTATGTTTAAGTCTTTAATCCATCTTGAATTAATTTTTGTATAAGGTGTAAGGAAGGGGTCCAGTTTCAGTTTTCTGCATATGGCTAGCCAGTTTTCCCAACACCATTTATTAAATAGGCAATCCTTTCCCCATTGCTTGTTTTTGTCAGGTTTGTCAAAGATTAGATGGTTGTAGATGTGTGGCGTTATTTCTGAGGCCTCTGTTCTGTTCCATTGGTCTATATCTCTGTTTTGGTACCAGTACCATGCTGTTTTGGTTACCGTAACCTTGTAGTATAGTTTGAAGTCAGGTAGCATGATGCCTCCACCTTTGTTCTTTTTGCTTAGGATTGTCTTGGCAATGTGGGCTCTTTTTTGGTTCCATATGAACTTTAAAGTAGTTTTTTCCAATTCTGTGAAGAAAGTCAATGGTAGCTTGATGGGGATAGCACTGAATCTATAAATTACTTTGGGCAGTATGGCCATTTTCATGATATTGATCCTTCCAATCCATGAGCACGGAATGTTTTTCCATTTGTTTGTGTCCTCTCTTATGTCCTTGAGCAGTGGTTTGCAGTTCTCCTTGAATAAGTCCTTCACATCCCTTGTAAGTTGTTGTATTCCTAGGTATTTTATTCTCTTTGTAGCAATTGTGAATGGGAGCTCACTCATGATTTGGCTCTCTGTCTATTATTGGTGTATAAGAATGCTTGTGATTTTTCACATTGATTTTGTATCCTGAGACTTTGCTAAAATTGCTTATCAGCTTAAGGAGATTTTTGGCTGAGATGATAGGGTTTTCTAAATATACAATCATGTCATGTGCAAACAGAGACAATATGACTTCCTCTCTTCCTATTTGAATACCCTTTATTTCTTTCTCTTGCCTGATTGCCCTGGCCAGAATTTCCAATACTATTTTGAATAGGAGTGGTGAGAGAGGGAAGGAATTCCTTTCTTGTGCCAGTTTTCAAAGGGAATGCTTCCAGCTTTTGCCTATTCAGTGTGATATTGGCTGTGGGTTTGTCATAAATAGCTCTTATTATTTTGAGATACATTCCATCAATACACAGTTTATTGAGAGTTTTTAGCATGAAGAGATGTTGAATTTTATCAAAGGCCTTTTCTGCATCTATTGAGATGATCATATGGTTTTTGTCATTGGTTCTGTTTATGTGATGGATTACTTTTATTGATTTGCATATGTTGAACCAGACTTGCATCCCAGGGATGAAGCCAACTTGATCGTGGTGGATAAGCTTTTTGATGTGCTGCTGGATTCATTTTGCCAGTATTTTATTGAGCATTTTCACATTGATGTTCATCAGGGATATTGGCCTGAAATTTTCTTATTTTTGTTGTGTCTCTGCCGGGTTTTTGGCATCAGGATGATGCTGGCTTCATAAAATTAGTTAAAGAGGAATCCTTCTTTTTCTATTGTTTGGAATAATTTCAGAAGGAATGGTACCAGCTCCTCTTTGTACCTCTGGTAGAATTCAGCTGTGAATCCGTCTGGTCCTGGGCTTTTTTGGTTGGTAGGCTATTAATTACTGCCTCAATTTCAGACTTTGTTATTGGTCTATTCAGGGATTTGATTTCTTCCTGGTTTAGTCTTGGGAGGGTGTATTTGTCCAGGAATTTATCCATTTCTTCTAGATTTTCTAATTTATTTATATAGAGGTGTTTATAGTATTCTCTGATAGTAGTTTATATTTCTGTGGGATCAGTGGTGATAGCCCCTTTATCTTTTTTTTTTTTTTTTTTTGAGACAGAGTTTCGCTCTTGTTGCCCAGGCTGGAGTACCATGGCGTGATCTCGGCTCACCACAACCTCTGCCTCCTGGGTTCAAGTGATTCTCCTGCCTCAGCCTCTCGAGTAGCTGGGATTACAGGCATGCACCACCATGCACGGCTAATTTTGTGTTTTTAGTAGAGACGGGGTTTCTCCATGTTGGTCAGGCTGGTCTCAACCTCAGGTGATCCACCTGCTTCGGCCTCCCGAAGTGCTGGGTGGTGTGAGCCACTATGCCTGGACCCTTTTTTCATTTTTTATTGCGACTATTTGATTCTTCTCTCTTTTCTTCCTTATTATTCTGGCTAGCAGTCTATCTATTTTGTTAATCTTTTCAAAAAACCAGCTCCTGGATTCATTAATTTTTTGAAGGGTTTTTCATGTCTCTATCTCCTTCAGTTCTGCTCTAATCTTAGTTATTTCTTGTCTTATGCTAGCTTTTGAATTTGTTTGCTCTTGCTTCTCTAGTTCTTTCAATTTTGATGTTAGGGTGTCCGTTTTAGGATCTTTTGCGCTTTCTCCTGTGGGCATTTAGTGCTATAAATTTGCCTCTAAACAGTGCTTTAGCTGTGTCTCAGAGATTCTGGTACATTGTGTCTTTGTTCTCATTGGTTTCAATTAACTTATTTATTTCTGCCTTAATTTAGCTATTTACCCAATAGTCATTCAGGAGTAGGTTGTTGAGTTTCCATGTAGTTGTGCGGATTTGAGTGAGTTTCTTAATCCTGAGCTCTAATTTGATTGCACTGTGGTCTGAGAGACTGTTTGTTATGATTTCTGTCCTTTTGCATTTGCTGAGGAGTGTTTTACTTCCAACTTTGTTGTCAATTTTAGAATAAGTGTGATGTGGTGCTGAAAAGAATGTATATTTTGTTGATTTGGGGTGGAAAGTTCTGTAGATGTCTATTAGGTGCACTTGGTCCAGAGCTGAGTTCAAGTCCTGAATATCCTTGTTAACTTTCTGTCTCGTTGATCTGTCTAATATTGACAGTGGGGTGTTAAAGTCTCCCACTATTATTGTGTGGAAGTCCTCTTTGTAGGTCTCTAAGAACTTGCTTTATAAATCTGGGTGCTCCTGTATTGGGTGTGTGTATATTTAGAATAGTTAGCTCTTCTTGTTGCATTGATCTCTTTACCATTACGCAATACCCTTCTTTGTCTCTTTTTGATCTTTGTTGGTTTAAAATCTGTTTTATCAGAGACTAGGATTGCATCCCCTGCTTTTTTTTTTCTCTTTCCATTTGCTTGGTAAATATTCCTCCATCCCTTTATTTTGAGCCTATGTATGTCTTTGCACATGAGATGAGTCCCCTGAATACAGCACACCGATGGGTCTTAACTCTTTATCCAATTTGCCAGTCTGTGTCGTTTAATTGAAGCATTTAGCCCGTTTACATTTAAGGTTAATATTGTTATGTGTGAATTTGATCCCATCATTATGACTGGTTATTTTGCCTGCTAGTTGATGCAGGCTGGTTATTTTGCCTGCTAGTTGATGCAGTTTCTTCATAGTGTCGATGGTCTTTACAATTTGATATGTTTTGCAGTGGCTGGTACAGATTTTTCCTTTCCATTTTCAGTGCTTCCTTTAGGAGCTCTTGTAAGGCAGGCCTGGTGGTGACAAAATCTTTCAGCATTTGTTTGTCCGTAAAGGATTTTATTTCTCCTTCTCTTATGAAGCTTAATTTGGCTGGATATGAAATTCTGGGTTGAAAATTCTTTTCTTTAAGATTGTTGAATATTGGCCCCCACTCTCTTCTGGCTTGTACGGTTTCTGCAGAGAGATCAGCTGTTAGTCTGATAGGCTTCCCTTTGTGGGTAACCTGACCTTTCTCTCTGGTTGCCCTTAATATTTTTTCCTTCATTTTAACCTTGGAGAATCTGATGATTATGTGTCTTGGGGTTGCTCTTCTTAAGGAGTATCTTTGTGGTGTTCTGTGTATTTCCTGAATATGAATGTTGGCCTGTCTTGCTAGGTTGGGGAAGTTCTCCTGGATAATATCGTGAAGAGTGTTTTCCAGCTTGGTTCCATTCTGCCTATCACTTTCAGATACACCAATGTAACATAGGTTTGGTCTTTTCACATAGTCCCATATTTCTTGGAGGCTTTGTTCATTTCTTTTCATTCTTTTTTCTCTAACCTTGTCTTCATGCTTTATTTCATTAAGTTGATCTTCAGTCTCTGATATCCTTTCTTCTGCTTGATTGATTCAGCTATTGATACTTCTGTATGCTTCACAAAGTTCTCATGCTGTGTTTTTCAGCTCCATCAGGTCATTTATGTTCTTCTATAAACTGGTTATTCTAGTTAGCAATTCCTCTAACCTTTTTTCAAGGTTCTTAGCTTCCTTGCATTGGGTTAGAACACATTCCTTTAGCTCGGAGGAGTTTGTTATTACCCACCTTCTGAAGCTTACTTCTGTCGGTTCGTCAAACTCATTCTCAGTCCAGTTTTGTTCCCTTGCTGGCAAGGAGTTGTGATCCTTTGGAGGAGAAGAGGCATTCTGGTTTTTGAAATTTTCAGCCTTTTTGCGCTGGTTTTTCCTGATCTTCGTGGGTTTGTCTACCTTTGGTCTTTGATGTTGGTGACCTTCAGATGGGGCATTTGTGTGGACATCCTTTTTGTTGATGTTGATGCTATTCCTTTCTGTTTGTTGGTTTTCCTTCTAATAGTCAGACCCCTTCCCTGCAGGTTTGCTGGAGTTTGCTGGAGGTCCACTCCAGACCCTGTTTGCCTGGGTATTACCAGCGGAGGCTGCAGAACAGCAAAGATTGCTGCCTGTTCCTTCCTCTGGAATCTTCGTCCCAGAGGGGCACCTGCCGGATGCCAGCCAGAGCTCTCCTGTATGAGGTGTCTGTTGACCCCTGCTAGGAGGTATCTCCCAGTCAGGAGGCATGGGGGTCAGGGATCCACTTGAGGAGGTACTCTGTCTCTTAGCAGAGCTGGAGCTCTGTGCTGAGAGATTGACTGCTCTCTTCAGAGCCAGCAGGCAGGAACGTTTAAGTCTGCTGAAGCTGCACCGACAGCCACCCCTTCCCGTAGGTGCTCTGTCCCAGGGAGATGGGAGTTTTATCTATAAGCTCCTGACTGGGGCTGCTGCCTTTCTTTCAGAGATGCCCTGCCCAGAGAGGAGGAATCTAGAGAGGCAGTCTGGCTACAGTGGTTTGCTGAGCTGCGGTGGGCTCCGCCCAGTTCAAACTTCCCAGGGGCTTTGTTTACACTATGGGAGAAAACCACCTATTCAACCCTCAGTAATGGCGAATGACCCTACCCCCTCCAAGCTGGAGCATCCCAGGTTAACTTCAGACTGCTGTACTGGCAGTGAGAATTTCAAGCCAATGGATCTTAGCTTGCTGGGCTCTGTGGAGGTGGGATCCACGGAACTAGACCACTTGGCTCCCTGGCTTCAGCCCCCTTTCCAGGGGAATGAACGGATCTGTCTCACTGGTGTTCCAGGTGCCACTGGAGTATGAAAAAAAAAAAACTCCTGCAGCTAGCTCGGTGTCTGCCCAAACTGCTGCCCAGCTTTGTGCTTGCAACCCAGGGCCCTGGTGGTGTAGGCACCTGAGGGAATCTCCTGGTCTACAGGTTGCAAAGACCATGGGAAAAGCATAGTATGTGGGCCAGACTACCATTCCTCATGACACAGTCCCTCACAGCTTCCCTTGGCTAGGGGAGGGAGTTCCCAAACCCCTTGCACTTCCTAGGTAAGGCAAAATTCCACCCTGCTTTGGCTTGCCCTCTGTGGGCTGCACTCACTGTCTAACCAGTCCCAATGAGATGAGCTGGGTACCTCAGTTGGAAATGCAGAAATCACTCACCTTCTGTGTTGATCTCGCTGGAAGCTGCAGACCAGAACTGTTCCTATTCGGCCATCTTGCCAGCCACCAGTGAGAGTAATACTTTTATATCGCACCAGTCTTCTGCTGTTCCTGGATATAAGATTGGGACTCTGTTTAGATTTCTGGGGCAGGAATAAAAGAGAAATAATTTCACACAATGAAGCTAAGTGAAAAAGATGCTCAGTGAAATAAAGAGGTGGCCTTTGCATACAACAGCTTCCTAGGTGTCAGGAGAAAGATGAGTAGTGGTATAGGGGTCAGAAACAGTAAGTGATAGATAGTTTTATTTTACAATTGTGATTCATAGTCTGTCTTCTCTAATAGCGTGTGCTTAGAAAGAAATTTTGTTTGTAAAATTGCTTAAATCTCAATGACAATATGGTTTCCTATTTACATGCTCCATTTGTCTGGTATTATTGGGGAATGAAGTTCTCCCCGCAAGAAAATCTGTTAGATATTCAATTAAAAACCAGAAAATTGCTTAGTTCTGAATTATTAGGAACTGAGAACTTACCAGCATTGATTTGGTCATTCATTCATTCAACAAATGTGTATTAAACACTCATTCCATGCATTCCATGGTACCTATGGGTGAGGAATATAGCAGTGAAAAGACAAGCAAGATTCCTGTCTGCATGGAGTTCATATTCCAGAAGGAGGGGCAGACAATAGAAAAGAAACAAGGGAAGAAGATAATTATCTTGCAAAAAGCCCTAAGTACTGAGAGGAAAATAAGAGTGACACAACGATAAACTGGACAGTAGAGTAGCCACTGGGTGGCTGCTTTAGTCTGGAACACCAAAGAAATCCTCTCTGTGATTGTAGCACTTGAGTGGAACCTGAAGGGCAACAAGGAGTTGGCCACGGTAAGATCTGAGTAGAACTTTCCTGGCAGATGTTCTCAGGCAGGAATAATCTTGGCAGCTTAAAAAAAACTAGTTTTGGGGTATACTTCTTAATGTATACTAAATATAAATTTTTACTTTTATTGATGATTCACACCTTCTGTTCTTTGTTAACCCATCTCCTGGGGTTATTATTTTGTGGATTAGCATCTCAGTGGATCATCCTCAAAGAACCCTCCATCCCTTCTTGCTGGTATAACATAGGAAGAACCAGAGAGGTCCCTGACAGACAAGATTGTTATATCAGTAGGCTCAATTTACACACGTGCTCCAAATCTGGGGATGGGACAGCAAAGAGGAAGCTATGGGCCCTTTGAGGGTTAACCTGTATGGACCCCATTCCTTTCTCCTTGCTTGGAATTTAAAGTTCAGTGCCCAGTTATGGATCCAGATGCTTAGAGTGAACGTCTTCCACCTCCTGCTTCCTCCATCTCCTCATTGCCAATTCCTTTAACTTTCCTTTGTTAGTCTTTAAGCACTGTGACCTGCCTCTAGATCTTTGTCCCAGTGGGTTAATAGGATGAGTAGACCCATGCAAGCTGTTTCTCTTTCATCTTTACCATGCACTTGGACTCAGTAGTGATAGCCTTGAGTAGACATAGACTCTCTCCCAGCTTTTTCTCCTCCACTGGTCTGTTAAAGGAGGCTATGAAGATTTTTTTAAAGGGTCCAGATGACTTGAGGAGTCCCATTTTTAACCCATAGAAGGTGAATGAATTTACTCCCAAATTCGCTGGCATTTTCCAGTGAGTTGTTAATGGATGAAAGTTATACAAAACTTTGTCTAAGGCCTTTGGTATGTGGGAAACACTTGGACATTGACTACAAATGAGATTTTCTCAATATTTTCAAAAAGTAAACATAAATTTTCTGTTTGGTTCAGATGATAACGTGTTATCTAGTTGTAACTCTGGTACCTCTGGATCAGCTTCTTTTACTTATTTATTTATTTATTTATTTATTTGTTTAATTTTATTTTTTTTAACGATGGAGTCTCGCTATGTAGCCCTGGCTGGAGTGCAGTGGCACGATCATAGCTCACTGCACCCTCAACCTCCTGGGCTCAAGCCATCCTCCCACCTCAGCCTCCTGAGTGTCTGGGATTACAGGCACACACCACCATACCTGGCGAATTTTTTTTTGTTGTTTTTTGTTTTTGTTTTTGTTTTTGTGGAGATGAGGTCTCTCTGTGTTGCACAGGCTGAACAGCTTATTCTGATGGTGCTAGTAGAATATTGGAGAGTTGGTAAAAGAGCAAATTGATCAAACAGATGTATATGTGTGAGTCAAGGATGAGACATGATCTTTTATTGTTAAAATAGTCACTGTTTCACAACTGAAAATCTAGTCACTATTTCACAACTGAAAATTCCCCTCTTTTCTACACCCACTAATCAAGCTCCTTTTCTATTTAATATTTAAAATAAAATAGTTTAGCTCTGTGGGGGCCTTGGGACTTCCCCCGTGCCACAGAGTGTGAAGTGTCTTTTCATACCTCTAGGCTGGGGAAACCCCACTCTGGGCAAAGGGCCAATTTTAGACCCAGCAGCTTATTAAGGAGATTCAGAATCTAAAAGAGCCACAAACAGACAATAACAGGAAGGAGACAAATATAGGAAGATAACACCTGAAGCTGGCTCTCTGGCCAAGTTTACAGTTATCTCTATATCCTAGAAAGAGGCTAATGGGATTAGTGGAGGAGGCATTGTGGAAATGGGAAAGGATGTTAGTTCTAATTTGTGGAAGAGAATTTCATGAATAAAAATCTTAAGAAGAAGATTAGCCTATTTTGAAAATGACCCAAAGAGATGCTAGATGAGCTGTGAGAGAAAATCATTCTCAAAACCTCATGGTCACAACTCTTGGAAACAAAACCCAACTCTAACTTTGGAAAAGGCTCTTGGAAAGCATCTGATCTATCCTCTAATTCCAGCTGCAGGAATGTCTCCCAGGGGTTCCCTGACCGATAGTCACCCAACTTCCCTCGAGCCCTTGTGGTGCTGAAGCACCCATTGTTGACCACACATGGCGAGGCAGCCATCCATCCTTTTGCTGGCCAGGAAGGCTGGTAAGAAAGTTCTTGATGTGAAGATGAATCTGGCTTCTTCTATTATGCAGCCAGAGTTCTTTCCTTTTACATACAACATGCCTTCCCTCCCTTTCTCATGACTTGTTCCAAATATTTGAAGACAACCAACCATCCTATAACATCTAGGCTTTCTCTTCTCAAGCTAAGCATATCAGATTCTCCCCTTCTCAAGTTTCTGGCTTTCATTGTTCTGGTCACCCTTGTCTGGGCTGACTTAGTTTGTGGAGGTTCTTCATGAAACCTAGGGCTGGGAATGAAACATAATCCTCTGGATGGAGTCACTGAAGCCCCTACACCAAAGTGTGGGGGGGACAATGACACTATCTGTTCATACGGATTAAGACTGTTTGCTTTTTTTGGTATCCATACTGCCCTGGTGGCTTCTATTGAATTTGTGGTCAAGTAAGAATTATTTGCTGTTGTTTATTTTTAAATTTGTTTTAATGTGAACCATTATAAGCCAGCTTCCTCCATCCTATATACACATATACATATATGAGTGTGTATATGTATCTATACATATATGTGTTTACATATGTGTATGTGTATATATATGCGTATATATACAATTTATAATGGTGGTGGTTGAATTCTACGTCAATTTTTCAAATTTTCTTTTAGTATTATAACATAGATTTGATAAACATACTTGCCATCTCTACCCCAAAGTCATAATACAGATGTTTCAATGAGAGCCTTGCTGCACACAGAAGGTGGCCTCTACCCACAAGTTTGCTATGACTGTTAAACCACCCAACTATTCTAAATCCTCCTGGCTGTTACTAGCACCTGGTGGCATTTTCCCATCTTGTCTGCAAGGATATCACCCAATGCTGAATGAAATGCTTTGCTAGAATGCTGATACACTGACTCTATGGTGTTTCCCTATTTAATCACTTATTAAAGATGACTTTGCTGTGACTTTGTGGATTCTGTTGGTCTCTTTCTGAACCCACTTCTTTCTAGTGATCATTATTTTATTTTTTAAGTGTTGTAAGAAGGCATCAGGATGTAAACTTGGGTGATTATTTGGATTTCCCTGTGATGCTTAGTTTTATCACTTCAGGCAAGTCAATTTGTCTGTTTTACCCACCATTTAAAAAAAAAATCTGGAAAACTATGAACTCAATTATATCTAGCATTCTATAATTTGGAGTCATATTTTAACACCCTATCATAGAATTTTTCTAGAAACAACATGAAATTTCTGGATTCCATTTTTTCCTCTCCCAATCTGTTCCTTCTCTCTGAAATATCCTTAGTCTTAGGATTATATCTTAGTCTTAGGGGCTTTGATCTATCCTTAGTCTTTCTCCCTGATTTTTAAAATGTCACTGACTATGGTTCTCTGATTACATCTGAAACATTTTTGTTTTCATTGTCTTTTGCAGGGAGGCACATGGGATGCAATTCTTCTCATTTAAATTAGCAATTATTAAAAAATCTGTCTTAAATTTTAGTGCCTTCTTAATGATAGCTGCCTTTCTTTTCCCATTTGAAAACTGTTCTTTTTGGTGAATAAGATGGATGTGAAAAAGCACTAACCTTTTTTACTGACCAACTTTATTCATTGGGTTTTCCTTCAAAAGATTGTTGGCTACTTAAATCTCCCCATCATTTCCTTTAAAATCTTCCCACCCATCCCCTAAATGAAATAAAAATTTAAATTATAAAGGTACATCACCACTGAGAATATTCTAAAGAATGTGCTTAAGGCTCTGAAAGGAAATTATGAAGGAGAAGTTCTCCAAGTGTTTTAAGCAATAGCAGCATCCTTAGGGGAAATGTATACTTTCCCCAAGTATTACCTAGACCCCTTTCTAGGTGGAAAAGTCTTGTTCTATTTGTGTAAAGACCAGCTGTGGTGTTTTGCGATCAACCTCCCAGAGCATCTTGACCTACAATACCTGAACTTTTTTTTTTTTTAATTTGTTCAGGAAAAAAGCAGTTGTTAAAACATTGTTAACTAGAAGCCAGTCAAGTTTTTTTTTTTTTTCCCTCTGTTTTATATTTATATTGGCTCTGACTTCAGCCACCCTGTGGATCTGAAGGTGGCACTGAACAGATGGGACCTAATCAGCTCTCTTGGTAACCTGGCCTGTCCACAATTTAAGTCTTTTCTATGAAAAGATAATTTATGATAAACCACTTAATAGAACCAAATACTATCTTTCCATTTATAATACCTCTATATCTGGATATATTTTTGTATATTCAAAACCTACTTATTCGATTCTAAGTATCTTTGACAAACTCAGTGTCCAAAGTTTTTGGTTTAAGACAAACAGTTTTAAAACGTGAATATAAGAAATCACTAGTTTCAGAAGTCCATGGAATACTAGCCGGGCATAGTGGCTCACGCCTGTAATCCCAGCACTTTGGGAGGCTGAGACAGTTAGATCACTTGAGGTCAGGAGTTCGAGACCAGCCTGGCCAACATGGCGAAACCCCGTCTCTACTAAAAATACAAAAACTAGCTGGGCGTGGTGGCACGCACCTGTAGTCCCAGCTACTCAGGAGGCTGAGGCAGGAGAATTGGTTGAACCCGGGAGGCAGAGGTTGCAGTGAGCTAAGATGGTGCCACTGCACTCCAGCCTGGCTAACAGAGAGAGACTTTGTCTTAAAAAAAAAAAGAAGCCCATGGAATATTATATCATGAAGATATAAATAAAGTCGTTGGCCTCACTCAATTGGGAGTCAGATCCTAAATCCTTTTGATGCTGTCTTGCAAAGGCCCTGTAGGTATGAAACCTTGGGACAAAAGTTTGCAGTATATTTTTCTTATGCCAAGGTAGATAGTATTTATTTAGAGCCCCTTTAGTGTACTGTCCTCATGTAAAAATGAGAGAGTGAACATTTAAAAAGTGGTCCCGAAATGAGATTCAGAGAAGTCATGGGAATCAGTTGCAAGCTCACTGCCCCGCTCAGAGTGGCGTTTGAACACTGGGAGTCCTGGGTAAGGACAACACATGATTTTATTTTGCAAAATTTTCTTCCATAACAAGCGTGCAGCCGTGCATGACAACTTTGTTTTTGGGGAAAAAAAAGATACATGCATATGTGTCAGTTGACATTTTAGACATTTAACCACACTTTAAATCTTCTCTATGAAAAGACAATTTATGATAAACCACTTAATAGGACCAAATGCTATTTTTCATTTATAATAGATCTCTATCTGGATATATTTTTGTGTATTCACAGCTTTTTCATCTTTCCATATAATTTGCGCACAAGACATGTTATATCTTCACTTATAAGAATAAAAGCCCCAAATTATAGCAAATTTGTCATATATAGATCTCTTTTTCTCTGCCAAATGATTTTGTTATTTCCATAGGCTTTCTCCTTCGAGCATCTAACACCCCTTTGCTTGTGTGTTCAGGAGCAGTGTATGCGGCCCCCTCTTAGAGTCAGTCAGTGAGACGCTTCAGGGTAGGCAGGTTGTGGGTGGCTGAAGGGAAATAGAGAACCTTCAGTGGTGAACCTGAAGAGCCTCAGAGCCTTTTGTAACCATGACTGAAGTGGAGTTTTCTGACCACGTAGACTTCAGAATATCTGGTTCTGCTGAGGCTGAGGAGGCAGCATGGAGCATGAGGATAAGCCATCATGAGCTTATCAAAGCACTGCACATTATCCTGCAGATAGCTGAGCATTGATGAGAGTTTGATGCTGCTGCTAGAGAAATAAGGTTATTAATGAAAATATGGAGCCTGGGAGATATGCTAATTAGGATAGTACCATGTCAATGAGGATGATTTGGGCACACAGAAAACAAACTCTAAGCTTCTGAAGTAAGGAGGGATTTATTATCTCACCTAATAAAAAGCCTAGAGGTAGGGCAGTTTCAGGATTGGTTAATTCAGTGGTTCAACAATTATATCAAGGCCCAGGTTGTGTTTGCTATTCTTAACATGTTGGTCTTAGGTTTCTCCCCTCATGGTTGCAAGATGGCTGCTAATGCTCCAGGTATCTCATCCTCATCCTCACTTATTTTCTTTTTTTTTTTTTCTTTTGAGACAGAGTCTCACTCTGTCGCCCAGGCTGGAGTGCGCAGTGGCGCGATCTCGGCTCACTGCAAGCTCCGCCTCCCAGGTTCACACCATTCTCCTGCCTCAGCCTCCTGAGTAGCTGGGACTACAGGTGCACGCCACCATGCCTGGCTAATTTTTTGTATTTTTAGTAGTGACAGGGTTTCACCATGTTAGCCAGAATGGTCTCGATCTCCTGACCTCATGATCTGCCTGCCTCAGCCTCCCAAAGTGCTGGGATTCCAGGCATGAGCCACCCTGCCTGGCCCATCCTCACTTATTTTCTTTGAGATGAAGAAAGGGACAGTTTCTCCATTTGTCTCTTTATCAAAGAAGAAAGTTTTTCCTAGAAGGTCCTCAGCAGACTTTCCCCTCATGATTGGCCAGAATTATGTTGCATACTCATTCCTCAACCAATTTCTGATTTAGAAAATAGAGTGACTATGATTAATTTAGTTTAATTAAAACTCATCCCTGAAGTTTTAAAGGGGCATCTTCACTGAGCATATTGTCATACAGAAGGTGATCAAGATCAGGGTCCAGCTAACTTTAAAGAAGACCTGGGGCTAATGGCTGTAAGGTGGGCGACCAATACTGTCTGCTCCAAGTACTTTATGTTTCAATACCACAGATCCCTTTTCATTTAATGAAATGATTCTATGGCACTGGAAGAGAAGATGATGCTGAGATTTATACCCTACCATCACTGGAAACAAGATAAAAGTACTCTGCATGAAAAACAGAAGTCATATTTCTGCTTCTTTGTAACAGCAAAAAGAAAATCTTAAGTTTTTATTTTTTTATCAAGATAGAAAACAAAAAAGAAGGGAATACAGGAAACACTATTAACTGACTACTTAGCTGCCATTTTCAGAAACCTGATTTCTTCTGGCAACATCGTGCTGACTGCTGGGACTGACTGCTGGCAGCATTGTGCTGACTGCATGTGTGCTAGGATAGGCTTAGATGCACAGATGCACACATTCCCAGTTTTTCTTGCTGTTAGTGGTGGTCATATAATAGAATTTTGGCTAATAAGCAGAAAACCTTTGGGGATGGGGCTTCTGTGAAAGCTTTTGTTTTCTTGATAACAGGGACAAGTGTTAGAAGAAAGCTTACTGGGCCTCCCTTTTCATCTTCTTCCCGCCATGAATGTAAATGTGATTTTAGGGGCTATAGCAGCCCCATCGACAACATGAGGCAGCAATCATGGGGAAAAACAATCATGTTAGAGAATGGTGGCACAAAAGATAAAAAGATCCTGAATCATGAGACCAAATTGGGAACTACCTACTTTCAAATCTCTGGTTATGTGAGATAACTAAATGGCCTCTTTGTTAAATGACTGGAGTTGGGTATTCTATGACCTGCAACTTGATACATACAAACTGATATAAAAGCAATGAACAATATCTCAAGTAGATACTACAGCTATCCTGGCACCTCTCTTCCTCCAACATTTCAGTTATACCTAGATTCTAAGTTCAGAAAGACTGAATAACTTGACCACAGCTAGACAGCCCTTCAACTCTAACCCATTCAGAATATACTTCATTTTCTACCATTTTCCTATACCCATGTGTGTTTTCTTTCCTACTAGATTTGAAACTCCTTCAGAATAGAGGCTGGACCTTTTAGGCTTCTGGTGTTCCTTCCCGCACTGCACGGTGTGGAGAGCAGTCTCAATGACTGGGAAGTGAATGAATACAGTGGCATTCCTTCTTTATCCAAGCCAGCAAGAGAGGGAAGTAAGCACATTGCTTATCTTAAGAAGGTACAAGTTTACCACCTTCTTGGTCTCTAAGTTGGAAAACAGAAGCCTTATAATATCTTACAGAGATTTCTTCATGTTACATCACTAATCATTAGGAGTGGACAGTCTTTGAATTTTGGGTCTGTATCAATCTTTCCATTTTTATGAACAACTTAGATGCAGGATTAGGTGAAATCTTGTAATGGTTAGCTTGAAATACAGCATTTTAGTGAAGCACTGCTAACTAGCTGAGTTATAGCTGGCAAATATGGAATAAGGGAACTTTGTAGCTTAAGGTCTCCCATGGACATTTTGCTTTTGGGGGTGGTTGGATTGCTACAACTAAAAAATTCCCTTGCATGAGTTTGTCAATTTCAGGGGATTTTGTCATTCACTGAAGTGGAACTTTCAGTTTAAATGTGAATCTCATGGCTTTTATGCGTCTTCGCTCATGGCCAGAGTGGCAGCTTGGGCATGTGAATGTCCACCACCAGCTTTGCCCATCTCCCTGATCACAGCACAAGCTTTTGCTGGATCACCTCCCCATCCAAAGCCTGCACTGCTCTTTCTTTCTCTCCAAGCACAAGTGCCTTTTGTGGTCCCAAGATGGAACTCCAGTACAGTGCTTTGTACTGACATCTGTGGGTTTTCCTTAAGGTAACTGTGGGTGGCCCCTTCATTTATTTTCTTGCTTCCTTTTTGTTTCTGTAAATTCTGCCCTCCACTTTCCCCCGAAGCACATGCTGTTCATGTAATCTGAATGGCCATTTAGAGGAAAGATCAGAAGTTTGTTGTTTCATTACCAAGATAAATCAAAACTTTGTGTTCGCACTGCAATCCGAGTGAGTCCAGGAATAGCTTTGGGATTGCTAAGTGTCTGGAGAGCACTGACTACACAGACATGTTTTGAAGCTGGCTATAATAGTTTCTACAGCTGTTAACAGTTCGTGGAAGAATGGCAGCATTATATATCAGCGTTTAAAATGTGCATGACTTGCATTGCACAGAAGTCAGATTGGGATAGAATCAGATATTTTTTTTCTGAAACTCAGCCAGGAAAGTCTTCAATAACTAGAGAAATTCTTTTCACTGCTGAAATCAACATGAAGGCATTGTGTTATTATAATTGCTTATAGCTCACCATGAAAGTTGTCTTTGTATGAGTGGATGTACGGGCTGTACTGTTTTGTTTTTATTTATTCTGCATTCTTTATTCTAATGTCCTTTCCTTTTTCCTGACCAGAAAGATTGTTATTGAGCCCTTCACAAAGCTGAAATAATGCAGTGTGTTAAAAAAAATGTTAACAATCCAAAGAAGTTATAAAAATTTATAAGTTGGCTGAATGCTTGGGAAATTTCTGCATATTTTAATATAAATAGGTAATGCAAATATTTGTTCTTTGCATTGAGAGGTGAGTCTCTGTATTCCAAAAGGCTTTGCTATTTAAATTAGATTTATTTGATTGCTCTGAAATAAAGGCAGTTTCCATTTTGAATGAGGACTAAATACCAAAGACTAAATACCATGGTTGTTATCAAATACAAAAGACTTATTAAGTTAGATATGTTACTGCATCATGGGGTTAAACAATTTCCAGAAAACAGTAAGAATGTCTCATGTTTAAAATTCTCAAGAAGGTAACTTGCTTAATAATTTTTCTTTTTGAGATTTCCAAGTTGCGATGAAAGTTTTGCACAAGAAAAGAGCTGTCTGGACCACCTCTGTATCCTGTCAGTTTTGCTGCCTCTTTCAAAAATTAATTGACAGACTTAATTCAAGATAGGAGTGGGACGGATATCTTGGGGGAATATATATAAATAAAGAAATTGGGTAAAAATTAAGAAGAAATCAAATTATGAGGGGAAGCTCTTCTGATTGAGCTGTAAAATCAAGATATACACATTTTGAATGATGTTGAGTCAAGGGTCTCTGCAGAAGAATAAGATCTAAGGTCTTAGATATTTCTGAAGTGCTATGCCAAGGCTCACCCTGTGAGAAGCCAGAGGATGGCATGGAGGGTCACAGGGGAAAGCTCACTGAGTGCAGCTGGTTTTCAGGAGTGACGTTGAGATACTCCAGGGATCAGATCCCAGACCTGGGATGCCCAGCATTCGGGACACCTTGGCAGTGGGTGGCTTCTTCAGCAGTTGGCCACTGCAGGCAGCTTGGTGACCTCAGAAAACCTCAGCTGAGACCTGGGTTCCCTTTGAAAGTGCCAGTGAATTCTCAGACCTCATCGCTCTCAGCTCCTCATTTACCAGCTAATACTTTAGCTACTTGCTAAAGTAGTGAGAGGGACAGAGAGACCACATGAAATGATGAAGGAAAACTCCCAGGGTACCCTCACGGACTGTACAAACTACCTCCCGGTTTTCCTTGGACAGGCATTGACTATCAAACCCATACTTCTTCATATTCGTGGCCATTGAGACATAAACATCGTCTGGGGGCAGGTCTGCACTTTCCTGTCATCCTGCATCTCTCTGAGGCTTAGAGAAACTAAGGGCACATGTGGAGGAGTCTGCCTTTTCTTAGGAAAAGGAACTTGTGTAGGAATTAAACTGATTGTTTTCCAGGGAGAAGAGCCATGAAAACATGAATTTTCACTTTTCTAAACTAAGAGGTCCCACTTCATTGAGAGAAATAATATCAACAGCTGACATGTGTTAAGTGCTTACAATGTGCCAAGCACTGTATTATCTTGTTAAAAAGAGATGCCAGTGGGTAGCATGACCAAGAAAGGGAAATATAAAAGTTGTTTGATAGAAGACCGCACATAGGCCCGAGGTGAACTAGAAAGGAAATAGGAAAACTGGACTTAAATCCTGGTTTCTGCAAACACTAGGGATCCTTTGTAAATGCATTCCCCTCATTAAAGCCTGGCTTTGTTATAAAATAAGAATAAATACCAGCCTGGAATACAAAAGTCAGATTTCTCAGTCAGGAAATGGCCCTAGTGCAGTGGGTTTTGTTTTTGTGTTTGCCTTTTCAGAGTCATGGAACTCTTTTAGAAGCTGAGAAGTGCTAAGAGCTCTCTCTAGAAATTACAAACACACATATATATGCAAGCAGAATGTTGAACACTATTTCTGGGGTTGCCAGCTCCCTTGGAACCAGTTTTCTTTGGTGGGTGGAATAGCATCAGCAAAGTCTGGTAACAAGCAATACCTGTAGGTTCAGGCAGGGAGGCTGGCTGGCAGGAAGTTCAGAGAAAGCCTACCAGGGGCTTCCCAGCAGCAGGAGGGGGAATAAGCAATTGTCAATGTTTCATCTGTGTGGGAGCTCTTACTGGGAATGCTTGGCTATAGGTGTCAGAGACTCAGCATGAGGACTGAGACTTAAAGAGTTAAAATTCCCATCCTGGAGAAGACTGGTGGGCTACTGGAAAGAAGCCAAGAAAAGGCCCCAGGAGTCAAAGAAGAAAAGAGTTAACAGAAACTGGGCTAGAAGGTACAGGCTGGGTCACAAAGAAAGCCCAGTAACCAAAATCAGGGTCACAGCTGACTTGGATGGGCCCAGGATGACTCAGCAAGATTTCCCTGGCTATGAGATAGCTGGCTTTAGACCCTGATGGTGGCTGAGCCCTTTGCTAGGGTGATGTGGGCCTGTCTCTGGAAATATGGTGGGGAGGGAGGGAGCTGGAAAAACAGTCCGCCTAGTTATTAATATTACAGCTATGGTGCTATCCCTCCTCCAAGCTTTACTAACTTGGCTATGGGTATGCCTCTGTTACCATTTTCAAGTCTTCTTAACACATTCAACTTTGAGACCAGAGAATGTTTTTTACTTTTTGCATGTTTCTCATCCTGCACATGTGTCTGCTTATTTACAGTTACCTTTTTCCTGCCATTCCTCTACCATTAGCCAGTTCTGTTCCACTCTCTGAGTGGGGAGACCCATTGCTCATCTTGCCTTGGCCTCCCTCAACAAAAGTAAAAATTGGCAGCATTTGTTAACCCATCAAATATTTTTGAAATTTTACTGATCTATTAAGTCTAAATTCTGGGAACTATTGGATTATGGTGTCCTCAGTTGGGTTGCGTGGGTACTCAGGAAATATTTATTGAATGAATGATTCAATGAGACAGGAATTATATCCCATAAAGCTAAGGGCTGAAATATCTACTACTTGCTTTGCTCGTTTTGATAGCTCTTGAAAGATTAGTGCGGAGACAGGCTGAGGTCCCTAGACGGATGGTTAATTAGGAGATGGGACCCCTCTGGACTGCCCCATTGCTAACTAGGCAGCAGCCTGTCTACTTGAGTGGCGGCACTTTCTTTGATAGCGTTAGTATATGAAAATAATGGTGTTGTCTTTGATAAAGTAGGGATTGTTATCAGCTATTAGTCAGTTGCTGTCATTTGAAAGAGAACACACATAAAGATCTCTTACCAGTTAGCCGATGGGACAAACAGGGACAGCAGAGACTCCCGTTTCTCCCCTCGCCCCCACTCTGGTGGGTGCTGTAGCATACAGTGGATCTGTGGCCTAAGTCATAAATGTTTACCAGCAACTAATTAAACTACTTTAGGAGCTCAATTAAGCACTAGCTGAAATTGAAGATGTGAAATAAGTCATGAATGTAATGAAGATTGAAGGAAACAAGTAACAGGATGTGCAGGAGAGTCATAATTGTGCCATTAAGGTCAGATTGCATCTTGCCAGAGAGCTTTGGTGCTCGACTTGATGAGGGCTCTTCTTCCTCAGATTAGATTCAAATTATGAAGAGCAGTGTGTGTGTGTGTGTGTGTGTGTATGTGTGTGTGTGCGTGCGTGCGCTGGGTGGGGGGTTCTCCTCTTTGATGGCTGTATTTAGCAGGAGATTAGTTGCTCAAATTTGCCCTTTGGTTCAATAGAAAGAAATACAATGTAACTTAAAATGAAGTCAAAATCAATGTAATTTAGAATGTAATTTTGTGTGTACTGGAGTGTTGCTTGGGAAGTTAGATGAGCGTGGTCTGGAGAAGAAATAGAAATCCAAGGATTGAAGGTTTTTGTCAATAGGAAAGAATCAGTAAGTTCACAAGTTTCCATATTAAAAATGGATCTCTACATTTATGAGATACACAATTATTTTGCAGTGGTTGAAAAAAAAGCACTCCTCATAGAGATTCATAATGCTTTCATATGGCTGAGTTAAGTGTGTGTGTGTGTGCGTGTGTGTGTGGCTGTGGTGTGTGTAGTAGTAGCAGTGTCATAAAGTGCTGTGGTGGCTGGGCACGGTAGCTCATGCCTGTAATTCTAGCACTTTGGGAGGCTGAGGCAAGAGAAGCCCTTGAGGCCAGGAGTTTGAGACCACCCTGGGCAACATAGTGAGACCCCATCTCTATTAAAAAAATTTTTTTTTTAATTAACCAGGCGTGATGATGTGCACCTATGGTCCCAGCTACTTGGGAGGCTGAGGTGGGAAGATTGCTTGAGCCCAGGAGGTTGAGGCTGCAGTGAGCAGTGTTTGCACCGTTGTACTCCAGCCTGGGCAACAGATCAAGACTGTGTCTCAAGAAAAAAAAGGGGAGTAGTAAGAGAAGAAGAAATCATGAGAGACAGGGAGAGCAGTCATTTGGCTAGGGGCAATCATGCCTGATGCAGCTCCACTTCTTGTTAGTACTTTGACTTCTTGCCACCTCTTGATGCCAACACTTTCTGCTTTAACTGGTGAAAACCCAGTTACTTTTGAAATGGGTGAAAAATTTTCATCTCTCTTTCTTCTTAGCAACAGTTACGGGTGGGGCTTGGGGGGAAATAGGGAAGACTGAGGTGGAAGAGTGAGGTCGGTCTTGGGAAATGGCAAAGTTTACATGAGGTGGAATGTGGCATAAATAAAGGACGTGTGTAAATAAAGGACGTGTGTAAGTAAAGGTCTCTAGAAGTTCTGAAGGAGAGGATACCTTCAGGGTAACTGGGAAAGTCTTTGTAGAGGAGGGGACGTTGAAGGATAGATAGGGTTTTGATAGGTAGGTATAGATGGAGGAACATTCCAGAAAGAAGAAAATAGCTCAAAGATGCCATGGCAGAAAATACAAGCCTGTTTGGGAATGGCAGGGGATTCAGTATAGCTGGAGATTAAATGGGTATGTGGATAGAGTCTGGGTTACGAGACGCCCTGACTGCCATGCTAACATCTTATTTGGTATGCAAGTAAACTCAATAACTCACTAAGTACGAATGCCCATCTCCTGAAACTTTGCTTCCTAAGGTTTAAATTTTCACCAACAAAATTTTTCTAGAAGTAGAGCACAACTGGACTACATTGCTAAGCCAAGTCTTGGTGTTTCAAAGGCAGGGCATGGCCAGCTTCACCAAAGCCGAGGCCGCTCATGTGTTTAATGTGTTCCAGAGTTCCAGAGCACTTTGGGATTTTGCAATGTTTTGTGTGGTCATTGCTGTTTTTGTTTTTGCTTTAAATTTATCCATCCTTATCTCTGTGATTACTTTACAGGGTAAATGTGGCAAATTTTGTTTTCCATAAATGACCAAATCAAGATCTCCCATCTCACAGTCTTCTTACCCTGTTTCTGACACTCCTCCTGCTGAGAGGTGGGCTCTACTTTCACCTCAGACTGGCTTGTGACTGCGGTGGAAGTGACACCAGGTAACTTCCAAGGCTATGTCGTAAGAGGCCATGAAGGTTTCTCCTGGCTCTCTTAAGACACTCACCTTTGGAGCCCTTAATCACTGTGTAGGAAGTCCAGAGTTTCCATGCTGTGAGGAAATCCAGGCCACACCTACCAGAAACGTGAGTTAAAAGTGTCTCTGAGTGATCCTTGCCCCCAGAGGTCAAGTCACCTCAAGCCTTCAAGTCCTTCCTGCTGAGATCTCAGGTGTCACTGAACAGAGCAAGTTGTCTTCACTGTGACCTTTCTAAATCCTTGGCACACAGAATCAGTGGGCATAATAAAATAGTTGTGTATGCAGCTAGGTTTGGTGCAATTTGTTTTGCAGTAGTAGCAGTAGCAATTTGTTATATATCACTGTTTATAATAGTAAATAGTGATGCGTTTTTCTGGCTCATTTCTCTTCAGGAGAATCAGTTTAGCAGAGAGGAGAGAGAGGGAGTTATCAATAGTTGATAAGGCCCTGTTAGGCGGTTTACATATATTATCTCATTTTATCTTCCTAGAAACACTATAGATAAATATTATCAACCTTACTGTTCAGAGAACTAAGGCTCAGAGAGGTTTAGTGATTTCCTCGAGTTCACACAGCTAGGGCACAAACCCAGGCTTCCCTGTGGCTCCATAGTTCAAAAGATTTTCCTCTCTAGGTTGAGTGAGAGACCCCTGCAGTGTCATGTCATATGAACAGTGGATTCTGCCACCTAACCCACTTCCACATCAGATGGTGTACCTGCCGAGCACCTAGGCCAGGAAGTGGGAGGGAGATGAAAAGAGAGGCATGGCCCCTGCCTTTTCAGCAGTGGTAACTATTTTAGGGGCTGGGCAGCTGTAAGTCTCATGGAAAGATGAAAGCAACCCAAGGCAGTATGTGATCCTGGGCTGTGGACTTTCACAGAGGGAGGGTGAGGGGAGGGGTCACTTTGGAGTCTTGGGCAAATAGGTGGCTTCCTGGTGGTCTCTTTTCTACACTGGTGAAAATTCAGGTGACCATATCTCTCGATTCTCCCTGATACTCTTGGTTTATTGGTTTATACCTGTTGTCCCAGTGAAATTATTTATTTTGCTTTTTTTATTTGTATAAATTTAAGGGGCAAGGCAGGGCACAGTGGCTCATGCCTGTAATCTCAGCACTTTGGGAGGTCAAGGCGGGCCAATCACTTGAGGCCAGGAGTTTGAAACCAGCCTGGTCCCACAAAGTGAAACCCCGTCTCTACTAAAAATGGAAAAATTAGCTGGGCATGGTGGTGGGTGCCTGTAGTTCCAGCTACTCTGGAGGCCGACGCAGAAGAATCGCTTGAACCTGGGAGGCAGAGGTTGCAGTGAGCCAAGATCACGCCACTTCACTCCAGCCTGGGCAGTGGAGCCAGACTCTGTCTCAATAAATAAATAAATAAATAATTAAAATTAAGGGTTACAAGTGCCATTTTGTTACATAAGTACATTGCATAGTGGTGAAGTCCGGCTTTTAGGTGTATGTATTGCCTGAATAATTGTGATACCTGTTGTACCCATCCCTCTCCTCTGGCCTCCCACCCACCCTTCCGAGTTTCCAATGTCTGTCATTCCACACTCTATGTCCATGTGTCCATGGCTGCCCCTAGTGAAATTATTAATAGCACTTCCTTTTAGTCTCACAGGTGGCCTGTTTTGGATGATAAATTACATGGTTGCCTTAGGGTGGTACTTCCAAATTCAACTTTTTTGAGGGGATAGGATAAAGTGCTATTGAAAAATCATGTGAAATAGGATGAAGGCAGTGACTAATGGCCCCAAACAAGTAAGAGAGGCTGTTGATCCAATGAAACACCTGTCTATTTGCTGTGTAACAAAAAAGTCAAACAGCAATTTTGTTCAGTGTGAAAGTATGTTTATTGGATATCAATTGTATGCCACAATTAAACAGCTTTAAAATCTGAATTGACAAAAACAAACAATAAAACCTCCCCAACAAAGTAAACAAACCACAATTGAATCGGTCATCTAACCTGACCTGACTGATTTGTGTCTGGCCAAAATGGCTAGGACAGTCCATATCTCTCTTGAGGAAAATGAGGGTAAGTGAGTCTAATATGAAAATCAGACTGCATTTCTCAAATGTATGGTCCAGAAACCATAGATTTCAGCCTTGCTTGATCAGGGTGGAGGACGGGGGTTAAGAAAGCAGTTGCTGGGGCTCCATCCCAGCCTGCAAAATCATTCTCAGGGGATAGGCCCAGAACGCAGCATTTTTAGCAAGTTCCTGGGTAATCTTGGCAATGAGCCGAGACTGCGCCACTGCACTCCAACCTGGGCAACAGAGCGAGATACCATCTCAAAATAATAATAATAATAATAATAACAACAAATAAATAAATAAATGAATAAATAAAATTGTGAATTCATTTAGAACTTGAGCCAGAGGCAGTATTAACCTCAGCACTGTGGAAAGAAGGTGAAGTTGGTCTTAATTCCAAACCACTTCCTCATATAAATCATTCACTAACCCACCAGGATGAGGCAAGAGTCACATTATTTTATTATAAGAAAAGGAGATATGTTTAAACATCAATCTTTTTCTCATTATCACCTCTGCCATTGGGATTAATCTCATAGTGAATTTGCCAAGCGCTCTCTAATGTTTAGAAATTTCAGAAAAAAAAGAGCTGTGTTGCTTAGAGTTTGGTCCATTCTGGCCAGTTCTAACAAAGTTAGGCAAAGGGAGAGTGGTACAATGGTTTTCTGCAAATTCATGATGATGATTAAATATCTCACTTTCTCTGGCTATTTGTGCCTGTGCAAACAGAACTTTGCAACAGAATGAAGGAGCTGAGATTTTAGAGCTGAAATAGATTTTTTAAAAATAGATTTTTGAGATGCTCCAGACTTCTTATTGCATAGATGGATAAACTGAGGCCCAGCAAAAGGAAATGGCTGGAATAAATCCTGACTTTGCCGCTTCCTGTGTGTGTAATAAATAGACAAGTCACTCACTTGTCAGTTGCCATCTCTGAAATGCAGGATAATAATAATGCCTATTTTTTGTGTGGTTTTAGGGAAGAGTAAATGCAAGAGAGCATGAATGGGAAGCATTGAGCCCAGCACTGGACACCCATGTTTGTACTCCTTGCCTAGGTTCTGTCTACCATTATTATTAGCTAAGGTCATGGAGCTTGTTGAAGACAGAGCCAGGCCTGGACACAGACCTCCTGACTCCCCTGCATTTTCCAGAGTGTAGATTTCAGTGGTATTCATGGAGTTCCAGAGCTTAGTCACACAAGGTATCTGTGTGTCTCCAGATAGGCAAATGCTATTTTAAGACCTTCTTTCATAAGTGTCCCAGGACAATGAGCTCTGGCTGGGTGCCTCCAGCCGCACAGTCTGTTCTCAGGGGTGGGCGGCCTCCGTGCTCTGTGTCTGTCTGTCTGTGCCCCAGAATGCCCTGTGTATCTGGCCCCGTCTCTGCTCCTAAGCCACATGGTGGGTGAATAGGGGGCTGAGGTCTAAGATGCCCAAGCCACTTTTAGGAGCGTGTCCCTTAGCACGCTCCTGGTGAGATAAGCAAATGGGTGCCGAAGGCAAATTACCTATTCCCACTATATACTGGCTGTGGGGCTTGAGTAAGGTATTGGCCCCTAAAAACTCCTCATTTTCCTTATTTGTCAGGTCTGTAACAAGCATGCCCACCTCACAGGGTTGTTTTGAAGGTCAGTGTGGAAACTCACACAAAGCAAAGAGCTTGGCCCACAGTGCAAATGGTAGCTTATTGCTTACTTTCAATGTGGCTTTATGACTTTAGAGGGGAATTAGGATATAGAGAACTTCTCGATGGAAGAGAAAAACATCAGAACAGAGAGTTTTAATTTATAACAAGTAATGCAGTAGTGTTTTGAATAATCATAGAAAGGGAAGGCTGAAATTGAGAATTGGTTGAAGATATTGTGTGGCCATACAAACTCAGAGAAATTGGCGATCACTCTAAAAAGAAAAATAGAAGCACCTTCTATATTTCCCATTCCTGCTTCATGAGTTCCTCCCCTTCTCCCACACCCCCTTTCTCCCTCAGAGTTTGTTACGGCTGTTTAAGTAACTGGCATAAAAGTAAATATACCAAAACTTTCTATCCATGTTTGTAAGCCTACGATGCAGAAACTTTGAAAGAAGTTTTAATTAACATTAAATTACCACAATAGGATTCATTCACATTTATACTAGTCATCAGCTCCTGGAAGGTAATGGCCAAGAATTGTTCCTCTTTGCCTTTCTCCCAGCACCAGCCTGCAGTATAAATGTGAGCAATGTTAGTTGACTGACTGACTGACTGACTCACTCACTCACTGTAGAACTTACCAGCTACCTGGAACAAAGTCAGAACAAGGGCCTGAAAACTTGCCCTTCTCTTTCCCCTCCTATTTTGGCACCTCTCTCCTTCCCTTGTGCTGGGATTCTGACTCTGGAATTGATTACCTGATGATCTTGGATCATGATTTAGCCTCAGTTCCTGCAGTTGGAAAATGGGGGCATGATTAGTCCTTTGTAAAGGCTAAGATGGCATGTGTGAGAGCCAGTGGTCAGTGAAGGCTTGTGGTTCTGGCTGTTGCCCAGTGCCCTCTCTGGGGTCCCTGGGTACCCATTACCATCTGCTGAGCTGCCCACTGAGGCCTGCTGTCCTAAGGCAAGGCCCTATGGTGCACTCAGCCTCCTCTGATCTTTCCACACTTCTTTCCTTTGATTTCCATATCAAGATTTACCTCTTCTGTATCCTGTTTCTTCAGAACTCGACTTTCTACTAAATAGGATAAAATCATCCCTATTCATTCATTAATGGATACTGATGGGTTAGAAAAGACCCCTCCAACCCCCCAGCAATTGTTTAACCTGAAGGGCAGCTCACCCAAGGTTGGCTGCTGGCACTCATAGATTCACAATCTGAAAGGTGCCCTAGAGAGATCATCTCATATAATGGCTTTCAAACTTTTTTTCCAAATAAAACATAATTCATAAACCTGTCTATAAAATATAGAGGGGTCTGCTTTGATTGAGAGGAGGTGGGTAGCACCTCCCTGCTTGGTTTTCCCCAAACTGAAGGCCCTAGAGTGCTTGCACAGAACTCCACTGATTCTAGTCCAACCCTCTCCTTACAGAAGAGAAACCAAGGCACAGAGAGAGGAAGGGACCTCAGACTCCACAGACAGGTGGCTACCAGACTGGGGTTGGGGCCCAAGTCACCTGTGCCCTGATCCATGCCTTCCACTCTGACAAACGTGCCTGCAAGAAGAAGCAGCCAAAGAAGAAAGAGGTTGTTTCTGATGACTCATCGAATTTGCTCTTCTAAAGGCAAAGCTAGTATTTTTTTTTTCTAAGCCCCCGGGTGACTCCAGACAGAGATAATAAGAGAAAAAACCTTTTACCTCTAAGCTACCTGTTTGAATGTAGTACAGGCTGTTAGTCACTCAAGGTCATTATTGTGTGATGGGTTATCAAAGGCCTATGTGAAATGTGTGGGATTTTTATGAGCTAGTTTTTATTATAGTAAAATGTTTAAAGGCCCCTTATGTACAAAGTGTTTTGAAAGCTCTAATAGGGCCCCATAATCACCCACATAATTATGAAGGTCGAATTGTGCTGGACAAACTTGAGAGCTATTTTTGACCACATTAGTGGATGAACAGAACAGAATATTAAAAATATTTTTGTTGTTACTCTTGTCCCTTTTAGCCTTCCGGGTACAACAAAATCTCTCTTGGAGCTGGAGGAAACTGCTGCTCTGGTATATTTTCCCACTTTTGTAAATCTAACGAGGTTTCCTTTCCCTGGGTTCCAGACACAGGATAGACAGGCTGTACATTAGGTTTTGGAGGAAAGAGTTGGCCATAGTGAGTATTCACGTCCGTTTGCTAAGGAAACTTGCTTCGGCTTGTTTTCGGTCCCGTCCCCCATTGCCCCACGGTGAACAGATGCCCGTCTGTTGCAGGCCTGGGCCTCACCGGATGTCCTTCTATAGCGATGCCTGCCGCTTTCACTGGCCATCCTTAATTTTCCATTTTACACTAGGAAACTGCGAAGTTAGAAAAACAATGGACTGTTTCCTTCCTCTTTCTTTAAACCAAGAGGCTGAAAGGAAGGCTTCGTATTCATTACTCACAGGCCAGACTTGGGGATAAAGGTCGCTAAAGTTCAAACGAAACAAAAGTTAAAGTCCACAGCTCTCAGTGAGTTCCCAGTCCAGCTGGGGTCAAGATGACACTGATCCCCTCACTGAGTCCTCATGTTAACCCGAGACTTGCCTCAAGCTTTGTAAGTATTTTCGGTAGACATTTGGAATCTCTGAGCTTGCTAAAAAGCGCTCAAGATTACGGGCATGAGGAGGGAAAGAAGTGACACAAAGCAGTCTCCATCTGGGGACAGTCTTCCCTTCTAGGACCTTGGCCTCCAGGCTTTCTGGGAGCCTGTCATTATAATTGGTGGTGACAGGTGCATTTCTTAGAACCCTAACTTAAGAGCATTCTTGCTAAACAGCTAAGATGCCTTTTTTCCTGCCATTTCAAAAATTTCCTCTCTGAAATATCCTTTTTGTTGTGGCCTATTTTCCTGTGGCAAGACTATCTGTGGCCAGAAAACCCTCACGTGGTGAGTGGTCTAGATGTGCCATCCAGCTATGTTGCCTCATGATGTGGAAAGGGAGAAGGAAACCACCCTTTAACACCAGGGTTCCGCTGTGTGCTATTTATGCTAAAAAGCAGCTGTCATGATTTTTTCCAGCCAGGCCTCCCTGTTGGACTTGAAATCCACATGGAAGAGCCTGATGTCACAAAGCAGCAGAAACCTGATAGTAGGGGCAGCAAAGGAAGGTGTTATGAGAAGTTCCACCAGAAGAGAGAGCTCTGGTAAACCCTGCATGGGCAACAGGCCGAGCCACACTAGGACTTCAGGGGTCCTAGGCACTTTTGCCATGGTAGGCCTTCTTCTTCCTAAAGATAAATAAATACATAATTCTATTTTATGGCTACACTGATATACAGACAAATGTGTTCGTGTTATATGTCACAATATTTCCTTCCACCTGAAAGCTCGTTTTTTTCTTCTCATTTTAAAAGAAATTAAAACACTTTTCATGGGCGCTGTAAAAGTATTGTGGAATGTGAGCACTGCATCTGCCGTACCTAATGGATAAGTTGACCCTGTCAACAAGAAGCAATCCCTGTCCTCGGTACAATTTGAAGAAACGGGATATTTATGAGTTAGGACAGTTTCATTCTTTAAAAGGCAATGCATGTTACAGATGGGTTTGGTTCATAAAATGAGAAAGGTTAATTAGATGTATATACAAATCCACAAATCAAAATCTCCCAATTAGCAATAGGTTTATATGCAAGGACTTTGATGTTCCAAAGTAAATTTTAAAGCTTTGGTTTGGTGCAGTAAAAACCAGAGGGTTATAGATACTGAGGTGGTATGGACTTGGGTCAGGATCCTGGCTCCAAATCCACAAACAGACAGACTACTCTATTGCTTGGGTAAGTTATTTTATTCTGTGCTTCTGTTTCTTTCTCTAAAAATGAGAGGTAACAATAGCTACCTCATGAGGTTGCTGGGAGGATGAAATGAAGTCATGTTAGTAAAGCACTTAGTATAATGCCTGGGATATTGTAAATTTTCAGTAAGAGTTATTATAATTGCCATTATTTTCATCATTAGGAAGTGTTATTCTTTTCAACAGGTGGTGGAACTCAGGCTCCTCCATTATTTTGCTGGACAATTTTGCTAAGTTTAGACAGGTGATGAGTAGATAAAAAGAAGCATATATCAGAGGTTAGAATTAATCAACCAATAGCACATGAAGAGGAGTGGGAAGTGACACAGAAGATTCAAGGAACATGAAAATACAGACCCTGGCCTCAAGAAGAGTACTGGAGACAAGACACACCCAGAAGGCTCAGAAACAGGAGAAAGGGCAACAGGCAAGCTCGGGGAGTACTGAGAAGGGAAGGACCACATAGGTGATGGAGGAAGGCATCCCTGACAACTGGGCTCGGCTCAATAAGTGAGGACTTCTCTTGGACATTTCCAGGGGGAGAAATTGCTTCAGACGTTTCACTCGAGAGCACCTACCGCATTCTTTTTAGTAGTGTCAAATCTTAGCTTGGAAAAAATGCCATGTTTTAACCAAATGAGGAGCAAAAGCGGTTTGGTCTTGCCCCCATGACGCTGGTAGTCTCTAGCTGATGGAATCTAAGACTCTGGTGCATTCGGCTGAAAACATGCAGAAAAAGCAGCAGAAGCACAAACTCAGAGGGTATTTGACCATTCTGACAGTACCAGCAATGATAACAATATTAGATTCCTCAAGGATCTAGAACTTGAAATACTATTTGACCCAGCAATCCCATTACTGGGTATATACCCAAAGGAATATAAATCATTCTGTTATAAAGATACACACACACATATGTTTATTGCAGCACTATTCACAATGGCAAAGAAATGGAATCAACCGCAAACGCCTATCAATGATAGAATGGATAAAGAAAATGAGGTACATATACACCATGGACTACTATGTAGCCATAAAAAAGGAGTGATACCATGTTCTTTGCAGGCACATGGAAGGAGCTGGAAGCCATTATCCTTGGCAAACTAATGCAGGAACAGAAAACCAAACACCACATGTTCTCATTCATAAGTGGGAGCTGAACAATCAGAACACATGGACACAGGGAGGGGAACTACACACGCCAGGGCCTGTCGGGGTGGGGGTTCGGGGGAGGGAAAGCATCAGGATAAAGAGCTAATGCATACGGGGCTTAATACCTGAGTGATGGGTTGATAGGAGCCACAAACCACCACGGTTCACGTTGACCTATGTAACAAATCTGCACATCCTGCACACATATCCCAAAACTTAAAATAAATAATTAAATTAAATTAAAAAAAGAACACTCCACAGAGTGCTTTTAACTGTAAAAAATTTTATGTTTTTGTGTTTCACCATTGAGAGTATATGCTATATTACGATTCCAACTACAATTTTCATTTAAAGGTGCGGAAACCGAACTTGATTGATCTCAGTCACACAGCTAAGTTTTGGGTCTTCAAGAGTGGAGTTTAGATCTACTAATGTTTTCTTGGTTGAATTATCACAAAATCTTCATGTTGATCATAACAATAATAATAGCATAAGAGTATCTATGGTGCCCCTACTATTTTTTGACACTGTGCCAAACCCTTGATATGTGTTGTTTCTCACAATTATCTCTTAAGGTGAGGCTTCTCAGTCCCACTTATAGTTGAAGAAACTCAGACCCTCAGAAGTCAAGGCATTTATTCCAGGTCCTGTTGCTAATAAGTTGAGATCTTACTAAAGGTCTATCTAACTTCATGGATCAAGTTCTTTTCTCTATGCCCCATCCTTGTTAGTTAATGGGGTTTGAGTGGATATGATTTTACTTTGATCTTTAATGAATATTGACCTCTCTGATAAACAAGTGAAGATTTTTCTAAAATAATACCCAGTTACTCCAGAAAGATGCCTTTGAAAATAGGAATTAGCCGTGCATGGGGGTGCACACCTATAATCCCAGCTACTCAGGAGGTTGAAGAAGGAGAGTCGCTTGAACCTGGGAGGTGGCGGTTGCAGTGAGCCAAGATCGTACCACTGCATACCAGCCTGGGTGACAGAGTGAGACACTGCCTCAAAAAAAAAAAAAAAAAAAAAAAGAATAGAAAAAAGAAAAAGAAAAGAAAACAGGGCTTAGCATTGTTGATACAAATGAGCCAAAGTGTAGATTTTTCAGAGATTGGCTGAGGCGTAGGACAAACAAAATCGATCTTTCCCTTCCACTTGGTCACAGTAAGACTGTGTATGTGTTCCGGAGGACTTAGGTCTTGAAGGTCTGTGCTAGACGAGGTCAACCTTTGTTCTGACCTTGAGATGAGATGAGCCTTCAGGCTGAGCCCAAATGAGGAAGCCGTTGCTCCTCGTAATTCTGCAGGATGTTTGTTTTTACAGTTCTCCACAGGATCATCTGAAACACCAAGCTCTCTGCTGTACATCCTTTTAACCAGGGGCTTTCAATGTGGATAGTGTTGAATATGACACTCCCTGCCCTTCAGAGCAAGATCAGATTGCAAATGGTGGGAGACAAGTTGTGAATTAGTCTTTTATGTGGAACACAGTTCATAAGTCTGGACCTCAACCTTGTCCCCATTTTAAAGGATGTATTGAGCACAATGACTTGCCTATATGTGAAAATCACCCTCGGTTCCTGCCATAGTGGTTTTTCACATTGCCTTTGTGACCCTAAACGCCTTTGAAGATCATGGGTTTGATAAATAAACAAGATATAACAACTTTTGAGAAGTAGAATTTTCTCAGAGCATCCCAAGTCAAGTTTAAAGTTTTTAAGAGGATGCTACACTAACTCTCTGTAAGTATATGGAAGCATTGTGTTACGAATGCAGCTGGCCATTTATTAATGTTTGGTATTAGCTAATTGGAAAACACCTAAGTTATAACTAGTCACCCCCGCAGTTCAGGGTTGATTAAACAACCCATGACACTTTTTCCCTCTAGCCTGCCTTAGGAATAATTATAATGACTTGCCCATTGTCTTGAGTTAATTAGTCCTCATTTTCTTCTAGTGTTCCTCTAGGCAAATGTCCTAAAATATCTCACCATGTTGCACTATTCTTCTCTTATATTTCACAATGGACACATATAACCAGGAACGTTTAAGCATTAGTTGGTTTGGTTTGGTTCTTTCAAAGGCATAGATAAATCATCACGCTACATGATGATAGAGGAAATGACAGTTTTTATCTTTTATTCAGGTAGCCTAAATTTACATGAGACCACAAAAAGTTCCTGACAGGATGTTATTGATTGCGTTTACCCAGTTGGGGCTTGAGATGGGTCTTCCTGCCACATTGCAGGGCACCCTCTTCTTTTCATTCCAGCCTGCAGATCAAATCCCAGATCTTCCAATTCTCACGAATTTTCAGAATAGAGATTTCAGGCCCCTTGGCAGACTTCCTATTATTCTTAATTCAGCTTCCTTCTCTCTGTGCCAATCAGTAACAATATCCTCTCTTGTTGGATGCTATGAATGACAGCCCCATGGAACTAAGTGAAGGGCAAATATTCATTGTAATAACTAAGTCATTGAGTACCAGACCTTCTTATAAATTATTTGTATATTAGTTCATTTAATCATCACTGCAACTTTATGAGGGAGGGACTATTTTTATCCTTATTTTACAGGTGAGGAACCTGAAACACACTTACCTAGTGCAAAGGCCTGCCTTCCCTCCTCCCTTTCTTCCTCCTTTCCTCCTTCCTGCCAACCATCCTTCTTCCATCCAACCAATTCCCTCCCTCCCTCCCTCCCTTCCTTCCTCCCTTCCTCTTTCTTTTTCTTTCCTCTCTCTCCCTCCCTCTGTTTCTCCCTTTTCCCTCCTTCTCTCCTCTCTCGCTTCCTCCCTCCCTTCCTTCCCTATTTTCCTCCTTCCTTCTCTCCTTTCTTCCATACTTCCATTCTTCCTTTCTTCCCCTCCTCCCTCCTTCCTTCTCTCCTGCTTCCCTTCTTCCTGTCTCCCTTCCTTCCTTCCTTCCTTCCTTCCTTCCTTCCTTCCTTCCATCCAAGCCAAAGTTGAGCACTTGGTGTATACTGAGCAGTATTGTGGGCACTGAAGATGGCAATGAACAAAACAAAGTCCCTGCCTCCATGGAGCTTAACCACTGTTCTATAGTGCCCCAAATTACACATCTCCCCTAAGGAGCTCTCCCAGATTAATTCCACCCAGTTTCTAACCTACCTGGATAATCTCAACTCTTCTTCCATTTCACAATACTCTTAAGTAGTTTAAAAATCCAGCGTTTCATAATTTAGCTAATGTGCCTGCTTTGAAACTTGTAGGTGCCAATAGACAATGTACCTTAGGCACCTTGGTGCACAGTCTTAGCTTCTGGGGATGATCACAAAATTCAATATAACTGCTATTTTCTAGACTGTCTATGTTACAATGAGAGAGAGAGATACCTGGGAAAATGATTGGACCCATTTCCAAAAGAGATTTTATTATATTGTATCTGATGAAAACATTAAAAAAAGTTTAGTTTTCATCAAAAATGGTCATGAAGCCAATTTATAATTTCCTGAATGAAGTTTGCAATTTAGGAGTGGAGCATTTAACCCCAAAAGCCATGGACCATGCTAGCTTTGGACATCAGCCTAAACTTTATTAAAACATTCAATCCTAGGGAAATTTCTAGATATTTTTGCTGCAATCAATTAAGTTCATTATTTTCTCTTTAACTTTCCTTTGTTGTAATTCCCCTCCTGTCAGGTGTTACAGGGGCAGCCATAGATTTGTTTGTTGTTTTGATCTGACTTAGAGAAAGTGCAATGGGGGATAGACTTGTATGGATTAAAAGGGACACATTTATATGGCTTTCAGTCACTTCTATGTTATTGCAAGTTATCCTGGCATAAGTATGTGTATTAATCCATTCTCACACTCCCATAAAGTACTATGTATAAGGGAAAGAGGTTTCATTGATTCTCTGTTCCTCATGATTGGGGAGACCTCAGGAAACTTACAGTCATGGTAGCAGGCAAGAGAGAACAAATGAGCGAACAGGGAAGAGCCCCTGATAAAACCATCAGATTCATGAGAATTCACTCACTATCATGCAAACAGCATGGGAGAAACCACCCCCATGATCCAATCACCTCCCACCAGATCCTGCCCTTGATACATGTGGATTATAAGGATTACAATTTGAGATGAGATTTGGGTGGGGGCACAGAGCCAAACCATATCAGTATGTCTTCCAGGAACATTTCTATTTTCCACTGTGCCAACTCACTTGGCATCACAACACAAGGATTTAGGGCAGAGGTTCTGTCTTAATATTGGTGTATCTGATGGTCTCCAGCACTGGAAGTACATAAATTGAAGAGGAGAAACAAGGATTGAAATATACAGAGTTGAAAGCTAGTCTGTGTACAATGTTTCCAAATATTACAGCTCTTATATGGCAGAAACTTGACTGAGATTTTCCCAAAGTTGGCAATAATCCTAAAAGTACACATGACATTACCATCAATAATAAGAACAATATTGATGAAATATGTTGGAAGAAAGGTATTTATCTTTGTGCTCTCTATTATAAAATTATAAAATCATTGTCATAGAAAGGGGTGATGAAAGAGTATACAGCCAAAAAAGTAAAAATAAATATTATATACTTAGGCAGTTTATTAATGAAAAATATTAAGTTCTCTTTTTGGATTTGGTTACATTTGTGGTATTTAAAATTTGTAATTTGTTGTGATTTATTTTGTAGTTTCCAATAAATACTTACTTTTGTGCCTAATTCTATTTGTAATTTTGTGTTCTTCAAGAAGACCCCTGAAATTATGTTTATGTCTTTTCAAAGCCTGACTCCACCTTATCCAAGAACAATTTGATGTGATACAAAGCAAAGCAAAATGTCTGTCTCTGTGTGTGTGACAGTGTGTGTGTGTGAGAGAGAGAGAAAGAGAGAGACAGAGAGAGAGAGAGAGAGAGACAGACTCGCCATCTTGGACCTCTCCTGAACCAATCATTAAGATTTTTCGTGTCAAATATAAGAGAACACTAAAAACTGAAGACAATTTCCTCCATCCTCTCTTTATCATTTAAAATATTGGTGTCACTGCATCCTGCATGCTAAAATATGATCTTTTCTTTGCTCTTTGTATTGGTTAGGATAAATTACTAGTGCTGTAGGAAAGAGCCCCCACATGTTGGAGGCTTTCACCTTCAAGTTTTATTTTTCACTCATGTCACAGGCTACTGCTACCCCATGCAGTTACTCAGGGACCCTTATCCTTTCCATTTAGTGTTCTCCACTGGCTTCTCTAGATCTGGATTAGAGAAAGATGGGATTACAGAAAGCTCATGGCTGATGGTGATCATAGAAACAAGGCGTGAAAGTGGCATGCCTCGTTTCTGCCCACAATTCATTGTGCATAACTCAGTCATATTGTCTTACCTAGGAAAGCAGAGACATTTCTAGAAATTCCTAGAAGAGGAGAAATATGCATGTAAGTGAGTAGTAGCAGTCTCTGCCATAGCCTTCAATAGATATGTAAAAACGGACAAATTTTTGGTAGATTGAAATACTCTCACAGGGGAATTGTTACAGCTCCCAAATCTATATTCATTTAATGGGAGATGTTATTGTGCTTTGACAAAAAGAGTGTGGAATTTGGAATCAGAGTATCTGGATTTGTAGTTGTCCTAGCTTTTCACTTATTAGCTATGGGAACTTGCATGGGACACAATCTTTCTGAGCATCAGTTTCATTAACTATTAGATAAGGGTGATGATAATGTCTGCCTCACTTACTGCATAGGTTGTTTTCAGGGTCAAATGAGATCAAAGGAAGAGTTTATTTTACTCTTTGAGATGCTGTGCAAATATAAGTGCCTGCCCTTCCTCCTCCTCCTCCTCCTCCTCCTCACCTTGGGTCCAGTTTCCACTCTTACTTCTGGGACGATCTGTTGCATATACCTGGCTATAAGACTGATAGAGATGCTGATGCCTTTGTTACCAGGAGACTATACATCATTTTTTTTTTTTTAAAGACGGAGTCTCACTCTGTCACCCAGGCTGGAGTGTGGTGGCACAATCTCCTCCTCACAGGTTCAAGTGATTCTCCTGCCTCAGCCTCCTGAGTAGCTGGGACTACAGGAGTGCGCCACCACACCCGGCTAATTTTTGTATTTTTAGTAGAGATGAGGTTTCACCTTGTTGGCAGGCTGCTGTTGAACTCCTGACCTCAGGCCATCCAACTGCCTTGGCCTCCCAAAGTGCTGGGATTAGAGGCGTGGGCCACCATGCCTGGCCTAAACATAATTTTTCATATTCCCTCAGAAACTGAATATATATATATATATACACACACATACATATATATAAAAAATAAATAACATATGTACTCATATATAAGATATGTTTTTATATCTTATGTATATGAATTTTTATATAAAATATATCATATATACAATAGATTATATATAAATTTCTCTTATTAAAGATACAAAATTATAAATGATGTATTTTTATATCTTGTATATGATTAAAATGTATGTATTATATAATAATATATACTATAATATATAATAATATATTATATAATATAACATATATAATATATATACATTATATATATGTATATATATAATGTGTGTGTGTATATATATATCTCTCTCTCTCAAAACTCAAAATTTGAAATGCTTCCAAATCTGAAACTGAGTGTTGACATGATGCTCAAAGGAAATGCTCATTGGACCATTTCAGATTTTGGTGGTTCTTTTTTTGAATTAGGAGTGCTCAACAAAAAAAAAAATCTGAAATCCAAAACTGTTCTGGTCCCAAGCATTTTGGATAAGGGATACTCAACCTGTGTGTGTGTGTGTGTGTGTGTGTGTGTGTGTGTGTGTGTGTGTGTGTGTTTAGTCTTTGGATTTTGGGGGAAAAAACAAGATGGGAGGTATTCCTTTTAAACTGTGTAACAAGGAAGCAAATTGTCAGCATCCCAGGGGGGAGGTGACTAATGCCATTTGCTGTTAAAATTCAGTGTGAAAATCTTAACTGTCCTTAAAGTCACCTCCTTCCTTCTACAGATGGGAGGCCTTTACAATAGGATGCCACATATGTGGGAAGTGTGGTCTTTTGAAATATTTTCTTTGGAAAAAAAAAGGGAAGGATAATTGTGCTATCTTGAATTTCTTTTGACTTGAGGTCATATAACAAGTGTATATTAAATGGAGTAGAATTTTTAAAATGAAGACATTTTATATTTTAAATATCTTCATCACATCTTATTTATTAACTGTTGATATGTACATTTTAATTACAACAGCCAAAAAGGATTGACTGGTTTTCATCAATATAAATTATTTTATGGGCCTCTGGTCTCTGTCTTAAATATTGAAAGAAACTATCCCCAAATGTATGCAACCAATACAGTTTAGAGATAATGAGATTTTTTGTATATCTATTTGTTTTATTTTTCACAATTTTCTTACTTCTTTACAACCCTCCACCCATTATGCCAGTGGAATTTATTTCTTTAGGAGAAAGCTAAAATCACTCATAAGAAAGTCAATTGAGTTTCTGAATTTATTTTTTAATGCCTTAAAAGAGACAATACTCTTGAAAGCTGAGAATTTTAGTGCAAGAGCCTGAACTCCAAAAGCTTAAGACCCTGGAATTTTTGGCACATGGAAACCACTGATTGGGAAGGAATGGCTCATGAGTATTTTCCTGCCTATGGGGAGATGGGGTTTAAGCAAAAGGCAGCCAGGAGAAGAAATTGAGGACAGAGGCTGGTGAGGAACCAGAGAAAGTGCTTTGTGCCTATCCACCTCCTGCCAAGTCTTTGGGGAACCTAATGATAGCATAGGATAGGATGCATTTGCTGCCTTGTATCTTGCTTGCTGATGAAGCTTTAGGAAAAGGGAGCAATGATTGTAGATAAGTCTCCCATTCCAGCATGGCTCTGCAGCAGCAATAGGAAGGTCTAGGCAGAGAAAGCCTGAAGCAGTACCCAACAGGCCTGCAGTCCCAGGAGATGCCAGAGAGCCAAACATCTCCCATTCCCCTGAGATGAGTATTAGAGTGGCCTTTTGGGTTTATCATTTTTTAACACATAAATCCATAACTTCTATAAATGTTAATCATGTTGCATTCTAGTTTTCCTTTCTCTTATTTAGATGTCAAATAGCTTATAAGCTTCTGGAATCAACTGTGTGATCTTTGAAACCGGCAGCCTGAGAACAGAGCAGGAAGTAGATTGTTCAGCCTTGGATGCCCTGGTGAGGGTCCCAAAGATCAAAGAACATGCTCCTTTGGAAGCCATTGTGGATGGAGGCAGGGTTGCCATCAGCTGGCACTAATCAGGAAGACCCCACCGTATACCAGTCAGTGTCTGTTCCAACTGCTTGTTACACCTTTTGAGTATCACACCTACTGATGACCTTGGCCTGATGCCTATTGCCTGATGCCAGCAAGTTTCAAACGCCTCCTCCTGCAGCTTGTATCTCCCCATGGGGATAAGGAAAAAAGAAAAAGAAGGGAGCCTTCTGAAATGACTGGTGATGCCCTCCCAAGGAGACTGGCATAAACCGGAAGTGACTAAGTTTACCTTGATTGTCGAGCTTAAGTTTTCCGCTATGAGTTTGTGAACTAATTTAAGCTCATTTACAGTGAATTAAAAAGAGCTCCATTTTGTTTTAACATGTAAAATTCATAACTGCTACAAATGTGAATCACTGCATTTGAGCTTTCACTTCTCATATCTCGATGTCAAATGTGCCCCAAAGCCTCTAAAGCAATCAGGCATTTGCTAGAGGAGATCTGAGGGGAAACATGTTCTTTTGAAATTTTAGAGGGTGGAAAGAAGGGCTCAATGGGGGTGTATTACCACAGTAGAGTCTCACTTACAAGCTGGCATGATAGAAATTGACCTTTCTACTTTTTAGGGATTGAGAAAACTGTCAAGCAAACCCTTGACAAAGAAGAGGCTGAATAATATGTTTCTTTCACATGAGTTAAAATCAGGAGTACTTGATTTCAAATAGGAAAAAAAGAAAATGGAAGAAGTATAAAAACCAAAACAAATAAAACTAGAAAGAAAATGGACTAATGTTTACAGCTTACCACATAGAGTTAGTCAAAGGAGGTTAAATATTCTTCTAGGGAAGAGATTACCAATATCTCTGGGAATGAATTTTTTAGTTTTAAGAAATAAGTAATTTGAGTCCATATATAAGAGTGGCAGGTAAATTCGGAAAGATTTAAGGCAGGTCTTCATGGAAAAGTTAGTTGTCCCTCAAAAAATTCTCCTTTGCCTGGATAAACAGGATGGGGTCATTGGGTGGTTAGGGACCCAGAGACATGGACCATGAATCCAGAGATGGGTTCATCAGATGGAGAATGAGTGCCTCCTATAGAAGCAGTGTAAACATTGCTAAACATTAAAGTGGGTAATTGAGACAATGCAGTCTCCTTCTCAGGAGGTTATGAAAAACAGGAAACATTTTCATTGGTCTATGTGGGTTTTTGACTACTTCAAGGTGAGAGACAGCTGGGTGAAGCAGCTGGGCCAGTTCTAGTGAGCATCTTGGATTAGTGCTATACTAGATTATCTGTAAATATAAATTACTTCCATTTGACATTTAAAACAATTGTAGAATTTTTCACTTTAGTGGATCACAAACAGGAGGTAAAAATGGAGAAAATGGGGAAATATCAGTTACGTGGGGCAAGGGAGTTGGTTTTATTGGCCTCTTAAGATCTACTTTGATTTTAATAAGTCAATGTATGTCCCAAAAATTCCACTGGAAGATGTTCCATTGGATTACTACAAAGTACCGTCAAGTAAATCCAATAATGATATTCATCACAGCCTGGGAAATGTTCAGAGAACTTGCTGCACTCAAAAAGTACTTGTGAAAGTCATTGTTCATTTGGTATCTCTGGGTCTCAGGATGATTTTTCTAACTCATATGGGATCAGGGCCACCTCTAGACTTACAGGGCCCTGGAAATTTCTTTTTCTTTTTCTTTTTCTTTTTTTTTGCAGGACCCCAATCTATATAAACTACTGGATTAAAGCACATAAAATTCAAGGACCCATGTGAGGTATAGTCATTTATTAATGAAGATTTAGGATAATGGATGAAGAAGTGATACTTACATATTTGTTTATTGTCCAGTCAGTGCATGTAAAGATTCTTCATGGTGTCCAGGCACCATTGCTTCCTATTCAGGTTCAGAAACCACTTCTCTGTGTTCTTTGTTGTCAAATACACCATTTCTGGCTAACTTCAAATCTCCCACCATGGGAAAAAGGTGAGAAGTATGTTATAATACTCACAGAGCCTGTGAGAGTATTATAATACCCATACAGCTCTTTGGAGCCTGTTTGTATGGGAGCAATATGGATAGACTTTCTTGCCTCTTTACATCCCTAATAACCATTTATGTAGTGCTGGTCATACCATTACTTATGGCACCTCATCCTCCCTTGTGCACACTGTAAATACTGGCCTCCAGTGACTCTCTCTAGGATTGTTACTATGCTTCTTAGATGATTATCACAAATGCAAGCCTTACTCAGAGTATGTAAAAAAATGGGAACAATAACTCACTTTTTGGTCATGTTAAATTTATTATTTGCATCTTTATAGTATAAATGTAGAATAACATGCCTTTCAAGTGTGTCTTTTCTTGAATGCCTTGGGCTATACTCATTGCATTCCTAGGGTTCTCCTTCCATGGGCCTAGTGAGAAGAGTAGTTTCATTCCCACAAAAAGATCAATGTGGGAAAATGCAAGGTCCACATTGATAAGATGAGGGAACGTCTATTGTAAAGATCCATGGCCACTTGCATTGTGGAGCAACAGTCTCCAGAAAACTCAGAGATGGGTGAGGCCACCCCTGACCATCTGGCATGTGGCAAGGAGCCTGTAAGGGTGGAGCCAGAAGTTAGGGTGGGAGTGGCATAGGATGAAGGACACCTGCTACTGCCCTACCAGCCTGGGGTTCTGTAGACCGGAGGCAGCACCACCGTGGAAACACTGATAGGTCCACAAAAGCCAGACTCAAGTCCAGGATGGGCAGTGAATGCAGAACCCTGAATAATCCTGTGTCCAACATGAGTGAATCACCCCAAATCAGTATGTCATTGCCACTCTGGCACAACATTATGAGATCCTGCAAAATAAACACCACACTTGTCCATAGGGGTGACCTGTTTACCAGGCCACTCTCCTGGAACAGGGCCTAATCACAGGCCTGGATAACCACAGAGAGGTTCCTTGGGGTATGTGGTCAACCCCACAATGGGGCAGAGGGTTGGAGAGTATCCTGAAAAGGAGAAATGGGGGCCAGAGCTCATGCAAGTCCCAGTGTGGGATGGGGTGCCTGATCCCAGACACCTGAGGAAGACTTGGAAAAATTTGCACAAGACATCCAAAGTGCAGGTAACCTGAGGTGTGCAGGGTAGGTCATAGGCCTGGATCTAAGGGTGGTACTGTGTAGGGTCTTGCATTGTAGATTGGAAGCATTGGAGGGACGATGTGTAGACAGCTATACTGTTGAACTAGAGCTGGAGAAACTTCAGCCTTTCACTTTGCAATTGTCTGTCACAGTGAAGTTGTACAATTTCCCGAAAGACAACAGCCATATATAATTTGTTAGGGATATATGTGTATGTATGTGTGTGTATTCACCTAATGCACACATGTGTACACACACATTTTATATATAAATGCATATAAAATAAGCATATATAATGTATATAAACTAATATGATTTAATGTATATATTTTTATAAATGTGCATATGTAAGTATTATGTATATCTTTTATATACCAGTAATCTCTCCCCTTTGGTAAAAGCGTATGACTTCATTCATTCACTCAATTTTTTAAAATTTATGCAATCTATTTATTTCAAAGCACCAATTTTTGTGTTTTTGATCCAATAAATCATTTCAATATGTGAAATGATGACACTAATCTTCATTTCTTCAGTTTGTAAGGGAGCTGGACAGGTGTATTTAAGCTGAATACCGGGTTTGCTTTACAATAATATTTTCTTTATGGTTGATACTTTGGTAAAATTTGGAAGATTTCTTATTAATTTGACTCTGCTTGTCTAGTCTGAATTTTCCTTTCAGTCTGTAGAACTTCTTGTTACATTTTCAACAGAATACTTTATAAAGAAAAATTATTCAGCAAATAAAGGAAATGAAAACCCCAATGGATATTGTGTAAGAATAGAGTTGTACCATTACCAATGAAATATTCTTTCCTATAAACAAAATGAGGAACCACCCTAGGAAATATTCAGTATACTTAAATATGCTGAGATCTTGGAAATTTTTACTATGAGAATACTACACATCACGGCATATTTTTGAGGGGTATAAGTTTCTCATTCTCTGCGTTCACTGGAATTTTGAGAAGTGGCACCACATATAGGCTTTGAGCTTTGTGACCTCTGAACTCAGTGGTGACACCAAGAGACACCTGGAAGTGTCTTGCAAGTGTGTTGGTCATATCTCATGTATGAACAGGGAGAGAAATAGGGTCAGAGTGGGCTTCACAGTGAGGCAGGGACAACGATGGGCCTTGTGGGCTGGCCAGTCGAATAGTGAGTGTGGTGGGCGGCGGCCCAGATGCCCCCTCAGGAGGAGACACACATTCCCCAGGGAGGTCTGGCTGTTGATGGATCTCAGCTGACTTCCTCTCTGAGCACTGCCCTTATCCAAAAGTTATGTCCCCTCCCAGGGGGCAGCCCATCTCCAGAGACTGGTCAATAGGTAGAGGTCACAGCTCCTTGACACAATTTACGGCAACTCTGAGGGGTCATCTCAGCTCCAGAGCTTTTTGTGGTGTGAGCTAAGTCCTCAGCTGTGGACAAATCATGGTTGAACATCTCCCTTTGCCCAATCTCTCTGTCCTTGCCCCTCACAGGTGTTCCTCGGAGCTTTTCCCGTAAGCCTCCTACACACAAATCTCAGCATTTCAGTGTCTTTTTCCAGGATGCCTGGTTTAAGTCACTGTCAGGCTTTCCAGGAAGAGGGTGACTTTGGTAAATAATGAGATGTCCAGTTTGGCTTGAATGTTGGGTTGATGCAGGGGCAAAGTGAGGTAGAAGTTTGGAAAGGATTTACTACAGTAGACCGAGGCAGGGTTGGGGGATGGGGAGGGTTGGCAGTTTTGAGCACAGGAATAATAAGATTAAGGAGCAGTCTTATGACCAGTTCAAGTCAAATGATCAGAAATTCCTTTCTGGTGTCTCAGGAACTATATTGTAATAAGAAAAGTAACTGAAAATAGTAGGTTTATAATGTGCTATCATTTGTAGGTGCAAATCTCATCACCATAAGCCATGTCTTTGGGTTTTTTTCCAAGAAGTAAGAATGAATCTGAGCGGATTGTCCACGTAAGCCATCTCCATGTGCATTTGCAGAATAGCTGGTAAGGGTCAGAGATATCAGCTCTTCCCTTAGCCACACTTGTTCCTACTTGTGAAAAAACCTGCTATGCACCAGAGATTATGTGTGTTATCTCTGAGCCTCACAACAACTCTGCCAGGTAGTATTATTTTCTCAGTTTCAGGGATGGAGCAACCCATAAGGGACTTGCCTAGTGAGAAATGGACAGAGATGGGATTCAATCCCAGATTTCTTTAGCTTTGAAGCTCCTGCTGTCCAGGTCAGATGAGCTGGTCCCATGAAGCCCATGATCTGGCCCTCGTGCTTGGGGCTCTGACTCACCAGGCCTAAGCGGTGACCAAGCCATGTGCTTATTAACCCTCACAAGTCATCTGTTCAAGTGACTGAAGCAGCCGGTCAATAGCTTAGCAGTTGACCTGAATGACTGTTCCTCCTTCAATCACAATAGTAATCATAAAGAGCACTCCTATATTTTATAATTTGCAAAGTCCTTTTATATTTCAAGTTGTTTGAAGTTGATGGAATATGTGGCAAGTGGGACAAGACATTATCTTCATTCTACAGATGAAAGAACTGAGGTTCAAAGAAGTCAATGTGTTTGTGTTTACCTGCCTCAAAAGAGGCAGGACCAAGCCCTGAATTCTAGCATTCCCCTTGTGCTCCACGTTGCTTCCTTTTTATTTTATTTTTTTGGTACAGAGTGTTACTCTATCACCCAAGCTGGAGTGCAGTAGTGATGTCAGCTCACTGCAACCTCCGCCTTCTGGGTTCAAGCTATTCTCATGCCTCAGCCTCCCTGGTAGCTGGGACTACATGTGCATGCCACCATGCCTGGCTAATTTTTGTATTTTTAGTAGAGATGAGGTTTCACCATGTTGGTCAGGCTGGTCTCGAACTCCTGGCCTCAAGTGATTCACCCACTTCGGCCTCCCAAAGTCCTGGGATTACAGGCATGAGCCACTGCGCCTGGCCCCAAGTTGCTTCTCTTAAGCCACTTACTCAAGCATCTGAGAGAGAATGAGGCTCTAAGGAGAATGTGTCTCTTACTTTCTTTGACCTTGGTTGAACCAAAATGCTCTGTAAATACACTTGAGATTGTCTGTGAAAGATTCATCAGCCAAGAAATAAAAGTGGCACATTCGAAGTGATTAAAAATGAGGTTCAACTGTACTGTAACTTGCTGGGTAGACACCAGTACTCTGGCACCTTTGTAATTGACTGTAATTATCTCTAATCATTATTCTGTTCTGGTGGATGCTTTCTACTTCTAACAAAACCTGATCTTTTCCCCTTGTGTCACCTGGAGGGCCCTTTTTCTAATCCCCCTAGGCTTGTCATTTAAGGTTGATTGCCATGTCTCACCAGCAAAAGAGCCATGTTATTAAAACATGCACCTTCTTTTTTTCTATACTTGAGTTTTCTGTGTCACTGTTTACCTGGAAGTTTTATTTTCATAAGTTTTAAGGGTTTTGTTTCAGTTTTAAAAGTTTCTTCATATCATCTCATCAAAACAACGATTGGTAAGCCCTGTAGTTTTGTGTTGGTTTCTGGCTCTGCAATATACCTGGTATTTGTTAGCACCATAATCCCACAGGAGAAAGGGATGAAGTCAATAACTGGAAAAAGTGGGATTTGCGGACAGTAGTCTGAGATGGAGTGGGAAGCGGTGCAGGAAGAGAGGAGAGGGGCCAGAGAGGGACAGAAACAGCTTTTGTGGAAAAATGCTCCCTTGGGGCTCAGTCGGGCATCAGGACTTCACTATTGAGAGAAACTTCCCCTTTTTGGCAAACTTCATGAAAGTGAATTGTGTGTGAAGGAAAAATGACCTCACCCATTACTTTGCTTTCCATGAAGTAAAAAGCAGTGGTGGAAATTTTCTCAGAAAATCAATTTGATTCCTCTATTTCTCTTGCTGTATGATTTTTAATGTTACTCAACATTTGGACCGTCACTGCTAAGTATGTCTCTCTTTTCCTCATTTGTATTTCCCAATCACTTTATTTAGCAGCTTGCTAAATATAATGCCCCCTCACTCCCAGTCTTTTTTTAAACAGATGAAGGATGAGGCAGGAAGTAGTGACATAATTTCCCTGGATTCGCATAGTAAGTTAACGACAGAGGCCAGGGCTGGATAAGAACTCAGATCTGCTCTTTTTGTAACTCTGTTCTAGGTCACCAATTGTAGGAGATGGACCACCCTTCCAAGTTGGAGAGTTTATCAGACATTAGCAACCCAGTCCTAAAGAAGAGGGGTAAACAGACCACAGCCCACAGCCCAGGCCCAAACCCAACCTGCTGCCTGTTTTTCTATTGCCCGTGAGCTAAGAATGGTTTTTGCATTTCTGTAGGCTTTTTGGAAGTCAAAAGAAAAATAATATTTCATAACACAAGAAAATTATGTAAAATCATAATTCAGGGTTTATAAATGCAATTGTATTGGAACACAGCCACACTCATTCGTTTACATTTTTTCGATGGCGGCTTTCATCACACTGCAATGGACGAGTCGAGTGGTTGCAACAGAAACTCACAAACCCTAAAATAGTTTACAATTTATAAATTATATGGTCTGCAAAGCCTAAAATATTTACTATTGGGCCCTTTACAGTAAAAGCTTTCTGATCGCTGATATAGAAGATTCTGAGGGCTGAGACACAGAATGCATAAGCATTAGATGGTTTGGGTCATGGTTTGGATCATGTCTGGGGGCCAGTGTTTGTTAGCAATATGGAGGCAGAAGAGGGAGGGCAATGGATGATGCTAGAGCAAGATTCTGATTTTTCTCAGGGTAGGCCCTGTGTGAATCCTTAAGTACATAAAAGGACTCCTCACTCTTTTAAAAAAATTGTTTATGAGCATTTCAGTATGGGAAATAAAAATGAGACTTAAAGAAATTAAGTGATTGTCTGAATGTCAAACAGCTGATAAGTGGCCTGCCTAGGACTTAAGCCCAGGTCTTCTCTTTTAATTCCAGGGTGCTTTCAAGTGCACCATGCTTCTGCAAGCCAGAGTAGCCTGAGAGAAGCCATGTTTATTGGCAGGAATCCTCTGTACTGAGAGGCAAGGGAGGGCTGTCTCTGGGCTTCCCGTAGCACTCCCTGGCTGTGCCTTTCTTGTGCTCATAGTATGCCCTGGCTGGTAGCACAAATGGCCCATGTATTCACATATTATTTCAGCAATCCAGAATATGAATCCTTTGAGCAAGGTTACCAGATTTAGCAAATTAAAATACAGCCAGTTAAATTTGAATTTTAGATGAAATTCAAACTATGGCATTGTAAATGTCAACATTCCAGTGAGCGGGGCTGAGGTTGGAGGTGCATTTAGAGGAGAAAAGCACACTGGTGGTGGCAGAAAGTCTGGCAATGATGCTTGGAAACGGCACATGTGAAGGTCTATTAGTACTGTCAACTACAGTGAGGACCTTCGTCTGCCCCAGGGAATCCAGTTTTAGTAAAGGTGTGCTAGATGGCCACTACTTTCATGTTAGGCATTCTTGCAGCTGTTTCTGAAGAAGACAAAGAAAGTTAAATTTTTCCCAGAATAAATGCATCATTATGACAGTGACTAATATCCTATGATCCTAAAGCCCTGATTAAATCAAGAGACTCATTTTTTAAAAATCAAAATAAAATAGTTATAACATAGCTGTATTTACTTTAAAAAGTTTTTGTTTGTTTATCTATATCCCATGAATATTTGAGTCTATTTGCATGACACATTATTTATTTATTTGAGACAGGGTCTCTGTCACCCAGGCTGGAGTGCGGTGGCACCATATCAGCTCACTGCAACCTCTGCCTCCTGGGTTCAAGCAATTCTCTTGCCTCAGCCTCCCGAGTAGCTGGGAATACAGGAATGTGCCAGCATGCCTGGCTAATTTTTGTATTTTTTTATGGATACAGGGTTTCACCACATTGGCCAGGCTGGTGTCAAACTCCTGACCTCAAGTGATCCACCAGCCTCGACCTCCCAATGTGCCGGGATTATAGGTATAAGCCACCATGCCCTGCCTGCATGGCATATACTTTTAAAAGTTATATTAAAAATTATCTGTTGCCCACCTGAAATTCAAGAGATTTTAAAAAATTTTTAAAGAGCAATTTTAGATTCACAAACAATTGAGAGGAAGGTACAGAGATACCTCAGATGCCCCCTGACCCCCAGATAATAAGGGGGCATAGCTTCCCCTATTATCAACATCCCCACCAGAGTGGGACTCTTCTTACAATTGAGGAACCTACATTGACATATCACAATCACCCAGAGTCCATAGTTAACCTAAGGGTATATTTACTCTTGGTGTTGTACATTGTATGGGTTTGGATAAATGTATGGAATGTATCCACCACTATAGTATCATACAGAGTCGTTTCACTGTCCTAAAATTTCTCTATGCTCCATCTCCTCTCACCTCCAACCTCTGGAAACCATAGATCTTTTAAAAGGTGCCACCATTTTGCCTGTTCCAAAATGTCACATAGTTGGACTCATATAGTATGCCACTTTTTCAAATGGGCATCTTTCACTTAGTAATATGCATTTAAGTTTCTTTCACATCTTTTCATGGCTTGCTAGCTATTTCTTTTTAGAGTTGAATAATGTTCCATTGTTTGTTTCCAAGCTTGGCAATTATGAATAAAGCTGCTATAAACATCTGTGTGCAGGTTTTTGTGCAGACATGTTTTCAACTCATTTGGGTAAATAGCAAGGAGCCTGATTGCTGGGTCATATGGTAAGAGTATGTTCAGTTCGGTAAGAAATTGACAAACTGTCTTCCACAGAGCCATATCAGTTTTCATTCCCATCACTGATGAACGAATATTCTTGTGGCTCCACATCCTCACCAGCATTTGATGTTGTCAGTGTTCTTGACTTTGGCCACTCTAGTGGGTGTATAGTGATAGCTCATTGTTGTTTTATTAATAATTTGCATTTCCCTGATGACATATGATGTGAGCATCTTTCGTATGCTTATTTAAAATCCAAATGTAACTGGGCATTCTGCGTTTTATCTTATAGCCCCGTCTCTAAGGGCAGGGATGGGTAATTTTATTTACCCTTTATTATCTCCCTTTTTCCTCACTCCCACACGCACCCCCACAATGCCCAATACAGTGCCTTTCAAAGATACTTATGTACTAAAATTTAATGAAAACCAACCTCTTCCAGGCTAAGCACTAGCTCCCCACTAGCTGAATAGATTAATTTCACTTTATTCTGATACCCACTATCATGGCAGGGTGAGTCAAGAGCCACAGAGGTCTCAGGGAGGGAGCCCTTTAGTCTGTGTGACAGAAATTGGAAAGGCTTCTCAGAGGATGTGATACCCAAGGTGGGTTTTGAAGTTAGAGTAGGAATTTATCAGACCAAGCCAAGGAGGGGAAATCAGCCATAGGGATCATCATGTTCCAAGTCTTAACTGCAGGAAAGAAAATGGTGTGCCTGGAAATCGTGGGATGAGCTGGTGATTGGAATGCAAGTATCTGGGATGTAGTAGGCACGTGATAGTGATTCAAAGATTAGTCTCCAAAGTTAAATTCTGCTGTTCCGTAAAAGTGGCCCTGGGATTTAGACTACCCATGATCCTTGTTCTCAATACTGTGAGTCTAGCTGTCAATTCTTGGACCACTAACCTAGCAGCTTTTACAATCAAGCCTGTGCTTGTTGGCTTCAGGTTAATCCCATGATATAGTTGCCACATCCTTGGCCATGGCCTGAAGGAAATCCCACAGGGAAGTTCCATATTTAGTTACTTATTTGAACTGGTATACTAAAATTTAATGAAAACCAATCTCTTCCAGACTAAGCAGACCCATGGCCTGCCTGGCCCTGAGGTTGGGCATCTCCTCTACCTTGAGGATCTAACTAGCCATAAGTGACTCTGTGATTTAGAGAAGTCTGGTGTTGGTTAACCTTATCCCTATTAATATTAACCTCATGCATGGCTGTCCTTTGTCTTTTCCCAAATAACTCTAATAGATAATGTGCATGGCATCTTCTATTTGTCCCCCTGGATGCCTTCTCCACCCATCTGCATCTTGCTGGGTACCCCATGAGGCTGCACTGTATGGACTGTCTTAGTGGACAAACTTGCCCTCACCTGGGAGGGTAGGAAGTGAGTGAAGTGGCTCTCTCCTTGCTGAGTCAATAAGTTGACTATGTCCCTCTACAAAAAGCCACAGCTTCCATCAGATGCCTTCTCCATGCAGCTGCCCCTTCTGGTTCTAGGAAGTATTCTTTTCCTTGCTCTTCCCCTACTGTAGGCTTTAGGTACTAATGGCTCCCACTCCTATTCGCCGTTAAGTATCCACTTTTCCTTGCTGGTTTTCCTGGACACTGTCCACACCTTGATAAATAATCACATAGTTAAACTCTCTTTAATTGCCCAGTTTGAGTGTGCCATTTGTTTTGTAATGGGACCCTGACTAAGACGGATGGGATGAGTATTACAACAATTATTCATTTGCTTATTAACTCACATTCACAATACTAAAGATAGCAACAAGGTTAATTCAAGAACATATCATACTTAGCTTTATTATGAACAACAGATGACAATCTATTATGTAAGGAAAAATGTTGGTTTTGGAAATAAATTGTCATTTCAACTTTATTAATATCTCTAGGGTGTCTCAGGTGTTAAACGCAAAACTAAGTGAATTATTCCATAGAGTTGTTATTTCTTTCACAGGTGCAGATATAATGGTAAAGAGCATGAGCTTTAATGTCAGAAAGATCTAGTTTTGAATCTGAGCTCTTTTAATTACTACCTTGTGGTTATGGGATGAGTTACTTTACCTTTCCAGGCCTTATCTGTAATATGACAGGAATAATTCTCCCTCATAGGGTGGTTGTGAAGATTAAATGAGATAATGTTTATAAAGGACTTAGCTTGCTGCCTCGTACATAATAGGATTATTGAAAGCTTAAGTGATGTTTATAAACACATCAGTTTCACTGTGTCCAAGAATTAGCCTTGGGTTCTAGAGCAACACCTTCCAATAGAACTTTCTGCAATGATGGAACTACTCTATATTTGCACTGTTCTACATGTGGCTATTGAACACTTCAAGTGTGTGTTTGTGTGTGTGTGTGTGTGTGTGTGACTGAGGAGCTGAGTTTTAAAATTTTATTTAATTCTAATTGAATTTAAATAGCTGCATATGACTCATGGCTACAATACTGGACAGCACAGATCTAGAACATAAACATAAAAATAACAAGTCATTTTGTAACATCATCAATGTCATTTGTACATGTGAACATGAAAACCATCAGTAGGATAAAATCAGAAGTATCAAGACAATTTATTCATGCTCCCAGAAATGGACATGATATAATGTATGCGATATTTATCTTAATTTTTTTTTGTATTGGAGAAAGTAAATAGGTTGAAGTTTACATAAACATATACCCATATACATACTTAAAGAGAATATTTTTGTTAAATTTATTTTTAGCCAGATGACATAGATAATTACCTTAATTCCTCCTTTTGCTTTGGATCATGTAGATATTAATTTGTGGACTTCCCTGGCCCTCACCCTTCCGGAGTCCATGGCAGACATTGATCACCAACATGGCAGTCATTCCTGTTGAAGCCAGTGGGGCCCCCGAATCCTCAACATTACCTTATAGTCAGGTACAACCCATTGCTTGGTATTGACATGTGTGAGAAAAATCCATTTACTACCCTGGATTTAGACATTCTTTTAAGGGAGTACTTGAGTGGTCCAAGGGGAAATAAAAAGAGAAAATAAAAGAAAGGAAATAAAAGAAAGGAAAATAAAAGAAAGAAAAACAGGCAATGAAATAAAAAGGTAAATATATTTAGAGTTATAGAATTTTCTAGCTAAAGAAGCCTTACAGAGAGGTCTTCTTTTTCTTGGACTTGAATCACTTGAATATACACACATGTATCGTATCTACTGTGTGTCTTCAGACCAGCCCTCTAGACCCAGTGTCCACTCTTCACCACCCTGCGCTCTGCCCTCAGACCACTGGCTGCATTGCTGGGCTTCCTTGCCCTTGGCTTCCTGTTGGAATTGGCCAGTTGGAGGCACCAGAAAGAGATCTGGTGAGCAGATGAGAGTGAAATTGGGGTATCGATTCCCCTGACTCCCTTCCTGTGGGGGCAATGCAGACTGTCTGGGTCCTAGTACTGTGAGTCATAGCTCCTTCCTCCTGTCAGGGACCTCTCCTCGCCATTCTCTCTCTCCTTGGAAATAGCTCCTTCCCCTCATCTTTTCAGGCCTGGAGAAGTATGGGGAGTACCACAATTGCCAGAACTAAATGCTACATGATTTTTCTGGTGGTTTCCCTTGTACCCTGACCACTTCTCTGAAAAGAGTCTCTTTATCATAAACCCTCCTATTACACAATTTGAGCATGCCATTGTTTTCTGCTGGGACATGTCCAATATATCTATGAAATAGTATCTGGATGTCCTCTCTTTGGGTCTTTCTTCCGATGGGCAATTGCTACAAGGACAATTTAAGACATTGCTTTTTGAAGCAGTTGTTTAATCTCACTGTCTTTCCAGACACCAACTCAGACCCCTCTGGGATGAGTCATTCTATTTGTGTGGGTGGGGTTAGTAAACTCCCTGAAGTGTAAGAAAGATTGTGTTGATAATGATGACAGAGAATTTTCTCAAAAGTCCAAGTCCATAGCCCCAAATAAAATAAACAACCAAAAAAAATAGTCTATGCATTTAGATGCATTGGACAGTGACCTACAGCTCAGCCCATCCTTTCTGGGCAGGATGTGGTTAGAGTACTATACACGATTAAGAAATTTCCCTTCTGAGCCTCTTCATCCTGTAGCTTGGTGTGGATGAAGTCCACCCAAGTGACACCTGGACCCTGAGGTATTATGCATGTGGAATTAGTAGAAGAGCTTTGAAAGCATCAAGATAGTGCATTAATGTTCTTCTGCCCCAGATATGGTTAAAAATGGCTCTTGGCAAGACTCACTTCCTTTATTTTGGACATAAGCAGAGAAGAACTAGCTTTCTGTGGCAAGCAATGATATATGGCAACCTACCTGGATGGTTGCCTATCTGATATAATGCTTGCAAAAGTGCTAAAAGCCCTTCCTCCCCCAGACCTCCTCTCTTTCTTCCCAGAAGTTCTGTCACAATTCCAGAAATTCCCATTATTAGCACGAGACCTTAAGAGTATTACAGAAATCCTTGGCAGAATTAAGTACATATATGGTTTGACTGCCTGGTGTCATGTGCAGGAAGAATGGCAAAATTGGAGTACTGATTGGGAAGCAGGTAAGCAAAAGTGTGAGACATCCAGAATCACTCAGAAATGGCAGACGTGTCAAACACAGCACAGTGAGGTGAGTAGGTGACTGTCGAAGGCACTGTATGCCTGAGCGGGCCTGAGTGTGATTAAAACTGTCATCAAAGATGAGCTTTGCTGAAACATAACACTATAGTCTATGTAAAGGGTTCAGGTTAAAGCTTAATAAACATATTTCCTTTGCTACTTCATTTATAACGTGGCTGAAAGCTGTCACAGAAGGTTGCCAAAAGATACTTAATAGTTGTCTGATCTCAAGAAACTAGACCATTATAGGTAACTCTGGAGCCAGAATGTCAATAATCTGTCAGGATGACTAATCCCATTTCAATGAATGAGAATGACATTGTTGATTGGCACTGGGCTTGTGAGCTTGGGTTTGGAGGTGGGGAGAGGTGACGCATGTACCACGTATTTGCCAGGACTACCAAGGGACCTTTTTCTGCTTTACTCCATAGTCATATCTAATTTCTAAGTGTTCATTGGCCCCATATAGGCTTCAGGAATTCCTAGTACTGCCTTCCTTGGAGTTTACTGTCATTGGATCGATTAGCAAAGGGTAAATGCATGAAACTTTCCATTTCTCTTTATGCTTGTGTCTATAATTTGGGTAAGATGGCAGGTGATGGTTTGGGGATCTAGGCTGAGGTCTCATGAGCTAAGAGGATTGGCTGATTAGGAGCACATCATGATACACTTGTTTCCTTTCATACCTTCTCTGTTTCTCTCTCTCTCTCTCTCTCTCTCTCTCTCTTTTCTAGGCACCTTGACCTACTTTTGTCCTTAATCTTGCCAAGCACGTTTCCCCCTCGGCCCTTTTACCAGGTATGTTCCCCCAGTAATCTCTCTCATCTGTTCAGGTTTTTTCAATGTTATCTTCTTCATTGACCCCTCTCTCTGAAGTGCTACCCCCTCCCCAGGCCAATCTCAATTCTCTAATCTTAGTTTATTTTTGCTTCATGGTGCTGCTCATTACTACAGAATATTATGTTCAATAGCTCTTTATCTATGTGCAGATTTTCTATCCTCTTCACTAGAGTGCAAGACTTTGAGAGCACAGACTTTGCCTGTTTATTGTTGTATCCCAATGCCTAGACGAGTGCCTGAACATAGCAGGTGTTAGGAAATGTTTGTTGAATGAGTGAATGGAGTGTTGAAAGTAAGGAGACTTTTCTAGGCCAGGGGTTTCCTGCCAAGTCATGTGCCAGCTCCAGAGAGCAATGCTTATGGAGACAAGGCAAGAAGCCACAGCAAGGCGTGTGGTAAGGGCTGGTGGTAAAAGCTGATCTGGGAGCCACAGATCACAGCAGTAGTCAGAAAGCACAGTGTTTTCTAGGAAATTCTGGATCAATGTCAGAATCCAAGTGAATGACAATGACAGCAGATGTGAGTTCCTAGCACAGATAACTCACGGGAGGCACTTTCTCAGATGCGAAGCTTTCCAAATGCTTATTGCTGGAATGGAGCCCACATGGGCCCTGAGAAGCTCTGAGGCTGAGCTCAATTCAGAGGTGGTAAAGTAGTTAACCCAAGGTGGTTGGTGATGGAGGCCTAACTGCTGTGAAGCCATCATTGATGAATCCATTCTGTTCTGCAGAAGAGAGAGCCATGTCTTCCAAACCAGTTCCCAATGCACTATAGCCTCCCTTTACAGATCCTTGTCTCCCAACCCCACCACCCCAAAATACTTTTTTTTTCAAAGAAGTTATGGTGCTGACAATCCCCCAGGGACCAGTGGTCCACTCACTTCTTATGTCGGGGAAATCCACTCGACAGCAAAGGGCTCTGTGCTGGCTGGGAATCCCCACTGCAGCAGCAATCTTTGTGGGGCTGAGCTGCAAACGCTTTTCAGATTTAGCACGCAGCCTCATGAGGAGGAATAGTTGCAGTTGCCTCTGCTGAGAAACAAAGCTGATGACACTGAAACATCTGGGAAATGGGAATATTATTTCTAGAAGATGAAAACAAATGTCCAAGCTGGAAGTGCTGCTGGCACTGACCTTTGTGTGCCTGGTTCTCCCACCCCCAAATCAATTTGTACACTCCTAGGATCTGTGTAGGTGGAAAGACTTTGCTGTGTATTTGTAACTCAGCTCATTATCTGAGGGTAAGAAGAAAAGAGGCTTGGCGTGGCTTTCAGAGGAAGTAAGGTGAAGACTGTTCTCCCCCAAACAACTAAATAAACCACGTAGACCTTTCATGACTCAGAAACCACAGACTCCACAGCTAACATGCATCTATTCATTCTTGTCTACAAGTATTGATTGAGAGCCTGTTGTGTGACTAACACAGTGCTTGGGTTGAGAACGTAATGGTAAAACAAGATTCACTCTCTCCCTTCAAAAGCAGGTAATCCCACTCTAATGTGGTACATTCTACAACATGGAGGCAGTGGAATATAGTAGCAAGGAAGGTAGATTGGGTTTTGCCACTAACTAGCTGTGTGACCTTGGGCAAATCACTCTGCTTCTCTGAGCTTCAATTTTCTCATCTATATTTCAGGGAAATTACCCACGTTATGGGATTTAATAAAGTCATATTTACTATCAATGTTTAGCCTAGGTGCCAATAAATATTAGCTATGGTCTGGTTATGATTTTATGATAAGTGTTATAGAATGCTGTGGGGTACATTTATATATTGAAATATGCTATTTCTGGGCAAATATAACTATGTTCAGGATAAAGCCTAGAAAAAGTTTGAGTAATTGGAGGTGCTATGTTTTGCTTCTTGCTTGAGAGACCCTCTCTCTGAGTCTCTCTCCTTTCCCCTTTCCTGGAGCCCTGTGTTCTCTGGATCTCCCTTGGATTTTCTCCACCAAAATTTCCTCTCAGTGGATTGACAGATTGGAAGGAATCTAAGGACAGTATGCACATGGCATTGTCATTGATTTAGAGCATCACCCTTCCTGGAGGTATTCACATCTCACCCAGAAAATAGTGAGGTGTCAGTAAAAACTGCCTTCTGAAAGTAATTAAAGAGTTTGGTATTTGCATAGGGAGAGACAAATTGAGAGGGAAAAGTTCCAGAAACAGACCCATGAATACATGGAAATTTGGTTTATAACAGAGATGGCAACACAAATCTGCAGAGAAAGAGTGAACTACTCAAGTGCTGGGATAATTAGCTATGGAAAAAAAGAAATATCCCTATGTCATACTCTATACCCAGGTAAATTACAGATGGAATTAAGACCTCAGTATGAAAGGGAAAGTTTAAAACTTTGAGTTGCAAACATAGGGCACTTTAAAACATCAGAGCTATGTCTCAAAAGGCATACATCCAAAGGAAGAGACTTATATTGAAATATTATACTTGTGTGCCAACAAAGACACAATAGAGAGTTAAAATATAAGCTGCAGACTGAAAGAAGATACTTATAATGCCTACAGATAGCAAAAATTCTTGATACAGATGTATGTTTTAAATTCCTACAAATTAATAGGAAAAGATAATCCAATAAAAATGGACAACTAATATGAACTGGACAGTCATGGAAAAAAGAAAGAAACAACTCAGTCTCATTAATATCAAGTGAAATCCAAATCAAAACCATAGTGTGATATGATTTCAAACCCCTGAGGCTGGCAAAAATGATAATATCTGATAAAACCAAGTTTGTCAAGGATGCAGGGAAACAAATATTCTTATACATTGCTGGTGGGAGTGTAAGTTGGTGAGTCTATGCTGGAGAGTGCATTGGCAATATCTGTCAAAGTTGAAGATGTATATATCCTAAGATTTAGTCATTCTACTTCTAGGTATGTAAGCTAAAAGTCTCTTGCACATGTATACAAAGTGACAGGTGAACATATGTTCATTGCATCATTGTTTGTAAAGGCAAAAACTGGAAATCATTTAAATGCCTATCAATGAAAAGATGGACAAGTTGTGAATTAGTCATGTAATGCAGTACTATACAGCAGTTAAAGTAAATGAGATAGAGCTACATATACCAGTATGGATCGATCTCTGAAAGGTAATATAAGAATAGAAACAGCAAACTATACAAGTATCTGAATTATAAAATACCATTTAGATAAAAATTTAAAAAACACACCAAACTTTATATTGTTAACATGATATATTTATACATTATATATTTATATATGATATATGTTGCTTATATATTTGTTATATACAGCTACATCATATATTTTTAAAGACACATGTTGTTTATATAAAAATACATAGTGAATGTATCACAAACAAACATGGGCTGGACAGGCATGTCCTCACTCGAGGACAATCTGGAGATGAAGGAAAGAGACAGGGATGGCAGTGATTTGGTGTAGGGGAACTTAAAAAAGATTGGAACCTAATGTAATAAAATGTTATTGTTAAATCTAGGTGGTTGATGGCATATATGCAGATACATGTACTTTTCTGTGTTTTGATGTTTTAAAATTAAAAAAAACAAATGGAAAAGAACTGGTTCTATTTCTTGCTAATATCTTTTCAAATGAACTAACTCTTCAATTAGATAATGCCTATGGGTCTATTTACTCCCTACTGTACCTCATGGATTTGATATGCATAGTTTGACTTTATGTCAAGTTCTGTTCTTTGCAGACCGGGCTCTTCTAGGGCAGAGAGGCCATGTGTGCGTGGGTAGTCCCTTCACTTCACAGAGATGCTGACCAAGGTGTGCAGGGACATGAAACACAGTCCATGCTCTGCTCCCCAAGATATACCCCTGGCACAGGTCTGCATAGTTGCATCCAACCAGAGCAGGCATCTTTTGATGTGTTTTAAAAAATATGTAGATATATATAATATACATATATATAAGCAACATATATATAAATACATAATATATTAATATATCATGTTAACAATATAAAGTTTGGTGTATTATTTAATTTTTATCTAAATGGTATCTTATAATTAGGTGCCCAAGGAGGAACCTATTTCTCATCTGACCATGTAGCGTGGATGCCTTCTTCTATTTGCACAAAGGCATAGTCTAGACTAAAAGCAGACATCATCTAGATTAAGGCTACACTCGAGGTTTTCTCACCTTATTGGGGTACATATTAGCAAAATAGTTGAAAATAAGGTTGAAAACATGTTCACTTTGTCTGGGACAGCCAGAGGGAGGATGGAGGAGGATCCAACTTGTTCACTACTATCCATTTTTCTTTCCAACTGATCATTCAAGAAGCATCTGATGAGCACATTCTAGGTGCTAGGAATAGAAGATTGAATAATATTCAATAATAAATTCTTTCTTCCCTCAAGGAAGTCAGACACTCAGATAATTACACTTCATTGTTTAAAGGCAGTAAGAGAAGGAAACAAGGAGGCTGTGGGATGCCTAACTAAGCAACTGGTGAGGTTATGTGTTTGGCTCAGGGAACAATTCCTGGACATGGTGATGTCCAAGCTGGATTTGAAAGGCTGAGTAGGGTCTGCAGTGGAGAAGGGTATTCCAGATAGAGAAAGCATCCTGATGCCATTTTTCCCCTTTTTTTTTTTTTTTTTTTTTTTGTGGATAAACCATTGCAGGAACGCCCCCTCCTCTATTAGGAGCTGATTTGGTGGATCTGTCAATCAAGGTGCCTGAAAGCCAAGCCCCAGGCAGTTGAAGGGCCAGAGACAGCTGAATCAATCTAGTCCCATGAGACTCTCTCTCCAGGAATTTGACTTTTCAGCAAAGTTATTGCAAAAAAGGAAAATGATTGTTGCAGAGCCCTAAAAAGATTATTCATAGGTGCTGCTACCTGATTTTTAAATCTACTCTGGTTCTCTTTCCATGCCAGATTCTTTAGTTTTTCCTTCAATTCTGTCAGCTATCTTACTTCTTTTCAATAAATTCTTCTTTTTGCTTAAGTTTTCCAGGATCAGTATCTGCAGCTTGAAACTACAAAGCCCTAGCTGATACAGCAACAGCAACAACAAAATCAATGGTGGAAACTAGAAGTCAAGGAAATCTCTTTAATTTATCTGCCAGAAGTCTTTAAGGAAGAATTCCAAGCCCTTTAGAGGCTCTGCTAAAAAAGAAAGAAAAAGGAAAGAAGAAGGGAAGGAGAGAAGGAAGGGAGGGAGGGAAGGAGGGAGGAAGGAAGGAAGGAAGGAAGGAAGGAAGGAAGGAAGGAAGGAAGGAAGGAAGGAAAAGGAAGACGGATTTTCCCACCATGCTGTTACCAGGCAGGTAGAAGTGTGTTAGAAGGTACATTCCTGGGAATGCTGGGCTTGCAGGGAAGATGGATGGATTCCACTGGCATCATTTAAACCTCTTTCACTGGATGGCCTCTGTGTCCTTCTACAGAACAGCTGTTACATGCAGCGCTCAGGAGAAAAAAACAGTACGATGCTGCTTCACATGGAACCCAGCAGGAATCTGCCAGAGACCCCTCTGCAGCTGGAGACAAAGAGACAATTTACCTTGTTGGCCCTCAGGGCAGAAATGGAAATGACAAAGAGTCAAGGACATCAGATTTTGAGCCTGCTGCTGGCTGATCTTCTTAGCTTCTAGCCCACAAAGAAACCCAAGGTCTATTATTGAAGTAAAAACAATTAAAAGTTCTGGCTCTTGCATTGTTTTATAATTACAGCAACATCTCTGGTACAAATTATGACTCATTCACTCTTCAAAGAAATTAGCATCTGGGCCACCACTAAGGAAGCTAGTTTTTGGTTGCATAGTGGCATCACATGGTGCCCACAAAACACTGGAGACATAGCTCCTGAAGGAGAAAGCATTGCTCAACGCTGGAGTGGGGGGAGGGTTCTCTTCTTCAAAGATATGGCATCTCATTGAAAGTTCTTGTGTTCTGACACCCCCTGGTAGGATATCAGTAGTTACAAGGTTTTATTGTGATTTTCATTATCCTACCCTATACTATTGTTAATTGAATGTATCTTAAAAATGACCATCGTAGTTTAGCCTACAGGGAATTTAAAATTGTTCATAAGGCACTTATGAATTTAAGCGAAAGTATTCTGATTTCTTTTAAATTTCTCTGTTGGAGGATGTCAATGGGATTTTCTTTGGCAGATGCTATGGTCTGAATAGTTGTGTCGCCCCCAAATTTATATGTTGAAATGGTAATCCCGAAGGTGATGGTATTAGAAGAGGGGGCCTTTGGGAGGTGATTAGGTCTTGAGGGTGGAGCTCTTATGATTGGAATTAGTACTCTTATAAAAGAGATTCATCTCAGAGAGCTAGCTAGCTCCTGCCACCACATGAGGAAACAGTCAGAGGTGTCATCTATGAATCAGCAAGTGAACCCTCATTGGACATCAAATCTATTGGTGCCTTGATCTTGGACTTACCAGCCTCAAGAACTGTGAGAAATAAATTTCTGTAGTTGGTAAGCCACCCAGTTTATGGTATTTTGTTACAGCAGCTTGAACAGACTAAGGCAGCAGATACATACAAAGCAGTGTCTGAAAGAAAGTGCTCAATCATAAATTCTGTAGCAGCTCAGGGAGAATCAGAATTTTCTCTCTTCTGGTAAATACTTGTTCAAATACTCTCTAGAGTTGCCTCTAGTATCAGTCACAATTTTTGCTATTATAAGTGACAAAAATCCAGGCTTGATCTGGCCTAAGTGTAATGGGGAACTTACCGTCTCTGGTCATTGAAAACTCAAAATGCTGGTTTGGTTTTGACTTAATTTGGAGTCCAATTTATCTCCACTTGACTCTGCTTTCTCCTATGTTGGATTCATTTCCAGGCTCCACAATGTGCCCCAGAAGTTCCAGGTTTATCTTATCACAGGGCCAAACTCACCAAAAGAGAACAAACATTTTGACCTAGAATTACTGAATTATGTGCTAAATCCCTGAAATTCCACCATGATTGGATCAGTTTAGGTCACAAACACTCCAGGGTGGATTCTTACACCCTGTGGGGCTGAGAGTCAGGGAAGATAGATCACCGCAAACCAGCAAATGAACAATCCCAAGAAATCAATGCTGTTTCAGGAGGAAAGGGGAAGAGTTGCTGTAGTGGAAAATCTCAGATGCGCATTACACCTCTTTGCAGTCTAGGGTCCCACTACATATGGTCTGGAACAGAGCAATTGAGCCTTCAGTCTGAGATGTTGCCTTTATTTCTTTTCCTTAGCCCCAGAGATTCTTAAATTCCTCTAACCCCAGATATCCATCGAGAGGAAGATACAGCTCTAACCATGTTGAAAGGATGTGAGGAGGCAAAAACCAACATGTAATCAGCAGGTTTGTCCTTAAATAAGAGATCTTCCAATTCTTTGCAAATCTCCCCAGAGCATATGAAACAGAGTTTAAATAGTTATTTTTCTCTGAAGGAATTTTGTCAGATAGAATTATGCAACCTAAGGACTTTTAGATAGGCCCCTAAAACCAACTAACACGATCTCATATTGACCAGTAGACTTGCTCTGTACCAGGCTGGGTACTAGATACTTGGTTAATTTATTTCCAATAACAGCTCACTGGGAAAGATGCAGTCATCTCCTTTACAATCTAGATGAAGAGACTGCAGGTCAGGCAGGTTAGTTAAGTTTCTGGGCCCACAACAAGTAAGTGAGTCAGCTGGGACTCAAGCTCTATTCAATCTCAGAGCTCCAGGGACTGACCAGCATGCTCCATCCTCCCTCCCATCCTCTGTGAGATTACACACAACTGACACAATCCGTCTCCCTTCCATAAAGGAGAGACAGAGGGGAAAGTCTTCCCTCTGTGACAAAAGGATGCATTTTTAAAATTTTGTAGTAGGAAAGGGAGAATAATACTAACCATTTTTGGATCATCTATTGGGTTTGGGCTACTGGAGTTGAGGGCAAAATCTATTGCAGTCTATTTGAAAACGCATTTTGAGTGGAGGAGAATATGATTCCCCAGGCTTTATTAGATCCAGTTTATGCACCAGGCTGTGCTCAGACAGCAATCAGTGCCAACCAGAGTGCTGGAGGTCGGCGTTAGCAGACACCACTCAGCTCTGCACCTGCCTGCTAGCAACTCCTAAGCACTAGTGAAATGATGCATCAAAAATCTGCCCTGACTCACTCCTAGAGTCTGTCCACACCAGCCTCTGCCACCCCCGCTTTACAGAGGCTACACTTACTAAGATCACTGAAGAACCTCTCACTTCTAAACCCACGTGGAAAGTCATCTCCACACCTCTTTCTGGTTTCCATGGTGCTTGAGAAGATAGACCACTCCTTGGTGCTCAGTATCGTCTCCAACAAGCAATAGCCTCCCTACTGGCTGTCTTCTCTTCTAGGACACTTCTAAGGCATTTCCCATAATTAGGAAGAATTCCAGTGTGTTCCATAGGGGGTCTCTGACTATGTTAATGAGAAATCGGGACCCCGAATAGTGTCACTTTTCCCTGTGGGTTCAATCTGCAGGAATTCCATTAGACAGGCTCAACAGTAAATCTCAAGATTTTTATGAATGGCCTGACTTCTGCATAAGGTTATCCAACAAGAGCGCTTGACACACAAAAAGATTTATTCCTCTCCACCCTAATGTAAACCTGCTTTAGAAGCATGTTTGTAACGTATTTTGAAATTTGAGGTACGGATGTTTTGCCACCAATTAAAGGCAACCATAGTACTTCCTCGCTTTCACTGTGGGAACACAGTCACAACTTTGGGCTGTAGTGGAAGCATATCTTATCATACTTTGGTTGTACCTTGGTATTACCTTTGTTTTTATCTTGGTATCTCGGCTATTACCTCACTTCTCTCATCTTCATTTAAATCTTAATTAAACCTTGTGCCTTTCTCCTATCTCCTGCAGGACAGTATCAGTCAGTGTCCAGTCAGGAAAACAGAAATCACGCAAGATATTTCAATAGTAACAGTTTAATAAGGAGCTAGGTAAACAGGTTTTGGAGGACTGAAAATACACCCAGGAGGTATCATATAAATCTTCACTACAGGAAGCAGCTAGAGGCACAGAGGGAGGATGTTGGAGTGGTCAGGAACCTAGAAGCTTGGGGAAAGGGGTACACAGAGCTAAGATCAAGACCACTGTGTATGGGTGGGGCATGGCCAGCTGGTGCAGGTTCCTCTGGGGCAGTTCGAGAGTGCGGACAAAACTCTGGAAACTGGAGCCAACTACTATAGCTGGGATGAAGGCCATAGAAAAGAAACGATAGAAACAAGAAGCAGAACAGGAATGAGCAAGTCCTTTCACCTTCCCCTCCAATCTCCTCTTCTGCCCGCCCCCCATGAGCAGCACCTGACAAGACCCAGCTTGCGAAGGTGAAATATGGTTTGTAGAACCCGGCTCCAGCATCACCAAGCAGAGCACAGAAGGCAGGGCTTGGAGCTGAGAGACCAGAGGTTATACACCGCACACCTCTTGCAAGCCGCCTTCACCCACTCATCCTCACTACTGTCTTTGATCTTTCTTCAGGGAGAAACATTTGCCCAGAATTTCCATTCCCCGAGCCTGCCACGTAATTATTTCTAATCATCAAAACTCCTCAGTATCCATTGCCTTCATGAGATCTTCCTCAACTGACAGAGAAGAAAAGAGAGCTGTCCGTGTTTGTCCTGTTGCATATGCTGCTCTCCAGTCTTACCTACCAGTATTTTTACTTACTGTTTTTCAGAGATGGGTCTTGCTCTGTTGCCCAGGTACTGACTTCATCCCAGAGGCCCAACCCAGAGATTGGCCCCTCCCTCATCAGCTGCCCCCAGTGGTTGGCCCCGCCCACAGGCTCAACCTTGTAGCTGGCTCCACCCCCAGGTCTGGAGTGCGGTGGTGCAATCATAACTCACGGCAGCCTCGAACTCCTGGCCTCAAGTTATCTATCCTTCTGCCTCAGCCTCGGAGTAGCTGGAATTACAGGTGCAAGTCACCATCCTGGGCCTTACCCGCCAATATTGACAGTGAGGAAATTCCTTATTTTCCAGCTGTCTTTCCTTAGTGGTTTAAGGGTGTCCTGTATATTTAGTGTACTATGAATGATTGAGTAGTCACTCTCAGCTATGTGAATAAAATGCTTACTTTTCTTTATAAAAGCATTTATGTTTCTTTCACAGGTTCCCATTTCCCACCTGATTTAATCCAAACTATTAAATTAGATCTGATCCTAAAATTTTTAAATCACTCGTGGTCTAAAATACTTGAATATCAAATAAATATCCAATTCAAATTAGATATTGATATAATTATTTGCTGTCCAAAAAACACTAGTTTTATGGTTTCTGCCCTCTTCTCAAAGGTTTTCCCTTACCCCCTCTGGGACTTCGGGTTGCCTGTGCCTTTCTATTGCTGGAGGGGAAGGGAAGAGGGAAGGTGTCTGCTCCCACAGGTAAGGATGCATGAATGGAAATGAACTTGATCAACCGGGATGGAATAAAGTATTCTTCAGCAAAGCCCAGCCACTGGTTTCTAGCTGGTCTGCTCTCAGGTACTGGTGATGCCACTGTCCTGGCAAGTGGCTCCCACAGCCTGGGCGGGATGTGTGGCTGCTGTCTCATGGGACTTGTTGGATCATTGTTTGCTTGACTGACACACTCCAGCCTGAGAGTGTCCAGTTGCCTATTGGGTGGTACTGCATCTTTTCCCTCACCCTTGCATGACAGCCTCCAGGGATCCCACCACACTTCTACTGGGCCACGGCTTGCTGGCCTCTGCCACTCAGCCATCAAGTGCTAGTCTCAGGCATTTTACTCTTGGGCTCATTCCTCATCCTTCCCCTGCTAGGCTCTGTTATCACAAGGAGCTGACTCCTACAGGTTTTGTTGCCCAGGCTTCCAGGTCAGCCCAGGCTTCCAGGCTTCTTGGTCCAGGGCCAGGTTCAGCAAATGAGAGGGTTGGCAGGAGATTGAAAGCTGCAGGTGGCATCACACTGGCAGCAACAGGGTGTCCTCTGTGGCTTTAGCTCCCACTGAGCAGATCCTCTGTGGTCTCTGGCCCTTGCACCCCAAAACACCACCTCCATTCTTTGTCTCTCCAGTCTAGTAGAGCTAGTGTTCATTTCTACTTTGCTAATCTCTGGGTTGTCTCACCACCCCCTGTTTGATTCTTGATTCCTTCATCACTTATGTAACCAATTCCTTGCCCTAAATTCCTTCTGTTATGAATACTTGTAAGTATATAAGTATACAAGTGGCTTCTCTTTTCCTGGTTCCATTGACCCAGCCTGGTCTAGATCAATGGACACTACCTTGGCTCTACAGCAAATATATAGTGATCCTTGCCAACTTCTCACCCATTCACTGTGCTGCTCGTGCCAGGCCAGGTCAGCAGATCCTGCTGCCCAGCAAACCCCAGATGGATAACTGGCTCCAGTCCCAATACTTAAACCACCCAAATTCACCAAGAGAAAAAAAATGGCCAGGAATTGCAACTCCGCATACCATTGCAAGTTGTGCTGAGGGAACCATTAGGTGTCTGGAGCTCCACAAATGTCCTCCTTCCACACTTCTCTCCCTTCCCAGGTGCTTTTATTTCCCCAGTGGAAGAGCTGCCAAGCAAATTCTGCCCTCTTTACAACTTGATAAGAATTAGGTGGATCTGACTGTGGTACCTTTCTCTTCAGTAACTTCTGTATCATCTGCTTGGCCTGTGCATGGGGAGCTGACGGGAAAGTCAGGTAACCTGAGGGAGCAAGAAGGAGTCTCAAAGGATATTTCACACCCTATGTAATATATGTACCTGTGTAAGACCCACCCAGAGCCTGAAGTTTTATAGAGACATTCCTAGAAAAATGTAGAATCTGGGGTAAATCCCATCATACTATGTGCTGGATCAAATTAAAGTAAGTATCCAGGGGAATCTTGTAGGGGCAAAAGACATTACAAAAGGGAAACTTGCATTCTCGCAAGAATATGAGCTTGCAAAAAGAAAAAAAGAAGGGTCTTTTCTTTAATGATAGTATAACCCTGTATTTTTATAATGCCACCTGGTAGAAGTTATGTCCTTTTTCCAGTGACCCACACCCCTATTGCACTAAAATATGCCTCTGAGTCTAAACAGTATTCTATGGATGGAGATTCATCCATTTTTCTCATTCACTGACCCCTCATCCCTTAATCACTAACAAGTATATTGAAAAAGCGGTGATTCTATGGAGGCTTCAAATAGAAGTACCACAAAGTAAAACAAAAATAAAATGCCCACTGAACTAAAACAAACAAACAAAAAACGTTAATTATAATTCTATAGGCTATGTTAGACACAATGGATTAAAATTGTGACACCCGCACCCATCAAGTCCAGACCTTGCCACAACCCCTTTATTTTATTTTTATTATTTGAAATTCTCGAGCGATTCAATGTCAGTTTTTCTCTTTGGGATCGTTAGTTTTCAGGGTTAGATAGAGATCAATAGAGATATTTTGAAATTGGCATCTTCGGAGGAGAAATATGTTGTGCAGCTGTACATGGATTGGCCGGTGCTCCGGTTAAGAAAATGGTGTGCTCTTTCATGATTGTGTTCATTGACAGTACCCCAAGCACTATTTCACTCTGTTGCTAAGATTCTGACAGTCTTTTGTAGTATCTTATCTATCACTGAGTGTTCTTCCCTATCCTTTCATACTTGATCTCTGGAGTGGAACTTTGTTTTAAAAGGCTCTGACATGAGAAAGAATGGTTGTCAGCAGACCATTCTCCTTGGGCACAAAGAAAAGTGGTCAAATGTTCAAACATCCAAGTCAAGGACTCAGTCTAGTGCTTGCCCCACCAGGCGAGGCTTCCAAAGTAATCCATCTCATTTCGGGGACTATATGATGGTTGGTATTTTGATCTTGAAAACATGTGCAAAACTGGAAGTCACTTCCCTGAGCATGGTCACCGCCTGTCTTGAAAGAAGCCAGCACTCAGTCACTCACCTGGATGTGAGAAATTTATTTTATTTATTTGTCCTTCTGATAAATGTTTATTGAGTACCAATAATGTGCCAGTCACTATTCTAGGTGCTAGAAACATAGTAATAAACAAAAACAAAATTGATAAAAATCCTTACCCTCATGGAAATTGTACTGTGTTTGTGTAGACAAAAAAATTACTAGGACTTTCTCTCTCATCTATTTCTCATTTATCTAGATTTGGGGAATTGCAACTCCCCACATCATTTCAAGGTGTACCATTGCGTCGTATGCGGAGTTGCAATCTATCTATCTCGTAGGTGGTCATAAATGTTAAGAAGAAAAATAAAGCAGGCAAGGTCGTAGCAGGTTTGTGTAAGAGAGGAAAGTTGCCAGGGAAGGCATCACAGGCATGGTGACATTTGATCAGAGAAATGAAGGAGATGCAGTAATAATCTATGCAGATGTTTGTGGAGCAGCACCTGCAAAGTCACTGAGGCATGCTTGGTAGACCAGCAGAGAAGCTAGTGTAGCCTGAGCCGAGTGACTGGACAACAGAGTAGTAGGAGCTGAGGTCAGAGAGGTGATGGGGACCAGATTGTTCACATCAAGGTCTCTCCTGGCGTCTGCTAGGAATTGTTATTTAGTGTAATAATGAAGCTCATGTGTCGATAAATCACAAATTTGGATTTACTTAATCTTTGTTCAATGTATTTAATATAGTTGGTTTCTTTTCTAATTCCATGTATCTACTTTTATGCATTCTGAGAAAGACTCTATAGACTTCAGCAGTCTTCCCAAGAGGTTCAGATCACAATGCAGGTAAATACTTTTTGATGTAGGGGCTTTAAGTCCCTGCAGGATTTTGGCTTTTACACTGAGTGAGATAATAATTTGTTGGGGAGGATAGACGTGATCACCTAGACTTTTGCATTGAGTATACAAAAGAGCGAGAAGGGTGGGACCAGGAAGTCCAGTTAGGAGGCTATGCCAAGAATTCAGGCAAGAGATCATGGTGGCTTGAACCAGAGTAGCAACAGTGAAGGCAGTGGGAAGTGGATAGATCCTAGAGAGGTTTTAAAGGCAGAGCCAACAGGATTTGCTGGTAGATTGGATATGAGCAAAGGAGTCAGGCAAGAATGACTATGAGATTTTTGGACTCAGCAACTGGAAGCCTGGAGTTGCTTTCCTCTGAGGTAGGAATATAGGCAGGGGGTCATGGAGGAGAGATGGGGAAGGTCAGATTTAGTGTTTGGACATCTTATAATTGAAATGATGATTACATACCCAGGCAGAAATGTCATGTAGGCAGCTGGAGGTGTGGGGAGCCTGAAGGGGTGAGGAGATGTCCTGGCTAGAAATACAAAGTTAGGAATCACGAATCTATACTTGGCATTGAGGCCATGTGACTGGATGACAGTGTCATCCTGGAAAGTGTTACACGAAGAGATGAGGATTTTTTGGCTTTTGTTTTTGAGATGAGATCTTACTCAATTACCTAGGCTGGCATACAGATTTGTGATTCTAGCTCCTCACTGCAACCTTCAACTCCTGGGCTCAAGTGATCCTCCCACCTCAGCCTCCTGAGTAGCTGGGACTACAGGCATACCTCACCATGCCCAGCTCATTTTTAAAATTCTGTAGAGATGGAGTCTTGCTATGTTGCCCAGGATGGTCTCAAATGCCTGGCCTCAAGCAATCCTCCCACCGTGGTCTCCCAAAGTGCTAGGATTTACAGATGTGAGCCACCATGTCTGGCCAGAGATGAGTCTTGATGGTTGTGACCTGGAGCAACCTAATGCTTAGGATCTGTATAAGGAGGAGAAAGAATCAGCCAAGGAGAGCAATCAGTAAGTTAGGAGGAAACCCAGGAGGGTTTGATGTCCCTAAAGCCAAGGGAAGAAAGTGTTTCAAAGAGGAGGAGTGTGTCTCTGTTACATGCCGCTTATAGGTCATGTATGATGAGGCCTGAGAGTTGACCACAGATTTAGCAACTTGGAAGTCATTGGTAATCTAGAAGAGTTTTGGCCAAATGGTTGGGGAAAAAGTCTTATTGAAATAGGTTTAAAAATGAATAAGGACAGAAGAATTAGAGATACTGGGAGTAGGAAAGTCCTTTCAGAAAGTTTTCTCAAAGGGAAACATAAAATTTGAATGATTGCTGGAGAGAAATATGGGAATCAAAAAAGTTTGATAAGATGAGAGAAATATCAGCACTTTTGAATGCTGATATAAATGATTTTTAAAAAGAGGAAACACGAATGATTCAAGTGAGACAGAGCCTTGTTGAGTGATGTCTTTGTGTAGACAAGAGGTGGGTGGTTTCTAGTGGAAGAGCAGAGGGCTTAAACTTAAACAGGAACCTTAAGAGTTTGCCTATAGGAACAGGCAGGAAGGTGGAGTATGTGAGTACTGTGAGTAGATGTGGCGATGAAGCCTGTAGAATTTCTCTTCTGATTGCTGCTGTTTTCTCAAGAGGAATAAGAAGTATAGTCATCAACTAAGTGTGAGAATGAATAAGGGAAAGAAGTCAGACGGTTGGGGAAGGGGAAAAAGGGGAAAAACGGTTGTCTAGGTATATGGAAGTGTGAATGGAATAGCAAAATGCAGTAGGACTGCCAGGCAGCATTTGGGGCCTTATTGGGATTAGTGGTCACATATTTTAGATGAATCTATTCACGATGTTGTATTTTTATCCACTTGTGTTCAACTCTTTGGGTACAGGCCTGAAGTAGATAGAGAGTTGGATTCCATAAGAATTAGCCTTTGTCATCTGAGCGAGATGAAGGGACGACAGAGAACTGAAAGTGGACCCAAGCGAGTAATTGATTAACCGTGAAACTAAACAAAGTGAGTAAGGTAAAGGAATGAGGCCATGAAAATGTTAGGGAGAGTAAAAGGGTGGTAGAGCCAATGAATTTTAGGTCCTACTGCTGTGGAACAATTTTCAGTCAAGGCACTAGAGAGAAACAGTTGGAAAGATAGGAAATGGAGGTCAAAAAGATAAAATAGATGGTTAAAGTAGATGGTTAATTGTGGAAGGGATATGGCTATTGGTAAGGACTAGGTCTAAAGTGTGGCCACAGGAAAGAGATGCTGAAGTAGGGTGGAGAACAAGATCACTGGAGGGAAGGAGGTCAAGAAACCAAGACCTCTCGGAGTGTCATCTATTTGAATACTGGAATCACTAAGAATTAGGTCAGGAGTAATAATGAAGACAATGATTGTAATTAAGCCTGGACATAAAGTCTTTAAGAAATGAGAGTGGCAGTGACCACGGGTCTTTAGAAGTCTGCAACAAGTAGAAGAATGGAGGTACAGTCTAAGGGCATAAAATTTCAAGCTGAGGGTGGTGGAATAATGATCTTTTATCTACCTGAGTCAAGGAAATGATAATTGTCTTCTTAACATGCACTCTTTGATAGAGTTTGGATGTTTGTCCCCTCCAAATCTTATGTAGAAATGTGATCCCCAAAGTTGGAGGTGGGCCTAGTGGGAGGTGTTTGCGTCATGGGAGTGGATCCCTCATGAATAGCTTGGTGCCCTCCCTACAATAATGAGTTCACATGAGAGCTGGTTGTTTAAAAGCATTGTTTAAAAGTGCCTGGCATCTCTCTTGCTCTGTCTCTCACCATATGACATCCCTGCTCTCCCTTTGCCTTCTGCCATGAGTGGAAGCAGCCTGAGGCCCTCACCAGATGCAGATGCCAGTGTTATGCTTCTTGTATAGTCTGCAAAACCACGAGCCAAATAAACCTCTTTTATTTATTATAAATTACTATCTCAGGTATCCCTTTATAATAATACAAAACAGACCAACATGCTCTCCTCAACTCTGTCTCTGGGAACTTTCTTCATTAAGTAGGCAGATGGAGGAAGTGCCTTGTATATTGCAAGACAATAACGCTTGTTTGTTTTTCAGGAAGAATTTATACTTTTTGCCCTAGTTTTGTAGTTCATCTATTTTTCATTGTATACCAGGGTGGCAAACACTCTTCTGAATGTTGGTGAAGGTTGACCCAATTCTCATTCCTAACTCCCTTTTGCCTAGTCACTTTCTGGATAGCAGTAGCTTTTGGGCATCACTGTGTCCACTGAAATATGTGTAGAAGCAATCTGAATGGTGTCTCTGAGGAAGTTTTTCCTTTCCTGAGAAAGGACAGACTCAGTAGTCATTTTCCTTTTGCCATTTGCCTTTCCTACTTCTTTTCCGTTCTGCACAAGAAGGCATTTTTCTTTCAATGATTGCCGCCTCAGGGTGCCACAATCATCTTGTAACTATGAGGTGACAGATATGAAGCACCAAGTATGACTACATTTTAAGGGTGGCAGACCAGAAGGATGGAAAGAGTCTGGGTCCCTCCTTTGTTGAGCCACTGCCCCAGCCCGCAGCTTCTACCTCTGGATCTTCTCATGTGAGGAAAATAAATCACTCTTCCTCAAAGCCAGCACATTAGTTTGGCTCTCTGTTGTTTGTTACTTCTTGCTTTCCTAACTCACAGAGCTACTTTCCTGTGAAGAGAGAAATACTAGTTGGGTTTAAGAAGGAATTTCACAGACTTATTTGTGAGTAACCTTGGTAACCTGTTTTAATACATCTGCCAATAAAAAATGTTTGCCTGAATCTACCTCTTCTTCAAATTACTGCCTTTTTATCATTCCTCATTTCAGTGTCAGATTTCTTTTTTTTATTCAAGAATTATATTGAGGTACAATTGATATACAATGAACAGCACAGATTTAATGTGGATAATCTGATGAACTTGAACATATGTAAACACCCGTGAAACCATCGTGGTGGTCAAGGTAATAGACATATCCAGCACCTCCCAAAAGTTTCTTTGTAATAGACATATCCAGCACCTCCCAAAAGTTTCTTTGTATCCCTTTGTGTTTTTGTTTGTTTATTTGTTTTGTGGTATGAACACTTAACATGAGATCTACCATCTTAACAGATTCTGAAGTGGACAGTACAGTATTGATAACTATAGGCACTATCTTGTACAGCAGATCTCCAGAATTTATTCACCTAGTATAAATGAAAATTTGTACCCATAGAACAACAATTTCCTCTATCCTGCAGCCCCTGGTAGCCACTATTGTATTCTCTACTTCTATGAATTTAACCATGATAGATACCTCATATAAGGTGAATCTTGCAGTATTTGTCATTCTGTAACTAGCGTATTTCACTTAGCGTAATGTCCTCTAGGTTCGTTCATTTTGTTGTAAATGGCAGCATTTTCTTCTTTTGAAAGGCTGAGTAATATGTATGAATGTACCACATTTTCCTTTTTTAATTTTAATTTTAGATTGAGGGGGTATTTGTAGGTTTATTACATGAATATATTGCATAATGCTGGGGTTTGAGCTTCTGTTGAACCCATCACCCAAATAGTGGACATGGTACCCAATAGGTAATTTTTCAAACCTTGTCCCCGCTCCTTTCCTCCCCTCTTTTGCAGTACACAGTGTCTATTGTTTCTGTCTTTAAGTCCATGTGTACCCATTGTTTAGCTCTCACTTACAAATGAGAACATGCGACATTTGATTTTCTGTTTCTGCGTTAATTCACTTAGGATAATGGCTTCCAGCTTTATCCATGTTGTTGCAAAGACATGATTTCATTCTTTTTTTATGACTGTGTAGTATTCCATGGTGTATTTGTACCCCATTTTCTTTATCTTATCCACCATTGATGGGCACATAAGTTAATTCCATGTCTTTGCTATTGTGAATAGTGCTGTGATGGACATATGGGTGCATGTGTCTTTCTGGTAGAATGGTTTCTTTTCCTTTGGGTAGATACCCAGGAATGGGATTGCTGAGTTGAATGGTAGTTTTATTTTTAGTTCTTTGAGAAACCTCCAAATTGCTTTTCCACAGGGGCTGAACTAATTTATATTCCCACCAATACTGTGTAAGTGGTCCCTTTCTCCACATTCTCACCAACATCTATTTTTTTTCTTTTTAGTAATAATAATAGTCATTCTGACTGGTGTGTGAGATAGTATCTCATTGTGGTTTCAATTTGCATTTCTCTGATGATTAATGATGTTGAGGATTTTTTCATGTTTGTTGGCCACTTGTATGTTTTCCTTTGAGAAGTATCTGTTCATGTTCTTTGCCCATTTTTAATGCTTTTTTTCTTGTTGATTTAAGTTCTGTATAGATTCTGGATGTTAGTTCTTTGTCAGATGCATAGTGTGCAAATATTTTCTCCCATTCTGTAGGTTGTCTGTTTACTCTGTTGATTGTTTCTTTTGCTGCACAGAAGCTTTTTAGTTTGATTAAGTCTAATTTGTCAATCTTTGTTTTGGTTGCATTTGCCTTTGAGGACTTAGTCATAAATTCTTTGCCTAGGCTAATGTCCAGAATAATTTTTCCTCGGTTTTCTTCTAGATTTTTTTTTAGTTTGAGATCTCACATCTAAGTCTTTAATCCATCTGGACTTAATTTTTGTAATGGTGAGAGATAGGAGAGATAGGAGTGCAATTTCATTCTTCTGCATATGGTTAGCCAGTTTTCCCAGCACCATTTATTAAATAGAATGTCCTTTCCCCATTGTTTATTTTTGCCAACTTTAGTCAGTGATCAGTTGGTTGTAGGTGTGTGGCTTTATTTCTGGGTTTTCTATTCTGTTCCATTGGTTTATTTGTCTATTTTTATACCAGTAGCACACTGGGTTATTGTAACCTTATAGTATAGTTTGAAGTAAGGTAATGTAATGCCTCCAATATTTTCTTTTTGCTTAGGATTGCTTTGGCTGTTTGGGTTCATTTTTGGTTCCATGTGAATTTTAGAATTTTTTTTCTAATTCTGTGAAAAATGACATTGATTATTTGATAGGAATTGCTTTGAATCTGTAGATTGCTTTGAGTGGTACGGACATTTTAATGATAGTGATTCTTCCCACCCATGAGCATGGGGTGTTTTTCCATTTGTTTGTGTCATCTATGATTGTGTCATCTATGATTTATTTCATTAATGTCTTGTAGTTCTCCTTATAGAGGTTTTTTACCTCCTTGGTTAGGTATATTTCTAGATGTGTGTGCGTGTGTATGTCTATTGCAATGTGATTGTGTTTTTGATTTGGTTCTCAGCTTGAATGTTATTGGTGTATAGAAATGCTATTGATTTTTGTATGTTGATTCTGTATCATGAAACTTTACTAAAGTCTATACAAGGCTTAGGAGTCTTTTGGGGGACTCTTTAGGGTTTTCTAGGTATAGAATCATATTGTTAGTGAACAGAGATAATTTGACTTTCTCTTTTTTGTTATTTGGATGCCTTTTATTTCTTTCTCTTGTTTGATTGCTCTGGCTAGGACTTCCAGTACTATGTTGAATAGGAGTTGTGAGAGTGGGCATCCTTGTCTTGCTTCAGTTCTTAGGGGAAATGCTTCCAACTTTTGCCCATCCAGTATGATGTTGGTTGTGGGCTTGTCATAGATGACTCATTATTTTGAGGTACGTTCCTTCGCTGCCTGGTTTGTTAGGAATTTTTTTTCACAAAGCTATGTTGGATATTATTGAATGCTTTTTCTGTGTCTATTGAGATATTCATACACGGTTTAATTTTAATTCTGATTGTATGTATATATTACATTTTCTTTTTTTATTTTTTATTATTATTATTATTCTTTAAGTTTTGGGGTACATGTGCACAATGTGCAGGTTAGTTACATATGTATACATGTGCCATGCTGGTGCGCTGCACCCACTAACTCGTCATCTAGCATTAGGTATATCTCCCAATGCTATCCCTCCCCCCTCCCCCCACCCCACAACAGTCCCCAGAGTGTAATGTTCCCCTTCCTGTGTCCATGTGATCTCATTGTTCAATTCCCACCTATGAGTGAGAATATGCGGTGTTTGGTTTTTTGTTCTTGCGATAGTTTACTGAGAATGATGATTTCCAATTTCATCCATGTCCCTACAAAGGATATGAACTCATCATTTTTATGGCTGCATAGTATTCCATAGTGTATATGTGCCACATTTTCTTAATCCAGCCTATCATTGTTGGACATTTGGGTTGGTTCCAAGTCTCTGCTATTATGAATAGTGCCACAATAAACATATGTGTGCATGTGTCTTTATAGCAGCATGATTTATAGTCCTTTGGGTATATACCCAGTAATGGGATGGCTGGGTCCAATGGTATTTCTAGTTCTAGATCCCTGAGGAATCGCCACACTGACTTCCACAATGGTTGAACTAGTTTACAGTCCCACCAACAGTGTAAAATGTTCCTATTTCTCCACATCCTCTCCAGCACCTGTTGTTTCCTGACTTTTTAATGATCGCCATTCTAACTTGTGTGAGATGGTATCTCATTGTGGTTTTGATTTGCATTTCTCTGATGGCCAGTGATGGTGAGCATTTTTTCACGTGTTTTTTGGCTGCATAAATGTCTTCTTTTGAGAAGTGTCTGTTCATGTCCTTTGCCCACTTTTTGATGAGGTTGTTTGTTTTTTTCTTGTAAATTTGTTTGAGCTCATTGTAGATTCTGGATATTAGCTCTTTGTCAGATGAGTAGGTTGCGAAAATTTTCTCCCATTTTGTAGGTTGCCTGTTCACTCTGATGGTAGTTTCTTTTGCTGTGCAGAAGCTCTTTAATTTAATTAGATCCCATTTGTCAATTTTGGCTTTTGCTGCCATTGCTTTTGGTGTTTTAGACATGAAGTCCTTGCCCATGCCTATGTCCTGAATAGTAATGCCTAGGTTTTCTTCTAGGGTTTTTATGGTTTTAGGTCTAACGTTTAAGTCTTTAATCCATCTTGAATTGATTTTTGTATAAGGTGTAAGGAAGGGATCCAGTTTCAGCTTTCTACATATGGCTAGCCAGTTTTCCCAGCACCATTTATTAAATAGGGAATCCTTTCCCCATTGCTTGTTTTTCTCAGGTTTGTCAAAGATCAGACAGTCGTAGATATGCGGCGTTATTTCTGAGGGCTCTGATCTGTTCCATTGATCTATATCTCTGTTTTGGTACCAGTACCATGCTGTTTTGGTTACTGTAGCCTTGTAGTATAGTTTGAAGTCAGGTAGTGTGATGCCTCCAGCTTTGTTCTTTTGGCTTAGGATTGACTTGGCAATGCGGGCTCTTTTTTGGTTCCATATGAACTTTAAAGTAGTTTTTTCCAATTCTGTGAAGAAAGTAATTGGTAGCTTGATGATTCAATGCCATCCCCATCAAGCTATATTACATTTTCTTAATCCATTCATCTGTTGATGGACATTTGGGTTGTTTCCAAATCTTGACTATTGAAAATAATGCTACCATGAATGTGAGAGTGCAGATCTCTCTTTGAGGACCTGATTTCAATTTCTTTTTTATATATACCCAGAAGTGGGACTGCTGGATCATATGGTAGTTGTATTTTTAATTTTTGAGGAATCACCATACTGTTTTCTACAGTTGCTGGGCCATTTTACATACACTGTTTTCCATAGCTGCTGGGCCATTTTACATTTTACATTGTACAGAACAGTGTACAAGAGTTCCCTTTTCTCTACATCCTTGCTAATACTTGTTACTTTTTTTTATTACAGCCGTTCTAACAAGGGTGAGGCAATATCCCATTGTAATTTTGATTTACATTTCCCTGATAATTAATGATGTTGAGTATCTTTTAATATATCTGTTAATCATTTGTATGTCTTTGAAGAAAAGTCTATACAAGTCCTTTGCCCATTTTAAAATTGGGTTATACGGGAGGCGGAGCTTGCAGTGAGCAGAGATCGCGCCACTGCACTCCAGCCTGGGTGACAGAGCGAGACTCTGTCTCAAAAAAAAAAAAAAAAAAAAATTGGGTTATATGTTTTTCTGCTATAGAGTTGTAGGTGTTCCTTATATATTTTAGAAATTAACCCCTTATTAGCTATATGGGTTACAAATATTTTTCCCCATTCCATGGTTGCCTTTATTTTACATTCTGATGACTGTTTTGTTTGCTATATAAAAAATTTTTAGTTTGCTGTATTCCCACTTGTCTATATTTGCTTTTATTGCCAGATTTCTTATAGGAGTAGCCCATGCATACCTTCTCTACTCCTTCCACTTGCATTCATGTATTAGGCCACCAGGGTTAATATCTTAGATGACTTCCATGGAAGCCATCATGATTAAGATTCCTGAAGGCCATGTTGCATCTTTTGGGTCCCCATCCCTCTTGAAACCTTTGTAGGGATAGCTCAATTGGCCATTTGCTTCTCCTCTTCCTCTATAGGCTTCTGCAATATTGCTTTTTCATAGTTCTCAACCTGTGAATTATTTTCTTGATCCTTTTCAATACTTCCTATTGTCCTGTCAATATTCATTGTTTCTGCTCCAATGTGCTTTCCTCAGTCCTCTGCCCTTGCCCTTTTCCTCTTGTCTTCTTTTCTTTCATGCTGTAGGTTTCTCCTGGGTGATTTCTTTCATTACTAGGTCTTTGTCTGGTTCCAAGAATTCAGTGATTTATCCATTTATAATTTTAGTCCAGACCTCTCGCTTGAGCTTTAGGTTTTTATTTCTAATTGCTTCTGGAACACCTTCATTCAAACATTACATTACCAAAATGGAATTCTATCATCTTTTCCAAAAACCCTACTCATTCTTTCTTATTTGTTTTCTTCTATCACTATCATTCATCCAAGTGCCCAAGTGAAGAACTTGAGTGCGACTTCAACTCTGCCTTCTCTTTCTCTCATTTTCCACATCCAGTTGTGAACAGCCCTATTAATTGTGCCTTGGAAATATTTCTCAAACATCTTCTCTTCTCCATCCTCATCACCTCTGCCTTTAAGATCTTTCTTACCTGTCTATTCTCCCTTGACTCACTTCCAGTGGGGACAGGTTTTCTCTTGAGATTCCCATTTTTATGGAGTGCCAGCTTCAACTTTCATGAGATACTGGTCCTGTTTCTAAATTGATCATCTACTAAGATAAAAGACCTGTGATCAATAAGAGTACAGAGTAGCTTCAGATCCTTGTTAGTTGAGGCCCTTTCTAGCTTTGGACCATCCAGTTTTTATCAAGTGCTCAGCCCTGAGAAACAACATGAAGGGAGGATGATTTTAAGGGCCCATCCAGATCAAATCTAACCCTGTACCAAATCAGATCTGCAAAGCTAGCTGAAGGAAGTTTTTGAGGGTGTTATTCATGACTTTCCAGAGCCTTTCTTTCACTTAGGAGAAGTTCCTGTTTTGGGTTAATACCGAGAAGAGTGAGTTATACTTCTCTTGGGCAATCATTAACCAATATGTAGAACGTTTATTTTTAACTCTTCATTTGTGCCCCATCTCGAATGGAGCCATTTGATCGTTGTTTTTCATTCTTCTTTGGTTTTACACTTATTTTATACCACTTCATATTTTATGCATTCTTAGATGCTGCCTTCAGTTTCCTCTGAAACAAGATGGAAAACAGGCAACAAACAAATAAAGATATAAATAATTCAGGTTCTTATTACCTCTTTCTCTGGCTATTGGAATACTGGCCTTCCCTTCCCACCTCGTATCTTTCCTTCTGTATATCTTTTACATACTAATCATGTCGTCCTCCTGCTTAAAAGCAGTTAGCAGTCCCATACTTGCTCTTTCGCAGAGCACGTAAGGCCCTTCACAGTCTTAAAACAGTCTTTTCTTAACCTCAGAATCTCCCTGTGTCCTTATTTCCAGCCATGCCAAGCCACTCATTGCTCCTCTTAGAAGTGTTATGTGTTCACATACTTCTAAACTTCATATTGGATACTGTAGATATAGTGGTTTGTGAACATATGCTGTGCTGCCACTTCTCATGAACTCCTATTCATCTTTTAAGGCCCATATCAAATGTCACCTTCTCTGGAGTGCCTTTCCTGATTCCTTATAAAACTCTTTCATTTTACTATAAGTACTCTGTTAGTACTTTCTAGATTCTTTTGCTAATAGTAATTATCACACCATTTTATTGATTTGTTCATTTGTATGTTTCTTAACCATTTTTTTCACTTATCTTGTATACTTTGGTCTTGGCATGGGATAAGCATTTAATAAAAGTTTGTTTTGACTGTGCAAATGAACATTACACTGTTTTTTGGTGGACATCTATAGCTGACGTTTCACCGCATGTGATACCATGGCCACAGGACTTTTGGATTTGTGGGTTTTGCTTAGTTACAACAGTAAGTCACTTTAAAAAATATTTTGTTTCCAATAATAGATTTATTGAGTCATAATAGTCATCTCTAGGTCGAAACAACTAGAATATAGAGTGTACTGTTGGCTCATAGTATCTTTTGGGGTCCCACTAGTCTATCTTAAAAAGTCATTCAGCCCCTCTGTAACAGAATCTCATTGACTAGGAGATTAATGAGAAATTAGCCATGACTAGGCTTGCTGAATTAAAATTGGAAGCAAGGGTTATTACTAGAGATGCTGGGTTTATGGTAGATGAAAGCATGACCAATCATTACGAACTGAGGGGTTTTAGAAACACAGATTTGTTGCATTTCATTAACTAGTCTCCAGACATCTGTATTAGCACTTGTTTGCCAACAATTTACTAATCATTTTATGTGTCTATATCTTACTCTCTCAACTAGCTCAAAAGCAATCTGAGAGAATGAATTATGCATTATCTAATGTAGGCCACAAGCTGAGCATCCTGATGGCAAAATATTACCTGGCATGGCCCTTTGGAACATTTACAAAATGTGGAGGGATACTCCCTGCATCGTGGGAACACAGGCTGTAGTTTAAGCTGCTCTGAAAGTGGAACACTCCTCTTCTTCCTCCTACAGTAGGGCTCAGTGAGTTTTGTTTTGTTTTCTCTATATTTGGCTCTGTGGGAAATCATCTGACCTTGGGTCTTGGGCAGGGACTAACGGGCACGTGAGATCTTGAGGTTTCTGGTTCAGGATACGATGGAAAAAAATCAACCAACTGATAGACTTTAGTTAACACAGAATGAACTGGCTGCCATGAAAATATACCCAAAAGGCTCACAGAAAGGATATTCCTGACTCTGGTCCAAAGGAATTTACATGCAAAACAGTCTCCCAGAGACAAAACCCAGGAACCATTAAAAACAAATTTTCTCTTAGGAGTTAGTATACACTTTTAAGGAGAAGAGCTAACCTGTGAGGATGAGCTTTTAGGAGAACTTGTCCTGGAAGCCTTTCACTACCATGTTGCTCTGGCATTGCAATGCATGTCAGAGATTAAGTATATTCCTGTATCTATGACACCAGGAGAGATGGAATCAAAATACACAAATACATAAAATTCATCTGCTGGTGCAGCAAGAAAACACAGATCAATCAAGACAATAGATTTGGCTCCTTTGTGCTTTAAAAAGCAAGAAAATAAACTTTAATGTTACTATACCCGTTTGGATTCCAAAAGGATCAAATGGCATTTGAATAGTTCTAGATGAAAAGACAAATACTTAGCAAATATATTTTCTTCACTGGTATTAGGCTGCAGGCATTCATGGGAGCTAGGCTACTTATAGTCTCTGCTTTGTATATGTATATATATAAATATATATTTAGCATCAGTAGAGTAGGGGGTTGGCAGGGTGAAAATAGCCTTACACTAATTTTAGATAATTTGCATAGCATTCTCGGAACATGTCTCTCTATGACCTTAATGAAATGAACAACTGGGCTAAGGAGAACAGGGCACAAATGAGACTTTTTTGTGGGGACCTTTCAGTCTTTGCCGACAAAATACATCTATCAATAAGGCATACCTGAAGGAAGCACTTGGAGGGTCTTTATTGCATATGCCAACTGGTTGTTTCTCTATGTAATAACCTTTTTGATAAGCTTTTCGGTAAGGCTAAGTTGTTAGAGAAGAAGCTTTCAATTATTCTCTGTAAGGTGATGGGACATGTCCATATTTAGGACAAATGGATGGAGCTACACTGTGAATAGCTATAGTTCCTAACGAATCGTAAGTGGCAAGATTGCCACTTGCAGATCCCCTGTGTGGTGTAGGCATGTAGAAGGAGAGTGGCAAAAGGCATTGAATGGATTGATTATTTTGAGGCACTCTGATGTTTTTTCTGTGTTTTTGAATGAAGTACAACCACAACCACATCTCTTTATGATAGGCATAGAGGTATGCATGCCACCCATATTCAGAAGTAAGCCAACCTTCTTTAACTACTAAGAATCTTCTAGAGCAGATAAATATAACAAAGTTAAGTTTTTAAAAGAAAGCATTTTTGTGTTTCCAAACAATGCAATTATTCTATTAATTTAAAACCAAACTCAACCAAATGCCTCGCTTTAAATAAACACTTTGAAATACCTTTTGCCCTTTATTTTTGTTTAAAGCTTTTAAACCTCTTTAGCTAGCTGGTACAGAACAATACTGAAGTTTACAAAATTCACCCAAACCTAGGACATTATAAATGCCTTAACAATGCCTAAGAAAACTCCCAATTCCCCGTGTGATTCTTGGATCAAAGACACCAGCAGTTGTGAACAAAATGCCAACAGGCCAGAGTTACTACTATGTAGCATTCCACAGTGAAAGTGTGGCCATCCCACATGTCTACCTAAATACATAGGTAAACTTTTCCCTAACTCAAATCCTCTATTGCCAATCAGAACTAGGTTTTATTAAATTTTATTAAAATTTGTCAAAGCTGTTCTCTGACTGGAAACTTGCCTGCTGAGTTTTAGCCCAAGGCAGATTTTAATGGCCAAGTTCTACAGGCATCAAAGGGAGGAGGAGTCAGCAAGAGGATGCCTTCTCTTCCCAAATGGTGACAGCCTGCTCTCATGTGAAAACTCTATAGAAGCATCACAAGTGAGGAGAGACTGGAACATCTCTGACAGGCAGCCTGGAGTTGAATCACTGTCTCCCTTCCAGGACGCCACTCTGGCACAGGTATTTCATGCCCTTAGAAGTTTTCCAATCCTCAGACTGATCAAAGCACTTGGAAGTCAGGGCTAATTTCACCTACACACGTTCCTTCATCACAACTTGTGCCTTTCATGTTTAAATATCCTTCTTCTTAACTTGGATTTAGCATTGTTTATTCACTCATCATTCATTTTTCTCATTTTTCTTCTCCCTGCATGATACCCATGAAGGCAAAGGAAAGGAGATTGAGATGTCCAAATTGCTTCAATGAATTCTGAATTGTGAAGACATTTGAGCTTTTCCCTAAAAGTTTTTAATGAGAAAATGATGCACAGGATGGGCCACTGCCCAAATCTCACCTCTCCATTGTTCTTATCTTGCAGTAGGCATAATTTTAATTAAGAGAAGTTCCAAAGAGAGAAGAAGAGGACATGACTTACTTTATTAAATTTTCTGGGTGGTGAATACTGCTCAGAGATGCAGCTGGACCAATTATGCTAAAGTGCATTTCCTTACTGGTGGGGTGGTCCAGGAATAGGTAATCCCCAACCAGAAAGGGGTTGATGAAAATCCATGCATCTGCAGTACTCAAGGACAGCCACCGAAGGCATGGCTTCAAGGTTGGTTGACAGCTTTGCTCCTTAACCTCTCTGAGCTCAGGAAGCCAAGGAAAAGAGGCACACTGAAGCTGAGTTACCTAGGCTTGCTATGGTAATTTGGGGCCTCTCTATATGTGTGTGTTGCGGGAGGGGTTTAGGGAAGAATGGGCCTATAGAGTAGAAACATGACTCAGGCAATGGGTTAATCTATTTGGAGAAAGGTCAAACAATTTAACACCCATCACAGAAACACCAGCCTCCTATCCCTCCAACCACCCACACTAAGAGCTATATATATATATACACATATATATATATATGTGTGTATATATATATATATGTGTGTGTGTATATATATATATATATTCTGGAGCATTGACAGGAAAGAAAGGCAACACAAATTGGGGCTAAATATTTATTTCCTGTATGGCATTAACTCCTGAAATATTCACTGGCTGTGTCTTCAGCGAGGGTAGACTCAATGGCACATCTCTGGATCCTCACTGGCAGCCCTTTTAGTTGGTACAGATTGTCTTGCAAAAATGAAATCAGCTGACACCACTTTAGACTAGCGCCCACCCCAGACCAATTGAATCAGAAACTCTGGAGCTGGGAATTGCTCAGCTGGTGTTAATAGCACCCCAGGTGATTCTAATTTACAGCTGAGGGCGAACCAAAGAACCACAGCCTTAGACAATTCTACACACCCTGTGGATGCAGAATGAATGCAGGATGGCTGATTGAAAGCAAAGTTTGCACTGCTTTTCTCCATTCGTCCAGAAACCTATCTATCTAGACATGTATTAAGAGCCAGCCATTCTAGGTCCTGGGTTAGGTGGTAGATCTCACACTTCATTGTGCATGAGAGTCACCTGGGCACCTGGTTAAAATACAGAGTCTGACTCAAGAGATCTGGGGTGGAACAACGCGTCTCTGTTTTTAACAAGTTCCCAGGTGATACTGGTGCTGCTGGTCCTGAACTACGTGAGTAGCACACAAGACTAAGAAGGTGCTTTTCCTCTTTCCTGCAGTCTTGTGCTCCCTTCAGGGCTGACACAAAGCCCATTTGGATAGAGAAGTCTACTGCCCCATCCTGGGTCCCTCCCTTCCCTTCCTGCAGCCCCATTTCCTTTTTGTCCACTCAAATTATGTTCCCTTTCTTTCCACCCAAATCTAGTCTCTGAAGAGAATCAACATATAGGTGTGTTTTGTAAGGCCAACTAATAGCAGCTTCACTTCAGTGGTTTAGCTCTTCTCCCTCCCATTCCCCTTCCCTGCTTCCTTTTTGGCTAGGCTATAAAAACTTAAGCTAATGTTTTCATGAAAATATTGGAGACATCCATGAGGATCCCTGAGACAAATTTAGGTGGTGGCGGAGGAACAGGAGGGGCTAATACCTTGACAAAGATCACACAATTTGGCAAGAAGAGATAACATTTGTATCATTGTCTAACAGCTACTTTGTATACCAATACCTTATCTTTCTTTTTTTAAAAAATTATACTTTAAGTTCTATGGTACATGTGCACAACGTGCAGGTTTGATACATAGGTATACATGTGCCATGGTGGTTTGCTGCACTCATCAACTCATCACTTACATTAGGTATTTCTCCTAATGTTATCCCTCCTCCAGCTCCCCACCCTCTGACAGGCCCCAGTGTGTGATGTTCCCTGCCCTGTGTCCAAGTGATCTCATTGTTCAATTCCCACCTATGAGTGAGAACATGTGGTGTTTTGTTTTCTGTCCTTGTGATAGTTTTCTGAGAATGATGGTTTCCAGCTTCATCTATGTCCCTGCAAAAGACAAGAACTCATCCTTTTTTATGGCTGCATAGTATTCCGTGGTGTATGTGTGCCACAGTTTCTTAATCCAGTCTATCAATGATGGACATTTGGGTTTGTTCCAAGTCTTTGCTATGGTGAATAGTGCTGCAATACACACACGTGCGCATGTGTCTTTATAGCAGAATGATTTATAATCCTTTGGGTATACACCCAGTAATGGGATTGCTGGGTCAAATGGTAATTCTAGTTCTAGATCCTGGAGGAATCCCCACGCTGTCTTCCACAATGGTTGAACTAATTTACACTCCCACCAACAGTGTAAAAGCATTCCTATTTCTCCACACCCTCTCCAGCATCTGTTGTTTCCTGACTTTTTAATGATCGCCATTCTAACTGGCGTGAGATGGTATCTCAATGTGGTTTTGATTTGCATTTCTCTAATAACCAGCGATGATGAGCATTTTTTCATGTCTGTTGGCTGCATAGATGTCTTCTTCTGGGAAGTGTCTGTTCATATACTTTGCTCACTTTTTGATGGGGTTGTTTGCTTTTTTCTTGTAAATTTGTTTGAGCTCTTCGTAGATTCTGGATATTAGCCCTTTGTCAGATGGGTAGATTGCACAAATTTTCTCCCATTCTGTAGGTTGCCTGTTCACTCTGACGGTAGTTTCTTTTGCCATGCAGAAGCTCTTTAGTTTAATTAGATCCCATTTGTCAATTTTGGCTTTTGTTGCCATTGCTTTTGGTGTTTTAGACATGAAGTCCTTGCCCATGCCTATGTCCTGAATGGTATTGCCTAGGTTTTCTTCTAGGGATTTTATGGTTTTAGGTCTAACATTTAAGTCTTTAATCCACCTTGAATTAATTTTTGTATAAGGTATAAGGAAGGGATCCAGTTTCAGCTTTCTACATATGGCTAGCCAGTTTTCCCAGCATCACTTATTAAATAGGGAATCCTTTTCCCATTTCTTGTTTTTGTCTTGTCAAAGATCAGATGGTCGTAGACGTGTGGTGTTATTTCTGAGGACTCTGTTCTGTTCCATTGGTCTATATGCCTGTTTTGGTACCAGGACCATGCTGTTTTGGTTACTATAGCCTTTTAGTATAGTTTGAAGTCAGGTGGCGTGATGCTTCCAGCTTTGATATTTTTGCTTAAGATTGTTTTGGCAATGTGGGCTCTTTTTTGGTTCCATATGAACTTAAAGTAGTTTCTTCCAATTCTTTGAAGAAAGTCATTGGTAGCTTGATGGGGATGGCACTGAATCTATAAATTACTTTGGGCAGTATGGCCATTTTCATGATATTAATTCTTCCTATCCATGAGCATGGAATATTCTTCCATTTGTTTGTGTCCTCTTTTATTTCGTTGAGCAGTGGTTTGTAGTTCTCCTTGAAGAGGTCCTTCACATCCCTTGTAAGTTGGATTCCTAGGTATTTTATTCTCTTTGTAGTAATTGTGAATGGGAGTTCACTCATGATTTGGCTCTCTGTTTGTCTGTTAATGGTGTATAGGAATGCTTGTGATTTTTGCACATTGATTTTGTATCCTGAGACTTTGCTGAAGTTGCTTATCAGCTTAAGGATATTTTGGGCTGAGACGACGGGGTTTTCTAAATATACAGTCATGTCATCTGCAAACAGGGACAATTTGACTTCCTCATTTCCTAATTGAATACTCTTTATTTCTTTCTCTTGCCTGATTGCCCTTGCCAGAATTTCCAACACTATGTTGAATAGGAGTGGTGAGAGACGGCATCCCTCTCTTGTGCTGGTTTTCAAAGGGAATGCTTCCAGTTTTTGCCCGTTCAGTATGATATTGGCTATGGGTTTGTCATAAATAGCTCTTATTATTTTAAGATACTTTCTATACATACCTAGTTCATTGAGAGGTTTTAGCATGAATGGCTGTTGAATTTTGTTGAAGGCCTTTTCTGCATCTATTCAGATAATAATGTGGTTTTTGTCATTGGTTCTGTTTATGTGATGGATTATGTTTATTGATTTGTGTATGTTGAAACAGTCTTGCATTCCAGGGATGAAGCCGACTTGATTGTGGTGGATAAGCTTTTTGATATGCTGCTGGATTCAGTTTGCCAGTATTTTATTGAGGATTTTCGCATTGATGTTCATCAGGGTTATTGGTCTAAAATTCTCTTTTTTGTTGTTGTGTCTCTGCCGGTCTTTGGTATCAGGATGATGTTGGCCTCATAAAATGAGTTAGGGAGGATTCCCTCTTTTTCTCTTGATTGCAATAGTTTCAGAAGGAATGGTACCAGCTCCTTTTTGTACCTCTGGTAGAATTCAGCTGTGAATCCATCTTGTCCTGGATGTTTTTTGGTTGGTAGGCTACTAATTATTGCCTCAATTTCAGAGCCTGTTATTGGTCTATTCAGAGGTTCAACTTCTTCCTGGTTTAGTCTTGGGAGGGTGTACGTGTCCAGGAATTTATCCATTTCTTCTAGATTTTCTAGTTTATTTGCATAGAGTTGCTTATAGTATTCTCTGATGGTAGTTTGTATTTCTGTGGGATCGGTGGTGATATCCCCTTTATCATTTTTTTATTGCATCTATTTGATTCTTCTCTTTTTTCTTCTTTATTAGTCTTGTTAGCAGTCTATCAATTTTGTTGATCTTTTCAAGAAACACCTTATCTTTCTTATAACAGTATTGTGACCACAGTGAAGCTGTGCTTCTGCTTTAGTAGCTCCTATCAACAGTTAATATTTATAGAAGGTCTTTTGAACATACCCTAAAATAAAGCCCCGTGTACCCATCATCCAGCCGCAGTGAACATCAACCCATGGGTGGTCTTGCTCTATTCATACCTCTGTCTACTTTCCCTAAATCCTAGATATCACATCAATTATTTTTTATGTGCCAGGCATTATTTGAGTGATTTACATATATTAGCTCATTTAATCCTCAATACACCCTTATTAGGGGGCTCCATTATTATCCTCATTTTACAGTTAAGAAAATAGGGGCACAAAAAGATTAAGTAACGTGCCCAAAGCCACACAGCTAGGAAGTGGTGGAGTTGGCACTAGAACCCAGGCAGTCTATCTCTGGAGCAAATGATCAGAACAACTGGACTGTACTGCTCCGTGAGCAAGAATTTAAGAACTTGAGCCTTCTTCTGTTCCTTGCACCAGATCGTCTGCTCCCCAGGAAAGGGCTAGAACTAATAGTATCTGAGCTCTGGGTTAGTGCCCAGTGTTAGAAGCCCACTTACAATGTGTTCCTGGGGGCAAATGAGGCAAATTTTCCATTCCACTATTTTCCCAGAACTGTCCATAGTAAGCTGTGGGTCCTAGGATGATCAAGCTTCCTGACTTCTTGCATCTTGAGGGTTGTTTGGCAGGTTAGGTTGATAGTAGCATTTATGGCATGATGTGTGAAACAGACAGCTTACTGAAACAGTATGGTTTGATCCCATTTTCGTGAAGAAAAATAGTTGACAACAGTATTTTTACCCAGGCATAAACAACACACACACACAGATACACACAGAATGCTTCACACAGACACACACATAGATACACATCAGGCATACATACAGACAAGTGTGGTATTTTCCTTCTGTGTAATTTTATATGCATTTACAAACATATAAAATTAGTAAGTACTCTTTGTTTCATTTTTCCCTCTATTGGTTTAAAGCTATATACTCCATTTCCATTCTTCTATTGGTTAAGTTTTTCACCCCACATTTTAATTTTTATGATACATATGGGGACATATATTTTTTATAATAGAAACAAGTGTTAATTAATCTATACCCTTCTCTAGACCAAGACAAGAACCTTTACTTCTCTTTGCTTTTCCTACACTTTCAATGTTCATATAATCCAGAATGCTACTTCTAAATTACTATGACCTTTTAAATAAATAAATTGCTAGTTCTTTAAAATAAATACTTATTTAAAATTAATTTACTGTATTATTTGTTTATAAGTGTTTCTTACATCCCACTCCTTTCTTTTGTGTTCATTGTCCTTTGGATGAAATATATTTTGTAGTATTTCTTTAGAAAATCATCTGTGGGTGCTAAACTTTCTGAGGCTTGAATATATGAGGATATTTTCATTTATTTTCTTTCTTAAAAAGCCATTTGGTGGGGAAATATAGGCACACTGCTCCATTGTATCTAGCACTGCTACTGAGAAATCAGATGTTAGTCTGAATTTGTTCTTCTATCAGTAATATGTCTTTTCATAGGTAACTTTTAGTATTTTCTCTGTGTTCTTGAGGTTCTGAAACTTCACTCTGTCTGTAGGTTGAGTTTAAAAGAATATCCTTTTGGATACTTGGACACTTAGGGGTTGTGGTGGTGGCACTCACTCAATCTGAGAGTTCTTGTCTTTCTTTGGTTCTGGAAGGTTCTTGGCAATAATTTCCTCAAATATTGCTTTGCTTTCATTCTCTCTATTGTCTTCTTAGAACAGTAAACTACCAATTAACACCCTTTAATTCTATGTGTTCTTGTTACCATTTATTTTACTTCTACTTATGCTAGGTAGAAGTAAAATATGTCATCATTATTTTTTCCTTTAAATGGTTAAAGTATTCTAAAGGAAATTATACCTATATGTACACATATAAAAAAGATTTAAATTGTCTGATTTACTGACATATTTTCCCTCTTTGGAGTTTTTCATTCCTTCCTGCAGAACCAGGCTTTCATCTGATATAATTACTCTTCAGCCTGCAAAACTTCTCTTAGTACTTCATGTACTGCAACTCTGCTAGAGAAAAATCTTTCAGCTTTTGTCTGTCTAAAAATGTCTTTAATTCACTGTCAGATTGTAGGATATATTAACCAGCTATAAAATTCTGAGTTGATAGGATTTTTCCTTTCAGAACTCAAAGATGTCATACCATTGTCTTCTGGTCACCATTTCCAGTGAAAAGTCAGTTGTCACTCTTATCATTTTTTCCCTATATGAAATATGTCCTCCCTCCCACTCCTCCCAGCCCCTATCTTCTTTCAGGAGTTTCTGTTTTCCTTTTGTTTTATTTATTTGCTTTTAGCAGCTTGACTATCATATGCCTAAGTGTGGATTTCTTTGTCTTTAGATTGGAGTTTGCTAATCTTGTGTCTGTGGGTTGATATCTTTCAACAGTTTTGGAAAAGTTTTAGCCATTCTCTCTCCAAATAGTCCTTCTGCCTCATTCTCTTATCTAGTTCTGGCATCTCAATTTTATATGTGCTGTTTGTTATATGTGTTGTGAATATTTCTCTCCAGATTATATCATTTGTCTTTCAATCATATTTGTGGTGTATTTTTCCATTTTGTGCACAAATTTGAATGTTTTATATAGATGCCACTAAATAAGAATATTATCACTCTGCAGTGATTTTTTTTTTTTTTTTGGCAATTTAGGCTTTGTATGTCCAACATGTAAAATTGGGGAGCATACATATGCCATTGTCAATTTTAAAATAGTTTAATATAGTCAGTTGAAATATGAACATATAGCACACCTTGTTGTGATGATTTATTCAAGATAGATTTAGTTTTGAGCGTTTTTTGCATTGGAGATAACATGATTGAAAACAAGTATTCATTTATATATTGGAGTTCAGTGTATGCTTTTCTTTGAAAAAATTCTCTCTCTAAAAATGTTGAAAAAAACTGATCTAGAGAATATCTTAGGGGTTGAGTTTTCACTGGTGGTATATATATATGAAAGTCTGTTTTGATTGTTGTTTAGCTTTTTGTTTTGTTTTGTTTCATTGTAATTGAAGAACCACTCTTCTGCCCCTACCTCTCTGTCATAGGAGCCTAGTTTAGTATCCTCAATGGCTCACTAGAGACAGATCTGCTGTAAACCCTAGGCCATTTCTCTGGCCTAGTAAGATGGTATGAATACCTGTTGAAGGTTTTCTTTGCTGTCCTGGCACGGGGAGAACTCTACGTATGGTGGAGGGTGCCGGAGATTGACTCTGTTTTAAAATGACAAAACTTTTAAGCATCTAATTAATATATATCAGAAGACAGCTGTATCCTTGGATACAGCAGGAAATGTCCTGAATTTTAGTAATTATATTAATGAGTGTTTATGGAAAGCCCTTGCTAAATTGAAATAAAATGGTTCTTTTAGTAGTGTTGGACAGCTATGATACTTTCTGGACTACTTGGTTTGGAATCATAAATTTATCTGTGAAATAGCACTTGGCTCTGGGTTGATATAATTTTTTCTTTCCCCAAAGATCAGAGCCAGATTTACTGTGGCACTAATGAAGCTTAACCTCCAGGGTCATTTCCTTATATGGGCCCCCAGGATAGCTGGGAGTTTCTGGGAGTTGTAGAGTGTTCTGATTGGGAGGGGAGCCAGGTTGCAATCAGGAAGGACTTTTCTTTAAGCATTTCTGGTAACTTACCTAGAGAGAAAGAATTTAATCTCTAAGTCTCCAGGAAGTTTCTGTGATTTTTTTTTCACGTTTTAAATTGAAATTTACTTCTATGACTTATTTTATAATTAAAAGACTCTGTTCTTTTCACAAAGAGGGTCCTCTCAGTTGTTTAAACCTCAGGCCCCATATAAACTCTTACCTACCCCTGGATAAGATGGGGTTTTTTAATGTTATGGGTTTTTAAATTATAAAAATATAACAGGGCTTCAGTATCTCATATGTACAAATTGAAAAAAGCATCCTCTCTGAACAGAAGTAGTAACAGGGTACATGGCTTGGAGTGCCCCATGGGCTTGATGCCCTTCTGCAGTGTACAATATGCACTATTGCATATGGCAACCCTGGTGTCAACTTAGGGATGCAGAGAGGTTTATAGATAGAAATGAAGATTACTTATGATCCCACCCAAAAATAACCAGAGTTCACATTTTGATGGAGAATATCTTTACATATACATATATACACACAATTAGTATCATATTACATATGCAATTTTTATCACCTTTTTTGCGTAGTATTATATATTAAATATGTTTCCAGGTAGTGAAATACTCTTTGAAATACCATCTATAATTGGCTGCATAATAGTCCATCATAGGGTTATTTCTTAATTTATTTTATATTCTTCTAATATTGGTCATTAGGTTGGTACTTACTTTTTCTATCATAAATAATATTGCATAGGCTATCTATGCATACATTTTAGTTTTAGCTTCTGAATAGTTCCTTAGGACAGATTCCTGGAAGAGGAGTTATGGGTCAAACAGTGTGAACTTTAATTTAAAGCACAAAAGTCATGTTTGCAAAGCATTTCCCTGAAATATGATTCAAACACACAGACTACTAGTACCTCATTATACTCCATGACGTGGCTTTAATAAAGGCAATGGGTACTTATTCAGGTTGCCCCTTTTAGTTTCTGATAATCCTCTACAGTGTTGATTTGGTCATGTGACTCTAGACCACAAAAACAACTCACCCGAGACAATTTAATGTCTGACCTAAATTTTGCAAAATGATCTCATTTCTTTACCCTGGAGTGAAGCAGATACTCATGTCTGACAGAGTTATAAGTAACTCAAATCAAAGTATTGATCAGCAGTGGATATGTTAGTTTCCAGTGGGAGGATTAGGTTGGAGAAACCAATCCATTATTGCCTGTATCAGACATCTCACTGAAAAGCAATTGGGCTAATGATACCAACTTATAATTGACGATTTATTTTAGCTAGAAAGTCAAGAATAGCTCACTGTATTGTCATGGCATCTGTTAAGAGGATACTGTTGAAGATGGCAGATTCCAAATTTGATGCTCTTCTTTTTTCATGTACTTTCTTCAAAAAAGAGAACTATTTCTTTTTTTCTTAAATGGAAAGCAGAAATGGCTCCTTATCTTCTCTTGCTGACCTCTAAGAACACATATTTTGACATTTAATTAGAATTCTGTTCTGCCCACCTGAGCTTTGCTAGTGTCAGAGTTCTATCTCCTCAATTAAACTGTATGGAATTTATCAGAGTTTAATAATCAGTGTCCTTGCTTTCATAAAATGGAATCACATAACCTTAGGAAACCTAAACAGACCCTTGAAATCTTGTAGGCCAGAGTTGAAAACCTGTAGCCTCTAGACTGAGTTTGACCTATAGTCTGACCTATGTTTAGTTTGGTTTACAGTGTTTCTTTATCTTAGGGATAATAATAGATAATATCTATTGAGAGCTTACTATGTGCATTTTTCTGGGTCTTTTACATGTGCTGTGTCATTTAAACTTGGCAATAATCTTATGAAGTAATATTATTATTTTCTTTATTTTATAAGAAAACCACAGCATAGAGATTCGAAAGAACTTGCCTGATACTGAAGTTAGTAAGAGGTAGACCTGGGATTTGAACATAAGACATTCTAGCTCTAAAACCCACCTTCCTAACTGCTACAAGGAATGATTTGCCAACATTAAAGAAAAAAAAAGCCAAGAGATTTCACATAATTGTGGGATTCATGCCTTCTATTGAACAATTGTGAGACATAATAAGAACTCACTGGAGATGGAGAGTGTCTTCCCCTTTTGATAGGATACTTGCTCTTGAATTTGTCTTTATTTATCTGATCCACTTCTCTCATTTGTAAAACAGCTTTACCTTTGTTGGCATTTATGACTCCTGATCTAATTCATTGTTTCTCAGCTGGGGTGATTTCCCCCCCAGGGACATTTAGCAATGTTTAGAGACATATTTGATGGTCACAACTGGTGTGTGTGTGTGGCGGGGGAGGGGTGCTACTAGTATCTAGTGGATAGAGGCTGAGGATGCTGCTAGGCATCTAAAGAATTGTTTTCTCCAAAGTATGAGGCTAAGGTTGAGAAACCCTGATCTAATTAATCTTCTCCATTTCATAGATGAGAAAGCTGAGACCTGAAAGAACGTGGCTTACTCCAGGTCCCAAGAAGGCAGGGTCGGGGTGGGATGAGAGTTCACATTTCTCGATTCTTTTGGCTATTTCCTGGCTATGAGCTTCATAAAGCTTGAACAGAGATTTTTTATAAATGATAGATATCTAGTCTGTTTTGTTAAGATGAGAAAAAGAGAACTAAATATTACAGTAGTTTTGAAAAATCTTTATTGTCTAATCTAATGGATGAAAGATTTGCTAATTAAGAATCCTCTAATTAGCCTTAAGTGAAAAATTGTATGGCTTCAAAGCAGCTGCCAGAATCCAACTATAAATCACACCCTATTCAAAGAGTCTATAATACTGTATTTATGATATAACATGCACATCTTGGCTGGGAATATTATTGATTTTTCTTCCTAAAGTGTATGGTTTACAAGGAAGAGAAGAGACATTACTTTTAGTTTTGACTCAATGAATAAACAAAACCAGGAAATTCATAGCAGATCTCTACATCATGTCCTTAATTGTGGGTTTCTATGATTTTGTAGTCTGGCGAGATAAGGTGGTAGTTTTACCTCAAATCTCTGAACTTTGCTTTGTGTAGATTCCACCCGGACTGTTGCCATGGTTCAACTAACATGTTTTGAGGTTGAACATTTCCAAGACTTCTTGTAGACTGAAACGGGTTACACAGGCCTGTTGCCTTCATTATTGTCTCAACACTAATCTAGGGGCAGGGGAAGACAAAGAGCTGGGAGCTTTACACATGTATGATGAATGGAATAATAACTAAAGTTTCCTCTATGGTAGACACTGCTGAAAGTGCTTTGTGTGAATTATCTTATTTATCACATTTAACCAGCATTTCCTGCACCAGACTCTGTTGATACATGAGAACAATATCTTACATAATCAAAAGTCTAAGTCCTTTTACTAAGGAGTAAAAGTCCAGGGTTGGTTAATGTGGTGACTTATCAATACCTTCAAGAGTTCAGGTTCTTCCCATCATGTTGATCTGTTCTTCTCAGAGTGGCTGAATTGGTCTCAGGGGAGATAGACTGAGGTAGCAGTATGGCTGCTGCAGTTCTGGGCATCACATGACAACATCCAATGGAAGGAAAAAGATCATTGCTTTCTCAAAGTGTCTTTTTAAAAGAGTTCCATACAGAAACCTTTCCAGAGCCCCCAGTCCCTCACATAAATCCCTTCACAATTGTTTGGCTAGAATTATGTCATTTTTCCTTTCCTTAGCTACTAACTGGCAAAGTAAGTGGAGTAGCTATTATGGGCATCAGTGAAACATCAGATCGTGAGAAGGAGGGTCAGCTAAACAATATCAGCATTCTATTAACAGAAAGAAGAGGGGATGGCTGATAGGAAACCAACAGGGTCTTCCACAACCATGTTGAGTTAGGTTGAGCCTCTGTTGCTGCTGCCTCACCTCTGGGCATGATAGAAGCCCTTGCCTGAGCAAGTGGGTCAAATTCTATGCTGCAGGATTACTTAGTCAAATTTCTAGGGGCTCAGAACAATGCTAGTGCCTCCTTCTATCTAAGAAAGGGCAGAAAGAATAGGTTACCCCGCTGGCATGCTAAGAGCTGTAGCTCCTCATGCCCGATTGTTAATAGGTCATCCCCAGTGGCAGTGACCACTAGAGAGCAAGCAGTGACTCCGCAAGCTGATTCCAAGAAAGAACTGAATTCATACCTACCGTAAGCTAATCAGCTTCCCCTCTCGAACCCAAGGGAAGACCTGGGTCTTCCTCACCCTGATTTGGTGACAAGTTTGCTCCTTTGAGAAGTCCCATGAGGTTCATTTTCAGCTGCTTTCATCCAAATTAACATCAGTGAGGAACCCAATGTTGAAAACTGCATTCCTTCACTGCATGATGGGCCCTTTCTCCTGGGATTACTATAGACTTTCTCAAGCAAATCAGTGATTATATTGGCTATTTGTGGTCGGTGGAGTTCCTGAGTCTGAATCCTAACTCCACCAACTGCTAGTGAGGACCTGGTGAGTTACTTAATTTCTCTAAACCTCAGTCTCCCCAGCTGTAAAATGTAGATAATGATCACAATAACCCCTGTCTCTCAGCATGCTATTCCCTGTGCAGATTAAAAGAGAATATTGATGCAAAGTGTTTAGAACAGGGCCCGACATATAGAAGGTCTTTATGAGTAGTAACTATTAACATGATCACTTAGGACACATGCAAAAGTTCTAGGGTATTCTATATCTGACCAACTAACACATTTCGGTAGTCAGCATAAAGATCTAGAGTCAGACAAATAGGTTTCTTTCTTTCCTTCCTTCCCTTCCTTCCTTCCTTCCTTCCTTCCTTCCTTCCTTCCTTCCTTCCTTCCTTCTTTCCCTCCCTCCCTCCCTCCTTCTCTCTTTCTTTCTTTCTTTTCTTTCTTTCTTTCTTCCTTCCTTCCTTCCTTCCTTCCTTCCTTCCTTCCTTCTTTCTTTCTTTCTTTCTTTCTTTCTTTCTTTCTTTCTTTCTTTCTTTCTTTCTTTCTTTCTTTCTTTCTTTCTTGTTTTCTTTCTTCTTGCTTTGTCACCCAGGCTAGAGTGCAGTGGCACAATCTCTGCAACCTCTGCCCCCTGGATTCAAACAATTCTCCCACCTCAGCCTCCTGAGTAGCTGGGACTACAAGGGTACACTATCAGGCCTGGATAATTTTTTTTTGTTTTGTTTTTGTATTTTTAGTAGAGATGTTGGCCAGGCTGGTCTCAAACTCCTGACCTCAAGTGATCCGCCCACCTCAGCCTCCCAAAGTGCTGGGATTACAGGCATGAGCCACTGTGCCCAGCCTAGAGTCAGACAAATAGGTTTCTTCTAATTCTGGCTAGTCATGTGAGCCTTAATTTTGTCTCCTGAAACATGTCCTATAAATGTAAAACAATACTGTTGTGAGAATTCAGTAAAATTATGCACCCAATGCTTAATTTAATATAACTGCTATTAACAATATTCCAATTTTCAGTGACAAGATTGTGTATCTGCCAAGACTAAGTGTATCTTTTTCTCTGCCAAAACTAAGCGCATGTATGTTCCGGAGCTCTACGTTTGAGGTTTTTGTTTTGTTTTGTTTTGTTTTTTCCCTCTCCTTCCACTCTTGGTATCACAGGAGTGCTCTCCAGGCCTCCAGAGACTGTGGAAGTTTGTTTAAGCTTCTGATTTACAAACTGGCTGGCAGGTCCCTCCTCCCCCACCTTCAAAGCCCCGGGCCTAATAGGGATGCAAATGTCTCCCCTGGCAGCTCAGCATTGCTTCTGTCACTGAGGGAAGGCCCTTGGCCATCCATGGCAGGACGCTGAGAAAAAGGACCCCTCCCTGGGGCTCTCCATCTTTGTGGAGAGAAAATGATGATGATGTATGAGACAGCCGTGCCTTTGGAGTCTAAGGAGGACATGACAGACAGGATAATATGGGAGGAAAACCTTGTCTTCGTAATGGAGACTGATGGCCTCTGCCTGTCTTAAGCTACCATTGTCAGGGCTGGGCTGAGTGGGGCCTGCTCCTGAGGAACATCACTGGGTGGCAGGTTCGGTATGTCAGACATGCCACCGTCAGTGGTAGCCTTCAACCCAGGTGGGGGAGGCGGGCAACCAAATGAAGGCGTGTGTGGGGTTGTTGAGTGGATCCCAGACCGCCTTGGGATGACATGCATGTTTGTCAGGTGTGACAGTCCTAACTTGATTGGCTTTTCTTTACCTTTTTTTTTTTTTTTTTGGCCTCCTCCTTACACCTTTAACTTCTCCCTGCTCTCCTTCCCTCCCGAAACAACTAAGTGAAACTGAAACTCTAAAACTTAAATATTAAAAAAACGGGTCCCAAATTCTCACCAAACCCCTCCTGTTCCCACTTCAGGCCCCTACTTGGCCTCAGGAAAGAAAGCTTAAAGCGAAAGTAGGAATGTCATCTTTAGAAATCATCTTTTGGAGCAGTTTTATTAATTTTACTTCTCTGTGGTTACCACATGTTTGGGGAAGACAATTGATTTCACAGATCTGTGTGGGAGGCTGAAGATTTGGCTCTGAGGCAGCAGAGAAAACCTACAAGAACGGGCGCACTAATTGACATACAGCAAAAGTCTATTCTTTAAGGAAACTTTTCTCTTAGTGCTTGTTATGTTAAAATGTAATACTAAATTCTTAATTCAATTGTATTTTTTTAAAGAGAGTTTCAATTTTCTTCTTCCTCTACCCATGTACTCCTCCAATCACTCTTCCCAAGATTTCCACTTAGGACATTAAAAGGTAAACCAGACCAAGTGTGAAATCATAAAGTTGGCTTCAAAGACAATACCAATGGCTGGAGGAGTGTCCAGGCCCAGGGCTCCAACAGAAATGAGCCCTCGCTGCCTGGGAAGGAACCAGCACTTTTGTTTCTGCCCCTGTTTTGGAACCTCCAATTTAGGGATTCCTGGTCTGAGCAAGATCTCAGCAAGGTTGGGGGAGGTAGGTGATTAATGGTCAATGCATGAGCCTTCCTGGATTTGGCACAATCCCACCCTCAGCCACAGAGGTCACTGTTGTAGTACCTCACTGGTTCTTCTTAAGAGGGAGGGGACTCTATTGTTGGATGCTTTCAGATGTCAACCTAAATGACTACATCATCCAGATAGAAATCAGTTCTGATTCTAAATAAATAATAGGCCAAGCCAGAAAAAAAATCTCTATCACTAGATCTGTGGGTGGTGGTGGGTACGTAGCTGCTGTTTTCGAGCTTTAAATGTGGGTTCTTTGGCATTAGCTTTATTTGAAATAGGAGTGGTAGCTCTTCACGCCCTCTGAAAAGTTCATAGCCCACCTTACAGGAGATGGTAGCCTGCAGTGTTTGATGTTACTAATTATATTGCCCTTGTGGGAAGAGGACAGGGTGCTTTAGAAAACTCACAGAAGACAGGGTTCTTCCCCAAACAGGCTCCATGATGACTTGATAAGGAATTGATTAGCAGATGTGAAATAGACAGGTGCCTTATGTCCCTGCCCAAACATTCAAGGATTTCCTGCACCGGTCACTTTGGCATTGCTGAAGGCCAGCTGTGATCACCTCACTCCTCCCCTTTGTCTTTTCATCCACTCTGTCCTCTGTTCCTTTGTTCAGGGCAAGCAGGTCCAAACTGAGCCAGGTGTGGCTGGGAGGGAGGCTTCTCTCCACTATCATGGTTTTGCCCTAAAGTTTCTCCAAGCAGTGTGAAAATGCCAAAGTAGGTCATGCAACATGGCTGAGCTGCTCATACATGCAGACCCTGAATAACTGCTCTGTGAAGCGATGGGAAGGGAAGGAGGTGCCGGGGAAGGCTGGATGTGGGTGGGAGGCTGTTCCAAGTTCAGATGATGACAAGAAAACGGCTGTGGGGCCCCTCCTGAGGCTCCTGGGGTGAGGGATCGAATCTCGGCTCTGTTGTTTCTGACCCTCTCTGTGACCTTGGCTGAGATCAAAACTCGCTGCATCACAAAACTCTCCCCAGAAAAATGGGAGTTATATCATATAGCCTGCCAAGGAGGGGTATTATTACAAACACGAAAGCATTACATTAAAAAAAAAAAAAAGTGAGACCCAGGGGAAGGAAGGAAAATGGGGGCTGTGAGTGGAGAGGAAGTGACACGTTTCATGAAATCGGAACTTTTTAAGGTTGTTTTGGGCACAGTTTCAAGAGGAAGTGCCGTTTATTAAGACAAACAATCACTAATCTAATCTCTATCAGGAGACACATCTAAGCTCAAGCACACATTTTTTTAGGCTCTTCTGGATTTTGGATTTTCAATTGAATACTGTAATATGAGTGTAAATCTGATGGAAGAAAAACAATTTAAGGAAGAACTTGTATTGAATTCTTTCTTTCTGATTTCTGTTACATATACTGAAGTTGGAGAAAAATGATCAGCAATCAAGAACAATCTAATTATCTGGACCTCTGCCTAAAGCCCCCTTCCCTAGTTAACTAGTTAATCTTCCTTTAACTAAGACCTCCTCCTTTGAAGGCTCCCCCAGGCCCCTGCTCTGGCCAGGCTGCCCTCCTCCAGGCTCCTGCAGTCCCCCGGGCTCACCTACATCCTGAACACATCACACTAGGCTGGAGTGCTCTGGTTACTTGTTTGTTTTTCCTACTAAACTGGCTTCTTGAAGACTAGAAGTATCTAGCCCATGGTAGATGCTCAATAAGAAGTCAATGTTGACTATAGATGGAAAATAGAGAAATAAGCATTATTCCTATGTTGGTTTACCATCCCACAGTTTCACTGGGTCAGGAGTCTATGCACAGGCTAGCTGGGCCTTTTGCTGAGAGTTTGCTCAGGAGGCTGCCATCAGGTGTTGGCCTGGGCTGTGATCTTATCTGGAGGCTCTAGGGGAGGATCTGCTTCTGAGCTCATTCAAACTGTTGGAAGAATTCATTTCCCTGAGGCTGTATGACCAAGGCCCCCTGCCTCTTACTGGCAGTTGGCTGGAAACCACTCTCAGGTCCTAGAGGCCACTGGCCAGTCCAGCATGGATATTTGCTTCTTCAAGCCTGGCGGGAGACTCTTTCTCACTCCAGCTGGCTAAGACTGAATTTTATAACATAATCAAGGGAGCAATATCCCATTATCTTTGCCATATTCTATTGGTTAAAAGCAATTCTCAGGTCTTGGCTACACTCAAGGGGGTGGGATTAGATGAGGGTATAAATCTCTGAGGGGGCAGGTCATGTCAGGGTATGTCCACCTTGATCTCTATACATTACCATAAGCACTTTCACACCACAAAGTATCCATTTGCTTTTTTTCTTTTGAGGCTTATGGGAGAGTAGTTTAATATTTCTAGTCTGTACTCCATTATCTGAAAGAGTTTTTATATTTTGTGGTGTCTTGTTCAGAAAATAACCTAGCAATCTGATATTTCTCAAGTCATGTGCTATGTAAAAGTCCTCATGTCAGTTACTAAGTTATTGGTTTCCAGCTCCAAATCCACCCTTCTCTGCTTTCTTTGTTGTGTGATCCTGGGACTCTGCAAACTATATATATATATTTTTTTGAGACAGAGTCTCACACTGTCACCTGGGCTGGAGTGCAATGGTGCAATCGTGGCTCACTGCAAACTCTGCTTCCTGGGTTCAAGAGATTCTCCTGCCTCAGCCTCCCAAGTAGCTGGGACTACAGGCACCTGCCATCATGCCTGGCTAATTTTTTGTATTTTTAGTAGAGACAGGGTTTCACTATGTTGGCCAGTCTGATCTTGAACTCCTGACCTTGTGATTTGTCCCCTCAGCCTCCAAAAGTGTTGGGATTACAGGTGTGAGCCACCGTGCCTGGCCTGCAAACTATATTTCTTCTTTGTTAGTGGCTTCAGGTTAGGTTATTACAAGAGGGGACAGGGAGAGGGGACAGGGGACTTGCTCTTCTTCTGCAAGCAATGGCCCTTCACCCCAGCAGTGGCAGTAGGTTCAGTTCACCTTCTTCTGGCACTTGCAGAGCCAACTTTAATGCGGGCCCTCAGAGAGCAGCATGAGCTGGGCAGTGCTTCCATGGAGGCTGGCATCTCAGCTCCATAGGGCCCCCCACTGAGCTTGTAGGTTCTGATAACTCCAATTTCTTGTTGCTTCTCCTGGGTGGTGGTGGATACTTCCTGAACTTACTACCTTGGTGTTAGCTCAGTGTGTTTATTTTGCTTTTTCAGTCCTCCATTGTCTATTTCACCAAATCCCTATATTATATTTTCTCTGTTAGAATACCCAGTATTGTTTATTTTCCTGACTGTATCCTGACTGATAAAGTACTATAATTTTCATCCAAGTTGACAAGAAACTATAGGGTTTCAATAACTACTATTGGAATTTTGTATGCCAAAGGAACTGATGTTTAGAAAACAGACAAAACCCATCTCTCTTTTCAGGTATTAGAATATTGGGCCCATATTTGACTTTGCAAGTCTATTCAAGGCTGCCTGGGTAAGTAGTAATGTATCTAAATAAGTACACAGGGGTGAGTCATACATCCACTCCCCAAATCACCATGAATCATGAGTAAAGAGACTTTAGCCCCTGAGAAGCTCATACTTAGAAATCAGTAAGGCTAACTGTAGAAGTTATGGAGTACACCCAGATATCTCCATTTCACAGAGGAGGAAACAGAAGGATTCATTTCTATCCAAGGCCTTGTGCCAGTGGAAGCCTTAACCTCACACACTATAGCAACAGATGGTTTTTCTCCTGTACCTGAACTGGTTCCTTTTCTTGCATTTTCTAACTTTTAAAATGGTATCTGTACCCAAGTTCAAAGGTCTTTAAATCACCAAAAGAGGACTCAGTTCTCTCCTTCTCCTTTGAATTAGGCCAGCTGATCTTCCTTCAAAGTGTTTTGGCCATCTATCCTGTTCATTTGTTTTCTATAGACTTTTTGGCTTGTTTAGGCCCTCACTGTCTCTTACCCAGGCCATTAAAATAGAGCCTGGCTGGGTTCTCTATTGCTGTCCATTTGGTACACTGCTACCAGAAGAATGTATCTGAAATATAACTTACAGCATATTACTCCTCTCCTCAAACACCTTTGGCTGCTCCCTATTGCCAATAGGGTAACATTCAAATATCTCATTTGGGAAGGTTAAACTTCTTTCAAAATTTTATCTCAGTCTCTGTTTCCAGCCTTGCCTCTTTTTTTCTCCCTGTTAGATATCCTTCATGCCAGCCAGGCGTGGTGGCTCACACCTGTAATCCCAGCACTTTGGGAGGTCAAGACAGGCAGATTGCTTGTGCTCAGGAGTTCAAAACCAGCCAGGGCAACATGGTGAAACCCTGTCTCTATAAAAAACACAAAAATTAGCCAGGTGTGGTGGTGGCCGCCTGTAGTCCCAGCTACTAGGGAAGCTGAGGTGGGAGAATTGCTTGAGCCTGGGAGGTCGAGGCTGCAGTGAGCCAAGATTGTGCCCCTGCACTCCTGCCTGGGCAACAGAGCAAGACCCTGTCTCAAAAAAAAAAAAAAAGATATCCTTCATGCCAGCCAAATCTGTCCACAGCCTCTAGGACCTAGGCTCCACTGTTCCTCATGCTGAACCTGACTCACATCCTTATCACGGGCTACCCCTCCTGAACCCCATCTCCTCTCCCAAAATCCCACCTATCCTCTAAGATCTAGCTCAGATTCTACCTCCTCCATCCATTGTTTCTTGATTCTACTGAGTAGAATAATCTCTTCTTTCCGCTTTCTCTAATGACTATGTAAGGGAAATACAGATGATGATAAGAGCCACTAAGAGCAGTACAGCTAATATGGAATGATGTCCTAGCTCTTCCCTCCACTGTACTATGCCCTTCACTTGCATCATCTCAGTTCATCCTCATGGAGATCCTGTGATAGTACTTTTTATTTTAAAGATGAGAAAGCTGATTTAATGAGGTTACATAAATTGCCCAAGATCACATAGCTCATTTTTGGTTTTATGTAAATTATTCATATATTTCTCTTGTCTCTCCTCCAGATGGATAGCTCTCTGAAAGCGGGAAGCATGCCTTGTTCAGGTAAGGTCCTCTCTTCTAAATTTATGGAGTATTTTGTGCATGGTGGACAATAAGTCACCAATTTGCTAAAGTTTCAGAATGCACAGCTTTTTGCCACCAAATGGTTTGGTGTTGAGCTTTATTTTATTTTTTGGTTTTATATCAAGCATATACCTGTGTTCTATGTAATGTAAGTCAAAGAGGAGGGCGTTTCTAAAAAGTCTGAAATAAATTAATTCCTGTTTTCCTTCTGTTATAGTTTGAGAGATGATCTTTATTTGATACTGACTCCCAAAGTCTTTGCTTTAACTCCTTTGCTTTAACTGAAAGTGCTCCTGAATTTAAGTGTTCATTTGTGAAGGAGCACTTTCAGTTTGTAAAGAAATTGTGGTTGAGTCCTCATCATGCGAAGAATCCTTCTGAATGTCTGCTAGTGATTCCTTTGTTTCCTAAGCTTGAATTTTTGTTTATTGGCTTTTTTTTTTTTTTAAAGCAGGGCATTGCCTTATACACAATTCTGGATGCATGTCTATTTGGGAGAATTAAATGCAGCTGGAGTTGGGGTGGGAATTATTCAAAAGCTACTCAAAAGACTTATTAAACAAAAAGACAGGAGCATAGATTCAAGGTCACGAGTTAGAACCCTGGGGTCAGAATGAGCTCAATTCTCTTGAAAATAATAAGGCTGACCTTTCAGGAGGGCGGTTTTGTGAAGATTGCCATATAGATAGCACTCGGGATTCACATGCAGAAAGAGACTTTTTTGGCAAATGCATTCAGTTGCCTTTTGCTCTGACTTCTGAGCTGCAAGAGTTATGGGAACCACTCCCGGATTTGGGACTGCTTTCAAAGAAGCAAGGGCTTCTTATACAGCCCCACTTCTGGGTAACAATTTCGTATTCCTGTGAGGGGCCCAGGGAACAGAGATGGACATGTCTGAAATGCGGGGGTGGAGAGAGGAAGTTCAGGAAAGAGGCTAGGGCAACCAGGCTGCTTGTCAAACAAGTGGAGGAGGCGTAGGGGGAAAAAGTCATTTGGTGTTTCTCTTTCTTTCTCCTGAGCACCTTTTCCAGGAGCTACTCTTATTACTGTTGAAGAGGGACGGTCACTCTAATGAGATACTTTCTCTCTGTGCATAAAGGCCCCACAAGTGGCCCGACCCTCTTTGGGCCTGGGCTTTGAGGATTTCCCGCACTGATCATGGCGTCCCGTTGCTTTCTCCCCCCTGCCCTGGCTTTAGTTAGAGTTATCCTGTGGTCATAGAATAGGGCAGAGTTAACTGGTCACCATGGGATTGTACCCTCCTTGCAAGTCTTACTGTGCTCAGTGTCTTGATTGACTCTATCTCATTGGGCTGAGTGGAGACAGAAAACTGGACCTGCATTGGCAACCTCTCTGCCCTGGCCTGCAGCTGTTCTGTGCTGGGCCTGGGGAGACCAGGGACACCTATCTGCTGGCTGACACAGGAAAGGGAGTAAACACTGGGAAGGGAGATCCTGAACCCTTCTCTTGTGATCCCACACATAGGCTAAGCAGGTAGCCACCCATACAAAAGTGCAGAAAGGTAGGGCAACTACATAATTTATCATTTCCATAGGGTTGCTTCTGAGAGTGAAAAGGGGCACTAAATAGTTATGTTTGGGCAACAGGCAAGAACTGGGCACCTTGATCTCAACTCAATCAGCAGACATTTCCTAAGCAGCTCTGTAACAGGCCTGTCCCTTCCATAATTGGATACAGACATGTCAACAAGTAATGACAAGATTGAGTTAGGTGGAACTCTAATAATGGAAGCAGGTGCAAAGGCAACAAAAAGAGGGTGAGGTTAGTCTCTGGGAGCAGGAGTGGGGGAGTAGTTGGGAAGCCTTCAAAGCAAGGGGCTTTGTAAGATAAATGTTTCATAGGCATATAGATGACGGAAGGGATTCTAGAAGAGAACAGCAAATGTAAAGTCACAGATACCTGAAAATACACAGCACATGGGAAGGGTTGGAAGAAAAGTGGCATTGATGGTGAGCAAAGTGTGAAATAGGAGTGTCAGGACTCAGGCTGGCTGAATCCAGGTTGTGATGCCACATCAACAGGCTTGGACATACTTGTTAGAGCAGGAGTGGCAAACTGTGGCCCTTGGGCCAATTCAGCCTGCTGCCTGTTTTTGTGAATCAAGTTTTATTGGAACACAGCTGAGCTCATTGATTATATACCATCTACGGCTGCTTTCACACAATAACAACAGAGTTGAGTAGTTGCAATAGAAACTAACTGTAGGGCCCACAAAGCCTGAAATATCTACTATTTGTTTCTTTATAGACAAAGGTTGGCAAGCCCTGGCTAAAAGCCATGGTGGAAACATTGAAGGACTTTAAGTAATGATGTAACTATATCTCTGATTTAGAAAGATCTCACCATGTCCGGTGGGCAATAGACTGGGGAAGGAAGGAAGGTGGGAGGCTACAGTGACAGGCTTTGATTCATGCAACCAACCTTTTCCGAGGGCCCACTTTATGCCAGACACTGTGCCAGACTGGAATGCAGAGATGAGGTCACAGTCCACTCCTTATGACCACTGCAAACAAGAAAAGGTAAGAGCCTGGACCAAGGTGGTAGAAATGAAGATGCATGGGAGGGGATAGACCAGAGAGAGGTTTAGAGAGGTAAAGTGAGAGATTCTGGGGCTCCAGTTTTGGGACCAGATGGTTGGAAGTATCCTTCCCTGAGGTGGGGACACTCAAGGAGAAGCAGGTTTGCTTCCACTTCACTCCCCCTTAGCCTCTTTGAACTCACTGCACTTGCCCTGTGAGATGAAGTTCTTAAGAGATTTCTAGAGATAGAGAGGTTTTAACTGGGTTTAGATTTATCTGAGACAGACACCTGAACAAAAACTAAGTTAACCAAGTGTTGCCATCTGAATTCATTGTCACTTAGGAAAGAGCAAAGCCCCCACTGAATTTGAAAGAAAAGGTCCTGCATGGGCCCATGGAATAGCTGCTCCCCTGAGCTGACAGGTGGAAGGGACTGACTTCCTCATGCTTGTAACCCCCATAGGTCCTCCACAGATGTACACTGGATGAAAGTATGAGACCAAATGACTTAGGGTCTTGGCAAATAAAGATGGCACACTCAAGGGCTTCAGAGACTGAACACTCCATCTCTCACTCCTACCCTCTCATCTGCTGGTGTCATCCATTGGCTGCACTCCATCAGACCCCCCAGTGGGGGACCCAGATAATGCAGCAAGTGGGGCCATCTTCCTCCCCCACAGAGCCTGGAACAGAAGAGCCTTTTTGTGGTTCCTTTTAGTTTTGCCAAGCTTGGTGTGATCACACTTTCACTATTGAATTGTTAGTAGCATTACTGAAGTACTTGGACAACACATCATTATTTAGATAAATAAATATTTATTGGTTGCATATTCTTGCAAGCAGTTCTGGAGCACCTAAGAAGAGCCAGGTACTTTACCATGAGTCACATACAGAGATGGCTAGAGGGTTTTGCAAAGATATTGCCATCTGTGGGCATCCTTGTACACAAAGCTTTTGAGTATTCCAGCAGCATAGATTACTGGAAGTGGAATCCTGGACCAGGGCGAATTCATAGTTTACATTTGGTAGACACTCACAAATCACCTTTCTAAAAGGGCTGATGTACACTCTACAAGTATTTGAGCATGTCTTTTTTTGCCACGCCTTCTCTTGGTCCCTGGTGAGGTTAAGCATCTTTTCATATGTTTTTCAGTTCTTTGTAATTTTTCTTTTGTGAAACACAGTGGTTTAGAGCTTGATGTCTGAAATCAGACTGTTAGGTGGATTCAAACTCTGTCTTTGCCCCTCATGAGCTATGTGATCTTGAGCAAGTTATTTAACCCTTCAGTACTCCCATTTCTCATGTGTAACATGAGGATAGTGTCATTAGCTACTCTTTGGGGTTTTGCAGTCTAAGTACTTACATAGTGCCTGACACAGGGTAAACTTGATGTAAGGGTTGGCTATTGTAAGATTTGACCATGTCTTTTTGCCTATTTTTCTTTCCTGGTGATGTTAAAGTGTGACCAGAGTTAAAGACTACCAGGCAGAAAGCAGCCTGTTTCTGTGGCTCTTGTTTTATATGTATATGCACAGAGTAACAAGACTGAATCAATCTATTTCTGAAATGGTCTTCTGGTTCCTGTGTCATGATGTGCACTCAGATGATAACATTTCACTTTCCTACCTGGACCACAGATAAGTGTGTGTGCTGATGAGTGGAGGGTCATTTGACTGCTTCGGCTCTCCTGGCATCTCTGGAATTCTCAACTGTTGGAATTTGACCAGAGGTTCCCCCAGAGTAAGTTTGCTCCAGGGAGTGACAGCTGCCCCCTGTGCATTGTTCAGGGCAAGCCTAGAGGTCCTTGAGCCTTTGCTCTGGCGGCCAGCAGATGGAACTGCTGGAGCTCCGGGCTGTAGGAGGCCAGGTGCTCTGCGCTCTCACTTGCAGCGGGCTGAGGGCTGTGGTTGTGGCTGCCTGAGCTATTGCTGCCATTGGGGAGATCACACGCCCACAAGGGGAATGCCTCAAGTGAATGAAAAAAAAAAAATTAAAGGAAGAAGAGAAAAGCTCCTTCCTTTATAGGCCAACCTCACAGTTACGCAACTCTGACTGTACATTTTCAGACTTTCCGTGCAAGTGAAGGTCACCTTAAGATAGATTGAAAAGCATGTATCATAGTCATAGGAAAGTTCAAGAGTGTGAGGGTGTCTGAGGCATTACTTGGTGGTGAATGTGTGTGTAGATTTCCTATAGTGAGACTGGCTTACATGGGCAATGGAAGGAAGTTGCTGCTGGGCCACCAGCAGGGCCAGCATGGGAACCACCAGTGCTGTCCTTAATTGATGCCAAGAATTGTCCAACGTGTTAGCATTAATTCTCATACTAATACAGCAAGGAAGATATTATTAGCCCAATTTTATTGATGAGGAAATTAAAATCAGAAAGTTTAACTATAAGACCCATCAGCTAGAAAGCAGTGAGGCACATTTTTGAAAGTAGGTTTTTCTGATGTCAAAGTTCACATTCTGTCCACTGCCCAATGCACAGAGTTGCAGAATTTAGAATTCAAAGGGACTTTAGAATTCACAGCTTCTCTGTGCCCAAGATCACAAAGTTTGCGGCAACCTTGGAAATAGAATCTTCATCTCTTATTTTTTGTTTGTTTTTGGTTTTGCTTTTTAGGGTTTTTTGAGACAGTATCGCTGTGTTGCCCAGGCTGGAGTGCACTGGTGCGATCTCGGCTTATTGCAACCTCCACCTTCTGGGTTCGAGTGATTCTACCTCAGTCTCCCGAGTAGCTTGGATTACAGGTTTGCACCACCCATGCCTGGCTAAGTTTTGTATTTTTAGTAGAGACAAAGTTTCACCACATTTTCCAGGCTGGTCTGCAACTCCTGTCCTCAAGTGATCTGCCCACCTTGGCCTCCCAAAGTGCTGGGATTACAGGCGTGAGCTACTGCAACCGGCCAAGTATCTTCTACCTCTGATTCACATGCAGGCATACCCTGTTTTATTGCACTTTGCCTTACTGTGCTTTATAGATATTGTGTTTTTTAACAAATTGGAGATTTGTGGCAACCCTGCAACAAGCAAGCCTACTGGCATCATTTTTTTCCAACTACATGAGCTCACTTCATGTCTCTGTGTCACATTTTGGTAATTCTCACAACACTTCAAACTTTTCATTATTATTATTATATGTTATGGTGATCTGTGATCAGTGATCTTTTATATCACTATGTTACTATTATAAGTGCTTTGGATCACTGCAAATCATGCCCATATAAAATGGTGAACTTAATCGATAAATATGGTGCGTGTTCTGACTGCTCCACTGACTGGCAGTTTTCCTACCTATCTTTCTCTCTTTGGGCCTCCCTATTTCCTGAAACACAAAAATATTGAAATTTGGCTAATTACTAGCCATATAATAGCCTCTGAGTGTTGAAGTGAAAGGAAATGTGTGTCTCTCACTTGAAATCAAAAGCTAGAAATGATTAAGCTTAGTGAGGAAGGCATGTTGAAAACCAAGATAAACAAAAAGCTAGGCCTCTTGTGCCAGTTAGCCAGGTCACCAATGCAAATGAAAAGTTCTTGGAGGAAATTAAAAGTTCTTCTCTAGTGAACATTTCAGTGATAAGAAAGCAAGACATCCTTATCGCTGATATGGACAAAGTTTTAATGCTCTGGATAGAAGATCAGACCAGCCCCAACATTTCCTTAAACCAAAGCCTAATCCAGAGCAATGTCCTAACTCTCTTTAATTCTGCAAAGGCTGAGAGAGGTAAGAAAGCTGCAGAAGAAGAGTTGGAAGCCAGCAGAGGTTGGTTCATGAGGTTTTAAGGAAAGAAGCCACCTCCATAACATAAATGTGCAAGGTGAAGCAACAAGTGCTGATATAGAAGCTGCAGGAAGTTATCCAGAAGAGCTAGCTGAGATCATTAATAAAAGTGGCTTCACTTACCAACATCTTTTCAATGTACACAAAATAGCCTTAGATTGGAAGAGGATGACAAGTAGGACTGTTATGGCTACAAAGGATAAGTCAATGCCTAGCTTCAAAGCTTCAAAGGACAAGTTGACTCTCCTGTTAGGGGCTAATGTAGCTGGTGACTTTAAGTTGAAGCAAAGCTTATTTACCATTCCGAAAATTTTAGGACTGTTAAGAATTATACTAAATCTACTCTGCCTGTGCTCTATAAATGGAACAACAAAACCTGGATGACGACACATCTGTTTACAGCATGGTTTACTGACTATTTGAAGCCCACTATTGAGTCCTACTGCTCAGAAATAAAGATTCCTTTCAAAATATTACTGCTCATTGACAATGCACCTGGTCACCCAACAGCTATGATGGAAAAGTCCAAGGAGATGAATGTTGTTTTCATCTGTGATAATACAGCATCCATTCTGCAGCCCATGGATCAAGGAAAAATTTTGACTCTCAAGCCTTATTAGTTAAGAAATCTATTTCATAAGGCTATAGCTGCCATATATAGTGATTCCTCTGATGGATCAAGACAAAGTAAATTGAAAACCTTATGGAAAAGATTTTAGGAACTCTTACGAAGTGCTCTGGCTAGGTTCTGGGGATAGCATAGTGAAAAATGGAGTCAAAGACACTGCCCTCATGAAGCTAATAGTCTAGTAGGGAACATCATCATTAGATAAGTAATTACATGGCCAATTAATTCATCATAATTATGTTAAATGCAATGAAGGAACAAAGTAGGGTCTAGAAGCACAAACAGTGGAAAGGCCTGGACTCCCTAGAGGAAGCTGCATTTCATCTGAGACCTGAGAGACAGCATGAGTTAGCTGGTGACTGGAGCAAGAGGAGGGGACTCAGACAAAGGAACCCCATGTTCCAAGGTCGTGGGCCTGCCAGTTGCAGCATGGCAAAGGATTTGGAGGAGGGCCTGAGAGGGTGTGAGGAGCTTGGCTGGACAGCTTCAGCCACATAGACCTCCACCATAGAATTATTTACAAGAGTGAAAAACTGAGGGAGGAGCCAAGATGGTCGAACAGGAACAGCTCTGGTCTACGGCTCCCAGCGTGAGTGACGCAGAAGATGGGTGATTTCTGCATTTCCATCTGAGATACTTTATTTTTGCATAGCACACAACATATGGAAAGTCAAAGGAACATATAAAAATTCATACTTGGAGATTTAGCCAAGATGGCCAAATAGGAACAGCTCCGGTCTACAGCTCCCAGCATGAGCGACGCAGAAGACGGGTGATTTCTGTGTTTCCATCTGAGGTACCAGGTTCATCTCACTGGGGAGTGCCAGACAGTGGGCGCAGGACAGTGGGTGCAGCGCACCATGTGTGAGCCGAAGCAGGACGAGGCATTGCCTCACTCACGAGGCGCAAGGGGTCAGGGAGTTCCCTTTCCTAGTCAAAGAAAGGGATGACAGACGGCACCTGGAAAATCGGGTCACTTCCGCCCTAATACTGCACTTTTCTGATGGGCTTAAAAAATGGTGCACCAGGAGATTATATCCCGCACCTGGCTCAGAGGGTCCTACGCCCACGGAATCTCGCGGATTGCTAGCACAGCAGTCTGAGATCAAACTGCAAGGCGGCAGCGAGGCTGGGGGAGGGGCGCCCACCATTGCCCAGGCTTGCTTAGGTAAACAAAGCAGCTGGGAAGCTCGAACTGGGTGGAGCCCACCACAGCTCAAGGAGGCCTGCCTGCCTCTGTAGGCTCCACCTCTGGGGGCAGGGCACAGACAAACAAAAAGACAGCAGTAACCTCTGCAGACTTAAATGTCCCTGTCTGACAGCTTTGAAGAGAGCAGTGGTTCTCCCAGCACGCAGCTGGAGATCTGAGAACGGGCAGACTGCCTCCTCAAGTGGGTCCCTGACCCCTGACCCCCGAGCAGCCTAACTGGGAGGCACCCCCCAGTAGGGGCAGACTGACACCTCACACAACCGGGTACTCCTCTGAGACAAAACTTCCAGAGGAACGATCAGACAGCAGCATTCATGGTTCATGAAAATCCGCTGTTCTGCAGCCACCGCTGCTGTTACCCAGGCAAACAGCGTCTGGAGTGGACCTCTAGCAAACTCCAACAGACCTGCAGCTGAGGGTCCTGTCTGTTAGAAGGAAAACTAACAAACAGAAAGGACATCCACACCAAAAACCAATCTGTATGTCACCATCATCAAAGACCAAAAGTAGATAAAACCACAAAGACGGGGAAAAAACAGAGCAGAAAAACTGGAAACTCTAAAAAGCCGAACACCTCTCCTCCTCCAAATGAATGCAGTTCCTCACCAGCAACGGAACAAAGCTGGACGGAGAATGACTTTGACGAGTTGAGAGAAGAAGGCTTCAGACGGTCAAACTACTCTGAGCTACAGGAGGAAATTCAAACCAAAGGCAAAGAAGTTGAAAACTTTGAAAAAAATTTAGACAAATGTATAACTAGAATAACCAATACAGAGAAGTGCTTAAAGGAGCTGATGGAGCTGAAAGCCAAGGTTCGAGAACTACATGAAGAATGCAGAAGCCTCAGGAGCTGATGCGATCAACTGGAAGAAAGGGTATCAGTGATGGAAGATGAAATGATTGAAATGAAGCGAGAAGGGAAGTTTAGAGAAAAAAGAATAAAAAGAAATGAGCAAAGCCTCCAAGAAATATGGGACTATGTGAAAAGACCAAATCTATGTCTGATTGGTGTACCTGAAAGTGATGGGGAGAATGGAACCAAGTTGGAAAACACTCTGCAGGATATTATCCAAGAGAACTTCCCCAATCTAGCAAGGCAGGCCAACATTCAGATTCAGGAAATACAGAGAATGCCACAGAGATACTCCTCGAGAAGAGCAACTCCAAGACACATAATTGTCAGATTCACCAAAGTTGAAATGAAGGAAAAAATGTTAAGGGCAGCCAGAGAGAAAGGTCGGGTTACCCACAAAGGGAAGCCCATCAGACTAACAGCGGATCTCTCGGCAGAAACTCTACAAGCCAGAAGAGAGTGAGGGCCAATATTCAACACTCTTAAAGAAAAGAATTTTCAACCCAGAATTTCATGTCCAGCCAAACTAAGCTTCATAAGTGAAGGAGAAATAAAATCCTTTACAGACAAGCAAATGCTGAGAGATTTTGTCACCACCAGGCCTGCCTTAAAAGAGCTCCTGAAGGAAGCACTAAACATGGAAAGGAACAACCCATACCAGCCACTGCAAAATCATGCCAAATTGTAAAGACCATCAAGGCTAGGAAGAAACTGCATCAACTAACGAGCAAAATAACCAGCTAACATCAAAATGACAGGATCAAATTCACACATAACAATATTAACTTTAAATGTAAATGGACTAAATGCTCTAATTAAAAGACACAGACTGGCAAATTGGATAAAGAGTCAAGACCCATCAGTGTGCTGTATTCAGGAAACCCATCTCATGTGCAGAGACACACATAGGCTCAAAATAAAAGGATGGAGGAAGATCTACCAAGCAAATGGAAAACAAAAAAGGCAGGGGTTGCAATCTTAGTCTCTGATAAAACAGACTTTAAACCAACAAAGATCAAAAGAGACAAAGAAGGCCATTACATAATGGTAAAGGGATCAATTCAACAAGAAGAGCTAACTATCCTAAATATATATGCACCCAATACAGGAGCACCCAGTTTCATAAAGCAAGTCCTGAGTGACCTACAAAGAGACTTAGACTCCCACACAATAATAATGGGAGAATTTAACACCCCACTGTCAACATTAGACAGATCAACGAGACAGAAAGTTAACAAGGATACCCAGGAATTGAACTCAGCTCTGCACCAAGCAGACCTAATAGACATCTACAGAACTCTCCACCCCAAATCAACAGAATATACATTTTTTTCAGCACTGCACCACACCTATTCCAAAATTGACCACATAGTTGGAAGTAAAGCTCTCCTCAGCAAATGTAAAAGAACAGAAATTATAACAAACTGTCTCTCAGACCACAGTGCCATCAAACTAGAACTCAGGATTAAGAAACTCACTCAAAACCACTCAACTACATGGAAACTGAACAACCTGCTCCTGAATGACTACTGGGTACATAACAAAATGAAGGCAGAAATAAAGATGGTTTTTGAAACCAACAAGAAAAAAGACACAACATACCAGAATCTCTGGGACACATTCAAAGCAGTGTGTAGAGGGAAATTTATAGCACTAAATGCCCACAAGAGAAAGCAGGAAAGATCCAAAATTGACACACTAACATCACAATTAAAAGAACTACAAAAGCAAGAGCAAACACATTCAAAAGCTAGCAGAAGGCAAGAAATAACTAGAATCAGAGCAGAACTGAAGGAAATAGAGACACAAAAAAACCTTCAAAAAATTAATGAATCCAGGAGCTGGTTTTTTGAAAGGATCAACAAAATTGATAGACCACTAGCAAGACTAATAAAGAAGAAACGAGAGAAGAATCAAATAGACGCAATAAAAAATGATCAAGGGGATATCACCACCGATCCCACAGAAATACAAACTACCATCAGAGAATACTACAAACACCTCTACGCAAATAAACTAGAAAATCTAGAAGAAATGGATACATTCCTCGACACATACACCCTCCCAAGACTAAACCAGGAAGAAGTTGAATCTCTGAATAGACCAATAACAGGCTCTGAAATTGTGTCAATAATCAATAGCTTACCAACCAAAAAGAGTCCAGGACCAGATGGATTCACAGCCGAATTCTACCAGAGGTACAAGGAGGAATTGGTACCATTCCTTCTGAAACTATTCCAATCAATAGAAAAAGAGGGAATCCCCCCTAACTCATTTTATGAGGCCAGCATCATCCTGATACCAAAGCCTGGCAGAGACACAACCAAAAAAGAGAATTTTCGACCAATATCCTTGATGAATATTGATGCAAAAATCCTCAATAAAATACTGGCAAACCGAATCCAGCAGCACATCAAAAAGCTTATCCACCATGATCAAGTGGGCTTCGTCCCTGGGATGCAAGACTGGTTCAATATACGTAAATCAATAAATGTAATCCAGCATATAAACAGAACCAAAAACAAAAACCACATGATTATCTCAATAGATGCAGAAAAGGCCTTTGACAGAATTCAACAACCTTCATGCTAAAAACTCTCAAGAAATTAGGTATTGATGGGACGTATCTCAAAATAATAAGAGCTGTCTATGACAAACCCACAGCCAATATCATACTGAATGGGCAAAAACTGGAAGCATTCCCTTTGAAAACTGGCACAAGACAGGGATGCCCTCTCTCACCACTCCTATTCAACATAGTGTTCTGGCCAGGGCAATTAGGCAGGAGAAGGTAATAAAGGGTATTCAATTAGGAAAACAGGAAGTCAAATTGTCCTTGTTTGCAGATGACATGATTGTATATCTAGAAAATCCCATTGTCTCAGCCCAAAATCTCCTTACGCTGATAAGCAACTTCAGCAAAGTCTCAGGATACAAAATCAATGTACAAAAATCACAAGCATTCTTATACACCAATAACAGACAAACAGAGAGCCAAATCATGAGTGAACTCCCATTCACAATTGCTTCAAAGAGAATAAAATACCCAGGAATCCAACTTACAAGGGATGTGAAGGACCTCCTCAAGGAGAACTACACACTACTGCTCAATGAAATAAAAGAGGATACAAAGAAATGGAAGAACATTCCATGCTCATGGGTAGGAAGAATCAATATCGTGAAAATGGCCATACTGCCCAAGGTAATTTATAGATTCAATGCCATCCCCATCAAGCTACCAATGACTTTCTTCACAGAATTGGAAAAAACTACTTTAAAGTTCATACGGAACCAGAAAAGAGCCCGCATCACCAAGTCAATCCTAAGCCAAAAGAACAAAGCTGGAGGCATCACGCTACCTGACTTCAAACTATACTACAAGGCTACAGTAACCAAAACAGCATGGTACTGGTACCAAAACAGAGATATAGATCAATGGAAGAAAACAGAACCCTCAGAAATAACGCCACATATCTACAACTATCTGATCTTTGACAAACCTGAGAAAAACAAGCAATGGGGAAAAGATACCCTATTTAATAAATGGTGCTGGGAAAACTGGCTAGCCATATGTAGAAAGCTGAAACTGGATCCCTTCCTTACACCTTATACAAAAATTAATTCAAGATGGATTAAAGACTTAAACATTAGACCTAAAACCATAAAAACCCTAGAAGAAAACCTAGGCAGTACCATTCAGGACATAGGCATGGGCAAGGACTTCATGTCTAAAACACTAAAAGCAATGGCAACAAAAGCCAAAATTGACAAATGGGATCTAATTAAATTAAAGAGCTTCTGCACAGCAAAAGAAACTACCATCAGAGTGAACAGGCAACCTACAAAATGGGAGAAAATTTTCACAACCTACTCATCTGACAAAGGGCTAATATCCAGAATCTACAATGAACTCAAACAAATTTACAGGAAAAAAACAAACAACCCCATCAAAAAGTGGGCGAAGGACATGAGCAGACACTTCTGAAAAGAAGACATTTATGCAGCCAAAAAACACATGAAAAAATGCTCATCATCACTGGCCATCAGAGAAATGCAAATCAAAACCACAATGAGATACCATCTCACACCAGTTAGAATGGCAATCATTAAAAAGTCAGGAAACAACAGGTGCTGGAGAGGATGTGGAGAAATAGGAACACTTTTACACTGTTGGTGGGACTGTAAACTAGTTTAACCATTGTGGAAGTCAGTGTGGCGATTCCTCAGGGATCTAGAACTAGAAATACCATTTGACCCAGCCATCCCATTACTGGGTATATACCCAAAGGACTATAAATCATGTTGCTATAAAGACACATGCACACGTATGTTTATTGTGGCACTATTCATAATAGCAGAGACTTGGAACCAACCCAAATGTCCAACAATGATAGGCTGGATTAAGAAAATGTGGCACATATACACTATGGCATACTATGCAGCCATAAAAAATGATGAGTTCATGTCCTTTGCAGGGACATGGATGAAATTGGAAATCATCATTCTCAGTAAACTATCACAAGAACAAAAAGCCAAACACTGCATATTCTCACTCATAGGTGGGAATTGAACAATGAGAACACATGGACACAGGAAGGGGAACATCACACTCTGGGGACTGTTGTGGGGTGGGGGGAGGGGGGAGGGATAGCATTAGGAGATATACCTAATGCTAACTGACGAGTTAATGGGTGCAGCACACCAGCATGGCACATGTATACATATGTAACTTACCTGCACATTGTGCACATGTACCCTAAAACTTAAAGTATAATAATAATAAAAAAAAGTGAAAAACTAAAAGGATGAAACAAAACCAGATTCCAAAATGTCTAAAAATAAAGAATTGGTTAAATAAATTATGGTGCATCCATTCAAAAGAATAAAGAAATCCTCCAAAACCTCCTGTATCATAGAAGACTATCTCATGATAAAGAAAGAAATGCATTATACAGTATATTGCTTCATGAACAAAAGTTACAAAACTGTATACACTGTGTAATCCTGTTTTTATTCAAGAAGAATAGTATGTACAGGCACAGAAACACCTGAGAGCAGATAAGCCAACATGTTAACAGTGGTTACTTCTGAGTGGTGGTATAACACTTTCTTGCTTATCTACACTTTTACAATGACCTTACACACACACTGCCTATGGTACTTTTGCAACAAGAATCTTTTTCTAAAAGGTGTACTATGTTGGCAGTTCGATGCAGGGTTGGAGCGCACGGGCCCTTGGGTTGGGCAGATGGGTTTGGCTCTACCCATCACAACCCTGAAGCTCTGCATACATTTTTGTGAGCCTGACTTGCCTATCTGCAAATGCATGGTGGTTGCCATGAGAATTAAATGAAATAATCCCTAGAAAGTCTGTGCCTAGCACAGAGTCTGGCCCATCAGTAATAGCTCCACAATGTTAACCAGTAATATTGAAAATAAATATAACCAATGTTTACAGATGTTTACCTTAGAAGTGATTCTTCTGGCTACTCAGTTAGGTTTATTTAGGACCATGTCAGAAGAAGATGGCCACACTCTACAATTGTGGTTACTCACATTGAACCCATATGGACAGCAAGGAGGGGTGAGGAGGAGTGCCCAGAAGCAGGCTGGGGCTGAGCAGAAGGTTTCCTAGGGCAAACCATGAGACTGACAGATTCCCTCTACTGCCCACACCTTATTCCCCTCCCTCCCCTCTCTCACCCTCCCACCCTTTTCTCTCACCTTCTTCCCACCACTTCCTTGCTATTTTGGACTCTGAACTGTAAATTCCGTTGAGGCCAGAGGTTATGAATTAGACAGCTGTCCATCAGTTCCCTCACATGAAGCATGTTATTGGACCTAGTTTATAGCTACCCTCTTGGCTGTTATAAGCAGGGGGACCTATTGGAGACTTCCCCACTGGGTGGGGCATTAGAGGACAGTGCTAGTGATGGGAATGGAAGGGAAATGCAGACATAAGAGATATTTAAAGGGAAAATGAAAGATCTTGGTGAAGGATGAAGAGAGCACAAACTTTGCATCAAACTTGCAATCCCAGCTCTAGTATTTTAAAGCTACTTTTAGCTTTATTCTCAGGCAAATTATTTAACTTCTCTAAGCCTCTGTTTCCTCATTTGCAAAGGTAGACAATATTGTCTACCTCCTTGCTTGTTGTATTAAATGAGGTAAGGTGTGAAAATATCCAGCGTGGGACCTGGAATTCCATTTAGATCCATTTCCTTTTCCTCCCTCTGAGCTTTGAGAGCATGGTTGCTAGAGGAATGGTGGAGCCCTTCAGAGATGTAGGGAAGTAGCAAGCCAGCTTATTCCATGGGTAAAGAAGACTTTGACTTGGGGCATGTTGACTTTGAGGTGCTGTTAAATCCATCTGGCAACTTAGTGAGGGATAGGCACTAGTTTCTAACCCACCTTCATAACTTATACCCATTGTTATGGGAGGATTAGGAGGAGATGATGGCTTAGAAGGTGTCATGGTTAATACTGAGTGGCAACTTGATTGGATCAAAGGATACAACGTATTGATCCTGGGTGTGTCTGTGAGGGTGTTGCCAAAGGAGATTAACATTTGAATCAGTGAGGGGGAAGTTGCCAGCATGTTGTAGAGGCTCTCTCCCAAGTGGATACAGGGCAGGGCATCCACAATCCACCACCATGGCCTTATCACACTGTCTTTTTCACCTGTTTTCTTCTTATTTCTGTTAGCTGCTTGAAGGCAAGCCCCAAGGAAAGCATATGACACCGTGCCTTACACCTAACAGGTGTTCAGTCAACAAATCGATGATTGTCAATTTGCCTATGAAGACAGAGAAAAGGGAGAAAGATTAGATTCAATAACTGGAGTTCCTTGTTTAAAGCCCAAGACTGGGCTGGCCCAGCTGGCTGCTGTGAAACCCAGCTATCTGGCTAAAGCAGCACACTTCTAATCTAGATTATTTTAATCATGCAGATATTACCTAGAAGTTCAGAGAGAGAAAGAGACAGCATGTTCTCAGGAAAAAAATATAAAAAACAAAAAACAAAAAACCCCCTGAGTTTGAGCACAAGTGGGAGAGGATTTAATGAAGGCACTTACATGTGGGACTGCAGTCTCCCATGAATGGAGCAGCATGAATTGCCCTGGCAGGGCTTCCTTAAGACAGGGCACTGGCCCATCCAGTCACACAATATTTATGCTCTTTAGACTTTAAAAGTATGTTTTGTGGTCAAAAGTGCTTCCACCCTCGACTTGCTGTGGGTAATGATTGCTAACTAAATAAAATAAAACTAAAATGCTTTAAAAGGTGTGAACCCCTGCAGAAAACTATACTAGAACTTGACTGCTATGGATTGAATTGTGTCCCCCAAAATTCATATATTGAAGCCGTAACCCCCAATATGACTGTATTTGGAGCAAGGGCCTATACAGAGCTAATTAAGGTTAAGTGAGGTCATAAGGTAGGGCCCTTATACAACGTGATTCATGTCCTTATAAAAAGAGGAAGGGAGACCTCTCTCCATCAAGTGAGGACACAGAAAAGATACAGATTCCTGAAAGCTGAGAAGAGAGCTCTCAGCAGAAACTGAACTGGCCAGCACCTTGACCTTGAACTTCCCAGGCTCCAGAACCATGAGAGAATAAATCTCGGTTGTTTAAGCCACTCAGTCGATGGTATTTGGTTATGGCAGCCCCAACTAATACGCTCATTCTAGCCCCATCCCAGCGGCCCAAGCTGAAGTCCCAGAAGTAGTGTTAGCAAAATGAATCTTATACTAGAGCAGGGCTTTCTCATCTAAAAGTTTTATGATGTTCTTCATCACAGCTAAGAGGAAGAATTTGGCCAAGAATTTTTATATCCATCCCAGAATCAGTGAGCCAAGGTCGCCTAGCATGTTGCCCAATGCCTGGCTCATAGTATAAGCTCAATAAGTGTTTGGTGGTTGTAACTTTGGAACATCCCAAGTTTAGACTGGAGGTATTTTACCTCCTTTTCCTGGGCTCTTCAGCACTGCCTTTTCTCTAATGTCACTTAATAGGTGCTAAGAAAGTGCCTCTCAAAGCTACCTACAATTATAATCTGGGTTCAAATTCCTAACTGAGTGATCTTGGGCAAGTTAAAAGTCTTGGTTTGGGCTCCTCCAGAAAAGTTCAAATCTGAGTAGGTTATTTGGGAGGGACAGGAAACACTAGTGTGGTGGTAGGAAGAAGACAGGGAAAGAAAGGCAGACAATGGAGTTGCATTGTCAAGAAAGCTGCCACCGTGGACCATTGAAGCTTACTGCATGGGGGACTGTGGAAGCCAGCATAGAGCACATGCCTCAGAATCAAATCCCATCCTGCCACCACAGGGCGAGGGAGCCAGGGCATTTATATATCAACTCCTGCCAATTATTTGTTGATAGCTGCTCCTAGAGGAAATCTATTCCCCAAAACATCTGGCCTGCTGCGTGCAAGAACACACCAGGCTCCAGAGGCCAGTGGAAGCTCTCGGGCCAAGATCTTGCATTTGGAAGATGAGCTGGTAGGTGCTGAAATGATGAGGGCCAAAAAGATGTGGGTGGGGCACACACAGCATCTCCCATCTATAAAAGGAAGTCTAGTACCCTATTCCATTAAATGAGTTTGTTGTTGTAACACACTTGGAACAGTCTATCGTATATAAATGTTATAAGTGTGTGTGGCAGATTGTATTTTTCATATGGGGACACAGTAATTTTCTGGTCCCACATGCTCTGCTAGAACCTTGCCACTCTGTATTCTGGGTGGAGTCTGTTTCCTCTCCCCTTGGACCCAGAGGGATTTTGTGACTTCCCTGATGCACACTTTGTTGCAGAAGTGAAGCTGCTGGTTTCTACAGCTAGGTCATGGAAGGTGATAAGGACCGGCCTGCTTTTGTCTCTCTCTCTCTCTCTCTCTCTGTGTGTGTGTGTGTGTGTGTAGAGAGATAGAGATAGAGATAGATACAAAACACACACACACACACACAGAGAGAGAGAGAGAGAGGATCTCTATCCTGAAGCCACCATGCTGCAGAGATCACATGAAGAGACAACGTAGGAATAGAGAAGTCCAAGAAGCCTCAGCTGTTGAATTCCCCAGCGAAGTGCCACCTTGAGTATAAATGTGTATACATCTAGTGATGATGCCTTTGATATGACCCTAGCCACTAATGACTAATGACTAGCCACCTAATGACTGCAACCACCAGAGAGAACCTGAGCTACATCTGCCCAACTACCCTCAACCTGAATTCCTGATCCACAGAAACCTCGAGAGATAATAATGATTGTTATTTTAAGATGCCACATTTTGAGATAACTTCTTATGTAGCCATAGTAACTGGAACAGTGCTTGATAAATAAAATAAATATAATCTCACCTCCTCAACTTATAGGCCCTCCTCAGATAGTAAATGAAATCTTCATATTCTAGATTCCACATTTAAGCAGGTGGGTCTAGCTCAAGCTAATGTTCTAACAATCAGATCTTGACAAGATTAGACTTTGCAATATGCAGAGGGTTTAGCTCTGAACTGGGCATTGTGGTGCTTCCTCAATGTTCATTGTGATCATCTTCCATTCAGGGGTATCCTGCATATCTGGTCACTCATCCCTACCTCCAGCAGGAGGTCCTGAATGGTCCAAGCCATTAGGGAAATTCAAGCATCTTGCCACAGTGATTGGACCACACAGGTGAAGCATAGCCAATCAGTACTTGGCTTTCCCCTAGGATTGGTTAGGAATGGAATAATCCGCACCACATCTGGGACTGTTGCTGAAGAATCTAGGGCATAAAAGCATTCTTTCTCCAGGAAGTGTTGGATTCAGACACGCATGCTGGAACCACTGCAGTGATTTTGATACCATGGGGGAAGCCAGCCTGAGGATGGAATCAACACACAAAAGAGGCAAGGCAAAGAGAATTACAGAGAAATGAATCTAGAGCCTTAATAAAATCATGCTTAAAGCCCAGAGTAGATCTACACTTTCAGGTGTGGGAGCCAAGATGTTGCTTTCATTGTTTAAACCATCTTAATACGGATATACTATTACTTGGAACCAAATGCGTCATAATTAATTCTGGTAGCAATGCGTCAGATATTGTCACAAAACTTAATCCACTCCTATTCTACAGAGTTAGAAAAGAGGATCAATGTATAATCTATATAAACCTTTTCCAGCACTTTCTCTGGACATTTTTGTATGAAACCTTGAGTTTTGCCAATAAAATAACTACAATTTTCCTGGCTATATCTTTGATATAAATGTGCATACATCTAGTGGGTGTATTAATTTCCTAGGGGCTGCTGTAAACAAAGTACCACAAATTGGGTGGCTTAGAACAACAGAAGTTTATTGTCTCACTGTTTTGGAGAGCAGAAGTCCAAGATCAAGGTGTCCACAGGAGCATGCTCCCTCTGAAAGCTCCAGGGAAGGATCTGTTCCAGGGCTCCCTGAGCTCCTGGTAGCCTCAGGCATTCCTTGGCTGGTTGATGGGTGTGTTCTCCATGTCTCCATGCATGTCTTCCCTCTATGTGTCTGTCTCTGTGTCCAAACTTCCTCTTTTCACAGTATACGAGTCATATTGGCTTAGGGCCTATTGTAACACCCTCAGATTAACTTGATTACTTTTTTAACATCCCTATTTCCAAAGATGGCCACATTCTGAGGTACTGGGAGTTAGAATTTCAGTAATATCTTTTGCCGGTGGGGAGGGGGATGCAATTCAGCCCATGACAGTAGGGTAGAGGAAGTGGACAAGGAGGGTGTACATGAGGAGGACAAGACATCAAATATAGGAAAGTTAAAAAAAATTCTTACCAATCACACAATTTTGGAGTTGTCCTAGTGTAAGAAGGCTGATATTCCTGCTTTGACTTGTAGAGACACTTTCTCTGCAGAGATACAGGGATAGAGATGAACACAGAGCCTGTGTTGCCTCTTTTTTGAAGCCTAGATGTTTTCCTTACAACAATTTCTGTTTTGTTGGGTGGTTTCTTTTTTCTTTCTTTCTTTCTTTTTTTTTTCGAGGGAATACACACAAAGCTTTGACTTGTATTATTCTCATTGCATCCAACTGAATGAAATTTATGAAGCCTCTTGCACAATGTATTCATTGTTTGGGTTGGGATAATTGAAGTGTCAGGAATATTTGCTTATTGAAAACAACTCAGGACAGCTCTATGCACCCAACTGGGCCAGGGCCACAAGACATGCCACATTCTGGACAGCTGTGTTCTATTGTCTTTTATAGCAGGGGCACCTTCCCAGGTAGATTAATTTTACACCTGGGAAAGAGCAGTGGGTTAAGAATTAAAGGGCATTATTTCTAACACAGACTTCACAATTCACTCACTGTGTGACTTTGAATAAGTCATTTAATGTCTCTGGACTTCAGAGTTTAATGGACATAAATAACATGGTGTTTTCTACCTCATAGGGATACTGTGTAGCTCAAAAAGGAGAATCTATATGAAATACTTTAGAAATCATAAAACATCATGCAAATGTGTATCATTTATAATAAAAATTAATCATGTCTACTTCTGCTCAAAGTAGAACTTTGAACTAAGGAAGAAAACGAGCCAATGTTCTCATTATTCTCCATTTTCTCTCCAAGATCCATTCTCCGCACCTTTCTGACCTGCTCTGTGCCTCGGGAGACTGAGCACTACAGATTGCATTGGCTAGACTTCCTTGTCTTGTGGCTTCTGGGTCATTTGGCTAATGAGAAGTGCTTATAGGAAATAGGGAGGTGGGAGGAGAGAAACATTGGGGTATTTATTCGTCTTGCTCTTCTGGGCAGTAGCTATGTTCTCCTATAGCCACCACTCCAATTGGGCATCTGGTTCTACCCCTTTGGCCCTCTCTAGGCTTCAAGTAACTCCATTCCCTCTGCTCCCCTTCAGGATGAGGAGGATGACAGTGTATGAATGTGGCTGGTCCTTGGTGCCTGACTCTGCAAACGGCCTCTGCATCATCACTCTTCAACACTTTGAATGCACCATCTGGTTCTTGAGGGACTCTGACGCATGCAGCATCATGACCATGATGTGGGCAATAGCTCAACTCTTTCTGAGGGAATACTCTCTCTCTTTGGGAATGGTCTGAGTTTTCTCTTTTCTTTAGCCATTGAGCAGGTCTGCAATGTGATGTTTCCCTTGTAGAAACAAGCACCAGTGGATCAGGAAGAACTATAAGGATTGGAGGTCTTCACTGTCTTCCATCAGCAATTGGAAGGTTTCGTTAGGTTTCCCTGGAGGCCAGGCCTCTGTTCTTTCTCTGGTACCTCCTGTCCCTCCCTATATTCAGGCATTTTCCGAGTTCAGTCTGCCCTTCTCTGGAGGTTACCCCCGATCTTTCCTCTGCCCTCATCTCTTGCCTGTGCCTTCAGGGCTCCTCAGTGACTCTCCATGTGGAACACAGCCTCTTTTCTCTTTCCACACCCCAGCCCTGGCTTCCCTATTTCTGTTCATGCTGCCCAGTCATGGAATTCCGGATCATCTCTCATACCTCTAGTCACTCCTTAGGTGCAAGCAGGCATCAAGAACATTGCTTTCTCCCTTCCCACGAGTCCCTGCAGTCCTCCCTGCACTCTCAGTGTCTCATTACTGGACCTCTTTCTAGTTCTGAGTTTCTGTGACAGGATGTCCAGTCAGCCTTCCTGCCTACAGTCTCTCCTCAATCCTATACAGACGATAGACTTCTGCCACCTTCGTTTTCCTAAAACTTGGCTTCCATTGTGCCCCTTCTCTCTATGAAAACCTTCAGTGACTCTGCTGTCCACCATACAAAGTCTGAACTCATGACCCTGGCATTCAAAGCCCTGCACAGTCTGCTTCTTAACCTACTTACTACCTGACAAGCCCACTCTGCTCTCCCCGCTCCCCTGTGACTACATCATGGGCTTTCCAGCCTCTACTGCCCCAGAAATGCTGCCCTCCTCCTTCCTGGTGTGAATCTTGCCTATTCTTCCAAGCTGAACCCCAATGCCACTTGCTCTCTGAAATCTTCCTTGACCACTATAAGTGACAGTGAGGCATCTTTTCTTTCAACCCCTCTTCCTTTTCTTTCAAGTTCCAGGACATATTTGCTGAACTGATCTTCGGCTCCTAAGAATGTTGTTTGCGTTAGCCATTTGAGGCTTTTAGCTCCCTGACTTATATTGCTGTGCTGTTAGAACATGGTTTGAACACATGTATCTTGCATAGTATTAGGCCCTTACTATTTACCGAATGAATATATGAATATGGGAAACACATCAGCTTATCCAAACTGCGGATCGTTAAGAGATTGGACACATATATGTATTTTGCAAGCTCATAGGTCCCTGGCACTAAAGTCATGCATCTACTCAGGTAGGCTTTGGGTCTAAAAAGGAACAGGGATGATGATCACCAACATTAAAATATCTACAACTTATTGAATACCTGCTGTGTGCCAGTGCTTCACATGCAAAATCTCTTTTCACCTTTATAACCAACTTATATTAGTATTATTACTAACTATACTTTATGAACCAGGAAATGGAAGTTCAGAGTGACTAAGCAAATAAATCTAGTGGGGGGCAAGGCTGAATTTGAACCTGAGTCTGAGAATGCTCAAGTCTGTTTTGTCAACCAATCAGCAGGCAGCCTTTGGAAGTATCCTGCAGGAGCCCCCGGGAGTGTTGAGTATTAAGTGTGTAATGCATATGTAGCACTTTTCTACCTTATCTTCCTTCCAGTGAGGGCAGGAATCCTATCCTGCTGCTGTCTGTATCTTCACAGTGATGCCTACGACTTGGCTTTGCATATAATCAGCACTCACTAATAATTTATTAGTTGATTTTTGGCTCTCCTCCACTTCATACTTGAATTTCAAGTGTTTTGTTTTGTTTTTGAGACAGGGACTTGCTCTGTCACCCAGGCTGGAGTGCAGTGGTGCAATCATGGCTCATTAGAGCCTTGAACTCCCAGGCTCAAGTGATTTTCTCACCTGAGCCTTCTGAGTAGCTGGGACTACAAGCATGTGCCACCATGGCCGGCTCAAGTGTTTTTGTTTGTTTGTTTGTTTGTTTTTGTCAAAGGATCTGGCCAGGATCGCACTATAGGTTTGAATAGAAATTCTCTTTCCACTCCACCAATACCATAAAATATTTAGTTAACGTAATTATTTGTCTCTAGAGGTCTCCCCTTGAAGGGGCTTGGTACTGTGTCAACTTAGCTAAGTTGGAAATATTTCCCAGAACTGTCTTCCCTGTGTGGTTGTAGACTAGGACTGACCACAAGAGAAATTTGCATGAGACTGGGAAGGCAGAAGGGAAGGAAGCGGTAGCCACTCTTTGTGGATTGGTGTAGGTGTCAGGCAGGCCCCATAGCTCATGCTGACCTAATGGTTCATCCTCTTGCCATGGAGCAGTGCCTGGGCCTGCAGCTCCTTCAGCTCCTACCCAATCTCCTCCTTCAGATTCTTGAGTTGCAAACTTACTGTGTGTGCAGTCTCATGGAGAAGGTGTTGGCTTCTGCACGTTGCCCACATTGTCAAAATTGGAGGCAATAAGAGGCATACGTGGGGTCCACTCTGCCCTCATTGTTCTGAGGCAGGAGAATAGGGTCTGAAGGCAGGGAATGGAAGGCCAATTCATGCCGACTTCCTAGAACTAAATCAAAAGGAAAACCCCAGCTTTCCATGCCCAAGTAACAAAAGGACCAGAGGCTACTCCCTTTGCACTGCCCCCAACTGCCCTTCTGCGTGGCAGGTGAAAAATTGAAAATAGCTCTGATCAGTCCCCTCCTGCAACCAGTCAGACTGGTCATGGGCCAAGTCTTCATTTGTATAGGGCGTAACTTTGTAACTTCACTTCAGCCTCTGATTGGTCACTTTCTACAACAAATCAGACTGGTTGCAGGCCACTACTTCATTTACATAGGGTGTACACCTGGTAATCAATGAGAAAACTCTAGAGGGTATTTGAAGGCCAGAAAAATCTGTAACCAGGCTCTTGAGCTGCTTGCTCAGGCTGGCTCCCGCCTTGTGAGTGTGCTTTCATTTTCAATAAATTGCTTTTGTTGCTTCGTTCTTTCCTTGCTTTGTTTGTGCATTTTGTCCATTTTCTTCGTTCAAGATGCCAAGACCCTGGACACCCTCCACTGGTGACAGTTCTAGTTTTTCTCACGCTTCCAGTTAATGTTGCTCTCCTTACATTAGATCCAGCCTTCTTTCCTGATTACTAGAGCTGCCCAGCTACAACAGCTTTAGGCCCCCACCAGGTGCAGAAGAAGTTTGCCATCACCCCCTTCACCAGCTCTCACAATCGTGCTCATCTTAATAACAAATCCCTAGTTCTGTATCACTCAGAGTGGCCCTGCTTCTCTGATTGAACCCTTGTGGATTCATCCCTCTTCCCTGAGTCCCCAGGATATGGTGTCTCTGGTCACGTGGCCACCTCAAAGAAATGTGTTTATGGTAATTGGGCAAAGTCACTGTTAAAGCAGGAGGAAAACCTAGAATTGGCGAGCTTCTCACTCTTACCCTTTCCCTCCCCACAAGGCTATGCTGTTTTCCAAGGCAGGAGCTAGATCCATTTGTCTTATGGTGAAAACCAACTTAAGACACTTCAGTATTATTCAAGTCTCTACCTGCCCCAGCAAACCTGGGCTGAACTCAGCTCTGATGTCACCACTTTTTGAGGTTGTGTAGCCACCTTTGACCTTTAGTGGTTGTTCTCAGATATCACTGGCATCCAGGGCACCTGTGCATGGAGGTGGACTTGTAGTTAATCACAGGTGGACTAGAGTACGAGGTTGCCTAAGGGGCTGTGTCCCAGAGCGTCTGAAGACTGCTCTTCAAAGGTATCTGCCTTTGACCAGGTGTTTGAAAATCTAAAATGTCACCATTAATAAGCCATCCCTGTGGATTACTCTTCTTGGTGTCTTGTTATTAAAAAGCCATACACCTTTGATAAAAGAATCATTTGCAGAGTGTAGTAGAAAGAATGTGGTGTCTGGAATCAGATGGCTCTGAAATCAATCTACTTCTGCCATTTAAAATAGCTATGAGGCTGCAATAAAATAATTATTTAACCTCTTCACGCTGCAATTTCCTCACCTATTAAAGTGAGGATAATAATATCCAATTTGATATCCAAGACAACAAATGTGAAAATATCTAACCCAATGCTTGGCACATAGGTGACCCTGAATGAATGTTAGCATTTACTCCTGATTTCCTTTCCTTGAACTAAATAATGCCTTGGAATTGCTAGCAAGGCCCTGCATGGGCATCATTGCTGTTGCTTTCTCATCACAGTTGGGATCTAGTGGCTGAGAGGGTGAGGGTCTGCTGTGTGTGTGCATATGTGTTTCAGTAGGATGGGGGGGAGAGAGAGAGAGCACAGGTTAGAGTTAATAACTAGTTTTAGAAGAGAGATTAGGTTATCAGAAGAGGTGGTAAGTTTGTTTCGAAAAGCTAGCTTATTTCCATCCACCTTTCTCCATTTCCATTGCCACCATCTTAGTTCAAGTTGCCTTCTCCTTCCTGGATTACTTCAATAGTCTTATCTGGTTCTTCTGACTGTTCTGATCTCTTTTTACTTTATTCTCTTCTTGGAAGCCAGTGATCTCTTTTAAATGTAAATCAGATCTTACTTAACCCTCTGACCCTTTCCATTATACTTGGCATTCATCTAAACCCTAATCACGGCCCGGAAAGTGCTCTATAGCTTGGCCCCTGTCTACCTTCCTCCCTTAGCCTTCTCTCCCTCCTACCCTCCCACTCAGTAACTTTTATTTACACTAGGATTCTCCCAGCTCCTTGGGGCAGTCAGCTCAAGACCTTTACTCATGCTCCTCTCTCTCTGTCTCACTCACACACAGACACACGCACACACACACACATGCTTCCACTTCCATGTTTTTCCATTACACTTAATTCTGCTGGCTGACTCCTACCCAACCTTCACATCTTTATTCAAATGTGATTTCTTCAGAGACTTTCCTGAGTTCCCAAACAAAAGTAGGCTTCCCTCTTGTTCTTTCTTGTAAAAGACCTCGTGTATGTCTTGTATATTTTTCTTCTTATAGTCTCTATCACATTTCGAAGTGATAGAATTGTGTGTGTTGTTTCTTTCTGAAGTGTTGCTTCCCCTATAGAGTGAGTCCACGACAGTCCCATTTTCCCATTGTGTTGCCACCAGCCAGCCCACTGCCCGGCACAAGTCTCAGTAGTGCCGGTTTATGATGAACAAACACGGTGTCACCCTGGGACAAGTCTATCTGTATGGGATTCAGATTTTCTCCTTAAAAAGGAGCCACAGTTCTTTAGTTTGAGTCTTACAAAAGCCACCCAGAAAACCATACATCCTGTTTACCTCTATATTAATTTTTTGTTTCCTACTTTTTCATTTTTAAATTGAGACATAATTTGCACAGAGTAAACCGTACAAATATTAAGTGTGCAGATGGTGAGTTTTTGATACATACACACCCATGGAATCATTATTCCAATCAAGATATAGAACAGTCCAGCATCCAGTAGGCTATTTCGTGTCTTTCTAATTCCATAACCCCTACCTGCACACTAGATAAGGTAACCACTACTCTGATCTCCTTCTCTGTGGATTAGTTTTGTCTGCCTCAAAATCTTATGTCAGTGGAATCACACAGTGCATATATTTTGGTGGCTGGCTTCTTTGGCTCAACGTGTTTTGAGATTAATTCAAGTTGCTGTGTGTAGCAATTGGTTTTTTAAAAAAATTATTGAGTTGATGAGTTGTCCTTCATTGAATGTTTAATTTCCCCATTTGACTATTGCTGGACATTCAGTTGATTCAAGTTTGGGCAATTATGGACATACTTACGTATGTCTTTTGGTGGACATGTCTTTGGGTTTAGAAATAGGAGTGGAATTGGTGGGTCTATACATCTTTAAGCCAGGCTCTTTTGTCTTCTGCCTCAGCCTTCACAAAATCCTGGCATAGCTCAGCCATAATTTTCCAATGTGATAAGGCAGAGGTGGTTATCTACATTGTGGCAGGCTTTTTACCTGCAGGAATCCCTCATATGACTTTTCTTTAAGTTCATCTCATGGGTTTCTGTGAAGGTCATTTAACTGTTTGATGCTGAGTCTGTGGTCATGATAGTGTCCCGGAAAATGTCACAGGATCTTTAGGGTGTCACTCTGCCAGCTGGAAACCTCTGTGGCCAGTGGAACCTTTGCCCAAGTTTTCCTCGGGACCGCTGGGCTCATTCCACCCACTTGACCCAGCAGGCTGCATTCAGCTCTAGCTACTGGCCAGATTCCATGCCTGTCAAGGGTGAGCCATGTGCAGAGTGGCGAGGGATGTGTGAGTGTGAAGGGTTTCTGGCCACTGCACACAGCCAGGCATGCTGGCTGCAGTGGGGAGGCCAGCTCCAGGTGCTGGCTCTGTCCGTGGCTGATGGTGGACCAGGCGTACTACAAGCGGCTTCCATTGTGGGCACTGAGAAACGCAGTGGTGCCCAGAAGCTTGGAGACACCAGGAACCACAGAGCCCTAAAGAAGGTGTCACAACGCTGGCCTGGGGAGCCCCCAGGTCTGAACTCCTTGAAGGGTCACAGCTCTTCTCTCATTATGGAGAGCGGGGTTTGTGTTTTACCCCTGTTTGTATTATAGCTCCTTCAGCCCCACCATTTGGCAGGTCCCAAGTTTTTGTCTTGCGTCCAGGAAGAATGGAATGCCTGGACAACTGGAGGGCGAGCAAGGTGGAGAGGAGCTTCACTGAGTAACAGAGGAGCTCTCAGGAGACACAAAGTGGGTAACTCCTTTCCACAGACAGGTCGTCCTGGCAAGTGTCCAGCTCTCAGTGGAGAGGAGACCCATGGTGGGTAGCTCGTACCTGCAGGCAGGTAATCCTGAAGAGTCAAGGATACCGGAAGTGGGTAGCTCCTTCCCACAGCTGTTAGTCCTGACTTCTGTCTGAGTCTGGCTGAGTCCAGCGTTTTAATGGGCTCAGAAGCAGGGAAGTGTGTGCTGATTGGTTCATGCTCAGCCATGGGCAAGCCTGGAAAAAGCACCATAAGTTCTCACTCTGGGCTTTGGACTCCACCCGGAACTGGCAGCCTGGTCCCCAGGATTCAGGCTGTCCTTGGCTTGAAGGTGGAGTTTCACTAGAGACCTGCCCCTTTCTGGCCAGGAACCTGCCTGCCTCTCACCATCAACATGCCGTCCATGGCGCCTTGGCTGTTTGTGCCAAGGGGTGCAGGCCTGCGCTGAGCCATCTTCAGCGCCCCCAGCCTCCCTCTGGCACTGTTGGTGCCCAAAGTCCGGAGGAGGCCGAGGTAGGGGGTGGGCTGCGGGTCTGGCATGTCAGTGCTGCCCTGAGCACCCGCACCCTTGGCCAGGTTGTGACAGTGCACGGGCTTGGACACAACTTTGCTCCAAAATCAGAGCCGGCGCCGGGAGTGGGGAGAGGCCAGGGAGCAGGAGCAGACATTTCCTAGCCTGCAGGGGCAAGGGGGGCTTCCTGGCCCCAAGGGCAGAGGGATGCCTGGGTCCAGAGCTGCGGCTGGTCACTGCAGGGGCACCCGAGAGCGCAGGGCTCCCTCCCCACCAACTTGGTGGGGACCTGGACTCCCACGTGTTCCTGGCCCCGGGTGGCTCCACAGAGCACGCAGCCCTGGTTGCGCCTCCCCTGCTGCAGCTGGCATCCCCCCAGCGGCTGCTCCAGATGGGCTGCTGCCACCATCAATAGGCCAGAACAATTTAAAATCATAATCTGAAGGGCTCCTGCCATTGGAGCTTCATCAGACACCACGATAAATTGTGTCTAAAGTAGTAATCTGAGCCAGTAGGAAAACATTATTCTATTCATTTAAATCACTGAGTTACAGACACATTTCATGGGAATGTTTTTCTAATTACAATGATCTTAAGATAATTTCTTTGGCTGTTTCTATGAAATGCTGTAGCTATTCCTGATGTATTATTTATTCATTGGTTTATTGCCAGGAGTAATATTGACTGTTTGCTCTATCCCTGTCATGGGAGGCTTTCTGACATAACTGTGTAGTAATTTTTTTCCCTGTCTACAGGAACACATAGGGTTAATAAGTTGTGGCCATTAGACAACATTCACCAAATTCTGGGTGCCCTTTTCCCAAAAGATAAGCTACAGTGAAGGAAGAAGTGTATAATCTGCAAATTCACGTGCTAAAAATCTCCTTCTCTAGAAAGGATATTTGCTTGTTGTTTTCATGTTTCTCCCAAAGAATTTACAAACATTTTCCTTAATTCCCTGCATGAGACCAGAAAATTTCAGCTTTTGCCCCAGGCAAGGGAATAAATACAGTTAGAACATGTTTCCCATTTGAGGCAGTGGGCCACTTCTCCCCTAGACCACAGAGGGCCCACCTCTCTGTCTCCTCTTAAGAATTCAAGAGGCTTACCAGCCTGGGAGGCTGGGACCACCCAGATGGAGATGAAGTGAACTTTCAGCAGAAAGAGGGAAGCACCTGGAAAATACCTGGATTCTGCTTTGAGTGGAAATGCAGAGACAACCACATGTTTTGGACACCCACCTCTCAAAGTCCTGGAGTCCTAAGACGTCCTTCTCATTGTGATGAAAAGTCCCTCCACAAAAGGGAAATAGCACCCAAATTTGGCTAAATCCTGAAACAGAATTAAATGACCACATTGAATTCTCATGATAAGTCTTTGAGGAAGATGTCATCATCATCCCCAATTAAAAATTTTATATTTTTACTTTATTTTATTTTATTTTTGAGATGGAATCCTGCTCTGTCACGCAGGCTGGAGTGCAGTGGTGCAATCTCAGCTCACTGCAACCTCGGCCTACTGTGTTCAAGTGATTCTCCTACCTCAGCCTCTCAAGTAGCTGAGACTACAGGTATGCGCCACCACACCCAGCTAATTTTTGTATTTTTAGTAGAGAAGGGGTTTCACCATGTTGGTCAGGCTGATCCTGAACTCCTGACCTTAAGTGATCTGCCCACTTTGGCCTCCCAAAGTGCTGGGATTACAGGCATGAACCAATGTACCTGGCCTCAATTCAAAATTTTAAACTGAGGCTCAGAGAGGCTGAGTATCCTGACTGAGGTCACACAGCTTCTAAGTGATAGAATGGGGATTTGAACCCAGGGAGCCCAACTCCAGCCTGAGGGATTGAGAAAGAGTGAGCTCCAATTCAGGGTGTCATCTTCCCATCCTCCACTCCACCTTTTTAAGCCTCATCTGAAAATATCATGCAAGATCACCTTTACCACACAGAGGAGAGGAAGAAACAAATAAATATGGGGGAGGAGGAAATGGAAAATAGAACTCCCACTGGGGTCTAGCTATTAATATGTCTGCCCTGTTCTGACACTTGAATAGGTCTGGTTCTGAGTCTGCTACTGAAAGGAACCAAAAATGACCTTGAATTGAAACTCCTGCATAGGGAGGTGCCGTGATGAGCTCGGAGAGACCACAGCACGACTCTGCAAGTGTATTCAGCACAACGTCACGGTTGCTTCCAGTTGGCCAGGGGGATGCTGATGAGGTGGTTTCCAGATCTGATGAATTACCTGACTGCCAACGCCAAACTTGGGTTTTCCTCTCTGCAGGATGGAGAGGTTGGAAGGTGAGATGGTCTTTCCAAGGGGGAGCCTGTTTCATCAGTGGCTTCTTTAGATGTGTTGACTTTGTGGAAGAACCCCAGTTAACAGGAACATAGGGAGGGGTTTTCTTCAGTAAGTACCAATGTCAGCCAATCCCTTACCTCTTTAATCTCATCTCCCATTGTTTTCTCTGCTTTTTCTGCCTCAGCACACTGGCTTTTTACTGTCCCTGGAATATGCAAGGCACACTCCTGCCTCAGGGCCTTTGCATGTGCTCTTTCTGCTGCCTGAAACCTTTCCCCCAGATACTCCCATGGCTTGCTTCCACTCCTCTCATGCCTTTCCTCAAATGTCCTCTTCTGAGTGAGACCTTCCCTAGTTATCTGTTCTAGCAACAATTGCATTGTCAACTCCACCTCCCTCAACATGCACACATACACATTCTCACTCCCCTTCCAGCTTAGTTTTCTTGTTAGCGCACTCCACCTTACAATCTCCTATGCATAATACTGACTTACCTTGTTTTTGACTGTCTCCCTTAGCTGAAGGTAAGCTCCGTGCAGGCAAGGATTTTTATCTGTTTGGTTCCTCTCTGTATTCCAGCACCTAGAATAATAAGTAGCTAGTGCTCAATAACAACATGTTGATCCATGCGCAGTGGCTCACGCCTGTAATCCCGGCACTTTGGGAGGCCGAGGTGGGCGGATCACCTGAGGTCAGGCATTTGAGACCAGCCTGGCAAACATGGTGAAACCACGTCTCTACTAAAAATACAAAAATTAGCCGGGCACATGCCTGTAATCCCAGCTACTCAGGAGGCTGAGGCAGGAGAATTCCTTGAACCCGGGAGGTGGAGGTTGCAGTGAGCCAAGATCATGCCACTGCACTCCAGTCTGGGTGACAAGAGTGAGACTCTGTCTTGAAAAAAAAAAAATTGTTGAACGCGCAAATGAATGAATTTATTAATCCTAGCCCTGAGATTTAGTAACCAGGCAGGCTGTAAAGAGTTAGTTAACTTCCTTTCTAAGCTTCATTTCTGCAACCATAAATTTAGAATGAGAATTCCTATTCTCCTTGTGAGCTGTGCTTTTTCAACAGGATTACAAAAGGGCACACCCAGCACAGTACTCATACGGACTCAGTAAGAACTGGCTTAATGACTGTGCGTTCAGTGAAAGAATTACCAATAACAGTGGCAAGCGTTTGTAGAGTATTTCTATGAGCCAGGCACTGTTCTAAGCATGTATGTTTATTAACCCATTTAATCTTTACAACATCCTGAAATGTATGTGCTATTATCATCATCATCCTAGCTTTAAAAATAAAGAAACTGCAGGGGTAACTTTCTCAAGGCCACATGACTAATAAATCACAGAGCCTGGATTTGAACTCAAGCCCAACTATCTCCAACATCCATATCTTACCCACTTCAGCATACTGCTTCCCTATAGCAAGAAGATGTAATTTACATAACAGAGGCACAGGAAATTCCATTTAAGTCATGAAACCTCCTATTTACAAATTTGAGTTTTTAAACTTGTAAGATGTCTTCTGGGATCAAATGTGATGATAATTCAATTTCTAAATCAACTGGAACAGATGGAGGCCAAATTGTATTTAACTCCAAGCCATGCAATATCTTTGGCCATGAAATGCTACCATTGTGGAGATGTTTGTAAATTATGTTTTATTTAGACACACTCTGTATGAACATATATAAGACACAGTTTTAAATAGACAGCAGTGTCATTTAGTTTCCAAAGCTGAGTGGAAATAAAAACCAGGGCCATGTAGACACACCCTAAACCTAGCACCTGCTTTTGAGGCTGCTTCAAATAATATCATCCTGATTTTTCTTGTGAATTGGCTTCGATCACTTGTGATTCCTGTGCATCTAGCATGTCTCATAACCGGCAGTCATTCATAGCCTATTTTAAGTGTGAGCATTCAAATGCTAGGTTTCGTTCATGAGCGACAACTCAGGCCATCTTCTCTGTTCACGGTGCTGGCTCTACAAGTCACTGCACACTCAACAGGGAGGTGCATGCACACAAACTTTCCAAATCGTCTTTAAAGGTTTTCAGTTCCCTTTTTTCTTTTTTTGGTTTCTATTGCCTTCCCAGTAATGGCTAAGACATTGCCAGTTTGTCTTGCTTCTTGTGATTTCTCCAGATGGCCTTATGGCCCAGGAGATCAGTTGGGACCAGGTGTTAATATCCCACTGATTTTAATCTGGCTTTTATTTTTTGTTGCAAGAAACAGAAATCTATTCAAGCCAACTCAAGACAAAGGGATTTCACATATTGCATTACATTACATTATTTTTAAATGGTAAATCCAAGAGCAGGAGCCATATCAGACCCTGGCCTTAAGGAATCCAGAACTCGAAGATGCTTCTAGATTCAAGGAAGCTCCCAGGTCTTCCACAGTAGGAGTTCATGGATGTTTGATTTCTATGTTTAAGCAACAAATGCCATGTCTTCTTCTGCTCCCTGTACTAACTGATGGTTATTTGTTTGTTTCAAGTTCAGGGCCCTAGGAGAGAATCTGATTGGTCCAGTCCATCTTTCAAAGTAGTCTGCACCTCTCTCTTCAGCATATGGGTTGTCTGCCATTGGCTCAGGTGCCCTGCCAGGGCCAATCATCTATGGATAGAGGAAGTGGGGCACTGGGTACTGAGTATGGCTTCCTGGGCCTGTCCCTTCAGCAGAAAGTGTGGGCAGGATGGGTACCCTCAGAAGAGGCTGTAGGTGGGTTGGCACAGTATTGACCTTTCCACAATACCATTGTGCAAGACACTGATGTCATATAGCCAAGACATGTAGTGGTGTATCAAGGTAAGATGATATTGTATTGACAAAGATACAAATGCAACTCAGAAAGACATCTACAAAGCCACATGCATGTATCTTTGCAATTGGCATGCTTAAAACATGAAACAAATACCATTATTCCTTTGTGATATGTTTTATCTAAAAATATTTATTCTTTTGCCCAAGTTCAGCTGTCAAACTCCATGGCTTTCTCAGGCAGGGCCTCCCAGTTTTGGTGAGCAAACTGCATTCAGCACAATTTCAGCCTGTGCCGTTCACAGAGATTACAATGGGATGACTAAACTGTAGCCACATTAACCTTTGCAGTTGCCAGCCAGTTATTGAGGTTTTGTTGTGATCGAGCTAGTGAAAACCTATTGGATTTGTTATCACCATTGACTCAGTGTCTATAATGCTTTGGGCTACAGCTTTAAACATAGGCTGAATGAATACCCACATAACTTCAGAGGTCCCATATGTCAAATATATTATGCACATGTTGTTGGTGATCTCTCCTTTGAAGACTGGCCCACTTCCACCTGGGGTCCCTGTAGAACAATGGCTCTATGATGGGACATTTTGACTGAGGTAGGAATGTTAAGGAGCATGAGTTGCGATCCAGGACTGGATGCCTTGCTGCAATGTGTGTGAAGGTTGTGGTGGGGGCGGGGGAGAGGAGCTGCTGATATAAAGGCAGAAAGCATGGCAAACTTGGCCTGCATGACAGTTCTGGTGAATGAAAACCCCTAGACAAAGACCAAATACCTGGGTTCGAGGTAACTGTCTTGAGAAAATTCACTACTGATGGTGGCATCGGTGATCTGCATTTGTATGAACTGCAGTCTCTATTTTTGAGTTCTCAGCAGAAACCATTCTCTCTTGTCACCTGAGGTGCACAGCTTTCTAGGTGTGTTTTTCTTGTGCCCCATATCACTTTCTGTCTATATTTTTAAAATATCTACCTGATTTTTCTTTGCCCTTGGATGAAAATTTCTTTTAAGACAAAATCATTGTCTGATTCATCCTGGTGTTCCTGCTATGGCTTGGAACATGGTAGGCATTCAATAAATATTTGTGGGATGAATGATAGTAAGAACCTAAATTGTCGTTTGAGTCACCAAATTGACCGTGATCCATGTTGTGCTCTCTGCTCAGTGGCAGTATTTGGCACAGGGGAATGTCTGAGATGGCATCATTGCCAATCAAAGCTATTTTCAGGGTCAAGTATAATTTTGCAAATATCTCTAAAATAGTTACTGTGAAAACACCATCAATATATCTTGTAATATGTGAAAGGGTGTACAGGCTCCATTGATTACCAGAACAAAGATGGAATTCCTAAGGACAGACCAGGAAAGTTCTTTGAGTGAAGACAAAGAGAAGGAGGAAGATGTAGAAGAGGAGGAAGAGGAGTAGGAGAGGAGGATAATAGCTGGCATTTATTGACAGTTTGTTATGTGCCAGGCCTTGTCATAAGCACTTTGTATGTATTAACTCATTTAATACTCACAGAAGCCCTATGGGGAAGATACCATCATCCCGTTTTGCAGATGAGTCCGGTGCAAAATAGGGCAAGTTGCCTTTCAGTCCACACAGTCTGCTTTGCAGGACTCCTTGGACTGCACTTCTCCTGGGGTCTTCCTCTCTCCCTCTCTTTCTGTTCCTTGGCCTTCTAAGGAGGCCTTGGGTAGTCAAGGTGATCATTGTAATTTCATCTTAGGGGGCCATTCTGGCTCTTTACTGGTCTCTTGAAGGTAAGACTAGATCTTCAATATTTTTCAAAATAGAGTGTCTGTAAAATGGAGAAATCCATTTCTTGCTGATATTTAGTGCTCTGAGAGCATTAACACTGATGTAGTATTTTTTCAAAACAAAACAAAATCCTCCATCACAGGTTTGAGAATGGGAAGAGATGAAGCGGGAGGAAGAGTCAGACAGCCGTGACCTGCCACAACTGTGTGAGTAACCACTACAACAGTCACTGTGTCTGCCTGGGCAGATCCATTCTTCCAGTCTTGCCAGATGAAGGCATTCACTGCCTTGAATCTGCTCTGACTTTCAAAGACACTACTCTAAAAGCTTCAATATTTCTTGGCTAAACAACAGCCACTTCCCAGGAAGGTCTCCTTATTTCCCATCTGTTTTGATTGTTGACATTTTGGTTTGGCAATAGGGAAAGCCTCCTCACCAGAAGCTGGAGCCCATGTCTAAGGCAGAGAAACTAAGTCAATGGCAGAAAGGTTAGATTTGTTCCTAACAGACTGAAAAAAAATTTACCCTTCCAGGAACTTAGGTATCCTGTGTCCAAACTGCACACGCAGGAGCAAAGATTACATAATTCTTCAGATATTTTTAATATACTTGACCAAAGTGGAGAATTGAGATGGCATCCAGGGTTCTGGTTTGGCAACAACAAATACTTACCATTAGTCAGGGTTCTCCAGAGGGACAGAACCAATAGGATACGTGTTTATATAAAAGGGAGTTTATTAGGAAGAATTGGCTCACATAATTACAAGGCAAAGCCCCATGATGGGCCGTCTGCAAGCTGGAGATGAAAGAAGCCGGTAGCGGCTCAGTCCGAGTCCAAGAGCCTGAACCAGGGGAGCTGACAGTGCAGCCTTCAGTCTGTGGCTGAAGGCCAGAGCCCCTCCTGGCAAACCACTAGTGCAAGTCCCAGAGTTCAAAGGCTAAATGGAGTCTGATGTCCAAGGGTAGGAGGAGCAGAAGGGAGCATCCAGCACTGGAAAAAGAAGGAAGCTAGAAGGTTTGGCAAGCAAGGTGATCCCACCTTCTTCCACCTGCTTTGTTCTAGCCACGCTGGCAGCCAGTTGGATGGTGCCCGCCCACAATGAGGGTGGGTCTTCTTTTTCCAGTCCACCAACTCAAATGTTAGTCTCCTCTGGCAACACCCTCACAGACACACCCAGAAACAACACTTTACCAGTCATCTAGGCATCCTTCAGTCAATCAAGTTGACACCTAATATCAACCATCACAAGTTCACACCTTTTCAACTTGGCACCCATACACATCTCCTGAAATCATACTAATCTCCAAATAAAGACAATAATAATGTCATAATTACACCTAACGTAATACAACTATCCTTCATACAACCAGAAGTACACTGATTCTAAACCTAAATGCTATTACATAAAGCATCAGCATTCAATAAATACTTGTGGAATGAATGAATGAATAGAAAAAGTCTAGAAAGGTATCAAACATAAATGTTGAAAGTAATTATTCTCTCTTTAAATAGCTGCATGTTCTGATTTTTCTATTATAAATATGTATTTGTTTTATAATAGTTTTAAAAATATAACTTCAATTTTCCAGGAACTTACTGATTTGCAGCTGAAGTGAGGGCAAAGATTGAGCTGGGTTTTGCCAGCTTTAATATAGGCAAGCTCCGCTTTATTGTGTGTGGTACAGCAGCAGCCCCTGTGGTAAGTTCCTGGAAGACTGGGCCCTTTTCAGGATCTAGATCAAGTTAATACTTTCTGGCCAATGGGGAAGTAACTACTTTGTTCTCTGAGCAAAGGGCTTCTTAAAAATCACAAGATATTAGAGGTTGCCTTGCCCAATTTTCCTAGTTTCCAGATGAAGAAACTGAGTCCAGAGAGCTGGTTGGCCTTGAGAATGTCAGTCATGAAACTGGTATTAGAATGCAGGTCTTCCAACTTTAAACACATTTCTCCTTTCCACACTGGCACAGCCAGAGACCTAAAAAGAAACTAGTGACATCCTCAACTGGGTCACTGAGGGAAATTTAATAAAGAGACACTTTAAAAGGTGTGGGCAGAGTTTGGAAGACCAGCAAAGGGAGTGAAGTACTCCAGGTTGTGCAAAAATGGAGAGCTGTTACTGCCTGAGGCCCAGACAGACAAGCACGGGGGCTGTTATAGAACCTGAAAGAGCAGGAGTGCAGAGAAGGTGGCAGACAGACAGGCACTGGGGCCTTCCATAGGGACACAGCCAATCTGCAGGACCCAGTAGTAAAGGTGAGAGCTGGGGAATAAACAGCCCAACCTCATTCTTTTCCCAACTGGAAGCCAAAGGCCAAGGGAGCTTGTTGATGCAGCTCAAAGAGATGGGTGTCCTAGGGCACAAAGCATAGTAAGAAAGGGCAGAGAGGGAATCTGGAGGGGCCTATGCAATGTACCCGGCACACTTGCCTTCTGGAAGATCAACTTAGTCCTGTCATTGCCCGTTGCTGTTTGCCCTTTGATTTGATTTGGCTTCAAGTCAGTAATAACCTGGACAATTGAGGTTCCATTTTAAAAACTATTGTGATGCAAAGAATACATATTTATAATAAAAAAAACAGAACATGCAGCTATCTAAATAAATTTAATGACTTTCATCATTTATGATTGACACCCTTTGAGATGTTTTCTATTCGTTCATCCATTCATTGCTGCCATAAATATTTATTGAATGCCAAGGTGTGCCAGGCTATTTCAGATGTATGCATGTAGGAGAAAATAAGATAAACAAACATCTTTTCTGTTCTTTCCCTCAAGGAGCTAACATTCTAGAGGGGGGGGAGTCACAGTAAACAAGATAAATAACCACAATGATAGAATGCGAGACAGCGATGAGATTGTAAGAAGAAAATGAAAGCAGGGCCAAGAAATAAGCGTGTCATGGGGAGTTATAATTTTAAATAAGGTGGTCAGGGAAGTGTGTGTGTGTGTGTGTGTGTGTATGTGTGTGTGTGTGTGTGTGTGTGATGAGATAGCAAGAGAGGGCACCAGCATGCAATGGCTGCCCTTTGGGCTTTTCCTCGGCTAACTGCTGAGTGTTCAGGTAACAGGGAGTGTAGGTGGTGTGACTTCTCCCCTCCCTCGCAGTTTCAAAATGTCTCTTTTTAGATTTTTTTAAAGGGCAAAGCTTTCTCCACTCCATATATTAACCACTTAAAAAGTGCCATGGGGAATCCTTAGCATAAGTTTATTAGCCAAATTCTTGGTGTATATCTGTCCCTTTATAGCTGGGTGACTCGGGGGAAGTCATTTGACCTCTCTGAGGCTTAGCTTCCTCATTTGTAAAATTGAGGGTTTGGGTGACAATTAAAGGAAATAAGATTAGATCTGTGGGGGGCCTAGTGGCCAGGACATAGCTCATATCCTATAGATAATAGTTTCTTTCCTTCTCTGGGTAGGTGTGTTCTGCTAATACTATGGACCTGAGATCCACAGAATGGGGAGTTGACTGAACAGCCTATTAATAGTAATAGCTGGTGTCAACTGGCCACCTATGTGCGAGGCAAACCCTTTACCTGTGTGATCTCATTAAATCCCCACATTTTAAGTTTAGGAAATGCAAGCACAGAGCCCCCTTGCACAGGTGGTAGGCTGCAGAACCCAGGCTCAAGTCCTAGTTTGATTAACATCAAAGCCTATGCATGCTTGATCAAAGCCCTGTGCTCCTTCTCTACCCTGCCTTGCCCACCCCCATCAGGAAGAGTCAAGGTTGGATGGAGCCAGAGTATAGGGAGGGATTTTTTCATAATTTGAAAACCTATGATACTACTGGGTAACATATCATTATTACCTTGGAAAAGCTTCTTTGCTAAATCCCACTAGGACAATGGTTCTGCAAGTAGGGTATGGAGCTGATTACCTGTGGATCACCTGAGTAGTTTATTTAAAAAATACAAATGCCAGGGCTTTACCTCCTGAAATTCTAGTTGAGTAAGTCTAGGGTAAGGCCTGAGTATCTGTGTTTTCTAACAGAGTCTCAGGTGTTTCTGATGTACAGCCAGGTTTGGACTTGTAGGCTCTGTAGGGTCTAAACTACTAATGCACCCTGGGGATCTTTTGTTCTTGTCTCCTTATTGCAACTGAGATTATAAATTATCACTCTTCCCAGTGGTGGTGAGTCTGCTGGGTAATCTAATCCAGGCTTCATCTGAATGTTTGATAAAATGATTGCAGCAGGACAAGGTCAAGTTGTCCTGAAGCATTCATATGAGAGGCTTCCTGCTGGTCAGCCCACAGACTCATGTTCTTTGGCCATTCAAAGAACAGTCTATCAGCTGTACTATGCTCCAGTCCACAGTTTCTATGAGGACGCTGTGATAAACCTTGTCAAATGCTTTGCCAAAATCAAGGTGCACAGTGTCTGTGCTTTTCTTTTCTCTAAACATTCTAGAAGCCCCATCAAAAACAAAGTGTGTATGAGTGTAATAATTCTTTGTCAGTGAACCCAATCTATACTAGATGCCAGGGATTAGCAACTTCTTTTCTTTTTTTCTATATAAGCAATTGTTTTGAGTTTCAAATCTTATTCAGTTTAAAAAATTTTTTTTTATTATACTTTAAGTTCTGGGATACATGTGCAGAGCGTGCAGGTTTGTTACATAGGTATACACGTGCCATGGTGGTTTGCTGCACCCATCAACCTGTCATCTACATTAGGTATTTCTCCTAATGCTATCCCTCCCCTAGCCCCCAACCCCACGACAGGCTCTGGTGTGTGATGTTCCCCTCCCTGTGCCCATATGTTCTTTTCTAAGGGCTCAAAAGTCTTTTATTCTTTTCTTTTCTTTTTTCTTTCTTGAGAAACAAAAGAATCTACTGTCTTCTTGGTAGGTTTCTACAAATGTGAGCTGAAAAATGGATCACATCAGTCAATCGTAAAACCAATTTGGGCCTCATATGGCATCACTTGGGTCTTGACATTTCATTTCTGTCAAGAACAAGGGTTCAGATTGTCAGCATACTAGGCACCTTGGAGGGTGGGTTGTAGGGAAGAAGGCGCTGGTCTTAAAGTTGTACATTTACCAAGTTTCTTTAATAAACAAGAAAGGAAAAGACTACACAGTCACTCATATTCCATGTAGAGGTTTAGCCAGTCTACACTGGAAACCTTAGAACCACACCCATCCATCCCATCACTTCCCTGATGACTGCAAATGGGTCGTCCTCTGCAAATGGGTCTAAAATGATTGTCAGTTCCCCATGAATCTCTAAATGCTCCAGCCAGTACTTTGAGAGTAAATTTTATTCTCTTAAGGAGATGGCTTAATCAACACTACTCAATATATCTGATCTCTATGTGACCTTGTTATATTTGTTCTTATGTTTCTAGACCCTGAATGGAACCCCTCACTTGGCTCGTTTATCTTAAGATATCCTATTTGCATGAGGCTTTATGTATAAAAATCAGCATATTCAAAAATTATAGCATTAATATCACCTTGAAGGATTATTCTTTGCTTTAGTAGAGGATTCACTATGTAATCCTTTAAGTAATGAACATCACCAAGAAAACATATTTAAATCTATGCTCTTATTTTCATAACGGTGTGTCTTGTATATGCTACTGTAAACCTATAAAGAGTCAGTCTTGTCATCATCCATTAGTTACTTTCCTTTCTCATAAATTAACAAACCCATGTATTCTTTGGTCTTGTCATAAATGATGACTTTATGTTATTATTTTTCTGAGTTTTGTTTATTTTATTTATTTGTTTATTTACTTTTGAGATGGAGTTTCACTCTTGTCACCCAGGCTGGAGTGCAATGGCATGATCTTGGCTCACTGCAACCTCCGTGTCCTGGGTTCAAGCGATTTTCCAGCCTCAGTCTCCCAAGTAATGAGGATTACAGGTGTCCGTCACCATGCTGGCTAATTTTTATATTTTTAGTAGAGATGTGGTTTTGCCATGTTGGCCAGACTTGTCTCAAACACCTGACCTCAGGTGATCTGCCCACCTTGGCCTCCCAAAGTGCTGAGACTACAGGCATGAGCCACCACCCCCGGCCAAGTTTTATTTTTTGATCATTGAAGAGCAATTAAAAATGTTGAAGAATAACAATGATAGTCACCATGTATTGAGTGTGTTTATACCAGGCACTGCTCTGTAAATGCCATACATACACTCAATTATTAAAACTACATATTAAATTATGGCATTAAGATTATAATTATTATTCTCTGTTTATCTTTAACTACTTTGCTTTTCTTCCTCAAATATCACCCCAAATCTTAAAACTCAGAGATAGCCAGTTTCTTCCTCCCTTGGAACAAAAGAATTCTAATACATTAATAAAATACTTCCTCATTGCTCCTTTTGTTTTCTAAGTTAACTTGAACCAGGGCTGTATAAGTTAATCTTATCTGCTAGGGTTGGAAACTTTTACTAAGGCGTGATTTGTGTTACTAAGCTCATAGTGGGCTTTAAAGATGACAAAGGGTTGCTAAATTTATTCATTTGTTCATTTTCATAACAAGAATCGATTGAGTACTTACTGTATGCCAGGCACCGTGTTAGGCATTAGAGAAAGAGATAAGTAACTCACACTCTTCAGACTCCCCTCCAACATCTACCAAAAATTATCTAAGTGCAGGTTCCTCTCAAGCCACTGGGCAAGTGTCCAGATGCATTTTGGAGGCAGGTTCCCTCTGCCCAGTGCTAGCACCTCCCTTCCTGATCTTTTCTTATTATTTGCATACTATTCTTAAGAACTACTCCAGTTTTTATGGGAATAGCTCATGCTCTACTGCTTGGTCTGGCTCCAAGGCTTTTGGTGTCACAAAATCCATATCAGCATTGAACCCCCTCAACCCTACTCTCAGAAGACTCTTTCCACTGAGAGGATCCTTTGCGACTCATGCCCTTGAACTACCCATTCATTTAGAGACAGAAGGGAATTTACCTGGAGACAGTGATGGTTATCTGACCCAGCGCAGACATTAATTAAAGGATGATGCTCTCACCCAGTCCAAGGGTCATGATGGAATGCTCTTTCTTCCAAACTGAGCAGAAGTTCCTGCCTTGTGATTTCTCTGAAAAACTTCTAAAATACTATGTGTTTCCAGCTTCCTTCTACTTCACCCTTTGACCCAGGGTTTGCAACTTGACTTGTAGGGGCCAATTCCTGTAAAATAATGTCCTGCTTAGGCTCTGCTCTAGATGTAAGTTAGATTTCCAGCAACCATGGAAATAACTGGGGGGTGGAGGAAACAAAACCTCAGAGCAGACAAAATAGCAGTTACCAAGGCCATGCACAAAAGCCATGCAGTTTTCTCTATTGAACAGACTTCTAGGCCCAGTGTGTCAGTTTCCTTTTGCTGCTGTAACAAATCACCATGAACTCAGTAGTTTAAAACAACACACATTTATTATCTCACTGTTTTGGAGAATAGAAGTTTAAAATGAGTCTCCAAGGTATCAGCAAGGCTACATTTCTTTCTGGAGGTGTTAGTGTGGAGAATCTAATGTTTTACCTTTTCCAGCTTCTAACAGCTATCCCCATTCCTGGGCTGCAGCCCCTCCCAGAGATGGATGGCTTCCATCTTCAAAGACAGCAATGGCTGCCCGAGTCTTTCTCATGTCAAATCGCTCTGACATTGACTCTCTTGTTTTTCTCTTTCACTTGTAAGGACCCTTGTGATTATATTGGGCCTGCCTAGAAATCTGGAATAATCTCCACATCTAGGGCAGTTGATGAACAACTTTAATTACATCTGTGACCTCAATTCCATCTGTAACCTTAATTTCCCCTTGAAATGTAACAAAACGCATTCAGAGAGTCTGGGGATTGGGACATGAACATCTTTGGTGGGGGGTGGGGGGGCTATTCTTCTGCCTTCCCCACCCAGGCTCAACTATACATATACCTTGTGCACAGTAGCACAAATTTGGCTAGTTGGTGTTTGAGCTGTTGAAAGTAGGAAGCCCTGTGAGTGGCAGATGATTGTCTGCAATGGGAAATGAGAGCTGGAAGCCTAACGTCAAAAACAGTGATCAAAACCAAAAACGAGCCACCCAGTTAACGAATCACAGAAGTCTGACATCACAGAGAATGGGGAAAAGTATCCCTATCCACTTCAGTGGCTCCTGGGAGCATTCTATTTAATGCTACAAAACTTTAAACACTATTCGAAATTGTGATCCTGAGTCATTAAGATAACGTTTTATTCAGTTTAAAAAGTAAGCACCACACCATATTTTTTAAAAAAGGATTTTAAAAATAAAACCATAAAACATCGAGGAAATTTAGTGAATATTCATCTGACTTCTGAAAGGGAAATAATTTTCTAAGCACAAAAGCAAAAGAAGAAATAAAGAAAAAAGCCATATTTGTGTATAAATAGAAGTTAAGATTTACATATTAAAAATCATGAACCCAATTAAAAGGTAAACAGCAAGCTGTGAAAATTATTTGTCACAAACATGATATCCAATAACCTTAACAAAGTTCACCCAAGTCAATGAGTAAAATATTAAGGCCATGAGAGAAAATGGTCGTATGATATGTATTATAGAAGGAAAAATATCAGTGTCAAATTAGTATTTATAAATGTTTAAACTCACTGGTAATGAAAAGTGCAAACAGTTATAAGATAGCAGTTTTAACTTACCAAATTAACACAGATTTTTAAAAAATAACAGTATTTAATGTTGGTAAGGATGGTAAAATATTATTCTTAGAGAATGCTGGGGGTGTATAGATGGTACAAATCCTCTGAAAGGCAATTTTATAATATATATGATTTTGCTTATAGGTACCTCCATTCAAACAAAATCAAAATAGAGGCAAAGATTTCTATAAATAGATATTAATCCTTATTCATAATAAAAACATAATAAAAGTGATTAAATGAAATGTAATGCATTTCCATTATAGACTATCATAGAGCCATTAAAAGATACATTTTCAAAGACTGTTTAATGACACAGAAAATATTAAGTGAATTGTGACAGTTATTTTATATATTAATATTTTATGCAAAATAAGATGAGATAAATTACAATAAATGTTAACAGAACTATGGGCTTTTGCCTTATTTAGTCTTCTGCAATTTTTTTAAGCTTTGAAAAATAAGCATATATTTACTTTTATACTCAAAAATATTTAATTTTATTTTTAACAATTAAAATAGAGATGTGTATAATACACTTTAGAAAGATTTTTAGGTTGAATGGTTTAATTGTTTTGGTGTTCGAAGCCTCAGTGATGCAGACTGTTCATCCACATGAAGTCTTACCTCTCGAGATGGTGGATAAGACATTGCGGTATTTTGGAAATACTGGCTTACCTTAATGAAAAATAAATCTCTAAAATTATATAATGTGGTTAATGTTTGCTTTGTGACAGTATTTTCCAAATTGTGTTTCAGGAAAAAGAAGTACTTTAAGTTGCCCTGTGAAAAAAAGCATTCAGAGTTCAAATAAACTTAGGAAATACTGAATACTATGCAGTCATCTCTTGGTAGCCACGGAGGACTGGTTCCAGGACCCCTCTGTCCCCTGCAGATACCAAAACCTGAGAATGCTCAAGTCCCTTATATAAAATGGCATAGTATTTGCATTCAATCTATGCACATCCTCTCTCATATACTTTAAATCATCTCTAGATTGCTTATAATACCTAATACAATGCCTACACACCAATTTATTTGCAAGGATTCTATGCAGTACTTGGTTCACAGCAAATTCAAGTTTTGCTTTTGTGACTTTGTGAGGTTTTCTTTTCCAAGGTTAGTTGAATCCAAGAGGCAGAATTCACAAATATGACTGTATTCCTTTCTTGGAGAGTCACAATTCACATTAGCATTTTCAAGGCTCTGAAAAGCCCTACAGTAACATGCTTAGTTTTGTTTAGACCAGAGTTTCCCTAAGTGCTACTCTTCAGAAATGTATTGAGTAGCACCTACTAATGTCTCCCTGCCAAATTGTTTTGTGTATGTTACACACCTTGGAAAACCATGAGTTTAAGCAAAGCTCAGCTGACTTACTCACTTCTAGCTATGAGGCTAGAAGATGTGAGTCCAGTTTTGATTATTTTTTCAGAAACTGTCAGGAAAATGCTAGCTGAGATGATGGCAAGGTTGTGATTGGGCAGGCTTGAGGCTCTGTGTGGTAGTTCTATGCTTAGGAAGACTTCAGGCTCTTTTTCAAGTTGTCAGATTCCCCTCTCCCACACTCCATCACCAGTCCCAAGTCAGTGAGTGGCTGCCAGCCAGGGTCCTCTGAGCTGCTGAAGGCTTCCCTTTCCACCCACACTGTGCAAAATGGGGATGGGACTTTCCAGGCACACAGCCTGAAGGCAGACAGCTTCTCCAACTTCCTGCTCCAGATTGGAGAATGATGTGCAATCCCTTACTATCAGCTCTTACATCTGGAAGGGTTTAAGTAGGGTCTATTACTAGAAAGTAAGCTTTATGTTAGAAGGTACTGAATACACAGGAACTTTTCCTGAGGATAGTGCGAATGAAGTCTTTGTTTGTTTGTTTCAATGAGCTGCCTGTAAGTGTCTTCTCTCTCTGGTTTTTTGTCCTCTCCTTCCAAGGTCCTTTTGGCCTTTTTGACCTTTTTTTTTTTCTTTTTTTGAAATGGAGTCTTGCTCTGTCACCCAGGCTGGAGTCAGTGGCCTGATCTCGGCTCTCACTGCAACCTCCACCTCCCGGGTTCAAACGATTCTCCTGCCTCAGCCTCCCAAGTAGCTGGGACTACAGGTGCACTGCACCACGCCCAGCTAATTTTTGTATTTTTTAGTAGAGATGGGGTTTCACCATATTGGCCAGGCTGATCTCAAACTCCTGACCTCAAGATCCACCTGCCTCGGCCTCCCAAAGTGCTAGGATTACAGGCGTGAGCCACCGTGCCAGACCCGACCTTTAACTTTAACTTACGGTTCAGGATCCCAGGCAATGGGCTCTTTTTGGAGCCCCATTATGATTTTCAGGTCCACCCAAGTGGAACAATGTCTTTGGTCATATTGACATTCTCAGACAGCATTCATTGTCCCACTATGCTCCCAGAGCCTTTGACCCTTTTTACTGGCTTCATCAGACTCTCTCCTAGGAAAAGGTGGAAATGGAGAGAGAGAGAGAGAGAGAGGGGAAGATGGTGGTGAGAAATCATCCACCATCCTACTTAGACTCACAGATGCCCATGACAGTGGGGGAGGCTGGGAGCTTCATGATCATCGCATCCAGTTGTTTGTGGATATCCAAGGTTTGGTGAACAGAGGAATATGTTGCAGGGGGTGATGGGGGGCTGTGAGTAGGTTGGGGGTGACGCCAGATCTGTACATATCACTTCAGCACTCTGTTTTATGTATTGGGACTTCCGGTAAGGTTTTGTTTAAGAAAAGATTCCTGCTGCTAGAAGAAATGGTTAAAGACAATAGATCCAGCCCAGCTCCATGCATGAAGTCATCATGCAGCTTCTTCTCAGATCCCTCCAGTGACAGGGAGCTCATTACCATTCCATATTTGGTTGTAATAATATATTGTATAGAGCAGAAATCTGCTTCCCTGGGGCTCCTACCCATTTGTCCCAGTTCTGCTTTCTGGAGACAGACAGAAATAGTTTAAACCAATTTCCAGCTTTCAGCTCCATCAGAGCAGAAACTTTGTCAGTCTGGTTCTTTGGTGACTCTCTGGAGCAATGGCTGGCACAGAGTGGAAGCTTAATAAGTGATACTCGAATAAATTAATGAATGAGGAGCTTCATGTATCTGTTGTAGGATTACCATATGATTTAAGTCTTCAAGACTGGCACACCTAAGAGCTCACATGGTGGAAACCTCCTCACCCCTCCTCAACCTGGATCCTCTCTGTCAAAGGAGTTCTGGATGGAGAGGCGTATGCTAAGGATCTTTGGGCAAGGGGCAAGGACCCTTGGGATTTAATTTATCTACCAAGTGCTTCTGAAAAAAAGCTGTACAAAAAATGCACTGCATAAAAGCAACTTGATAATCCTGATGAAAGCAACCAGACCCTTATCAGGGAATGAGCTATGACCCTGGCATGAGGGTCAGACATCATCGATGGTCACCAATGTAGTAAGACTTGAGAGGCACTGGAAAGTCTCACCGGCTCCCGTGGTAAGACCAGAAACTTCACCATCAGAGAGTCATTACTTTGGGTAAAGTACTTCTCTCTCCTTTAAATGTAATTAGCGGACATAGTGAGTTGCCAATATCTTGGAGTGAATTCGCTGACCTAACTCTTTTCTTTAAGGATAAGGGACCTTAATGATGCTGGATTCTGGGGAAGAACCAGGCCTCAGAGAGAGAAGGGGCAAAATCTGCTGAGCTAGAGGGTGGAAGGAAAGTACATTTTGTTTAACTGGATAAATATTCAGGCCCCTGCAAGCTGCTTCAGTGTGGAAAAGACAATTTGGGGTGGGGGAACGGTAGTCTGGCCCCACATAAACCCTTTAAAATTGCAGACTCCCCCATCCCCCGCCACTGAGAGTCTTCCACATGAATTTGATGTAATGGGAGTAGCACACTCACACATTTTGGAAGATAAGAGCTGAATGTGTTTAAATAACTATCAGGCTGGCGGGAAAGATATCCAGGCTTGCCTGGAGCCACCTTTTCACCACAGAAGGGAAAAACCTAACCCTGACAAGCACGTGGCTGATTATTAGCCGTGTGATGAAGTGTTACTTCCTGTGCAGGACATTCGCATTTCTTGAGAAACTCTTTCTCAATCATAGTGAGTGATATTTTTAGAAAATGAAGGCCTTTGTTTTCTTCCTCTATGTGTATGCTCCCCGCTTCCCTTCACTTCCCCCAAGTCCCATACCCTACCCCAGAGAAGAGATTTAATGAGGGAGTGCATGTCCCCACATGGGGTGGGGGGAGGAGAGTGGGCAGACAATCAGAAAAATGCAATTTACCTGCCCTAGTAGAACTTGAATCACCATACAGACATCTCTTTCATAGTTTTTGCAGCCAAATGTTGCTTTCCTTTCTTGTTTTCCTTCCAGATAATGCAGCTAATATCTTTTCCTTGTGGGGTTGTATTTACTATTCTGAGATCACATTAACATTACTCATTTAACAATCTGCAATGTTTTGAAACCGACATGTCTCACCATATCCCAGAATGGGGTTTTTTTCTCCGCCTGATGCTTTGATTGATAAGGACCGCCCATGACCATGACCTTTAAGATGCATAGTCCAGAGGGCATGGGGTTTGGGCGAAAGGCGGCAAAGGCCTCCCTATCAGCAGGATCACTGTGAGCTCCTGCTCAACAAATGACAGTGCACACTTCACTGCAGATTGGATGCTTTCTGAACTGGTGGAGGCTCAGGAAGCTGCTCTGAGCTGCCCAGACTGAGCAACTGAAACTAAAAGTGAAGCCGTCAAACGCAGCTTCCTGAGCTTTCAGTTCTGGTTGATTTGATGGAGAGTGGGGTGCTATGTTCTCTAACTGTTTTATGGCAGGATCTGTGCACAGGGGTGAGAGTAAAGACTATTAAGAGATCATCCCCACCCTGAAGGAGTTTTCAGTCTAGCAGAGAGACAGACATGTAAATAAGTGTGGTAGATGCCTTCCGAAGATATATACACTGTGGCAGATCGGAGAAAGTGGGCAGTTCTCTAAGGAGGGGAGAGGAGTTGGGGGGATGGGGAAAGTTATAGAAGACTAAAGAGAGAATGCTTGGACTAGGCCTTCATGAAGAAGTAGGCGCTGTCTAGGTGGGAATGAAACGCAAGTGTATTTTTTTTTTTTTGCCTTTGCAAATACATTGAAAAGCATGATGCTCTGGGGGAACTTCTAGAACTCTGATGGCCAGAGTATAAGTTGGAGAGAAGGAAGGGGGAAGAGCAGAGATGAAATATAGGAGGCAGATCACAGAGCCCCCTGCAGGCCCTACAATGGGGTTTTTATTCTACCACATAGGCAATGGGAAGCTACTGGCTAGACTTTAAGTAAGGCAGAGGCTTATTAGACTTTCATTTTAAAAAGGTCGCTTGAGTATCTGTGGGGAGAATAAGCCTGGTTGAGACAGAAGGCAAGAAAAGTAGTTGGGAGGCTGTTAAAATAATTCAAGAAAGATGTGAAGTTTGCAAATAAGGGAGTGGAAGAGTGGAAGGATTAGAGAAGGAGAGAATTACCAAGATTTGGTGATTGGGTAGTAGAGGGAGAGGGTTGAGAGTTAAAGGAAAACGAGACATGTAAGATGCCACCCAGGATTCTGGTTTGAGTGACTATAGAAGACATGGAACGAAAGGGGTGTAAGACAACTAATTCTGTGTTGTGCATGTTGAATTTGAGATGCTTGTGGGACACCGAAGTGGAGAGGCCCAATGTGCAGTTGCTTATGTGGGTTTGACGCACAAAAGATAGGTCAGGGATGAGGAGAAAAACATGAGAGCCATTGGTGAGCAGGTGGCTGTTGAAAGCATGGCAGGGGAGGCCCTGTCCTGTGGGAAGGGCAGAAGGTCAAGGACAGTCCCTCAATTCGTCAACTCAAAGTTGTGGGCAAAGATGGAAGAGCCAGAAAGGGCAACTGCCAAGGAGAAGAGGAGAAATTTGTGTCAAGGAAGGCAGGAGAGAGGGTTTCAAGAGGATAAGACTGGTCCACAGTGTCACACGCTTCAGGGAGGCCAGTGAGACGAAGACTAAAAGCATGCACTGGATAGAGCACTTGGTGATCTTGATGCAGTGAAGCCACAGTGTGGCCCTGGGTGTGGAGGTGAAATTAGCATAGGTGGAAATGGGAGGTGAGTGAGTGGAGGCAATGCACGCGGAAGGCTTGCCCAGGAGAAGGAGGAAAGAGCTTCACCAAAATATTTAGAACTACTGATTTTGTCTGAAAGTTATTTCACAACCAAACAAGGCAGGGTAGTGTCATAGGACAAGAAAGGTGGATTTTGACTACTGAGAACTTCTCACTGTGTTGCAGGCCCTGGGCTGAGGGCTTTGGCATTACAGTCTTGAGTATTCTTTTATTGTATTCTGTCCTTTCATTTTCCTCCAAGATTTTGCAGCCACTCTCCCCTCCCTGCTCAGATTCTACCTCTGCTGTAGCTGGGCTTACACCGTAAGGGCATTTGAGGTCTAGATGAAATCTTAGAAATATAAGACTCTCTCAAAGTTTTTCAATAAGCAGGGCTAATACTAATAATCAATGCTAAACAGCAATCAACAATGTCATGATACCCTAATAAACCTTTAAAGAAGAACTTAGACAAGAAAGCTGTCAAAATGGAAATGGGGGTAGAGTCTTGGCCATGTCAGGGGAAACAAGCACAGAGACCCAGGGTGGTGAGCATGTGTCCTGGGAGGTGGTGGTGCCAGGTGTCCACCACGCTATGTGAGGCAGCCACGTTATTGTTTTGAACAGCGTATCCTCAACCTAGCCTCTTCTAATTGTATAATCACAAAGCTGTAATCACTGATTCCAAAGAGCTGGAAGCCTCAGACGATTGAAAAGTCAAAATGCAGATGTGACAGTAATACAGGAGACACACCTTCCTGTGTGCAGAGGTGGTGAAATGAGAGAATTAATGGTTGGAACAGTTGTCAGGGTTTCCAACTTCTCTAACTTGGAAGGAGTCATTAGGTGAATAAATAGCATACTCCCACTCACACCAGCAGAAGCCAGAATGACCTAGTGGGTAGATAGGGAGTAGCTGTAGTAATAGAACTTGTGTTTCCTCATTGAGTTTTTAATAGAGTTCAGGATCTATCTTTGCCCCTTGTCAGGGGCCACGTTCAGTCCCTCCCATCTCTCCTTCCAGCATCCTTCTTCCTTCGTAGAAAATGGCTTCTATATTTTAAGCCCAGAGTAAGTACCAGGCACAGCACTAAGCATACTGAATATATTCACTTACTTGCATTTTGCAGCCACCCTATGGGGTAGGTGACAACTATTATCCCCATTTTACAGCTGAAGAAACTGAGGTTTGAAAGATTAAGTAACTTGTTCAAGATACATTGCTAGGTGATGGCAAAGTCAGGATTCATATCTAGCTGTGTCTGAATTTTATACCTGTGCTTTTAATTGTTAAGTAACAAGCTATAGCCAAGATACAATCTTTGACTTTTGTTCTCAGTTGGCTGTTACTTCCTCTTAAAGTGTTACTTCCCCCCAATTTTTTTTTTTTTTGGAAACGGAGAGGACTTTAAGAATCTTGAATATTGTTCTGATATATAATGTATTCTTAAAAACATATGACAATCAAATGTATGGAGATCAAGCAATAAGACTCAGATCCTATTCAGTTAAGGGGTAGGAGGATTCCCAGAGATTTAAAAAATAGTTATAGAAATGCTGACTACGGCTTGCCTTTTGGATACTATATTTGACAATACAGTTCCAGAATTTCACCATGCTCTTTAATTTGTTCTTTGTCTTCATAATTGAACACACAATCAACCATCCTCCATTGAGCATCCAATTGAGGCTAAAGACTTGCCACTTATAGCACACTTGATGATTTCTATTTTTGTCTTAATTTTATTAAATTGATGAGACCTCTCTGCTTATTTTCACTAATACCAGCACTTTCTTTCCCTGTTTCCCAGTCATTTTTGTTAAATGCAATTACATATTCAGACAATTACATGAATCTCCCATTACCAACATGGTACTGCTGTTAAACTGAACAGTTTTGTGCAGCTCTTTATGGGAAAGCACCCAGTGTTCTTCGGTCAGCTAATGAATGAACTCTTGAACTCAGTATGCATGAAATAATTTAGGGGCAGGAGTATCTGTAGTATTGAAAGTGTGGGCTGTAAGAGAGTTAACACATGAAAATCAAGGACTCCAAATAGATCAGTTTAGCAAATATTTAAGGAACACCTACCATGTGCTCAGCCTTGTGGACGTAAAGAATTATCTGCCACTCCTTGATCCTTTTGAATGGGCCAGTTCGTAGGGGGTCATATTTGGGGTTAAGAGGAATGGCACCAAATTTTTTTTTGGTCAAACTTCCTAGGTGGCCACCACTTGGGTATTTTTCTCTTGACTCCAGGTACTGTGTTATTCCAGCCCGCTAAACAGTCTGAACCTACTTAGCCTGTCATCAGGGCAGATGAACTAAATAAGTGAAGACAATAGTAGGACAAGATGGGGCATGTAAAATAGAATTGGACCAACCCCCTAAATCTTCCCACTTTCTCTTTCCCACCAGCTGACTTTCTGCCACCATCACCCAAAGGCATAGGGTAAGGTTAGGTAGTGGAGAAGAAAGTCCTCCCAAGTGTGTACCTTTAAGATGACAGCATTTGGCGGGGTGCAGTGGCTCACGTCTATAATCCCAGCACTTTGGGAGGCCGAGGCAGGCGGATCACAAGGTCAGGAGATCAAGACCATCCTGGCTAATGCGGTGAAACCCCGTCTCTACTAAAAATACAAAAAAAAATTAGCCAGACGTGCTGGCGGATGCCTGTAGTCCCAGCTACTCGGAAAGCTAAGGCAGGAGAATGGCGTGAACCCAGGAGGTGGAGCTTGCAGTGAGCGGAGATCGCACCACTGCACTCCAGCCTGGGTGACAGAGCGAGACTCCGTCTCAAAAAAAAAAGATGGCAGCATTTTTTTCCTGATTTCCATCAGCTACTTCTACTCTACTGGTGTCTCTTTGGCACAGCCCAAGTTCAATAGATGGGTTAGAATTGGACATACTTGACTGTTCTGGTAGCCGATGGTCAGCTCAGGGAGCAGCCTCAGGCTGTGACCACCACCTTCACTTGGATCACCAGAGACTCAAAAGAAAAGCAGGAAGAGGTGACCCCACCCTCTTCACTGGTGAAAGATTGCACATACCTTTGGGACATCTAAAGGAGAATGTAGCCCTTTCAGAGCTAACATTACAGATCACGGCAATTTACTGGACTCGATGTACTCCTCATTCCACTAGGTTCCCTTAGGAATCATCATTTCAATTAGACCCATAAATCCTTTTCTCATTTGTCTGCAAAGACTATGAAACATGATGTCACTTTATTTCTTTTAAAGAAAGCGTTGACGACACAGGTGGTGACCCTAATGATGACATGGAATACCTTGACATCTTTCAGCCCCCCTGGTCATTTCAGTTTGGCCAGGAAATACAGCAGTGACTGGACACACGGGACCTTATGATGGGATTGTGAGTTCAGACACCCCCAGTGTTGGTCTTGTGCAAAGAGGAAACCAGGAGGAGGAACTGTTCATCAGCACCCATGCACACCCACGCGTCTATAATTACCAACAACAGTTGCAGCGCAACCCAAAAACATAAACACACTGAGCTGGCTGAAGCCCAGGGCTCTATTTATAGTCTCCATGGACCTACTAATAGCCTTAACACCCTCACTGAAACAGACCCCAAGTCGGGAGCAGGGCAGGGCCGGGGCTGTTGCAGTTGTGGGGTGAAGCCACTGCTCTATACCTTCAGTTCAATGTGGCCCATGTGTGAATGGGCCACCGAAAATATCCAACCGCTCTGAGAGGTGCACATCTCAAAATAAACATTTTCCTGAGCAGGCCAGACAAAAGCACAGAGCCAAAGGATTTCCAGTTCAGACTCGGAAATTATAGGTTTTAATTGGGAGGTGTAACAGTGGCACGTCATCGTTGCTTGTACGTTTTGCCTGAACTATGTTTGTTCAAGCAAGACAGGAAGTGGCCAAGAGTATGACACAGTGGAAAGAGCAGGGGCTGGGGAGTCAGACAGCTCTACATTTAGCTGGGTGGCCTTGAACAAGTTTCCTGACCCCTTTGAACCTCAATTTTCTCTTCTGTAAAATGGGAATACTAAGAATATCTATCTCTTAGGAGGCTGTTAGGGTCATAGATGACATGCAGATCCTCAAAATAGAAGTTTTGATAGTATCAGTTTTAATAATGCATTATTATAAATCAGGATTTCTGAAGGATTTGACCCATATAACTCACACTGAGTACTTCTATCATGTCTTTGAGAGGGTCCATATTATTTTAAAAAAAAGGTAAAGAGTTGAAAGATATATTTAGAGATTTTTCTCCTACATAGTTGATGTTAAAGTTATTTCAGAAAGTTGAGAACAAATAGGTTTGCTCCATATTTCTTTAACTTCAATATTCAAAGGTTCTATCTATCTATCCATCTATCTATATAGCATAGGTGCAAATTTCATTTCTTTAATATTTTAATAAGGAGTAGTCCATGTGATGGGAGTGGTAAATGACATTATGTCTATTTTAATGTTCAGGGAAAATAAGGATAGAAATTCTATAGCTTGGTAAAAAAATGTTTAAATCTTAAAGAGAATCAGAGAGGCACTGCAAACAATTTCTCCCTGCCCCCAATACCATTGTATTTACATGGGCTCCCAGCTCCTGCTGGAACCCTTCAAGAACTAGGGACCCAGCAGTCAGTCCATTCCATTTTGGGAGCCACTCAAGTAATTAAGAAGACCTTCCTCCTGTTGAGCCCAACTTGTTCTCTCTCTCGCTTTCATGTATTGGTCCTGTTTATCCCTTGAGAAAAAAAGAGAGTCAACTTCCTCTTCTACACAAGGGCTCTTCAAACTTTAGAAGAATGATACCATGGCTTTCCAAGTCTTCTCTTCTCCAGGCAAACATTCTTGGTTCTCTCTACAACCACAGGAAAACTCCTGATCTCTCACTCAAATTCTTTTTTTTTTTTTTTTTTTTTGAGACGGAGTCTCGCTCTGTCGCCCAGGCTGGAGTGCAGTGGCGCGATCTCGGCTCACTGCAAGCTCCGCCTCCCGAGTTCACGCCATTCTCCTGCCTCAGCCTCCCGCGTAGCTGGGACTACAGGCGCCCGCCACCACGCCCGGCTAATTTTTTGTGTTTTTTAGTAGAGACGGGGTTTCACTGTGTTAGCCAGGATGGTCTCGATCTCCTGACCTCGTGATCCGTCCGCCTCAGCCTCCCAAAGTGCTGGGATTACAGGCGTGAGCCACCGCGCCCGGCCTGTTTGTTTTTTTTTTAAGCATTACTAGCGGTTCCTCAATATTCCTTCTCCTCCTCGCTGCCTTTGATTATCCGTATATGGACTGAGTCTAAGCATGTAAATTACATGCAACTTCATTTTTCACTTTGTCTCTCAATTACTTGGGAGCCACTTTCTTTCTCTTGCTTTGTTGATACATATTTAGGAAATACACATCTCATTTTGCTTTCATATTAATCCAAGTGAAGTTTGAAGGTAAATTTACCACAAACAAAAAAATTACAAAGGACATTCCAAAGTCAAAAAAATTAATATTTAATTGCACAGCTTTAGGGTTTTTTGTTTTTTTATTTTATTTTATTTTATTTTTTCTTGTTTTGGTAGATTTTTTTTTTTAATACTTTAAGTTTTAGGGTACCTGTGAACAATGTGCAGGTTAGTTACATATGTATACATGTGCAATGCTGGTGTGTTGCACCCATTAACTTGTCATTTAGCATTAGGTATATCTCCTAATGCTATCCCTCCCCCCTCCCCCGACCCCACAACAGTCCCCAGAGTGTGATGTTCCTCTTCCTGTGTCCATGTGTTCTCATTGTTCAATTCCCACCTATGAGTGAGAACATGCAGTGTTTGGTTTTTTGTCCTTGCGATAGTTTACTGAGAATGATGATTTCCAATTTCATCCATGTCCCTACAAAGGATATAAACTCATCATTTTTTATGGCTGCATAATATTCCATGGTGTATATGTGCCACATTTTCTCAGGATACAAAATCAATGTACAAAAATCACAAGCATTCTTATACACCAATAACAGACAAACAGCCAAATCATGAGTGAACTCCCATTCACAATTGCTTCAAAGAGAATAAAATACCTAGGAATCCAGCTTACAAGGGATGTGAAGGACCTCTTCAAGGAGAACTACAAACCACTGCTCAATGAAATAAAAGAGGATACAAAGAAATGGAAGAACATTCCATACTCATGGGTAGGAAGAATCAATATCGTGAAAATGGCCATACTGCCCAAGGTAATTTATAGATTCAATGCCATCCCCATCAAGCTACCAATGACTTTCTTCACAGAATTGGAAAAAACTACTTTAAAGTTCATATGGAACCAGAAAAGAGCCCACAACGCCAAGTCAATCCTAAGCCAAAAGAACAAAGCTGGAGGCATCACACTACCTGACTTCAAACTATACTACAAGGCTACGGTAACCAAAAGAGCATGGTACTGGTACCAAAACAGAGATATAGATCAATGGAACAGAACAGAGCCCTCAGAAATAACGCTGCATATCTACAACTATCTGATCTTTGACAAACCTGAGAAAAACAAGCAATGGGGAAAAGATTCCCTATTTAATAAATGGTGCTGGGAAAACTGGCTAGCCATATGTAGAAAGCTGAAACTGGATCCCTTCCTGACACCTTATACAAAAATTAATTCAAGATGGATTAAAGACTTACATGTTAGACCTAAAACCATAAAAACCCAAAAGAAAACCTAGGCATTACGATTCAGGACATAGGCATGGGCAAGGACTTCATGTCTAAAACACCAAAAGCAATGGCAACAAAAGCCAAAATTGACAAATAAGATCTAATTAAACTAAAGAGCTTCTGCACAGCAAAAGAAACTACCATCAGAGTGAACAGGCAACCTACAAAATGGGAGAAAATTTTCGCAACCTACTCATCTGACAAAGGGCTAATATCCAGAATCTACAATGAACTCAAACAAATTTACAGGAAAAAAACAAACAACCCCATCAAAAAGTGGGCGAAGGACATGAGCAGACACTTCTCAAAAGAAGACATTTATGCAGCCAAAAAACACATGAAAAAATGCTCACCATCACTGGCCATCAGAGAAATGCAAATCAAAACCACAATGAGATACCATCTCACACCAGTTAGAATGTTTTTTGTTTTTTTAACAGAGTCTCGCTCTGTTGCCCAGGAGTAGTGCAGTGGCGCGATCTCGGCTCACTGCAACCTCTGCCTCCTGGGTTCAAGTGGTTCTCCTGCCTCAGCCTCCTGAGTAGCTGGGATTGCAGGTGTGCGCCACCATGCCTGGCTAATTTTTGTAATTTTAGTACAGAAGGGTTTTCACCATATTGGTCAGGCTGGTCTTGAACTCCTGACTGCAGGTGATCCACCCACCTCGGCCTCCCAAAGTGCTGGTATTACAGGCATGAGCCACTGCGCCCGGCCAGCTTTAGGTTTGCTATGTAAGTATAGATGATTTCCGTGTGCCCTTGAAAGCATTGTATATATGTGTATGTGGACATATGTAAAACCTCTAGCCACGAAGCCCTATAGTACAGTCATGCACCAGGACCAGACTGGTATTTACTTAATCCATGGTTCTTTTAAGCTGATCCCGTACATAGTAATAATAATAATAGCAGCAGCAGCAGAAGCAATAGTGCTTATAACTTACCAAGAACTTGCTACCTCTTAGGCACCATGTTAAATGGTCTAACTTTTTAATATAAAAAATTATGTAATAGATACTATTATACCCCCTTAATGATAAGGACAATCAAGCCTCAGAGAGTTGAAGTAACCTTGTCCAGCATCCCTGGATGAATAATTAGTCACTGACAGGATCTGAGCTGTGGTTGTCTAATCCCAAAGTCCAAGCAGCTGCTGTTTAGTTATTTGAAGTAAGGACAGCACAGACAGGAAGAGCAGGAGGAATACTACAAGGATTCACTCAAGTATGAATTCAAAAGAGTGTGTCATTACTGCACCCCACTGGAACCAAGACAGAGGCCCCAGGAGCAGAGGCCAGGAGGCCCTCAGAGGGTCCCTAATGCATATGTGAGAGACACAGCCTAGAGGACCAATCCAGGGAAAGCGCAGTGAGGAAAGGATCAAATGAAATGATTCATCCATTTGCCCAGCGCATAGAGTTACATGCACACGATTGGGCCCCACTGTCAGTGTCAGCGTTTACACTGTAGAGCCACCCATGTACAGGCCATAGAGAGATTCATTGCAATTTTCTCTCATGTGGACTTCAAAGCCTTGTTCACCAGTGTACACTGGAAAACTTAACTACCTGGTTGCTACAATAACTGTGCCTTTACAAATTAGACTCAAAACAATGTTTTGTGAATTAAATCCCATTTAAAACAAACTGGGATAGCTGGGCCTTTAATAATATTAAGTGTAATGATACACAATAATAATAAACCATGGTTAATTATTTTGTAAAGTGAAGAATTACTGAGAAATAATTCCCAAATTTCTTTTTAAAACCTAAGTATTATCCTAAGATGTCAGATCACCTCTTGTTCACCTCCCATAGATTTCAGTATCTGCCTCACACATAGTAAATTTAATATACATGCAAAGGAGGTGGGAACCCTATGATAATAATTCATATTTTGATGTCTTTTTTCAATCTCTCTCACATATGTTCTCATATCAGATGTGAATTAAGTAGTTCAAACTCATACAGTTAGAGTGTTTTGCAGTTTAAAAATTGCTCCCTATCACCACTCCCTTTTAACAGAGAAGGAAGAATGAGGCTCAGAGAGAGGTAATTTAGCGAAGGTCACCCATCTGGAAAATGATCGAGTCAGGATTTTAATTCATGTCTTTTTAAAACCAGCATATCATGAAGACAGGATTTTAGTCCATGTCTTTTAAATCTGGCATATCATGGGACTTTTAAAGCTCAAACACTGGATGATTTTTGAGCTATTTTGAGGGGAATGGTAATTGACATTTAAAGATATCATGTCTCTTAGCAACCACAGGAGTTTCATGGAGTTCATTTGATCTTCAACGAGATTCACACCCTGAACCAGGCTAACCTATATGAAACTGTTGCCCTGCCTAGGTTCCCAGGGGCCATGCAGGACACAGCATATTTTGCTGTTTCTGGGTTGGGGGAGGGGGAGAGAGAGAGAAAGAGAGAGAGGGGGATGGGGTGACTGTGACTAAGGGGCATGTCATCAACCAGAAATGGATTTAAAAAAATTCTTGCCCTTTCCCTGATACTGAGTTGGCCAGGGTACAGTCGACTTGCTAAAAGGGCAAGAACAAACTCCAGTTTACAACTCCAAAGGGAGGGATAGCACAGATTTCATACTTTTCCTCTTCAGTATTCTCATACCCTGGTGCTGTGCTGTTCTAAAGAATCTGTTCTTTTCTGTGCAACTATAAAAAAGCACCACTTGCTCTTTTGGTAACAAATTTGGACATGGAAGCACAGTTTTTTTTCCCCTCCCTCCCAATGTATCTATTTCATATTTGTTTGTATATTTATTCATTTATCTTTAAATAAACACAGCATAAAAAGGCAATTTTTCTGCGAAAAGAAACTACAATTGCAATCTCACCATCCTAACTCATCAACCATTTTCATTTTGGGAGTTTTTAGCAGGTGTGAGTGTGCACACATGATGCTCCTCCAGATGCAACGTGGTGGTCTGCTTCTGTGCTTCACTCAGTATTAGGATGCAAACAATCCCCATGCTTTGAGCACACTTGCTAATACCTTTTCGCTGATCCTTAAAATGTAAATCTGATGTAGGACAGTTTTAACATATGTTAATATAGGAGTTAAAATCACAAAGATAAGAACTTCAGAGAAAATAAAAGTCAAACTGGGTGAGATTGTTCACTTCCCTAGGACAGCTGTCCCATCTCGCTGCACATGAACAGGTTACAGAACTGGCTCAGGGTTATTCACTCACAGAGGGTTCTACATACAATAATAGCACACTCATCAATCAATGCACAAGCCCTACTTTGTATCAGGAATAGTGGTAGGCACTGGCAATACTAACATAGGGAAGATACATTTTTCTATTCTTAGGAAATTCAGAATATAAAGGCAAAAACAGACGTTGAAACTGATAAATTTTAATGCAATAGACACTGCAGACATATAGAGGGGGGTATAGGTCTTTAAAGAAGGGATCAGTGACCCCAGAGAATCCAGGAAGTCTCCCTAGAGAAGGGGGCATTTGGTGGCATTCATTTGAACACAAGCACATTTGCTCTTCTAGGGCTATTTCCCTAAATAACGCTTCTCTGCATTTTCTCTCTGTTCTGTTCTCTCTCAGTTTGTCTCCTCTCCACTCTCCATGGCTCCCCATTCTCTCTTGGGGAAAGATAGCTTTACTTTGCAGACTGGTAGAAAATAGTAGTCTAAACATTATTATGGCATGCCTGAAATGCTGTCTTTCCCTGGCTTCCACTGGCTCTGGAGGCCCATTAAAGTTTTATTTTATTTTTTTAAAAAGGCTTCTCCCTCCAATTCCTGTCTGCTGTGAGCTGTGTGTAAAGCAAACAAAGTCACAGATAATGTCAACACAATGCACAAGGAAGCCAACGGTAATAGCGTACACTGTAAATTGAATGTAAAATGACCACAGATTAGTATATAATTGGTTGTGTTTCTAAAGCTGTGATTGTTCTTTTTCTTTGAGGCCCTGTACCTCCAGAGATCAGGGGAGAAGAACTGTTAATATTTAATAAGCTTTCCTCTGACCTGGGGCTCTGGAGGAAGGTGACCGTAGATCCAGATGTACAATCTCCAGCAGGGACACAGCCATCCTGAAAGCCCCCGGGTATTCCCTCATTCTCCCTCAGAGCAGTGGGAAGAGCACTGGAAAGGCAGCGAAACCCAGGGCGCCGAGTTCAGGAATGTTTGTACTGGTCCCTTGCTTTCATCCCTGTCACTATCGGACTCATTTCCAGTGCCCAGGTATCCATTCACACCATGTAAACTGCTGTTTCAAGTTCTCTCATTCAGGTACCCCCATTTTTACCGTCAATGGCTTTTTCCCCGTAAAGAAGCTAAGTTTGGCTTGACATCTCTACAGGGCTCCTCTTCATAGGCAACCAGGAGCTGAGAAGACCTCATTCATGCTGAGATAGTCCTGTCTTCAAGAGAAAGTGAGTCTAATATGTGGCTTTGCAAATACGGCTACCTGCACTCTGCATCTTCCCACCCCACGCTTGCTCAAACATCCTTCAGCATGCTCCTGAGTTGTTGGAACCTTGAGTATTAAATTCTCAAATGGAATGGGACTGCTGCTGTCTTGCTATCTTGCCTGGCTCCCCGCCTCCAAATAACTTCCAGGTGCCAGCCCACTGCCTTGGGGCCTGCTCTGAGATAGTTCTCCATCAGAGCTTTGGGTAGAAAAAGACAGAAGAGATGTGGCTCCTCTTGTGCCCTGAGAGTTGCTCTCGGCTCATGCTGGGACCCTTTTCTGTGGCTGGCTGCTTCCATGCTCCACATGGGCAAATGGGGGCAATATGCCTCCATGGTTTTACAGTGTTATAAATTATTTTTTATTTATTTTATTTTATTTTTATGTTTCTTTTTAGAGAGCCTTGTCTTACTGTGTTGACCAGCCTGGAGTGCAGTGGTGTGATCATGGCTCACTGCAGCCTCGAACTCCTGGGTTCAAGTGATTTTTCCTGCCTTAACTTCTCTAGTACTTGGGACTACAGGCATGTGTCACCAACCTGGCTAATATTTGTATTTATTTTGTAGAGACAAAGTTTTGCTATGTTGACCAGGCTGGTCTCAAACTCCTGACCTCAAGTGATTTTCCTGCTTGGCCACCCAAAGTGCTGGGATTATAGGCGTGAGCCACTATGCCTGGCCAGTTATGAATTCTTTATGTGCATTTTGAGGACTCATTTGAATCCAGGCTCATGTACCACCTAAGACAGATTGCTAAAATACCTTCCATTCCATAAGTAAATTTTGCATACTTATTGAATTATTTGAAAATATATATGTGTGTGTGTGTATATATATATAACATTGACTATATATATAGTCATTATAACATTATATATATATATAACATTGACTAATGAATCCTATTGTTACCCAGATGTAACTGGGTGCATAGATAAAATGGAAGCTCAGCAAATGTTAAATGGAAAGGAGAGAGGGGGGAAGGGAGAAATAATACTATAAGATAGGCACAAATATTGTGATATGAAAGACAAGGTCACTGACGACTGGAAAATTTAGTTAGCTCTCAAAGTAGCATAGACTGTAAAAGCAGACCACTTTCTAGTTACATAGTATTGGTCAAGTTGCTTAACTGCTCTCAGCCTGTTTCCTCATTGGTAAATCCATGTGGCTTTATGAATTAAATAAGAAAATGCATCCAGGAAAACTTTGCATAGTACATATCACATAGTTGGAGCTTAATCAATATTGTCGATCAGTATTATGACAGGAGCTTGCACAGTGAGCATACAGTGGAACCAGTGGTTGGAACAACATCTAACTCTAAAATCTGCCCCTGTTCCACTGCTGTGGGGCTTCTATGAGGCCACATTTGCTGCCATCTCTGTTCTTTCTCTCAGAGTCCAGTTCTAGGAAGCTGATCCATCACTGCCTGCTGAATCGCTCCTGATAGGGATCTAGCTATGAACAACACGTGTTTCCAGCTCTCTAGTTGCTTAGGTCTTGTCTCCCCATAAGCTCAGGAGGCAGCTGAGGAAGCCCATGGGCCTTGCCACCAGGATTGTACAAGAGGGGCCCAGCGAGGACCATAGGGACTCTTCCATGCCAGATTATAGCCCTGTGGAACCTCTGCCTGGAAAATGAGATCAGGTGGGGAGATAAGGGGCTGTGTACAAAATAGTGATTGGAGAAGAAAAATAGGAAACCAACAAAACAGCTCTTTACTTAAGCCGCATGACCATGCACATCACTCGAGTATTCACCTGCAGTAGCCGTGGAAGACGTCCAGGGATTTCCGAGAATCCAGAGAAAGCTGGCTAAAATGATCCAGGGCACAGGTGGGGCTTGCAGAAAAACTAGACAATGAGAATCTTTCAACCCCGAAAGATGGTGGTTTATATGGCCAAAAATCTAAAAACAAATAAATAAATAGCAAAAATAACTAGGTAATACAACCACAAATATTCTTCATCACCAAATGCCAGATTATTTAGAGAAAACCATTTGAACCTATAGCACATAGCTAAGGAAAAGATAAGGAAATGCCAAATTATGAAATGGGTAAGAAAGAAACAAGGAATCTATTGCTTTTAAAATAGCATTATTAAAAACTATTCTTTATTACCTATACCCTGCCTATCCCCCCCCCCCAAAAAAAGGATTTGAGGCTGCAGTTCAAAATGAAAACGACTTTGGGATAAACAAAAGGAGGCCCTTGCCTACAGGAGCATCCTGAAGTGGGAAGGTCATTTTTCTCCTCAGAGGTTGACTTCCATGTCTCTGCGTAGGCAGGTCCCCACACCCCTGATACCATGATGCTGAAATATAGCCTGGTAGGTACTTCCTCCAGTCTCATTTACAGACCAAAAAATTGAGGCCTAGGGAGGGGGGAGCATCTAAACAGCACAGAGTTATCTAGTGGATAGTCAGTGTCTGACTGGGAAAATGGAAACCATGCTGAGTGTTTAAAACAGAGGGGATTTAATGCAGGGAACTGGATGCACAGCTCATGGGGATGCAGAAAAGCCAACAGGGGCCAGGGAAGCAACCCAACATTAACAACAGCAGAAAGCCACAGGACTCCTGGCTGGAAGGGAAAAGGAGAAGCAGGATGGTGGGAGTTTAGGGGCCGCTCTCTGGATTCTGGAAGCCCACTGGTATCTCCTGTGGGAGCTGGTCCCACAGAAGTTATGGACTGATGCCTGGCCTGCTGCCTGAGGCAGGGAGGAAGGAGGAGAAATACCCTGGCTGTTCCTTTACTTCCATCCTCCCATCACCTCCCAGTTCCTCCCATTGGTCAAATCTAGCAGGAAGCCTGGAGACACAGTTGGAGTGGATGATGCAGGACAGAGCAGGGGAAGAGCCTGCTCTTCACCAGATAGTCATTCCTTGGGCACCCCCATAGGCAATGCTAGCTGTCCAGGGTTCTTCCTGGTTCAACATCCTACCTTTTGGGGCAATCATCAGAACTACTTTCTGACGTGCAACCTATAGGGGCTGTGTCGTATTTCGTCAATGAATGCATTCCTGGTAAGTTTCCCAATGAGGAAAATAGTTCACACACAATGTAACTCTGAATGGCAAGTGTTACCTTAATGCATTTGTTTGTATTTCCAGATACTGGGGTATTTTTTTCTTCACGAGGGAGTCTTCTGGGAAATATAGGCATCTTAAATTTTCCTATTTAAAGTGGAAGCATTGCCAAGAAGTGGTTTGTGGAGGTAATGATTTTAGCTCCCTAAAATAGCCATCAGTTCCCCTAAGCTATAACAAATAGACAATCTAAGTGACCCCATGAACTGGCTGTACGTATGCAGTCTCCCGTCTCTACCTTGAAAATTAATTACAGCCCCAAGACCTCTAGAGGAACTCTAGAGCTGCCCCTTACCAAGAGGCAGGAGTAAGGTTCAGAATACTTAGCAACCCCCTTAGCACAGGCACTGACCAATCAGAAAGCTGGAGTGGTATCAAAGCATTGTCCTGGAGACCCCCTGTGCGTCACAGGTTAACCCTTTAGGTGTGGCATTTTTGGGGTAGTAATGTGGCGTGGTCAGAGCATGGCAATTTACCAACCTACTTAGAAGCATTTTGTTAGCTTGATAACCATTATGGCTATACTGGTGCATACTGGCTGAATATCAACATTACCGTGAGGTTCCTGGAACAGGGTGCTGACGGACAGAATGGGGAACCTTTTCATGTGTCCCAGAAAAAGGGTCTTAACTGCTAGTACTGGGTTGCCTGTATACCTCTATTTTATCCCCGAGGTTATTGACCTCTGTTTTTGCCCCAGGGCAGTGACATCTCTAAAGTACTCAGGAACTCTTGAGTAATAATAATATATTACATAATACTAATATGCATTGAACACATATCATGCATCAGGTATGAATATGTTATTTGATTTATCTCATTTAATTCTCACAAGTCACATAAGTCTCACAAGTACATAACTTGTACGCAGGTCTCAGTCCCCAGCACAGTGCCAGGCACGTGGATACATGGCACGAGGATGAAGAAACTGACTACAGATGCTAGTGGAATAAATGAAAGATTGAGAAGCTCTTCCCCACTCATGGCCAAGTTTTGGGGGACTTTTTGTTATTTGTTTTTTTTTTTCTTTTTCCAAGATCTTCCTAAAAAAGCAGAACCTTTGCCCAGACAGGGCAAGCATGTCACGAAGTTCTGCTTTCACTGTGTGTTAAGTGGAAATGATTAGGCAAGCAAGTAGTAAGAGATTCCTCTCTGTGTCTTCTTCCTGTGTGGGGCAGTCCTGCTGTGGACCTCTGCACACTCAGGCTGACAGTGCAAACTATGATGATTTTCACTGATAACCCTAGGATATACCTCATTCATTTGTCATCATGGCTTTTCACACAGAATGTTGCTGAAGGGGCTACTTCCTGGATGCATACACAGGTGTGAAGATGCTAGTGCATGTGCATGTTTGTGTGTGTCCAGGACTGACTTGAATGACTTGGTGTTTGATCACAGTAATGGCACTTGATCCAAGCGCCCATGGCTGATGAAGTTCTGCCCTTGGGCTGTGAGATCTGAATGAGGTACAGAAAACTTCTGCCCCTACAACAATGACAACTGTTTTCACCATGACTACCATTTGCTGAGCACTTACTCTGTGTTAAGATAAGCATTGTACATCCCAATATGTAACCAGTGGTCCTGTGAGATCTCATTCTCCCTATTTTACAGGTGGGCAGACTTTCTCAGCTCTCAATGGGGCATGGTAGGGCAACCTAACTGCCTGCCTCTGGGCATGTCCCAGCTGAACTGGCTGGAACATGGGATGAAGTGGAGCATTTTGGTTGGTTAAGCTTTAGTCTGGGAGTTGGTAATGTGTCAGAGATTCTCAAACCAGGCTACAGGTTAGAATCCCCTGAGAAGCTTTCTAAAAATACGAATGATGGGACTTCTCCCCAGATCAATTAAATCAGAATTGTTAAGGATGCAGCCACAGCATTGTTTTTGTTTTGTTCTTAACTCTCCAGCTGATTTTAATGAGTAACTATGGTTGAGAACCACTGCCTTGGGCTCTAGTTTTGACCTCATCTATTAGGCAGGTCATTTGTCTTGAGTTGCCTTAACTGTAAAAGAGATTCTGTAGTGGAAGCAGCCCATCTCCCAGAAATGGGAGCAAGGGCTTAGGAGCTAAAATCAGAGAATTCAGATGTCAGAGCCCCAACTCCATCAGTTACTAGCCATGTGACTGTGAACAAGCTACTTAACTTTTCTTAGTATCAGGCAACAACTAAACTTATGTGACTTGTGAGAATTAAATGAGATAAATCAAATAACATATTCATACCTGATGCATGATATGTGTTCAATGCATATTAGTATTATGTAATATATTATCATTATTCAAGAGTTCCTGAGTACTTTAGAAGAACTGGCTACCCAAGACTGTGGTTGTCTTGTAATGATTTGGCGTTGTTACAGTGAACCGTGGTTTTCAAGTTCTCAGAAATGGGAAATGGGGCCTAAATTAAGGGGAGGGAGGAAAAAAAATAGACCTAGGCACCCAAAACTATGAGATGTTTTCCAGTAGGAGAGAAAGGGTGGTCTGATTGATATCTTCAGGCAGAAGAAGGGAGCCCCCTTCAGAAACCAGCCTAAGGAGTGGCCAGGTTTCCTTAGCAGTTAAGTGAGCTTAGGTGGGTTTTGAAAATGTCCCTTACACACACAACTCACTGGGGTTAGATGAACTTCAACTGAAGGCCACCAACGGGAATGGACAGTGCACCTTGGGCTTTGCAGAGGCTGCAAGTCCAGGAAACTCCAGGAGCTCCGGAATGAAGATTAATGCACTTCCTGAATTCACCCTGAGTTGATGCTCTGGACTCCCCATGCGTGCAAAGCATCTCCACCAGCTGCCAGCACATGACTAAGACTCTGCAAGGCAAAAGCTCACCCTTTGCCCTGACAATGCAATAGTCTAGCCTAATAAAAGAGGCAGCTGGACCCTGCCTACTTGGAAAATAAATGCATTTAAATAACTCCCAGAAGGAAGAAAAAAAAAGCTTTTACAAGTTTGAACACAGGAAGGATACACTCAGAGGTCTCATCTGTTGTCTGTCTGTGGGTGACACCCCATTTTTTCAGCATGGAATTTTACTTAGCCACACTGGGAAAGCTGAGTGGCTTCCCTGGGGTTTTGCTCTCCTTACTGCAGGATTATATCATGCAGAAGAGTCTGGAGCATGGGTTCTGAAAAGGCTCCATGTGGCCCCCAGGCACCGCCAGCTTGGAGTCTAGATCCGGAGACTCACAGTCTGGGAAACGTACACAACAGCATCTCAGACAATGATGCCCCAGGCTCACAGGAACGAATGAAAGCAGTGCTGCTCATGTATGTGTGTATTGGGGGGGATGAGAATAATTGAACTTCTAGTTCAGATTGCCTATTAATTTAAGATTTGCTTCTCTTTGAATCAAACTTAAGTTTATAACTTGAACTAGTCCATTCATTTACCACGTGGTGTTCTGTCCCAGGGCACACAGAAATGCCCCCAGGGCACACTGGTGGATCTTCGGGTATTGTTTGAAGCAGGTTCCGAAGGCCGTCCTTGTTACTGGGACTAGAATGGTTAAGAAAACTCTCGTGCGACTTTGCTGCAAAAACAGACATTTCAGGGCTTCAAGCAGGAAGAGTTATGGTGCTATAAGATGAGGATCTCAGTTCCAAATGGACCCCAATCAGGAAGTGACTCCATCTGCCAAAAGGAGAAGCTCTAGCTTTCCAATCATTGCAGGGTGCAGGCAGTACAGTTAGCAAGAAGCCATGGGGCGTTCATCTTAGACAGAGAAGTCATTTCTGGGTTAAATAATAGACTAGCAGCCAGTGTGTTTTGGAACATATTTGAAAAATCATTTAAGCCTCAAATCCTACTGATAAGCACATGGCACCTAAGAGCAAACACATTAGCAGAGACTGAGTCTAATGACTTCAAATAGGAAGGAGGATCCTAAAACAAGGACAACATCCGTGCGAGTCCAACAGCACCGGGAATAGCACTGTGGGATACAGGAAAGAGTCTGCAAGGACAGCCACGCTGGGCCGTGGCAACGTCTGTTCATAACACTGCCTGGTGGTCACTGGCAGGCCACAGAGGAGCACCTATGAGTTTGTATCAGAACCCACAAGCTGTCAGCTGTCACTGCCCTCCTCTCTAAGCTCTTCTCTGCTCTCCACCAATTCAAACTCTGTCTGCACTAAAGTATTAAGAAATACTATGTGTGTTGCAGGGCGGGGCGGGGGTGGGGGTGGGGGGGCTGGTTATTGATAGTCCTGCAGGGAAGCTGGGTGAGGAAGTTCTTATCATACAATACTTGAAACCGGGTAAAGTGTGTTGAACACACTTCTTCTCCTCCCAAGCCCTTTTCTGAGGGCCTTCAGTGAGGCCTTCTTTTCCTGTGATTCTTCCCCAAACAGACCTCAGCCCAATTCTCACCTTCTCCTTTCTTCCTCTCTCCTGGATGTTTTCTTCCTGTGACACCCAAATCCTCCTTCTCTTATCTGAAGAGTGGTTTCCTACTACCTTCTGGAACTGGGGCACCTGCTGGCACCCAGCCCAGGAGGCTCCCTTCCACCCCAGTGGCAGGCTTATCAAAGTGCATCTCAGTCCCAGCAGCTCTCTTGCTAAGAGGGGCTTCCTCATGCCCTGCAAAGATTAATTCACTCAGCACATACTTGGGGCCTACTTTGTGCCAGGATCCTCTTCTGGTGAACAAAACAGATAACAATCACAGCTTTTGGAGCTTCCATTCTCATGGAGGAAATCAAGGTTTATCTAATACATACACATTGCCAAATGATGTGTGTGTGTGTGTGTGTGTGTGTGTGTGTGAATCAGCAGACAAATCTAGATAATTCTCACTCCAACATGTGGGTTCTGTCATTGTCAATCAATCCTTCTGGCATTTTCGACATCTAATTGCTCTTCTCCTGTAAGGAGATGGGTGGATAGAGAGCAGCTCAGCTGGGGGTAATTCCTACAAGGGTTTTACAAAGCATGCTACCTCAGGGCCTCTCACAGATGCGGTCTTTAGAACAGTATGGCCTAGATGGGCATGGCAGAGCAGGGCTGAGTGGCCAAGGGGGAAGAGGATATTATGGGGGAGCCAGGAAATCAGAACGAGCAAAGCAAGGAGTGGTGGAACTGCATATGAGAAGTAGTACAAGAAAATACTGGAGGCTAGCCGGGCGTGGTGGCTCATGCCTGTAATCCCAGCACTTTGGGAGGCCGCAGTGGGCAGATCACTTGAGGTCAGGAGTTCGAGATCACCCTGGCCAACATGGCAAAATCATGCCTCTACTAAAAATACAAAAATTAGCCGGGCATGGTGGTGCAGGCCTGTAATCCCAGCTACTAGGGAGGCTGAGGCAGGAGAATCACTTGAACCCAGGAGGCGGAGGTTGCAGTGAGCCGAGATCACCCCACTGGCCTCTAGCTTGGGTGACAAAGTGAAGGAAGGAAGGAAGGAAGGAAGGAAGGAAGGAAGGAAGGAAGGAAGGAAGGCGAAGGAAGGAAATACTGGAGGCAGAAAGGAGGTGGCTTTGTAGGTGCCTGAGGTTGAGCCAGATTCCTTTAAGGAAATGATTCTAGATACACACTCCACACCTGAAATATCCTTTCCCTTCTTCCTCTCCACTTAGCCCTTCAAATCCTCCTCTTTGCACAAGCCCCACAAAGACAGGGATCTTGTCAGTCTTGCTCAGAACAATTCTTTGCAAATAGTAGGTATTAATTATTGGTGGAGCAAATGATGGGTTCAGATGAACTGCCGTTACCTCCTCTGAAGCTTCCCAGCCCACCTCAGCTTCATGATTCTCTCTCTTCTGAATTGAAGCTTCTGAAGGTCTCCTGGCAAGAAGCTATTGCAGTGCAGAAAGCACATAGGATCAAATCCTGGCTCCACCTCTTACTGAATGTTTCCAAATGTCCAAATTAAATGTTTCCACTTCAATTCTCTCCATCCTCAGTGTTCTCATCTACAAATGGGGTTATTTTTCCCAGGTCTCTAGTGAGAACCACAGGAAAGATGTATAGGTAAGAAAGTCCCTGACACTTCAAACCATGAATTCAGCAAGTATTTTGGACTGTCATTCAACGTATCTTTTATAATTGCTTCAAATTATTTAGCTTTCTAACTTAATGATAATAGGAATAACCATCATTTGCTGAGCAACTAACTACTCTCCACTGCACACTGTAGCTGTTACACACATGATCTCTAATTCTCACATCTGCCATGGGAGGCAGGTACTATTATCCCTGTTTTGTGGATGAGTAAAGAGAAACTGGAAAAGATTAAGAGAATGAGTCCAAGTTGCACCCATTGTCATCATCCCTAGAGCCAGAGTTCAAATCCTGATCTGTCTGCCACGTGGCTTTCCTGGCCTCGCAATCTAGAGTGTAAGCTTAAACTAGCCTCTAAAGGTTAGTCTAAGCTTAAGGCCAGGAATCACCTCCTTGTTATCTGTTCTCTTACAGTATCTAGCCCATCACACTTCCTTATACCTAGCATATCCATATATATTTGTTGGTTTTTAATATTCTGCGAATTGAAGTGCTGACATTGCTTGATGATCTAGAAGCTAATTCATGACTCTAAAACTTTATGGTCCTCTCTATAGACTGCAATCTTTTGGCTCCAAGAGGTTAAGGAAACTAAACATATGAATAGTAGAAAGTGTCATATTCCTGGATAATAGAGTTATTTTAAAAAACAAACAAGGGATGCTGGTACAAATCTCAGAGTACTTAAGGCATCATCCAGAAAAAGAAAAAGAAAAAAAGAACACTTCCCCTGGCCTGGATATAGATGGTGGGTCTGACTGGGTTGGCATGTGATGCCCTGCCTGGCAAGACAGGACAAGAAATGAATCAACTGCCCAATGCGATGGTATGTGCTATTTCCAAGCTGCCTAGCTCATGAGTGCTGCACAATCCAGCAGCCCACTCTAATTTGTCACACCAAAGGCTGCCTTCTTAGTAAACAGTTGTCCACACTTCTGTTGGTTCTGAGTCACCGCTTAGTGTTCAAACTGAAATGCCAGTGCAGTCCTTGGACTACACCATGCAGTGTGAAACCAAGGGAGGCGGGCCAGGCAGGACAGCACTTCCTGTGGAAACTTCCGGGTCTTGCAAAGGAGCCAGAGCCTCCAACCAGTGTTCCGCAAGGGATGGTTGCAGAGCAGCCCCCTGGTCAGAGCTACCCCCTCCTCTCAGTGAACCCCCTCTCTTTATAGCTGAGGAAACTGGAGGTGAACTGGCTTTGTGACTTGTCCAAGATCCCACAAGTCTTTTTATGACCTGGCTTCTACCCTCTTCGATGTCATCCCCCACCTCATCCCACAAGCATCCTCTTCCCAGTCAGATGAAGTCATTTCAGCGACATTATTGAGTGTGCCACGTTATTTCACTTCTCTTGTCTTTGCGTGTATGTCCTGTCAACCTGGATGCCATTTCTACTCCTTCGTGGCTGGGGAATGACTCATCCTCCAAGACCCAACTCAAGCATCTCTTCCTTTCCGAAACCCTTTTTGACCAGTTGTTTCTCCTCCATCAAAGCAGATCTATCCATTCTGTGCTCTGTTCACATAACTGCTTATCAACCTGGAAGGCATCATATCTTAGAAATCTGTTTACTCCCCTAGGCCATGGGTAGTCAAGTGGCAGTTAGGATTGTGTTCAGCTGCAAGTAACCAAAAGCCCAGTTGATCAATATCTTAGACAAATTAGGGGACTAATTTTTTTTAGATAGCCAAGGTTGCCGTGATAACTCTATAATATGATTAATCATTAGGGCCCCTGTTTCCATGTAGATTTCTGCTCAGCTCTCTTTAATTTGTGGCTGTTTTCTTCATGCTTGTCACCCAGTGGTCACAAAATGACTGTTCTTTCTCTATATCCAACTTCCAGACTGGAAAAAGGGAAGTTAATAAGGTATTCACTAATGAAGCCTGCTCCTTCTACAGAGCTTTCCTGGAAGCTGCACTTAGTGACTCTTGCTTCTCTCTCTTTGGTCAGAATGGGACTGGATAGATATCCCTAGTGGCAAAGAGAATGGGAGATATATTTGATGACTTGAATGAATTGAAATTCCAAATACAATCAGGATTTGGATTGTTAGGAAGAAGGGGAGAATTGATATTGGGTAAGAAAGTAACTACCATATGTAGGGATTATGTTGCATTTTTCATTCTCTCTCTGGGGCTTAGCATAGGGCATGGCACATAGTAGGTACTCAATAAATAAATGTCCAAGAAAGAAAGGAAGCGACATTTTATAATTCCCTAGTCCACTGCTATTTGTACAGTATGACTCAGCACATCTTTGAGCTTTTAGACATGAAACGAAGCTTTCTGGGGGTGGGGAAGAACAGCAGGGAGGAGAGATTCCTCGGGGGAGTTTCCAGCCAGAGCTTACTTATTCCAGCTGCGACCACTCAGCTTAGCAATGCTTAGGAGCTAAGAGAAAGGGAAAAGAGTCCATTCTTGATGTGTACAGTTGAACCATCTCCCCCCGCCCCATCCCCAATTCAAAAAGAACATGTTGGTCACTACGTGACATTAGGAGCCTCGCTACATTCTTGGGACATCTCCTTCCCAGTCCCACACCCTATATTGAGACTCCTCAGCTAGGGAGTCAGGCCCAGCCTTGGGTCCTCTAAGGCCAGGTGCTATTTCTGTGTGTCATGTTTGTTTCCAGCTTTTCACAATTATAAACAACTTTGCAGTGAGCATCCCTGAAATAAATCTTTAGGATCATTCTTGTACATTTTAATTATTTTTTTCTGTAGTCTAAATTCCAAAAAAAGTAGAAATTCTGGGCAAAAGGGTATGTTCACTTTTAAGGTTTGTGGAGAAACATCTTGTTGCTTTATGCTCCCATCTGTCATGAATGGAAAAGCCTGCCACCACTCCAGGGGTGGGTGCTCTCCCCTTCTGAAGGTTTCAGTTGTCAAGCAGTCACTCCAAGGGTCTAGTCCTTCCTCCCTTCTGAAACAACAGCAGAACCACTATAAACCAGAAACAAAGATGGAGGACGCATGAAGATAACATGTCTTGATTCCCCTAGCTGATTGTAAGTTTTGCTCTGGAAAAAATGAAGATCATAGATTCCATATGCATAAAGGGAATATGCATTAGATGCTAGGTGAAAGGGCTCTGAGATGGTCCCATGGGCCCAGCTAGGGTCCTTGGGGCCCTTCTTGACTTCTCCCTATCATTCTCAATCAAGTCACCAAGTCCTGTCAACTCTACCTCCTACACGCCTTTGTAGTCAGCCGCCCCCCTGCTTCTGCATCTCCTTTGCCTCTGACCCTGACGCCCTCATGATTTTCCCCAACCAACTGCCTTCCCACCCATTTCTTTTTTCTTTTTTTTTTTTCTGAGATGGAGTCTCGCTCTGTCACCAGGCTGGAGTGCAGTGGTGCGATCTCGGCTCACTGCAACCTCTGCCTCCTGGGGTCAAGCGATTCTCCTGCCTCAGCCTCCCAAGTAGCTGGGACTACAAGCGTGCACCACCACACCCAGCTAATTTTTGTATTTTTAGTAGAGATGGGGTTTCACCATGTTGGCCAGGATGGTTTCGAACTCCTGACCTCATGATCCACCCGCCTCAGCCTCCCAAAGTGCTGGGATTACAGGTGTGAGCCATGGTGCCCGGCCCTTCCCACCTATTTCTTTGCTTCCACCCCTTCAATCCTTTCTCCACACAGATGGATTTTTCTGAACACCAATGACCATGTGACCATCCAGCTTGATCCCTTGTTTTAAATCCTGCTCTTACAACCTAGCAGCTCCCCAGCATACTATGTTCTCCTATGGCTGTGTGCACATGGAATGGGAGTTCCACAAGCAGAATTTACTGCAGGGAAGCTCCTTCTTCCTACTCCCCTCTCTCCAGAAAACCATCTTAGAAACCATCTAATGTAACTCTCTTGCATTGTGGAGGGGAAACATAAAGAACTTGTGCCTAAAACATCCTTTCTTTCCACTTCAAATGTCAAATTTACATTCCCTGTTAAAATTCAGCCCATTATCTCTTCTAGTAAGGCTTGGACCACCCCCTTTTTATAGTCCAGGTTAGGGGCCCCTTCTACATATGCTCACAGCACCCTGTGCTTACCAGCTCTGTATCGTGACTATTTATTCATTTGTCTTCCTGTCTCCCTCAACTAGACTGTAAACCTTTAATTTAAGGTCAGGGATTGGGGCCTATTCATCTTTCTATCTCTACAGACTATACTAGTGCACATATTAAGTTATTGCTTCATGGCTGTCTATTGAATGAGTAGATGAATATTGGTTACAGATTGGAGGAAGGATTATTGCTGTAGGGAAAACACATTCACGTGAATTCCTCTGAGATGTGTAAACTGAGGTGTCAACTTCTCCTTTTCACATTCACATGGCTTGGGCGCCTTCCCTTCAATGAAGCACCCTGGAGAGTCATGCCCAAGCAATATATTTCCATTTGGATTGGAAACACAACTCCTCCCTTCTGGAATATTGTTTGACTTTTCTTGTGTGGGAGAACCAAGTCAGGAAGTAGAGCATGCGTCTCACCTGTGCGTAATAAGACAGGGTCTGAAAACATTTTTGCTTCAATAGCTATATTTTTTAAAGCTACCATTTATTAAGAGCTTATTATGTATTGGCCCCATCCAATCCATTGCACACATTTTTCACTTATTCCTTACAACAGTCCTGTAAATTCAGTGCTATTCTTTTCCCAAAATTACAAGCAGAACCTGAGGGGTGGAGAGATTAGAAACCTGGCCAAGGCCATGTGGTGAGGTATCAGTTCGAAACTGATCTTTTAGTCTCTACTGCAAACACGCTTGATTATTACATGATACCCATCCATGCCAAGCACAGCCAGGCTTCTTAACCACCCAGTGAAATTTGCTGGACCTGTGCCCCTGTTCCCACTTACAGATAAAGACATTGAGCCTGATTGGTAACAGAACTTGATCTACTAGAACTCTTGTCAGTTTAGTAGACACAATTTTTTAAAAAATGAGAAAAGTGCAACTTGCATTTGTTCAGTGACAGCCTGGTGCACAAGCAGGTGGCTGCTGTGATCCCCAAACCCCCGGGCTGGCGGGCAGGGCCTCTCGCTCAGGCATTCTAAGGAAACAGCTCCCTCTTTAGGTCGACTGGAGGAACAGCCCCCAAACTGCCTGGAGCATCTGCCAGCTTGGTAGACCTCTCCCAGGTACCTTGTGGGCGTCTTCAAACAACTTGACTTACAGTGTTATTGCTGTTGTTGTATGTGCATCAAGAAGTCATACTTTATCCAGGACTGTGCAATTGAGAAATGCTGTGGTGGCTAGCATTAAGTTGCCCATTATCTCAGCTCTTTGACTTTGTAATTTCTATCTGTGAGAGAATCTAATTCCCTTTTTCTCTGTCTCCAGCATAATGGAAAATAAGGGGCCAGAGAATAAATTGGAGGCGAGGGCAGAGGCTGCAAAGGGAGAAGGGATGGTCTTTCTGAGCCACATCCTATGGGCCTGGTAGCCCTCTGCTGACTGGATGGAGGAGGAGGAGAAGGGGCTGGGTACAAGGCCCTCAGTGGTGCAGACCGTCTGCTGCATCTAAGGAGGAAGAGTGAGAGGATGGAGGAGCAAACAGGGCATGACCTGAGCAAACATGAAAGTCCAAGGGAGAAAGCACAGGTTGTTGAGTCTGTCTTCCACACTCAGCACTAATTAGTATTCTCGACTGGATGCTCTAAACTCTGTGATCTGGAAGGATGCTAGTGTTATCAGATCCAGACCCAAAGTCAGCTCCTAAATTCTCATCCACTGATCTGACACAATTGTTCCCCAAAGAATCCATATTCACTTTCTTTTGGAGACAATTTTAGGATGTCTAAATTGCGAAGCAATTTCCTGGGTGGAGAGTTGGGAAGTCATAAGGTTATAGCCAAAATACAGAGCCTTGCCATTAAAGAGTCCTCAGTGACACAGCTTGAAGCTCCTTATTGCACCATAGAACAAGTTGCATTTCTAAAAACAGGATAAACAACCAATATCAGCTCTACACTGAAGCCACCTGGATGACCTGCAGGTGTCTACACACCCTCCTGGTGATGCAAACACTTAGTAGAATTTGCTCTTTTCCCCACTGGCATAGGGACTCCCAACCGCAAAAGTAAAATTTTGGGCCCCACTATGCAGCATTGGGTAAGCCCTGTTCATTTCTGGGCCTTTCTGTTCCCATCTCTGAAACGAGGGGTTTAATGAGATTGGGGGTTTCCAGCTATGCTCTGCAAAATCTAGGGGTCCCTGGGGTGCAGGCCTATCAGTCTTACCTGGACAAGATAAGTTCCTTTTGCATCTGTATCACATTGGGTGTCTAGCTGAATATTTTGTTTGATCAAAGAGCCCACAGCTAAAAACATGTTCGAAAACTACCGTACTGGATGATACCTGCTGTGGTCCACTCATTTATGCACTCATCCAACAATTACTTATTGAGCACTTGCTGTGTGCCAGATACTGTTGTAATGTCAAGGAAACAGTGAGCAAAATCCAGATTCCCTTGTGCAATATGGACTATAATTTTAAATTGGGACATTTGGCCTTCCACTGTAGGCTTGACCTTGGACACAGAGACCACATCCTTATCCTCAGATGGGCGACCAGGATGCATACTTTTGTACACATTTAACTTTCTGTTTTCTGGTTGTCCCACTTACCCATGAGAACTTGAAGCTTGCTTGTTGAATATATGGTATTCACATAGTCCTGAAGAGTTAAAGAAACATGATTTTCCTAAGCAGGAATTAGGACAATTGAGCTGATGAAAGAGGTTTTCTTTTCTTTTTTTTAAATGGTTTGTTTATTTGTATAAAATTATTCTGAAAGATAATATATTATGTTTATTGCATCTTACTCGATGAATATTCTCTATTAAAAACAGTGAGATTTCATGGGAAGAAATATCAAATTTATCATAATAATTCAGTTAACATTATTTGTTCAGTCTTTTTCATCATTTGTCCACTTGTAGGCATTGGAGAAAAAAATAGCTGAGATTGATTGAAGCCCTGCTCTGTGGCAGGTATTTTTCTAGGCATGTTCATATTGCATCTCTTGCCTAACTTAATCACTTAATCTTCAGAGCAATCCTGCAAGAACTATTTACCAATTTCTAGAGATAATGAAACTGAAGCTTAATAACCTTCCAAAGATCACAAAGCCAGTAAGAAATTCACGTTTAGGGGAGGAGCCAAGATGGCCGAATAGGAACAGCTCCGGTCTACAGCTCCCAGCGTGAGCGACGCAGAAGACGGGTGATTTCTGCATTTCCATCTGAGGTACCGGGTTCATCTCACTAGGGAGTGCCAGAGAGTGGGCCCAGGTCAGTGGGTGCGCGCACCGTGCGCGAGCCGAAGCAGGGCGAGGCATTGCCTCACCTGGGAAGCGCAAGGGGTCAGGGAGTTCCCTTTCCGAGTCAAAGAAAGGGGTGACGGACACACCTGGAAAATCGGGTCACTCCCACCCGAATATTGCGCTTTTCAGACCGGCTTAAAAAAACGGCGCACCACGAGATTATATCCCACACGTGGCTCGGAGGGTCCTACGCCCACGGAATCTCGCTGATTGCTAGCACAGCAGTCTGAGATCAAACTGCAAGGCTGCAGCGAGGCTGGGGGAGGGGCGCCTTAGGTAAACAAAGCAGCCGGGAAGCTCGAACTGGGTGGAGCCCACCACAGCTCAAGGAGGCCTGCCTGCCTCTGTAGGCTCCACCTCTGGGGGCAGGGCACAGACAAACAAAAAGACAGCAGTAACCTCCGCAGACTTAAATGTCCCTGTCAGCTTTGAAGAGAGCAGTGGTTCTCCCAGCACACAGCTGGAGATCTGAGAACGGGCAGACTGCCTCCTCAAGTGGGTCCCTGACCCCTGACCCCCGAGCAGCCTAACTGGGAGGCACCCCCCAGCAGGGGCACACTGACACCTCACACGGCAGGGTATTCCAACAGACCTGCAGCTGAGAGTCCTGTCTGTTAGAAGGAAAACTAACAGAAAGGACATCCACACCGAAAACCCATCTGTACATCACCATCATCAAAGACCAAAAGCAGATAAAACCACAAAGATGGGGAAAAAACAGAACAGAAAAACTGGAAACTCTAAAACGCAGAGCACCTCTCCTCCTCCAAAGGAACGCAGTTCCTCACCAGCAACGGAACAAAGCTGGATGGAGAATGACTTTGACGAGCTGAGAGAAGAAGGCTTCAGACGATCAAATTACTCTGAGCTACGGGAGGACATTCAAACCAAAGGCAACGAAGTTGAAAACTTTGAAAAAAATTTAGAAGAATGTATAACTAGAATAACCAATACGGAGAAGTGCTTAAAGGAGCTGATGGAGCTGAAAACCAAGGCTTGAGAACTACGTGAAGAATGCAGAAGCCTCAGGAGACGATGCGATCAACTGGAAGAAAGGGTATCAGCAATGGAAGATGAAATGAATGAAATGAAGCGAGAAGGGAAGTTTAGAGAAAAAAGAATAAAAAGAAATGAGCAAAGCCTCCAAGAAATATGGGACTATGTGAAAAGACCAAATCTACGTCTGATTGGTGTACCTGAAAGTGATGGGGAGAATGGAACCAAGTTGGAAAACACTCTGCAGGATATTATCCAGGAGAACTTCCCCAATCTAGCAAGGCAGGCCAACATTCAGATTCAGGAAATACAGAGAATGCCACAAAGATACTCCTCAAGAAGAGCAACTCCAAGACACATAATTGTCAGATTCACCAAAGTTGAAATGAAGGAAAAAATGTTAAGGGCAGCCAGAGAGAAAGGTCGGGTTACCCTCAAAGGGAAGCCCATCAGACTAACAGTGGATCTCTTGGCAGAAACCCTACAAGCCAGAAGAGAGTGGGGGCCAATATTCAACATTCTTAAAGAAAAGAATTTTCAACCCAGAATCTCATATCCAGCCAAACTAAGCTTCATAAGTGAAGGAGAAATAAAATACTTTACAGACAAGCAAATGCTGAGAGATTTTGTCGCCACCAGGCCTGCCGTAAAAGAGCTCCTGAAGGAAGCGCTAAACATGGAAAGGAACAACCAGTACCAGCCACTGCAAAATCATGCCAAAATGTAAAGACCATCGAGACTAGGAAGAAACTGCATCAACTAACAAGCAAAATCACCAGCTAACATCATAATGACAGGATCAAATTCACACATAATGATATTAACTTTAAATGTAAATGGACTAAATTCTCCAATTAAAAGACACAGACTGGCAAACTGGATAAAGAGTCAAGACCCATCAGTGTGCTGTATTCAGGAAACCCATCTCACGTGCAGAGACACACATAGGCTCAAAATAAAAGGATGGAGGAAGATCTACCAAGCAAATGGAAAACAAAAAAAGGCAGGGGTTGCAATCCTAGTCTCTGATAAAACAGACTTTAACCCAACAAAGATCAAAAGAGACAAGGCCATTACATAATGGTAAAGGGATCAATTCAACAAGAAGAGCTAACTATCCTAAATATATATGCACCCAATACAGGAGCACCCAGATTCATAAAGCAAGTCCTGAGTGACCTACAAAGAGACTTAGACTCCCACACATTAATAATGGGAGACTTTAACACCCCACTGTCAACATTAGACAGATCAACGAGACAGAAAGTCAACAAGGATACCCAGGAATTGAACTCAGCTCTGCACCAAGCAGACCTAATAGACATCTACAGAACTCTCCACCCCAAATCAACAGAATATACATTTTTTTCAGCACCACACAACACCTATTCCAAAATTGACCACATAGTTGGAAGTAAAGCTCTCCTCAGCAAATGTAAAAGAACAGAAATTATAACAAACTATCTCTCAGACCACAGTGCAATCAAACTAGAACTCAGGATTAAGAATCTCACTCAAAGCCGCTCAACTACATGGGAACTGAACAACCTGCTCCTGAATGACTACTGGGTACATAACGAAATGAAGGCAGAAATAAAGATGTTCTTTGAAACCAATGAGAACAAAGACACAACATACCAGAATCTCTGGGACGCATTCAAAGCAGTGTGTAGAGGGAAATTTATAGCACTAAATGCCCACAAGAGAAAGCAGGAAAGATCCAAAATTGACACACTAACATCACAATTAAAAGAACTACAAAAGCAAGAGCAAACACATTCAAAAGCTAGCAGAAGGCAAGAAATAACTAAAATCAGAGCAGATCTGAAGGAAATAGAGACACAAAAAACCCTTCAAAAATCAATGAATCCAGGAGCTGGTTTTTTGAAAGGATCAACAAAATTGATAGACCACTAGCAAGACTAATAAAGAAAAAAAGAGAGAAGAATCAAATAGATGCAATAAAAAATGATAAAGGGGATATCACCACCAATCCCACAGAAATACAAACTACCATCAGAGAATACTACAAACACCTCTACACAAATAAACTAGAAAATCTAGAAGAAATGGATAAATTCCTTGACACATACACCCTCCCAAGACTAAACCAGGAAGAAGTTGAATCTCTGAATAGACCAATAACAGGAGCTGAAATTGTGGCAATAATCAATAGTTTACCAACCAAAAAGAGTCCAGGACCAGATGGATTCACAGCTGAATTCTACCAGAGGTACAAGGAGGAACTGGTACCATTCCTTCTGAAACTATTCCAATCAATAGAAAAAGACGGAATCCTCCCTAACTCATTTTATGAGGCCAGCATCATTCTGATACCAAAGCTGGGCAGAGACACAACCAAAAAAGAGAATTTTAGCCCAATATCCTTGATGAACATTGATGCAAAAATCCTCAATAAAATACTGGCAAAACAAATCCAGCAGCTCATCAAAAAGCTTATCCACCATGATCAAGTGGGCTTCATCCCTGGGATGCAAGACTGGTTCAATATACGCAAATCAATAAATGTAATCCAGCATATAAACAGAGCCAAAGACAAAAACCACATGATTATCTCAATAGATGCAGAAAAAGCCTTTGACAAAATTCAACAACCCTTCATGCTAAAAACTCTCAATAAATTAGGTATTGATGGGATGTATTTCAAAATAATAAGAGCTATCTATAAGAAACCCACAGCCAATATCATACTGAATGGGCAAAAACTGGAAGCATTCCCTTTGAAAACTGGCACAAGACAGGGATGCCCTCTCTCACCACTCCTATTCAACATAGTGTTGGAAGTTCTGTCCAGGGCAATTAGGCAGGAGAAGGAAATAAAGGGTATTCAATTAGGAAAAGAGGAAGTCAAATTGTCCCTGTTTGCAGACGACATGACTGTATATCTAGAAAACCCCATTGTCTCAGCCCAAAATCTCCTTAAGCTGATAAGCAACTTCAGCAAAGTCTCAGGATACAAAATCAATGTACAAAAATCACAAGCATTCTTATACACCAATAACAGACAAACAGAGAGCCAAATCATGAGTGAACTCCCATTCACAATTACTTCAAAGAGAATAAAATACCTAGGAATCCAACTTACAAGGGATGTGAAGGACCTCTTCAAGGAGAACTACAAACCACTGCTCAAGGAAATAAAAGAGGATACAAACAAATGGAAGAACATTCCATGCTCATGGGTAGGAAGAATCAATATCATGAAAATGGCCATACTGCCCAAGGTAATTTACAGATTCAATGCCATCCCCATCAAACTACCAATGACTTTCTTCACAGAATTGGAAAAAACTACTTTAAAGTTCATATGGAACCAAAAAAGAGCCCGCATTGCCAAGTCAATCCTAAGCCAAAAGAACAAAGCTGGAGGCATCACGCTACCTGACTTCAAACTATACTACAAGGCTACAGTAACCAAAACAGCATGGTACTGGTACCAAAACAGAGATATAGATCAATGGAACAGAACAGAGCCCTCAGAAATAACGCCGCATATCTACAACTATCTGATCTTTGACAAACCTGAGAAAAACAAGCAATGGGGAAAGGATTCCCTATTTAATAAATGGTGCTGGGAAAACTGGCTAGCCATATGTAGAAAGCTGAAACTGGATCCCTTCCTTACACCTTATACAAAAATCAATTCAAGATGGATTAAAGATTTAAACGTTAGACGTAAAACCATAAAAACCCTAGAAGAAAACCTAGGCTTTACCATTCAGGACATAGGCATGGGCAAGGACTTCATGTCCAAAACACCAAAAGCAATGGCAACAAAAGACAAAATTGACAAATGGGATCTAATTAAACTAAAGAGCTTCTGCACAGCAAAAGAAACTGCCATCAGAGTGAACAGGCAACCTACAAAATGGGAGAAAATTTTCGCAACCTACTCATCTGACAAAGGGCTAATATCCAGAATCTACAATGAACTCAAACAAATTTACAAGAAAAAAAACAAACAACCCCATCAAAAAGTGGGCGAAGGACATGAACAGACACTTCTCAAAAGAAGACATTTATGCAGCCAAAAAACACATGAAAAAATGCTCATCATCACTGGCCATCAGAGAAATGCAAATCAAAACCACAATGAGATACCATCTCACACCAGTTAGAATGGCAAACATTAAAAAGTCAGGAAACAACAGGTGCTGGAGAGGATGTGGAGAAATAGGAACACTTTTACACTGTTGGTGTGACTGTAAACTAGTTCAACCATTGTGGAAGTCAGTGTGGTGATTCCTCAGGGATCTAGAACTAGAAATACCATTGGACCCAGCCATCCCATTACTGGGCATATACCCAAAGGACTATAAATCATGTTGCTATAAAGACACATGCACACGTATGTTTATTGCGGCATTATTCACAATAGCAAAGACTTGGAACCAACCAAAATGTCCAACAATGATAGACTGGATTAAGAAAATGTGGCACATATACACCATGGAATACTATGCAGCCATAAAAAATGATGAGTTCATGTCCTTTGTAGGGACATGGATGAAATTGGAAATCATCATTCTCAGTAAACTGTCGCAAGAACAAAAAACCAAACACCGCATATTCTCACTCATAGGTGGGAATTGAACAATGGATCACATGGACACAGGAAGGGGAATATCACACTCTGGGGACTGTGGTGGGGTGGGGGGAAGGAGGAGGGATAGCATTGGGAGATATACCTAATGCTAGATGACGAGTTAGTGGGTGCAGCGCACCAGCATGGCATGGCACATGTATACATATGTAACTAACCTGCACAATGTGCACATGTACCCTAAAACTTAAAGTATAATAAAAAAATAAAAATAAAAAAAGATAAAAAAAAATCACGTTTAAAATTCATGGCAGTCTGATTCTAAAGCCCACCTGTACCCTTCCTTCCAGGTAGTGCAGCCTCCCACCTTGCTCATTATTATTTGTTCCCAGTTGTTTGCAATCACTTTTTCACAAATCTCTGAGTAATCATTAGGAAAACCAAGTGATATTTCACTGTTTCAAAGGTCACCAGTGGCTTCTCGATCTCCCTTATTCAGCAGTGAAGGGACAAGCATGTACATTTTCTGATTTAGCAGACAGGAATTTAGGAATGCCAATAGTCCAGGGACCAATCTTCTGATCTGTAGAGATTTCCACCTTGTCTTTTAAAAGTCAGATTTTATAAAGGTTTGTAAAAATTAGAAAATAATTTTCCCCCCGATTATCCCACTTAGAGCTTTTTCTATCCAAATAAATTAGAGATAATTGGTGAAGACTAGCAAGTTTTATGTCCTAAGGTCTTCATCATTAAAACTATTCTTATGTAATTTCCTTGTAAAATTTTATATCATGGTAATTATTACCAATAACTATTTCTTAGAGAATTTTTACTTTGTAAAGCAAAAATAAGCTTCTGTCTTAAAGATTCTTATACCAGCACACATACTCACATTTGGCTTCCAATGCAAGCATTTTCTATTTCCCACCCTCTATTCCCTCTTCAATTTTGAAAATTGTGTTATAAAAATTAGTGGTAAAGATGCAGAATAGTCAAAAAAATGTTGAAAAAGAAACGAACAAACTTGGAGGATGCACACTTCCCAAACTCAAAACCTGTGATAGTCAAGACAGTGTGGTACTGGCATGAGTACAGATAAATAGATCAGTGGGATTGAAGTAGGAATCCAGAAACTAACTCTTACACTCATGGTCAATTGATTTTTGACAAGGATTCTGAGACAATTTAATGGAGAAAGAAGTCTTTTCAACAGATGATGCTGGGATAACTATATACCCACATGAAAACAAACAAAGTTGGAGCCCTACCTTATACAATATGTAGAAATAAACTTAAAATGTATCGTAGACCTAAATATAATAGCTGAAACTATAAAACTCTTATAAGAAAACATAAAAGCAAATCTTTGTGACCTTGCATTAGGTAATGGTTTCTAAAAGTAATAATGACAAAAGAAAAAGATAAATATTGCATTTCATCAAAATTAAAACAACCAGAGAGTGAAAGAAAATGTTTACAAATTAAGAGACTTGATAAGATACTTTTATCCAGAGATGTGAAGTCTCATAACTCAACAATTGCTATGGTTTGAGTGTGTCCCTTCCTAAATTCTTGTTGACACTTATTCCTGTTGTAGTGATATGAAGAGACAGGGCTTTTACAAAGTGATCAGGTCAAGAGGGTTCTGCCCATATGAATGGATTAGTGCCTTACAGAAGGGCTTGAGAAGGCAAATTTGTTTCTTCTGCTCTTCTGCCATGTGAGAACACAGTGTTTGTCCCCTTTTGTCTTTCCATCCTTTTTACTGTGTTAATGGCATCTTTCTACCTAGATGGTGCCATCTATGAGGAATGGGCCCTCACCAGGCACCAAACCTGCTGGCACCTTGATCTTGGACTTCCCAGCCTCCAGAACTGTGAGAAGTAAATTTCTGTTCTTTATAAATTACCCAGTCTTATGTATTTTGTTATAGTAGCACTAATAGACTGAGACAACAGTAAAAAGAAAAATAACTGAATTCAAAAATGAACAACAGACTTGAATAGAAATTATTTCCAAAGAAGATAAAAAGTAGGTAATCAGCATATGAAAGATGCTGAACATCATTAGCCTTAAGAGAAATGTATTTCAAAACCACAATGAAATACTACTTCATATCCACTTGGGTGGCTAAAGTCAAAAAGATAATAACAAGTGTTGGTAAGAGTGTGGAGATTCTGGCATCCTCATACATTGCTGGCAAGATTAGAAAATGATGCAACCACTTTTGAAAACAGTTTGGCAGCTCCTCAAAATGTTAAAATAGAGTTGCCATATGACCCAGCAATTCCATTCCTTGAACTATGACATGAGGCAATAAATAAACTCTTACCGTCCTTAGCCATTGAGATTTGGGAGTTGTTTGTTACAACTCTTAACTTACCCTAACCAATACAACAATAATGAAAATTATCTCAGGATTTCTGAAAATTTTCTTAAGAACCATTTATCATTTTTAATTGACAAAGTTAGCCTTATAGAGGTTGAAATATTATCGATAGTCTTTAAGGATACACATTAAGCTTGGAAATCTTATATTCAAAAATATTCAAATTTGTCTGCAAAGCAGTTGGATAAAAGTCACAAATGATTTCAGTGTCTGTAGTAGCAATGTGTAAATATAAAAATGTTTCAATGTTTTTATAACATCAATTTCCACATCAGCTGGAAGAACTTCAAATGTGCTATTCATGTGATTTTTGCAAGCTTATGCCTTTGGCACCCATCCTCATTAATTTTATATGGCAGTTATTTGGTAATTTCCATAAAATATTCTTAGAAGGCATATGTTTTTCATTTCCAAAGTTTGTATTAATAATGTAATATGACCATACCAATAATCTTATCAACAGATATCCTATTGCTCATAATAGAAAAAAAACCCCACAAAACAACCATTAACCTGGCAGGATGTCAAGGTCAATAACTTTCACATTAAATTTAGTGTTAAACTTTTTAAAAAACAGCTTTGTTGAAGTATGACTTACATACCATCAAATTCACTTATTACAAGTGAGCAATTCAATGGTTTTTAATAAATTTGCAGAGTTGTTCGCCCATCTCCACCATCCAGTTTTAGAACATTTCCATCACCCAAAACAAATCCTTTGCTTCTATCTGCAGTCACCCTCCCCTCTTTCTCCCAGCCCCAGGCAACCACTAATCTACTTTCTGTGTGCATAAATTTGCGTTTTCTAAACATTTTATATAAATGGAATTATATAATATATAGCCTATTGCATCTGCTTTTTCTTTACTTAGCACAGTGTCTTTGAGTTTCCTCCATGTTGTAGCATGTCACAGTGTCAATTCCTTTTTATTACTGGGTAGTGTTTCATTGTGTGGATGCACCAGAGTTTATTTATTCACTTGTCAGTTGATGAGCTTTGGCTTATTTCCAGCTTTTGGTGATTATGAACAAAGCCTCTATAAACCTTTATATAGAGCTTTTGTTCAAACATAAGTTTTCAGTACCTGCCTAGAAGTGGGATATTTGGGTCAAACCATAAGCATATGTTTAACTTTATTTTTGAAACTGCTGAACTGTTTTTCAGATTGGCCATACCAGCAAAAGCTGTGAGAGTTCAGTTGTTCTGCATCCTCAACAGCACTTGGTATTTTCAGGGACTGCTAAAACCTGTTTTATTAGGTATGTGGTGGTATCCCACCACACTGTGGTTTTAATTTTCATTTCCCTAATGAGTAAATGTGTTCAGTCTCTTTTCATTTGCTCGTTTGCCATATGCATATTTTTGGTGAAAGATCTATTTAAAACTTTTGTCTATTTTTTAATCGAGTTGTCTTTGTCTTATTTATTGTAAAAGTTCTTTGTAAATTCTGCCACAAGTACCTTATCAGCATGTTATTTGCCAAAGTTTTCTCCTAGTCTGTGGATTGTCTTTTCCATGTTCTTAGTGATGTCTTTGGAAGCACAAGAATTTTTAATTTTGATGAAGTCCAGTTCACCAGTTTTTTCTTTTATAGATCATGGTTTTGGTGTTATATCTTAAAACTCTTTTCCTAACCCAAGATCATAAAGATATTCCTCTAAATATTTTGCCATTTTGTTCTTACATTTAGGTATATGATCTATTTTGATGTAATATTTTTATATGGCATGAAGTTAGAGCCCAAATTCATCCTTGTATATGTGGATATCCAGTTGTCCTGCACCATTTGTTAAAAAGACAATTCTTTACCCCATTTAATTACCTTAGCACCTTTGTTGAAAATCAGTTGACCATAAGCGTAAGAATATGTTTGTGGATTATCAATTTTCTTCCGTTGTTCTATATGTCTATTCTTATGCTAGTTCTCTGGTGTTACCGTTATGATGTAGCTTACTATGATAGAAGCAACTTTTTATTGTTTGTTTTTATTTATTTATTTTTTATTTTACTTTAAGTTCCAGGATATGTGTGCAGAATGTGCAGGTTTTTTACATAGGTATACATGTGCCATGGTGGTTTGCTGCACCTGTTTATTTTTTGAGGCAACTTTTTTATACTAATGGTAAACAAATCTATTATAATTGTGAGGTAATAATATTGTGCCCAATACCTTGAACTTCTGGAAAATAATTACCTTTTCATTACTCATATTCATAAAAAAGTAGGTTTCGCAAGGTGGAAATTAGAGGGGAAGTCTAAATGCTTGGAATCTAAACTGTGTTTTACAGAATTATATATGATTTGCTAAAAACTGTATTTAAAGACATATTTATAATAAATATTTAAATAAATTAAATTTAAAGACATTTATAAGTATTCAAAGACACATTTATAATAAATATGACATTTATAAATATTTAAAGACATATTTATAATAAATTTCTCCAATTTAACACTGAAAGCTATAGGGCTGAGATCCAGCTTGTGTTTATCTAATATAAGAAGTATTGTCCAATTTTCTACTTTGAACAACATTTACTACACTATTACTGTATATTATTGAATCTAAGATGCCATTAATTGTAAAGTGCACCAATTATTTATATATGACTAGGAAATAAAAAATGTTTTCAATTAGAATATATAGTATGACCAATTGAAAAAAGATACATCCGAATTTCAGAGATGTAAAATTCTAAGTAAATGTCCATCTTAAAATTGATGAAATATAATATATCAGCCACAAAATGTTACTTTCGAGTTGTCACATTTCTTCTAAAAGGGATTTTCCTATTGCAAGATCTCTTTAAGGCTCTATTTTTTTTCTCCTTTGCTTTGTATACATTTTCACAGTAAAGTAAAATTCTGTAATAACTCCAATGCTTTTGAATGTATTTCAAATTATGAAGTGGGAGATTGAATTTAGCCAGCTTCAGACACATGGCAAATCTGTTGTCTCAATGAATCATTAATATTTCTTCAGCCAGCAGCAATCCCATCTTTCAAATCCATGTGCATCCTTACTGTAATGCCCACTAGTGTGAATTATTTTGAAACTATTTACCAAACATTGAAACTTCTGGGATAAATAAATGATTTATAATAACCCTGGAATGGCATAGTTTAAAATCTGGACAATCCCATAAAATTCAGGATGTAGACTCCCTATACCATGGATGTTAGTCACTGGCGAGACTGCCGAGAAGCCACAAACTCAGCCCTCTGTGGAAAGCACATTCCAAAGTAGAAGAATTGCCAGATGTGAATAGATGCTATCATTTGCTCCAGAATCTAATTCTTCCCATAGGGCTGGACCTATGGACCCTATCTAAGGGGCACTGGAACTATCCTCACTAAACCCTCAAATCTCTCACTTGCTGGCCTTCCCCCGGGCCTTTGTATCACCTCTTTGAGGTAAGACACTACCTCCAGAGAGTCCCTGTCTATGGAGGGCTGACACCTAGCAGTACATCATTGCTTATTACTGGCCTGGAGGAAGATAGGGTCTTGATGGGAGAAGGTAGGGCCTAGGGCACCAACTTCTCAAGGTTTTCTGGTTATAAGAAAGCTGAGACAACCACTTGGTCCACCATAAAAAGGAAAAGGAGCTATTGTAGAGCAGTTACGCTAAGGAAACACAGACTGAACCAGGAGTTTCAAAGTGATTCAGAAGCTGGTGTTGCTCTAAAGAAGCCTCAGGCCCAAGCTCTCTGGCCTGCACGGTCTCCCTCTCATGTTGAATCTGCTGCTGTCTGCATATCTGCTCTGCTCCACTCTCACCATCTACTAACTAATCTTTAATATACCTTCAAAAACCTGCCAGAGTACTTATGCTAGCTAATGATATCAACCCAGCTGGGGAAAGCCCTTCTCACCTGGCCACCTAATGGGCCACACAACAAGCTATAACTAGCCCATGCATGGGCCACCCTTGGGCCAGATGTTGCCTTGGACTGATCTGATTCCCTTAGTAGGGGGCTGCCAGTGGGCCAATCCCAGCTGGAAAGAGGCATTGAGTAGGGTGGGAACTGTCCATGTTCATAACAGAGAAATTGGCCATGGGGTGGGTGGGTGGCGGTGGGAGTGTGCCCGGGAGTAATAGAGGATGCTGACACCTAGGTCGAGAGTGAGTAGTTGAGAAGGGAAATGAAGGGCATCGCAGATTAACTTTGTCTTTGAGATCTTGTATATAAAAATGCTTTGCACACAGTGAAAGTGCTCTGAGGACTGTGATTGAAGAGTATAATGTTTCAACTAGCATGCAACTTTGCCTCTGAACAAGAGGAGAGTCAACACCAGGATTCTTTTGAGAACTGGACCCTGGTATGGGCGACTGGTGCTTGCTCCCCACAGGGCCATATGAAAAGTCTTATAAAACATGGTCCCAGAACCATCTGCATGGAGGGCAGAAGGAAGATTTATCCATTGGATTCTATCCCCTATTGGTAAAGGGGGCTCCACATTTCCATGTTACCCACATATGAGTCCGGAAATGAACCTTCCACTTGGAGGTCAAAGAGGCATTGAGAAGTATCACCATAGAGCTGTCTCATTGCACCTGCAGGAGGCTCCTCCAAACCATAAAGAAACTGGTTTCTGCTGTAGCATCTGGAGGTGCTGCTACAGAGATCTGGAAGCACATAAGAGGCCTCTAACACACCTAGTCATGATCACCTATGTGAGTAACGTTTTCTCTGAAGGACACACATTTTCATCTCTTCCAGGTTGTTTAATTCTATTTGTCATGCAAAAATATCAACTATGTCCATTTCCTTCATTGTCCTAGAAAGAAAACTCAAAAATATAAGTCCACATTTCAGTTGCTTATTCCTTGAGAGCACTAGTCTCTCTCTCTTAGATACTGACACACACACACAAGAGAACCCACTACGTGGGCCACCGCTGTGTTGCACAGCTCCAAAATGCACCATTCACGTCCTAATCTATGGAATTGTGCAGAGGCATGGGGCTGTTCCCAGTGGCCCTACTCACAATACTTCTCCTGGATTTTCCTACTGACATGGTTAAAGTAGAATGTACTTTTAGGTCAAAGTCACCACCAGGAGGTACAAAATCCCATCATTAGTCCTGTGTCCCTTTCTTAAAATGCTCTCAACCTTATGAAAATGTGAGCATACCTCAACGGGATGGCAGATTTTAATCTGCCATTAGTCGTTTTCATTTTAGTAAAGTGAAGAAGCAAGGCACTGATGGGAGTGAGAGTGGGTAAGGGAAACAGGTCACTGAGTACTGGAGGAGAAGGAGTGGAGGATGTGTGGCTGGAAGGCTCCAAAGACAAATTTCAGCCACTTCATGGTTTGAGCTGGAACTGACCTTTCTCAAGCTGGTATGAATCTAGTTCACTGTATGCAGAACTGTATAATTTTCCCAAGACTTCGTGTTCTACAACTTGGCATCAATCATCTTTGTGGCTAAATCTAGGCCTTTGTGGAATCTTCAGAAGACACATATAATGAGACCCTCAAAGCTAAGGACCTTCTCTATGAGTACTCCCTGGACAGCACTTGAACATGATCAGACAGGAATACTGATGGTGCTTGAAGTCATCTACGGGCACTCAGAATTTCTCAAGGAGTTTACAGTGCAAGATCAAGCAGTCCACACAGATTCTGAGAGAAACCAATAAGCAAATAGTCGTGTACCAAAAGAGTGGTATTGAATCAGAGGATGAAAGAGCAAGGTGAGAGAAATCAGAAAGATTATCTTAGAACTCAAGCCACGGAGGGTTAGCAATCCACAGGCCAAATTTGACCTACTGTCAGTTTTTGAAAATTTTATTGGCACACGGCCACACCAACCATTTACATATTGTCAGTGGCTCTCTGTCAGTAGTTGTAACAGAGGCTGTGTGACTTGCTAAGACTGAAATATTTACTATTAGTTCTTGACAGAATGAATTGACCCTTGGAAAATCTTAACCTCTGTGTGTGCCAATATTCCTACCTTGCTTCCTCATAAGGCATTGCCTCTTGAATTTTCAACTAAGTCATCCCAAAACATTAGGATGGAGCATTCAGACCACACTGCCTCAAGCTTTCCATTTGAGGACCGCTTCCTAGAGGGGCAGCAGCATTCATTCCATCAGTCCACAGACCCAGAGCATCAGCCGAGAGCCAGGCACCCTGCTAGGTAGTGGGAATAGGCAGATGAGTACGGCACACTCAGCTCCCAGCTGGGAAGTACTGAATTAAACTGTAGGTCTGTGTCACTGGTAACCACAGAGGCTATACAAGGCCATGCAAAGCAGTTCCCTGCGGCCTAGTCTTTCTTTCTCTGCTTTCTTTCTCTCTCCCTTGTTTTAAAAAAATCTCTCTCCCTCTCTTGCCTCCTCTTCCTCCTTGACTCTCTCCTGGCCTCCTTTCCTTTCTTTCTTCCTCCCTCTTGCCCACATCTCAGCCTGCCAGTGCCACCCAGTGGCTCTGACAGGCATTACTCAGACTTGCTGACTGCCCTCTAGGTTGGAAATGACCATGGGGAAGTCAGTAAGTGCCTATAATTAGGGATTCCAAAGCAATTAGACAGGTCTAGTGAATCTTTGCAATCCTCTGAATGCTCAAAGCATTAATATTAGCTTTTTAAGTCATTTATACCTAGGTATAAATGAAGGAACCCAGGAGAGGCTTTGTTAAGGGGAAAGAGATCAGGGAGGCCCTAATGATTAATGTTAAAGAGGTTACTGCATGTTGGCCTGGTGCGATGTTTCACGTCTGTAATCCCAGCCCTTTGGTAGGCCAAAGCAGATGGATCACTTGAGCCCAGGAGTTCGAGACCAGCCTGAGCAACATGGCAAAAATCAGTCTCTACAAAAAACACAAAAATGAGCTGGGTGTGGTGGTGCATGCCTGTAGTCCCAGCTACTCAGAGGGCTGAGGTGAGAGAGTTGCTTGAGCCAGAGGGGTGCAGGCTGCAGTAAGCTGTGATGGCACCACTGCACTCCAGCCTGGGTGACGGAGTGGTAAGACTCTGTCTCAAAAAAAAAAAAAAAAAAAAAAAAAAAAAAAAAAAAAAGGTTACTGCATACTGTTCTGAGCAAAAATTTCATTTGGTATAGCTGACAATACAGTATTATACACATAAAAGTTTGTTAAGAGGATAGATCACTTGCTAAGTGTTCTTACCTCAATAAAAAATAGGTAAATAAATATAAAATTGCATTTGAATTGGTTCAGGGGTGTTATTTAGATAGTATATGATATGGATGTAAAAAAATGTGAAATGACAGATTTATGACTGTAACCAGTTTATTGGTCCATCTTAATTCTTATAATGGATTAACATAAAATGATAGTATTTTTTCTGATCACCATAATTAATTGTGGTCTCTTTAATTCCATTTCCTGTCCTCTAATAACACCTTAGGTGAATCTAGTGGAGTCAAGGGAATGGCCTCTCACATAGATGCTGCCCCTACAAGGCTTTGGTAGCAAAACCCTCAGATTATTGCAGGGCTGAGCTCAGACCCTTGTTGATTCTCTCTCCCTTTCCTACAACTCTTCCCATAAGGAACAGACTGCAGGGGTCGGGTGTGTGTGTGTGAGTGTAGTTGATAACAGAAGGGCTGTTTCCAGGGATATTTAATAACTGGAGGGGATGTGTCTGGTTCCAAATTTAAGCCACTGTCTTTAGAAGGAGGGGTACTGAGCACTTGCTGTTTGGGACAATTCTGTGAGAACAGGAAAAAGTTCCACTCATCTAATCATAGCCTTGGCGCAAACAGTCTTGCACTGTGCACAGATGAATGCTCATTAGTGTGAGGGCGGCTGTGGCACCAGGATGCTGCCTTTCCATGTCATCCCAGCATCCAACTCATGGATACTGGTCATTATAAAGTGATGCTTAAACTGTGACTATGATTTTCTCACCTACCAAGTGATTTTCTCCCCTAAGAATCTGGGTCTCAGAATTCTAGTATTTCAATAGCCACCAAACTTGTGCAGAGTCTAATGGAGGTTCTGGATGGCACTGTATATTAGTCCGCTCTCACACTGCTATGAAGAAATACCTGAGACTGGGTAATTTATAAAGGAAAGAGGTTTAATTGACTCACAGTTCCGCAGGGCTGAGGAGGTCTCAGAAAGCTTACAATCATGGCAGAAGGGGAAGCAAACACATCCTTCTTCGCTTGGTGGCAGGAAGGAGAAGAATGAGAGAAGTACCGAGTGAAGGTGGGGGAAAGCCCCTTATAAATCCATCAGATCTCATGAGAACTCACTCACTATCATGAGAACAGCATGAGGGTAACCGCCCCCATGGTTCAATTACCTCCCATCGGGTCCCTCCCATGGCACATGGGGATTATGGGAACTACAATTCAAGATGAGATTTGGGTGGGGGCACAGCCAAACAATATCACACGGCTCTTTTAAGTGTGAGAAAGCAGGAGAAGGGGCCACTGTCTGTCCATTATCATCACTGGTAGGATTAACCTCACTTCTGGGCCAAAAAGTAGTTATTTGAACTACAGTGATATTTGAAAGACTTCTTTGTCCTAAACCATCTCTCCCACTTAGGTCCCCCAAGGCTTAAAATTTCACCATGAGAAATTAACTCTTTTGGGTAAAGCCTTGTCCTCTCCTTCATGACTTCTCTTAAAATAAAAATACCCTAGAGAGTTTTCCCCATGAAGTCACTAACCACCAAGGGCTACAACTTCTGAGATGAAGGCAAAGTAATAATAGGCCTAGTGCTTCAGAGCCTTCTTTGAAACTATTATATTAGTACCTTGCATTTAAAAGTTTAACTGTTTACAGTTAATAAACTATTTAAGTTAAATTAACAGTTAAATTTAAGATGTTTAACTGTTAAAAGTTAGAATTACCAATGTAATTGTCTATCATGAATGCTACATTTTAAACACTTAAAATCTTGTACTTTTGAAAGATGATAGAAACGGCAGTTATTTGGTTTGAACATTGGTTTTCACTTCTGCTCTTCCACTTGGAATCACTGACAAAAATATTGAGGTGGTGTAATTTAAATACCCATCACCCAGCCCCAGCTCCAAGGGAGAGTGAGGAGATGTGAGCAGAAGAGGTGAGAAGAGAAGAAAAAAGAAAGATTTGCTTTTCTCTGTGTTTGTGGGCTTTTCCATTAATTAACAATAAAGATAGCCATGGTTTATATTTGACTGCTCCATGATGGATTACACCTGAGTGTACATGGAATAAATAATAGGCACTCTTACTCATGATCCCCACAAACTATCCTGGCACCATGCTTTTGTTGATCTTGTAGCTTCTACCTAGACTGTCTTTTCTCTGGTTTCCTTCTCTCTAAATGCTACCCTTCCTTCAAAACCTACAAAAATTCTACCTCTAGACTTCTCTAGTCCCAGAACTATCCTCCTCATAAATTCAAAGCACTATCTGCACAAATCTCTTGGCATTTAAGCTATAATTACACCATGACTTCTCAAACGCATTGCATTCCTAGTTAAGTTTCTACTCATGTAATTTAGTGCATGTAGATATATATATCTTGTTTCTCTACCTGCATGTAAATTGAACAGTGTTGGAATCCCCACAGTGTCAGGTACAGCCCTGGGCATGTGATAGTTGCTCAATAATATATTAAATGAATCAACTGAAGTTAATGCATACACCTCTGCTTAGATGGAAGATAACAAATACATTTTGCGGTCTCTATTCTTTGGCTACTTCCAGAGGAGATATCTTATTTAACAAACTGAAAACATTTGACAGCTAAAAATAATGATATTTAGTCTCTTTAGAATCAAGGAAGCACTGGACATGTTTAAGAAGCTCAGTTTAGATGAGGTGCTAACTTCATCTGCCATCATGGCTATTCTTGTGTTGTCAATATTTGAAGAGGATAACAGTGACAGTTGAGGGAACAAGGGGCCACTGTAGACCCTGAACTGAACTGGAGGGAAAGTACCCTGTGAGTCACTCACAATTGGAACCACCAGGAAGGGCTTCGGTCAGGAACATGAATATCAACTAGAAATATACCGTAGCTAGAAAACTGATCATTAAACTTGAACCCTGGTTCAGAATTAGATTTAACCATATAAAATTGCAGATATTTGGCCATTTCTAAACTACAAAACAATTTCCATATGAGTCATCCCAACATTAACCCGCATAACATTGAGTGCATAGTTCTCATTTCCTTCCTCAGTGTGTTAACATTATGGTTCCAATTCTATTCTGTTTGAAAATTTACTTTCACATGACAAACCATAACAATTTTAGTAATAATAGAATGTCAGCTATGACATACCTTACATTTAATCTTGTAAGGTGTCTATCTATTTAGGAAGTCTTTACTCTTACAAGTGTGTATCTATTTAGAAATCCCTTCTCAGTAACCCCTGCCTCTCTAAAGCATTTTAGAGCCATGCTCCCTCATTGATGAAATATAAAGCCATTCTAGATGGGAAAACCCATTTTGAATAAAATGGTTCCCAATTCTGCCTTTCTTCCATGGTTTAGTTTCTTTTTAAAATGTGGAAACTTGTTCTATTCTGTCTTCTCTAGTTTATTGTCTTGATATACCATGTTTCCCAAGAGGATGATGTGTCTTCTTCCTACCCACTCCCTGCCAAAGACACCATTACTATACATTATTTACCTTCTGCCTTCTCTCCCTAAATGAAAATGAAGACAATATTTGCTCACCTTTTCTTTGCTGAGTGAGATAACAACAGCCCAACACACCCAAGCTGTGTAATGTCAGAGCTCATTTCCTTAGCAGTTGCGTCACAGAAGGATTTGTGAGCCCCAGAGCAGACGTCCATGGTTCTGATGACTTGTCATCAGGCTCAGAATAGGAAGTTTTGAGTTCTAATCCAAGTTGTAACAGTGACTCATGGAATACTTTTAGGATAATTTATTGAACTTCCAATTTGGCCATGTATTCCAATGATACTTACATGGAAACTCTTATTTACCCCCCTTTCATTTCTACCAGGTGTACCTGATGTATTAGCTTCCTTACAATTTGTGTTGTTTTTCCAGTGTCTCAAGTTCGTAGAGTTCTTTGTAAATCTGTTTCTATTTGCTTTTTTGCTTGTTGCTGTGAAGAATACGTTGACTTGAGAGCAAGTGACTAGTGAGTGCTTAGCATCATCTGGAATATGCTGGCTCCTTAGATAGTGGCCCCCATCCAAGAGAGTAGAGCAGCCTCCTGGTGTAGCCTCTGATCCAGCTGAAGGAGTAACTGGATCTCTGGGTTAGCAGAATGAGGGGAGTCCAGAATGTTTCCTTGAGTCAGTGAATGATGTCTGCTGCAAGATTGGGTCTGTTGGATGTCTTCCACTAATCCAACAGTGTTGGGCATGCTAGTCATTATAAAATCTGGTTCTGCTCTCAAGAAATTCACTTTAGTTGTTGAGGCAAAAACAACACATATGGGAAGTATGGAGAAAAATTAACTTCTAAATGGCATAGCCCTGTGTAAACAACATTGTAATTATGTTTTTATTCCTTAACCTTTGAAACTTACCTTTTGGGATCATGATGTGATGAAACAGAATAATGAGCAAAGGCACAGAGAATTTAATTTTTAGGGCTAGGTTCATCAGGAAACAGCCATAAACTCTTAGAAAAATCTTCATGACTTATATTAAAAGATTTTTTAATACAACACCAAAAGCCCAATTCATAAAAGAAAAAATAATAAATTGGACATCATAATATTAAAAGCTTTTGCTCTATAAAAGACACTGTTAACAGAATGAAAACATAAACCACAGATTGGAAGAAATATTTATAAAACATATATCTGATAAAGGACTTGCATTCAGAATGTACAAAGAACTCTTACAACTCGATAATAAGAAAACAACCCACTTTTTAAAAATGGGTTAAAAGTTGAACAGGTCTGTAATCCCAGCACTTTGGGAGGCCGAGGCGGGCAGATCACGAGGTCAGGAGATCGAGACCATCCCGGCTAAAATGGTGAAACCCCGTCTCTACTAAAAATACAAAAAATTAGCCGGGCGTAGTGGCGGGCGCCTGTAGTCCCAGCTACTTGGGAGGCTGAGGCAGGAGAATGGCGTGAACCCGGGAGGCGGAGCTTGCAGTGAGCCGAGATCCCGCCACTGCACTCCAGCCTGGGCGACAGAGCGAGACTCCGTCTCAAAAAAAAAAAAAAGTTGAACAGGTATTTTTCCCACCATCTCTTCTTTCTTCATCAAACAAGTTATACATATGGCAAATATGCACATGAAAATGTGCTTAATACCATTAGTCATCAGGGAAGTGAAAATTAAAACCACAATGAGATATGCAACTATTTGGATGCTAAAGTTAAAAAATCTGACAATACCAAGTGTTGGCAAAGATGCAAAGCAACTTGAACTTTCGTACATTCCTGGTGGGAACAGAGAATGGTACAATCACTTTGGAAAACACTGGCTGTTTTTTATAATGATAAGAACACACTTACTATTTGACCCTGCAATCCCTCCTGGGCATTTACTCAACAGAAATGAAAATATGTATTCCTACAAAAACATGTATACAAATGTTTATGTAGCTTTGTTCATAATCAGCAAAATTTAGAAACAGTGCAACGTTCTTCAGCTGGTGAATGGTTAGACATACTTCAGGGCATCACACAATGGATATAAACAAACAAACAAATAAATAAATTTTAGCAATAAAAAGAAACTAGCCACTGTTACATGCTATAACACAGATCATTCTCAAATGCATCATGCTAACAAAAAATTCAAATACAAAAGGCTACATGCAGTTTGATTTCATTTATATGCAGGCTAAAGTTTTTTGTTTTTTAAAGGAAAGAAAGAACTGTAGGATTGAATCTATTAGTAGTTATCAGGGGCTTGGGGAGCGGGTCAGGAGCTGACTACAAAAAGGCATCAGAAGATCTTAATTTAGACATGATGGATCTGTTCCATATCTTGATTGTGGTGGCTCTTATATGATTATATGTTTGTCAAAACTCAGAATGGTAATACAAAACATTTGAATATCACCACGTGTTAATTGATACCCCTGCTTTTAAAAAGAGAAAAACGAAATTTCTCTGATTTGCATACACGTTTGTCAAATGAAGTCAATGCACTGCTGCTGCTGATAATGATGATGGTGTATTAAACTCACAGGATTTTTGTGAGCTTTTGTAAATGAGAAAACATCCGTGAGTGCTTTGAAATGCATGAAGTGCTTGCTTTACAACTGCTGAATACTATTATTAAATTTTCGTTTTGGTTTTGTATTCCATTACCTTGCTGAACTCTTTTATTATTTACAAAAGTTTGTCCATTGATTCAACTTTTTAATGTAAATTATCAAATAGGCTATAAATAATGACAGTTAATCTCTTTCTTTCAAATCTTATCATTGCTTTTACAACTTCTTTTTTTACTTTCTTGTGTTGGTTAAGACTGCTAAGTCAATGTTGAAGAGCAGCTGTGGTAGGAGGCATTCTTTTCTTATTGCTAAGCTAAATAAGAATGTCTATAAAATTTCAGAATTAAATATGATTTTTGATGGATTTGGTAGCTGTTTCTTATAAATAAGGCAAGTTTCTTTTCATTCCTGTTTCTCAAGAGTTATTTCTTATTTTGTTTCTTATATAAATGGATATAAATTTTTATTGAATATTTTCCCTATACCTATTGAAATGATCATATCATTTTATGATTTGATAAAAATATTTATTTTCAAGCAAACCTTAGAGCCGACCTTTTATATTCTTGCATTCTCTTCTTTAATCAATCTGTAAGCTCGTAAAGGGCATGTTGTTTTTGTCACTGTACCTCTATCACATAGCACAGGTCTGATTTAAACAATATATTTATCCCCAGAAATTAACTCTAATCTTTGGAGGGAAGAAAGTACTTAAAATACATGATTGAGGACTAGTGGCTCAGAAGAATACTTCTCCCATAAGATTTTTAAATGCCTAATTTCGGGATTAACCTCAGCCCATTTCGTCATCTATATATCTATCAAAGTTTTGGTTTCATTCTTTGTGCCTCAAAATGGCATGGACATAGATCTTTTACAGAGTTATTACGAGTACAAATAGTTTTTCAGGCTTCCCTAGGCCCTGCTGCTATTTTATATTTTAATCTTTCTTTACTTATCAAGAGTGGGTTGTAGGTTGGGCCTAGGAGCTTTAAGATTTTTTCTTTAAAGACTAGGATGTGAGCAGAGGAGAGAAAGAGCCTAGTAACACCTAGAGACTTGTAGAAAGTTTCCATTTGTAACACAGGAGTGTCAGCCAGGAGAGTGGCAGGTAGTAGGGTGGGTGGCCAACTTCAGGCTTGCTTTAGCTGAGTCCCTTGAGAGTTCTCTTCTCAGGGAAGACTCAAGAGAAGGTACAGTGTAATGGGTAAAAGAATGGACTTTGGATACAAGTAGCCGAAAATTCAAATCTTGGCTCTGACAATTACTAACTGGGCAATGATGGATAAATCACTTAACCTCTCTATTTTTGGTTTTCTCATCTCTAAAATAAGGATAGAAGTAGGTAGTTTTGAGTGCCTGACACACAATGGACTCTCAAAAAATGTTCACTGTAATTTCAATAGCAGTTGCCTAGGCATAATCTGATGTAATAAAATAGGTTTCTCCATGAGAGGGCACTTAGATTTTTTTGTTTGTTTGTTTGGTTTGGTTTGGTTTTAGACATCTATGATGAGGAAAAAATATGTAATTAAAAAAATACATTTATAAAGATAGAGAACAAAGAGAATCATGACTCATGTTTTACAATTTACATAGCTTATTTATTGTTTCATGTTCTGCACTACTTCAGACAGTTATATAATCCCCCCACCCCTGTTAGGATGCCAGGATATGACATCAGGAAGATAGAGAAGAAGAGTTTTGGGGGGAGGCAGGGAGAAGACATATGCTTCTCTGATGTGAATGTCCCATCACTTACATTGGATAAAGCAATCCCAAATGCTGACTGATACCGTGGAACAGTTTTTTCCAGTATGGTCATTCTAGTTCTAAAATGCTGTGAGACCTTTAGATAATGTTAGGAGCCTTTCGCAGTCTGGCTTGCTGTCAAGTACTGGATTTGAGCCCTTGGTTAATCCCCAGTTATACTGGCTTCGAAATCTCTCCAATTCTTGAAGTCATAGCCTGAACTTCCCCACTTCTCTGGGAATAAGTTTTCTCAGACACTCATTTTCCTATGTCATTCCCTTCCCAAAGGCTACAGCTGTTTCATCTCCAGGAAGATAAGACTATTCATTAGGTTCTGTCCCTCTGATTGTGACCCACCTCTCTGAACTTCATTGCCTTATCTCCTAGTGGGCTTTTCTCTCTTCCAGCCAATGCCACTTATGCACTATTTTCGTCTGTGTAGCATCGACCCCCTATCTCCTGGCTTCCATGAGGGTGATTTCTCCAGCTTGCTGTATTCGCTCTTCCTCTCTTTCTGGAGTCATGAGTTGGAGAAAATCTTGGTTTCCTAACATCTTTGGAAGGGATTTGCTATTAGGTTCATTTGTGTTTGCGTTTGTTAGTTTAGAAGAATAACTTCAATATGCTGGGATTGGAATAAGATTCAAAGAGAAAGTTCAAGTGAAAGAAGAAAGGTAATTGCTAAATTGCATTTAAAAAAAGGAAGTCTTGTTAACTGAGCTTCTGTCCAGCTCCAAGATAGATTGGTCATGATGAAGTCAATGCCTAATGGCTACTGATGGTGCACTGGCTAGTTCCCGAGTCAGGTGATGATTCAGAAAATTAACCCCTGTGTCTTGGGGAAGTCTGTGTCCAGACTAAATGTTTAATACCACTTGAAAAGAGTTTCAAGACTTAAGCTTTAAAAAAACAAACTTTGCTGTCAGTGCGAATTATCAATGACAAATACTTTGCTTTACAACCACTTGCTTTGGTTCCTAATTTGAAGGATGCCAGTCTTAGGATGGTCTATTTGTTTTCTTTGCTGGGAGACAAACATATTTTCGAAAACAAATTCCAGTCTGAATAGGAAGGGACTATTTATTTGGCAAAGCAGTGTGTGTTCCCACATGGGAAATTATATATAGAGAGAGAAGCACCAGACTGTGCAGGGAAAAAAAGTTTTAGATTCTCTAAGGCTGTGACCTGGGTGAAAGAACAGGGTTTTCCCCACATACTTGGTTTGAAGGCCATGGAAAGTTTGCATTCCATGGGTTCTGAGCACTGGGCAGGCCCCAGAGTGCTTTCATAGCCCTCTGTGGTCTGTGGTCTGTGGTCTATCATGATTCTACCTCACCAGTCCACTATCTCTCATTCCCCAAATGCACAGTCTCCATTCCAATCAACTGTTTATCCTACTAATGTAACAAACTTTTTCCTTGTCTGTGCAATTTCTCACGTCCATCGGGTCTGTTTCTAAGCTCTCAGACCCTGCCCCCTTCAAGCCCAATCTGGTTGCCCCTCCCCAGAAAAACCATCTCTGGCTTCATCACTGGTTCCATGAGTTTCCTTTTCTTTGAGCTGCTCCTCCTTCCCTTCTCTTTGAATCCACCTGAAACTTGAAGACAATCTTCCCTTGTAATCTACAGTATTTTCCCCAGTGCTTCCTCTTTTTCCTGATGAGGATGACTCAAAGAATAATGAATGTTACAATTCTTGACTCAAGAACTGTATTAGTACAGAGAAGTAGTAATAATAATTTGAAGGCTACTTACAATCCCTAACTTTCCAAAGCATGGTTGATTTGAAGTCAGCTTCTTTGTTGGGGACCCCAGGCCGCATTAGGCCTTGCTAATATCTGTGGTCATCCCAGCACATGGAATAAGTTAGTTCAGCTCATATGGGTAAATTTTTCATTCCCAGGGAGTAATTTTGTTAGTGCCAACTTTAAAAAATAATACTACATTGTCTTTGGAGAAGACTTTTTTCCCAAGTAATACAAGTCCCTTTTTTGCCAGCTCATTCAGTCTCATAAAAGCTTTCTGAGGTAAGACTCACTCCCTCTTTTTTTAAGTCAAGAAAAAGTTTGCACAAAGAGAAAGCTGGAGAGAGAAGACCTTTTAGGTCTACATGTAGCAAGGATAACCAGGGAAGTCTCACTTTCACAACAAGGCCACCATGCACAGTTGGGTGGATTGCACACCGTATAACATCAGAGTTCATGGGAATGGTGCTTCCTGAGCAGTGCACAACCTCTTTAGACAGATGTAGTGGCCCCATGGCCCCATCTAGACAGCCTAGTCTGAAGTGAAGTGGAAACCAGTGCTGGGTACTAAGCAAGAGACTAAAGGGTGCTGCCTTTTACTCCTCTTCTTGGACATCCAATCTAGATGGCTCTCACTCTCTTTGTATTCTTATTTAGGTCACAGGAAGGGGAGAGTTTATCAGGCCTATCTCATCACTGTCTTCTTAATGAGGCTGTCATTTCTACAGAAGCACCAAGCCAAAATTGTTTAAAGGGTTGAGCTTTCAGACACATATGGTTACTCTGCAGCAGCATGTGTCAGAAACAGAGAGGCCACATTCCTAAAAGAGTGGGGCCAAGATATATGCATTATGGACTTAACTCCTGACACATTTGGCACAAGTTGAAAAATAAAAGAAAAAAAAACCACCCACTGTCTCAAGAGGCCTTGGGCAGGAACATACAAGGCAAAACGTTTTAGTTGTAGACAAGAAAATGCTGGAGAGTCAGCAGGGGATGAGCTGGTCAGGAAATATCCACTTCCTGTGGACACTCCCAAGTTCTCCCGCGCTGGCCAACCCCCGTTGCAGATGATCCAGCCAACAAAACACTCCACCAAAGTAGCACTGTTGGCTCAGCCAACTCGAGTCAGCTGCGCCGATGACCCCACATGCCCAAGTGGAACCTTCTGGGTTCCTTCCTGAGGGATGTTCAAATAAACCAACAAGAAAGATTTGGATAGGAAATGTGGAGTTCTGGAGGCTAGGGTGGGCAGATGTGTAAGGCTGAGGCTAAAGATGAATTTCCTGACCCTCTCAGGCACACAAACAAGGAATTCAAGTTGACTTTACTCTGAAGAAATGGCTTAAAAGAAATGTTTTTTAACTAACGGTGGGTATTTTTCAATATATGGTTGAAGAATACGGTGACTCATCTCCATTCAGATGAAAACCTACCCCTGAAGTTTGCTGCATTAAATGGGAATTAGTATGCTAAGTCCATAAACCACAACCACCATTTTCAGTGTAAATCAGACTTGTCTCTTAAATTAAAAAAAAAAAGCAATTGCAGCAAGGAGTCATGATGAGATGCCTTGCCTTCAGTGGAAAGGGAAGTATGTTTTCTCTGGCCAGCCTACACAAAATCAGATACTTAATATGATTACTGAGAAGATGGAAAGATTTTCAGGAAAGACTCCTATTGCTCAGCTCCTACCAGCCTGCAAAGGAGTAAGTAGGAAGTCAAAAGGACCAGCCCACTAAAAGAAGGCTGAAAACAGGATCTCTGATTCCACTGAGCAGTTCTGTGAAAGCAGAACATACGAATGGATGGGTTAGGCTGGCAAGAAGTTCCATCAACCAACTAAGCAACCTACTTATTTTTAAGCACCTACTACAGGAGCGTGCTCAAAGGTAGGGTTGCTGCTCTCAAGAAGGGGTTGCATTTTGAGCCTTTGGCAAACCAAGAAAACAAGAAATGCTACAAGCATTTCCAACAGAAATTAGTTACAGAGGTGATAGAAGAGCTGAGATGCCAAGGAAGGACAATCCAATGACCCGGAGATGAGCACCAGCAGGAGGCCCTCCATAGCTCCTAGGTTGAAAGCAGCATTTCCAGAGGCACTGAGGCTGGGGTGAGGAGGCAGAGGTGGAACCAAGGTGGGTCTGATCTGTGGAATCTGGAGCTATGGAGGAGACCCAGCTGTTGCTGGAGAATGAGTTTGAGGCAGAGAATGAGAGGGAGAAACACCCAAACTTACCCTCACTCCCCACTGCCAATGCCTCACCAGTGCCTGTTGTTGACTGCACCAGGCAGAAGCCATCTCACACAGGAACCTGGGGAAGGCAGCCTGCAGGGGTCAGCCCCACAGCAAGGCAGAGCAGAGGAAGGGCAAGGAATAGATATGAGGGCGAGTAGGCCCAGGCCTGGCATGGTGAATGCATTTGGATCATTTTTTACCTTCACAACAATGACCTCACCTCGCCCTGGGCCAGACCATGACAAATCAATTGCAAGCCACAAATGCTGGCTGGGATGGACTCTAGGGTGAACCTCTGCCTCATCTTCTCGCCAGTTATTTAACTCAATTTGGGCTTAGCTCAAGACCCTAAGGAGGTCCCTTAATTCTCTCAGGAGTGAAGGAACTATTTGTAGCCTGATATACATACTGTCTTTTCACAGAAGTCTTGGAACTGACTGTCCTCACTCTTGTTCCCCATGGAGAATTCCAGGATCTAACTGGCCCCATGGCTACATAAGCAAAATCCTGCCTGGCTTTGATTTCATCTATGGCCGGCTCTGCCAAAACCAGCTCCACAAAGACGATGGATGCTCCAGGATGCCTAAATTGATGCTTTCAGGGCCCTAGTGACTAGCCAATGGCATCCCTCTAGCCTGAATATTTCTGAGTTAATGTCCCAAGCCCATGTTGCTAAATTCAACCTTATCAATATTACCAGTGCAGAGGCTCTAGTGTTCCGTACAAGCTGGATAGCCTCAGAATTACTTAACCTCTTCAAATCCCCGTCTCCTCATCTGCACAATTGCAGCAAATACAGGTCTGTTGTGTGGATTAAATGAGACTATGTCTGTTAACATACTTATTCTGGTGCCTGGCACACAAGCAGTGCTCAATAAATGACACAGTTAACTCTTTATCAGTGAGGTTTCCTCTAGTGGCAAGTGACAGAAGCCAGTTCAACTTAACTTAAGCAAAAAAGGCCCAGCATCTGGGCCAGGAGCTCATCCATGGTCTTCACTATGGGTTCTCTCTAATCACTTGGCTCTGTAGTCTTGGCTCTGTAGTCTCTGATTGGTTTCATTTTCAGGCAGACCATCCCCATGAGATGGCAAGATGAATGGTGAGACATCTTCCCAGCTGAGCAACCACAGGAGAAAGAGATCCCAAGAGTTTTCTGAAGATCCTGGAATGGGGCTTCATTGCCTGTTTGCATCACACTTCCAGCCCTGAATTAGTCACTGTGGCCAGGGGATGGAATGCTCTAGTTGGTCAGGACTGGGTTTGGGGTCCATGTAGGTTAAGAGTAAGGGAATGTCAAGTCTCCAAATGGGGTAATAGCCCCTGTAGTGGAAATAGCTTGTATTTGCTTTCCTATTNGTCCCTAGAAGACAAATACAAGCTATTTCCACTACGGGGGCTATTGTTACTATTATTCGGTTGGTGCAAACATAATTGCAGGTTTTGCCATTAAAGTAAGGGCGCCAACCTAATGTTATTATTACAAATTATTCTTTGTTATGTACAACTAATATCACCACCATCCCTGCTACTCTATACTGTACAACTAGGACAAAACTACACTGGAGGAATATTCTAGTGAACAACTAGGCTAACAGGGAGGTAAAAGGGAAAGCCGTAATAGGAGAAAAAAGATCCCAGATAGAAGGAAATAAAAGAGTTCTTAGTAATAGAAGAGAGATAAAGGAAAGCAAAGCCTAAAGTGATAAGTTCTAGGAGACGAATTAAGCATCTTTCAAAACCAAAACCTATCTAACTGGAAATATGTAATACATTTTACAGTTGCTAAATTGAAAACACCTCACTGTGATTATTTAAATAAAGCTTAAATGGCCACATGAAGCATGCATGTTGTATGATGTTCTCCTGCAGCACTGACACAGGTATCTGTGAAGCCAATAAAATTCCCTTCACAGGAAAGCCAGGTCTGCAAATGTCTTATTGCAGACACAGTCAGCAATGCATTCCCCACAAAAGGAGTCTTATGATTTTGGAACATTCTAATTTTTCCTTCTCATTGTCTTAAGTAAAATAAGTATGTGAATTTCTGGAGGAAAGTTCAGATGCTATAGCCGATAGTGAAACATTGTTTGGCTATTTGGCAATGCTATAGTATCCTTAAACAATTGGTTTGCTCTAAGATTAGTGATATTTAGAAGCATATAAATACATAATAGAATACTACTGTAAAACCAACAACTCTGAACTTGAACTTGAACCTATCTTCCTTTTACATACAATATACTCTGTCAACAGAATAATCTAGATTAAGCTGCATTACACAGAACATTGGGAAAACATTGCACATTGCCCTTCTATGAAAACTAAAATTGTGTTCTCAGAAATTTTTCTGCTAAAAATCAATAAAATTTTATAACTAATATGCTATAGGATTTACTTAAGGTGAAGCCTCTGCATGCAAAACCATGGGATAACTGGTTGAAGCTGGTTATTTGAGCCATCTGGGCATTTCACCTGAAGAGCATACAGGCCAAGTTGGCTGAAGCCCACCTGAGTGAAGGAGCTCAGCTGACTGGGAGAAGCAAATCATTCAGCTTCAATATAAGCAGAATATAAGTTCCCTGTTTTGTTTTTTGTAAGAGAGAGTATGCAGTCATTATATAGTTTTACACAACAAGTTTTGAAAGAGAAAGAATGCATGTCTAAGTTGAGCAAGTCTTGAGGAGATTGGATAGTGTATTTTCTCAGTTGTGGAGCAGTGTTCTTGGGACACCAGTCGAGGACTATTATGGAGTCTGATGGGCTCACCAAACAGAGAAGGAATAATATGACCTTACATTTCTAGACTTTATTATACTTCTCAAACCACCCCCCACTCACCTACAGGTAGGGCTGACTCCGAATTTAGTGGCCATCCTGCTCCTGCATATTCTTTTCCATAACACATACAGAATGAAAACAATCTTCACCCATGTTGAGAAAAACAGTCATTTGGTTTATGAAGGATATTTTTTTCTTTCATATTTTGAAGGGTGGTGTAGACCAGATTTAAAAACATGGCTCGAGGAAGCAAGAAATCATTCCCCCAAGTGTTTATTAAGTGCATCACAAATTCATTCAGCATGACTGCTTACACAGAGAAATAAAGGCAAAATGGTAACAAGCTGCGAGCCTCCAAAGTACCTTCAACTTTAGGATCTCCCTGGGAAAGGGTCACAAGTGTAATCATCTTCAGCTGTCCCTGCCTCGCTTCCGCCGTCAATGGAAATATCCAGGCAGGATGAATACACTTTCTGACTAGACTCTCGACTGACCTAGACAGCTTTTGGAAATTCAGGATATACTTTTCCTAAAGCTTCTTAATTTTTCCCATCCCTCCCTAATTGAAAACATCATTTATCCCATTACAGCATGTGGAAAGAGAGGGGAGGGAAAAGCAGACAGAATCTGAATTTAGGATAAAAATTACTTCGTGAGGTTATTATTCTCATTCATAACAGATGACAATTTTCATGTCATTTAGGTGATTCCAGAACAGAATCATCCAAAAAGATATTAAGTACTATTTTTTCATACTATTTATCTCAAAGGATGTAAAATGAGACATGTATACCTACATTTAGTAGCTACTCATCCATATCTTGCATATTTCCTGGGAATGTTTTGAAATGTTGTCAAGTTCAGTTAGCTGTTATTTCACTGGCCACACGTGAAAGAATTTGTCTCCTTCACTTATACTGTGGTGGGTTCCAAAGACTTAGACTTCCTCCAGTGTCTGAGAACTGTCTGAAGATCCTACTTCTAAAGAAATTTGTGGATGAGTAGTTTCTGATGTAACTCTATTCCTCATTTGTAAGGTGACAGCTACTTCTTCAATAGCACAGCTCCTCCATGGGCTTGCAAATGGGCTCAGCCAGCTCAGATTTGAAACACTCTTTAAAATTCTAAGACGATGTGTCATTTCAAGGGTAAAAAAGCAACATTGCTATAAATATGAGTGGATGCTGGAGTCCCAAAGACTTTCAATACCCTGCAGCTTCCTAGCTGCTGACATCAGCAACATGGTTCTTATTATAGAGCTGGATTTCAGACTGTGGAACTTCCCAAGTATCATTTCCACTCTATGTAAAGAACATGGATTCAGTCCGGTTTCCATGGAGTTAATGGATAAGATTTGGAATGGATCCCTCTCTCGGCCATTTCTGCGAATTAACAAGATGACTCTGGTCCACTAACCCATTTCCAGGGACTAAGATAATGTGAAAGAATTTGATTCTGTCACCCATTGGAACTGAAATTGTTGTTTAGCAATGAATACAATTAGCTCCAAATATACTGGATGAATTAGGACCTTCTAAGGCAGTAGCAAAAGAAGAGCTCAAATATCAACAACAACCAAAAACTCAACAATCTGCTCTCGGTCTGAACTTTCAAGCGAATGAATTGTTACTTGCATGGGCTAACAAAATCCCCTTAAAAATTACCTCTGTTCAGTACATATTAACCCATGTGAGTCAAGTTCTTGGCTAGGCTCCTTATAAGCACCATCTCCCATAACCTTCACAATAGTCCAGTGAGGTAGGTATTCCTATTGCTTCCGTTTTACAGTTGATGAGACTGAGGCACAGAGAGATTAGGTAACTTGCCCAAGGGCACACAAAAAGTAAGTGGCACAGTTGAGACATGAAAACAATCCTGACTGACTTTAAATCCCCGGAACCATTCTGCAATCCTGCCTTGACGATAGGTCAAAGTCTCTGCTTCCGTGGTATTAAAATTGAAAAAAAGCAGCAGTTGCTGAGAAAGTTTCACTCAGTGCGACATCTGTAGCTATCTTTTCCCTCTCCCTAGGCTCCTACTTATTAGCTTTCTAATGACACTGACATTTTCTATTTGGCAAATATGCTTTTGTATTGTATGGGTTTTGGGGTTTTTTTGTTTTTTGGGTTCTTCTTGATTCAGTCTCACTCTATGGCCCATCTCTGCTTACTGCAACCTCCGCCTTCCAGGTTCAAGTGATTCTCCTGCCTCAGCCTCCTGTGTAGCTGGGATTACAGGTGCCTGCCATCGCGCACGGCTAACTTTTGTATTTTTAGTAGAGACGGGGTTTCACCATGTTGGCCAGGCTGGTCTCGAAGTCTTGACCTCAAGTGATCCACCGGCCTCATCCTCCCAAACTGCTGGGATTACAGACATGAGCCCACCATGCCCAGCCGGTTTTTTTGTTTTTTTTTTAGAGTCAGAGTCTCGTGGCTCTGTCATCCACCACGCTGGTGTGCAATGGTGCCATCACTGCAGCCTTGAACTCCCAGACTCAAGCAATTCTTCCACCTCAGCCTCCCAAGTAGCTGGGACTACAGGTGTGCACCACTGCATGTGGCCAATTTCTTAATTTTTTTTTTTTAGAAATGGGGTCTTGCTATGTTGTCCAGGCTGGTCTGAAACTCCTGACCTCCTCCCAAAGTGCTGAGATTACAGTGCTGAGCCACTGCACCTGGCTTATTTTATGTTTAAAGCTTGCTTTTGCAGAATGCATATTTCATATCAGCAGTGAAGCATTGAGGAGTCACAGAGGTCTCTCCATGCCTCTACCATGGCAAGGTTGAAAGGAGGCCTTGTGCTTTGGTTTGCTCATCCAAGAACTTGACACATACCACTAGTCCTGCTGGGGGCCTCTCGTCCTATAGGAGACCTTGGTTTGCCAAATGCAAGACCTCAAAGCTCAAAGCCTTCCACAAACATATTTTTAAATCTTTATTCATTTCTGCATATGAGGAAATTAAGGAAATAGAATCTAATTTTGTGAAATTTACATCTTTTAGGCCGATGACAATTATTGTTCTTAAAAAAATGTATATAATAAGCACTATTTCTGTAAATGAGAATGGACACCACTTATGTGTGTGTGATATATATCAGCACGGATATGCCTAAGCCTGGAAGGTTAAAGAAGAAATTAAAAGCAGTAATTACTTCTAGTGGTGTTGGTGATAAAAAGTGGGAACTGAACACCTGGGGTAGGTGGGAAGGAAACTTCTCTTTGAACACCTTTTCTTACCTCTTGATGTTTGAAACATTAGAACTTATTGACTACTCAAAAATGAGTTAATTTGTAGAAAAAAAAATGCCTTTAATGTTTACCTTGAAGGGCAACCAGAGGCCACAGTATCACCATGAGATTAGTCAGGGAGTTAGGTTTGTCTAGAGACAAACATGTCACAGGCAGAAAGTGGCAACTAAAAGCCTAAAAGGGGATGGCTGCCTTACAGGAGGCACAGCCTGTGTCACACCAGCAGAGGTGTAGGAAGCTGACATAACAAGAAAGAGCAAAATTTACCCAATTGTGTCACATATTATCATGCTGTCAAACCTGGAGGACATTATATTAGGTGAAATAAGCCAGGCACAGAAAGGCAGATACCACACGATACCACTTTCTTGTGGAATCTAAAGAAGTCGAACTCGTAAAAGCAGAGAGCAAATAGAGGTGACCAGCAACTGGTAAGGAAGGGGAGACTGGGGAGATGGTCAAAGGATCAACATTTCAGTGAGACAGAAGGAACAGGTTCAAGAGATCTAACATTCAACATGGCAAGTATAGTTTACAACAATGTATTGTGTTCTTGAAAATTGCTGAGAGTACATTTTAAGAGTTCTCACAACCACAGAAAAATGATAAATATGTGAGGTAATGCATATGTTAATTAGCCTAATTTAGCCATTTCACAAACTACACATATTTCAAAACACATGTTGGACATGATAAATATATGTAATTTTTATTTGTCAATTAAAAACAATTAATTTTAAAAACAGGTTCTCAAAATAAAAACAAAATACGGGATTGCTGCAGGACTTCTCAGAGGCTTTAATATGCCATTTTGCATTGAGACCTCCCAAGAGGAGGTGGGCAATGTTTCCTAAAGTTATTTGACAATGGAACCCTCCCTTTCAAGGAGTATCTCACAGGATTAGTGTTCCATGGAATGCATTTTGGAAAATGCTAGATTGTCAAGGACCCATCCAAATAAGAGATTCTGTCTAAGCTATCTGTGGAACTTGGAGTTTTAAAGAGAAGTATTACATTATAACCACCACATTCACCAGTGTAAGGTGTCTTAGATGAAGATCTTTTGGATAAGAAGTATACATTCAATTCAACAAATATTGAGTGGCTATCTGTGCAGGTGCAATTCTGGGGACTCTGGAGCCTGCAGAAAGGAATAACGAAGGTGACTAAGTGAGGCAAAATGTAGTTCCTTAGCTCGTTCTGCAGCAGAAGGCGGCATCTGAGCCATCACAAATGGTCAGTTCTAATTCAACAGATGAGATGTCCTTCTTTATTTCAATTTTCAAAGTGTTTATTCTGAGCCATATAGCTCCTTACATATCGTAAGTGCCCAATATCCACTTCTGAACTGAATGATACATTTTCCCTGGCATTTAGCAAAAGAGGAGCTCTAATACTCTTCAAAGCAGAGCAATGTTAGTGACTTACATGGACATGATAGTTATCCATGGCATGGGCTGTATGGCGCATTTTCATCTACGTAAATGGACAACTCAACTCTAATTTTATGGCTGAACACCTGAGGGACCAAGTGATTACTCATACCGTGCTCCATGACTAGTAACAGGGTCTGTCCCCAGTCACATCATAGATGTCATTTGTGTCTATGGTGAAGTTGACACTCAGGGTCCACTTTATCAGCCATGAGTAGCTGGGAGCTGTCAAACACATGATCTAGAAGTGAACCTTTTAAGTTGGTCTATGCACTGAAAATAATTAACAGAGACCATTTTGAGGTTTAATAAAACATTTTTACATATGTCATTGCCTCTCACAGTTTTTACCATAATCTTGTGAGTGAAAGGGGTTCTTACATCTTCATTTTAGAGAAAACAAAAATGGAAACTCAGAGACCCTTATTCACCTGCGTCTGGTCATACAGCCAGCATGTGATAATTCTGGGAGCCAAATCAAATCCACCCACTCTGGTGCCAAAGCCCACATCCATGTCAGTAAACAACAGTTGCATGGACAGAATCATTGGTCCATGAGTGGTTTATTCTAAAAGCTCACTAGTCAGTATGAGATAGTACTAGGAATTAAAAAGGACCTCCTTCCTAGCTTTATCATGCCCACCTTGGTTCTCATCCTGGGAGATGTATCTACCCTCGCATCAGAAACACCTTATCATAAGGTCATGGACCTCTGAATTAGGATTGATCTCTGCATTGGGTGTGGTAAGAGCCAGGATTTCCCAAGGCAGTGGTTCTGAAACATTGATGGGTATAATAGTCACCTGAGAAAATGTCAAAACTGCAGATTGCCTGCCTTGTCACCAGAGATTCAGGCTACTAGGTCTAGGGTGGAGTCTGGTACCTGCATTTTTCACAAGTCTCTTAGGTCAGCAGTCCCCAACCTTTTTGACATCAGGGACTGGTTTTGCGGAAGACACTTTTCCCATGGACGGGGGTTGGAGTGGAGATGGTTTCAAGATGAAACTGTTACATCTCACCTCAGATCATCAGGCATTAGTTAGATTCTCATAAGGAGGGTACAACTCAGATCCCTCCCACGAGCAGTTCACAATAGGGTTCCAGCTCCTATGGAAATCTAATGCCGCCGCTGATATGACAGGAGGCAGAGCTCAGGTGGTAATGCTAGCTCACCCACCACTCACCTCCTGCTGTGCGGCCCGGTTCCTAACAGGCCACAGACCAGTGCCGGTCCATGGCCCAGGGGTTGGGGATCCCTGTCTTAGGTGATTCCATTCCACAGTTTAAGAAGCATACACTTCAATTTTAGGAGCCTGATCATATCAGAGTAATTCTAGTGTTAGAAATAATTATTCATCCTCCCTGTCAATAACTCTTTGGGTTTGTTTAATTGCACGATAATAGAAAATCAGTGACCTAACCCAATCAATGAGTGATTTAACCCAATCAACAATCAATTCAGTAAACATCTCTTGTTTACTTCACACAAGGTAGTATGTGCAGCTCTTTGTATTTAAAGATGAACAAAATATGATCTCTGCCCTCCACAAACTTACCTTATTAGGAGAGATGGACATGTGAATAAATACACATAATCAATGATTTTAAAAGCAGAATCACTGGGGTACTCCTGAAACACGGCAAAGAAAGGACTCATTCTGCCTGAACACCTCAGACTGCTCCCAAAGGAAGCTGCTTTTAAGCTAAGCCTGGTACACATTTTTAAAAAGCCATGTTAGCAGGAGAACAAAGATAAGGAAATAGAGAAGCATAGGGGTGTCCTAGGAATCTTGAGAGGATCATGTATGAGTAGAATACAGTAGGAGTAGAAAATAAAAATAGTTTTCATTTTCAGGGTCTTTTTAAATTTCCTTTAATCCTGTCAACTACCTGTTATATTGAAGAATCGTCCCTATTTAAAAGATGAACATACTAAGTCAAAGGTTTGTTCGAGAAAAAAAGCCTGCAGGACCTACAAACAATATCAATTTTTGGTGGTGGTGGGGATAATGGGATCATAGGATGTTGTTGTTGTTGCTGCTTTTGTCAATGTGGAAAGGAATATTAGGGATTGATAAAGCCACATACTCTACGAAAAGTAGCATTTAGAAACATACTACACTAAAGTTCAACATTCTATGTAAACTCTCTCTCACTTTCTGCACTAAAGGGCACCAAGAGCCTTTAAAAGGTAGTTGATTCCACGTCGTGGGGTCAGGGAAATGTCAGGATGAGTCTGAGACAGCATGCATCTTTTTATAAAATGACAGAGGCAATGTTCAAAAGGCAAAAGAGACAACTTAAAGAGGCTTCCCTTAACTAGGTTGAACTCAACAAAATAGATAAGATAAAATGAGTAACACAATGTTTCATCAAAGTAAGTTGCAACTCTCTAGGAAAAATTATTAGTTTCTAGTGACACAAAAAAGGTAAAGTTGATATAAAGTGTATAAAAACAAAACATCATTGTAATACAAAGAGGGTTAATATGATAGGCTGTTTTAATTTCTTTTTGGTTTTATAAATTAAGGGTATATAATTAAATACAAATATTTTGCTTCTCTTCTTAATAAGAAATAATCCATAATTTACAGTTCACTACCTGTTATTTTCTGTTTCAGGAGGAAAGAATAAATAGAATTGTATGCAATTCTGAGGAAAATAGGTATGTACTATAAGAAGAATAAGAAACACCAATTAAAACTGGCAAAACAGGGTCCTGCAGTCCATCAGGAGGGGTCACACAAAATAATCAAGTAGAAGGGACATGCCACAGTGTGTTCCAAAAGGACAAGTAAGCCTTATGTCCTACAGAAGAGAAACAACTAGGCAGACTCAGTCTCCCCTTTTGGAGGTGAATCCTCCTGACCAGTGCTTCCCAAACCTTTCATTTCATGGCACACAGAGAAAATGATGATATTTATCCAACAAAACATTAATTCATGACACACTATAAGGCTGCTTTTGATGTCCCCTTCTCTCTCTCCCCTCTTCCACATTTCCTGAACACTCCAGGCTCCAAGCAGCTCAGGGCAGAAGGGATCTATATGGTGGCACCGTGTCATTCACACATAGGAATGGGCAATTACATATTATGCCGGTTGCAAAGTTCTGCTCTAGATAGCCCTCTTAGGTTTCATAAAATACCAATAAGTTTCATTTTAAATAAAATACCAGTAAGATTTATATTACTGTTTCATAATGCTAATAGGCAGAATCAATGTATCAAAATGGCAAGTCAATGTGTTAGCTACTACCAGCTGTGCCCAACTAAAGAATAAATCATTTTTGGAAAAGCACTAGGTTTGTAATATTTAAATCTGTGTGAAAGACAGAAAGTTAAAACTGCCATGATGTAACAAATGAAACTTTATCATAAAAAGGAGAAAATGAAGACTACCTTAGATACTGCAGCAGATCAAATGTCAATCCATTCATTACCCAGGTACCATAACTGTCACTTTTTGAGACTGGTCCTTTTCCTTCAGTCTAATGAGGTATAAGAATACTGAAATTACAGACATTTAAGGAAGGCAAGCCTGAGAAGAAATGTAAATAACTTACTGGTACTTAAGTCTATGGCATTAACATTTAGGGAACTAGTTTCAGTTTCAGGGTACAAATCAGCTTTTCATCACTTTAATAGTGTGTATTTGTGTGTCTTCTTTTTAAGTGTTTAAATGCTAAAGATAATTTGTTATGGTAAAATTGTGGTTTTAATAAAATATTTAGAAGTATTTACATTAGCAATCAATATTTAAATATTTGGGAAATTTTTATTTGATGGATCCATATTTTAATTTTTTTTAGTTGTAAGGTTTGCACAAATATTTAAAGGAATGTTAATTGTTTAATGATTAAAGAAATGCTGATTGTTTGATAAATTCATAAGACTATTAAATAGAATATTAAACAAAGCACGAATAGTAGTGAGTTCCAAGGGATGTTTAAACATCAAATAATACTCTACAGTTACTGGGATAATTTATTTAATGAGCATACATAATTTTTAAAATGAAAAAGAAAGACTTGAAAATGCAAATTAACAACCTCATCTCCATTTGCCCCACCCCCAACACACTGTAGATCCCACCACAAACACAATACAGATTAATGGATCAACATCACATGTGCTCAGAGCTGGGGCGTATGAGTGTTATGACCTAGTTCAGTATTCTTGTCTACATCTCACGAAACAGTGTGATAGAGATCCATGTGATGTGGCACTTCATCATGGAAGGCTTTGGCAATCCTGGTGAATTGAGATAGGCAATGGGATATGATAGAAGGCACTCTCAGAGAAAGATCGGTGGATTCTTAGGTTTGTTAGTAACCAGTATGTTACCAGGGATAATCATCTGTTAACTTCCTTATGCCTCAGTTTCCTTATTTGGTCAATATGGAGTTTAGAATTTCAATTTTCAATGTCTCTTTCAGTTCTCTAGGTTTTTCTTGGCTCACTGCAACCTCCACTTCCAGGTTTAAAGCGATTCTCGTTCCTCAGCCTCCCAAGTAGTTGGGACTACAGGTGTGTGCCACCACACCCAGCTAATTTTTGCGTTTTTTTTTTTAGTAGAGACGGGGTTTCACCATGTTGGTCAGGCTGGTCTTGAACTCCTGACTGCAGGTCATCCACCCACCTTGGCCTCCCAAAGGGCTGGGATTACAGGCGTGAGCCACCACGCCAGGCCCAGTTCTCTGGTTTTATGAAATATCGTGGAGAACACTTATTTACTTCAGGAATAGAGGGAGACTTGCTACTCTTAAGGCCTCAGCTCCTCAGGAATCTGCATCAGGCATTTACTAACAGCAACACTCATTCCTTCAAGTTGTTCCAAGAAGGTCCCACCGTTTTCTGTTCTCTTCCACTTTTCAGGCATTAATTGAAATGGTTCTAGTGTCCTTTCCATTCTCTTTGCTCTTATGAGTTGTTCTTTTATTATTATTTTATTGGACTTTTAGAAGGGAAAATGCTTGGGTCAGTCAGCCATCTTAAACTAGTACTTCATCATTTAATTCATATTTTTAAATTCACTTTTGGTTTTTTGGTAGTATTATCTTCCCAGAGGCTGGGGTCCTCCTCTTGCTGTGAGAGACACTCTAAGTCCTGATGAATGGATAAATCTAGTTTTACTTATTTGGATTTAGACAACTGTGTTCTTTAAAATGCAAAGATGTCACTACCAGCGCTTAAGTGTTTCAGATGTTACTTGCCAGCATTTAAAGAATAAATATTCCTATTCTCCCTTTTAGAGCACTCTAGGAAGAGTATCACAGCTTTTGGAGGCAGGAAGAAAATTGCCATAATCAGGCTTTGGTCTACATCCAAGGTTCATACTTTTTTGTTGTTGTTGTTTGCTTGTTGTTTGTTTTTGAGGCCGGATCTCTCTTTGTCATACAGGCTGGAATGCAGTGGCACAATCATGGTTCACTGCAGCCTCAACTTCCCCAGGCTCAGGTGATCCTTCCACCTCAGCCTCCCAAGAATCTGGGACTATAGGCATGTGCCACCACACCTGGCTAATTTTTCTATTTTTAGTAGAGATGGGTTTTCACCATGTTGGCCAGGCTAGTCTCAAACTCCTGACCTCTAGTGATCCGCCTTGGCCTCCCAAAATGCTGGGATTACAGATGCGAGCCACAGCACTCGGTGTGGTTTATAAATTCAATGTGCATCAGAATCACCTGGAGAGTTTGTTAAACTATGGACTCCGGGGCCCAATTCTAGAGTTTCTGATTCAGTAGGTCTGGAGTGGGGCCTGAGAATTTTTATTTCTAGCAAGTTCCCACATGATGTCGATAATGCTGGTCCAGGGACGACACTTTGAGAGCCACAGGTCTACATGAAATACAACATTTAGGCATTGAATTATATGTGTTGGCTACCTACTCTGTATTAAGTATTTTTATAGACACCAAGGACATGGTGATAAGCGAAAGAGATGAAGTCCTTGCCTGTGAAGACCTTTTCTGACAGAATTTTCTAGTTGTTAACTAGAGGTTTTGGTTAGAAGTCTGCTAGCACAGAAGTTCTCTTCACAGTGCTATAGCACACTGCATTCATTCCTTCCTTGTTCCCTATCCTGGTATTCTTGCCCAGAATTCCCCTCCTCTCCTTCCCCTTCCCATTCTCCCCAGCCAATCCAAGTCTTGTCTATACCTCAACTCAATCTCTCTCTTTCTCTTTCCCACCCAGCCCTCAATCATAGCTTCTTCCCCTACGTCTACCATAGAAGCCGAGCTCTTAACATACCCTTTATTCTACTGTTTTCTGCGTTTTTATCTGCTTCATTTGTGCCCTCACTGTTGGGATATCTATAAGGCAATGGGCCACATATTATATTTCTTTATAGCTCCAACACTCAGTTCCTCAAACAGCATGAGAAATACTCCAAGAGCTAAACCCTTGGCATCTAAGCTCCCTCTTGGAGGAGGTGGGGTAGGATTAAAGTCACTGCCACCAACAACAACCAGTCAGACCACACCGACAGACTGTGTTTGTAGTGACTGGGGTGGAGTAAAGGGATTGGAAACCAGCGGGAAAGATCCGTATTTGTTTTAGGATTTTACTAATGGGGAAAGAGTCAAGAGTGGTTAATTTCCCCTTCAGGACAGAGTTCATCTTCTAAATGGGGTTTGTTCCTAAAATGTAGTCAAAATAAGCTGCAGAATAAGTTATAGAATCTAACAGCCATTGGTATTTTCCTGACTGGTATTTCTTAATTTTACTGAAAATTAGTTCTGAGTTGGTTATAATTAAATTTGTGGGTCTCAGCTCACATTTTTATCGTAATTGGATTAACTGGAAATTAACTGTCACAAACCAGTCCAAATATACTAAGATAATAATGAAACCCTATTAATCCTGAAATGGATTGCTACTTAGAAATGTAAGAAAATTACGTTGTAGCTGGAAGAATCTTGAGATCCTCCAAAAATAACAGAATCAAGTAGTAGTTAAGTGTGTGGGCTCTGAACCTAGTTTAACCCAGTTTGAATCTCTACTCTGCCACCTACTAGCTGTGTGATCTTGGGAAAGTTTCTTAGTCTCTGTGAGCCTCAGTTTTCTGCTCTGTACAGAGTAAAGCATAAAAAGTACCATGTACTAAAATAACTAATGGAAGAAATAAATGGTGGCATAATAAAATAATGTACATGAAGCTCCACATACAAGTCCTTGCACATAGTAATAGCTCAATAAATTGTAGTTATGATATGGTCCAGCCCTATCATTTTACAGATGCAGAAACTGAGGCTCAGAGTAATTGCAGTAATTTAGGGACAGAGTTAAGACAAGAACTTAGGACTTCCGAATTCCAGCCCAACACTCTATTCAGGGTAACTTACCATTTGCCACTTGCCCTATAATTTGGATTTTTCTAGCATATAATTTATGAAAACTTGGATAGTAAACTTTCATGAAAATTGGGTTTCAAGTTGAATATAGTTGGGTTATTGAGTAGGTAACTCACTTATGAAAAGGACTGTTTTTAAGTCTTTAATAGTATTATTTAATAAATCAACTACAAATATTATTTGTGAAGTAGTTACTAGTCATTCTTAACTGTTTAATTGAAAGATCCTATTCTCAGCAACACTAATTAGAGTGTTGATTACATCAATTTGAGCTGCGGTATACATTTATGCATTGTAAACACTGCATCTTATTGGGTCAAAATTAGAGTCGTCAGGTGCTAAGAGGCCCTCTAGCCATAAAGCCCTATACATACAGGAAATGACTATCCCAAGGTGTCCCTAATAGGGCCAGTCATCTCTTAGGGAGTAATGTCAGTGAGACCAAAATTATTACACCCAACACAGCCAGGTCTATGTTTTAACTCTTGTGATCGTAAAAATGTGCTTTGAGCTCTCAGATAATCTTAAATCCAGCATATACATAGTGCCTAATATATTCCAGAAGTTATGGCCATCATTGGTCAACCTACCAGTTCCTCACACTTTTCAGTAATAGATCCTGGAGATGTTGTACCTTTGTTTACTTTGCAGTAGAAGCACAGTCAGATTCCAGGTAGTTTACCTGGTCCAGATGGGAGCCAGTTGCCTTGGACCCAATAGGTACTTGTGCTATAGTTTGAGTTGCAAAAGTGAAAGATGTTTAGTAATTCACTGATGTCAGGAGTGTTGATAAAAGCGATTGAAATTTCACTGTAGGAGATGATTGTACAGGGAGTATGCTCAACAGGAAACTTCGTTGCAATAGAAGAGAAACAGAGAGCTGGAAGAATTTTTTTCATGACCATGTGACTCCAGATTAAAAATGGATTAGGATAAGTTAGGTTACAAGAGACAGCAACCTTCTTGAGAAGAAAGGGGAATTGTGTGGGCTTATAAACCCACAGGAAAATGGGATGGGGTGCTGAAATCAGGCACTGGAGGGCTACTGACTTTCTCTAGAATTCATTCGCACACCAGCTTTCCCACAAGGCTGGATCCCTGTCAGCTACCAGCCATAGGTTCATAGCCTTTACAGCCTTGGGAACAGAGAAAAGAGACCCTCTTTCCCATGCTGCAGTTGAATAACCTGGGGAAAGACTCTAAAAGGCCTGATTTGAGTCACACATTCAACCATAGATGATTGTCATGGCCAAGGATGTGAGTTGCACTAGAAATGCCCAAAAGAAAGGGAGTACCATTATGAGCACGGAAAATTGTCCACCATAGCTAGCATTTTATAGAATGCTTTCTTTATGCTGGGCACATGTATGCTCACATTTACTTCTAAAATAAGAACCATGATCACAGGAGGTGTCTGTAGGGTCACATTAGATTGTTCTGAGGGGCAAGAGGGAGGCTGCCTGGACGAAGGGGAGCCCTAAGTCACCAATGAGAATTAAAAGCTGGACCCCACACTAGGGTACCTCCTCCTTTCATCCGAATAAACAAGAACAAAAGTGGACCCCAAAGGCAATCCCCTTCACTCACCCCATCTATCCCCAAATGCCTTTCCCAATTGATATGGGTTCAGGATTCAAGGGGTCTGAAGCTTGTATAAGTTGGGGATCCCTTTTTAAGTAAAAGAATATTAAAACATTTTACTTTTGCAAATTTTACAACATATAACCATGTAAACACAATGTTAGTGCCCCTTAGCTGTGTCTATCTAAGAGGGGAGTCTTGAAATATAAACCTCACTAGTTTCATGATAAATCTGCCTCTGGTAAGAACCTCATGGTTCTTGTCCATTTAAATGGACATGTGTGGTTTCAAATACCAAATTTTCTTCTAGAACACTACCAAGAGGACCCTTCCCCACTGGCACTTGTCTTTCAAGAACTTCCATAATTCAGGTTCTTAACTAATTTAGATTGTCCTTCTACCTCAATTAACTCAAATCCTGAAAATGTATCATTTTTTATAATTATTTAATTTTGACTCCCAGTCATCCTTCAGGTGAATTTTTTTTCTTTAACAAAATATGGCCTCTGGCTAGAGAGAAATGGGCTTGAGAACAATGCTTATTCCAAGGCAAACCCTTTGGCCTCAGTGTCATGGGCTTGAACCTGATGTTCCCAGTCACGGCATTGCTGAAACTGATAGTCTAGTCATGTAGGGGATTTTCCTGACTCCGTGTCTGTCTCCCCATGGCTGTTTATTTGTACTGCTGTCTGCTTGAGTTTGGGACACTGACCTTATGAGCTGCTTCCCCAGCCCAAGCCTGTAGCCAGAGAACTAGGAGTTTCCCTCTGGCACTGCTTATGGCCAATTGGAAAGATCTGGCAATCAATTCACTGTGGAACTGGCTTGGGGTAGGGAGAGGGGGAGGGGACTTTAGAGTGGAAAGCAGAAAGGAGAGAGAACAACGAGAGAGAGAGAGAGAGAGAGAGAGAGAGAGAGAGAGAGAGAGAGAGAGAGAGACAGAGACAGAAAAGAGAGGCTTTTAAAATCAATGCCAAGCCAGCTGTGGCTCTGGACAGCTGAGTCATAGAGGATTAGGCAGTTCAGTTGGAAAGCAGACTGTGCATACTAACTCTCGGTTTCCAGCTGGAGCGGGGGATAGTAAAATTTTAAAAATTAAACAAAAGAAAGCCACAATTTAATCTCAGATAGCACTTCATTCTGAGACTCCCCGTGGTCAGAGGTGAAGGACAAGAAGCTAGTCTCATTTTTCTACAAACGAGACTCAGTCCTCATGTGGTTAAGGCAAGAATCTCTTAGAGAAACCTGAACATTGCCGTTTCGTTTTTTGAATACATAAATTACAGTAATTGCTAGAAGATGCTGGCTGCTGGCTTCTTATTGGAGTTAAAGGTTGTCTTCAAATGTCGGCCACTGAGTCACAAGTTCATAATCAGCTGTGCTGTGGCCGGATTTGGCAGTTCCGCTAGGCACAGGAAGGACATTATTACAGAAATAATTGGAGGGATGGTTGTATGTCTAAAATTTAGCCAAAATGAAAATACAAATTATTTCCAAATGATGTTAAGGGAGATTTGAAAGGAATCTAAGAAGCATAGATATGGGCAGAGTGAAGCACCACTATCCTGGGCAGGGAATTCACTCCAGGTAGAATAAGGTGTGCCCCCTCACAGTGGAGTCTACTCCTTATAGTCATCACTGGTTCACTGAAATTGTGAAACAAGGACAATCTGCATGGAATCTATCAACCAGCTTCTCTCACCTGTCAATTCTGCTGCTAGCAAGAAGGCTTGTATCCATCCTGCCTGCCCAAAGCTCTAAATAACCCACAGGCCTACTCTTTCTGCTTCCAAGCACAGAGTATGGGAGCATTTCAGAAAAAGTCACAGGGCCATGCTGACAGAATTTTTTACAAATCTATGCTGGTAAGATTTAGCTAGGCCCAAGGCTGGGCTGGCCAATGATCTTTTTATCCATCTCTTCTTAATGCTGGTCTTATTCCCACCAAGGGATTTCTCCCCTTGTAGCCATAGAGGAGACAGATGAAAGGAGTGTGTGTGTGTGTGTGTGTGTGTGTGTGTGTGTGCGCATAATAAGGAGATAAGCACCACTGCCTCCTCTCTGCTGGTGATCTGGGCACCCCTTGGCCTGAGGCCTCTGCTGCCATCTTTTTCTCTTCTCTCTGACTCCGGATCTTGTTTTGCTCTAGGCTAGTGGTTCTCCACTCTGGCTGCACTAGAATCACCCAGGCAGTTTTTGAAAAGTACAGACACTGGGGCCCCATCTCACCTCCAACTTCTCAATAGATTTCATTTCTGTAGAGTATGGCTCAGACAAGGTCATCAGTAGTATTGATAAAGCTCCCAGTGGTTCTAATGTGAAGTCACCAGCCACCTCCCAGTTGCTACCTTACTGAGGCTACAGCAGCATCTCAGTGTCTGTCATGTCAGTGTCTTATAGCATTTAGCAGAAGTTCTTATGCATACTTAGAAAACATTGGTTAAGAGTCATTTCTGGCTAGCATAATTAAATTCATTTTCACTTTGTTTCCTTCCAAGGAGAAGCCAGAAAGTCTATCAGATTCTCCATATAGACTTTGCCTGTACAGCCTTGGACAGTAACTTATCCTCTTTGGAGTTGTATTTCCTCTTCTAACAAAGTGAATTGCTTAAATTAGGTGTTCTTTAAGACCCTTTTCATATCTAAGCTGTCACAACCATAAAACTCAAAGACCTTTTATCAGTACTATTATTTACCAGCTGTGTGACCTTGAGTGGCTCATTTATCTTCTCAAGCTCCTCAGATTCCTCACGTGTGAAAATCAGATGGGAAGATCAGGCCAGGTTTTCCAAATATATTCTCCAGAACATTCCTAGTCCAAGAGATGTCCCATGAAAAATAAGGTAAGTAGTCCAAGAAGGCTAAAATGTAACAAAACTAGGTTAACTCTTTTTCAACCCAGAAATTCCTGAAGTTATTTGACCATGTAGCTACTGCCTTCTTATAAATCCTATTAAGAACCTGCAGAAGTATTATACTTGATGTTTAGATCTCTTCCACTTCTTAAATTTCACCATTCTGTGGTCAAGGCACAAGCTTGTTAGGTAAGAGGGTGAATAACATGCTTGCTCCCTTGACATGTAAAGGAGAAAATAATTTGTTCCCTGCTTGACCCCAGTCTTTGGCTGTTTCACAGGGACAGACATAATCTGACACGGATATCTTCTGGGGCTTACTACTTTTGAGAAGACATTTTTTTTTTTTTTTGAGTCGGAGTCTCATACAGTTGCCCAGGCTGGAGTGCAGTGGCATGATCTCAGCTCACTGCAACCTCTGCCTCCCAGGTTCAAGTGATTCTCCAGTCTCAGCCTCCCGAGTAGCTGGGATGAAATGTCAGCAGTCATTCTGGTTCAAGCCTAAAATGAAGTCTGATTCTTCACTTTTACCTGTACGAGGCAGGTTGTTGTAAAAGAGAAATGAATAAAACTCACTCACTTTCATTGATTTGATTAAATAAGACCAATTCTGCATAACCAAAAAAGTTCAGAACCAGAGGAATCAGCTAGGTAGAGGCAACATAGAGTTTCAAAAGTGGGTTTGGAGTCACAGATCCGCTTGCCAGGTGACCTGGGCACCTTACTTAACTCTTTTTTGCCATGGCTTTCTCACCTATAAGATGGAGAAAATAACTGTCCCTATAAGAGTGCTTTAATTCTAGGAATAAGTGTTTTAATATGTGTAAGGCACCTAGAACAGGCTGGCACATAGTGATCACTCAATTAATCTTTATTATTATCTGGACCATGGATCACGACTTTGTGATCCATGTCAAATTCAGCTTGCAGACTTATCTGGCCCACAAAATGGGTATAATTTTAACATTGTATGCCTTTAGTTAGGGCATATACTCTCGAGTTTGCCTGAGACTCCACCTCTTCCTACTGTGTATATACCTACACTGTATATACATGCATGTTACTTGATCCTAGAATGCAGATTTACTAAGACAGAAATTGTCAACGTCATGTTTCAATGCTGACTCATCAGTGCCTAGCAGATACATGAGGCTCTCTAAGTGTTTGTTGAATGAATGAATGTGTGTGTGCANANCACACACACACACACACATAAATGATTAATATCCTTTAATAATATCTTTTGCAATGGGTTGTCCGGCCTCTGAATCAACATCTCCATGAGAGGGTGTTTACTACCTCCCATTCTGTATTTGGACATTTCTGCTTACTGGTAGTTTATTTGAACATTGAGTCCAAGTCTGCTTCTCAGTAACTTTTTTTATTCTCCTTCAACCCTTTGATCAGTTTTGAGACTGGAAGGAACACTGGAGGAAATCTAATCCAGTTCTCTTACTTGACAGAGAAAGATGTAATGACCAGGGGAGACCAAGTGATTCTCAGAAGGTCAGGACCTATTGTTGTGATCCCAGCTAGCACATACATTTCTCCTTAGGAATAAACAGGCATCTTTGTGGTTTGATTTGGGAGTCTCTAGTGCATTGAAATATCAGTTCCTCTGACAGTCAAATGCAATGAGTTTCTTTCTATAACAACCAACACCTCAGTTATTAACTAATGCTTTGGTAAGGATGAAAATGAATAACAGGAACGGGGCACAGGCTCAGTTCTGAGGAGGGAAACACATGTTTAGAGGATGGAGGCTCAGAAGGGAGAACAGAAAAACAGGGGAACATGAAGCCAAGGTTCACCTGCTTCCCGAGAAGGCCAGACACAGCCCAGATCCACATCCCGCCTGCTCAGGACATTGCTCAATATTCTCTTGGGGAGGGGATGGGGCTGAGAGACAGGCAGGGACTAATTGCATACAATCAACATGCAAAAGGCTTCTTTTCACCATTGAAGGAACAAGAAAGAAGAAGAAGAGAAAAAAACATCATCCATTAGTATACTTTCTAGAATCTCAATCCTAGCTGGGAATGGTTTCAGGGAAAGTGAGATGATGCAAGTCCAGCTCAACCAGAATCACCCTCATTCCTTGGCTCCCCGTCAGACACAGAAATCTTTCATCAGAGATTGCATCTCTTTCCTTTCCTCTGTCTCTCTCTGGAACACTGGCTTTTCAGCCCTTTTAATCATGATCTCTTTGAGGCACTTGTAAAGTTGTGAATCCTCTCCCTGAAAATCATGTACAAACATGGAGACTTTTGCATATAACCCTAGGTAGTACTCTCACCCCTAAAACCAGTGCTCATGGACCTGAGGTAAGAATCTCTGCTCTTTAATGTCTGAAAGATGTGTTAGGGTCTTTTTCCTCCTGCCCGTATATCACCTGAGGCATTTTATGGGGAGCAGGCAAAAGCAAGTGTGTCTTGAGGGCTTTGTGGTAATGGGAATGAACCCAGCCAATTCTCTCTGTGGCCAAGAAAAAAAAAGGGGCTGGATTCACACAGCATGTATGTGGAGGACAGGGTTTACAAGGAAAAATGCAATTTGGTTCTGTTCCTTTCATCAGAGTTATAAGAGACCTACTTTATGGCAGTCACAGTGCCAGACACTGGGACACCCAAGATGAGTAAGACAGTTCTCTCTCAGGGTCTGGTGGGGAAGACAAACTTGCTGTGTTTGTTATCTGTTGCTGCATAATGTTACCCTAAAACTGAGTGCTTCAAACATCAAACATTTATTATCCTACAGTTTCAGTGGACTAGTAACCTGGGAACTGCTTAGCTGGGTGCCTCTGACTCAGGGTCTCTCAGGAGGTTGCAGTCAAACTTTCCGCCAAAGCTGCGTTATTCCCAAGACTCCACTGGAGCTAGAGAAGCTGCTTCCAAGCCCACTCACACAGTGCCTTCCCATGTGGGCCCTTTCGTAGGCTGCTTGAGTGTCCTCATGACATGGTTGGTGGTGATTCAAGAGATAGGAAACAGAGAGCGCCTGAGACAGAGGCCACCACCTTTTATAACCAAATCTCCAAAGTGGCATCCCACCACTTTTGCGAGTTGCTAGGTTCAGCTGATACTTAAGAAGAGGGAATTTTACTACGACATGAATACCAAGAGGCTGGGATCATTGGGGTCATTTTAGAGGGTGCCTGCCACACTGGCTGACAGAATTTCAACATGATGCAGAAATGCCATGAAGGAGGTTTGTCTTGGCTGCTGTGGGAACACAGCATAGGGGGGATTAAGGAGGAAGGGTACTTAGAACAGTGGTGAAGACAAGGAAAGGAGGTAGCCAGGCCACAAAGAGGAGGAGATGGCACAACCAGAACAATCAGAGAGGTACGAAGTGGCACACATTGTTTTCTGAGGTAGACTGGCCCACTGGCATAATTGCTTAATTGACAGTTGTTAAAATAAACCTTTCTCACTGATAAAATTAAAAGACTGGAAAGAACACTGAAGGTGGGAAAACAAGTCATTCACTTGATCTGGTAGTACACGCATGGGTTTGTCTAAGATCTGGACACCTCATCTCTTCCCTCCCCTTTGCTCCCGCCCCTCTCCTGCTGCACTCACACCATTCTAGCCAAACTGAAGGACTTGCATTCCTCTGAATCCGCCATGCCCTCACAGCTCCCTCCACCTGGGACATCTTCCTCACTTTGGACATTTTCTTTGCCTATTTCCTTCTCATCTTTAAGAACTCAGCTTCAATATAATGTAACTGGGGTGCCTTCTCTGAACTTCCCAGTTTGAATGAAGGGCCCTTATCCTTATAGTCATTCATGCCAGCCTATGTCTACTCCTCTGCTAGAACTGACCACTCTGTATTATAATTGTCTGCTTATTTGTCCATGTCACTCTCTGTGAGCTCTGCAAGGTCAGGCAGTCAGGCATCAACTCCTTGGTCCTCATGGTTATATCCTCAGTGATTGGCCCATAGTAAGATTTCAATCTGTTTTTGAGGAAGGACAGAAAGATGGAAGGGAGGGAGGAAAGAAGCAAGGAAGGAAGAGAGGGAAAGAAAGGTTCTAGAGAACGCTTCAAAACTTAGAATTGAACAGTGGGAGAAGTAGGTAAGAAGGATGATCTGGATCTACAACACAGGTAGTCCTTTTTGATGTGTGTCTTAGTTAATTCGGGCTGCTATAACAAAAATACTACAGACTGGGTGGCTTAAACAACAAACATTTATTTCCCATCATTCAGGAAGGTGAAAGTCCCAGATCAAGACATCATCAGATTTGGTGTCTGATGAGGGCTGTCTTCCTGGTTCATAGACAGCAGTCTTCTTATTGTGTCTTCACATGTGGAAGGGGCAATAGAGCTGTCTGGGGTCTCTTTGATAATTGCACTAATCCCATACATGAGGGCTCTGTGTTCATGATCTATTACCTTTCAAATTTTCTACCTCCAAGTAGTATCTTATTGAGAATTAGATATTGGGGATTAAGTTTCAACATATGAATTTTGGAGGGACACATGCATTCATTCCACAGCATATGGTCAACCATCAGGACAACACAGGGCTAGCTATTGATCTATATTTGATCGTTTTTGTAACATTTATGTCCTTGGAAAAATAGCCATGATGTTGGACCTATTTCAGACCTGTGAAAATAAAAGAAAATAGTTGAAGTAATTGAGAGCCTGACTAATAAGATAAAAGATCTTGGAGAATTCAGAGATGTTTGGCTAATGGAGAGTTCAACAGCAGCCTTGCCTTCTACCTCTCCCATCCTGATTTTGCTGGGGAGCAGATGGGGTAAGAAGGGAACCTTCATGATGAAGGTCATGTGGTAGATAAGACACCCAATGGGAGGGAGAGGATTGTGTTGTTAGAAGTATTCTGAGTCACAAAAGGAGCTGATAAGTTAGCATCTATTCTTGACTCCCTCATCTCTGTTAGCTTCTTTTTTTATATATATATATAGTAGTTTTCGTATTTATTAGTGATTATTTTATGGATGAATGATTACTTTGGAAGTTGTAAAAAGGTGGTCTTCTAGGCTGGGCATGGTGGCTCACGCCTGTAATCCCAGCACTTTGGGAGGCTGAGGCAGGCAGATCACTTAAAGTCAGGAGTTCAAGACTAGTCTGGCCTACATGGTAAAAACCCCATCTCTACTAAAAATACAAAAATTAGCTGGGCTTTGTGGTGCGTGACTGTTGTCCCAGCTACTTGGGAGGCTGAGGCACGAGAATCTCTTGAACCCGGGAGGCAGAGGTTGCAGTGAGCCAAGATCACATGGCACTCCAGCCAGTGAGCACCATGGCACTCCAGCCTGGGTAACAGAGTGAGACCCAGTCTCAAATAAATAAATAAATAAATAAATAAATAAATAAATAAATAAGGTGGTCTTCTATGGTTCAAGTCAAAAGCCCTTTCTGCGAGTAGTGGAGACATGTGTCCTGAATGCCGCAGTTGTGACTCAGTGTTGGGGCAGAGATCTCCATGTAAGTCCACTTGGGAGTGGTCTCCATTAGCTTCTTTAGCACAAACCTGTTGGGTTTATCCTCCCCCAGCATCCACCTACACTTACTCTGGTAAAAATACAGTGGTTTATCCTTTAGGGAACTGACTGTACTCAAACTCTAAATTCTAAGTCTATGCGTTTCTGGTCATCTGACTCATCCCTCTGTCTCTGGAGGTAACTTCAATCAGAACTGGCCAATCCATGTATTGCTGCCTTTCAGTCACAATAATTGACTTTCAGGAGACAAGAGACCAAAGCCTAGCTAATAAAAGGAAATTCTGCATTTTTCGTAGGAGATGTTGGAAAGAGAAGCTCTCTTCCCATTTGACTGGAAGCTAGGAGGGTATAATCCTGGATCTGGGGGAGGCCTTGGATGGGGAACGTAGGTTTGTGAGCGGAGCCAAGGCAGAGGAAATCAGAGAGGAGATGAAGAGTTCTCAGGCCCTGAAGGCTGTTTGAGCCCATGTAGCCAATTTTGCAGGTCTTTCTGTTTCGTGAACTTTTGAGCTTAAGCCAGTTTGAATTGGGTTTCCATTCTGTCTGCTCTTTTTTGGTCTCTCATTTTTTGGTAACAGCTTGCCATTGTGGCTGATTTCCTCTGTAGATTTCCTCTCCTTATTTCATTATGTTAACGTTATTTTCTTGGTGTCTCTTTTTGTTTTCTGTTATAGAGTATGGATAGCAAGAAGGTGTTATGAGAGTGACTGTGCCCAGAGTAGGGTCTCTTGTTAGACCATTGGCCAGGAAACTGTCCTTGGGTTTTGGGGTTTTCAGGAGTGCGGAGGACCATACAGAAGGCAGGAAGGGAGCAGGTTCCTTTGTCCAAAGATATTAGTATGCACAACTTCAGTGGAGGAGTTCAGCATCTATGTTAACACACATTATGCAGCCTGCCAATATGGTATCCAGCGTAAGATATGCCATTGATGATAAATTGGAAAAATAGAAGAGTAGAGCGTGCTTAGAAAGAAAGGAAGATGGTAGAAGCATTTAGCAATTTTAGGGGGCAAGAATACCAGATTACATCAACAGTTCCTAGAACAACAAAAATAACAACAACCACAACAACAAATATCTATATCTATATATAATTAGAATTTATTATGTAAGCTAAATTAAATTTAACATATTATGTTTAAGAAAGCACAATATGCACAATATTTTTCAGTACTATTTTTATCCACTCTAATCCTGCAAAACTTTTTAAAGATTTGGCATAAAAAGAAATAAAATGTCACTTTTTTTTTGAGATGGAGTTTCGCTCTTGTTGCTCAGGCTGGAGTGCGATGGCGCAGTCTCAGCTCACTGCATCCTCCTCCTCCTGAGTTCAAGCGATTCTCCTGCCTCAGCCTCCTGAGTAGCTGGGATTACAGGCATGCACCATCACGCCTGGCTAATTTTTTATTTTTAGTAGAGATGGGGTTTCTCCATATTGGTCAGGCTGGTCTCAAACTCCCGACCTCAGGTGATCCACCTGCCTCAGCCTCCAAAAGTGCTGGGATTATAGGCGTGAGCCACTGTGCCCTGCGGGAAAATTTGCTTATATGCAACACCTCTTTCTCTGATAATGCCTAATAAATGAAAGATTACTGTATTGGATATGGTCCTGCCGAAAGGTAAGTTCTTCAAAAAGTCCCTCTGTGTGTTCTAAAGGTTCCAAGGAAAGTATTTCTCATATTTTGAAAGTAAATGCCATATCTAAAATGCAGATGCAGGACAAAAAGTAAAGCCCCTGGGTCACCAATACCATGGGATCAAATGCTAATGGCTAGAGTTCAGGGCAATAGTGGGATGTCCAGTACTGGTTGCCCAAGACTATGTCTTTCCTCTCTCAGCCAAAGAGCCCCTTTCCCATCTGAGTCTTATTAAGCAGTGTCCCCAAAGTCCAAACCCCAGGAAAGTGGGCCTCTGCGACATATCAAGAGAGATAGAGAGAGCAAGAGAGAAGGACATCTCACATCCTTCGACAGCTGGGTAAACGGCTGTCTATAGGGTCATAAAGGCCCTATTTAAAAACAAGGAAATGAAGAAGGGGCTAGCTCAGGCCCGCACAGAGAAAAAAGCTGAAGATGAGACTCAGAAATTCCCGGCTTGTGCAAATAGACCTGCTGCCTTTCATCAGGTCTTACTGCCAACCAGATGGTGACAGATTGAGGCTTTTAAAACACTCCAAGACAGATGGCATGCCAATCAGCACCACCTAGTGGAAGAGAAGGATTAATCCACTCCCAACATCTCAACACTCTTGCAGGATTGTTGATTCACTCAACAAAAGACTTGTGAGAGCTGGGTCTTCATTAGGTGCCCCACGAGACAGACTGGAAAGTTACAGGGAATAGAAATGGATACGCCAAGAGCTGAAATATTCTGGCCTATGGAATGTTCCAGAGATGTGGGGAGGGAGAACTGAAATGGTTTAACATCATCAACTATCGCTGGGACTTAAATTTATAAAATTAGGAGGCATATATTCTAAAGGATTTAGGGAAAGTGTGTTTTACATTTTAAGGTAGAAGTCATATTTAAAATGCAATCTCATGAGAAGAAAAGGAGAGAAGGTGGAGAGGTTGCCAGGGATTCCCTGGGTTTGGCTCTGCCCATTTTCCTCCATCCAGTGGCCATTTGTATTCAGCCAGTAAAAGGGAGGCCAGGAGAATGTGTTGATGAACAAGTGTTCAGTGTGTGTGGGAGCTAATATAGCAACTTCCTGCTGAAAATTGTGCCCCAACCTTTAACACAGAACCAAAAAACCTGTGATTCCTGCCTATACCTCTCTTAATTGCAGTAGGCAGATTGGAAAAAAAAATTATAACTGGAATAATTACAAACTACTCCTTTGTCCCACATACTGTTAAGATGGACTGATTTGACATATGCTTTTGAACTCCCAAGAACATATGTACAATTAAGACTTTTAGGGGCAAATGAGTGGAACCCCAACCTCTGACCAGGCCAGGAAGGAAGAGCTTATTGGAAGGTTTATAGGCATGTTTTATCTGATTAAAGAAATAGTTGAATAATCAAACTGTGAAAGTGGAAGAGGTGCCTTTGGATTTCAGGAACAATGGGAACCAGGGATTTGAACAGTACCTGGGTTTTTTGCCTCCTTGTCTCTGGTGTCTCTATGGGTCAGTATCGTTTTTTCTCCCAGTGAACCAGCCTTTCATTTGTGGTAGGAGGCGTGACCACTGATACTGTCCAAATCTCTCCTTTCACAGCCCCTGCCACCTGAAAGAGTCTGGCCCTCTTTCCTCAGCCCTGATTTTTTAAATTCCATGGATGGGCTGATTGGCCTGGCTGAGAGGCTCATGGGATGCCTTGCTAATAATGTTGCAGATGTCCTACAGAATATGAAACAATGGTACATTGGAGACACCACCTCAACCTCCTATCAGACCTCACACCAGCCAAATGAGGAATCTTACTTCATTTAAGGGTTCTATCCTAAACACCTTCTACAGACCCTTGACCACCCAGAATTCAGCAGGAATGGGTAACTTGCCAAGGATCACTGAAAGTGCCTGCATGGAACAAAGATAAGATGCTGAAGGTCCAGTCCACACCCGTATTCACAATGGAGCACAAGATAGTTCTAAACATAAGAATGTTGGCCTAGAACTGAACAGCATCTTCATGTTCCATGTTTGTTGGGCTAAAAAGGCAGAAAGTATTTCAACCTGGGCTTTTTCTACCAGGAGAGTAGTAGAGGAAATGGAATTATACCTATGCCCAGGTTCCTCGGGTGGTGAGAGGGGATATGTTTGGAAGGATGTCACAAGATTGGGTTTGAGAACAGCAAACCTAGGATTTCCTGTGGCTGTATGTCCTTCCATTAGTCATGTCTCATCCACAGCACATTACTACTTTGAGCTTTTGTCCATTTTGCCTGGAAATTGGATGAAATTTCCCCTTTGCCTTAAACTGTAAGTCTGGACACTTTTGCAACCAAATTAAGTCCAACTTGGGTCAAACAGTTCTTGACAGTGATAACGAGTGGAAACAATAGATTCAGTCTTCAAATGGTTGAATTAGTGTGTTCTTGTCCTAGTTTTCAGGTAATGTAGGTAACTGGCCCTGAAAATCAATCTAATATAAGATAGCATTCTAAATTGTGAGTATGATTTGTTAGAGTATAAAAGACTCTGGGACCATGTCAATTTTCTCCTTTTTATTTAATTCAGATGAGGATTTCTTAGTCAGTAATTGCAGTGAACCCAGAAGAAGGGGTGATGGTGAGAGGAGGCGAGATAAATTAAGGAATAATGCATAAGAGCCCAAAGTATGGATAACTAATTTCACAATCATTGTGAATAGTTATTTTATGCAAAAAGTAATAAATGAGATTTAAATGGCAGCTCATACAAGAATTGAAAAGGCATTAACGCAAAGATAAAGACATTTCATCTTTGGTAGAAACGTTATTAAATCAATAGGGTGATAAAATGAAATAAAACAGAGGGGATTATCAGCAGAAGGGGTCTTCAAGGGAAGTGGGGCAGGTTACATTCAGGACACTTAATGAAGCCAACAGTCCACCAAAATGAAATTCTGTCTTGGAAGGGATTATAGTTAGTGTACATGCGATGAAGAGGTGGAATCAGGGATTCAAGTATGGATTAAATCACCTAAAAGAACAATGTTGGTTGTTGCTGCAATTAAATGTTTCAAGCCCTGATTTTTGTCTGTCAAATGATTTATTTTTGATACCAAAGAGCAGAATTTTCAATTCACCAGTTGGTACTAAAACCAGTATGACCATTTAAAAAATAACTGCAAAATAATTCAGTCAACTCTTTGAACATATAAATTCATAAACCTACCACAGTATTAAAGATAATAGAACTTCTCCCTTTGGGGCAATGGACATTCATATTTTGACCTGGGACACCCTGAAACTTCATTTCCTCTTCATCAGAACTTGGTATGTGCCTAGTGTGGAGAAGCTTTGTTATGGAATAACCTGTTTTTGAGTCCCTTGTGAGGATGCTGAGGAGAATGTTCAGTGAGGGACTGAGAGTACCTGGATAATGGGAACACATATAAAAGAAGACAAAAGAGAAACGCTGCCTCAGGAGGGTAAGATAGGGGTCGTTGCATCTACATTAAAACTTTTTTGTTAATTATTCATCAAATATGTACTTGAAATATGTATGTGATAGACTCTAGAGACAGAAATATAAAAAGATACACCAGCATTTTCTCTGCCCTCTAGGACCTCAAAAACTTATGGAGGATCAATTCACTTCACCTCTGTATTAGTCAGGGATTCTTTGATTGCAAGAAACAGAAAGCCACTCAAGCCTCTTAAGCAAAGGGAATCAGAAGAATTAAGAATACTGAAAATGGGGCCATCCCCAAATCTCCTTTTCTATCCCTATCTCTTCCTGACCTTATTCCTTTGTTTAAAGGTTGACCAGTAATTGCTTTCCCAACATTGGAGCCTCAGCTTTTGAAACTATTGGACTTTACAGTTATAGCACGTGCTGATGACTTAGTCTCTTGGGGCCCAATTTTAAATCAATGAGAAAGAAGCTCTGATAGACACAATTTAAGTCAGGTATCCATTCTTGCATTCAGCAAATATTTACTGAGCACCTAGTGTGTGCTAGGCATTATTCAAGGCCTTGGACTCCCACAGTGGACAAAACAATGTCTATAACTTCATGGTGCTGATATTTGGGGTCGGGATGGGTGGGGTGCAGCCCAGACAAGAAAGATCTACATTTATAATACAAGCTCAGGGATAATAAGTGTTATGTAAAGATGGGTGGGAAGTAGAGAGTGTCAGAGAGATGCTATTTTAGAAAGATATTCTGACCAAACATTGTTGAGGAGGTAAAAGTTGAGCAGAGGTCTTAAGGAAGCAAGAGAGCAGGCCATGAGAATATGTGGGCAAGAGCATTCTAAGTGAAGGGCCAGCAAGGGCATAAGCCCTGAAATGTGCCCAGCTGGAAGTGGAAGATCCCTGAGACTGAAGCACGGAAAGCAAGAGGGAGAGTGACCTGAAAGGAGGTCCTAGGTGGAGCCAGAACACAACCATATAGACCATGCTGAAGACTTGGGGAGCCAGGATGGAGATTTGAGCAGCAAGAGCCATGACCTGACTTTTATTATAAAATAAAGTTCGCCCAAAGTCATCCAGCCAGTAAATGTCAGACCAGGATTGAAGTGCAAGCAGTCTGGTTGCAGAGCCCAGGCTCTTAGCCACCACTTAACTCCCTCCCATGATGATGTTGTGTCTCACAGAAAGGTTTTCATGAAGGTGTTCAAACACTCTGAAGGCTCGTCCATGCTTTCAAATACATTGGACTTACAACCTGGAGGCAATGATAGAATTTGGTTTTACATAGCAGTTGGGGTCCATTTCGCACTCAAAACACACATGCATCTTTGCTATGACCACTCCGTTTATTTAATTCATCATTGAAAGTCCTGGTTTAAGCTGCCAACTATTTTTAGTATTATTCACAAGAGATTTTTGCCCATCTCTTATCACTCAGTCATCTTCATTCTATCTTCTACAAATCAACATGTGGATTACTTTTTATAAGCAAGAAAAAAACAACAACACTTAACCAGGGTCATACAGCAGGGTAGTGATTGTGCTGGTAATAGCCTTTCAGAAAGAATGAGAGAGAGAAAACAGCAATTGGATGCCGTCTCCAAGGATACTCCCCTTTCAGGAATTTCTTTGTAGAGTACATTAAGAAGATTGGAACCTGCTTTCTTTAGAATTGAGTAGTTCAAAGTTTATGCCCTTTGTTAAAGAGTGAATGTGTTTACATTGGGTATGCTCAGGATAAAATATTGCATGATGTAAGAAACAGCAAACAAGAAACCAATCATTTTCCTCAAGTTATAGGAAACCCTGATAGCCAAATGGACCAATTCCAACTGACCAGCAGCCTTAATTTACTGAAATTACAGCTCCATGCCTATTTGCATAAGGAAGAACTGGATAAAATGGCAAAAGCTTTATCATCAATAACTCCACCTCCACATACCAATTAATAGGTGACAGGAGTGTCACGCATCCAGATTCAGCCCTATGTATTTGTGGCAATAGGACCAAATAGTTAAAACTAATATGAATTGGATTTATTCATTCAATAAACATTGTTTGAGTGCCTACTATATTCCAGGCACCATTCTAGGCCCTAGAGAAACAGCTCTGGATATAATAGAGTCTTCTCTTATAGAGCTTACATTCTAAGGGAGAGGGGGTAGACAGAAAGTAAATAAATATGTAATATAACAGTTAGTGATAAGTGCTGTGAAGGGAAAAGTAGAGCAATGCAAGGAGAGAGTGGGGGTGATGGTGCTATTTTATCAAGCGCAGCCACAGGAAGACTTTCTGATTAGGTGACATTTGAGCAAAAATCTGGTCAACACTATGACAAAATCAGAGAAAAGATTGTCTTAGTCACTGTATTCTGCTAAGCCAATGGACAGAGTAGATTCCTTTCAGAAATAGTTGCAACAAAGTTTTCAGAGGACTATTAACCCTCAGGTAATTAGAAAATCCAATCTGTCACAATTCCTCCTAACCCCATTTCTTAGACACTGCAGTCAAAAGAAGGCAATGTGTGTATTTATACATTATATATATATACATATATATATATGCATTCTTAATTGTCTACTCATAGACAATCTGCTATAGTGGAAGAATAATTATCTTCAAAATGAATGCAGATAGGAGATTGTGCAATTGATAAGTTCTCCTTAGAATCCCCACGCTATCTCTTTGTGATTTTGAGTCAAATGGGTAACCTTCCCAGATTTCACTTTATCTGGGAAAACATGATAACAACACCTACCCTTGGACTGGCTATGAGGATTAAGTCAGATGCCATATGTAAGATCTGGGCACTTAGTAAGTACCTAAAAACATGTTAATTTTATTCTCCCAAGGTGCCTAGAGAATGATTAATTTATGAAGAGTGTCATAGAGCGATGCAGTAAACATAAAATTTCATTTCTTTTCCTAGCAACAGAATTGGAAATTTTAGGATGTCCAGGAAACTAGTGGTTTAAATTGAAATGATTATTCTATGTTGTCAACGTCAGTAACCCATCTGGACTATTTGTTTAAAGTCTTTTATTCCAGCTAAATATCAGCTCAACAGAAAATAATGAGAGTGAGTACCATGTCTGGAATTTCTTTGGACGCTGTGCCCTAAGAGTATAATAGCCAGTCAACTATGTGAGGCATATGCTCAGTTACAACCTCTCATTGTCTGCAAAATTAACATTTATTTTACTGGACCCAGTAGGGTGGGTCCAATAAATGGGCACCTGCAAGTTTTCATATAACTTTCATTACAACACTTCTGTAAGCCCAGTACGCACTTTGCTGAATTTCCCCAAAATAGAATGGATGGGACCCACTGGGTTCTATTTTAGACTGGCTTGTGTATCCTTCCCCTTACTGCACATCTACAGAACTAGAATTAGAGGAAAATTTCTGCAACCTGTCTAGTACTTAGTGCTCCATGTGGGAGTTTCTTTAAAATATATGAATGGGTTATTTTCTCATTTTGTTAATTATTTCAGGAGGCTAGTGGTAGGACAGCTGCAGAGTGCCCATCACTCTACTGTTTCCAAAATTAAGTTTTCCATGAACAAATCTAGTAGATACAGATTGAACTACTGTTGAACACCAGTATGCTGTTCTTATCCCATAACCTTTCTTCAGAGGTTCATTCCATTTTTACTGATGTGATGTCAAGTTTTTTCAAAATGTAAAGGTAAAAGCTTGCTCCATTAACAACCCACTTTTAACATGGGCATGACTTCTAGTTGAACCAGTATTATGTGCAGACCCGGAATTATCCCCACTGATCCTGAGAGCTGAGAATTTCTCTAAGCTGACTGACCCTAGAGGGGAGGGAGCTAACCCCTGGGAGAACCAGAACACCTGATCCTTGCCTGTGGTGTCAGAGACCAAGGTATGTTACTAACCCTGGCCTAAGTGGACTTGTTAGCTTTGGTCCCCAACACTAGATGTGAAATCAATGGAGAACCTAGTTATCGGATGGGCATTTTGATGCGGTGATAGTAATCAAATCTATATAAAGAAGATTATCACTGAAATGAGTATCACTTTTAAATAATACTTTGTACCTTAATATTAAGTTTACACAGCACTATCTACAGTATTAGTTTATATAATCTCCACAAATCAATGTGAGGAAAATTATCATCTTCATTTTACATATGAGAAAATCCAAGACTGAAGAAGTTAAAGAGTTTGCCCAAGATTACACAACTAGTAAATGTCAACTGGAATTGTTCTCCATATGTTCAGAGTTCAAACTTCCTGCTCTCCTCCCTCTACTAGAGTCTTCCAATTCCTGTACTCCATAGACACACTTACTCATTAGTTTTTTACATTAGCTACCTATCTTTTTCTTTTTATGCTATTTTACATTATCGCTTGACTTTTGATTTTCAGGTGACCAAAGGACCATGGATCCTCAACAAATCTCTAAAAGTCCAAGGTTGACTCTAAATTGAAGAAGATGGTGTGTTTTCAAACGAAAATTATATCAGAATACATGTATCTCTGGGCTTAATGACAAAAGAAGAGATTCAGTTATGTCTTTTATTCCTTTGTAAGATTTATATCAAACCCTTCTTATTCTTTGAAATCCATCCTATTCATCCCAAATCATAGTGAGATCCTTCAACATTGACTATCTAGACCATTTGTTTGGTAGTTCATCATGAATTGCATTATGTACCTCATGTATTACTGACTTGTTATTATCGTCTCATTATTATCTAATTTTCCGTTAATGAATTGCCTCCCCACTGAAGGCTTATAGAAAGAAAGCAAGGGCCATATCTTAAACTTTTCTCAATTCCTTAGATTCAAGACTGACTTTAAGAACGCTTATAAAAAGAGAACCACGGAAAATATGTTGTTATAGTTACTAATTTTCTACGCACTCTCCACCTCTTTTTGGCTAACATAACTCTGAGTTTGTTGGGCAGTCATGTGATCCAGAGATGCCAGTGAGATATAAGCAGATCAGTTCTGGAAAAGCTTTTGTGTTCTTTTCTTACGGACAGGGAGAAGAGATCTTGCTGACCCACCCCTTCTCTTTCTTTCTGACCTGAATGTGGATATGTGGTTTGCTTCTGTGGCTGCAATCAGGTGACATGAGGCACCAACCATTGGACCAAGAAGACAACAGCCAAAGACAGAAGAGCAGAAAAATAAAAGGAAAAGGCCTGTGTTTTGATAACATCAATGAGCAGCAGTACCAGTGCCAATAGTCACCTGTCTCCAGCCTTCTTGTGAATGAGATACTACAGGTCTGTATTGCTTGAGCCATTTCTAACTCCAGAATATATTTAGAGTTTCATACTGAAGTTGAACCACACATCTTTCTTTGAACTTCCTAACAGGCAAAACAACTGCATAAAAGAGATACTCAATTAGTTATTATTTGTCATTGTCTTTGAGGAGAAAATTGATAGTTCTTCAAGAGAGGCACTGTTTCTTGTGAAACTTAGTTCTTTAAGAAATGTCTTGGGTGGGGCATCATAGAGAGACACTGAGTTATGGTGGAAACTGTATTTAAATCATATCCCCAAATTAAATGCAAAATTAGTTTTCATATGGTTGTTTCTTGTAGGACCTTTTAATGTAAACTGCAGATATAATACCAAACCCTAACACAGTGAAAACAATTATGTAAGAGACTATTTAGGTCATGCAGCCTAAATAGATTTTTGTTGGGCTTTGAAACCAAAAACAACAAATAATATTTTTTATTTCCTCATCTAAATAATTTTCATCCCTCTAGGTTGTCATACAATCAATGGAAAGCAAGACATAGTTTCTGTTATGTAATTCAAAGTTTCACAATGGAAACAAATCACTCTCCTATGGAAATTTCCCAAAATATTGCTCTGAAAGAAATAAGTTTTAGAATCTAAATTTATATGTTTCACAGTCTTCTTTGATTCCATTAATTAAATAATTGCTTACCTCTATTGTTTTCCTGGTTAGAAAGAAGGTCATTTAATTGGGTCTTAGTCTATCAGACAAAACCAGCTGGCCCATTGCTGAATTAGAAAAAGAGGAAATACTGACTCAACCCATTTAAGCAGAGAGCAGCGTAGGCAGGGAGGGTCAGCCTTACACATCTTTTATTGCAAAATAGTTCCAATTCTCTTGAGACTGGATGAGTGGGAGAGAATAGATTATACTTCTGAAGTAGAAGCTATCTAAGAGAACGGGAAAATAGCCCTTTGGTTCAGCAAAGGATGGAGAGCCTGCCTTCTACAGAGGCCACCATTTAATCATTTTGGTATCTGTGTGGCACTTGGGGGGGTTTCTAAGCCTTAAGAATTTGAAATCATTAGCACAAAACTGGAACTCATCTTGGCCTTGGCATTTTGTCTTGGGAACAAAATTGGCCCTGAGATCCATAAGTGACTCATTGAGGAAATACTGGGGCATGCTGCACAATGTGAGGGCAATATTTTAACAACAGGCAAACATGTATTACATGAGGAAGAATTATAAATGAAAGGAAAATTAATTAAGGAGTCAAGAAACCAGAGGAAGGATCACAGCAAGAGGCAGATACCATTACCCTGGAAGTGAAACGCCAGCACTTTGGAAACAAAACATATGTGCTAGAATCATCAATGAGCTTGAGACGAGACTTGAGAAATACCCACACCAGTTTGCCTTCACTTCCTTTTGTGCCTTCTGCATGCCAAACAGTTGAATATAAAGTATCCTAATGGATGTAAGAGCATTTTATAAATTAAGTGCTCTGAAAATATATGCCATTATCATCATTATTGAAGAAAAGCAGACCACCGTGTTACTCAAATCATGTCTACTAGCCAAATAGTTTGCCCAGAAGGAAGCTATGAAGCCCTGAACAAAATTGAAAAAAGAGAAAAACAAGGACAACTCATCAATTTTTCAGTGTCTGGTCTTGAACTGGGTTATAGCCTGTTACCAATAAGAATCTCTTTTAACATCAGGATTGGTAGAATTATGGTACCCAGAAAGGAGAATGTTTGTACTTTTCTGCACTGTTTCAGTGGGGCAGAAAGCATCTGAGGCATGGTGCACAGCTCCTAGGCCAGGGCTGGCAAATAAGCAGAGTATTCCCTTTTCCCTCCCATGCTTATGGCAGACAGTGATAATCGATCATGATGCTCTGCTAATCTCACAACAGCCTTAAGAATCTGGTCTACCCAGCTTTCCAGGAAGCTAATATCAACTAATCAGAGTTGGAACACTGAGCTGCAACCTAATTGCCATCTTGGCTCTAGCAGTTAAGAGTGCGATTTTAGGTGTATCCACCTGGCCTGATGGGAGGAGTGGCTCCAAATCTGTGGAGCAGATGAAAAAAAGATATCCATTTAAGGAATTATAATTATGATGATGATAACAGACATGAAGAGCAACAATAATGATACTAGTATCTGCCATTTTGTTATCCCTTACTGGGCTCTACGAATTGGTTGAAGTGCTTCACATGTTATCGTTACCTCCATTTTACATGTGAGAAAACAGAGACAGAGGAAGTTACTAACTTGTCCATACTCAATGGGCTTTAAACCTAGTGCTCTTTGACCCCAGAGCTCACACTGTTACCCAAACCATTAATAGAACTCAGGCACAACCAGGGGCTTTATAACATGGTTAATTATCTGCATCCATTTAGAGCATTCTTTGATGTGAAGAAACTCTCCCCCTCCTTTTCTTGGTGAAGCTGGTGGCTGTGGCTACTTCCTCAGAAGTCAACATTTGCTGGAAGTTTATTGTTACCCTAGACAGGGCAGAAAGAAGTCTCAGTCATCTCAGATTTCAAAGTATTTATTGAAACTCAGCAAAGTTCACAGAGTTTACACAGTTTACACAAATGGCTTTTGCAGGAAATGAAGATGTCATTTCTGTTTTACACGTACCGTTGTCCCCCACCCTACCCCCAACCCTAAGGCATGGCCAATTACCATAGGCGGAGCACATGTATACAGGTCTCAGTCAAAGCAAATCAGCCTTCACATGCAGCGAGAAAACCAGTCAGACTTTTGGGAGTTACAAGAGCTATTTTAGCAAACATTCTCTCGGAAAACGAGAGTTTTATACAGATCCTAGATAATATTCCAGTCTTGGTCACATCCGGGACATGACTTGAGTTTGGTCTTTCCGGAAGCATTATTATGAACATGGGAACATAGCCAGTGGGGGAAAAAAACCCCAAGATTTCACAGCTTTCCAAGTCTTACTTGTGGTGAATAAAGGCAAAATTAAGACAACCAACTTCAAAGTCATGACACATCTCATTTTATCTCTAAAACCCAACATGTTTAGTATTTCCCGCTCTTCAATAAACATTACTCAGAGTGTGATAAAATAGGACACAGAGAATAGCCAACTACCAAGTCATTTTCTTATTACTTAATCTTAGAAGGACCAGGTAAGTTTCTTCTTTTATTTACTTTTTATTTTCTGTATTTAAGGTGTACAGTATGATGCTTTGATATACCTATAGCAAAGCTATTACTACAATCAAGCAAAGGAACATATCCATCATCTTATACAGTTATCTTTCTTATATGTGTGATAAGGGTGCCTAACGCCCACTCTCCAAGCAAATTTCTCATATATAATACAATATTATTAACTATACTTCTCCTGTTGTACTTTAGAGCTCTAAACCTATTCATCCTACATAACTGCAACTTTGTGCCTGCTGACCTACATCTTCCCCTTTCCTCACCCCTGGTAACCACTATTCTACTCCATTTCAATGTATTCAATTCTTTTTTGTTGTTTCCGCATATAAGGGAGGTCATGCAGTATTTTTCTTTCTGTTCCTGGCTTATTTCACTTCTAATGTCAATTAGGTTCATCCATGTTGTCACAAATGGCAAGATCTCTTTCTTTTTTAAGGCTGAATAATATTCCATTGTATATAAATACACCACAATTTTTTTATTAATGCATACATTGACAGACACTTTAGTTGTTCCCATATCTTAGCTACTGTGAATAAGGCTGCCATAAATATGCGAGTGCAGATATGTTTACGATGTAGTGATTTCATTTCCTTTGGGTATATACCCAGAAGAGGGATTGCTGGGTCATGTCCACCACCTCTATTTTTAATTTCTTTAGGAAACTCCATGCTGTTTTCTGCAGTGGGTGAATCAATCTACATTCCCACCAACAGTGTGCTAGGGTTTCCTTTCTTCCCACATTCACCAACACTTATCTTTTGTCTTTTTGATGAAAGCCATCCTAACAGGTATGAAGTGATATCTAGGTAAGTTTCTTCTGATGGAGTGGGCAAAATCGTGTTTAGCAACTTCCATTTTTATTTGTGTTCTCTTCCTTTCTGAATGTTCCTCATCTCTGCCCAGCACCCTGAACACCTCTGAACCCCATCATTCTTTGCTGCTTCTAATCCCTTTTTCTATCTCACCTTTAATGTTCCTGCCAAAACTTGTCTTTCTTGGATCTCTTTTTCTCTAGGTCCTGCTCTTTGCTAAAAGGCCAAAAAGTTAAATCTAGCCAAAATATTAATCCAGATTTAATAATCCTGATATTTCTAGCAACATGTCAGGGCTGGTGGGAGAATGAGTTGGAGTAGGAGAAAAGGGCTTGCAGATTCTCACCTAAAGAATTAAACCAGGCAGGCATTTCCTCTGCCTATGAATAAGGAGAGCACCAATGCCTACCTTACAGGTGAACTGAGGTGAATTCTAACACTGAATTTTGTAAACTCAAGTGAGAAAAGAGATAAAACAAACATTTCCTACCTAAGCACACCTTGATCCGCTTCTCCCAACCATCTTACACCTCTAACTGAAAATGATGCACACAGCTAATAAGCTAGAGGCAAAGGTTGCTACCAACCCTACCAACCCCAAGTAGAGGGCAGCTTCTTCGAGTCTGTGTTGCAGTGTGGAAAGCGGCAGTCCCTGTCATGCTTGCTGGCGACATCTGTGGCTGTAGTGGCGGTTGAACCAATAAGAGGAACAATTACAAGGTCCTGCTGACGTCAATACTTGGAAAAGAGCTTTGCCTGTTTTAAAAAGCTGCTATCCATTGTATTAAGCAACATCACTTACAGTAATCGAGGTGATCTATATTTATAATAATAATCAGGGTGCTTGCAATGTGTGCTCCTGCTTCACAAGTGCATAAAAGCAACAAGCTAACCAGAGTTGCTTTGCTCAGAAAAGTTATTCTAGGAGGCTTTTTTTCTGCTCCTCTTGCTTCCCTCTGCCTTCCTCTTGTTCCTTATCTTGATTACTTTTTCTTGTCTTTGAGCCCAGATTATATATGTATTAGTCTGTGCTTGCATTGCTATAAAGAAATACATGAGACTGGGTAATTTATAAAGAAAAGATGCTTAATTGGCTCATAGTTCTGCAGGCTGTACTGTAAGCATGACGCTGGCATCTGCTGGCTTCTGGAGAGGCCTCAGGAAACTTAGACAATCATGGCAGAAGGCGAAGGGGGAGCAGGCACATCATATGGCCACAGCAGGCACATCACATGAGCAGAGCGGGAATGACAGAGTGAGGGGGAAAGTGCTACACATTTTTAAATGACCACATCTCACAGGAACTCACTCACTATCATGAGGATAGTACAAAGATGATGGGGCTAAATCATTCACAAGAAATCTTCCCCCGTGGTCCAATCACCTCCCACCAGTCCTCACCTCCAACACTGGAAATTACAATTCAATATCAGATATGGGTGGGGACACAGATCCACACCATATCCATATGGTTCTGCAGGCTGTACAGGAATACATAGACATATATAATACACACACACACACACACACACACACACACACACACATATATATATATATAAAATCTCGATGAAGAAAATCTTGATAGATATTTTTAAATAGTTATGGACATGTACCCAGAGAGCATTCATTACACAGCCAAAAATGAGAAAGGAGCTGGAGGTGGGGTGGGAGTGAAAGGAAGACTGTGTTTTGTATCAAACATACCTAAATTCAATTTACTTCATCCATTTCTGTAACTAAATATAAACCTCAAGGACTTGTGTTCTTTGTGCAAATACTAACATGCCAGCAAAAGAACATATTTGTAGCATGCTTTTTAAATCTCTCACAACGCAGGTGTCATTTCTATGTTGCTAGGGGAGAAACTAAGGCTGCAAGAGGTAAATAGCTGCCATTTCTTGAACACTCCTATGTCGGGGATACATGAAGCATTTTACATACACGTGACAAAATTTTATAAGGTAGATTCTGCTATTGATCTCATTTTACAGAAGAGGAAACAGATTCAAAGCTAGAAGGCAGGGTGGAGCCAAGATTCAAATGCAAGCATGTTGAGTTGGAATCCAGGGCTCTTTCCCACTTAGCACGGGTGCTTTGTGGGATACTTCTGTAAAAATTCTTCTGTAGTCCAAGTCAGGGGACTTGCATTCAAATCCCACTAGTGTCTCTTATTAAATATGTGTCTTGTTGTCAAGTTACTTAATCACTCTCTTCTAAAAAAAGCTCACACTCACATGATACTGTTTCAGTTCTGCCTGTTTTTATGTTTCACAATGTATTGTTTTCTTCATGAGTGATATTTCCTCCTTTAAAAATATTTGAAATACTAAGTATGAATTTTTGCTCTATTTTCTTTATTTTTAAAGTTAACATCCGATAAAATTGATTTTTTGGATGTAGAGTTAACACATACATAGATTATATATGTTATATAGAGAGACGCTATATATGTTTACATATATATACACATATGTGTATATACACATATATGCATGTGTATATTATTTATATATACATATGTATGCATATACATGTACAACTACATATGTGTATATACATATATGTGTATAAACATGTACATATACATGTACGTGTATATATGTATGTATATTTACACACACACATATATAGATTCATGTAAACCTTCACCACAAACAGGACACAGAACAGATCCATCACTGCCAAAATTCCCTGTGCTGCTCCTTTTTTAGACACATCCTCCTCCTGTCCATAGCCTCTGACAACCATTGATCTTTTCTCCATCACTGTAGTTTTGTGTTTTCCAGATGTCATACAAATGGAATCATATAGTAGGTAGCCATTTGAAACTGATTCCTTTTTTTTAAGTTTTGTGGTATTTTATTTCATTTATTTATTTATTTATTTATTTATTTATTTATTTATTTATTTTTGAAACGGAGTCTCCCTCTGTCGCCCAGGCTGGAGTGCAGTGGAGTGATCTTGGCTCACTGCAAGCTCCGCCTCGCATGTTCAAGCGATCCTCATGCTTCCGCTTCCCAAGTAGCTGGGATTACAGGTGTGCACCACCGTGCTGGGCTAATTTTTGTATTTTTAGTAGAGACAGAGTTTCACCATGTTGGCCAGGCTGGTCTTGAACTCCTGACGTCAAGTGATCTGCCCGCCTCAGCCTCCCAAAGTGCTGGGATTACAGGAGTGAGCCACCGCACCTGACCATTTTATTTTATTTTTAATTGACAAATAATAATTATAGACCAGGTACAATGCCATGTCATGAATTATTGTAGAGTGATTAAATCTAGCTAATTAACATTATTCATCATTTCATATACTTATCATTTTTTTGCGTGGTGAAAACATTTAAAATTAACCCTTTCAGCAGTTTTGAGATATATGAACTTTATCATTAGCTATGAGTCACCATGCTGTGCAATAGATCCTGAAACTTATTCCTGCTGGTCTAACGGAAACTTTGTACCCTTTGACAATTATCTTCCCTTTCCTATCCTCACCCTTCCCTTTCCGCCTACCAGCCTCTGGTAATCACCATTCCACTTGCTACTTCTATGAGTTTTAGTTTTTTAGGTTCCATAGACAAATAAGGTCATTCAGTATTTGTCTTTCTGTGCCTGGCTTATCTCACTTAACATGTCATCCAGGTTCATCCATGTTGTTGCAGATGACAGAATTTTCTTATTTTTTAAGGCTGAGTAGTATTTCATTGTGTATTATAAACTACATTTTCTTTATCCATTCATCTGTTGGTGGACACAGTTTGCTTCCATATCTTGGCTATCGTGAATAACGCTGCAATAAACATGGAAGTGCAGATACTGCTTTGACATACTGATTTCAATTCCTTTGGATACATACTCAGAAGTGGGGTTGCTGGTGAGATCATACGGTAATTATATCTTTAATCTTTTGAGGAACTTCTATGCTGTTTTTCCATAATGGCTGTACTAATTTACGTTCACACCAACAGTGTAGCAAGGTTCCTTTTTCTCCACATCCTCTCTAAAACTTATCTTGCGTTTTTGATAGTAGCCATTCAAACAGGTGTGAGGAGATATTCTATTGCGACTTTAATTTGTATTTCCCTGATGATTAGTGATATTGAGCACATTTTCATATATCTGTTGGCCATTTGTATGTGAGACTGATTTCTTTCATTCAGCAAGATGCCTTTGATAGTGATGCATGTTGTTGCAAGTATCAAGCATTCATTCCTTTCTATTGCTGGGTAATATTTTATCATCTGGATGTACCACAGTTTGTTTATCCATTGACCTGTTTCAAGGCATTTGAGCTGTTTCCAGTTTTTGGTACTTATGACTAGAGCTACTGTAAACATTCATATGCAGATTTTTGTGTGAAATATAGTTTTCATTTTTCTAGGGTAAATACCTAGGAGTGGGATTGCTGGGCCATAAGTTAAGCATATGTTTAATTTTATAAGAAACTGGCAAGCTGTTTTCCATAGTGCCTATAACATTTCTCATTCCTTTCACTAATATATGACAGTTCCAGCTGCTTTGCATCATTCTCAGAATTTGGTATTGTCGATATTTTTTATTTCAGCCATTCTAACAGGTTTGTGGTGGTATCATCAAGGCTTTAATTTGCATTTCCATAATAACTAATGGTGTTCAGCATCTCTCCCTGTGCTTATTTACCTTCTGTATATTCTCTTTGGTTAAGTGTGGTTCAAATTCTTTGCCTATTTTTAATTGGGTAGCTTATTTTCTTACTATTAAGTTTTGACAGTCTTTATATACAAGTTCTTTGTCATATACGTGACAAATATTTCTCTTAATATATAACTTGCCTATAATTATTCTCTTTTAGTATTTTGCAGAGGAAAAGTTTTTAATGTTGATGTAGTCCAGTTTATTCTTTTTTTAAAAAAATGGATCATGTTTTTGGTGTCACATCTAAGAAGGCTTTGCCTAACCCCAAGATTTATAGATTTATAGCTAAGTATTTATTTTATTTTATTTTATTTTTTGGAGCTGTGGTAATTGCTATTGATAAATATTCTCTTGTGTTTTCTTTCACAATTTTTATAGCTTTATATAAAATTTATCATCCATTTTTTTCCCTCCAACTTTTATTTTAGGTTCAGGGAGTACATGTGCGAGTTTGTTACATGGGTAAATTGCATGTCCCTGGGGTTTGGTATACAAATTATTTTGTCCTCAGGTAGTTTTTGGATCCTCACCCTCCTTTGTCCTCCACTCTCAAGTAAACCCCTGTGTCTGTTGTTCCCTTCGTTGTGTCCATGTGTACTCCAAGTTTAGCTCCCACTTAGTGAGAACATGCAGTATTTGGTTTTCTGTTCCTGTGCTAATTTGCTTGGGATAATGGCCTCCTGCTCCATTTGCATTGCTGCGAAGGACATGATTTTAATCTATTTAATGGCTGCATAGTATTCCATGGTATATATGTACTACTTTTTTTTTTATCCAGTTCACTGCTGATGAGCATCTAGGTTGAATCCATGTCTTTGCTACTGTGAATTGTGCTGCGTCAAACAGATGCATGCATGTGTCTTAATGGTAGATCAATTTATATTCCTTTGGATATATACTCAATAATGGGATTGCTGGGTCAAATGATAATTCTGTTTTACATTCTTTGAGAAATCGTGGAACTGCATTCCACAGTGACTGAGCCGATTTACATTCCTACCAGCAGCATATAAGTGTTTCCTTTTCTCTGCAACCTCACCAGCATCTTTTTTGACTTTTTAATAATAGGCATTCTGACTGGTTTGAGATGATATCTCATAATGACTTTGATTTGCATTTCTCTGATGATTAGTGATGTTGATCATTTTTCATATGCTTGTCAGCCATATGTATGTCTTCTTTTGAAAAATGTCTGTTCATGTCTTTTGCCCAGTTTTAAATAAGATTATTTGTTTTATGCTTGTTGATTTAAGTTCCTTATAGATTCTGGATATTAAACCTTTTTTGGATGCAGAGCTTGAGAAAATTTTCTCCCATTCTGTAGGTTGTCTCTTTACTCTGTTGATAGCTTTTTTTTGCTGTGCAGAAACTCTTTAGTTTAATTAGGTTCCATTTGTCAATTTTCAGTTTTGTTGCAATTGCTTTTGGAGACTTTGTCATGAAATTTTTGCCAGGGCCTATTCCCAGAATGGTATTTCCTAGGTTTTCTTCTAGGGTTTTTGTAGTTTCAGGTTTTATATTTAAGTCTTTAATCCAACTTGAGTTGATTTTTGTATAAGGTGAAAAGAGGGGGTTCAGTTTCAACATTCTGCATATGGCTAGCCAATTATCCCAGCACCATTTATAGAATAGGAGATTTTTTTTTTCCCCATTGCTTGGGTTTTATTTTTTGTTTGTTTGTTTGTTTATTTTTTGTTTTGTTTTTTGATACAGGGTCTCACCTCTACTATCACCCAGGCTGGAGTGCAGTGGAATGATCATAACTCAATACAACCTCAACTTCTCGGGCTCAGGCGATCCTCCTGATTCAGCTTTCTGAGTAGCTGGAACCATAGGCACATGCCATTACACCTTGCTAACTTTTTGTATTTTTTTTTCTTTTGTAGTGACGGGGTTTTGCCATGATGCTAAGGCTGATCTTGAACTCCTGGGCTCAAGCAATGTGCTTGCCTTGGCCTCCCAAAGTGCTGGGATTACAGGTGTGAGTGACGGCACCCAGCCCCATTGCTTGTTATTGTCAACTTTGTCAAAAATCAGATGATTGTAGATGTGTGGTTTTATTTGTAGCTTCTCTAACCTGTTTCATTGGTTTATGTGTCTGTTTTTGTACCACAATCTGCCGTTTTGGTTACTGCAGCCTTGTAGTATAGTTTGAAATCAGGTAACATGATGCCTCCAGCTTTGTTCTTTCTGCTTAGCATTTCTTTGGCTATTCAGGCTCTTTTTGGGTTCCACATAAATTTTATAATAGTTTTTTCTAATTCCGTGAAAAATGTTGGTAGTTTGATTAGGAATACCCCTGAATCTGTAAATTGCATTAGGCCATATGGCCATTTTAACGATATTGATTCTTCTTCTCCATGAGCATGGAATATTTTCCTATTTATTTGTGTTGTCTCTAATTTCTTTCAGCAGTGTTTTGTAATTCTCATTGTAGAGACATCTCACCTCTTTGGTTAGTTGTATTCCTAGGTATTTTATTTTTACTGTGGCTGTCGTGATTGGAATTGTGTTCTTGATTTGGCCCTCAGCTTGTATGTTATTGGTGTATAGAATTGCTCCCGAGTTTTGTGCATTGATTTAGTATCCTAAAAACTTTGCCGATGTTGTTTATCATCCATTTATAACTTTTGTATGTGTGTTGTGAGGTTTATGTCAATTTTTATGTGTCTTTAATTGTTCTATCATCACTTGTTGAAAAGACAATTTTTTCTTCATTGAATTGTATTTCCACTTTGGTCCAATATGAATTGGTCATATTTGTGTGCATCTTTCCCTGAACTGTCTATTGTATTCCATTGGTTTATGTGTCTGTCTGTTCATCAATACCACATGTCTTGATTACTATAGCTTTATCATAAGTCTTAAAAACTTTCCTTTCCCATATACATTTTAGGATCACCTTTCCTATATTTACCAAAAAAATCTGCCTGGAATTGCATTAATTCTATAGATCAATTTGGGGAAAATTAACGTCTTAATTCTCTTGGAGTCTCTCAACCCATTGAGAATGACCCAACAGACCCAAGAAAACCCAATCTCTCTTTTTCATTTAGGTCTTCTTTGATTTCTTTCATCAGCATTTTGCAGATTTAAGGCCACACATAATTTGTAGATTGATAGCTAAGTACTTGTTTTGGAGCTATAGCAATTGCTATTATTTTGTTGATTTCTGTTTTGATTTGCTCATATCACATAGATATGATTGATTTTTGTGTTGATTTTGTATTCTGCAATCTTGCTAAATTTACTTAGTTCTAGAAACTTTTATGTGGAGTCCATGGAATTTTCTCTACAGACAATCATACATGGACAATTTTCTATATAATATCAGACATATTTATTTCTTCCTTCCCAACCTGTATGTCTTTCTTTTTTCTTTCTTTCTTTCTTTTTTTTTTAGGTCTCACTTCATCACCCAGACTGGAGTGCAATGATCATGGCTTACTGCAGCCCTTGACCTCCTGGGCTCAAGCTATCCTCCTGCCTCAGCCTCCTTAGTAGTTGGGACTACAGGCCTGTGCCACCAGGACCAGCTTTTTTTTTTTCATTTTTTTGTAGAGGTGAGGTCTCACTATGTTGCCCAGGCTGGTCTCAAACTCCTAGGCTCAACTGATCCTTCTACCTTAGCCTCCCAACGTGCTGGAATTACACCACAATGTCTGGCCCTTTATTTCTTGTTCTTGTCTTTTTTGCATTAGCTAGGACTTCCAGTATGATGATGAATAGGATTAGTGAGAGTATAATCCTTGCCTTGGTCTCAATTGTGGAGAAAAAGATTCAGTTCCTCACCATAAAGTGTAACTTGAGCTTAAGGATTTTCTTAGATGCCCTTTACGTAGTTAAAGAAGTTCCCTTTTATTTCTAGTTTGCTGAGTGTTTGTAATGTGAATAGATATTGTGTTTTGTGAAATGTTTTTTTCTGCATCAACTTGTATAATTATGGGAAGTTTTTCTTCTTTGGTTTGTTAACATGGTGGATTATAGTAATTGATTTTAGAATATTGAACCAATTCTGCATTCCTGGGATAAATCCCACAAGGATCATTGTTGATATTTATATCTATATCTATATATAGATATATATATATTTATCATTATTTTGTGGAGTATTTTTACATCTCTTATGTCATAGACTCATAGATACAAGTATTCTTATATATAAGTGTATGAAGAATATTGGTCTGTGGTTCTCTTTTCTTTTCTTTTCTTTCCTTTTTGTCTTTTCTTTCTTTTTTGGTCCTGTCTTTGTCTAGTTTGGGAATGAGGGTAATACTAGCTTTATAAAATGAATTGGCAAGTATTTCTTTCTTTTGCTTTCTAGAAGACATTATATAGAATTTGTGGGTTTTTTTTTTTTTTTTAGTGTTTGGAAAATAAATCAGTGAAACCATTTGAGCATACAGGTTTTTTGTTTTTGTTTTTTCCAACTACATATTTCCTTAATAGGTGCAGGGACTATTCAGGTTAGCTATTTGAGAGTGTGTTTTGGTTGTTTATAGCTTTCATAGACTTGTTCTATTTCATGTAAGTTGTCAAATTTATGTATACAGAGTTGTTCATAGTATTTTCTTTTTTTTTTTAAATGTTCTCAGGATCTGGAATATTAAATAGCGATATCTCCTCTTTCATTCCTGATATTGATAATTTGCATCTTCTCTCCTTTTTTCCTTTTTGGTCTGGCTAAACCAATGTTATTGATCTTTTCTCAAAGAACCAACTTTTTGTTTGATTGATTTTTCTCTATTGTGTTTCTGGTTTCAATTTTTTTGATTTCTGCTCTTATCTTTATTATTTTCTTTCTTTGCTTGCTTTGGGTTTATTTTATTCTTTTTTTAGTTTCTAAAGGTGGAGTTTAGATGATTGAATTATGACTTTGATCATAATAGAAACATTTACTTTAAAATAAGAGAAACATTTACTGTTATAAATTCTACTCTAATCGCAATATTTTAAATTGTCCATTTTTATCTTAATTCAACTCAAAATGCTTTCTAATTTTCTCTTGAGAAATGTTTAATCTATTGACTATTCTGAAATATGTTATTTAATTTCCAATTGTTTGGAGATTTTTCAATTATCTTTCTGTTATTTATTTGTTGAAATTATATAATTTGTATTATTCCAGTATGTTTCAACTTTTTAAGGTTTGTTTTATTATTCAGGATATGACCTAGCTTGGTGAATGTTTTATGTGCGCTTGAAAACATTTTGTATTCTGCTATTATTGCATGGAGTATCCTATAAATATCAGTTAGTTTCAGTTGGTAGATGGTATTTTGTTTAGCGATTGTAAATCCTTTTAATTTTCTCTACTTGTTCTGTTATTGAGGGAGGCTTGCTAAAATATGCAATCATAACTGTGAGTGTCTCCATTTCTCATTTCAGCTCTATCAGTTTTTATTTCATATATTTTGAAGTGTTGCTGTAAAGTACATGCAGATTCAGGATTGTTATGTCTTCTTGGTGAATTGACCCTTTATCATTATGTAATGTAGCTCTTTATCCCTGATGATTTTCCTTGTTCCGACAATTACTGTGACATTAATATAGCCACCCATTTGTTTTGTTTAGGGTTTCCATGGTATATCTTTACCATCCTTTTACTTTTAACCTGTCTATATCATTATATTTAAAGTGTGTTTCTTATAGACCACATGTAATTGGGTTTTATTTTTTGTTTTCTGACAATCCCTATCCTTCAATTGACATGTTTAGACCATTTCCATTTAATATAATTTTCAATATGTTTAGATTAAGGCTACCATTTTACTAATGTTTTCTGTTTGTTCTCTCTGTTTTTGTTTTTGTTTTCTTTTGTTGTTTCTTCCTTTTCCCTCTCCTGCCTTCTTTGAATATTTAATTTTTTTTTAGACTTCCGATATAATTTATCTAGTAAGCTTTTGACTATATCTCCTTGTAAAAAAAATTTTTTGTGTGGTAACTTCAGGGATTAAATACATATATTTAAATTACATATTATATATATATAATCTCTACTAAATTTTCAGTCTAATTAGAATTAGTATTTTGCCACTATAAGTGAAATATAGAAAACTTACCATGAAATAAACCTTTTCACCTCCCCTTTTTAGTGATGTAGTTTTCACATGTATTAAATATTTGGCTGCAATTTTTGTTTCCAATCATCATCTATATTTTAAAGAACTTAAGAAAAAAAGAATAGCCTATTATGTTTACTAATTTTTTGCATTTCTGTTATTATTCCTTCATTCATTCCCCATGTCCAAGTTTCCTTCTAATATAATTTTTTTCATTGAATAATTTCCTTTAGCATTTCTTTTACAGTAGTTATGCTTGTGACAATTTTCTTAGCTAAGAAACATATTCACTGGATATGGAATATTTTCAGTGGATATAAATTCTGAATTGGCTGTTCCTTTCTTTTAGATCTTTTTTTTTTTTTTTTTTTTGATGGAGTCTTGCTTTGTCACCCAGGCTGGAGTGCAGTGGCGCGATATGGGCTCACTGCAAGCTCCGCCTCCCGGGTTCACGCCATTCTCCTGCCTCAGACCCGCCCAGCAGCTGGGACTACAGGTGCACGCTGCCATGCCTGGCTAATTTTTTTGTATTTTTAGTAGAGACGGAGTTTCACCGTGTTAGCCAGGATGGTCTCCATCTCCTGACCTCGTGATCCGCCCTCCTTGGCCTCCCAAAGTGCTGGGATTACAGGCGTGAGCCACGTGCGCCCGGCCTCTTTTAGCTCTTTAAAATCTTGTATCACTTGCTTCTAGCCTTGGTGGACTCTAACAACAAATTTACAAATATTTGATTTCTTGTTTCTCTTTATGAAGCACATTGCTTTCATCTGGCTGTTCAGGATTATTCTTTGTCTTTAGTTTTCAGCAGTTTGATTATACTGTGTTAGGCATGAATTTCTTTTGTTTTATTCCATTTTGGATTCACCAGTCTTCTTGAACATAAAAAATTATGGTTTTTTTTTTTTTTTTTTTTTGCCAAATTTAGGACCTTTTCAGCCATTGTAACTTTAAATGATTTTTCTGGCGCACGCACTTAGTTGTGTCTTTGTAAAACTGATGACATGACATTGATGTTAGAACTTTTGGTATTTCTCATAGCTCCCTAAGGTTCTGTTTATTTAAAAAAATTTTTTCTCCCTCTTGTGTAATATTTATTAATAATATTAATAATTATAAATAAATTTTGTGTAATTTCCATTAATCTATTTTTAAGTTTACTGACTCTTTATTCTGTTATCTCTGTTCTGCTATTGGATCTATCCAGTGAATTTTTTAGTTTGGACAGTATATTTTTCAGTTTTTAAATTTCTATTTGGTTTTCCTTTCTATCTTCTATTTTTTTTGCTGAGATATTTCACTTTTCCATTTGTTTGAAGAACGTTTACCCTTTATTTTACAGATAATTCCAATATCTTTGTCATCTTGGAGTTGGCATTTGTTATTATCTTTTCCTTGAGAGTTGAATTTTCCTTTTTTGTTTGTTTATTTTATTTTTTGCCTTGTTTGAATTTTTGTATAAGTAATTTTGGATTAAATCCTAGATGTTTTGAAGAATATATTATGAGATTCTAAGTCTAGTTTCAATCCAAAGGGAAATATTTTTCTTTGTTTGTTTAAACAGGCAGTTGTCTAGGCTAGGTTTGGGCCACAAGTTCTGACTTACCTTCTATAAGCTATGTTTTCAATATCACTTTAACTTTAAAATGTTTCCTGTGTTATCCAGATCAGTTCCCCATGTGTACTACCCTGTGGCCAAGTCTTTTAACTCTATGGTATGCTCAGATGTATACACGGGCACATCAATGGTGATCTCAGGCATTCAGATACAATAATATAGAATTGCCTTTTCGACTTCCCACCTCTCTGTGATCTCATTGATATGTTTTAGCTTCCTGGCACCTCCTTCATGGGCCTCCAGCTAGGAAGTTGAAGCTTTATTTTTTCTACTCGGCAAGGCACTTCTTGTGACAATATCTGTGTCCCAGGTCAAGTGATGAAGACAGAGAAGAAAAAAAAAAAAAGCAACGGGAATTCACACCATGCTCTTAGATCCATACTCATCTGGTCAGGGGAAGGTTCCCCTCTTTCAGAATTTTAGGCATCTATTCAGCTACCACTGTCATCACTGTACAATTGCCACTTCCATAATGCCTGGGGGTTGGGGTAGTAGAAAAAGGAAAAATACCAAAGTATTCTCCACTGTTTTCTACCCTATGCATCCCCCTTTCTTTGTCCTTTAAAGCAGAAGAGTTTCTCTTGAATCTCTTTCTGACAGCAGCCAGTGTGCACTTTCAGATGCTGGGCTGTGTCTTAGTCTATTTGTGTTGCTATAAAGGAATGTCTGAGATGGAGTGATTTATTTTTAAAAAAAGTTTATTTGGCTCATGATTCTGCTGGCTGGGAGGTTGGGCATCTGGCAAAAGTCTCAGGCTGCTTCCACTTAGAGCAGAAGGCAAAGTGAATGATGTGTGCAAAGATCACATGGCGAGAGCAGAAGCAAGAGGTAGGGATGTCAGGCTCTTTTAAACCACCAGCTCTCCTGAAAATTATTAGACTGAGAAGTCACTCACCCGTCTACACAGGGAAGACATTAATCTATTCATGAGGGATCTGCCCCCATGACTCAAATGCCTCCTATCAGGCCCTACTTCCAACACTGGAAATCAAATTTCAACATAAGGTTTGGAGGGGTCAAATATCCAAACCATAGCAGGCTGCCTTCATGTCTAGGCTAGGTAATACTGGAGGGAAAACACGGTAAATTCACAAATGATTTGACCAGACTTTGAATTCAAGTCTTATTCCTCAACCTGGATGCTACCATTTATTTTTCAGAGACTTCACATAGTAGCTGGTCCTTGCATTCAGTCCAGAATTTATAACTGCCTTCAGTAGGAGAGATGGGGTGGAGTGTGCTTACTCCATCTTCCTTGGAACCAGAACTCTTAAGTATGCTTTTAAAATTATTTTCAAAAGTGCCACTATTTTCATCTCATCTAGATTAAATTCAAGACCCAAGTGATAATTTCATTGGCCATCATTAGTTCTGTTACAGGCTATAGATGAAAACAGTCTTGGAGTCAATTCTTTTACATGTGACATTATCTTGAGTAAATTACCTATTGAGACTCTGTGTGTCAGTACTCTTACCTTCACGATAGGGACACAGGTCAGAGATAGCAATTAGTAATTAGTTAGAAATACATTGCAGTAGTCTAGGAAAGAAGTAATAGTGGCTCAGATCAGAGTAGTCATCATAGTAACACAGAGAGCCTCTTTGGCTTTTTTCATCTCACATTCATAGTCTATCCACCTTGATTTTCAAGATAAACAAGAGGATGTGGTCAAACAAAAAAGAGTCACTGTTTCAGTTCTTTTTTTTTTTTTTTCTGCCTCAAACAGAACCTTGATCTTTGTTAAAGTTCAGTATGAGGAACTGGTTTTGAATATTCGAGAGAAGAGAAAGTTTAGGAGTGAGGCTAGAGTAGGGCTGGAAACAGCATAGTTGTCTTCAAATAGCTAAAGGACTGTTTAATAGAAGAAACACTAAATGTATTATAAGCAAGCAGACACAAATAGAACTAAAGGAAAGACATTACAAGGAATCAGTTTAGCTTAATGGCAGGAAGAACTTGGTAATGGTTAAAGCTGTCTGTCTTAGTCTGTTTTCTGTTGCTTATAACAAAATACCTGAAACCGGGTAATTTATAAAGAAAAGGCATTTATTTGAACAGCAGGAAAATGGTGGATAGAAGGCAGGACTAACTTCCAGCTCCCACTCAGATGGACAGAGCAGCTTGTGGAGATGCACATTGTAAACTTTTACTCCAAGAACTACTGCAGGAACATACCCGGAAAGCCTAGAGAATCCACAGACCCTTTGAAGGAAGCAGATTGCTCCTGCAGGCCCCAGAAGATGGTTGAAAAAATGTGAGTGCCCAAAGTGTGAAAGGGGGATTGTCTGCCCTTGAACACACACCTTCACGGGGGAAACTGAAGGTCCAGATAATGGGAGAAGGATTTGATCTTACCTAGAGTTGAGACAAATTTAGAGAGCTAAGCAAAATACAAGGGTAGAAGTAGTGGGAAGAGCCCTGTGGGCTCTCTCGGTCCCCAGGGAAGCCATTTCTGACTTAGTCTCACAGAGATCCTTGGGAAGGGCTGCCAGAGGAACTGGGAAAAGACCACAGGGAGAAAGAAACTTCCAGCTGAACTTTGTAACAATTTCAACTGAACACAAATTTCCTCGATAGAAACTGGGGGAGGAGGTGAATCGGGAGTGGATACACAGCACAGAAGCCGCAGCAGGCAGGGAGGCACAAGACCTGAAAGCCCTGCTTGCTTTCTCAGCTAAAAGGCTAGTAGCCTGTGGCAAGTTCTCAGCCCTGCTCACTGGCTGCCTGGAAATAAACTCAGTGCTGTTGGTGGGGGCATGGTGGGAGTGAGACCAGCCTCTTGGGCTGCATGGGAGCTAGGTGAAGCCTGTAACTGCCAGCTTTCCCCGACTTCCCTGGTGACCTGCATGACACATCAGAGGCAGCTACAATCCCCCTGGGAACATAACTTCACTGGCCTGAGAACCACATCCCCATACCCCACAGCAGCTGCAGCAAGCCCCACCCAAGGAGAGCCTGAGCTCAGACAGGCCTAACCCTGCCCCGACCTGATGGTCTTTCTCTACCCACCCTTGTAGCCAAAGACAAAGGACATAATCTCTTCGGAGCTCTAGGGCTCCACCCACTGCCTTGATCCTCCCTATACTATGGCAACTGATGCTCCCCTGAAAGTGCCACCTCCTGGCTGGAGGCCAACAAATACAAAACTAGTGCAATAGACAAAACTACAACTAAGGACCCTCACAGAATCCATTTCACTCCCCTGCCAACTCCACCAAAACAGGTGCTGGTATCCAAGACTGAGACACCTGAAGATGGTAGACATGAAAATGGTTCACATCACAGGACTTTGGTCAGACACTCCCCAGTACCAGCCCAGAACCCAGTAGCTCCACTGAGTGGCTACATCCAGAAGAGAAATAACTGCAGTTTGGCTCTCAGGAAGCCACATCCTTAGGGGAAGGGGAGAGCACTACATCAAGGGAGCACCCCTTGGGACAAAGAATCTGAACAGCAGCTCTTGAGTCCCAGATCTTCCCTCTGACATAGTCTGTCCAAATGAGAAGGAATCAGAAAAACAGTTTTGGTAAAATGACAAAACATGTTTCTTTAACACCTCCAAAAGATCACACTAGCTCACCAGCAATGGATCCAAACCAAGAAGAAGTCTCTGAATTGCCAGAAAAAAAATTCAGAAGGTCGATTATTAAGCAAATTAAGGAGACACCAGAGAAAGATGAAGTCCAACTTAATGAAACCAAAACAATGATACAGGAAATGAAGGTGATATGGTTTGGCTGTGTCCCCACCCAAATCTCATCTTGAATTGTAGCTCCCATAATCCCTATGTGTCATGGGAGGGACACAGTGGGAGGTAATTGAATCATGGGAGCAGAGTTTTTCCCATGCTGTTCTCATGATAGTGAATAAGTCTCATGAGATCTGATGGTCTTATTAAGGGCAATTCCCCTGCACATGCTTTCTTGCAGCCATGTAAGATGTGCCTTTGCTCTTCCTTTGCCTTCTGCCATGATTGTGAGGCCTCCCCAGCCATGTGGAACTGTGAGTCCATAAAACCTCTTTTTCTTTATAAATTACCAAGTCTTGGGTATTTCTTCGTAGCAGTATGAAAATGGACTAATACAGAAGGGAAAAATCTTCGGTGAAATAGCATAAATAGAAAACAATCACAATTTTTGGAAATGAAGGACATACTTAGAGAAATGCAAAATACACTGGGAAGTCTCAGCAACAGAATCGAACAAGCAGAAGAAAGAACTTCAGAGCTCAAAAACAGGTTTTCAAATTAACCCAATCCAACAAAGACAAAGAAAATAGAATTTTTTAAAAAATGAACAAAGCCTCCAAGAAGTTTGGGACTATGTAACTAAACCTAAAAATAATTTGTGTTCCTTAGAAAGAAGAAATCTAACAAGTTTGGAAAACATATTTGAGGGAAAAATCAAGGCAAACTTTCCTAGCCTTGCCAGAGACCTAGACATCCAAATACAAGAAGCTCAAAAAAACACCTGGGAAATTTATCACAAAAAGATCATTGCCTAGGCACATAGTCATCAGGTTATCTGAAGTCAAGATGAAGGAAATAAATCTTAAGAGCTGTGAGGCAAAAACACCAGGTAACCTATAAAGGAAAACATATGAGATTAACAGCAGATTTCTCAGCAGAAACCCTACAAGCTAGAAGGGATTGGGGCCCTATCTCTAGCCTCCTTAAACAAAACAATTATCAGCTAAGAATTTTGTAACCAGTGAAACTAAGCTTCATAAATGAAGAAAAGATACAGGTTTTTTTTTAGACAAACAAATACTAAGAGAATTCACCACTATAAAGCCTGCACTACAAGAACTGCTAAAAGGAGCTCTAAATCTTGAAACAAATCCTCAAACTACACCAAAATATAACCTCCTTAAAGCATAAATCTCACAGCACCTATAAAGCAAAAACATAATAAATAAATTTTAGAAAACAAGGTATTGAGGCAACAAATAGCACAATGGATAGAATAGTATCTCACATCTCAATATTAACATTGAATGTAAATGGCCTAAATGCTCTACTTAAAAGATACAGAATGGCAGAATGGATAAGAATACACCAACTAAGTATCTGCTGTCTTCAAGAGACTCAAATAACACACAAGGACTCACATAAACTTAAGGTAAAGGGGTAGAACAAGATATTCCATGCAAATGGGCACCAAAAACAAGCAGGGGTAGCTATTCTTTTGTCAGACAAAACAAACTGTAAAGCAACAGCAGTTAAAAAAGACAAAAAGGAGCTGGACACAGTGGCTCATGCCTGTAATCCTAGCACGTTGGGAGGCTGAGGCAGGAGGATCACCTGAGGTCAGGAGTTCAAGACCAGCCTGGCCAACATGGTGAAACCCTGTCTCTGCAAAAATACAAAAATTAGCTGGTATGGTGGCATGCACCTGTAATACCAGCCACTCCGGAGGCTGAGGCAGAAGAAGCACTTGAACCCAGGAGGCAGAGTTTGCAGTGAGCCGAGATCATGCCATTGCACTCCAGCCTGGGTGACAGAGCAAGACTCTATCTCAAAACAAACAAACAAACAAACAAACAAAAAACAGACAAAAAGGGACATTATATAATGATAAAACGATTTGCCCAACAGGAAAATTTCACAGTCCTAAATATATATGTACCTAACACTGGAGCTCCCAGATTTATAAAATAATTACTACTAGACCTAAGAAATGACATAGACACAACACAATAACAGTGGGGGACTTCGATACTCCACTGACATCACTAGATAGGTCATCAAGATGGAGAGTCAACAAAGAAACGATGGGCATAAACTATACCCTAGAACAAATGGACTTAGCAGATATTTACAGAACATTCTAACCAACAACTGCAGAATATACATTCTATTCATCAGCACATGGAACATTCTCCAAGGTAGACCATATGATAGGCCACAAAACAAGTCTCAATAAATTTAAGAAAATCAAAATTATATCAAGTACTGTCTCAGATGACAGTAGAATAAAACTGGAAATCAACTCCAAAAGGAACCCTCAAAACCATGAAAATACGTGGAAATTAAATAACATGCTCCTGAATTACTGTTAACAATGAAGTCAAGAAGAACATTAAAAACTTTTTTTTAACTGAATGATAATAGTGACACAACCTATCAAAACCACTCAGATACAGCAAAGGTGGTGCTAAGAGGAAAGTTCATAGTCTTGAATGCCTACATTGAAAAGTCTGAAACAGCACAATTAGACAATCTAAGGATACACTTCAAGGAACTAGAGAAACAAGAATAAACCAAACCCAAACCCAGTGGAACAAAAGAAATAACCAAGATCTTTGCAAAACTAAACGAAATTGAATCAAACAAACAAACAAAAAAAGATAAATGAAACAAAAAGCTGGTTCTTTGGCTGGGAGCAGTGGCTCATGCCTGTAATCCTAGTACTTTGAGAGGCCAAGGTGGGTGGATCACTTGAGGTCAGGAGTTCGAAACCAGCCTGGCGAACATGGTGAAACCCTGTCTCTACTAAAAATAAAAATTAAAAAATAGCCAGGCGTGGTGGTGGGCATCTGTAATCTCAGCTACTTGAGAGGGTGAGGCAGGAGAATCACTGGAACTCAGGAGGTGGTGGTTGCAGTGAGCCAAGATCGTGCCACTGCACCCCAGCCTGGGCAACAGAGTGAGACTCCATCGCAAAAAAAAAAGAAAGAAAAAAGAAAAAAGAAAAAGCTGGTTCTTTGAAAAGATAAATAAAATTGATAGACCATTACTGAGATTAACCAAGAAAAAAAGAGAGAAGATCCAAATAAGTTCAATTAGAAACAAAATGGGAGAGATTATTAATCCAACCATTACCACAGAAATACAGATAATTCAGGGCTACTGTGAAGACTTTTATGTGCACAAACTGGAAAACTTAGAGGAGATAGATAAATTCCGCAAAATATACAGCACTCCTAGATTAAATCAGGAAGAAATGGAAACTCTGAACAGACCAATAACAAGCAGCAAGATTGAAATGGTAATTAAAAAAAAATTGCCAACAAAGAAAGTCCAGGCCCAGACTGATTCACGGCTGAATTCTATCAGACATTCAAAGAAGAATTGGTACCAATCCTATTGACACTATTCCACAAGATAGAGAAAGAAGAAATCCTCCCTAAATCACTCTATGAAGCCAGTATCACCCTCATACCAAAACCAGGAAAGGCTGTAACAAAAGAAGAAAACTACAGACCAATATCCCTGATGAATATAGATGCAAAAATCCTTAACAAAATACTAGCTAACTGAATCCAACACCATATCAAAAAGATAATCCACCATGACCAAGTGGGTTTCATACCAGGGATGCAGAGATGATTCAACATAAGCAAGTCAATAAATGTCACACACCACATAAACAGAATTAAAAACAAAAATCACATGATCATCTCAATAGACACAAAAAAGCATTTGACAAAATCCAGCATCCATTTATGATTGAAACCCTCAGCAAAATCAGCATAGATGGGACATGCCTTAATGTATTATAATAAAAGCCATCTATGACAAATCCACAGCCAACATAATACTGAATAGGGAAAAGTTGAAAGCATTCCCCCTGAGGACTGAAACAAGACAAGGATGCCCAATCTCACAATTTCTATTCAACATAGTACTGGGAGTCCTAGCCAGAGCAATCAGACAAGAGAAAAAAATAAAGGGCATCCAAATCGGTACAGAGGAAGTCAAACTGTCACTGTTTGCTGATGATATGATTGTGTACCTAGAAAACCCTAAAGACTCCTCCAAAAAAGTTCCTAGAACTGATAAAAGAATTCAGCAAAGTTTTAGGATACAAAATTAATGTAGACAAATCAGTAGCTCTGCTATACACCAACAGCCACCAAGCTGAGAATCAAATCAAGAAATCAACCTCTTTTACAAGAGCTGCAAAAAATAAAATAAAATAAAATACTTAAGAAGACACCTAACCAAGAGGGTGAAAGACTTTTACAAGGAAAACTATAAAACACTGCTGAAATCAGTCATAGATGACACAAACAAATGGAAACACACTCCATGCTCATGGATGGGTAGAATCAAAATTGTGCAATGACCATACTGACAAAAGCAATCTACAGATTCAATGCAATTCCCATCAAGATACCACCATCATTCTTCACAGAACTAGAAAAAACAATTCATATGGAACAAAAAAGAACCCACATAATGAAAGCAAGACAAAGCAAAAAGAACAAATCTGGAGGCATCACATTATCTGACTTCAACCTATACTATAAGGGCATAGTCACCAAAACAGCATGGTACTGGTATAAAAATAGGCACATAAACCAATGGCATAGAATAAAGAACCCAGAAATAAAGCCAAATACTTACATCCAACTGATCTTTGACAAAATAACTCAAACATAAAGTGGGGAAAGGACACCCTATTCAACAAAGAGTGCTGGGATAATTGGCGAGCCACATGTAGAAGAATGAAACTGGATCCTCACTTCTCACCTAATACAAAAATCAACTCAAGAGGGATCAAGTAATTAAATTTAATACCTGAAACCATAAAATTCTGGAAGATAACGTCAGAAAAAATCCTTCTGGACATTGGCTTAGGCAAAGACTTCATGACCAAGAACCCAAAGCAAATGCAACAAAAACAAAGATAAATAGATGTGACTTAATTAAACTAAAAAGCTTCTGCATGGCAAAAGAAACAATCAGCAGGGTAAACAGACAACCCACAGAGTGGGAGAAAATCTTCGCAATAAGAAAATGTTCGCAATGTATACATCCAACAAAGGACTAATATCCAGAATCTACAAGGAGCTCAAACAAATCATCAAGAAAAAAAAAAACAGTCACATCAAAAAGTGGGCTAAGGACATGGATAGACAATTCTCTAAAGAAGATATACAAATGGCCTACAAACTATATGAAAAAAATGCTCAGCATCACTACCGATCATGGAAATGCAAACCAAAATCATAATGAGATATCATCTCACACCAGTCAGAATGGCTACTAGTAAAAAGTCAAAAAATAATACACGTTGGTGTGGATGAGGTGAAAAGGGAACACCTTTACACTGCTGGTGGGAATGCAAACTAGTAAAACCATGATGGAAAACACTGTGGAGATTCCTTAAACAACTAAAAGTAGAACTACCATTTGATCCAGCAGTCCCACTACTGGGTATGTACCCAGAGGAAAAGAAGTCATTATCCAAAAAAAGATATTTGCACACACGTTTATGGTAGCACAATTTACAATTGCAAAAATATGGAACCAGCCCAAATGCCTATCAATCAATGATTGGATAAAAAAGTGATACATACACACATACACACACACACATATACATCATGGAATACTACTCAGCCATTAAAAGGAATGAAATAATGGCATTTGCAGCAACCTTGATGGAATTGTAGGCCACTATTCTAAGTGAAGTAACTCAGGAATGGAAAACCAAATGTTGTATCTTCTCACTCATAAGTGGGAGCTAAGCTATGAAGATGCAAAGGCATAAGAATAATACAATGGACTTTAGGGGCTTGGGGGAAAGGGTGGGAGGCAGTGAGGCATAAAAGATTACACACTGGGTACAGTACACACTGCTTCAGTGATGGGTGCACCAAAATCTCAGAAATCACCACTAAAGAACTTATTCTTGTAACCAAACGCGACTTGTTCCCTAAAAACCTATTGAAATTTTTTTAAATGCAAAAAAAAAAGAAAGAAAGAAAAGGAAAGAAAAGAAAAGAAAAGGCATTTATTTCTTACGGTTATGGAGGCTGAGAAGTCCCAGGTCAAGGGGCTGTATCTGGTGAGGGCCTTCTTGCTGTTGGGGACTCTGTGCAGAGTCCTGAGATGGTAAAGAACATCACATAGCAAGGGGACTGAGTGTGCTAGCTCGGGTCTCTCTTCCTCTTCTTACAAAGCTAGAAGTCCCAGTCCCGTGGTAATTCATTAACCCGTTAAACTATTAATCCAGTAATCCATAAATGGATTAATCTATTCATTAGTGCAGAGCCCTCTTGACTCAATCACCTCTTAAAGGCACCACCTCTCAATACTGCCACATTGGGGATTAATTTTTAATATGAGTTTTAGAGGGGACAAACATTCAAACCATAATACTGTCTAAAGACAGAATGGACACTTATAGGCAGGAGATAGTGTTGGTTGCTGGAGGTGTCCAATCAGATGACTTTTCATGTTTTTTCCAAGCTTAAGAATTATTACCTCTCCATTTAGTGGGTACTTATAATCAAGTTTCAGTGTTAGGGGGAACAGAGACATGAAACTTGTGAAAGATACTGATGTTTGTGACAACAGGTGAATACTAGTGTTTTCTCTTTAAGCTTTGCTCTCTATAGTTTGTTCAAACGGAGTTGTTGTGGAAGTTGCCTAAGTCAGTGACAGTCATTTTGCTTGTTAACAGATTCCACTCTGTCCTCCCCACTCTCGTATTTCTTAAAGTAAAAAATGTTAAGTGCTTACAAAAGTACCAGCACTGTGTTTAGTACTCTATATGCGTTATCTTATTATATTTTCATAACAATATTTTGAGAAACCTAATACTATCATTTTGCAGATGAAAAACAGAGATGTAATAATTTTCCTGAGCTCACATGACTAGTATGGTTAGCAGAATAATGGTCTCCAAAGATGTCCATGTCCTATTCTCAGAACCTGTGAATATGTTACCTTTGCAGATATGAAGAAGTTAAAGATTTGAGATGAGAAGACAATTCTGGATTATCTGTGAGTCAAATATAATCACAAGAGTACTTATAAGAAGAAAACAGGAGAGACAGAGCCTGAGAAGGAAGTGTAACTACTTAAAGAGTCAGAGAGAGATTTGAAGATGCTACTGGTTTAAAGATGGAGGAAGAGGCCATATCTAAGTAATGCAGGTGGCTTCTAGAAGCTGAAAAAGACAAGGAAACAGATACTCCCTTAGAACCTCCAGAAGGAACAGAGCCCTGCCAACACCTTAATTTTATCATAGAAAACTCATTTCAGACTTTTAACTCCAGAATTGAAAAGTACTAAATTTGTAGACTTAGGGTTGTCTAAGGCAGGAGGAAGGAGATTGTGATTTAGATAAAAAGGGGATAGTAAGTAAGAATTCACAAATGGTGGAAATGGTATAGGGTGAGTAAGTGGTAGGGATTCAAAGACAAACTTCACTCACTTCACAGTTTTACCTGGAGTATTAGACCCTTGGCCAATGTGGACATTTCAGCTGGAGGCATCAAAGCAACAAAACTGTTGCAAAATTTGCTAGCAACAATGAGGGGTGGCTGAACCTTTCATGGAAACATTTATTTTCACAGATTCTCATTTGTCTCAAACCAATTTAAAAGAAGTTGGCTCATGACTTGAACCACGTGTAATAAACATACTGTTCTGATTGGCTTGCCACTAGTGGGAGTTCATTTCACACTAAAACTCAATATGCACTTGGACACAACCATTGTCTCTAGTCATGCTCTTTCAGTAATGTTCCTGACTGTCTCAAATATGCTTTAGTGAATCTTCCCATTAGGCATTCTTAATCATGAAATACTGACTGCTACCACATTTGCTATGATCACTTGACAACGATGAGTGAGGCAAATCATTTATATAGTCATGAACTAGATTTACTCTTGATTGTGACCCCTACACAATCATGTTTGTTGGAAGCACCCCAAATTCTGACTAAGGAGCTTGAATCAACAAGTTAATAGTCACAAAATGGTCTTGAACCAATAGACTCAATAGCCTTGATCAAACTTTCCCTTCTTTTGGACTCAGGTAAAGGGAAAATTACCTAACTCCTTTTTTGTCCAGTAATAATTTGTGATTAGCTAAATTAACAGTTATGGTGAAAATTATCAGAAAATACCCATTATGCTTACAATAATTCACAAATCTAAAAATACCATAAATTACCCTTACAAGAACATTCACAATGAAATGAAATGAACAGACTAAGCTTGACTGAAATCGGGTTAATGGGGTTTACTCGTGGAGGGAAAAAGGTGCCTGGGGCCTAAGAGTGAAATATTATCCACACTGACCAAAAAAGTGAAAAATTATTAGAATGAGCCTGGCAGTTTGCCACATGCAATGCTCTTGCTAACTGAACTAGATATTCTAATGACCAATTTTTTTCACCAGGACAAAGAATAAAAACTAAGCCCTGGAGAAGAGATTTAGGAGTAACCAGTTCTGTAATTTGAACAAATAGTGTTCCAACGTTACCAAAAGCATTTCTGTACAAAATAGATCCCATGGCAACCAAAATCTTCAATCTAAGACGGAGGCTGTTTTTCAGCAGCTTGCACATTCTGCCCCAGTTGTAAAGGGCTGGGTGAAAAATCAAAACAGATTTATTAAGTGTCCAGTATGTGCTGGGCCCCATGCTAAACACTGCAAGGAATCCAAGATATGTATAACTCAAGGAGCTTAGGATATAGTTGCTTAAATCAGTGATGAACCTTAACATGTCATCTGTGCTAAGTGAATACAGGGACAAAACAAAATCATTGGCCAGGGACAAATCAAAGGTCACCAAGTAGGTCAATCCAAGCCAACATACATCTAGAAAGCAAGCTCAGGGCAAACTGAGGGTATGAGCCAGAGAAACATTCATTATCAACCAAACACCAATGAAATACCCACCCTCTCCCAGCACTGTGCTAGGCATCAAGGAAACACCATGAGTAGGACACAGTCTCTGCTCTTTAGGGTATGGACGGCTGGGTACAAATAATGATCGCCACATGCTTACTACACAGAGGGCATCAGATGAGGAACTCTCAGCTCCATCAAGATTGGTCAGGGAAGCCTTCCTGAAAAAGGAGAAATTGAAAGCAGATCTTGAAGGAGAAACAGGAGTTTGCCTGGTACTCAAGGGATTTTAGTGAGGTCATTCTGGGCAAAGGACATTCTGGGCAAAGGGAATAACATGTACAAGAGAGCACAGGCCAGAGGGAAACATCAAGTACCATAGTTTATTGTGTCTAGGACACATAATCTTTCACATGTTAACATTTGTAAAGTTAGGGTCTATCTTTCATTGATGACAAGTCATAGTTTAGCTGACAGTGCTCCCCCTCCCTGACCTCCCTTTGTGGAATATAAAAGAGTGGTGTGTCTTAGAAACAATAGTGCATTCGATTTGGTGAAATATGTTTATCCATTTTTGGCTTGAGCACACAGAGGCATGGTAAATGACTGGCTAGGATAACAACACACCAGAAACGCATTAGGGCTCACGCCTAAAAGAGTTTCCCTCTTTTTACTTCAAGAACTTGGGTTCCTTTGAAAGGTTTTAAGCAACCTTGTGAACCAGATCACTCCTGAGGCAGAAAGACCAGTTAGAAGGCTCATGACATACACTGTCCTGGCAAGAATTAAGAGCGCCTTCTCTAAAGGCATAGCAATGGAAATGGGGTGATAAAGTTCAAGAACTGTTTGAAAGGTTGAATCAATAGGGATTCATGACAGACTGAATGGAAAGTAAGGGAGTAAGGTTTCTGATCTAAGAGTTTGATGGGCAGAGGTATCAGTCATCAACATTGGCAATATGAAATGGAGAATGGGGCCAAGGGGAGGAAGAGGAAGCAGGGTGGGGCTGTGATGCCTGTAGGAAATATAGATAGGGATCCAAAGTTAGCATTCGCTGTGTGGGCCTGAGGGTAGAAGAAAAATCTAGAGAACCTAGAGTCTTGAGGGTCAGTGATACAATATATGAATATTAGCTGCAGCTTTTGGCATGGTTAAGTTTCTCCAGGAAGAGAATATTGGATGTATTGGATGAAAAAAGACAGTAGGCTAATGGATAAAACCCAGAGAAATCCAATCCAAAAGAAGCAGGTAGAGAGGAAAATGTAATCCTCATGCCCTTCCTGATGATCTAGGTTGCATAAACAAAAAAAAATCTGCAGACAGCATCACTTCTGGGAAATTACCCCTAGATATCTTCTTGTTTATTTTCTATCAGCTTGATTTTCCTTTCAGTCTCTTGTTTTATGAATTACTAGTTCAGTACCACAGTTTTAGTAGTAGGGTAGGATAAAAATTCAAGAAAAACAAACAAACAAAAAAACAAAAAGAACTCTTAAAGGCAATACCAAAGGCTCAGGCAGGCAGTGAAATTTAGAGGTCAAGAGCAGTTAAAACGAAAATGCCAACACACATAAGAAAGGTGAAAAGATGGCCGGGCGCGGTGGCTCACGCCTGTAATCCCAGCACTTTGGGAGGCCGAGGCAGGTGGATCATGAGGTCAGGAGATCGAGACCATCCTGGCTAACAAGGTGAAACCCCGTCTCTACTAAAAATACAAAAAATTAGCCGAGCGCGGTGGCGGGCGCCTGTAGTCCCAGCTACTCGGGAGGCTGAGGCAGGAGAATGGCGTGAACCCGGGAAGCGCAGCTTGCAGTGAGCCGAGATTGCGCCACTGCAGTCTGCAGTCCGGCCTGGGCGACAGAGCGAGACTCCGTATCAAAAAAAAAAAAAAAAAAAAAAAGTGAAAAGATGCATGAAATTTTAAAGATATGAATTTATCTAAAGATAAATTCACTTAATTTGATTCTTGAGCCCATCCTCCCTGGGAAGTTAAAAAGAGTTCTAACTTGTCTTTATTCCAGCATTACCACAACACCTATCATGTAATTGAATCAACAAACGAATTCAGCCTAGTCAATGTCCATCTTGCCTTCACTGTGCTCATTCTTTCAGTTTCCCAAGTAGCATACTCTAATGGAAAGAATAAAGAATTTACAGCCAGCAAGATCTGGTTCAAATTTTCACTTTGCCACATACTAGGTGAGTGGATTTGGGCAAATTATTCAATCACTTTTTCTCAGTGTTTCCAGTTGCAGAATGAAGAAACACTTTTCATGGTTGTTGTACAAAATGAGTGCTCAATATTTAGAGCTCGAATTCACATTAGTATTTGAACTCAAGTAAAAGTCACTTTAGAGCCCATGTTCAAATCCAAGAAGGCTATTCTCTGACCACCACTTCGGCACATAGCAGATCCCATCTTGCCCTAATTTGGTTTTAGGAAACAGCTGATTTTTCAGAGACTCTATTGCAAATGTGAGAGATAAAAGATGCATAAACTTCCCTCAAGGAATTTACTATCAAGAAATAAAATATAAAACATTAAAAAATAACTAATAAACACAGCTATATTTATCTATATATTCACAAGTCCATAAGTGCATAGAAAAAAAGCATGAAAAGACACACATCAAAACTGTAACAGTAATTCTTTCAGAGTAAAATGTGGTACTGGGAGATTTTATTATACTGTATGAATTTTACACAATGAAAATGGGTTAGAAATTAAATAAAATGAGAGATCCAAAGGAAAAAAAGAAAAGACAACTAGTAAATGGAGCAGCGTAAAGAAAAGAGTTCCCTTTAGCCAATAGTTTTCAGAAAATGTTTCACAGTTAAAGGGGGTATTTCAAATGAGGCTTCAATTTTGGGTGGTTGTTAGGTGGGCAGATAGATGGAGGAAAGGCATTCCTGGTTAGGATAACAACAAGACAAAGACAGAGGTGGGACTGCCCAGACCAGCTTAAGAGACGATGAAGACAGTAGTGTACTGGAAACACTATTTGAGTAGACAGTATAGGACATAATATTAGGATACTAAACTGATGCTAGATAATGGATGAAGTTGAATATCGGGCTAAAATATTTAGAGTGTTAGTGCCCAAACTCGCATATTCCAGGAACTTTACGAAACCTTCAGACTCTCTCCATTACAAAATTAATTTTGAATTCTAATCATATTTTAGATGGTTTCAGCTAAAACATCAGGACTAGTCGCCAAAAAGAAAAGCCCAGCCTGGGCATGTTGCCATTGTAATTCCATAGGCACTGGGGAGCCATGGAAGGTTCTTGAGCAGTAGAAAAATGTGTTAGGAGTATCTCTCTATGGAAGTAAAGACAGTGCTTTCAAGGAGCATTGTTGTGAGATAAATACAGCTTTGTTTACAGTTTATTTTTCCTTCACACCTGCCACACTGTGAAGGAGGGTTTGTTTGGTGTCTCTTTTGTCTGACTCATCACCCACTGATTAGCTCGGCCATGAGGGAGGCAGCTGCAAGTGCTAGGGGAAAGGCACAGACTAGAGTGAGTTCCAGATTCAGTGTGACCTGGACCAACTCAGTCTGAGCTGTTTGACTTGCATTCAAAAGATGAAACAAGATTCTGTTGTTTTAAGATGACAAAACGTCACCAAGTATTCCAGATTCAATGTGAATAAGAAGATGTATATATGTCTTATAAGGTAGGTACCCTTATTTTCCGCATTTTTAAAATGGGTAAACAGGAGCACAGAGTATCAAATAACATGCTGGGGGTCACAAAGACTACTTAGGGGCTAAATCCTCATTTGAACCCTGGCAGTCTGACTCCAGGTTCCATGGCCTTAGCCATCATGCCGTGGTGCTGTTTGAATTTTATGCAATAAGGATGTGTTTGTATTTTGAAATCCCCTTATCTTCACCCATATCTATTTTCTTTCTAGGCTAGCTTCTCTTCAGGCTGTGAATCCGGTTCTTTCCAGCTCCTTCAGTACTTTATCAACTGCTTCTCAGTCTCTCTTTCCAGAGGCTCCTAACCCTGATACTTGCCCAGATAATCTCCAATCTTAAAAAGCAAAATCATTTACGTGCACTCGAACTCTCCTCCTCTCTCTCCCCTTCTTTCGCCATCAGGCTTCTCGGAAGATTAATCTGAATTATTCTTCATGGACACCTGAGCATCTTGCAGAGTGGTTTCTATCTATTTCAAGCCTCTACTGCAGCCACTTTCTCAGAAGCTACCTGAGGCTTGTAACCACCACCATCCCATGACTTTTTTTGCCACTGTTTTGCCAAACGTCTCTGTTGCATTTTACCCTGTGGACCATACTTTCCTTGGGATTCTCTGCTCTCTTGAGGGCCATGACATGGCGACCTCTTGCTCACGCTCCTTCCTGTATTCCCACTCTGCTAACTTTGCACTCTGGGTCCTCCTGCCCATGAGTAGGTGTTCTCCAACAGCCTGTCCTTGGCTCTCTCCTCCTCATTGCTGCGCCTGCTTCCCTTGATGATCTCGCCCACACCCACATCTTAAATCATTACCTCCCTTTGCATCTCTGTTTCTAGTCCCAGCCCCCTCTGACATCTACAGTTGCATTCCCAACCTACTGCTGAACAACTTGATCTGGAGGATCAACATGTTGCAAAGAAAGCCCAGGTGTATCCCCTAGAACTCTCATTTCACATGGCCTCACTGTCAATTGAGGACCTGGGATGAACATCTCTAGGATCATTGCCTCACTGTCAATTGAGGACCTGGGATGAACATCTCTAGGATTAGTGCAATTTTCATTCTGCCTGCAAGAACTATCACTTAAAATGGTGACTCATTGCTCAAAGCTCAGTGAATGTAAAAAATTAACAGGGAATATGAAGTGTAAACATGAATCAGATGGAGGAAGAAAGAACAGTTCATATTTTATGTCGGCTGTTTAATCAGGACACATTTTCATGTATTGCTGATGTATTCCTTTCCCTGTCAATGGTTCCAAAAGAGCCATCATAATTTACCCTATTCTGTAACTTCTACAATCTCTTAGAATGAGGGTCTCCTGGAATCTCTTCAGATGAAAATGTATTGGGCACCTCTCTTTCAAACAACACATTTGAGACTGTTTTCTCTTCTTTGATTAAGATCATGAAAAACCTTTACCCTGGTGACAAAATTAGAGTTTAGTAGCAAACCAGAAGTAACTAAAAAACTAATATCCATTAGAATTGTCCCTTTTAGCACAACCAAAAGCTATAGAATAGAGAATGGGAAAGATCTCTTTAGGCAAAAGAAACTCATACAAAACAGACAGTAGATTGTTCTCTTTGTGAAGGCCTCCAAGAATGGGCACTCCATGTTCTTCTCTGGTAACTCATTCCAGCAATTAAACAACTGTTATGAATCCTTGGAACTAAAAGTAAGAGGTTTAAATTACATGCAGAAATACTTAAATGAGTTTTGGTCTGATGTTCACAGGATCTGTTTCAGAACTATTGAGTCAAGCTGGTCCTCTTGGTTTCTCCCTGATAAAGTTCTCATGGATATGTTGTAAGGAAGCTCTGGGCCTCCTCTATCCCCCAACACTGACCAGGGAGGAAATCATCCTGAGGGCAGTGAGTTATAGGTCCTGCAACACAGCGAGTTCATTAAATGTGTGAGTGAGTGAATGAGTACACACACAAAAGAGGGGCAGAGGGAAGGCAGAAAGGTGGAAGGAAGGGGTTCTAGAAGAATTCAGATTATCAAGGGCTTGACTGATGGGCATTGGGATGACAGGGATACCTAAGAGGTTAATAAGCAACTGGTTGGAGGCTGTAATCAGTAAACAGTCTCTCTTTCTCAAGTGGGCAGGCTCTAATTAACCTTTTGATATTTCCATTCATGATGTCATTCTTTTGTGGTACAAACCCTCAGAAACTCCTCTCCAGGCCTTCTAGGCCTTCTTCTGCAGTGGAGAGAACCAAAACCACACGTACTCTGTCTCTTATCACTGCTTACCTAATTTGCATGTGCCTTTTCCCATAAGAAGGGGTCTTTGGCCAGGGAAACCAGGAATGGAGTCCACACAGTGCCTTGAACAAGAACTGTGTCTCTTTTTAGTCAGTGTCTGATCAACTTCTTGGCTATCCTCGCTTTTGTGGTTAAAAGAGGGTAAATCATTCCACAGATCTGCCTGGTATCTCACTATGTTTCCTCTTAATATGTATTCAACTCTCTGTTTCTCCCGGTTAACTGTAATCTCTCTCCTACTTTCTACAGATCCTGCCTCTGAATGAGACTGCCCACTATGCAAGTGCCTTACCTGTAGTGCACACTTAGCAACCATTTGTTAAACAGAAGAATGAATAAATGAATGAATGAATGAATGAAAACCCTAATCCTATCATCAGTCATGTCAGCACCTTCATCTTTTTTCTTAGTAAGAGTCAAATCAATCCTCGTGTTTTGCCAACTTTTCACAGAGAAGGCTTAGATTCGAAATCTCTGTAGACATAATAGGTTTTCTGCTTTCTTTCCTTTCTCCATTTCAACATTCAGAAAACTCACACTGGAAGATAACAGGGCCCTTTCTGAGATTCTTCCTGTCTTCCAGAATCTTTTCCAGGGGAACAGAGCTGCACCAGCCTCAGGTGCCCAAAGGGTATCTGTCTTTCTCTCCAAGAGGAAGGCAAAGCAGTTTGTTCATCTCAGCCTCCTCACCCCCCAGAGGCCCGGTTTGGCTCTGCATTCACAGACACGTGCCCTGTCTTCCTCAACACATCATGGACTGGAGCATGGGAGAAAGTCATGCAACATAGTCAACAGGTCTAGCCTCAGCTTCCCAATACCCACACACATAAAGTTAAACGGAAAGCAATGAACAACACTGGTTGGGGGTGTCCTTGGAAACCAACGGCCTCCATGGCTGACCAACAGCCAAGGCTCCACTCAACCTCAGTGGAGGACCTGAACTCTGACCCTTAGCCTATTACCGAGCAGTGGTGTGATCTTAGATAAAAAACTGAACCTCTCTAGGTCTGTTTCTTCTTCCATGAAATGGAAATAAATAAAATTTTGCCACTAAGAGCATACAATTTCTGTGAAAACCAAAATAATGTAAAATCATTGCCAGGTGTGAATGAAGTCACAGGGGAATATAGAAGAAAAATGATTTGCCCAAATTTCCAAAGCTTTTTTTCAGAGTTGCATCCAAACTAACTCCAGGACTCAACTACTCCATTTGGAGGGTCTCAGACTCCCAACCTCCTCCATCTTTCCATATCTGTGGGTGAAAACTCTGCAAAAACTGTAATGTGCTAGATTTGATGTGCTGTTATTATTATATTTATAACATATAAAGACTGTTCTCGACTCTTATCCTATAATATCACGGCTGGCTTATATGCTCTTACCTTTCTTCTTTAAAAATAAAAAGGATAAAATGTTATTCTTTTTTAAAAAAGCAAACTTTTATGCTTGCTTTATCTTTTAGTAGCAGACAAATAAAACAGCAACAAAAGACCTTTTCTCTGTGGTCATGAAATATATTTCCCTTCTCTGTAGCTCTACCTGTGCATAGATACTATGGTTACAAGGAGACCCTTATCTATTGTAGAATAGAAATTACTGCTCACCTTCTTACCCTAGCCTCCCAAATCCTTCATGGACTTTGGCCAAAGTCCACTGAAAGATGGGCAAAGAGCAGAGATAGAATTCTGGGTGAAAGTTGTGCAGGGTGATCCAAAAGGGGGAAAAAAATCTGCCAGAAGCTATTCCTGGGTTTGCACAATTACTAGAATGAGAAAAAATGGAGAGAGGGACAAAACATCTGGGGATGATAAGGCGGAAACAAGCAAACTTGGGAATTAATAAAAAATACTGTTTTCCAGAAAGGAGCATAGCACTTCAAAACAGATGTTTGGGCTTGAAATTTTCCAGAACAGAACAAATGAGAGGGAAGAAGCAAGACTAAGAACTGGAGCACAGTGGGACCTTCATAAAAGAACCACTGGCCCTCAAAGAGTTAACTGCATTTTGAACATGCTCAGGTCCTTCATCTCTCACTTCCAAATTCTATCCCTTCAAAACACACTTCTCTGTCCATACATCTCCAAATGCACACAGAAGTGTACTTAGTAGCTAACTCCTGAAAAAATTCAAAAAAGGCACACCAATGGAAAACGCCAAGCTGAAGGCAAATCTCCTTTGCTTCTGGGTAGGGAGAAGAAGGGAAGAGCTAGGCAGAGCTAATGATGTCCTCTGAGACTGAGGCTGAGTTACAAACACAACTGAGGTCCAAGTTAGAGATTCAATCTTAAGAAAAGTGGCTGCTTTTTTCCTGCTCATTTCTCTTATCTACCCTGGGAATTAGGCGTATGTTGGAGTGTCCCTAGTATCTTCAGGGACACGGAGACAAACGTGTCCCTGAAGATACTAGAAGGAACATTCAGAGTTTCAACATTAACCTACAGCTGAAGGAGACATTGTTCTTGGCCCTCTGTATCTGGTGTAGGAGGGTACACATTACAGGGTGTTAGAAGCTCAGAAAAAGACTAAACAAGTCATAATTCACTTTAAGACAATCACAGCTATAGTAGATCTATATTTCTATTCAATTACGCCTTGCATTATGCAGCTGTTGGAAACGCTGTTGACCTGATCATATTTTCTTATATATTACAAGGCAATTCTTTCATGTTCCAATAAACAGGTGACTCTACAGCACTGCTGTCCAAGAGATATAATGGAAACCACATATGGAATTTAAACTTTTCTAGTAGCCACATTTTTAAAAAGGGAAAAGGGAAAAAGGTGAAATTAATTTAACAATATGTTGTATGTAATATACTATATCCAAAAATATTATCATTTCAAAATATAATCAACATAAAAATATTCTTGACATATTTCATTTTATTTTTGCATTAAGCCTTCAACATTTGGTATGAATTGTTCACGTGCAGCACATTTCAATTTGGATTAGCCACATTTCAAGTGCTCAATAGCTGATGTGACCAATGGCTGCCATACTGGACAGCAGTCACTGGTTTGACATAGTGATTCTCCTTCTACCCTTTATTTTTGGCAAATTATATCTTAACCTTCTTGAAAGAACTGCCGACAATGTTTCATCAAACATATCATAAAACATAATACATATCCTCAGTTGAAGCAAAAACAACTTTTACACCACAATTAAAATTTGGTGGAATTCCTGTGAAACTATCAAAAATATCAGCATGTCCTGACTTACCTGGTGAGAATAACTAGTAAGTGAGAGAAAGTGGGGCTGAGAAGGGAAAATATGTTTCTACAAAAAGATCCAACTGATAATTATCGGAATGTCTCTTCCATAATAAATTGTCAAATCAAAGCACTTTGGAATATCTAGTCCAAACTTCTTAAGTAATAGAGATAAAGAGCCAGGTAAGTTAGTGTTTGATTCAGGGTTACCCAGAAACTAGTGCCAAGGTTTGTCTTAATGATATATATAATTATATCATTAATTATTTAATATTTAGATATATTTATGTTAATTATATAATTATGCATCTAATATATATTATTATATAATTATATACACAATAGAATATATTATATTATGTTTGAAATACAAATATATGTTATATAAATTTTAGCCTAATTTATGTAGTATAAAAACCAGCTATAGCTTTAAATAACCTTCATTTAAAATCATCTTATATTTTCATTTAAAATCATCTTATATCATTTTTGTGATATTGTAATGTTATTGTTTAGTACATTTGCTGTGTAAATACTATTAACTTTAAAGTTTAGAAATGCCCACATGTTGAAAAAACAACCAAATTAATCTAAATTAACTATGGAGACAGGTTGAAGGAAAGAACTTTTGCCTTCTGTCAAAATAACTCACATTTTTGAAGGACAGCCAAGACACTTAAAGAACATGCATTTGCATTCAGCATTTATTGTAACAAACAACAACAGGAAACATAATTTAGAGACACTTCCCTTTATTAATTTGCTTTTCTGAAGTCAGTTGTAAGTATGATGATTCCCACCCACCCTTTGTTTCTTTCCCCTAGGATGGTGCCTAACCACAATGAGGCCATAATTGGAGAACATAGGAGGATTGATTTGAAAATGTCACAAATGTTAATCAACTCCCATTGACATAAAAGACTCGTTAATTCACTCTGCAGGCAATCAGGTTCACCATGTCTAGGGCATAGTGTAAGGAATGAAACTAAATGGCTGAAAAGGCGAATAAAAGACATTTTTGAATATTTTAATTTTAAAGTGGAATAGCAAAAGATGTAAATCTCAGAGTTAAGAGTTGCCAAAATACACTAGGCTTTTATGTATACTGCATTTCAACTAAGTGGCTCTGAAAAAAATTCTTTGACCACAGAAGAGTTTTCATTGTCTAGTAATCTCAATTCCCTGCTAAATCTTCAGCTATGATTTAATCTATGCAAGTTATAATGAATTTGTTTTAGTGATCCAAAAAAGGGAAATAAAACTGCATTTTCCTTCAATCACTCAGCCCATTTTAAAAGATTATTTTTATAAATGATGTTAAATTGACTTGATTTTCACAGTTGCTTTCAATTAAATCAAAATGACTCTTTCTGGAATGTGCAAAAAATAGAAACGTATAAAAGCAAATCATTTGAAAAGTGGATAATGTGCTACCCACAACTTCATTAGAAATATTTTTTATTGAGTAATATTTATTAGAATAGCATATCCTTAACCTTGATCATACATTATCTATAAGTCAAATTTGTGTTGAGAAATTTTTTTTTGCCATGGATTATTTCCATGTATTTCATTTGTCAACTGAGAAAAATTTGAGTGCCTCTATGAGATACCATGTAGATTACCTCTCTATAAAATTTATACCTGGCTAAGGAAGTCATTACTGAATTATGGAAACTCCTTGTCAGAAACTGCTTCTTAAAATATAAAAAGAAAGACAAAATGGAATTTAAAAAGAAAAAAGATAATTAAAAAATCTTTACATGGTCTGGAATCATTTGCTAGAATGTGCTTTTATTCTCGGTATCCTAGACAGTCAATTACCACTTATTGGAGAGCTATAGTTAACAGTTAACGACCATATGCCTTGAATGAGTGGGCTTGAGGAAGAAAGCACAGAAAGGGGGCCACATTTCACATCTGGACAGTTCAGAGCCTGGCTTAGCTGACAGAAGGGAAATACAATAGAAGGTGGGCCTTAAGTGGAAGTTAGAGACTCACAGAAAGAGGAACTTGGAGCCAGAGGGAGGGTAGAAATTCAAGCCCCAGGGATCTTGCATGAATCTCGAGAAGTCTGGGGTTAGAGGGGCTCTAGCTGAATTTTGGAAAGCAGGGGTCTAATGAAAACCCAATTAGATCTCTTGAAGGTGACTGATTCCCAAGTCTGTGTGTGGGTATGGCTGAAAAGGGGAAGGCCTCTCAGTTTCGCTACAAGAAAAGTCTCTCTTGGCTTTACATTCGTAAAACAATATGGCAGCTCTAGTTTTATCCAAGCAGGGCCCACCTATAATGAGTACCTATTAAGCATTTCTTGAATGCAATTGGGAGCCCAAATGAGCAAACCTAAGGGAGGTTGTCACAATTCTAGAGATGGTAATATTTCTAGAGCCACACAAGAACTGTTAAACAGTAACAAGCAAGAATGTGCCAGTAAAAATCAGTAAAACAATGAACCTCACCCAAACCAGTCAAATCTGCTTATTGACTTGACTTGCTTTTCTTAACCAATTTGTCTTGGGAAGTAACTTTTTCTTTTTCCTCCGATCAACCTAATCAGCAGGTATCCATTCACATTCTAATACATTGTATATTTAAAAGAAAGCTAAATCTGAATTGAATCAATAACACATTAACTACTGAAGAAGTCTGATTCTTTTCTCAAGATCTCTAGGAATAATTTTCAAATAAACCAACCACAAAAACCACCACTGCTTTGGTAGTAATTGGCTTCTAAGGATGATATTTTTACTTGACTAGATACCACTAATGAACAATTACAGTAGGCTGGTCTTAATGACAGCCTTGACTTGCGGTTGCATTATTGAATGGTCCCAATGGCTGATGACTTTCTTTTGTAACCAGAAGTACCCAATTTCGCAGTCCTGTGACTTTTTAACCGATAATCCACCTTGGAAGAAGGAAGCCATCCTCATCATTGAGAGTTGAAAAAAAAAATATTTTTCTTGTTGCTATTTCAAGATTACATTGAAAGACAACTCAGTAATTTGCCACCGAATGACATAACATATTCAATATGCACAATTTTATGGCTAGCTCTAACTTTTGAGGCAGGCTATCATTCAATGAATCTAAAGACAGCTGGTTGTTAAAGAATATGGGGAAGGATTTTATCCTCAACTCTCTATGGACAAAAATGAAATAATCAAGAATAAGGAAAAGATTCTATCTTTGTGATTGCAAAGGAAGAAATGCTAGCTACCAACCTGTCTGTGGCATACAAATTATAGAGGGTTTGGGGGTGGTTCCTCAAATTAACAGATCTATTTAACAGCTCTAATTTACTTCATAATCTTCTGGGGTAGGTGATCACGTAAAATCCAGCCAGGCTTTTGAGAAACATTATCTGTAACAACCAAAGCTCACCCAGGACACTGGGTGCCAGTCACTGACAGACAATTAATATACAGTAGGAACATAAACAAAGTAAGGCAAACAAGAGCATCAAGGATCTTGTTTTTAATACAAAACCAAATTAGTTTATCTTAATGAGCAATTTATCTCTCTCTCTCTCTGAGCAATTTATCTCTCTCTCTCTCTCTCTCTCTCCCCCTCTCTCTCTCAAATGGAAGTTCATAGTAGAGTTCACAGAGGCCTTTGGGGTCAAACAGATCTGGGTTTGAATCCCAAATCTATCATTTTCTGATGATATGTACCTGGGAAAGTTATTTAAATTTATTGAGCCTTAGTTTTTTCATTTAGAAAAAGTAATAATCATTTAGAAAAGGTAATTATCATCAGGATAATACTAATGGTATTTACTTCTCAAGGTTGTAAGGATTCACTGAGATTAAATGTGAAAGTCTGCTACAAAGAGGATACCCAGCAAGTGCCTTTTCTTCCTCCTTTAAAGACAAGTTAGAATTAACAGAACATTCCTCCTTAATTAGGAAGTCACCATTGAATACTTCCTCTACAAATCACCTAGAGGCAAGGGGAATATCATCTGCATAAGAAGACAAGAAAAACGTATTCATTTAATACATATTTACCTAAAATGTATGCAAAGCCTACATAGCTGCCCTGTCACTGGCAGTCTCTTTTGTCATCTTCATCAACCTTGGGGCCTAATTCAGCAAAATCTTAGCCCCAGATAGCAAACCATCCCACAAGGACTTAGCAAGCAATGTAGATTTTATTTTAAAATTTGTGAGCAGATGACACAAAATTTTGTGGAGAGGGAAGAGGGTTTTAACTGCAAACTACATGCAAAAAAAAAAAAAAAAAAAAACCTCGATAAAATCCTCTTTGAACCCTTTTATTTACTCCCATAGCCTTTTTTAGATTCTAGCTACTGGCTGTCCCCTTCCCCAACAGAACCCATTCTCAGAATCTCCGCTATTGTTCCAAACAATTCAGCTTTGACCCCAAAGTGGTGCACACTCCAAAATAAAGCAAAAAGCTAAGATAGTTTACCAGGCCAAAACTCTCTGGAAGTCCCTTAAGCAACAATCTGTGGTTATCTCAACATGCCACTGGAAGTGAGGCTGTCACTCCAAATGTAAATGATGATCTAATTATTTACATAACAAAAGCAAACATTTCTAGCTTGGGGGTTGGGGGGGAGAAATTCTCCATTAAGAAAAAAAATTAGACTTTCTCTGTATCTTTACTTTTACCATACACAAGGCACCATAGCAAGCACCGTGGAAGATATGAGCTTGTACAAGAAATAGAATGTGGGAGATGTATTAATGATCTATTTATGATGTTCCCTATGATAGGAAAGCAGAAAGTTCCGGTATATAGGGAATTCCTTACAGAATATTATTATGGGTAAGGGCCTTTGGAAAGAGATTAAAATATCAAAGTAAATATGTTTTGGGTTGGAATGTAGTGATTTGACATTAGTGAATCAAATATTCACTAATCTTTGAACCAGTCTTGGCACTGGTTGATGAGAAGAGAGCTGGCCATAAAAATGTTACAAATTACTAGTATTTGCCTCCCTGACAATGTTAAGCAGTTGATCTGAAAATCTGGGTCCAACCCAATAGACCAGAGAGGTACAGCCTATCTTCTAATAATCAAGAGGAGAGAGTACTAGAAAAGACTGAAGTAGCACTTGCCTCATGATTTCAGGAATCATATTATGAAATTCTTCCAACTCTGAGTCGAGGCCTTCTAATCGGTGGCCAATTGGAAACCACTGGGAGCTAATAAAGAGGGAAGTGAAGTGATGCAATCAGATTTTTTGTGAAGATTACTTTGACATCTCTCCACAGAATAGCTTAGAAGTAGGAGAGAAGGAAAGCAGGACAGCCACATGTGAGGGTCTAGATTGAGTGGTGTAGGAGAAAGAATGGGTGCACAAGTGTTGAGAACTGCTTCGAACAGGGTTTCAAAAAACTGCTGACTGATCAGATATAAAAGGAGTGAAAAAGAGAAGAGTCAAATATGACTGATTTGATCTCAAGTTATTGAGATCATAGTAATACCATTAACGGAAATGGGGAATTTGAGAGGCCAATCTAAGATTGGGGTTAGGCAAAATTAGTCAAGAAAGATTTAATGCACCCCAATCACTGGACAAGTTGCCAGGGATTCAGCAACAAGAAAACTCAATATGATTGCTATCCTCGTGGAGCTCACAGATGGGGGGAAAACCAATGTCATGTAGATAACTACAGATAGTTAACATTAACAACAGGTGAAATAAATTTTGTACAGTTGCCAAAAAATGGAACTTGTGTTACAGCTTCGGATTTAGAAATGTCTAAGCTACCTTTTATTTTTAAATAACTACAGAGAGGAGAAAAAGGTACAGGCAGCTTTCAAACCTCAGAAACCATTTTATATTCATAGCAGCATTATTCACGAAAGCCAAAAAGTGGAAGCAACACAACGACATCAACTGATGAATGGATAAATAAAATGTGGTACAGTGAAACATTATTGTATCATAAAAAACGAATGAAGAGGCCAGGTGCGGTGGCTCAGGCCTGTAATTCCAGCACTTTGGGAGGTCGAAGTGAGTGGATCACCTGAGGTCAGGAGTTCAAGACCAGGCTGGCCAACATAATGAAACCCCTTCTCTACTAAAAATACAAAAAATTAGCTGGGCGTGGTGGTGTGCGCCTATAATCCCAGCTACTCAGGTGGCTGAGGCAGAAGAATTGCTTGAACCCGGGAGGTGGAGGTTGCAGTGAGCTGAGATTGTGCCATTGCACTTCAGCCTGGGCAACAGGAGAAAAACTTCATCTCAAAAAAAAAAACAAAAAAAGAATGAAGTACCAATTTATGATATAACATGCATGAATCTTGAGAACATCATGTTATGTGAAAGAGATCAGTTATAGAGCAGCACATATCGTATGATTCCATTTATATGAAATGCCCAGAGTAAACAAGTCCATGAAGACAGAAAGCCAATTAGGGCTGGGTATGGGGAGATTTTGTGTTGGGGGGTGAGAGCTAAGAGATGTAGGGTTTCTTTTGTAGATAACGAAGATGTTCTAAATTGATTGTGGTGATGGGTGCACAACTCTGTGGGTATACTCAAAGAGATTGAATTGTACACTTTCAATGATTGAATTGTACAGCATGTGAATTATATCACAATAGAATTTTTTTAGATATGTGGCAGAATATAGAGGTAGGCTATGGAAGAGAAAATATTTTTAAAACCTAAGGGAGTTTGTTTTTTAAGTTCGGTTATGGCTAAAGTGATTAACAACAGGTACAATTCATGAACAGTCATTCTCTTCTATACTGGCCATGATTTATGGCTTTCCACAGTTACCACAGTTTAAATGTCAGATGGTTAAACACAAGTTCTAGCTCAAAGTTGTGTAATAACTTTGGGTGCTAGAGAGTAGAGCATATCACAGTTGGTCATACTCAGGACTTTTGCTTAATCACTGAGTCACCTAAACAAGGCTCTTGGTTTAGTTCACTAAGTTGTAATTCAGTTTCCCTATCAGCATTTTATAGCAAAGTTTCTGAAAAACAAAATATTTTTAGTTCCCATTGATGTGCTTCCTAATTTCCCTTTAATCAGAATTGATTTCCTTCTTATAGGGGTACTAATTTTTGTGTCATATTTTTATTTCTCAAAAAGGGATTTTAATTTTTTTTTCTTCCCACCAGGTGTTAAGAGATCCTACAATGTGAATCTGATCTAGTCAGGGTGGTCAGGGAGTGCTTCCATGAAGAAGGGACATATACAGTGGGATCTGTAGGCATCTGATAGGCAAAGAGAAGAGGAGGAAGAATTTCAGACAGAGGGAAGAGCATGTGCAAGGGCACTGGGACAGAAGAAGCCATAGCCCTGTTCAAGGCTATAGATGTATTAGAGGCGATGAACTACCCAAGTAGCATTACCTGGAGGTTGTTTTTGGGTGCTATGATAGAGGTCAGGAGAAAGAAGACTCTTGAGTTGTCATCAAAATAGAAGTGCCCACAGAAGAAAGAGAGCAAGAAGTAAGAACTGAGACTGGGGAGATGCTTACAAGTAGAACAAAAGCTGGAGAAGAGGAGTTGATGCATAACCTCTTGGGCAGGTAGAAGGGAAACCAAGTGAGTACAAAGTTATAGCAGTAAAAGAGGAGAGATGGACAGAGTGATCAGCTGTGTCAAATGCTAGATATATTAATGAAGGGGAATGAAGATCAGAAAAGGATCAGAATTTGTCAATAAAAGTTCAAGACACTTCCAAGTTTTTAATAATTGTCTAACTCTCCCTCCCCACATGAAGACACTGGGAAAGTAGCTGAGAATCAAAAACACAACACTGGTCTCAGCTTGTCCTAAAGGGACCAGCAGGATCAAATTGTAATGAACTTGACATGTTTCCCCCATAAAGTGAGTTTTTGTAGTGATATGTGCTCTAGTGGATAGCAATGTAGGGGAAAATAAGTAAAAAGAAAATGTATCTTTTGCAGGCATATCCCAAAAAAACTCAAAGAGTTATTTTGGAAGACTAAATCAGGTTTTCCTTTAGCATTTTTATTAGACCCAAATGAAAACAAAGGCTAATTTAGAAGCCAAGCATTGATTTTCCCATTTGTTAATATTATGTCTTACAATGAGTTTTAACACTGAAACTCATCTAATATTAAACAGAAACGGTTGAGTTACTTGTTGATTTTCAATGGCTGTTTTTCCCCCTGCATTCCTCCATGCATTTATTTGTCCTTGTATCAACAATTACTTGAGCTTTACCATATGCAAAGGGGAAGGCTTTACTTCTCTTTGGAAACATAGCCTTCCCTGTTGCATACAGTATTTCCACAACACACAGTCTTCTGATTCGGAGGAAGTGACATGATGGTCTATATTTCAACAGTTCTTTTACAGTGAACTAACAACTTTATAGATGACACCATGACGTTAGGCTTTGAAACTTATGCGAGGGTGAGGATCAAGGAAAACAGAGATCTTTTCGAGATATTTATAATACTCTCAAAGGAGGGACCATTTGGATATCATATTAGTTTCCTGTTGCTGCTGTTGTAAAGGCTGCCAATAAATTACCACAAAGTTAATAGCTTACAACAACACAATCCATTATCTTACAGTTCAGGAGGCCGCAGTCCCAAATCAGTTCACTGGGCTAAAATCAGGGTGGAATCAGGGTTGGCAGAGCTGGTTCTCTCTGTATCCTTTTGGGGAGAGCCCGTTTCTTTAGCTTTTCTGGATTCTGGAGTCTGCCTGCATTCCTTGGCTTGTGAGCCTGTCTTTTCATCACTCCAGCTTCCATCATCCCATTTCCTAAATGTTCCTTTGACCTTCTTGCCTCCCTTACATAAGCACCCTTGTGATTAAATTTAGTTCCCATCCAAGTAATGTAAGATAATCTCCCCATGTCAAGATCCTTATTCACATCTGCAAGTCCCTTTTGACATACAAGGTAACATTCACAGGTTCCAGGAATTAAGACATGGATGTCTTGGGGGTGAGGGGCAGTCAGCCTACCACAGGTGCCATCCTTGCCTGGGATCTCCCTTCTCTGAGAAGTAACTCTCCATCCACAAAAGGAATAGGAACCTGTTGCCATGTTTGTACCATACCTCTTGGCCAGAGTAAATTAGGGGTGAGCACTTCTCCAGTGGATCTGTATTTAGGAAACAGATGCTAGCAAGACCCTGGTGGCATTGCCCAGATCTGCCACAGAAAGACTCAAAGCTGGGCTGGGATTTCAGCTGTGCCTCATGGTGCCTTTTGAATGCAAATGTTAACAAGCTGTCTACCACTAAGCTGTAAACACTAAAAGGATGGAGCAGTTTAATCCATATTTCAATCTCAAGGCTTATTTGTCTTGTTTATAAAGTTTAAAAACAATTAGAAAAGTTTTGCCAACCATTAAAACTTGCCAATCATTTCTTCTTGTCACTCACAATATCATAAATGGCTATGAAGAAAACCCAATGAGGAAATTCAAAGTCAAGATTAATGCCCCATTTATTTGTATAAGTAAACTCAGTCATTCATTTATCAGCTCCCACTAAATTGCATTAACTGTGTCTCCAGATTATAAATCATTCTTATTAAACGAGAGGCATTTCAGTGGTGAAGCTGGGCACTCTAGCCAAGGAGATAACTCACCCCAAATGCTCCTAAATGGAAAGGCTTGCATCTCCTTGATTCTAAATGAAGGTTAAGGTTCCTCATTGCTTCTTCTTCACCAAAAATATTTCATTTCACATCAGTGAAGCCACAATGATAAAAATTACTAATTTCTTTCTTTATTTTAAATTCTTAAATGTATTTCTACTCCCCCACTGCCCTCCACCCCCCCACCAAAAGTTTAACCAAAGACAAAAGTGCCCACTTCTGAACCACACTTAGATCTTTTTTGCTTTTTAAAGACCAAGAGTTTCTTGGCTCACTGAGGCTCTCATGATGTGTGGCACAGGACAAAAAGGTGCTGCGCTGTCTACAAAGATCTTAATTGCAATGGCTGAGCCCTAAAACCCCATTCTAAATTATCCATTGTCCTTTGTATGCAGCCACTGTGCCCCATCGTATCAGATAACTGCAGCTAACATTCTGTGGGCAAACATGGCCCCATTCATTCCATCCAGCAGTGAATAATTCATATAGCAAGTTTTACCCTGGGCAAAATACACTGACATCAGGAGGCATTAAACTAGAGTCATTCAAGGAACAAAATGGTTATTCATGCTTTCAATGTGAACCACTAAATCTTGCCAGTTAAGTTAATGAATGAATTAACTCAATTCATCAGACATATCACACAAGTCCATAAAAACACAGTTGCACGAGCAAGCTTCTTACTTGGAGTATTCTTACCTGAGAGCGGAAATGCCAGTCATTGTGTCAAGCAAGTCTAAACTTGGTTGGGTGAAAGAGGGGTTGTAGGGGAATCACTGCTTTGCTTGACAGCCCCCTTAGAAGAAAATGGTTTCCATTCAACATTTTTGTTTCATCTTGTTCTTAAACCCCCCTCCTTTTCTTATTTAACCACCCACCCAAAGCCAAAATAATGGCTCAAAGCAATTGGCTTCTCTCTATAACAACTAATCTTTGCCTACTGACGATGGGCTTGAATATATTTGACATTTGTTGCCTAATGCTGGCTGCACATTCGCTGTTTGCTTTTTAAAAGAAGGATACAAATAGTGGCTACACGTGCCTTTTGGAAATTATTTTCCAAAACCAAATACACAGCACGTTTGGGGACTCCTGAAATAGTGCTCTCTTTTGGACACCAGTCTCAGCACTGGCTCCAGATAAGAAGGGTCTCCCACAGAACCCTTACTTAGCCAAAACCTTCCTCCCACATGGGTCTCCAAGGAGAGTCAAAAATTCTCCAAAAGTTGGAGAAAGAAAAGGGAGGTTTCCAAACCACACAAACGTACACATTTTCCAAACAACTTCTTCCAAGCAGCTGACACTGCCTTCCTCCTCAAGGAAGGAAAGAGACCCTGGGCTTCATTTTTTGAGCACCTGCAGTTGGACCTTCATTGTGAAAGCCAGATTGTTGTATTTGAGGTTTCCAATCAGAATGGAGAAATCTGGAGAAAAGAGTGAAGATGACAAACCAAACACACGTAAGAGGGAAGCAATCAATACAATCCAGGCTGAAATGTCCAAACCCCCTTTATGAAGGTGTTTTGCAGCATCACCATATTCCTATTTCTGTGATTCCTTCTCCCAAATGTGTAGATCCCAGGTAAATGTTAAATTCTTGTGAGAAGTTGATTTTAGACTTTCAGCGTTTAACAAATGAGAATATTTGAGGATATGAGATATACGCAAGTGGGAAGAGGAAGGATGAGCACTTGATACATGTTAGCTCATTGAAGCCCACCTCTCAGTCCGCTTTCTTAAGATACATATTTTTTCAGTGAGATCCAGAGAGGTTAAAGAACATGCTCAGCTAATAAGCAGTGAAGCTGAGATTTGATTCCTAGGACTTCAAAGTCTGTTCTCTTTCATCTGCCCTCCACTGCTGAAAGATTATGATGCAATAATTCTTTCTAGGAAAGAAGAAAAGAATTAAATCCTAAGCGATGTATTTAAGTATTCAAGGTTTGTGCCAAACCTACCTTTCCAAACACATCCCTTGCTCTTTTCTTTGATAAAGCTTCTCTAGCCAGTCGGATCTTTCACTGTGCTCTGAATCAGCCAGCTATCACTCAAAGGCACTTATAATCTAGTTAAGGAAATATATATGCACAGTGAGAATAAATAAAAGAAGGAGGAGTGACCAAATTTCTTTTTTCAGAAAGTGCTGATTTTCACAATAAATCAGTTTTTTTCTCATTGTAAACCTCAAAGACTTTCAGTAAAACAATTAACATGCACGGAGGCATTTGTTCTTGTATGGCTGAATAGACATACCAAGTCCAAAATTTATTGCCTAATACTTTTCAGACAACTTTCACTCCTCTCCTATCTGTCTCTTCCACCCATTTATCCAGTGTTGAAACAAGAGGACAGGGGAAATGGGATGCTCCATTTATTTCATTTTAGGTGGATAAATGATTTTTTTTTTTTTTTGAGATGGAGTCTCACACTGTCACCCAGTCTGGAGTGCAATGGCGCAATCTCGGCTCACTGCAACCTCCGCCTCCCAGGTTCAAGCCATTCTCCTGCCTCAGCCTCTCGAGTAGCTGGGATTACAGGTGCCCACCACCACACCCAGCTAATTTTTTGTATTTTCAGGAAATACGGGGTTTCACAATGTTGGCCAGGCTGGTCTTGAACGCCTGACCTCGTGATCCACCCTCCTCGGCCTCCCAAATGATTTTAACATTGACTTAACCTTGCCCTCTATACAAAGTTAATGAAGTTTAGGGGAGGAATGGTAGCTATAAAGATATTGAGAGAATAGATAAAACTTCATTATTGACTATGAATTACATGATGGTATTGTATCAAAGTTAAGTAGCTGATTTTGATGATGATACTGTGGATAGATAAGAGAATGTCCTAATTCTTAGAAAATTCACCCTGAAGTATTGGAGTAAAAGGGGAATGATATCTCCAACTTAGTCTCAAGTGGTTCAGAGAAAAAGAATATGAGAGAGCATAGGAGAAAGTGGCGGTGGGAGGGAGAAAGAAAGAGGGAGATGGAGGGAGAACTAGAAAGCAAATATGGCAAAATATACACAGCGGATGAATCGGAGGAAAGAAAATTCCTCATGTGTCCTTTTTCTAATGTTTCTCTAAATTTCAAGTTATATCAAAGTAAAAGGTTGCAAATAAAAATGTTCACGGAATTAGTTTCAGGATCTCCTGGGGAAAATGTAACTGACAATTTGGGAGGGAAATAGCTTTAGAGAAATCCCAGGCAAACCCCTTCGGTTTAGAGATGGGGAAGCTGAGGCCCAGAGCTGGGTCAGTGCCTGGATGAAGAGCTGTCAGAGGCACACAGCAGCAGCATCCAGCTCACAGACTTCTGAGGGGTATCCTTCAACTGTGCTGCCTGTTTTTCTCATACACTTTTTCTTGACTAGTTTAAATCCCCTTTGATTACCTTCTCTGACTTTCTCAACTTCCCTCAAATCATTTTTATACACTTCTCCAAAAGCGTATTCCCTGCATGGCACACTAATTCTGCAGGATTTTAATAGATTTAATAGATGTTATATAAAGAAGTCTGTGCCCAAATAAGCTTGGGAAATATAGGGTCAAACAAGGTAAAACAGATTTCTTTAGTGGAGGACTTCTCAGGGCCTTTACGATGCTAATGTGCACATTGTAGGAGAGGAGGGCGAGTGTAATATGCCACATTTTCCAAATATATTTGGACAAGGGAGCCTCTTTTTTTGTGGAGTCTCAGGGGCTACACATTCCAACACATTTTAGAAAATAGGTGGAGCAGGATAGAGCAGCCAATGAGTCACGACTAAATGCTCCATGACAGATGTCACGTGTCGTTTCTTTCATTCAGCATCATGAAACTCCAATGTTTCCTGCACTGTTGCGACTTCTTACATGGTGCTGCTAAAACAGGGACAGTTTATAGGGCTAAGTCCTAATTCTTACTTTGAATTGACAAACTACATCTTTGGACAAATCAGCAAATCCCTTTGAGTCTGTTTCTTCATCTGTGAAAGAGAGGTGGTATCCAGGAACAGAAAACCAAACACCGCATGTTCTCACTCATAAGTGGGAGTTGAACAATGAAAACACATGGACACAGGGAGGGGAACATCACACACCGGGGCCTGTCAGGGGTTGGGGGCAAGGGGAGGGAGAGCATTGGGACAAACAGCTAATGCATGTGGAGCTTAAAACCTAGATGACGGGTTGATACATGCAGCAAATCACCATGGCATATGTATACCTATGTAACAAACCTGCATGTTCTGCACATGTATCCCAGAACTTAAAATAAAAAAGAAAGAGAAGTGGTATCTGTATTACAGAGTGCTTTGTGGGTAATGAATGTGATTTGTGGAAGTTCTTCATACTCTATAAGTGGACCACTGCTTAAATGTAAATGTAGCATATGACTTGTAGCACTAAAGGTGGGGAGCTCACTGAAAAAAAAAATCAAGTAAAATACCATTGCAAACTGTGGAGGACTATAAAGAAGGTGGTTTACATAACAGTAATCTGGCAGAAGGGGTTTAGGGAGAATTGTGTGTGCAATTCCAGATTTGGTAACAACCACGTTTGCAAGTCTATTTGAAAAGCAAAGAATGGGATAAGAATTGGCAGATGCTCCGAATTAAGATACAAATGGAGAATTACAAGTATTGAATTTGATTTATCATTCATTGACAAGAAGGACTGATGTGAGGCTTCTGTCAACATTTCAAATAATATATATGTACACACATACACACATATACACACACACACACACAAACATATATATATATATATATATATATATATATAGAGAGAGAGAGAGAGAGAGAGAGAGAGAGAGACTTACTATTGCCCAGGCTGGAGTGCAGTGTCATGATTATGACTCACTGCAGCCTCAACCTCCTTGGATTAAGCAATCCCCCCACCTCAGCCTCCCAAGTAGCTGGGGCTAAAGGCATGTGCCACCACACCAGGCTAATTTGCTGTTGTTGTTATTGTTGTTGTTGTTTAGAAATGGTGTCTCCATTTGTTGCCCAGTCTGGTCTCAAATTCCTGGGCTCAAGTGATCCTCCCATCTCACTTGAGTGTTGGGATTACAAGTGTGAGCTCCTGGACCCAGCTTTGATATTTTCACTAAAAAGCCTCAATTTCCTAAAAGGCAGCCAGCTCTTTACCTAGGGCAGAGGAGCTTTCCTTGCATTTAGCCCATATTGGAAGAATTGTAGTGACTTCAATTACCCAGCACATGTCCTCACCTGCATTAAGCCCCACATTCAGCCAAAGACACCATGGCAGTGTTTCCTAGGTCCCATCACAGCCATAATTTCTTATCAACATACCTCCCAATACATAAGCTAGTTCTGCTGTGGTTTTATTAATATTCCATGGATGCAAAACATCTCACCAATCTCAAAATTCTTTTACATAAATTACGAATGTATCCCTCTTCTCAACTGTTCTTTGAGGTGGACTTGACTGATAACTGCTATTCCCATTGTAGAGAGGAGGACACGAAGGCTCTGGATAGTAAGTGCAGTCTTTCCCTAAATGGAGGTCACAGTGCTGAGATGAGGCTACTCTGACTCCTGGTCCCACACCCCTGCCTGCCTCTAACTCTGTGCCAGTGTTTTGCCCACAGGTCAGAGGCAGGATTGATAAGAGAGCTAGTCCCTCATTTTAGCAAAAAAGGTGGTCATTTCTCCAGTAGTCCTCAGTGTTTCCCTACATATCTCTCTACCTGGGCATTTCAATGGCAAAAACTGTACCATTGAAGAATCTTCCTGTCTTATTCCTTTCCTTGAAGTCCTGTCTTACCTGGCAAAATCTTTCGGAAGGCCACACCTGAAACAGACCTACAAGGAGGTGAGAGGAGAAAGTCATTGGCAAAGACACTCTCAGTAGGGGCTAAGAACAGACCAGAACTCTGGGAGTGGAGGAAGGGAAAGCTAGGCTGAATAAGGAGGGAAGAGAGTGGCTTGGACCACTTGGGCCTTCTTCCCCGTGGTCAAAAAGAAGCCCAGGCGTTGCAAAGGCTCCCATGTGCATGTGCACTAGATGAATTTGGCTGGAGCCGCTTCTCTAAGGTGCTGCTGCTCTGGGATCCAGGAAGTATCTGCTTGCACATGTGAGTTCCAGAGAGAATGGGAGGCTTTTATGAAAGCTCAGAATCCTGCAGAACACAGAAGGCCACAAGCCCAGTAAAGGAAGTGGTGGAAACAATTAAGAAATCTAAGCAGAAATGGTTGCTAGAGAGAGGGCCACAACTGGTCTTTCGACCACATCCGATATTTCCTTCAAATTGTTATGCAGGACAGTAATTGTCTCCTGGGAGGGCAAGAGGCAAACTAGGCTGGGCTGGCCTTTAATAGGTTTCAACAGCAAAGCACCCTCATAAATAGTGCATATTGTGAAACCAGAATTTTCTCCTTTTCCAGTGGATCTCTCCCAACTCTCCTCCTTTAATTAAAGAAACATGGCTTACCAAGAAACAAATACCTCTTTTCATAAAGCATTAAGTATGGATTAAGAGGGAAGAAAAAAAAAGAGAATTCTGTGTTGAGGAAGGGAGCGTTCAATAAACCATTCATGCAGAGGCTGTGATATGTAGATAATTCCATGTTTATAATTGTCGATACTACTTGGTGATTCCTGGCATCACCTGGCTGACATGACAAAATCATGCCCTTGATGTCCATGGCTAGCCTGGAATTAGAATGCACTCACCTAGAATCAGTCTGGAGAGAACCTTTGTTTTCCTGAGTCCTAGTTTCTCACCAATCCCATTTGCTACCTGCACCAACCTGTCCAAGTTTGTTCACAACGCATTTTCTTGTGCCATCTGGTGGATTTCAAGTGAATTTGCAGCAGGAGCTAAAATAGAGTCTCACTTATTTGTTAATTTGTTTCATTTCAGAATTCACTGCAGAGTACCTTGATGACACCTCTAAAGGCTTATTTTCTTGCTCTTTTCTAATCAATTTTTCATACATCTATTTTAACTTTTTCAAAATTATTTGTATTTTTAAATCAGTAAATCAAGCATCTGGCATAAAATTCAAAAGGCACATAGGTTGAAAATAAGTCTGCCTAAGCTACCCAGTTCCTATTCTAAGAGGTAACCACCCTTTACATTATTCCAGGAAAGTACATCACACATGTGTGTCTTTAACAAATATTAGCACATTCTACACATTGGTTTGTTTGGTTTTTTTGTTTTTCACTTAACATATCTTGGAGAACTTTCCATATCAGTGTATAACACTGCTTCATTGTTTTAGACAGTTGTGTAATGCTTACTTGCATGTTGTAATATATATTACTCAACCAGGCCCTTTTCTATAGGTGATTAGTTTTTAATCTCTTGCTATTCAAAATAGTTCTGCATACAAAAGAAGCAGGATTAAAAAACAAAAACAAACAACAACAACAACAACAAAATACTGCAATAAATACCCATACATATATATATATATATATATATAGTTACCACTCCAATGCAGGTATATCTGTAGGAAAAGTCCTAGAAGTGGATTTTCTAAATCAAAGAGCATTAGAGGCCCTTTAATTGTAACCAGGCATTCTCAAATCACTCTTCCAAGAGGTAGCAACAGTTTATACTTCAATTAGCAAAGTATGAGCATGCCTGTCGTCCTAGATACTAGCCAAAGGTGTTATCAAACTTTTTGATCTTTTCCCATATGATAAGTGAAAAACAATATTACATTATAGTTTTACAATTTTTTTATTTGTAGTGAGATTGAGAATCAATTCATACATTTTAAAACATTTATATTTTCTTTTACCTGCTCATTTATTTTCTTTTGCCATTTTTTATTGAGTTGTTGATTTGCTTATTTATTTGTGGGAGCTCTTTGTATATTAATAAAGTTACTCCTCAGTTATATCAGTTGAAAATTTTTCCCAATCTGTCATTTATATTTTCTCTTTCTTTAGAATATTTTTTGTTTCCATGAAGATGTCTTTTTATTTTATTGTCAAACTTGTCTATCCACTGAACATTAGAAAAGTTTGTACAATTTAAATATATTAAAAACTATTAGTATTTTTATTAGGATTGCAGTATGCATCTAGATTAATGGATAATTATCATCTGTATAATCTTGTTCAGGGATGTACCATGTTTTCCACTTGTTAAGGTGGTCTTTTATGGCCTCTGATAGTGTTGTAAAGTTTTCCCTATGTAAGTTTTATACTTTTGTGTGTGCTGTTTTTTCCCAGGTCTTTTATCTTTTTAGTTGTTATTATAAAAGAGATCTTTTTGCCATTATATGTTCCAATGAGGTTTCAGATATCAAAAGACTACTGATTTCTGTATATCAATACTGTGCCTAAAAACTTAACTGCGTTCTCTTAGTGTTTTAAAATTTTTCAGATTAGGCGTGGTGGCTCACACCTGTAATCCAACACTTTGGAAAGATCACTTGAGACCAGGAATTTGCTTGAGCCCAAGAGTTTGAGACCAGCCTGGGCAACACGATAAGTCCCCATCTCTACTGAAAAAATAAAATTAGCTTGCCATGGTGGTATACACCTGTAATCTCAGCTACTTGGGAGGCTCACTTCAGCCCAGGAGTTCCAGACTGCAGTGAGCTATGATTGCTTCACTGCATTCCAGCCTGGGCATTGGTTGATTGTCTTGGGTTTTTCAGGTAAACAATCATATTGTCTGCAAATAATAATTTTATGCTGGCTTTGGACTTATACTGATATAGACATTATAGATGTATTTTACTATGTTAAGGAATTTTTCACTTATTTTTATTTTATTGTGGTGTTTAAAATCAGGAATTGATATGATCATCAACTATCAATTCTCAGCTTCAGCCTACTGGACCTATCAGCAGCACGTGGCACTGATATTCCAGAGGCATCCTCCCCTGGAATACACTCTCCTCACTTGGTCTCTAGGTCACCACTTCCCTTGGTTTTCATCCTCTCTCATTAATCATCCCCTCTTAATTTCATATCCTAGTTCCCCCTTGTGTTCCTTATGTCTCAGTGTTTAAGACTCTGGAGTTTATTCTTTAAAATTCTTATTTCTCTGATGATTTCATCCTAGTCTCAGGGGCCTTACATGACCATCATCAATGACTCCCACATTGAAATCCCAGCCCAGATCTGCCTCCTGAACTCCAGGTTCCTACATCCAGCATCACCACTTGATGTCTCATGGATATCTCAAAATGAACACACCCAAAACTGAGCTCTTGGTCTTGCCCTCCAGACCACCTGCAGCCCTTCCTGCCTCACTAATGCACTGTTCTTTCAGGTGCCCAGGCCCTAAGCCCTGGAGATATCCTTGATTCCCTTTTTCTTCTAACATTGTTCAATACACTGGGAAATACTGTTGGTTTCACCCTCAAATGTATCCCAGAATCTGACTGCTTCCCACCATCTCCTCTTCTACTGCCCTTGCCCAAACCTCTATCACCACTTCCCTGGATTGCTGCCACAGTTTCCCAGTGGGTCTTCCTTTTCCCACCCTTGGCCATTCAACAGCCTATTCTCAACACAGCAGCTAGAGATTCATTAAAACATAAGCAGGTCACAGTGGCTCCTCTTCTCAGAGCTTTGCAGGGCTTCTGTATTCACTCAGAATAAAATCAAAGAACACACAAGGGCCTATAAAGCCCTATGCGATCACCTCACTTTAACAGCCCATTACCTTCCTGACCTCAGACTTCATCTCTTATTTCTCACCCCATGCTCACTCCACTCCAGCTGCTCTGCTGCACCTTGAACATGCTGTACATGCTCCCTTCTAGGGCACTTGCACTGGCATTCTCTCTTCCTAGAAAAGACTTTGTTCAAAATGTGGAAGTCTGAATCTCTTACCTCCTCCACATCTGCCCAGATCTTATCAGCTCAATGAGGCCTGCTGTGAAGCCCTTTCTAAAAATTGTACCCTACATACCCACCTCACTCTAAAACTTCCAGTGCCCCTTCCTTGCCTCTGTTTTTCCCATAATACTTGTCATATCCTATTCTATCGTTCAATTATATATTATGCTTATCATTTTTATCTGTTTCTTCCAAATGGAATGTAAACTCAATGAGTACGAGAATCACGGCTTGTTTATTTACAGATTTGAATACTTAAAACAGTGCTTGACATATAATAGGCACTTAGTATTTGTTGAATGAACAAATGTATGATCGGCAGGCTCTTCTTCATGGTTTATTTTGTCCAAGATATTATTCAGGATATCTTGCATCCCTGACTCTGATGGTCTAGGTCATTCCCAGTGCAGCCTCTTTCCTTGCAGGGCCCTTGGAACACTGAGCCCCAGCCATGCCTTCTCAATCTTAGATTGCTCAAGCTCCACCCCGCACCAGGCCACTGTGTTCAACAAACTGTGGACACAGTCTCCCAGGGAAGCCCCTCTTGTCCGACTTGAGATAAGAGTGCCCATCTCGCTGTGCCCAAAATGATGGAGACAGGAGAGATTCATCTTCCAAAGCAATTCTTTCTCTAATTTCCAAGATCACTCTTGACATCTCCCTCTTCATTTAAAGACTAGAGTTGTGGCCAGGTGCTGTGGCTCACACCTGTAATCCTAGCACTTTGGGAGGCCAAGGTGGGTGGATCACCTGTAGCTCAGGAGTTTGAGGCCAGCCTGGCTAACATGGTGAAACCCCATATCTACTAAAAATACAAAAAAAAAAAATAGCTTTGTGTGGTGGTGGGCGCCTGTAATCCCAGCTACTCGGCAGGCTTAGGCAGGAGAATCGCTTGAACCCAGGAGGCAGAGGTTGCAGTGAGCCGAGATGGCACCACTGCACTCCAGCCTGGGCAAGGGAATGAGATTCCATCTCAAAAAAAATAAAAAAGAATAAAAAAGAGTAGAGTTACGGTCAGTTAGGAGCAATTAAGGAGTAAACCTCAGACCACACCTTTATAAGTCCTGCAACACTAGCCTTGTATCTCTTTTTAAAATACAAGAGCACTTTTGTCTCTTCACTTGGGGTACCAGTATAAACTGAAACAGAAAGAGTCTTACTTTAACCTCTTGTCACATATGGTTCCATAAACAATATAGAAAATTGTTTTGTATGTTTGTAACTTACAGTGAATAGTTTCACAGTGTATGTTACACTCCAGTTTGATTTTTCTCAATCAGCATTATGTCTTCAAATGCTATTCATATTGATACACAAAGACCTAGGTCATTCGTTTTAATTGTTGTCTAATATTCCATTGTATACCATAATCTACTTATCCAGTACTCTACGTATGGATATTTGAGTTATTTTCAATTGTTTATTATTACCAACTGCAGTAACATCCTTTTACCCATCCCCTTGGGCACCGGTCAAGTAACATATTCAGGATATACACGTAGAATTGAATTTGTTGAGTATGCACACTTCCAATTTTAAGAGCTATTGCAAAATTATTCTCCAATTTACACTCCCACAAGCAAATTACTAGAATTCCCTTTTCTTTGAATATTCACATCCCTGCCAACAATGGCTATGATCACAATTCTTAATTTTTACCAAATTTCTGAGTGTAAAATAGTATCTCACTGTTTAAGATCGAATTCTCCTGATTACCAGTAAGGCTGAGCATCATTTTGTATTTTTTAATTGAAATTTTAATTGAGATAATTATAGATTTATATGCAGTTATAAAAAATAATACAGCAAGAGCTCTTGTTCATTTTGCCTGGTTGCTGCATGGTAATAGTTTGCAAAACTATAATATAAAAATCCACATCCAGCATATTGACATTTATGCATCATCCAGTCATACTCAGATTTCTGCAGTTGTACCTATACTCACTCATCTGTGTGTGTGCTAGTTTTTTAAAATTTGATTATTAAAATTTCCTTTCCCAAGTATTGACTGCTTATACCCTTTGATGTTTTTCTTTTAGATTTTTTTGTCTTTTTAATTGACATATATATTCTACACGACAATCTATAGTTTGGCTTGTATGTCACAAATATGGCATCTCTGTTCTTTCTATTGTCACTTATATTTGAATTTTGTTATTGTGATGTTTTAAAAATTGGAGTAATCAAATTTAATAATTTATTCTGTTTTGAAACAAGCTTTTGCTGTCTTGTTCAAGAAATCATTGTTTACTGTGAGATCATAGTGTTCTCTAATATTTTCTTCTAATGCTTTTTAGGGTTTTCTTACATTATGGTTTTAATCTATTGGGAGGTTGTTTTTATGTATGATGTGAGGCATTGATCTAATTTTACTTTTTCTGTATGAAAAACAATTTTTCCTCTGCAGCAATAATTGATTAATTCATCCCATCTGTATTAAGTCATTCTTGCATTGCTATATATATATATAAATACCTGAGGACCGGACGCAGTGGCTCACGCCTGTAATCCCAGCACTTTGGGAGGCTGAGGAGGGCTGATCACTTGAGGTCAGGAGTTTGAGACCAGCCTGGCCAGCATGGTGAAACGCCATCTCTACTAAAAAAAAGTACAAAAATTAGCCGGGTGTGGTGGCTGGCGCCTGTAATCCCAGCTATTCGGGAGGCTGAGGCAGGAGAATCGCTTGAACCTTAGAGGCGGAGGCAGTGAGCTGAGGTTGTACCACTGCACTCCATCCTAGGTGACAAAGTGAGACTCCACCCACCCTCCTGAGACTGGATAATTTATAAAGAAAAGAGGTTTAATTGGCTTGTGGTTCTGCAGGTTCTACTACAAACCAATTAAATACTGGTATCTGCTCAGCTCCTGGGGAAGCCTCAGGAAACTTCCTATCATGGTGGCAGGCAAAGGCAGAACAAGGCATCTCACATGGTGGGAGCAGGAGCAAGACTGGGGTCAGTGAGGTGCTACACATTTTTAAATGAACAGATATCATGAGAACTCACTTGCTGTCATGAGAATAGCACCAAGAGATGGTGCTATACCATTCATGAGAAATACTTCCATGATCCAATCACCTCCCACCAGGCCCCACCTCCAGAACTGGGGATTACAATTCTACATGAGATTTGGGCAGGGACACAGATCCAAACCATATCACCATCCCTCAGATTTGACAGTGACTCCTCTGTTATGCACCTAAAGCCCATGTACACTTGATGTCATTCCTAGGCTCTAGATTGTGATCCGATAATCTGTTTATCAATCCCTGCACATTGCCACCTTGCCTTTATTACTACTATGGCTTCATAACTAATATGGATATCACGTAGTACAGGTCTGTAATCTTTATTCTCCTTTAAGAATAGTTTTAGCTATTGGCTATTTTTGATTATTTTCTGACTTCTTTATGAATTTTTAAAGTTTTTTTTATAATTTTTCTTTATAATTTTTAAAGTATCATGAAAACTCCATTGACTTCTTATTGACACAGAATTAATTTATAGGCTATAAATCTTCTACTGAGTTCTGCTTTTAGCTCATGTTTTGAAATGCAGTACTGTTTTCATTAGTACTGAATAGTTTTAATCTCCAAATTTTTTCCTCCTTAACAATTAAGAGGTTGTTTGTTTGTTTGCTGTTTTTTGTTTGTTTTTTGAGATGGAGTCTCACTCTCTTGCCCAGGCTGGTGCCATCTCAGCTCATTGCAACCTCCGCCTCCCGGGTTCAAGCAATTCTCCTGCCTCAGCCTCCTGAGTAGCTGGGATTACAAGCACGCAACACCACACCCAGCTAATTTTTGTATTTTTAGTAGAGAGGGGGTTTTACCATGTTGGCCAGGCTGGTCTCAAACGCCTGACCTCATGATCCGCCCTCTTCAGCCTCCCAAAGTGCTGGGATTACAGGCATGAGCCACCGTGCCTGGCCCAGCAATTAACGTTTTTAGACATATGCCCAATTGCCCCAAAGATATTACAAGAGTTGTTGTTTTCAATTGTCTTTTTCTTGTAGTTTCTAATTTATTTCACTGTGATTAGATAAGATGGCTCATACGAATAGATCTTTGGAATTTGTTCTGCCTCTTCTCCTGCCCTAGTGTGTGATCAGTTTTTATACGTGTTTAATTAGATCTTTAAAAGAATGCAATCTTGGACTCTTGACTACAAGGTTCCATGCCTACAAGGTTCCATGCCTACATCAAGCTTTTAAGTTATGCTATGCAAATCTACACTTTAACTAGTTTATTTTTTCTACTTGATCTACCAGTTTCTGAGAGAAATATATTAACATCTCTCACTATGATTCTGAATTACTTTCTCTTTGTGATTCTTTCAAATTTTGTTTTATGTATTTTGAGGTCACTAGGTGTATGGAGGCTCACGATTTATATATCGTCATGGTGGATTGTCAAACTACTCCTTTGCTTTCAAAGATCCACAGATCACAGAATGCATCTGTTTGTTCATGAATCACATCAGTAACAAAATATTCCAAACTGCAGGTGTTAGTATGTGATATGGTTTGGCTCTGTGTCCCCACCCAAATCTCACTTTGAATTGTAATAATCCCCACATATCATGGGAGGACCAAGTGGCAGGTAATTGAAACATGGGGGTGGGTTTTTCCCATGCTGTTCTCCTGATACTGAATAAGTCTCATGAGATCTGATGGTTTTATAAAGGGGAGTTCCCCTGCACATGCTCTCTTGCCTGCCGCCATATAAGATGCGACTTTGCTCCTCCTTTGCCTTCTGTCATGATTGTGAAGCCTCCCCAACCATGTGGAACTGTGAGTCAATTACACCTCTTTCCTTTGTAAGTTACCAAGTCTCAGTTATGTCTTTATTAGCAGCATGAGAACAGACTAATACAGTATGCAAATAAACTACTCACTTGAGCTATGCTGCATAGTACTGTATGCTCCAAGTTGAGTAGCAATAGAAATGTATTTATTTTTCCTGTACACAAATACAGTATAGAAAGAAGATAACTATATTTTAGATCTTTATCATAAAAATCATTAGAGTTCCAAACTTATTTTTTATTGCTTAGCTTAAACATTATTCACTCAATATCAATCATTCTACTGAAAAAAAAATGCCAAAGAATACAGTTAATTTAAAGGAAAATATTGTCTCCCACTATCCCCAGCCCACTTTGATCTCATTAGACCCCTCATTGGCCTTCAAATGCCCAGAGCTTCTTGAAGGGTTTGCTTCTTCCTGTATCCAGGTCTTCCTCTATACCTGTATATCATCTGGCAAGACCTGGCTCAAGACCCATTGGTACGTCAGTATTATCTATGGGAAAGAACCCTGACATCAACTGGTCTTGGAATAAAATTCAACTTCAACACCTAATTGCTATATGACTGTAGAGAGGTAAAGAAATATGGCTAGGTTCTTTCTGTGTCTTGGTTTTTACACAGATAAAATGAGGATAAAACTTGCCCCAGAAACTTAATTGAATGATCACATTTTCAGAAATGGAATAGGATACTCCTAGAACTTAGTTATTTCCTCTTTCTTTTCCTTCTTTCAATCTGTTGCCTGGAGAATGTAGTGCACTGTGATTCTTTTCATCTCTGATCTCATATTAACTAGACCACAAAGTCTAGTCCACAATTGGTTTCCATTTTTTCAAATAAGTGAGTTTTGTTTCTCTAGCTGGACTGAGAAAGCTCCATGAAGACAAGGAATATTTATCTCCTACAGAGCTTAGAACAATATTCAGTGCATAGTAAGAGACTTGGAAAATAGTTGCTTGTTGATAGAAGAAATAAAATAAAACCTGCCTGATTAATCTTTCTTCTTTTATTTAACTTTTGGTGGAGATTATAAATAACAGAGGAAACCACCAAAATAACAGCAAAGAAAGGAGCCTGGAATATAAGACCCTTTCCCGTAGTCAGATTCCTGTACCCAAGTCTTACTAACAAGGAAAGCAATAAATAGGGGAAATATATGCCCATAGCTTCTGATATCGAGTTTTCTAGGAAAAAAGTCAAATTTCTTATTTACTGCTTGACCTTGTAGATAAAAATTTGAATGACTTCTAATGATTTCCTTTCTTTGGAAGGTTCCTATTGTAACAGGTACAGGTTTTCCAAGTGTAAAAAGGCATTGCAAGCAGGTATCTATGTTTAGCTGTGAACCTCTCTGAATCATCTTTCTATCCATAGAGATTTGCAGAGGTCATGGAACTAAGGGACGCTTCCAGGGGATGTTTGCAAATGAATAATTGAGTGAATAAATTAGTTAGGCACAATTATAAGCCAGAAACCAGAGTTTACACCCATGCAGATTGGGATGTCTCCTTTCAGAGTTGCCTAGTCTAGGAATACACAACTGAGGTAGGCAGTGGCCTAGCCCCAGGGGAGCTCCAGCAGAGAAAGGAGCTGCTCTAAGGTACTTAACCTCTATAACAGAGCAACCTGGTTCCTGCAACAGCTATAGCTGGGATTGCTTTTGATGCTGAGCTAGGCCAGGATTGGCCTGTGGCAAAAATGTGAGCAGCAAGAAATTATGTTGTTAGTATTCTACCACCTTCCCTTTTATGGTTCTTTGCCCTTTCTCCACTTCCTGCCTCAGGTTTCCAGCAACTAAGCCACACACCCATCTAAGAATCAGCATTCCATCTGTCCCCTCCAAAAGAAAAGAGAGTGGGCAATGTTAGTACATTAAAGGTAATGAAATAAGATAAGAGGTAGGGAAAGGGGTAGAAGAGAACAGGGAAGAAGAAATGTCACCAACATCTATTTTATCTGGAAAAATGTAGGAGATATTGTGCTGGCCATTTTTAATACCTGATCTCATTTAAATCTCATTTAATTCCCCCAATAACACCATGGACCCAGTATCATTATGCCCAGAGAAGTTAAGTAAGTTGCAGAAGTCCGTATAGTTAGGAACAAAACACAAACCTCAAAATCATGTGTTTAATTCCAAAGTCAAAGTATCTCCATGACATATGACAAGTAAATAGTTCGATTAATTTTCCAAATGATATTAGAGAACTGACGGATACTAGCTTAAAATACAGAGTGGCCATAAGATCTGGCAGCACAGATAAATCATTTCTTACAGATTGAACCTACTTGATTACTTCTTCTGGGGTATGCTAATGATGCAGGTTTCTTCACTGAAAATCAGAGACACAAATAAGGCAATATGTCACATACCCATATATGGGGAATGATGAAATACTGCATCAATGAAATGCATTACTTGCAATTCTGCACAGCACATTGAGCTATGTATTTTTACCAAGGGACAACACAATAAGTGTTATCATGTAATGTCATTGAACATATCATGTCTTTTTTATATCAATTATCCTTTTATCTTATAAAATTACCTGTGTTTCCAGACTTCATGGCTATCTTGTATAATCCAGGAATCAAGAGGTAATAATAACTTGAGCTCAAAGGAATAATTGAATGATTTTCAAGCGATATGAGAGGGAAGTAGGAGAGATATTTTGGGGGTAGCAAGAACTCCTAAAATCACAGTACGTAAGTGACCTGTTCTCCTCCATTTAGTTCTGGGCCACTTTTCACCTTGTGCTACTGAAATGGTCTGACTATATTGCCATGTCGTGCTGAATCTCCAAACTTCTCTATAGGAAAAGGAAATTAGAAATCAGTGAGTCCCTGGCTGAGCACAGTGGTTCATGCCTGTAATCCCAGTAGTTTGAGAGGCCAAGGCAGGTCAATCACCTGAGGTCAGGAGTTCGAGACCAGCCTGGGCAACATGGTGAAACCCCAACTCTACTAAAAATACAAAACTTAGCCGGGCGTGGTGGCGCATGCCTGTGGTCCCAGCTACTTGGAAGGCTGCAGCAGGAGAATCACTTGAACTCAGGAGTTGGAGGTGCAGTAAGCTGAGATTGCGCCACTGCACTCCAGCCTGGGTGACAGAGTGAGACTCTGTCTCAAAAAAAGAAAAAGAAAAAAGAAAAGATATCAGTGAGTTCCTTATCCAAAGTCCCAAAATCCAAGCTCATCAGAGAATAATCAGCCCTGTACTCTTGTTATTGGCCACTGTGGGATTACCTGAGGTACTGTACTTGGATCACACACCCCTCTCTCTGCCACCACTCCTCCAGCTTAATATTATATGAAATAGAAAATGGCAAAGACTGGTGAAAATGGGAACGAAGGTTTGTTCCTCTTTTCTTAATTAAGCTGTGGTCCTTAGCACAAGTCTGTAACATCAATCTTATCGAATCTCAATAAATGCTTACAACTCATCACTACTAAGAATCTAATTAGACATTTATTGCTTATGTAGTTCTGAATTAATGACATAGCAGCAAGATTTATATCTCACATATCTGTTATACCTCAGCACTCTTCATTTTAATAATCAATTGATATTTCGTTAACATTAACTATCCTATTAAAACTAAATTAAATGCTATTCTGATTTGATTTTATTAAATAAATGCTGGAAACACTAATGAGGCGCAGGCCATTTAAATCATGACAGGACTGCCAAATTTGCACCCCTCTGTTAAGTGAAGTAATTTCACAGTGAAAAAAATGAGCAGATGTGTTTCTCAAGCTGACAATTTCATAAATACTTCAAATGAAGTCATGATGGATTTTCAACCAACATCTCAAAAGACTAAGAGAAACTCTCAGAATATGCTTCATTTTGAATAAGGCTGTGCTAAAGATGCCTTAAAGAAAAAAATACTTCACCCTCATCTCATGTTGTAAGGTCACTAATCTGAGAAGAGCAAGATAGTGTTGCTTCATGAAAGAATTTCAGTATTCTGGCAAAAATACTTCTGAAACGAGCTAAACTGGACTTCCTCAAACAGTTGAGTGTTTTACTTTTAGTGCAGTACCAGATTTTGTTTCACCAAGGGAATGGAACTTAATAAATAAATTACTCAATAACTATTTTTTATTTAACAACTGAGTACCTGCCATGTCCCAAGCTAAATAGAATATGACTCTATCTCATAGGGACAAATGTTCTGAAGCATCTTCTACTTGCTATGATGGGTTATATGAGAAACTCAAAGCATGAGGGGTGGGCTGTGCCCTCAGGAAGTCTGCAGTCTTGTTAGGGAGGACCTGGAGCTCATCCATCAGGAGTCTGAACCCACTCCTGGTGAGTAAAGTCACCAAGTAGCCCAAGTTTCTTGTAAAGTTCCTGGAGTGTAAAACATGCTTAATAAATATTTGTTGAATGAATGAAAGCTTCTCTGGCACAATTAATTTGCGATTCTCTTGATCCAAGTCCTCATCCAGAATCACATCATTCGAAGTTCATTATTCCACAATCGCAGACTCCTAGTCATAAAAGCCAAAAGGAAAGTTAGTAGAGTTGCAGTGGTATCTAGGTGCCAGCAACAATAGTCAAAAAAAGAAGTGGTTTCAACCATGGGTCCTGGCAAACAATTGTACTGGCAACTCTTCACTTATGTGCTGCCAAACTATGATAGACACGAGGAGCGTCTTCTACAACTGAGAAGTCACACCATTCCAGCAATGTCTGTAATTGAGATCATGTGCTGAGTGGGCAGTTCAGGTAAGGAATTATACATCCTGATTTGAATAGAACAGTCTCTGTTTTTATCCATTTCCTGAAGTAATTATTAATAGCACCAACTCTCAAGAGTGTCCTGGTTCAGATGATAAGTTATATAATCACCATGAGTGCAAGATAAAGCCTGATGAGCCAGAGGTATGGGGCAAGATTTCTATTTAAGAAAGTAGTTTGTACACACCACTTTTTATCTTCCTACCTTTGTCAGCTATGTTCGTCTTTTCATATGGTTAGTGTTTTTAGTGCTCCAATTCTACAGTATAACTGTAGTTGTCTTCTGTGCTTTTTCTATATGTTGACTCTAAAATTAAGAGTAATTATGACAGATTATGTTCCTAATTATAAAATGTTCTGGTTTTCTTCTACGTGGGAGGAATATGGATATGTCTTTGAACAACAAAGTTCTACTAAAATTCAGCCTCATGGCAAGGATCAAATCAAGGAATTTCTGCAGGCCATTTATTGGAACTTTTCAACTTAGTAAGACAGCATTCAGTAAATCCCTTTAATTGGACAGAATGACTCAGGGAGAAGAGATTAAGGGTGTTGGTCTCCTTGGAAAGTCTGATAGATGCAAGGTACTAGAAATTAAACATGTCTAGAGAGGCATATTTCAAAACAGAATAGAAATTCTTTGATAAGAATCAAGTAGATATGAAATTAAGTTTTTTAAAGCATTGTACTACCAATAGAACTACTAGCCTAAATTTTAAAACATTGTTTAAGACTTAAAAAACGACACTTGTGGCAGGGCATGGTGGCTCACCCTTGTAAGCCCAGCACTTTGGGAGGCCGAGGCAGGCAGATCACGAGGTCAGGAGATCGAGACCATCCTGGCTAACATGGTGAAACCCCGTCTCTACTAAAAATACAAAAAAATTAGCCGGGTGTAGTGGCAGGTGTCTGTAGTCCCAGCTACATGGGAGGCTGAGGCAGGAGAATGGCATGAACCCAGGAGGCGGAGCTTGCAGTGAGCGGAGATAGTGCCACTGCACTCCAGCCTGGGTGACAGAGCGAGACTCCGTCTCAAAAAAACAAACAACAAACAAAAAAATGACACTTGCTTCTTCCCCATCCTTCCTGCTTGAGCTGAAGCAGGAGGAGAAAGTTCTCTAGACCCCAAGGAGATCATGTTCTATAATTCTTTCTTGAGATGTAGCCAAAGACAATAATGTAAAAGTAAGACTTCCCATAGGATAGAGCAAAGGGCTAAAGGGAGAAAATGTCTGGGAGCTATGCCCAGGGAATAGAACCATGTCCTAATCAAGCAATCCTTCCCTCTCTGAGATAATATCCTCCTAGGGGGATTTCAGAATCAACAGAGACTGGTGGCAGTCGTGAGTCCCCTTTCACCTTTCCAAATGGGCATGTTTATTATGGTCTTTGTCCCTGTGCCATCACTGTATATTGGGTATGTGAGAGGCAGATGGCTTCTCCTTTTCTTTCTGAAGCTTTGGATCAAGAAAAGCTGTATCCATACCTGATACAGAGACTGTCTCCTATCACCTGAAGATACTGACTGGCCTTTTCCTTAGCAGTAAAGGTGAAGTCCAAATTACTGTTTAGGACTTCTGGTTGTCTTTCTTGGAGAAGGGGTGAGTATGTTCAGCTTGTGGGAAAAGGAGGATGTGAATAGCTGAATACCAGAAAGGTGGACTGTGAGAGTTTGTATTACCTTTCACCAAATATTTTTGTTTCTACCTCTGTGGTGCCACCTGTTGTAAGATTATAAACACCACCCCACATTGAATTCAAGAGTAGCCATGTGACGTACCTTGGCCAATGAAATGTGGGTGAAAGTGATGTTTGCTATTCCTGGACAGAAGTGTTGAGAGACATGGGTCACCATGTCTCTTTTCTCTGCCATGAGACTGACAACATTCAAGTGAAAGCCTGGGCCCCAAATTAGGAAAACATACATCTGGGCTTCAGCTGACCTGTAATGGGCATTTAGTATGAGGAAGAAATCAGCTTTTGATGTTGGAAGCCACTAAGACTTGAGGTCATATGCAGCATAACCTAGTTCATTCTGATAGTCACAGCAATAAACGGTGCTAATAATATTAAGATAATGTAAAGATTATTCACCATAATGCCAAGTAATGTGCCTGGACCTATAAAGAAGGAGATATAATCCCACATATCTAAAGGATGAAGCACTAAACCCTCAGTGACACAAAATCTTGATACATTTGTTTGCTTCATAGTTGAACTGATTTTCTTATCTAGCATGTAGTTTTTCCTGGACTTTCTAGTTGCCTTTCTTTTTTTCCTCTAGAAAAGTTTAGGATTATTGTTTTATCTTTAGTGTTCCAAAATTTCACCAGGATACCTCTAAGATGTCAGTCTCTTTTCATTTATTTAAGTTAGTGTTCTCTTTCTCCACTGCTTCATCTCAAAACCTACCCCAGCCACATTCATTATTTAGCTTTCCCCACCTCATATACCCACTTGCAATTTTCTTAGAATTATATTCAGTCCTTTCTCTTCCATTGGATTATGGGCCACTGTGCAGGGACTGAGTCTGGCTCCACTTTTTAATCCCCCCCATGCCAGGCGTGGTATCTGGCACAGAAAATGAACTCAATAACGAGATGCTGAATTTTCTACTTCCTGTATGCTTCCTGGTGACAAAAGTAATTAATCACAATATAGTAAATCTAATTTTAAGATACAACTATTTTTTCTCTCTCAGTAATATATGATGGACATTGCCCACTAATAAGACAGAACAGGAAACATGAATGGGTTCCAGTGTACAAATGCCCTAACAGCATGAAACATTAAAATGGTATTTTTCTGCTTTCTGAAATTCAAACAGTGATGAGAGACAGCATTCATGACATAGAATAAGGCTGCTTCAATTATAAAAACAATTCAGATCAAGCTCTTAGAACACTTCAATGTCTAATTTGCTTCCTTAACCATTTGACTTATGCATTTCACTTTTTTCTCTAGAACTTCTATGGAAGAAGAATTAGAGAAACCTATATTGAAGTTCCTAACACAAGATCTTAGTCTTAACAGCTTCTTTGGCATCAGGTGGCAGAACAATCTTTTCCTCTAGCTGTAACCTTAAATATGACCTTAGTTAGGACGTCATGTAGTGAGCAATACATGTACAGTAAATTTCAGAGCTACATGAAAGTTTCTCATCCCTCCAAAATATCTAATTGTTGGCTGCTATCCCAAATGAAGCCTTCACTTCCTTAACTTAGAACTTTAAAAATAAAACTTTTTTTTAATACCTGGGAGGAAAGATCAGTTAGAATCCCAACTGTGGCACACTTTTCCTCCCAAATCAGGCTCTGTAGAAACTCTATCAAACTTAGGTGGTTCTGAGGAACAGTTTGAAAAGCACTGCGAAGCTCAAGTCTATATAACCCTAGAGATACTTGCATAAAAATAACTAAATTATTTGGAAGTCCTTTTCTAAGAGAAGATTTTTCTCCTGCATGAGGAAAAAGCACAGTAGGTGTAGGTCCCTGGGCCATAGAAACCCTTCCCCACCCTACCCCTCCCCACAAAAAAATAGACATAGAACAGGAAAACCCAAGGTTTTTTAATATGTCTCTAATAACTTATCAGACAGTAAACCTTGACCTTGGCTCCCTCCACTGTATCCTAACACCCCTCATATGCAGGAGATTCAATAAGATCCATCTGTGTTTTAAGAGGGTCTTCATAAATACAAATCAAATTGAAGTTTTAGGCAGCCAAGAGTCTGCTAACTTTCTAGAAAATTCCAATCCAGCCCCCACACTACCCAGCTGCCGGCACCTGATTGGCTTTTTAGATAATTGATCACAGCTGGTGGCTTAATTGGGCCTGCCTCAGAAAAACCAGCTTCTTCTCAAAACAAGGCTTCATCCCGCCATGGTGCCCTCGGGGCCAGTGAACTCACTGGGAGGAAATGTGACTCCCACTTTTCCATTTGAAGAACGTGGGGCATTTCCTAGATGGGGCTCTATGCCACGGATCTGGTCGCAGCTTGGTGAGCTTGAGAAAAGAGTGCAAGCTCCCTCTCTTCTACCCTGACCTGAGAGAGCCTTGTAGTCTCTCAAAGTTTTGTAATTTGCTTTCAAGGTAGCATGAGATGGTATGGTTTTCTTTAATTCCAGTTCATAGTGAACAGTCACAATTATACAGTATCTTTAAATGTCTTTTTAATTTAATTTTATTTTATTTTATTTAGAGACAGGGTCTCCCTGTGTTGCCCAATGCAGTGTTCATTTATAGGCACAATCATGGTGCACTTCAGCCTTGAACTCCTGGGCTCAAACAATCCTCCCACCAGAGCACCTGAGTAGATGGGACTATAGGTACATGCCACTGCAGACTTTAAAGTGTCTTTCTATTGTATTTGAGTCATCCCAATTACAAGGCTTCTGTTCCCCAGTCCCATTTGATAGACCACTTGTCCATTGTGAGGAATTAAGTGATGATGACAAACTTGTAACCCTCCATTGTTGAAATAGGGGAAAGGAGCTGACCGTGGCCTGAAGAAAGGCCATGTCTTGCCAGAGTGGCCATGAGAATTTCATAAGGGACAAGACAGCAGGCTGGAGAGCTCCAACTGTGCCAAGATGCATTCTTGTCAGGTGCATAGCCCAAGAGGCATTGTCCAAAAGGAAACCGCTTACTTGATGATCATAAAGTAAAGAAGTAGGGTTGGAAATTGAGACAGTTAAAGGAAAAGTTGGTCAAATTGACAGGACAAGATCCAGAGAAATTAAGCATGTCAGAAACATACAATCAGAGACAAGACCATGTGAACTGGAGCTACTCCACTGTGAACTCCAGAAGGCCCCATTCTCCTTGATGGTTAGTTATGTCAACTTGGGAGAAAACGTTTAGTTTTGGGCTTCTTTGTGATTCCTATAGGATGGGCAAATAAAGACTGCCATCAAGAAGGTGAATATGCATATCTGAAGCTCAGAAGAGATCTGAGGTGGACAATGAGATTGGAGAATCATTGGCTTATTGACAGTAGTTGAGACCATGAACACTGTTGAGATTACCTAGGAAATGTGAACAGCTGGGTAAAGAAGATTGAATGGTGGTTTCCTTAGAGGAACTGGAGAGAAAAATAGGCTCTCACAGAAATAGTCTCTCTCTCTCTCTCATTCTTTCAAACACACACACACGAAATGGCAAAGAGTATTACTTTCCATGACAATTTATCTGAGGCCAAAGGTACACATTAAGGCAAAACAAAACAAAAATAATTTACCAGAATAAACAAGTAAGAAAACTTAAATTTCAGCAACTCCATCCAGAAATCAAAAGGCAAACTAAGTGTGGTGGAGACACCTGTTGCTGACCTACTGCTGTTTTTCTAGGCTAAGAGAGTCCTGATTTTGTGTGCCCTGCTCTGGATGGCCATATCTTTCATGGAAGGTGGCCCCAGCCATGATCATGGGGTTCTTATTGCACATCCAATAATTGGTTAAGCATGGACATGTGGTCTAATTCTAGCCAATGAAACATGAGAAAACTTCTGGCAATTTCTGGGAACACTCTACTTGTTCTTTCAAAGGGACTGGTGGTGGTGGGGATACTCCCTTTTCTAACTCCCTCTCTCAATGTTAATATGTCTATGTGTGCCTCCTGGAAGAGTGACAGACATTCTTGACCCTGAGGAGAGAAGACTGAGGACAAAAGCCAACATGCTGGGGTGCCCATCCCTCAAACTTTGGTGTTCTAAAGAAAGAAGGAACCTTCATCCTTGGTGCTGTCAACCAGCCACTGAATTACCGACCCTGATACCAACCTCTGGAGTTCTTGTTAGAGTGAATAATGAACATCTTTATTATTTGAGCTCCTCTTTGTTTGGTTTTCTTCAACTTGCTGCCAGAAAAGCATTCTAATCGATACACTAACAAACCCCCAGTGGGACAATTTATAGGTGAATAGTAACACATCTAACACAGCATTTACTATGTGCCAGGCATGGTTCTAAGAGCTTTAGCCCACTTAATCCTTATAACAACTATAAGAAGAAGACACTATTTGTCTTCTTCATTTCCCAGATGAAGAACTTCATTACAGAGAGGTGGAAGTACTTGTTCAATGTCACGTAACTAACTAATAGTAGAACTAGTATTACAAACACAGGAAGTCTGGCCCCCAAATCGAAACTCATAACCAGGATACTAGGCGCCTCTCAGATTAACAAACAGGAGCTAGGTTACTCCTATTCAAAGTCAATTACTAGGGAACTATAAGAACAGCAAAGGAGAAGTCAGATCAACAAAGTTTTTACTTCCTGTTTGATGACTTTCTTTCCACTTAATCTCCCCAACTTTGCCCAGGTTCCTTACTGTCTCCTTGCTCTACCCCCAAGCAAAATATTCTCTCAGGTCCCACTCGACCCACAAAGGTGTAAATGACTAAATAACAAGAGTGTTTGGATTTTACCAGGAATTGGAGCCTTAAACCTAGCTTGAATTTTATGCATCCATCTGCCTGAATCTACCCAGAAAACAGTTCTGTAAAGTCACATTTATGGAGAGCTGAGATTACACAGAATGAATGAATGGTCCCTTTCCCCAAGGGGCGTATGGCCGATGAAACGAAATAAAAACCTAAATTGGAGATGATCATGAAACTAAGAATATAAGATACAGGTCACAGTGGTTGCCTCTTGGAAGGGAGCTTGGAGGGGTGGGGTAGAGTGCACTAGGCAACCAGCTGAGGAGACTCTGTTTTCACCCTAAGTCTGTTTTTGTGCTATTCTATACTTGGAATTTTCCCCATATCCATATTACCCATTCATCAACAATTAGGAAAGACTAAAGTTCAAAAAGTGTGATAAATTTCTTCTAGAAATGTAGGCAGAATGCTTTGAGAGTACAAAAAATGTAAAATAGGCAAGGAAAGTATATTAGTTTGCTAGGGCTGCCATCATCACAAAGCACCATACACCAAATGGCTTAAACAATAGAAACGTATTGTCTCACAGTTCTTGAGTCTAGAAGTCTAAGATTAAGGTGTCCACAGAGCCATGGTCACTCTAAAAGCACTAGGAAAGGCTCTGTCACAGGCCCCTCTCCTCACTTTGCAATCATCAGGTGTTCCTTGGCTTGTATATAATGACATCTCTTCACATTATCTTCCCTCTATGTGTTGCCTGTGTTCAAATTTCTCCCTTTTTAAGAACACCTGTGACATTGGGTTAAGGTCTACTCTAATGACCTCATTTTAAATGGATTACTTCTGCAAAGATGCCATCTGCATACTCAGGTTTAGGACCTTGACATAGGAATTGGGAGTGGGTCACAATTCAACTGATTACAGAAAGATATTGGAACGCTTTCTGGAGATTTATTCCATCAACACAGTATTGACAGGAGGCCATTGTGAGGCTTCTTTTCTTAGAACAACAAATTTTCTCAGGCATTTGTGATAAGCAACCCCTTGACATTTTAACACAGTGGGATGACACCACATGGACTCAGCTTGAAGGGCACCACTTGGAAAACGGTAAATGTAATCTATGACAGGTGCATGTTAAATCAGGGAGCCCGATAGCTAAGTAGCAGGCTGTGTATTGTGCTATGCACCCCAGCTCTGGCTCACTTCTCCCATGTAACTACACCATCAGAAAAGGCAGATTGTTGAAGCTTGAACACTTACAGGCAATTTCCATTCTTATGCTACTGATAATTGCATTTGTGGAAACATAAGGAGTCCCTGATGGCTGATTCAACATGTAACAATTTTTAGAATTTTACTTTATAACCAAATAATGTATCCTGCTGAATAGAGTGCTGCCTCTTGCGGACAAGGTAATTTAAAAATCATGTTCAAGTTATGTTTACAATAAAAATTCAAAATAATGTTTTCTTTCTAGATGACGTTATGAGTGTGACTTGTAGGCTGGAATGTTAAAAAAATGCAGGAAATTAGAGAATAATCATGCAGATTTTTTTGTACATCCATGCCAAGAATATAAGCAATGGTGGGTGTACGGTATAGGTAGCCAGGATTTTGCAATAGTAAGCCATATAATCATAAATTAATATGAATATCAACAATTTAAAATTTTTAAAATAGCAGTTACTATGGCATACTGCCTTTCGCTATTCCAAGTATGGATGCCAGAAAATATAAGAAATACAAGTCAATCAATCAAGAGGTCCCTCAGTTTTTGTTTTCAATAGATTGATCCGTTTCATAAGAATTAAGTAAATGATGCTATTTCAAATCATTATGAGAAAGAGAGAATACCTATTTTTTTTTTTTTTTTTTTGAGACAGAGTCTTGCTCTGTCGCCCAGGCTGGAATGCAGTGGCACAATCTCGGCTCACTGCAAGCTCCGCCTCCCGGGTTCACACCATTCTTCTGCCTCAGCCTCCTGAGTAGCTGGGACTACAGGTGCCTACCATCACACCTGGCCAGTTTTTTGTATTTTTAGTAGAGACAGGGTTTCACCATGTTAGCCAGGATGATCTCGATCTCCTGACCTCGTGATCCGCCCGCCTTGGCCTCCCAAAGTGCTGGGCTTACAGGAGTGAGCCACGGCACCCGGCCTAGATTACCTATTTGATCCTTACCTCAAACTGTAAATTAAATACCAGACATATTTACCAGAGGTTTTAAACATTTTTAAAGTAAAAAAAAAAAATGCATGAACAATCCAAGTTTATGAAAGAAACTGATGAAGGTATATAAGAGGTTAAAACTCTTCCATGTTAATGAAATTATAAAAATTAAAAGCCAAAGAATAAACCAGGAAAAAATTTTTTGCAACACATTAAAAAACAGTAAATTAAAAGGATGAACACTCCAACAGGAAAAAATAATCAAAATAAACGAAAGGCAACACACACACACACAAGCTAATTTTACTAATAAGTATATATTTATATTTTAAAGTTTGACTGCAACACTGATCAAGAAAATACAAAATGAAATACATTTTTATACACAATGAGTATCTAAACATAGCAAACCCCAGCACTGTCATAACATGGAAAGTGTGTATAAACTGCTAACAACCTTTCTGTGGGTCAATTTGGCAATCAAAAGTTATTATATCTGAGATTTGTATCTAACCTAAATTTATCCAGAAAGAAAGCATCAAGGACATAGGCTGTAGCAGAGGTTGTCAGTGTCCCTCCTTATCCTGTGTATGCATGCAATGTAGTTTCCAACTGCCAGCACTGGCAACTTCTGCCTGGGATCATTTCTGGATAAGGAAGTGTGCTAAATCACGAATTAGGCTGGCTGGAAGTCAAAGGGTTAACAGCCCTGGAAGCAGTCCTCAACCAATGATAGAAGTTAAGGATTCCTCGCCCTCAATGGGGACAACTGTGAGTGCAGAACAGACTCCCAGGGGTGATAATGGAATGGGGCCTCAGTTGCCCATGGTGGTGGCTTGCTCATTAACAAATCCTCCAAGGACTTTCTTCCTTTCTCTTTCTTATTACCTTACTGATGTTTCCTGGATCACTCCCAAATAAGCTACTCAAATCCTTCTATCTAGGTCGGTATTCAGGAGAAACTAACCAAAGTTATAGGCAAACATTTATCTAAAAGGATGCTCATCACATTGTTATTTATACTACTAGAAATTGGAACTATCATATATTAATAATAGCAATAGTTTCATCAATATTATGATACAATATATACACATTAAAAGACAATAGAAGAATATTTAATGTCTTGAGAAGGCAAGTGGTATTACATAATGGTTAAGAGACAGGTTTTGAAATGTGATATCATTTCCAGTTCTGGCTTCACCAGTTGCTACCTCTATGATTTCAGACAGTTAATTAACCTCACTAAGTGTCAGTTTCCTCACATGTAAAATGAGGGTGACAATAGTATCACACAGGGTTACTGTAAATATTAAGTGAGATAGTTTCTATAAAGTGCTTAGCCTAGTTCCTGGCACACAGTAATAGTATTTATCATCACCATTATTATTAATATTATATAATAAAGTACAAGTTTACAAAACAATATGTTGTATCATTTTAACACACACACACATACGTGTATAATGAGACTTCAAAAAGTTCACAGAAAAAGGGAATTAAAAGATAAATAAAAAATATAAACTTTATTTCTCAATACAAGCTCCATCAAATTCAAGGCATTTTTGTAAGTCATGGTACCAGCCATTCAGTCCATCGCTAAAAAACTGAGGGTATTTAACTGTGTCAGTGCAGTCTTTTTTTACATTACTAACTGAAGTAAAATGGGTGCCCTTTACAGATTTTTTTAAGATTATTAAAGAAAAACAATTCAGAAGAAGCCAAATCAGGACTGTAAGGTGAATATGTTGTGATTTCTCATCAAAATTCTCACAAAATTGCCCTTGTTTGATGAGAGGAATGAGTAGAAACATTGTCATGGTGGAGAGGGACTCTGGTGAAGCTTTCCTAGACATTTTTCTGCTAAAACCTTGTTTGACTAAAGTGCTCAAAACAGTCTATAATAGGCAGATGTTATCATTCTTTGGCTCTCCCAAAAGTCAACAGCAAAATACCTTGAGCATCCCACAAAACTGTTGCCATGAACTCTGCTCTTGACTGGTCCACTTTTGCTGTGAATGGGTCGCTTCCACCTCTTGGTAGCCATTGCTTTGATTGTGCTTTGTCTTCAGAATCATACTGGTAAGGCTATGTTTCACCTTCTTTTATAATTCTTCAAAGAAGTGTTTCAGGATCTTGATCCCACTTGCTTACAATTCCCATTGAAAGGTGTGCCCTTTCTACAGTTGATCTGGGCACAGTGGTTTTGGCACCCATTAAGTGGAAAATATTCTCAACTTTAATTTTTCAGTCAGAATTGTGTAAGCTGAACTGAGATGTCTATGGTGTTGGCTATTGTTTCTGCTGTTAATCATCAGTCCTCTTCAATTAGGGCACAAACAAGATAAATTTTTTCCTCACAAATTGATGTGGATGGTCTGCCGCTGAAGGCTTCATCTTCAACATCATCTCATCCTTCTTAAAATAAGTTATCCATTTGCAAACTGCTAATCTGGGGGGGCATTGTCCTCATAAACTTTTCATAAAGCATCAGTGATTTCACCATTCTTCAACCCCAGCTTCACCCTAAATTTGATGTTTGTTCTTGTTTCAATTTTAGCAGAATTCATGTTGCTCTGATAGGGGCTCTTTACAAACTTATGTCTAAGCTTTCTTAGTGCCTCAAACTAGATCCTGTTTCAGCCATGTTATAACAAGTAGTATGAGTTTATTTTGGTGCAAAAAATTGAAATTCATGCATAGTTGTTTCATAATATGCATCTTCCATGAACATTTTGATGTCCCTTCATATATATTCATAATACATACATACATATATAAGTTCTCACACATGTATATTTATGGAAGTATAGAAACATAGGAAATATATGCAAAGTTATTATAGTATATGACTGTATACTAAGGTGGTGGATATTTTTTCTTTGTGCTTTTTTATATTTTCCTAATTTTTAGAATTATTACTTTTGTAGTCATATGACAAAAGCTATTTTTAATGAATTTTATAAATAATCTTAAAGCGACTCATAAAGGTACATTACCTGAATTTCTTCACATAAAAATGTGCAATTTTTGGCCCAGGGCTAGCCAATTCTTGTTGATGAAGTCAGGGAAAATATCACTATTTAGCAAAATTCATCTTTTTGAGAATAATGGGTATATTCTGCTCCTGAGCTTATATTGTTGATGATGGGTCTCAGTGTGAATTAAATAGAAAGTTTTGTCACAGAGCCATGCAAATGCAAACACTGCCCAAAGACTGAGCAGCTGAGTGCCACAGTTACAATAGATACTTGATCATTCAGGAACTTTCCTTATTTAAGCATCAAAAGCAAGCAAAGAGGCTTGAAGCATGATTCATAGCATCCGAATGAGTGAATTGCCTCTGAAAGGGTGACTTCATTGTTTCAGACAGTTCTGCACTTCTTCAGAGTTTCTGATTCCATTAAGTCCAGGCCAGGTCACAATGGAATATAAGTCCAACTTGGATTTGTCATCATCCCTCAACCCATATGTGTAGTACGCATATCATATACCTGTACACTCTTGAACAAATGAGCAATGCTCTCATTCAATGTGCTCAGATGAATACGTGTCTGCCAAAAAAGACAATCTTGCATCTCTGAGGGGTCTAACAGATTGTTTCTCTCAAGATACTCATTAATTCCCAGAAGTCTTTGATCTGAATTTGATAAAGACCTCCAACAACTTTCTGCTACTCAGCCCTCTAACTGGATAAAATAATCTAATCTTCACAGCCAGTTTTCACTTCTTCCAAATTATCTATAAACTGTCAAAGATCAAGGGTATTGGAACAAAAAAAAATCTACAATTTTGACCACTTTTAGCATTGAATCATGCAGTGAACTAATTTGAAAGCCTTACAGTATGAATTCTGACAAATCACACAACAAAAGAAGAAAACATCTAATATCTCTTTGGATTTTAAAAAAATTAAAAATTTAACATTTTATTCCAGTTGCCTTGCCTATGGCAAATGAAATCTGCCCTTTTTTCAGGTTGAAGGCAAATTTCTTAGGTTATTTTACTTGCAAATGGTTAATGTATGCTGAATTTTGGTAGGAAATGTTTTTCTCATTAATGGTCTCAGCCAGACAAAACTCCATCTCTATAAAAAATACAAAAATTAGCCAGGTGTGGTGGCATGCACCTGTGGCCCCAGATACTCAGGGGGCTGAGACAAGAGAATCACTTGAGCCTGGAAGGTCAAAGTTATAGTGAGCCGTGATCATACCACTATACTCCAGCCTGGGCAACAGAGTGAGACCCTGTCCCAAAAAATAAAAACAGTCTCAGCCAGGTCAGACTCTTATAAGGTTAGCATTTCAAGTAACCTGTTGAATGCTCTGGTTAGGCAAAAGTTTTAGCAAATGTTGGTGATTAAGAAAAAAAAAAAACTATAGTATATACTGAGTGCAATACAAAGGCTAGAGCTATAGACAAAGAAGCAGAAGCTAGAGACCTTGCACCAAATGCACCATTGTCACAGAATGCTTAGGGTGTCATTTCACCAGCCAGAAACCTCTATGGCCAGCAGTGCCTCTGCTTGGGTTTTGCTTACTCCTGCTGGGCTTGTCTCACCCACACAGCCCAGCAGGCTGTGCTCGGCCCGTGCTACTGGCCCAGATCCCATACTTGCTAAGGACAAGCCAGGCACAGAGTGGCAGGGGGTGTGTGAATGCATGAGCAGGGGCAGGGTCTCGCTGCTGTGCACAGCCAGGCACACCAGCTGCTGCAGCAGAGTGGGCAGCTCCAGGTGCCAGCACAGGCACTGGCTTCATGTGAGGCTGCATGCCCCAAGTGACTGCCACTGCAGGCACCAGGGTCTGGACAGACAAGGGGAATGCAGTGGCACCTGAAAGCTTGGAGATGCCAGGAACTACAGAACCCCAAAGAGGGTGTTACAGTGTGTCACAGCTCAGGTTCGGGAAGCCCCAAGGTCTGGGCTTCCAGAAGGGCTTCAACTCTTCTCTCCTTCTTGTCGCCCGCAGTGCAGTGAGTAGGGGTGTGCACAGAGTGGTGGATATGTTTCAGCCTATTTGTGTTACAGCTGTGTTAGTCCCACTGCCCCACTCAGGTCCACAGCTCTTGGACTGGCCTGTCCCCACTGCTGCTTCTCATCCCATGGGGTGGCTTCTGGGTGCAAGTGAAGCATGGGAGGGCTGTAGTGTTACAACAGCTCTGGCTCAGGGAACCCTGGGGTCTGGGCCCCAAGAAGGGTTGCGATGCTTCACTTCCACAGTCTGGGAGTGTGTCACTGCCTGCAGCTCAGTAAGCCAGCCAGGAACGTGTTACAGCTCCTTTCACTCCCATCATTCAGTGGGTCCCAAGTTCTTGTCCCACATCCAGGAAGAATGAGGTTATGTGGATAACTGGAGGGTGAGCCAGGCAGAGAGGAGCTTTACTGAGCTGCAGAACAGCTCTCAGGAGACCCAAAGTGGGTAGCCTCTATCCACAGGCAGGTTGTCCCAGTGAGTGTCTGAGTCTAGCTGAGTCTGGGGTTTTTATGGGCTCAAAAAGTGCATGCTGATTGGTCCATGGGAAGCCATGGGTGGGCCTGAAAAAACACCATGAGTTCTCACTCTGGGTCATGGACTCCACCTGGAACTGGCAGCCCAGCCTCCAGAGCATTCCTGGCTTGAAGGTGGGTTTTCACTAGGGACACACCCCTTCCCACCTAGGAACCTGTCTGCCCCCCACCACCATCAACGTGCCATCCACAGCGCCCAGGCTGTCCACATCAAAGGGCACCTGCAGGCCTGCACCAAGCCACCCTCAGTACCCTGGCCTCCCTCTCACACTTGTCAGTGCCCAAAGCCTGGAGGAAGCCAAGGCAGTTGGAGAGGCGACTGGTGTGTCAGCGCTGCTCCAAGCATGTGCAACCTGACCAGGTTGCGACAGCACCCAGGCTTAGCTACAACTTTGCTCTGCACTGAAGTGGGCTCCGGGAGCAGGACAAGGCCAGGGAACAGGAGCAGGCACTTCCAAGCCTGCAGGGGTAGGGGGCTTCCTGGGATCCTGAGAGCAAAGGGATGCTTGGATCTGGAGCTGTAGCTGGGTGGCTGGGCAGCTGCATCTGCACCCGGGAGCACAGGCTCCCATCCCACCAACTTGATAGGGTGCAGGGCTCCTGTTGGCACCACCTGCTTCCGGCCCCTGCTGGTGCTGCAGAGTGCACAGCTCTGGCTGCGCCTCCCTTGCTATAGCTGGCATCCTTGTAGTGGCCACTCCAGATGGGCCACCGCCACCATCACCATCACCATCACATAGATTATGTGACTCTGACAATTAACAATTTCTCTTATGACTTCGAGTATTGTGTCCCTAACATGAGGATCCATAAAGTGATAATCCTCCTATACCCCCAGCTCTAAAATTATTATTCTTTGCCAGGAAATAAAAAATCTGGAGTTTGTGGAAGAAAATGGGGAAAGGAATATATCTGTCAAACACCAGTGAAAGAAAGGAGGAATAAAGCTAAAATGGATTGATGTGACTGCTTCTATGTGCAGATTCTGTTAGAGGCATTGCCTCACAATCCTTACACCAACCTCAACAGACAGAGCAACCATCCATTCATTCAACAACTATTTACTGAACATCTGCTATGAGTAAGGCTGTGTACAAGGCGCTTGGGATACCACAGTAAGCAAAAGAAACACTCCTTGCCCCTCTGGATCTTAAATTCCAACAATGGAGACAAATTACAGAGAAAATGATTTAGTTACAATCCTCTTACGTGTTGTGAAGAAATAGGATGGGGTGTTTTGAGAGGAAGACCATGCAGTGGGGGCTAACATATATGGGAGATCATAGCAGGAAAGTTTTTGGAGAAAAATCATATTTACAATGAGCTAGTAAGCATGAATAAGAATTAGCAAGGCAGGAAGAATGAATTGCATAGGAACTTGACACAGAAAAGAATATGGTGAGTCCCAAAGTCATTATAATGCTCACCCTACAGGTGAGGCTTACACATGTATTTATCTCTTAAGTTATTTACTTATCCAGGCTCTCATTGCTCAAGACTGGGTTGTGAGGCTCAATATTAGGCCTATTGGAGTTGAAAGACTTTTGTTTTTTTATTGATAATGTCCACCTGGCTCCATTTTGATGACTACACCTACATCCCGCTGGTGTCAGTGTTTTAAAGTGATCCCAAAATGCACAGTTTGAGTCTCTCATCCGTTGGAGGGGTGACCTGTTAGTTGGTAGTAGATCATTGGATGCAACCTTGAAAAAGCTACCCAGAGTTGAGCAAGTCCTTCTACTAGAAATCCCACAGCAGGAAGGGCTAGAGAAGAGCTAGAAAAGGGGCTTTCTCTTCTTTATTCCTAGAAAGATGGATTGAGCAAGTGTTCCTGCATTTTGCAAAGCCCAAAGGGATACTGGGCATTATGTTTACACTGTGGAAAATATCACCATTATGATTTATTTACCATCTTTAAAGTTTCTAGTTACTGTGTAACAACACTTCTAACCAACTCTAAAGGCACTGCATTGATTATAGTTATTACTAAGCTGAAAGTTAAGAAATTGCTCACAAGAAATCTGCATCCTGTCATGTACCAAAGCCGCACATATTTGTCCCGGCTCTTTTTCTGAGTGCAGATAAACATGTCCCATGTGAGGGAGCTTTTCAACATTTCAATGGCTTAGTGGGATGCTCTTTTGAGCCCAGAGGGCAATTACTAAAACTTAAGGTAAGTGGGGAGGGGAACAGAAAACGTGATTGCCAGCCCAAATAAGTGAGGTCCAGGGGACGGCTTAAGTTGTGCATTAAGTATAATCTTTTGGCTTTGACAAGAAGGTGAGGTGACCAGTAATTAGCCATTCAAGTTGAACCCTAAGCACCATGACTTGGATGGGAAGTAGGCGGCTGCCTGCCCCACAGTTTCTAGCTGTTGAGAGCTTTGCACGCAGGAGCTCATCTTGAGCCTAATAAAGTGATTTTTAAGAGTGAAGCTGTTTGTTGGTTTGTTTTTCAATGTGTGCACTTTGATGTTTGTTTTTTAACCCTCAAAAGTATTGGCAAGGATAGATCAGGGCACTAGCTAAATGATCCACAACAAGGCCTTGGAAAAACTGAGAAACTGAACTACTGGTATAGTTCAACCTTTACGGCTTCCCACTGCTGACATGAGCTCACCTTTCAGAAATGTATTTTCATGGGACATATCCATCCCAAGCTGGCAGAGATAGATCCCTTGTAGCTGTCAGCAAATCTTTCCCATTAGCAAGGCATTCAATATTTGAAATAGGTGTAAATCTCAGTCTATAAATTCATGTGTTCAAGAAACATAAAATTTTTAGATTTCCTTACATCAAATTAAATTTGGATTCTGAGTAACCAGCCCACCAAGCTGGCAGGAAATTTAATCCAGCCATGCTTGGGCTGCTCTCACACCCCCACACACCAGGATTCTGCAAAAGTCTGGGTCTTACAGAGTACAGGGTCTTATGCAATGTTGAGGGAAGACTACTCTAGTATTTTGTCATCTGTCTACACTGGTTAGTGCTGAAGTAGCAATTGTCGCAGTCTACATGGCCCACTTAGATCTCATCTCTGCTATTTCAGGCCACATGTGGGATGCCAGGGATCTCTAGGAGGTGAGAAAACCCACCCTTAGGGTCTAGCCTCCCTTGGAGTACACACAGCCTCCTCCCTTCTGAGGGGTACACTTATGGAGCGGTTCCTGGCTCCCACAGCTCACAGGAGCAACAGGGCAGTCTCTTCTTCTCCAGCCTAAAGAAGCTTTCTCTAGGCTTTCTCCTTTATTGCCTTAAGCAAGGAAGAACAAGTCTGAGTACCTATTTGATATGAAGAGAAAGTGTAAAACATAAGGAGAGCAAACACAGTTGAGTTCACCACAGTCAGCCTCCTCTGTGTGTGTGTGTGTGGGAGGGGAGGTAGTGGCTGAAACATCTAATTGGTTATCAGGTGAGAATCTCATGTAACTCCCCCTGTATACATGGTTGGGTGGTGGAGGTCCAGCCCTATACAAAGTACTCCGATGCATGCCAGAGTTTGAGAATCACTGAGTTAAACCAAAGGAAGGAACAACAACCAAAAAAGACTATTTGCAAATGTCTAAAATCACTAGTAGTAAAAAAAAAGGATGGGGAGAGAATTCCAAAGTATTCCTGTTTGCCCGCAGAATTTACAACATTCTGATTTAATATAAAGCCTCTATATTTTTAATATAAGTTGATAGGTTTGCTTATTGTCGAAGGGATTAAAGGAGAGAATGCAGATATTTTAGGCAGGGATTAAATTCTAATTTAATTTTTTTGTAAGATTTTTTTCCCTTTTGTGTTCTTTAGCTTCACTATGTATGAATTTATTATTTTCTCTTTAATCCTATTTGCTACTTGTGGAGCACATTGAAGTCCGCGATTGTCATTCTTCAATTCTGGAAAATTCTACAGCAAGCTGTGAATTTAATCAGGACTGATGTGACTTTACTAAGTTGTCCTTATTGAGCAGCTACATCCAAGGCCTTGTATTTATTGGAATGGGAGGGGGATGGGATGGATACACTGTGTGCCAAAGGGGAAAAGCTCCGTGCGGAACACGGTCAGGAAAGCCCAGGCAGGGCGTCCACCCAAGCCCCCATCTGAAGAGCAGGGATGGAGTTTCCCCATCTGTGTCATAACTATGCTCAGAGGCCTTTCCCTGTTCAGACAAGATTTTACTCAGGAGCTCAACCTGTGAAACAGCTGCTCTGGTTGAAGCTCTCCTCCTCCCCCTCCGACTGGGGGCAGTCCTGGAAAAATCACAGGAGACTCAGCCAGCTTTACCAGCTCCTCCAGCGCTAGGCTCTTGGCCCACGTGTGATAGAACGCCCTGCGAAAGCTGATTAAACTGCCCTTTAAAGAATCCCATCTCCCACAGTGGAGATGTGTACTTGTCTTTAAGGCCTGCTCGCTCATATTTCTGGGAGGATCAGCCCTAGAAGATTCTGTTAGTTATGGAAATATGATTGTGCGTTTGAGAGGAAGCTTGGGTCTCTCTCTGGGGTGGAGGAGTTGAGTCTGAATGTAGAGGCACAGGGAAGTCTTTGTAGGACGGAGAAGATCTGCAGACAACAGCATGAATTGTTTGAATTTTTAACATGAAATTGAAGATCTTTCTGTGGGGGCGTGACCCTCCTTCTCTCACAGGTTCCAACACTCCCGATTGCTTCACACCTGGACAGATTCACATATATATGGGGCTTGTCTGGCTCCTATGGGCATCTGAGTTTGTGGACCCCTGGCCTATATGTAAAGCCAATGCTGCCCCAGAATTTAGCCAAACCAATGAAGTGAAGAATCCTCCCCATACATTTCCACATTGTCGTTTCAACTCTTGTCTTCTGATATGTACTCCTGTCTCCCAACACCACATCAGAATTAACCTCTATTGTTCCCATTAGCCTGATTTGTATCTCTCTTAGGGCTTAGAGCAATCTGTCTCATATTACCATTTTCTATACAGTAGTCCCCACTTATCTGAGGTTTTGCTTTTCTAGGTTTCAGTTACCCATGGTCAACCATGGCCCAAAAATAGATGAATACAGTACAATAAGGTATTTTAAGAGAGAGAGAGAGACCACGCTGACATAACTTTTATTACACTATATTGTTGTAATTGTTCTATTTTATTATTAGCCATTGTTGTTCATCTCTTCCTGTGCCTAATTTATAAACTAAACTTTATCACAGGTATGTATTTATAAGAAAAAACATGTAAGAGTTCAGTACTATCCACAGCTTCAGGCATCCACTGCGGGTCTTGAATGCATCCCTGGCACATAAAAGAGGGACTGAAGAATTACTCATTAATATATATCTCTGCAGGGACTTGGACAAGTACTCAATAATTATTTTTTGACTTATTGTCAGTTCGGATCAGGTCTGACTGCCACAATGTACAGAAGAACTGTAACCATCGTTACAGCCTCCATGCCATCACCACTTACCTCCCAGTGATATGGCCCCTCTCAAGAGCTGTTTGGAGGTAGAGAAGAGAATAAGACCAGTGGCAAGTCACTCAAATCTGGTACTATTCAGTTAAAAGGAACATCATATATAGGGGGAAAAGCTACAGAATATAATGGACCCTCATTTTAAAGGAAGAAACAGACTTTCCTCCTTGCTAATGATGACTTGGGAGAAGGAGAATGTGAAAATGTGTGTTTTCATACAGAAACCAATGGCCTGCTGCGCCCCTTCCAGTCTCTCTCATATGGACCCAGATGGGCTGCTGGTTATTGTAACCAGGCCCAACCCACCCACCCAGGTGGTGGCTTTACCTCCAATTCCAGGTCATTTTGGCACACCAGGCGAGCTTCGCCAGCACCTTTCCAGCTCTGAAAGGAAAAGAAGGGTACTGCCATCATGAATGGAGCTAGTGTGTAGACTGAATAAGTCACAGCAAGACTACAAGCAGTGCCATGTTCCATTCATTTAAGTAAAGAGAGCTGACATATTTTCCCAGGCTAGAAACAGAAATTGCATTAATGTGCTAATTGCAATCAGGACTATATCACTTTGCCTTTTTATTGCATTCAGAGTTTTGTTACCCTATATTAAAAATCATACACCACTCTTCATTTCCCTAAATATTTTAATTGGTATATTTTAGTCTGGATGTGTGTACATTCTCTGTTCCCTCCCATCTGGGTGTAATTTTCCATCGTCTCCCCCTGATGATCTGCATTTTCTCCTTCAAGTCCCTCCTGTAAACCCACTTCTGTGGATCTTGCTTTCACATTATGCCATTAAAAGATCCAGCTGGAAGGAAGTGCCTCTGAATGGAGTCCAAGAGAAGAAACAAAGAAGATGGAAACCAGATGCCATTGAAGTCATCCCCATGTGAGTCATGGTTTTCTCCTGGAAAGTGTCTATCTCAATGCTGTGCATCTTTTCAATTTGAAGCCCACTAGGCAGAAGCTCTCCCTCCATCTATGTGTGTTTTAGCCATCCTCAGTAGAACCATATATTTTGAATACTATTGGCATACAGTAAATGTATACATAGTACTAACAGTAACAAATAAATATTTACTAGTTAGGTTTTAGATCCAACATAAGATAGTCATTTCTTTCATGGGTCATTTACCCACTCTTATTCCAGGCCCATTCTTCACCAGCTACTCTCAGGATTTGAAGTGAATGCTCTAGTTTGATAAGGGTGTAGGGTTTAGGATTGTTCAGTATTAAAAACAAATAACAACAAAAAACCAAAATATAGATAAAGCCAATGCTGACCTCCAGAGGTTAGAATCAACATATCTTTTCTTGTTTTTAAGTACAACTTAAACAGATTTCTGTGTAACAGATCGTATCATCTCTGAAGTTTGTTCATTCAGGTAGGAAAAAAGACCAAAAACTCAGCTAATATTATTAAAAAATAATAATAAAGTGAGAGGAAGATCCCTGTTTTCCCCAAGTGGTTTTAAGAAACAGCTTTCAAAACTCTTCTAGAAGGGTATTCAATTAAGCCAGTAGCAAAAATGTAACTGGCAAAATCTAATGTTGTTTTAAAAAAAACACATGTGCATGCACCCACATACACACACATTTATATACCCACACAATATTATATATATATGTGTGTGTGTGTGTGTGTGTGTGTGTGTGTTCAAGATGGTGGACTGGATGCTTGCATTTATCTACACTCCTTTTCAAAATTCTGCTGAAGAGTCAGTTAAGGAAATAAATTCATAACCATGCTGAAGACAAAAAAGGAAACCATCAGCAGACATTTTGATACTTTTCTGGAAGAAGGAAAGACAGTGAATAGTATGGATAGATGAAACAGAGCAGAGAAAGCAGCACCCCAGATATACTCAGGAGGAGGCTGCAGAAAGGGTGGAATGTTCTTTCCAAAGAAGCCTTGGGGAATCTTCACGTTGGACATGAACAGATTCAGAACTCAGGAATGGAAAGAGGAGCAAAAACCAAGTGATTAACAGAAGGTTGACCAGAGAATGGTTGCACCGTTTGACTTTTGTCATCTCTCTCCTCTTTTCCCATGCATACAGATGGAGCAGCAAGAGGGGATTCAGAAACCTTCGTCCCCTCCCCAAGATCTGATCTATTAAGAAAATAAGATGTCTCCCTGGGAGAGCTAAGGCTTGTTGTATGGTATTTGGCATTCCACAGTGAAGCCCTCTGTTTTTGGTGTTTTGAGGTGAAAAGAAAGTCATTTGCATGATTCTCTGTACTTGCATCCTAAAGGGAAGCTTGTGGTTGACACATCCCACCCATGTACACAGCCAGCCACCAACCTCAGATATGCTTACTGAGGAGACACACCTACTCAGTGGCAGGGAGCTGCACCTGACACCTAGCCACCGTTGTTAATTACCTAGCCCTTCATTCATAAATATAAACAAATAGCATGAATGATTGAGTTGACAGAGTGGAAATGGGGCATGAAAGAGAACTGTTATACATGTGGTGTCAAAGGATACTATCTAACACCAAAGACTCAAGAAATAAAACTGTAAGTCTATTGTTTAAAGTTATAATTGTCACTGTGGTTTGCCATCTCACATCCATTTCCCCTATATGTAGCTAGCAGAACCCTAACCTTCATTTGAAGTAAGCCTTCCTTCTCCACTCTTAGCTCACATGCTTTGGCAAATGTGAATGTAATTCTACACCCATGATGGAATATGGGACCTAGGTCTAGGCCAAAGTGTACAACCTATGCCCTTGGCCACATCACTTGTTTTGAAATGAGCAAGCCAACCCCATCTGCTTAAGTGGTATAGAAAATTATTGTGCAGAAATATTCTCTGCCTCCTTCTCACTTTCATGGGAGGAGAGTACGTCTCCATTCGGTTGATTTGGGGTACAGTCATGTGACTTTCTTTGGCTAATGAGATGTTAGCAGACATGACACAGCATAGGGTACACATGTTTGTGCAGCTGGTCTTGCACTCTTGTGCCTCTGTCATCACCATGAGAATATGCTTGGGATGGGTCACCGGTCTCAGGAAAGAAGATAAGAGACATATGGAACAGGGCTGAGCTACACTAGCCCAGAAGCGTAAGAAAGATCAGCAGAGCTGTCCATACAAGCCCAGCCTAAATTAGCTGACCCCCAGCTGAGCTCAGAAGTGTGAGCAGCTCCTACTAAGATCAGCAGAACCCCCAACAAGCCCAATCTAGATCATCTGACCTCAGCCAACCCACACATACACATGTTAAGTAAATGCTTATTGTTGTAATCACTGAGTTTGTGTGTGTGTGTGTGCATGTGTGCGCACGTGTGTGTGTTTTAACTGAGCATCATTGTGGTCACAGCTAAATAGCATTACAAGAAAGACAGATGCTTACTTTCCTGCTAGTCTAGAATCTAAGAGGATATGAAACCAGAGCTACAGCTGTGGTCACCACATAGAACTTGAAGATGAAGTGTGCAGACTGAGGACAGCTGAGCTGAAATCGAGTCCCGCTCACATTGAGCTCTCAATTTAGCCTGGTCTAATGCCAGTTCTGCCTCTGATCTTGTTTATATGAGCCAGTAAATTCCTTTTGTATTGCTGAAATCAGATGGATTTGGCTTTTTCTATCCAACTTGCAATCAGAAGAATCTTAACTAATACCAAAGTATACAGGTAACCAATGATAGAAATAAATTCATAAAAATGAGAAGAGAGGGGTGGGGGAGTGGCGTACACAAAATAATTTCTCATCTTACACGGCATGGACAACATAATGTTCAATTCAGTAAATCAAGAAATATAAATATAGGCATGTTTTATGGAGATGATCATGGGAAAGGACTGAAATAAGAAATAAAGTTGGTTTTACTGGGACAGAGAATATGACCAAGGGATGAGGTGTTCATTTTTTTTTTTATCTTATGGAGATCTGTGGTGTCCCATGGGTGGCCACTAGCAGCAGTTGGTCATTTAAATTTAAATTAATTAAAATTTAAAATGCAGCCTCTTGTTCACAGTAGCAGCATTTGTAGTGCTCAACAGCTAGCTACATGTGGCTAGTGGCTACTGTACTAGATTGAACAGATATTGAATCTGTCCATCACCATCACCGCAGCAAGTTTAGTTGGACAACGCTGTAGTGGAGTGTCAGGAGTCACTGTGTAAAGTCAATGAATCAAACAACAGAAGTTTAAATACATCATTCAAAATTGCCCCATCACGATTTCATGGTACAGGCCCTGGAGGAAAAACAGCTTAGTTTCCTTTCAAATCCCAGCTCTGATACTTACAAGTTACTGAACCTTGGGTAAGTCACATTGATCTTTCTGTACTTCAATTCACTTATCAGTAAAATGGCAGAATACATGCAGACCTTTCTCACAAGGTTGCTGTGAGAATTAAATAACCAAATATATGTAAGTTCTTATATTTTGTGCCCAGCATGTGGTAAACATTCAATATTTACTTTTTATTTTCTATCCTTCTCTAAGTTAATTTTATTTTACCATATGCACATAGTTTAAATAAACTATGTATATATGAGATTTATAAATCAGTATTTAAATATAAATATAATATTTAATTTTTATCTCTCATATACAGTATATGTACATATACATATATCTCAGCTCCAGTTCATGGGATTATAGATGCTTTCATTTTCTTCTTTGTACATTTCTATAGTTTCCAAATTTCTGTATTGAACATGTATTATCTTTATCACCAGAAAAAAAAGTTTTTACTTTTAAAGATACCAACATATTTTGAGATGAACAGTGTTCTACATCTGGATCATTTGCTTTTGCTGATTTAGTCCACAGGGGCCCATTACATAATCTGTTGTTAGCCAACTGGGGCTTCATGACCTCTTTCCTGGGCTATTACAAAATCCTCCTGGCTGGTCCCCTTCCCTGTCCAGCTCTCTCCCAGCCTCCCTGTGCTGTCTCCACAGTGCTGCCAGAGTGATCCTTCCACAGCACAACATTTATAACACTCCCCTGCTTAAAACCTGTCAGCGTTTTTCTGTCCTTTACAAGTTAACTGCCCAGTCCAAGGCATGCCCCACCAAAGCCTTCTTATTCTAACCTTGCCTGCCTTTCCAGTCTTTTAACCCCCCACCAAATGTATCCAAGTCTCCACCCACAAACCACAAGGAGGAACATTCTTCTACCCCTTCTCCATTTCCAGTTGGAAGTCCCATTTATCCCACAAGATGTGCCTAACTTTGCACTAATCTCCAAAAGCAGAGCTCAGAGCTCCCACTCCAATCAGCACCACTGTCTCAGAGCCTGTTCTACTGAACAGCAATTATTTGTTTACATTCCAGACTCACCCTCAAGTATGCGCTCCTTGAGGGTGTGGCATCTTTGCCTTCCTGTGTCCAGCCCAGAAATTGACACCAAATAGTGCTTAATAAATGGTTGTTGCACGGATTCAGGAAGAAATTGTTTTAATTAAGATAGTAAATGTTCACTGCAGAAAATTAGAAAGTCTAGATAAATCAGAAGCAAAGAAAAAAAAACATGAAGCACATGTAATACCACCTCTCAGTAACATCAACACCTTGGTATATGTCCACAAGCTAGATTAGAGGTTCTCAAGCTTTCTTGGTTCATGGCACTCTCAGTGTTTCCGTAAATTTGTCTAGCATTTTAGACCAAAATAAATTATGTTTATTATGTAGTTTAGTCCAAACACCTTAATGGTAGTATGTAGTTCCCAGTGTCCAAAGGTGTCACTGTGTTTCCCTAGAAATTTTAGAATATATTGGGATGGGTGTTGCTGTGAATTCACCATAGTGCCCCAGGATTCCTTGGCACACAGTTTGGGAATTACTGGTCTAGACCTTCTAAAAGGATCTTTTAAAATACAATACATTGTCATATTGTACAGACTTTTGTTAACCAATGATTTGTATTTAATAAGAAGTAATACATGACTTTCCTGCTTGGTAACTGCTTATCTACCAATAGCTAATATTTGATAAGTACCTGGTAAGTTCCCTATGAGGAAGGTGTAATGCTACATCATTATCTTCATGAAGAAGCTGAGACACTGAGTTGTACATGAACAGCAAGGTATACGTTTAAAAAGGAAAAAATGAAAAAAGAAACTGAGGCACTGGCAATTTAAGAAACTTTACCAATATCTAACAGGTAGTAAGTTCACAATCAGGCTGCAAACCCAAGAAATCAAGTTTTAGAATCCGTACTCTTTTAACCTTCACAGCATCATTTAAATGGGGTGTGAGGCTACAATGGTGTTCTATGGTAAAGATGTATTACAACTTACTTAAATCATATCCCAAATATTAGACATTTAAATTGTTTCCAAGTTTTCACTATTTTCAACAATCTTGAAATGAACATCTTTATGGCTACATACTTTCATATTTATTTCCTTGGAGAAAAAAATCTATAGAAGTAGAATTTCTTTGTCAAAGAGTACAGTTTCTCAAAGAACTAAAAATAGAACTACCATTTGATCCAGCAATCCCACTGCTGGGTATCTACCCAAAGGAAAAGAAATCAACATATTAAAAAAAGTACCTACACCCACATATTTATTGAAGCACTATTCACAATAGCAAAGATACGGAATTAATCTAAGTGTCCATCCATCAACAGATGATTGGATAAGGAAAATGTGGTACATATATACAATGGAATACTATGCAGCAATTAAAAAGAATGACATCACTCTTTTGCAGCTTGAATGGAACTGGAGGCCATTATTTTAAGTGAAACAACTCAGAAACAGAAAGACAAATACAGCCTGTTCTGTCTTATAAGTGGGAACTAAATAATGTGTCCACGTGGACATTGAGTGGGGAATGATAGGCACTGGCGACTCATAAGGGTGAGAGAGTGAAAGGGATGTGGATGGTAAGAAATTACTTAATGGGCACAATGTGCGTTATTTGGTGATGGATACCCTAAAAGCCCTGACTTTACCACTACAAAATCTATGGATGTAATAAAATTAAATTTGTACCTCATCAATTTATTTAAAAAATTTTTTAAAGATGTACAAACTCCAAGTTTTTTAGTACTTGTATTCCAGCTATTCTACCAAATAGGCTGGATAAATTTCTATTTCATTATTTGTTTTTTCTAATTCAGTGTTTCACAAACACTGAATATTTTTATTATTTAAAAAAATGTTACCAATAAATCTCCCTAAGCCAGGAAGATACACTTACATTTTACAAACCTTTCCACAGCAAAGAATATATTTATGGAACAATGAAGGTGGCAGTAGGAAGGATTCAAGGGACCTTGGGCCTGCCCAGTCCTTCTGTGACCATAGGAGAATAATTTAATATCTTCATTTCTACTTGTCTACTAACATGACCAGTGCTTTTCAAACTTTTCACAGAAATAGCCCAAAGATACAAGAGAATAAAAACTTATTCCTAGAGTTAGGACCCTGGGGTGTATTGATCTAAAGAGATCCATTGCAGGCATGCAGTTTTTCCTCCTCTCAGATTCAGGCCAAAACTGCCTTCTTCTCCATAAGATGTTGGGGTTTTTAATATAGTAACATGAGTTTTGTTTTTTCATTTTTATCAGATAGAATTGTTGCTCCAGGGAGATAGATGTGCAATAACTTAATATGTAGCTTCAAGGACCCCAAGAGACTGCTGTGTACTCCACTTTGAGAAACAAGAAATTCTCTTCAAGATTCTTTCAACCTTGGTCAGTGTAAGATTCTAGAGAACACGATCTGTTCTCCAGTTAACCATAAAATGTGCGGTCATTATTCTGGGGGTGGTTAATTTTCCTAGAGGGGTCAGCATTTTTCTTTCCCATCAATTTCCTTGATTCCTGATACAGAAATGGCCTTTCCTCTCTGTTCTGACCATGCCTGGCCATCACTGGAGAGGCTGACAATTTAGATCCACATCCTAGAGTCACTAATAATAATAGTATTTCCATCTTCACCCTGAAATCCACACCCAGCTTTCTTAATTAACTTCCTTCTACTCTAAATTTGTTTCATGGCACAGGTAATGTGATGCAGCAATGAAGAAACACTGTTCTTGGCATAGAAAGATCTAAGTTAAACTCCTAGATAGACCTTCGGGAATCACAACTTCCCCGAAATTCAGTTTCTGCACTGGTAATATAGGAATAGTAATGGTTCTTATCCTGTCTCTCTGACAAGTATGTGGTGAAGATCCTACAAACAAACCTTGGGGGCTTTGGGTAAGTATTATTTTTATTATTTAATATCCATCCTGAATTCAGAAGCAGGAAAAAATTCCTTGTCACATTACCCATGACAATCCTCCAGTTTGGAATGTTGGTGGTTGGGAAGCATGCTCCAGCTCTGAGGAGGCTGTGGCGTCAGCTGGATGCTGCTGTGGAGCTGCCTCTACAGGTCTGCACCAGACACAGGGGAAGCCCTTTTGGAAACAATGATGGGCATTATTGAGCTGGGTGGGGCCAGAGAGGGAATGTCGGTAACCACTAGTGAACTGTAGCCAAGCCCCTGCATGGCAAGGAAAGCTCTTTCTCCTGGGATTTGACTTTCTGATGAAGAAGTCACAACTAAGGTAAAATATTTTAAACTTTCAAGTCATCTAAGTCTCAAAGCTCTCCAGAGGCAGGTGGTGAATGCCTCAGTGGGCCTTGAGTAGGAACTGGAACCTCTGCACCAGTTTCTGCTTTTTTGCTACCACCAGCCCTAACCCTCACCCTCCACAGAACAAGTCACACCAGGGAAGAGTGAGAGCCAAGCTTTTTGTCGCTGCCAAGCCATGAAGACCCTGGAGGCCACATCAGACAAGCCATGAACGAGCAGCTCAAATTGAGCAACTTGAACAAGGAAACAAGCTCAGGCAGGCACCACAAGCAAAACAAGGGCAAAAATTGAAGAAGGATGGAAAATGGAGCTCCCAAAGCAGTCACAGAAAAAAGGAGCATCAAGATTCATATCAGAAAAAGTGGGAAATAAAGGAATCACAGGCAAAAGAAGTGACCAAACTCCTCCCTACATCTCACACGCACGAGTTTGCTCACAACTCAGCCTTCCTCATTCTGTAGCCATTGTTTTTCTGCTGTTTTCTGCACGTAGTTTCATTTGGGGCATGTGTGGATGAATTTATAGGTCTAAACACCAGGCAGTGAGAAGCTATTCCCAGTTGTAAAAAAACAACAAGCAAATCTACAGATTGTGCTCTTGTTCAAAAACGGTTGGTTTCAGAAAAGATAACTCTTGTCTTAACTATATGTGATGAATACAGAAAAAATAAACTTTATGTCAGGGGAATAGGTTCATTTAGAGGAAGTCTCAGATATTAATTTCATTTACCAAGCACAATATCCAGGAAATGTTAATCTAAGCACAAAACACACACTTTTAAATTATTCTTCACAGATTTGTTTCTTGCTGTCTTTACTTATATCCATATGCCATATCAGCTGGTCACCTGTTTCTAGTTTCTTTGTTGTTATTCAGTTGTTTGTTTGGGTGTTTTTGTCTGTCTTGGTTGTTCTGTTTCTTTGCTTTTTCCCTCTCCTAACTTTACTTGGAGAAGAATAAAGCAGCAGAAAGGAATAGGGGTTAGCTGCATGCCTCTGGAGTTTCTGGCCCTGTTCTACCTCACAGTGCATAACTTGCTGAGTTCAGTGTAAAATGAAAATACAGGGCTCCTTGTTCAAAAATTATTAAGAATCTCAAGACAATGACCTCAGAGCATTAAACCAGGTACAGGGCCTTCTTTGACAGTTCAGTTCACACGGTAACTGTGTGACTTGGAAAAATCATCCTGAGAAGCCTCAGGCTTCTTATCTTTAAATTTGGGACAATAATAGTACTTATTTCGCGACGTATGGAATGATTAAATGAAATGATGTTTGTAAAGTGCTTTGCACAGTACTTAGCACACAGCAAGCACTTAAACATTATTAGCTATCGTTGTTACAAATTACCTGCTTATACGTAATACCAAGAAACTGAAAATCCAAACGAAATGAGGAATTAGGCAACAATTAGGTCATACAAGACAATCACCACTAAGTCTTAAAATTTTTTTTTTAATGGAGTTGGGGATCTTGCTATGTTGCCCAGGCTGGTCTTGAGCTCCTGGATCAAGCAATCCTTCCACCTCAGCCTCCCAAAATGCTGAGATTGCAGGTGTGAGTCACTGCACCCAGCCTACACTCTTTTCTGTGCTTACATTTGAATTATCTGAACTGGAAATCTTTAACATAAATTACCCAAATAATTACATTAGTTGCCTCATTCACTTTGGCAATGAGTAGATCTGGTCAGTCAAGATTTATTGTTCAAATGTACAGTACAGTTCAAATGTTCTACAAAAAAAAAAAAAAATGAACCAGGCTAAGACTAGTGCAAAAAAGTTGACCAACTGGGAAGATTTGGAGATTGAGGAACTACTTTGAGGGGAAGGTGCAAAAGAAAAAGATGATAGTGACAATTTTGAGATGATTGTCATTTACTGCCAGTGTGGACAGATCTCAGAATGAGAGCCTATATAAAATGTCCATCCTTTATAGAGAAGCTAGAGCTTACAGAAGAATTTTTTTAATTCAAATATTATATTGTAAAATGTTCCAATGGTACAGAAAAATACACTCATAATAAACCCACCCCATAGCTTTATCAAATCTTAACAATCTTTACATATTTGCTCCAGATTGTAAGATTTGTATTGTAAAATATAAAATACAAACATAGAACCCCAGCAAAATAAGCGCATAGCTTAATATAAGGTGAACACTCTTGTAATCACCATTAGGTCAAGAAACAGAACTTGGACACCCACACTGGAACCCCTCCATGAGCCCATTCTAATCACAAGCCTTTCCCTTGCCCCCCAAAACAACCTCTATTCTGACTTTTATAGAAATCACCAAAGAGAGACTTTTATTTTGGTTTGAGACAAAGAGAGAAAAGGAAATCAATATTGGCCATACAATACCAAAATAACACAACTGATAAATAGTATCATAAGCAAGAACCAAAAATCTAACAGTAGAAATTTCTCTTGGGCAATAAAGACTTCCTTTACTCCCCCTCAAATAATTGAAAGCTTTCCTCTCTTTTCCCTTCTCTCACACATGGATTCAACATTTTCCACATTGGATCCATTTTGGCATTTTTCAACCTATTTCATCTCTAACAGTGAAAACACACTGCCTCTGTTTCTGTAATTATTTAGCTAAAGCCACAAAAACTGGATAATGTTCAAAGTTGGAAATAATAATCGATAAGTCCATTAGGGTCCTGCTTCTAATATTAATAACTATACTTTTAATATTGAGGTTATTCTTTTTTTGCTTTTGCTTTTATTTAAGTTGGAGATTATGCTTTGAATAAAGATGCTAGTATCTGTGCAAAATTGTTTATTTCATATATATGATGGATCCATAGCTAGGACCTAGGTGAGACCAATGCTTTCATCTTACCAGATCCATAGTCTCCTAGATTTGAAAGGAATCTTAGACTTTCGTAAGCCCTCTGCACTTGGTAGATACCTATAATAGACACCATATCTGCAATAGAGACATAATGCATTAATTAGAATTAAAGGGGACCGTTTATGTGTTAGGATTCTGGGTGCAAGTAAAAAAACACTCCAAATCATTTCAGCAAATATGGGAATTTACAGGCGCATTTAACAAACTGAATAAAAAAAGGGCCAAAGTGACTGCAATACTTTCGACATTATTTTTATCTCTCAGCTCTGCCTCCACATTGGTATGTCAGCTCTCTTATCCCTAGCTGGCTTTCAGAATCTGAAGGTTGGAGTCATAGCTGTCCCCCACTCTAGGCTCACATTTTTGAGCCTCACATTCCTGGTGGGAAAGGGACTCTGTCTCCACCCCTGATGAAAATAAATCCTGAGTGTGTACAACTGCCAAAACTCTGCAAATATACCCTTAAGATATGTGCATTTCATTGTATGTAATTTTTATAGCAAAAAGAAAGCCCACTGTAAACAAATACTGAATCTTACTTAATGAACACAAGCTGAAACATTTATGGAGATGTGTATAATATTTGCAATCCACTTTTAAATGCAACAAAAAGAAATTGAATTAATAGCTGGTGAGATGGATAGATATGAGATAAAGCAAATGTAATAAAATGTTAATGGCTACTGGTAGAGTTTGGGTGGCGGGTGTTCACGATACAGTTCTTTCAACTTTGTGATGTTTGAAAATTTTCATAATAAAAGGTTAGGGGCAGGAATTAATCCCAAGGAAAGATTGTACTTTAAGTAGCTTGGGTCCCTTACCCAGTGCTGAACCAATGTGAGGGTTAAGACACTGACTGCTCAGCTTCCATCAGTTGCCTGCCATGAAACCATCCACCACGACCTGAAAGGCATTGTCACATAGCTCTTGTTCAGGACACATGTTAGAGGAGGGAGCAGAAAGAAAAGAGTTTCCAGGGAAGCGTGATTCCCCGCAAAGAAAGGGGTAAAGCACAGACAAGTACTGGAGCACACCATCAGGAGGTAGGCAGCCACCGCATGTGACTCTTTGACCGTCTTCAGAACAACAGGGTGAATGGTAGGTTCTGAGTCCTGCACTATGATGAGGTCCCTCCTTGCCATTCTCAAATCAAAACTAGCAATGGAATCCGACTTTTCTCAGCCAGTGACTTTTAAATACATGCCACAAGGGATTGGAGGAAATAACAGAATATGCCAGAGTGTGAGTGACCAGTATTTCAGAGTGAAGACATACTTCTTTACAGATGGGCTAGCTTTCAACCATTTGCTAGATCCTGGTTTAAGAGTGAAGCAGTTTATGTCACTTAGCATCTCACTCCTGTGAAGCCCAGATTCCACAATAAAAAACAAACAATATATATATATTTTTTAGTTTAGTAGATTAGGTTAGCTTGTATGTAAAGGGGAGGTTAATCTTTTCCTCCCTGCCAAGAGAGGGCTTAAGCACTTGTTCTTTAGTACAATTATGTATTAATGTATGTATTTTTGTACTCAATTATTAAAAGGCCCAAATTTCTTTCTCTCTGACTCTCTGTCTTGCTATCCAACTTTTGGATATTGGCTTTTATCAGGAATTTTAATAGTCAGCATTAGGAGATAATACACCCTTGCCTACAAAATTCAAAACACATTTGCATAGTTTTTAATTGACAGGAACATGAGGTCAGGTTTGCTAAATGAAGCCGGGTGTCCTCAAATTGGCTGAGAAAGGGTGTACATTAGCCAAGGCCATCTCAGCCTTTTGTCTTTTCCCACTTGATTCAGGAGCATCCTAGATGCTCCTCCATTCTTTCCTCCACTACCGCCTCCCACACATCAAAACTAGTAACTCAAGCCGCTCCTGACAGTCCCAGGCCAGAGCAGGGAAAGAGCAGTTTCAGGACCAGCCAGCCGTTTCACCCAGGGTGGCAAAATCCCAGAACTCTACAAAACGACCAGCAACTACAGAGTCAACCACACAGGCTTTTTTGAATGGATTTTTTCCCCCAAAATTTTATAGCCATTCATTTCTTCAATAGCTGCAGCAGTAGTTTTCAAATTATATTATGATAAAGAAAAAAAATCCCTGGAAGCTCTGTATCTGAAACTGTTGCTGTTTCCTTCTGCCTAGCTCTCCAAAGTTATAAATATAAATTTAAGGAGCAATAATGATAACATCAGCTAGCATGTATCCAGAACTTGTGATACACCACACACAATGCTATTCCCTTTACATATAGTAGCTCATTTAATATTCTCAACTACCTAATGATGTGGTTTCTATTAATATTTCCATTTTACACATGAACAAATTGGGGCATACAGAAGTTGAACAATCTGCCCCAAGTCACATGGTTAGGAAGTGGCAGAACTCGGGTTCAAAGTCAGAGATGGTGCTTTCACTACTATGACATGAAATTGAAGAAATTCTAAAGGGAATTGTCTTCCCAAGATCACACAGGAGCAGGGACTGGAAACCTGAATTTGCTACTTGGAACTCTGGGTCCTTTTCTGGTACAGTACAAATAGAACTGCGGGACTCCTGAGAACTTTCTCATAAAGAAGGGAAGGAGAGCCATCCCAGAGTGCAGTGACTTGGGTTTTCCAACCTTACACTTACAGAATTTGGTTAAAGGTCACAAATTGTGTCTATGTGAGTGGGAACTGCTCAAAAAAGACCAATAGATTTGGCCAAATCAGCTCAACCCAATCTATAAAGGTATCCGATGAGACAAGACCAGAGTTCCTGGGTTCATGGTGCCTAAGACTACAGTCAATAGAAGATGCTGGATCTCTGCCTCGTTCCAATTGTTTACACATATGGGGACCCTACCATGGTCTGACCGAGGCCAATGAAGAAAAAGAACAATGAGATGAGCAAAACAAATATCAGATTTCCACTTTGAATCAGTGGTTCTCAACTTAGAATCTTAATATGATTCTTTTTTGTAGCGAAAACTTTCAAACATACACAAAAGTAGAGAAAATGGTGTAACAAATCCCACGTATCCAGCACCTAACTTGCACAATTATCACCACCTTGCCCTCTTGCTCAGATCTTTTTAAAAATAGAAACTGTAAAACCTCACTCTAGAAAAGTGCCATTCAATAGGTGGGATCTCAGGATCTGCATCTTTTTCAAAGCTCTCCATGCAATTCTGATGAGCGACCTGGTTGGGGCTGCCTCACCCCTGCTCTTAGAACTGGGGACTGCTTAGAATGGCAATCATTAAAAAGTCAGGAAACAACAGGTGCTGGAGAGGATGTGGAGAAATAGGAACACTTTTACACTGTTGGTGGGACTGTAAACTAGTTCAACCATTGTGGAAGTCAGTGTGGTGATTCCTCAGGGATCTAGAACTAGAAATACCATTTGACCCAGCCATCCCATTACTGGGTATATACCCAAAGGACTATAAATCATGCTGCTATAAAGACACATGCACATGTATGTTTATTGTGGCACTATTCACAATAGCAAAGACTTGGAACCAACCCAAATGTCCAACAATGATAGACTGGATTAAGAAAATGTGGCACATATACACCATGGAATACTATGCAGCCATAAAAAATGATGAGTTCATGTCCTTTGTAGGGACATGGATGAAATTGGAAATCATCATTCTCAGTAAACTATCGCAAGGACAAAAAACCAAACACCTCGTGTTCTCACTCATAGGTGGGAATTGAACAATGAGATCACATGGACACAGGAAGGGGAACATCACACTCTGGGGACTGTTGTGGGGTGGGGAGAGGGGGGAGGGATAGCATTAGGAGATATACCTAATACTAACTGACGAGTTAATGGGTGCAGCACACCAGCATGGCACATGTATACATATGTAACTGACCTGCACTATGTGCCCATGTATCCTAAAACTTAAAGTATAATAATAATAAAATAAAATAAAATAAAAGAACTGGGGACTGCATCTGCCTGAAAGAGGTAAGAAGGCTTCCCTGGAGTTGATGGCATGGCATTACATGACTTACAAGAAGAGATTCGAACATTCAGAAGTTTAACTGCCAGGGCCCATGCAGGAAAGAATTCATTCCAGGTGATTTGAATGAAGAAGATGTAAGGACAGAGGAGAGGGCAGGTTAAGGAAAAGTTAGGGTGGTTGATGCATCCAGAGACTAGCAACAATAGGAGGCTATTACCAGCCTCCTAGGGCCATTACCAGCCCTGGGGCCCAGGGCCAAGACAATTGCTAGAGTCTACTGAAAACTAGAACCATAGATAAGGAGCTAATTGGCAGAAGCTGTAATTTGAAGTAATTGAGCGCAGCTACTTCTAGAGACATACTACAGAAGCAGAGGGCTCAGAAGTTATACACTGACCTCTCTTCCCACTCTCCTGTCTCCTACCGGGGCCTCTCAATGGCCAAACTCAACTCAAAATCAGCCAGCACACCAAGAGATGTATCTGCAGGGATCAGCCTCCCAGGGCACAGAGAAGAGCAGAGAATGCATCTGGGGAGCAGAACAAGATGGGAAATGGGGGCAGAAAATAATCAGCAGGGGAATAAGTCAGTCCTTCCTGTCCCTGGAGTGAGAGGAAATGGCTGATGCTTCCTGGAGTCAGTCTGACACTTCTCAGCCCTAGAAGATGCCAAGTCTAAGAGCAGAGGGATTGCCTAATCCTTGATAATATCAGTCCAAAACTTTTGTCATGGATGGCATTGAGAATGCTTTGGTGGAACAGATGAATGTACCCCTTTCCTCACAGTCAAGCTGTACTCCATGGGGGCAAAAGTTCAAGACTGTAATCATTGCATATTTAAGTTGTCACAGTGGAGAGGCCTGGCTTAATTTTTTTTTAAGTTAACATTATTTACTGGTCACAGGGACATTAGTTCTCAGTGAAATGCAGTTAAAGGCGATTACCTCCTCATTGCCACTTATTCTCAATTTACCAACTAAAAGGACAATGTGGGGGTTCTGAGCACAGAAGTTTTATGGAGCCCATTTTCCCCTTGAAATCTTGAACGCTATTATTTGCCAGTTGTTTAAAAGCTAGCATTTCAGTTTTCAAAGCTACAATCACATTTATTTTCTGGTTAAAGAGCAGGAGAAGAAAAACAACTCCCCAGGTTGAAGTTAATGTTTTTAACTCCTTCTCCCCAAGAGACATATACATATGCAAGCTTGCACCTCTAGGCTCTGGAAACATGATAAGCCATGTAACTGCTCCGAACCAGGGAACTGTAATAAAACCAGAGCATCTAAACACAAGGCAGAGGAACCCGAGAAGGAAGGTAAAATTCTAAGCAGTCTCCTTTGAAAGGGTCACTGACCAACTGGGGCATACACAAAAGAAGGAGTGATCAGAGTGACAACAGACATTGAGGGTCTCTGTTTGTCTCCAGTTTTCTGAAGGAATGGAATAACTAATTATATGCTTTCAAAGGGCAGAACTAGAACCAATCATTACAGGAAAATCCCTTTCACCTCAGAAGGAAGAAGCTGATAACTGATTTATTCACTGCTTCAGTGCTGTACTTAGTGCTTGACTTATAAAGGGCACTCAATGTTTGCCAAATGAAAGGTCATCACGGGCACTGGTCAGTGGTAAAAACTGCCACTGTAGCTAGAGAGCTACGTGTCACTAAACAGAGTGTCCGGTGATTCAGAATTCAAAGCCCGGTTGAGCCCTTGCAGGGAGCACTGTTGAGTGCATCCCTGTATGCGACGGACAATTGAATCTGTTCTGTTTCTGGGGTTGATCAATTCTAAAGCTAATGGTGCTCCAGTGGACTAGAACTTGGTCAGGAGTGGAGGGTAAGGAAGTTATCAGGGCAAGTCCGTCCTCATTCCTGGGGATGATCAGAAGTGGAAGGTAAATCTCAGAAATTCCCCCCATGTTGGGGATAAAGCCAGCCTCTCAGATTAGAAAAATAAAAAGCCAATGTGAGGACTCCCTGAGAAGACATCTGAATATTTTCCCTTGTTGGAAAAGAAGAACCAGGAGTTGAGTCCACCATAGCCTATGTGGAGGAGTAGGATTTCAAGAGACAGGGCAAAGGTGTTTCTGCTAGGTGCAGGCAAAGGAAGAAGGCCAGGAGGATTATTTAGAAGTTGACCTTTAAGCAGCCAAATGACATCCATCCCTCCAAACTTCTAAAGGTAACAAGCAAGAAAATGAAGCCATCGTTTCAGCACCAGCAATTGTAACGTAAGCCTGTGAGTATCTCCCTCCACCCCACCCACCACCAAGTGAACACCTTTAAATATCCGCGATTTTGCATACAGTTAATTAAAGAATGTAGTTTGATTGCTCATCTCATCTGTTCTATAGTTGTGAGTCAATGTATGGAATTTACACTCTGGCTTTGATTCATCTCTGAGCATTCAATTTAGCAGGGAAATTTTCCTTCTCTCTTTCGACTTGGGATCCTGGCTCTTTAAATTCTATCCTTATTGCCAGGCTGTTGTCATGGAGAAAAATAACTTTAAGTAGCTCTTTGGAAAGCTTTGAGTTGCTGTTCCTTGCTATTTAAAGATCCCCCAGTAAAACGAAAAGTACACTCTGTTTCCATATAAGGCTCTGCCACTCCAAGGCAAGAGTGTCACTGGGGTTTGGTTCTGTGTGCTTATAGCAGTGTAAGACATGTCCCAAGCATCTGGGGATCACGTTTGCTAAGCATGTCTACCCAGCTTGGGAAGGCAAAAGAAAATCAGAAATCAAGACTCTGCAATCTGAAATCTTTGATTGACGGGGCTCCGGAATCATTATGAGCTGAAGCAAACGAGACAAGCCAAATCTTATAATCACCATCTATTCTGCCTCCCACCTGAAGTATTTGCTGTTATGTGGCCTTACTAAATTGCTATAATCCATTTCCCTGCCACCTCCTAGTGAAATATCCAGTATCTCAAACTTTCTTCGATTCAATTCACAAGCATATATTAAACATGTAAAATAGGTCCAGTTATTTGCTGGACATTGTAGGGATCCCAAAATATAGAGCAAGCTTCCAATTAAAGTAAGGTTGGAGAGATAAGACAACACAGATGAAATGCCAAGTGATATAGAATATGTGATTCCCAACTTTGGCTGATGACTGGACACAACCATGGAGCTGTATTACCAGGCCCTTGCATCTGATTTACGCACCCAGAGACTCTAGAAGCAGGCCCCAAGAATCAGTAAGGTTCTGCCCTGTGTGGATGACTGAGGTCTGTATGACTTCTAATAAGATCATGTCTCTGAGCCTCAATTTTCTTATCTATAAAATAAAGAAAATGGTCTAGATGGCCCCTGTGTTCTTCTTTCTCTAGCATTCTAGGATTTTGCTATTTAAAGAACTAATATATATGGTATAGATAAAATCGATGCAAAAAGTCAAAGAAGGCTTCATGAACAACGTGGGACCTGGGAGCAAAAAGAAACTGCCAATGGGTGTAGAATGGTTCTAAGTATGGACTTTAGAATCAGACATCCTTAGATTTGACTCTCAGCTCTGCAACATACTGGCTGTATGACCTTAGCCAAGCAATTTAACCTCACTGGTTATTCATTTCTTATCTATAAAATGGGGATAATAATAATATCTGCTTCTTGGACTTTTTATGGGGATTCAACCAAACAATGTAGATAAAGCACAAAGAATACTCATAATAATCATCAATTATGAGTAAGTGAATATTTAAATAATTTATTTGTCTTCTTAGTTATCAAGGAAAATATTTTGCCCACTTGAAGAGGGCCTTTTCTCTTTTGTGAGGGAAATATTTGCCTCATCACATAAAGACATTAGGTTTTAAAGGAATGACTTTAGAGATCGGATGATGTATTCATTCTGTTATTTACTAAATATCTAATATGTAGGAAGGACTTTGCCAGGCACTGAGGCAGTAATTCACAAGTGAGTAAATCACAAGTGATTCCTGGGTGTACTTTCAGACATTTTGTTTCTGTAGTTTTAAGGTAGGGACCAGGAATCGGATTTCAGCAAAGCTCCAGCTGATTCTGAATAATGAGATGACACTTTTACAAACACTACTATAGAGATACACAATTAGTAAGGCAGTATTTTCATTTCAAGGAACTTACAATTCTCTATCTCATATCTGTCAATTTGCTAAATGCATTTTGCTGCTTCTAACTTTCTTCCCTTCTCTCTCCCCCTACTTATTCACCCATTGTCTGTAAACTCTGTACAAGGCACAGTGCTGGTAGACATAAAGATAGAAGAAAAACCTCTGCCCTCTAAAAGTAAATTTTTATGCAAAGAAGGAAACAACAGACATTGCAGTCTGCTTGAGGGTGGAGGTTGGGAGGAGGGAGGAGCAGAAAAGATAACTATTAGGTACTAGGCTTAATACCTGGGTGATAAAGTAATATGTAGAAAAAACCCCCCATCCCGTGACCCAGTAACACAAGTTTACCTATGTAACAAACCTTCACATGTACCCCCGAACCTAAAATAAAAGTTTAAAAAAAAAGAGAAAGAAACAAGAAGAGGAGATACAAAAATAAATAAATAAATAAATAAATAAATAAAACTATGCATTCATAAAGCTTATAATTATTAGCATTTGCATGGCAAAATGAGCCTAAGGTATCCTCTGACATACGTGCATTTTGTATAACAGACTCCATAGGCAAAGTTCCTTATTCCAATTTAGCAGTCTCTTAGATAAGCATATGAGACTAATTTCAAGAAGTCCATTTTGTGCGGGAGAAAGTGCGGACAGGACAAAGGAAAAACATGCAGATTGCACATGTTTATTTAGCCACCACTCTGTCTCAAGCACTGGGCCAGGTTCTAAGAAGTATCAAAATTAAAAGTGAGATGATATTTTTGAGGGATTTTAATATTTAGATTGTGTCAGTTAGGATATGTTTGGCTCTCAGTAACAGTACACCAAATTATTAGTGGCATAAACAATAAAGACATTAAATTAAGTAATAGAAGATATAAGAAGCTGGAGGATGGTCATTTCAGAGCTGATTTACCAGCTCCACATTGTCAAGGTCACTGGGTTGACATCTTCAAGAGTCCCTTGGGTTTCCCATTTTGTTCACAAGATAATTTTGCAGATCCAGACATTAAATCCTTTATAACCTCATGCAAAGTCAGGGCAAAGGAAGAGCCACAGCTATTAGAGGGCTTGCACATATGCTTTCCCATCTTTGTTATAAAGAATATGTCTTTCTCAGAAGATATCAGTGTATTTCCCCTATGCTTCATTGGCTAAACCGAGCTACACATCCCATCCCTAGCTGCAAGAGAATCTGGGAAAGGGAGGCATTGTTAGGTAGTGAGTCAACATTTTTTTTTTTTTTTGCTAGAGTTGAAATAATCATAAAATTCTAAGTAAAGATTATTTAATCAATTGCTCAATCACGTGAGTGCTTCTGGAATAAACACAATGAAGGAATACACATGGCATGAGGAAAATGTAAAGAGAGAGAGGAAGACAGAGACCGAGAAGAGAAAGAATAGACCCATTATTAGTTGAAAGATGAGAAGAATTTAAATTGGTAAAGATGAAGGAGATTTCAAGTAAGGGAGAAAAACTAAGAAAGTGGGAAATGGAATTAAAATATCTATACTGACCAGAAACCATAAGTGTAGTATCAACAACAGCAAGGTGATAGTCTTACCGATATTCATACCATTAGAATAATTTTATTTTCCATGCTAAATGACCTTAAATGAGCACTATTTTCTATTTGAAATGTGTTTGTGTGTGTATTTCTCAAGAAGCACTCTAGCTAATTAGACAAAATGCTTGCAAGTTAGTGAGGCTGTAATGCAGAAGGAATAGAGACCAGGCAAATTCTTTCTGCTTGATGCCTACCTTAATAAAGCTTTCTAAGTACTGTGAGAAGCATACTGAGGAAGGATACTGGTGCTAGATACCATTCATCAGCTATTGCAAGCTTCAAAGGCACCGAAATGCTGAGTTATGAGGATTTTGCCAGAATCTATTCAAGTGGAAAGCACCCGGAGTAAGGCACAGTGTGCCTCTGAATCTTCTGCTTACATAAGAGAATAGCAAAGGCCTTAGATAAGGGAGTGACTTGATCTAATGTTATATCTCTTCCTTAATGCCAGTTATTCTGTATCTGCCCTTCATGTTTTTTTCCTTTATCTATCTTGTTAACACTCAAAATTACTTTATGTATGTGTTTGTTTACCTGGTTTTTGTAGTCTTTCCCCTTTCAATAAAAACTCTATGTGGCTGGGCATGGTAGCTCATTCCTGTAATCCCAGCATTTTGGGAGGCCAACGCGGGTGTATCACTTGAGGCCAGGAGTTTGAGACCAGCCTGGGCAATGTGGCGAAACCTCATCTCTACTAAAAATACAAAAATTAGCCTGGCATGGTTGCTGCGCCTGTAATCCCAGCTACCAGGGAGGCTGAGGCACGAGAATCGCTTGAGCCTGGGAGGCGGAGGTTGCAGTGAGCTGAGATAGAGCCATTGCACTCCAGCCTGGGTGATGGAGTGAGACTCTGTCTCAAAAAAAAAAAAACAAAAACAAAAACAAGAAAATACTGTATGAAAACAGATATAATATTCCTGTTCTCCATTGTATCTTCAGTCCTTGTCACAGGATCTGTGGACTCTCAATATTTATGAAATGAATGCATGAGTGAATAAATGCTCCTATCTGTTAACTAATTTCCCATACACAGTTACTTGAAATCTACAAAGCTGTCCAGCACCAGCTGTTATTCCAACAGGCCCATGCTATGCATCACGACAGAAGAATGATGTTGGATGTAGAGCGTGTTCAGCAAATAAAACTCATCAAACCAAATCTCACCAGGCGACCAATAAAAGAAAGATTAATACCTACATAATCAAGCCTGTGGTTTGTCTTACTTTAAAGTATGTGGATAGATTATCAGCTGTCACCCCCTAGTGGTAGAGAATATAATTATCAGGGCTGCTTGTTTCTGGTCAAAGGAAGGAAAAGAAGCCAGGAGATTTACAGAAAAGTGCATTTGCTACCAATCTCACAACCTTTAAATTGCATATACTATTCACACACACACGTACGTATATGTGTGAATTTAGAAGGAAAAAGCTTTATGAGTTACACCTTACTCTGATGATCTGGCTGTTTGTTAACTGCCTGGAAAACATAACATGAGATGTAAATAACTTGCTAAAAACTCGCTTTAAACTTTGTCTGCTTCCGTCATTACAATTCCTTATGAAATCCCTTCCTGAGAAAGAATTAAAATAGCTATTTATTCTCAAAGCCTCTTAGAGAAGAATATTGATTTCCTATTTAAAATTTGACATTTACTCTATGACGTGCGTAGAATTTCCAGAAAGCAAGGAAACCATGACGAAGTTACCCTAAAGCTTGATATAGATCAACTTTTTTAGATAAATTTCAGAAAACTACATTTTTTAAAGACAAAAAAAGTTAAATTCAGCCAAACTGCTACTTACAAATCATTAGTCGCAAAACAGCCAGTTGCTTAACTGAATTCAACCACATACATTTCCCTGCCTCCACCCAATCCTATTTTCCAAAACACCCACAGACACATATATTTGTATCTATGGGTATAGATTGTGGAAGACTTTAAAATAAACCATCCAAAATGATCTCTGATTCTGAAATCACTGGAAACAGAGAATACATTTCTCATACATACATTTAAATGTGGTATTTGACTCTCCCTCTTAGCTAGAGAGAGTTTATGTGGAATTTATAAGAAAGTTTATAGTCAGAAGTCCATCTGCTTATAGGTCTTGTTTGAAATGCTTGGTGTGTGTGTGTGCTAGCCACATTTTTTGGAGCACTCGTTGTTTACGGTGCATTGAGCTAGGCATTTAACCCTCCTAACCAACTTATGATATAAACAGTACTATCATAACCATCTTACAGATGAGCCTGCTCAGGCATATTAAATTCCTGGCACAATGTTACCAGCTACAGGGCTAGATCTTACTAGATCCCAATTGGTTGTCCTTCCATCATTAGCTTTTTCAGTTAATTGGCTCTGCTCAACAAGAAGCAGGAACTTAGTAAGTGCAATGATGTTGGTCATGAAGGGTGCTGGCAAGATTCAAAAGGCTTCAGGAAATATTCATTTCTTAGTGAATAAAAATTTCTTGGTGAAAATCTTCCTGCCTTAATGAAATAATGAACCTAATTAACAACTAAGGTCTTGTAAAGCATCAAAATTATCCTTTTTAGCATTATATTTTTATGTGTTATTACAAATCTGGATATGTTCTATAATTTTATTGTGTAACTAAATCTCAATTGTTATTTATTTTTTTGCCAGTGGCTTTTTTTTCTCCTAAATATAAAGAATGATTCCCTGTACCCTCTTTTAACTTCCCCAAAATAATCACTTAGTTTAATTAAGGGTTCTAGTTACTTTAGTACCAGTTAACCAACTTTTTACCCTATTTAATTTATATGGCTGTTGGAACTTTCCTATTTGTCTAGAAGAAAATTCCCATGGCCTGGAAAATTGCTTGCTTGCCTGGTGGGATTGCCAGTTACACGCTAATTATAGTATCTTTTATAATACATTAGATGGTGGTGGCTCCTTTATATATATATAAGTGAAACTCACAAAGACGTTCAGACCAGTGCATCAGTAAGGCTGAATAAGAAAGAAAAGTAACAGTCTTAAAGTATTACGGTATTACAAAAAAAACCAAATACCCATGAAGTAAAAATTTTGAAGAGTCTCAGGTGTGAAATCCTACATTCCAAGCATTAAGTTAAAAGGACAAAATACCACAGAACTGTCAGAATGGGTAGCCTTCTTTTGCACCAATGCTGAAATATCATTTTTTATACAACTAGTCTTTTGCTAGATATTTCAGATAATGACATCAAATTTGAGTAGGCTGTTTATCCACTTTGCCTATGGGGAAGAGACTGGTTTTTAAAAGAAATGAGTTTGTTTTCTTGTTATGGAAGAATTTAGGCATTGCCAGAAGTCTGGATGGAAATGTAGCTGTAAATATCCATGGTAAAAATAATATGCATGGTAGCTAAAAGAATGGATGAGAATTGGGATTGATTTTTCATTTCTGATGATCAAGCCATTATAGATCTCCCTTGATTGGGAACAAGCCATTTTTCCATAGTCTTTGTCAGATGATATTAAAAGTCTATGGTATCTTGCTATTATTGGCCGAGTGTTATCCTTTAATCTCCTGAAAATGGGCTACTAACATTCTGCAGCATTTAGGGTGGAGAGCCTTGCACTATTCCAGATCTCTAACCTTTTTCATCACTTAAACCAGAGCTAGTGTTGAATACAAAAGGACTCAGATAAATATATCTCAGGCATGTGTGAGGCAAAAAATGAAACCTTCTTCTTGGGAGTATTATTCAGAAGGTTAAGTTTATCAGAAAAAAATTTACCTCCAAACGCTAGACCTGGGTGCTGGTCTTGCCATTTCCTTCGTCAGTCCTTTATCCTCCCTGGACCTCAATTATTTCACCCACCAATGCAGAGACACATGCTCATCTGTGAGTGAAGAAGATCATGTCTAAATAGTCCTTCCCAAATCTCAGCAAGTCCTATAAACTAAGATCTTTCTTAGTCTGTCATTAGCCAGTCATTCTTTAAGTTGGTTTCTCTATTTAGTTTCCAAAATACCCCTTTCCACCCTCTGAAATGGTCTTATTTATTTGTCAGATTTTATTGTCTATCTCTGCTTCTGGAATTCAAGCTCCATGCATTCAGGAACCCATCTTGTTCATTGCTGTATCCAGAGGGTCTGAAACAGTGTCTGATGCATGGGAGGATTCAAGAAGTAATGTTGAAGACATGAATAAATAAGTTTCCTCAATAAATAATACTGAATACTAAAAGAAGAAATGTATGATTGATGAGTTTTCACTCTTCTGAATGAGGTTATTCTAATGTCCCTTGTTAGCAGATGACTTTGTGAGAAGAGATTAAAACAGCTTAAGGAGGCTGCCCAGAGCTTGCACTCTGCAATGACAACACTAATTTTGTTCTGATTTCCAGTATACTTCCTTGCTTAGGGGAGAAATGTCCTATTTCACTGTCCTTCTGAGGCAGGCTTTCCTACTTCAAGTGGAGCCGGTTCCGTGCAGTCTTCCAAGTAGGTAAAGTCATTGACTGCTTTCAGTGCTTTCCCTGCTAGTCTCAGTCCCACCGACATCTAATTATATTAATATGCCAGAGAGAAAATGCAAGAAGGCTCTTCATTCTAGGATGAATGAATTGTTCAGGCCCTTCCTAAGAGGAAGTATCAATTTAGAGCAGGGACAACACACAGTCCTTGAGCACCTGAGGTTAAGTATACCCACAAACGTTTGTAAGCATTGTGATAAAGTTGCACATTAGCCCCACCAAAACCTCTCCACCCATCAGTTGATTTGTTTTTCATTTGATTGTTGTTTCTCCAATTTACAGGGAGAAAAAAAAAATAAGGTTTGCTGTGTTGAAGCACCACTGAGCAATCTTAGACCCGAAGCATATCTTACTGATTATCTAATTCAATGTTTCCCAAACTTGTCTGAACAAAAAAATCACCCAAGGTGCTGGTTAAAATATCAATTCTCAGGCCTCACCCTGCTGATTCGGATTCCGACAGGTTTGGGTGAGGCCAAGTGCATTCAGATTTTTTTAACACGTGCCCCAGGTGATCCTTATGTTCAAGCAGGTTTAGGAAACACTAACACACACATTTTCATTTACTAGCAGAAGAAACTAAGTCTGAGAAAGCCCTGAAAGTACATCTGGGTCACACAGCTCACTAAGAATCTTCAGTTCCTGGACCTGGATTCTTTCCCTTGTACCAGCCTGCCTCCACTAAATCTCCATCCCACTAAAAAACTATAAAAATACACACAAGGAAACTAAGCACCCCCAAAACGCCTTAACTTCCTCTGTATTTCCAAATGAAAATGTTAGCTGACTTATTTCAATATTTCCTTGTTGTGAAAACATTTTTTTTAACTCCAATCATAATGTGTGTTTGGCCTGGATTGGGGTCCAGGATTTAAAGGCAAGCTCTACCGATGCCATCTCAGGATGCTCTCAACCTGACTTGGAGCTCTGTGGAGTTGACCTTCTGCTTCTTAAATCCAAATCTGGATCGTCATCAAGTATCACTTGGTTTATCTGGTGAGTAAAGAATCCAGCGAGGTAGGTGTTCAGAGCCACTTTTTCATCATCAGGAACTAAAAGCAATTACTAATCTGTTTTCACTAATGCAGTCCATCTGTGCATGAGCAATTTGTGTGGTTTTCCTAAGAAGGACATCATATTCTCTGTTTTTTTAAATGCTTAATACTTGCAATCAGAGGGACAGAAATATCCAGCCAGCCCCAATTCTTATAAAACAGAGCTGAAAGCAGGTGATTCAGCTGACTTTAGATGACTCAGCCCGCCTCGATGGCCAAAGTTGGTGAGTCATTTGTCTACTGTCTGAGAGAATTCATTTCAGGAACCCAAATTTCAGGGGCCTCCAAAACTCATTAAACTGTTTAGTAACTCATTACTTCTATTGGAGTTATTGTAGCCTTTCCTTTACCTCAGTTTTTATTCCTGTTCAAACAAATCCAAATCAAACTTCATATCAAGCAGTAGGTTCTACAAGGAACAGTCCATGATCTAGGATGAATTTGAAGTTCCTTTTGGTTTGATTTCCCTGATAATCTGAGTTTTTAGGGAAAACCCAAAGTGTGGAGTGGTTTTGCTGTGGACAAATCCTTAAGTTTGTTAAATCTCATGATAAATGAAAAGTGAGAGGAGTTAATGCCTAATTTGGGTTTACTGGGAAAGATCTCCATGTACATTTTAGGGCTTTCAAGAGAATATTCTGGGGACTGAAACTTTTTCATATTATTTGAGATAAAGAAGTGGTCTTCTTCCTGATTTTCATCAATCTTACTGATATATTTGGAAATCTTTTAGGGCCTGATACTTATCCTAATTGGCTCTTGCAAAATTGCCCGTCTTCTGTCATTATAATAATGGTAATAGTTGCTATCATTTGTTGTGCATTTACATTTTACCCAACATCAGGCTAAACTGAAAATATGGAGGTATTAATATACTCACAATGGTCTTAAAAGGCAGTGGTCTTTTAAAAGATTTCAAGGTATTAATTGTTTAAGTAAGGGGCTTAGAAAAAGAACCCAGGAAATGTCAATGGTCAATCCATCTGTGCTAGGTTTGTAAATACTAAGGTACCCATTTCAGTGAAATTCTTCCTGGAAATCAGACTCCAAGACAGAAAAACAGAAGTCCCTCAAACTATAGGAGCAGCCCTGACCTGCTGTCATTCCTAAGGTTGCTTCCTGCTATGGAAGATTGAATTCAGGGTTGAATTAACAAAGTATTGGCTCAAATTACTTCTGAAGCACATGAGTAAAATGTCTGGGACCAAATGATGGAGACAATATGGGAAACAAGAAACTGCTCTCCTAAAAACTGCTCTCCTAAAATATCTTATTTGCCCCTCAGCTCCCAGCAATGCTAATCCGGACAAAGGCTGGACCCCTCACCTCCAGAGCCCATGTTCACAGGGCCACGGCTTGCAGGTTTAACCTGCATCCACTCATGAACAATACTGCTGGAAGTCTCAAGTGGCAGACAAATCACAGTAAACCAGACTAAAAAATAGCTTAAACATCTTCCAACACTTTATTTTTACAGATGTGAAAGCTGGGATCCCAAAAAGTGATTTGCCCATGCTCACAGTATGTTTTTGTGACCAACTGTAAGTTACCTCAGGTCTCTCATTCTTCTTTCAATACCAAACCCTGCCTTTGTCAGTTTTGGATCTCAATATCACTATTGGAGTTTCTATTTGCATTGGGTACTTTAAAAAAAAAAAGGCAAACAAACAAACAAACAAAAACCCAAATGCTATTTAAACCTCTCTACTTAAAATGGCAGACTGGAGAACTTATCAGATGGCTGTTTTTAGGAAAATCTTTCTTAAAATAATACCCATTCTTATCCTATTCTTATATCCAGAAGCTCATCCTCTGTCTTGCTTTGTCTTTGTCAACAAAAGATTATTTTGTTGTGCAAACCCTTTTGCCTAGAGGCTCATCATAAACATTCACTCCCAGAAATATACTGAGATCTGCATCGTGGCATTGGTTGGAACCATCAAAAATAGGGTAGACCCATCAGTAGGAGACTGGTCAAAAAAGATGCATTAGACTATGCATTAGACTATTAACAGCATTAGACTATTAACAGCATAGACTATGTTGCTGTTAAAAAAATAAGAGGAAAGATCTCTACTTATTGATATAAGCAAATGTTCAGGATATGATATGAAGCGAAACAAGAACAGGATGCATGTATGTAGGATGATTCTGTGTGAGTTTGTTAAGTGTTTATATTTATATACACATAACTTTGTTTCTGCATAGACAATTCTGGAAGGACCCTCAAGAGAAGTACTGTTTTTACTATTAGCATTATTATTTGATAAGAATTTCTTAAGTAGGAAGAAAGAGCAGGGGGGAGAAAGCCACTGTGTTTCTTTACTTCTAGGGCTGTTGGCCAAAATTAATAGATTTGACCTATTTGTAAAAAGAAGTTAGTCCTCCCAGGCAGGGCTGCTGGAACTACAACCAGGGAAATGTGATAGAGACAGATGGTGAAGCATTTGACTTTTACCAACTGCTTTGGTTTTCCCCTTTGGCTAAACACATTAAGAGCCATTTGAAAGGGAAACACTATAATTATACCATGCATGACAGATATAAACAGCCACAAAATGATAGTATTAGATTCTTAATCCTTATTACAACCTCCTTGAAGATCGGTGTGATGGCCACTCATTCAGGAATACACCTAAAGACACACCTTATTTGTCATATTACATCTTGTTTGTCAGGTACCTTATGTTTGGTGTTCAGCAGAAAGAAAAATAACGAAAGAAATTCCACCCAGCAAGCTATCCAGGTTAGCTAAGCATTTGCATAGGCTGGAAACATAGCCAATGTCTCTTTCGTCTCTTTCTCCTTCCTGTTTTGGCAGCTTGCATTTTGATGATGGCTGAGGAATGATTGTTTACAAAAGTTGTCACCAAAATACCATTTCCTGTTTTCTCCAGGGTTGGAGTTTTATGGCAGATTAAGTTTAAAACCTCACAAGGGTCCATTCCATTCTATTTTTATTATGTTATTAAACTTCAAATAAGGAAGGTTTTCACCCTCCCCTTTTTAGGAAGATGGGAATCTCATAGAAATTCAATGTGATAAAACCTTTTCCATCACGCCTGTAATCCCAGCACTCTGGGAGGCCGAGGCGGGTGGATCACGAGGTCAGGAGATCGAGACCATCCTGGCTAACATGGTGAAACCCCGTCTCTACTAAAAATACAAAAAATTAGCCGGGCGTGGTGGCGGGCACCTGTAGTCCCAGCTACTCAGGAGGCTGAGGCAGGAGAATGGCGTGAACCAAAAAAAAAAAAAAAAAAAAACCTTTTCCAAAAGCAATTTTAGGTCTATAAAATTAGAACCTTTAAAAATGTCTTTACTTTTTGATCTAACAACTTTGTATCTGTAATTACATCCTAAGCAAATAACCAAAGAGTTAGATTTAGGTACAAGGATGTTCTTCAAATTCTTATTATTATAGTGAAATCATGCTTATGTTAAATTATTAGTTGGATCAATTATAGTACATTCACATGATAGACCAGTACAATGTTACTAACAATGTTAATGACAAGATTCATATAAACCCTGCATATAGAATATCATTCTAATTTTATTATTTTTATGTTAACTGTCACCGTTTCTGGTATTTGGGATAATTTTATGCTAGGATTGAACCTGAATAAGTTTCTTTGGTGAGTAACGCTAGTGCAAGAAGATCTGAGCTTTAACTTTTCACCACTTCCAATTGTGACTCCTAGTGGTAGGCAAAACATCTAGCTTCAGTCTGTCTTAGTTTTTGATGGGCAAAAGAGAGATAATAAACCAATACCTATCAGAAGGAAAAAAGCTAATTTCTCCCCTTATTAAATAATACGTTTCAATTACTGAAATTGCCCAAGAAGTTAGAATAAATGACATTTGGTGGTACTATGTTCCCAATAAATTGAACTGTGCAAAACTAAGATAAGTAAGGATATCCATCCCCTACAGCAACAACACCATCTCTCTCAATAATTGCAAACACAGTCTACTCCTCCTGCCCCCAATCTCACATAACAGTTAAGTACATTTATTCATCTTCTAGTCTATGTTCAAGGTCAAAATCTAGTTCTGCTTAGAGTTAAGCATTGTGTAAAGTCTTCGCAATTCTGAAGGAAGTTTATTGCAAACAACCTCTTTAAATTGCAGCTATGCTTATAGTAATTCTGTTTTTTAATATAATGAAAACCACTTTGAGATCCTCAAGGCCAAGTGCCAAACAGCAATCAGTGATTACTTAGTCAACACCAACAATATGTGAAACAGAACATCTCTGAGACGTCAAGGCTGAGATTAGGGCATACACTATTAGACATGCATAAGATGCAACAATGACAACCATTCCCACTTCTTTCTCTATGCATCCCTGGTTTAAATGGAGGCTGGGAAGCTCCCATGGAGAACTAAAACCCTGTCCAGAACTAACGTTGGCACACATTGGCTTATCTAGTTGGAGATAGAGGCCAAAGGCACAAGGAGATGAAGAACTCAGAGGTGTGCTAGAGCCAGCTCCCATCAGCTAGCGAGTGCCTACTGCGTGCCTCTCATTCCAACTCTGTTTAGTGACTGCACACTGATAGCCTGAAATTGGCCACAGTGTAAGCATTTATCCCAAGAAAAGCAGTAAATGCTATAAATCAGTCTACATCACCCCCACTTCTCCCCTCTCCCAAGCGAGCTGTTAAATATTTACTAGCATACCACTGGGAGAGCCCCTGAAAAAGAACATATCTAGGGAAGGAGTCTAGAGTGACAAGCCACGTTCAGTGTCAAGTGGGATTTTTACTCAGTATGGGGTTGTTAATTGAATGGGTTTCACCCCACCAACCCTAGATGCCCCCCTCCAGCCTTAGATGCCTCAGTGTGCCCTAGAAGGAGCTCCTCTATGGACCTGTATTAGTCCGCTCTCATGCTGCTGTAAAGAACTGCCCAAGACTGGTTAATTTTTAAAGAAAAGAGGTTTAATTGACTCACAGTTCCACAGGGCTGGGGAGGCCTCAGGAAACTTACAATCATGGCTGAAGGGGAAGCAAACACATCCTTCTTCACATGGCAGCAGGAAGGAGAAGATTGAGAGCCAACTGAAGGGGGAGGCCCCTTATAAAACCATCAGATCTTGTGAGAGCTCACTCACTATCATGAGAATAGCATGGGGGAAATGACCCCCATGATTCAATTTCATCCCACCAGGTCCCTCCCACAACATGTGGGGATTATGGGAACTACAATTCAAGATGAGATTTGGGTGGAGACACAGCCAAACCATATCAAGGCCTCTCTAATATTGGGCTGGAAAGATAGGGCATGAGGTCCAGCATGTGTTTTGAGTACACATCTACATCCCAGAAGTCTTTTAAAAATCTAATATTTCCAACCTCACAATAGTACTCTAAGGTAAATATCATAATATTTGTGTCCTGACACGCAGGGAATTAATCACGTAGGATCAACACTATAGCAAGCAAGGTAAAAAATGATACAAAAACTGGTTCTCTAACTAAACCTGCGGTTGAGGCTACAAAGTTCCTACGCCACTCTTGGTTTTCCAATCATATTGGCTTCTGTGATGTTCAAATAAAGTGAATATGGAATTTTCCTCTGTGTCCAAGTTTCCCATGGCTAATTTCTTGGCAACTCAGAACACTTCTGCAAGAGGCAAGCAGTTGTGATCTATAGCACTGGCACCTACTGCAACAACAGAAACAGAGAAGATCCCCAGTGCAGGAGTCGCCTTCTAGCACCTACAAGCCTGTTAACACAGGGATAGCAGCCATTTCTGTCCTTATTTCATAGACTCAAGACATTAGCAACATAAGGGGTGATTAGCAGGCCAACATTCCTCCAGGGTAACACCGTGAAGCAATGCAAATACGCAAGTACCAAGCAGACCTAAAAGAGAAATGACCAAGTGTTAAGGGGTATATTTGGCAAAAGATTTTCTTTCTACAACAGCATACACAGAACTACTGTATTGCTTATATTTTTCCTTTTCTGTGTAAGTCACGCATCCTTAAACAACAGGGATACATTCCAAGAAATGCATCTTTAGGTGATTTTGTTGCTGTGCTAACAAAATAGAGTGTACTCACACACACCTAGCTGGCATAGCCTGCTACATTCCTAGGGTATGTGGTATAGCCTATTGCTCCTATGCTGCAAACCTGTACAGCATGTTACTATACTGGATACCGTAGGTGGTTGTAACACAATGCTAAGTATTTGTGTATCTAAACATACTAAAGGTACAGTAAAAATATGGTATTATAATCTCATGGGACCGCCATCATAGATGAGGTCCATTGTTGACCAAAATATCATCATGTGTCATGTGACTGTAGAAGGAGTACACTCTAAAATAATGATAAATAGTATAGAAAAAGCATAAGCCAGTAATATAGTCATTTATTAACCATCACCACAAACATGTGAGTAACGTGTTGCGCTAGGATGTTAGGACAGCTACAACTTCACTAAGCGATAGGAATTTTTATGCTCCATTATAACCTTATGGGACCATTGTCATATATGTGGTCCATTATTGACAGAAAGGTCATGACTGTTATTACGATGTCTTGACATTTTACAAACCTTGCTGGCTGGAGAGAAGACTCTGCCCCTCCCAGAGCTAGCCAATTCTTAGAGTTGGCAAAGTGCTCTCAGTGGGTTGCTCACCTTTGATGTGTAAACTAATCATCTAGAGCCACACTTCTATCTGGCCAGTACACCCCAGGAGGTGACATTCCTCTAACTTAATCATCCCAGGGCTGGATATCAGGCACCTAAGGACCATCCCTATAGCTTAGAGCCCCATGAAATGATTCAAACTCGCCAATCCTAAACTGTTTGCCCTGCCCAGCCTTGCCTTTCCCGCAGAAACCCCAGTAAAAGCTCTAGCCTGCCTTCCTCTTGCTCCTGTCTTCTACCTCTTGACCAGAACCTGGTGTTCCTCAAATGACTTTGAGTGATGTAGCATGCCTCCTATTTTTAGGGCCTGTGAGCATAATAAACTTTGTTTCCAGAGCCTCTCCTGTAGCTGCACCATCACATTAAAGAACACAGAACAACTACAAAGGAACAAAGCTCTGGGTATATTTAGGATTCTGGAACTGGGCTGTGCATATCTAGCAGGGTAGCCTGCAGGGAGGTTTGACTGGATCATGGAAAACCTAGACAACTATGGTGAGGAACAGACCACAGAGGCTTCTGGACAGGGGAGTGGCAGGTGCAGAGCTATGATTCAGATTAGTTTCAGCTATGTTTCAGATTAGCATGGCACTGATCAAAGCTGTAGGTAGGGGAACCAAAGAAGTTATTTCAGTCATCCAGATGAGTCAACCAAAAGGAAGAAAGAGGAGTCAAGGATTAGAAAGACAGTGACATCATCAATCTAGTAGGCGAATCACACAATCAGGTGTGGGGGCAAAGATGAAGAGTTTGGTTCTGGAGTTCTAAAAATAAAACCGCTAGTATAGGCTTTAACATATAGGGAGGGATTAAAACATTTTGACTGATTATTGACAAGTTTGTCAATCATTACTGAGTCAAAATGGTTGTTTGGACTTGCATTTCTTTAATTATGACCAACTTGAGCATCTTATTATTTATTCATTTTTTCATTCAGCAAATATTTGTCAAATTCCTACTATATGCCAGGTATGGGTCTAAGTGTGAAGGCTATAGCAGTCAGCACCATATTCCCTGCCTTCATAGACCTTGTCTTCTAATGGTGATAAATGAACAATAACCAGATAAATAAGAAAATATATGGTACATCCGATGGTGATACATTCTATGAAGAGAAGTAAAGCAAGGAAAGGAAATGGGGAATGCCGAGTGTGCAGTGTGAAGCAGGGAAGGCCTCCTGAGAAAGTGACACTGACCCAAAGGCTTCACAGGTCAGCCTGAGAGCCAAAAGAAAATCTGGGGAAGGGACAGTTTAGGCAGAGGGAATGGTAATCACACAGGTCCTTGACTGGACCATATCTGGCCCCCTCTTTTCAAGTAATTATTGAGAATCTGTAGTTGTTACTCTGTGAACTGTTGGTTCATATGCATATTTGCTCTTAGCTTGCCTGTCATTTCTTACTGATTAGGAATCCTTCACATGTTAAAGAAATCATCCCTTGCCTAGCATATATATTACAAATGTTTTCCTCAGCTTACCATTGTGTTATTTTGTTTATATTGAGATTATGTATTTTTATATATGTCATATATTTAATCATAATTGCTATACAGAAGTATTACATTTTAGGTAATAAAATTTATCAACCTTTTCTTAATGGCTTCTAGACTCTGTGTCTTATCTAGGAAGGTTATCTCCACTCCATGAATGAAGAAAACTTTATTTTTTTCTTCTTATAATTTTATGAACTTAAACGTAACATTTAAAATGTTAATACATCTGGAGTTTATTTTGGTGTAATCAACAAAGTCAGTTTACTGTTTGAAAAACAAGGGACTCTTGAAATGAAAAACTTCTAAGACCCAAAAGGATGTGTTTCTAAAGGTGACAGAGCAGGGAGGTTGTGTGGAAATTGGCTGCAGAAGACCCTGCTGAAGCCTGCATTCTCGGATGCCAACAGCCATTCTCTAGCCTCATTTCCCAAAGTGCTTCTGTGGCACTCTGGTTCCACAAGATAATTACAGGTATCCAGCAAAAACGTTTTCCATCTTGAAATAAGTTTCAGAAACCTGGGATAACTGTGTAGTAACTCTAGGACAATTGAGATTCTTTAATACATCAATGTCATTGTAAGTCCCCAACTGGGGCACTGTAGGCCATGGAACATTTGTCTCATAAAGCATCTTGGCTACCAGTATTCTATATTTGGAGCGGTCGTTCCCAGACTTTGGTTATATCAGAAATATCTAGAGAGATTTTTATAACACATACTGCTGAATCCCATTCCTGATCAATGGAATCCAAATCAGTGAAGACAGCATGCAAGAATTTTTAAAACTCTCATTGACAGGTGTTTTGTGATCAGTGGTCCAAAATAGCCTCTGCTTAAAATGTTTCCACTAGAGAACTAGGCCAACAGAAAATTATCAAATGACTATTTTCTCAATTATCCCAAGGATGAGACATAGCTAGTATCACTTTAGATGCATAGGAGGGAAGTTAATTCATTGCTTATAATAGATTCCTGAGAGCATCGTGCTTCAATTCTCTCCTAAAACCCTGGTTGAGAAGAGCTGGACATGGTACTGGTGCCTGCAAAAAGGTGTACTTTCTTGGACCTTACCACCTCTTCATCTCCTATCACTTACAAAAAGAACATTAAGTGTTAAATTTGATAGCAAGGGGGCAGTAATGGGATCAAAATCAAACTAAGCTTCATTGGATAAGCATACTCACTCACAGGCTTCTCAAATTAATAGAGTTCTCAGAAATTTGGTCTGATCAATCATGTTTTGTTCTTTCCCCAGATAATATTTGCTATAGTCTGTTATAAAAGTTCATTAATAACACAGTTATCTCTAATAAGGTCTAATTTTTTTCTTTATCCTAACCTCGAGCCCTTATCTTGTTTACAATTCTTTCCTTCCATCAGTGTCTCAAAAGAAAGTATAATATACTTCAGACTCCATAAACTTCATTGCATTGTGCAAAACTATGTACATTCAGTTTTGAAAATAAGAATGATTTTAATAATCTGAATAACCTAATATGTAATCATAGTGCCAAATATCATGCTTATTATTATAATTATTTCCTCTCTAAATCAATTCATTTGTAAGCTCAAAGCATGCATTTTATTAGTCCTAATTGGATTCAGAGAGCTGTGATCTCCTTGTAACCCTAATCCCTATTATAAAATGGAAAAATCATCATTAAATTTGATTTACATGCTCCTTTTGGGTAGTGTCACCTACGCTACCCTCATAGCAAGGATTTTCTATTAAAATATCTTTTTGAACTAAGAATTCTAGTCATTTAGAATAGCCAAGATGAGCACATGTCACATCCTAGAGTTAGTGTAAAAATTTAACACTTTTCTTCCTGGCTATCAAAACTAATATTCTGAAAAAACTGGAATGATTGAATGTACCCAAATCATTCCTGGTTATCAGAACTAATATTCTGTCCAAGTCTGAATTGCTGAAATTCCCAAGGTAGATTCTGAAAAGCACTAATCCTGTGAAATACTCTATGAAGTAGGAGTCTTGGAGTCAAATAAGCTTGAGAAATGCTGAAATTCAAAATGTATCTTAGTATACCAACTCCTTTAGAACTCCTAAAGCTTGAGAAATGCTGAAATTCAAAATGTATCTTACTATACTAACTCCTTTAGAACTCCTGGAGTTTTTTTTTTAAGTTTCTATTAAAAATGTTGTATAGACCAGGAATTCTTTTCAAGTATCTTACTTAGTGACATGCTACAGAACACAGTTTGGAAATTGATAAGAAAGACTAACATTTATGGAGTATCTATTATATAAGTTAGTTGCCACTATAAATTCATTTAACATTATAGTAAGTCTCCCCCTAGCTGGTGCCAACACATTGTGTGAAACCATCCATGAAAGAGGCCCAAATATTTCCTTCCTCAGACAACTCATCAGGGATATTTCTTAGGAGACTAGAGGTGTGAGTTGAGAACAAGTTGGCAAGACAGCAAAAGTAGGTGCCAAGGGAGTCTGTGCCAGGTACTCACACAACTTAGTTTCGTCTTCAAGATCAACTTCATTTCCATCTCATATGCAGTTTTCTTTTCTTGTGATCATGGAGTACTCTACGAACACCCAATTGTAAGGTTTGGTGGATGAGATAACACCTAACTCATGATGGGCTACTTAGGTGGTATGGCATTCAGTCTCTACTAGGGCCCAGTAGAGAATTAAGAACTATTTCCAAACTGAATAAATGATCATTTTCAGAATAGAGCATGGCCGCGCTCTAAAGCCCTAGGTATCTGCACTGTTTCTCCTACTGGGTTTTCTCACAGCTCCATTTGTACAGCACCTCTAGCTGCCATAGACATGTTGTGCATCATTGGGTCTGCTTGGTCATTAGGTCTAAATAGTGGAGTGGTTTTCACAGCAGTCCAGACCAGCTGCAGTGCCTCCTTTAGTCTAGGTCCATTCAAAACTGGCAAATTTACTGGTTGTCATCTGGTAAATGAGTCAGAGCAGTACACTCAAAAGTGGGGAATGTTGCCTTTAACAACCAAAGAAGTTCACAAAATATTGTGCCTCCTTAATGATGAGGGTGTAAGGCATAGCGACTTATATTCTCTTTCTTATGAGATATCACATTTCCCAGTCTACCCAACCCTAGAAGTTTCATCAAGATGAACAAGATGACATGCCTTGAATTTTCATGGGGTGTTTCTCCCACCTCTGGCATGCATGCAGTTATCAAGGCATCTAAAATACTGGTTCCTTCCTACTCACACAGCCCACTCAGCATGACTCATCCATATAATGGACCAACATGCTGCCCTGTAGAATGGTAATACTTGGTTTCTCTGGACTAGATTATTGCTGAAAACCAGAATACTAACATAACTCTGAACTAAGACAATGAAGATATATGGCAGTACCTTGCAGATAAGAGGAAGCTGCTTCTGATATTTTTTTGCTATTCAGAATACAGTGGTAAAACATTATCCAAATCAATAGCTGAGTATCAGCTATAGATCCAGCAAGGAGTTCACATCTGTAACAACTATAGTTGTAATAATCTGCTGTCATTATTCCAGATTCATCTGTATTCTGCATAGAGCAAACAGATAAGTTAATGCTGACCTGAAAGAAATCAATAGCTCTGCAGCTTTCAAGATTTTGATGGTGGCACTGATCTTTTCAATTACCTCAGGGATGTAGTATCAATTATTGTTTACTATTTGGAGAAAGAAATCCCAAGGACTTCTTGCATATCTCTATCATTAAAGCCTTTACTTCAACAGTGAGTATGCCAATGTCGGGAGGCTGTCAGTACATAATTAAATCTATTTCAACCATGCTTTCAGGGATTAGCACACTGTGGTTTTGCAGAGTTCCTGGCTTTACGTGATACGGACTTGGGTTAACATTTCATTTTATCACCCAAATTCTAAAGCCCACCCGCTTAACTGAGTATAGAGGATTCATGGTCCTGAGGAATTTGCATCAGCTCAAGGCTGATGAGAAGTAATCCCTAAAAAGATTGGGTATTTTACTTTATCAACTGTGGATTCACCCTTGTAAATGGCCCCAGATTCTTTTGGTAAAGGCCAGGTAACAGATTTGCAGTACATAATTGTGCCAGTGTTGTACGATCTTTCATCAAGTTGACTAGACTCTCCTACATTCACAAGACCTGTTCAATTTGTGAACTAGCTCAGTTCAGAAAATTGGTGATGACAATAAGATTGTTGATGACTTAGACATTAACAATCAAATCAAAATAGACAAATACATATTTTTCCAGTATAAGCAATGAGCTACCACTATCGGTTGCCAATGTCTCTAAACCCAAGTAGGCCACATTTCTATCTTTTGAAGTCTGTTTTCCAGACTTCTTCTGGTACAAAATGGTTTATCAGTCAGTGTTCAGTTAAAAAAAAAAAAAAACCATCTCTACAAAAATATAAAAAACTAGCCGGGTGTGGTGACAGGTGCCTCTGGTCTCAGCTACTCAGGAGGCTGAGGTGGGAGGATCACTTGAGCCAGGGAGGTGGAGGTTGCAGTGAGCTGGCATGGCGCCACTGCACTCCAGCCCAGGTGACAGAGTGACAGAGCCTGACTCAATAAAAAAAAAAAGCCTGAAAACAAGAAAAACAGAAACCATTCTAGAAGACATTAGGTGCATACAAAACCAGTGGAATGTCCAGACGACAGAAAATCAAGGCAGGTCATCCCTTTATTTTCAAGTTCACTGCCAACTTGCAATCAATCAAAGTATTATTTCTGTAGTCCAGGCCAAGAACTTAGAGGCTGCCAGAGACAGTAAAGCTTGCTAAGTATTCTATTTACTTTCCTTTATTTCTTAGCTTCTTTGCAGTTATATGGGCCAATTACAATGTGAAAAAATATGTGAATCATTTCTGAGTTAAGACAGAGAAAATCCTACATGCAATTCTCTTGTCTTTTTCTGTGACATAGTTACCTACAAGAATACAAACTTAAATTTAAGCTTAAGTCTCAGTGTTACAAAGATGGTGGAAGCTCCATCAAACTGAACAATAACAAAAAAATTGAATCACTGGTTCAAAGAAAACAAAGTCCCAAATGTTTTTACAAGCATGTTCTAACAAATATTTATTACGAGTTAATTTCAAATTTGCACAAACTGCTTCAGAAATAGTAAATTCTAGTCTAACTTTGATATCCAAATAAGACAATGTCAATACAAAAAAGGAAAATTGTAGGCCAATTAATTTCAACCTAAATGCAATAATGTATATAAAAGTAATATGTAATGACTAAGTATGATTTATTCCAAGAACTCAGGTTTATTTAATGTTATAAAATAAATTAACATAACCTAATACATTAAGATTTTAAAGGAGAAATATAAAACAAAATCTCATTCAATAAAGGAGAAAACATCTCTCTAAATTTATATATTTTTTTGTGATATATCTTAGCAAACCAGGAATTGATAGGAATTATAATAACCTAAAAAGTGTACATACCAAAAACTTACAATAATGATCATACTCAATGATAAAACATTAATTAATATATGAGGATATTTCCATGACCTTGGGTAGGGAATAAAACAAAAAAGCACTAAGCATAAAGGAAAAAACTATTGATGAACTTGACTACCTTAACATTCTGACCTTTTGTTCATGCAAAAACAACAATAAATAACACAAGAAAAACCCTACTCCCCGCTTTGAGCCATGTATTCATCTTTCAAAACTGTTTGCTGTTGCTGCAAATAGCTATAAATTAACTGAACAATGTCACATCAGACACTAAAATCCACGCTCAATAGCTAAACAATGTGCACCCAATCATTAATCAGTGTTACCTCTGTTAACCAATGAGAATTCCTGACAAACGACTTTGTATAAGCCCACCCCGTCCTTTTTTTTTTTTTTTCCTTTAAAAACCTGCTTGTAACAAAAGCCAAATGGAGCTTATATTCAAGGTTACTTGGATCTAAGTCTTCTAGATAGCTGTCCTCCCTTTGGCTCAAATAAACCCTTTAAATTATATGTTTTGCCTCAGCCTCCGTCTTCCTTTTAGATTGATAAATATCATTATGTGCAGTTTTTACATATGCAAATGGAAGCTCAGAGAAGTTAAGTAACTTGTCTAAGTTTGCAAACATAGTAAGATTAATCCAACTGTATAGCCTCCAAATCAAAGCCAGTACATAGTACCATCTTTAAGAGTAACATGGTCTGGAGATTGGCCATGTAACATATGTTACACTATCTTCAGGAGTAGACTGTATCAAAGCGGAATGCACACATTTACTTTTAGATTTTCTTTCATTAGATATATTGACCACATTGTTTGAGGAAAGCAAACTTGAAGTCAATGTTGATATTGGCAATAAATTTCCAGGGTATATTTATAATGTTCTTCAGACGTGTATAATATTAGTAAGATTGTTGGCTATGTGCTTAAGGTTCTTTGTTTCTATTGCCTGTCTGAGCTGGCACTGAAAGAGTTCAGAATAAGTCATCACACCACATTGGCATAAGGATTATTTTGAGCTAAAGGCAATTGAGACTCAGCAGATGCAGGAAGAGCTCTCTACTCTTCTAGGCTTTATCTGCCTAAAAGGAAGGTATGGATTGCCCTTTGAGGAAGATGCCCCTTTTATACTAGGGAGAGAAGAGCTACTATTCTTACTGAAGACAGAGCCAATACCAAGATGAATATGCTTAAACAGACTTTAATAAAAATAGCCCTCATCTTCCATTACTTCGCCCACGTATTTTCATACTGCCTAATCACTTGAAGCCTGATTTTTTTTATTACGAAAATTTATTATAAACATCTAATTGACTTTTTCTAGAATCATTTCAAAGTTAATTTCCCTAAAGCTATAACAGAGAGGAGACATCCTTATGCTGTCTCAGGCACCCCTTCTGATTGGTTGCTGCACATCACTTCTTTTTTTGAAGAGAAGTCATTTTAAAGATAGATTATGTGGCACCTAGCTCCAGAAACTCCATTCTGGTTTGGTCATTTCACACAATGGCCTCCTATAAACTTTGTTTAAAAACTCCAAACCTGTTTTTATCCATTAGAAGGGTAAATAAGCCCCTGCGTCTAACTTATTCAATTCTAACCAGCCTATTTTTTGTGAACTCCAAACCATATAAATATTGACAAAATGTATGTGCTTTTTTATGTCAAAAAAAGAAATATTGACCAGGGTTGAGACTTTCATTTTGATGTTCAAATATCAATACTATAAGATAGACCACTTAAAATTATTCCTGATAGTAAATATATTAGATTCTATTTTTTATTCCTTTAGTTGTTTGTGCATTTTTGTCATTATTTTTCTATATTTTCAATTTTTCTACATTTAAATTGTTTATTATGTCCAAAATGAAAATCATAAAACAAGGTAATTTAAAGTCTTAGTTCCATTCTTGTCCCCTCCTTCCTGTTCTCTCACTCCCTTTAGAATTAACTATTTTTATTAGGTTTTAGTTTATCACTTCATTGCTTCCTTTTGTAAATACATGTGTATTTCCTTTTTCATATATATCCCTTTCCCTTTCACACAAAAAGTCAGTCTTTTTAAGAAAAGCAAATTTGTTACTTGTTGTCAAGGAGCTTGAAGAAATTAAGAGACTTGAGAAAATTAAGAGACTCAGGCTGTATTCCATGCTACTCTCTAGGTGATTCCTGGAATGTCACTCTATTGAACATGTTTTAGTTTCCCCAAGTATTAAAAAAAAAAAGACAGGAGATTAAAGATCTCTAAGTTCTGTTCATTTCTAAGGCAAAAATAAAACAACAAAATTTGAGCCGTGGATGTTGAATCACATCTAGCTTAAGTTGGAGAAAGAGATCTGAGGAATATTAGCAAGTGTCCCAGTGGTTTTATTTAGATGAGCTGATTTTCATTTCTTCTCATTTTCTATGCCAACCCTTTAGAGGTAAAGCCTGCAGGAATGAACTGTAGCTGAACCAAACACGGCATTAGCAAATTGATGAGAATGGACATTTTGTTCATTTTTATAGCAGGCTCTGTTTATGAAAGACTATTAAATGTTTTATCCACTGGGATCATTACCAGTATTTTAAAAAATGACTGCTAGGGCACAAAGTACTGAAGTAGTCTACTCCAAACACTTCAGACAAGATGCACAGTAATAATCAGCATTAGGCTGATGCAGGAGCAAACGTTATAATGACACAAAATAAGGAGAAAGAATCACATGTTTAGTTCAAGTACATTCAAGTCGTTGAGGACAAATGTTGGAAATTTTTAGGAACAACACAAGTGGTCATTGGTAAACAAAGTAAGTATACTTTCTGAGGTTATTTCTCTTGAAAAGGAATATATATTTTAATACTATTTCCAGTAAGTCTTATGCTAACAAAATAGCTCTATCAGACCTCAAATAATCTGAAATTCTCTGGGTTAGTGAATTACTGAGAAACATGCCTTCAAGGGCCCTTTAATTAGTTTGGAGAAGTACATTAAATTATAGTAATACAGGTTAAGCATCCCAAATTCAAAATACTAAAATCTGAAATACTCCAAAATCTAAAACTTCTTGAGTGCCAACATGACACTCAAATGAAATGCTCACTGGAGTATTTTGGATTTCAAGTTTTCTGATTAGGGATGCCCAACTAGTAAGTATAAGGCTAATATTCCAAAATGTAAAAACAAACAAACAAACAAAAAACACCAAAATCCAAAACACTTCTAGTCCCAAGCATTTCTGAAAAGGGAGGCTCAACCTGTAACTTCATGTTCTACAATTATGTGTCTGCTCAACTCTCTCCGCCTCAATAAGATTCAACATGAATAGAAAAAGCTATTTTGAGCTGCAAAGGATCCATGACCTTTCAAACATCTTTAATCCATCCATTTTTTTCTCATTTTCTGTCATCAAGACATTCGAAAAATAGGCTATCCATTTGAGATATCAGACATTTGGTTTTGAGATTCAGTATTAGGAAAACATGGGAACATTTCACATGAAAAGCATTCTTCAGAGAATGAATACCTAGAGAAAGCACTTCCCTTTCTTTTGTTAGGAGAACATTAACTTGGGTACAAATCACTCTTTTACCAAGTTATTTCTTGCATTTGGCTTTCTTTGTGTTCAGCTTATGCTGAGTTTTAGTTTCATCGTTTTTTTTTTTCTGGTAATATTTTATCTGACCAGGTAGAAGTTAAGACACTTGACCTGTGTAAGGACCTGTGCTGAGGGAGGAATCAAGAGATTTGCACAGCTCAGAGGTGAGGGCAATCTAAGAAATAGAATGCAAAGGTGAAATCAAAATGAAAAACCAGGGAAATTATGTGACTGAAGTGTCAATCCAAGAAGCAAGATAGGAACATCCAGTTCTGAGTAGAAGGGGAATAATTTGTGGCTGACCAATGCCTCCTTCAAGAAAACTATAAACACGGAATAAAATATAGATTAACTCTCAAAAACATCAGATAGCTGTTGAACCAAAGAGGACAAGAATGGCTAATTTTCTAAACAGGAGAGAACCTCAGAAAGGTGAGTTGGTAAGAGGCAGTCACTTTTTCCTAGGGGCATTTGCAAATTTTAACAAATTGGCAATTTAAGACTTTCCCAGACTGCTGTTAAAACTAAATACCAGCAAAGTATGTGGTCTTGAGGGTCTGTAGAGAATTGAAGATGAGGAGCCTCAAACACACAACCCTTCAAGACCTCTGCCAATTTCAGAAGATGTGAGGGCAGGAGATTGAAAAGTTAAACAGAAAACATATGAAACACAAAGTAGCATGCTTTTCATGTACTTATGGTACTAGAGAAATAAGAGTAAATTTTAGAACTTGCAAGCTAAGCCCAAAACCTGAAAATCAGAAGAGTTTTTACTGTTTCATAATGCTAATGAGATCAAGATTAGATTCTTCTAGAGAGAGAGAGAGAGCCCAATGAACACACCAAGCATTCAGCTGAAAACCCTAAGAAACAATATCGTAATAACAGGACCAAATAAGAGGTAGACTGAGTCTTACCAAAACTAAACATCAGCCTCAACTCAGTTCAAACCCTAATCACTTTAAATAATCAGTCTTAATTTTGTTTGCCCAGTAGTGGAAAGGGCGAACACACTGGGGAGAAAGAAAAAGTCATCTGGAGCCTATATAATTCTTACATGCAGTGATCAGCATTTGGTTAAAAAAAAAATTTTCCACATGCTGAGAGTGAGGACTATGTTACTGAAAACCAAGAGGGAAAAAAAACATGCAATAGAAATAGAGCCACGGGTAACCTAGATATTGGAATTAGCAAAGACTTTTACTGTAATTAATATGTTCAAAAAAATAAGGAAAATACTTTTTAAAATGAGGAATTTCTCAGAGAACCGTAATCTCTAAAAACAAATCAGACGAAAATTTTAGATTTTAAAAATGTAACATCTGAAATTATGAGTTTGACAGTGATTAGACACAGAAGACAGGATTAATAAACCAGAAGAATGGTCAATAGAAAATATTCAAACTGAAGCACAGAAAGAATAGGAATGGAAAATATAGAAAAAGCACCAGAAACGTGGAACACAGTGAAAAGGCATAGCATACATATAGCCTGTATCCCAAAAGGATAGGAAAGAATGAGACAGAAGAAATATTTGAAACGATAATAGCCACAGATTCAAGAAGCAACCACAAGCACTATGAATACAAATAAAATCACACTTAAACACATCATAATAAAACGGCTGAAAGCCAAAGGCAAGACAAGGAGGAGAATTTGGGTGTGTAGCAGAAGGTTAGAAACTAGGGAGATGCCATATGAACAGAAAAAAAGAAGATGCATTACCTGGATGATCCACCAGGTAGTACAATTGGCAGAGTATTTCAGAAATGGAGCTGAAAACTTGTAAGAATAAAGCTCCAGATAGATGGCCAGACACAGTGGCTCACACTTGCCAGCACTTTGGGAGGCCAAAGTGGGAAGATTGCTAAAGCCTAAGAGTTTGAGACCAGTCTGGGCAACATAGTGTCTCTATAAAAATTAAAACAAAATTAAAAAAAAAAAAGAATTAGTCAGATATGGTGGTATGACTGTGGTCCTAGCTACATGGGAGGCTGAGGTGGGAGGATCCTCTGAGCCCAGGAGGTTGAGGCTGCAGTGAGCTCTGATTGCACCATTGCATTCCAGCCTGGGTGACAGAAAGAGATTCTGTCTAAGAAAAAAAAAAGAGCTAGATAGGATAATTTTGAGCTTCATTTACAGTTCACTTGTGCTAAGAAGCCTAAAAACAATGATTAAAATCCTAAGCAATTTTTGCACTAATTAGAGTCACAAAGCATTTCTTCTCTATTATATCCAATAAACTAATATATATAATTTATTGGCTGAGAAACACTGTAAGTTTTAGGAAGTGTTTGCTTCTTGCTGGTAATCCTGAATCTATGAGGACTGCTACCTGTGACTCTTTCAGTCAGGAGCCCAGCCTTTGAAAAACTGAACCAAAGAAAGGAAGATCTAGTGAGTATATCAGTGTCATCTACAGGCATATTTCTGTTTCACGTTGTTTACAAGAATGATTCAGAAGTTTTGATAGAGGATGGTGAAGAGAGGGCCAATATTTGTATATTGGATGGCTCCTCCTCTTATTTCTGGTTAAAAACCTCTGCTTCTCGTGGTGAATGCAAAGGAACCATCCAAAAATCCTATTAAGATGCAGATTCCAATTCAATAGATCTAGGGTGGGACCTGGTATTCCTCATTTCTAACAAACTTCCAAGTGATGCTGGATACTGCTGGACTACAGAACATTTTTAAAAGTGAGGTGTTAGGTACACCCTAAATCATCTAAAATTTGACCACTCTGGCAGACAGTTGTGAATTGCCTTAAGACAGAGGGTCAAAAGTTTTCCTAAGAAGACAGAGGGGTGCTCAGTGATTGTATTTTTGAAGCGTTTACTATAATATTATTCTGAACAGTAACTGCTGTGTTTGCAGAAGACGTTAATGCATGTTCCCTTAGAAGAAACAGTTCCATGGTCAAATAAGTTTAGGGAGCATTTGCATACTTTTTTTCTCCTCTAAAAGATTCACAATGCACATTTTCATTGTCGTAATGCTGAACCGTCTGCAGTAGGGAAATATGTTTAGCCTGACAATTCCTTTATTTAACTAGTATGAGTCGGAGGAACTAGTGATACATGGAACACACTTTGGGAAATACAACCACATCATAGAGCAGTAGTTTACGACTTTGGTGTATATCAGAATTAGTTGGAGAGCTAATAGAAAACATCAGATGCCTTTGTATTTTTACTTTTACTAAATTCCAGAGGTAACTGTGATACCCATCAGGGTTTTAGAACCATTGCTATACAGTAATCTCAGAGGAGTTTTTGTTACCACTTGAGGAGGGAGAGTTGCCTATTAGCCAACCTTCTCTCTTTCCAACTTGCTCTGTCAAAGTCCATGCTATCCCTGGGAAGACCAGCATCAGCTATGAACTGCCTTCATTTAAGGAAGAGCATTCAGATCAGATGGGGCTCAATGGCAGTTTTGTGGGAATAGCATTGAATCTATAAATTACTTTTGGTAGTATGACCATTTTCATGATATTGATTCTTCCTATCCATGAGCATGGAATGTTTTTCCATTTGTTTGTGTCCTCTCTGATTTCCTTTAGCAGTGGTTTGTAGTTCTCCTTGAAGAGGTCCTTCACTTCTCTTGTTAGCTGTATTCCTATTCTTGTTGTAGCAATTGTGAATGGGAGTTATTCATGATTTGGCTCTCTGCTTGCCTGTTGTTGGTGTATTGGAATGTTAACAATTTTTGCACATTGATTTTGTATCCTGAGACTTTGCTGAAGTTGCTTTTTAGCTTGAGAAGATTTTGGGCTGAGATGATGGGATTTTCTAGATCATGTCATCTGCAAACATAGATAATTTGACTTCCTCTCTCCCTATTTGAATACCCTTTATTTCTTTCTCTTGCCTGATTGCCCTGGCCAGAACTTCCAATACCATGTTGAATAGCAATGGTAAGAAACAACAGACTTGCCTTGTGCTGGTTTTCAAGGGGAATTCTTCCAGCTTTTGCCCATTCAGTATGATATTGGCTGTGGGTTTGTTATATATGGTTCTTGTTATTTTGAGGTATGTTCCTTCAATATCTAGTTTATTTAGAGTTTTTAACATGAAGCAATGTTGAATTTTATTGAAGGCCTTTTCTGCATCTATTGAGATAATCTTGTGTTATTTGTCTTTAGTTCTGCCTATGTAATGAATTACATTTATTGATTTGCATATATTGAACCAACCTTGCATCCCAGGGAAGAAGCCAATTTGATAGTGATGGATAAGCTTTTTGATGTGTTGCTGGATTCGGTTTGCCAGTATTTTATTGAGGATTTTTGCATTAATGTTCATCAGGGATACTGGCTTGAAGTTTTCTCTTTTTCTTGTCTTCTGCTAGTTTTGGGGTTTGTTTGGTTTAGGTTCTCTAGTTCTTTTAATTATGGTGTTAGGTTGTTAATCTGAGATCTTTCTAGCTTTTTGATGTGGGCATTTAGTGCTATAAATTTACCTCTTAACACTACTTTAGCTGCATCCCAGAGATTCTGGTACATTGTCTCTTTGTTCTCATTAGTTTTAAAATTCATATGAAACCTAAAAAGAGCCCAAATAGCCAAGACAATCCTAAGCAAAAAGAACAAAGCTGGAGTCACCATGCTACCCAACTTCAAACTGTACTACATGGCTACAGTAATGAAAACAGCATGGTACTGGTACAAAAACAGACACATAGACCAATGGAACAGAATAGAGAACTCAGAAATAAGACTACTCAGCTGCAACCATTGAATCTTCAACAAACCTGACAAAAACAAGCAATGAGGAAAGGATTCCCTATTTAATAAATAGTGCCAGAAGAACTGGCTAGCCACATGCAGAAAACTGGAACTGGATTAATTCCTTGCACCTTATACAAAAATTAACTCAAGACAGATTAAAAACTTAAATGTAAAACCCAAAACTATAAAAACCCTAGGAGAAAATCTAGGCAATACCATTTAGGACATAGACACAGGCACAGATTTCATGATGAAAACACCAAAAGCAATTGCAACAAAAGCAAAAATTGACATGTGGAATCTGATAACTAAAGAGCTTCTGCACAGCAAAATAAACTATCATCAGAGTGAACAGACAACTTACAAAACGGGAGAAAATTTTTGCAATCTATCCCTCTGACAAAGGTCTAACATCCAGAGTCCACAAGGAACTTAAACAAATTTACAATAATAAAAAACAAACAATCCCACTAAAAAGTGGGCAAAGGGCATGAACAGACACTTCTCAAAAGAAGACATTTATGCAGCTGACAAACATATGAAACAAAGTTTAACATCACTGATCATTAGAGAAATGCAAATCAAAACCACAATGATACACTGTCTCAAGCTAGTCAGAATGGCAATTATTAAAATGTCCAGAAACAACAGATGCTGGCAAGGTTGTAGAGAAAATGGAACACTTTTACACCGTTGGTGGGAGTGTAAATTATTTCAACCATTGTGGAAGACAGTGTGATCATTTCTCAAAGATCTAGAAGCAGAAATACCATTTGACATGAAAATACCAAAGACATGGAATTAACCCAAATGCCCATCAGTGATAGACTGGATAAAGAAAATGTGGTACATATATACCATGGAATACTATACAGCCATAAAAAGGAATGAGATAATGTCCTTTACAGGGACATGGATGGAGCTGGAAGCCATTATCCTCATCAAACTAATGCAGGAACAGAAAACCAAACACCACATGTTCTCACTTATAAGTTGGAGCTGAACAATATGAACACATAGACATAGGGTGGGGAACTACACACACAGGTGCCTATGGGGAGGGAGGGAGAGCATCAGGAAGAATAGCTAATGGATGCTGGGCATAATACCAAGGTGATGGGTTGATCTGTGCAGCAAACCACCATGGCACATGTTTACCTGTGTAACAAATCCTGCACATGTACCCTAGAACTTAAAAGCTGAAGGACAAAAAAAGAGAGAGAGAGAGATTCCTCTATACATTCTACATACTGCAGGAATTCCTCAAAGTCTTTTCATTGTAATCTCCTGGTCAACAGTAGCTATCCCTTAGCCCTGCTCCAAATCAGAACTCAAGAGAATTTTCTCTCCAGAACCAATTTATTGGTTCTTTGAACAAGGCTTAGTTAATCAGGATTTTAGTAGCAGTCAGTGAACAAAACCAACAAGGCAGTCCCGTGAGGCAAAAGGAAGGGAAAGACAATAAACAAGTAAACCAATAAATAAGATAATTTCAGATAGAAGTCAGTGCTGTTGAAAAAATACATAGTGCCATGGGACAGAGAATGACTAAGTCAGGGATTCTGTTGAGATCCTGTGATCCTAAAAGGCTATAAATGCACTAGGGCCAGTCAAGGTAATGTGGACACCATCACAGAGAGGAAATTGGCCCTGATAGCTCAGATGGGATTGGCCCTGATGGTTCAGAAAACTTCACCAGCTACCCCCATATATATCTGGCAGGCTATATCTCCTGTACCCACTGTTGCATGACTGGCTTATACAGGACCCCAAATAAATATTGGTGAATGGTTGGTTGGTTGGTTGGATGGATGAATATCTAGTTAACTCTAGTGATTCTGACAAGATCCATCTGGTGAGGCCTTAAATCAGGGCTTGTTTAAGCTATTGAGCCAAACTGATTATTCTGTTTGAGGAACAGCTCCCTCCTATTAGGCATATGTAGTACTCTGTACCTGACCCTGAAGCACAAGAAGGAAATGGGCTAAGAATACAAAAAAACCCTTTTGTGCCACAGAGTCAATGACCACTTCATTACAGCCCAACTGGAATGCACTACAGACCCTTAAAGGGAAATGGTTCCTCACTTCCCCAAGTACTTGAAGCAGCTGTGGTCTATTCATCAGGGTTCTTAGTTGCAGGCAACAGAGACGGATTCTAGCGATTCGTTAGAAAAGAGTTTATTAAAATGGCATTCTTACATCACATTATCTCTGGGGAGGACAGAGAACCAGATCTGGAGGTGCTAGCCAGCCAGGAACAATGCCAAAATTATACCACTGAATTGGTCTACTGAAAACACTAGGATTCTGCTGTCAGAACTGTCATTGCCAATACCTCAGGCAACTGGATGGAGCTGCTGCCTCCACTCTCTTCCATCACCAGACAGGATTTTATACACATCCTACCTCTTTAAGTTAATTCCTTTGGACCGAAGCTTGGGGTGGACATATCTGATAGGCAGATTCTAAGTCACAGTTTCAGGAAAAGCTAGGAAAATGAGCATGTGGCATTTTCAGCTTCTAAGTAGGAGATGGCCCTACCCCATTAGGGAAGGAATCTCCCTGCAGTCACAAGAAGGGGGTTTGAATTCCGAACAGCCAAAAAGAAGAGCAGATGTCAACTACAGCTGGAGTAGAGAAAGTAAGACCAAGAAAAGAAGATCAGAGACGCTATCTTGACCCTGCTGGGGAATAAAAACATAGGACGCTAAGAAGCAAAGCAAAGCAATTGCATGAAGGTACAAAACCAACGCATCAAGATATGAGTCCAAAGGCTGTTCTACGATCTAGTCTTGCCAGTAGCTCTGATATTTTGGTCTCTAGGCATTGGGCTTGTGTGTTAATAAGTATTGGTTAATTCATAACTTGGGAGGGGAATCTTATTTACTGGCCCATATATCCCCCAACAGATGCTGTTAGTATTTGTTTTCTGACACTCTCTTTTCTAAGTCTCCGTGTTTAGCCAATAGTCTCAAATAAACAAATATATTAAGTACTGACTCTGTGCCAGGTATTATGCTAAAAACCTTATATGGATATCTTATTGAATCTGCACCATGATCCTGAATACAAAGAGAGACAATGAGGCTCTAATCGATTAAATAAGTTGCTCAAGATAATAAAACTAGTAAGTGGCAGAGCCTGATGTCTTTCTTTAGATATGTTAATACCTATCTGTTTCTATTAGATAGGTTAATATCTTCAAACAGGTTATAGTCAGTTCTTTACCACCATTCAGACTGTTTAATGTAACTTAATGATTTTCTGCTTTGAGTTCATTAAACGTTGCCCTTTGTTTTAGTACACAGGGAAGAATCTTGTTTTTCTATTTTCAAGTTCTTGATTAGAAAGTTATTAGGGGAGAGAGAAGACTTCATGGTTGTTCCCATGTGCTTTCCACATGGCCAAGGCAAGACATCATTCTATCTATTTTCCAGATGAGGAAACTGGACCCACAGTCAAAGCAGATGTAAGTTGTAAAGCAGGATGCCAAGATCAGTGCCCTTTCAACTGCACCATTGTTGAGGAAGGGCAAATAGATTGTGATTTGTATGCTGACTAGCTGGTATACTCATTTTCTATGGCTGCTGTAACAAATTATCACTAGTTTAGTGGCTTAAACAACACATAGTTATTATCTAAAGGATTCTTCCAAAGTTAAAAGTTTGGGTAGGTAGACATTCTGCCTACCACAGCTGGTTAAGGCTGTGTTAAGAAGGATTCTGAGGCTATGTCTGTGTTCATCAGGAAAGATAACCCTGGCCAATTAGCAATGTCTACCATGGATTCAGAAGGAAATACCATGTATTTTCTATCTTACCATAGATGCAGGCTAAAAGAAGGAGAGTATTAAAATACCTACTGATAAGGCTTTAGGACCAACAGGTTCATATGCCTTCTACACAGTAATAGTTCAATACACTGAGACAGCAGGGTTTGCAGCAGAGAAAGACTTTAACAATCACAGGGCACCGAGTGAGGAGAGGAGAGGAGAGGAGAGGAGAGGAGACCCTCAAATCCATCTCCCTGATTTTTCCTGGGCTGGTGTTTTTAAGGGGATCAGGGACAGTGAGGGTCAAAAGTCAAAAGTTTTCCTAAGAAGGGTAAAGGGAATGTGGGAACCGCATTCTTTAGTGAGTCAGCTTCTTGTGGGGTCCTTCAGGCAAGCAGGTGTCAGTAGTTTCACTGGTACACAGGACCTGAAGGAATATCTCAAAGGAAAAGCTTAATGTTTTGTAGTGTTTGAGTTTTTATCTATACAGCAGTTCAGGGGAGCTATAGTCTTACAGCAGGGTCTGCATGATTCTGGGGCAATAGGCCACAAACCACTATGGGGAAGCAGGTCAGAGGGCAAGCTGACCTCATAACAAACACTGACAGTGCTGCCAGCTTGGTTTATTTTTGTTTCTCCCCTCCATGCTTCTCTGATTAATTTTATAAAGTTTGTAGGAATGGCTTCAATAAGAGGAGTGACAGCCAGTTTGTGGGCTCCAGCCCTTGCTGGAAGGACCCTTAGAAGCAGAAGCAGAGTGCTCCAGTGCTCTGCCTGGTTCCATACTGTTGTAGTTTTTCTCTTCCTGGAGCTGGAGATACTTGACCCTCTGGCAAGGTGAGCCCCTGCCCAGGTTCCAGGAATGATGCTGTCTCACTGGATCTCCTGAATCTCTACACAGCGGCAGGCCCAGTGCTAGGTGCTGGAGCATCAGGGTAGATACAGTTCTCTCACAATGGGATACAACACTACAGGATAGCTGCAGACCTGAGGGGCTTACGCTTAAAATGGGAGACAGACTGGCCAAGAAATGGATATTCAAGGAAAAATTATGTTACTTCCCAGGGTTCACTTGTCCTATGCTTTCTACCTCCATGACCACACTCAGACTGCCTAAAATGCTCTGCTGTTTTGCTAACTCCAATCCTGTTCATTCTGCAAACACTACTTCCTCTTTGATCCTCCCCAGCTGGAAGAAAGTCCATTTTCTCATTGTAGTTTTCTTTTTTAGCATATCTGAGGCCACTGATGTTCCCATACTCCACAAATACCTTATTGAGGACCCACCCTATGCTGGGTACTGCATCTGGCACTGGGGACATACTAGGGATAAAAGGTACAGACTTGGCCCCTTTTTATGGAAATGACAGAACAGTGGGGAAGGCAGATATGAGTCAAGTCATCACACCATTAAATATTATAAAGGGGCACCTAGAATCAGTCCTACAAGGAATAGGTACATGGTATTCTGAGAGTTATGAAGCTGCCTTGGAAGTGACAATTGATCTCAAATCTGAAGGCTGAACAGAAATTAACTAGATGAAAAAGAAAGAGAAGTCCATTCCAGGCAGAAGACACATGTCAGGGAAGCAGTGCATGGAGAGAGCTCTGCTCTCTCTGAAAGGAAGGCAGTGGCTGGAAAGGAGCAAGAGGTCTGGTGCTGGCTGGAGTGGAGAGACAGGCCAGAGCCAGGGCATGCGGGGCAAATTCAATGCTTTGATCTTCGTCCCAATAACTAACTGTGTGTCCACTCCTCTTGCCCTTACCCACTCTAAGCTCCTCGGGTATCCCTTACCCTTTAAGAATCTTGGTTCCCTCTACCAGATCTCTGTGTTTAGGACTATATGAGAAGTGTTAGCTATAATTTCAAGCTACAGGCACACTTAAAGATAAAAATAAAGTACATTCCTGAGAATGGGGAAGTGGGGTTCACCCTTGAACAAATAATTAGGGCTTGGAAAGAGGAGAGGTTGAGATATAAAACCATCTTTCTGTTTCTGTATGATATACTCAACCAAAGTGAACAATGCCACTTGTTAGTCAGCAAACAACCAATGTGAAATGTCCACAAACATATGCACTAAAATCTAACAGACTTCAATCTGAGACTTCGAAATTCCTTGGCAAGTTGGGGTCCTCATCTCTAAAGGGTGGCAGAGGTCTTGAGCTTACAGAGTGGCAACGTCTATAACTCCCATAGTGGCTTGCATAGGTGCAATAACCAATCATAAATGTTAAACAGAATTTTAGGACACTGAGAACTTTTATGTAATCAACAAATGCATATAGGATCATTTTTTGGAGTTTTGTCAATGAGGAGGCAGAACACGGTGAAGGAGCATTGGCTGAGATGTAGAAGGACAATTCCTTTTTCTCACTCAAGCTCTGTCACAGAGGCGTTCCTGGGCCCTGGAAACCCTTTCAAGCCATCATAAGCCCCCCTCTCATTGCAAAATGTGATGATGTCACCTTCTTAAGTATATTCATAAGAAAGGCAAAAGCTGAAGAATAATCAAAACTACCTGGAAAATGCCTGAAGAAGGCACGATGCTGGAGCCTGACATGACACACACCATCTCTAAGTCCAACATTGCCAATTTATCTTCCAGTGCTGGAAAGAACTGCTGTTGATTTAACTGAACACCAGATGAGGTTCCTGGCTTGCATTCAGGAGCCATGTTGTAACAAAAAATGTACCTTCTCTTTAAACACTGAAATCACATTCAGGGAGGTGAGATGCTTCCGTTCCAAGAAGCACATCATCCTGAGGTAATAGTACAAGATGTACATCTCCTGTTTCCCCAACTGCTGTTTCTCCACCTGCTGAGAGTAGAAAATTGTACCTCCTCAGCCCTACTTGCTTCAAAAGGATTCTGTAAGGATAAATATGGGTGCGTGTTATCTTTGTAACTTTACAAAATTTACAAACTTTGCAAAGCCCAAGTCAGTGAAATAAAATCTCCAAAATCAAGTTACCATGTTGACACTAAGTTTTATGTGGCCAACATTTACATTAATGTAACATCAATACATATATAAAACAATAGAATCCCAAGACTACAAGTATTTTTGGAAGAACCCAGCCCAATTCCCAACCCAATGTAGAATCCCAATCAAAAGTTACTCATGGATTTTGAATTACGCAGGAGTCGGTGTCCCTAACCCTTGCAATGTTCAAGGGTCAACTATAAGGGCAGACTAAGGTCACCTCTCAAATAACTCTCACAGCCCCTAAGCAAATGGAGTCCCCTAAATTTTCCTGATTTCATGGTTCTAAAAAGAACAATGGCTGAGAAAAGGAGTAGCTAAGAGAAAAGTAGTACTCAAAGGAAATAGTAGCTCAGAGACAGGGAGCTCGCTTTTTAACTAGGTGACCTATTCCGTTGTGCTTAGAAATTTTACATTTAGTAATTTGACATCTGCTTCCTCAGAACTTTCTCTCACAGATCTCAGTAATATCTTTTGCAGCCACACAAAATATGTATTTTTCTATGTGATAACACCTCAGATACTTAAGGGCAGCAATAATCTCTCCTCTTCTCACAGGACATTGGTACCAAAGTTCTCATTTACCATCCTAGGCATCTACCTCCACATATGCAAAATGTATCAGTGTCCCCATTACAGGGTGGGAAGGAGAATCTAGCCTGCCTATATGTGAGGTTCCTCTACTGGAAAAACTCTTCCATCCTGGAATAATAGCTGAAGATCCAGAGTAAATTTAACATAGGGCTATAGTTCGAATACTCTTTTCTTAAATGAAAATTTCAGTTGTGTTCTGACCCAGAACATGAACAAAAAAAAGGAACACAAAAGAAAAAATTTACTTAATTCCACAAAAAGGAATTCAATTTCTAAAGCTCTTCATCATTTAAACATTTGAAATTGCTCCGGGGCTTCTTTTTGGGATCATGCAGGCATGCCACCCCTGGAATTCACTTCTGAAGGATCCAGATTGAGCAGAATCAAGATATTGGGATTTATGTTTTCTAATAAACTGAGATAATCAGGAATGTCACAGCTATTTCTCAAAAACACTATAACCTGGGGAACCCATTAACCTTGACATAACTACAGTTGACTCTTGAATGATACAGGTTTGAACTGAGTGGGTCCAGTTCTTTTTTTGTTGTTGCTGTTGTTTTTGTTTTTTTTGAGATGGAGTCTCACTCTGTCACCCAGGCTGGAGTGCAGTGGCGCGATCTCAGCTCACTGCAAGCTCCGCTTCCCGGGTTCACGCCATTCTCCTGCCTCAGCCTCCTGAGTAGCTGGGACTACAGGCGCCCGCCACTGCGCCCGGCTAATTTTTTGTATTTTTAGTAGAGACGGGGTTTCACCATGTTAGCCAGGATGGTCTCGATCTCCTGACCTCGTGATCCGCCCGCCTCGGCCTCCCAAAGTGCTGGGATTACAGGCGTGAGCCACCGCACCCGGCGGGTCCAGTTCCATCCTGATTTTTTCTGCCACCAAAGGTAGCAAGACAAACCCTTCCTCCTCCTCTTCCTCCTCAGCCCACCCAACGTGAAGACAATGACGATGAAGTCCTCTATGATGATCCACTTCCACTTAATGAATATAACTGTATCTTCTCTTCCTTATGATTTTCTTACTAACATGTCCTTTTCTCTAGTTTGATTGTAAGAATACGGTAGATAATACATTTAACATACAAAATATGTGTTAACTATGTTATCAGTAGGGCTTCTGGTCAACAGTAGGCTATCAGTAGTTAAGTTTTTGAGCAGTCAAAAGTTACTCATGTATTTTGAATTACGCAGGAGTCGATGTCCCTAACCCTTGCACTGTTCAAGGGTCAACTGTAAGTGCAGACTAAGGTCACCTCCTGAATAACTCTCACAGCTCCTAAACAAATGGAGTTCCCTAAATTTTCCTGATTTCATGGTTCTTAAAAGAACAATGGCTAATTCCACCAGACACATACTTCTCTCTGTTATCTATTCTGATCACTCTCTGGGCTTTGCAATGTCTTGGATGTATAGCATATACAGGCTGGGATATATACTGTGAAATCTGTTTATGAATTGCTAAGAGATGACAAGTTTAAAAATACAGTGTAGGAAAATTACTCATGGTTGTGGAGGAAGATGGGGAAAAGTGCCAAATGGGGCTTTTAATGAAGCTGTCTCAGTGTGAACATATGTAAAAATAACTTTTAGATATAGGAATTATGATGAACAAAAATGATCTAGCTAAGTTAAGAAAACCTATAGGTACACAAGATCCTGGTGATTATATGTATGATGAACAGCTTATTCAGGAAGGACCATTTTGTTTCCTGTTAGTGGATCAACATACTTGGCTCCCCAAAAAACACTCCAACTAGACAAAACATATCAACACATTAGTCAGAAATATAGCTTTATTATCATAATATTTCATAATCTAAAAACTTCTTTAATTCTGGAACAGAATATTCCAACTTCTGTACAACTGACTGGCCCTGCAGAATACTGGAAAACAATGTCTAAGCAACTTGAACCTTGCAGATAAGAACCTGTAACCTAGTTTGGGAAAAAGGGAAAAAGCAAGAAAAGCGGTTCAAAGGAAGATTTCTTCCCTACAAGACAAATAAAATTAAATCTACTCTCCATTTCAACCTTGAACATAGTTTCCCAGAAACTTTGGTGATTTCTTCAAAAAAGCAACCGCCTTAACTCTAAGGTCAACGGCCCATGTGGACAAAGAAAATATTTAAAAATAAGACACAAACAGGACATGGTACTTAGCTCAGGCCATGGTATGTTAAGTGGAGTATGCTTCTGAGTAAGCCATCTCCCATGTTTTGACACTAAATTTATGTCTCTAAGGAGGCACAACATACATAACACATTTCTTTATATGGGGTCAAAATTTAGTGGGAACGTAAAAAAACATTTTAATATAATAAACAAATCTCAAAATAATTCGTCTTGTGAAATGTAGAGTAGGATGACATTATGGTACTTTCTGAAGATCATGGGGTACCACTGTCAAAGAGAGTTGCCATGCCCTCTATGTTAGATGAAAATCCAAAATGTCAGTTACTTTAAATAAAACAGAAACAAGTTGTCATTGCACACACATTACAGGACAAAGAGCATGCAATACAACTAACAAGTCATGTTTTTAGTATGTAAAAGGCTAAGGTGCAATCATGGTATAAGCATCAATAATAAATAACTTTAGAGGGGGAAGTTAATTCTCCAAATAAATAATAATTATAACATTACAATTTTTACAATGTTAGCCTAAACAGTGCTATTCACAGCAATGTTTTTGCCCACTTGATAGCTGCTTATATATCACATGAATGATCTACCCCCCCCATAAACTGAAAGTCAAAGTGAAGATTCAAGAACATTTTCATTATGGTAGGTTCAGAATGTTTGTATAATGATAAGTTACACTTTTCAATTGACTGGCATTTTAAGCAACTGCTTTATTTCCTATTTTTAATGCGCTGCTAATTTGATGCTTATTGCAGTAACAATCATAATTCTGCCAATGTTAATTACGTTACAGTTTTGATTTTTTAAATAAGAGAATTCAGTTTACATGAACAAACATATATAGTTTAAAAACCACCCACCACAAACACACACTTTCTCCATGAGTATTTAAAAATAAATTATTAATATACTTAACATATATATTTTGTATGTGTTATATATATGTATATATGTATATATTTGTGGACAAAATTATTCCTGTTTTCAGAAGAATGTCAGCACTTGTAAACTCTGCAAGAGACCTGATGATATTGCTAAATTTAAGGAAAAAATAACATGGAAATTCATTCTTGAGGAAAATCATACAGCAGGAAATTCTTAACAGCTCTTTGTGGAAACTAAAGCCATTTTAGGGAGGGAAGGAGGGGAAGACAGTGTCAGATTCTGGCTCCTACATGCATTGTTTATTTCAGAAATTACTTTAGAATGCAACATAGAGTGAACACTCCAGATACTTGGTTGAAAGATACCTGAAGCCCTTAACAGGGCACAGAAGCAGCAGGAGGCAAAGTGAACCACCCAGTGGAAAAGTTAAGCCAGCGAAGAGAAAGTCATGCCCATAGCAGAGAGAGAGAGGGCCACTGACACTGGCCGGGAAGCAGGTCTTAGGAAAGGGCTTGGCGACACCCGCAGTGCTTCCAGGATGGTCACGATGCACGATGCACCAAGCGTGCAGTCCACTGTCATTCCAACCACCTAGCCACCCAGCCCATGCTGGGTGCTAATCAAAAGAGGATTTTACTTCGCTCCCCAGCCATATCCACAGAAGCAGCTATTAAGATAGAGGCTGGCAGCATGGTCTGTGGGTGCAGAATACTCAGCCAAAGAAGACGGCAGAGGTGTACCAAAATCTGAATAAACATGCATCTAGGCCACCAAAAAACCTCAATCAAACAAACGAACTGAAAGACACCCTGTCGGAATGAGAACTGAAGTCTGACTGAACGAGTCCCTTGAGCAACCCAGAAATTGAAATCTTGATTAACCAGAATACTCGGGGAATGGGAATCCTTATTTTGGAGGCTTTCAAATTAGCTGAGGGGAAGGTTATACACAAACACAAATATTTTCATTTTACTGCTATTAACAGAACTTTACACTGCCATTCCTTGCCTCGCACTTTGGAGAGCAGTGGGCACAGATGAATTTTCTCCCTAGGCCTGACATTTTGTGTGGCCTTGGTCCTGAAAATTAGTGACCACTGCATAGAAGCCCAGATGCCAAGATTACTGGAGACTGGGCCAGTTACTTTAGAAGTTAGAGCTTTAAGATTGATTTAATTTTTTTATTCTTTCTGTAATTTGCAAGCTTCTAAAAGGGGGTTATAATAAAATTCTGGTTCACTAAGATTCCCATTTGCTAAGCTCTGGTTAATTGAGGTGCTTGCCTGTGTTATGCCCTTGGCTTTTCCAATGTGTCTTACTATGGAATGTTTCCAGAAAGACATTACTGTTGGCTCCTGGAACAACGTTCCCCAAAGCCCAGCGATGATTGGTCCAGCACCACCCACCCTTTTAGATGATGTTCACAATGGCTGTTGGCTTTTTTTTAGCCATTTTGGGCCTGATGTTGCCTTTGCGGCCAAACCCCAGGAGCTCCCCTTTCTTTGGAGGTCTGCAGAGGTCTCTTGAGGACTCAGCCTGTTCGTGAATGGCCTTGGCAGGCTGCATGCTGGCTCTGTCATCCTTGGCCTTTTTCAGGTGGTTCCTTCCCTTTGGGTGGAAATGGGCCTTGAGATCAGGGTGGTTACATACCGAATGCGGGTGCCCTCGGCTTCTACAGAGGGTTGGAGGGGGGAGTGGAGAAGAGATGAGCAGAAAGAAAGATTTCTTTAAAACCTTAAAAGAATAATTACTCATGGCACAATCTCTCCTACATGCTACAGTGGTGATAATGCTACCACAAAGGCAAATCATAATATGAGTATTTTTCTTCCAAAAATTCCTGTGGTCGCCATGAAAAGATCACATGGTACTAAATTCCCAGGGAGATATTACTAGTTCTATTTACAGTGATAAGACTGAGGTATAGAAAATGTTAATGACTACCCCGAATAATACAGACAGTTGGTCTATGGAGAAGATGGGACCAGAACTCATGTCTCTTGACTTGTTAAGTGACGACTAGCAGACTCAGACAAATTCACTGCATAGATGTTGTAAAGCATATGACTGCCAGGATGAATTTACATAAACAATGTAGTACATGAACTACATTAATAGTACTATAGAGTTATTATGACCACACTATACCTCAATAAGAGAAAGTTATACTATATAATACTCTAAAAATATTCCTCCAGTGCCATCATAGTGGTATATACTAATAGACTAGTAGGATATTGAAAGGTCACATCAACTTTTCACAAAGTTAGATACACATGCAGGTCAGTTTTCACTTAAGCCTCCCAAAGCCATTTATAATATAGATATCATATAAAATAGATACGATCTCATATAAAATGCAACAGGAAAACATACAATACAAACATTATCAAATGGCCCAAGTATAAAAATACATACATACAGGCATTTGGGCTTCCTATTTGAGGAGATGTCTGTAAGCTGAAGGAAAACAAATAAGAAAAAATGTTAACTGCATTTGAGGACTGGATTTGGTTTTTAAAATATTTCTTATACTTTCTAAAAACTGCATTCCCATTAAGGGAGTCAGTGACTGCTACTGGTAGCACGACCTGCAGCACCATCCATTGCATCAGTGAACAAGAACATCTCATGCTCAGCCTTTGCTTGCTTACTCCAGGAGCCTCTGTGGGCACTTGTTCTAAGATTTCTGAGAAGTCTATGTCAGCAGATCTCAAAAATCTCAAACACGCAAAAGAGCCCCCCAGTAGAGCAACATTTGAAGAAATATGTTTCCAAGTACTGGAATGCCTTTGCATCCTCATAGCTTAGTTCCCACTTGCAAGTGAGAACACAAGATACTTGGTTTTCCATTCCTGAGTTACTTCACTTAGAATAATGGCCTCCAGCTCCAACCAAGTTGCTGCAAAGACCATTATTTCATTCCATTTTATGGCTGAGTAGTATTCCATGGTTCACATATACCACATTTTCTTTATCCACTCGTTGGTTGATGGGCACTTAGGCTGATTCCATATTTTTGCAGTTGCAAATTGTGCTGCTATAAACATGTGTGTGCATGTGTCTTTCTCATATAATTTACTTCTTTTCCTTTGGGTAGATACCCAGTAGAGGGATTGCTGGATCGAACAGTAGTTCTACTTTTAGTTATTCAAGGAGTGGGGTGACGGATAAAAGACAACATATTGGTATAATGTACACTGCTCACGTGATGGGTGCACCAAAATCTAAGAAATCACCACTAAAGAATTTATTCATGTAACCAAAAACCACCTGTTCCTCCCAAAACCATTGAAATAAAATAAATACATAAAATTTGAAAACTTGAAATGATCTGCCATGATTTCTTGATTGATTCAGGCTGTATTTGCAGCTAATCTATAGCTGTGGCCAGTCACAATGTATCAACTAAGGGGAACACTGACATAAAAGGTTTCTTGCCTATAATACATCATTCCTAAAATGAGAGAATATGAAGAACAACCCCACAAATGTCCCTGAGGCTGTCTATCATTGAGATGATTTCCCACTCCTAATAACTCATGCAATAAAATATCTGCATGCACTTTTGTGGCTGGGCTTGGAATATTCTCATCTGCAGAATAAATTGATAATTATCATTTTGTGATAGAGATGTCACCATCCAGTGTATAGGCAGTGTATTTCCATCCCCCTGATCCTGATCTTCCTCATGTAGTTTTCACTAGAATAAGTGGTGTCACATTAGCAGGCAGACCAACAGAAGAAGAGAAACGACAAATAAAATATGGAGAAAAGGCCACCTTGGTATTTGGGCCAGTGTGGCCAAGATATATGTCCCTGCTGTACTAAAATGATCTGAAAACCCAAGCTCAGCCTAACAGGATCACTGCCTGCATTCTTCTGTCTGCAGCAAGCCGCAAAGGAAGTTCCTTAAAAAAAAAAAAGGAGGCTCAGGTCATGAGGAGACAAGATAGGATTCTTGTGTTCTGTCTTTTGACACAATCAGAACTCAGCAATATTTTGAGCCTGCTCATGCAGGCTAGGTTTGGCTTCAGATTAGTAAAGTGTAACAGAAAAAGGCACCGTTATCACATGAGGTCCCAAAGATTATGCAACATACAAAGAAGGTGGGACAGATGGCTCCGGCAAACGCCAGGCTGGTAGCTTCTGGGGAACCAAAGGCACTGGCATCAACTTTCTCTACCCCACCATCACCAATAAGTATTTCTCAGCTGGGCTCCTTCAGTGAACTTCAGTCAATGTATAAATTGTAAAAATAAACAAGGATTTTCTTCCTTTAAATCTTTTCTCCTTATTGTTTTTTTAATTATTAGAGCATAACAAAATGTGTTCACTTTACCGTTTGTATGTATGTAAGTGGCAGTTTAATGATTTGTTGCATACATTTGTATACATACTGCTCTTTGGAATTTTATGCAAAATTGAGAGAGAGAGAGAGAGAACAAATACATGTGTGTGTATGTTTCTGTCCCTGAGAAAAAGACTAACAGTGTTATCACATATTCAAAGTGATCTCTGATTTCAAAAATGTTTTTAGAACTCCAACCTTAGTGACTATGAATGTCACTAATGGGCCCTGCTGGGACCTCAAGATATGAAAGGACTTTACTGTGTCTTACCAAGAGGGAAATGCATGATAAAGATGAGTAAAGATGGGTCATGAAGCTCACACATATAAAGGTACTATAAATTGTGCATGTCTAGATGTCACACACCAGATCAAAAACTGACCACAGAACAGGCAGAATTAACCCTCACAGCAGCCCTAGGAGGTAAGCATCATCATTCCAATTTTAGAGATACGGAAGCTAAGGCAGCAGAGTTAAGTAACTGATTTGAAGCCTCGGTGCTTTACCAGTGTTCGGGCTGGGCTTCAAATCCAAGTTAGCAGACTCCAAGCCTGAGCAAGGCTTCACTCTGTACTGTATTCTTAAAAACTATGTGTTCATGTACATACATATAAGAACAAAGAAGTATGTACACAATAAATTAAGTGGAATCAATGGCTGGACTAGAATTCCTCCAAAGATCCTATAAATGATGAGGTTTGGGGTGGAGGCCAGGGCTTATCATCACAGCCACCACAGAATTTCCTCTGCTCCCCCCATGAACACAAGAGGCCACTGTTCCTCCTGGCCCCTTTGGCGTCAGGCAGATGGAAAAGCTTTTCCCACTTAGTCCATCTACCTACTTCCATTTTCTCCTAGTCCAACACTTTTGTCTTCTTTTTGATTAGGGAGAGGAGGATGTTAAGATGAGGATCAAAAGAGCCTTTGATCAAGGTCCCAGATTGGAAAAATATAAATAGCCTTGTACTAAAAGCCAACCTAAGTACAGGTTTGACTAACTCTTATCCAAAATGCTTGGGACCAGAAGTCCTTCAGATTTAGAATTTCAGAATATTTGCATTCTACTTACCAGTTCAGCAACCCTAATCCAGAAATATGAAAACCAAAATGCTCCAACGAGCATTTCCTTTGAGCATGACCCTGGAGCACTCAAAATGTTTTGGATTTTGGAGCATTTAGAATGTCAGATTTGGCCTGGTGCAGTGGCTCACACCTGCAATCCCAGCACTAAAGGAGGCCGACGTGGGCAGATCACCTGAAGTCAGGAGTTCGAGACCAGCCTGGCCCATATGGTGAAACCCCCGTCTCTACTAAAAATACAAAAAAAAAAAAAAAAAAAAAAATTAGCCGGGTGTGGTGGTGGGTGCCTGTAATCCCAGCCACTCGGGAGGCTGAGGCAGGAGAATCGCTTGAACCAGGGAGGCAGAGGTTGCAGTGAGCCATGATCATGCCATTGCACTCCAGCCTGGGCAACAAGAGCGCCTCGAAAAAAAAAAAAAAGAGTGTCAGAGTTTTGGAACAGGGATGCTCAGCCTGTAATATACATTCACCTATAAAATAAGAAGCCACGTCTTTGATATCATCAAACTGCCAAATCTGTGCCCAGGATATCATCAAAGTGCCAAATCTGCCCAGGGTATCTGTGGCTATAGAGACAAAGAATAACTCAGATGCTTTTAACAAAGAAAGTTTTGAATAATATCTTTGGCCCAGCTTAGTGAAGATACAGAGAGCCCAGAAATCCACGCTTCTGAAGCCTCAGCCACACCGAGGACAGCTTCTTGCCCCAGTGCACTGCAGAATAAGCAGAAGATTCTGACTCTACTCCCCACTCTCTCCCTCTTGCTTGCATACCTGAGCTCCCTCCTTTAGAACAATGAGGAATACCATCCCCAGCCCGGATCTCACTCTCTCCACTAAGGCTGCACTACAAAAGCAGTGTAGATCCTCATCTCCCTTCTTATAACCACCTTAGTTCCCTCCCTCTCTTCTCTTCCCTCTTTTTCTCATTACCACCTCTAGAGAGCAGTGAAATTCCTAGATTGATATGTAAGTTGCTTGTTTCTAAGGTGACTTATAGCATTAAAGAATCTTCTGTGCTATGGAAAAATTTCCTTCCCCTTCCATTTAGTGTCTTTGCTGAAATAATGTTTTGGCATCTGTATCTTTCCCTCAATTCCCTTGAGCATTTATGTTCTTGTTCACCTGGCTGATTTCTAAAAATATAATATGCTTACTCAGATATTTTATCTTTATGCTCTGAAAAATGGTGCCGAATTAGACACAAAGTGACCTACTATCCCATCTGTCAAAATCACTCACACAACTGCTCAAATGGAAGGTCATGGAACAGTTTGGATAATCTTATTTTAAGTGTTGCATTTATGTCCTGCAGGTTGCTACATCAGGACTAGCAGTAATTCATTTAACACATATTTACTGGGGTGCAGAACTTACTGGTACTGAGGAAACTGCTCTCAGTGAGGAGGGGGACACAATTACTGATTAAACAAATGAATATAATTTTACATAGTGCTAACTACCGCAGCCTGAATATCCCTAACCCAAACACCCAAAATCCGAAAGCTCCAAAATGTGAAACTTTTTGAGAGCCAACATGACCCTCCAGGGAGATACTCACACTGGAGCATTTTGGATTTCTGATTTTGGATTAGGAATGCTGAACCAGTAAGCTGAATGCAAGTATTTCAAATTCTAAAAAAATCTAAAATCTGAAACATTTCTGGTCCCAAGCATTTCGGATAAAGTATACTCAACCTGTATGACAATGAAACACACTGTTATAAGGAAAAATGGTCTACAGGGTCTGCAGACTGTGTCATAATGTGTCTGACTATGGTTCAAAGCAGAATTTCGAGTACTATACAAGGAAACAAGGGGAAACCACATCTGCCTAATCCTTTCAGAAATCACATACCTCATTCTTGGTCTTCCTAGGGCAACGTATCCTCCCTCCAACCCTCATACAGTTCCCTCACCACAGCCTGATCATGCCCCACTCATACACAGCTCTCGTCTGTAAATTTCTTGCTATATTCTAACTGTACTTTATTTGAATTAGTCAATTTTTCCTTCAGTAGAGCAAGTCCATGAAGGTTGATCATATCATATTTGGAATACAGAAGGTACAAACATAAATATTTATTAATTTCCCACCATTTGTGTATGTATATATGGATGTGTACATTTTTGTGCATGTATTTATGTGTGTATATGCATGCATGTACATGTATATGTACATTTGTGTGTGGCACACACATATACACAGTCATGTACTAAAAAACAATGTTTCAGTCAACGACAGACTGCATATACGAGGGTGTTCCCATAACATTATAACAAAGCTGAAAAGTTCCTATCACCAAGTGACACCATAGCTGTTATAATGTTGTAGCACAATGAATTGTTTGTGGTGATGCTGGTGTAAACAAATCTACTGTGCTGCCAGTCACATAGAAGTATAGCACATATAATCATGTACAGAGCATAATACCTGATAATGACAATAAACGACTAGGCTACCGGTTTGTGTATTTACTATACTATACTTTTAATCTTTCTATTTTAGACTGTACCTGTTCTATAAAAATAAAATGTTATCTGTAAAACAGCCTCAGGCAGGTCCTTCAGGAAGTATTCCAAAAGAAGGTGTTGTGACCATAGGAGATGACAGCTCAGTACGCGCTATAGCCTCTGAAGACCTTCCAGTGGGAAAAGATGCGAACAGGAATATTGATAATCCTGGCTCTGTGTGTATTTGTGTCTTAGATTTTAACCAAAAAAAAAAAAGCTTAACAGAAAAATTAAAAAATGTAAAAATAGAAAAAAAGCTTATTGAATAAAGCACATGAAGAGAATATTATTGTACTTCTCTGGTATAAAAATAAGCACATAGGGCCGGGTGCGGTGGCTCACGCCTGTAATCCCAGCACTTTGGGAGGCCGAGGCGGGCGGATCACCTGAGGTCAGGAGTTCCAGACCCGCCTGGTCAATGTGGTGAAACCCCGTCTCTATTAAAAATACAAAAAATTAGCTGGGTGTGGTGGCAGGTGCCTGTAATCCCAGCTACTCAGGAGGCTGAGGCAGGAGAATCACTTGAACCCGAGAGGTGGAGGTTGCAGTGAGCCGAGATCACGCCACTGCACTCTAGCCTGGCAACAGAGCAAGACTCCGTCTCAAAAACAAACAAACAAACAAACAAACAAACAAACAAACAAACAAACGGCACATAGACCAATGGAACAGAATAGAGAACACAGAAATAAAGCCAAATACTTAACAACCAACTGATCTTCGACAAGGCAAACAGAAACATAAAGTGGGGAAAGGCCACCCTATTCAACAAATGGTGCTGGCATAATTGGCAAGCCACGTGTAGAAGAATGAAACTGGATCTTCATCTCTCACCTTATACTAAAATCAACTCAAGATGGATCGAGGTCTTAAATCTAAGACCTGAAACCATACAAATTCTAGAAGATAACATCAGAAAAGCCCTTCTAGACAATGGCTTAGGCAAAGACTTCATGACCAAGAACCCAAAAGCAAATGCAACAAAAACAAAGATAAATAGATGAGACTTAAACTTAAGTCTGCACAGCAAAAGAAATAATCAGCAGAGTATACAGACAACCCACAGAGTGGGAGAAAATCTTCGTAATTTATACATCTGATAAAGGACTAATATCCAGAATCTACAAGGAACTCAAACAAATTAGCAAGAAAAAAACAATCCCATCAGAAGTAGACTAAGGACAGGAATAGATAGTTCTCAAAAGAAGATATACAAATGGCCAACAAACATATGAAAAAATGCTCGACATTACTAATGATCAGGGAAATGCAAATCAAAACCACAATGTGATACCACCTTGCTCCTGCAAGAATGGCCATAATGAAAAAGTTTTTAAATAGATGTTGGCAGAGATGTGGCGAAAAGGGAACGAACACTTTCATACAGCTGGTGGGAATGTAAACTAGTACAACCACTATGGAAAACAGTGTGGAGATTTCTTAAAGAACTAAAAGTAGAACTACCATTTGATCCAGTAATCCCACTACTGGGTATCTACCCAGAGGAAAAGAAGTCATTACATGAAAAAGATAATTGCATACACATTTACAGCAGGACAATTTGCAATTGAAAAAATACTGAACCAGCCCAAATGCCCATGCCCATTAATCAACGAGTGGATAAAGAAATTGTGGTTTATATATACCGTGGAATACCACTCAGCCATAAAAAGGAAAGAAAGAATGACATTCTCAGCAACGTGGATGGAACTGGAGACCGTTATTCTAAGTGAGGTAACTCAGGAATGGAAAACCAAACATTGTATGTTCTCACTCATAAGTGGGAGCTAAGCTATGAGAATGCAAAGGCTTAAGAATGATACAATGGACTTTGAGGACTCGGGGGAGGGGGTGGAGGAGGAAAGGATGAGAGGGGTGTGAGAGATAAAAGACTACAAACTGGGTACAGTGTACACTGCTTGGGTGATGGGTGCACCAAAATCTCAGTAATCACCACTAAAGAACTTATTCATGTAACCAAACACCACCTGTTCCCCCAAAACCAATGGAAATCAAAAATTAAAAATTTAAAAAACTTAAAAAAGAAAATATTATTGTACTTCTATATAATGTTTGTGTTTTAAGCTGTTATTACAAAAGAGTCAAAAGGTTAAAAAATAATTTAAAAGTCTATAAGGTAAAAAAGTTATAGTAAGCTAAGGTTAATTTATTATTGAGAGAAAAGTTTTAAACAAATTTAGTGTAGCCTAAGTGTACAGTGTTCATAAAGTCTACAGTAGTGTACAGTAATGTCACATTCACTCACCAGACACTCACTGACTCACCCAGAGCAAATTCCAATCCGGCAAGCTCCATTCATGGTAAATGCCCTATACAGCTATACTATTTCTTACCTTTTTTAAATATCATATTTTTACTGTACCTTCTCTTCTTCTCTATCTGTTTAGATACATAAATACTTATCATTGTGTTCCAATCACCTACAGTAGTCAGTACAGTAACATGCTGTACAGGTTTATAGCCTGGGAGTAATAGGCCATATACCATATACCCTAGGCATGTGGTGGGCTATACCATGTAGGTTTGTGTAAATACACTCTATGATGTTCATACAATGACAAAATTGCCCAACCACACATTTCTCAGAATGTGTCACATTGTAAAGCGACACAACTGGATATAATTTTGCATGTACATATCTAACTAGAAGAGCCAAAATGCTACCCAACTTTTGATTACATTATTTGGCATGATGAGAAATAATGACTGGCTATGTCTCTTTAAAAAATGTTCAACTTTCAAGCCAAAAAAATAAACTAAGCAAAAAAGGTGAGCAAAAACAATTTTAAAAGAGAGAATGAATGGGCTTCCTTACTTCCTCCTTGCCTTCCATTGTTTTCTCTCTTTGAGATTCCTCTTGGCTGAGTATCGGAAGATTTCATACATTTCTTAGCTCTGGATGACTTATAATTCTAAATATGAAAGTGTCAATGTTACATTTTAATTTTAGAATTCCTAACCATCAAAGTCAGGTGATGCTCACACAAGTTAAGAGGCCAAAACAACCTGGAAAGCACTGAATCCAACCCCTTCATTTTACAGAAGAAATATAGGCCCAGGAAGACTAACTATCTTGCCCAGTCAGAAGCAGAGTAAGAATAAACCGGAAGCCAGGCATTTTCAGGCCTTTTCACCTCACATCTGGGCACCATAACCTCATGCCCCAACCCTCTCTTAAGAGGGCAGGATGAAAGAAGACGGCAGAAAGAGGCTCAGATAGTCCCTCCAGCCACAGCTAGTCAAGGCTGGACACGCTCATGGTTTCCCAAGGAGGAGATGGAGAGGGATCAAAGTGTGGTGTGACTTCCCCCTCAGAAGCATTTTACGTAGAAGACCACAGACATCCACCCAGAAAATAATAAATATGTTACATGGATGAGACTTCTTTGAATATAGCACCTGAAACCTCACAGATGTAACACACTTCCTTCCAGTCTCTTTTTGTTCTGGAAAGTTCTGGGGCTTATATCACTGAGCTGCGCTAAGGCCAAGTGTACATGATTACAACAAGCACCATGTAGGATTTCTTCATTTCTTTCCGTCCTTCCTCCCTTCCTCTCTGCTGTTCCTTCTTTTATCCACCTGCCTTTCATTTCATTCCTTCATCTGGACAATTAGTTTTCTTATTTAATCATGTTGCCTTTTCACCCTGGCTTCCAGAAAGCTCTAAGTAAACTTTTAAATCAACCAATAGCAACCTTGCTAATCTTTTGATCGGCATAAATGTTGCCTATTTTCTTTTCCTTATAATAGAGCCCATTTGCTGCGGGGGTGGAAGCAGTAAAAAAAAAAACAAAACTATTTTTAAATCTGCTAGGAAGGAGGTAAGCATAAATAAAGTTCAATAAGTAATGAAAATGTTATAAATAAACCGCTTTGGGGTATCCAAAATATTTCCTTGGTTTTGTTGTAGGAAACCGTAGACAGGGCAAATATGACCACCCACCCCCGCCCCCCATCGACCTAGAGTATGGTTATTTGTACCTCCCTCCGCCCTCCAACGAGACCAAGGGAATCCTGATCAAGCCCCCTATGAGAACCTGGATCTTTATCCACATCCAGGGATCTCATCTGGGCTTTAGGCGTTTCTTAAACTCCTGAAACTATATGCAAAACTGTATGCAGGAATCTACCCTAGAACTATCACTTGTGAATCTTTCAGTCTTTTTGAAAATCTATATGAAGAATTTTAACTTATAGAGACTGTTGAACAGTGCTTGCCCCCCATTAAGGAAAAAAATGTGTATGTGGTTTGATCTTACTTTACTGAATTTCGTAAGATTCTCTTGAAGACCTCCAAAACATGATAATAACTTCTGAGCTACTTGAACATCAAAATTGAAATGAATGATTTCTTTGGATACTTCAAACTCTTCTATTTTACAAATTTAAAATATATATATTTCTACCAACTCAGCATGATGTGGAGTGGGAGGGTGAAGAGCGACTGAAAACGGCACATGCAGCATTTACCTTACTTCCAGGCGTCCTGGACTCCCCAGTAACATTTCCACAATACAGGCATGGCCCAGGCAGTGCTCTCAAATGATGTCTAGAGAGTCCCTGCAAGTCACCCAGCTCCCTTTTCTCTGTCCTCAGCCCATTCTCACCAACCACAGGGATCTTACACTCGGTGGCTGGCCCGGGGTGACTCACCACGTGCCCGCTGAGATCACGGACAAAGCCAGAGGCCTGCTGGCTCTGATAGTACTCAAGCTGCTTCTCCGCCAGTTCTACCCGCTGTAACAGATTCTCAATAAAGTCCTGGAGCCGGGCTTTCCCTTGAACCTCCTTCTCAGCTGCCGCTTCCAGGAAATGGTTGAATGTGACAACTTCTCTGCAAGGCAAAAATGTCAGAACACAAAAGGGAAATATAAGGCAAGGAATTCACTCATTCAACACATATTTATTGAGTGCCTACTATTTGTCAGTTAACACCCTAGGCAGTACTCCATGGCAATGACGAGAGAGGTAATCACCTCTTTGTGATTACATTTACAGACTGTATTTTAATAGAGGAAGATAGTCACTATAAAACAAACAAATAAATATATGTCAGATGGTCATAAGTGCTAAGAAAATTGAAACTGGGTGCAAGGGGACAGTGACAGAGGAAGGAAAGGAGTGAATAATATTTTAAAAAGCAAAGTTAGAAACGACCTTTTGAATGGGGTGACATTTGAACAGAGACCTGTGGAAGAAGCCATGCAGGTGTTTAGGAAGAGCAAACCAGGGACAGCAGATGGGTCTGAGGTACAGCAAGGGGGTCTACATGGAGGAGGGAGCTAGGTAGGACCTCACAGGTCACTGTGAGACTTCTGGTTTTATTACAAATGAGATGGGAAACCATTGGATGTATTGCTTTTAAGACAAGCTCTGACTTGGATTTTTAAAGTCTGGCGATTGGGAGAGAAAACTCTACAGGGAGAGAAAGTATAGGAGCAAGAGGCCGAGCTGAGCACCAAAACAGCACATCAAATGAGTCATCTTGTCCAACAGTATATTTTTTAGCTTAGAGCTTAGAACAAAACAGCCCATACAGCTACCACGAGGTCAACCCAAAGACCACCGGGAAAACTATTCTAATGCTGACATAAGAGAAGCAATGCATGGGTTGCCCTCCCCTAAGAAGCTGAGCAAAATACTTCAACTACTCCTTTATCTACATAATTCACAAGTAGATTACAAATCCAGAAAAATTCTAATAACTTTATTACCATCTTATATTTTGCTTTCATTTTTAATGGAAATATGAAAATAGTATTTTTTTCTGATTTATAAATAAGCTCTTTATTTAAAAAATTCAAATAACCCATTAGAAATATAAAAAAGGAAAGATCACCTGAAACTCCATTATCCTGAGACCACCACCATTATCTTGGTAGCCATCCTCATGAACATCAAACTCATCCCCAAACACACCCACCCAAGCACACATACACGGTTTTCCTTCTTTTCCTACCTTGCTCTCAACTCTCAATTCCCCTCTCTCCAACCCTCTTTCCTAGGCCAAGGACCCAGTAATCACCACTATGAATAGGTGTATATTGCCAGAGTTCTCTCTACCCTATTGTCTTCACTTAATAAGAAGCCATGAATATCCTTTTAGTCATCACCCTTGTATGTTCTGCAAGTCCCAGGGGAGCTAATGAGTTCCATAATTTTACTGTCCGTTGGGTAGTATTTCCTTTACATGTCTCCAAAATCTCTCTCAGTCTTCAAGGAATGGCCTCTCACTGTTTTTGCCATGTTCAACTTACACAAGATTCTAAAGACTCTACTTTCTGTCCTTTCAGGCTCTTTCAATTTTGATTCGTGAATGCTAATTTTTGTTAATCCAACCTCATTCAGTTGTTCTAGACAGTTAATTAAATTCATTGGCTTCTCTACATCTTCTCAACCTCCACTTGATCTTTATTTTCCACTGAGCTCTGTAATTCTCTTGGGAGTAGAACTTCAGGGAAGTCTAGCTCAGGAAGTCAGAGTTTTACATAAGATCTTTGCAAAATAGCTGGTAGTGACCTCCAGCTCTTTTCTTCTGTACTAATAGTCAGTGTGCCACTTTTACAATTAGTCATGATTTTTCTCTCACAAATACATTACGCCACACATGGCCATACTGAAACTTTTCTGACACTTCCTATAGAATCACACATCCTTACAAAACTTTGGGAATTACATATGTATAAAAACAGACAACAGGCTGGCTCTAATAATGATTCACTCAAAGAAATGCTAGTGATACCAGCCCCTGTTTTTTCTAGTTTCCCAACCAGGATCAAACATAAACCCTAATTCCATAATAATTCCATCATCTTTCAGTAGCTAAGAAATATCCACACACAAGAAATAAGAGTCCTTCTGGAAAAGAATTTTTTTCATCGTCAAGTTTCAAGTTTATTTCCAGATGTTTCCATATTAGCCCTCAATAGAAGATGTGTACTTTTCAAGGTCTTCATTATTCAGGCCATGAACACAAGCCAATTTTTAAGCTCTACCGTCATTCACTTTGATCTGCTTCCTACATGAGCCACAAACTTTAACTAGCAGCAAACGAGTGGCGGGCCCATGTGAATGCATCCCCAGCCCTTTCATGGTTCTTGCTTATGGTTTAGGTCCTTTGGGATGGAGTATTCTGGAAATACACCACAGGAAAATGGTTACTACTTCTTATTTCCAACATTAAGGCTTCAATTCATTTGGAGTCTGAGAATCCAAATTTCTACAAGCCTGTTGTAGAGATTTCCTGGGAGATATTTAGGATAACTGAATGATGCAACTGTCTCCAAACTGTACTTACAGGGCAAACAACCAAAAGTTAAAAAAAAAAGTACCATTTTTAAAAATTCATTTCGGTCAATATTTCCTACATCTTATTATGGAAATGGTTCACATATATTAAGGAAAATATAAAAATTGACCTTTTGGAGGATTCAACTGGGCAGGGACAGAATCAGCTTTTGTTCTCTGTTCTAAGTCCAGCACTCAACACATTTGTGTTTGACACACAATATTGAATAAGTATTTGTTGTAATTAATGTTTATAAAGGACAAGGAAGAAACTAAAAATGACCCAAAATCCCACCACTCAGAAGCAACTACTGTCAATATCCAGTATATTTTTTTCCTGTCATTTATCTCTGTGCACATTTACCATTCCAGGGCTTTCATGCTATACAGTCTAGCATATGCGAAGACAGCAACATTTGATGGCTTAATCTCAGGGGATTAGCATCACAAAAGCAAGAGAACAAATTTGAATGCAACACCTTTTATGATTGTGGCTGTATTTTTCAATCACATATTTTGCCACTGTTTCTACATGAAACTTTTAAAAATTAATATTAATGCTGATATTAATTTTTAATATTAATTTTAATACGCTCCTGGAATGTTATGCCATGTCACAGAAAAGAAGGATCTTTTTTCTAACTTCTCTCAACCAATTATCTTGTGCCCTGAAGCTGAGAAGTTAATACCTTCTGTATTTTTCAACCAACCTGGCACAAACTGCTAACCTAATTTCAGTTTGTAGATGTATTACATCAACTAGGGTGGAAAAAAACAGTTAAAACAAGCTTGATGGTATCCTATGATTTTGTTTTAAAAGACAGGTTAAACACAAGAGAAAGACTGGAGAAGTTCATCATACTGAGATTGTGTAGGGTATCTTTGTTAGATGAAAAAGGGATCAAAACCAAGTGACTAATTGTGGAATATCATGTGTGTACATCTCAGATCCACCGTTCATTCACATCCTGTTCAGTCTGGATGAATATCCAGAACCACCTCTTATTTCCCCAAAGAATCTTGGGGTTTTTCTGAATGGAAAAGAAAAGGGGTTAAACACATTGCATTTGTAACCTCTTTCATAATTACACTCCAAACAATAAAATATCCATTCAAAGTGCAAGACAGACCAATAGATTTCAACGTAAGAAAGTACAAAATGTTCACTGATATGGTTTCAGATCCCACATTGCAATGACTCTTTAAGAAACTACCAACTGTCACATTTGGCACAGCATCAAAGCAAAATATCCATGATTATCTGAGAAGGCTATTAAAATACCCCTCCATTTCCTACTATGTATCTGTGGGAGACTAGATTTTCTTCATCTGTTTCAACCAAAACAACAAATTTGCAACAGACTGAATGTGGAACTACCAAAGTCCAGCTGCCTTCTATGAAGCCACACATAAACTTTTAAAACAATACCGCTCTTTTCACTAAATTATTTTTGGGAAAACAGTTATTTTTCATAAAAATATGTTATTTACGTTAGCATATAATGGATACATGTAGTGAGAGAGTCAAACAATGAAAGAAGGAAATACCGAAATAAACACGTAATTACAAAGCTAGTTAAAAGTGACTAAGAAGAAGAATAATATGATGCTATCGGACAGAACAGTAGAAGACTTGTGTGGTTTTATTTCTGGTTCTCAACCCTGTGACTCAGAATACAGTGTGAAAGCTGGAAGGCCAGATGAGAAGATAAGGGCCAACCTGAGTGAAACTCAATCAGGGTGTGGGTGCAGACCAGTGTTGGGGAAATTTAACTGGTTCTAAGCCACTTCCGGCCCCATCTTCGACTTCTTCTTTATTTAAAAAAAAAAAAAAAGGCCAAATATTATTAAATCAGAGGTTTTAGGCTTCAGTAGAAAACATGCTTATTTAAAGCAATATTTGACACTAAAAAAAAAAATACCAGTACAATATAAGAAACTGACCTTGAAGCTCATTATTATGCAGAATGATTTCCAGATCTGGAAATCTGTCAGATGGATAGGTATCCAGAAACCAACACAGTAGAAGAGGAGCAATGAGGGAAAAAGCCCTTTCCAGAGAGCCAAACCTTCAGTTATATCCATTCACACATGCGTTCATTAATTTACAGGATGACCATATGGTCTGAAAAATAGATAATATTATTTCATTTTTTACAGATGGAATCCTCTCAGTTACTTCTTCTGAGATGGGTTAAAGACAGGTTAATTCAGAAAAATCAAAGACATGCTATCATGTGACCAATACACCCTAGAAGCATGTGCAGAGAGTAATGGAAATATGCGTTCACGCACTGTGGTGCTCACTGCAATTTTGCACAGGCATTGAACTATGCATTTTAATGAGTGACAACACGTTGATCCTATCATGTATTATAATCTACTATCAACAAACCATTTCTTATGTCTATTTTAACTTCCTTCATTTTTGCACTGAGCCACACTTACTTTTGGATATGCTGTTCCCTCTGCCAGGGTCATTCCTCCTCCTCTTCCCAAGCCCCCACAATTAATTATCAATTAACTATTCCTCTAACCTCAGACTCTCTTGCCAGGGAGTATTCTCAGACACATGCCCAGGTGTACATGACATGGCCTACTGTGTTTTCCACAGAAGTTTGTACCTTATCACCATGCACATCACAATGAACCAGTGTGCCATTTCCCCATTTGACCATAAAATCAGTGAGTTCAGGGACCTTGTGTGCTCCTTCACTGTCTGCAAGTACCCCCTGTACCTAACCTGAGCCCAGCACACAATACAGGATTAATGCATTTCTGCTGAATGCATGAAATGTGCAACTATATCTCTACTCGAAAATCATTAACCAACACAGAGATCCTTAAGTTTCTTTTTTCCTTTTTCCAGACAAGTACTGGGGCATAAAACCAATGAGTAACCTACGGGTACCTCCTACAGGAGTAGGGGGTGGGATCTAAAACTGATGCCTCTCTTCTATTCTTAAACACTTTAACATCAGCTTCTCCTCCCAAAGGCGAAGCTCTACCAACTTATTTAAATTTCACTTTACATGACTGATTTATGAACCTCTTCAGAGGAATATGAAACGGTAAAAATACCTCCAGCTAAAAATAGTCTAGCTATTGATCACAGAGCACCTCAGACAGACCATAACGTCAACCACAAGGCAAATCCCAAAGCAGGAGTCGACCACCTCCGAGCACAGGGAGCTTGGCTGCAAACCCATAGCATGGAGTCGGCTCCTGCGCTCTCTTTCCGGCACCACAGGCCTGAATCTGCAACAACTGCACGTCTTAAGGCATGGCCCATCTCTACTCTTGTTGGCCCTTAACGCTAATGAGAAAATCAAACTATTCTCATTGGTTGTAAGTTGACTAATACTATATTCTGAGTCCCAAGGGCCTAGAGTGGGGATGTGATAGGAGGCAGGGGAGTGGAGAAAAGAGAATATGCAGAGATAGAAATTGAAAACTTTCCTGGGTTTCCGAATTTTACCATGTGCCAACCCTGAGAGGATATGCTTGACACGTCATTTATTCTATATGAGTTTCTAAGTCTGCAAGGAACACATCCTGAAAAGAGAGGACCCCATTTATATGCACGAACCAACAATGTGGAGCAAACAGACCCTTCTCCACCCCGCTGACCTCTATATCCAATGTGATTTTTTCTTGGCCTGCTTTCTAGCTATGAATCAGTCTGGACACTACATTGCTTAGTCGCTGCTTTAGCTGATCAAAAAATGGGAATGAATTAAATAGCAAGAGGATTTGGTTGTGCAAAGCAAGTTACCAAATCAGATTTGCCTTTTAAAGGCCAGCATTCCAAGGTCAGCTCTGGAAAAAAACCTAAATGGGCATTACCTAGCTCAGGCCACCCCCTCTATGTCTCATTTGTCATACACCCTAATGACCTGTTTAATGTCAAATTTCCCTTCTGGTTTATAAAGTCCATGAAGGCAGGAACTGGATGCCTTTGGTTTACCATCCCATGGTCGGAACCTAGATCAGTATCTGCTGCTCAGCAAACACTCAATAAAGATTTGTCTTCTGCATGGCTTTAGGCTGGAACGAGGCAAATGATGAAGGACAAAGGGAAACAGATTCTACGTGTCACTGCCTGCAAGGGAGTAGGATGGAAATTAGAGATGGAATCACAAAGAGTCCTCTCATTGTGATCAAAGCCTAGCAGTGGCAAAAGCCCTACCCCGATTAAGCAAGGACATCTGAGAGTCAAGTGAAAAGCCCTGGGCTGGGTGTTCTGGAAGCTTAATATCATGACCACACTGATGATGCCACCCTTCCCCTGCCTCCCAACACCTCAGATGCCAGCTGACATTTTCTTTAATCACATCAGAAAAATAAATGATGTCACCATGGCAGCCCTCTCAAAATAGCAAAGAAGCAAGCCCATCCAAAATGGGCCACACTCAGTATTACATAAGTCTTGACGCTTTGGGGGAAAAAAAAATCACATTTTCAGGAGTCTGGCTGGGACACAGTGAACTAATGGAAAAAACACTCAGCAGAGAGACAGGGAAATTGGATTCCAGGTTCAGCGTTGCTACTAAATCTCTATCCTTGGGCAAGTCATTCCCCTGCTCTAGGCCTTATTTTCTGCATGTATAAAATGAGTGTGTTATCCAGCAGGAAACAGGGGCAACCTTCTGGTTCTCAAATCAGAAATCACCTGGTCTACTCAGGGGCCATCTCTAGCAGCCCTCCCTGCCGCCCCTTCAAGGTCACTCTCTTCTGGCCATCAATGCAAATTCTGCCTTTCCTCCTCATTTCCTCAGTGTGGCCTCTCCACACATAAAAATCTGTTCTCTAATGTATTACCAACTTGAAACTGTGGCTTATATTGAGGCACTTCTCAAAACTCCCCTTGCATGTTCCTGAGTATCCCTTATTCTTCCTATACAGAACACAAACACCTTAGGGAAAGACAGCAAGCATTTTATGTTCCCCCCCACACACCTCACACAGCACTGGGCACATTACAGATGTTCAATCAGGACTTTTCAAAACATATTGCAGAAAAGTGTATATGTAAATTTTGTGTTACTTTTATTATACTCAAATTTTCCAGACCCCACAGGACCAACTCAGCCAGCAAATTAGCTACTAAGTCCATCCTTTCTTGTTAAGGGATACCTTAAAGCAAGGTTTCCAGGATTGATTTACCTGATTACAGACAGCACTACCCACCAGCTCTGAATACTCTTCAATAAGTAAATACCTGTTTCACTAGAACTTTTAAAATCACACTGACTTTGTCAAGACAATGAGCAACTTCTTTCTTGGGTTTGCACTCCAAAACCTACAGATACCTTCTACGGGTTTACAATGAGACTGACCAGTACAAAAGTGCAAAATAGTTGACCCCTGAACAATGCAGGGATTAGGTGAACCAATCTCCTATGCAGTTGAAAATCCAAGTATAACTTTTGACTCTCCAAACACTTAACTCCTAATAGCCTACTGCTAACCAGAAGCCTTACTGATAACATAAACAAATGATTAACACAGATTTTGTATATTACATGTATTACATATCTGTATTCTTAAAGTAAGCTAAAGAAAATGTTATTAAGATAATCATAAGGAAAATATATTTACTTCTCATTAAATGGAAATGGATCATTGTAAAGGAGGAGGAGAAACAGAAGGGTTGGTCTTGCTGTCTCATTGATGGCACAGACAATAAAACCTCTTCGTTTAAGTGGAACTGCATAGTTCAAACCTGAGTCATTCAAGAGTCAAGTGTATTCTCAATTCAAACAACCTCCTCTGCTATGAGTATATGTACAACTTCTACAGTCTGGCTGATTCAGCCTATAGATGGCCTCAGGGCAGAAGCAGCCTTTGGGTCTTTTATTTTAACTTGAAAGAAAGGATTTTAAAAGTTGAAGGAAAAGATCCATAAGCAAAAGAAGCTTATGTGAATTTTAAATAATAGATGTTTGCTTTTTTTTAAACCAAATCTACTATCCGTGTTTCAAAGGGTCCCCAGAGTTTAAGTCAATTGTGAATGAGATGGTTAACAACCTACTTTCTCTCACAAATGGGCCTAGGGAGCTCATGTGGAAGTGTTTGGCAGGGGAGCCCAACTCCGGGTATGGTCCTTGGCAAAATACGGTCTTCCCTTATCTGAAAGGCCAACTCTTTGGTGGAAGCAACAGCTCTCTGAGGTGGTGGTTAGGATGGAAGATGCACCCACCACCCAGCCAGGCAGATGCAGTCAAATCAACCCAGTATTAACAGTGTGACAGGTGGGCAGCTCCCTCTGCATCCCCATTCAGAGGGCAGGGGTGCGGGGGTGGGGAGGCCAGACGCTGCAGACACTGAGGGTGCTGTCCACAGTCCCATTCTTAGACCAAGAGCTCCAGTGTCCTCCCTGGAAACAAGACTCTTTCAGTCCCACTTTATGTACAGAAAGAGTGATTATTTGAGGCCTGAATACAGAAACTGATGGGACTGGCCCAAATGAACGTTTAAAAAAAAAAAAGACTTTGTTTATGTTTAAAAGTTTAAGGCAATTTCACTGCGCTTTCATTTAAAACACTTTGTTTTCTTTTTTTAAAATATCATTGCTTTTTTCTATTAGTCCAGAAATGACATACAAAAATCACCTTGTGGCTGGGTACCGTGGCTTACAACTATAATCCCAGCACTTTGGGAGGCCAAGACCAGTAGATCATCTGAGGTCAGAAGTTCGAGACCAGCCTGGCCAACATGGCGAAACCCCGTCTCTACTAAAAATACAAAAAAATAGCTGGGTGCAGTGGTGGGCGCCTGTAACCCCAGCTACTTGGGAGGCTGAGGCAGGAGAATTGCTTGAACCCAGGAGGCAGAGGTTGCAGTGAGCTGACGTCATGCCATTGCACTCCAGCCTGGGTGACAAAGTGAGACTCTGTCTCAAAAAAAAAAAAAAAATCAACTCGTAATTTATCCTCAGGCATACTCACAAAAATGTGAACAAACATGTACAAGGATAATAACCAAGGCACTATTTCTAATACTAGGAAAATGGAATAAAACTATATATTCATCAATAACAAACTGGTTAAATGCATCATGATGCATCCATACCATGGAATACTACACAACAGTCAAAAAGAGTAGTATAGTTCTGTACTTAGTAAACAAAAGATGCCTGAAATCTATTATATTAAAAACAAAAACAATTCAGCGTGCAATTGGCAGAACAGTATGTGTCACAATTTCATTTAGAAAAATGGAATCTGTGTGTGTACGATTGCAGGCACACAGGAAAGGTCTGGAAGGACATTTACGGAACTTAACAGTGGCTGTCTCTGAAGGACAGGATAGGATGTGCTTGGATTGGAGAGGCTACTTTTACACATATAATTCTCTCCTATTCAAGTTTTTCCTGTTTTAACATGTCTTAGTTTTTCAGTTGGTGCTCAGGTGGCAGCCTTGGATTAACCATAACATGTAACTGACCCATGCATAGCCCACTTTTATTTAGACAGATATTTTTAACAATTAAGCATTCTTGAACCCATCACTCCAGGCAACTACTACCCCAGATCTCATGTTCATTATTACTCGTGTAATTAATTAGTAAAATACAACAAATAAATAAGTTCAAAAAATTAATTTTGTTGCCTTTTAAACTCACTGCTCTTGAATGAAGCAAAAATGTTCAAATTTAATTCTAGGCCTTTCTTTACGCATAGAGTAACCACATCTGCCCTTTTTTCAACAGCACAGTGCGGGTCACTCTGGTGGCCATTAACGGGTCTAGACACTAACTTCCCACCAGGAAACACCAGAAACCAAAAGGGAAACATTTTTCATTAGAGATTATTTCCCTAGGAGCAAAGTAAGTCAGAGGCTGATTCAAATCCATCCTAACTACGTAATTTAAAAAATGTCTCGCCTGAACAAAAAATGTCTAGGCTTCCCCTCAAGGTAGAACGTAAGCATTTAAGTGATAGCAAGTAATGATCTCTTTAATCTATGGAGTGTCTCAGGAAGTTCTAATTATTACATTTTAAGAGACAACACAAAATAGAAGAGTGCCAGAGGGCAAAGAAAAGATGAAATTAAATCAATCTCTATAATAGAACTCAAATTATTTGGAAACCTACCTTTTAGGATGTTTTACTCCATCAATTTTAATGTCCTTTGATTCCATGAATTTCTAAACCTCTATTTAAAATGAAATCTGACATTCTGCATTTGGGAAATACACTGACTTGTAATGTACACTTTTCTAGTTTGGGTTAAATCTATACTTACTGATAAAGAAATGCTTCTCTAAGTATGATGATTTCTCAAGCAATAGCTTCTATGATCTATAACTTGTGAAAACCAATCTCAACTCTTTGCAAGTGGGCAAAACTTAAATATAACAAAAAAAAATACATCATTTGCCAAAAAGTCAAGTCTCAAACTTAAATCATAGAAGTATAGCAATATCAGAAAGTCTTTCCTCTGGGTGCCCTAATGTCTGCTTCTCCCAAATATAAATTAAATTAAATGGATTCTCAGCTACTAACATTTAATTAACCTGGGCAGATAATACAAAATGGCAAATAAACCAAACTTATTTATACTGGAGGAATGTTTTTGAACTTAAGACAGCATCTTGCATTGACTTTATAATACGGAGACTGTCAAGAATGAACAGCTCACTTAGCTCACCCTTTCTGCCTTCCCATTCAACTCACCCTTGCACGCCATTTGGTGCTAGGAATGGATCCCACCATGGCTAGGCTGTGCTAGTCTTCTCTCTAAAAGCATAGTCTGTGGTTTACAAATTCCCAGTTGAGAAGGAATTAGATATTTGACTTTAATGCTGCTAGGTTGCAGACCGTGCACACAGAGGGTAAATGATATCAAAGCCTTGTTCCTCCTGGTTCAACTATATCAATAAGAAATGCAGTCAAGGCACCTGCAAATAGCAAAAATCAACCTTGCTTAGCATTTGCTTGTAAGGCGATTGGGGTGCTGCTTAAAGCAATGGGGTTAGCATCCCCTGTCAGCAACACTTACTCTTCTTTCCTAAGAAGCTCCTCCTCAGATTCCGTCAGGCGTTGCCTCAGTACAGCTATCATTTCCACGGCCACGTCCACCTGTCTGTTTAAGGCCCGCTCTCGTCTCTGAACTTCCTGCTTTTTCTGAGTCAGCTGCACAAAAGCTGCCCGAACTTCCAACAGTTCCGCAGTTTTCTGGGCCAACTCTTTGGTGAGTTTATCAATTCTCTTCTCAATGGTCCTATCCACAGCCTCAACCATTCGATTGAATTTTTCTCTGACATGTGCCTCGAAAGAAGCTTTGGTGTCTGAGGTGGGCAGTCCAGGACCCGACCGTGTCCCATCCAGCGAGTCTGCATGGAGGTCCATGGCAGTGTAGGTCTGCACATAGGACACAGGCCTCTCTGCCACCACCTCAAATGGCTTCCTGTCCTTGGAATGTTCATGTGAAATGCTGTACAAGTTAACATAGCTCGGTTTCTGCTTTACCACGTTGCCACTGCTCTGCAATTTTCCCGGTTTCAGGAGTTCTGAGGAAGTGACTAGGTCTGTGTCTTTGAGGGATGGAAAGAGACTGCATTTTGTCAAGAGGGTTCTTTCTTCGTAGCTGTGACTGAACTCCAGATGGGCCCTCAAGGATGACAAGCTTCTAAATCTGGTATGGTCTCCACACCTCGGGCAGCGTAATGGCAGGCACACAGCAACATTCTCAAAGGACTCCTGCCAGGGATATCTGCTTTCCTCAAAAGCCTTCTGTTGCATTACTCTAAAAGTCCTGGGAGGGGGGAAATAGGTAGTTTACAAGTCGGCTGAAAAACACACTACTAAAATGATTGCTGCTCATCTCCATGACAGCAGAGGCTTTTTGGTTTCAAGTGACTTTTGCACATAATATTTTATGTTGCACTTAAAACCTACAGCCCATGGGCCAAATCCATCCACATCAATTTCTGCATTATTTACTGCTGCCGTATCAATTTCTGTATTATTTATTGTAAACCACAATGGCAGTGGTGAGTAACTGAGACAGAGACTCTATGCTCCTAAAAGCTAAAATATTTACTACCTTTACAGAAAAAGTTTGCCAACTCCTACCTAGAATCAAAAAGGTGGGTAACATTCCCTCTCCACAGAAGAGAACACTGAAGCAAGGAAGTAAAGCCATTAATCCAAGGTCAGATGGAAAGTGGTAGATCCAGAAGTGGAATTCAAGTTTCCTCCCCTCCTGAATTTGGCACACTAAATGCAAAACCGTGCCCCATTTTAAGGATACAATCCGAGATGCGTGAACACAAGAACATATGAAAACTCACATGAATTGTCAAAATGGGTCCTAAGACAGCAAGCTCAGGACCTATCCTCAAGTACAGGAAAGATTACTCAAGCTATGCACAGTGGCATTAAGCCTGCAATCAGCTGAAAATTTTTCACCCTGAAATTTTTGCCTTTTTTTCCTTCAGGTATTGCTGTGATGACATAAACCAAAGTGCTAATCGTAACAATAACAGACCCCATACGTGAGTTTCACTGAAACCTGGGGACCCAATGTGTCAAATACCATTTGGCATAAGTGGGGCCATGGCCAAGATTTTTATTATAATAGAGTGTTCTGGACGGATTTGTCTTGTCTCAGATGCTATTTTATATGACAACCTCTAGGGATGGTCAGTGTGTGAACCAGGTAGGTATCAGCATACTCTCTTAATAACAGGAAGTTCTGGTTTCCTTGTAGGAATGCATTATCTTCACCCTAGCAACAGATGACTGTTGGCAACCCAATTCTGCAAGCAGTGCATATCTTCTATTCCTCCATGAAAGGTTTCTACTTAAATGTAACAAGCATTGGACCCGAAATGAGGGAGCCCAGCTGGGGTCTTTGGGTGAAAAGTGTCCTCAACCTCTTCAAAAGCAGAGGTGCAAATGGTCCCCAGGCAGCGAGGCAGGCAAGGCTTCTAGGTGAAGCCCCCGGCCCCCAGAGAGGGGAACCTCTTCCTGTGATGGGTACACCGGGATGTTTAACCACTGGTTTTCTGGGAACGAGATGCAAACCCTGGCTCAGCATAGGGCCAAAGACGCTGACAAGAGGTAAGGAAAGGGGAAGTCAGGATTCTAAGGGGGCAATGGGAAAAGGGTGGCATTTTGGATGGGGAAATGGGTAATCACACACTCCAGAGCACGCAGGCTTTTATGGGCCCAGAGGAAACCCAGTCCACTGGGCTGATGAAGAGCCCTAAGTGACTCTGCCAGAGAAGGGCAGGCTGGCAATGACCCTGCCCCGGGGTCCCAGCTCTCCCCGCCCCCTCTCCGCTGCGTGCCAGCCCACGGGTGCCAGAGTGGATTCGTGTGCACATGAGTTCCTGCTGGTGGGGGCCGGGAAGCCGGCTCTCCCAACTCCCCGCCATGCTGCGGGCTCGGGGACCCCCTCCCCAGCCCCGGCCACCCCGGCAGGTCCCCTCCGCCGAGCCGCGGGCGCAGATGGCCGGCGGCCGCCTCTTACCCGACTTGTTGCTGCTGCTGCTGCAGCCGCCGCCTCCGGTGCTGATGCTGCGGGAGCGAAGCGGTTTTCAGCAGAGCCGTAAATCAGACTGAGCCGGGCCGGCTCCCACTCCCCGCCGCACCTCCGCGCCGGGACCGGCGGCGTCCAGGGCGGAGCGAGGCGCGGCTAGCCAGCGGGGGCGGCGCTCGCGGGCACCGTGGGGCACCGCGCCGTGGGTGCGGGGGTTCCGGAACGCCGCGGCCCAGGGCTGCCACCTCCGCGGGGAACACCCTTGCTCTGCCCAGCTGGCGGGAGCATCATCTGCCCCCCCGCCACCCAGCCGGGAGCCCGATCCGACTCAGGATTACACTGACATCACTGCGAGAGATGCTGGGATCATTCCCCGGGGGAGGGAAGGAAAGACGCGTGTCAGCCTCGCAGTCGCGGCGCTTTCTGCAGGCCCTGGCAAGCTTTTTTGCACTAGTTTGGGGGGAGCGGGAGAGTGTGGATGAGGATGCAGCATAGCTGGGCATCTTCTTTGAAAATCTACCCGTTGGAAGGTCCGGGTATTTAATTAGGACCTCTTCATCCCAAGCAGCAGGGCGAGAATGTCCCAAAATAACTAACCCAGAGAGTACACTCCAGCCTTCCTAGCCAAGTGTCCTGAGGCTACGTTAACAGGCAGAACTAAATCTAGTAAAGTGCAGGGATTAATGAACAAACAGTTAAAGCAACAAGATCCCTCACCTACACCCCCATTTCTGAGGCGGACGCCCCTTTCCCTGGAGAAAAAATTTGTCCTCCTAAAGAGGGGATGTCCTGAAGAGAAGACGGCAAATCATTCCTTCTGAAGGACTCTGATGTCTCAGCTTGCTGGGCTTTTGCTTTTTTTTTTTTTTTTTTTTTTTTTTAACCTGTTTTGGTTTACCCCTACTGTAACTCCTGAAATGTGAAACCTAGATAAAAGTTACTGCTGGGTTTTCTTGTTCAAAGAAGAGAAGAGATTCTGTTCATCTGTAGACAGTTAATGCATCCTCTTGACTTCTCAGGGTGTCTTTTCTCAAGGCTTGCTGTTACTCATTTCAACACCCGATTTTATTTTAACGGTAAAGAGCTCAACAGTTATCTTAGTTGAAATTTTGTTTTGTTTTTGACAAATGAAAACAAATGAATTGCTTTGTTTTTTCACAAATGAATTATCACATCAAATGCAATGAAGATCCCAAGCTCTGGCATCAGACTTGATTCAAATCCTGGTTCTAGGGCCTGGGTCAAGTAACTAGACTTTTCTGTTCCTTCAATTCCTCATCTATGAAATGAAGATAATCAAGACCTACCTCTTAATATAGCGGTGGATCGAATGTGCTATGATGATGGAGGTAAAAACCCTGCCTGACAGGGACACACACTGATAAAGTCAGCTGTTATCGTTGTTGCTACTTCATTTATAATTATTATTAATTCCATAAAAAAGGGGCCTACACACATTTAAAAAGCAGGAAGGAGAAGAGGAATTAATATGTACTAACTTCTACGTAAATGGAGATAGGCTATTGTGCTGGGGTGTGTTTGCTTTGAAAATATTATATCTCATTGAAGTTACTTTTTGACTCGCTCTCAAGACTATTCCAAGAATCAATTTATTTAGTACAAAATCTTAAAGTCTGAAAGATACACTCATTGGAGTGCCAAGTTATCTCCGTCATCTTGTGAGGTGCCTGCAGGTTAACCTCTTACACCCACTGCCTTCATGGCAAAACATAACAAAAGCATGCTCTGGTCCTCCCTTCCCCCCCGCCCCTTTTTTTTTTTTTTTTTTTTTTTTGAGACGGAGTCTCACTCTGTCTCCCAGGCTGTAGTGGCGCGATATCAGCTCACTGCAACCTCTGCCTCTTGGGTTCAAGCGATTCTCCTGCCTCAGCCTCCCTAGTAGCTGGGATTACAGGTCCCTGCCACCACCCGGCCAATTTTTGTATTTTCAGTAGAGACGGGGTTTTGCCGTGTTGGCCAGGCTGGTCTTGAACTCCTGACCTCAGGTGATCTACCGGCCTCGGCCTCCCAAAGTGCTGGGATCACAGGCGTGAGCTACCGCGCCCAGCCAGCTCCTCCCATTTCTTAGACAGCTGCTACTTCTTTTTTGGTCCTAAGTTCCTCCCCTGTTAAATGAGAGGATGGAGATTTTCAAAGTCCTTTTCTCACCCTAAAAATATAAAATATTATCAAATAATTATGGAGAGGTTATTCTGTGCAGGGCCTAAAGCTGAGTATTGTGGGAAATTCAACTTGGTCAACAGGCATTTAGGACCTTAAGTGGTTCTCAAAGTGTCACTTGTGTATACCACCAATTACCTCATTTAATCTTTGAACACCTGTGAGGTAGGGAGGACCTTGTACACTCAGTTCTAGCCACCTTGGCATCCCTTTACTTAAGAGCCCTGCTTTTTCCCGTCTCTAGGGCCTCTTTATCTGGTAATGCCTACTCATCCCTCAGAGCTCATCCCAAGTATGCCCTCTCTGAGGAGGTCTTCCCTGACACTCCTGGACAAGGTTAGTGCGTACTAGGAAAATTTATTATGACAGGATTTGTCACAATAATTCTATGTGCTGGGTTATGGATGTAGTTGTCTGTTTAATATTTATGTCCACTGTTAAGTTGTAAGCTATGTGAGTCAGGGTCCTTGTCTGTCTTACTCTCCAGTATATTCCCAGGACTTAGCACAGTGCTGATCAAAGTGCTCAAAAAATATTTGTTAAAAGAATGAATGCTGAAGAAATAAATCCCCTTTCTACATAGGAGGAAACAGGCCCAAAGAAGTTAAGTAACTTTCTCAAGATCACAAACCTAGAACACATTACAGCCAGGATGGCAAACCCTGGGCTTTTAACCACTGTACTCATTGGCTTTCCAGTTTTTGATGAAGAAAATAAAGTTCTAGGAAGTAAAGTGACTTGCCTAAAGTCATATAGGTAATAAAGAATAAAATCAGGGTTAGAGTTCATGTCTTCAAACACTGATGTTTTTCTATGCCACATTATGCTGTTTTACTCTGCCCTCCAGGCACTTACAACTAGTGGAATGAGAACAAGGCATATATATATGATAGATATATGAGATATATATCATATATATGATAGATATATGAGATATATATCATATATATGATAGATATGAGATATATATCATATATATGATATATATATGAGATATATGATATATATATCATATACATGATATATATGATATATATATCATATACGTGATATATATGATATATATATGATATATATATCATATATATATCATGTATATGATATATGATATATATATGATATATATGATATATATGATATATATGTGATATATCATATATATGATATATATATGATATATATGATATATATGATATATATGATATATATGTGATATATCATATAGATGATATATAATATATGTGATATATATGATATATATGATATATATGTGATATATATGATATATATGATATATATCACATATGATATATATCATATGTGATATATATGATATATATCACATGATATATATCACATATGTGATATATATGATATATATCACATGATATATATCACATATGTGATATATATGATATATATATCATGTGATGTATATGATGTATATGGTATATGTGATGTATATGATGTATATGGTATATGTGATGTATATGATGTATATGGTATATATGATATATATGATGTATATGGTATATATGATATATATGGTGTATATGATATATATGATATATATGGTATATATATGATATATATGATATATATGGTATATATATGCATATATATGGTATATATATGATATATATGGTATATATGGTATATATGGTATATGAGCATATATATGGTATATATGAGATATATATGGTATATATGAGATATATATGATGTATATGATATATATGATATATATGATGTATATATGATATATATGATGTATATATGATATATATGATGTATATGATGTATATATGATACGTATCATATATATGATATATATATGATACGTATCATATATATGATATATATATGATACGTATGATATATATGATATATATATGATACGTATGATATATATGATATATATGATACGTATGATATATATGATATATATGATATATATCATATATATCATATATATCATATATGTATGATATATATGATATATATACTATATGGGATATATATGGGATATATATGATATATATGGGACATATATATGAGATATATATATGGGACATATATATGAGATATATATATATATGGGACATATATATGAGATATATATATATGGGACATATATATGAGATATATATATATGGGACATATATATGAGATATATATATATGGGACATATATATGAGATATATATATATGGGACATATATATGAGATATATATATATGGGACATATATATGAGATATATATATATGGGACATATATATGAGATATATATATATGGGACATATATATGAGATATATATATATGGGACATATATATGAGATATATATATATGGGACATATATATGAGATATATATATATATGGGACATATATATGAGATATATATATATGGGACATATATATGAGATATATATATATGGGACATATATATGAGATATATATATATGGGACATATATATATATAGAGAAGTTAAATATATGTTAAAATGAATTAAATGGGAAGTGTCTATAGGGCCTGACATCATGCCTGGCACATAGTAGATGTTCAATAAATGTTTGCTGAATTGTTAATGATCATAGCTCTCACCTTTAGAGTAATTACAATGGATCTTACTATATTAAATGTTTAGGCACATATCCAGTGTTTCTCAAAGTGGGACCTGTGGAGCCTGTGGAGCTGGTCAAAATGCAGATGTCTGGAACCTTGACCTAATAAATTGAAATCTGTAGGTGTGGATCTTGAAGATCTGCATTTTCACCTATCTCCCCAGGTGACTCTCATGACCACTGAAGTTTGAGAAACAGTCCTTTGTTACAGTAACCAACGAGGCAGACATTGGCAGCCGTTTATGCACAAGAGAGGATGCTGCTGGAGATGCGATGAATACAGCTGAAGGTCATGCCACTAAAAAGCATGAGAGGTAGTAAGAATTTGAAGCTAATTCTGACTCCAAAAGCCTGGGCTTTTTCCATCATGACTGTGAAAGGAAGGGTGGTGGAGAGGAAAAGAGGTGGGCAGAATGGAAGAATAGGTAGGAAAAGAGACAGAGAAAGAGGCAGAAAGGAAGTGAAGAAGAAGGGGAGGAAGGTCAAATGATTAATATAGAATATAGATTTCCTTGAGACAGCAAAGAGCCCTTCAGGCTGGGATAGTTAGAGAATCTCTGCTGAAAGACCTAGGAATTGAATGGAGATTTTTTAGCTCCCTTTCCTCTCCATTTATCAAATAACATTCACCCCTTGTGGCCAGAACGGCTGCCTTTCAAATACAGGTTTGAAAGGTTTGAACCAGAGAGGCTGTTTAAATTTTTTTGATCCATTTATTAAATATGTTGATTACATTTGCTGAAAAGCAGCCTTATGGGGACTGAACACAGACCCTCTAAGATTTGAATAATTGCCCCAGATAAAGGGCCTGCAAGGGGAACCCAGAGCAGATTCCTGCTACTTTTTCCATGTCTGCAGCAAACATCTGTGTGCAGAAGGAACCCCCTGGGTTGCAGAGCTAATAAGTGGCCTAAAGATCAGACACAGTCCTTTGGAATCAGGCAAATGATTTCTCACACAGAGTGTCAGGTAATTATGAAAATCCAGAGCTACACCACTTCCCAAGGAGGATATGATAAACTTGCTCCACACTGACTTAAGTATTGACTTTAAGTAACAGCTCAGTTCTCAGCTGTTAGGTTTTCCAGCTCCCTCATGCAACTAATTGCATATATATATTCATTCTGACTTTCAGCAGGTATTATGGTATGCCTACTATGTGCCAGTACAAATCACTTGCATCATTTAAGCTTCAGAGTCAGAGCTGTAATCTGGCTTTAAAGTCTTCACCAGAATACTCAACTAGAAAACTCTATTTCTATTAAATTTCGTTGTCATGGCAAGCACAAAGCAACACCATGGAGAGTGCCTTAGATCCCACAGCAGTCTGTTAGCCAGTGTGAATCTGCAGGGAGTAGGCCTTCTATAGGGGCTAAAAATAGAAAACTTACAGCAAGGTTAAACCCCCCACCTAGGAAGAGCAGTGTTACTTGTTCCCTTGGTGGGGTCAAACATGAACCAAATGAGAGGATGGGCTAATTTTCTACTTTGCAGGTTTCTCCAGCCCAGTGCCTGAACTAAGAATGTGCAGACCCAAGATCTAATACCCTAATTAGTTGTGTGAGTTTTTATTCAAGCTGGCCAACATCTCTGGGCTTCATGTCTTCGTTTGTAAAAAGCAGGAGCTGGAATGAACTAAGGACTTTCCAGTACCACAATCCTAGTTGTTAGTCCAGTTAATGCATTTGTCATTTCTGGCTGGACACCGTGGCTCACGCCTGTAATCCCAGCACTTTGGGAGTCCGAGACAGGTGGATCACTTGGGGCCAGGAATTCGAGACCAGCCTGGCCAACATGGTGAATCTCCATCTCTACTAAACATACAAAAATTAGCTGGGGCGTGGTGGTACACAGCTGTAGTCCCAGCTACTCAGGAGGCTGAGGCATGAGAATCACTTGAGCCTGGGAGGTGGAGGTTGCGGTGAGCCAAGATCGTGCCACTGCACTCCAGCCTGGGTGACAGAGTGAGACTGTTTCAAAAAAAAATTCTCATTTGTCATTTCCTTGCTAGATGGATTGCATGGCTGGAGAAGAGGGCATGGAAGGCAGTCATGGTGATGGTGGAGAAGTTTGTCAATAGGTGATTGGTCAAAATTGTTAGGTGTTGTGTTAGTCCATTTGTGTTGCTATAAAGGAATACCTGAGGCTGGGTAATTTACAAAGAAAAGAGTTTTATTTAGCTCACGGTTCTGCAGGCTGTACAAGGAGCACATCTGCTTCTGTGGAGGGACTTGGGCTACTTCCACTCATGGCAGAAGTGAACAGGAACCAACGTGTGCAGAGATCACATGATGGGCGGGTTGGAGGGGCAGAGAAGGTGCCAGACTCATAGAGTAAGAACTCACTCATTTTCTGAAGGAGGGCACCAAGTCGGTATGAGAGATCTGCCCCATGACCCAGACACCTCCCAGTAGGCCCCACCGCCGACACTAGGGATCAGATTTTAACATTTGCTGGGGCCAAACTATATCCAAACCATAACAAATGTCATCTCCTCTTGTAATAACAACTGACAGGTATTAAGTCCTTATTGTGTGCAAAGGATGATTCTAAATGGTTTTCACATGATATGCCATTTAACTTTCCTAATAAAGCTAGGAGAAAGGTGTTACTTGTATCCCTCTTTCATAAATGAGTAAACTGAGTCATAGAGAAGTAAAGCAATTAGGTAATTTTTAAAAAGATAGTGAGTTATATAGCTAGGATTTGAACGCTGCCTACCTAAATTAAGAACCTATGTGCTTGGCCATTACTCTGTTGTATCTTTAGTGCCTAGATCCTTGCCTGGCATCTTGGGGACCCTCAAAAACTAATTGTTGAACATGCAATAAATGACTGATGTTCAGAAGGTTTTCGGTGCTTATCATTTACGAATTTTAAAGCCCTTTCCTTTCTTGATAGTTTATAATGTGAAGAGAAATCTTTGGCACACCTCCCCTAAGCAAAGTGGTTGTGGGAGAGCTAGAAAGCATGTTGGTATGGAATAAAAGATACAGAAAAAAAGATACAGTTAAAATATGAAGATTGCTAAATAATTAGTTTGAATTATATAATTACTTGAAGAATAAATTATGGAACTGATGCTCTGTCAAAATAGGGTCCATTTTCTGGGACCAAAATACATAGGCATTTTTATTCTACTATTTTAGGTGAGAATTACATTTTTTTTAGTAGCAGAGAGTGAAAAGAGAGCCCTTGTAACTATAGGAAAGAGAAACTGAACTTGAAAATAAAATATACATAGACTTTTCTCCTGTATATAAAGAAAACACATGGTGTACATTAAAACCTAGTGAAACTCCTAACTCAACAGTATAATATGAATCATTTTTAACATTATACCCAAATGCAGATACCTGAATGTTAATTGGAGTAATTTTTACCAATGAGTTGTTAGATTCTTTTAAAATTTGTATTGGAAACTAACATACATACACAAAGTTTTCATAAGTCCCAGTGAACTTTTACAACTGGACACACTCATGTAACCAGCATCCAGATCAAAAAACAGAGCGAGTTTCTGTTTCCCAGAACACTCCTGTGTATTGCTATCAAGTATTTACCCTTCCCCTCAAAAGTACCATCATCCTGACTTCTAATAGCGTAAATTAGGGTAGATTAGGCTTGCCTTTGTGTGTTTTGAATAAATGGAATCCTATTGTATGTACTCTTTGTGTCTGACTTTTGTTCAACATTATGTTTATGAGATTCATCCATATTGTTGTATGTAGTTGTAGTTTGTTCATTCTCATTGCTGTATAGTATTTCATTGTGTGAATGTGTCCCATTTATTTATACATGATGCTAATGATGACAATTTGGGTAGTTTCCAGTTTAGGATTATTGTGAAAAATTTATAGGAAAATTCCATTGAGTCTTTGAATATATAAACAGATAACTGCCAGACCTTATATAAAAACAGAACCCTGACCTACATTGGTAGCCCTCATTCCAGGATGCTAAATCACAGCCTGTGTAGTAATTGGCCCCAAAGTGGCCACAAGTTGACCTTAACTATCAGTTTCCCTAATTTTTTGCCCTATTTATAACTTAGGACCAACCAGAGAAAGCCAAGTATGCTCATCTAAACGATCAAATAGTATGCCTCACTTCTACTTAGCCCACCTCCAGCTTCTCCATTTGAGCAACCTCTAGTCAGGGCATAGTCGAATCCTCTTTTTTCCATTATGAAGCTTTCCTGGTCCTCTGCCTGCCTTTGAGTCTCAGCTAAACACAAATGAGGGTGGCTGACTCCCTTGCTAGAGCAAGCTCTGGGTAAATAGCCTTTGCTTCTTCTTATTTGCATGATCTTCATTTATTTCCACACAAATATATGTCTTTTGGTGAGCATATGTACATATCTCTGTGGTGTATATACCCAGGAGTGAAATTGCTAGTTCATAAAATATGCATATGTTTAATTTTGGCAGATAATGCCTAATAGTATTCAAAAATGTTATATCAATTTTCAAACCTACCAGCAATGTATAAGAATTCCAAATGCTGCATAATCTCTCCAACTCTTGAAACTTTCTGACTTTAATTTAGCATTTTTATAGGTGAGCAGTAGTATCTCACTGTGGTTTAATTTACGTGCTCTTGATGGCTAATGAAGTGGAAGTCACTTTTCACATGTGTTTTTGATGTTTGCATATCCTCTTGTAGTGTCTGTTCAGATCCTTTATTTTTTCTCTTGTCACCTATATTATTTCTATTGATTAACATTTTCTATGTATTCTATATATGAGTCCTTTGTCAGATATACGTATGGGAATCCTCCCTTTAGGGTTAGTGCCTTTTATGTCTTTTAGGTAAAGGTTTAAGAAACCTTTACCTACTCCAAGGTCATGAAGTTGTCTTCCTATGTTCTCCTCTAAAAGCTTTATTGTTTTATTTTTCATATTTAGATCTGCAATCCATATGGAATTTTGAGCAATGGTATAGAAAGGGGTCTGGATATATTTTTCTCATATATCTCATTAATCCATCAATGATTATGGAAAATAGGATTCTTTCACCCACTGTATTGTGGCCTTCATCTTGACTTAGGTGGCCATGCATGTGCGCATTCTCTAATATAGGGCATTGGTTAGTTTATCAATCCTTGTGCCAATACTGTGAGGTCTTCAATGCTAGCTTTATGATGGGTTTTGTTCTCAGGTAGAATAAATCATCCAGCTTTGCTCTTCCTCTTCAGTTACCTTGAATACTCTTAGCCCTTTGAATTTCCATATAAATTTTAGAATCAGTCTGTCAACTTCTGCCAAAAAAGAAAAGAAAAGAAAATCCTGGTAGGGTTTGGACTGGGATAGTGTTGAGTTTATAGATTGATTTGGGAAGAATTGATGGCTTTACAGTATTCAGTTTCTAAATATTAAAAGTTTATATCTAAGTTTATTTAGTTTTTCCTCAAGGATTTTTATAGTTTTCAATGTTGGGGTATTGCAAATCTTTTGCTAGAATTGTTCCTATGTAGTTTATATTTTGATGATATTATAAATAGCATGTTTTAAAATATAATTTTCTATTTGTTTGTGGATGGTATGTAGAAATATAAGTGATTTTTAAATAATAAAATTGTATTAAGCAACATTGTAGATTCAATTATTAGACCAAATAGTTTATTCTTTTGAATTTTCTTAGCATATACTAATTATATCTACAAATAATGACAGCTTTATTACTTCCTTTCAAATCCTAATTTTTTTAAAAAAATATATTGCAATGGCTGGGACCTCCAGTAAAATGTTGAATGTAGGCCAGGCGTGGTGGCTCACGCCTGTAATCCCAGCACTTTGGGAGGCCGAGGCGGACAGATCACGAGGTCAGCAGATCGAGACCATCCTGGCTAACACAGTGAAACCCCGTCTCTACTAAAAATACAAAAAATTAGCCAGGCACGGTGGCGGGTGCCTGTAGTACTAGCTACTGGGGAGGCTGAGGCAGGAGAATGGCATGAACCCGGGAGGCGGAGCTTGCAGTGAGCAGACATGGCGCCACTGCACTGCAGCGTGGGCGATAGAGAGAGACTCTGTCTCAAAAAAAAAAAATGTTGAATGTAAGTAGTAATAGCTGGCATCCTTGACTCATTCACAGTCTTAGAAGTAACATTTTCAGTATTTCACCATGTATATGATGTTTGCTATTGGGTTTTTATAATGTTCTTTATTTGTTGTACCTCTTATTCCTGGTGTGCCAAGAGTTCTTCAAAATATAAGCACAGGGAGGGGCAAATTTTGTCAAATAATTTCTCTGCATCTATCAAGATATTCATATAACTTTTCTCCTTTTTATTTTAAAGTGATTGTATTAATTATTTTATTTTATTTTTATTTCGTTTTGAGACAGAGTCTCACTCTGTCGCCCAGGCTGGAGTGCAGTGGCGCCTTCTTGGCTCACTTCAAGCTCCGCCTTCCAGGTTCCGGCCATTCTCCTGCCTCAGCCTCCCCAGTAGCTGGGACTACAGGTGCCCGCCACGACGCCCGGCTAATTTGTTGTATTTTTAGTAGAGACAGGGTTTCACCGTGTTAGCCAGGATGGTCTCAATCTCCTGACCTCGTGATCCGCCTGCCTCGGCCTCCCAAAGTTCTGGGATTACAGGCATGAGCCACAGTGCCCGGCCTGTGATTGTGTTAATTTTTAAATGTCAAACCAATATTGTGTTCCAAAGGGAAGTTCAATGTATATAATATACACACACACACACACACACACACATATAAAATATCTAGATTCAGTAGTTTAATAGTTTGATAAAGATTTTTACACTATGTTTATGTGAGATTTGCCTGTAATTCTCTTTCTTAGAATATACTTGTCAGGTTTTGGAATTGTGGTTGTACTAGTCTCATAAAAGATACATGAGAGAAACAGTTGTCTCTGTCTGTTTTATGGAAGAGTTTTCACAAGATTTGTGTTATTACTTCTTTAAATTTTCACAAGAATTTACCAGTAAAGTCATGTGACTCTAGAGTTTTCCTTAGGGGAGATTGTTAAATAGTGGATTAAATATTTTTAATAGATATTGAGCTATTCAGATTTTCTACTGCTCACAGTTTTGGTAAGTTGTATTTTTCTGGGAATTTGTTTGTGTCACCCAAATTGTCAAATTAATTGGTACTAAATTAAAATATTATTATCCTTCTTTTCTCTGTTGGATCTGCATTAATATCCCTTTTTTATTCCTGATAATGGTAGTTTGTGCCATCTCTCCTTTTTCTTAAGCAGTCTTGTTCTGGGTTTATACATTTTATTAATCTTTACAAATATTCAACTGTCGCTATTGCTGATATTATTAATTATATGTTTGTTTTGCCTTTCACTGATTTCTGCTTTAACTTTATTTTTTTCTCTACTGCCCTTAAATTTAATTTCTCTTTTTTTAGCTTCTTGAGATTGAAAGTTAAATGATTAATTTCTTTCTTCTTTCCTAATACATGCATTTAAAGCAATATATTTCTGCTTATGCACAGCTTTAGCTGAGTCCCATAATTTTTTATATGTTGTATCTTTATTATGATTTAGTCAAAATTTTTCTAATTTCCATTTTGATTTATTTATCGATGGTTTATTTGAAAGTTTATTGTTTAATTATCAAACAGTTGGCATCATTCTAGTTACTTTTTGTTATTTTTTCTGCCTTGATTCTATTTTTGAAAGATAGCACACTGTGAATGATTCTGATTTTTTCAAATTTGCTAAGCCTTTTATTATGATTTTGGCAAAAGATCCATTTGCACTTGAGAAGAAGGTTCATTGTTTGATGCAGTATTTTGTAAAGCCAAATTGCTCAATTGTGTTGTTTTATGTTTCTAGATTTTTTTCTAGACTATTTTATGAGCTTCCTTTAATTCAGCCAATTTTTGCTTTAACATTTATCTTAGTTTGGGCTGCCATAACAAAATACGATAAAGTGGGTAGCTTATTAACAACAAATTTGTTTCTCATAGTTCTGGAGTATGGGAAGTTTAAGATCAAGGCATTCACAGATTTGGTGTCTGGTAAGGGCCCACTTCCTCATAAATAACACCTTTTCACTCTGTTCTCATGTGATGGAAGTGGCAAAGGGGCTCTCTGGGCCTCTTTTATAAGGGCACTAATCTCATTCATGAGAGCAATGCTTTTATGAACTAATCACCTCCGTAAGACCCTACCCCTGACTATCACATTTGTGATTAGGTTTCCACAAATAAATTTTAGGGGGGACATAAACATTTCAACCATAGTAATATTTGAACCTCTGTTATGGAGTTTATACAGATTTGGGATGTGTTTGCCTCCTGCTAAAATGGCCCTTTTATGTTTATGAAATTTCCATCTTCATAGTAATTATTTTTGCATTAAATTGACTGTCTGATTTTGGTGATGTTCATCAACATAGGATGAGGTTACATCCTGAGAAACCCATTCTAACTTGAAAATTGATATTTTGATTTGATAATCAAAAATGCATTTAATGCATCCAACCTACTGAACTTCATGGCTTAGCCAGGCCTGCCTTAAACATGTTCAGAACACTTACATTAGCCTGCAGTTGGGCAAAATCATCTGGCAGCACAGTACACTGTAGGGTATGGTTATCTACTCTCGTGACCATATAGCTGACTGGGAGCTGCAGCTCACTGCTGCTGCCCAGCATCGCAAGGGTTTCATACTGCCTATCACTAGCCCAGGAAAACATCAAAATTCAAAATACAGTTTCTACTGAATGTATATAACTTTTGCACCATTGTAAAGTAAAAAAAAAATAATAAGTTCAACCATCATCTTCAAGAACTGTCTATATAGGCACACCATCTTCCTTTTCTTTTGTGTTTATACGGTGTATTAGTCAAGGTTCTCTAGAGAGATATCCCACCATTCTATGAAACCAGCTCCTTCCGGATGATAGGAGACATGGTGAGAACAGTGAAGTCCATGAGCATAAGCCCATTTTTGTACTTCTTTGTCTGTGAAGTGAGTTCCTTGATCAGAAGCAATGGGATGTGGAATATTATAACAGTGGATAAGGCATTCAGTAAGTCCATGGATGATAGTTTTGGCAGAAGCATTGTGTGCCATAGAACATACATAGAAACATATGAAAGGGGATTTATTAGGGGAATTGGCTCACATGATTATGGAAGCTGAGAAGTTCCATGACAGGCTGTCTGTAAGCTGGAGACCCTGGGATGCCAGAAACATGGCTCTAGCCAAGTCCAGAAGCCTCAGAACCAGGGACGCTTATGGTGTAATTTTCAGTCCAAGGCAAAAGGCCTGAGAACCTAGCAAGCAGCTGATGTAAGTTTTGGAGTCCTCAGGCCAGAGAGCCTGCAGTTCTGATATCCAAGGGCAGGAGGAAGAGAGTGTCCCAGCTCCAGGAGAAACATCGAGGAAATTCTGTCCTTTCCTTTTTTGTTCTATCTAGGCCGCCAGCTGATTGGATGGTGCATATACACACAGCCACTTTGAGGGCAGATCTTCCCTACTCAGTCCACTGAGTCACACAGCAGTCTCCTCTGGAAACACCCTCACAGACACACCCAGAAGTGATGATTTACCAGTTCTCTAGGTATTCCTTAATACAGTCAAGTTGACATCTAAAATGAACCATGACAAGTCCAGCCTTTGTTAACTTGATAGCCTTATGCATACCCTTGAACTATACTTAACCTGCAAATAAAGATAATAAAAAGGAATAATTCCACCTAACATGATAAAATTATCCTATATACAACCATAAATGCACTAATCCCTGCCCAGAGAGGAGGTAAAGTCCTTGGATGATGTTTACTTTTCTCCTGATGTAACTTAAATACTATGATGTAAAATTAACAATACTTAAAGACTTATGTAAAGTTAATATATCTTACGTTACATGAAAAAGGAATAAGAAAGGAGTGAAAACATATTTGCTTAATATATGCATAATATACACAAAGATATTCTTAACAAAATAAGGAGAAAATACTCATGACAGTTATAGTCCTTGTTCCTGTAACTGGTCACATGGTCATAGCTGGTTTCGATAACTACCTTCTTTTACTACCCATTCTGTATTCTCTTTGCCTTCAGCAAGTATCTCAGCTGTTTGTGGATATTTACATGGTGAGGTGACACAAACCTTTGTTCCTGAAGGGTCTGGACCATTTATAGTCCTGCCTGTATTGGGTTGCTGTAATTTCCCATTGACCTTAATCACAGGGCATGATAATAATAAGAGATGCCCTAAAGGATCTCCTATATCCCACCCTTCCTTACCTTCCTAGAGGTAAGGACTACCAATTTACCCATGGTAGTCTGGATCATTCCTCTAGTCAACATTGTAACTCCTTTAGCCTGTTGACTCAGTCATGAGGAGGTCAAGGTTGCTTGGTGGTAGTCTAAACTTCCAGTTCACTGAAGTCAGTGTTGTGTCTCCTGGTGTCAGCATTCCTCTCTCTGGAACTAAGACCTGTAGGCCAGCAGAGCATAAGGTCATGGGAACAGGGAGCAAATATTTTTCCACTAGGTCACTGGGGGCATTGGTAAGTGGTGCCATTCCCATTTTCACCCCTTGATTCTTGGGCCCATGAATCCTGGCTGTGGAGAAACTGTACCCTATAGTGAATGCTACTTGGGGCATACACACCCTTCTGGAGAACCTTGCCTGAGCCCTGCCAACTATTATAACCTAGCTGGTACTGTAACTGTGACATCAAAAGGCCATCCTACTGTTCTGGGTGAAGCCAGCTGCTTCAGGATGATGGGGAACATGGTGAGAACAGTGAGTTCTATGAGTATGAGCCCATTTCTGCATTTCTTTGTCTATGAAGTGAGTTCCTTGATCAGAAGCAGTGCTCTTTCTGTGGAATACCATAACAATAGATAAGGCATTCACAGATGGTAGTTTCAGCAGAAGCATTGTGTGCAGGCAAGGCAAATCCATATCCAGAGTAACTGTCTATTCCAGCAAGCACACAATGCTGCCCCTTCCATGGTGGAAGCAGTTCAATGTAATCAACCTGCTACCAGGGAGCTGACTGATTACCCCAGGAAATGATGCTATATTGAAGACTCAGTATTGGTCTCTGCTGTTAGACTGAGCTCTCAGAGGTGGCAATAGCCAAGTTGGCCTTAGTGAGTGGAAGTCCACTTTGTTGAACCCATGCTGATATGGTTTAGCTCTCTGTCCCCACCCAAATCTCACCTTGAATTGTAATAATCCTCACATGTCATGGGAGGGACCCAGTGGGAGGTAATTGAATCATGGGGATGGGTTTTCCCCATGCTGTTCTCATGATAGTGAATAAGTCTAACAAGATCTGATGGTTTTATAAAGGGGAATTCTCCTGCACATGCTCCCTCTTGCCTGCTGCCACGTAGGACAGATGTGCCTTTGCTTCTCCTTTGCCTTCTGCCATGATTATGAGGCCTCCCCAGCCATGTAGAACCATGAGTCCACTAAACCTCTTTTCTTTATAAATTACCCGGTCTCTGGTATGTCTCTATTAGCAGCATGAGAACAGACTAATACACATGCATAACCTCCATCCCTGCCACCATGGCCACTTTGTTCATGGGCCCACTGTGTTATAACAGGAGTGACTGAGGAAAGAGATTGACTAGTATGCACAGAATGGATCATCCTATTCACCTGATGATTAAAGTCCTCTGCTGAGAAGGTGAGCATTCACGTAGGACACAAATATCTCCACATCTTTTGCCCACTCAGATCTAGCCCTATATGTTTTCCCCAAATTACTTTTCACCAATTTTCCAATCCCCTTCCTTTCAAGTCCCTGACCATCTGGCAAAATCATTAGCTACAGCCTGTGTGTCAATATATAATTGCACATATGGCCATTTCTACTTTCAAACAAAGTGTACAATCAGGTGAAGTTTCTGCCCATTGAGAAGAATTTTCTTCACCACTTTTCTTCAGAGATGTCCCAGAGAGGGGATGTAATGCTACAGCTGTCCCTTTTCAGGTGGTACCTGCATATCATGCATAACCATCTATAAACTAGGCCCTGGTCTTCTCCTCCTCTGTCAACTGATCATAGGGTACTTCCCAGGAGGCCATGGGTGTAGGCTGGGAGAGAAAAAGCTGTGTAGTATGAATAGAAACCATGATCCTTTGGGCTACTTCTTCATGTAACATACTTGTGCCTTCAGAACCTGCTCAGGCCCCATCAAATATATACGACTTCAATTTGGTGATAGAGTGCTGCTGTGCACACCTAACTTTATGGTTTGGTGGGTCAGATAACACCCAGATAGGTAGCTCTGGTCATGTAGTGACTTTATAACTCATGTTCAAGCATTCAGTTTCTTCTAAAGCACAGTGGCAGGCCAAGAGCTGTCTCTCAACAGGAGAGTAGTTATCTAGGATGATGCCAGGGGCTTGCTCCAAAATGACTAAAAGTCTCCACTACGATTTACCTATAGGGGTCTGCCAAAGGCTCGAAACAGCATCCCTGTCTGCCACTGACACCTCAAATACCATTGGATATACTGGATCATATGGCCCAAGTGGCAGAGCAGCTTGCATAGCAGCTTGGAGCTCCTGCTGCTCCAGGAGACTGCAGAGCCTTCTCCTGGAGTTCCACTCAAAACTTGCAGCTTTTTTAGTCACTCAATAGATGGGCCAGGATAACACATCCAAATGAGAAATGTGTTGCTTCCAAAATCCAAATAAGCCCACTAGGATTGTGCTTCTTTCTTGGTTTTAGGAGGGGCCAGATGAAAGAACTTAACCTTCACCTTAGAAGGGATATTTTGACATGCCCCACACCACTGGACCCTAGAAATGTCACTGAAGTAAAAGGCACCTGAATTTTAGTAGAATTAATTTCCCATGGTCTGACACACAAATGTCTTACAAGTAAGTCCAGAGTAGTTGCTAGTTCATGCTCACTACTAGGTCCAATCAGCATAATGTCATCAATGTAATGGACCAGTGTGATATCTTGCGGAAAGGAAATGCAACCAAGATCCTTGCCAACTAAATTATGACGTAAGACTAGAGAGTAGATATACCCCCATAGTATGACAGTGAAGGTGTATTGCTGGCCTTGCCAGATGAAAGCAAACTGCTTCTGATGAGCCTTATGGACAGGTATGGATAAAAAGGCATTTACAAGATCAATAGCTGCACACTATTGTTACCAAGAGAAGTGTTAATTGGCTTAAGCAATGGAACCACATCTGGTAGGGCAACTGCAATTGAAGTCACTGCTTGTCTAAGCTTATGATAATTCACAGTCATTCTCCAGAATCCATCTGTCTTTACACAAGCCAAATAGGAGAATTGAATGGGGATGAATATGCCACCTTTGCATATTTCCTGTTCTCACAACTTTATGCTCTGCTGGCCTACAGATTCTATTTCCAGAGGGAGGAAGTCTGCCACAGGGAGACACAATGATTCCATTAAACTGGAAGTTAAGACTGTCACCCAGCCACTTTGGGCTCCTGATGCCTCTGAGTCAGCTGGCTAAGAAAGGAATTATGGAATTATGAATTGTGGTAGTCTGGAGTAATTGATCCAGACTACCAAGGAGAAATTGGACTATTACTCCACACTAGAAGTAAAGAAAGTATGCCTGGAATACAGAAGATCCCTTAGGGCATCTCTTAGTACTACCATGCCTTGTAATTAAGGTTGATGGGAAATTACCTAAAATTAACCATCACATATGGCATTTTTTTGGTTCTCTTATTGTCTACTTTTCTGTGTCTTTATATTTAAAGCATGACTCTTGTGATCACAATATAGTTGTTGTTGTTCAATCCAATCTGACCAACATAAGACTTTACTCGGTGTATTTAGATCATTTACAATTAATGTAATTATGAACATTATTGAGTTTATATATACATTGTTGCTATCCATTTTCTATTGGGGTCATATGTTTTATACTTCTTTTTCTATTTTTCTTTCCTTTTTAAGAACTAAAACTTTTTAAATGATTATTTCATTTACACTTTCTATTATCTTGTAAGCATATGTCATTAACTATTTATGCAGTTCTCCTAGATGCATAATATATAGCCTTGACTTATAATAAACTATTACAAATTGTTACCTTTACTATTACCTATCTCCCACTTTTGTGAAATTGTTCTACATATAATTTAAGCCTCAGATCACATATGACTATTGTTTTGTATAATTAATTATCATTTATATTTACCAATTTAGTTCCTCTTTCTGGTGTTCTTTATTCCCTTCCTGGATTTTTATCTTTCTATTTGGGAATGTTTTCTTTCTGGCTGAAGATATTTATTTAATTTACTTTTAGTGAGGACCTTATATAAAAAAATCCCTTAATTTTGTTTGTCTGAAAATATGCATATTTTCCTGTCATTGGTAAAATATATTTTTTTACTGAATATGGAATTTGAAATTAGTAACCATTTTATTTTAGTTTCCAAACTAAAATAAATTTTCATCGGTTTTCTTCTAACTTTCATCGTGTAGAGGTTGCTGTGGTAAACCACAAAGACTCTCAAGTATTGAGTACTTACTCCTTCTCTTGCCAAGAATATTGCATTCTGATAGTCCAGAGCTTGTTCACTTCCTAAGAATCACCATTGGATTAATATAATGGCTTGCTCAAGGTTGGGGCAACTCTCCAGGGAGAATTCACATTCAGTGACTGCTTGATGTAGGTATATAAAATTTGTCCTTAATTCAGGACACATCTGAAAAGTTTTGCAGCTCTGGAGTTCTCCAGGGGTTTAGCTGGGGTCACTGTTAAACTGTTCCTTCTGTCTAATGCTGGTTTCTTCTTTCCCTCACAGGTATTGTTCCTGCTGACAAGTTCAAATACATTTCTGTATACAAACCCTTATCTGTATTTCCCATCCCCTAATATTGTCCCCATTGATCCTCATCTCTTTGTACTCATAACCTTGTATAGTTCCTTTCACATTGAATTAGAGTGGACTTGTGTAAATATAGATTCTACAGAAGTGGTGGTGTTTAACTTCTGAAGATCATAAATGATGTTGCAGTGTCCCATTTTCTCTAGGATTTCTCACTGTGAGAGAAGTGAGCCACCAGATAGAGAGGACACTCAAACAGCCCCATGCAGAGGCCAATATAGAAAGGATAAAATAGCCAGCATCAACTTACCGGCTTTGTAAGAGAGCCTTTATAACTGAATCCACTGCCCCGGTCAAGCCTTCAGATGACTGCAGCTCTAGCCTACATCTGGCTGCAATCTCAGGTAAGACCCTGAGCCAGAGTGTACCAACCATGTTGAAAATGAATCCCTAACCCACAGAAACCAATTGAAATAAAAAATTACTTTTGTTGTTTTAATCCAATCGGCTTTGGGATGACTTTTTTTTTTTTTTGCACAACAGTAGATAAATACAGGTTTTGATCATCGAAAATGAGGTGCCACCATCACAAAAACCTAAAAATATGGTGATAGTTTGCTGAGAAGAGCGGAAAAGACTATGAGGAAGTTATTAGTGGGACCTAAATGTCATTAGAGACATTTAATGGAAACTGCATGGTGTTCAATGAGGATATAAAGTGGGAAATTAAATAAAAGTAAAGAAAATGTTACTGCAAGCTGAAAAAAAGAGGACATATTGTTGACTGATGGGAAGCTTATTTGTATTGTCGACTGGGGTAGAATGGAAAATTTTAAATATGCTCAATGAACTGGAAGAATTCGCTAAGAGGATATCAAGACAAAGTGTTAAATGTATCGCCTGTCTTCTACTTGCTGTTCATAGTAAAATACAAGAGCAGAAAGAAAAGCTAAAGGAAGAACTGTGAAGAATTTAAAATTGCAGAACATGATGGGTTTGAAATTAAAATTGTTTCTTATTCCAAGATTTACAGATGGCAAACAATGCTAAAATTAAGAAATGACTTTTAGGCATATATCAATCTAGGGCACTCTGAGGAAAAATATGATCTAAAGATGAAGCAGATGGTATGACTGTAAAATCTTTTGTTCAGAGTATAAAGAAACCTAAAGCAATGTCTCAGGGAACTGTTTAGTAAGATAAAAAGTCCTATAAGAATTTGAAGGATGCTCTTTGCAGATCTTTGTTAAATGTTGAGGCTTCTAAGCATCTTGGAGATGTTTATTTCAATAGCCCCAGAGGAAGCCTAAGGTTCAGGAGGGCTTCCAGTATAGACATTTGTGAGTGTGGCTTATCTCTAATGGAGTAAATGCTAATAAGATCCATAGGAGACCCACAAAATTTTAAAAAGTTGTGCTAATGTTAACAGTACATGAACTAAAATGTACCAAGACAGTACAAAATGGTAAGAGGTCTTTAGACCCCAAATTTCTAGTGTCATAAAGAAGGCTGAGATAAACTACTCAGCTGTAAATGTATATTATCATTTGTGGAATAGGAAAGATGATTTAGAGGTGGAACTGAACCAAGAATCCAGAGTGTGGGCCTAAAGTGCCATAGAGAATCATTTCTAGGCAGTAATAGGTTTGAGTCTTAATAATGAATTGACAACATGTGCCCAGGTCAATTTCAGTATTTCTATGTGCCAGTGAGCCCTGTCTGCCTCTCATTTCCTCTATTTTTAATGGGGGGCCATAGTGGTTATCTTATGCCTGCCTCACCATTGTAATTTGGATATTTGGGAGTATAAAACTTGCCTCTTTTGTTTACAGGTGTTCAGATCAAGGGAAACTACTCTAAGAGGCTACACTTGAGGAACAACAACCAAGGAGCTTCAACTGCATCTGGATTTCAGGGTAATGCTGTTGATGATTAGATTCTGGGCTTTAGGCTAATGCTGTTATATGATGAGTCTTTTGAGATACTTAAGAGGGAGTGAGTTTATTTTGCATGATGGAAGGACATGAATCATTGAGGATCAAAGAGCAGACTGTCATAGTCAGCTTACACTGCTCTTTGTTATTCATGCTGTTGGTTAGCACCCTCCCACATGGAATCAAAGCTGACTCACATGGCCAATAGAACACTGGATTTTGATTGTGTATGGTTTCTTAGGCTAAACTATAAAAAACATTGCAAATTTTTCTTAATTTCTTGCATCACTCTCTATGGTGGAAGCTAGCTGCCATGTCATGAGGACACATAAGGAAGCCCATCCCAAGGCCCACATGGACAGGGACCAATAGCTAGCATTAACTTGCTAGCTGATATGGTTTGGGAGCTTGTCCCCACCCAAATCTCATCTTGAATTCCCAAGTGTTGTGGGAGGGACCCAGTGGGAGGTAATTGAATCATAGGGGCAAGCCTTTCCCCTAAGGTGACTCTTGTTACATTTTAGCAAAGAGACTGGCAGCATTTGGCCCCTATGCTAGAGATTTGTGGTACTTTGAACTTGAGAGAGATGGTTTAGGGTATTTGGTGGAAGAAATTTCTAAGCAGCAAAGCATTCAAGAGGTGACTTGGGTGCTATTAAAGGTATTCAATTTTATAAGGGAAGCAGAGCATAAAAGTTTGGAAAATTTGCAGCCTGAAAATGCAATAGAAAAGAAAATCCTATTTTCTGAGGAGAAATTCAACTAGCTGGAGAAATGTGCATAAGTAACTAGGAGCCTAATGTTAATCTCCAAGACAGTGGAGAAAATGTCTCCAGGACATGTCAGAGGTCTTCACAGCAGCTCTTCCCATCACAGGCCCAGAGGACTAGGAGGAAAATGTGGTTTTGTGGGCCAGGCCCAGGGTCCCCATGCTGTGTGCAGCCTAAGGACTTGGTGCCTTGCATCTCAGCCACCCCAGCCGTGGCTGAAAGGGGACAACATAGAGCTTGGGTTGTGGCTTCAGAGAGTGCAAGCCCCAAGTCTTGGCAGCTTCCATATGGTGTTGAGCCTGCGAGCACACAGAAGTCAAGAACTGAGGTTTGGGAACCTCTGCCTAGATTTCAGAGGCTGTATGGGAATGCCTGGATCCCCAGGCAGAAATTTGCTGCAGGGGAGGGGCCCTCATGGAGAATGTCTGCTAGGGCAGTGCAGAAGGGAAAGGTGGGGTTGGAGCCCCAACACAGAGTCCCTACTGGGGCACCACCTAGTAGAGCTGTGAGAAGAGGACCATGGCCCTCCAGACCCCAGAATGGTAGATCCACCAACAGCTTGCACTGTGTGCCTGGAAAAGCCACAGACACTCAACACCAGCCAGTGAAAGCAGCCAGGAGGAAAGCTGTACCCTGCAAAGCCACAGGAGCCGAGCTGCCCAAGACCACCTCTTGCATCAGTGTGACCCTAATGTGAGACATGGAGTCAAAGGAGATCATTTTGGAACTTTAAGATTTTACTCCCCTGCTGGATTTCAGACTTGCATGGGGCCCGTAGCCCCTTTGTTTTGCCCAATTTCTCACATTTGGAATGGCCAATGCCTGTACCCCCACCCCCGTACCTAGAAAGTAACTAACCTGCTTTTGATTTTACAGGCTCATTGGTGGAAGGGACTTGCCTTTTCTCAGATGAGACTTTGGACTGTAGACTTCTGAGTTAATGCTGAAATGAGTTAAGACTTTAGGGGACTGTTGGGAAGGCATGATTGGTTTTGAAATGTGAGGATGAGGATGTGAGATTTGGGAGGGGCCAGGGGTAGAATGATATGGTTTGACTGTGTCCCCACCCAAATCTCGTCTTGAGTTCCCACGTGTTGTGGGAGGGACCCAGTGGGAGGTAATTGAATCATGGGGGCAAGTCTTTCCCATGCTGTTCTCATGATAGTGAATAAGTTTCCAGATCTGATGGTTTTAAAAAGAAGAGTTCCCCTGCACAAGCTCCCTCTCTCTGCCTGCTACCATCCATGTAAGACATGACTTGCTCCTCCTTGCCTTCTGCCGTGATTGGGAGGCTTCCACAGCCACATGGAACTGTAAATCCAATTAAACCTCTTTCTTTTGTAAATTGCCCAGTCTCAGGTATGTCTTTATCAGCAGTATAAAAATGGATTAATACACTAGCCAAGTGACTTAAGAACCTTGGAGGTGAATCTTTGAGCTCCAGCTGAATTCAGACTGTTAAATGACTGCAGGCTCAGTCAACATCTAACTGCAACTCTATAAAATAGCCTGAACCATAACTCAATCAAGCTACTTTTAAATTCTTGCAGTTTCCACAGAAACCATAAGAGATAATACATTATTGTTGTCAACTTAGGCCATTACATTTTGGAGTGATATATTATGAAGCAATAATAGCTAATACACCATCACAGATTCTATTTCCATTTATATGCATTGGATGTTTTGAGCATTTCTCACGTCTACTTTATTTTCTCCATTATTTCTTCTCTATTTACTTCAATGTGGTTATTTTCCACTGATCTGTTTTCGAGTTCTCCATCCTCATATTCTGTTTGTTCAATTGCTATTAAACCTATCCATTTACTTCTTTATTTTTTTTCTCGTTTTTAGAGATGGGATCTTGCTATGTTGCTCAGGCTGGAGTGCAGTAGCTATTCACAGGCACCATCCCACTACTGATCAACTTGGGAGTTTTGACCTACTCCATTTCCAACCTGGGCTGGTTCATCTCACCTTGTGCAACTTGGTGGTCCCCCACTCCTGGGAGTTCACCATATTGATGCCAAACTTAGTGCAGAAGCTCAACTTGCATAATGCTATAGCCAAGAACTCCTGGACTCAAGTGATCCTCCTGCCTCAGGTGAGGCTGGAAGATATTTTCACTCCAATTATCTAGAGTGGAAAGACACCAAAATAAATGTAGAACCTAAAATGATCATGTCTTAGTAGTAGGTCTAAATAAGCCCCAGAGTAAAGGCTGCTCTAGCCCACTGTAACCAATTTTTAAATAAAGATCAAAACAACCAAGCTAATGTACAAGTAATTTAACCAACTGCCAAAGTAAAATTCAACACACTTTAAAGAAAGACAAGAAAATCCAGACACTTGACAATTTAACATCACAATATCCAGCATTAATTTAACACTTTCTAGACATACAAAGAAACAGAAAAATGTGTATAACTAAAGGAATATTCAGTCAGTAGAAACAGATTTGGAAAAAAGAGATGATAAGATTAGCAGATTAAAAACTTAAGACCTTAAAAGTATATGCTCAAGGTCTTAAAATATGAACATAATGAGGAGAGAAACAGAAGTTATAAAAATTAACCAAATTTAATTTTTAGACTTGAAAAATGCATATGTAAAATAAAAACTCAACTTATTAGCTGATTAGACACTGCAGTAAAAAATAGATCAGTAAACTTAAAGACATAGCAATAGAAAATATACAAATATATAGATGGGGGAAAAGTATTAATATTGAAGAAGAATGAGCAGAATATCAGTGATCTGTGGAATAGTACCAACCAGACAAACATTTATGTAATTGGAATCCCAGAAGAAGAAGAGAAAACAAAGTGAGGCACTTGAGAAAGTAACGGTTGAGGCCGGGCATGGTGGCTCTCGCCTGTAATCCCAGCACTTTGGGAGGACGAGGCCAGTAGATCACCTGAGGTCAGGAGTTCAAGACCAGCCAGGCCAACATGGTGAAACCCTGTCTCTACTGAAAATACAAAAATTAGCCAGGTGTGGTGGCAGGCACCTGTAATCCCAGCTACTCAGGAGGCTGAGGCAGGAGAATTGCTCAAACCCAGGAGGCAGAGGTTGCAGTGAGCTGACATTGCGCCATTGCACTCCAGCCTGGGCGACAAGAGTGAAACTCCATCTCAAAAAAAAAAAAAAAAAAAAAAAATGATGGTTGAAATTGTTCCAAATTTGATAAAAATTATAAATCCATAGATCCAAGATCTGTGTGCAGAGTGTGCTTGGATCAGATTAAATAAAGACAATAAACCCAAGAGAAGAAACACAAAGAAAATCAAACCACAATATATCATCATTGCACAAGTTATCAATTTATTGCCTCTCAAAAACAAATTTATTCTTTACTATGTGCTCTGTTATAATGAACTGGACTCTTTATAATTATTTCTCCTATATAGTGAGCATAATATTAAGTTTTGTCAGTGCTAGATGCTGGAAGGAAATTGCAAGAGTGCTTCTCTTTCTGGTCCAATTTGCTGCTGTTTTATTTCTTCTTATTCTTGTACAGCAAAATATATGTGTGCAAAATATATTTCTGTCAACTGAGCATATGTGAGGAAACATCTTAGTGGCACACTGTCCCTGCTGCAAGAGAGGGCACATAGTGCCTCAGTGACCTTGCAGCTCTGGCATGAATCTGGTGACCACCTCACTGAGGTCCTCCAATGTATATAATGCACTTAAATACTCATGCTAGAAGTGCCATCCCAACTCCTTCTGCATGACTGTCCACAAACCTCTGCTCATCTGAATCCTGGAAGGTTGTTTGATTCTGTCCAGGGATTGTGGACCAATTCTAATACAGATAACTCAGTGAACTTCTCTGCCATTCAGTGGGCAATTTTCCTCAATGAGGATTGAATGCCAGCTTCTACAGTAAGACTCCCATTCCAAATTCATTCTTCATTGAGCACTCCCTTCAGCCCTGAGGGATCCTTTCAAAACCTTCTTACATGATGAGTCATATTCTCTTGCTGCCTTTAAAGTTCTCTCTTTGCCTTTATCTTATGGAAGATTGACTATAATGTGTCTAGGTGTGGAGTTTTTTGCATTTATCCTATTTGGAGTTTGTTGGGAATCATGCATATGCTAGTTAATGTTTTAAATTTAATTTGAGAAGTTTTTTTGCCATTATTTCTTCAAGTATTCTTTCTACCACTCCCCACATCTGGGACTCCCACTATGTGTGTGTTGGTATGCTTGATGGTATTCCACAGAGCAAAGAGTTCAGAGGCTCTTTATTTTCTATATTGTTTTAATCTTTTGGTTTCTCAGTATTTTAATTGACCTGTCTTCAAGTCAGCTGATTCTTTCTTCTTCCAGTTAAAACCTGCTTTCAAGTTCCTCTAGTAAAGTTTTCATTTCAGTTATTGCACTTTTTAACTCCAGAATTTCTACTTAGCTCTGTTTGTAAAATTTCACCTCTTTACCAATATTTTCTATTTGGTGACACATCATTCTCTTATTTTCCTTTACTCTGTAGACATAATTTTATTTAGTTCTTTGCGTACATAATAGATATTTAAATATATATCTAATAAGTTTGACATCTGAGTTCCTAAAGGGTAGTTTCTAATGACTGCTTTTTCATCTATACGGGTCAATTTTCCTGTTTATTTGCATAACTTTTTCTTAAAAACTGGCCATTTTGAGTAATATTATGTGTCAATTCCTGAAGTCAGATACCTCCCTTCCACAATAATCATTGTCATTGCTGTTTCTTTAGTTATTTTTCCCATACCAATTACATAAACTGTATGTTTTGCCATGTGCAGTCATTGAAGGCTCCGCTCAGTTAGCTTAATGATCAGCTAATGACTGGGTAGTGATTTTCTTAAATCCCTTGAACCAATAAGGCTTACAGCCTTCGCTGATGCACTCACCACGATAAGTCATGACTTCAATGCTCTGGCAGACAGTTTACAACTCTGCCTAACACTTCACTTCCTACTAGCACAGAGCCTCAAAATCAACCAGAGGTAAAAGTTTAGTGCCTTCTCGGATCTTTTCTGGGAATGCACACAGTCCTGGACATGCTCACAACCCTTGACATGTACACAACCTACTAGATTCCTAGTTGATTTCCAAAGGCCCCTGTGGACATTTCATGCCCTGGTTTTATCTTTTCAGCTCTTATCCAACCTATTGTTAGCTTCAGCTGGTAATGCTGCCTCAGGCAGCTGAGATTTTTTTTTTTTTTAATGCCACTGTTTATAACAAATGTCTGAAGGTAGGGCTGTTTTCAGAGTGGGATCAAAGAAAGACAAGCCCTGAAAATTGAATTTTTTAGCAAGCTGCTCTACAAGCCAAATAGTGAAAATTCTCTAGAGATGGGGCTTCAAGGAGCTCCAAACTCGTACTGCCCCTCCAGTGGCTGATCATGTAGTTGTAATGCTGTTAGCCTCCAAGACCATGACAAGAAAACTGGAGAGAGGATAATGAGATTAAGCAAGTTAAAGTGCCATGTGGCTCACCGTTCTTATAGAAATTTAGCTGTTTTCCTTGACTAATCACTTCTCAGATTGTTGCAAGCTTTCAATTTATTTCCAGAGTTCTGAAAAAGTTAATTTTGGCTAGTGTTCTCATTGCTTTTATGGAGAAGCAGATTTTCATAGGTCCTTACTCTGTCATTTCAAAAGTAGATCCTGATTTTTTTTAAGTCTCATTTACAATGCATCAAAAAGCATGAAATGTTTAAGGATAAGTTTAATAAACTTGAGCAAGACCTGTGTAGAAAATGAAAACTAAAAATGCATTGCTGGAAGACATTAAGAAAAATGTAAGTCAGTGGAGAAACATACCATGTTCATGAATTGAAATGCTCAATATTGTCAAGATGGTATTTCTCTCCAAATTGATCCATAGATTCAATAAAAAATTGACAGACCGAAACATTTGTATGAAAATGCAATGGGCCTAGAATCGTTCAATGATTTTGAAAAAGAACTCAGTTGAAAGACTTTAGCTTATTTCAAGATTTGCTATAAAGCTACATATGGTGTGGTAATGAGACAGAATGTAGAGTTCTAAAACAGAACATACATAGGATGAGTTGCTTGTCAGATGTTATGTTGTTTTGTTTTGTTTGTTTGTTTGTTTTGAGATGGAGTCTTGCTCTGTTGCCCAGGCTGGAGGGCAGTGGTGAGATCTCAGCTCACTGCAACCTCTGCCTCGTGGGTTCAAGCAATTCTCCTGCCTCAGCCTCCCAAACAGCTGGAATTACAGGCATCTGCCACCATGCCCAGCTACTTTTTTTATTTTTAGTAGAGACGGGGTTTCATCATGTTGACCAGGCTGGTCTCAAAGTCCTGACCTCAAGTGATCTGCCTGCCTCAGTCTCCCAAAGTGCTGGGATTACAGGCCTGAGCCACTGCACCTGGCCTGCTATGGTTTTTATATGGTTTGTTTGTTCCAAAACAAACCATAGTGAAATTTGGTCCCTAGTATGGTGGTATTAGGAGAAGAAGCCAAATGGGAGGTGTTTGGGTCGTAGGGGAAGGTTTCTCATGAATAGATTAATGCCCAGAGTTCTCTTTCTCTTAGTTCCCACAAAAGCTGGTTATTAAGAGCTTCCCCACACCCCTGTACACAACTGTTGCTTCTGCTTTTGCTGTGTGATTTCTGCACACATCAGATCCCTTTTGCTGTCTGCCATGAGTGGAAGAAGCCTGAGGCCCTTACCAGATGCAGATACCCAATCATGAAATTTCCAACCATCAGAATCTTGAACCAAATACAGCTTTTATAAGTATATATATATATATATATGCCAGCCTCAGGTATTTCTTTAGAGCAACACAAATAAACTAAGACTTTAACAAAAGTGGCAAAGTAATTTACTTAGAAAATGGTACCTTTTTCCAAAAATGGTGCATTTCCAACTGTATTCCAAAATTTGGAAAAAAAAAAAACCTGACTGCTCTGTCTGTGGTCTCACTCTGCTGCCCAGGCTGGAGTGCAGTGGCGTGATCTTGGCTCACTGCCACCTCCACCTTCCTGGTTCAAGTGATTCTCCAGCCTCAGCCTCCCAAGTAGCTGGGACTACAGGCACGCACCACCATGTCCAGCTAATTTTTGTATTTTCAGTAGAGACACGGTTTCACCATGTTCGCCAGGCTGGTCTCGAACTCCTGACCTCAAGTGATCTGCCCGCCTCAGCCTCCCAAAGTGGTGAGATTACAGGTGTGAGCCACCACACCCTGCCTACTTTCTTTTTTTTTATGTCCAAAAAACTTGGAACAGATCCTGTACTTTCTTAATAAACTTGCTTTCACTTTACTGTATGGACTCACCCCAAATTCTTTCTTGCATAAGATCCAAGAACCCTCTATTGGGGTCTGGATTGGGACCCCTTTCCAACATCTTTTGGGAAAACCACAAAGAGGCTATACTGAGGAGACCCCTAACCCAGAGGAAATAGACTGCTGCGCTGATTGGCCAACTTTGGGTAAGTGGTGGCATACCCAGGTAAATGATGGGATTGGGTTAGAAGCCCAACTTAGGGGATTTAGAGTCTCTCCTAAGACAGAGAGGGTTAAAAGCCTTTCTTTATAAAAGACAAGGACACTTGACTGAACTTGGGTTTGAGGCCCAAATTAGGAAGGTTAGAGTCCTTCCTAAGATTTAGGGGGTTGGAGGTCCCTCTCAGTAAAGTCTCTTGCAGCTAAGAAGGAGTTTGGCCTTGTAGAATATTAACCACTATTTTCTTTGGATTGATCTGCCTTGCACACTTTGCTGATGGCTGTGGATGACAGGATTAGGCAAGTACAGGATCATGGGGCATGGGGCGCTTTTTCCTTCCAAAAGAGGGGAACTTGAGAGATGACAGGATTGCTGGAAAAGATCCCTTCATGACCAACAAGCAGCTGCCTGAACTTTTGATTCAGTGTTGCTGCAGTGGGTGGGTCTTTATCTGGCCTTCCTGAGCACGTTGCCTTCCCCACCCTGCCACCAGCAATGTTTATCTCCCTTTCTCTCCTTTCTCTTTTCTACTGTTTCAGTTACTCAGGGTGACCATCTTGCCCAGAGAGCACATGTTGAAAAATGTCATTGGGATCTTGACCTTGTAACCACATGGTGGTACTTCCTCTTAGTCTCTGACATCTGGAGGACAAGAATTGGGGATTCATGTCAGCCCTAAAAATTATCTCAAGCAGTTAAAAACTATTGCAAGCTTAAAATTGGCTGCCTCTAGGCTCCTCCCAGGAAGGGTAATGGAAACTGCCCAATGCTGTAGCTCAGCAGTTAAGGTTTGCCATTTTACAATGGCAGCCTGGGTTCAATTCCCAGCTTAGGGAATGAGTCCTTTTCTGGTTTGATATCTGTGTGACCTTTACCATTTTTTTGATATTCTCTCCCTCTATGAACCACCTTGATTTTTCCTTTCTCTAAGCACCTGAGAGGTTATCGTTGGTAAAGTCCAAAAGCTGGAAATATTGGCCGTTTGGCATGGCTAAAGTTGGATAATTTAAAAGAACTTTTTTTTTTCCAGTGCTATGGTTAAAAATCAGCTTAATTAAAAGTGGATATTCATGTTCAAACAGTGTGGGACTCCTTGGGGAAAACCTGTTTTCCTCATGAAACCCTAGGAATTGAAAGTGGATAGATCCCTCTCAAAATCTAAAACTTTCTTCTGTTTTGCATTGCATTATTTGATGTTTTTAACATTTAGGGGTATCAGAAATTACTTCACATTATGAGAGAACTTTGGTGTGTAATAACTAGGTAGGAAATATACTTTTAAGGATGGCTAATGGCAGTTATGGGGGGATACATGGCTCTTTGCATGCTTGGATGAGAGAAGCATGCTCCTGGCTGCCTGGAAGGTATGGATATATTCCCTCACTGAGAGATAAGACTCCCATGGGAGATGGGCTAATTCCCTCTTTTGGGGATCCAGGATCTGTTATAAAAATGGGACCCTTAATTTTTTGTGATCTGTTTTGCCTTCCAGCTGTGCCTGCTTATTAGGCCCTAGAAATTGCATGCTTTAAAGAGAAACTTAGAAACTTGCAAATGAAAAATCTTACAACTACTGAATATTTTTCTATCTGTCTGTGTATTCATATGTGTTGCATGTGTGATATGGAAAAGCTCTGATTAATTGGCTTAAAAAATAATAATGGCCAGGCACGGTGGCTCACACCTGTAATCCCAGCACTTTTAGAGGCTGAGGCAGGTGGATCACCTGAGGTCAGGAATTTGAAACTAGCCTGCCCAACATGGTGAAACCCTGTCTCTACTAAAGATACAAAAATTAGCCAGGTGTGGTGGTGGGCACCTGTAATCCCAGCTACTCAGAGGCTGTGGCAGGAGAATTGCTTGAACCAGGGAGGCAGAGGCTGCAGTGAGCTGAGATTGCACCATTGCACTCCAGCCTGGGCGACAGGGTGAGACTTGGTCTCAAAAAAATAAGAATAATAAGTGCTTAAATCAAATATTTGTCAGAAAAGTAAAAACTGTTATGCCTTTTAGATCACATGACTTAAGTAATCTTTGGGGCATAGAAAGAGTTCTACATGTAAGAAAAGTGAAATGTGTTTTTGGTAAAAGATTGTAAGAAGTCATAAGAATGTAAATTTTTTTGCCTAAAGGGTTAAAGGATTGTTTTAAGTTAGATAGGATAAAGCTGAAGGTTTAAACAAGTTGTGGAAGGTCTGTGAAAAATTAATCTTGTAAAAGAAATTCTGTATGTGAACATATTAGCTAAAGTTAAAGAAGTGTTATTTAGTTTTTCTGTAAACTGAACATTAAAATAAAAGCACAACAGATTTTTCTTAGAGCACTAGTTTGCTCTTTAGCAAAAATTTGTAAAGTTTTTAAAAGATTAATGAAAATCTTACCTTATGGTCAGACATTAAAATTGGATGGATTTGTCTGTAAAGTTTTATTAAGAATTGTGTTTAACATTAATAGTACACTAATATAAAGGTGCAATTTGGCTTATTTGGTATACAAATCATACAGGAAACATTGTCAAATATAAAATGGTGTTTGGCTTTCTTTGGGCTGTATTTGTACAAATATGTTATCATGTGTGTTCCAAAATTATGGAAAACTCCTACAATCCTGATATAGTGTGTGTTATTAATAATTATAATTGTTATGTAAAATTTTTGTATGCTATAGAAGTAACCAAAATTTCCTTGTCACTGTGGCTTTAATAGTGGCTGTCCTAAGACTTTTTGTCATCAACAAACAATTGTCTAGTTTTGATCCTCTTTAAAAGGTGGTCTATAGTCAGCTATAGGACTTTGACAGGTGTTTTTGAATGCAGATTTCTGATGACTTTGGAGATTGTGACATCAGAATAGAGGAAAAGCTTTCAGGACTCTCATGGAGAGCTGAAATGTTCCTGAATATCAAGCAGAACAGAAGTTAACTGAATGGACTGTACTAATAGAAGATTGAAGTAGTCTTTTCTAACTTTTTGCTTAAAATTTTGCTTATCCTTTGTTTTGTTTTTCAGAGTCTGGAAAACTTTTCTTTTGAGCTATTGACAGCCTTTAACAACTGAGTAAAGTGTACTCCTGTGAACAAAATTCAGAGCCTGTTTGTTTCTCTCTACCTGATTTCTCCAGAATTTGGAAACTATTTGTGAGTATTCTTAACTTATGGAAACATAGTTATTTGCATAAGTGCAATAAGAATCTGTTTTCATTTGTAACAGGACACAATTGGAAAAACTGGTTATTTTACCAAGGCTTTTACTGGAATGGTGTGCTTTCTTTTAAGGAATCAAACTTGACTTATAGAGCCAATAAAAGCCCCTTGGAAACACTGGCCTTATACATTGTCTACACAGTCTCTGTGTAGGGTTCCTAACCTGTGAGTAAAGAATGTCACTTTTTAACAGTCCCAGGAGCCCCCAAGTTATCTTGGGACCTGAATAGGAAAGGAATTTACCCAATAATAGATATTTGAGTGTACAAACCCATGGCTGGGCTCAGCTTCAGAAAAAAGTCTTATCTGAGATTCCTTATAGAACAGAGTTCCATCAAAGCCAATTTAAAAAGCCTATGTGAAAAATAATTATTCTTGCTGCACTTTGTATGAATAATCAGGCCAAGTATAATAAAGTAAATCAGTCTTACAGTGATTTGTCTTTAGTAAAAATGGGAAACTGGAGAGAGAAAAAAATTGTTTCAAGAACTATGGTACAACTGTTACTAGATTCTAGTCTCATTCACTGTTTTTGAATTTTTTTCTGCAATTTAGACTGACTCTTCTTATTTCTGTTAACCAACCAGTGATCTCTGGCTGCTGCTCAGAAGAACTAAGAAGGATGGGTAATATAAAATCCAGATCAATATTCTTATTCTGGGCACATATTGGAATCAGCTAACAACCCCATATCAGTTTGGTTCCAACAATTGCCCAGTTCATGGAAAGCCTCTAATTTTGTTTATTTGGGATGATTTTGCTTATTTTGCTTTACTATTGTGGAATATATTGCTGTTGTACTCTTTGTGTAGGAATGCAGGATATGCTTGCTGAATGTTTTCTTAAATTGAACCCTTATTCCTCTTCCAGGTACCATCTTTTGTTGGAACTCAGTTACAAATAACCCTCACCATACCAGCACTTTCTGAATGAGCTCCTCTCTACCCTGAAGGCAAAAGACCCAATAGTTAGGCTGGAATATTATCACCCCTATTCAGCCTGAAGAAGTTACAGAAAATGGATCTTCATCTGTCTACAACCCTTAGGATTAAGTGTTCTCTTATAATAGGGAGGGGGGAATTGTCAGAGGCATTTGAATCAAAGCAACTCCATTTCACACAGGGGCTAAGTGAAATAAGGCTAAGACCTACTAGGCTGCATTCCCAGGAGGTTAAGACATTCTAAGTCACAGGATGAGACAGGAGAGCGGCATAAGATGCAGGTCAGAAAGATCTTGTGGATAAAACAGGTTGCAGTAAAGAAGCCAGCCAAAACATCAAAACCAAGATGGCGACAAAAGTGACTTCTGGTCGTCTGCACTGCTACATTCCCGCCAGCACCACGGCAGTTTACAAATGCCATGGCAATGTCAGGAGGTTGCCCTACATGTTCTAAAATGGGGAGGAACCCTCAGTTCCAGGAATTGCCCACCCCTTTCCTGGAAAACTCATGAATAATCCACCCTTTGTTTAGCATATAAACAAGAAATAACCATAAAAATGGGCAACTAGGTGTGCACCACTGCTCTTCTTATGGAGTAGCCATTCTTTCATTCCTTTACTTTCATAATAAACTTGCTTTCACTTAAAAAAAAACTTGACCCTTACCTTATGCCATGTATAAAAATTAACTCACAATGAATCAGGAGGTATTCCTTTTTCCTGACTGCCTTTGAACTGGGACATCATTTTTTTCCCTGTCTTCAGACTTGAACTGAAACATCAGCTTTTCTTGAGTCTCAACCTGCTGTTCTTTGGACTAGAACTGCACCATTGGCTCTCTTGGGTTTCCAGCTTAACAACTGTAGATCTTGGAACTTGGCAGCTTTCATAAATACATGAGTTAATTTCTTAAAATAAATATATTCATATGTATGTATATAAAATACATATCTATCTATCTATCTATCTATCTATCTATCTATCTATCTATCTATCTTCTATTGATTTTTTTTTCTCTGGAGAACCCTGACTAGTACAGCTACATATAGTGTGGTATTGGTGTTAAAGATCAATAAAGCAGCATGCAGAATTCAAAACAAAACATATATAGAATTAACTGCCAACAAACATGACAAAGTAGTCTACATAGAAAAGGGTAGTTTTTTCCCCCAAATGTTGCTGATAACAATTGTATTTTCACATAAAAATTGACAGTTGACACAACTCGTGCTGTACGAAAAAAAGTTAACTTGTAAACAAAAAATTAACTTGTAGTGGATTATAGACCTAAATATAAAAGCTAAAACCATAAAACTTCTAGAAGATAATATTGGATAAAATATTCACAAACTTGGAGTGGGCAAAGATTTCTTAAAACACAAAAATCACTAACCATTAAAAAATCCCAAACCTCAGCATCACACCATATACCCAAGTAAAAAAGCTGCACATGTACCCACTTAATCTAAAATAAAAGTTGAAAAAAATAATAATTTAAAAAATTTGAAAAATAAAAGTAAAATAAAATAGACATTTGAGTCTTGAAGGACGGCATTAAGAAACTGTAAAGGCAAACTATATTAATAAAGAAAGTATTAATAATGCATATGGAACAGGAGAGTTTCCTGACCTCTTCTTGGGACTTGTGACAAGAGTGTGGCTTGCTTGCTCTGCCACCACACATTCAAACACCTTACAGGAAGGGGAGCATACAGATGGGCAGGTGCAGGAGCTGGGGTGAGCGCTTTTGGGCTCCTGCCCCATGGTAGCATCTAGGAGTATGTTATGATTAATGCTCTTTTAGCAGTTACCATCTGTGTATGGCTAAATGTTAAACCAGCTCAGTGGAGTGTCAGGGTGACAGTCTTTTACACATTGCCCTCTTGGTACCCGGATCGTTTTCTGGCATCCAGGAAGAATCAGGTCACATGGACTTGATGAGTGGTAAGTGTGGGGATTTTATTGAGTGGTAGAAGTGGCCCTCAGTGAGATAGATGGGGAACTGGAAAGGGGTGGGAGTGGGAAGATGATCTTACCCTGGAGTTCAGCTGTCCTGCAGCTGACTCCTCTCTGATCGTCCCCAGCCAAACTCCTCTTGATATTCAGATGCTCCTTTCCTTCTCTCCCTCTCTGCCATGTTGCTCTGCTGCTCTTCTGCTCTTCTGTTGGTCTCCTCATAGATCCTGGGGTTTGGGGTTTATATGGGTACATGATAGCAGGCATGGAGGGTCAAAAGGCAAGAGTTGGGTACAAAAACAGGAATGTCTGTTCCCATTTAGGGCTGTGTGTTTCCAGGCTTGAGGGTGGGGCCTTTGCTGGGGATTCACCTTCTTCTACCCAGTGTTTCTCTGCCTCCTGTCTGTATCACATACATCTAACAAAAAGTTTGTGTACAGAATATGTGTGTGTATCCATGTGTGTATATTACAATATACATATATGTATCATGTGTCTGTGTGTATACACATACATTAATAATGCATATATACTTTTATATATATACACATATTCACATGTTCTGGACACAAACTTTTTGTCAGATGCATGCATTGCTAAAACTTTCTTTTTGTATTATAAATATATAATATAAATCTTTGATAATCTATAATTTAGATTAAATTTTTAATCTATTATAATAATTATAATTATTAAATTTTAGATTATAATCTATACTTTAATCTACTTATTATTTACAATATTATAATCTATTTATCCATGTAAAAATCTCATAAAAATGGGGAAAAGATGGAAATAGATGCTTTACAAAAGAAGATACATGATTGGCTAAAAATCACATAAAAATATTACCTTTTGTCAATAGGTAAATGCAAATTAAAATCATAAGGAGATACCACTACAAATCCACTACAATGGCTAAAATTTTTAATGCCAAATATTGGTGAATTTGTGGAGAAATTGGAACTACCATGCTGAAGCCCTAACCCCCATGTGATAGTATTTGGAGATGGGGCTTTTCAGATGTAGTTGGGTTTCAATGGGGTCATCAGGGTAACGACTCATGGTAGGATTGGTGCCTTTGTAAAAGAGACATTAGAAAGTTCTGCTTTCTCTCTAATCATGTGCACACACTGAGGAAAGGCTATGTGAGGACATAGCAAGAGAAGGTAGCCATCTGCAAGCCAGGAAGAGAGCTCTCACCAGAACCAGACCATGCTGGCACTGATTTCAACTTTCAGCCTCCAGAACTGTGATAAAATAAATTTCTGTTATTTAAATCCCCCAGTCCATGGTATTTTGTTACGGTTGCCCAAGCAGACTAATACAGTTCTCACTGCTTCCACAGTTTGCTAACACTTTTAGAAATATATTTTTTGCAATTTATTTGGCCTTTTCCAGTTGTTGCAGTAGGAGGATTGGCATGACATGACCTGATTTGTTGAACTTTTAAACCAGGCTTTTATATTGCTTTCAATAAGTAAATTATTTCATTGGTTTTACTACACACTTACTGTTGTCTCCCAATATCCATTCTTCTCTTCTTCCATATTAACAGAAATATCATCTGTTAGCTGGGTATGTGGTTGCCCAGAATAAAGTACATTCTCCAGTATGCTCTGCAGGTAGGTGTGGATATTTTACTCCCATTAGGATGTGGGCAGTAATTATGTGGACAGCTGCCTGGTGATGATGCAGGATTTTTTGCTCCTTAGCTCAGCTAATCTGGGTTCTCGTCTCATGACCAGGAAGAATTAGGCACATGAACACATTGAAGGATGAGGACAGCAGAATTTATTAAGCAAAAAGAAACTTCTCAGTGAAGAGAGGGGGTCCTGAGAGCAGATTTCCACCTCCCCCATTGAATACCAGGGCCACCATACTGAAGCTGAAGAGGCCAGCTTCCTCCCCTGCATAAGGTGTGAATTCCTGGTGGCTCCACCCCATTGTCCCAGTGCCTGTGGGCCTCTAGTCTGCTGCAGGCATGCCCAGGCAAGCAGCATGTGTAAAGGCCCAGAGGAATGAAACTATATGGTAGGCCCAAGTAGCTCACCATGGCTATCGTGTCAGGCACATATGAAAAAGAGGCAAAGAACAGATCATGAAGAATTGTTGGGACCAAACTAAAAATGTTGGATTTAAAATTTAAATTTTTTAAATTTAAATCTTTTTAAAAATACCATAGGGCACAATGATGCCTTTTAAGCTGAGAAGAAAGGCAAGGAAATTTGCATTTTATAAGGATCACTTGGGACCAATGCATAGTAAATAAATTGGAGAACAACAAGAGTTGAGTCAGGAGAAAATTAGGAGGTTATTACAGGATTCTAAAAGTTTAACGAGGGCCTGAACTGAAATGTTGTCAGTAGAGATGGAGAAGCTATAGGATTTAAGTATAATTTAAAAAGTAGAATCAATAGGAAATAGAGATATATTTGTTGTGGATGTGACAAGAGTTGGAAGGATAAGATGTCTCTCAGATTTCCGACTTAGGGAGGTAGTAGATATTCGTGCTGAATATGGAGATAGGAAATACAGAAGAGTATAACTTGGGGAAAAGATGGAGAATTCCATGGTGTACCTGTTGAATTTGGGGGTAAGATAATCTCTAACATTTTGGATATGTTTACATTATAGATATCTATCAGAATCTATTGAATAAGCCTTTGAATATGTGGGTCTGAAATTTAGGAAACATGTTGCAACTATAGATATAGATTTTATTATTATTTTGAATCCCCTTTGAAGATCCCATTTTATTAATTCATCTTACCGGCTCAAAATCTTTCCCCATACAATAAGATAAAGATTCATGTTTATTAACTTGCCAGGATGACAGGGCAGTAGGATATTATTCTTTATGTATGTAATAATGTTGTGATAGACGCATTATTATCAGGTAATGAAAATAAACCAACACTTCACTCCTGTTCCTCTTCCTACTTTACAAATACTAATTAACATTCAAATCACTCATGCACGGTGAATAAGAGCATCACAGAGATTATTAATATACTTCCTGGTTGTTGGGGATCTAATTTATCTCCATAGTAGATTGAGCACACAGGAAGTGACTAACACATGTATTAAGTTGCATGATAAAATAAGCAAACCAAGCACAATTCCCTGAGTTGAAAACTTATAAGAGAGGGAAAAAAATATCTCCCTCTGGAATAGGTGTTCAGATAAAGTCCAGAGCTTGATTATCTAGTTTGTGGCTTCTCTGATATATATGTCTCATTTTTCTTCTTGTTCCAACTTTGTGGCTATTTGCAAAAAAAGACAGATTCTGTGATGTCATTCATTTATTCAGGTGTTGTGCTACTACATATAATCTGTACCTCCTTGTTTCCTGCGTCCTAGACATAAAAAGTGAGGGAAAATTTTAAGCACACCATGCTCTTTCTGAACTCAAGAACATCCTAGAAATATTTTCATCACCACCTCCAATTGTCCTAGATCTAGACTAGGTCTTTCTCATCCTTGGATTGGGGAAACTTTCCTCCCACCATGCTATCTTTATTCATTCACCTAAGTTATTTTTTCATCATAGAATCCTGTTTGCTTCCTTCTTAGAACTGAGGAAAATCTGTCATTATCTATTTATTTTTTCTTAATAAAACTAAATAGGAGTTTAATTTTAGTGATATTTTCCACTTGGATTTTCTTATCTTTTGATTTTTTAGCTTTACATTTAGTAATTGTTGCTTTTCTGTCTTAAGATTTCATCTTTCTAGCTCTGTTAGTTTATTTTGTTGAGCCTTTTCAATGTTCTTAAGATTTATACTAAACACTCCCTCCTTTTTTATTATTTCTTCTTTAATAATTGAAGTGTTTAAGACTAACGCTTAACTTCTTTGGTATAGCTTTTGCAGCAGTGTATTACTTTCTAGATAGTTTGTAATTTGCTTTGAATTTATTTTCAATGCAATAGTTATCTAGTAATATATTTTCCAGTGTCTAAGTAGACTTTAAACACATTTTATTATGTAATATTTGATGCTCTCAAAAGACTATATGTAAAAATTGGCACCCATCAACCAAACTAAAAAAGAGGAACATAATATCATTGAAGCCCATCTGTGTGCTTTCTCTTCTTGTCTATTCATCAGCTTCACTAACTGTAAAACAAACCACACTATGTTATTATACTAGCTTCACAACTTTTAATGACTGTTATATTAAGTCCACCATATTTCTATTTCTTAAAACATGTCTGAGAAATAGCAGGAAAAACAGCAAAGAAGGGAACTTCAAGAGCCTGTCCCTTCACAAAAGCACTGAAAAACTGGCAAAAAGTGTTAGAATCAATTTTATCAGAACTTTGGAAAGCAGTCAATGGTTTATAGCAACCAAGCAAATACAATCAAGAAAAGGGAAACTGAAACTTGGTAGTAAAAATTTGTGGTGCTTTAACTTACCCTTGTCCTATTACTCTCTCTCCCAGCTTGGTAATCTGGAAAATGACAGCTTTTGGAGGGAGCAGAGCTGATCTTGTTTTCAAAGACTTATGGTTAATTGTTTGGACCTGTCTGGTCACTCCCTGAAGGACTAATGCAAAGAGCTTCCCCATTTTTAATCTAACTTGGAACTCTTTTAAGACATAGGAGCTGCTATGTAGAGAGACTTTACAAAAACCTTTCAAGGCAAATGAATTACTTGCTACCAGCAGTGTCTAAGTGTACCAGTTGACTAAAACAATAGACACTTTTAAAAGCCTTTGAGAAAGATTAGGAAGTGAGATATTGTGGGAAATAAGAGCTTTGAAAATCCTTTACTTATATTTGGCAATCTAGAGGGCTACATGCATGTCCCAGATAGGGGGCATGCTCAGAAAACACCTCAGAAGGTCCTCTGGATGGCCTTTCAGTTCTTCACATGAAGGAAGTGAGACAAAGGAAGAGTTTCAAACTGCCCAGCGAAGTGTTAAAATCATGCCTCAACACACACACACACACAGAGTCCGGCTGCAAAGACTGCAAGATGTTTTGGCTCTGGGCATTTAAGGAAATCTCTGTGAAATCACTATCTTACCACTAGGCTAGTGGAACAGAGACTTCAGATACCACATATAACAAATAATACAGACTTTATGCAAGTAGTTTAGAAAAGTCACTGTACAAATAACCAAAGTCCACAAAAAGCACCAGCAAAAAATTTCTGGGAGAAGGGAAAATGCAATTTTCAGAGTTATCAAATTACAATATTCCAAATGTATCCCTAATTTTCAACAAAAATGATGAGGCATGCAAAAAATACACACACACATGAACACAAGAAATTATAGTCATTACCATGAAAAAAAAATGGACTAAAATTGTCCCTGAAGAAGTTTGGCTATTAGACTGACTAGAAAACGACTTTAAGTCAACTGTCTTTAAAACATGCAAAGAGGAAACCAGGAAAATTATATCTCACCAATTAAAGAATATTAATGAACAAATAGAACTTATAAATAAAGACCCATATAGACATTCTGGAGCTTCAAAGTACAATAACAACAATAAAAAATTTAACAAAGAGGCTGAATGCCAGATTTGAGTAGGCAAAAGAACAAACCAGCAAACTTGGAGATAGGTCAATTGAAATCATCCAGTCTGAGAAGCAGAAATAAAAAAGAATAAAGAAAAAATGAACAGAGTCTAAGAGACCTGTGGGACACCATCAAGCATATGAACATACACATTATGGAAGTCCCAGAAAGAGAAGAAAGAATGAAAACAGAACAAAAATGATGTTAAAAGAAATGATGGACAAAACCTTCCCAAATTTGATAAAAGACACTAATCTATGCATCCAAGCAGATCAATAAACTCTAAGTAGAATACACTCAAAGAGGTACACACCAAAACACACTGTAATCAAACTGTTAAAAGACAAAGGCAAGAAGAGATTTCTGGAAGTAGCAAGAGAGAAGTGACCTGCCATACAAAAGAGATCTTCAATAACATTAACCACTGATTTCTTGTCAGAAACCATAGAAGGCAGAAGGCAATGGAACATCATATTTAAAGTGCCTAAAACAAAACAAACAACAACAACAACAAAAAACTACCAACTGAATCTGCCAAAACTATTCTTCAAAAATGAAGAAAAAACTAAGGTATTTCCAGATAAACAAAAGCTGACAAAGTTTATTGCTAGTAGACCTACTTACCCAACAAAAAATGCTAAATGGAGTCCTTCAGGCAGAAATAAAAACATACTAGACAGAAAACTGAAGCCATACAAATAAATTTTTAAAAGCTGGTTAAATTAACTACTTAGACAAATATAAATGCAAGTATTATTGCATTTTAGTATTGTAACTAATCCTTTTTTCTATATGATTTAAAAGAAAATGCATTTTAAAAATTTATAATTCTATGTTAATTGGTATGCAATTTATAAAGATGTAATTTGTAACAATAACAATATAAAAGGGGAGAAACGAAGTTATATTACAAGCAGAATTCTTGTATACTTTCAAAGTTAAATTCGTTTTACTTCCAACTAGAATCTTATAAATTTAAGATATTACTTATAATCCACAGGTTAAACACTAAGAAAATGACTAAAAAATATTCAAAAAAGGAAGCAAGATGTGAATCAAAATAGTACACTAAAAGAAAACTAAACAGAGAGAAGACATTAATGGCATGACTGAAAAACATAAAAGACGTAAAACAAACAGAAAAAAAATTAAGGCAGAAGTGTATCATTCCTTATTGATAATGACTTTAAATGTAAATGCATTGCACTTCAATTAAAAGGCAGGTACCGGCATAATGGATTTTTAAAAAAACATGATCTAGCTATATTCTGTCCACAAGAAACTTGCATGAGATTGAAAGACGAAGATTGAGTTGTGAGGTGGAAAAAGCCATTACCTGCAAATAGTAACAGAAAGAGAGTAGAGATGGCTATATCAGACAAAATAAGCTTTAAAACGGAAATTATAATAAGAAACTAAGAAGGACATTATATATTTTGAATGAGTCATTCCATCAAGGTGATATAACAATTATAAATACATTACCTATATTTTTATTTTATGTATTTTTTGTTTTTTTAAATAAGTAGTGTACACACCTAACAGTAGAACCATAACATACATGAAATAAAAGGTGACAGAATTAAATGGAGAAATAGTTTTATAGTGATAGTCAAAGACTTAAATATCCCACTTTTGAAAATGGATGGAACAAGTAGACAGAAGACAAAAAAGAAAATAGAAAATTTGAACAATATAAACCATTTAGATCTAAGATATACACAGAACATTTCTCTCAACAGCAGTAGAATACGCATTTTCCTCAGCTGCAAAGTGATCATTCTCCAAAATAGACCATATGTTAGGCTACCAAACAAGTCTCAGTAAATTTAAGAAGACTAAAATTATACAAAGTATGTTCTGTAACCACAATGGAGTGAAACTAGAAATAAATAACAGAAGGAAATTTCCAGTATCTTGAAGTATTTTTTATTTTTTCCTAGTGGTTTCTTCTTTAATCTATTGGTTGTTTAAGAGTGTCATTTAATTTCAAATTTTAAAAAAGTTAATCAACATACTCTTAAATCACTAATGAGTTAAAGAAGAACTCACCAGGGAAAAGGAGAAAGTATTTTAAGACAAATTAAAATGAACAATTTTCAAACTTTTGGCATGAAGAGAAAGCAGCACTTGGGGAAAATTTACAGCTGTAAATAATTACATTAAAAAATAAGAAAGATCTTCAACCAAAAACCTAACTTTATATCTTGAAGAACTAGAAAAAAAAAGCAAACTAAGCTCAAAGCTAGCAGAAATAAATAAATAATGATTAGAAGGGAGATGAATTAAAAAGAGATAGAAAAATAGTAGAATCAACAAAACCAAAAGTTGTTATCTGTAAAGATCAACAAAATTGACAAACTTTAGCTAGACTAAGAAAGAAAGAAGACTCAAATGAGTAAAATCAGACATGAAAGTGGATCATTACTGTATTAGTTTACTAGGGTTTCTATAAAAAAAAAACACAGATGGGTGTTTAAACAATAAAAATTTATTTTCTCAGAGTTTCAAAGACTAGAAGTTCAAGACCCAGGTGTCAGCAGACTTGGTTTCTCCTGAGGCCTCTTTCCTTGGTTTACAGAAAGAGATCACTATCTTGCTGCCTCTTCCATGGTTGTCTCTGTACATGTGCATCCCTGATTTCTCTCTGTGTATCCTCATCTGCTCTTTTTATAAGGACATCAGACAGATTGGATTAGGTACACCATAAAAGCCTCATTTTAACTTAATCACATCTTTAAAAGCCGTGTCTACAAATATAGTCACATTCTGAGGTACTGAGTGTTAAGGCTTCAACACATGAATCTGAGTGAAAGGGGGGATTACTATTACTATTACATTACAGAAATAAACATGATTATAAGAGAATACCATAAACAATTGTATGCCAACAAATTAGGTAACTTAAATAAAATGAACAAATTCCTGGAAACGTACAAATTGCCAAAGCTGACTCAAGCAGAAAGGAAAAATGTGAACAGACTTATAAGAAGTAAAAAGATTGAATCAGAAAAACAAACAAATATTAAACACTTAAAAATTTTCTCAGTAAGAAAAGCTCAGGAGCGGTTGACTTACTGATGAATTCTACCAAATTTTTATTTAAAAATTGACACTAATCCTCAAACTCTTTGACAAAATAGAAGAGGAGATAACATTCTCACCTCATTCTGAGTCCAGCATTATCTTACAATAGTATTTAAAAAAATATAAAATCCTTAAGAATAAATTTAACCAAGAAGGTGCAAAACCTACACCTAGAAAACTACAAAACACTGCTGAAAGAAGAAGACCCAAATAAGTAAAAGACACCCAATGTTTAAGGTCAGAAGACTTAATATTGTTAAGATGGCAATACTTCCCAAAGTAATCTACAGGGTCAATTCAATCCCTATCAAAATCCCAACAACCTATTTTGCAGAAATGAAAAAGTGGATTCTAAAATTCATATGGTATTGCAAGTCACCCTCAATAGCTAAAACAATTTTGAAAAAGAGCAAAGTTGGAAGACACACTTCCCAATTCCAAAACATATTACAAAGCTACAGTTATTAAGTCAGATGGTATAGTATAAGAGTAGACATACAGATCATTGGAATAAATTGAAAGGTCAGAAATAAACCCATAAATCTGTGGTCAGCGGATTTTCAACACAGGTGCCCAAATCATTAAATGGGGAAAGAATAGTTTATTCAGCAAATGGTGCTAGGAAGTTTGACCCTCATCTCACACCATATACAAAAATTAACACAAAATGGGTCAAAGACGTAAATACAAGAGCTAAAACTTGCAAGAAAGGGGTTGTTGTGGGTTGAATTATGCCCCTCATAAAACATACAGAAATGCTAACCCTAAATACCTCAAAATATAACCTTATTTAGAAATAGAATCTTTACAAAGGTAATCAAGTTAAAATGAGGTCATTAAGGTGGGCCCTAATTCAATATGACTGGTATCTTTGTAAAAAGGGAAATTGTGGACATAAAGACAAGCACGCACAGAGAGAATATGATGTGACTACACAGAAAGAAGATGGCTACATGACTGAAGTGATGCATCTGCAAGCCATGGAATGACAAGAATTGCCAGCAAACACCAGAAGCTGGTAGAGGTAAGGAAGGATTTTCTCCTAAGCTGCCAGAAAGAGCATGGCCTGGCCATGCTGACATCTTTGAATCCGTAGCCTCCAGGACCATGAGGCAATAAATTTATTTTGTTTAAGCCACCCAATTTGGTACCTCATTACAGCAGCCTGGGAAAGTAATACAGGGGTAATTCTTCATGACCTTGGATTTGGAAATACTTTCCTAGTGATGACACCAACAGCACAAGCCATAACAGAAAAATATAGATATATTGAACTTCATCAAAATTTAAAACTTCTGTGCATCAAGGACACTATCCAGAGAATAAAAATCAAACTCACAAAATAGGAGAAAATATTTGAATTCATACTTCTGATAAGAATCTAGTATCCAGAATATATAAAGAACTCTTACACCTCAGCAACAAAAGGATGAACAGTCCAATTTTTAAAATAGGCAAAGAACTTAAATAGACGTTTCTACAAAGTATACAAATGGTGAAACAAGATATACAAATGGTCAACAGCACATGAAAAGATATTCAATATCACTAGTCACTAGGGAAATGCAAATAACAAACACAATGAGATAATGAGATACCACTTTACACACACTAGAATGACTATATATTTTTTAAAAGAGAATAAGTGTTAATGAGAATATACAGAAACTAGAGCTTTCATACGTTGCTGGTAGGAATGTAAAATGGTGCAGCCACTGTGGAAGACAGTTTGGCAGTTCTTTAATAAGTTAAACATAGACTTATCATGATCCAGCAGTTTCACTCCTAGATATATACCACGAAGAATTGAAAACATGTGTTCAAACAAAACTTTGTACAGAATCTTCATGGCAACACTGTTCACAATAACCAAAATGTGGTAACACCCCAGCAACTGATGAGTAGACAAACAAATATGGCATAGCCCTACAATGGAATATCATTTAGCCACAAGAAGTAACAAACTACTGTGATGGTTGGTCAACATTGTGAATGCAATAAGTGCAACTGAATTGTTAATTTTAAAATGGCTAAAATGGTAAATTTTTTGTTGCGTATATTTTACTAAAATAAAAAATAAGTGAAACAATTGTATCTGGGTTCATTTTAGGTCATTGCTCCTTCACATAAAATTTTTGGATGGAACTATACATATCCTTGACATCGCTATAGTATTGAATCTTTCTGTCTATTTACACAGTTTATTAAATTATACATTCAGGTTATTATATTCCAGATACTACAATTGTGACTTCTTCTTTGATTCATAAACTATGTAAATATATCTGCTTAATCTCCAAAGATTTGGGGTGCTTTCTAGTTTTCTTTTTATTATTGATTTCTAGTTTAATCCCATTATGATCAAAAGGCATATTCTGTTTGTTTTTAATCCTGTCAAATTTGTAGAGATGTGTGATCAATTGTTTGCTCCATGTACCCCTGAAAAACATGTCACATACATACAAATACAGCACATAGATCTTGTTTGGACTCTGATTCAACAATATGTTTTACAACATCAGAGACATTTGAACATAGGCTAAGCTTTGAATAGGATGATATTAAGTAATCATTAAATTTGTTGAATGTGTTAATAATATCTACTAGAAACACAGACTAAAGAGTTAATGGTTAAATTTTATTATATTTTACACAATTTGTTCATAGAGTAAATTGAAAAGACTGAGAAGTATATTTCCTTTAAGACTTTTATACTAGATACCTTTTCATACTCACAAAATATACATGATAAATAAACCAAGCTGACTGGCTTCACATGGAAAGCTGGTCTGGTATTTTTCAGAGGACTTAATTAAGCACAGATAGAGTCCCTTTTACTGCTAACAGATTATTTTTTTTTCTATTACTATACAAAAATATTTGAACCAACCAATATTTTTGGACACAAGCATCTAGTATACACAGTTGTAGATCTGTGGAAATATTTATAGAGTGTAATTAGAAAACCCATAATAAAAATTTTTATTCAAATTATTATTTTTTTAATGTAGCAAGACTGAGTTGTGGTTTCTGATCAAAATAAATTTGCTAGGACGTCAATTGTCATTACTGCCCAGGGACATGAGTTGGTAGTCTTCAATATAAGAATCAACTAAGGTTTTGAGCAACGAGCCATAAAGGAGAATGCCATTGGGAATGCATTCAACTAGAATTGACCTTTGTAGGCTGATCACGGAGGGGATTTAATGAAAAGAAATAGTTTTCCTCTATTCCATGGGTTTAAAACTACCTCCACATATAGTTTTTGGGAAATTTGGAGAGACACATGAAAAATACCATTTGCTAACTCCCTGAGCTCAACTCCTTGCAGTCAATATGACAGAAACTAATTTTTTTCTGCTATCTGATGCAGAAACTGAAGTTGAGAGATGCTGAAACTTTCCCAAGTCTACACAGCTTGTATAGTGTAATGAGTACAGCCAACAATTTATTGAACATCCACTGTGAGGTGCACAGTAAGCCAAGTATTTTACTATCATCAGCATTCTCATGATGAGCCTGTAAGAAATGTATGATTATATCTATTTGACACATGTGAAAAGTAGGTTTCAGAAAGCTTACATGACCTGCCCAGAGCTTTACACTAAGTGCTGCGCTATTGGGATTTAATCTTGGATCTGTCTGGCTCCAAACCCTGTAATTCTTCCCCATGCATTATAAAGCCATTGACTGCCATGTGTTTCACATTAAAATGATCATTTAACTACATTCATATAGAGTTGTTTTAGAACATATTATCTTCAATTTTTTCCCTTTTTTGCCAATTGTTTTGTCATTAGTTTCTTAAAATGTATAAAAATAATGCTTCTTGTAGTTTTTTTAAGTTTAAATAATAAGAAAGGTATAGAAAAATTTCCCCCTTTCCCATTCCAAATTCTTCCCAGAAATGACTGTTAGATTTCTTACATAGGCTGTTTTATAAAGCTTCTATTTATATTCAAACACACACAAACACACATTTTCTGTTTACTCAGATGAATACATATTTTGCATACTCTTCTGCACATTTCTTTTTTCACTTAGCATATCTTGGATATCTTTCTGTACAAGTATATATAGTTCCATAGTTTCAATTTAATGGCTACATGTATTCATATTTCTTTGTCATATAAGTACTGAGCTCTAACTGATTATACTACTGGAGCTCCTATTCATATTTCTTTGTATGGATTTACACAATCCATGTAACCAAGCCCTACTATGGTTATTTCCCTTTTTAAATTAAATTTAATTTTTTAACTTTTACCTTAGGTTCAGGGGTACATGGACCGGTTTATTATTTAGGTAAACTTGTGTTATGTGGCTTTGTTGTACAGATTATTTTGTCACCCAAGTACTAGCCTAGTATCCAATAGTTATTTTTTTCTGCTCCTCTCCCTCCTCCCACCCTCCATACTCCCATAGGCCCCAGTGTCTATTGTTCCCCTCTCTGTGCCCATGTGTTTTCATCATTTAGCTCCCACTTGTGTGAACACACGGTATTTGGTTTTCTGTTCCTGCATTAGTTTGCTAAAGATAATAGCCTCCAACTCCATCCATGTTCCTGCAAAGGGCATGATCTCATTCTGTTTTATGGCTGCTTAGTATTCCACGGTGTATATATACCACATTTTCTTTAACCTGTCTACCATTGCTGGGCATTTAGGTTGACTCCATGTCTTTGCTATTGTGAATAGTGCTGCGGTGAACATATGTGTGCATATGCCTTTATGGTAGAACGATTTATCTTCCTTTGGGTATATAGTCAGTAATAAGATTACTAGGTCAAATGGTAGTTCTGTGTTTAGCTCTTTGAGGAGTTGCCACACTGCTTTCCACAATGATTGAACTAATTTACGCTGTCATCAACAGTATGTAAACGTTCCCTGTTCTCCGCAACCTCAGCAGCATCTGTTATCTTTTGACTTTTTAATAATAGCCATTCTGACTGGCATGAAATAGTATCTCATTGTGGTTTTGATTTGCATTTCTTGAATTATCAGTGATGTTGAGCATGTTTTCATATGCTTTTTGGGTGCATGTATGTCTTCTTTTGAAAGGTATCTGTTCATGTCTTTCACCCACTTTTTAATGAGGTTGTTTGTTGCTTGTAAATTTGAGTTATTTATAGATTCTGGATATTAGACCTTCGTCAGATGCACAGTTTGCAAATATTTTATCCCATTCTGTAGGTTGTCTGTTTAGCCTGTTAACAGTTTCCTTTGCTGTGCAAAAGTTCTTAAGTTTAATTGGAACTCATTTGTCAATTTTTGCTTTTGTTGAGATAGCTTTTGGCATCTTTGTCATGAAGTCTTTGCACATTTCTACGGCCAGAATGGTACTGCCTAGGTTGTCTTCCAGGGTTTTTATAGTCTTGGATTTTACATTTACGTCTTTAATCCATCATGAGTTGATTTTTGTACATGGTGTAAGGAAGGGGTCCAGTTTCAATCTTTTGCATATGGCTAGCCAGTTATCCTAGTGCCATGTATTGAATAGGGAGTCTTTCCCCATTGCTTGTTTTTGTCGGCTTTGTTGAAGATCAGATGGCTGTAGGTGTATGGCCTTATTTCTGGGCTCTCTATTCTGTTCCATTGGTCAATGTGTCTGTTTTTGTACCAGTACCATGCTGTTTTGGTTACTGTAGCCCTGTAGTGTAGTTTTAAATCCAGTAATGTGAGGCCTCCAGCTTTGTTCTTTTTACTTGAGATTGCCTTGGCTATTTGGGCTCTTTTTTTGTTCCATATAAATTTTAAGATAGTTTTTTCTAGTTCTGTGAAGAACATCATTGGTAGTTTGATAGGAATAGCATTGAATCTGTAAATTCCTTTGGGCAGTATGGCCATTTTAATGATATTGAGTCTTCTAATTCATGAGCATGGAATGTTTTTCCACTTGTTTGTGTCATCTCTGATTTATTTGAGCAATGTTTTGTAATTCTTATTGTAGAGATCTTTCACCTCCGTGGTTATCTGTATTCCTAGGTATTTTATTGTTTTGTAACAACTGTGAATGAGATTACATTCCTGATTTGGCTCTTGGCTTGGCTGGTGTTGGTGTAAAGGAATGCTAGCAATTTTTGTATGTTGATTTTGCATCCCAAAACTTTGCCAAACTTGTTTACCAGCTGAAGGAGCTTTCGGGCTGAGACTACAGGGTTTTCTAGATATAGAAGCATGTCATCTGCAAACAGGGATAGGTTGACTTCCTTTCTTCTTATTTGGATGTCCTTTATTTCTTTCTCTTGCCTGATTTACCTAGCCAGGGCTTCCAGTACTATGTTGAATAGTAGTGGTGAGAGGTGGCATTCTTGTCTTGTGCCAGTTTTCAAGGGGAATGCTTCTAGTTTTCACCTATTAAGTATGATGGTGACTTTGAGTTTGTCATAGATGGCTCTTATTATTTTGAGATATGTTCCTTCTATACCTAGCTTATTGATAATTTTTAACATGAAAGAATGTTGAATTTTATTGAAAGCCTTTTTTGAGAGAATTATGTGATTTTTATCTTTAGTTCTATATATGTGATGAATCACATTTATTGATTTGCATATGTTTGAACCAACCTTGCATCCCAGGGATAAAGCCTACTTGATCATGGTAGGTTAGCTTTTCGATGTGCTGCTAGATTCAGTTTGCAAGTATTTTATTGAGAATTTTTACATTAGTGTTCATCAAGGATATTGGCCTGAAGTTCTCTTTTTTTGTTGTGTCTCTGCCAGGTTTTGATATCAAGATGATGCTGACTTCCTAGAATGAATTGAGGAGGAGTCCCTCTTTGGTTTTTTGGAATAGTTTCAGTAAGAATAGTACCAGCTCTTCTTTGTACATCTGGTAGAATTCGGCTGCAAATTCATCTGATCCTGGGCTTTTTTTGGTGGGTAGGTTGTTTATTACTGATTCAATTTTGGAGCTCATTATTGGTCCAAATCAATTTCTTCCTGATTTCTTCTTGAGAGGGTGTATGTGTCCAGGAATTTATCCATCTTTTCTATGTTTTCTAGATTGTGTGCATGGAGCTGTTTTTAATATTATCTGATGGTTATTTGTATTTCAGTGGGATCAGCGGTAACATCCCCTTTATCATTTCTGATTGTGTTTATTTGGATCTCTTTTCTTTTCTTCTTTATTAGTCTAGTTTGTGGCCTAATTATTTTTCTCAAAAAACCAACTCCTGGATTCATTGATCCTTTGAATGGTTTTTCATGTCTTAATCTCCTTCAGTTCAGCTCTGAATTTGGTTACTTCTTGTCTTCTGCTTCCTTTGCAGTGGTTTTCGCTTGCTTCTCTAGTTCTTTTAATTGTAATGTTAGGTTGTTAATTTGAGATCTTTCTAACTTTTTGATGCGGGCATTTAGTGCTATACATTTTCCCACTTAACACTGCGTTAGCTGTGTCCCAGAGATTCTAGTATGTTGTTATTTTTGCTCACATTAGTTTCAAAGAACTTCTTGATTTCTGCCTAATTTCATTATTTACCCAAAAGGCATTCAGGAGCAAGTTGTTTAATTTGCATGTATTTGTATGGTTTTGAGTGATTTTTTAAGTCTTGATTTCTATTTTTATTGTGCTGTGGTCTGATACTGTATTTGGTATAATTTTGATTCTTTTGTATTTGCTGAGGATTATTTTATGTCTGATTGTGTGGTCAGTTTTAGAGTATGAACATGTGGTGATGAGAAGAATGTATATTCTGTTTGTTTTGGGTGGAGAGTTCTGTAAAGGTTTATCGGATCCATTTGGTCCAATGTTGAGTTCAGGTCCTGAATATTTTTGTTAATTTTCTGCCTTGATGACCTGTCTAATACTGTCAGTGGAGTTTTGCAATTTCTCACTATTCTTGTGTGGGAGTCTAAGTCTTTTTGTAGGTCTCTAAGAACTTGCTTTATGAATCTGGGTGCTTTTGTGTTGGGTGCATATATATTTAGGATAGTTAGATCTTCTTGTTGAATTGAACCCTTTACCACTATGTAATGCCCTTCTTTGTCTTTCTTAATCTTTGTTAGTTTAACATCTGTTTTGTTATTTCCCTTTTTTATTGCACACAAAAATTGAATTAGGTGCTTGCAAAATCAAGGATTAGCCCTTTAAGCAAATTTTGGTTATAGTAAGTAATGGGACAGAAATTTCAGGGACCCAAGAGACTAAGAAACCAGTTTTTAAAATGTATTGTACAATCTCTTTATTCTCTACTCAAGTGAATATCATCCAGAATTCAGATGTTATAACATTGGCTTCTGTTCATTGCTGGTGAGCAGAAGTCTTTCAAACATCTGAGCTCTCTGGACTCACCATGTTTTACCAACATGATCATGGGGGGTTTTGCCTACTGTGAGTGACATCTTCAAAGGGAGAGTACGTTCTGGCTCTTTTGATTAAGGTGGAAATCTTTGTGAGTGCCCCTTTGAGAACTGTTCTAAGAGAAAGTACCTATTGCTAATTTGGTAAAGTGATATTAAACAACGTGCTGGAATAGTTTTTTGAATATAGATTTTCCATAAACTCTGCAATCATTCCATGTTCAGTTTGTAGCAATCATGTGAAGTCATTCTTTTCAGAAAGGAGCATGCAGATCTTGATGTGACTTACTTGAGAATGATTGTTATCTCACACTTTGGTATTTCTGTGTTTCCTTAAGACACACACACACAAAATCAGTAAATAGAGTACCTTAAAAAGGGGAAAGTTCACTAAGGATTTATTGGAATAATGGTGAACTCTCAAAAGTGGAATTGTTTACTTAAATGACATGCCTTTTCAATTTTGTAAATATTGTCAAAATATTTTCTGAAAATATCTTTAAATTTATATTCTTACATGTTTATACTACTCTCACTCCCTCAACACACACAAATGTGCATGCACACACACATACACACATTTTTATCCTGGGCAATATCAGGGTTCTAATTGTGGATAATATAATTTGTAAAATATGGTATCTTGGTTTTCAATTGCATGCTTAAATTATGAATGGGTTTTAGCATCACATATTCTTTTACTTATGACTTCCCTGCCTAATAATTTCTTTTAAGAATTTCAAAACAAAATGGGGAAATCATTTCATGACAGATAAATATGAATGAAGACAAGCCCAAATTCCCTTTGGAAAAAAAATTATCTTTTCTGCAGAACTGCTCAGATTTTTACTACACTTATGTGCACTGTAATTTTTCAAGAGAGAAATGGAAGAGAAAGGTTTGAAGGAAAATCTTCATTTCACACTCTTCTTCCCCTACCTTTCTTACCTCAACAGCTTATAATGATTCCACCTCTGGTTCCTAGATGCTGTAGACAATATTATTTATGAGTATATATTACTGTGTGTAAAAATTATAGAGTGAATTGTTATTGCTATATATAGAGTGAATGGTTATTGCTATATAACTATAGTTAAATATATTTAAGTGAATATATTTAACTATACAGTTATAGTATGTACCATTAAGAACTGTCTTAGATGATGACAAAAGGGGGTTTAGATAAACTACAAAAAAGTATAGAAACTTGCAAAGATGACTACCAAAAATCCATCCCTTCCCAACACCAGCAAGCTGCTCCTCCCATCAACAGTGAAGACCATTTCACCTCCTTTTAACTCCCATTGACACTGTGATTTGCAGCAACTTATAGAATATGATGGAAGTGGTGCTGTGCAAATGCCCAGCCCTTAAGAGATCTGGCAACTTCTGCTTTTACTTGATTATGGAGTGAAACCTGGGGTTGGCCGTAATGTAAGAGAGAGAAAAACAGGCCCATCCAGCTTGCAGCCAACCTAGGTGAAGTGCCCAACATGTGCGAGAAGCCATCTTGGACATTCCAGCCCAAGCCAAGCTCCCAGCAGATTGTAATCACATGAGGGATCCTAGCCAATATCATATGAAGAGGAAGAACCCCAACTGAGCCCAGCCAACCCACAAGACCATGAAAAATTGAATAAATAACAAAGGGAAGGATTGTAACAGTACCTAAATGTTAAAGTAGAGCTGACAATAGTACTGAGAGACAAAATCACGTGAATTGTAGAATGAAAACCAATTGTCAAGACACACGAGCTCAGTGTAGATGGATGGGAGAGGCCCCAGACCAATGAGACAGTACAAAACTCTAATCCTGAGTTAGACTTCAACAGCTAGGACTGATATTTTACAACTGTGTTTCCAGTGGAATTTTCTATGATGATGAAAAAAAATATGTAGCTACTGAGTACTTGAAATGTGACTAGTGTATCTTTGGAGCTGAATTTTTAATTGTATTTAATTTTGCTTAACTATCATTTAAATTTAAATAACCACATGTGGCCAGTGACTACAATATTGGATAGTGCAGATACTACATCACATGCAGGACTTTACTCTGATGAAGGGATAAAAATCTCCAACAACTCACCCCAAAATTGTGTCTTTCCCATGTGCATATCCCTCAGAATTCTGAGAGGAACCTTACTACTTAGACCTTGATCTACTTGAGCTGCTTAGAGTTACCAAATTACCTGTCAATATCTCCATACGCAAACCCAAGAATCAGAAAGCATAAGTAAGACACTCCTCCTTGTGTTCTCCGAGTAAACAGAGATGGGGCTGAAAGTAACGACTTAAATAAAGTCTGTCTCTACCTTTTATACTAAGTCTATAAATAGCCTCGAGGTAAAATCATCTATTATAAAGGGAATTTCTAAGAACTTTAATTAGGGTATTTAAAATTTAAATTCATATATATATAGTGTGCTCCCCAAGCGTCTTTCAGTATAGAAATATTTTGTCTATATGACTGCTATTAACCTCTTGCAGTGGCGGTAAGACACATTTTGGGAAAGCTCTGCTAGAAAACTGCAGAAGAATTTCTATTAAGCTAGGCTAAATGTCATAGTGAAATATTGAAAACTTCAACCATGAATACTACATAACTTTCCAAAATCAATTCCATTTCCTTAATTAGAAAATTAATCATTTGAGATTATTAAACAAATATGAGACAAGATTAAAATGATGATTTTCATTTCCTTATAGGTTAATTTTTAAATATTTAACAAAAATAGAGTAATACCCTTCTCAAAGAAGGCAAAATTGTAGCTGAGACTTAATTTAATTATATGGTAACTAGGCTCCAAAATTTTCAAACACTGATTTTAACATTTTTACCTAATGAAGGCAATATTGACATTTACATGAATAAAATTACCATTTTTCTGTACCTATCTGGCAATGAGCCATGATTTTCCAAAGAGCCAAGGACAAATAACTATTTCAAGGACTCTTTGCTAGAGAGAAATGCTTGTATTCTTAGGAGAATAGAATTTGTTCTGCTTCACTGTCTAATTTAACACCACTGAAATTGAAAATGAAATGTATTATTTCTACTTCCTATGAGTCCTCAAAAATCCTTCTGCCTTCTAGAGTTTGTTCCAATTGGATCATCAAACTAAGGTAAACCAGGAAATTGTTCCAGTCACTTAAAGATTTGGCTAAAATATGAGATGTCTCTTCTCCCAAATTCCTATTCCTGGCATTTTATTTTTGATAGCAGTCCTCAAAGTTCATCTTCCTCCAAGATTCTCATCCTGGATGCATACTGGAATAACTGGGTCTGGGGGTAGCCTTTTGAAAATGTAGATTCCTGGGCCCCACCCCAGACTAATCTCAGCATGGGGAGGAGAGAGTTGGAGGGCCAAGCAAAGACATCCTTAAAACCACTCAGTAGATTCTCATGACAATCACACCATTGGGCTTGTCTATTCTGCTCATTTTACGGACTTGGGAGCCGAGGGCCGGCCAGCTAAGTGAGCTGTTACCATTTCATTTATTCTTCCCAAGACAATCAGGACTGGAGCCGTCTAAATACTTGGTGATTTCCAAGCTTGGGCATGAGCCACCGGGGTTACAAAGGATGTCTCCAGGGTCTCCTTAGAGGGTGAAAGGGGACATGAGGAAGGAGCAGATTCTCATCTCTCACCAGAGAACCAGTCCTAACTGTATACTGGGGTTCTTCATATTTTGTTTGAAAAGAGGGTTCCACTACTAAAATATGCCAAGTCTGAGAAATCACTCCACTAAAACTGTGAACGTGATGTTAATAATGTCCATGTCTGAGATGTTTATCAAAGAATCTTAGGAGCCAGACACCAGTTCAACTAATAATGAAATGTAAAAACACTTCAAAGAACAGAGGAGTGTTTATTCTCAAGTCACATTTTTTTTTCAGGTGTTTGGTGAGCTCTAAGGAGATATGTGAGTTCAAATATTAGCACCCATGAAAAATATGTGTCACAGGTAAGAATCCCAGGTCACAGGTGCAAGTTTATTAAATTAAAAACAATTTTTTTTTTTTGCAACTGACAATTTCTAGTTCATATCTCATTACTCTGATACGTAATATTAAGGGTACTGTTCCTGCCCGTGGTTGGGCCTAATTTGGGGAGGTTAGGCAGTTCCAAGGCATCAGGGAAGGGCTCTGGTCCCTGGTGCTTGTCTGACCTCACTGGCATCCTCTGGGATACCCTCCGTCTCACCGAGCCTCAGGGCATGAGTACACACAGAGCCCTTTCATTCCTAACTATAAAGCCTCTTGGGTCCAGCTTTCTATCAATGGCCTTTGCCTATCGCTGGGTCTCTCTAGAAAGCATCCTACTGCTCCCCCAGCCGTCTGGGTTTTGGGGACCTTGTGAGGGTGTCTCAGGCTCCTCTGTTCAGACACCCCTTTCACCATTTCTACGCCATTGCTTCCCCGCCATACTGCCAAACGGGCATCTGTGAAGCTTGCTGCCTCTCCTAGCTCCACACTGGAAGCAAGGCACAGACCTTCCCTGCTGCTGGATCCCCAAAGCTTTCTCAAAGGAACAGCCCCAGCAGTGGGGACCCAGGCATAGGGTCTCTCTGTGGGAACCATCAGTGTCTATGTATCACCAACTCTCCTTTCTTAAGGAGATTGCATTCAAAGGGGAGGAAAAACTCTAGAACTGAGAACATTGTCTTCTAAAACTATTATTCTGTTCTGGAGCCTTAAGAATCCAGGCTTTTGCAACTCAAAACACTTTTTTTTTTTCTCAAGGCAATTGTTTACAACGGCCTATTTTAAAGCCAAATACAAAGAATTGCCTGCTCGTTCTTCCCTTCTGTTCTATCATTTCTTCCCAGGAGCTGCCCCAGTGGAGTTGAGGAGAGTCACAGGAGACAAAGGAGGATGGGGGAATAAACAAGTTAGTTAATACATCAATATTCTAACTTCCTACACATGCATATTGATCAGGTTCTGTACAAAATAAGGTATAAAATAAAATGTACAAAATAAAAGTGTGAGGCTCCTTGTTCAAAAATTATTAGGTTAGTGCAAAAGTAATTGAGGTTTTTGCCATCACTTAAAAAAAAAAAAGGCAAAACTGCAATTACTTTTGCCCTAACCTGATACAATGAATTTCAAGACGGCTATAGCAGAATGTTAAACCACACACGGGGCCTTCCTTTCTGAATACAATTGCCCTGTATGACCGCATATGTCCACACCCACAAAGCTGGCCCTGTCTTTAGCTCTTAAAACATATTTTTCTTTGATTTTCGTTGGAGTGTTATTGGTACTGTCATCCCTCGGCATTCTTGGGAGATTGATTCTGATCCTCCCCTCATCCCCAGATACTAAAATCTGTGGATGCTTAAGTCCTTGATATAAAATGGTGTAGTGTTTGCATATAACCTATGAACATCCTCCTGTATACTTTAAATCGTATCTAGGTTACTTATAACACCTAATACAATGTAAATGCTATGTAAATAGTTGTTAAAACTTTATATTATACAATTTATATTATTTTCATTATTGTTAAATGTAAACATAGTATTATTTTTATTTTTGTATTGTCATTGTTTATTGGGTTTTCCAAATATTTTTGATCCAAATCCACAGATGCAGAAAATTATCAAAATAATTTGGAGGATAATTTAAGTAGCAATGGGAATTCATAATATAAACTATAAAATATGATAGATGACTATGCAGTTTTTTATAATCATGTGTGGATATTAAATGGCATGGAAAATTATTGCCATGATTCTGTATGTTGGAAATGTTAATATTTCTGCCCTGACTACACCACATTTCCAGAGAAACAGCCCTACCCACCACTCTGGAAGCAGGGCCCTTATTTCACCGCTTGGCTTCTCCCTCCTCCCTCCTCTATCGCTGATTGGCTCAGGTGTGAGTAACAGATCCAAAAGCAACCAATCAGTAGACTTGCCAGAAAGCTCTTATCTATGTGGACATGATGGAAAAATGAAAAGGGCAAAGTTTGAAATGTAGACTAAAAACTCAGAATGTATCAGACAGTAAGGGTAAGGGCTCAGTTATAAAGTCACAAGGTAGAGTTGAAGCTTGAGGAGCCACTGTAAGTAGTAAACTGAAAGTATGGGGGAGCAGAAATTAAGAATAAGTAGAGAAAGCTTGTAGGAAACAGGGCAAGAAGTAGATAGAGGCTAGCCAGCCTTGTTGTCCGCAGGGAGGACTTGGAGCTCCTGTTGCTGAGGTGTTGAGAGCTGCTTCAGTTTCAGACTCACACTCTAGCCCAGCTCCCCCAAGGGACTTATCCTAACCTGAGATCTGTTCTTGGATTTCCAAGACATGTCCTTGTCATTTCTTGTAAATCCTTTCAGTAAGCCCTTTGAATGGACTGCCTTCAGTGAGTCTCCATATTGCAACTGTTATGAAAGACTGTGTAGATTGCAAGCCCAATTTTATATTTTCAGTGTGTGCTTACACATATGCATGGTTATAAAACAGTGTCACATAATTGCCAATAGCATTTTTCAGTGTACCAAGATTAGGTGGCTTCTTTATTTCTCCACTAACTGATCTGATCACCTAAAAGACACTTCCCACTGGCTCCCTGGGACAATTAGACTTGGCAATGTTCCAATCTTCTGTGGCATAAACGTCTCCATTCAGTTCACACATTTATTTAAAGTTTGGCTGGGCATGGTGGCTCATGCCTGTAATCCCAGTACTTTGGGAGGCTGAGGTGGGAGGATTACTTGAGCCCAGGAGTTTGAGATCAGCCTGGGCAACACAGTGAGACTTTGTCTCTACTAAAAACTTTTAAAATTAGCTGGATGTGATGGTGCATGCCTGTAGTCCCAGCTATTAATACTTGAGAGGCTGAGGCGAGAGGATGGATACCTTGCGCCTGGGAGATTGAAGCCGCAGTGAGTCATGGATCATGCCACTGCACTCCAGACTGGGCAACAGAGTGAGACCTTGTCTCAGTCAATCAATCAATCAATAAAAAGTTCAACCCCCTAGGTTATTGTTAAATATATACTTGCATGTGCAGAAAATAACATATTTGTAAGGCTATTCATCACAGTATTATTTGTAACAGCAAAACTTAATCTCTGTCTGTTGATAAGGAAAGAATTAAATAAATTATGAAGCAGCCTTACAATGAAATTACTTTCCGAAAATCAACAAGCAAAATAATGAGTACACTATATACTGATATGGAAATCCCAGTGATATATTTTAAATAGAAATATATTTAAAAGGTCAAAAATACTTATGTTACCATTTACTTAAGAAAAGAAAAAAATAAGAATAAGATTACATGCTCACATTTTTTAGTAATAGCATAAAGAAACTCTGGAAAGATACACAAGAAGCCAATTAAAATGGCATCCTTTGGGAGGCATGGCACTAGGGGACTAGTAATGAGGTGGATGGGAAGAAAGACTCTTCCTGTAAGTCTTTGTTTTGTTCCACTTTATGGACCACATGAATATATTACTATAAAAATGAAGCATGGCCGGGCACGGTGGCTCACAACTGTAATCCTAGCACTTTGGGAGGCCAAGGTGGGCAGATCACAAGGTCAGAGGTTTGAGACCAGCCTGGCCAGCATGGTGAAACCCCGTCTCTACTAAAAATACAAAAAAATTAGCTGGACATGGTGGTGCACGCCTGTAGTCCCAGCTACTTGGGAGGCTGAGGCAGGAGAATCGCTTGAACCCGAGAGGTGGAGGTTGCAGTGAGCTGAGATCATGCCACTGCACTCCAGCCTGAGTGACAGGTGAAACTCTGTCTCAAAAAAAATAAAAATGAAGCATATTTTCAAGTATAATAATCTCTTCTGAGAGTGATTTAAATAGTATCTTTTGTGTGACTCTGGGCAAAATCATCAGTCCCTCAAACTTACCCTAAGTCCCCCTATATAGCATCTGATTAGAAATAAATTAAGTTATCTCATGATGGTAGAGTGAAGGGAACTCTGATCCCTGCTGGTGACCTCTCTTCTCTACCTGGTCATGCTTCATGCTTTCCCTGCTAGCATCCGTAGCTGAAGCTAGCAACTGATATACGTAGTTTACTGTCTGGCTTTTTTTTTTTTTTTTTTTTTTTTTGAAACAAGGTTTCTCTCTGTCACTCAGGCTGAAGTACAAAGGCAAGATCATAGCTCAAGAGATCCTCCTGCCTCAGCCTCCCAAGTAGCTGGGTCTACAAGAGTATACCACTACACCTGGCTAGTTGTTACTTGTTTTAGATATGGGGTCTCACTATGTGTCCCAGGCTGGTCTCAAACTTCTGACCTTGGGCAGTTCTTCTACCTTGGCCTCCCTAATTGGTGGGCTTACAGACATGAGCCACCACACCTGGCTGTCTGGCCTTTCTTAATGGAGTCAGGCCAAGTGGTCCTACCAGGCTGACATGGCTTTATCTTAGCACCTGTTGATGCTCAAGACCTCCTGGGTCTCTTCTATATCCTCCCTCTGGCTCTGCTTTAAGTCCCATCCCGTACCTTCTGCTATACAATCATCCTGCCCAGGCCTGCTGACTGCCACTAAACAATCTCCTGATGTGACTCAAGCCCACCCACCCCCACTCTCCTTTCCCCCAGTTATAGGAACCCCTGGCCCAAGCCCTGGCACATAAGAATTAGAAGAACGCTGGAAAGCTAAACCAGAGTCCTCCTTGTATCTACGTTGGAGAGAATCTCCAAGTTCACACTGATGTGGCCAGTCCCCAGGTTTCTACGGTATGCGGAAAACTTGCAATGCTATCTCCAACCAGAGATCCAAATGTAAAACTAGGCAAAGCCCCTGCCCTTAGCATTCCCCTCCACTTTTTTTACATACTTGGGTTTGGCCCAGAGGGGAAGGACTTTGTTTTATAATTTTTATTTTTAAAATGAGCAAATACTTTCAAGATGCTAATTTTCTATTATCATTGGTGGGAACATGAGAGTTTTATGTACTGTCCTTTGTACTTTTCTAAATTTTTTTCTTATTTTATTTTTAAAATATTTGAAGACAAAAAATTTAATTCAGTCCCAGTTTTAATGATGTTTCAGGACCATTTTTAGAACTATTTTGGGGGAACAAGCTGGGATTTAATTCAACATCATGATGGGTTTAGTTTGTGGGCTCACAACTAGTAAGAAGAAAATTTTAAATGGAAGATAAAATTCTCATCGATACCACCACCAATAGCTCAGTGATGGTTTCTTTTTCTTCTAATAACCAGATAATTGTCTTGGATCACTAGTTTATTCAGCTAGTTCAGACTCAGTCTAGCAAACAGGTAAGAAGGGATAACTTATGTGGCTCCTCTATAACTATCTTTTCTCAGGTCTCAAAATTTAGTCTTTGAAGTCCATACTGCCTGTTCGAGAGAATGCTGACCTTCCTCCATAGCAATAACAGATTTTATTCAAGGTAACAATGTACACAGAAACCACTTCCCCATCTCCTTTGTGGATAATTATGTCCATGTGGCTAAATTCTGGCCAAAAAGATATGAGTTAATGTCATATGGGACTTCCAGTAGAACAACTCAGAGAAAGCTAACTCTCCTTCCCCTTTTCTTTGTCTCATTTCTTGAAATGTGGATACAATATCTGGAGATCTGGCAGCTGTAAAAGGAAAATAAATCTTGGGACCCCAAAATCACTAGGCCAAGGGAAAAGTCAAGCTGGGAACTATGTCAGACAAACCTGCTTTCCATTTTATAAGATAGCTACAAAGACAAAAAGCTATATACCTCCCTCACAATTTGCCCACAAGGAAGTTCCTTGTGGACAAAGGACAGATAGAACTCAAAGTCATCTCTCCAAGGCTCACCTGAGACAAATGTGTATCTGATTGCTTCCTCTGCCTTTTGTTTATGTAAAAATGAAGATTCACTGAGCCAGACTAAATTGTGCATTCAGTGGAAGGCTGATCAAGGACTCAAAAGAATACAACCTTTTGTTTTGTATCTACTTATAACCTGGAAGCCCCCACCTCAAATTGTCAGAAACCAATGTATATCTTAGACATATTGACCAATGTCTTATGTCTCCCTAGAATGTATAAAAGCAAGCTGTACCCTGACCACCTCGGACACATGTCGTCAGGACCTCCTGAGGCTGTGTCACAGGCAAATCGTTAATCTTGGCAGAATAAACTTTCTAAATTGATTGAGACCTGTCTCAGATACCTTTTGGTTTACACAACCATCTTGGATCATAAGATGCATCTTCAAGGACTGTAAGACCTCAAGGTTGAAAGCCACCCCAGAGAAATAGAAAGAAGGAAAGAACCAGGGACCAGGGTCCCTTATGACTTAATGGATGCTCTGTATCAGTTTTCAGTCCTGAAAGTCTGCCTCCAGATTTCTTTCTTGTTTGTTTGTTTGTTTGTTTGTTTCTTTCTTTCTTTCTTTCTTTCTTTCTTATTTTTCTTTCTTTCTCTTTTTTTTTTCAGGGTCTTAGTCTGTCACCCATGCTGGAATGCAATGGTACAATCACAGCTCACTGCAGCCTCAACCTCCCCTGGGTTAGGAGATCCTCCCAACTCAGCCTCCTAAGTAGTTGAGACTATATGCGTGCACCTGGCTAAACTTTGTATTTTCTGTAGAGACAGGGTTTCACCATGTTGACCAAGCTGGCAGATTTCTTTTATGTAGAAACTAACCCTTGTGTTTTTTTAAACAACTTATACTTCGGCATCTTTTAATATCAACCTGGTTTAATGTCTAATGGATATTTAACTGAGTACCTTCATTTTTCTACAAGATAGTTTAATTATTTTTCTCTCCCTTATTTTCTCTTTCCTCCTTTTCTTCACTTCCTACTTAGCTCTTTAGAGATGCAATTATAGCCTTTTACCTCCTCTTCACCAGACACTTCCTACAGGACAAGTTCATCTATGTGCTTAGAACCTCCAGAGCGGATCTCTCACCCACTAGAAGGTTGCCTTGACAAATAACAGTCAATTTATAACCCAAAGTATATCCATGAGAGTTTTTAGCCACCTTTACAACCTATTTCTGCCTATGAAGATGCTAACATTACTGCCCAGTAGATAAGTCACCAAAGTAAGTATGCAGACCCCGCACCTGCTTACTTCCACCTCGGTGCAGGTCTCCCCCTTTAAAAGCACCCACATTCTCTCCAGAAGCAAAGTAATACCCTTAAGGCAGGAATCCTGTACTTCTTCCCATAAGTTATCTTTGCAATACAAAGTCACTTTCTTTGTATTAGCTCTTGCTTTTGTTAATTGGACTCTGCAAGTGGTGAACATTTTGCATTACAGATGCAATCGTGGACAGGAATTTGTTCATTCGTTCAACAGATTATTATTGCACATCCAGGCTCCAGACATTATGCTAAGCATTCAGTATTCTGGTGCCAGGTGCTGGAATAATAAAAATAAAAATAGTAATTATTGTTACTATTATGGATACTGTGTTAGCTTCCTTTTCCACTTGCCCCTCCAAATCCAATCTCCACACACCCCATTTTGTGCCCCTAGGAGGCTGACCTATATGGATACCACGAGTGGGCTTCCTTACCCTTTAGCTCCAGTTGGATGTGGTCAGTGAAGAGAACCAGTGGGAGCTAAAAGGAGAGAGGAGGAAGAGGTTGGAGTGTTTATTCCCCCAGCTCTTGTATTAGTCCATTTTCATGCTGCCGATAAAGACATGTCTGCGACTGCCTAATTTATAAAGAAAAAGAGGTTTAACGGATTCACAGTTCCACGTGGCTGGGGAGGCCTCACAATCATGGCAGAAGGCTAAAGGCACTTCTTACATGGCAGCAGCAAGAGAGAATGAGAACCAAGCAAAAGGGGTTTCCCCTAATAAAACCATTAGATCTCATGAGACTTACAAGAACAGTATGGGAGAAACTACCACGTGATTCAATTATCTCCTACTGGGTCCCTCCCACTGGGAGCTACCTGTGGGAATTATGGGAGCTACAGCTCAAGAGGAGATCTGGATGGGGATACAACCACACCATATCAGCTCCCCACTGCAGGGTTGCTGTAAACTGGCTTTGTCTGGCTTCCAGTCAGGCAGCTCGCTTCACACTATTCTCTGTCTCCAGGTTCTCACAACTGCCCCTTTTCTTCCGTCTGTGGGCCTCAGGTAGTCATTGTGGCCAGCTGTACTGAGCTTGAGTTTTCACTATATTCTATCCATGTCTTTTTTATAAAAAGTCCCTTTTCAAAACACTCTTAAATTAATTCATTGCAATGTGCCATCTGTTTCTTTCTGGGAACTGAAGAACTTCTTATGAAGTGTTTCTTTTTTGGCAGATACTGCTAGGTATACCATTTCATCAAATCTTTACAATCCTGTCTATAGTTTGCCTAGTAAGGCTGAAAAATAGAGAGGCTGAGTGAATCATAACCAAGGTGTTGACTAGGTTCTTTTATTTTCCTAAACTGGACACATATAGAGATAGGCTGGACCTTATACAAAACAATACAAGCAGGATTTATCATGGTGTACCCTTCCATCTTGCTCTCCATCCCAGCTTTTCTCTCTGTGTCTCTTGCTTGCAATATCCTGTTGCTACCCCTTGGAGTTCAAGGATCCCTGTTGTGGTGTCTCTGGTCTGTCATCCCAGCAGTGCTCCTTGCTGTGGTTATCTTCCCTGTGCTACAAGCTCTCAGAACACTGTCCTCCCTTCTCTTCAGTGATGCCAAGTTACCCAGATAATAATACTGAGCTCTGCAGCACTTGCTGATAATTATTCATTGTTACCTCTCCAAGGGTAGCAAGAACTCTAATTGACCAGTTACCTTAATTTAAACAAAGGACTTAACCTGTACTGGTAGTTTTAGAGACTGCTGTGGTGACTAAAGAGACATTTTGGTGGTTATATCGTCATTGACTGCAGACCCACTTGGTATAAGGTGGTCTTGTGCAAGACACAAGAAAAATAATTCATATTTAGTTCTACGAAAAATTCTATGGCAATTCTCCATCAAAGTATTCTGATTTGATTCCCAATATTGTTTTCCCTAATGTATCTTTTAAAATTCTTAGTTATATATTCCACACAAGGAGAAGAATTCTCCAGGAGATATGTGGAATTAGTAGAAGTAAAAAAAAAAATGACTTTCGGTGGTGGAACGAGACTCCTTGATACCGTTCATCTGTTTAGGAAAAGTCCAGCCAAGTCCATTTTATCGGTATCAAAGACAACATATAACTTAGCCTCCTAAACACTTTTAAATTATCTTTCCACATAATAGCACATTTTTTTAAAAGAGTAAGCTGTGTCCAAAAGTGTGTTCAATATATTTCTCCAGACAACAAACATTCTAGAATTTTAACTTATTTGTTTCTGGTATAACTGGAGGCAAGAACAAAAATTCAAATGATTCTAGTTGCATAACAAAGTCTACATACCAGGAACTGTAAGAGTCATTCCCAAAAGCAGCTTTAAACAATGCTTGAGTGAGTTAGCACTTTCTTACTAGAAAAGCCTTGTTTATATTGAAGGATACTGATGGCAAATAATTCTGCCAAAAACATTCTATAGCACAGGTGAAAGTCTTGCCTGAAGGATAGCACTCAAGAGACCCCTGGCATTTGGTTCAGCATGGTACATTTAATCATAATATAAAATTTGCAAGAAAGTGTGGACCCTTGCAATATTCTCTTCCTATGACAGTGGAGAGAATTCTATTACTCTTATCAATTTTTCTTGACTTACGCAGTAAGAGGCAGATTCTAAAGATTATAATAACTTTGATAGTTTTAAAACATGGCTGCAAATTCTGTGACATTCTTCCCATTGAGAGGTGTGGTCTCCATTCCTCCCTCTTGAACCTTGTCAAGCTTGTGAAATCTTAGGCCAGTAGAGTATGGCAGAAGGAATGCTAAGTGATTTCCAGAGCTGGGGCATAAAGGGCCATACAGCTTCTGCCCCATTTGCTGGAAAATTATTCTTGGAGACTTCGGCCTGAGTCTGTCATGCTGGAAAGAACTGGGGTAGGCACTCCTGTTGCCAGTCTCGACTGAGTCCAGGCTTCCAGTCATCCATCCATCCCTAATGATAGGGACAAGAGGCACGGAAATTCTGGGCAGAAGAGGATGGGTCCCCAGCGAGGGCCCTACCCTCAAGCCTGGAACCACAGCCCAAGGTAAGAACATACATCCCTGTTTTCCCACTCAAATGTTGACATTTCCAAAACCACCCATGGCTCACCCCACCCCTCATTGTGTGTCCATAAAAATCCTAGGCTCTGCCAGCAGAGAGAGAAGAGGAAAAACAGTTGGACATCAGAGACTATGTTTGAACGTTGGAGAGAAGCATTTGACTTCAGAGGGACAGCTTGACGGGGTAGCTTCAGAGAGGAGTCCAACCTAGACAACTGGACTCCAGGGGAAGATCACCTTCCTGCTCCATCACCTATTCAGCTCCCCTTCCCACTGAGAGCCACTTTCACCAGCAATAAAATCCCCCACCTTTACCATCTTCAACTCACTTATGTGAGCTAATTCCTCCTGAATGCTAGACAAGAACTTGGGTGCCAAGAGGGTGCATGCAAAAGGTGTCACACTGACCCTACACTGAGCTGCTAACACATAAGCCGTCTGCAGACAGCAATGGTAAAGGATTGCTGACTGTAACACTTCTTTTTGGGCTTAAGGGGGAGTGCCCCCCACTAGATGCTGCTGCAGGCCCCGCATGGAGTTGTGCTCCTGCTGGTGCCCAGAAGCAGTTGCCCCGGCTCCTGCACCCACATGCTCCTTCCCGCGAGGGGTTGAGCACAGTAGGTTCCAGTGAGTGAAGTTTGCCCCTGCTGTTGCTGAAGCAGCTAGCTAGCTCCAGTGCCGGCACTCTAGTTCCTGCCCGCGAAGCAGTCAGGGTAAATTTCCTGTTTCACTGCCAAGAATACAGACATGTGAGTGAAACTCACGTGGACAATCCTAACCAGCCCATTTTCCAGCTGAATACCTTCAAGCAAACAGAAAATTCCTCTAAGGAAACGCTTTGGAAATCCTGACCCACACAATCTTGAGGTGCTATTTCAACCACAAAAGTTTTAGGAAATTTGCTTTCTAGCAATAATCAGAACAATTACTTCCTAAGTTATATAGTCATTGATCAGTACACCACTATTAGGCAGGGTAGTTCTATCTGACAGACAAGAAATGACTTACAAAGTCACGGAGTAATGTAGGGTGTTTTAGTCCATTTTGTGCTGCTATAGCAGAATATCTGAGACTGAGTAATTCATAAAGAACAGAAACTTACTATCTCATATTTCTGGATACTGGGAAGTCCAAGAGGAAGATACCAGCAATTGGTCTGGTGAGGACTTTCTTGCTACATCTTCATATGGCAGAAGACAAAAGGCAAGAGAGAGTGAACCCACTCGTGAAGCCTTTTTAATAACAGTATTAATCCATTCATGAGGATGCAGCCCTCATAACGTAAACACTTCCTGGTAACCATTACCTCCTAACACTGCTGCATTGGAGATTAAGTTTCCAATATATAAATTTTGGGAACATATTCCAACCATAGCTCAGGGGTAGAGCCTGATTCCAACTATCATTGAGAACTGTGTGTTTTTTCTTCACTATGCCATCTTTTCTTGTTGGTCATAAAATTTTCAAACAAGCATCTTAAAATAACTAAGCCCATTGGCTTTCAAACTGTGTTCTCTGGAGCTTGAGAGTTCAAAAAAAGGTCACTGAAGACTCATGCTAGGAGAGGAAGCAGTGCAGGATAGTCAACAAAGAGTAGGAGGGTTTCTGATCTTGTTTGAAACCAAATGTGTTCTCCTTCTAATAGTTGTATAAAGATGCTGATATTCCACGTAAGATATCTTGTTAATATAATGCCCCCTTACTAAAACAAAAACAAACAGATAAAAATATTTTTGAAGTAGTATTCCAGTCCAAGAGACTCATTTTAAAATTTAAAAGCCATGACCTGATAAACAAAGCATCTTGTCCAGTGTTATATTGTTGACCAATTCGGTCTTATGATTAATATTCCAGTGATTTTGCCATGTTTATACAATCTGCCTTTGTCATGCATATTAGCAAGACTCAGGACTGATAGGAGTCATTTTATCCAACCAATATTTATTGAACACCATGCCAGTCTCCACACCAGGTGCAGTATTGAGCATGATGGTCATGGTCATCGATGTGATTGGGGTTATAACTTGATAGGTAATAATTTTCAACCAATAATCCATTTGTTTCCTTTCTGTAAGTAGCTTCAGCTTCTGTCCCCATCTTATTCCTAACAGGAACTATCAACAGAGAAAACATCAAAAGTCATATGATTTAGTCTCTTGCAGAGCACAGGAGTTAAGTTGTGATAGAGGAATAGGAAGGAACTAGGGAACAATAACAATCCAGAAGCAGGAACAATTAGGTACCAAATAAGTGGAGTAGTACTGTTTCTATAAGAGCACCAGTAACATAGACTTTTGAAATTGCTACAAAAAAGCCAAAATGATTTTTAAAGAAGTTTACTCACTTCTTCATGTTATTTTATTTTGTTTAAGAATATTGCTTTAATTATTCCATGAATTTTTTTCAAGCACTACAGTTTTCAAGAAGCATTTTATATAACATTCTATTTAAAGATCAAACTAAACACAAGTAGGAATGTGAGAAAGGTTTTGAAAAATAAGCCACTTGAGAGAGTATATTGACGTGGGTAATTTCTGAGGTTCTTTAGGTATAGAGATAATTGATCAAAATAGGTCATTAATTCAGTTACAAAAATTCAGTCCCTTCAGACAAATCACTTGTAGAACTTGTGAACCAAAGGACTCTAATGATTGAATGAACACAGTGGAGTCTTTATTTTTAAAGGTGCAAGAGGGATATTTTAAACTTTCTATTTTCACTTTAATTTAAATATATAAAGGCTCTGCTTCAACTCTTGAGAAATTCTAGCTGTAGGAACAACCTTTCCAAATCATTTTCTTCTTTAAAAAATTCTAGTTTTGGCAAAAGCATCTTCAGTTTATCCACAAACCATTTACTTTTCATAATCCATAATTTAAACCAGAAAGTGCTTTTCTTTTTTAATAGAGAAAGCTAATTTATCTGACATTGTCATCATGGAATAGTGTGTTGCAAACAAGCTAGAATTCTAGAAAGTGCGATTTTTTTTTTTTTTTTTTTTTTTTTTTTTTTTTTTTTTTTTTTTTTTGTGATGGAGTCTTGCTCTGTCTCCCAGGCTGGAGTGCAGTGGCGCGATCTCAGGTCACTGCAAGCTCCGCCTCTGGGGTTCACCCATTCTCCTGCCTCAGCCTTCCGAGTAGCTGGGACTACAGGCACCTGTCACCACGCCCGGCTAATTTTTTGTATTTTTAGTAGAGACGGGGTTTCACCATGTTAGCCAGGATGGTCTCGGTCTCCGGACCACATGATCCGCCCACATCGGCCTCCCAAAGGGCTGGGATTACAGGCGTGAGCCACTGCGCCCAGCCAATCATTTTTATTATAGATGAATTATTTGTTTTTACATCTATAAAATACAAGCAAAAATATGTCACACAAATGTATACTGATGATTATTTAATCTTTGGTGATTCACATAGCATAGCTGCATCACCTTGTAAACATTTATTCTCATTGTCTGCAATAATAGATACAAATGATGACAAATATTGGGCTGGATCTCTAATAATGCACTGACAAAACTTTGAGGAAGCTTTTAAAATCAATCTTTTAAATGAGATTTTACTTTCGTTTGTCCAAAACACATCTTAAAAACAACAACACACACACACATAGTTACATATACAGTCTCTTACTTTTGACGGTTTGGCTTACAATTTTTTGACTTTACAGTGGGTTTGTTAGTACACAACCTCACCCTAAGTACTTATTTATCTCTCCAAATCAGAGCTGAATTCTTTGTGACTATGGCCTGAAGCTTGACTTCTTGAAGCTCTGTATGACAAGCTACTAACACAGGAGACCAACTGAAAGACAGCACTCAATAAATGTTTATCAAGAAAACATATAATAGACAGTGTTTCATAGCAGTTTACTCATATTGATTAGTTTTGCTTTGTTTTTCACAACAACCTTATGAATGAGGAAAGTCAGCCAAAAAATTGAGGCTTAGAATATGTGTCACTTCTACAGCCATGGTATTATGTGGAGGAACCAGAACTCAGCTCTTCTGACTGAATCCTGTCTTCTTTTCACTCCTCGACCCTATTCCTTTCACAGAAGGAGAAAAAAAAGAAAAAAAAAGGCTTTGAGCAGTTTTGTTGTGTGGTTACTCTGGTGAATTAAACATGTGTTAGAGTGTGTTAGTTCATTCTTACATTCATTTATTCTCCAGCACTGTGCCTTTTTCATTTGCTTCACAATATTTATTACACTTTGCAATTTCATACCTATGTGCATATTTATTTGTTGTCTGTTTCTCCTACTAGACTGTAAGTCCACAGGGGTAGGGAGCAGGTTGGTTTAACTGACAGTGTGTGTTACCCAGAGCCCAGCCCAGTGCCCTACACATAGTGGATATAGGGAAGTTGAAATTTTTCCCTCTGAAGGTTCAAGTCAAAATCTACTGAAGCGAATTGATAATAGATCAACAGGAGAAAAGACATACAAATTTATTAATGCACATATGGACACAGGAATATTTCAAATATGAGACTCAAAGAAGAGCCAGATGATTGAAGTTTTTATACCAATACAGGAAGTAATACAAGCTGGTAGCAGGTTATGGGAGGCAGAGGGGAGAAAAGGCGTGGTGAGCAAAAGCTGTCATGGTATGCAGATGAAACCTCACAGGTAGCAGCCATCAGAAAGAATAGATGGTAGTCTGTGATAGCAGTTTCTCTGTTGGAACTTTTAAAAGTGTCAGACACTTAGTCTTCTTTTTCTGCGATTTAAACTTTCCTAGATCTGGATAAGAAAACCCCGCAGAAAGCCTCTGTCTCTGCTGTTTACTTCACTAATATAGATTTTCTCTACAGATGCAAACCTGCCTTACAAAGGACTGTTTTTAGAGCTGTTTCTTTGTGTGCAACTCATCTGAATATCCATCTCAAAATGTGCAAAATAACTATATTTTGGAGTAGCATATTTTGGTTTCCTTCCTGGGCATTTGTTAAATATTTTTTGAGTATTTGTTGAATGTTACAGAAATCATATCCATTCCATCCTTCATCTCTAAGCTGCAATAGTATTAGGGAGCACATTTCTCCTCAGGAGGAGGGGGAACTGAGTAAAGGGCACAGCCAGCACCAGAACCAAGTCCCTAGGGTTCTACCCTGTATACTAACCATATTCTCAGAGCCAAGTCACTGACATTCAGTCTCAAATATTCACTTTTTACCTCATTAAGATGTTGAATATGACATTTCCTTCCACAATTGACTTCCTAAATAGGAAAAATAAAGTTTAGAATTCTTATTAATTCATAGATGCTTCCTTTAATTGTCTTAAACTTTTTATTTAATTTTGAAAGTAAAACGTACAGTGATACAAAACTCATACAAATAATATATAAAATATAACTTTTCCCCAAACCTGGGCCCATTTCCAAAGCAATTCTCTTTTCAGTTTGTTTTGTTTTGTTTTGTTTTGTTTTTGAGATGGAGTCTCGCTCTGTCGCCCAGGCTGGAGTGCAGTGGTGCTGTCTTGGCTCACTGCAAGCTCTGCCTCCTGGGTTCACACCATTCTCCTGCCTCAGCCTCCTGAGTAGCTGGGACTACAGGCACCCGCCACCTTGCCCGGCTAATTTTTTGTATTTATAGTAGAGACGGGGTTTCACCGTGTTAGCCAGCATGGTCTCGATCTCCTGACCTCGTGATCCACCCGCCTTGGCCTCCCTAAGAGCTGGCATTACAGGCGTGAGCCACCGTGCCCGGCCTCTTTTCAGTTTTTGTACATATTTTCAGAAACATTTTATTTATTTACTTCCATGTGTATATGGGGAGGAGGTGTGTGGTGTGTGTGTGTGTGTGTGTGTTTTCAAGGTAAGTGCTTTTAAAGTGTAATGTAAGTATGTATCTTTTAAACATCAAATTTTAGTATATAGCTACAAAATATGGCAGAAATCTAAGAGGTTGTTACTAGATACCATTCCCAAGCTTTTCTCTCAATTACTTTAGTAAGATAAATCTAAGCAACCTTCACAAACAAAATAAAAACTATTATCTTAAGATAAAAAACCCTGAAGCATTACTTTAAAAGTTTTTATTTTCCTTACTTGCAGTTACCTTCTGTATTAGTCCATTCTCATGCTGTTAATAGAGACATTCCTGAGACTGGGTAATTAAGAGGTTTAATTGACTCACAGTTCAGCATGGCTGGGGAGGTGTCAGGAAACTTACAATCATGGCAGAAGGGGAAGCAAACATGTCCTTCTTCACATGGCAGGAGGAAGGAGAAGTGCTGAGCTAAAGGTGGGAAAGCCCCTTATAAAACCATCAGATCTTGTGAGAACTCACTCACTGTCATGAGAATAGCAGCATGGGGGTAGCCACCCCCATGATTCAACCACCTCCCACCGGGTCCCTCCCACAACATGTGGGGATTATGGGAACCACAATAAAAGATGAAATTTGTGTGGGACACAGTCAAACAATATCACCTTCCCTTCATTTCAGTCCTTTCCACTCACTTGAATAAAGTATTCTCCAAAATACCTGCAAGTGAAAAACTACATGATGTAGTGGAAAGAAGAGTGAAGTTAAAGTCCAATTTGGGCTGATCCTAAAACAGGATTGAGAAGTTATTGTAACACTCTCTTGTGAAAGTCACTGAACTTCTCTCCACTTTCATATTCTTGTCTATAAAGTGAGAATAAGAATTTCTTCTCTACATACCTTATGAGATATTGTGGAAATCAAATCAGACTATACAGTTTTTGTGCTTGGAATATAGAACATGTATTCAAAGAATTTTCAAGACCAGCTTATGACCTCTTTAGTTCCAGCATTCATATCAAGTTCATGCTGGTGTCCTTTACAAGGTGACATTTGGGAAGGGATGCATGAAAAATGTCTTAGAGTTCACATACTATTTTGGTAAAGTGTGTTGCCTTAAGCATTTACAAAGACCAAGTGCAACCTGCCAATTTTACTGAGGATCATCGATTCTTGTATAGCTCTCCCTAAGATTTTTGAGAAATGAATAAATTTCTAAACAATTCCTAAAAAAGAAAATGTTTACATGAAGAAAACCAATAATTGTACAGTAACACCTTTAAGTAGGGTGATGTTATAACTTATTATCCAAACCAAGACATTCTTGATGGTGAAAGAAGATATACTACAGGACAGCAAGTGTAAACCAGGACTGTCCTGAGAAAACCTTAACATAGGGTCACCCAACCTGAAATGCTACCCTCCCTCTAGTAGAGTGAGTCTAGTTCATAACCACCATTGAAGGACCTGATTTGCTGACCTGTCCAGCTGCTCCTTCCTTAAGATTTAGAGCTTAGTCTGTGCAAGCTTTTCAGTGCTCCCTGAGGATATGAGAAGAATTAGGAAACGATTATGAGATTTTTATAAAACTAAACTGATTCCATTTAAATATTTGTATCTTTTATTCTGAGAATATGTCTCTTCCACTTTTGGTACTTAAATATAATTTCAAGTGTGCATAGTCACTTTTTTTTATTTTTATTTTTCAACGTCAGTTCCAGTTTAGAATGTATTCAACTACAAGGAACAACAACCTGCTAAAATAGGTCTAATAAAAAGTTTGGAAGTAGAAGATCAAGGGCTGCTATAAGTGTTCAGTGATGTTATCAAAGACCCAGGCTCCATCTATATGTCTAGTCTACCATCCACAGCACGATGCCTTTCTCCCTCTTGGTAGCAAGACAGCTGCTACAAGTCCAAGCATCACATCAAAGCTCCAGACAGAAAGAAGCAGGGAAAGGCAAGTGCCTTCTATTCATAATGTTTAGTTTAGTTTAGTTTAGTTTTAATTTGACAACAGAAGACTTCCACAGTAAATGGACAGAACAGGGTCAGATGACAATCTTTAGACCAATCACTGACCAGGGGACATCATGACGGCCAAAGAGCTCTTTTTAAAACAAATTGCAAATCATGTCTTCAAATCCTCCAGCAGTTTCCCATTGTAGGTAGGGTAAAAGCCAAAGTGTAGTGGGCCTACACAATCTGACCTCCTCCTACTCATCTTCTGTGTTCCCTGTCTGATTGGGTCTCTTTCTGTTTTCCCCCTCTCTGTTCCAAACCTCCTGGCTTCTTTGCTGGTCTTTGAACACACCCAGGCTGACTTTTCCTCAAGGCCTTCCAGCCTCCAGATACTGGCATGACTCACTCCCTTCTCCTACGGGTCCCCTCTAACCATCCTATGTAAAAGAACCACCATCCCTGACCTCTCAATACATCATTTCCTAGCTCACCTTGCTTAATTGTTCTCCCTAGCCCACCTTCTGACATAGTCTCTTGGCTTATGTACTTAGTTATCGTTCATCTCCTCTCACTAAAATATAAGCTCCTTGAGGGCAAGAACTTTATCTGTTTCATTCAGAGCTGTATCCTTAATGATTACAATTATGCCTGATTCATAGTAAGTACTCAATTAACAATTGTTGAATAAATGAATGAATTACCGCACTAGTCTAAAGTCTCATGATTCACCCTTAGGGTTGAAGAAGAGGCCAATCTTTCCTATGGTCAGGGATCTGTCCTGTCTAACTGAACAAGTCTGACTATTAGCAAGGAAGAGAAGGAGGGAATGGCTACTGACTAGGTAGCTTGTAGTGGCTGCCACAACATTCTTACTTGGGAAGTTGAAACAGTAGAAACATTCTGTTGGTTCCACCCCATTTTTAAAACAACTAAAACCAAAATTATAGTATCTAGAAAACTTCCTGGTAACCAACATTATTGCCACTCTATCTTTTCACCTTTGCCCTTCAACAGGACTAGTGACCTTAGTCCTCTCCCCTTCTGCACTGGATGGTCCTTCCAGGTACATGACACTTCTTAGCTGTCAGCCTTCTCTGCGTTGACTCCCTGAAAGCTTCCACTTCCCAGAGCTACCCTGTGGGCAGTTCCTTTTCCACACCCCAATTCCCACCAGATGTGGAAGATGGAACCCAAAAAATAAGGGGCTCTCCTGTATGTCTTGATCATAAATTCCTAAGAAGCAAACCATTAATAATGGCTTATAGCATGGACTTGAAACAAAATATATTAGAAGGCACATGCAAGAAAACGTTTAGTAACAAAATAATTTCAAAATTATTTAAGTAGAATTCCTAGAAGATAAATTCTCATTCTCTTTATTTACTGATTAGAATCAAGATATCAAGATTTTAGTCCTTGGTCAGCAACTGCCGCTGGAAATGTAATTAGATTCGAAATAACACATTCTAAATTTATCTTTTAACTCTCACAAATTGTATTCTGCCTCTAAACTTTATCCCTGAGCCTCCACTCCTTCTCCCTGGGTTGTTCCAAACTTTCATTTACCTTTATGATTAACCTCAAAAACTTCTCTTTTTAAAGCAAAATGGTGATCTAATGCCAAGAAACTGGGAGCATGGTTCCTGATTCTGTGTTGCATAATTCGAAGAGTGGATGTACCCACAATGTGGAGAACAGTCAGCGGGGTTGTGGGTGGGAAACAAGAGAAAGGAGGACAGATTCCCCTGTCCCCAGCATGCACGGAACATCTGTTCGTTTATATTAAATGGAAAGTCAGGCTCACCACAGCATGGCAACCCAACTTCTGAGGTATAATTGCGTAGTTAATATTCAAAAGAAATAGTATGCTCTGTAAAAACCAACAATTTTCTCTTGGCAAGTGGGACTTTACTTTTGAAATTTTATGTAAGATTAAATAACCACTTATCATCATTTCAGCACTGAATTTCAAAACAGACCTAAAGGTGTTTTGTACTCATTCGGTATTAATAATTAACAGGGAGATGGCCTTCTCATCCCCCGTTCCCTGCTTGGTGCATGTATGCATGGACATGTGTGGTGGACATACATTCATTAAACTAAGAATTGAGTGCCTATGAGTGGGCACTCTAGGTGGAGATGATGGTGTTCAAGATCCATGGGGCCCCTGCTTTCCGAGAGTTTACATTGTGGTGGGAAGTGACAGTAAATAACCATCATACAGGCAGAAAAGTGTCAGATATAGATGAATGACAGGTTCTACAATAAAGGGATATATGTACACTCCCTTGCATGCACATACTCCCCAGCCCCTAACACATGCTATGTTTAGATGTTCAGATAATATGTCTAGGGTTTGATAACACTTTTTCCCCACTTTAATGCATGTTCTTTCTTGAAATTTGGAGGAAAAAAAAAAACCTATAATGAAAAAAAAAAAATCATCACCACTAATCCCACCATACAGATATACTGGATGCCGCCCATGTGCCCCTGCAAATCCACTCTCCTGCTTTCTTCACCCTGTGTTGTCCCCTCGGAGCCTGATCTGTAGGGGCTGCATCAACCAGCTTCCTTGCCTTGTGCCTTCCAGTTGGGCTTGGACAATGGGAGGCACCAGCAGGAGAGTGGAGGGGTGGAGGAGAGAGACTGGGGTATTTACTCTCCTTGTTCACTCCCTACTGCATCTGTCTATGAAAGGGCTCCTGTCAGACAGCCCACTGCACACAGCCACCCACTTGGGTTCTGGCAATCTCTCTCTTTAAATCCTTCTCACATCTTTGTAAAATGTTCCTTTATTAAATGCTTTTCAAAATACCTAGTCTGAGTGTGCTAACCATATCCTGTCAGGAATCTGACTCAAAGACCAGAGATAATATCTTGTATATTTATTTTCTAATATGTTTCTAGTAACAAATATTTATAGTTTAGCTCATGCTTTTGTCACTTAATGTTATATTGCAAACATTTTGCCATATTATTAAATATTATTTTAAAAGATTACTTACATGGTAATATTTATTCCATTCATAATTTAAGCCTTTATGATTATTGAACACTTGGATTATTTCTATTTATTATATAAACAACTGTGATGAATAGCCTTATTTGTATTTTTATTCTGTTTAAATAGATATTTCCCCACACTGAGGCTATGAATACATTCTTCCATATTGTCTTCCAAAAGCTTTATTGTTTTGTCTTTCATATTTAGACCTACAATATAACTTGTAGTTGATCTTTCTTCTGTATAGGCACTCAGGCTGTCCCAGCACCATCTATTTAAATGACCATCCTTTGTCCATTGCTCTGTAATGCCACCTTTTTCATAAATTAGATATCTGTCTATGCATAGATCTATTTCTGGGCTTCAGTCTATTTCATTGGTCTGTCTAATCTTGTGAAAATACCATACCATTTTAATTAATATAACTTTACAATAAGTCTTGATATCTAACAAAATAGAACCTTTCACCAAGTTCTTTCTTTTCAAAATTGTCTTGACTATTCTTTTATTTCTTTAGGAGCATAGGGAGTGCTGGGAGGGTTTTTCTATTTTGTTTTTAATTTTTTAAAAATAAACATGATAATATTGATTTTTTGAAAGAGTATAGTTCTGTGAATTTTGACACAAATATAGATTCATATAACCACCACCACCAAAGTCAGGATATAGACAGTCCCGCAACACCAAAAAAAAAGTCTCATGCTACCCCTTTGTAGTCATATTCTCCCTCAACCCCAACCCCTGGCAAACACTGGACTGTTCTCCATTGACATAACTCTTTCTTCTTAAAAAGATCATCTACATGGAATCATATAGCATGTAACATTTTGAAATTGGCTTCTTTAACTCAGCACAATGTCTTTGATATACACTCAAGCGGCTGTGTGTATCAATAGTTTGGTTCCTTTTTGTTACTGAGTAGTATTCAATTGGATGTTTGTACCACTGTCCTGTTTACACATTCACTTTTTGAAAGGTGAACCACAGTTTTGTTTACCTATTGACCCTTTGGGTGGTTTCCAATTTTAGCTATTATGAAGAGAACTGCTATAAACATTTGTATATAGATTTTTACTGGAACATAGGTTTTCATTTCACTTGGGTAAATACCTAGGAGTGAGATTGCTGGACCATAAATGTATGTTTAATTTTATGAGAAACTGCCAAACTCTTTTCCACAGTGGTTGTACCATTCTGTATTCACACTGGCAATGTTTGAGAGTTTCCGTGGCAGAACATTTAGAGTTTCAGTGGCAGAACATTTGATATTACCTTTTTTTAAACTTCTAATAGCCTTAAAGTGATATCTCATTTGTTTTAATTGGCATTTCCTATGTGTCTAACAATGTTGAGCATCTTTTCATGTGCATATTTGCCTTTTGTATATTTTTTGTGATGAAGTGTCTAGTCAAGTCTTTTGCTCATTTTTTAACTTAGGGAGTTTGCTTTCGTATTGTTGAATTTTATGTATACTGGATACAGGTCTTTTTTGTAGAATATGCGATTTGAAAATATTTTATCTTACTCTTTAACTTCTCTTTTCATTCTCTTAAGTGTCCTTCACAGAGAAAATATCTTTTAATTTTGATAAATAATCATTTATAAATATTTCCTTTATGAATTATGCTTTTGGTATTATATATATATATAATCCATTTTATATATATATATATATATTAAATGGAAAGACAGGCTCACCACAGCATGATAAACCAACTTCTGAGGTATATATATATATACACATATATATACCTATATATATATATACACACACGTATATATACCTATATATATATACACATATATACCTATATATATATACACACACACATATATATGCCTGAGGTATATATATAAAATATAGATATATATTTTTTCCCTACTCCCAAGTCGTGAAGATTGTTAACCTACGTTTCATTCTAAAAGTGTTAGGTTAAATTATTCATTTAAAATTAATTTTTGAATAAAGTGAGAGGTTTAGGTCAAAATTATTTTGCATGATTTTGTTTTATTTTGTTTTTGCCTATAGATCAAATTGCTGCAGCCCCTTTTGTTGAAAAGACTATCCTTTCATCAATGAATTTATTTTGCACCTATGTCAAAAGTGTTATCTGCCTGAATATTCATGAATGGGAGACTACTGAGTAAATTATGCCACCACCACAAAATTGACTACTATGAGGTCATTGAAAGCAGAGTAAGAGGAGAAGGAGGAGCTGGAGGAAGAAGAGGAAGAGATGGAGGAGGAGGAGGAAGGAAGAGAAAGGAGGAAGAATAATATACATATAAAGTTATCTACACAGAAAATACCTGTGAAATTGGTTTTCTCTGGGGAAAGGAACTATCTGGGAAATGAGGTGGAAGGAAGATTTTCACTACATTCCTTTCAGTGCCTTTTGAATTTCATATCACATGCATGTATTACCCATATGAAAAACAGAATAACTTTTAAAAGTTATAGTGCCCTTCATTTTATAATCACAGGCTATTGACGCCTGTTCATGGTGTTTATCCCTTCCATATCTTGCTTTCTTGATTCTCAGAACAAGAAGACAGTGGGCCAAGTCCTCAGGACGAGTGATGCTTGGTTGTTTTAATTGTTGCCTTTTTGTCAAAAGCAGAAAAGCAGGTGAGAAGTTTTGAGCCACCCCAAAGAGAAGTTTGATTCTGCTGGTGCTGTCAAAGATGACTGCAATGATAGTTTTGGCCAAAGCTCCAAAAAGTTCCCTGAGAGACTCAGAGACTTGTGTGTCTGTGGTTGCAAGGGGTTAGCAAAGGGAGCCCTGTATGATGAGAACTGGCCACCCTAAAGGTTTTACCTTCCAAGTGCAGCCCATGCACACCAACAGCATAGAGCTGCAGCCAAGACAGTCTGTGATGAGCAGATTGGAGCAACACTGTCTGGAATTGATACTCTCAACAGAAATTCCCTTAATAGTGTGGGATTCCAAGGAGGGAAGACCCCTTTTGTTCAGAGTGATAAATCAAGGTGAGCTCTTTTATCCCAATATATATTAAATTGTAGTAATTTCTCTTTTTCCTGTCCTGGGTGTTCCACATCACTAACTGAAGCAAGGTGAATATCCAGTTAACTCAGTCCAACCTAAGAACGCTCTGTCTTCCAAAATAATCACTTGAGTTCATCTACAAAAGGTTGAAACTTTCTAATAAGAGCAAATACAAAGACCTGCTTTAACTAACTGTGTGTGCCTTCTCATAGTTTCCTATGTCGGATTCCCAGAGAAAGCACATAATTCCTCCAAATGAGTTTTCTGATCACTTAAACCAATGGAGCATTCCGTTCCTCTCATTACTTGTCATAATGAATATTTTCAAATTAATGTATCACACAGTTAATATGTATGACATTGTTGTTTTCTTATCAATTTGCTGTCAAACTTTGAAATAAACAGTCCCATAACAGCAGAATAACTCTATATAGTTTCAAATGCTTCTAAAGCTCATTCTATTTCTCCCATTCTAATTTCAGAAAGAATAACAGAGGCATAATAACTGCCTCCTTTCTTGAGTATAATTTCTTGAATCTGATAAAAAATACAAGACACAAAAAATCCTAAGCCTCAAGACTGAAATCTTTTAATGTTTATCCCACAAATATTAACTTCTCTCTTATGTTCAAATGTTGACTTTAATAGACATTAGAATTTTGTATAGCCGTTGATGTTGTTTTGGATTATTTAAAAGAGGGGGTCAAGAAAAAGATTAGAATCTTTTTTATTCCTACAGAGGAAGATGTTTTCTAAGAGGAAGTTCAAGATAGGTTTATTCCAAGTTAATGTGAATATTAGGACAGATTTTAGAATAATAGAAGTTTTTAAGGTGGGAGTTATTTTGCAAAAGTAATTTGATAGCATGGCCAAAGTCAAAAGTCAAGATGAAGAATAAATCAGTATTCATTAAATAAAAGATATTAAGAGAAAAAGTGATTAGGCGCCGAGTTCAGGATGAACAGTAACCTGACTCATGTTCTTCACATTTCACCATAGGATCTGTCCCAGAAGACATTTTCTCTCATCAATTTTAACCTTCCTGGGGAATTTCTGTTCCCTTCCTTTCTTCCTCTTCACTTTCTGAACTTTACTGTAGTATATAGAGGGCTACAATGGGGGCTCAGTAATTCAGATTTTCACAATAATTATATTAAATATGTTCTAGCCAATGAGAACACATTGACACAGGGAGGGGAACAACACACAATGGGGCCTGTCGGGGAAGGGCTGGGGTGGGTGGGGGAGAGCATCAGGATAAATTGCCGGGCCTAATACCTAGGTGATGGGTTGACAGGTGCAGCAAACCACTATGGCACACGTTTACCTATGTAACAAGCCTGCACATGTACCACAGAACTTAAAATCAATTTTTAAAAAAGAATGCACTTTTGCTATTAAAATAAAATTTTAATTATTTAAAAATACATATATATATATATATATTATATATATATATATATATATAATATATATATATATATATGTTCCAACATATGGGTAACTGAGTGTGAATGGGCTGTTGAAGCCTCAAAGATCCAAGCTTCAAAGGCAGGTCTAGATAATTTTAGCTTTAAGATGACTTAAGTGTTATCAAAATATATGTCAGCTAAACAAAACAGAACAAAGCAACTCAGAAAGTACCAACTGAACTTTTAACTTTAACAGTGCAGCTTCCTGGAGAACTCACTGAGAGGAAAATAGTAAAATGTTATCTCTAGAAAATAGGCTATTAACTTTAAGAGAGTTAATTTTAAGGGAACATGATTTAAACATTATGACTTTGTTATTCAGTGGTTAGACTGAAGTACAAGAAGTTGTAATAGAATAATCAGATTCTAAATCTATAAAAAAAACCTTAGAACACATTTAAAAGTCCAATCCTGACTACCCTTTCTTTACTTCTCAACCCACCCACTGTTTATTTTGTTTTGTATAGACAAGGTCTCAGTATGTTGTCCAGATTGGTCTCAAACTCTTGGCCTCTAGCAATCTTCCCACGTTGGCCCTCAGAGTGCTGGGATTACAGGTGTGAACCATTGTGCCCAGCCCTGTTTATTTTTGATGAGAAAACAGAGAGGCTAGAAAGCTTGTTCAAGTCCAAGAGTTGGAATTAGCCGATAATTAGCCAAATACACCAAAAGTTCACCTGCCCATCTGATTTTGCTCATGGTGTCCTCACTAACACAACTTTCTAAAACTCAGTAGTCCTCTCACCCACTCTTGGAAGGTTTCATGAAAACTTTCACTCACCCCTAGACTGAGGTAGATGCCCCTCTTCTTCCTTTCCTTTGCAAAACCACGACACACAGTGCACATGCATTCATCTGCTGCATTGTAATTACGGATTTCCCTCTATCTCCCTTGTTAGACTAGAAGAGCAGGTGCTCTGTGTTTTCATGTCTGTATCTGCAGCACTTACCTAATACTCAGAATACATTAGAGTTTAACGATGGATGTCTTTAAAAGACTCAGTAAACAGAACCAATGTCTCTCTACCACAATTCTGCTTTTTTCACTCTGTGTCCTATACTTAGGCAACGTAAACATTTATTTGTTTATTTTTATTATTGCACTGAACATCTGGGACTTTGTTTGCTGATTTGTTTTATCTACAGAGCATCTGCCTTCATTTTTCAGTTAATGACATTGGGAAATAACTCCACTCTCTGTGTGGTTTGGGTAGGATGGGCCCCCACCTCTAGCTCTGGGAGTGATCTGGAGACCCAGTCATTATATTTTGTGTATGTGGCCAGAGGGATAGTTTCAAGATCTCAAGTATGGAACTGAAATTGGATGAACTGACTAAATCCTAAAACTGCTCTAGAAATATTTTTGGAGGAAGAAGCTCTCTTTAGGCTGACACTGATATCAGTAAATAGGATATTATTAATAGTTTGAACCTGCCTGGGGCCACTAACTAGGGCCTAATAATGAAGCCAGCTCTGAGGAATACAGAGTTGACAGGAAGAGAAAAGATTTGGTAATATCCGTTAAGCTTCTGAACCTAGCTATGCCTCAAGTCAACAATATTAGAATTCATTTGGCTGCGAATAACAAGACATTCCATTAAAAGTGAACATTTATTTTGCTCATATAACAAAGAGTTCATCAGATAGGGTTTTCCAGCACTGATTCAGTAGAACAAATCAAGGCTTTCAGCACACACCTCTTATCCAATTACTGCAGCATCATAGCCTCATGTAATCATCTCCAAAGACAGGAAAGAAAAGTGAATTTTCTTAAGGCCTTTCTCTTTTAATCAAGTAGGAATGTCTTTTCCAAGGGTCCCAAATTGACTTCTTATGTTTCCTTGGCCAGGATTGGGTCGCATATCCATACCCTAGCTGCAAGGGAGGCTGGAAAAGTGCAGATCTGTCATTTTCCATCTCCAGAGTGAGAGGCAGGTTGTTCCAGCAAGGAAAAAGGTGGTAGGAGGGGAAGTCGACCATTAGCAGGATCCATTACATTGATTTTCAATGGATTTTTTTGGTACATAAAGAAAAGTAGTTCACTTATTCAAGACACTTTGAGCCAGGTTTCCACCCCTCACAACCAATTGTGTACAATAAAATATTTTATTTTAAAAAATGTATCTTCTATTAAAAATTTTAAAATGTTTTAAGGGGCCAGGCATGGTGGCTTACACCTGTAATCCCAGCACTTTGGGAGGCCAAGGCAGGTGAATCACCTGAGGTCAGGAGTTTGAGACCAGCCTGGCCAACATGGTGAAATCCCGTCTCTACTAAAAATACAAAAATTAGCCAGGCATGGTGACGCATGCCTGTAATCCCAGCTACTCAGGAGGCTGAGGCAGGAAGAATCGCTGGAACTTGGGAGGCGAAGGTTGCAGTGAGCTGAGATCACGCCACTGCACTCTAGCCTGGACAACAGAGTGAGACTTTATCTCAATAAATAAATAAATATAATAAAATGTTTTAAGGGAAATTTCTTAGAAATCAGTGTACTACTACCAAAGAAGTAAATATTTAGAAAAGTTCTTTTGTTTTAGAATATGAGTTTGACTTCTTTATTTTCATATAGCTTGACCCAGATAATCATGCATTTTAAGCAGAGCCATTCATGCTGAATAATTGAGCCATTATCTCACAAACAGGGCTTTGGTACAATGTCAACATAAAATCACTTACTATTTTGTAGAGTCCTTCATCTTTATCTTGTTTTCAATCTTTGAGATAAAAATATTTTTGGAGTTTAACATTAATATGCTCTTGTATCCACCACACATTCTCCAAACGCATGTCATTTCATCGTTCACTGTTTCAAAAAAGATAATTTATAGAGGATAAAGACATAAAAACTGCACTTAGTTGATTGGGAGAATTGAAACTAAGACATTTTCTTCTCTTCAGCAAAAGATGGAAGAAAAACCTAGCCTACTTCCAGTAAAAAATATATTTCTTTAGTGCACTTTTTCTTTTTTCTTTTCTTTTTTTGAAACAGAGTCCTGCTCTGCTTCCTAGGCTGGAGTGTAATGGTGCGATCTCGACTCACTGCAACCTCTGCCTCCCAGGTTCCAGCTATTCTCCCACCTCAGCCTCCCAAGTAGCTGGGATTATAGGCAAGTGCCACCACACCTGGCTAATTTTTTGCATTTTAAGTAGAGACAGGGTTTCACCATGTTGGCCAGGCTGATCTAGAACTCCTGACCTCAGGTGTTCTGCCCGCCTCGGCCTCCCAAAGTGCTGGGATTACAGACATAAGGCACTGTCCCTGGCTGTGTGGAACATATTTTGATCCTGGCTCATACAAACAAAGTATTATAAACTATGCAACAACAAGAGAACTATGAACACACTGAGTGGATATTTGATGACAGTAAGGAATATTGGAATTATAGGAGTATGGTTATGTTCTTAAAGAAAACTCTTTCATCTTTTAGAACACCTATGAAATACTTTGAGAAGAAAAGATATGCTGTTTGAGATTTGCTTCAAATTGATCCATGGCTTGGATCAATTTGGCTTGGGCTGGGAGGAGGGGAGTAATTTAGATAAAACAAGATTGGTTATGGGTTCACAGTCTTGAAACCAGATGATGGGTTTATGAGAATTTATTTTAATCAGTCTTTTTACTTTGGATTATATTTTACATTTGCCATAATACAAATTTTAAAAATATTTAGACATGTCTTTTTAAATAATTTTAGGGTCATACACTATCCCTATATTAATGGCTTAATTTTTTCAGAAAGAGTGATTTATTAATTACTAAGTTAATTGCCCAAAGGAAAACACAATGCATTTGTTTTAACTTAAGTTGGCTGACTCTGTTTATCAACTTTAAAAAGTGCTGCTAAATTGCTGTCTTATATTAAGTAGACAGCAAAATATGGCACGGTGCCCAGTGCAGCAGTGTTCTAGTAGTGCCCACCACCAACCCTGGGCTTCCACAAATATTTGATTCACATTTCACCTTTTACATATTTTCTAATTATGTTTAAAACTGTCATTTTAGGCTGGGAGCGATGGCTCTCGCCTATAATCCCAGCACTTTGGAAGGCCGAGGCTGGTGGATTACTTGAGGCCAGGAGTTCAAGACCAGACTGGCTAACATGGCGAAATCCCATCTCTACTAAAAATACAAAAATTAGCCTGGTGTGGTGGTGCCCGCCTGTAATCCCAGGCTACTTGGGAGGCTGGGGCATGAGAATCGCTTGAACCCAGGAGGCGGAGGTTGCAGTGAGCCGAGATTGCATCACTGCACTCCAGCCTGGGCAACAGAGTGGACTGTCTCAAAAAAACAAAACAAAACAAAACAAAACAAAAACCGTCATTTAAAAAACCCAGCTCGAAGAATTACCTGCCTGTTACCATGTATGCAGGTTAACTCAATTTTCCTGACTAAGAAGTAAGTTTATTTCTGTCATCACTGTTTAATTGAATAAAGAACATCCTGAGATTGCAAGGTGAGTGGTTGGAAAGTAGTACACAATTCGTCTTAACTAGTTTATGTGAATCTGAGTTTTCTCAACATTTTATAACCCTCCAAAATTTTGAATGTTTTAAGTGCTTTATGACTATAACTTACAACCATAATATCCAAATATTAATTTTTTGTTGTTATCTTTGAGCAACATAATAGCTATGGTCTGAATCTTGGTGTTCCCACCCTCCACTCCAAATTCATGTTGGAACCTAATATCCAATATCCAGTATGATAGCATTAAGAGATGGGAACTTTGGGGAAGTGATTAGGTCATGCAGGCTGTATCCTACTGAATGACGTTAGTGTCATTATAAAAGAGGTTGCAGGGAGCTGCCTTGCCCCTTCTGCCATGTGAGGATACATAGAAGGTGCCATCTACGAAGAACAAACAGATCCTCACCAGACACCAAACCTGCTAGTACCTTGATCTTGGACTTCCCAGTCTCTAGAACTGGGAGTGCTAAATTCATATTGTTCATAAATTACCCAGTCTAAGATATTTTGTCCTACAACCTGAACAGACTAAAACAGAAATTGGTAACAACAGGTGGGTTGTTGCTATATAACAAATACCTAAAAATGTGGAAGCAGCTTTGCAACTGGGTAATGAATAGAGGCTGGAAAAATTTGGAGGTACATGCTGGAAAAAGCCTGGCTTGCCATGAATGGACCATAAAGGTGATTCTGGTGAGAGCTCAGAAGAGGAGAGCTGTAGAGAAAAGCCGTGATATTCTTAGAGATTACCTAAATGCTTGTGAAATAAGAAACATGTTGTTGGAAACTGGAGGAAAAGCTATCCTTGTTATAAAGGTGCAAACAACTTGGCTGAATTGTATTGTGTCCAAGAGTTTTGTGGAAGGCAGAACTTGCCAGTGATGAAATACAAAATCTGGTAGAAGAAATCCATTCTATTTTATTCTATTCTATTAATTAAAAAGGTAGTGCAGTACGTTCTAGAATCAAACAGATCTGGTTTAAGTCCCAGCCAGGTTGGTCACTTGCAGCTGTTTGAGTTGAGCAAGTTTTTTTAAACTTTTGAGTCTTTGTGGCTTCCTTTTCTGTATTTACCTGCCTCAGGGTTGTAAGGATTAAATTAGATAGAACATATCTAACCACCATGACAGCAAAATAAAAAAAAAACTAAATATTAACTGTTTCTGCTATTGTTATTACATGTAAATTCTCTAATTCATACTTTATATCATACTAAAAAGATTTAGTTACCTAAGTGAATAGACTCCAATTCCATTTTCAAATGAGAATATTTAAGAGGTGAAGAAAATACTTCGAAGGTGGATATGCTTTTGGCTTATCTCTACTAAGATCCATAGAAATAATTTAAGAGAGGTTGCATAAGCTATGAAATCAAAACCATTAGGACAAAAATACTACTTTTTAGTAATGTAGGTAAAAAAGGAATTGAGTCCAACTGAGTTACATGATAAACTTTTTAAATTTTTTTTTGAATTTTATTTTAAGTTCCGGGGTACATCTGTAGGTTTGTTACATAGGTAAACGTGTGCCATGGCGGTTTGCTGCACAGATCAACCCATCACCTAGGTATTAAAATCAGCATCCATTAACTATTCTTCCTGATGCACAGTAAGAATTGACTGGCAGAATTTTTTAAAAAAGGATTGAATTTTCAGGATAATAACTTTGCTTTATCTTTGTTCTGTAGTTATTTTCAGTTGTTTGACATTTTAACATTCACCTGTGACTTAACAATTGCAAAATGAAGTGTTAAATTCTACAAATGCAAAAGGGGAATGACTTTTCTCAAATATAGTAACCACGGAAGAAGCTTAACCCTTTGTCAGAAACCCAGCATCTTTTCAATACACCTAAGATTCAAAGGTTTAATTTATACTCAACATTGTTTTAATCATATTCCTTTTATTCATTTTATTTTACTTTATTTTCATAGAGACAAGGTTTCCCTTTGTTGCCCAGGCTTGTTTTGAACCCCTGACTTCAAGCAATCCTCTGGCATTGGCCTCCCAAAGTTCTGGGATTACAGGCATGAGCCACTGCGCTTGGCCCATACTCAACATTTCAAATCTGTATTCTTTACTATAGCTTCCTAGATAATATGACTCTTGCTCATATATCCTCTGCTAAATAAAAATCAAGGAGTTTGATTCTTAATCTCTTGGATTCTTGCTTAAATCAATGAGAAATTTGTGTACCTAATATTGAGTCGCAAAGATCCAAATCAGGAACAAAATGATTACAAAGTTAAAGACATGAATGTTCCCTTTCTATACTTTTAGCTAAACATCTTGAAAAAGAGCTTCTCCTAACCAGTAGTGTAATAATGAGAGGGATGTTTGTACTATGAAGTCAAATATGATTAATTTGAGAATAAATCCATTTTTACAAAATGTATTAGAACTAATAAAATTACTGCAGTACTATTATATTAGTATATTATAATTAAAAAGAAAATGAGCATATCAAATTTAAGGGATGGAAACATGATTTATAATATCCATAAAGATTAATAACTTATAAGAGAATAACTAATTCTTTTAACCATTTTGATTTATTAAAAAATAGAAGTGTGAAATCACTAGGACTCATTTCATATTGACCTATTTTAGAAAAAAAGTAGGTTGATTATTAGGAAAGCAAATGAGAGCCAAGATAAATAATCCATAATAATTGATCATTAATTAATTTTGAGTGGTTATTCTTGCTAGACATTTGTATGGAATTATTAATACTGAAAGTACTTCAATCAATTTAGCCAAGTATTTGACATAAGTTATTTTAATGACACATGAAAGATATCTTGTTAACATTCTGGATGAATAATTTTATTCAAACAAGCATAAATATGATGATCATAATAACAGAATCAGATTTGTAGTCTTATTTTTTAAATTGATGACTATGGTATCAAACACTTACTGTTGTGTCATCTTTTGGCATTAATCTTGTTAATTTGAAGTTTGCAATGCAATGCAGCCACAGAAATAAATAATGGTGATCATGGAAATTATTTAATTCAACATATAGAACTTTACAAAGTATATGTAAGTATGAGGCTGAGAATGGAGATGGTAGGACTTTTCATTGCACTTTTCATTTGAAAAATTTAAGACTCACAATTCAGCAGATGATATCATTTGTTTGGTTATACTACTAACAGTAACCTTCCTCTAAAGAAAGCTGAAAATGAACTTAGCAACATTGAGACTGACTCTTGGCTTTAAAGAGATAGATGTGACTATTGTTCAAGAGCTGTATCTTAAGAGATTTTGCTTTATTTTTGAAGAGAAAAATTGCTGCTACTGCAAGGAAGAAACAAATGACTTTATCAGTGGACAAATGAATATATTTGTTCTGTGGTGGGTGCAGCTGTACCATACTGCAGACATGGCATCATCAAGGAAGCATTTTATTTAAAAGACATTGCAGCTGTCATGACCACTGAGTTCCCAGTTGGTTAATGAATTTCATATAAATGGTGACAATTGGGTATGGGAGGCAGAAAAACAAGTAGCACACCAGGATCCTCAGCACTGGGCATCTTTCTTTCTCAGTCTCTTTTCTTCCCATTTAACTGTCTGTTCCTCCAATAGCACTTACAGCTTTTAGGCTCACAGCTGGAAAGACAAACTGCACCAAGAGTCTTTCAAATGTTGCTGCTGTTGAGAGAGGAATATAAGGGGATGGGCCTTGAGGACATAATGTACCTGGGCAAAGTTTTTGCCAATACTGTGAGCAGTCATTTTTAAACAATGGAAAAATATAGTGGTCGGCAGCCATTAATAACCAATTCATGTCCTTTAATAAATGCTGTCATGGAAAACACCACATCAGAAAACCACTTTGTGAAATGTTCTTTTATCAGATACAGAAATCGTACCTGAAGATGCCATAGAGTATACATCAACAATTACAGGAATACCATAGTAAGTGGAAGCTAACAATTTATCACATTACTAAAAATATTTTGTAATTATTTGTTGATTATCACCATGCCCCTGCAGCAGACTAAAGGTACTTAATAAATAGCAAATTATTTTGTTATTTTAAATAACATTTTATAATGATTACATTATATCTACTCTCTTCTAGAAAAGTGTGGTATAGAAGTAGGTAAATACTCTCCAAGGCTTGTTCTAATTTATAAATACTATGATTGAATCTTTTTTGCTTTGAAAGTCCTGTAATACATTTTCCCATGAGTCCTAAAATTCTGATCTAATTAAGCCATAAAGAAATGACATCAAACTAGATCTTTTATGCTAAAATTGTTGCACAGTAGGTTTTATTTTGTACCTTAGAAAAACAGCATAACATCCACTTTGTACATGATAATAATTACTAAACCATTCTCATATTCAAAATATATATAGCAAAATCTTGTATTTATTTAACAAATCTAACCAGTCATTATATTAAAATGAATTTTCTAGTACAACCTAAATTTGCAATTTTCCCTAAAAGTTTTTAGGGGAAAATATTTTGTTTGACTAATGAAAGGTGATAAACAACATTAGTTTCTCCTTTTGTTTCCCATATTGATTTATTAAGAAATAGAAAAAAAATCAGTAAAATATACTAAGGGATCTTAAGAATTGTATTATTCCTTTCCACAGACAATTTCAATTTATAAACTCATTCTTATTAAAACAGCATTATGTTAAAAAGTGATTTATGAATATCATGATTTCTTTAACCATCCTTTTATTTTATTAATTTTATGAATTTAAAACACCAGTAATTAAAAAAAATTAGTTTCAGTAAATAAATAAGTAATATCCGAAAAGGGGAAACTAATTTTATTTTAGATAATAAAATATATATCATTTTGTATATAATTTCTATAATGAGCTTGAACATAAGAAACTATTAAGTAAAGAAATTCCAAGTAGAATTCAGTTAAATAAAAACTATAGAGAAAAATGTAATATTGGACATTGAAGAGAAAATTTTTTAGAAGTGAGATGACCTGGTCTTTTCTATTAGAAGAGATCGTCAATATGCCCCAGTAGTGTGCTTTTACTACTTAATAAACAGTATTTTGTTACTTTTATAACATTTTATAACAATTACACTATATCTACCCTCTAATATTTATTAAGTAGTAGTTGTTTCTGGGCATAGCAACATTTTAAAAGCATGTTTTGCTTCAACACTTTTCACATATGAATCAAGTACATGATTAATATACACAATTCTTCAAAATATTTAAAACTACACATTAAGCAACATACATTGAACCTGCAGATAAAATCTCATCTTTTATTTATATACTATGCTAGAAAGGAGTGATGTTGTTAAATAAACTTCCACGAATTCATATAAATGAAACAAATTCATATAAATGAAAGCAAAGAAATGAAACGCCAAAAGATGAAGAAATTGTTAGGACACAAAAAATAAAGGCATATATGTGATGATACATTCTCTGACATGCACAAATGTCCTTTGAAATAATTAAAGCCAGCCTGGCACAGCGGCTCACACCTCTAATCCCAGCACTTTGGGAGGCCGAGGTGGGAGGATCCTTTGAAGCCAGGAGTTCCAGACCAGTCTGGAAAACGTGAGACCTCCCTTATCTCTACAAAAAAGTTAAAAAATCAGCCGGGTGTGTGTGGTGGCAAACACTTGTAGTCCCAGCTCCTCAAGAGGTGAGTGTGGGGGATTGCTAGAGCCCCAGAGGTCAAGGTTGCAGTGAGCCATGATCATGCCACTGCACTCCAACCTGGATGACAGAGTGAGACCCTGTCTTTAAAAAAAAAAAAAAAAAAAGTGAGAGCCACATTATTTGGGTAACGGCTGGCAAAAAACTCTTTGTTGATAGTATAAGCTATTTTACACTCTATTTCAACTAAAGAATTTATTGGGTATTTCAGAAATGAATGATTGCGTTTTCTAAGTGACAGAAAAATGGTTTGATGAAATTATATTCATGGCGGATTTCATAGATGGAAAAAATTAGAACAGTGACCAGCAAAAAGCAAGCTTTCCTTTAGCATTAGAAATTATTTAACACCAGGCTCGTCGCAGTGGCTCATGCCTGTAAACCTAGTGTCTCCGGAATTGGTGGGTTCTTGGTCTCACTGACTTCAAGAATGAAGCCGTGGACCCTCGCGGTGAGTGTTACAGCTCTTAAGGTGGCGCGTCTGGAGTCTGTCCCTTCTGATGTTCAGATGTGTCCGGAGTTTCTTCCTTCTGGTGGGTTCGCCGTCTCGCTGGCTCACGAGGGAAGCTGCAGACCTTGGCAGTGAGTGTTACAGCTCTTAAGGCAGCGCGTCGGAGTTGTTCGTTCCTCTCGCTGGGCTTAGGAGTGAAACTGCAGATCTTCGCGGTTAGTGTTACAGCTCATAAAAGCAGCGTAGACCCAAAGAGTGAGCAGTAGCAAGATTTATTGCAAACAGCGAAAGAACAAAGCTTCCACCGCGAGGAACGTGACCCGAGCGAGTTGCCAATGCCGGCTAGGGCAGCCTGCTTTTATTCTCTTATCTGGCCCCACCCACATCCTGCTGATTGGTAGAGCCGAGTGGCCTGTTTTGTCAGGGCACTGATTGGTGCGTTTACAATCCCTGAGCTAGATACAAAGGTTCTCCACGTCCCCATCAGATTAGTTAGATACAGAGTTTTGACACACAGGTTCTCCAAGGCCCCACCAGAGCAGCTAGATACAGAGTGTCGATATGTGCATTCACAAACCTTGAGCTAAACACAGGGTGCTGATTGGTGTGTTTACAAACCTTGAGCTAGATACAGAGTGCCAATTGGTGTATTTACAATCCCTGAGCTAGACATAAAGGTTCTCCACGTCCTCACCAGAGCAGCTAGATACAGAGTGTCCACTGGTGTATTTACAAGCCCTGAGCTAGACATAAAGGTTCTCCACATCCTCACCAGAGCAGCTAGATACAGAGTGTCCATTGGTGCACTCACAAACCTTGAGCTAAACACAGGGTGCTGATTGGTGTATTTACAATCCCTGAGCTAGATATAAAGACTCTCCACGTCCCCACCAGACTCAGGAGCCCAGCTGGCTTCACCTAGTGGATCCCACACCAGGGCTGCAGGTGGAGCTGCCTGCCAGTCCCGCGCCGTGCGCTCACATTCCCCAGCCCTTGGGTGGTCGATGGGACTGGGTGCGGTGGAGCAGGGGGTGGTGCTCGTTGGGGAGGCTCGGGCTGCACAGGAGCCCATGGAGTGGGTGGGAGGCTCAGGCATGGCGGGCTGCAGGTCCCGAGCCCTGCCCCGAGGGAAGGCAGCTAAGGCTGGGTGAGAAATCGAGTGCAGCGCCGGTGGGCTGCCACTGCTGGGGGACCCAGTACACCCTCCGCAGCCACTGTCCCGGGTGCTAAGTCCCTCTTTGCCCGGGGCCAGCAGGGCTGGCCGGCTGCTCCGAGTGCGGGGCCCGCCAAGCCCACGCCCACCCGGAACTCCAGCTGGCCCGCAAGCGCCGCACGCAGCCCCGGTTCCCGCTCGTGCCTCTCCCTCCACACGTCCCTGCAAGCTGAGGAAGTGGGCTCCAGCCTTGGCCAGCCCAAAAAGGGGCTCCCACAGTGCAGTGGGGGCGCTGAAGGGCTCCTCAAATGCCACCAAAGTGGGAGCCCAGGCAGGAGAGGTGCTGAGAGCAAGCGAGGGCTCTGAGGACTGCCAGCACGCTGTCACCTCTCACTAGCACTTTGGGAGGCTGAGGCGGGTGGATTGCCTGAGGTCAGGAGCTCGAGACCAGCCTGGCCAACAAGGTGAAACCCTGTCTCCACTAAAAATAAAAAAAAATTAGCTGGGCGCAGTGGCGGGCACCTGTAATCCCAGCTACTCAGGAGGATGAGGTAGGAGAATCACCTGAATCTGGGAGGCGGAGGTTTCAGTGAGCCGAGATCTGGCCATTGCACTCCAGCCTGGGCAAAAAAAAAGTGAAACTCCATCTCAAAAAATAAAATATAAAAAAAAAAAGAAAGAAAAAAATTATTTAACACCTATAATCAGTAAAATTTGTACAGCTCAAAATGAAACCCGAATATTTTAGGCCTCCCAATGCAAAACTAGAAAGGACAGAGATAAGTAATTCATTCCAGGTGTCTAATACGAGAAGGAACTCAGAGTTTCGTGTGTAATTATTCATTACACATCATCATCTTTACTGTGATAGCACCAGTAAATGTAGCACTTCATAGCATCACTGTGGGGGCCTGCCCTACCTGCCTGGACATTCATAACAGCAAATGGCAAGCCAAAAACAACATTCCGTAAGGCGCAGAGTTCCTTCTCACTGACAGCTTCAGTGATCAGTGTATATTCTTCATCAACCGATGCAGAACTACTAACAGGCTCACATACTCTGGAAAGTCATCATAGAATGTTCTCCTGCCTTTAGGTTTTCAGAAAATAATAGGAAGGGCACGCTACAAGAGTCTATGATTTGTTCTTTCTTCTTCTGTTTTTTTTCGAGAGGAAGTCTCAACTCTGTCGCCCAGGCTGGAGTGCAGTAGCGCGATCTCGGCTCACTGCAAGCTCCGCCTCCCGGGTTCACACCATTCTCCTGCCTCAGCCTCCCGAGTAGCTGGGACTACAGGCGCCTGCCACCACGCCCGGCTAATTTTATTTTTAGTAGAGACGGGGTTTCACCATGTTTGTTAGCCAGGATGGTCTCGATCTCCTTGCCTCGTAATCCTCCCGCCTCGGCCTCCCAAAGTGCTGGGATTACAGGCATGAGCCCCCGCGCCCGGCCTATGATTTGTTCTTTCTAATGTGGTGATTTCACTGGAAGGCGAGGATCAACCCCTAGGTGCTCAGAATTTGGGGGTGAGAGAAAGACAGATGGAGTTTGAAAACATAGCAGTTTAGTAGATTTGACTCTGGAATGTGTAGTAAGCAAGCCAACTCAATCAAGCTTCACTTTGATATCACACAAAAGAAAAATACAGTATTTTCTAAGTCCAAAATAAACTTTTTTTCTTCTAAAAATACCTTTGGTTTTGGCTTTGTTAGTCATAACTTTTAACTTACAATAGGATTTCAAAAACATTAATGACTCTTTAAAGAAATTTATGGTTATAAAATAGGGTGTGCATAGTCATTGAAATATTTTAGATGGAAATATCTCTACTTCATGCTGAACTTATCAAGTCTTTCATTCCACCGTTATCTGATTTAAATCTTTAGTTTTCATAACTTCTCTAATGTTTTCTTTTTGGGGATTGGCATTACACAGATGGAATAAACCAATTCAATGTTAATGACACTGCTGGCAGATATTTGTACATGCCCTACATTTTTCAAATACTTTCATATACGCTGGATACCCAAGACAAGCCTATGAAGCAGACAGAGGAAGGATTATTAGTTGTATATTACAGATTAAGAAACTCAGCTTTACAGATGTCAAGTGACTTGCCAAATGGCTATCAGATGGCAGGACTGAGACTATAATTTAAGTCCTCTGTCTTCCAGTTTGGTGCTTGCATCAAACCAGAACAAACTAAGTAACACTGTAGCATCAAACAATTCCCAGATTCAGAGGCTCAAAATAATGCTAAAAATAACAAAGATTATTTAATGCTCAAAATAACAAAGATATGTTTATTGCTGTTAATGTGTGTTCAGCACAAGACAGGTGGGTGCTCTCTTTAGTTATCTCACTCTGAACCATGCAATATTATACCATCTACAATCTGGAAAGTTGCCTGTCACTGGGACAGAGGGGGAAGAAATGACAGCAAGTCAAACACTTGCTCTTACAGCTGCTTCACAGACCCTTCTGCTCATGGTTCAGCAAAGAAAGCAAGTCTCATGGTCAAGGCTGACCTCAAACAGGCAAACCTATGAGGAAGTAAACCGAACCAGAACTATGTTGTGTCACTGATTACAATAGTCTTCCTAGGCACTAAGTATTCAGTCCACTCTCTTTCCTGTTGGAAATATGCACTCCTGGAAGGAGAAAACCCAAAAGTCCCATGTGGTAAGGGCATCAAGCTCAAAAAGAAGGATCTTTGGTAATACACTGTAGTCCTTACCTCAGGGAGCAATGTGCTTCATGTGAGGATGGGAGTCCTCTTGAACCGGAAACCTCTGAACAAAAAGGGCAAGTTATCTGCCCCACATACATCCAATACATACTGGGGATACATGTTCAGGATAACCTCCATATAACTCTTCCCATTTAGAAAGGAGAAGAAGGGGAGACACAGCAGTGCTGGTCTGTAGTAACTGAAATCTCAGCAAGTAGAAATTTTAACGATCCTCTATCCCAAAGGGAAAGAAAGGTTTCTTGATTAGACCTTGGAGAACACTCCCCAGTCCATTGTTCTTCATAGCACTTTGTTCTACCATCTGAAAAATTCTTCCTTTTCCATTTTCCTCAAAATGGAATATATTCAAAGTGACCATTAAGGAATCTGACCCTGTTGGGACACTGACCAGCTTTTTTAGGCAGCTACATCTGCAGGAGAAAAATATAACGTGGTGAGTTTCCCTTAAAACCAAATGAGTGCAATTTAAAGGACAGTTCTTTATTCTTACATTTTATGTATAATTATGTACTTATTATATTTTGGTATTAAACTATCCTTTCTTGTGAATTTCTGTATTAGCAGTTTCTATGGACTTCTTTTCTTTGGGGGGCGGTGGCGGGGGGCAGTGCAGAGTCTCGCTCTGTCACCCAGGCTGGAGTGCAATGGTGTGATCTCAGCTCACTGCAACCTCCGCCTCCCGGGTTCATGCCATCCTCCTGCCTCAGCCTCCTGCGTAACTGGGATTACAGGTGCACACCACCACACCTGGCTAATTTTTTGTATTTTTAGTAGAGACGGGGTTTCACTATGTTGGCCAGACTGGTCTTGAACTCCTGACCTCATGATCCGCCCGCCTCGGCCTCCAAAGTGCTGGGATTACAAGCGTGAGCCACCGCCCCTAGCCTTCTGTGGACTTCTGTATTACAGGTTCAGTGGACTTTATGAATAATGTTTCCTCTCACTGATGAATAATTTTTGTAAAATAGATATGTTTCACATAAATATAACTTTTATAGCATTGCTGGGATCTCAGGAAAAAATAAACACCTTTAAGGAACTAGAAATAGAGTAACAACAAAAACAACCAATCAAAAAACTTGAGTGAAAACCACAGTTGGAAGTTACTAGTGCACAAATGCATGTGCACACACACAAATGGTTTTTGCTCTGCCAATGGCAAGTGGAAGGACCTGCATCTGAGATTCTTATATTATGCTTAGAAACCTGAGTTAACTGGTCTCAGGCATCTAGAGCCTATGATTCCCAGTAAAAGCATATGTAAATCCCCCCTGTAAGAAAGCTTGGATTAGGTAAAAATGAACACCCAGTCAATGATTACAAATCTCAAGGAAATCAATCAACGTGAGTAAATGTCGGTGGAAATAACATCAAATTAATATCCTTAAGCACTACAAATATTATAATGATTAGAAACAGAATGTAGAACAATTGTGAAAAAGACCTAAAAAAATAGAAGAATCACAGAAATGAACAGGTAACAAAAGATTATTCAAAATGACCAGGGAGATTTGTAAAAGTCATTACAACAGCACTGTTATAAATGAAAAAATTAATGGTTGAAATAAAAAACTCAGTGGGTGGATTTAAGAGAAAATTGGACACAGATAAAAGAAAAAAATGAGAAGATGGAAAAATACTCCGAATTCAGCACGAAGAGTCCAGAAAGTAGAGAATATAAAAGAAAAGTTAGGAGATAAAGGCAATAGATTAAGAAAGGCTTAAACCCAAAGCTGCAAGGTAAACGATGTGTACTTAGTGAGATAAAGATTAAAATCAGGAATAAAACAAGAATGCCACCTCCATTTAATATTGTATTGGCTGCCTTAGCCAATGTAGTAAGTCAAGTAAAAAGAAATATGAGAATCAGAAAAGAAACAAAAGTGTTATTATTCACACTTGATTTCATACAGAATATACCTAAAAAACCTATAGATGATTTATTAGAAATAATGAGCAAATTTAGCAAGGCACTTGGATATAAGACCAACAGATAAAAATCAGTTTTATTTCTATACACCAGCCACAAACAGAAGATATGTTTTTTAAGTATTATTTACAATAGCAAGAAGAGATATAAGGAACCCAAGAATACATGGAACTAAAGATATGCATAGGCCTATGTGGAAAAAACTGCAAAACTTCATCAAAAGACCTCAAATGAAAATCTAAATTTGCAACATACATGATGTTCATGGATTGGAATACCCAATATCCTAAATAAACAATTTCTCTCTAAATTCAATGCAATTCATACAAAAACTCCAACACGCTTCTGTTTTGTTCCTTCAAACTTGAGGAGCTGAATCAAAATTTCATGTGAAAGAGCAAAAGCACAATAATAGCCAAGATACTCCTCAGGAGAAAAAGGTAGTAAATATCTACAAAAAGAACATTTCCAGAACTAAAGCAGGAAAAGAGGAATCTGTCCTTAGCCTAATTCATAATATTAATCCATCTAAAGAAAAAAAATTACCTAAGAAAGGAGCTGAGACTGGCTTGGAAACTAGAGGGGCATGTGAGAGAATATGAGGGATTGCAGACTGTGGAGGAAATGGTCAGAGGGGAATTTGAGGAAGGAGGTCTGGCTCCATCTGCAAGTGGACCTTCTGCTGTATATCAATGCATCTGGGTATTGTTGTGGGTGCCATCAGATAATTAAATCAGCACTTTTCAAACATTTTTATGCAAATACCCCTAAAATATTTTCTCTTCTATTCATATGTAATATTTTCATATATATGAGGTACATGTAAATATTTTCTATATGCATAGAATTTGTAATAATCAAGTCAGGGTATTTGGGGTCTCCATCACCTGAGCATTATCATTTCTATGTGTTGGTATCATTTCAAGTCCTCTTTTCTAGTTACTTTGAAATATACATAATATTATTACTAAGTACAGTCATCCTAGCCTGCTATCAAACATTAGAACTTATTTCTTCTGTTTAACTGTATCTTTGTACCCATTCACCAATCTCTTTTCATTCCCCCTTCCTACTGTTTTCTATCCTCACATCCTTCCCAGCCTCTGATATCTCTCTCTCCCTCTTTCTGTCTCTGTCTCTGTCTCATGTATATATATTTTATATATATATAAATACTTTTGTGACACAACGTCTCACTCTGTGGCCCAGGCTGAAGTGCAGTCGTATGATCATGGCTCACTGCAGCCTCAACCTCCCAGGTTCAAGCAATCCTCCTACCTCAGCCTGCTGAGTAGCTGGGACCACAGGTGTGTGCCATCACAACCAACTAATTTCTTTACTTTTTTTTTTTTTCTAGAGACGGAGTTTTGTTTTGTTGTCAGAACTGGTCTGGAACTCCTGGGCTCAAGTGATTCTCCTGTCTCAGCCTCCCAAAGCACTGGGATTACAGGAATGAGCCATCCCACCTGGCTATCATTCTACTCTCTATATCTCCATGAGATAGTTTCTTAGCTCCAGCATATGAGAACATGCAGTATTTGTCTTTCTGTGACTGGCTTATTTCACTTAACAGAACGACTTCCTGTTCCATCCATGTTGCTGCTACAAATGACATGATTTCATTATTTTAAAATAATTTTAAAAATCTTTTTACCCTTTACATATTTTTAAGGTGGCATTTGTCATGTTTTACCATACATTTAAATAGTTACAAAGGATGTAATTGTGGGTATATTGAAAATAATTAAAATTTCAAATTTCAAAAATTCTATTTATTAAATGTATCCAGTGGAATCTAAAATGTTAACAGTTGATATCCATCCGGCATCATCCATGTATCCATGTAAAAAATATATAAGCAATTTTATGCTGGAAATTGTACATTATTTCTTTTCCTACTTGAACTTGTATTTTTATTCCACTTCCCCCACAGAATTTTATGCTAAAATAAAATATTTTTATGCAAGAGAAGTCTTTACTGCTCATCTTATAATATTTCTCTGCAACAAACATATGTATATAAATTGAAATTTTATACATCTTCACATATCATGTGGTGGATGAACCCTTTTTCCTCCAATTAGTTATGTATTCATAGGTAACTATTACTTAATGTAGAATCAATACCAATATATATATATACGTATATTTGAGATAGGGTCTTACTCTGTCACCCAGGCTGGAGTGCAGTGGCGTGATCTTGGCTCACTGCAACCTCCACCTCCCGGGTTCAAGCAATTCTCATGCCTCAGCCTCCCGAGTAGCTGGGATTACAGGCACCTGCCACCGCACCCAGCTAATTTTTGTATTTTTAGTGGAGATGGGATTTCACCATGGTGGCCAGGCTGGCCTTGAACTCCTGACCTCAGGTGATCCATCCCCTCAGCCTCCCAAAGTGCAGGATTACAGGCCTGAGCCACTAATCCCGGCCCAATACCAATAATTTTAACGGTCCCTTTGACCTCCAGATGGTTTTTATATTCCAGGACAATGCAATGGGTGGAAGTGATGGCTTTCTTTTGTCAAATGGGAAAAGGTGATTGTGAAAGGGGGACCAAGGGGAGGCCTAGACAGCAAGGTAAGTTGTTAGGCCAATCAATTTCAGAATGAGGGAACCTAAGTTGAAAATCTTAACAATGCGTTCCTTTAAACAGTCAGACCTTTACATATACTCAGGCCTTGCAAAGTCTTTGTGTCCCCCAATTTAAGAACCACCGATTCAAGTTATACAACTAATTCCTGTGACTGATTTGCTTGGTGAGTAAAGAGCATTCTGATTATAATGTCACTTGAATTTCCTCAGGATTGTATGTAATATGTAGGTCACACTGACAGTAATAACTTAAATTGCACTTAATTTTGTTCCCGTCTGCTGACAAGAGCTCTCATCCCTTGCAAATTCTGCCAGACTCCTACCCCTTACTTCTCCCAAGCAGTGGTTCTTAAGTGTGCACAAATAAATCTACATAGCCAATTCTTCAGCATCTTTTTTCTGGTTATAGGTACCAATGCATTACAGCTGTGTTTTCCATGCTTTCACATAATAAAAATACAAAGGTAATGGATCAAATGTCAAGTCAAATTCTGTAAGCCAAAATATGTTTGATTAGTTTTAAAACATGTATTATTATATTATAATAATATGTATTATTAGTTTTATAAAAAACCCACACGTTATCACTATTGTTTAACATTTACAAGGACCTTTTTACATATTAAAAATTTCTTATTATGAAAAGTTTGATGCATACTAAATATATGTTATATATGTAAGTTACCAGGTAAACATTACAATTAATACTGGTGAACCCATCACCCAACTTAAGAACTAAAACATGACAAGTAAGTAGCTCTATATCTGCAGGCTCTGTGACTATCCTGTTCTCCTGCCTTCCTTCCAAAGCTGGCCATTAGCCTGAATTTTGTTTTTAGCATTCCTTTACTGTTAAGAATAAACTTTTATCACACACCTGTTTCCTTAAACAATGTGTTGTTTAGAGTCTCTTGTTATTCAAGTTTACAAATATTATATATTCTGCGTACTCTTCTGCAACTAGTTCTCTTCATTCAGTATTTCTAAGATTTAGTTATGTGTATGTTACTAAACATAATTATGGCTTATTTTTTAAAAGATACGTGACATTCTACTGGGTAAATCACCACAATTTATTAATCCATGCTCCTGAAATGAGCATTTGGATTTTAAAAATACTTTTGCTATGATAAGCAATGTTGCCTATACAAATTTGCAAGAATTTCCCACAGGATACATACCAAGGAGCAGAATTGCTAGGTAAACACATTTTCAACTTTACAAGACTGTTCTAAATTTGTTTTTTCCAAAGTGATTGGACATATTTCTATCTCCTCCACCAGCATATAATATCTCTTGGACCTGCATCTTTGCCAACCCCTAGTATTATCAGATTTCTTAATATTTCTCAATCTAGTGACTGTAAAATATCTCTTTGGGATCTTAATCTGCAGTTCACAGACTAATAATAAGGTTAAGCAACCTTTCCTATTTTATTTGTCACTTGGATTTACTCTCCTATAATATGCCTACCATACCTTTTGACCATTTTCCAGTTGAATTTTTATTGATTTATAGGAGTTCTTTATATATAGCATATTATTTAGCAGTGGTAGGTGATATATCTTGAATATATCCAATTCACATACATTTTTCTCATTCAGTTCTCATAGTTCTATAGGTACTTTACAGTTGCCTTTCGGTACTCATGTTTTCTTCCTACAGTAGTAACAACTCCTGTTTTTGTGGGACAGTTTACAAAGCACTCTCAAAAATCTTATCTGAGTCTCCCAACAACTTTAAAAAACAAGATGGGTATTATATACTTGTTTTATAGATAAGAAAACTGAGTGGCTTGCCCAAGGTAATCGGGCTAATAAATCCTCAGACTCCACATTCCATAGCCTCCTTCTGATTATGTGATGCTTCAGCTATTCATAGACATTCATTTAAGAAAATGCTGCACTTCTGCTTAGCACCTTGACCTCAGTTCCTTCTTTCTCTCTGTTTCTTCCATATATAATTCAAAATATAACTTTAATTTATTCAGTTCAACCTAAACAGATTATCTACAAGATGAACAGATGAGTAAAAGAAAGCACCAAGAGAATTTTTAAGAGGACTTTTTTTTTATAAGAGAGGCTAGGAGGATATTCAAAATCACAAGTTATCTGTTCTGTGTCAAACCACATTTTTCAAAATAATGGATCTGTTGTGTAACAGAGAGCTGATTTTAAGTTCAGTGTTTTCCTTTAGCCTCTTAGTTTAAAACAAGAATACAGAAAATAAGAGAAGAAAAATATACTTTGGCATCTATTGGTATTATCTAGATTGGCTTCTGTAGTTTTTAATTTATTATAATACTATCTGCTATATTAGGGATAACTAATATACGTATATTTTTAATTAGTATTAAATATTGACCTTATAGTGAGAAGTAATATTGGTAGGACAGTAATTCCATCACTCATCCTCTAGCTGAAGCTACTACATCTGGGCAGTTCGGTGGATATCGACCTTCTGTAAGAGCCCAGGGATGATGGGTTAAGAGATGCCCAAATGTTCTCTCTCAGATATTTGAGATGGTAAAACGTAGTACTTCTCACTTTCTGGGAACTGTAAAATAAATAGATTGATAGAGAAATCCTCAAGCTAATGAAGCCACTGCATATGAACTCTTTAAATTTTGTAGTTTCCATGGATGAGTATATTTTATGTGCATTACATACACCAGAGAAAACTGGCTGATGAAATTAGCAGTAACAAGTAAGGACTTGAGGATAAATAAGGAAACATAAGTCCTACTCCAAGGTATTTTAATCATCATATAATAATTAAGTACTTAAGCAATTCCTGGGGACCTCTCCCGGTGTATAATAAAAACAGGACCACATCATAACTTCTTCTCCCAAGAGAAAGGTCTCTTGTAACAACTGTATTCTACAGATAATTACTAAATATGATCTTGCCTAATCTCTTTCTTCTAGTATCATAAATAAATGTATCTCCAGTTAAATATCTGGTTTTAACTCATCAAATACTCCTCTATCAGTGTCCAATTCTAAACTGGTTGACTCACCTCTGTTTTAATGAAGTGCTGGCTTCTACATGTATTTTGATCTGCAACTGAGAGCTGTATGTGTTGTAAGTACTATGTGTCTGATGATGGGCTCGCGGTGTGTTTTTCTTTTGAGTCAGGTACTACAGCTAGGCTCATGCAGCCTCATACTGAGTAGGAGATAATTATACCACAAAGTGGTAGCATAAGACAGAGATGTGCATTGGAGGAAAGGGCACATAATGATTCTGAAATTCAGACCTGTGTTTGTAGAAAACGAGGTGAGCTCCGTGTTGATAATTTTGAACACATATTTTATTGTTGTAAGGATATGGGTCATTCATAATGCAAGGGGACCATCATTCCCAACTGGGAAGCTTCTAGTATCACCTAGTCCAAAAGGTCTTAAAGAGGCATTTTACCTATTTGAGGAAGGGTATCCATTATATTTTTAAAGTACATTCTCAAACCAACTGCTTTTAAAAGGGTCTTGCAGTTAAAATGACCACATAATATCCACTACGGGATAAGTGCAAGATTGGTGCAACATTGGGACAACAGACCCAGACAGGGTCTGTCCCAGGCAAATGAAAAAACATGGGCACCTATTTATGGAGGAAAAATGCCCAAGGGTTTCTAGGCGATGAGGGCTGGAGGGTTGATTTGGTAGACTCTTCAAGAAGAGGCTTCCTCTTGCCTTTTCAAGGGGGAAATAAAGATAAACTAGGGACAATGAATTTTAAGGACTTTTCAAGGGTGTGATATCTTTGCTGCTTTCATTTTGATTTTTAAAAATCCCATGTTTCCCTTTATAATTAACAAAATCCATGAATTAAAATGGGTCTTTGTGCTAATCTTTAGGGCAGCAAGAAATGAGGCTCTTGAGAAATAGTACCCCATTTTGCTATCACCTTAGATGTTGGAGAGGGAAAGAGAGGGCGAGAGAGCTGAAAGAAATCCTTCGCAAGAAAACAAAGTAAGTGGACAGAGTAGTTGGCGGGGAACATCTGGGATTATAAACACTGGGGGCAAAGACAAGACCTTGTGAAATGCCTGACATAGTATCTCACGAACCTGATGAATAAAACCATGATATCTGGGTGACCCTGGTGACAACGCTGGGAAAGGTGAGAGGAAACAGAGAGCGCTGTGTTTGAGAGTAATGTTATTGGTTCTTTAGGAACGAGACCGTGGGCTCTTAGTGACGCTGTGGGTTCCTGAGTTGTCTGGGAGTACAGGGACTGCAGCCTCGAGTCTGTCCAGCTACGATCACTTTGGAAGGCCTTCGGTGGGATGCGGGCAGAAAGCTCCCAGTGCAAAGGGCGTGCCACGAAAACCACCAGCCAGAAACCTGAGCTGGGACAGGTGCGCTCCGCCGCCGAAGCTTTCCCCGCGGCCCCTCCCACTCCCGTCCCAGGCCCGCCCACATCCCTGTCCGGGACTTAAGTCCGGCACCGCCGCCCTCTCCCCCGCCCCGCCGCGCTAGAGCCTGGGGTCTCGGCAACTTCCGGCGGCGGGAGCTGCAGAGCGCAAGGCGCGCCCACTGCGCGTGCGCTTCGGCCCGGCTCCTCCTGCGCCCCCGGCCCCTGCGACTGGGACTTGGTACGGCCGGGCGGTTGGCGTCCTCTGCGGCTCCTGCCAGGGGCGGGCTTTTCAAATCTTCCCTTTGAAGGAGTGGCGACGGCCCGGACAGTTCGCGTTGGAGATGGAGGGGCCGAGCCTGAGGGGTCCTGCGCTCCGCCTGGCGGGGCTTCCCACCCAGCAGGTGAGTTGCGGGAGGGACCCTGCCGCGGAAGGTGAGGGAGCCGGGGTTCTGTTCCTCGCGCATTTGCTTTGTGGAGGAGTCGGGAAAGCCTCTCCCCCGCTCCTCTATTTCAGCGGTGGCCAGAAACAAAGGGAGGGATTAGGAGACTGCGCTCTTGGGGCTCTAAAGGGCCTGGACATCGGAACCCCCGAGTTTCTCAGGCAGCTGAGGTCCGGATTGGGAAGGCGGTGCCGGGGTCCAGGCGCGCGTTTGCGGGCGCACCTGTCCGCTGCCCTCCCCAGGCTTTGGACGCCTGTCTTTTTGCAGGTGTAGGTGATGCCGGGGAAATGGGAGCCCCTCGATTCCCAAGAAACCCAGCGAGGCCAGTGGACAGCTGGCTTATTACGGATTTAATGGGAAGCACAGTAATGGAGCGATGTCTACACACAACACAGAACTGGTTGGGGGGAGGGGGTTCGGAGCGGAGTAGAGGCAAACAGCAACCTCTGCACTTTAGAAAAAGTTGAAGGTTTGATACTGGGTTCTTTCTCAAATCATTTGAAAGGAAAGAGGGAGTACACGTGACATTGGATAGAAGTTTGATGTTTGCTTTTGAGCCATGTAAAATGCGTTAGAAACCTTTTTATTTTACTTTTTACTAAACCAACATTATTTCTTGGCAGCATCAGTTATTAAAATGTTACCACTTTTCACTCTTAACCATAACTTTAGGGTCTTAAAAGAAAACTCTGATGTCTTTAAGCTGGACCTTCACTTCTATTTTAATCTCTACCTTCTTTTACCTACTTCAGAAATAGGTTAAGCCATATGAAATTGCCAGTTTTGTAGGTCAAAATTGGTAGAATATTTGCAATTTCATTCATATGGAGGCACCTGATATCTTTGTTTAAAAATCTGGGATTTCCTTAGCAGACACAAAATTATTAGTTTTCAATAATACTGTGAAAAATAAAGCAAGACATTAAGATTCATTATGCAAAAGAAGTCCAGTGTCTTTATCAGTAATACTTATGCTGTTTTATGCCAGCATTTTCAAAAATTTCAAAGATTTTGATGTACTTTTTTTCAGTCCTGTCCTGTTATGTACTTTGGCTGTCCTGATTGCTAACAAAATCTTGATTTATAGTGAATTGCCATTCTATTGATGTTCTTGCACCTATCATATAGGTGTAGGTGTAGCTGTCCAGGTGTATTTATTGAGCTGCAGGCTGCAAGAATAGGAATGGTACAGAAGCGACAAGAGGATAAAATCATGAAGTTTAGTTGCATGGAATGAAAATAAATGTTTAAATATACATAAAGCCTGGGTTATTTACATGTGGGAAGATACAATACTTAATTTCTTAGGCAGGACAAAATCAAAATGATTGAAATGTGGAATTACTTCCTCAGTTTGGATTTGAAGAAAAAACACAAAATAGTAGTAGGTTGCAACCTAACAGGAATATTGAGAGTCAGATAATTTTATACTTGACTAACACTGAATTTTTATTTGGTATTTCCTTTGATACATGAATGAAGCTGCCACGTAATCGAGATAAGGCCAAAGATTTTGAGGTGGTCACACACTGGTCAAACACCTCTGCTGAAACCCTGGAGTCCTCTGCGACTCCTCACAGCATAGAGTATTGGCTTTGGAGTCAGATTCAGGTCAAACCAAACTCTTCTTGTTGTGCAACCTTGAATAAGTTATCTCTGTTTTCTAAGTTTCAGTTTCCACCGTTGTAGCTTGGGTATTCCGCCTATCCCAGACAGCTGTTGGAATTGGAGAACCTCTCTAAAGTACTTATCACAGCACCTAGCACTCAGGATGTGCTTCAGAGATGACTATTGTTGTTATTATCCTTTGTCCTATTCATCTGAGTGGTTAGGGCAGTCCCCTACTTTTCTTACAAATGTTTAAGCTTTTGGCATCTTAATAAAAATAAAATTCAAAAAGTAATACTATCTCATTGCAGAAAAGTCAACATATACAGAAACATGAATTTAAGAATTCGGTCTCCAGTTCCATTCCCCAGAATGGCCGCTGTTAACAATTTCCAGACTTTTTTCTGTACATAAACAATTCTTAAAATCCACACAGTTTCTTTTAGCAAAATGAGAACGTACTGTATTTACTCTTTTCTTCTTCACCTTGGTCTTTGTTAACATGGCTTAACTATATCCATTAGGTGAATCATAGTTTCTGTCTTGATTACTGCGGTTGTCTTACCGGGAGTTCAACTTCAGGTTTTTTTAGTCAGTTTTTAATACCAACAATAAAGCCATTTTCTTTGCACTTCCTTCATGCTAGGCTAGCTCTTAAAACCTAGTAGGTTTCTGTTTCCTACTTAACCTAAATTTCTGTTTTTAAGGTATGCTCCTATTTCATTCATAGCCTTGTCCATATATTTTTATCAGCCTGACTTTAACTACTTATAGCGTCAGGACAGTGACACAGGCTTCTGTTTGACTTGATTAGAGGCAAGCCCTTACTCAGAAAATTGGAAAAGAAATAAGAGTATGATGGCCTTACCTCATTCTCTGCTGTTCCTGGAGACTGGCATTCAAACAATCCTAAAAGGAATGGTTACAGAGAGACCAGCTTTTGTCTTTGGTCCTAATCAGCCTTGACTCTACCTGGCCAAGCCATTATGGCTGAGGGAGCGACACTGATGATTTTCCATTCCCTACTCATCTTCTTTGAGGTTAATAAACATCACTATTGAATGCCCAATCGGTACCCTTATTACATGATCATTATTCTTGCTGGGGATAGCACTAGACATGAACCCTTACCCCTGATGCATTGTATACCCTTAGTAACTAAAGACAACTCTAAAGAGTTTTGGTTCCATAAACCCTTCCTTGCTAGAGCTAGCACTGCTTAACCAGAGAGGCTTTTTCTGCATGTAAAATGTAGATGTGTACTAAAAGAAGTTGCATGGGAAATACAAAACTGGCTAAAACAGTAGCCTTAAGAAAAAAAAAAAAACCAACAGCTCAGAATACATTGAAAACCATATGTACACTTAACAATTCATCCTGCTTATGTTAGCCTTCTGGGATCCACTTAACTGACATTTGCCTGAGACCTGCCTCAGCGAGGGAGGTAAGATTATAGTTTACTGTGTATGTTAATTTGGCTGGATTATGGGTCAGTAAACTATTTCTATAAAGGGGCAAACAGTAAGTATTTTCAGCTTTGCAGGCCACTCAGTCTCTGTTGAAGTTGCTCAACTCTGCCCTTGTAGCTTAAAGGAGCCATAGACAATATGAATGAGTGTGTCTGTGCTCCAGTGTAACTTTATTTACAAAACCAGGTCCCAGCCAGGCCATAGTTTTCTGACCCTTGCTCTAAAGGAAAAAATCTTAATAGTAGTATCTGTTAGATACACCTCATTTCCTTAATAAATAGTACTTTAATCTTACATCATCTTCAAACTTTTTACACGTACATTTTTTTTTTAATCCTGACTTTACATTTTCTTTCTCTACTATTTCCCAAGCTTCTATAGTTTTATGGAGTCTTCATTATAAGTGATGGTGAGAAGATACTCTTCATTTATGTGATAGAAACACAAACTGATTCCTTAATGTGGCTGTAGCCACCTGCTGGTTCTTTAAGGTTGTTGCAAGTTTCAAGATTGCTGTGGAATTTCAAATAGTCCAGCTGTGCTTCTCTACCCTAGCTGACCATTGAATCACCAGAGGAACTGTAAAAAAAAAAAAAAATGCTCAAGCCCCACCTCCAGAGAGCCTGATTGGTTTGGGGTAGGTCACAGGTTTAGGTACTTCTATAAGGCCCTTCCTCTCTGCCTCAGATGATTCTAATATGCAGCCAGCTTTGAGAACCACTGTGCTAGTTCAACTGCCTGTTTCATTGTATCATTTAAAACTAAAGTTGAATTTAGTGGCACCAGATGGTATTTGTTTATATTTGAGTTGTGGGGTAAAGCTATTCATCCCAGCTTTAGGTTGCTCCCTATGTGCACTCCCCAATATAGTCAGTCTGCCAGAGTTTATTTCTATAGACATATGGGTCACATAGATAATTCTTATAATTAATTGCTAATTACATTGAAGAAGAATTTACTTTGGGGCTAGTAAGTCATAAAAAGATGAAATGGAGTTGTTGAAATTCAGTCATGTGTAATGAAGGAAAACCAGCAAATGACTACATTTATATAGTACACCAGTTTTGAGTTACAACACTATATGAGAAGGTTTTTATGTGGTGATTACATGATGTAATTACAGAAGGTAATTAAACAGCTGTTTTCTGTGTGTAAATAGTACAGTTGATTGATTTGGATAGTCAAGTTAAATCATCTACTGTAGTTTGTCTTTTGGGGTAGTCTTCAAAAACTATTAGCTCTCCTAACTTTCATCTTTTCTTTTTGAAAAGGTTGTATAGACCTTTTGGTATTAGATTTCATTTACATTTTTAAATTTACATTTTGATCCATTCAGAAGGTAAATTATAGTCTTTATTTTTTTGCCATAGAAACTAGGATGGTCACTTTATGTTTTAGAAATAGACATACCAGAAACATTACATGTTTGTGATATAATAAAGAGTACCTTTGATTTATAATTTTTATAAAGTCATTGTGAATTAAATCAGAACTGTACATTCAGTTTGTAGAATTTTAATGTTGCGTGTGAAACTTATATGTAGAATCAGGCCATTAAAAGATAATTATATGGAATAAAAGACTTTCAGCAATAAAATACTTAGTAGTTTCATGGTGAACCCTAAAACTAAAATAAATGGTATGTCCAGAATTGTATTCTAAAGCTCTGTTCCAGATAGCTAAGGCTTCTGACATTTTCAGTGTACAGCGCTTTCACTCTCTTGCTTCTGAGATTGTATTTACACTGCCTACTGTTACAAATAGCCTGTTTCCTCCCTGCTACTAAACCTTGGCTCCTTTACTCAGTATCTGCTTTTTTCAGAATGTTTTTCTTGGTTAATTCACTGTCATCAACCACACTGCCATCTCTTAATACAATGTATATAATATATATGTGTGATATATTGTTCACATTAGTTATTGTATGTTTTCTAAGGCTGCTATAACAAATGACCAAGACTGAGTGGCTGAAAACAAGAGAAATTTATTCTCAAACTTATGGAGGCCAGACGTCTGAAATCAAGGAATTGGCAGGGTCATGCTCCTCTGCAGGCCCTAGGAAAGAATTCCTTTCTTGCCTTTTCCAGCTTCTGATTGTTGCCATCAATCCTTGGTATTTTTTTGGCTTATAGACATATTAGTCTCTGTCTTCACATGTCATTCTCTCTGTATGTGACTGTGTCTTCATGGGACCTTTCTTTAAGGACACTAGTCATTAGATTTAGGACCCACTCTAATCCAGTATGTTCTCATTTTACCTAATTACATCTGCAAAACCCTGTATCCAAATAAGGCTACATTCTGAGGTTCTGGATGGACATAAATTTTGGAGGGATGCTATTAAACTTCGTATAGTTATAAGAACACATAATGTTTCTCACCTTTGTTTATGTTCGTTTATTCCGTTTCTTTAGATTGTAAAGACTTCCTAATGAAGCAAGAAGTTTAGAATTGCAAAGAGCATTTTAAAATAGCTATTTTTACACTACATATATTAAAACTTTGTTGCTTTCTCAATATGGTATACAATTATGATACCTATTTTCGATCTATTATGGGTTAAGATGTAATTTTGGGTTTTTGCTATATTTTCAAGATGCATTTTTTTTTTAGGACTGCAACATTCAAGAAAAAATAGACTTAGAAATTCGAATGCGAGAAGGAATATGGAAACTCCTTTCTCTGAGCACTCAGAAAGATCAAGTTTTACATGCAGTTAAGAATCTCATGGTGTGCAATGCTCGACTAATGGCCTATACATCGGAGCTACAGAAATTAGAAGAACAGATTGCAAATCAGACTGGAAGATGGTTAGTAACATAGTTTACCTGTGGCTTTTAATGTACTTAAATATGTAAATTTAAAACACAGTATAATTTAAGCTTAAGTACCAATGTCAAATCACCAAACTGTTTTAAAAAACAAATACACTGAAGTAGCAGCTGACATCATAAACAGTTTGCCGACACAGCTCAGAGTGAACTTAGGCAGCAGCTTTTATTGGGCTGTTGTGTTCAATATGTAATTATAAAATGAAAATTATCCAGAAGCAATGACTGAGGGAGCATTTTAAGAAGAAAGTACCAATATTGATAGAAATGTAGAGTAAGAAAATTAATTGCTTAGAAATATGCTAATATAAAGGTACTAGCTGTGAGACATGGAAACTCAAGTATAGAAATTGAGATGAGTGAGCAGCAAAATTATAAAGAGATAAAACCTTATGAATGGAAAGGAACTTAAAAATCTGCTAGCCCATCTCTTGATATGGTGAACATAAGTCCCAGAGAGGCAAAAAACCTCAAGGACATTCATGCAACAAGTGATGGAAGCTAATGAGATTTAAGATTTGCTAAGTATTAATAACTTCTGCTCATGTGTTCTGTCATCTCATGCTGTTCTTTTAGATTAGATCTATGATTTGTATATGAAATTTATATCCTAACTTTTTACAATGCCAAATCTTACTTGAACCTAAGAATTGGTTCAATTTAGAGGCTGGATTTTGGTGTATTTTAAATAAAAACAGTCTTACATTCCCCTTTGTTGATTCACAGCTCTGACACAAGGGAAGAGTTTCTTGTTAGACAATAGTGACTGTTGGGCTCAGCATAGCATCATTAAATTCTTGAAAAGTAAGTTAAAAACACCAGTCAGAGTCTGAGATTTCTGTAAAAGTAAAATTTTGATGAGGATGTAATGTAATAGAGACCTGGATACAAAGTAGCCAACCTTATTAGCTATATTGCCATGGGATAGCTTTTATTTATTTATTTATTTTTTAAAGACAGAGTCTCGCTCTGTCACCCAGGCTGGAGTGCAGTGGTGTGATCTCAGCTCACTGCAACCTCTGCCTCCCGGGTTCAAGCGATTCTCCTGCCTCAGCCTCCCGAGTAACTGGGACTATAGGCGTGTGCCACCACACCCAGCTGATTTTTTTTTTGTATTTGTATTTTTAGTAGAGATGGGGTTTCACCATGTTAGCCAGGATGGTTTCAATCTCCTGACCTCGTGATTTGGCCACCTCGGCCTCCCAGAGCGCTGGGATTACAGGCATGAGCCACTGTGCCCTGCCGGGATAGCTATTTTAATCTCCTTGTGCCTCAGTTCCTTCCTTACAGTGGGCATGATAATATTTACATTTTGAAAATTGAGATTTTATATATACAAAAACCTAATGTAATGCCTTTTACATACTTAGTACTCAACAAATGTCAGTTTTCATTCTTATATGCCTCCAGCATTATACAATGAAATTGTTCCATTAGCATAATGTAGGAAAATGTTTTTCAGATAGGCATACATTGGTTTAAGTGAGTGCTTCTCAAAGTTGGTAACTTGTAGCACTGAGAGTACATGATGCAAAGTCATAGAATAAATATGGCATGTCTTCTTAGAGCATGAATTTTTAAGATTAAGCATGAGAAGTTTAGAATAGTGGAGTATTTGGAGGTTCTGCTTTCTTATTCCTGGGGATAGGGGATATATGTTCCCTCTCAGCCTTTTTATTAGGATATTTTGTCAAGAGGGGCAGTTTCAATGGAAAAGTTTGAGAAGCCCTGATTTTAGAAAGTATGGGACTAAACATTATATTATGTCATCTATCACAATATCTGGAATATTATTTTTGGGACCATATCTGCCTCCATATTTAATGCTCTTTAAATATTTATAATGAGTTATGAATTGACTGTTTCTTAAATTCGGCAGTGTGGCTTTTCTGAAGTTGCTGATGTATAAAAACTATTAAATAAGCCTAATGCCTGTTCAATTTATATAGCAGTGATGGGGAAAAATTAGGATCCCTAACTGGAAATGTGTATGATTTTCAGTTTCTTTACTAATTATCTGTGATAGATGAGAATATCTTTGTCATTATACACACACACACACACACACATATATTTGTTCATCATTCATGTAAAAACAGTGTTTCCCTTAATTATTGCTGGAATTTAAAAAAATCTTGTATAGTCTATATGTATTCTTTGTTTATAGCTTCATTTTGTATGTGAAGATATAACCTGAGGTGACTGATCAGATATAACTAGAAATTATAATTGCTTTGTTATTACACAAAAATGACTTGAAGATTAATGATTTAGTTCCTTGAAGAAAGTTATGTAAATTATGCAGATATACTGAATATCTACCGCTTGCAGAACACTTATTAAGCCCTGTGCTAGGGTGTCTATGTTAAAAGAACAGAATTTGTCAAAATATGACAATATTGTATATTCAGCAAATATTTTGCCTTTAGAGACTTAGCAGTCTGTACCTTAGTTTGGTTAGTCCTTAAGGTGGAAAAATGCTCAGTTTTATATTGCTGCCAGAGTTAAAACAAATAGCATTTTAATGAGAACACTAGTCTACCTTCTCTAAATTTTATGATAAGATGTCAAAAAATAAGTATAGACACTAAATCTAGACTTTTTCAAAGAAGAATCCAATAAGTGTGAAATGGTGGAATTGACGAATATCTAATAGAACAATTGGGTTTGGATCTTCTAGATTGTGAAGGATGGATAGAGTCCAGGTAGGTGAGCAGGAGGAAGGCAGCATTCCGAGAAAAATTACAAAAGAGGCCGGGTGAAGTGGTTCACACCTGTAATCTCAACAGTTTGAGAGGCCAAGGTGGTCAGATTGCTTGAGCTCAGGAGTTCGAGATCAGCTTAGGCAACATGGCAAAAACCTGTCTCTACAAAAAAGACAAAAATTAGCCAGGCATGGTGGCATGTGCCTGTACTCCCAGCTACTCAAGAGACTGAGGCGGGAGGATTGCTCAAGCTTGGGATATCAAGGCTGGAGTGAGCTGTGATTGCACCACAGCACTCCAGCCAGCGCAAAAGAGTGAGATTCTGTCTCAAAAAGAAATAGCAAAAGAAAAATTTACTTTGAAAAATAAATATGAATTATTCAGGAGCAGGGAAAAGATCTGTTGTGTTGAGTCTGAAGATCAAGGCAAAGATGAAAAGGAAGGAGGAAGCAAGATTCAAGAAAGCCTGGAATGCTACAGAGTTCTTTGGTATTAATTAACAGCCTTTCCAGGTGCCAGGCATTGTGTAAGATGTTCACAAATATCACATTAAAAATGGAGAAAGATATTGTATTAGTTCATTTTCACACTGTTAATACAGATATACCCGAGACTGAGTATTAAGAAAAAGAGGTTTAATGCACTCACGGTTCACATGACTGGGGAGGCCTCATAGTCATGGCAGAAGGCGAAGGAGAAGCAAAGTCATCTCTTACATGTCAGCAGGCAAGAGATCATGTGCAGGGGAACTGCCCTTTATAAAACCATCAGATCTTGGGAGACTTACTCACTATCATGAGAACAGTGCAGGAAAAACCTGCCCCTATGATTCAGTTACCTCCTGATGGTCCCTCCCATGACACATGGGGATTATGGGAGCTGCAATTCAAGATGAGATTTGGGTGGGGAGACAGCCAAACCATATCAGATATAAACCTCTTTTAAAGGCTGTAACTCTTTAAGGATACACAGTGCCTTTGTGGCTAGGTCATGAATCCAGGTGACTTAAAAACCCATGTACCTCCATCTCCCACTCCGTCCAAAAAAGAACCTGTGCTTTTTTTTAACTATTGCTCCAAGCTGCCATGGTGAGCTATTACAGGGCTTTATATATATATTTGCTTACCCGTGAAAATATCTTTTATGTTACATATACACATGTATATTTCTTCATCATTCATATAAAAACATTGTTTCTCTTAATTATTGAATTCTGGAATTAAAAAAATCTTGAATATTCTATATCCTGTTATGTTTTATCATTTTATTTTAAGCAAGGAAGAAGTATGATAAAAACAAGTATTTGGGGAAGGTTATTTGGCAGCAGGGTATTAAAAAGATGAGAGTAAATAATTGAAATAACCAGTTTTTAGGGAAAATATTTAAGAATAGGCAGACATAGAAATGATCATATAAAGAAGTAAGCTTTTATTAGAGAAATGAGGAAATCAAAACTGTGTGTGGATTTCTTTAGGGCTTTTCTAATAGATCTTCACTCAAAGTGCTCTCTGTACATAATCATTCTGCAAGAAGTTTTAAGTTATTTCTCAATCCAGTGAAATTATTTAAGAAGTCAAATAATCTTACTTCATTCTAAAGCCTTTTAAAACTCGGGTTCCAGGAAAGAATTAAGTCCTAATGTCCTAAGAAGTTCATTGTATGCATTGACTTAACTGCTGCATATAGAATAGTGCTACTTTTGTACCACCCTTGGAAGAATTCAATCAATGGTTACTCTGCTTTAGATGAGGAACCACAGTTAAGAAATCACTAATATCATTTGTTGTTTTTTTAAAACCACACAATCCTGAGAATATTGGCAACTGGTTAAATGTTCTATTACCATACTGTTCCAATAATATAACAAAAACTTTTTTCTAAGTTGTGTTTGGGTATGAAATACCTAGTACATTGCCTGTTCTTTATGCTTGAACAAGCCAAAATACCCAGGCTTCTGTACAGTTCCCAATGGAGTCAGGATGTAAAAACCTTTCTGGATTGGGTAGGCAGTAGGTCGTTAGGATGAGGTGCATAGGTTGCTTACTGCCTCAATTTAGAGGTATCGTGGCTTGGTTATAGCAGTCTGTTAATTTGCTGGACTTTTGACTAGTAAACTATCATTGTACCTTTTTTTCTGCATGCTGTGGCTGGATATGGCTACTTAAAAGATGGTTTATTTCAGTCTACTTTCAAAAAATAGCTATTGGTTTCCATTTACTGAAATAGGCATTCCAGAATCCTTGTGGTCTGATCCCAAACTCCTTGCACTCTTATCTTTCAATTTCTGCTTTACAAATTTATTGCAGCCAAATGCTTGATTGGTATCCCGAAAATAGTTCTTGGATTTTCACATCTCCAGTGTGTTTGCTTACACTGAAGTGCCATATCTTTCATTCTCACTTGATAAAACCCACTTGTTCTGGGACACCACACCTGCCTCAAAGTTTCCTTGATAATTGTATTCAGAAAATAATTATTCCTTTATGTCCATGGTAAGGACCCAAAAAATGACTATTTACCTCCTTTTACTTCTAGTACCATCCAAATCATGAATACCTCACTATAACATACTAAATTCTAATAGAGCTATTTATAAGCAACATATCTTTTCATAAATTATAAGCTTTTGGAAACAGGGACAATGTCTGATTCTTCTTATCAGTGAAATAGAATTGATATCACCATTAATTTCACAGGATTACTGTGAGGATTTGGTGCCTGGAGCTTAGAGGCAACTCATAGCTGAGGTAACTCTTGGTTCTCTCCTTCTTTCTACCTTATATCCCGCAGAACACCAACAGTGTTGTGTACTTACTTAAGAACAATTTAATGTATGCTTCATAAATAAAGTTTTGCCTTGTATCCCCTTAATGTGTATGATGAGCAAATAGGGCTTAGAATTTAATAGGAGTTAATTATATACCAGTTACTTTTTTTTTTGTCACCTTCTTTTATGTTCTTAGGTTCTTACTGTCATTTGTTGGTCTAAGTGTCTGTTCATCATGTTCCAGATTGTCATTTATTCCTAACTATGTTTGCTTTTTAATCAACTTTTTATTATGAAATTTACATACGTAAAAATTACAAGAATAGTACAATCAACATCATGTATATTCTCCCCCTAGGTTGTCCAGTTAATAGCTTGCTATATATATTCACTTCATCTACTCTACCATTTTTTCTATACACACACAGACACACACACGCATACACAAATACACATACTAGCATGTGTATACATGCACACATTTTTCTTTTTTGTTGTTGAACCATTTAAAAATAAGTTGCAGACAACATGGCACACACACCACAATAATTTGGCATGGATCTTTTAAAAATAACATTCTTCTACATAATCAAAATATTATATACAAAATATTAGTAATTCCATAATAATCTAATATCCCGTCCATATTCAATTTTACCAAGTTGTCAGAAGAAAACTGTTTATCTTTTTTTCCCCCAAACCAGAATTCAGTCAAGATCTATGCAGTACATTTGGTTATAACTCCAGTTTCTTTTAATTACTCTGCCTATTTCTAAAAACCCCTTGTCATTTATACTTAGAAGAGCCTCGGCAAGGAATGGTGGCTCACGCCTGTAATCCCAAGACTTTGGGAGGCTGAGGTGGGAGGATGGCTGTAGCCCAGGAGTTCAAGACCAGCCTGGGCAACATAATAAGACCTCGTTTCTACAAAAAAATACAGAAAGATTTAGCCAGGTGTGATGGTGTGTGCCTATGATCTCAGCTACACAAGAGGCTGAGGCAGGAGGATCACTTGCATCCAGAAGCTTGAGATTGCAGTGAGCGACAATCATGCCACTGCACTCCAGCCTGGGCGTCAGAGTAAGACCCTGTCTCAAAAAAAAAAAAAAGAGTCTAGATTTTAAAAATATAGCCTTTAAAGTATCCTGCATTCTGCATTTGCCTGGTTGTTTCCCTGAAGTATCATTGAACCTTTTCTCATATTCTGTGTTTTTGCCATAGATGGACATTGAGTCTAAAGGCTTTATCAGACTCAAGTTAAACATTTTTTTCTAGGTGAGGCTGGGGACCATTATATGCTCCCAATTGATGCAATATGATATCTGGTCTTACCACCAGGTAATGCTGAGTTTAAACCCTTGCTTTAGATGGCAGTTGCCAGCTTTCTTCTTCATGATAAAATGGTTTTCCCTTTGCAGTTCATAAATAATCTGTGGGGTGTTGGAATTGGGTGACTATTCTGTTATCCAATGAGCTTTAACTTAATGGCTTTATCATCCATTTATGATTCTTCCCTAAATCAATTACATTTATAATGGGGTTTGTAAAACTGTGATTATCTAATTCTAGTATTCCTTCTACACTTATTGGCTGATACTCTTCTATAAAGAAGGACAATCCTCTCTTTAGTCTCTCCATTCCTGGATTTTTATTCAATGTTTTATTATCATTTATAGTCACTAAGAATCTCTTGCTTCCTGACACAAAAAGACGATCCATTCTTGCTTTATATTTTCCCTGCCCCATGCCTAGAGTCAGCCATTTCTCTGACACCTGGCTCCCTTTACTGGTGAATCATATTTTGAATGCCAAACCTGGGCACTAGGTATGCTCACGGTTCCTGGGGTATCACTGCTTCTAGGCTTTTTCAGTGGACATAGTGATGAAAGAGATGAAAAAATCATGAGTTTATATCAATATTTATAGGTTTTTGATTACAGTACCAATATTATTACTGACAATAAACCTACTTAGGCAAGTTCAAGATTTCCTTACAATTCTTTTTTAACATACAGAAATTATGAAAATTTTCCAACATACAGAAAAGTTGAAAGAATTATACAGTGAATACCCATATACCTACCACTAAGGTTCTACAGTTAATATTTGTTTTATCCCTCTGTCCAGTCCATTTTATTTCATTTTTATTTTTTAATTTTTTTAGAGACAGGGTCTCACTGTGTCTCCCAGGCTAGAGTGCAGTGACACAATGATAGCTTGCCGTAGCCTCAAACTTCTGGGTTCAAGTGATCTTCCTGCCTCAGCCTCCCAAGTACCTAGGACTACAGGTTCATGCCAACACACCCAGCTAACTTATTTATTTTTTGTCTCTCAGCTTGCTTATTTTTTTATTTTGTAGAAACAGGGTCTTGCTATCTTGCCCAGGCTGATCTTGAACTCCTGGCCTCAAGCAGTCCTCCCACCTCAGCCTCCCAAAACACTGGGATTACAGGCGTGAGCCACCATGTTCAGCCTAATCTATTTTATTTCTTTATGACACAATTTAAAATAAGTTCTTTGCAGTTCTTTGTGTGTGTATACGTATATATACACATATATGTACATCCCTGTGGATATAGGTGGAGAGTACTCAAAAATTACTTGAAATAATTGTATTACTTTGTTCTCACAATGCTATAAAGGACCACCTGAGATTGGGTAATTTAAGAAGAAAAGAGGTTTAATTGACTCACAGTTCTGCATGCTATACAGGAAGCATGGCTTGGAGGCCTGAGGAAACTTACAGTCATGGCAAAAGGGTGAAGGGAAAGCAAGCATTTCCTTCACATGGCGACGGAAGAGCGAGCGAACTAATGGGGAAATGCTACACACTTTTAAACAACCAGATCTCTTGAGAACTCACTATCATGAGAATAGCAAGGGGGAAATCCGCCCCCATGATTCAATCACCTCCCACCAGGTCTCTCCCCCAGCACTGGGGATTACAATTCAACATGAGATTTGGGTGGGACACAGAGCCAAACCATATCAATGAACTTTTTCTTATGGTCTTGTTATTAAATCATAAACAGACTTATTTGTTTCTGTTTGCTTTTTTTCTCTTTGAATTAATTACTTTTTTGGATAGATAGTGTTTCTGTGTCCTCCTTCCCAGTTTCCAATTAGTAGCTCTTGTCACGGTTCCCACCCCAAGAATCAGCCACTATTCTGACTTTTTTTTCCACTGTAGGTTAATTTTGCCTGTTCTGGAACTTAGTATAAATAGAACTATACAGTGGAGGTTTCTTTCTTTCAGCATAATGCTTTTGAGATTCATCATGTATCAATTATTTTTTTTCCACTGTATCACTTTTTCCAGTGTTGATTCTTTTCAAATTTCTGTATAGTTTTGGTCACATGCCAGTCACTTCAGGTAGATGTTTTTAAAATAGTTTTTCTATATTTTTTATTGTTTTCTGTGGGAAGATTTCTCCAGCATGAGCTACTCTGCCATTACCAAAAGAGGAATTTTAATTGATTAAAATTGCATTTTAATCAAATAAATTTTTATTTTTTCTACTTTATGGAACATGTTGAGGTTTTCTTTATGACTTAATATGGTCTGTTTTCATGACTGTCACATTGGCTTTTGAAGTTACATTTCTTTTTATAAGGGTGTAAAGTTAGCCAAAGGAGTTCGAAAGATCTGTGTTAATGACTGTGTTAGGTTTTCTGTAACCTTCCTTATTTTTTGACCCATTGAACTGTCTTGTACTGAAACAGATAGGTTAAGATTTTTTATTATTAAAGCTTGTCTTCATCCTTGTATCTTCTGTACATTGTGCTTTAGGAAGATGCTCTGTAACATTTGGTACATTCGGTACTTGCGATATATTCATTGTTAGCTGCAGCCTTTTGCATTATAAAGTGTCCTTCTGTTGTTGTCTCAGGTAATGTTTTTGAACCTGAATTTTGCCTGGTAACAAAATCACATCCTCTGTTTTCTTATTTGTATTTGTTTCATACATCTTTGTCCATCTCCTTATTTTTAGCCTTTCTGACTCACCTTTGAAGACTTGTTTCTTGTGTTCATCCTAGAGTTGGGTTTTATATTACAAGCCAATCTGGAAATCCTTTTAATGGGAAAATTAAGACATTTTATATTTACTGATATAACTGATATATCTGGTTTCAGCCACTGTAATATTCTTTTATATTATGTTAACTGTGTGTATTATAATTAGTCTTTTACTATGTGGTCTGTTTTCTTAAATTTTGGAAGCATTTTATAAGTCATAGTAGTTACTATAATTTTATATAAAAAAACTTTATATACCGATAACTATATAATGCCCTTAGTTCTTATAAGTTTTTTTATGTATTTCCCTTAGCTCCACGAGCCAACTAAACCTCTTCTTAATTTACCTAGCCTTAGGTATTCCTTTATAGCAATGCAAGAATGGCCTAACTCAGGCTTCTGCTATTTTGATTTTTTGCTTTTAGTAATATCATTTTTTTCCAGCTACTATCTATGTCAAGATCAATGAGCTTATTGTATTTCCCCTACTCCACTTTTTTTTTCAAGTTGTGTTATTTCTACTTTGGTGGAATGGATAATATTTACATAATAATCTTATAGTCATATCTTCACCTTTGTTTTAGTCTTTGATATGCAATTAAATAGGTATAATTTTCACTTCTTGTTCTTCCGTTGTACTTTCCAAAATCATCCTTTTGGAAGAAGTTCATCAGCTAGAAGATTCTTCCACATGAGTACGGTTTCCTTCACTTTCTTGCATGTTTAAGGTGTTTTTCTTTAGTGTTTCTACTTTTAGGGTGACTTTGCTAGTTATAAATTCCTTAGCCAACACATTCTTTCCTTGAGTTTTGTGAAGACTTTGCTCCATTGTATTGTTATTAAGAAATCTAATCTTTCATTTTCTTTCCTTTGTAAATGAGTTTGACTTTTTGCCTGGAGACTGAAAGTACTTTTCTTTATCTTAAAGTCTGATTATTTTACTGGAATGTGTGTAAGGCTGACCATTTGGCACATTTTGGGGCTCTTTTGATATGTAGATTGTTCTTTTTTATTTTCAGAACATCTTTCTGAATTATATAAAAATATTATTTCTATCTCATTGTTTTGTTTTTCCTGTTTAAGAATTCTGATTACATATACGTTGGCTCTTCTTTGCCTGTCCTCTGTGTCTATCACTTTCTGATCTTTTTTAATACTTTATTTCATTTTTGTTCTTTTGGTTCTTTTCATTCCCATTTACTATGTCTCTTTGTGTACTTTTGCTTCTATATATTTATCATTGGACACCTTATATTTTAATGTTCATTTCAGAAATGATTTTATTTTTCCAGTTTCTCTCCTTGTTCTTTCCTCTCATTCTCTCCTCTCTTTGCATATCTGCCTATTGTTTATTCTTTACTAGTCTCAAATTTTGGATTTTAGATTCCTGGTTTCTTTCATATTTGCAATAATTTGTATAAATGCACTTAATTCATTTTGGAGTATTGTGTTATGGTTTTTGTTACTTTATATTTTTTGGAGGTGGAGTTGGTAGAGGATTTTAATCAAATGAAGAGTTTTGATTATCTACTTTTATTTATAGTAGTTTTCTATGGGTAATTGGAGTCCATTTTTGTCCCTAATGAAATATGTAGGATTTTTCTGAGCCAAGTGATTAGAAGTCAGGTGGGAGGTTACTAGAAGGGATCACAGGACACCTTACCCTTGAGGGGGTATGTTCCATCATCCTTCCTGGATTCCTGAAACCACAGATAATACTAAGCCCTATGCACACTATGTTTTTTCCTATACATACACCCCTATGATAAAGTTTAATTTGTAAATTAGGCACAGTAAGAGATGAACAACAATAACTAATAATAAAATAGAACAATTATAACAATATACTGTAATAAAAGCTATGCAAATGTGTTCCCTCTTTCAAAATATTTACCCTTTTTGTGATGATGTGAGGTGATAAATTGCTTTTGTGATGAGTTTAAATGAGATGAATGTCATAGGCATTGTGGTATAGCATTAGGCTACTGTGGACCTTGAGCACAAGCACTGTGATACCTTGAGAGTTACTCTGATAATCTAGATGGCAGCTAAGTGACTAATGAGCAGGTGATGTGTACAGCATGGATACACTGGACAAAGGGATGATTCACATCCCACAGGGCAGTGTGAGGTTTCATTACACTACTCAGAATGGTGTGCAGTTTAAAACTTATGAATTGTTAGGCCAGGCACAGTGGCTCATGACTATAATCCCAGCCCTTTGGGAGGCCGAGGTGGGTGGATCACTTGAATCCAGGAGTTCGAGACCAGCTTGGGCAACATCGTATAACACTGTCTCTACCAAATAACATAAACATTAGCTGGGCATGGTGGCATGTGCCTGTAGTCCCAGCTACTCAGGAAGCTGAGGTGGCAGGATTGCTTCAACCCAGGAGGCGGAGGTTGCAGTGAGCCGAGATCATGCCACTGCACTTCAGCCTGGGCAACAGAGTGAGACCCTTCCTCAAAAATAAATAAAAATAATAAAACTTATGAATTATTTATTTCTGGAATTTTTCATTTAATATTTTCAGACTGCAGTTTACTCTGGACAACTGAAACCATGGAAAGCAAAACCATGGCTAAGAAGAGAATACTGTATTTGGTTTCTTAGTTCAAGAATGTTTTTTATTATTGGAACTGTGAAGAGTAGTTTCCTTAATAAATGATGTCTTTTGGGATGCTGGTTGGTTAATTTTCTGTTCTTTGATACTAATGTTTGAAACTAGTGTTTCTTGGAATATTAAACTTCGTCTACTTTCTTCCTTCTTTTTCTTCGTAGCCAAGGCTCCAAAGGACACCTCACTCATTCTTGTGTATCTTACAGGACTTAACTTTTGAATCAAAGTACTTTTGGAGCCCTTTCTTTTACCTCTCCTGGAACCAGTGCTCTGGTATCCACTAGGTCTTAGACCCATTCACACTTCTTCTAGGGGAAATCCCAAGTTGATATTGCTTGTGTTTTGCAATGCCCACCTCATTCTTATATGCAAGGCTTCTACAAGCTGGTTTTGACGGTTTCAGATGTTAGTTTCCCCATTTACGGTAAATTAAAATTTGTAGAAGTCTCTGTTTTCTAGCTATGCTGTTGGTGTGGACTGTAGGTCATTTTATTTGCTTTCCTTGTTGATCTGAAGGCTTTTGTAGAATGTGTGAAAATAATCTGATTTAGATGGCTACTACTGTTTTACAGGAACTGGTAAGTCATTCCCTGATCACTTTAACAAATGGTTTAGTGCCTCTTCTATGTGAGCCCCAACCTAAATACTGAGGCCAAAAATATAAATACTCAGAAAGTAATCCTTGTATTTGTGTAACATTTTGAAGAATGACATAGGATACATTTAAAATATTAATTCATTTAGTATCTCTGTGAGATAGTGAATCTTTTTGCCACTTTACAGATAAAGATGCTGAGGTTAAAAGATTAATAGCAACCCACTTATGTAATTAGTTAATAATGAGTAAAATCCAATTCTAAGACTTTAGAATCCCTATCTACTGCCTGTTCCATCAAAATGAACGTATCCTTACTTCATTTCATTTAACAGTCCCTAAACATTCATTGAGTTCTTTAGAATGTACTGAGCTGAATACCAAGCACTGGTGATAGAGCACTGAACAAAGTAGACGCCCCACCCCCACCCCCACGCACAAAAAAAGTACACACGGAGCTTATATTTCAGCAATATCCTCCATCTGTGCCCTTCCCACTGCCCCCACCACCCCCCAACCCCGCAACCCCTGCTCAACCCAGTTCATTCTTCTTGACCTACTTCTGAAATGCTTTATTTGGCTTTGTAAAAACAATACTAATCAGTGTCATTTATAGCACTGAATTATGTGTGTCATTCAACATAATTGTGATTTTTAATATTGCCAAAATAATTTTGTGAGCTTTGTATGATTATTATCCTACTCTCTCATCCTCCAGTGTTTTTGTTCATTGCTCAGGTACTGTATCTCAAAAAAGAAAACGTATAGGTTGGAAGTGAAAATTGTGTACTCTTAGTTCTATAATAAAACTTGTATTTAAAGACATTACCGATTTTATTTTTAAGATATTTATGAAGCTATAAATTTTATAGCATAGTTTTAGGATGGGTTAAAATTTCATGCTAAACGTTTGAGTGTTTTAATTTTTACTTATTTGTATCAGAGGTAAAGGATTTTATAACCTGCTTTCAAATAATAGACTCCCATTTAGAATTATTTTAGTACTTCGTTAAGAAAATGTAAAATGCTTTCATCATTGGGCTATTTCTCATTATAACTTGTTAATTTTGGCAAAGAAATGCTGTTTTAAATTCCCGCTTGGAACAATATAAGGTAGGATAATCTGTATTTACTCAGTCAATTTTAATACAAATTTTTGAGCAACAATGTGGCAGATTGGCACCCTCTTTTGGTCATTTTATTTACCTACAGGCAGAAATATAAGTAATAAAAATTAAGTTTGTCTTTTATATGTTTATCTCTGTCTTTTAAATTAGCATTTACAAATCTCAGCCAAAATAATTCTCTAGACTGGGTTCATATGGATAAGGTCCACTATTATCTAGCTGTGCTTTGTTTTGGTAATTTTGTGGTTATTTGCTATTTCCTCAGGCTGGCTCTCTAATTCTAGCATTCAGAATTAGAATTAATATTGCAGATTTTTGAACAAGTATTTATATTAAGCAAACTGTTAGCTACAGTAGCACATTATTAGACAGATAGTGTTTAACAATTTCATTGTCAATTTGGATTAATTAGAAAAACATCACATTTTAGTACCCTAAATAGCAGTTTTGTTATTTGAATTGAAAGTAATTCAAGCTTCAGAAAATTGAGGCTGAATTACTTCAGTTTTTCTCCTCTCATTTTTTAAAAGACAGACTTAATTCTCTAAGATTATATGGTTAATTGAATTTATATTATAGTTTGACAATATTTGTGTATACTAAGTTTGCTTACCAGTCCTGGAAATGCCTATGCAAATAATTTATAATTGCAGGGGAGAAAGCTATACTCTGCCAGGTAGTTGAGTAGTTTGGAAGGGGGAAATTTTTCTTGGTAAATATTCAGCAAGTTTGCTTTTGGTAGTTCTAGTATTTCAGAATTTCATTCGCCTGCCAAAGCCTCAAATTTAATCCAATTTAATAATACCTAATGGATCTCAACTTTAGAATAATCTGTGACCTATTCCATAATACTTAAGTTATTCACTATATTTGAGCTTCCTTGTACTTTTTCACTGAAATAAGTATTTTAAGAATTTATATTATGCATTGCTCATATAGGCATTTTCAGAAATATTACTTTCAAATGCCAACCAATTATGTTTGTATTGTATTTCTTGCACAAGTTTGAAGAAATTGAGATTTGTGTTTGATTTCTAGTGGGCCTTTCAATATATTATTTCACCAAAATAGATAATAAACTGTTCAATTGAACTGTTGAATTGAACTTTTTATTCTGTGAGGAAGTAATAAGCAAGATAATCTTCTCTGACATTACAAACTAATATAAAATGTTGAACTTCACTCTTTTTAAAATTTATGATTCAATGAAACTTTATTTTGAAATAAACAATGAGTATTTGTATGTTTCACTGAGTGAATTCCCTAGTTTTAATACCAGATATGGCCATAAAGTAATTAGGTAGAATTCTGAGAATATATGGCTTTAAATATACTGCATTATTTTAGTCATACCTAATGTATAATTCTATAAATACTATGTAAATATCTCATATAAACGTATGAACTTTACATCAGTAAATTATTTTAGCTCATTCAAAATATATGTCACCTATATATTTATGAGTTTCATCCAGTAAAGGGGCAAAAAAGCAGGATGATATATTTGTTTTCAAATTTGGATGCATTATAATGAATATATTGGCAGTCTTTTTAACAGACCTACTGAAAGCAGTGTGTTGCTGTCATCCTCTTCCAAAAATTACTTAGATAAAGTCCCATTTCAAACTCCCATCAGTCTTTCTCCAGAAGCCTTCTTAGAATCAAACAATATCCAAATGGAAAATTTCCATCTTATCACTTATTTGAAGTAACAAATTAAATTAGCTGGTAGTTAATTAGCTGACCAAATTAAATAGGAATGAAAAATACAAAGAATACTCTTAGAAATATTGCCCTGTAAATGGAATGCTAATCTCTAAATGCAGTTTATTAGGAAAATAGGATATTAGGGAAATAGTCAAAGATTGGATTGTTTCTATCTTTTTAAAGTTTTCATGGTAATAAAATATTCCAACTTCAGATTTGGAAGTGTCTTATATCCCCAGAATTTCCTTTGAATCGTAATATTTAGGATATTAGGGAAATAGTCAAAGATTGGATTGTTTCTATCTTCTTAAAGTTTTCATGGTAATAAAATATTCCAACTTCAGATTTGGAAGTGTCTTATATCCCCAGAATTTCCTTTGAATCGTAATATTTTTCTCTCTAAATTTTATTCTGTCTACAGAGCTACTCTGTTTCTCATCTTAGTTTGTTAATTTATTATTTTAACATACACTTAGTTCTTTGGAATCTTGGGGAAATTAAATATGATATTAAATATGATTATACAGCAGAGGGTACTTTTTTGGATATTTATCAGATTCTATAAGGATAAGATACTCCTGGACAGTAAATTGCATGATTGGGAAGTTCATTAACTTTTCCAGGCCACTGTATCTGATAAGTTAGAAATGTAATATATGAAATTGTGATCTAAGGTATTATACTTCTGGGGACATGGACAAATATTGTACATCTTGTTTACAGATATAAATGATCACAAAAGTCTTTCATTGTAAAGTAACCAGTATACAGTCATCAAGGAATATAAAGTTTATATGAAAAATCGGGAGTGGCTCCAGATATTTCTTTTAACTTGCTAACTTGACTAAACATCTTAAAGTTTGAGTCAAATAGTTTACATTAACTGGAAGTCATTATTATTCACGGATATGCATTTGCTTTTAATATTTTGACATTTGTGAAACACTGTTAAAATAATTGCTTATTAGAAAAGATCTTTTTTCCATAAGTTTTTTTGTTTTGACAGTGATGTGAAATTTGAAAGTAAAGAACGAACAGCATGTAAAGGAAAGATTGCCATATCAGGTATGCTATAAATGAATCTTTTATATTGCTGAATAAATTCTATAACGTAACTACATGGTGGATTTTGTTTTATGCCCTGTCTCCATTCTCTTCATTTTGTTTTTCATACCTCTATCAGAATATTTGTTCTAAAACACTGTTTTTAGCATTATATGCTACATTGATATAGAACTTTAGAGTTTAAGAAAACTGTTTCATATGTTACATACTCTACAGTTTTCTCCCTAGTGCAGTCTTGTAAAATAGGTAGAGTAATTGTTATTTTCTACAGACTCAGAGGCTAAGTGACTGAGCTAGGCCAAACCCAAGTCTTTTGACTCTGTTCCTTTCCTGCTCAGAAGCTATAATAATGTTTTTAATGTTTTGTCTAGGTCAGAAGTTCCATGAGGTTTTGGTACCATGTTTATTTTGGTCATCACTTTACACCCAGAAGCTAGCATGGTGCTTGGCTCATAGTAATTGCTCAGTGACTCTTGGATGGATGGCTGCTCTTCATTGCCTGTAGTGTAAAGACCAAACATTTTTCTCCAGTCTTCCATTTTGACCCAATTTTTTTTCTAGTCATATCTTCTATTACTCCTAAACATAAGCTGTCGCCTTTAGCAGACATTTCTCTCCTTGTCCTGGCAACATAACCCATGCTTCTGACACCCAATTAGCTTGTGAAATAACTACATTCTCTTAAATATCTGTTTGTTTATCTATATATAATATAATCTCTGTTACCGTTCCAACTAGAAAGGATGTTTCCTTTCTCTCAATTCCTAATGCAGTTAGGAGACCCTTCACCACTAGATGGCACTTATGCTGTGCAGTCTCAGTTTCTCCAAAGTGTTCAGGAAGCTAAAGACAATGGCTTGGAGATGCCACAGATTGAAATGAATACATGGCTGACTCGTGTGTACACTAGTCAGATAATGCACTTTTACAAATATTTTCTTATCAGTACATTTTTGAAACAATAGTATATACCTCCATTGGTCCTTAAGTAATCACTAGGTTATTGGCTAAAAGTCTTGTACTAGAGAGCCTGCTGCTACATTTGAGGTACTGTCACCTAAGGAACTGTTTCTAGTAATATTTTTCTGGATAAACAAAATTATCACACAGGACGGTAGACCTACATTTTACAAAGTACGTAAATGGCCAAAATCTGAAGAATTGCATTCAGCTAAGCAAAATATTCTTCAGAAAATAACTGGAATATGTAAAAATTTGTTGCTTGTTTTATAGTTATTTATATTTGTTTTTATCTTTATAATACAAAACAAAACATGTTTTATCCTTGTATTCTTTTGCTATCAAACATGTATTTTTATGTGGTATTGTTCATTATGTGCAATAAATTTTTTGTGAATAAATTACTATAGATCTTTGAGATTTTATAAAAACTAAACATATCCTTCATTTCTTGCTTCTAATATAGTGTCACTCAGTATATAAATGACATATGTTAAGTTGCTGTTAAACACTCAAATGCCATGATAGTCAACATCTATTGTCATTTCATAACAGTTTATTGATTGTAGCAATTCATAATATTAGAAATAACTGTACATTTAGAAGGAGGCTCAAGTAAAAGTATTTAAAATAAAATAAAAAACTATTTCCTGCCCACAATTACTCAAGTGTAAAAATTGAACTTATTTCTGCATGTGTTTCTTCTTTCCAAAAGATAATTTTAAATTAAGGAACGGAAACTCTGAGAAAATCGGATACTTACGTAATGTCTTTTCATCTTTGCCTAGACTTAATTATATCTTGTATGTGTTTGTAAAAACAAAATAAAAAATGAATTCACCTTTATAAATCCATTTTTTCTTGATATTGGGATGAAAATGTGACCTTTGTTTTGGTAAAGATGAATATTTGCAACAAAGTGTCATAATGTTTTGAGATTACATTGATAGCCAGAAAATACCTGGGTTTTCTGTTTCCAGCTACATCACTCCCTGGCCAGGTCTTTATGAAACTAAATCACAAATTTATTATTTCTGCTGAACATCAAATATTTACCATATGTAAATGTAGTATTTACCGTAATTATATTGTGGTAATTAGCTTAGTCACCGACTACTAATTTAATGAATAAACCAAATCAGTTCACCAAGTACCTTAGTTTTCACTTTTGAAAATGATAGACAGACTTCTGGGACTTGATAGCATCAAGTCAGCTGTCTTATTATGACTCTCCCAGTTTACCATTAAAATGGCAATGAAGACATAAAACAAGACAAAAGTTAGAGTACTGTAAACTGAAACTGAGCCATTTGCAAGAATCTGGAAGGAAGTTCTATCATTGGAAGCTGAATTCAGAAATAGAGTTGATGGGTTACAAATCCATTGCTATCTGAAGAGCACAAGACTACCTGGAAAATCGGTATCCAGCTTCTCCTCTTGTGGAGCTGATATCTACCCTCCTCTCTTCGGCATGGGATAGAAGAAGGCTGACCCACAGGTTGTGGGTGTACAGCAAAGGAAGTCAGGATCCATGTCCCTCCCATGATAGTGTAAATAGTTAATGCTCTGTTAATCCTAACAGAGCAAGAACAGCTGTGAATAAGTACAGTTGTGAAATGAAATGAGTCAGCAGCTGTGGTCAAGCAAGAAGAAGTGGACTTTTTGGCAGGATATCAGCCAAGTCATAATTACAAAACAATAAAGCATTCTCATAAAAATCAAAAACAAAATTACAATGTCTGTTATGCCAATATAATTTAACAATTTTAGAAGTTCTAGCTAAAATAATAAGAATAAAAGATGAAACTATTGAAAATAAATTCATAGGTGGGAATTGAGCAATGAGAACACATGGACACAGGAAGGGGAACATCACACACTGGGGACTGTTGTGGGGTGGGGGGAGGGGGGAGGGATAGCATTAGGAGATATATCTAATGCTAAATGATGAGTTAATGGGTGCAGCATACCAGCATGGCACATGTATACATATGTAACAAACCTGCACGTCGTGCACATGTACCCTAAAACTTAAAGTATAATAATAATAAAATTTAAAAAGTAAATAAATAGATAAATTGAATACTGTTTGAAGATAATAGATTGTAGGCCCAGCACAGTGGCTCATGCCTGTAATCCCAGCACACTGAGAGGCCAAAGCAGGCAGATCACTTGAGGTCAGGAGTTCGAGACCAACCTGGCCTACATGGTGAACCCCTTGTCTCTACTGAAAATCAAAAAATTAGCCGGGTGTGGTGGTGCATGCCCGTAAACCCAGCTACTCCAGAGGCTGAGGCAGGAGAATCACTTGAACCCCGGGGGCAGGGGTGGTAGGGGAGGATGGAGGTTGCAGTGAGATCGCACGATTGCACTCCAGCCTGGGTGGTAGAGCAAGACGCTGTCTCAAAAAAAAAAAGGTAATAGATTGTAGACTTACAAAACTTAAGAGAATTTACTGCAACACTATTTGAATGAATAAAGAATTCAGTAAAAGTGGCTGGATTCAAGATAAATATACAAAAAGTGGTAGTTTATCTTAAAATCAACAATAACTAATTAGAAAATATAATAGCAAAAAGATACCCTTTACAAGAAAACCTCCAAAAAACAAAAATATTAATTATTCAAGAATAACCTTAATAAAAATGTAAAGACAAATTATTATGCTATTCTGTGTAAAGATAGAATATTATAAAGTTATCAGTTCCCAAATTAATTTGGATAATGGAATACTAATAAAACACTTGGGAAAGGGAAATTTTGACAAAATTTGTTCTAAAATTTATATAAAGAAATTAGCAAGTAAGAGTAAGGTGTTTTCAAAAAAGAAATATATCTAACAAATTAGTAAGTATATTATAAAGGTACAATAGTTAACAGTAGTATAGTGTTGCCAGGCATGGTGGCTCATGCCTGTAATCCCAGCACTTGGGGAGGCCAAGGAGGGCAGATTGCTTGAGCCCAGAAGTTGAAGAACAGCCTAGCAAACATAGTGAACTCTGTCTCTACAAAAAAAAAAAAAAAAGTATAATAATTAGGCAGCCAGGCACAGTGGCTCACGCCTGTAATCCCAGCACTTTGGGAGGCCTAGGCAGGCGGATCACGAGGTCAGGAGATCAAGACCATCCTGGCTAACACGGTAAAACCCCATCTCTCCTAAAAATAGAAAAAAATTAGCCAGGCGTGGTGGCACATGCCTGTAGTCCCAGCTACTCGGGAGGCTGAGGCTGGAGAATCACTTAAACCCAGGAGGCGGAGGTTGCAGTGAGCTGAGATTGTGCCACTGCACTCCAGCCTGGGCAACAGATGGCACACACCTGTAATCTCAGCTACATGGGAGGCTTAGGTGGGAGGTTTGCTTGAGCCCTAGAGTTCAAGGCTGCAGTGAGCCATGATGGCACCACTGCACTCCAGCCTGAGCAACAGAGCAAGACCCTGTCAAAAAACAAAAAAAAGAAAAATAGTATGGTGTTGGTATTTAGCTAGACAGTAATTAATAAATGATTCAAATTCATAAAAGTATAGCCAAGGAACAGACATTTACTCAGAATGGCATATATGATAAAGATGTCATAATTAATCAGTAAGGAAGAAACAGATATATATGGAGTTAGAACAGTTATTTTTATAAGAAGAATATATTTTTACCTCACAAAAATTTGACAGATTAACTTTTTAAAAGTACAAACTATAAACAATGTCTAGAAAATGTGCTGTTAAATAATAACACTTTATTTTAGCTATAGTAGTCAGAATTATTATGGAATGCAGAGGTTCAGGTCACTGTAAAGAATAAAACTTACCAAAATTATTACTTGTCATTTCTTTTTCCCTTCTTTATAGATATTCGAATACCACTAATGTGGAAAGACTCTGATCACTTCAGCAATAAAGAACGTATGTATGATTTTAATTTGTAATTGAAATGTTTTCTTTAGTATGTAGTGTATCTGATTATTGAGAAAAAAGACTGCTTCCTTGCTGAAATAAATTGATGTCATTTGAAAGAATAAGCAGCATCTTGAACTGTTTTCTGATTTTTAATATAAATATGTTGCAGTCACTTGATACTAATTAATATAGTGCATATGTAGTGTACTTTTAGTTGTTGATAGGAACCAGTGCTAGGACAGTAAGTACCGGGTTCAGAGTGGGAACGGGGGAAGGGAAATATGGAACAAAAGAAAATGTTTAGCGAATAAAGGTAAAGCCAACATTTCTTGTATTTGACCAGAATCTGGAAGATTTTTCTGCCTTATTTCATTACTTCAGGTTATTTAACAGGATGAAATAGGGAAAGATTTTTAGCTTGATCTGATTTTTTTTCCTTCAATATTTTATGGTTTTATACAGTCTTTACAAATCCGTGTATTGCTTAGGTCATGGAAATTAACCTCGAATGATTTCTAGCTATTAGAGGCAAAGCAGGAAAGATATGATAATACTTTATCTTTCTTGTCTATTGTGATAGCTTTGTTCCTTGTACTTTAAAAACTGAATCATATTAAGCACAATTAGTTTTATATGAAGAATTTAAAATCAGGTTAGTATTTATTATTCAATTAGGAAATATAATTTACTTTACAAAGGAATACATGTGGGAATTAAGTAAAGCTTTCTGATTACTAAAGAGAGTAAGTTTTTCTGAAGAGCTACATTTTCTCAATAATGAGGATTTAGCCTTTTAATCACCTAATACTTTTTAAAACATCACCAAATCAAAAGGCCCAGCAGCTATGTTTTTTGTGTTCTCATGTCTATTTTATTGTTTTGTTTTTTTTTTTCTTGTGGTTTCCTCCCTTGCTGTTAGTTTGGTGGAAAATATTTTGCTGTCGTTAATGTGCCTACTCTTAACCTCTTCTAATAAAAAACATCTTTTTCTTAAATAGACTTGGAAACCAAAATGACAGCGGTAGTAGTAGTGTGTGTGTGCACGCTTGCATGCCCGCGCATGTGTGTATATAAAGTTTACTATTAATTAAAGCTTAAGAAGTTTAATAGGAATAAAATTTATGAGTTTGGTGGTTTCTTTAGGCTGCTGAGAGGCCTGTATATTTAACTTTATTTTTTGCTTCCTTGTTTAATTGTGTTCTAGTTGAGTAAGGTATTCCTATATACTGGGAGAACAGTCACTGTAAGACTTAAGGGTTACAGTATACAATGTATGAAAAGAATCTATTAATAATATTTAACCTAATATTTATTTTCAAGTAGATTTTAACAATGATTTATTACATGGATTGTTGCTTAATATGTTGTTATTTTTCCTCCAGGATCACGACGCTATGCCATTTTTTGTTTATTCAAAATGGGAGCTAATGTGTTTGATACTGATGTGGTGAATGTGGATAAAACAATCACAGATATATGTTTTGAAAATGTAACCATATTGTAAGTATTTTTTAATCTTCAGAGAATAAAAATAATTTAAAATTCTTCTTTTTTAAAAGAAAGTTCTTATTATTGGTTCTTTGGATTCATTTTATGTTTAAATGTTTAAGTGATCTTTAAATGTTTAATATGATTTTAAAAATCATTTTGTTCAGAAGAAGTCCATTTCTCTATCTGCAGTTTTCTGATGTGAAATAAAAATGGAAATCTTGTAATTACTATTAGCAGTAAATATTTGACTTATTAGATATGACCCATTTTTAAATTGTTAATAAATATAGTTCAGTTATTAACAAAGCTATGCATACAACAGAATATCCTGTAATGTTATTTGATATAGAGAGAATTTAAGCATAAAACAGGATTTTTATCTCATGTAGGATATTTGGTTGCAGAAATACTAAAATAGTATAGCAACTTTATTTACAAGATAGTCCTGAAGTACATGCTATATAGGAAGAGCACTTTGAAATTTTGGGGTGTTCTTTTTCTTATGGTGCACTTCTTTCATGTACTTCAAAGCAATAAAAAAAAATGGGTGATCTCAGGGCTGTTTTTATTGTCCCTGCTCTTTTACAGGCTCATTTTATTGTGGTCATAATACAGAACAAGAAGGAACTCCTTGGGTAGCCATAGAAATCATTTTTAACTAACATAGTTTTTCCTGCCCTCCTTCAAAGGTTCTATGTGCCTAAATCAGTGTGGGATTTGTATTTTAGACTTTTAAAGACACGATCTTTAGATCTAAATGTTAATAGCTACTAACTATTAATATAAAAATCCATGTGCATGGTTTTTGCCATTTTCAGCTATGGAGCTAGACAGGTGAGATTTTAGAGGCCTAGTTTTGCCACTCACATAACATTAAAAAAACCTATAGTAAACCATATTTTGTAGCTTCTGGTCCAGTGTCTCATAGTAATAGTATAGCCTGGAAAAATAAAATGCATTGTTCTGAGTTATAAGTAGTAATTCAGGCCTTCTTACAAGCTGTATTGAACCAAAGGAATTTATTTAGGATCCAAAACATATCCCCAAATGCTTATATAATTGAGGCTAAAAAAATTACTTTTTTCTTGGTTATCTGAATACATTTATTTCCATTATCAACTATTGCTAGTGAACTTTTTTTTCTGCCAAAATTACCAGTTGATGGGCCCTTTTCTTCACATCATTTTGCTATTGTTTGTTTTGATCATGGAGACAAAAATCAGACTTTTTTTTCCAGGGAAAGAACAATAGAAGTTACTGAGGAAGACAACACATGATTTATAATTTTTTGAGAATTCTGTAAATATTTTAAATTGTACTAAAAATAACTGCTGACAAATGTTCTACATGTTGAAAAATGTGCTTTTTGTTATGATGATTGTTTTTAATAAGTATTCAATATTTATGAATCTCTGGTTTTTCTCTAAATATTGACATTTGTTAGTCATTACCAGGAATACTGCATGTTTAAAAGTTGCCAAATAATAAACTATAAAAATAGCTGGAAGTTATTCCTGGGATTTTTTCAAACTATAGATTGGCCATTTATATCTTTAAAAGTCTGTGCTCCATTTTTTAAATCTCTGAAACTGATGGATCTTCCATCTGCAAGTAACATCTGCTGCTGATGGACCTCTTTTGCAGTCTTAAGTATATTTTATTGTTAGTAACACCACCACAGTCTTTAATGCTAAAGGTAGTTCAAAGGTAGTTCGTTGTGTCTGAAAAAGGGTAAAGCCAATCTTAACATTTGCTAAAATTGCAGAATTTTGCGTATTTATTTGATAAATATATATCTAATACCTCCTACATTCCAGGCCAATACTAGATTAAGAACACAAAGATCACCCAGACAGCACCCATTCTCAAGGAGTTCATGCTTTGAAGTACATTTTTCCCCTGTATAACCAGATAGTAAAATGTTATTTATAGTTATTAGGTACAAAAGTGGGGGAGGGTCAGGGGACACAGTGACGAGTGCACTATAAGTGACTCTTTATAAAGAAGAAATGAAAACTAAAGGTTTAGCAGATTTTTTTTGGAAGAACAGTCATTTCAGAAAATTACACATATAAATACCTTAAAAATGTATTAAAGGAATGACAAGGAGAAATAGTATTGGCAACAAAATGACCAGGGTATTTTATGCTTTCTTTAACATGCCTATGTATATATTGGTTAAATTGAGTTAAGATTGCCCTAGTTTTGAAGCTGATATCTGTGAAAGTTGCGGTAACTCTCTCAGGCCATTTAGATGCTAAATAAACACTGAGAGATTCTGTCTCATTAACATACATTAACATAAACTTATTCCAAATTCTTATTTTTTTTCCCATAAACCTTGCACTTATTGAGGAGATTTTGCAATCTTCTCTTGGCTCCCCTGCAGTCTTTTATTTATTTTAAAAAGAAATTTTATTGTGTATATTTGAGGTTTATAACACGATGTTACAGGATACATATAAATAGTAAAATGTTACTATAATCAAACAGATTAACATCTATCATCTCACATAGTTACTTTTTGTGACAAAAGCAGCTAAAATCTATTTAACAAAAATCTCTAACATGATTTGATTAACATTCACCTCATGTTTTTACAGTACATTATATCTCTAAACTTATTCATCCTACATATCTGCTATTTTGTGTCCTTTGACCTATATCTCCCCATTTCCTCTCCCCCAGTCCTTGCCCATGGTAACCACTGTTTTTTTCTCTATTTCTATGGTTTTGAGCTCTTTTTTTTTTAATATTCCACATATAATTGAGAACACACAATATTTTCATTTCTATGCTTGGCTTATTTAACTTAATATCCTCCAAGTTCATCCGTGTTGTAGCAAATGGCAAGATCTCCTTTTTTAAGGCAGAATGGTTGTCCGTTGTGTGTGTGTATACACACGTAGCTTATTTTCTTTATCTGTTTTACCATTGATGGACATACCTTGGCGATTGTGAATAATGCTGCATTCTTATAGTTTCTTCAATATCTTGGCTATTGTGAATAATGCTGCAATGAACAGGGGAGTGCAGATAACTTCACAAGGTAATGATTTTACTCCTTCCAGTATAAACCCAGAAGAAGGACTGCTGGATCATGTAGTAGTTTCCCTTTTAATTTCTTTAGGAACCTCTATACTGCTTTCCATAATGACTCCGCCAGCAGTGTACTAGGGTTCCCTTTTCTCCATACCCTCGTCAACAATTTATCTCATGCCTTTTTGATAATAGCCATCCTTATGGGTGTGAAGTAGTATCTCATAGTGGTTTTAATTTGCATTTTCCTGATGTTAAATGCTGATTTTAAATGTTACATAAACATAAAAGAATGGTATAATTTTATTTTCTACTGAGTTAAATTTCCAACATTATGAATGCCCTTGTTTTTAGTAATGAAGCAGGGCCAGACTTTCAGATAAAGGTGGAAGTGTATAGTTGCTGTACAGAAGAATCTTCTATAACCAACACACCAAAAAAGCTAGCTAAGAAACTCAAGACATCTATAAGTAAAGCTACAGGAAAGAAAATAAGTTCAGTGCTTCAAGAAGAGGATGATGAAATGTGCTTGCTCCTCAGCTCTGCTGTTTTGTAAGTTTTTAATACTGTATTTATGGTGACATAATTATACATTTGTGATATTTTAAAGTATTATATGTGAAGTGTATGTTTACTTTATAAATGGAAAAACATCAGGAAACAAAAACAAAACTTAGTTGTTTGACATTTACTCAACTGAGGTATCCTTAATACCCTCCTTTAAAGGTAGGAAGTTGGGTGAGAGTGTTTTTAGTGATTTGGAATTCTAATACAAGTTGAATATCCCTTATCTGAAAGCCTTCAGACCAGAAGTGTTTTAGATTTGGACTTTTTCAGATTTTGGAATATTTGTATATACATAATTAGATACCTTAGGGATGGCACCCAGGACTAAACATTACATTAATTTTTATATACATACATGTATACACACACACACACACACACACACCTTATACATATAGCCTGAAGGTAATTTTCCATGATATTTTTAATAATTTTGTTCATAAAACAAAGTTTTGACTGAGTTTTGACTTCAAACATCACATGAAGTCAGGTGTAGAATTTTCCACTTGTGGTGTCATATAGGCATTCAAAAAGTTTCAGATTTTGGAGCATTTCAGATTTTCAGAGCAGAGATGCTCAGCTTGTATCTACCAAAAAAATGAAATGTTGTTGGAAAGGAACTATGTATATGTCAAAGTATTTCTTTACATATTAATCTACTAATTAAATTGCTGTATGTATGTCATGCTTTATTCTTATAGAAAATATTTTATCTCTTTTTAACAAAACCACATTATCATTATCATACTTAACTAAATAAAAAATAAGTCATTAATATCCAGTCTGTATTCATATTGCCCAATTCTGGAAAAAATACTGTTTTGATTTGTTCAAATCGGAATCCAAACAAGGTCTACAATATTACATTAAAGTGAGTCTTTTAAGTTTCTTTTAGCCTACTACAATTTCCTGTCCTCTTTTTTTCTTGTCATTATTTATTGAAGAGACTAGGTCTTGTAGAATTTTCCATATTTTGAATTTAGTTGATTGCATCTTTGTGGTCTTTTTTTACATTTTTTTCTGGCCCTTGTATTTCCTATAACCTCGCAGTTAGATCTAGAGGACTGATTAGATTCAGTTCTCTTTTAGGGGAATAATATTCATATTATTAGATGTACTTCCTACTAGCTTCTAGTAGGAGGCTTTGTCCCACTTTCAGTAATGTTAAAATTGATGATGTTAAAATGTTAGGTGTTGCCAGCCTAACCCATCCAATATAAAGTTCTCTATCAGTCTTTTATCTATGGTTTTTAACAGCCAAGGATAATCATTTATTATTTCATTATGGATTATAATTTGGTGACTTTGTATATCTGTCCTGCATTCTTTTCTTCCAAACTGGAATTCTTGCAAAGAACGTGTCCTTGTAAACTCTCTGGATACAACTACAATAACATTGGTGGAGGAAACAGAAGAAAAAAATGCCTGATTCTTCCGTTTACTAGATTTTAGAATATTAAGTTGAAACCCTAGCAATCATGGAGGTGATCAGTGTTGTTTTATTTGAACTCTTGAATTTTCTTTTCTTTTCTTTTTCTTTTTCTTTTTTTTTTTTTAAGACAAGTCTGGATCTGTTGCCCAGTCTGGAGTGCAGTGGAGCTCTCAGCTCCCTGCAGCCTCAGCCTCCTGAGTAGCTAGGACTACTGGCACATGCTACCATGCCTGGTGGCTAATTTTTGTATTTTTCTTGTAGAGATAGGGTTTCACCACATTGCTCAGGCTGATCTCAACCTCATGGGCTCAAGCAATCCGCTTGCCTCAGCTTCCCAAAGTGCTGGGATTACAGGTATGAGGCCACCACACCCAGCCTTGAATTTTTATAATGTTTGTGTTTCAATCTGCCATTCTCTTTGATGCCCAAGTTGTTCATCTTTGATCAGTGGGAAACCGTTAAGCTGACTTCTACATCCTTTGACACAACCTAATCTTTGATAGCTTTTTTGCTTTCTGACACAGTAAGATGTTCCCCTTTCACCTTGTATTTTTCTGCCAAGACTTGGAAACACCATTTCTCCAAGGAGCGTGGTTTCCTTCAGATACCTTCTTTAAACATTGTATTTGTTTCTTCACAAATAGTTTTATGTTGATGTTTCTTTGGAACACTGTTGATCAAGCTGCATTCCTAGAATTTCTTTGCATGTTTCGTCGAGTTGGCTCTTCAGCATGTCAGTAATTTTACTGTAATTATAAAAAGCAAAATATTTTAGGTATAGATCCTAGAAATGCCAGTCATCAGAATTTAATGAAATTACTCTTTTCATGTGATATATATTACATGCAAAATATACTTTGGCACTCTAGCATAGTGTCTTTCAATCTCTTTGGATTGATGCTCATGCTAAAAAAATACATTTTACATCGTGACTGAGTGCACAGTTATGTAAGCAGATAGATTTTATGAAGTAATTCTTAACCCTTACTATTTACAATATAATTATCAGGCATTTTCTTATTCTTTTGCTTTCAGTTTTTTTTAATGCTGTTTGTAAATCATTAAATTGATTTCATGACCCGTGAATCAGTCCCAGTCTACATTCTGAAAAACAGTCATAGAAGATGTCTTTCCAATGTAAATGTCATTTAAAAGGAGGCAAGAGACCTTTAATTTTCTTCTCTTAGATCTAAGACCATCTTTAAAACTTTTCTGCATTAATATTATATCAAGGATTTGCTGGAAGGTACTTTAATTCAGTCATAAGGTGGTGGAATTAATTCTTTTTAATGATTAGATAAACAATTCTATTTCCAGGTTTAAGCAGGTTTTAGTGCAGAAAGAGATCTTAGAGATAATTACCCAGTTCAATAAGTTTTACATTTTTTAAGTAGCAAAGCTCCTATTTTAAAAATGACAGGACCAGTAGTGTCTTTTATCCAACTACACTATATGGTAGAAAAGTTACATTTTCCCCTCACTTTCTCATATGAAAGGCAAAGATGTTCATACACAATCACTTCTTTTTAGAAAGCTTTTCAGAAACATTTTTGGAGTTTCATGCACCTTTACAGCATGTAAAAACAATGAATGTGCTTCTTAAACAGTTTAAAACTTCATTGTTTGTCCATGAATACTCAATTTTTAATTTCTGTAATTTATTACTTCTGTGACCCAAGAGAGATTAATTTACTCTGAGTTTTTGTTTTTCCTTCTGTAATAATAATACATAATAATATCTCAACTCCATAGGATAATTACGAGATTTAATAAGATAATTCATGGATTTGGTTTATAAAGGAAGCATTTTGTAGTAAGCTCTGTTACCATTATGGTTACTATTTTTACTGTTCCCAGACCAGTGCTTTTTCTAGGGCTTTTTTTTTTAAACTCATGCTAAAACTTCACAGTTTAGAAACTTGACATAGGATTATAAAATGTAGCCACATTTTTTCATTTAAACTACATTTATAATTTTATAGGAGGTCATTTAAATGATGTTAGAAACTATATTTAAGGCTGGGGGCAGTGGCTCATACCTGTAATCCCAACATTTTGGGAGGCCGAGGCAGGCAAATTGCTTGAGCCCAGGAGTTCGTGACCAGCCTGGGCACCATGGTGAAACCCCTTCTCTACTAAAAATACAAAAACCCAGCCCCAGCTGTAGTCCCAACTACCCAGGAGGCTGAAGTAGGAGGATCACCTGAGCCTGGGAGGTTGAGGCTAAAGTGAGCTGTGATCATGCCACTGCACTCCAGCCTGGATGACAGAGTGAGACCCTGTCTCAAAAAAAAAAAAAAAAAGAAAGAAAGAAATTATATTTAATCTATATTTCTTTTTGAAGCCTAGAGGAATTTTTGAGAATAAATTATTGTGCATTAAGTTCTTTTTAATAGACAGCCATATAGATCTTGGAGTGTCTGTTTTCCTGTTCAGAATTTTTCATTCTATTTGGTTTATTCTGAGTTCAAACACGAATTTTCTTTATAAACATTTCCCCCTTGAATCTTGCGTGCCATTTGTTTATTTGATACCATTAAAGTGGGTCAAAAGATACAATAAAACCTTTTACAACATTTCACAAATCATGTCCTTGTAATACCAGCATTCTGTTGACACTGTAGTGTGAACCCAGAGTCTACTAGGTTAACTCATAGCCCGGGACTACTCTTACCTGATGCTTCCTTAACTGACCACTTCAGCACCATGGTAGGAGTTTAAAAATCAGGATGCATAAGGGGATCAATTTTGTATATTTAAGTGATCTAGGTCAATGCGAAGATTTCTAATACAGCTTTTAGTCTTTAACCAAAATGGACACATATAAAATGATAAAATTTTCCCTAGTAATATGATATGTGACCAAATATAGCCGTTCTTCCTGACAAGAGTGCATTTTTTAGACTACCATTTAAGCCATTTTTTTTTAATAACATTCCCCTTCCTCCAAAAAAATGTTGTAACAATTGCCCTATTTGATAGAAAAAAAAATGTAGCTGATTAAACTTTTGGGAACTCAAAATTAGGGTTGGCTAAAAGGAATGAGTGTGATGTTTTAGAAAGAAAATGTTATCCTGACAAGAATGTTTTAAAAGTGAGGTCACTGTTGGTTTTGGAAGCACTGGCATTGTAGTTAGTCATGTTTTAAAAATGAAGCAACTTGAAATATCATAAAGTATTGTTTGATCTGAAAGAAGACAGTGAACATTTTTGGTAATTTTTAGTAAGCTCCCTGATAAGATTCATCTATTCATTTTATTGTGGAATTTAGCTTACTAAAATTCCTTTAGCCAGATTTTCCCAGTGCATCTAATAGCTGAATTAACTATTTTATGTTCCTTGATAACTATTTAGTACATTATTCTTTAAATATACATCATTTTAAGCAATCATCGTGTGAAAACTGGTAAAATTCAGCATGATTATTTACTTGACAAAAGATGTATTGTTTCTTAAAAATAAGCCACTAATACTACATTTTATAATACTACATTTTAAATATGATTAAAGTTATAAAACATGCATCCAAACACTTGTTCAGAATACATGGATTATTTATGTTTTGAGGAACGAGACTGTTAAAGATTTGGTGATGTGACAGATGATACAGTTTGTAAACATAACTAAGAAGTTACTCAACTATTATATATAATTAATTAAATCATTGTAGAAATGATTATTCAGCAATTATGTCATTTGGTAAATTCAAAGGTTAATAGGTCCCTGCACTCAAAATTCTTCCAGTTTAGTAAAATGTAGTCATTATTTGTTTTAAAGGAAAAAGTATCTTAAACTATTTATTAATGAGTTATAAAGCCAATATAATACACTGGGGCTCAGTGAGTTATAAAGCCAATACGATACACTGGGGCTCTCTTTCCAGTATACCTCTTGCAAGCTACAGGCAAGTCAGTTACATTCTCTGAACATCAGTTTCTTCATCTGAAAATGTGGAACAAAATATCTGCCCTGCCTACCTCGAGCAGTTTTTTTGAACCTTAAAAAAGATGTTGCTTGTCAAAGTGCCTTAAACTGCACATAGAGATGAAGTATGACAATGCTTTGCATGCAGTTGATTCCTAGGGGTGGTTTTCATCCTGTTACCACTTAACCACATTAATCATTTGGTTAGAAAAATAATAGGCCCAGTGCAGTTGCTCATGCCTGTAATCTCAGCACTTTGGGAGGCCGAGGTGGGTGGATCACCTGAAGTCAGGAGTTTGAGACCAGCCTGGCCAACATGGTGAAACTCTGTCTCTACTAAAAAAAAATACAAAAAATTAACCAGGCGTGGTGGTGAGCGCCTGTAATCCTAGCTACTTGGGAGGCTGAGGCAGGAGAATCGCTTGAACGCAGGAGGCAGAGGTTGCAGTGAGCTGAGATTGAGCCATTGCACACCAACCTGGGCAACAAGAGAGAGACTCCGTCTCAAAATACAAAAAGAAAAAGAAAAAAAGAAAAATAATAGAAACTTGGAAATAGAACCTAGAAGGAAAAAGTTACTCGTAGTTTCTAAACCAAATAATTTTTATCATTTCAAGCTGATATTTTACTTTCAGGTTTTTAAATGTCTAGCTTTGGGGGATATTTAGACAATAATTATACTGCACATTCAACTTTCTTCAGAATTTATTACAGAGTCTTTACATAATTATTTTGATGGCCACATTATCTGTTAGTGGGCTATATCATAGTTTAACTGTTTTTAGAGGAGGCTATCAATAATTTTTTTCATATTGTTATGTGTCATTCATTGGAAATAGAGGTAAATATCTTACATATTAACCTTAAAGTAGTTAAAAGATGTCTTAGTCACAATCATTTCTTAAGGCCCAAGAAAAAAATTTAAACATATAGTTTGGTTATCACATAATTTTAGTCAATTCTGCCACACAAATTGCCTTCTAAACATGCCATCTCTCCAGTGCACCCAGTACAGATGCAATGAATAACATAGTTTCTTCCTGTGCACACTAATAGTGTTTAACATTCTACAGTATATTGAAATGACTCTTCCTAAAGTGAAGACTACTCAAATGTTTTTAGTGGCCAATAAGAATAAATTACAGTGTCAGTCCTAAAAATAAAACCCAAAAGTGTCTTCATTGTCTTTATTTCTGTATCCTACCATTTCAGATATTTTTCTTGATAGACTTAACATACGTGTGTTAAGAATAATACAAGTATTAGCCCATCTAATACCTTGACCTCTCAGTTTCATGACCTTGCACCAGTAATCTTGTCCTCTTTCAATTCAACCATCTACCCCGTGATTGTATTCTAGATCTTGTCATTACTAGTAATTGCATGTCCTCTGTAATCTTTGTAGTAGGTATCCCACTCTCTCCACCATATCCCACATTTCCAGGTTCTTCCCTTCAGTACTCTGACTCCAACTTAGCTTAGAATACATAATTTACTGTTTTATCCTTTCCTAGCATCTCTCTTCTTTTGTCATACTTGCCTTGGAAAAACTCCAACCTTGGTTAACTCCTACTTTTAGTTCCTTTGCACTCGTACTCATGAGGAATAGATGAAGAAGCAAGAGAAAAACAGTTATACTTCCTGGTCTCACTTGAGATACATAATCCCTAACCTTAAGTGGGTTCCCAGTATGACCGAGCAATTCTACTGTTTCTATAGTCTTCTACTTTACCTCTCTTCAAGGTAAGTATTTCACATGTTCTCCTCTCTAACTGCCAATATCCTCTCTCTGCCCCTCATTCATAGCTGATAACTTTGTTTCATATGTCATTGGTATTACTGAAGTAATTGGAAGAGAAAAATATCCTCCATCCACCAAATCTGCCAGCCTACCCACATCTGCCTCAGTGTTTGCTGTTTCCTTTCTTGTGAACTACCTTCACCTCATCTAAGGCCTGTCTACTTGTGCGCTAGAGCCCACTTCTCAGTTACTCACAGTAGGCTCCTGCATGTTTCCTCCCCACCTATCCTACATCACCAACTTTAGTACGGCATCATTTCTGTATACTTATAAACATGCTGAAATACCTTCAATTTCATAACTATCCTTCATGGAAAATAATTTTTTATTTCATAACTATCCTTCATGGAAAATAATTTTTTATATTCCTATCTACTTCCTCTTCTGCCATTCTCTATTGAACCATTTCAGTTGGCTTACCTCATGTTACCTCCATCCCATCCTACAGAAACTAGTCTCGTCAAGGTCAACAGTGATCTAATGTTGCCACATTTGATTGTCAGTTATTGGAGTTCCTCTTCCTGGACCTTTTGGTATTAACACAATTGATCACTCTCCTTGAAATACTATTTTTATATGGCGTCTAGAATACCACTTTCTTGATTTTTCTTCCACCTCAGTAACCATTTATTCATTGCTTGTCTCCTTTGTTCATTGCTCTTCATTTAATGGAGTGCTTGTGTCCCAGTATTTGGTCCTTGGACTTCACCTAACTAACTTTCATTAAATTTCATGTATATACTGATAACTCCCAAATTTATATCTCCAATACCTATTTCTCTTCTAACTCCAGACTCATATATCCAGTTGCCTGGATGCATCTAGATACTGAAAACAATCTCAAATAATGCACCTAGATATCAAAAACAGTCTTAAACTTATTTGCCCCAAACTGAATTCTTACCTCCTTTATCTGTTTCTCAGTCAGCCTCATTTCAGTTCATAACAATTCCATTTTTCTAGTTGCTTGGACCAGAAGCCTTGGAGATGTCTTTAATTCTCTCCCTGCTTTCACATCCTGTCTTTGCACTGAAACTTAGAGAATATATCAGGAATCTCAACCATTTCTCACCACCCCACCACCACCGTTCTATTCCAGGCCTGCAACAGCTCTTGCCTGGTCAGTTGCAGTAGCCTTTTAGTTGGTGTCTTCATTTTTCACTCCTGGCCTCTGTAGTCTGTTCTCCACACAGCAGCCAGAGGAATCATTTAATTTTGATACAAGTCAGATCATAGCACATGACTCTGCTCGGAACCTACCATTTGCTGCACATCTCACTCCAAATCCAGTGTTCCTTACCGTGCCCCACCAGGACTGTGGTATTGTCTGTCTGTCTGCCCCCTACTTACCTTTTGGACATCTCAAATCACTCTGCCTCCCTCACTATACTCCAGTCACAGTGACCTCCTTGTTTGTCAAACACACCTAGCATGTACTCACCTTAGCCTTTATATGTATTGTCCTCTGCCTGAAATACTCTTCCTTCTGTTCTTCTTGTGGCTCCTTTCTTCCTTTCAGGTCTTCACTCAAGTGTTACTTTTGCAGATAGGCCTTCTTCTCCTTTGGCCATCTGAAATAGCACTCTCCCCTGACCTTAATCCCTTCACCATGCTTTACTTAGCTTCATGGGCTTGATACAATTATATATTTTTCTATCTATTTTTCTTCCTGTATAAGAGAGGAAAAATAGATAAATATATAAATGTATGTTTACATATTTATACATTCTCCTCCCCTATTTCGTTGATTGTTGTCGTTTTAACACCTGGAACAGTGCCTGGCAAATGAAGGCACCCCACTTATTGTCGATAATCTTTTCTTGAAAATAACATATTCTGCCCTAAAGTGCTCACAGTGAGTCTACTTCCCATTATTTTAAGTGGGAAACGTTATAATGTGTTATCAATTTAAAACCCCCTTCTAGTTATTTTTTTGAGACAGTCTCATTCTGTCACTCAGGCTGGAGTGCAGTGGCACGATCTTGGCTCACTGCAGCCTCCGCCTCCCGGGTTCAAGCAATTCTCCTGCCTCACCCTCCCAAAGTTCTGGCATTATAGGCGTGAGCCACCATGCCCAGCCTACTTTGATTCTTTCTCCACAGTTTTCTTTAATACTTCAACTTTTTGGGGATTCATTATGTGAACAATAGGGAAAAATAAGAGCTTATTGTGAAAGGCACTGTAGAAACTTGTTCAGAATAAATGAATAATAGCAGAGAATGGCCACTTGTCCCTCTCTTAGTTCTAGCAGCAGTTAAGATTTGTTGATATATAGTGAACTTTTGAAAAGCCTAAGTGTGAGTCTGACATTATACCAATTCAGAATGTAACTCGAAAATGTACTCATGCATTGTTTTGTTTAAAATGTTATGTTGAAATTTGGAGACAGAAACATAAATTTTCCTATATAAACATTGACCAGAAACACTGGGTATAGAGAGTTATCTTTGGTCTGTAATGACTATATAGTAAAAGCCAAGAGGCATTCTCCAAGGGAGTAGTATTCTATGAAGTATGCTATTATTTATTGAAGTGCATGCATACATTGCATACTTACTAAGTGTATGCATATGTATTTTTGTAATAGAGACTTTATTAAGGATTTAGTAAGAAACAAAGGAGGTTTATGAAACATAACACCTAGCATAATTAATATAAATTCCCATCAGACATCACTGTCTTCTATATCTCTCTTTGTCTCTCTCTTTTAATATACTCGTTGATGTTTTGAGATTTTACTGATTTGGAAAAAAAATAAAATCAAGAAAATCATGAAAAAAATTAGGATTGCTAGCATAGAAAATACAGTTGTTGCCGGGCGCAGTGGCTCACACCTGTAATCCCAGCACTTTGGGAGGCCAAGGCAGGTGGATCATGAGGTCAGGAGATCGAGACCATTCCTGGCTAACACGGTGAAACCCCGTCTCTACTAAAAATACGAAAAATAAGCTGGGCATGGTGGCGGGCGCCTGTAGTCCCAGCTACTCGGGAGGCTGAGGGAGGAGAATGGCATGAACCCGGAAGGCGGAGCTTGCAGTGAGTCGAGATTGTGCCACTGCACTCCAGCCTGGGTGACAGAGTGAGACTCCGTCTCAAAAAAAAAAAAAAAGAAAAGAAAATACAGTTGTTACTGAACATAAATTCACTTTTTATCACCACGAAGTGCCAGGATATGAAATTCATCACGAGAAATTCTAGGTATTTTGGTAAGAGTGCTATTTTAACGTAAGTACCACAAAGGGAACTATAATGAAAAAAATGGAATGAGTGTAATGAAGTCATCCATGTTCTCACACTATAGATAAAACCCTCAAATCTCTGATGTAGATAACCAGAAGAAGGAGATTCATTCTGTGAAAAATAAAAAAAGTTGGATGCTAAAGTGGTAAGGACAGATTTGAATCAGTAATGTGCTATTACAATAAGAAGAGTCACACATGAATTGCACTCAACTTTGATTTGTGTAGAGACAACTGGTCATTTTAAAGGAAAGTGAGGAAACTGGGAGAGGTTGAGTGAGGCTCAGAGTTAGCTAAGTGAAAAGTTCCAGATAGTGGGAAGGGGGGATTGGTCCATGTGGAACCCACCTGGGTGCTCTAGCTGGTATTTATCAAAATTAGTCTCCTACCTTCTCACAGAGACTGAAAGACTGAAAGGCCCTGTTTTCAGCTCTTGGTTGGAACAAACAATAAATTATTTTGTCAGCCTCGAGTTTTCTCAAGCAGGCACTTTAAGAAGACATCTTAGGGATGCAGGTTAGAGCTGCTAGAAACAATGCTAGTGTTTGTTCAGGTCCTTAGAGGCCAAGGTTGAGGCCTAGTTGAGTAAAGGACTCAGAGGATCATGGCTAGAGTTTGGTCAAAAAGACAGCCTTTGTCCCTGGGAAATTAATATAAATCAGACCCTATCATTCCACTTTTTATCAACTTTCCTATTACACTTAGAATTAAATCCACTCCTCTTCCAGGGCTCACAGAGCCTCCAGGTGAGCTCATCACTCCCTGTATTTCCAGCCTTGCGTTGCACCATGCTTGCTGCTTGCTTGCTGTGCACTAGCCACACTGGTTTTCCTTCAGCCCTCCCTTTGCAGATACTCACTCTGCTTGGAATGTTTTCCTGCATTCTTTGCTTGGCTAGATTCTTTTATGACTGGATAACTGTTAACTCCTCAGAAAGTCCTTCCCCAGTTCACCTACCTACCACAGGTCCTCAGTTTTCTCATCTCCTTTGTTTCTTTCATAGAAAAAGTTGCATTCCAACTTGCAAATGCTGGTATTTGGTTTATTCCTCTGCCTACTTTTTTTTTCATTCTGCCTGCATCAGAATGTAATGCTGGATCTTGTTTACCATTGAATGCCCATCACCTAGCATTGGACTTGGCACATTTTAAGTGTTCAGTAAATATTTATTAAATGAACGGGGACCCTTCAGAGAAACATTTGTGTGAATTAAAACAAATAATTTGCAGATTTTTATTGACAAAGTATAGAGATAAACTTGCTAAGTTAATAACTTGCATCGTTGAAAAATGTCATCTATTATATCTAAATTTTTTCTTTTTTGTAGTAAAGCATTCTTGAATATACATTCAGAGGCATTAAGTACATTCATGTTGTACAAGCATCACCACCCTCCATCTCCAGAAGTTTTTCATCTTCTCAAGCTGAAATTCTGTACCTATTGAACACTAATTCCTCCTTCTATCCTCCTGGCAGCCACCATTCTAGATTCCATCTCTATGAATTTCACTACTCTAGGTACCTCTTATAAGTGAAATCATATATAGTGTTTGTCCTTTTATGACTGGCTTATTTCACTTAGCATAATGTCTTCAAGATTCATCCATGTCGTAGTATGTCAGAATTTTCTTCTTTTTTAAGGCTGAATAATATTCCATTATGCATATGTATGTGTATATATACACACACACACACACCTACCCCACATTTTGTTGATTCCTTCATCCCTGGATAGACACTTGGGTTTCTTCTACCTTTAGGCTATTGTCAATAATGCTGCTGTGAACTTAGGTGTACAAATATCTGAGTCTCTGCTCTCAGTTCTTTTGGGTATATATCAGAGTAGAATTGCTGGATCAGTAATTTTATTTCTTATTTTTTGAGGAACCACCAAAATGTTTTCCACAGAGGTGGTATCATTTTACATTCCGACCAGCAATGTACAAAGGTTTTAGTTTCTCCACATACCAGCTAACATGTGTTACTGTTTTTTTGTTTGTTTTACTAATCTTAATGAGTGTGAACTGATATCTCATTGTGGTTTTGATTTACATTTCCCCAATGACTGATGATACTGAGCATCTTTTTATGTTTTGTTGACCATTTGTCAACAAAAGAGAAATAGACATTTCTCTCTTTGGAGAAATGTAATGTGTCAGAATGTAATGCTGGATCTTGTCCTCTCTTTGGAGAAATGTCTATTCACGTCCTTTGCTTATCTTTAAATCAGGTTGTTTATTATTTGTTGTTGAACATACAAATATTTTGTGTAGTAGTAGAAATACAAAAATACTTAAAACATGTCTTCTTTCTTACTATTAGTGGTGTAAAGTATAATTTGCTAGCTCACACTACCCTAACCTTGGAAAGTGCTGAGGATAGTTTCAAGACCCATAATCTGTCTATTAATGGAAATGGTAAGTACAGTATATATTTTACTTATTACATATATTCTGTCTATATTTCTAATTATAGTATGTTCCCCTCAAGTGGATATCGGCTTAAATAATGGAGACATGAGTGATTCTGTTGGTTCTTTAAAATATATCTGTCCCTCTTCCCCAAAGGAGAAAAGTTTATTTTCCTTTCTCTACACTGAGATTTGCTTGCAAGGCTTAGTGGGAAAAGAAGGGTCTCAGGTATGCTCAATCCTTGTTTTTGACTTGGAATTTATGACTTTACCACTCTTCTAGCTGGAAATTAAAGACCTGACTTATTTTTAAATTTGAAATCAAGGAAGCCAGCTTTTCTGTTAGTAGGAAGCAGAGAATGTAAGAAAGAGAAAGGGTTAAATTATCTTAACTTTTTTCTCTTTGGATGGCGGTGGTATTTAGAGTTTACCTTTTTCTCTTTGGATGGCAGTGGTAGTTATAGTTTATCCAAAATAAAGATACAGGAAACTGAAGAAGGGGTTTAGGTCATTAGGAAGATTTGTAAAACTTAGCATGAGCACTTGCTACTCTCCCAGGTTATTTTACTTGTGATGAAAAAATATGGAGCAGTGCTGGTAAGGCAGTTTGGAAGTATGATTTGGGTTATTTACTTTTGTTCATTTTCTCCAAGCAAAATAAATAAAAATATGTGGTAAAGTCCTAATTATACTTACTGTTGTAAGGATTGTGGCTCTGTACTGATAAGATTGATAATGTTATACCAATTTTTTTTGTTTCACAATGAGAAATTATGTTAAAAATAGGGAAAAGTTCATGAAATGTAAATATGTAGTTTAAAAAATAATTATGAGGCTAGGTGTGGTGGCTCATGCCTGTAATCCCAGTTCTTTGGGAGGACGAGATGGGAGGATCACATGAGCCCAGGAGTTTGAGACCTGCCTGGGTAACATAGTGAGACCCTATCTCTACAAAAATAAAAAAAAAAAGTAGCTGGCCATGGTCGTGCATGCATGTAATCCCAGCTACTCAGGATACTGAGGTAGGAGGATCGCCTGACCCCAGAAGTTCAAGGCTGCAGTGAGGTATGATTGTACCATTGTTCGCCAGCCTGGGCTACAGAGTGAGACCCTGTCTCAAGAAATAGAACATGTCAAGAAATAGAACGTTACTACCCCTCCTTTCCCTCAGTTACCCTAGCTGTACATATGTCTCCATTTATCTCTTAGACTGATTTAATTATTCTTAATAGTTACAGGGTTCTTCAGCTTTTCTATTTCTTGGGTCAGTTTCAATAAGTTATGTTTTTATAGATATCTACCTATTTGATCTAAACTTTGAGATTTATAGGCATTAAATTTTCTATAATGTCCTTATATCTATTGAATTTCTGCAGCCTCTGTAGCATTGTTCCCTCTTTTCCATTCTGATATTTGCTTTCTGTACCATCTCTGTTTTTTAATTCTCATTCTTGTAATAGATTAGTCAGTTTTATTCACCCGTGTGTTCCATATTTGCTAATTATTTGTTAGGAGTAATGATTGTAGTCTATATACTTCATATTACTACAAGAGGTATGATAAAATCTCCTTCTGTGATTGTGGATTTTTCGACCCATAGTTATATCTATTTTTACTGTATATAATTTGAACCTTTGTTATTTGATGCATGTGTTTAAATTGTGTATTTTCTTCTTTTACCTCAAACTGTACTTATTTTTATGTTACAAACATGCCTCTTCAAACAGCATTATATTGGATTTTAATTTTTCTCTAATTTGACAATCTTTTTTTTACCGAAGCTTTTAGTCCTTTCGTATTTAATATCAAATAGCTGTGTATTTAGGTTTAAATCTATGATAACCTGTGTTTTCTGTTTGTCTCACCTATTCCGTGGTTATTTTTTCTTGCCTTTTAAGGCAATTTTTCCTTGTTTGAATTAAGGTTATACATCCTTTTTCTCATTTTTTAGAATTTACCCCTAAAAATTTCATTAATCATACTTATTAAAAACTAAACTTAAAAGATAGTTTTGTGCTTTTCTCAGACAATGCAAGGACTTTAGAACAATTAAACTCTTTTCCCTAACCTATGTGCTATTGTTATATATTGTAATTCTTTTTTTTTTTAGTACTTATTTAGATTTAATATTTATTTAGATTTACCTACATGTTTCTGTGCACTACTTGTATCTTATGCCTTGCATCTGGGATACTTTTCCCTCTGCTTGAATTATAAGCCTTAGAATTTCTTTTAGTGAGTTATGCTGATATCAGACTTCTTGTTCTTTTTGTTTATCTGAAGATGGCTTTATTTTGCCTCATTATTGAAGATATTTCTTAATTCTGCAGTTTTAATTTTTTCTTGTTGAATATTGAACATATAATTCCAACATTTTTGGCTTTTATTATTTTACTATAAATGTTGTAAATCATTTGCCAGTATGTCACCACTATGAGTGTAATCTTTTTATTTATTTTTGCCTTTGGTTTTCTAAAATTTTACCATGGTATAATTAGGTGTAGAGTTTATTTATGCTGCTTGGGGTTTCTTGAGCTTCTTTACATTGTTGATATGTTTCATCAGTTTGGACAAAATCTCTCCTACCTGTTTGAAACTGCCTCTGCTGTTGTGTAGCTTTTGTTCTTTTTGCATGCCTGTTAAACCTATGTTAGTCTTTTTCATTGTATCCTTCGTGTTTCTTACTCTTTATGATGTACTTTTCAACTAACTTACAGATTTTTAGAACATAAGCTATTCATAAATCTGAGATTGCCTATATAAAGAAATTTGCTTTCAAACTTCTAAATTTACAAATCACAAAGTTGATTTCAGATGTATTACTGAAATACATGCTTTTACAGAATTTTCATTTCATTTGCTGCCTGTTTTAGGAAAGATAACTTTTGTTTATTTGTGTTTGCATTTTGGAATTGTATGTATTATGCTCGTGCATTTATTTTTCCCAGATTAAGCCCCTTATTTCTAAAATATAGCAGCTTTAAAATGTATTAATGAAAAAGATTTGAATAGTCTCAGAACATTGTTGTGTACTATTCTATAGTAGAATCTTGGGTAGGTAAATTTAAAACTTTTTGGTTTTACTACAAACCTTTGCTGCCTTGCATGTATATATTAACTATTTTTACAAAAAAAATTCTGGGGTAATTAAAACTTTTTGGTGAATAATAGTTACGGCCAGTAGCTAGCGATTTTGTAGGCACTACCAACAGGGCACAGCCAAAACTTTAAAAATCATTTTTATGTGATCCAGTGTGAACTAAGGGCCATATGTTTGGTTTTTATTTATACTCTGATGTCTAGAATAAATTATTTAATGCTTTCCTCCATATAGATAGGTAGTACACAGGTAGGTATCTTCATTAAAGGACTATCTTAATGTTTTTTGAAGTAACTTTTTTAAACAATGTCAAACTTACAGAAAAGTTGCAAGTTGAATGTCAAGATTTTTTTTTTTTAATTAGAGATGGGTATCGGTATATTACCTAGTCTGGCCTCAAACTCCTGGGTGCAAGCACTCCTCCCACCTTGGCCTCTGGAGTAGCTGGGACTACAGGCAGACACCACCACACTCAGCTTAAATGTCAAGATCTTTTTTTTCTCAAAAAAATTATGACAGCAAGTTGCTTACATGATAGTCTGTACCCCAAAATGTATTAATACATATTTCCTACTATCAGGACATTCAGCTACATCATCATCACTCTTGAAGTCAAGAAATGAATACTAATACATTACCACCATATAATCCTCAGAGTCCATTCAAGATGTTGCCCATTGTCACAATAATGTTCTTTATGGCAGAGGGATACAATGCAGAATCATACATTTCATTTAATTATCATGCTTTTTAATTGTCCTTCAATCTGGGCTACTTCTTCATTCATTGGGCTCTAATGTTCGATGTCAGGCTCCTCTTCCCAGGCATATCTCTTTTACCCTGCTTGCTCAAGACAGAGTCCCAAATCTAGGCTGCGCCCCAGTGTCATCACCCTCTCAGGCCCTTCAGGTGCTGATACCTCCTGCAGGCAGCCCCTGCTACTCACCATTCTCATTCTGCCTGTCTCCATCATCCATTTCTAGCACACCACAGCTCCTTCTCCAGTCCTGGCACAGATGTTCATGTTGGGGGCTCTATCTAATGGCTTATGACTGAATTGTTCAGCAAAAGAAGGGGAGGAGGAAGGGCCAAAAATGTTGATGAAGTTATCTTAAGTTCTCTGAAATAATGTTTTTTGTTTTTGTTTTGCTTTGTTTTTGAGATGGAGTCTTGCTTTGTTGCCCAGGCTGAAGTGCAGTGGTGCAGTCTGAGTTCACTGCAACCTCCGCCTCCTGGGCTCAAGCGATTCTTCGGCCTCAGCCTCCCAAGCAGCTGGGACTACAAGCATGCACCACCATGCCCAGCTAATTTTTGTATTTTTAGTAGAGACAGGGTTTCACCATATTGGCCAGGCTGATCTCAAACTCCTGACCTCAAGTGATCCGCCTGCCTCGGCCTCGCAAAGTGAAATAATGTTTTATTCAGAGGATCACTTTTCTAATTATTATAATGAAAATCAGAACAAAAAGTAGAATTTGACAAACATAAATTACTTTATTAGAATGTTTTTATATTAAATGAGATCACTTATATTCTCTGAACAACTTTCATTGAATAATTAAAATCAAACAAGAGACTAAACAGTTCATTTTTATTCAGGTGATAGCATGCTATAAACTGTCAGTTTAATATTATCCTGTCCTTTCTATTCTCATATTTGATTTTCTCACTTAATATGGCACTGGTATTTGGGTAGGATGAATCTTTACATGAAACTAATTCTAAAATATGTTCTGTACAAAGCAAAACAAAATTGTAAAAAGAGAAAAATCAAAATGTATGATGACCTTAAATAAACTTATATTTATAACTTGATTTTTTTTTTTCTTTCTCCTTTAAATAGAGGAGTCTTCATTTTGGCTTCCCCTGTATGGCAACATGTGCTGCCGACTAGTTGCCCAGCCAGCTTGTATGGCTGAGGATGCATTTGCAGGATTTCTTAATCAGCAGGTTAGAGGACTTTAAATATCCTACAACAATTGTAGCTCTACTTTAAATCTTAATATACAGGCAGTTGTTTCACCTTCTGATATTGAGAAGTATTTTTTAAGTCTTTTTTTAAATGTCAGTTTTCTAAATGTTATCAGATATAAACTGTAGGGGGTGCGGGGTGAAAAGAATGACAAGGTAGGGAGGGATCTACTGCGATGTTGATGGCTAAGGCGCTACCTCTCCATGCTCCTCTGCTTCATTAATAGCAGCAACAGGATAATCAGCAACAGAGGGCTCCGTGTGGAAACTGATGAGGGCTGCTCAACACCTTTCACATAAAGGTCTTTCTGGCAGACAGCGTTTGGCACGGTTTAGGACTCTGAGCTTCCAAAGCTGCCTGCCTCTGTGCCACCTACTGCTGATTTATTTATAACCATAGTTATTTATATTCAGTAAATAATTAATTGTGAACTTCAATGAATCAATAGCTTTTTCTAAAAGATTCCATTAGGAGGAAAGAAAATTTGCATTCTTAAAGGGTAGTTGACATTTTCCGATGCTCTGAGAACAGTAAGGGAAAATAATATTTTGAACATACAGAATTGTTTTTATAATTTTCCTGAGTCATTTGATGAATTGCTATAGAATTCTAAGCACTAATTTTTAATCGACTAGCTTTTCTAAAACACCATTGATCTATGGTTTTATGTGTGTAAAAGTTAGGTGGTAATCGTTGCCTCCATTTCACTTAATGCCTTTAAGAATTCCAAACTTTTCTTCTCTGATATTAACATACTCTTGGATTTGGGGCAATTAACCTTTTGTATATCAAATTAATGGATAATTCCATCACATTTTAAAAATTCTAAATAACTAATTTAACCTTGATAAGTATTTTGATGTATTTAAAGTGATAATAACTTAAAATTGATAGTCTCTTGATTTTTTTTTTTTTTTTTTCAGCAAATGGTAGAAGGTCTGATTAGTTGGAGAAGGTTGTATTGTGTTTTGCGAGGAGGTAAACTCTATTGTTTTTACAGTCCAGAGGAAATTGAAGCTAAAGTGGAACCAGCTTTGGTAGTACCCATTAACAAGGTAAAGGAAATGCTATTTTGAGAAAAAAATATACATCTTAGGAAGTTTGTTTTTGTCTGTGCAGTTTACATTGTTGTTGTCTTATAAATAAAAGAGAAGTACTGGTAAAAACAGGTTACTTCATAAATATGATTTAATCTGTTTCTGTTTTTCTATTAGAGCTTATCTGTTATAAGAAAATGTATATTTCCTAAGAAAACATAGTAATGGACATCTATACCAGTAAATAGGTTTTAAGGCAGAGAATGTAACTCCACATTAGCAGTATATTTAAATTTTTTATGAATTTACTTAAGAGATTAAACATAAATTGTTAGCTCATGTTATTATAGTGATGCTGTTTCTAGTTAGCATTCAAATGAAGCCATAAAAAGACATTCTTGACTATACTTTCTGATTTCTTATGGGATTGATAGGCAATTGTCCAGTCTTCTGACAGAACAGAAAAGCCTGACAGTCCATTTAGAATAGTTGAGTGCTTATACTGCATTTAAAAAGTAGTACCACACTACCTAGAAAATTTGTCAAGTATATATATACTGGTTTGTTACAAAGGAGACTATTGAAATCTAGCTACAATTTTTTCATCTAGAATCCTATAGGAAAACTTCAATATAAGGCAAACTTAGTTTCTTCTACCTCACGGTCTTAAATTTAGCTTTGTCTGTTATTCAAGTCTAGTGTTGATTAGAGGATTTTTCTTTCCTCATTTTTTAGAGCATTCCTACTCTAAAATAATTGCATTTCTAAACCAAAATATCATGGTTTTTGCCTGTGGGCTGCCCCTAATTGTTTCTAGTTGTTCTACTTTGCTTGTCTTTGGTGTAGTTGAAGTGTGTGATAAAACATGAGCCATCACATTTGTTCTCCTTGTCTTTGAAATTATCCTTTAAAGAAGAATGTAAAGTTGTACGTCCTTTTATATAATAGTTGTATTCCTGAAAACGCGTGGGTACCAGTCTACTGATCTATAAAGACTTGAGTTTAGTTTCATGATCTTTTCCAATAATAACATTTTTGTCTGTTTCTATTCCACTTTTAGAAATTACACTGCTTTTTACTTACAGAAAGTCTTTTAGTGAGACCTTTTATTATATAAATTCACCTAATTTAACTGTTTTGTTTAAACTGTTTTGTTTTGACAAATCAAGGACATAATACATCAGTATTATAATGAATCTATTTTGGCTTAGAAAATTAAGTTTTTGAAATATATAATTTTATTAATGAAAAATTGACATGCTTTTTTCATTACTTGCCAACTTTTTATTTTGTTTGGTTTATGCAGTGTTGTATTTCCTGTCGCTTTTTCATACTTTAGTCTTTTGAAAATTTCAGATGGAAAAATTGAAACAGAATAATGAACACCTGTATACCATTCATCTAGACTTTTCAGCTGTTGTTAACATTTTGCCACATTTGCTTTCTTTCTAGTTAAAATTTTTTTCTGAACCATTTTAAAATCAGTTGCAAACAACGTAACATTTCTTCTCTGAATATGTTAGCATATTTCTCCTAAAACCAAGGACACTTTTTCATAACCATAATATTATTGTCATGCTCAAAATGTTTATTGTTGATACAATATTATCTAATATACAGAAGAAATTGCTCTAATTGTCCCCAAAATATCATTTCTAATTTTTATTTAGTGTCTGATCCAGGACCTCATCAAGGATCCTATAGTGCATCTGGTCAGCATTTCCTTTGATTCCTTTCATCTAAATTGTGCCCTTCACCTCCTGCCTTTATTTATTTATGCCTTTCATTACATTGACATTTTTTAAAAGTCCAGGCCAGTTTTCTTCTTAGAATCTCTCCAAATCTATATGTAACTAATTATTTCACTAGATTCAGCTTAAATAATTTTGGTAAAAGTTCTGTGTATATGATTATGTCTACTTTGGCTTTTACTAAATAGCTGAGGAGTAAAAATGAAATCCTACTAATTTTTTTCTTATATTTTATACCATAGAATATTCAGTCATAAAATAAAATGTAATCTAAACAAATGATATTTTTGAAGTCATTAGTTTTATTTGAAGACAGTCTCGAAGGAATTCAACTCGCCATATCTCAGTCCTTTAAGGTAGGCAAAGCAGGGATGACAGCCCTGTTTTACAGGTATATTATTTCTTTTACAAGTGAAGAAATAGTCTCAGAGATCAGATAGAACTTTCCAAACTAGTAAGGAAAATTATATGGCTCACCCTTTTCCTAATGAGTAGGAAAAAATAGATAAAAATTCATGGACTGTTTTTGCTATTTCCTCATAGGCGTACTGCTAGACCAGATTTGGAAGGCAAAATTAGACTTTTTCCTCTCTTCATATCACTGTAAATCAATTTTGAAAGTTAAAAAGTAGCTATAAAATGAGGTTCTGAGCATGAAACCACAGCAGACTTATAGGCGATGGCTTAGGCATGTGTGTGGAAACTTTACGATTTAAATTTAAGAGAACATTTATAATAAAACTGTGTTATTGTAGTCAGTGTGTCTGTATTTTCAGTCTGATGACAAGGATCTAATTCCAGAAAAGTGGTGACAATGTTTATATGGCCTGACTGAATTGACCTATTTTAATTGATTTACTTTTCCTTGTGGTAATAAAGGCTGATGGCCAGGTGACTAATGAGATTTTGTAGTCAATCAGTGGCATTGTAAGATGACTGAAGTCAGCAGACTTGCAAATTCCAGTGTTTCTTCCACAATTGGCCATTACATATCACAGGAAAATTATTAATTTAGTAATTTGTATAGATTTAGCCTTATACTTGAAGACAATGTGAGCTACATTTGACCTTGAGGACTGGTGACTTAATTATCTCTTCCGTTGTACATAACTTCTGTCTAAAGTACAAAAGAGCATTTTAAAATTAGACATAAAATAAGAGTTAAGGTTGGAAAGATATATTTATTATTATTATAGAATATAAATAAATATAATTTAATTGTTAATCTCAAAGATGAAACTGGTGACAAAGTATTCTGTTTTCCTTCTTTGCAATATTGCCATCTTAATTTTCTCCAGTGTTGGTTTCCTGTGTTTTTCTCTTTAGAAGCCTTTTTCTCTTTGTAGTTCTTCTACTTCAGGCTTCCTTTGAATTTTTCCATTCACCTGAAAACTTCCCTCTTAATAGTGAATTCACTGATCTCCTTATTGAAAAAATCAAGCACTATCCCAGTCAAGAAATATATTTGTTACTTCCTAAAACATGACTGTTATATAATTATTTTTCCTTTTAAAGTAATTTTTGTTTTTTCTTAACTTACAAAATGATTCAAATGTACAGAAAAGTTGAAACAAAAAAAACCATACTGATGGCCCATATACATACCACCTAGACTCAGCAGTTAACATTTTGTCATATTTACATTATCTCTTTGATTAAATCTATATTTTTTGATGACCCATTTGAACATAAGACTTTGATATCATGATACTTCATTCCTGAATACTTCAACATGTAACTCCTATTAATAAAAATAGGGACCTTTCATATATATACATAATCATAATACCATTATCACAGCTAAGAAAATTAAAAATAACTCTTATGTCACCTAATATTCAGTCCATATTCAGATTTCCCATTTTCCCAAAATGGCCTTTTAGCTCAGGTCTTCAGTCCAGGATTATTCAGGGATTATGCATCCTCGACAATTCTTCTAATTTGTAAATGAGGTCTAGAGGCTTGATTGTATTTATGTAAAATATTTTTATTAGAATATTTTATGGTCGATCAGACAAGTACGTTATAGAGCCTCCCGTTAGGAGGCTCATGATGTCAGGTTGTCGCCACTACTGGTGATGCCCTCTCTCCAACATAATCTTCCCTCTTTACTATTAGCAAGTAGTCAGTGAGGAGACACTTTGGCACTGTGTGACTGTGTTTGTTTTCTAACAATCTTTCACATAATGGTTTTAGCCACCTGTGATTGTCTTTGCCTAAATCACTTATTACACGGAAGATTCTGGGTGATTTTCTCATACTACTTTCCTTCTACATATGTCCTTCCTTTTGGCATTCTTTTTGTAAAGAAGTTTTTCTTATCAACTAGGGATGAATTACAGTCTCTTGTGAAAAGGCAGGATAAATACTTGGTATCTTAATTGCCAATTTTCAGGGTAAGAAGTTGGTGTCATGTATTGGTATAGCATTGGTATTGGTAATATATATTGGAGTTGATATTACTCCCTCCAGGGGTAGCAGATGAGTGTTATCTTCCTCCCTGCCCTACCTTCACTGTCTCATATAGTGATAAATTAATAGGTTTTTATCTATTCAGTGTTTTAAATTACTTGGTTTTTAAATCTAATGTAGATATTTTGATTGTTTTTCTTACCTTGCAGATTTGTAAGGGAGACATGCTATTAGCGTTTTCTTTTTGGTTTTTTGTTTGTTTGTTTGTTTGAGACAGGGTCTGGCCCTGTCTCTCAGGCTGGAGTGCAATGGTGCCATCACAGCTCACTGCAGCCTCCACCTCCCAGACACAAGGGATCCTCCCACCTTAACCTCCCTAGTAGCTGGGACTACAGGTACGTGCCACCACACCTGGCTAATTTTTGTATTTTTTGTAGAGACAGGGTTTCACCATGTTACCCAGGCTGGTCTCAAACTCCTCGGCTCAAGCAATTCTGCCTGCCTCAGCCTCCCAAAGTGCTGGGATTGCAAGTATGAGCCACCATACCCAGTCTCTTAGTATATTCTTTTTTTTTCCTATTTATTTATTTATTTATTTATTTTTGAGACAGAGTCTTACTCTGTTGCCCAGGCTGGATTGCAGTGGTGCCATCTTGGCTCACTGCAACCTCCACCTCCCAGGTTCCAGCTATTCTCCTGCCTCAGCCTCCTGAGTAGCTGGGATTATAGGCACCTACCACCATGCCCGGCTAATTTTTGAAGTTTTCGCTGTGCCCTGTTGGTAGTGCCTACAAAACAGCTAGCTACTGGCCATAACTATTATTTACCTAAAAGTTTTAATTACCCCATATATATATATTTTTTTTTTAAGTAGAGATGGAGTTTCACCATGTTGCCCAGGGTGGTCTCGAACAATGTATTCTTAAATAAACAAAGGATAAAAACCAGTTTGGTATTTTCTGATACAGCAGGTAAGGATCAAGTAAAACTTTTAAGAATAGTGTTCCTCGGCTGGGTGCGGTAGCTCACGCCTGTAATCCCAGCACTTTGGGAGGTCAGCACGGGCGGATCAGGAGATCAGGAGATCAAGACCATCCTGGATAACAGGGTGAAACCTCATCTCTACTAAAAACACAAAAAATTAGCCAGGCATGGGGGCACACGCCTGTAGTCCCAGTTACTCGGGAGGCTAAGTAAGGCAGGATAATTGCTTGAACTTGGGAGGTGGAGGTTGCAGTGAGCCGAGATTGTGCCACTGCACTCCAGCCTGGGTGACAGAGTGAGACTCCATCTCAAGAAAAAAGAATAGTGTTTCTCTTTTAGTTTTTAGTATATTTCTAATGGTCTCTAAGATCTTTAAGCTTAATAATGTTAAACATTAAATACAAATCAGAGTTTTTTGTCTTTTGATTGTCTTTCTTCTTTTCTCATGAAAATAATTTTCCTTAATGCTACTTAAAAATTATTTGAAAACATAAATTTCACAATTGCTAAGGTATATAAATAATAGTTCTGTTATTTAGATCACAGGATCTGTTCTCAAGCTATAATTCTTGTCCTTCTAAATGGCATTTCTTGTAAGGCTAAGTTAGTTCATTAATTTTCATAGGGAGCCATCTGTGGAAATAGTCACATTAAGGGAAGAAAAGCCTAAGAGCTATTCCCCTCCCATTGTCAATCCAAATTTGAAAGGGTGATTTACTTCAAAGTGATTGCTTCAAATTCAGAAAACTTCACAAGAATGTTCTTGAGCAAGACATTCTCAATAACAGGTACTTAACTGAATTTCCTACACATTATAGAAAGCATTTTGTTAACTAAAGCTTTATCCATTGTCAATATGGTGAGGGGTGTGACGGTTAAAAAAAAGTGTGAGTCTTTGAGATCAAGCCTTTTCTTGTTTTAAATATTATATACATCATTCATTTTAATAAAATCTGTACTAAACAAGTCAATAACACTATTTAGTGTAGTAGACTTTGGATAAATTGTTTTGAAAATACTTTTAACTATTATATTTATCATAGAACCTAGAAAGCAAAATTATTATGAAGCACATGGGATTTTAATCCAATTATATTAGTTTCCTTAATATCTAATCATATCAACTATTCAGATTTTTAAAAGTAAATATAGCAAAAATAATTTTTCAAACATTTTCCTGTAGGAGTTTACATCTGATTTAATTAATATAAATTTAAAATAATTATATTAAACTGATACTAATCATACCTCATGGTTGGTTTAACTTACAGCTATGCATTACATATTTCAAACATTCCTTGTCGTATACATGAAGATATCCTTTTTTGTCATTAGAGTATATATAAAGTCTAAAGCTTGTTTTTAGCACCAACATTTTGTCTTCATTGCTGATTAACAGGACTTCAGACGAAGCACTTTTCAAATAACTCATTTATCTTTACAGCATGTTTGTAAGGAAGATGTGAGATATCTGCATTACAGCCAAGAAAGAGGCATTAATAATAGACTGACTTTGGTTTTTGTGTTTGTATTTTATTTTTTAATTATTTTCTTTGGAAAAAAATTCAAGGTAATTTATACATAGAATAGTATAAATGAACCCATGTGTACTCTCACACATTGCCCCCACATTAGATATATTTTGAAGCAAATCCTAGAGACCATATCATTTTACTTGTAAATATTCCAATTGTCACACTTAAGAAAATTTATGGTTTTATATATAAGTTGTCATATGTAGATATAATTATATGTAGTTAATATATCGTTAAAAATCCAGGCAGTCTTTAAGATCCCTAGTCTCAATTTTTGTAAGTTTTTGAGTTAGGATCCAAATAAGGGCCACATATTATGGTTGATTGATTAGGTCTTTTAAGTCTCTTTAGAAAAAGGAATGCTCATACATTGTTGGTGGGGGTGTAAATTAGTTCAGCCATTGTGAAAGACAGTGTGTTGATTCCTCAAAGACCTAAAGACAGATACCATTCGACCCAGCAATCCCATTACTGGGTATATACCCAAAAGAATATAAATCATTCTATTATAAAGACACATGCACACATATTTTCATTGCAGCACCATTCACAGTAGCAAAGACATGGAATCAACCTAAATGCCCATCAGTGGTGGGCTGGATCAAGAAAATGTGGTACACATACACCATGGAATGCTCTGCAGCCATAAAAATGAACTAGATCATGTCCTTTGCAAGGACATAGATGGAGCTGGAGGACATTATCCTTAGCAAACTAACACAGGAACAGAAAACCAAATACCACATTTTCTCACTTATAAGTGAGAGCTAAATGATGAGAACACATGGACATATAGAGGGTAACAACACACTCTGAGGCCTATCGGAGAGTGTGGAGGGTGGGAAGAGGGAGATCAGGAAAAATAACTAATAGTTACTAGGCTTAATACCTGGGTGATTAAGTAATCTTTACAGTAGACCCCCATGACACAAGTTTACCTATGTAACAAACCTGCACTTGTACCCCTGAACTTAAAAGTTTAACAATAATAATAATAATAATGAATATGTTGGCTTATGCTCACTCACACCTCTAACTCCCCACTTCAAACACACACACACACACACCATAGACAATTTATTTGCTGAAGAAATTGATCTTTTATCCTGCAGGGTTTTTCCATAGTCTGGATTTTTCTAGTTGCATACCTGGGTTGCCATTTTTCTTTTCTTCTTCTTTTTTTTTGAGATGGAGTTTCGCTCGTGTTGCCCAGGCTGGAGAGCAGTGGAGCAATCTCGGCTTATTGCAACCTCTGCCTCCCAAGTTTAAGCGATTCTCCTGCCTCAGCCTCCCGGGTAGCTGGGATTACAGGCATGCGCCACCACGCCCAGCTAATTTTGTATTTTTAGTAGAGATGGGTTTCTCCGCGTTGGTTAGGCTGGTCTCGAACTCCCGACCTCAAGTGATCCACCTGCCTCTTCCTCCCAAAGTGCTGGGATTACTGGCATGAGCCACCGCACCCAGCCTGCCTTTTTTCTTATATTTTTGGATCATATTCAGATTTGTTGGTTGGTTAGTAAGAATACATTTTAGGAAGGGTCATATACTTTCATCAAGAAGCATATCATATATCTAGGTCTTCCACTCATCTTAACAACCACTGATGAGCATTGTTTTAGATCCTTTATTTCATTAAGGATTACAAACTGGTAGTATTTTTACATTCGTTATAGCTGGAATGCCTCTACTTCATCAGCTATTTGGTTACCCTGAAGTACAATTCTTATAGGGAAGACAGGAAAAGTGCTTGGGGTTTTTTTTGTTTTTTTGTTTGTTTGTTTGCTTGTTTGTTTTTTCCCATTTATATGTCAGTTACCAAAACAATGAGATGGTTTCCTACCATCTTTCACAGGTGACCAATGAGTTCATTTTTAAATATCGTTTTGAATTTTTGGATTTAAATACATGTCATGTGTCTGTCCATTGCCATTGCTATTCTAGTCAATGTTCTAATCAATGTCCAATGTTTGACTAGTAGAAGCCCCTTCGAGTTGACTCTTGAATCCTTTTGACATAACCCTAGGAATCTTAGATTTCTGATAGGACAAGATGTTCCAGAATCATCTTATACATTTCCTGGCCCAGGCTGAGAGTCAGCCATTTATTTGAAAAGCTCTGATGTTTTTAGTAAAGAGTATTTAGAGACCATAATCTGGGTGCATTTTTTATGGTCGTATAGTCAAAAGTAACATATATAATTTATAAATCTAGTCCTGATCTAGTAATTTTCCACGTATATGGAAATGAAGAGGAGGAAGTACAGTTTTAATTCAAAATAATAATTTTTAAAAACCTAAATGAAACTTTCCTGTGACTTTAGAGTTTATATTTTATTACAAAATTGACTTCCCAGTTTATGTTTTTATTGACTTCACTTGGCATTCTCTAGGTAACAACACCATCTCATGGAGTGAAAAATTGCAGACTGACGAAAAGCAAATCCAGCTACAGATTAAAATTACACAGTGAATAATCTCAAATCTATTTACAAATCAAGAAAAGTTGACTATAAAACCTCCTAGGTAATTGAAGTTTTGAGATTAGCAAAAACAATACAGGAAACGCTGGGCTTAATAGAATAATTCTCACAGAACATGTTTCCTCATAAAGAATTGGATTGGAGATTATTTCTAGGATCTGGGTCTATCAATACAAAACTTTTTAATCATTATTTGAGTTGTTCTTTTCCTGTTTCATTTGTTTATTCTTTAAATATTTTTTAGCCATTTACTGAGTACTAGGCAATATTTTAGGTGGCAGAAATATGGGGGGGAGGCAGGGAATTACCAAGTTCCTTGTTTTCATACCCTAAGAGGAGTCACTTATATAAACACATAAGCCCATAAATAACAGTCCTAAAATTCACCTTAGTGTTTTCTAATCACTTCCTTTTTTGAGAATTGAAGACGTGAGAACTATTGTTGATATTTTTCCACAGTGAAAAAACAGCTTGCATGAACTTTCTGACACTCTAAGAAACTTTACTTGTATTAATCACTTTTTCTTCAACACGCATTTTTTTGATTAAAAGTTTTCCATTAAATTATTTTGGATGATAACATATAGAAGTTAATTCAAATTCTGCATTTCATTTGCACCTTTCAGAAACCTCTGATGTTTTAAAAATGTAGTGATATTTATGGCTACCAGAATTAATGGAGTATATACAGTAGTATTTATATATTTTTGCATTATATTCTCTTAGAAGGATATAAATGATTGAGTTCATCAGATTTTCTATGTAGTGGTTTCATATGAAATGATACCTTGGTAAAAATATCCAAATTCATCTATAAAAATCAAATTTCCCTTATTTAAAGATTGAATCCACTTTAATCCTTTATACAAAAAGTAGTCAGAAATGTTTATTAAAATGGAATTGGTGGAGGGAAGCACAATTTCAGTAACAAGAATACTTTTTATTTTATTTTATTTTGTAACACAATAGAGGGTTTTTCCCCTACTATGATTTAACCTTCAATTAGTCTGATAAGAGTAGCATATCAAAGATTCTTCCTAGAGCTTAAGTCATTCTCTGCTTGTGATTATAAGCTTTATATTTACAGTGGATGATTAGGTGCATCGTTGAGCTCCAAGGATACCATTTAGGGCAAAATTTGTTACATAATAAAAATAATTACTTAAAAGAACTAATTCACAAAGTTTATTACCAAGACATAGAAGTGTAAAAAGACTCTATTATGATAAAATTAAGATACTGGGCGTATAGTCAAAAGTAACATATATAATGTATAATTTTATACTCTATTATGATAAAATTAAGATTACAGTCCTCTAAAGACACTCACATTCCTAGATTTCTACTGTGACAGGATAGACTGTCTCTAAGATGGTTAATGATTGTTATATTTTGTGATACTCTAAAGGTTCAAAGTTATGTTGCTGCTTTATACAACATACATTTTTCCCCTGCGGTGTTTGAATAAGAATTTATTCCTTCAGAAGGGAATTCCTTGTGTAGTATATATGGTGTTCACCTGCCTGTATTTATCCATTTTTCAGGGAATGGATAGCTTTTCTTCCTAACCCTGCTACTTCTGTAATGACTACATAATATCCATATTGTATGTATATGTGGGTTTTGGTGTGTGACTGTATAGCCTCTCTTCACACTTTACTCAGTGAAGAATTTCTTTCTATTCTTAATCAGCCTTTATTACTACCAGCCAAAATATTATTGTCACACATTACAGTAGGCTTAACCATGATTCTCTTGAACCACTATGTACAGTGCAGTAGCCACTATCCTGGAGTGACTGTTAGACACTTACAATATGGCTGGTCCAGATCGAGATGTGCTGTAAGTGTAAAATACAAACTGGATTTTGAAGGCTTAGTATGAAAGCCTTCAACATATTTCAGATATGCTGAGTTACATGAAATACATCGTTAAATTAATTTCAGGAGTTTCTTTTTACTTATTGTGGTTTTTAGAAAATTTTCAATTACATATGTGGCTCACATTGTACTTATACTGGACAGCATTGCCCTAGAATAGTGTAAGTGAGTCATTATCTAGGCATCAAATCTCTATCTTTGTGTAATAGATAGTTCTAGTACAGACTTTATCCCCCAATATTCCTTGGTCAAAGCCACATGTAGTTGCCAGCTTACCATGTGGCATGGCTGTGCCTGTGTGTGACTTGGGAATAGACTTCTCAGAATCTTCTAAGTATAGAATCAATAAGTGTCATCATAATAGCATTCTAGTATCACTCAGAAAAAAGGTTTAGACTATCAGCGTGAATGAAACCATTGTCCTTGTGGTAGTGTTGTACTTAGCACTTTAAAAATAATTTAAACATTTTAAAGATTATATTATTTTATGGATCTTTAGCTATGAACTTTGTAAATGAACGTTACGTACAAAATAAATGTTAATGAGGAAAACCTGTTTTGCTACAGTAAACACTAAGTTACGGTTTTACTGCTTTAACTGATAGCACTAGATATTATGCATGAATATTAGAATAAGAAAGATACTTTACTGATTCTTCTGTTTTATTAATTTGAAATATGGTTAACATGTAATCCACATTACAGCTATGACATGCTGTACTTGTTTTATTGGAAATTTTAAGATGTATATAAAAGACAGTAAACTTCCACTTAAACTGAGATGGATCAAAACAGGGGTTATGTTTTAATCTCATGTAATTTAGCATAAGTGCTATATATAGCATAATTTAAGACATTATTCAGTATTTTATATAAAGCATTCTTTTTTAAAAACCTAGATTGGAGTTTGAATATAAAAAATTCTCAAAATTACATGTTTTAAATTTCAAATGATCAGCAATAAGATTATGGTTACATCAGGTATAAATATGGTAGCTAAGCAATAAAACATTTGTTTGATCATTACAGAAATTTTCTCATGCAAAACCCCAATTTTTTTCTTAATTTTTAGGAAACCAGAATCCGGGCAATGGATAAGGATGCCAAGAAAAGAATCCATAATTTCTCTGTCATCAATCCTGTTCCTGGACAAGCTATAACTCAGATTTTTGCAGTTGACAATAGAGAAGATCTTCAGAAGTGGATGGAAGCCTTCTGGCAGCATTTCTTTGATCTTAGTAAATAGATATTTGGATTTTTTTAGTTGTGTATTTATGTAGCCTAAAAGGATGTGCACAGCAATCTTAAAATTGTAATCTTAGAGTTTGTAGCAAAAATTTTTTATGTTCTTGAAAGAATGGTAGTATATCATCAATGCACTGATGCTTCTTTCTGTCAATCTCTTTCCAGTGCCTGACTATTGTATAGTATACGTTTGGATTCTAGCATCTCTACCTCCTACTTTTTGAAGCTCCCTCTGGTCACTAAAACAACCAGACCATATTCTCTCAAAATGTTAGGATTTAACTGTTGAAGGCAATGTGTTTGATCCAAGGGATAAGAAGCCATTTGAGGAACAAAAAACTTTTCCAGGATAATGATGATCCTAAAATATTGAAACATTCAGGAGTCTCACTTTGTAGCCTTCCCTTAACTCCAGATTCGTTATCATCTTCTTGGACATCATCCAGACAGGTTTCTTTTTAAACCACACACATAGGATTTTCTCATCTCAATAATACAGTCCAATGACATGGACATAAAAACAATGTATGGTAATGTAATAGGGCTCTAGTGTATAAAATATATGAGGTTCTAATATTTCTCGAGGAATTTTATCAACAGGAAAATACTGAAATCGTAACAGTTCTTTGTGTTTACTGACAATAAGTCAAACAGCATATTATCATTATATTGAAAATGTAGAATGTTGATAATGTCTGTTTCTGATCAAACAAAGCCTACTGATAGATACTACCAGTATTTTGTCTACTGAATCCTATTCCATAGAAAGTTGAGACATTTCCAAAAAAGGAAAATTATTTCTGCAACTCATGGAAATAATCCTAGGGACAGACATTTTAGGAATTCTGTTTTCTGGAGCACTATGAGGAAGAGTTAATACTTGCAGCCCTCAAGTTAGAAGTTGGGTAAGAGGCAAGAAAGGGATCTAAATTTATGGATTATTTCCCGTATAACAGATTATTTCATTTATTTCTCATAACACTCCTGCGAGGTAGAAATTATTTCCCTTTGCTCTGAAGATGAGAAAACTTAGGCCTGAAGAGGTTTCTGTTTCACAGCATCGAACTAGAGGGTTCCCTCCATGGCCTTCTTGTATTGTTTAGGACTTGTTTTCCTTAAGTATCATCCCTAGACACTCAATAAATGTTCAAATATTCATTTCATGCTTATCAGCGTGTACCACATTTATTTAGTTAAAATTTTCAGGCCAGGCACGGTGGCTCACGCCTGTAATCCCAGCACTCTGGGAGGCCGAGGCAGGCGGATCACCTGAAGTCAGGAGTTTGAGACCAGCCTGACCAACATGGTAAAACCCCGTATCTACTAAAAATACAAAAATTAGCCAGGCGTGATGGCACGTGCCTGTAGTCCCAGCTACTTGGGAGGCTGAGGCAGGAGAATTGCTTGAAGCCAGGAGGTGGAGGTTGCAGTGAGCCAAGATCTCACCTGTATACTCCAACCTGGGCGATAGAGCAAGACTCTTGTCTTTAAAAAAAAAAAAAAAAAATTCAGCAGATCTCAGGTGTATAACTTAAAAGACAAGAACTTCCTTGCTTTTGCTAATCATAGCTAAAACTTTAACCATTTTACTAAATGTTCTGTCTTAGAGAATCCGTCTTATAAATGACTATCTTATTTTTAGAAATGATTTTGGTATTTTTATTTGTTTTATTTTTATTTTTATTTTTTGAGATGGAGTTTCGCTCTTCTTGCCCAGGCTGGAGTGCAATGGCGCAATCTTGGCTCACCGCAACCTCTGCCTCCCGGGTTCAAGTGATTCTCCTGCCTCAGTCTCCCTAGTAGCTGGGATTACAGGCATGTGCCACCACGCCCAACTAATATTGTATTTTTAGTAGAGACGGGATTTCTCCATGTTGGTCAGGCTGGTCTCAAACTCCAGACCTCAGGTGATCCGCCCACCTCAGCCCCCCAAAGTGCTGGGATTACAGGTGTGAGCCACCGCACCCAGCTATTGTATAATTGTTATGTGCATAAAAACAGGAGGAGAGGTAAATGAAGGTGATAATACCAGAATCTTGTAGTCTAGATATCAACTACTATTAGATGATCATCTCATGCTTTCATTCTCTAGATTATGTGAAATAATTTATCATGCTGAAATGGAGATTTGAAAGAATAAGAACCTCATGACATTTTTGTACTGTCAACATAATAAGGAAGTGATGACAACTTGGTTCTCGGGTCTGGTTACATTTTTGGTATTTAATGCTTTTTTGCATAAAAACTGCCAACCTATGTAATTTTTAAAGTACAAATTCTATTACATTTATACTTCAAAATTCAGAATTCATTGTGTATGGATATATGAAGCAAAGATGGAGGTATTTATACCATACTAAAAATTTGACTTGTACTTTAAAATTTTAACTTTCCTAGTGACAGGTGCAACCTCTTGTGATCCTGGTTGAAGTATGGTATGTAGAACAAAGTACAGGATAGGTATTCAGGGCAGAATAAAGTAAGAGAAATTTAATATTGAGAGCAAATTTCAATTATTTGACTCTATTTAAGAATAGAAAACCAGGAAGGTGAGATAATTAGAACTCAGGAGGAAACACTTACGGAAGTAGATCTGTTTAGCCCAGGGAAGAATAGCCTCGGGTGGATGTTGGTGGGCAAGGGGGATGTAATAGCTATTTTTAACATTTGTGAGTTAACAGTCATGTAAAAGAGGAGTGACCCATGTTCTGGATGGTCAATAGGAGTGGAGCAGAGAATGGTAGGTCAAAGATAGAGAAAATTAAGGTAGATTTGGAACATTAAATTTTTAAAAAATATTTAACAATATAAATATTGAGTTACATTAGGAGCTTAGCATAAAAAATTATTTTGACTGGGAACACTATAACAGTAAATGGTATTTTAGGAAACATCTTCAATATATAAATTGTTATGTGAACAAAACATACCCATTTAATATTTCATATTGCGCCCTTGTTTTCATGTTAGCATATTGGCTATCATGTATAGCTATGCATAGAGATTTATTTGCTGGCAAAATAAATGTTTCAGTCGTAAAGTCTTGACCCATGAACACGTTTATACCTCTGACTTTAGTAACACGTGAAATAATGTGGCATTATATTCCAGTTTTCATTGTAACTCATATTCTGCTACTAGTTTAACAATGAAATGCTTTCATTTATCGATATAGAGGAAATACTGTACTTTATAATAGTTTTTCTAAGAATGTGACAGAAAAGTGTGCCAGTTTGAAGTGTTTCATTATTTTTCCATTAGATATGGGTTTTTTTCCTGCCCCTAAGAAGAAAAAAACTGGCTCTTATATATTTATCTATAAAAGGAAGTGTGGGGAGGAATAAGTTATCAGATCTCAGATCCTACTAGATGTACATTCTAGAGATCAACCTTTGAAGCCTTGTACTCAAGAATTTATTCCCTTTATCAGTTGCTGTGTGGCTTATTTTGAAATTTTTATCATATTCTGTGCTTAGCATCATAATAAAACATACTGAAAGGCTTTTTTTATGTTTCTTAACTAATGGTGGTGGATTTTTAATTTATGCATATATTATCATATTACTATGAGAGTATATTCAACTACAAACAACAAAAATGAGTAATTTTACTAAACATGAAGTGTCCTTAGTTTTTAAGTCACAGAAAATAATCAAGTTGGGTATGAAATACGGATATACAACATAAGTGTATTACATTTACTTTTCTATTGGTATAAGATAGGCTATAAGAAGGTGAACCTCAGTAACTAACTCTTATAAAATTAATATACAGATACGTAGGAACTAGCATAGTTGCTATCCAGCATGCAGGTGCACAATAAGTATGAAAAGATTAAATTTTTAGACATCACTCAGGAGAAATCTAAAAAATTTAAGATTAAAATAGTGTGAAACATAATTAAAATAAAAATTAATGTCCACACTCAAATTTTAACTTAATAGTTGAAAGATTTTATTCAAGACTATTTTTTTCTTATTCCAAATGCCTTTATTTAATGTGTCCTTCCTAAAACAAATTAGACTCAGAATTTTATTGGGTGATATGACTTTATAATAATAGGTTTTTATATACCTTTTAAAACCTAAAAGAAAATACAGTGTTTTTCTAGAGTTAAATGATTTTGAAAAGCATGATAATCATCTTAAAGGGACAGTTGTTAAATAAATAATTTTTATTTCTTAATCAAAATTTTCATAGTTAAAACCATTTTTGAAAACCTCACTCCTTTATGTTTTTTTCTATTTCCTTCTAGGTAACTATATTTCAGTTGATTGTTTAACCTTTCAACATCTTGAATACTTAATGTTTACTATTCAAAAGAAGAAAACCCTTCCCAAACTTTTGCAATAAATAGAAATTTTAAAGTAGTTATTAACCATTTAGTGAAATAGGATAGTATTTAATAGCCTAGAGATTTTAGCCTAATGTCTTTGCATAGAAGTACTTCTTTTTCTTTTTTCTTTTTTTTTTTTTTTTTTTTTTTTGAGACGGAGTCTCTCTCTGTTGCCCAGTCTGGAGTGCAGTGGTGCAATCTCGGCTCATTGTAACCTCTGCCTCCCAAGTTCAAGTGATCCTCCTGCCTCAGCCTCCCAAGTAGCGGGGACTACAGCCACCTGCCACCATACCCAGCTAATTTTTGTATTTTTAGTAGAGAAGGGGTTTCCCCATGTTGGCCAGGCTGGTCAAGACTCCTGACCTCAGGTGATCTGCCCACCTAGGCCTTCCAACTTGCTGGGATTACAGGCATGAGCCACCGTGCCCGGCCAAACTTTATTTTTTAAATAGATTACTTTTATGTTCAGAACTGGACTTTGAAATTATGGATAGTATTAGGTTTTTCTGCAAGCCTCCCTTAACGCAGTGCTTTATGTATAAATTCACTGATTTTTATTCAAAGCAAAAATGTATTGCTATCTATTAAAAATGAAATATATATCTTCACATTTATGTTTTAAACTAGTCTACCTTTTTTCTGTCTGTCTTAGGCCAATGGAAGCACTGTTGTGAAGAACTTATGAAAATTGAGATTATGTCACCACGGAAACCACCTTTGTTCTTGACAAAAGAGGCAACCTCAGTCTACCATGATATGAGTAAGTGGGGTTTGTCTTTTCTAAGCTGCAGGATAACAAAAACAACATTGTCCATACTGAAGCAGCTTATTCTATTGACATTAAAATGCTAAAATTTTCAGGGCACAATCAAAATAAATGAAAAAAGACTGATTATAGACTAAGGAACTCATGTTTAATAGATGAATTAATACAAAATAATGAATACACGTTTTTTCATAGTCTGAATGCTTAAGATCAGACAAAAAATTTAAGGCTTAAAATGAGTAAAGGTGCACTGAAAATAAATATTAGCTGAGTAGCTGATGAAAATTCTGAAAATAAACATTTGCACATTCTAAAATGTAATCATGTTCAGTAATTTTTTTTCTGTATTTTATTAAATTTGTTTCCAAGTAGTGTTGATAGATGCATACTAATGAATGGAAGCTTTCATCTCTAGCCAGAAAAAAGAAATTGGTTAAGTTTAATACTTTGGAAAATTTTAAATTTCTAGACCCACTAATATTCAATTTCCCACACCTTGAAGGGTGTTTATTTTTGTGCTGTTGCCTCAGTAAATAATGTTGTGAACAAGTGCAAGTCAGTCTAAATTCTGTTTAATTTGCCACTAATGTACCTGTACTTACATTCACTTTAAAATGTCAGGTTAAAAATGATACATTTGGGTTCACACATTTTAAAATACCAGTAATTTATTTAATAGAGATTTATCTCTGTTCTTTTATTTTTGCCAAGGAAAGTTTCACCCACCACCCTTATTACCAAAGTGGTATGAGGGCTTTACTCTGTTTTCCTGGGTTTTTGGTTTTAAGCATTTTCCCTTTTAACAGAGACTTTGCTGGTCTACAGGAAAGAATACTCATCCAAATGCAGTCATCCTAATATATATCTAGCTTTTGTAAAAAAGGAAATCTCTTACCTAGCAGTCAGAATAAGGTTTTAAATCCAGGAAATGTTATCTCATAAATACTTAATCTATAGAATTTTTTAGAAAACTCATATAACTCCACTTCTTTGAAAGATGGATTTTGCTAATTTATATAGGAATATATTTATACATGTGTATGTATTATGTAAATTATATGTATGTTATATATGTTTTATATACTATGTATTATGTGTATGTTTACATATATAATGTATGATTAGTGCAGCGCATGATCTTTTTAGTTCTGATGGTGTGGTTATTTTTACAAGTGAACGTTTTCCTTATCATAGTCTTTGATGACCATTGTATATAGCATACTAGTTTGGAAAAGAACTTATTTAGATAAAGTACATACTGCTTTTGAATTTTTTCATGTTTTTTTTTCTTAAAATTATTATAGGCATTGATTCACCTATGAAACTTGAAAGTTTAACGGATATAATACAAAAAAAAATTGAAGAGACAAATGGGCAGTTCCTTATTGGTCAGCATGAAGAATCCTTACCACCTCCTTGGGCCACACTCTTTGATGGTAACCATCAAATGGTCATCCAGAAAAAGGTACTGTATCCTGCAAGTGAGCCATTACATGATGAAAAAGGGAAAAAGAGACAAGCTCCCCTTCCTCCTTCTGATAAACTTCCATTCAGCTTAAAATCACAGAGTAACACAGATCAATTGGTTAAGGACAACTGGGGAAAAACAAGTGTATCTCAGACATCGTCTTTGGATACCAAACTATCAACTCTAATGCATCACTTACAGAAACCAATGGCTGCTCCTCGAAAACTTCTGCCTGCCAGGAGAAATAGATTAAGTGATGGTGAGCACACAGACACTAAAACCAATTTTGAAGCCAAGCCAGTGCCAGCTCCAAGGCAGAAATCCATCAAAGACATTCTGGACCCTAGATCATGGCTGCAGGCACAAGTATAGAAAACTCTTAATGATAAAACATTTAACAAAATCTATAACTGTGAAGCTTAATTCAGAGGCATTATAGAATAATGTGTAATTATATAGGTAAATATAGTGATTTATACCAATAATTAATAAGCTATTAGGTATAGAAAAACATTTTATAATGAAGAAGTGGATTTCTCTTTTACTCCTGATTTGCAGAATGTAAGTGATTTCTCCAGCAGTGTGCAAGAGGCAGTTTCTAGACAATATCCTAATTGTTGGAAGGGTTAATTTATTCCTGAATTAGTACCAGGCAGTGAATAAGCCCTAGGCAGAATAAAGCATTAAAATTTCTTTTGGGGAGAGACTGTCTAGTAATTTAAAATGTGTTAAATATGAACCATATTCTCATTGTGAGAATTTTAATACTAATGGAATGTTTCAAAGGTTTTATTCAAACCACAAATTATAGAATCCACCCAAGAAAATTTTCTTAGCATTCTGGAATTCTCATCTAATGGTTCACTGGCTCTCATCTATTGTTTAACTCACTAGTTTATAGGCCTGACCTTTTAAATTCCTGGGATAAATTTTAGAATATTAAATTCTTCATCTTTAAAGGGAATTTGTAATGTGCTATTCAAACTTGTTTCCTTGATGAGCCCTGAAATACTGTTGACATTAACTTTCATAAATGAAGCATAACACTTACTAGTTTAGAGAAATGGTAGATGAAATGCTCTTTACATTCAATTTTCTGTGTGTGGTGCTAATTTCCATTGTGACTTTGGAATTTAGGGAAGTGAGTAGCTGATCAACACCTTAAAATTCATTTAATACTTATTTAAAAAGAAGATGAGAGATTCAAAAATATCAGAAAAGTTGGCCATGGTAAATAATTTTCAGAATTCTTTTTTAAAATTTTAATTAGATTTCCTTTTCCTAGTAAGAGTTGATGTCTGCTAGTGGTATTTTTCATTAAATGTCATATTCTTACAACAGTGACATTGGAATCATTTCCATAGGAGGTAATTTCCATAGCAACTAATCATAGTGACCCAAACAGGATTATAAAGTCAAGTGAGGAATAAATAGCAGAAAAATACCTTAAAGGAACAAAAAATCCATTTTTTATAATAATGCTTTTTGTAAACAAGAGCAGAACAGTTTTAAAAATCTAATTAGAATTTCCAAATAAAACAGTTTCCATAAGGTGTCAGCAACAGCACTAAAAATCTCAAATCACACTGAACCCTAAATGTCATTGCAAGAAATAAAAATTTAAGAATTAAATTGCTGCCCTGTGTATAATCTCTTGAGATCTTTTTAAAGCTAGCAAGAACTCTATTTGGATCAGAACTACATTATTACAAAACAAAATGAACACTTGACCAAAAAACCACATTAATTTAAATGGAGCCTTTCATTATTTTCAGATAGCGGGGTCTTTTCCATTTATAGAGAATGATGTAACTGCCAGGACACTTTTGTGTTTGCCCAGGACTCCTAGTAAGAATTGAATCTTGAGGGAGTAATGATAACAAAAGGTTTCTTGTGACTGGTAACATCAGGACAGACAGAGTTTTTGGTGAGAAGAAAGTACTATATGCCTGCTTGATAGCATGTAGAGATCATCACATGTATGGAAACCTTAAAAAGTAAACTTATTTTTTCTAACTAGAAGGCTCTCATAAGTTTCTGTTATGATTGCCATTTCAATAAATGACATTAAAAATCTAAAGGATATTATTGTTTGAATTTTTGGGTTATTTTTTAAAACTTCATTGCTGTTTTTGACAGCATTTGTGACTGTCATTGCCACTAAATTATTGAGCTAGAAGATGCTGCAGGGAAAATTGTTTTGAAGCTGGCATCTAAGCATTCTTTTTTTTTTCCTAGTTGATGCCTTCCTTTATTACAAATCAGTATTAAAACTTCCAGATTATATTCTTGTCATTTTTCCTCATGCAGATAACAGCAGGAAGGACTTAAGGTGTATAAGAAAAAGAAAGTATTCATACAGAAATTACCTAGCAGTTGTGCCCTCAGAGTAGAACTTTGAAACAGGACTGAAGCCCTTTTTACCTAGAACCATTTAAAAGCCTGAGCAAGGACCACCACCCCCTCCCCACCAAATTATTCGGTCTCTTTCTGGGGGGCCCAGCTTACTGTATGTTACAAGTCTTTGAAATGGGTCTGGTGTCTTCAGCTCCTGAAATGCTAATTTACCCCTTACCTAAGGAGTGTAGTTATAATACAGAGTTGGTTTCCTTCCTTCCTTCCTTCCTTCCTTCCTTCCTTCCTTCCTTCCTTCCTTCCTTCCTTCCTTCCTTCATTCCCTCTGTCCGTCTCTCCTTCCCTCCTTCCCTCCTTCCTTCCTTTTTGTCTTTGTTTCTTTCTCTGGCCCCCTGTCCTCTCTCTCTGTCTCATCCCCTTTTCCCACTTTCCTTCTGTCTCTCCTTCCTCCCTTCCTTTACAGTTTAAAAAAAAAATCTAAAAATAGTTAAGCACTGTGTCAAAGAGTGTTTCAAAAGAATTGTTTGTTTTCTCATTTCTTAAACCAGAAGTTTATGACAAATAAATATGCCATGTAATATGAAAGCTGCTTCAGCTTTTTATGAGCTTTCACATTCCTTGTTTGTCCTTTTAATTTGTTTCTTGATATATGAAGACTATAAACTTGAAACAAAGAGTTAGCTGTCAGCTCTTGATAATATAATTGGGGAAACAGAATAGATATTTTATGATATGATAATTCTGATGATCTAAAGATAATGTCTTAGACAATTACCTTTACATTTCAAGCTCTGGGATATAAATTACGTAGTCAGCATTAAGATAGTATTATTTTTAATTGCTACTAAGTGGTAACTTTTGTATTTTAATATCTTGCAAGGGCAAAGAAGGCATTTTTAAAATTCTAAATGCACACCTCCTAAGGTAAATAGTCTTTCAAAAATATCAGGCGTGCCAACTCTTGCTGAGTTTTGTTAAATCCTCCTTAACTGTCTGCAGTGCCCCCTGACTTCTTTTAAATGGATGTGAATATATGTGGAAAACTAAATCCATTTATTATAAATGCCTTATCTTTACCCTTTGGGATCTTACTAAATGCATTTTACCTGCTACTATTTATTAAAAATGGAAGCTGTCTTGAATTAGAGATACCTCACGTAAGGTAGGTTAAGCAGTCAAGTATTTCTTTAGGCTTATGTTCAGCACCTCAGCCCCCTACTGAGAAGTTAATTAATTCAGTCCAAAATGAAATTATAGGGCAGTTTGGTGCAATTTATGTTAAATGCCATTTGAATGTAATCACCTGTGTTACCACGAATGAGGCACAACTATACTACATGGACAGAGTACTGCATTGCACCATGAGCAAGAACTGCTCTGCAAGAAAAATATCTGTCCCTGTGGTCTGAATTTATCAAAACTCATTTTCTTGTTAAAGAGTGAATTATTGAATAGTAATTAAACTTTAACTGATGACCATTTATATTCTAGTAGCCATCTTCACTGTTAGTCTTAAATTATAATGTAAAGTTGACATTTTCCCCTTACATTTCAAAGGCATCACTATTTTTAAATGTTTACATATGTTTACATGTTTGTGTGCAACTGCTTCATTGCTATTAATAGTTAAATGAAATCTGCATATTCTGGATCATAGATGTTCTTAGTTAACTCTGGGAAAGATGTTACCTTTGGGTTTTTAAAAGACAAGTCATCATTTGAAAATATATTAGGGTGTGTTGATTTTCTGACATGCTTGTGTAATTGGCTTTGTTTATAATTTTTATTTTTTAATATGGGTCAGACTTTTGGATTAAAAAGTATTATATCATGGACATACATTTTTTAAAGTACCAAAGGTATTTGGTAAGCGAGCCCAAGTCATGTAATTGAAACTTCTGTACATTAAAAGAACTGATTCATGAAGACGTTTTCTAACTTTTTCTCTTTAAGTGCTCCTCTAGACTAGACTGATTGAAGTAGACAGTGTGGTGGAATCAGTTTAATCAGAAAAAGACATACCAAGTAGCTGGTGCTAATTATTATAAGACTAACATTCTGATAAGCCATGGTATAATTAACATTATTAAAATGTTTACATATAATCCTTCTTAAAGTATACTCTTTTAAAAATCCATTGACATAACCTTACTTTTAGTTTAGTGATCCAGAATTTCCCCAGAGCTTAAGCCACTGCAGTAAATTAGGTACGTAGGATATTCAGTCGCTACTAGCCACAAGGAGTCTCCTTATTTTAATGTACCTCCCTCAGTACTTTATTCCTGCAGAGCGCCTCAGAGTGGGGGAGAGAAATGAGCAATCCTGGCTCAGTTGGATTATTTCAGCATTTTATTTCTAAATCTGTAGTGTGATCAGAAATATTTAAAATTAAAAAAATACTTTACAGAGAGAGGCCTACTAATCAATGTGCTTAGAGAAACAAACTACCTTTACATTCAATTAACAACAAAAAAAGTTACAGAAATTTTAACAAACATTTTTCTTTATCTGAGTATGGGAGAAAATACTAATGCTGACACGTTTAATAATTAGAAAAGATCATTCCAGATCTTATGGAAAATTGTGTTTTAAATTCCAGCAGTTTGCTCTTGAGACATGGTAATCTCTTAATGTAACTACTAAAGGAGAGGTAGATTGAAAAGATCTTGTATATACATAATTATGTCAGATGGTTCAAGATATCAAAATAAATTGTTTTGTTGAAAATGAATACTTTTTGGTGTCTTGCTTAAAAATATTTTTATATTTTGTTTATCTACTCAAAATTATGAATGGATGCATTTTTGTAGAACTTAATCTTAATAAACATTTAACTGAATTAGTTGTAGCAATTTTATAATTTTATATTAACAGGGAGAATAGTAGTAAGAGGAATTATTCACTTACCTCAAATATTAAAATGTGTGTTTTATGTATATAAAATATAATACTATAGATATAACATACATACATACATACTCATACACATAGTGTGTTAGATTCTTCAGGTATTTTCAGTTAGTTTTAAAAAATTCTTTTAAAATATGCTTCCAATGGAGCAGAATAAAAATTTCAAATCCCCTTCCATAGTTTACAGAAACCATTACAACCCAGCTCCAACCTGCCATGCCCTACTAGGTACTTCACTCTCAGTTCCTGTGCTTGTAGGACTAGCTGTTGGCTAGGGGTCACTCTTAGCTCCTAGAAACTGTGCTCCGGCCCTTGCTAGTAGCCCCTTCGGTCTTCAAAGTCAGCAACAGTGCATCAAGCCTCCCTCATGCTTCAAATCTCTGACTATTTCAGCTGCTCCCAATTGAAGAAAGTGCTTTGCTTTTAAAGGGCTCATATGATTAAATGAGGAATGCCCACCACGATAATTTCCCTTTTGAGTAATTCCAGGTCAGCTGATTCGGAAATCACTTTTGCATGCAATGTAATGATGGGTGTGATATCTCATCGTCTTCATGGGTAAAGAGCCATTGAATTAGAGCCACTGGAGTGCTATTTTAGCAGGCTACCCACCACATCTTATCAGATTTTTCAAGGGCAGAAAGCATGTTTTATTGACATTTAACCCTGTCATAGTATACTGTAATGAGAGTGAGTACAGCTTATTGGGTAATATGTGTAAGATACTATACTGTGTTAAATATTTTATATAAATTAATCATTACCATATTCTCTCAGTAGCCCCCCTTAACACACACAAGAGTGGAAGACTTGCTCTGGGTCATATACTGCATGGTAGTTGACTACGGACTCTGGAGTTAGACTTGGGTTAAATTCTAGCTCTGTCATGACTTAGCTATATGATTTGGGGCTTTTTTTTTTTAACCTCATTTGGGTTTTTTATTTTAATGTTTAAGATAAAAAAAAACCTTATAATATAGTTGTGTTTATTAAATAAGGTAATGCATGTAACACATAGTCTAGGACCTAATACTTAAGTTCCTGCCTTGTTTCTATAGGTTGACATATAGTATGTAACACGTGTATGAAGAGGGAAGAGGATACAGCTGATAGAGACCCAACACACACACAGTAACTTAGTCACTTATAACCCCTCTCCTATTTTCATTTCTTGCTTGATGTGAACATGTTAGGCTCACAGTGCATAAAAGTTTAGGAAATACCTAAAAGTGTATCCAAATACTTATTGTTCATTGTCTCTTGAACTCTATATTTGGCACTATTGGGGCTTATAAATTAAAAGACAGCCTATTCTTAAGCTCACGTGAATTCCGGTGAGTAGAACCAATCATTAGAGACTATGGAGATGAAGCATGGTTTGACCTGCCTCCCATATATCTAACATAAATCTGTCTGGATACAAGCAATCCCTACCTGCCACTGGGAAACTTAGGTTATAAAGATTAAAAAATACATAAAACACTGTGGGCAGTATGAAAGAGTAATCAGTATTACACAATTTAGCATCTCATTTTAAGTGCTGTGAAAGATCTGTGACGGATTGAGTTAAGGCTGGGCACGGTGGCTCATGCCTATAATCCCAGTACTTTGGGAAGCCAAGGCAGGCAGATTGCTGGAGCCCAGGAGTTCAAGAGCAGCTTGGGCAATGTAGTGAAACCTTGTCTCTACAAAAAATAATAATAATTAAAACATAGCCATGTGTGGTGGCACATGCCTGCAGTCCCAGCTACTTGGGAAGCTGAGGTGGGAGGATAACTTGTAACTTGAGCCGAGAGTTCCAGCTGCGATGAACTGTGATCGAGTCACTGTACTCCAGCCTGGGCAGAGTGAGACCCTGCCTCAAAAAACTAACGAGTTAAGAAGTGCAAAAGTATATACTATGAATATCTTGCAAAGATATAAGGATTAATAATAATAGGGTTTTCAAATCTAGAAGGGATGAGTAAAATAGAAGATAATTCATCCAATGGGTTCCTGGAGGAGTTTCATTTTGCAGCATTCAAAGGGAGGTTAGTAGTCATAGAAGTGGAAAGGAATGAATGGATAAGGCAGTTGGCTGGGCAGAAATGGAATGAGCGTATTGTGAAGTAAATTGTAGGTAAAACAAGTAGGCATGATTGAAGCAAATGTGGCAGTAGGTGAGAGATGGGATATGCTGGACCACATAAAGGACCTTGAATGCTAGTTCAAGAAAGTAAGACGGGTTAAGCTGGAATAGTTGGCATCAGAACTAGAGCTGACGGAGTTAGGAGAATGAGCACTCAGCCCCTGGCTACCATTAACTAGCCACGTTGTCTTGGACAAGGTATTTACTCACCTGTTCAACTTCCTTATTAACATTAAACAGGTGAGTAAATACTTTGTTCTAGACAACATGGCTAGTTAACAACTGGGATGGCTACTGGTGTTTGTCTCAAATTGATCTAGACAGCCCTAAGTCCCTGAGTTGATGCCTTTGGAGGTGGCAACCAGTAGGGTGATGCCAGGCGAGGGAGTCTCTGGATCTCTCCTAATTCGGCCAAAGCAGCTCTAAGTTTATCTGTTTTATGTTTTAACCCCATGAGGTAGTATTTTAACAATCCCCATTTTACAGATTAGTAATTGGAGGCACAAAACAATTAAGTAACTTGCTCACAGTCTCCCAGTAAGTGGAGACAGGATTTGAACCTAATCAGTTATTGAAGAAAGTGCTCTCATCCTCAGTATACCAACAGCCTCTGATAAACGTGAAATAGCAAAAAAGCATTGAGACCAAGGTTTGCCAGACTAGCCTCCAAACTCTTTTTTCCCCAATAATGTGGTCACTTGATGTATTCCTTTGCATTAAAGCCCTAAATGAAAATCCATTTCCTTCGCAATTAGATCCAGCCTATATTATTCTGTGCATAATGCTTGGCCCTGGGTTGAAGGAACATTTGAGCATATGTAAACCTAGATAGACTCCACTGTCAGGCTGCAGAAAGCACTAAAAAAAATATGAATGAGAGGAAAAGATAAATTCTATCCAGAGACATCTGGGACAACTAGAAGAAGTGGTATTTGAACCAGACCTTGAAGTATGAGTTGGTTTTCATTAATTACATTTCTTTAGGTAGAAGGCAACAGAAACTAACTTAAGCTGAAAATGAAGAAAAAAAAAAAGGTGGGTGAATTTATTTATTTTAAGAAAAAAAAAAAATCTCTGTTGCCCAGCCTGGACTACAGTGGCGTGATCTTGGCTCACTGCAACCTCCCCTTCAAGCCAGGTTCAAGCCATTCTCCTCCCTCAGCCTCCCGAGTAGCTGGGACAACAGGCATGTGCCTCCATGCCCAGCTAATTTTTGTATTTTTAGTAGAGATGGGGTTTCACCATGTTAGCCAGGCTGGTCTTGAACTCCTGACCTCAGGTGATCTGCCCGCCTCAGCCTTCCAAAGTGCTGGGATTACAGACGTTTGCCACTGCACCTGGTGGGTGAATTTATTGATAGGCTATTGGAATCACTCAGAAGACTGAAGAATGCCTAGGAAAGGTTGACAGGAAAACTCAGGGGTCCTCAGCAACATCAAGATTGAAAGAATACAGTCTGTTCCTCTCCTAGCTTGTTAGAATGGCCTTTCAGAGTCATGAGTTGGACATTCAAAATGAATCACAGAACATAATTGCCTAGAACTATGATCTCAACCAGGGGTGATTTTTTTTGCCCACTACAAAACATTTGACTATGTCTGAGGACATTTTTTATCGTTGCAACTAGGGGCAGAAGTTGCTGCTTGTGTTTGGTGGGAAGAGAGCAGGGATGCTGCTAAACATCCTGTAATACACAGGACAAGATCCCCACAACAAATAATTATCTAGCCCAAAGCATTGGTAATGCCAGAGTTGACAAACCCTGGCTTGGAATACCAAATAATTACCATCTAAAATAACAAGTGTAGTTAAAAAAAAAAAAAAAAAAGTAGGAAATATGGCCGGGCGCAGTGGCTCACGCCTGTAATCCCAGCACTTTGGGAGGCCGACGTGGGCGGATCACAAGGTCAGGAGATCGAGATCATCCTGGCTAGCATGGTGAATCCCCCGTCTCTACTAAAAATACAAAAAATTAGCCAGGCGTGGTGGCAAGCGCCTGTAGTCCCAGCTACTCAGGAGGCTGAGGCAAGAGAATGGTGTGAACCCGGGAGGCGGAGCTTGCAGTGAGCCAAGATCGCGTCACTGCACTCCAGCCTGGGCGACAGAGGGAGACTCAGTCTCAAAAAAATAAAAAAATTTAAAAAATTTAAATATATATATAGAAAATATAGTGGGAATGAAAAGAAAGGAAAGCTCTTAGGAGACATTTGGGAAGGATTTTTGGAGGAAGTAACAGTTGAACTGGGTCTCGAAAGACGTAAGATTGATTGGGCTCCGCGGATATGGGAAAAAGCATTCTGAGCAGCAGGAACAGAATGAGCAAAGGGGTGAGAGCAGGATGGTGATTTAGAATACGTTCACGAACTCTCTGACACTCTTCCCTTCAAAGGTGGAGCTTAGTTCTCCTCCTATTGATTGTGGGCTGGACTTAGTGATTCATTTCTAACTCAGAGAATATAATGGAAGTGATACTCTGTGACACATGAGGCTAGGTCATAAGAAGATAGCACACCCTTGCTGTTTCCCTCTCTTGGATCACTCACTTAGGGGGAAGACAGTAGCTATACTCAGACAGTCCCGGGAGAGATCCATGTGGAAAGAAACTGAGGCCTCTCACCAATAACCAGCCCCAACTTACTAGTGAGACACCTTGACAGCAGACCCTCAAGTCTAGGCATGACTGCGACCTTCTGAGAAATTCCAAGCCAGAAACGCATGGCTAAGCCGCTCCTAAATTCTTGACCTGTAGTAACTGATAATAGGAAAATGAATGCATATTGTTTTAACCACTAAGTTTTGGGGTTGTTTCCATTGTAATTGATACCTTAAAAAGCATGAAAATATAGGGTCTACCTAAAAACTTGAAACTGTTTCATTTGTATATGGTTAGGGATTACTGAGAAATAAGGTTAATAAGGCAGATGTGGTCAGATCATGGATGGCCTTGAATGTCAGTCTAAAGTTTGCTTTTTTTCTGGTATGCTGAAGAAATTTGCCATATGGGCTTTAGTGGATTCAGATCACATCTCTGACAGATTCTCTCTGAGTAGTTGGGGCAGGGATAGCTACAGATAGTATTGGGGAGCATCCTCATAAATTGTATCTAGAAGAAGAAAAGCAGCCTGTAAATGCCACCACTACACGTTAAGTTCACCGAGGGCACAGGCCAGTTTTTTAGGCATGCTTTGTCAATATAAGTATGCTGAGAGAATCACACCTCACCTGACTTGATTTAAAAATTTCTAAAAAGGAAAAAAAAGTGGTTCACATATATCCAGGTCACTAATGTGACACTATTGACTTGATTTTTCTTGCCTAGCAGCTCTTTTGCAAGGGGAGGGTGACACATTAAATTGCATCCACCTGTGACATCTTAAGGTGACTGAATGTGTGTAATTCTCTTCAGTACACAAAAGGAAAGGAGAGGCCTGAGGGCTCTGAAGGGTGACACAGAGGGGTGAACAGATTGAAGGGAGGAAACTTTAGGGGCTTCAGGCAAACCTCATTTACATGTGTCCAAGGACTTTGAATGGAGTCCCTGATTTCTGCTTCCCTCTGAGGACTATTCAACTGAACTTTTTCCCTATGTTTTTTCTTTTTTTTTTTTTTGTGATTTGTGATGCCAAAAGTGTTCCTTAAATAGTCACTTACAAGAACAAAGCTGCCGTCATCTCTGAATCAGTCACTCAAAGGTTATCTGGGAAATCAGAATAGTGTGCCTGGTATACTTCAACATCTTTGTTGTATTAGGCAGCAAAGCAGCCCAAGAAATTAAGTTTAGTAAAACTTTGGAATAATTTGGAGATAATAATTCCACTTTAGACCGATTTCAACCCAGATCAATTACTAAAATAAAATGCTTAGGGTGGAGAACCCAGAAAGCTTTGGACTAAATGAACCACAAGTCTTATCAACACCAGTGAAAATAGTATGTTTAATTTTTTTGCCATAAACTTCCTGGGACGCAATCAATAACTTGTACTATTAATAAAATATTTTGGGAAAAATGTACTCAACCAACTTATTGCTAGTCCTCATCATATACAGGACTCTGCTAGTTGCCTGGGCATCTGAGGATGGAGGATGAAATTAGTTGGATTTATTCATAGGGTTTAGTTCCAGTGTCAGAAAAAAAAAATGTTTTTCTGACCAGTAACCAGCAGTAAAATAACCATTGTACAATGTCATACTTTTAGCAGCAGAATTGTATTTCCAAACAATAGTTTATGTAGACTTTTAATACATAAGACAGAGCCAAGTGGAACTACTTGAGAGCGGGAAGGGGTTGAGGAGCACTTGGCCTCCCACCATGCCTCTACCCCACCCCCACCCCAGCACTCTGAGAAGCTTCTCTATAGGACACACGTCTTCTGTCAAGGGGCAGAAAGCTACTTTCCTTATTGCTTTAATCTCCTTTTCATTCCGCTACTGCGTTCTGTCTTCCTCCGTGGTTGAAAAGTCTCCATATTTGTCATCTTCAAAACGAGATAAGGTTCCCTCATCAATCTTATTTTTAGTAAATCACCAGTTTAACTCACCTTTCTTTAGCAAAACCTAACTACATATACAGAAAGGAAACTTTTTTGGAACTTCTCACTCTCTGAATGCATTAAGTAGAAACATTAGCTGAATTGTAAAAAATGCCCCTAATGTAAAACAAAACAAGATGAAATGAAAGCATATACGTTAAGAATATGCAAGACTGAGAGCTCCAGGGCAGGGGAGCCAAGGCATGGAGCAAACAAAGGCAAAGGCACGATAGCCCAGCTCCCTCCCACGGCCCACACCATACAGTCTCCAGCCATTGCAGTGCTGAAAGCACACTGTCCTGGGTTCAAATCCTAGCCTTGCTACTTTCACCGACTGGCCTTTGGCAGTTCAACTTAACTCTTCTAAGGCCCAGGCCCTGTAAAATGGTAATCATAGGACCACTGCAAGAATTCAATAAGAGGTTATATATAAAACCGTAAAATTCCAAGAAAACAGCAAATAATCAATACATGTTAGCTACTGTGGCTATTACTATTATCCCAACCCCAGAGGTTGTTCTGGGCACAAGAAGCACCTGATATACTGTTTTGGAGACTCCCCAAATTGGGGTGGCTGCAAGGTGAGGAGTCAGCAGTCACATGTAACTGTGCCATGAATTCAGATGTCAGGTTAACCGGGTCTCTTCCTAAAGGAACCAAACCAAGAATTTTTTCCTTTGATGTCTCACCATGATTTGAAACTGAGTCAATGTCTTTGCTAAAAGCAATCTTTTTTTTTTGAGACGGAGTCTTGCTCTGTTGCCAGGCTGGAGTGCAGTGGCACGATCTCCATTCACTACTGCAACCTCCACCTCCCGGGTTCAAGCGGTTCTCCTGCCTCAGCCTCCTGAGTAGCTGGGATTACAGGTGCCCGCCACCACACCCAGCTAATTTTTGTATTTTTAGTAGAGACGGGGTTTCACCAACTTGGCCAGGCTGGTCTCGAACTCCTGACCTCATGATCTGCCCACTTCGGCCACCCAAAGCACTGGGATTACAGGCCTGAGCCACCGTGCCCAGCCTGCCAAAAGCAATCTTTGAATCAAAGCTGGAAGAACTGATGCAATCAATATTCCTTAGTTTGGGACTGACTTGGTGCCTGAGTACCAGTCAACTTGGAGGATCTGCCATACAAATTATGAGGGTTTTTTTTTTTTTAACTGTGGAGGTCCTATTTTTGATAGATTATAGAAATAAGGAGTGACAAGTCAAGCTGTCATGAGAGGAGAGTCATCTAAAGTTAGTACTGAAAACAGAAATTTGGCTGGCAAATTAGTTAGAAAAGGGAGGCAGAACAATGGGAAAATTTTTTGCAAGATTTCCTGGGAGTTGGGGATGGTGATGATGGCAGGGGCCCTGGAGTGACCGCTTACCAATTAGTGGTTTACCTGTTAACTTTGGCAGATGTTTTACCAGTGAATGGTAAGATTTCTAATTGAGCTTCAGGCAAGACTGTCTAGTGAAAACTATACTTCTATTTACTCTTCAGTAACTAACAAGGCCTGTTTTTTTCTTTACTTAGTTCTTATTTGAGATCTTGGTTAAGAAATTATAAAATATAAATAGAATATTAGCGACTTGGGTTATTTGGTTGTTGAGAAAGGGTTCTCTAGAGAAAATATAATTTCATAACTGCAGTACTTATTCAATTAGACTAGGAAGGCTCCTCAGAGGTAATCTACTTCAACCTCTTTCTGTAGGCGGAAGCCATGCTCCCAACCAATCATATTCATGAATATCCAGCCTCTGTTTGACATTATTCTTTAAGGTTGTTTGCTTTTAGAATTTTCAGCCCATTTCTTGTAAGTTCCAGTTCTAAGAAAGGCTTTTTTACATATTAAGACAACTCATTTTTCCTGAAACTTGCAATCTTTTCCACTGACTGCCTTTTGTGATTCTGATTGGTGGTGACTTTCTGGTTTTCTCTTTACCTCTGTGGGTGACTAAAGGTGATTTTTTTTGTTTTTCAGAATAATAGTAATCAACTACATAATCTCCAGAAACTGCCAGCAACTTCCAAATTCCTCTTCACATAGCTTCTCAAATACTTCATTAGAACCAGTGTGAAAAATTTAAAATACAATGTGACATTTCTCTAGTAGAATGTAAGCTTCATGAGGGAAAAGACAACGCGTCTCCTTCCTGTATTCCTAGCACCCAGTACGGCACCTGACACATAATAGTGACCTTAGAAGAATATTTAAGAGTCATTGAGTAAACATTTTGTAGAGCTGTCCATGTTTATTTTCCATTCAGTGTTTACCAGGTGTCTGCTATTTGGACAGTCACTTCATTGTTCATTAGTACATGACTTTGGTAAATATATCTCCTGTGAAGAGAAATATTATAACTACTATGGCATTCAACACTGGTATTTCAGTTACTCAACTAATCCACCCACTGATGGAGTGAACCTTGAATTAAATGCTTTGAAGAATAAAGTGAATCTTGATAAAAATCAAAGGCTGAAGAAATCTTGTTTGACAGAAGGCATGAACAAAAATGCTAAAATTAATACTGTTTGTGGAGAAACACTCATTCCACCGCAGACTAAATGGAGTTCATGAGTATCAAAATGCCTATGTGATCAAAAGGCAGAAACAGCTTCTTTTTACTAGGTCTGTTAATATTCCAGGACTCATAATATTGTGCCTACATGAGCACCTGTGTTTGTGGTAACTCAAAGTATTTGAACACCTTATCTCATCCAACCTCAAATTTCCTGTGAGGTATTTAAGCACCGAGAGCTCTTGGTACTGTTTTCAAGATGAAGCAGATGAATTAGAGAGGCTGTTCACACACCAAATTTCACAGAAGCCTATGGAGGAAATGACGGGGAGACTTACCAGTTAACACCCAGTTGCAGAAATCAATGTCAGAGCTTGAAAGGACCTTATAAACCCCTGATCCAATGTGGACTTTCCTAGTAAGACTTCTGTTTGCAGTGACTTGGTTCATTTCACCAACCACAAGAATTTTAAGTAATTTTTAATCATAAAAGTAACATAGAACATAGTAATACATATATACGTACATACATGATACAGAAAGGTATCAAAAAACAAAAACATATATTACTTCCTCCTCTAACATTCCAGTGCCAGTTTCCAAAGATTCCTATTACCCAGAGGTAACCACTGTTAATAATTTTTAATGTATATTTCCAAAAATTTTTTATGCATTTAGAAATGTGTGCATGTGGGTGATGGGTGCACCAAAATCTCAGAAATCACCACTAAAGAACTTACTCATGTAACCAAACACCATGTGGTCCCCCAAAAACCTATTGAAATAAATAAATAATAACATAATAAAGACTTAATAAAAAGTAAAATAAAAATGTGTACATGTATACATACACGCAATGACAGTTGGTCCTCAAATAACATCATTCCATTCAGTGTCATTTCATTATACTGTTGATTGGAAAAAAATTGATTTCTGCCCGGGGCCCCTGTCTGTGTGGAGTTCCCATGTTCTCCCCATGTCTGTGTGGGTTTTCTCTGGGTATTCTGGTTTCCTCCCACATCCCAAAGATGTGCATGTCAGGTGAATTGGTGTGTCTACATTGTCCCAGCCTGTGTGGGTGTGTGTGTGAGGTGCCCCCTGCTAGGGTATGGCGTCCTGGCCAGGGTGGCTTCCGCTTTGCACCCTGAGCTGCTGGGGTGGACTCTGGCCACCCTCAACCCTCATCTGGAATAATTGGGTAATAATTATCTTGTTTTTATTAATCTTTCTTAAAAGTATATATAGTTCGCATTTATTTCAGTGTTTAATATTAGAAGTGTTTTACTCTTTAGAAGTTTGGTGATGTTTTTGTGACCAGAAATATGCCATAGGAACTTAGCTCTTGTTTATATCAATTAGCCTGCAGTAATTTGGTTCCATTGTGTGTTTCCTTAAAGCTGAAGTTTCCAAGTACCTACTGATGACGTTAAGTGAGGACTTAACTTGTGTGTTGCAGCTCCTATTAAATTGCTGCACTTGGAAGCATAGTAGTCATTTCAAACTTTAAAAAGATCTTCTGCTATTCTGTTCCAATTCTGACCTTCTCACAGTTTTATTCATCTAGTAAACACCAACTCGATCCTTCCAGTTGCTCAGGTCAAAACCTTTAAGTCATCTTTGGTTCCTCTCTATCCAAAACACCATCTATCTAATTCACCAGCAAATCTTATTGAGTATATGTTAAAAATATCTCCAGAATCCAACCACTTATCACCATCTCCATTGCTTCCACCCTAACTCAAGCCACTAGCATCTGTTGCCTGAATTATTACAATAGCCTTCTAACTGGTCTCCCTACTACTACATAGCTTTCTACTGTCTATACTCAGGATAGCAGACAGAAGGATCCTGTGAAAACACAAGTCAGGTCGTATACCTTCCATGCGCAAAAAACATTCAAATGCTCCCCAGTTAATTCAGAGTAAAAGCTGAAGTAAAAGACTGTCCACAGTCTGCTGACCCCATTACCTATATGACTTAATCTCCTGCTACTCTAGAGAAACTTCACTCTCTTTGTTCCACATATACTGGCTTTTGCGCTGTCCTGAACATGCCTGGCATGCTCTTGCCTCAGGGCCTTGCACTTGCTGTTTCCTCTTCCTGGAATGCTCTTACACCAACTATCATCACTTCATTCAAGTCTTTTTTTTTTTTTTTTTTTTTTTTTTTGAGACGAAGTCTCACTCTTTCGCCCAGGCCAGACTGCTGTGGCGGTATCCCCACTCACTGCAAGCTCCGCCTCCCAGGTTCTCGCCATTCTTTTGCCTCAGCCTCCCAAGTAGCTGGGATTACAGGCGCCCACCACCGTGCCCGGCTGATTTTTTGTATTTTTAGTAGAGACGGGGTTTCACCGTGTTAGCCAGGATGGTCTCGATCTCCTGACCTCGTGATCCGCCCTCCTCAGCCTCCCAAAGTGCTGGGATTACAGGCGTGAGCCACCACGCCCGGCCTCAAGTCTTAATTTAAATGTAACTTTCTCAATCAGTCCTTCTCTAGCCCCTCTTAAAATTGCAACTCCATCCCCAAACTCACTCTGTATTCCCTTTCCTGCTTTTGTTTTCTCCTTAAAATTCATTTTTACTCATTTGTCTTTTTAGTTGTCTGTCTCTCTAAGGTAGATTATGTTTCTAAAGATGACTACAACATTAACTTTCATCCCACATGTTGTTTTCTAATGTGACATTGTCATTCTCCATCAAGAAATGGAGCCTATTTTGCCCTCACTTGAATCTGGGCTTCTGCCTTCCATCCTTGGGGTGCCTCCTCTTGGAAGTTCACAGCCATATTAGAAGAACAAATGCCCTGAGACCACCATGCTGTAAGGGGGCCCAAACTAGCCAGGTGAAGAAGAGGCCATGTACCAAAGCTCTGGACATGTGACTAAAGCCTTCTGGAACCGTCTGTGCCAACATCACCCATCAGCTGAAGGGAGTCAAGGAAGAGATCCAGTCAATACTAGATGGAACAGAAGAACTGCCAAGCTGAGCCCTGAATTCCTGACTCATAGAATTGTGATGAAATAAAGGTTGTTGTTTGAGGACACTATGTTTTGGAATAGTTCGTTAAGCAGCAATAGATTCTTGAAATATTCCTATACTATAATGCAAGCTCCACGAGGATAAAGATTTTTTATCGTTTTTGTTTTATTTTTTTGCCTGCTGCATCCCTGGTGCCTGCTGTAGTGCTCAGAACGAGGTAGGTGCTTGGTAAACATCTGTTGAATGAATGAATATATGAATGAAAGAGAGAGAGAACATAATGAAGAGAACATTACTAGTGGATCCATGTTTCTTTCCAGTGCCATGAAAAAATAGGATATGGAACCTAACTATGGCAGTAATAAGAGAAATTAGTGGCCATGGGCATGCTGCCTTGCAGGGCCAGCTTCCCAGGCTGGCCAGGATGCAGAGAACATTTGGCAATATATCTCAGGAAAACCAGTTTCACAGACATTGTCTTCAAACCTTTTCTTTTTGAGACATTAAATCAACCTTTTAATAAGCCAAATCATTGTCCTTTTAAGTATAAAGTAACACAGGCGCATGGTAAAATTTTATACAACACAGAAAGTTGTAGAAGGAAAAGAGTTTCATTTTACCCTGATGTTAACAGTTCCTTTGGTAGTAGTTAGAAAATGTCTAGGCATGATTGAGGCCTTAAGATTCATTCTATTTTGTTCTCTCTTTTTTCACTCTACATAGTATCTTAAAGAGAGTTTCCTAAAGGCATCTACAACAACAATTAGCTTTTACTTATTGAATGCTTACTATAGCTACTCTTGTTAGTCTGTGTAGTGTTACTATACACTACACAGGCCAGGCATGGTGGCTCACGCCTGTAATCCCAGCACTTTGGGGAGGCTGAGACAGGTGGATCACCTGAGGTCACAGGTTCAAGACCAACCTAGCCAACATGGAAAACCCCGTCTCTACTAAAAATACAAAAATTAGCCAGGTGTGCTGGCATATGCCTGTAATCCCAGCTACTCAGGAGGCTGAGGCAAAAGAATCTCTTGAATCCAGGAGGGGGAGGTTGCAGTGAGCAGAGATGGCACCACTGTATTCCAGCCTGGGCGACACAGTGAGACTCTGTCTCAAAAAATAAAACAAAACAAAAATAAAAAAATAAATACCTGAGGCTGGGTAATTTCTAAATAAAAGGGCTTTATTTGGTTTACAATTCTGCAGACTGTACAAGAAGCATGGTGCCAGCATCTGCATCTGGTGAGGGCCTCGGACTGCTTCCACTCATGGCAGAAGTTGAAGGGGAGACAGTGTGAGCAGAGATCACATAGCAAGAGCAGAAGCAAGGGACTGGGGGAGGTGCAAGGTGGGAAGGGCTGGGCACAGTGGCTCAAGCCTGTAATCCCAGCACTTTGGGAGGCTGAGGCGGGTGGATCACAAGATAAGGAGATTGAGACCATCATGGCCAACATGGTGAAACCCCGTCTCTACTAAAAATACAAAAATTAGTAGGGCGTGGTGGCATGCACCTGTAATCCCAGCTACTCGGGAGGCTGAGGCAGGAGAACTGCTTGAACCCGGGAGGTGGAGGTAGCAGTGAGTGGAGATAGTGCCACTGCACTCCAGCCTGGGCGACACAGCAAGACTCCATCTCAAAAAAAAAACAAAAAACAAAAAAACAAACAAACAAACAAAAAAAAAACCATCTCTGGCAGGAACTAATAAAGCCAGAACTCACTCACACACCCCTGGGGTGAGGACATTAATCTATTCATGAGGGACCCACCCCCATGACCCAAACACCTCCCATTAAGCCCGCCTCCAACATTGGGGATCAAATTTCAACATAAGATTTGGAGGAACAAATATCCAAAATATAGCAGCCACCATACAATAGACGATTTCATCTTCACAACAACCCAGTGAAGTCGATATCATCATTATTCCCATTTTATAGATGAGGAAACTGATACTTGAGGGGCAACGTAACTTGCCCAAAGTCAAACACTTTGAAAATGACAGATTCAAATTCTGACTCCACAGCTATGCTCTTAACTTTCTTTCTCTACTGCCTCTGTTACAGAAAGTGAACTCCTTATCTCTAAGTGCTGCATTGTTGTATTCCATAGCAATGACTGGACTAGCAACTCTGAAACAATCTTTTGTGCAATCTAGACTTGATAAATGAGTATATATATTGAGAATAGTGGAAGCCAGGTTTCTTACTGTTGGTAATGGAACTTGCATGTATGGAAAGGGGAAGACTAGAACATACACTGTAGTGTTGGGTTACAGTTGGAAGTATCACTATGGGCTAATTTTTTTTTTTACATATCTATCCTAGCTCTGTCCATCGAGAAGGCCTAGAAATAATGACATACCAGTAGCCATAAACATACTGAGCCCCCAGATCTTGGTTCTAAATACTATTCTCCAGTAAAAGGAACCAGAGATCCTTGACTGATTCTGGTTCTGGGATAGGGACAGCACATGATGAGCCTGGAATATCTTGTTGCTCCAAAAAATACCCTCAATAACCAAAGCTGGAAACACTTGAGCAACAAAATAAAGTATTATTGGATGATAACACAGAATGTAAAAAACTATTTTTTATCCATACTGATATAAATTGTTGAATAGGTAAATAATAGGAAAGAAGAATTCAAAATATGCAGATTCTCTACTATCAAGGAGGTGAAGCATAACTTCACTTCTTAAGCCAGTGCTTCACTTGGTGACTTCCTTTCAAAGAGTACAGTATGAAAAGGTAGGAAAAAAACCCAGTAGCTTCAGAATAGAAGAAGCTGACAAACACCATGTCAGGCTGGTGGGAGCTTTCAGTTGGCTCCTCTGTTCCTTTGACATGCCTCCATCAATGTGTTTTTATTTGAGCACTTCTTTTCTTTTTGGTAAAACAAAATACTCCAGGCTCCTCCTGTATATTTCCTCCCCCAATCCTAGAACCAGCCATTTCTCCAAAGAGCCCTAGTTTATTTTATTTCAAGAATGGTATTAGAAACCAAGATCTTGTAGTTTAGTGTGCTCATTTTTACTGGGATTTCATTGCTTCTAGCCTCTGCAGACAGAAGAAAATATATGTGTATATATGAATGTATATATTCATATCTATAAATACTTCTATCTATATTAAGCTAAACATGAGTTTAAACTGATGTCTTCAACTCTAAACCGTGACCACAAAGATCAGTCTAGCCCCCTCCCCTTGATCATCTGTAACCTCTCACTGGAACAGTGAAACACCTGGCTCCTACCATCCATTATCCATTTATGTAAAATTTCACTATATATGTATAGTGGTAGCCAACTTTTTTATTTTAGCCATTCTAATTGGTAGATAGTAGTATCTTCTAAAGGTTTCAGTTTCCATTTTCCTTGTGATTAAATATGTAGAACATCTTTTCATGTGCATTCTTCCCATCGGTATATCTTCTTTGGTTATATATCTGTTCAAATCTTTTGCTCATTTAAAATTAGATTTTTTCTTCTCATTATGTTTCAGAAGTTACTTGTGTACTTTGGATTCATGTCCTTTATCAGATATGTGGTTTGCAAGTATTTCCTCCCAGACTTTCGCTTATTTGTTCACTCTCTGACCAGTGCTTTTAATTCTGATGAGATCAGATTTATCAGAATCTTGGTTTTTATTTTATTATTTTACGAACCATGTTTTTGTTGTCATGTCTAAGAAGTGTTTGCCTAACCCAGTGTCACTGATATTTCTCATACATTTTTTACTTCCAAAAATTGTACAGTTTTGGTCTGCGATCTGTTTTATAGTTTATTTTGTATATGGTGTGATATATCGATTAATTTTTTTGCATATGAATATCCAATTACTCTAGCACCCTTTATTTAAAAGACTACTTTCTCTTCACTGAATTGCCTTTACAGTTGTAGAGTTTGTAGAGTTAATTGTTCATGTATTTGTGAGCAATTTTTTTATTCAGACACTCCCTATTTTGTTCCATTGATTTGTTGTTCTATCTTTACACCAATACTACATTGTCTTAATTACTTCAGCTTTCTGATAAGTGTTAAAACCAGGTTATTGTTTCTAAAACTTTATCATTTTTCAAAATTGTTTTGGCTATTTGAGATTCTTTGCATTTCCATATGAATTTTAGAATTGTCTTGTTGATTTCTACAAAACTCCTGCTGTCATTTTGACTGGGATTATATTTAATCTATAGATTCATTTGGGAAAAGTTACATTTTTTTTTTCTTTTTTTGTGACAGGGTCTTACTCTGTAACCCAGGCTGGGGTGCAGTACACAATCACAGCTCACTGCAGCCTTGACCTCCTGGTCTCAAGTTTTCCTCCCTCCTTAACCTCCCAAGTCTCTGGGACTACAGGCATGCACCACCACGCCTAGCTAAGTTTTTGGTTTTTTGTAGTGATGGGGTCTCACTGTGTTGCCCAGGCTGGTCTCGAACTTCTGGGCTCAAGTGATCCTCCTGCCTCAGCCTCACAAATTACTGGGATTACAGGCATGAGCCACCATTCCCAGCCAAAACTGATATCTTAACTGTCATCTGGCCAAGGAACACAGGATATTTTTCCATTTGTTTAAGTCTTCCTTAATTTCTCTCAGAAATATTTTATAGTTATTAGGGTACAGATCTTGCACATCATTTGTCAAATTTATTCCTAACTAGTTCATTTTTGTGGTGCTATTGTAAATCATATTTTTGAATTCAATATCTTCTTTCATTGCCAACATATAGAAATGCAGTAGATATTTGTATATTAATCTTGTATCATGCAACCTTGCTAAGCTCACTTATTAGTCCCAATAGGTTTTTTATGGAATCCATTGGATTTTAACATAGATGATTATGTCATCTCTAAATACAGTTTTACTTTTTTTCATTGCAATCTGAATTTATTTTTTTTCTTTTTCTTGCCTTACTGCACTAATTAAAACTTCCACTATAATGCTGAATAGAAGTGGTGAGAGCAGAAATTCTTGTATTATTTCTGACCTTAGCAGGAACATCCAGTTCTTCATCACTAAGTGAGATGTTATCTATAGATCTTTCATAGATGTTCTTTATTAGGTTAAGGAATTCTCTTGCATTCCTAGATTGCTGAGAATTTTTATCAGGAATAGTGTTATATTTTGTCAATGGCGTTTTCTGCATCTATTGAGATAATCACGTTTTTTCTTTTTTAGTTTGCTAATGTAGTGAATTACATTGGTGACTTATATATGGTGATTTTAAAAAGTTAAACTTATATTCATGGGATAAATGACCACTTCATCATTATCCTTTCTATATATTGGTACAATCAATTTGCTAAAATTTTATTCAGCGTTTTTGCTTACATGTTCACGAGGGATTTGAGTTTGTAGTTTCTTTTCTTGTATGTTTTTGTCAGATTTCAGAATCAGGCTAATGCTGACCTCAAAGAATGAGTTGCAAAATATTTCATCCTCTTCAATTTCCTGGAAGAGCTTGCCTAAACTTGGTATTATTTTCTCTTTAAATGTTTGATAGCATTCATTAGTAAAGCCATCTGGGCCTGAATTTTTCTTTCTTTGAAAGTTTAAACAAAAAATTTAATTCCTTTAATAGGTGTAGAGCTATTTAGTTTATCTATTTATTCTTGAGAAATCTTTAGCCGTTTGTATCTTCCAAGGAATTTATACATCTCTTCTGGGTTTTCAAATTTACTAGCATAACATTGTTTGTAATATTCCTTTATTACCTTTTTAATATCTGTAGACACTATTGTAGTGTCACCTCTCTATCCTTATATTGGTAATTTCTTCTCATTTTTTTCCTGACTATTCTGGCTAGAGGTTTATTAATTTTATTGATCTAAAATATCAGTTTTGATTTTATCAACTTTCTTTATTTCTTTGTTTTCAAGTTCGCAGATTTCTACTTGCTTTCTATGCTTTCTCTTCTGTATACATTGGATTTCATTTGTTTTATGTTTTCTAGTTTTTTAAGATGGAAGCTGATTTGAGACTGCTCTTCTTACCTACTACAGGCACTTAGTGCATCAGTTCTCTCCTGTGTTCAACTTTAGCATCATCCTACGAATTTTATTCCTCTGTGTTTTCATTTTTATTCCATTCAAAACACATTTTGGGGTTTTTTTGTTTGTTTTTTTGAGATGGAATCTCACTCTGTCACGCAGGCTGGAGTGCAGTGGCACAATCTCGGCTCACTGCAACCTCTGCCTCCCAGGGTCAAGCGATTCTCCTGCCTCGGCCTCCTGAGTAGCTGGAATTACAGGCACATGCCACCACGCCCAGCTAATTTTTGTATTTTTAGTAGAGGTGGGGAGTCATCATGTCGACCAGGCTGGCCTTGAACTCCTGACCTCAAGTGATCCACTCACCTCAGCCTCCTAAAGTGCTGGGATTACAGGCGTGAGCCACCGCACGTATCCTCAAAACACTTTTAAATTTTCCTTTCGGCCAGGCGTGGTGGCAATCCCAGCACTTTAGGAGGCTTAGGTGGGCAGATCACGAGGTCAAGACATTGAGACCATCCTGGCCAACATGGTGAAACTCCGTCTCTACTAAAAATACAAAAATTAGCTTGGCATGGTGGCACAAGCCTGTAGTCCTAGCTACTTGGGAGGCTGAGGCAGGAGAATCACTTGAACCCAGGAGGCGGAGGTGGCAGTGAGCCGAGATTGTGCCACTGCACTTCAGCCTGGCATCAGAGCGACACTCCATGGTGAAAAAAAAAAAACCAATTTCTTTTTTTTTTTCATTATACTTTAAGTTTTAGAGTACATGTGCACAACGTGCAGGTTTGTTACATATGTATACATGTGCCATGTTGATGAGCTGCACCCATTAACTCGTCATTTAACATTAGGTATATCTCCTAATGCTATCCCTCCCCGCTCACCCCACCCCAAAACAGGCCCCAGTGTGTGATGTTCCCCTTCCTGTGTCCATGTGTTCTTATTGTTCAATTCCCACCTATGAGTGAGAACATGCGGTGTTTGGTTTTTTTGTCCTTGCGATAGTTTGCTGAGAATGATGGTTTCCAGCTTCATCCATGTCCCTACAAAGGACATGAACTCATCATTTTGTATGGCTGCATAGTATTCCATGGTGTATATGTGCCACATTTTCTTAATGCAGTCTATCATTGTTGGACATTTGGGTTAAGCAATGGCAACAAAAGCCAAAATTGACAAATGGGATCTAATTAAACTAAAGAGCTTCTGCACAGCAAAAGAAACTACCATCAGAGTGAACAGGCAACCTACAGAATGGGAGAAAATTTTTGCAATCTACTCATCTGACAAAGGGCTAATATCCAGAATCTACAATGAACTCAAACAAATTTACAAGAAACAAACAACCCCATCAAAAAGTGGGCAAAGCATATGAACAGACACTTCTCAAAAGAAGACATTTATGAAGCCAAAAGACACATGAAAAATGCTCATCATCACTGGCCATCAGAGAAATGCAAATCAAGAAAAATTTCTTTCATCCCTTCTTTTATCATGAGTTATTTAGAAGAGTGTTATTTAATTTCTAAATATTTGTAGATTTTCTAAAGATCTTCCCGGTATTGATTTCTAATTTAATACTGTTGTGTTAGAAAACATACTATCTGTGGCTTGAATTCTTTTCAAAATATTCAGATCTGTTTTATGGCCCAGAACGTGGTTGTCCTTGTAAATATTTCATGTGCACTTGAAAAAAATGTCTAATTTGCTGTTATTAGGTGGAGTGTTCTTTAAGTATCAATTAAATTCAGTTGACAGATTGTGTTGTTCAAGTCTTCTATATACCTACTGAATTTTATCTACCTGTTTATTATTGAGAGAGAGGCATTAAAATCACCTCGAATTATAGATTTATTTTTCCTTGCAGTTCTATCTGTTTTTACTTAATGTCTTTTGAAAATCTGTTACTAGTTCATTAGTATTTAGGATTTTTATGTTCTCCTGATGGACCAATCTCTTCATCATCATGAAATGACCTTCTTTCTCCCTGGCACTATTCTTTGCTCTGAACTACTTCCTCTGATACTAACATAGCCTCTCCAGCTTTCTTTTTCTTTCTTTTCCATGTAATACCATGGTTATCTCTTTTCATCCTTTTACATTTAACCCCATTTGTTCTTTGTATTTAATGCAAGTTTTTTGTAGGCATTATACAGCTAAGGTCTTGTTTTTTAATATGACAGTCTCTGCTTTTTAATTGAGCTGTTTAGATCATTTATGTTTAATGTGATTATTGATGTGATTAGGTTTAAATCTATCATCTTGCTGTTTTCTATTTGTCCCATCAGTTCATTGTTCTTCTTTTTCTGCCTTTTTCTGGATTAACTAGGCTTTTAAAATTATTTCATGTATCACCCTTATTGCCTTTTTAAGATCCAACTCTGTTGTTTTAGTGGTTTCTTTAGGGTGTACAGTAAAGGCCATCTTGTTAGATAAGCTTTGCGGTTTCTCTATTGTGTTACTACCTACCTCCTAAAACTTTCACAGGAACATTTTTACTGTCTACTCTGTACCACGTACTTTTCAACACTTTAAATACATCAGGTCATGTAATATAACAATACTACGAGGATGGACTGTTACTCCTATCTTACACATGTGAAAACTGAGACCTAACAGGTATACTGACACTTGCTCGTGGTTACACAGCTAGTAAATGGTTGAGTTTGGATTAAACTCCTCTTTCCTTAGCCCTGGATCTCTGAGTGTTAGTAAGTTTATACTGGTGATGACAAATCAGTACTATATGTGGTAACTGCCTCCTCTGAAAATTTAGTTTTGTGTTATTGCTTTTATTGTTATTGTTTTAATTCACAAACCTGTTTGTGGTAACTTAAGCATTAAGGATTTCCTTGCATTTTTAATTTTATGTGATTTGGAAAATTGCCATACCACATGGCTCATTGCATGGCCCTCTCAGTTCCTGCAAAGTAATCCATCAAACAGAAACCACGGCATTTATTGTTCTAAATAGTCTTCCACTGGGTATAACATTGAACTCCACCAGCTCTGAGGGTTGTTTTCGTTTGTTTGCTTTTTTTTTAACCAACTTTACCAGTCTGAGTGTTTTAATTCTCCCCTAGAACTGATTACTAAAAAGTTATAATTTATCGTTTTTAAAATGTGATGTTTTCCCACTTAATATGGATGTATATTTCCTTTTTTTGTCAAGAAGATAATATACCAAAATAATAAATTGCTCTAAATTGCTCAGTGATTTCAGTTAATGTGAATCCATGTTTAGCAGGTTGGCATATAACAGTGGTTATCAAAGCGTGGTCCACAAATCTCTGGTGGTAGGGGCAGGTAAGGGGTGTGTCTCTGACACCTTTGGATGATCTGAGAGGGCAAAACTATTTTTATAAAAGCACTAAAAAGATTGGGAGGCCGAGGCGGGTGGATCACGAGGTCAGGAGATCGAGACCATCCTGGCTAACACGCTGAAACCCCGTCTCTACTAAAAAATACAAAAAATTATCCGGGCATGGTGGCAGGCACCTGTAGTCCCAGCTACTCAGGAGTCTGAGGCAGGAGAGTGGTGTGAACCCGGGAGGCGGAGCTTGCGGTGAGTGGAGATCGCGGCACTGCACCCCAACCTGGGCGACAGAGCGAGACTCCGTATCAAAAAAAAAAAAAAAGTCACTTGCATTCTTCATTATGTTGACATTTGCACTGATGATAAAAAGGCTATATTGGATAAAACTTTTGGTGCCTTAGCAGAAACGCCAAGGCTATATTAGTAGTCATATTCTTCACTGAAGTGCACTCAAAGGGAAAGAAAAAGACAGTTTTATTTAATATCCTTGATGGAACAGTTAAAAATCATTAATTTTATTGAACAGTAACCCTTGATTACATGTTTTTAATATTCTGTGTGGTGAAAGAGGAAGTATGCATAAGTATTTCTTCTGCATACCAAAGAACAATTGTTTCAAGGAGAAGCACTTGTGTGGTTGCCTGAGTTGTGAGCGCAACTAACCTCCTTTAAAAAAAAAAATAGAAACTTACTTTTACTTGAAGGTGCAACTGACAGACAACTTATGGCTATTTATACTTGGATATTTGGCAGACATTTTTTAAAAAATGAATGAAGTCAGCCTGTCATAAGACATAAAATTGACAGTATTTGTTGCCAATGCTAAAATGTATTCTTTCAAGTGAAAATTAGAACTTTAGAAAACTTGTATCTGTCACCATGAATGTGACAGCTTCCTAATACTTAAAAACTCTTCTGATAAATTGATAGTGATATTAGAAAATATGATTTTTTACGTCGCATAATAAAATGTATCAACATTTGGAAAATCTCTATAACTCAGTCAGCCAATATTTTCCAAATGGCCAGTGCATGATCATGCCTGAATAAAAGTGCAAGATAAACCAATGGATACTACTGTAACAGAGTACAAAATGTTAGTTGATATGATCTCAGATTCTGTATTACAACTATTATTTGTCAGACTTTGGTATAGTAACAAAAAAGAATATCTATGATTATATGAAAAGGCTACTAAAATACTCCTCCCTTTCCCAAATGCATATCTGTGTAAAACCAGTTTTCTAAATATATTCAGCCAAAATAACATATCACAACAGAGTAAATGCAAAAGCAGATATGAGAGTACAGCTATTTCTTATCAAGCCACTCATTAAAGAAACTTGCAAAACTGTAAAACAGTGCTACTTTTCTCACTAATTTCTTTTTATTTTGGAAAATATTTATGTTTATTATATATATATATATATATATATATATATATATATATATATTTTATTTTTATTTTTTTCCTGAAACGGAGTCTTGCTCTGTTGCCCATTCTAGAGTGCAGTGGCAAGATCTAGGCTCACTGCAACCTCCGCCTCCTAGGTTCAAGTGATTCTCTTGCCTCAGCCTCCCAAGCAGCTGAGATTACAGGCATGCACCACCACACCCTGCTAATTTTTGTATTTTTAGTAGAGACAGGGTTTCACCATGTTGGCCATGTTGGTCTCGAACTCCTAACCTTAGGTGATCCACCCACCTCGGCCTCCCAAAGTGCTGGGATTATAGGCATAAGCCATCACACCCAGCCAAATATATTTATTTTAAATAAAATTTATATCAAGCCAGGCGCAGTGGCTCACGCCTGTAATCCCAGCATTTGGGAGGCCGAGGTGGGCGGATCATGAGGTCAGGAGGTCAAGACCATCCTGGCTAACATGGTGAAACTCCGTCTCTACTAAAAATACAAAAAATTAGCCAGACATGGTGGCGCGTGCCTGTAGTCCCAGCTACTCAGGAGGCTGAGGCAGGAGAATCGCTTGAACCCTGGTGTTGCAATGAGCTGAGATCGCGCCACTGCACTCCAGACTGGGTGACAGAGCGAGACCCCATCTCAAAAAATAAAAAATTATCTCAGTATTAACATCATGGGTTTATTATTTTTAATGGATTAAAATTAAATGGTTTTAAATTTCTCAGTTTTAATTTCTAATATGGTAAATGTTGGTAACTATAACCCCATGCTTTTCAGGGTCCTCAGTAATTTTTAAGACTATAAAGGGATTCCGAGAAAAACAAGTGTGAGAACTGTTGGTAGATTCTCAGCTCACACTGATTCCTTTTCTCTGATAACTGCTCTTTCTCCCTCTATCCATGAAGGATATTGGAGGATAGCCTAGGTTATTGTTTTACCTAGGCTATCATCCTTCCTCTCCTCCCTGGATCAGTGTATTGAGGGATAGAAGGGTTAATGGGTAGCGGTATGGGGTGTGGATTTTGACCCCAGCAGGGCCTATCTTACTCTCCCCTTACAATTCAAGTAGGGTCAAAAGCGTGTTAATGTCTATCTAAAGCCTGACCCCATAGTGTATGATGTAAATTACATAAAGGGTCCAACTTCCCACGTAGTGGAGAGAACAAGAGGGGAAGTTGGTTTGAAGACTGTGAAGAGAATAAAGCAGATACACGAAGAGGGGAAAAGATGAGAGACAGACAGAAAAGCACAAATTTCTAGGGTTTCCCAGATCTCCATTCTTTGGTTCTAGTTTATGCCTGAAGATGGGCTTGAGTTCTATAAAAGAGCCCAGTGTCACGTTACTAAATATTATCTTTTCCTTTAGCCAGTTTGAGTGGGTTTCTTTTACTTGCAACCACATTGAATCACTTATAGTTAGGTACCACCTGCCTGCCTGCTGCCGTTGCTCACACCCGTAATCGCAGACCTTTGGGAGACCATGCCAGGAGGATCGCTTAAGTCTAGGAGTTTAAGACCGGACTTGGCCACATAGCAGAAAAAAAAAAAATAGCCTGGCTTGGTGGCACTCATCTCTAATCTCAGCTACTTGGGAAGCTGAGGTAGGAGGATCCTTTGATCCCGGGCAGTCGCGGCTGCAGTGAGCTATCATGCCACTGCGCTTCAGCCTGGGCAACAGAGCATGACCCTATCTCTAAAAAACATAAAAATAAACTAAAATATGGTAAGGTAGGACATATGTGATCTGTTCTCAACCTTTGTAAGGTTTATGATGTGCCATACATTTTAGGGTCTTATCAGCTAGAAATACAAGACCAAGGTTTTCTGGAAATGCAAAGATACTATTTTTATATTGAAGTTAAAAAAGAATTACCATAGGCTACACATGGATTAATTACTATCTTCAAAGAATTAGAACTCTATCAAACATTCTTACCAGAAAATTATGCTGAACAAAATTTAATCTTTCTGTGACTGTTCAAAGGAATTTAGAATCTTGTAATGCTCCAGGGACATTACCATTTTATAAATTGTACAAAAAATTCTCATTATTTCAGCTTTCTGGTAGTTTGGATTCAGAATAAATGAGAATTTACTGTAATACTTTGAATTATTAAGTTCTGGGGAGTTCAAAGTACTACTTCAAATATACATGCATTATATCACTTATCTTTTTTAACAGAATAATGAAATTTACAAATGGAAACAGTAGTGGGTGGATTCAGGATACAAAGTCATGTTTCTCGATGTTCTAATGAATAATTCTTACATTTGGCTATTTTGAACTGATCTCTCTTTTCCATTTCAAAATATAGTCTCTTTTAAGCTAAAGACCAAATAGGGCTAAGGCCAGCAACAAAGAATTCAAGCTATAATTGTATTGTATTATTATTTATGTATTGATTTGATTATAGGTTTCAGCTCATACATTTTCAGGTGAACCTAGATCCTCAATTTATTTTCACGAAAGAGAAAAACTCAAACATAATGGTAAAAAAAAATCAGATGCATTTACATATGCTTCTGGCTTTCATCAAGCAAAAAATATAGTTTAAAATGTATAGAAAAAAAGAAACTTTTAAATTAAAATCCTTTTTGCTCTAGCAATCAGCCTCGACATCAGTATAGTATATTTTGACTTCCTAATTATGGATTATCTACGACCAAATATAATATGTTTAATGTATAAATGACACTCTTGCCACACAAACTTCCTTGTATCTCTCTCCCTTAAAATGTAATTAGTTTCTTTTTGCTACTAAAAAATTTAATGCTTTCAGAAGCCAAAGCTTATTTCTGTATCTCCTGCTGTTTTGGAGTGTCTGTACCTTTCCTCCTGCCAGTTAGCATGGATAATCAAAAGTGAACTGTAAGGAGAAATCTTCCATTTAGGAAACATCAATTTGTACTAAGTCTAATCTAAAAGACTAATATGGAGCATGTGGTACATTCAATAGGAAAATGGCATTTAAATATTAATACTAGATAAATACACTCTTGCTGCTCTCTTTGATAATTTATAAGTCATACTCTTCCAGAAGGAAGTAAATCAGTTTTTTTTCTTTTATGCTGCTGCTCAGTAACATTATAAGGCAATATGTAAATCAAGGAACCATTTTCTTAGTCAGAACTGACAAGGGGAAGTGAAAATGTTGGGTCCAATTTCAACCTCATTTCCTTACAGCCTAGATTTGTGTTACATGCTTGATCCTGACTGGTGCTTTCCAAATTAAATGTATATTTCTCAAACCAATATCTTAAGTGGTAATGTTCCAACAGTCCAAATGTCGATTACCAAAACAAACATTTGTTTCTCTAGCAAGTGTTTTCACACAAAAGCATTTGATTCTCGTACTGCAGCAAACAAACATTTGCTTTAGGCGGTTAAGGCAGCCAAAAGTTCTTGCAGAAACATTTCACAGGCTGGCTGGCATCCCTCTTTGGAGCAGGGCTTGCTGATGTCCGAGATTGCATGTGAAGCCAGCTGCTGACCAAGAGAATCCTTTGCAAGACATTGAGACCATTAAAATGATTTAGCATTTTTCAAAACACATCTTTTGGGAAAATGTGCTTCTGGTTATGATGTTTCCATTAGAAAATGTCTTCATGTCTTCACAATGCTTCATTTGCTAATATAAATTCAGCCTTTGATATAATCACATAACCAAAGTCTTATGAAAGTTCACAAAGGCACATAAAAACATTCACACAACCCAGGAATCATGATTTATGCAAGAGCCCATGAGAGTTCATTACATAAATAGTCCTATTACTACATTAAAGTCTATTTTCTCTCTTGAACAAGATGTAGATTATCTGTGTAAATATATTTTCTTAAGTGCACATCTACTTTACTGTCAAGATACAGCTTCCACATAAAAACCCTCTTGTTTTTCATATTATTTAAATGCTTTTGGAATGAATCAATATTTCTGAGGAAGTAATTTACTTAAATACATGTTCTTTAAAGCATGGGGAAATTGATTCTTAACTTCTTTCCAAAGACAGGGTTTCCTAGCAACTGGGTCAAGATTGATTCTTTGGCTAGTTCTAAACTGAGAATAGTCACTAGCCCACTTAAAGGCAAAGAAGAGTTCTTCTTAGTTAAATGAATGAATGAATGAATGAATGAATGAGTGAAAACACACACACACGTGCACCACACACACAAAATGTCATTTAAAGCGTATTTGATAGAATGCGTGACAATTTGGACCTCTAGCTGATCAACTTCCAATAAGAGTTTGCTGAATACTTTCCATGAGTTTGATTCTATTTTGGCATTGATGGGACTGGGGAACCATGATACAGAGAGCAGGTAAACGGCTGTAATCATCCTAGTAACAATGCATTTAGCAGGTATTATGGGCTAGTGCCTACAGGTGAAATAACTAACCATCAGTAGAAAAAGGCATATCAGGCCCGGCATGGTTGCTCACGCCTGTAATCCCAGCACTTTGGGAGGCCAAGGCGGGCGGATCACGAGGTCAGGAGATCGAGACCATCCTGGCTAATATGGTGAAACCCCCGTCTTTACTAAAAATACAAAAAATTAGCCGGGCGTGGTGGCGGGCGCCTGTAGTCCCAGCTACTCCGGAGGCTGAGACAGGAGAATGGCGTGAACCTGGGAGGCGGAGCTTGCAGTGAGCGGAGGTCGCGCCACTGCACTCCAGCCTGGGCAACAGAGCGAGACTCCGTCTCAAAAAAAAAAAAAAAAAAAAGGAAAGAAAAAGGCAGATCGAGGGACAACCAAGGTCTGTGTGATGTTAAAGCTCTGGAAACTATACTGTCTTTACATGGAAAGCCCAAAGTATTTCTTGTCTTCAAGAAACTTTCAACCTAATTGTAAAGAAAACATACCCCAAAGAATTAGGGAGCAACCTGAGAGAGTAAATGTGTAAGTGTTAGTAATATTAAAGTAACAAAATATTGCGTTTATTGAGTCCTTACTTAATATCAGGGACTGTGCTAAGGACCTGGCATCCTGGTGGAGATGGAGCTTGGGCTGGGCCTTGAAGCAGGTAGGGAGACGTGAAAAGCAAGGAGGGAAGGTCCTTCGAGAAGATGAAACAGCATGAGCAAAGGCCTGGGGGTGGGAGGTGTGCTGTTTGGGACCTGACAGGCTTGGGGTGACAGGTTGGTGTGGGGAAGTTGCACTGAACGAGTAGGTGGGCCTGTGTTATGGTGGAGTCTGAATACCAGACTGACATGCAGAATTGACCCAGCGGGGAAATGTGTACTCGTTCTAGGTTCTTGAATATTGGGGACATGATAACTCCCCCTGTAATTTCTAGAACAAATGGAATATGCATTTGCTGTTAGAATAGCTACTGCCAGAGTTCTCTCCCAAAAAGCTTAACGTTTACACTACCATCCATATGCCAATAATATCTTGAGTTTTCTCACTTGACATTTTTTCAAACATTTTAATATTTGCTAATTTCTTCTTTAAATGTGATATTCCCTATTTTTTGAAGTGTTATAGATACATAGTTGTACATATTTGTGGGGTACATGTCATGTTTTGATACAGGCATACAATGCGTAATGATCAAAAAATCAGGGTAATTAGGGTATCCATCACCTTAGGCATGTATCATTTCTTTGTGTTAGGAACATTCCAATTCCACTGTTTTACTCATTTTAAAATATACAATAAATTATTCTTAACTATAGTCACCCTATGGTGCTATTGAATACTATATCTTATTCATTCTATCTAACTGTATTTTTCTTTTTTTTGAGATGGAGTCTCGCGCTGTTGCCCAGGCTGGGTTAATACCATTAACCATCCCCTCTTTATCCCTACCGAGTCCCACCCTTCCTAGTCTCTGGCAACCATGTTTCTACTCCTATCTCTATGAGTTTAATTTTTTTAGCCGTTGTTTTTTAATTTGTACACCTTTGGCTTTGAGTGTGATTGTGCAGTGATTTATTTGTTCATTTCCATTTGCATTTATTTTTCTGTGAATTGCATATTTGTATCTCTTTTCTTATTCTAATTGGTAGTTTGGCATTTTTGTTAATTTACAGAAATTTCAAAAATATATTATGAGGGCTAGGCATGGTGGCTCACGCCTGTAATCCCAGCCCTTTGGGAGGCCAAGGTGGGCGGATCATTTGAGGTCAGGAGTTCGAGACCAGCCTGACAAACACAGTGAAACCCCGTCTCTATTAAAAATACAAAAATTAGCTGGGTTTGGTGGTACAAGCCTGTAATCCCAGCTACTTGGGAGGCTGCGGTAGGAGAATAGCTTGAACCCGGGAGGTGGAGGTTGCAATGAGCCGAGATCATGCCACTGCACTCAAGCATGGGCGAAAAAGCGAGACCCTTTCTCAAAACTAAATAAATGTTATATATATATATATATCAGGTTTGGTCTTTTTGTTTATCATATATTTGCAATATTTTTTCAGAGTATTATTTGTCTTACAGCTTAGATTAAAGTGTTTTTTCAATTTTTCATATTTATGTAGAAAAAGATACTAATCTTCTTTTTTAAATAAAAATTCCAGGCATCATCTGCCTAGAAGGAAATGCCAAAATTACAAAAATATTCCAATATTTTCTCCTAGTACTTAAGATTTTTGATACATTTACATTTATATACATTCGATCCATCTGGAATATAATTCAGTTTAGGTGTAAAGTAGAAATTTATTTTCATTTTTGCTACTGATTTGAAATGCCTAATTATCATATGCTAATTTTCTACATGTGGGTCTACTTTTGGTCTCTCTCCTATTTCCTTACTGTATGATGAAAAGGCATAACACTGGTTTAATTACTATTGTTTGGTTTTTTAAAATCCTAGCATAGCACAGCACAGTTGTTATTAAGACCTTAGATACTACATAGTAGATAAGAGCATTGGACTCCGGGGCCAGGGGACAGTTTACCACTTACTTGAACTGAGACAATTTGCTTAGTCATTCTGTACCTCAGTTGTCCCATCTTTGAGATGGGGATAATAATAATGTGATTGTGAGGATTTAATGCATTTCTGTATGTAAAGTGCTTAAAACAGTGCCTACCACACAGCAGGCATTTATAAAGTTATTGGCTGTTATTTGTCATAATTTTTCCCCGGATTTTCTTGCTTTTCTAACTCATCTTCTGAATAATTGTTAGAATCAGTCCCTAAGAGGGCTTATTCAAGGGATTCCCCAAACATAGTTCCCTTCCTATGAAGAATCCTGATGCCAGCTGTTAAGAGAATTCTTTTTTTTAACCTGGCACAAAGTAAGCATTCAATAAATGGCAGTCATTATTTTGGTTATAATTATTGTTTTGGAAGGCACGTCAATATGCAAAGTGAATACATTCTCCTCTGATGTCTCATTCTCCTCCACCCCTAATAGAGCCTACAGGAGAGGGGAAAGAGAGAAAGCCGGTGGTAGTGGCAGGAGGGCATGGGGGAGTGCAGAAGGAGCAGCTTCTCTTAAATTCTTTTGGGGGAATTTGTAAGTGTGTCTTTCTCTTGCCCCTCAGAGCATTCTCCTGTGGCCCTTGCCTTCAGATAACCTTGGTGGGAATTAGAAAAATCTTCCCCATTTCTGTATTTCAGCCATGAATCTTAAATGATTGAAAAAATTAAAGCTCCCAAGAACTGCACTAAAGTGTTAACATGTGCTTTAGCACAGAGGTATTTAGTAGTTTAGCTAAAGCCCTCAGGGGCCAGCAGGCAACACAAATCAGTGGTCATCGAACTTTTTGCTCATGAACCTCCTAAAAATGTTTTGCAAAACTATGTAACCCTTATCAGATTTTTAAGTTAACATCTAAATTTTTTAATAATAAGTTTAATAGTTATTTTTAAGATGGTAATTAGAGGTGTATGGTAAATGGCAACATTTTAAAATACAAGTTTAAGCCCGGCACAGTGGCTCACGCCTGTAATCCCAGCACTTTGGGGGGCGGAGGCGGGCGGATCACCTGAGGTCAGGAGTTCAGCCTGGCCAACGTGGTGAAACCCTGTTTCTACTAAAAATACAAAAATAATGGCAGGGGCCTGTAATCCCAGCTACTCGGGAGTTTGAGGCAGAAGAATCGCTTGAACCCAGGAGGCAGAGGTGAGGTTGCAGTGAGACGAGATCGTGCCATTGCACTCCAGCCTGGGCGACAAGAACGAAACTCCATCTCAAAAAAAAATAAATACATAAATAAATAAAAACATAAAAGTTTACATCCCTCTAGTAAAATGTAAACCCCATAGCAATTTGATATCATCAACTATAAATTAAAAACACAAGTTCTTTTTGACATACAGAAATTTTACTTCTTTTCTCTCCTTGAATTCATATTTTAAATTCTATTACCCCACAAAATTTCATTCTAATATGGTAAGTTTGTTTTCAAGTGTTTTATGCATCACCCTATCAGGCTTCTTGATAATATAAATAAAAATACAAACTGAAATTTTATTTCCTGCTACCATAAGGCCATAGGTGTTCAGGAAATTTATCATCTGGAAAAATTGATCAAAACAATATAAATATACTTTAAACATTTTTATGAATGATTATTAAACATGAAATTAAAAATTTATTAAAAGTGCATAGCTATATAAGATGCATGGGGTTTTATTTGTTCCAATTAGTTCATGTATGCATGGATGGCTATTATTTAATGCTAGAATGAGATAGGGTTCAGCATCAAGTCTGTTCCTATTTTTGGCATTTATAGCTATAAAGGCTGAGAAACCTGGTTGACAAAAATAAGTAAATGTGAATAGGAACTGTTTTGTTACTTCCATATGAATATTTTGAATTGCCTCATTGTCATGGAGAAAGTTCTAACACCCTGAGGCAGTGTGCCACAGTCGGATTTGAGATGGGCAAAAGGTGTGCATTTCCTTTGCAGGGCAGGTTAGGATCTCAGGAAGCAGAACATGGGGCAAGATGTTTATCAGGGATCAGTATCTGTGAAAGGAAGTAGGCCTGGGCACAGACGAAATCTGCGAAGCCTTGGCCAACCTGGCTAGGAGCTCTGAAGTGAGTGCTGCCCATTAGAGTTGTCTTGGAGACAGGTCTTTATACCACTAGAGGCTTGGTCACCAGGATGGGTGTAATCCCTGCAGCTGAGGCCAACCCTGAAAGAGCTGGGTCTGTCTGCTGGGGGGCTGTCTGCTGGCTGCACTCTCCACAGATGGACAGTGGATTGGATTCCTAGGGCCGCCATAGCCAATTACCACAAACTTGTAACTAAGAGTAACAGAAATTTATTCTCTCACAATTCTGGAGACCAGAAGTCCAAAATCAAGGTGTATATAGGGCTGGTTCCTCCTGGAGGTTCTGAGGGAGAAGCATCCCATGCCTCTCTCAGCTTCTGTGGCACCTGGCCATCCCTGGATTCCCTTGGCATGCACATGCGTTCCTCCAGTCTCTGTCTCTGTCTGTACATGGCCTTCCCCTCTGTGTCTCCCTGTCTGCTTTCTCCTTTTCAGTCTTTTATAAGGATCCTTATCATTGGATTTAGGGCCCACCCTAATCCAGGACAATCTCATCTCAAGATCTTTACCTTAATTACATCTGCAAAGACCCTTACTCCAATGTAAGGTAACATCCTGAGGTTTCAGGTAGACGTATCTTTTGGGGGTCACCGTTAGCCCCACTACAGGCAGCAAGTCCTGTGCTGAAGGGATAGCTGGGCAGCCTGTCTTCATATCTATATTTTATCAGGTAGGAAAAGAGTGATTGGAAAGGGGAGCTGAGAGAAAAACAGGACAAATGTGAGGCTCAGAAGGCAAGCAGGTTGCCAAGCAGATCAGCTTTAGAAATGAGAACATATGGAAGACGAGCGTCTGGAAATTGATACTCCTTGGAAAGCCTTTGTGTACCCTAGGGTGACAAGTAACCCAGTTTGAGGATTTAGTTCAAGCTGATTATTTCCTTGCAGGAATAGAGATCTTAGGTTGCTAGGTCTCTAATTATTGAAGAGAATTAGAAATTCATAATTTAAGTAATATCTCCTTGTTTTTAAATATTAGCTAGTTCAAAACAAACAATGTAGGCAGAAGGAAAAAAAAAAAGTCTGTGGGCTGAATATGGCCCCTGAGGTAACCTGCACTTTGCAATGTTTCTAAAACTATTCCTACCACAGCAAGTAGAAGAAAGGCATCTTCCTTTGATGACCACAGATTTACCATCTCATTTAGAGGGCTGTATCAGTCAGGGTTCTCTAGAGAAACAGAACCAACAGGATATATATTTATATAAAGAGATTTATTTTAAGGAATTGGCTCACACAATTGTGGGGGCTGGCAGGTCCAAAATCCATAGGGCAGGCTGGCAAGTCAGAAACTCTGGCAGGAGTTAATGCTGCAGACTCAAGGCAGAATTTTTTCTTCTGCAAACCACAGTTTGTGTTCTTAGGAACTTCCAACTGATTGGACAAGGCCTGGCCAATTTTGAGGGTAATCTCCTTTACTTGAAGCCAACTTATGATAGATGTCAACCACATCTGCGAAATAGCCTTCCCGGCAACACCTAGATTACTGTTTAATTACGTAACTGAGTACCATAGCATAGCCAGGTTGACACATAAAAGTGACCATCCCAAGAGCCATTACTCACCATGCTGACATGTTAGCTGCCTCAGTCACACTCATTGGTGCAGAGGAGGAAAGGAAGGCCCAGGAAGGGGAAGTGACCTGTCCAAGGCCACATAGCTGGCCAGGAGAATGAAAATGCAAAGCCATGCTCTGAACTCTCAGGCCAGTACCATTTCCACTATTCTACTCTCATGCAGCTCAGTGTCTCAAGACCAAATCACAGCATTTTAGAGAACAAAAGCCCCTAAGGTCATATGGGCCAAACCCCTCATTTTATCATAAGGTTTAGAGACATTAACTCATGAGAATTTTGATTCCCAGGGAAGAGCATTTTCCACCCACTGCATTGCCTTTCACACAGATGGAGATGATTGTACTCAAAGTCAACTGATCTTGGTTAATTTTTTTCTTTCAGAACATCTCTCTGAAGAAGATGTTCTGAAAACATCTCACTGATAAGAAAACTTGCTACGTTCAGGTAACATTCTGAGGTTTAGGGTGGATGTATCTTTTTGGGGTCATCATTTACCCCACTACAGGCAGCAAGTCCTTTGTTGAGGGATGGCTGGGCAGTCGATCTTCATATCTACTGCATTTTATAAAGTGGGAAAAACTGATTGTAAAGGGGAGCTGAAAAAAAAAGACAAATATAAGGCTCAGAAGGCATGTGTGACGGTCAACAAAACAAAACAAAAAGGTCACTAGTCTTATTAATCGAAAGTTCAAGTTGTTGGGTGCCAATCAATGTTTTTTCACAAAAATTTTGTGGACATTCACTGATTATATTTCTAGAGCAGCAAAACTAAGAATTAAGCAGTTCCTTGATGGATTCACTTTTGAACTCTCTTTCTGTTACACTTGTGGTTCTCTCAGAAGACCATAGGAGTGGCTCCATTTTTGTAGCTCACAACAAAGTGAACTCCAACTTTAATCAGTTATATATTACATTACATCCATTCCTCTGACTTATTCAGTCATAAGTCATATTTCCAAATCACTTTCTCCCATCATGTGCCCCAAACTCAGCTCATCTCAGTCACAGAGCAGAGGGCGTGAGCCTTATCATTACATTTTTCTGAGTGTGCCTGTAACTAAGCCTAACGTGCATGTTGGCAATCCCAACATGGTCAGAGACACTAAAGGGCAAATTAGGGTGATGAAGGGTGGTCAGCATGAAGCTCTCTAAGAGGTGAGGGCCAGAGATGTTTCTGATTTCTGACGTCTAGATGTGAGAGGCCAGGGGTTTCTCAATGTGTCTCTGGGAGCTGTACTGGTAAGCAAGTCCTTCCTCTTCCTAACTGCTCTTCTGTGACAAAGCTCTGACTTTTATTTCCAACAGGGTCTTGGTATTTCTCCTACATTTTGTGTATTATTTGAGGGAGGTTTAAAAGCAGAAGAGTTTTTTTGTTTGTTGGAAAGAATGGAAAAAAATTGATTTATAGGGCTTAGCTGAAGAAAATGAAAATCCCTAAAACTGCATAATCTCCTTTTCTCTCTGTCCTTTCTCCACCTCTAATTATTTTTTAAAAAATTTAAGGGAGGCAGAAGAATGAATAAAAATTAACAGTAACATGGAGTTTACTGTTTGTCTAGGAGGGGAGGGAAGAATCAAGTCTCTGGATACCACATGTCCTCTGAAATAGCAGTGAAAGAAAAATAATTAGCAAATTCTATTTATTTTCAGAGCCAAAGTCACGATTCACTTCCCACAGAATCAAAACCTAGAATCCTGATATCAAATTTAACAATACGAAATTCTTTATTTTCCAAGATAAATAGGTTTGGGAAATGACCAGTGGAATTTTCCACTTCAATTAGCCACAATGGGAGTTTACATTATTACACAATTGCAAAGAAATTTAGTAATGAGCATCACAATGGAAAATTAATAAAAGCTCAGTATAGCCTGGCCCATTCAAGTAATTGTCAATTAAGGCTACAATCAATACCGAGCTAATAGCTCATGAACAAGGATAGTTGGGTACTTACTTCATTAACGTTGCAAATCGATGTCAACCATTTGGGAATAAGTGCAGAGAAATGAGCTCATATATTGGAGGTAATCATAGTTGGGGAACTTGCTGGATAAAAGGAGACTAAGGATTCAGAGTCTGCAAATAGATGAATGTCAGGGAGAAGCCCGATCTGGTTAATTAGTGTTCTGGTTAGCAGAAGGCAAAGCTTTTGTTTCAACCCTTGATGTTGAAATCCTTTGGAAGTACCTTAGCTTCTTTTCCTATACTTGGGATACTAGCAATTTGCATTTATTTCCCCTTCCTGTTTGACTTAAGCCATTCATAGTTCTTCCTCTGCCATTAAAAAAAAAAAGACTATTAATATTTCTTCCATAGTCCGTTGTAACATCCGGCAACCCATCCTAAGGTGCATCTTTTCATTCATCAGGTAGGCCTTCGGAAGGCATTTACTTAGAGAATAATCTCTTTAGGATCAGTATTGGTGGGCACTGGGCATCATCCTTCCTCCCCTGCTCCCCCTCCCCCGCACTGAAACAAATATGTACATAATACAAAGTCAGAATGTATTTTGGAAATAATTTTAAAATTCTATGCCTAATGGAAGGAAAATGATCATATGGAGAATACCCCAAGCACTGTATTGTTGTTGACTTTCCAGTCTAAACAGTACAAATCCAGCACTATGTAATCATACTCATAAATTTCACCACCTCCCTATTGTCATCCAAAGAATTTATTTCCCAGACCTTATTGTCTGAGAATTTATGGACTTCTTTCTTGCCTCATCTCCTTCACCAGAATGTACAACCTGTGGTCTGCACGGACACTCCCATCCTCTGTTTCTACTCTTCTTGTGGAAGCTCATAGCTCCATCCTGTTTGATATTTCTCCCTATCCCTCTGTTCAAATGTGAGCACTCCCAAAACGCGTGGTAACCGTAAAGCCATGTGGAAAAGAAAGACATGGGGACAGGTCTGGGGTCACAGACTCAGTGACAAGCCTGAGTTAGAAGGCTAAGAGGGGATTCTTTTGCCGACCTTATGGATCTGAGACTTGACAACCTTCTACATTTTAGTTGGTCTCTGTATTTTATTAAGAACACATGTTTAGAGCATTCCACTTGGGACTCAAAGAAAAGCACGTATCTCCACAAAGTGGGAAAAGCAGGTAGACCGATGGGGGGAGTTACACCTTATCCTTCAATCTATGAGTATCTCTTTAGTAGAAAAGTAGAAAAGAGGAAGTTTGGAAGCAGGGTAAATGAATAATCACTGGGCTTCTGCTGCTAGTGCCAGGCACTGGGCTGGACGCTTCATCAACATCATGTCATGTAAAGAGCTATTGACTAGGAGTTAGGAAACTAGGATTTAGGAATAACTTTTTGTGGCCTTGAAGAGACATCACTTAACCCTCACTGGGCCTCCATTTTCCCATCTATGAGCGATGTCAGGATCCAACAAGACAATGAGCTTGGCAAGAGATAAATCTCTCTTGGCTGGGTGCGATGGCTCATGTCTTTATCCCTGCAGTTTAGGAGGCCAAGGTGGGTGGATCACCTGAGGTCAGGAGTTTGAGACCAGACTGGCCAACGTGGTGGAACCCCGTCTCTACTAAAAATACAGAAAAATTAGCTGGGTGTGGTGGTGGGTGCCTGTAATCCCAGCTACTTGGGAGGCTGAGGCAGGAAGAATTGCTGGAACCCCAGAGGCAGAGGTTGCAGTGAGCCGAGATCACGCTATTGCACTCCAGCCCTTCAGCCTGGGTGACAGCAAGACTCTGTCTAAAAAACAAACAAACAAACAAAAACAAAAGAAAATCCAGTTAATTTAAAGAGTGCTTACATATATTCAATAATAACGACAATGATAAAAAGATGTTACTTTTTTGTATTGAATTCACCATGATTTTCTTTTCAAAACCAAGTGTTCTCCTTTATGAAGAAGCCATTGGAAGTCCATAATTGTTCAATAGCATCTGCCCTTGCTAATTCCAGAGGAGCTGTAAATTAGGATACACACATGTGGCCAAAGGAAACCATTTCCTTGCCTGTCACCTCGTATGTCAACGATCAGTCAGGAGCTGGCTTTTATGGCCCCCGTAAGAGCCAGGAAATGGGGCACCCTGATGGAGCCGCAGACAGGCCCTGGACGACCCCGCCACTAACTGCACACATTTTGTAAGCTTGCCTGCCAGGAGATGCTTTCTTCACAGAGTTAATATATGAAGTGTTTACTATAGCACTTCATGAAGATTCCCTTCTCCACAAATCCCTCCTCTATGGAGGCCCCTCCCCCTAATTTTAGGAAGAGGGCCTAAGAATGCTCCATACAGGTTGTAAGAAGAAGGTACTTCCCGCATTACAAGTTGCTCCCTGCCATAAGTGTGTAAGAGGCACACATGCACCTGCCTCCAGCAAGTGCAGTAACCACTGGGTCAGTCAGCTTAATCCTCCACTCTCTCCAGCACCCATCAAGGTTTCTCTACCATTCTACATTACAGTCACCAGCAAGCTGTTGATCAGAATTGTGTGCTCTACCCTCTCCTCCCTGGCCAAGTCTCCTTGATGGAGTTATGCTCAGATGTGCCTGGGTAATGCTCCCAGGGGGTCTTTCAAGAAATGTCCATTTGAAACCCACAACTGTATTTGTTCTAAGGATGTTGTTATTTACTGTCTCACAGAAAATCCCTTCATGAAGACCATAAAAAAAGTCTTTGATTCAACATTAGAAAGAGCTAGGCTCTTCCTGAGGCGCTGGCTTCTTGTTATTGCTCCTAATTTTGTTTCTGTGAATACAGCAACTGGCCTTTGCTCTCTTTTCACTGGCTGCTAGAAGACTTTGTAGTTCACCTCTACTCAAAACTGCTCATTAAGGATTTTTAACCACTGACTTTATCCCTGGTTTTATCTTATTTCCCTAACTTCCCATTCCCTTGATCCATTTCATCATTTATTTTTGTTATTTAATAATGTATGGAGCTCTGTACACAACTTTAAAACTTTCTGGAACTGGGTATAGCATAAATACCTAAAAAGCAGAATATCCATTCCAACATGTATTGAGCACCTACTCTATGCCATGCCCTGTGCTTGGTCCTGAGGCCCTTAGATAAAAATAATACAGATCGCTGCTCCTGGGGAGTTTACAACCTGGGTGTGCTGTAGTGCCCTATGGACCTCAGCGACTGGGAACCACTACCAGGCACACTTTGCTCACATTGAACCCTGGATATGCAGGAGCTGAACCATGACAAGGAAGGGCCAGTTCTGACTATGTAGCTTAGTGGTCATTCTTTCTTCCCACACTTCCTGCAATGTACTGGGATTGGTCTTCTGCATGGGGCTATTTGTGTCTATATTTCCTCCAGAATGCTAAATCTGCAGTGCAGTTTATACCCATACATTCCAGGCAAGAGAAAGGTCTCAATTAGTATTCATTGACTGGATGGACAGATGAAGGGATGTTACTTTCTTGCTTAAATACTCCAGTGTAAAAAATCATATTTAGCATAAAATTTAAATTCCTTACATTGGCCTGTAATGAACTACACTATCTGCCATGCACCCCTACCTCTCTGACCTCCTTTGCTTTACTATCAATCTTCCTTTTGTTACTTTCACACCTGTAAGTTTTTGTCCTCGGGATATGACCAGACCAGATCCTTTCTTCATTTAGGTCTCAGCTCAAATGTTAACCATTTTTAAGAGGTTTCATCCACATGAAAGTATTGTCACCACCAGCCCCACCTCCATCACTGTGGATTGAATGTTTCTGCATCTTTGACTTTAGACCATTCATGTTGACTGCTGAATCGCACACAGCCTACTGAAATAACCTGCTGATTGCACAAGGTCAAGTTTATTCCCCAGTGCAGTAAGAGATACGGCTCCTTTGATGGAATCTTAGAAGCATCTTAGAAGGGGGTGGTCAAGGATGGAATATTGATAAGATTTTGAGGAACTAGTTTAGGTGGGTCTTTTAATGTAGAGACTAATTAGAATTGTTCAAAGTTGTGATATAATAGTTTGGGACTGATGAATATAGTGAAGTGAGGTTTTCACACAGCACCTCGACAGGTATGCAAACCCCTTGGGTTGTTCTGAGAAGGGGCCAGCTACTCTGATGAGGACTAGTGAAGAGTCTATTGGTCAGACAAATGCATTTCCAGGAACTTCCTGAAACAAACAATAACATTATTTGCAGCTTCATCATTTTAGGGCTAGCATTTTGTGGAGTTGTGCAATCATGTTAATGCTGAGTCAAATAGTTGGATCATGTTAGGATGTACAGTAAGCTGTGTGCTTATAATGGTTTCAGTTCTCATTCATCACTATAAAATTATTATGTTTATTTAATTACTCTTTTATTATCTGTTTCTTCATTATCACCACATACAAATATAATTTCATGTGTATGTCATTCCTCCTGTTCATTTCTGTGTTGAGTACTTACAATAGGGCCTGACACCAAATGGATGCTGAGTATTTATGAAATTTAAAGTAAAATCACAACTTTGCCTGTATTCAACATCAAAGGTCAGAATGCTACATTATCAACTTCTTGCTGAAGTCCAAACAGCACCTGTTTCTTTCATCGGGAACCTGTACAATGGAAATGTGGATATTGTGTTTGGATTAGAGTGCTCCCAGAGTCTAAAGGAATTTATTCTCTCATTTATAATGAATACTTATTCTCTCATTATAATGAGAGAATATTTTATTCACTTAATCCACAAGCGTTTTATGAACCCCTCCTATGGGTCTAGCATGGTGCTGGATGTTTGCTATATCAAGCATCTGATTGCTAATTGCCATCTGCAAAAATTGAGGGGTCTGAACAAATCTGTTCTTCTCATTCCCCTACATGTCTGAGTTGAAATAACATTGAGCATTTTTAGGCATTAAAAAGACCTGCTCATAAAGAGATGACACATCTCTTTAAGGAAAATGGAAAAACATTCCTTGCTTATGAATAGGAAGAATCAATATCGTTAAAATGGCCATACTGCCGAGAGAAATTTACAGATTCAATGCTATTCCTATCAAACTACCAATGACATTCTTCAAAGAACTAGAAAAAAACTATTTTGAAATTGATATGAAACTAAAAAAGAGCCCAAATAGGCAAGGCAATCCTAAGCAAAAAGAACAAAGCTGGAGGCATCATGTTACCCGACCTCAAACTGTAGTGCAGGGCTACAGTAACCAAAACAGCATGGTACTGGTACGGAAACTGACACACAGACCAATGCAACAGAATAGAGAGCCCAGAAATAAAGCCATACACCTGCAACCATCTGATCTTTGACAAAGCTGACAAAAACAAGCAATGGGGAAAGGACTCCCTATTTAATAAATGATGCTGGGATAACTGGCCAGCCATATGCAGAAGATTGAAACCGGACTCCTTCCTTACACCATATACAAAAATCAACTCAAGGTGGATTAAAGACTTAAATATAAACCCAAAACTATAAAAACTCTGGAATATGGCCTAGGAAATACCATGGTAGACATAGGAACTGGCAAAGATTTCATGATGAAGATGCCAAAAGCAATGGCAACAAAAGCAAAAATTGACAAATGAGATCTAATTAAACAGAAGGCCTGCATAGCAAAAGAAACTATCAACAGATCTGGCAAAATAAACAGACAGTCTACAGAATGAAAGAAAATATTTGTAAATTATGCATTTGACAAAGGTCTAACATCTAGCATCTATAAGGAACTTAAACAAATCTACAAGAAAAAAACAACCCCATTGAAAAGTGGGCAAAGGACATGAACAGACACTTTTCAAAAGAAAACATACATGTAGACAACAAGCATATGGAAAAAAAGCTCCATATCACTGATCATTAGAGAAATGCAATACAAAACCAAAATGAGATACCATCTCACACCAGTCAGAATGGCTATTATTAAAAAGTCAAAAAAAAAAAAAAACCAGATGCTGACAAGGTTGCAGAAAACAGGGAATGCTTACACAATTCTGGTGGGAATGTAAATTAGTTCAGCCATTGTGGAAGGCAGTTTGGTGATTTCTCAGAGAACCCAAAGCAGAGTTACCATTCGACCCAGTGATCTCATTAATTGTGTGTATTAGTCAATTCTTGCCCTGCTACAAAGAGATACCAGAGAGTGGATAATTTATAAAGAAAAGGGGTTTGATTAGTTCATGGTTTCATAGGCTGTACAGGAAGCATGATGCTGGGATCTGCTCAGCTTCTGGGGACACCTCAGGAAACTTGTAATCATGGTCAAAGGCAAAGGGGAAAACCAGTACTTCACATGGCCAGAGCAGGAGGAAGGGGATGGGGGAAGGTGCATACACTTTTAAATGACCAGAACTCAGGAGAACTCACTCTCTATCAGGAGAACAGCACCGAGGGGGAAATCCGCCCCCATGATGCAATCACCTCCCACTGGGCCCCATCTCCAACACTGGGGATTACAATTCAACATGAGATTTGTGTGGGGACACAGATCCAAACCATATCATTGGGTATATAACCAAAGGCATATAAATTGTTCTACCCTAAAGACACATGCATGTATATGTTCATTGCAGCACTATTCACAATAGCAAAGACATGGAATCAACCTAAATGTCCGTCAGTGATAGACTGGATAAAGAAAATACCTATACACCATGAAATACTATGCAGCAACCAAAAAACAGAATGATATCATGTCCTTTGCAGGAACATGGATGGAGCTGGAGTCCATTATCCTTCGCAAACTAACTCTGGAACAGAAAACCAAATACCACATGTTTTCACTTGTAAGTGGGAACTAAATGATGAGAACATATGAACACAGAGAGGAGAAGAACACACACTGGGTCCACTTGAAGGGACAGGGTAGGAGGAGGGAGAGGATCAGAAATAGTAACTATCAGGTAGTATGCTTATTATCTATGTGATGAAATAATATGTACACCAAACCCCCATGACATGAGTTTACCTATATGACAAACATGCACATGTGTCCCGGGAACTTAAAGTAAATTTTAAAAAGACATGCTCATAAAGGATATTTAAAGACATAAGAAAATATGTAACATTAAATATATATAATGATATGTGACATAAAGATATATATAACATATATTCTTAGGTTTAATGCTATATATTATATATAAGAAAATTTGTTATACATTATATGTAAGAAAATATGTTATATATTTTCATATGTAATTTTTTTATTATTTTTTTTTTGAGATGGAGTCTCGCTCTGTCGCCCAGGCTGGAGTGCAGTGGCGCAATCTTGGCTCACTGCAAGCTCCACCTCCTGGGTTCATGCCATTCTCCTGCCTCAGCCTCTCGAGTAGCTGGGACTACAGGTGCCTGCCCACCACGCCCAGCTAATTTTTTGTATTTTTAGTAGAGATGGGGTTTCACGGTGTTAGCCAGGATAGTCTCGATCTCCTGACCTCGTGATCCGCCCGCCTCGGCCTCCTAAAGTGCTGGGATTACAGGTGTGAGCCACCGTGACTGGTCTTTATATATATAATTTTATAGAGGAAAAGAATAACATAAAACTATGTTTGGTGTAATCCAAATTTTATAAATAAATACATGGTTGACAATAAACCTCTGACAGACACACACAGACTGACAAGGAATAGACCAAAATGATAGCAGTGCTTAACAACTCTGGATGGTAAAATTATGCCTGGTTTTTATTTTTATTTTTTATACTTCTCTACTTTTTGACAGTTAGTGTATTTTTTTTAGAATGGTATTTTAAAATGTCACTTTCCTGTTTGAGGGTGGGGAAGGTGGGAGAGTTGCCAGATAAAATACAATGATGCCCTGTTAAAACTGAGTTTCAGATAAACAGTTTTTTTTTAGTATAAGTATTCTCCCAATATCACATAGGACACATTTAAATTAAAAACTATTCATTGTTTATCTAAATTCAGATTAACTAGGTGTCCTGTCTTTTGTTTGTTTGTTTTTGTTTTTCTTTGAGACAGAGTCTTGCTCTGTCGGCCAGGCTGGAGTGCAGTGGCACGATCTCTGCTCACTGCAACCTCCGCCTGCTAGGCTCAAGCAATTCTCCTGCCTCAGCCTCCCAAGTAGCTGGGATTACAGGCGTGTGCCACCATGCCTGGCTAATTTTTGTATTTTTAGTAGAGATGGGGTTTCACCATGTTGACCAGGCTGGTCTGGAACTCCTGACCTCAGGTAATCCGCCCGCGTCAGCCTTCCAAAGTGCTGGGATTACAGGTGTGACCCACCGCACCCGGCCAGTGTCCTGTGTTTTTATTTGCTAAGTCTGGCAAACCGAGACAGAGGGAGAATTCGTCAGAATAAGCTGGGGAACTTTTCAAACCTGTCTTGTGTTCCCCACACCCAACCAGATTCTGATGTGTCTATCCACCCACCTGCCATCACTCAGACTTTGATATCTTCTCCCAGGGGTATCCTAGAAGCTGGGGGCTGAGGGTGGCATTGAAGTGGGGGCTGTGCAGTGAAGCACTCTGGGGTTGAGGAGGCGCCAAGAGTATTTCAGTCACATCTCTCCTGTTTTCCCTGGTAGGACTTAATGCATTTGACACTGCGAGAACAACTCTTTGGGAAGCTGCAGGACGCTCCTGACAATGTTCTGGTTGGTCTGTTTTCATAATTTTTGTCCCCAAGACCACTGGTGGCCTGTCACACTCTGGAAAGGCTATGGTGCAGAAATGGGCTAGCTGGCTGGTGAGGAAGCAGAGCTCTAGGCTGCTGGAGGCCTCTGGCCTTGAAGACCCAACTCTGGATCTCTAAATTTGCAACAGAGCCTGGGGTTAGACAGAGGGAGAGCTGTCTCCCCAGAGCACAAGTGTCTGGCAAAGTCAGCAGCCACTAAAGGCCAGGAAGCTGATTGGACTGTCCCAGCTTATGTAAAACTCTCTCCTCCAGCCTCACCACCTTGACCATGGCAGAATGCATTTAGGCCAGAGGACAAATGCGTCCAGAGAGAACAATCTTCTCTCAGGAAGGAAGTATCTAGAACCAATGGCCTGTGGCCGAGTACTGACTTGACACCCTTAGGGGGCTCTGAAGAATTGACAGCATTTTCCTTTTGGGGGACCATAGCGAAAGACCTGAAATAACCCCTCATGGCCACACCTCACAAAATAATACTGCAAGCGCAAATAGCTAAACATTCACCAGGATTTGTAAACATGGACTTCAAAAAGGTGATAATTAACAAGGTGTAGGGCAAGGGGTAATAGAGGAGAAACAGCAGGCTTTGAACAAAGCCCTGAATCCTCTAGGCCTCAATTTTATCACCTGCAAAATGGGTGGGTTAGACAAGGTGACATGAAAATTACCTTCTGATTTCAAAGTTCCAAAATGTTAATTTGGGGGATTAATTGTGGGGCGAGGGAGGCATGTTCAGTCTTTATAAAGCTGAATGATGACTCAGATAAACCTAGTGTCATTTACTAAACCTTGCTGTATGGGAGGATAGGAATTGCTATTTCTCAGGTATTTACTTGGTGCCAACCATTGCACATGTTTGATCTCATTTCTATGCTTCAGAACAACTCTTGGAGGTCACTATCATTATCTTCATTTTCTATCCAGGGAAATGGAGCCACAGAGAGGTTCAGTGATTTTCTTATAGCCACATAGCTCACAAGTGTAGAGCCAGGATTTGAATCAAGCTTGTCTTCTGCTGAACTTGAGGCCTCGCCCACCACACCATGTAGACTTCCCGTAGCCACCTGTGTTGCTGACCTGAAACCCAAGTAACCTGTATTCTTGAGCTCTCACCAGCACCAGGTGAGGTACAGAGATGGGGACAAGGGGCAGCACACCCCTCTCTCACGAGGATTAATCTACAAACTGTGAATACGGAATAGCCTACAACCAGCAACTGTGTACTGGGGACAAATGCCAGAGGGTATCTTCAAAGGCCCCTGTGTTCCAGAATTCTCCTCATACTGATTGTCTGATCTCTGAAATGTCTTGAGCACCATCTAGTGCTTTTCATTACTTATCCTGACCTTCCCCCACCGTCTCTTACCAAGTGAAGAAAAGTAGAAACCATGCCTTTCGCCACTAACTGGTTTAATCATTTCCATGCATAGGCCTTGACTGGGCAAGACAGGGGACATATGGGTGTCAGTTTTACCTGAATAAAGGCACTAGGAGAAAAAAAAAAGGAGAGGTTGGGAAAGGAGGCATCAGAAAGTCTTTGACTTCAGAGTAAATACTCAAGCAAGTTTCCTGAATATGATGATCAGTCAAGTGAATTATTTGGTGACTGTGGACCTTGGCCATTTTCAAGCCTCTTAGGGATAATCACAAGAAAAATAATAAGTAAAAATATTGGAGCAACCAATAGAAAAGAGTTTTCTTGGGCAGAAATAGAGAATTTCATTTATTTGTATGAGTAGCTACCATTTCAACGGTGTTTGCCATTCCACTTGGAGGAAACAAATCCTTCTGGAGCACACTGAGGGACCCTCTTGGCTATGAAAATGTAAGACTAGATGGCATTCACTGCCGGCCGGGCGTGGTGGCTCATGCCTGTAATCCCAGCACTTTGGGAGGCTGAGGCAGGTGGATCACTTGAGGTTAGGAGTTCAAGACCAGCCTGGCCAACATGGTGAAACCCCATCTCTACTAAAAATACAAAAATTATCTGGGCATGGTGGCACATGCCTGTAATCCCAGCAACTCGGGAGGCTGAGGCAGGAGAATCACTTGAACCCAGGAGGCGGAGGTTGCAGTGAGCTGAGATAGCATCACTGCACTCCAGCCTGGACAACAGAGCGAGACTCCATCTCAAATACATACATACATACATCCATACAATAGAAGGCATTCACTGCCTTGACCTCATTAGATGGTTTCTTGAGTTGAGTTCCCCAAGAGCAGACCCCGAGATGAGGATCATGAGAAGCGATTGATTAGGGAAGTGCTTCCAAGGGAGTTCAGTGAGCAGGTGAAGAAAGCAGAACAAGGAAAGGAAAGAAACTGAACAAGGAGATGAAGTTGCTTCACCGCCATTCCCACAGAGAAACTTTGGAGCGCTAGTTACACCTCACAGTTGTCCAACCGGAGGTAAGGGAGCTAGCTGGGTTTTCTACGTTGGTGAAGGACCACATTTGCTGGGGGATGCTGGAAGTGAAGTCTCAGTCACTGACATATCTGAGCTTGAATATATGACAGTAGAAACCTCCATGCAAATGCAAGCAAAGTGGCTCCAGCTTCATGGGACACCACTGAAGACCCACAGGTGCCTTAACAATGTTACCTCTCTCTATACCCCTGGGCATATAGGACTAGTTTCTGAACAACCAGTGGGTAAATCAAATAGATCTAGTGTGGGAACCCTCCCATTTTTGAAGGCCTGATGAACTGAGGTGGTCCTGAGTGAGTCCTACTTACAAGAAAGGAAGGTCAAGTGAGAAGGAATTCACCATTAACTTAGGGGAATTGGAGTTTGAAGATGCGCCTATTAATTCATCTACCTAGCATGGTGGGTTCACTTTGGGACACTGGCTGAATGTATGAGGATGGATTATAACCTCAGGAGCCCAAGGTTGGAGCATCATAGACAAGCATGACACTAAGCTAACAAGGCCATCCTTCCTCAAAAATCTACTGCAGTCTGAACTGTGTGTGGCATTATGGAAGTAGTGGGCAAGGATGCATCTGGCTGGGAAGGCCATGTCTTTTCCATGGTGACATAGTCTAATGTAGTCATTGCAATAACAGAAACAACTAGGGATAAAAAGGGAAATCTGTTAGTGGACTGGTCAGATTTTGCAATTCCTCCCAGAGGGATGTCTGAAAACTCCACCGACTAGACTAAGTGCTCTGGTTCTAGGACAGTGTAGCCAGGGGGTTCCAAGATAAAGACACTACTTCCTACTCATATAGACATACAGTGACTCTATATTAATTTAAGTATCAGAAACAGACCTGGTAAACTGCTGATGTCTGTCAACATGTAAAGAGCTTGGAAGTCATCACTCCTATCCTCATGACAAGAAAAAAGCTGAACTAACTGAAAATCAATAATTCTTCCTAGATCCATCAGAGAATTGAGGTTACAGGGCAACTGCTGCCCTGAAAACTACAGAGACAAACAGGTGGATTCAGAAAACCACAGCTTACATGGAGCAGAAGCCCTTCGCCACATCTAATATCCATAGGAATGTTTTAAGCTAATATGGATGAATTGCTGAAGGCTCCATGTGGACAAACATGAGAATTTTAAAACTCTAAGGGAACCTGATTTTATGGAGCCTCTCACACATTGAAGAGGTTTATCTCCAGTACTCTCTCCAGGTTCTCATTGTGAGGACTGGAGAAAAATCCCCCTATGCAGAGGGAGGGGAAAAGTAACCTTTTGAACAACACTGAGAGCTCTCTCTTCTCCTTAACAAGGCCCAACTTCAAGGGAAACTAATTTCCAAGTTCCTGACATACTGCAGTTTAACCAGAGCCTAACCAACCTGGAAGAAGGGGAATACCCAATTCAGGATTTCTAAAACACTGAGACCTCACTGTAGGATTATAGAAAACGTCTCCTCTGTCCACACCTCACCACCATATCAGTCCAGCTCCTGAATAATAGCACGATTACAGCTAACAGAACTGCAAGTCTCAGTCCCTATTTAATAGGTCTCTAAGAAAACTCAAAAAACGGGCGAGACAAAAGAATGCTAGAGGCAACTTTTGCCCCTGATGTCACAGATGCAGCAAAAAGTAAACACAACCTAAGTAGCCAAACATGAAACTTCATGCTAAAATCCTATTTAACTCAGTTCCTTTGACCTAATCATTTCAGGCTTTCAACTAAAAATTACAAGGCATGCACAAAGGCAAAATGAACAACGACAACAAAAAACACAGTCTGATGGGACAAAGCAAGCCTCAGAACCAGACTCAGATACAGCAGAGATTTTGAAATTAAAATAACTCTTAATTAATATACTAAGAGCTCTAATAGAAAAAAATGGACAACCTACAAGAACAGATGGGCAATGTAAGCAGAATGATTTTTCTTTTTTGGTAAGAACTAAAATTGGGTGTGTTTATTTCTTTTTTAAAAAACTTTTTAGGTTTAGGGTACATGTGCAGGTTTGTTATATAGGTAAACTTGTGTCACAGGGGTTTGGTGTACAGATTATTTTGTCAGCCAGCTACTAAGCATAGTGCCCAATAGTTATTTTTTCTGATCCTCTCCTTCCCCCCACCCTCCACCTTCTGATGGGCCCCAGTGTCTGTTCTTTCCCTCTTTGTGTTCATATGTTCTCATCATTTAGCTCCCACTTTTAATTGAGAACATGCGTTACTTGGTTTTCAGTTCCTGCATTAGTTTGCTAAGGATAATAGCCTCCAGCTCCATCCATATTCTTGCAAAGAACATGATCTTGTTCTATTTTTTTTGTCACTGCATATTATTCCATGGTATTTGTGTACCACATTTTCTTTACCCAGTCTACCACTGATGGGCATTTAGGTTGATTCCATGTCTTTACTATTGAGAATAGTGCTATGATGAACATACACATGTGTCTTTATGGTAGAACAATTTATATTCCTTTGGATATACACCCAGTAATGGGATTGCTAGGTCAAATGGTAGTTCTGTATTTAGTTCTTTGAGAAATCACCACACTGGTTTCCACAATGGTTGAACTAATTAACACCCCCAACAGCAGTGTATAAGCATTCCTTTTTCTCCATAACCTTATCAGCATCTGTTATTTTTTGACTTTTTAATAGTAGCCATTCTGACTGGTGTGTGATGGTATCTTATTGTGGTTTTGATTTGCATTTTTCTAACGATCAGTGATGTTGAACGTTGGCTACAGGTATGTCTTCTTTTGAAAAGTGTCTGTTCATGTCCTTTGCCCACTTTTTAATGGGGCTGCTTGGTTTTTTTCCTTGTAAATATGTTTAAGTTCCTTATAGATGGATATTAGACTTTTGTCAGATGCACAGTTTGCAAAAATTTTCTCCCATTCTGTAGGTTGCCTGTTTACTCTGTTGGTAGTTTCTTTTGCTGTGCAGAGATTCTTCTATTTAATTAGATCCCACTTGCTAATTTTTGCTATTGTTGCAATTGCTTTTAGCATCTTCATCATGAAACCTTTGTCAGTTCCTGTGTCCAGCATGGTATTTCCTAGGGTATATTCCAGAGTTTTTATAGTTTTGGGTTTTAAATTTAAGTCTTTAATCCACCTTGAGTTGATTTTTTTATATGGCGTAAGAAGGAGTCCAGTTTCAATCTTCTGCATATGGTTACCCAGTTATCCCAGCTCCATTTATTGTATAGGGAATCCTTTCATCATTGCTTGTTTTTGTCACCTTTGTCGATGATCAGGTGTTTGCAGGTGCGTAGCCTTATTCCTGGGCTCTCTATTCTGTTCCATTGGTCTGTGTGTCAGTTTCTGTACCAGTACCACACTGTTTTAGTTACCATAGCCTTGTAGTATAGTTTTTAAGTAGGGTAATGTGATGCTTCCAGCTTTTTTCTTTTTGCTTAGGATGGCCTTGGCTATTTGGGATCTTTTTTGGTTCCATATGAATTTTAAAATAATTTTTTCTAGTTCTGTGAAGAATGTCATTGGTAGTTTGACAGGAATAGTATTGAATCTTTAAATTGCTTTAGGCAGTATGGCCATTTTAATGATATTGATTCTTCCTATCCATGAGCAAGGACTATTTTCCCATTTGTTTGTGTCATCTCTGATTTCTTTGAACAGTGTTTTGTGATTCTCATTGTAGACGTCTTTCTCCTATGTGGTTAGTGTATTTTTAGGTATTTTATTCTTTTTATGGCAATTGTGAATGGGATTGTGTTCCTGATTTGGCTGTTGTTTTGGTGCTTTCTGGTTTATGGGAATGCTACTGATTTTTGTACATTGGTTTTGTATCCTGAAACTTTGCTGAAGTTGTTTATCAGTTCAAGGAGCTTTTGGGCAGAAACTATGGGGTTTTCTAGCTATAAAATCATGTGGCTGGGTGCGGTGGCTCACAACTGTAATCCCAGCACTGGGAGGCCGAGGCAGGTGGATCACAAGATCAGGAGATCAAGACTATCCTGGCTAACACAGTGAAACCCCGTCTCTACTAAAAATACAAAAAAAATTAGCCGGGTGTTGTGGTGGGCGCCTATAGTCTCAGCTACTTGGGAGGCTGAGGGAGGAGAATGGTGTGAATTCAGGAGGCGGAGCTTTCAGTGAGCCAAGATTGTGCCACTGCACTCCAGCCTGGGCGACAGAGCAAGACTCTGTCTCAAAAAACAAATAAATAAATAAATAAAATAAAAAATAGAAAAAAATCATGTTATCAAGCAGAAAGACTAGAGCTCTAACAATCTAACAATCTAAAGTAAATGCTAGAAATCAAAAATTCTGTAACAGAAATGAAGAAGGCCTTTGACGGGCACATCAATAGAGTAGATAAGGCCAAGGAGAGAATCAGTGAGCTTCAAGATAAGTCAATATCCTCAAAAATTAGGCCAGGCACGGTGGTTCACACCTATAATCCCAGCACTTTGGGAGACCATGGCGAGTGGATCAGTTGAGGCCAGGAGTTTGAGACCAGCCTGGCCAACATGGTGAAACCATGTTGTCTCTACTAAAAATACAAAAATTAGCCAGGTGTGGTGGCGTATGCCTGTAATCCCAGCTACTCAGGAGGCTGAGGCACAGGAATCACTTGAACCCAGAAGGCAGAGGTTGCAGTGAGCAGAGATTGTGCCTCTGCACTCCAACCTGGGTGACAGAGTGACACCTTGTCAAAAGAAAGAAAGAAACAAACAAACAAAGAAGGAAGGAAGGAAGGAGAGAGAAAGAGAGAGAGAGAAAGAGAGAGAGAGAGAGAGGAAGGAGAAGAAACCTCGAAGACTAAAATTCAAGGAAAAAAATTTTTAATAGGACAGAATTCAAGAAATAAGAAATGATTAATATCATTAATATGTAATGATTAATATGTAGTAAGAATATAAATAAAGAGAACAAAGAGAGACAGGATCACAAGAAATATTTGAAATAATAATGGCAAGAATTTTTCAAAATTAACAACAGACATCAAACCATAGATCCAAGAAGCTCAGAGAACACCAGGCAGGATTAATACTAGAAGAATTTATACCTAAGCATGGCCGAGCACGGTGGCTCACATCTGTAATCCCAGCACTTTGGGAGGCCGAGGCGTGCAGATCATGAGGTCAGGAGTTCAAGACCAGCCTGACCAAGATGGTGAAACCCTGTCTCTACTAAAAATACAAAAAAATTAGCCAGGCAAGGTGGCAGGCACCTGTAAGCCCAGCTACTCGGGAGGCTGAGGCAGGAGAATGGCATGAACCCAGGAAGTGGTGATTGCAGTGAGCCGAGACCACGTCACTGCACTCCAGCCTGGCGACAGAGCGAGACTCCATCTCAAATAAATAAATAAATAAATAAAAGAAAAATGAAAAAAAGAATTTATACCTAGGCATATCGTATTCAAGCTACCAAAAGTCAAAGATCAAGAGAAAATCCTTAAAGAAGCCAGAGAAGAAAAATAGAGCTTATGTACAGAGAAACAATGGTAAGAATTACATCCAACTTCTCTTTAGAAATCATGCAAGCAAGAGGCAGGGCATGGTGGCTCACACCTGTAATCCTAGCATTTTGGGAGGCCGAGGCAGGCAGATCACGAGGTCAGGAGATAGAGACCATCCTGGTTAACAAGGTGAAACTCCGTCTCTACTAAAAATACAAAAAATGAGCTGGGTGTGGTGGCGGGTGCCTGTAGTCCCAGCTACTCAGGAGGCTGAGGCAGGAGAATGGTGTGAACCCGGGAGGTGGAGCTTGCAGTGAGCAGGGATTGCGCCACTACACTCCAGCCTGGGCAACAGAGTGAGACTGCATCTCAAAAAAAAAAAAAAAAATCATACAAGCAAGAAAAGAGTGTGCTAAAGAAAATTAATGTGTTGAAATAGAACCAAAAACCTAGAATTTCATATCCCAATAAAATTATGTGGTTGGGCATGGTGCCTCATGCCTGTAATCCCAATGCTTGGGGAGGTTGAGGCAGGAGGATCACTTAGGCCAGGAGCTCAAGACCAGCCCGGGCAACATAGGGAGACCTTGTCTCTACTAAAAATAAAAATAAAATAGCTGGGTGTTGTGGCACATGCCTGTAGTCCCAGCTACTCAGGAGCCTGAGGTGGAAGGATTGTTTGAGCGTAGAAATTTGAGAGTGCAGTGAGCTGTGATACCACCACTGCACTCCAAGCTGGAGCAACAGAGCAAGATTCTGTCTCTTAAAAAAAAAAAAATCCTTAAAAAGTGAAGGAGTAATAAAGCCTTCCTCCCATAAATAAAAATTGAGAGAATTTGTCACCGGTAGGCCTGACTTCTAAGAAGTGTTAAAAGAAGTTCTTCAGAGAGAAGAAAAATGATACAGGTAAAAAACTCAGATCTGCATGAAGAAAGGAAGAGCTTTAGAGAGGGAATAAATGAAGATGATATCTTTTCTTTTTCTTGATCTTAATTTATCTAATGAATAACAGTATGTTCAAAATAATAATGGCAACAGCATAGTGGGTGATTATCCCTTATGGATAAGTGAAATGAACAACAGTGACACTAAAAAGAACAAGAGGGCTGGGCGCAGTGGCTCATGCCTGTAATCTCACCACTTTGGTAGGCCAAAGCGGACGGATCACAAGGTCAGGAGTTCGAGACCAGCCTGGCCAACATAGTGAAACCCTGTCTGTACTAAAAATACAAAAATTAACCAGCTGTGGTTAAAATGGGAATATTCTGTTATAAGGTACTTGAACTGTCTGTGAAGTAATACTATGTTATTTGAAAATTGTCTGGCTTCAGTTGAAAATGTATATTGCAAACTCTAGGGCAATCATTAACAATTATAAAAAATTTTTTTTTGAGACAGAGTCTCGCTGTGTCACCCAGGCTGGAGTACAGTGGTCTGCAGCCTCCGCCTCCTGAGTTCAAGTGATTCTTCTGCCTCAGCCTCCCAAGTAGCTGGGATTACAGGCACCCGCCACCATGCCTGGCTAATTTTTGTATTTTTAGTGTAGGCAGGGCTTCACCATGTTGGCCAGGCTGGTCTCGAACTCCTGACCTCAAATGATCCGCCTACACCGGCCTCCCAAAGTGCTGGGATTACAGTCATGAGCCACCATGCCCAACCTAAAAACATTTTTTGAAGAAATATAATTAATATGCTATGACAGGAGAGAAAATGGAATGATATAAAATGTGCAATTAAAACCAGAGAAGGCAGGGCTGGGTGGGGTAGTTACATCTATAATCACAGCACTTTTGGAGGCTGAGGTGGGAGAGTCACTTGAGCCCAGGAGTTCGAGACCAGCCTGGGCAACATAGAGAGACCTCATCTCTACAAAAAAGAAAAACAAAATTAGCCTGGCATGACTATGCTACTGGTAGTCTCAGCTACTCAAGAGGAGGTGGGAGGATGACTTTAGCCCAAGAGGTAGAGGCTGTAGGAAGCCAAGAGCATACTACTCCACTGCAGCCTGGGTGACAGAGCAAGACCCTGTCACAAGAAACAAAACAAACAACAACAACAACAACAAACAAACAAAAAAAAGAGAAGGCAGAAAAAGAATGGAAGATAAAAATCAATCGATTGATCAGTTAATCAAGGGCAAATATAGTATGTATTAATCCAACTACATCAATAATCACTTTAAATATCATTGGTCCAAATACACAATTAGAGGACTGAGATTCTAAGTGGATAAGAAAATTAACAGCCAACTATATGCTGACAAAAATAATCCTACTTTCAATTTAAAAATACAGATACATTAAAAAGAAAGGAATGGAGAAAGAGCATGCTAACACTAATCAAAATAAATCTAGAATAGCTATTATTAATTTCAGAAAAAATCATGCATAAAAGCAAGAAATATTATCAGCGATAAAGAGGAACATGACATAATGATAAAGGGGTAAGTTATTCAAGAGACATTACAGTCCTTAATATGTCCACACCTGCAATGTATTTCTGATGCTGACTTAACAGGTTAAGGGCTCAGTCCTCCACAAATCTCTTCTCACTTCAGATACTAGCTGCAAGCTCCCAGTTTCCAGGCTACCCACACTTCTGATCAAATGGCTACAGATTTGGGGTTCCCACTATCCTCTTAGGCCTGATCATTCACTAGAATGACTTACAGAACTCAGCCAGGCGTGGTGGCTTACGCCTGTAATCCCAGCACTTTGGGAGGCCAAGGCAGGTGGATCATGAGGTCAGGAGATCAAGAACAGTCTGTCCAAGGTGGTGAAACCCCCTGTCTCCACTAAAAATGCAAAAATTAGCCAGGCATGGTGGCAGGCGCCTGTAATCCCAGCTACTCAGGAGGCTGGGGCAGGAGACTCGCTTGAACCTGCGGGGGCGGAGGTTGCAGCGAGCCGGGATTATGCCACTGCACTCCAGCCTGGGTGAAAGATTAAGACTCCATCTCAAAAACAAACAAACGAAAAGAATGACTTACTGAACTCATGAAAGTGTTTTACTTTTGATTACAATTGTATTATAAAGGATACAAACCAAGAACAACCAAATGAAGATGCATATGGGTGAGGTCAGGAAGCGCCTTATCCTCAGGACACATCACCTACCCAGCATATCAATGGGATGGAAAGTGCTTACTCAAGCTCCGTGTCCAGAGTTTTTATTGGGTTTCACTATATGGGCATGGATGATTGAATCACTGGTCATGTGACTGAACTCAATCTCCAGCCCTCCTTCTCTGCATAGAATATTACTATAAAGTTACAGTAATTATGGCAATGTGATATTGGTACAAGGCTAGATGTGAAGTGATAGAACATAATAGAGAGGTCATAAATAGACCCACTCATATATAGTCATTGGATTTATAGAAAAGGTACCCCTTTATTCAGTGGAGAAGGGTTGGCCTTTTTAATAAATGGTGCTGGAAGACATATTCATATATATTTTAAAGTTTCTTACTCATTATTCATGCCATGTGCAAAAATTGATGCAAAATGGATATAGAGCTAAAGCTAAAATTTTCTAGAAGAAAAATATGTGAATTCATGTTAATGATCTAGGAGTAGGCAAAGAATTTTTAAATAGGACACAAAAAGTATTAATCATAAAATGTTAATAAATTGGAATTGATTAAAATTAAGAACTTATGTTTATCAAAAGACTTCATCAAGAAAGTAAATATATGAATCCAGATTATATAAAGATTTTCTAAAAATATTAAGAAGACCCCCAAATTATACTGAAAAACTAGCAAAAGATTTGAACAGATAATTTACAAAAGAGGATATCCAAATGACTAATAAGCATACGGACAAGTACTCAACATTATTATTCTTCAAGAAAATGTAAACTAAAAACCCACTAAAATGCTTGTGTATATCCATTAGAATGACTAATATTATAAAAACTGGAAACACCATATGTTGTTGAGGATGTGAAACATCTAGAATGTTTAAACATTGATGGGAATGGAGATTATCACTTAATAAAACCATTTGGTAATAACCACTAAAGATAAATGTACATCTACCCGATGAACTAGAAATTCTACTCCTAAACATGTACCTAAAAGAACTAAGTAAATATGTCCACAAATAGTCATATAAAAGAATGTTTGGGCTGGGCACCGTGGCTCACACCTGTAATCCCAGGAATTTGGGAGGCCAAGGCGGGCAGATCACAAGGTCAGGAGATCGAGACCATCCTGACTAACACGGTGAAACCCCGTCTCCACTAAAAATACAAAAAAAAAAAAAAAAATTAGCCAGGCCAGGTGGCTGGCACCTGCAATCCCAGCTACTCAGGAGGCTGAGGCAGAAAAATGGCGTGAACCCGGGAGGTGGAGCTTGCAGTGAGCCAAGATCACAGCACTGCACTCCAGCCTGGGCGACAGAGCGAGACTCCGTCTCAAATAAATAAATAAATAAACAAAAACTTAGCCGGGCATGGTGGCTTGCCTGTAGTCCCAGCTACTCAGGAGGCTGAGGCAGGTGACTCTCTTGAACCCAGGAGGCAGAGGTTGCAGTGAGCCGAGATTGCACCACCGCACTCCAGCCTGGCGACAGAGCAAGATTCCTTCTCAAAAAAAAAAAAAAAAAAAAAAAAGAATATTTAGGCGAGGTATGGTAGCCCACGCCTGTAATCCCAGTGCTTTGAAATGCTGAGGGGGGAGAATCACATGAGGCTAGGAGTTTGCAACCAATGTGGGCAACAAAGAGAGAACCTCTCTCTACAAAAAAGTAATTTAAAAAATTGGCTGGCATGGTGGCTCACATCTGTAGCCCTAACTACTTGAGAGGCTGAGGTGGAAGGATGGCTTGAACCCAGGAGTCTGAGACTACGGAGCCATGATCATACCACTGCACTCCAGCCTGGATGACAGAGCAAGAACCTGTCTCTTTAAAAAAAAAAAAATGTTTGTAGCACTTTATTCATATTCATCATGGCCTAAACCTAGAAATCACCCAACGTCTATCAAGAGGTGAATGGATAAATCTTGTGTGGTCAATTTCCATATTCTAGAATATCGTTCATCAATAAAAAAGAACAAACTATGGATACATGTAACACCATGGATAAATATTAAAGAATTATATTGAAAGAAAGAAGTAGATATAAAATAGTACTACACTTTCATTTCATATTTGAAGTTCAAGAACAGGAAAAACTAATCAGTGACAGTAAGAGTCAGAAGAGTGACTAGCTCTGGGACAGGGGAGATGACTAGGAAATGACTCTGAGGGAAACTTCTAGTGACAAAACATTGTATATATTTTGGGTGTGTTTCAAGTTTGTAGAAACATGTAAAAATTTGTCAGCCTTACACTTAAGATTTGTCTACTATGGCCGGGCGCGGTGGCTCACGCCTGTAATCCCAGCACTTTGGGATACCGAGGTGGGTGGATCACGAGGTCAGGAGATCGAGACCATCCTGGCTAACACGGTGAAACCCCGTCTCTACTAAAAATACAAAAAATTAGCCGGGCGTTGTGGCACGCGCCTGTAGTCCCAGCTACTAGGGAGGCTGAGGCAGGAGGATGGCGTGAACCCAGCAGGTGGAGCTTGCAGTGAGCTGAGATTGTGCCACTGCACTCTAGCCTGGGCGACAGAGCCAGAATCCATCTCAAAAAAAAAAAAGATTTATCTACTATATGATATATAAGTTACACTTTTTTTTTTTAGAGACAGGGTCTCACTATGTTGCTCAGGCTGGAGTGCAGTGGTATGACCATAGCTTCTGCAGCTTCGACCCCCCTGGGCTCAAGCCATCCTCCCACCTCATCCTCCTAAGTAGCTGGGACTATAGGAATGTGCCATCATGCCGAGCTAATTTTAAAAAATTTTTCTTGGAGACAGGGTCTTGCTAAGTTGCCCAGGTTGGTCTTGAACTCCTGGGCTGAAGCAACTCTCTCACAAAGAATTGCCTCCCAAAGTGCTGGGATTATGGGAGTGAGCCACCAGGCTTTGTCAATACCTCAATTTTAACAGAAAAAAACAATTAAACCTGAATGTACTTGTACCTCAAGCTAATAAAGCTTTTCATACCAGTTATAAAGTCAAAGGTAACTATCATCAGAGTGAACAGGCAACCTAGAGAATGAGGGAAAATTTTCTCCATCTATCCATCTGACAAAGGGCTAATATCCAGAATCTACAAGGGACTTAAACAACTTTACAATAAAAAAAAAAAAACCCATCAAAAAGTGGGCAAAGGATATGAACAGACACTCCTCAAAAGAAGACATTTATGCAGCCAACAAACATATGAAAAAAAGCTCATCATCACTGGTCATTAGAGAAATGCAAATCAAAACCACAATGACATACCATTTCATGCTAGTTAGAATGGCGATCATTAAAAAGTCAGAAAACAACAGATGCTGGAGAGGATGTGGAAAAATAGGAATGCTTTTACACTGTTGCTGGGAGTGTAAATTAGTTCAACCATTGTGGAAGACAGTATGGCGATTCCTCAAGGATCTAGAACCAGCAATACCACTTGACCCAGCAATCCCATTACCGGGTACATATCCAAAGGATTATAAATCATTCAACTACAAAGACATGTGCACACATATGTTTATTGCAGCACTATTCACAATAGCAAAGACTTGGAACCAACCCAAATGCCCATCAATGATAGACTGGATAAACAAAATGTGGCACATATACACCATGGAATACTATGCAGCCATAAAAAAAAGGATGAATTCATGTCCTTTGCAGGGACATGGATGAAGCTGGAAACCGTCATTCTCAGCAAACTAACACAGGAACAGAAAACCAAACACCACCTGTTCTCACTCATAAGTGGGAGTTGAACAATGAGAATATATGGACACAGGGAGGAGAACATCACACACTGGGGCCTATCGGGGGGTGGGGGACTAGGGGAGGGATAGCATTAGGAGAAATACCTAATGTAAATGACGGGTTGATGGGTGCAGCAAACCACCATGGCATGTGTATACCCATGTAACAAACCCAAAACTTAAAGTATTGGGTACAAAGTTCTGTACCCAAAACTTAAAGTATAATAATAATAAAAAAAACTGATAAGAAAGAAACCACAATGTTAATGGCAGTTGTATTTGGTTGGTGGGATTAGAGATTATAGCAGTTTCAAAATGTAGTTGCAAATTCTGTCACACTCTTCACAGCTACAGAAAGCATCTGTGCCCCTTCTTTTTGTATGTGGTTAGTCTTGAGACTGCTTTGACCAAAGAGTGTTGTGGAAATGACTCTATGTGAGTGCTAATGCTGGTTAATAAAAGCACTTGCACCATCTGCCTTGGTCTCTGGAACCACTCACTCTTGGAGTCCTCAACTACCCTAACACTACCTACCATGCTGTGAGAAAGCCCAAACTACATTGACAGGGTCTCCAGTAAACAGCCCCAACACAGCCCAGCCTTTCAGTCATCTGGGCCCAGGTGCCAAGCATGTGAGTGAAGAGGCTTCCACCTGAAGATGGTTCCAACTCCCAGATGTTCAGTCTTTCTACCTGAAGTTCCAGATATCTTGGAGCAGAAACAAGACATTCCCGTATCACCCTGCCTGAATTCCAAAGAATCTATGAGCATAACAAAATGGTTGTTTTATGCCACTAATTTTGGGATGGTTTGTTATTCATCAGTGGAAAACTGGAACAGATGTGATGTTTATTCTTTTTATAAGTAAGGAAAAAGTAAACAAAATTTTTAAAAAGCAGGACACATTTTGGGAGGCCAAGGTGGGCGGATCATAAAGTCAGGAGTTTGAGACCAGCCTGGCCAATATGGTGAAACCCCATCTCTACTAAAAATACAAAAATTAGCTAGGCGTGGTGGCGGGCACCTGTAGTCCCAGCTACTCAGGAGGCTGAGGCAGAATTGCTTGAACCTGGAAGGTGGAGGTTGCAGTGAGCCAAGATCATGCCACTGCACTCTAGCCTGGGCTGTCTCAAAAAAAAAAAAAAAAAAGGCACACAGTGTCAGCTGCTTCCCTCAGTAGAACTTTCATTAGATGGGAAGAAAGAAGAAATAGATTGTCTCACCCCTAATGGTCTTTCATATAAGATGTGTCTAATACCTCCTACCTGCCATCATATAAGAGACACCTAAATGTACAGGTTCCAAGGTAGAAAGTGTGTACAGGTTCCAAGGTAGAAAGTGCTTGAAGTAGTGGGGGCATGATTTCCTGCTCTGTCTTTGTAGGGCTAGCCAAGGATATGATGCATTTTCCAGTTGGAAGACAGCTTTAAAAAGCCTGGAGTTGACTTCACAATACACTGAGTATGTAGCACACTGCCCCAAAAAGTCATAACTCCCTCCAAAACACAACCACAGTTAATCAGAATGTTTGAAAAAGTCAGTTCTACTTAATAAAAACTTATTAATCCAGGGTTAAACAAAAACCCTCTTTGCAGAAATCTTTCTAATATATATGAGTTTAATTGTTAGGATAATGGTAGCTGCTATAACAAACCCAACAATGTATAGTGACTTGAACCCAATAGAAGTGTCAGGCATTCTTACTCATGTAACTGTACTGACAGGGTGACCATTGTGGTGGGCCATCCTTCCTCCATTAAGTCATTTGAAGGCTGTATTACTCTGTTCTCACATTGCTATAAAGAACTACCTGAGACTGGGTAATTTATAAGAAAACAGGTTTAATCGACTCACAATTAGGCAGGCTGTACAGTAAGCATGGCTGAAGAGACCTTAGGAAACTTACAGTCATGATGGAAAATGAAGGGGAAGCAGGCACATCTTACATGGCCAGAGAAGGAGGAAGGGAGAAAAGGCAGAGGTGCTACACACTTTTAAACAACCGGATCTCACGAGAACTCACTCGCTATCACAAGAACAGCCAGGGGAAAATCTATCACCATGATCCAATCATCTCCCACCAGCCTCCTCCTCCAACACTGGGGATTACGATTCGACATGAGATTTGGGAGGTGATATAAATCCAAACCATAGCAGAGGCCTATGCTGACAAAGGCTATGCCATCTTCAGCACGTGTGGCTTCTAAAATCACTCCGGCAATTTTCTCCATTTCTGCCAATCGCAAGGGGAGGGAAGAGCACCTAAAAGGGCTTATGAGAGGTTTGACTGACCAAGGGAGGGAACAGAACACATTCCTTTCCATTGGCTAGGACTCGGTCACATGGCTTTCCCTCATTATTAGTGAGGCTTGGAGAATTCATCTATTTGTGAGCCCAGGAAGAAGAGAAAACAAATTGTGGTAAACATTTAGCAGTCTCTATGACAATAGTCTGTATGTTGACTGCAAAGGTGGATGAACAAAACCAAGCCTCCTTTAAAGCAATACAATCTGGCAGAGTCCCTGGGTTATCATTCTGAACATAGATGCTTATTGTTCAAGAGTTAAGAAAATTAGCATGACTGCATTCCAGTTCTATAAATTTAATCTTTATTCAGCATATTGTCATCCACATGTCTTAAAAAATAAAATAAAAAACAAAAAACCTAGTAACTACGTTTTATATAGCAAGGAACACTCATATATATCACTTCATTGTATCCTTACAACAATCCTGTGCAGTATATGTTTTACTCCCTTTCTTCTATGTTTTGTATATAAAGAAATGAGCCCCAGGGAGTTGAATGGCTTGCCCCAACTAGTGAAGCTAAAACTCCAATCCAGGTCTTTTTATTTCCAAATCCATAATCTACAACCATCTGTAGAGAGTTATAATTAAGAGATATGAATGGTCAGGGCCTTTCCATTTCAGTGCAAGTCTGCCCAGCTCCAACTACCAGCATCTGCCTCTCTTTGCTTGAGGACTTCCTCTTGCTGCTAGAGGAGCTAAGCCTCAATTAATAAGACAAGCGTTGTAGTATAAATATCTCAATTTCTTGACCTAGGGGTGAGCGTGACTAAAGTACATTTTTACACTGACTCCCAGAGTTCCCCAATAGAGTCTAGCTCCAGTTACCCTCAGTGGTGACTTGCTCGATAATGCACATTTTATTGGCTGCCTTCCCTTCCCTGACTCACTTTCCTGCTCCCTTGTTGGTATTTCCTTCACCTCCCAATAGACTTTTTTTGCACTTAAATGCTTGTCTTAGGGTCTATTTCTGGGGGAACTCTAAGACAATTGAGTTCCTTGGAAACAATGTTTCTTGCACTTCCTAGCACTCATTACCATTGCTAGTTTAGTCATTAGGTGTGATCTTAATATTGGAAAACCTTTTTCCTTGTCCACAAAGACATAAATTTTAAAAGATATTAGACCTTTGCCTTTTTGGTTTTCTTTGACATTGAATAGAAATTATTTTTACAATTGGTCTTTTTAAGTTCAAATATCATTCATATGCTACAAAACTCACCATTTTAAATCGTACAATTCAGTGGTCTTTAGTATTTTCACAGAGTTAATGTAACCATCACCATTGTCTTAGTCCATATTCTGCTGCTGTAACATATTACTACAGACTAAGTAATTTATAAAGAATAGAAGTTTATTTGCCTCACAGTTCTGGGGCCTAGTAAGTTCAAAGGGCCATATCTGGAGAGGGCCTTCTTGCTGCATCATACCATGGCAGAAGGCATGACATGGTGAGAGAGGGTGAGACTGTGTAAGACAGGGTGGAAATCAGGCTGAACTCATCCTTTTTAGCAGGAACTCATTCTTGGAATAATTAGCCCACTCTCATGATCTATTAGTGAGGCCAGAGCCCTCATGACCTAATTACATCTTAAAGGTCCCACATCTAAATACTGTTACATTGGAGATTAAATTTCTAACGAACTTTGGAGCAGCACATTCAAACCATAGCAACCACTACATAACTCCAGAATCTTTTCATTACACCAAAAGAAAACCCACACCTTCTACTAGTTACTTTCCATTTTCTCCTACCACTAGCCTCTGGCAATCAGTTAAGTAGTTTTTTCTGTGTGGATTTGCCTATTCTGCACATTTCATATAAATGAAATCATTTGACAGACGGACTTTTGAGCCAGGTTTCTTTTAATTAGCATATTGTTTTTAAGGTTCTTAAATGTTGTAGCATGTACCCTCTTTATGGCTGAACAATATTCCATTGTATAGATATACATTATATTTACGTATTCATCAGTTAATGCAAATTTTGAGCTATTTCCACCTTTTGGCTATTATAAATAATGCTGCTATGAACATTATAAATAATGCTGCTATGAACATTTGTGTACAAGTTTTTGTTTGAACACCTGTTTTTAATGCTCTTGGATATATATCTAAGAGTGGAATTGCTGGGTTATATGGTAACTCTATGATTAAACTTTAGAGGAATTGGCAGACTGTTTTCCAAAGTGGCTGAACCATTAGACATTCCCACCAGCAATGTAAGAGGATTCTAATTTTTTCACACCTATGTCAACACTTGTTACTTTTTTTTTTTTTTTAGTTATAGCCATCCTGGGGAGGTTGAAGAGGTATCTCATTGTGGTTTTGATTTACATTTACTTAATGACTAATGGTGGTAAGCATTTTTCAAATAATTATTATATATTTGTACATCTTCTTTGAAGAAATGTCTGCTAAAATTCTTTGCCCTTTTAAAAATTGGGTTATTTTTCTGTTTTGTTGAATTGTCAGAGCTTTTTATATATTCTGGATCCTAGACCCTTATCAAATATTTTGGTTTGCCAATGTTTTTCCCCATTCTTGGAGTTGTTGTTTTACTTTATTGGTAGAATCTTATGTTTTCTTCTAAGAGTTTTATAGTTTTAGTTCTACATTTAAGTCTTTGATCTATTTTGTGTTAATTTTTGTATATGGTGTGAGGTAGGGCTTCAACTTTATTCTTTTGCATGTGTATATTCAGTTGTCCTAGCATCATTTGTTGAAAAGACTGTTGTTTTCCCCACTGAATAGTTTTGGTATCCTTGTCAAAAATCAGTTGAGCCTGGCGTGGTGGCTCGTACCTGTAATCCCAGCACTTTGGGAGGCTGAGACCTCAGGTGGGTCACTTGAGGTCAGGAGTTCAAGACTAGACTGATCAATATGGTGAAACTCCATCTCTACTAAAAATGCAAAAATTAGCCAGGCATGGTGGCAAGCGCCTGTAATCCCAGCTACTTGGGAGGCTGAAGCAAGAGAATTGCTTGAACTCAGGGGGTGGAGGTTGCAGTGAGCCAAGATCACACCACTGCACTCCAGCCTGAGCAACAGAGTGAGATTCTGTCTCAAGAAAAAAAAAATCAATTGACTGTAAATGTATGAGTTTATTTCTGGACTCTCAATTCTATTTCATCGATCTATTTGTCTATCCTTATGCCAGTACCATACTCTCTTGACACTGTAGCTTTGTAGTAAGTTTTGAAATTAGGAAGTGTGAGTCCTCCAACTTGGCTCTTTTTTTTTAAGATTGTTTTAGCTAGTCTGAGTCCCTTGCATTTTCGTCACAGCTGCAGTTCCTTAATGTCTCCTGAAGAACTCTCTAGCATGTACTGTTCTAGCTGAGAAAACCTGAGTCCATGTATTTTCTAAGAGTAGCTCTTGTAATTAGGTAGGAATTGTGTGGCTCCAAATATCTGCTTCACTGGCAGAAACTTAATTATTATACCTTTATTTCTTTAACTCAGAGACTTTTGAAGGACCACAGGAGCCAATCAGGCCAAGGCACAAAGGGAATTCAGGCAATAATCCTGCTGAAGGGTTCAGAGGCAGTCTTGTTAGGGTCACAGATTTCAGAGCTCTACCACTGCTTTCTGTGTGCCTTTGGGTTATATACTTATTTAAAGATCAGTGTCTTCATTTTAAAAAAAGAGATAATAATATCTACCTCACAGAATTATTAAGATGATAAATAGGATCATATATTTTAAGTGCTCAACAGAGTAGTAGACGGAAGACCTTGAATTATCTTTTTAAAACTGACTCTCTTGTTCCAAGCCAGATAAGCTCAAGGGTCAGGAAGTGGGACCTGTGTGTGTACCAGGAGCCCTCCTGAGCCAATGTCTAGACAGGCTTGTGTACCCTGAGAGGCTCCTGCAGTAGGGACTAGAGCCAGGGAAACTGGGCAGAAACAGAGGCAGAGGTGAGCAAAGGAAAAGGAAGAGAGCTTCCTTCTAGAAGTTTCAGAGTTAGGAAAGACGCAGGAAGGGAGAAAGCTGATGTGGCCTTACAAACCAGATTGGAAGAAAAAGAATTCAGTAGCACTAGAGAAGGAAGATCCATAAAGAGCCTTCTGCCTTGTGAGTTCTTCTAACCCAAGAAAAATGTTAGCAATGAAGGCTTACACCAACACACATCAGACACTTTGGGGTTTTGCTTGTCTTCCTCAAGTACTATATTATATAATCTTACATAAACTGTAGGAGGAAAATCAGGTTAATGTTGATTTTGGTTTACATCTTCATTTATTCACTGGAACTTGCCTGGGACCTGACACTTACTTAAAGATCTGGCTCATGGCTAAGCCTGGCTTTGGATTCTTGTGAGACCACACATCACCACTTACTTACTGACACAGCAGTCAGCACTCAGCTCTCCTTCTCCAGTAGGCCACATCTCCTGATACGAAATCTAGGTTTGAATGTGATGCCAGCTGCCTGGAAGCCTTGAGAGGTGTCCTAATGATAGAAAACTGCATTTTGGCTCATGCTAACACCCATTTACTTTTATTACAGTTACAGAGATCTATCAAGGAGTCTGAATCTGCATCTGGTCTCAATAGGAAGAATTAGTATTGATTAGCTTTGGGAATGGTAGTATACAGTTATAAGTATAGGGCATGATTGGCCATTCTGGGACCCTGCAAGAAAAATGCTTATTAAATTAATAATTAGGCTGGGTTCAGTGGCTCATGCCTCTAATCTCAGCACTTTGGGAGGCCAAGGTGGGTGGATCACTTGAGGCCAGGAGTTCAAGACCAGCCTGGGCAACATGGCAAAATGCTGTCTCTACAGAAAATACAAAAATTAACGAGACATAGTGGCATGCGCCTGTGGTCCCAGCTACTTGGGAGTTGCAGCGGGGGATGATCCTTTGAGCCCAGGAGGTCAAGGCTGCAGTGAGCCAAGATGGTGCCACTACACTGTAGCCTGGGTGACAAAGGACACCCTGTCTCAAAAAAATAAAAATAAAAATAAATTGATAATTAACATGCTGTTTATTCCATTAAAAATACAAAGAACACAAAGTTTAAAAGACGTACGTACCCTCAGGTTCCAAGGCAACAGCTGCTATGCCCACATTAGACCCAACGAATTCCTGAGGGAAAGAGGGTTTTGGAGATGAGAGTTTCCCTCAGCAAGGAGAGAAGTTACAGGTCTATGCTCTCTCACTTGGAAGCAAATTCCTCTCATCTTGTATTTCATTTCTGAAAAGATTCAGTGAAAAAAGAAGTTGTTTATATGCAATTAATTGAATTTTTAAAAGTTTATCACCTGCTTTTTTTTTTTTTTTTGAGATGGAGTCTTGCTGTGTCACCCAGCCTGGAGTGTAGTGATGCCATCTCTGCTCACTGCAACCTCCACCTCCCGGGCTCAAATGATCCTCCTGCCTCAGGCTCCCAAGTAGCTGGAATTACAGGAGCCCACAACCAGGCCTGGCTAATTTTTGTATTTTTATTTGTATTTTTGTATTTTACTTTTTTTTTTTTTTTTTTTTAGGGGTTTCACGATGTTGCCCAGGCTGGTCTCGAACTCCTGACCTCAGGTGATTCGCCCACTTCAGCCTCCCAAAGTGCTGGGATTACAGGTGTGAGCCAGCACGCCCAACTTCATTTTGTTTTGTTTTGTTGTGGCAAAATATATACTTTAAAAAATTACCATTTTAATCATTTTTACATCTGCACTTCAGTGACATTAACTGAACCATCACCACTGTCCATCTCCAGTACTTTTTCATCTTCCATCACCAACATTCATCTCTAGAAAACTGTCAGCTTCCCAAACTGAAACTCTGTAGCTACTAAACAATAATTCCCCATATCTCGCTTCTTCCATCTCCTGACAACCACCATTCTACTTCCTTTTGAATATCACACACACACACACACACACACAGAGATATGTGTATATATGAGAGTGTATATATATATAATATATATACCTTCATATAAGTGGAGTCATACAATATTTGTTCTTTTGTGTTTAGCTTATTTCACTTAGCATAATGTCCTCAAAATTAATCCATGTTGTAACATGTGTCAGAATTTCCTTAAGTTTTTAAGGTTGTATAATATTCCATTGTGTATATATACAACATTTTGTTTATCCATTCATCCATTGATGGATACTTGAGTTTCTTCCACCTTTGGTCGTTGTGAATAATGTGGTTATGAACAACGACTCAAGTTCTTGCTTTTTTTTTTTTTTTGAGACCGAGTCTCGCTCTGTCGCCCAGGCTGAGTGCGGTGGCGCGATCTTAGCTCACTGCAACTTCCGCCACCCGGGTTCACACCATTCTCCTGCCTCAGCCTCCCGAGTAGCTGGGACTACAGGAGCCCACCAGCACGCCCAGCTAATTCTTTGTATTTTTAGTAGAGACGGGGTTTCACCATGTTAGCCAGGATGGTCTCTATCTCATCTCGTGATCCACCTGCCTCGGCCTCCCAAAGTACTGGGATTACAGGTGTGAGCCACCACGCCCGGCTGCTTATACTTTTTTTTTTGGATTTATACTCAGAAATGAAATTACTGTATTATATGGTAATTCTATGTTTAATTTTTTTGAGAAACCAATATCCTGTTTTCTATAGCAGCAGCACCATTTCCCATTCCCACTAGCAATGCACACGGTTCCAGTTTTTTACAAGCACTTATCTTCTGATGTTGTTGTTTTTAATAATAGCCACTCTAATGGGTTTGTGGGGGATTAAATATCATAGTGCACAAGGGTTCAATTTTTCAGCAACACTCGCTATTTTCATATATGTTGTTGTTGTTAATTACAGCCATTCTAATGAGTTTGCTTGTGGGGTGGTAAAGTTCATAGTTGTTTTAAAAATATTGTGGAAAATCCAATGCAATAAGAGTTTTTGTATATAATTTTTCTTCTCCTTAATTTTTGAAATATCATGTTATCATTCTTTGGGTAAAATACTGGGTGAAGCATACCATATATATATAACTTTTTTGCTTAAATTTTATTTCCACACAGTACCATCTAAGCAGACCTTCTAACAGCTTTCAAGAACAGACACAAAGAATGAGCCTGAGATAATTCCATGTGTCTCCCAAGTTCCTCTGAAAGCCAAGAGAAAATGTATCTTTTCGGGGGGGTTTTCTAAATGCAGAGCTGGGAGTGTTGGCTCAGAGGTAGGTAGGCATTAACCTCCCTGCCAGAACAGGGAGCCCTGGTTTGATAATGAAACCTGTGTTTACGGGGCAACTTCTCATCTGAATTACTGAAGAACTGGCATTTGGACAAAGATGCATAAGACGTGGTCTCTGCCTTCTAGGAGAGCAGCCAGTTGGATTAGATTAAAAGAGGTAGGTGGAAAGTGTAGTCCAGGTTACTGGAGACAAAGTAAATGCTGTGGGGTTTCTGAGGGCTCTTCTCAGGACTATGATCATCTGGGAAGGCTACCTGCAGGTAGTGGGACATATTTGGGACCTTGAGGACTGAGTAGGTCTGAGAGGAGTGTGGTGTAATGAGGAGTGGGGAATATTCCTGAGAGGAAAAAGAGCCCAAGGAAAGGGAGGAGGAAATAAATCTGAGCTATTCACATGTGGTCAGTCCTTATTCACAGTTAAGGACTGACCTAACCAGTGTCCCAGACCCCAGCCAGGCTACACTGCAGCCTCCACAAACAACTGAAGCCCAGGCCACTGAGGGATTTGCAGAACTGTTGATTTTGCTTATAGTTGAAGAAATCGTATGGATACTACACTACTGTGCTCACCCAGAACCAAAGCCAAAGCACTCCACCCAATTGAAACCATAGGATGTATCTACAGGAAGAAGTTTTCCCCTATGAAAGCTACTCCACAGGCCAGGTGTGATGGCTCATGCCTGTAATCCCAGCACTTTGGGAGGCCGAGGCATGTGGAACACCTGAGGTCAAGAGTTTGAGGCCAACATGGCAAAACTCTGTCTGTACTGAAAATACAAATATTAGCCAGGCGTGGTAACACATGCCTGTAATCCCAGCTGCTCGGGAGGCTGAGGCAGGAGAATCGCTTGAACCCACGAGGCAGACGTTGCAGTGAACTGAGAGATCGTGCCACTGCACTCCAGCCTGGGTGGCAGAGCGAGACTCCGTCTCAAAAAAACAAACAAGCAAACAAACAAACAAACAAAAGCTACTCCATAAAATTGGAAGAAGCAACTGTTCCACCAGATCTGCAGTTATAGACATAAGGACACAAGAAACATGAAAAAGCAAAGAAATATTACCCTTCCAAAGAAACATAATAATTTTCCAGTAACAACATCTCTGCAAAGGAAACCCTTGAAATGCCCGAAAAGAAATTCAAAACAATGGTCTTAAGCAAACTCTGCAAGAAAACAGATAAGCAATTCAAGAAATTAGGAAACAAATTTTAATCTGAATGAGAAATTGAACAAAGAGATAGATATAAAAAAGAACCAAACAGAAATCCTGGAAATAAATAATTCAATTACTAAAATAAAAATACAATTGAGAACTTCAACAATAAATATCTACTATTTCTAATTTTAGAAATTAGAAATTAGAAAGACTTTCTAAACCTGAAGACAGGTCTTTTGAAATAATCCAGTCAGACAAAAAAAAATTAAAGAAAGCCAACACAATATGTGACACACCATTAAGCAATCAAATATTCATATTTTGGGAGTTCCAAAAGGAAAAGAGATGAGATAAGGCATAGAAAACCTATTTAATAAAATAATAGCTGAAAACTTTTCAAGTCTTGAGAATGATGTTGAACTTTACATCCAGATACAGAAAGTTCAACAATCCTCAAATATATTCAACCCAGAAAGTTTCTCTCTGAGGCACATTCTGCTTAAGCTGTCAAAAGTCAAAGAGAATTCTAAAAGCAGCAAGAGAAAAGCATCAAGTCTCATATAAGAGAATACCTACTAGACAATCAGTAGGTATCCCAGCAGAAACTTTACAAGCCAAGAGATAATGGGATTATATATTCAAAGAGATGAAAGGAAAAAAAAACAGTGGCCAAGAATACTATATCCACCAAAGTTAGCCTTCAGAAATGAAGGAGAAATAAAGTTTCTCCACAGACAAGCAAAAACTGAAAAAATTTGTCACCACTAGACCATATCTACAAGAAATGCTTAAGGCAGTCCTACATTTGGAAGTGAAAGGAGGATGTCTAGCATCTTGTAAATCCATGAAAATATAAAACTCACTGGTAGAACAGATACACAAATCTAAAAGAGAAAGAATCAATATTACAACTACAAAAAAACACTGAACATCAAAGATAAACAATGATAGAGAAATAAAGGAACAAAAGATATGCAAAACAACCAGAAAACAATTAACCAAATGACAAGAGTAAGTCCTCACCTGTCAGTAACAACTTTGAATGTAAATAGTTTGAATTTCCCAATTTGAAAATATAGACTGGACGAATGGATTTAAAAAAGATCCAACTATATGCTGCCTAGAAGACACTCACATCACTTAAAAAGGCACAAATAGACTGAAAGTAAAAAGGATTCCATGTGAAATGGAACCAAAAGAGAGCAGGAGTAGCTATGCCTATATAATACAAAAGAGACTTTAAGTCAAAAAACATAAAGAAAGACAAAGACAGTCATTATATAATGATAAAAGGATCAATTCATCAGGAAGATCTAACAATTGTAAATATATATGTATCCAGTTCTAGAGTACTCAGATATATAAAGGAAATATCATTCGAACTAAAAGAAGAGCTAGACCACAATACAGTAATGGCTGCGGACTTTAGCATCCCCCTCTTATCGTTAAACAGATCATCTTGACAGAAAATTAAAGAAGAAACATTGGAATTAAACTACACTACAGACCAAATGAACCTAACAGATATTTGTAGAACATTTCATCCAACAGCTGCAGGATACACATTCTTCTCATCAGTACATGGAACGTTCTCCAGGATTGCCCGTATATTAGGGCAAAAAAGAAGTCTCAACAAATATTTAGAAATATAAATTATATCAAGTACTTTCTCAAACTACAATGGAATAAAACTAAAATAAATAACAAGTGTAACTGAAAACTGTACAAATACTTGGAAATTAAACAAAATGTTCTTGAACAATGAATGAATCAATTAAGAAATTAAGCGAGAAATAAAAAAATTATTGAAACAAATGAAAATAGAAACACAACACACCAAAATTGATAGGACACAGCAAAAACAGTACTAAGAGAGAAATGTATAGCAATAAATGCCTACAACAAAAAAGTAGAAAGATTTTAAATAAGCAACCTAATGATACACCTAAAGGAACTAGAAAAGCAAGAACAAACCAAACTCAAAATTAATAGATGGAAATAAATAAACATCAGAGCAGAATTAAATGAAGTAGAGAAAAAAAAATGACAAAAGATCCAAGAAATGAAAAATTGGTTTTTTGAAAAGATAATCAAAATTGACAAATTATTAGTTAGACTAAGAAGAAAAGAGAGCTGATCCAAATAAATAAACTCAGAAATGAAGAAGCAGATATTATATCTGGCATTATCACAGAAATACAAAGGATCATCAGAGATTACTAAGAACAACTATACACCCACAAACCGGAAACCTAGAAGAAATGAGTAAGTTCCTGGACACATATAACCTACCAAGATTGAACCATGAAGAAATAGAAAACCTGAAGAGACTAAAAACAAGTAACAAGATCAAATTAGTAATAAAAAGTCTCACAACAAAGAAAAGCCCAGGATTGGATGGGCTTTTGTGCTGAATTCTATGAAACTTTCAAAGAAGAATTAGCACCAGTACTTTTCAAACTACTCCAAAAATTTGAAGAGGAGAGAATTCTTCCTAACTCATTCTACAAAGCCAGCATTACTATAATATCAAAACCAGACAAGAAGATCTTGTATTTGATAGCACAACAGGGTGACCACAGTCAACAAAAATTTACTGTTCATTTAAAAATTACTAACAGTATAACTGGAATGTTTGTAATACAAAGAAATGATAAATGCTTGAGGTGATGAATACACCACATACCCTCATGTGATTATTACATATTGTATGCCTGTATCAAAATATCTCATGTACCTCATAAATATATACACCTACTATATACCCATAAAAATTACAAATTAAAAAATAAAAATCATGCCGGGTGTGGTGGCTTATGCCTATCCAGCACTTTGGGAAGCTAAGGCAGGAGGATTGCTTGAGCCCAGGACTTTGAGACCAATCTGGATAAGATGGTGAAACCCTATCTCTACAAAAAAATTTTAAAAATTGGTTGGTCGTGGTGGCTTATGCCTGTAATCTCAGCACTTTGGGAGACCTAGGAGGGTGGATCACGAGGTCAGGATATCGAAACCATCGTGGCCAATATGGTGAAACCCCGTCTCTACTAAAAATACAAAAATTAGCTGGGCGTGGTGGCGTGCACCTGTAATCCCAGCTACTCGGGAGGCTGAGGCAGGAGAATTGCTTGAACCCAGGAGGCAGAGATTGCAGTGAGCCGAGATCACACCACTGAACTCCAGCCTGGTGACAGAGTGAGACTGTGTCTCAAAAAAAAAAAACAATCAGTTGTGCATGGCACTGTGGTGCATGCTTGTAGTCCCAGCTACTAGAGAGGTGGAGGTTGGAGGATCTTTTGAGCCCAGGAGTTTGAGGATACTGTGAGCTGTGATTGCACCACTGCATTCCAGCCCGGAAGAGAAAGTAAGACCCCCATCTCTAAAAACAAAACAAAATGAAAACACAGACAAACCAGACAAGAACACAACAATAACAACAACAACTATAGGCCGATATCCCTCAACAAAATACTAGCAAACCAAATCCAACAGAACATCAAAAAGATCATGGGGGATTTATTTCAGGGATGCAAAGATGGTTCAACATATACAAATCAAATCAGTACATGTGATACATCACATCAACAAAATGAAGAACAAAAACCATACAATCATCTCAATAGTCACAGCAAAAGCATTTGATAAAATTCAACATCCCTTCATGATAAGAACTCTCAGCAAATTAACTATACAAGGAACATAATACAATAAAGGTCATGTATGACAAACCCTCAGCTAACATCACACCAAACAGAGAAAAGCTGAAAGCTTTTCCTCCAAGAACTGGAACAACACAAGGATGCCCACTTTCACCACTCATATTACACACAGTATTGGAAGCCTAGCTAGAGCAATTAGGCAAGAGAGAAATGGAGGGCATCTACATTTGCAGACAACATAACCTTATATAGAGAAAATCTTAAAAACTCCACCAAAATATCTGAGAATAGATAAGCAAATTCAGTAAAGTTGCAGGATACAAAATCAACATAGAAAAATCAGTAGAATTGTTATATACCAATAATGAATTAGCTGAAAAAGAAATCAAGAAAGCAATCCCATTTATGATAGCTACAAAAACAAAATAAAATACCTAGGAATAAATTTAACAAAGAAGGTGAAACATCTCTACAATGAAAACTGCAAAACACAATGAAAGAAACTGAAGAGAACAGAAAAAATGAAAAGACATCCCATATTCATGAATTGAAAGAGTTAATATTGCTATAATGGCCATACTACTCAAAGCAATCTACACATTTAATGCAATCTGTATCAAAATACCAATGACATTCTTCAAAAAAATAGAAAAAAAAATCCTAAAATTTATATGGAACCACCAAAGACCTCAAATAGCCAAAAAAAAAAAAAAAAAAAGAGAGAGAGAAATAAAAGAAAAAGCTAGAGACATCACACTACCCTACTTCAAAATATACTACAAGCTATTGTAACCCAAACAGCATGGTATTGATATTAAAACAGACACAAAAACCAACGGGAGAATATAGGAACCCAGAAACAAATTCACATATTTATAGTCAACTGATTTTCAACAAAAAGTACCAAAAACATACATTAGGAAAGAACCACCTCATCAATAAATGGTATTGGGAAAACTGGATATCCACATGCAGAACAATGCAACTAGACCTATATCTCTCACCATATATATATTTTAAAAAACTACTAAAATGGATTAAATACTAAGTGTAGGACCTGAAACTATAAAACTACTTTAAGAAAACATTGGGAAAATGCTACAAAGCAGTGGTCTGGGCCATCATTTTATGGGTAAGACTTCAAAAGCACATGTAATCAAAGCAAAAATAGACAAATTGGGCTATTTCAAACTAAAATGTTTCTGCACAGCAAAAAAAAAAAAAAAAAAAAAGTCAACAGAGTGCAGCAAAACCCTGCAGAATTGGAGAAAATATTTGCAAACTGTTCATCTGACAATATCCTGAGTATATAAGAAATGCAAACAATAGCAAAAACAAGCAAACAAACAAAAACAAAAGCCCCACAAATAATCAGACTGGCAAAGGATCTGAATAGATTTTTCTCAATAGAAGACACACAAATGGCCAACATGTACATGAAAAAATGCTCACCATCACTAATTATCAGGGAAAAGCAAATTAAAACCACAATGAGATATCCTGTCACCCCAGTTAGAACAGCTATTATCGAAAAGACAAAAAATAACAAATGCTGGTGAGGATGCAGAGAAAAGGGAACTATTATACTTTGTTGGTGGGAATGTAAATTAGCATAGCCATTATGGAAAAGAGTATGGACAGTCCTCAAAGACCTAAAATAGAACTACCATATGATTCAACGATCCCACTGTTGGATATTTATCTTAAGGAAGGGAAATCAGTATATTGAAGAGATATCTGCCCCACTATTTATTTATTTATTTATTTATTTGTTTGTTTTTTGAGAGATGGAGTTTCGCTCTTGTTTCCCAAGAGTGCAGTGGTGCGATCTCAGCTCCCTGAAACCTCTGCCTCCCAGGTTCAATTGATTCTCCTGCCTCAGCCTCCTGAGTAGCTGGGATTACAGGCACGTGCCACCGTGCCCAGCTAAATTTTTTTGTATTTTTAGTAGAAACAGGGTTTCACCATGTTAGCCATGCTGGTCTCGAACTCCTGAGCTCAGGTGATCCACACGCCTCGGCCTCCCAAAGTGCTGGGATTACAGGCGTGAGCCACTGTGCCTGGCCATGCACCCCTATTTTTATTGCAGCACTATTCACAATAGCCAAGATATGGAATCTACCGAAGTGTATGTCAATACTGGATATAGACATGGAATGGATAAAGAAATTTATACACACACACACACACACACACACACACACACACAGAGAGAGAGAGAGAGAGAGAGACAATGGATTATTCAGCCATTAAAAATGATGGGATCCTGTCATATGCATCAAAGTCAGGCCCAAAGAAATAAATACCACATGTTCTCTCTCATATGTGGGAGCGACAAAACTTGAGCACATTGAAGTAGAGAGTAGAACTGTGGTTATTAGAGGCTGGGAAAGATAGTGGGGAGGAGAGGATAGGGAAGCGTTTGTTAATGGATACAAAATTATAGCTAGATAGGAGGAATGAATTCTAGTATTATATAGCACTGTAGGGTGACTATAGATAAGAATAATCTATTGTATATTTTTCAATAGCTAGAAGAGAGAATTTCTTTTTTTTTTTTTTTTGCTTTTTGAGACAGAGTCTCACTCACTCTGTCACCCAGCTTGGAGTGCAGTGGCACAATCTTGCCTCATGGCAGCCTCCACCTCCCGGGTTCAAGTGATTCTCCTGCCTCAGCCTTCTGAGTAGCCTGGGATTACAGGCATGCACCACCACACCTGGCTAATTATTTGTGTGTGTTTTTTTGTTTGTATTTTTAGTAGAGACAGGGTTTCACCATGTTGGCCAGGCTTGCTCAAACTCTTGACCTCAAGTGATCCACCTGCCTCAGCCTCCCAAAGTGCTGGGATTACAAGCGTGAGACACCGCCACCCAGACAGGTGTGAGACACCGCGCCTGCCTCTCGCCTGGCCTGGAAGAGAGAATTTTGAATGTTGCCAACACAAACAAATGATAAAAGGTGACACATATGCTAAGTACCCTGATTTAATCGTTACACATTGTATACATGTATTGAGATATCATTCTATCCCATAATGTCTACAATTATTACATGCCAACTAAAAATAATGTTTTTTTAAAATCTGAGCTATTTAGAGACTCTTTATAAGGTTGTTTAAAAATCAATCAATAAGAGGACCATTGACATTACCTTTTTTCAAGAGGGAGATTTTTGAGCAGAGGAGTAATACCATCAATCTATTGTTTAAAAGGAATGTTCTAGTAGCAGGCTATGGATCTGACAGAAAGTAGAGAGAAGAAATAAGAGAGCCTTAGTATTCTGAGGCCGGGCACGGTGGCTCACACTTGTAATCCCAGCACTTTGGGAGGGTAAGGCAGGCAGATCACTTGAGGTCAGGAGTTCGAGACCAGCCTGGCCAACAATGGTGAAACCCTGTCTCTACTAAAAATACAAAAATTAGCCGAGCATGGTGGCAGGCACCTGTAATCTCAGCTACTCAGGAGGCTGAGGCAGGAGATTCACTTGAACCCAGGAGGCAGAGGTTGCAGTGAGCTGAGATTGTGCCACTGCACTCCAGCGTGGGTGACAGAGTGAGACTCTACCTCAAAAAAAAAAAGAGAGAGAGAGAGAGCCTTGGTATTCTGTGATGAGAGGCTCTAAACTTCAGACTAGGCTGTCAGTAACACTAAGCATTTCTGATAAACATGCCCCGACCCCAATTTTCATATATTTATTAGGTTGGTACAAAAGTAATTGCGGTTTTTGCTATTGAAAGTAATGGAAAAAACCGCGATTACTTTTGCACTAACCTAACACTTCGCGTTCCTGACACCTGGCATTTAGGCCGCTAGCCTCACATCCTAGGCCTGGCCTCTGATGAGCCAGGGCTGCCAATGTGCAATTTGCTCTGCCTTCTGGCTCCTCACACTACTTTTCTCCTCATGTCTCCCCAACAAACCACCCACTGTGTCAGGGGACAGGCCCATGGCCAGTCTGGATGAGAAGTCAAACTAGTTCTTCTAGTCTAGACATCCCCTTAACAAGACTTTCAGAATGACCCATAAGTCCTGCCCTACTTTGTGCTTCGCCAGAGGGAAAGAATCAGAAATTGCAATAACTAAAGTAAAAGAAGAAAATAAAAATCAGCCATAATCCCTATCATCAGAAGTACAGATTAGGTTTTGCTGAAATAACAGACAATTCCCAATATCAGTGGCTTAATCCCATTGATATTTTGTTCCTCAAGCTATGATAATCATGTCAGAAGGCTGGCTGGGACCTCTGCTCCAATGTCATCATCTTTCCTACTCTGGGACTCAGGTAGTCAGAGCTACTACCTAGCATTTGGAACACCACTGGTTGCTGTGGCAAAGGGAAAAGAAGAGAGCTATGAAAAGTCACACACCAACAATTAAATTTTGACGCAGAAGTGACATATGTTACCAGCACTCTCATATGGTCCAGCCCAACTACAAAGGGGCTAGGAAGTGTAACTTCTACTCTATGCCTCAAAGGCATAGCCAGAAATACTTAGAAGCACAGATGCCTATCATACCTGGGGCAGTTACAGCTATACAGATGCTTTTTGACTTAGAATGGAGTTATGTCCTGATAAACCCACCAAAAATTAGAAATACTGTAAGTAAATTCCGGGCACAGTGGCTCACGGATGTAATTCCAGCGCTTTGGGAGGCTAAGGTGGGTGGATCACTTGAGTCCAGGAGTTCAAGACCAGCCTGACCAACATGGTGAAACCCCATCTCTACTAAAAATACAAAAATTAGCCAGACATGGTGGTACACGCCTGTAGTCCCAGGTACTCGGGAGGCTGAGGCACGAGAATCACTTGAACCAGGAGGCAGAGGTTGCAGTGAGCTGAGCTCCTACCACTGTACTCCAGCCTGGGCAACAGATTGAGGCTCTGTCTCACAAAAAAAAAAAAAAAAAAAAAGACAGAAATATTGTAAGTAAAGGCCGGGTGCGGTGGCTTAAGCCTGTAATCCCATCACTTTGGAGGCTGAGGTGGGTGAATCATCTGAAGTCAGGAGTTCAAGACCAGCCTGACCAACATGGTGAAACTCTGTCTCTACTAAAAAGACAAAAAATTATCTGGGCGTGGTGGTGCACGCCTGCAATCCCAGCTACTCAGGAGGCTGAGACATGAGAATCGTATGAACCTGGGAAGCAGAAGTTGCAGTGAGCCAACACGCCATTGCACTCCAGCCTAGGCAACAAGAGCAAAACTCCGTCTCAAAAAAAAAAAAAAAAAAAAAAAAAAAAAAGAAATATTGTAAGTATGAGTAAAAATACAGGTGGATCCTGGTGTTTGGTCATGGGGCAGGGTCGGGGACAGATCCCTCATGAATAGATGAATGCCCTCCTATGGGGGTGAGTGAGTTCTCCCTCTGGGGGAATGGATTAGTTCCCATAGAGCAAAAGCAGGTTGTTAAGAGTCTGGCTTCCTTGATTTTTGTCTTTCACTTCCTCGCTTGTTCTGTGATCTCTTTGCACATCCCTGCTCCACTTCTTCTTCCCACCATAAGTTGAAGCAGCCTGAGGCCCTCACCAGATGCAGCTGCCTAGTGTTGAACCTTCCAGCCACCAAAATTATGAACTAAATTGTGAACTAAAATTGTGAACTCTTTTTATTTTTTTATTTTATTTATTTTTCATTTGTGTTGAGACGGAGTTTCACTTTTGTGCCCAGGCTGGGGTGCAATGGTGCAATCTCAGCTCACTGCAACCTCTGCCTCTCAGGTTCAAGCGATTCTCATACCTCAGCCTCTCGAGTAGCTGGGATTATAGGTGCCTGCCACCATGCCCAGCTAATTTTTAAATTTTTAGTAGAGATTGGGTTTCACCATGTTGGCCAGGCTTGTCTTGAACTCCTGGCCTCACGTGATCCAGCCCGCCTTGGCCTCCCAAAGTGCTGAGATTAACAGGCATGAGCCATGGCACCCGGCCATAAACCTCTTTTTAAATAAAATTACCCAGCCTCAGTTATTTTGTTGCAGCAACACAAAATGAGCTGAAACACACGCCTAACCTGCCAAACATCATAGCTTAGCCTGGCCTACCCTAAGGGTGCTCAGAACACTTGCCTTAGCCTATAGTCAGGCAAAATCATCAAACACAAAGCCTATTGTATAATAAAGTGGTGAATATTCCATGTCATGTATTGAATACTGACTGAAAGTGAAAAACAGAATAGTTATATGGGTACTTGAAGTATGATTTCTACTGAATGTATATCACTTTCGCAGCATCGTAAAGTAAAAACAATCCTGTATGAAATCATTGTAAGTGAGGGACTATCTGTGCTGGTAACATTTTGGTGTTTATCTTTATGTTCATATGCCTATACATAAAACACAGACATTTTGTATTAATTACATTTATTGTTTATTCTGTTTTTACAAAATGGGAACATATTACTTGTATTATTAGGCTGATGCAAAAGTAATTGTGGTAATTACTTTTAATGGCAAGAACCACAGTTGCTTTTACTTTTGCACTAACCTAATATTTTGTAACCTTCTTTTTGCACTTAATATATTTTTGTTGTACTGACTTATCATTGAATATATTTTATGAATACCATCATGTATTTAACCAATCTCCTACTGCTGGACATTTAGGTTATCTTCCAAGTTTTTTATATTAAATAATGATGCACTGGAAATCCTCAGACACATGTCTTTGTGCCCTTGTGCTATTATTTCCTCAGATACATTTCCAGAAAGAAATTGTTGAATCCAGAGACTCAGTGCCACGTTTTATGTTTTGATAGATACCACAAAACTGCACGGAAGTAATGCTGTGTCAACTTGTACTCTTACCAGTGGCATTTAAGAGTTTCAAGTGCTCGGTTTCATCAGGAATGACTTGATTCCCTGGCAAGAGCTTTCACATTAACAGTGATATTGGTAATGCTTACTAGATCAGACCATGTGCTAAGTACAGGTTGAGTATCCCATATCTGAAATGTTTGGGACCAGAAATGTTTCAGATTTTGGAATATTTACATTACATATACGTTCTGATTCTGCATCCCAAATCCAAAGAATTCGAAATCTGAAATACTTCAACGAGCATTTCCTTTGAGTATCATGTCAGTGTTCAAAAGGTTTCGGAGTTTGGAGTATTTTGGATTTTAGGTTTTTTGATTAGAGACATTCAACCTGTAGTTATTGAGCATTATTTCATTTAGTCCTTACAATGTGTAGGGGAGATAGTATAATATCTACTTTCAAGATGAGAAATCTGAAGCTCAGAGAGGTTAGTTAACCCACTCAAGTTTACACAGCTAGGAGGCAACAATGTTGGGGATAACCAAGATTCTCTCCTTAACCAAACTTTAATCAGGCTCCTCTGAGTCATCTTTTTGATGAGGCCTCACCCTGAAGGCTTTGTCCTTGGCCTATTTAGTCCAGTTTTAGTAAGAATCCTGTTGGGTCAGTTTAGCAAATATCCCCCACCCTTGATATCTGATGAAATTCCTCATCCCCATCTCTGGATATTTTTTCACCCTGGCCTTCCTTCAGCAAGAAGCTTGTCAAGTAGGTTTAGCCAGAATCTGCCTTACCCCTTGTTTACCCTTATAAAATGTTTACTGTTAGTAATTTTCCATCCACTGACCCTACCCTGCCCCTTGGCTATAAATCTCTACTTTTCATTGTTGTATTCAGAGTTGAGGCCAATCTCTCCCCCCTGGCAAAATTCCATTGTAGTAGTCTCCCTTGAATAGTCTGGCTTACTGTCTTTAACAAATGTCATGAATATATATATATATATATATATTTTTTTGAGATGGAGTCTCGCTCTGTCGCCCAGGCTGGAGTGCAGTGGCGCAATCTCGGCTCACTGCAACCTCCACCTCCCAGGTTCCCGCCATTCTCCTGCCTCAGCCTGCCGAGTAGCTGGGACTACAGGCGACCGCCACCACGCCCGGCTAATTTTTTGTATTTTTAGTAGAGATGGGGTTTCACCGTGTTAGCCAGGATGGTCTCGATCTCCTGACCTCATGATCTGCCCGCCTCGACCTCCCAAAGTGCTGGGATTACAGGTGTGAGCCACTGCGCCTGGCCAATATTTTTTTTTTAATAGGGATTGAAACCTGGGTCTGTCTGACTTTGTGGACACTGTCACACTCACCAGTATTTTTGAAAAAAGAGTTCTAAAAATTTTGGACTTGAATCTCCAGTAAACTACAGATATCCTTTAAAACAAACACATTTCATACATGAAGGTGCACAGCATAATTGGTTAAAAGAAGTTACTGTGGTATCAGACTACCTAGCTCCAAGTCCCAGCTCTGCAACTCACAAGCTGGGCAAATCACTTACTTGGCAGTGCCTCTGTTCCTTCGTCTGTAAAATGGGGAAAATATCAGTATGTACCTCATAAAGTTGTCATGAAAATTAAATGAGTTCATACATGTGAGCACTTTGAACAATGTCTAAGTACCAGCAAGCACTGTTACGTATACACTATTATTGTTATGCACGCAATATATCATATTCATTGTAAAGAAAACCCTATCCCCACTTAAAAAAATCAAAAAGATGAGATAAAAAGTAGATTAAACAGAAATGCATTATATTCTGCCTGTCTTCCTGGACTGGCTTGCACAGCTCCTGGCTTCCTTATTTTCTCCTTTGGCCACTGTGGGGATTGACTGTACCCACTTTGAATATTCCAATGGGCCATGTAGACCCATAGTGTGAGCCCATTAAGATCATAGACTGGGGATATTGTTCAGGAACCAAGAGGCTCAAAGAAACAAGTTTGCACTGAGAATGAGTCTGAGTACCCAAAGATCAGGCCGGAGTCCTGCCAGGAGAGGGGCAAGGCTGGCACTTCATTTCAGCTAAGCACAAAGTTTACATCGCATTGAGGACTTTCCCTGACCCATCTCTTTTCAAGTAGCTCCCTCATTCCCAGTCAGTCTATTCCATCACTTAGTTGTATTTTCTTCTTCACTGCTTCTCTGAAATTGTCCAATTTCTTTGTTTGTGTGTTTATTTTCTGTCTCCTTCATCAAGATATAGGATGCCATCTATTTCTTTCATAGTAGTATTTCCGGTGGTTAAACCAGTTCCTGGTACAGGGTTGGTGCTCCATAGATATTTATAGGATTAATGAGAAATTTAACCTTCTCTTATCGCCCCAGGGACTGCAAGAAGCTAATAAATAGAAGTTAAGGAACTTGAGAGCTTACCTAGGTAGCTCCTCCCCTATTGCCCGCCCCCTTCCTCATACTCCCAATTGATAAATGAGAAAATTGAAATTTGGAGGTTAGGAGACCATCCAAGAACATACACAGAGCAGGACCGAGGGCTCCTGACTCTTTATTTGACATCCAGGGGCTACATTGTGATGCCTTTTCTTTGCGGGAGGGAATAGGAGAATGCAGAAATTTTCTTTGTGTCTAAAATAGATTAGAAGGTGTAAAATCCAGGCCCTATCTTCTATCCACTGTGAGTCAGAACAAACTGTGTCTGCCTTCCATGGTTTTGAAATAATTTTGATCTAGGAAAGAAGGAAAAAGGAAAAAAGGAAGGGAGGGAGGAAAAGCAGAAAAAGGAACAAGGAAGACGAGAAGGGAAATGTTAATGAGGATATTTCTTTCCTTTTTGGTGTTGGGAATTCTCTGGAGGGTTTCCAGCCCTGGGCTAAAGGATACCTTCTTCTCTCATTCTTCTGGGCCACAGTTGCATTCGGCCTGAGGTTTCTATGGGAGACTAGATTTCAGGTCTATTTAAAGAGACAAGATGATTTGCCTACTACACCTTTTTGTTGAAATTTCTCAATCTTTTCCCATACTCTACTTCTTCTGAATTACATTTTGCCTCCTCTTGCTTTATTTGTATTCCAGCTAAGCCTCACTTCCTCAATGTCCTTCCACATTCTCAACAAAGTTGTATCAGATATTTATTGAGCTGGAACTTATTATATACAGTTACTTTCACTTCCCCTTTCTATGGATACTGCAGACATCTGTTTGAGTAGCTTTATTAGCCCTATTTTTTTACTTATGGAGACAAGGACCCAGAAAAGTTAAGTGATAACTTACCCTGGTATATAAGTCACAGTACTAGAATTTGAAGCCAAATCATGCAATTCCAAAGCCCATGCACTTTCTGTTATATCAGAGCCACTTCCTCTTAACACCATGTTAACCATTTAATAGCAGATTTGGCTGCAAATGACAGAACATCCCATTAATAGCACCTTAAACAAATGGGAAGCTTATTTTTCTCACATAATGAAACATGTAGATGAGCATCATCAGGCCTAGTGTAGTGGCCCAGGGATGTCAGGGGAGACTCAGCTTTGCTCTGTTCCACTGTGCCCTCCTTAGCATGTTACTTTCACCCTCAGACATGTTGCCACTGGTTGTAAGATGGCGACTCCACCTGCAGCCTCATGGCCACATTCCCAAAAGAAGAAAAACAGGGAAGGAGCAAAAGGCCAAAAGAACATGCCAGTTGGATTTGTCCTTTTTAAAGGTCTTTTTTAGGAGTCTCACAGATACTTCTGCTTTTATTTCTTTGCCCAAATGGTGTTGTGGGGGAGCCCCTTGCTGTATGGATAAAGAAGAGATGAGTTGGAGATTGGGTCAGCCAACCAACAACACCTGCTTCATCTTACTTGGCTGAAATTCTTTACCTCTTTACTTTCACATGGCTGCCTAATTGTTTTCTGAGACTCTTCAGAAGCATCCAGCAGTTCTGTAAGTGTAGAAACTGGTTTTACCATCTCTTGCACCCTGCCTGAGGCTAAGCTGGCCTCAAGGAATGACCAGTAAAGATTGACTGGAAAGAACTTCCCAAGAAGGCCATGGGAGAGGAAGAGCTTAGGAGATGGGTGACAGATGGGAGAAAACTCAGCCAGGATCATAGGACACATTCCTGGGGTCCTGCAGGTCCTGGAGTCATGCAGCTGAAGGCTGCTGCATGGTTAGGCCCCTGGGACATGCAGGGTTCATAAGAAGGTAGGAGGGATATAAGCCATCTCAGTCTGCCCAACTAAGCAGAGGGGAGGAAAAGCATGAGGTGAGCCTGTATCTGTTTTTGCCATCTCACTCCACTTTATCTATAGAGAGGAAATGCTTGCACAAATCATAATGACATTCTCTTTTAAGCCTGATTTCCTTTCATTCATTTTAACTCTCTTGATGCTGAAGCCAAGCTCTCTGATGGCTACATATGGGGGAACCATTATTATGGGTGGCAAGTGGGGGGATCTGTGAGCTGATGGAAAGTCTCCTGCTCTAGAAATAGCTCTTCCTGGGACCCTAGCAGTGTTGGACAGGCCACCATTTGAACTTAAATCTTTTTGGTCAAAACATTATCTGGTATCTTTTTCTTTATTGCTGCCTCTTCCACACTTTTTTTTTCTCTAGAGGCAGGATCTTGCTATGTTGCCCAGGCTGGAGTGCAGTGGCTATTCACAGGCATGTACTACAGTCTTAAACTCCTGGCCACAAGCCTTAGCCTCCTCTGTAGCTGGAACTACAGGTATGCGCAACCACGCCTGGCTCTCCCACTTTTTATTTTATTTTATTTTTTATTTTTATTTTTTACTTTTATTTTTTATAAACTATAGACATTTAAAGAAGAAAAAGTCTGGGTGCAGTGGCTCACGCCTGTAATCCCAACACTTTGGGATGCTGAGGCAGGTGAATCACTTGAGCTCAGAAATTTGAGACCAGACTGGGCAACATGGTGAAACCCCCGCTCTAAAAAAAAAATACAAAAAATTAGCCAGGCGTGGTGGTATGCACCTGTAGTTCTCAGCTGGAGGCTGAGGTGGGAAGATCCCTTGAGCCTGGGAAGTTGAGGCTGCAGTGAGCCATGATCGTGCCACTGCACTCCAGCCTGGGTGACAGAGTGAGACCCTGTCTCAAAATAAATTAATTAAATAAAAATAAAAAATAATGGCTGGGTATGGTGGCTCACGGCTCTAATCCCAACACTTTGGGAGGCCAAGGCGGGTGGATTACTTGAGGTCAGGAGTTTGAGACCAGACCAGCCTGGCCAACATGGTGAAACCCCCGTCTCTTCTAAAAATATAAAAATTAGCTAGGTGTGGTGGCACACACCTGTAATCCCAGCTACTCGGGAGGCTGAGGCAGGACAATCTCTTGAACCCAGGAGGTGGAGGTTGCAGTGAGCTGAGATTGTGCCACCGCACTCCAGTGGGACCCTGTCTCAAAATAGTAATAATAATAATAATAATAATAATACTATTAATAATAATAATAAGAAGAAAAAAAGTTCATCATCTCACTACTCAGGTAATCCATGTCCATATTTTAACGAATGAAAGTAATTCACCTATGTATTTTTAAAACTTCCAATAGTAAAGTATGAAATGAAACATAAAAGTCTTCATGCATCAGCTCTTTGTCTCTGCCCAAAAGTAGCCACTTGTAAAATATTTTTTATTGCTTTTAGAAAATGTGTTTATTTCTAGACCAGTGTGCATGTCTGTCTGTCCATCTATTCCTATAAAATTGACATAAAAAGAATGATTCAGTACACACAGTCCTCTACCTCTTTTTTCCCTGTCTCTGATATACAGAAAGCTACTTCATTCTTTTTCACAGCTGATAATAATCTATCAGATAGGAGGAGCCCCATAGGCTATGTAACTATCCCTTACTGATGGGTTACTTTTCCTTGTTGCTGTTACAAACAATGCCACAGGGAACACACCTGTACATATCTCTTGACCAACATGTGCAGGGATAATTATATAGGTAAATTCTTAGCAAGCAAATATTACTGAGTAAAATAATATGTACCTTTAAAAGTAGATGGACTTTGTCAAGCTTCCTTCCAGAAATGAACCAGTCCACCACCCCTGCCCCACATCAGTGTCTGACAGTGCTTGCCTGTCAATAGCCTTCTCAGAACAGGACTCATCACTGTAGGTTCTCATAACATGAGTTAAGAAACAATCTGTTGCTGCTGTTTAATTTTCATTATTTTACTTACAAATAATATTGAGCATATTTTCATACTTACTATGTCTTATTTTCACTTTTTGGTAATTAACTACTGATAAGCTTTGTCAATTTTTTTTTCCTATTGGATTGTTCGTTTTCTATTTTATTTACAAAAGCTTTTTGAAAATGAAAGCAATTAGCTCTTTTCCTGTCACATCCATTATAAATATTTTCCCAACTTGTCACTCGTTTCTTCTCTTAGTTGAGGGTATATTTTTACCCACCCCTCCAAAAAAAAATCACAATTTTTATATAGTCAAATTTAACTTTATGGTCTCTGGGTTTTGAATCCTTCCTAGAAAGGCCTTTCCTATTCCAGGAGCTTAAACACAGTCATTTATTTTCCTAGAACCATTATAGCTCATTTTCTATATTTAATTTTTTTTTTTTTTGAGACGGAGTCTCGCTCTGTCACCCAGGCTGGAGGGCAGTGGTGCAATATCGGCTCACTGCAACCTCTGCCTCCGGAGTTCAAGCAATTCTCCTGCCTCAGCCTCCTGAGTAGCTGGGACTAACAGGCACCTGCCACCATGCCCGGCTAATTTTTTTGTATTTTTGGTAGAGACGGGATTTCACCGTGTTAGCAGGATGATCTCGATCTCCTGACCTTGTGATCTGCCCGCCTCGGCCTCCCAAAGTGTTGGGATTACAGGCATGAGCCACTGCTCCCGGCCCTACATTTAAATTTTTGATCCATCTGGAATTGATGTTACTAAAATAACTGAAGTAAGGATCCAGCTTTATTTTTTTTCTCCAGTCAATTGATCTAGCACTGTTTACTGATTAATTGCCTTTTCCTCACTGTTTTAAAGTGTTGCCATTTCATATCTTAGTTCCCGTATGATTTTGGTTTCATTTATGAACTCTTCATTCTTATTCATTGATCTATTTTTCCCTAATGCCAAACCATTTTAATTATTAGAGCTTTAAAATAGTTTTAGTATCAGTCATCTAGTTCTTACTGTTTTTCATTTTCAACACTTTTTCTGACTCATCTTCATAATTAGTTTTACAAACAAACATTAATATTATTTTGTTAAGTTAAAAATTGCTATTTCAGTTGGGATTTCATTAAATGTACAAATTAACTTAGGAGGAAATGATATTTTTCTATCAAAGACCATAGTGTGTCTTTCCATTTGTTAAGTCATTTTTAGGTCTGCCAATAGGTTATCAAAGAGTTTTTAATAAAAGTCCTGCAAATTACTTGTTATATTGATCTTTAGGATTCTTTTCAGTTGCTGTATTTTAAATGAGATCTTTTCTTTTACCATAACCTCTAACAAGTTACGGTTTAGGAAAGCCTACTGGTTTTAAATAGTTACTTAGCAACTCATCTCTTCTCTGAATTCTCTTCTTGTTTTTTATTGTTTTCCAGTTGGTTCTCCCAGGTTTTCTGGGCCTGGTATCCTCTTTCAGAATGTAAATTATCCCATAAGGTGTAATATTTGTCAGATCATTTATTGATTAATATTTGACTAGGCCTGTGTTATGCGAGGTTGTGCTCCAGTTGTAAATGAGCCTGTACATTCCTACTTGGGTACTTCCCCTACAAGTCCTGCTTCCCCACCTCAACCACTGCCTTTCCTCTCTCTCAGTTCCTACAACACCCGGTGCTCCTTCTTGTTTGTGAGATTTCATGTATCTTATTTCTCTATTCATCACTTCTCAGACCTTCACTTAAAGGTTACTTCCTTCAGCCAGGCGCGATGGCTCATGCCTGTAATCCCAGCACTTTGGGAGGCCGAGGCAGGCCACTCACGAGGTTAGGAGTTCAAGACCAGCCTGGCCAAGATGGTGAAACCTGTCTCTACTAAAAATACAAAAATTAGCCTGGCGTGGTGGTGGGTGCCTGTAATCCCGGCAGGGAATTGCTTGAACCTGGGAGGCGGAAGTTGCAGTGAGGCGAGATCACACCACGGCACTCCAGCCTGGGCGACAGAGCGAGACTCTGTCTCAAAAAAAATAGTCACTTCCTTCAAGAGACCTTCCCTGAGCCTTGGTTGATGGTACCATTTCCTTTGCTCTCCTCCCTAAAGGTCTTTGACTGTCGTCTTTTGTAACACCCAACATACTTAGAAGTGCTGCTGTCATACCTGCCTTCCTTGCTAGACTTCCAGCTCCAGGAGAAAGAGAGGCACAGCCTTCCTTGGTGCTGTAACTGGAGCTCCCAGACCGCCTGGCACGTATAGATGACCAAGGGGTATTTGTTGGATTATAGCCTAAAACAGCCTGCTGCAAACCTGACATTTTTTTATGTCTTTGGTTTTACCTTAAAACTCAGAAGAATTTTGCCTTCTATTACATACTATGTTTGTATTATTTTAAATCTAAAATGAATTTTTTTTAATGGTGGAGTAGATTAACAAACACAGCAGGGTTTCCATGCCTTTGTGAATGGCTAGAGATTTAAACTCTTCATCTTTAACTTAAAAGATGAATTAGCTTCTTAATGACCTTATATTATTATTATGGGCTGAATGTCTGTATTCCCCCAAAATTCCTACGTTGAAATCTAATTCCCAATATAATGGTGTTTGGAAGAGGGGCCTTTGGGAGGTGATGGGGTCAGGGATAGAGCCCTCGTGAGTGGGATGAGTGCCTTACAAGGAGAGACTAAAGAGATGAGCTGTCTTATTTGTCATGTGAGGATACAAGGAAAAGATGGGCATCTGCAAACCAGTAAGCAGACACTCACCAAACACTGAATCTGCCGGCACCTGCATCTTGAGCTTTCCAACAAACTGACAAGGCAATTAAGAACGAGGTTTTACTTTTCCCCCAAATATTTGTTGTGGGAATTAGCAGACCCTAGTTTGCGATGGGTGAAAGAATCTCGTCATTCACACTTGTCTGTGGGCTCCTCCACGCCACCTGCATGAGCCAAGGTCCTGATGAACAGTTAGGAATAGCTGGGTAGGCTACGGGCCGGCAGAAGGAACAGCCCAGCACAAACACGCCGCAGACTCTGTGTGGCAATATGACAAGAATGTTTGATGAATAAAAAATGCACTTCACAAAGATGAACTTCCCAAGCTTGGATGACAGACCTAGAGATGCTGAAAAAGAGCAGTCACCAAGAGGGATGGAGAGAGCCCAAGGGGACTGTGTGCAGACCTCCCCTCAACTCACACCAGGAGCGTGGTGGGAAAGGTGCAATTCCAAGGGGGGAATTCTGTCTGCTTCAGTTCAGGGTAGAGGCTGGGCACCTGAATGCCGAAGCCAGATGCCCCGTGTTCATAATCACAGCGCAGACACTTGCTAGTGGAGTAATTATAGGCAAGTTAATTACTTTGCCTAAGCCCCAATTTCCTCATCTGTGAAGGGTTTTAATAGAAACATGAAATAAAGGGTATGAAGAACTCAGTGCCTTGCTTGTATTGCAATAAAAGATGAACAGATATTACTATTACAGATCACTAAATCAGAGCATTCAAAAAAGCCCATTTTTTCAATCCCAGATATTGATTCTCCAGATCTGAGCTAGTCACTGATTTAAGAAGATGCCCAATCTAGTGAAGACGATTGCCCACAAACATAATTTGCCTTTTGGTTTCCTTGCAGAATTTTCCAAATTAAAGCGAGCTTGACTTCATGAATATGACTTAGTTTACACACATGGGTAGAGCACGTTCCAGGAATTTGACATTATGTTAAAGTGGGAGAGCAGCAGAAGGATCCCAGTGCCCAAGGATCAAGGAGTCAACAGGACATTTTTCTTCTACACAGCAAATCATCCTCCCTATTTGGGGCCTCTATGAAATAGAAGAGATGATGTATTAAAACCTGTTCTTAGAGTCTAGGCTTGAATTCTGGCTTTGCCATGAATGTTCTAGGTGATGTTTGGTGGGTTATCTAACCTGTCTAAGCTTCAGTGTCTACATTTGTAAGGAAGGTATAATAACATAACCCCAGAGAGTTGTTATAAAGAGAAACACTTAGCACAGAACCTGTGTGTGTGTGTGTGTTTGTGTATGCCACACCTATATACAATGCAACAGGGAATATATCTGTACATATATATGTGTACACACACATACACACACACACACACACACACATATACACACATGCATGCACAAATATTTGGGAAAGGAATTGAAAGTAAATATTTCGGGCCTAAGCAAACCAGTTCTATTACTATGCAGCCTCAGTTTCTCAGGAGAAATGTTGCAGACTCCCACCTCCCCTGTCCTGAGCTTCCACTCTGGGCAGGCCTATTTGCTCCTCCAAGCACAGCAGCATCCTGCCCACACATGGATTAGAAGCCCTGCTTGGAAATCATTCCCATGATGTTCTTGAAATCTGCACAATTTTGCCATAAAAAATGCAGAAAGGTACTCACCTTCAATCCATGTGCACAGCTGTAAGAACTGCTTCTAGCCTCATGTCCTTTGAGGCAAGGGGCCATATATTTTTCATTTATTTACGTATCTATTCTTCACTGGCTAACTTTTATGTTGTTTTTTTGTCTGTGTATTTCCCTGGGTGTGATGAGAATCAACGCTGCAATGAACATCCCCATACTTTGGCCTTCTAACGCAAGTGTGAGGGTTCTCAGGAAATATCTAAAAGTGTTCTTGCTAAGTTTATAGTACACAGTAAGTGCATTTGCCACTACACTGGATTTTGCCAAGTTGCTTTCCAAATGTTTTGCTAGATTTCTTCCTAGGTACCTTTTCTTTTCATTGGTATGGACATTTCAAAAATTGTCATTTCAATTGTCACTGGTAGATAAAAATGTTATGGACTTCTTTGATTTTTTTAGAACTCATATATAACAAGTTTGCTGAGCTCTCTCACTCACTGTAATAATTTACCTACAAATTCTGAGATTTTCCAGATGAACAGTCTTATTGTTTATGAAAAATATCAACTGATTTTCTTCCACTCCAAACCTTATGCATTTCATTTCCTATTATGGTCATATAATACGGCAAAAAATCTACCGCACTATGTTAAATAAAAGCAAAACTGTGATAGTAAATACCTTTGTGTTTTAAAAGCACGCTAAATGCTTTTAAATGCTTTGAATGTTTTAAAAGCATGCTAAAAAAAAAAGCCAAACAAATCTTTGCTGATAGAAATCAGAATAGTGATTGCCTTCTAGGTCAGAGTGGGCCAACTGACCAGAAAGTGTCATGAGAAAATGTTCTGCCAAAATGGAATTGTACGATAGTTTCTTCTTGGTCATGGTTACATTTGTCAAAATTCACCGAACTGTACACTTAAGAGCTGTACATTTTACTGCCCATTTTCTTCTTGATTTCTAAGGGCTATTTATATATTAGAGATATGAGCCTTTTGGGATATAAGTTGCAGAAGTTTATTCCCAAAGTAAAATTTGTATTTTAAATTTGCTTATTTTTGGCATATAGAAATTTTATGTTTATTCAGATAAATTTTCAATCTTTTATAGTTATAGCTCAATCTTTTATAGTTTTATAGTTTCTGAATTTTGAATCATAGGATGGCTTTTCCCATGCCAAGTTTATAAAACAATTACCCCGTGTTCTCCTCAAGTCTTTCATTATAATTTTATTTTGTACATTTAAATCTTTAATTCATTTGTAATTCATCTGTGTATTGTTTGAGGTTTGGATCCAACTTTTCTTCCTACATGACTTCATATATTATTTCACGAATGAAATTTCTAATATTTCACCATCTTTATCTTTTCAGAATAAATTTCTTTGTTATAATGTAATATTTCAATAACTTTCAAATTTTATTTTTATATTTTTGTATTTGTATGTGCACACACACACATATACACATGCACTGTATGTGTGCAAATAGATGTAAATAGGTATAAGCATAAACTTTTATAATTTGCTGAAATTTTTCTTAGGATTTCTGCATCTGGTTTATAAGTGCAGTGGGTCTGTATTTTCTCTTTCTTTCACTATCCTTTTTGAATTTTGATAATAAGGTCAAAATAAACTCATAAAAAGAATTGTGTAGATTTTCCTCTTTTTCAATTCTCTGAAACAGTTCTTAAAGCCATCTGGACCTGGTGTTTTTTGTGGGGAAATATTTGACTACTGAACAAGCTCTTAGTTATGACTTTTATGTTCCTCCTTGAGAAAATTTTGTTAATTTCTATTTTTCTATGAAACAGTTTTTCATCTAACTTTTCCAGTTTTTAAACTTAACACCATCCTCTAATAATTTTAAAAGTCTCTATTGTTTTCGTTTTACTTTCCTAGTACTGTTTATTGATGTCTTCTCTTTTTTTGCCCTCATTAATTTATTTAAAAACCTTAGGGCACTCTGACTCAGTGGTTGTGCTGATTTCTTGGATTTCAGGGTTGGAGTGGGGTATAAAGAAAGAGAGAAATTGCACAGTAAGAACAAACTTCAGGAAAGAGTCTTCTAATGCCATGGGCAGGTACTGCCTATTTTGATTGGTCATCAAAAGCTCAGTTACTCCTTATCTTCCTCAACTGTAAGGTGGGAATATATTATAGTATCTGCATGATGGAATGTTACGAGGATCAAATAAATTAATACCAAACAAACATTTAAAATATTGTTTGTCACATATAGAGCTGTCATTGATATCATTAGTTGTTGTTATTATGTGTAAAGGAGAAATAAATGAACAAACCCAGGTTTGAAGAACTAGGACCAAAACACTAAAAATATGTTGGTTAAGTGTTCTTCCACACTTGGTCCCTAGGTCCCCCTCTACCTACCTGGCCATCATGTTCCTCACACTGAATTCCCTCCCAGTCTCCATGGATAAATGTTGAATTACCATGGAGTGAAGAAGGAGGGCTTGAACATGACCACATCGAATATTTCACAGACTTTCGGGAAGTTGCATTCAAGCCTCACACAATCAGATTTAACATAAACAGCAGGGCTGGGTTAAAAGATACCATAAATGTAGACTTATCTTAGTGCTTTCTAAATGATTAGTTTATTGAGCATTTAACTGGTTAAATATTTTCATAAGATGTATAAATTTATATGATGTATAAATTTTGAATGAAAAATATTAAAGCCATCGTCACCCCAATAGATAAAGTTTTGCTAAAAAGAGGAACAATGTTGTTTGCTTTAGTGTTTAGGTTAAAGTTTATGTGCAGATATTGGCTTATCTGTCATTGGGTCTATCCACATACGCATATTGACCAATTGGCCTTTCTAGAGCTGTGCTGTCCAATAGAGTAACAACTAGCCACATGTGGCTATTGAAATTTAAATGAATAAAAAATAAGTAGAATTATAGAGTCAGTGTTTTCATCACACTGGGCACATTGCAAGGGTTCAGTCGCCACATTGGCTATTAGCTACAATATTGGACAACTCTAAATTATAGCAGTTCCACCATCCCAGGAAATTCTAATGAACACCTCTGTTCTAGAGGGAGTTTCACCGATAATTAAAGTATTAGTAGTTCCACCACGAAAGTACTAGTAGTTCTTGTACAGGTGCTTCAGGGAACAGAACACCTAGTTCTTACTAAAGCAGGCTGAATGCCTGTGGCTATGGCTAGCATGAATAAAAATAATATGTTTTTCTGAGCAGGTTAAACAAGTGCTTTGGAATGTTATTTACCCTGAGAATTACCATGGAGAGTCCAAAATTCAGGAATTCTGAATTAGTGAAGCTCAAATTAATGTGATTTATTATATTCCCTAGGTCAATCTTGAAGGCTGCACTTCCTTTTTTTTTTTTTTTTTTTTTTTTTTTTTGAGATGAAGTTTCGCTGGTAGCCCAGGCTGGAGTGCAATGGTGTAATCTCGGCTCACTGCAACCTCCGCCTCCCTGATTCAAGCGATTCTCCTGCCTCAGCCTCCCGAGTAGCTGGGATTACATCGTTCCTGGCCAGAGGTCACTTCTGACCCCATTCCCACCTTCTGCCACTTACATACTTGTTGATATAAATATCACCTATTTCCTGGTCACTATCAGCCCTAAAACATTTGTCAACTTTGGCCACTTTCCTAGAATAGACATTGGGCTTGTCATTGCTTTTGCCCTATGAGTGACATCTTTAGCAAAAGCACCTCTTCTCCAAATAGTATCCGCCAGCCAGCGCCTGGCAAGAATGGATAACTTACAATGTTTCCTATCGCGTAGGAATCAAGTATCAGATCTACAAATGCTGAATGTGTCACAGGTGGAAGAACGTTCTTCTGATGTACTCACAGCAAGTCACATGATATGGTGAAATACACATGACTCAGAATGAGGGCCAGGGGACCATGGGGCTGGGGGTTCCTCCTGTGTTTGTTTGTCGGGTGCGGGATTAGCTAAAGAATGACAGCCAGCAAGAAGAGGGTGAGGCTCCTAACATGTTGCTGCAACTCCTGCTGACCCCGATGTGAATGGGCAGGGTCCTTTGGAGAGTCAATAACGATGAGGAAAAGGATCCCGTGGCTTTTACCAAAATACATGTTTCTTTTCTCCTCTGAGTTGTGGTGACATGCTTGCTAGCAGCTTACTCTTTCCTGTCTATCAAAGCCATCCTGACCATAAGTCCTGTTCCCCACACCTCTCCTCCCTCTCTAGGACTCATAAGAAGGGAACAAATAGGGTGTTACTTTGTAAATGCCTCATTTCAACTCACGATAAGCTGAGCAAAGCCAAGGGAAGCCGGGGCAGAGGTCAAGGGAACAAAAGATCAGAAATCTTTGTCCATCACCACCAGGTCTACGATTAAAAGATGCAGACCTCAGAATACGCAGTGTTTCCCCAGATTTTCAACCCTTCCTGAGTATCTTTCCATCAATTGCCCTATTTAATTAATCACCATGTTTGCTCATTCCTCCTTCTAAGTACCTCTGAAATGTGTCCACTCTCACCTTCCATCACCCCATTGAAATGACCACCACCTCACTCATGTTAGATTGCTCTTAAGTTCCCCTCACACAACAGCCACAGGATGATATTGAAAAAGACAAATCTTTCTTGCTTAGGATAAAGAGAAAATTGATCAAATCAATCTGGTCTATTGGGACCTACCCGCCTGGCCCCTGCTACGCTCTCTAACCTCACTCCTTCAACAATGCAATCAAGCCCCACAGGCTTTTCTCAATTCCTCTAATAAGCCAAACTCGTTCCTGCTTCAGGGCCTTTGCACATGTGGTACCCTGTGCTTGACCTACCCTCCTCCCAATTCCTTCCCTCCCATACTCAGCCAGTCACTTTAGTCACCACCTCCTCTTTGTGTGTCATTATACTCCTCAAACTCCTCTCCTGGAACTCAGTCACACTGAAGTTTTGAATTTATAGGAATGACTATTTGATGAACTCTCTTTCCCATAAGATTTATAAGCTCCCAGAGACAATATTTTATATTTTATTTACCATTGTATTCCCAGCTCCTAATACTATGCCTGGCAATTGGGGCATGAGTAAATCTTTGTTGACTGAATAAAAAACAATAACTTGGCCTGGTACAGTGGCTCATGCCTGTAATCCCAGCACTTTGGGAGGCTGAGGCGGGTGGATCCTGAGGTCAGTAGTTCAAGACTAGCGTGACCAACATGGTGAAACCCCGTCTCTACTAAAAATTAAAAAATTAGCTGGGCGTGGTGGCACGCACCTGTAATCCCAGCTACTCAGGAGGCTGAGGCAGGAGAATCGCTTGAACCTGGGAGGCGGAGGTTGCAGTGAGTTGAGGTCGCACCACTGCACTCAGCCTGGGCGACCGAGTGAGACTCTGTCTCAAAATAAATAAACAAACAAACAAACAAATAAATAAATAAATAACTTTTCTGATTATCCTACCAGCGGAGGAGGATGGTATACAAAGGAAGTACATAGATGAGAGCCCTGGCTTCAAATCCTGACTCTGCCATCTGTTGGGTGATCTTGGACCAGTTGATTTACCTCTCTAAGCTTTAGTTTTCTCATAAGTAAAATAGGTATAACCATATTTACATAAGGTTGTGAAGATAAGAGGTATTTGCCAAATGGGCACCCACTAGGTCCTTAGTGAATTACAGACATTGCCATCATTACTGTTATCATTCAATTTGGACAGATGGGGTGGAAAGTCTTCTGGGGAGGCCACAGGCTCCTCAGGAAGAGTGACAGATTACTCACACCCAAAAGGAAACAGATAGTAACATTTTTTATTAAATATTACAGTGGATCAAAAAGTACAAAATATCTCTTGCCTGCTATGTGATTGGGAAACTATTGGCACGTAATACAGTATCAAAAGCAGTAATAAGTACAATTTGGAAAACATACAAAATTGAGTGTTTATAGTTGGCTCAGCATTCTTCTGGTAGTGTTTAAACTAATGCAAAGGTTACTCAATAACCTCTCCATTGGGAAACTATATAATATCACTGGGCCATGTTGCTATATACAAATAATCACCTTACAGAGCATAGAGGTTACATAGCTGGAATCACCAAAAGTATACAATATTTACAACACAGGAAAGTTTAAAAAAGTATAAACAGCCAAGAGATTATGCTGCTATTCTTCAGACATATTTCAACCATGAGGAGACAGGCAGAATATCAAATACACTAACAGCCAACACTGGACTTTAAGTGCTCAAGATAATCATTGCAATGGTATGGGTCTCACCAGGGCAAACTCATTCCCATTTCTCTTTAAAATTGGGACAAGAGTAAAACTAGACCAGATGCGACTTGGCTGACCACCACCAAATGTGACTTTGTGGGACGATAAGTGAAGAGAAATAAATGGTTCTCTTTGAAGGCACACTACATAAAATATTTTTGTGGGACCACCTCGAAATTTCCATCAGACACACCAACACAGTGAAATACAGTACTTGAGAATTCATGCACCAGGTCAGAAAGTTGTAAAGTTAACATCGAGTTTTAACAAACCCTTCTGTATATGCCCTGATAAACAAGTGAACTTAAGAGCTTCTAGCTAGTAAATAAATAAGTCAGTCCTGTGGCAAATATTACAAGTTTGAATCACTTACTAGAAGAATACTTAATTCCGAAACTCGGTTGGGCTGTTTTTATTTTTTTATCATGTGGAGTTGCCAAACATTAAACCAGAAGTTGCATGGAAGTTTTTTAAAAATATTATTTAGAATCTCCAAATCTCCAATAAATCACAGACTTAGTGCATTTTGAATTGCAACATTTCTTGGAAGCCACACTCAGTAAATAGATTTATGACTCCACTGCCAATTCGATTCCACAGTTTCCTTTACAGAACTACCAATAACAATGGTTTGATTGCACAAAGAAAGGCTTGTGCAATTCCATTCAATAATAAGGCCCCTTGAACTCAAACAATGCAAACAAAGCCTTATTTAAGACATTTTAAAACGTCGTTCTCAGCCAATGAAGAATTCAATGGTCTTTTTGAAAGATTTCCAAGATCTCTGTTCAGAGTTTTAAAACAAATAACACACTGCTTCTGTTGGGAATGCGTACCCCCATTTCTCTTTATTTGTCCTGATGTTTTGCCGAGGGTATGAGCTTCCTCAGACAGAAACAGTGAGTCTCCTCTCAGAAGAGATGAGAAAAACAAAAGCTGGACTATGTTAACATTGTTTGAAAATGGTGTGATCGAATTCCAACATGATGAAACCAGACTGAAATCATTGCAGTGGAAAAAACAAATGCCCCATATTCCAAATAGGTGAGCTCCACCGGGGACAGATGCCCCCCCTCCTTTTTTTTTTGAGACACGAACTCATAGAAACCACATATGACCTAGCCCATGTCTGCTGCAGAACCACCGAAGTTTCCTTTTTCTTCCATGTCCTCCGATTCTGTGACCATTCAATCTAGTGCAACTTTCTTATATGTGTCCTGGCTAGCATCTTGCCAGCTGGAATTGAGATTTTTCCCCCCTCTAGCTTGTGCAATAGCAGGATAATCTGCACTCACACATTTATAATCTAAATTCTACTAGTCTATCTATGGTTCTATTAAATATATATATATATATTATTCCACAGGAAGGTAAATAATTAATTGAAGCAAATGGAACTCTTAACACTGGATCTCTACATTCTTTTGTTTCCACCTTTGGATATTAAGTATGTTACATTGAATATTTGGCTTCATATCATGGAGACATTTCAATACAAATGCACGGCATGCATGGCTTTGTTTAAGAGCCGCAGTTTCATTGTTATCAGTTTTGATTATTTTGCAGTCGAGTTACCTATTTAGAAGTTGAAAATTGTCACCAATTTTCCCAGAATTAAGTATCTCAGAGGTAAAAGACTTAGTTAACTATGGTTCTAAAGTCTACTGGTAGTGTTGCGGGAGGGGCACAGTGGGTTGGGGAGTTCATCCAAGCGGTCTTCAGCAGGGATGGGACTTGGGGAGAAAATCCACTCTCTGTATCCATTGACTTTTAATTAATACAGTTAGAAAATGTGTCCACCTTAATGTTATATCTCGGTAGCAAATGGAATACAGTGGCAAGAATGACAACGGACATTCTCCACATCTTTTCACTGCCTGAGCAGCTTGACCATTTACTTCCCACAATAAAAGAAACCAGAAAGTGGACTGTATTGCCAGGTGGTTAAAAACATGACCCAAACCACCTTACATGTTTCTGTGTGTGTACACACAAAACTCACACCCCATAAAACCAAATAGGATGACTTTTCTTTTGAAAAGGCTAATCCAGTATGTCAGTTATCCCCAAAGATGTGGCCTGGGAGATTCTTCTTGGGAATGACAAGAAACCAACTGGATGAAAACAACATGACTACTTATCACTCAAAAGACCGAGGCTAGAGAAGCTATCAGGACTGCAGCTGCTCCTCTTCTGGCCAGTTGAGCTCCATCCTCTTCCCAACCCCCTTTCCCAGACCATTTAAAGGAATCAGTGCCAACGCCAATGTAAATCATTTTGGCTCCTGTTCTAATTTCTGAAATTCCTAAAATATCTGTGCAGCCCACAAATATGTCCTCTAGACTCTGTTGTTATTCGGCAGCTTGCTGCCAGTGAGGTTTTTGTTTTTATGATTCTCTGGTATGTAGGACAGTTTCACAGCCTAGATAAGGTAAGTACAATGCTCAATATTTTCACAGAACCCAATACTTCAAAGCAAAGCATTTGGCTGGGTAAGCAGTGTATAAGCTCTTTCAACTATGCCATTTATGAGGAACAAAATCCTTAAGTTGCGGATCTACAAAGGAACGTTCTTTGCACTATTGTGTGCTTGACTGTTTCTTTTTCATTTGTTCCACTAGAATCAGTTGCTTCAATTTGTAAACAATAACTTTACCACCCAAAGCTGCTCAAAATAAGATGTGGAAAAATTACAAACACACAACAACTAGGACAGTCAGTCAGCCTCAAAAACAAAACAAAAACAAAAAGACCTGCAAACAAAAGCAATACCATTTAATAAAAAAAAAAAAAAAAAAAAAAAAAAAGACGAGAAGGAACTGGGAGAAAATGGAACTACCTGTATATAAATTAGGTGAGCAAACAGTGATACAGGTAGTTTTAAGAAGCAAATATATACAGTCAATTTAACAGTGTTTACTTCTCTGGATTGTTTAATAGTGTCAAAATGAAAGATCTATTGAAGTTTCACTATACATTGCATTGATTGAACCTTGGAGAGTTTTATGAAAAAGAGGGGCATCCCTTGCCATCTGTTTGCCAGTCTTCCTTGCCCCTTCCTTTGAAATGCCTGCCTCTTTTTTGCCCAGATTGTTTCCTGACCATCCGAACTCAGATGGGGTCCTCTAAGTTCTTCCTGGATATTCACAAATCCCTTCACAAGGCCCACGTGCGAAGTGAATGATCTGGAGGTGCCTGGGCATCTGTGTTGGAAGGGAGTCAAGACTCACCAGCCAGTCAGTTTGTGGGCTAGAGTTGTCCCACAAAAATCAGGCATGTTCACCTCCCCTCTGGGCCCCTACAGCTGGGACTGATCATAGCCTCAGATTAGAAGAAATACTGACTTCTAACTCTATAAGCCAGCACTCCTGGGTAAGGAGTGAAGCTCTGTTGGCCATGCCGCTTTGGACTGCTGGGCAGAGCTGAGCCTACAGTTTTGTACTGGGGTGCACGGATGACAGCTGGGAAGATGGAAAGGCAGCTTGAGGATTTATAGCAGCTAAAGGGTAAATGCTGTTATGCAAAAGGTCCCCATATGAACTTCCTACAGGTGTAGCCGCAGCCAAGTGTCTGTACAGCTGCTGAGAATTTGTCGGTGATGTAAAAATTCCTCTTTGCATCACAAGCGAGTGGAAAGCCAGGGGCTGCATGAGTGGAGAAAGCACAGTCTGGTTTTTCAAGTACTGCAGAGAATGAGAATACCCAGCCGGGAGCCTGGAGTTGAGGCCCGAGTTACACAGGCTCCCGGAATACAGACCTGGGAAGATAGGGGAGGAGAGGGGAAGCTTGTGGCCTTCTGATCCGCCCCCGGAATGCCCACCGTGCGCTGCTTTGCTGCCTTCACTCTCCTGCTCAGAGGCCTTCTCCTTCCCAGAGACCTCCTTGGATGGGTCTAAGGGAGACACTGCCCGGGCCTTTTTCCCTGCAATCACAAGGTCCAAATCCTCCAGGCTGCGCTTGATCGGCCGCGCCGCCCCAATGTTCTGCGGGCTCATTTTCCGGTGCAGGATTGGGTGGACCATGCCTTCCATCTTCCTGAAATTCTCCAGTCTCACATGGTGAGGTTTTCCTGATCTTGAAAGCGATTCAGGGTATTTTTTAGGGCCTGACATGGTCATGGGTGATACCCGACAGGCTTTGGGGTGACAGTCTCGACTCTGGCTGCCTAAGACCTGGAACTGGGAGATGCCTTTGCTCTCCTGGGGCCCTGTGGTGGAATGAGCCAGGCCCAGGACCTTGCCGGTAGGTTTGTGCGGGTTCTTGGGAAGGCTCAGATCTGTAGGCTGATCATCCGTAGGGGCTTCTGCTGCCGCCGACTTTTTGTCTTGCAGGTGCAGGGACGTGAGATAATTTACATGGAGCTTTTCTTGGTGTCTGTGGGAAGGAAAAGAACTGTTTTCCGATTCCCTGTACATGTCCCTGGAAGGGTATTTGGATGTCTGTTCATTATGAAGATGGTGCTCGGTGTGTCTGTAGAGGCTATGGAGATGAGGGGACGAGTAGAAGTCAGCCAGGAAGCTAGGCATGTGGGAATGGGGGAGGGCCCTTTTCTCTAAGAGTTTATCCTTGCCCTCCTGAATTTCTTGCTTCAGGACGTAGGAGTCAGCAAGGGGGTTAAGGTGATGCTTGGAGAAGCTGCAGCGGTGGGGATCTGATCGACTCAGTTTCTCATGCTTAAAGATGTCATTGATGGTCTTTCTCTCTTCCGAGGGCTTGCTTCTGAAACTCTGGACGTGCTGAATCACTGATGGCCGGCTGACCGCCATATGGTCAGTGCTTTGGCCATGGTGGGTCTGGGACAAACTGGAACACAAGTCATCCCTAGCAATCAGTTTCTTTTTGCTGATCAAAGGGGGTGGGGAGCCATAAGGGTAGCTGCTGGAGAGGCTGGCCCCACTCACTTGGGACAAAAGCTTTTTCTTGGCCAGTGGGGACATGATGCCTGGGTTGCCCCTAGAGTAGAGCAGGGGCGTGTAATTAAGTCCATGGTTCTCGTTCATGGGCCCAGTCAGGTCTTTGTCTTTGAACATGTCAAACGACTGGACCACAAGGACCTTTGGGGTCTGCTTGAGCGCATTGTGGATGTCGTCACTGCCCAGCTGGTCCACCTTCACGGTGCAGTTGGCAATGTAATCTGCCATGGCGGGCAGTTTGTCATCCTCCGTCTCATTCTGGTTTGCCAGCGGTGGCTGTGTGGTGGGGAAGCTGGGGAAGGATGCTTCTTGGGGTTCACTTTCAGGGCTCTCTGTAAAACAGCACAGTTTGGATTCTTGTTTTGAGTCCACCAGGGCACTAGGAGAGGTGAGTGGCTGTTTGCTGGCCCCAGGGACCAAGGCTGAATCTTTTTCTGGGGCCAGAGGAGCACTTGGGAGTGGAGGTGTGGGCCCCTTCTCTCCCGCCTCCTCTGCCACCTTCTCACTGTTGGAACCTTGGTCTGTTTCGTTGTCCTTCTCTGGGTCTACTCTGGATGCCAGGGGCTTCGCTGAAAATTCCTGATACCCTTCTATTTTTTTCTTCATGTCTGCTGCTGGGAGAGGCTCAGGGATGCTTTTCTGGCTTATTAAAGTCTCTTGTTCTTTTTCTTGCTCTGATGAAACCTGGTAACATATTTCAAAAGACAGTCAGAAGAAAACCAAATACACAGACATGTTTTGCTATGAAATAAAATATTCCACACAGCAGTTTTACTTGAAAACAGGCTTGTCAATCAGCTCGTGAAGTTTCTGTAAAGCTTTATTACTCCCCAATCATGGCTCTAAACAAAGAAATCTAAATTACAGAAACATTAGGGGAAATATGCATATTCGCTTCAGTCCCTTATGAGATACCTATCAAAATAGCAAAGTATTATGTACTGATGGTATACAATCATATCACTCCTTGATTCTAATATATAGTTTAATTCTAAGGTTGTCTTCTTGTCAAATCAGTCAATTATCCAAATGGGTTTTAAATTACATGTTGTGTTTTATGATACTCCTGAGAAAGATTTTTTTAAAGCATTTCTCTTTCAAAAATCCAACCAACCCCATGTTAACGACAAACAACAAACCTATTGCAACTCCCTGCTTTCCTTAACAGGGCAAATCCCTTCCCAATGTATTCAATATGATGCACTGAAGATTAGCAATGCATAAGTGTTAATAATTTCTACTCAGGGCCAGATGATATGCAGATAATGCTAAAATATTGACAAAGTATGAAGATTTCTTGGCAGCCTGTCTACCAGAGGGACAGAGGAGACTAAGTCCTTCTAGGTTGCAGCAAACTACATTTCTATTAAAGCCCAAAATGAAGTTGTCAAAATTCAGACAGTCAGTGCCACCGCAAATATAGCTTTGCTGTTGAATGAAATAAATTATAGTCAATGAGACAGACACACTCCTTATGTGACCCTACTGACAGAAGTTGTGGGTACCAATTCGACTCATTTACTGCATTATGCAGCCATATAAACTTTGACCTTAGGAGGTCATTTTAACTTTCCATCTATGACCCAGCTGACTGACAAGCCCTTTCAAAACTGCTGTCATTCTGCCCTGACATGTCTTAGCAGAGCAGTCACAAAACAGTTGTACTGAGCTGGTATTCTTCCCCTCCTTTTTCCATCTCATCCCTTGAACTTTGTTCTTCTCTGTTAAGAAAAGATGTGCCTGTAATCTCAGCACTTAGGGAGGCCGAGGCAGGCAGATCACCTGAGGTCAGGAGTTCAAGACCAGCCTGGTCAACATGGCAAAACCTCATCTCTAGTAAAAAAACAAAAATTAGCCAGGTGTGGTGGTGGGTGCCTGTAATCCCAGCTACTCAGGAGGCTGAGGCAGGAGAATCGCTTGAACCCCAGAGGTGGAGGATGCGGTGAGCCGAGATCATGCCATTGCACTATAGCTTGGGCAACAAGAGTGTAACTTTCACAAAAAAAAAAAAAAAAAAGAAAAAGAAGGAAGGAGGGAGGGAAGGAAGGAAGGAAGAAAGGAAGGAAGGAAGGCAGGCAGGCAGGAAGGAAGGAAGGGTGGGTCTGCCAATTAGCATCTTTGGGTAAGATTGAGGATGCTGGTTTAGGAATACGTGGGAACAAAAGTTTTAAGAAATCACACCTATTTCACAGGTATTTTTCCTTAAATCCCTTTAAAAAAAAAACCCTGAATTTTAGGGACATGTTATACCTAAGAGACTTTGCTTATCATCATTATTTCTTTTTATTTTTTGTACTAGTAGCTGCCTTTTCCAGTACAAATATCATTACTTCTTCTACATTAATAATCATCACATTGGTCTCTTGAGCTTATACATGACACAAAAATAAAGACAAATGAGTATGGCAAGGGAAAAAGGCAAATTGCATCTAATTGTTAGTTTCTTATGGGGCTATAGTTTGACGCAGGGCAATGAGGGATACTCAGTCTCATTGAAGTTTCTATGATGTAGAACTGCAGTTATATCAGAGTCCCATGCTTCGGGTTGTAAAACAGGTTTAGGAAGTCTTTGAAAGCTAGGCAGAAAAAAGTAAAGGACTTTTTTTCTAGTAAGACATTTTATGATCTGCTTAGTATGTTAAATGTTAGCTTCCCACCATGCAACTTGCAATCCCATTACTTGAATATAGTGGATTCAACTAGAGGGAATTTCTCACCCTTTGTATCTCCATTGAGTTCACCGCTTCATATTGAAAACACCAAAAACTAAAAGCGATGAAAACAATAAAATCCAAACCAAAAACCCCAAATAGAGTTAATGAGAAAAAATACACCTGGCTAATAACATGGTTCTATGTTGGAGGTGAGAAGTGATTCGTATTATAAGGTCAACCTTGGAGAGGGTGGAAGATTCCATGAGGTTTAGATAACCTCATCATGACAACTTTCAAAACCTGAGACACTTACAGCTCCCTGAAGGGAACAGTTGCAGCCTACAGGAAACACAAAGCCTAACAGCTTTCAGGGTTTCTATGGACTCCAGGGAGTAAGGCTCCACTCTTGGGCATGGTCATCATCCAAGCTGACAGGCTCAGTGCATAGGCTAAAGATTCCTCCTACCATTCACAAACCAACCATTTCAAACTTAATCCCCAAATTGGAGATATTCAACGGTCAGCTGTCCCCTTGGTCCTCAGTTTGTCCCCTGGTGTTTTGTGTACATATGGCAGCTAATAGAACACACTCATCTGAAACCCTATAATAAATCACCAGGCCAAAAGTATCAAGGAAAAATGGAATGTAAGCATGCACTTGGAATTTCCTTGCTTTTGGCCATTTATGTTGCAAGCTTGCAGATGTTGAGAAATCTGCATCATCTGGCCAGGGACGGTGGCTCACACCTGTAATCTCAGCACGTTGGGAGGCCAAGGCAGGAGGATCATTTGAGGTCAGGAGTTCAAGACCAGCCTGACCAACATGGTGAAACCCTGTCTCTACTAAAGATACAAAAATATTAACCGGGTGTGGTGGTGCATGCCTGTAGTCCTAGCTACTCGGGAGGCTGAGGCAGGAGAATTGCTTGAACCTGGGAGGCGGAGGTTGCAATGAACCGAGATTGCACCACTGCACTCTAGCCTGGGAGACAGAGAGAGACTCTGTCTCAAAAAAAAAAAAAATCTGCATCATCTTCTTCCTCCTCCCCCTTTTTAGTTACTAGAGCTTAAAATAATTATGAAACCTAATAAAAACAAAAAACCCACAAATTTCTAATCTTGGTATCAATACTATTTTCTTATGTAAGAGTCAGCTGGGTAAGTTGATGTCTAGATGGGAGGTTGGTGCGTGTTGTACATGTGCAATTTAAACCAGTGTTTAATTATGGAGCCTCTTATGTGTTCATTATAAACCTGATTTTTTAGGGGGTATTTAATATCAGCATCAAAATTCCCTCTGGGGTTGAATCCTAGAACATGCTGTCTCCAAATGTGGCTGCTCAGTTTTTTTTTTTTTTTAATGGGCAGCAGCGTTTTTTATTATTCATGTTGAAATGGAGCCCAGATCAGCCTACATGACTGGCTACATGCTGGGGGTAATGGCTTCTACCAAAAGGCTGTTGGGGGCTTAAAAAGTGCAGAAACTACCTGTTAATATGAAAAATAATAATGGTTTCATAGGAACCATTTCAAAATTCCCCTATAAATAATATGCACTTAAGATCTTTTTTCCTTTTTTTTTTTTTTTTTTTTGAGATAGAGTCTCTCTCTGTCACCCAGGCTGGAGTGCAGTGGCCTGATCTCGGCTCACTGCAAGCTCCGCCTCCTGGGTTCACGCCATTCTCCTGCCTCAGCCTCCTGAGTAGCTGGGACTACAGGTGCCCACCACCACGCCTGGCTAATTTTTTGTATTTTTAGTAGAGACGGGGTTTTACCGTATTAGCCAGGATGCTCTCGATCTCCTGACCTCGTGATCCACCGCCTCGGCCTCCCAAAATGCTGGGATTACAGGCGTGAGCCACCGCGCCCGGCCACACTTAAGATTTTCTTAAATTGGTCTCAACCCATGGCTGTTGCACAGAAATCAATTATGGGAGACAAACACTTCTCTAAAGTTTTCAGGAGAGTCTTGCAGGATACAGCACCACAGTTCCAAGGTCCCCTTTCCTGGACCTCCAAAGCATTTTTTTTGAGACACGGCTTCACTCTGTCACCCAGGCAGGAGTGCAGTGGTATAATCACAGCTCACTGCAGACTTTACCTCCCAGGGCTCTGGTTATCCTCCCACCTCAGCCTCTTGAGTAGCTGGGACCACAGCGGGGCACCACCATGCCTGATATTTTTTTTTTTTTTTTTTTTTTGAGATGGAGTCTTGCTCTGTCACCCAGGCTGTCGTGATCTCAGCTCACTGCAAGCTCTGCCTCCCAGGTTCATGCCATTCTCCTGCCTTGGCCTCCCAAGTAGCCGGGACTACAGGCGCCCACCACCACACCTGGCTAATTTTTTGTATTTTTAGTAGAGACGGGGTTTCACCGTGTTAGCCAGGATGGTCTCCATCTCCTGACCTTGTGATCCGCCCGCCTCAGCCTCCCAAAGTGCTGGGATTACAGGTGTGAGCTTTGTTTGTAGAGACTGGGTCTCACCATGTTGCCCACGCTCTTCTTGAATTCCTGGGCTCAAGCAATCCACCTGCCTTGGCCTCCCAGAGTGCTAGGATTACAGGCGCGAGCCACCATGTCCAGCCCCAAAATATGTTTTAAAGTCGCACCAGCACCTCAGATAGACGGGCTGTGGAGCGGCCAAGAAGCCATGTTTTCACAGTAAAATTCTTTGATGTTAGTGTGGCTCTGGACCCTTTTCTCTTGAAGCCTGAGCATTTGCTATCAGTTTTCTACAGGATGTTTGTATCTTTCTAGATTCTATTCCTGGGCTATCTCATTCAATACTAGGCATTGGATTTCATCTCATGAGCAAGCTGAAAGGCTTTCAGGAACTGGGGAACTATGTGGGGAACTGTGAAGCTTAGATTTCTTGGTTTCTTCATCAAGCCATCCAACTGTGCAGGGACACAGCTGTGGATTCAGGGCTCCAGAAGGACCTCGAGGCAGCACATGTCTTCCAGAGGTATTTCTATGGAGCAAAGCAACTCACCTCTGCTGCATCCTGGGGCTTTGGGGCATTTTCTTTTTCTTTCTTGCTTTTAGGTATTTCATGTTTGATGCGTTTGGTTCCAGATACTTTTGTTTTGTTCTCATTTTCCTGTGAACTGTTCTCCTGTTTCCGAGGTTTGATTGGAGGCAGGGGCTTATCTTCTTCTCCTTTAATAAATCTTTCATATGGTAGGATTAATCTAAAAGGTTAACAGAAGAGATGATCGGTCAGTTGAGTAATTCCAGTAGCATCAATGCTATGGGGGTTTACTTTCTTTTCTCAATATAAGCAAATTATTAAATGACTTCATCTCCAGTGACAGTGCTATACTTCTATAAACTTACTCTACACTTTAGTGTTCTGCTTCCTTGGTCAAAATCAGTACCTGGTAACTTAATACTTCTCAGCAAGACCTCTTTTTGGTTTTGTGGGTCTATAGACCAAGATACCAATGGAAGCATCCAACATTAACAATATCACCATCACTCCCCATGGCACCTGGCTAAGTGCTAACAAAACTGCAACAATAATGCTAGCTGCTTTACCAGTCCATCAACAACTATTTATTGAGCACATACTATAGGCAGTGTTCTAGGCACTGAGACACAGCCATGAACCAAACATTCAAAGCCTCTGAGCTCATGAAGCTTATATTCTAGTAGGTACTAGCATGTGCCAGGTACATTTAAAGATTATTTTATGTAAACTCCACAATATCCCTATGGAGTATTATTATTATTCTCTTTTTTAACATATGAGGCAATTGAGGCCTATAAAGGTTAAACAATTTGCCTGAGTCATACCATTTGTTAGAGGTGAGATCTGAACCTAGTGCTGCCCATCTGAAAACATTTTATTTTCATTCATGTCAAGATAGAGATGAAACATCTAAGATAAAAAGGTCAATGAGAGGCAAGCACAGCGTGGCCAAGAGACAGTTTAGTCTTATCCCACAGCTCTGAGTGGGGTAGGGGACTCCACTAGGAGTTCTGTTTTAGTGTGCTAAGTAAAAGACCGCCCCAGCGAGAAGGAAGGCAGACAGACTATGCAAGCCACAAAAACCAGAGGCCTGAAAATTTCAAGCATTTAAATTATATAACTTTTTAAACAAACTGCATAAAATTGCTCTAAAAAGAGAAACATCAAACAGCTCTAGTTTTAATCTGTTTTCCCTTTGCGACGTAGCTCTTTATCTGAAAGGGAAAAATAGCTGATGTAATTAAAAGGGATGGATTGCATTACAATCTCAGTTTCAACTTCAGTGATTAAAGTTTTTATAATGCATTTGGTATGATTAATGACTCACTGTGGGATTAATATAAGACTCAGCCTTAAAAATATGAACTTTAATACAGCAAACATAATTTGTTTTAAATAAGACAAGTTGACTCAATGAAGAAAATGTACTTGGCTTATAAACATCATAAGTCTGTTCAAATATTGGGGATCCTGATTATTTTTAAACTAAGATTCCCAGGCAAAAACTTCCTTGGTCTGGATATTGGTTTGCTATCCTAAAATTGGTTTCTATCTATGTTATTTGGATCTCAACTGCTTAACCATACACGATTGTTCAGGTTTGACAGTACGGATGTGGGGACATTTGTGATCCTAATATTTTGCTCTTTAATAAAATACCAATAAAACTATGGGAAAATCAGATCCCAATTTATAGCATATTAGAAACAAAATTCATTTACTGAGCATGCTTGGACAAGGTATGAGCAAGGAGGCGTGAATAATACTTTGGAGCCCTACATCTGGCAGTTGGCCAGCCATGAAGATCAACAGAGCCCATGGGGAATAGTTATCTTCAGATCCCATTACAAACTGAGTTTAAACATGTTACAGCTGCTAAAACTGGAAACTGCCCTCCCTATGTAGACTTACTAAAATAATATATGGCTGCCAAATACCTGCTTCCCACTGTAATATTACAGTTAATGTTTATATAATAAAAAGCATAACTAAGCACAAAGAGAAAAAAGCAATCCTGTTCATACTTGAATTTATTCTGTCTCATCTGTAAAGTCCCCAACATTCCCCCCAATTCCTTTTTTCTGCCTGGTTCTGCCAGGGACTTTATCCTCTTCAATATTGGCAGGTTGTGGATTTTTGTCTGGGAGCAAAATGCATTGAATATTTTAAACTGGAAAGATATTTTAAATTGACTTTAATGGAAACATATTTTATTGTTGGGACAGATAGGTTTGTTTTACTTTTGTTTTGTTGCCATGGGAACTCAAGGAACACTGTAGTCTGGGTATTCCAATGATAGCAATTTGCTGGTACCACCCTTCCCCCAGCTTCATTTTCTGATGGAGATGGTGACACCACGAGGGACCCTCTTTACTGAGAAGAATGACAGCATTACCTCTGAGTGTGGGAAGGAGGAGGAGGGAAAGCAGAGAATTGGGTGGGAGAGACACCCCATGGACGCCCAAGGACCCCTCACTCTGGGTTCTGAGAGCCCTGGGCCAACCTGGCTCTCTAGATGGGTGCTAAGGAGACTTTAATTTCCTTTTCTAATTTTGCAAGTTCACAAAGTAGGGCACCATTCTCATTTCGGTTCCTTTTTTTTTTTTTTCATTTTTTCTTTCATTTTTTTTTTTTTTTCTCCCCTTCACTCAACTCAGCAGCTGGCTGGCTGACAGCAGTAAAAAATACATTTCACTTTGCTGGTCAAAGGCCTAAAGCCAGAAGCAGGAAATCTGGAATTAAATGTTTCTTGTATCTGGAAAGAGGCATGACTAAGGTAAAACTGAATCCAAACACAAGCCCTACTTGTTCAAGGCTTCCAGAGAGAGTATATGAGAGTGTGTGAGTGTGTGAGAGAGTGTGTGTGTGTGTGTAAAGGTCAACCGAGTGTTTTTTCCCCCCCTTCTAAATCATTGAAAGATAATTATAGTGGCTTGGGGAAAAAAGCCTCCTAAAATAAAACAAGCAAGGCAGAAGCTAAAAGGAAGCAAGTAGAAATATGACCAGCTAAGCTTTGAAGAACAGGGCACGGTCTCGCACGGCACACAATCGCTGCTTCATATAGTGATTTCCGTTTGGTGCAATTTTCACTGAATGTTTTTTCAGTTATCCTGTCATGGTACAACACAATTACCCCACAGGATATGATCTTATCATATGATTATTAGAAGTTTTTACAGTACAAGAGGACAAAAGCTATTATAGGTTTCTGAACATTTAAACGTTCAACGTACATGTGGTACCATTAAAAACAGGTTAGCCTTAGATTAGGTCAACATTGCCCTATGTAGAAAGCTGAGTAGGTTTGTATTATATAAAGAATTTAGTAAAATGCACCATGCCTGCGCCTTGAGGTTGATTATTTCTCAAATATTTGTAGCACAGCAAAGATTTTATCAGTTTCTAAACTGTACAGATAAAAGCAAACATGCACTCCAGCCCCCAAGAATTCATTACACAGGAGAAATATTTTCAATGGACTGCAACTCTAAGAATGGGGGCTGGCTTTTAGGTGGGTGGAAGTAATGGGGAAGAGAAGCAATATATTCATTAGAAAATCCAGAGATTTTCCCCTTCCTGATCTACATCTAGTCTGGGGATTGAAAGCTGGACAGATAAATGGGCCTTTATTATTATCCAGATTTCACATTTCAGATTAGCAAAATGCTTATTTACGATGCGATTAATGGATCTGAAATAGGTAAGCCATTATGTATTAAAAAATAACATCTTTCCATAGGCATAAGATTTGTAGCAGCATGAGATTTTATTTTTCCCTAGGAATAATACAAGAATAACATTTTCCACCCCAAAGCAGAAACAGTAGGGGGGCCTTTTGCTATCACGGAGATTCTTATTAAATTCAGTCACTGTGAAAAGCAAGATTTTTTCCCCTCCTCATTCTTCTTTCTTAAAAAAAAAAAGACTTAAAATCAACCCAAGTTAAAATTAACAAGTCAATAGCATTATAACCTTGATTTGTTAGCATCTGAGCCACTAAATTATCATCATACATGAAATTGCTGGTTTGAAAAGATTTCGGCTTTGCTAAATCTCAAGTTAAATAATGGTGCTTAGTACACTAGGTTTTTAGATCTGCCTCATCTGATATTATGAAAAATTCAATACATTTCTCTACAGCAGAAGTCAGGGGTCAGCAAATCTATTACTGTAATGTAAGTAATCTGGCAACCTGCCAACTCTTTCTCCCTTTTATTATTTTTTTAAACACTAAGGCAGATAATTTTATATTTACAAAGTCTAAAATCCTCCAGGGCCTTGCCTCTCTTTCTCAACAAAAACCAGCAGCCTTGCATTAGAGAAGTGTGTATCACACATGTCCTCATCATTTGCATTTTGTACAAAAGAAGAAAAGACCCTTCATCTTTATTACACAACATTCCCCTCCCTTCCTCAGAAGCAGAGGAAAAATAATGTCAAATCTCATCTGAACCAGTAACCACTAATGTCTCCTGTATTGATTAATGCTTGCATGGAATGACTGAACTTTTGGGCCAAAATATTTAGCAAACAGTGCTTAATAGGAAAAACGAGAATCCATCTATTTACAGAGCTTGAAAAATGGTATTACAATAATGTCTGGAACTGATTGAATCCAGAGAGTGGGGGCAAGAAGTGGTGAACTTTTAGGGTTGTATTTGAATCCCAAAGTCACCCCAGTTACTGCATAGGCACTTTATGGTATCAAATCAGTGAGAAATTCCAGACCTAAAGGTTTGCTGGTGTCCTTGGAGCAGAATATTTTCTAGGGGCAGAGGGAAATAACATTGGTGCATGTCAGGTCAAAGATGCCACTACTGGCCAAGTGTGGTAGCTCACGCCTGTAATCCCAGCACTTTGGCAGGCGGAGGCAGTCGGATCACTTGGGGTCAGGAGTTCGAGACCAGCCCATCTCTACTAAAAATACAATAATTAGCCAGGCATGGTGGTACGTGCCTGTAATCCCAGCCACTTGGGAAACTGAGGCAGGAGAATTGCTTGAACCCCAGTGGCAGAAGCTGAAGTGAGCCGAGATCATGCCACTGCACTCCAGCCTGGGTGACAGAGTGAGACTCTGTCTCAAAAAAAGAAAAAAAAAAGGCACTACTATTCTAATACTATTAGGCTTTTTTTTTGTAGTAACAACGAAATGACATATTGGTTCAACTGGGACTTCAGACCTGATCTCACCCCAAATGGAGTCATTACACCTCTGAGTTGATTCCAGCCTTGATAAATTTCTACAGCTTGGCCAGACATTTCCCTTTGCAGCCAGAAATTAAAATATAACTTTACTGTGAAGTATGGGAAGGAATCTTTCACCAAATATGGAGCCAATAGAAGGTATATTTTTCCTTTCTGAAGATGAGGTACACATGCTTGTTACAGTTCCAATAAGCATAGAGAGTTTTTCTAATCTCACATACTGTTCACCTCTCAGGTGCTAGACCATGACCATAAAAGTGGAAGAAGAGCTTTTGGGGGTAGGGAACCAAATCAACAGCCAAATACACAAATGTGCTATGTAAATGAGCAGAGAAATGAGAATGTTTCCTCAGCGGGCACAACCCTGGTTGAGCACAGTAAAAGCTAAGCTCCATCTGAGAGAGATGTGAGCCACAGAAGATCTCCATTTTATGGTGTGAACTTGAGTGGAGCAGAAAAAATAGTGTGCCGAGTGTGACAAGCTCTCCCCATAACCAAGACAGGTGAGAAAGAGGCCTCCAGTGTCACCTCCCAACAGGCAAGGATGTGAACTGAAAGTCTGGGGCACCAAACCACGGAGTAAGAAGCCACGCTGACATGAAGAACGAGCCTATAGCGGGGCCCATCTGAGCCAACAAAATGGCGGCAGAGTGCAACACAGAGTCTGTGTGAAAGACTCAGTTTGCCCAAGAGCTACCAAAGCCAAACTGCCTTACATACTTTAAAAATGAGGTAGGTATAACTAGCATCACCTGTATTCTATGCTAAGACACCTAAAAGGTATGGAGTCCACTATTAACAACGATGAAATATAACCATTTGTCACCACAAAAGGTCTCTTTTCTGGGAAAATGATCTGCTCACAGGGGCTTCATTACCTACTCAATGGGCAGCAGATGGACAAGAAAACTTTTTGAAGGCTTTAATGCTCTCTCCATTTGCCCCTGGAAGTGGGTGGGAGAGTTGTTTCTTAGGCCCACTGATAATTCTGATACCTCCCTCCATGGTCCCGGAGTGTGTGTGACCCTAAATGAAGAGAAGAAAGAAAGGTACGTGGTACTGGACACAGCAAGGTGGTGGCTCGGCTCCCATAAAGATGTGTCAGTGTGAGAGAGTTAGCTCAAGGATGACAGCTTTCCTGAACTGGAGTTACATGGATTTCAGGGGACTGTGTTAGAAGCAAGGTGGGAAGGTAGAGAAACCTCATTCAGGTCATTCATATATATTGATTAGGCATTACAATATTAACAGCCACCACCACGCATTACATTCTTATTAATACCAGGCACTCTGCATGCTTTAATTTCAACCATTACAGAAAGAAATATCTACAGATATATTATTTTATCTCATTTTATGGATGACAAAACTGAGGTTCAGAGCTAAACGATTAAGTGACTAGTCAATGGCACACAGCTATTTAGTGTCAAAATTTTGAGTTCGACCACCAAACTGCCTGCCTCTGCTAGTCCAGCTATCTTCATCTCAAAAAGGTGGCTGTGCATCTTCATACACAGATGTATCAACACGGAGACATACCAACACGGAGGAGATACTGAAAGATCACTCCTGCCTGGGTTAAGTGAATTCCTAGCTCCTAAGGAGTTACCTGAGAAACTGGAGTGAGCATTCTCCTTTTCTCAGAGGCAACAGGCCTATAAAATACATATGTAGCCATTCCACAAAGGGTCAACCTCCTACATCAGAAGAAGCCCTATGGCTTGGGCACTGGGCAACTACTCTTACAATATGCTACAATAACCATGCCATAGCTCTTCAAAAGGTAGTGATACTAGTTGGATCATGCCCAACTTAATATCGGATGGTAAGAGAAACTTGAGAATCATATCCTCCATGAATTCCAGCCTCTAGGACTTAATCTTACCAAGCCCAAGCTTCCCATGGTCTCCCTAATAAAGCTCCTTTGGGGCTTTCTATGATGTCTCCATGCCACATGTAAGAGCATCTAGACTAATGTTGTTCCTATGCCTTTCAAATGACAACCACATTGAAGAAAGTTGGAATGGACTTAAGGAAGGCTGATGTTATGTCCCAGGGATTAAAATGCATGCTTATTACAGTGAACACAGACCATGCATGGTGCCTAGCCCTCTACAATGCCAGCCAGCAACAACTGCAGCAATGACTCTTCTCAATGAAAAAAGCCCAATGACTTCAGAATTGAGTTGTATGGATCCATTTCAAGGGCAGATGAACATTATTTCAAGAATAATAAACCCAATACTGTTTTGTTTTGAGACAGGGTCTCATGCAATCACGGCTTACTGCAGCCTTAACTTCCTGGACTCAGATGATCTTCCCACCTCAACTCCCTGAATAGATGGGACTACAGGTATGCGTCACTGCACGTGGCTATTTTTTTTATTTTTAGTAGAGATAGGGTATCACCATGTTGCCCAGGGTGGTCTCAAACTCCTGGGTACAAGCAATCCACCCACCTCGGCCTCCCAAAGTGCTGGGATTACAGGGTAAGCCACTATGCCCAGCCAACATGGCAGTGTTTTCAATGTGATGTGTACCCCACAAATGATGGAAGCCAGTGTCAAAATATAAAAATAGGCAAACAACTATTGCATTTAAGCCCCATGCATGTTAGATCCTACTGGTTCCAGAACTTCTGAAATGTTCAACAGTTCTCCCACAACATTTATTATTTTGGTCAAACTTTGTAGTAACTTACACAAAAACAAAATGTTCCAAGAGGTTTTCAGTGGAAGAGTTAAGAATATACTTTAATGGTAAACAATTACATTCTTCTGTCATATGATACTTTTTTTCCCTTTTCTTTTTTGGAAACATGCTTTCTGAATTTTCAATAGTTCCTTTGTGAAGGCATCTGTTACTCACATAACTGAAAAGATGTTTGTGCAGTGGCATGCTTGAGAGTACAGTTATTTAATCTTAATGATAAAACCCTGAGGACAGAAAATCACAAGTAGAAACCTTTTGTTATTTATCAAAAAGAAAAGGGCTAAGACACCTAATCTATTCTCAAATTTAAATTCATGCTTGATGAAAACTATCAATAAAACATGGGACCTGCAAGGTTTCTTAAATACTATAGTTAGGTTCAAAGGATGGGACAGAGGAAGTAGGATAAAAACAAAAATGAGACAATAAAGGAGCTCGACAAAGAAAAACTGCTGTTTGGCAAGCTTTTTTTTTGGGGGGGGTCAAACAAAGAACTCGCTGTAGTTTACAGCATGACATACACACTTGATTAGTTTGTGCCTGAGGGTGTTTTTACACTCAACAGTGTAAACTCTAACTTCTATTAATTACAACTTGCATTTAGAGGCAAATTTAAGAATTTTTAAATAGAGATTTTTTTCAAAGGCTGTTGTTTATTTTTTTAAAATAGAAACCAGTTTTTCTACTCCAGGGTCTGGCTAGAGTTTTGTTTTCCTTTCTAAAAGTTTCTTGAAATATCCAGGCATTGGAAAGTTATCAGAGCATTTTAGGCATGCTGAGTGATACAGACTATGCGGCTCTTGTGTATGAAATTACCTGACTGTCCTTTGGAGAGAAATTCTTTACAGATGACAAGATGAAGCTACTCTGGGTGTAGGGTGTTTGCATTGAACTGACTCAGAGCCCTGTAAGAACAAGCTTGGTGGAGTGTAGATGGAAGAGAAGCTGTACAACCTCAGTCAGCCTAACTCTGGGCAACTTGTTTTCAGTTTCCTGGGCTTCTGGTTGTTGATAGGGCTAGGATGCCCTCTGTGGGTTTAGGGAGATGAGAGTGGCAGGGTGGCCGTGTTGCAGAGGTAAGCCCAATAGGGGCCACAGGTCAGGACTGCCATGAGAAAGACAGTGTTGGGAAAGGAAATGCAAGTCCATTGACTGGGTAACCTTACCATGGATGAGGATGGGCAGAGTCTACCCACCGCACCTTAGGATAATAGTTCATAGACATGAGAGGATAAACTACACTACCTGCCTTTGGGGTATGTGACTTGGAAATTCAGCCTTAGGACTTTCCTGACAGCCCCTACCTTTTTATACACATTTTCCAGAGGGGACTTTGCTCATTTCAGTTGAAATTTCTCTCTTCCTTCTTTGATCCCTGTTGAACTTATTTTTTTTAATTACATAAAACTAGTTTTTATAGATGTAGTTTTTTTTTTTTTTTTTGAGACAGAGTCTCGCTCTGTAGCCCAGACCGGAGTGCGGTGGCGTGATCTCGGCTCACTGCAACCCTCCACTTCCCATATTCAGCCATCCCGTGATTCATCCCGTGATTCTCGTGCCTCAGACATCTGAGTAGTCAGGATTACAGGTGTGTGCCACCAGCCCCAGCTAATTGTTGTATTTTTTAGTAGAGGCAGGGTTTTACCATGTTGGCCAGGCTGGTTTCGAACTCCTGGGTCTCAAGTCATCTGCCCGCCTCGGCCTCCCAAAGTGCTGGGATTATAGGCGTGAGCCACCATGCCCACCACAGACATAGATATAACTCTCTTCCATGTGTGTACGGCCTTTGACTCAGATCTTGTGATGGGTTAGATAAACCAAGGATCATGGCATCTTCCAGTTCTAATGAGTCGTGGTGGCTCCCTGGGGATGCCATACTGAGAAGAATTCTGAGGCTGAACCCGGGCTCACCGGAAGCAGCATCCTGTTCCTTTAGCAATCTCAGCTATGAATGTGGTGGCAAGGGTACCTCCTCATTGTTTGCCAGCCAATTCTCAACTCTTTGCTTTATATGTTCTCATTACCCCTGAGAGTGCTCTCTGCACATGGCAGATGTCCAAAAAACACCGATTGGGTTTTGAGGGCAGCAGTAAATAAAAAAGACAGTTAATCAAATGGCAAATCTATCCTATCCAAGAAAATGCAACAGGCCAGTAGGAGAGGGCTTCTTGCCCATTCCAAATGTAATCTTAGGCTGTGTTGATAGACTGACACTGCCCGCATCCTGAGAAATACTACATGCCACATCTGGAGTAGCTTTGGGTATTCTGAGTGACACAAACTGGAGGCGCCTGCATGAGAGCAAGCCGAGCTGGTGAAGGTCCATTACTGACGCTCTGAGGCTTGGTTGAATGGAACAGGAAGACCTGAAGTGAAAGAGGAGCTTTGACAAGCTCCTGGACGCTGATCAGAGCAAAGGGAGCAGACATGTGGCGAGTCGTCCTCCGAAGGCAAGGCAAGGTCAATGGGAAGCCACAGAGGGTGTTTTGCTCAGCACACGGAAGAGTGTGTAGAGCAGAGTAAGAGCGCCTGGAACCCTGAAGCTTCCTCTAGGCCCTCCCACTGCAGGGCGCTGTATCAGAGGCTGGAGAGCCTAGTGTCAAGCATATTTCAGTCTTTGTGGAACTTGGCATCCTGTAGGCTATATTTTGCCCCTGGGCATGTTTGATTTAGCTTATATAAAATATTTTTTTAAATATTGGAGCCAGTGTTTGTAAGTTAGGTTATTTCACATTAAAAAAATATCTTGAAAACATAGAAGGTCAGGAAGCGCACAGACGGCATCTACCTACAGCAACAGTGTGGGCTGGTCCCTTTGGGCTCTCTGGCCCGGGCTGTGCGTGCCAGTTTCACACTTTCCAGCCGTGGCCCCTGCACTCATCTTTGCTACCTGCCTCCATAAATATCTGAGTTTGTGGCCAAGATGTAGGAGCGGACCTTCTCCACTGACCTGGGTGAAAGACGAGTTTTCTAAATTTCCCATCTGATGCTGACTGATGCTTTTGTAAACAACCATAAAAATGAATTACTAGAAAAATGGAATTCAAAAGGAGGCATACAAAACACAAGCCCCAAGTTTTTATTAGCTTCAACAGACATAATGTTATTCTGGCAAATTTCAGCGTAAGTGTATCAATGCTTATTCGCAATTGCTGTGCTTATTAGCTTGTTATGGGCTAGTAGAAAACAGTTCATGGACAAGTCAGAAAATCTCATTTGAGTAGCACTGGTCTAGGGAGTTGCTAGGGGTCCTCTTAAATATACAATTCTGAGATGTGGCCTGTGACTTTCTGAATTGCGTATCTATTAACTCCAAGGGTGTCCAAATGAGCAAGAATACATGGAATCATGTCCTTGATGTGCACAGAACTGTAACTCACCTTTCCTTCCCCAGCCTTTATCCATGGTATGATTAGGTGGGTTCCTTAGAACCTGATATATTTTTGGTCCTTAACTTAAAGCACATGCTTATCTTATTCAAAACATGAAGCCTCCCACACTCTACCTTATACCTTCAGAGAAAAAAGGCAGAAGCTCCAGCTATCACCCAGTATCTGCCCAAGTACATCTGGCTTGGGTACAGCTCACCTTAAGTCCCTGCAAAGAAAGCTGCCTCAGCCATGCAGGGTGACAATCTTGTCCAAGGAATGCTTATGGTAAAAGCAAAAGGTTGGATTTGAAATTAGGCATTATGTGTGCAAGAAGATGAAGAATAGTTGCTAATTTCCCTCACAAACAAATACATTTGTTTATGATTTTGATTTTCTAAATACTCAAAAATGCACATCATAAAGTACTTTTGCTTTAATGCTCCTTTTAAAATCCCTAATAACAACTTCATGTGCTCCACAGAAACAGACCATGTAATTTATTCAGGAAAATTAAAACCAGTAATCTAGCATTCTGAGTAAAGATTTTTTTCCCCCTGCATGGACTTTAAAAACATTTTTTAAAAAGGGAAATCTGCATGTGAAAACAAAGCCTTTAAAGTGATTTACTATTCCAGAAAATCAAGCTAAGAGAATTCCATAAAAGTAGTCGTTTTCCTTTTTGTTCCTTTACTGATAAAAATAAAGTGAACTGGTTACTTTTAAGTAAAGAGTTAGACAAGAAAGAAAATGTTCCACTTAGAAAGAATGAGGTGGGTATTTTTCTTTGCATCAAAAGCTACAGTAACTTCATCTATAAATCCTGAGCAAGAAATGTCCAGAATAACCACATTTCATAAGCTTTGCTGAGTTTGAGACATCTACATAGCAACAGCCTTGCGATGGGAAAACATTAATGCTTTTTATATTGGTAATCATCTGTAACATGAGCAATTAAGTACAGTACTAATGGACTATGGCCAGGAGCCTGGTACTAATATTAAAAACTGACAGAGATGAATAGATTTGGAAGCAAAACCCGGCTGACAAAGACATTTTTATGAAGTGCTTGGACCTATTTGATTTAAACCAATCAGAGGCAAGTTTGTACGAGTCAGGCCTTCAGTGACAATGATGTATTCACAAGCATTGTACCATTTCTGCTTTGCCTTAAATAAAAACACCCATTGATTCTTTTCAACAACCCACACTTTCATTATTGCACTCATTAATAAACCAAAAGTGCTCAACTAATATACAAGTAACATTTTACTGAGGAACTGGCTACATTTTTCTTGTTGTAAAATGAAAACGTTTACTGGAAACATGAACCACAGTGCATGAAAAATAAATCAGTGGATAATGCATAGAGATCACTCACTTCTTCATCTTCTAGGAAAGCAAAGCTGGTGGCAGGGAAATAGGAAAAAGAGCAGTTCTCTTTATCGGAGTGAAAAGAATGAGAACAGAAGAACCCGCAGCCTAGTAGGAAGAGCTCTCATCATCCTGATTTGGTTTGGAAGGCTTTACAAAATTCCAAGGGCATTTCCAGACTAGATATTTGCCCACAAAGTCCTGACCATTCTCAACTCATTGACCCTTCTTGAAAACAGTGTTCCTTCACCAATCCAGTCATCTCTGTTTTATCTGTTCATGCAACCTGTGACTAGCAAGAATGAATGAAATCCACCATAATCATGAAGTTTTAGCCCAGAGCTTCAGTCTCTTCTTGGATATATGTGCATGTCCTCTGCCCTTCTTTGGTAGAACCAATTAAAAGGAAGACATCTAGAACGGTAATCCTAGCTTTTTCTCCCCACCACAACACATAGGATTATGGGTGATTCCTCTTGGAGAATGATTGATTGAACATTGAGAGAGGCACTGTTGTAAATAAAATCAATGATCTTCAAATTTTGGTAGTTAGCGGTTGCATCTGATCACAAGGATGTGAGAGGAGTCTAGATGGCAAAAAGGAAATACCAAGGAAAGGTAAAGGACCTTGCTAATCACCCTGGGACAGCTATGCTCCAACAACACAGTTGGAGGCTCCACACTGCCAATTTTTGGTGTTGCCACACATAAAATGGGCTCTGCATATGGGGTTCCCACTTGGCGGATGGCCTATTGTCTTTCAACTCCAAATCCACCCTTCTGTACTCTGCTTGCTGATGCTAGGACTGGAATTCTGTAAATTACACATCCCTTTTGTCAGCTATCTTCCTGTTACTATTCTGCAAACAGTGTGTCCTGGGAGGCAGGGAGAGAAAAGGAATCTCCTTTCCATTTCACTTGTTCACATAAGTGTCAACTCCACAATGCATTAACAGCAGCAGTGGGTTGCAGCCTCTAGTTTCAACAGTCCCCCAGCAGTTTCAGCGCGTGTCCTCTGAGGTCTGGCAGCAGCCAGGGAGCACCGCCTCCTCAGGTTTCAGCCCAGCTCTGCAGTGCTCCACCTCTGAGCTCCCGAAGCATCAGTGCTGGTTGGGTGACTCCTTCTTACCAGGGACCTGAACCCCAGCTCTGAGGCACATTCTCCAAACTTCTGGGTGGTGACAACCAACCTCTCTTCTCTGTTCTGTCACCCTAGGGAACTTACAGTTGTTGCCCCCGTGTTAACTTAGTGCCTCACACCAACCCCTGTTTAAGCAACTGCCTATGGTGAAGTCTCTTTGTTGAATACCCAGTGTGGTTTCCATTTTCCTTACTGCACCCTGACTCATACACTGACCAAATTCTGGATTTGGAAAAGTGACACCACTCTTCAAAAAGTTTAATCGAGTGAGAAAGCAAACCTTTATGGAATATCCAATCTGGTCCCAAGAATAGGGAGAGAAGAGAAAAATTTTAAGACATCTTTAATCATGTTTCTTAATTGCTAAAGTTTGTGGTATATCTACTAAAATTTTCTAATGTGATTGAAAGCTTTCAGGAATCTCCTGAAAGAAGTAAATAATCAAAAGTACACAATCTTCAGAAGAATCCTACTTTTATTCACAGACCTGCTCAATCACACACACACACACTACTATGGGTTGAGTCCTTCTCTCCATGCCAAACCTTCTCTCTTTTTTTTTTTTTTACCATGTGATACTTTGTAATTAATTTGATTGATGTTTTCATTCTTTAACTAGATGAGCTAACAGCTGAGATACACTCCTTTTTCAAGCTTTAATTGCTATCTGCTCCTTTATGTTTGATGGTTCAGGTGTTGAGGGCATTTGCATATAAAGGACAGGGATGTCCACTCTCAAAACAGAATCTATTTGAAAACAGGGACAGAGTTTCTAGTAAAAATGTTCTGGCTGGGTGTGGTGGCTCACGCCTGTAATCCCAGCACTTTGGGAGGCCGAAGTGGGTGGATCATGAGGTCAAGAGATCGAGACCATCCTGGCCAACATGGTGAAACCCCGTCTCTACTAAAAATACAAAAATTAGCTGGGCGTGGTAGCACGTGCCTGTAGTCCCAGTTACTTGGGAGACTGAGTCAGGAGAATCGCTTGAACCTGGGAGGCAGAGGTTGCAGTGGGCCGAGATCATGCCACTGCACTGTAGCCTGGTGACAGAGGAAGACTCCGTCTCAAAAAAAAAAAAAAAAAAAAAAAAGTTCTGAATGAAGCCTTGACTCATAAGTCAAAAACAAGTAGCCTGTGGTTCCTTAGACATTATTTTCGGAACACTCACCTGAGATATCAGTGCTACTTTGTACTAGGACATCAGTGGTGTACCTTATACATACAGTGAGAATGGGTGAGTTTTTGTATTAAACACTGACAGAAATAACATATTTTAAAAATTGATGTGTTGTATTGAAAAACAATGCTATAAAGAGTAATAATTTGAACATCTATTATCAATTTTTAAAAATCCTTCTGAATTACAACCCTGCCAAGTAAGGCAATCCTTTGGGAATACTTTGTAGCAATTTTTCATGGTGTACTAAACCCAATTCAATTTATTATTACAAAAACATTCTTGTTGAACGGCCATACTAAAGCTGAGTTAAATGCAATACAGATAAAAGTAAAATTGAACTTGGAAAAAAAGGACTAAGAATTGATGAGTTAAATGGTATTGCCTGAGGATGTACGTATAAGACCCAAAGGGAAATGCCAGTTATAAGGAAGTTGGTAATGACCTAAACAAATTAAGTATGGGCTTGAAGCATAGAGGGATAATGCATTAATCTGCTAACTGGTCTTTAACGGTGTGAATAATGGAGTCCTAATGCAAACGGGAAATCCACTCCTGTGGATGCAACATAGTAGGCTAATTTTGCATTACTTCTTGTTTGCATCCTCATCATCTTTCTGAAATAGGCTGAAATTGTTAGAAAACCAAGCCACACAGAGCTTGGTAAGAAGATTCCGTAGAAGAAAAATACCAGGATGAAATAAAACAACAGATTTGATCTGGGGCCATTTCTCTTACTATGAGAAATCCTTACTTTTCAATGCTAATATTATGAGAAGTGCTTACTTTTCAATGTCAACCTCAGAGTAGCATTGCAGATTTTTCAGAAGCTAAAGGTTCTCATGTTAAGAGAGCCTAAAGAGAACATCCTGAGTAATCTATGCTTGTGGGGAAAAAAAAAAAAGGCATTGTCAGGCAGGTGGTCACATGACAGAACCAAACTAAAAGAACATCTAATTTTAGCCCCTGTAACAAGAGAAAGCCATGTTCCCTAAAAATCACAAGGCGGTATGCAAAGTAAAATGCCAGAGGGAAATTTTCAGTTTCCCAAAAGGTCATTTAGACTTCCTCTGTCTTATCCTTGACCAGAAGCTCCTTTCAATTAACACACTTTTAACTAAGCAATTCCATGAAATGGTTTCTTACCTTTCATAATGTCTGCGGGTACAAGTGGCAGCGCTGGTGCTCCCAGGATTACCGCCTAATTCATCATAAATATGTTTCCACTGACGGCGGGCTGTTATCTGAAAAAATGGCAATGGGAAATTCAATCTTACATCATAAGAGATTCATAGTGCCAGGCTTCAATACATATGCAACAGTCAGAAGAGAACAGTCTGTTCTGGAAACCCAGAAACAGAGAAGTCCAAAAGAGTATATGGGGTGATTTATGGTTTCATAGTGAGATCTCGCTTTCAGCACTCTTCTTTACAATAAAAATGGAATTCTACTTTTGGATGTGTATTTTGTCATCCTAAGTGCGTTTCATTTAAGACACCTCCCTGGATATTCATGTAGGTTTGTCAAGGACTCATACTCATACCCTGTTCCTTTAAGTCATTTGATAAAGCATCAAAATAAAATCAGGTTTTAGCTGAAATATATCTTAGTTCAACAGTTTAGATGAATCAACATTAACATTGCCTGAGGCATGTGGAAATGGGGAACCGGGTATAGAGGTAAAAAAGAGTCTTTTACCAAACATGCTTTTGTATCTTCTGATTTTCCATCCATGAGATGTGTTGCCAATTTAAAAAATAAATAAAATTACTACACAGATTAAGTTAAATGATCAAATTGGTTGTGGAATTTATAGTCATTTCAGGCTATATTTTTATGCCAGCTTCTCTAACCACCAAAACAAAACCAAAATCTGAAACTGTATATGTTGCAAGCTGTTTATTTTTATTCACTTAGGTCAAGAAAATGGGATATTGATCAAATCATATGAAAACTAACATATTCCACAGTTAAAATGCTAGCTACGTACATTATTGAGTTGAGTGAATAAAAACAAACAGCTTGTAATATACTGAGCTGCACACTATGGTCTTGTTTAATTTTTTCCTTTAATTTTATTTTTGTACAAAAATTAAGATTTTACAAAATAACAGATGCAAGATCTGGCAAATGATTAATTTGGGGAAACCATGTCATTTACTACATCCAAGTAAGTCTAGTATTTCCTTGAAATTTGGAAGACAGAACAAGTTCTGCGGCCCTCGTGAACATTTCTCAACAGGGTTACGGGAAAACTCTGTTATTTGAATGTGTAGGGGACAGGGCGTGGCAAAGGTGCCAGTGGAATTTAATACAGTCAAGCAGGAGGCTTCTTTTGAAAAATACCCACGAGGCTGCCAGCGGAGTTCACCAAGGGGCTAAAGGCAGCAATCAAATGAAAAAAAAAAAAATTAAAAAACCTCAACTTGCAACCGGGGCTCTGTAATTGTAAATCTGAGGAGGAGGAGGTGGCTGGTTAAATATTATGGGGTAAATGGTACCTTTTCTATTTCAAATAGAAAGAACCCCTTCATTTTCATAAACCCTTCTCAACAGGCCCAAATAGGACCTCGAGACAATGTTAGCTGTGCATCATTCAATTTCCCATGAAGCATTCTTGCACCAATCGGTTTCAATAGTTCTCACTAGACAGAACCACCTCTTACATCTACTAGCAGGTGTAACTGAAAATAAAATCCTCCTTATTTACAGTTTGTTTTAGATTACAAGAAATGGTTTCAACGCCCTTTCAAAACACTCAAAATATGTATTTTGATAATTATTTTATATTTAGTTACAATCTGCCTCCAACCTTTAAATGATATAATCTTGGGCTAATCTGAGGCCCACATATCAAGGGAGAAGAAACAGGATACCTCCAAGTGCCTACACGATTCCTCAAAGACCCTAGAATACCCCTTGAAACACACCTCCAGATTCCCCTCACTCAGATGAGACCTGTGGGCCCTGGGGGTGACAACAGGGTTAGAAAACAGCCTGTGTGTGGCCCTGTAATCACTTAAGAAACCATCACTCTGATCATCCTTGTGTCTCCTGTGTACACTGTCTATTTTATAAAGGATTTTCGCATCCATGACATCATATAATCCTCCCATAGCCTGTGAGGCAGGTTATAGGAAATCTCATTCACAGAAGAAGGGAGATTCAGAGAGGCTGCACACTTGCCCAATGACACACAGCAGCAGAGTACCAAAACTAGGATCCATATGGTTGTCTTCTGGTCTCAAGAGTGGACTTCTTTTCACTGCATAAAGCAGCTTCCACATCAGAATGACCTGAGAATAGCCCATGCTTGTAACAAGTTGGTAACACAGAACTCTGGGAGCCTTTTCCTTCAAATGAGGCAGGTAACTGTGGGAATCACTGTTTCTGCTGTGAGTTCTCAACCTTTAGCTTTGAGTCTTTCCCAATGGGGAAATCTAGCTAAGAGGACAGCATCAATTTAAGGTAGTGGGTTGAATTAACAGTGCTCTGAGGTTTTACTCTCAAAGCATAAAGTCCACCCTAACCACTTGTATCTCTAGTTAGAACAGAAGTTCTGGCCGGGCATGGTGGCTCACGCCTATAACCCCAGCACTTTGGGAGGCCGAGGCGGGCGGATCACCTGAGGTTGGGAGTTCAAGACCAGCCTGACCAACATGGAGAAACCCCGTCTCTACTAAAAATACAAAATCAGCCGGGGTGGTGGCGCATGCCTGTAATCCCAGCTACTCGGGATGCTGAGGCAGGAGAATTGCTTGAACCGGGAGGCAGAGGTTGCGGTGAGCTGAGATCGCGCCATTGCACTCCAGCCTGGGCAACAAGAGCAAAACTCCGTCTCAAAAAAAAAAAAGAAGTTCTATATTAAGTTCACCACCGAGTCACAAATAAGTCTCAATTATATCAGAATCCATCCAGTCACTCATCCGTTAATTCACCAAAAATTTATTGGACATCGCCCATTTATTAGGCACTGTGCTAACAAATGTTACAGCTGGGATGCAACAATGAAAAGCAGACCAGCATGCAAGACCACTGTATTCTAGTAGGGGATACCCACAATCAACGAGTGAACACATATATCAATAAAATAATATAAATTGTGAAAACTGATGAGCAAGAAAGCCGGGGATATTTAGGGTGTGAAACTGACCACGCCTCCCTCCCCATCCTACCATCTAAACGAGGGAATGCCCTATGATACACTTGTCTATCAGAGAAAAGAAAAGACCCTTTAGGAATAAATAATGCATTATCACAGGAGGGAAAAATAATCTATCTCATACTAGGTTTGAAACGGTAGCCACAGGAAGCCAACATCAAGCACCGCTGGGCATTAATAAGCTGTGTGCAGTAGGCCAGGGGTCTGTGTCAGCCCCCTAGCACTTAGTAAGTTCTGGTGTTTAAATACAGTTTTTACCAGTGAGGATCATCTGGAGTGAAGACAGGTCTGGCCCTTCGAGGAAGTGGTTCCTCTATTTACTGAGCTTCCACTGAATGGCCTGGATGAATTGGGCCATTTTGAGATATTTTCTTTCCATGGGAAAGTCATAAAATGTGCCCTTCACAACTGTTAAATGCTGTTAAGTACACAGGTCTCCTAGGCACACATCTCTGTTTTTTTGGTCTCTAGATGTAATTCAAACACTAGCCATGGACTCTAGAGGAAGAAATGTCTAAATTCTCCCATTGTCCAAACACATGATGGGTCTCAGAGCCCAATAAGGAGAGAGAACAGGGCAGGGAAACATCTCCCGGCTTCATGTAAATCCGCCTTCTGTATTAACATGCTTTAATTGTGCCTAATTATGTACTTGCTTATAGTTTTTATTCTGTTGTCCAATGTCCTCTCTCGATGTGGGTAAGCTTTAAAATTCCATCTGGAATAAAACCAACGTCTGCCTCCTAGTGTCTAGTACCCAGCCTCAATCAGCTGGAAAATTTGATCTAATCAAGGGGCTAGTTTGATCAACTCTCTCACTAAGCCTCAGGCCTCCTGGTTATAATTTGTGTTTCAACCTGACCTTCTATTATATTAGCTTTTTAGGGGAACAGAGAACTTCTGGCTCTTTGTTTCCTTTTTTTTTTTTTTTTTTTTGAGACAGAGTCTCACTCTGTCGCCCAGGCTGGAGTGCAGTGGCGCGATCTCGGCTCACTACAAGCTCCGCCTTCCAGGTTCACGCTATCCTCCTGCCTCAGCCTCCTGAGTAGCTGGGACCACAGGTGACTGCCACCATGCCTGGCTAATTTTTTTGTATTTTTAGTAGAGACGGGATTTCACCGTGTTAGCCAGGATGGTCTCGATCTCCTGACCTCGTGATCCGCCCATCTTGGCCTCCCAAAGTGCTGGGATTACAGGCGTGAGCCACCGTGCCTGGCCTGGCTCTTTGTTTCCTAAAGAAAATAGCCAAATTCATCCACACAGTTATTTCTTTTGAGCTGTGCCTCCTCTTCAAGGTCCGCAATTAGATGACAGATTCACATCACCATCCACCAATGCTTACCATTTTCGGGCACTATGCCTGTGCAGAGATATGGAAGTGAAAGGAAGGAAGGGAGGGAGGGTAGAGTGTGAGATGGTGTCACGAAAAGAAAGAGATGTTACTGCTTTCAAGGTTCATAATTTAGTGGGAAGCATAACTTCACACAATTAACCATAACGCAAGATGAAAAACTGAGCAGACTACACCCAGGTAAAACAAACCAATCTAGGTGCATGTGAGATTTAATCTCACTTTGAAGACATTTGAAAGTTATTTCTCCCTAGTGTAGGTAAGACCCAAGAGACTCTGTGAAAAGCACTCCACACCTACTATGTTCATAAAATTTTCATTGCTTACAAATATAGTGGGTTTCAAACCGTCTTTAGAGGACGGGCATGGTGACTCACGCCTGTAATCCCAGCACTTTGGGAGGCTGAGACGGGTGGATCATCTGAGGTCAGGAGTTCGAGACCAGCCTGGCCAACATGGTGAAACTTTGTCTCTACTAAAAACACAAAAACTAGCCAGGCGTGGCAGTGGGTGCCTGTAATCCCAGCTACTCAGGAGGCTGAGGCAGAAGAATCACTGGAATATGGGAGGCGGAGGATGCAGTGAGCCAAGATCATGCCACTGCACTCCAGCCTGGGTAACACAGAGAGGGACTCCGCCTCAAACAAAACAAAACAAAAACAAACAAAAAACCAACAAAAAAAATAAATTGTCTTTAGAACCCAGGTAGCGTTTTAAAGGTAGCCTGAAAGTAACTCTCCACACTGCCCACCTGGTCAAGAAGACTGGTCTGGTGAGTGGAAAAATAATCTGTCCCTTCCACAGTTTTATTGGATGAAAATATCCTGTCACTTAAAAAAAGTGGAAAATCACTATTTTAGCTCAAGACATGCTCTTGGAGCCTTGATTTCTCTATCTTTGAGGCTGCAGGAATGAAATAATTCTGGTATTTTTGCAGCCTGGTGAGGAAATAGGTATCAGAAATCTTTCAGACTTAAACTCTTTCAGTGGCTTAAGAATGTGTAGGAAATACGAAGTCAACAGAAGAGTTTGCCTGAAAGCAATGTTGCCTGGGCTGTTCTGAGAAACAGCTTCTTTCTCAGGACACCTTGAGGGTGGACTGAATTCAAGGAAGATGACTTTCTTTTCCTGGTAGTACTCCAGGAACTGGAGCCTTTCAAAACTACATGACATCATCTTTGGCCTGGAGAATTTTGAATTTAAGCGAGAGGCTTTGCCTGTTCAGAAAACTAGGGTTAGATTCAGAGGATGTCTTAAAAATGATGTCAAAGCCAGAATTTGATGTCAAAGCCTAATCCTTTCAGCAAGGAAAGAGGCTTCTTCCAGATGAAGAACAATGGCCCTGTCTCACTGGTGGCAGGAGAAAGGGTTGCTAACTGACATTCTTAGAAGGCACCACTGTGTATCACCCTGTGCCTTGAGGACAAGATGTACTCAAGACCCATTTCCCAACTCTACCTTCTCTCCAGATACTGCCTCTGGCTTGCCATCAAGTGGTTAGCCAAATGGAAATCACTTTAGCAAACCACCGCCATATGCTGCATCCTGGTAATACCCCAAGCTACTCTTCCAGCATTAATTGCTTCACCAGACACTGAAGTGAAAGCCTTTTTAGTTCATCAGCAAAGATTTATCCAGCTCTACCTCTTCAAATGTAGGTGATCCACATTCTAATGTTTGGAAGGAAAAGTTGGGTACATTGCAAAGGAAGGGTCCTCGTCAATTAATCAAAATGCCAGAATATTGTTTTGTAGGAAATCAAATCCATTCAATATATTTATGCTCTCTCAACCTAAGGATGAAGAAACACTCTATACATTTCCAGCAAAGGCAGAAGAGACTGAGAGAACTGCATATAGCCATTAGTCAAATGCTATAAAGGCTTACAATGAAACTTCTGCTCCTCTTTTTTTTTTTTTTAATTCAATTTGATGGTTGTAGAGGACTGAAATGAAATAATCCATAATCCGCAATTCAAACCAGAAGGTTTGGAATAGTTTATAACCACAAACAAAAACAAGCCAATTAAGATGGCCTCTTTTTATAACCAGAAGGGATTCCAGAGAGATGTCTTTATCCAATCACAAGTTAACCGCAGAAGCAATACATCTACAGCTTTTATACTTGCAGTTTTTTACTATTATTGAATATTTACATTATCCATACTTCTTGACTCATCTCCTGAATTCACACATTTTGTTCTCAAGAGTCAGATAAAAATCTCAGCTAGTAATTAGTACATCTGGTAAAGCTCATGTTAGATACAAAAAACAGACTAAAAGAAGCTACAAATGTTAAATACAAAGAAGAGACTAAAAGATGCTACAAAACAGACTAAAAGATGCTACAAAAGGCAGGTTATCAGATCCTTTCCCCAAAACATTGCCCCAAATATGTAGGAGGCATTTTAGATTAGTGATTGCTAGGAATGGAAAGCCACAAAGAATAATCATTTATAAATCTCTTTCAGCAACGCTACAGAGGGTGAGACAATTGTGTACCAAATTCTCAGTGAGTCAGAATTTGAAGAAAGCCATGATGATCCCATGCAACTCATTTCATCTCCCAGTGCCTCAGTTTTCTCGCTTGTAAAATGAGGCTATGAACTGGGGCACAGCAGGCATACTTTTTTTTTTTTTTTTTTTTTTTTTGCACAAAGGCCAATTTGAGAAAAAATAATTTGAGAGTACTACAGTTCTACACTTCCCCTCATTGAAAACAAAAATAGTTTACTGAGTTCCAACTTAGACTACCATTTTACCAAATGCAAAAATACTTGTCAGAAACTCTCTGCTGCTCTTGAGCCGAAGGAATATGAGTATTCTACCCTGTTTCTGTAGTAATGGCATGAAGAAAAATCTTTGATACTTGACTTAGATAGGGGTCACACTCTGAAGCTAAGAGCCATGGGAAACACTTGGCTAAGTGTTACTTATCACTGTTATCACTGGATTTGAATTAACATCACCTGGGCAGCTTAAAAGAAAAGGATTCTCTGCTTCTCAGGCCCATGCCCCACCACAGTTTATATCTTGGGGTGGGGGTCTAAACAACCACTTAAAGTTCCCCATTAAAAACATGAGCCCTATTCTTGAGTAGCTTTTAGGAGCCACTGATCTAGAAGACTCTAAGATCTCTTTTGAGTTCTAAATGACTACAAGTCTACACTCGTTTCTGATATCAGATCATGTCAAAGATAAGTGTCCTCTAGTAACTCTGTGATGACAGCTTAAGCCTTCAGACTTTGGATATTATTTGTACATCTCCTGGACTGACTTCAAAATTCAATGCCCATTGAACATCTCACAGTTTTATTAGTCAAAATATGCCAAGAGAAAAATGTATTCTGTACTTATAGGAGGTTCAGAAGCTTAAATGTAGAATAGTGGTGGCAAACTGAAGTATCTGCAGGGCCAATCTATAGCATGAAACATTTAAAAAGAAAGAAAGAAAAAGGAAGAAGGAAGGAAGGAAATGAGGAAGGGATGAAGCAGAAATGCCTTTTAAAATTCTGTTCATGACCAGATGGAGAGCAGATGCCAATTTGATCCTCCATATTCCCCAGCCCCAGTGAAGGGGATCAGAATATGTCACCCCTAAATTATGCCACGTTGGCATAAAGATTATTTTGAGATGAGGGCAACAGAGAACCAACAGATGCAGGAAGAGTTCTCTGCCCTCCCCTTATCTGCCTATCTGCCTAAAAGGAGGGCATAAATTTCCCATTGAGAAGGCGCCCACACAGTACCAGAAAGAGGGGCGACTCTTATCACCAGAGATGGGGAACTGGCAACTTTCCATAGTTCCCACAGCCTAATGAATAACTTTGGGGCATGGCATGGGAGGGCATAGCATCTGGAGGCTCAGCATGAAAGGGCCTAGCATCTGAAGGCCTAACATCAGGGAGCTAGCATCGGAGGACTTTCCTCACTTGGTTCCATCTTCTCTCCATCCTTCTCTCTAGAAACTTCCCTTCAGGGCCACTTGTCCCAGCCACCTCATCACTCTATTTTATGTTTTTCAAACTCTCCATGCCCAACCTTATTCTACCTCCATATATTTTCCCTTATTTGATTCATTCTCTCTTTCTGGAAGGCATAATCCATCATTCATGTCTAAATTTTATCCATTCCCCAGAATTCTTCCCAAATGGCCTCAGAGCCATCAAGCCTTCCTTCTCTCATCTCTACGTGAGTAAGTACTTTACCTGTGTAGGGCACTGACCTTTTTCCACCTTGTTTGATCATTATTGGCTCTCTTGGATGGTAAGCAACTTAAGGACTGAAATTACTGGCCTGACTGAAACCTTGCATCTAACAGTGTCTAAAACAATGCCTCATACACATAAGGTACTCAGTAAATATGTGGTCAGGTGTTTTGCTGATTGTGTGGTCATTCATTCATCCAACAAAAGGATAAATACTATTTGTTCAAAGAGTACTGCAAATGCCCTGAAATTTATTAAACTTTCTTCTGTACATTCTACATCAACTTGCTGTTGCATGGAAAAAAAATCTTTGTGAAGATACAGAAGACACAAAAGCAGGAAAAACTGATTCTGTGAAATTGTTGGCACTCTCCCTATCAGTGAATAACAAAAAGTTCCAGAGTGTGAAAAGACGTTTCATAATATTGTTCAATATCATATAACTATCTGCAGTCATGGTTCATATAAAAACGTATATTCCTATTCTAAACATTAAAAGCTAGACTTGAAAGTCTAGCCTATTGGGTTGACTTCTACGTTTATGAGACTAACCCTGAATAAGTTACCATTTTTTTTTACATGAATGAGGGCTATAATTAGCTCAAGATTTTGCCATAAACTATGAGCTACAGTGGCAAGGAGTTCATATCCTGATCCTATCAAAAGACTCCACTAAGTGAAAAATTACTATTTTTACATAGGTCACTTGATAAAATAAATATTTCAAGTAAATTTATGAATATGAAATGCACATTTTATATGTAGTCCATGTGACTATATTTCTTTATAAACATGTGTACATACGCCATATATGAAACATATTACAAGCACATATTATTCATATGAAAGAATTTTTAGTCGGAATTCATAGCAGATAGCTCAACAGAAAATACCAGATTATCTGAACCACATAATGCTTGTCCTCTTTCCCCATCCCAAGACCCGCACATCAAACCATTATATTAGTTTGTGGAACAATGTGCTTTATCTGGCAAGAAGCACTGGTTATTACGTTTGGGCTAAAATGAATTTCATTTTCTTGACTTTGTGTGTCTTACTGTCATTTTACTATGGTACAGAGATATCCCAGATTACTTCTCAGGGAATGAAAAAATAAGTTCTTATTCAATTGCAAGAAGAAACTACACAACTTAATCTGATCATTGTGTGGAGGAGAAAGTATTCCCAATGACAACATCTTCCTATGTCAATTGATTATATTACAGATGTCATCTCTGTGGGTTATATTTATGCAGCTCTTTCTTATTTAAAGATTTTAATCTCAGTTTGTTGCTGTAATGTTTCATTGGTTCAAAATACATGCTGTAAAAATCCGTGGCCATCAAATTTTCCTGTGGGCTAAAAATAACCCATTGCTGTCAGTTAGAATTAGCTGATAAAGAGTGTCAGAGCCTGTTCCGAATAAGTTTGATAACTTCCTGTTTATGCAGCACTGACCCTTGTCTAATAAAGCTTCTTTGCCCTAGAATGAGAGGAGATTCTGCTGCATTCTATTCCTTAATGGCCAATACTGATTACTTTTGAAAGCCTTTAATACATTTCCCATATTAGACATGAACAGATGTCAGGTATGTTGCCAAGGGAAATTTCTTTTATGCAATCTTGGCTTGTTGTACAATAATAGCCCTTTCTCAACATGGGAAAAAATTACAGACCCAACTAATTTCCCTGACAGGGGAGAGTTACATATGTTTTCCACTTGTAGTTTTTACGACAAGTTTACAATTTTGCCAAACCTGGAACTAATTGGGACTGTTTCCAAAGCGGCCCAATAAACCCCCAAAAGTGTAGAGCCATTTGAAAAGGCAGTCAGTGATGTTTTGCCCTTGCATGTTCTCCATTTTGGTCAAAGAGAGGGGAAAAGTTAGATTGCAAAATTATTTCATTTAAGTTGCTTAAACACTTACTGTTTCATATCCTCCCAGTTTTTGAGCAGCTTGAAACATAGTCCAAAGGTTAACTGTTAGAGGGACAATAAGTATTTAGATAAGCATTGCATTAACATACTTCCAAGAAATGTCAATTAAAACATTTTTTTTTTCAACGAGAAAGAGAAAAAAAGAAATACTAAAGTACCCCAGAGAGCTAAGTTCTTAGGAAACAATTTGCCCAAAGGGCATTTGACAACAGAATCTATTATTACCACTTAAAACATTTCTTAAGAAACAGTCATAAAGCTACAAAAATGGTTCTACTTTTAGGATAAAGGCAAGAGTTTTAGTCCTACTGTCATCAGCAGAGCAAGAGAAGCTAAATTAGATGTCTTTGGGAAAAAGCATGGGCTCTCAAAACTGGGGTTGGTCTTGTTCGACCCTTAGACGCCATTGATTAAACAGTAATATATAGAGCTTCTCTCATATAAGAACTCTCCATAATCAATAAATAACAGCCACTTTAATATACGATTACCTTCTTAATAGAATGTCTGATGGCAGCACTATATTAAAGGTTCATACAGTATTTCACCAACATGTGGTGGCTGGCAGTGAGTAGGAAAACAAATATTTCACGTGGAGGCCACAGTGATACAACAGATAAAAGGGAAGGAAGACATTCATTCAGAGAGGAATTGAATCATGAACCCACTTAGTCCCCTAACTGGCCTGTGTGATGTTGCAAATATATTTTTTTCAAACAGATTTCTCTTTGCAGAGTTTGTATATGTTTATGCTGTTAAACAACTATACCAAATTGCTAGCAACCCTGTTCATTTATACCAAACACCATGGAATGGGACTGCTATGGATTTGATTTTTTTACATGAGGGGAAAATTGAACTTCAAGTGATTCCTTGGTAAGGGAAATGAAGAATAAAATGATTTTTATTTTTAAAGGCTCTTTGACACAACATGTTCGCAAAGCCTCATTGAACCTTGCACTACTTCAGAGCTATCAAGAGCCCTGCCTCGGCCTTGATTTAATCTGAACCAATGCATAATGCAACAAAGCTGTTCATAATACATTAATTTTACTTCTATTTCAAGCAACCAGTTTTCAGACAAACATTGTAATCATTCGTAGTTATATAAGTTTATAATGGCTGCGAGTGTTCTCCTGCAATCAGTGCCAATTGCTATTAGGTATGTAAATTGTTATGTAAAACACACAGTTTTGACATTCTTCATCAAAATGACACATGGTTTTAATCTACGAAGATACATTTGGAGAAAATACTATTTCAAGCCAGAGGCTCATCGCTTTGTGCACCACTAAATCCAGACAGAGGCAAAATATATATTCGGTTGCAAAATCAAGGCAGGATCTGGATTTCTTCTCTTTTGATTTGGAATTCTGTTTGGCTATGAGTTTCCTGTTCTCCTTGCAAATATACAATGACACTTATATTTAAATGTACATGTCAAAGTAATTCAAAATTAGGCCCTCTGTTCCAATTTGTGTATTTCTTGTTTTCTCTGAAGTTGGATTTTTGTTATATTTTAACACATTTGGGGCTTAGGAAATGTGTTTTCCCTTTGTGGTTGTTTTGTCCATCTTTAAATGTCCTCCTTTTAAAAGCTGTTTTTTTCACAGGCAACATCTGTGCCTGATAAAGCTACGTCATATTATTATCTCACAAGAAAGGCGTCACAGACACTCAAGATTGACAAAACAGCAAATGAGAAACTTTCAACATGTCTATTTCCAGTCATAATCAGTGGATTCAAGCCTATAAATATCTCACTGCAACTGTCCCAGAAGGGAACAATGTAGCGGAAAAAGGCAGGGAAAAAATTCTTGGCCTGGAACATTTATGGATTTAGTATAAACAGAGAGCACTATCCCCAGATTAGGATTTCAACATAATCCTGAGTCAAAATTATTTTTTCCAATTCAAAGAATCTGAGCAGCTCTGATAATTCAGAAACGAAAACAAGTATACTCACTCTGTTTAAAACCTAAATAGGGTATTCGTTCTATCGGCGTTTTCCTTTCTTTCATGTATTTATAAAGTGCCACCAAGAAGGCTTGTTCATCTGCCCTGCACTCTTCACCAATGGCAACCTTTGGTTTTTCTTCATTTGAGACTTTTTTACAGTTATGGTTATTCTTCGGCTTGGTCAAGGCTGACCTGGCCTCACATTTCACCTGGAAAAGGGAAAATATACCACATCAGACGAGGCACAGCCCCAGGATGCTTACCAAGACATAGCTAGTGACAGAGCCAGCAACACTTTTCAGTGAGTGCTAAGGGTGAACCGGTAAATTATCCCTGCTTTTAATAGCTTTTCAGAGGCATCACTGAAGATGAATTGTCTGAGGCCAGGGGATGTCAAATTTCTGTAAAGGGCCACATCGTAAATATTGTAGGCTTCTGGGTCATACAGTCTCTGTTGCAACTATTCAACACTAGTAGGACAGCAGGCATCAGCAATATGTTAACAAATGGGTGTGGCTGTGTTCCAATAAAACTTTATTGACAGAAATTGCCAGCCAGTGGGTCATAGTTTGCCAAACTATGCCAGCTTCTTTTAGACTCCTGACAAGTATGTTGATGTGAAATGAGAGATAGCCTTTGCATCTGGTAGAAACATTCTTTTGTCTCTCTATATCAATACATTTTATTTTCTTAAGGAGAAGCATCAGTTAATGTCCTTGAACAAACCCTGCCTCCTTAACAAATAGAACCATATTTTATACTTTGTATCAAAATGAAAGGCAAGTCTATTTCTTTGTAGTAAACCACTCTTGTTGCTATTCTCTCCAGCAACCTTGAAAAACAAGTCAATACCAGCAGATGCTGGCATCAGCAATACCAGCAAGGCCTCTGCTGTTTGCCACCCAAGAGTGATGCGGGGGTACACCCTCAGTAGGAAACAAAAGATCTCACTGTTTAATGAGGGCTTCTTGCTTTATCAGTCAGCTCTAAGAATAAGATGTTAACTTGCCACAAAAGAAAGAGTAGAGGTCAGCTAAAAACCCAAGAAGAGTGAGTATAAAGCTCCATAATTAAAAAATAAAAGGCGGTAAAGTCTCCAGATGTTCTTCCTTCCACACTGTAGGCAGACAGGGAACTTGGCATATCGAGCGGCTAACCTAACTTTCCCTCCTCACTGCCATGTTCTACAAGAGGACTTTGATGGTCGTTAAATATAACACTAAGTTGCTGAGCTATTTTAATTGTAAAAGGGGGAAGTACAAAGGGTCAGACTCTGAGTTCAAGTGTGCCCATGGGGAATGTGTACATTCCAATATTCTTTACATCTCCGTAACTGACATCGGGAGAGAAGAGGGCAAGTGCTGGGGAAATGTTACGAATAAAAATGTCCCACATATTCTACAATGCTGTCCATTACAGGATTTCGAACCTTTTTCTTTCCCTGCAGCTCCTCCTTCCTAAGCATTAAGAACATAAAAGACTATGCTTATTTAGTAAAGGAAAGTACATTCTCTGCAGGAGTTCTTCATTGCTTATTCTCTCAAGTGAACACATACAGTTTAATATCTTTCGACTGGTCCTGCAAAGATAAAACTTCCTCTGAAACTGATTCAATGGGGCTTCTAGGTAGGATTTTAACTTTTAAGGGGCTATGGAAATGGGACTAAAACAATTTTCCCATGTAGATTTTGTACTCTCTAACATTATATGAAGGCGAACATCCCGTGAAACTTTATGTTGTCATCATTTTTCACTGCCAAATTTTAGGCTGTTGGATCTAAAGTTCTGATGAAATCTATAATTTAATGGCTTCTTGAAATCATAACATCACTCCAGTTTTAATTTGTATTGCCTCCCACCCCTTCCTGAGTGTTTCCTGGGCAGCCAGGCTCCATTCTCAACGCTGTTTATGTGTTATTTCAAACTTAAAACCCGAATGAGGTAGTTATTATTTTCGTATTAGAAATGAGGAAACGGAGGTAGACAGGATGAGCAGCATGTACAACATCACAAGATCATGCCCTAGTTAGTAAGTGGGGAATCTGGAATTTAAGCCCAGGCAGCCTTACTTTAGGGCTTATGGTTTTAAATGTTATACTTTTCTGACACTCTTAATACAAATATTAAATTGGTAATGAAAACAAACTTCTAATTAAAAAGCCTATCTTATTACCAGGCATTACGAAACCTACCACTTAGAAATGTGATTTATCAAATGAAAAGCAAAAGACAAATCTAGGGGGTTTCCAATGTGTCAAGGAGCTCCATTCCTCCTATTGTATATTGAGCAAAGGGGAAGGAAATCAGTTTTCAATTGAGCACCTACAATGAGCTAGATACAGTGCTGTGGGCTTCACATACTCTACCTTCATGTTCCTGAGAATTGTAAAAGGGAGATATTTAGCCACATTTTACAGTTGAGGAAACTAGAGCTTAGTGAGGTCATGTATGGTTTGGAAGGGGCAGACCTCTGGGTTTAGAACTCAGGTCTGCCCCACTCCAAACCCCAATTTTATAACATAAAGGAGTAGATCTCTCAGGTTTGTGTACAAAACTGACTGAGTCTTAAATTTGCAGTGATAATGGGCCAACTACCTATATTATTAGGTCAGAAGAACCACTGTTAAAAGGAGAATAAGGTTTGAGCTCCTTGGTGTGTAGAGAGCTGCTTAACCCTCTTCCTCATCTGTGTAGAAACACTCAGAAACAGAAAGAAGACACAGAGGGGTGCATGAACCAGGTCCAAAGTAACCCAGACTCCCTGCTACATAGCAAAGGCTCCAAATGAAGCCAGGCTGCTGCCTACTGAACTCTGTCCTGAATCTCAGTGGGCTTGCCAGCATGCTGCTCCTGGGGAGGCCAGGTACTTAGTAAGAAGTGAACAAGTAAACAGAAGCTTCTTTTCTTGTTCTAGCTTGATATTTTTTTTTTTCAGTTAAGATAAATGAGCTCTTTAGGGTATTATTCTGATTCTGGGTAGGACTAAATCAAGTTCCTTTCTGTATGTTTTTACATTTACCCAAAGCATTCTCAGCATTTCAATCTATTAAATTATTACAGTGCAGGTGGTAGTGGAAATGGGAGCTAGTCTTCATGTTGACCTAAGAAAGCCCAGCCTTTTGATGGTGACAGTTAATTACTAGATCTGTTTTTCCTGACCTGAACACCATACACCTGTTGAGTTCACTAAGTACTTTGGGGTTTCCAAAATGATTGAGGAGGTGCTAATTAAAGAATCAACATTTAACGTTTTCAATGATCCACCACCTATTTGATATTAACCACATCCTTCCACGGGATTGAGTTATAACTAATCCAGCCTTCAACTGGGGCAGTAAGATGTGCTGAACCAGCAATACAAAAAGCTAGAGTTCTAATCTTGGTTTGGTTGCTAACTTGCTAGGTGACCCTCAGTTTCTACCTTAGTAAAGCAAAAATGATAATCCCTGGGAATAGTTCTGAGGACCAAATGAGAGGAAAAATATTGAAAATAATGAAAGTATCACATTTGTGAAATATAGAAAGTATGTTTATGGTTTAAATGAACACACTTCCCACCACAGTTTCCTTTTTTGTGTTCCTTTTAGAATATAAACCACCTGTAATACACTTCTGCCCTTCAGAAAATGCATACGGGATATTAAAAATAATTTGCCTTCTATCAATGTAGGCCTTTTATTAGGGTCCTATGCCATGAAGATTTCTGTTATAGATCACTCTATGAAAGGCCTGGGCCTCAGGTTCACTGCTTTAAGATTATTCCAGAAAAAAATGGCAGGATTTGGGCTGAACACAGTCATGAGATCTTCAAAGAACTGGTAGTTTCCTCCCCACGTGACACTTGCTGTCTTTGGGGAGCCATGTAATTCTCTCTCCGTTGGAAAACATGGTCTTGCAAAGCTGGTTTTCATGTTCTCATTGAGGGAGTGCAACGTTTTGATGGCGACCGGCAAATCACTTGACTTATTTTTCCAGTCATGAACACAACAAACCCAGTGGGTCCCACTCTAAGAGCTTTGCTGTGTGGAGCTGCATGAAGTTGGTGCTTAGTTAGAAATGGTCTGTTTGAGGCACTTTTAAAAAGAAACAGTCACATGGGTCTTGGTCACAAAGTCAAACAGCTCACTGTCCTCTAAGATGCTGCTTTCAATTCAACAGATGATTAGATGGTCACAGACTCATAATCTCTACTGCAGTGTTTCATGAGAAAAGACCATGTTAAGACACACATGCTTTTTAATGACTGTCCTCATCCCAGATGTGGCTTGTTCATTCTGTAGGGATTTTACATCTGCCTGTTGGTGTCAACAGACAAGCTCGTCACACTTCATACCTACTGATCTTTTTGCTTAAGTGGTCTTGCCAGACCCACTGGAAGCAGCCAAGGCATGACTGTAATCCAAGACTCTGAAAAGAGCCAAGCCATTAGACCAGTCCCTAGGAGCTGACTGCAGCATGACATTCATCTGTTCACCATTGAACACCAACGGTGGAAGAATGATCCATCTCTTTGTAAAGATTCTGACGGGCAGCACTGTTGCGGGGATGGAGTAAAGGCGTCACTTAGAAAACCCAGGACTGACTTCTATCCTTCTTGTTAAGAAGTCAGTGAACATCAAATATGGCCCATCTGTATAGCAGGCTCTTGTTCTTCTCGGCTTTGTGAACCCAACAGTGAGTTCTGAGCTGCCTTCCATGGAAAGAAACATTGGAGGTCTGCTCTTTCAGATCAATTGTATGAGTTCTGTAAAATTCTCAGAAGCAGACCTTGGTGGTGATTCCAAGTGGCATGGGAAGGAGCTTTATCCTGCCGGGCTCAGGTACAGAATATGCTGGAGTAAACAAATGCTGTCAACCAAGAAGGATGGGCTGGGCACCAACAGAAGGCATGGGCAGTACAAGCTCTGCTGAATGTTATGGTCTTGAAACCTTCTTGCGCCATTCTGCAGGATCTTGCAAACTACATAGTAGGGAATGAACTGTTCCTGCTGACATCCTTCAAGACGATGGAAACCAAAGTCCTAGGTAGATAGTTCTAGGGCTGAGGTGTCCAACTTACAAGAAAATGTCATTCATGGCATCCATGTGGAGTTAATTCGCAGAAAGTTAAATGTGCAAAACAACAATAACTTTAGGGAAAGAGATTTGTTTTCAGCAAGAAACTGGAAAATACACATTTCTACTGGTTGATCTCTTCTTAACCCTTTGGAATCTTAGAAGTATGAAGAAATTCTAAGCAAAAAAGTCCTTAAAATTTCCTAATGAAACAATGATGCTTAAAGATAAGATTTTTTAGAATGTGAAAGTCTAAGATTTACTTCATTACACTGGGAAGGAGGTAGAGTACATGGCAGAGAAACAGTAGACTGTCAACACAGAACTTAACTCATGTTTTTTTTTTTCTACATCAGACTCTTCCAAATTCACCACTAATCAAAATGGTCCCATTTTCAGAAGTTTAGTTATTTGATCTGGAAACTGGTGTCAGTTGAAATCTGTTCGTCAACTAAAATCCTAAAGGGACGATTGCTGTCTTTAGCACAAAAATAACACCTAAATGCAGTAAACAGAACCATGGAAATCTGACCCAAGCCCACAAAAGTCAGAAAGGTAAGTCTAAAAATATAAAGTGATACTTTACCCTTTGTCGTGCAAAATACTTCAGGCATGCATGCACTTTCAAGATTCCAAAGAATGCTTAGGTAAAAAATTGACCTGGGTCTTGAACAACAGCGTAGAATTTACTTTCATTCTATGTTAACAGAGATCTTTAAAAGTATATAAATGCTTGTGGGCATATGTATACATCTAAATATTTTGCTATGTATCTTTAATTTTAGTCTAATGTAAATTAGAAGTGACTTTGAAAAATACATAACTAAAAAGATTAATTCTAGCTATTTCTAATTTCATCCTCTGTTAATCTCCAAAACACATTTAGATGAACACATTCAGAAAGAGGACGGTTCAGCTGGTCTATTTTTGACACAAGCAGAGTAAACTATGTCATTGTGTCACCCACTATGAAATCTCAGCCTCAATGACGTGGGTGCTTAATCATCTGTCCTTTACTCATAACAGGCCAAACTGGGAGGTAGGAAGTCTTTCTGTTGACTAATCAAAATGCCTACCTCCCCCAGCCCACGGCAACCAGGGGAAGGGAGGTGGCAGGAACAGGCACAGCATAGAGCTTCAAAAGCTCTGAATACCAAAGTCAGATGCTGAATTGAAAACTGCCTCCAAGACACAGGCACAGAGAGATAAAGAGAAAAAGCAAAAATAAAAAGATGCAACGAAATGAATACCGTGGAGTGAATGACCGTACCTTGGCAACGGCTTTGCCATCGGAATTGTTGTTGGAATCCTTAACACCACTGAATGAATCTCTTCTTTGTGGGCATGGTTTCTTTTTGCGTGGTCTGCCTTTAAGATTTGGCGCTGAAAACAAATGGAAAACAATTGATATACATTTTCACTTGCATGGGTTTCTTTATTAAAGACCCAGAATCTCACTACAGTGATCCCTTCTAATTGTTCAGAGAAATGTACAGATCTGTGGCAGGCAGCCCTCATTATTACATGCTTCTCTCTCTGAAGGCTTGCATATTGGTAGAGTATACATTTCTGTACACGTTTCCCAAAGCTAATCTATTTAGCTTTAACATGTCTAATTAATAGAAGTAACACGAAGCTCTTAGCTCTAAAGGATCATGATAAGAAAAATGTCCTTCCACGTTGTTAGACAAGAAGCATTTGGTGCTGAAAAACTGAGCCAGGCTTTGAGCTCAATCTTTGGTTTTTGTTTTGTATCTTGCTTTCCGAAACCTAAGTGACATGCCTGCCCTTATGGTATCATAGTAATGAAATGTTTGAAAACATCTCTTTTACAAAATATTCAGAGACAAGGGCATTCTCTCAAATTACCATACAGATAAGTAGAGAGATAGCTATAGAGAGAGGGGCATTCACAACAGCAAGCTGGAAAACATTATTACATATATTTACTAACAATACTGCAACCAGCAAGTTTCAAATCTCAACAAATCTGACAGATACATTTAAATCAGCATGCTGTCTTTTCCTTTTCAATATATTTTTATGAAGATCTTAAGGCTTATTTAATATAACATCCAAAGATTACACTGGGGTTAGCCTGATTCCATGGGGGTTACACTTTTGAAAAGACAAGATACAAATCAAAGTTCTATTTCATCCTTGATGCTGAGCTTGTTCCTTTTAAGATCTACACAGAAAGTAGGGGGAAAAGGCTGCTGTTTATTGAGAGCTATGACTATCCGGCATCAGCTTTCACATTTAACTTCATCAGTCACCCAAGTCAAGCAAAATTAAAAACAACCAACTAACCAACCACCCCTAGAATGACTCCAAGCTAATGAATTATACCCTAAACAATTTCCTTCAGACCTTTCAAGGCACCCACACTTTTTATTACTTAAGGAGTGATTATGACAATGTCAAATCTAAACAACATGAACCTTCTTGATTGTTGTTAATCTTACTTAGGCAGTTAACCAGTGGTTTTAGGACATTTTTACACTGTACTCATTTTACAAACACAATTAATCCTACTAATTTGATTTTCTCCTCCGGATAACAGTTTTACTGTTGGTGGAAGCTCAGTAAAGCAGAACTGCCTTTAAAATCAGAGAGGCAAAAGTTTAAAAAGAGGCTTTAGGGCTTAGGATCCCCTTCCCACACCCGCTCTCTCCTCTCATTCCCCTAAACGCTGGTCTGAAAGTCCATCCCAGAAAGCCAGCCTGGAATTACCAAAGGTAAACAAGCTCACAAACAAAAATCAAGCAAAGAGAAAGTAGCGATTACCCATTCCAGTCGACAAACATCTGCCTGACTGATGCCTGTGCTCATGAAAGCTACAGCATGTGACTGCTCCCCGGCCACATCCCTGGAAGTCTCGACTTGGTGTGGATGTCAGCTTCCCTCCGAATGCGAGCTGCGAGGCTCAGCGCTCTGCTTACAACTCCCCTCCCCCGGCAGCTCCATTACTCATGTAAACACACAGCAGTGACTAGCACCGAGTGTGTGGGATGAGCCTGAGGACTTTGCTGGAGTTGCCAGACTGGCAGGGAGGGCTCTGCTCTCTCCACCTCCCCGCACGGAGATGGTGATTTCATCCGGCCTGTTTTGTGGATCCTGACCTCTTGCTCTCCTTGTCAGAGCACGATGCCACGTTCCATGAATTTGACACGGTCCGCAGCCTGGAGCCAGGGCATGGACTATTTGTTTTGTTTAGAAGACTTTGTGTAGCACAGAAGTGTTTCCACAACTGACCCAAGTGCTAAGACTTTAATGACCGCGAGGGAAGGATGTACTTTCAAGTCCCTTATCAAAATAACAGCTGAGCAGAAAGCTGACAAACAAAACTTGGGGTAGCAGGTCGCAGGCATTTCATTAAAACAAACAAAACAATATCCCCTCTGTTCTAAGACTTGTTACTATGATCTTCCCTTCCTAGCATTTTGGTGAAAAGCACTTAGACCTAAAAGGCATTTATTTCTAGAAAAGCTTTCAAATCCCAAAGGCCTTTTCGACAGAACTTGCATCGAACATGCTGTTTTTAAATAAAGGCAAAGGTTCCGGGAACTGACAAGAAGTCATCCCCAAACTGGGTTTATTTTCTCCATTCTTTGAGCTGTTTTCAGAACCCAGAGAAGCACATGTACTCCCCCAGCAGATTCTGAGAATTACAAATTTAGAACAGACTAGCACCTAATATTCTGGTCACACAAACGTAAACTCTAAATGGGATTTGATCAAGAGAAAAAGCCCTTTGTTCTTAGTAAGGCAAGTACTTGCGTATTTCAGGTATGGTTAGGCAAATCCTACCAGTCATTCAGGACTCAAAATCAAATTCCTCTCCTACTCTCCCCTCTGAACTTTTTTTCCCTCCTTCTCTTATGGAACATATCACTGTACTCCTTGTACTTTAGCTGTGGTTTTTGGCATATTATTATACCAGACTGGAGAATCCTTAAGGGCAAGACCCTGTGGGATGTGTCTTTTATCTGCCCAGCACAACACCCAAAAGGCTGCATTGCATAACATGTATTTGTTGAATGAAAAAGTGACTAATGGAAATAAAGATGCCCACATACTGTTCTTTCCTGTCCTCATAGACTGGTCCCGCCAACCTCACACGTGGTATACTTGTCACACTGGGCACTTGTAAAACTGCATTCACCTTTACTACTTATGCTTATGCTCTGGAAACATAAACTGGTGACTTGAGTTTGCACTGGGAATGGAGACAGGAAACCAAAGGCCTTTGGTATCTCAGTAAGGCTATAATCTAGTCCCCACATGCAATGCACAAACACCCTGAAGAGCACAAATATTCAAAGTACGGGGTGGGGGGAATGGAACACAAAGGACTGGGTAGGTGCCTCTGCAATCGAATCAGAGACCTTTTGGATTCAGAAGACTCCAGGTAAAGTTTTGGTATTGAAGGACTGGCTTTGGGGACAGCAAAAATTCTGGTCCCCAGGCCACATCTTTGTCCCTCTAGAGTCATAATCTGTCATTTGCTAGGTCAGTGAGTGAAAACAGGTGCATTATGGTGTGCTGGTGGGCAGGAGTGGGATGGGTCTGCGGACTTTAATTCACTCATGTAAGAGACAGCCCCACCTCCTTCCAGCCACCCTGCAAGGACCTACACCTGCCCTCTCCTTGAAAGCTCAGTGCTATGTACTTACTGACAGAACCTAAATCCTAAGACTCCAGAATTAGACCAGCTCTTGTTCTTTAGGTGAGACTGATCTCTACCAAGAAAAAGCTCTGCTAGGGAGAGAGCAGTACCCTTACTGATAGCATATCTGGCTTCAGTCAGTTTTATTAGAAAAAAAACAGTGCAAAGCAATAGACGTACTGTTACTTTTACGTGTGTATATGATTCACTGGCCTGGCTTATCACAGAGTTCAGTAAATGCTCTTTGCATGAATGTTTTCAGTATTATACATGAATAATAAGAGTAGCTAAGTGAATAATAATAGTAGCTAACCATTTCTGAGCACTTTCTCTGTACAAGTCACTCTTCTGAGTGCTTTGCATACAATAATTCCACTAAAACTCACAGCAAGCCAAAGAGGAAGGCATGATCCTTATCCCCATCTTACAGACCAGGAAACTGAGACAGAGATGAAATTACTTGTCTCAGACCATACAAATGGTTACTGGCAGCAGAAGGATTTCAACACAGGCAACTGGACTTTATCCAGAGCCCCTGCTTTAAGCAACTTATCTCTAACAGACACACACACAGACACACACACACACACACACACACAGACACACACACATTGCCTCAAAATGAAGTATTCATACTAACTTGGGCTGGCAGTCACCAGGGAGCTCTCCGCAAATGAAAACACTCAAGTACTACATAGCACGAGGGTGCTGCAGCCCACCCCAGACAGGAAACACTGTCCGACAGAATTGACAGCGAGTGGGGTCCCCTTTAGTCTTGACCCAGCAGTAGGTGGCAAGACTCCCACTAAGGCCAATAAAACTTAGTCAGAGAGCCCTACATATTACCCTCCTTAACCAGTGGGCCACTGACTCTTCTGCCTAATCAGTGAAAGATCTCTGTGGTTTAAAAAAAAAATCTTTCCCCTCTGACTGCCCATCTGTTCCTCTTACTCAGTGCCAAGAAATTAACAACTATTCACCTTTGTGAAGTCACTGCTATTTCTATAGGTGTTAATCCTCAGAGAATCAAGCTACCTCCAGAGCTCCAGGCTACTCTGACAGCTAACCCATGTTTGTTTTTTCTTTTTAAACTCCTTCAAATATTAATGAATTATAGTCTATTTTCTCAACAATATAGCAAAACAAGTTTGTTTTTCTTAAAGGGTCTAGAAGCTGAGTTGCAGACAATTTGTTTATATATTTATTTCACTACGGGTTCACACAAGTTACATGGCAGGGCAGTGCAGGTGTGGGAAACTTTTATGTCAACCCCAACTCTTGCAATAATAATAATAAAACAAAGGGAAATGTAACCAGTTACTGGCAAAGTAAATTGCTTTTGGCTTAAATGTTCCTGTTTTTTTCTACTGTGTTCTTCCTGTCATGACCGTCTCTTTTTTTTAATAGCATTTATGCTCTTGGAAATACCACGAAGATAGATAAACTGCTATAAAAGCTGGATTGACTCATCAGTTAACAACTCTTCCTTCCCATTTTGCAGAGAGACTTGTTGCCAACACAGCTACATATTCTCTCGAGAAATTCTTTGTGAGCTTCCACTCAGAGATAGGATTTACTTGTTGGTAGGGACTGGAATCAGGGGAATGGAAAACCAGCACAATTTTCCTAAGAGTTTGACCCCCGAGGTCAATGTCTAGAGAAGTCGGCGGAGCGTTAACTCATTCGATTTGCAAGTTGCGTGTGTCTTTTAAACACGAGCCAGAAAACAAAACTCCACTGATCACAGTATTAGGGAAGACAAACATTGTTCTATGTATAGTATGCGTTACTGATAATACCCTGCATTTCTGTAATGCTTTTCCTCTGAGGATATCAATTCTCTGGCACATTTTCTTTTCAGACAATAATCTTAAAATACTGGCTGGGCACTTTGGGAGGCTGAGGCGGGTGGATCACGTGGTCAGGAGTTCGAGACCAGCCTGGTTAACATAGTGAAACCCTGTCTCTACCAAAAATACAAAAATTAGCCAGGCATGGTGGTGTGCACCTGTAGTCCCAGCTACTCGGGAGGCTGAGGCAGGAGAATCTCTTGAACCCGGGAGGCGGTGGTTGTGGTGAGCCAAGATCGCACCACTGCACTCCAGCCTGGGCAGGCAACAGAGCAAGACTTCGTCTAAAAAAAAAAAAAAAAAATACCCTGGCAAGTTTCAGCATGGAGCATTGCTCTTTCGGGGGGGAGGAGTAACCTACCCTAATTTAGTTATCATTTACTGTGTTCTATTTTCAATGTTTCCCTTTTAACTATTTGGAAACTTCCTCTTTCATTACAACAAAAATAGAACGAATGTTTTTAAAGTTATTAACGTATGAGTAAAAGACTTAGAAACCAAGAATGGCAGAAGGCTTGATCAAAGCCACTCCTAAAATTTATGGGTGTAATGAAAGAAAGGCATTTCACAGATAATCTCTTACAGAATTTCAGTTTTCAAATATGTGGGGGAACAAAAGAAAACTAGAAGCTCTCAGACCTCATTTTGGCTTTAACTTAAAGCCAATATTTAAAAATTCATAAATAAGTCCCTGAAATTTTTATTTCAAATCCACAGTTATATTTCATATAGTGACCATTGGTATTAAATTTCTATTCAATTGTTTGAATCTTTCTACAAATTCACAAAACACTGATCACATACGAATTTAGGAAATATTCAAGTTTATTTTCATTCTGTTTTCCCAAAATCAGTCTTCCACACCCAACAGAAATGCCTGAGAAGCAATTGCATTGTATGAGATATAAACACACTGGGCCATTGACAAGCACAACTTGATCCTGCGCGACGTTCTAACTCTGATGATGAATTTTGAACAATAGATATGGAAACACAATACTGCAAAAGTTTCATTATTTGGCAATTGTTCTGACAGTTTCCTCTTCAGAGTAATTATTTTTTCTCAGATAAAGGCATTAAAAAGATGAAGCCCTGGTGGTGGCTCATGACTGTAATCCCAGCACTTTGGGAGGTGGGAATATTGCTTGACCGGGAACTTGAGACCAGCTTGGGCAATGTAATGAGACCCCTGTTTCTACGAAAATTAGTTGGGTGTGGTGGCATGTGCCTGTAGTCCTAGCTAGTTGGGAGGCTGAGGTGAGATGATTATTTGAGTTCAGCAGTTTGAGGCTGCAGTGAGCCTAGACTGTGCCACTGCTCTCCAGCCTGGGTGACAGAGTGAGACCTTGTCTCTTAAAAAAAAAAAAAAAAAAAAAGAGCAAATGAACCCAGAGTCTGGAACCCAAATTCTAGAGCCAGATTTAAACACTTTTCATGTTCAAATGTCATCAAGAGCAGACAACCCCAATCACTAATGGATGGATGTGCCCTAGAGAAATTTTACACTCATCACACTGGATATCATGCGATATAAAGACCTGGACTTTGAGTTTCCAAGTGTGCTTTTGCCCAAGTCATACCCCTACACTGCTTGAACCACAAACTACAATTTAGCATTTCCAATGAACTCTGCTCTCACAGAATCCAAGTGCTTGTTCTTCCTCCTGGAAGGGTGAGCAGTTGTGGTGTTAGAAAGAACATTTAAAAAAAAAAAAAAAGAAGCTGGCTTCATATGAGGTCGTCACTTTGCCTCTTTGTCAAAATCATTGAGAGCCCCAAGAGTCAACAATGAGAGTAATGTATTACTGCCTTTGCTATACCTGGATTGCTTGGGCAGTTTAAGTCCAAAACAGCCATGGACTTCATTGACTGCTCAACAAACCATGTAAGTAAACACTTTTGTAATCCATTCCAATACATGCCCAGTCTTACTCACTCTGTTTCATACTTGTGAATGCTGGAGTAATTATTAATGCTCCTGATCAAGGTTTTAGTAATTTCTTAGGCATGTGATTTGCATAGCTATTTCCTGATCCGCCGTCTCTCTCTGCCCTGGAGGTCTTCATTTCTCAGAAACACTTAAAAACAGATTATTTTACTTCTACCCTTCCCCCAACCCATAAATGGAACAGGACTTCCTAGCTCATCTGTATTGCTAATTGGTTTGAAAGCATGTGACTCCATGCATTCTTGCCATTAAAACACAAGCAAGCCTTTTTTGAAGTCAGCTTTACCAGCAGTGATAGGCAGATTTCTATCTTTGTTCCCCCACTGTGTCTTGAGGCAAGGGAGAAATGTAAATGATCACGTTATTTAAATATTGTTCTGAAATCATGTAGTGAATTCCAACGTAATATAAAAATGTTCTAGAAGTCTGTATAATAGGGGTGTCCACAAACACACTGGCAAAGAAGAAAGGGATTATAGATGCTTTTCACTACTGCTTGAGAAACAAGGGGAAAATCTGGGAGCTGAATCTAGGAGTGAGGAGACAGTCTGGCTTTTCAGAGGATTGACTCTCTAAGGGGAGAATTCTGGAAATAGGAAAAGAGATTGAAATCTATGCCAGACCTTTCCAACTCTCACCTTCTCTCTGGTCTATTTGGCTGTCTGCAATATCCTCCAGGGGAAACCATTCTTGGTGGAGGGTCCCCTTGTAAGAAGTGGACGTGGTAGCTCATGGCTGCTGTGCAAGAGCCTATGCATCTTTGGGATAATGGGGTCTATATACCATAGCATGGACAAGACCACAGCCTAGGTTTTCCTGAGGATCAGGAGCCTATGGAAAGAATCCTTTGTCTTGGAATTCCATATATTCTTTTTTTTTTTTTTTTTTTGGGACAGACTCTCGCTCTTTCACCCAGGTTGGAATGCAGTGACGCGATCTTGGCTCACTGCATGCTCCACCTCCCAGGTTCACACCATCCTCCTGCCTCGGCCTCCCGAGTAGCTGGGACTACAGGCGCCCGCCACCAAGCCCAGCTAATTTTTTTTTTGTATTTTTAGTAGAGACGGGGTTTCACCGTGTTAGCCAGGATGGTTTCGATCTCCTGACCTCGTGATCCAACCGCCTCGTCCTCCCAAAGTGCTGGGACCACAGGCGTGAGCCACGACGCACAGCCAGAATTCCACATATTCTATAAAGAGACATCAGGGCAGAGCGGACATCTTAGGACTTAGCTCACACCTAAGGGTGTGGCGGTGGTGCTATCTAGGAGCTGATACTGCACGCAAAGGGTCTGTTTTCTCAGCCCATGCCACCCACCAGCTAGCTGCAAGGTCCTGTCAAGTCACAAATTCAGTAAAACCAAAAGTGGACTCTCAAAATGCCATCAAGGCTCAAACTCCCACTTTCACATTTACCTGGCAACTCCTTTCTCCTATTCATCTCTCCAGATGCCAGGTGTCCACGAGCCATTTCCAGGCCCCAGGCTCCTCTCTCAATGGAGATCATGCACAGAAGCTATTACAATGAGAATAAGCATGTTGTTTCAATGCTATACTATGTGTTTTTTTCTTATGACTTTGAAATAGCTCCTGTTTTCATTTTTTGAAAACTCTTCTATAAATACAGATTTAGTCTTTCTTGGTATGGTTCTATATAATACAAATATAATATTAACAAGATAATTGTCTTTTTTTCTTAAGGCTGTTTAAGGATCTGCTCTGGAAATGTGTTTTAAGGACATTTTGATTTCCACAATTTCTGAAGGTTGTACAGATAGAACCTCTTAAACAAAGAGAGTTAATTTTTTGTCTCTCTCTTTTTTCTTTTTGTTACAATCAATAAATCTGCTCGTTCTAGTCTATGATTGATATGTTCTTTGGTGTTACTATTGAACATGACAGCACAGAAGTGAAAGCAACATTTTTGTACTGAATAGCCTTGTAAGAGCAGTAAATATCAGAACAGTTTTTAAACTCATTTATAAACAGGACATTCTTGTTCAGCCATTTCTCCAGGTTTGGAAATGAGATATTCCATTTCATCATTGAGGATAACTGATTTGCTACCTCTCTACAGAAAACATTCCCCACTTGGAAATAAGTAAAAGAGATGGATTGTTTTTGTTTTTGTTTTGGTGTGTATGTGGATTAACATGGAGATATTTAACTTATGACATACTTGGATGAGTATGTCATGGGATACATTTTAATATTTAAAAGACATACACATAAGAAACAGTTATCAAGTGATAGGCTCCCAATTCTTTTAAAAAGATCCAAAAAGGAATTTGTACAGAAAGGGGGCTTTTCACTCACTTTGTGCTTTTATACCTTTCAGAAAGAATAATGTGAATAGTAGGATAGTCTTTTACTTAAAAGTAAAAAGATGACTATTTTTGGTTGTCTGAGATTCGGAGACATTTTTCTTTGTTCAGGCAAATCCCTCTCACCCTTCCTCCCTATGAGGGCACCAGCACCATCCCCAACTAAGTACCTCAGTGGTCTCTGAGCTTCATTTGTTTGTGCAGGTACCGGAGCCAAGATACTGGAAAATGACTTTAAAAACTCTTCTGTGGTACCAAGAACCTCATGCAAACTCACAGATTGTATAGAAGAGCGTGTGTCTTGGAGCAGGGTGGGGTGAGGGTACAGAATGAGAAGAGCTTTGGGGCCTGGAGTGGGCGTGGAGAGGCAGCAACAAGGTTGATAATACCTGGTGACATGTTAACTAAGGGCAGATTATAAGCCGTGGGGCAAGCTAGAGTGATCACTCAATTGGAGGGAGGGTTTGTTACACTATAGAGAAACAGCACACAGATACCATCAGAAACCCTAATGTAAAGCTAACAATGAACCCAGAAGAGGTTACAGCTTCTTTACATTTTTCACTGTAAGATAAAACATTTCTATGACTATTTAGAATTGCTGTGTCTGATACAGTCACCGCTAGCCACGTGTCCCTTGAGTATCTGAAATACTATATGTCAAGTCCAAATTGAGATGTGCCGCAGTGTAAAATACACACTGGATCTCCAAGACTTAATACAAAATAAAAGTAAAATATCTCATTAATAACATTTTATATTGATTGCATATTGAAATGATAATATTTTGAATATACTGGGTTAAATAAAATATATTATTAAAATTAACTCCACATGTTTCTTTTTACCTTTTAAAATGTGGTTACTAGAATATTTTAAATTACATGTGGCTCACATTATCTTTCTCTTGGGCGATGCTGGTTTAGTCAATAATTCAATGTTATGATTATAGATATGTTCTTGGAAATATGTGTTAAGGAGCAGACAGAACAAGATTAACATCTGAAGCTAGAATAATCAGCAAAAGTCACGATTCAATGTTTCAATACATTTAAGATTTTATTCACTGTTATGGAGGGTAGTCATGTAAAAACGTTATATATAGTTATATATACACATTACACACATATATATATATATAATGTTATAATAGTATCTAAAAATTTTTCTTAAGCTGAGGTCTCCCTTCTGTAAAATTCAAATCTGGTAATCATTGACTCAAGGCTACTAAATGGCCCTGATGAAGATGTTATTTCATTAACTTTCTTAACTAAGATGTCAAAGTAAATGTTAAGCTTTGACAACAGACTGGAGAAGAGACAGAAAGAGAGAGAGAGTGAGAATGGAGAGAGAGAGGGGAAGGAACTAGCTAATTATTTATTTCATGACTTGTTCTCTCCTGCTGTCAATATGGGTCGGGTATAATGTAAGCCATTTTCATCATCCAGTACAAACTGAATAGGAGAAAATGGAGCTGGAGTGATTTTAGTTGCTTGGAAGTAGACACTTCTTAATCTCCAACTATTGAGTAAGTTAATGGTCTGACTTTTTGGACATTTCATCTGAGAATAAATAGAGAGGTCAGTTACAGTCAGGCCTAAATGCAGGGGCATAGCCTCATTGGCTTTGCCAACCTGCTTCAGGTCCCATTTATGACAAAATATGAGATTATTCATTGAAGACTGGCATTCCAATAAGCCCAGAAAAGTTGAACAGAACAAAAAGGTTTGAACTCTGGGGGCAGGGAGGAGAAACATTCTTTCCGCAATCATTCTTAGCACCAAAAAACCATCAGGCATCACTGAGAAGGCGGCTGCCCGGTGCTCAGTTTGCCCTGTGTCCCATCCTCCCAAACAACTTGTTATAGTAGCCAAAATCAAAGCTGATTCCCTCCACCTCCTCACTTTTTGATTCCTGTGGCAGCAGCAACACAGAAACCTAACTAGACATTAACAGCCCTCCAAACACTACATGCCAATCAAAAGGCTGCACACACATGGTAAAATGGGTTCCTATGGTAAAAATAAAAGAGCAACAATGGTGGCTATAGAAAGAAGCTTAGGAAATATTTTCTTTTCTTAGAAGGCAGTAGTTGCTGTAGCATTTAAGGCAGTAACATGCAGAAAGGCTTAGACCAAAATTTCTGCAACATCAATGAAACATGCAATCAATATCATACATTCTACTGTATCATACTTATATTGTACTAATTTTGATGAAATGATTGGGCGGTTTCAACCTATGTACCACGAAGCAATCTGCACACCTCTGGTATGTTTCTGATATCTAACTATAGAAGTATTTGTCTTTGTCCTCCAAACTCTTTTATAGCACATGGTATGCATATTTCAGCATCCAACATTATTAACTCATGAGCAACTGTCAGTTGATGGTTATCTAACACATGGGGTCTGCACAAAAGGGATCCTTATTTGGGCAAAAGCTCTTGTCTGCACCAGTCTGTCTATATTTTCCCTCAGAATAACTTTATTTGGATCATTATTCGCTGTTAGTGGAAACTCGGAGGCTGCATGTATGGCAATCGGAAGGTGGAGAAATAAATCCTTAACAAGTTCAAACACTTAGCTGATATTAAAACCATTTCTAGCTTTGTTAGCTGAAAGCAAACGCTCCATTGCCCTCTCGTGGTGAGTCGATGGGATGCGGTGGGACGACCAAAAAAACCCGCAGAAACTAACAAAAGAGTTTACTCCAATACAGGTGACAACATTCATCTTGGATAGAAACAGCCACAAATGACAACCTTATGTTGTTTTATATGTTTTAGAATTTACATTTTCAGCCCTCTTATGTGGAGATTGGACAAGGTGGGGTAGGTGGGGTTTGTAATATGGAAATTAGAACTTTGTCTTTCTGCAATACAATGACTTCACTATATTTACAACCATAGCTGCTATATATGTGGCAAATTGATTTTTATGAGATTTAGAAACTTAAAAAAATCATGCTCACATTTTAAAAGCTCCTTTAAACCAAAAATAGACTGATGTTCCAACTGGTTTGGAATTATAGGAACCAAGGAAAGAAGTCTGAATAATTCCCTAATATGGAAGAAAAACTGGCTTTTTTTCTTTTCTTTTTTTTTTTTTAAATAAGGAACAGTTTGTTTCTGACAATAGGCAACATGTGGGACTTATAGAACCAAGTATAGGTACAGAATTTATCTTTCTATATTGTCTAAAAATAAAATTTTAAAAAATTCTGAACTCCAAATTTAATAGTCAGTTACCCAATTGGGTATTTATCTTTTAAAAACACCATTTAAAATTTCTGCTGTATGCCTTTCAACAATTTCCTGCCTAACAGGCCCATCCCCAGAAAGCAAACAAACCTGGTATTAAAACAGACTGAAGAGCTTAAGAGAAAGCTGGGGGAGAAGTCAGGGCAAAGTACATGAGAACATAAACTACTTTTTTAAATCTTACTACCAGTAAATGTACCATTTTTCTCTTTTATGTGTCTTCTCTTCAGATAAAAGCCACTCCTCCAACCAGCATTACAGAAATGCTCTGTATTTTTATAATATGATTTTAGGGGCAGATTAATCTCAAATTGGCTTTTCCACTCAAATGTGGAAGTTCAGTTTTGCAACAACAGTTGTTTGATTTTGTCTTTGAATTAGCAAAGTTCTTAAAGTAATTTTACTATAAAATTAAACAGCTGGGAGTTCTTTAGCAAAACATGACAACTCTTGTTCTTCTTTGTACTATTGTGCAAGCTGAAATACCCTTTCTTTCATGTCTTTATATTCCAAAATGAATTCCCTAGTTACCCTTGTTTAGCTTTAAGAAAAATAATAAAGAAGGGGGGCGGTTTTTGCTGACCTCTGAAATTCACAGGCTTTTAAGCACAGGGCGTTTACACAAGGTGCGTTCTCAAAGGGCTTTTGTTTAATTCCTATTATGGAATGAAAAATGATATTTTGCCCCAATACAATGCCAATCTTTGTGTACGGCAAAGCTGTTGACAAGTATTTCTGTGGAGCAAGGCATCTTATGCCGATTTCGCAGATGGGAAAACTGAAACATCTCTAAATGGTGAGGAAATATGGGACTAAGATGTTCATAGAGGCTGGAATTAAATTTAGAATTTGACTCTTAGCCCAGGACTCTAACCATGTGAGGGCCCTAACTCTCTGGAATCAACAGAAGGGCAATTTTAAAACATTCTTTTGACGTTATTAACCACAGCCTCGGGGCTCAGGGAAATGAGTGGGGGAGGGCCTGGAAACATAATACAGAGCTGCTAGGTGACAGCCTCTTGCAACATTGCTAATACTTTGGATTACTTGATCCATATTGCCGTATATTCTACTAATATTCTGGGGCTTAATGATTTCCTTTGTATCTTAAAAAATTAGAGTCTAGATTCAAGGGCTAGTGTAGACTGCTTCTTAAAATATGGAGCCGGAGAGTCATGACAAGACAAATTGTGGAAAGCGGTTCTTGGCTTTTCACATGAATCTGGAACCAAAGATCACTGCTAAGAGTTGGTGAAACCATAGATGTTATGCCAGTAGGATTCGTCATTGGAGTCATTTATAAAATGATGGAATTCCATAGCTTTAGGAAAACCTCGGGCACCAGCTAGTCATTCTCCACATCAGAAAAGACAGGACCAGAGAGCCTGCCACTCGCCCAGAGTCACCCAGTGAGTAGCAGAGCTGCGACAGACTCTGGTTTCTGTTGCATGAGATCAGCAGCAGAGCCTTGGCAGCAGATGGTTTTTCAATGGGCCCTGAATACCTCCATTTGGGTCTCTGCAGGGTGAGCCCTGTCATCCCAAGACCATGTTACTGAAACACACTTTCCAAGGAACTGTAATTAATAAAGTCAAATGGGAGCTGACAAGGACATTCCCACTGTGTTCATATGCCAAAACATACAAGCAAGAAAGCTCACTTGGAGTGCATGAAGCGCAGGTCCTTCTGGCAGGACTTCTGTGCACCATACTCCCAGCTGTTTGCTCAGACCCAAATGTGAGGTACTAGCAGCAAAACACTTGCAAAGCCATCAGGAAAGTGCTCTGGCATTGGGCGTCAACAACCGCCACCTGCTTGCTAGGCTGGGCTGAAAAAACAAAGGAGCCCTCCTGGGGGTGAGGAAGGGCTTTGGGAACTCAGGACCTCTGGGATCAAGAAGAAATGGACCACAGGCCACTGTGCTAGGGAGCATCGTCCTCACCTTCTAGCAGTAACTCATGCCTCAGAGGTCCCAAGCACATTACACAGCTTTATACCTGTGTGCCTTTGTTCCTGGGCTTCCTCTGACATCGATACCTTTTCTTTTTTAGCTTTTCTCCCTCCTGCCCTAACTCCTCGCTTAAAAGCTTCCTTGGCCAGGTGCAGTGGCTCGCGCCCGTAATCCCAGCACTTTGGGAGGCTGAGGTGGGTGGATCACCTCAGGTCAGGAGTTCAAGACCAGCCTGGCCAACACAGTGAAACCGCGTCTCTACTAAAAACACAAAAATTACATGGGCATGGTGGCGGGCGCCTGTAATCCCACCTACTTGGGAGGCTGAGGCAGGAGAATTGCTTGACCGTGGGAGGCAGAACATGAAGTGAGCCGAGATCGTGCCACTGCACTCCAGCCTGGGTGACAAGATCGAGACTCTGTCTCCACCCCCAGCCAAAACAAAACAAAACAAAACAAAAAGCTTCCTTACTCTCCCTCATCTCCAGCTGGGTGAGAAAACCCTTGTCAATACCTGTACAAAGTATGCTTTGGGTTGGTCGTGGTGGCTCACACTGAGACCAGCCTGGCCAACATGGTGAAACCCCGTCCCTACTAAAAAATACAAAAATTAGCTGGGCATGGTGGCAGACGCCTGTGATCGCAGCTACTCGGGAGGCTGGGACAGGAGAATCACTTAAACCCATGAGGTGGAGGTTGCAGTGAGCTAAGACTGTGCCACTGCACTCCAGCCTGGGCAATGAGTGAGACTCCGTCTTAAAATAATTAATAACAAATTTGAAAAAATGCAAAAAACAAGCATGCTTTGATCCTGGCACCTGGCACCCTGTACTGAAATCATCTGGTTAGTGTACCTTACCACAGTCTAAAGAGATTATGTTGGTCTTGATCACTGTAGCATCATTATAGTAGGTGTTCAATAAACGTTTACTAAACAAATGCCTCCCTCTGTGTCATGTTTTGAAATCAGTGTCTGGTACTACTTAGTAGAGTCTGGTAAATGTTTGTTAAACTGCACTGACTGCTCATCCCACTGGAGAACATAAATGCCGCTAAAGAGGGCCAGGTGGCTAGGCTATCCTTGATGGTTCACCTTCCTATCTCCAGCACCTTCCCTAGGTCACCATCACCATTAATAAGGGGAAGACATATACACCCACATTGTAATGCCCACTGTGTAACTCTGAGACCCAGCTATTGTCAAACACCTAAATACCTAACAGAAACCCACCTTGTCTGTGGACACACAGATCTCACCTGTTTTGCCAAGACTCTCAAGCCCACCGGGCTACTGGCTCTCCTAGAGAGCCCCTACAACAAGAAAAAGTCAGCAACACCTAGGAGAAAAAATTTCCCTGGGGAAGATGGCAGACTGCCTGGTGAGGATTCCTTTTTTAAGGAACCCCATCTCTGCAGAGCTGCCTAAAAAAATGTGCCTACCGATGAAAGTCTGAGCAAATCTGTAATGTAGAGATTACATTTAAATTCCAATAAAGATTTTTAACAAAGATCAATAAAATAGGAGATTGATCTGCAGTTCAAAGTTCCCAGTAATGGGATAGCCTAGAAATTTCATAAATAATGCTTTTATCTTGATTGCAAAATAATCCCCTGCCACAAAAACAAGGCAAATCAAGGTAGGAAATTGTTCAGCGGGAATTAAAATGTCACACTTTACACAGAATAAAGCGTTGCAATCACCAGGGAAACACACATGGCAAATGTGTTAACACAAAATTACATATATCACTTAATTATATAAGCGCATAGCTCCTGAGTAACCCATTAGCTAAACATGTCAGCTGCGGTTAAATATATACATGCAATATTTTTAGCACAGAGGGGATGTAACTATGTCAGGCCTGGCACCATAAAGCCTGAGATGGCAAGTGCTATTAAACTGAGATGCAATCATGTTGAAAAGGAAACATTAACAAACAGCAGACAATTGAGAAGAAAATACAGTGAGCTTGTGTTCTACTACATGTGCTTCCAAAACCTTATATAACTATTCATTGTCTATTTCATCTGGCTTGCATCCCAGGTTTGTTCTATGCTATACTAATTTTATAATAATAAACTGCTATACCAGTTTTATGAAATCATGCACACAGAGAGGTTGCAGATGACATTACGTCTGATTATCTTCACCAGAAAAGGACGACATCCCGAAATTAAACATAGCCTCATGCAAAACCATCCGCTCCATTTAAAATGGCCCCTTGAGTTTCCTTCTGAAAAAAGATATGTCATCTTTCCTTCCATCATCACAGCACTGGTGAAGTTGGCAAAATTGCTGTTGGAGACCCAAGTTTCATAAGAAAGTAGAGAGGGCACGGGCTTTGAGAGCAGGCAACTCTGTATTCACTTTATACATAAGGCAACTATATGACCTCGGGCAAGTCATCATCTCTCTCCGGGCTGAATTTAACCGTTCGTCAAGAGAATTATATGCCCATCTTGAAAGATTATGATGGGTAAGGAGTATCAATGAGGTAACATTAGACAACATGGCTTGCACATTATTTGGCACACTGAAGACACTAATAAATGGTGAATACCATTATTATCACTATTATATGCACGGACACGTGGAAGTAATATTAATACATCATTTCAAGCATTTCAAGAGACCAGCAGTTTGCTGGTTGGAGAGTTACTGACATTTTGGAAACACCTGGGCCCTTAGCACAGAGGTAAGCACCTTGTAGAGCCCAGGAAGAAAGATAAGTGCAGGAAAGCTACTTATTTGACAAAAGGCATCTGGTATACTTCCTTAGAGCCTGAACTGTTGTCTATGCTGACAAGTCTTCCAATATAGAGGCAATAACTGGGTTGTCAAAAGGAAGAACTTATCTTGGTGATAATTGATTCTGTGTTTCAGGCAACTTTAAATCTCAAGGCAAAAACTGAAGAAAGGAAATTACCACAAAGTAAAGTGTGCCTCAACAGGATGAGAGACAGTGCACGCGAGAGAGTGACAGACAGAGAGAGAGAGAGACTATGCCAAGTGTCCTTATTCTCTAAATTAATCATTAAATGTTTCTGAAATGTGCTTGGAGAATCCCCATTCAATGCTTAAGTCCCGAGGCTCATTGGAATCATTGGAATCCCCTGTATCTAGAAATCACCATACACAAGCCTCAGCACATTGCAGGAACTCAATAAATAGAAAACAAATTGAACAGAATTTAATCTGGTAGGCCAAGAAGAATGGCAACCTGTTGGTCGTAGGGTTCCCAGTATAGACAAACTTATCTTTCAGGAAGGTTGGGCCCCATAGAGGGTTGAAGGCTTTTGCTCTCGCGTTTTCAGTAGAACATTCCTATTAATCAAATCTCACTTTAAGCAAGCCCCTAGGTGGCAAAATAGGAGACCAAATTCTACCTATATAGAAGTTAGGGTAGGTCACTTAGGAGAAAAGGAAAGAAAGGAGTCATTTAAGATGAAACATTTAAGGTTCTGATTTGTCCTGGCCAAACCAAGTCCTGGTTTTGTTTCTAACATCCAATATTCACCGATCCAATATTTATTTATTATTTATTTATTTTCCGAGATGGAGTCTTGCTCTGTCACCCAGGCTGGAGTGCAGTGGCACGATCTTGGCTCACTGCAACCTCCACCTCCTGGGTTCAAGCGATTCTCCTGCCTCAGCCTCCCGAGCAGCTGGGATTACAGGCGCCCATCACCACGCCCGGCTAATTTTTGTATTCTTAGTAGAGACAGGGTTTCACCATGTTGGCCAGGCTGGTCTCAAACTCTTGACCTCGTGATCTGCCGCCTCAGCCTCCCAAAATGCTGGATTACAGGCGTGACTCACCACACCCGGCCTAAATATTAAACTGCCATCAGATGTCTGACACTGTGCTAGTCCAGTTGGGGTAGCACAGAGAAGACAATATAGTTCCTGACATTAAATAGTTCATGTTTTCATTGATTTATTTACAGAGTCAGGGTCTCACTTTATTGCTGAGGCTGGAGTGTGCAGTGGTGTGATCAAAACTTACTGTAACCTTGAACTCCTGGGCTCAAGCAATCCTCCGACCTCAGCCTTCCAAGTAACTGGGACTATAGGTGTGTGCCACCACACCTGACTACTTTTTTATTTTTATATTTTTAGAGACAGAGTCTTACACTTTGTTGCCCTGGCTGGCCACTAGCGATCTTACCACCTCAGCCTCCAGATTAGCTGGGGCTACAGGCACACACCACTGCGCCCGGCTACATTTTCACTGATTTTGAATAAGTATCCTTATTACCAGGCCTCAGTTCCCTCATCTGTAAAATGAGGGGCTCATTAGACAAGAGAGGAGGTCATAAACTGGCAGTCCCTGGACCAAATCTGTCCAGTGGTATAGCTTGTTTAGCTCGCATGATTTTTTCTTATCATCAATTGAAAATCATGAGGTTTTCACAGAAAAATAGGTATATCTAGCTTTTCTTAAGGAGTTGAGAGATCTGGCAACTCTGGGCTCATATTCCTACAACACAGTGAAGACTGGAGCTGAAAAGCAGCTGCTCCTTTAGACCGTGCATGGGTGTTTCCTGCTTCCTGATTTCTTACAGGCTTCAACTGCCCTTCTTCTGCTAGGGTCTTTGCTGACAACTCTGGGCACCTGAGCTTGTGACTTCTCATCTGAAAGATCTCTCAGGTCTTTTCATTTCAAATAAGCTGACTGTGAAAGCCAACCAATGGTATAAGTCAGTTACCTACAGTGAAGAGGTTAGTTCCTTGATTAACCCATGGTCTTTACCAAGTGGTCTCAGTCCAAAAGCTGCAAAATCCCAAAGAGAGTTACCAAAGAAGGTGTTATAATCCTCCTTCTTAAGAGTTTTTCAAAACTCCATTAGTTACACAACCATTTGGGATTAGCTGGAAAGCAGTCCTGCTGGAAGGCAGAAAAGTGGACCAATCTACACTTAAGAGGTCCTTCTTGTAGTTTAGACTTTTCTTCCTCTTTGTCTGTGTCCAAGACAAATAGGACATTTCAGTGGGTCTCTAAAGATGCCAGATCAGATTTACTCTCTTTTTTTGAGACGGAGTCTCGCTCTGTCATGCAGGCTGGAGTGCAATGGCATGGTCGTGGCTTACTGCAACCTCCGCCTCCTGGGTTCAAGTGACTCTCCTGCCACAGCCTCCCGAGTAACTCGGATTACAGGCATCCACCACCGTGACAGGCTAATTTTTGTATTTTTAGTAGAGATGGGGTTTCACCATGTTGGCCAGGATGGTCTCGATCTCCTGACCTCGTGATCCACCTGCCTTGGCCTCACAAAGTGCTGGGATTACAGGTGTGAGCCACCGCACCCAGCTCAAACCTCTTTACTCTTAAAGATGCATAGCCCTTGCCTGATTCCTGGGGGATGTACTTTGAAACTGATATCAGAAAATCGGTCATTTTCAGCTGCAAGTTGTACTGTATTTGTTCTTCATTCATTTTTAGACCCTTTGCGCTCCAAAAACACTTCTTCGTGGTTGCTAGGCAACTATTGTTGAATACATGCAAGAGGCATTAATTGTGTGATCATTTTCAAAAATGGGGAAAATTTGTTTAAAACTGAGGACATTGCCACACTTAAAATATTTCCCTCCTTAAGCAGCTATCCAGAAGAAGGCCACTACGGGTTGCTGGCTTCTGTTAAGGAGTAAGATGATTCACCAAAAATTGTTTACTTACAGTTATTTGTCTTAGATCTTCCATCTTCAGCCCCCCACTCATCCATGTAAGCAGCCCTGTCTTATGACAAATCCTCACTCTTAGGCTAACTGGGATTTGTCTTATTAAATATATTCTGCTTTTCCTGTTGTGCGGTTCCTTACTTAAAATACCTGCATTGGCCGGGCGTGGTGGCTCACGCCTGTAATCCCAGCACTTTGGGAGGCCGAGGCAGGTGGATCACCTGAGGTCAGGAGTTCCAGACCAGCCTGGCCAACATGGTGAAACCCCCATCTCTACTAAAAATACAAAAATTAGCTGGGCGTGATAGCAGGTGCCTATAATCCCAGCTACTCGGGAGGCTGAGACAGGAGAATCGCTTGAACCCAGGAGGCGGAAGTTGCCGTGAGCCGAGATCACGTGACTGTACTCCAGCCTGGGCAACAAAGAGTGAAATTCTGTCTCAAAAAAAAAAAGAAAAAGAAAAAGAAAAGAAAAACCCTGCATTTTTCCTGACATGTGTATTTCATACTTGCATATCCTCAGGGCAGGACAGCTTGTGGCTCGTCAATTATTACATCTAGCTTTAGAACCCAATAAACTTATCATAGGGCGATCATCTCTTTCTCTGACCCAAATGGAAACAACAAGAACTTTTCTATTTTCCACATCAAAGACTAAGATTTCTGCTAAAGCCAAACGCTCTGTGTACGTCTTACCCCCACATCGTTAAAGGAGACATAGATTTCACTTTACAGTGTGTTTTCCTCACACTTTGTTTTTGATATTTCAATGTCATGATTAATTGAGTCCATTAATATTGACTTTGATACATTGAGTCGAAAATCTGAACTAAATAAGGGCAGAATTTGTTACGAGGTGATCTCCCTCTTTTACTGGATATTAAGTGAAGCAACACAAATGTCCATGAGGATGGAGTCCTACAGGCAAAACTAGGCTGATTATATACTCTTTCCACTCTGTGGTTCCTACAGACAACCAGTTTCCTCATCTGTAAATTAGGGGAAATGATTCAGAGCTCAGATCAGTGCCTGGCACATAATAAGTAGTATATAAGCACTAGCTACTACAATTATTAATTCTTGGCCTTAGATCCAATATTGTCTTCCTACTCTTTCTTAGCTATATATTCTCATTTTGGTTAATTCCAATCAAAGACAATGTCTTCTCTATGCAATTAACTTGGAAAAATACTGAGCATAATTGCTCTGCCACAGGAAAAAAATAAGTTGTTATCAGAGAACAAAATATACTACATAGATAGATATAATTCTCAACTTCCAAGCTGACTTTTGGAGAGCAGTAGAGATAAAGAGAAGGCATGGCATACCCGGAACTGGAGCAGTCCCTATGACGTGGACATGGATAAGGGTTAGGGCTGCAGGACAGGAGGCGGAACATAAAAAAATGGAGGTGAGAATAGTGTGGCTCTGCAATATTCTGGATATTCTAAAGCCTAGGCCTCTCTGTGCACTCACTGCCACCTCAAAGTGTCCCACGAACAGTTTTGGAGAGCAGATGGAGGCGAGCAGATCTCCCTTGATTTAGGTTAGCTGTGGTGCGTATTGTAAATCTCTTGCAAATATTTTATGCCAGGTACTGTACTTCTATGAGCTTTTTTTTTTTTTTTTTTGAGACAGAGTCTTGCTCTGTTGCCCAGGCTGGAGCGCAGTGGCGTGATCTCAGCTCACTGCAACATCTCCTGGGTTCAAGTGATTCTCCTGCCTCAGCCTCCCAAGTAGCTGGGATTACAGGCATGCGCCACCATGCACGGCTAATTTTTGTATTTTTAGTAGAGACAGGATTTCGCCATGTTGGCCAGGCTGGTCTCAAACTCCTGACCTTAAGTGATCCATCCGCCTCGTCCTCCCAAAGTGCTAGGATTACAGGCATGAGTCACCATGCCCAGCCCCTTCTAAGAGCTTTATGTGCAGCACTTCATTTAATCCTCATATATATAATATATCCCCTTGAAGTGAGTAGTATCATGATTGTCAATTTAGAAATGAGGAAACTGAGGCTGAGAGAGGGTGAGTCATTGCCCAGGAGCACACAGGTGGTGAGTGACAATGAGTGCAGACTGAGATCCAGAGTTCATCTTCTTGTTGCTGCGTCCCCTGCCTCTACAAAGCAGTGGGCCTCAATACCCTACAGGGGAACAGACTTTGTTCCCTGAGACAAAGTGGCCTGGAAGGAGAGAGGCTGAAAAGCAGAATGCAGTGACAACAGGCCCACACTTAACACAGGATTGCTCACTCAATACTACAAACTAGTATTTTTGTACTTGCGTAACTGCTTCAAACTAAGAAAGCAAACAAGCCCAAGCTCGTTCATTCTTCTCCCTATCCCCCACATCATTAAAGGAAACTCTTCTCATTCCTAGCTGAGATAAATATCACAACAGATCTAAGAATTATTTTCAATAAATATTTCTTGGGCACCAAATAGCATTGTGACCAAAACCAAAGAAATATGAGATAGGATTCTTGTTTTCCAGGGACGCAGAATCAAGTGTGTTTTCTGTGACTTAGAGTTAACTCATCCATCCCTTCAACATTCACTGGCTACCTAGGATAAGCAGATGCACACCAGGGACAAGGCGTTTCCAGGATGCCCTTTCTCCTTCCTCCCATAAAGCTGAGGTTTTGGCATGGAAAAGAGAGATGCAGCAAGGTGAGCTGGATCAGTGTTATGAAAGGGTGAGAGTAAGAAACATCACAAGGGTGCTGAACTCACTGGAATGTCAGGGAAGACCTCTTTGAGGAAGTGATGTTTAAGGTGAGATCTCCAGAATAGAAGGAGAAATTGGCCAGACTGAGGGGTGAGGCAATGATAAGGGGGTTTCTTTTCTGGGAAGGACATACACAGGGTTTCATATTTAAGGGAGAAAGAAACGAGTGCAAGAAGTTAAAAAAGGTGCATACTGCCCGGCTGTACAAAGCACAAGGGAAGGACCATTTTATTCTTAAGAGATACTGTGAGGTGGCGATGGCTCACACCTGTAATCCCAGCACTTTGGGAGGCCGAAGTGGGCAGATCACCAGGTCAGGAGATTGAGATGATCCTGGCTAACATGGTGAAACCCCGTCTCTACTACAAAAAAATACAAAAAAATTAGCCAGGCATGGTGGTGGGCTCCTGCAGTCCCAGCTACTTGGGAGGCTGAGGCAGGAGAATCGCTTGAACCCGAGAGATGGAGCTTGCAGTGAGCCGAGATTGTGCCACTGCACTCCAGCCTGAGCGACAGAGCAAGACTCAGTCTCAAAAAAAAAAAAAAAAAAAAAAAAAAAAAAAAAAAAAAAAAGGAGATACTGTGAGGCTAATGCATCACTACAGTGAAGACTTTTCATGTTGCAGGCCTCCAGGAGTTGGACAGATTCAAGGAGGCTGGTGTGGAGCTGTGGCCAGATGGGGCTTGACAGATAGGAAGGACTAGGAGAGATGGAGGAAGAAAGAGAGGAAAACAAGACTGTTTCCTTTTGTATCATGGAGGTGGTGAAACTAACCCTGGCTGCCCGTCCTGTCAAGAGCCTTCTTACCCCAGGACCTTGTCACTGTGATACAACTTGTCATGCATATGTTTCATCTTTGGTGGAAAAGGCTCAAAATATTCCTTTCATTCCCCACTAGCTTTTATTTGGCTCCTTCTGCAGGCTGAAGTTGCCTATTTTAATATATGACTCTTCATTTATTCATTTTCAGCCAGCAAACAATTTTTAATTAGCCTGCTCTTTATTAAGGACATAGAGCATGTTATTAACTAGGTGCATCTTTGGGTCTTTAAAAGGAGTGAAAGAGACATAATCAATTTGCATGTGATGTTTAGGGGTTAAAGTGGTGTTAGTCAACATATTTAGAGCAAATCTCATCAAGCTCCATTTTTAAGCCCTGACTCAACTTGACGATCCCACAAGGCAGAAGGGAAGAGTGGGATTAATATATTAGTCACTTGTACAACTTGCCAGTCTGTCAGTTACATTAGTTCCAGTAAAATATTCAAGGAAATAAATATAATTTTTTTAAAAAAGTATTCCTTTATCTACGGAATCTGACAAGAAGGATTCATTTAGCTCTATTGGAGTACTTAAATACTGTTACAATTGCTTAAGTCAAGGGTCCCCCACCACTAGAATGTGAGTGCCTCAAAGGTTAGCACTGGATTGTGTTCTTTATTGTACTAGTCCTATATCCTCACATGGGGCTACACACAATTACATAGTTGGTAATCAATAAATGTCAGTTGGACACATAAATAAATGAGCACACTCATTGCCCACACCACACATATCTGCTAATAGGTAATACAGGAAACTGGGGGATCAAAATAACCACATGAGCTCTCAGGATGATGGAAGAGAAGGTTTTCAGCTCACTCCATTTGGCAGTTCTGCCCTGGTCAGTTGTTTCATATGGTTGTGTTTCTTGCAACAAGGCTTGGGTATAAGTACTCAGCATGCATCTAACTCCACTCATGGAAAAGGCACTTGGAATCTGAACCCGACTGAAAGAGTGAAAGAGGGTGGTAAATGAGTGGTATCACCACCTTATTAGAAAGCCAGCTAACAGCTGTAGCAGTTACTCAGCTATTTCTTTATTATCCATCCCAAGGCATGTGCCAGAATTTGCAAGGTCTTTGGTGTGTATTCACCAGATACGAACACCTTTTGAACTTCCACTCAGTGAAAGCCATTTTGGAATATATTTATCAAAATATTTTGGAAATCTTTCCAATTTGCCAGAGTTAAAAATGCAAATAAGCTTTTTTTTTTTTTTTTTTTCGCTTCCACTCCACCTCTGGCCTTGGTCAGCAGGCATGCTTGATTGTACACATAAAATGTGAAGAAACTACATAAATAAAGGAGCTATGATATGGTCACAAGTTATACCTATACTTCTCAACATGCAGTGACTTGATCAAGAGTGATTTGTATTTAGCATGTTTTTCTAATTACACCTCTTTTGTAACACCTAGCAGCTATCGCAGGAAGCACACAAACGTAGGTCATCTAGCTAATTTCCAGGCAACAGATGCCAACTGTGGATATAGTAGCATGACCACAAGTTAAGTACAAATAGCCAAGCTTGTGATAGGGAAATTTATAATAAGTAAAGGCAGACAGACACATCCAGATCACCTTTCCAGAAAGCCAATTAGAAATGACCCCACATCTCCCCGTCTCCAAACTCTCTTTAAAGATACCCATTATAAATCTGCCCAAAGTAATGTCACTGAATTCTATGGCCAAGATAAAGAGGTTTCTTTACTGTGAGATTTGTTGCAATAAAAATAAAGCACAAATGAATCACAAAGATGTAAGATAAGAACTGTGTGGAAAACACTGTGATAGATGACACATCTCATTAAATATAATTTTATGTGATCAGTTACTGTATTGCCCAGTTTAGTTGATTTATATACACTTTCGGAAGCTTTTTACTGTTCAGAATGCAATTATATACTTTATAATTGAGTACATAGTTGATTAATTACAATGTTTATGGCCATTCCAATTAAAAGCTGGCTATCAGGTCCATGGTGAGAAACCTACCCTCCCCACCTTTTAAAACATTGCTTCTACAAATAATGTTCTACGAAAACGAATTATACTTAACCTGCAAGACTTTTACTTATAGCACTGCTTCCAGTAGGGCACTTATATGTAGTAATCAAGTAGCTATCTTTTCTTAGATACTTGTCTATTCCTAAGTGTCTTTGGTACAGAGCCATTCTCGATATTTTAAAAGTTCTTTCCAAGCCATTTCAGAACCCGAAAAGAATAACAATACAGATGATCATTCGTCTCTAGTGGAAACTCAATCAATATCTACCCGTGAAAACTTTTCTAGATTTTCTTCAGTTCATTGGTTTGGTAACTTTGTACTTCTTAGTAAGAACAATGGGAAGTTAATCTGCCTCCCGAAAGAAAAAAAAATCAGAAAATATAATTTTGTCAAATCTCCTTCAAAGGAATTTCTTTCCTAGCTTCTTATCTGTTCAAAGCTGCTTAAGATATGGTAGTCAATATCAATCAGGAAACATTTGACCCAAAGAGATAAAGTCCCGAGGTATGATCCTTTGATGAATGGTTTGCCCTTATCAGCTTGTAATTGCTATTATAAACTCAACAGAAAGGTTCCCTTCCACTCTGGTTTCTGAAATAAGCCTCAAAGAAAAAGGAGTGGTTGTGTTACCATTAAACTCAAGAATTGAGCATGTGCAGTAATCACTGGCTGCTACAAAGACAACAGGTGTTGTATTAGTCAAAATTAGGAGTCTCTTAAGTTCTATATTTCTCTTTGTGTGTATGTGTACAAATATAAATGTATCTATTTACTTGCTTACTAGTCACATTCCCAGGCTCTAGAATTAGGGCAGATGAGTCATGTCGATTTAATTCCATAAGGTTTAATCAGGGCCTCATGGATTATCTGGTACATAATAAGTTATCCCTAAATATTTGTTGAATTGATGAACGATGGCCTTGACAGAAAGAAGTACAGATGGATGGATGAATAAGGCACTCTGTGCTGAGAGGATTATCATCCCCATTTTAAAACTAGGGAAATCAAGGCTTGAAAGTGAAGCTGCAGAGGGGGCAGGCACTTAAATCAGAGTTTTCCATATCTTTGTGTGGATACAGAAGCCTATCGGTATCCAAGACTCAAAGGGAACACCACTTTATCTACACGTATGTGACCCTGATCATAACGACTACTTTACTTAGTCTCCCAAACAGTCTGTGTCCTTCAATGTGCCTAGGGCACAGTTCAGGGCAGAACAGTCACTATTCAATAAATATTTGTGGCTTGATTTGGAGATCAGAAATAGCTCTCTTAAAAAGTGCCATTCTTACTCATTTTATAAGTAAGGCTTCCTTTTGCTTGATTAATATCACATCGCTACTTGTCTTTTAAATCAAGGTTGCAGCTATGTATTCCCCCACTTCCTTTTTTCTTTCCTAATCTCACCAAGAGTCTGTTGTTTCTGACTTGACAGTCTGCTTTAAATTCCTTATCCTCTTCCACTTTCCAAATCAACCTTTCACTGACCAAATCCTTCAGCTCTGCAGTACTTTATTCTTCTGGTACAAGAATATGACTCAAAATGTGGCAGTGACCTGCTCACATGTGCATAAATATAGGATTTGGTTCAGTTGGTGTGAGAAGACTCAAAAGGATTCTGTGTCATACATGCAAATACATGGAGCTCTCAAGATAACAATACTTCTTTCAGGCCCACTCAGTTAATATACTATGAATGATGATGGCCAAAGGAGGCAATATGGGGAAGAGTGCCTTGCCCTAAATCTAAGGAGCAAATGCACAAGAAGTCTGAGTTGATGAATATTCTAGTAAGCATTTTGTTACTTTCAGACATTCAGCTATTTGCTAACCAAGCACGTCCACAGAGAAGTGTTACTTTAATGAACAGATAAGAATTGTTCATAGTAAGGGGTGTGAAACAGTCTTCTCTGAATGACTGATCATCTGCCACATCCACTAGGTATTGGGAAAGGGGCTGGAGACTTGCTCCAGTGTGTGGAAAGTCCAAGCAGGGCAAAGAGACAAACACAGAGATATGTTTCTTTGACTTGTTTCCAGCATTGACTAAAGACCTTATCAAAACTCGTAAGAAAACAGATGGGAAGTTCGTTAACACGGGCACCACGGGTTCTGCTGCCCTGATCAATGAGCAAATTTAACCTTGTACTCCAGTTAAAGGAGAGCTCTGTGAATCGTTCACAATGAGGAGATTTTTTTTGGTTTGTTTTCAATTTACATTTTGCTTCCAGTTCTTTTCTGTCATTTCAGTTTTTTACAAGACAAGACCCAGGGAATATCTCAAGGAAAGCACATTAATTTTAATATTCCTTTGATGATCTCCCTCTAATGATAGGAAATCCACAGCCAGTGTCACAAATGAGGGATTGTTGTAGAAAAAAACTGGGTTCCTGTCACATGACCAGGAAGGACTAGGCTTGTGGACACATAGAAGGGTGAGTGGAATTTGTTGTGCAAAAAGGAAAAAGGAAAAGCAACACAGCAAAGTGAGATGGAGTCTTGTTAACAAGCTCTCTACCTCACCGACTGAATCCCAGGTTACCACCCAGGAACAGGAGAGGGCCAGCTCCTCTTTCCTGCGAAAGGTGTGAAATTCCCAAGGCTCCACCCCATCCTCCCAGTGCACAGGTCAGTGGGAGATTCTCCAGGGACCTTCCCCCTTATCTTCCTCCTGCTTCTATCAGGATCAAAAAGGAGGGCAGCTGTGAGACACAAGTAAATGGGTAAGGTTTTCCAAAGGATGGCATGGCCACAGTGGTTACAGTAAGAGTGCCCCTTAACTGGAAATCCGCACACCATCTAGAGAACCTCATTGCTCACATGGGTTTTGCAATCTCCAGAAAGTGGTGTTTGGAGGACGTTAGAGTTTATCCAGTCCAGCCCACTGGACTATATGGGCAAACTTCATTGTATGAGCTCCACTTATATGAATTGTAGTTCAGTAAAGAAGAGAACATGGGACAGGGGGACAGTGCCAGGGCTTAAAGCTACTAAAATGGTTACAAAATGTGAAATTTAGAAGAAGTAAAAACAGTTATGTGATATTCGGTATTACATTTACTTTTCCCAAAAGGAGAAAATTGATAAATCATTAACAAATTCTCCTCTCTGACTCCTTTCCATGTTGTGTCATCTCCCAGTTGCTATGATTGTGGTGATGGCACTGGTTTCTTAAAGACCCGGCTATAAAATATATGGACTAACTGTTGAACCAAACCAGGGAGCTATTAACACCACAGTGGTTGTACTCTAAGCAATTGGGTTTGCACAGCTCCAACTCATGCCTTGAAACGCTGAAATAAATTAACTTCTTTATTTAGACATAAACATTGTTGTAGAAAAAACCAAGTTATTGTCACACGACCACATTACACCCCAGAAAGGGCCAGAATGGATGTTTCTGGTTCACACATTCTGTCCAGGGCAAAAGGAGATACTTCTTGGTAAATATCGCTGACCATAATCTGGATTCTCTAATTTCAGAAACCCATTCCTCTGACAGAGTAATATTTATAGAAGATGAATTTAGGTTTTCAATTATGCCAACTTCCTCTTTCATATTCAAATGCTACATATATTCCAGAACATGTTTACAGAATTTTCCCATATTTCTAAATAAATACTCCAAAGAAGTTCTGAAATATACACATTTTAAAGATGCCTTTGCACACACCAAGTTATTCCCAGATGTTTTACATTCCAAATTTCTCAATAAATGAATAACATGCTAGGAAAGCAAACAAGAGCTGACAGTATTTAGTCTAAGTTTTTTAAATGGTATAGCATGTGCAGCTAAAAACAATTTTCGATAACTATGTATCAGCAGTTATTAAAGAATCCAGAGTGAGTATTTGTGGGACTTGGCACTGAGCTCTATGTAAATGCAGTCTTCAGGATGATTGTTTTGTGTTTCTCACAATCACACTGCAGCAACAACTTTTGTCTTCTATCTTCTGAGATATATATATATATATATATATATATATATATATATATATTCATGTGACAAACCCATGATCCCAGTGCACTGCCACAAATGCTCATTAACAAGCATCACAGTCCCACAGTCAGTTCTGTGAGCTTTGAACCAGTTCCAGAACGAGGGCTACAGCAAATGGCAGCTTGGCCTTTTCATTTTTTCCATTTTTTACACTTAACAAAATGTAGAAAACTCCCAATAACCGCTCCTTTCACACTTTTTATCTCCTTTATAAGTTCGTAATATTCACCCATTAAATCTCAAACTTTGCTATGTTCTTATGTAATGCTTAATTCTCTTCTCTGGCGTTGGCTTGTGAAATGTCTTTAATTAAAAAAGCTAAAAGCACTCTAAATCTGGATGGCAGACTCATTTCCAGGGCATTCAGGCATGTTGTCTAATTTTAAAACTCTGACAGGATACATGTAAATTTATGCAAGTTTCATAAAAGTCACAATTTCCTCCTTGAATTCAAGCTAAAGAAAATGCCCCTGAGCTCTTTTCAAAGCTGTTTGTTTTACTGGAGAGCTCATTTTGCCCATTGTGTTGGAGGTGATTATTCTGAAGAATATCCGATGTCAAAGTCCCATCAATCCACTAAGAATTAAGGAGTTAAATTTCCCGACTATTGATCAAACAGACTCTTTGATCATTATTTTATGCCTTTTAAACACAGATGGGGGAGGGGAGGAAAAATATTATCATGCAAATTATTTTGGTTGACAGTAATTAAGAAATTATATGTTAAGAAAATCAGTAATTGTTCACATGAGTCATTAATGTGTTTTCATTCTTTGTAAAACTTTCTGGCACGCCCTTCCTTTCTTGCTTTAAATAAGCAAGGACTGGAAAATATGCATAGTATTTGGAACCCAGGGGAGTGACATATTAATTCAAAGTTTGCTTGGAAGTGTAGCTTTGTGGAAACTCAAACATGTTCCCATCCTTTTTTGTTTCCACCTCCCTTCTACTCAAGACTCCTCGCCAGAAAGTTAGGGTAGCCTCTTTGAATGTAAGGCAGGGTCTTCTATGGGCTGAGACTCGCTTCTCTTCAGAGGGTCACAGTTAGGAGGGTCACAATTAGAAGACTCACTGCCTAGGAAATCTGTAAGAAAACCCACAAAATGTGGGAATCAGAACGAGCTCAGCCCTGGGCGATTAACCAGTCCTTGCTAATTCTGTGGCTCCCTAGGAGCAAATCTTCACTCTGAATTAAACCTTTGCCAAAGTTTGTTTTGGAAAGGTCTTAAATCCACAGGAAAGAGACTAAAAGTGTATGATGGAAGGCTGAAACAAGCTCCTAAATGGTTGGGACACCTTCGAATGAACTCAGGTTGGCTTATAAATGGCCAATCCCTAAAAGAGCACAAACTAAAATTACATTTGTTTTTATTGAAAGACAGCCTCAAGTGCTGACATGTAGTGTATGACATGGGATACATAATAATACTCTTAAACCAGTTCTGACATAATATCTCCGGCGGCCTAATAACCACAAATGATTGCTTTAGTTAAGAACTAGCCAGAAGCAAAATAGATCCATGTAAAAGTAGCTTGAATCATAAATGCCTCAACAATATTTTATGTCACTTTGTAAAAGTTAAAGGAGTCCTATAATAATTAACAACAAAAACGCCATGTTCTTCACTATTGTACGGTGGTTGTGAAAGGTTATTTCATAGTCCCGAGGCTGCCAGTGCCGTAAATTATGCAGGCACCAAGAAGCATTAAGGAGAAATAATAGCAATTTAAACGAAGGCTGACGTAATTCATGATAAACAGTCATTGGAAAATATTACAATGTTGTCTTTTTTGAGTGGGTTTAATCAGAAGAATGTGACCATATTCTAACATAAACCACTTCTCTTTTCCATTGTGCTAGCACTTGGAATGTTGGCACTCACCCTAGCTGCAAGGTTCTTATTCACAATAATTGCTGAATCCAGAGCTCCAACACCTCCAGGGAACCTAACAATGTAAATTTGGTATTCTGATTGATGGAAGGAGCTTCCAAGACAAAGCTCCAAACCTCTGGGCTGCATGGTGGTCTAAAAAAGGGACTGAAATTTGAGATTCATACAGCCAGGATACTTTCAAGAATACACATTAGAAAGATGGCTCAAGTAAAGCAAGCAGTAAAGAATTACTTTACTGTGATGTCTAACAGAACCTGGAGATGTGGTATGAATCTGGCAGCTGTCCTGATAAAAGCAGATCTTTGTCACAGATTGTTCTTGGTGAACTGTAAATATAGCAACACATTAAGAAGTAAATATGATGGGGAAGACCAAACCAGCCAACTTTCATTAATGCAAAATATCACCAGGTCAGGATCATAAGACATAATCACAAGACAGGGTGGTCAAGCAGATGTTTGTATCTGAACACCCACAAAAAATTACCTTCTGTGCATAAAAGACGACAGTGGTGGGGGCGGGGGAGGGGCAGGTTTGAAAAAAAAAAAAAAAGGTCAGGAACGCGTCTCATGCCAACATGGAGACCGGGCAATATTTACCTCTCTGGCACCCACCCAGTCTTTGGAAACGTAAAGATAATAATGATATTGGTATTACAACTACAAAGCCTTCCAATGTGCAGTTCATTTAAAAGTCTTTAAGCCAACTATTGATTATCTGTGGTGACGAAGGAAGGCAAGGATAAAAGAAAACACAGAAAATCCAATGGCTTATCTTTCCCACTGGTTTCTGTTTCATTCATGATCCATTCTTTCCAAGGGCCATTAAGAGCAGCAGAAGTGATTTCATTTTTTCTTCCTCTCCTTTTCTCTGCCAACCTTCGGATGGAGGTGCTAATGAGCTGGAATAAACTCAAACGAAGGGAGAGGAGGTCTGCCCAGGAAGTCAGGGACTTAGATAATCTACATAGTGGGGCCTCTGTCCCTGATAATAAAAAATTAATTGCCACCTTGCAGAGATCATTTAAAATATCTATTATATAGAAAACCCGATTATTTTTGACACTGGATCTTTTCTTCCAACTGAATCTATTTAAATCATCTCAGAGGTCAAATATCTGGCCACTTCTTTAAAAATATTCTTTCAAAGTAAGATAAATGGCTTTCTCTGGCATTTATACTATTGAATAATAAAAATGTATTTTATCTCCTCTACACACAAACCTTACTTTCTCTAAATAGCCCACTGTGAACATTATCAGTGAATTTTGCTCAGTGTACAAATATTTTATGTATTACAATGAGTAGCAGAACACAAAACTTGCAAATATTTATTTTTAGACATATGGGAAAAAAAGCAATTAGAGCTAAAAATGTGAAGAATGAAGAGCTCACTTAGAAGCAATTACATTGGACATGCAAACTGTTCTGCCATCAAACTTTTATTCAGATGCTGTAGAGCATATTAAGAAATATCACTTGCACACACAAAAAAGAAAATATTATTTCACAACCAAACATTTCCAATCACTATAAACAACATCTGGGGGTCATTAATAACTTACTCTGCAGCTGAATTAGCCAAATAATATGTGGCCTGACTCAGAATTCCTAAATTTCTATTTTTGAAGAAAAAAAAAAAAGCAGAACAAAACAAAATACCATGACTTATTTTTTTTTTCGAGACGGGGTCTCGCTCTGTTGCCCAGGCTGGAGTGCAATGACGTGATCTTGGCTCACTGCAGTCTCCGATGCCCAGATTCAAGCAATTCTCCCACCTCAGCCTCCTCAGTAGCTAGGATTACGGGGCATGTCACCACACCTGGCTAATTTTTGCATTTTTAGTAGAGACAGGGTTTCACCATGTTGGCCAGGCTGGTCTTCAACTCCTGACCTCAGGTGATCCACCCACCTTGGCCTCCCAAAGTCATGGCTTATTTTTTCAAATATGTTTGCTGTCTGGGCAGTTTATATGAATATACAAACGTATGTAGACATAAGGGACAATTTGTGTACACATACGAGGCACATACTGTTTATGCATTAATCACTACTTCCCCTTACGTGGTGTCCTGTTTTTGTTTTGAGGAAGTTTAAAATTGTAATATTGAGTTCACTCTCTCTGCTCAGAGGCTAGTATATAATTAGCATATTTTTCAGACTAGTAAGAATCTAACCATAAGCAACATCTGAGAAGCCTCCCATTCCAAACTACTACAAAGCCTTTTGTACATAGCCTCATAACACATTTTAAGAACAGGCATACTGTTCAAATATGCCAGCCCTAAGATAAAAGAACTAACAATTTTACTGCCACACAACCCACTGTACTGAAACACCCCAAATATTTATACTAACAGGAGTTGAAAATAGTATCAGAGGACAATGCCAAAATATTTCTTCCACTCATTATTAGCAACAGTCTTTGGGAAGACAGATGCCAAGAAGCCAGTGCTTTTCTAATTCACTGGGTCCTATCACATGGTCTGTTAGTATAGGTTTCGTGGGGAGCAACAGACTGGTTGACTTATGGGCAGGGTAAAATTGTCTTTAAGACAATCCGTATTTACAGGGTTTTATTTTAATGCCTCTCAATCTCAAACATCACTTTGAAAAGTATTAAATTTCAATTGTAAGATACACTGTTTGGTTCAAATTTCAATATCTCCAGAATTGGTGGCATCTCAATTGATGGCATTTTACAGTTGTTAATCAGCAGTGCTTTTTATTGTATATGCAATGTGGCACATATAAAAATGGTGTATCTTAGAAATGATGTCTTAAAATTTAATGAACCTCATTGGTCTATATCAGAGGTCAATACATTTTTCTGTACAGGGTCAGAGTGTTGGTATTTTCAGCTTTGTGAGCCATACTCAAGTCAGCTGTCATAGCACAAAAACAGCCATAGATAAGATGTAAGCGTATGAGTGTGGCAGTGTGCCAATAAAACTCTGTAACAGGCTGAGCGCTGCACATGGCCCGTGGGTTGTAGTTTGCCTTATGGACAGTAGGCTGCAAACAGCACACTGACCTATGAGAATAGAGCCAGCTACGTACAGTGATGGAACCTTAGCCGCAATGCTGAATCTCCTAAAGGCACAAACTCCACCATCCTCTGAGTCTTAGTCGAACAATTCACCTACGGCAAGTGCTCCACATATGCCAGATAAGGCTGAAGTGAATAACAGTGTTTAAATTCACACTGTTAGGCCAGGTACGGTGGCTCATGCCTGTAATCCCAGCACTTTGGGAGGCCAAGGTGGGCGGATCACCTGAGGTCGGAGTTCAAGACCAGCCTGGCCACTGTAGCGAAACCCCATCTCTATTGAAAATACAAAAATTAGCTGGGTATGGTGGTGGGCACCTGTAGTCCCAGCTACTCAGGAGGCTGAGGTGGGAGAATCTCTTGAACCCGGGAGGCGGAGGTTGCAGTGAGCCAAGATCGCGCCACTGCACTCCAGCCTGGGTGACAGAGCAAGACTCTGTCTCAAAAAAGAAAACAACAACAACAAAAAACCTCACACCGTTCAGAGGTGGAAAAGCAAAGACTACGCAGGTGAATTTGAAGAGTGTACTCGGTTTCCCCCATAGGAGCACTGCTGTATATATTTGACAAAAGTCCCATTGAGCTCAAGTCAGATTCTCATAATCATTATTTAAATGAATTAGAACAGTTGATAGGCTACTGAAAAGAAGCACAACACAACCCGTAAGAGCACTGCTTTGCAGCTTAAGAGCAGGGTTTGAATCCCAGCTCCACTAAAGCAGCTGTGTTGAAGGACTTCCTTAAACGGGTCTGAACTTCAGCTTTCTCATCTGTAAAACCAGAGAAGGTAACAATCCCTACCTAAGTATTATTGTGAAAATCGAGGAGATAATGAACATAGTAGGTGCTCAATAAATCCTAGAAAAATTTGGCTTCAATAAGCCTTTCGCTGAAGTATTTATCCTACTAACACTTCATTAAGTGGTTATCTCTTAGGAACACAAATTATAGGCACATAACAGTGCCTGATACATGGTATGCTCTCAATAAAAGGTATGATCTAATGTCATTATTTTCATATTTTCATGAATTAAAATTCTAAGGAAATGAGTTGTTCTAATTAATGAAGTGTAACGTTTACAGAGAATCATTGGAAACACCTTTTTTGTTTCATTGATGGAATGCAAGTATGTGAGAACAGAAAAGGTTCTTAAAGATCACCCAGTCCAGGAGTTCTTAATCTGAGGTTTCATATACCCTACAAATCCTGGAAAATAGATGCAGAATGTTCTGTATTTGCCTGACATGTCAATTTTTGCTAATGACATTGTTCAAAGCTATTATTATTTTTATTATGTTTGCATGCACTTTTTATGAGAAGATTCATAGCTTTCATCTGATTCTCAAAGGGACCTGAGATCCAAAAAAGTGCAAAAACCGGTCCGACATTCCATTTCATATATAAGACGTGGAGTCCCAGAGAGGTTAACTGAGTCATGGAAGCTCCCTATTTTGTATGAGGGTCATATTCAGAACATAGTTCTCCTGACTCCCAAATGCCCTTTCTAGTACACTGTGCTTTTTCTTAATTTCTTGGTAGTTAATAGCATACAGAGTATATACCTCCAAAATCAGGGCTTTGCACTTTTACCTAGCAAAGCCTTTTACCCATCTGCAACTACCCAAGGAACATACCCCCTACCTTCAGCCGCTACTTCTTACCACACGCTGCCTCCTGTCAGCACCAGCTCAACAGTTCCTCCATCACACCCGAACAGAAGCAATTATGGGAGGAGCTGGTGGTAACAATTACTTTGTCAACTTCCATTCTCCATTACCACTGCAACCAACTTCAACTTTAAGCATTCCTACAGTATTGAGTCTCAATCTTAAGTGTGCATAAAGTGTGATTAAAATATTGGTAACAAGGAAATGTAAATTAGTACAGCCATTATGGGAAACAGTATGGAAGTTCCTCAAAAAATTAAAAATAGAATTACCATATGATCCAGCAATCCCACTATTGGGTATATAGCCAAAAGAAAGGAAATCAATATGTCGAAGAGATATCTGCACTCCCATGTTCACTGCAGCACTATTCACAATAGCCAAGACTATGAGTCAACCTAAGTTTTCATCAAAGGATGAATAGATTTTAAAATAAAGTGTATCAAGGAAATGATAAATGCTTGATGTAATAGATACCGCAATTACCCTATTTCATCATTACATATTGTATCAAAGTATTACATTTTTATCAAAGTATCATATGAACCCCCATAAATATGTATTATTATATATCCATAAAAATTAAAAGAGAAAATGTGGTATATATATATATATATATATACCCAATGGAATACTATTTAGCCTTAAAAAAGAAGCAAATTCTGCCACCATTTGCAACAACATGAAAGAACCTGGAGGGCATTGTGTGGAGTGAAGTAAGGTAGTCACAGAAAGACAAATACTGCAAGATCTCACTTACATGTAGCATCTAAAAATGTTGAATTCCTAGGAGTAGAGAGTAGAATGGTGGTCACCAGGGGCTGGAGTTGGGGGAGTTGGGGAGATGTTGCTCAAGGGATACATAATTTCAGTTACATAAGAGACATAAGAGATCTCTTATTCAACATGGTGACTATAGTTAATAATGTATTCTTAAAAATTGCTAAGAGAATAGATTTTAAGTATTCTTATTACAAAAAAAGTTAAGTATGTGAGGTAATGCATGTGCTAATTACATCAATTTAGCCATTCCACAATGTATACATATTTCAAAACAACACATTGTACATGATAGACATGTACAATTTTTGTCTATTAAAAAAAGTGGGTTACATGATATTACCCATTCAAATTCTGAAGGTCTGAGGCAGACCCCAAGAATCAAATTTTTAGTAAGTGCTTCAGGAAATTGATGCACATGTGAAAATCACCGCCTGAGCTTACTTTCTTGCTTGTGCTCAGTATTCACTCAAGAAAATTTTTTCCTGTTGTGCTTTGGAGCCCAGGCGAAACTCTGGATCTTCATTCTGAGCACTGGTTCTCAGAAGATACCTAGGTCTACAGCAGGCTCTGATTATCTGATTTCTCTGCTATTGCTTGGAAGGAAAATAATCTTGGCAATAAGAGATTCCTAGAATCCATCAAGTGCTGATGCTTTTATGTATAAAGATGTTTGTTATAGTATTAATTATATATTATACATAACAGCAACAAAACAAAACTGTGGAGGAAACAATATAAACTTCTAATAAAAAGGGATTATGTAAACTGTGATCAATTCATTTTATGTAATATTAGGCAATCATTAAAATGGAGTTTATAAAATGTTTATAAGAATATGGGGAAATGTTTGCTTTATAATAACTAGAAATTTAACATATGAAATTGCATAAATAAAATGTTCTCAAGTAAATGAAAGTGCTTTTGAAAAAGACTGGAGGGAAATCGATAACACTGATGAGATGGCGGATGATGTTTAGGGAGGCAACAGAGTAGATAAGCATACCAGCTTTGAAGCCAGACAGACCTGAACTGGAATCCAGCTTGACCACTTACTAGTTTTGTGACTTTGGCTTATTTAACTTCTCTTTGTTTTTTAATAGAGACAGGGTCTCGCTCTGCCGCCCAGTTGCTTGGGAGGCTGGAGTGCAGTGGTGTGATCTTGGCTCACTGCAACCTTGGCATACCAGGCTCAAATGATCCTCCCACGTCAGCCTCCTGAGTAGCTGGGACTACAGGTGCGTGCCATCACTCTTGGCTAATTTTTGTTTTGTTTTGTTTTGTTTTGTAGAGAAGGGATGTTGCCCAGGCTGGTCTCAAACTCCTGGGATCAAGGGATCTGCCCACTTCGGCCTCTCAAAGTGCTGAGGTTACTTAACTTTTCTTAGCCGCTCTTTCCTCCCCTGTGAAGTGATGGTTAACGCGAGCTTCCTTATAGGGATGCTGTAATGATTAAGCAAGATAATGTATATAAAGGGCTTAACATAAGGCCTGACATATGGTACATGCTCACAGAAGAGTGGCAATTATTATTATTACTCTACTTGTACTTTTCGTAATAGAAATAACTTCATAATGAGAAAAATATTTTGAAAAACATATAAGCTGTTTTTACTATTTACTTTTTTTTTTCCCCTCCTTGAAATATGGTACTAAGGGGATGAAGGAGGGGGAGCATCTGGTTTATGGAAGATTCTGGTTAATTAGGGTTTGCTGTATATAATCACAGCTGTGATGCCGTGCCCTTCAGCACTGGGCCACATTTTGGGGGATGGCATTAAGAGCAAAGGCCGAGTAGCTGGTGCCCGAGTCTCACTGTGGTTTCCCCTTAGCTTCATTCACTACTCTGCTAACGTGTAGCCACAGACTCACCTGACCAGTTTCTTCAACTTCCTGGTGGGGTCAAGGACACTTGTTCTCCCAGTTCTACAGAGTTGTGCAGAGGCCAGAAGAGGTGGAGGTGCTCTGAAAAGTATGAGGCATCTTCTTGCATGTGCAAGACATTCCTCTTATGGCAAGACTGAGGGTGGGATGAGCAGTTACCAGGGTTGGGAGTGGCGGGGCCAAACTCTCCATGTCTCTGAGGCCACCTCCTCAGCTCCTATAGGTGACACTGGCACCAAGGGTCTGCAAGGCAACTTCCTGGGGCCTCCATAACAGTCCCTGGGTTTGTTCTAGTCCTGACACATTTCAATTTCCTCTCTTTCAACAGCTATGGGATAAAATGCATTCTCTAGAGCATGGTACTTGCAACTGTGCTGCAGAAAAGACAAATCTCAAAAGAACTAATTAGTACCAACATCCATTGTCTTTCTGAAGGGGTATGTCCTGGAAATGAAGCGGGACTCAGCTCCTTGATAAAGTCATGTTTCTGGTGTTGTGTGTAATACCCTTGTTAAAAGATTTGATCTCCTACTTCAAAGATATAATATTCATGCCTGGGACCGGACGAGGAAAGTGCCCTGCTGAATCCTGTGTGTTATGAACTTGCCTTTCTAGGATCTTCCATGCAACTCTCCCAAGAGAAGGCCTCAACTGTCAATCATATGCAGTAAGCCAGTGATCCATAAAGGATCCTTGGGGTATCAGTACCATCTACCAAGGAGTTTTCCATATGAGAATGTTATACTGGCTGAGCCTTTTTTACTTAACACTTTCCGATATGATTCCAGCCCAAACTGTGATCTATATTATATTCCTGACCCATAGAGCCACATTTAATTAGAAACCTGACAACGCCCTGTATGCTGTCAAGCAACCAGCCACTGTTTCTTGATTGGCCACGGCGAATTCTGGTATCTGTGTTACAAGTTGGAAAGGTTGTTAGTGACCTCTGGATACAGGCTACCATTTGTCCTGACTTAAGTACGCTCCTTGATTTTCTAAGGAAGACATCCTTCTAGGTTGTGCAGAACTACAAAGGTCTTTTAAGCATCCTAACAAATGAACAATCTTTAGCTAAAGACACTGACCAGATTACGAACAATGTCTCTTTGGTTTGAAAAGATAAATAAATATTGAGAAAAAACCCAGTTCTTTTGAGTTTGGCACTCTGCCTTGAGAATGAAATCAACTGGCAATGAGCTAAAGCTGAAAGACTGAGGTCACGAAATACTTATCCAGGAAAAGAGATAAGATGATGGAGATTTGAAGCCCTCTCGGATCTAGCAGAGTTTTCGTATCATTTCAACAAACATGTTGATTCTTACCCCCTCAAGGAGCTTAGAGTCTAGCGAAGAGAAATGCAACTGAAGCCATTAACTTTAATAACAGGCAGAGGGGGAAAAACATCTTTGAAAAAGTACTGAGTAACACATAAGGGACAAGAAGCAAAATGTTAAAGATGATTATTCTGAAGTGACTCTTTTAGCCTAGAAGCAGCCCATTAAGCAGCCAGGAAACCAAGCAGGCACCTCACTCCTTTACCACTGCTGCAAAATTGGTGCCTCTCTCCTTTTCTTTCTCATAGGCCCAAGGGAAGGATCCAATTTAATAAGAAACAAGTTGATTTTTCTTCCAAGAAACTTCCCCTGGGTTCTAACCATGATGGGGGTCTGTGAGAGGACTCACAAGTACTCACTCCCTCGGGGGAATATAACATCTTCTAGGAAAAGAAAAAGAGTTTTTGCTTGTGGAGGCTGCTTTTTGTCTGTGCAGAAAGCTAAAAATGGCAGAGGAAACAATCTCTTTGAGCTTCAAAGTCCAGAGTATTTTCCACCTCCTCACCTGAAATAACTTCCTCCTTTTTGTGTCCTTCAAGGTCCAGTTGAAGATCCATTTCCTCTAAGAGGCTTCCTCTGACATTAGGGCTCTCTTTTATGGATCTTTTAACTCCGGTGGCACCTACGGTTTGACCTCCTCACTTTGCCCTTAGCCAACTGCCTCGTAGTGTCTGTTATATGGCAAACTTTCCCATGGACAAAGCTTTGGCAGATATCCTCTCCTTTAAACTTCAAAATAACTCCTGACTCTTAGCTCTAGGCTTCTTGCATTTGTAGCAGAAAAGCATGCCCCTTGGGGTCAGTAGACCTGGGGGTGTGTGGGGTTTTGCTTTGCTAACCCCTACTTCAGCAACATGCCAGGTCTGTGACCCTTCAGAAGCTGTTTAACCTCTCTGAGGTCGCTCATGGGTAAAATGCAAGATTTTTAAGAGGATTACAAAGAACATTTGTAATGGCCTCTTGCTCCATGTCCTATCTCAGACAACTTGATTTTTCAGTTGTCTAGAGAGCAGACACTAGCATCCTAACAATGCCTGGAGTTCTGCCTTAAACATAGTTGGTGCCCAAGGAATGAATGTATAAGCACTCAAGGAGCATTAGAATGCACCAATCTTCTTCTGCTGAACACAGTGTGTTCCTTAGTCCTCCAAGATGGCACCTGGAGAGCCAAAACAGCCACTCTAAGGAGAGCTTTTAAGACACAGAATTTCTAGGCAACTTCCTAAGGGAACATAAAGCCCAGATGATGGAATCAAGGCCCACGCCAGCCAGCAATGAGAAGATTTCCTGAGCAGGCAGTACAGCTGGCTCTTGTGCCAAGAGCTTGGCTACTCTGCCTCCTTTGAAAACCCATTACCAAATCATGGCAAGCGAAATTTAATTTTAAAAAGGGAAATGATTTATGTGCTACAGAAATAAAAAAGTGACAGAAGCAGGAAAGCTTGCATACATTTCATTTTTTTGAAATTAGACCTATAATTTTTTCATTAAAGAATAATGCCAAGTTGGGAAAGCCAATGCATTCTAAGCAGAAAATCACGGAGAGGTGTATAATGAAAGTCCTGTCAGCATGGAAACCCCATGTCTCACAGAGTCCATGAGAACACAGAGCAGTTCACTATCTGCCCCCTTCAACTTCTAAATAGTTTGCACTCTTAAAGAGCCCTATCCTCATTTCTGTTTCTGTGATGAGATGGGAAGCCACCGGAGGTCTGAGCAGAGAAATGGCCGCTCTGGCTGGGGTGTTAAAAACAGACCAAAGGACAGCAAGGGCTGAGGCAAGGAGGCTGGCATAACAGAGATGAAGGGTATTGGTGGCTGGCACCAGGGTTTCTTGATTCCAGTCCAGTGGGTTTCAGATTTTGAATGCTTGTGATTATTCCTTTCCTAACCACTTCCCAACACGCCAATCTCTCTATTTAAATCCTACAAAATCTACTGTACATTCATCATCTAGAAAGCTAGCGATCAGTTATCTGTTTTCCATCAGCCTGATCTCAGGAAGTCTGAGAGCTCTTTCTGAGCAGGGTCTGGGCTGAGAGGCAGCCTAATGTAAAGGTGCAAAGAGCACGGACACTGAGCACGTATGCTGATTTTGCCAATTGCTGGCCATGAAATGTTGCTGTGCTTCAGTGTCCTTATCTGTGAAACAGGGGATAGCAATGATACTGACATACGCTATAAACGTATCCATCCATTCATGTAACCAATATTTACTACAGCTACTATGTGCTGGGTACTGCTCTGTTGCCTGCACACATGGCTGTGAATAAGACAGAAAATCCCTATATACATTTACAAAGAGCTTATGTGGCAGTGTGTGTGTGTGTGTGTGTGTGTGTGTGTGTGTGTGTTGTGGGGCGGGGGAGGTGGGTGGAGGGGGCGGGACAGACTGTAAACATGTAAAGAAACAAATATAGGAGTTAATTTCAGATAATGATGAGTTACAGAAAGATAATGACACACTGGGTGATGGGATAGAGCTGGGCTTGTGGAAGAGGGATGGTCAGAGAAGACTTCCCTGGGGAGGAGATATTTGAGCCAAGGCCCAAATGATCTGGGAAAGAGCCAGATCTGTGATATCTGGGGATATACATTCCATGCAGAGGGACAAACAAACAAGTATTTCTGGAATAAGCGATGTGGAATGATTTTTAATAGCAAATGACATACTTCATTTTCCCCAGCAGTCTGTATCAATATGAAATAATTTTGTGGGTGTTTTCTGAGGAACCACTACAGAACCAGTATGTGGTTAAGGTTGTGTTGGGTGCTGCAAGAGGCACAAGAAGGGTAGGTTAACAATGAGTACTTAAACAGCACTTACATGGACCATCTAAGTGCTTTTACTCATTAGCTCATTTAATCTTCACAATAGTCCTGTGAGGTCAATACCTGTGAGGTCAGGTCCACAGTTATCTCACATTTTGTCACTCCCCTTTCCACATACTATAAAAGTGGGAAATTTTCTGTCTCGTTCACAACTGTTGTCCTCATAGACCAGAACAGCACCTCACATATAATAGCTGTGGAATAAACCCTGGTTAAATGAATGAATGAATGAATGAATGAATGAGAGCCTATCATGTGTCAGGCACTGTAATAGGCTCTAAGCATCTCCACACAGCCTCACCTACAGTTCAAGGAACTTATATCCATCTAGTTCCCTGGCAGGACATAATAAAGGGGATTACAGAGAATCTTCATTTATCAAGGAGGCTGCTTAAGTCAAGCGAACATAGACTTATTCTGAATCTCTCTCCACCACCACTACCCCAGACCAGCACTTTTGCTTGTGATTTTTCAATGACCTGGTTCTTTCCTGCAGCATGTATGTTTTTTAATTGATAAAAATGTCAGTTTCACCCTAGAGAGAAATATGTTGATGTTGCTAATGTAATGGGATATAACTTTCTCGCTTTTCTAGATGAAATGCTAGGTGAAATATTAGTCAATATAGACACAAATCATTTCTTACGGCGTGAACAAAAGTTTATTGTACCCATGAGCCCAAATTGTTTTTAATAACCCATTGAGCCCACTCAGCTACAAAAGGTGTCCAGAGTTATTTTTAAATCTCCTTTCAAGTTCCAAAAACAGAAAAGAAATCCTCGAATCTTAGCCATTCCATATATTATGACTGTAAATTAATTTACAGTAGCAACACACAAAATTCTTTTCCCAAGAGAAATGATATTCTAGCTTCTGAGGCCTCTGCCCAAGGAGGTCTTCTCTCTTGCTCTACTTTTGTCTTACTCTCTTAGAAGCTGAGTCCATCTTTTAATCATTACATGTATCACGGAGCACATCCATTACACCTCTACCAGCACTGAGTTGGGTTTGGTTTACTATGCCATATGATGACCTTAAGGTTCTCCTTGTTTTCACTTTGGTAGCCCATGCAACAAGGAGAAAGTGCCAAGAGTGACTTGGTTAGACCATTATTTTGTTGTTGTTGTTTGTTTGTTTGTTTGAAACGGAGTTTTTGCTCTGTTTCCCAGGCTGGAGTACAATGGCGCGATCTTGGCTCACTGCAACCTCTGCCTCATGGGTTCAAGAGATTCTCCTGCCTCAGCCTCCCGAGTAGATGGGACTACAGGTGCTCGCCACCACGCCTGGCTAATTTTTGTATTTTTAGTAGAGAAGAGGTTTCACCACATTGGCCAGGCTGGTCTCAAACTCTTGAACTCTGGTGATCCACCTGCCTCAGTCTCCCAAAGTGCTAGGATTACAGGTGTGAACCACCACGCCCAGCCTGGTTAGACCATTCTTTAATGATAAACAAAACCTCTAGAAAATTTCCAAAACAAAGCAGTCCTCCAAGTAAGATCTCTGAAGGTTAAGGTCTTCTGCATAAACAGCAATATACAAGAAGCACAACTCCTTTTCTACTTAGCTTCAATGAAAGAAAAATGTCTGCCTTCTTATCATTTGGGAGATCAGTGGGCACCACAGGCAGGCAGAGAAAGTATGAATGTGGACAGGGGCCAGGAACAAAGCCATTTGGTCATCGAAATCCACTGTGACCATGAAACCTACTTCGGCAAGGAAAAAAATGTTTACTCACTTACAAATTCCCATGATCCTTAACAAAACAACTGCCTTTCATTTCCAGCAAAACATGTGATGTTCAGAAAGGAAGAGGCAGAGTCCAGCTCATCCTTTATGCTTCAAATTAATTTTATACGTCCTGAATTTCCTTTCATAAAAATTCAAGGTTTTGTCCCTTCATCTCTTCTGTTCTCCCCCTTTTCTTTTTCTTCTTTTGTCCATAATGTCATTATTTCACTCCACAGGAAAAACAGGACTGGAAAGTTCAGTACAGAGATAGAAAAGCCTCTTTAAAAACATACTGTAAAAAGTAGAAAACTCGTCTTTTCCATTAAAGTTCTATTATAGTAAGACCCCAGGAGCCTTAGGGAATTGGGTTCCTTCATGATTGAAAAACAAGATCATTTTGGATGAGTATGAGTTGTGCAAGACATATGACTAATAGAAACAGTAGAGAATCTTCATTTATCAAGAGGGTTTTTTAAAATCAAGTGAACACAGTCTTATTCTGTGTCCAGCAAGTTGGCTGTTATTACCCGATTTTACAGATGGGGCAAGTGAGGGACCTTATGTCACTTGCCCAGAGGCATAGAGAATCAGGTGGTTGAGCCCTGATTTTAAACCTGGGCTATTTGCCTGTAAGCTTAGCACTCTTTCACTATACCCTGCTGTCCCTCCTTTCTGGTCCCCAGCAGAATGTGTATTTTCATATTGACATAGCCAACCCCTTCTCCCTGAAGATCAGAGCTCATGGTGTCTACACATGGACCAAACAGCTGATGACAGGCCAACACACATCCCAATTGCCAAAAGACTCAGAAGCACAACTTCAACTTCTTATTCTTCTTTGCAATTCAAACCTCAGACCAAAATAAACTGTATCTCTTTTTTAAGTCAACCATTTCTTAAGCCATTTAGTACCACACACCTTGAATAATTGATTTCATCTCATTTATATATATTGAGCTGCCTTACATATCTTTGATGGAAGCCAGTACCTTAAAGTTATCCTTTTATCTACTGTACTGAGTGTGCCTCTGTTTGGATTTAGCTGTCAACACTTCACACATGTGAAATCAATCTGTGTGATATTAATGTAAACACTGTGCATTACAAAGTGGTGGACATTTTATTGTTCTAACAACAAAAATAGACAAAAATGTTTGTATGTGTTTGTTTTTTCTATTGCATAGGAAATAACACAATATAAATGACAGTATGCATTTTACAAAAGAGGAATCATTTAAAAAGGTAAAAGCAAGGTAGGGGTTGTTGGAGAATGCTTGATTCTCCAGGCTATTCTAACAGGACGGTGGAGGCAGGAATTATGCACAGAATAAAGATTCTTATGAAGAAAAAATTGCCATTCACATCACTTTCCCCACATTGGTCTTACAAGCTCATTTCCTAATTGCATGTGCAATACAATGAGTTTTCATAATGCTTTAATGGGGAGTCTGTTGCTTTCGTTTTAAAAATAGTCAATTCTCTTGTGCTAAGAAAAGAGCATATTGCCTTTAAGAGCAGTGTAACTGACAAGATGGAAGAATGCAAGCAGAATGTCGAGACTGAAGCTTTTCAATCACCTACCATTAATACGATTCAATTTATGCTTATGTCATAGGTTTAGACATTGCACAGCTCTGTAAGCAAGGAAGGGACCTGAATAAAATACAGTGAAGAAAGCAGATGGTATGCTATCAAAACCCTTCAAGCCTAAAATAACCTTTCCCAAGTAAGGAGGATAGTTAATTAAAACCAGGATATATTTACTCAATTCTGAATATCTCAATGTAAATAAAAATCAAAATGACACTACTGTAATGTTGGACTAAATGATGAAATTTCATCTATTCTATTTTTCTTTAATAGTTTCTAATCAAACTTTTCATTAAATAGCTTCATAAAATTCCACAGAGAATTTATTTACAGGGACTCATTGCAGATTTAAAAGCCTTACTTTCATTGTTCAATTAAACTTGTTATTCAGTGGACAACATTAAAACAGCAGTGGGGATTGGTGGGTGGGGAGCAGGGGTGTATGGGCAGTTGGGCAAGGTCATCCCATAATGCAAAGTCTATTTTCAGAGATGAATCCAGGGAATGCAGGTAAGCTCCACGGCACACAGAGAAAACTCAGACTCATTCCTATCCAAGATGGAAAGCCAGCCCCAGCTCCAAAGTCACAGCCTGGGTTCTTGCCAGGCTTGGTCACTGAGTCACATGTGTGTCCCACAGGTAGAGAGGACATCAGGCCATTTATGAAACCCACCCAAAGGATAGTGACTAGAGGCAGAACAAACCTAAGACAGATCAACAGTTGATCCAGGGTGAAGGCAGCCATTACCCAAAATGGGAGGTCAGAACATGAGTTTTAAACAATCTAGACATTTCCAATAGTTTTTTAAATTAGAAATGAGTAGTTATTAACCTGCTCCCTATCTTTTAAAACCAGATCAAACCCTGCCTTTTTCACGAGGCTTTCCCTGACCCCTCACCAAGATTTCCATCTCTATCCACCTCCCAGCCCACTGCTAAATTCCTACCACACTTGCTTTCTGCAACACTCATCAAATACTTAATCATTGACTTTCTTGTAACATTAGTTAACCTTTCAGGTGTGTTAATCCTGTCTTCCCCAATTAGATTTTAAATTCTCAAAACTAGCAAGAGCCAAGTTTTATTTACCTTTTGAACACCTCCTCCCACCCCCTACTCCATAATCGCATTTAATAGAAGAAAGCAAAAAGTATATTAGTTAATAAAATAAACATTATTCAATCATAGGAAAGCAAACAGTGTCCTTTTGAGAAGGGCCTTGGAGGTATTTTACAGCAATTTATGAATTTCATGTGTCAAAGGTGTAGCTGCTAAATGCTATAAACTCTTTGCCATCAGCTCTACCATTCATCCACCTGGTGATATGGCCAATAAAATTTGATTTTTACAGCCTAGGCATACTGTTACCTAAATTACATTTGACCAATTACTGAAGTCACCAAACGTGTGGTACAGAATATATACTGTGTAGAAAATTCATCTGTGGGCCCCCTGGCACTCTCGGTAATCTGACAGAAGTGTTTCAGTCATCTGGCAGTGTTTAATATTAGGAACATTTGTTTAATGCTAGTCACTAATTAAATTTATGTTCTTCCACCAACTGTTAGTTGGTTGGAGAAACTCAATGCCACATTTTAACAAACACTTTAACCCATGTCAATTTCAAATGCAACCAGTTGGAGATTTAAAAGGGTGCTCTTTGGAAATTTAGGTTGTGACCGAAAGTGGGACGGTGGGGAGGGATGTTAGTGAAGTTGCTCAAATCTGCTCAAAATAAGCTTTTTGGTCCACTTACTAACATGAAAGTCTGTAAGAAGTACAAACTATTTGAAGTACAAACAACTAAAAAATGTCTAATACTCTAATTATTAAACTAGCCATCTAGAAGGTCTCTAAAGGTACCTTTATTCCAAAAGAAAGCTTCCACTTTAAGAGGCTGGAGAAGAAAAACAGCATTAAAATTAGCTATACCAGAAGAAAGTTCAGGAAAACATTCAAAAGTCAGATGCTTGTTTTTGTGAGAACATTTAAAACTAATTTAGTAACTCTTAACAACCATTGTGATCGCTGTTAAATTGGAACTTCTTTCTATTACCAATTCTAGATCCAACAGCTTTGAAACTCAATGACTAATAATTCTTAAATTAACCAGAAAGGTTAAAACATTTTTTTCCTCATATTACGTTGTGAAACTCTAATTTTGAACACTCTTAAATGAGGGAACACATGCTTTCAGTTTTATTCTGTGTCAGGAATTTAGAGACCTCTTGAGCGGCAAGTAGGAAGCAACGTTTGGGAGCCGAGAATGTGGAAGAAAAACTCAAACACAGGTATTGAAAAGGGAAGATTTGTAAATGCTGATCTGAAAAGAGAGGGCATTGTAAAAAAATGTATTGCATACATTTATCTACTTGAAGTCAAAGGATATTTGAATACTAAAAATATGACAATAAATAAATTTCTTTGAAGAAGAAAAAATAAATACAAACAGTGTTGCCCTCTTACAGAATGACAGTCATTTGATAAGCCAGAGTTGTGAGAGATATCCAAAAACACAATTTAGAGGGAAAAAATGTCATGGCTCTTAGAATCTAATGGACTTAGATCATTTGGTTCCCCTTCCTCTCTCTGTCTTCCCTTCCTTCTTGATCATCATATGCCATCTCCTCATCCTCACCCCAACTCTGTTCACATAGCTACTTGCAAAATTTCTCTAGTAGCAGCACCAGGGCTGTTGGAATCATGAAGAATCAAATTTAAGAGGCCATAGTGGACTCCTGAAACCATACCAAGGTCTGCAAAGGATAAGCAGAGTAACCTGAATCTGGATAATCTGCCAACTAGTGATTCTCAGGAAAACATCAGCCAACAAAATCAAGGAATGTTTCAGTTCAAAGGGACCCTATGCTCTCTCCAGGCTAAGGGTCTCAACCTCTTCTTCACCCAGGTAGCCATGAGGGATTCAGCAGGGCTCAGCCATCCCAGCAGTCACTCTGTGGTAGTGATTCCAGAGAAGGGGTAGGGTGAGAGTGGTAGGGGTTCACGCCTCTAAGTATAGAAATTCCCAGGAACACAAGCAGTTTGATAAGGCTACCCCAGGGTATTCTGACATCCCTGCCCAGCCTGCTGAAAACCACTGATATGATCCAGTCTCCTCAACAAACAGATGAGAAAGTGATAATGTAAGAGAACGACTATCTTGGCTTGCATCTCGCCATCTACTGCACCGTGTAAGGCTTCCCAAACTGGTGATGTGATATCTTCTTCTCCTCCCCTTCTGTCTACATGTAGAGACACGTGACCAGTTAGCTAGGCAGAGATGCAGATTAAGATATGTATCCATCTTTGGTGGGCACAATGTGCGTGTACGTGTGCATGTGTGTGTATGAGTGTATGAAAAAATTCAGGACATGGATATCTATCACCTATCATCTATCTATCTATCTATCTATCTATCTATCTATCTATCTATCATCTCTCTACGTGTCTATCTACTGTACAGTACTAAAGTGGTTATCTATTTATCCACCATACAGTACTGAAGTTGTTTTCTTTCTATCTATTTATCTATTCACTGTTTACTACTGAAGTGGTTACCATTGGTGCATTTTTACAATACCTTATAACAATGAAAAGAGAGTGACTAGTTAAATAAAAAAGCATTTGAATAGACAAAGCCTTTTGAGAGAAAAGTAACATGAAAGCTTCCTGTCCTAAAGTCCAATTTCAAGGTCGACCAAGCAACTTCAGACTCTACATTGAACAACAAATTATAAATAATCATCTCTTACTCATAGTAAACAGAGGCTACGAAGGAGGCAATGACGCCTTATGCCGCAATAATTTGGGGGATGGGAGGGGTGGGGCAGCACATGGGGCTTGTGAAAGTGAGCCCCGTTCCCCATCACCGCTCTTCAGAAGAACTGAAAACAACTAGGCACACACGCACAAGAATCAGGTAGGAAAAAAAAAAAAAGACTCACCAAACTCATCGCATATACTCTCGTTTTCTATGAGAGTCGGGTGGTCAAAGGTGTCCCGACAGTACAGGATCTGAGGGTTCCTGCTGACCACTGCAATGCCCCCCAGGGCCAATGCAAACTGGTCCGTTAGAATGGAAGATGGCTTATCCTGGATGCGTTTCAGCATCGAGCGGTACCGGCAGTACTGGGGGTAGCTGAGAACTATCACGTTCGTTTCTTCCTCGTCCTCCCCTAGACAAACGAGAAAACACTTCCATTACCCTCTTCCCTCTGACAAAGAACTTTCATGGCCATGGTATAATTTCAATAATCACTTCTGGTTTGGGACTAAAAAGACTCTCATCCTTGTTACAGTCTGGGGGATGCCAGCATCCTCCCAGCCCCACTTCACCCATCCAGCCCCACAGAATACGCTTCAGGCTACCCGCACAGTGGACCTTCTTGCAGAGAAAAGAAAAGAGTAGGCTGGCCCTCTAGACACAGTAAGTAATGTTTGTGTCATCAGCAAGCAGTAGGACCCAAAAACTGTTTTGAAAGAATCTTCATTTTTTGAAGCATTAAAGTCATCCTCATCATAGGGAAAGGTAGAACTTTGCTGGGCTTCTTTACATTTATTTCTAGTTTGGAATTGCTCTTATATTGGATTATACAGATGATCCTCAACTGAACGATGGTTCCACGTACAAAAGCAACATGCATTCAGTAGAAAGCATACTTTGAATTTTGAATTTTCATCTTTTCCTGGGCTGGTGATATGCAGTAGGACACTCTCCTGTAAGGCTTGGCAGGGGCAGTGGGTGGCAGCTCCCAGTCAGCCACGAGACCAAGAGGGTGAACACCGGTACTCTACAGTGTACTGTGTTGCCAGATGATTTTGCCCAACTGTAGGCTATGGCAAATGTTACAAGCCCGTTTAAGGTAGGCTAGGAAAGCTATGTGTTCAGTAGGTTAGGTGTATTCAATGCCTTTTCGACTTGATATTTTCAGCTTACAATTGGTTTGTTGGGCTGTAACCCCATAGAAAGTCAACAAGCATCTGTATAATCTTTTCAGTGCTTGGAGCCTCTGAAAAGGTCATCTGGCCCCAAAGATGTCCATGGGTCTAAAATGCATCGCCATCTGCTCTGGGGTCATGAGTGCTGTTCAGCAACTATTTCCTGTTCTCCTTTTGGGCCTGTGGAAAGCCTGTGTGCCTCACTCTCTTGGAGGCCAGTGGCCTTGTGACTTTCCTTGGCCAATGAAATATGACAGAAGTGGATGGTTGCTTTAAGACCCAGTGTACCACTGACCACAATCTCTCTTTGTCTTTGCTGTGACCATCTATAATGTCCCAGGATAGTGGCAACTCTGCCAGTCTGGGTCTTGGAGTAAAATTAACATGAAGCAGAACCCCTGGTTGATCCAAAAGAGACATATAACATAAGCAGAAAATAAACCTTTGTTGTTCTAAAGCAGTGGTGATTTGGGGGTCATTTGTTATTGCAGCATGATCTAGCCCAACTTGATTGATACACCCACCTTCTCCACCCTCCCCATACCCATACTCCTCTCTTTTAACGTTCCTCAAATCCATCTGGTAACTTGGCACACCTCAGAGAACCATGCTGGGAGGACTCCCTAAGCATTCTTGTGAGAGAGTTCTATCAAAACCACCTTAACTCAGGGGAACATTTCAGCAAATTTAGCGAAGCTTCCTCTTATAATGATCTTAATGCTTATTTACACCTCACTTTATTTTGTGCTCATTTGTAAACACCAGATTCTGCATGGATGAAGCCTTCCTTCATCTTAAGCTTGAGAAATGGCAAACACCGTGCTTTGGTGGCCTCCACCTGTACAACATCAAGCTGAATTTAGGCTCCATGACCCAGTTTGCCATCACTCCGCAACCACCCCATCAGAGCGGTTGTAAGCAATTCCCAGACATGTCACTTGCTTCTCCAAAGGGAAAACACTCAATATTTCAAGCCCTTACCATGCTGCAGGGAATTGCACTAGACAGTTGTTAAGGATACCGACATTATCATGGCCATCTGGTAACCAGTGGGAGACGAATGAGCAAGGACGGAACATAATGATGGAACATAACCAGTACCAATGGAAGGTGTGCATGTGACCTTTTCAGATAGGAGGCCAATACCCAGATGTATTTCTAATTATGTTCACTTAGTTCCTCAGGCTGGCGGCTTTTCCACGGATGGAGATGTTTAGCTGCTTACAAGATGACATCTTTTAACAGTGTACACGTCTTCAACTCCTGCCTGGTCTGTGTATAGCTGCTTTGTCAGCTGGCACACTTAATTAAAAGGAAATATGTTTACCTTGAAGGCAAGTCCCCCAATGCAAACTAGTTTTGAGATGCTGATATATGTCCCAAGGCATGCCCATCTGAGATTTTTACAGCAGACCAAGACGCTAAGTTCAAACTTTGGGTTCAAAACCGTGCTTTTTATACAGCTAAAGCACAAAAAGTTTTAGTGAAAATATTCAAATGCGGTCGTTTCTCCAGAGTTTTTAAGTGCTATTTCAAGAAGCAGCCCCCAATGTGTCAATTGTATTATTACACTCGATTTGTATTATACTCGATTTGTCTAAGACATTGTTAATGAGAGAGAGGCATATAACCATTAAGTGCCAGGACTACCCCTCATAGCACTTAACACCATCTCCCATACATAGTAAATACTGTGCCTGTAAATACCTGTTGATTCTAAAATTCTATCTTGGTTGTGCAATTAGCTTTCTATGATAGGGGTAAAGGTGCATCAATTTCTCCAAGTATTCTTGAAATAAAATGGAGAAAAATGTGTGTGCTCTCAGGTTGAAGGAGTATAAATGAACAGTTGCTTCAGAGTAAGTTTCATGGAAGATGTCACCTGGACTCTTGGGACCACTTCACTTCCTTCATATCCCTTCATTCTCCTTTTTTTTTTCTCTAACCATTTTTCATGATGATGCCATCTCTAACTGCTTCCCAATTCTCTGTTCTGGATGGAGTCGGCTCCCTGGCAATCTTCTGTGCCTAGAAATGACCTCTTTTTTTTTTCTCTCCACCTCATCCTAGTTCAAAACATTTAGATCACGCAGTACCCAAAACACTAGCCAAGTCATGAATCCTTCTCTTTCTGTTGGAAGAAAAACAGCAAGTTCCCCCTACTCTCAACTCCTACAACTGTCCGTGCATCCTGGAGACAGTGTTGCTAATAGTGGTCCTGGGACTGTCTGCATCAGAATCAGATACTGTGCCATCGAGAACCAGTGACTCAGCATCTCTAAGGCTGGGGTCTAGGAATTTACCTTTTCAACAAGCATCCCAAATAGCTCATGCACACTAAACTTTGAAACCAGTAACTCTGAGTTTACTTTTTTGCGAAGACTTAAAGTAAGGTTGTTAGTTTGGATTTTGAAATATATATATATATATATTTTTTTTTTTCAGTTGTCAGACTTTTAAAAAATTCTTATTTCTCTCCTAACCCCCCAGTACATAGAACAAAGAAGCAAAATCTCTTCTCTCTGCCACTTTTGCAGGATTGTTACAGATATCACAGAAGACAGCAAATTTTAAAAGCCCTCTTAACTAAAAATACGAGAAACAGAGAGACTGTTTCCCCATTTAGAAAGCAAGTATTAATGCTATTTCCAGTACTGATAATAAAACACTAAAATTCACAAAGGTTTTTTATATAGTGTTTTCACGTCTCTTTTGTTCCTCACAACAACCTTATTAGTGGCATTACTAGTTGTTAATATTCCCCAATTTGAGACTATAACCACCCAATCCTTTTTTTTCTTTAAGAGATGGGCCTCTCTCTGTTCTTCAGGCTGGACCCAAAACTCCTGGGCCCAAGCAATCCTCCTACCTCTGCCTCCTGAGTAGCTGGGACTTATAACCCAATCTTTGAACTCCCAGTTTGGTGGACTTTTCATTAGGATAAAATGTCTCAAATAATAATAGTAATAATAATAACAGAGATTTAACTGGTTTACACTATTAGGGACGAGGATGGTGGCCTTTGATCAAGTCAAATATAAGACTTCTGTTTGATGTAAGACTGTAGAATTCAGCCAGTTGGAAGCCAGAATTCTACTCTCCTTAGGTTAGCTTGTTACTTATTATTTTGGAACACTGCAATTTCCACTGTAATGATTTAACATTATTGATACATCATTCATGTACATTAACTTTCTACTTTCTATGCATGTGATAGGAAATAGTCCCAACTCTATGTGTTGCCAGCCTAGAACCCCTACCTTTCATCAACCTCCTTCCACACACTAAGAGGCTACAGGCACAGCTGGGGCTTGGTCTATTGTGGCAATGCTTGGTGGGGCAAAACACAAATGATAACTTTGTTGCTTATGAACAGAACCTCCCGTTTGGACCAGAATTTTGGCATTGTTTGGACAGAGGCAGATTTCCAACCTTGCAATTAGACATCCCCAGAGGAGTTGCCTTTAATATTTACCAAACTGGAGAAAGCCCACGAGACCTTGAGGACTCCTAGGAAAGTTTACAAAGCATTCTAAGTGAAAAGTAAAAGGGAAAGATACAGAGTCAAAGTGGGACCTGGAAAAGCCAAGGTTGAAGCTAGGTTGAAGTTTCACTGAGTAAAACAGTCTGGGTCCAGGTCTCTTCTTTGCAGTTTATTTTATTGGTGAAAACATTTTTTTTTTTCCTCAAGACAAAATATGGTCAACTTTATATGAAAGGTGTGTATAACAGAGTATAAAATTTTGAGTTTGGGGAGAGATTTCCAGATCTAAAATTCTGTGATCCTAAAACTGCCTCCTAAGCCTTTGCATTAAATTAACTTCCTTCTGATACAGCTATAAAAATACTAAAGTGTTCAATGGTCGGCATATTTTATTTTGCCCTAGTACACCAGGAAACAAATAAAGCCAAATAGTCCTTTCAAGAATTATTTAAATTCCTCGGCTACTTCTTTCTTGCCCACGCATTTCATATACACATAAGTAAACACTCCTGTGCAAAGTTACCCATGAAACAAGGGCTGCCAATAAATGCTGTGTAAGATATTTTCACCCTTCCAATTCATAATAGGGAAAGCAGATAAATCTAAGAATGAATAAATTGCACATTTGTTTTGTAAAAGACAAACAAAGTGTTCCTGGAACACAGATTTTCTTTCAACCACACCCATAGAGAAAAAGAAATCAAAGTACCCCTAGGAGTATTCTTCTAACACACTCTAGTTGGTTGTAGCTGGTTGGGTTACATATACGTTACTTGACTTCAGTCAACAGAAAATGATCTGTAATAAATTGCTAGTAACCAAGACTGAAATTTTAAACCATAATTATGATATTCTATTAAAATGTCATCCCATTCCTGAATTTCTCCTATACCAAAAAAAAGTGAATGCCTATTTTAAAATGAAACATTCAAAGGGAATAAGAGACCCAACATTACTAAACCTCATTTCAACTTCAATAAAAAGAACTTTGCCTATTAAAAGTTAATACCTAAAGTACACTGCTTGTAATGCTCAACCAAAATGACTCTTAATTACACGTTTTGTTAACCTCTCTCAATGTCAATTTTTTACTTATTTATATATTTCAAAGTCCGAAACAGAATTCCATAGCGAAACTGTAATTATAACATGAGACTCCACCCAAGCTTTTCAAACAGTAACTGTATACCATTGCTTTAATCCTCAGAGTTGGGCTGGGGGTGGGGAAGGAGTCGGGGAGAAAGGGTAAGAGCAGGCCTTCATTCTGAATAGCAGGTTGCTCAAGTTGTCTTTGTACAAAGAGAGATGCATGAAATAGCAAACACAATGAATTAATGGAGCATTGACTTTCAAATATCCATAATGCTATTTTTTGAAAATAGATAATGGCGGCCAAATGCACGGAGGCTGAAAACATAAATTCCAGAGGAGAAATTTGCTTTTATCTCTTACACAACAATTTAGAAATGTAACTTTCTTTTTCATTCTTGGGGTGAGGGGAGGCTTGTTTCGGAAACATCACACTATTATGCTTACTGAAAACCACTATAATCTACTTCTAACATCAGTAAGTTTTTTAAAAAAAATCTTTTAAAAAAAAACCTTCGCCCCAGGATTTTATAGAGCCTAGTGGAAAAAATATGCATGTTCCTTCCTGCACCTAATTACCTCAACTGAAAAATCTGCCAAGTATTTTGCCCTTTAGTTCTCTTAATCGTATTAGGGCAAATGCATTTGGATGCCAATAGAAACAAACATTTAAAGATTTTCACTTAAAAGATTCCAAATATGTATGAAGGCTAAGTTTGAGACACAATGTCCCTTGTGCTTCAAAGACAACATACAGTTTTCTTTCTCCTTTTTTTTTTAAAGGAAATATGAATGTGCTCACGTTATAAAGCTTGATGTCTAGTTTTGAAACAATTTAAGCAAAATAATGTCAATATGTGAGGTTCTCACAATGATTTATGCTTCCTCCTGTTACTTTATTACATTAGACATTCTTTTCTCAAAGCTTTATACTTTTCACTGTGCTCCTAGCAACCAACCAACGGCAAAGCATCAACTTTATATACCTGGCGCTATTCCAATTCTTACTGCTATTGACAATTATATTGAAGTTTCCATTTAATTGCTGCTCTGTTGTGACACCGAATATTTGTCACAATTAGGCATTTCCTATTTTCTGTCCATGCATTTTTTATTATTACTGAAAATGAAATTTTTATTCCAGAAAACCTAAGCATGAAAATTCTACAGATAAGAGTAGCTACAGCTGTTACTATCATTACCAACATTGTAACATGAAGAAAAAAAAAGAGAATATAATTTCTCGGAAGGTAATTTTCCTTTCAGTCTAAGTGCTCTTATTCATCTTGCAGTTACTCAATGATTTCCTGTTCTAATTACAGGACATTATACAGAAAGACATTTGTAAAAGGAAAATGCAGCAGAGCATATGACTAAATAGCTTGAATTGGTTGAAAGTGTTTAAAATTCCAAAGTTGTACATCAACTTTATCAATTCGTGGTTATAGCTCTATGTAAATGTGTACTGTGTCCTGCCGTATTTTTCAATCTCTCTTAAGGTAGTAAACTTAGTACCCAAAGTTAGTACACATCAAAGGGGAAAACACATTTGCAGTTAAACTGATGTTGAAGAGTTGGAGTCAGGGAAGATCAGTTGTGTGTGCGTGTGTGTGTGTGTGTGTGTGTGTGTGTGTATCTCCCTTCCTCATCAAAGCTGTTAAATTGGAGGCATGCCAAAACAAGGAGTGGAAAATATTAATAATAAAAATAAATTAAATGCCTGATTAAAAGGGAAAGAGAACAAGATTCCATCCGGAATAGAAATGAAAATGCCACAAACTATTTCATAAAAACAAACTGTGACGTAAATTACACATCAGTATTGCACTGTTGTGGTTATTTTGAGAAATGGTTTGTACTGTAAGTCAGCTGGTGCTGCCCCACCCTTAATGATTTTGTAATTCTCGACACAGTAAGCAAGTGGGGCAGCCCTGAGATTGCTGAGACAGAAAACAGAACTAGCCATACAGAACTGGCAATAAAAAGATAATGTACTTTTAACATAACAGAACAAGGAGATTGGCTTGGCTTTATTAACTAAAAAAAAACTACTTTAAATGGTCCCCAGCTTGCCATTTGTTTTGCTAAATGGAAACACAGATCTTCCCAGGATAGGCAACGAAAACATCACTGGAGAACTTAAAAAAAAGTAAATGTGGGAAAAATATATCAGTACATGGATGCAAACAAAACAAAGAATATTTCAAACCCAAAACCAAGGGTTTGAACCAGCTGTTTTCAAAAGCAAACCACTTAAAATAGAGGCATAGACAAATACAAAAATATGTATCAAAATGTTACTATCAGCTTTTGCCCTCACTATTGCTTCATCACTCAAGAAAAAAAACATCACAAAACTAAACTATAACCAAACACTGCTACCACTCTGAGTAACAAATGAACGCAGTGGGAAGAAAGCCAACTCCACCTCCAAGGTTGTCCCAAAGGGTCACTGAATTCTAAGCCACGACCGGGAGCCACTTTTTATCTTGAGAATTTTGCAGCTTATTGCCATAGGGTTCATCTTAGCCACATTTAAATTTAAATGTCACACTAGACAGGGATTATGCAACAGGTGAGACTTCATGGCCAGATTGACATGTAGGTAAAGTTGTTACCACATATGAGGTGTTATTCTATGGGGCCTGACTTACCTTAACTTGCTTCCCCGTCACATGGGTTAAACTTTGGCTAGAGTCAGCCATTCACTTTTTTTTTTTTTGAGACAGAGTTTCGCTATTGTTGCCCAGGCTGGAGTGCCATAGCGTGATCTCAGCTCACCGCAACCTCCACCTCCTGGGTTCAAGCGATTCTCCTACCTCAGCCTCCCCAGTAGCTGGGATTACAGGTATGCGCCACCACACCCAGCTAATTTTTTTGTATTTTTAGTAGAGACAGGGTTTCTCCATGGTATTTAAGCTGGTCTCGAACTCCCGACTTCAGGTGATCCGCCCACCTCAGCCTCCCAAAGTGCTGGGATTACAGGCGTGAGCCACCGTGCCTGGCCTCCACAATGATTTTTTAACCATAATACCAAAAGCACATAAGAAAACAACAAACAATAGACAACTGGACTTCATCAAAATTAAAAGCTTTTGTGCATCAATGGACACTATCAATAAAGTGAAAAGACAGTCTTGGAGAGGGGGAAAATATTTGCAAAGCATATACCTGATAAGGGATTAATAACTAGAATACATAAAGAACTCCTGCAACTCAGTAACAAAAAGACAAACCAATTTAAAAATGGCAAAGGACTTTGATGATTCTCCAAAGAATATATATAAATGGCATCTTAAAAAATGCTCTTCATTAGGGAAATGTAAAGCAAAACCACAGTGAGATATTACTTCACACCCAGTAGGATGACTATTATAAAAATGAAAAGAAAAAAATCCCAAGTGTTGGCAAGGATGTGGAGAAATAGGAACCCCTGTGCATTGTTGGTGGGAATGTAAAATGGTGCAGCCATGATGAAAAAGTATGGGACTTCCTTAAAAATTTATATACAGAATTGCCATGTGATAATTCCACTCCTAGGTATATACTCCAAAGAATTAAAAACAAGGACTCAAAAACAGTTATTTACATACCAATGTTGATTGTAGCATTATCACAAAATAGCCAAAAGGTAGAAACAACCCAATAGTTCCTCAATAGATGAACAGATAACAAAATTTGGTGTGTGTGTGTGTGTGTGTGTGTGTGTGTGTACAGGATAAATATTGTGATTCCACTTATACGAGGTATTTAAAAGTGGAATCACAAAACAGGGTGACTCATAGAGACAGAAAATAGAATAGAAGTTGCTAGGTGCAGGGGGTCTAGGAGGGTTGGAAGGAATGGAGAGCTATTGCTTAATGCATACAAAGTTTTTGTTAGGAATGGTGAAAAAGTTCTAGAAATAGATAGTGGTGACAGTTACACAATATTGTGAATGTACTTAATGCCACTGAATTGTGCACTTAAAAATGGTTAAAATAATAAATTTTATGTTATGTCTATTTTACACAACAATGACAAAGAGGGGAACATCTGGGAAGGGTTATATTTTCTGTGTAGATGCATGCTTGGTTGCTCTGGGGAGGAAAAGTGGTGTCTCTCCAATCCACAACTAGAATATATCCTGGAGGGCACAGAATCGGTGTCCTAATTCTTTGGTATCCCTCCTAGACCTTTGAGAGTGCTGACAAATGTAATTGCCTACAGACAGTGTTGCAGTAAACATCTGAGCCTTCTTCCAAAGGATAAGAGCAGTCATTTCATTAGTTCACCACAGGCTCTGAACCAATGACACTTCCTAAAAGGCTGAAGGAATCTGGAGAAGGTTATCTGCCCAACATGACTGTAGCCACTGCCTGGCAGGCCTTTTTTAGACAAAGGGTCATGTGGTTAGGCAGTCATCTCATTTTAGTGACTTTAAAAAATAAAATAATCTCGCCACTTGAGGAGTTTGTCCACCATGCTCTAAGTGCTGAGCCACCTCTGCAACTGCACTGACTTCTGGGAGCTAACATCTGTGTCAAGAGCACTTTTATAGGTTGCATTGTTTTCCTTCACCTTACCGCAGGGCTTCTGGGGCAGCTCAACAAGGAAAGAAGGGAAAAGGCCTCTTGCCTCTGTCAGTGACTCATCTTAAATCAGTGGTCTTCAAAATGGTGAATCTCTCCTTTGAGGGTACGAGAAGACTTTTTAAAGGGAACCTACATAGGGATGGGGCAGATCTTCAACTTAGATACTACTCCACTCCCTAATGCATCTGCCCAAGAATGAGCCAGCAATCAGAACAGCCCATCTCCTTCTTCACCCATCCTCCATCCCTAGTCCTATTATGAGCACTAAAGAGTCAAATCAAAGTATTGGTTTTGGAGATGCTTCCTTATTGATCTATCAAGGAACCTCAAGCCATAGCCTTTTGATCTTTCCCTTTTTGCACATAGTTCTGTTCAAGAGGAAGCTTAGCATTAGAAATAGAGTACTTTGGCCTGTGTTATGATGCTCTAAATTCAGAAAAGCCAAACTAATAAAGGTTAACGATGCTGATCCATTAAAGTGTAGCTGGAATGCACGGCAAGGCTACCAGATTTTTTGACATAAACTGCATAAACCTATGCATAAAAATTTTAGATAATTTATTTTAGAACTGTTGTGCTTTATTAAACACAGATTTAAACTTCAGATTTTTATCAAATCATATGTAATATGTCTTCTAATTATAGTTAATCACCATCTTATTTCATTTCCTATCATGTTTAACATTTTTTACTTATTAACACAAAATTTATTCAAAACATGATTAAAAATGTAGATGTCCACTTAAAACTGGGCAAAGGAATACATGGATTATTTTTTTCAAAAATCTTTTAGAGCAGCATTATTCAATAGAAACACAATGTGAGCCAACTTGTAATTAACACATTGAAAATGTAAACAGAAAACAGGTGAAATTAACTTTAGTAAGCTATTTTATCTAACCCAGTATATCCAAAATATTATTTTAACATGTGATCAATAGAAGTGATTACTGGCCGCACACGGTGGCTCACGCCTGTAATCCCAGCACTTTGGGAGGCTGAGGTGGGCGGATCTTGAGATCAGGAGATCGAGACCATCCTGGCTAATACAGCGAAACCCCGTCTCTACTAAAAATACAAAAAATTAGCCAGGCATGGTGGCACATGCCTGTAGTCCCAGCTACTTGGGAGGCTGAGGCAGGAGAATCACTTAAACCCAGGAGGCAGAGGTTGCGGTGAGCCGAGATTGCACCATTGCACTCCAGCCTGGGCGACAGTGCAAGACTCAAAAAAAAAAAAAAAAAGTAAAAGAAAAAAAAAGATTACTAGTGACATATTTACATTATTTTTTCATAGTAAGCTCTCAAAATATAGTGTGTATTTTACATTTATAGCATCTCTTGAAGTGGACAAGACACATTGCAAGGGCTTAGTTGTCACAGGTGGCTAGTGGCTACCTTATTGAACAGCATAGCTCTCTTTAGAGCGTCTGCCTGAAAAGAAATTTTAAAATCATTGTGTCCTGGGTCCGAAGAGGCACTTGGGAAAAATGAGGTTGTTCTGTGTACAGGTTCCTTTTGGCCAACTATCTTGAGATAAGATGTTCTGAAATATAGCTAGGAGAGGAGAACAGAACAGGAGGAAAAGCCTCACAGTGCCTGTTATTTCATTGTTCTGATACCCCAAAGCCCCAACAAAGACCCAAAGTTAGCAAGTATAGTTATTTTAGTAGAGATTCTCGCTTGCCACCTTTGGTTTCTGGTGAATAACAAAAATCAATTCAAAGTAAAATAATAATCTCTTAAAAGCTTCAACTGTTAAGACCTGGTGAGAGCCCTCTCCTCTGGGTTAAACATATCCTTCTGCTGTAACCAGCTACAGGTTCACTTGGTGCCATGTCCACAAAACCATCTGCTCTGTTTTCTGTCATGACACCCAGTTGTTCAGAATGGATATTTCTTTCTTTCTTTTTCTAGTGTGCACATTACTAAAAGTAATTTAACAGCTGAAAGAGATACTTATGAAACCTACTGGAAACTGAAACCACTATTTAATCTCACGGCAAAGCAGTCATATAAAAACTCCGGCACCTTCTAATGTGCTGTCACAGTGCACCATGGAAGAACATCATTGAAAGCTGATGATACAGATGTGCTCTGTTTTACTTCCTTTTTGTACAGGGTTAGTACTGAGTAAGCTGATGTAAGACAGGAGGAGGATGGCTCTAGTTTAGCCACCTTTCCCAAAGTACCTACCATCTGCTGAAAATCATTTCCACAGCAAATATCCCCTTTTCCCCAATCTCTAACATCCAAACCTACCTCTCTTTTCTCATAAAAGACAATAAACAAATTGCTCGTGACTACTATATTAATTCCAGTGATAGTTCTGTGGTTTCATACCATGAGTTACCAGTGCTACAGATCCCTGTTTCTGGGTATCTCTCAGATATTTCTTTAAGGTTATTTCTGTTTGAAAGGGTTGGCAAACTATGGGCCAAATTCAGCCCAACACCTGTTTTTGTAAATAAAGTTTTATTACAACATAGTCATGCACATTCATTTACATATTGTCTTTGGCTGCTTTTACACTACGACGGCACAGTTGTGTGATTATAGAGTGGTGCATTTGCCTCAGAGACCTTATGGTGCACAAATCTAAAATATTTACTATCTGGCTCTGCTGACCCTTGATCTAGAGAATATAGTCTTGCTGCCAGAAATCTGCTATTTTGGATCACGAATATCAGCTTAATTTCTAAGATACAGTTACTCTGTAACACTTGGCTGCATTTACTTGTTCAAGCTGGACTCTCCTTTCCAGAATATGGGTTCTTTGAAGGGCAGGAGCTAGGTCTGTAGCATGTCTGAATTCCTAACACCCTGGAAACAAGCGAAGCACATGATAGATTTTTAATTAATGTTGGTTCTTTTTCTGGTTATTCACTGTCCCTCTGTTCTCATCCTACTCCCGGATCTATTACCCATTCTTTCTTCCTTGCTCTGTGACCCCTGAATGTTGTATCATTGGGCTCCCTCATGGGCTGGCTGGCTTCTGCTTGTTCAGCCAATGGGAGACACCTAACAGATCGCATGTGGGAAAGAGTGAGAAGTTGTCATATTTCTTCTCTGCCCCATCTCTGCTTTGGCCTGGCAGCTCTGGCCAAGGCCACAGCTCCACCCTGACGGCAGCTTTCACCAGGTAGCACTATGTCTTCCTCTTGCTTCTTACTAGTGCCCAGATGTCTTCATGGTTCTTTTCACCCTAACCCCATCTCTATAGTCTTCCTTTGGTTCCTTTTGTTAAGCCTTGGGTTCCCAAACTGTAAAATGGACTTAAGAACAGTGACTTCCTGGGGGGTCTTTAACAGTAGTTAAAAGATGCAAAGTAGTCAGGCTAATGTAGCACACAGTGAACGCCCCGTAGGTACTTGTCTGATTATTGCTTTGCAAGCTGTTTTCCAAAGTATGCCAAGGAACACTAGTTCCTTGAGAAAGAAGGGAGTATGTTACCAAGGGTTATGTGGAAAAGGGGCACCACAGCACGGGAAACACTGAGTTTAACAAAAAGTTACACAAACAGCTTGGAGCCTTTAACATGCTAATGGACATTTTAATGCACAGGGGGGAAGATGCTGCTTTTTCTGACTTTATTTTACCATGAAATCCTCTCCCATCCGCTTCCTCACCCTCCCCCACTTTTTTGTCATTCATGGCTCACCTCAACAAGTTAGTGTTTCCCTGATCACATTTTGGGGACATAACACACCCGAATGTTGATTACAGCAATTGCCCTGCTCCCTTCAGCTCTCCTTCTCAGCACACACAGCCAGCTTAACACTGTATAATTACAAATAGTTTATTATGCATGGTATAATCACTCATCTGTATAACACTCCCAAATTTATAAAGCCCTTTCATGTGCTTAGATTCATTCAATCCTCCTAGAATCTCTCTTAGGGTCTGTCAAGAATAGTCCCATTTTATACAGGAGGACACAGGCAGCTCAATGAGGTGAATGACTTGCCCAAGGTCATCCAGCTAATGGCAGGGGCAAGTTGCCTGGCACTATTTTAAATCTCACACTGTTCTCAACACACCCCAGCTGCCTTCTGCTTGACTCTGAACCTCTGAGAAGAGCCCTGTCAGATTCATGGTATTCCCAGGTACCTCTCAGAGACCCTCCAGTGGGCTGGTGGCTTTGAGAATTCTCGTGATTTTTATGAGACGCAAATTTCTGGTTTCAGATTGCAGTATTAAAGAATCTCTTCCAGTCTTGTGTTCAAAACAATCCCTAAGTGAAGCTTGGTGTTGCCTTATTTGGAAGATAATCTCAAAAACAGATGACCATTGCACAGAACACACCTCGCCAGCACAATTCTTTACTTTTAACCCCTTAGAAAGCACATTTCAGCCTAAGTGAAGACAATGGTATTATTATTTCTCTCTATTACTTCTCCTCTTTTGATCCCGGGACAAAGATCCACAACCACCTGATTCTCATCATACACACGTAGCTCACACAATTGCACCCATTGTATCCTCAAAAAGATAAGATTAAAAATGATACGATTACATATATGTAATTTAATGTTTTTTAGGACACTCACAATGCAACCATCACTCCAATCAATTTAGAACATTTTCATCACCCCAAAAGGAAACCTCATACCCATTAACACCCTGGCAACTACTCATCTACTTTCTGTCTGTATAGACTTGCCTATTCTGGACATTTCATATAAATGGATTAACATAATATGTGGTTAAAAAAAAAGGATTTAACATCAAAATGGTCTTCCATCTATTGGCTGGTCAGACACCAAGGGAATACCTTCTGTGGATTAAGAAGTAGCAGGTGGCAAGAGGATAAAGACCAAAAGCCACCATCCCTCTTTAAAGAGGGGTGTATAGCCTAGAAAAGGTGGTGGGCATGTGAACAGATGTATTAAGTTGGTGCAAAAAGTAATTGCGGTTTTTGTCATTAAACAGGATTGCAAAAACCGCAATTACTTTTGCACCAACCTAATACAAGTAAGTGTTCTGACAAGAGTCACAGCAGAGGCAGAATCTTGGTAGCAAAGAGAGTGAAGAAAGTCTTCGCAGGGAAGAGAAACCCCTCAAGCTAACTTTTGAAGGATACATAGAAACTCCCCAGGCAGATTAAAATACCATGACTCATTAATCTTTCCAGCCTGTCAGTCATGAACATTCTCTCTCCTCCTTTGGGCAGCCCTAAGGAAGTTATTATGAGCCCCATTTTTCAGATGGGCAAACTGATGCCAAAAAGAGATTAAGTAATTTAACAACAGTCACACAGCTAAGGAGGCCTGGAGAATAGATCTGGGCCCAATGTGTGGGTCTGCCTGCCCCTGCTGCCTCAAAAGGTCAGAAGGAGAGAGGAGAATCTCCTGTCCCCAGGGCTGTAACTGGTATGAACCAGTGAGGACTCTGGAATTTAGGTGCTGTGTCTGAAATACGGGTTTGGAACTCTGAGAGAACCTTGGTGGCAATGCTATGGGTTTTCTATTAAATCCTGAAGGCAGCGAGGCTGCGCTCATGCATGGTAGTGATGGGCCTACTCTCCATTCCAGCAAGAGTGGAGGATATATTGGAGGATTGTTGTACCTAAACCTTAGCCTTCATCTTCCTCCTTTCACTCAGCTGACTGAGGCCCCCCCCACCTGCTGCCTCCACATGAGCAAGCTCCACTGGCCCCAGTTCAAGGAAGACCACGTTCAATGTCCAGATGAAGTCTCTTCAAGGGAGAAAGAGACCATGCAAGCAGCATCTGAGGGCAAGATCCCAGGAAGAGTAACCTAAGTCTCCTTATGTAGATATGCAAGGATAATGTCTATGCTTTCCTCATGCAGTCAGCGAACCTTTATTTGGTTCCTACTCAGTGCCAAATGCTGTGTTCAGCAGTGGGTTTACATGGGTGAACATGACAGCACCTGCTCTCAGGGAGCTCCCAGTCCTATCCTCCATTGATGGAGAAAACAGATGAGACTCCAGACCAAGGAGGAGTTGGTGGCTCCCAAAGAAACAGTGGAGCCCAGGGGATGAATAATTAAAACGTAAAGCACATCCCAGAGCTCAGCACTTTGAAGGTGTTTATGTCCCAGCTCTGAAAAAGATGTTCTGTATTTCATCTCTGAGTCTGAGATTTTAAAAGCTATGGTTGGTACAACAGTAAGAACAAAAGGGGCGCCTGTAGTCCCAGCTACTCGGGAGGCTGAGGCAGGAGAATGGCGTGAACCCGGGAAGCGGAGCTTGCAGTGAGCCGAGATTGCGCCACTGCAGTCCGCAGTCCGGCCTGGGCGACAGAGCGAGACTCCGTCTCAAAAAAAAAAAAAAAAAAAAAAAAAAAAAAAGAACAAAAGGGGGTTTAAAAAATATAATTTGGATTATGACTGGGTTCATGCAGAAGAAAAATGGATACATCAAGTACATAGTCTACCATTTAAATATTTCCTTTTTCATTTTTTTTTTTTCTGGCACTTGGCTTGCCACAACTTCCATGGGGCAAGTGCTTCATACGCAGGTCAGCAGCCGAGATCTCTCTCAATAATGAACGATATTACTAATATAAAATTTGCCTCAACTGAACTTCAAACCTGATGTGATTTTTTTTTCCTCAGGTGGGATGTGGACAGAGAACATCTATATAATAGGTGTTATCATTCAGGAGGCCTAGACTGAACCAATACTTTGCAGCTAAATGTAATTTGCGAAGCACAATTTAACAGCTCCATTTAGCGACTTTTCACAATCAAGATGATTTCAACAGTCTCTGAACGCCAGCCAAGATACCACCAAAGTATACTTAAATACCAGCAAATATTACATTTTATAAAAATTCCATGTTTGTCTCCTCCGATTTAAGAAAATCACTACTCTTTCTTATCCTTTTAAGTCAAAGCCATTGCAATTCTTCAATTCTAAATGGGAGGAGGAGGAAAGGAAGGGCTTGGATGAGAAAACTGAGGTTTGTATTTCCTAAAATTAATATTCATCTTCCCCTAATTCTCTTTTTATTGGCTGCTAAGCTTTCAGGTCCTTACTTCAAGCCGAGTGAGACACCCAACACACCCTTTCCTTGCTCCAGTAACAAATTTTGAAACTTACAGGACTTCCAACAGCAGTTATTTTAAGGATTTAGTCAGAGGCTCACACAAGCAGCCTCTGAAGGAGCCTCAATATGAGGTTCTAGGCAGCCAAGAAAGAGTCTCTGAGATCCACCAGATCCCTCTACTTTGCCCCAACCTGCAAATCAATCTGGTTATTTAAAGTCATCCTTACTCTTTCTGATCGGAGGGCCAGTTTCTAAATTAAAAAGCAACATAATTCATCACCTTGGCGGGGGTTTATTTCTTATTGCAAGTTGGTCCGTGTTTTGAAATCTGGAAATAAAATCTCATCTTCTTATGTACAATAAGGAGAACAAAAGCAAGGGGCTTCCAGTGTTAGGTTACCATTTCCCAAGGCCAGCCAAATACCCTCCCACCTTTCTCTAACAGCTTCTAAGGCTTTGGAGCTGGAACAAATATTCTCATGCACAAGTTAGTGGAAGAGATTCTTCCAATCAAATTTCCCACCACATGATATCTTGGGCTAGGACGCTCTTTTATAAGTGTCAATGAGTTATTCCCTCATGGATAACGATGAAGAGACTACTTTTCTTTAGCTGTAAGAAATAATTTTTATCTTTGCTCACACCTTCTTTAAAAGCATTTTTTTTAACTCAGAATATATAAATACATCCTTGTTGTAAAAGACAAAGTAATGACTCCCTTGACCTCCTCGCAAACCCTTATACTTTAATGGAGGCTTATGTTTCCACTTCAACAGAGCCTTCTTGAAAACTGGAGAACAGTTGTTCTTGACAAGAAGGAGGCCAAGAAGAAAAGGGAAGAAAACTGGTCCAACAATTCTAGCTCGGTTCTGGGGTGTCTGACTTTTTTTAAAAAATCACCATGAAATAACAGCCCTCTTAATTCTTCTAGAATGTAATTTACTTAGCACAGAGGCAAAAACATCCCACCTATCTGATACACTGTGACAACTCAGAGCACACGGCAAGGATGCAAATCTGTGAAGACAGCCAGCTCTAATCTAACCCCAAGTCTCCAACTCTATACTGCTTCTTCCAACACGTGGAGAAGTGAGAATGATTACATTTTGTTCAAAGTGTCTCATTACATTGATTTAAATAAGATTTCCAAACCTGCAAAAAGAAAAACAGCTTAAAATGCCATTTGTCTTATACAAGACTCTATAAAAAGGCAGGTAGTGAAACCCTGCAGAAACCCAGGTTGGTGGGGACCAAAGTCTCTCCCACCATGGACGTCTGACAGGAGGATAATGGAATTTAGTAACACCTAGGTGAGGTGTTTCTTTTCTGCTTAATGCATCCTTGGATGACCAACATAATGTAACAGACAGGTGTTAAGAGACCTGCATTGAGGAACAGACATTGTGGGTTTTGAGATCATAAACTTGAGGAACTTGTTCCATCTCTGAGAAGATCTCACACACCTGAACAGGTAAGATAAGGTCCAGTTTGCAAACTGCCAAGCACACTTCCTGATGTTTATTAACACCACAGTCATTATGACATTTAATGCCAAACTACAGGGAAAAAAAAGATAAAAACCTCAGGCCAGGCATGGTGACTCATGCCTATAATCCCAGCACTTTGGGAGGCTGAGTCGGGTGGATCACTTGAGGTCAGGAGTTTGAGACCAGCCTGGCCAACATAGCAAAACCCTGTCTCTATTAAAAATATAAAAATTAATTGGGTGTGGTGGTATGCTCCTGTAATCCCAGCTACTTGGGAGGGTGAGGCAGGAGAATCGCTTGAACCCGGGAGGCAGAGATTGCGGTGAGTGGAAAGTGCGCCACTGCACTCCAGCCTGGGTGACAGAGCAAGACTCTGTCTCCAAACAAACAAACAAAACAAAACTCAGGCTACCCACCAAGAGTGTTCAGTTATTGCACTGTCCTGCTAGAATACAGCTGCCTTTGATTGAACATGCACTACAGACAGGCAAGCTCTAAGCCCTTGATGTGTATTTCATCACTGTAGCAATCCTATGAGGGATAAGTTTACTGCTTCCATTTTATAGATGAGGAAATTGAGGCTTAGAGAGATTAAGCAACCTGTTCAAGGTGACTCTGGAACCCAGGTCTGTCTGATTCCAAAGCCCACAGTCATAGCCACTGCTTATAAGTTCTGAGAGAGGCCTGTGCCCAGATGAACCGATGACACAAAGGCAGATGCCACGGAAGCAGCACTGAGAACAGACGCAAGGCAGTGGAGGTGCCCAGAGGAGCAACCTACTGGGTGAGTGATGATATTTGGGATACTGGCATCCTAGGAGACAGGACAGTAGTCACTGTCCTGGGAAGCCATGTTCCTCTCCATTCCTGTTCAGGGTCAGCACAAAACCTGTGATTTTGGAGGAGGCAGAAGGGGGGCCCATCTTGGGTTTGCCATTCTAGTTCCTTCACTACCAGCCAAGTGGAGGCAGATATTTACTGAGCACAGCAACACTTACTATTATTGTAAGAGAGGGCTTTGGAACCAGGAAGCTCGATGAATTTATGAGATCAGCAGCTATTTTTCCAAGATGGTTATAATACAATTCATTTCATTTGCAACTGGTTTAACGTGAAACATTGTTTAAGAGAGACAAATAAACAACAATTCACATTTGCTGGGCTTCTCTCCTCCCCACCCCTCCCAGTTGTTCCACAGGAAATTTTTTATTGATTAAAGTACAATTACATTAAGGTTGGGAAAAATCAGCCCCAGAATAAATCGTTTTAAGAAGAAATCAAGGCGATGCCTTATGAAGAGGCAGCATAAGGAGGAGAAATATGAAACAGGCACTGGATTTGTAACCATGGGCAAAGAAGGGCTTCATTCTCTGGCTCTGTAAAATGACAGAGTCACTGTCTTCTAGGGAGACTGTGACCAGGTAAAGACAGCACTGCCTGTGGCTTCCATTAGCCTCTAGGCACTTTGCCCTCCTGAGCCCCTTCCTCCATAGGAAAAGATTAAAAGTCACATTTTAGGACTACATTGGTACACAGATAAATATATAAATAATGTATTAAAACATATTTTTCTGTTTTATTTTTTTGAGACAGAGTCTCGCTCTTGTTGCCCATGCTGGAATGCAATGGCATGATCCTGGCTCACGGCAACCCCTGCCTCCCGGGTTCAAGTGATTCTCCTGCCTCAGCCTCCTGAGTAACTGGGATTACAGGCATGTGCCACCACGCTTGGCTAATTTTTTGTATTTTCAGTAGAAACGGGGTTTCACCATGTTAGCCAGGCTGATCTCGAACTCCTGACCTCAGGTGATACGCCTACCTTGGCCTCCCAAAGTGCTGGGATTACAGGCGTGAGCCACCACGCTCGGCCTAAAACATATTTTTCGACTGAAGAGGTCATCGTGTTTTCTTCTCGTTTTAAAAGGACTAAAGGCATTTTTGTGGGTCCTTAAAAGTACTATGGGCCCTAATCACTGTGGTTGCTGTGGCTACTGTTTGTGCCAGACCTGGATAGAGGGTAGACCCCTGGTTTGCTAAGGACTTGGAGCTGGGGAAGGACATTTGGAAGGGCAGTGGTCCTGGCAGTGGTGTTCTGCAAAAGGGGCCTCCACGTGGGAGACGCCTGGAGAAAAGACCTCCAATTGGGAACCAGTTGAAGAGTCATGGGGAGAAGTGTTGGCTGGGAGTGATGACGTTAGTGTTTGCATGGAGTGTGGATGTAAACCAAGCCCTCCTCCAGTTCTCCCATCGACTCTGTGAAATCCTTCCTACGATCTACATGGCTCACCAGGAACACGGAATTTAAAAAACAAAAACAAGATTGGATTCCATGATGTCTAAAGTCTCTGTTCCTGCTCTAATATTAGACTTTTCTTCTTTGCCACAAGTATTTAAATAACTGTTCCACAATGCCAAAAGTTGCTTCCTCTCCCAGAGGAAACTCACTAATGTAGGACCTAAGAAAGGACTTTGAGGAACTCAGATGGCTTGCAAAAATGCATCACTGTCCAGTGCTGCAGAGGTTTGGGTGCAGCACCTCCCACTGGCAGGCCATGTGTACTCGGGTCTCCCGTGGAATTCTCCCGATGAGCTCTGTGTCGTGGCTGGCTGCATCTCACACTCAGTACCTTTGGAAGTTTCTGTCCCACAGGTATCTCAAAATAATAAGAGATATTTATGACAAACCCACAGCCAATATCATACTGAACGGACAAAAACTGGAAGCATTCCTTTTGAAAACTGGCACAAGACAGGGATGCCCTCTCTCACCACTCCTATTCAACATAGTGTTGGAAGTTCTGGCCAGGGCAATCAGGCAGGAGAAAGAAATAAAGGGTTTTCAGTTAGGAAAAGAGGAAGTCAAATTGTCCCCGTTTGCAGATGACATGATTGTATATTTAGAAAACCCCATCGTCTCAGCCCAAAATCCCCTTAAGCTGATAAGCAACTTCAGCGAAGTCTCAGGATACAAAATCAATGTGCAAAAATCACAAGCATTCTTATATACCAATAACAGACAAACAGAGAGCCAAATCATGAGTGAACTCCCATTCACAATTGCTTCAAAGAGAATAAAATACCTAGGAATACAACTTACAAGGGATGTGAAGGACCTCTTCAAGGAGAACTACAAGCCACTGCTCAACGAAATAAAAGAGGACACAAACAAATGGAAGAACATTCCATGCTCATGGGTAGGAAGAATCAATATCGTGAAAATGGCCATACTGCCCAAGGTAATTTATAGATTCAATGCCATTCTCATCAAGCTACCAATGACCTTCTTCACAGAATTGGAAAAAACTACTTTAAAGTTCACATGGAACCAAAAAAGAGCCTGCATGGCCAAGTCAATTCAAAGCCAAAAGAACAAAGCTGGAGGCATCACGCTACCTGACTTCAAACTATACTACAAGGCTACAGTAACCAAAACAGCATGGTACTGGTACCAAAACAGAGATATAGACCAATGGAACCGAACAGAGCCCTCAGAAATAATACCACACATCTACAACCATCTGATCTTTGACAAACCTGACAAAAACAAGGAATGGGGAAAGGATTCCCTATTTAATAAATGGTGCTGGGAAAACTGGCCAGCCATATGTAGAAAGCTGAAACTGGATCCCTTCCTTACAGCTTATACAAAAATTAATTCAAGATGGATTAAAGACTTACATGTTAGACCTAAAACCATAAAAACCCTAGAAGAAAACCTAGGCAATACCATTCAGGACACAGGCATGGGCAAGGACTTCATGTCTAAAACACCAAAAGCAATGGCAACAAAAGCCTAAATTGACAAATGCGATCTAATTAAACTAAAGAGTTTCTGCACAGCAAAAGAAACTACCATCAGAGTGAACAGGCAACCTACAGAATGGGAGAGAATTTTTGCAACCTACTCATCTGACAAAGGGCTAATATCCAGAATCTACAAAGAACTCAAACAAATTTACAAGGAAAAAAACAAACAACCCCATCAAAAAGTGGGCAAAGGATATGAACAGACACTTCTCAAAAGAAGACATTTGTACAGCCAACAGACACATGAAAAAATGCTCAGCATCACTGGCCATCAGAGAAATGCAAATCAAAACCACAATGAGATACCATCTCACACCAGTTAGAATGGCAATCATTAAAAAGTCAGGAAACAACAGGTGCTGGAGAGGATGTGGAGAAATAGAAACACTTTTACACTGTTGGTGGGACTGTAAACTAGCTCAACCATTGTAGAAGACAGTGTGGTGATTCCTCAAGAATCTAGAACTAGAAATACCATTTGACCCAGCCATCCCATTACTGGGTACATACCCAAAGGATTATAAATCATGCTGCTGTAAAGACACATACACACGTATGTTTATTGCAGCACTATTCACAATAGCAAAGACTTGGAACCAACCCAAATGTCCATCAATGATAGACTGGATAAAGAAAAGGTGGCACATATACACCATGGAATACTATGCAGCCATAAAAAAGGATGAGTTCATGTCTTTGTAGGGACATAGATGAAGTTGGAAACCACCATTCTCAGCAAACTATTGCAAGGACAAAAACCAAACACCGCATGTTCTCACTCATAGGTGGGAATTGAACAATGAGAACACTTGGACACAGGAAGTGGAACATGACACACCGGGGCCTGTTGTGGGGTGAGGGGAGGGGAGAGGGATAGCATTAGGAGATACACCTAATGTAAATGATGAGTTAATGGGTGCAGCACACCAACATGGCACATGTATACATATGTAACAAACCTGCACATTGTGCACATGTACCCTAGAACTTAAAGTATAATAAAAAAAAAAAAAAGAAAGAAAGTTTCTCTCCCACAAACACAAATGAATTTGGATAACTCAAAATGGAACTGTGAAGTGCTACGTAATTTAAGATCCTGTGTGGCAGAGAGTCACTTATTCTGTAGTTCAACATTTGTAAATCTTGCAAATATGTCTATTGGGTGTTGATGCTCCAAACCACCTTCCACTGACTCAATGAACATTCTCCCGCTGGCAGAGTTTCAGCGGCACCACCATCTTTGCCCGCTCACCAAGGTTAGGCACTGTTTGAGAATTTTATTCATTTTCCCCATCAGTATGTACCACTTCGATGTTTCAACAGCATACACTCTAAAAAGCAATCCATCTGCTTTTTTCCATTGGTACTATCCAAACACCAATTTCCTGAGCCTTGGCATTGTGCTTCATTAGGGAGCAAATATACACAGTTATTTAGGCTTCCACGTGTCTATGAAATACCCCACTTTACCTTCCAAACTGGCAATTAAAGCCATTTACTCTGGAGCTGGATTATCCAATAGAATAGCTTCTGTTATGTAGTTGCAAAAGTAACTGCAGTTTTTGCCATTATAGCTGCATGCGGCAATATAAAGTTAAATTAATTAGAACAAAATAAATTTTATACACTAAAAATTCAGTTTCTCAGTCATATTAGCCACATTTCAAGTGGTCAACAGCCATGTGTAGCCAGTGGTACCTTACTGGACACAGAACAGAGATACAAAATATTTCCATCATTGAAGAGCATTCTATTGGCAAAGTATGCCTGAAGGCATGGACATTTATAAAGGCAAAGACTACATTCCTTCCACCACTGTATTCCTAGTGCTTAACCCAGGCCCTGTCTGACATGTATTAAAAGCTCTAATAAATGCTTAAGGAACTGAGATTCTTCCTCTCTAAACATGGAAACAAAATGTGATTCCCCCCAAAATGCTGAATTAGACAAGGAAGAAGTAATAAATACAAAGAAATAGCTATAATTGGAAAATTGTTTCCATACTCAAAAACTAGAATTCTATTATTAATATACAAAAATTATTTCTAGATCGCTCCCTATGAAAGCAAAGAGTGAATAAGACTATTGCTCAGAATTTACATCCATCAGCTATTCTCAATATTAATAGACAGGCAAAGTCACCAAAGACAGTGTAAGAGTAATGCAATGACAATAGTTCTAATAATAATGATGGTACTCATGCAATATAGACCATTTAATACTTATAAAACCCTTTTCAAATCTTTTAAATAATTTCAATCTCACAACAATTTTGCAGGGTTGGAATTCTTATACCCAGTTTACTGGTAGCCAAAAAAAAAAGAGGATCGGAGACTCAGTGACTTGTCTAGGATGACTCAGCTGGTAAATGAGAGAAAAAGACATCTGGCCTCAGGCTTTCTAACTCCAAGTCTTTCTCCTCTGTCACAACTGCTACACTTTGTGCAGACATTACCCACTGAGCTACTCCCACTTTCTATTTATGCTGTTAAGTGAACTGGGATCCTTTTAAAAAACGCAGACCTCTACTTCCAGTGTGTTGGAAGGCCAACTAATCGATTGTCCTCCTTAATAATAATTTTTGGCTTCTGCAATATTGAGGGGCTAATCTTTGGTAACCAGAGGCTCCAGAAACATTATTAATGTATCACCCAAGAAACCATTTGTTCTATGGATTATCCATCTCAAACAGTGGTTCTGAAGCATGATATACTATGCTCTGGGTTGCACAGCTGCTTTGCATTTTGAATTCTTTATTTATAGAACAAGTCAAATTAATAACTCAAAAATGTTGTTTCAGGCAAAGTAATGGACACACAATAAAACTATTCATTTCCTAAAAGGTCACTCCAGGAGATGCATACATTGTTTAAAAGCCTACCAACAATGCTATTATTCCTTCGAAAACTGAAAATGTGTAATAAGCAGTTAGAGCACATATCTGCCCCCGAGACCCCAGGCTAATTTAAAGTACAATCACAAGGCAATCAATCATACTCCAAAATTACTTCATTTTCCAAACTGTTTACACTTTTTAAGTTACAAATCCACTTTCTGCTATTTCAACTCACGATTTACAACTACAGATTTAGACCGCTTGGCAAGCAGCCAAGCACTAGTCATGAGGGAACTAATGATATGAACAGATCAGTGTTTTATAAAGGAGAAAAGCGCATGTAAATTTCCAGTGTGTCTGCAAGTAATCAAGGCACTGCTGACTATAAATGAGACCGTCTCAAATTTATTTTAGGAGAAATATCTTAAAGCTGTACTTTTTATCCAGGCCAAAAAAAGCCTTTAGGAGGAACTCTGAGATTACTCAAATTATTATAAATAAATGGTTATGTGAACAATATGGAAAAATAGTGAAATAAGTGACTTATTTCAACATTCCTGTCCCACATACCCTTATCATGATTTCTGGAATGCTAGAGTTAATGGGAAGAGGGGGAAAGATTTGTTCTCCTCTCTCTCTTTCTCTCTGTCCCCCACTTAAAATGTGATTGTTAACCATAGCAGCAAATCAAGTTTGTTTTAGTAGTCCAGAATACTCAGAACAAAAAAGACCCTAGAAGATATTGTTTTAAAATTAAATATGATCTTCATTGTCTCATTACAATGGCACAGCCAAATAATCACTTTGCGTTATTTGTACAAATAATGTAGAATGCTCATTGTCTTGCGGAAATAATTACTCTGGTGTATCATATCCTGCTTGTTGTCAAAACCTCTCCCTTTGCTGTCACCAAGCATGTGCATTGGACTCCAGAGGCTAAATTTAGCCAAAGTTTCATGTGTTCTTATATGTTAAAGAGTAAAGCCAAGTAAGCATATTCAGATGTGCGGGTGCCTTAAAGAGAGAAGCTCAAAATAGCCTCACAGTATATACATCGCAAAAGTCCATTCACTGTGATTGATATTTTAGTTAGAGAATCATTACATGACTAAACTCGATTTTATAATTGGATAAGGCCAGATACAATAAACCCGCACTGCACTGTAAAAGCATCTTACATCTTCAAACTATTTGTAATAATAAATCAACCTAATTATTTGAAATACTGTCTTGATGTGGAAAAGAAAAGAAATAAAATAAACTAGCTGCCTGAATATCTCATTTTATTTTCTAAGGATCAAGCAAAGCTTTTTATTGGCATTAAAGCCTAGCTCCACAATGGCTGGTAAACCATACTCTTTAGATAAAATTGTACACACAGAAAATCAATAATAAAGATTAAAAGCTTCCCCCCTCCCATTTTTTACACTGGCATCTGGTGTGTGTGTGTGTGTGTATGCATGTGTGTGTGAATTTAAGTATGACTAAAAATAATGATCTTCAGGAACCTGGAGCAACAAATGTAGCCCCAGTCTATTAAAACTTCAATTTATCCTTGTTTATCAAAAAAGCCACAAATAGTGGAATGAATGTTTCCAGTTCTGAGTGATTTCATAATGAACTCCCCAGAGCCCTGGAGCCCCTGATATCAGCATTGTGACATCATCAGGATAAATGCTCATTGGCTACAAAACCTTTTGGGTTAACCCTTTCACAGAGGGTCTCAGCCCATCACTTTGCTAGTTTTCTAATGAGGTTCCTCTATTCCCCTGTAAGAGCAGAGACTGGAAAAGAACGTCACCACCCTTTTTCCCCTCCCCCGCCACATACAAACAGCATAGACCCAGAACATTCTAAAGGGCACTGGGTATGTCTCTTCAACTGGAAGCCTTGATACAAATATAGGCCCTCAGAGGCTCATTGTGGATGGTTCTCATAGGTAGAGGAGGGAATGATCAGGAGCTCTCTTAGTGTTGGGTTGTCTTTCCTCATCATAGTCTGAGAGCTGGAGATAGAATTCTGGATATAGAAACATGTTCTGCACAGAAAGTACAAGTCTGTCCAAGATTGGCTATATCTAAGTTTGCCCAACTTCTCATGAAACTTGATAATAAATTTGTTCATTTCACACTGGCTGTAGCAAATGCAATCATTGAGGGATTTTCAATATACACAAGATCCTAATTCTACCGAAAATGTTTTTTACAGTTTGACCAGCACCTAGGAAAAGTCTGAGAATTCTGCTTTGAACTTTGATCTGACAAGCTCCACTTCTAGGAGTTTATCCTAAAGAAATAATAATATGACTTCAGGGATGTCTCTGAGAGCACTGTTTATTATATACAAAAGCTGGAGGAAAAAACCCAAAGTCCAGCAATAGGGGGATAGTCAGATAAGCTATGGCACTTCCATAATAGAATACAGTGGAGTTCATCACTAAAAATGATGCTACAGATGAATATTTACTGTGTGAAAGAGCATATTAAGTGTTTTTGAAAGCATGATACAGGCCGGGAGTGGTGGCTCATGGCTGTAATCCCAGCACTTTGGGAGGCCGAGGCAGGTGGATCACCTGAGGTCAGGAGTTTGAGACCAGCCTGGCCAACATGGTGAAACCCCATCTCTACTAAAAATACAAAAAATTAGCCGGATGTGGTGGTGGGCACCTGCAATCCCAGCTACTCAGGAGGCTGAGGCAGGAGAATCCCTTGAACCTGGGAGGCGGAGGTTGCAGTGAGCTGAGATGGCACCACTGCACTCCAGCCTGGATTACAAGAGCGAAACTCTGTCTCAAAAAAAAAAAAAAAAAAAGCATGATATAAGACTAGAGATACAGTATAATGTTAAAAATTAATATCCAACATATAAGCAGATAAAAAATATAGAATAACAGGCAAATATCAACACTAGTTATCTCAGTATGGTGGTATTCTGGATAATTTTTTTCTTTCTGTTTCTTTGTATTGTCTTATGATAAACATGGATTGTTTTTATTATAACAAAATAAGCACAATTAAAAGAGATTATGAAAAACGTGGACATAGAGAAAGAAAATAACCTCATATAAGTTCTTCAGCGTTGGATGGCTCAAATACTTGCTCATGCCTTTTTGAAATAAATATACCAAACTTTCATGTTTTTGTAACTCTGATAAATCCCCCTCAACACAACGAGCAAGAAGATGACAATCCAATATATATTCAATTAAAAATAATGATAAAATAGCTGCACCAAGTTAGGAAAAAATTCAATTTAGGTTTACATGCCACTGACATCTTTTTTTCCTGCTAGTATCTTCACACAAAACATTTAAAAATTTAATATATTAGTGTGGTACCTTTGTTAAAACTGGCGAAACAATATTGATGCATTATTATAATAATGACTACAGTTTACATGAAGGTTCATTTTCTGTATTGTGCAGTTCTACAGGCTTCGCCAAATGCAAAATGTCATGTATCCACCATGGCAATATCTAATAGAGTACTTTCACTGCCAATCTGTTTCCTTAACTGAGATCGAAAATTTCCATCGGATAACACATACTGACTTTGCATTATTAGAATAGACACAAACATATCAACAACCCTCAGCATAGTCAAGGAACAAAGACAGCTACAGAGTTTCAGCAAAATTAAACAATCATTTTTTTGGTGCCAGTTCAAAGGGTGGCTGTGAAAAAAGTTAAAACTTTGGGATCAGCTAGTCCTTTTCTCTGAAACATAAGGAGGGGAGGAGGACTGACTTAAATTTCTTTCTTCTCCACTCTAAATCCAGAATTACTATTCAATTACAAGACAGAATGTCAAGATATAATAAACTGAACTGAAAAAGGGAAAAGAAAACATGCACTTTTTTTCCTACAAATGAGGTTCAGAGCTTTTGCCCATTAAAGTAAACCAAATATGTTTCTCTCAAAAATTCCAGCCAAAAGGCAGGATGCCAAATACACTTAACAGATAAATCACTGTTTCAGGGTCTCTATTTTACTCTTTTTCCCTTTTCTTTCTTTTTTATTCTCTTTCTTTTGTTTTATACACACATACACACACACACACACACACTTTAAAAGCAAACTAATACCCCTCCTCCTTTTCTCAATCTACTTACAGAAAAATAAACCAAAGGAAACAATTACTTTTGTTGAGGAATCCATTGTTTAGGGGGAAAGTCACATAAAAATAAGTTCTACCTTCTTCATCAGAGATTAGTATTTCATATCTTGGGATCAAGCTATTGTCCTGCTCACTATGTATAACTTATTTTAGTTAATTTATCACTAAGGTCATTGTAAACTAGGAAGGAGTTTGTAAACAAAAATGAATCACAGGTTTCATTTTTGTATCCTTTTCAAACTGGAAGACCTAACAGTTTCCTGTTCCAACATACAAAATAGCATTGCTTCTATCAACCTCCTCGGCGCTCTTGCCAGCAGTTTCCATTTAATTAAACTGACAGCAAAACAGGGCCTTCGCTAATGGGATCCAGACCATTTTTCCTTCAATGTAAATTCTCAGGCATGAAATTACATCTGAAACAGACACAATAATCCTTCTATATCTTCTACATACATTTAATCTACAATAAGAATTCTTTTGTCTATGTTACAGTGTATTTTAGATTTTAGTCAACCTTGTTTTAACTGGAATTCTCCAGTGTTACCCAACTGGAATTCACCTTCGTGTTCCTCCAGTGCCCTGGCTATATCTACCCATAGATTATGGTCAAAGACCATATGCCAAAGGCTAATGTCCACAGCAGGGAAAAACAATTATACAATGAACGAATTATGTTTCTGTTCGCATTCTTGTTCTCAAAGTCAATTTATTTAAGTAAGAGCTTTTTCATCACTTGTTGACTCTAAATAAAAGCTATTGGCATTTATAAGTATGTCTGATTTTCATATTGTAGGTTATGTTTTCAAGTATTTCAATATGGCTAATCAAGGCAGAATATATTGATTAAATGCATCTTGGAGACCTGATCATATCAACATAATGAATGGATTGGCTAACTATTTTTCTTTATTTGGATGTTAAGTCACTTTTCTCGTACTGGCAAGCCATAACATATGCTAAAAACTTGACTCTTTCTAGTGTTTTAAGTGTAATTATATTTTTTAAATCCCTTTAATTGATGTTGGAGAGAGTGAGTTTTGTCAGGTAATTTAGTACGGAAATCAAGACTCTTAGGGCAAAAAACAAATCCAAAAGAATCAAAAGGCTATTTCTAAACACAATTAAAGCACCTAGTAGACTGAGTGAGGAAAATGCCAATTTATTCTGATTGTGAGACAATAGAATATGAAGATTCTTGAGTGAAAATTGGTTGGGTAAAGTGTCACTAAAAAACGAAGCCTCTTTCACACTCATGGCAGGTCTAGAGATCAGCGGCACAGGTATAAGAGAATGTCAATGACTTGAAAATGCTAAGCCGAAGGGTCAAGAAGGCTGATTTGGTAAACTCAACTCAGTCCTCCTCAGCACCTTCACAAAATGCCAGGTCCCTTGGTATGGCTGGTATGGTCTGTCCAGCTGTCGAGCAAAGACCTGTCTATTTCAATGAAGGAAGGGAATTTTGTTGTAGACACTTATTACCATGACTCTGAAAAAAAAAAGGATAACAGTGTGCATAATGCATATTATAGGTTCAATTCCTTTTCCATATGCAGAAGGCTACTATCCTGTTTGACCACCTCACAAAACTGGGAATTTTTGGTTGTAAGTGAATTAAATAAGATATTCCTATGAGGAACCTGATGAAACAAACTGCTAGCAAATAAGCATTTTAGGACTTGCTGAAAATCGTATCTTCCAATATGAGAAGTAATGCCATTGTTCTCTTGGAAAATACAAAACAAAGCACTTTATTTGGGGGGGAGGGTATTGCAGAGCAGCTAAGGAACTCTTTTCAGAATATCCTGACAGTCTCTTTGAAAATGAAACATTTCATTTATACAGCAGAAGACAGTTGTGGCAAGATTAGAAATCATTTTGAATCTCCCAGGCAATCAAAATACAGTCTTTTCATGTGGATGGAAGGCCTCTTGTTTTACAGAAAATGCTAAATAAACAATTCTATGGGCAGAAATGTGAAAGCAATTTATTATTGTTCTATTCACTTTGGTTAAAACTTTAGAAACCATATGGAGCCTATAAATAGAAGCTTTTCTTTGTCTTTGGGATTGTTGAAAGCAGTTTCTCTTAGGTCCTGGGCAAAAAGCAGGAATTATCACTCTTTCTCTATCAAGGAGTAATACGCTGATTCAGACAATGCCTAAAAGATGGATTCCTAAAACACACTGTATATGAGAAGAACAGCAAACCTATCCACATATTTTGAAAAATCAAGGGCACTGTATCATAAATGGACTTGTGCTGTGGGGTTCTTCTGTTTTAGACATGGGTAGTTTAGTAACATATGACAATATATTAGATTACCAAAAAGAGCACGGAACTGTACCAGTAATGGTGCCTTAGAAATAGGATACCTTGAAAGGGTTCATTTTTAGACTTTGGAAAAGAAATGCAAATTCTGCAGGGATTGTTACAGGGTTGGAAGAACCTAAGTATCAATTAGCCGAATTTGGATCCATAAACACTTAGTTAAGTTTGGAAATAGTGTGCTTAACCAGAAAGAGACATCAGGCAAAAACGATTATGTGTATGTTAGTATTTTCTAAACTGTAGGTTTGTAGCCCATTAATAGGATTATAAAACCAATCGGGTGGGTTTTTAAAAAAATGAAATAGGATATAATAGAAAAGAAAATGTCAGAGGGCATTGTCGGTAAGGGGTAAGTACTGCCTGGTGAAACTGTGTTTGTGTGTGTGTGTGTGTGTGTGTGTGTATAAATATGTGTGTGTGTGCTGACTTGCCATGTTAAATGTATTATTATTGTGGCACACTAGATTAGGTGTGTTTATAGACCTATAAATTCTTACTTAGGTAATTTTCATGAAATGAGCCACCCCCACCCACTTGCCGTACAATAAGAAAATGCGCATTTTCAATAATTTTTCTAAAAATCCAAGGCTTAATGGAGCCTGGGCATAATAGGCCCTTACGTGTTTACTGAATAAACCAAGAAAAATAAGAATGTACAAATAGATGGTTATCTACAAGAATGCGACAAGCATTTCCAAACCAAAAGGTTATATGAACTGTTCCATGGGCCTGGACAACTTACCTTTACAACATCGATCTGTACTTCCAACATTCTGTTGAAATAAAATGCCAGCATTATATTTTCTGTTGTAAATGGCACACACATAAGAGAGACATTAACATTCACAGGCCAGAAAGGTATTTTTGGAGGCTGTGTCTACATTCTAGCAAAACATCTGCTTGGAAAGGGAAAAATTGAATGTTTGGGCAGTTTGTCTACACAGTACAAATCATCTAGCTGAAAGATGCACATTTAGCCATCAACCAGCTCCACTTGTCATTCTACAACAAAGCATATGGATGCAAGAAAAGAACTTTTTTGCTGTAGGGTGCATGACACTGTGTGAACAAACCATCGCCAGCCAGGTTCGATGTGTTGTCTCATACCACATATTTCCCCTGTGTTCACACACAAAGAATTGTGGTGGTGGCTGAAGATAAGTAAGGTAGATATATGATTCACTAACGGCCAATGGATCAATTAAAAATTTACTTTGAACTAAGAGCTCTGGATAATACAAATATTGACCGGTAAGATAAGCTTCTTCCTGTAAGACACTAGGTTGGAGTCAAGTTAGGAAGATATATCTTAAAGTAGAAATATGGTAACATCCAAATAAGAGTGGTTCATATTTGTTTGGTGTTTGCTTGTTTTAATCAGCTGCTTGAGTAAAGTTATAGAAGCCTTCTCAAACTTGCAGATGACACCATTGGAAGATATAATCCAAATGTATGTGAGTGAAGAGCAAAATGCTCTTAAAGGGCTAAAAAATGGCCTAAAGATAGTATTAATGCTAAATCTAGTAACGGAAAATGCAATCTTACATACGTTCTGGGGGAAAAAAAGGCCCGGTTTTCTGAGCTAACCATTATTTCTATACGAGCCAATATACAGAGTACTGCTAGTGAGAAATAATAAAATGCGGGCAGAATTCATGGAAATATAGGTCCAGGATAAAAAATGTTATAGATCTTATAATATGCCACATTGGTTACACAACATATATGGTCTGCAGGCAGTATTTTTAAATGGGCATTGATTAACTGAAGCACATGACAAAGGTGCACTTTAAGGAATACTCCAGGTTGAAAGCACCAGGGATGTTTCACCTAGAAATTAGGAGATGTCAGAAGAACCAGGAAGATTTCAGGAGCTCTTGAAAGCAACAGATTACTGCTTTTAAAGTATCTGAAGGACTTTCATGTGGGATAAGAGTTTATACCCTCATCTTATGGGGTGCCTTAAGGGAACTAGTCTCAACGGGAAAATGTGGTAAAGCCAGGGTATTTGGTCCATGTAAAAACAAAGAATTTTCTAAAATTCAGAGCATGTGAAAAAAAAAATCTACAGTTGTGTAAGGCAAGTAATCTCAATATCACTGAGAGAACGATGGGAAAATTACTGTGATGGATGCAAATAAAATTAGATTGAATTTTTGCAATTCCTTACAATTCTAGGAGTCTTGGACTAGGGAGAGCATTCACTGTGAGCTGGAAACACAGGGAGAAAGATGACTTCTTGGGGGAGGAGGGCCAGAGCTGGCTTTTAAAAACTAATTTTAAAACGTGCTCCCTGCCTCTCCTCACCACTTTTTAACTTTCTGAAATCAGTATATATCTTAAAATCATGCATATATTTAGGATGAAATGGTTTCCTGTTCCCCAAAAGCTGTTGTGAAATCAATGACGCATTGTATACAACCAGTGACATCTTAGTAAAAAGAAAATATAGTAAATTGGAATTAAACCATTAACAGTGGTAAGCCTCTGCATAGTGGGACTATGGCTGATTTTTATCTCTTCTTTTTGCATATCTTTACTTTCTGCAACACAAACATATTACATTTGTAATGGGGAAAAACATTTTAAAAGGATGATTTAGAACAGGATTAGATTTTCATCTAGAAAAGTCCCACTGGTGAAAAATGAAAGTGATGTCTAAATTAAGACATTTCATTGTTTCCCAGATAATGCACATAACTTTAGTTCAACCAAAGCATTTATTTTCGTAGACCATGAAAAACAACCCCTGGCCTACCTCTTTGAGATTATGGCCTCAAATCTAATTTTAACATCAATGACTGAAAAGTTGCCTTTATGTTACTACTCCTCAAATATACCCATATGTTAACATTTTAGTGGCCAGTGTTCTACTGACATTCTTTTATTTACTAAAGTAGTTCTTGCAAGTTGTAAAAATAGAACCCTTGGGAACTCAAAAAAGCCATTTTTATTTTAAATAGAAAAAAATTTTTTTTCTGAATTGACGTATATGCACAAAAACCATTCACTTCAGAGAGGGACATATCATAACTATACTGTGGTAGTAATGTACCGAATACTAACTCATCTACATGACAGAGTAATCATACTGCCCTACATTCACTCATTTTCAGGATGGCTGGGGTGGGTGGAGGGTAAAGGTATATTATTATATCTTACTCTGTGGGTTCATGAATGGGATGTTTAAAAATAACCGTTCCTCCTCTTTAATACAGAGTTAAAACTAGTATACATTTAAAATCCTCCTCTCTCTACAAATAAAAATGAACATGGAAAAATTTCCTATTATCTTTAAAGAGGGATATTCAAAGGAGATGTACGTTTGAAATATATAACTCTGAACATACAATGTTCTTTCAATAAAGGCTGGGCCAAGGGTCATAAAACTATAAAAAAAATACCCTGCCCCTTTGGACTGTAACAGCTAATCATTAGCCATCCATTCGCAATGTTTACCTTTTTGTGTGTTATTTTCACATTTTTCTTCATGGGGACTAACCATTAGTATCCCCCTAAGACTAACAAAAGTACATTCATTGCATGCTGGCAAATGATTTCCGGCCCCAAAGCATTTGCTGGTAGAAAAAGTTAAAGTATATCTAGGCTTATATTTCTATTATTGTTGGGCATTAGCGGCAGCATAAATTTTTCTTCCCAAGAACTTCATTCTAACTGGCTTCACATGTGATGGTAAAGAAGGAATTCCGAATTCACACGTACAATTAATGTGTTCTTGAATCAAATTTAGGAAAATGAAAAATTTAAAACATAATAGGCATCTCAGAAATCTTTTACTAAGTAGACATTTAAAAAATTCATTCTCTACTTAACCCCTTTACTTTCACTCACCAAAAAACTACCCCAAAGCACCATTGCCTCACAAATTAATATTCTTCTGCATTTTAAAAAGGGAGCTTGTTTGCATTTAAGCATGCCTATGTAAACAAGGTGTTTGATTGGGGGAGATTTTCTTCTCAGAGTATTCCAGAGCTGGAGTGAAGCTATTTAAAGAATGGAGTATTCAATTCCTTAGGCCAGATGCTAGTATAAATATGAAACTATGTTCACACTGCAGATGAAACTATTTTTAGTTGGTGCATTTTGAAGAGCACTATTCAGTTAAGCATTATAGGGTGGGATTTCAGTAAGCTACAAACAGAAACTAGACAGATTCCTGCCCCTGGGTTAACACACTGACACCAGGACTGCAGCAAGGGCTAGAACGCACTAGAATGGCCTCATCAGTTTAAAATACTGAGAGACGTCCCTGCAGGTTAATAAATAGCTGCTGCCCCATCTCCTCTCCCTAGTGCTCCCTGACTCTTCCTCCCTATCTCTGGTCTTCCCTTGGGAGTTCCTGGACACCCTATAGTCCAGACACTGAAGGGTTAACTCCTGACACACACAAGAGGTCCCTGGCTGCTATCGTGGCCCTGAGGTTTGTGTCCATTTAGACTGATGCCTGCCTATTCCCTACAGTTGCTAATGTGTTGATTCTCTCCCCACTACATCTGATTATCCAGCAAGTTGATCTCTATATTTGACCCCAGACTTCAAAATCAAGAAAGGTGCAAATCTAAAAGGGATTTGAGGACCACAGAAACCTGCAAAAATAAAATCACTCTGGGGCAGATCCTGGCAATGTTTTTCACACCAGGCACATCTGTCTCTGTGTTAAGCTCCTTTAACTGAGAGTTGCTAATGATGCCAAGGCTGTAGGTACACTGGGGGCACAGGTCATTTCTTCCCCGGTGCCTTGAACACACTAGGTACAACTATAGTAACTGCACACAGAAGGGGCTAGAGTAATGACAGTAATCAAAGATGACCGAAGTCTCCTGAAATCAGGACACAGGCACAGAAATCAAGAATGCACCAAGCAGTTCTCAACCTCCCACTAACACCCTCATGTATCATTTTCCATGGAGCTTTCTGTGGGGCCAATGGCTTTACAAAGAATTGTGTTGCTCTTTACTCAAATCTAGGATGCTCTGCCGAGCTGGTCCAGTCAGGGAGAGACATATAGGTCAGCTGTCCATCTGGATCTTCAATTGAGATGTGGGGTGGTGTCATGAGACAGTGGTTCTGGGTGCAGTCTCGCTCTCACTGCCCCAGGGACATGCCGCTCTTCCTGTGGCTATGAGCTAGGTCAGTTGGCTGGTGTGGGTCTGTGCCCCTTTCAGTATCTCTGCCATTAGACCAGGAGGTAACAGGTAGGGAAACAAAGTCCAGGGCTAAGCATGATTAATGTTTTCCTTTTTAGAATCTAAAACAGGAGATAAACCAGGCAAACTGGGGTTAAGAAGCTGAGAGGAACAGGGCCTTTCACTGTTGTCTTTTTTAACTTACAGAAAACTCATTCAGAAGAAAGGAATCAGAAATTAGGGAACTAAAAAAGAGAGACATGCGGGAATATCTTATTTTTCTTTAAGAATATTTTCTATTTGTTGAGACACATGTCATACAAATTGAGGACTAATCTCAGTCGGACACTCTCATTGGCCCTAATTTACATTAGTTGAGTTGAGTCCATTGGTAGAGTTGCACATTTTGACAAAACACCAATCACACACTCCCAGAAAAAAGAAAAAAAACAACTGTAGGGCTGCGAACACGGCTCTAAATATTTCTTAAGTTTCTACTAACATTAAAAACCACTGCAGTTTCTTTCGTGGTTTATTATGATATCACCAAATCCCCTCCATGTATTTATAGCCTTGTAAGTCATAATTACCAATCATTTACTCTAAGACCATAAATGCTTTTTGGTGACTTAACGGATAACTAACACTGTTAGTCGATGGATGAAGGTACTGCTCATATATGGGAAAATTTATTCTAGTCCAAACTTTAGGAGTTCATCTGTCAGATATTTTATGCCTCTATTCTTTTAATGATTCATTTACCTGCATAATATTTGTATTCAGAACTGCGGTGTTTCTAGCCAACGGCAGAATGCTCAGCTGAATTATCTTTTTCTTTCACAGCATAACAGAGTGGAGCACAGTCAAATTGAAGATGGCCTTCACTACACTGTCAGAATTAGATTGTCTGGCAAATGATCCAGGCCTATTTCTCAAACCCACATGTAATGTTCTGACTACCAACGTGCCCGTAGAGTCATTAACAAGCATCCTAAAACATGCTGTACATATTTAAATGATTAGGAGAGGAGTATGGATGATGAGGCTGTTTCTAATGGTGCTTCAGCTTTTATCAATTATGCAATGCAACACAGATGTGAGCCTTCACCTTTGTTTTTTGTGTGCTGCTAAAGTGCACTCCCTTTTAAAGCAGTGTTTATTTCCTTTTATCTAGCTTAAGCTCAGTGCTTGGGCAAGGGGGTTGTTCCAATGCAGACAATCCGAAGGATTCAACCTTGGCAAATCACCTTTGGCGAGGCAATTTCTGAAGAAGCTCATTTTACCCAGGACTCAGTTGTGCAACGTTATGCAATAACTGTTTGGGGCCAGTTGGTAGTAATAACAATTACCGTTTCCCTCACCCTGCTAAGATCTGTATTCAGAAATTGCCGAGAAGGCCGGGTGCGATGGCTCACGCCTGTAATCCCAGCACTTTGGGAGGCCTAGGCTGGCGGATCACCTGAGGTCAGGAGTTTGACACCAGCCTGGCTAACACGGTGAAACCCTGTTTCTACTAAAAATACAAAAAATTATTCAGGTGTGGTGGTGAGTGCCTGTAATCCCAGCTACTTGGGAGGCTGAGGCAGGAGAATCACTTGAACCGGGGAGGCAGAGGTTGCAGTGAGCCGAGATTGCACCATTGCACTCCAGCTTGAGCAACAAGAGTGAAACTCCATCTCAGAAAAAAAAGAAAGAAAGAAAGAAAGAAATTGCCCAGAATTGAGACACTGAGGTCCCCAAGCCCAATCAAGGGGCTAGGTATCAAACCACTGATAAGAGTCTGAGCATCTGGAAGGTAAGATTCATGCCTTTACTGTTCCTACAGCATTTCATCCTCTGGTGCTCAGTTAACACTGTAACTGACACGCGAAAAGGGCAGGTGCACGGTGGGTTATTTTCAGACTTCACATCTGTGTGGCAGTTACACTTCTGAGCCTATAGATTAATTCAGCGCAACCGGTTCCAACCCTTTCTAGCTTGTTGTTGACACGAGGCTTGCATGGTCTCAGAAGGTCTCAAAGCTATCGATAACCTAGGTTAGGCTGTTGCCCAAGAGAAAAGCCTCAAAGGAAATGACTTAACTGTGGTATACACTAGCGGTACCCAAGTCAATGTTAGGTGGTACATGGATAAACATATTTTTTATTTTAAGGATTATATATTTACCTTCACCATTAATTATAGCAAGTGATACAGGTTTTCCATTTACAGTGATGATATAAAATTTCCTACTTAAAGTTCTTTAAATTAAAAAGCAATTAATTTAAAGAAAAATTAAGTAAATAATAAAACAGTGTTATTGGTATGGCAAGAACTATAAAGTTGCTTTATAAATGACTAAAGTCTAGGATATCCTGATTTAAGGCTTAAGAGTTTAATAATGCTACCATGTATCAAGTGCTTTATGGCACCAGAAAAATGTCCATAAGCACCTGGGATTCTATATGTTATTAAATCCTACAGTATCCCTATCAGATAGATTTATTATACCCATTTTACAGATGAGAAAACTGATACTCTACAACTTGCCGAAGGGCATAAAGCTAGAGATTGGGGATCCAGAGTGCTAGTCTATGTCTGCCAGACTTTTAGTCCCTTACCACTACATTATGTTGCTGCCAAGTACAAGATTTAAGGTCTAATCATCCATCCATTCATCCAACATACCTACGGAGCACCTATGATATACCTAACAATGTCCTGGATTAAAAGAAGGGGGCCCTCATTTCCTTCCCTTCAAGTAGCCTAATCTAGTAAATGGCAGATGAGATCTTGGTCAGAGGGGAAAAAAAAGGGCTTCTCATCTTGGGCTTCAACTCATGCTCAAGGAGGCAGGCTACATTTTGGCCAAAAACAATATGCAGAACTCCCTACTTAAAAGACAAAACTCATAATCTTATAAATATTTAGAATATTTATAAGTGAATATTTAGAATATTTTATAAGTGAGCAGGAGACTGATTCCTATAATAAACACATTGCTGTTAAAAGAGGCAAAAGGCTTCCAAAAGAATCCTTAGGCAAGTCTCATTTTATGAAAACCCTATATATAAAAATTAAGCCATAGAAAATGTGTTTCCATTACAAAACGTGCTCCACTTTACCAAAAGGAGTTTCAGTAGGACTTCCTACTGTTGTGAGCTTCCTTGGAGCTTTCTAAAGAGAAAGTAACTACTGAAGACATTACTGTACGTAGTATTTCCATGCTGTCCAGACAGTAGAGAATGAATATTACCTATTGTCTCCTGTTGTCAAAATTTATAATTTGAAAATATAAAAGAAAAATATATGAAATAAGACAGTCATGCCCTTCCTTCCTACACATTCATGAAAAAAGAAACCCTCCAATCTGAAAGAGGAAACCCACCAACCAAGCGGGTAGACACACATCATCCTTGTTTTCCTTCTTCACAGCATAATGGTTCTGTGTTCTTAAAGGAAATCATCCAGCAGTCCTTAACAAGGAGTTCATGGACCAACTTCAGGAGGGGGCTGTTCATGAGTGTCCTCAAATGTCATTCAAATTTTGTGGATGTAAACGTTTTCTGGGTAGACAGTCCATAGGGTTCTTTGGATTCTCAAAGTCATCCATGCTGCCCTCCCAAGTTATAGCCCCACTAGACTAGGTGACCAACCACCTGTCCTCCCTATCACACGTGCATGAACTATTAGGAAAATACAGTAAATAAAACTTAGCTGAGATGCCTGAGTGGCTTCTTGGGGAGAACAGTAACTGGTAATTGGGCATTTAAAAGGGTATATCATAACCTTTAAAATCATCATCAATACCTTTCAGAATCAGATGAATGCTATGAATGGTCTCCCAAGAAAATGTGTGTTTACATATAAAATTCTGCATGCAGATTTTGGCAGGGGGTAGCATCTCCACAAAAATTATCCATCAGTTCTTAATTAAGATCCTATTACTCAGGTTATTTCCCAGCAGAACATTTAGGCACTTGACATGTAGCCCAATTTATAGGTTTTTTTGAAGGTGGGGTGGGGGAATAATGATTATCAGTATATCTCCTGCCAAACACTGAACCTATTAGGTGTAGTACAGATTCTAGATAAAATTGCCCTACCTTCACTCCCCAGACAGAGATGTGACAGAAGTTTTATTCAGCCACAAAGTTCTCCCAAGGTGAATTCTGTGATTTTGTGAAATCCACCACTAACATTGCCTTCAGGAGAAATTGTTTTATATGAAACAATTTGATTAACCACACTAGCCCCATTTGCAACCATGAATATAACTAGGCAAAAAGTTGACATTTTCATGGAAAGGTTCTATCATTTGCAATCTAAAATTGCTAATGTTTTCCCCTAGCTTGTAGGTTGTACCCTAAGAATATAATATGAAAATATTGCAGTGATGAATCATGGATAGTGAATGAGAGGATAAATTATTAACATTCTGAGCTTCAACTGACAGCCTTTCATTGCCAATGCAGCCATTTGTAGGCCTGGACAGTCTTCATAATTATGAAGCAAATGAAACTGAATAAATCAAAATAAGAAAGAGCCTTCAACTCCTCAGAACACTTTCTGGATGGAAGTGCTAGAGCTTTGGTGGAATATTAGGAATTTTGACAAGGAATATACAATATACATATTTCTTCTGTTAACCAGACAACCTCAAAATGAACCACTATGCACTTATCGGAGACAACAAAAAGGTCAGTATTTAACATCAAGCACAGGGTTTCTATTTGGAAAGCTGGGTTTGAACTAAGTATAAGTTCCTAGTGGGATGACTAGGCCTTTCAAAAAGAAAATCTAAGTCAGAGCTGACCACAAGATTCTTTATTTCTAGTAATATCCTGGTAGAATAGGAAGAGTAGTACATGGGATGGGAGTCTCCTCATTCATTCAACAATCATGTGTATGAGACTACTACCAATGAAAAAGAGGTCACGGCCGGGCGCGGCGGCTCACACCTCTAATCCCAGCACTTTGGAAGGCTGAGGCAGGTGGATCACAAGGTCAGGAGATCTAGACCAGCCTGGCCAAGATGGTGAAACCCGTCTCTACTAAAAATACAAAAATTAGCCGGGCGCGGTGGCGGGCACCTGTAATCACAGCTATTTGCGAGGCTGAGGATAAAAATTGCTTGAACCTGGGAGGCGGAGGTTGCAGTGGGCTGAGATCACACCAATCCACAAGAATCCGTCTCAAAAAGAAAGAAAGAAAGAAAAAGAGGTCACAATGCCTACTCTTTTAAGTTTTTACAATGTTGTTCACAGGCAAGACGTACTCATGCAACCTTCATCCAAGCTCCTGGAACACTGCTTACGCCTTCATCCATGCACTGGCTAGACTCTACCTTATAACATAGTTGTAGCTGTTTGCCCTGCTACCTGTGAGTTCCTTCCTTCCTACACATGCATGAAAACCAGAAACCCTCCAATCTAAAAGAGGAAACCCACCAACCAACCAGGTGGACAACCTCAAAATGAAGGCCGTAGTTGAGGGCAGTGACTGGGTCCCTTTCGTCTTCATATTCTTTCTACAGCAAATATAGTGCCCTGGCCTTATGAAGCATGAAATGGTGATTCTACTTCAAAATAACAGATTGGGCTAAACACTGCATTTGTCCAAATCTCTCTAGATCAGCACTGTCCAATATAAATATAAAGTGAGACACATACATTATTTTAAATTTTCATTAAAATTTCTTAAAAGGTCAAATTACAATAATATATTTTATTTAATCCAACATATCAAAAATATTATTTCAACATGCCATCTATATAAAAATCATTAGAGAGATATATATTCTTTTTCATACTAAGTTTTTTAAATCCAGTGTATTTTGCACTTCCAGTACATCCAGTCTGCATGCTAAATATATGACAGTTAAAATGCCAAGACAGGCCGGGCGCAGTGGCTTGCGCCTGTAATCCCAGCAATGTGGGAGGCTAAGGCAGGTGGATCACCTGAGGCCACGAGTTCGAGACCAGCCTGGCCAAAATGGTGAAACCCTGTCTCTACTAAATATACAAAAATCAGCCAGGCATAGTGGTTTGCACCTGTAGTCTCAGCTACTCAATAGGCTGAGGCAGGAGAATTGTTTGAACCTGGGAGGCGGAGGTTGCAGTGAGCCGAGATCGCACCACTGCACTCCAGCCTGGGCGACAGAGAGAAACTCCGTCTCAACAACAACAACAAAAAAACAAGACAATAAAGTTATGTTTAACAAAAAAAAATTTATACTGCTTCAGTTTTTTATTTTAAACTGAAATTAGTTAAAATTAAATATAAAACCCAAATTGTCAACTGTAGTAGCCACATTTCAGATGCCCAATAGCTATTTGTGGCTAGTAGCTATCATACTGGACAGCAGAGCTCTGCACTACTGTTAAACACTAAAATGCACATAGTAAGTTCCTGTCTTTTCAGAAAAACAATTTAAAAGGCTGAGGTGGGAGGATCACTTGAGCCTGGAAGCGGTTGAGGCTGCAATGAGCCATGATCCCAACAGAGTGAGATCCTATTTCAAAAAAACAAAAACCAATTTACACACAAACACACACAGATAACTGGAGGAATACCCGCAAATTGTTAGCAATTTATTATTTCTGGGAGGAGGAGTAGGACTGGAAAGGAGGTGAAGAAGGATTTTTTACTTACATTTTTATGTGTGTTATATAAAAAGTAAAATTAAGGAGAGAAAGATTGAGATGTCACCTTTTCTTTAAATACAGACAAATGTAGTTACAGTTTGAGAGTGATAGGGACAACTTAGATTTCTTTAGATAAGGGCCACCAGAAAGGTGAAGGAACTAGAAATCACACTGTATAAGGAATGTGAGATTGAGGTTATTAGTGTTTGACCTGGAGAAGGGAAAATTGGGAGTGGGGACAGAGAGTGCTGAGGAGGCCTGGAAACTGAAATGAAAATATTTGAAATGCTATCAAGAAAAAGAAAAATGTGATTTGTGCCATGTTGTTATAAGAATAGAACTGGAAACAACAGTATACAGTTAATACAATTGTTTATGCTATAAACCAGTGGTCCCCAAACTTTTTGGCACTAGGGACCAGTTTTGGCGAAGGCAGTTTTTCCATGGACTGTGTGGGATGGTTTCAGGATGAAACTGTTCCACCTCAGATCATCAGGCATTAGTTACATTCTCACAAGGAGTACACAACCTAGATCACGTGCATGCACAGTTCACAATAGGGTTTGTGCTCCTATGATAATCTAATGCCACTACTGATTTGATGGGAGGTGAAGCTCAGGCAGTAATGTTCAGGCAGGCTACTCACTTTCTGCTGTGCGGCCCAGTTTCTAACAGGCCAGGGGCTAGTACCAGTCCACAGCCCGGGGATTGGGGACCCCTGTTATAAACCATATAGTCAAATTTATTTTTCAGAAGTAAGAATGTCTAACAAAGAGATGGATAAAAGATGTAATGGGACTATCTCACAAAGTAATAAAAATTCCCACTCATTGAAAATATTAAAAAGTCAACTAATCAAGATTTCTGGGCCTGGTGCAGTGGCTCAGGCCTATAATCCCAGCACTTTGGGAGGCTGAGGCGGGTGGATCACTTGAGCTCAGGAGTTCGAGACCAGCCTGGCCAGCATGACGAAACCCCGTCTCTACTAAAAATACAAAAACTAGCTGGGCGTGGTGGCAGGTGCTTGTAATCCCAGCTACTCAAGAGGCTGAGGCAGGAGAATCACTTGAACCCAGGAGCCGGAGGTTGCAGTGAGCTGAGATTGGGCCACTGCACTCCAGCCTGGGTGACAGAGTGACAGCTTGTCTCAAAAAACAACAACAAAACAAAAAAAGATTTCTGCAAAGGGCATTGAAGAGATAGTAAGTATAGTAAAGATGACATTACTAAAATCTTGTAACTAGATTATCTGTAGTTCCTTTCATCCCTGAGATTTTATTATCCTATGATATACATCATTATCCTAAATGCATGTGTGAAATATCACTAATGTTCACATTCAATTCCCCTCTCCTTCTAAGAATGCTATAAGATCATATATCCATCCCCACCTCCTTTAAGTCAAGACATGGTCATGAAATTAATCACTTCATTGATTAATGAAATGTGAGAAGTGATGCATGTTACTGCATGTTATTAATGTATGTATTAATAAACACTTAATTGCCAGTACTCCACTTGTGCCTGTTTTTTCCCTTTCTGCGTGAGCATAGAAGCATGTGTTGGTATGGAGGTCCAAAGCAGGGCCACTGTAGAGGGGAAAACTGCTCTTAGAGTCCTATGTACCCCACACTGAACAGTATATAAACAAGAAGTCAGTCTTTGTTGTGTTCAGCTATTGAGGTTTTAGAAATGTTGCTACTACAGCATCCTTTAGGCTATTCTAAACTTGAAAATTCTTACTCATAACCTCCAAGAGAAAATAACACACACAAAACCATGGCACATCATAGATTGCTTTTTTTTTTTTTGAGATGGAGTTTCGCTCTTGTTGCCCAGGCTGGAGTGCAATGGCGCGATCTTGGCTCACCATGACCTCCGCCTCCCAGGTTCAAGCGATTCTCCTGCCTCAGCCTCCCAAGTAGCTGGGATTACAGGCATGCACCACCATGCCAAGCTAATTTTATATATTTAGTAGAGATGGGTTTTCTCCATGTTGGTCAGGCTGGTCTCCAACTCCTGACCTCAGGTGATCCACCTGCCTTGAAGTGCTGGGATTACAGGCCACTGCTCATGGCCCATAGTTTGCTTTCTTATGGAATAAATAGATACCACAAGGACAAAAGAGATTTCCAGTTGGGATGATTTCACAAACACACAAGCGTATTCACACACCTACTCATGCACATCCAATAAACCACAAGAACACCAGTTCACAGCCAGAGAAACATCAGAGGAGCTCAGCAATACACATGTTTTACATGTGATCATCCAGAGTACATTCTGAATTCCTGGCACGAAATTTTCTAGCCAACTAGCATCAGCTGTTAATCATGATCTAAGAGTGATCAGAGGAAGTAAAAAGCAGGTCTGTAGGACAATACACACAGGTAAATTTTAGCATCGAAATTTATATATATAATTTTATTTTATTTTTATTTATTTATTTATTTATTTTTTGAGATGCAGTTTCCCTCTTGTTGCCCAGGCTAGAGTGCAATGGCGCAATCTTGGCTCACTGCAACCCCCACCCCCCAGGTTCAAGTGATTCTCCTGCCTCAGCCTCCCGAGTAGCTGGGATTACAGGCACGCGCCACCATGCCTGGCTAATTTTGTATTTTTAGTGGATACGGGGTTTCTCCATGTTGGTCAGGCTGGTCTAGAACTCCCAACCTCAGGTGATCCACCACCTCAGCCTTCCAAATTGCTGGGATTACAGGCATGAGCCACCGTGCCCGGCTGAAATTTATATTTTTTAAAAATCACATTAAAAACTTCAAAATTCCTACAGAACTGGGATCATGGCTCACTTAACCCTCAATCAATTTCAATGTCTTATAATAGATAACTCAAGTGTTTGTGAATTAAATAAAATGAAATAACATACTACTGTAATCTCTGTCTTGGTATTCTTTTTATGTTGCATCTACTCACTTTGCTTTCTTGAGTAAGGGTTTACCTTTCTAAAGGAAAGGGGAAAGGAAACTAATATTGTTGACCAAGTGCTCCCACTGTGTGTTGGGTACCCCTATAGATGATCTAACGTAATCTTCCCAAGTCCTGGGAGACAAAACTGTGAGATGGGTATTGTTAACGCTGATTTATAGATAAGCAATCAAAGCAGAGTGAAAGCTTTTAAGGCCATACAGTTTATGGAGCAAGGACTTCAATCCAGGTCCATCTTACTTTGTAAAGTTCATGCTCTTTCCGCTACAACATAACTGACTACTGAGGTTTAGTACAGTGGTCAAAAAGAAGCTACCCTAAAATGGCAGCTTCTGTGTTTGCTCATTCTTCTAAATCTTTGATGGAAAACATTAATACAAATCAATGGGAACTAAATGAGCATTCTCAATTAAAAAAAAAAGAAAAGAAACCCAGATACAGGCCGCACATGTGAAAAGCCTGTATCTTTATACACACAGCCATCACGTGATAGTTAATTAGCCAGGTAACTATAGGTTTTTCTCTGCTAGAAAAGTATATGTTTCATCATGCTTTGAACTCTGCCTTATTATCAGCTCTGCTATGAAAACAATGTTTTATTTCCTATTGAGAGAATAGGCCAGGCATGAAGCATTGTTTTTGTAAGGCCTAACAGAATACTTTCTTTGTGAACAAAAGTTGTAGAATGAGTAGTTGGAAGATGGAGAATATCTTCCACCATAATTAGCAAGCAACCATTTTAAGGGAGGCGAAGATTAAAACGGTGTGATTGCCTAGAATAAGCAGCACTAGATGTCGTGCTACAATCATCTTCTTAATAACCTGTCATCTTAAAAAAAGATTACAAACAAGCCGATAATAATAAAAAAAAAGGTAAGGTGGAACAAGTCCAATCTGGATTTATTCCCTGCATATTTTTGTCACTACTATGACCCTGAAACACGAAGAAGATTCCCTTGAGAAAGGCATTAATATGTACCACTATTAAGATGTAAAATGTCCACACACACACACACACACACACACACCTATAACACCACCTACAATCCTCAGGCTAGCAGGATAGCTTCAAGCATGTTCACGTGATCTCTCAATGTGTTTTCTAGAATGAGTGATGAATAGATGACTACTAATTAGACCAAGAATAGTTAGCAAACTAATACCCCAAGTAGCTGCTGCTTCTACAGGGTACCAATGAAACAGCCTCTCCACTAGAGAGTGTCTTAGGAAGTGCTCTAAAAGAACTCAAATCAACCTTCAAATGCACATAGGTGTCTCAAGTAGACTAAGAACAGAGAACTCCAGAGATTTCAGGAAAGTCTGATCATAAAAGCCGCATGTTTACTTAACCTACTAGGTATAGCTTTGATGTCTGAGTGCTAACACTATAGAGTTAAGACTTTTTGGGAAGATAAGATAAACACATGAAAAAAGATACTGCATTATATTGGTAGGTATAGAGTAAGGTGATCAATAAGGTGGTAGAGACACTAAATGTGATAAGATAAGAGCTCAATAAAGCAGGGCAATTCCTCTGAGCTGGAAGGCTGAGAAGGGCTTCAGAGGCTTAAACAAGTCTTAAACGAAAGGCAGAATTCCCACAGGTAGGACTCCTAGAAAGGCTATTCCACGAGTAGAGAGGCATGAGCCACTTAAAACACACTGGAGAGTTTGGAAGGCAGGGGACTGAGTACATGTGGTTAAAGAGAAAGAAAACCAGGCAGTTAGACTAGTTAGGCTAGGGCAAAGAAGGTTTAGGAGAGGAGATAAGGTAGGGGATAGGTGTCTTAACGTTCTGTGTGCACTTTGAACCAGCGATCCCCCCCTACAAATGTATAAAGAAATAGTCATGGCTATGTGCATAACTACAAGAGTTTTATAAAGTTTGTGGGAATCAGAAAGAGCTGAAATGCCCAACGATAATTAAAGTATGAAACACCTCTGTAATGAAATATTCAGCAGCTGAAAAAAAAACCCAGTATAGGATATTTTACAATATGGGGGCATATTTATAATACCTCTGTACAAAATTAAGTATGGGAAGGTAGATTCCCAAACAGTAGATTTTATTTTTATGAGGAAAAATAATATCCATATAAATTCTCACTGATACATGCATTCATATGCATTGGTACATATACAAATACTAACAGCACTTCTGAGTGGGAGGAAAATAGGCAACATTAATTTTTCTGCTTTTTGTTTGTCAGTAGTGCCTATATTTTCTAAAACAAACATGGATAACATTGGTAGTAACAAAAAATAACAATAATGAAAGTTACTTAATGAAAAAGAGAAGAAAATGGAGCCTGGAAGTTCACTGGATACTCCTGTAACATTTGTATTTTATCCCGTAGGCATGAAGTTTGCAAAGAAACAGGGATCCTAAGCGGAATGCCAATATTTAAGGTCAGAAGTAAAAGATAATAGAAATAGTTAAAAATTCAAAAAGCAAGTGGGGCTGCCCAACGGAAGAGAGTTCTAGGCAAGGCACAGGCTCTGGGGTTTTAGGGAAGAAAGAAGCAATACCACTTCATCCAAGCACACCAAATGAAAACACACAGTGAGGCAACTAGGAAAAGCCTGAAATCATCAGCACTATTTGCTCAGCCCCTACTGTGCATGAAGCACTTCACGAAGTCTTTGAAAACCCACTATTATTCCAGTCTGTCCTAAATAAATACATTTATTAAAATAAGCTAAAAGTCCAAACCTCAGCTTTCCTCTGCAGTGACCTGCATAAACTACAGACTTAAACACATAATGTTACAGGAGAGGAGTGAATCTGACATTTAGGAAAGTTAATGTGTTGCAACAGAACTTCAGACTTAAAAGTACTCTAACAGATTAAACAAACTGTTCAAAAGAATCAGTGTCAATACCACCGAGTATTAAGAGTAAATGCACAAATCAGATACCTGCTCACAGAACCCACTGGAAAAACCACATCAATTCACATGTAGGATATATCTGCTTTGTGTTCCAAGGTGATGCTATCATGATAGCAGCTGTAATAATGGCTCACTGTCAGTAATCATACAGTGGCTAATGAGGTGAGAGGTAGAAGGCAAACAAAAACATTTTAGAGTTATGACAAAATAAAAGCATCATGCACCTCCAACTGAAAGGGGAACTGCTGAATCAAGCCTCATTTTTATTTTATTTATTTATTTTTGGAGACAGGGTCTCACTGTGTTGGCCAGGCTGGAATGCAGTGTGGGTTGCCCAGGCTGGAGTGTAGTGGTATCATCTTAGCTCACTGCAACCTTGAATTCCTGGGCATAAGTGATTGTCCTGCCTCAGCCTCCTGAGTAGCTGGGGCTACAGTTGGGCGTCACCAAACTCAGCTAATTTTTAAAATTTTTTTGCAGAGACAGGTCTCACTATGTTGCCCAGGTTCCTCTTGAACTCCTGGCCTCAAGCAATCCTCCCACCTCGGCCTTCCGGAGTGTTGGGGTTATAGGCGTGAGCCACTGTGCCCAGACAGACCTCACTTTAAAAGCACATCTGAGGTACAGAGTCAGTGTTGCATTCTCAAAAGATATTTAAAAGACCATGATGGTCCGGGCCAGGCATGGTGGCTCACGCCTATAATCCAAGCACTTTGGGAAGCTGAGGCGGGCAGATCACGAGGTCAGGAGTTCAAGATCACCCTGGCCAACATGGTGAAACCCCGTCTCTACTAAAAATACAAAAATTAGCTGGGCGTGGTGGCACATGTCTGTAATCCCAGCTACTTGGGAGGCTGAGGCAGGAGAATCACTTGAACCCGGAAGGCAGAGGTTGCAGTCTGCAGAGATCGCACCACTGCACTCCTGCCTGGGTGACAGAGCAAACCTCCATCTCAAAAAAAAAGAACAAAACATGGTGGATCAGTTGGGTTTGTCCTTCACAATAGACCCACTTTTATCACCAAATGCAAACAGAATTACTGGTCTAAGTTTGGCAATCTATCAGTGATAATGAAAATTTATGAGCTTGTATGAAGCCAAGGCCGCATAAGACTTGTTCCAGTCAATCCAAGGTACACAGCAAGAAACTAAAGGCATAGCAAGGAATAGGACCATAAATGAATTTATTCTTTCATCTTTTGATTATCTTCTCATCAGATGGCAATCTCTACAGACAGTTCTTTGGGAAATTAACATTTCAAATTAATGAAGCTAAAACAAAATTATGAATTCACTGTCTTATCCATCACGGTCTTTTTTTGTGGGGGCGTGGGGGGGTGGTGTGGACAAAGTTTCGCTCTTGTTGCCAAGGCTGGAGTGCAATGGTACAATCTTGACTCACTGCAACCTCCGCCTCCCGGGTTCAAGTGATTCTCCTGCCTCAGCCTCCCAAGTAGCTGGGATTATGGATGTGTGCTACCATACCCGTCTAATTTTGTATTTTTAGTAGGAAACGGGGTTTTACCATGTTGATCAGGCTGGTCTCAAACTCCTGACCTCAAGTGATCCACCTGCCTTGGCCTCCCAAAGTGTTGGGATTATAGGCGTGAGCCACCGTGCCCAGCCTCCATCATGGTCTTTTATCATAGATATGGCTGTAAAAAAACAAACTGCTAGAAAAAATAGACAAAACAAAACAAAAACAAGAACAGCTTAAGTCCAAGAGAACAACATGATTAAACTATCACATATGAAAATTTAGGAAAGACTTGCAGTTTTTATATTATTTGGTTGGAATAGCTTAAACAGACTCTCAGACACCAAGCTGGTCTTCAACTGTAGACCGTTACTGAGGCAAAAATCAGTTTGGGCAAGCCCTATCCTAAATGCTAGAGTAAAAAACTACAGGAACTACAGAAGCTCAAAAGGCACAACATTGATATTGAGCCACAGTAGCTGCCATATTAACAACGATGTTCATTAGATACTAGTCTACACTTAATATTACTGTGTATAAAAACAAACAAAAAAATAGGTACCTAAACTTCAGGGAGTGTAGTGGCAGAATATTTTCCCCCTTTTTGCTCTTACTTATAAAAAGGCCAAGGCCATACAGCTCTAGAGAAGAGTCCAGTAGTTTTGCTAATGTCATGTTGTATCTGGAGGATGCCAAGCCAGCTCCTTAGAGTTCTGGCCATGCGTAATGGATCACTGGGGCCTTTCTCTAGAATCTACTCCTATTCTGGCTCTAGGATTCTTAGTAAAAATGAGCTCCTGCAATATAAATGAGTTAAATGGTATAAAAAAATCACCTCAGCTGGGCATGGTGGCTCACACCTGTAATCCCAGCACTTTGGTAGGCCAAGGTGGGCAGATCACGAGGTCAGGAGATCGAGGCCATCCTGGCCAACACGATGAAGCCCCGTCTCTACTAAAATACAAAAAAATTAGCCGGATGTGGTGGCGCGCACCTGTAGTCCCAGCTACTCGGGAGGCTGAGGCAGGGAAATTGCTTGAACCCAGGAGGCAGAGGTTGCAGGGATCCGAATCCAGCCTGGTGACAGAGCAAAACTCCATCTCAAAAAAAAAAAAAAAAAAAATTACCTAAAGTGTATCCTAAGATAAGTAACCGTGATGGTGAGGGATTCTGAAAGCACATCTTAGGGAAGAACTGAAAAGAGAGGCCTGACGACTGTTAGAAGGAAAAAGAGGAGAAAACAATGTTCATGAAGGCCCCTTCCAGCCTGACAATTCTATAAAGAGTTTCAGAAAAGCATGATGCAGATTCTTGTACTCCATTACTCCTTTTGCATACATTGTATCCTAGAGGTAAATACTGGTAGCCTGGATACTAAAAATAGCACAGAAAGTTCCAATTTCACTTTTTTTCTACTTCTGCCCTGACATCTCCAAATGGAAAAGTAGGAATAAATTCCAAAATTCTACAAACTTCTTTTCAGCTGATGGTCCATCTTCAGTCCGTCATCAGAAGAAGAAATGAACCTGGAATTCTAAGAAGCTTTCGTGGCTGCAGGAAACACTAGAAAATCCTCAGGTCAACAGTAATTCCAAATGAAAGGGTCTTAACTTGGATTGTGCCTTCATGAGTGATGGCAGTACAAGTACCTGGGCAGCATTATCAACGACCAGCTGTTGATTGGCTCAGACTTGGTCAGATTTCACAAAGACCTCTTTTCTAGCAGGAATAGCCAAGATGGCTGAGTGTAGACAGCATAAATGAATATTACTTATTTGAGCCACTTTTACTCACTCATTCTACCACTATTACAAGGCAATATTCAACTATTTAATTAGATGGTCAAGCCAAAATTTAAATTTCAAATGAAATGAATAATCTTATTCCTATGTGTTATAACCATATGTATTCCTAGTTTCTTAGAAAACATACTGGGTTGGACACAGTGGCTCACACCTGTAATCCCAGCACTTTGGGAGGCCAAGGCGGGTGATCACTTGAGTTTAGGAGTCTGTGACCAGCCTGGCCAACATCGTGAAACCCCGTCTCTACTGAAAAAATACAAAAATTAGCTGGGCATGGTGGCGGGCACCTGTAATCCCAGCTACTTGGGAGGCTGAGGCAGGAGAATTGCTTGAACCCAGGAAGCAGACGTTACAGTGAGCCAAGATCGCACCACTGCACTCCAGCCTGGGCAATGCAGTGAGACCCTGTCTCAAAAAAAAAAAAAAAAAAAAAAAAAGAAAGTAAGTGAGAAGATATACTGGTAATAAGCTGTTCTAAAACTCTGAATATCTTGGATGCAGATTCTTGTACTCCATCAAAAGTCCTTTGGGTTGTCACATTATAACGGCATGAGGCAATCTCTTGAAGAGTCATGTGGGTACTTGGAGAGTATCTCCTCCAATGTTAATTGGGCTATGATAAAATTCTTTAACGAATGCATGGTTAACACAACAATATTGTCAGAGAGAAAATCCTTTGGAAAGTATCTTTACAAGTCTTTGATAAGTCTCGTATGTAATTAGTTTCCATGTTGAACTTAAGGATACTATAAAGGCCAAATTATTATTATTTTTTTTTGAGACAGAGTCTCACTCTGTTGCCCAGGCTGGGGTGCAGTGATGTGATCTCTGCTCACTACAACCTCCTCCTCCTGGGTTCAAGCAGTTCTCCTGCCTCAGCCTCCTGAGTAGCTCGGACTACAGGCGCATGCCACCATGCCCGGATAATTTTTATATTTTTAGTAGAGATGGGGCTTCACTATGTTGTCCAGGCTGATCTTGAACTCCTGACCTTGTGATCCACCCGCCTTGGCCTCCCAAAGTTTTGGGATTACAGGTGTGAGCCACTGCGCCTGGCCCAAATTCGTTTTAGTTAGAAGGTTGCTCTGTAATGATTCTTCATGATATTCATGAATAGTATAGTGCAACAATATATTATTTAAGAAACTTCTCAAGTTGCAGTGTTAAGAAAAATAGTAGACTTAGGCCAGCAATCCAAGCAACAAATACCTTCAAAAGACTCTTTAATATACATACAAAATTTAAATCTAGAAAGGAAGGAAGGATTGTCCCAGTAAGAAGGATGTCTTCCAATCCTAGTAAATTCATTAGCAGTGAAAAGTCTCTATGACAAGATGTCTGCATTTAGCATGCTTCTTACAGACATTTATATTGTTTTCTTCAACAAAAAGTGAGAATCCTTCCCATGTCCACATCTCAGGAAGCTGCCTGACATATCAAACTCAAAAGTGATCTGAAACAACCATTTGCAATACGAGGCCTCCAGAATCTCCAAGCAAAAACTACAGCTAATTTTTAACCAAGAGTATTTGAGATATCCTATACAACTGGCCACTTATGGCTCAGTTTATTTTGACAGAATTTTCAGGAGGATAAAAGTTTATAAAATATAAATATATATTAATATATAAATATATAAAATGTTTATGTTATATGGTATATATTACATACATTTATTATTTGAAATAAATATATATTAAAATAATAGTCATATATAATATGTATTTATATATATACATATAAACAAGCAAAAACCTAAAGGACTTTTATAATAGTTTTCTATCGAGGGAGACAGTAATGAGAGTAAACCCTGTTCTAAATTACTAGAATGTGTGTGTGATTAGGGAAATTCAAAAGGGACAAATAAGCTAACCTTGTACCACATGGCTCCCTATCATACAGAACCTGCTTCTGATAATAATAATGTACTAATAATACCACTTTAGACTTCAGTATCACAAATGTTTCCATAGATATTAACTAATTTGTTCTCAGGTGGTCTTCTCAAAAATCCAATGAGAAACAGCCAGGTACATATTATTGCCCATTTTAGACAAAACAAAGCTGAATGTATAAACAATATATCATTTAAGAAACTTCTCAAGTTGCAGTGTTATGGAAAATGGCAGAGTGAAACCAGCAATCCAAAGTAAAATATAAACAACAAATACCTTCCAAAGACTCTTTAATATACACATAAAATTTAAACCTACTTTGAGCCATTTGGTTGAACAGTTGTGTTCTTTTCATGTCACCTTAGAGCTGTATAATAATATTTCACTTTATCTCTGCAGCAATGAAGTGAGTACAGATATTTTATTTTACATTTGAAAATCTCATTGTATTTTATCTTTTTTTGTGGCTGAGAATTAAGAATTCATTGCTCTCATTAATAAAAGTTATTTCTCTTCACTGAAAAAAATAAAAAACAAAAAATATATACACATAAAATTTAAGTCTAGAAAGGAAGGAAGGATTGTTCCAATAAGAGGCATGTCTTCAAATCCTAATAAATTCATGAGAGCACTCAGGTAAAAAATCATACAGTGTCTTCCAGTGACTTTTCCAGTGGTGACAGATCTACATGTAGAGCCAAGATTCTCCTGACAGCCCACCCTCTGCTCTTTTAACCCCACCATGCTGTTGACTCCCAAAAAGTACAGTGAAAGTCCCAGCAACAGAAGAAAGGGGGAAGCTACTCTTTCTCAATTTGATGGGACAGATTTAGAAACAGAAATTGAACTGAGGGAACCCCCATCATTAAATTCAGCCAGACCCCCACACATAATCTTTGGGTCTTTTTTCTCAGTTTCAGCTCAGACTCCTCTATCTTTTCTTTCTTTTTCTAAAGACACATTTGGAGATGAAACCATTCATAACTGCCCATCCACAGACAGTTTGTGGCAGCATAATTGACAATGAGTCTGCTGCAAAAAAATGAAAATGCTGTTTTAATAACCTTGGCCTAAAATACATTCTGTTGTATGCCTCAAAGGGCTTCAATAAAAAGTCAACCTGTAGAGACATATTTTCTTGGCTTAAACAACAATCCAAAGCATATAAATGTAGTCCAACTATAATGACATATTTATAGGCCAATAAAGCTTACACTGCAGCTTTCATACTTCGCTTAAAGGAACTCTGTAAGAATCAGTGTTACATAAAATAATTTGATTTTTTTTTCAAACTATAGCCCAAGGAATAAAAAAATGCAAGTTTGCTATGTTTAACTGATAGTGTTTATATTCCTTACTTACTAAAAATTTTGTAAAATGAAATAATTCTTCATTTGACTACTTTCAACTGCCATACCAAATATGGGTATCAAGTCCACTTTATTATAAAAGCTAAGTACTGTAATTCTAAAGACAAAAATAAATAACTAGAGGCTTGTGTGGTGAATGATTTAATCAACCCAATTCTTCTGGAAAAACAGGTTCTTGTGTTCATTATGCTTATGAATAATACATTCCTTAACCCTCCTATTTTAACATAGTTATTTTTCTTTTTTTTTTATAAACTTCAGTATGAAACAGTCTGAAAGAAGGTAAAATATCTCACTGAGTAAAGTCATAATTTGCATTGGTTTCATATTGAACTTTCTTTCTTTGAAAAGGACAAAGAGGAGGGAAGAGAATGAATGCACTTTACCACATTTCAGAAGTGTTTTTTAAGATTATTAGTTTTTCCACTATCCAGATCTGTAGTTTTAGTCATCAACCATTAAGAGTCTTAAATGAAAACTCTAGAGAGTTTTAAAAAGCAGAAAGATGACATCCTCAAATATTGTCTAAATGTGCTCCCTCAAGGGGGAAGGGGATAAAAAAAAAATGAAAGAGTTGTGATTTGAATCAGAGCATTTATTGGAAGCTGCCATGTGGGGCAGAGTTTCTCTTTGTGGAGTATTAATTTGTTGGCAGACACACATTTGTGAGAACATTCTTGTTTTTTTTTTTTACTATTCAGAGAGAGACAGGAAGTGACACAAACTGGAATTAAAGCGAACTTATTCTACCTAAACACTAAGCAAGAAAAGTGCTTTAATGAGCTTTTATATTTTAAAATCCCTTCTCTAAGAACCAATCTAATTATTTTGTTATTATTCATGTTTCAACATTATGAAATAACTCAGTTAAAAAACGATAACATGTTGGAGTTTTACTTTATCCATAGAAAGGTGAGATCTTTCCGTTCTTTGCTTACTTCCACCAGAAAAAAAGGGGGGGGGCCTCAAATAATCTCACAGTTCATCTTCTTTCTTTGGTAAGAACAATGAGGAGTTGGAAGGGTTCTACAGAAGGAAAAACCTAATAAGTGTGTGAATTTCCATTAACAATGTGGTATTGGAGGTGGTTTCAGTGTGACCAACAGAAAAGGAGATAAGAAAACCACTGCGGAGAAAGAAAAGTACAGACAACAAATATTTTGATGTTATAGAAGAGGCTGAAGAGAAAGTTGTGGGGACAGGAATGTGTACAGAAAATGACACCCCCTATCTCCTCAATATAAATCCTGACAATGTAGACTTACAAACCTTAGATTAGGCAGATAATGGAAACTCATTACATTAAGGAAAGTTTTTGTTTCTCTTTCCACATTATTACAACACAGTGTGCATTCCAATTACAAAAGCTATTTGTCTCAAATTCCCCACAGTTCATAGCAACTGAGTAGAATTTCAAGGCCCTAAATTCTATCCTTAAAGGGGTATTTTACATTAAAAATTTTTTAAGTACATGGTGTTTCTTGTGCCCCAGGAGAGAGCCTCCCAATCAACTCTCCTGTTGATCATTTTCCCTTCTTCAGCACTAATCATAAAGCTGTCTCCAAAATGAGACCAAAACAAACAAACAAAATCAGACTCAACCTAAAAGCCTTTTTTGTTTTGTTTTGTTTTGTTTTTGAGACAGAGCCTCGCTGTTGTCGCCCAGGCTGGAGTGCAAAGGTGTGATGATTTCGGCTCACTGCAACCTCTGCCTCCCAGGTTCCAGCAATTCTCTTGCCTCAGCCTCCCAAGTAGCTGAGATTACAGGCCCCTGCCACCACACGTGACTAATTTTTCTATTTTTAGTAGAGATGGGGTTTCACCATGTTGGCCAGGCTGGTCTTGAACTCCTGACCTCAGGTGATCCACCTGCCTCGGCCTCCCAAAGTGCTGGGATTACAGGCGTGAGCCACCGCACCCGGCCAGGAACCTTTTTATCAATACACATTCATTGGCCTTTCCTTACTCCTACTGAATGAAGAATCTAGAAAAGCTGGTCTCAGTAATCAGTATTGTTTTTTAAATTTCTTTCTTGAGTCTAATAAGCAACTAAATTTAAAAACCACTCATCTAGATTTTCCAGGCCAAACCACCTGCAAGTACTGTGAATATTCACTATAAACCAATTTCTTCTGGAATCAACTGCAAAAAGGTAGAATATGGACCTTCTTTTTTTTTAGAATCCAAGAGGATCAACCTTTTATTTCTTTGGGTGGAATTAAGAAATTAGACTTATTTTCCTGTTCATTAATAAATTATCCATTTTAAACACAATTTTAAACATAAACCTTGCTATAAATACTCTTGTTTATATGTGTGACATCAAGCTTAACCATCTACACATCCTTTTGTCCCCTGTGGGTTTCCTGTTTAATTTTTTATTAGTAACAGTATATTCCATAACACACACACACAAAATTAAACAAACAAAAGAAAGGTTTTAATGTTAAGGAAAACATAAGACAATGGTAATACAACTTAGATCATACATTAGGAAAGTAACACAACAGATGTATTATTCAGCATTACCGCAAGTCATAAGACTAGTTATTGTGTGTTCACAAAACTGGGGGGTGTAACAGTATATATAGGAAGATTATCAAAAAACTCTTTGGCTTTAGAAGGAAAACCACTAGTCTAATAATTGTCTCTAAATGTGCAGGTGACAATCAGGCTGCCATATCTAAAATGTTACTGTCTGACATCAACCAAAAGATGCCAGGAAACCGTTGATAGTTAAACTCAAACTGCAAGAAAATATTAATGCTATTCCCAAAACACAGCACAGCTCATCACAAACCAGGGTCACATGAAAGCCACAGTCAGTTACTGGTGTTATTCAGTCTCTTTATGCCAATTAAAATAAATTGCCTAGGTTTGTTGTAATAGTTAAGTTCTGGGTTTAAAAAAAAAAAAACCAGGAAGTTGTCACATTAAGGCGTAAAATAGGACTGCAAAAATCAGCATTGTGCGCAAATGAAAGAAAAAGATGCCTTAATATGTTAAAGTGCAGTTCCTCTTTGCCTAAAGAGGAAATAACTAGTCTAAATCAGAGGACAACAATTTTCGTCTTGGGCAATGCTAGGAGAATAAATCAGTGAATGACACGGGAATACAAACAGAAGAAAAAAAAAAAGCAATGAAAGGACACAAAATGTCACTGGAGAAGAAAGTGTTAAGAAAAAGCAATAGAACTAATTATGAAGCCCCTCCTTTATGCCAGTCAATGTGCTCTACCCCTTCTATCTCACATCTCACAATAACCCTGTAAAGTTCCCCTATTTTTTAGATGGGGAAACTGAGGCTTAGAAGTTAAATTATTTGCCTAAGGCCATACAGCTAAGAAGCAGCAGAGTTAGTATGTAAACACCAATCAGCACAACTACTCCAAAGCCCAAGTTCTCCTTTAAACTTACAGTGGAAGAGGGAAGCAAAAAAAAAAAAAAAAAAAAAAAAAAAAAAAAAAAATATATATATATATATATATATATATATATATATATATATATAGTTGATGGTACCACTGAACACTAAAAGATCAAGCAAACCTATGCCATTGGTTGCCAACCAGTGGATCCCCTGGCTTGACATTGTTCTCTTGCTCCACATTGAGGAACTCATCCCTTTTCCTCAGTTTGTTTTCCACTCAATGTAAAACATGAAATTGGGACATGGTGTTAATAGATGTCATACTACATACTTATAGCAAGTATTTAAACTCTTCATTAATTCAATTTTAGGTGCTCTAATTAAATTGTATGCCTTGACATCACACTGAAAATTGTTTAGAACCACTGTATCACCCCAGCACAAGGGTCCATACATAAAAGGTCCTTTGATCCAACAGGTAACACTCATCCCTTACCCATCCAGTCATCTCTCCATCCATATTCTTAGGACCCTTTGAGGTTAAAGAAATTTGAAATACATTTATATATAAATGATAGTGTTTCCAGAAAAATCTTCAACCGAAAAGTTACTATATACGCCCACACATTAGATTTAAAATTACAAGTCATATTTACCCAGGTCTGCCTTCTCCTTGAGAACGTCTTTGAAGTTGAGTCCACTGTTTAGGGTTGACTGCCTGTACTTCAGCAGAGCTTCCTTCTGTCCATTCCTTCCCAAGGCCTCAGTTTTCACTGGTCCAGCGTGGAAGCCACATCTCCACTTGGAGAAATCAGAATGTACCCACTTGACCAGGTCTTCAAGCTTCACAATCACCTTTTCGGAAACAGCAATGACTTCATCCTACAAGAGGTGGTTGGGGAAGAACAAAAAACGTTATTTATAGGTTTGAGGGAAATGATCCACTCTCCACAAGGCCCATCTGAAATGCCATGTGAGTGGTTTAACCTAATGCAAGGAGACTGTGTGCATTCTGGTGACACAGAATCTTTAGTAACTCACTTCATTTCAATGGTTTTTCACTGCTAGTTGTTTAGTTAAGGAATAATTTTTATGTTTGTTATACAATTAGAAAGTATCCAAAAATAGGACAGTAATTCTAATAAGCCATTTTTAATGTTGGTTGCCCAAGTTCACACTCTACCTAGCTGACCACTTGGGTGAAAGCTAGTTTTTAGGTGTAATTAATTGCAAATGTAAAAAGTGAAAGCTAGATGACTAATGGTGAGCCTGTCTCTACATAAATGGTCTAAGTAAATCTAGGATTCTTGGAACTCTGACTCACCCCCAAATTCCTATGTTTATGGTACATTTTCCCTTGGCTTATACACAAATATTGAATTTAACTTTTGTCCTAAAAATTAAATAAAACTGTGATGTAATCCCAAAAGAAATACTTCATAAATGTTATGTGCTTCCCACTGAAAGAAACTTACACATTCTCATGTTTCTCAAAAACTTTGTAAGCTGAGAAATGAACTGATTTTTTCTTTTAATACAGATGGGGTAGAGGGTGAGAGGGTGAGTGAGGAAAAAGTCTTTGAATTTAAGAAAAGTAGTTGAAATGCAAGTTTCTCCTCTGGATCATAAATTTGAATGTTAAGCATCTCTAATTGCTTCTAGGAAACAACCAACTTTTCTGACTCAGAATTAATTCAGCAAGATCTTTAATAGACATCCATACATGGAACAAAGGGAGGCCCCTTCACCCAAAGATTCTTTGGAAAAGGCTCAAGAAGATCATCTCACTGGGTTTTAAGTTAAGTTATTTAAGCATCTGACATTTCAACTTGAACTGACTTCTTTCATTTCTTTTATTTCACATTTCTGAAGAAAGCTTGGCTGTGAAAACCCCTAAGATTACAAAATCTTAGAAATATTTTTGACAAACAACAACAGGAAGATGTCTCAAAGCTATTAAACAAAAGGAATTCACAACTGATTTTGGCTAATTTTGCTGTTAAACATGACTTTTTCCTCCTCCCCAAACATGACTTTTTCCTCCTCCCCCTGCCCCACCGACACACACACACACACACACACACACACACACACACACACTTCTCCAATTCGAACAAAAAAAGGTTATTAGGGTAAGCTTCACATAATAAGAAGCCCTGGGTTGAGGGTTTTTTTTTTTTTCTGATGTTTTAAGGTAGGATCTAAAATTTCAATTTTCCTCATTGAGTTCCAAGCTGCTTCTGAGAAGAAAGTCTATTAGGCAGCAGCAGAGTAACAAATACTCTATCAAAAATGAAAAGTAAAACTTTAGTAATGGAATCCTTTCCCTTATCATGATTAAATATGAACTACCACTAAATGGGAGACAAAGTGGAAACTGTGTTTCTATCGTGCGCTCAAGAAAAAATTTGAGTACTTTATAAACAATGGGGCCCATTACAAAGTACCATTTCAACGGATGATTTCCCTCAGATTCACCACACCATCCTCTTGAAATAAAAGATCTGTAGTTGTCATGCATTTTATAGCTATTTCATGGTGATTATTAAATGTCAGAATAAAGTCAGGCTAGATATTGTTTCAAAGCATATGGGAACAGCTTCTGGACAGGTGACACCAGAAATCAAGTTTAGAATGTACTGGAAAATAATTAGGTGTATCAGTCTCAACATTAGTAAAGAGAGAATTTGGCAACATTTTGACTAAATACAGTTTCCCAGAAGAGACAAGTTTGTAGATGAGTGTTATTTTCAAATAGCTCTCTGATCAAATGATTATCATTTCAATTACTAGTTGCTTCAGATCTTTTCCAAGAAATGGCATGACTATCTCTGGATGGCTTACAACACCCTCCAAACAAATAGTATATTAACCAAGAGAAAATACTATCCTTATGATGTCATTAATGAATAAACCCATCTTTTATGATTCAGTCTATAGGTTTTGTCCTCCCTTTTTCTCCCTCTCTCAAACAGATCTTTCATGAATACACACACACACATAAAAACAAATGCAGGAATTCACATAAACATGCATAAGCCATAAACCCAAGTTTGGCTTAATTGTGAAACCACCAGTATGTTTTACTGTGGATTCACAGAGAAACTGGCCCTGCAACATTGTCAAATGCCATAGAAGGAAATCTGATAAGGAGAGGAGGGGGAAACAGCAAGCCAACACCCCCCTCCCACCACAAGAAAACAAAAAGTAGCCAACATATATATAGAAAATGTCTCAGGAAACATTACTTTGTGCACACAATGGCATAAATCACATGTTCGCATTTACTATTCTGAGCAAGTGCTGACTAAAGTTCCTAATACTCACCATTCTTGGGCAAGTCTCTATGTCTAAGAAAAGAATTTCAATAAGCTCATCTCATGATTACATTAGCTCTCTGCAAACTGAGAATTAGCACTGGATAAATATTGCTGATTTACTCTAATACAACACAAAAGGAACACAAAGAAATACACTTTGTTATTCTATTAATGTACCTTGGCTTTTCAATTAACCCAGCTCTTAATCAATATTTATGTAAGCTGTGTTGAGCCACGTTCTAAGTCCTTATCCCCTTTCGTCATTGTTTTAAACTGCCTATTTCTGTAATTTGGATTTAGTTTCTACCATTGTCCAAAAACAGCTCATTTAATCATAAATCCTCTAAGTCAAGAGGAGCTCATCCAGTCAAGAAGTCACAAACCAGTCAGCCCATGTGCATGGCGGGCCCTTCCAAGTGTTCTAAAACTTGGGAAACTTTAGGCAAAAATACCCAGACCTCAATCTTCTCTCATAAAATAAAATAAAGGCCAAAAAATAAAAATAAAAAACAGTTGAAACTGATAGAAGCTGCCTTCTTCAGACAAGATGTAAAATCCCCACCACTCCCTATTGCATTGTATTCAGTCCAGTTTTCCCTTAACTATCTGGCCCCCGTGGGCACCAGACATTTAAACTTGTAACATTGATTTAGTTCACCTTTCTCATTTTACTGATGAGGACAGTGAGGTTCAGTGACATGTCCAAGAACCAACTGACGGCAGGACTTGAACAAAGATCCAGGTTTCCTATCTGCCAAGACAGCATCTTGGACTCTGCAGCCAGATTGCTTGGGTTCAAATTCCAGCCCCGGAATTTACTTGCTGTGGAACACTGAGCAACTTCTTCAGCCTCCTTGTACTTCAAAGTTTTTTTTTCTTTCTTTTTTTTTTTTTTTTGGGGAAGAAAAAAAGGGAAACCCAGGTTTTATAATAATTCTGTCTGCCTTGTCCAGCAGTAATTGCCAGGACTCAATGGGTTGATACAAATGAAGTAGCATGTCAGAATTAGCTATCATGATCATTGTTATTTCTTCTCTAAATTGGTGTTTTCCAAACCGTGGCATGCAGAGATGATTTTAGATGGTTCACAGGTAGACTTTTAATTTAATTAAATTAATTTATTTATTTGAGACGGAGTCTCACTCTGTAGCCCAGGCTGAAGTGCAGTGGCACGATCTCAGCTCCTGCAACCTCTGCCTCTCAGGTTCAAGCGATTCTCCTGCCTCAGCCTCCTTAGTAACTGGGATTACAGGTGCCTGCCATCACGCCTGGCTAATCTTTGTACTTTTAGTAGAGACAGGGTTTCACCATGTTGGCCAGGATGGTCTCGAACTCCTGACCTCTGGTGATCTGCCTGCCTTGGCCTCCCAGGGCGCTGGGATTACAGGCGTGAGCCACCGCACCCGGCCCAGAAATAAACTTTTAAAATGTATATTAAGTTTTTCATTGCTTATTTGTTTTGTATTTACTATTTATGGGAAGGTGGTACTGGTTTTCTATTTATAGGAGATATAGCAAGTTTTAAAAAAGGGCCAATTTGAACATAGGCATTAAGTAAACACAGGGAACATGTGGATATAGCCAGAAAAATAAAAGTCAAGATGCTATGAAAATAAAATTTGGAACAATGTGTTATATCATTGGTTTTCAAAGTGGGTTCAGAAACCCTCGGGAATCTCTGAGACCATTTCAGATGGTCCACAGGGTCAAAACAATGATCCTAAAACTACTAAGACATTACTGGCTTTTTTCACTCTCATCCTCTTTCAAGTGTATATATAGTAGGGTTTTCCAGAAACGATGTGACATGTGATATCACAACAGAGTGAATGCAGAAGGAGATATGAGAACTCCGCTCTCTATATAAAGCTAGACAGTAAAGAGATTTACAAAAAATGTAAAACAATGCCACTGTTCTTACTAATTTTTTGTTGTTTTTGAAAATATGGTTAACTTTCATAAAAAGTGCGTTACATTTACATAATGAGTTTATATTGCTATTTTATTTTATTTTTAAATTAACTTACAGTAAAATTTCCTTTTTTGGTGTACAGTTCTGCGAATTTTAACACATGGATAGATTCATATAACTACCACGACTATATTGTCAGGATACAGACTAGTCCCTCACCCTCAAAACCCCTCATATTAATTCTTAGTAGTCACCCTCTCCCTCCACTCCCCACCAGCTCCTGGCAACTACTGATTTGTTCTTGGTATAGTTTTTTCTTTCCTAAAATGTCATATAAATTGAATCATACAGTACAAAATCTTTGAGGCTGCTTCTTAAAGCAGCCTCAAAGAATAATGCCTTTGAGATCCATCCATCCATGACCCTGCTTGTATCGATAGCTTATTCCTTTCTGCAGAGTTCTTATGTATCCATGGTATGTTTGTGTCCCAAAGTTTGTTTATCCACGCACTGACTGAGGGACATCTGGTTTGTTTCAATTTTGGTGATTACAAACAGAGCTGCTATAAATTTCCATGTACGGGCATACCTCTTTTTATTGTGCTTCACTTTACTGCACTTCACAGATATTGCATTTTTTACAAATTGAAAGTCTGTGGGAAGCAAGTTGTGCCAAGAAAGTCTATCGGCCCCATTTTTCCAACAGGAGGTGCTCGCTTTGTGTCTCCAGGTCACATTTTGGTAATTCTTGTGATATTTCAAAACTTGTCATTATTGTTATATCCAGTATGTTGATCTGTAATCTTTTTTTTTTTTTTTTTAATCAGAGTCTTGCTCTGTTGCCCAGGCTGGAGTGCAATGGTGCAATCTCGGCTCACTGCAACCTCCGCCTCCGGGATTCAGACAATTCTCTTGCCTCAGCCTCCCGAGTAGCTGGGATTACAGGCATGTGCCACCATGCCCAGCTAATTTTTGTATTTTTAGTAGAGACGGGGTTTCACCATGTTGGTCAGGCTGGCCTCGAACTCCTGACCTCATGATCCACCCGCCTCAGACTCCCAAAGTGCTGGGATTACAGGTGTGAGCCACCGCACCCAGCCGATCAGTGATCTTTAATATTACTATTGTAATTGTTTGGAGATGCCACAAACCATGCAGATATAAGGTGGCAAACTTCACTGACAACTGTTTTGTGTTCTGACTGCTCCACTGACCTGCCTTTTTCCCCAGTCTATCTCCCTCTCCTCCTGCCTACCTATTCCATAAGACTTAACAATAATGGGCTAATTAATAACCCTACAATGGCCTCTAAGTGTTCAAGTGAAAGTAGGAGTCCCATGCCTCTCCCTTTAAATCAAAAGCTAGAAATAATTAAGCTTAGTGAGGAAGGCATGTCAAAACCCAAGAGAGGCTGAAAGCTAGGCCTCTTGCGCCAGTTAACCATGTTGTGAATGCAAAGGAAAAGCTCTTAAAGGAAATTCAAAGCACTACTCCAGTGAGCATACAAATGATAAGAAGGCAAAACAGACTTACTGCTGATATGGAGAAAGTTTTAGTGGTCTGGGTAGAAAGATCAAACAGGCCACAATATTCCCTTAAACCAAAGCCTAATCCAGAGCAGGGCCCTAACTCTCTTCAATTCTACGAAAGCTAAAAGTGGTGAGGAAGCTGCAAAATAAAGGTTGGAAGCTAACAGAGGTTGATTCATGAGGTTTAAGGAAAGAAGCTGCCTCTGTAACTTTCAAGTACACGGTAAAGCAGGAAATGCTGATGTAGAAATTGCAGCAAGTTTACCAGAAGATCTAGCTAAGATAATTGAAGGTAGCTACACTAAACAACAGATTTTCAATAGAAGATGAAACAGCCTTATATTGGGCAAAAAAGACCATCTAGGACTTTCATAGATAGTGAGATGTCAATGCCAGCTTCAAAGCTTCAGAGGACAGGCTGATTCTTCTGTTAGGGGCTAATGCAGCTGGTGATTTTAAGTTGAAGCCAATGCTCATTTACCATTCTGAAAATCCTAGGGCCTTTCAGGATTATGCTAAATCTATGCTCTCTGTGCTCTATAAATGAAAAAATGAAGCTGGATTGAGAGCACATCTGTTTACAGCAGGGTTTACTGAAAATTTTAAGCCTGCTGTTGAGACCTATTGCTCAGAATAAGAGATTTCTTTACAAATATGACTGCTTATTGACATCCAAGGTTCTGATGGAGATGTACAAAGAGATGAATGTTGTTTTTATGCCTGCTAACACAACATCTATTCTGCAGTCCATGGATCAAGGAGTAACTTTGACTTACGAGTATCATTATATAAGAAATATACTTTATGAAGCTATAGCTGCCACAGTGATTCCTCTGATAGATCTAGGCAAAGTAAACGGAAAACCTTCTAGAAAGCATTCACTATTCTAGATGCCATTAAGTACATTCAGATTCATGAAAGTGGGTCAAAACATCAATATTAACAGAAGTTTGGAAGGCATTGATTCAACCCTCATAGGTGACGACTTTCAGGAATTTAAGACTTCAGTGGAAGAAGTAACTGCAGAGGTGGTGGAAACAATAAGATAACTAGAATTAGAAGTGGAGCCCAAAGATGTGAATGAATTGCTGCAATCTCATGACTAAACTTGAACAGATGAAGAGGAGCTACTTCTTATGAATGAGTAAAGAAAGGGGTTTCTTGACATAAAATCTACTGTTGGTGAAGATGCTGTCAACAATGTTTTTTTGTTTTGTTTTGTTTTTGTTCTTTTGAGTTGGGTCTGGCTCTGTTGGCCAGGTTGGAGTGCATTGGCACCATATGGCCTGAACTCCTGGCCTCAAGCTATCTTCTCACTTCAGCCTCCCGAATAGGTGGGACTACAGGCCTGGCTAAATTTTTAAATTTATTTTTAGAGAGGAGTTTCACTGTGTTGCTTAGGTTGCTCTCAAACTCCTAGCCTCAAGCAATCCTCTTTCCTCATCCTCCCGAAGTGCTGGGATTTGTGAACATTGCTGAAATGACCACAAAAAGTTCAGAATATTACGTCAAGTTAGTTGATAAAGGCAGTGGCAGGGTTTGAGAGGGTTGACTCCAATTTTGAAAGAAATTCTACCTGTGGGTAAAATCCAATCAAGCAGCACTGCATACTACAGAGTAATCTTTCGTGAAATGAAGTGTCAACCAATGCATGGCATTTTAAGAAATTGTGATTTTGAGACCAGCCTGGGCAACATGGCGAAACTGCATCTCAACAGCAACAAAAATTAGCCAGGTGTGGTGGCACACACCCATAGTTCCAGCTACTCAGGGGCTGAGGTGGAAGGATCACTTGAGCCTGGGAAGTCGAGGCTGCAGTGAACCATTAATGCACCACTGCACTCCAGCCTGGGTGACAGAGTGAGATTCTGTCTCAAAAAAAAAAAAAAAGAAAAAGAAAAAGAAAAAGAAAAAAGGAATTGCCACAGTCACCCTAACCTTCAGCAACCACGACCCTGATCAGTCAGCTGCCATCAACATCAAGCCCAGATCTTCCACAAGCAAAAAAAATTACAACTTGCGGAAGACTCAGATGATCTTCAGCATTTATTGGCAATAAGGTATTTTTAAATTATGGTATGTACTTTTTTTTTAGACATATTGCTAACGCACATTTAGCAGACTACAGTATGGTGTAAATGTAACTTTTATACGCGCTAGGAAACCAAAACAGTCATGTGACTAGCTTTATTGCGATATTCATTTTCTTGCAGTGGTCTGAAACCAAACCTGCATTATCTCTAAGGTATGCCCGCACAGGTTTTTGTGTGAACCCATATTTTCAATTCTCTAGAGTAAACACCTTGGAGACAGATTGCTGAGTCATATGGTAAGTATGGATGTAATTTTTCTACAGACTGCCCAACTGTTTTCCAGAGTGGCTGTACCATTTTACATTCCCAACAGCAATGCATGAGAGTTCCAGTTGCTCCCCATCCTTGCCAGTACTTGACACTATCACTGTTAATTAATTGATTATTAATAATTAATAATTATTATCCTAATATGTATGTGGTAGTTTCTCATTGTGTTTTAAATGGTCATCTCTCTAATGACTAATGATGTCAAACATCTTCTTCAGGTGCTAACTCACCAACTGCATGTCCTTTTTGGTGAAATGTGTGTTTAAGTCTTCTGCCCATTTGGTTATTTGTTTTCTTACACTTGAGTTTTGAGAGTTCTTTTAACTTTTTGTCAGATATGTGGTTTGAAACCACTTTCTCCTATTTTGTAGCTTGTTTTAAAATTCTCGTAATAGTGTCTTTCACAAAGCAAAGGTTTTATATTTTGATTAAGTCCAGTTAGATTTTTTTTCTTTTATGGATTGTGGCTTGCCATTATATCTATGAACTCTTTGCCTATCCCAGGTCATAATGAGTTTCTCCTATGTTCTGTTCTAAAAGTTTTATAGGTTTACATTTTACTTTTAGAAATATGATCTGTTTTCACTTAATTGTGTATAAGTTATGAGGTTCAGCTTGATGTATTTTTGTGCATGTGGATGTCATAATTTTTAAATGAATTAATAGATATTTTAAAATTATTTCTCAGTTTTAATTCCTACTGTAGTAAATATCAGTAGGTATAACCTACATAAACAAAAGCTCCTTGGGGCCCTCAATAAGTTGAGTGTAAAGGGTCCTGAGTCCGAAACTTTGAGAGCCATGGTATTATGTCACTAACCCAAGGCGTTTTCTTATTCTTCAATTTCTTTAACTTCTTTGTAGCATTTGGTAATGAACAACCCTAATTTTGACTTGAAACTCTCCTTCCTGTTAAGAACTGTGAAGGGTCTGAGATTTTTACCCTTTTTTCAGACTTCCAAGTTCACCTGCCAGTTTCATGGATGTTGGCAGAAGCCATGAGACTCCTGGCCAGAGACAAAAAATGGTTTATTACTCACAGTAATAGCAATAGTCAATGTACCAGCGTTTGTGGTGGTTCTTTAATACTCAGTTCCCAAAAGGAGATGTGAAGAGGGATAGATGATACCTTTTCACACAATGGGGTGCACTACTGGAGAAGAGTCCTGAGCATAGAGAACCTGTATCTTATTTATTTATTTATTTATTTATTTATTTTTTGAGGCGGAGTCTCGCTCTGTCGCCCAGGCTGGAGTGCAGTGGTGCCATCTCGGTTCACTGCAAGCTCTGCCTCCCGGGTTCACGCCATTCTCCTGCCTCAGCCTCCCGAGTAGCTGGGACTACAGGTGCCCGCCATCACACCCGGCTAATTTTTTGTATTTTTAGTAGAGACGGAGTTTCACCGTGTTAGCCAGGATGGTCTCGATCTCCTGACCTCATGATCCGCCCGCCTCGCCCTCCCAAAGTGCTAGGATTACAGGTGTGAGCCACCGCACCTGGCCGAGAACCTGTATCTTTAATACTGGACAGTAAGCATGCCTGCTCTTGTTCTAAGGAAAAACACTACCTTTGTCTTCCAATGCTATTCACTATATAAAGATCTTTGAAAAGACAGTCCAGAACACAGACAGTCAGTGGCTTTGCTCACAAGATGTGTACATATGCAAGAGACCCTTGGAGAACACCTACCCAACATCTATCACCTCTACATTTCTTTGCTTTATTCAATTTCTCTTCTTCCTCATTCCATCTCCCAACTGGGAAAATGTATGAAACATATACTTAGATGCAATCTGGGATGTGGTCTTCTTTCTCTGCATATCACTCCTTAAAGAAATCATTCTCTATGGGGATTCCAGTGCTCACCCCTAAAGCCCATGACTACATTGTACTGTTTGGTCCCAAAAATTCATCCACACTCTAGTCCCTTGTTATCAATTTGGATGCCTCAGAGTCAACTCAAGCTCAGCGGAACTGCACAGCCTTCCCTTTGACTTACTTGTAAGAAAATATCTTGCCTGGTACAAGGAGACTTTAACACTTCCCAACTGTGGCTAACCTCTCCATAATATCTATTCTTCCTTTCTAATAATAAACTGCTAAATTGCTGGGTGGAGAATAAAGGCGTCCTTTTTCTGCTTCCTTTTACAGCCAGGTGCAGTCACGTGACCAAATTATGACTACAGGATATGAGTATTAGTGATGTCCTTCCCGGATGTAATTCCCTCAAAGGGAATAAGTGTAGCTTTGGACCATAAGAATGAGGGCAAATTGCTCAGGAGAAAAAGGAGCCCAGTCCCTAGACAACCTCACAGAGCAAAGCCACCACACTAGCCCTGTGAGCCATCTACGTCTGTACCATGATAAGAGATTTTGAACTCCCAATGTATCTAAGCAACTATAATATACGAGTCTCTGTTACACACAGCTGAACCTATATCCTTACTAATATGGCATCCCTCCAGAGAAAGAACATGAACTTTTCTTATCATACTGTGTTGTACCCAGTAACAGATCATTGGTAAGGAGAGCTATAATCACCTAGCATCCCAAGGACAATAAATGCACAAGTGTAATATCAGACGGGTTGGCAGGGAGGGGATGGAACAAGAACAGGAAAGCATGGCATACTCACCTCAGTCTTCCCTGAACATCCCAGGCTTTCAAAATGTACTTTGTAGCATTTGAAACATGATAAATGTTGGGAACACAAAAACAACAATATGAGGTATTAGCTAAATAAATTGTGACACCGAAATACTAGTCCAACTAGTTGCATGAGGGTGGCAAACTTTAATTAAGATAGAAATTAAAAATGAAGGAACTCTGTTAAGAGTCAACTTTTAGACAGACTAACTACAACCACTTCAGCTTGTGTCCTGACGGAACCATTCCTGGCAGGTGCATGTGCCTCTGGTGTGCACCAATGGAGACGGGTAGGGGGAAGAATGTACCACCTCGAAGCCTGGGTGGTTTGGCCACTCCCTTGCTTTCAAGCCTCCCTCAGACACACTGCAATTTGAGGTACCTACCAGTTTGCCCAACTGTTCTCCCCATTACACATTAGTGTATTCTGCTAATGGGATATCTACAGAGGGAGTAAAAAGGTTTCACACTACAGATAAGTAGTTGCCACTCGGAATCCAAGAAAGTCAGAAAAGACAGGATGGTAATATGGATCAAACAAGATGAAGCTTTCACTGGTCAGCGGTGAAATGAGAAAAATGGGGACAATGCAGTCAAGCTTCATTAAGCTAAACTTGCTAGATTTCAAGGACTCTCCTTGTATCAGTCAGAATCCCAACAGGAAACCAATGGAATACTTGAGTAATAATAATTCAAGTTGGGGGGCAGGTACGGTGGCTCATGCCTGTAATCCCAGCACTTTGGGAGGCCAAGGTGGGTGGATTGCTTGAGCCCAGGAGTTCAAGATCAGCCTGTACAAAACCCAATCTCTACAAAAAATACAAAAATGAGCCAGGCATGGTGGCAGGTGCCTGTAGTCTCAGCTACTCAGGAGGCTGAGATGGGAGGATCACCTGAGCCCAGGAAGTTGAGGCTGCGGTGAGCCATGATTGTGCTACTGCACTCCAGCCTAGGTGACAGAGTTGAGACCCTGTCTCAATAATAATAATGATAGTAATAATAATTCAAGGGGAGGTTTTACACTGGAACAAGTGACAGAGGTGTTGGGATGTAAAGGAATCGTAAGAGATACACAGTACAGGAACCTGGGCTGGAGCAGCTCAGCCATCACCACTCCTGGGCTAAAGGGCCGCAGAGGGGTGGGAGTGATTACCAGAATAGAGAAGACCCTTCTACCAAACACAATGACTCTTCCTTAAAGGGATGCCACCAGCCTGAAGGGACCAGCCTGAAGGGAAGCAACAGGGAATAAATACCTGCCTCCACACTTCTCCCTTCCTCCCGCTCCCAGCACCTCTATGAGTAAACCCCACCGGAAACCACAGTGCCCAGGGCCTCTGTTAATGGAGCCCGCATAGGTCAGCCTCCCAGGGCAGAAAGCAGAGAAAAGAAAGGAGTGGCCCTGATATGGAGGGACTCCACACACTCTCCGCTGGAGACTTTTATCCCTTCTCGTTTCTTTCATGCGGTATTATAATATCCTTTATTTTCTCTGAAATGATGATATCAAAAGATGCTGGTAGTTGTTTTTGAATGTCCTTATTAGGCAAAATAAAAAGCTATCTCATCTAAGTTGGTCCCTGAACTGGGACTTACTGTTCTTATTACCTGTGACATAATGTTAAATCTTTATTAGGCACTAGTATTTGATGCTGAATTGCATAATTCTGTCTTCTACAGTAAACACCTCAATTGCAAATATTTTTTAGAGGCAGGTTTCCTTGCCTAACTTCCACTTCTCTTGTACTTCCCAAAGAGCCAAGGCCTGTGTTGGGCCCAAAGCACCAAGTGCTTATTTTAATGGTACATCATCTCTGAATGTACCATGTTGGAAGAAACTAAGGGAGAGCTGAGAAAACCCTGGCTTTTGAGTCTGATGGACTGAGGTTCAAGTGCAGCTCTACTGTGTTATTTTAGCCTATTTTCCTCATTTTTTAGATGAGACCCTGGCAAGTCTATGTTATTCTTGGACTTGTCAAGGTCTCATATAAAAAAAATGGGGAAAATAGGATAAAGTAACCAACTACATAGGGTAGTTAGGATGCTGTAGTTGTTACAATACAATGGTCAACACAGAGTAGGCATCCATGAAATAATGGTGATTACTATTATATATTATCTCTTGAGCAGAAAATGAAGGGAGGGCAAGTGGGATTCAAATGTCCCTTGTGGGTAACTGTGCATGTTCCTAACTCTTCTTAATTCTTTGTCTAGGAACAATAATGGTCCTGTAACTCCTGCTGGTATCTCCAAGGGAAGGTTGGACCAGAAGACAATTATTAGATTGCTGTAAAAGTCATTGTGGTTTTTGCCATTACTTTCAATGGCAAAAACCGCAATTACTTTTGCACCAACCTAATAATAGGCTTGAGGCCAGGCACGGTGGCTCACGCCTGTAATCCCAGCACTTTGGGAGGCCGAGGCGGGCAGATCACGAGGTCAGGAGATCAAGACCATCCTGGCCAACACGATGAAACCCCATCTCTATTAAAAATACAAAATACAAAAAAACCCAAAAACTAGCTGGGTGTGGTGGTGCACGCCTGTAGTCCCAGCTACTTGGGAGGCTGAGGCAGGAGAATCACCTGAACCAGGGAGGAGAAGGTTGCAGCGAGCTGAGATCGTGCCACTGCACTCCAGCCTGGTGACAGAGCGAGACTCTGTCTCAAAAAAATAAATAAATAAATAAAATATAACAATAATAATAATAAAATTAAATACCTGGGTTTCTCATCCTCCCCAGCTCTCAAGGACACAGCTGCAGAAAACTCAGAGATGCTTTACTTGACACAGACACTAGTCTACGAATTTAATAGACATTATCCCATCTAATCCCTATAAGGACTTTCTGAGATAGGTGGTCTTAACTCATTTTAGAGATGAAAAAACTGAAGTGGAACCAGAAACCAGCATGGTAGCATCATCTTCTTTCTGGAAAACTGGTCATTTAAACCTTGACAGTAGTCACATCCCAACCTACTCCCTCCCTGGGACAAATGCACCTTTCCCCACCTCCTGCCAATTCCCTGGGGTGAATGGGATTTCAAGTCACTTCACAAAAAGGATTTTAATTTTTAATTTTTATCGTGTTTTTGTTCCCAAAGAAAGACGGCAGAAATCACCACTCATGTGCTAGTTAAAAATGTAAAGAATTTTCTGTTGTCAGAGCAATGAAGATAGACTCTGAAGTATGTGCTAAGATTTAATTTGACTCCCTTAACATGATGAAATGATTTGCCACGGAGGCTCTTTAGTGTATTGGGTTCTAATTTCCCAAGCTAGCCCCTCCTCTTCCAACCTTTTCCATCCTGCTCACCAGATCTTTGACGCCTGTGGCTCGATGAATTTTGGAAATCCATCCGGGCACAAGAGGAGGGAGTAAACAAACAGAAGATTGCTCTGAGGCACGCTTTGTTAAATGTAACGCGACCATCCTTCATGGTTATAGCCAACGGCATTTGCGTATCAAACAAGTAATTCAAAAATCCTAAATATTTTATGTTCCTAAATACATTTTTAATACACACTAATCTAAAACCTGGTCGGCTGCAGCCTGCTCCCCTGACCATCTCCAGAGAAAGTCCTAGAAACACCCTCTCATAATTCCCTGTTCCATTTCTTTCCTCTTGGGCTTACCATGCATGTACCTTTTTCCTCCCTAAAATAAAAGACAACTTACACAGAGAGCAGAAAATTGCATCCCAGTGTCCTACATACTTTCTCTCTAAACAGTCAAGCATTTGATATGCAAAGAAGAGGCTTTACTTATATCAGTGTTAGTTAAGCCTGCCTACTTTTTCTCTGGCCAAATTAATAGGGTGTAAACTCCATGGTCTATTTTTTTTTTAACTCCTTTCAGGTTGCCATAATAAAAGCTAGCTTGGCACCCAGTTAGCTCTGGCCATTAAAACATTAACAAAGAAGATAAATGAGCCCAATTCCAGTGTTATGCTCAGTTAAGCCATATGTAAGAACACCCAATAAAAGCAAAAACCGTAACAATAAAGCCCAAACCCAACCACCACCCAATCCGGAATGACTCGACCATTACTTTAACATCTGATTTTTTTGACCATTTAATTTTTTTTTTCTTGGAGACAGAGTCTCTGTCGCCCAGGCTAGAGTGCAGTGGTGCGATCTCTGCTCACTACAACCTCTGCCTCCCGGGTTCAAGTGATTATCCTGCCTCAGCCTCCCGAGTAGCTGGGATTACAGGTATGTGCCACCATGACCAGCCATTTTTTGTATTTTCAGTAGGAACAGGGTTTCACAATGTTGGCCAGGCTGGTCTCAAACTCCTGACCTTTAAGTGATCCACCCGCCTCAGCTTCCTAGAGTGCTGGGATACAAGCATGAGCCACTATGCCCAGCCTTTTTCATCCACTTTTGCAGGCACATGACCTTCTGCCCAGGTACATCATCCAGCAGAGTCTATCCCATAAAGACCCTCAAAGGAAGAAGAAAACCCTTGGCCCCTGTTGGTGTATGAAAATCTGAATTATTAAAGCTTACTGGTCATCTGGCACAGAGTCTCAATATACCGTTGCCATTAATTAGAAGAGCAGTCTTCCAAGAATCACTGACAGCCTTATGCCTATTTAGGACACTTTAATGTACAAACCGAGTAAATCTTCCTGTTTTCTGTAGCCTCTGTTTAAACATAAACATATGATTTAGACACACTCCATTCTTGTTAAATTTTTTTACTCTGTTCACTTAGCACAGTTCACATTATTATCCTCACATGTACAAAGGCAGTGGGATAATTTGAGACCCATAGCTTTATTTAATAATGTAATTATCCTATATTGGATTACTTAAACGGACTTTGTATTTATAAGTTCTAGTTTTTCCTAGACTAGTGATATGCTCTGCTGCAGTAAATGATTCAGGCTTCAGTCAAAAGCCCTAAATTCAGTTTGGAAAAATATTGAGTGTTTTTCAATAAGCCAGGATTAATGCAAAAGCCAATTTGCAACCACAGTTGGTGCTTTTTCTACTCCTGTTCAACGACTGTGGTGTGGAGGCCAACACAAAGGACAGACTCAAGCAACTACAACCGCCTGAGTCCAACTCTTTTGCCTCCTCGGGGAGGTTGTACAAGCCAGAGAATACAGCCTAACTTTTCCTCAAGACATGCTTTCTAAAGGTGGGGCTGAAAACTTGTGCAGCTTTCCATGCCCTGTGCTCTGCATCCTTGCAGGTGGAGCTTAAAGAAAGAATGAATAAATGAATGAATAGATGCATACTACTAGGCATCCTGACAAAACAATCACAGGAGGGAATCCAGGAGGAGTCATCTCTGCCACCTTTAAGAGAGCATTCACAAGCTGAGCTTCATCCAGTGTTGTTGTCAGGAGAGATTTTGTTCTAGCTTTTCCCAAACTCAATTCAATCTGATCCAATTACCTTGTATTGACTCTCTGCTCTGTGCCAAGCACTGGGCTGAGTATCAGCTACAGAGATAAGGATGGATAAGACATGGTGCTGCCCTTCAGAAACACACAGCGCCCAGGCAGAGTCTCCTGCTCCTTTCCTGGGAAGTGCAGCTCACACTCCTTCTAGTCCTTTGTCAGAGAGTTCACTCACTCTTTCATCTTCAGTGTTGCAAGCATCTATTCTGAGCTGTGCTAGGCACTAGGAACAGCTGGGGAACAAGCCTCTCTGAGTCATACAGCAGCCAAGGTGGGGGAGATGGACAGTAAACGTAAGCCCTTAGCTAAATGTGGTTTATATAATGAAAAATGGTCATAAGTGATTTTATCAGTTCAACAAATATTTATTGAACACCGACTCTATGCCAGGCACTGGGGTTACAGCCAGGAATAAAACAGACAAAACCCCTACTCCTCTAGAGCGGATAGTCATGTATGTGTGGACTGGGTAGAAGAGCCAGATAGTAAACAAAATCTGATGCAAAAGGACGAGAAGAGGCATTGATGGGGCAAGGGGTGGAAGCGGGGATGACTGAAATTGAGTGGTCAGGAAAGGTCTCTCTGCTCAGACCCTGAGAAAGAAAAGGAAGCAGCCAAGTTAAGAGGTGAGGGAAGATGGGGAAGAACACAGGACACTGTGGGCAGAGGAACAGCACACGTGAAGCCACTGGGAGAAACGTGGTACATGGTTACATTTAAGGCTAAAAAAAGAAAAACATACAACATGCCCCATGTGTATGTCTTACTGCTGATGCATGCTCCTCAATTTGAATCCAGACCCCTTTTCTTTAAGTTCCCACTAGGTTTAACATGGAAGCCACCCCATAAATCAATTTCCATTATTAAAAATTAACCAGTATCACTGAACATCATTATGCATTAAAAAAACATTGGCCAGAATCTGTTTAATACTACCTTTTTCTCAAAGCTCTAATGCCTACATATGTATGTTGTGAGCACTTTGCTGAAGACCAAACTGCACACTTCCAGAAAGAAAGATCAATGAGTCTTCTCACAAAACAGTTAACTTGCACAGAATTTAAAAGATGGCAGACCAGCTGCTCTCCTGACGTATACACAACATGGAAGGAGGGCCAGGAGATGCTCACCTCTTGTAGATACACTCATGAGAAACACACCTGGGACAAGAATCCCTCTCATGTGGATTTTTAGGTCTTCTTTCCATGGCCGTATGCCAACATGATTTAAAGCCTCTCCTCAACCACTGTGCATGAAACATACCTATTTTCTTTTTTTGAGACGGAGTCTCACTCTGTCACCCAGGCTGGAGTGCAGTGGCATGATCTCGGCTCACTGCAACCTCCACCTCCCGGGTTCAAGCGATTCTCCTGCCTCAGCCTCCCAAGTAGCTGGGACTACAAGCATGTGCCACCACGCCCAGCTAATTTTTGTATTTTTAATACAGACAGGGTTTCATCATGTTGGCCAGGCTAGTCTTGAACTCCTGACCTCAGGTGATCCACCCGCCTTGGCCTCCCAAAGTGCTGGGATTACAGGCGTGAGCCACCATGCCCGGCCCAAACATGCCTATTTTCTTATGCATTAAGGAGCCTGTTTATATCAGCTACAGGATCCTCCTTCCTCATTTCTCTCTGCCGATTTCTCATCTAACCAGACACAATGCCCTTTCCAGCAAAACTCTCCAAATGCAATGATCAAGACATTAGATGTAAAAAAGACCCGATATGGCTTGTTGACATGCTGTAAGACTAACAAATCTTCAAAAGATTAGGCAATCTGCAGTCTACTGTGTATGTCATCTATAGTTATATGCCCTGAAGAGCGGGGAGATATTTGGGAGGAACCATCCAAGGAGACTGTATCAAAAAATTAGCCGGGCACAGTGGTGCACGCCTGTGGTCCCAGCTATTTGGAAGGCTGAGGTGGGAGGATCGCTTGAGCCAGGGAGGTCGAGGCTGCAGTGAGCCGTGGTCACACTACTGCACTCCGACCCAGGTGACAGAGTGAGACTCTGTCTCAAAAATAAATAAATAGATAAACAACTAATAAAAGGGAAAAAAGGAAAAAAGTAAAACAGAGTAAGAAGAATACCTTTCAACCCTCATCAGATGAGCTGTACACTGAAGTGATTGGCTCTGTTGCCAGCTGTAATAGGTGGCCTCGAAGATGGTCCCCTGAGATTATATGCAACCTCCTAATAATCTCCTGCTCTTGGGTGTGGGCTAGACAATAATGCCTCACTTCTAACAAACAGAATTAGGCAAAAGTGATGGGATGTCACTTCCAGCATCAGGTTATAAAAGGACTATGGCTTGTGTCTCATTCCTACACCTTACACTCTGAGGGGAGTCCGTTGCCATGTTTGAGTTGCCCTATGGAGAGGCCCATGTGGCCCAGCAAGGAAGCCAGGGAGACCCAGACCCACTGCCTGAGAGGAACTGAGGGCCTCAGTCCAACAGCCTGAGAGATCTGAGACCTGTCAACAGGCAAGTGAGTGGGTCTGAAGTATTAATAGATCCTCCCTCTACAGAGCTTTCAGATGGCCACAGCTGGGGAGGACACCTTGACTGGAGCTTTGAGAGTCCCTTAGCAAGAGGCACCCAGCTAAGCCTTACTCAGACTTGCCACCCACAGAAACTGTGGATAGTAAGTGTTGTTTTAACAAGACACCAAATCTGGGGTAATCTGTTACACAACAATAGATAACCGATACAACCATCTTTAACACAGGACACATTTACACACCATTGTATGACAATAAAATAAAGTTTGTAAAATGAGGTGCTAAATATGTTTCAAGTATTCCTAGAAATTAGATAATTTTCTGCAGAGTTGACGACAAACCAATAGTAAAATACTTCATGCAACTGCCTAAATCCTAAATCAACTGCCTGTATGAGAGATCTTTCATTTTGGAGGGGTATCCATAGAAATTTCTAAGAATACTATCTAACAATGTGAGTGTATTTTTCAGTATGAAAGAGGCCATATAATCTTGCCAAGTATGGCTAACTTGAACATGTTTGATCTCCTCTAACTAGAGAGAAAGAAGCTGATTTTATTCATCCCCTTATCACCCCCCATAGTACCCTGGTACATCCTAATAAATATTGATTGAATTTAATTGAATAAAAGGTTATAGTCAAAGGCCCATATTTAAAAATATAAATGTTATATTTTTTCAAGAGCAATATTATGTTATGCCCTTAACTACCATATGAGAATTCCAAGCCCCATCTTCCTTTTTTTTCCATCTACTCATTTAAGAGTCATCTTTTATTTGGGAGGCCAAGGCAGGCGGATAACCTGAGGTCAGGAGTTCGAGACCAGCCTGGCCAACATGGCGAAACCTGTCTCTACTAAAAATACAAAAAAAAATTAGTCAGGCATGGTGGCACACGCCTGTAATCCCAGCTACTCAGGAGGCTGAGGCCTGAGGAGCATCGCTTGAACCCAGGAGGCGGAGGTTGTAGTGAGCCGAGATTGCGCCATTGCACTCCTGCCTGGGCAACAAAAGTGAAACTTCTCAGGAAAAAAAAAAAAAAAAACAAAGATTCATCTTTTAAAGACCAATTAGAAAAGTCAGCTGGCACAGCTGAGCAGTTAGAACTGTATTAACTGTAAGTACAATCTGCAGACCCTGTCCTCCTGTCCCTCAATCTTCATGGCCAAGACTGAAGCAAGATTCCTCTTGGCTTAAGCAGAGAGAAAAAAGGACACACAAAAAGCCTGTAAAGATTAAGGCAAAAAGAAAAAAAAATTAAGACAACTGAGATATCTCAATATTCTGACATGCTGAGAATGTTTTTACTCCACTGCCTCAAGGGGTCATTTAAGGAATTCTGGGGGTCAGGAGAGATGTGAACACCTGCTTGGCTGTCTCTTGAATTACTGATCTAGTAATATCAAAAATGTGGAGTGAGAAAGAGGACCTATAATGTAAAGAAATAAAAACAAACCCAGAGCTTGTTGATAATTTTTAGACACCACCATTTATGTGATTCATACGATCTGCATTTAAAAAAAAAAACTTCAGTCTTTTTACTAGAGCCCTCTTTCTTGTCTGTCCAGATAGTTAGGGATGCATATTTTACAACCAATGCATTGTTGCTAAAAACACACTCAGCCCCCAGGAGCACAAAATACTATTAGACTATTACAGAGAATATTCACAAGGAACAGATTATTTCACTTAAGAAATATCGAATTCAGTTATTTTTTCTGTATTTATAACCTATATATTTTGGAATCATTTGGCGAGGAGACTGAGTACTACAGCAGTGTTTTCATCTGAATTCTAGTGATCTGATATACACTGTGGGATTAATCCAAAGCAAAAGGATTTAATGGCCCAGAAGGCTACCTCTATTTGGAAGATCCTTCTGAGATTCCCCCCAGCCATTTTGGCTGGGACCTTTCCCTTTACATGGTCTGGCTGATGCTTTTTGCATCTTTCAGAGTTGGATTGGAATACACCCTCTACCATGAGCATCCCCAAATGAGGAAGACGGTGGGGTGGAAGGGGACAAAGGGATGAAGCAAATTTTCAAGTTAGGGGTGTTTTTAAGAAAAGAAAATACAGGAAACTTTTTTGAAATGGAGGAATAGTGGGTATATTTAAAATGAATTCAATGTTTTGCACATTTTGCAGATCAATACCAGGTTTCCTGATGGTTGCATCATGAAAGGGCAGGGTGGAGGGTGGGGCACTTAGATCAAACATCTGGGAAGCCAGTTTTGTCTCTTGACTCCATCTACTCCTATCTCAGTTAATTTTGACATGGCCAATGGAAGAGATGTCCCCTAACGCACCTTTTATTTTTTTGGGGGGGGGGGGGGGGACGGAGTCAGGCTCTGTCACGCAGACTGGAGTTGCAGTGCAGTGGCACAATCTCGTCTCACTGCAATCTCCGCCTCCCAGGTTCAAGAGATTCTCCTGCCTCAGCCTCCTGAGTAGCTGGGATTACAGGTGCATGCCACCACACCCAGTTAATCTTTGTGTTTTTGGTACAGACAGGGTTTCACCATGTTGGCCAGGCTGGTCACAAACTCCTAACCTCAAGTGATCTGCCCACCTCAGCCTCCCAAAAGTGCTGGGATTACAGGCATGAGTCACCGTGCCTGGCCCCTAATGTACCTTTAACATCTACATGGAACAGAATAGAATGGATTTGAACATGTCTCCTTCAAAGTGACTGGAAATCACAGATATAGATAAAAAATGTTGAACCTAAACACAAGAGAAGTCTTTTGGGGTAAATGAAAAACCAGGAAGTTTAACTCTATTTAATATGATAGTTTCCTTAGTTCCTGTTTTTCAAATAATAGTCCAATATCTCAACCCATAAATTAGTTATTAAGGAGTTATTAACAGCCTAGCACTAAGACTTCAAAACTTAGGATGTGGTCCCTGACCAGGGAGGGCAGGGTCAATAACCAACATCTGCTGCAGACCTAGGATAAGCCAGGTCATGGTTTTGTGCTCTATGCCCATAAGCATCTCACTTGACATTCTTAGCCCAGCAAGATCAAGCCATTTCACAGATAAGAAACTGAGATGCCAGAGAGATTAAGCAAGTTGGTCAAGATGACACACAGCTACTAACTGGCAGAGTAAATATTCACACTCCATTTAACTACTCTTCAAGGCTAAGGGTTTATATTTTAACTAGAAAGAGAAAACAGACATGTGAATTTATTCAGCAGCACCGCCTTCAGATTCAAGTCCACATGACATGCTAGGCTCCCCTGCAGTCTGGCCTCAGTCTACCTCATTTCCCACTAGACCTGTGCTCTCTTACCAAATCCAGACCATATCCGGTATTGGTATGTCCTTCCTTCCTACTTGCCTGTGGCTTTGCTTCTGCCTAGGATTTTCTCATCTCTTACCCTCATCCATCCCTAGGTGTTTTCAAGGGCCCCTTCTCCAGGACACCTTCCAGGATGGCTACAGGTCACCTTCACACTCATGCACTTCTTTCCACAGCTGGTCCCTGCCTCCCTCCTCAAGCCTAAATGTAGACTCCAGGGCAGAGCCAAGCTCTTCTTCTTGCACATCTCTTCCTGCCATCCCTCCAGACTCCAGAGCCCTGGCTTTATCCACGTGGCTCTCCCCACCCCATTTTTAACAGCCCCTTTGGGACCAACGGTTCTTTTTGCTTTAGTTACAGAAAATGGGCCAAATATGAGAAAGTTTTAAAAACTGTAATAGTCCAAAGCTTTGCTCTAGAGATGGCAAGGTGGCAGCCTGTGGGCCACATCTGGACAGAAGACACATTTTGTTTGGCCCACAAAGAGTGTTTTAAAAATTGGATTGGGCCAGGTGCAGTGAGACCAGCCTGACCAACATGGCAAAACCTCATCTCTACTAACAATACAAAAATTAGCCGGGCGTGGTGGTGCTTTCCTGTAATCCCAGCTACTCAGCGGGGCTGACGTAGAGAGAATCACTTGAACCCAGGAGGTGGAGGTTGCAGTGAGCCGAGATGGCATCACTGCACTCCAGCCTGGGCGACAGAGCGAGACTCTGTCTTAAATAAATAATAAATAAATAAATAGAATGGTCAACTAAAATCACATGAAAATCTAGGTTTCTGGCTTCTCTTGAAAAATGGAAAGATTTGTCAATATCTCAGACTGACATTCCTGCCCAGCAATGCTAGGTAGAAACTGAAGAGCATTTTATTTTTTTAATTAATTTTTTTTTTTTTTTTTACTAGAAACAGGATCTTACTCTGTTGCCCATGCTGGAGTGCAGTGGTGCAATCATGGTTCACCCTGAACTCCTGGGTTCAAGTGATCCTCCCCGCTTAGCCTCCCAAGTAGCTGGGATTACAGGCATGTGCCATGGCACCTGGCTCAAGAGGAACATTTTAGAGGCATGCCTCAAACCAGTCGTGCGCTCCCCAGTTCCCCTGAATATCATATTGTCTCCCAGACCTGGCCCAGTCACTCATTGATCTTATCTGCCTGACCCAGAGGGCACTTACACCTGTGCCTCTGTGGCTTCCTTGTTCCTAGACAGTCAATGGAAGACCTCAAGGAGGAGGTGGCTTTTAAATGGGACCTTGAAAGACGGATACAGCTGTTGCGCAGTTTTATTTCACAGAGTAAAACCTCAGCTAACTTTACCACCCTTTTCTTATACTTCCCGTTTCCTCTACTTGTAAACAGGACAGCACAATGTTTCTGTCACCTGCATTTTGGAATTAAAACAGCTTGAGTTCCCATTCAGTCTCTGTCATTCACCAGGTGAGTGAATTTGGAAACCCGGACAAGTTACCTAACCTTTCAAATTACCCTCCCGCAAAATGGAGATGATACTAGAATCTACCTCACAGTATTACTGTTATGAAGAGTAAATAAAATGTCACATATTAATCTGTCAGGACCTAGTTTTACTATTACTTTTATTAATATTATTTTAAATGAGGGGTTGGCATTTTATATAAGGGCCAGATAGTAAATGTTTTAAGCTCTGTGTGGTATATAGTCTCTGCTGCAACCACCCAACTCTGCCACTATAGTGCGAAAGCTGCCAGAGACCATTTGTAAACGTGGGCATGGCTCTGTGCTAATAAAACTTTATTTACAGAAACAGGTAGTCCAGCCTGGCCAACATGGCAAAACCCCATCTCTACTAAAAAAAATATAAAAATTAGCTGGGTGGGGTGGCACCTGCCTGCAATCCCAGCTACTCGGCAGGCTGAGGCACAAGAATCACTTGAACCTGGGCAACAGAGGTTGCGATGAGGCAAGACCACGCCTTTGCACTCCAGCCTGGGTGACAGAGCAAGACCCTATCTCAAAAACAAACAAACAAGGCTAGACACGGTGGCTCACGCCTGTAATCCTAGCACTTTGGGAGGCTGAGGTGGGTGGACTGCTTGAGGTCAGGAGTTCAAGACCTGCCTGACCAACATGGTGAAACCCAGTCTCTACTAGAAATACAAAAATTAGCCAGGCATGGTGGTGGGCACCTGTAATCCCAGCTATTCCAGAGGCTGAGGCAGGAGAATCACTTGAATCTGGGAGGTGAAGGTTGCAGTGAGCTGAGATCGTGCCATTGCACTCTAGCCTGGGCGACAGAGCGAGACTCTGTCTCAAACAAACAAACAAACAAAAAACAAACAAACAAAGACAGATAGTAGACCAGAGTTGGCCTATGGGCCTTAGTTTGCCTTAGCTTGCCGTGTTTTCAACCATCTCCATAGCCAAATGATGTACATTAGCTCTAAATATGCACCCCAGGTGTCTAGATGATACCTAGACCAACTGGTCCCTCCAGTGGGCAAACGGACATCTCTAACCTGGCTACGAATTCACCAAGGCCAAGCCCAGCCCAGAAACCATTCTGCAGGGAGGTAGTGCTCACCATACAGCTTGCCTAGAAACTTCCCAATCTTCACCCCCAGATCCCTTTAGACCTCAACTCAAATGATATTTCTTCTAAAATGCCTCCTGAGACCTTTCCGACAAAATCATGTACCCCTGACATAGGCACTTGTATTTGCCCTTCATCCCCTTGACCACATCACAGAATCACCCTTTGTTTGTGATAAGTTTATATACTATGCGTGGTCCCCACCTGATGGTAAGCTCCATGGCGGCAGGATCTGCCTGGTTTTCCACCTCTCTCTCTCCAGTGCGCAGTGCTGGGCTGCACACAAAGTCACGCTGGAGGTACTGAGTCTGAGACTTCTCTCCTGTGAAATGTGAGAAAGGCGCTATGTGGAGTGTAAAGTGCCCTTTCAAAGTGTATTACCTGTGTGCATGGCATTACTATTATCTGGGTATCAGTCAACTGTGCAAGTCCCTAAAGAGCAGGAAAGAAGCTTTCATAAAGACTCAATTAAAGAATACATCAGTATATAGTGAAAACCCCAGTGCTGATATTGAGAGTTCTCAATATATTCTAAAGTTATAATGAGAAACTAAGCTCGCCCACTGGTCTTCGCAGCATCGGGAGAACATGGGTTTCAATCCCGACTCTTGAGTCTCACCTATGTGTGACCTTGGGCAAGTTCCTTTAACCTCTGTTGGCCTCAGCTGCATCACCTACAAAGTATGGAAATGTCAAAATACTACGGACATAATAGAGTATCCATGAGAATTAAATGAGATATTTTATTTATATTTAATTTATATGTTAATGTATTTGCAATGCCTGACATATAAGTGGTCACTGAATTAATGGAAAATGTTGTGACTTTGACTTCATTGAAAACACAGTGGGTGAAAATTTTGCAGATGGTTTCGGGAAAGAGAAATATGGGGCATTTTCTCTGGGCTGTGAATACACAGAGAAAGCACTCTAGAAGGAAGCGTGAATTCGGTTTTAAGACTACAATGTATGGAGATGGTTTTCCCTCCATTTGGGACAAATTAATCAAGTTGCTTCTTCCTTCTTACTATAGGAGAGAAAATGTGCTCTCTGAGAACAGAAATCTTTGTGTACTAGTCACTCATTGTTCACTATTATATCCCCAGCACAGAGAACTGATACATAGTAGGCACTCACTTTAACTGCTCCTTTAACAGCACAGAGAACTGACACATAGTAGGCATATAGTAGATACACACTTCTGAATGATGAAACCATCCATGAGTATCAGATGTTCGCATAAGTACCAATTCCATTTATTACCAACATTGCCAACTTTTGGCGAAGCTTTTCTTCAGCCAACATAAATAGCATCCCATTAGAGGGCCCTCCTGGCTTCAGGAAAAATTATAGAAATGAAGGTGATGTCCAGTCTGGGATCCTGGATATCAATCCTGGCTTCTGTGTAATCACTAACTCTCTGCTAAGTATCCTGTCATTCCAGGGCTGGGCGCGGTAGCTCACGCCTGTAATCCCAGCACTTTGGGAGGCTGAGGCGGGTGGATCACCTGAGGTCGGGAGTTCAAGACCAGCCTCGCCAACATGGAGAAACCCCGTCTCTATTAAAAATACAAAATTAGCCGGACATGGTGGTGCATGCCTGTAATCCCAGCTACTCAGGAGGCTGAGGCAGGAGAATCGCTTGAATCTGGGAGGCGGAGGTTGCGGTGAGCTGAGATTGCGCCATTGTACTCCAGCCTGGGCAAAAAGAGCGAAACTCCATCTCAAAAACAAACAAACAAACAAAACAAGGTATCTTGCCATTCCAGTAAAGTCCATACTCTCCATGAGTTGTTTTATAAAAGTGATGTCCCCCATGGCACCATGCACTGGTATAAGACAGGGCACTGGAATGACCTACCAAGAACACAGCCACGGGAAGCACTTGCCTACTTTCCTCAGCACATGACCTCAAGAGAGCAGCCCCTTCCCCACAAAACAGCCGACCAGACTGTGGTGCCTGAGAACACTGAATCCTAGTTCCACTTCTGTCACTCTCTAGTTCTGAGGACATGCCCAAGATTTTTCTGGGCCTTAGGTTCTGCATCTATTAAATAAAGAGGGCTGGATTTGTTCTTCTCAGTCTCTTTTATCTGTTATCTTGTGAGTCTACAGAATTGTCCATGGCAAATTAGACATGAGCCTTTCTCTTAAATAACCATGGCAATTCTTCTTGACCATCGTTATCAACAATACCAAGGGACTTTAAGCTAGCCATGCCTAAAACCAAACATGTTGGCAGACAGCACAGCCAGAGAGACCAGCTTTACCAATGGATACACCAAAGTTCCAGCCAGGAAAAGGTCTCTGAGAACATTATCAATGACCTTTTCTGCATCTGACCTTCACTGGTCTGCCTTTTGCCTTGTATCACCAGCGTCTTTTCCACAGTGCAAATTTCCAACCAGAACACTGCCAAAACAGAAGAAAAACAACTAAACCTGAGCCTATCACATTCAGGAAAGTCTGAGGACAAAGGAATGGGTGAGAACATTTTTATTCTCTGATACTGTATCTGGCTAATTTGCCTTATTTCTAGTGATACTCTGAGCTGAGCTCAAACTAGATAATGGCAAGCAAAAACCAAAGGGAAAATAGCATTCTGTCAAAACTGTTTCCATCTCATCTTCCGTTGGAGAGCTTAGGGCAAGCTTAGTGACAAGCAACTGGGGGGTAACTTGGCTTGCTATCTCTGTAGCATGCGAGACTTCCCTTGGAAGGGTTAAAAAAAAAGTATGTATATATGTGTAATGTATACAGAGATAACAGGACAAGTTATCTGTATGTGTGTGTGTGTATGTGTGTATACATATATATATATATATATAAACATGCATATATATACACACATAATTATATATATGCCTATATATATACTTTTATTTTCTCCAGCTTTATTGAAGTATAATTGACTAACAAAAATAGTATACATTAAAGTATACAATATGATGGTTGTATATATTTAAGGTATACAATGTGATGATTTGATGTACATATATATCATGAAGATTACCACAATCAAGTTATTAACATTCATCACCTCAGTTATCCTTTTTTGATGTGGTAACAACACTTAAGATCTACTCTGTTAGCAATTTTCAAGTATACAATACAGTACTATTAACTATAGTCACTATACTATACATTAGATCTCCAGATAGAAGATGAACACATATATATGATGAATATCTTATAACTAAAAGTTTGTACCTTTTGACCAACACCCTATATATACACATTTTAAAAACATATTCCTCCCTTAAGAAGAATACACAGTATTAGTGAATTTAAATTATTTGCACTTAGTTCTTTGTCTCCAGTTATACTGCGATCCTTTGTGCTTGTGAAACAACATATGCTTTAATTAGCAAATATCTGTAAATAATTTACTTGCTTTTCAAATACAATAGAACAATGGAGTCGATTTTCACATACATTTACCAAGCAAGTATCCTGGGTCATAATCCAGACTCTCTCATTGTTCAATAACTATATCAAGCTGTCTAACTCCTGCTGCCCTCCTTGGTGGAGGGTTGGGGTAGGCGGTTAGAAACCCAACTTCCAGTAGCAACATTTCATTTTGCAAGACCCCAGCAGGCAAGCACAGATAGTTGTCCAGCTCATGCTAAAAAAACTCTTACACTCTCTAACCCTAGAACCTTCCTTAAGGAGCATGGAAGTGAGCCAAGGGCGAAGGGCATTGGAATAATGACGGCAAGACAAAGGCACCCTTCTGCCCGCTGCCCCCCAAGCCCCAAGAGCATGAGCCAAAAAACATAAGGCACAATGTATGGCCTATGAATCACAGAACTTCATCTAGGCTCTGCAGGGTTAAAACTGGGTGCCGCTCGTGCAGTGCAAAGAAAGATGTTAAATCAAATGAGAATGACTACTCCAGGACTGGAAGCACTATTATTTTGAATAAGATTGAAAAGGCCAGAAAAAGCAATTCAAAAACATTTCAATTATGTATTTCCCAGAACTACATCTTTGAGCAACTAATGCAAATGTTACCACCACAATAAAACTTCTTCCCACATATAAAACAGGTTGAACAGCATATACTTTATATATCATATGCATATTTTTGACTATTAATAAAAAATTCAAAATCTATGTATGCTTTACTCTCCTAAGCAATACAGTAATTATGATTAAGGGACAAGCAGCACAAAAAGAGCCAATTTATCTTACTCGTGCTCAGGAATACTATTGTGTAACTAAGCAACTAAAGACAAAATATGGTCTAATTAATTCACTCCTATGCTTATTTAAAAGACACAATTAGAACATTTTTATTTTCCAGCTTGCACAGTAGCTCAACATGCTTGAGGGTGTAGAAAGCAAAGCCCATTATTCTCAAAGACAAGAGTTTAATGTTTAGTGCCACTGATGAGGCTTGGAACTCAACTATGGGGTGGAAGGGGTGTTTCATAGCCCGGGTGTGCTTGGAGTCATGAGAAAAGAAAGGTGGGGGAAAAGATGTTTATGGGGTCACTAGATTGACTAGCAACATTTGGCCTTTGCCGCCTGGGGTTCTTACTGGGGCACAGGAATGGAGATGTGACTGTGAACCTGATGGTCATATGCCAAGGACACACGCCACTGTGCGTCTATTTATACAGCCACAAAGATCCTACAGAAAATTCGCGTAATTAAACCACCCATCCTAGTCTGCGTGATAAATGTCAAATATCCATCTTTAACGCTGCTAACAGTGCATCTGATTTTAAAAGCAGAATTAATTTACCCAAGTGTGTGCGAGAGATTGATGCCATTAGCATGATTCTAAAGCACCCTTTCAATAATCATCATCATCTGCATGTTTGAAATGTGTTGTCGATACTGATGCTCATAGTCCAGGGCATGAGGGATGTATGCTGGAGGGCTAAGACCAAGGTTCTCATCTCCAGCAAGTCAGTGAGGAACACAGCGTGGCCAGAAAAATGCATCCTTGGATTTGTGCAGTGTAGATTCTTCAAGAAATGAGGGAATCCATGACCACATCTCTGAGAGGTGAATGAATCCTTAAGCCAACAATCGATAAATTTGTTTTAAATTTCCTTAAAAGCCAAGGCAACGGGTAGTCACTAGCTACAGTATTATTCTGAGTAGAAGATGGCAAATATCCAACTACACTGGCTATAAAAAATGACAAGTGAATGCATTTGGTTCAAGCAATTATATTCTGGATATTGGTTAAAACTAGACTTTGATAAATGAGCTTGAGTCATATATCACTAGATGCCACTATGAACAATGGCATGCTTTATTAATAATTAATAATGAAGTATTTACATGTATGGACTCTTGTATTTCATAAAAATAACATTTCCTTAGTATGTGTCTGACAGTCTAATTGTCGAGAGGTTTTAATTGCTTACAATTGTGAGGCACTATCAAACATGTGGCTTAGTTAAGACCATCAGCCTGAAAAACATGCTGGCTCGTATGAACTGCCAACCAACACCAGGCGAGGAGTGAATCTTCTTTCCTGAAGTCTAGTCTTTTCATAGGTTGCCACCCCAAAGCCCTGACTTTTTATGGGTTGACTGCTGAGACTGGAAAATTAACAACGAAACAGAGATGCTGCCTCCAGTCTAATCTTTCAAATATTTGCTTGTTTCTTTGGTGAGTGCCCCTGTGAAAAAACCACTTCCCATGTTTTCACATTCTACAGTGCAAAATGACTACAGACTTTGGAAGAGAAAGAAGAAGTGTGAGATGGGGTCGTGGATCTGGCCCACATGTGAATGACTGGTCACTGGTCATCTGCCAGAAAGAAACTGGGTAAAGCTTAAAAAAGGTAGACTGTGTGCAAGAAGGCATTTTAATTATGTCGTTCAGTCACTCAGAAAATACTCACTGAAGGCCAGGCGCGGTGGCTGACGCCTGTAATCCCAGCACTTTGGGAGGCCAAGGCGGGTGGATCACGAGGTCAGGAGATCGGGACCATCCTGGCCAACATGGTGAAACCCCGTCTTTACTAAAAATACAAAAAATTAGCCGGCCGCGGTGGCTGGCGCCTGTAGTCCCAGCTACTCTGGAGGCTGAGGCAGGAGAATGGCGTGAACCCGGGAGGCGGAGCTGGCAGTGAGCCGAGATCGCGCCACTGCACTCCAGCCTGGGCGACAGAGCGAGACTCCGTCTCAAAAAAAAAAAAAAAAAAAAAAAAACTCACTGAATAGCACTAAATATTGCAGAGGACCCAGAGGTGAATAAGGCACAACTGCCTGCTCCTGAGAACAGCACTATGGTGGGGGGAGCATAGGGTCAGGTGACAAGGTAAAGGAAAAGAACACAGATAACTATAAGGCACAAGGTATAAAGTGCACGACAGGTTACAACCAACCACTGGACTATAAGCTCCCTGGGAGCAGTGATTTTTGTCTGTCTTGTTCATGCTGCATCCCCAGGGCCTAGAATAGGATCTGGCACATAATAGGTGCTCTACAAATATGTGTCCAGGAAGTAATAATTCAAAGATGAAGACAGTACTTTCTAATTTCCGGAAAGATTAAGAAATGCTACAAATAAATAGTGATCTCAGTTCGTCTCAACTTAAACTAAGGAACACAGATGGAAAGAGTCTGATGGCCTTTTCTGTGATCACTGTCTGTCTACAAAGGCAGTTTGGGAACTCCTTGAGGGCAGAGGCCATTCTTCTTCTTCTTTTTTTTTTTTTTTTTTTTTTTGAGATGGAGTCTTGCTCTGTTGCCCAGGCTGGAGTGCAGTGGTGCAATCTTGGCTCACTGCAAGCTCTGCCTCCCGGGTTCACGCCATTCTCCTGCCTCAGCCTCCCAAGTAGCTGGGACTACAGGTGCCCACCACCACGCCCAGCTAATTTTTTTGTATTTTTAGTAGAGACGGGGTTTCACCATGTTAGCCAGGATGTTCTCAATCTCGTGATCTGCCTGCCTCGGCCTCTCAAAGTGCTGGGATTACAGGCGTGAGCCACTATGCCTGGCCGAGGCCATTCTCCTTAATCTCTTGTATCCAAGTGCCAGCACACAGTAGGTTTTCAATCAACATCTGAGAAATTTAATGAATTCTTTTTCCAAAAAACATGATGGTTGGGAGCCTTCCTTTGGATGCCTATGACATGTATTATCAGCACAATTTACTGATGTGTTGTGACTCATATTGCTTTTACATTTTTAGACATGTTGATCTCATCTCCTTATCAAGACTGATAAATTTATTCAGAAAAAGGGTCACATCGCAAACTATTTTGCATCTGTCTCTTCACCTAGCAGAGTACTGAGCACATAGAACTTCACGAGTAGTTTTTTATTAACTCAAAATAGACAATACTAATATTGGCTAAAGTTTCGCTCTTAACCATACAAAATATAATTTAATATTATTTCACTCATTCTCAAATTTTAATGTCCTAGAACCAATGGTGAAATTGGATTGGATATGTAAACGTTAATGATATAATATTGAAGTACAATTTCTTATATTACTTAAGTTTCTTATATTTCTGCTATTACTGGTTAATGGCCAAAACTCAAGAAAGAAAAATAGGTACACAATCATCTACCTTATTGCAGATCAACCGCATAGGCCAGGGGTCAGCAACGTTTTTCTTAACAAAGCCAGATAATAAATATTTCTACTTTGTCAGCGATCTGGTAACTGTCAAAACAACTCAACTCTGCTGTTGGAGCCTGAGAGCAGCCATAAACAAATTAGCATGGCCACATTCCAATAAAACTTTATTCACAAAAACAGACAGTGGGCCAGATTTGGCCTTCAGGCCTTACTTGGCTGACTCTTGTCACAGTCCAGTAATTTCTCTCCATGTAATTCTTTACATTCTTATCTTTGTTCTAAAAGGCCTGCTTGGTAGAGAGTAAAGATAAATCCTTTTCTTAGCTTAAGATGATTACTAAAAATAAATAATAACTATTATAAGTGCAACCACTATTCATTGAACTCTCATGTGTAGGTACTATACTATGCTAGATTCCAGACCCTTTTCATTATTATCTCTGATTCCCAGCACAGTTGAGGCCATTAAATCCATTTTACAGAGGAAGAAACAGAGGCTTAAAAAAGTTAAAACAATTGTCTAAGGCCAGTGTGGTCATTTAAGAGGTCTCAGAAATCTCTAAAAAATTACCTTATGGATATAGACCAAGACTGAGGAGCTATCCAAAGAGAAGAGCAAGACTAATCCAGCACCTTCTAAATTCCAGAATGTGTCTGTCTAACTCCAGATATGACCAAATCAGGCAATCTTTTGAAAAAAAAAATCCTGCTGATCCAGTTGACAGTTTACTTCTGCACTAAAATGTAAATCCTTAAGACACTTTTTATTTTGGTGACACAGCTAAAGCCAACATGGAGATGAAAGATAGCCTGATTCGGTAGGATTTGGAAGCCCACATGTCCTAGCAAACTCACCTAGGTGCCATTCCCTCACACGGAAAAACTTTTCAGTAAGCTCCATGGTAGTGGTTTCAAACCTCAGTGAGATTAATGCTAATATTAATGATAATAACAACAGTCAACCATTATTGAAGTATCTACTATGTGTCAACTTTGGGCATATGCATTTTACATATATTAACTTATTTAATCCTTAAAATAATCCTAGGAAATAAGGACCGTATTTCCACTTTACAGATGAGAAAACGGAGGCACAGAGAGTTTAGAACTTGCCCAAGATAACACAGCTAGACTGAGACTGTTTAAATATTTAAAATTCAGACTCCTGGACCCAACTCTAGAGATTCTATTTGAGGAGACTTCAATAGGGGCCCCAGAACATGGATTTTTAGCATTTTTTAATTCAGTAGTGAGGCTGGTGATAACTGAATCACTTTTAGAAATCTGGAATGCATGCTAGAATCTGTAACATCCAGGTATGCCTGATCTTGACTCCTGGACATCATTAGCTTAGCCATCCACAAGCACAGTTGGAGGTGACCAGCAAACCTTCTTATAAAATCCCAGCGATGGCTGGTCAGGCTGAAATCCAAGCTTGCATATCCACCCATTTTAAGAGGGTATACTGCCAATAGATTAAGCACTTGGCAATTGGAAAATGAATGTAATCAGAAGTTATCCAGTAACAGAACCAATTACCCGCCTACTTTGCCATTTTCCTCCTCTGAAGAGCTAGTGGCTGAATGTGGCAATTCTAAGTAATTACTAAAGACACTTAACTCCTTGCACATGGCCCTGCTATTCATTTTCATGGTAATTTAAGATGGTATCATTTTTAGGTCCAAGAACCTCCACACAGACACAAGTTTTTTTTTTATTGTTTATAAAATTAAGAATATCTAGAACAAAGGTCACTATAATCATAATTATTTTCTATTTATTTAAGTACTTTATAGTATATAAAGCTCTTTTGCCTATAAATCCTCTTGATCTTCACCAACAATCTATAGTCATCCCTACTTTGTTCCCATTTTGCAGCTGAAGAAACTGAGGTTCCAAGTACTTATGGTTGTTCAAGATTAAGCAAATAGCAAGCTGCAGAATCAAAATGTGACTTTCTTGAATGCTTTTCCTCAACACCAGTTGCGAACACTGGAAGTATTATATATGAAGGCATTGGTGTATATAAGCATATAAATCATCACCATCATCATTAAAATGAATAGTAAGTTGTTAATGCTCATTAATAACTATTAAAATATAACTGTTATCATTATATACCACTGATTAGAATTAGCTTAACTTTACAGGATAAGGATAGTTTTGCTACCTAGACATCTGGTGACCTTTGGCAAAACTGATTAACTAGTTACAATTCTAAAATGTCTGAGGGACTGTTCACATTAGTACACACTTCTAGAATGTAATATGATGAATTCAAGCTCTGCTTTCAAGGGTAGGTTTCACTGGGGAGAAAAGATAACCTTGAATTTCAAGGAGGCCTGGGTTCTAGCCTGGTGACCTTTGACAAACCACATAACCTTTCCGAGTCTATGTCCCCATCTGTAAAATGGGTGTACAAAGTCCTGCCTTATCCAGCCTCCCACAATTTATTACAAAAATCATGAGAAAATATTCCAAAAAAAAAAAAACCCTCTGCAAATCACAGCAAACCACACAGGGACGCTATTTCTAATCTTGCACAATGATCATTTTTCTGCTTTTAGAACTGACGTCTTTACATTTCAAGAAATCATAAAAAGGCAGAATGATTCTCTTAAACCAAAAAAAGCATACTGAGTCCTGGCTGTCCTTTCGAAATGGATGCTGATGTCAGCTCAATCAAGAAATTATTAATCTCCATTTGGTTACTTAAAATAAACTGTACTGGCTGATTAAATGTGCTGAACATTTTCTCCAAGTAACAGTGCATATCACCAAGAAACCTTTCTCTTTCAGTTACACATTGCAAATGGCAAATGCATCATTCAAAACTATTTAAAATCAATAATAAAAATCATTTAAATGTATATAAACAAGTTAATGGAATAAGTGAAAACAAAGCAAATTTCTTAATGAGAGGGCCCTGTTGCCCCCTCTAGGTGCCAGCAGTAAATGCTGGTTTCTGTAAGGCTCTCCTCCAGAGAAGACTGCTGCTGCTATTCTGCTAATGAATGACTAACTTAGGCCAGGGGGGAAATGACATCACCAGGGTGGAAAACCGATCTGCATTGGGAAACTTTCTACCTGCTTTACATTTGTCATAATTATTTTGCACAATGCAGTCTGCATTTGCATAATTTTGAGGCGTGTCATTATCTCAATTGAAAATTGTTTTAATATGGCTGAATAATTCACAATGACATCAGCCAAAGTCCTAATGAAATATACAAGTATAATCATACAGCTAATTACCAGCCGTGTTAGCATTAAAAAACAAATCATGCATAATATTAGACGATGTATATGCAGCTGAGGATTATAAATAGAGCCATCTCCCTCCGCAAACCCCCTAGAGTTTACTTTTAAATGGCAAGATTAATTTTCTCAGGTATGGCTCATATAGCAGTGACGAAATGCACAGATCATTACAATGGTTCCCTTTCAATTCCCCATAATGAACAATTAAAAAGAAATCGTGTATTTAAAAATATATCTATTCACTGTCAACACTTCTAGCAGATGCAACGTTTGGCAAATATAGCCTTTATTCTTAAATCAGAATTCACCATTTAATTACACCAACAAAAATTAAAACTGTACCAAGTGGGGTCAACTCAGGGTCTTTAAAAAACATCCCAATTTCAATTCCCCGCCCCCCAAAAAAGAGTGACCACAAAATATCCCATAAAACACTGAATAATTTCCTCCTGGACTTAGTCAGAAGTCTGTTAAGCACCAGTTCTTTTCTGGATATTTAATCCTTCCCTTTTCCAGATCACAGGCCATGTTGAAGTAATAAATTTGAAAAGCAAATAATAAGAAATCAGGAGGGGGAGAGGGAGGGGGAGGAAGACAGCTGCGCAGGAAAGTTGGGTCGGGGGAGGGGGCCGAGCCAGACCTTGGGAGGGGGAAAGAGCTCAACCTGTTGGTAGGTTGCAGGATTTTTCACAGTATTTCCAAACAACACCTTTTTAAAATTGCAGGCGGACGTCGGGAAATATGAACATTTAAAAACCAAAGCTGGCCGGGGAGGGTGGAGGGGGGAGGTGAGCGGGGAGGTGGGAGGGGCTTATTTCCGAAAAGGCAGATTCGAGGGCGAACGTTTCGACGAACTCCAGTAATTAACCGGCATAGACCACTGACGAGTAATTCGATCCTGGGGAGAGGGAGTGAACTAGCAATGCCAAAAGTACTATCAACTCGATCAAACCGAGGAATTCTGGAAGGACTGGCAGCTCCGAGCCCCGGGATGAGTTAAACGGGAAACCATTCATTTAACAAAAAGATCCTTAGATCCTTACACCTACCTCGAAAGCTCGAGAGCCTGGCACAGCACTAGCTGCCCTCAAAAGTCTGTTTGATTACCCTGCTCTCGCTTTGGCAACACAAAGCCTCGCCAGGCGGCAGTGCGCCCTCCCTCCCCGCTGCGCCGTGGGCACAGACTCCCCAAAATAGTTCCCCTCGGTAGGTACCACGGCGCTGAGGTCGGTCAGCTGAGGAGGGGAGCCCGCAGAACTGCGGTCACACATGAAATGACAGAGCCGAAGGGAGGCGGCCGCCCCGGCGCCCAGTGACAGCGGGCTCACCTCCGGCGTCCTCCCGGGAGCGCGGCGAGCGCCCCCGCGGCCGCCCAGAAACGTGCCGGGGAGGCTCTGTCCCCTCCCCGCCCTCCCCGGGAGCGCCGTCTGGGCACGGAGAACGCTGGACCCGCAGGGCCAGTGGGCGAGCACACACCCCTCTGCCCTCCCCTCCCCCGCCCCCGTCCCACACACCCCCAAAGATCGCGCAGGAGGACGTCCACTTTGCGTGGAGTAATTGCAAACTAGAACATCAAATGGCTTGTCCGGGGGGAGGGGGAGTGGGCGAGAGATAGTTGTTAATGCTTAACGTGTTTGTGCCTGTTACACCACCGCTTTGAAATCCGCCCGGGCAGATCTGCAAGTTATTTGAATGTATTATTCCAGTACCTGTCATTTATCACTTTATTCAACACGTCTTTGCCAACTCAATAGCTTTTGATCTCATTCTGCCTCCATTTCGTAATTTCCGCCCTCTTAAACATATCAAATACTTACTTTGAAAAAAGAACAATATCGAAACCCACCGAAAGAAATCCACCCAGACACGACCGAGCCAGACACGAAGGTAAATTTTCAAAAGGCAAAAAATATAAAAAGCATGTGATGTTCAAGAGGCAATAGCAGGAGAGCAAATGAACACACACACACACATACACACACACACACACACACACACACACATCCTTGAACAAAACCCTTCTCGAACAAGTTATTTGATCTTGACTAAAATCAGCAGTTGGATCCTCTTTGTAAAGCTGACAGCCAAACTCTGACAATGGCAAAATACTCGAGCCCCAGCTAGTGGCGCTACCCCTTTAAAAAAGGAGTCGATCCTGCTTGCCTGCAGAAGTGAATACAGTATTTTCAAGCTTGCCCTGTAATAAGCATTACTAGGGGGAAAAATAATAAAGAAAGAAGAGGGGGACAGACAGGTTTACCACCTCGCCATGGTCGCTATTTCTGCCCTGGGGAGTGTCTTCTGGGAGGAAATAAAGTTTAGAGCTGGATAAAAGTTGCCGGCTGGTCCTCTCTTCCCACAACAGCTGGAGCTCCGCTATGCAAATCGGATCCTTTGGCGTACATCTTACAAAGAAAAAGTCGCCAAGGGACAAAATTCTTGGTTTGCCTTCAAGGTGGAATTGAAAAGCCTTGTAGAAAATGTAAGGTCCGTGCAAGCCACACGGTGAGCCGACCCACTGCAGGGGGGGAAAAAAACACCAAATAAATAATGTAGCCATCAGAGCACAAACATCTATTCCCAGACACATTTACACACAGACATCCACTCTCTTAATACAGACGACCCAACAGATATAACGCTGGGTGGAAAAATAATAGCACCCACAAATTTTCTGCTTCCCTAAAAAAAAAAAAAAAAAAACTCAGGGCCCCCCACCGCCACTTCTACCCACCTCCCCATTTGAGGCGGTAAAATTACATTATGTATGTATGATCAGTGCAGGGATTTTTTTAAACAATAAAAATGATTTTGGGGGATGCAGAGGGTAAAAGTTTGGTGAAAAGTTTGTGGGGGGTGTGGGTGGGTGCAGAGGTGTGGGTGAGCTGGGGGGTTGGGGGGTGCCGGGGGGTGCCGGGATCGGAGGAGCGGAGGAGAGCGAAATACCTGGAGTGAGTTGGGCTCCATCTCGACGTTCTGAATTGATTGAACTCAACATTCTCTCCAAACTTGTTGGCTTGAATGGATTGCATCAGGTCCTGGCAGGGAAACGCATTCTCTGCCTTCAGCCGGCGTAATGTCTCAATATAAAACTGAGCTCTTGCCTCCCTTCGGGCACCGAAATGATTGAAAATATGTCCTAATATTTCTATAACGACTCAATTTTCAGCTCCTGAAAAAACTATGTGGGTTTTCTTCCAAAGATGGATTGATCAAATTCATAATCGAGAGAAAGGCGCCATACGATCTCGGCGGGAAGAGGATGGATCAAGGCAAAAAACACACAAGAAGATTTGTAAAAATAAAAAGCACCCTAAAACTGTGTGGAGATGTGATTCCTCTCTCTCTAACCGCTCCTGTCTGGGATATCGTCTGATGAGATTTTTGGAGGAGAGGAGGGGTAGCGAGCTCCACTGTGCATCTGACAGGACCTGCTTGTATATGTCTAATATAAAGAACATTTCCTGCAGAGATTCCGGGGCGCTGCTCCTCTTTCTAATGCTTCTTAGCAGATTTGCTGTTATTAGACATGTAGATTTGTTTGATAGTTAAATTACGCTTCCTCACTGCCATGTTTTCGAGAACTAATCTGTTAAATTATCTTTTGATGCCTATTTACATGGAAGGGAAAAGTGGGTTATCGATTATATAAACATATAAATATTAATGCATTTGTTCGCTTCGCAAAAAAATACTCAGCAAAAAAAAAAGAGACAAGTGAGCAGTGCACACACATCTTAGGATTTCGCAAACAATATTGAACGGACAGCGACTGCATTTAGGGACTGGAACAATAAACGATGCATGATAAATCAATAAATGCGAGAAGCGAGTCTGCTCAGAATATGAATTCAGGCTCCCGGTTCTGCGTGTGCATTCTTTAATTTTGAAGTATATACACTAGTACGTGTTTACAATGCTGATGGACGCCAAGGGCGCTCTCAAATGATAATGTGTTTATATAACCCAGCGCTACAGGAATAATATACCGACTCCTACCCCACCCCCATCCCCTCCCCCGCCAAAAAAGGGAGGGGAGCTTCCTCAATAATAGTTTGAAACTGAAAAAATCCATTTGCAAACTAGTTAAATACAACCAGAAATTAAGCTGTTGAAAACCGGGGGCATGAACCGTAAGACAATAAAGGCTTTAAATGTGTATATTTATTGTTCTGGAGCCCTGGAGCATTGCGAGGTTTGCATGCACGGCTATTATGCAAACACAGAGAAACTTAAGAGCGACAGAACAAGGAACAGGCAGAGACTGCAAAGCCCTCGCAAGCTCCGACCCAGCTGCCGGTCCTCCGCCAGGCTAGATTGCATTTTCGCAGTGTTGATTTAAAATGGTGTACTCGCTTCCCCCACGTTCCCCCACCCCCTTCCCCGCTCTCCTCCCACTCCTTCCAGCACACCCCCCCTCCAGCTTTTATTATATTGGCACCAATCTTTCCAAAGTGGGTCTGGCATGCTAAAAAAGTAAACATGTACTATATGGGGAATAAGGTCTGTATAGTATGACAGTTGAAACTTGATCTGTGATAAAATTACAGGATGTTGAAATTACTAGTAAGCTATTTTTAACGCTTTCGCAACGTTTCACCTCTAGTCACAGCATCTAGTTGAAACAGGATTACTTTAATGAAAATTATATTCACATGGCTGAAGTTAATACACCCGGCAGAGCACAAATGCCTCATATTCAGTGACTTGAGGTGGAAAGACCCTCTGTGTGTATTTTTATGCCTTTTCATAACGTCTGCGTCCGCTGCAGTAAGAATTAGGGCACTTAACATTATCTAAACCACATTTTTGATTCAGAATATGGGGAAGTAATAAAAGGCAAAATCTATCTCGTTTCTATACACACAGAGATAAACGAAAGAAAATGGCAGATCCTCTAATTACAATAAATAATAAAAGCCCATGCCAAAGAGCCGGTATTCTGAAAGCTGTCGAAAACTATTTTAATAATTTAAAGTAATATCACAACTCTGCACCATGGAGGACTACAATTCGCAGTCTCCCATCTTTAACATTAGCCAAATTATGACTTGCACATCACTCTTTAATTATCTCTTGAAATTTCATCTGATCTTTCTATTTTATAAACATGGGTTACAAAGAGAAATTATAGCTCTCCTGCGCTTTCTCTCTCTCTTTTTAACTTTATAATGCATACTGCAGACGTTTGATTAGAATCGCCCATTTTGTTCATTTTTAACATATGAATGGACTTGACTGAGGGGCATTTTACATGTCTTTTTTAAAAATAGATATGCCTAAAGCTTCTGTTAGTCTCTGTCGTGTTAGCGTAAATATATACATCCAGTTCAAGAAATCCTATATTAAAAAAACTTGAGTTGCAGTATTTTGACAAGATCGTATTTGAGATCGACTCTGAGTCAGTTTCCTGTATGACCAATGCAGCAGCATTTATGCAGGAAACCTCAACAGAATGCCTGAGGGTATCCCTCAATTGTATATTAAATCTCTTTCTTAAAAAATTATACAGCTCTTTACAGCATCTAAGCTACTTCTACTGTCTTTGGTGCTGTAAGTCTTTAAGTGTGTAACGAACTTCATCTAATTAGAAACCCTGTTTCTTCAGCTCTTCAAGGTAGGCACTGAACTAGGATGCATGCTGCCTTATCTCTCCGATAAGGTTTCTGAGATGTTAACAATTGCAGGGATCTGGGTCTGAATATTTTTGAATATCCGCAGCCTTGTAATCAGATGAATGCTAAATTTCAAAACCGAATCACAGGGGTATCTTTCCCCCTCTTTTTACAGCACTGCCCCCACCCCCCGTGAACATAATAAATCTAATAAATCAAACCAATACTGTGAATGCCTTTTAAAATTACAGATCACAATAGTGTTTACCCCTCCCCCCCAAAAATCCCTCAATTTTACCTCTTCTTTAATGTGATGTTTGATAGGCACCTGTAAATTATCTGTGTAGCAAATATCCATACAAAGAAAGTTTCAATTAAGATAAGGAGATTGTATTGAAACAGTTCTTTGAAGTAATGTAGTTAATAGCCTGTTTGATTTCTGCTTGTGAGAGAGTAATAACGTGGATTCAAGGCTCCATCAATCACAGAGCAGATGTAAGACTTGAGACACCGACACCCAGGGGAATAGAGGCAAACTCCTGCAGTGCAGGGTCCCTGGGCTAATGTAAAGTAAATACTCATAAACAGATTGAATGTTGTAAGAAGACAATCCATTCAGGACAGTTATAATCATGAAAGCAACTGCTTTATTTATCTATAAAAAAGCTTGTAGCTGGAACTTGCTGTGTATAAAAGGTGGGAGGGAGAGTAGTATATGTTTATATGACCCACTACTTCTGGGCTCTTTCTTGTACTGAAACACAGAATCCGGTACCCACACACCTATATTCTTGCTGCTTTACTAGCCAAAAATCCAACTCTCTAAGTTAATCTCGTGTATTTACACGGTAAAAAATTAAAAATCATTCTTGCCCCTCAAGGGGATGGGAGAGCAGTAGACATTATTCAGTGTCTGTGAATCGCTTCATAAAGGATCAGGAGGATTAAGTTAGTTGCAAAAACCAGCAGTGACATAATTAGGCAGCTTGGACTATAATAAACAGGATCATAAAAAAAGAAAAAAAAGGAAAAGTACAGTTTGAAGAAAGAAGGCGACCATTTCGAAAATGCAAACCTCTCTGCGTACCCCTGGGCCTCCCCTCCCCCAAATTGCAAAAGACAACTGAAGCATTTTTGACCTTGGCTACAATAATACTTCATGTTTTAGCACTTTAGTCAGCATTTTATCTACTAATTGCTACACACTACCGCATGTGGCTCGAATCTGCCACTGCAGCTTTCTCTCATTGGTGAGCGAATTGCTTGATAAAGACTGGGAATTCAACCTGGCTGTTTCCTTTCTTGCTCCCCCTCAGCCATCCACCCCCCCACCCCTTTTCTTTCCTCTTCCAGCTAGAAGCCACTAATTTTCCCAGAAAATACCACATGGATGAGAATAGGGACAGTGAATTGTTCCCTGATCTCTCTCCACTGGTTAAAGCTCGGGTCACTTTTGCGATCCGGAGGCAAAACGGAGGCGGTGAAGGGGGGTAATGGGGACGAGGAATTAGGGGGACGAAGCGAGGGGCGAGTGGATTCTGGCCTGTTGGCGGACCTGATGCTAGGTGATTCTGAACGTGGGTCCCTTGCCCAGTCCATCGCTGGTTGGAAGTCTGTGGGGCTCCACGCTGCCCACCTGGGGACCTCGAGTTAGGCACGCTCTCCTGCTCTTGCTTGGTCAGTAAGTGGGGTTCGAAGGGGTAGCCCTGGAGTCTGCAGACTGATTCGTAAAGAACCAGCACTGTCTGAGGGTCAGCCACCGCCTGGTCCCATCCCCCTCTATGCCTGGCGCCATCGTGAGCGGCGGGGGCGGGTGGCGTTATTAATAAGGAGGCCTTGAGCAGAGCAGGCTCGCCAAGCCTTAGTGCAACAAGTCTATTGGTTTGAAGGAGGATCAACCGGGTTATACGGGTCATTGCTTTCCAGGAGACCTCTAGTGGTCAAAGGTTGAGCTACATCTCAAATTTGGGTCTATTCGTCGCCTGTCTCAAGAGCTGTGGTGGGGGTGGGACTCCAGCCCAGGTCCAGGTGGTAAAGGCTGGAAGCTTCAGAAGGATGGGTATGGGGACAGATTTCTCATGAACTTGGAGCCGGAGCCAAGAGAGACACAGGGAACTCGGAGCAAGTGATCCCCTGGGAAGGGTCATGTGATGCCCTTTGTGGGCACTGGAAGCCCCAAGTTCCCCTGCCCTCGATACAGATGGAGACTTCCTATCTCATCTTGATTTTCCTCCCGAGTCTGAGATTAATCAAATATTATGCAGGAAGTTGGATTAAATTTGCTCAAGCCTTTCCAGTTACAATAGCAATGCTGAGTCTGTTTATTTTTTCTAATTTGTTTGTAAATTAAAGCCAAGTCCCATTCCCTCACCCCAATCACAAATACACCCTAACACCCCTTAATTTTAACAATTTCATTGCCTTCAAGTGCCCTTGACATTTATGGGTTACTTAGTATAGAAATAACTAAGCTTTTTTTTTTTTTAATTGCCTGCACTGCGGGGTACATATATGACGTTTGGCTAAATTGTAATCTTGCCCCTCTATTCAGAATGCCACGGCATTCCATCTCAAATGGCAGGGTGCTGGAGGAAAGGGTAGTGGTGACTCAGGCTTTCAGACTCATTTGTGATCCACATATTAATAAATAATTTGATCAAATTTCCCCCCAGCATGGTATTAAAGAAATTCCTGGGAACACCTATCATAGGTCATACTCAAAACAGAGGTCCCAACCATCTGAGGTTATGAAAACATCTTGCCATACCTGATTTTTTTTTAAAGGAGACAAGAAAAAATGTACAGACATGGAGTCTTGGCTCCAATGGGGCACTCATATATTGCCTACTAAAATTTCTCTGTGCAGTTTCAAACGGACATTAATGATGCCTTGTATTTGGTGATTTACAACTTATAATTACTTGACAAGCATTAAGTAACTCATTACCTAGAAGCAGAGTGGGTACGGTAGGTAAATCACTAGACTGAAAGTCAAGGGGATCATTCTTCTCTGATTTGCTGTGTCTCCATGTCCATGACTATAATTATCTGCAGGACTCAAACCCTAATTCTGGCTTTGTCGGAATTTCTCAGTTATTGTGGCAGAATTATCCAGGCTGGTCATCTGTATAGAGGCAGCTGCCCTTGCTGGGGAGTCATTCAGACCCATGGAAGTGCCGGCAAGTCCCTTGACCGCCTCCACCTACATTTTGCCATGTCACAGACTGATAATTTTATGACTTGTTATTGCAGGTTGAAATATGTAAACGTGGTAATTCACTAAGGGTATAAGGAGATCTGTGTACTTCAGAAGAAAAATAATACCAAGAAAAACAGTGAGGTTGGTTCTGTTTTCATTTCCAATAAGCTTTGGCCAAAATAAAATTGGGTGGGCTTTCAACAAAGATAGTAGGGGACCAGATGAATTTCCCTCAGGGCTTAAACAACGCCCTTCTAGAGATGTGCTGGCACTAGTTCCCGCAGACTCCCTAGAGCTGATGATTACATTTTCAGAAATTTTGCAAGTCAGATGTCAAACACATCCACTATTGAACATTAAATTATATAAGCTCTCAAATAAATTATATTAGAAAACAATGGTAATATACCCTCAACACTCTAATTGTTTTACTATATTTAACTGTTATCTATACTCTGGAGGTTATTTATGTCTTTTGTATTTTTGTGGCCGCAATACAGTATCCTCAGAGGACTGGTTCCAGGACTCCTGGCAGATACCAAAATCTGTGGATGCTCAAGTCCCTTATATAAGATGGCATAGTATTTGAATATCACCTACTCACATCCCCCTTATACTTTAAATCATCATATTGTAATAACTAATATGATGTAAATGCTATGTAAACAGTTGTTATATTGTTTTATTTTTCACTTATTTTTATTTTTCACTTATTTCACTTATTTATATTTTTCACTTATTTTTATATTTATTTATTTATTTGTATTTTTTTGAGACAGTCTCATTGTGTTGCTCAGGCTGGAGGGTAGTGGTGAAATCTCTGGTCATTGCAACCTCCGCCTCCTGGGTTGCAGCGGTTCTCCCACCTCAGCATCCCGAGTAGTTGGGACTACAGGCGTGCGCCACCACACCTGGCTAATTTTTGTATTTTTTTGGTAGAGGCAGGGTTCCAACATGTCAGTCAGGCTGGTCTCAAACTCCCGACCTCAAGTGATCCACCTGCCTCGGCCTCCCAAATTGCTGGGGTTATAGGCGTGAGGCACCATGCCTGGCCTTTCTGAATATTTTAAATCTGCAGTTGGTTGAATCCTCAGATGCAGAACTTGTGGATATGGAGGGCCAACTCTACTATATAAGGGTGTGCTACTCCCCATCTCTTCCCAATTCACATCCATTGACATCCCATTGGTAGCTTGAAATAGGCCATGGTGGGGTATTTATACCGTGGAATTCAGCAAACATTACAAATCAGAGCTTGATTCATTGTTTTGTTGATTGGACTTGAGAAAGTGATGAAGACAATGTTAATACTGCAGATTGTGATGATTAATTTTATGTGTGAACTTGAGTGGGCCATGGGGTGCCCACATATTTGGTCAAACATTTTTCTAGGTATATCTGGGGGAGTGTTTTTGGATGAGATTAACGTTTGAATCACTAGACTGAGTAATGCAGACAAATGATATGCAAAGTAAACCCCCTCGTGGGTGGGCATCATCCAATCAGTTGAAGGCCTGACTAGAACAAAAAGGCTGAGTAAGAGGGAACTCCTCTCGACTGTCTGCTTGACCTGGGATATTGGTCTTTTCCGGCCTTCAGATTTGAACTGAAACATCTGTTTTCCTGGTTTTCAGACCTTTGGACTCAGATTGGAAGTACACATCAGCTCTCCTGGGTCTCCAGCTTGGTGATTACAGATCTTGGGACTTCTTAGCCTCCATAATCAATCATGTGAGCCAATTCTTCATAATAAATTAATCTGTCCCTGTCTTTCTCTCTCTTTCTCTACACATACTCCACACAACACACACACACACACACACACACACACACACCTTATTCTGTTTTTCTGGAGAACTCTGACTTAGGTTTAACTTAAAAGTGTGTCAAGCCTGTAGCCAATCATATTGTGAAAGCACAATTGAGGAAATATTTTGAAAACTATTATTTGATACCAGCAAAGAAGGTGTTCATGTCATTGATGAAAGAGGGAAGTTCTGGGATACATCTCTGTTTTTTCTCTTTTATTGTACTCCTTAATATAAGTGAAAATATCAATCAACATTAAAGTTAGAGCTACACTTATTTATTAATTGCAACCATAGATTAGGTATGGATAGCAGAGTTCAGCAAACAGGAACAGAAGCATTCTATGAGAATAAATTAGCTATCTGGAATTCACAATGAAGAGTGTGTATAATTATTATTTGCACATTTCTGCTATACTTCCTGTATATCTGCAAAATATATAATAAAATTGCACACATATATGTGCATAACTTGACCTACATATATACATATATAGATCTATATATCTAGATCTAGATCTTTGTATATATTTAAATAAAACATACATACCTTTTTGGGGGTGAGGAACTAATTGTTAAAGATTTGAAAGCACACCACATTGTATAGGTATCTTTGAACATGATATACAATTCAGACTTCTAGAGCAGGGGCCAGCAAACTACAGCCTACCACCTGCTTTTCTATAGCACCCAGGCCAAGAACATGTTTTACATTTTTAAATGGCTCAGAAAAATCAGTAGAAGAATAATATTTTGTGACATATAAAAATTATATGCAATTCAAATTTCAGTGTCCGTAAATAAATGTTATTGGAACACAGCCATGCTTTTTCATTTATGTATTGTCTATGGCTGCTTTCGCGCTAAAACAGCAGAATTGAGTAGTTGTGACAGAGACCGTATGGCCCTCAAAGCCTAAAATATTTAACTGTCTTGCCCTTTGTAGTAGAAATTTGCTGACTCCTGTTCTAGAATATGGAGATACATCCCTTGGTTGGGAGTAGTCAACTCAACCAAATGACCTTTTGAAGTCTTTTCTTGCCTTTGGTCCTAGAAATACTTCCTTGGTAAACAGATAGAAAAAAAAAAGGAATACTCAGAGTTTTTGTGAGGCAGTCAAATCATTGACAAGGTCACGGGGAGAGCCCATGCCATCATAAAAGTAAGAGTGGAGCATGAGAATTCTCACTCCTTGGTTTGTATTCTGACCACTGCATGACAGTGCCTTTCTTCCTTACTGCTTGTCCTAAAGCACTGTATGATTTTGTTGGGCGCTGTTAAATATTTATTGAGTTTTCTTGTCCAGAGTGGTTCGGTTACTGTGTGTCTGTGTGTGTGATGGGACCCTTCAGGATTAAAGGTGCTATATAAATAGAGGATTATTTTATGACTTGTTATTGCAGGTTGAAATATGTAAATGTGGTAATTCACTAATGCTATATCAGTGCATGTATCTGGGAAGCTAGAATGCATTATCCTGCTATTTGAATCTAACATCATTTACATCCTTTTTTAAAAAAGGTGCCCAATCAATTTTTTTTTAAATGAGGAAACGCAGTAGAGGAAAAAAAACCTCCTTTAATGCAATACTTCAGCTGAAAGTTTAATGACACAAAAGGCAGGCAATTCAAAGTTACAGTTCCCACAGCAACTGTAACTCTGCTATATAGCACATTTAGGCATAGATTTCACAGCATGTACTGCAATACAAAATACTCCACACTGGGCATGCAAGGGGGCAGAGTTATGGTTGCTATGGGTACCATGACTTTGAATTTCCAGATTTTTTGAGAGTTTAAATTTTCAACCAGAACATCACATTAATAGTTCATTTTTTTTGCATTGAAAATAATAAAGGTTGTATCACTGTTTCCACTGTCAAACCCATCTCCAGCTCAGTCCACTGCTTAGTATAAATACCTACCCAAACGTATTCACCCTACTTGCTAAAATTAAACACATGACCTCAGCCCAGGGAGTATTTTAGTTTGCAAATTTGTATGCGATGACTTTCACTGGATTAACTAAATCTGCTCCCTCGTCCTTTCTCAAAATCACGCATACATTCAGATTAACCCTCTCAGCATTCTGGTATATTTTATCTGTTATTCATAGGCTGAGAGGATATGATAATCACATTCATTGTGTATGAATGTGTGATGTATATATTTATAATTTATACTCTGTCTACTTCCAAAAAGAACTGGAGGTAGCTAACTACACTTATTCATTTATTCCTTGAACATGTCATGCAATTTTATGCCTTTACACCAGTGGTCACAGGTCCCCTTTTCACTTAAAAATTATTGAGGACTGCAAAGAGCTTTTGTTTGTGGTGGATATATATACATTTAATATTAGAAAGTCAGATTTTGTATATGTAAAATATTATACATTATAGTAGAAATATTTAAAAATATTTATAACTGATTTTAAAATAATAAATCCATTCTGATAAAACACTTTTTAATAAAAAATAACTATATTTTCCAAAACAATGAAACATAGTGAGAAGACAGGCATTGTTTTACATTTTTAGAAGTCTCTTTAATGGAAGATAGCTAGATTCTCATAGCTGCTTCTGCATTCAGTGTGTTTCATATCGCAAGTCATATAGTTTCTGGAAAACTCCACTGTACCTTTCTCAAAAAATGAAAGCGAGAAAAGCAAATAATGTCTTAATATTATTATAATCATTGTTTCGACCCTGTGGGCCACCTGAAATTGTCTCAAACATTCCCACGGATCCCCAGACCATACTTTGAGAACTAGTGCTCTATGCATTTGTTTATGCTGTTCTTCCAAGCATATGCTCTTCCTTATCTACGGGAAAACTCCTATTCATCCTTCAAGGCACTGGGAAGAATTAATTGCCCCCTTTAGCTGTATTCTCATAGCATTTTACATATATGCCAATCAGACCATTTATTATATTATGTGGTATTATGACTATATGTTCAAATATCTGTTTGCTGTTGTTAGACTGAATTCCTTACAGAGGAGTCATGTCTTATATATGTTTTCCGTATTTCTTAGGATCATACCTGACATTCTGTATGTATGGATTGTAAGAATTCAATTCAACCAGTGATAAAAAAGCTTTCATTCTTTGAGTACATAATATATTTTAGGAACTGTGTTTAAACTGTCTCAAATTTAATCTTCATAATAATGCTATGAAGTTGGTACTATTATTAATATTTTTTGATTGAGATTAAGGCTTGCCCATAGTTCAACAGCTAGAAAGTGGGCAGACCCTGATGGGTTTAACATATTGACAAGAAATATGAGAGAGGGTATAAAGCAGGAAACAGAGTCTTTGCCTTAAAGGCATTTACAATCTACTTTGGGAGACAAGACATATTGCACAAATGAAAGGCAAATATCAATACAGAAGTTAGCTAACAGCAGACCACAAATGCCATAATTAAAGGAATGCCTATTTAGTAGAAATGGCTACTTACCCAGTGAATCATTCAGATTCAAACTTTTGGAGAATATACTTCTATCAGAAAACCTTTGTTTTAGAATGCACACCAGATAAATATGTATTTATTTATAAATTATATATTTACTCTTGCACCAATCTGTTACAAATGTATCAATATATATTAATATGCTCAAAGATGTAAATCATAAAAAATTTAAAAGAATGAGATAAAAATATATAAAGACATTCTACAATATTTTTCAGCATGCTGATGAATTATGCGCTCTGCTTTGGAAGCAATTTATCTGGACTAGTGGTACTCAACTTTGGCTGAAAATTAGCTTTTCTGGAGAGTTTAAAAATTGACACTGCGGTCCCAACCCCAGGTCAAATCAATCAGGATCTCTGGGGGGTGGTACACAGATCATGGGAATATTTCACCTTCCCCCTCCACCCCATCCACCAGGGAATTCTGTGCAACCAAGGGTGAGAATCACTGGCCTAGCCACTAAGGACAGTGGCACCCTATAGAGAGATCAGTGCACTGCAGACAAAGCAGGAAGATACTACAGGTCACTTTAATATTTTTACATGGAAGTATTGAAAAGTTGCATTCGTAAAGTTAGTCAAGCTGAATTTTAAAATCTCCCGTTGCCTAAGTTAGTGTCCATGTTTTGGTTTTTTGAAACAGTACCCCTTTAGGGTGTGCCTAACTTTTCAAGGTCTGGGAATGAGGAGATCTGAGTTGTATCCTGGGCCTGCCGCAGAACTTGGGCTGAGACCTTTGGCTAGTTTTCAACAATGGTAATTATGGGGGTGGCGATTTTCTGTAGTCATAAAGTACTTTGTCTCAGAAAAGTATATTCTTGGAATCAATATGTAAGCCTGCAAATGGAACCCCGAAATATTTGTTCTGGAAGGCATCTTTTAGAACAGCACCCTCGGCCGGGCGCGGTGGCTCACGCCTGTAATCCCAGCACTTTGGGAGGCCGAGGCGGGCGGATCACGAGGTCAGGAGATCGAGACCATTCTGGCTAACATGATGAAACCCCGTCTCTACTAAAAAATACAAAAAATTAGTCGGGCGCGGTGGCGGGCGCCTGTAGTCCCAGCTACTCGGGAGGCTGAGGCAGGAGAATGGCATGAACCAGGGAGGCGGAACTTGCAGTGAGCCGAGATCGCGCCACTGCACCCCAGCCTGTGCGACAGAGCGAGACTCCGTCTCAAAAAAAATAAAAAAATAAATAAATAATAAAAAATAAAAAAAAGAATAGCACCCTCATTACACATGAGGAAACTGAGACCCAGAGATGCTAAGTAGAGGTAGTTGGCTTACCTAAGACAAAGCCGTAAGAAGAAAGGGTTAGGACACTAGTTGGAGGAGGAGGAGGAGGCTGATCCTCATCAGACAAATGGTTCTCAAATGTGGAATTCCACTTTCATAAAGGACTCAGGATATATGGACAGAATAGGGTAGAGTAATTGTGGCTCCTTCATCTTTAGCTGATCCCACCAACACAAGGGTTAGGTTTAAAAATTCTGCAATAAGTTGTATAGAAGGCTCCCATGTTCCCAAAGTTAGAAAGCCCCTGTGGTCAATGTTTCCTCATTCTTGGATCTGTTTTGAATGTAGTCATCCAGAATTTTCTCTATGAATGAGGAGGTTAAACTAGATGAGCTCTGAGGTTCCTTCTGACTCACCATGAAACTTCTAGGGCTGTGTGCATTGCTAGTGTCATCCAAACACAAGGACATGATTGGAGCACAAAGTTGGGTTCGAATAATTCTCTGTTGTACTGCATAATGGGGAGGAGAGATATTCTTGTCTAATTTGCATTTGGAAATACAGAAGCTTGCATATAATTCTGTGAGCAAATATAATTATGCTTTCCCTTGCCTGCTCAACATGGGTCATTATAGGTGAAAGACAGCACAACTGGGAACTGCTGGACCTGGAGGGACAGTGTCATGCATAGACCAAGAAAAGTTCATGTTGACAACATGTCAAGGCTTGTTTCGTATGGTTTAAATTGGGTTTCATGAAGTGGAAAACAATGCATGAAACCATTCTTGTTCTTTGTTCTTCAAAACACATGAAAATATTGGGAAGATTTAAATGTAGGAGTTAACATGACACTTAATGTCTCTTTGTGCCTTTGTTTATGTCATTACTTCTTCTGGATGTCCCTCAATTTGCCTTCTCACCATACCCACCCAGAGAAGTCCAACATGCCAACTGAAAAATGGACAAACAATAAGAGTAGTCCATTGCCTTAAGTGCTTACATGCATGCATCTAACTCTATACGGCAATCACTAATATTGTTCTCATTCTAGATGAAGACACTGAGGCACAGAGAGGATATGTAACTGGCTTGAAATCATTAAATTCAGAGGCAGAGACTGAATTCAGACTCGAGTAGTCAGTCTCCAGGGTCTGTGCTCTCAAGAACACACTTTACCAAGTTTTTGATGGCATTGTAAAGGATTTTAGAGAAGAAAAAATTAAAATGTTTGCTGAATGTATTAAAATTAAAAAATAAAATTATGTTTATGACCCACCAACTTGGCAAATATTTTAAATAGTGGCTGGTGGTGGGGAGGAAGTGAGAAAATGGAATTTGCCCTGCTGGTGGGAGTGCCAGTTTGTACAGTCCTTCTGAAAGACAAATTGGCAGTACAGTATGTAATAAGTCCCTTGGAACATACTGCTAGACCCAGAAATTTTACTCCCATGAATTTATCCTAAGGACAATTTTGGAGAAGTTCACAAAAAATGAATGCATAAAATTTATGTAAGAACATTGTTTAAAATAGCAAAAAGTTGGAAACAACATAAATAATTTACAATGGTGGATTGGTTAAATAAATTATGGTACAACTCTAATAAAAAATATGCAGATATTAAGAATGTAATAGAACCATGTTTACTGACATGGAAAGATGTTCAAAATAATGTTAAGTTTAAAAAGAAAATAGTTTTTAACTTAAAACATAAGTTTATGTCAATAGTAGAATTAAGACAGTTACAGATTTCTTTGTGGTGTTTGGTAGTTTCCAATGTATTACTTATATAAAAAATAAAAATAGACCAGGTGAGGTGGCTCACACCTGTAATCCCAACATTTTGGGAGGCCGAGGCGGTTGGATCGCTTGAGCCTAGGAGTTCAAGACGAGCCTAGGCAACATGGTGAAAGCCCCTCTCCACAAAAAATGAAAAAATTAACTGGGCAGGGTGGTGTGTGCCTGTGGTCCCAGCTATTCAGGAGGCAGAGCTGGGAGAATCACCTGAAGCTGGAAGGTCAAGATTGCAGTGAGCCGGGAATGCACCCCTGCATTCCAGCCTGGGTGACAGAAAGAGACTCTGTCACAAAAAGAAACAAACAAACAAACAAAACCACACACACAAAAACCCCTAGATCTTCCTTGCCTTAGCCATTGGAAAACTTTTTTCATATGTGCAAAACAGGCAGTGACTCTAACCAGAGTGAGTTTAAAGTAAAATTAATTGTTAACGTTCATTGAGCACTTATTATGGGCTAGGAGCTCTGTTAAATACTTTAAATGATTTCTTTTCATCCTTACAACTCTTCTGATGTGAGCACTCTGTCTTTTTACAGTTCAGAAAACTGAAGCACAAAAAGATTTAAATAACTTGCTCCAAGTTCACTGAGAAGGCAGCTTCTAAGGGGATGTAAATAATTTGTAGGATTCAGAAATGAAAGAATAAAGTTGGCCTTTGGGCATTAAAGCACCATCTCCTATGGATAGGAACGTTAGCTAGTTAGCCCAACACAGAAGATCAGTTTAGATCTTCTGGTTAAAAATAAAACCATTCATTGAGATCGAGCCCTGAGGGAACTCGGGATGGGTAAACAGCTATATTGTGTGACTTTTTACCTTGCAGTTAACTTCTCTGCCAGATAGAAAGTGCTTTACTAGTAGATTTCTTTTTCCTTTGTATCTCACACAAAGCCTATCCCACCCGAGGAGGAGCCTGAGAGAAAGTCACTTCAATTCAATTTTGGTAATTTAGAGATTTTGCTTGGCACGCAGTCTCCTTCCAATACTTGTCTCTATAAACATTGATCTTCTCTACCTCTCTGAGGGTCTCTACCCTTGGTATGTCGCTGTTCCTCATCATTTAGTAGCTGGGAAATATAAAGGCAGAAGTCCTAAATCTGTGGCAACTTTAGAACTTCTAAATAGTAGAGCCCTGGAGGTAGTAGCACAGTTGGAGGGAGGTGGCTGGACACTCTAAGTTGTGTCTACATAGTACTTAACACAAGAGTGAGAAGGTGTCAGGTGTGTGAATCAAAGAATGGGCTACTGATAAGTGACTTAGCCCTGAGGAAGGGTAATGAATAGTGACCAGGCTCCAAAGAAAATGTGCCCAGTGCCCTAATCCTTGGGTCTCTGCTTAACCTCAGCATGCCTTCAGACACAGAGGAATTGCTTTCAGTGATTGAGTTATCATCAATATTCTATCTCAGATGGAGGGAACCAGGATCTTGAAAAGACAGAAAACTTTTATGACTATTATTCTTTTGTTCATGACATTTATGTTTCTGAAATGCCTCTACTTATTCTCTCTCTCATGATCCATTGCAACCCAACTCAAGTGCCCCCACCTCCTTCTATAAAGAATTCTCTGTTGCTACCAGACATATTGAGAATGATCTCAATATACCTGGAACTGCATAGAAAGCTTGGACTGCTTTCCTTGGCTGTGTCTTTTTAAATAAGTCGTATAGCTATATTCTTCTGGCCTTGAGGGACAGGAACCCTATTACATAACAAAAATGACAAAACAATGCCAACAACTAGCATGGCACAAGCCTATTTATTTCAATAGAGAGAAGCCTAGTGGTTTAAGGTATACATCATCTAGCAAACTAAGCTTTCAGTACTGAAGCTTTGAGGCTTCAAGTGGTTTGAAAAGTCCAGTGTACCTAGAAACTATTCTGTGCTTGGGATTAATTGGCTTCTAGCTCAAGACCAAAAGGTAGGAGACACTGGTTGTAGGACTGGTTCGCTCATCATCAAGACATATTCTCAGTTACTTCTTGCAGTCTTGGTTCTCTCATCTGTCAGTTGACACAGAGCCAATCATACCTAAAAGAATTATTGTGAAAACAAAATAAAATAATGGATATGAAAAGCCTTTAAAAGTTGAAAGCACTAGGCAAACCCAAGGCATTATTTGGCATTATTGTAAATATGACAAACCAAATCTTACGCGGCAGAGGAGATTGCAATTATAAGGATGGGTGGTCAATACTTAAGATTCATGTATGATCAATGAAACCAACTATCTGTGGAAATGACATCCACCAAGGAAAAGCCTGAGTAGTTGAGGAGGTCACAGGGAGATGAGGACAGCTCATATTCAATCAAGGGAGAATATTCATATTGCTGAAAAATAGAACTCTGGGAGTTTTTTTCATAAAGTGTTGGCTAAAGTTTGATCTGTGAAACAGGTTTTTCAGGGACAAAAATGGGTAAAATAGATTTGAGTTAGACAAAGTCAAATAGAATTTTCACTCACTGTCTTTAGAATGCCAAGTTGACTCTTCAAAAGGGAGAGAGGCAGGGATCTTTAATCTTTTCAAGGGCAGTCACCTGGCAAAAGCTGAAGCTCAACCCATTGTATTAGATCTAACTGCAGGGAGTATGTGTTTATGATCTGCTTGGAGTTTCTGAGATGAGAACCAAAAGACGAAGACTTGAATGATGTTTCTCCAGCACTATGAAAATGAAAGAGTCAGGTACAGTGGCATGCACCTGCATTCCCTACTACTTGAGAGACTGAGGTGGGAGGATTTTGAGCCCAGGAGTTTGACACCAGCACGGGCAACATAGTGAGATGCAGTCTCAGAAGAAGAAGAAGAAAAGAAAAGAAAAGAAAAGAAAAAAGGAACTTCGGTTTTGGCAGTCATGGGAATTTTGGTCCTAGGAAAGCTGGAGAAAGCTGGACTCTATTATGACAGAGGGGATTGATTAGGCACACTTTGGTATGGGAGAATTCTCCTTCCAGACAACTGTTGCCCTTGTCCCAATCCTTGGCTCTCCCACCAACCTTCTGTTACCTGCTCAGCTTCCAGGCACTGTCATCATGGAGAGCAGTCTAAATGATGGACAGCACCATTCAAGAAAAAAAAATTAAAAATTATTAAATTCATGTTCATTTCTCTTAATTACTAATCATAAAATTAGAACATTTACTCAAAATTTCAAACGGAAGAAATATAGAGTAAGAAGTGGATACTCTTTCCCCATCTATCACCATGCCATGACACATAGTATAAAATTGCTACATTAAAAAACAAAATGGGCCAGGCATGGTGGCTCACACCTGTAATCCCAGTCAGTGCTCAGGAAGACTGAGGGGGCAGGATCACTTGAATGCAGGAGTTCAAGACAAGATAGAGAGATTCTGTCTCTACAAAAAAATTAAAAAATAGCCAGGCATGGTGGCGTGCACCTGTAGTCCCAGCTACTTGGGAGGCTGGGGCGGGAGAATCACTTCAGCCCAAGGAGGATACAGTGAGCTATGATCGCCGCTGCACTCCAGCCTGGACAACAGAGCAGGACCCCGTCTCTAAAACACCAACCAACTAACCAAACAAACCAAAAAACCCATGAAATGACTAGAAGCCAATTCACAATATTTCATAACTATTTATTTAACCAGTTCTCTATGGCTGGGCATTTAGGTAGTTTCCAAATTATCATCGTGACAATAGGTGTTGCAATAAACTTGGACATTTATTTTTGTGCATTTTCTATGAGAATAGATACACAGAAGTGAAACTGCCATCACAATGCATAACTAAATGGACAATTTGGCTATGTACTGCTAAATTGGCCCCCTCAAAATGGCACCAATTTCCACTTCCACCGGGAGTATATGAGGGTTGCCCATGAATTTGGTCAGTTGGGTGAGTTGCTTGGGACAGACCATGTCTGAAGCAATGACAGAACTGATGATCTGGACTGCAAAGTCTCGGGAACTTGATGACACAAGAGCTACTCCTGTGTCGGGCCTTGTATAGGTCGTTGGCATGCCACCCCAAACAACACTGACCTCACACATCTCTCGTTAACTGTAAATCAGACCACATTATGGCTCCTGAAGTGTACTAGACTGTACATCAATTTCCTGTGAGCGCCCTAATCAATTGCTTCTGTGAGGGGTTTTAAGGGACCCTGAAACATCACCCTTCTTTTTGGCCCAAGGCTTGAATCAATTAGAGCTAGGCAAAAGAGTAAGACAGAAAGAGTCAAAACATCACCTTTGTTGTTGTTAAAGTTGCTACTGAGGAATGTGGTTATATCTGCTGTGCCAGTGAGCGTCCCCATTCTTAACTGTGATATTGCAGGGACCACACCCAGCCTCCAGCAGCATTGGACCACTGCTGATCTTCCTACAGGTTGAGGAGTAAGTTCACTGATAAATTTATTAGCTGGTAGAGAAATATCAGGAGCACATGCTCTGTGTGAGTGTGCATACTGCCAGAGGAAGGGGCTTGGCAACCCATGACTAGTGTTTCTTTTAAAGCTTACCAATCAGATTATGTCTCTTTTTCTTCTCTGGAGGAAAGTAGGAGTGTTACATTAGTGGTGCTCTTTTTACAAGAAGGAAGTATCAGGAATAGGGGAGATTCTTGCTCTTTCTGCCCCAACCTTCCCCCTGCCACACTATCCCAACCGCGGTGTCCACCTAGAATGTTTAGTGGGAAAGAGTTTCATAGTTGATTAGCAATGTCTGCCATGAGAGTGGGCGGGGGGAGTTATGGCACATTTGTCATACATTTTCAATCCTGCAATAATTATGCAATGAGTAATATGTGGTTAGTATAAAGGTTCGGTACAATTGTGTCTTCTAAATTATAAAAGAGTTTCACTACAGATCAGCCACCCCCACAGACTTTTCGTCTCTATTTTTCTGAGTGTTCTCTCTCCTATAGTAGGGTGGAGAGATACTCTGGTCCCAAATAATTCATAACAGTCTAGGTCTTTATACCATTTGGTGCTATTCCCAATACAGAGCTGATATTTTCATTGTAATGGTTCATAATTAAGAACTCACATATCCAGATCTCCAGCTTTTACTACTGGGGTAACAGAGGCAGAAAAGAAAAAAAAAAGCCAGTATCAGTATTTGCCAAGTGGCCAAGGATAAAATTGGTAGTGGAAAAATTAGATTTTCAAGCTATTAAAAATTTATTACAAACAATGGAGCATTTAAATAAAATGAAGCTGATGTTGTCTTTCTAAACACTTGGCATGTTCTACTTTGTGCTCTTGTTGATATTCTTTCTTACAGAAGGAATTTTTATTTATATTTTATTTTTTTGCATGCAGATACTTTCCATTTGCAGTACTGAGGAGAAAATAAATTTTTTACTTGATTGGGTGGCTTTGGTGCTAAAGAGAGGAGCCAAATATGTCAATGTCCAATTAAGCTGGATTTAAAAATGCATGAGCAGCCTAATAGGAGAGTAATAGATGCTGGGTGGGATCGAGTTAGGAGACAGGAAGGGGTGTATTGAAGAGGAAACCACTGGGAAGACAAAAAGAGAAAAGATCTTTTCTTCTATTAACGTCTTTCCTTGTAGATACTTTATTATTTCTGGCCCTTTCCCATATTCAGCCAATAAGATGGCTGTTCCCTGAGATGGGACTCTAATTAACCCCAGATGAAGTTAGCCTCTCCCAAGATCCCTGACCAAATACCTTCCCCTTCAGACTAATTTTTCCTGAAGTTTAAACATTGGTGCATTTTCTTTCTGATTTTTTCTTTATCAATTTGCCACTTGTGCTGTTTCCTCTCCTCATTTTATATAAATAAATATATATATTTAGAGACAGGGTCTTGCCCTGCCACCCAGGTTGGAGCATAGTGACACGATCATAACTCACTGCAGCCTTAAACTCCAGAGCTCACGGTATCATCCTGCCTCAGCCTCTGCATAGCTGGCATTACAGGCCTGAGCCACCATGCCTGGCTATTTAATTAATTAACTTAACGTATTCATTATTTTGAGACAGAGTCTCACTCTGTCACCGAGGCTGCAGTGCAAAGACATGATCTCGGCCCACTGCAACCTCTGCCTCCCAGGTTCAAGCAATCCTCCCACCTCAGCCTCCCAAGTAGCTGGGATTACAGGCACGCACCACCACGCCCAGCTATTTTTTGTATTTTTAGTAGAGCCAGGATTTCATTACGTTGGCCAGGCTGGTCTTGAACTTCTGACCTCAGGTGATCCACCCACCTTGCCCTCCTGAAGTGCTGGGATTACAGGTGTGAGCCACTGCATCTGGCCTGGCTATTTGTTTTATTGCCTCACTTTTAAAACTGTTTATAAATGAAAGAAAAGTCAGTATCCACCTGCAGTAAATACAAGGAAATCATACAAGTAAGTACAACGGAAGCAAAAATGCTACTTAAAAGTTTTTTAAGAATAAAATTCACCAATGAAAAACAATTAATGATAAATCAGATAAATTTAAAAATTTCCACACCTAAAATAAATTTCTCAATGACAAAAATAGATCTATTTATTTGTAGTCACTAATGGAGGGATATTTAACTAATCAGTGCTTAGTTCCACCTAAAAATCAAGTCATTGTCTGCAGTTTGGGAAACAGACTTTTCAAGGGGGCAGTGAAGTAAAGTAGGAAAAGCTGGGATTTCAAATCAGACCACTCTGAGTTTGACTTCTAGTTCCAGGTGTTACTGGTCCCTCACAGTAAAAGTAGGATGACAATATCTACTTCACAGGACTGCTGTAAGGCTAAAATGTAATTGTATTGAAAAGCATTTAGGACATACTTAGGCAATTTTAGTTTTATTCTTTTCTACCAATATAATATTAGTAGAATATCCCCAGTTTTGGAGTATTTTTGTCTTGGTGGAGAAAGGCATTAACAAAACATGGAATCATAGAATTTGAGAAATAGAAGACATTTCTCAGAAAAAATAAATAACGTTTACAGGCTGTATTTATTTTCCATTCAAAATAAAAATAGTTTTACTGAGTCCCATGGGAAAAATGTACCGTCTTACCACTTGCATGATCTACTTCATTGACTAGAAGAATGTCAATGAAAAAATTCTCATGGTTTGTCATCATTTAGTGTAAATATCTGGGTTATTTGAGAAGCAGCAACAGAGGTAGCATCCTAATCATTTAGCCTTATATTCAAAGCGAGGCCAGTGGGCTGCATGGCATCCGTGGGCCTCAGTAGCTCTTCACTGAGTAGCCCATTTTTTTCAGCACTGATGAACAAATGGAGATGCAGAGCATTGAGTGTCCCTGTGACATTAACAAATAAATAAATCACATTGAGTGGCAACACAGAGATTTACCCAATATATACCCTATCAAATGCTTATTAGTGACCCAATACCAATTGACAGTATTTCATACAGTTTTGGAATAACAGAATGCTTGATATAGAAGGAAATTCAGGGCTTGCTTAGCTCAGGGGTCAGGTAGCTAACATTAAGGAGTGACGTGGGGCTGGAGGCACTGGGGAATCAGAGAGATCAAGCTATCCTAAAAGGGGGCACTTCCTAAACTGTTTCCCTGCAAGCCTTTGAACCCAGTATTGCCAGATATGACTTCTAAAGACAAGCTAGGGGCCGAGTGCGGTAGCTCACTCCTGTTATCCCAGCACTTTGGGAGGCCGAGGCAAGTGGATCACCTGAGGTCAGGAGTTCAAGACCAGCCTGGCCAACATAGTGAAACCCCACCTTTACTAAAAATACAAAAAATCAGCCGGGTGTGGTGGTGCATGCCTGTAATCCCAGCTACTTGGGAGGATGAGGCAGGAGAGTTGCCTGAACCTGGGAGGCAGAGGTTGCAGTGAGCCGAGATCATGCCATTGCACTCCAGCCTGGGCAACAGAGTGAGTCTCCATCTCAAATAAATAAATAAATAAATAAAATAAAGAAAGAAAATAAAGAAAACCTAGGAATTTGGATATTGCCATTTTTATGTGAAAATTTCTTTACATATTGGCAACAAAACACCTCCCACCACCGCCCCTCAATCCCACACCTAGTGCTCCCCACCCCACTCAGAAATCTCCATGCAGGTCAAATAAAACATGTCTGTGGTTTCCATGTACTCTGAGTGTTGAATGTCGGTGCCTCTGGTCTGGTCCAACTGCCTTCTATGTTGGATGGGAAATGGAAGTCCAGAAAGGAGAAATGACTTAACTACGGTCATATCAGAAGCCTCTCTTCTAAAACCTCCTAGGAAAAGCTGACAGTTCATTCATTTAAGAAAAAGTGTGATGGAATAAAACTGGAATCTGATAATCTAGAGAGCAATAATTCTGAATACAGCTCTTTAATTGTCTGTAACGTATATTATCCAAGCTGATGAACACAAGAAGTTAAGAAAGTAGATCGCTGCAATAATAAGTTGGTAAGGGAGGGTTTGAAAATTAAGCAGAAGTATTCGTTGGTGCAAGATTTTCCCAGAGATTAACTCTTGTCCCAAAATCATTCACCTGCACTTAAAGTAATATGGAAGTATGTCAGTGATTTACCCATGGCCCCAGAGATAAAATTGAATGAGATAATGAGTATAATTTGCAATTCCATGGGAGGAAAACCTATGAATATTTGGCAGTGATCTTTGAGGATGAATGAATGGATGGATGGTTCATTCATTCATGAGTGCCACAAATAATGATTGACTTCTTACTGCAAGTGAGTCACAGTTCAGGCACTGGGGACAGAGCATGAACAAGAAAAAAAAAATCCCTGCCCTAATGTGGCTTATATCTCAGTGGGTAGAATGAGTGGCTTAGGCAACTCTCAACTGGCTAAATAATGGATCAGCTCCTCCATCTCTTTTAGTCATGCCAACATGAAGAAGAAAGTTGATGGTGGCATTGGGAAGAGAAAGTTGGCTCTTTTGCTCCTAGGCCAATATTCTATTGCCATGGCAATGATATGCTCATTGGTCTGGAGCATGACATAGACTTTCCTATTTTGAATCAAAGCTCTAAAAATACCAGAAGGCAAAAGATGCTATTAACAGGACAAAGTAGGGGTACTGATATCAATTTACTTCTTTGTTGTCCTTGCCTCTCTTAAAACAATATCTGAAATCCAGCACAAACAGGGCGTGCACCTAAATTAAGCCCGTGGTCAGCTTTGCTGGGGAGAGACGCATTTCTGTGAGTGATTTGTCTTCAGTCCTGTTGGCTCTGGCAGATTTATAGGAATTTATATTTCCACACACAAATTGTCCTTGAACAATTTCTCCAATACCTGAAACACTGCTCCCTCCTCCCAGCCCCTTGTCAGATGTACCCATCTGCTGTCTCCCGCCCAGATTTTTTCTTTAATAACAAAGTAATTGTTGACGTTGTAAGAAAAATCCAATTCTTGGTTGAAGTTTACGTTCCAAAGGGTCTCTCTTCGGGAAGAAAATCAGCAGTGGATAGAGTTGCACATTCCTGACGTTGGAGCCAGCTCCCTCGAAAGCCTGCATTACTGTGAAACAACTGCACTGCCCTTCCCAGCTGGTCCTCTTTTCTTTCTTGGGAGGGATCAAGAAAGACTAATGCTTTTTGTCCTTTATCCTCCCTATAAAAGCCAGGGCTGGTGCCCGGAGCAATGTCAGTAGAGGGTCAAAGGGAAGATGGAAGATGAGCCTAATAGCCCCCTGAGTTAACCTTCCCGTGACCACTTCCCACTTGCTGGTGATTTTGTTACCTCAACACAGATTGTTTCTCAAGCTTATCAGTTGTCTGACAATGAGAGGAACTTGGAAGTCATTGTGAGTATCAAACTTCCCTGTGGCATCCACACATGATGACACCTAGTCAGGCTGAATGGACTTAATAAAGATTTGGTCAAAGGTGGCTATTGCTTTCTAGAGCATGCCAGCTGATGGTGTGGAGTCTAACCTTTTTATTATATTTCATTGTACCAAAGTTCCTACTAAGTTGGGCTAACTAGATAAAAGGTAAATCTTAAGAGGCAAAGTAGAAAAATGGCAGGAGAAAGGGCTTTGGAATCAGATAATTCTTGGTTTGTATAATATCTCTGCTGTATCACTTTCTAGCTTCAGGGCACTGGACAAGTCACTTAAAATCTCTGAGCCTGGCTTTCCTGTGGGTAAAAAGGAAATAATCATGCCCACAGTACATCACAGGGTCATCATAAGGGTTAAGTGAAATGATGTGTGTGAACATGCTTAAAACAATGGCCTGACATCAGTGAGCACTCAATGAAAGGTGATTTTTATTTATAGTACAAAGTTAAATTATAGAGTATTTTAAGCAAATGCATTTTTAATTAAGAAAACTCAGTTAACAAAATCTTCATGAATAGGCCCTTATGGGACTTGACATAACAAAGAGGTAAGAACATTTCAGAATAGCTTTATCACTTATTTATAGGAAGAGGTTGCTTTGAAAATATTTTTGAAAGTTCTGAGCAAAAGGCTTTGAAGACTTACTCACAAGTAGGGTCAATACTCCCCTTGAAGCTTTGTTTATACATTAAGTTCTTATCTTATAATTGGTGCAAAGGTTCATTTCAGTTTAGCTCTCTCTATAGAGTGATAAATTTTGAATTTGCAGAGTCTGGATTCCTGAGACTTTATTACTATTCAAGGCTTTAATTTTGAAGAGATCCTGCATATTTAAAATCTAAAATAAAGTAGTCTTATTTTCAGTATGATTGACCTAGAATATGCCCTGTCAATGACATGACTTTGAGCTCTAGGTCTTGGTGCTGGCCTTCAGTAAGATAGCAATTAAGATATAATGATAAAACCTCCTAGATTTGTCCATGGTAGAAATAATTTCATTTATGCTTCACAACAATCCTCACGTGGCAGAAAAAACCAACATATTATTACTCACATTTTACAGTTGAGAAAATTGAAGTTTGAAGCAAGTCACTTGCCTCATGGCACTTGTTTCAGAGGTTTACAAACCTTTATGTAAGTGTTTAGCTGCAGAGCTCTTTCTGAAACTGAAATGTACTCTGGAAGAGAAAAAAAATGAACCAGATAATAGCCTGACAGCTTTGCCTTCCTGTCCTATCCTGTCCTGTCCTGATAGCCACTGATCCCAGGTCTGAGGTAAGAGGGCGGCCTTCTTGGACAATGACTGTGGTAGCAGTGACAGGTGGTCATGAGAGAGTGGGGCTCTTTGGTTTCTGGTTTTTACATGGCCTCCAAATCTAGTGAGAGTTGGAAGGTTGAGATCTCCCCCGCAAATGCTGGTGGAGCTTCCTTGGTGAGTGAAATGCTGACTTTGAAGGCAATTCTGCACAGCAATGCAGAATGATGTCCTCTGCTCTCTGCCCACTGTTAGCTGGTGTTCTGAATTTTGCCTATTTGGCACACCTGGGGAGTGGTAGACTTTGTAAAAGAGAAAGGTATCTAGTGTTGGTGATGCTGGTACACATGGTGGGGGTGGAGAATCAAACCTGGAGTTTCTAAATTGGGGAAAAGGCAAAGTGGCCAATGGGACATACAGCCAATTTTATAAAACCCCTTTTTGCAGTCTCCAAGATAGAAAATTGGAATCCTTTGGATAAAATAGTATTGCATATTTATACCTCTTTTACTAGTTTCAAGCACTGGCCCGCATTATCAGGAACCTAGCTAGCTAAAGAGATATGTAAACGTAATCATCAACCACTGTTGGCTTACAAAGAACCTCCAGATATACATTCTTTGGCAATGCAACCTAATTGGTACATCATTAATGGCCATTGAGTGAATAACCAACACCTTCTGCAAAGTAGGTATTTTTATCCTTATTTTACAAGTGAGGAAACTGGAAGATTAGGTGATGTGCCTGAGGTTGTCTGACTCTGAATCTGGTAACTTTTCCAGTATACCAATGCATGCTGTCATTGACAACTTTGTCACTGCATCGTAGAAGCAGACTTTTCGTGATAGGAAGAGGCTTTGCCCATGTCTATTCCATGCTCTTCTTTATCTATAAAGAAAATGGCATCCAGAGGAGTTTCAAACACCTATGTGGAAACATGGTCTCTTCCTTTGAAGAGACTTGGATTATATCTTATTAATAGCTATTCTCTTGAGATTACATAATTAATAATGTACAAAAGCTTAGCGATGTACAAAAACACACCTGAGAAAAATGCAAATATATGCAAGAAAGGGAAAGATGAGCTGGCTGTAATAGAGAAAGATATCTGTATTAGTTAGGGTGGCAACAGCTGCTGTAACAAATCCTAAAATATCAGGAGGTTTAGTGTCATGAAATTTTATTTCTCCCTCATGTAACAGTCCAATGCAGATATTGCTGACTAGTAATGGTCATGGTGGGGGCGTTGCTCCATGCAGTCTTTCAGGGATCCAGGTTAATGGAGGCTTTGCCATCCTCCGTGTGTCACTTCTCAGCTCATGCCATGCTGGGCATCAATATATAGCAAGAAAAAGAGAGGAGAATGAGGGATTGCATGGAGGAATTTGTTTTATCGGCTAGGACTGGAACGCATCATTTCTTTCCATATATCATTTTAGAATTCAGTCACATGGCCATATCTGATGCTGGGAAGCTGGGAAGTGTAATTGTGTTCACAAGATGAGGAAAGACTTTTTGTTACCAGCCAGCAATCTCTGCCACAGGATCCAAAGGATGGACAATTATGGGAAAGTGACCATCTCCTCAGGTTGATGAAATTCCCGTGTGCCTGTCCGTTCGATGAGTTTGTAGAAGACCATGATTCTAACCTGTATCTTTGATAAGGAAGGGCAAGTCAGTGGAGGAAACAATGTCCAAATTCTGTTGATCTTTTAGTACCAACATCATGAAGTTTTTCCTGGTCAGCTTAGACAGAAATAATCATTTTCTCCTTTGGATTTCCACATTACTCCACTTTCTCATCTCTCATGGACTCTTCGGCTTTGGACAATCATGTACCTACCTTTTTTTCTTCCCTCTATAATCTTTGACCAAGTTATACTAGTGAAATACTTGTAAAACCTAGTTTATATATTAGAGTTCTACATATGATTTCATTAACAAAATATTTAAAGTTTGAAAGCTGTTGGATAGGATAATCTCTAAAATTCCTTTAAGCTCCATCAAATCTACAATTCTGTTGACCTAACAACATAACCTGGATTTATAGGATAATTGCCAGCTTCCCACTTCACTTTGTATTGGGACCAAGCTTTTAAGCATGAAGAAGATAGAAAAAATTGTTGAGTGTGGAGGAGGGAAAATTCAACTGAACTTACTGAAACTGATACAGCCCTTCCAGAAAATACACTAAAGAACCAAGTGGCTAGCTTTAAATTACTGTTTCCCATAGTGAATTAGGAAATGGATTCCCCTTAGTGGGCCATATCTGTCTCTTGTATATGACTCTAATTCAGTTGGTCACATGAGTATAAAACGGCACCCAGGGGCTGTTTTGAACTATGTACCAAACTGAATTCTGCAGTTGTCTAACCCAACCTCTAATTTTCAATCTATCAGTGTGTAAGTCTATGCTTTTTGCTTTCTCAGAATTCGCATAAACTCCAGCAATCTTTCTTTTTCCTTCTTCTTTATTTTTGGTTGATAATAGTGTTTGTGTTAAAAATCACACCTTCTTTTGATTTCTTGCATGCCTATAGACTTTTCTCGTGTTTGTGTATGTAAGTGCTTTTATCTCACTCTGTAATCAGTCACAACTCAGGGTGGAAGCAGGGAATGTTTGGTACAATATTTCCTATATAAACAGTTTCACTGTAAAAGAAACAATATGGCTCTAATTTTGATGTATGATCAGTTTAGAAATATGCAAACACATTTGAATATACATCCTGTACATGACAACAGCAATATGAAATTGGATACACAAAAGGGCTTTTTTTTCCCTCTGGTGATTTCCCCAGCCCTCCCCCAACCAGACGATATCAGCTTTATTTCCAAGCTTTTAAGTGAAAATGCCTGCTTTGATAGCTTTCCCAAATTGCTAAAAATATATGTAGTCAAATAGAATTTTTTTAATGGTCAAGTTGTCCCCTGGTACACACTCTGTCTTCGTCTGAATACAAATAAAAGCTGCCTAAATTGAAGAGAGTTTAACATTTTCCAATGCAGCTGTGAAGTAAAATTGGAAGTGGCAGTAGTAGACACACAGCCCAGGGATATTGAAGATATATTTGTTCTGTGTGAGAAGAAAGCACTTGGATCATTAGGTCTGATTTGACTCTGCCAGGTGGGAGGTGAGTCTTTGTCCCGCTGGTTTGGTCACAGACTGCCCAGGTGTAAGGTTGGGCATTGACGGGGCAGTCTAGTGGTGGAGGTAGCTTTGTTTTTCTATCTCTTTCTCACAGCACAACTTTGCAGTTGAGCAGTAGATATTCAGTAACATGTAGTTGTAATTTGGCTACTTGCAGTTTTTAAAGAACAAAGAAAGATCACTTCTTAAAGTTAAAAGTATCATCCTTAATCCTACCACCTTAATTCCTGTACTATGTATTGGGAATTTACTAAAAACCAGAGACAGCTAAGCCAACCTATGAGGTTAATACTATTATTAATATTCCCATTTTTGTGGAAAGGAATTGAGGCTTAGAGAGAGATAATGCAATTAGCTAAGAGAATACAATTAGGAAGTGGCGCAGCTTGCATTAAATCCCAGCCCAGTGGGCTCCAGAGCAAATGCTCCTAATTTCTACTCCAAACTGCCTCTTAGCCCTAACACACTAAATTTTATTTTTCCATGTTTCTAACCTGCCTCCTATAAACATGAGTAACTTTTCTTACTTGAAATCAGAGTGAATACACATACACAGAGGAATGTATTAAAATTGAAATATTGGATATTTAGAATATTTTAAAATTATTTTAAGGATTGTTCGATATTACTTTCATAGTATTCATTAATATAATTTTGTCATTTCTAATGCTGCATAGCTCATATTAAAAATATACTTACTGTGTGATTTCAAATTATGTGCTAACATTATACTTTTACATACACTAAGCATTTTGTCCTCTCTTCCAAAAGAAAATTGCTAGAAGCATGCATCTTCATTTTATCTCCATTATCTCCATTTTATAAATGTGGAAGTTGAGAGTTACAGGACTTAAGTAACTTACCCAAAATCTGACATCTGGCCTGTGGCTGGGCAGAAATAACAAAAGAGACTTTTTGACTCTACATCCTGGGCTCTTTCCACTAACAGCTGCCTTTTGGAAAATTAGCAAACCAAAATGTCCAGTGCTTAGGGCATAAGTAGGTACTGCATCCTTCCTGGGAGCCATGATCTCAATGTTTGTGTCCTCTCAAAAACTCATTAGTTGAAATCCTAATCCCAAAAGTGATGGTATTAGGAGGTGGGGGCTTTTGGGAGGCAATTAGATCATGGGATTAGCGCTTATATAAAATGGGCCCTAGGGAGCTTCTTGTCCCTTTCCCCATGTGAGGATACAGTGAGAGGGCACTATCTATGAACCAGAACATGGGTCTTTACTGATGCCTCAATCTTGGACTTCCCAGCCTCCAGAACTGTGAGAAATAAATGTCTGCTGTTTATAAGCTACTCATTCTATGGTGTTTCGTTGTAGCAGCCCAAACAGCCTAAGGGAGTGGGCAATAAATTTACTATGTGGATGGCAGCTGAAGGTAACAATAAGCACTGATTTACTTTCTGTTGAAAGCATATGACATGGCTCCAGTGTTAAGATGTGTGCTTAGATGGATGTTCTCGTGAGCATTATGGATCTGGGCAGACCTATCCAGACCCAGCAACCTGTTGACAAACAGTGCCCGTTGCCAAGTCTGGACCTTAGGTCTTCTGGGGATCTGCTCTGGGGACGGAAAGACATCAAATGAGAATCGAGGCATCTTCAGCATCCGACTTCAGTGCTTCATTTGGTGTGCGTGTGTGTATGGAGACTGTTTTTCGACAAATGCTAAATCCTAACTGTCTTTTCTTCCTCCCTTCCTCTTTTTTGGTTTCTTCTACTTTATCTTAAGGCAGGTTTTCCCTAAGTGTGTTGTGGGGTGACTGGTGGTATACCTGAGATAATTTTTAGCAGTACCTACATGAACATTTCCTTATTTTAATCATTGTGTACTTATTTTAATAAGTATTAGAGAAAATATATATTAATATGTGTTTTAATATTAGAGGAAAAATACATACTAAAATAAGTACACAACAGTTAAAATCAAGAAACAGTGACTTGCACCCATATTATTGCTTAGGATGAATCAAAATTGAGGTTAAAAAAAAGTAAATCATTTGAAGAAAAATATTAAGTAAATACAATTACAGGTGGTTTTAGGACGTGTAAAAAGCCTGAAGGTGGCTTGTGAGTGAGGGAAGTTTGGGCAACATTGCTTAAAAGATGTATTATGGCTGGGCGTGGTGGCTCAAACCTGTAATCCCAGCACTGTGGGAGGCAGAAGCAAGCAGATGACCTGAGGTCAGGAGTTCAAGACCGGCCTGGCCAACATGGTGAAACCCCGTCTCTACAAAAATTACAAAAAATTAGTTGGGCGTGGTGGCACGCCCAACTAATGACTGTAATCTCAGCTACTTGGGAGGCTGAGGCAGGAGAATCACTTGAACCTGGGAGATGGAGGTTGCAGTGAGCTGAGATCACTCCACTGCACTCCAGCCTGGACAACAGAGCAAGACCCTGTCTTAAAAAAAAAAAAAAAGTATTGCTTTGCCTTTCCTCTCTTTCTGCACCAACAGCCCGATCTCTTACTGCAGCTCAATGCCATTCTGATCTTTCTGGCAGGAATGCTGCCTTGCTTGACCTTTTAATTCACTGCTTCTTTACCCCAGCGCTTGACACAGTGCTCAGCACGTAGTAGGAAGTTAATCTGGGCTCTTGAGTTTCACTGCTTTTAAAGTAGCAAAGCAAGCCAGCTTGCTGCCTGCCTCCGGGCCCTGCCTCTCAGCAGCATGCCTAGAGATCCAGGGCTCCCAAAGTCTGATCCTCAGCTAAGAGAAGGAAACAAGGGACAGAAATAGAACAAAAAATCTTGAACACAGATAAAAGGCTTTTTGATATTTGCATGAAATATGCTTCTTAAAGAGGAACTATTTTTATAGTATTATCTATAAGAGATTATAGGCAAAAATTAATTTTCTAAGTCTTTATAGTTAAAACAGTCTGTGCACAGAAGGAATTTAAATTCCTCTTTTAATAAAAAACCTTGCATTGTCCTGCAGGCAAAGGGTTAGGTTTCTTTGTGTGATTATTTTGTGATTTCTGAGGCCAAGAGAAATTTGTAAAATGCTATAAAGACTGCTATGCTTACTTCACTGCATTCCAAACTTCATCTATGCTTCCTCATAAAAGATTATTTGGGGGTAGGGGAAGGGCAGAAATATTATAATATAGCAATGCAATAAAGTATTGTAAAACTGTAAAATACAGAAAGGATAGGAACTAAAGCTTTCTAGGTGAAGAGAGATGAGGCAGCACTAACTATCTAAAGTTAATGAATAGGAAGCCAAGAATTGAACTTAGAACAAACTGAGAGTTGAACCAAAGGCATTTGAAGTGTTAATTTATTAAATAACCCTTCGCTTTCAAGGCTTACAATAAAAAATATTTGTGGTCAGGAAAGTTAGGAGACAGGAAACTGAAGTCTTCTAAAGCCATTTTTATGCTTGGAATGAAACCAAACCTTTATCCAATCATAAACCTCGTGTGTTTATCTGCAAGGGAGTGGAGAGGGAGAAAGAAAGGGTAGCAGTATTTGATTTCTATTTAAAGTTCCTCTCTTCGCCCTGGATTTCGGTACTAACGGGGTGTCTCCATGTGGCGTAGAGGAGACTGCTGTCTCCCCTGCCTCTCCCTGCCTTTATCCACAGCACCCACCCTCTGAGTTGATGTGCATGCATTGGCTCAGTTTCCCCGCTTTAGTAAAAATTCACAGGGAAGTGTGAAACGGTTTAATGATTAAAGCTGAACTTGATCTGTATCAAAGAGTTCTTTTCCATCCTGGAAATCTGAGCCTCTTGAAAATTGTTTAGATCCAAGAGAGAGACTACCCAAGTGTCCACACAGGCCAGCTTGAAAGGAGAATGGGGCAGATCTCCAAACATGACCTGTCTTTAATGTGATAGCCCGGAACAGTGCATCTGAGAGCAAGCCGCTGTCTTTATGCTCCTTTCCAATGGTGCTGCATCCTGGTCTAGTGAAATTCTTCTCAGTGAAGAATTTAATGGGGAAGACTCCCAAGGACTAGGAGAAAAATATGAATGTCTTAAATGGCTGACTATTTCAGATATCTCTCTCTGATGGATGAAGAAACTAAGACCACAGAAGGTAAAGTGACTTGTAGTGGAGTGTATTCACTGAGGAATGAGACTATTGAGTTCTGGATGAAGAGTAATCTTGAATAAGTGACTTAACAGCTCTGAACCTCAGTTGCCCCAACATCCGTGGGTTGTTTGGAAATGTCTACATTCTTGATTCCAGGTCAAAGGTGTTTTCTGTTACGCCACATCCAGTAGTATTGTGCCCGGAATTGGTGGGTTCTTGGTCTCACTGACTTCAAGAATGAAGCCGGGGACCCTCGCGGTGACTGTTACAGTTCTTGAAGGCGGCGTGTCCGCAGTTTGTTCCTTCTGATGTTCAGATGTATTCGGAGTTTCTTCCTTCTGGTGGGTTTGTGGTCTCGCTAGCTCAGGAGTGAAGCTGCAGACCTTCGCAGTGAGTGTTACAGTTCTTAAGGCGGGGCGTCTGGAGTTGTTTGTTTCTCCCGGTAGGTTCCTGGTCTCGCTAGCTCAGGAGTGAAGCTGCAGACCTTCGCGGTGAGTGTTACAGCTCATAAAAGCAGTGTGGACCCAAAGAGTGAGCAGTAGCAAGATTTATTGCAAAGAGCAAAAGAAAAAACCTTCCACAGTGTGGAAGGGGACCCCAGCGGGTTGCCACTGCTGGCTCGAGCAGCCTGCTTTTATTCTCTTATCTGGCCCCACCCACATCCTGCTGATTGGTAGGGCCCAGTGGCCGGTTTTGTCAGGGCACTAATTGGTGCGTTTACAATCCCTGAGCTAGATACAAAGGTTCTCCATGTCCCCATCAGATTAGTTAGATACAGAGTTTGGACACACAGGTTCTCCAAGGCTCCACCAGAGCAGCTACATACAGAGTGTGGATTGGTGCATTCACAAACCTTGAGCTAAACACAAGGTGCTGTTTGGTGTGTTTAAAAACCTTGAGCTAGATACAGAGTGCCGATTGGTGTATTTACAATCCCTAAGCTAGACATAAAGGTTCTCCAAGGCCCCACGAGAGCAGCTAGATACAGAGTGTGTATTAGTGCACTCACAAACTTTGAGCTAGACACAGGGTGCTGATTGGTGTGTTTACAAACCTTGAGCTAGACATAAAAGTTCTCCAAGGCCCCACCAGAGCAGCTAGATACAGTGTTGATTGGTGCACTCACAAACCCGGAGCTAGACACAGGGTGCTGATTGGTGTGTTTACAATCCCTGAGCCAGCCATAAAGACTCTCCACCTCCCCACCAGACTCAGGAGCCCAGCTGGCTTCACCCAGTGGGTCCTGCACCGGGCTGCAGGTGGAGCTGCCTGCCCGTCCTGCGCCGTGCGCTCGCACTCCTCAGCCCTTGGGCGGTCGATGGGACTGGGCGCCGTGGAGCAGGGGGCGGTGCTCGTCGGGGAGGCTCGGGCTGCACAGGAACCCACGGAGGCGGGGGAAGGCTCAGGCATGGCGGGCTGCAGTCCTGAGGCCTGCCCCGCGGGAAGGCAGCTAAGGCCCGGTGAGAAATCGAGCGCAGCGTCGGTGGGCTGGCACTGCTGGGGGACCCAGTACACCCTCCGCAGCCGCTGGCCCGGGTGCTAAGTCCCTCATTGCCCCGGGCCAGCAGGGCCGGCCGGCTGCTCCGAGTTTGGGGCCCGCCAAGCCCACGCCCACCCGGAACTCCAGCTGGCCCGCAAGCGCCGCACGCAGCCCCAGTTCCCGCTCGCGCCTCTCCCTCCACACCTCCCTGCAAGCTGAGGGAGTGGGCTCTGGCCTTGGCCACCCGAGAAAGGGGCTCCCACAGTGCAGCGGTGGGCTGAAGGGCTCTTCAAGTGCCGCCAAAGTAGGAGCCCAGGCAGAGGAGGCGCCTAAAGAAAGCGAGGGCTGTGAGGACTGCCAGCACGCTGTCACCTCTCAGTATCGTTTTGCCTTTTTTAAAGCTTGGAGAAGGAATGTTCGTAGATTTGGTATACTCTGCTCACTTTTACCCAGTAGCATTCTGGGACAAAGTTGGCAGACTTGTTGTAGGAATAAAAATGGGGCTTAAGGAACTTAAATTTATAAAGTGCCTACTATGTGTCAGGCACTTTACATACATCTCGCTTAATTCCTGCAAAACCCAAAAGAAAATGTAGGAGATAGGGGTTATTATTCTCATTCTCAATTGGAGAAATTGAACCTCTGATAGGTTAAGCAATATAACTGAGGTGGCTCAGCCAGATGCCAACCAAGTCCCAAACCAGGTGGTTCTTGTCTCCAAAGTCTAGGTGTTTATGAAACTGGAAATGGCTATTTTGTGACCTTTGGCATTGCCCAAGTCCCATTAGATTTCTCCTTGATTAGCTACCAAGAAGGATACATTATGGATCAGATCTCCTTTGGTGTTCAGAGCCAAGATTCAAACTGGGCTGACTTGAGCCCAAAGCTGGTGCTTTCAGTCATCTCATTTCATTACCCTCAAACAGTATCAGGGCAGAACCTGTTTCAGGAATGAGACAGCACAGTGCTTAGGAGGTGCCTGTCATAAGTTTGAGCTTCTGGACCAGTTGGATTTGACTAGAGGGAAACTTGTTTCAATGGCTATTGGCACTTCCTCCCTTTTGTTGGATGTAGGGTAGCCACGGACAGGGGACATTTGAAAGACTTGGGAGATTTGGGCCAGACTTGGTGATAGTCGCCAGTGCTGTGTAGTGGGTGGGCTTTGGAATCAGTCATTCCTGGCTTAAGTTCTAGTTCCATCTCTACCTAGCTCTATATACAGAGAGTGATTTATGAGATGGTTCTAAGCCAATTTCCTTTATGGTAAAAAGATAATCACAATAACACCTAACTCACGGGTTGTTTTGGAGATTAAATGAAAACATTTGTAAAGAAGAAGCAAACTGGAGGCATAACCCAGTCCATAGGTTGCCTACAAGGTGTTTTTTTTTTTTTTTTTGAGACAGAGTCTCGCCCTCTCGCCCAAGCTGGAGTGCAGCGCTGTGATCTCGGCTCACTGCAACCTCTGCCTCTCGGGCTCAAGTGATTGTCATGCCTCAGCCTCCTGAGTAGCTGGAACTGTAGGTGTGCACTACCACGCCTGGCTAATTTTTGTATTTTTAGTAGAGACGGGTTTCACCATGTTGGCCAGGCTAGTCTCGAATTCCTGGCCTCAAGTGATCCATCCACCTTGGCCTCCCAAACTACTGGGAATACAGGCCTGAGGCACCGTGCCTGGCCCACCTACAAGTTGTTTTAAAATATTTTCAGTAGTTTCCAACTTTTAAAAACTATGAGATAACAGGCCAGGCGTGGTGGCCCATGCCTGTAATCCCAGCACTTTGGGAGGCTGAAGTGGGCGGATCATCTGAGATCAGGAGTTTGAGACCAGCCTGGCCAACATGGCGAAACCCTGTCTCTACAAATACAAAATTAGCTGGGCGTTGTGGTGGGTGCCTGTAATCCCAGCTACTTGGGAGGCTGAGGCAGGAGAATCGCTTGAACCAGGGAGGTGGAGGTTGCAGTGAGCCAAGATCATGCCACTGCACTCCAACGCTCCAACCTGGGCCACAGAGTGAGACTCCATCTCAAAAAAAAAAAAAAAAAAAAAAAGATAATTGTCTGTTTATCTCTCTATCTTTATCTCTTCCTTCCCCAAACATAAAATCCATGATGTAAAGATTTTCTTTTGAATATTCAGAAAATCTGGCAGGATCCTCATGGGATCTTCTCATGAGGTAATAATAAAATAAAAACAAACAGCAGCTACTGCCTTAGATAGGGCATGTATGCTCCTGTCTGCCCCAGCTCCCTGCACACCTTACTGCCTGCTTTCTTTCTCTGGTCCCTATAGACTCCATAGTGTTGTGCTTGGCATGTGGCAATATGCAGAAAGTAGCCGAGTCAGGATTTGAATGCTATCATTCTGACTCCAGAGCCAGAGGGATCAATCACTCTGTTCTCTGTCCTGGCTACTCAAAGTGTGGTCCATGGACCAGCATCCCTGGCATTCCCTCAAGCTTGTTAGACGTGCAGATTCCCAGACCCCAACCCAGACCTACTAAATCACAATCTGCATTTTAACAAGCCCCATAGGAGATTCACGTGCATATTAGAATTTGAGAAGCACTGCTCTACAGTTCTTATTATTAACAAATGTTTGGACCCTGAGCTTACAGATAAGGCCAGTGTGGTGGATGGAAGACTAGCCTGGGAATTGAGAATAGGATTCGAGTATATTTGCTTTGGGGTCAAGTCTTCTCTGGGCCTCATCATTTTTCTCTGCAAAAGGAGAGGACTGAGCAATATTTATACTTAGTATTCCACAAAAATATTTAATAGTAGTGTGAATTCTGGGTGAGAACTTCTAACTCTATGCTTGGTGCTGGGGCTACACATTCCTAGCATAGGCAATCCATGCCAGTCCTCTGGGACCTCTCAGGTTAGTACGCCAGAGAGTCAAACGAATGAACAATTACAGCACTTATAACAAACACATGCCTAGACTGCACCCGGTGCTAATACTCTGATCCCCAAATCACACCTAAGATGTACTAAATCATCTTCAGCATCCTGATCCAGGTAAAAGAGCCTCCACATGTGCCTGAGCAACTCCCCAGTACAAAACCCACCCCAATGAAGAAATGGATATGCCTTGTATATAGTCTGGCAGCCCCAGGGGAAACGGTATGTTGGACTGAGACACGGTAAAGAATGTAGATCTCACAGACCTTTATTTATTGACATTTATCCTAGGGGAGAATACCTTTTCATTTCATTTTCTTAAAAAATAAAATAATGCCTTTAAGCTAGCACTGAATTATAGATAGTGCTAATTTGGTTCAATTATTTTGCTCATTATGGGCAGAAACACAAGTGACATAACAGACCCAGGACTGAGAAATCAAGTCCCAGATTACTTGTGTGAAAATACAAGTGGGATTTAAAAAAATGTATCAAATAACTAGCTGTCACTCCTGATTAATAGCACCTCATCTAAGAGAAGCGGCTATTCTATCTTCTAAAGTGTCATTAAAATATAAAAAATAAAGAGTTCACGTAATTAAAGAAACATTATTTTGTTCATACAGCCTGAAAAAATGTGATTAGGCCGCAGTTCTAAAATGGTGATAGTCAATCAGGTAGGCGTTTGTATACCAGCACGGAGCAGATACTGCGGGTTATGTAAAATGTTGCCTCATTACTGTACCGTGTTAGGGCAGATGCCAAGGAAAGAGAAAGTTGGAGGTGAGGGCACATGGTTCATTCGCTCCGAAGTCACAAGAGTGGAGTTTTTTGTTTGTTTGTTTCAAAGCCAAAATAGCCGTTTTAGCAAATAAGCTATCTGGGTTACATTTCCTGTCAGCAAAGCAACAGGATCCACGTTGATGCTTGGATTCCAAATAAGACTGATTTAGTTATTCTGTCACTAAACACAACCTAAATTCCCATTCAACAAAAACAAGAATAATTGGTTTCGTTTTAGAAAGACAAGCAATCATTTTTCATTAGCGCATGCGGGAATGAAGCATGCTGTTGGATGCTAATGTACGCTCACAATGATGCCTGGGGATGGGGCAAGTAAACGCCACTTAGCAATCATTTTTTGTGAAATAATTTTCTTAAAGTAGGAGCTCTGTATGTAACTGAGTCTCTTAACCCATATGTGTGTGTATGAATCCATATAAATATATATGTTAGTTCAGGTCATTGGGCAAAAATAAATTCCTATTGGTTGTATCTTGTTCATAGTAGGCACTGATAAACGTTGGTTGAATTAATTTGCAGGAATATGAGTAGAAATTTGGTTTAAGGAAACACCACTTTTTTTTTTTGTAGTTCATGGGCTGCACAATTTAGCCTTGGAAATAGAGGATGACAAGAATACTGATGCTTCATAATTGAAGGCCTGGTTGGAGTATGCGGCCAGCCTTATCCAGGTAATGTGTTTCTGAGTAGAATGCACGGGAGATTTTTCTTCATCCCTGGGTTTTCCAGCATTGGTCAATGAACCAGCCATTCTTGGTGCATAAGTAAGATATTTTGTGACAAATATTCACTCAAGCAGTGTGTCTACCCAATGCCAAAGCAAATGCTTGAAAAGTGAAAACTCAATCAGTCAAACAGCTGGTTTGATCGTGGTTGCCCTGAATTCAAGAGTGGTTTAGTGATGGCGGCCAGGCATTGATAGGTGGCTTCCAGACAGGAATAAGATATTCTCAGGCCCTTGCCCTAGTGTGTAGGTTAATCCTTGACTCTGTCTGAAAGGATTAGTTTAGGCCAATGCTTGGACATTGGAAACTTAGCTCAGTAGACCAGTGGTCTCTAAAGGGGTGTAGAGGAAAATATTTGAACTCTTTTTGTTAAATTTTGGTTTCTTTTTACTGTCTAGTTGTGTGTGTGTTTGTGTGCTGTGTATACTTTATACTATATATATCTGAAAGTAGCACAAGTATAAAATTTATGAACAAGAAAATATATATTTATTAGGGATTGTGCTCAAAAGTTTTTCTAATAATGGAGTGCAACAATACAAAATTTAGAGATATTATACTTGGTCATGCTCTGTGAGGGCAGGGATGATATCAGCTTTATTTACCTCTGTCTACCCAGTTTCTAGCACAGTACACAGGAGTCGTTTTTTGATACTATAAACTCCAAGACAGCAGGCTTTCTTGTTTTTGCTTAATATCATATCTCAACTCCCTAGCACAGTTCCCAGAATTTAGTAGGTGCCACACATAATTTTTTTTTAAAATGAATGCCTGCTAGACAAATCAATTGTTCTAACAGAAGGTTTTACCAAGTTTTCCGGACACAGCTGAGGATCTCTACCTTATGAGATCTTTGGAAGCATTTTGGACGTTTTGGATAACCTATTCATGTAAACATTTGAAACAAAAAGTAGCCTTTTACACATGACCTGCACCCTGCTAGGATTCCCTCTCCTTTAAATTGTAAGCCAGACTTATTTTGAAGCAATCCTGATCAACAAATGTTCAGATTTAAATGAGGGCACTACGTTGCTTTTCAAATTTAAGATTCTTCACTTTGCCAAAGGATCACCATAGAGTCTCTTTAAAGAAAAAATAACCTTGTGCAATAAAATTTGACTAGTAAAAAGTAATGTGTACTCACATTTTTAGGAATACTTTTCTGCATTGTGTGAGGCAGACTTTTAACACTGTCTAGTGTAATAGTATGTCTTGACTGAAGAGAGGAGGAGATTGACCCACAGAGGTCATTTAAAATCACCTGGTAATTTATAGTGTGTGTGTGTGTGTGTGTGTGTGTGTGTGTGTGTGTGTGCGCGTGCATGTGTGTTTTCCCTTATCCACATTTTGCAAGGTTTTCAATCTCATGATGGAAAACAGCAAAGTATAAAGTTAGGAAATCTCAAAATCAAATCTTAGCTATGCTGTTTATTAGCTATAATTTGCCTAAAGTGATGTTTTGAAGCTTTAATTTACAATAATTATTTCCAATAATACCTCCTTTATAGGCATATGGATAGGACTCTTTTGGTTTCCAGTTTACAGAAAACCTAATTCCAACTGACTTCAGCTAAAGAAAAAAAAGAAAGGAAGTTGATTTGCTCATGTAAATGACAAGTCCAGGTTATAGAAGGGGCTTTAAGCCCAGTTTGTTATCCAACATCATCACAACTTGCTGTCTCTTCCCCTCTTACCCCTACCTACTTCTCTCCTGGCCTCAATCTGAGGCTCAGGTGGGGTAAGATGGCTGTAGCAGTACCGGCAGTACATTTTCTTTGGGGAAGAGAATGTGCATCTGTCTTAGCAGCCCAAGCACAAGTCTCTTTGCATCTCATTGGCTCATTTGGTCATGTGCCCGTCTTGAAGCAATTATTGTCGCCGGGAGAATGTGATGCACTCTTTGGCTTTAGTTTTGGTCATATGCCCAGCCCACTGCTGGGTGTGTCAGCATCTTTCCCCCAACCAAAATCACTTGGTCCTAGAGTAGGGGATAGATGATTCTGCAGAGAAAAGTTGGAGCAAAGTTATGAGACAAGGAAGAGTGACTGCTAGAAGGAAGCAAAAATATCAGCTGTCTTCTTCAGCCAGTTTGTGGGAAGATTAAATGAGTTCATATATATAAAAAAAGCACAGAACATAAACAATCAGTAAATGATTGAAAGTAGGTGATCAGGTTAAGTAAATCTCAAGAAATGAAACTCAGAAGCAATTTAGGGCAAGTTTGAGATTACACATACAAGGAACCTTATCTACTTGGAATTAGTTGAGTTCACTAAACAATTTCTTCAGCATCTGTGATGTGCCAAGTGTTGTATAAAGGGCTGAGGGTATTGAGATAAAAAAAGGAGTTGATCTCGGCCAGGTGTGGTGGCTCACGCCTGTAAATCCAACACTTTGGGAGGCTGAGGCAGGTGGATCACAAGGTCAGGCGTTCGAGACCAGCCTGGCCAACATAGTGAAGCCCCATCTCTACTAAAAGTATAAAAAATTAGCCAGGTGTGGTGGTGGATGCCTGTAATCTCAGCTACTCCAGAGGCTGAGGCAGGAGAATCGCTTGCAGCCGTGAGGTGGAGGTTGCAGTGAGCCGAGATTGCACCACTGACTCCAGCCTGGGCGACAGTGCAAGACTCGGTCTCAAAAGAAAAAATAAATAAATAAATAAATAAAAAAGAAGTTGGTCTCTGCCTTAGGCTTTCTTATAGTCCAGCACAGGATGCAGGTGTGTATGTCATTTCAACACAATGTGAAAGGCGTTGATGGAGGTATGCTCAGGGGCCTGTGGGAACACCAAAGATGAGCTTCAAATATAGCCTTGGGGGTAGGCAAAGAGTTGAGGGGAGATGTCCTCCACGGAGAAGCTCCTGATGAGTTTTAACAATTAATAAGAGCTATTGTGATGAAGAAATGAGGTGGATGAAGGCATTCTTCTGGGCAGCAGAACAGCATGGAAAGAGGTAGGACAGCTAGAAAATGCACAGTGCTACTAGAGCGGGGAGGCCACCATTTACTACCTATGCTGTGTAAAGTTGGAGGACAAGAGTGGCAGGGGATGAGGTTAAAAACATGTTCGTGGGGCTCCAACATCAAGGGCCTCATATTCCATGTCATGAAGACTGGACATTATCCTTAGGTTATAGGAGACCACCGAATGGCTTAAAAGCAAGGGAGTGACATGGTCCAGTTGAAGTTTTTGAAAGATGACTCTGGCTGGTGTTGGCAAATGGATGGGAGTTGGCCCAGATAGACTTTAGGTGAACTGGGGAAGATGCTGTTGCACTGGTCCGAGAGAGAGGTGGGAGGGCCTGGACTTGGGCACTGATGGTAGGTGTGGGGGGAAAGAGATTGGTGCTGGAAGGGAATAGCTCAGGCAGCAGGACTCAGTGATGGGTCAGATGAATGAGTCAAGTCAGGCCCATGACACATAAGAGGCACTTACACATCCATTCTTTTCTGATAAAAGGTAAAAAGAAAAGCAAACAACTGAAATTGGACAGGTCTGTCAGTAAGGAAATGGTTGAATATATGATGGTGCTTTCACATAGTAAAGAAACCTTACTCTGAAGAAGTAAAAAATAATCAGATGTTTAGTGTTTTGAAATATGCTTATGATATATAAAGTAAAAAAGCAGGCTATAAAATGAAATAGCGGTATGATCCCAATGTATGTAGTTAGTTGTAGAAACATCTGTACCATATCATTTTAGATGACTTATACCACAATGTTAATGAATTTTATCGCTGAAATAAGGGAGCATTTTTATATTCGCCATTTGTAAAAACAATGACCTTGTCATACTTCTAAAAATTGGAAGAAAACAAATGGTATATTTTATAAGAAAATAAAAGGGGCTATTTATTTTTTAAAAATTTGAATAGGTTTTGGGGTACAGGTAGGTTTTAGTTACCTGGATAAATTCTTTAGTGGTGATTTATGAGATTTTAGTGCATCCATTATCTGAGCAGTGCACACTTTACCCAATATGTCGTCTTTTATCCCTCACCACCCTCTCAAGTTTCCCCAAGTCCCCAAACTCCATTGTATCACTCTTATGCCTTTGCATTCTCATAACTCAGCACGGACTTTAAGTGAGAACATATGATATTTGGTTTTCCATTACTGAATTACTTCACTTAAAACAATGGTCTTCAGCTCTATCCAAGTTGCTGCAAAAGACATTATTTTGTTTCTTTCTATGGCTGAGTAGTATTCCATGATGTATATTTACCACATTTTCAAAGGGCCATTTCTGATTGATGTCAGCCTTCCAGAAAAGATGTTCCCAGGGAATACAAGGCAATAGCTTTGGGCTTACATTGGCATATTTCACTGGTAGTAATGGTTGCTCACACCACCACTTTTGAAGAGGGATATTGAGAAAGACTAATGTCTGAAGTATCTACCCCACTGAAGCTGAAGTCCACCACTCACTATTGGTTAAGCAAGAAGCTCACTCCCACCTGTAGGCCCTGGGGTCAGAAGACATGGATATGCCACTTCACTCTGTGACTTATAAGCAGTGGGATTGTGAGGAAATCACTTTTCCTCTTCAAACTTTCTCATTTCTGAAATGAGGTTCACACTCCCTGCCCTGCCTAACTCATAAAGTAGCTGCAGGATTCAAGAGATGAAGGGAAAAGGCTTCATTGACAGTAAAATGTCATCTGCCTCTGAACTGCTATTATCTTTCCCTTGTGATATTTTATAGCTCAGTACCACTTCTTCTCCCGAAGACTGCCTCTCATTCCATGGTGGGGCGCTTGCAGGCTCATCAGTATAAATCAGCTTACAAATAAATCTATGAATGCACTCACCCACATCACTCCTTCACTCTCCATAGTAACAAACAGTGTATCATATTTTCTGGCTGAGAAGCATGGAGCAGTGTGTTTGCTTTTTCTCCTTCTCCCAGTGATATCTGCTGGCCCACCCCTACCAGAGATGGTAAAATTCAAAAAGTCACATGACATCAAACAAAAGTGGGAAGGGAAGATCACCTTTAGAGGAGCTCTAGATGAAGACATTTTTTCAGTTTATGAATATAGGAGTAATGGCATTTTGTGTTTAAAAAGGATGCCCACAACAGAATAATTAAAGTAAGATGTTTCAGGAGAGTCATTTTTCAGGAAGAGGAGTTGCTCAGGGCTTCTCTGGCTGTGTAGACAGCAGCCACCACCTACACCTAGATGAGTTGCCTTTCACTTTCTCCTTCAGGATTTTCCTGGAGAGGTGAGACTTCAATGGGAAGGACTATCACAGACCACAATGGGAATGGTGTTTCCTAGAGTCATAACTGCACAACCTTCTAAGGTGGACCCGGAAAGGAAATCACATCAACAGGGAGAAGAGTGGCTGCTCTTGGCTGTCATCAAATGTTAGTTTAGTCTCTAGATGACATTGATTTGTGGTAACAGCTTTGAGTGCTTTACACAGAGTGTGAATGTGGTGTTTGTAAAAATTTGGACTTGATGTCTCACCCTCATGATGCATTCATGAGTTCCGGAAGCCACAGCTCTGACAAATGGCCTTGGTGATAGGCTGGAAAAAGAGTATCCTCCAAGTATTTAGAAGAGTTAACTTGTTTGATACTGGGAACACAAATTTAAAAATAAAAAAAAGACTCATATTTTCAGTGGTCTGGGCATCTCTTGAGTTTTAGATCAAGATCCTCTAGAATAGTTGCACATCTTTTCTTACAACTCAGGCAATTTTGTTTCACTTTATTATATGCTATCTCTTCTAAGCCCAAACCTGTTTCTTCTCACATTCTCCCCATCCCAGCAAATGTCACCCTCACCTACTCAGTTACTCAGAACCTTGGGGTCATCCTTATCTCTTCTCTTTCCTTAGCACCCCATACCTAACCTCTCAGCATTGACTCTCCATCCCATATCTGACCATGTTTTCTCAACTCCACTGCTCCCACCCTAGTTCAAGACATTCTTGTCTCTCTTCTAGAACACAGCCTCTCTACCATTCTCTTGATCCTATTTGTAACTCCCTAATAGCTGCTGTTCTCACAAGAGTCAGAGTGATGTTTAGAAAAACATCTAGAGACATTGTTTGCCATTCACCTCTCAGAACCTTCTAAGGACTATGTCTCAGGGTAACCAAGAGAGAAAAAGTTTCTCTTTATGTAAGTATTTCTGTTAATAAAGAAAGAAGCAGGTGTAGAATTAGAAAACTACTACTTAAACATGTCTAGGTAACAATCCCAATGGCTGCCAAGATCACACATGAAAAGAGACAACTTGAAATAGTGTGTGTATGTACACATACTATGACCCAAGAAGGTTGCTTTTTGTGTGTGAGAATATTAAACCTGAATGTGATCTAGCTTCTAGACCTAATAACCAATTTTGAGGATATACAAGGGATAAAGGTACATAAGAAATGACACAATGGGAATGTACTTAGCAAAATCCAGACTGTGGGAAGTGCTGCAGGACAAATAATTTGGCAAGGGGTGGGGAAAAGAGTAGAGCCAGCTCGTACCTGGTTTTCCAAGACTTTCCTGGTTGTAGCACTGTAAGTATGGAATCTTGAAACCCACCCAGTCCCAGGCAAATTGAAATGGTTCGTCCCAGTCAGGGAGGTGGGAAGGAGAACTCTATAGATTAACAGAGGCTTCAGAGATGCAGAGTTGGATCCTACTTAAATAAAAATTGTGTGCATATAGGGGGCACTGACTAATGGTGATATTAAATAATTAGTTTTACTTATTTATTTTTAAGGTATGATTATAGTATTATGGTCATGCTTTCTTAAAAAAAGCCTTCTTATATTTTAGAGATACAAGCTGAAGTATTTAAACATAAAACATGATGTCTAGAATTTGTTTCTAAATAACCCAAGGTTTGGGGACTTGGGTTTAGATACTGTTAGGTCATTTGAGTTGACATTTGTTGGGTAATAAGAATATGGGGATTTGTTTTACTAGTCTTTCTAGTTTTGTAGATGTTTAAGGTTTTGTTTTTTTTTTTTGAGAGGAGTCTCTCTCTGTCGCCCAGGCTGGAGTGCAGTGGCACAATCTCGGCTCACTGCAAGCTCCACCTCCTGGGTTCATGCCATTCTCCTGCCTCAGCCTCCCGAGTAGCTGGGACTACAGGTGCCCACCACCATGCCCGGTTAATTTTTTGTGTTTTTAGTAGAGATGGGGTTTCACCGTGTTAGCCGGGATGGTCTCGATCTTCTGACCTCGTGATCCGCCCGCCTCGGCCTCCTGAAGTGCTGGGATTACAGGCGTTAAGTTTTTTAAAATAAGAAGTAAATGTGCAAACAAACTAAAATTTCCTTCAGTGGCTTCAGAATACAGCTCTAGCTCTCTAGCGTGGCCTACAGAGCCCTGTGCAGTCTGGCTCCAGCTCCCTCTCTCCTGTTGTTTCTGTTTTTCCCACATTGGCCTTCTTGCTGCTCTTCATGCAGCATGCTTGCTCCCGGGGGGGTTCTGTGGTTTGCTGTTCTCTTTGTCTAAGTCTCCTCCCCAGGCCTCACCTCTGCAGACCTTTGCTTAGTTTCCATTTCTTCCCTGACCAGTCTACAGAGTCCTGTGCCTTCCTTAGTCTCCTACTGTATTCATTCTGCTTTTTATTTTCTATATTTTAAGATGCTTCAGTATCTTGGGGCCTTGCAAACCCAAGGAGTGACTATCTTTCCCAAGATAGCAAACTAGCTTGGCTTTAACTATGCCTTTGATATGGAAACCAACCACTCCAGAGTCCATACCCCTACCCACCTCCTTTCCTCAGGCTCCAGCAGTCTGGGAGGACTATCCGCCTGCCCTAAATCACCCTGGGGCCAGGTATCAGACAGCTGGACACCTCCCCTATAGCCCAGAGCCTGCCAAAATTATTCAAACTGTCTGATCCTAAAGCTGCTCAGCTACTGATCCTGTCTCACTTATTTCAAGTAAAAACCACACTAAAAGCCTTTGCCCATGCTTTCCTCACTCCTTCACCTCCTGATCACCTGCTATTGCCCCATATGGCACTGTGGTGTGTTGCGCCCCTCCTCTAAGGAACTGCGAGTACCAAACTGTCTTTTCAATGGCAGTCCTCTCCTGGTCTTTTGGCTTCACCATACCCAAATAAAAAGGAAATCTCCAGGTACATTCTAAAACATCAATTCTTATTCTCTCTCTCCTTACTCTGCTTTCTTTTTCTCTAGAGCAGTGGTCCCCAACTTGTTCGGCACCAGGGACTGGTTTCATGGAAGATAATTTTTCCACAGACGTAGGTGGGGAGGGGGAAGTTTTTGGGGTGAAACTGTTGCATCTCAGATCACTAGGCATTAGATTCGCATATGGAGTGCGCAATCTAGATCCCCCACATGGGCACTTCACAATAGGGTTCACAATCCTATGAGAATCTAACGCCAATGCTGATCTGACAGGAGGCAGAGCTCAGGTGGTTATGCTCACTCTCCCACTGTTCACCTGCTGCTGTGTGACCTGGTTCCTAACAGGCCACAGACCAGTACCAGTGCACAGCCCGGGGTTTGGGCACCCCTGCTCTAGAGCACATATCACTAACCCAAAGCATCAGTATATATGTATTTGTTTACCTATTTATTATCTACCTTGTGTAGGTCCTTAGAGAAGAAATCTAGTCTGTCCTGTTCATCACTAGACACACCCTTCCATTCCTAGAATGATACTTGCTCCATAATACCCACTCAGTATTTGTGAAACAAACAAGTTAGAGAATAGGCCCCATTTGTGCCTGGGTAAGTGGAGGTTTGGGAAGGGGAAGGGTGTGTGGCAGCAAGTCCAAGGCACTGCTCCCTTTAACAGTTATCATGGAAGTTTTCCTTTTTCCAAATGTTGGCACAAAGAAGATGTGGTCTGTGATTGATGGCATGTGTGCAAGGATAAAGATCTTGACCCAGAACCTCAGAACCTCAGTTTCTTTATGTTTAAAGTGGAAAAAATAATTGAGAATAAGTGAGTTAATGCAAGGAAAATTCTTAACAGTTCCTTGCAAATGGTACGTACTTAATAGATAGTAGCTCTCATTTTGAAGATAGTGCCTGCTATCTTGCCTGTTCTTTTCCTGGGTCAATAAAAACCTAGGAAATTGAGTGAGGGAGAGGCAGGAGTAGGGTGTGCTTTATTGGTTAAAACATAATGGGGATAAGGTGGTCCTAAATTCGTTTGTTAACAAGAACCAGGAAGAGTGTCCAAGACAGGGCGTCCTGGATAGCAAGCCGGACAGATCTTGCCACGAGAGATGATTGACACACGGGGTGCTTAGATGCCAAAAATAAGGCCTGAAGGAGATATGATAGATGGCTTCAAGTATATGACATGGTAGATATATTCTGGGGCTCTTCAGAGGGAAGGGTTATAACTTTCCTGGAAGAGAACTTCCCCATCCTTGGAGCTGTCCTGGTATGGAATAAGCTGCTTCCAGAAGACTAAAGCTTTCTAGGGCAGGGTAAGTCCTTTCTGGACCTCTATTGTATCCTCAAGGCCCAACATGAAACCCAGCCATAATAGCCCTTGAAGAAGGATTTGTCTCATAAAGGAGAGAAATAGAAGCTGGACAACCACTTAATAACTCGAAGGTCCTTCCCAACCGACCTGTAAATTTCTACCACAACCCTGCCAACCCTGAGAGACTATCTTGCTCTCAGTTTGTTACCTCTTTTAACTCAAATTTCTCTGGTAAAAGAATTCAGTAAATAATGGCTTCTGTTAGAGAGATGTCTTTAATAATGTCTTCCTGCATACTTTCCTAAAACCATAAACACACAGAAACCTCTGAAATGGTTGACTGACATTTGAGATTCATGAGACTTTGCATATAAGTAAATCTATTTTCAAGGAATGAATGGAAAGATAAGGCTGTCAGAATTGCAAAGATTTAAATGGTCCTTGGTTTACCTTCATATGATAATTAAATCCCTTCTATATCCCTGCTAAGAGGTGTTCAGTCTGTTTGAGCTCCAGTGACTGGAGACTCACCTCCCTGTAAAACAGGTATAGCACAAGATTTGAGACCATGGACTTTAAAGTAGGCCAGATCCAAGGTTTGAATCCGAGTGTCACCACTTCCTAGCTCAGTGCCCTTTGGAAGTCACATGTCTTCTCTGAGCCTTAGTTTCTTCATCTGTAAACTGGGGGACATAGTGTTGCTTATGTCACAGGATGATTATGAACTTAAATGAGATATAAAAGGGTTGTGACATTGCCTGGCACATGGCAAACATCTAATAAATGGTAGTTCTTTTGCTTTGAAGGCAGAACTTCTTACTAGATTGACTATGAAACATTTTTCCCTCCTATGTTGAAGGTCATCTTCCTGAAGTGTAGTCCTTGTTCTGGAAGATCCTATAGTTGACTCTTTAATGCCATCGTTAGCTGATTGATAGTGGCTTTCTGGAGACTGGTACCCAACAGGATTGTAAGGAAACTGGGAAAGAAAGATAAGATGACTTAGTGATATGTGCCGTGGTATGAGAAATGGGGAATGAAGAAGAGGTAGGAACGTAGTAAGTGAAAACATTTGTGCATTTCATTTGCTAGTTCTGCCTGATTTTTCCCCTTGGAATCCTATAGAATGTGCTTGTTTTCTTATACTCCTCCCTAATTGTTTTTATCTTATGAGCCCCGCAGCCAATACTTATATGATATTTCCCCGGGTTTTTGCCGACTGGCTGTTCTTACATCGATAATGTCCCTTTTAGTTGGAGAGCAGGAACAGGCTCTGAGTAGCTGTCAAAAAGCCCCTGCTTTTTAACCAATTCATCAAATTCAACAATGACTTATTGAAAGCACAATATGAATAAGGAGAGGCAAGGCTCACTTTATGACGCTAACAGAGTGACAATTAAATTTTCAATGAGGAAGCATAAAGCTCCGAAACAAGACCCAAGCATTAAAAACACACAAAAAATCTTAGAGTCTTTTGGTGTTGAGGCCAACAACTCTACTTGCCTTAATAGCCCCCATGGGCTTCATTATATGATATCAGAGTACAATAATTGGTGTGCATAAAACTGCCTAACTCATCAGGAAGACAATATGTTACAATGCTGTGCTCTGTTAAAGAAAGCAGGAAAGTCTGTAATGCTCTTTATAAAGATGATCAACAATTAATTACAATAAGGAAATATTGCTGAAAACTGAAAATTTCATTATGGAGAATAGCCCACTCTTTGATGATATTTCATAATTATAAATGCTTTTAATTTTAACCAGGTTTAGGTGGCATGTGAAATTTAAGGCAGAAAATATTCAGTGCTTAGAGAAAAATATAAATAAAATAGATAAGAAAATAAATATACAGGCTGGGCATGGCGGCTCACACCTGTAATCCCAGCACTTTGGGAGGCCAAAATGGGCGGATGGCTTGAGGTCAGGAGTTCGAGACCATCCTGGCCAACATGGTGAGACCCCGTCTCTTCTAAAAATACAAAAATTAGCCAGGTGTGGTGGTGGGCCCCTGTAGTCCCAGCTACTCAGGAGGTTGAGGCAGGAGAATCACTTGAGGTAAGGCAAAGGTTGCAGTGAGCCTAGATTATGCCTTGCACTCCAGCATGAGTGACAGAGTGAGACTCTGTGTCAAAAAAAAAAAAAAAAAAAAAAAAGAGAAAGAAAGAAGAAAATAAATATAGGGAAAAATAAAGAGTTCTTTAGGAGAGATGGTTGATATTGATTTTATTTTATTTCTATAAGCATTTATCAAGCATTTATTCTATGCCAGACACCATACTGGGCTACAGGGGTGCTAAAAAAGAGTGAGATGAGATCTCTTGCTTGATGAGTTCATACTCTAGCAGAAGAGGCCAACATGGTGAAAATATAGCACAAAGGAAAGAAAAAGGTCTGAAGAGCAAAGGGCATGGCAGGGAAAACTAAGAGGAGATTAATTGAGTAGGGAATTGAAGCATATGTAGGAATTTGCTATTTTCCAGATATGCAAAAGGAAAAGCATTCCAAGAAGTCATAACTTTTTTCTGTTCCTCAGGTATCACCCTCAGCTATATCATCATAAAAGGAAAGGGAGGCTCACAAAGGGTTTTGCCGGTAGGGAGGGGAATGAATTTTGACAATGCTTATTGGTAGAAAGGACATATTGAAAGTGAGCCAGGCCAGGTGCTGTGGCTCATGCCTGTAATCCCAGAAGGCCAGCCTGGCCAACATGGTGAAATCCTGTCTCTACTAAACATACAAACTTTAGCTGGGTATGGTGGTGCATGCCTGTAATCCCAGCTACTTGGGAGGCTGGGGATAAACATTGCTTGAACCCAGGGGGCGGAGGTTGCAGTGAGCCGAGATCACACCAGTCCACTCCAGCCTGGGCAACAGAGTGATACTCTGTCTTAAAAAAAAAAAAAAAAAAAAGTGGGTCTGGAAATTTGCTTTAGTTGTAAGAGACAATGTGGAGGTGTACTGAGGGTCAAAAGAACTGAAAATGAACCAAATGGGTGAAAGAAATATAAAAACGTTTAAACAAAAGGAAAGACTAGAGATGGAGTTGAATTTACATGGTGGAGTGAAATACGTGCTTAGACCACATCTAGAAAACCACATTTTAGTGGGTTAATAACCCTCGCTACAGTATGATATTTTGCAAGTCATGGACACCTAATTACTTCTTCAGGTGTTTAATAAGAGGCTGAACCAGCTTGTAATCTACAGTTTCCTTCTAGATCCAAAATGCCCCAATGTTCTATGAGATGAAAAGTTAGGAGCTTGGACAGAGACAGCACCTGGAACTGTCTATAGCAGGTGCTCCAACCATTCAAGGGAATGGCTTCATCACCTCTTCCACAAGGGCTGGAGGCAAGTTGAGAAAAAGGTGATGAAAAGGGCTGGGGTCTTGTGAAAGGAATTGGAACAGCATTGGGCAAGTTGCTGATCTTATCTGGTCTTTTGTAAATAGATGGGGGATTGGGACTCAAAGAGAAGTGCACAGCAAGGAGATAATGCTACTGATCCTAAGTCAAAGGGGAAATATCTGAGAAGTTATTGCCCTTGGAATGGCAAGAAGGAAGAGATCAAATATTGTTAGGAGTGTCAACATTCAGGAATGCTGCTCTGGCTCACCCTGCAATATAGCATTTAGGTCCCTATCCTGGGGGTAAGACCCTGATCCCTGGTGTGTGGGACCAGGCTAAGCTCATGTGTGATGATCAAGGCTCTGTAAATGCTCAAGGAGAATGATAGGCCACACATGCACATTGTCCAGCAATAAATGTATGGGACTTGGAGGGGAAGCCAGGACAGGCCATTACGTACCTAATGGAGAGCACTTAATGCCAGTCACTAGCTTTTCTCGTGCTTCTGATTACATTTTATATTCTTTTTAACAATTTTCTCAAAGCCTTGGTAAAGATTTCATTTGATTTGCCCGTGGAGATCAGTGACTGTGTGCCTTGGGGAGAAGCCCAGGAAGCCAGGAATGGGGTACAGATTTACAGGTTAGCAGCAGCACTCAGCATCCAATCCTCTGAAACTTCCTTAGTTGTCAAAGACAACATTTTTTGGGGGAACAGTTTCCCAGAGACCTAAACAGAAAGGCACCTCAGCCCAAGCGAAAAAGGGGCTTGTGGAAAATCTTACTGTGATCATAGAGGCTTTGAGGGCCAAGAAGCTAAGAAATAATGGAGCAAATACCAAGGTGGAAGTGAGTAGCAATTACTCTTGAGCACAAATGCTCTCCCATATGTACCTGTGATGGGTTTAGGAAGAAGGGATTTGATTGATCCATATCAAGCTCTTTGATAAATGTCTCAACCAGTGCTGATATTGTGGGCTTTCTTTTTCTTCTGTTTTTAGGGGTGGATATTATATTGAAAACAGAAAAAGAGTTAAAACTTCTCATATTGGGCTGAGCGCGGTGGCTCATGCCTGTAATCCCAGCACTTTGGGAGGCTGAGACGGGTGGATCATGAGGTCAGGAGATCGAGACCATCCTGGCTAACACGGTGAAACCCCGTCTCTACTAAAAATACAAAAAATTAGCCGGGCGTGGTGGCGGGCGCCTGTAGTCCCAGCTACTCAGGAGGCTGAGGCAGGAGAGTGGCGTGAACCTGGGAGGCGGAACTTGCAGTGAGCTGAGATCACGCCACTGCACTCCAGCCTGGGGGACAGAGTGAGACTCCGTCTTAAAAAACAAACAAACAAACAAACAAACAAACAAACAAAAAACCAAAAAACTCCTCATATGGCCATCACTTTTTATTAATTATATGGAATTAAACATTAAATTTAAAAATGATGTTCCCATCTCAGCTACCAAAGCTACCCACTTTGAACATTTTGCCATGCATCTTTTCTGAGTTATTTTTAAGCCTGTTTGTCTGCCTTGCTGTCTACCTATCATGTGTATACATGAATATATACATATAGATGTTATCTTTCTATATGTAATATTCTGAAGCTATGGCTATATGGTGGGTATTTTTACATACTGATAGATATAAATTTGTAACATTTAAAAAATAGCTGCATAAAATTTTATAATGTGGGCTGGGCACAGTGGCTCATGCCTGTAATCCCAGCACTTTGTGAGGCCAAGGCGGGCGGATCACGCGAGATCGGGAGTTTAAGACCAGCCTGACCAACATGGAGAAACCCTGTCTATACTAAAAATACAAAATTAACCGGGCGTGGTGGCCCATGCCTGTAATCCCAGCTACTTGGGAGGCTGAGGCAGGAGAATCGCTTGAACCCAGGAGGCAGAGGTTGTGGTGAGCCAAGATTGCGCCATTGCACTCCAGCCTGGGCAACAAGAGCGAAACTCTGTCGCAAAAAAAAAAAAAAAAAAAAATTGTATTGTGTATTATAATTTATTCAACCAGTGCCTTAATAATGGTTTTTAAAATTTTGTTGTAAACAATGCTGCAACAAAATCCATATATATATATGTAAAATATTTTTGTTTTCATTTCTGTAAGCTGGATTCCTAGAATTGGGATTACAAGGTCAAAGGGTATATATTAAAAATTTTATTTTCCAAAAAGATGGGTTAATTAACATTCTCAATATCAGTGTTTGATCCCCATTTTTGTTAGCTCTGGTACCTCTTAAAATGTAACTCTCAAATTTAAATATTTTTGCCAGACCGAAGGCTGAAAATTCGTATCTCATTAGTGATTTAATTTGTAATTACATGACAGCTAGAAGGTTGAACATTTTTCTATGTTTATTGTACACTTGTATTTACTTTTCTCTCAATTGCCTATTCAAATATCTTGCCTATTTTTTATCATTATTTGTGTTTTTTAATTAATTTGTAGGAACTCCTAATATATTCAAATTAACCCTTTATTAATTTTTTCTTCCAAAGACAAATGACTTTCAAAGAAATGTTTAAGTAGCAAAACCTTTTATTCAATGGGACTCTCATGTCAAACCTCAATAACTACAATAGATAAAAGTGGGACTGCAGAATGTGGTCTTTAAATACCATTGCTGACTAAAAATAAGCCAGGGCCCTTTGGAAAAATGGCTAATTCCAGATCTGGGGCAGGAAAGGTACAAGAAGCACCGAGAACATCTTGACATACTAGCAAGAAAGATATCAAAGACTAGAAGGGTCATATTTCAAGGATCCAGGAGCCAGTCTGAGTCAGTTCCCACTGGACAAAGACAGGCTATATATGTAAGAGACTCAAAGAAGGATGTCAGTTGTGAGCTGCTTAAAAAGTTGCGAGCTGCTTAAGTTCATGGGTTCATAATGACACTTAACAAAAATCTTTGGATGATGCTAAGGAACCAACTTATTTTGAAAACTGACAAATAAAGAAATAAATCATTTATTTTGCTTTTCCTATACCTCAGGGTAACCAGAGAGCTGATGAGAAGTTTTCATCATAGCAGTATTTTAGCTGATAAAGCTATTAAAATTAGAATATCACCAATTGAAATAGGGATCTCACCTAATGATCCTAATGAATCTTCCTAGTGGTTTACAATTGTTTCATGAGCTCCTAATGAAGTAAAGGATCTAGAAAATGATCATACATGGCTGCCAACATCACAAAGAGATCAACATCCAGTAGACATGAAAAGCCTGATAGACCTTTGAAATACTTTTGCCAAAAAAATCAAAACCAACTCTGAGCAAACCTCTGGCTATAACTACCATATGACAGGAAATACACTGAACAAAAGTGAAATATGTTAAGTGATACCACGGGGATGCAGTCAGCAAAATCCAGACTCTACAGAACAAAGGACATGATTGAAGCAGGGGTGGGGGCAGCTTTAGATTAAGAGAGACTTAAGAGATGTATCAACTAATTTCAACGTATGGACCTTATTTGATCTTCATTTGAAAATACATACTTTAAACTGTGAGACAGTTGGGAAAATGTTAACACTGACTAAATTGAAGATTATGAAATTAGTGTTAACATTTTAAGTGGGATAAGGGTATGTGGTGATTATTTTTTTTTAAAGATTATCCATGTCTTAGAGATACATACTGACAGTATTCGCAGATAAAACAATATGATGTCTGGGTTTTTCTTCAAAATAATCTGGGTAATGAGGGTGAAGGTGGGTATGAAAGGAGATTGGCCATGAATTGGTAACTGTGGGCACTAGGTGAGAGGTACGTGGTGGGGATTCATTATACCACTCTCTACTTTCACATGTGCTTAAAATTTCTATAACAAAAACATGCTGTCTTGTTGCAGTGCAGTTCGAGTGTGCAAACCTCTACTGGCTCAGTCCCAATCCTCTTGTGCCCTGAGACACCCAGAAAACTCTGGGGTCCCATTGGAATGAAGCTCCTTCTGAGGAGAGAGTTTTGTTTTCATTCTTGATGAATCCCCTGTGTTTAAAAGAGTGCCTGCACATAGTAGGCCCTCAGTATTTTGAGGATGGAATGAATGCTTCTCAACATGACTGGTATTGGGCTAGTTTTCTCTGACTCCCTTGGGGAACATGTTAGCGCACTGAAACCTGGGCACAAGCCTTGATCAGGTGCACCATGGGCGCCTCTTCTGAGTCTAGTGACTACTGGTATAAACAAACTCATGGTGCATTTACAAATCTGGACTGCCTAAGATCTGTTTCAAGTGTCAAGCTGAGGATCTTGACAGCAGCCTCGTGGCCACACATGGCAAGGCTGGCCCAGCTGGCTAGGTCTATAGGGGTCCTCCATTATTGTCACCAAACCAGAGGTTCTCCACATTGGCTGTGCAGTGGAACCACCTGGGGAGCTCGTTAGAAATACAGGTTCCTGGGCCCTGCCTCCAGAGATTTGGGTTTGTGAGATCCAGGCAAGCTATTGTTAAGAATAAAAAGCTCCACAGGTGATTCTGAGGGCTCTAAGCATAGTCACCCAGCCCTGTGCTGGTGTTGGCCTACAGAGCCGTGGTCTAATAACAACATTCCTATACTTCTCGGTGGGAGGCTGAATAAGCACTCCTCCCAGACAGCATCGTATCTGCAGAAGTTTCCCTCAGACTCATGGATGGAGTTCCAGGTCCATCCTGATTCTCCTTTGCTCTTCAGCTCAGCTGCAAGTATTTGTTCTCTGAAGTCAGAACATTTTGCTTTTATAGGCCCTTTACTCCATATTCTCAGTAGGCAGCCCTCCTGCCTCAGCCAGATCATCCTGTTTCTTTGTTTTTAACTAGTTTCTGGAGGTGGGACTTCCTGCTGCTTCAGTTACTCTCTGGGTTAATGCTTCCAATTGATAGCCTCCCTGCAGGTTACCTCAGAGATAAGACTTCTTCATGGCTTGGAAGTCTGGTTGATTCTTGCCCAAGCCTTGACTGACTTTTGCTTTGCTATTATATAACCTTACTGATTAATCAAAAGTATTGCTCACAGCTCTGGTTAATGGATGATGGCTCTGGAGTTTGCCTGAATACAATTATTTATTGCTTTATTGATGTGCTACTTATTACTCTGTTAAGTACCATAGGGTGTTTAATTATGTGAAAGGGAAGTGCAAAGGCAGCTGCTGAAAGCTGGAGTTAAAGAGGTCCAGTACCTGAGTTCCCGACAATGTGTCATAAAACAGCTTTAAAACACATGCACACCCAAAGGACAAAACCCATTCCAAAGTTTAACAAGCTTGGAAGCAGAACGGGCTTGGGGAACTGCCCTGCCACTTTGTGACTTGATGTTAGCCACAGCACAAGCAATGAAATCTGAATGTTTTAAATGAAAAGGGGACCTTTATTTTGGGGCTTTTGGGTATTTTCTATTTATTGCTAATGATTGAAGTGGAGCCCATGATAAAAGTCATAGCTAGAAGAGAAGGAGCTGATGGGACTGAAAAGTGGCTCCTGTTGCAACAGATGTGGCCCGCAGGCTTGGTGGAATCAGGGCTTCTTTCTGGTTGGTGGTCAACTCTTGCCATTCTAAAGGGCAGCTGTACTGCGCCAGGAAAAGCTTCTGAAAGAAACCCCACCAGGTCACTGTTGGAGTACTTGCTACATTTTGCATCCCATTCTGTCCCTGCCAATGGGGATCAATTCTCTAGCATGGGACCAAAGATTTCAATGCCTCAAGGCAGAAGTTGTACCTGTGTCTGAGCAAACTCCGTATTGCCAAGTCTGAGTCCTGACCTGATAAAAGGTCATTATTTTAATTCTTTCGATTAGAGATTTTTCAAGTTATGCTCTGAATAATCTTAGGGTACCTTATTTCAGAGGTGGGCCGCCTCACTCACCATGTGCTAAGCTGAGGCAGCAGGATCTTTGGGCTAGATGCCTGGGGTGGCGGCTTCCCTGGGAGCCCAGTATCCACACCCACTTCCTGCAAACTCAGGTCTTCCCCACTTGTAAAGGATCACCTCCACCCTACGAATCTCTCCTGTCTCAGGCATGTACCCCTCCACAGTTTTGATTTAGGGAGGGGAAAATACCTTTCTTCTAGTCTCATTTGGAATCAGGAAACAATTATAAATCAATATCTCAGTAAATAATCTTGTCACAGAGGCATATATGGATGCCAACATAAATAATTTGTATGACAGGTTGTGTTGTAGTGCAAAGACCTCTCAGCTGAGAGTAAAACAGAACTGAAATCCTACTTTTGCTGCTGTTTAGTTGTATGACCCTGGGACAGTCCCTTAATTTCTCTAAAACTTGCTTCCTTATTTATAAATAGGACAAGATAATAGCTACATCTAAAGCTTGTTGTGGGCGTTAGTTGGGAAAATAGATGTAAAAAGCCAGCCTGACTCATGATGAATGGACAAATATTAATGTTCATTTTTTTTCCTGATAACCATGTAACACTTGCACTTTTTAGATAAGAAAAGGTAGCAATCACATTTTGACTTTTAATGCATTCCTTTCTGGAATTTTCTTCATGCTGAATATTATAGAGATTGTATATTTGTAAAGTAATGGTAAGTTTTTAAAAAGCGTCAGGGTTGTAAACTTGCATATATAATATGTTTTTTGAAAATGTATTTTTACAAGCATAGGCTTACTAAAAGTTTAAAAGGTATTTACAAAATTCGAATCAAATACTGTAGGCAATTACATGCCCTCCTTTTTAATTCTTTATATTAAACAGGCTTGTTCTGGGGAGATTTGTTTTGGAACTTCAACTCTGTTCTGAAGAATTCCTAGGAACTAAGCTTTCTCAAGTACATTTAAAAAAAAAGTTGTTTATAGTATTTAAGAGCCCATATTTGTCTCATTTAATAGGGAATGTCTAAATGAAAATAAAGACTTCTCCAACACTAGGATTCAAGACTTGGGCAGTGTAGAGCCGAGGATGAATGCATTGTTCCCGGAATTAGGCAGTCGAGATTTGAATTTCAGTTCTCCCACTTATTAGCTTTAACTTGACCTTGGAAAAGTTCTTCAACCTCTCTGAACCTCAGTTTCATATCTATAAAAGAGGAAGCTAATAGCACCTAACCTGGAAGGCTGTTGTGAGGAATAAATGCAGTAACTCAGGTAAGGCATTTAGCCCAGTGCCCAACACAGAGTAAGTGCACAGTAAGTGAATAGTAAGTTAGCAATTATTTTTTGGTTCCTAGAGTCCCCTAAATTAAAGTGAGTTCATTGAGATGCAATGAAGGGAAGCCATCACAAATTAGACTAATTACTTACATTTATTCTTGTTGACTTGGCTGAATTCTTATGGAAGGCTTAGGAATACCTTAGGATGAGAGCATTTGGAAAGCAGTGACCACAACTTTGCATTGTCTTGTAAAGTGTAATTCATGACTCACATGGTTAGTCTAGTGACTATCAATGCTTTGTTATAAAATATTTTTCCCTTGCAATGCTTAAAGTTAAAAAATTATCAAAAATACTTATTTTATCTATTGTAGTTATATTTTGAGTGGCATCAAATGTTATGATATTGTAGAAAGTCAGTATTACACTGTGGTTTAAAAGCCTCTCTTTGGCAACAAGCAGGCCTGGGCTTTGGTTTTGTGAAGTCTGGGCAAATGACACATCTTTTCTAAGCCTCAGCTTTATCAGCAGTGGAATAGAGATAATAAAAGGGCATTCACTTTGTATCCTCCACTCTTCCTGGCATGTAATTAGTGCTCAGACATTCTGGTGGGATCACCTTCTGGCTAAGTTTTAGGCTTCTATCTCCCGGGTTGATGTATAAGAGGCGCTGCTTGCCGGCCACTCCAGTCAGCCCCACTCGGATGACTTCATTGGTTCAAGGGCTCCTGCTATAAGTTATACTCTTGGTTCATTTTGAATCTATAAACACTGTGTTCTGAGCATGAGCCTGCAGTGCCCACTTGGGCAGGTCTCTGCCAGACCCTGACTCTCACACCCACCCTCATTTCCTAACCAACTATCAGTGATTCGAACCCCATTCTCTTTGGGCACCTATGTGCAGCCCTTATAGGTCATCTCACAGTCTATAACCTAATCCAAACACAAATCAGACTCGGGGGTACTTGGAGAACTGGAGAAATGCTTCCCTACATTGACAGAATGATTTGCAAGTTCACAACCCTATCTTGCTCAGAAATGAGATGACATATATAAAAGGACTGTGTAAACTGTAAAGTGCTCCATAAGTGTGACTTACCCTCTCATGATATCTGTTTAGGACTTCATTCTCAGGGGAAGGAGTAACAGGCAATTTTGTGTCCATTTTAGAGATGAGGAGACCTTGCACCACAGAGGCTAAATGAGTTGTTCAAAGATATGTAGATAGTTGGTGATATGAGTGGGATTTCAAGTCAGGGAACTGATTCTTGAGCCATTATGATAGCACTGAACACTTACCAAGCTCAGTTACTGTACCAAGCTCAATATCATTTACTTTTTCAGTCTTATATTATTAAATACTATGGAACAGGTATTGTAATAGGCCACTGTACTGTGGAATAGGCATTGTAAAATAGGCATTCTCTGAGGCTCAGAGAAGTAAAGTAACTTACTTAAGGTCTCACAACTAGAAGTGATAGAAATGGGGCTGAAACTTTGATCTGTCTGACACCAAGCCTGAGCTGATATTATATAGTTTACTGAGAAAAGTTTGAACTGTTTCAACATTAAACAGAGAGTAAACCGTATCTGTGAAGCATCAACAAAATTTTATTAATTGATGTCTTATTCTGTCTTTCCTTCCTTCATTCAACAACTATTGAATAGGATCTGACAATGTGTTAGCCACTGTGCTAGACAAAAAAAGAACTGCATTTAAACCTCCCTCCACCCAAGGGACCTGTCTGGGTCCTGCCCATAGCTCCTCACCCTCATGGCTTCAGAGCATACCAGCCTGCTTTTCTACTGCCAGCTCCTGCATTTGTCTGCTTGAGAGTTTCCTTCAGCCACCAAAACCTGATTTTCCTGCCTGTGTGGACAGCTGCTAGTACCAGGGAGTTAATGCCTCAAAGGAACAACCTCATCCAAAGGCTGATGGCAGCTGGTGTATAAATATCCCAGCTCCCACCCCTCTGGTGGGGTAATTCTGAGGTGTATGTTCTACAAGGCCTCCCTGAGTTTCCTCATTAGGGTTAAACAGTTGCCCACAGTGGTAGCTAGCTAGACAACACACTTTGCATTGACTGGCTTCCCTATCCTGTCTCACTTTCCTACTCCCCACCTGGGGTTTCCTTTGCTTCTCAGATCAACTTCTTGCACTCAAATCCTACTCAAGGGCTGGACATGGTGGCTCATACCTGTAATCCTAGCACTTTGGGAGGCCGAGGCAGGAGCATCACAGGAGACCAGCCCAGGAAACATAGCGAGACCCGGCCTCTATAAAAAAAATGGAAAAACGTATCCAGGCATATGTCTGCAGTCCCAGCTACTTGGCAGGCTGAGATCGGAGTATTGGGTGAGCCTAGGAGGTTGAGGCCAAGATCCTACCACTGCACGCTAACCTGGGCAAAGAACAAAAAAGAAAAAAAAATCACTGTTTAAAGGTCTATTTCTGGGGGAACTCACCTTATGTCAGGGCCCCTAGGGGTTCCTCTATTCTATCATTAGTGGATATTTTGTATCTTAAGACAAGTAGCCACACTTAAATTGTCTTAGGAGTTAACTCCTGGTCCAGTAGCGGTTTAACTTATGTTTAACTCCGCCTCTCCATGAGTTATGTAGAGTTATTGAGTGCTGTCACCTACTACATCCTGGAACGTTACTAGATATTAAAAAAATAATGTACCAAACATTCTCCTGAGAGAAAACTGCTATTACTTTCAAGAGATTTACTTTGTGAGGCCTACTAGGGCAAAAGATAGTTAGAGAATAAGGACTAGAATATGATATTATTTTCCTTTTCCTGAATCTAACTATTTTGAAGGAAGCACTTATTGCTGTTGCTGAGAAGGGAAGTATACACCAGTTTTTGTCAGGTAAAGAGGAAGTCCGAATGAGTGAGCCTGGAAGCCATCCTTATCTCCTCAGAGGACATTTTCATTCTGCTGTTCAACAAAAGTTGATTGAACTTTAACAGGGTTTGAGCCCCAGGCTAAGCAGTATGCAATACACATAAACACGAAAAATGGAAAAAAGGCCAGACTCCATTTAAGTGTTCGTGGATCTGGGAATGGCAACCGAAATCCCCCTTTTCAGGGTTCATTTGGGTGGTAATACATTTCATTCTGGAGAACAACAGAAAATCAAATTGACTTTAGTATGTTTGCTTGATTTTAAAAATATAATCCTAGGGGGAAAGTGGCCTGTCTGTGGAGACAAATGGTTACCAATCTCAAAATAGTTTTCACTTTATTTTTATTCAGCCAACAAACATTCGCTTTTGGAGTCTTAACCTAATTTCCCAGAGTTGCCTGGCCTATCTTTCTCCTCTAATTTTAATGTTCTGCCCAAGTCTTTAAGGTCTCTGTTGGTTAATGTTTAATGCTCTCCACGACCAGTGTTTGATGTTCACACTTTATTGGGCTAACCAAATTTGTAGAGCAAATTAAATGTGTGCAGGTCTCTGGCAAGCCACGTTTAGATATGTGTTGCTCAGAAACCATCTCCTTGTTCAATACTGCATGCCCCAAATAGTTTCAATTAACTGTTCTTCTTTTCTGGCAATATCTGAGCTATCTACATTGCTTTTGGGGAGCTATTACTTCCTAAATTTACGAATGTTACAGCCTCATACCCTTATGTTTCCAGAAAACATGTCACGGCAGAGAACTCCACTACTCTGTGAAATGAGAGCGTCAGCAAGAGGTAACCTATTAAACCAGATTGACCAAAGACCAGAAAAATACACTAGGGTTGGAGCAGGGGAGGCTGGAGAAAGGAGGGAGTAATAATTTGAGTTGGTATTTTTGTTTAGAAAAATACACATACTCTAAGAAAACGTACAGGTGGAATAACACAACAGTTTAGGTAAAGAGCCATTAATATAATTACCTGAAGACACATGTTGTTTTTCTTATACCCATGAATTTAATTTCAGTCTTCTTTTTTGAACAAACTGAAAAGGCAGATGGTACCATATCATAGTCATGGCTGGGGAAACCAAGGCCTGAGTTCCGTGTTCAGCTAGATGGGGCCTCCCCCTGGTCTGACCTTGGCCAAGCCCTCTCTTTAACCTCATGGAAAGTCATCCAGGAAAGAAGAGAGTTGGCTATGATCTCGAAGTGCCTTCCAGTTTGGGCATTTTTTTTCTTTTTTTTTTTTTTTAAGACAGAGTCTCACTTTGTCGCCTAGCCTGGAGTGCAGTGGCCCGATCTCGGCTCACTGCAAACTTCTGGGTTCAAGTGATTCTCCTGCCTCAGCCTCCTGAGTAGCTGAGATTGCAGGTGCCTGCCGCCATGCCTAGCTAATTTTTGTATTTTTAGTAGAGATGGGGTTTCACCATGTTGGCCAGGCTGGTCTTGAACTCATGACCTTAAGTGATCTGCCTGCTTTGGCCTCCCAAAATGCTGGGATTACAGGCTTGAGCCACGGTACCGGTTTGGGCATTTTGGAATTCAATTATGTCTTTAACTCCATTTATAACGTTTCTAGGGAGAGGCAGACATGGCTTACAATAATCTTCTTAAACGATACAAGTTTTACAAATATTTGCCCAATAAACTACAACTTAATTTCTTCAAAGATTGCCTTGATTGTGGCTATCAGCAATTCTTCATTTTTTCCCTTAAATTTTATATTTTTTTAATTACTGAGACAGGGTCTCACTCTGTCATCCAGGTTGGAGTGCAGAGGCACAATAATGCCTCACTGCAGCCTCAACTTCCCTGAATCGAACGGTCCTCCCACCTCAGCCTCTTGAGTAGCTGGGACTAGTAGCGCTAGCACGTGCCACCATGCCTGGCTAATTTTATTTTTTTCAATTTTTTGTAGAGACAGAGTCTCCTTATGTTGCCCAGGCTGGTTTTGAACTCCTGAACTCAAATGATCCTCCTACCTCAGCCTTCCAAAGTGCTGGGATTACAGGTGTGAGCCACCGTGCCCAGCCATAATTCTTTCTCCATCTTTCCAAACTGGTATTGTCTTTTAGCCTTGCTGAGAGACACCCAGTTTTGACTGGGTATAAGAAAATATTAAGAAGGTTCTGGGGTTTAATCAGTAGACGAAAATAAGGAATCCCCAAGTTTCGGGGTCACTGATGGACTTTGGGGTTCAGGTTTCTTGGGGGTCAGATTTCCTGTCTCAAGGCTACCAGAAAGAATCCGGCCAGGTCTGGAGTGATAGCTGCTTTTCTGGCACATCAGCAGGGGCTGAACCCTAATGTGTTTAACAGTTGGACTTATTTTTAATCTACTGTATTAGGAGCACAAATTTAATCAAGAACAAATTGTTACCAATGTTGTTTTTTGTTCTTGCATATGCATATATCCTTAACACTGTTCTGTATTCCCTTGTGCTAGAAAGCTTTCCATCTGACATCTGACTTATTTCATAACATTAGTTTTTTTTTTAAGTACAAATATATGTGGAGAAAAAAAGAAACGAGGAGCTGAATTTCCACTCAATGCAGCCCCCTTACTTAAAGAACTAGCTGCAGTACAGATTTTAACAATTAACATTCCTGCCGTGAATGTCGTTATGGATGGAGCTAATAAATGTTTTCAAACACTCTTCGGCTCAAATACACGTTCAGCTTATTTTCTGTCATTTGATGGCATTGGTGGGTTGAGACATTCCTCTAAGCCTTTTTTTTTCTCCTTTCTAGTAAAAGAAAGAGATCTTATCTCCCTACCCACCCTAACCCACCCCTTTCTCTGCCCTACCCGCTCTGTGCCTACTAAACCTTACTTTCAGGTCAGCAGGCTGGTAACAGATTAATTTCACTCTGTGAGGAACACCAAGTGTTTTGGCCAGGACACATGAGAATCCTGTTATAATATTACCGTTTTTCTAAATTAAATATTAGGAAAAATTAAACTAAATTGTGGCACACAGTGCAATGGAAAATATTTCTCTTCCAAACACTTCTCTGTGATAAATGTGTGTGTAGCTGAAAGCACAATAAATATGCACTACTTAAAAAACCCAGATTATTCAGGTTTTAAGACTTATAGCTAAAAGTGGTTTAATGTTTCATGCCTAATAATAGATTACTCCTATCACATTTCTAACCTTTATTTCTCCTCGCTTTGAAGTCCAGCCATATAAAGGTTGTTTGTAGAACCACACGAAAGTTAAAGCAAATATTACTTAGAGTGATTCATACCACCAAGAATTTGCAATGAAGGCAGAGGTTTTTTTTTTTTTTTTTTTTGGTGTGTATGTGTGTCTGAATCAAAGGAAATGAAATGTTTGTAATATTTTTTGGTTGATAAATTTATTAAAACATTTTAGAGGCTTGTAGTAGAAGCACAGCTGAAATAAACAGACTGACTGGAAACAGATTATATTCTGCTCTGTGGGGGAGGCAGAATTTAAAGGGGGAAAAATTCCCTGGATTTCAAAAATTGCCACCAGGTCACAGCAATACTTAATTAACTGAATACATTATGGGAGGGTTATAACATAGATGCTAAAAAAAGAGGGCGGGGTGGGGGGGAGTAGTCAAATTCATTTAATCCTGTGTTCTTTGCTTACAGATTAGCCTTTCAGAATGAGCAACCTGATTTTTTTTTTTTTTAAAAGGATCCATTTACCTTCCAGAGCTTTTCATAGCAAAACATTTTGCATGGTTGCAAAAGAAATTAATTTGTTGCCAGTTGCTCCACACTGGCAGGAATTCTGAATAAAGAATGTAAGCAATCTATCTTTGTTTGCAAGATATAATTAATCTGGCAGTTAAAATTCTTTGGAAACATTCTGATGACTTATGTGGAAAAGTAGCGCAGCATTTTCAAAGAAAACTCAGAACTGTATGCCGGGGAAGATAAAAGATATATGAAGTGTTTGTTCTAAGCGATACTATTCATTTAAAGATCATAATGTAACCCCACCCTAGCAATTATTGTGAAAAACAAGACAAATCTCCATCTATAGCTTTCTGACACAGTCTTGATTTGAGAAACAAAATAAGCACATTACTGTTATAGTCTAATAGACTGCAAGCTGTTTTATTAGAGTCAGCTGAATCCTGTTTTGCATAAAAAAGAACTCTGTTTGCTATCAAGAACACATTTACATTAATATGACTTTGACAAAGTAAAATAAAATCGCATTAAGATGATGTAAGTAGATAAGACAATGAAATCTCTGTGAGAGAGTTTTGGCACACACTAATTACAGTCAAGTCCCTGCAGAAAAAGAACATATTTTTACACCAACTATCCATGTGTTTGAAAATGTAGAGAGCCCAAAATGCAATCCTTGGTTTAGGTATTTCCTGAATACATTGTATTTCTGTGCTTCTGAGATAGGGTTTTTTTTTTTTCTTTAAAGGAGGCTGCCCGATAAATAATACTTTCATTTACAATAATACAAGCAAGTTTCTTTCTGAATACTAGCCTGTAATCATCCTGATTATTTTAAGGGACTTTCCAATACAGGGCAGCTGAAAACAACGTTTTAGATTACATGGTAATTTAGGAATGCATGAAAAGCTAAGCAGTTACCATAATAGGGTTCTGGATAAACTTCATGCTTTTTAGAGCAAAACATAACAACATATGTTTTGTGATTTGTTTCAATGATTTTTCTATATTTTTTTTGTTCAGGTTCTATCAAAATATTTGGAGGCCTCATCTGCGTACAGCATTTTTATAACCTTATTTTGAAAACTTTGATGTCTCTCTTTTTAGTTCAGTCATTAAAAGAAAGGCAATGATGGATGATGATAATGCCTCGGATTTTATGACTAATCAGTTCTTGGCAGTGGCCATATTTCTTCCGTAGTGAAACTTTAATACTCCTTTGGCCTTGCATAGGCTTAACAACAACAAAAAAATTTTTTGGAACTGTGTTACACCGGCTACTTATTAAGTATTAGCAAACAGTTATTATACAAAAGTTAGCACTCTGATTTAACACCTGACAAAATGGAGCAACCAGGAAAGATGATTTCTTCTCTTTTCTGGATTCTCACAAATTTTAGGTGCCTTGCTATTGTGTTTTTTTTCCCCCATGTTTTACATACAGGAATACGGAGAAAAGCTATTCAGATGGTAGAAATATTGAGGGGGAAAAAGTCTTGTAGGGGTGAGTTGGGCTGCCATTTGCATTTTTTCTTCCTGAACCGTCTTTTTGATGACACAATTTTTATGAAAAGCCTGATTTTCTGCCCCGAGTCTTAATGTATTGTTCTTGAAGTTGCAACAACAAACACCAGGTGTCTCCACTTAGCTGAGCTACAGGTTCTGAAAAGGAAGGCCACTTTGCCAGGAAAAGTTGAAGCTACCTTCCTTTTCCCTCCCTAGTGCTCCTGGCCGTGGCCTAGACAAGGCCAGAGGGCTGGCTGTGAGTAGGGGAGTGGAGTTTATTCTTTCATGAGTGCTCAGTTTAAAGCCTATTGACTCAGATTTGTAAGGGAACCTGATTTTTGTGTGGAAGTCATGAAGACTGGCATCCGTGGAAATACTGATACCAGTGAATTAGGCAGCTGTGGCCTGTATTGCATGCCTGTTCTACTCTGGTGGGGACCTGCCATCTTGGTTGGCAAGAAGCCCTTCCTGGGTGGATGGGGGCCTTCTTCTTTTAGGATAGCCAACTCCATGGGGACCTTCTGGCTGAGAACAACCAGATCAGAGACCCACAACCTAATGTGCTGGCTTCTTCTCTACCAGGGGCTGATGTCCCAAATCCCAAGTTGCTATTTCCATGAGCATATATTCTTCAACAAATAATCAGTTAATCTCTACTGTGTGCCAGGTACTGTCCTAAGCAGTGAAAAAACTAGAAAAACCTGCTCTCATAGAGCTTGCGTTAACATATGTCCCTTCCATTTGATGCCTGGGGTAAAAATCAATTCTGGTGTTTCTTAAAATGTGTTTTGTGGCATTCCAAGGATGGTAATAAGTATTGTGCTGAGAAATGTTTTCATATTTCATTATGCTCTGGAACTGCTGGGTTAAAAAGTGTCTAGATGCAAAACTCCTTAGTAACCTCTATATGCTAATTTGCATAGTCCCTTTCTAAGAGATGTCTTATTTCTCAAATATATTTGGCTAAGGAATAATTTTTTAAAAAATAAAAACATTCTCCAAGCCAATTTTTAAAAAACAAAATATGTCATTATTATCCTAGAGAAATATTCCAAACATTTTATTCTGTTACTCAAACACTACCTTCATAATTCTTATCCTGTCAGTTGGTCATCCTCATTATTTTTAAACCTAGAAATTACGCTGGATGTTTAAGTGAATGTTCTGAGGAATATACTTTGGGAAAAATTGCTTTGAGTAGTAGACATTCAAAGATTGGAAGATTTGGAAGCTAGAAGGAGGTAAAGAGGTTGGGGCTTAGAGGCCACCTGTAAGAGGAAAGAGATGTTTGCCCCTAAAAACGTGACTGTTGAAGCTGTGCTGGTATCCTTGCAGAAGAAAACTCTGTTCTCCATCAGTTTCTGAGCAGCCATCAAACAACTATTTTGGAAGACGGGAAAGCTAAGACATATGGGTTCCAGTCCCAGCTCTGTTTTTAACTAGCTGGGCAATCTTGGGGGTAATTTACTTACCTTTCGGTCTTAAATCTAATGCCCAATAAGTGTCGAATATACATTAAGCCACTTAATCATCAAACAGTTCTCTGAGGTAGATCATGCATCTACAATATTCCTTATAGGGAAGGAATTAGAGTAACAGATTAAGGAACTTGCCCAAGTTACACAGCTAGGAAATGATGGGCCCAATAATATTGGATGATGATCTTGAATCAGATCACTTCAAAATCTAACATTGTATGATTATAGAAGGGTGACTTTTGCTATGTTTCATATCTATTGTGATTGGCAGTCAATCCTCTAAGCAGAAATCGTTCATTAGTCAACAGAAGTACTGAGCATGTATTCTGTGTCAGACACTAGCCAAGGCCCTGACACTAGCCAAGGCCCTGGGGAATTTACGGGGAAGAAGGCAAAGTCCCTGCCCTCAGGACTTTACAGTCTAGTAGAGGGTGGAGCACAAGTAAACATGCATTCTACCTTTATAGCTAAAACATTATTATTACTAATATTTCTATAGTGAATCATTGAAATATTATGGTAGACTATTCACAAAAGCCAAAATGTGGGAACAACCCAAATGCCCATCAACTGAGGAATGGACAAACAAAATGTGGTATAGCCATATACAATGGAATATTATTCAGCCATAAAAAGTAATGAAGTACTGATGTATGGTACAACATGGATTAACCTGAAAAACGTTATGCTGAGTGAAAGAAGCCAGATACAAAGGGCCACATATTGCATAATTCCATCTATATGAAATATTCAGAGTAGGCATATTTATAGAGACAGAGGACAGATTAGTGGTAGCCAAGATCTGGGGGACGGGGAGAATGGGGAGGGACAGCTTAATGGGTACAGTGTTTCCTTTTGGAATGATGAAATGTTCTGCAATGCTTGCACAACATTGTGAATGTACTAAATGTTACTAATAGCAACTTTTATATTATGTGTATTTTACCACAGTAAAAAATGCAAAAAATGAAAGCCACGATGGTAGATAAGGCCAGGCTTATTGTTGTCATTTCAAGTGAAATCACTATTCAGCACCTGCATTATGAAAAAGTGGGCTCAGCAGTGTTTGGATATAAAGGTGAATAAGATGTAATCCCTGTCCTTACAGATCTTAAAATATACTTATAGGAGTAATAGAAGATCAGCAATGAATTACAATAAAGCATGATTAGATTAGCATTATACTGGAAGAATAGGCAAAATGCTGAGGGATATTTAGAAGAAAGAAACAATTCACTTCTAACTGAAGTTATTGGAAAATCCTCATGGAGGAGGTGGTGGTTTGCCACATTCAGCCTGTTTCAACCTTTCTCTTGAAGGCTAAATAGAAATTCAGCAGACAAAGAAGGGAAAACCAACACACAGGGAGGATAAAAAACTTGCTGGATGTCACACAGCAGTGACAGAAATGGAATCCTAGGCTCCTCATCCTAGTTGAATTTCATTTGATTCTCATTATTTGTGGATTCTGTATTTGTGAATTCACCTACTTGCTAAAATATATTTCTAACTCCAAACTAATACCTGGGGCACTTTCATGGCCACTGATGGATGCCACGCAAAGTGACAAAACATTTGAGTCACCTGAAATGCATGTGCCCAGCTGAGGTTGTACACCACCGCATTCGGCCTTCTTGTTTCATCTCTGATACTGTCAACAAATCTGTTGCATGCCATGTTTTTCACATGTTTGTGCTTTTTGATGGCGATTTCACGTTTCAATGGTCCCCAAGTAAGTGCAAAGTGCTGTCTAGTGTTCCTAAATGCAATTACGGAGAAAATGTGTGTGTTAGATAAGCTTTGTTCAGACATGAGTTATAGTGAGGTTGGCAGGGGGCTCAATGTTAATGAATCAAATAGTATATATATAATATAGTACATATATGATATTATACACACTATAATACATATATTATACTATGTATACTTTACTATCATACGTATATTATTTATATTGTATACTATATATTATATATACTATGTCACATAGTAATCCTGTATATATACTAAATATAGTACATAATATATAGTATTTAATATATTTAATATAGTATTGGTTATATACTATATATGCTATGTAATATATACTATGTAATGTATATATAGTATATAATATAAATAATATATAGTATTAATTATATACTATACATACAGTATATAATACTACAATACTAATTATATATAGAATAATTATATACTATATTGTAACAGTATCTATAGAATATATAAATAATGTATAGTAAATAATATATAAACAATACATAAAATGATATAAATATATGTATTATAGTATATAATATAATACATATTGTATATCATATATTTTATAAATAATGTCTTTAAACAGAAACACTTATAAAGGAAGGTTATATATTGATAGATTGATGAGATGAAATTGTGACTAGAAGCTCACAGGAACTGAGCCTAGTATTTCCACTAGGAGCCATGGCTCAGTATTCCCTAACTCAGTGTGTGTGGCAACTTTGTAGAAGCTAACTACTGCAAGTAACGGGAATCAGCTACTTCTCTATCCTCTACTCACAGGTTTGAAATTGAGCTATTCCTTCTCTGCTCATCACTCATTAGCAATCCACCCCCTGGATGAACACACACACACACACACACACACACACACACACACACACACACACACCCCTACCCAGAGATGGTTACAAAGTTTTCAGGATTCAAAGCAAAATGAAAATGCAAGACCCCTTGTTCAATAGTTCCTAAGAATTTCAGATGGCAGGAGCAGAGGATTAAACCAGGTATTGGGCTTCGTGTTCAGGTCGCATGCCCCAGAAGCCAGCCCAGTTTTTCCCTCCACCTAATCAGTCGTGTCTTCACTTCAGCACTTGTGCCTCTTTTTTCCCTGGGATCAAGAAATACGATCATTGTTTACCTTGCCTCATTTGAGATAAGGAGTTTACCAAACCATTCGTATCTCTGGGGAAGAGGATAATGAGCTCACAGACGCACATTCTGTGACCTGGTGGCGGAAGGGTTGGTTTGGCCTTTGGCCTCCTGGAGTCCAGTGACTTGGAGGGGTTTCATTTTCTCACTGACAACCAGCCAGAGACACATGGGCTTGCATGTCAGAGCCAAACAGAGCTGCAGAGCTCTCCTCGGCCTCTCATGAGTCTCCTGGGCCACATTCTCTGAAAGAAGTCTCCTGCCTGATTTGGTAGGTCCCAGTTTAGCCTCCTTGAAGTTCCTGGACAATGCACAGGTCTTGGCAGCCTCTCGCAAGCAGCCTTTGTTCAGGGACTGTGGACTCTCCAGCCGGAAGGTGAGACTTCCAGGACAGAAGCAAAGGGAGGGCATGGCAACAGAGTCCTGAAGAGGATTCACTTGGCTCATGCCTTTTACAAAAGTTGGGGCTCAAGTTTTCAGCAAGGAAAGGACAGGAAGGGAAGAGTAGACATCAAAAAGCAACTCACTGAAGACAGATCCTGGAGTCAATTTCCTTATCTCAGCTTCCCTCACTCCTGCTCTTTCTCTGACCAACTAGGAGTGGTACAAAGCGGGGAAATGCCTTGCAGGCTTTCGAGGAAGCAGTCTTGGCTTCCTTTTGGAAGGGAGGATGCAGGCCAGCTTGCTGGGCTTATTAATTGTTCCCTTGCTGTTTGCAGCTGTCTTCGTCTCTTTCTCTGCACAGGCACATCTCACACAGCCTTCAGAGCTACCTTTCCTCTAGAAAGCCTTCTGAGCCTTGGTCAGGTCAGGGGCTGCATTTGTTTCCCAGGGCTGCTGTTATGAAGCCCCGCATACTGGGTGCCCTAGAAAACAGGCATTTATTGTCTCACAGTTCTGGAGGCCAGAATTCTGAGATCAAGGTGTCAGTGGGGTTGATTCCTTCTGCAGGCTGTGAGGGAGGATCTGTTCCACGTCTCTGGTGATTTGCTGGCCATCTTTGGCCATCTTGAGTTTTCCTTGGCTTGTAGATCTATCACTCAGATCTTTGCTTTGAGGACCATGTGGTAGTCACCTTGTGTCTCTGGTTTCAACTTTCCCCTTTTTATGAGGACACTTGTAAGGCCCACCCTACTCCCAAATGACCTCATCTTAGCTTCACTAATAACATCTGCAATGAACCTATTTCCAAATAAGGCCATATTCCAAGGTATTGGGGGTTCAGACTTCAACATATGAATTTTGGGGAGGGGACAAAATTCAACCTGTAACAGAAGCCATGGTGGAAGTGAACAACACAGGTAAGATTTAGCAAGGTCGGTGCTAATGGAGATGGGCCAGACGAGAGTGCCCAGAGTAGATCTGGAAGGGATGGGACCTGGAGTTTGACAGAAACTATGGAGGCAGACTGTGATTATTTTTAAAGCCAAGCACAGCAAATTCAGACTTGGTGTGGAAGGCAAGTCAGAGCCACCATAGGTTTTTGAATTGCATTGTAAAACTGTAAAAATGGCATTTTGGGACAATGACACAGACAGTATCATAGAAGTTGGATTGAAAGAAGATGTCAGTAGAGTCAGGGAAAGTAATTGGAATCTGGGCTATAGTGAGAGTGGAATAGAAAGGTTGGGAGAGTTTTTAAAGGAAAAGAAGACGGTAGGATTTGATGACAACTGGATTCAGAAGATGACAGCATTAACAGTGGGAACCCGGATTGACAGTAAAGTTCAGAAGGGAAAGGTGGGGATCGAGGGGTCTGTGTGTGCATGTGCATGTACACACATGAGGAGGTGGAAGTCTTAGTTTGGGATGTGCTGAGTTTAAAATGATGTATATAGCATATAAGAGGACATGTGCTCTATGGTCAGCAAATTCTTTCTATAAGGCGCCAGTTGGTAAATATTTTAGGCTTTGCAGGCCATGTCAGCTCTTTTGTAACTATCCAAGCTTGCTGTTATATTAGGAACGCAGCCACAGACAATGTGTAAGTGAGTGAGCATGGTTGTACTCCAATAAAACTTTATTTACAAAAACAGGCAGCACTCTGGAATTGGCTCAAGGGCTGTAGTTTGCTTATTCCTACACTACATAATGGGAAATGTGATATAATCATAGGTTATAAGGAGGGAGAACATAAGTCCTTTAATGGCTGGTTTTGTGAGTTTTTTTTTTTTTTTTTTTTTTTTTTGAGACAGAATCTTACTCTGTCAACCAGGCTGGAGTGCAGTGGCATGATCTCGGCTCAGTGCAGCCCCACTTCCTGGGTTCAAGTGAGTCTTCTGCCTCAGCCTCCCAAGTAGCTGGGAGTACAGGTGCATGCCACCACGCCCGGCTAATTTTTGTATTTTTAGTAGAGACGGGATTTTACCATATTGGCCAGGCTGGTCTCGAACTCCTGACCTTGTGATCCATCCGCCTCGGCCTCCCAAAGTGCTGGGATTACAGGCGTGAGCCACCGTGCCTGGCCTGTGAGGTTTTTAGAATGATGAATATTCAACCTTCAGTGGGAATCTATAATACCAATGGGAACTTATTCATGCTTGTAACAAACATGTTATTGAGAATGAAGGAGGGGCCAAGAGTGCTCAAATGTTATCACAGTCACTCTCCACTGACCACTTTGTGAGTGGGTAATTCTTATTCCCTTTTGACAGATGAGATGATGGAGTAAACCCTCAGTAAGGTAACTTGAGGCTGTTAAACTTTCCTCCTGACTCGGAAGTTTAGTAAATCTCTAAGTGGAGGACTTCCACTCAGGCAGGAAGGCTTTAATAGTTTGCATGAGTCAATGTCAAATTTAATATCTGCTTATATGTTGTCAAAGTTTTAACTCTGCACTCAACAGTTTTCAGGATAACTGCCCTCTGTGTTCTTGCTAGAGAGTAAGGTCTTGAAATTGTGTAATAGCTACAACCTGTCAAGTACCTGGAAGAGAGGAAAATTGAGAGAAGATAATTTAAGGCTCATGTAATCTCCTCATTTCTCTAGATTACCTATTTTTTTAAATTGATCAAGTTGATTGCTGGGTCCCCCACAGAATAATCATCATGTAATTTAAGACAAAGCATTGATCTCTTTGTTATAATTGAAAATGCTTTATAGATTTTGCTGTTTTAGCTGAGAATTATTATTGAAAATATTGTTTATTACATCCCCCTATATATTGTTTCTTATGAGAAAATTATCTCAGAATTTGACAGAAGAATAATTCTTTTCTCCTGAGAAGATATGATTCTGTTCTTCAGCTAGACAGAACTGTGCAACTAATTGTGTTTCCCTTTTTGATTGGATTTCCAGGAAGCTCAGAGCTAGGTTTAAGGCGCAAAGATAATAGCTATCGTCACTTAACATCAAAGTACTTATGTTTTCCAGGCTGCATCACCTTTTTAGTTCCAATTTTATTAATTTTTTCTTTTCCTCCCATAAGCTGCTTCAAATACTTCTTGGAGAGAGATGAGTATTTTTTTTTTTTTTTTTTGAGATGGAGTCTCACTCTTGTAACCCAGGCTGGAGCACAATGGTGTGATCTCGGCTCACTGCAACCTCCGCCTCCTGGGTTCAAAGGATTCTCCTGCCTCAGCCTCCTGAGTAGCTGGGATTACAGACACCCACTACCTGGCTAATTTTTGTACTTTTAATAGTGACAGGGTTTCACCTTGTTGGCCAGGCGGTTCTCAAACTCCTGACCTCAGATAATCCGCCCATCTTGGCCCCCCAAAGCGCTGAGAGTACAGGCGTGAGCTATTGTGCCTGGCCAGAGATGAGTATTTTTTAAAATTAAATTTAATTGAGTCAGAATCAAGATAGAGAGTATTTCAGTCAATCAAGATTGTTACTTAAGTTTCTTTAGACTTGGGGAAAAATGTTGAAAAAGAGTTTATGATTAAGAGCAGATATTTGCTTGGGTGACCGTTAGAGGACATTGACATTTGCTCAATAATGACCAATTATTTCATATCTGTTGAGGGATCTTCCTCAATGGACTATTATACACATTTGCCTTACTATTTGGCAAGCATTGAGGAGCTGAGGGCATCAAGCAAGCATAAGGTTTGGAGTTAGAAGATGAGGACTTGTTTTGATTCTGCCACTAAGTACTCAGGTGACTCCGCATAGGACACACAACCTCCGCTGGATAATTTTGAATGTCCCTTCAAATGTAGCTTTCTATAGGAATCTGTTGTCTACCTTCCTGCAACTGTCTGCCAATCACTCCCTTGCATATTTCCTCAAGTAAGTAAGTCTTATTTTTCTAGGAAGACTCTAAGCATCAGGGGGGCAGGAGCTATATGAATATGAATATAAGGCATATGAATTTATTTTTATATTCATTGAATCGTAATACCACCTTATTCCAAATAGATTCAAGGTGGCTTACAAAGATAAATGCAATAAAATAAGATAAAAATTTAAACTAAAGAAAAAGTGTTCATGTGGAAGGAAAACAGATTAAGACTACAAAGATGAGCAGGTAGGTAGGTAGTAGGCAGGCACCTGTAGAAAAAACCAGTCTCCATCTGTCTCCAGAGAGCACATTTGGTTTCTGCACAAACACAAATTGCCTTGGAAACTGAAGCAAAATGGAATGAGTGTGAAGAAATCTCTTTGTTTTAAATTAAATTTAACCATCACATGATGGAAACATAGCGCATCTTGATTGAGTGTTAAAAATCAGGTGCCGAGTCACTGATCACTAAAGGTATTTACTGGATGTGGTAAATGGAAATTCCTTCAGACAAAAAGGGCACTGCAGAAGTTCGGGAGAGATTTGCTACAGTGGGACAATGGACAAGAAAGATTTTGCTTTAGAAGGAAAGTGTTTGATGAGGAAAAAGTCTTGGTTCATTGTTGCCTCCCTGTGGTTTCCAAAGTATGAGGGGCTGCTTTGGGAGCAAAGCAGATAGCAGTGAAAGTGCAAAACAAGGCAAAAGCAGGGTGGAGGAATTTAGCAAACAGCACTTCTTATGAAATTAGTGAGTAATAAGGTAATATAGGGGGCTGTTCCTTTTTATGGGAAATATTCTCTGCTGAGTTCTTCAAATGAAATATTCTCAAATACTGTAATGCACTGATATGAAAGATTTATGTAGCAAGAGGCCTTAACCGATAGCAGAAGAAATTTGAGGCTATGAAAGTTGGCAGTACTGTCATTAATACTTCATTCATTTAACAAATATTTATAGAGCCCTTACCACGTACTGGATACTGTGCCAATCACTTTAGGGAGTGAGGGCAAAGGAGCAAATAATGAGTAATTCACCATATTTGTCTTAGAGAAGCTCACATCCTAAGAGGGAGATGACATCAAATGCATCCGATTAATTCATTAAAAGCACTTATTGAGCACCTATGCTATACCAAAACTAGTTCCAAGTGCTAGGTATGTAATGCGGAAGTAACAGAAACAGGATCTGTTTTGAAGTATTATGTTAGAAATCAGCAGGGTTTTTTTTTCTTTTCCTGCTCAACAGAGAATTAACACAAAGATTTTGACTGCTGAGAACTGCAGAGATTAAACAGAATTAGAGAGAGTGCAAATAGTATATAATAAAGCAATAGAAAAAGAAACAGGCCACAACTTACAGGTTCCCTTTCACTCCTGAGCAATTTCTTGGTAGACTTATTACTAATACATATTTATCTACATTTAAATACATAGTAAGATTTTCTTGCTTCTGAAGATTGAGGTCATTGGTTACCTAAAATAATGATCTTGTACCTTATCTAGTGGCGGAGCCTGGAAAAATGATCTGAGATCCAGAAGAGAATCCAGAGATAGCTGTTATATAGTAAATGTCACTAGACCCTGTGCTGCATGTCTGTGGCAGACATTACTAATAGATCACAGCACTTCTTCCTGCTACGCCTGGATGTAGCCTCAACATTCTCCCTTTGAGAGAGTACCAGGTGGCCAGAACTCGTCTTGGCACGTAAGACGAAACCTTCATGCCCTCTGAAGGCCCTTCACTCCTTTAAATATGTTCCAACCCTTTTTAATGTAAGAAACAACTGAATACTTTGGGTTTCTTTGGGGCTTCTTCCTTAACTCTCTGTTACATTCTTGTTTCAAAGTTTGGTTGAGATTACTGTCTGACAGTTGTTAAAAGGTGATGGCAATATATTATTACTCAGGACTTTCATAGCTTTAGGAAATAATAACAATTTTTATTTTTTATAATATGGAGTAATTTAAATAATTTTATGTAATTATAACATTTATTATTGTCATAATCCGTGGCATGAATTAAACATATATAACCTCCCATGCACTATATTATGTGCTTTACCTGCACATTTTATTTGATCCTCATAGTAACCCTGTGAGGTAGGTGCTGGTAGTGTCTTCTGAAAAGAACTTGCCCGAGGTCCCACCAATAGTAAGTAGTGGAACCTGAATTCCAGTCCCCGGTATTTGATGTCAGAGCTGAAGATTGTTCCCGCCTGCAGTCAAGACTGTGAGGTTCTCTCTCCCAGGAAGTATGGCTGTTCTTCTCCATGAAAAAAATGATCCTCTTCTTTATAAAATCGAAGGCATCATCTGAATTTTCAGGAGAAAGAATAGAACCAAGTATGCCCTTAAACTTACGTTCCATCTTCTTAATCTGACAGAAGGAAGAGGAAGCAGGTGAAGTGTCTGTCCTCAAGAGTTAGTGGCTAGTCCAGGACCATCATTGCACACCCGTGTCCCCATGGTCTCCACTGCCCACGGTCATGGCCATTATGGGGAGTCAACAGCTGACACAGAACAGCGGGTCTTGGGGAAGGGGAGTAAGTGGTTGGACTGCTAATATATTTTTCTTCGTCCAGGGCTGTTGATGAACTGATTTGAATTTCAATTTTTGTCCTGTCCTATACTCATTCTGGGATAAAATGGACAAGAAGTCAAGGTAGGCATTAGAAAAGAGAAACAATAGACATGGACTCAAAGAATAATAATTCCCAGATAATCAAGGGTTGACCTTAAAGAGGAAACATCTTATTTTCTGAACAAATATTCACAGGGTTAAGATGTGGATTGAATGAGATAGTGTAGGAAATAGCAAAAATAATACTATTTATTGAACTCTTACCATATGCTGGGTACCTCTTAAAGTGCATTACATGGATTTTTAAGAAAATTGCATGACTAGGTAAGGGAGATATTATTTTTTCTCTTTATAGTTGGGGAAACTGAGGATCAGAGAGTTTACGACACTTGCCTAAGGTAATACAGCTATAAAGCGTCCACCCAGGTCAAACCAGGGTTCTGCTATAACTTAGGTTCTTAATTAATCTGTTAAATTTGACCTATGTGAAAATGGTCTACAAACTATCAAGCATCAAAGAGTGAATTCATCATGCAGTTATTAAGTTTAAGCTTCAGGGTCCCTGGCCGGGCATGGTGGCTCACTCTTGTAATCCCAGCACTTTGGGAGGCCAAGTGGGTGTATCACCTGAGGTCAGGAGTTTGAGACAAGCCTGGGGCCAACATAGTGAAACCAATCTCTACTAAAAATACAAAAAGTAGCCAGGCGTGGTGGCAGTTGCCTGTAATCCCAGCTACTAGGGAGGCTGAGGCAGGAGAATTGCTTGAACCCAGGAAGTGGAAGTTGTGGTGAGCCGAGATTGCACCATTGCACTCCAGCCTAGGCAACAAGAGTGAAACCTTGTCTCAGAAAAAAAAAAAACCTTCAGGGACCCCTCACTTGCTAGGGCCTTTTCTAAGACCTCGGGAGGGGCCTCATTCATATTTATAATTTTGCATTTTTTTTAACTTAAAGAGCCCCCAACCCCACCAATTATGTAAACTTTGGGCCCACAAAACTTGCATCTGGCCCTGAAAATACCATATTATTCTAGACTAGATGGTCACATGGTCCTTCTATTCTTATCACCTACCACCCCGTGGAGAATGTGGTATGAGTAGAGCCTTCTCTTTTCTTTAGTATTATTCATCATTCAAATTCCTGGTATTTCCCTTCTCTGGAACCTCAATTTATTTAGACAGCAAGCTGTGTTGGGGACCAATAGCTTCAAGCCACTCAGCAGAAAAGTATTAATCTTTTCTCTGGCATCTCACATATGACATCGCCAATGGTGTGTTTGCAACCCCTTGTGAGAATGTCCACTCTTCTAATTATAGTAAATGCAGTCAAGGAAAAAGGGCCTTGATTTTAAATAAAGAGCCGTGAATTCTGCATTTGCATGTCATGCTCTGAAGTAATCTTTTTCTGAGTCATGGATTATAAATTATCAATTTAGATCAAGCCACAAAAAGCACTGTGTTTTGTTAATTTGGGGCCTTTGGAAAGGGCAAAAAAATTCTAGTCAAATATCCTAAGAGATTCTGCACTCTCCAAAGTAAAACATCTTGGTAAGTCACTAATAGTTCTTGAGCGACTACACATTTAGGACGAGAATGTATTTATGCTAAGTGAACTAAGTTTCTGGAGCTGTGACAACGTAGAATATGTGATTACTAGAAGATTCAATAAACACTTGAAAATGTAGAATTAATGTAAAACTTGATTTGGAAACTAATTTGGACCATATGATTATTGGGACAAGACATATTTTTTGTTTTCTATAAAAATAAACCCAGATATGTGTAAGGGAGTATTTGTTTGAGCAAAAGTAATGTCACTAATAATCCATGTAACTTTAGATTGCAATGATGATAATAATAATGATAAAAGTTAGCACATTGTTTACTAGGTCAGGTACTGTGCTAAGCACCTTATGTCCATTATCTCACTATTCCTTACAAGTCTATCATTGTCCCCATTTTTCAGATGAGGACACTGAGGTAAAAAAAAGTCGAGTGACTTGCCAAGGTAGTTTGGTACATCATGGACCTGAAATTTGAGTATAGTCTGTCTGATAGCAGAACACAAGCTCTTAACCACTCTGCAAGCATTTTGCCTCTTTGGGGTTCAGCTTTCCTATCTGCAAAATGAAGGGCTTGGCCTTCCTGATCTCTGCCATTTCTTTCAGCTCTAAAGCTCTAGGGTGTTATGATTTCAAGTTACAATCCTCTGGCAGCAAAAGAGCTCTTGGTATTTCACTAATATGTTTGTTTTTCTAATTGATCTCTACCAGCTCAGGGTAATTAAAACCCCACAGCTCTTACATTCCCCAAACAAACAGAAGCGTGCATATTCACCACTCCTCACAGCAGTGCACATGGCATTGTTTATGCATGGCACCTAAGATAAAAACCAAATATATGGTGGAAAGTAGCAAGCTTTGTGAGAACAGAGGAGTAAGTGTGTGTACCTTCCAGTCTAATGTTCTGTAAGTTTCTGCATATTTACCAACAGTAGTAAGTGTTGACTTGATCCAAGGCTCCCATCAACAACCTCAGATGTTCTATTAGTGAATCATACTTCACATTCATGGTAAATATATGATAGAATGATGGGTTTAGAAATTTAGAATACCGTTCAGCAGCTTGTGATCCAGATAACCATTTATTATGGCCATAATAACAGAATTATCAATATGAGAAAAAACACTCAGCCTTTCTGGATTAAGATACTCTCATGGCCGATTCCTTTGTGCACAGCCTTAGTTACCATGGGGATCACGATGTAGAGTGTTCTAAGTTCTTGGCATTGCTGCCTGGTGAGTGCGTCCTTACCTTTGGGGTAAAGTTATGTGCCTGAATGAAGACAGAAACAACAGGATTTCCTACAAGGAGTGTGGATGACGCATCTCTCTATGTAGCCAGAGCTCTTCAAGTGCAGTCTGTCAGGACAAGAAGAGGATTCTTTGTTCATTTCATGAAGTTACTGATTACTTCCTTTCCTGGCTTCGTGTTAGGTGGCATTGTAACCATTACAATGCAGTATTTGAGGCCATGCCCTCAGGAACTTATAGTAAGGGTGAGAAGATGTATGTAAAACTCTATCTGTAGGCTTACCACTGCACAAACTTCTTTCTCTAACTTGTCTTAACTTCATGATAAGGTAATATTGGAAATAGGCCTTAAGGGATAAGAATTTGGACATACAGAAATTGGGGTAAGGATGTAGCGGATGGAAAGGCAGGAGGAGAGGTTAGGTGAGGCAAGAAAAGGAACAATTTGGGCCTAGGACAAGACTGTCTGTATTTTTCCTTTGTAGCGTCACTATAGTTGTCATTTTTTTGCGTTATTATTTGCTTATTGACTGTCTCCTAGATTGGAAGATAAGCCCTTTGAGTCAAGGACTAGGGACGAGGTCTGTCCTACTCATTGATGTATGCCAAGTGCCTGTGACCACATATAGGTACATAAAGGGGCTCAGAAAATACGTATCATAAAAAGGGAGGAGGGAAAGTTTGGAAAGGGACTGGCCAATGGTGAACACATAGCTAGAATCTCAAGATCAGAGACATAATAGTAGTTTAATTGCCCAGAAAGTTAGAAAACTTTTTTTTTTTTTGAAGTCAGAGTCTTATAGTGGTCATAATGCTAGCTAGGCAGCTAGCAAGAATTTTAAAAAAAATGGAAGAGCAGGCATTAAGACTAGGCAACAGGGGAGAGAATGAGGGCATTTAATTCAGCTCAGCAAGCAGGTACCACCTACGAGCCAGGCATTATGAAGTGGCAAGGGTATGAGTGTGTACAAGAGAGGTCAAGATCAGCTTAAATTGAAGTTTGAAGGAGGGAAGATTGTGTCTTTGGGATAAATAGTAGCTTCACGGAAGAGGCAGTGTTTCAAGTAAAATTTAAATAACCAAATTTTATAATTTTTTCAAGAATGCAATCCAAAGTCCAATCTTGGATTTTTCTAGAATGGAAGTGGAGAGGGCATTCTAATAAAAAAATAGAGGTGGGAAGATAAATAGCTTTTATAATGAACCTGTGTGCCAGATACTTTGGTATGTGCTTTACTTAAATCATCTTACTTATTCTTTGCAGATCCAATGGAGCAAGATTATAGGTGAGCAAACTGACCTTTTTAATGGGTCTGTGACTTGAATCCAGGTCTGTCTGACTCTAATCTGGCAAGAGTGATTATAATAATAGTTAATCACTATTGAGCTACCTACTTTCTTATCTGCTTGGGAATCTCTTTTCTTCATGAATCAACTCAAGCATGACTACCCTGATACTTTCCCTGTAAACCTCTGCATGGGGTGCTCTATATGTGCTCTAATTAGAATATTTATCTCACCATATTGCAATTGTCTAAAAACACCCATTTGGAGCACAGTGGATTGTGAACTTGATGAAGAAATGGACTGAATATATCTACTGCCTTCTAAAGATGAACTCCAGGTGGCCCTTCTTTGTGTAACCAACAATTGAATTCAAAATCTCATGTGGGATCATCAGATGAACAGAGTCTGGATTAAACGGCTGTGCCCTAGCTGAAAGAGAGGCTGGAAAAGTGAATTCCTGATATCAATTTTGTGATAAGGGACTAATAACGTGGGGAGTCTCCTGTCATAGGTGTGGATGTTCAGATGAGGTAAACATCCAAAAAAGAAATACAGAGAAGGCAGAGCTGTTAAATTATTTCCCGAAGCAGCTCTGAGTAAAAATTAGACACTGGTTTGAGTGTGGGTTATGGAAAAAGGAAGAATGGGAGAAATGATAAAGGAATTAGCATCATTAAAATGATGCAGGTGAGCCACACTCTGTGGGGGCAGCAGGTGGCAGAATTTACCATCTTGAGCTCAATATGGGCATCAGTGGTGGGACATCAGTGATCTTAAGGGTATATGAACATATTTAAAAATATTTTAATAGTTATTTTAATGGATAACAGCAAAATAATTAGCACATCAAACTTGTGAATTCACAGTGTTATTGCTTAGGAGAAGGTTAAGGTTAAGTTCAGTTTAAAAAGAGTTATTCAATATTAAAATGATGAAATAAATAATACAGCAGGTGGCATATAGCTATGGCATGATTTCTGAAGGTAGCATGGGAATGGCTGAAGTTTGGGGAAGTTTATACATGGACACAGGAGGCCAGAGCTTCACTCATCACCTATGTGTGTTTTATCTCACTGGGCCTCGTTTTTTTTTGGGTTATCTATCTATCTATATTATTTATTTGTTTATTTATAATTCAACTTTTAAGTTCAGGGGTATATATGCAGGTTTATTATATAGGTAAACTCATGTCACGGGGCTTTGTTGTACAGATTTTTTCGTCTCCCAGGTATTAAGCCTAGTACCCATTCATTTTTTTTCCTGATCCTCTCCCTCCTCCCACCCTTCACCCTCTGTTAGGCCTCTGTGTGTGTTGTTCCCCTCTGTGTCCATGTGTTCTCACCATTTAGCTCCCACTTATAAGTGAGAACAGGTGGTATTTGGTTTTTCAGTTCCTGCATTAGTTTACTAAAGATAATGGCTTCCAGCTCCATTTGTTTTCCTGCAAATGACATGATCTTGTTCCTTCTTATGTCTGCATAGTATTCTATGGTGTATATGTACCAGATTTTCTTTATCCAGTCTACCATTGATGGTCATTTAGGTTGATTCCATGTCTTCACTATTATGAGTAGTGCTGCAATGAAAGTATGCCTGCATGTGGCTTTATGATAGAATGATTTATATTCCTTTGGGAATATACCCAGTAATGCGACTGTTAGGTGGAATGGTATTTCTGTGTTTAGGTCTTTGGAGAATTGCCATACTGTCTTCCACAATGGTTGAACTAATTTACACTCCCACCAACAGTATAAAAACGTTCCTTTTCTGTGCAACCTTGCCAGCATCTGTTATTTTTTGACTTTTTAGTGATGGCCACTGTGACTGGTGTGAGATGGTATCTCATTGTGGTTTTGATTTGCATTTCTGTAATGATCAGTGATGTTGAGCTTGTTTTCATATGATTGTTAGCCACATGTATGTCTTCTTTTGAAAAGTGTCTACTCATGTCCTTTGACTGGTTCTCAATTTTATACTTTATGTTTTATAATCTATCTGGGCCTCAATTTTATACTTTATGTTTTATCTCACTCAGCCTCAATTTTATACTTTCAAGGGGGTCAGCACTATCTTGGCTTCCTGAAGGTAGGGTCAAGACTAGACTAGACTTAGAGTGTCCAAGTGACACTTACTTGGTTTGCCAAGACTAGTTGTGAATTCTTAGGAATTTGATCTATTTATTCTCGTTATTCAGCCAAGCCTGCAAAATGTCAGAGCTCTGAGTTATCACTCTTTAAATGCGAGACTTCACCTGAGTGGCCTTTGGGGAAAGTGGGTCATCATGGGTGGGTGTGTTTCTCCATTTGATAAGTGATTTAAGCTCAAATTTTTATTTGCACTAGACATGGGTCCGTTCCCTGGCTCAATGTGGCCTCTTACAGCTTTTCCATTCACACATCCTCCTGCTGGGTTACTGGCCACTGTCTTTCCCACTGTGAATTACTGAAAAGTATGCATTCTCTTCTCAGTGTCTAGCTGCCAGTCTGGTTCACTGTAGGTCCCTGGTGAACGTAAAAATAAAACCCTTGAAAGTGGACATTATTCTATCATGTCAATTTAGCTCTCGGGAAATTGTATGGACTTTAAAAATGTCTCTCCCAAGAATCATTTAGTTACTTATTCCTTAGGAACCACTGTGGTTCAGCAAGACCTGGTGCTTCAGGAAGCAAGGTTAGAAAGAAAGGGGGCTGGGAAGAGCAGCATGGGATGGGTGCTGTGGAGCATGTTGTCATTGTTAAGATGTTGGAGCAGCTTTGGCATGGGGAGAATATGGCTGAAAATGAAGTCGTAGCAATGAGGACAACCTGGACTCACTGCTCTGAGTACTTGTGCAATGGTAGCTGGAGCTGTCTCTTACTGGGATTTGTATATAAGAGAAACATGGATAGTTACCTTGAATGTAGAATCTACTTAGAGATTATTCTTAAATATAGCTTAGATTGCATTGGCAGGGTTTTTTTTTTTTTTTTTTTTTTTTTTTTTTGAGACGGAGTCTCGCTCTGTCGCCCAGGCCGGACTGCGGACTGCAGTGGCGCAATCTCGGCTCACTGCAAGCTCCGCTTCCCGGGTTCACGCCATTCTCCTGCCTCAGCCTCCCGAGTAGCTGGGACTACAGGCGCCCGCCACCGCGCCCGGCTAATTTTTTGTATTTTTAGTAGAGACGGGGTTTCACCTTGTTAGCCAGGATGGTCTCGATCTCCTGACCTCATGATCCACCCGCCTCGGCCTCCCAAAGTGCTGGGATTACAGGCGTGAGCCACCGCGCCCGGCCGGCAGGGGTTTTTTGACTCTACTAGTTAAGCTAGGTCAGCCACTACACTAAATAAAATAAGGCTAAAGATTATACCTTCAGTTAGCGACCTCAAACATAAACCTTTCCATTCATGAATAAACCTAGGATGAACCATTTGGTAGGTTACCTGCCTCATTTTATCTTTGAGTTAGTAACAGCAATGTTGATAGTATTACCGCTCACCAAATATTCCATTTTTCTTATGGTACCTTTTCTGCAGGGCAGTTATACATTTCCACCTTGTTAAACTCACAAGCAGCAATATGATTTGCCTTAGCCATTGAAGAATGGGCCAAAGCAATGTATAACTCCCTGTGCTGAGAATTTTATATGTTCTGTCTCATTTAATATGGTAGCAACCTTGTGAGATAGATACATTTCTTCAATGTCTAGATGAGGATGCTGAAACTCAAAGAAGCTGAAAAGGTTTTGGTAGTCACATCACCTGCACATGTGTTCAGGATTTGACCTGGCCCTTGCTCTTAACTGCTTCACTTTATTGTACATCCCTATCCCAACAACTTTTGTTAAGATGTCATCTAACACAAGTGCCAAAGACTCTGATTCTCAGATCCCTCAGGTACCAATCCTTGCAGGGAACAAACCTAGAAAAGTAAGGTGTAGCCTTTCATAATCTGGGGAACAAAAGAAGAAAATGTAGCTGATCTATTGGTGACAACCTACTATTTATTTTGTAAGAAAAGACTAGAGCCACATACACATAAAACAATGCTCTATACCTGTAAAAATAATCTAGTAATTTTATTACACTAACTTGATGACGTGTTGGAAATTATATAAAGAACACAAATTTATCACCAATAAAATGTCATTGTACAAGCAAACTTGGGGGAATATAAATATATAGCATATATGTTCACACAATAGGTTTATATTATAAATGTATACAAAATTTGCTTTGGAATAATGGTCTGGACGATGCATATTTAAGTATCAATATATACATGTCTTAAAGTTTAGTGAAAAATACTGTTGGTGCCAATATGCACCATTCACACAGCAGGGTTCCCCAAACAATGACAACAAACTAAATTAATAATGTTGTAACTAAACCACAGTAATGTGTAATTGAAAAACAAGGACAGCAGCAATTTAAAAACCACAACCAACCAACCCAAGATAACACTGATAATATGCTGACAACAAAGGATTCATGCTGTGACTTGGAAATTCCAGCTGTTTGTTTGTGAGCTTGTGTTGGAACTGGCAATGTTGCCAAGCATTGTGTAGGAATCAGAATTGTTAGCAGAAGCAATGAATTTGTGTGCTCAATAAACTAGTAATGTGCTAACTTGAATTTATGAAGACTGAAATTTAGTGACCTAATTGCCCACTTACTGCTAGTCCTCATGTCTATGAATTAAAGCAGGATCAGTTTCCATTAGGTCAAATGGCAGCCAATCAACGGTCTCGCTGGTGCAGTTTGATAATCATTCTTCTAGAAGTCAGCTTACCCAGGTTTTCACACTTAGACCCTTATTTTGATAAATCTTCTGGCAAAATGCAAAAAGCTTCCCAACTGAGGCTCCAGGCATGGGGCATCCACTTCCCATACACTTTCAAAAAAGTCATTGAGGATCTATTGCTCACCTTGTAGAATGCACTTGGTTTGCCAGGTGCTTCGGGTCTGAGAGAGAAGTGTCTTGTGTTGAAGGTTTGCACAGTTTGCCATGGTCCAGTGGTTACCATCGTGTTTCGTGAAGTTGGGAGAATTCGAGTCCTATTGTTTCATGACCGATAGGACCATCCTCTTGGTATGACCAGCTTCTTTCATACAGTGCCAAGTACACGGTGTTTCAGGCCCTGGTGGAGAAGTTTTTTGGTTCCTGGCTGGGAGAGCCTGGCTAAAGGTCTTTAGGTGGCTTTTCCCCAGGGCTCCTGTCTGGACCACTATGCAGGTAACTTTATTAGCTTCCTCTCACTTCTCAGTCTTGCACCCCTACCTACTAATTGCCCTCAAGTAATGAAGGGTAATGAATGACTTGGAGACTTTTCCAATGAACATCACCTTCTCAACTGAAAGCTTTTTTTTTTTTTTTTTTTTAAGTTCAAGTTTGGTCACTCTCAATTTAAGGTACTCTGCTAGTACAATTTTCCTGTGGGTTTTCTCAGCATGTATTTATAACTTATGATACTCTGTGTTATGGGTTGAACTGTGTGCCTCAAAACAGACATGTTGAAGACTAAGCTCCCAGCACCTCAGAATGTGATCTTATTTGGATATAGAGCCTTTACAGAGTTAACCAAGTTAAAATGAGGTTATTAGGGTGGGCCCTAACCTGTCATGACTGCTCTCCTTATAAAAAGGAGAAATTTGGACACAGAGACAAACATGCATAGAGGGAAGACTGTGAAGACATGGGGAGAATGCCATCCACAAGTCATGGATGTCCGAGGCTACCAGAAGCTGAGAGGGAAGCCTGGAACAGATTCTCTTAAAATGGTCAGAAGGAATCAACCCTGTCAGCATTTTCATTCAAGACTTTTAGCCTCCAGAACTCAAACAATAAATTTCTGTTGTTTCAGCCACCCAGCTATGGCAGTGCCAGGAAACTAGCATACAATGTTACTTTGCCGGCAGTATTAATCCATTAAAATTGAATCCAGTTTTTGCAGTGGCATGCATCTATAGTCCCAGCCACTTGGGAGGCTGAGGCAGGAGGATAACTTGAGCCCAGGGGTTTGAGACCAGCCTGGAAAACATGATGAGAGCCTGTCTCTAAAAAAATATTTAATTCAATGTAACAAATGCCTGTAAATGAATTCAGGCAGAGGTGGTAATAGTTGATAATGATGTAATGTGCTCCTCCCTCCTCAAGCTCTCTGCATCTCTTCCCCACCGAGACCCACACTTTCCTATCATCTTTTCACTGTCCCTCCTCTCCTCAAGGTTCTTGGTTTACTCTCTACCCAGCCTAGACTCCTTGGACCATCATTATCATCACTTTATTGCATTCCATCAACTAGTTCACCCTCTCTCTCTTCATTATTTTCCTCTGGAAGACCCCAACCTGGATTAAATTACACTCTCTGCTTGTTCCTGTGCAGTTCAATGTGGCGGGAGAAAACACGCATGCTGAACATCACACCTTAATTAATAACCCCTAGGGCTGCCAGAACTGCCCGGTCTAGTTTTTCCCTTCCTTTACTATGAACAAATCCTCCTCGAAATTCTAGTATCCCTTTCCCTCCTCTTCTGCTCTCCACTCTCAGCTAATGATTTTGCTTCCTGTTTCACACAGAAGTAATCAAAAGATGTCTACATGTTCCAATTTCCACACCTTCCCGAATCTGTGCTGTTGGGCTCACTGGCCTCTTCCACATGCCTGTCTAAGGCCAGCCCCTCCTACTGGCCACCAGACCTCAGCTCTTCTCCCTATTCAAGATTTGGTTCTTGGGCTGTTTCCTTCTTTCTGGTATCGTTAATCTCCCTGTTTATTTGTTTCCTAGATATTTCCCATTAGCATACGAACATGCTGTGATTTTTCACATCTCAAAGAAAAAGAACCTCTCCTGACACACACCTCTTCCAGCTGCCACTCCGTTTCTCAGATCTTCTTTACAAGAAAACGAGTAGAACAAATTGTCTTTATGTTTTTATCCAATCTCTCTCCTTTCATTCTCTCTTGAAGTCACTTGAATCAGTCTTCTGCCCCCAACACTCCACTAAGACTGATACTGTGAATGTCACACAATGGTCTCCAAACTACTAAGTCCATTGGAGTATTCTCAGTCCTCATCTTACTTGACATATTAGAAGCACTTGACACAAATGATTACTTCCTCATCATTGAAACATTTTTTTTCCTTTGGTGCTAAGACTCTATACTTACCCATTTTCCCCCCATCTCAATAGCCACTCCGTTTGCAACTCCTTTAATGGTTTCTCTTCATTTCCCAAACACCTAAATGTTACCATATTCCTAGACTCAGTCCCTGGAATTCTTATCTTTTATACCTACCCTCACTTGGTAGGTGAGTGTGGCACCTTTCTCAGGGTTCAAAGTACCTACCTGCTGATCATACCTGTTTTTATCTTTCAGTTTTCATCTTTCCCTTGAATGCCAGATTGAGGTGCCCGCTTGACAACTCCACTTAGGTGGTGAACAGGGTCTTCGGTTTAACACAGCCAAGATGAAACTCCAGGTCTCCTGTCCCACCAGTAATTTTTTTCTTCCAGCAATGTCCTTTTTCTGTTTTATATGTATTCTTTTAGAGACAGGGTCTTGCTCTGTCACTCAGGCTGCGGTGCAGTGGCTTGATTATAGCTCACTGCAACTTCAAACTCCTGGGCTTAGTGATCTTCCCACCTCAGCCTCCTGAGTAGCTAGGACTATAGGCACATGCCACCATGCCTGGCTAATTTTTCTATTTTTCGCAGAGGCGGGGTCTCTCTATGTTGCCCAGGCTGGTCTTGCACTCCTGGGCTCAAGCAGTCTTCCCATCTCAACCTCCCAAAGTGCTGGGATTACAAGTATGGGCCGCTGAACCCAGCCAGCAATGTCCTTTTCACAGTACATGGGAACTTTCACTATCAATTGCTCAGACCTCAAACCTGACATTTACCTCTAACTCATATTTTTATGGTCAGTTTCTGAGAAAGGAAAGATGTTGACTCATCCTTCAAAAGGAACACAAAACTCAATGACACTTTCCACCTTCACCACTCACTTTTTGGTCCAAGTCACCATCACCTCACACTTGGTTTTTGCAACAGCCTCCTAGTTGGTTTTCATGCTTCTGACCTTGAAACTCTATAGTTTTACCAAAGCAGCCCAAATGATAGACTGATTTTTAAAAATAACACTTTATTGGTGTATCATTCACCTACCATATAATTCACCATGTAAAGTGTTCAATTCTCTGATTTTTTTTTTTTTTTTGAGATGGAGTTTCACTCTTGGTGCCCAGGCGGGAATGCAATGGCATGATCTCGGCTCACCACAACTTCTGCCTCCCAGGTTCAAGCAATTCTCTTACCTCAGCCCCCTGAGTAGCTGGGATTACAGGCATGCGCCACCACGCCCAGCTAATTTCATATTTTTAGTAGGGATGGGGTTTTTCCATGTTGGTCAGACTGGTCTCAAACTCCTGACCTCAGGTGATCCGCCTGCCTCGGCCTCCCAAAGTGCTGGGATTACAGGCGTGAGCCACTGCGCCTGGCCCGATTTTTAATATGTTTATAGATTTGTGCAACTGTCACCACAATAAATTTTATAGTATTTTCATCACTTCTAAAAAGAAACTCCATTACCATTGGCAGTCATGTCTTATTTCTCCCTAACCTTCCCTGCCCCCTTAGTCCTAGGCAACTGCTAATCTACTTTCTGTTTCTATGAATGTGCTTACTTTGGACATTTTATATGAATGAAATCTTATAATATTTATCCCTTGTGAGGCTGGGGCTGGTGGCTCATGCCTGTAATCCCAGCACTTTGGGAGGCTGAGGCAGGCAGATCACTTGAGGTCAGGAGTTCGAGACCAGCCTGGCCAACATGGTGAAACCTTGTCTCTACCAAAAATATAAAAAATTAGCTGGGTGTGGTGGTGTGCGCCTGTAATCCCAGCTACTGGGGAGGCTGAAGCAGGAGAATCGCTTGAACTTGGGAGGCAGAGGTTGCAGTGAGCTGAGATCATGCCACTTCACTCTAACCTAAGTCATAAGAGCGAGACTCTGTCTCAAAAAAAAAAAAAAAATTATCCCTGTGACTGGCTTCTTTCACTTAGCATAATGTTTTCAATGTTTATCCATGTTATAGCATGTATCAGTATTTCTTTAAATTGTCTAACAATATTCTGTAGTATAGATATGTTATATTTTATTTATCCATTATCAGCTGATGAACATTAGGTTGTTTCCATTTATTGGGTATTATGAGTAAAGCTGCTATGAACATTTGTGTACAAGTTTTTGCAAGGGCATATGTTTTCATTTCTCTTGGGTATATACCTAGAAGTGAAATTCACTTCACGAGGCAGCAGGAAGGAGAAGTGCCAAGTGAAGGGGGAAGAGCCCCTAATCAAACTATCAGATCTCCTGAGATCACCATTATCATGAGAACAGCATGGGAGAACCTCCCCCATGATCCAATGACCTCCACCTGGTCTCTTCCTTGACTCACGGGGATTATGGGGATTACAATTCAAGATGAGGTTTGGGTGCGGGCACAAAGTCTAACCATATCTCCAGAGGAGAGGTAGTGTTAGAAATTTGGCTCCATTTGTCCCTTAGATTCCCCAAAAGATGGTGCCTCATAACTATCTGGAATAACAAAAGATGATGGGCATGTGTCTATATGTGTGTGTGGGTGCCCATAAGGCAAGGGTTCTAATTTCTGCCATGTCACTAATTTGCTGTGTGACCCTGAGTAAGTCACTTAGCCTTCCTGAGCATAGTTTCCCTGTTTGTAAAACAAGGAGGTTGGACTACATGATTTTTGAGCTCTTCCCATCCCTGAAAGTCCATATCCTGTCATACTTTTTACCTAATGAGATATTAACTCCGGCTTCATTTTAGGACTTAGGGTCCTGGGAACTGGCAGCTATCAGCAAATAATCTCCAAATGAAATTTGAACACAGTGGAGCTTAATGTATTTTTGTATTTGGGCTTTGGGAGATCAAATTTTGAATTGGCAATATAGGGAATTCAGTTACTATTTTTGACAAGCGGTTGGACTTATTGAATGATACATTGGATCTGGCAGCATTACTAATGAATCAAGGAACAAGGACAGAGTTAACATTTTCAAAATAGTTGAAGGGCCTTAAAAAATTGACCCTAATGAGGACACTAGATTCTTTTTAGAAACCACAGAATTTGCCTTGCAAAGACCCTCATTATGCAGAATGAGCTACTTAAAGACAGAGGAGAGAAGTGGTATGAGGGGAGGAGGGTTAGGAGGAGAAATAAAGCTTTGGGGATGATGGGAGCTCAAATTGTCTAAGCAAGAGGACTATTATTTTGCTCACAATAGATCAGTTAGATTCTTACTTGTGTTTGTTTGTTGGGAGAGGAGGAAAGTGGCCCTCATGAAATTGTGAGGGTAGGAAGGTAGGGTTCGTGGGTCTTTGTGATGCTTGTGGAAATAAAAGGTTTTCTTTCTGTACAGCAAAATTGTTATTAATGACACAGAAAAATCAGAGCTAATTTGCACTAATGTGATGACACATCCTAAGATCAGCTTTTTGGGTGATAGTCTGATCCTGTGTGATTGTTTGACGTGCCCTAGGGTTACCTCAATCTAGAGGTTCCCTACTGGGTCAAGTTAGGGATGGATGGGGCTGGAACCTAAGCTATGGATGAACTCCCTGGCCATAGCCTACCAAGAGGCAGAGAGGATGAAGGGCATTGGAGAAAGTGGAAATACGGTCTAGAACTTCTGCCTCAGCTGCTGAGTGTCTCCGTGATCTTACTGCTGACAAGGGGTCCTAGGGTGTGTATACACAAGAGTTGCTGGAGCTACCCTGGCTTGTGAGTCTTCATGCATGGCTCTGCGCATGGAATTGTAGCCTGTGGATGCGAGAAGGGAACTTTCATTCCAGATCATGGTGTAGGTTTCATGGCATTGTCAACACGGATTAGTCAGTAGTGATTTCCTGGAGCACTTTGTTGAGAGGATTCTAAGTTTCATATCTAGGTTTAGCCTAAAAGAGTACCTTCATGCATTAGCAATGTCTGCCACAAGTGAGAAGGGTAAGAAGTATGTCATAGCCATGTATTTTCAATATCTGACCCAATTTTGGAGACAAATTGAGGCCAAAAGAGGGCAAGTGACCTATCTGAGGTTACACTGCTAGTTAGACAGCTGGGGAATAAACCCAGGTCTCCTTTCTCTGATGCCAAAGTATTTTTCATTTTGCCATGCTGGGAGCTACTTTCATAAAGTCTTCTGTTCCATAAGGATAGTCACTAAGTATGTAGGAAAACATAAAGCCAGGAATGACTGGGCATGTGATAACATATAAACAACCCACTTTGAGCCATATAGTGAACTCTGCTTTTGTTCTTGGTACAACCGGTCCCAAAATAGCACGTGTCTGCTTGCATTGTCTGTGAAAGCTGCAGTACTGTGGAAGCCACAGAAACACTGTTCTTTGAGCAATTAACCTTTTTAAAGGAAAGTTCATTATTTTATAGAGACACATGAAGTATTTACAATTCTTTCCAATATTTTACCCTCATAACTTAAAATTTGGGGTCTTTGCCCTTTGGAATTCTTAGTATCTGCTTTTCTCCTAAAGGTGAAGTTGCTAACTTAGGCTTTGGAAGGTTTTCATTTTATTACAAAGGTTTGTGTCTAATGGGCTCTCTAATGCTGATTCCCTCTTCATGCCTCCAGCTGCTGGGAGTGTAACCTGTTCTTCAGGAATTGCCTTGGTGGAAGGGAATTGCCTTGTTCATGGTGTGCCCTTTGTCCAGGGGCAGTCTCCATTTAGGAACTGTCAGCAAAGGGGTTCAAAAGCAGCTCTGAAGAGCCATTCTGGCTCCAGTCCTCCCCATGGAGTCAGCTGAAGTTTCTGTTGCAAGTACATCAGTTAAACTTTTTCCTGTGCTGAATCCTGCTTGCCTTACCTTCTTACAGGCATTGTTCCTGAGAGCGCACACCAATAAACATTTTGTATGTATATCACCATCTCAGAGTCTATTTGATAGAATAGTTACCCAAGCTATTCTGGCTTCTGAAGGTGCTGAACCAAGGGACAGAAATATAAAGTTGGATAATGGAGAATTTACCCAATATGAGAGCATTTTTCCCTGGACACACAATTTTAGCACTTTGGCAAAGACCCCAGGAGACAGTGCTAGAATGGCTCTTGGAAACTTGGAGAATGCAATGACCCACACCAAATGAAGTAGAACTATCAGAACTGCCCAGGTAGATGGTGAAGCCATCAGAAGGCTCAGAGAAGGAGCCCTGCTGGAATATTTATATAAGATAAGGCCAGAAAAATGTTTAGTTGACCATTTTCCATAGACGGGCCAGGAGAACGTTCTCACCAAAGTAATAAGGAATATGCTAGTGAAGTGAGCACTGATGTGGCCTTGGATACATACACCAGTGTGTGGTCATTGATCTGGTTAGTGCATTTATTTCATCTCCAATTGTATTAGTCAGGGTGATCCAGAGAAACAGAACCAATGGAGCCAATGGTATCAGTCCCTGTCTGAGTCCATAGGCCTGGGCGTTAGGAGCACTGATGTCTGAGAGCAGGAGAAGATGGATGTCTCAGCTTAAGCAGAGAGCAAATTTGCTCTTCCTCTGCCTTTTGTCCTATTGAGGCCCTCAATGTATTGGATGATGTCTACTCGGAGAAGGGGATCTTCTTTGCTCAGCCTGCCAATTCAAATACTAGTCTCTTCCAGAAGCACTCTCATAGACATACCCAGAAATAATATTTTACCAGCTATCTGGGCATCTTTTAGCTCAGTCAAGTTGACACATAAAAATTAACCATCACAAATTCACCTTTTATCAACTTGGCACCCATATACATTGCCTTAAACAACACTTCATCTCCCCACAGAGACAATAACAAGGTCATAATTCTGTTTAATGTGATAAAACTAACTCTGTGTACAACTGAAAACCTACTAATCCCTTCCCTAGAAGATGAGGTAAAGTCCTTGAATAGTGTTTACTCTTCTGCTGATATTCCATAACTTAAATACTGTGATGTAAAATTAACAATACTTATATACTGACATAAAGTCAACATAACTTATATTACATGATAACATAAGAGGAAAGAAAGCAAGGATACTTGCTTAATGTATGTATATATACACATAAATGTGTATGAATAAAAATTCCTCATAATGAATAAAGAAGAAATCTTTATGACAATTACAGTCCTTGCCCCTGTAACTGGTCATATATATGGTCATAGCTACTATTTATAACTGACTTCTGTCACTCATTCGGTATTCTCTTTGCTTTCAGCAAGCATCTCTGCTGATTGTGGTTCTTTACCTGGGATACTTAGGGAAGAGTTACACAAACTTTCATTCCTGAAGGGTCTGGACCATTAGTAGTCTTGCCTGGATTGGTTTGTTGTGGTTTTCCATTGACCTTAATTAATCACAGGACATGATAATACTAAGAGATGCCCTAAGGGAAATCCTGCATTTCAGACAAACTCTTCCTCACCTGCATTGTGGAATAATATCCCAATTTACCCTTGGTAATCAGGATCAATCACCCCTGCCAACAGTGTAACTCCCTTCTTTCCCTGTTGATTCAGAGGCACAAGGAACCCAAAGTGGCCGGGTGGCAATCTTAACTTCTAGTTTAATGGAATCATTATTGTGTCTCCTGCTAGAGGCATTCCTCTGACCTCTGGGCCAGTGGAGGTCAGCGACTAAGACCTCTGAACCAGCAGGGCATAAAGTTATGGGAATAGGAAGCAACAATTTTGTTAGTGAGTCCTTAGGGTAGTGGTGACTGGTACCACCCCACCTTCACCGTTTGATTCCTGGACCCATTAATCCTGGATATGGGAGACACAGAACCATATACTGGATACTTATTCAGAGAATCTATCAAGCCAACTGCTTCAGGCTGGTGGAGAACATGAAAAAAGCAGTGAATTCCATGAGCATAGGGCCATTGCCACACTCCTTTTGCAGTGAAGTGAGTTCCTTGATCAGAGGCAATGTTGTGTGGAATATCATGATGGCGTATAAGGAATTCTGTAAGCTTATGGATAGTAGTTTTGTCAGAAGCGTTGCATTCAGGGAAGGCAAATCCATATTCAAAGTAAATATCTATTCTAATAAGAACAAAACATAGCCCCCTTCATAATGGAAGCAAGTCAGTGTAATCAACCTGCTACCAGGTAGCTGGCTGATCACCCTGGGGAATGGTGCCATATCAGGGACTCGCTGTTGGTCTTTGCTGTTGGCAGATTAGGTACTCGGTGGTGGCCACAGGCAAGTTAGCTTTGCTGAGTGGAAGTTCCTGTTTCTGAGCCCGGCCATAAAGTCCATCCTTGCTACTGTGGCCACCTTATTCATGAACCTACTGGGTGATGACAAGAGAGGCTGACCAGTATTTTATCCACTTTTGTTGAATATTAACATGGAACACAAATATCTTCACTTTTCTGCTCATTCAGAGTCATTTATCCACATACCCTTTCTCCATATTTCTTTGTTACCAATTTTGCAGTCATGTTTCTTCCAGGTCCCTGACCATCCAGCCAAAACACTGGCTACAGCCCATGGATTGGTATAGAATCATGTCTTTGGCCATTTCTCCTTCTAAGCAAAGTGCACAACCAGATGCACTGCCTACAGTTCTGTCTACTGAGAGCATTTTCTTTCAACACTGTGTTCAGGTATGTTCCAGAAAGGGACTGCAGTGGTATAGTAGTGTACTTTTGAATGGTTCCTGCATTTCATGCAGAACCATCTGTAAGTCTGGCTTGAGTGTTCTCTTCCTCTGTCAGCTGACTACAGAAAACTCCTCATGTGACCATCTCAGTGCAGGCTAAGAAACAGAGGGCAGTGTAGCTGTAGCAGCAGTGGGGACCATGGGCGTTTGGGCCGCTTCTTCATGTAACTCATTTGTGTGTTCGGGCCTGCTGGGGCCCTGATCACATATGTACCACTGCCATTTGATGATGGAATGTTTCTGGGCACACTCATCTTTATGGCTGGGTGGATGTAGGTTTGATAATCTCCATCATAGCATTTTTTTAATTCACCAGTCTGACTCCCACCAAAAATCTGATGGATTCTGGTGGTTGACAGTAGACCACTGTAGCTTCAGACAAGTAGTGATCCCAATTGTGGTTGCTATGCTGGATATTGTATCTTTGCTAGAGTAGGTTAACATAGTTTCAGATATGTAGACCAGTGTGTGGCTATTGAGCTGATGAGTGCATTTTTCCCATCTCTATCAATAAGAAATATCAGAAGCATTCTCATTTATGTGGAATGGACATTTTTTCCCTAGGGATTTGTTGTTTTTTCTTTTTATTGTCATCTAATAGTCTGAAGGGATCTACATCCTAGGGACATTGCACAGAGCATCACCTTGGTCCTTTACATTGAGGACATCATATTCTTTGGATCAGATAAGCAAGAGATAGCAATTAACTGGAGGTTTTGGTAAGATACATGTGCTTCAGAGGGTGGAAGTTAAACACTAGGAGTACATAGATGAAAGCTGGTGACACTGATGAAAGTTTTAGAGTTCATGTTGTCTAGATTATGCTGAGTCATCCCCTCCAAAGAAAAGGAAATCTGTTTAATCACTTCCCTCTACGACTAAGAAATAACAACAGATTTTAGTTAGGCTTTTTTGGGCTCTGGGGCAGAATATTTCACCTTTGACAATACTGCCTCAATCCATTTATATATGACATGAAATACTGCCAGTTCTGAGTAGCATCAAGACCAGGAAAGAGCTCTATGGCAGATCCAATCTGTAGTGCAACCAGCCCTGCCACTTGGACCATTAGACCTGGTAGGTCTTATGGTACTATAAGTCTGTATGGTGGAAAGGACTCTATGTGGGGTTTATGTCAAGCCCCAATAGGAAGATGACAATGTAGACCTCTAGGATTCTAGGGTAATGCCATACCATCTGCAAAAGAGAGCTATATTAGCTTTCCAAAAGTGGCTCTTGGCATGCTATTATTCCCTGAGTGGACAGGCCGTCTGACTTTGTACCATCAAACAGCTTTGTGGCCAGAGTTGCTTATTATGATCTAGATTCTTTCAGATCTACTAAGAATGGGTAGACCCATCATGGTCATCACCACCATCATCACTATCATCATCACCTGGCATTGGCCATGAACAGAGTCAGAAGACACAAGTAAGCTGCACAAAGGGTGTCCAGACCCTTATGCCATCCTCCACTTTGGCTCTAGGCCCTCTTTCTCAGCACACACTTATAGCCACATGAAGGGTTCCTTATAATCAGTTGACAGAGGAGGAAACTGTGGAGAAGAAAAGCCAGATTGGTCAGCTCAGTATGTGAGTGGAAGCCTAGAATGGACTGCTGATGCTGTACAGTCCTACCCTGTGAAAGGGAATAGTGAGGTGAGATCATCTCAATGGGCAGAGCTTCATGGGCTACACTTGCTCTTCCACTTCGTGTAAGAAAAGAAGTGGCCCAAGGTAAGAATACACGCAGACACATTATCAGCAGCAGATGCTTGGATTGGTTGGACAGAGGCCTCGGAGCAGGAAGATTAGAGGCTGGAGGACAAGATCTGGGGAAGAAGTATGTCAGCGGACTTGTAGAAAGGGACAGTATGCCTGAAGACCTTTGCATCACATGTTAACCCTCACCTACAAGCATTCTCCGTAAAAATGGCACTAGCAACCAAGTGTCTTCTTATTGTGAAATCTTGGCCTTTGGCCAATAGGTTGGCTGGCTTATCATTTGATTTTAAGGTTATTTGCTATGACTCCAGAGAGAACTTTTTTGACCACCTTAACAAAGGGCTTTCCCTCACTGCTCTATCACATCACCTTTATTTTTATTGTTCTTACATAAAATAATTTTGTTTATAGCATGTTATCTATGGCTTTGATTAGTCTCCAACCATGGAAAAGGGGTATCTTTGTCCCATTCATCACTTTATCTCCTATGCTGAGAACAATTCCTAACACAGAGTCTGCATTCATTATATACTTGTTGAATGAAGGCATAGAAGCAAACAAGGTCAGGTAAAGCCATACAGCTAATAAGTGTTAGAAATGAGGTTTGAATCCAGGTCCAGAGTGCTAGCTTTGTGACTTTGGACAAGAGACTAAACATCTGTCTTTGTGCCTTAGTGTCTTCATTCCTGTATGCAGGAATGATAATAGTATCTATCTATAGGTTATTGTGAGGATTAAAGGAGTTTGTATACAGAAGTATTTAGAATAGTGTCTGGCACATATTTGGCATGGTAGAAGTGTTTGCTGTTATCAGGTAGTGGAAATGTGATTGAACTTGGGTCTGATTGGCTCGTCAGCTTTGGTAGACCCTCGAAGTGGCATTTTTGAGGGTACTGGGAACTTGTAGGAAAAGGAACAGTGACTGATAAAAGGAAAGGATAGATAATTGTAAAGTTACCTTTATAATCCCACCATTCCTGTGTGTTGAGTATGTAATCTACACAAAGCAAAGTGTTGGGCACTATGGGAAACTCAAAGACAGCTACAATATGAGCTCTGTCTTCAAACAGGTCTTGCCCTAGGTCACAATTCCTTATAGCCACATCATTGAGTCTCAGGTCACTGGGGCAGTGCTGAGGCAGGAAGTGTCCTTCTCCAGGGCCGAGGATAAATAGCTATTGACACCTGCTGCCATCTCACCTGGTGTATATACTTTCCCAGTCCAGTTGTATGAGAACATCTGTAGAAAACCTGTGAAGCCTTCCTCTGACATTGACTCCAACTTCATTTTGACTTGTGTCACTGAACTTGTTCTCTAGCCCACCATAGGTCTTGTCTGAGAAAGAAGGGTAGCCTTCCTGAGAACCTTAACCTGACCACTTTGGGCTTGACTTCTGGACTTCTGAGCACAAAGGACTTTGAGTACTGGTTTAGGAGGAATTGGTGGGCCAGGACCGCTTGGGTTTATACCACTGGCTGATGGAAGCCTGTGGCCACGTTTTCACTCTTAACACTGAAAACTTTACCCGAGTTACTCTTCGGTGAATTGTATTTAACTTTGCCTAGTAGTTTGTGCCAGCATAGTTTACTGCATACTATAGTGAGTGCTGAGCTTATATTTATTGCATAATTTAACTGTTAAGTTTTATCATTTGGGTTGAACTTCATGCATCAAGGTAAATAACAAGGTCCATTATGTCTTAATTTTGTAGATTCGTTCATTGCTACAGGCACAGTGGATTCTGTGTGTCTGACAGTGGCGGCTGATTTTAACATAGGATGCTAGGAGAGTCCTTGCTTTGCTAATATTAGAAATAGGGTCTTTTCTAATGTGAATATGTGTGAAAAATTCTGATTCAACAACTTACATTGCTCTTCTTTTTGCTGCTGGCAATGTATTGTTGGCGTCTCCTTTGCTCTTGGTCTCAGGAAAGTTTATATGTTGTTTTAATAGCATGTGTATATAATGCCCATTAGTACTAATGGGATGTATTCTTTCATCAGGACATAATCGCCGACAGCATGCAAATCAGCACATTTGTTCTTCTTCAACGTTTGCTGAAGGCTCTGTTCTTGGGCAACATATGGTCTCCAGTCACCTCCTCACTTTGCTCTGAAAATTTTCCATTACACATCTTAATCACCAATTTTTCCTCTCTGTTTGAGAAATGAATTAAGGCAATACAAATTGGAATGACGACCACTTTTAGATTGAAAAGAACCTTTCTTTTGGCTGCCAAAACCTAGTGTTACATTTTTATTTTTCATTTTTTTCATTTATTTTTTTACATCACTAATTAGCTCCTCAAAATGGTTTTTATGTCTGGCATGCACGGGGTGTGAACTATAAAAATTATAGTTTCTAAGCTTTTTTTGCTCTGTTCTCTGGAAAAAATTTCCTTTATCAAGCAATTTCATAGGCACAGGGGATAGTAGTTTAAGATGCATCATGGACAGCATTTATTCAGACAGTCAAAGTAATTTTAGAAAATGATAACAGCTAATCTGATGAATACCCAGAAAGAAGAAATTAATATTGAAAGAGCACCTACTATGTGTCAGACACTATATATCACTTATTTTTTTTAATAGAGAAGGCATCTAAAATAACTGGCCCAGATTTATTCATTCATTTGAACATGACTCTTTTACACACACACACACACACACACACAATTACAGATTTCTACTTTATTCTAGGTGTTGTGCTAGGCACTGAGAATAGCATAATGAGCGTAATAGGCTTGGTTCCTGCTCTTATGGGGTTTACAATCTAATTGTGAGGACAGATAAAATATAGTGAAACAAAGAAATAAATCAACAAAAAACAAATGATTGGTAAACACTCCAAAAGGCTATAAATAGGATGTGGAAATAGAGGATAACTGGGGTTCAGTGTAGAAGGCCCTCCTTTGATCTTGAATGCCATACTGCAAGTAGGGACAAGAGGCTTGATACAAATCCAAGTTTGTCTGCTCACCTGCACCGGCTGAGCAGCTCCCTTCTGAGTTTTGATCATCTCTATGATTGCTAAAAGTTCCTGAGTCCCTACTATGTGACAGGCCTTATTCAATTTTGTGTGTTGCTTTAGCTACCTTATGAAGTGGGAATAATTTTTTCCCTTATTTTGCAGATGAGAAAACTGAGACTTAAGAAAAATCTGCAACTTGCTCAAAGTGACAGTGCCATTTTCTTGTCAGTTCCAATGCTCATGTTCTTAATAGAGAGATTTTGCAGCCACTCTTTTTTCCCAGGGCCCAAGGGTTTTTACTGTGCTCCTTGGGAACAGACACTTAGGCAATGCGGACTGGCTTATGCGACATTCTCTCTCTCTCTCTTGCTCTAAAATAAAATAATAAAATAAAATAAAATAAACCACCCTCAACCCCCAGCAAAAAAAAAAAAGAAAAAAAAAAAAGCAACAAAAACCCCCAAACCATTCATGCCTAGATGCTGTGAGTGAAGAATAAAATATATTTTGAATGGTGCTTTACTTCTTTAAAAGCAGCATATATTTTTTAGATTAAAAAAGTGATATGTGTTTATTATAAGCAATTTGAAAAATAAGAAAGAATAAAAAAAATGTAAAGGCAAGAATAAAAATCACTTAAAGTTCTACCACCTGGAAAGGGCAGTATTTTGGTTCTTTGAAGTATTTTTTGAATGTATAGTAGCAAAGATGACTGACCCTTATGTAGCACTTACTATTTGCCAGGTGTAATTCCACACACTGTACATATATTAACTCATATCCATGGTAGCCTTACATAGAGGGTATTATTATTATCCCAATTTAATTGATGAGAAATGTGAAGTAAAGAGTGATTAAAGTAACTTTCCCAAGACCACAAGGTCAAACCTACTTAAACCACACAGCTTGGTTCTGGAGCCCATGCTACTCTTCTCCTATCTCACTTCTCTCTATAAAATGTATATTCACATTATCTATCTATCTATCTATCTATCTATCTTAAAAACCTGAAATCAAATTTTACTTACAATTTTATTATTTTTATTTTTATTTATATTTTTTTGAAACAGGGTCCTGCTCTGTCCCCCAGGCTGGAGTGCAGTGGCGCGATCTCAGTTCACTGCAGTTTCAACCTCCCTAGGCTCAAGGGTTCCTCCCATCTCAGCCTCCTGAGTAGCTGGGATTACAGGTGTGGGCCACACCCAGCTAATTTTTGTATTTTTTATAGAGACAGAATTTCACAATGTTGCCCAGTCTGGTCTTGAACTCCATGGGCTGAAGTGATCCTCCCTCCTCAGCTTCCCAAAGTGCTGGGATTACGGGCATCAGCCACTGCGCCTGGCTATATTTTACATACAATTTTATATTCTTTTTTTTTAACATAACATTATTCAGTGGGCATTCTTTCAATATCCTTAAACGTTCTTTAAAATATTTCTAATGACCATATAGACATATTTTATGTAGGAATCCCCACCATTGCACAGTTAAGTTGTTTCTGATTTTTGTTATTATAAAAAATGATGTGGCCAGGCCAGGTGGCCCATGCCTGCAATTCCAGTGTTTGGGAGGCCAAGACAGAAAGACTGCTTGAGGCCAGGAGTTCAAGACCAACCTAGGCAACATAGCTAGACCCCATCTCTAAAAAAATAAAAAATTAGCTGGGTGTGGTGGTGCACTCCTGTAGTCCTAGCTACTTGGCAGGCTGAGGACCTGTCTTTTAAAAAAATTCAGTGAATGTCCATGTTTGTAAATCTTTGATCAGCTTTTTGATTATTTACTCAGGACAGATTCCTGGAAGAGGATGACTTGCTCAGTATTTTGGCATTTGTTCAAATCTTTGGTGGAGTGGAAAAAGGGTTCAGATGTGTGGCACAGATTTATATAACATAGAAACTCAGGAAAGTTAGAGATCTGAGCAAGCAGAGGAAAAAAAAATCATGGAAGCCTTCTTTGAGGAGGTGGGGCAGAGCATGAGCTGACCTTGGACAATGGGAGCCTGCTAGGGAAGGGCAATTCTCCAAGACTCTTGATGCCCTTTTTCTATAAGTCAGTTGACACAGGCACTGAGCTGGTAAGACAAGACTTCATTGAGCAGAGTCTTAAAGGACAGAAAGGAATTTCCAAGGCTGACAAGGATGTGAGGGGAAGAGGTAAGTGGGCCTCTTAGGTGGTGGGAACCACGTAGGCAGGCCCAGATGTAGAGATGTGAGAGAACCTGGAGGGCTTTGAGTTGATGCGGGGAGGGTTTGAGAGATGCTTAGTAGAAGCAGGCGGGGGCTAGATGGAACCTCATAAGGCCCAGCACATCATTTTAAGGATGATGGATTTTTAAATGTAGGCAATGGATAGTTGCTGAAGACTTTGAGCTCAAAGAGAGATGTGATGACATTTGCATTTCTGATAGACCACTGTGGGGCCAGGGAGTAGACAAAGACAGAGGAAGACCCTTGTGGGAGGATGTTTTGGGGACCTGGAGGAGAACGCTGCCCCGACACAGGCCTGCTTCCAGTTGCTGTGCCCACAGCAGGGCCCACAGCCATCTTCATCATTCCTCATGCCTGGAGGAGTACAGACCGAATATTTATAAAATACCGACATGGAAATGAAAGAGCTGCAGAAACAAAGAGCACAAACATTTCCTCTATTTTGTTGAGAGTTAACATCCATGAGGAATATGCGTGTATGTCAGAGCAGAAAATAATGAGGCAATATACTTCCTTAAACAGATTCAGTTCATCATCGCTGGGGCCTGCGCAGGGGAGGATGGTTGGGGGCACCTTCCGTTGTCGGTGTGGCGGCTCCTTTCCGAGCAGACAGGTCACTCAGTGCTTTCTTCCGGGCAATTATTTTCGAGATGACTGGAGATTTCGATCAACCAATCAAGCTTTTATAGAAGCCACTTTCCTTGATTATGTTCCTGATCTTTAACTCAGGGAGAGATTTTCCTCAGTATGGCTTGACAGCCTCAAGTTTTCAATTAATTTCTCTCTCCTGCATCTTGCTTTTGCTTTCAGCTGGGCAGCTGGCATGTTCACAGGCTCATGTGAGCTCCTGACATGGGGTGTGTGTGTGTGTGTGTGTGTGCACGCAAGTGCATGTGTGTGCACGCGAGTGCATGTGCGTGCTTTGAAGGCATCAGAAATCTCTTTCTGGCCTTCGATGAAAAATGTCCTGTCAAAGAGCAGAGGGACTTGTGAGCAGGAAGCTGGATGAACAAGGGGAGTAGAAAAGAGGCACTGTGGATGTGGAGGATCCTGATGCCTGGGGTGGCTGCATTCAGGACCAGCCCAGGGATATGTAGAATAAGGCAGCATGGATCAGTGCTTTCAAATGCAGGAGCCATATCCCTGCTTCCAAATATACTGACAAATATTTTGAATCATAATCAACACATATGTATTCTAGTGTGATTTATTCCACATAAATGGTTGCTTTTCTTTCAAAATAAAATAATTTGAATAATATATAAATGACTTAAAGGTAGGTATAGTTATACTTAAGGTATATATAATCTATAATAACTTGCATAATATTTAAATGACTTAAAGTTTTGGCAAATACTAATTCAGATGTTATGTGAAAGTTGGTGAAACTCTTGAAGGTGGCACATGTATTTCTTAAGATGAGGAGACCCTGGTGTTATGGAAAGAATTTTAGAGTCAGAGAGACATGGATAAAATCCAAGATCTGCCTGTTACTAAATGTGTGCCTGTGGGAAAATTACTTAATTGCTAGACCTCAGTTTGTTAGTCTGTAGAATGGGCATTTAAAACCCACCTTTCAATGTTGCTGCGGGGTCTGGAGATTCATTCATGTATTCATGCAACCTTGAGATATTAACTGTCTGTTATGTGCCATTCACTGCTCTGGGCACAGGGAATACAGCAGTGAATCAAAGTTCCTGTCCTCATGGAGCTCTCATTCTAATGGGGGAGACAGACAATAAATATATAGATAGTTACATAAGAAACTACGAAGTACTGTGAAAAATACATCAGAGTAAGGGAGAGGTTATAGGAAAGCCTCTGAGACAGGAGTGTGGTAGAGATGTTTGAGGAAAACCAAGGTGGTTACAGTGTGGTAAGAATGAACAGGGAAAGGGAGAAAGGAAGAAATGAGGTGAAACAGGTAGTCAGGTGCCAGGGCAGAGAGTGCCTGGTAGACTAAGGTGAACCTTGGGTTTTACTTTAACTGTTGATAGAAGAAGATGATCAAAAGGTGGTATCTATTAAAAATGACATATTCAATTAATATTAGAATAGTTTTATACCTTGTGCCCAAGCTGTGCAGAGCACCACATTAGGCTCCTAGGTTTGGGGCATACCAAGATAACCTGGACAGAGGAGCTCAAATTCTCGTTGGGGGAACAGTAGACTCTAATGAATTAGTATCTGACATTCATTAAGTACTTGCTATGTGCCAGGCACAGTTCCAAGTTTTCCTTTAATGGAGTAGCTTGTGTAGTCCTTATGAAACAAAAGTACAGTATATAGTCAGTTATTATCCCTATTTTACAGTTGAGGAAACTGAGGCACAGAGAGACTTACCATTATACATACTGCCTCTCAACTTCCAAAGAAAGCAGAGTGGTCTAACGGTGCTTCCCTTGAGGTTGGAAGTGCAGTGGGAGCACAGAACAAACATTACCCCGAAGAGGGATGCCGTAGCCATGGGACTGCAGATGCTCTGGAGGGAAGCCGCCCCTCCTAACTGTGACAAACATTTTGCCTCTCCTCTCTGTGCTTCAGTTTCCTCATCCATAAAATGGGATCAGCAGAGGGTATCCATTCTATAGGCTAGGCATGATGATGAGATGAGACAGTGGATAGGAAATGCTTTTGCACAGAGCCTGCCACATGGCAAGTGTCATTTAAGTCTTAGCAATACACCTACAAGAGATTAGGGAGCACTTTATGAACTGGCTCTCCTGGGCCTGGCCTTGAGGCATGAGGAAGACTTTAACAGAAAGCAAAGGTAGAGAAGTAATTTTAAGTTGATGGGGAATATTTCTGGAAATTAATAGAGTGTTGAAAGTGCATGGTGTGGCTGGAGCATGCGACTTGTGGTGGGTGAGGGTATAGCAGATAATTCTATCAGCCTGTGACATTGAGGAGACCTGAACTGCCATCGGAAGAGCAGTGGAGCAGTCTGTGAGGGGTGCCGTAACAAGATACCACAGACTGGGTGCTTAAGAAACAGACATTTATTCTTACAGTTCTGGAGGCTGGAAGTCCAAGACCAAGGTCTTAGCAGGGTTGGTTTTCTCTGAGGCCTCTCTCCTGGGCTTGCAAGTGGCCACCTTCTCACTGTGTCTTCCTGTGGTCATTCCCTGGGTCAGCGTGTTTTCTGTGTCTTAATCTTTTCTCCTTATAGAGACACCAGTCCTATTGGACTAGGGCCCATCCGTATGACCTCATTTTATTTTGATTACCTCTTTGAAGGCCCTATCTCCAAGTCCAGTCATATTTTGAGGTACTGGGGGCTAGAACTTCAGCATATGGATTTGGGGGGGTGCATAATTCAGCCCACAAGAGACAATTCAGCATGGTGGGGGTGGGGGCTGTGATGTGCCCCATGCTGTCATAGACATGTCCAGCAAGAGCAGGAGCAGAAGAGAACACTTTCCCAGGTGGCAGGTCCTCCAAGTCTGACTTGCACAATGGAGAGAGGGTGGAGAAGAAGGTGAGGGATGAGACATTTCAGGGGTGGAACCTACAGGGCTTGGATGCTGATTTCTCTGACTCCTTGGAGCTATACAGAAATAAACACAAAAGCAAGAAAATCCAGATTTGCCTTACCCTGGCCTCTTTCTCTGTCCCCCAGGGATGAGTCTACTTATAGCTCCTTAGTTTTCCCATCTGTTAAGTGGGAAAAATAAAACCAGGATCTCATGGCTCCCAATGGGATATAGTCATATGTTACCGTAGCACTGAGACTTTGTACAAATGCAGACTGGTTTCGTTCTCCCTGCTAATAAACTGTCTTTCTACCAGAATACAGTACCAACAAACTTATATTTTCTGGGTATCAGAAAGCAATGGTTTGGGTTTGAGCTATTCACTCACTTATGATCTGAGCTTATTCTAAAAAGACTTTGCAGCTTAGTCTAATTGGGTAATTGGGATGTTTCCAGATGAAATTCAACTTGTAGTTTTAAAAAAATGCTTTGAAGAACTGGTTGCCATGGCGCTTTTCTGCTGACAAGATCCTTCACTGGCTCCCACTAAGCAGCAATAATGGGCTTCTGTTTATTCTGTTTCAGGTTACCCCACCTGAACATCCTCCTGGGAGGAAGCAGGGCATGAATCCGAAGGAATTAGTGAAGTCCTTCCATAGCCATCCTTGATGGTGGAGCGGGGGTGTGTCTCAGCAAAAAGGTTTGTCATTGCAGGGGCTGGAGGGCTTAGACCTAGTAGTGGCCCAGCTGTCGTGCTGGGGCTTCCCAGACCACTTCACTCCTGGGCAGCTGGGAGTTGAGGAAGAAACCACTGTGCATTTGTCACTGTATAAACCAGATGGCTGCTTCAGGATATGAACACTAATCCCCTCATATTTGTGGGCAAATGAGTGTCTGGCAGAGAGAATTGCCCTTATTTTAAGAAATAACATGGTCTTAAAAATTAATATTCATGTTTTTATAGTATCACTGTTTTAAATTTGAGAAGGTCTTTGTTCAAAGTCAATTTTTCAACCTATTGGACACCATTCTTACCCCTCATCCTTAGAGTTCTTGTACCCGAGTGTTTATTGTTAGAATGTGAAACATCTGCCCCAGATGCAGTATTTTTGGCCTCATTAAGAGTTTTTCTAGTTCCTCTTCAGTTATGTCAATATTTACCTTGGACAATGCTTTGTATCCTTTTGTTTATAATTCCAGAATTCTCCAAGACAAACTGATTATTCATGACTCTCTGGCCTGGGTTACAATTTAAACATACCTTATGTTGATGTTTTAAGAATATAAGTCCCCCAAACTATTTCTACTACTTCTCCTAGATTCATACTTCATAATCTTTCATTCTCACTTCATACCCTATATTTTTCCTCCTTCCAGGTATCTTCCAAACATATCCTTTTTTTTTTGTGGATTATATTCTTAGAACGTGAGATGCAAAATTTTCCTCCTTTCCCTTTAAAATCCCACAATCCCGGCTGGGCGTTGTGGCTCACACCTGTAATCCCAGCACTTTGGGAGGCCATGGCAGGTGGATCATCTGAGGTCAGGAGTTCAAGACCAGCCTGGCCAACATGATGAAACCCTGTCTCTACTAAAAATACAAAAAATTAGCTGGGTGTGGTGGCATCACCTGTAATCCCAGCTACTTAGGAGGCTGAAGCAGGAGAGTCACTTGAACTCAGTAGGTGGAGGTTGCAGTGAGCCGAGATCACGCCATTGCACTCCAGCCTGGGCAACAAGAGTAAAATTCCATCTCAAAAAAAAAAAAAAAAAAAAATCCCAGGATCCCTCTCTCCTGCCAAGGATGTTTTTATAACAGTGCATTGTACCCACATTCTTTGAACACTTCCATTGTTTTCCTAGAGAGCACACTTTTCCACACTGCCTGCTCCCTCTTATTACATTTCTGATCACTGATATAAAAGACACATGACTCCTGTGTGTGTTTAACCTCACACAATGAGTATAAGGAAGCTTAGTGGGTAAATAGACATCAGAAAGCTCAAGCATGTTTTTCTCAAGTGACCCAATTATACAGAGCCAGTCATCTTTCCTTAATCATGCAGGATTTATGAATCTACATAATAGTTTTAGTTCTTGACGTGTGCCTTGGAGTTGTAGATGACTTTAAATTTACTATTTTACCTATATTATTACATTTGATCCTTATAACAACATTATGAGAGACCCCCAGAGGATTCAAGTAACCTGTTTAAGATTACATTGTAAGTGGAATAAGAATAGTTTTTGCCCTTAAGAATGTTTATATTAATAAACTATTTGAGTTTATACAAGTCTTTCTGTTCCTCTAAAATACTATACTGTTTCTTGATTTGGGAGACATTGCTTGTGCTGTTTCCTTTGCTTGAACTACCTAACTTCTCTCTTTGATTAGACAAACTCTTACCCATTTTTCAAACCTCAACTTCAAGTTCATTTCCTCTAGAAGCATTTCCTGATCTCCCAAGGCTGGGCTAGGATTCCTTTCTCTGTGTTTGGTAACACCCTTAAAATTATGTAAATAAATTCATCACAGTGTCTGCCACCTAATGATAAATATTAGTTGTGATGTCATTCCTTATCCTATCTTTTATCATACTTTATACATCTTGCTTGCCATTGTATCCCCAGTAACTAGGTCTGGGGAGGTGCACAATAGTTGTTGAATGAATGAGCAATGCACTATGAGTCTTCTAGTTGATGTAGTCTTGGGTCTTTGAACTGAAGAGCAAATGCCGGAGATGGCACTGAGATTGTCTAGAGAATTTTAGGCATTTCCAAGTCTAATCCACAGACTGCCATCTGAGTGTTGGTAGCTAAAATGGTTATCTGTTGTTTGTCTGCCCAACACCCTTTTCCCTTATTTTGCCATCACTCTCTCACTTTTCCTTTGGGGACTGTCCCCTTCCTCTCTTTTGATCAGTGCTGTTCAGGTGGGGCTTCCAACACCTCTTGAACAGGAATAGGTCTAATAAGCACATTCCATCCCCTAGGTGCAGTGTAAAACTTATGGATGGCATTCAACCCAAACTGGGCTGATGCGCGTAACCCTTGGACTTCTGCTGAAACTTTTAGAGGAGAGGATCTGTTTTTTTTCTTTCTAAGATTGCAAGCAACAGAAACAAGCCTGGAACTACAGGTTCTTTGGGAATTTGTGAAGAGATCAGTGAATCCAACACAGAACATCCAGAGCCAGGAGATGGTGATAGAGTGAAGGCATAATGAAGACATCATTTGAGTATCTGGGATTCAGTAGTACCTGAAGCAAGATTGAATTTCCAAGTTTATGAACTGATAGGTTCCCTTTCTGGTTGCAACTAGTTTGAGTTGCATTTTTGTCAGTCACCAATAGCTGATAGTGTTCTGACTAACTCAGTTGGAAACAAAATATCATGGTATTTTTATTATTGTCATTAGGGCTTTTTGTCCCTTTGTGGATTTGCCTTATGCTTTCACTTTTTCATATGTGTTTTGCATCCATGCAACTTGTCTTAAATAGTTAATCATGAACCAAGTAAGCAAGCATATTTTTGACTTACTTTTCCCAAGTCCAGTGTCATGTGACAGGCTCATTGGATGTCCCCCAGTTCATATTTGAGCTGAGTACATGCTTGGGATTCTTTTTCTGGGAATGGTTATGACTTTACCCAGATTCATCTTTCACCCTCTCACACTCTGCCTGTTGGACTCCTGGGGTAAACTGTGGGAGAGTGAATTCGCTGGGATCTCGGAGGGTGACCTGTGATCTCAGAGTAATGTAAGCAAACTCCTGAGCCTGTGGTGTCAGAGCCTCAGAGCTGAACCTAACTGAGCTTTGCATCCAGATCTGGGCAGACAAGGCCTTCAAACTCTCTTTGGAGAAACTTCATGCCCCCTTAGGGAGGTGCAGAATCAAAAGGAATTGCAGCCTATTTGGTTTTCATGGTTGGTGGACACTGGTCTCTAAGTGCTATGGTGACTTCATGCATGGGCTTCTTTGTCCTATGAACTGAAGGATGGATACATCCCTTTTTGCCACAAGCCCTCTATGAAATGGCAATGAAGCTCCCTATGGTGCTTGTTTACCATAATCAATAGATGAATCAATTGCTTTCTATACCTGATTCAAGGAAGTAATTAAAGCAGGGAGGCAGAGGTATCATTAATAGAAGTTCAGTCCTCGCTATTTGCCAAAATCTATTTCTGGAAACTAGATCATTGAATGCATCAGAGTATAATGGATAATATATTCCCATTCAAACAGTGTTATATTTGGGAATTGTGTTCCCAAACAAGGCCACAGCTTCACATAACTCAGAGGTGACCTTTCATTGTCCTGAAATCCAAGATACAAACTGCAAAGTCTTAAGATAATGAGATTAGGATCTAATTACTATTAAATTGCAAAAATGTAAAATGACAAGTTTAAAATGGAATTATATGTTCCATACCTATTGTTTATATAAGGGCCTGTATTATCCATGAACTATTCATATATCATTAAAAAATGTATTTGACTATCACAATTTAAACAAAAGGGCAAGGTACTAATTATAAAAAGTATCCTTACTTTAAAAGTAAATTAATATTACTTGTCTTCTTAGGATTTTGAAGGGTTTTTAGGAGGATAATTTAGATGGCTTAGATCTCTTTAAATGACCGCTGCGCTGGCCTTCTCTTTTACATTTCCCTACAGTAAGCACCGGTATGCTAGTCTATTGTGGAACCAACTGTGCTAGAAAATATGTGTTTGTAATGATGGCAATGATAGTAATTTAGTGGTGTTATATTCTCTGAATCTGGTAAAGACATGGAGGAGTAATATTCAAGTCATCATCTATATAATAGAGTAAAATTTCATTTAAAAAGGCATAAAATTATCCATGAGGTGAAACCCATTTTTGCCGTGAACCACATTTATTATTAAGGGTAAAATCTGCTTCTCTTCTTCAGGAGGCTGAAGTAGGCAGTTTAGCACTCACTTCCATGTGGCATATTAAGCAAGGATATTTTGCACTTTCTTCTCATTGTAAACATTCTTTATTTGCTCTTTTCCTGTGATGTCCTAATAATAAGATTTGACTTTAGGCACATGGGCAGGGTGAGGACCTAAAAGTCCTGAGCTAAGGCATAGGCTCCAGCTAACTCTATCAGAGAGCTCTACCTAAAGGCCTGGGACACAAACACAGCTGACAATGACGTATTATTTGCCTTCTTTTTGTCAGGATTTCTTTTGCATATGACTTCCCAAGAAATTTCCTAGGAACCTAGGTCCCTGGGTCTCCAGGACACCATCATTTCCATTCCATCAGTACTTTATAGGATTCCTACTAGAAACAAAAAAGAAAAAAAGTTTTCTGCTTAGCCCCAGTTAACCTGAAAATTCAATTAAACAGCATCCTCCAAACACTACAGTTCATTGACGATTAACTATGCACGTTCTTGGAAAGGCCAAACTAGATGAAACTGACATTTTGAGAACTGTATTTTGCACTGAAATAGAAATTGAAGTAGGAATATGTTTTTCCTTGCTTGTTTTGATAGCATTTTACTGATGGGAAGTTTGGGGAGGCCTGAGGGGGCAAATATTGAGCTTTTGATTTATTATCAGTGAACATTTGCTCCAAATTGTACCCCATTGCTTCATTTACAAGTGATGTTTATCTTTTTGCTTTGGAATTTTATTGGTGCTTTCTCTCTTGCTTCCCTAGAAGATCGTTGGATATATAAGGGCTACAGTCACTGAGGTTAGTGTTGTGTTCTGCATTGGAGGAATTTTCTTGACTTTATCCCAGAATTAGTGGATCCATTCTACTTGGTGACACACTCCTGCCAGAGCAACTGGCAGATGGTCTAGTGTGGAGGATTGCATTGGAATGGGGAAGATGCTGGTAGGAGAGTGAGTCCCATTTATTTAAAGCCATAATCCTCCATTTTTCTCCTGATATTAAGCATTCCTGCTTCATAACTTTGTTCCACCACTCTAATTAGGCAGGCAGCCTTCCTCTGCCATTTTATTTTTTTATTTTATTTTATTTTTGAGACAGGGTCTCATTCTGTCATCCAGGCTGGAGTACAGTGGTGCAATCTGGGCTCACTGCAGCCTCAGCCTCCTGTGCTGGAGTGTTCCTCCTGTCTCAGTCACCCAAGAAGCAGGGACTACAGGCGTGTGCCACCACGCCCAGCTAACTTTTGTCTTTTTTGTAAAGACAAGGTTTCTCTGTGTTGCCCAGGCTGCTCTTGAACTCCTGAGCTCAAGTGATTTGCCTGTCTCAGCCTCCCAAAGTGCTGGGATTATAGGTGCGAACCATCACATCTGGCCCTCCTCTGCCATTTTATATTTCCACTTGGTTGTACTTCATTTTCAAATTCAACATTTTTATTCCTGACACAGAAAACTTTGCCTAAACTACTCTTGGGTGAATGTCTGGGGGCGTTATTCCATAAGTCTACAGCTTGATTCAATCTCCTGCTGAAATTATAAACGGGAAACAGCAGAGTCAATGAAAGGTGACAAGTGGTGCTAACTGAGTGACAAAGGTAATCTCATTCCACTAGAGTTTTTCAAACCAGTGATAGACTAGACACAGAGCACATGCCCTGTAAGATGTGTGTGGTGCTGTTTTGTCTTTGGATTGTATTACTGTGCCTTGAATGACATTAGTTCTTTTATATCTTACGTTCCTCTCAGAACATTATTCTTAGAACATGCTACCTTATGTTCTAGGCCCGGAAGTGTAAGAAACCTATGAATAACATATTTCTGAGTGTCTAGAAATCCAGATATTGTTTTTTGTTTGTTTGTTTGTTTGTTTTAAAGTGTTCTTGATGGAAGGAAAAGGAAGCCTCCATTTGCTTCTAAGGAAATAATAATTTCTTTCCTCCAATGTCTCTTGGATAGCTAATGGCTCTAGAGACAGGCACGGACATGTCTATGGATATAGTCATATGAGCTCAGAATTTTACCTTTGATTTGCTGGGAATCTTTTCTTTAGAGCCCTTTCATGGACATTAATTATCAATTTTTATTTTTAAGCTGTGGATAGTTTACTCACCCTTGAGAGAAACTTTCTTATGTAAAAGTTGTTTTCCACGGTCCCAAGATGGAAAACGACAACTCTTTAATCAAAAGGCTCTGAGGTATTGGTGCCATCTTTGTCTCTGGTTCCCAAAGAATGTTCTTGGAATGCTGACACCATAAGGAAAGTGTGGGGCAGCAGGCCTTAAGGGAGATTGTTAAAGCAAGACCGACATCTTCTGTGCATAGCCAATGCCTGCTTTTTCTCCACCATCTTCTTCCAAGTGGTTATCATTCCTCCTCCATGGAGATCCTGCTTTTGCTGCCCTTTCCAGCCTTTAGCTGATACAGGGAGTATGGAAAACGTAGTGTTCCTTTAATGGTTTATAAAATCAGACCTTCTTAGGAGGTCACACCGAGGGGAATGTTGCTAAAAACAACTGGCTCTTTGGCAATGCTAATCTGCATTTTCCTAAAACACATATCCAAGAGGGAAAAAGTGCATGTGTTAAGATGAAGATGGAGAATGAAGTTATCGATCTTCTTAAAGTTCATAATGTTGGAAGGGTCATGAGAGAAACACACTCTCAAACTGAGTAATAATCTACAAAGAGTTAAAACAAAAGTTCCTCCAGCCATAGCTGCACCAAGAGAAGTGGGACAGAAGTTCTGATTGAGAACTTTGATTTGCCACAGATTGTTTGAGTCTTACATGAAATTTGGAAAGGTTCCCTGACATCAAAGGCTGTTTCTTTTGGCTAATCTATTGAGTATGTTGTACCTGTCCTCCCATGAGCCCCCCCACGACTGGGAACATATGTCAGATTCTTCTTGTGCCAGTAATTTAGAGGCTCGTGACAAGAAAATATCCTTTTTCTAAGAAAAAAAGAGAGGGTGGTCCTGGGGAATGTTAATGCAGCAGAGAATAGCAATGATTTACTCCTCCCTGAAAAAAATATGCCAAGTCTGATAGACCCATATCTGAATATTATCTGCATAATTTGAAAATAACACATAGAAGGAAATAGGCCCAATCTCAGTATCCTGTTCACATTTACATCTGGAACAGCTGCCAGGGCCTCTCAGAGTTGATTTTGTTCAGTTCTGCAGGGCCGATCTGAAACCCAGGCAGAAAATGAAAGTGAGCAAATTTACCTCTGGCATTCAAAGAAATGCTTTTGGTCAAAGTGAGTATTTCTGACCATGACTCATTTTCAAAAGAAGCATTGAATTCGCTTTGTCATCTTTGCCTGGATCGGGCTCAATCAGCCCTTTTATGATTTTTAAAATATCCTATATAGGCGGGATGGCATTTATTAGGCTTCAGTTATTCAATATTGCATTTCAATGTATAAAAGTCACTGTTCAATTGAATATTGAGTTTTCTGAGGAAGTAAACCTACAGAAAAGAAATTTGCAAGAATCTAAAATAAATGAGTTTGAGAAAGATCAAACTGCCCTATGGCTGTTTCAAAGATCAAAAGATCTCTCTTTTATAGAAATCAGGAGCAGTTTGAATAGCCTCTTTCCTCTATCGCAAAGCCCCATTTTTTCACTATCATTGATAGCTTGGGACTGCACCATAATGGTATGAAAGGCCCTGGGGAGGAGGGAAGACGATTTTATTCCCAAAAAGGACGCAGGACTTTTTCGTCTGAAATAGCTGGCTTTTAATTTAATTTGATCTGGAGCCCAGTAGAGTGAGCAAATGAAAACCTGTCCTTAGCTCCTTCAGGAGGAGCAGTGGCCTTGAGGGGCATGAGAGGGTCTCCTGATAATTGTTTTTAAAGGCTGCCGTGTATCTTTGTTTCTGCTTCTAGGAGAGGCTGGATTATATGGTAGATCGCTATCTTTGAGTTTATGTGTTATGCATAACCTTAGGAAGTTACTTAATCTTTGTAGATCTCAGCTACTTCATGTGTAAAATGGGGATAATAATATGTACCTTATTCTTGGAGTAAGCTCCTTCCAACTCAGGGCCTTTGCTGGTGCTGTTCCTTCCACTGGACTAATTCATGCTTGGCCCCAGAACCCAGCTGGAACAGCTTTTTTCTGGGAGGGCTTCCATGGACCCTCAGACCAAGTCATGCTAACTCCTCCTCCTCCTCCATTAGACCATGTGCTATGATTTTCCTTGTAGTACTTGCCTCAGTTATAATTGAAAACGTTTTGTGTAAGTACTGATGTCATGTCTGGCTCCCTCTATAAGGGATTAGGAAACCTAACTTATTCATCTGTCTCATAAACTAGAACAAAAACAAAATATTTATTGTATGAATGAAATCAACAAAGTCTACTAGCAAACGATAAGTGATTAAGAAATGGCAATTTCCCTTGTTCCCCTACACTGTGAGATCCTGGAAGCCAGGACAAGCCTTACCTCTTTACCAGAAGCACCTAGGGTGGGGTCTTGACAAAGTAGCTGATTCAGGAACATCTGTGGATGTGCACGTGGACATTGTCAATCATCTCTGTCTACCTATTTGCCTTCTTCCTCAGCCTGTTCTCTGTCTTCTATCTAAAAGTGCACTATCAATTTTCAGAGAGATGCTAGAACCCTTGTTCATTTTCTTATATGGCAACTTTTCTCTGTATAGTTTCATGAAACCTCCATACATGAAGTTTGCAGTGAGAGGCAAAAAACTGAGTCGTGATCATGGTGTTTTTAGCCCCAGTTAGAGGGTTAGGTGAGTTGAAGTTGTCAGCCCAGGGAACTTTACAAGTGAGGACAGCTTTTAAACATCACTGCCGACATTATCATCATCAGCAACAACTAATAACAACTTCTTTAAATTTAAAAAAACCTTTGCCTTCTTGCCTAGGAAAAAAAATCTCCATCAACATCATAGACCATTCATGGTTGTCTACCATTAGAATCTTTTGCTTTGATTAAGGCCATTATTCATAAGAAGTTGCTATATTAGTCACTGACTATTTATTGTGAATTAGTTTATCAACCGTTTCATCTGAGAAGATGAAGGGCCAAGTATTAAGTCACTTGATTGCCTATGTGGGAAGGAAGTATTTCTGTCAGAGTTTAGTTGTACATAACATAATTCAGTATAGTCATTTTTAGCAGAAATGAGTTTCATACAAGGAATAAGAGCTTACAAAGATCACTAGAAAGGCTAGAGTTCTTTAAGCAGAGCTTCCAGGAATCACACCTCAGAACAACACCTCAGGGCTGGCCCACGGAGGCAGTTGCTGCCTCTGCCATGATCAAGTTTGTGAATAAGGAGGTCGCCTCTACAACTGCTGGCTCTGCACCTCACCACGTCTATCCAACCTGCACTTGCCTCTCAATAGCCACAGTGATAGGATCTGGACCCTGGGGGCTCTGTTATAGTTCCCACATGTCTCCACACTGTGCTGGTTAGCAGAAGTAGTGGGGTGCAGCCTCAGCCTTGATGTCTGCTTCTATAGTCCAGCTCTCATGAGGGAGCGTGTTTGGCTCACGCTGGGTTTCACATGGAACCTAAGCAGCAGGGGACTCTGGGAAATGAGGTCTTTAGCTTTTCTGACTCTTGAGGGCCATACAGTAGCTATAAGGAGGGATCTTGCAATGGAGTGAAGTAGTCTGCAGATCTTATCGCAGGGGTTACATAGTGGGCGGGGTGGGGGAGGGGCGTGGGGGCAGGGGAACATTTTTGAGAGAGACATAAATGGAGAGGGGGCTGAAAAGAATCTTGACTGGCCTCACAACTTTGCCTAGAGCTTGTCCTGGTTATTAAAATGAGGCATTTTGGGAATGCCACATCAGGGAGACATTATTGTTTTCCTTGGGTAAGTGGTTTTGAGGTCTGTATGTAAAGTTTCTTGCGTAAATAGGCTCCTTCTTCTATGCTCCTGACATTTATGGTGGGGTGTTTTAGTTTCCTTCTTAGCAGAGACGGAAAAGTGTTCCTATGCCCTGTTCAGACACATCTACTACTGGGTAATCTTTCTTCATGCTAGTGTCTATCTTTAAAAACGTCCCCATGACATCGAGTGAAGAGAGAAGCTTTAGATGCTATCCAGGAATGTCTGACACTTTTATCTACTGGGTAAATTGCTATTTCCCTGATGAAGAGACCCAAATGAGGGCTGGAACTCAGTTATTTTGGATGGATCATGGGAGCCCCTCTGGGTTTTGGAAGCAGGCAGTCAGTGGCGCTATCCTGCCATCTTCTTTTTAACATTCCATCTAGCAAACACCTTAAGCTTTAATAAACATCTTCTCCTTTAATAGTGTTGACTCCAAGCTAATAAGGCAACTAGCAAATCCAGTGAAGGTAAATTTCTCATTAACAATTTATTTAACTTTGTTGAAGAGAGCAATTCCAACTTCTGCTAATTGAGTTTGTAATAAAAACATGGATCCATTTTACTGCCACCCTCAGGACCTTAATCAAACTCCAGGAAAGGTAAAGTCACTCTCATTAGCAGACTAAGAGGCAAAATCCAGGATGGAATGGAAGGTATCAGAACTCTGTTAAATTCCAGAAACTTCAACAGGATTATAAAGCAGCGGCACAGACTGGCATTTCACAGTGTTTTGAATTTTATTTGCCAGAGGAAGAGCCCTTTTGACATGAAGCTAAAGCTGTGTGTAAGACTTTGAAGATACTGGCTTTAGTATGTGGGTGATGTGTTCAGTTTCTCCCCCTTTATTTAAGATCTCTCTGTGGAATATGGGAAAGTCTGCTGGCTAGACCTGTAAGAGGACTTGCCCTTTTTTCAGTCAATCCAAAGCCTTTTTCTGTGGCTCCAGGAGGTGGCTGTAATTTAGGAGTTTTATAAGGAAACACTGAGGAAGACCGCCTAAAGTGACGGCCCTGTGGGCAGAGGGACATGTGGCATGTCTGTGATCGGCCAGCGATTGAATTTGAAGGGATTTAATAATTCTTCATGAAATTCTCTTCTTTTTCTTCAGACTTTCCTCTGGAAGGCTGATTAAATGCGTATTATTTCTTCTTAAGTGATTTTACAGGTCGTTTATTTTGGATTTATGAGCATCAACACGTTTTAAAAGGTATTAGCAAGCTGTACTGCTTTATACTTGTTCTGTAAATCAGTGCCTCTACTCTCTATCAGCATCAGATAATAAGAAATCCTTCAAATTATTACTTTTTTTTCTTCTTATATATTCATTCAGGCAACAAATATTTTAAAACACCTACTGGGTGCCAGACATTGTGCTAGGTTCTAGAAATACTCCAGTGAACAAGATAGACATGGCCCTTGCTCTCAGTACATTGTAAAAAAATTTTTAAGTTTGGTGTCCATATTATTGTGAAATTATAGGGAATGAATTTGAGTTAAAGTTCTGTTCCCATTCAGCACTCTTCGTCTACTGAGTCAACATCTATATGGAGAGGCATGAGCAGAAGATGGTTCCTCTGTGTTTTTGACATATGCTAGTATGTGGTTCCATTTAAGATAGGAATAAAAGATGAGTGGGGGGAAAACTTCCCCTTCTCCCCATCACCTTTTCCCAAGGTACCTGTTCCGTAGAGTTTGAAATTGTTCAATTGGTCCAAGTTTTTGCCCCAAAAGAGAAAATGCCCGAAGTGCTGGTAGAAGTCCTTAAACAGCCTATTTTTGGGGGAGACATCTCAGTTCCTACATCTGCATATAAAACTTTCTGTTTGTCTGTGTCCCATTCACAGGGCTGAAGTATAAGGTGCTGGGACCAGTTGTCAGTAAAGGCAGTATGATTCAATGAATCAATTAAATCAGGATGGAGAAGGGAAGCAAAAAGTCCAAGCCAGATAAGTGGAACTACCCATGAAACTGGAGGGTGTGGTGAACAAAAGCAAAATGATTAGTCACAAGGTCAGGAGCAAGGTGAGTCAAGGGGAGTGGTTCAGAAAGTAGACTGTGAGGAACCTTGGGAAGTGGTGAATGGGGGTGGCTGTGTTTTATCTCAAGCCCCACTTCTTAGTGTAATGGGTATGGGGCTGTCAGCTGAACAGCTCTTATTAGGCCACATGCATGGAGCCCACTGGAGGCAGTTGGCTGTGCAGCAGCTGGAAGTCTCCCCTAGGACAACTTGTTCATTTCACCCACAGCATTGGGAAACCTGGATGAAGAAGAAGGTGGGAGAAGACAAGGAGGCTACCATTTTCTCTGCAGGAAATGGTGGTTAGCTCAAAGCAGAGGAGAATTCAGCAGTGTAGATGAAGCTTGAGTCTTTACAAAGTACTTTCCCATCCTTTTCTTTTGTCCTTCTCAGTGGCCCCAGGATGAAGAAAGGTAGCTAGATGGAGGATGGTTCTCCTCATTCCGCAGATGATGAACTTGAAACCAGTGACAGTGAGTGAGTTTCAGGTCACATAACTATGTAGGGCCAGGGCTTGATTGTAAATCTCATTCTAGCTGTAACTCTTTCCATTACAATTTACTAGTATTCAAACGATATGTAAAAAATAAGCAAATAATGAAACACAGCATTTTGCAAGACATAAGGGTAAGATTGTAACCACGTCTCTGCAATTCTCGTGGAGACTTTGGTATTTGCCCTTGGCCACCTCCTTTCCTACCCTTCTGGCCCTGATTGGGCACTGGTGAAAAGGTGTCTGTGAGCATCTACCACACTTGCCTCCCCCATTACACAGACTGGCATTCTCTCTATGGCCACAGTCCTCAGGGTAATTAAGGTTGTGGAGTAACAGGAAATATTTTATTCAGTAAGATTGTACTCATTTGCTTATTCAGTTGCTGAACTATCTTCCAGGAATACATCAGAAGGTTTTACCATTCTATTTGCCTGCCTTAGTTGGGAGATCTGAAGGAAATGAGTTTAATTCACCCTTCACATTTCTAATTAAAACTTTTTACATTTCAAGCTTTTTGACAGGAAAAAAAAAAGAAAAATTCTGTGGAAGGCAGCTTCGAGAAGACATAATCCATGTGTGATTGTTTGAGAGCAAGAAGGGTTAAAAAAGGCAACAACAAAAAACCTGCTCATTTTTGCTGCTTGCTTAAGAAAAAAACAACTCAAGCCATCTCCAAATGTAGTTTAATCCATTTTCAGACTTTATACATTATGCATCAAGATTTTGTACAAAAGGAATTTGAGAGGAGTGTTTGCATGAAACCACTTCAGTGGATTAAATTTGCAGTTCAGCACATTAGACTCAAAAAGTATACAAGACATTTTGAGAGTCCCTGACTCCTTCCTTTATATGCATAGTTCCTACTTCAGGTAAATAAGTTTTTAAGAATGAGTGGATTCCAGCAGCTGTCTTTAAGGGAAAAATTAAGAAAGGATTTGGTCTACCTTCCACTTAGCTTCACAATGATTGCAAATGTTTGAAGAACAGAAAGCCTAGTTGAGAAGGTGGATCTAAGCTGTTCTATGGACCTCGAGATTCTTTTAGGCAAAGCTGCCCTATCCAAGGTGGAAAAGCTAATGTGAAAAGACATTCTCAATAGAAGGAGTTCACACAGCGATGTCATAACTGCAAACCCCACCCACCTTCAGTTCAGAGTTGAGATGCCACTTGCGTAGGCCACCCAGATGGTAAGCTCAGACAGTCATCCAGATGTCTTTATCTAGTGGAGGCCAAACATCACTGAGACCACATCTGGATGTTTAGTGGGCCAACGACATTTTTATTTCCTGCTGTTTAAATAATAGATTTGGGGGATCTTGGAAACGTAGTCTTTATTTCCTCTTACCCCAGAGTTGCTCTGCTGCAGGAACACACTTTATGACAATCGGGTCAAATCAGAAGCAGCCAGAGAGCCACCCGTTTCTGGGCTGTTAATGATGGGAGGTCCTAAACTGACAGGCGGAGTCTGACGTCTAAACATCATGACTGTTATAAACCAGGAGGTGTCCAAACAACCTATGGAGCACCTGAAAGTTTCTATAATAACTTGTATTTTTTTTTTTCAAGTGTTGAAAACTTCCTAGCAGTGTGGCTGGTTGCCTGGGCTACAGTGTTGTGTTGACAGCTCTGGTCCTTTTCCTGGCAGCCGAGGATCTGCACAGTGACCAATGAGAGGGGAGCATTCTGCTCTGAACTTTCCATTAGGCTGATGATTCACTTTGAAATCCACACTTTATGAATGCTGTGAATTCAATGTAATGTAGCTGTTGAGGTGTCTACATTCAAATTTGATTCCATTAACTTTACGGTGTGATTAAGTGTCTGAATCATCAGGACTTGGGATTGAATTTATGTGCCTTCTGCGAGCCCTTTTGTAGACTGGTAGTTTTGATGAGTGTAATTTGATGTATGGGATTGGGAGAAGAAACCTAAAAAGATATCACCTCAAATATAACAAGGATCTGAGAACCCAAATTTGAGCGTTGAGGTGGGTGGTCACTCTCAGATGTGCAGAGTGGAGCTACTCTTCAGCATGCACACTTTTTTCTTTAAAGAACTTGATTTTTGGTGTTAGAAGGGACTTAGAGGTCCCTTCTAAGGGACCTCTAAATTTGGCTTTCAAATTTTAAAGTACTTAACTATTAATTAGGGTGCTTCTTAAAAAAAAAACGCCGATTTCAGATCGTGCCTTCTGATTCTGAAGGGCTGGAATGGGATGCAGGAATGGAATTATAGACCTCCCTGGGAGAAATGCTGACTTAGTTGTTTTGCATTTGGGAGAGTGATGGGCCTCATCCATGGCCTTCCTCACAGCTAGTGGTAAGAGAGTCAAGCCCAGAACTGGATCTCTATATGTTTCCTCAGGGGTCATTCATCACGTACTTAGTTCATGCTCATGCGAATTGACATTTATGACATGGAAATTATCGGTAGTAAGAAAGTGAAAAGAACATGGAGTGGCAGAGAGTGTGGCATATTGCAGTTTAGCAAAAATGAGTTCTGAAATCTCATTTGAAAATTTTAAGTTCTCCTTAACACATAGGGGTTAAATGGGAGATGCACAATGCTTCACATATTTGAGTCAATTTTAGGCAGTTGCTAAGATAGCAGTGTACAAAATATTTTTACTTTTGCATTTCCCTTTATAGATTTCTTTGGACTTAAATACACTGAAATTTTAATTTAAATTCTCCATGTATTTAAATTCTCCATGTATTTAAATTCCAGAATTGATGAAATTAAACACTTTTTCATTATTGCTGACAATTTGTACTTATTCTTTAATTCTTTGTGAATCATTTTTCAGATCCTTTGTGAACTTCTCTACTGAGTTGCTGGCTTTTTTTTTCTGGTATTGTTTTTAAATAGATGTTTTTTATTAAAGTTATTAACTCCATGTCTGTCATACAATTCCCTGAAAGTGTTTTTCTGTTTTTTGTTTTATGTTTATTTATGGTTACTTTTCTTTTATATGGAGCAGTTTAAAATTTTTCTACAGAAACATTAAAATCCTTTTTTCTGTTCTCTGTGATGATGTTTCATCAGTTTTATTTGTTAAAGCTCTCCCTATTACAAGATCAGGAAAATAATTACTTATACTTTTTTATAGCTATTTTGTAGTTCTAATATTTACTGCTTTCACTTGTTGGTATGCTTTATAAAATATAACATACAAAATATAAATATATAACATATAAACATTATTCCTCAAATAGTTGTCCTAGCATCATTTCCTGTATATTACTTTCTAATTGGTTTGTAAAATACATGATAACTACCATTTATTATATACTTAGGTACAGTGCTAAATATATTTAATGAATTGTTCATTTTAATGCATATATATTTTATTTGCTTCTTACAACAACATTCTAGCAGTTATTTTAAATCCCCTTTTACAGATGAGCAAACAGAGGCTTAGATAGCTCAAGTTGCTTATCTATTAAGAGGCAGAGCTGAGGGGTAACCTCAGGATAGAGTGACTCCAAAACCCACAGACTCAGTCACCCAAATCAGTTTTACCATAAAACAAATTCTTAGTGTTAAGGTCATTTTAGGGTTTTGTATTCTGTTTCATTAACTGGGTTTCTATTTTTTGCACTAATATCATACTTTTAAGTATTTTAGCTTTATAATGTTTTTAAAACTGAAAGTGTCACACCTTATTACTCTTCAGCTTTTCAAATATTGAGCTCTCACTGGTTCAATATTCATGTTCACCTCAGTCTAACATCAGCAAATACAAAAATACTTCCTGAGATTTTCAATGGAGTTACTTTTAAAACTTGACATCTTTCCTATATTTAAACTTTGCATCTAGCAAAATGTCCTTTAGAAGAGTTTTATAATTTTCTTCAAACAAGTCCTTTACCTCTAACTGCCACTTTAAGTATTCTGTATGTTTGTTACTCTTGTAAGAGATTTTTTTCCATTATATTTTCTAACCATTGTTAATTTATAGATAATCTATTTTTTTTTTGAGATGGAGTCTCACTTTGTTGCCCAGGCTGGAGTGCAATGGAGCGATCTCAGCTCACTGCAACCTCCATCCACTGGGTTCAAGTGATTCTCCTGCCTCGGCCTCCTGGGTAGCTGGAATTACGGGTGTGCGCCACCATGCCTGGCTAATTTTTGTATTTTGGGTAGAGACAGGGTTTTGCCATGTTGGCCAGGCTGGTTGCGAACTCCTGACCTCAAGCAATCTGCCCATCTTGGCCTCCCAAAGTGTTGGGATTACAGGCGTGAGCCACCGACCAAGCCCAGCCAGATAATCTGTGTTTTAATATTTATTTTCTCATTTGACTTCTTACTGAAATTTTTAGAATGATTTTCTCATGGTTTTTCATTGTAGATAGTTTTACAGTCTACAAACAATAATGATTTCGGCTTTGTGTTAATTATGCTTTTAAGTCCTACATGCTGTCTTAAGGCAGTGGTAGAAAAATCAAAATACTAGTGGTGAAAACAGCCAACCAACCAGCGTATCAGTCTGCCTTCTGCACTTTCTTTCACGAGAGATTTACAAAGTACCTATTCTGCACCAGACGCTGTGCTCAACCTTGGAGATAGAGCACCAAACCAGATAGAAACAGTTTCTGTCCTTCTAGAGCTACAGCCTGGGCTGGAGACAGACATTAAACATGGAATAATACAATTACTTCAAATCACAACCCTTATCTCATTCTTGATTTTAATGAGAATGCATCTGGTGTTTCAATTTTTAGTCAATTTGAGATATTCTTTAAGATGTGTTCTTCTAAGACTAGTTTTCTAGTTTTTTAAAATAAAGTCAGTATGTCTCTTGAGTTTTAGGAAAAGGTTTCTCAATGTTGCCTCCTTTCACCTGTTTTCAACTTCATGCATTGTATAAACAATAAACCTGAAGCTTAGTTGGGGAGATGTGACAGGCCCACCATCATGACATTTATTTCGACCGAATCGTTGCTGGAATCCATCTCTAGAATTTATCTCAGTACTGCAAGGGCAATGTGTCTATTTACCAGATGTCACGAACCTGTCAATGTATTTAACTTAGATTGGAGGCTTTTCCAGAACAAGAACTGTTTCTGGGATGCTCTTTGGGCTTCCCTGGGTCAAAATAGTACCTGCTGCATTCCAATGATTGCTACTGGAAAAGGAGAATCTCCATGCTTCCAGTGGGTTGATCTGGAGGCTGGCAAATGACACTGAAGGCTGGGATGCAGCATACAACCAGTCAGAAGCAGTGTTTAATTCTTCTTCTTCGTAAAAAAGTCAATATAGAATGTATGAAAAACACAGAAAGATTTTTTTAAAATCACCTGTAGTTTCACCACTAAGAGATAACCCTCCAATTTGTTTGAATTCTTTTTCTTTGCCTATCAATGTTCCCGCACAAACACAAGTCATACTAAATGATAGATTTCACCCTTTTATCAGTTGATAGTATATTATAAGCAATTTCCCAAATCTGTAATTGTCTTATTATTTTGTTTGTTTTGTTTCCTCCGTTTAGTGCTGTGCAGTGCTCTGGTGATTCATCTGTCTATTCATTTTGAAATAGTTCTAACAAATAAAGGAGCCTATGAGGACACCTTGAATAAAGACACTTAACTAAATCTGAAATAGCCACACTTGGTTGAATGAGTGATGACCATGTCATCAATATTTCAGCAGAAAGGAAATGGCAATAATAATTCAATATGAGGCCAGCACCCAAGAGCTGAATAGACTTGGTTTCAAAAATTTCTAGCTATTTTTCACAGACATGTTAGAATGCAGTAGCTTTTTCTATGACAATTATTTTTAAACCACACCCACACATAGAGATAATAATTAGCACCAGTAGCATAATCTTTGAAAAAGAAGAAAATTTCTATCTATTTGTCTGTCTATCTACCTATCTATTATCTATATCTAAATTTGGAAATGAAGAATGAAGTGAATGTTAGGTCATTCCAAGATATAAAATATTACAGAGGAAAGATCGCTTTGTGGAGTAGAAATGGCAATTACCTGCCCAATAGCTGTTCTTTTTTTTCTCTCTAACAGAATCCCAATTTTGTTCAAGTATTGGCTGACTGTGTTTTTCAGGGCCATCCTCTAGCCTTGGTTAGTAAATCTTAACTCACCTAAATCTATCATGACAATTCTACTTCACTTATCAATATCTGGTTTAGGGTTCACCATGCGACACAATTCTGGCCAAAGGGACACAGAAAATTATCTTGGCAGGCTTTAGGAAGTTTTTCTTGTTCTTAAGAAGATATATAAAAGAGGAAAAAAATGTTTCTTAAAAAAATTTTTTTTTGAGTATTTAGTCTTTTTGTGAGGATATTGCCGCCATTTTGGGACTATAAAGGAACAATACTGGGGACAAAAGCCAAGGTGCTGGTGAGGGCACCACAGATAAATGATCTGGGTCCTCCATGACGTCATGAAGGGTCTCTACATTTTTTTTTGTTGTTATTTTTTGAGCCATTTTGAGTTTAGCATTTTGCTTACTTGCAGCCAAGAACATGCCAACTGATTCAGGTTGCACCCATCACAAGTGAACAACTGGTGACTGAGCATGTTTGCAGGAGGGAAAAACAAAGTTCTGTTTCTCTTTCCAACTCTGTGTATGATCTGACTGTGCCTTTTATTTTAACCTATGGAACTGTCTACTATCTAAGCCAGATTAATACTTCAGAAATACATACTAGTGTTTAGAATTGGATATAGTTAATATCCATAGCAGCCAACACATCAATATTGGCTCTGCTAAGGGACTTAGCCATGTTCTTGCAGTAGGTATTTAGTAAATAATTTTTAGTGAATTAAAGACTATAACAGCTGAAGAAATGACCTTGGCCTAAGGGGAAAATTACTAGAAAATTAATAATTTTGGGTCTTGTTTTTTACATTTCTTATTAGAGAAATCCCAAGCCAATCATAGACATTTTAAAAATTACTAGCCTCACTTAAAGGAGAAAGTAGTTAAGGTGTGGACCCTGGTCGAAAATTCCTAAGCGTGCAATTCATCATACTTGTGAGGCTCAGTGAATTATTTCATAGAATGTCAGTTCAGGAGGGACTGTGGGCTTATATAAACTAAGAAGTAATTACCTTATATAATAAAACTATAAGCAGGTCCCTAGTTAATGAATTTGCTAGTTGCTTTTTCCAGTTTATAGACATTGACCCATATGAGACATATTATGTATGCTAAACGTAGAAAGACATATCGATTGAGTTAATTAGAACAGGCTAAGTTGTTGTAAAGAATGGACCTAAGAATGAAGTGGCTCTAAGAAGTGGAAGTTCATATTTATTGCTCATCAGACAGTCTGGATGTGTGCTCCAGGTTGGTGAGTTTCTCCTGTCAACGTGTTTATTCAGGAACCCAGGCTGATAAGTGCACTGTTACCTTCAAATTCTCATTGTCCTCACTGCTATGCAGCCAGCGGAAGAAGAGAGGAGAGAACATGGAGGAGGTGTTGCCTGGTCTTGAGCAAAGCCCTTAACATAGCCAATTTCACTTCTGCCCACATTCCACTGGGTAGAACTTCATCACATGGCCATACCTAACTGCAAAGGGATCTGGGAAATGGAGTCCAACCACATGGTTAGGGAGAATGGGAAAATGGATTTTGGTGGGCAGATTCTGACGCATATGTAGGGTAATAGAAAGAGCACTGGGTTGGAAAATATCCTAACTGGGGTGACCCCATCCTCCCAGGTCTCTTCTTCATTCTCCCTGCTGCAGCTAGAGTAATCTTTGCATAGTGCAAAATGCCTGTCCTTCACCAACCACCTCCAAGTTCTGCTTAAAATCTTTTAATAACCTCTGATGATATTTAGGACAAAGACAAAACTCTTTATTCTGACTTACAAGGTTTTGCATTATCTAATCTCCACTTATATTCATCCTCAACTTTGAAAAATGCTCTTTCTCACTTAGAGACTTCAGCCACACAGGCCTCCTTTCACACCCTCTGCCTTCCATATTTTATTTCCACAGGGATTTGCACTTGCTGTTCCCTTTGCTTAACAACTTTCTCCTCTCCTTGCTTAACGAGTGCCCAATTCATCCTCGACATGTGACTCTTCAGTAGAACCTTCCTTGATTAGGTCAAATTTATCTATGTAAGCTCTCGTTGCAGGGTATACCTTTTTTCATAGAATGCGTTATAGCTTTTTTAAAAAATAATTGTTTATGTGATTGATTAAAATCTACCTCTCCCAGTAGACTATAAACTCCATGACGCAGTGGTTTTATCTGTTTTTGCTGATGTATGCTTAGCATAGCTTCTGACACACAGAAGATACCCAATAAACATTTGTTGAATATAACCATGTTTGAATGAATGAATCATAATGTGGATGCTAGTTTGGACTTTGTCATAAATTACTTGTGTTATTACAGTGTCTTTTCACTTTCCTGGCCCTCAGGAAAAGTGAGGGTTATTGTGAAAGGGTTAAACTAGAAGATGTTTAGGACTTTTACCACCATGGTCTTGTGGTAATACTATTTTTAAATCGAATCTTGTTGGTCATTGCTTTTGTTCGATCATTCAGTTATGCATACTAAGCAAATGCAACAATTCTGGTTCTGGCAAGATGGAGTGAGAACACTTTTTATTTGGAATTTTTGACTATTACAAATTCAATGCAAATTTTAAATTTATTCTAATCCATAAAGTCCAATAACAATGCAAAAAGGGACTGGATAGAGTTAATGAAAAATAATAATATCAATTTTTATACTAAAAAAGGAAAGAAAAATCTATATTTTGTTGGTCATTGTAACAGTTTAACTCACGCGTGAGGTTGGAAGATGAGTACTGTTACTTTTATTCTGGTTGAATTTGGGCCTTGGTTTTATGAAAGCTATCCATGTATTGACAATGCATTAATATAAAATGTCACTCGTATTAAAAACGTGTTACTTTTTCCTCTTTTTGATTTTGAGATGAATATTCAATGAAAATATTAATAACCAGGCTATTTTGATCTCTTTTTTTGGTGATAGGATGGCAGGTGATATGATTATTACCAAGCTTGATTTTAAGTAGCTGGATAGCATTTCTTTATTTGTTTATGTATTTATTGTGTTTTCCATGTTATATAAAACAAGGACTGCTCATTTAGAGAAGTCTTAGCAGAATCTAAAGAAGCCTTACCTCATTGTGAGCTACTTGAGAGACTGGGGCCATTCTATAGATGTTTGATCTCTCTCTCTCTCTCTCTCTCTCTTTTTGTTTGAGAGATGGGGGTCTCACTCTGTCCCCCAGGCTGGAATGCAGTGGTGCAATCATAGCTTACTGCAGCCTCAAATTCCTAGGCTCAAATGATCCTCCTACTTCAGCCTCCCAAGTAGCTGGGACTACAGGCATGTGCCACCAGGCATCACTAATTTTTAAGTTTCTTTTGTAGAGACGAAGGTCTCTCTATGTTGCCCAGGCTGGTCTTGAATTCCTGGCCTAAAGCAATTCTCCTGCCTTGGCCTCCCAAAGTCTTGGGATTACAGGTGAGCCACTGTACCCAGCCTGGTTGATCTCTCTATTTAAGATTAGCTGATAGAACATATTATGATGTTGTGTTATACAATTGAGTTTGGTACTAAAAGAAATCAATGTACTCTGCTTTTATAAAGTATGCATATTTTTGGAAAGTTTCGAATTCTACTATGGAAGTAAGAAGGTATGAAGAGGCCCAGAACAGATGAAAATTACAATTACCCTTTTAAAATGGGATATATTACTTTCTGTTTTTTCTGAGTATATTTTTTCTAATTTGCAAGTTGACTATATTTGATTTTTCATGTGACATTTACAAGGGGGTATCATTTTATTAATAGTGACATCTGACTGTGGGCATTTTTTCTTCTAATTAATTTTGTTTTGACTAATATTCTTTTTTAAAAATTAATAGATTTTATTCTTTTAAAACAGTTTTAGATTTTTTTAGAAAAGTTGTAGATTTGTAGAATAATTGAGCAGATAGTACAGAATTCCCCTATACAGTCCCCACTCCACCACTGCACACAGTTTCCTGTTAGTATTATTATTAATCTTACATTAGTATAGTACATTTGGTGCAACTGATGAACTACTATTGACACATTTTTATTAATTGAGTTTCATAGTTTATTCATATTTTTTAAGATTTCCCTTTTCTGTTCCAGAATCCCATCCAGGATACCTTACTACAATTGTTGTCATTCTCTTTACGCTCCTCTTTGCTGTGACATTTTCTTACACTTTCCTTGTTTTGATGATTTTGGCAGTTTTGAGGAGTACTAATCAGGTATAGACTGTTCCTTCACTGGAATTTGCCTGATGTTTTCATCACGATTAGACTGGGGTTTTAAGTTTTTGGCATGAAGATCGCAGAGATCTTCACCATTTTCACCTCATATCAAGGGTACATGCATTAACATGATTTATTGACTGTTGATGTTGACCTTGATCACCTGGCTGAAGCAGTGTTTGTCAGGTTTCTCAACTATGAAAGCATTACTTTTTCCATACTATATTCTTTGGAAGTCTGTATGTACAGCCCATACATCAGTGGAGTTATACTCCTCCTCCTTTGAGTGGAGTATCCATATAATTTATTTGGAATTCTGCAAAGAAGATTTGGACCAAAATTATTTCAATAGGTGGGTTTATCTGGGTTTGAGGATTATCCTTCTAAGCATTTTGTGGTTATAATTCTGCATGTTCTTTTGAAAAAGAATATTCACTTGTGTGTCATCTGTCTCTAGATTATAAACGTCATTAATTCCATGGACTCCCTCAAGTCAAGGACCTTAATTGTCTTCTTTCATTCTGGTACTTAGAACGCCCAGAATAAATTACAAGCTAGATTAAAAGGAAGAAACAAACACCAAAATGACCATCGAAGACATTTTCAATGAACATTCTCTGAAGCTAAAAATTATATTAACATAAAACACTTTGGCAGCTCTGACAAATAAAATACGATAAACCAATCTTCTTCACTGCAGGTTCTTCTGTGAAAAGGAAAGTCATCCTGAAAGCGAAAGGAATTTTTAGTATTCTCTCTTTGGTTTGGAATTACTTTGATCTGGATGGAATTATTTTGATCTGGATTCATCTTTCTTTGGAAACTTAAATTAATAGGTATTATGGCTGTCATGAGGGGGTCTTGACTTCTCTTATTTAACAGATGAATGTCCAGGAAACAAATGACTTTCATGTCCAGAAGAGGGACGTCTTCCAGAGGCTGAAATTTGAGATGTCAGAAGTATTTCTCCTCTACAATTGTTGGGAAAAGGAGCACATTTATTTTCTAGGGGAACGGAAGCATAATGAAATGCAATCTAAGAACATGCAAACTTATTATCTACCAGGATGATTGAATGGTTCCAATCAAATGAAGGATAGAAATAGAGGCTTTATATTCAGATTTTGGAAAAATGACTCCACAGTTATATTAAGGCACAATAGTGCCTGCAAATACCTGAAATAGTGGTAGTCTGTGGCTTGTTTATAACATAATGAATATATTTGCTCTTTGAAACTTATCATGGGATCTATGCAAAAAGTTTTCCAAATTATTCCTGCAAATGGAAGAAACATACTTTATTGTGGATGATGACAGTAAAGCTTCTCCTAAGTGATAGGTTGGTATTATTTTTAAATTGGCTCTTCAGAGGGCAACCGTTATGCCAAAGACTACTTAGAGTAGGTGGACTCTGTCACTTTAAAAAAGTCAAACATTTTCTTTATTTCTCCCTCTCTTAGAAACTGCTATGAAGTGGTGCTATGACATCATTAGCAGTAGGACTCTTTTTATAAGAATATTCCCTTTTCCAGGTCTCCATAGATAGAAGTCTTGGTACTAGAGAGATGACCTTTTTAAAAACATAAATCTGATGTCACTTGCTACGTAACGTTTGTCAACAATGAGTCATTGTTTTTAAGTTAAAAATAAAAATCTGTGCCCAGGTGCGGTGGCTCACGCCTGTAATCCCAGCACTTTGGGAGGCTGAGGCGGGCGGATCACGAGGTCAGGAGATCGAGACCATCCTGGCTAACACCGTGAAACCCCGTCTCTACTAAAAATACAAAAAAATTAGCTGGGCATGGTGGCGGGCGCCTGTAGTCCCAGCTACTCAGGATGCTGAGGCAGGAGAATGACGTGAACCAGGGAGGCAGAGCTTGCAGTGAGCCGAGATGGCGCCACTGCACTCCAGCCTGGGCGACAGCGAGACTCCGTCTCGAAATAAATAAATAAATAAATAAAATAAAAATAAAAATAAAAAATAAAAATAAAAATCTGTAATATGGTCCACAACCCCACAACAACGTTGGCTCTGGACAATTGTTCAGCTTCAGCTTGTGTCCCAAGGACTTGGCACATGCCTCCTTCTGTCAGAAACACATCTTCCTTCACCTTCCCTCTGGTTAAATTTTACTTCTTGGGCCCAGCCCTGAAGTTACCCATAGGAAGCTTCTCTGACCTCTTAGATGCCACCAAGCTCCTTTGCCTTATATTCTCCTAACTCCCTGAGCTTGTCTTTACCACAGTTACTATTAACTGCCCCCACTAAATTATTAGGGCAGATACCATGTCTATTTGGCTCACCACTAAATGCCCAGGCACATAGAAGGTGCTCAACAAATACATAATACATGAATAGATGAATGGAAATGAGTTATGTATTCTATCCTTGGATACATTTTCCAAAAACTTAATACACTCATTAGCATAAGCAAGTTTGTTCCCTTACTATAGTAATAAGGGAACAACAACAAACTTGCTTATTCTAATAATATTATTATATAATAAGGAAAAGGAAAGGTTAGCTTTCCCTTGATTTCATGTCAACTATGAGATGGCCAGATGAAGATAAAGGTTAAGCACGTGGGTTTTGTGATCGTACAGGCCCAAGTTCCAAAGTTAATTCTACCACCTACTGGCAGTACGATCATGGAGAGTTACCTAAACTTTCTCTGTATTCCAGTTTCGTCATCTGTAAAATAGGTCAGACTTGGTTTGGAAGCCCCGTCCCACCAATTATTAAATGTGTAACTTGGTTTAGGTTAATAATCCCTCTAAGCTTCAGGCTCCATAACTATAAAATGAGGCTAACTATTAAAGGCTAATAGTATCTACCTATCATCTCTCTCTCTCTCTCTGTCTCTCTCTCTCTCTCGGTTATTAGGAAGACTAAATGAATATAGTCTTCCTAATAACCATAATATATATATTATCATCACACATTATATATGTTACATGAATATATATATATATTTTCTTATAAACATATGAAAAGGTGTTCAACCCATGTGGAGTAAAACAATAAAAGCAAATTAAAGCAGTAGCATGACATTATTTTCTATCAGAATATCAAAGACAAAAAATTGACTAATGTACGTTGTTGGTAAAATGTAGAGAAAGAGGTATTCTTATACACTGTTGGTGGGCATACAAAATGGTGAAATATCTTTGACAATATCTAAGAATATTGGAACGCACATACAACTGGACCTAGGAATTCCGCTTCTAGAGTTTTGACCTACAGGTATAATTATACACATTCACAAAGATGTGTGCGCAAGGGTGGCGATACAGCATGGTGATAACAAACTGCTGGAAACAAAAAAGTTCAGCAGGAGGACCCATCAAAAAATCGTGAAACTGATAAATATTACATGGTTGTTAAAATGTACTGATAGGGAATTATCTCTCAGATATATTACTTGATGAAAAAGGAATGTAAACAGCAATATTAATTGTGTAAAAAAAGACCACTTATGCATGTATCCAATTGTTCGAATGGGCAAAAAATACTTTTGAAAGTTGTGGTTGCTCTTGCTCCTATTATCATATCTGAAAGTTGGGTTGCCAGAGAGATCCCTGGGCTCCTCCACCATGGAAAATATAGGAGATCAGAGTGGCAGGGTGGCTACCATGGGATGACTTCAACAGAGGGAGAGGACATGCTGCCCCACAGGTGCCAGTGGAGAGACAGAGAAGGCTCGGAATTCTGGCAGACAGCCTAATCAAGCAACTGGGCAATGGGTATTAGGGATGGGCAGTGGCATATTGAGTCCTCATAACCACTTCAAAAATAAGTGTCACTTCCATTGAATAGATGAGCAAATAGAAGTTGAGTAGCCTGTCCAAGGTCACACACTCACCAGTGTGAAGCCAATATCACACTGTGGGAGTCTCAGTCTAGAGACCACAGCTTTAAGCACACTTACATATATTGTCTCTATATAGTGTTTAGGCATCCTAGTGCTATTTTGATTCAGTCTTAGAGTCCTGATACTTCTGACTGATACCCTTGCTCAAGTAAGCACTCTTTATTAGAAATTCAGGTCTACTCTGTGCCAACAATTGCACTTGAAGCTGTTTTTGGTGACTTTTGGAAGCTCCTTTATTCCACATTTGCAGTCTCCCCCGTTTCAGTTTGCTCTGGAGAAAACACTGCTTGATGGAATCCAGACTACATGAGCCCTCCTACTGATCTGCAGCCATCAACGTTTTCATTCAGGAAGGACAGCTCAGAGAAGAAACACATCTCCAGACCTTTTAGTTGTGGAACTACAGGAACAATAAACATTGTTTTACCTCAAGGGGTACTCTTACTTTGCTGATCAGTGTAGTTAGAAAATTACCAAATGCTGTCAGATCTGCCTGTGCCCCCAGTGAATATAGTTTGGGCAGTTTCTTTGAACTGATGGAGAAAGTAGGGTTAAAGCTGATATCCAATCAAGTGTCACCCAGATCCAAGTACTGTATAGCCTGGAAAATTTTTGAAGAAACTGCTACCTCCTAGCAATGCTCTCCATTCCAGTAAACTCTGAAGTATAAGAACTTTGGAAAAGAGTTCGGTAGTAATTAATTAATTTGTCCAACTGGGGACAATCAGCTGGCAAATTGATATTTTTCTTTTGAAATTATATTTTAATAAAGGTATTTAAAGACTTGAGATTTTTAAAAATCATTCCACTTCAATATAATGGCTAATTCTGGGAACTCTATGAGTTTGATTTGTATTTAAGATTTTTACAATCTATATATAGGTTGGTCTTTAATAACCATTTATACATTGCTTCTTTTTATATAGGTCATGTATTCTCCTGGGAGAGTAACAAGATTAGAAATAACAAATACAGTACAGAATAAATTAAAGTGCTTCAAACTGCATTATATAATTTCAGAAAATTGGTTTCACACTGAAACGTTTAAATAAGAAAACCAAATGATTTCAGTAAAAAAAAAAAAAACCTCATATATGCATTTGAATTGCTATTGTTTAACAAATTTTATCCTCAATAGTGTGGTACTGGTATGTTTTCACAGTGTTCCAGTAACGTGGCAGTCCGTTTGGGTCAAAATGGATGAAGTTATTATCATCTTTCTTTATTTCTGGTTATTTAAAAAGTTGACTTCATTCTCCTTGAAGATGAATAGGATTTATTAGTCAAAACGTCAAAGGACTATCATAAAAGTAATTGTATTTTTATATATAATTTTTCAAACTCTTGTATACAAAATGTTCTCATTACACTTGGTGCAATAAATTCAGAGGCTGTTATGGGATGGGAGATAGCAAAATTGGGACCAATACTTTTCTAATTACTTAGGAAAATAAAAAGTGGGGCTTGGTTTTCCTTTCACAACTAAGTGATGGAGACACGACGCTCCAGAGAGTCTGTTATTCTGGCTGGTTTTGTTTGTTTCTGTGAAGTTTAGCATCACTCTCCTTGTACCAAGTCCTTAGGCCTTTTTCAATTTTTCTATTCGTGCATTAAAGGCCTCTTCCTGTATTTGCAGTTTTTCGTTTATCTCGGTCTGTGAAGACAATCATAAAAAACGTGGTTATGATGGAGCTATCTTTTGCTGCACATTGTCTTTGTGGTTTTGACATACTATAGTGCCTAAAGACAGATATTATCCCTCACACACCTTCCTGTTTTGCAGACATAGCTGTGTTTCAGCCTGTAGTGATGTGATAACACTTTATCATATTTCTCTGCACATTTCCAATGTATAGCATGTCTGCTATGAACAGGAAGTGGTATTTGGACAGCCATTTTTCACAAAGCCTTGTGTTGGAAGATAGGATAATTTATCTGTATTTTCAGACAGACTTTACCAATAAGCACTGAATCAGAATAACTGCTTTGGGCTCAGTTATTGCAGTGCTGTGGGTCCCTCCACCATCTGCAATGGATGTCTGTGTCTCCCGTGTAATACATTCTAAATGAGATCCCAGGAAGCTTCTGTTGTGAAATAACAACACAAATAACCTTACAATTAGAACAACTCCCATAATTAAGAGTATTCATCATACATTAGAACTCTTGGAATGATGCCACTTTCTGATATATTTTTGGTAAAAAAAGTAAGCAATTGCTCTCAGGTTTTGTGATTGCCGAGGTGGTGATAGCATTTTGCCTCTGGCAGCGATCTTCTGTGGACTCACATTGCTACCTGCACAATTCCATAAATACGTTCACATTAACTGAACATTAGTAGCCCTGGAAATGTCTTCCCTTTTTCACAAGGGATAATAAAATTACATACAGAAAAAGCAGTGGTGGTTGACGTGGCAAAATTGATGTTTTTGTTGTTGTTTAGGTGATTTTTAAAATGTCTACCGCTGTATAAGGAGTAGCTTATACACATATGTGTTAATAAATTCAAAGTTTGGATTTCTAATAGCTATAACATTATTTGAGGGCTTCAGGGTAACTGTACTTTGCAAACCTTTTATTATTTTAATTTAGATAGAAGACATTTAAAAAAATCAAATACTGTTTTAAGCCCAGATATAATTTTTCATATTTATTTACAAGAGTGTAACTATAACAGATAGTTGTGACATGTCCATGCTGCCTTATCTGATGAGATTTGATTTCACCTCACAGTAAGATTTGATATTTCTGGAAAGATCGTATGTGTGCCAACAATTCTGGGTTCAGAACTCACATAAGTATCAGTCTTTTCTGGTTCAAGCTTTAGTAAACCTTGGGATCAAGCTCCGGCCTCTGGTTTCTTATCTTTTCCTTTCTTGGTGGTTGGGTGGAGGAGGCAAGGAGGGATGGAGCGGTCCTCCAGGTCACAGAGGAACTCTTCCTTTAGGATGCACTGACTCTAAAGAAATCATCATCTATGCATGATTTTAGGTAGGGTCGAAAGAAGCACTGATCTTGGACTGGGAAGATCTAGGTACTAGTTCAGCTACGTCACCTTAGGTAAGTCATTTCACCACCTGGATTTTAGCTCTTACCTTAAAAATTAAGTAGGGGAATAGGATTATGTTAATATCAAACTTTAGTTTTTGAATTCATAATTCCAACTTCCAATTTTGTGATATACTTCACCAATGTTATCTTTCATTGTTATGATGTCATGAAATACTTAAAAATCTGTTACTCCTGCCTTATTAAAATAAATTTATGGGATACAACATATTGGACCACATAGGGATTAAAATGGTTTGAAATAATTTTACCACAATTTCAAAGGATTGGGAAGAATTGCGCCACTCAAACAATCGATTCTTCCCACTTTCAATTAATGTCCCTCTATGCCCACCAGTAATCTCATTTCTTTTCAGCTAAGGATTGATGTGCTTATCATCTACCAGTTTCTGTTTCACTACCACATAGGGATTTTACATTCACTTGGAGGCCTTTCTGGTATTTTACCGAGACAGAATTTATCAAAACAAGTGTAGGCCTTGGGAAAAGGTTCATGAAGGGGCAGCTAAGAGAGTGGCATACTGACAGAGGTGAGTAATGTCTCAGATCTCCAGACCTTAGGCTTAGTACTTTAGTTCAGTCACAACCAGCAGAGTTTGGATCTAAAGGCTCCACGTCTAGTCAATAACAGGCTGTCATTAGCCGTGTTTCCTTGTCATTCTTCAGAACTTTGCTGAACAGACAAGCAATCCTGCAAATACTATGGTTGGGTCTGGTTCTTTTTTTTTTTTTTAAGGAAAAAAAATATGTTCAGTAGTCTCTCATTGACCACTTCTTTGAGATGATTTCATGCTCAGCTTTTCTAACCTGGAAAATTCAAGTTGACCTAAAAACATCTAGGGTCCCAAGATGGCAAACTTCCCTCAAAGTTTTTATATTATATTACCCTATTGCTTCCACAGGGCCAACAGCCAACATGTAATGTAAGAATTTAGTGTTAGCATTCATATTTCTCTGAAATGTAATTCTTTAAATATATTTAAGTTTGCTCCCTTGGGTATAATTTTTATTACACAACTCAGGGCCAAAATAATTTCATTTTGAATGTATCTTTAAAATTAAAATACCTAAACTATACAGGCTTAAAATGTTTGCTCTATTCAGTATAATTTTAATTAACATCTCAGGGCCAAGATAACTTCATTCTTAATAAATCTCTAAAACCATAAAGTGAGTCAATGGGAAAATAAGTGAATTAACATAAAAAACTTATGGATTCATACTACATTTTCAGAAATTTCTGTATTAGAGAAGGTAAAATATGCCTGAAACCACATAGAAAAGGAATTTTGAAAACAACTGTACTTAAAACATGAATTATTTACTGCCTTTTTTTTGCAAAAATTGTAATAACAGTATGACTTTTAAACAAAGTAGGAGAAAAAAATCTGTGAGAAAATTTAAAACATCTTACGAGTAGTGATTCATTAAATATTCCTACAGCAGGTCGGTGTGTTCAAATAGCATATATACACTGACCACTGACACATAGCTACCTTTGAAAAGGGATATGGCAGTTCTTAGAGCCAGGAACACTGGAAGGCAGGTTTTAGAAGTGGAAAATAACCTACACATCTAAAATAGGAGGAGGAATTTAGGTAAGCAGAGAGTAATTACCCAACTTGGAATTTGACCAAGACACAAGGGTAAACGTGGAAAAAGTGCCACACCACGGGAGTATTAAAATCCAGAGTAGTCTGGTTGTGATATTAGAAGTTATGTGGTTTTTGTGGATAACGCTGGAATTAGAACTAGAACCCAGGTCACAGCTCCCATTCAGGGTCTTTTATCAGTTGTCAACCCTGGGAACTCTGGACAAATAACTTAAGTCTTTCTGTGTCCCATTTTTCAATTTATCAGGGGAAGTGCCTGCCTAACTCACATGGAGTTTACTAGGATTACTGATAGAAAATACATAAAGGGGTTTGCCATCTTGAGCCATTGTATAAATCCACATCATCATGCTATTTCATTGAAAAATTGGCAGTAATTTGGCCCAGGCTGATGTCTACAAATCCACTTACTATGGAAATGATTGTGGCACCTAGCGGTTCTGCATCCCTGTCCTCTGGTCCACATCCTCTCCATGCCTAATTACATTTAGGTGAGCAAGCTATTGAACTTCCAGGATGGCTTCAGGCCAATGGGAAGATAACATACAGACACATAGCTATCATATAGAATAGGGGTATAAATGCTGCAGACTGTAATATTTAAAATAATTTCAATGAATAGTTAAAACATACTGTTCACTGCATGGAACACAGCTTTGGTAAAGACGTTTTCAATTTTTTGGGCCTGCAAACAATTCAGTTACTGTCTGGTAGTTCCTCGGCAATAATTTCAGAGCTGTAGGATTGCAAAGGAGCCCAGAGCCATGATTATACATAAACTATATTTAGATGAAATGTTATCAGATCTAAAAAGGAGATATGTTCTGAACTCAGCTTAATTCAACTGCTCTCTGCCCTTCTACACAATAACCAGTTATTACATTCATGGAGTTGTTAACAATAAAGCTTTGTGTAAAACGTGTTCTTCCACTATTTCTGGTAAACACTAAACACCCCTTATTAAGCTGAGGACTTTGGCTGAGTCTGTTGGCACCAAATCATTAAATGTTCGTGTAAATAGTGCAATAACATTTGATGATTAAACAAGTAACAAGGTATGCTTATGCCAAGCTAATCTTTTGCTCTTTTTAAATTAGTTGTTAATACAGTGGGCTTTTAATATATGGTCTCATGTTCAGATGACAACTAAATCTTCTCCTGAGATGCATTAATATTTTAAATATGCACTAGGTTGCCCTCCTGATTTATAGCCATTTCTAAATAAATTGCAAATGTACTCAAAATATACATTTTACTTATTTAATCATTTGGCCTGAAAAATTATGTGAATTCCTGTAAGTCTTTGAGTTGAGGTAGAAATGGCTGTTTGTTTTTTGAACAGAATGAGATGAGAAAGAATTAAGCATAAACCTAAGCCAGTTAATAAATCATTGGCAGCTGCTATTCATACGGCTGCTGCCATCACCATGTTCATGTAATTATTGGTGTAAACTGCTTAGCCATTACTGATAGGTCAAAAGGAACAAACTGTCTGAGAGGCAGTTCAAAGATCTGAAAGCCTGTTAGAAATTTGGTGAGAAGACTTAGCTGAGGATTAAGGTTTGATCTTCAGTGTTTACCATTCAGAAATGCATTCCAATTCCTTTTGCATAAGCAACATTTACAGTTTGACAAGATATGAAGCCTTTACCATGTTATTTTTTGGGTTTTGTTGTTGATTTTTTTAACTGATAACATGCACCACACTAGATGCTGTTGGAAAATCTATTTTGTGATCTTACTGAATCTCTGATGACTCAACTGAGAATTATGTGAAGCTGTTAAATTGAACTTCGTCATAAGCATCGCTCATGCTGGCAGTGTGGGGAGTGTTTATAGACATTAAAGTTAAGGTTGGCTAATTAACCAGTAATAAAGTAAGTGAGCATACTATCAATACTGAGTACCTGAATGCCGATTAAAATGTCATCTGTGACTTGATCCAGCACTGATTTTACATCTTCAATGGTAAAACCAACTAAAGGATCCATGTCTGAGGTGTCAGTTTCTGGCTGAGACTCCTCAGGGCCTTGTTCTTGATCCAACCTCTAGAATATTGAAAGTAAATAGCACTCGGGTGATTTCTAGAGCATTCGGTGATTTATATGGAACCTAAAACTTCTTGTTTTAAATATATTTTATTTTACTTTAAGTTCCAGGATACAAGTGCAAAGTGTGTAGGTTTGTTACATAGGTATACGTGTGCCATGGTGGTTTTCTGCACCTATCAACCTGTCATCTAGGTTTTAAGGCCCGCATGCATTAGCTATTTGTCCTGATGTTCTCCCTTCCCTTCCTTGCCCACCCTCCAAATGGCCCAGATGTGTGTTGTTCTCCTCCCTGTGTCCATGTGTTCTCATTGGAACCTCAAATTTCTATTGGATACTTTTCTAGCAGAAACAATGTCAATCTGGGGGGAGATTTTGATATGATGTTACTCTGTATTTATATTCCTGTTCATGAGGGTTATGACAGATCAACTCATGGTACCAATGTGGTGCCCAGGGGAAAGTGAAGGTGGAGATTAGGAAGGGTAGGGTGGAAAAGATTAAAATTGCTGAACTACCATCAGCGGACTCATCTTTGAATCAACACTTAGAGAAATATTTGTATTTGGTTGGGAAAAATCAGAGGCAAAGAAAATGAAGAAAACATTTAGTTCGTTTCCTCCCACCCCAAGAGAATATAATGATGAGGTAGGGTGAATGGAAAGACAAAAAGAAATATACCTTCATTTCCGTATCCAATATTGTGGGGGGCTCTATGAATGTTGAATAAATATCAAATGAGATTCCTTCTTCCAGAGGATTTGGGAAAGGGCCACATGCAGACTTGACAACCTCTATCACTTGCTGATGGGAAGAAAAAAGTTGAATTATGACAGAGCCTTTGGTGAGCAACCACAGTTTCGGTCAGTTCCGTTATATATGTACCATAGTTCCAAGTCTGTTATCTTTCAAGTGCCACCTCCTTTGAATTTTTGATGCCATTGCCCTTTTTGTCCTCTAGTGCTTTTTGAGCTCCATTTCTCAAAATTAACACTTTGTTTTCCCACTGTCTCATTTCCTTTCGATACTCTGTGGTTTAGGATTTCATGTAGTATCTCCTCGTTCTTAACTGTTTTGTGCTTCAGTATCCCCCTTCTCCTGACTACAAGCCCTCTGTAGGTGGAGAACCAAGTTTTAGATGCTCTGTGTATCTTCTCTAGTTCTGGCAGAGGATTAGGTGTTTAATACACTTAATGTCATCCTGATGGGGACTGCTATTACTCAGCAGAATGTAGCTGCTGAAGTGGCCATCAAGAACTTGGTGATGAAGACAATAAGGGCTGCAAAGATTAATATATGAAGCCAGTAGATCAGGAAGGAGATTTGTCAAAAACACACAGGGCAAGGCAAGACTTCACTATGAGTATTTAACAATTCTTTAGCAACAGCGTGCCACTCAGAAGGAGGCTGACGGTTGGTTAACACTGGAAATGAAGGAAAAGGAGAGTCAAGGAAGCCAACTTTGGCAGTGCTCATCTCACTCTGACTTGGGGGAGGGAAAGGGGAGATGAGGGTATTAATAACATTAAACATTTGATTCATTTAATTAGTTGTTCTAATTCCATGTTTAATAAGCAACATTTGATTTTAATTTCAATTCCCATCCCAATTGATCTGTAGAGACGTGCCCACTTGAGGGTTCTCGTTTTCATGCCTACTACATGCCTCATTGTAAACTGGTAAATTGTTTTGCTTTATAGGAGCTTGTTATTGTGGCCCAGGGATGAAGCCACCCACAGTATGCTGACAAAGTCAGGCCCTGAGATTAGAGCTTCAAACATAAGTTTGAAGACAAAATTTTGAAAATGCATAAATTCACGAAATAATTATCATCCTGTGAAGCCTGAAAAAAAACCCAATGAAATAATAATGCATTCATTTTTAATGTCTCTACAATATTTCAAATAAATATGTTACATGTCATCATTTAAATATTAATGTTTTTGATTTAGATAAGTTTTGAAATGCGCTGGAAGCTAAGGTTTGTTTTTGGTCTTACAAATGCTTATGTGTTTTGCATTGAATTAATATTATTAATTTTAACTTGATTTTATACAAAGTTGTTGCTTAGTGTAAATATATAGAAGCCCCAACGTGTCCTAACTTTATAGGCAAAAAGATTTGGAAACCAAGAGGTTAAATGATTGGCCTAAGGTCAAATAATTACTTCTTGACAGGGCTGGGAATTAAACCCTGGTGTGCTGACTTCTTGTCCTTTGTGGTTTTCAGTAAACTGTAATACGTCATTAAGTTGCCATATTTGGAAATTATTGCTATTATCAAGCACTTAATTTTTATTCTGTTAGGTGACATCATTCCAGATTGTTTATCTTAAGTCAACTAAATGTTAATCAAAATAGAATATTGAGAAAACATATCAGAACAGTTCTTTTCTCTTATGCACTTCCACGAGCCATTGCATTTTTCCTAAATGGGGCAAACAAGAATTTCACCTTCCCACGAAATGATTTGTACCTTTTTTCAGCACTCTTGTTTTTCATCCTTCCTTTACCTTCTATTGCTCTTTATTTTACCAAGCTAGGAAAAGGAGACAGCTAAACATATTTTAGCGGCCTCTGAAACATTATAGGTAAAATAAATAAGCTGCACATGGGAATCAGAGACAAGGGAAGATGATGAGGTATTTACTTAGTGGTATAGACTTTAATATACACCAAGGAACAGGAAGTTTGGAGTGGGGGTGGTGGGGATGAGTGAGACGTTGAAAAGAAGAGAGAAAGGAATTGAATGGAGTCTACTGAATTTACTGCAGGCACTGAGATAATCTGCAAGGTAAAAGTGTTGTTTTTAATGCAGTAGAATTTTTTCTGGTCTACTGTCACCATATTTGTCTTGTTGCTAAGCTTGGCCATACACAGGCTAGGCCTTCCTGCTCACTTGCCCTCACCCCCTGTGGAAGTTCTCAATAGGTTGCCTCTCTAGCCTGGTAGTAGCAGATTCTACCACTGGCCCTTTTCTACTTGTACCCATTTCCCCATCACATTATACACTTAAATGTAAGCAGGTATTTGTGTCCAATTCTCTCATTTCTTTCCCTCACATCCCTGTCCTCTGGATTTCTTTATAAGGCTCATCTGAATGACTCACCAACTACCCAGTTTCCTGGTCTTTGGCACTGTGTGTGTGTGTGTGTGTGTGTGTCTGTGTGTGTGTGTGTACTGGGCACACACTTGGAAACTTGGAACTTCCCAGCTTCCACATCATCATTTCTTTGGTGGAGTGAAACTCCCAAGAACCTGAAGTTCTGACTGAGAGTTGAGCTTTTCTTTGCCTTGATTTTTATGAGTGTAGCCCATATAACTATTAATTTGATTTAATTGGTGCACAAAAACTGGGGGGTGAGAATTTCTTTTCTTCAGGGTGTTTTGCATACTATTAGTGAACCAAACCCTAGCTCAGTTTTTCTCCTTTATGAAGAATTACACTTAGCTGTGTTAGTGAGATACTGCAAGGGAAAGAAATGTCCCAATTTCAGATGAGGGTAAATATAAAGTCTTTTCATTAATAATAATAAAGTACATTATCAAATATATGGTTTGAAATAAACATAATGCCCAGAAGCATCACAGTGATTTTTTTCACATTAAAAATGGTAGCCTTTTTAAAAAGCAAGTTTAAGGAAAATTAGAATCAATAATTGTGGTGAGAGCCCAGAGCCAGAAAATACGTTTAAATGAAACCGTCTGATGCAATAGTTTCTTTAAAAAATACAATTAGGCCTTTGTATTTTTTTTTTTAACAAAACCTCATGTTTTACAACATCACTGGTTCTGTAATAAAATCTATTTAAAAACAGAGAGACATGGTCAGCTTTATTAAGTTAGATTTTCTGAAAGAACGTTATAATTTCCTCAAGTCTATGAATAGTTGAAACAAATTAAATAAAGCTAGTTTTATAACTATTTTTATACATTCCTGTAGAATTGTAATTGTCTCATTTTTTTTTCCTCAAAAGTCTAATATGTTACCTCTTAAATCTGGAAAAATAAAAACAGAAAAGGATCAAGAATGTTTATTAAAAAAACACTCCTATTTGGTACCCTGATTTAGCAACCTCCCTTCTTCTATATGAGAATAGCACCCATAATCTTCAGATCAGGAAACAAAGGGAAGGCCTTTAGGTGAGTTGCCTGAGGCCTAATGCTGAGATTAAAAATCAGGAGTTTCTGATTATACACATACATCCATTTTGCCAAATGATTGGTTTTGCTTGACTTTCAAATACCCCCTAAATAGTACTTTGAATGTAAAGCAATAAATGTGTTTCTCTTGCCATTTTTGAATGCTTGAACACAAATGGATATAATAAAAACAATCATGTTGTTCCATGTGAATGCCATTTATATTTTTTCTGATAATGAGCAGACCATTTGAACTAAGGTGAGTACATTAAAAGCTCTAATAAAGAAGAGAATAGATTTCTAAACAGAATAATGGACTGTTAAGTGAACATACAATAAATAACATCTACAGATGTGGTTGCTAGAAAATTAGTTTTGCATAACTTGCCAATATACATTTCCCCCAGATGTTATCTGTTACATGAAAATTAAGTTAGTTATATTGTTCATTACGTGCACATTGCATTAGTGTTATTTAAGATGGTTTACATCTTTACTTGACTTGTGCTACGGTATTTAAAGTTGAATTGTGCTTTAAGTTGAATTGTGCTATGGTATTTGAAGAATATCAAGTAAATGGCTTTTTGGCATAATTTAATACTCGTCAGTATGAAATTTCATTGCCAAACGTTATGTATCTTAAAAAATCAAGGTCGTTATTTACATGGCAAATAAAATCGTAAGAAATCTTTTAAAAATTTGCATATTCAAGATGAAATGGACATCCGCCATGGGAATAAACACTAAGAATTTTGAACTCTCTTGGAACAAAGTACAGAGTCAGTTTGGATCTAAAAACATGCTTATAGGAATTAGACTCTGCTTCTAGATCTTACTATGTCTGAGAAGTGGTATAAAGATTTTATCTGAAAATTTTATCACTTTATGCTTTCTTTTTTCTATTTTCCGTGTTAACATTATCAATAGTATGAGCTCTGATGTATTGTTTTACTTTAGTAATGCTTGTTTGGAGAAAGTATAGTGATTTGTGTGTAGTGTTTGTGCCACTAAAATCTATGACTAAGGGGATAATTATTAAATTATTAAAATCTATTATTACATTTTTTGAGATATTAAATATGCAGTTGAGATTACAACTTTCCACTATTTTGAACAGCAGAAAGCAAGATAAATCTGCTCAAGCTTTTTTGAGCCATAGGCACATAGACAAAATACCGGTTTGCTTTGTAAAGACATTTGTTTGGAATTGTCAGATGATGACTTCATATGTAAATCAGAACTTAGTATAAAATGTCAAAGTTTCAAGAAGTAAACTTGATTGCAAACTTTCCTGACTATTAACTAAGGGAAAAAAGGCACAGAAATTCCTGTAATGTTTTAACTATTTTCCCCCCCTTGAAGAAAGGCATTACTCATTTGCAAGTCTAATTAAGAAGTACTTGTGTGGCTCTGGAAATTTTTAACAAAAACTTGCAACCCATTGCCCACAATATATGGCACATAAAGTAGCAACATATGAATGCCACCTGCAAAATGCAATAAACTCTAGTAATGTCATACTGAGGCCATAAATTTTAAATGAAAAGAGGAAATTCAAAAGCCAACATTATCAGAGAAACTAATTAATCCATTTTTAAAGTATTTTTCTTTTGTGATAGGGCCATTACAAACTTCTTAATATACTCTGTAAATGTAGAATATCAATTCTGCTAACAAGAGTCCTCCTCCTCCTTTGCATTTTTGACTTGGAAATAAATTTGCAAATGCAGCACATTAATTTTCTTTCCTATGCTTAATATGCAGTATTTACATTTTGAAAAGGTTCAAAATGTTGCCAGGCTTCTGCAGAGTATGAATAGACATCTAATAGCAAGTTCTATTTTTATCCACAGCATACTGGTAGTTTGAACATTTATAACTTAATAGAGCTTCGAGACCATTAGATCCACACATGCTAATCACCTAAACAGTGAACGGTAACACAGTACAACAAGTTAGGACAGGAAATGAAGATTACCCATTCCAGCTGAAGCTGCAAGGAGAAATTTAAGTTGGCAGGCCACAGTAAACCAATTTGCAATCTGGCTAGGACACTCCAGTTAACACCTTGTGCCCATTTTTATTTATCTCTTGATTTGATCTTGTTTCGCTTGGGCTTCAAATAATCATTTTTTAAAAAGTTAGATGATTAAAGTAACTGATTCCAGAGTATTTTAGATATCTTTTGACTTTTTAAGTGTACTCCTGCTTAAGGCCAATACTACAATTTGGAAAGAAATCTGAGTATTCCTATTTTAATGACCTCAGACAATAAAATCCTCTCTAATGAATCAGAAAAGGAGCACCTTCTTGTAGTGTAAATGCAATTTAAAAGGAAAAGATGTTTTGATCTGGCCGTGGTGCAAACATTTCCTGAGGGATAGAGCAGTCCTTCAGATACCCAGATATTTTCTAAAGATGCAATAATCTGGAAGATAGATCACTGAATTATAGGCTTTAGACTTGGCTCTATTCCTAACTGTGGGATGCTAAGAAAATCCCTAGGCCTCAGTTTATTTATCTGTAAAAGGAGGATAATGATAATTGCTACCTGGCTACTTCATCGAATTGTTTCAAGCACAAACTAGATAATGTGGATGAAAATGCTGGGAGTTCTTCAAAGGGAAAGTATTATTAAACCTCAAGGTGTATTACTATTATTACTTATAATTACTGTTATTATTGAAAGGATCATCTTTCTAATGCCATCATTGAAAGACAGACTAGAATAGCCATATTGAGGATGCTGGTCCATGCTATTTTTATATGTAATTGTTAACACTGCTCAAGCAGCCCAATTAACTGGGAAGAATTTGTTAATGAGGACATGCTATCACTCTGTTTCCATATAGTGACAGTCTTTAAAGTATCAAACATATATTCAATACCACGTTATTTGAAGAGTTCCTTGGTCCCAAACAACTTCTCTTTTGAGACCTAGATAGAATGACATAATGAGGTAGATATGTAGCATGATCAGGATTAGGGCAAGCCACCTATTTAGAAAAGGAGAGTGTTTACACCTAACTTTCCAATTAGAAAATCTGCCTCTCCCCTTCCCCCACCCAATTTATCACTCTCTTTATCTTTTGTTTTCCAGTTTCAAATATGGCCTGTGGTTGCCCTGATTACATTCATTTTTAAAAGATTCCCTTAACAAATTTTGTCAAAAGTAAAGAGTCAGGGCTTACAGGGCAAACTTTCAACACGTCTCTCTTGTGAAAATGAAATACCGGAGCTCTTCAACTACTAAATTCAGCATTGTACTTTTGATTCTTAGATTGACCTTACCTTGCAACTTCCTCAGGGTGAGAGATGGAAAAGTATGGTTCCATTATAAATAGTTAAAAAAATTGAATGCTTTTCAAAATATTTTTTACAAGCCACTCAGAGTATATTTGTTTAGCTTACTAGGTTCAAGGCATACCCTTGAACTCAGTATAAAATATTTCAAACAATTCTAATCATAGATTTTTGGTTAGTTTCTTCTAGAGCGTTCTATTTAAAATTGAGGTGTTTAATATTTAAAAATTTTATTTTATGGACATTGCATTTTCATTACATATTATGACAGCTTATATGAAGATGAAGCTATTTCATGACTCTCATATTAGAGAATACTCTTTTTGAATAAGTACCGATAATTTGCAGAAATCATATGAGATAATAAATTATAATGGTTAGAACAGAAAGAAACTACAATGGAAGAACTCTAGGTCCTTGGTTCGAGTCTTTCTTTTTTCATGCACTTCCTGTTGACAGTTGAAACTACCTGAATAGGAGGAGGCTGAAACTATTTAGATAAAGCTATCATGTAATTTACTTAACTTCAAAGCATACTGATTGAACTGCACTTCAGTCCCGAAGTCCACAACTGAAAGTGGGGGCTAAGCTTCTTAAAACCATATTCGTTTAGAAATAAAAAGCTTTGGTGCTAAATTAGAATACTTGTAAAGTGCTATGAAATCTTTAGAGAAGTCAACCTAATATTATTATTTCTGACCTCTTAGAGCCAAGATGTCTATTTTAAGTAATCTGACATTAAAAATGTGCTGACAAATATAGATTTAAAAAACAACACAGGAAGTTGTAAATCAGTTGGTAACCCTTAGCATCAAGGAAATAAGAGACCACGAAAATGCAGTCATTTACTTTAGTCAACCTCAGCCTTAATTTTTAACTAAAGAAATTTGCAGAAAGCATGATGTTTACGTTTAGATATTTTATTCATAGTTTGTGTGTTTCCCTTTTCTCCAGTAGGCTCATAAATTATTACCAGGAAACATGTTGTTACAGTTATAAATATTTCCCTCTCTGCTTAGCTCTCCCTAGCCCCTACCCTTTTTTTTTTTTCCTTTTTTATAAAAAAGTCTCACTTAGTGATTCTTTAACCGTATTAGGCACTTTTCTCTGGTCAGCAGGCAGGATTTTCTTGCTTTGGAGGAAACTACTGCCAATTAGTCATATGTGCTTGGCATTCTAGAAACAGGACACTTTCAGTGAGCACCCAAGCCCTTCCTCCTAGGCAAGGCAGCCTTTTATTCCATATATGGCAGATGTCATTATTTCAATGACCTAAAGAAGCATGTCTTCCCTTATACAGAATGGGTCTAGGTACTCTAAGTTTCCCTGGCTTTTCTTGAAATCTGAAATCTTAGAAATTAACTACAAAACTGATTTTGTGGACAACGGTGTACATAGCAATACATGTTCTCAAAAGAGACCTTTCACCTACAGTCTGCGAATCATACTAGTTTAGTTAAAAATAAACAAACTGAAATAGCAGCAGCTCTGAAAAATCTAGGTGGTATCTTGATTCCAGATTTGAATGTTCTAAAAATGTAGATTTTTTTCCCCTTAAATGTGTAGTCAGAGTTCTGGATTGGCTCTGCTGCTCAGTTGAGAGTAGGTCTGAGATGTGGTTTCTTTGTTTGTAAAATTAGGGAGTTGGACTAGGTCGTCTCTAGTCCAGCTACAGATGTTGTATCTTATGTTACTAAATTTCAAGTGGCTTTTTCTCTATTTATACAAAACTCAAAGTTGCTTGCCTGTGTAGATCCCCAGATTCAGTATTTTTCAGTCACGATGTAGAAGAATATTTGGAGTACACATTTAGTGCTTACTGGAATCATTGACAGGCTGAAGCTTGTCCATTTATTTTTCCTTAATTACCTTCCCCAAACCTGCTCCTCCTCCAATTCCTTTATCGTTTGGTGGCATCACCAGCTTCTCAGTTACTGGACTCAAAGCCTTGCAGCTGTCTTCAGTTATTCCCTCTCCCTTGTCCCTAACATTAAGTCAGCCATAAAACTCATTGGGGGCACCTGCTGATGCCTGTCCCACCTGTGCCCTTCTATTTTTTGAAGGATTCAACTCCATGTTCTTGCCTTCACAGATCTCGAGCTCCAGCTGTACTAGACCACTCACTCTTTCCCTGCTTGCCCAGTGCTTGCAGCAGAGTGGGTGCTCCATAATTGTTATATGAAAAAAAAAAAAAAAAAAAAAAAGAGCAAGGCAAAGCAAAGCAGAGCGAAGCAAAGCAAGGGGTGGAGGAAGCTGTGGTCTCAGCCCTGTATTGCCTGTGCTGCTCCCTCTGCTGGGGGAGCTTTTCCCTGCATCCTGCCAGGCCATCTCATCCACCTGGACTTTCCACCCAGCTCAATCAACTCTGTGAAGTTTCTCGTCATCGCCCTTGTGCTCGCAGAGTATCTTGCTTATTCAACTTCATAGTATTTGTCACATTGGCCTTGAGTGACAGCCAGGTAGAGTGATTTCTCGCCATTGTGTGGAAACAACTCGAGGACGTGGGGCACGTCATATTCATCTTAAGGACCCCTAGCTCAGGCCTTTATACACGGGGGGCATTCATTGGATGTTGAGTATTTCATCAGAGTATCTATCCATTCATCTAAAAATCTTCAGGGCTGCCTAGTTTGTTAGACCAGCTACAAGTCAGTTTAAATATTTTTCTTGAAAAACGGTAACACTTGGAGAAGCAAACCTAGTCATTGTATTGTTGCATCAGTGCAACTATCTGTATTTCATATCAATGGAGCCCTAGAGTATTTGTTTGATTAGCAGAATGCCAAACAACCAGACAGATTCTCACTGATTTGACTTCATTGATAGTTACTATTAGTTTTTGGAGACACAGTCTTGCTCTGTTGCCCAGGCTGGAGTCCAGTGGCACGATCTCGGCTCACTGCAAACTCCGCCTCCCAGGTTCAAGCAATTCTCCTGCCTCAGCCTCCCAAGTAGCTGGGATTACAGGTACCCGCCACCACGCTAGGCTAATTTTTGTATTTTTAGTAGAGACAGTGCTTCACCATGTTGGCCAGGCTGGTCTTGAACTCCTGACCTCAGGTGATCCACCTGCCTCGGCCTCCAAAGTGCTGGGATGACAGGCATGAGCCACTGCACCCCTGGCCCAGTAGTTATTTTTAACTGACTTATCATTAAACTGTTTTTTAGACACAGTGTAGTTTAAAGCCATAAAGAGTTCCTCAGAGATACCATACCCCTCACCTAGCTCCTAATGAAAGTAACATCATGAAGCAAATTTCTAGGAGGGCTGATAAGTTGCCTGACTCTAGGGGCCATGATTCACATTGCTTTCCGTGAGCCTCCTCTGGTCCCCCACTCACAATACAATGTGAAAGGTACCCACTGGAGTTGTTCAATGGGGAGGCCCTAAGGTCAGTGCTGGCCACCATTTGGGAATATAAACTGTGATGATGAAAAAAAAAAAAAGCAGCTCTCATTTATTGAGAACTTACTCTGTGTTTGGCATTGGGCTAGTTAGAAAGCACGTTATAAATAGTAGGTCCTTCAAATCATACTGCATTGGGAGGAAAGGTTTTATTGACTTCATGTTTTGAGAAAGAGCCAAAAGCTTAAAGAGGTTAAATAACTCAGCCAATGCCCCACAACTAGAAAATGGAGAATTCTATCAGAAATAGAACCCGGATCTATCTGACTCTGAAACCCACGCACCTAACTTTAGGGGGAAGGGGAACCCTAGTAGTTCATTATGGATTCCAAAAAATGTTTATCTCTAGTTTATATGTGAGGAAATACAGGTTCAGAAAAGTAAAATGACATGTGTATACTAGAGTTGTGAAAGCAGGCATTCTCTGATAAATTCAGAAAGAGAATTTGTTCACTGGCTCTACATAGTGTTGGCACTAACTACAGTGCATTGTTCCAAAATAAGTCAATGAAAGTCAAGAATGAAAGGTTGAATAGTTTTTAAAGATGGCAAGATATAAAAAGCATTGCGTGCATAAAGAAATCTGAGAACACGCTTATTTCATTTGTGTAAACAGGAAAGCGTAGGGGCATCAGTTTGCTTTTGGCCACTGTTTTCATTGGAATCACAGTTTTCTCTAGGAACAGGCATGCAGAAAAACAACCAATAACCTAGACAGTTAAAAAATACATAGAGGAATGAGGATGGTCGTGTGACCAAAGCTCCTGTGATTATTCTTCCACTGTGCACTGTAATGTGCTTTAAATCCATTTCCATATTTTTAATTAACACTTACTTGCAAAAAACTTTCTGGAGGCCATTTAAATCACAAATGGGGAAAAAATAAATTTACTTTTATCAGAAAATTGACTATAGACTATTTTGGTGGCTTTTATTATTTTTACATATTAATGATTAAAATTAAATATAGCCCGATTGTTCACCACAGAAGGCAGTGAAATAATTTTCATGGCTGATATAATTTTAAAGTCAAACCTGGGTGAATAAGATATTAGTTCTGTTGTGGATGAGTCTCATTGTCCATCCCGAGGCTCTGATTCCTGATCAGACCCATCCATTTCATAAAAGGAATTATACAGCTGTACCAAGTTACTCTTCTAACAGAGGCCCAGGGGTGCATTGGCTTTTTCTCAACAGTGGTCCCACAGGGCCTAGAGTGCTGCTTCTGCCCTGTGGATTTTAGGCACCTATTTTCGTGGTTTGAATAATTTATTTTTTTGAGTGGGAAACAGAGAATGCGATCTTACTGCACAAATACTATTTTAAAACTCTAACACCAAAAAAGCTGTATCATCTGCTAGGTCAAAACACTGTCATTGTCACTAGTCAAAGGCATAACTGCAGCTCTCTGAGGATTCACATTCATTCACAGTTCTGCAGCAAGGGTCACAGTTTCCTTGTCTAGAAAACGGCCATAACAGTGGTCACCCACTGCGTGTTTTCTTCAGAGGACTAAATCAGTATGTGGAAGGTACTCACACAGTGCCTGGCATGTAGAAAAAGCTTAAAAGTGTGAGGCTTTTTGTTTTTTAAATTTCCATGTGACATATTTATGTCTACAACAATGCTAAACAAAACTCTCTGAGGGTAAGGACTTGGTCTGTTTTGTTCCCAACTTCACTGCCTGGCAGGTAGCTAAGAAATAGTGGGAAAATAATAAATATTTACTAAAGAATTAAATGTAGGAAATAATTGTAGTTTTATATGGTCAGTAAGTCACTATCTATTGCTATTTTCCCCTGTTATATAGTCTCTTAATTAATAGTGCCAAATTTTAGGGTTTTTTTTTTCCCCCGTATCTCCCTGCTCTTCACCTCCCCAATACAACCTATACATCAGGCTGCTCCTCATCTGGGTGTCCAGTCCTGCTCCTTGGCTTTTCCATATTCATCCTATGCTAATGGTCTTCCAAAAAGTGTCCATGCTAGGTGAAGTTATGTAGAATGAATTGATTGTGGTGATAAAACTGGAATATTAGGATGAGTATAGCCTATTATCTGATGAGAGAGTTATTCTGGCCAGGAAAACTTTTGAAGGGTCGTTCTGGTTTTCACACTTGCATGAAGACAGCCTTGATGTGAGGGTTTGCTAAGGAAGCTGGTGAATCTGGCCCAGTATGTTAATTTACTTGATTCAGGGAACTTCCCAGTATTTATAAATTAACTCTGTACATTAGGCAACTAATATTTAGATAAGAAAATCAGAAAACAGCACATTCTGCAACATATCACTTCAGCAGATCGAAGTATCAATCGACTCTGGCAAAGCTAACATTGTTTAAGTAATCAAAACCAAGCAAGGACAATGAGCTACTGTTGGGAAATTCTGCTAGAAACAAGAAACCAGGGCTAAAAGCATTCAAATAATAAAGGAACATTGCAAAACCAAGCCACAGCATTAATTGGCTTAATCTAATTATACAATCTACAATTAAGCCTTAACATATTTCAGATTGCTAGTATCATTGGAAATACCAACCAAATGATTATCGTCATTGCCCCAGGAAAAGATGAAGGTTGTAACTTTGAAAGATCTGGTATGCAAGGTATGTTTTGAAGAACAGATAGACTATCAAAATGTTATGAAATGACACATTCTATTTCTTCAGCTTCTGTTTGTGTTAGAAGCTTTTTATTCTCATTCTGCTCAACAATGCTGTGTAAATGCTATGAAATGACTGGGAAGGTAATATTACCACACCAATTCTTTATCTAAAAAATACCAGTTTCCTTGCAGTGTATTTTGTTATAATTGGTATATTTATCTACTTATTGGTGAATAATTTCATTTTGGTTTTAGACACAGAAATACAACATTATAACTAATTTATTCTTTTGTCAGATCGATTTTTCTATTGGTAGATCATAAGACATTTTATTATTTTAACAAGATTTTTTTAAAGTGTTTGCTGTTATATATCTGAACTTCACCATCTTACTAGCATCTGTCAGATTTAATCACCTACAGAACTACCTTATAAAGATTACCTTATCAGAAAAAGTGTCATCTTGTGAGCTTAGGTGTGAGAATTGCAAAATAAAGCTGAGCTACACTAACAACTGCTGTGCTAATTTATTGTAAATTATGGTTTTTTTTTGTTTGCAGAGATAAGACATGAGAAGTGTTTCTATTTAAATTCATTTCCTATTATTCCAACATATACAAAACAGCTTTACAAAAAACAGTGAGAACATAGAATATTCCTTAAATAGGCTCTAGTGACAGTGAAATTTATTTTCTAAGCTATTAGTACCAGTCCTGTCACACCATTCTAGGTGCAGAATCAGACAGAGCCATTAAGACAAAACATGGATGCTTAGAACACAAGATGGAAATTACTGATTGTCGTGTGAAGAGTGATGATTTATATGATATGAACTGGAAATAATTGTGTAGCAAGCTGATATACAACAAAGCTTTAATTCACTGGGTTGACACTGTACACTCATAATCTGCAGACCAAGCACCAGCCATGATAGATTACAGCCATTCAGAATATATAAGCATGTTTTTTTCATAAACATTCTGGGAACCATAGTTCAGATGACCCCAGTAAAAACAACTGCGAAGTTTTTTACCAAGCTGGTTCTCTAAGAAATGTAAAAATCATAATGAGTCATTATATTATTAAAGTTCAGAACTAGGTGGCAATGAATCACATGAAGTTATCACCTTTAAATTACCAAGGAGAGCATAAATTGTGTCCTATAAAGCACCATGATTCTCAGTGCATTTTAAACAAGATGAACCTCTTATATAAACATGATTTTATTAATATATTTATTGTGATTATTATTAAAACTAGAGTAAAATTTAGTGCATATAAAAGTGAAGGGCTAAGGTTGCTGGCCAGAGCCAGAAAGAGCATAGGCCTATATTTTGTAGACTCCTTTGTGTAACTCAGCCAATATATGTTGACCTATTCTGGTTCTTATGAGTACATGACAAACATGGTAATTGGTGTGATCCTTAAAAAAATGCATTAGCAGATAGGCTTTGTGGTAAGAGTCCTTCAAATCCATCTTGGTTTTTAATTCAAACTAAGATTTGAACTCTAGTCTCAGAGAACCAGTTGTAGGTCAACCCAACTGTTACATCTCCTCCTTTTTAAAGAACACTGTGGGTCTTTCAAAGAAAATGGAGTTGAAATACATTTGAGAAAAAAGTGAAAAGCCATCTTGCTGGATATGCTGTGACCCTCTGCCAGTAAGCTTTATGCTGCAGCACATCACACGTTTAAAAGAAGAGTCTCTTGTGTTTTGCGTAAGATTCAGATTTTGGTTCAATTCAACTGATCTGTGTGCGTTCCATGTGCAAAACATGGCATAGGCAGGATTTCTGCCTCAAAAGAGTTACAGTCTGAAGGTGGAGTAAGAAGGCAGGGATACAAATGCCTGCACAATTCATTTGTAACACTACATAAAAACGGCTACAGTTGGGCCATAGGGGTAGAGAACTGTTGGGTGAGTCCCTGATTTTAGCTGACAACAAAACAATGTACCTGTTAGGGATAGGCCAGACAAAGAGAAGAGCAAGGACAGGGAGGCCATAGTGGGGTTTGTAAGTGGACCTTGTCAACCTTGTCAACTAGCCTCATAATAGTTACCCAAAGCCAGAGGAATAAGTGGTATTAAGTGACCTGGAATATAAAAACATGTCAAAATAAACTTGGCTCTGGAAGAATTTGAGCGTAATTGCTAACTTCTGATAAATATTACTTTGATTATAAAGAAGAACAGAAGAAATACTGTTGTTGGTCAGTGGTTATTTTTACTTAAAACATTTATAGTTAGATGGATACAAATAGACCTCTGGTCATAGACTATGAAAAACACATTTGATAGCTAGATATAAAAATCCCAGTATTAATAACTACTGACATTTATGTAGTCCTTTCCTTCCAAAGCTCTTGACAAACATTACTGACTGTATACACAGAGGAATAGCACTGAAATGCTGCTATCCTTTCAAAAGACTAGACATTAATTCAAGGAAAAAGTAGCAAATGGAAATATAGGGCTGCAGAATATAGCGCACATTTGGAAACGAACTCATACATTTCACCTTGCTTGCAAAGTGTTTGCCATATTTTATTTTAATTTTATTGAATTGCTGGTGTTATTTAACTTAATTCTCTTACTTAGACCTCTATGGTGTTTGCCATTTTTCTTAGGTAGCGCCTAAGCTGATTTATGATACAGTAGGGCAATAAGTACCAGGGCTGATGTTCTCTCCTTTTGAGGACAATAGGTCTGACTCTCTAGCACCTCCTAGTGTGAGGAGGGCTGATATGCCAGCCAACATAGGTGTGCCATGTACTGGAAGACTAGTTTTATTTCATCACAAACTGAGATTGTATGTGGTTATTTGAGAACTACCACCTGGCTCAAACAAGTTTAATGATATATTAGGTCAAATGGGTTGCTGCTGAGCTGCTTGATGACCCTGATTAAAATGATGCTATGTTTGTTCATTTGCTTAAACAAAGTGTAAATTACAGGGTAGTAATCATTTTTAAAAGCCAGGAAACACAAAATGTTTAATGTACACGTTTAGAGCCCTCACTATAAAATATGAACAATTTCACTGCATTCTCAAAATATGACTGCAATGATAGAAATATAAATTAAGGTTATTTACATTTCCTGTAATAATGTTATACTTTGGAAATTTCAATTCAATTCAGGATTTATTTCCAATCACTTGTTTTAGATTTTAACATTCCTCCTGCCCTCTTCTATAAATCCTGTGTATCGTCAAAAGTTAAGTTAAACTCTTAGCAATTACTTAAAGCTTTCATATTTTTTCAGAAAACAAGGAACTTTATATTTTATAAACTCTCATTTATATTATCATTTTCACCTTCACTGAACATGCACTCCAAGCCAAGTACGGTACTAGGTCATGGAGATTCAGAGACAAACAACACAAAGGCTCTGACTTTTGAGGAGGTCTCAGTCTATTGTGTGGGTGGTGGGGGCACTTGGTAGGAATAACATAATTTGAAGAATGAAACAATTATTAGAAGTATATGTAGAGTGTTCTAGAAATATAGAAGAAGGATTGCCAATTGATTTTTGGTGGGAGGGAAGAGAAGAAGGGATTCAGAGAAAGCTTAAAAAGAGAGATGGTGCTTGAGTTGAATCTCAAAGGAGAAATAGGAGTTAGCATGCAGATGGGGTTGGATAGGGAGGGAAAATACCAGATAGACAGACAGACAGAGGAAGTGGCATATACAAATGAACAGATACATACGGAGAACATTCTAGAACAAAAGATGTGTGTGACACTGGTGAAAAGCTAGGGTCAAACAGGCCTGGGTTCAGCCCCAGCTTTGGTATTTTGTAACTACAAGACCTCTGGGAAAATCATCTAATCTCCTACAAGCCTTGGGTTTTCCATCCATTAAATGGGACAAATGACCGGCTGATTGATAGTAAACCAATTGGTAGAGTCAATTTTCTTAGAAACATATATAAAAATGCAAAAAATTAGAAAAATGGAAAGGGAAATTAAAGTGAAATTTAGTCGAGTGCTAATGTTTTAAATATTGAAATGTAAATGTTTTAAATTTAAAATGTGATTTACAATCTTTCACAGAGTAAGTCATGTCTAGAAGTAAGTATATGTTTGTCTTTTGCTATGGCTACATTGAAAGATGGAGAAAAATATAAAAAAGAAATCAAGGGATTTATTTTCCATATGTCCAAGTAATATCCAGCAACTTAAAAAACAAGTTTAGCAAAAGTTAGGACAATATATTTCCCTTCATTTGTTGAGAGGAAGCCTGCTTGATTAATGTAATTAAAGGGTTGCTTGTAACTCAAGACTCAATGAAAAAAATAAATTTGGCCTTATTACTTTACTTGCAACTGGTGGTTTTCCTAGTGTGATTTTTGAGCTAAAATCTGCGGCTGCTTTGTTCATGACACATGAATTGTTTTAGCACATCCTTTCCCCTGCTGTGCATATGATTAAGAAAGCAGAGGTTAAATAGTGCAGTAAAGAATTGGGTAAATTCATTCTATTTTTGCTCACAGTGCCTTTTAGTCCCCCTCCTTTTCAGGACTAGAAGAGTACAGAAACCTATTATCTTCTCCTGAAATTATTTAAGATATGTTCTTATGCTGAAAAAAATAACTTCTCTCTCAACATTTTCTAGTACACTGATTTTGTGATGTCTGTGCTATAGATATTGTCTGTATTGGCAGGAAAACCAAATGCAAGTACATCCTACCATTTATTGAGTGCTAATGTATGCTGGGCACTGTAATAAGCATTTTGCACACATTGTTTTATTTTTACTTTGTGATAATCCTATAAGACAGGGATAATCATTCTCATTTTTAGACGAGGAACAAGAAGCTCTGAGAGGTGATGTTACTGTTCCAAGGCCCCACAATTAGCAGGTGACAGAACTAAGGTGCTAAGTCTGGTCTATCTCATTCCAAATCTGGGCTCTTATCCACTTGCCTTTTTTTTTCTTTGTAGTTTGAGTTTGAGTCAAAGGATTTGAATCTAGTTTCTGGTGGAGCATCTTGCATATAGTTCGTGCAACACATGTTAAATTCAATTGAATAGAAATCTTATGTCATGAGAGTAAAAAGCAGTCAGTTCTTGCCCTCTTTGAGTTTATAGTCTAATGTGGGTGGCACTATAAAGTACAATACAATAGGCAGCATGGAGAAAACATGACAAGCTTAATGTCCCCGGCAAAGAAGCTTTTTTTCTTCACTCAGCCCTGTCTCCCCCCGAGTCTTGCAGCTACTCAAACTGAATCCTGGAAGGCATTCTTAATTCCTCCCTTTCGCTCACTCTTTGCACCCAATTTTTCAGCAAGTCCTGTCATATATATTCTGAAATAAAACTGAAATCGACTTCTCTCTACCTTCCACGCCACTATCCTGTTCCATGTGACTCAGACCACAGCCATTACCTTCTACCTGGTCTCCCTGCTTCCCCACATTTGGTAAGAACCATGTACAAACAGCAGCCAGAGAAGATTTTGTGAAGCCTGAAGCTAAATCAGTACATAAAATTAGGTACAGAAGTGAATCCATAGAATTCACAAATGTGGGTATACAGAATAATAAAAGAACAACAAATTACTTTTATTAAAAAGCTGACAAATTCCAAAAATAGCACAAAATTAAAAATTAAATTTAAAAATTAAGTGCTTAACCTATCTCAACAATACACTTAACCCTACTTTTTTGGGCTTCATATTCTAATCAGCCCTTCAGGTACAACAACATTAGAATATTATTTTCCGTAGAAAAAATAGAAAAATTAGTCAGTCTTTTTTCTAGCTTGGTTAACGGATATGTTTTTAAATTATTAATAGTTTAGGAAAGCTTCAGCCTCACAACTTATTATTGGTAACATCATATAGATTTTAGCATTAATGTCCAATTTCAGAAAACATTTAGCAAGTTTTCTTCATACATTAGCTAAAAGATTTAAGCTTCTTTTCAGGTTATTTTATGCAGGAAACAATTTAAAATACTCTTTACTCCTTAAATAGGTGGCACTCATTCACCAAGTTGTGTTGATGCCCTCCTTGGAAAGGCATATTATACAATTTATGCTACCTTCATCAATATTAGTTATTTTTTTGTAAAAATGCAAGAAGCTTAAATCTATTTTTAATGTTGTCATATGATTCACTTCTATTAATTGGGTTAGCAATTAATAATAAGCAATGCAGAAACTTATTCATTGCTTCCATTTAAAATGTATTTCTTCCTTTTATTGGATTTTAAAATTTATTTATTTATTTTTATTTTATTATTTTATTTTTTTTCTTTGAGATAGAGTCTCACTCTTGTCATCCAGGCTGGAGTGCAATGGTGCGATCTTGGCTCACTGCAACCTCTGCCTCCTGGGTTCAAGCGATTCTCTTGCCTCAGCCTCCCGAGTAGCTGGGATTACATGTGCACACCACACTCAGCTAATTTTTGTATTTTTAGTAGAGATGGGGTTTCACCATGTTGGTCAGGCTGGTCTCGAACTGCTGACCTCAAATGATCCTCCCACCTCAGCCTCCCAAAGTGTTGGGATTACAGGCATGAGCCACTGCACCCGGCCCTCTTATTGGATTCCTACTTTAGTTATGACCTCAATTTTGGGGAGTTATGATTTACTTCTTGATGTTAAATTAATTTCTATTGATTTCATTGCTCATTTATATTGTTCGTTTCATATTCCACTATATTTTAATTTTTTTCTCAGTTCTCAGTAAATAAGTCAATTTAAAGATGACAAAAGAAGGTACCCTGCATATAATCCCAAATCAGAAGTTGTAATTTCTCACTTGTTGAACTAAAACATTCCAGAAGTCTGCCCAAATTGCAGTTAAAATGGTATATTCAAAATTTACTGAATAAAATGTTTGCATTTCATTTGCACTTTGGTTTTTATTCCAAGTCTTCAAAAATATATTTTAGAGTTCTTAAAATGTCACTTAAATCATGGCAAGACTTGAATAGCTTTCTACACAGCTGATGTTTAGATGAATATCCCGTAGGCTTGCTGCTAGCTCCATACATTTCAAACCTGGTTTCTCCTCCTCCATTACTCACACATGTCCAGAGCCTGCCCACAAAGGACACACAGACAGGATCTGGCATCTTTCTATCATGATGTCACAGTGGATGGTACGAGAAGCTGTATCTATACAAAGATGGCGATAGATTATTATACAAGAGTTCCCTCTCCCAGTTGAGGTAATGACCTTTCTAATGTACATATCCAGTCCTATCTGTTTGTTGGAAGTTTATATTTTGTCATTCCAATATCACATTAAACTTAATGTATTTAAAACTAAACTTATATTCACATCTCATTATTATTATGAAAAATTGGCTTCGAATTATACTAATGGCACAACTTCTCTTTTAGATCCTCTTGTTCAAATGTGTGCAAATTTTGGTTTGTCTTAGCTTCTCAAGTCGTTTATATCCAAGTAGTTACCAACTTCTATGTTAAATTTCCTTTATAATTTTTTTTTTGAGACGGAGTCTCGCTCTGTCGCCCAGGCTGGAGCGCAGTGGTGCGATCTCTGCTCACTGCAGCCTCCGCCTTCTGGGTTCAAGCGATTCTCCTGCCTCAGCCTCCCGTGTAGCTGGGACTACAGGCACGTGCCACCATGCCTGGCTAAATTTTCGTATTTTTAGTAGAGACAGGGTTTCACTGTGTTAGCAAGGATGGTCTCGATCTCCTGACCTCGTGCCTCAGCCTCCCAAAGTGCTGGGATTACAGGCATGAGCCACTGCACCCAGCCAATATTTTTTACATAAGTCCATTCCTTTCCATTACCGTTGCTATATGCTAGCATTAAAAAAAAAAACTTAGCAATTTCCTAATTTTCCAATTAATCTCTCTGTCCCTAATCACTTTTCATTTCAAAATGTTGTTATAACATTGCCAAGTTACTTTGCTCAAAATACTGCTGTTATCATACCAGTCTCATGCTTAAAACTTGCAATCTAAATTGCTGTTTATAACATTTACATGAGAACTTTTACCAAAGATAGAATTTAAAAAATGAACTCAAATTTCTGAAGAATTAAAGCTACTTCCATATCTAGTAAATACTTTCAATTTGGATGAATTTGGTGGAAAGCTAGTCTAAATTTGAGAGCAGTCTGAATTATAGAATATTTCTAAATAAAACTTCACTTTCAAGTGGTAGCAATTCTCAACCTCTCGAGCAAGATTCCTAGAGAATTTATCCCTCATGGCCGAGGCATCCACTTTTGTAATGAGTTAATTTCTCTCCAATGCATCTAGAATCTTACTAGCTATGCAACTATCCTTGAGAAAATTCAGAAAATAGTCATTTAATCGTTTTCCGTAGAATGTAGTTCTCTTGCAGATCCCTATTAAAAAAGACTGGTATAGTAACTGACAGTGCTAATAAAAGGTTACAAGTTGAGATTCTGGATATACCTAAATGACTTAAGAAAAAAAAAACTCACTTGTAATTAGCAATGTCCATTTGCATATAAACAACAAATGCTGCCAAATTCAAACTGTTCTGCTTAAGAGAGCAAGAGCTGGTTTATAAACAGCCTCCATGTAATAGTCTCTAAATTATGAGTGTCTTTGTTTTTTTATAGACCAAAATTTACTATTAGTGCAGGCCAAGTTGATATATTTGAAATTCAAAGTTATTTGGGCTTGATTTAATATAGTTTTTACTGTGCATAATTTGCAAGAAGGTTCAAGCCACTACAACATTTATTGTACAATTGTTAAGACATAATGTAGACTACAATAATATTTAGTTACAATTATAAGACAACATATTTTTTTGAGAAGACAAAATATGTTATAATAGAGGTGATTCTGGACTTATCATTAAGATGTTTTGAATTTAAATATGTAAAAATTAAAGGTGGCTAATTTTTGTTTACTAGCAATATAATATTTGTTTACTAGCAAAAATATATTTGTTTACAAGCAATATAAAGTAGTGATATTGGTATATTTAGATGGTATTATATTTAGCTGTTAAAGTGACAGAAAATTCAAATTCCAGCAGCTTTGACCTGACAGTATTTTATCTTGCCTTCACATAAAAATCCAGAAATAGACAGTACCAAGCTGTATGGTGGCTCTGCTTTTCACAAAATCTTATGGGATCTAGGCTCCTGCTACCTTTCTGCTCCTGTAACTGGCCTCCATTCCTGTCTCTTTTGGGAGAGTAGATGGTAGATGAACGTATGCTGGCAAATTATACACAGTTGCAGCAAAATTTAATTTGCTGGTTTTCAGCCACTGGTTGTGCATCAGAATCACCATGGGGCATTTAAAAACTAGAGATGCCAAGCCCTACCCCAGACCTATTGAATTAGAATAGTGGTGGGGGAGGTGTCTTTGTTTTTTTTTTTTTTAAATAAGATATTTTATTTATTGTTTTTTTGTATACGCTTTAATTGGTAAGTGAAGATATTTCCCACATTTTCCCCAGATATCATTTAAAAAAATTTTTATTTTAGTTTGGGGGTACATGTGGAGGTTTGTTACATAGGTAAACATGTGTCACAGGGGTTTGTTGTACATATTATTACATCACCCAGGTACTTAACTCAGTACCCAATAGTTATCTTTTCTGCTCCTCTCCCTCCTCCCACCCTCCTGCTTCAAGTAGACCCCAGTGTCTGTTGTTTCCTCCTTCGTGTTCATAAATTCTTATCATTTAGCTCTCGCTTATAAGTGAGAACATGTGGTATTTGGTTTCCTGTTCCTGTGTTAGTTTGCTAAAGATGATAGCCTTTGGCTCCGACCACGTTCCTGCAAAAGGCATGATCTTGTGCTTTTTTATGGCTGCATAATATTCCATGGTGTATATGTACCACATTTCCTTTATCCAGTCTGTCATTGATGAGCATTTAGGTTGATTCCATGTCTTTGCTATTGTGAATAGTGCTGCAACAAAAATTCGCGTGAATGTGTCTTTATGGTAGAATGCTTTATATTCCTCTGGGTATATACCCAGTAATGGGATTGCTGGGTCAAATGGTTACCAGTTCTGCTTTTAGCTTTTTGAGAAATCACCACACTGCTTTCCACAATGATTGAACTAATTTACACTCCCACCAACAGTGTAGAGGGGTTCCCTTTTCTCTGCAACCTCACCAGCATCTGTTATTTTTTGACCTTGTAATAATAGCCATTCTGACTGGTGTGAGACGCTATCTCATTGTGGTTTTGATTTGCATTTCTCTAATAATCAGTGATATTGAGCTTTTTTCATATGCTTGTTGGTCGCATGTATGTCTTCTTTGGAGCAATCAGGCAAGAGAAAGAAATTAAGGGCATCCAAATAGGAAGAGAGGAAGCCAAACTAGCTCTGTTTGCATATGACAAGATAATTCTCTATCTATAAAACCCCATAGTCTTGGTCCAAAAGCTCCTTCAGCTGATAATCAACTTCAGCAAAGTTGCAGAATACAAAATCAGTGTACAAAAATCACTAGTATTCCTACACATCAGCAGCAACCAAACTGAGAGCCAAATCAGAAAGGCGATCCCATTCACAACAGCCACAAAAAAACAATAAAATACCTAGGCAAACAGCTAATGAGGGAGGTGAAAGATCTCTGCAATGAGAATTACAAAACACTGCTCAAAGAAATCAGAGAAGACACAAATAAATGGAAAAACATCCCATGCTCATGGATAAGAAGAATCAATATCATTAAAATGGCTATATTGCCCAAAGTAATGTACAGATTTAATTCTATTCCTATCAAACTACCAATGACATTCTTCACAGAACTAGAGAAAATTATTTTGAAATTTACATGGACCCATGAAAGAGCCCAAATAGCCAAGGCAATCCTAAGCAAAAAGAACAAATCTGGAGGAATCATGTTACCCAACTTGAAACTATACTACATAGCTACAGCAACCAAAACAGCATGGTATTGATACAAAAACAGGCACGTAGACCAAAGGAACAGAATAGGGAGCCCAGAAATAAGGCTGCACATCTATGACCATCTGATCTTTCATGAAGCTGATAAAAACAAGCAATGAGGAAAAGATCCCCTATTAAATAAATGGTGCTGAGGTAACTGGCTAGCCATATGCAGAAGATTGAGGCTGGAACCCTTTCTTACACCATATATAAAAGTCAACTCAAGATGAATTGAAGACTTAAATGTAAAACCCAAAACTATAGGAATCTTGGAAGACAACCTAGGCAATACCATCCTGGACCTAGGAATGACAAAGACACCAAAAACAATCTCAACAAAAGCAAAAATTGAAAATGGGATCTAATTAAACTTAAGAGCTTCTGCACAGTAAAAGAAACTATCAGAGTAAACATACAATCTACAGAATGTGAGAAAATATTTGCCGACTATGCATCTGACAAATGTCTAATATTCAGCATCTATAAGGAACTTAAACACATTTCCAAGAGAAAAATAAATAACCCCATTAACAAGTGGGCAAAGGACATGAACAGATACCTCTCAAAAGAAGGCATACTTTCGGCCAACAAGCATGTGAAAAAAAGTTCAATATCACTGATAATTAGAGAAGCGTAGTTTGTTTTTAAAGCGCTTCAGGTGATTCAGCTACATGGTCGGGGTTCTGAACCACATTACTTCAGAACTGCTATGGGAAGGAATTATAGGAAAGACTGAGTGAGAATTGTGAGCACTTCTTCAAACCTCCCTTTCTTCCCCTCACTCATCTGACTTGGTTACATATTCTTCTCTTCTCCAACTCTCATCAAGCCTTTGGAGCAATTTTTGCCATGGCTCATGTGACAGAAGAAATACAGAGGGAAATGTAATTTAGGATTAAAACAAAAACATTTCTAAAATAAACTTAGGTGATAGATAAAAGCTAACATTCACATCTATAAGGTGAACTCTTTGAAGGCAAGGCCCTCGTCTTTTTCAGCAAGACCTCCATAGGACAACAGAAGCTCCAGAGGGGTTGGTGGGGGAATAAGCTATATTGGTACCAGACTGTAGCTCTCCGTCTAACTTTGGTTGCTCCAGGGTGGGAAACTAGGACTAAAGATTTAAGGGTTATAGCTACCTCTTCTTAGTTGATTTCACCTCAATGACTTTATCTGATTTTATTGATAGAAAACTGCTCTCAGACTTGTGTGGAGTCTAGGAAGAGAGCAAACCAAGTTCTTGATGATACTAAATTAGATTTCTGGAGAGGATGTGTTCTGAGCCCCACACATTCTCTTTTGACTTTGAGCCCTGTGATGCTTACTTACTTTATAAATGGCTTTTGGGGGTTCATCCTGGATTGTTTTGAGGGAAATTTTCTAGCTGGCTCCCAATTTTATTCTCTTGAGACTATTCTAAAGAGGCATCTTAGATATCACCTTCGCTCATTAATGGAACTTTATGTATTCCTGGCCTTGGAAAAATCTCATTCTTCTAAATTCTCTTTTGAACACAGGACAACAAGAATGCGCAGTACTAAGCAAATTTTATTTAACATTTTAAGGTTACTTTTAGGTTAGGTTGAATTTCTCAGTTATGTTTCTTATCTAATCTGGTCTCACAAATTAAGCCATTTTTTACTAAAGGAAATGAACACCATCTTCCACCCTGTTCTGCATTTTCTCATCCTATTTTTGTTCTTGTTTTAAAATTTTATCTAACACTTCTAGTTTGGATGAGCTCACTCACAATCTCTTTGATAATGGCCATTCCTACAGAGAGCGCTCCACTTACTTCTTTAGTTATGAACGTTGCCAGTTAGCTAATGGTCTGTAATTACAGACATTTAAACTTTGAAAAACCAATGTTTTCTCCTTCCCATTTTCAGGAGACAGATTTAAAAAGATTTATGTGAAGAGATAAAAATCCATTGTGTTTCTTGTTGACATAAAATGCTGCGTAAAACTTCCTGGTTTTTCTCTTAAGTCTTTTTAGTGTTTTTTTTTTCCCCCTTCCTACTTCTTGAATAAAGTCTTAATTAGGTTCTATGATTCTTAACACTTGTTTAATATCCCATTGAAGAGTGAAGGTGGGCTTCAGGTTTTCAATAGTTAACAGGCATCCCTGGCAGTCGCAAATTAGAAAAGCTTGGGTGGTGGAGCATTGGGCTGGGGAGGAAAAGAGGAAATGCAAAAGGAAATACCTAATCCATCGATCTGAGAATTTTGTATACACTGAAACTTAATTTTAAAGGTGTACAAATGACAACTGTGTAAAGAAGTCTCAGGGCATATATGAGTGTGCACGTGCCACATATGATAAAATTCACATTTTCATACCCTTGAAACTAAGTGTAAAAAGAGGTTTAGGGCAGAGAGAAAAAACAAATGAACCAAATTATTTTGAAATAAATACGTAATAAGTAGCATTAATTTATCTTCAGAAAAAAAGGTTAACTCTTCAACTGGGGGTAAGCGGGGGGAAGTATAACAGTTTGAAAAAGAATCACTGTTTGCACATTTTTTGATGAATATAAATGAGTGTATAGTCTAAACTTTTGTTGTTATTTTTTCTTTTGGGATTCTACAATATTATAATCTTTATGCTTTTAACAAGAAAACTCTTTTTATTACATAAATCTGTAAATATGTTAGCTGAAGAATTTATCTTCCTAGTTCAGGAACTGATTATGCTCTCTCCTCTTTAACATTCAACTATTTAAGTAAAAATTGAGGTAAAATCCACTAAAATAAAATAAGAAATGTAGATAAAATGCTGACAAGTCTCGGTTTGTATTTTGAACTGCAAATCTTCTGAACTGTGAATGTTTCTTATATTTTGAAAGTAATTTAATGTCTAGTTGCAAAGGAAAAAAATGACAAAACTATATTGAACTTTGGCAATTTTGAATGTGATGACTTTGTCACTTAGTTTGAAAATCATTCTCATGGGCACAAAAATGAAGTTTTAACCAAACCTCCACAGGAGGGCACTATAGTGTGACTCTGGTGTAAGTTGCAGCCACAGCAATTCATTCTGTCCTTCTCCAGCTCTTGATTAAACACCTTAAATAGTGAGTCCTTCTCCTGGATTAGAAAATTCTGGATTTCAAAACTCAAGCTAGGTAGACTTCACATATGGTAAATATTTTTTCTTTGCTAAATTAGGTAGGTAATTTAATCTTTCTTTTGAGGCATGTATTTAACATAAAATCTTATCTCAAAATACAGCAAAAAATGGCAGGATGCATGTTCTGAATGAAATAAACTATAAATAGGTTAAAATTATATAATGCTTTAAAATAACAGAAATAGTTTAGAACATTTGGTTAAGCAATCAAACCCAAAAGACATTACAACAGATAAACGCATGTATTACCTATAAGTGATACTATTTATAAAAAGCATATGTAAATGGTATTAGTTAAACACGGTATATACTACTTGCAATGGTACATCTAGCTAAGTAGATGGTAGATAGTTACATAAATCTTAGTAAATGTAGAAACAGAATCCAAACATAAATATCAAAGCATTTCCAAACTGGTTCACTTGATCCCAATAAAAGCTCTAAAAACATTCACTGTAATGATAAAGATCAAGATTTGGCCAAGATTAAGATTTAATAAGCGTTTCTCATCCTAACTTTCAATTTCACTAGTTTATTTTCAAGTTGTTCTCCAGGAGATAACATATTTTGATATTTTACTAGAGTTTTTAAAATCAATATAAAAGTACTTGTAATCTTGGCAATTGCCATCTGTCTTTGTGAGCCTTGCCTTATTATTTTGAGGACTAACAGAGCCTTGCAAATCCAAGAAAGCTGTACTGAATAGACAGTTTTATTAAATTTGAAAAGTCGCAGGAGCAGTAGTTATAGATACAGATTATATGGTTCTAATAACTGTTTACATAGCAAATCTATTTCCAGTAAGGAAACTTTTCATTTTTCAGTTTTGCCAAAAGGATTTAGGTAATTCCAAGACTGGTAAAAAGTTAAAGTGGGCTATATCAGCAGGGCTTAACTTTTGGGTGGTAGTTGTTGTCTTTACAGTCAACTATTGATAGATTTAATGTTCTGGGAATTTACAATTGAAACAAAATAATGTAACCACATTACAAATCTGACAGCTTTTTGAACCTGCATTCTAGATTAGACATTGATGGCATCATATTTTCCTAGAAATGAAAAGTACTTGCTTAAAGCAAAGGAGTTCTCTAAATTTTTGATGGTTCACACCTGGATTGAATAATTAAATTTGTTAGTAATTAAAATGCTAGTTCATCACTCCCCTGGGGAATCCAGGCAGACTGTATTAATTTAAATATCTTTTCTTTCAGCTCATACAGATCTTTATGCCAATAAAGAATTCAAAAAGTAGATTTAAAGAAAGACTTGGGTAATCTGCTTTCACATAATAAAATTACTTTTAAATATTGTTATATAAAACTGGCAAATTTTATACAGTCTGACAAACAATAGAACCATATATATTCAAAATTCTTTTGCTTTAAAATCTGGAATCTAGTTAATCAGAACATTTTAATTATGAGATTCTTCATTGTTTAGAAATTTTAGAACAGGTAAATTGTAATCAAATGGCTTGATATCAATCACTCAAAATAATGTAACTTCTGGCATCTATATTAAGGGTGAAGCAATTTCTGCTGGATTTTATATGACTTTGAGGTACTAAAAGATCTCCCTTTAAAAAAGAAACTTTCCCCCCCTTCCCTCCCTCCCTCCCTCCTTCCCTTCCTCCCTCTGTCCTCCCTCCCTTCCTCCCTCCCTCCCTTCCATTTTTAATGTTTTTCCAGTCAGAAAATTGTGCCAACAGATTTTTCATAAAATATCACGTCAAAAGCAAATTTAGTTAAGCAAAATGCTCCATTAAGCACTAATCAAAATTTTGCTGCAAAAATCTGTTTAATTTCCAAGTTTGACTCCTTAGAAGTATTTTGAGGGGCAACTGCTGTATTAATCTTAATACAAAAAAAAATGAGAAGGTGAAATATGAGATTTGGTAAATACTGAAAACTTCTACAATGCAAGGGAGATAAAAGGAAGATCCTGGATTTTATGTGGGTTTCATCTTCAGGTGAAGGACTGAAAGAACCATGCCTCCTCAGAGGATTATGTAACAAAACCCAACGAAAACAAGAGCCAGTATGTGTGGAAGCAGCTTCTCCTGATAGCTCAGATGACCATTCCTAGAATTCTCATGACCTCGGGAATTCTGTTTGTTTTACTTTTTTTTGGAAATAACTTCAAATTTACATATAGTTAGAGAAATAATACATAGTGCTCCCATATAACTATTGAAAATAAATTGCAGACTAATGCTGCATCCCTTGTCATACTTCAATGTGCATTTCTTAAGTACAATGACACTCTCCTACATAACCAGAAAACAGCTATTAAAATTAACTTTGATCTAGTATTGCCATATGATCGATCCCTCTACTCCAATAAAATTTGCCAATTATCCCAAGAATGTTATTTATAAGTCCAATATCCAATTTAGGAGCATATGTTTTATTTAAATATTCCTTTAGTCTCTTTCGATTTACAAGAGTTCCTCAGCCTTTCCTTATTTTTCTTGACCTTGACATTTTTAAAGAGCCTACAACAGTTACCTTTTAGAATCTCCCTCTTTGGGGCTGTCTGACGTTTCTTAATGATTTATGCATTTTTGACAGTAATATCACAGAATTCATGTTGTTTTTCTTAATGCAGTATATGAGGAGGAAACAATAATAATTTGCACTATTACTTGTATTATGAATGTTTATTACTTAGATCAAATGATATCTGCCAAGTTTCTCAACTGTGAAATTAATTATTCAGTACATTATATTTATTACTTAATAAACAGTTAATAATAATTTTATGGGAAGATACATTGGCACGCTTTAAATATTTGATTCCTTACCAAACTTACACCTACCAAGTTCAGCACTCTTTGATCATTCATTCCTAAATCAATTATTGGGATGGTTACTAAATGACAATATTCAAACTCTATTGTTTCTTGTGGATTTATTAGTTGTCATTCTACTGATGTATTTTCCTTCCTCTTCATATGTCTATTTTTTTCATTTACCTATTCATAACTGTAGTGCTTTATGGATATGTATTTTGCTCAAATAGTTACAATTTGTTCCTATCATAATTTACTTGGATGTTCACATTGGCTAGGAGGAGTCCCTTCAAGCTGGATCTGTGTCTTTTGGGCAAGATCCCATCATTCTTCTTTACTTTTTGTCATGATAACATATTCCAGCCCCATCTAATTTTTTCCTTTCCCAAACCCAAAGTCAGGCATTTCTTAAGAAGCTCTAGTTTTTTTTTTTTTATTGGACAATGGTATTTAGAAACCAAGAGCTGGGTGCTAAGAGTGCTCATTGTTTTGTTTTGGGTGGCATATTTTACTTTTAGTGGTGAGAACGCAACATGAGATCTATCATCTTAACAAATTTTTAAGTCTACAATACATCATTATTGACTGTAGGTACAATGTTGCGCAGGAGATCTCTAGAGCTTATTCATTTTACTTGACTGAAACCCTATGTCCATTGATCAGTAACTCCCCATTTTCCTCTCCCCGCTGGCCTCTATTTTAGATAACTGATATAAGTGAAATCATACAGAATTTGCCTTTCTGTAACTGACTTATTTCACTTAGCACGATGTCCTCAAGGTTTATCCATGCTGTCCATATTGCACAATTGCCTTCTTTTTAAAGGCTGAGTAATATTCCATTGTATGTATACACCACATTCTAAAATCCATTATCTGTTGATGGGCATTTAGGGTTTTCCACATCTTGGCTATTGGGAATAGTGCTGTGGTGAACACAGGAGTGCTAAAATCTCTTTGGGATCTTGATTTAAATTCTTTTTGATAAATACTAAGAAGTGGGATTGCTGGATCATATATGGCAGTTATATTTTTAATTTCTGAGGAACCTCCATACTGTTTTCCACAGTGGCTGGAAATTTTGCATTCCCACCAACAGTGTACAAGGGTACCAATTTCTCCACATCTTCACCTTGTCTTTTGTTTGTTTTTGATAATAGCCATCCTGACGAGTGTGAGGTGTTTATCTCATTGTGGTTTTAATTTGCATTTCCCTGATGATTGGTGACATTGAACATTTTTTTTTCCCATATACCTGTTGGCTATTTGTCTGTCTTCATTGTAGAAATGTCTTAAACTGGGTTTATAATTCAATGAAAGCACAACAACAATTACTAGAAAATGAAATAGTCCATCATGTACAATCATAGATTATAGTAATCAGAATCTCAAAGTGAATCATAATCCTTAAGTTTGCTCATTGTTAATGAGGTATTGTTCTGGCCCTCTTAGAAGTCAAAGTTAGAAAAAATATTATATTATGTCTTATACTTATCTATTTGTCTTAAAACCCTTAGTTCACACTGATATGTGTAACACCACATGGTTTATTCTAGTCTTCCCCCTTACCACAAATATAACTCCCTTCTACAGTCACAAAGCTCACTTTTTTGATATATTTACTTTTTTGCCCAGTTCCCCCCACATGTAACCATATTTCAAAGCTGTGCTATGAAAATCTTGACTGTAGACATGCGCTGGCATTCCCCTCTCTCCAGTGCCCCAGCCATGACTTCAAGAAGGAGAATAGAAATGGGATGAAGAAAGGAGGAAGAAGGAAAGGCTTAGGAATCTTGGCTCTGGCTATAGTAGTCCCCTACACTGCTGCCAGTTGTGTTGACTCAAAGGTGGCTCGTGGATGGATAAGCTCCATCTCGCTAGTCTCCTTCTGGTTGTGCTGGCAGAAGCTTAGCTTGGTCAAAATTTCTGAAAATTCAAATTCTGAAGTAATCCTTTGGGATCTATTTAATATTAATTGAAACAAATTGCTTATATATGTGTATTTTAAAAACTAGTAATTCCTCTTAATCTCAAGGGTTCAATACATTTTTCACTTTTAAGGAAGATATAAATGTGAAGAGATAATACAAATTATTATTTCTTTGTAGTTGTCAAGAAGAATTCTATTGAATTCACTTATGAGGACTGATATGTTTTTGCCCAGAGATCTGCAGGGGCTGGGTGATATTTGGTGCTGCTTTGCAAAGACTGACAGGCCAACTGTAATGCTGGCAGCTCTGTCTCCACAATTCCATACTTCAGGAAAGGTATTTTATTACCAAATGTCGCAGAACTGACATGTCAAGTGTTAAAGGCCTTGTACATAAACATAGGTAAGAACTAACTTTATATATTTAAGGGAAAACAAACAAAAAAATAGAAAAACCAACAATGCACAAGAAGACTTACAGATCTAAAAGAAGCTAAAGAAATCAGAAAGAAAGATACAAAAAATCAGAAAGATAAAACACCCATGTCTTTGTATGCTTTCAAAAGCATGTTGAAACAAAGGTTCAAAAATGGGTTTAGTCCTTTGAAATTATATCTAAAAATACTGATGTGTGTAACCCACAGGTTTTAAGCGTCTAGAAATAAAATTTAAAACCAATTCTGTAACAGATGCTAATGTAAATGATGCTTACAGGCATTGATAAAACACTTTGCCTTCCTTCTACTAACATATTCCATAATTATACTGTGACTTAAATAGTTTATATATAGAGGGATGAATGTGGAACAGGAGAAAAGTATTCATACATTAGCATTCAGAGTAAGTAATTCAAACATCTAATTGTTCCAGCTCAAGGAACATTTAAAAATATTACCAGTTAGGTGTTCAAAATTATTTTGGTTTATTTTTTATTGAGTCATGCCGATAATTTGCAAAATTATAAAATGTTCCCAATCAATGTAAATACACGCTACAGAAAATACAGAAAAGGAATAGAATGACAATTATCAGGAAAATATTTCTGCTTTTCTTTTATCCCAGAAACATGCAAAAATCTTTGCTTTTTTCTTAACCAAGTTTCTGCTATTTGAAGAGAGTTATGGATGAAAACAGACATTTCTAGTTTTTTCTTCTTTTACAGGAGAGAAATTCTGTGTATAAGGGGTTTGATTATACATTCTTTGAACTCTAGAGCTCTTTCAGATGCATTTTAATTAACTTAAAACAATTCAAATCTTTCTTCAATATTCTATCAGTGAAAATCTTATTAATGTAAAACTATTCTTGAGATTTATGAAATGAACAATTTATACATCTTTCTCTTTGTAACTAGATAAATTTGAAATTTTAAGATAATTGAAAATTCCAGTTTTATTAGTGTAGGTATAGAGATTATGATTTTTTTTTGTTGGTTGTAGAAGTATAATTGGTTCAATTCAATAAATATTTACTGAGTACTTCCCTGTGTTAAGATCTATGGGAGTCTAAAATATAAGAAATAATCCTGCCTTCAAGAAGTTTATAATCTAATAGAAGGTGATAGCTCTAAGATCACATTTTATCTCTTATTATTATAACATTTTTTTTGTGTATGTGGCAGGGTCTCACTGTGTTGCCCAGGCTGGAGTGCAGTGGCACAGTCTTGGCTCACTGCAACGTATGCCTCTCAGGCTCAAGCAATTCTTGTGCCTCAGTCTCCCTAGAGCTGGAATTACAGGTGTGTGCCACCATACTTGGTACTTTTTTTTTTTTTTTTTTCTGTAGAGACGGGGTTTTGCCATATTGGCCAGGCTGGTCTCGAACTCCTGACCTCAGGTGATCCACCCCCGCTCGCCTCCCAAAGTGCTGGGATTACAGGAGTGAGCCACTGTGCCTGGCCTTATTATAATTTATACAAGTGCCATAAATGAAGGCTGTAGGAGTAAAAAGGAGGTCATCCAGTTCTGGGCCATCATATATGATTCCATGAATAATAATATTTTCTAACTATTATGAACGCACAAAGTAACCCCTCTTACAATATTTTCCCCACCAGATAAAGGGATTTTATTGCTTTTTATTCATAAAAATAAACAGAATCATTGTAAAAGAGTTCAAGCAATACAAGTAGTAAAAATATTTAAAAAAAAACTAAAAATCACTCCACGTCCCATTGTAAATAATTAGATAAATATTTTTTCCAGATAGTTTGCTCTGTAATCAAGTAAAAATATAGCCCACATTTTTATATTGTGACACTTAATATTATATATGTATTTATTTTAATAAATAAGATAGTATGATACAGGTATTTTGTAATTTTGTTATGTCAATATCCTGTGAATATGCACAAGTTTATAATTTTTAATTGGTACGTAGCCTTATATTGGATGTATGTACAAATGTGTACTTAATCGATTTCTTATTGAGAAACACTATTTTCCAAATTTTCGTGATTGTAATAAATAACACTAGAGCAGAAATCTTCATGGACATATTGTTACACATATTGAATTAACTTCTTGGAACAAATCTTTGAAATTAAAATTGCTATGTCAAGGGGTATGCCTGCCTAAAATTTTGATAGATTTTAAAAAATCGCACTGTAGTGGAATCCCAATTTAAGATTCCACAAACAGTATGAGAGTTTCTCTCACACAGGGATCACATACAAAGTTGCTGATCTGATAAAGGAGGAACAGTGTCATATTATCTTGTTTGTATCCCTTTTGTCATTAGCAAGACTGAATATCTTTTTCTTTCTTTTTTTTTCTTGGTATAAGTGTTTATTTTTATAAAAACTAACCACATTATCCATAGTGTTTCATGACTCACTTCATCCACTCGACATTGTAGATATCTACCCATGTCAATACATGCAGAAGTATATTTTTATTTTTTATTTATTTTATTTTTTATTATACTTTAAGTTCTAAGGTACATGTTCACAATGTGCAGGTTTGTTACATATGTATACATGTGCCATGTTGGTGTGCTGCACCCATTAACTCATCATTTACATTAGGTATATCTCCTAATGCTATCCCTCCCCCCTCCCCCTACCCCACAACAGGCCCCATTGTGTGATGTTCCCCACCCTATGTCCAAGTGTTCTCATTGTTCAGTTCCCACCTATGAGTGAGAACATGTGGTGTTTGGTTTTCTGTCCTTCTGATAGTTTGCTCAGAATGATGGTTTCTAGCTTCATCCATGTACCTGAAAAGGAAATGAACTCATCCTTTTTTATGGCTGCATAGTATTCCTTGGTGTATATGCGCCACATTTTCTTAATCCAGTCTATCATTGATGGACATTTGGGTTGGTTCCAAGTTTTTGCTACTGTGAATAGTGCTGCAGTAAACGTATGTGTGCATGTGTCTTTATAGCAGCATGATTTATAATCCTTTGGGTATGTACCCAGTAATGGGATGGCTGGGTAAAATGGTATTTCTGGTTCTAGATCCTTGAGGAATTGCCACACTGTCTTCCACAATGGTTGAACTAGTTTACAGTCCCACCAACAGTGTAAAAGCGTTCCTATTTCTCCACATCCTCTCCAGCACCTGTTGTTTCCTGACTTTTTAATGATCGCCAATAAGAGAAAGGAAAACACTACAACAGTAAAATAAACAACATCAACAGGCATTTCCTAAAAGAAGAAAGAAAATGTCCACTAATATAAGAAAAAGATATTCGGTAAGATGAACCTGTTTTATTATACTTTAAGTTCTAGGGTATATGTGCACAACATGCAGGTTTGTTACATATGTATACATGTGCCATGTTGGTGTGCTGCACCTGTTAACTCGTCATTTACATTAGGTATATCTCCTAATGCTATCCCTCCCCCCTACTGTTGTGGTGTTTTCCTTTCTCTTATTGATGTATGAGATGCTGAAGATATTAACCCTTTAACATGTGTTACAAATAATATTTCTTTTTTAAAAAAGTTCAAGCTTGTTTTTGGTGCCTGATTCAATTAAAAATATAATTTTGATGTTTTACAATTATCCATCTTTTCCTTTGTGGCTGATGAGACATTTTCAAAGGCCTTCCCATCTAAAACTATAAACAAATTATGAATGTTCACTCATATAAAATCTACTTCTGGTATCTAAGTTTTAGATATGGGAGTGTTTTCCCATTTTCCATATTTCAATCATTAATTTGAATGCCATGTTTATCAGATATTAAGATAAAGAAAAGGCTCACAGCTATTTCTAAACTCTTTATTGTGCTACAATGATCTGTTGGTCTTTTCCATATCCTGTATCATTGTATATGGTATAGTCAGTTTTTCTTTATTACATCATGTTTATTTCTCCAGATGAAAGAATAATTTTGCAATATTCTCTATTCTCAGTCTACATATCCTGAATGGAGATACTCCAGTCACAAATTTTGTTAGGGTTTTGATTGGCATCACATTGGATTTAAACATTAAGAAAGGGCTTGAATTTGTACAATATTGAGTATTTCTATCAATGAAGAAAGTATGCTTCTTTTGTTAAAGTCTTCCTTTATTTTTTTCAGGAAAGTATATAGTTTGATCATTTGGGTCATTCTTTTGGGATTTTCATAGCTATCTAAAACTTTTCTTACTTTCGTGAATGGACTTTTTATTCTGCTATATTTTCTAATTATATTGCTTAAACATAAAAATGCTACTGACTTTTGTGTTTTGGTTTTTAAAGCCAGCATACTGAATGCTACTTTTTTGCACAGAATTTTCAACCGATTCTCTGGGCTTTTTCAGATAGTTATACAGTTTAAAAGTCATCATAATTTTACCTTCTTTCCAGTATTAATACTTTTTGCCATGATCGGTTGTGTTCCCTCCAGCCTCAATTTATATGTTGAAGCCTTAACCTCCAATGTTACTGCATTTAGTGTAAGGAAGTAATCAAGAGTAAATGAGTCCTAAGGGTGGGGTCCTGGATCTGATAGAATTAGTGTCCTTATTAAAAGAGACACTAGAGAGCTAGCTCTTCCTCTATGCCCTGTGAGGACCCAGTGAGAAGGTGGCCATCTGCAAACCTAAAAGAGACCCCTTACCAAAAGCTAAGCATGCTGGCCCCTGGTCTTGGGCTTCCAGACTCCAGAACTGTGAGGAAACAAATTTCTATTGTTTCCATCATCTAGCCTGTGGTGCTTGGCTATGGCAATCTGAGCACACTAATACACTGCCTGTTTCATTCTCTTATTACATTGACTAGCAAAAGCCAGTCACGTAAATGTTAAATAATGTAGGACCTTGTCTTAGCATCATTTTTAATGGGAATGCTTCTAGTATTTCATATTTTTGCTTTTGATTTGGGGAATGTATACTATAAAAATGTTAAATATTCTTATATTCGTATTTTAGTAAAAGCCCCTATCAGTAATGTGTGAGAATATTAAATTGTATCAAGTCTTTTTTAGTGTTTATCAAGAAGATATCAAAATTGTAACAGTTTTTTCTTCTTGTCTACTAAGTGGTGACTTATGTCAATGAGCCATCCTTGCTGTCCTGCAATAACTCCACTTGATCATGACGTGTTATTCTTTTAAAGTGTTGCTGAATTCTACTTGCCAACATTTTATTTAGGTCATTTGTACCAATATTCAGAAGTGAATTGATTGTAATTTTCCCTTTTAGCGTACTTTTGACAGGATTTGAATCATTATTTTTCATTTATAAAAAATGTGAACAGCTTTTCTACTTTATCTAGCCTTGTTAAATACGGGTCAATTATCAATTATTTGAAGCTTTAAAAATTCCCCTCTGAAGACTTCTTTGTTTTCAGTTTTTCTTCCATAGGTATTGGTTGATTTAGGCTTTCAATATAATCTAGTGTCTATTTTGATAATTTTTACTTCTCCTTCAACCACATTTCTCTGCGGTGATCTATGGCCATTGCTGCTTTCTAATTTACGTATTTTTTTGTATTGGTGCTTATCCTTTAATTTTCTTTTTAAAATTTAGGCTAGCTAGTATTTTACCAGTTTTTTTTTTAGAAGAAGCAATTCTTGAATTTATGAGTTCTACCACTTTTCTTTAAAATATTCATTTATTTAAAAAATTCATTTATTTCTACTGTGATCGTTAATGACTTTCTTCTGATTTCTTTGCTGTTAATTTTTTAAATAAACTCTTGAGTAAATGCTTTATTCTTTTTTTATTGTTTCACATTAAAACAATTTTAAGGACCTGAGTACAGCTCTGGTTATGTGTCATAGGTTTGGCAATTAATTTGTAGATTATTATTTTTCTAGAAATTTTCATTTAGATTTACTTTTTGGCTAAAGAGTTGTTCCAGTAAATTAAAAAATTTGCAACAGCTGTTGTATTGTTTCTTTATATATATGGTTTGCATTCCTAACTTTAATGCATCATTGTCAGACAGTTTATTATGTACTATTTCTAATATAGGAATTTATTGAGGTTTATTTTGTGGACAAAATATTACATTTAAAAATTTGTGATGGCTGCTTAAAAATAATGTTTTCTCTGTAGGTAAAAAGAGGAAATATAGATATAGTTTGTGTGTATGTATGTGTCACATGTTAACGCCCACCAGAGACCATTCACCACAGAAGAACTAAACAAACAAGTAGACAAAGAGACTCATCCAATTGACAACAAATATCTTTGGCCATCAGCCTTTTTCAGGGCTGTCATGATGGGCACATGGCTGAGCATTTTGGCCTTCTGTGGAAGATTTTTATAGATAATCCTTACGTCAGAGCTCCCCAGTGGACTGGCTGAGGTTCTGTAGTTCATTGTCTGCATAATTACGTTCAACATCTTTCTCTGTCCAATCCTGCTTCTTCCCCCTTCTCTTCACAGGTGTTGATTCCTAATAAAGATTTTGCACCCAAAATCTGTCGTAGCATTTGATAATGGGAAACCTGGCTTGTGACACTGAATTCTATGGAATGCATCACTCCTCAGTCTTCTGCTTCCAGCCGGATTTGGTGAAAGGGAGCCACAAGCAGGAAGTAAAATGGTGGGAGGAAAGAGAAGTCAGGGTTTTATTGCCCCACGTCCCACTGCTTCATCATGGCTGTGGCCTGTGCTGTACTCTGTGACTTCAGTTCCTCTTTTGTGGCTCCTCTTCCATGATTCCATCCCTTACTAGACTCTACTAATACTTTGCCCTTCCCTTTCCTCTTCAGGCTTAGGAGTAGTATACTAGTGAGGAAAGGTTAGATTTGCTGCTATAAAATTACTCCCAAATATCAATGACTTACAACTATTGTTCGTGGTACATATCCACCACGGGTTGGTTGTGGTGCTTCTTCCTGATGTCTAGCTGGGGATTACGTGATGGAGAAGCACAAACGGGCTTCAGAAGCTTCTTCCCATCTGTTTCATGACATTTCAGCTCACATTTTATTCAGGTAAATGGGCAAGTTTAACTTTAAGTGGGGCAGGGAAGTATAAGACTCCTCTAGAAAAAGCAGAGGTGGGGCCGGGCACAGTGCCTCACGCCTGTAATCCCAGCACTTTGGGAGGCTGAGACGGGTGGATCATGAGGTCAGGAGATCGAGACCATCCTGGCTAACACGGTGAAACCCCGTCTCTACTAAAAATACAAAAAATTAGCCGGGCGTGGTGGCGGGCGCGTGTAGTCCCAGCTACTCAGGAGGCTGAGGCGGGAGAATGGCGTGAACCCGGGAGGCGGAGTTTGCAGTTAACCGAGATCGCGCCACCGCACTCCAGCCTGGGCGACGGAGTGAGACTCTGTCGCAAAAAAAAAAAAAAAAAAAAAAAAAGAATGAAAAGAAAAGAAGAAAAAGCAGAGGTGGGTGACCAGCAATACAATCTAACAAAAATATTATACTTTCCTACTACTGTTTGTACACGGGTGCTTACCAGCCCATGGAGGTTCACCGCTATATAGACTGTTCTTTAAGTCTTTTTGAAGATGTTGTTTCATGCCCAGAATCCTGATAGATACTGTGGTATTCTCTGAAGGTTTTGTCCTCATTACCTGCCCCCCCACCACATGATGTAGTGTTTCTTTCAAGAATTAGAAACATTATACCGTTTTACACCAATTAGTTGTTTGGCCTTAATTTTATGTTCAACTGAATTTAATAATCCTCTACCATTTCTCATCCTGGGACTTTCCCATTCCTGTCGTTTTTATTTGGATTAATCTGTATATTGGCTAGATTGTGACAAGTAGATTTTTTAAAAACATTACCTGGATATGTGGGAGATATACTTCCTCAGACTTTGTACATTTGAGATCATTTCCTATCATCTGGACATTTAAATGCCAGTTTGACTGAGTATGTAATTCAAATCTCTTTTCTTCCAAAATCCTGTTGACAATGTTCCACAGTTTTTTTTGCATGTAAAGCTGCTAAAATTTGTAAGTCAGTGTTTTTTTTTATTTTTATTTTTTATTTTTTACCTCTTCCTTTGTTGGTGATGCATTTTTATTGCTTGCATACTTAAAAAAAATTGAAGTTCAATAACTTTGTAAGACCACATCTCAGAGTGTGTCATTCTTCATCTTTTTCTTTTAGAACAGTGGTTCCTTTTGTTCTTCAGATCCTGCGTTTCTTCCTTGCCCAAATGTTATTTCAATGATGTCTTTGAATGATTTTTTATTCCATTCGTTCTACTGTTTCCTTCAGAGACGGCAGTCCTATGCATGTTGAATCTTTCTTGGCTCTCTGGCAATCCTTGTTTCTATGTCCATTCCCTCACAGTTTTTGTGTGATTTTATTTTCTTTTTTGCCTTTTTTTTTTTTTTTTTTTGAGATGGAGTCTCACTCTGCTGCCCAGGCTGGAGTGCAGTGGTGTGATCTCAGCTCACTGAAACCTCTGACTCCTGAGTTCAAGTGATTCTCCTACCTCAGCCTCCAGAGTAGCTGGGATTACAGGTGCCTGTCACCACACCCAGCTAATTTTTTGTATTTCTGTTAGAGACGGGGTTTCACCATGTTGGCCAGGTTGGTCTTGAACTCCTGACCTCGGGTGATCCACCTCTCGGCCTCCCAAAGTGGTGGGATTACAGGCATGAGCCACTGCGCCGGCCCGATGACACCACTCTTAATTAAGAGAACAGGTCAAACATAACAAGATGCTGTTTTGAAAAGTCATTTCCCATCTTGCTCATCAGCAGTGCAAGTGTATACCCTATGCTGAGTATTTTCTGTGTTTTTCAAAGCTAACCAAAAAAATGTGTGTGTGTGGAGGGTGTGGGGGTGAGAATCTAGATTTTTTTTTTTAATCATGTGTAACCTGTAACTATATTGTGTTCATTAACTGGAGAGGTTAAGTTAAACCAGCAACTCAGTGTGTACTCTCAATATTGTCTAAATAATATTGCACCTAATAATTGCTCTTTGGAGTTTATAAAGTAGGCCTAACTTTTCTTAGTTTAAGTTGGAAATCAAACAAAGCAGTTTTGTAACCATGCCCTTATGTCATTACCGTTCCAAGAAGTCCATTATAACTTTCATAATTTGTTTTTCTAAGACTCAAGAAAGCAATGATCAAACTAAATGTTTGGTTTAAGATACAGGAAGCGGGGCCTTATTAATACCTTCCTGAAACTCTGAGGCATTCAGAAGCAAATGATATATTGGAATTATTTTATTCCATTAGTAAATATACCCAAAAAGTGATTTATGCAACCTAATGACTTTCTGTAAAATTAACAAGGTGTTTTCAAAGCATGTTTATAAAATGAAAAGTAATTGATGAAAGCTTTTCATTTGACAATTTTACTGGACTTTTTATTATGAATTGGAAATCAATTTCTAAGCACCTAGAAGATGTACGTATTGGGTAGAAATGAACACCTTTTTGTGAGAAATATGTCCCCTCAGTTTAATCAAATTTATTTATATAATACAGTGACAAGCTGTTAGATGTGGTAAAATAATATATATATTAATACCTTTCATTAGATAAACTTAAGGTGACTTTTCATAATGAATTGGTAAATATTTTATTTTAAACTTAATTGCTTGAACTTTTTCCAGTGAACTGTCTACTTTGTAGACAAGGACAAAGACCAAAATGACAACTTGATTGGTTGCCTTGGCCCCTTGCAGTCCTAATCTGCCTCCTAACCCCCACTTAGGAAATTAAAACACAAATACACCTGCATATAAACACTCAAATTCTGACCTTTGCTTCATATTTAAAGAATAATATCTTTAGGGAAAATTATGCATATGCAAAATTATTCATACCTTTTTAAAACAAACTGTGGTTGCTTTTTACAAACAATTCATAACTATTTTAATTTACACTTAGTTGATTGAGCATTTTCCAGTGAATTGACTACTTTTTGGACTGAAACAAACAACTTGATTGGTTGTCATGACACTGTAGCCCTAATCTGCCTCCTGACCCTGACTTTGGAAATTAAAACACCTACATACATCATAATGTTCATGGACACAAATACACACCCAAAATCTGACCTTTGCTTCATGTCAAAAATAATAATCTCTTTATGGAAAATCATACTGATTTTATGGAAAACAAGTAGGAAGATTTCATTCCAACTACGCTTTGGGAGGAACTTTCCTATGTTAAAACTCAGTAAAGGTTCCGTTAGTACATTAAATACTCTCGCAGACAGGGATGAAAATGGCCTCAGGTTGTTTTTATTGTACCAAGCCTGAACCACGCGGACCAGCATCCATTCAGAGCTTGTCATAATCTACCTTACCCATTAGATTCTATTTTCCAGTAATCTCAAATACATAACCCTGCTCAAGATGAGTCGTCTCTTCCCTGCTATTGGGTTAAAATATTACAATCATTCTTGTCTCTATGCCCTTGCTTGTGCAGTTACTTATTTTCACCTTCTCAAATCTGGAATATTCTTTGCTAACCTTTCTAAATTCTGCCCTTCTCTGAAGGCCCACCTCAATTCCCAACACTTCCAACAAAAGTTTATTTTGCTGTTATATTCCGAAGTGATTCCTCCCTTTCCTGACCTCTATCTTGTGTTTTAAACTAAAGCTTTCCTGTTAATTTCCTAAATATTTAATTTTATCTTTTCAAATAGATCGCATAATTCTCTGATGTCTGGTACCATATTACCCTCCTTTTTTGTTTTTCCACCATTATAAAGCATAGTACTGAACATGCAATACTTTTTGGTTGTTAAATAAAAGTATCAGAAATTTGTTTAATTTTGTCTCATTGTAGTTGTGGATCTCTAGGTACAGCACAATTTTTAAAAACTAAGTCATTATTAGGCTTTTCTTTTCCTGGCAGTTAAAGATGTTAATATTATATTAAAAATGAAGGTAATTTAAAGAACTTAAAGTTCCATTCGCCAGAAAATTGATGTATTTATTTTCAAAAATAAGAATTCATAAAATAGTACTCCATTAAATATGAAATGAATAGATTAAGTCAGAGGAAAAGTGCCCTTTATTCCAAAGTTCTTTCCTGTGTATGTTCTTAGAAGCTGGCTTCCCTCACCATGTAGCCAACTTATGTCAGAATTTCAGATGTTTTGGAGCTCTTCAGGTCTATAGGATAATTTTTTTTTGCCTCTTTTGTTTCCTTTGTTTTGCATTCCTTGGTAATTTTTTCCTTTTCTTCAAAACCTTGCAGGATGTTAGGAGGATGAAGTTTTTAGAATTGTGCCTGACACATAGTTAAGAATTCGGTAGTGTTCGCCATTATACTATTTTCTTTTTCTTTTCTTTTTTTCTCCCCAATGTGAGTCTGGTAAAATACACACAACTATTATTTAGTTTCATTTTTGCCTATCTGTATTTAAATATATATGATTAGTATACAGAAGAAAGTCACAAGCCAAACAATCTCAGAAATATCTAGTATTGACCTATTAGAAAGTTTGGATTTTATTACAATCTTCACTTATTAAATGTTTATCAAGCATCTCATATTTGCAAGGCAGTTTGAGAGAGGTATTATTCAGAAATGAATCTTGACAATTTTCTATAATATGAATTTCTTATTTCAGTAACTAGAAATAAATGTTATTTAAAATGTAGAGGAGATAAGACTTACATAAATAATTCAAGATTGAAAGTTAAAAGTGCCCCAAGAAAGGTAGAGATAAAAATGAGAGTTCACAGGGGAAAATGGAAGAGCTATTTTCAGTTTAGGGGTTAATAATTCATACAAGAGAGAGGATTTGAAATGAACTTTGGTGATAGAGCTGGTTTTGGACAAGCATAAATTTGAAAGAGGTGGGAAGATGTGATGAATTGTGGGTGCCTGCAAATTCCCTGTCACTCCCCCCATTGAAAGGTGGGGTTTATTTCTGCTCCCCTTGCATCCTAGCTGACTCTGTGACTGCTTTAACCAATGCAACAAGACTGAAGTGACACTGTGCCAGTTCTGAGCCTGACTTCTAAGAGGACTGGCAGCTTCTGCTTCCTCCCTGTTGCAACCCTCACATTTAGGATATCCTAAAATTTACTTTGTGTGTTAATAACAAAGATATGTCAGTAATTTTCCTTTCTTACAATGAATGTCCTTGTCATGTTTTGGCATTATAGGAAATACAGAAAAAAATATATTGAATATTAAAAAATTATAGGAAAACTTCTTATAATTTTATATCATCTTAAATATGAAGCAATTTAGGCTGGGAAGTTGGCTTGTGGAAAATATTTTAAAATATTATAATTTAATTCCATTTATTTTAATTCCACAGAGATACTCCTCAGGAAAAGCAACCCCAAGAAACATAATTGTCAGATTCACCAAGGTTGAAATGAAGGAAAAAATGTTAAGGGCAGCCAGAGAGAAAGGTTGAGTTACCCACAAAGGGAAGTCCATCAGACTAACAGTGGATCTCCTGGCAGAAACCCTACAAGCCAGAAGAGAGTGGGGGCCAATATTCAACATTCTTAAAGAAAAGAATTTTCAACCCAGAATGTCATATCCAGCCAAACTAAGCTTCATAAGTGAAGGAGAAATAAAATCCTTTACAGACAAGCAAATGCTGAGATTTTGTCACCACTAGGCCTGCCTTAGAAGAGCTCCTGAAGGAAGCACTAAACATGGAAAGAAACAACCGGTACGAGCCACTGCAAAAACATGCCAAATTGTAAAGACCATCGATGCTATGAAGAAACTGCATCAATTAACGGGCAAAATAACCAACTAATATCACAATGACAGGATCAAATTCACACACAACAATATTAACCTTAAATGTAAATGGGCTAAATGCCCCAATTAAAGGACACAGACTGGCAGATTGGATAAAGAGTCAAGACCCATCAGTGTGCTGTATTCAGGAGATGCCTCTCACATGCAAAGATGCACATAAGCTCAAAATAAAGAGATGGAGGAAGATCTGCCAAGCAAATGGGAAGCAAAAAAAAAGCAGGGTTGCAAGCCTAATCTCTGATAAAACAGATTTTAAACCAACAAAGATTAAAAGAGACAAAGAAGGCCATTACATAATGGTAAAGGGATCAATTCAACAAGAAGAGCTAACTATCCTAAATATATATGCACCCAATACAGGAGCACCCAGATTCATAAAGCAAGTCCTTAGAGACCTACAAAGAGACTTGGACTCCCACACAATAATAATGGGACACTTTAACACCCCACTGTCAATATTAGACAGATCAACGAGATAGAAGGTTTACAAGGATATCCAGGACTTCAACTCAGCTCTGCACCAAGCAGACCTAATAAACATCTGCAGAACTCTCCACCCCAAATCAACAGAATATACATTCTTCTCAGCACCACATCACACTTATTCTAAAACTGACCACATAATTGGAAGTAAAGCACTCCTCAGCAAATGTAAAAGAACAGAAATCACAACAAACTGTCTCTCAGACCACAGTGCAATCAAATTAGAACTTAGGATTAGGAAACTCACTCAAAAGTGCACAACTACATGGAAACTGAACAACTTGCTCCTGAATGATTACAGGGTAAATAACGAAATGAAGGCAGAAATAAAGATGTTCTTTGACACCAATAAGAACAAAGACACAACGTACCAGAATCTCTAGGACACATTTAAAGCAGTATATAGAGGGAAATTTATAGCACTAAATGCCCACAAAAGAAAGCAGGAAAGATCTAAAATTGACACCCTAACATCACAATTGAAATAACTAGAGAAGCAAGAACAAACAAATTCAAAAGCTAGCAGAAGGCAAGAAATAACTAAGATCAGAGCAGGACTGAAAGAGATAGAGACACAAAAAAACCCTTCAAAAAATCAATGAATCCAGGAGCTGGTTTTTTGAAAAGATCAACAAAATTGATAGACCACTAGCAAGACTAATAAAGAAGAAAAGAGAGAAGAATCAAATAGACACAATAAAAAATGACAAAGGGGATATCACCACCAATCCCACAGAAATACAAACTACCATCAGAGAATACTATAAACACCTCTACGCAAATAAACTAGAAAATCTACAAGAAATGGATATATTCCTGGACACATAGACCCTCCCAAGACTAAACCAGGAAGAAGTTGAATCTCCGAATAGACCAATAATAGACTCTGAAATTGAGGCAATAATTAGTAGCCTACCAACCAAAAAAAGTCCAGGACAAGATGGATTCACAGCCAAATTCTACCAAAGGTACTAAGAGGAGCTGGTACCATTCCTTCTGAAACTATTCCAATCAATAGAAAAAGAGGGAATCCTCCCTAACTCATTTTATGAGGCCAACATCATCGTGATACCAAAGCCTGGCAGAGACACAACAAAAAAAAGAGAATTGTAGACCAATATCCCTGATGAACATCGATGCAAAATCCTCAATAAAATACTGGCAAACCGAATCCAGCAGCACATCAAAAAGCTTATCCACCACGATCAGGTTGGCTTCATCCCTGGGATGCAAGGCTGGTTCCACATATGCAAATCAATAAACGTAATCCATCACATAAACAGAACCAATGACAAAAACCACATGATTATCTCAATAGATGCAGAAAAGGCCTTCGACAAAATTCAAAAGCCCTCATGCTAAATACTCTCAATAAACTAGGTATTGATGGAACGTATCTCAAAATAATAAGAGCTATTTATGACAAACCCACAGCCAATATCATACGGAATGGGCAACAACTGGAAGCATTCCCTTTGAAAACCAGCACAAGACAAGGATGCCCTCTCTCACCATTCCTATTCAACGTAGTGTTGGAAGTTCTGGCCAGGGCAATCAGGCAAGAGAAAGAAATAAAGCGTATTCAATTAGGAAAAGAGGAAGTCAAATTGTCCCTGTTTGCAGTTGACATGCTTGTTATTTAGAAAACCCCATCGTTTCAGCCCAAAATCTCCCTAAGGTGATTAGCAACTTCAGCAAAGTCTCAGGATACAAAATCAATGTGCAAAAATCAATCACAAGGCATTCTTATACACGAATAACAGACAAACAGAGAGCCAAATCATGAGTGAACTCCCATTCACAATTGCTACAAAGAGGATAAAATACCTAGGAATCCAACTTACAAGGGATGTGAAGGACCTCTTCAAGGAGAACTACAAACCACTGCTCAACAAAATAAAAGAGGATACAAACAAATGGAAGAACATTCCATGCCCATGGATAAGAGGAATCAATATCGTGAAAATGGCCATAGTGCCCAAGGTAATTTATAGATTCAATGCCATCCCCATCAAACTACCAATGACTTTCGTCACAGAATTGGAAAAAGCTACTTTAAAGTTCATATAGAACCAAAAAAGAGCCCGCATTGCCAAGGCAATCCTAAGCAAAAAGAACAAAGCTGAAAGCATCATGCTACCTGACTTCAAACTATACTACAAGGGCTACAGTAACCAAAACAGCATGGTACTGGTACGAAAACAGAGATATAGACCAGTGGAACAGAACAGAGGCTTCAGAAATAACACCACACATCTACAACCATCGGATCTTTGACAAACCTGACAAAAACAAGAAATGGGGAAAGGATTCCCTATTTAATAAATGGTGCTGGGAAAACTGGCTAGCCATATGTAGAAAGCTGAAACTAAATCCCTTAATTACACCTTATACATAAATTATTTCAAGATGGATTAAAGACTTAAATGTTAGATCTAAAACCATAAAAACCCTAGAACAAAACCTAGGCAGTACCATTCAGGACATAGGCATGGGCAAGGACTTCATGACTAAAACACCAAAAGCAATGGCAACAAAAGCCAAAATAGACAAATGGGATCTAATTAAACTAAAGTGCTTCTGCATGGCAAAAGAAACTACTGTCAGAGTGAACAGGCAACCTACAGAATGGAAGAAAATTTTTGTAATCTACCCATCTGCCAAAGGGCTAATATCCAGAATTTACAAAGAACTCAAACAAATTTACAAGAAAAAAACAACCCCATCAAAAACTGGGCAAAGGATATGAACAGACACTTCTCAGAAGAAGACATCTATGCAGCCAACAGACACGTGAAAAAATGCTCATCATCACTGGTCATCAGAGAAATGCAAATCAAAACCACGATGAGAAACCATCTGACACCAGTTAGAATGGTAATCATTAAAAAGTCAGGAAACAACAGATGCTGTGGAGGATGTGGAGAAATAGGGCTGTGGAGGATGTGGAGAAATAGGAATGCTTTTACACTGTTGATGGGAGTGTAAATTAGTTCAACCATTGTGGAAGACAGTGTGGCGATTCCTCAAGGATCTAGAACCAGAAATATCATTTGACCCAGCAATCCCATTACTAGGTATATAACCAAAGGATTATAAATCATGCACATGTATGTTTTTTGCAGCACTATTCACAATAGCACAAATTTTGGTATTTGGTGCTTTCATTTTCATCCCATTCAAAATGCTTTTTAAATTCCTTTTTTATTTCTTCTTTTATCCATGGGTTATGGAGAACTGTGTATTTAGTCTGTACATATTTGGGATTTTCTGTTACTGACTTCTAAAATTCAATTTTGATCAGAAAGCATACTTTGTATGATTTGAATCTTTTGAAATTAATTTAGACTTGTTTTATGGTCTAGAATATGAACTAACTTGTAAATATTTTTTGTGCACTTAAAATGAATGTTTTCTGTTGTTCTCCTTATATAAATGTCAATGATGTCAAATTATTTGATAGTCTTGTTCAAATTGTCTATATTTTTACTAACTTTGTCTTTATCAATTGTTAAAAGAGAGTGTTGACATTTACCATTGTAAGAGTAAATGTGTCTATTTTCCTTGCAGGTCTATTGGCCTTTGCTTCATATATTTTCAATCTCTGTTAAGTATATAAACATTTAGGATTTTTATGTCCTCTTGATGATTTGGTGCCTTTTTTTATTAGGAAATCACCTTCTTTCTCACTGGTCATATTTGCCCTGACAGCTACTGAGTCTGATACTTATAAAACCAATCCTGCTTTTTATGATTGCTGTTAACGTGGTATACATATTTTCCATAATTTCCCCACTTGCAAACTGTTTATGTCCTTATTCTTGTAGGAATTATATAGTGGGTGAAATAGTTGGCAATCTGATCATCTTTACCTTTTTTCTTTTCACAAGGGGTGTTATGTTTAATGTGATAATTTATATGGTTAGGCATACATTTCTTTTTAGTGTGATAACTGATTTAGTTCGGTTTAAATCTACCATCTTGACTATTTATTTCTATTTATCCCATAACTCCTTTGTTCTCTTTTTCTGCCTTCTTTTGTATTGAGTACTTTTGTATTTAATGTTATCCCTTCTGCTTGATTTTTAGCTATAAGTTTTTGTTTGTTTTTGGTGATTGATTTGGGGTTTGTAGTATACATTTGGGTCATTTGACCACCATGGCTTAAGAATCAGCAAATGCCTGGAGTGAAAAGCTGTCACAGAGTATCAGATTCACTTCTGTGTACCCATCTTCTTCCTGTAATCTTGTCCTCTTGATCCTGGCCACCTTGACATGCTCATATTCAGAGTTTTGATTCCCCTAGAGGAAGAGCAACACAAATATTGGGTCCACCTCAAAAATCTTTGCTTCTCTCTAGGATTGTGACCTCTTAAATCCTGACTACCTTGGAAAACCTCCAATGCCTTCAAACTTACTTTAAAAAAAGTATCCACTTTTCTATGTATTCTTGATTAGAGCATGGTTTTTTACAAGATAGTCCATCAGAGCTGAAACCAGGTGGACCAGGATCATTAGTTTTTGGATGAAGCATTTTTCATATTTGAAAGATAAAATTATTTGTAAATTTTATGCCTTATTAACATATTTCCACTATTTTAAAAAGTGGAATATTTTTGTGTTTACAGTATATTCGGAGAATATAAATAGCATCACAACTACTTTAGGATTCAAACTGTGTTCAATGAAACTTAGGGTTTCTCCAGTTAACTCTAAGAGCTCCCTAAAGAAGCTATTATAATGATGTCTCTATCATTATCTCTATATTTATATCTCTACACACACACACACACACACACACACACACACACACACACACTCACACACACAAACATTAATTCAGCATGTCAAGTCTCCGGTCACAAAACTGTATGTGGAAATGAGAATCTGTGGCACAGAATAAAAAGTTTCCATCAGTGATATACACACAAAAAACTCACTGGAAAAATCATTTAAAATAATTTTTATTAGTAATCAGGCAAATTTCTTCTTGTTTTTGGCAAATAAATGCATTATGTTTATAAATCATTCTGCCTACATTTTGAGGTAACAAAAATTTAAATTTACAAATTATGTAAAGTGTTTATTTTTATGAAGTCACTCATGCTTTAATTCAAGTCGTTCTCCCTCTTAATTCATTTTATAGTTTTGGAATGGCAAGTAGAGCTAATGTTACCACAAACATTTCCATTAATCTGAAAAATGTGTTTTTTGAAAAGCTGCTCAGCACAAATAAGGCTATAAATAAAGCTTCTTTTTCTAAATAAGTTTAAATTAGTTACATTTCCAATAGTGATACAGTGCTGGAACCCTACGAAAAATGAGAGAAATGAGGGGAAGCAGCATTGAGTTGTTGTCTCTATACATTTTTTTTTTTTTAAATTTGAGGGGGACAAGTAAGTCAGGCAAACAGCGATTTAAATGACTTTAAAAAAATTTCCACTTCTTTGCCTTTTAGTTTTAGTGATTTAGTGGTTATTGGCATTTCTTTTAGTATGAAAAATGAATTTATTTAAAGGCACTGATTTTGTGAATTTGTGTGAAGGCACTAGGCACTTACTGTGAAATTTTAACTGAGTTTTTATGGCTATGGCATAAAGCTAAAAAAAAATCCAAACATGGTAGCCATAATTTAATGAAAGGTGACTCTCTTAAACTGACTTAGTTCCAAATGTCTGGCCTTATTTTAATTTGATGGCTCTGTTTCTAAGCAATAATCTAATTTTAAGCTTTTTGTTTATTCCAAGCAAAGTCAAACAATATGTACATTTGTTAGGAATAATCTTTGGGTGACACTTGAGTTGATGTATCCCATTAAAAAGGATTTGGGGAGCCTCTTTTGAGGAACCTGTCCAAACTGTTTCTTCTTATGGTTTGTAGAAATAAAAGGGATAAAATCAACTACGTATCTCTCTTATTCAAAATTAACTGTTGAATGTTAAATATTTTCCACATCTATTCATTTTGGATTTATTGAAATAACTTTCAGAAGTGGGACTTCTTCCAAATTCTTAGAGCATTTTAACCATAAAAGGCATAAAAATATTTTGCAATCCCATGGGCAGTAATCTGATATTTGGGAGGTTTTTTAAAGAAATGAACAGTGTATAAAGTTTCCAGATTAGAAGTTTATGCGTAGTCCATCATGGACAACATTTATTTCAGTGTCTATAATGTGTTGAGTCCTTGAAATACAAATTGGACAAAAGAAAGGAAAATAAAATTTATGGAGTACGCCCTATTTTGTAGGTATTTAAACTGTTATCTAATTTATTTCACAGCACTGCTACTAGGGTAGTAGGTTGCTATGGTCTGAATGTTCCCATCTCCCCAACATTGATATGTTGAAACTTAGTCCCCAACGTATGGTATGAAGAGGGGTGGCCTTTGAGAGGCAATTAGGTCACGATGGCTCCACCCTCATAAAGGGGATTAATGCCCTATGAAAGAAGCCAAAGGGAGTTTGTTCATCCCTTCCACCAAGTGAGGACACAGTAAGAAGGCACTCCTTATAAAGCAGAGAGCAAGTCTTCTCTAGACACTAGAAATCTGCTGGTGCCTTATCTTGGATTTACCAGTCTCTAGAACTGTAAGAAATAAATTCTTGTTGCTTATGAGCCATCCAGTTTATGATATTTTTGTTATAGCAGCCCGAATGGAAAAGAGAGAGATGTCATCTCAATTTTAATGAGGAGGAACCTACTGCAAACCTGCAGTTAAGTAAATTGTCCTTGACTATAAAGGCAACAAATGAAGACGTGAAATGTAAACACCAATAGAGGGAAGGAAAGAAAGGTACACCTTAAAGTAACCACTTCCATTGCATCCTCACAACAACACATTCATGAATTCATTGAATCACTCTCACTAGTTAGGATCTGGTATGCGTCTGTCTATGTGCTGGGCATGAGGGATGTAAAATAAGTAGTTGTGGAGCCTGATCCCAAGGTTATAGTATAAGATGTAGTAATAGATTGCAAATGCCAATGAGAGAGGAATGCCCAAGGCAAACTTACTTTGCCCTGTTAGTTGAGATGCTGTCCTATGCCAGGCCCTGTCTTGTTTATCTGCACAACAATGGGAGACAGATATTAGTCCCCTTATTTTGTAGATGAAGAATCGAACTTCATAGAGATTAAGAAAATCGTTAATGGTAATCCAACTACCTGTGGTGGGGGGCTTACCTTTGAACCAAGCTCATGTATCAGCTTCTGTTTTTACCTTGTGCAAAACTTGAAATAATTCTCCACACTTTTTTGTGTCAATTATGCAGAGTACATTCATTCAAGGTTAGTGAGCAGTGTATATTTTCAGGAGATTTCTTTAAAAAAAAGTTCCATTGCAACACGTTTTTCTCACTAATACTGAAGATTCATTTAGTGATTAAAAACACATAAGCTTGTCATTAGAATGGTGATTGTGGACTGTTCCCTTTAGCACACTCTTCATCCCAAACATTGTTCAAAGCATCTCACGCCTCTGATTAGAAGTCAGCCTACTGAGAATAGCCACTACTAGGGTGGTCAGTGATGATGAAAACCTCCCCAATAAGGGATTCCTGAATGCCCAGATAAGAGGAGTGTATCCTCTGGACATCCACAGGTGATAAGTAGAAAATGGCTAAACAGATAGTACATTATTTCATCTCCCTGAACTATCAGAATCCTTTCTTTTCTTTGCATCCTGCCAGGGAGGTTCTGCCACAACAACCTAATTGACTGTATGGCAAGCCTAGCAGCCTAGCAGACTCTTAATGACACTCCTGAGTGCTGGACCCACATTCTCAAGTCCCGTATCCTGAGTGCACTCACATCAACACATTCGCCTGCCTAACTTGCTATTTAATTATCTTCTGTTGGCTATTCTTACAGTCAATGCTCGGTCATGTTCCTCAGTGTTGCATCCCAATTTCTCCCTACACCTACTCCTGCCCAGTAAGTTTTCTGGACACCACGCACATACATGAACAACCCAATTCGAATCTCATTTGAGGATCAGTTTCCTGAGGCCACTCCTGGTATCAATTACTATAGAGTTAGGGTTCTAAGAGAAAATAGTGCACCGAAAATGGGTCATTGAGGAGGGTTTAATAAAAGGACTTTATACAAAGGTGCAGGCTGGTTTGAGGGAAAGTAACGGGGATGGCACAGCATCCTATCTGTTATTATCCCTCGGGTGATTGGGAAAGGGGAAGGAACAGTTTCCAGAATACAGGGAGAAGAGCTGCATAGACAGGACAGAAACTATAACCTGTGAAGGATGCACCCAACATGTAGTGATTCAATGGAGAGGGAGCTGGGAATGAAACCTCCCCAGCCTCAAGCTTTCTCCCACCCAGGCACCCTGCCAGCATAGGTAGAAGACCAGGAAGCAAAGGAGCCTCTGGATGGGTTCCATAACATTAGCATTCTGAGGCACAATGTAGGGTAGAAAAAGGGGTCTGGAGAGGCAAATACAAGATATCCAAGCAGCGGGCCAAATATTTAACATAGGACTGTTTATGTTATTTAAAACGCATTTGGGAAGCAGCTATGTTCAATTATAATTGTTTTTCCCTAGATAACTAATTATGTTGAATAGGTGACTGCATTCATTTTGTGAAAGCGGAACAATTAAATATTCAGAATTCAGCCAAAGAGTTTATCTTAAGGAACATTTCAAGTTTTGAAAAATTTACATTTATATCAGAGTTATGCTCATTTGCATTTAATGATCATATTATTTCAAAAACATTCATTATTTAACAAAGAATAATGAACTGCGTTCCCTTCTCTTTTCTCAATTTCGGCTGTAATTTAATACACGGTATGGTGTTCGTTTTCATAAACTGCACATAAACTGAAACATATATATTTGGTTAGCAGTATTTATTACATAAAAAGAACATCATGGGGTTCTTGGGTAGAAAGTATAAAGAAATGGAAAGGGTTGTAAAAGAATAAAGTAACTTCGTTACACTATTATTTATATCATCCTTTATTCTTTTAGAGTGCATGTTTGGAAGGTAATAATTCAAACTGTGTTCTATTTTGTTTGGGTTTTAATTGTTGAAACTTCTGTAGATAATCAATATCACATGCTGCTTAACTGAAAAATAATCTAGACAGTCTCTTTCATTCATGGTTGTCTTTGATACTTTTAAGGATTAACTCAAGTCTGCAGAGGAAGCTTCGGACAGTGGTTAAGCTTGTGGACATTAGTAATAGATTTCATGTTTTAAAAGTATGGTTGAAGAGGTGCTCACCCTCTATGGTTGTTGTGAAGATTATGTGTGTGTAATATTTAAAGTGCTTAGTGCCTAGCATACAGTAAATGCTCAACTAACTCCACTTCCCTTTGCACTACATGTTTGCCTAGTTAACATGTTATGCCTAGATCTCTTCACAAAGATAACTAACTCACAGGAGCCTTCCTTGATCCACTGATTATAAGAAGCTCTCTAATATACCTCTTTAGGGTAACCTCTATTTTTCCTTTATAGTACTTGGTTTGTAATTATGTGCCTGTGGGTTTACTAAATTAATGTCTGTTTCTCTTGCTAGGCTCTGAGCATTTTGAAACTGTGTTTGTTTTACTAGCCAGTGTCACATGATAGCAATAAAAGTAATATGTGTACAGGAACTTACTGACTGACAGAAAGTCTCCAGAGTACTGGGAATGCTGGTAGGCATACTGCATTTGTTCAATAAATACCTTGATAATCAGGTTGCAACAGACACTGACCTGGAAATGCATTTAGAAGACAATGATCTTCAACCCAGAATTGTTCCTGAGTGGAAAGTACTTGCTGAGCTTTAACTGTACAGTAGCTTTGATCATGTGAAATTAAAATGTATGCTTCTTCCTGTTCCAGAAGCCAAAGAGTACAGGGAGTCCAATGTCTGTCTCGCTCAGGTACCAGATAAGGTTTTAGAGTTATCAGTAGCAAGTCTTGCTCACAAAAGACTTAGCTTCAAACACTGAAGCACCTCTCTCCATAACTTTAGTCTCAATTGTTAAGAAAATATTTTTCAAATGAATAAATTTTGTTTGCACAAGTCAAAAGAATTTGAAGTTTGCTTATACTATGAACAGATATTTATTAAGCACCTATTATGTACAATGGTTTGGGAGACAAGCCATTCATGGAGGAGAACTGTTTTGTTTTTTTTTTTAACCAGAAATCCAAGGGGGCTTTTCTGAGATTGAAGAGCAACAACAGGAGGCTAGAGTGGGTTGTGCAAGAAGCAGCCAGACACAGGGGAGGAGAAAATGAAAAAAAAAAAAATGGAGTAAGCATTTTGGGGATGATTGAAATATGGGGCAAAAGAGAGAGATTTCGGCTGCTGTTATGAATGGGAAATGTATTAGTTATCTATTGCTATGTAACAAATTACCCCAAGCCTGGGCGCTTAAAACAGCAAATACTTAGAAATACACAATTCTGTGGGTCAGGGATCTGAGCGCAGTTTAGCTATGTGGTACTTGCTCAGGGTCTTTCATGATATTTCACTCAAGCTGTCAGTCAGGCCTGCATTCATCTCAGGGATCAATTAGAGGAGGATCTACTTCCAAGCTCACTCAGGCATCTGTAGGTGGGCCTCAGGCTCTGGCCTTGTGGGCCTCTCCAGATGCTGCCAAGTGTCCTTATAGCATAGCAACCAGCATCACCAGTGCAAGAGAGAGATCAAGAGAGGAACTGAGATGGAAGCCACAGGTTTTTTATAGCCTCATCTTAGAAGTGGTATTCTGCCATTTCTGCCATATTGTATTCACTAGAAGAAAGGCACTAAGCCCAGCCCACTTTCAAGGGGAAAGAAATTAAGTTCTAGAATATTTGGAAGAATTTGGGCATATATATATATATTTTTAGACAGGGTTTCACTCTGTCACCCAGGCTGGAAGGCAGTGGCACTATCTCGGCTCCCTGCAACCTCCACCTCCCAGGTTCAAGCGATTCTCCTGACTCAGCCTCCTGAGTAGCTGGGATTGCAGGTGCCTGCCACCACGCCCAGCTAATTTTTTTTTTTTGTATTTTTAATAGAGACGGGGGTTTCACCATGTTGGCCAGGCTGGTCTCGAACTACTGGCCTCAAGTGTTCTATCTGCCCACCTTGGCCTCCCAAAGTGCTGGGATTACAGGCGTGAGCCACTGCGCCTGACCTTTGCACATATTTTTAAAACCAACAGAAAACTTAGGAGACTATCCAGGTCTCTGTGTGATGCCCTATGTATCATCTTTGGGCTGAGCTTTTAAAGAAAGCTAAAGATATGTAGTAAGAAGTCACCATTTCCCTCAAGCTCCTAGGAATCAACTGTGTGTAGGGGGCAGCAGGAGTTTATGTGCGTGCATATGTGTGTGTGTGTGTGAGAGAGAGAGAAAGAGTAAGTAGAGGCAGGCCTGAAGGCAGCCCAGCTAAAGTCAGATTACATATAAACTGATACCAAAAAGCACAGTGCCTTAGTTCACATCAATGGTGGTCTACAGGAGGGAGGATTCAGCATGGTCTACAGAAGTCAGAAAAGTCTTCATAGAAGAAACATGAGTTGCTCCAGGTCATGAATATTAGTATGTTATATTTATTTAATGTATTTTGCTTATTATTGAGGAAAAGATCATTCAAGTCAGATTTCCGCTCTTTAAATGAAGCAAAATAACTGGGTTCATTTGTTAGCTTATATTATGTCTTTTTTTCCCATCTAAAATACTTTATCTTTTTATATGAAAGTCCCTTATTATTTAAGTTACTGTGTATTGAATAGGGGCGAAAAAAATTCCTTGAATAATGGATGATCTACCTCTTTGGTGCTCCTGCTGTTTAGAGTGTGTGTGTGTGTGTGTGTGTGTGTGTGTGTGTGTGTGTGTCTCCTCACAAGCCTTTGTACATTTATATGATACTGTATGTACCAGGCATGCAAATCTTGAAATAAGGGAAAGTAGGTTGCATCTCCCATCTAAATTCTTCTTAGTCCAAAGTCAGTGCTCTGGGAGCTATGAAACTCCATATTCATCAGTTAAACTTGCTACTTCTGCTGTGGTCATTAGTGGTTCAGGCAAATAGAAGAAAAAGTAACTTCCCTCTACCACATCCCCCTTTATATTATTTCCTTGATCGGGCACAAAACTATTTTGCCACAGAGAACTCTGTTGTTGTTTTTTTTTTCCTGTTTTTTTTTTCTCCTCTTCACTCCTATAATGTCAATGGTGCTGATGCAGCTGCATAATTTGCATAGAAAGTTTCTCAATTCTGTAGTCAGAATACCAATCAGGTGGCCTCTTTCTAAGCATGTTTATTCTTTCTTAATTGACTCTTCACTTGCATGCTTTCATGCACAGTGCATATCTGCTTGTATATTCTCAGCCATCTGTCAAACACTCACCAAGCCTAAAGAGTGGCCTCATAAGCCAACTTGAACACTATGAAAACATTGGTATGTGGCCCAATATTATAGAACTGTGATCAAAATCTTCTTTTTTAAAAAAAGCGATCAATAAAAATATATAACCCTAGAGTCTTGGTTGACTTACATTGATTATATTTATTAACATGTAAGTCTGCATTCACCAAGATAGAGCCAGCTATATATTTATGGTAAGTGACCTTTTAGTTATAAACAACTGCATTTATCCACTCCAACTGTAAGCAATCCTATATGATTTCCAGCCCATAGAAAGGAATCCACTTTGTCATTCTATTAGTAATTGCTACCCAGAGTAAGACTAGCTGATCATAAATTTTGGACTTTACTAATGAGAAGAACATTTGGAAATATACCCATGGGAAGAATAGGACAAAATAGTTTAAATTGAAAGTCCTAAAAAATCCTAGAAAAATCTGGGTTTGATGGTCACATACTCATAGATCATCTAGTTCAATTTCCCTTCTAGTGCTTTAAACAACTTCAGAAAATATCATTCAACAAAAGCCATATTGCTAAACTTGAAATATATTCAATGAAGATGTAACCTATTATCTCTCAATTCATTCCATAAAACTTAAAGTGCCGTCTCTCTGCCAGGACCTGTGCTGAGAGTTGGTAGTATAAAACTGAGGAAGGCTTGAGCCTCTGCCCTCCCACATCTCATCCCTTCCATTTCTGGCTACTTCTATATTTAGAAAGTGATTGCATTTATTTAGTAAAAATCCTCCCTAGAAGATCCAACGATCTTTGGTTTGCCATCTGGGAGTTATGCAGACAAGACAAATCTCTTCTTTATCTTGCTAGTCCTTTAGATTTGAAGACAGTTATATCCACTCTGAATCTTTTCTTTTTCAGAGGCCTCTGGTCTTGGAAAATCCAGGTTATTTTCCTTTGACAACATTTTGATTTGAAAATGTCCACTTTCAAATGTGGGTTGCTGAACCTGATACAGTTTACTTTAGGCATGCATATCTGGACACCCTAGAAAAGACTGAAAAGAACACTTTAAGCCAGAAGTGTGGATTATTAATGGATTCTGCGGGTTTGTAATCAGAGAATGGAAACATGATGATTTTTCTTAGACTGCATTCATTCCCCCAAGTCCTGCCATCTATTGGCCAGATAATATCATAAATAGCAGAGTAAATCCCCTTAGCTAAAGTCCTTGTTTTCTAGGTCGTATTGTTATCACCCTGGACATTTTTTATGACTTATATAACTCATGAATAATAACATACTCATCCTCAAGTAATAATTAAATCTTCATTTGCAATAGAACCTTTTGCTTTAGGGAAAAAGAACACTGCCTAATCACATAAACATGAAATGCATCTGTTCAAAATAAAACAGACATTTTTATAATGTTATGCATTTTTTAAAAGTTAAATAAGCAAGGAAAAAAGAAATAATGCTGAGTAAGGAAAATAAAAGGGAACAGAGTAAAACTTTGGTAATTTAAGCTGTTACTTTTTAAAAATGAGAACATGTATATATGCTATAATACATGCTGATTGCAAAACATAATTTCAGAAAAATAATTTCATAAAGACAAGCATAAAGGAAAGAGAAAGTGAAGATGATCTGGTATACCATTAACATCAAATGCTTTTCATCATTTTCTTGACAACCCAGGACTACTGCTAACAATTTGATGTATGTCCTTCAGGACCCGTTCTCTCTCTCTCTGTGTATGTATATGTATACATGTATGTATATGTATACATGTATGTATATGTATACATATACATACACAGATGTGGGTGTAAAACTATAAACTGCAGTCACAATGGACACATTTAGTAGCTTGTTATCAAATAATTAACATAGTGTGAATAACTTTCCATCGTAAGTACAACACTATATGAATACTCTTGATGATAGAATTATATAGAGGCACCATAAGAATTTTAAACTTCTTCTAATAACAGACATTTGGCTACTCTACAGTTTTTTCCCATTATAATCAAATATATGCACCCATATTTCTGCCCATTGTCTGATTATCTACTTGGGATAAATCCAGTGAAGGACAATCCTTGGCTCAAAAGGTAAATACAAATAAAAAATTTGATATATCTTGCCAAACCACTCTCTGGAAAGTTTAACAATGTACATTCTTCCCAGCAATATATGAGAATGCCATTCATCACATTCTCACAAGCCAATGGTTTCATTTTAATTTTCGAGAATTTGATTTTTGTTGAATCTACATTGCTTTGAGTACTGTAAAGGGTGAAAATCTTTGCATAAGTTTATTGGCTATTTATATTTTCTCTTGTAAATATGCTTTGTTAATTTTCCCATTAGTGTGGTAACCTTTTTCTTATTGATTATATAGAATATTAAGACTATTATGCCTTTTCTGTCATTTATACTGGAAATTTTATTTTTAGAGTTTGATTTTTAAATTTGTTTATGATGTTTCCCTCCCCTAGAATAGAAATTTTAAATTTTGATATAGTCAATAATATTAGTGGCCTCTGGTATCTTACAGTCTTGACAATAGTTAGACATTTCCCAAGGTGGTCCATATAAGGCAGTTTCTCTATAACAGAAAACATGACTAATATAGACATGTGTTATTCCATTACCAGCTTTTAATTTCCTGGTCATGGGCTTAATGATTAATAATTTAAGATATTGATTTAGGTTTTTCAGTCCACACACCAAAATAATATTTTCCAAATATAACTTTGTGTAATTAATCAATAAAATAAAACTTTTCTCCTTTACATTAATTGATTTAGTGAACAATTATTGAACACTAGGTGAATGTATGTAACTCCTATACTCAGAAAAACAGGAGAAACAATAATGTCAGTTACCCAGATCTCATGGAATTACAGATAGTAATAGGTTGCTTGAGATATCACTTTATAATTAGAAGTCAATTTCTAGGAGAGTGGATGCTGACAGTATTTTTGAACAAGACATTTAATGTTGGGGAAATAACAAGTAAAAGGTAATGTAAGAGAAAGCACTTTTTATTCCTTCCTTCTTCTCTCGCTTTTTTTTTTCTGTAAGAAAAGTGTCTCTCAGACGAAGCTATGAGGGGATAGTAGGCATGGGTTGGTAGCAAAATGTTAGAGAACTTTTCAGGCAGTAAGAACAGCCTCATACTGCAAGGCAGAGGGAAATGAGCAAGCTGTAATTACGAAAAGGCCAACCTAGCTCAATCAGAGAACTGGTCACAGAGGAGCTGAGATTGATGCTCGTGGGCCAACAGATGGGAAGACTTGGGTGACAGTCTCAAGAGTTGAGATGTCATGTGATCTGTGATGGAAATCATCTTTAAATTATGCTTCTGCCATTTATCAGTTATTTTGCTGGAGACAGATTCCTTGAATTTCTCTTAAAAGATTTATATTTAGAGAGGGATGATTATTTTTCTGTGCTTCGGAGAAAAAGGACTGGAGTGAAGTTTGATAAATTGTATATCCAAGCATCAACCATTTTCTTTAAATGATAGATTCTAAAGTCAGTTAGTCACACATGCCAGGTAGAGCAGATAGAGTTATTTTAACACAACAATTTCTGATTGATTTTCTTTAGCAACACCCAATGTGAGTAGGTCAAACTACAAATTATGGCCTGTATGATCTTCTCTTCCAGCAGTTTGCTAATAGGATCATCCAACAAGAAAAAAGCCTTTTTCAAGATTAAAAACATCATCTGGATAAGTTTAGATTATTTTGATAGGTACATCTCAAGGGTAAACTGAAGAGAAAAAAAGATATCTTTATAGCTGTGCTTCAGTTGCCTTCCTCGTTTCCAAAATATGATCTAATGTGCAATGCTGTTTTGGTCTTTTTTTTCTTAAAAGGGTGAATGTTTACGTAAGTCTCATATTTTGTTTATTCAGGACACTATAACTTTATAGTTTAAAGAAAGAAAATAAAATTTATGTTTTTATATGGTTATTTTCTGCCACAAAGCTAACAATGTTTAAGTATAGTGTCATTAACACCCACAATCTGTGTGGGTTTTGAAATAAGGAAGGAAAAAGTGTTTTATTTTGTTTTTGCTATAGGAATAAGTGCTCAGAACATGAAATTATATACAGTTGACATTCACTGACTTTAGAGAGGTCCTGCATTTATTGACCTTAAGTGGTATTATTTCGGGTTATGAAAGGCTGCCAAAATGTGACTCTAGTCAAGGTAAGCACTTAGGCATATTTATGATTTTCTTTAAATATCTTTCTAAGTATATCATATTTATTATAATCAGATTCTGCTACAGAACCGCTTTCAAAAACAGGGCCTCCACCAATGGCTGCACAATCTGTACAATGCACAACTCCATTAAACACATGGACTGCAATGTGAATGGTGCCCCTGGAGCTGTGCAATGGGGCTTATGTGAAAATGCCCATGCTGCAAAATAAAATATTGAAACAGATTGAGTGAGTTGGCTTAAATGATTACAAATAAAGCTATACCTATCTAACACATTTTGTAAGTTAGAAAAATTATTAAAGCAGACTTAATCTTATGTTTTTATATCCAAACACAAATGTGTATATATGTGTGTGTGTATTGAAATGCATACATAGGATATAACCTTTGAAAATACAAATGATCTAAGATTTGATGTGTTGCCACTTTGGTGAAATTAAGCTGAATAAATATTTTTACAATATGATAAAAATGCATAATTCATGATAGAAATTTTATTTTCTTGGGGAAAATTTGGGATGTTATAGCACCACACTAGATTTTTACTCTATAAATGACTTTTTAGTAAACCTAGTTTATATTGAAATTTTAAATATGGTAGCAACACACTTGTAAAGCACTTAATTTTATGGATTGAGAGTTCACGTATTTTTTCCTATGCAGCCTTTCGTCTTGTAAAAACCCAGATGAAGTCACTCTGTCTATCAATATGTTAATAAGTTTGTTTATATGCTGCACTTAATTTACAAAATGTGCCTTAGCATTATACTTCTTGGGAATGAACTAAGGAACAATTTTATTATTGTACAAAAATATGTGAAGACATTCACATTGTAAAAGACTAACATTAAATCTGAAATATACAGAATAAAATGTCCCTTTTCACATCCTATTCCATTCCTATTTCCACCCAACTACCCAAAAGTAAGCCATATTAATTGTTAGTATAAATTCTTTTGGTTTTTATACAATCACTTACATGCATATACATGTCTACATATTTTCATGTTTATTTACTTTTAAAAATAAATGGGAACACTATTCATATTGTTCTACTTCTACACTTTTTAAATTAAGAATATATTTTAGAGATATTAACATAACCATACATAGGAATCTACTACATTCATTCTAAAGACTTGATAGTTTTTTATAGTGTGACTATACTTCATTTTATTTAAATGAATGTACACAACAAGTATTTATTGAGTACTTCCTTTAAATAAAGTATTTCCCTTCTGATTTACCTTCTGCAATTTTTAGCTGTAATAAACCATGCTTTGATGAATATTCAGGTAGGAAAAGCTTTATATAATATGAGTACATATGTCTACAGAGAAGATATTTAGGGAAGAAAGATATTCACATTCACAAAAACTTTATAGATTTTGCCAATCTGCTCTCCACAGTGGCTTTACAAATTTAACCTTGCACCAACTAAATACAGCTATGTTTTCTTGCATCCTCATTAACAAGGTATTAATCCATCTTTTTACTATTAGCTAATCTTATATTTAAGAAATACATATTTTTTGCAGGTCCTTGATAACTATTAAGGTTGGATATCTTTATATCTGTTTATTGGTAAAGTATGTTATCTGTTCATATTCTTTGCCCATGTTTCCGTTGCCTTGTTTGCCTTTTTCTTATTTTATCAAAGAAACTATTTGTGTATAAAATATTTTTGGGCTGGAATCAGTGGCTCACACCTGTAATCCCAGCACTTTAGGGGGCTGCAACTGAAGGATCACTTGAGGCCAGGACTTCAAGATCAGCCTGGGCAACAAAGTGAGACCCCCATCTCAACCAAAAAAATAAAAATAAAAAATTAGCCGGGTATGAGGGTGTGTGTCTGTAGTCCCAGCTACATGGGAGGCTGAGGTGGAAGGATCACTTGAGCCCAGGAGTTCAAAGCTGCAGTGAGCTATAATCACATGACTGCATTCCGGCCTGAGCAACAGAATGAGACCCTATCTCTAAAATGATGAAAAAAAGAATTGACCTTCATATGTTAATTTGCAAATGTTTTCTCCCAGTGACTTAAAAAATTTTATTCACAGTATTTTTCATCACATCTTAAAAAATGTATATGGCCAATTCCACATTTAAAAATATTTTCCTTCATATTTTTCTCATATTTATTACTATAGTTTTGCATTTTAAATTTAGTACTTCAGCTGATTTTATTGTTCCATCTTCCTCCTCTCTTAGCTTAGCATTATCATTTATTCAATGCTTCCCCCAAGGATATAATAGGCATCCTTGACTTATTAAATATTTATAAGTGAGTACTTTTACTTTCCTCAAAAACAATGGGAAGGGCTTAGAAAACTAACCCACTTACCTTGCTGTCAACTTATATGCTATTGTCATCGTGTATTTTAAACCTCACAAAACATTTTGTGCAACACATTTGATATTTATTTAGATTCATCGATAGATCTATCCATCCATCCATCCATCCATCTTAATCTGTCCCGTTTCACTTGCTCTTCATTCCTTTCTATTTCTCTCACTTTCTGTTTGGAATCATTTTCTTTATGCCTGGAGAGCACCCATTAGTATTTCCTTTAGTGTGTTTCTGTTTGTAATAAATGTACTTATTTTTTTGATCTAAAAATCCCTCTATTAAAATCCTCATATTGTCTGTTCATATTCTTTGCCCATGTTTCTGTTGCCTTCTTTGCCTTTTTCTTATTTTATCACAGAAAGGGTTTTTTTCTCGGAATGAAGTTCTAGATTGACAGTTATTTTCTTAGGACAATTTGAAATTACTTCATGGTCCTCTGGCTCTCATTATTACTGTTGAGAAGTTGACTGTCAGTCTTATTGCTACTTCTTTAAAGGACATATGTCTTTTGTTTTCTATGGCTGGTTTTAAGATTGTCTTCATCTTTCATTTTTAGAAATTTTACTATAATATGCTTAGGTATGGATTTACATGTATTTTGGGTTCAAGTAATATGTTTGGTGTAGATTTACATGTATTTGGGGTTCAAGTAAATCCTAAATCTATGTCCTACTGGTGTTGGTTAGTTCTGGAAAATTAATGCTTCACATGTGACTTCTATCTTCTCATTCTAGAATTGACTTTTGTACTCTCATTATACCTTTTACTATATCCATACTCTCTTACCCAGTTTCTGTGTTTATCATGCTTTTGCATCCCCATGCTTTATTTTAGATTTTTTTTTTTTGATTTATCTTCCACTTTATCAATTTTTCTCTTCAGTTATGGACTAACTTGTTAAACACATCCATTTGGTTTTTAATTTTTATTGTATTTTTCTATTACAGAACATCCATTTAATATTGTAATCTTTTTTTATCTGCTAAAATTTATATATTTTATATTTTTTTATTTCTTAAGGATAATTATTTTCAAGCACATGACTAATTACTCCATCATCTGGAGCACTTGTGGTCTATTTTTGTTTTCTGTGTGATTTTTATTATATGACAAACACTGGTTATGAAAAACTGTTGATACAATCTGGAGTGTAACATGATTTTATTTTACAGAGGAAGTTAACAACACTATACACATCCAACCTAAATCCACCAGAAATGGAGAACATTTGGAATTGAAGTTCAGTCCATGGTAGCTAGGGCTGATCTCCTAAAACGTGGTCTTGTGCAGACCCAACATGCTACCTGCAAAATTTGCTATATTCTCTTCCCCCTCCAATTTTTGTTCTCCTAGCTCCACGTGTCTACCAAAGCTTCACTTCTCAGCTTTTAAGTCTCTTAGCCACCTTTTCCAAACTTGTAGATGCCCATAGATAGAAAGCATTTCTGAGTGTCAGGCTCATAATCTTTTTTGAGCTTTGCTAGCTGAGCTTTCAAACATTTAAGTCTTAAAAAAATCTTGTCCAATTTTTCTAGTTGTTCTCAGTGGAAGTGTTGACCAAATTATAGTTTGCCATTATGGAATATGTCTTCCATTATGGGAAATGAATCTGTTAATAAATTGGATTCATTTTTAAGTTCGGTATAAGGTAAAAATCTAATTTCTTTTTAACAAACACATAGCCAATTATCCCAAGTAATTGTACATGCCAATTTACTAAATCTTTGTATATGCCACACACTAAAAATCCACGTATGCACAGGTTTATTTCTAAATTTCATATTTAAGAAAAATAAACAATAATAATTAAGTATTAAAACGAACTATGAGAAGGTATTGCCATACTAGATAACAAGACAGTTGATAAAGTTGTGGCCTCTTCCTCCATCTTCCAGGCCAACAGTGTGACATTTTCAAATCTCCCTTTTTCTGACTCTGATCCTCCTGCTTTCCTCTTTCTCTTATATGGAGATTACATTGATCCCACTTCAGTAATCTAGAATAATCGCTCCATCTCAAATTCATTAACTTAATCAAATCCTCGAAGTCCCTTTTACCATGTAAAGTAATACACTAACAAGTTCCAGAAATTAGTAACAGTAATCATCAACTATGTGGCCAATATTCATATGCCTCGATTATCTCATAACTGTTTTGTGTTTGTGGTTTGGTTTTTCTATCTGTCTGTCTGCAGTAGGATCCAAATAAGATACCTACATTGAATTTGATTCAGTCATTTTTTAATCTATAGGTTCACCTGTTATTTTTTTTTATTTCTTTGCAATTTATTTCTTGAATATTCCATGTCTTCTGCCCTATAGAATCTCCTACACCCTGGTTTGCTAATTGCCTTTTTGTGATATCCTTAAAATATTCCTTTATCTTCCGTATTTCCAGCAAATGAGAAGTTAGGGTTAGAAGACTGACCAAAAGACCAGCCAGTTCAAATTGCAAGAGCAATATATATGGGGTTTTGTATAATTTTATTAAAAAGCAGTGATGTCTGGTTTTCTTTTTGTGATGTCAGGAGCCACTCATCATCATTGCCTAGATCTATTATTTTATTAAAGGTTGACACATGGTGATATTCTATTTCATCATTCTTTCCTCACTTATGAAATGGACACTTCTTTGATTAGAGGGGATTTATGTTTTTTTCTCATCTATCCACAATTAAAGAAACTAAATTTCATCAGTGTTATCTAACTTGAATGCTTGCCTAAGAGTTAAATTTCAAACATTCATGTTTGTCTTGTGGCCATTATTTGGTCCCAGAGCCCTGAGATCAGCATGAATAATCATATTGCTGGGGCAGGCCCCTACCTCCTCCATGAAAGGTTGTTAATTTAAAAACAGGTATTTGTACCAAGGGTTAGCAAACACTTCTAAAATGTCATAAAATACTTTCACTAATCCTTTAAAATGCCATGAGTGGCCTAATTCTTGAAGCCCCAGTATCATTCTCTTAAAGATTTTTTTTTATTGCTCTGGTCAGCTTGGGGAAAATACAAATGACAATGGAAAATAAAGCAGCCAAGCCTGTCTACTTTCTCCACTTTATCTTTCCATAGCATAAATGTCACCTAAATATATCCTTACAATATAGAAGAAAGGCATGATTGTGTAATTAACAAAGGAAAAGGGAGTTCTTTCTGAAATTTTTTCTTGATCACTCTCAATATCAACTTATGCTGTTATTGAAGCCACTATCATTTTCCCAAAGTTTTGCTTGAATAGATGAGATAGGATTATATTCCAAACTGATAATTATTGCAAGGGCTGTCACGCGATATGAGGTAATTCTGAAATGGAAACGTTTTTCAGTGAAACTTTGTCAAGTGACACCTAATTTAAGCTACAGTATGAGGAGACTGCAAAGAAGTAATTTTTATGAAAGTCAGAAGCAAAAAGGGTTCCTTGTTTTCTGGCAGTTCACTTTTAAAAGTCTAGCATTAGAACAAGTACCCAAATGAAGAGTGAGTAATGGTGACTGAGGTGTTTATGAAGCAAGTAATTTATAAATCCCAGAATAACAATACCCAGGAAGTCAGAATAGCTGGCATGTTCCATGTGGTTCTTAATATCAGGAAAATTACAAAGATAATGTGAATATCCTGTTACTCACTGTTTATTTCTGATTATGGCCACTCCTGTCCCTGGTACTTCTAGGAGGCAACAAAGCCCCTTAAAGTAATTGTGGACCTACAGAAGCACTATTTCTTTAATGGCATCTTTAGTCTTCTTAAAATGATTTCCTGGAATCTACAAGGAACTTAAACAAATTTACAAGAAAAAAACAAGCAACCCCATCCAGAAGCGGGTGAAGGATATGAACAGACACTTCTCAAAAGAAGACATTTATGTGGCCAACGAACATATGAAAAGAAGCCCATCATCACTGGTCATTAGAGGAATGCAAATCAAACCCACAATGAGATACAATCTCACACTAGTTAAAATGGTGATCATTAAAAAGTCAGGAAACAACAGATGCTGGAGAGGATGTGGAGAAACAGGAACGCTTTTACAGTGTTGGTGGGAGTGTAAATTAGTTCAACCATTGTGGAAGACAGTATAGTGATTCCTCAAGGATCTAGAACCAGAAATACTATTTGACCCAGCAATCCCATTACTAGGTATATACCCAAAGGATTATAAATCATTCTACTATAAAGATACATGTACACATATGTTTATTGAAGCAGTATTCACAATAGCAAAGACTTGAAACCAACCCAAATGCCCATCAATGATAGACTGGATAAAGAAAATGTGGCACATATACACCATGGAATACTATGCAGCCATAAAAAAGGATGAGTTCATGTCCTTTGCAGGGACATGGATGAAGCTGGAAACCATCATTCTCAGCAAACTAACACAGGAACAGAGAACCGAACACCGCATGTTCTCACTCATAAGTGGGAGTTGAACAATGAGAACACATGGGCACAGGGAGGGGAACATCACACACTGGGGCCTGTTGGGGAGTGGGGGGCAAGGGGAGGGATAGTATTAGGAGAAATACCTAATGTAAATGACGGGTTGATGGGTGCAGCAAACCACCATGGCATGTGTATACCTATGTAACAAACCTGCACGTTCTGCACATGTATCCCAGAACTTAAAGTATAATAAAAAATAAAATAAAACAAAATAAAGTAAAAACATGTTTTCCTACTCAGAATTCATTTCTAGGAATTACAAATATGTGATTATAAGTAAGTTTGTTTGAAAGTGTCTCCAGATAGACCTTTCATTGTAGAACTGCTGTCCTATGCACTAAATTGTTTATGTAGTATTAATTGAGGGGTTACTGTATCCTACATTATACTATATGCTGTAGTAGAAAAGCAGCAGATATCCTTGTCTTCAAGAAAATTACTGTTGAGTTGTAGTAACTACATCAACCCACAGGAAACAATTAGGAAACCATATAACACAGTGAATATTGATATGCTTATTGGTGCAACAGTAGCCCAAATTCAGCAATAAGAGATCATTTGGCACACAATAACAGGATTGATTAGAGAGTTTGTCTAAACCTTTTGTTTGAGATTATGATGCAATTAAGGTAGGTTTGATCCACTGAGGAAGTGGGATCTAAATTAGGTCTTAAACAATGAGTAGAATGAAAAAAAATGTGAAATTAGAAGGGATTTCACTGAGTTACCATTACCTTTACTTTATATAATTATTCTTTTTTGCAAATTACTAGTTGTTTTTTTCTGATTTTATTTGTATGAAGACATATGTACCTTATCCAATTGAACTTTGTCAAATAATCCATAAATACACAAAGTATAAATGATTAACAATGCTTTTAATGCCAAAAGACCACTTATTTTCCTAATGCAACGATCACTTTATATAATTATTCTTTTTGCAAACTACGAGTTGATTATATTAACACTTGAATAATCTTGACAAGAAGTTGCTTTAAGCAGTTAAAGATCCAGATGCTGATCAGCATGCATTAAGTGATTCTGCTTAACTTGTTCCATCTAGATAAATTACTTACCTCAGTTCCTATCACAATTTCTTCCCTGGCAGAGTAGAACATAAACTCGTATAGCTTGTAGTGTTGAAATAAGCTGAAATATAAAATAAATGTGCACTCTGATAAGTTGATTTCAGGAAAAAAAACACAATATGTAAAGACATTTATTAAAGGAAACTTCATATTGACCAAACTAATGCTATCAGACACTAAAACAGACTTAGCATCCTCCTTTATTCCAAAAGAAATTGTCGGGAAATACTAAGAAATTAAGAGTTTTATTCTTTAAGGAAAGGACAATATAACATAGTACCTAGAATAATATCAGTAAATCCATCTGTAATGAGTGGGTAAGTTAGGAATAAGGGAGAAATTAGATGGCATCTTGACTTTTCCTAGCTTAAAAGCAAATAATGCACCATTACTAAATAACATGAAACTTTACATTATTTGCTCTTTTGCTGCAAACAGGAGTCAATTTCCTCTGGTACAAATGGCACTGAATTATATAATCTACCTCTATGTCAATTACTTCTCACATTCTCAAACTGTTTCAAGATTAAATTAATCTATAATAATACCTGAAAAATGGCGCATGAACTAAAATCCATTTAGAAAATGTCTGAGTTTTCTGCAGAATATTCGGTCATACATGAAAGGGAAAAATTAATTTAAGAAAGATCATTTCTTCAGTTCTTACCCTAAAGACTAGGTGGTCAGCATACAAAAACTATAAAGAACCAAAGGATAGGAGGTCCTTAAAACAAGTATTCTAGTAAGTTTAAGGAGCAATGCATTATTAAGAGTTAAAAATTTACTGAAGGGCTGACTTCTAATATCCTGTTTGTGATAATATTTGAATTTTTCTAGTTCTCTTCCTGCTGGTTGAGAAAATTAATAGACTCATAATACAGCAAAATGCCCAAGAACAAAAAATTGTCTTAGTGGTTTCTCTTTCACTCTGGTGCCTTTTGCTATTTAAGGAAATTGATTTTAATATAACTGAGAAATTAACATTTGCAAAATGTAGCTACAGAGCATGTATAATAATGGCTTCTCCTGGATGTTGTAATGGATCAAAGTTTCAATTCATTTGAAATCAATGAAGAAATCCTCCGGCAGCTGAGTCTCTCTGAGTTATATTAGCAGTTGATCTCACTACTAACACAATCCATTAAAAAGTGATGGGTGTGCAGAGTCTGTCATGGTATTTTGGGGGAAAAAAACCTCTTGTACATTCAAATTACTCATCAACATTCAGAAAAGTAACTTAGCTTTTGACAGTACTTTGATTTGTTGGCTAGAAAAATACATCAAGATTAGTGAAGTCTGATAATTCAATGATGCAAAATAAATTCAAACTCTCCCTAACTTACGCTGGTTACCTAGAGAAAGCCTTAAGATAAAAAATATTAGACTGGCAATAACTGATTTTAAGTAGAAAAATTAAAGACTATAGAGTATTTTGGAAACAGCTTGGCTTCCTCTCAGTGAACCGGCATAAAATTTCCCTTTCTCCATCTTGCATCACACAAAGAACTTAGTTCATAAATCTTCTTTCCTGAAATTTCATAATCTTTCAGCCTTATTCTTTTAATTGCATATAGGAATTAGGTTGTCCCATGCCAAGAGGGAAATTCACTTCTTAACACTGAAAACGAAATGCATGATTTGTATGCGGTGGTCAAAGCTGCAGGCTTGGGGGCAAGGCCAGGACTAGGGCCTTGTCCAGCTTTACCAGGAGCGATTAGGTGGTGCTACATGGGAACAAAGTGACACTTCAGCTGCGATAATGCATTTTCTTCTGCTTCTGACTGACTCAACTTCCTAGATTATTTTGTCAAACATTTAGTCTTAGTCCTAAATTGAAGAGAGATGAAGTGAAAATAATTCAAGATGTCTGGCTTGATGCCTGGAAGTGCAATACCCTGTGGTTTACAGAGCGGCAGGGTTGATTTTCTTATTTTGGGTATATGCCTCTTATATTGAGTGTACACCTGAGATTACTATCGCCTAATTCCCAAAAATAGGTAGAATCCACAACGGCAGACGTGTATTTGGGCCGTATATATGTAAATGATGTTTTATACTAAAAAGCTGCAGAAGTATTTATATTTGTATACATGATACAATACACTGTAAAAATGTACAACTAGATTTGCCAGTACTTACAGTCATGTGGGGGAGGAAATTTGGTATTAGTTTTTTTCAAATCACAGACACATGACAGAGTGTGTTAAGGGCATCAAATGAAATTTCCATTTTATTGTCAGTTAAGTTTCATGTGGTATGGGTCATGTTCTAAAAACTGCTCTCCCAAAATTGACTAGGGCTTTTAGTGGTTGGGTAAACTTAATATCGGGTTAAATTCAAACACTTATACTTTTGATAACTGGGTTACCTTCATATTTATAAAACTGCTTTGTAGTCATCAAAATGAAAAATATTATGTGATTTCATTGTCATTAAACTGTTTTTTTTCCTTCAACTTTTAACTTTAAGGGTACATGTGCAGGATGGGTAGGTTTAAACGGGTGCCATGGTGGTTTGCTGCAGAGATCAACCTATCATTTAGGTATTTAGCCCAGCATCTATTAGGTATTCTTCTTGATGCTGCCCCTCCTCTCAGTCCCCGCTAAACTTTCATTTGTGGACCTTTGAGGGGTTCTGAACAGGTGTTGTAGGAAAGCATATTTTCTTTTATACAACTGCAGACTCAATTCCAGATATCCTACTAACTGATATTTTATAGTTCTGTAATAGGGATATTTAAATTGCATAATTTCTTTGAAATAACAATATGACGACTTAACAGCATCAACAATTGCTGTGATTTACTTTGACTAATTTCTTAAATACTACTTTTTGTTTTATTTTTAGTGAAGTAATAATATTAGGGATTTATAATATGTGAAATTACCCTGGTTAGAATCTAAAGGTGACTAACATGGACAGCCCCTCTTAACTTAATTGTTTTCTGAAGGACAATGTCAAGAAATATGTAGATGAACATTTGCCCAGAGAGACGAGATGAAGGGGAAAAGAGCTGTCATCCTTCTCCTTCCAGAAGGGGTCATTATGGCACCTGCATGGGTTTTGTGGCCCTTGTCAACTATCAGTCCCTGTGCCCATTAGAAACCTCCTGGGCTTAGAGCTCAGTTGTAAAAATGTGTTCTGCAAGAGAAACTGGGACTGTTCAAATAGAGAAGGAAAATAAGGATGCTAATACAATGTGCAAAGTAGAATTCCTCTGCCCAGTGATTCTCAAACCCTGATGGGTAGAAAGACCTTGAGGAATAGGCTCTCCTCCAATTTTGGATTACCGTCGTCTCCCCCAACACAAGGACCTTGCTTTGCTTTAATTGATATGAAAACTACTCTGGCTTTTATTGAGAGATACCCCTTAGGAGCTACGTTTTAATATTAAGAAACCACATTGTTTTAAATGTTATTACGTAAAAACCATAGTATATCATATGACATTATTAATTCATACCACAAACCAATATATAAACTTTATCATATTAAACCTACTAGGATTTAAAAAGCTTTCTAGATTTCAGCTAGAATCCTTGCCAAGCAAATCATGAGCATGTCTAAGATATCAGTCAGCACTCTTATTTTAGAATTTTAAATTTTAAAGTTGAAAAACACTGGAGTATATAGTACAAGAGGAACAAAAATATTATGCAGAAGCTTTCAGCTTGACAAAAGATTTTAACCTACTCTTGTTTGAATATTTGCAAACCCTAAAAATGTCCCTTTAGAGAGATGCATGACTCTACTGCAGACCTTGTGACAGATTATATAAAAAGACAAATTTCTTAGTTCACCAATGAAGAATCACTGTAATAAAAATACTTTACTTCCACACACCATTATTTTCTAAGTAGTAAGAAAGACTTAATGAGTTTAATTGGTCAATACTACAAGATATTTCAGGGGATGTAATAAATTTGAGGAAGTATATTCATAAATCTCTTCAATTTCTAATACGAAGCATTCAAAACAAATATTTAAATAGCAATGAATGTTGCTCTTCAAAATGTAGAATTAGGTAGTTGGAAAGATCAACTACCTAAAACATAGAGTCTATTATAATTGCAGCTGATTAATGTGAATCATCCTATTAATAAATATTAATTAAAGATGCAAAGAAAAATGAAATTCTTAATTTATTTCAATTCTAGATAAAATTATATTTATCAAACGCAAACCTTTTTTTTTGGGAATGCAAAGTTAGCCAAACTGTTCACTGTTCTGACTTTTAGTTATTAGGTGAAAGATTTGAACACTTAATTTAAAGAAGATTTAAGTACCTAATTATTGATTGGGCTAATTATGGCATAAATTCTGTAAATATCTGAATCTGCTAAAAACTGAATTACTTTTTACTTAACAGACATTTTCCAGAAGATGTGAAATGAAAAATAAATGTTACTGAAAATAATCCATACCTGATTTTTAAGTAATCAATGATAGCATTGGCTTGTTTTACATCAAAGATATTCCAGTCCTCACTCTTTTGCGAATGTGTTGGTCCTATTTCAGCCATAACTTCTCCAAGCCATTTTATGCTTTCCTCTAAGGACATATGTAGTGCTGAAATAAAATCCAGAGAAATCTTAATTATTATTTTGATAGATGTTTTCAGAATAAGATAATCCAAGATGTTTTCAATGTGCCAAAATTTACTTTGTTAAGTATTTGTGAGGATAAATGGTAAAACTCTTGTTTCTTCATAATAAATTAATACGTTTTATGCAAAAGAATAGAAGCTGGCTGGGCACGGTGGCTCAAGCCTGTAATCCCAGCACTTTGGGAGGCCAAGGTGGGTGGATCACTTGAGCCCATGAGTTAGAGTACCAGCCAAGGCAACATGGCGAAACCCTGTCTCTACAAAAAAATCCAAAAATTAGCCAGGCATGGTGACACATGCCCGTGGTCCCAGCTACTTGGGGGGCTGAGTTGGGAGGATGGCTTGAGCCTGGGAGGCAGAGGTTGCAGTGAACTGGGATGGTGCCACTGCACTCCAGCCTGGGTGACACAGTGAGACTCTGTCTCAGGAATAGCGCTGACCCTGCGCCAACATTTGTAAATTACTACAATGCTACACAATTGTCTGCAGAGTTTATGTTTCCATTTTAGGATGAAAAAAAAGAAAAAAAATTCAAAATGTACTTTAAAATCTTTCTTTAAAATGAAAAGCATTTGTTTTTTCTTTTTTCTACAGTCTCAGAATAAAAGCATGAAAACTGCAAAAAAAGATGTTTGACAGCTGGTGAGGAATGGAAGACTTAGATGGGAGGTTCAGTTACTAGACAGCAGAGCTGAACTTAGAGCTGAAAATGTAAATGAATGGAGTCAATCAACACTGGGCTTTAGCCAATTGTTTCCATGTGTAAATCTGGGTCTGAAGATTTTCAATGGAAGTCAGAAATATGGATTTTTATGTAAAACATCAAGTTTTTTTTTCTTTTCCACAGCCACAGACTTATAACTCATGTAAGCTGTTTCTCAAATATCTGCCCAGTGGTGCTGGTGAGAGCCCGATGAAAATGCACAAAGAGTGACACAACCTGGCCACCACTAAGAAGTAAAGAGCTCAGTGATTTCTCATCTATTCTTTCACAGCTACACACCAATGAAAACAAACACCCGAAACCGTCTTCTGTGGCATTTGTCAGTTGAAAAAGAACACCTTAGACTTAACTTTTAAAATGTCTGTAATAAAAATATAATTCCATTTTCTTTTCTCGTTTGGTTCTGTTATGCTCAGTGTTACTTGTGACAGATAAAACATTATTTACAACCCACACACACACTATCCACCCTTCCCCTGGAAGATGGAGTCAGGTAAGTGGACTGGCCAGGGTGTCCTATGTTTGCAGAAAAGCGATGGGTGTGTGGACATAAGACAGAGGATACTGGAGGTGGAGAGTAGAAAGATACTAAAGCCAGGCTGGACAGGCCGCCTGGGGGAGATGAATGTCAGTGGGGGGCCTGAATGTGGGATCTGGGGGAATTGTGCTGCTCAATGTGGACCCCACCATCCAAATCTCTGTCTCTCTCTGAAACCATCAGTCAACATTACACTTGTTGTAATGTTGATTTGGAAGGGAATGGGTGGAGATTTAAAACAGTTATGAGAACACAGGCTGATTGCTGGACCAGGTATTTCTGGATTACACAGCTACTCTTTCCCACTGGGGTGTAAGTGCTCTACCCTAAATACCAAAATTACTAATAAGGTGAAAGTAAAGTAATTTAAAATGTTAGGAAGACACTATAAACACTAACTTGTAATTTGTTTAGTATAGCTTCTTATCTACTTATAGGAATTAGAAAGAAGCATAAAACTACATAAAACAATTAAAATCTGGTTTAATGAATTACAATTGGTTCGTTTCCCATTGCCTCCCTCCAGATCATCTTTTATGTATGTCAGATACACTGAATTATTTCTGGATAACTAGGTTTTCCTATATCATTCTAAGTGGAATTCAATTATTATTGTACATTTCTCTCTCCATGATAAACTTCTTTTGATAATAGTGGAAGTAGCTTCAGAAATGAAAAATCTGTTGGATAAAAGCAATTCATAAATGAATGGAAAATCTGAATTATTTTATTAATAAAATGATATTAATTAGAGATGCAGAGAAAAGAGAAATTCTTAGATAATTGATTATAATTCCAGATGAAATTATACTTATCAAACAAAAATACATTTATATGACTATTTCCTTCTGAAAATAGTTGAATCTTTAAAACTGTTTTTCTATGTCTAATGTCTTTCTGTAGATAATTGCTTTAAAAATTAGGGAAGTAATAATTTCATTTATCTAACTGAAATATTTGCTTTTTTAAAAATCACATTTAGTGATGTGATTAAAATATAAAAGATTAAGCCACTCAAATAGTAAAAGCTTCTAGAAATAAAATGTATTCTTGAAAACTTAGAGTAATGAAAGAACATACTAGACTTATAATTAATTGGAAAATGTAGGATGATACCTCATAACTGACCTTTATTATTAGTAGTTAGGTGACCTGAGTCTCTTTTTATTTATTTATTTTTGGAGACAGCATCTTGCTGTGTTGCCCAGGCTGGAATGCAGTGATGCAATCATGGGTCACTGCAGCCTCAGCCTCCTGGGCTCAAGCGATTCTCCCACTTCAGCATCCCAAGTAGCTGAGACCACAGATGTGGGCCACCATACCCAGTTAATTTTTCAATTTTTTTTTAGATATGGGGTTTCTCCATGTTGCCCAGGCTAGTCTTGGACTCCTGGCCTCAAATGCTCCTCTTGCCTTGGCCTCCTAAAGTGCTGGGATTACAGGTATGAGCCACTACACCTGGCCTCACTTTCTTTCTATGTAAAATGAGAATACTGCAATACCTATTTTCAAAATTATAGTGCTGTTGGGAGGATTAAATAAGGAATTCATGGCCGGGCACAGTGGCTAATGCCTGTAATCCTAGCACTTTGGGAAGCTGAGGCGGGCAGATCACCTGAGCTGAGGAGTTCAAGACCAGCCAGGCCAACATGGCGAAACCCCGTCTGTACTAAAAATACAAAAATTAGCTGGGCGTGGTAGCGCATGCCTGTAGTCCCAGCTACTTGGAAGGCTGAGGCAGGAGAATCGCTTGAATCCAGGAGGCGGAGGTTGCAGTGAGCAAAGATCACACCACTGCACTCCAGCGTGGCCAAGTGGCAGAGTGACAATCTGTCTTAAAAAAAAAAAAAAAGAAATTCATGTGAAACTAACTCCTGGTACTATTACATGTGTATAGTGCTTTCTAGATTTAGCCCAAAGCCAGCACATTTGATGTCGTATTCAAGAAGATGGGCCCTCACTTGCTAGTGTAGACCCTGTGTGTCCTTAAGGAGTCACTGAACTCCTCTGACTCTTATCAATTTCTCTCATAAGCTGGCATGTGAATTAAACATGACAATATTTTTAATGCAAATAGCACTATGACTGGCATAAGTTAATCTACATAAATGTTACCTGAATTTGCTATTCCTATTGAGGGGAAAACCAATTTAGCATCATAAGAAATAAAAAATATTCTACAGTTACTTGCTAACATTCACATCATACACCAGGGGGATCCATCTAGGTCTATGGACCTGGCTACGTGCTCAGGAGTCTACTGCTACCTAGTTGAAGTGTAAACATACTTCACCTTTTTCCTTGGCACATTTGGTTAAAATTACATTCTTTCCTAATGATGACTATAAGTTTGTTCAGTTTAAAAGTGTGGAGGGATTTTTAAAAAAAATTTTTTCTGCCAGGAGGAAAAACTAGATTCCTTGCTTTTTTTCTGGTTAGGTTCTACATATGTACTTTCTCTCTCATAGTTTATGAGGAGTTGGATGGATCCTGCTCAGGTTTTAGAAATTCATTTTTGCAATAATATCAACAATATAAAGTTTCACATAGAAGAAATGTTACTGAGTCAGTTATAAGTTACAGGAAAAGTTTAAAAAAGAAATATCTTCTCAAATTTGGGATGTGAGGTCCATGAAAATTTTTACTTTCCTTTATTCTATTTCTAGTGTGTGAATACTCAGCTCAGAAGTCGCCAAAGCTTAGGACTGTCCATGTTACATATTCTCTTTTAAAATTTAATTTTTGCATAAGTGATGTATTCATATTTCAAAAATACGTACGAAGAAATCTTGTGAAAAGACTTCCTCCAATATCTGTTGCCCACATGCCCAGTTCTTACTACCATTCACCCCAGGGAATTTTGATTATTATTTTTTTTCTGTATCTTCCAGCATTTCTTTGTGTATACACAAATGAAAATATGGATAGATTCTTATTTTTGCTTCTTTTATAAATAAAAGCATGTAGTTCTGCACCTTGCTTTACTTGATAACTATATATTGTTTCCCATACAGTACACAGAAAGTTTCTTCATTTTCTCCTTGTTATAGCTGCCTAATATTCTATTTTAGAGATAGCTAATAGTTACTGATAAACTTTTAATTTTAGTGTAGTTTTAAATTTACAAAAATTTCACAAGAATACCACAGAGTCCTCAGATATTTAGAGGGTGGATGCCACTGATACAACTTTAAAATGAAATTAACATATATTTGGCAAATTGGCTATTATGAAAACTGTAGCCTTTGTTAAGTATTACTTGAGGTTTTATAACTCAATGGAGATAGGAACTATGTATTTGTTATACTCAGGAAAAACCCGTATTTTTCATTAAAGGAATTACAATAAAATCTGTAACTTTTGCTTAAGAACCTCAATTTATATGGTAAATTAAATTTGTTTTACTTCAAAGGAAAATAGTGTACTTACTTTTAAGATTTTGAAGTGACATAGCTAGTAAAGTCATAAATTTTGAATACTGAATAATAGAGAAATCCATTCCTCTAGCCCACAAAAATCCAGATACATAATAATCTAGTAGAATGGCATCCTTTAAACAAGTTTCAAGGTTTTTGAAATTCAAAAATATTCTCAGTTTTCTGTAAAATAAAACAAAAATCCACATATTAATTCAGATTAGATATTGAACCATTTCTTTCCTAAGTTTTGAAAACAGGTCTTTTTCTTTAATGCCCATAATCTGAAAATATTCAGTTACATCAAGCTTCATAAGACCAAAATGACATTCAAAAAAGAAACAGAGAGAGAGAGAACGAGGATGGGGGAGCAAACTCTATTTCTGGTCTCCTTCCTCCTCTTCCTCTTTATTTTCTGTTTCTCCTCCTTCTCTCCCCTTCCCCTTCTTTCTTCCCTGTTTATGTATAGCAATTTTACTAGTATATTTTTCTGTGAAATTCAACGTCTTTTTTCATTTATAAAATTAAGTTTCTTTTATTTCTGAAAATATTCTGGAACTAAATTGTTAAATATTCTGAGATATATATATTATATATATAATATATATGTTATACATGTATAACATATATATGTTATACATGTATAACATATATGTTATACATGTATAACATAATATATATTATATATGTATAACATGTATATGTTATGTATAACATGTTATACATGTATAACATATGTTATATATAACATAATATATACAAATATATATTATATGTTATATATAACATAATATAACATATAATATGTTATATATAACATAATATAACATATAATATGTTATATATATAAATATATATTATATATGTTATATATAAAATATATTATATATGTTAATATATAAATATATATTATATATGTTATATATAAAAATATATATATTATATGTTATATGTATATAAATATATATATTATATATGTTATATGTATATAAATATATATATATATATTTTTTTTGAGACAGGGCCTTGCTTCATCGGCCAGGCTGAGTGCAGTTGTGTGATCTTGGCTCACTGCAACCGCTGCCTCTCCAGTTCAAGCGATTCTTCTTCCTCAGCCTCCAGAGTAACTGGAATTACAGGTACCCGCCACCATGCCAGACTAATTTTTTGTATTTTTAGTAGAGACGGGGTTTCACCATGTTGGCAAGGCTGGTCTCGAACTCCTGATCTCAAGTGATCTGCCCGCCTTGGCCTCTCAAAGTGCTGGGATTACAGGCGTGAACACCGCACCCAGTTCATTCTGCTATATTTTAAAAAGCATTCCAATTATGTACATTTTAGTCATTTTTTCTAGAGTTATAATTTTCTCTTCAACCTTAAAATTTTTTCAAGTCTATTTTCTTTTCATTTTGGATACTGTTTTATAATCTTTTATTTCTTTATCTCTTCCTTGAGCTTTTATATCTCTGTTGTATGCTTTCTGTAGTTGCTTCATATGTTTTAAAATTCATGATAAAATAGTTGATTATATTTTTTGTCTTCTCATGGTTATATCTTTCTGATGTGTTTGATTTGCTATTTCTCTTTCCTGTTCCTCTCCTATTTTTTCTTGCAGTGTCCTGGAATGCATATTCTTTGTTTACCACCTTATCTTTGGATGAAGGGAGTTTTTGTCCTTGAATACCTACTTTCGGGAAATACACTGGAGGTGGAGACCTGGCCAAGTTACAAACTAGCAGGCATTTTCTGTATGAAGTAACTTTGTGTCAATTATTCTAGCATTTATTTATTTTTTTTAATTGGTAAGGAAAAAGAAAGAAAAGAATGAATAGACTCTCTTTATTATCATATAAACAGTCAATTTCCTGTGCTACAGAAAGGATCTGCTCCAAGCCTGCACACCCTGGTCCTGCTATTGCAGACAAGGGTTCCTGGAATGGTACTTTAAGGTTTCCCCTCCTGGGAGATTAAGCAGATAGATAGATAGATATAGATAGATATAGATATAGATATAGATATAGATATAGATATAGATATAGATATAAGCTCATTCTAAGCTCTGTGACTATGAGCATCCTTCCTTATATTTTCTCCTGCCCTTCTGGTTGATCTATAATGACAGTGGCCATCATCTTTATATTTTGTGGTTTGGACCATTAGCATTCTCTTGGTTTTGACAAAGATGAAGGTGGTATTTCCTTGTTGGTTTTATGTGATTTTGAGAGGGGTAATATGTGTGTGACAACTTTTTACTGCTGTCTTCAAAAATGGAAGTCCTTATTATTCTTAACATCAAAATAAGTGATATAATCAGATTAATAAATACAGCAAGATTGAACAAGTTTGGGAACAAATAAAGCTGAGGTCGAGATAGGTCTATTTCTTCAACATGCATTTCATCTACAGTGGTGTCAGGGTAGACCTGAAACCCAAAAGTGAGTTCTGATTATTCTAAGCTAATCATACTAATTTCACCCCCTTGCCATAATGCCATTTGGTATATGGTATGTCTCAATAATAATTATTGTTCTATGATGGGCCTGCTCCTAAATTATTATAAATAATTCATAACAGAGGATGCAGTTTCTTTTTTTCTGTTGAATAAAAATAAGAAAGAGTGAATAAGTGGCTTTAGTTGCTACCGCCAGTTATCTTGTAACCCTAAGAAAAATGGGTTCTAAGATTAAGCCTTATTTTTTGATGATACTATTTAGACCTTGACTCCATTAACTTTGAAGTTAATCTATCTCTGAATTTCCTGTTATGTCATATATATATATATGTGAACATTGTGTATTTTTAATTTTTAGGTCAATATGGTCAGTTTTTTATGTTGCATGTCACTATACATTTTGACACATTTTTTCAGGCATTCACCTCAACTGGCAGATATAGACATCCTGATGATGGTGGTGGTAGGATTTTACTCTATTAGCCAGGGATCTTTAATTTGCACTGGACATCATTTGGCAAGATATATTTCTCAATGTTTAATCTACAGTATCATTCACTCTTAAGTGAAAGTCAGTAAGAAAACTGCCACAATAATGAAAACTTGTGGTATTGTTATGGGATAAATAAGTAGGCCAGTGGAATACGCAGAAAGTCCAGAAACAGACCCAATATATGAGGGAGCCTGGTATATGGCAGAGGTATTATTCCAAATCAGTAGAGGAAGTATAAATTCTTCAAAAATGGTGCTGGGAGAATTGGTTATCCAAATGGAAAATAAAATAAAATACCATCCCACATAATACATTAAAATAAAATCCAGGGTTAAAGATTTAAATGGCAATAGCAAACATTACAAACTTTAATTAAAAAAATATACTTCTGACATTTGGATAGCCCAAAGTTTCTTAAAAGTGACACCAAAAAGATACAAACCATAAAGAAAAAGACTAATAAATTGGTCCTTGTTAAACAGACGAAACACTTCTGGAGAACCAGAGACAATCTAACTACATTGAAAAGACAAGCTGCAAGGACAAAAAAAAAAAAAAAAAAAAAAAAACACCCAAAAAACCAAACACCGCATGTTCTCACTCACAGGTGGGAATTGAACAAAGAGAACACATGGACACGGGAAGGAGAACATCACACACTGGGGCCTGTTGTGGGGTTGGGGGAGTGGGGAGGGATAGCATTAGGAGGTAGACCTAACGTTAAATGATGAGTTAATGGGTGCAGCACACCAACATGGCACATGTATACATATGTAACAATCCTGCACGTTGTGCACATGTACCCTAAAACTTAAAGTATAATAAAAAAAAAGAAAAAGAAAAGACAAGCTGCAGACTGGGAAAAAAAATGGTAATGAACATAACTGAAAAAGGATTAGTATTCGGTAAAGAAGGAGAAATAGGAAGCCTTCATACATTCTTAAGTCTTATCAATAGGAGAGAGGTCTAAATACAGTTAATAATAGATCAGAAATATGTATTCCCACATGGGCTTTGATGTCCTCCATTGGTTAAGAATCTAAAGTAAAGAGAAATGATCAATTAAGATCTTTCCAAAACTCCAATTATCTTTTGCAATAAATTCCTAAAATTGGGACTGCTGGGTTATATTGGCCATGGTGAGATATGCTGCTAAACTTCCCTCCAGAAAGGCAGTGCCAAGTAAGTCTTTCATCAAGACCACACAGAAAGGTCCACTTCTCTATACTCCAATCTACGTTGGATTTTGTCCATAATCTTAACATCTACTAATCTAACAGAAAAATTTATTATTATTATTATTATTATTATTTTTTGAGACAGAGTCTCACTCTTTTTGCCCAGGCTGGAGTGCAGTGGCTCCATCCCGGCTCACTGCAAGCTCTGCCTCCCGGGTTCATGCCATTCTCCTGTCTCAGCCTCCTGAATAGCTGGGACTACAGGCACCTGCCACCACGCTCGGCTAAATTTTTTTTGTATTTTTAGTAGAGATGGGGTTTCACCGTGTTAGCCAGGATGGTCTCGATCTCCTGACCTCATGATCCGCCTGCCTCAGCCTCCCAAAGTGCTGGGTTTAAAGGCATGAGCCACCACGCCCGGCTGAAAATTACTATCTTATATATTTCTTTGCTTATTCATTAGATTGGATTTCTTTTTAATGTCCTCTATAGGTTACTTTTTCTTTTAAGTTTATAAAAGTTTTTCACATACTTAGGGATATTAACCCTTTACATTTATGATACAAGTTTTTAAAAGCATTTTGTTATGAGCCATTTCTTAAAGCAATTTTCTTGTGATTATATGATTTTTGTAACACTAATCCTAAAGTATTTGCAATCACTCACTTTCAATTTTAAATAGCATTACTATAAATAGGGGTCATCTGCTTCAATTCAATTTTATTTTGGTGAGAAAAGGAAATTCAATTACTTTTTTTCTCATGTGCTTGCCTATTTTTGTTGATGTTCTAGAATAATTGTTTCAGTCTATTATTACCATATTGGATTTAATTTTAATTTTAAATGATCCATACTTACTGCCAGGCTTCTTATATCACAATTTCTCATTGGCAGTTTTTTGTTGTTTAAAATTCACCAATGAACTGATTTATTTTTCAGCTGGGTTATGAAATAAATTTTTCAATAAGACCACATGAATACTGTATTTTCTGAGTTGTTCTCTATATTGCAATGTCTTGTTGCCACTATAACTGAACATCAGACAAAATTAGTATTTTATTTTGCAATCATATACTTTTGACTTCCTACATTTTGGTTACTTGTTGCACCACTGATTTTTGCAGACTAACCTTGCTAAGGAAAAGTCTGAGGCCTGTTATTTTCCTGTTTAGGTGACTTGCTTTAAATTTATCCCACAAAAATTTAGCAGGTTTTATTCTATTAAAATATTAAAATCAAAGTTTTATGAAGTGTAGACTATTTTTTCTGATTCACTATGTTGAATGTATATTCTAACTTTTTTGAATAATTGCTTTAATCTACACTTTATGTAAGTTTTCTTAAATTTGTCTTCCACATTACTGACTTGATTTTCAGCAATGTAAGTTCTACACTGGTTTTACTCTTAGCCTTAGTTTCTTGCCTTAGTTCTAAAAGCTTCTTCTTTATATATTTTACCATGTTTTTTTTTTGGTCTCTTGTTTTGTGAAATTGATGCCCTCTTTAATTATTAGCTTTAATCTAACATTTTCTTCTGTTTCTAGCAGTTAGTTTTCCTTCTAATTGTACTCATCATCTGCCATCTGCACACTACGTATTTTTAATTAAATATTTGCCCTGAATATTTGCATATGTTCTTTGCTTTTTATTTTTACTTTTCAATGTTTAGTTGTGTTTGAATGACAGTAACTACTTGCCAAAAAATATTTTGGTGAAATCTCTTTGACCTTTTTCATCTTTGCTGTCCCCCACACTTCCTCCACCACTTTCCCTAATACCATTTGTCTCTTCCCTTTTAACTTGAACCACAGGGCTAAGGATTTATCATTTCCATTCTTTGCTCGGTCATTGTACTCCAAAGGAGATTATGTAGGGAGGCATCTGAAGGAAGATATTGCTATGGTTTGAATGCAAAGTTTCCAGTATTTTACTGGCAAATACGTAAACTTTTTCTCTGGGAATAACGGGAGCTGGAACAGGGGAGAGGGGAGAGATGGCTATGGCGGTAGCATGAAAGAACGTAGGGAAAGAGAAAGATGATTCACTGTGTTTTAGGAAGTTTGGTATAGTGATGATAGGTGATATACCTATCTATTTTGTCTCACCAAGAATTTGGGTAAAAATATTACATTACTCTTGCATGTTCTTGACAATGGGGTGCATTTTAATTCTTAAATATGACATGCAGAAATAAACCTCAAGGCAAGAGCTAAATAGCTCATGGAGGCCCAGTTACCGAAAGGTTATTAAAAATGTCTCAGTGTTATTTTTGTGTTTATATAGTTACTTTCATTTTAGTCCTTATTCTTTTTTAAAAAAAATTGAGATGGATCTATAAATAAAGTCAAGGTTACATTAAAATATTTATGATTGATAGCAGCTAAGTGATCATGAGAAATGTACCCAGACATTTAACTGCTTAAAGTGAATTTCAGAAATATGTTTTAATGATACTTTAATGTTTCATTTTGTTGGCTGCTTTCATGGAGAGAAATTTTTAATTTTAAGAGGTAGGGAAATGTGCTGATTTCTTCTAACTTATTTAAATAGGCTTATAACTTTGTAGACTCTATGATTTTCTGTCACTTGGTGATAGGATACTTAAACTATATTTCTGTCATTTTGAAAGCATATAACCCCCATTTATAATAATGCTATTTTAAATTGAAAGTGAGTGACCGATTGCAAATATTTCAGGATTACCATTACGAAAATCATGTAAAGAATCTCAAGAAAATTGTTTTACAAAGAAATGGCTCCTAACATAATACTGATGTTATTTATCCAAAGATGATGTCTTAAAATTTGAGGTCACTTCAGGTGATTTCTACATTAATGAGACAGTCTAAAAAGGTCAACCTGCTATTGAGCCTGGCTGTTTTTATATTGCTAACTTCTGCATCACCTTCTGTATCACTTACTGTATCCTAGGCCTTACCACCTAAAGATTAAAAATATGTTCAGAATTTAGATATTCAACAACAAAGAGAGCCAATAATTTTAAAAAATCATCACACAAAGTATGATACACAGCACAATTTACAACGTGGGAAGAAATAATTCTGAAAAGCACTTATTTGCAACACCTTTTATTTAATATTAATTGTATTTAATATAATATCTTTTACTTGGCATTTAATATAAATAAATTAAGAACTGTATAAAATGTCTGCTATTCGCATTGTGCTATTTTGCCTAGTATCAAATACCTATTGTTTTGCATTGCAATGATCAATAACATTTGGGGTTACCTGGAAATGGAAAATAACATTTTACATAAAGACATGATCAGTGGTATTGCAGATCAATTCTTACATTAAGAATCAGAATTCCTAACGAACCTTAATTTCTATAAAAATGGTAAAATCATCAGGAGATACTTGCTTAAAAATCTCTGAAATTTTAAATTCACTCATACTTGTAGAGATGCAGATAGTAAGTGGTATGGCTGATCACAGATAATCAATTTCCAGCAGAGGTTGCCAGCGCTAGAGCTGAGCAGCTCAGGAAAAGGCCTGTCAGTGTTATTCACCTGTTCTTGATAAACCTTCCCTTCTCGGATTTTTCTTCCAGCCAGGACATCTGTCATATTCCCTTCTCAGTAGTGAGTCATCTTTATGCTATAACATTTGTAAGATTTGTCAGTGATAACCACTGACAGAGTCATTTTCTATTTGTCTGTTATGGTCCACGACACCCTGTTTGTGTCCCAAGGACTGGCCTGCAGAGAACTGACACCAAGATGCTAGTGCATGACATCATCCCCACTCTCTACACACGATGGCCAATTAGGCTTCCATTCTAAGTGGGATGATTTTTTAAATGGGTGATTACTAAAAACACCTTTTAGGATATTATGTTGTTGGATGTATCTGACAAAAATTCTAAATAGATGATCTACTATAGAAATAAATGGCCTAAAGAGTGAGATGTACATATATTGGAATTACTGCCTATAAATTCCATTGTATTCACATTTTTAAGTAACATGTACACAATCAGAGTACTTAGTATAGCATTATTTCTGATGAGAATCACAGGTGGATGGCAAATACTCAAGATTTCCAAAATAATAAAATGCATTGCCCATTATAATTACAGAAAACACAACTTACTCTTCTTACAACGAGGGAGAACATTCTTTAAGTTAATGTGCATATTGACAGTTTTATGAATGAAAGAGAAAAGAAGACAGCATATGCTATAGCCTGCTTTTATCAACAAACCTCTGCTCTTGGTAAATATTAGTAAGTTGGTTTGCAATGTATTTTCTTTATAAAGGAGACTGTTGAGTAGTGCCAAAAGTCAGTTACTTGAGAATTTTTGTGTTTTGAAGTCTAGATATTTTTCAGTGCATAATATCATAACAAATATTGTGAAAAAAGCTTATACATGTAATCACAATCATTTACAGATGCAGAACTCGAACTGTTCTTCTACATGTGATTGTAATAGTGAAGTGCTTACTCTTGAACTCCATCGATGTCCTCCATTAACAAATCAGTGATTTGGGCAACTGAAAGAAAATCCGGAGACAGAATCTTTTCATGCTCCTGGAATTCAGTGTCTCTCTACCAAAACACAATGTGGAGTGAGTTACTTTAATTGTACGTTTCATATATTAAACCCAATAGTAACAAAGTTGGCTCTTCTTATAGTCTAGTTGCTGTCAGGAAAAACATTTAAAAACAACAATCTTCGAGATGGTATCTTTTCTTTTCCATATTATGCAACGGTACCTTTCACCTGAAAAGTCAAATGGCTAGTCAATCCGTCTTTTGGGCATATGTACAACTGGGTGATGGTTTTCAATTCAACAAATATTTATTATCTAAACATTCCTCATTGAATCTGGGGCTTATGAGGAGGCAAATACAAACAAGAAAGACGTGCTAACCTCAAGAAGCTTAACATCTAGTGAGAGGAGCAAGCCTAGGTTGATGTTAAAAGAAGAAAAGAACACAAGTAAGCCATAATACATGCGGCATTCAGTCTAAAAGAAAGGACAAGCATAGGCACAAGACAAGGAAACTCTATAGACAGGAGTTCCAGGAATAGGCTTTGGAAGGTTAGGTGTGGCCAATGCCCCATGTGAATGAACCAGCAACACCAAGGTTATGAAGATAGGATAATTAGGAAGGAGTTCTGTAAATATCAGCAGTTCACAATGTTACCTAGGTTACATGAGGGTGACTAGTTGGACTTAGGTGGAAGTTAGCATTGGAAAGGTATGGTGGGCAATCTTAAATTTAATGATTCAACAAATATGTACTGAGTGTTCACAAGGTACAGCAAGGCATCATAAATATTTTAGACCCTGGCTGGTTGAAGAATGGTAGTCTGAGAAGTTTGTTTCTAGTAATACAGACAGCACTCAGAACCATGAAGTTTCTGGGCAGGTAAATGACAAGACAAAACTGTGCTTTAAGGAAGGGTAATCTACTGGAGGGTGAAGGAAAGACAGGAGCAGAGGAAGAGTTAAACAAAGAGGCCATTTAAACAGTGCAGGGATGAAGCGTTGGGCTGCTCCGGTCTCCTTGGCAGTGTGGATGAAAAGAAAGTGGTGAATGTAGTCATGTTATGGGGGCCTAAAAGAGGGGAGAAAGAATGGAGATTCTGAGTTTCTGAAATAGGTGAGTTGGAGGAAATGGTGGTGATACTAATAATACATATGCCACCTTTGTGTGAGTTAGACAAAGATATCCTCTTTGGGTGGAGGAAGTGCTGAAAAGATTTCCCTAATGCTGACACAGCTCTGTGTCCAAGTGTACTGCCTGTGAATAGAGTCTAGTTTTAGCCCCCACTCACCCCTCAGCCAAGTGCTTTTGCTCAGAGCACAACCTGCATAACTGTACATGTCAAACCTTTTTTTTTTTTTGAGACGGAGCCTCACTCTGTCACCCAGGCTGAAGTGCAGTGGCTGATCTCGGCTCACTGCAAGCTCCGCCTCCCAGGTTCACACCATTCTCCTGTCTCAGCCTCCCAAGTAGCTGGGACTACAGGGGCCTGCCACCATGTCAGGCTAAATTTTTGTATTTTTAGTAGAGACGTGGTTTCACTGTGTTTGCCAGGATGATCTCGACCTCCTGACCTCGTGACCTGCCCGCCTCAGCCTCCCAAAGTGATGGGATTACAGGCGTGGGCCACGGTGCCCAGCCAACCCTTTTTATACTGATAGAAATAGAGTGTTGGAAGACTATGCTAGTTTTTAAAGAGCAAGATGTTGAGTTGATTTCAGTGGCTGAGTTTAAGGTGGAATACTAATAGCGAGAAAGAAATGTTTAGAGTTTAGTTAGAAATGCTGGAGTCACAAAGGTCAAGTTTACAGACGTTGGTTTAGGAGTCAACTGCAACTGTGACAATGGGTGAGACTGCTCAAAGCCAGGGCATGAAGAGAAGAGCTGTGAAGGGGAGATGGAAGAGGAGACTGGGAAATAGAGGCAAGACAGCAGCAGCTACACAAAAATAAAAAATTATGAGACTTTGTGGGGAAAGAGGGCAAATGTTTTTCAGTGCAACAAATAGTTATTGAGCCTTCCATGCGATTGAGTTCCAAAAGATAAGGGCAGCAAAAAAACTGCCTTGCGGTAGTTTACCAGATAACATACCAAATTCTTTTTCTTTTTCAAAAGTGGAAAAATCTCAAACCTACCACTTATTGGTAATGGTAATTGGCTTAATGTTTGTAATTTAATATTAGGTTATTGTGCTACATTTTTATCTTTGAAAATCTAATTTAGAAATAAAATATGCTACATTATTAACCACTTTTTTTGTAAGCTACGGTGGGCCAATTAATCTAAACTAGGTCATATAATTAGATTATAAACTCATTAAGAAAAAAGTATTTTAGTATGCTGCATCTAGTAGGTACTCAGATATTTACAAATTGAATTAAATGCACCCAGTTTTTGTTTAAGGTACTGTTTTGATCTATAATATATGGTTATATATTTGTTTAAATGATTTTCATTATATATATTTTTATGAGTGGTAAAGTATAATTATTCCTATAGGGTCAATCCCATTAGATTGTAAATTCCTCAGGGACAGTCATTCAATCTTTTATTTCTTTTTAGGATTCTGCAGTTCTTGATATGTCAACATAGGTTGCTAACTGACTGTCTAAATTCATCTTCATCATCTGATGACATTGTTAGATAGTGGAGCATGATGAAAAGCAGGACTTAGAGGAACTCCAGATCTCATGATAGTTTGACTACTGATTAATTTTATGACTTAAGGCAAGTCATTTGAACCTAAATTTTAATTCATATTAAATATCATTTTTATGTGTTTTAATACACACAAGATTACTGTCATATTAATAATGAATAAATATATACATGAAAAGTGAATTATACAGACATTCAGATCAATTTATCTGATTTGAAAAATCTCTGGGTAGGAGAAAAGTAGGTCACACAAGAACTATATGAAAGAGAATCCAATAATCTTAACCTTTTGGACAGTACTAATTCTAGCTAAGATGCCTAATATTAGAGCCTCATTCTTTTACTAAAATTTGCAGGCTTAATATAATCATCTTTTAGGGGAGTTTGCCTCTGGATTTTTTCTTCTGTTTTAAATTATATTCCTGGACCTATTTTAAACCAGACTGCTTTTTTTGTTTGTTTATACAGTGACTTGCATGAGAAGGCTATCAGATGGCTAAAAATGTTTAATCTTTCAACACATACATTCTGCTTTGTAAAAATTAAAGATATAATAGAAAATTCATAAATAAGCTAAAATATGTGGATATGTAATTGTGGCTTTCTCTGTAAAATTACATCTCCAACTAGGAAAATATGTAAGCTAAATGGCACTGTTAATTCATTTTACTCCACCACCTGGTGGATTTTAAGAGTTATTCCAAGAGCAATAAAACTGTAAGCCTGATATTATCTGCCAGATAATGTTTTTCTCTAATTTTTTTCCCTCTCTAATGTCAACTAAACTTTTCACATTTGTATATATTTTTTCTTTCTAGAATGTAAACTTTTAGGGACATCTTTGTATCCATCACTGGTAGTGCTTTATATAAAAAAAATTTTTAATAAGTATTCACCAAAAGAAAGATAACAGATTTCACCAAAGTTTACTAAAGAGAAGTTTCCTAGTCACAGAGGACATAGACTGGTCTGCAAATTCTAGACTTGGAAGGTGTTTTTTTTTTTTTCCCCAACCCTTAAAATAAATGAACCAAGGAGCAGGAGCAGTGCTGTGCTAAGCCATATTGGAGCTGAAGCAAAAGGAAAAAACAGTAATACAGATCTGATCTTTACTGAAAATTTTAATCCATCAGGGTTTTTTGGGGGCTTTAGGTTTGATTTTTTTAAAGTATTGCATTAAAATAGAAATTATCTTGATTACTGAGTTTTTTGGCACTTCCTTCAATTCTGTGCCCAAGGAGAGTGCCTCGTTCACCTTACCATAGTCTTGCTATGAAGCTAAAAAGCCAGTATTTTAAAAAACAATAAAAAAAGTGAAAGAAAAATAAGTAAAAGCAAGAGGTAATTCCTTAGAATAGTTAATAAAATAGTCAAATATTTGGCAAATGTGACTGAAACATAAAGAAAACAAATTTGTGTCACATTCAGGGGCAATACATTAGAAAATTTTAAGAAAATGGGTGATTTCCTGGGAAAATGTAAGTTCTCAAAATTGATCACGGTTGGACGAGAAAATTGATCTGATCAAAGATGAACTAAACCGGAAGTCTGCTTTCTAAAAAGTCACCATGCCCAGATGGTTTTACACTTGTAGTTTTACTTATTAATCATATAACAAATAAATTCTATGTTAGTCTAATATTTACAGACTATAGAGAGTTCATTTTTAAGAGGCCAGCATAGTCTACACACAAAACCCTGAACTAACAAAAAAGGAAATTATAAACCAAAATCACAAATCAATGCAGATGTAAAAATTATAATTAAAATACCTCTTAGAAAATTAAATTTTAAAATGTACTAAAACAATTACAAGCTATACCTATGACCAAATAAGATTAATTTTAGAGATCCAAGGTTGGATCATCATTAGCAGGTCTAATATAATTTTTATGTCAAATTAAATGGTACAAATTATATGATTATTTAAATATATAATAAACAGGCACTTACTAAGATTCAGCAGCAAAACTCCCAGTAAAATATGAAAAGAAAAAAATGCTAAACACGAAAAAGACTATTTGCCAAAATCATATTGCAAGCATCATATGGAATAGTGAAATCCTAAGTCATTCTTATGAAAACAAGGAACTACAAAAAGGTGATGGATGGCAACATTATTGTAATTCAACACACTATAGAGGTTCTAACTAATACAATAAGAAAACTAAATATGTAACTTAAATAGCAGAAATGAGGAAATTTGAAAATTCTTATTTGAGGATTACAAGGCTGCATACCTAAGAAAGTGGACATTGTACTAACAAAAAAGTTATTACTAATAAAAAATTTGGCAAGATGGTTCTATATAACATAAATATGTAAAAGCCAGTTTTTTCCTATACAAGAAGCTAATTAGAAACAGAAAAGGTAAAAACTTGATTGAATTATACTTGGTTATAAATATGATGAGAAAGGTATAGTATCTATATAAATTATAAAACTATAAAAATTTCAAGAACAAGACTTGATAAAAGAGATTTATTGAAAACTTTCAAATTCAAAGAACTAAGTCCTTCCTACATTATAAATGTAATGTAATGACAGTCTCAAACCCCAATGAGATGATTCTGGAACTTTACAAAATAACTTTTTAGTTCCTATGGAAGAAGACATACTTGTCAAGAAAAAAAAATAGAGTGAACTTTCCAAAATAGATTTTAAAGATGAATGTAAAACGACATGATATTGACACAGTAATGGACAAACTAGTGCGTGGAAAAGCATAAAGAATCCAAAGACTTATTTTGTAGAGATAAATATGTGTATATGTATGCATATACAAAATTTTTAAAATAAAAATGTATATAATAAACATATAATTTATAATTATATTTATATATAATATGTAAAATGTTTATATAACATATAATTATATTTATATATACATATGAAATGTATATATAATATATAATTATATTTATATATACTATATGAAATTTATATATAATATATACTTATATTTATATATAATATATGAAATTTATATATAATATAATTATATTTATATATACTATATGAAATTTATATATAATATATAATTATATTTATATATAATATATAATTATATTTATACATAATATATAATTATATTTATATATAATATATGAAATTTATATATAATATATAATATACACACATAGTTTTGGATTTGCTATTCTCTTCTGCTGCCTATTTTGTCCATTCATGTATACATATAATGGGATAGCAACAGTCAGTCTGTTCTCAATGGGAAGAGACAAAATAGTTTATTTAGTAAATGAAGCTGACATAATCAGTAATTCACTTCTAGAAGGAAATAAAATCAGATCCTCATTTCAAATATAAAAAAATTCTAGACTTGCTAAAGACCAAACTATAGTAAAATAAAACTTTAAATATTAGAAAAATTTTGAAGACTATTTGTGCCATCTAGGGAGGAAGACAGAAGGGAGAGGAGGAGCAGGACTTCTTAAATAAGACAGTAAACCCAAAGACCGACAGTAAGAATGACAAGCCTAAGTGTTTGTCAATATCTCCATGCTACAGCCAGAATTTGCTACAAGTTTTAAGTGTCTGATAAATACAGCTACCATGTACTCACATGTTGAGGTCCATTAGTACTGTTTTCTCAACAATATTTTAAGTGACTTTTTTGGCATTGTCCCCATAGCCTGCATAGGTTGATCTGTACTATGTGATTACAATGTGTTCACTTACATTGAATTATTCATAATTTCGAGAAATACTTCTTGAATGACACTGATGTTGCAGGAAACTGACAATTTTGCTGCTCAATTGAGCCCCGAGTTTTCTCTGTAACGATGGAGTGGGGTCTGTTTTCTAAAGGCTTTAGGGACGACCCAATGTAGAGAGAGTTGTCTATGGCCTGCTCCAGGATATGTTGATGATCTCCTAGACAGGTTACATCATCTTACCCCTCAAAATTATGTAAGCATCCTGTCCTGATAAAGCCGTGAATGCATTGAGTAATTGTCACCTACTGGGTGATGTGATAACACTTTAAGAGACATTACTCAGAAGAAGCAATTGGGAAATAATCATTTGTGTTTTCTTTTAGGTCTCTGATGTAAGTTGAAGTATATTCCTTGTAAGTGTACTACTTATGATTCAATTCCCTAGATATTTTTTTTTTTTTTTTGAGACGGAGTCTCGCTCTGTCGCCCAGGCTGGAGTGCAGTGGCGCGATCTCGGCTCACTGCAAGCTCCGCCTCCCGGGTTCACGCCATTCTCCTGCCTCAGCCTCCCGAGTAGCTGGGACTACAGGCGCCCGCTACCACGCCCGGCTAATTTTTTGTATTTTTAGTAAAGACGGGGTTTCACCGTGTTAGCCAGGATGGTCTCGATCTCCTGACCTCGTGATCCGCCCGCCTCGGCCTCCCAAAGTGCTGGGATTACAGGCGTGAGCCACCGCGCCCGGCCTTCCCTAGATATTTTTGAAGATATTAAAAAAAGTCACTATATGAAAAAAATTATTGATACAAAATCGATCACTGAATTCCAAGTACACATTTATAAACTCCTTTCACTTACAGGTCTATGCGTAACAAATATTTATTTTCAGATTTTTGTCATTTTTTCTGTTATGCATTCATACAGATATCTGCCAAAAGTTTAGTTTTACCATGTAAAGGGAGGCATTTCCTCCAATATTACTAAAGAACTCGGGATGTTGAATTCAGAAGGTTGGCAAGCAGGACTTATTCAATGTCACAGAAAAAATAATTTCTCTAGATCTGCATCTCATATCTGCTTGTTCACAGTAACTCATAGAGTAATTCATAGAGTAGATAACTACCTTTCCTGGCATGCCTCAGACCATCCATGATTTTAATTAGTCATCATAATTTATTGAGTGCCTACTATGTTATTGGGATAATTACTTCTATTCTAGGTATTGGCCACAAACAACAAATGGGAAACGTCAGACTACTGAAAGCTTATGATTTATTTCTGACAGACTTGGCAAGAAAGGAAATAATTCAGAACTGCTTGGCTCAGTTGACTACATGGGCTACTGGCTAAGTCATTTTGGATACAGAATTTATTAGAAATGACACCATAAGCGATTAGCTGTTGGGGGATCAACATTGTAAAGAATTTGATCTGAGAAGAACCTTTCAGTATTTACCTAAAAAGTGGTGGCCTTGGGAACAGACCACAAGAGAGAATCTTGCCATTTTTCTATCTAACATACGACACCCCCAATCAGCACAAATGGGTGGCAGGCAGGACTTGTTTTAATGAATGACACAGCTCTATGCATCAACTATATTCCCCATGAACTACAGAAACTCTGCTTTCATTAAAACGGAAAATGGAGTTTCCACCAAGCAGCGAATTAGCGTGTCATCTTAGTAAATGAACACTGCTAATTAAGTCCCTGTTACAACTTGATTTCTTCTGTTTGTTACTAAGTGATTGAGCACATCCTGAATTGCATGTCATGAGAATACCTGGCCCTCCAAGAAGTTGAAAAATGTGCAAGCTGACAATCCTAAGAGGGTAGATAATAATCTAAGATCTATAACTAGCTCATTCATCTGACTCAACCATTATAAAATGATTTTTTTTCCTGAAGCATAGCACTTCTTTACATCTTTTAAAAAATTTTGTATTTTTTTAAAGTCCAGATTCATTAAAACCCCCAAATGATCAGTCTTTTTGGAAAGGACATGGTCTACGTGGGTGAGCATATGTATGTGTACACTGATAATTGTGCATAGTCTTAAGCTTGGTATATATTTAAATAACACAATTTAATTGGAAAATTTCCTGTGCTACTTTTGAAATTGTATTACTTACATTAGAGATCACAAGGGAATAATAGGCTTAGTACCAGTTTATCACATTAAAATGTACTTTTAATGTCTGCTAATTTCAAAAGGCTCATATGAGAGTCCGCATGCCTTAGTGGTCTGCATTTTGTATTGGTAGGAATCTCGACTGGGAACAGCTTATATATCTCTGAGCAAGGCATGGAATTATTGGCTCCTTGTGTTTCCTCATTTATAAAATTGCAGCTAACACTTATCTTCTGCACAAAGAATGTCGTTTAGACCAACGAATAAGGAAGTCAAGCAAAGCAATGTTAATTAAGACATGATTATTCACCTTGAGAGCCTTAACAAAACGGAGGAAAAAAAACTTCCTAGGAACAATCGTAACAGACTCCGTGTGCAAAGATTTAAACTTTTTTTTTTATAATATCTGGCACAGCAGATGTGTTCTTAAAATCTCAGGATATTAAGTTTATGAGTAAAGTTACTTAAAACCCATTTATTATGGAGAGCTGGTGATGGGAGGGGCCTAAAGATCAACCTTTTGTCACACAGGAAGCCACTGGTGTCCAAGGAGATTAAATAACTTTCCTAAAGTCAAGCTGATGAGCAACTAAAGCCATAACCAGAGAAGATTTTCCAGCCAGTGTCCTTTCACCTGTATTTATTTGTTTAGGAAAATGGCAAAATAATGGAAACACCAATCTTCTAATATTAATCAGTCCATCACCAGTAAACAGTTATTATTTCATGACACCTTTTGAGCAATCGCAACACTGTAATCATTACAAAATTAGTAGCAATTTCAAAAAGAGACTGGCTCATTTAAAAATCTGAGATTACTTATTTTACCTAGAATTAAAAAAAAAAAAAACATGAAAAACCAAAAAACAAAACCTGCGGTAGAAGCGCGTGGTTATGAGGGCGTTTGGGCACGGAGCCGTCCAATGGAAGAATTCATACATTTAGACCCGCTGGCACCGTGCACGGCGCGCCGGGGCCGGCTGGGGGGCGCCGGGCTGCAGAGGGTGTCGGGGACCCCAGCGCAGCTCCCAGCCCTGCCGCCCTCCCAGGCCGCTCACCAGCCGGGGCCAGACGTGCGGCGCCTCTTCGGAGACCGGATTTGGCTTGGCCGCAGACTCCGCGGACTGGGAATGAGCGCTCGGAGGTCTCTGGTACCGGCACCGGTACCGGGAAGGGAAAGGGGCGGTGTACCTCCGATTCGGGCGTGGTTCCCGCCGGGGTCGGCCCCCAGGGAGTCGTCCCCTGCGACATCGCCGCAATCTCGGCCGAGAGAAGCGGCCCCTCGTCACCTAGGCAACTGGGGTGGGGCCGGCGTCCCTGGGCCTGGGAACAGATCCCAGCGGAAGGCGGCGCTGGGCCCGAGCCTCTGCCCGCCGGGTAGAGGGCTGGGGACCGCGCAGAGGAGCAGGAGGCCGGGAGGGAGGCCGACAGCAGCCCGCTACGGAGGCCCTGAATCCTCTGGGAGAGACCGAGTCTTTCCTGTTAGTAGGAGTGAAAGTGGGGAAAAGGCAATTCAAGTAGTAGTAATTTAAATGAAATATGTCAAAGTACCTAATGCTAGCACATTGCAAGTTTCAACAAATATTAAAGTAAGATATATTATTAGAACTTCAACCACTGATTGATGTTTGATACTAAGCAATCATTGTAAATTTTAAAGTATCATGATGGTATTGTGGTCATGTTTAGAAGGAAAAATATGTCTTTATCTTTTAGAGATACATGCCGAACAATTTAGTGATGATGAAATGATATAAAATATGTGATTTATTCCAAAATAATGAGGGAGGGGCACAGGAAATGAGTGGTGGTATAGCACATGCATCTAGATTAGGCATGTGAATGGAAGGGGTTCGATCTTTAATAGTGCACTTAATAGTACACTAGAAAGAAAGTGTACTATTCTCCTTTTGTATATGTTTGAAGTGTTCCACAACAAAAACATTTACAAACAATAAGAAATGTCACATAGCAGCATGAGTATTCTTGACTTCTTTGGATGATCAACGCCTCCTTTGAAAACGAAATGTACTTGGCTTGTATTTACCTGCATGTAGGTTGCTATGCAGGACACTTCCTGTGAAAATCAGACATCATTTAAGTGCTTCGGTTTCCTCATCTGTTAAATGAAATAACAGTATTGGCCTCAAAACATGACTGTGAAGATTGAACAGATTAATATATATATGAAAATGTTTATATCAGCCTTGACACCTAGTAGTGGTCTGTGTTTGATATTATTAGTGTTAGTATTAATATTGTGCTTCTCCTGATGTTAGTCCATATTGTAGACAGCTGCCAGGATAATATAATATTTCATCATGAACCTCTCCTTTATATTAGCCCATTGTCTTTTAGACCAAATATAACACATTAGCTTTATATAACCTCATGATAATTGTGCCTTTCCTTCAAATTGTCTCATAGTTCAAAGTATACAGTTTGTACTGTCAACCTGTGTTTATGAGTTGTCTCTAGTCTTGTAAATGTATGGCCCATCTTTTCAAGTGGGTTTTACTGTTTCCCTTGTTATTTTCACTTCTGAAGGAGCTAGTTTAGTTCTCAGTACAAAGAATGCATGCAACAATACATTTATGAATTACAACCCCATTTCAATAGGACCGTATTAAAATTTCTTCAATTGGTGAAAATATAGTCACTTTTTAGTGATTGCTAGAGTTAGTACAAAAGCCACCACTCACTACAGTGCTTAATCTTTTTCATTCCTTCCTTCTGATCGCCACTCCAAAGAAATTGAAAATAGCTGGTCACCTTCTTCAAGGTAAGGACTCTACCATATTCCTTGAATTTAGTGTTTGATAAAATGATAAAGCATTTATTTCTCTAACGTGGAGTTCCAGTTTTCTCAAAGATTTGGTTTACTTTTCAGGCGTTTAATTTTGCTGCCATTTCTTTGACAGTTTTTAGGTTTTCTTCTCCTGTTTTTGGTTTTGGACCCCAGAACTAGATGCAAAACTCCATTAAAGATGGAATCAATTCTAACAGTAATAGGATGGTTATCTCAGGGAGAGGGGAATTGTTTTGTAGGAATTACAATTTTACTTTAAAAAATTTAATGTTGTAATTTGTTAGAGAAGTCAGTTTTGAGGGGGTAATTTAATTTTTTGGGACACAAATGTTTTGCTCAGTAAGAAGTGATGTTTAAAACCCATTAGCCTGAAGGTTACTTTTAATTTGCACAAGTTGAAGCTGATTTTAGCCTCCCATTTCTTTTGTAGGTAGGTGCCAACAAGAAAGACAAATCTCAGTAGGTGATATACTTTCTTACATGGAAAGGTCAGTTAAGTCTTCCCTCCTAGGTCTCTTTTGAAGATAAAGGCCTCTAACCAAAGCCTGCAAAATTCCATTTGTTATCTTAGTCTATTGTTTTAGGACTGGAAGAGAAGAGGAAGCATATGGGTCTAGTTTACAGTTATTTTTTTAAAAGACCACTGACTTTTACCACATCACATTGAAATGTGGGATAGCTTGATATTACTTGATCAATTGAATTCAGGTTCCTGTTCTAAAGAAAGTTTTCCAATCAACATATCCATAAACCTGTGAGTGGCACAACACTTTATAAATAAAATCATGTTCTCTTGAAGAGGGGCATTTTCACAATTTTACCAGTTTAACCAAGTATTGAATGTTTAAAATAAAGCATACTTTTAAATGCCAGGAAAACACTCAAGAGGGGCCTAGATAATTTTATAATGGATATTGACAGTCCGGTGTGGCAATATTTGGCAATGAATACTGACAGATTTTAACTGTGTTCTTAGGGTGGGTAAACATTTCTACTGCATTCTTCATGGTTCCTGTGTCTCTAGCTCATTTTAAATATGATGAGGTTCTTCAACAATAAACAAAATAATGCCATTAGTGAGATTAATGACATGTTAGTAGTTCCAACACTGTGATTCCTGAGGTCTTCAATCTATTAAGTGATAGATAATGATAATCTTAAGAAGATCAGGCAGGAAACAATTCAGTATGCCCCTAAATGGTAATGAGAGATCTCATCATTCTAGAGATCGAATTTAGACAGCACATTGTTTCTTGCCTTGAGATCCATGAAACTTGATAGATGTAGAATGAAAAAAGACTAAAAGCAATTTAATTTGTAAGTAATTGCATTCACTTTTAGTTACATATTTTATTTTTAGCAAAGAAAGTATTCCAATAGTTAACCAATTTTGAAATGTATTTAAAGTTTTCTTAACCTTTATCTAATCCTTAAATCTGATCTTCTCATTTCAACGAAGTACTGTAGTCTGTTCAGGTCATATGTGAGAACATTGTGAAGTCTTACCTTCATAAAACACACTTAGGACATGATATAGTAAACATACCATAGTTTACATTCTAAGAGTGAGTAATTATTGTGGGGTGGGATAATGATTTCCAGAAAACAGTTGGTATAATACTATTTTGAGAATATTTATGTAACACTAATTCTTGTCTTCAAAACCGTCCGTTCCCATTTTGGGTCCATATGTTTGTCCCTCTTTCTCTAGTCACTCCCTTTAAAATGGATCCTTCTGCTCTTCAGATGAAACTTAAGTCCTTTTCCCAAACCAGACAATACTATCTTTTCCTACTACAGAGATCTCTTTAAGATAGTTTTGTGACATTTTCCTTTCCTTCCTGATCAAAATATTGAAAAAGTAGTCCCTCTCTTATCATCTCTCCTTACCCACGCCAGCTCTGTAATCAGTCTCTCATCTCCTTAGCTCTCCTAAGCCGACCTCCCCAAAATTGCCACTGGTTCCTGTCTTTCTTAGTACGTGGACACTTTTCGCTTGCTCCTCATATCCACTCTCTCCCCGTCTCCGCTTGGTCTCGTGCCAACCTTTATGGGTCCCATCAGCTGATTCTGCCACATTCCTTGCCCTCTGACTTGTGGTTGGGTTTTGCCAATGGGAGCATCACCACGGGGTTGGAAGGTGGAAGAGTGAGATCAGGGTATTTATTCTCCCAGTCCCCTCTCTGCAGGATTACAGATTAGAAGTAGCTGGATACCTGCACCAAAAGCCCTGAAGGCCACCTTCTGTCCTTCAGCCCCTTCCACAGCTAGAGCCGTCTTGGGATTTTGGTAACCATCCCTCCCCTCGCCTCTTCAGGCCTAGAGGTGGTAATGGCTTCCTCTTGCTGCTGTTGATTTTACTTATGGCTGCCTACCTGTTTGTGAACAGTTCCTTTAACAAGCTCTCCTCAGTTACCATATTTGTGCTGTTTCCTGCTCGGACTTTGACTGATTTTAGCAAAAACTAACTCCAAAACATTTAGTAAGGAAGATGTCTGGCTTGTTCAACACCGTTGTTATTGCCCACTGCTTAGTTGCTGTGCAGCGAGCAGTATTGTCTGTAAGTGACCCTGGGTATTTATTGTGGATTTCTTGCACAATTGTCTAGGTAGGGCTGCACCCCAGCCCACCGTTTTCTCCAGCTGGAGGGGCTGCACCCAATTACCCTCAGGACTGATGGCAGACAGTGGGGACTGTAACTACCCATGGGACCTGTGTTATGCCTGTCTTAGACAGCTGGCTGTCTCAGACAACTTGTGTAGATTGGTGGTTCCCCAAATCTTAACTTTCCAATGTCAAGCAGACTGTGTAGTATAGTCCCCCTGTTGACAAGACTCATTTAAAATTTGTGCTATAAAAAGTCAAAAGAACAGCTCCTGGGCCCTGGCAAGCCTTTCCATAGACGCTGGGGTGTGTTTGGGAAACAACAGTGCCTTCCTTTTTTGTTCTTTCTGATCCTGGCCTTGAAGCTTTGACCTTTCACAATAAAACCTATCCCATGTCATAGGATGTTGTGAATTTGGAAACTACGAGGAGTATACATGGCAGGGGCTGCTGCTTGTGAGAATGCGTGTCGTTCATACATTAACTTGTCCCAGCACATTTAGATTCATAATCTATATTTGCACATGAGTCTTATTAATTATTTCCATTTACAGATTGTTCTTTATGGTAGTATTTACATTAGTATTTTCATCACTCCTTTTATGCTTCGGTGAACCACTTTTAGGTCACTGATCCATGTTTGTGAACTGGTAGTTTAATGCAAAAAACAAGGTAACAATCCTAAGCAGGGACATACGTATTATGTGAAAATACTTCAGCTGAGAAAACACTGCACCCTGTTTCCAGAATGTTAGCCAAGGTAGACTGACCCAAATTCCTAAAGCAAAGGCAGGATTTTTAAACAGATGATTTGAGCTAGCCATAAAGAATTTTATCCTGCACTTTAAATTTGCAAAATATCTATGATCAAACGGTTTCACAGACTTTTTCTTTTTTCCTTCTGAAACTGCCTAAAAGTCACTGGGTGCCACTTAATTAATGGCAGGGGACTCCGTTGCTCTTTGAAGACGTTTTTGAAGAAACCTCTTCTAGGAGATTCTGGGAAGTGCCTCAACTGACCAACTATTGCCTTCTTCTCTGCACCACTTTCCACCCACCAACTTTGAAAAATAGCAATTCTAGTTTTACCTGTTTTACATAACAGCTTCTTATAAATTTTGTTAGAAGGAAGGATTTTGAGCTTTAAGAAGTTTAAAAGCCACTAGATAATCTCTAAGGAAGCTTCATCTCTGAAAATTCTGTTGTGATATAATTTCCCAAAGAATTCATTGCCTGAGACATTCACCTTAGCAAATACAAAGCATTACTGTTATTAAACATTTCTGGTGTATTTGCACATTTATAATTCCAGGGAAATGAAATAACATGCATTATTTCATCTAATCAGCTTACTTGCACTAAGAGGTAGATAGTATTATTTTTGTTTTGCAGACGAGGACACTGAGGTTCAGAGGGCCAAGGTAACTGACCTAATGTCTCATGGCTAAGTATGTGGCAGGCAGGCACAGGTATTAACTAGTTTCTATGATTCTGCAGCCCGTCCACTCTGCTCGCTATGCCATGCTACTTCAGCTGTGTGGCGTGCTCAAGACCCTGGCTGGGTTGATGAAATTTATCTCTGGAGTCTTTCCATTTCTCCTTCAATGCCTCTCCTCTCACCCCCTACTCCCCACTTCCCCAAGGCCTTCACAATAATTGCTAATCCATTTAGTGTGTTTCTCTTGTAGGTTATCAACCCAGGTATATAGTCATAACTAAAGTATGAGATGATATGTCTTATCATTTACCAGGAGGCATTCGTTTTGTTTTGTACTAGGAGACTCTTGAAGATGGAAAATTCTTTTGCAGCTCAAATGAACGAGGTTTTAATAGAGGATTGCCAACTTGTGGGGCTTATATTTTCAAAACAGAAGGTCTTTTCTGGTGCCTTCAAAGACTTCACCTGAGAGACAGCTTTATTCCCCTTACTAGTGTCAGAAGCTGTTATGATGATTTCTTCTACCCTCCACAAAATCTGTTACAGTGCTTTGCTAAGCATCCAATAAATGGTAGAGCATGATGATGGAAAAAGTAAATTAATCAGTAGAAAATATTCTTGTAGCTATGGTTAATCTTGATTCTAGTACACTACATGGATTTTTTTTTTTTTTGAGACAGGGTCTCACTCTGTTGCCCAAGCTGGAGTACAGTGGTTCAATCTTGGCTCACTGCAGCCTCCACCTCCTAGGTTCAAGTGATTCTCCCACCTCAGCCTCCTGAATAGCTATGACTACAGGTGCACACCACCTGTTAGCTTGGCTAACTTTTGTCATTTTTAATAGAGAAAGGGTTTCACCATATTGGTCAGGCTAGTCTCAAACTCCTGACCTCAAGTAATCTGCCCACCTTGGCCTCCCAAAGTGCTGGAATTATAGGCATGAGCCACTGCGACCAGTAGGAAAAATTGAAATATTATTTTTCTACATAGCTAAAAGGTCCATGTGCCTTCTTTTTGAATGAAATGCATTTCATGTGCCTCAAAGCTAGGTTAAGCATTTACATGAGAGAAATTCAGGGTGCCATTGTGCAGCTTTCAGAAGATTGTAACAAATGATCACAGGATTTACTAGTCATTTTCTATTTTATTTTATTTTATAATAATAGAAGTCATTAATTTTGGAAGGAAATAGACCATTTGCCTATGTGTGCTGGAAATGTAGGTCTGTAAAGAGCATGAGAAGATTATATATGATATTTCTGAAACTAGAAATCATAGTCTCTTGGTGGTTAATGGTTGGTCTCCAGCCTGTTATTTTGATGATAGTCTCATCATGCCCCTTATGGTGCCACTCATGGTCACTGGTACACAGATAGGCGTAGCTTTGGTGCAATTTAGAATAGTGAAGGTTGAGGAATATTTTTGACCTGCTGAGAAACCTTAGGAAAAATTACTCTATCTCCATGTAACATTGATGATTCTTCTCAGAAAATTTTTAAACAGTTCCTTATGCTAAGGAATACAAACTTAGAATGTTTGCACAGAAAAACAAAAGTAGACAATTGGAAAAGAGAACAGAAGGGAAGCTGGATGGCAGAACAGAAGTGATGTTCAGACTTTGGACAGAGAAAATGGAGTCAAATGGAACATCTGAGTCAAAACCACCATGACATGAGATCACACAGCTGTCATCAGGAATCATATGAGATTAGGCCACAGAATTCCAGTAGATTCTGCTTTGCTCAGGAATTACCCTTGTAATTACTAGGAAGGTCACTAGGAAAATGCCTTTTTTGGGACCTGCATCCTCTAGACAAATGACACTCTGAAATGAGACTTTTTTTCCCTTTTGAGCATTAGACTTAACTTGATGCCATGGCCATAAATGCAAAGCTGACTGATGCAACTTGATTGCAATTCAGCAGATGAATTAGGTAGTGGAGATATGTTTAAAGTATACATTCTTAAAGGCTTGGTGGGTTGCTCTTGCCTGGGCAGTCTTCTCCTGAATGTCTGGCCATTCTTGATGTGGCAGCCTTCCCATCAAATCTTGGGCCATACTCAAGAAGAGTCAGACTACTCGATGGACTCCATAAGTGGGAGACTCCAGTGGTCACTGGTACAGGGTCCAAGGACAGCTTGAGACAGCAGAGCAGAATATGCTTCTGATTTCGTGTTGCTGTTGCATCCTCTAAAAACCATTGGCAAAATTGCTGTTCCTTCCTTGACTGGACAAAGAAGGGCCCGTTTTTCTTGTGGACACATAATGTTGCAATAATTTTTCTCTGGCAGCAGCATATGCTAGATGAAACATTGTAGACTTTAGCTTCTGTCTTTGCCCAGAGAGCTGTCCCTTTCTTCCTTATGCAAACCCTAAATCCTGGGGGACACCAATGAAGCTGGCTTGGGTTGTATCCATACATGGAGAGTCAAACTCCTTATTAAGTCCTGGTTTCTAACTCCAACTTTAGTGATTAGTGCTTAATTATACTATTACATTGAGAATCAGGAACAAAAAAATGGAGTAAAGAATTTTTTTCCACAATTTAAGACCAGGTAAAATTGCTGAAAATGCACACTGAGACATTTTCCTATTATCATGCATTCATCCAACAAATATTTATGGACTACTGTATAGGTATCAGGTACTATTCTAAGCATTGTCAACAAAAGAGGCAAAAACTCTGTCCTCTCAGAAATTCTATTCTGATGAGTTGAAAAATCTATATTCTATCTGAAGATTTACGAACTTGCTAATTATTATTTTGGAAGGCATCCTGTCTTTGTGACTCTGAGGAGTTAAGATCTACAAAAAGCCTAATTATATGTGATTTTTTAAAAACTGGAAATCCTATGGGCTGATGGTTAATAGTTTGTTTAGCAAGTGGGAAAAATTGGGCAGATTGAGGAGATTAGAAGTGTGGGGTTAAGAAAATCAAGGTATGTTGCAGTCTTGAATAGGACAATCAGGATAGGCCTTAGACAAAAGATGAGAATTGAGCAAAGTGTATCATCGCTATTATCATAACTAGCATTCTGGCTAAGTGCCTTTTGTGTGTTTCTTTCTTAAACCTTGCAACAGATATGGACACCGAGGCTTAAAGAAGTTAATTATCTACCCAGTATTACACAGCTATTTAGTAGAGACAATAGAATTTTAACTCAGGACTATCTGATTAAGAACCCAAGTTACATACACTGTACTGTCTCAAAGCAGTAGCTTACAAACTGTATTTGTATTTATAAATACAGATCACCAGGATATTATTTATTAGCTTTTAAAACATCTATTATTAACCATATTTTCATACTATACTTAAAAGCACATACTTAAATATATTATAGTCCACATATTAACATATTGGAGGGACCCAGCTTACTAAACTGTGTTAGGTAGGTACTTTTTGCAGATGTGCAAATGTTTTTTCGTCTTTATGCATTTGAACAGTATGTAAATGTTTCCTTGGCTAAGGGTGTTTTAATTTTTCATGATGTAAAAAAAAATCAAGCCTTAGCATGCCTGTTTACATAAAATTGCTTAACAGCTCAAGTATAGCATGGAGTAGAATCAAGTATGTCTGGTGGTTATATGTTCACATCGTAGTGGAATCATTGGCAACTCATTAACAAGGGAACCTATAACATATTTATATAGTGTGATACTAAAGGTATTTCTAGTGTTACTAGGTTTAGGTGCTTTTTGCCTGCCTTATTTTGAGAAAAGCTGGGATACAATTAGTGATTACACCTTGATTTTATTTTAAGGTCTGAATTACCTAATTGAAGTGTATCCTGAGACAACTAGGGAAGGTTTTCGGTTTTTTTTTTTCAAACTATCATTTGTAATTACTTATGTAGTTCAAAAATTCATTTTAGTACTATGAAACCAAGTCAGAATATTGAAATAAATTTGATGTTGAGACTGATGTGGCTGGAAGAGTCTCATTACACTAGCTTTTATAATGATAAACAAATGTATGTTACAATAAGTAAATGTATGTTTATAGTTATAATAAATACATTAAAATATACTGTGGACAATAATTTATATAAATAATATAACACATTCATTTATTTACCTTTGAAGTTTAATTTTTTAAACATTAGCAAGGGAGATGAATGGGGTAAAATCCAGTGATGTAAACATGAACATGGATTTCTAAAATGGCAACTACAGTAATCACCCCTTTTCCATGTTTTTGCTCTTCATACATGTGGTGCAGTGCAATAAGATATTTGGTGTGGGGCGAGGGGAAAGAGAGAGAGACTACTTTTATGTAACTTTTATTACAGTATATTGTCATAGTTGTTCTATTTTGTAGTCATTGTTACTTTCTTATTGTGATTAATTTTTAAATTAAACTTCATCATAGGGGTATGTATATGTAGGAAAAAGCAGTATTTATAGAGTTCAATACTACTTGCAATTTCAGGCATCCACTGGGAGTCTTGGAATGTATCCCTGAAAATGAGGGGTGTCTACTGTTCAAAAGGAAATAGAAAACATAGATTGTGCACATACTTGTTTTAACTGAAGCTAAGGAATATTGCACGTTTTGTGAAAATAAATAGTCCAATGACCAAAATAATCTGTTTTCTCGGCCGGGCGCAGTGGCTCACATCTGTAATCCCAGCACTTTGAGAGGCTGAGGTGGGCAGATCACCTGAGGTTGGAAGTTCGAGACCAGCCTGACCAACATGGATAAAACCTGGCTCTACTAAAAACACAAAATTAGCCAGGCATGTTGGCGCATGCCTGTAATCCCAGCTACTCCGGAGGCTGAGGCAGGAGAATCACTTGAACCTGGGAGTTGGAGGTTGCGGTGAGCCGAGATTGCCCATTGCACTCCAGCCTGGGCAACAAGAGTAAACTCCGTCTCAAAAAAAAAAAAAAAAAAAAAAAAAAGAAAAAAATTGTTTTCTCTCACCTATCTTAATCTGTATAATTGTACCATTAAAGGAAGTAAAATAATATGAAAACCTTCACAATTTCATTTCTCAGATAGATGACTAAACTTGGATAGGGATAATTGCTGGAATGGTGGGGGTAAAGGAAAATTCACTTGAGTTTAAGATTGCCTCTTCTATGTACACAGACCCTGTCCTTCCATTCACTTGCACACCTACAACTAAGTTCTTTCTGTAGAGTTTTTATTAGTTTTCTTTGCTTGCTTGTTAGTTTCTCGTTTTTTTTTTTCAATCAGTGTTAAGTTGTCATAAGTTTAAAATAATAGGTTACAAGATGTTACTTGCAAGCCTCATGGTAACCTCAAATCAAAAAGCCTAGAACAGATACACAAGAAATAAAAAGCAAGAAATTAAAACATACAACCCGAGAAAATCACCTTCACAAAAAGGAAGACAAGAAAGAAAGAATGAAGAAAGAGAAGACCACAGAACAACCAGAAAACAAATACAATGGCAAGAATAAGTCCTTATTTATCAATAACAACATTGAATGTAAATGGACTAAATTCTCCAATCAAAAAATGTAGAGTTGTTGAATGGATTAAAAAAAAAAGACCCAATGATCTGTTCTTGCAAAAAATATACTTCATCTATAAAGATACAAATATACTGAAAATAAAGGGATGGAAAAAGATGTTCCATGCAAATGGAAACCAAAAAAGAGCAGGAATTGCTATACTTATGTCAGACAAAATGGATTTCAAGACAAAAAAATATAACAAGAGACAAATAAGATCATTATATAATGAGTTAAGGGATCAATTTGTCAAAAGAGTATAACAGTTGTAAATATATATGCACCCAACACTGGAGCACCCAGAAGTATAAAGCAAATATTAGAACTAAAGGACAGATGATTGTATAGACCCCAATACAATAATAGCTGGAGGCCTCAACACCCACTTTCAGCATTGAACAGATCATCCAGACACAAAATCAACAAAGAAACACTGGACTTAATCTGCACTATAGACCGAGTGGACCTCATACATTTTGACAGGACATTTCATTTGATGGCTGCAGACTACATATTATTCTCCTCAGAACACGAGTCATTCTCAGGGTTAGCTCATATGTTAGGCCACAAAACAAGTCTTAAAAATTTCAGAAACATTAAAATTATATTAAAGATCTTCTCTGACTACAGTGGAGAGAAATCCATAAAACTGGAAATCAATTACAAGAGGAATTTTGGAAACTATACAAACACATGTAAATTAAACAATATGCTTCCTAATGACTAGTGGGCAAATGAAGAAATTAAGAAGAAAATGTAAACATTTCTTGAAACAAATGAAAATGAAAACACAACATACCAAAACTTACGGAATATAGGAAAAGCAGTACTAAAAGGAAAGTTATAGTAGTAAGCACCTACATCAAAAAAGGAGAAAAACTTCAAATAAATAACCTGCTATGCATCTTAAAGAACTAGAAAAGCAAGAACAAACCATAATAAAATTACCAGAAGAAAAGAAATAGCAAATATTAGAGCAGAAATAAATGAAATTGAAACAAAGAAAACAATAAAAATCATGAACAAACAAAAGTTGGTTTTTTTATTAGATAAAAAAATTGACAAATCTTTAGCCAGACTAAGAAAAAATAGGGAAGACCCAAATAAATAAAACCAGAGATGACAAAAGAGACATTACAATTGATACCGCAGAAATTCAAAGGATCTTTAGAGCCTACTATGAGCCAGTATATGCCAATAAGTTGGAAAACCTAGAAGAAATGAATAAATTCCTAGACACGTGCAATCTATCAAGATTAAACCACGAAGAAACCCAAAACCTGAAGACCAGTAACAAGTAATTAGATTGAAACTGTAATAAAAAGTCTACCAGCAAAAAAAGCCTGAGACCCTATGACTTAACTGCTGAATATGACCAAACATTCAAAGAACTAATACAGATCCTAATGAAACTATTCCAAAAAACAGAGGAGGAGGGAACTCTTCCAAACTCATTCTATGAGGCCAGTATTACCCTGATATAAAAGCCAGACAATGACATCAAAAAAAGAAAACTACAGGCCAACATTCCTGATGAACATTGATGCAAAATCCTCAACAAAATACGAGCAAACCAAATTCAACAACATATTAAAAAGATAATTAATCATGACCAAGTTGGATTTACCCCAGGGATGCAAAGATGGTTCAACATATACAAATCAATAAGATACATCATATCAAAAGAATGAAGGACAAAAACCATATGATCATTTCAATTGATCATATGAAAAAGGATGGGATAAAATTCAACATCCCTTCATGATAAAAACCCTAAAAAAACTGGGTATAAAAGAAACATACCACCAGACCATGAAAGCCATATATGACAGACCCACAGCTAGCATCATACTGAAAACTGAGAAAAACCGAGAGCATTTTCTCTAAGATCTGGAACAAGAAAAAGATGCCCATGTTCACTATTGTTATTCAGCATAGAATGTGAATCCTAACTACAGCAACAAGAGAAAGAAATACAGGGCATACAAGTTGGAAAGGAAGAAGTCAAATTATCCTTGTTTGCACGATATGATCTTATATTTAGAAAAACCTAACTTTCCATCAAAAGAGTATTAGAGCTGATGAAAAAATTCAGTAAAGTTGCAGGATACAAAATCAACATAGAAAAATCAGTGGTATTTCTATATGCCAACAGGGAACAAACTGAAAAAGAAATCACGAAAGTAATCCCATTTGCGATAGGTACAAATAAAACAAGATGCCTAGGCATAAAAGTAACCAAAGAAATGAAAGTTTTGTATAATGAAAACTATAAAACATTGATGCAAGAATTGAAAAGGACACAAAGGAAAAGATATTCCATGTTCCTAGATTCAAAGAATCAATATTGTTAGAATGTCCATACTACCCAAAGCAATCTACAGATTCAATGCAATCCCTGTCAAAACACCAATCACATTCTTCACAGAAATAGAAATAATAATTCTAAAATTTATATGAAATCGCAAAAGACCCAGGATAGCTACAGCCATCCTGAACAAAAGGAACAAAACTGGGGGAATCACATTACCTGACTTCAAATACAGAGCTGTAGTAACCAAAACAGCATGCTACTGACATAAAAATAGACACATGGACAAATGGAACAGAATAGAGAACCCAGAAATAAATCCATACATCTACAGTGAACTCATTTCAACAAAGGTGCCAAGAACACACGGGGAAAGGACAGTCTCTTCAAGAAATGGTACTGGAGAAAACTAAGTATCCATTTGCAGAAGAATGAAACTAGACCCCCATCTCTCACCGTATACAAAAATCAAATCAAAATGGATTAAATATTTAAGCCTAAGACCTCAAACTATGAAACTACTAAAATAAAACATTAGGGAAGCTCTCCAGGACATTGGTCTAGGCAAAGATTTCTTGAGTAATACCCCACAAGCATAGACATCCAAAGTAGACAAATGGGATCACGTCCAGTTAAAAAGCTTCTGCAAGCAAAGGAAACAATCAACAATGTGAAGACAACCCACAGAATGGGGAAAATATTTGCAAATTGTCCATCTGACAAGGGTTTAATAACCAGGATATATAAGGAGCTCAATTAACTTAAGAGGAAAAAAAATCTAATAATCCAACTTAAAAATGGACAAAAGTTCAGCTGGGTGTGGTGGCTCATGCCTGTAATCCCAGCACTTTGGGAGGCCAAGATGGGTGGATCACGAGGTCAGGAGATGGAGACCATCCTGGCTAACATGGTGAAACCTGTCTCTACTAAAAGTACAAAAAAAAAAAAAAAAAAAAAAAAAAGCCGGGTGTGGTGGCAAGCGCCTGTAGTCCCAGCTACTTGGGAGGCTGAGGCAGGAGAATGGCATGAACCCAGGAGGCAGAGCTTGCAGTGAGCTGAGATCATGCCACTGCACTCCAGCCTGGGTGACAGAGTGAGACTGTGTCTCAAAAAAAAAAGACAAAAGTTCTGAGTAGACATTTCTCAAAAGAAGACATACAAATGGCTACAGGTGTATAAAAAAATGCTCAACATCATTGATTGTCAGAGAAATGCATATCAAAACTACAATGAGCTGTCATCATATTCTAGTTAGAAAGGCTTTTATCCAAAAGACAGACAATAACAAATGCTGGTAAGAATGTCGAGAAAAGGGAACCCTTTACACTGTTGGTGGGAATGTAAATTAGTATAACCACTATGGAGAACAGTATGTAGGCTCCTCAAAAAACTAAAAATAGAACTACCATATGATCCAGCAATCCCATTGCTAGGTATATACCCAAAAAGAAAGGAAATTAATATATCAAAGAGATATCTGCCCTCCCATGTTTATTGCAGCACTGTTCACAATAGCCAAGATTGGAAGCAACCTAAGTGTCCATTAGCAGATGAATGTATAAAGAAGATGTGGTATATACACGTAATGGAACATTGTTCTGCCATAAAAAGAATGAAATTCCGTCATTTGTAACAACATGGATGGAACTGGAGGTCATTATGTTGAGTGAAATAAACCAGGCACAGAAAGACAGACTTCACATGTTCTCACTCATTTGTGGGAGTTTAAAAATTAAAACAATTGAACTCATGGAGATACAGAGTGGAATGATAATTACCAGAGGCTGGGAAGGGTGGGGAACAGCGGGGAGGGGGAAAGTGAGGATTGTAATTGGGTGCAAAAATATAGTTAAATAGATTACATAAGATACAGTATTTGATAGCACAATAAGGTGATTACAGTTAATAATTTACAGTACATTTTAGAATAACTAAAGGAATGCAGTTGGAATGTTTTTCACACAAAGAAATGATAAATGCTTGAGGTGATGGATATTCCATTTACCTAGATGTGATTATTAGACATTGTATGCCTGTATCAAGATATCTCATATAACCCATAAATACATACGCCTGCCATGTACCCATACAAATTAAAAATTGTAAAAAGTCCAATTACTTACATAGGTGGAAAGTAGTTGTTTTTTGTCAGTGATACAAGGGGTGAGCATTCATAATATTATTTCCATAATTAGTACTTTGGCCACTAGAGAGAATTGTCTTCAGTGGCCAATTAATATATTGAGCATGGTTTCACTTGTATGGAAATCATGTCTTTTTATTTTTTTAATTGAGACAGGGTCTTGCTGTGTTGCTCAGGCTGAAGGACAGTGGCATGATCATGACTCACTGAAGCCTTGAACACCTGGGCTCAAGTGATCCTCCTGCCTCAGCATCCCAAGTAGCAGGGACTACAGGCACATGCCACCACACTTGGCTAATTTTTAAGTATTTTGTGGAGACAGGGTCTTACTATGTTAACCATGCTGGTCTCAAACTTCTGGCCTCAAGTGATCTTCCTTCTTTGGCTTCCCAAAGTGCTGGGATTATAGGGATAAGCCACTGCACCTGTCTGGAAATCATGTCTTGATATGGGGCAATTAAGGCATAAAAATTTAACCAATTTTTATATTGCATTAGTGGAATTATTGAAATAAGTATGAGGTAATAAGAAAAAGACAAATCTCCCACCCCCATAGAAAAATAAATAAGAAGGTAAGTGAGTGTATCTCAAAAGAAAAAAATAATGAAAAGAAAAACATGAAAAGTGTTCAACTTCACGAATGTTGAAAGAAATGCAAGCTAAAACAATCATAGCTCCTCTTGCCCTTCAACAGTAGCAAGCATGGGGGCAGGACAGTCTCATGCACTTTTTGTGGGCATGTGCATTTGTAATATTTCTAGATGTTCATATGACAATATGCATAAAAATTTATGAATACTCCTTGACAATATGCATAAATTTTTGCATACTCCTTGACTTGGAAATTATATTGCTAGAAATGTGTCTTAAGGACATAATCATAAATGTCTGCAAATACACCTATAATTTTTAGTCTAACATTGTTTATAATTGTAGGGGAAAAGGGAGAAATAAGGTAATGTCCAGTAATGGGATAATGATAAAGTAAATCAAGTCAGACTCATAAAATGAAATTTTAGATGGTTACAAAGTATCACGTTTTAGAAGTTGTTAATGATAAATTAAGAGAATACATGACAAAGTAAGATATATACAACATGATACTCATTTGTGTATCTATCTGTATAATTATAATATATATTTATTTAATGGAAGAACTAGAGGCATGTCTAAAATATTAAATGTCTTTGGGTGATTTTTTTCTTGTTTATTTGTACTTTGCAAGTTTTCTACAATATATATGCAATGTTATTTTTTACTTCTTAAGAGAAATTTACAAACTCACACAAGAATAGAGAGAGTAGCATAATGAACTTCTGTGTAGCTATTCCTCCCATTTCAACAATTACCTACTACACTTCTTTAAAAAGAAAAAGGAAAATTTTTTTTACCAGTTCAATTACCCAGAAACCATTGTGCTCAAACCTCCTGGAGCAACTTATTAATTGTAATTCTTCATAAAGAATTTGTTATATTTTCCCTTGAAAAATGTTGTGCTTCCACTGCCCAAGTCCTGGTTTTCAAAGCTTTGGCCTACTCACCAACAATGTTTGTATGAGAAAGCTAAAAGCATTTCAGTGTTGTTAATGAAAATAGTAAATCAATAATGTGATTTCTTATTTTTTATGCCAGTAAAAAACACATAGGTTTTCTGGCAGTTTATTACTGTTTCTTTGAACACATAAACAAGAAACTTAAGAATAATAAGATCTAAAAGGTGATGTAGCCAGTCGTGTGTATGTGTTTGCCATCTCTTTTCATCTAATTTAGGGATCAGAGCAGAACTTGGTAAAACACATTTCAGTAAAAGGGCTGTCTCTCTGTGCTCTGCAATCAGTTTTGGGAGCACTTTCATTCTTGAGTTCAGAATTTGAAATATAGTCTGTGCTATGCAAGCAGATGTTTATAAAGAGCTTCTCGAAGAAGGCAAGAACCGTGGGTGCTCCAAAGGATTATGTGCCTGCATGCCAAAAACAGACTCCTGTGAGTTTAAGTATTTTCCCCATTGAAGCATAAAAGATACAAAGAGGTGCAACAACCACCATTTAGTGTATTTCCAACTAAAAACCTCACCTCTAGACTAGTGTGTTTCTACTGAGCTTTAAAGGCGCATTTTTCATAGTGTGTGTTAGTAGGAGTGTGTGCATATTGATGGACTAACTCCTCTGGTGAACTTTAATGTGTGCTATTTAAAAAAATCCTGGATAACTTACTTTTGGAAAGTGGAAATTGTTTATTTCTTTAATTTCTGCAAGGCCCAATGCTGTGGTTCCAATACACTGGGTATAACTGGACCATAAAATAATAAATGCATGACAACATGAGTATAAACATAATAAATGTCATGCATTCACATGGCAAATTGTCAATATCTATTGACATTTGTTCTTATGGCATCTATTAAGGCCACACCATATTTATTAACTTTGGTTTGATTACACTGCTCCATTAACTTGGTAATTTCATTATAGTTTAAGAGGGATTTTAGCTGCCAGATTTAGTTTAAATTTTATGCAAAAGCCCAGAAGTCCTTGGGCAGTGAACACATTTTCTATAAATCAAATAAATAATTAATGAATGAGAGCTATTTCAGAGAAGCAGAAAACAACAGAATCAGGATCAGATAACTTTTTAATAACACATACTGAGAAACTGTTCATAGAGATTAGAGTCCTAAAGCTGTGTCAGGTATATTCATATACTTGTTAGTCAAATATTGTCATGTAGAAATATCCACGTCAGAGGGAAACATCATTTCAGTCACAGAATTGGTCTTAAGCTCACATAGACAGTGCGAACAACAAAGAGAGATGCTTACATGGGGCAATAGGATGAGGAAATTTGCTTGTTTCTGAACTAATTTTAAACATGATATGGCAGATATTTGATGAGGAAAATGCTTCCCTGATTAAAAAGAAAATCCTATAAAAGTTGCCAAAAGAACTGGTTAAGAGTGAAAATATTGGGTAAGGGCCTCTTTAGCATGTAGTCAGTCTCATCTGTAAAATATAAAGATGTCATTCTTTGTGATTTTAGTTACCATCTATTGACAAATCATAGATTACACCTAGGTTTGACCTTTCTGTTCTCAGCCCACTTATTTGTTTAATTTATTGTTCTCTTTGAAAGCCCTTAGAACCAAAAAAAAAAAAAAAAATGTTTTCAAAGGCTTGAAAACAAATGAGTAAACACATGTTCTACTTATCATTTGTCAGACTGAACAAAGCTCTTTGGATGTGCTCAACAGCTTTTGGAGGAAGACAAACACTATCAGTGAAATAAATGAACAATTTCATTGGGATCAGAAAGTTTCAACAGAAGCTATTAATTTTTATGAGCATTAAGTCTGACAAAAATCTATGTATCTGTAGGCTCCCCCCACCATATTAACATCAAGAATAAAGAATCAGGCAATTCAGATGAAAATTGTAGCATATGGTAGGGTCTTTACAATGGTGGGAAGATAGGCCAAAAATTATGTTTGTAAATTTCTGAAATGATTTCCAGAAACGCATTACAGGCTAAGTGCTTTATACAGTATGTATTGTTAGCAGGTGTTGTGAGCACTTTATTTCTTACACACAATGCTGACATTTTACTCCTTTATACTCTTTAAGGGAACAAGCAGCATAATTGGAATTCCTTTGAGAATGATTTGTTAGTTATTTTGGACCTTTACAGGGAGTAAATGGTAAATAAAAGCTGAGTTTTTGGACATTAGTATCTATTGGTTGAGCAGATTATACTGTAAATTTTAAAAAGGAAGGGCAATTTAGGCAATGATACTAACAGCTGCACGGTTATTGTGTAATAGTGGCCCACCTGGGCTGAATTGTGAATTGCAAAACAAAGCTGAATGCTTTCAATTCCATGATGTATTATGCTACAAGGGAAGCTCTCAGCTAAGCAAAATGTAGAGCTACTGTCAGACCATTCCTCTGCCAAATTACTACTGCACTGAAAAATGACTACAGTGATATCACTTGGTGAGATCATCACAGTCTACTTCTCTTAATGTTTCCATCATTTCTGATCCCAATTTTACATCTCAGTAATTTACTTTCAGTAATGAAGTGTTTTCTCCTCCTTCACTTTAGTAGAGCATATACTACATTAAAAAAAAAAACTTATTCAGTTCTTTGAGAATGAAAACACATGCAGTTTCCTCCCTCCATCATGAGCAGTGTAATAAGTGAACAATATCTAGGTAATGAGTTACTTGTTATGATTTATATGTGTAATGTGCAATTATTTTAAACATAGAGGAATGTTCTTATAAGTGGGTTAAACGCAGTGAACATAAGCCTTCTTGTACTTAAGTATTTACTACCTAATGATGTGACTGATTAGCTTTGTTCAAGTTTACTTACAAGGAAAAAGAAAAAAAGATTCCTACATCTCCATCAAGATTGTAACTTTGCATTTCTCTAATTTTCCTCCATACTCTATATTGTTGAAGAGAGTAATGGAGGCTTTTCGAAACATGAATTCGTAGAAAAGGAAGGAGTTGAGACATAGGGAAACCATGTGGTCTTGCTGTGAATCATTACAGATATGAGCCAAAGAAAAGTTGGGCATGATATCAAGCATTGTTTTCTTTCCAGGTTTTGCTAAATCTGGCCAAGTTTTACAAACACTTCAGGGGAAGTTCAGAGTTATGCTTTTTATTCCTAGATCTTTCATATGACCCTGAGAAGTCACTTAAGCTTACAGATGTGCGTGAGATGGATTTTAAGCCACCTTTCAAAATCGATCTGTAATAAAAGATATTCATTTGGATGCTTTCTCTTCGTACACACTCAGACGAATGCATGGAAACAGTGATATTGTATTTTGATGCAAAGAATAATTCAATTTTTAATAAAGCAAACGGCTGCCTGCATAAATCTGTTAATCAGTTTTCTCTTTACTTGTTTTCTTCCAGTAATGTGGTTTCCATTATACATTTCAATTCTGCTTCATTGCTGGTAAGCATCTGTTTTAAAATACAGTTAAAAATTGGTACTCTTGGTCCAATTCCAAGGGGCAAAATCAGCAGGAATAAGTAATCCCACAGCCTTAAGAAGAACCTTCTTAACCATTGAAAGAAAAGCAATAAGTACTAAACTTTGAATAAAAGAGCCATAAATGAGTCTGAAAGCCTCATTTACATTGTAATGTGCATACCAGCATGATGTCATTATCAATTAGTGTGAGTATTTTCTAACAGCCATCTATTCGGAGTATGTAGTCATTTAGTTTATGGTTATGATTGTGGTGTGTGTGTGTTGGTATCAGAGAGAGAACACTAAAGCAGCAATGTCCATGGAAAGTAGCAATACTGAAAAAATTTATGCCGGTCATGAATCAGTCTTCCTTCATTTAATATTATTTATTGATACGGGGTAGGTAGAGTACCTCAATAATCCATGTGTGTTGAATAGAATAAAAAAATCTAGATGTAATTTAATCTTTCTACTGTATGAGTTAAAGCAATAAATAAATATATGTATATTCTTTTTTTGTCAGTCCTATCACAGTGTAATTTTTTTTCTTTGGGATTTTGGAATGCTATAGTTATTGTTGAGACTAATATTTCATTCTCTGTGTTTTGTCTTGCTCAATCAATTTCATTATGTTTCAAGACTACTGGTGCATGGATTAGTGTAGTCTGAGGTGTGAGGTGAGACTGTTCTCTTGAGTTTCGGGTTTATTCTTTATAACTCTGTGAGAATAAAGGGCATGTGCATGGACATTCATGTAGAGGTGTGCAGCGATTTTGATGAAGCAGCTATGGATCCTAGGCCTGGTTTCTTGCTTTTAGACTGTCTTTTAAAATTAAATTTCCTTTATTTCTACTTCCTTCTGTACATACGCTCTGAAATATTCCATAGATTTTTTTAAAAACCTGTTCTTTGTTGCATTTCCACATATAAACTCATCCCAATGATTATGAAATATTTTCTGATTTATGAATTCAGAATACAAATATGATGGCTGACACGAGTGAAAGGTATCCAGGTCATTCATATATTTGTGGATAGTATTTCTCAGTGATATTATTGAAAAATATAATGGGGTTATTTGAGAAATGTACATGTTGCTTAAGAAAAAAAAACGCTAGAAAATGGTGCTTGGTTTACCTGTACAGTAAAGGACAAAATAGTAAACAAACAAAACAAAGCAAAACAAAAAAGCAGCAACACCATGTTTCTGGACTCTGCTGTAACCAGGCTTTTTTACCTGAAAGGCTGTATTTTTTTCTGGACAGCGGTATCTATTGGTCTCTGGGCTGTCAGGCTGGGGCTGTGGTGCTTTGCTGTGAGCACGCTGCAGTTTGGTGATCTGTGTAATGTTCTGTGTCTCTGTTAATCACACAATGGAAGGATTGAACTTACTGAATCATTTGCTTTATTACAACTCCAGAAGAGCACTGTAACCGCCTCATGGGAACTTTCTTGGAGGGAGTTATTCTGGTTGCAGTCACTATATAAATACATCTCTTCAATTCCTGTAAAATGGCACCAAGACATTCTGCTACAACTGAGTTAAAAAGCAAAATAACCCTTTTGATAAGCTTTCCTAGTGGAGGTTTTTTATGCTGCATTTAATACTTCATGGTGTTAGCATGCTAAATTGCTAGGGCGGTAATTGAATGAGATAATGTATGTAAGTTCGCCCTGGTACGGTGCCTGGGAGATGGTGAGCGCTCAACACATGCTAAATATCCCACAATGATGCTGGCGATCTACTGTCTTCACAGTGCATATTGGGTTTCAAATGGGCATCCACCTAACTGCTTTGTTCGAAAATTTAGATGTGCTCCAGTTTTTCCCAGCACACGAATGTGTATTTTTAAAAAAGCTTATAAACTGTTCCACCTGATTGCATTCTCGCTCTTTCCTATACTTTACCCATCAGAATCCTAACTTGTGTCCTAGCCATCTCTCTTGCTCCACCGTCCTCTTTTCTGCATCTTATTATAAACACTCTCATGTTTCCCTCCAAGCCCTGCTCATAAAATCCTTCTTGATCCAGCCTTCTCTTTAAGCAATTAACTTAGGTTTATTCATTCTTTCCTAGCCAAACTTCTCAAAAGAGCTGATTCCTTGATGTCACCTCCCAACTCCCGTATAATTGGAAAATAACCAGTGATATGGCAGAGTGAATATAAAGATACAAAGTAGTCTGTGTAGCATTTAGTGATCAATTGCAAATTGAGTGTGAATGAGGAAAAAGAAGATGCTGCCTAAGTCATCCTCCCAGTATTTACATTGTGAGCCTGGATGGTTAGTCATTGTCTTACATACTGTGGAGGATGCCGAGAGAGGCAAGGCACGGTGTCTATCTCCAAGCTGCTTATGAACTGCTTGCAGAGAGGACCCCATACATAGCAAGAAAATTGAGAATGAAAAGGAGTGTCAGGTGGGGGGTCTAGGCAATGTACGTTATGGAGTCAAGTGAAACAGGCTCCTTAGTGCTTATTGGAGGCACATTTGAAACTGAGGCGAGTGAGGCTCACGAAGACAATGACTCCCGAGGTTAAAAGGCAAACAGACACCCCTTGTTTCGGAGGGGGATAGTGGCAATATTGGAGCTAGGTTTAAAGGTTGGGTCCTTTAAATGTGACAAGGTTGAGGATACAGTTCCAGGTGAGGGAATAGTATGTAAATATGGTGAATGATTTGATACGGTAAAATGTTTTCAGTAGTCAGAGAGGAACAATCTGGTTAAGAAAGAAAATTCTCACGGGAGGGTAGGCAAGTCAACACAAAAGTAGTACCTAATGCTCACGTGTTCAATAAATACGTTCCTGGAAAGTGAAATAAAATAAGAATTAATGTATTTTGTTCTTTTAGAAATAATGACAACTGGCTTTCTTGCCAATGAGTGAATGCTAAATCACTAGGTTGTCATTGTGGCCAGTCTTACTTTTACATAAATTAAACAATTGCTTTAACTCTTTCAGCTTTTGTGGGACTCTTATCATTTGCTATGTGAATAATTAACAAATACCAGTTAATACACTTACTGTATTAATAATGGATGCTACCTACAATAGAGAGTGTTATTGACTTCCTGGATGTTATTTCAATAAATATTTGAATGTGATTAATGTCAGTCCATTTTTTACTATTAAGTATCTCTAGAAAGTATTGAGTTATATGGTACTCTGTGGGGCAAATTTAGGAAGGAATTATATTATGCTTATTAATTACCAGATATTTCACAGGTCCTAAGTCATTTTTAAATTCCACTAAGTTCATTATATTTGTAAGAATAGGGCTGAAAGGACTCAATTAGCCCCACCTTTCCCAGAATGTGACTTACTCCTCAAAGCCACTCATCAGATTTTACATGGCCAGAGGTTCAATTAATAAAAAACTTTTTCTGTTAATTAGAAATGACCCAAGATACCTGACATTGTTCTTGTGGCTTCCAGTCACCCACAGACTTACTGTGCTTATTTATTGCTTAGTGGCAATATTTTATTGGCAATGTGTCAGTTTGTTAGATTGGGTTATTCTGTGTAATGTTGCAAAACATTCCTTATTTTCTTTTCCTTCTGAAAGTTTGTGTTCCTCTAAAGAGGTTCTGTAGAATAACGTTCCATTAGTAATTTTGAGAGGTGCCACCGGTGGGGTCTAGAGCTATGGGAAGTAGAAGGTGTAAACAGAATGCATTTGCTTGTTTATATACAACCTGGTAGATGTCTAAAGAAAATTGAGTATTATTATGATTGAAAACATTAAATCAAGTCATCAAAGGAATTAAATCAGGTCACAAAAGGAATATCTACTTAATTATCACATACAGTAGATGATTTTAGTCTCCTATTCAAGGACTACACCTGTAACCTCACATAGGGTTGCTGTGAAATCTTCCTTCAACAAGGCTCACTGGACACTAAGAGCTGAAAGGGAAGTTAAGTATTGTTCAGTTCAAATGCTCAACATGACTAATCATCAGGGTTTTAGTCTAATTAAAACCACAGTGAGGCCGGACGCGGTGGCTCACGACTGTAATCCCAGCACTTTGGGAGGCCGAGGCGGGCAGATCACGAGGTCAGGAGATCGAGACCATCCTGGCTAACACGATGAAACCCCGTCTCTACTAAAAATACAAAAAATTAGCCGGGCATGGTGGCGGGTGCCTGTAGTCCCAGCTACTTGGGAGGCTGAGGCAGGAGTATGTCATGAACCCGGGAGGCGGAGCTTGCAGTGAGCCGAGATAGCGCCACTGCACTCCAGCCTGGGGGACAGAGAGAGACTCCGTCTCAAAAAAAAAAAAAAAAAAAAAAACCACAGTGAGATATCAACTCATACCTGTTAGAATGGCTTTTATCAGAATGACGAAAGATAACCAGTGTTGGTGAGGATGTGGAGAAAAGAGGCCCCTTGCACACTGTTGGGGGGAATGTAGTACAGACATTGTGGAAAACACCATGAAGGTTGCTCAAAAAATTAAAGATAGGACTACCATATGATCCAGCAGTCCCTCTACTGGATACATATCCAAAGAAAATGAAATCAGTATCTCAAAAAGATACCTGCACTCCTGTGTTCATTGCAGCATTATTCATAATAGTCAAGATATGGAATTAACCTAAGTGTCCATCAATGAATGAATGGATAAAGAAAATGTGGTATACACACACAGTGGAATACTATTTGTCCTTTCAAACAATGAAATTCAGTCATTTGTGAAACATGGATAAACCTGGAGGACATTATGTTAACTGAAATAAGCCAGGCATGGAAAGATAAATATCACATGATCTCACTTATATGTAAAATCTAAAAAAATTAAACTCATAGAAACAATGAGTAGAATGGTGGTGGGTGGTGGAGAATTGGGGAGACATTGGTCAAAGGATACCAGCTTTCAGTTAGACAAGAAAAATAACTTCAAGAGCTCTATTGTACAACACAGTGACTGTAGTCAATAACAATGTATTGCATGCTTGAAAATAGCTAAGAGAGTAGATTTTAAGTGTTCTTACCATAAAATAAATTTTTGGTAAGAAAGTGTGGTATGTGAAGTGAGGCATATGGCAATTAGTTTGATTTAGCCATTCTACAATGTATATATATTTTGAAACATCACATTATACAACATAAATATATACAACTTCTATTTATCAATTAAAAGATAAATTAGCAAAAAAAAATTATTATTTAGTTTGCCAGGCTATTTGCCAAGTGAGGAGCCTGAGGCCCAGAAGGTAGCTGAATTACCCAGCTTCTTGCATCTAGACCACATCTCTTCCTTGTACCACTCTGCCACTTACATGAGGGCCCTGGATTCTGAAAGTTCTCTGAGATTCTATGGTTCATTATTTTGTTGTGCTTTGGAATCATGTGGTTCTTTATTTTTCTTGTGAGTGCAGGATATATTTCCATAGTAATACAAACTACTTTTTGTAGTTTAGTAAATGAAAAGTGTTTACATGCCTGGGGGCGGTGGCTCACGCCTGTAATCCTAGCACTTTGGGAGGCCAAGGCAGGTGGATCACCTGAGGTCAGGAGTTCGAGACCAGCCCGGCCAACATGGTGAAACCCTATCTTTACTAAAAATAAAAAATTAGCCAGGCATGGTGGCACATGCCTGTAATCCCAGCTACTTGGGAAGCTGAGGAAGGAGAATCTCTTGAACTCCAGAGATGGAGGTTGCAGTGAGCCAAGATTGCGCCACTGCACTCCAGCCTGTGTGATGGGAGCGAGACTCCATCTCAAAAAAAAGAAAAAAGAAAAAAAGAAAAGTATTGACATACATGGAGGATGTAGTAAAATTTCTTTTCATTTACTAATGTTTGGATACATGGTGGATTCAGAGGCTGAGCTTTGCTGTCTGACCGGCATGGATCCAAGTACTGACCCTGCCACTTCTTCAGTGACATTTGGTAAGTTACTTAACCTAAACCTTAGTTTCTTCATGAGCAAAATAGCATTTGTTTAGTTGTATGAGCATAGTGAGTAGTCAATAAATATTGCCCTCATTATCATTCAATAAATACTTATTAGATTAGTTGAATCTGGAAACAAAATTCAAGGGCTTCACTACCTTTAAAAATGTTTCTCATTCCATATTTTTTAAAAAAGTGATAGTGATAGTATTTAGAGACAAAATTTGTGAATTTGTTCAAGTATGTTCCTTATTGGTGATATTTCTAGATTTATGGACTTCATGACCTATGTGTGCTGAACTTGTCTGAATGACACAGAACAAAAACAACCCAAAAGGTAATTTATTGACTTACTGGTGAGTCAGAGGTAGGTCAGAATTCAGGCCAGGTTTGATCCAGAAATTGAAACCATGTTACCAAAGATCCCATTTACTTTCTGACTATCCTCTTTGCCTGCCAAAGTGTCTACTTCATCCAAGAAAGGCTCAGTTTCTGGGAACTGAATGCTTCCTAATTCAAATTAAGTAGTGAAAGAAAATCTCTTTTGGTAGCTCTCAAAGAAGAGTATAGAAATTTATTTTTTAAAGAAACTCTCAGCAAAGATCTTCTTGTGTTTCATTGACCCCCACTAGGATCTGGTTGTTATGTCAGAGATTGAATGTGTTAATTGGTTAGCCAGAATCCATTTCTGGTGTGGAGAATAGAGTCAGCTTTTCCTGTGCTAAATACTATGTTGGAGAAGCAAGGACACACAAAAGGAGATTAGGGAATGCTTACTCAGAGAGAAGGACAATGGATAAAAGTAGGCCAAAATATGCACTACATATTCCCAAAGCTACTGGTGTGTTCCAAATTTGAGGTCTCGTGTTAGATGTGACCTCAGCTCTCTATTTTATATAACATCGAATTATTTTCCTGTACACTGATTAAAAGTCATTATGAACATAGTATATTAGCATGGAGGTATTTAAAGAATTACATCTATTTGTACTCAAACTTTCTCAATCTCTTCCCAAAGCAGTGACCCACAGAAGAGTTTGCTATTCTTGGACAGGAGGTCTAGATTAATTATAATAAATATAGCACATTCTGAGCAATTCTGAATCTGGAGTGTGGTATTTGAAGCTTTGAAACCAAAGACAAATTACTGGCATTATTTTGTATTATCATGTAACTGAATTTTCATCTTCAGAAAAAAGTCTTATTAAGCAAGATAGAAATGAGACTGTAATGGATTCATTGGAATCATTTTGGCCAAAACCACATTTTCTACTTTTAGCAAATTACAGCATTATCAACATGTAATCCTTCTTATTTTCCCACATATTATTTAACAAAATATTAGTCAAGTTGGAAATTATTTTTTTGTTGCTATCAAGGAAATGTATGCTCTCAATTCTGGCATCCTTCAAGCATTTACAGATGATACTTCACAAATGTCTGAGGATACAGTGTTTATCCAAGCTGCAGTAGACTAAAAATAATTATGGCTCCAAAGTGGTTTGCATCCCCATGGAGAATATATACCTCACTGACAGGAAAATAATCACAGAACCAAATGATACCAAGTACAACAAAGTGATGCAACCGTAAACTCTCAGAGAACTTTCAGAATACAAAATTATTTTGGACTTTGTGGTTTTTGAGTGCACCAATGAGTCTCATGATAGTGACTGAGTTCCCTAGAAGAATGCAGTATTTTGGACAGTCTGTTAGTACTTGGAGCCATGGATTTTTTTGAGTCAGATGAAAGACACAAATACTCATACCAGAAAACTGCTTTTCCACCCCAAATTTTGTATAGCGTTTTGGGGGTTCATGTACTCCCTACAGCTCATTTTTAGACCTAAGTAAATATAAACCATTTTTTATCAGAATGCAAAATGCAGCCCGCCTTCCTTGAATTTTAAAATTTAATATCTGGCTTCTTACTGGCAAAGATGTGATTTGAAAGACCTGAGTTCAATGTTCCCCAAAATATATTTCTAGTAGTTTAATCTAACAGGAATAAGAACCTAAGAAGGAGTAAGAAAAATGTAGCATCAATGGATTCTTCTAATGCCTTACACATAGTAGGTACAATGAGTCTTATATAAATTAATGAAAAGTCAGTCTTAAAATTATGCAGAGCTAGCAGCTCAATTCCAATGTTATAAAAGCAATAATGGGCAAGTACTTATTAAATGATTCCCGGTTATTTTTGTCATACACAAACTACTTCATTATTGTACAATTTTTAGGCTTCTAAATAAAGTTTTCTTAATATGTGAATTCACTGGAATACACAAAGTAGTTAAAGTGCCTGGCTAGTTTCCTTCCATTTTTTTGCCTTTATAACTTCAGTGAAGTGTTATTTTTTAAAAATACATAATATATCATGTTTATGCTGGTACACAAATAATTCCATGAAGATGTTTCTTACATTCTAGATTTTAGAGTTGATTTTACATCTGTCTTTTGATTTTTATAATTGCTAATAAGCTGAGTGTTTTCTAAAATCAGTGTTCTCACTGGAGAGATCTGAAACATCGACTCAAATGACTGAAAAAACACGACTGGTCCTAACGCTGAGCAAAACTATGTGGAAAATTTGTAATGATTTGTAAACATTTCACACTTATTATGATTCAGATATGGACTGTGGCCCAGAAAAGATTTGGATTTATTTTGATTGTCCCTGTAATTAGCTCAGCAATGTTTTTCTAAGTTATGATTTCATGCTGACTATTAGAAGTTGCACATTGTTGAGATGCCACATGCAAAGAAGTTATGGGATTATATGGCAATAATTAAACACACTATAAGGTAAATTAATCAGGACTGCAAACCAAGAAAACATGAAGTAAATGTAACATAAATAGACTTAAGAAGGCAAACTGATATCTTGTCTTATGTTTTAGATAAAATTCTAAGCACATAGCCCAATTCAATTTTGTACAAGCAGAGAAAAACTACAGTACTAATGAGAAATATGGACTTTGCTACTATATTGTTACCATCAGTGTGGAGATCAAGGGAACATGTGTTGGCCCACATGCTATACTACTGATATCTTTTATTCTGGGATGAGTGACAGCAGGACTGGCTACTAATTTGTGGGGCCCAGTGAAAAATGGAAATGCAGGAGTCCTTGATCACCATTCATTAAGGATTTCAAGATGGCGACCAAAAGTTTTAGACCCAGCATGGGGTTCCACATGATGACCTGTCCTGGTAATAAGAGAAGAAGGGAGTCAGAGAGGTGCTTCTGAATTCCATCTGTCCCTCTCTCCCACTCCTCCTGGGCTCTGCAGAGATGTTCAGACCAAGACCAAGGAAAGAACCAGCTCTCTGTTTGGTACAAGTTTTGAAGGCAAGTAAGATGACAAGGGCTGTTCCTTTCTAAAATCTATCCTCAAGATAGGTTGTGAGGATTAATGAGTTAATATCAGAAATTGCTACAGGGTAAATCTTCACTTGCCTAAAAGAGCATAAAATTTTTATTTTGTCTTTTATGCTTTCTGACAATCCCTTCAGTCTGCCACTAGGCTTTTAGTGGAGCGTGTGGAGAATTTAGGACAAGATGATGAATCTTACTCAAGGGCATCTTGATAGCTTTGCAAACTTAATGCAATAATGTAGGTCTTGGGCCCTGTGTCATGAAGTAAACAAAGACAGCTGAAATTTCAGACAAAAGAGGCTATAGCTCATCTATTGTCATTATTTAGGAGACAAATTACAGCAATGAGTATTTTTTTCCCTTAAAATCCCTTTTATTTTTGCATGTCTACTTAATTTTATTTTGAACAACTAGAAAGCTACAGAGATACTCCGTTGAATGTTTAAAGCTGTAATTTATTTTAAACAGTGCGTACAGAATATATTTTGGCCTTGAAAAGTTAAAAAAAAAAAGGTAGGTTGTACAACTTGGAAGCTGGGTAAAGCCCCAAATGAAGGCTTTTGGAAGAGCTAGGACAGAAGGAAAGTGGCAGTCTTCTTGGGTTTTGCACAAATGTGAGAGTCCAGAGTCCACATAGGCTCCTGCTCTATTGCCACAGCCTGAGCTGTGCCTTTGGTCTTAGGAGCCACCTGAGGGCATCTACTGTTCTGAGTCACTAAAAAAAAAAAAAAAAAGTGCTAATGAGGCATTTAACACTTGTACTGCACTGAGCTAAGAAAGAGGCTGCCTATAAGCAGGGAAAATAGCCAGAGGCAGCCAAAGGTAAGAAAGGAAGGGCAGGGATGCCAGCATACATCTAACAGTTTAGGACAGTAACTGGTTCAACTTTATTTATTTATTTATTTATTTATTTATTTATTTATTTATTTATTTATTTCTGAGATGGACTCTCTCTCTGTCGCCCAGGCTGGAGTGCAGTGGCTCGATCTCAGCTCACTGCAACCTCTGCCTCCTGGGTTCAAGAGATTCTCCTGCCTCAGCCTCCCTAGTAGCTGGGACTACAGGCACATGCCACCACGCCCGCTAATTTTTGTATTTATTTTTATTTTTATTTTTTTAGTAGAGACAGGGTTTCATCATGTTGGCCAGGCTGGTCTCAAACTCCTGACCTCAAGTGATCTCCCTGCCTTGGCCTTCCAAAATGCTGGGATTACAGGTGTGAGCCATCGCGCCTGGCCTGGTTCAACATTTAGACTTGGAGGCTTCTTTTTCTTTGTCCAGTGCCTGCAAACCAGTTCCTTCCTTCAAGGAGCTTTCAGACTTGCAGTGGAGATCAGGATATCAGTAAGTGTGGAAAATAATGATAACTTTGTGAAGGATTTGAAGAAGATAAGGGAAAGAGAGAGAAAAAGAAAACTTTACTAAGGAAGGTGCTTTCAGGAGTCAAACCTTGAGGGCTATTGGTGGGGAAAATGGGCAGAAATGGGAAGGCAACAGGGACTGTACTCTGAAGAGAATATTATGGAATACCTACTGTGCCTGGATGGAGCAGAACACTTTTCATATATCTGTCTCCTGCAGTCTTCACAATAGCACCATGAGACCAACTGCTAATTAGCTTGTTTTTGAGACAAAAAAGGCCTTTATTTCATTAGAGACCCACCCCTGCCTCCCAAAATGGAGCATGATGAAGATCCTTAGAATAGCTAAACACCAAAAAGATTATGGTAACCCCCCTATATAATTCAAAATAAGAATAATTCATAACACGAAACATTCATGTGTATGCTAGAATTAAAACATTAGCTTATGTTCTGAGTTTTTCTTATGGCTAAGTCCTGGGTAAGTTAATTGAGTATGGGCCTGCATCAGGTTTGAGTAGCTCTTCAGCTGCTGCACCTTGGTGAGGTGCTCCAAGCTAGCTTACTGTCTGAAACAATACTGCACCCAAGGGTGACAGAGCCAGTAAGTGGCAGAGGAAGGATTCAAACTTAGGTCGATCTGACTTTTAATAACATGGCTTTTAATAACATGGCTTTCCCAGTGAGCCATGCCTGGGGTGAGTCTAACTCCTGTGTGTCTGCTCACCTCAGGGGGACCTGCTCATCAGTTAGGAGCAGACAAAGAGGTCTTAACAGAACATCTATGAAGAGGTAAAAGGCTTCCTGGGACTCTCTGTAAAACTTTGTCAAAGGGTTTTTCAGTGACATAAACTTCCTCTTATCTATGTTGTATTGTTACATGAGAAAAGCATGCTGCAGAGAAGTATATATATATATATATATATATATAGCAGGACCCCATTTTCTCCTAACAAAATGCTCCTATATCTACATTTATAGATGCATAGATGCTGTCATGTTTGTGGGGTTACCTTAGGTACTTTGGGGAGAAAAGGATAAAAAAGCTGTGGAAAATGATAGGTTCCTAGTGTGATGTAAACGGAACATATGCAATATATCACAGTCAGGCCTCCGACATTGCCACAAATAGGTCATCTTTGAATGTTCCTATGAACATGGTTTCAAGGTAACGTGGTTAAAAGAGAGCACTGGGCTGGGTGCAGTAGCTCACACCTATAATCCCAGCACTTTGGAAGGCTGATGTGGGTGGATCACCTGAGGTCAGGGGTTCGAGACCAGCCTGACCAGCGTGGTGAAACCCCCATCTCTACTAAAAATACAAAAATTAGCCAGGTGTGGTGGCGCACACTTGTAATCCCAGCTACTCAGGAGGCTGAGGCAGGAGAATTGCTTGAATCTGGGAGGTGGAGGTTGCATTTGTGCTATTGCACTCCAGCCTGGGTGACAAGAGTGAAACTCCTTCTCAAAAAAAAAAAAAAAACAACAACAACACAAAAACCAGCACTGCTTTGTTTAGATGATGGGGATATGGGCAGTTTTGGTCTTGGATTTCTTTGGTTATTTGAGTTTAGTTTTTTCTCTATGATAAAACAACAAAACAAACAAAAAAAGAACTCCCCCAATCTGTGGACACTTAGTTGTGCCTATAGGTGTACAGCCAGCAGTGACACACCTTGCAGCATGAGAGGCAACTTCACCAGGCCTCTCGACTCCTCTCTGTGCTTCTGTATAACCTTTTTTTTCTTTATTTTTATATATAACTTTTTTTAAAGACTGGGTCTCACTATGTTGTCCGACTGGCCTTGAACTCCTGTGTTCAAATGATCCTCCGGCCTCAGTCTCCCTCCCAGCAAGTGACTAGAGCTACATGTGCACATTACTGCACCCCGCTCCCCTCTGTGCTTCTAAAGGGGGGCCACCCTCTCTGTTCTCATGGGCCACATGCTGGCATTGACTGAAAGTCCCTAACCACGCACCCCTCCCTGCAGTCAACAGTAACAAACATAGAGGGAGCCCTCTGGGAAGTTGGTAAACAGCAATGCGCATGACCTGTCTAAAGGGGCAGGAGAGACTCCTCTCTTGGAGGCTGTTGCCTTTCAGGATGGTGAGCCCAGTATCTTCAGATCTTCCAGTTCTTCTCAAAAAGTACAAAATTCAGATTAGAGGTGAGCACTCTTTGTTTTTAATGAGTGGCACTGAATCGGATCTGACAAGATGCTATGCAAGCCAAATTGGATACATTTGCAATCACATGCCATTGTGCCTTGAAGGGGAAAGGGCCTAGTTCAATCCTTTAACAAGAGCTCAGGAAAGTTCAAGTTTATGGTTTTTGGATGGGGTGCCATTTAATGTGGGTGAAGTGGTGGAGTGTGGTCGTTAGGTTGGGGAAAACAGAGCATATATAAGAGATTTCACAAAGTCACACACTGGGGAAGAAGGGTACCTGTGGTCCCATAAAAAGACATTGTTGATTCTTTTTGCTGATTTTTCAGTTTTGCTAAGTATCTATCTTTTTCCAGTTATCTTTTCTGTCTTAGACCAATTGTGAAAGTTGAACTCTGAAGCTCAAACTCTAAGAGTGTCATGCTACTTCCATAAGGAGGGAAGACATTCTCTCTCCAATACACACACACACACACACACACACACACACACAGAGCCCACACAGCCCACACAGCCCACACAGCCCAAGCATGAAGAAACGTGAAATGTTGTTTTTCTCTTTTGATTACTTAAGAGTCAGGGGTAGGAAAGAACTGAAGTAAATACTATAGTGCGTCATCGCATGTTCTGAATTCCAGCATAATTCAAACACCTCCCACTAAGATGTGTCATTCTGCCTCTAGGCAGGACTGTTCTTAAATTGTGCTTGACATATTTAAATTGTCCTTGACCTGTGGTGTTCATTAAGCCCTCCTGGGAATTAAGTGTCCTTAGAAATTCTCAGAAAGTATCTCTCTAGAAAATGAAATTCTCTATCTCCATCAAAAAGATAAAGGTATTGCCTTCACTCTGCTGTATCTTAAAGGGGAAAAAAATGTAGGTTATCATGTAGACAGTAGAATTAAGTCAGTGCCAGCAAGTATTCAAGAGGTATGCCTTATATAGCTCATGACTTAATATCGGCAAAAGCCTCCTCCCCAGTCTGTCTTCAGAAAGGAGGCACAAGAATTCTGGAACATCATAGTTATTAATTTTTAAACAGTGCTGGAAAACTACTGCTTTTAAAACATGGAAATATTAAGAATTGTTCTGTGCCCAAAACAGATATTCTTATTTTAGAAAGTGCTTCTTCACCAACTATCATAACATTCTTTTGCAAAGAGCTAGTTAAAAAGGAGTAAAATATTTTCTGCATTGCAAGTCTGTCTTCTCTGTTCTGTTTCAAGCCAATAACTCATTTTATGCAGGCACAAACCAAGAATTTTGAAATTTCTGAGTCATCATCAGAATAGCATATTCTCCATGATCCTGAAGACACGTTTCTTGATAACACTTTGATTACTATATCCCTAGATGGATATCTCTGGTACATTGTCTGTCTAGCAGTCATATATTCCCACCTATTTGTCTTGGTAATTTCAGGCTCCAGAAGAACATATGGGCCATATTCACAACTTCTACCATTTTCAGTGTTTATCTTTATTCCGTCAAATTTCCTAAGAGTTCTTTCCATTTCCCTTCTGTCTCTCTGTTCTCTTCATTTTTTTTTTCTGAGTGTGCTGATCAGTAATTCATTTTTGTAGAGCTCCAGTTTAAAAGTTTGTGGGATAGGGAAGTTCAGTGTTAAGAAAATGGCAGATCCATAGGCTAAGGTTTTAGTCCTTGCTCTGTCATTGTTTAACATTAATAATTCTTATAGGTCATTTAGCATTCATATGTCTTAGATTCACCATTTACCAAATGCAGTGACAGCAGTTTCCTCCTACCAGCTTAGCAGGACTATAGTGGCAATGAATAAAGTACATGAATTACTTTGAGATTCTTTAGAAAAATCTTGAGTTCTTGACCTTACTCTGCCAACAACTCTGTTTGCAGCCTGTGGAAGTTGCTTTGACTGTTCTTTGCTTTGGCTTCTCCATCTGAACAATCTGAGGGATAATTACTTAATCTACTTTACAGAGATGCCTGAGTCTCCATAGGCAATTGTGATACTTTGAAAATAATTTAAGGCAGTATGGTCCAGCTTCTGGAATAGAAAGAATAGTGCACTATGGCTATCAATGGCCTGTTATGTGTAGACACTTGCGCTTTATGTTAATTACATGATCTCTCATAACCTTTTACCATCTCTGCCACGTGTTTATAATAACCTCTATTTTTCATGCAGATGAGAAAACAGGCTTGGTATGTGAAAAACTAGTCCAAAGCCACAAAACCTAGTAAGAGGCAAAACCAGAATTTGAATCTAGTTTGTTTCATTTTTGAGTGTTTTTCAACTTAAATAAGTTATGGCTGGTATATTTTTATTAATTTTTGTTTTTTGAGACGGAGTTTCGCTCTTGTTGCCCAGGCTGGAGTGCAATGGTGCGATCTTGGCTCACTGCAACCTCTGCCTCCCGGGTTCAAGCAATTCTCCTGCCTCAGCCTCCTGAATAGCTGGGACTATAGGCATGCACCACCACACCTGGCTAATTTTGTATTTTTAGTAGAGATGGGGTTTCTCCATGTTGGTCAGGCTGGTCTTGAACTCCCAACTTCAGGTGATCCGTCCACCTTGGCCTCCCAAAGTGCAGGGATTACAGGCGTGAGCCACTGCACTTGGCCTATTTTTATTAATTTATATACACGTTGGCATAATTAGCCTTTATTATAAAAATTTTGGAATATATAGAATTTTGATCTAAACTTCTGAATGTCACCTGTTCCTGCATCAAAGACAATGGCAACTTTAGAAATGACTTTCGGGACAAAGTAGCCAAGTATTGTTTCTAATAAGAGTTTAACTACAGATGTCACAAGGAAGTACATACTGTATTAAATCTATAATGACAGAAAGCAGATCATTTATTGCCAGAGACCAGGGTTGGTGGGAGGCAACTTTGGAAACGGAAGAAGGGAACCCTCTGGGTTGATGAAAATAGTCTATATTTTAATTGTGTTTACACAGGTGCATAGATTTGTCAAAACCTGTTTGTCTTCACACTTACAATGGGAACATCTTACTGTCAATAAATTATACCTCAATAGACTTGGTTTATAAATTACAGACATTATCATTCAATTGCCATCTGATCAGGCAAGTGACTTAACTGTTCTGTTTCATATTCCCTCTGTGTACACAGGGATACTGACTTTACCCACCTCAAAAATTGGGGGAAGTATTCAATAAGGTAATCCATCTAGAGAGCTTACCCTCATATTTGTCCATAGCAGGCACTCAACACATGCTTATTCAGCAAAAATATGCTTCAGACACTATTCTCAGCAGTAAATAAGACAAAATTCCTGCCCTCACTGGGCTTATATTCTAGACTGGGGGAGGCAGACAGTAAGCAGCAGGGAGACAAAGAAATGACCGAGATACCATCAAACAGCAGTGAGGGCTGTGAAGCCAGGCAAGCGGGGATGCAATAATGCCTGAGGATGGTGACCATTTCTCTGAGTGGTCCTTGTGAGGAAGTGTCTTTTCCAATGAGACCCAGATAGTATCAAGGAGACAACCACAGGGAAATCAGGCTAGTGTTCCAGGCAGAGGGAACAGAATGTGGAAAGGACCCAAGCTAGGAGCCAGGCTCTGTTCAAGGAACCAGGCTCCAGAAGTAAGAGGAATAAGAAGTGAGTTTGGAAAACACAGCAGCAGGACAACTCAGCTCATCTACGCAATGGGGGGATGATGGAGATCTGATGGGAAGTAGTGAATCTAAGACATAAGTGTGTTAAATGACCTATAAGAATTATTAACCTTAATGGGAAGGATGTGATCTGATTTACATTTAAACAAATTTCTTTGGCTGCTGCATAAGGTATGGATTCTAAAAGTGTGAGAGTAGAAGCCGGGAGACAAGGAAAGAAATAATGCTGCAAGGCCTAGGGTAGTAGGAATAGAGACAGTGAGAGGTGGCCAGATTTGGAATCTATTTTGAAGTAGAGAAAATAAGAATGCCAACAGTTTTGATGTGGCAAAGGATAAGGAATTTTTTTTTTTGGCTTGAACAACTAGGTGTAATATTGTTGCTATTTACTGGCTTGACATTCACTGATCATATTTTAATAATTTTTACTGAAAAGCCATTTAGTGAGCTATTAGGCATTATATCATAAAGTGTTTCTGGGCTAACTACTGATATAAAGTGTGTGTGTGCTAAGTATTATTTTGGGGTCAAACCCTTAGCTTTAGATTTTAAGCTCCCTATTTGTAAACCAAATGGCTGTGCTGGAACCATTTCTGAAATCAGAAGGGCAATTGTGATTGTATGTGAGTGTGCATGTGTAAGTGTGAGTGTGTGTGTATGTGCAGTGTGTTATCGAGGCTCCAGAGTTCTGCTTTCAAGAGTGACATTGGAAGGTAGAGCCTAGAATTTCTTACCAGTAGGGGTTTTGAAGTTACCCCTTGCTCACTTCACTTGTACTTTTCTACAACTCTGCATAATCTTTATGGAGCTAAGATTTTGCCCAACTGTGGTTCTCTCATTATTGCTGTATGTTTCTAAAGCAATGAGAATTCTACCAGTCATCCCCAGTATCTCTGGAGTGACAAGTGGGCAAATGTCTAGGAGATTCCTCTAGTTTCCTGTCCTAGCTTAGAGATCTGTGGTTGAAGCTTAATTGTAGCACTTTGGTGGACAGGTTCCAAGACAACATCACAGTAGTTGATGAGTACAGCTTTCCCTCACACCTTTACTTTCTTCCTCACAGATTATTCTTCTTGTTTCCCTCTGCTTGGGTCTCCTCTTGAAAAGCCACTGGAAGTTTTACTCAGTGTGAAGGACTACTCTGGGATAAATCATTGAACCATGTTTCCCAGGGGAAAACTGATAGCAGGTGGAAGCTCTAATTCAATAATAATAATAGTTAATAATAAGTAAACAGTCGTTGCAGGCTGTTGAGCACATTCTACCTGCCAGTGCTTTACAGGAATTCTCTTTCTTAATCCTTCTAGCAAACTCAAAAGTTCTCTTGTGCAAACTTGTAAAGCATTTTTTTTTCCTACTTCTAATTGTGGGTTACACAGGCACAGAGAGTAAGGTAATTTGCCCAAGGCCACACAGCCAGTGACAGAATTGAGACTTAAACTTGGGTCTGTATGGATCCACATTCCAAATTTATAACTACTAAGCTATCAGACCTCAATCCATCTCAACTGTTGAATATGGTATGCTATAGCAAGATTTCCTAGAATCTTGGCTGGTATTTTATTGGCTGCATATTAAATCAACTACTGTGATGCTGATCGTGCAGCTTAGAGAACAGTACCACGAACATGGTGGCTACTGCCCTCATTAAAAGCCACATTTTCGGTGTTGCTTATATGGATGCCTCCACTTATATGGATGCATCTTTTTGTTATGTTTTTGGCCTCCCATCAAGGCATGGAAAATAGCATCACCTTCATATCCAGATTTAAAATTTCCTGATTTTATGTGGACCAGTGTATATTTTCTTAAGTGCACTTTTAACCCCTTCGTATTAATTCACTAAAAATCTGTTCACTAATATAATGATTAATACATCATTAATCATGAAATTTTATATGCTTCAAAATCTCAGTCGGACCAAATACTTACAATACTTCCTGTCCCTATATGAGGAAATTCAGATATGTGACATTCAGCAAGCTAGTTCAAATGTTGGCATTGATGACTGACAAAAAGCACAAAGACTATTTTTCAGAGTCAGGTTGCTTTAAGTTCTGGCCAGAACATGTGAACGGAAACAACACACACGAGAGGGAGGGTGAGTGAGAGAGAGAGAGAGAGAGAGAGAGAGAGAGAGAGAGAGAGAGAGAGAGAGACAAGAGAGAGAGAGAGAAGAAACACAGACAGAATGTATTCACATGATATTTCTGGCCTGTTTAAAAGGAGGAAATACTGGAAATATGTTTGAAAGCATGATCTCATGGGATTTCAATGCCACTTTAGAGGAATGAAGTATTTGGTTTATATACATAATCAAACATTGGGAGCTGGCACTAGAACCAGCCCAAACAAAACCTGCAACTCTTCCATTGCTACTTGCAAACTTTATTTGCTGGAATTGGAAACCCAAAACTATTCACCCTCTTATGACAATTTATTATTCAGAGATTATGTCTTAATGTGACTTAGATGTACTTCATTTGAGTGATGGAAAAATGGAGGTCTGAATCACAGAATACTAACAAAGCGATGCAGATGAATCTATTAAAGTATATCTCCTCACTGTTTTGTTTTTGACTTTCAATTGGCACTTTTTCTTGCCTCTCAGCTTTGAAACTTGAGAATAAAATGCCTCTGGAAACAAAGCAAAGCAAGCTGGAGTGTGTGTGTTATACGGAATACTGAGAGAGAGCTTTGTGCTGTTCACAGCTACAGCTGTCACCGATTTTTCATCTACAGTAAGGTCAGCCAGACAAAAAGACCCAAGACAACACATTCAGTAGCGTCTTTGTTCCCATCTCAGCCTAAAAGATATAACTTCTTGTGGTGATTTCCAATTATGGCCATAGTGATTTTTCAGCATATTATTGGTTTGGATTAATTGTTGGTCATATGGGAGAGTCCTTTCAAGCTTCTAAAATAAAACAAATGTAGCCTCTGTTAAAAAATGATGTTAACCCCAAAGCTTCAGAGATAAATTCCCTAACTTTCCATGCTGGAACCTCCACTTTGTTTTGTGGGGAAAGGGATTCATTATTAATTCAAAATGAATTTTAATCATAAAGAACCTACTCTGTTATTCAGTGTTTGATGATATAAATTATTATTGAGATCCTTTCTCCACTTTGCTCTGTTTTCCTTCTGAACTTTTTCTCCATCCTTTTTCCCCTCCAATGGCTAAATAGGATCAATCTTCTATTTATTAGGTACTTAAGGAACAGTTAGTAAACTAAGGTTTAAGGATTATTCAACTATCAGTGGAATCCATCTTCTAATTATTTATGGCTATTAAAATGTAAAATTTTTGCGCGCATCTTCTTTCCATTTATATTAAGCATAATAGAAGGTAAATTTTAAAAAGCCAAGGAACTTTTATTCCTATTCTTCCATTTTTTTATTTCAAAGATATGATTTGGAGATAGTTTTCCTCTTTCTTGAAACATTTGATATATAAGATGTTTATTTTTGAGGATTAAACAGAATCAAGAGTACCAACTTAATTTGTCCGGTAGGGCTTCTCTTTTTTTTAATGTTGAACTTCAGCTTGAATGGAGATCAGTGTCTTCTCTGTTTTCTTCCCAAGAGATTGTCTGATGTTCTGTCTGTTTCCAGAACATTCAATTTTATAAAAAATTCCAAGAGAAGGAATTTTACCTGTACCAGGACCTGTGCGAAACAGCATTTTCCTTGTGTTACTCTTTACCTTTCTCTGTTACTCGTGTAGCTGTATACTGAATAGAAAGAGGTAACACAAGCCTTCACAGACCTCAAAATCTATAATTAAGAACTGTATCTGACAAGGTTTTTTTTTCTCCTACTGACAAATAAATGACACTTTTTAAAAGAATATTACAGGAAGAGTGTTAAAAAAAAAAGGCAAAAGGGCAAAAATTGTTTCCTCTCTTCTTCGTGGCAGAACACAGAGAGGTGAGTCTTTTTTTTTTTTTTTTTTTTTTTTTTTTGGTAAGTCCTTACAATGAGTACACTGTTGACTTGGCATGCAGATCAAAAGACTGACAGATTTAATTCATGTTTCTATGCTATACAAACAATGACATGTACAACCCAATCTGGGCTGCTTTCAGCAAGTAATTGAAGGTAGTGCAAACACAGACTTTAAAAGATCAGTGGTGCACAACTGAACTGTTTGACAGAAAGAGATCCGACAGCGCATATTCTTTTTGCTGTTTCGCTGAGATTCCTCTTTGCCTGCCCTCTGCCCTGCCCTTACCCTCCTGGAATTAATAGCGACTGATAGCCCGTGCATTGTGTTAACGGAAATGGACACACACGCGCTGTGTATTAACTCCCTTGTCTGCTGCCGGGTGAAGAGATAAGCTGTGAGAGTGCACAAGAATAGTCTGAAGACGTCTGGAAGTTAACCATGAGAAATCAATGTTTGCATAAGCTTCCATTACACAGGCGGTACTTTTGCTCTATAATGGGGATGGTCTGGGTAATAAGGTAATAAATTCATCCACAAATATATAAAGGATGACCCTGCAAGATTTTGACATGACATTTTCTGTGGATCTAACTTGGTTGGAAAATACAGGAAGCATTTGTCTCCAGTAATTTGTGTACTTGATGTATTTTTTTTTTCAAATTGCATGGTACCAGCAATTTGGTTTTTAAATACAATAGTCTTTGAAAAGTACTGAAGAAAATGAATAGAAAATTACCAGCATCATAGCAAATTATCCCAGGTCAACACATAATGCCTTCATTTTCTAGATGTCTCAATTTAGGCGGCTACTTTGGGCATTTTTGTGTAAGGATGCTTATAAGTATTCCATATTTAATAATACATTTTCTGTTGCATGTTACCGTAGGCTAACATCATTGTATGTGTATCTTCCACATTAAGATTTCACAAGAAATGGATTTAAAACAATGTAGCCAGAGGCAGTGTTTTTGCCTGAATGTTTCAGATGAATTATTTGTTCAAAATTCTTGCCTTTACTTTAGGGTCATAGATAATTTCTTATGATTCCTCCTCAGTTATAAAACAATCATTGCTTTATACAAAAAAGTTTTAAAATGTGGTTTCTAAGTTTTTTTAATGCCCAGAGTTTGAACATTTGGAAGTTATCTATCCCATAATAATTAATTGGCAAATCTGTTTAAGAATAGTTGGTCTTGCTTGTGACTGCCTTAAAAAGATTTACATAAACAATGCTAGCTCAGTGTAGAAAAAATTAGAACTTTTAAATAAGCAGAAACAACAAAAAGAAAATATCTATTAATACAATACTTTTACCCCAGAATAATTATATTATAATTTGAGTCATATCCTTTCAAACTTATATGCCCATTCTTTTAGGAAATAAATAGGAAGCTTGAGTCATTAATCCTTTTGGGTATATACATAAAATTTAATGGTTTTTTTGTTTTGTTTTTTGTTTTTGAGACAAGACCTCACTCTGTTGCCCAGGCTGGAATGCAGTGGCACTATCTGCAATGTCCTCCTTCCAGGCTCAAGTGTTCTCCTGCCTTAGCCTCCTGAGTAGCTGGGATTACAGGCACGTGCCACTACTGCCCGGCTAATTTTTGTATTTTTAGTAGAGACGGGGTTTCACCATGTTGGTCAGGCTGGTCTTGAACTCCTGACCTCAAGTGATCCTCCCACCTCGGCCTCCCAAAGTGCTGGGATTACAGGGGTAAGCCACCACACCTGGTCAAAATTTAATGTTTTTTTTCTCCCATGGAGTTGTGCAGAGTGCTTTGCCTGATTCATCTTTTTCTCTACATCGAGTTTCTTTTGTGGATTTCTTAGAATCTAGAGTTTTTGAGTAGGAAGGATCAGCCTATGCAGGTCTGTTATAAATTGGGAAATAGTTAAGTAATATTTTCTGAAACACATGGGCTGATTAGTGGCAGGGAGAGAAACTGATAAAGATAAGTGATTCCTAAAAATCTGAGCACAAAAGTGAAATATTTAAGAACTATGAATGTGAGGGACAGCCAAAGAAATTGGGCAGGCTTAGTCTGGAGAAAGAGCTTAAGAGAAATTTAATTGTCTTTTTATTAGAATGGTTACCATGTGGAAATCTTTGTGTCTTAGTAGTAGCTGCTATAATCAAAATACCATAGATTTGGTGGATTAAACAACCAATGTTTATTTATCACAGTTCTGGAGCCTGGAAGTTGCAGATCAGGGGGCCAGCATGGTTGAGTTCTTGGGGAAGATCCTCTTTCAGGTTTACAGTTGGCCAACTTGTTTCCTTATTTGGTAAAGGGGGGTGGGTGGGGAGAAAGAGGGAGAGAAAACGAGGGAAATGGAGGGGGTCAAGGGAGAGGGACAGGGAGGGAGAGAGAGCACAAACTCTAGTCTTTTCTTATAAGGACACTAATCTCATCATGAGGGTTCCACTCTCATGACCTAATTACCTACCAAGGGCCCCATCTCCAAATACGATACCATACCATCACATTGGAGGTAAGGGTTTCAACATATGAATTGTGGCAAACACAAACATTCAGTCTATAACAAGTGCTGCAGAAGAAAGAAAAATAAAACTAGAATACAGGTTGGAAAGTACCACGAGGATACTTGAGATCCTATTGACAAAGAAGAAGGGATCAGCAATTAGAAATTTTTCACAGCAGTATCAGCTGCATTTAAAGTACTGAACTCTTAGTCATTGAAGGTAACTGGGGGATGCAGAAGAGCTATCAGTCAGGGTTGCTGGATGTGGGTTCGCTGCATGGGGAAGAAAGTTAGACTATGTGAGAAACCTTCTTCTTCTTCAGAACCATATTTCCTTCATGCCAGGCAGTCCAAAGGGCCCAACACTATAAGAATAAGGTTGCATGTATACACCATGTTGAAACCTAAATGGCAACTGCATAAAAACTATGAGCAGCAACAAAATCAGTTCTGGTTTATATGGTTGTTTGAATAAAACTTCCAATTATCAAAATATCAGCAGCTCTTTTGCTATGCCAGATGTAAGACATAATTTTAATTCTAGAAACATAGAATTTACAATCTTCAAAGTAATCAATAGGAATTGGAGTTTTTACTTCAGTGGTATGGATTCTATATCTCACCTCAAAATGGATGGCATGAGAACACCTAAGAAAACAGGGACCAATGTATAACACATTTCATTAAGTGAACTGTGTTCGTTTCTTTTTGTGCAAAATCTAATCAGTCTGCCTATGAAAGCATTGCAATAGCATAGTCTAGAAGCAAGCAAATATAAATCACCACTTTGGCAACCAACCAAACCAGCAGGGTACAAACTATAGAGATAATTCTTAGGTAGTAGAATAATCGCATAACCCACATGACTTTATGTTATTCCAGAGACAGAAAAAGGTTCAGCATTATTCCTAAATACTGTGCAATATCTGATAATTGTAAATCAGGATGTCACAAAGAGAAGGTGAGATGATCATTGTAAATCAGGATGTCACAAAGAGAAGAAAAGAGCTATAGCTAGAGACAGATGCTCCAATTAGCAAGATATCCACTTCCAAATTATTATGTTTTCAAATAAATTCTGACATGCAATTTTGGAACATTGGAAAATAATACTAAACCAGCCTGAGTAGAAACAGGAAGTAAATCTTGGCAGAGCTGTATGCCTTCAGCTTATTACCAATAATGCATTGCATCGTTGAGTAGGGGGTGGTGCACAGAATGATTTTCAAAACCAGTCTTTAACTTGAGATGGTTTTCCCAAACTTGGAGTTATAAATTGAAACTTGCAAAGTCAGAAAAAAAAATCCTGTTATTACTAAATCAGGTAGTTCGTCTGGATAGTTTAAATTGATCTGTAAGGACCCTCATGTTCCAAAGTACCAAATACAGCTGAAAAGTCTTATGAGCTTAATTTTACCCTTTGGTCCATGGTATGCATCATTACACATCTCAGAAAATCTGTGCTGATCTTACTTGCAGGCATAAAGTTCTGTTTTATTTTCAGTAAGTCCATTCATACCATATAGTTGTGACCAATGTACATCCATAAAAATATTAACCCGACTTCCACCCCCCGCAACCACTAATACATAAAAACCAGTTTTTTCATAGAGAAGAGGACATGAGATGCGTGTGTTGAGTTCAGAAAGCTACTTTCTTAATAGTAGGGGAAAGAAGAGAAGGGCAGTGTGATCCACAGGTGACCTATGTCAGAATCAGCCGTATGCTTCCTACTAAACAAAGCAGCTTCTAGGCCCATCCCAGCCCTATGAAATCGGATTCTGTGTGGGTTGCAGTAGCATTTAAAATATGCTCACTAGGGATTTTATTGCATTAACACTTGTGCGTCATTGGCTTAAGGAGAAGTGTTAGGGTTCTTTTCTCCAGCACTCTGCACAACCTAGAGAATTTGTGGGTGCTGTAGAATCGGTATTAAGGAATGAGTAATAAAAATGGGAATAAAATGGGAATAAAAATGGGAATAAAAAATAAAATAAGGCCAAGGGAGATGAGATGAGGAAGAAAAACATGAAGAATGACAAGTTTGAAGATCAAATAATTTGAAGTCTGAATGTCTGAGTACAGACTAATGTATGATATATGTAGACATAAGCTATTGAAATCAAAAGCAATGGTTGGGGGATAGAGTGAGAGAAGGATATAAAATGGCTGTGTACTTAAGCTGTCATTTATGTCAGCCTATTGCCTGTCATTGGAAATAACCTGAGAACTCCCTTTGTATAACACAGTGATGAATCTTGGAAATTCTTACAAGCATGTTTAAGTGCCATTTGAAACTCAGCTGAATCTTTTCTCTTTGAGTTAAATTGATACAGCTGTTGCCAATGTGATGCCAGTAATGATGTCTTATGCCAGGCAGTATTCTAAACCCATTAGATATATTATTTCAATTAATCTTTACAATACGTTTCTCCAGTAAATGCTGTTAATCTTCTTATTTTACAGATAAAGACACTGAGGCCCAGAGAAGTTAAATACTTTTTCAAAGTTTCAGTTACTTGGCAGCAGAACTAGGCTTTAAACATCGAATACTGACTTCAGAGCCCATGCTTTAAGCGAGGATGCTATTCTGCCTCAAACTCTGGGACTACATTATATAGCAGGGGCCAGCAAATGTGTTCTGTGAAAGGCCAGATAGTAAATATTTTAGGTTTTGTGGGCCATAAAATCTCTGCCATTATAGCATGAAAACCATAGACAAACTGTAAATGAATAGACGTGGCTATGTTCCAATAAAACTTTATTTATAAAAACAGATGGCAGGCTGTGGTTTGTGGACCACTGTTCTATAGTATTTTAAAAATGTCTACTCTTTCATGGTGATGTAAAAGAACTACGAGTTTCTATTTTTAAGGTAAGACTTCTGTGAGCAAAGATTTTGTATTCTCTACTGATGTATTTGAAAGATTCTGCCCCTTCTTTGTGCCAAGAGGCGAAAGGGCATGTGCGTAGAGGAGCTTCTAGAAGTGATGATGGGCCTGCTTTGAGGTGTTCACACTGCCTCACCTAGTTGCCCCTGTGATCAGAAACATGGATTCATGAAACAGCCAGCTGGGCTTAGGGGTGGGGCTTCCTAGAAGAGAGACAGATTTTGCACGTGGAGAGTGTAACTCACCTGGAAGAGGGTCTCACTTGTGATCCAGGCTTCTTTCTCTCCATGCTTTCATCTAATGGGATGACCAAACCAGGCAAGATCAATGAGTCTGAGGACTACACTGGTGTATGTGCTATATGTGCTGTAAGCTTTTTTGCTTTGCAAATGCATATTCCAACTGAACACTGTTTGAAAACATTTGCTTCCTATTTCATCAAAATGAGAGGACCTTTCCAGGCTATACTCTTTCAGATGGCCTGTTAATGAGTGACTTGCAAAGAGTAAATATTATTGATAGTGGCTCTCAGAAATTCTCTATAGCTCTACAATTTCATTTTTCTCCATCTGTGAATGGGGACTATGACAGCTGCCATACTTCACAGAACTGGGAAGATGGTATGAGGAAATAGACACCAAAAAGCCTTGATAAGTTCCAGAGGGCCAAAATAGTAACTCTTGTTGGCAAGGGTATTCTATAAATCATTTGGGGTCAGGTAATTATACCCACTGCCTATGTGTATACAGGGGCTTGGTAAGTTGATGGCAGCAAAGTAGAATTTTCACTATAAAATAGCACTGGACAAGGTTCTCAGTTATAAGTGGAAGCTAAGCATCGGGTACACACAGATATAAAGACGGAAACAACAGACACTGAGAACTGCTAGAGCAGGGAGAGAGGGAGAGGGGCAAGGGCTGAAAAACTACCTATTGGGTACTATGCTCACTACCAGGGTGTTGGGATCATTCATACCCCAAACCTGAGCATCATGCCGTAACAAACCTGCACATATATTCTCTGAATCCAAAATAAAAGTTGAAATTTAAAAAAAAAGCACTGGATAATATTTTCAATTGTTGGTATAATATTTTCAATTGTTGTTATAGTCATGGTAGAATACTCTGCAACTGTTTGAGGGTATGTCAATATGTACTGTAAAAGGGGAGTGATGGCCTTCAGGTACACTGTGATGATATATGGCAAGAGTGAATGTTGGCTTTGAATACCAATGACTTAGAGGGATAACTGGCACTTTTTGTTGGTTTATTTTGTTTTAGAAAAAAAAGTAAAAGAATAAGTCATCATTCTAACAAAACTGGAAGAAGTTGGGCTGGGACATCAGATACTGCTCAACAGTCTATCAACAACACTCTATAGAGTGATTCCTTTCCCTTGCTTTTTGTAGGCTGTGCATTTGGAAGGTTTAGCATTTATATAGACAACAGCATGGACTGTCTCAGTGGCCAGCAACTACTTGGCGACATAGGGGAGACTGATATTCACATAAAGGAAATAAACCAGATGGGCTCTACACAACTCCTCAATTAAGTGTCCACAAATTAAGTTTAAAGCTAAGAACTTGAGGATTACTTATTTGATTTTTCATTTCTTTTTTTCTTTTGGAAAGAGTTTGTATTGACAAAGGTGAAATAAGTATAATTAGGAAGAGCAGCAAAAAGGGCAATATGGCCACAGTTGCTCGATAATAAAACTACTAAAGTTGTTAATAAAGTTCTAATTTTTATTGTAAGTACTCTCTGTTTATTGAGCACTTAACTCTGCGTCAGTGTTAACTGTGATAAGAACTTAAATTATTTCTGGCCGGGCGTGGTGGCTCACGCCTATAATCCCAGCCCTTTGGGAGGCAGAGGCAGGCTGATCATCTGAGGTCAGGAGTTTGACACTAGCCTAGCCAACATGGTGAAACCCCATCTCTACTAAAAATACAAAAAAATTAGCTGGGTGTGGTGGTGGGTGCCTATAGTTCCAGCTACTAAGGAGGCTGAGGCAGGAGAATCACTCGAATCCGGGAGGCGGAGAGTGAGCCGAGATTGTCCCACTGCACTTCAGCCTAGGCGATAGAGCGAGACTCTGTCTCAAAATAATAATAATAATACAAGAGCTTAAATTATTTCATTTATCTCCATGATATCTCTATGAAGCAGGATATTTTATTTTCCACATTTTTAACAGATGAAGAAAATGGCCAGAGACACACAGCTAGGAAGTGGGATTTCAACCCAGATCTGTCTGAGGCCAAAAAATAGAGCATTTAGTCACTAGTTAGAAAAAAAATACAGAGATCACTGTGAACTGAGCTTGGTTCATAGGGAATATGTAGTTCTATTCTATAAGAATAGAATTTATAAGTGACTTTGAGGATATGATTAAAGAAGGGGGAAAGACAACATTTACAAAATTTTATTAATTTTTAAATTATTTTTGGAGAAGGAACACAAGAAGTCACAGTGGAAGACATCTCAGCTGAGGTCCCCAAACCAGTGTAAGTGTCCCTTCCTCAGCCCTTCCCTGGCCATGCAATGGAGGGGTGTACCTGCTCATTACTTTTGCTCTCAGCATTCTATTTGTTTTTTCACCATATGAACTGGCAGAATGTGAAATTATTACATTTGCATATTTCTTTGTTTTATGTTTATTTCACTCCACAAGTGCTTATTCTTATTCATCATTGTATTCCCAGCACCTCCTACTCACAGGCACACATTAAGCACCTAAAATTCAATAGTAATAATCTTTATTGAGCACTTACTGAGTGCCAGGTGCACTTCCAAACACTTTACATGTATTATCTCATTTAATCTTCACCATAGCTGTCTGAGGGAGGTGCTCATTATTAGACCCAGGGGGAGGATGTGACTGTGTTCTCTGTGGGCTCTTTTATCCATCACGGCTCATTTTCATTCCTTGCTCTGCAGCTCCACTGCCTGCCATTTAAGTGTGTTTTCTTTCTTAAGTCCGTAACAAATTGTTATATTTGTTTATTTATATTTGATTGCTTGCTTATAATTGTATATGATGTGTAATACATTATATTTAATACACACATATACACACATGCAAACACACATAGAGATTTACCTTGTTTTTTATGAAGCTGGGTTACACTTGCAGGACAAATCTCTGATAATACCACCCATAAAGCTTAATTAAAGTCACTTTCACATACCAGCTAAAAAGAGAGAGATCTCAGCTTCCAGAAAGAAATAACATCTAGAAAAGGAAGGAATAAAGTCTACTTACATATGTATCTATTGAGTTTCTGTTTTGTGTTCCATTTATATCCCTGCGCTTCTGAGGAATACAAGTGAAATTCAAGACCCAGTCACACCATAAAGAAGTTTACAGCTCTTAAAACTGGGAAGGTGTGGGCCTTCTTGAGAAAGCTTTTGGGAAGACCAAATTTACCTTGAAGTTTGCACAAAGCCCTTAACTTTCACATTAAGTTGGCCTGCTGATAAAAGGGATTTATAAAGAACCGTAGTGCATTACTTAGTAAATATCTACCCCAAACAACTACTCAGTGTACTTGTAGGTGGGGAAAAAGCTTCTATGCCTAACAGCCAATGTTTAATAAAATGTTATATTAGCTTAGAATAAAATGAGAAAATCGGAGTTGAGCAGGACTCTAGGTTAGAAAATCCAGGAGGGATAAGAAAAAAAGGCAAAAATCAGCTAAACATGAGATAAAGCTGACCTAGTTCAAGTACAGCAGGTGAAATTATTAAAAAAGTCATGTACATAGTAAATATTCAATAAACATTTGTTTTGAATGATTTGATTTCAAAAATACTTATGAGAAGTAATGGCCTCCCTCTCCACCAACGTCAGTATAAGTCTTTCACTCAAGCAGAAGGAAAGATTAGCTATTTATTTTTAATCATCCTTGAGAACAAGGCTCAGGCAAGAAATTGCTTTATTCTCTTATCTTCCTGCACCATCCCACACTTTGACTATCATAAATCATTCTCCCTCCCTTCCTCTGTTCTCTGCCCATGGGACCTGTGACTTTGATTTTGGACACATCTGTGCTACACGGGTAAAAGAACAAAGTGAGTTCTTTATCTGTTTCTATAAACAGCCCAGGAACAGGAGGCTGGATCGAGGGAAGTTTATACAGGAAAAGGCATGATGTATTTGAGTTGTGAAGGGAGGTTAAAGAGAGGGGTGTGTCCTAAGGAGATTAGAGGTATCACCTTAAAGGACAACTTAAAGGGAGAGTGTTGTTATTAGAGGCAATCATCACAATTTGTTTAAGATTTAAATTAGTCTGCTTTACCTTTTTTTTCTTATTTAAAGAGCACTTGTTAAAGGCATAGCCATTAACCTGTAAAAGGCATGAATCTAAGAGTTAAAATCCTCTCATTGAAAATTTTCAGGGGTCATTGGTAGATGACATGCAAAAAAAGATATTCTACATCACGTTTCTGTCATGCTGAGATGGAGAAACTCCCTGGCACGGGCCCAACACACTAGAGCCAATTTCTCTGTCTTCTCAACTTGGAAATCTGGAATGGTAGCTTTTAGAGGAGTTTGATTTATTGAAATATGCATAATGGCACAAGAAGCAATATCTTTGATCACTGGTTCCCAAATCATCTAAACAGGGCTGTTCAAATTGGCTAAAGAACAAACAGACAAGTAGGCATATGGTCATAGCCTGTATAGATTCACCAACCTGAACATTTGCCCCAAGGCACACATCTCCACGCTGTACCATAGAACAGATGGAGGAAAGGAAGTGGACTAACTCCATGGAGAAGATCTGACAAAGGGAATCATTTGCCTGCTTTACTTTCTTGATAGTTGTGGTTTCATGTAGGTTATCTAGAATAATGTGTCTCCCTCTCCTCTCTCCCTTCTTCCCCTTCTCCCCTCCCTCTCCCTGTCTCTCTCTTTCTTCTTTCTCTTATTCTCCTCTGTCCTCTCCAGAAAAGTTATCAGAGCTCTATAACTCTACAATACCTATATGTGTCCCTCCATTCCTCCCAATTTTCCCCCCGTCCCTTTTTTGGGGTTAGCAACTGATAAAGTTTGTGCACATTTGGCAGGTTTAAGCTTGTAATAAAACATTCAACTATTTTTGGAAATTGAACAGGGCCTAAAAGATATGTAGATATATAACAAAACACTTTGGAAAGAGTGAGAAAAATATGGGACTAAGTGGATTTATAAATTAGGCATCTATCAATGTTGCAATTTTGTTTTGGTAGGTAACTGTTGGAACGAGAATGCTTTCCTGGGTAGTTGGCTCCTTTAGTAGCCTGGGAAGGGAACTGGTATTTTTTGGGTGGGGGTAATGTTTTGTTACTTTACTTTACAATCACTCTGTTCTTAATCAGGGAAAAGAGATTGAATACATATATATATATAAAATCTTCTTTTTTGGACAGAAGAAATGATTAGGAATTCCTTTTCTTGACTCTGTAATATTTTCTAGAGCATATGGCAGCGCCTCAGTAATTTCAGAGTGATAGAGCTAAAGAGAGAGAGCAGAGGCTCTGAGTGCCTGGGTGCCTCGCCCAAGGGCATGCTCTCAGAAATGCCATGCTCCACATGGGAAGACGTCTAGATCTGAACTGTGGACCAGGAAGAAGTTCAGCCTTGGCTAGTGCTGTGCTCTCACATGAAATTTCTACTGTCTCTGAGTATCTGTTTCCTCCTGAGCGAAACAGAAGGTTCTAGAAAGGCTGTGGTGAGGATGATCAAGAAGCTATGTAAATTTTGGAGCACTGTGTATACACAAAGTATGCAGATGGGAACTTAAGTGAAGTGATGGGATGTGTACTTAGAACCTAGTTGTCTTTTATTGTTGATTTTTTCTAGAGTGAAATGGTATTCAGCCAGGATCTGCTGAATTCACTGTTGGGGTTTTGAATCCTTTTGGGGTCATGACTTCTACGAGAAGCTGATTCAAGCAATGGAGTCTCACCTCAGAGAAATGTGCCTGTATGCATAATCACATATTTTGCAAGCATATATAATGTTATACCCTGTCTCTGTCAATTCCAGCAGGGCATAGCGGAGTAAGCATAGACTCTAGAGACTGATACACCGGGTTCATGTTCTAACCCTGCTACTTGACAGGTAATGGACTTTAAATAAGTTAGTTAATAGTTAATATTTTGGAACTTCAGTTTAGTTTTTTCAGCTATAATACAAGGATAACACCCACCTGACACATCTTGGCTTATAGGGTGGGCTTATGTATTGGGTTCCCAGTAAATGATATGAGTGGTAGTTATTTTTGCTTTTTTTTCTTTCTGTCTACGTTTGACATGATATACACCTCACAAGATTCTGCTGTTGTGGAGCTTTGAGTGATGTATTGACAAAAATGGCCCCAGGGAGATTTCCAATATTGTGAAATTAGAGAAAAAGAAAATTTTAACAAATATTTAAACTCACTATTGAAAATGTTCTCAACTTGGGAACATTTAGTAGCCATAACCACTACAAATGTTTTTACTGGAAAGGGTAGAGAAAGATGTACAACAGACTGACAAATGCAGCTGTAAATCTAATTGAACATTTTAAAGACAGAACTCTTGTCTGGGTGATGCCTATCATTTAGACTATCATGGAGATATAAATTTGTATTATAGATAGAATAAAATATTTTGAAGTCAATTAGGCTAACATAAGGGTTGTATTAATGGGATAGTTCACATTCCTGGCTTTGTCAGTTTCCTTGACTTTAGCGTCTTTTAATTTCCTCTATGTTGAATAATATGCTCTGGTTTATAGCAACCACTCTTTCCATATAGGCCATTTCTGTCTTGTTTTTTCTGCCAAATGGTTTCTTTTCCCAAGTTTCTGATGTTAGTCAGTGTAACATCTAACATAATTTGGATTTCCCTTTATGCATTTGGTTTTAAACAATCACATCCAGATGTTGTTTTCATTATAGCCTGATTCCATTCAATAAAGCTGGGGTATTTCAGAATGTTTTACTATCAACAGCTTCCTTCACTTGCCTTTCAGTTCACAACGATTTAGATTTTCCCACAATCTTTTTGTTTCCAATATAGGGTCATATCACCAAAAAGTACTTTAGAGGTCATTTAGCCCAATCCCCTGTATTACAGATGAGGAAAAATCCCTTGAGAGACTGCGCCCAATGCTAGAATATAGCCAATATGTGGCAAACCTGAGAATAAATGATGCATCCCGCTTCCCTCTGGCTACTCCAAGCTTGAGCACTACAGGATTGACCACTAAAATATTTTTAAACTTAAAAAAAAGTTTCTCTCATTTATGGAACTATATTCTAAATTCAACCCAGAAAGATACTTAGAAATCCCTAAGAATGGCTGCAAATTAGAGATGTTTCATTTTTTGCTTTTCTTTAAATATGTAATTTTTAAAGCAAATCACTACTTTTGTGTCTCTGAATTTGGAACAAATTTGTACTCCCAACTTCTATATTCTTTGATTTTTTTTTTTTTGAGACAGAGTTTTGCTCTTATTTCCCAGGCTGGAGTGCAGTGGTGCGATCTCGGCTGACTGCAGCCTCCGCCTTCTGGGTTCAAGCAATTCTCCTGCTTCAGCCTCCCGAGTAGCTGGGATTACAGGCACCCACCACCATGCCCAGCTAATTTTTTGTATTTTTAGTAGAGAAAGGGTTTCATTTCATTTCAGGCTGGTCTCTAATGCCTGGCCTTAAGTGATCCACCCGCCTCGGCCTCCCAAAGTACTGGGATTACAGGCGTGAGCCATCGCGCCTGGCCTATTCTTTGAATATTTTAAACAAATAGATCAGTTTTTAAGCAGTAATTCTTCTCCATTTAAGAATTTTCCAAATGTAAAGTCTGAAAATGAGGAGCAGTGACGTCATCAGTAGATCATATGTCATTTAGGGCTGTAGGGGCATGTGTAGAACTACAATATTTTTCTCACTAGAGAAAGAAAAGTTTAAAACCTAATTCATATGGAAGGGAAAAACCAAGAAGAACTAAACCTTTCATTAAACAATACCAAAAAGAATATAATTTAGAAAACGTATACTGTAAATGCTAGTGCATAAAAATGTCTCCATTTTAATCACAATCCACTTTTGATTTAACTAGTATTGAAATGAGGAGTGCAAAGGCAACTTTAAAGTCTTTTTTTTTTAATGGGAGATCTGCCAACTACTAGCAATTGAGTAATTATTTTTCCTCACAGGGCACTTTGGGCTCGTTGGAATGTGGCTTAAGATAATAATCAGATTCAAAGACATTCTGATGCCAATGGAACATGGAATTTGGTTATGATGCTTTTTTCAGGAACATATTAAGCTTTATTTAGAGAACTGAATTCCTATTCTGTTTTAGTAGGATGTATATGAGGTGGGCAAAGGCTTCATTTCTGCCACTAACTTAAAAACCCCCAAAGACTTAACCTATAGGCTTAGAAGGCTCTGATTTAATCATTTATCCTTCATTTTTAGAAATAAACATCTTTGGCTGGGTGCAGTGGCTCACGCCTATAATCCCAGCACTTTGGGAGGCCAAGGTGGGCAGATCACAAGGTCAAGAGATCGAGACCATCCTGGCCAACATGGTGAAAACCCATCTCTACTAAAAGTACAAAAATTAACCGGGCATGGTGGCACGCACCTGTAGTCCCAGCTACTTGGGATGCTGAGGAAGGAGAATTTTGAATCTGGGAGGCGGAGGTTGCAGTGAGCTGAGATTGTGCCACTGCACTCCAGCTTGGCAACACAGCGAGAGTACGTCACAGAAAAATAAAATAAAATAAAATAAACATATTTTACATACCCATCATATAAAGGGTACTGTGCTTGATGCTTAGGATTAGAAGTTAATTTTGTCTAAATAAGTGTTACCCCCACGTGTGTTTAGTAGAACACTATTTTTTGAGAAAAATAACATATGCATAAAAATTACTAATAGTGAATATTTAGATACCACGTACAAACACTGTATTAAATACTTTATGCATATTATACATAACATTTCACTTAGTCCTCACAAAAACCCTATGATGTAGGTACTATTATATTTCATTTTTCAGAAGGATCATTGAGGATTAGGAAAGTTAACTAAGGTGTTCCAGGTCTTAATAGCTAATACAAAGCGAAGCTGAACTTGGAATACCTTCTGATTTTGGATTTGATACTTTCAACCCTCTGACACAACAGTGCCTCTAGAGGACTTCAGTGGTTATTTCCCAAGATAGGCCAGTTTATCTGATGCTAACTAAGATTTAATGTTAAAGTTGAATTATTTATACTCATTTTTGGAATCACTTGATGTAAATTTTAATGTATCTAAGATTTAATGTCTCGTAGGTATATATTATTGTATCTGAGCTAACTGCAGCATCCAGAATTATGACAACTAATTTGCAATTCAAGTTCTGTGATTCTTTTGCCAAAAGGCTTGAATGCTAAGGGGTTTACCAAAAAATCTTGGAAGCTGAAGGCAAAAGGATGGTTCATAGAATAGCACTTAAATGCTGGTATCCCATGATTCACAGGGTAGTTTTCATGCAAGGTGATGATGAAATTTCTAGGAGGTTTGTACATCGAGCTTGTTCCACATGTCTGTGCCATGAATATGCAATATACTCTGAAAGACTGGAATGACTTGGAGCACTGGAGTTGTGAAGCATGGATCTCTGGTTTGCTCAATCAAAACCCTATACCCTAGCCTCACAAAACTTAGCTCCCTGAACATGTAACAAGGCATAACTTTATAAATTAAGTAACATTAAAGTTTTGCAAAATCTAATATACAAGTCAAACCTCGCATCATTAGTCTGGACCATGGGTTGTTCTGAATAACAGACATAATTTTAAGCAAATGGAAGTGTGAGAAATTTGAAAAAAAATTGAACAAATCTATTATTAGTTCCTTGCCTCTAAATTAAAACATTAGTACTGGTATAAGACTGGACTGATCGCAGAAAGACAAGTTATAGTTATCAACAAAATGATCAGCTGTCTTTTACAGAATGATCTTGCCTCCTTGCTATTTATATTACCTAATACACAGCATGTACATGAAAAAAAACCTTTTATGGTAATATATCCTTAATCTTGGAGATCCATCTTGTATCTTTACATAGTTAAGATGCTGAAAAGTCTTCCAGTCTTTTCTAATTCATTGTTTCTCAGTCTTATTTGACCACATAATACTATCTTCCAGTATTAACAGGGAAGTATTATTGTGTGTAAGATGGCAACATTCACCTGGGAATAACCATTTGGATTCAAAATGTCTCCTTTCCCCATAGCTCATGGATTTCTCTTTGTTTCTTTTCATTTTTCAAATTTTTCAAAATTTCAAACATACATGGGAAGAAAATTATAATAAGTCCCATATACAACATACATATAACAACTATTTAGATTTTTTCCATCTATTTTTTGAGGTGATTTAAAGCAAATCCCAGACATTACAATGTTTTATCCTTAGATATTTCGGGATGCTTTTATAAAAAAATAGATTTCCTTACATGTTTACCGTGTCATTATCCCTTCTAACAAAATTAACCATGCTTCTCTAATGATGTCTGACACACAGGTGATATTCAAGTTTTCTAAATTATTCCCCATATATCTTCTTTTTGGAGTGCCTAATCCAATGGCTTTCCGTATATTCATAGAATTATGCATCCATCCCCACATCAATTTTAGAACATTTTTATTACTCCCCAAAAGAAACCCCACTCCGCTGAGCCATCATCCCCAAATGCCCACATTTTCCCCAGCCAGCCTTAGGTAACTATGAATCCACTTTCTATTTTCAGAGGTTTGACTATTCTGGATATGTCATACAAATGAAATCATACAATATGTGGTCTTTCTTACACTTCCATACATTTTCAAGGTTGTCAATACTGTAGCATGTATTATTACTTCATTTCTTTTTATAGCCAAGTAATATTCAATTATATGGATATACTACATGTTATCTATCCATATGCTAGTTAATGGATATTTGGGTTGTTTCCATTTTCTCATGATCTCTTAATTATAGAAACCTTTATTATGAAAAAATTTCAAAGATATGCAAAAAAATAGACTATAATAAACTCTCAAGTGGTGTCTCACAGTTTCTACATTATCAATTCCTGGCCCAGAATAAATTGGTTTCATCTATACTTCAGAACTTTCTTGCTCTCCACATTGTTTGAAGAAAACATCGGACATGGCATTATTTCATGTGTAATATTTCAGCATATGTTTATAAATGACAAGAGCTTCTTTTCCTGAAAAATGACATCACCTTCAAACAGAATAAAGAAATCATGAGCTTGAAGACAGGCTATTTGAAAATACAGAGAAGAGATAAAAGAAAAAACAAAAACCAAAAAAAAGTATGCCTACAAGATCTAGAAAATAGCCTCAAAATGGCAAATCTAAGTTATTGACCTTAAAGAGGAGTTAGAGAGATTGGGGTAGAGTGTTTATTCAAAGGGATAATAACAGAGAACTTTCCAAATATATAGAATGATACCAATATTCAAATACGGAGGGTTATAGAGCACCAAGCAGATTTAACCCAAATAAGACTATCTCAAGGCATTTATTAATCAAACTCCCAAAGGTCAAGGATAAAGAAAGGATACTAAGAACAGCCAGAGAGAAGAAACAATTACTATACAAAGGAGCTCCAATACGTTTGATAGCAGACTTTTCAGCAAAAACCTTACAGGCCAAGAGAGAGTGGCATGACATATTTAAAATACTGAAGGAAGAAAACTTTTACCCTAGAATAATGGTATATCCAGAGAAAATATACTTCAAGCATGAAGGAGAAATGACTTTCTTAGAAAAACAAAAGCTGAGGGATTTCATCAACCCAGACCTGCCCTACAAGAAATGTGAAAGGGAGCTCTTCAATCTGAAAGAAAAGGATGTTAATGAGCAATAAGCAATTACCTGAAGGTGCAAAACTCACTGGTAATAGTCAGTATACAGAAAAACACAGAATGTTATAACAATGCAATTGTGGTGTGTAAACTACTTATATCTTGAGTAAAAAGACTAAAAGATTCACCTATAAAAAAATAACTACAAGAACTTTTCAAGACATAAACAGTGAAATAAGATATAAATAGAAACAGCAAAAAGTTAAAGCGTGTGTGGTGGGGATGAATTTAAAGTGTAGAGTTTTTATTAGTTCTCTCTTTGCTTGTTTGTTAGTTTATCTGTTTGTTTTTACAATCAGGGTTAAGTTGCCATCAGTTGTAAGATATTATTTGTAAGCCTCATGGTAACCTCAAATAAAAAAATCTACAACAGGTACAAAAAAAATAAAAAGCAAGACATTAAAACATAAAACCAAAGAAAATCAACTTCACATAAAGGAAGACAGGAAGGAAAGAAGGAAGATAAGACCACAAAACAATCAGAAAACAAATGACAAAATGGCAGGAGTAAGTCCTAAATCATCAATAATAACACTGAAAGTAAACAGACTAAACTCTCAAATCAAAAGACATAGAGTGGCTAAATTAATAAACAAAAAAGATCCAATGATCTATTGTCTACAAGAAACTCACTTCACCTATAAAGACACACATAGACTGAAAATAAAGAGATAGACAAAGCTACTCCATACTAAAAAAAGAGCTGGGGTAGCTATAGTACATCAGGCCAAATAGATTTCAAGACAAAAACTATAAAAAGAGACAAAGAAGGTCATAACATAATGACAAAAGGGTCAATTTAGCAAAAGGATATAACAATTTAAAATATATATGTACCCAACACTGGTACAAAGAGATATATAAAGCAAATATTACTAGAACTAAAGAGAGAAATAGACCCCAATACAATAATAGCTGGAGACTTCAGCACTCTACTTTCAGCATTGGACAGATCATCCAGACACAAAATCAAAAAGAAACATTGGACTTAATGTGTACTACAAACCAAATGGACCTAATAGATATTTACAGAACATTTCATCCAATGGCTGCAGAATATACAGTCTTCTCTTCAGCACGTGAGTCATTCTCAAGGACAGACCATGTGGGTTTCTCCCACAACACATGGGAATTATGGGAGCTACAATTCAAGATGAGATTTGGGTGGGGACACAGCCAAACCATATCACTTGTTCTCACTTATTTGTGGGAGTTAAAAATTAAAACAATTGAACTTATGGAGATAGAGAGTGGAATGATGGTTATCAGAGGCTGGGAAGGGTAGTGCAGGTGGAGATGTTTGGTTGGTTAATGGGCACAAAAATGTAGTTAGGTAGAATGAATAAGCTCTAGTATTTGATAGCACAAGGTGAGTAGAGTCAACAATAATTTATTGTATATTTAAAAAGAAGTAAAAGAGTATAATTGTAATATTTGTAACACAAATAAATGATAAATGCTTGAGGTGATGGGTACCCCATTTATCATGATGTGATTATTATGCATTTTATTCCTGTATCAAAATATCTCATGTACCCTATAAATATATATACCTACTATGTACCTATACAAATTAAAAATGAAAAAAATTAAGTAAAAAAATTACATGACAATTATTACGCCTAAAAATAAATAATAATTTGCTAACATTATCAATTATATGTTTCATTGATATGTTGATGTTCAAGACATTTGTCTTCATATATTTGATTTACCTAATGAATATCAAAATTGTCCATGCCAATTGATTTATATATAGGATCATTTGATGTACTAGAGGAAAATTCTTCTTCCTTGGAAACACTAAACATGAAAACTATTCATGGTGAGAGTTATCACATACAGAATGTACCTGTCACTCCTGGGTTCCCCAAATGCCATTCCCTAGTTTTATAAGTACATGAGGCTAGAGCTCGGAAAGATCAGCAAAGCTGTCATTCTGAGATCTGGAAGAGACTAGTTGAGCCAAGGCTCCATGAACTGTAGCATTGTGATATTGATCTGCTGCAGAAACAGTGATCTGCCAGCCAGGAATCCCTTCACATCCAGGTCATTGATTGGAGTCTAGACTAAGACCAGAGCCATGAAGGTGAAAGCAGTACCAGAAATGAGGTGGGGGAAATTAATGAAAGTGAAGGTTCCAGGTAAAATATAATCTGCTCTTTCAGACAAAATGTCTGGAACTCAGTGATTTTATCAATGTATAATTATGTTAATTTTTTTCTTTCTTCTCTCCCTAGAGACACAGTGTACTATTTGTCATTTAACTTAGCCTTTAAAATATTTTTAAAGGCTTCTAAAATTCTTTTTGAATTGCAACAGTTTGTGTTTATCTAGTCTATACAAAAAAAGAGAACCACTCTTCTACCTTTTCTGCTGAATATTTATAAATTTTGATAAAGTGCGTTTTTTCCCCATGATAAAGTGATGAACTGGTAATGAACTTAGCAAATGGTGCGCGCGCGCGTGTGTGTGTGAGAGAGAGAGAGAGAGAGAGAGACCCAAATCAGTGTTGTCATCTCTCAATTCGGTAACACTGATGAATACAGTATTGAAGTGAATGCTGAAGATGGAAAAAGTATGACACTGCCTTGGTGTATACCACTGGCAGCTAACTGATTAGCCTTTAGCTAATTGATTAGGTCTTTAATCTAGAGCAGTGGTTCTTAAGCGTGTGTCCTTGGGTAAATTTTAGAAACACTTGAAAACCCTTGAAGTAGCATGTAAACATTTGTGTGTTTGTCTGGATTTAGGTGTCTTTTTGTTAGTGGTGATGTTATTTTTGAAGGTTTACAGCTTTCAATAATTTCTCTACAGAGTCTGTGGGCCTTCTCCTCCATAAGGTTACAAACCAGTCATTTGAGAGTTTGACAAGACAAACCAGTGAATTTCTTTGACAGCAATATTATTTTCTCATAATTTCTTGTCTGATTAGAAACTTTAAAAGGCCAGGTACAGATCAATATTTGTTGAATAAATGAATGAATAAGTGAACAAATACTTGCTGCTTTTACTTTACTCAAGTCTTTCAAATTTTGGTCGAATCAAACAGTGATCATTTATTGATTGCTCCACTGAAAACCCCAGTAACACCTTAAGTGTGCAATAGGAGGTCTTGGTGTAGAGAAATCCGTATGTTTCATGTGGGATTTAACACTCCAAAGTTCCCATGTCCTTTTAGACCATTACTAATATGGAAGCGCTAAGTGGTAGATTTTGCAGTCGAGTTTAAGGATACAATTCAGTGGCTCTGTTTCTGTATCCAAGGAATATGCTGGAATTATTAAAATTCAGATAAAAAGAAGATGTGTTTAATATGCTGGGTGCAGTCTGGATCCACTTTTCCACTTTCCTTTAGCCTTAGAGAGATGAACATTTGCATATGCAGAGTATTTTGCCTCCTAATAAGCTATTATTTAAACTCAGATTAGAGTCAAACTCTGGAGTTGGCAATTTCTTTGAGATTGTGGCTGTTTGTGTAATTCTGTGTTTTATTGACTCTGGACCCTTCACTCATTAGGGAGAAATAAATTTCTCTCCCCAAAAAACAAAATGTGATATCGTTAAAGATGGCAGAATATAGATGATATCAAGAGATTAACACTGGTTATCTCAGGGAATTGATGAGACTTTTCACATTCACACTGAAAATGCATCTGAACCATAATCCCTTTAACTCTTATCAATAACAATTGTGCCTAGGGTGTCCAGCTTTCAGATAAAGCTGTTTACACAGTTGCAGAGGTCTTACTGTATACAACACTATCCTGAAAAAAGCTGTATCTGTAAATTAAGGCAGGAAGTGAAGACTGTTAGGTCTAATTCAAACCATAGGGTAGTTTTCATTAGCTATAGTGCCAGCATTCAGTCAGAACAGGACGAGTGACCTGGTTCTTAAAGGCCCTTAGGAGTGGCAAGATAGATCTACATCTTATTTTGAAAAGACAGTCTAAAAACCAAGGAGCAATCTTTCTTGAGCTCCTGCCTCCATCTGCATTTTGGAACCAAGAGAAGGAAAATTCATTTAAAATAGATTGTCTGATGACAGGGAGTCAGACTTATGAAAAGAATATTTAAGCTTTATACTAACGAAAGGAAGAATAAAATACCTTTCTTACTGGAGCATAATCTTTGTGAAACTAAACATGTTTAATGATTATACTCCAAAAATGTCAAGAAGCCCTGTAATAACAATGAGGTCATCATCAGAACAGACACAAAACATTATCTCATCAAAGGGGATATATAACTATATAAACACATGTTTAGATTATTATATGTCTATATATATATAAAGTCACACACACATATATACTTTAGAAAATGTTTTGCCCTACTAAATTAATAGATTTATTGTATTATCATACAGACAAGTAAGATTAATGTTAGGGAAACAGTAGTTCCAAATTACTCCTAAATGAAATCAGGTGAAATATTTAGTTTAGCTATGCTGTGAATTTCACAGTTGTATAATAAATTATCTTGATGAAATGGTGATTAAATATACCTTGATCAATTTTGGAGAAGTTCAGATTTTTTGTTTTCTTTTGTGACTAAATTCAGTCCCTAAAATTCTGTTTCTTGTTTATATTTAGATATGTCTTCATGAATGAAGCTGTCCCAGAGAAAATATATTAGAAACAAATATCAAATCAAGTATAGTGTGTTGTAAAAAAAACAGGTGGCTAGGAGTTAGGCATCCTAGATATTTATTCTTCCTCTACAGCTAAACTAGTGGTGTGACCTTGGGCAGGTAGCTTAATCCCTCTGAACTTAGATTGTCTGAGCTATACTGTGAGTTAAGTGGGACTAGATTTCTTAAAATGTCCTTTTGGTTCCAATAAAAATAAAATTCTAAATTGCTCTGTGAGCTAAATCAACATTGCCAATCTGGTTAATTCTGAGCCTCCAGTACCTTTAAAAGGAGAATAGTTTATGTGAATCACAGAAAAAAATTGATTCATCTCTTCTCCACTCCACTTTGCCTTTGAACATGCAGTCTCAGATATTTAGTCTGTATGGTGGCATTGTGGGTCTATTTATTTTTGCAAAGACCTTTTTACTCTGATGATTTGATAAGAAACGGTATTTTTTTCCAAACGTATTGAGTTATTCCCTTGGTTTGCATTAGAGTAGATAAGTCCTTCGAGTTTTTAAATGAGTTTACATTTTCATTCCATCTCTTTGATTCAAGTTTGAAGGGATTCTATTTGGGCTATTTTATCTGTCTGCCCCTAGGAAAACCAGACTTTAAGTTATCCCGAAGGTATCACTGGCAGCATTCCACACCATCTGCAATGTATAAATATATTCATTTATTCAGTATATTCCAACTTAGCTAGCTCTAGTAATTTCATATTATTGGGGTCTTTGAGGAGAAAGGCATTCATTCTCTCCTGATTTATTCCTTATTATTAGTTCTGAACATTCGATTCAACTGACAAGTAATCTAATACAGAAACAAAACCTTAAGATTTTTCACAATGAGTTAAGTAACAGAAAGTTCTGGAGCCCATTCATTGTCTTTATTACAGTTGACTTGCTGAACACATTTGAGCACCCTTGAGAGATTCCAGATTTGAATTGAGGAGACTTAAGGCAGGTCAAATAACTCTCAATAAAGGGTACTTGTCTTTGGAACTTGTCACTTGATACAGCCTTCTGCTTAGCTTCCCAACATGGTATCAGATTGGTTTCTTTGACAATTAATTCTCTAAAAAGTCCTCTTTCTTTTCTTTTTCTATCACTGTAATGAAAGAAAACACACCTTTCTCCCTTTAGTGCATGTTTCCAAAAATTTGCTTTTTAAATTTAAATATTGATATAGATTTTTTTTGGACTTTCATGCATACAGCTGTATCTTCATGAGAGCTCGTAAGTATAGGAGCACTTGGTCACTATAGATACCTCTTATAGTGTGAGCTCTTGGTGAAGGAAGAAGCACAGTGGAAAATGAGGTCGGAAAAAGCTTCCATGATGGTAAAATAGACGAGAGTTCTAATCTCAGCACTTTCATTACTAGTTATATGACCTTGAGAGTGTCTTAACCTTTCTTGGCATCAGTTTTTGTCATCTCTAAAATAGGACATCTTTATAAAGCCTAAATTGTAATAATCTGCAGGATTTACTGTGCAGGGTAGGCTTTCAATAATGGGAAGTCATTTTTAAGAACCTCTTGTATACTTAACACTGTGTTCGCCTTTGGATAGAATACAGAAAACTCACAAGGTGTGACTGTCCCCAGGAGTTTAAAATTTAGTTGAAGCTTAAAGTTAGCTGAGATATATTGCTGTAGATTTCATACCCCAATCACTTATTCTTTCACTAATTTATTAACCCATTCATTCAATAAATGCTTCTTATATGCCAAATACTATTTGTAGGGCCTGAAGGGTAAATCAGTGAGCATAATTACACAGCTAGAGTCTGTAAAAATACACAATTTTAACTGACTAATTTTTTTGCTTACTACACATAGTATACTTAGTGAATTAGAGTGGTTATGAAGACATTCTGGCTCCACAGTGCCTGGGTTCATATCTCAGCTCTGTCAGGAACTATGTGAGTTATTCTGGTCATGTTATTTTTAACTACTTTGAGCCTCAATTTCCTCATCTGCCAAATGAGATAATAATCATATGTACCTGCATGTGAAGATTAAATGAGTTAGTATAAATAAAGTGTATAGAATGACTTCCAGACATACAAGACCAACAAGATGTTAACATTATTATTATTGTTATTGTTATTTACTATTTTCCAGACATCAGATTCTTAATTTTCTTTCAAGAAACAACCTCCTCTCTTTTCTCAGTCCATGATTTGGCCTGTAACTTAAGCTTAAGCTAATTAGCAGGGTTCATTTTCCTCAGCCGTAGTGCTTTGTTGAGTTAGGACAAAAGCTAGTCAATCAAGTTCAATCAAAGTCCTCTCTAGGGCTTTTGCTTGAGTGTCCAGGAAGATGCATTCTGTCTTTTCTAATAGAATTGTACCTTAGTTGATATAGTTCTAGAGTTTCTGGCAACTTTCTTATCACTATATGGATCCAGATAATGACAGCATCATGGAAGAATACAGAACAAAAAGATGGGGAGAAACCAAACAGTAATGATAATATATAAGCCTCTAGATAGAATGATGACAAAGATATTACTACTGAATTTTTCAGTTATAGATGCTAACAAATTACAATTTTTCTATCCCATTTTATTTTTAGTGTTTGGCTAAGTTAGCCAGATTTGGTTTCTGTTGCTTACAATAAAGAAACCTAACCAATAAACAACTGGGTCACTTAGAGGTTGATGCAGGTTTCTGATTATGAAATCTCTTTCCTTTTTCTTTCTCCCTCCATCTAACATAGTCCATCTTATACCACTTTATCAACATTTGTAGAAGTTTTCTTTTTTGAGAAGAAACCTGTGATTGTTTTTTCTAAGACTAGAACATTTCCTGAATCTATTAGGGGTGACCAGAGTGTAGTCAGGAAGAAATGACAAAGTAAAGAAAGCTATAGATTGATTACATTGTACGTAAGTGGTATGATTTTGTGCTTGGTAAAATGAAGAATTAAATAGTACAAGTTTGTCAATGTGTATGCAGCTGTATAAGAGATCTAGTGTATATGTTCTAAAAAGCCACATCGAGATTAAAGAAGGATAATCAATTAGGCTATGAAAATAAATATGTGGCTACAAATGTTGGTAAGCACTATGAGGGAAAATATTGGGTGCAAATATTAAATAACCAGAATATCACCCAAAATCAAAACAAGGAAAACCTTCACTAATAGTATAGCTGGTATTTGTTGAGCACTTAAGCATACAAGTACTTGCCAAGTACTTTACCTTTGCAACCTAACAGCCCACTGGGGTACCCTGTCCTTTGGCATTCACATAAAATTCACCTGAGTTCTCATTCCATATATAGAGATAAAACTCAAGGATCCCTTCTAATGTACCCCCAAATTCTTGGGTTGAGGGCTTAGGTTTTTCTGGCTCTAACTGTTTTCTTCTATGGAATTAGTTTTTTTTTTTTTTTATTTTATTTTAGTATCTGTCTCTGAGCTTGTTGTCACTAATTTGCCTTCCAAACACTAGATTCACTTTGGTACCTTATCCTTCAAAGGACCAATGACACAAAATGAAATTTATAAGAGATTTGTACAAAAGTTGGGTATGGGTGCGGAATTGAAACAGGTACACACAGCAGTTCACATTGTGTTATTGCATGATCAATATCTTTAATGAGGACATATAGCATTCATGGTCCAGGGACAATTTCTCAATTATTGACCATTGTCTTTTCTGTTGCTAAGACCTCCATCCCTCCATCTTGTTAGGCTTCTTCTCTTCACTCCACTCTGGGCACCTTCCTCTCCTGAGCTATTTACTAAAATTTTACTTTTTTATTTAATACCTACAGCCACGTTATGAACTCTGTTATTAATGTCATGTAAATAAATTAGCCTCACTCAAATAATTTGGGGTTAGGAATTGCCAGTGCAGTTTGAGGCCAGAGAAATTCCTTGGTATAATATATCAAATTCTGACAGAAGAAGCAAGAAGACTGTACCTTCATGACTCTTAAGTGAGCTGTGAGAAATCCAGCGGGTGTGTATGAGGAAGAGGGATTAGTGGGGTAAAAAGAAGTAGAGGTTAACAAAAATCCAAGAAAATTAAAAGAAAAACTTCAGAGTTTTCATAAAGTATGATTTCTGGGTTTATAAGTAGAAGGGGTTAATTAGTTGGGAAAATAATTCAAAGCCTGGGAACAGATGCCAAGGCATAGACAGAAAATTATTCTTCCTTTTTCTCCTTCACCTTTTCTCTTCATAGCAGAATCACATAGCTCACAAATTTTTTTATGACTATGCAGTCAAAGTGTATTGCTTTGTTGTAAGACAATTAGTTCTTATTTGTTTGAGCAAATGTTCTATTATTTATAAGGAAAGGATGGAAGAATTTCTCCTACCAAATTTTTCCTATCTTCCATTAAATTGTAATGTTCACATTAAAAGTGGAATGTCCAGTTCCTTCAAATTTATTCCCCAAATGGTGATCACAGCTGAGAGTTTATCTGTAATATTTATGATGATGATGGTAGTAATGGGAAATATTTATGGAGCTTTTATTGCATGGCAGGCATTGGGGTTTCATTTAAGCCTCCCAGTAATCCTGTGCAGCAAATACTGTTATTACCTCCATTTTATGTTTGAGAAAAAGAAAATAGACTTGGAACAGTTCAATGACACACAACGTCACATCAAACAAATAAGTGGTTAAACTACATTTGTGTAGGGAAGGCTAGCATCGTGATGATTTTTTCCCTCGTATACTTCGTGGTTGCTTGTATGCTTTCATGGCTGATTCTGTTGCAATTTGGCATTTATATTATCAATTGGTGAGCTGGTCACTACTGAATCTTTTCTATTCCATAAATAATGATTTCATTTTGAAGAAATGAGATGGATAAAAGATAAGGGGAAAAAACCTGTCACTACAAGCATACAATCATAGACATTTTAGAATTAAAAGTTTCCTTAAGGATGATTAAGAAAACATTAAGGAATCTGAGGCACAGAAGCATTAACTGACTTGGTCAAGGTCAAACAGCTAGTTACATAATCGCATTTTCCTTTGTCAAAGAAGTTAAGTGTTTTAAGTAATTTATTTTAATGTTGAGAGATCTTTATAAATCCTCCTGCATTACTTAGATAAATAATTCTGCACTAAAATTGTTTTTCAGTAATTTTGTTTGGCTATTTGAGTGTGTGTTTTTCATAATCTCTAACGCTGAATTTCTCATCAATTCAGGCCTCCAGATTTTATTAGGTTTTGCGTGCTCAGGAAATAACACCATCAAAGCGGAGTTATCTCCACATACGCAGGACAATTATATTGATATATCATGCGCTGTATTTTAATTTCAAAATTATTGCCTCATTGTTTTTTCCTGGAGCCCAGTTTTATTTCTTTCTTCTTATCATTAAAGGTACAGCAACAACTAATTCACCCTTAAAAAGAAGAAGAGAAAAGAAAAGGTTTGCTTAAAAAAATGTAGCTAGAAAAATCTCCCACAGAGTGAATTCCCACAGTGTTACGGAGAATGTAAATTTAGCCCAGTGTGATTCAAACAATCAAGTTAGGAATTTTAATTTAATGGTTTGTTCCTTTGAATTGTTAGAAACTCACCTCATTGTGCAAGTTGTGTTTGAATTGGAGAAAATTGAACTAAAATGTGTTGAATTTGCCCCAATCAGGTTATTCTAGGAGGTCCAATTCACAGGACTAGAAAGAATGAATCAACATATCCAACAAAAGGAGGCTTGAATGATTTCACTTTAATAATAATGACTCTATTATCCCTCAATATTTTAGAATTTAAATATTTGGTTTCTGTGGAGACTATCTTGTCTTAGTAGTTTTAACAGGGTTGCGGAATTATCTCCTTTTCATTTCAACATAACCCAGAGTCCCAGGTTTTTGGTACGTTGGTCAGAAACCTCAGTGCCTCACAGTTTAGAGGGCTTGTGAATCAGTTTGGCGGCAAATAAAATGCTGGAGGAGATTGAAAAAAACGTTGGAAGAAACTGCAGATAAGAAAAAGGACCAAGTATTTTTTTGTGATATCTTAGGGAATAGTTTAACAGGGCTAATGGGTCTAGAGAATCATGGCTCATGTTTGGAATTATAATAGTAAAATTTGGTAAAATATAGCGCTTTTCTTAGAAAGTAAGAAAACATACAAAAAGCTCATCAAGAGGAAAGTAACTTGGTTATAAACCTTTTTACTTGTTTACCCATAGAGAAAGAAATGTTAATACAGTGAGCTCTTTGACAGTAAAATGGAGTTCTTACCACTTAGAGGCTTTAAAAGTTAGGTTGGGTAGGGACCTCATAGCCACATATATTATTCAATTTCACTTCAAATACATTGACACTAAGGCTCCAGGATAGTGTGTTATGCCAAGGATCACACTGGTACTGACTGAGTTAGAAAAGGTATTTCCTTTCCCTTCATACCATGATGTCTTCCTGCCTTCTCTCTGGAGTGCTTGTGACTGAAATAACTGTCATTGCTCCTGAGTCCCTTTCTTTGAATATAATGTTGGTGTTAGTTTATGGTGTGCATGTCTGTCCTTTCCAAGGGCCATGGTCATGTCACACATATAGTGGCATAATTATTCCAACCACAAATACTAACTGTATAGTGGCTCAGGATCTCTTCACTGCTTGGTGGTTCTGAAAGACCCAAACTCTTTTAAAACAGATCCAGCTCCTGCATTACGGTAACTGGGTTCCTTTTGCCATGTGAGATGACATATTCACAGGTTCCTGGGATTGAAACCTAGACATCTTTGGGGAGTCATGATTCTATGTACCACTCATAGTTCATCACTTTTTGTCATTTGATTGCTAACTCACCTTAACTACTTTCACACACGGATATCCATTGTGCACAATATCTTCCTTAACTCCCCAAATAGGAAAGCTAGATGTAGTTATCCCGTTGTCTGGAAGAGGCAATGGAGCTTCAGAAACATTACATTAGTTGTCCATGAGCATAGAAAGAGGCAGGGGAGCTGGGATTCAAACGCTGTGTGTCTGATTTGAAGTCTGGAGTTTTAACGCATTAACTTTAAGGTCCTCAGGCTTCATTCACAATAAGGCAGTGATTTTTCAAATTTACTTTAGCAGCAAAACCTTATGTTAAATGAAATCTTACACATGTAACCAATATGTCCCACTTCACCATGTAGGAGTTCAAACCCAGGTCATCTCTCTTTTCATATTCAAATTAAATGGTGCTAAGTTCCCTCGTGGTGTCATGAAAATGTTTCTCTTTTCTACTTGGACCCTTCCTTCCCATAACAAACCCAACAATGCTAAAAGTGTATATTCAGTCCATGACATGTAAGACACCACATGAAGAAAAAATCCAAAATAGCCTAATGCATTTACCAGGAGCCAAGACCTCTACTGCTGTCATTGCTGTTGCTGCCACATGGTGTCACTGGTGGAGACTGTAGTCCCTAAGCCATGGCAGTTGTGTGTCCATGGAATACCACAGCAGAGACCTACCTGCACACACTACCATTTTTTGGCTGGTGGTAGACTGTAGATGTGAGGGGTGAATGGAAACTTCTTTTGCTCTGTGTTAGGCAGAGCTATGGTCATCTGTGCTCCTGCTCATATGGCGCTACCATTTAGGTAATTGCCCTTTCATAACACAATCTACAGCCATTGGTCCAAAGCATTCTCACCCACAGTGTCTGGGAAGCTAGGGCATGAAGGTTTTCCTGTCTCAGAGATAGTTCATATCCCAAACCAGCCTCCCTTATACATCAACACCCTAACCCATGAGATTAGAGGAAATCCTCTTTTGGGCCCACAGTCTGTCCCAATTAATGCATCCAAATGAGTGACATTTCTTTAGACATGCTAGAACTAGATTAGGCTCCAAGGAATAGAAAAAAAATTAAATCACCAAATGAATAAGACACAGGTTGATTTCTTTCTCATATTGCATCTTGGTGCTCCACCGTGTGTTCCTTACTTTCCGAAGGTCAACTCACAGTTCCAGATGTTCACAAAATCTGAAAGCTATAGGCATCGCATCCAATATTTCAGCCAGAAGGAAGCAGGAAAGGGCAGGAGAGAGAATGACACTTCCTTTAAGGATACTTTACATCCTACTTTCTATAACTTAGATGGTCAGATGACCACTCTTACCTGCAAGGAAGCATGGGCAATGTGAATTTTATTCTGAGTGCCCACATGTCCTGCTAAAATTGGAGGATGCTGTTCTTAAGGAAAAAAAATCACAACCAGCAGTATCCATTTTAAGAGGGAGCATCCTTCCTTATTACATAGTCACCCCAGTTGATAAAACAGTTGGGAGCAGATTGCTCTGGTTGAAGCAACAGTAGTTTCTGGAGTCCTGCCCACTCAGCCTTCTATACCTGTGCTCTGGTCCTTGAGACGGTGATAAGAAAAATGGGACTACAGAGCTCAGCTGGAAAACCATTGTACAGAGATGACAGCTTGCAGCTCAAAGGGTTACCTGCTTCCTGCTTTTGACAAACACATTTACTTATTTTTCATGATAAATTTAAAACTTATGGAAAAATTAAGGAATAGTATAGCAATAATAATATGCCTGCTACCCAGATTCACCCTCATCACATAAGGTACCAGTGTTGTTTAAAAAATATAAGGCATTTTGGATTCTTCTAGAATTCCTTTGAACCACCACACAGCCTCATTGTACACTTTCTTCATGTCTATGGCCAACACTGCTCTCCCCAGCTTGTATCATAATACTGGGAGGTATCCTTCTAGCTCATTATTTTTCCCAATTAGCTAGAGTCCATATTTATTTTTATTTCCTTTGTTCTTACCTAATGTCCTTTTTCAGTACCAGGATTCCATACAGGGATGTCACATGATATTTAGGAGTTTACTAGTCATGTCTCCTTTGGGTCCTCTTGTGGTGACAGATTCTCATACTTTACTCGTTTTTGATGGCTTTCATAATTCTGGTTAGGTATTTTATAGGACGCCTCTCTACTTGGATTTATCTGCTGTTTTTGTCACGACTAGGGTTATGGAAAGGTTTGGTGGAGGAAGACCACAGAGGTAAAATGCCATTTTTATTATGTCATACCAAGGGTACATTTTATCGACATGATTTATGACTGTTGATACTCACCTTAATCACCTGGCTGAGGTAGTATTTGCCAGATTTCTCCATTGTAAAGTTACTCTTTTATCCTCCTTTTTCCATGCTGTACTCTTTGGAAGGAAATCAGTAAGCCCAGCTCACACTGAAGCAGTAGGGAATGAAGCTCCCCTGCCCCAACTTGAGGAAGGAATATCTTCTACATCTAGGATATAGCATTTGGAATGCTTCTGTGTGAGGGATTTATTGCTTCTCTCCCATTTATTTATCCAACCATTTATTTATGTCAGTATGGATTCTCGGTTATTTATTTTATACTTTGGGTCCAATTCTACTTTATTTATTTTTGCTCAAATTGTTCCAGCTTAGAACATTGGGAGCCATTTCAGGTAGCTACTATTTCCCTTTGACACACCCCTAACCTCCCAGGGTCATTTTATTTAGTTATTTACTTTAGCAATTCTTTATTTTCTGGTACTACAAGTTGCCCCCAGGCTCATTATGTCCCAGTCAGAGAATCAGCCATCTATTCAAGAAGCCCTGATTTCTTTATTGGAGGATTATACAAAATGCTTTTTTTTTCTTTTATTGGAGGATGTCTATACACACATATACATATATACACACACATATATGTATATACATATATACATATATATGTAGAGGATTTTCATTTTAACAGGATTTAGTTGTGAGCTAACAGCAATACAGTTCTAATTGTGGCATTTTTTTTAGCATTAAAGGAACAGGTGATAGAATACTTAGGGGGTGGTCCTTGGGGCTACTGGCCCCTACCACCATCACAATGTGAAAGCAGTCACTTATTCAAATAAGGGACTTCAAACCTTCAAACTTTCTTTGAGTCATAAACTCCTTTTGGGAAGCTGCAAAAGGTTAACAGATCTTTTGCCCAGGGAAAGAAAAAGCATAAACAAACACACACAGAATCTGCCCAGGATTCCTAATGTTCATAGGCTCCTTGAAGTTCTGACTTAGGGCAGCCGGTGACTCCTGGACAGGGGACCAGGTGTAGTGGAAGGGCCAGGATGGCCACGTGCCTTGGTTCTTGGTTGCTGTTTTTCTCAAGCTTCATTTTCATTGTGACCTCTTTTCTGGCCAAGGAAATTGAGTCATTTAACAAATAAATAAAAAAAGTCTGATTTAATATTATAGTTTCTTCATTGGTTGATTACAAACATTTTATTTTAAGCTGCTCCTTTTATGTACAATCATGATGGAGTTGTTTTGGGTACTTTTTTGGTTTGTATGATTTAAAGAAAAAAATCAGAGGTAATTTGCATGGTTTCTTTAATTCATATCTCTTTGAATTTTGTTTGAGTCACTTCCTCTTTGCATCAATGGTTCCTATTTAAAACCGGTACAGTGAGAAGAAGGGTATATTTAGCATAAAGTTGTGCCTGTGAGAGCCGACATCAGTGTAGGACCGAAAGAGTTAACTGAATTAAATCTCAGTACATTTTTCTGAAGCTGTTTAACACTGATTATTTCAAGGTGGTTTTTATAATCACTTCCAAATGTTTTAATGAGGCTGTTTTTCATTTTTCACTAGACTTCTTTAAAAATTTTTTTCCTTTCCATATTGATTTTCCAGCCACTTTCCTTGATGCCACCATTGGCAGGCCCCTCCATGCACTTTTACAGTTTGTTCCAGAAGCTTCCCTCCACCTCCTGGCCCCATCTCTCTTCCTGTCTCCTGGGTGCTCTTTATCCGAGGAGGATGCTCTTCTGGTCTGATTCCTCCTGGTTCCTCTTGCAGCCTGAGTCCTAGGCCATGTGCAGTTTTTATTTCACTCTATCCATCTTAGCTACCTCCTGTTGTCATTTTAGGTTTTAAAGATCCCTCTGGAATAGAATCTATAAGACTTTTTTATTTTATCGAATTTTTGATTATAAGCATTGGAGATCTGTTTAATCATACGCGCCTTCCTTTGATTTCAAACTTGGCCTCAGAAGCAGTTGCTTCCCTTTCCCTATCTAGGTCTCCCTGGCCTGGCACGGGGCCCCTTCCCTACTGTATTAGGTAGCAATGGTCAATTAGGCTGCCCAAAGAAGACAGGGCTGTGACACTTGTCCCATGCCACAGCTTTCAGACAGTTCTGTGTAAACACACGTTACCAGCCAGCCCAGGCTGATGTCAGAGATTAGTCAGAATGCGCCTGCCATTCCTTCAGAGAGAGGTCCTGTTAGGTCATGATAAACAGCCACAAGATTTATGGCTTCCCAAAGAGGAAAACCAATTCCCCAGACTATCTCTGAGAGTGATATCTGTATGCTGGACACTCTTCTCCTTGCAAACATCATGATGCAGAAATGAGATCGCTCATCAAATGTGTTGCATCTTGGTGCAAGAGTGTTGGGTGTTTTCTAAAAGGTAATGGTAATAAATGGTCCTGTTTTCCCTATTTTCTTTTCCTTACTCTTCTATTTGAATCCAGGGCCTATTCTCAATTTAGTTAAAATCTTTATAAATATAGCTTCCCACCCCTCCGAACTAAATTACTTACATAAGCTTATTGAGAGATGCTGCATTTTTCTTTTGAAATCAAAGTAGTATATTTGTTTTTAATGGAGAAAGAAGGTGTGTCTCAGGTTGATGTCATGGTCTCTGTCAAGGTTATCAGAATTAAAAGCATTAATATAGTGTCCTTTATGTATGTGCTTGGGTAGTTAAGCTTGCTAATTGACTATTCCCCCAAAATGAGAAACTATTTATACATTAATGATGTTAAGTAGTTCTACCACTCAGTAGAGGAGAAGGCAAATTAGGTACTTTGTTTTTTTAAAAAAAAGTTTTTAAAATTTGGATTGTGGTACAAAGTTAATGTTAATTTTCAAGACCAAATTGCTATTTTTCAATGTAGTGGTAATACTAAAATAACAATAAATTATGGACAAATAATAAGAATCCACATTTTCCTAGGAACATTCAGATGGAACAATATGAATTGTCAAATCACTTGGATAAATACCGTCCCCAAAACCCAAATGTTTTCTTTTCACATATCTAAACATGTGAGTATTTGGAAATGTCAATTTAGGGTTGATATTTTTCTTCTTTCAAGCAGATGTTTGGCACCCTGTGAACAGGACAGCGTGTGTGGCTAAAAATTATGTGTTAAATGCATTGAAGGTTGAAGGACAAAGGCCGATTTGAAAAGAATCTTTGGAAAATCACAGTATCAGGGTCTCTGTACCATGAACTGGGTTCCCAGACAATATCCGCTGATGATTTCTTCATGAATGCCCACAGAAGTGATTGATCTGACTCTAGTCCTAGTCGGCTTGAGCTATCCAAACTCAAGAAAAAAGTGTTACTTGAATCTGGGGTCTTTTATTAATAAGATCAATTGGCATAAAATTTAATAATTGGGAAAGGATACCAAAAAGTAAGATAAAATGGGGGTTCTAATGAAAAACAGATACCCATCCCCAAGGAAATAAATGTGAGCGCGGATGTAATGTTAATGCAAAGAAAAGGGGAAAATGTGTATTTGCTGTGCATAGTGGTGAGCTCCCTCCTAGGGCTACGTCCTGGCTTCCAATTCTGTTCCCCCTATTATCTCTAACTCAAAGCTTCTGCTTTTGGAGCTGAAATTCTCCATGCTTTACTCTACCCTAAGGGAATGCATTCAGTTTTTCTGGAAGTTTTTATTTTGTGAAAGCTAAATCTCTTTGCTTTTATCTCGGCAATGATGTATTTTAACAAACGCAGGGCTGGCAGTCCCAGCAACAATTAGTCCAGCCTCTGCCTGGTCCTGCAAGGGGATAGGAAGCACCAGCTCACTCCCACTGGCGTCTGTATCCTCATTAATGTTTTTTCTTTTCTGACATGCTTTTCTTTTTTGGTTCTCTAACTGTGACCAATCATGGGGTCAGCTTGAGTTCTGCTTGTTCCATAAAGTCTTTCTTAGGGATTCTGTTCTCCTTGTTCTCTCTTTGCTTGGATGCTGAATGACACTGGCTCCTGATTGAGCCCTTGGCTATATACTATCTTCTACTTCTTTCTCTCTTTCTCTCATCTCACATATGTTAGCTTCAGTCTTATCAGCTAGACTGTAGGCAGCTTGAGAGACAAGAGACTCATCTTCCAGGAGGTCTCTTCATAACCGCACTCATGATAAGGGGCATGAAATTTTTACTGTTTCCACATCTCCCCTGTGGGCTTGATGGACTTGGGTAACAAAGAGGGTCCTTTTTCTTGAGAGGAAAGAGGCCCTGAAGAATGTATTGGAAAATATTCTCTAATTATGTTGTTAATAGATTATAAGAGATGACTGGGGTTTCTGAGAAAGATATCACAAGTTATTAACTGTCCACTGTTGTGAATAACTATCAAATTCCTGAGACCGATTATTTTGGGCAAAATTAGCCTAACATTATTGTTTCAGCAAAGTGTCTGACAATACTATCTTTTTGTAATCTTTTGGGACATGCAAACTGAGTTAGATCGGTGCTTTACAGATTGTTTTTCCATGTGCTAAAATCAGTTATACTTGCATTTTTAAAATGTGGCTTAAAAAATTCATAGTGCTATTTTCCCAACTGGCACATATCCCTTATGGCACTAAACCACATTTCTGGGGTAAGGTGGATGAGATGTTTTAGGGAGATGCACCAATGGACATTCTTAAATAAAAACATTTATTTTATAGATGCAGGCAGTGGGTACATGTGCAGGTTTGTTACGTAGATATATTGCATAGTGGTGGAGTTTAGGCTTCTAGTGTACCCATCACCTGAATAATTAACATCATACCCAATGGTTAAGTTTTCAACTTACATCCCTCCACTCACGTTTCCCCCTTTTGGAGACCCTCAGTCTCTGTTATTTCTCTCTGTATGTTCATGTGTGCTCATTGCTTAGCTCCCAACTTACAAATGAGAACATGTGATATTTAGTTTTCTGTTCCTGAGTTATTTCACTTAGGATAATGGCCTCCAGCTCCATTCATGCTGCTGCAAAAAACATGATTTCATTCTCTTTTATGGCTGTGTAATATTCCATTATATATATATTATGTTATATATATAATATATATATAATATATATCACATTTTCTTTATCCAATCATCCATTGATGGATACTTAGGTTGTTTCCACGATTTCACTATTGCAAATAGTGATGCAATAAAAAATGCATGCAGATGTCTTTTTGATATAATTTCTTGTCCTTTGGGTAGATACTCAGTAGTGGGGTTGCTGCGTCAAATGGTAGTTCTAGTTTTAGCTTTCTGAGAAATCTCCACACTGCTTTCCATAGAAGTTGTACTAATTTTTATTCCCACCAACAGTGAGTAAGTGTTCCAGTTTCTCTGCATCCTCAACATCTGTTGTTTTTTGTCTTTTTAATAATAGCAATTTTGACTAGTATAAGATGGTATCTCATTGTGATTTCAATTTGCATTTCCCTGATGATTAGTAATGTTGAGCATTATTTCATATGTTTGTTGCCACTTGTATATCTTTTTTCGAAAAATGTCTGTCACTTTTAAATGGGGTTAGTTGGTTTTTTTCTTGTTGAGTTGTTTGAGTTCATTGTAGATTCTGGATATTAGTCTTTTGTTGGATGCATAGTTTGCAAATATTTTCTCCCATTCTTTAGGTTGTCTGTTTACTCTGTTGATTATTTCTTTTGCTGTGTGAAAGCTTTTTTTTTTTAAGTACCATCTATTTTTGTTTTTGTTGCATTTGTTTTTAGATCTTAGTCATAAATTCATTGCCTAGGCCAATGTCCTGAAGAATTCTCCCTAGGTTTTCTTCTAGGATTTTTATAGTTTCAGGTTTTACATTTAAGTCTCTAATCCATATTGAGTTAATTTTTGTATATAGTAAAGGATAGGGTCCAGGTTCATTCCTCTGCATGTGGCTATCCAATTTTCCCAGCACCGTGTATTGAAAAGGTATCTTTTCCCCAATGTATATTTTTGTCAACATTGTTGAAGATCAGTTTGTGGTAGCTATGTGGCTTTATTTACTGGTTCTCTATTCTGTTCCATTGGTCTATGTGTCTATGTGTCTTTTTTTTTTTTTTCAACTAATACCATGCTCTTTTGGTTACTATAGCCTTGTAGCTTGTAGTATAATTTGAAGTCAGGTAATATGGTGCCTCCAGCCTAGTTCTTTCTGTCTAGGATTGCTTTGGCTATTCTGGCTCTTTTTCAGTTCCATATGAATTTTAGAATAGGTTTTTTCCTAATTCTGTGAAAAAAGACCTTGGGAATATGATAGGAATTGCATTGAATGTGTATATTGCTTTAGGCAGTATGGTCATTTTAACAAGATTAATTCTTCCAATCCATGAGCTTGGGATATTTTTCCATTTGCTTGTGTTGTCTATGATATCTTTCATCAGTGTTTTGTAGTTCTCCTTGGAGAGAGCTTTCATATCCTTGGTTAAATGTTTTCCTAGGTAATTTGTGTGTGTGTGTGTGTGTGTGTGTGTGTGTGTGTAGCATAAATGGGATTGAGTTCTTGATTTGGTTCTCAGCTTGAATATTATTGGTGTATAGAAATGCTGCTAATTTTCATACATAGATTTTATTACCCAAAAATTCACTGAAGTCATTTATCAAGTCTGTGAGTCTTTTGGAGGAGTCTTTAGGGTTTTCTAGGTATAAGATCATGTTATCAGCAAGCAGAGATAATTTGACTTTCTCTTTTCTAATTTCGATGCCTTTTATTTATTTATTTTTTTGCTTGATTGCTCTGGCTAGGCCTTCTGACATTTTAGATTTTAATAATATTTTAGTATGAACTAGAAAAGACTTAGAAGACAAATAAAACCTTAATTTCACTGGCTTTATTTCTTTGGATAAAATGTGTAAGACATTGTGAACCAGGTTAAAGAAAACTATCAAATATTTAAGTATTTACTTACGCTTTTAGTTGGACAAACAGATACAGCCAAAATTGTGAATTTAATAGAAGGGAGCAACTTAGAGAAAACACAGCTCAAACCAAGACTAGATCATTCAAAAAGAGGGGAAAGAATAGCTGTTTATTAGCACCCATCCAGTGAGAGAGATATATGCACCTAGTATGGTGCTGACTCCATTGCCATTGGTGCATTCTCCCAAGGGCCCTCTGCATGCTGTACCCATAATGCTTACTATACATATACATATACATACATATACATATACATATACATATACATATACATATACATATACATATACATATACATATACATAGTGCTCACTGTAAGTTGAACACAGCCTGAAGCCATTGATGACCAGGTTGTGTGTCTGGCAGCATGATTAGAAGAAAGAGTGAATATTTTTCTAAGCTCCATACCTTGGCATTACTACATGCTTGTGTGTCCTATAAAGTATGTCACAAAAAATCTGTTAATGAGAAATATTTATTGTACCAAAGTAGATAGGACTTCTCTTTTGTTATAAGCTAAAGCAGAGCCTCTTACATCTCTGTAAATATCATTGCTTTCACTCAGGTGTAATACTTTTTCTTGAGTGGAAGAGAAAATATGGGGAGATACAGGAGAGAGCTGGAACTATCCCTGCCTCTGGGTGTATCTTAAAAATTGTGTTATATTTGGGGCCATCATCCATTCTATGTGGCTGCCATTCTAGAGCATCTTATCATAAACCCTACTTCTTCCTCAGCTGTGTCTGAACACATGATTTATTTCTATGCTTTAAACAACAATGTACTTTTACAATTTAACAGCATCTAATTGACTTTTTTACCCATGGTCATAAAAATTGGCAAATTAAAGGAATAATTCTTGCTCTTTCTAAGTATCACTTTGAATGGCTGAGAATGAAAGAAGCTGATAAAGGGCAAATCACACCAGGCAAGTGACTTGGCCAGCATTACACTAGGCTTTCCATGTTACAGAACTCAGCGACTATTTTACCAGAACCCAGAGACTCATTATAGACTTCGTTGTTTGCTGGAACTGAAAAATCTCCTTTCAGAAGAGCTGTATGAAGAATTAAGAGCTGCCATTCTTCTGCTTTAATGAAGCTACTGGTAGAAATAGGAAGCTACTGGTAGAAATAGAAATAGAAATAGGAAGCTACTGGTAGAAATAGGAATTAGTACGTAGTGGGGATTCTAAACTGTCAGCTTCCCCAGGCAGGTACCATATCTTATTCATGTAGGGATTTTTGGTGTGTAATGCACTGTCTGGCCTATGAAAATACTCAATGGATGTTTGATGGATGTATATGAGGCAAACACAGTGTTATAGAAGAAGCCTGGGGCAGAGAAACAGCTGAATCGCGTTCTACCACCCATGCTGCCACCAGCAAGCATTTGACATTGGAGAAATTACTCCCGTCTCTGGAAATCTACTTGAGATTTATCCTATATCTCCAGAATGTGGGCGCTTAGAATATATAATTTCTAAGTTATAAAAATGTGCTTATATTTCAGATTATGTCCATTGATAGATCATGCCTATATGCAATAAAAAAATTAAAAATAACCTCAACTATTTCCTTATGTTGAGTACTTACCATGTGCCAGATACTTTACTAAGGTGTTCCATATATTATTTAATTTGATTATCCTATCAAACATGTGGGAGTAAACTTTGCAATTTCCATCTCACAAGTAAGAGTACCTTGAATTTAGCACTGTTACTTTCTGAAGACATCAAAGCTAGTAAGTGGTGGACACTGGATGGGAGTCCAGGACTGTGTGACTTGTCAGTGTTGGCCCTAAACCAATTTACTGCCTCCCTAACTATGAGTAGTCAATGTTACCAGAGACTAATTATATGTTTATAGCTGGCCATGCCACTAATTGAAAAAAAAATGGTGAAAAAGAAGGAGGAAGAGATATGAGGGGCAGAAGATATGACTATCTAGTTTATTATTTATTAATTAGATTTAAACATACTTTATTACTGAAAAAGTAATCTCTAAGGACGAGAAATTTAAAACCCGGTGATATGATTGTTTAAACTTTGTTTCTTTTCACTGACTTCAGTAGATCATAATTATTTTCCATAACTCTGATACTAAAGTGAGTATTTAATCAATGTGTTAGTAACTTTTTAAGCAAAGCAAAACATTAGTATAGGCTGAAACAAGAATTCTTATCATTCCCATTCACTATGAACTCTCCATTAAGCACAATTGGATAATAATGTAGTGTGACCATGGCTGTTCTCCGTCTCCCTTTGCCTCCATTTCAAGACAGTAGTTCTCATAATCTCAAATGTATTCATTTGAAATCATGAATGCTACAGAATCACTAAAACCAACACTTTCAAAGTTTACAGATCATTAATTGAACTTAAGTTGATTTAGTGATTCCAATATTGCAATTATCCTCTACTGAACTCTTCAGTAGGGAATTTGAAAATACTGAAAGTAAAGTGCTGGTTTAGAACTGGAATCTAATATGGATAGCCTTCTTGTTTTCCTTTCCTCCCTTCATCTCTCCCTATCTTTCTCCTTTCTTCCCTTTCTCCTTCCCTTCCTCCTTTCCTTTCTTCCTTCTTTCCTCCTTTTTTTCTTTCTATCTTTCAGCTGAGCTAGACTCAGTATTACTTCTGCCCATAGACTGCTTGGATTAAAACATTTGAAGAAATTAAAACAATATTTCTGGCTACTGTTCTGTCTTGATACAGAAGCCTTTGTATAATAACAAACATTTCTTCTGATGACAAATATCCTGCATTAAATGTTTATTAAACAAGTTTTAATTCTTAATTTATGCATGCAAGGTTGAAATGATACAAAGGAAAACCAAAGGAATTTGGTTATGAAGACACATTTCAACTTGCAAAACCTCCTAGGAACTGGCCAATAATGCTTGTGTTAAAGGCTATTTTATTTACTATTATATTACCTAAGTGAATTTAATGCATCAGTAATTTAGATACCTGGATGCCTCTAAGACTATGGATTTGGGGAGTTCTCATTACATGTAAAAGCATCCTGCAGTGTTCTTTGCTTAGGGAATCCAACCTGTGTCTATAAACCTTTGCAAGGTTTTCTTTGTTCACTGCAGGGGGTTCTAGCAAGTAAGCAGATAGAGAGGTTTTAAAGTAAAAAGAAGAACCCATTCTGTCATAATGGCAATTCTACAATACCTCTGAGGAACAATGTTAGTGATCAACACTGGCAGTAGAGATGACGATTTGGGTTGTGTGTGTATGTGGGGTGTGTGTGTGTATGGAAGATTTACATTTGCAAGGCTATTTAATGACTGCGCAGAATGACTTTCAAAAATAAAAATATTGCGGTTGATGCAGTGTAAAGTAATGCTTCCCTCTACCCTCATGACGCATCTCTTTACCCTCACTGGCCTGGGACAGCCTACAAATGCAGATTTTCTGATGTAGAATGAGGCATCATTAGGGCTCATGTCTTCAGAGATTCTCCAGGGATGGTCAGGAAGTTCCTACCCACAGCCCTCTACTTCACTGATTTTTCTTTGTTTCTGTTCTTTTTAAAACTTAAAAGAGTAGAACATTTTTTCTTTCTTCAGTTTTATTCAGAAACCCAATATAAAAGAAAGAAAAAGTAGAGTAGCTGCTTCTAAAGTGCTAGTAAGAGCCTCAGAGCTCTGACCACTGAACTGTCTCCCGTCCAAGGCTCTCTCTAAAACCAGCTCTTCTATAAATCATTCTAGAGTAAGATAAGTGTTCTAGTGATTCATTCATTTGGGTTGAGACTCAGAACCCCTGAGCCGCAATGTAAACACCTGGGAAGGTTTTCACACTTTGCCATTTCTTATTTAGTTGTTCCTACTTTCATTCTCTTCTGTTAGCTAGTAATGAGCAGAACCCTAAGTGGCTGAGGCAGAGGATAGTGAGCTCTAATTTTGGGGAAAATTAAGGAAAAAAAAAACACTGGGCTATGCCAGAGAGAATATAAAAAGGCTAACTCAATTAGAAGGACTGAGCATTTGGGAACAGTCTTAGAGCACTGGTTTTCTGGTAGAAGGAAATACATAGGCCAAAGGGAGGGAAGTATTGTGGAAAGAGAAAGTAGGTGATGAATTAAGACAAGTATCTGCTTTTACGTTAGGCAGTCCCTAGTCTCACCAATCTGGTACTGTGTTTGATTCTTTTGGTGAGAGGCCTCATTAACATTTAAGACCATTTAAGAGCTTATTTTGCCCAGGCAATTGCCTCTGAGACCAACAGAGTACTCCAGAAAGGAAGAAAAATTGGCCAGAACTTTCCAGTGTAGATCCCAGAGGTACATCTTGGCTTTCAGAACACCTTTGGTTTGGAAGTCCATTTGGGAATATTCTGGAGCCCAACTACCTGATGCCTAGTATCTGAATCCCTGCTTGGCTTAGCTATCTATCCCAAGGATGACTCAGAAGCAAGGAAGGGCAGGAACGCCTTTCTTAAATTTACCCCAATCTCTGCTGGGCCCTCTAATTATTTCCTTTCCTCTTCATATGAGTTGGATGAAAGTTCTGAAAAGTTATCCCATTTTCCAAAGGTGATGATGCAGAGGGTTGGTATATGTATAAAGCAATTCAGGTAAGCCACTCTGCATAAGTGTCTTATGGTTGACTTAATTAGGATTTATGTATAAGTGAAAAAATAGCAAAAATAGATTATACTTTCCCCAGTCAACTTGTTCTCATTCTACACATTTATGAGGAATAAATCAGTAATTTCTAGGTGCATTCATTTCCATGAATGTATTTAATGCAAATGCTTCTGCATGTGATATTTTCAAGGCAGTGTTTGTATGCAATTTTCACCTATGGTTTGTGTTTTGGGGGTTTAGTTTAAGATACAAAGATACCTTCCAATATTATGTATAAACTTTTTCTTTAAGCTTTTTTTTTTCTGCGTCATTCTTTCTATTATCTCCTCTGGGACTTCAAATATACATCTATGAGACCATTTGCTATCGTCCTACAGGTTCTGAAAGCCCTGTTCCCTTTTCCCCCTATTTTTTTTCTCATCTTCAGATCAAATAATTTCTACTTACCTATCTTCTCTTTTCTCTGTCATTTGCATTCTAATGTTAAGCTAGGTGGTGAAATTTTTATTTCAGATACTGTATTTTTAATTCTAGAATTTCCATCAATTTCTTTCTATAGGTTTTGTTTCTTTGTCTTTTCATTCACCATGAGCATATTTTCCTTTACATAATTGAATGTATTTATAATAAATAATTTAAAATGCTCTAGTAATTCAACATATGAGTCATTAGAGGTTTGGTCTCCATTGATTATCTTTTCAATTGAGAATGGCCAGCATTATGTTGTTACTTCATATTTTAAGTAATTTTGAATTGTACCCTGGACATTGAGAATGATATGTTATAGAAGTTATTTTATTTTTATTTTTTTGAAATGGAGTCTCACTCTATTTCCCATTTCCCAGGCTAAAGTGGAATGACATAATCTCGGCTCACTGCAACTTCTGCCTCCCAGGCTCAAGTGATCCTCCTACCACAGCCTCCGGAGTAGCTGGGACTACAGGTGTGTGCCACCACACCTGTTTAATTTTTGTATTTTTTTCGAAATGAGATTTCATCATGTTGCCCAGGCAGGTCTCAAACTCCTGGGCTCAAGCAATCAGCCTGCCTGGGCCTCCCAAAGTACAGGGTTACAGTCGTGAGCCACTGCACCTGGCCAGAGTTCTTTTATCATTAATTAGGGTATGAAGTCTACTTCATGTATATGTTCAAGCATCAGCTACAGATTTGTGTAGAGTATCAGTATGCCAAAAACTTGGGGCTTCCTTTCTTCAGAGTTTGACTTTCTGAAATTTTCCCCCTCATTTTCCTACTATGGTCGTTGCACTGAACATTGTCCTCTGGTTTTTCTAGCAAGATAATCTCTGTATTTTATGTCAAAGTTTTAACCAACTCACATAGTCCTCACTGTGGTTTGCTCTCATACTTAAAAAAAATAATTTAAAAATTAAAAAAGCTCACTGCATGCTATTTCCTTTTCCTCTCTGGCGTTTTCTTGTTTATTCATTCTCTATGCCTTCAAGTCATTTTTTTCCCCTCAGATCTTATAGTTGTTTCCCGCAGATCTTATAGTTGTTTTAATTTGTAGTCTTACCTTTCACATTTGTGTGTTTAATCCATCCCATATCTCTCTATGTTTATGATCTTAAGTGGAGGATCAGTTTTATTTTATTTTTCCATATAGTGAGCAAGTTTCCTTCCACAAGATCTACTAAATACCTGTTTCTTCCTCCACTGATTTGTAGCACAACTTTTATATATAAGAGTGATCTGTCTCTGGGCTAATTATTCTGTTATATTTGTCTATTCCTGTGCGAGTAAAAAAATTTTATTATAATGTGTTTGTAGTATGTCAGTAGCTCGTAATGTAAGTCCACTCCTTTGCTTTTCGTTTTCATATTTTATTTAACTATTTGTTTATATTTGTTTCTCCATGTTAATTGTAAAACAAATTTATTATCTTCTTCAAAAAATTCAGGGAACATGAATATTTTTATATTAGTAAGTCATTACAACCAAGAGTAAGGAATGTCTCCCCACATATTCAAATTTTTTTATGTTCTTTTATGATTTAAAAATCTTATCCTTAAAAGTCTTTTGTATTATCTTTTAAGTCCTGGATTATTTATAGTACCTTTGGTACTATTATGAATAGCCTTTTTCATTTATTATATTTTCTATTATGTTATTGCTCATATAAAGAAATGTTACTGATTATTTACTTTTAATAGGGGTATAAATTACATATAGTAAATTGCATAAACCTGAAGAATACAGCTTAATGAATTTTTATTTTTGTATATAGCTGTATAAATATAGCTCAAACCAACATGTAGTAGCTTTCAAGAATTCCAAAGGCTCCTTCATGTCTTCTACCATTTATATGAATTTGTGTAACTAGAACCATATATTATGTACTTTTTTGTGTCTGCATTCTTTTGTTCAACACATTTTTTTTGTGAGATTTATTTATGATGGTTTATTCTTTTTTCGTTCTTGAGTAGTATTTCAGTGTGTGAATACACCACAATTCGTTTTCCCATTCTCCTATTGATAAACATTTGGATTGTTTTGTTTAAGTTCATTGACAAGTTGCTATGAACATTCTTAGACTTATTTTGTGCTGGACATTAGTAGTCATGACACATGCTTTAGATTTTCATTAACTGATTTTTAAAATCTCATTAACCTTATTGAATTATCTTATTAGTTTAAAATTTGTTGAACCTGTTAATTGTGTAGATGACCATATAGTTTGAAAACATTTACATTTTTAACACTTTCCCTCCAATCCTCACAGTTGTAATTATTTTTCCTTCCTTAAAGCATTCACCAGGTTCTCTAAGAGTTTGTTAGAAAACAGTGGTAAAAGTGAGTGTCTGTGTGGTTGCCCCAATATGTAAGGAATAATATCTAAAATTATTTTCATAATAATGTGTTTCTCTATTAAGTATTAAATTTCTATATGTTTTTCTTATATAACCCTTGCCAAAGAAAGTTGTTGACTGTTCTTTGTTTGCCAACAGTATTTTTGTTTAAATTTCAAATGGGTATTAAAATTCCCAAATTGTTTTTCTGAAACTTTTAAGATAATATGATTTCTCCTTTTTGTTTGGAGAAATATATTGATACATTTTCTAATAAAAATTGATACTTGCTTTCCTGGGATCATGATGTTTTCTTTGAGTACAATTTTTAATTTATATAACTAATATTTTATGGAGGATATTTTTAACTATGTTTTATGCAGCATGCACCTAAAATTTTCTTCTCTTCTTTTCTCTTCCTTTTGCTTCTCTTTTCTCTTCTTTTTTCCTTGTCATGTTTTGGAGTCAAGGTTATACTAGCCAGGGAGCCAGCGAAGTTGGTAGCATGGCTCAAAGCCTTAGAACCAGGGAAACTGATGGTGTAACTCTCAGTTGGCGGTTGAAGGCTTGAGGATCCAGAGGGCTCCTGGTGATAGTCCCAGTATCTGAAGGCCAAAGACTTTGGGGTTCTAATGTCCAAGGGCAGAGGAAGAAGGGTGTCACACCTCCAGAAGAGAAAGAAAAAATTTGTCCTTCTTCTGCCCTTTTGTTCTATCCAGTCCTTCATCCAATTAAATAGCGTCTGCCACATTGGTTGAGAGTGGATCTTCCTTATTCAGTCCATTGGTTCCAACACCAATCTCTTCTGGAGACACCCTCACAGACACACCCAGAATGCCAGTATGAGTCTGTCCCCATCATCATTGTTTTGTTATTTTTATTTTTGTGGTTCAGCTCTATTGCTTACCCTTCAACTTACTGAAATAAATGCTTACCTCATTTGTTCTCAACTTTTCTTGCTTTCTGATATATGCATTTAAAGATATATTTTCCCCTCTAAGTATTGTATTAGCTTCATCCCACAAATGCCGACATGAACTACTTAATTTGGGGTACCCAGCTACCTGGGTATCCCTTAATCCAATCAAGTGGACACATAAAATTAATCATCACAACCAGATTGCTGGAAGCTTAGTAGAAGGCATCTCTTTAACTATGAAGGTCCAGGGCATTTTAGAAAGAGAGATCTTTGATTACAGTTTCAATTTATTTGGTGCATAATTGTCTCTTTGTTTCCTATTTTTTCTTGCACCAATTTTTCATTTTAGGGTGTCTGAAAATTTATCAGTTTTATGTAGATTTTCAAATGTATGCATGTGTTTTAAAAATAATATTTAAAAAATTTTTGCTTTTTACACTTTGTACTTTTTGGTAACTCCTTTCTCACTTTCTCTTTCACTTTACCTCTTTGTTCTTCATTGAGATATGAGTCTGTCTTCATCATGATTATTTTATTATTTGTATTTTTGTGGTTGAGCTCTATTGCTTACCCTTCAACTTACTGAAATAAATGCTTAGCTCATTTGTTTTCAACTTTTCTTGATTTCTGATACATGCATTTAAGGTATATTTTCCCCTCTAAGTACTGTATTAGCTTCATCCCACAGATACTGGCATGAACTATTTAATTTTTACTTTACAATATTCCTCGTGATCTCTAATTAACTAAAGAGTTATGAATTAATATTTTATTTTCTAAAATTTGATTTTTAGCAATTTTTAATTAATATTTTCTAATTTTATTGCATTAAGATCAGAGAAAATAGTCTGTAAGGTATTGATTCTTTACAATTTATTTAGGCTTACTTTGTGGGAGAAATGTAAATGTAAATGTTCCATATGCCCTCATATATAATAGTTTCTTTCTCAAGTATAGATTTTTTTTGTATAACTAATAACTCAAGCATGTAAATTTTATTATTCAATCAAAGAGTTCTAAAGAAATATCAAGATATTTGTGTCTTTATTATTATCTGCTTCATCTATTAAGTTCTAAAAGAGGTGTTTAAAAATCTCTAATTTCTATCAGTTGTCACTTTATATAATTTGAGGCTATATTTTAGAAGTATATTCTCTATTATTCTTTTTTTATAACCAATGTCAAAAGATACCATAGTGCATTATGGTAATTTCTACCTTAAATTTTATTTTTACAAAATTTAAAACTGCTATCACAGCCTCTTTGGTCTATATTTTTTTTTCCTGTGTAACTTTTCAATTCTTTAAATTTTGACTCTTTTTGATTCCTTTTGCTTTAAGTGTACCTATTATAGAAAATATGTTATTGATTTTTCCAAATCTGAGATCATTGGAATACCAATATCCAAGAATATAGGTGAGTTTATTTTGTTTATTATAATTCTATTTATATTTGAATTGCTTTCTGTTGTATTATTGAATAATTTCTATTTTAACTTTCATTTTTCTTCTTTTCCTACAGGTTATCTTTTGCTAGTTTATATTTTAAGCTATGCACTTAAAAATTTATGTGTTTATTTGTTTCTATGCTGCTTGTCTCTAACCTAAAAATCAGACTTATGTTTATTAATCCCTGATGATTTTTGTAAATAGTTTTTGATTTTGTAATTTTTCTGTCAATTTAGAAACAGAGAAAACAGTATAATAAAACCAATGTATCAACCATCCTACTTAAACTCTTAGCAACACATTACCAATATTTTTTTATTTCTAACTTCTTCACTGTCTGCCACCCTACCATTCCCAAGATTATTTTGAAGCAAATCCAAGATTTCATATCATTTTGCTATAAATATTTCACACTGAATTTCCAAAAGATAAAGACTCAAAAAACATATCCACAATACAATTACCAAATGCTAAAGAAAACTGTTGTATGTAATCTAATATTTAGCATTTTCATTTTGTTGTTTACCAATTTTTTCTTAATGTTTGTTTGAATCACAATCTAAATTATGTGCTTATATTTAACTGATTGATAAGTCTCTTAAATATCTTTTTTTTTTTTTAGCCCTCTTCTGTGTTGTAAGAGGTTCAGTACACTAGAGGTTAGGTAGGAATGCTCCACATGAGTACTGAGTCTGAATCTGCATTTTAATAAGAATTACAGTTGTTACAAATACACATTAATATATGTGGAACACTGTATTATTAATTCCTCCCCCCACCTTTTCATTATTTTTTAATTGAGTAAAATTGGGTTGTCTGTTTCATAGATTTTTTTAGTCTGGATTTTGCTGGTTTTTCCCTGTAGTATTTCTTAATATGTTTTTCTAAACCTTCTATTGTCTGCAAATTGATAGATCTGGAGTTTGAATTATATTCAGGTGCAAATTTTTTTGAAAGGATTTCATAGATGGTAGGTACTTCCATTAGGAGATATACAATGTTCATTTGTCTCTGCTTTTGTGATGCTTGTTAAGTCTTTGTTACCCTTAGATACGGATCACATGGGAAAAATAGGATAAACTCTTGATTCTTTTACTTTATTTACCAATTTTCAAAATAATGAAATGGCTCATTAGCACCCTCCAAAAATGACCTATTAAAACTTTTATGTTGATTTGTTTGCTTTTATATTATTCATTCATCTATTTATTCATTCGTTTTGGCATCATTATATACTCATGGATTAAAACACATTTTATATATTTCAACTAATTTCTGCTATTATCCTTACTGATGCTCAGCTTTTTCCACTTAGGCCAGGTTGGCTTCTCAGTCCTTTTGGCTTACATTTAAGAGTCCTTTATAACTTTTCTGCTTTTTGATATGATAAACTTTCTGATATATTAATTTTGTATTCTCCCTGTCTTGAACCGTTAGTAATTTCTATAAGGAATATGGTTCCTTTTGGTGTAACATGGTGTTCAAGAACATAACCTGATTATTGGAAAGGCTCATTGATTCTATTTTTGTTGTATAATGTAGTGAATTATGAGGGCAGAGCTGTGAGCCTGGAGGGTACGGCTATGGGCCTTAGAGGATTATTCCTAGGACTTGAAAATTAATGGAGTTTGCCCAGCTGGATTTCAAAATAGCTTGGGACCAGTAACTCCTTTTCTGCCCTTCATTCCTCCCTTTTTGAATGAGAAATACATGACTGTTAGCTAGTGCTTGTACCACCATTTTATTTTAGAAGAGAATTAGTTTTCGTGAATTTCAAAGGTTCACAGATAGAAATTTTACTACAGGATGGATCATATCAGAGTCTCATTCATACCTAATTTAGATGAGGTAGTGAGATATTTTACTTTTGAGCTGATGAGACATTAAATTTAGGAGTTGAATTGATGCTTAAGTCATGACATTTTGGACTTGTGTTGAGACTTTTGGTGACCTTGGGATGGGGATGAATGTATTTTGTATGTGAAAAGAATGTGACTCTTTAGGAGCTAGAGGGTTATGATAGGCTGAATAATGATCCCTGGAACCCATACATATGTTATCTTATATGGTTCATTAGTCAGGGTTCTTTAGAGGGACAGGGCTGGTAGGATAGATGTATATATGAAAGGGAGTTTATTAAGGTGTGTTGACTCACATGATCACAAGATGAAGTCCCACAATAGGCCATCTGCAGACTGAGGAGGAAGGAAGCTAGTCCAAGTCTCAAAACCTCAAAATAGGAAACTGACAGTGCAGCCTTCAGTCTGTGGCCAAAGGCCAGAGAACCCCCAGAACACCACTGGTGTAGGTCCAAGGGCCCAAGAGCTGAAGAACTTGGAGTCTTATGTTTGAGGGCAGGAAGCATCCAACATGGGAGAAAGTTGGAGGCCAGAAGACCCAGGCAGTCAAGCCTTTCCATGTTCTTCTGCCTGCTTTATTCTAGCTAGCTGTGCTGGCAGCTGATTAGATGGCACCCACCCAGACTGAGCATGGGCCAATAGGATATATATCCTATTAGTTCTGTCCCTCTAGAGAACCTTGACTAATACAGATTTTGGTAACAGGAGTGGTTCTAGAGGAACAGAATGATAAGGATGGAGTTCTTTCTTTGGTTTTAGGGTTTCTGGAGTTGGATGCTTAATATGATTAGACCCAAAAATGCTAAGGACTCTACTTCTAGTAGTATGGAGAACACTGATAGTCCTTGAAGTAAACTTCTTACAGAGTTATGCAAAATAAATGCATTTGAAACTCCTGATTCACTGCTCGTGAGAGGCAAGGAGTTTAGTGGCTCTATACATAATGCCTTTGACCATATGTGGAGAACCAAGGAACATAATGAAGCTGGTTACTTGCTCCTAAGTTCAGTGGACAAAGTGATAAAAGAAAATTATCAACTCAGGGATTATGTCTCCCACCTTCAAAAACAGATACTAAGCCTCAAATCTGCTAAGATTGCCCTGAATGAGAGTCTTATCTCCTGTAGAGAAAGCTGAAATTGTGGAAAAACAGACATAAGCTCTTATCATGCGACTGGCTGACCTGCAACAAAAGGTACATACACAGCCTCATCAGGTGTCTACTGTTAAAGTGAGGGCATTGATTGGAAAAGAATAGGACCCTGCAACTTGGAATGGGAATGTGTGGGAGGACCCTGATGAAGCTGGGGACACTGAGTTTGTAAACTCGGATGAATCTTTTTTTGCCAGAAGGAACAACTTCCCCATCCCCATTAGTGGCAACATCCCCTCCCTGACCCATGTTGCCATCAGCCTTTCCACCTTTGTCTGAGGAGATAAACTCCGCACTGCCTGAGGCAACAGTGATGGCCTCTCCTGAGGCAGATGCCAGGCAAAATAATGTTGATTCTTCTCAGGAGCTACCCCCAACACCCCTGTTTGCTTCTAGACCTACAACTAAAGTCCTGGTGGGTCCCTAGAGGTGAGGTTGAGAGTATGACCCATGAAGAGGTGCACTGCGCTTAAAAAGAACTGTTTGAGTTCTGTAATTTATATAAACACAAATCTGGAGAACAGGCATGGGAATGGATATTAAGGGTATGGCATAATGGTGGAAGGAACATAGAGTTGGATCAGGCTGAGTTTATTGATTTGAGCCCACTAAGTAGGGACTCTGCTTTTAATGTTGCATCTCGAAGAGTTATAAAAAATTTAATAGTTTATTTTCTTGGTCAGCTGAAATGTGGATTAAAAAAGGGCCAACTGTGAGAGAGCTGGAAATGCCTGATCTCCTTTGGCTTAATGTAGAGGAAGGGATGCAAAGGCTTAGGGAGATTGGGATGGTGCATTAGTCACATTAGACCTACTCATCCCAGCTGGGAGTATCCAGAAGATATACCCTTGACCAATGCCTTGCAAAATAGATTTGTGAGGGCAGCACCTGCATCTTTGAAGAACCGTGTAATTGCTCTTCTCTGTATATTAGATCTAACAGTGGGAACCACAGTCACTCAACTACAAAATTTAAATACAGTGGGAATAATTGGATCCCGAGGTGGCAGAGGCCAAGTGGCAGCACTCAACTGTGACAGGCAAGGTGAGCTACCATAATGGGCAGCAGAGACAAAGCAGCGATCAGAGTAGTCTGACTCATGTAAAGCTCTGGCATTGACTAATTAACCGTGGTGTTCCTAGAAGTGAAATTGATAGGAAGCCTACTGCATTCCTACTTACTTTATGTAAGGAGAAAACTTCTAGGTCAAATAGACAAAAGACTAATTTGAATTATAAAAACAGAGAATCGTGGCCCCTCAATCAATTTCCAGACTTGAGTCAGTTTACAGGCCCAGAACCCCTTGAATGAAAGGAATGCCGGATCCTCTTAAGGAAAGATCCTACTATATTACTGATAATTTATGCAGTGAATCTTTCTCCCATCCTTCCCCAAGGACACCTCTGGCTTTTTACCAGGGTAACTGTGCACTGGAGAATGGGAAATGATCGGACATTTTGGGGACTACTGGACACTGTCTCTGAGCTGATGTTTATTCCAGGGAACCCAAAACATCATTGTGGCCCTCCAGTTAAAGTAGGGGCTTATGGAGATCAGGTAATTAATGAAGTTGCAGCTCAGGTCTGACTTACAGTGGGTCCAGTGGGTCCAGTGGGTCCCCAGACTCATCCTGTGGTCATTTCCCCAGTGCCAGAATGGTAATTGGCATAGACATACTTAGCAGCTGGTAGAACCCCTACATTAGCTCCCTGACTGTTAGGGTGAGAGTTATTGTGGTGGGAAAGGCCAAATGGAAGCAGAGCTGTCTCTACCTAGAAAAATGGTAAGTCAAAAACAATATTGCATCCCTGGAGGGATTGCAGAGATTAGTGCTACCATCAAGGACTTGAAAGATGCAGGGGTGGTGATTCCTACCACATCTGCGTTCAACTCTCCCATTTGGCCTGCACAGAAGACAGTAACCACGTGGTGACTCCAATTGCAGCTGCTGTACCAGAAGTGGTTTCATTGCTTGAGCAAATTAACGCGTCTCCTGGTACCTGGTGTGCAGCCATTTACTTGGAAAATGCCTTTTTCTCCATTCCTGTCCATAAGGCCTACTAGAAGCAATTTCCCTTCGGCTGACAAGGCCAGCAATATACCTTTACTGTCCTACCTCAGGGGTATATCAACTCTCAGGCTTTGTGTCATAATCTTATTTGGAGAGACCTTGATAGCTTTTCTCCTCCACAAGAGGTCAAGAGATCAAGACCATCCTGGCCAACATGGTGAAACCCCATCTCTACTAAAAATACAAAAAATTAGCCGGGTGTGGTGGGAGGCGCCCATAATCCCAGCTACTTGGGAGTCTGAGGAAAGAGAATTGCTTGAACCCAGGAGGCAGAGGTTGTAGTGAGCCGAGATTGCGCCATTGCACATTGCACTCCAGCCTGGGCAAAAAGAGTGAAACTCTATCTCAAAAAAAAAAAAAATATATGTATATATATATATATATCACACTGGTCCATTACATTGATGACATTATGCCAATTAGATCCAGTGAGCAAGAAGTAACAAACAGACTGGACTTATTGGTGAGACATTTGCATGCCAGTTGTTGGGAAATAAATCTGACTAATATTCAGGGAACTTCTACCTCAGTAAAATTTCTAGGGGTCCAGTGGTGTGGGACCTGTCAAAATATTTCTTCCAAGGTGAAGGATAAGTTGCTGCATTTGGCCCCTCCTACAACCAAAAAAGAGGCACAACACCTAGTGGGCCCATTTGGGTTTTGGAGGCAACACATTCCTCATTTGGGTGTGTTATTTTGGCCCATTAATTAAATGACCCAAAAGGCTGCCAGTTTTGAATGAGGTCCAGAAGAGGAGAAGGCTCTGCAGCAGGTTCAGGCTGCTGTGCAAGCTGCTCTGCCACTTGGGCCATATGACCCAGCAGATCCAATGGTGCTTCAGGTGTTAGTTGCAGATAGGGATGCTGTTTGGAGCCTTTGGCAGTCCCCATAGTTGAATCACAGTGGAGGCCACTAGGATTTTGGAGCAAGGACCTGCCATCTTCTGCAGATAACTATTCTCCTTTTGAGAGACAGCTCTTGGCCTGTTACTGGGCTGTGGTGGAAACTGAACATTTGACTATGGATCATGAAGTCACCATGTGACCTCAACTGCCTATCATGAACTGGGTGCATTCTATCCCATCTAACCATAAAGTGGGTCATGCACAGCAGCATTCCATCATAAATGGAAGTGGTATATGTTACCAGGCTTGAGCAGGTCCTGAAGGCACAAGTAAGTTACATGAGGAAGTGGCGGAAGTGCCCGTTGTCTCCACTCCTGCCACCCTGGCTCCTCTCCCCCAGGTTGCACTGATGGCCTCATGGAGAGTTCCCTATGATCAGTTGACAGAGGAACAGAAGACTAGGGCCTGGTTCACAGATGGTTCTGCATGATATGCAGGCACCACCTGAAAGTGGAGAGCTGCAGTGCTACACCGCCTTTCTAGGAAATCCTCTAAAGACAGCTGTGAAGGGAAATCTTCCCAGTGAGCAGAACTTGAGCAGTGCACCTGGTTGTGCACTTTGCACAGAAGGAGAAATGGCCAGATGTGCGATTATATAATGGTTCATGGGCTGTAGGGAATGGTTTGGCTGGATGGTCAGGGACTTGGAAGAAGCATGATTGGAAAATTGGTGACAAAGAAATTTGGGGAAGAGATATATGGATGGACATCCTCAGTGGTCAAAAACTGTGAAGATATTTGTATCCCATATGAGTGCTTACCAACGGGTGGCCTCAGCAGCAGAGGATTTTAATAATCAAGTGGGTAAAATGACCCATTCTATGGACATCACTCAGCCTCTTTCCCCAGGCATCCCTGTCATCACCCAATGGGCCTGTGAACAAAGTGGCTATGGTGGCAGGGAGGGAGGTTATGCCTGGGCTCAGCAACACGAACTTCCACTCATCAAGGCTGACTTGGCTAATGGCCACTGCTGAGTGCCCAATTTGCCAGCAGCAGAGACCGACATTGAGCCCTTGATATGGCACAATTTCTCAGGGTGATCAGCCAGCTACCTGGTGGCAGGTTGATTATATTGGACCTCTTCCATCATGGAAAGGGCAGAGGTTTGTCGTTACTGGAATAGACACTTACTCCAGATATGGGTTTGCCTGTCCTGTATGAAATGCTTCTGCCAAGACTACCATCTGTGGACTTACGGAATGCCTTATCCACCATCATAGTATTCCACACAGCATCGCCTCTGACCAAGGCACTCACTTTACAGCTAAAGAAGTGCAGCAGTAGGTTCATGCTCATGGAATTCACTGGTCTTACCATGTTCCCCATCATCCTGAAGCAGCTGGATTGATAGAACGGTGTAATGGCCTTTTGAAGTCACAATTACAACGCCAACTAGATGACAATACTTTGCAGGGCTGGGGCAAAGTTCTCTAGAAGACCATGTATGCTCTGAATCAGTGTTCAATATATGGTACTATTTCTCCCATAGCAAGGATTCACGGGTCCAGGAATCAAGGGGTGGAAATGGAAGTGACACCACTCACCATCACCGCTAGTAATCCACTAGCAAATGTTTGCTTCCTGTTTCCCTGACATTATGTTCTCCTGGCCTAGAGGTCTTAGTTCCAGAGGGAGGAATGCTGCCACTAGGAAACACAACAAAGGTTCCATTAAACTGGAAGTTAAGATTTCCACCTGGACACTTTGGGCTGCTCCTATCCTAAAGTCAACAGGATAAGAAGGGATTTACAGTGTTGGCTGGGCTGATTGACCTGGACTGTCAAGATGAAATCAGTCTGCTATTCCATAATGGAGGTAAGGAAGAGTATGCATGGAACACAGGAGATCCATTAGGGCATCTCTTAATATTACCATGCCATGTGATTAAGGTCAATGGGAAACTACAACAGCCCAAATCCAGGTGGGACTACAAATGGTCCAGACCCCTCAAGAATGAAGGTTTGGGTCACTCCACCAGGAAAAAACCATGACCTGCTGAGGTGCCTGCTTAAGGCAAAATGAATATAGAACGAGTAGTAGAAGAAGGTAGTCATCAAGACCAGCTATGACTACATGACCAGCTGCAGAAACGAGGACTGTAGCTGTCATGAGTATTTCCTCCTTCTTTTGTTAAAAACATGTTTGTTCATGTATACACTTGTACTAAGAAAATATCTTCATTTTATTTCCTTTTCCTTTATCATGTGACATAAGTTTTGACTTCATATTGGCATTTAAGTATTGTTAACTTTATGTAATAGTATTTGGGTTGGGGATTGGTGCATTTTTGGTTGTACAAAGGAAGTTGTATTACGTTAGGTGTAATTGTAACCTTATTATTGTCTTTATTTGAGGACTATGTATGATCTCAGGAGATGTGTATGTGTTCAAGCTGACAAGGGGTGGAATTGTGATAGTTAATACTGAGTGTCAACTCGATTGGATTGAAGGATACAAAGTATTAATCCTAGGTGTGTCTGTGAGAGTGTTGCCAAAGGAGATTAACATTTGAGTCAGTGGCTGGGGAAGGCAGACCCACCCTTAATCTGATGGGCACAAACTGATCAGCTGCCAGCAAATATAAAGCAGGCAGAAAAAAGTGAAAGGTGAGACTGGCCTAGACTCCCAGCCTACATCTTTCTCCCATGCTGGATGCTTCCTGCCTTCAAACATCAGACTCCAAGTGCTTCAGTTTTGAGACTTGGACTGGCTGTCCTTACTCCTCAAGCTTGCAGATAGCCTATTGTGGGACCTTGTGGTCATGTTAAGTTAATACTTAATAAACTTTCATATATATATCCTATTAGTTCTGTTCCTCTAGAGAGCCCTGACTAATACACCAGTTTTAGAATGATAATACCACTACTACCACCAAAAATCTGATTACCAAAAATGGTTTAATTTTAGATTATTTCCCACTGAGAATGTAAAATCAAATTACTGTGTCTTAAACTCATTTGTAATAGATCTTCTCTGTGTGATTATGCCACCAACTGGAGATTGAGTTAGCTTCATTTGTTTCATTTTTAGATTTTAATGATTGCTTTTTGATTGAATTTTACCTTATAACCATGTAAAATATTTTTATGGTTCCAACATTAAATCTACAAATCAAGAAGTTTGGCTTCTTTTTCTGTCTTTTCTGCTATCCCCTTCTTCCTTTATAAGTACACATTTTTAAAAAAATTACTGGACAAATGTTATTGATTTATTTTAAAGGACTTCTCAGAGAACATTTGTTCTTCACTATGCATTGGTGATATAAATAAAAACGTAAGTTCATGGAGAATTTTAAACATATTACAAGAAAACAGAAAAAAATGTATGAAGCACCCTGAACTCACATCAACCTTGAGATCAGTTAACTAATGGCTCCTGTTTTTTCACCTGTAACTCTCACTCATTTTTCCTCTTCTTACACTATTTTGAAGTAAAAGCCCAAATACTACAACATTATATTCATAAATGTTTTATTAAATATTTCTAAATGACAAAGAATCTTAAAAATAAGTAAAATTATTACATCAGTGATTCTTTAATAGCATCAAATAAAAAGTTTAAGCTTGCATGTCATAATCCATTTTTATAGTTCTCTTTTTTGAAATAGAATACAAATAAGGTTCACTTACAGCAAATTTTTCTTTACAAATATTTTGTCTTTAATCTGGAGGTTCCCTTTGTATAGGGAACCTATAGAATAAATTGTTTCTTGCAACTAATTTTATTTTATTGCTATTGTTGATAAAACCATATTAATTGTCTTGTAGATTTTGCACAGTTGACATTTTACAGATTGTATTCCTGTGACATAGCTTAAGATATTTTTCAATGTATTCCCTGTAAATTGGTATTTTGATCTAGTATCTTGTAAGACTTCTTCAAACTGGTGTTTTGTTTTTCCATCAAGAGGTACATACTGCATGGTTCTCTCTCTTTCTCTCCCTCCCCCTCCGTCCCCCTTCTTTTTTTTCTTTCTTTATTTCTTTCTCTTTGTGATGATCAATTCTTAGATCCATTAATTCATTAGGGGCTGCAAAGTGATGATAATTTAATTCTATTGTTATGGTCTCCATTTTTAACTGGAATTCTTCCATAAAGTGAAACGTCTCATGTATTATTTGATTATACAATGATATCATTCACATAGGGAGGCAGGCAGGATGTTTGATTCTTCCTTCCTTTTTTTTTTTTGCAAGTTTTCAAAATAACCCCTGGCATCCACAAACAGAAGTTGTTCCCCCTTTTTCCCCCACTTTTTAATTTTTTAAAAAATTCTTTATGAACTCAAGGATTTAAACATATTAGATGTGTTTCCACTCACTGAAATTATCTTCATTATTAGTGCTCACATTGTTTCATCCATGGACTCTTCAATTTGGCTTCTGAATCATTTTGACACACTTGTAGTAGTTTTAATAGCTTCCCTCATTTTGGTATATTTCATGCTTATCTTGTACATTTCTTGCCCTAAATTTGAATCAGTCCTTTCTCTGAGGAGATCTGCTTCTTTTTAGAGTAAAATGCTATTTCCAGGCCACAACCTGGGTGCCACAGGTATACGCCGTTTACCACCAGATTGATCATTATTTTTAGGCCTTCTCTATAGATAAAACTAGCAATATGTAATTAATTCATTACCATTTTAATTCAGGACCACAGAGTTTTTTTTTAATGAAACTTCTTTTATATTACATATATATATATCCTCTTTCCCACTAGGAGAATCCCAGTTACCAATAACACTGGTAAAATTAGTCTTTCATATAATGACTCACTCACTGGATCCCACATTACACAACAAGTGTATCAGAAGAACAATACCCATACTACCGCCGACAATATGATTATTAAGACAGCTTAAAGAATTATTTGTAATTTCTTTACCCTTATGATTTGTATTCACTGGGAATATGCAGTCAAATTGCCATATTTTAAAGTCATTCGGAGTAGTTTCTGTAAGGCTGGTAATGCCTCTAGCTGGATGCTCATACATTAATTTAGTTTATTAAAAAAAAGTATATTTTCTTTTTAGTACAGTCTTAGATTTATAGAATCATTTAACAGATGGTATAGAGTTTCATATAATAACCCAACCACCTCTCCCTCCTCAGCATCCTCTATTATTAACATCTTGCATTCATGTGGTACATTTGTTAAAATTAACAAACCATTAACACATTATTATCAACTACAGTGCATCATTTACATTAAGGTTCATTCTTTGTGTTGTACATTCTGTGGGCTTTGACAAATGCATAATGACAGGTATTCACCATGACTATTTCACACTGACTAGTTTTCCCACCTAAAAGTCTTCTGTGCTACACTTATGCTCCCCTCCCCTCCCTCTCCCCTGAACCTTGGCAACCGCTGATCTTTTAATTCTTTTAACTGTCTATATAGTTTTGCCTTTTCCAAAATGTCATATCATTGGAATCATACAGTAAGTAGCCTTTTCAGCCTGACTTCTTTCATTCAGCAATACCCATTTTAGATTTCTCCATGTCTTTTCATGGCTTAATAGTTTAATAATTTCTGTTTGTCAGTGAATAACATTCCATTCCATTGTGTGGATATAGCACAGTTTATTTATCCAGTAACCTGGTGAAGGATATCTTGGTTCCTTCAGTGTTTGGCAATGAATTAAGCTGCTGCTATAAACATTCACGTGCAGTTTTTGTGTGGACAGACCTTCTCAACTTAATTGGATAAGTACCTAGAAGTGGAATTGCCAGATTTTATGGTAAGCCCATGTTTAGGTAACTTATGTGAAATGTGTAAGGACTATGTCCAGATTCATCATTTTGCATATGGATGTCCAATCTTCCCAGCATCAGTTGTTGAAAAGACTATCTTTCCTCCATAAAATTGCCTTCGCTCCTTTGTCAAAGATCACTTGGCTATATTTGGGTGGATCTAGCTTTTATCACTATCCTTCCATCCTATACCCTCCATTCCCGTGCAGTTGATCACTTAAAAAATTATGTACCACTCACTTGAAGAAATAAAAGGTAGCATACTATACATATTTTACTTGCATCTAGTTGCATTGGTCAGTAACTTCAAAACAATATTTAATAGCAAGGGAATGATCAGATAGGCTTTTCTTTTCCTGATTGTTGTAGGATAGTCTCCAATGTTTCTCTGTTAAGGGAGACCAGCTTTTGGATTAATAGATAGATAGGTAGATAGATAGATACATAAAATCATGTTAACAACATCTCCATCAACTCCTATTTTACTGAATGTTTTACAAACGAATGGGTATTAAATTTTGTCAAATGCCTTTCCTGTGTCCATGGAGATAACAATATTAATTTTCTCTTTAACTTCATTGAGATGAATTATAAGTGTCCCAATGTTGAAGCACACATATATTCTTAGAGTTAACCCTATTTAGTCACAAGAGTCATGCTTAATGTGTTGTAGGATTCTGTTTCCTAACATATAACTTATATAAAAATTCTATAGCATTATTTATAAGTGAGATTAATCTGTACTTTTTATATGGGGCAATCTTTGTCAGGTTTTGTGATCATGTAATAATTGTTTCATAAAATTAGAGTTAGTAGAATTTTCCTATGAAATCTGGGCCTAGTGCTCTTGAGTGGGGATCTCTTTTAACTACCAATTTTCTTTCTTTTGTGGAAAATGATCTGTTTAGGCTGTTTCCACTGGAGTTATTTTTGGTAAGTTGTAGTCTTCTAAAAAGAAGCTATTCCTTTTATATTGATTTGTTAATCATCTATTTCAGGAGTCCTCAACTCCAGGCTGTGGACCAGTATGGGTTGGTTTGTGACCTGTTAGGAACCAGGCCACACGGCAGGAGGTGAGTGGTGGGCTAGTGAACATTACCACCTGAGCTCAGCCTTCTGTCAGATCACTGAAGACATTAGATTCTCATAGGACCGCAAACCCTATTGCGAACTACACATGCAAGCAATCCAGGTTGCACACTCCTTATGAGAATCTAATGCCTGATGATCTGAGGTGAAAGAGTTTCATCCTGAAACCATCCGGCATCACCAAGTCTGTGGAAAAACTGTCTTCCGCAAAACTGGTTCCTGGTGCCAAAAAGACTGGGGACCACTGATCTATATCTTCCTTTAAAAAAGATATTCTCCCATGCATTGTTTTCTCTACTGTTAATTTTTCTGGAATTTTAGTTCCAGTTTGTTTTTGATGTATTTTTATTTATGCTGTTCTTTGTTTGTTAGACATTTTTAAAAGGGATTTGATGAAATTTATTGTCCAGATCTCTTCAATTATCCTCCCGAAATTAACCCTGTTTTTGTTTTAATATCTTGTCTAAGGAGGAATTTGAAGGTGGGAACTTGGCAAACTTTGTGATATCTTAGAAGTCTGAGAATATTTTTTTCTCATCAGATTTAAATGACATATTGGCAAATATAAAATTCTACAATCACAGATATGTTCCTTCTGCAGATTAGAAATAATACTGTATTGACTTCTTGCTTCTTTCAAATGTAATTCTTGTTTTTTTTCTCCAATATGTCTACTTTTTCATTTTGGAAGCTTTCAGAATTTTATCTTGTTTTTTATGTTATTACATTTTACTACAATATGCCTAGGGGTGAGGTTTTTTGTCTAGTGTTTTTTGCTCTGTATGGACCACTTTCAGCTTTCTTTAAATTGGGTGATTTTATTTTCCTTATTTTATCAAATATTTCTTCATTAGTATTTTTAAAAATCTCCATCTATTCCTCTATTCTCTATATGTTTTCATTTTGATTTCTAATCTCCACAAGTCTTATTTTCTTTTACATGTCTCATCATTATCTTTTCCTGTTGCATTTTGGGAAATTTCCTCAGTCTTGTATTCCAGCTCACTAATTTGTTTTACTAACTAGTGTTCTTTATTCACCTATCATGCTTTTCACATCTCACATTTGACCTTGTTCTTTTTCTTTCTTCTTAGCACTACTAACAATAGTAATGTCTTCCATTCCCTGCTTGAGAATATTTATTATGCTTATTTGGATTACTTATGCCAACAGTTCTTCTTCATAGGGTTATTGTTGTTGATTTATTTTTAGAGTTGTAGCCCTCAGCTGTCTGTAAACTTGTATTTCGCTAGGGATAACAAGGGTTTTCAGACTTTATTGACTTTATTCTACAGTCAGAAATACATTTTACCTCTTGACTCACTTGATATATATTGATAAAATAATATTTTAAAATATATTTGATATATTTTACAAAATATTTATCATCATGTTGAGCAATGCACTCTATTATTTCCTGGTCGGTTTGATTTTATTGAAAAATACCAGTGCTCTGTACTAAAGTGATTTATTCACTTGTTAATGGGTAAATACCTACAGTTTGAAAACTTTATGAGAATATATGTTAGGGAAGGGCTGAAGGTCAGCCATAGTTAAGAAGGAGGGGTTAAAGTGTTATGCCCTAGAGCCCAAGACATCACAGAATCCCTCAGATGAATCCAGTTTCCTTTATTTCATTAGGGAATAACTCTGTTTAGGCATTCATATGTAAATTCTTAGACAGGAACAGACTGTGAGATGTCAGTCTCTTTAGGTAATAAATTACCAGCTTTGTAATTTTTTTGAAGAAGGGGTTGAATTGATGACTATCCATGGGAGACTGGTCAGCTTACACCCACATCAGCTCCTCTCCCCCAAAGGCTGCTGTAAGAATATCCACAACCATGGAAATCAGTTACTGCTGATTCTGAAGCCAAGGAACAAGCAATGATTATTGCAAGGAAATACAGGCTGAGATAACAGCAGAATTTAAAAATATTTGCCCCAATCTATATTTACTGCTGCTGCCTGGCTGCTCTTGACCCTAGAGGAACACCCTGTCACTCCCAGAACAATTCACGTGGCCTTTCATCTCTCCGGAGTTCCTTACAGCTTTTATGTTATTTCTTCAGATCAATGCTTCTTTTCCTTCCAGTTTTTCCAGAGGGCATCTAGTTTGGGAAAATCCAGTGGATTATGTTTAGGAAAAGACCTATGTTAAATCTTTTAGGAGCTCTTTAAAATTTGCAGGCTCAAAATCATGCTTTTTCATGGTCAAGGAAGGACTCAGTGATCAATCTGAGATGAATCTATCTCAGAATAGAAATCAGGTTGATAGAAAGAACACATAGGTTTACTTATTTTTTCTTTAAGACTACTTTTGCATTTTATCTTCTTCTATGTTGCCCAGGTAGTCTTCGTTCTTACAAGTTCCAGGCTGTGTTTAAGTGATGCATTTTGGCCATATCTGCATAACCAAAACTACACAGGGGACTTCAGTCACAAATGCACTCGGAATGCAGTGAATCTGAATAGCTCAGGGAAAACACTCTTTGCATTTGTCTGATTTTTGTGGCTCATTTAAGATAATCCAGGTCACTGCTTTTGTGGGGGGTACATTATGTCCCATATGTGGGAATAAGTATACACTGGGGTGATCCAAGAAGCAAAGGGATAGGCCTCTAACTCTATCACATGATATGAAGAGCTCCAAAAAGCACCTCTCCCCTAAAAATCACCTCCATACCTACTCTGACCTTTTCTTCAGGTTGGCCTTAAATTATCTATCCTTATTTGCAATTTCTGTTATTCCTAATTCCTTTGAGTTAAACAATAAGGACCACAGAACTGTTTCTAAATCTCACTGACAAAAGACTTCCAGTATGCATTATAGTACAAGTGTTGATTAGTGATCACCCTCCATTCCAGTTAAGCAGGTAATCTCTTTTCCAACTGACCTCACCATCTTCCTTCACAAAGATGCCTTCTCCTCTTATGTTCTCCAGATCTGTGTCTGCCACTGCCATCCATGCAGTTGCACATAGTGATCCTCAGCTCTTTCCTCACTCTCGCTACCCCACAATCTACTATTAGTTTTAACTTCTAAGTTTCTCTAGAATCCAGACATTTCTGTTCATCCCTGCTGCCACCATCCTAGGCATTTCTCACTGGCTGTCTTTCATAGATTCTTGACTATCTCCATATCTTCAGTCTTGTCTTCCTCTAATCCATTCTCAGCCAAACGTTTTGACCATGTCAGCACTTTGCTAAAATTCTTCAATGTCTCCCAATTGCCTTTAGAGCAGTTTGTGAATGTTTTTCACCACTAAAACATACCCAAGAAATATAATGCCCTTCCTTTAGTATCTGCAACAAAGGCCCTTGATCTCATAATTGCAGCGCATGCCAGAGTATGTAGGGGGAGATATAGAGGGACATATCTGAAACTCCAGAATGAGAAGGACATTTCTGGAACATTGTAGATATTCAGTAAACCTTCCTTTAGTAAACGAATGATGAATGAGACTTAGGAAAAACCACCATGTTTTTTATACAATGAGATGAAAATAGAAAAATGGAAGTGCTGATATTAGCAATAATACATTTGAGGTATAATTGGAAGTTATCAGATAAGCTAAAAGTGTTGCATGTGTTTTTCTTTTTAAAATAAATGTTATTGTGGATATTTAAGGTATGCAACACGATGTTACAGAATATATATATATATATATATATATACAGTAAAATGGCTACTATAGTGGAACAAATTAACACACCTATCATCTTACATAGCTACCCACTATCCCTCCCACCAAGAGCAGCTATACTCTACTCATTTAGCAAAAATCCTGAATACAATACACTATTATTAACTGTAATCTTCATGTCGTAAATTAGATTTTTTGACTTGTTTAACCTCCGTATTTGCTACTTTGTATTATTTGACCTGTATCTCCCCATTTTCTGTCCCCACCTCAACCTTGGCAACCACTGATTTATTCTCTCTCTCTCTATGATCATTTTAAAAATAAGATTCCACATATAAATGAGATCATGCAATATTTTTCTTTCCGTGTTTGACTTATTTCAGTTAGCATAATGTCCGCCAGGTCCATCAATGTTGTGACAAATGGCAGGATCTCCTCTTTTTTAAAGATCGAATAATACTTCTTCATGTGTATACACACACACACACGCACACACACACAGAGTTTCTTTATCCACTTGTCGATTGATGAACACCTAGATTGTTTCTACATCTTGGCTATTGTGAATAATGCAATAACGCTTTAATGAACATGGGAGTGTTTTTATGAGGTGGTGATTTCTTTCCCTTTGGGTATACACCCAGAAGATGAATTTCTGGGTCATATGGCACTCATATTTTTAATTTCTTCAGGAAAACCACCATTTTTTTTTTTTTGTAATGACTGCACCGTCTACATTCCCATAGACATTGTACAAGTGGTCTCTTTTCCTACCCCCATGCTAATACTTGTTATCTCTTGTCTTTTAGATAACAGCCATCCTAACAGGTGTGAGGTGGTATGTCATAGTGGTTTCCATTTATATTTCCCTGATGATTAGTGATGTCGAGTACCTTTTCATGTATCTGCTGCCCATTTTTATGTCAACTTTGGAGAAATGTCTACTCAAGTAGTTTGCCTAATTTAAAGTCAGGTTATATGTTTTCTTGCTGTTGAGTTTAATAAGTTTTTTTATAAATCTTGGATATTAGCCACCTGTCTGACATATGGCTTGCCCTACTTTTTTCCTATTGGTGGGTTGCCTTTCGATTTTGTTGATTGTTTTCTGTGTATAAGCTTTTTAGCTTGATGTATTCCTATTTATTTATTCCTGCTTTTTAAAACAAAGCTTTTGGTGTGATAGCCAAGAAATCATTGCTAAGACCAATGTCAAGGGGATTTTCCCCTATGTTTTCTTCTAGAATTTTTGTGGTTTCAGGTTTTACATTTAGTTCTTTTATCCATTTTAAGCTGATTTTTGTGCATAATGTAAGATAGGGTCAAATTTCATTATTTTGCATATGGAAATCCAGTTTTCCCAGCACCATTTATTGAAAAGACTATCCTTTCCCCATTGTGTCTTTTTGGTGCCCTTGTTGAAAATCAGTTGACCCTATATGATATGGTTAGGCTTTGTGTCCCCACCCAAATCTCGTCTTGAATTGTAATCCCCATAATCTCTATAATCCCCACGTGTCAAGCGGGAGACCAGATGGAGGTAATTGAATCATGGGGGCAGTTTCTCCCATAGTGTTCTCATGATAGTGAGTGAGTTCTCATGAGATCTGATTTCATAAAGGGCTCTTCCCCCTTTGCTCAGCACTTCTCCTTTCTGCTGCCTTGTGAAGAAGGTGCCTGTTTCTCCTTTGCCTTCTGCCATGATTGTATGTTTCCTGAGGCCTCCCTAGCCATACAGAACTGTGAGCCAATTAAAATTCTTTCCTTTATAAATGACCCAGTCTCGGGTATTTCTTCACAGCAGTGTGAGAATGGACTAATACAGTATATGTTTGAATTTGGTTCTGGGCTCACTATTTTGTTCCACTTGCATCTTTATTTTCTATAGCATGTTTATTGGGCTTAAGAATGTCAACTGTCTGTTGTTGAGTTAATGTAATAAAATTAAAGGTAATACACTACATCATTGAATCATATTATATAACAAGTTGTTTTCTTCCTTCTCTACAGAAGAAAGGGTATAGTGGAGAAATAGAGAAAACAAAGAAATCTTTAAAATTGTAGGTTGGGTATGAAAAAGGTTTTCACTTTCATCTTTTTCATTTGGCTTATTAAACCAAGACTTTAATTTCATATCACATTAATTTCCAAATGGATCACAGATACAAGTGGATAAGTGTGGGGAGCAAGAAAAAGAAAGAGAAATACACCAAACTATAAGTACTAGGAGAAAACACGAGTGAATTTCTCTATATGAAATTTGGGAAAATATTCCTAAATTTGACTCAATATCTGGAAGTGATAAAAGAAAAGCACAACAAATTTGATTCAACAAAACTAAAAAAGCTTACATGGCTAATTAAACACAGTAAAAAAAAAAGTGGGAAAATATTTCCACTTTCTCATAGACAAGAGTTAACAATACCTAAAATATGAAAAGGGAGAAAAATTCCCTATAGGAAAATATGCTAGTGGTATGAAAAGACAGTTGACAGAAGTAGAAATTCAAATTGCTCTAAACCAAATGAAAAGATGCTTAACCTCATTTGCCACAAAAGTAATGCAAATTAAAAATACTGTAGGATGGCCTGGTGCAGTGGCTCACGCCTGTAATTCCAGCACTTTGGGAGTCCGAGGCGGCAGGATCACCTGAGGTCAGGAGTACGAGACCAGCCTGGCCAACATGGTGAACCCCTGTCTCTACTAAAAATACAAAAATAAGCCGGGCATGGTGGTGCCCACATGTAGTCCCAGCTACCTGGAAGACTGAGGCAGGAGAATCATTTGAACCTGGGAGGCAGAGATTGCAGTGAGCAGGGATTACGCAACTGCACTGCAGCCTGTGCAACAGAGCAAGAGTCTGTTTCAAAAAAAAAAAAAAAAAAAAAAAAGAAGAAGAAGAAGTACTGTAGGAAACATTTCTCCCCATCAAATGGGCAAAGCTCTAAAGCCTCACAGCATACTTCTTTGGAAAGGCTATGGGTAAGTAGACACTTTTATATACTGCTGCTGATAATTAAAAAATACAACCTTTTCAGAGAGGGATTTTCCCATATCTAGCAAAATTGCATAGGTATTTACCTTTGGATCCAGCAATTACATTTGCAGAGATATATCATGAAGAAACACTGGCAAACATTTGAAAAGATGCATGAGACTATTATAGCATTAGGGATAATAGAAAAGACTAGGATCAATCCAAATATCCATCAATAGGTGATAAGTTGAATGGAGGATGTTGAATAAACTATTGTACATCTACACGATGGAGTACTGTAAAACAGTATAAGAAATCTCTCTGTATACTCTTATGGAACAATCTCCAGGACATATTGATAAGGGAAAAAACAAGGCAATAAAAGAAGGCTAAAGTTCATCTAAACAAGTGGGGACATGGGATATGGGTATGAATATTTACTAACAAAACAATGAAAGACTACCATAAAATAAAAGCAAAAAATAAAAAGTTAAAAAGCTTACCTATAGAAGAAGAGAGGGACAGTGTGATAGAGACAGCTACACCTTTTCAAATATACCATGTTTTGAAGATTTGACTTTGAGGCCTTAAGTTTTTTTTACATCATTATAAAATAAAATTAAGAAAAAAGCAATATCTTAAAACCAAAAACAAGTAAACCTAGCCCTATATCCAGTTGACCTAATCTCATAGCAAGAACTGTTTTAAATTACTTTAAAACTCAGTAATTTGATTATGTATTACTACTAGGATATACTCAAAGAAAAGAACTGTAAAAAGTGTAAACTATTTTTAATAATCACATTGTTGGTGGTGGTGCTGTAACTACTCTGAGAGGGCTTTACATGTGGTGCGGGATAAAGCAAATGAGTGATTAGGTTGGTATCATTGAAAACCAAGCTTTTTCTTCTTTCGTTTTTTATTTTTTTATTTTACTGTAAGTTCTGGGATACATGTGCAGAACGTGCAGATTTGTTACATAGCTATATGTGTGCCCTGCGGTTTACTGCACCTGTTGACCCATCCTCTACATTCCTTCTCCTCACCCCCCACCTGTTTATGTGATGGATTACATTTATTGATTTGCATATGTTGAACCAGGCTTGCATCCCAGAGATAAAGGTGACTTGATCATGGTAGATAAGTTTTTTGATGTGCTGCCGGATTGGGTTTGCCAGTATTTTACTGAGGATTTTTGCATCTATGTTCATCAGGATATTGGCCTGAAGTTTTCTTTTTTGTTGTGTCTCTGCCAGGTTTTGGTATCAGGATGATCTTGGCTTCATAAAATGAGTTAGGAAGGTGCCCCTCCTTTTCAATTGCTTGGAATAGTTTCAGAAGGAATGGTACCAGCTCCTCTTTGTACCTCTGGTAGAATTCGGCTCTGAATCCTTCTGGTCCTGGGCTTTTTTTCTTTGGTCAGCTATTAATTACTACCTCAATTTCAGAACTTGTTATTGGTCTACTCAGGGATTCGACTTCTTCCTGGTTTAGTCTTGGGAGGGTGTATGTGTCCAGGAATTTATCCATTTCTTCTAGATTTTCTAGTTTGTTTGCATAGAGGTGTTTATAGCATTCTCTGATAGTAGTTTGTATTTCTGTGGGGTCAGTGGTGATATCCCCTTTATCATTTTTTATTGTGTCTATTGGATTCTTCTCTCTTTTCTTCTTTATTAGTCTAGCTACTGGTCTATTTTGTTAATTTTTTTAAAAAACCAACTCCTGGATTCATTGATGTTTTGGAGGGTTTTTTGTGTCTCTATCTCCTTCAATTCTGCTCTGATGTTAGTTATTTCTTATCTTCTGCTAGCTTTTGGATTAGTTTGCTCTTGCTTCTCTAGCTTTTTTAACTGTGATGTTAGAGTGTCAATTTGAGATCTCTCTAGCTTTCTGATGTGGAGATGTAGTGCTATAAATTTCCCTCTTAACACTGCTCTAGCTGTGTCCCAGAAATTCTGGTATGTCGTCTCTTTGTTCTCATTGGTTTCAAAGTACTTGTTGATTCCTGCCTTAATTTCATTATTTACCCAGGAGTCACTCAGGAGCAGGTTGTTCAATTTCCATGTAATTGTGCAGTTTTGATTGAGTTTCTTAATCCTGAGTTCTAATTTGATTGCACTGTGGTCTGAGAGACTGTTTGTTGTTATTTCAGATCTTTTGCATTTGCTGAGGAAGGTTTTACTTCCCATTATGTGGTCGATTTTAGAATAAGTGCCATGTGGCACTGAGAAGAATGTATATTCTGTTGATTTGGGGTAGACAGTTCTGTAGATGTCTATCAGGTCCACTTGGTCCAGAGCTGAGTTCAAATCCTGAATATCCTTGTTAATTTTCTATCTCATTGATCTGTCTAATATTGACAATGGGGTGTTGAAGTCTCTTACTATTATTGTGTGGGAGTCCATGTCTCTTTGTAGGTCTCTAAGAACTTGCTTTATGAATTTGGGTGCTCCTGTATTGGGTGCATATATATTTAGGACAGTTAGCATTTCTTGCTGCATTGATCCCTTTATCATTATGTAATTCCTTCTTTGTCTGTTTTGATCTTTGTTGGTTTAAAGTCTGTTTTGTCAGAGACTAGGATTGCAACCCCTGCTTTTTTTTTTTCTTTCTGCTTGGTTGATAAATTTTCCTCCACCCCTTTATTTTGAGCCTATGTATATCTTTGCACATGAGATGGGTCTCCTGAATACAGCACATCGATGGGTCTTGACTCTTTATTGAATTTGCCAGTCTGTATCTTTTAATTAGGGCATTTAGTCCATTTACATTTAAGGTTAGTATTGCTATGTGTGAATTTGATCCTGTCATGATGATGCTATCTGGTTATTTTGCATACTAGTTGATGCAGTTTCTTCATAAGGTCGTTGGTTTTTATATTTTGGTATGTTTCTGCAGTGGCTAGTACTGGTTTTTCCTTTCCATATTTAGTGCTCCCTTCAGGAGCTCTTGCAAGGCAGGCCTGGTAGTGATGAAATCCCTCAGCATTTGGAAAACCAAGCTTTTCACCATGAGGGAAAGGAGATACAGATGTAAACCTGCAGTCCTGAATTTGAACTGGAACATCAATTTGACCCATCAAAATATCTTTTAATAAAATAGATATTTCTTTGATTGGTTCACTCTGTAAAAATCAAGAAACAATGGTCAACTCAGCTGAGCCCCACTGACACCCAGATTGGGGTATTGAAATATTTTCTGCTAAAAGAAACTAGGGCTTTTAGGGAAATGAATGAATTCTGGATCTGGTTTAGGAAATGTGGAACTACCCTCCGCCCCCCTCCACACACACACAAGAATCTGAATCTTATCGATGTATTATATTTCATTAAGGAGAGGCAATCAACAAAATTCAGACTGTGGAGAAATTCCATATGGCAATAGAACCAATTTCTTCAACAACATCAACAACAAAAAATGCAAAGACAAAAACCCAGCATATTGAAGGAAAACCTATAAAGAGAAAAAAAATGTAACAGTGAACCACAATGTATTTACTTACTTGAATCACAAGTCAATCTAGGCAATGTTTTAAAAAGAGTGGAAAGAAGATAATTGGGATCTGTGAACACTGATGAATATTTTAGTGAAAATTTTAAGAAAATTTTTAGGTGAGGATGGTTTTGTGTTTTATGGTAAACACCAAATCCTATCCAGGAGTTTAAAAATTGTTGAAGATGGGTGGTGAGTATATCAGGCTTATTATTTTAGTCTCTCTACTTCTGTTTGTGCTTAAAATTTTCTGCAAGAATATGTTAAAAATGTTTCCATTAATTCAAATTTACATAGTTACTAATAGCAACAATGAAAACTCTTTTATCAAGAGAAGATTTTTGATGTTCAACATTTCTTATTAATATTTCAAGGAAGTTAATAAGATACTATTTAAGTCAGAAACTCAATTACCTGTTCAAGCTTAACACTGGCAAATTTTCTTCCCAATCAGGTTCCTCTGCTTCATAAAAGTCATTTCAAGTAAACTGAGAGAACTAGAAACTAGAACTGAGTGATAACAAATAACTATGAAAATTTATTTTATGATTTAATTTCATTCTAATCTAGGCTTTTAGTAATTGTATATACATTGCCAAACACTCAAAGTTTTAGAAAAACTAGATTATGTATCATATTTAGAGATATTTCTACTATTGTTAGCTTTCTATAAGGTATACTCCCCTTTTACTCAATCTTCTATTACTCCATTGAGTAGAACAAGTTTTATATAACAAAGTTGGAAAATCATGTCAGTGAACCAAAAACTGATTATATGTTTAGCATGTTGTTATTGGCTAACCATTTGGGGAAAGATTCACATCGTATCCTTATTTGATACTTTATACCAAAATTAACTCTATAATATATTAAATATTTAAAATGAAATAATAAAAGTAACATAATACGAATTATTGATAAATGCTTATATAACCTATGTTGAAGAGTAACTTTCTCTTGTGATATCGAGGCAGATGCTACATAAAAAGATTAATAGACTTGAGCACACAAAAACCTTAACCAAAATATCACAAAGTACTCCTCCCGGTTAGTGACCCACAGGTAAATGTTTAAAACATATGTAATTAAGGGTTAATATTAACATATTGAAGGTGTTTCACTTATGAATTCATGAGGAAAAGATAATCTCTAAGAAAAAATGGACTAAGGCCATGAATAAATGATGCAGAAATAAATAGAAATCACTAATATACATGTGAAAAAATGTTCATATATGCTTGCTAGTAATAAAATAAATGCAAATTAATATGAAGATGACAATTTCTCATCTACCAAAGTGGCAAAGACAAGGCGCCTGATTGGGCGGGTGTGTGATATTAGGGACTCAAGTACTGCACTGCTGGGAGAAGTAGCAATCAACACAAGTCTCTCTCGAGGCAATTTGGCAGTATTAAGACTCATAACATTTACATAACCTTTAACATGGAACTTTTTTTTCTGTAGAAATTTTTTCTTAAAAAAAAAACCAGAATGAGTGTGGAAACATTTAGCATAAATGTTTATGGCAGCATTATTTATAATAGCAAAATACTGTAAGCAACCTGAAATCCAATGATGAAAGATTTATACAAACCCTTGGTAGATATACACAGATGCTAAAGAGGTGCTTTATTAACAGAGAAAGACGTTATAGCTGTTGTTAAGTAGGAAAAGAAAGGTTCAAAGATATTTATATTGTGTTATTCCATATTATTATTTACGTATAGTCTATCTGCATTTTATATGAGAAACCTGTAATTTTGTGATAAATTTTAAAAAGATGCCTTATTTCCTATTTATATTTGAAAAGATTCTGATAAGAACCTATGTTGTAAAATGTAACTATAGGAAAGATCATTCAAGATATTGTAATGCTTGTTCTTTTTCTAATTTTTTTAATTTTTAATTTTTATGAGCTAATTGTAGTTGTACATATATATGGGGTACATGTGATATTTTGACACAAGCATACAATGTGTAATGATCACATCTGGGATATTCATAGCAACTAGGATATCCATGACCTCAAATATTTATCATTTCTTTGCGGTGGGAACATTCCAAATCTACTGCACCCACATATGAGTAAGAACATGTGACATTTTTCTTTCTGTGCCTGGCTTATTTCACTTAACATATGGTCCTCAAGTTCCATCCCTGTTGTTGCAAATACCAGGCTATCATTCTTTTTTATGGCAGAATAATATTCCATTATGTATATATGCCACATTTTCTTTATCAATTCGTCCATTGATGGGCACCTAGGATAATACCATATTTTGCCTATTGTTAATAGTGCTGCAAAAAAACATGGGAGTGCAGACATATCTTTGATATACTGATTTTCTTTCTTTTGGTTACTTACCCAGCAAGGGGATGCTGGATCATATCATCATTCCACTACGGAGAACCATATAGACATTCCTCAAAAATCTAAAAATAGAACTACTATAAACAACAATGCTCGTTCTTTTTGAGGCAGAGTACTGAAGAACTCCAGAGGAAAAGCCCAAAATGGTCAGGAACCTGCATGATGTATACTCATATTGTGATCAAACCAAACTGAGTCCAATTGCCCATAAGCAACAGAAAACTAAACACCAAAGCTCCGGGTTTTGCAGCGAGAAAGGTTTTTGTGAGTGGACTGACAAGGAGACGGGAGGAAACGCTCAAGTTGGTCTCCCCTTACTGTCCTTGTAAACATAAATTTTAGGGAGACATTTTGAGGGTGGGGCTTTGGGTCTGGAAAGAAACGGCATTTGGAAAGTGACTTGGGCATGTGCTGTTGACCCTACATGCTTCTTTATGCCTTGCATGTTCAAAAAATGGCAGTGTTAGCATGATCTGGAGGTTAAGTTTTCAGCCCTCTGGTGTCAAAAGGTCCCTCATGGGGTGAGTAAATCTACTCTGTGCAGACTGTAGTCAGCCATGTTGGTTCCAACCGGTCTCAGCCTGCCAGCCAACTTTGTTGCAAATCCCGGGGATTTTAACAATCTGTTTTCTTCTCTGCTTGTTATCTTCACTGTGTTGCAAAACAAGCTCGAGAAATTTTGCTAGTTAACAAATTCTCTAACCCTGGGGCATGTTTCAGTGCCCCCTGTCTTTTAATCATTCCTCAATCTTGTGATGATGACCATTCTAGGTACTTTCTGCTGACGAGGAGCATTGACCTTAGAGAAATGAAATTGTTTAGCACTTTGCTGTGGGAGTTCCCTGGTATTAAGCTTACATTTCAGAAGTTTCAACCCGGTTCTGGGAAAGAGACATTTTCAGCACCAGAGAGTTAAGAAATTGAACATTATTCTCATAACACACAGGAGGAAATGAATAATCAGGAAAAGTTGCAATACAGGTCAGAAGAAGGATCCAATATCTTGGGGAAGCCAACTGAAAAGATTATGAAGTAGAAGAACCTTGGTTCTTTGTTAGATACTTGGTTAAGGCAGGTGGCTTCTTGTCCGATTTTCTCCAAATGTATCTCAACTTCTGCAGTGGTATTAATGTAAACGCAACATGATGTGTTAACTACTACACAAACAACTCCTTACTCGGCCAGTATACAATCAAGAGCCACTCCATGGCTATACTATTTTAACCAAAGAATCTATACCCTCTGTTTTGCCACTGTGGGTAAGGTGGTCTCATTGGTAAGCCTTGCCAGGGTGTTGGAAAGATTTCTAATCATGTGTTCATGAACTGCACACCCCACCTAGTTAACAGAGTTCACCTGAAGAAATATCATGCCCCATGCAATAAGCTGCCTGGCAAATATTTACTGGGTAGGGTATCTAACATAAATCTTGGCTCTTGCATATAGTTTTATGGTACTAGTCCAATGCTTGGCATCACTAACATTATTGATAAAGAAAGGAGTGACTAGGTGCCCTAGTAAACAGAAACCTCCTATATGACAGCTGTCAAGGTATTCATAGGTCCAAGACTGGCCATTTGCTCTGCAAGTAAATATATATCCTGAAGGGGGCACACACAATACTAGACATGTTGTTAAAATTCAAGTTCTCATTTTTGGAAATTTCATCTAGGACTTGATCAAGCCAGGAGTCAGTTTATAGTGGTGTCCAGGAGGAGTCATCTGTCGTACAAACTGGTAGGGAAGTGGGTGGTCCTTGAAGGTATACTCAGTTCCTTCTTGACATAATGGTGTAGACCTATATTTTGACATAATGGTTTAGACATTCTCCACATAATGATGTAGACATGTACTTTAATATAATGGTGTAGACCTGTACTTTAATATAATGATGTAGACATTCTTGAAATAATGGTGTAGACCTGTACTTTGAGGATGCATTGGTTCATCTCTTCTGGACTACAGGGTAGGATACAGTAAGCAAAAAGTAAGTGTTGTTATGTAAATGGATGATTTCAGTCCTTCCATTAGGCAATATCTGCTGTATGTGGGCATAGGCCTCTTTGTGCTTGCATTGTTTTTCAGCTCTTAGCATAGGTGTGTCTTTGTGGGAATTGTTAGTGGAAAACAGGCAACTGACAATTCTCCATCAGCCAATCTGACTCCATAAGTTATACCTATTTTGTTTTTGTTTTTGTTTTGTTTTTTTTTTATCATAGGTCACCATGAAATTTGGCATGCTAGAGAAATTGGTCACAGGGATAATTAGGAGATCAGCATGATTAGGTACAGAGGAGGTTCCTGGATCACATATGCAACACTAAGTAAAATCCCCAAAGTGGCAAGAGATTGGGAAACCTGTATTAAGGAAAAATTCCCATGCTATGATTAAAGCAAGTGAATGGATATCGTTAAGAAGAAGGTGGCGGGGCGGTGGGGGGGGCGGAAAATTTTAACAGAGGGAGTGAAGAACCTTAATGATCATGAAGAAATGATTTAATTTTTCAAGTAACACACACACAAATCACAAATTAATAGAAATTTAGGACAAAGCAAGCAACAAGTAAATCAAGAATCTAAGAAGCATCCATATCTTCTCTTGTGGCTTTCTTTTGAAAAGCAGCTAAGAGCAGCCAAAGCCTCACAAAAATAGGAGGCTGAGAGAAGTCTGTGTCAGGGGTAGGCTTCCAATCGATGTTGGGGTGGCCTTAGCCCTTATGGAAATCCTCAGGACAGTTCCCATTCTAATGGCATGACTGTGGGGAGAAGGTCAATCTGCTGAACTGGAACCATCTTGACATGAGAGTGGTGAATCCAAGGCGTGACTCCCTATAATTTAACAGAGAAATGAGTTACCAGGCATACTTCATATGGCCCCACATACCTGGGATGCAGTTGATCCTCAGAATGTTTGTTCTTCCAAGATTTAAGCAACACCCAGTCTCCTAGAGTCAAATGATGAAGCAGCACATCTATAAGAGACCTTAACCTGCGGGAGGCAAACTTATGAATAGCAGTTAAAGTGGCACCTGGGGATTGGACATATTTAATGAGGTCTAGTTCTCTTACCCTCCATCTCTCCGAGGCCCTAGGTCAAGCTCATTTTGAGGGAAGGGTCTCTCATAAAGTATTTCATAAGGGCTCAGTTGGAGCTTACTTTGTGGGGGCTACCCTCACTCTAAGCAGTGCAACCAACAGTGGCTTATCCCAGGTCAAATTAGTTTCTTGACAAATTTTAGCCAGAGCTTTTTTTTAGAGTGTATTTCATCTTTTCTATCTTTCTTGTGGAGTGGGGTCTCCTTGAAGAATGGTGTTTCCATTGTACTTTCAGAGCTCCAGAGATTTCCTGTGTCATTCTAGCAATGAAGGCTGCTCCACTGTCACTTTGCATTGAGGATGGCAGTCCAAATCTAGAAATGATTTATTTTAATAAGGTTTTGACTACTTCAGAAGCTTTTTCTGTCCTAGTAGGAAGGACTTCTACCTATCTTGCGAAAGTATCCACACATAGTAGCAGATACCTCAAGTTTCTGGCAACCTTCAGCATCATGGTGACATCTGTTTGCCAGTCCTCACTGGTGGTTTTTTTTTTTTTTAAACTTTTCTCTCTTCTCTTCCTTCTTCCTCCTTTTCTTCTTCTTCCTCTACTTCCTCTCTTCCTCCTCCTTCCTCTCCTCCTCCTCCTTCTTCTTCTTCTTCTTGTTCTTCTTCCTTGTCCTCCTCCTCCTTCTCCTCTTCCTTCTCCTCCTCCTCCTCCCCTTCCTCTTCTTCATCTGCTTCTGCTTCCTGATTTTTAGAGATGGGGTCTTGCTATGTTGCCCAGGCTGGTATTGAACTCCTGGGATCAAAAGATCCTCCTGCTTCAGCCACCCACAGTGCTGGGATTATAGGCTTGAGCCTCGGCCCCTGACCCCTCACCTGGTCTTAACCTCCTGGCTTGAACTCCTTTTATGACTGAGATGGACCAGTCTTTATGTTATGGAGTAACCCATTTTTCTAAAAGATGATTTAATTTGTTTCCCTTGTTCCCTACTTCCTACTTAGCCCTTTAGAAAAGCAAATATAGCCTTTTACCCTCTCCTTCATCAGACCCCCCACACAGGGCAAGTTCATCTGTCTCCTGGAGAGTTAATAATCAATTTACAGACCAAAGCATCCCCACTAAGGAACTCCCTCCATCAGGAGGTGGCCTCAAGAGATAAGAGTCTGTCCATGAAGGTGCCAGCAGTCACCAGCTTGACTGCCTACTGGATAAGGCACCAGAGCTTACGTGGACCCCTCACTTTGATTATTTCCTCCTTGCCTTTTAAAAGTGCCTGCTTTCTGCCCCAAAAGTGAAGCAGTATGGCAGGACGCCTGTGCCTCTTCCCCAAGCTAGCTTTGGAATAAACCACTTTCTTCATACCAGATCTCACTCTTGTTAATTGGACTCTGCATGTGGTGAATAAGTAACCTGATGTTCAGTTACATTTGGTTTATTCTTTGTACAGATCACACATTGGTGTATTACCTTTTGGATTGTTCTCCACAAGTTGGGTCCAATGATATATTTTTGTATCCATTGTAGTGTAGCATCCCTACCATAGTGAGTGCTCTTGTGGACATGACTAATTACTTCTTCCATTAAGTGCTGAGGAATCAGTACCTTTTCTTGTCTATTGCATATCCCTCTTTCCTTAGTATACTTTTATGTGGTGTCCTGAGAACATATCAGTCCCCAGTTAAATCCCCATTGATTGAATCTTTCCAAGTCCTTGGGGGAGTAGATGGGCTTACTTTTTGATGAGGGTGTATTTAGTTTGAGCTGGACATGTCCTGATGAGTGTCACTACAGCATTTTCAGCCATCCATATCCCTCGATTCATGAAACTACTTCCATCAGTGAATCAGATTTGGATCTTTTAGGGGTTGATTTACTGAGTTGAGCTGGCTAGAATAAACTTGACCGATAATTTGAATACAATAATGAATAGTTTCTTCCATGCTACTCAGGAGTAAGGTGGTGAGATTCAAGATGGAGACTACTTTTAGTTTCACATTCGAGTTGCCCAGCAGTAATGTTTGGTATTTTTCTAGCCTCCCAGGTATAAGCCAATGTTCTCCTTTTTGCTCTAAAAGAGATAACGTGTAATGTGGGGTGTGAATTGTAGTAGGCTGTCCTGTGGTAAACTTGTCAGCCTCTAAGAAGAGCAAGTCACAAATGATTGCTACTGCCTGAAGTCAAACTGGCCATCTTTGTATGACAACATCTAGTTCTGAAAAATAAGCCACAGGTTTCTTATGGGCCCTAAATTCTGAGTTAACACCCCAGGGCTTACTTGCTGTCTTTCATGACAAAAAGGTCAGAAGATTTTCTTAGACCTGGAAGGCCTAGGGAAGGAGCAATCATCAATTTTTCTTTTATGTCCTGGAAAACTCTGTGACATTCTCCAGTCCATTTTAGGGGTTCCTTGTCCTCATCTTTCATGGCTTCCTAAAGGGGCTTAGCCATGAACTCAAAGTTGGGAATCCAAATTCAGAAAAATCCTACCATTCCCAAAAAAACCCTAGGGGAGTAGTGATCTGTCTATCTATCTATCTATCTGTCTGTCTATCTATCTATCTATCTATCTATCTATCTATCTATCTATCTATCTATCTACCTACCTGTTGGTTTTCAGCCACAGTTCCATGCTCGCCACTCCCATAGCCTTACTTATAGTCTTTTGTTACAATGTTGAATGTGTCAGGTCTCAGGAAACAGAATCTCTCTGACATTTTATCATGCCCACCTCTCACCTGCTCCGAGGCAGGACTCTAATCTTCCCCTGGCTTTCTGACTGTTGGTCATAAGACCTTCATTCCAGAGAGGGTCTCATTCCATACCCTGGGGGAAGGAATGCTGGCATCCTGAAGCTTCCATAAAAACCCAAGAGGACAGGGTTCAGGGAGCATGTGGATAGCTGGATGTGTGGAGGCTCCTGGAGAGTGGCATGCCCAGGGAGAGCATGGAAGCTCTGCACCCCTTCCCCCATACCCTACCCTACACACCTCTTTATCTGTATTTATCCTTCCTTTCTAATATCCCTTATAATAAACTCGTAAACATAAGTTAGTGTTTCCTTGAGCTCTGTGAGCAGCTTGAGCAGCTCCTGCAAATTAACTGACCCTAAAGAGGGGATCTTGGGACCCCAATCTTGAGGCTGGTAGGTCATAATTTCCAGAGGTCCAGAATTGCAACTGGTGTCTGGGGTTGAGGGGGCAGTCTTGTGGGATTGAGATCTCAATGTGTGGGGTCTAATGCTCCCTCTAGACAGATAGTGTTGAAATTGAATTGGAGGAAACCCAGCTGTTTGTCTGCTGCAGAATTGCTTGCTTGCTTGCTGGTGGGGAGAAAGTCCCACATTATCTGGGGGTCAAAGGAGTCTTGTTAGTTGATTGCTGTTGTTGGTATTAGAACAGAGGAAAAACATGGCTTGAGGGTTTAATAACAATTGGTGTCAGATAAATAAGGTTTTCTAGAAAGGCCCTTACTCACAGAAATATGTGGTTTGGGAAGAGAAAGGATGGAAATGTGGGGAATAAGGAACCTTTCCTTCCCTGAGTGACCACATGGTCACCCATGGCATTGGAGCTGCAGCTGTGCTGCACCCAGTTACTAAAGGCAAAAGTTATCAGTGGAATTTAGAGATGGGTCAAATTAACTCCTGCGGAGTTGGTTTACTGGCTGCACAAGGAAATGCAAACTAATAAGAAAAAAAAGGGAAATACTCAATACCTTGGTTATTGTTATCTATAATAGCTAAGATGGAAGTAAAAGAGAATGCTAGGCTGGGCCTTGAGCTGGACCAAGCTCAGATGTGGATGTGTCTGGGTTCAGGCCACTAACCACAAAGTCATCCACAAAGGGGAAAGTTCTGTTCCTTGGGGACAGCAGAAAGTACCTCTGAGACCTGTGATTACCAAGAAGGTAGTTAATGTAGCGGAAGGGCAAAACCAAGTAACTTGAAACCAGAGGGTATCCTGTGTGACAGCACTGTCTCATTTTGAAGATTAGCATTATCAGCTTCTTGAGGAACTTTTACTAAAATGGATTATGAGATAAATTAATTTAGGGGCAGTATCTTTGGTTTTAAATGCTGCAGAGTGGAAGACCATGTTTGGGTTGATGCAGGACCCACAGGTCACTATTGAACAATTGCAGATACGTATATATGAACTAGAAACACAGGAGGTTATTCCTGAAGAAACAGCCCACCTGCCCACAAGCCACTGTAAGGTCTGTTTACCCTGAAAATGGGACCTGTCCAACTCCATCTATAAATACCGAGTGGAGCATCAGATGAAGTAGCTGATATGCTTCCTCCCAATAGTTCCTTGCTCAGGGCTTCAACCAGCAAGGTGGCCTGGTGTTTCATTTTGCACTGCTCATTATTTTCTTGGACCTCATCTCAGCCACCAAAAACCTTGAAAGCAATCTGAAACCACTGAGACATGGTCATTCCTAAAGCCCCTTCCACTATTTGTAATTTATTCTGAATGTTGGGGGCAGCTTGCCCAGTAAAGGTCATATTTCTCATTTTTAGATTTTTCAGTGCTTCCAGATCTATTTCTGTGTATTGTCAGTAAGCCCCCAAAATTCTAAGTATTCTGAGGGGTCTTTGTTAGGCTTTTGTTTGACCTACTGGGTGTAATTTAAACTGCTTTGTTTCAAAACTCCTTTCTTTAGCCCTTTAAGTATGCAATCTCTGTAATGTTCAAACTTATTTCTATGTTCCATGTCCCAAGGATTCCATCAAGGGTTCGTGTAGGGATGGTCAAGTCAGTGCAGCCCTTAGCAAGTTATTAGGGGCTTCTTCATATATCTTAACCGCCTTGATACAGGCTCTTTTAAAGGAAAATTCTATGTTCTTCTGAAGTAAGGAGGGTTTTTAAGAGAGTTTGGATATCTGCCGGAGGATTGTGGGTGGCAAAAAGAGAAGCATTCTTTTCTTTCTTTGTTGCAGACAGAAGGGATTGTAACAAACTGTTTTCTTCTCCACTGTCCTGCGAAAGAAGCTCAAGAAATTTTGCTAGTTAACAAATTATTTACCACTGGGGCACAGTTACAGTATCTGATTTTGACATGTCATAAATTAAAGAAATGTAATACTTTGGGATTTTTGAGGCTTTAAAGGGGTAGAACATGGATAGATTTTTACCTCCAAGATATACACACACATACACATAAACACAGACATAAATATACAAGCTTGGGCAGTATGATGAGGAAAGACTACTAATGCAGTCATCCTGATAAATACTAAGAACCGATAAATAAGGGATTTAAACTCGATGATACATCAAGTCCTGTGCTACAGTTAGTTGTTATGATCAGATGTCTGTAAAATATTTAATATTTGAAAATGTTCCAAAAGAATACCAGGGCTTAAATAAGCAGATTCACTCATTCAACAAATATTTATTAAGCACATGTTATGTGCCAGGAATCATTTTAGCCTCTGAGACTACTGCAGTAACCAAACAAATCTCTACCCTCATGTAGCTTTCAGTTGAGAAGTTAAATTTTTGTAGAACAAGTAATGGATAAATTTTTTAAAAAAAATCAAGCTCAGTCATCCACATTCACTAATTGTAGAATCACACATCGTGTGCACCATTTTTAAAAAGCTCTGATTTTAGCCCTTTTACAGTTAACTGAACTCTGACCTTAGGGGTTCTGAACACAGAGGAGTGGACTCTACTTATTTTGCAAGGGCAAAAAGGGAGACATACGCAGGTTCCCAGATAATTTCCATTTTATTCATCCACCCTCACCCCCACTGAATATCAAAAATCATAACTAGAACCTGTTAATTTTATTTTTAAATATTTCTTTAACATCGCTCATGTCTCTCCATGTACATTATCACCACGCACCACAAGTAACCATCATGTCTTGCCTGGGCCGTGACAATCTCTTCCTAACTGGTCTCACCACATTCACCTTTATTCTGCTCCAATTCATTCTCTACACATGGGCTGTCAGGTGTGCCTTTCTACCACTAGCCGCAGGGGCTATTGAGCAACACACAGCTAGTCTACATTGAAATGAGCTGTAAGTATAAAACACACACCTGATTTCAAGCACTTAGCATGAAAAAAGGATGTAAAACATCTCGTTTATAATGATAATAATTATTATTATTTTGAGACGAAGTTTCGTTCTTGTTGCCTAGGCTGGAGTGCAGTGGCGCAATCTTGGCTTACTGCAACCTCCGCCTCCCAGGTTCAAGCAATTCTCCTGTCTCAGCCTCCTGAGTAGCTGGGACTGCCACCATGCCCGGCTAATTTTTGTATTTTTGGTAGAGACACGGTTTCACAATGTTGGCCAGGCTGGTCCTGAACTCCTGACCTCAGGTGATCCACCCTCCTCGGCCTCCCAAAGTGCTGGGATTACAAGCGTGAGCCACCGCACCTGGCATCGTTTATAATTTTTATATTGATTCCATGTTGAAATGATCCATCGAGTTAAGTAGAATATATTAAAATTAATTCCATCTGTTTCTTTTTACCTTTTTAAAAGCTATGGATGCTAGAATATTTATTATTCGATATGTAGCTTGCATTATATTTTTGTTGGACAGTACTGCTGTGTACTGTAAACAAATCTAATTATGCCAGTCCTTGCTCACAATCTTTCAGGGTCTTTCTGTTACTCTTTAGATAAAGACCAAAATCTTTAACGTGGCCTCTAGGTCTGTGAAAGATCTCCCACCTGCCTCACTATTTCCATCACTTTTCAACCTTCCATCTTGATTTCTGAGCTCCAGTCAGCCACCTCTTTTTAGGTACTTCAGCACAGTGATTTTTTCTAACTACAGATTGAGACTTAATAATGAGACATGAAATAAATTCTGTGAATCGAGACCAGCGTTAAAATAATAGAAGAGAAAAGAAGGGAAGGGAAGCGAAGGGAAAATAAAATAGGGTACATCACAAACAAAAGGGTAAATACTTCATGTAAATGCTTGTTACGTTTTGTGTTAGTTTACTGGATTATGTTGTAAAATATATTTTGTATTGAAAGGAAAATGTTTGAGAAGCAATACTTTAACCCAGGGTTTCTCAACCTTGGCACTATTGACATTTTGGTTGGATCACCCTTTGCTGTCGAGGGGCTGTCCTGTTCTGTGTAGGATGTTGAGCAGTGTCCCTAGCCTCTACCCACTAAATGTCAGTAGCACACCCTCTTCCATCACGACAACTAAAAATACTTCCAGATTTTGCCAGATGTCTCTGAGTAAGAACCCTTTCTCTAAGCCATCAGGCTTGATCTCACGACCCAGCTTTTTTCCTTAACTGAACGACACATCTCACCTCTCAACTCCTGGGTAACTCTTACTCACTCTTTAGTTGTCAGTTTAATTGTACTGTCCTTGGGAAAGTCTGTCCTAACTCCTCCAGGAGGATCTTTTCCTTTTGTTACACATTCTCCTAAAATCATGCTCTCTCTTTCAAGCACTTATCAGTTTTTAATTTTCCATTTATTTCTGTGATTATTAGGTGAATATCTACGTTTCTCACTAGATAAAAGCAGGGATCATTTTTGTTTTACTCACAATACAACATTAAATATATATTTATTCAGTGTCTACTATGCATTGCCTCCATTCTAGGTGGTAGATATACACCGCATACCTGAACAAGTAAAATTCCTGCCCTTGGGTAGCTGACAGCTTTGTTGGGGAGACATAAAATACAGAAACAGACCAATACTTAAGTACAAATTAAAAATGGAAATGGTGCTAAAATAAAGATGTGTTTGGGGGTTGGAAGACCTATTTAGACAGAGTTGTCAGGAGAAGAACTCACACAAGGAGTGAACTTTAAGTAAAATTTGAAGTATTAGAAAGATACTCCCATATACAGACAGGGAAAGAATATTCAAGGAGCAAGTACTATCTAACTCAAAGGCCTTATAACATGTTTCTACTAGGTTTTTAAAAGATCATCTGCTGTTAAGAAAATGCATCAAGGAGACTGAAAGTAAAGAAGGTGAAGCCACTTAGGAAGTCATTCAGTCAAGGCAAGAGGTCATTAGTGTCTTGGACTAGGGGATGTCATAGTGGTAATGACAAGAAGTGTATGAAATACAAAAATTTACTAGATAAATAATATGTCAATTCTGACAACTGACATACTAGGTACTTACTAAATATTTGCTAATTTAATATCAATGTGAATAATAAAATAATTTAAAAATGTGAATTCATTCAACATTTGCTAACACAATGAGATCAAAGCTTTAAGAAATTAAGACAAATTTGGAGTAAGTTTGAGTATTTGCTTTTTATTTTTGCCATGATATCTGCCTCTTAAAGCTTAGTTTAAATTCTATATTGTCTAAGGAAAAATCTGTCTCCATAGCTATATTCTCATGGCAAATTTGCTCTAGCTCCATTGTAGCATTTATCATTGTCTACCTTAGACATTTATGTGTTCATCTGCCCAACTATATTATGGTTGGTAGTGAAAGCTAATTTTAAAAAAATCATTTGAATTCTGATACAATAAACTGTATATTGAAGACATTAAATAATGTTAAACAAAATGTTATATATTTCTCACAGAATATTACTTGGGAAAATTCAATCTCTTAAGACTTTTATTTGATGACTCTTTCTGTCAGAAATAATCTTCCAATGGACAGGAAATTAATTGTTTACAGTTTTTATTTCAAGTTAAAGTTTATTTTAAAAAGTAGTGTTTTAAAACATGTTTCAATGCCAGACATAGCAAAGACTATTTCACTAATACAAACAGTTTTTGATGATGCATTTCATTATGGGAGCTGAGGTTATATATATTTCATTTCTATGTGATGAATCCCGAGGAGTAGAATTGCTGCATCATAGGGTAAGTGTGTATTTAACTCTATAAGAAACTACCTAATCTTTTTCCAAAGAGATTAACCATTTTATACTCAGCCACATATGAAAGTTCTTATTTTGCCACATCCTTATCAACTTTTGCTATGCCAGTCATTTTCATTTCAGCCATTTTAGTTGGAGTGAAATGATATGTCATGGAAGTTTTAATTTGAAGTTTCCTGATGACTAATGATGTTGAGCACTTCATCATATGTTTATTAGCCATTCATTTGTCTTTCTTTTTGAAGTGTCTCTTTTAGTCCTTTGCCCAATATTTAAAATTTGCTGCATTTTTGTTATTGAATTGTAGGTGTTCTTTACATATGGTGGATATATGTATTTTTCAGATGTATCTATTATGACTACTTTCCCCCAATGTGTGATTTGCCTGTTCGTTTTCCTAATAGTGATATTTAAGGAACAGAAGTTTTTAATTTCAATGAAGTAATTTCTCATTTTTTTAAATGTTTTATGGTTAATGTTTTCTACGGCCTAAGAAATCTTTGTTGGCTACAACTCATGGAGATATTATTCTATGTTTTCTTTTAAAAGCATTATAATTATAGCTTTTGAGTTTAAGTTTATGATCTTTTATTTTCTGTGTGTGATGTTTTGCAGGGATGGTAGTTTATTATTTTTCTTATGGATATCTAGGTTTCTTGGAACCATTTGCTGAGAAGACTTTTCTTTCCTTATTAAATTGCTGCTGTATTTTTGTAAAACTTTAATTGGCTGTATATATAAGTGAGTCAACTTCTGGATTCCAGATTGTTGTTGTTGTTGTTTTGATCTATTTTTTTCTATCCTTAAGTCAATATCACATTGACTTGATTACTGTAACATAAGTGTTACAATCAAGTGTATGTAATTCCTTCAACTTGGATGTTCTTTTTCAGAATTGTTTTTAGCTATCCTAGGTTTTTATAAATTTCATATACATTTTAGCACTTGCTTGACAATATCTAAAAAAAACTGCTAGGATTTTGTATGGGATGATGTTGAAACTCTATATCAACTTCAGGAGAATTAACATCTTAATGGTAATTATGTCTTCTAATCCATGAACATGGAATATATTACCATTTATTTAAGTCTCCTTTAATTTTTATTAAAAATGTTATATAGTTTTTACTGTGGAAGTCTTGCACCGCCATTGATATATTGTTAAATTTATGATTAAACATTTTAATGCTATTGTTCAGAACATTTTCTATGATCTTATTTTTATCTCTGGGATATGTAGTGATGTCCCTTTTTCATTTCTGATATTGCTAATTTTTGTTCTCATTTTCTGTTTCTCTCCCCTGAGCATTTTAAAAGCCCATCAATTCTATTAATCTTTGCAGAATCAACTTTTGTGCAGAATCAACTTTCGATTATTGTTTATTATTTTAAATTTCATGTATCTGCTATTATCTGACTTATTTCCACTCTTTGGCTTACTTTGGGTTTAATTTTGAAAAAGTCCAATTAAAAATTTTTACCAACCGTCTTCCGTTAGGTAAGAAGCCCTTTGATAGCGAAGACAATATCTAATGCTGTGTATATAAAGCTTCAAAAATATTGGTTAAATCAATTGCCAGAGACAGAAATGGGAAAGTTCCAGTTGTCCAGCATGTAATTTGGTAAGCATTTGCATTAGTTATCTATTGATGAATAATATATTAATCCAAAGGTTCTTGCCTGATCGGGAAGGGGAAGAAATATAAGAAAATGACTAAAAATAAAAATCCCTTTAAAATGCAGAGGAGTGTAATAATGTAGAAAGAGCAGAGATATGGAACAGAATGGGTCAAATTCCAGTCTCTAGATGTGGAATTTGGGGTAAATACTTCTCTGAACTTTAATTTCCTCATGAAAATTTGGTTATCACTACTTCTAATAGGTTTATAGAATTAAATGAAATAACATGTAAAATGCTTGGAAGAATGTGTAGCATATATTAGAAGTTCAATTGATGTCATTTTTATCAGTCTCGGTGTCATTTTGTAAATATGCTCTGAGATTAAAGTTACTACTGAGTATATGGAAGGAGATACATAAATAACGTGGTTAGCACCAGGCACAGTCCATTTTAGATGTGCCTAGAACACACACCTTGTAAATGTCTGTAGAACTTACAAACCTTTACAAATCATGTTATGGCTATTGGAGACAGAAAAAAGTCTATAGATGACTTTTTGGGCTCATAATTTTTGCTTAAAATCTATACCTTGTTTCTTCAACTGAAGGTTTAGTTGTTATTATTATTATTTTTTTCAAAAGACCTAGCTGTGAGCTAGTGCATATTAAAAGAGAACAAAAATAAAGACAAGATGGGACATATGAAACAACCTTTGGACCACCATATTCAATAAAGTAGAGTAAAAAATGGTAATTCGAGATCAGGAATTCTGAATTTTCTCCTTGTATATGAGTGACCACCCAAGGGGAATCACGTACCTTCAATCTCTTAAGAATATTGTATCTTAGATAAATAAATCATCTCTTAAGACTATTAATGGGTGTAAAACATATTTCCATTATAACATCAAAGGTTAGTGATCATCAGGATTTTCCCATAATTTGGTGAATACCTATCATTGCCCTGAATGTTACTAAAGAAATATCTGAGATTGGAAAGACACACCCTCACACTTTCCACTTCTGTTCATATATTATTGGGTAAAAAAGTCATGTCTATGGTTAACTTTAAGTGAGTAGATGTGATGGTTAATATTGAGTATCAACTTGATTGGATTGGAGGATGCAAAGTATGGTTCCTAGGTGTGTCTGTGAGGGTATTGCCAAAGGAGATTAACATTTGAGTCAGTGGACTGGGAGAGGCAGACCCACCCTCAATCTGAGTGGGCACCATCTAATCAGCTGCCAGTGTGGCTAGGATAAAAGCAGGAAGAGGAAGGTGGAAAGACTAGACTCACTGAGTCTTCTGTCCTCCATCTTTCTCCCGTGCTGGATGCTTCCTGCCCTTGAACATAGGACTCCAAGTTCTTCAGCTTTGGGTCTCTTGGACCTTCAACCACACACTAAAGGCTGCACTGTTGGCTTCCCTACTTTTGAGGTTTTGGGACTCAGACTGGCTTCCTTGCTCCTCAGCTTGCAGACGGCCTATTGTGGGACCTCCTTGTGATCGTGTGAATCAATACTCCTTAATAAAGTTCTCTTTATATATACATCTATCCTATTTGTTCTATCCCTCTAGAGAACCCTGACTAATACAGTAGAGAAGTACAAGCCTTCTGTGAGCAGCAGTAATATCTACCACAGACACTTAAAATAGCTACTAAGCACATGGTTCTCTCATTTTCTTTACTCATAGACCCTAAAACAATTTAGAGCTCCAGATTATAAGCTGAAAATAGTTGACATAAACTGATTCAACACTTAAACATTTTCCCAATCATGAACTAGGGCTTCTAAGTGCTTTATACATACTTGTTCATTTATTCCACAAGACAATCTTAAGAGGTCAATATTATTATCCCTATTTTATAGATAGGGAAGTTAAGGTACAGAGAAGACAAGTGATTTGCCCAGTATCACACAACTGGAATTCATAGCCAGGCAGACAGTCTGACCCCAGAATTCACACTCTTAACCATTAGAACACACTGTTCTACAGTGAGGGGAACAACAAACACCAGGGTGTGTTGGGGGGTGGGGGGTGAGGGGAGGGAGCTTAGAAGATGGGTTAATAGGTGCAGCAAACCACCACGGCACACGTATACCTGTGCAACAAACCTGCACGTTCTGCACATGTATTTCTTTTCTTTTTTTTTAGGAGAAAAAAAAAGAACACGCTGTCTTCAGGATAGGTCCTTGACAACTATTTTTTGAAGAGCTATGGGCCAGGATCTGAGCTGGGATTTTTAATCTGTATTCTCAATATGCATGGAATATATGTGTCAGAATCTAGCCATTATGCAGGAAGACCACTGCTGGACTTGAGAAAAATTTCCACAATGCACTATTTTCAATTATGGACATATTAGAAAAGAGTATTCTACATTTTGTGCCACATTTTCTGAATCCAGTCTATCATTGTTGGAGATTTGGGTTGGTTACAAGTCTTTGCTATTGTGAATAGTGCCGCAATAAACATACATGTGCATGTGAAAATGTGGCACATATACACCATGGAATACTATGCAGCCATAAAAAATGATGAGTTCATGTCCTTTGTAGGGACATGAATGAAGCTGGAAACCATCATTCTCAGCAAACTATTGCAGGGACAAAAAAACCAAACACTGCATGTTCTCACTCATAGGTGGGAATTGAACAATGAGAACACTTGGACACAGGAAGGGGAACATCACACACTGGGGCCTGTTGTGGGGTGGGGGGAGGGGGGAGGGATAGCATTAGGAGATATATCTAATGTTAAATGAGGAGTTAATGGGTGCAGCACACCAACATGGCACATGTATACGTATGTAACAAACCTGCATGTTGTGCACATGTACCCTAGAACTTAAAGTATAATAAAAAATATATTAAAAAAGAAAAGAGTATTCTATTCATTTTGTATATTTTTCCATATTTCTACAAAGGGTCCTAACATATAAGTAACTTCTGTTGCTCAGTGTATGACCTTCGTTAAACAGTGCTTGTGCCAAAACCTCAAGAATGCATTACTTTCCTCTTTTGAGAGGAGAAAAATATAATTTTGCAGGGTTGCATGGGATGAAAATAATGAAAATATACAAATCCGTTATTTATATTTAGTTGACTTATTTGTCCCACACAGCCTTCCAATTTTTAATCTTTTGTACCTTTGTACTAATGGCAAATAAGAATTAATGGATAAAGAAGACAAAATGGAAAATCATAAAGTAAGTTCATAGTCTCTAAAAATAATTTGTTTTAACATCATCATTTTTGCATTTTCAGAAATCAAATTCTACATCAAGTGCCATTTGCTAATTGAATAATTTGATCATCTATGAAAGGGATTAGCAAACTACAACCTGCAAGCCAAGTCTGGCCTGCTGCTTATTTTTATAAATAAAGTATTATTGAAGCATGGCTATACCCATTCATTTAGTGTCATCTATGGCTGCTTTTGCACTTAAAATGGAAGAGTTGAGTAGTTGTGACAGAGACAGTCTGGCCCACACAGCCTAAATTATTTAATATCTGTTCCTTTTCAGGAAGAATAAAATTGCCAGCCTCAGGTTTATGCACATATCAGTTGCTGAACTATTGATAATAAGTCTGATATTTTGGGTATCCTTTTTTCTGTAGTCAGTGTTTTGCTTCACCTTGCAAATCACATGCTCAAAGAAGGGCCCACTAAAAATATAGTGAACAGATGTCCTAGTCCCATTAGATCATCAAGGCTTACATTCATGATATAATTGATCCCATTATCAAGTGATTACCATATTATTAAACTTTCTACTAGGCATCTCTGTTTTATGGTGCTTTGCCAAACACCAGTCCTATTTCTGTTTATTCCTGCTTTATGGTAGCTCACATAATACCGAGATAGAGTTTCATGCTATAGTCTAAATGAAATAAATGTTTAAATCACTGGTAATGAAAGGAGATATCAGAAATCCTTTTCTAAAATTTTTAATTTTTATGGGTACCTAGTAAGTGTATGTATTTATGGGGTATGTTGTATATTTTCATAGAGTATTATCACATCAGGGTAAATGGAGTATCCATCACCTTAAGCACTTATCCTTTGTGTTACAATGCAATTATACACTTTTATTTTAAAATGTACTGTTAAATTATTGACTATAGTCACCCTATTTGCTACCAACTACTAGATATTATTTATTCTTTCTAACTATTCTTTGTACCGTTTAACCATCCCCACTCTCCTACTCCCTACACTTCCCAGCTTCTGGTAACTATCCTTCTATTCTCTATTTCCATGAGTTTAATTGTTTTGGTTTTTAGATCCCACAAATAAGTGAGAACATGCAATGTTTATCTTTCTGTGCCTGGCTTATTTAACTTAATGATTTCCAGTTACATCTATGTTATTGCAAATGACAGGATCTCATTCTTTTTTATGGCTGAATGGTACTCCATTGTGTATATGTACCATATTTTCTTTATCCATTCATCTATTGATGGACACTTACGTTGCTTCCAAATCTTGGCTATTGTGAATAGTGCTGCAATAAACATGGAAGTGGAGATATCTCTTTGATATAATGATTTCTTTTCCTTTGGGTATATGCCTAGAAGTGGGATTGCCAGATCATATGGCAGCTCTACTTTTAGTTTTTTGAGGAACCTCCAAACTATACTCCATAGTGGTTGTACTAATTTCCACTCCCACCAACAGTGTATGAGGGTTCCCTTTTCTCAACATCTTGCCAGCATTTGTTATTGCCTGTCTTTTGGATAAAAGCCATTTTAGCTGGGGTGAGTTGATATCTCATTATAGTTTTCCTTTGCATTTCTCCGATGATCAATGATGTTGAACATATTTTCATATACCTGTTTACCATTTGTGTGTCTTCTTTTGAGAAATGTCTATCTAGATATTTCACTCATTTTTTAGTCAGATTATTAGATTTTTACCTATAGAGTAGTTTGAGCTCCTTGTGTATTCTGGTTATTAATCTATTGTTAAATGGATAGTTTACGAATATTTTCTCCCATTCTGTGAGTTGTCTCTTCACTTTATTGATGTATCCTTTGCTGTGCAGAAGCTTTTTAACTTCATGTGATCCCATTTGTCCATTTTTGCCTGGGCTTGGGGGGTTATTACTCAAAAAAGTTTTGCCCAATCCAATGTCCTGGAGAGTTTCTGCAGTGTTTTCTTGTAGTAGTTTCATAGTTTGAGATCTTAGATTTAAATCTTTAATCCATTATTATTTGATTTTTGTATATGGCGAGACATAGGGTCTAGTTTGATTCTGCATATGGATGTCCAGTTTTCCCAGCACCATTTATTGAAGAGACTGTGCTTTCCCTATTGTATGTTCTTGGCGTCTTTGTCAAAAATGAGTTTATTGTAGATGTATGGATTTGCTTCTGGGTTCTCCATTTTGTTCCATTGGTTTATGTATCTGTTTTTATGACAGTAGCTTGCTGTTTTGGTTACTGTAGCTCTGTAGTATACTTTGAAGTCAGGTAATGTGATTCCTCCAGTTTTGTTCCTTTTGCTAAGGATATCTTTGGCTGTTCTGGGTCTTCTGTAGTTCCATGTAAATTTTAGAATTGTTTTTCTATTTCTGCGAAGAATGTCATTGGTATTTTGATAGGCATTGCATTGAATCTGTAGATTGCTTTGGGTGGTATGGACATTTTAACAATATTCATTCTTCAAATCCTTAAACATGGAATAATTTTCCATTTTTTATGTTCTCTCCAATTTCTCTCATCAATGTTTTATAGTTTTCATCGTAGAAATCTTTCACTTCTTTGGTTAATTCCCGGGGATTCAATTTTATTTGTAGCTATTGTAAATGACATTACTTTCTTGATTTCTTTTTCAGATTGTTTACTGTTGGCATATAGAAATGCTACTGATTTTTGTATGTTGATTTCTTATCCTGCAACTTTAGTGAATTTGTTTATCAGTTCTAAGAATTTCTGTTAATTTAGATATTTTGAAATAGATTTACCCTGAAAATTTTAATGAGAAGTACATAAGAAAGAATTGTAATGAAATTTGCTTATCAGAAAGTTGTGTCAAAAAATTTGCATTAAAAGATGTCCTGTTAAATTCATAGGGAGTAAAAGGAATGAACAATTTTAGGCATTCTTTTCTTAATAGTCTTAAGCCAAGATTAAATAAAGAGACGAAATATGAGTTTGCAAAGGCAAACAGACCTGATGCCTAATGTGATCTTTCTGGTTTTTTTGGCTCTGAGTTCAACATTGTAGCTGACTTGCACTGTGGGTGATAAAGTTAAAACTGAATAAAAAACTTGAGAATCTTACTTATCTGGCTTTCACTTTCTTCTAATGTTGCACCAAATCAAAACTCTGCCATAATCTCTGCATAATAAATCAAGCAGATGTTTCTGTTTATTTAATGAATATTATTTTTTCCATATGTGACCATTGCTGTGTCTTCAGCAAGTATAAGGGTAAATTAATGAAGCAAGTAACTAAAAATTGCATGTTCTATTAACTAATTAGATGACCACAAAGAGAAGGTTGGTATATTATTTTAACCATTTGCCTGAAATGATCAATTTCTAATCAAGGTGATCCCGTTGTCTAACAATGGGATTGAATTTTTTTTCTGATTTTGTTATGAAAAATTTCAAACATGCAGAGTACTTGAACAAAATAAATATCTACCATCAATATTCAGCAATAGGTAATGACCATATTTACATTTGCTCATTTTATCTCTAGCATTTTTAAATCTAGAGTAGTCTTCCCAGCTTTTGGTGTATTTAACATATTTTTAAAATTATTTTAAAATTAAACTTATTTTGAGAGAATTATAGATGTACATGCAGTTGTAAAAAATAATGCTGATAGAGCCTATGTATCTTTTATCCATTTCCCCCCAATGATAGCATTTTGCAAAATGATAGCATTAAAATATCACAATTAGGATATTGACATTGATAAAATCAAAATACAGAAGACTTCCATCACCACAAGCATCCCTTGTATTGCCCTTTTATAGCCACAACGGCTTCCTGCTGTTTCCACCCTCTCCAATGCCCCTGGCAACCACTAATCTGTTCTCCATTATTATAATTTTTTATATTGACTTTTTAAAAAGACCAAATCCATTTTCTCACTGATTGTCCCACATCCTAAATGTATTTGATAGTTTCCTCTTGACGTTTATCTTTTTTCTTTATCTCCTATTTCTGGAAAACTGAAAGGTTGATCTAAAGACTTGACTAGATATACAGTAAACATTTTGGACAATATTTAATAAGTAATGCTTTGTATTTCATTTTACATCATATCAAGAGGTACACATGTTGGCATACCCAAATGTTAGTGAGGCTAAGTTTGATCACTCTGTTGATGTGATGACGAGCAAACCTTTCCACTTAAAGGTATGTTTTCCTTTGGCAACTGTGTATATCTTATACTCTAGCAACATTTTACCTAATTGTTTTAATCTTTACAAATAATTTTTGCCTGAATTACTTATTTCAATGTGGGGGGGTCAGAAAAACATGATTTTAAAATATTATTACGCTTTCTATGTTTATTAACTATCATTCTTTTGTAGAAAAAGTGTTTCTTCTCCAAAAATTTGCTCAGCTCCTTTCTTTTAATTACCAGCTGTCAGAGTAAGAAACTGGTGTAATAATAAGATGACTAGCTATTCCAGTTTATCCATGACAGTCCTGGTTATATCTCTTTCCACAGAAAGTTATTGTGTTTCCATTCACAATAAAAATTTAACAAATTGACAATAAGTTATAACATTATTCCATGTATCAGTCACCTCCAATTTCTCTCTCCCCCGGCTTTCACTTGCAGAATCACTACAGACTACTAAGTGTTTATTTATTCAATGTTTCATAATTAATTTTGCCTTTTGATAGGCAAATCTTTTATACTTGAACAATTAAAATAATTATCCCTATTGGTGCTCAAATTTCAATACGCAAATACTCAGAGCTCAAAATTGGCTAATGTAAATCCCTTAAAAATGCTTTTGTGGAAATGAGATCATGTCCTTTGCAGAGACATGGAAGGAGCTGGAAGCCATTATCCTCAGCAAATTAACGCAGGAACAGAAAACCAAACACCGCATGTTCTCTCTCGTAAGTGGGAGCTGAACAATGAGAACACATGGACACAGGGAGGGGAACAACACCCACTGGGGCCTGTCACAGGGTGGGATATGTGAAAAGAGCATCAGAAAAAATAGCTAATGCATGCCGGGCTTAATACTTAAGTGATGGGTTGATAGGTGCAGCAAACCATCATGGCACACGTTTACCTATGTAACAAACCTACACATCCTGCACGTGTACTGCGAACTTACAAAATAAAGTAAAAAATGGCTTTCTGTATTTTTGACGCAAATTTTTGCTTCAGTGGTCTTTGACTAAATTTTTGTTTTATGAACTATTAAGATATTACAGTCTTACGCGGTGTTTTCTTTTTTCTTTTTCTTTTTTTTTTTTTTTTTTTTTGAGACAGGGTCTCACTCTGTCACCCAGGCTGCAATGCAGTGGTGCAATCATTGGTCACTGTAATCTTGAACACCTGGACTCAAGTGATCCTCTGACCTCGGCCACCAGGGTAGCTAAGACTATAAGTATGTGCCACAATATTTGGCTAATGTTTTATTTTTTTGTAGAGACAGGGTCTCACTATGTTGCCCAGGTTGGTCTTACCTTGTATTTCCTATGTTCCAGATCAGAATTCAAACATTTCTTCAAAGATCTCTGAATTCATTTTTTAAACATTTATTTGTATAAATTTAAGGTGTACGGTGCAATTTTGTTACATGGATATACTACTTAGTGGTGAAGTCTGGGATTTTAGTGTATCCACCACCTGAATAATGTTACATTGTGCCCATTGAGTAATTTCTCATCATCCAACCCCCAACCTGCACCCTCCTGAGTCTCCAGTGTCTCTAATTCCACACTCTATGTCCATGTGTACACATTATTTAGCTCCCACTTATAAGTGAGAAGATGTGGTATTTGTCTTTCTGCATCTCACTTCTATCCATGTTGCTGCAAAAGACATGATCTCATTCTGTTTTATGGCTGAATACTATTCTATTGTGTATTTATATCACATTTTCTTTATCCAGTCATCTGATGATAGACACTTAGATTGCTTCTGTATCATTGCTAATATGAGTAGTGTTAGGATAAACATAAGAGTGAAGGTATCTTTTTGATATAATATCTTCTTTTCCTTTGGGTAGATACCCAAACAAGGATGCATACTTTGACCACTCTTATTCAGCATAGCACTGGAAGTCTTAGCCAGAGCAATCAGGCAAGACAAAGAAATAAAAGACGTCCAAATTGGAAAAGATAAAGTTAAATTATCCCTGTTCATTAGTGATATGCTCTTACATGTACAAAACCCTAAAGACTCCACAAAAAATCTTTGAGTCATAAATGAATTCAATAGTTTCAAGATACAAAATTAATGTAAAATATAGTACCATGTGTATACTTTAGCTATCTAGCAGAGAACCAAGTCAACAAGGTAATTCCATTTACAACAGCCACAAAAAACCAAAAAAACATAAAACCTAGGAAAACTTTTAACCAAGGAGGTGAAAGGTGTCTACAATGAAAACTACAAAACACTGATGAAATAAATTGTGGATGACACAAACAAGTGGGAAAATCATCCTATACTAATTGACTGGAAGAACTAATGCCATTAAAATGACCACAATGTTCAAAGTAAACTACAGATTTAATACAATCTTTATTGAAATACCAATGTCATTTGTTTTACAGAATTTGAAAAAACAATCCTAAAATTCGTATGAAATAAAAATAAGCCTGAATAGCCAAAGCAATTCTAAGCAAAAAGGAACAAAGCTGGAGGCATCAGATTACCTAACTTTATTTATTATTATTATTATTATTATTGTTATTATTATTATTATTATTATTAGTAGTAGTAGTAGTAGTATTTGAGACAGAATCTTGCTCTGTAGCCAGGCTGGAGTGCACTGGCAAGATCTTGGCTCACTGCAACCTCTGCCTCCCAGGTTCAAGGGATTCGCATGCCTTAGCCTCCCGAGTAGCTAGGATTACAGACATGTGCCACCACGCCCAGCTAATTTTTGTATTTTTATAGAGTTGGGTTTCTCCATGTTGGCCAGGCTGGTCTCAAACTCCTGGCCTCAAGTGATCTGCCCACCTTGGCTTCCCAAAGTGCTGGGATTACAGGCGTGAGCCACTGCACCCAGCCCACATTATCTAACTTTAACCATAGTACAAAGGTATAGTAACCATAACAGTATGATTCTGGTATAATAGACATATAGATCAATGGGAACAGAATAGACAACTCAGGAATAAAGCCATACACTGACAGCCAATTGATCATTGACAGTTGACAAAAACACACTGGGGAAAGGCCACCCCTTTAATAAATGGTGCTGGGAAAATTGGGTTCTCATTATGCCAAAGGATGAAATTAGACCTCTATCTCTCACTATATTAAAAAAATCAACTCGAGATGAATTAATGACTTAAAAGTAAACCTGAAACTATAAAAATACTAGAAGAAAACATAGGGAAAACTCTTCTGGATATTGTCCAGGCAAATAATTCATGACCTCAAAAGCAAAAATAACAAAAACAAAATGGTACTTAATTAAACTAAGAATCATATCTGATTTTTTTTGGGGGGAACTGATAATTAGAAACTCAAATGTGAGTATCAGGAGTATTCATTTTCATTGGGGTGGTGTGGTTCCCAGACATTTCAATGAATAAAGCTAGGATATATGTAAATATAAGTATATTTAAATATTGAGTATATGTTGTTTATTTCTAATTCATATTTAATATTATAGTGCTTTTCTGATTTTTTTGACTTTGTATTGATAACCTATGTTTTATATTGAAAACCCTGGTTACTAATTAGCACATTTACTTTATTCTTTATTCTAGGACATGTATAGAATGACTACAATGTAAAAATTTCAATATGCTTACCAACTCTCAATAAGGTTTATAATTTTCTTTCGGATTTTTTTCCCTTTAGAATATGTTCTATTAAGGAAGTTCAGTCAGAATACTAGGCTAAAAGTCATTTAAACATTTGCCTGCAAAAATACCACAAGCAAAATAAAGATACACAATAATCTAAAAAAATAGCTTCCAGCTTTTTATCACAGGTGAAAGATTAATATTCCGAACATAAAAGAGCTAAAAGAAACAGAATATATAAAATAGAACAAAAATGTAGTAGAGATACAAATAGTTCATTGAAAAAAGAAATACAAATGACTTTTAACATATGCAAAAAGGCTTAACTTGATCACAGTAAGTTACATGTAAAACTCTATTAATGTACAAATTTTGACCTATCACACTGACAAAAATCCAAAAGTCTTACAACATATTCTCTTGGCAAGGCTTCAGGGGTAGAGACAATGACATATTGCTGGTGACAATACAAAATGTTATAATTCTTTATGGAAAGGAATAGTCAATATCTAGCAAAATTTGTACATTGTTTTAGTCTTTGACACAGATAATACAAAATGTTTCCATCCCCAAATCATTAATTTAATAACATCCGAAAAATCCCTTTTGCCATGTAAGGTAATATATTTTTAGGTTCTGTGGATTAGGACATGGATATCTTGGGGGGCTTTTTTTTTTCTACCACAGACAGTCACAGAAGACATAGATGAATTTACTAATAAATTTAAGAGGAGTGTAGTTGTGTAGAGTATTTTCCCTTATATTAAGAGAATTAAGTAAAAAAGTCATTGAGAGATAACAGCAATTTAGAAAGCAATCAACACACTTCCAAATTACCCTCAGATCAAAAAAGAAATCAGAAGGGAAATTAGAAAATATTTGAAATTAAATGTAAAGAAACCACCTATATTTCAAAATTTGTGGGATACAATTAAAGCAATGTAGACAGAGACATTTATTTATTTATTTATTTTTGAGACAGAGTCTTGCCCTGCTGCCTAGGCTAAAGTGTGATGGTGATCTTGGCTCACTGCAACCTCCACCTCCTAGGTTCAAGCGATTCTCCTGCCTCAGCCTCCTGAGTAGCTGGGATTACAGGAGCCCACCACCAAGCTTAGCTAATTTTTATATTTTTAATAGAGACAGGTTTCACCATTTTGGCCAGGCTGGTCTTGAACTCCTGACCTTAGGTGATCTGTCTGCCTCGACCTCCCAGACTGCTGGGATTACAGGCGTGGGCCACCACAGCCGATACAGACATTTATATCTTTTAATGCTTACATTAGTAAAGTGAAAGGGCATACAATCAATGAACTAAGCTTCAGTATAGGAAGCTAAAAAAGGAGAGTTAATAAAACCCAAGTAAGTGAAAGCAAGTAAATAAAGATGAGAGCCAACACAGTAAAAGAGAAAACAGACCCCCAAAATAGAGATGAATAAAATTCAAAGTTTGTTCTTTGGAAAGATAAAAAAATGATTGAATGTCTAGTAGATGAATTAAGAAAAAAGAGAGAAGACACAAATTGTCATTATCAGAAGTGAAATAAGTGATGTCTCTACCGATCAAACAGTCATTGAAAAGATTATAAAAGAATATTATGAACAACTTTATTCCAATAAAATTGAGAACTAAAATGAATTGGGCAAATTGTTTGAAAGGTCTTAATTACAAAACTGACTTGTTGAGAAATAGACACCTGAATAGTTCTGTATGTATCAAATAAATTAATTATTTAAAGCCTTTCCCAAAAGAAACTGTAGGCACAGATGACTTCATAAAAGAATTGTATTGCATATGTAGGAAAATACAATACCAAGCCTAACAAACTCTGTAAGAAAGTAAAAGGATGCCTGTTCACTCTGATGGTAGTTTCTTTTGCTGTGCAGAAGCTCTTTAGTTTAATTAGATCCCATTTGTCAATTTTGGCTTTTGTTGCCATTGCTTTTGGTGTTTTGGACATGAAGTCCTTGCCCATGCCTATGTCCTGAATGGTAATGCCTAGGTTTTCTTCTAGGGTTTTTATGGTTTTAAGTCTAACGTTTAAATCTTTAATCCATCTTGAATTGATTTTTGTATAAGGTGTAAGGAAGAGATCCAGTTTCAGCTTTCTACATATGGCTAGCCAGTTTTCCCAGCACCATTTATTAAATAGGGAATCCTTTCCCCATTGCTTGTTTTTCTCAGGTTTGTCAAAGATCAGATAGTTGTAGATATGCGGCGTTATTTCTGAAGGCTCTGTTCTGAACAGACACTTCTCAAAAGAAGACATTTATGCAGCCAAAAAACACATGAAAAAATGCTCATCATCACTGGCCATCAGAGAAATGCAAATCAAAACCACAATGAGATACCATCTCATACCAGTTAGAATGGCAATCATTAAAAAGTCAGGAAACAACAGGTGCTGGAGAAGATGTGGAGAAATAGGGACACTTTTACACTGTTGGTGGGACTGTAAACTAGTTCAACCATTGTGGAAGTCAGTGTGGCCATTCCTCAGGGATCTAGAACTAGAAATACCATTTGACCCAGCCATCCCATTACTGGGTATATACCCAAAGGACTATAAATCATGCTGCTATAAAGACACATGCACACGTATGTTTATTGCGGCACTATTCACAATAGCAAAGACTTGGAACCAACCCAAATGTCCAACAATGATAGACTGGATTAAGAAAATGTGGCACATATACACCATGGAATACTATGCAGCCATAAAAAATGATGAGTTCGTGTCCTTTGTAGGGACATGGATGAAAGTGGAAATCATCATTCTCAGTAAACTATCGCAAGAACAGAAAACCAAACACCGCATATTCTCACTCATAGGTGGGAATTGAACAATGAGATCACATGGACACAGGAAGGGGAATATCACACTCTGGGGACTGTGGTGGGGTGGGGGGATGGGGGAGGGATAGCATTGGGAGATATACCTAATGCTAGATGACGAGTTAGTGGGTGCAGCGAACCAGCATGGCACATGTATACATATGTAACTAACCTGCACAAGGTGCACATGTACCCTAAAACTTAAAGTATAATAAAAAAAAAATAGGAAAAAAAAAAGAAAGTAAAAGGAGACAACATTTTTCAGACCATGTTATGAGTCTAGCATTAGCTGAACACCATATCCAAATAAAGACTTCAAAAGAAAACAAAGCTAAAGAGCAATATCTCTTATAAAACAGGATGCAAGAATCCTGAACCAAATATTTAAAGATTAAATCAAGCAATATAAAAAACAGATAGCCTGTAATCCCAGCTACTTGGGAGGCTGAGGCAGGAGAATTATTTGAACTGGGAGGCAGAGGTTGCAGTGAGCCAAGATCACACCACTGCACTACAGCCTGAGTGACAGTGAGTGTCCATCTCTAAAAACAAAACAACAACAAAAAAACAGATAATACATGATGACCAACTGGTATTATCCCAGGATTGTAAGGCTGGTTTATTATTATTATTATTATTTTAAGATGGAGTCTTGCTCTGTCACTAGGCTGGAGTGCAGTGGCAAGATCTTGGCTCACTGCCTCCTGGGTTCAAGGAATTCTCCTGCATCACCCTCCCAAGTAGCTAGGACTGCAGGCACGTGCCACCACACCAGGCTAATTTTTGTATTTTTAGTAGAGACGAGATTCCACCATGTTAGCCACAATGGTCTCAATCTCCTGACCTCGTGATCTGCCTGCCTTGGCCTCCCAGTGTGAGGATTACAGGCAGGAGCCACCACACTCAGCTGGTTTATCATTTTTAACTCAATTAATGTAATTCCCCATGTAGAAAATAATGAAGACAGCTATTGCCACTGCTGGTGTCCTGAGTGCACTCTGCCCCTGAATGCCCTGTCATGCTAGCATTGCCAGCACAAGCACATGCATGGAGGCCAAAAGTCCCACCTCCTGCCCTGCACCGCTATTGCTGCTCTGGCATGAACACATACACAGAAATTGCCAGCCCCACATCTACCAGCACCCTGCCTCTGTACAGACACCACTGTATCCACAGACGCCAGTAGCCCCAACACCTGCCCCCCGTATGCTGCCACTGCAAACACCTGCATGGAGAAAGTCAGTCCTGCACTGGCCAGCATCCCTCACTAGCCAACGAGTGGACACTCTGCTGCTATGCCGCTGTTGCGCTACTGACAGGTATGAAAAAGCACAGATCCACAGATTCTGCTGTCACCTCCCAATGAAGTGCTTTGGCTGGCACAACCCATCATAGTGTTGTGGCCAGCAGTCCAGGAATATCTCAACTCCTCCAGTGCAGCAAGTTCCTAACCTGAAGGGGCCAGGGCCTGCTATCAGCCCCTGTGATTTAGAGCATGCAGCCCAGGAGTGCTGAGTTGAGGCTTGGCCTCCTAAAATCTTCCCAAAATGAAGCCAGTCAACTGAATCTACCTTATACCATAAGTAAACCCCCAAGGACACCAAATAGGACAAAAGCCAAAACAACAACAACAACAAAATGATCCAAAGGACAGCATCTTCAAAGATTGAAGGAACATCAACCCAAAAAGATGAGAAATAACCAGCCCTGGAACTCTGCCAACTCAAAAAGCCAGAGTGTCTTACCTACAAATGATCACAGTAGTTCCCCAGCAATGGTTCATGACCAGGCTGAAGTGGCTGAAAAAACATAAATAGAATTCTGAATATGAATATGAATGAAGATCATTGAGATTCAGAAAGTCAAAAACCAATCCAAGAATTCTAAGGAATATGATACAACAATGGAGGAGATGAAAGAGAAAATGGTCATTTTAAGAAAGAATCAAACTATTCTGACAGAGCTGAATGACTCACTTCAAGAATTTCAGAATACAATCACAAGTATTAACAGCAGAATTAACCAAGCTGAGGAAAGAATTTCAGAGCTCAAAGACTGGTTCTCCAAAATAACTCAGTCAGACAAAAATAAAGAAAAAAAAAACAGTATAGAAGAATGAACAAATTTGCTGAAAAATATGGGATTATGTAAAGAGACCAAATCTACAATTCATTGGCATCACTGAAAGAGAGGGAGAAAACACTAACAACTTCAAAATATACTTCAGGACACTGTTCATGAAAATTTCTCCAACATTATTGGAGATGCCAACATTCAAATTCAAAAAATACAGAGAACTCCTGCATGATAATACAAAAAAGACCATTCCCAAGACACACAGTCATCAGATTCTCCAAGAATGACATAAAAGAAAAAATGTTAAAGGGAGCTAGAGAGAAATGGCAGTTTACCTACAAAGGGAACCCCATCAGGCTAACAGCAGACCTTTCAGAAGAAACCCTACAAGCCATAAGAGGTTAGGAGCCTATATTCAGCATTCTTAAAGAAAAGAATTTCCAACCAAAAATTTCATATCCATCCAAATTAAGCTTTATAAGCGAAGTTGAAACAAGATGCTTTTCAGACAAGCAAATGCTAAGGGAATTTGTTACCATTAGACTGTCTTACAAGGGGTCCTAAAGGGAGTGCTAAATATGGAAAGAAAGACCATTACCAGCTACTACAAAAATAGACTTAAGTACATAGACCAGTGACACTACAAAGCAACCACAAAAACAAGTCTGCATAATAACCAGCTGACAACACAATGACAGGATCAAATCTGCACATTTCAATATTAACCTTAAATGTAAATAGGCTAAATGCCCCAACTGAAAGGCACAGAGTGGCAAGTTGAATAAAAAAGCAAGACCCAACAATATGCAGTCTCCAGGAGACCCATCTCACATGCAGTGACACCCACAGGCTCAAAGTAAAGGGATTGAGAAAAATCTAACAAGCAAACAGAAAACAGCAAGGCAAGGGTTGTTATTCTTTTTTTTTTTTTTTTTTGAGATGGAGTTGCTGTCATCCAGGCTGGAGTGCAATGGTGTGATCTCGGCTCACTGCAACCTCTGCCTCCTGGGTTCAAGTGATTCTCCTGCCTCAGCCTCCTGAGTAGCTGGGATTACAGGCGCCTGCCACCACGCCCAGTAAATTTTTTTGTATTTTTTAGTAGATACGGGGTTTCACCATGTTGCTCAGGCTGGTCTTGATCTCCTGACCTCAGGTGATCCACCTGCCTCGGCCTACCAAAGTGCTGGGATTACAAGTGTGAGCCACTGTGCCCAGCCCAGGTTGTTATTCTAATTTCAGACAAAACAGACGTTAAACCAAGAAAGATACAAAAGACAAAGAAGAGCATTACATAATGGTAAGGGTAAAGGACTCAATTCAATTAAAAGATCTAACTATCCTAAATATATACACACCCAATACAGGAGCACCCAGATTTGTAAAACAAGTACCTAGTGACCTACAAAGAGACTTAGATAACCACACAAAAATATTGAGAGGCTTCATGACACCACTGAAAGTGTTAGACACATTATCAAGGCAGAAGACTAACAAAGGTATTCAGGACCTGAACTCGACACTTGACCAAATGAACCTAATAGACATCTACGTAACTCTCCACCCGAAAACAAGAGAATGTACATTCTTCTCATCTGCACATGGTACATACTCTAAAATCAAGCACACAATTGGACATAAAACAATCCTTAACAAATTCATAAAAACTGAAATCATACCAACCACCCTTTCAGACCACAGCACAACAAAAATAGAAGTTAATACCAATAAAATTGTTCAAAATCATACAATTATATAGAAATTAAATGACCTTCTCCTGAATGACTTTTGGGTAAACAATGAAATTAAGGCAGACATCAAGAAATTCTTTGAAACTAATGAAAACATAGAGACAACATACAAAAATCTCTGGGACACACTAAAGCCATGCTAAGAGGGAAACGCATAGCACTAAACACCCGCACCAGAAACTTAGAAAGATTTCAAATTAACCTAGCATCACAACTAGAGGAACCAGAGAAGCAGGAGCAAACAAACCCAAAAGCCAGCAGAAGACAAGAAAGAAGCAAAATCAGAGCTGAACTGAAGGAAATTGAGATGTGAAAAACCATAGAAAAGATCAACAAATCCCGAAGTAAATTTTTGGAAGAATTAATAAGATAGAGAGACTGCTAGCTAGACTAATAAAGAAAAAAAAGAGAAGATCCAAATAAACACAATCAGAAAGGACAAAGATGTTAACATTGACCACAGAGAAATAACAAACAAACAAACAAAAGCTCTCAGAGACTACTACAAACACTTCTATGAATGCAAACTAGAAAACTTAGAAGGAATGAATAAATTCCTAAAAACATGCAATCTCCTAAGATTGAACCAGGAAGAAATTGAATCCCTGAACAGACCAATAATGAGTTCTGAAATTGAATTAGTAATAAAAAGTCTACCAACCAGAAAAAGCTCAGGGCCAGATAGACTCACAGCCAAATTCTATCAGAAGTATAAAGAAGTGCTGGTACGATTCCTACTGAAAGTATTCCAAAATATCCAGGAGAAGGGACCCCTCCCTAACTCATTCTATGAGAACAACATCATGCTGACACCAAAACCTAGAAGAGACATAACATAAAAAGAAAATGTCAGGCCAATATCCTTGATGAGCATATGCAAAAATTCTTAACAAAATGCTAACAATCTAAATCCAGCAAAATATCAAAAAGTTAATCCACCACAATCAAGTAGGCTTTATATCTGGGATTCAAGGCTGACTCAATATAGGCCAATCAATAAATGTGATTCATCACATAAACAGAACTAAAAACGGAAACCACATGACCATCTCAATAGATGCAGAAAGGTCTTTTGATAAAATTCAACATCACTTCATGTTAAAAATCCTCAACAAACTGGGCATTGAAGGAACATACTTCAAAATAATAAGAGCCAGCTATGAAAAATCTACAACCAGCATCATACTGAATGGGGAATAGCTGGAAGGATTCTCCTTGAAAAGCAGTACAAGGCAAGGATGCCCATTGTCACCCCTCCTATTCAATATAGTACTAGAAATGATGGCCAGAACAATTAAGCAAGAGAAAGAAATAAAAGGCATTCAAATAGGAAGAGAGGAAGTCAAGTTATCCCTGTTTGCAGATGATATGATTCTATACATAGAAAACCCCATAAAAGCTCCTTGATCTGATAAACAACTTCAGCAAAGTTTCAGGATACAAAATCAATGTACAAAAATTAGTAGCATTCCTATACACCAACAACATCCAAGCTGAGAGTGAAATAAAGAACAAAATATCGGTTGGGCGCAGTTGCTAATGTCTGTAATCCCAGCACTTTGGGAGGCTGAGGTGGGTGGATCACGAGGTCAGGAGTTGGAGACCAGCCTGACCAACATGGTGAAACGTCGTCTGTACTAAAAATACAAAAAAATTAGCTGGGCGTGGTGGAGCACCTGTAATCCCAGCTACTCAAGAGGCTGAGGCAGGAGAATCGCTTGGACACAGCCTGGGTGACAGAGTGAGTCTCAGACTCAAAAAAAAAAAAAAAAAAGAAAGAAAGAAAGAAAGAAAGAATCTCATTCACAATAGCCACGAAAAGAATAAAACACCTAGGAATACAGCTAATTAGGAAGGTGAACTATGTCTACAATGAGAAATATAAAACACTGCTCAAAGAAATCCAAGGTGACACAAATGGAAAAACATCCCATGCTCATGGAAAGGAAGAATGAATATTGTTAAAATGGCTGTACTGTCTAAAGAAATTTACAGATTTAATGCTATTCCTATCAAACTACAAATTACATTCTTCACAGAACTAGATAAAACTATTTTAAAATCTACATGGAATCAAAACAGAGGTCAAATAGCTAAGGCAATCCTAAAGAAAAAGAACAAGCCTGGAGGCACCACAATACCAGACTTCAAATTATTCTACAAGGCTACAGTAACCAAAACAGCATGGTGCTGGTATAAAAGTAGACCCACAGACCAATGAAACAGAATAGAGAACCCAGAAATAAGGCTGCACACCTACAACTATCTGATTTTCAACAAAGCTGACAAAAACAAGCAATGGGGAAAGGACTTCCTATTCAATAAATGGTGCCAGGATAACTGGCTAGCCATGTGCAGAAGATTGAAACTAGATTCTTTCCTTACACCGTTTACAAAAATCAATTCAAGATAGATTAAAGACTTAAATGTAAAACATAAAATTATAAACCATGGAAGATAACCTAAGAATGCTATTCTGGACATAGCCCTGGCAAAGATTTCATGACTATGACACCAAAAGCAATTGCAACAAAAACAAAAATTGACAAATGGGATCTAATTAAACTAAAGAGCTTCTGCACAGCAAAAGAAACAACAGAGTAAGCAGACAACCTACAGAATGGTAGAAAATATTTGCAAACTACACATCTGACAAAGGTCTAATATCCAGTATCTATAATGAACTCAAACAAATTAACAAGTGAAAAACAAACAACCTTAGAAGAAGTGGGTAAAGGACACGAACAGACATTTTTGAAAAGCAGACATACATGTGGCCAACAAGCATAGAAAAACTGTTCAACATCACTAATCATTAGAGAAATGCAAATCAAAACCACAATGAGATATCATCTCATTCCAGTCGGAATGGCCGTTATTAAAAAGTCAAAAAAAAATAACAGATGCTGGCAAGGTTGTGAAGAAAAGGCATTGCTTATATACTTTTGGTGGAAATTTAAATTAGTTTAGCCATTGCGTAAAGCAGTTTGGTGATTTTTCAAAGAACTCAAAGCAGAATTACCATTTGACCCAGCAATCCCATTATTGGGCATATAGCCAAAGTCATAGAACTTATTCTACCATAAGGACACATTAACATGTATGTTCACTGCAGCACTCTTCACAATAGCAAAGATGTGGTATCAACCTAAATGCCTATCAATGGTATACTGTGTTAAAATAATGTAGTACATATACACCATAGAATACTATGCAGTTATAAAAAAGAATGAGATCATGTCCTTTGCAGCAACATGGATGGAGGCATTATCCTAAGTAAACTGCCACAGGAACAGAAAATGAAATGCCACATGTTCTCACTTACAAATGGAAGCTAATCATTTAGTACATATGGACACAAAGAAGAGAACAAGAGACACTGGGGCCTACTTGAGGGTGGAGAGTGGGAGGAGGGTGAGGATCAAAAAAATGACTTATCAGGTACTATCCTTGTTACCTGGGTGACAAAATAATATGGATACCAAAGCCCTGTGACATGCAATTTACCTATGTAACAAATCTGCACATATACCCCGAACCGAAAATAAAAGTTTTTAAAAATTCAGAAAAAGATGAAGAAAAACATATCATCTCAATAGATGTAATTAAAAACATTTTGCAAAATGCATCATCCACACATTGTAAAAGTTCTGAGCAACATGTAAATATTAGAGTAAGAGTAGAAAACCTTACTTAAGGTAGCATCATACTTACAGTGAAGGATCAAATAATTGTCCTCTAAGATTGGGAAAATTGAAAGAATATCTACTCCCACTTATATTCAACATTGTCTTTGAAGTCCTAGCCTGTGAAATAGAGCAAGAAAAAAGAAATAAAAAAATAGGTTTGGATTCAATTGTATCTCTTCTAAATAGTTATCCATATATATGTGTATGGATATGTGTGTATTACACTGTTGAGATGATATGTTTTTCTTCATCTTTTTTTGAATTTTTGTAAACTTTTATTTTAGGATCAGGTGTACATGTGCAGGTTTGTTATATAGGTAAACTGCATGTTACAGGGCTTTGGTGTACATATTATTTTGTCACCCAGGTAATAATATATACACACACCTTCCATACACACACACACACACATTCATATAGATAGATTAGATAGAGAGATAGATAGATGTTTTATTTGTTTTTAATCTGTGTGTGTATATATATATATATATATGTATATATATGAAAGGAAGCTATAAAACTTAAAATTTTTTTGGGTATTGCCATCCTGTACATAGAAATTCCTAAGATCTTTACAACTGAAGCCACTCTAACCAGTATGTAAATGTAACATCAAATGAGACAAAACTAGACCAAAGTCAATGATTTTCTCAATTCTAACAATGAACAAATATAATGGCATTAACAACCATAAAGTGCATAGAGATAATTTTAACAATACATTGAAAAATATAAAAAATTGTTGAATGCAATTAAAGAAAACAAATAATTTGGGAGACACAAGGTTCATGAATTGGAAGATTGAATACGGTTATGATATTGATTATTTCCAAATGTATTTATTTAACACAATTTCAATTAAAATTCAGGCAGAAGTTTTTATAGAAATTGTCAAACTGATCCTAAAGTTTATGTAAGTACACAAAGAATACAGAATTTTGAAAAAGAATGTATCCAGAAAACTTATATTCCCTGAGTTGAAGACACTATCAATGTGTAATGCTTGTATTGGCATAAATATAGACATCTAGATCCAAGAAACAGAATTGAGAGTTCAGAAATAGATGTATGATTATATGGTCAATTTTAAAAAAATGTCAAGATAATTCAGTGAGGAAAGAATTTGTCTTTTAAATAAATGGTCCTGAAAGATATGATCCGGCTGGATATCTGTATGGAAAACAGGATCTTGGGCACTTTTCTCACAACGTACACAAAATTTGATTCAAAATGGGTCATAGACCCCAATAAGAGTTAAAACCCCACAACCTCTAGAAGAAAACATACGAAAAATCTTTGTGGTCTTGGGTAAGGCAAAGTTTGCAAAGACAGGATGCAAAATATATGACTCACCAAAGAAAAATATTTTATAGTTAAAATACACCAAAATAAAAAGCTTTGGCTTGTCAGAAAACACCATTAATTAAGAAAACTAAAAGATAAGCCACAGATGGGGAAAAATACCTGCAAAATATACATGTTACAAAAGGCTTGGATTCAGAACATATAATGAAATCTTACAACTCAATAACAAGACAATCCAGAACGAAATGGGCAAGTTATTTGTAAATGACCAGCAAGCCCAGGAAAAGTTGTTGAACATCATTGGTCACTACGTAAATGCAAATTAAAACTACAGTGATGTACTATTACACACCTGTCAGAATAACTACAATTAAAAACAAGCCCTGGCAAAGATGTGGAGCAACTGGAATCCTCATGAACCACCTGTGGAAGTGCTAAATGACTGTCAGGAGAATAGCAGTGTTACAGAAATGGACTATTCTATCAGCCTAGATTCTGGAGTAATGAGGATTCTGGAGTAATGAGGATTCTGGAGTAATGAAACAAAGCAATAGCCAACACAAAATTTCAATAAGCCAGGAGAGAAATCAACATTTGCTGTTGCTGTTCATGGAGATGTGGGGATTATTACACAGCATACCTTATAAAAGCTGATGAATAGAGTTATATTTTTACTGGTATATGGTGTTATATTTTGTTTCTTCCTTTTTGTCTTGCCACACAAAAGATTTTTTGTATTCAGGTTTACTGATTTTTTTTTTATTGCTTCAAAATTTGAATCATAATGGGAAAGGCTTTCCAACTTTCATGTATTAAAATAATTTACTTATTTTTCTTCCAGTATAGGTAACATTCTCTTTTTTATATTTATATCCCTGATCCATATGGATTTTTTGTTGGTGTATAATAAGTGAGAGGTCTGGATTCAATTGTATCTTTTTCTAGTTATCCAATTGTTCTATGATCATTTACTTATAAGTGCATCATTTTCCCAGTAACTTGAGATGCCACGTTTACCATATATCAAATATCCATATATACTTGCCCTAATTTTGTACTTTCTATTCACTTTCGCTGTCTATTTTTTCTTGCACTAACATCACAATGTTTAATTATAGTGGCCTTATTATACAATTTAAGGTAGTTTTTATTGATTTTTTCCTACATTTTCTTGACTATTTGCATTTTGAGAATCAAGTCTGTAGCTTAGAAAATAACTTCACATTTTTATTGGAATTACATATTGTAATTTTTATATTAACTTGAATAATATTAACCCTTTATGAGTCAAATCACCAAATTCAAGAATATAGGGTGATTTGCTGTCCAAGTTTATTTTGCTTGTATCTTCTAATAGTGTTTATTATCTTCTATATATAGATTTTGCACCACATTTATTATTCATTGTATTTCTTGTTTTGCTCACTTTTTTGTTTTTGTTGGGGCATCTTTCCTTCTATTATATTTTCTAATTATTTTTGCATATGTGAAATAATTTTTGCATGCTAATTTTAGATCTTGATTCCTCATGGAACTATATTTTTGTTTGTAATTATATTTTCATTGATTCTTTTCAAGTACACTATCATAATTCATACATATAGATATATTTTTAATCTTTTCCTTTATAATCATTTTACTCCTAATTATTGTGCTTATTATAACATTGGGTAATTGTATTAGTCCGTTCTCACATTGCTATAAAGAAATACCTGAGACCAGGTAATTTATGAAGAAAAGAGGTTTAATTGGCTCACAGTTCTGCAGGCCGTATAGGAAACGTGATGCTGGCATCTATTCAGCTTCTTGGGAGACCTCAGGAAACTTACAATCATGGCGGTAGATAAAGGGGGAGCACAAACATCCTGTGGCTGGAGTAGGAGCAAGAGAGAGAGAAGGGGAGGTGTCACACACTTTTAAACAACCAGATCTCACGAGAGCTCACTCACTATCATGAGGACAGTACCAAAGGGGATGGTGCTGAACCATTCATGATAAACCACTGTCATGATCCAATCACCTCCCACCAGGCCCCATCTCCAAAACTGGGGATTACAATTCACCATGAGATTTAGGTGGGGACAAGAATCCAAACCATATTAGTAATGTCTCCAAAACAAGACGATATGTTAGTGGAAATGATAGGCATCCTTGCCTTATCCCTGCCTTAGGGAAAATTTATGTTGTGTTTACTACATAATGTTACCATTTGTGTTGAGGACTGGATGTACATAGATACACAGACACACAGACACATATGTAATAATTTTAAGGATGAATGCATTGAATCCTATTTCACAAAGTCTTTTTTTTTAAGTTAGAAAATGATGTTGAATTTTCAAATGCCTCTCAAGCATCTAGGAAGATGTATGATTTTGTTTCCTTAAATTTATTCATGTGTTGAATTACATTAAAGGCTTTTTAAAAATTGTTGAACTGTTCTTGCATTATTGTGATGAATTCCACTTAGTCAGGATATATTATTTTTTAATGTGCTGTTTGATTTTGCTTGATCATATTTTATTTGAGATTTTTGCATTGATATTCACAAATGAAATTATCTGTAGTTTTAACCACTTAGGGTTCCAGCTTTCTAGTTTCAATATTATGCTCTAATCATAAAAATAATTTGAATATTTTTCTTGTCTTAGTATTCTCTTTGATGGTGATGTTATTTGTTATTTGCTCACATCCTTGATTTGTATAGTTTTTGGGAGAATATATAGAGAAATTAGAATTTGCTGATGGCCATTATATAATATGAACCTGGAATTTTTATCTTATAATACCAAGGCATGCTTCTTGAAAAAACTTTACTAATTACAAATGAGCAAAAAGAAAAATACAATAAAGTAATAATGTTAATAAAAGCAACAATCCTTTATTGTTTTGAATAATTTTTACAAGATGATTTAAAAACATAGTAAGTGATCAGCATCAGAAAAATAAATGTACCTTAAATACTTCTGTCAGTAGAACGTTAGTCTGAAAAGCCTTGCTTTTGGTTTACTAATATATTTTTATTTCCTTTATAATAAAAACATTTAAAAATATTTTGATATACATAGCTCTTCTATAAACTAATGATTCTATACTGTTGGAAGAGTAAAAGATAGTCTTTTAGAAAATAAGAAATAGCTCATTTTAGTTATACCAGATGGGACCACAATATATTAGTTATATGAACAACTAAAAATTGACTAAAATGAAGGCTATCATTCTTCAGGCATAAAACAAATTTTTGAGAGCTTACTTTAACCTTCCTCTCTAAAAATGTCATTTGTATACTTTCTGAATTCATACCTTAGGTAACAATGTTTTAGATTCTTCTTTATGATTGGATCTTAGTGTCGAATTCAGACACTCTTACATGGATACCTGATATATATATATATATTTTAAGATATCAAAAAGTATAAAATAAAATATTCATTTTCTGTTTTTTGTTCCTCTGTTTCGCCTTTCTTACATTCCTGTGGGTTATTTACATATTTTATAAAACTTCATCCTGTTTTTTATTTATGGTATTTTCGTTTCAGTAGGGGTGGTCCAGGTTATAACAATCTGCATATTAGTCTGACGTTATTAACATTTTGCCACTTTGAGTGAAATTTAGAAAGCTTACTCCCACTGGGGTCCCTTTACCCCACTCAATTACTCAATTTAAGAATATAATTGTCTTATGTATTTCTTCTGCATACATTAAGTAACACATTAGAGGGTGTTAGAAATTTTATTTTAATCATCAAACATGATATAAGAACTTTACAAGAAGATTGTCTATTATATTTATTCCTATTTTTACCCATTCCAATGTTATTTCCTTCCAAAGTTTCAAGCCTTCTATTAATATTTCCTTCCCATTTATAGAACTTCCTTTAGTAATTCTTTTACAGTGGATTTGCTAACAATAAATTTTCTTAGTTTTACTTCTTCTGAGAATGTTTTTATTTTCCCATCATTTTTAAAGGCTATTTTCATCAGACATAAAATTTATATTGAGTTCTTTTCTTCCAATACTTAAAAAATGTCACTTTTTTCTGTCCTCCCTGGTTTTAGGTATGAAATTGGTATGTTCTTATAAGCAATGTATTATTTATTTGTGGCCATTTTAAAGATTTTTTCTTTGTCTTTAATTTTCAGAAGTTTATTTATGATGTTTGTACCTTGGCATGGATTTCTCTGGGTATTCTATTTGCAGTTTGCTCAGCTTCTTGAGTTTGCAGGTTTATGTCTTTTTCCAAATGTGGAAAGTTTTTAGTCATTATTTCTTTTCTTTTCTGAGAAGGAGTCTTGCTCTGTCATTCAGGCTGGAGTGCAATGGTGTGATCTCGGCTCACTGCAACCTCCGCCTCCTGGGTTCAAGTGATTCTCTTGCCTCAGCCTCCTGAGCATCTGGGATTACAGGTGTGTGCCACCGCGCCCAGCTAATTTTTTTTTTTATTTTTAGTAGAGACAGAGTTTCATCATTGTTGGCCAGGCTGGTCTCGAACTCCTGACCTCGTGATCCGCCCGCCTCGGGCCTCCCAAAGTGCTGGGATTACAGGCATGAGCCACCACGCCCGGCCTGCCATTATTTCTTTGAATACTTTTTCAGTTCTACTCTTTTTCCTCTCCTTCTAAGTCTCCAATGATACTAATGTTTGTTCTTTTGTTTTTGTCCCAAAGGTCCTTGAGACTTTATTTTTATTTTCAATCTATTTTCTTGCAGCTGTTTAGACTGAGAAGATTTTATTGATCTAACTTCAAGTTCACTGATTCTATCCTCTGCCAATCCCATTCTACTATTGAGCACATTCAGTGAGTTTTAAAAATAAATTGGCTGTTGTGTTTTTTAGTTCTATAATTTCCATTTGATTCTTTTTGAATGACTTCTATTTCCTTGCTGAGATTTTCCTATTTGTTCACTCCTTTCAAGAGAATTTGTGATTGTGCATTGAGGCATTTTTATGATGGTTGCCTTAAAATCCTTGTCAAATTGCTGTAACATCTGATTTGTCTTGGTGCTGGCTTCTGCTGGTTGCTTTTCTAATTCTTGTTGTGATTTTCCTGGTTTTTGATATGAAAAATAATTTTTTATTGTGTCCTAGACATTTTGGATATTATATTATGAGACTCTGTTTCCTATTTCATAATCTTTTCTGTGCAGGCCATGCCTCTGTTAAGGGGCACCTCAAGGTCTGGGTGGTTGTATGTGTTCAGCTTCTTGCAGGGTCTCATCTACCACACCCTGGCAAAAGTGGGTACTGACTCACACTGCGTGGTTGCTGCAGGGTGTCGATTAAGTTTGGTTCCATACTGAGCCTGAAACCAGAAGAAGAACTGGAGTTGCAATTATTCCTGCCTCCCACTACCTCTTCTGCCTGTTCAGTGCCAGACAGGGTGCAGGTTTAGCGTCTCACTGGTCCTGCTGACACCGAGGTAGATGAACAATGGGACAACTATCCCATTGTCAACTACCCTGCCTTCTACTACTTCATTCCATCTCCTTGATGCTATGTGGGTGTGGAGGTTCAGTTCCCCACCAAGTCTTGCTGACACCTGGGATGGAGGTCAATTGGAGCACAGATTAGCCACAACTGGCACCTCTTTATTTAATCTTGTTGATTGCGGGTGGGAGTGGAGGTTCAGCTCCCCAACCCAGGCTCCACTGCCATAACTCTCCTGGGGAAATTGGAGCACTGCCCATCTTCATCGGGCAGGGGATGGAATACCATCTCCCTGCTTAGCCCCATGGACATCAATCAGATGTGGGGAATCAGAATGCTGCCTATTTTCACCAGGCAGGGGATTGGTTTGGAAGATCAACTTCCCACTGCATGGCTGAAACCAGAGGAATACAAGATATGATTTTTTCCCCTTCATGTTTGGCTAGAGTTTGGCGGTGTTGCCAAGAAAGCTTTCTAATGTTGGGCCATGTTTCCTGGTCTCTTGGCTTGGGCGGAGCAGGTTTTTCTTGGAGCATTTTGGTTTGTGGCTGTTGACACTTCTGGGTTGGAAGCTTCTGCCTGGCACTGTCTGGGATATGTGGGAGGCAATAAGGAGACGCAGTAAACTCATCACCATGTAGTTCCTCAAGTCTCAAGGTCCCTTTGCAGCCAGCTTTCTTCTTTCCTCCATTTCTGAGACTTCCTATGCTTGTTGTGTTATATCCAGGGCTTTTTTTTTTTAATTTTAAGTGGGGCATTGGAGAGAAATGAAACTACTCCATCTTGGCAGAACCAGAACTCCCTATCATATATTAAGATTTAAAATTTGTAAAAAACACAATAGCCTTTATTTTTTACTTGCACACTGACCTGATCAAAGATTCATTCAGCTGTCTGATCCTCCTTGTCAAATCAGACCCTAGCAGATCAAGAGCAGATCAGGTTTAAGTCATCATCAATCTGTTAAAAGATGGTGAAGGCAGAAACATTTTCCCTAAGTAACTAAGGCAGAATTTTTTAATATGTCTTTTGATGATAAATGATAAGTGAGAATATTTGATCCAGTGACATGTGCAATATTTCCTCTGGATTTATATCTACCGTTTAGCACCACCATGTTTAGTTCATGAACACATTTAATGATAAATATCCCTTTTAGGTTAATTTTTCTATATCTAAAATAGTGGCCCAGTGGGAAGAGGTGGCCAATCTATTCCCCAATGGCTTCAGGTGGAGAAATACTGAGTTCATCATCAATCTTACCCTTCAGTCCTCCAGGGAAGATTATCTTTGCAGAACACTGTAAAGCTAAATAAATTTAAAAGATTATCAGAGAGAGAGATAATAAATCTAAGCATAAGTTCATGATTCTGGGCACTTATTAGAATCACCTGGGGAGTTAGAAAAAAATAACGCTAATGGGTTTTCATTGCCCCAGATCAATTACACAAGAATTTTTTGGGTAGGGCCTGGGCATTGGTATTTTTTAAAGCTCTCAAGGTGAATCTAATGTGCAGCCAAGATTGAAAATAACTCGTATAGGTGGATGTCGTTTTCCATGACAAGGAAATTCATTGCATCTACCATATCACATAAAAACTCGGACTGAATAGAAGGTGTTCTGGTTTTATGAGAGAGACAGCTCAAAGATGGACCCTTTAAGGTTGCTTCTCTCAGCCGGGAGTGGTGGCTCATGACTGTAATCCCAGGACTTTGGGAGGCCGAGGTGGGCAGATCACGAGGTCAAGATATCGAGACCATCCTGGCCAACATGGTGAAACCCCATCTCTACTAAAAATCCAAAAATTAGCTGGGTGTGGTGGCGCGTGCCTGTAGTCTCAGCTGCTCGGGAGGCTGAGGCAGGAGAATCGCTTGAACCCGGGAGGGGAGGCAGAGGTTGCAGTGAGCCGAGATTGTGCCACTGCACTCCAGCCTGGTGACAGAGCAAAACTCCGTCTCAAAAGGAAAAAAAAAAAAAAGAGATTCCTCCTCTCAACTTCACTAGTTACTTGTTTGGCTGCCAGAATGTCCTCTAAAACCAGGAGAAAGAGTAGACAATACTCCAAAAATATTTACCCCAACAGATAAAGAAATACCATGAATCCAGAGAGATCGATGGTCTAAAATGTTAGTGTCTTGTACAGAAATTATGTTACTAACCATCAAGTTCCTTAACTGTGGGATTTACAACTTCCTGACATAACAGAAACCGTACCTTTCAAGCAATACCTGCCAATGAGTCTGTCAGGAGCAAAGCACTGAAACTGCTGTATTCCTATGTAGGGAGCACTGAACCCTGCTCCTGGTGGAGAGCTCATCTTGAACCTGGCAAACCTATCTTATTTTGTCTATGAAGAACATTTCTAAGCAGGAATTTTCATTTTTGAAACTTCAGGGCTTCTGGTTTGGTTACTTACATTGGTGAGTTATCCACACCTGGAAAATGATGAAGGACTTTTTCCCAGGGGAGTGGTGTTGAGCTGAGACAACACTCTTGAGATGGCAAGAATATTCAGTGTCTCCATCTGTAGGGCTAGCAGAGGGTGCCAGTCCTGAAACAGGGTACAGGCTCACAGGTTATATAATAATATATCAGGGCTTTTGTAGGAAAAGCAAGCCTCTTTGTCAGTGGAATCTTGCAAGGAGACATGATAGAAGTTTCTAGATATGATGAGTATTGTTATTAGGGCAAAGGCATCAAAAGTTGTTTAAATCACCTTTCAGGGAATGCAACATGTATTTATTGGTCATGAACTTAATCAGCCTTGGGATATGGAAAAAGGATTGCAAAACACCAGTCACAGCCATGTTCTTTTTCTATGAAAGCCTGTTGACTGGAATAAAATAGATCTCTCCTCCTTAAGTTTTCTTAGCCCATGTTTTCCTGGCCATCATGGGCTCTGATAAATTAAAAGAGCCTCCACAACTGATCTCATTTACAAAATTCCATGAAGATTTCACTCTGTCCAGGTTTTCATGAATTCTTATTGATACTGCAGAGGCATTCACAGCAATTGGCCCTAGTGTCCATGTATTTTTAAGAATGTTTCTCTTGATTTAGGGTTTAAGATTTGGAGTTAGCATCAGTTTAAGATTTGGAAATTTGTGTTTAAATAGGAGATTTTTCTTGGCTTAACACAAACAGGAGGCAGAAGGGTTGCACAAGAATTAGCCAGCCTGGCTTCTAGAAATCTTACAGGCAAATTTAGCAACCAGTTAGCATCCACATAAGTAACCCAAGTGGTCAAACTGAGGTGTGTACGTAGGGCAAACAGAAGATTCCTTGGAAGCCATGCCATCCCTAAAATTCAGGAATGGACTAGTAGGTGATTTAACATTCTAGAGACAATGTTGGGCCAGTTTAACAAAAAATTGTTGAATACCATTACCTGCTAATATGTACAGAAATTGATAAAATGTGGTCTCTGTCCTTTAGAACTTTACAGATGACCACAGTCTTTCTATTTTCATCCGTATTTGGCCCTGAGACATGCCCCTAGTTTCAGACAGTGTTCAAAGAAAGTTTAATTTCTGCTTTATAGTTCACCAGTGATTACATAACTAAGGCCCTTAATTCTAGCCTTGAATATAATTACTGCTGGTTGACTTACTCATCTCTCATTTTACATATTTATTATTAAAGCTTTTCTATATAAAGAACTCTACAAGCATTCAAATTGTATGAAGATGGCTCACCAGACCAAGTACATAAATTATAGTTGGTGGCTCTTTAAAATCTTAGCAGGCAGCCACCAACATTCGCAATATTTGTCAGCCATCTCTTACATGTCTGTGTCCAAAAGGAGTTCGAGCCTCATTGTCTACATCTATGAAGAGTTACAGCCCACATGTAGTATATAGAGCTTGTTGCATGATGAATTAGGTCTCCAAATAAATTGAGTGAGAGTAAAATGAAAATAAAAGTCCATGATGGGTATATTTAATGCTTGAAAATATTTAATTCATTTGCACTTAATGATAGTTGAAAGATTTCTCTAAAATTAAGACAATTACCTCAGTGTATATTAGATGTTAAAGCTGAAATTGAAGAGAAAAAAAATTCCATTTGGACCTTCCTAAGCAAATGGCTGGTGAAGAGACATCAGCTGCATTACATTACTTCTTTCCATATTGGCTAACTAAATTATGTGCTCATTAGTTTACTGGGTTAATAAATGGGAGGCTAAAAAATGTACATGCTCTTACAAGTGAAATACTTTAGAGCCAAAGGAAGCCTGACTAATTTGAGTTAAATTTAAATCCTCTGTCTTTTGTAATGATTCATACCGTGAGACAATGAAAGAGTCATCAGCTTCTAATTCTGATGTGGACAGTGACCCACCAAGAGAAAACTTGGGAAATCCTCTTCACCAAAGGACCACATCTTCATATCTGTAAAAGGATAAGACTAAACTGATGCTTAGGGCTCTACCCCATCAGATAAAGATCGTAAGGGGTTTTATATTTATGTTTATAACTTCGTCTTGCATATAGTAAAATCGATCTGTTGTTACTAAAGCATATTCTCACAGAGTCAAGTTCATTTAAGGTCTGAGGTACATCCTAGGCTGAGAAACACTCCAGGGCCAAGACCCATGATGTAGCTGCAGCAGTGAAATTGCTGAGCTCTCAAAGGAGAATGGGCTGATGATATATCATCAGGAGATATGATAATGTAAGTGAAAATGCTTTACAAACTATTTCGGGCAATATAAACATCAGGTGTTAGGCATCGTTATTACCTTCTCCATTTACTGAGAGAGATCAACTTACAGACATGACTTCAGCAAGGCCATATAATAAGTCAAGAACAACCTGAAAAAAGGCAGTTTTTCATTCTGACATTCCTTCCAATATTTATGGGTTGCCTTCTACTTGCAAAGTAGCAGTGGGGGAATTAAAATTGTGTCTAAGACACTATCATAATTCAGAAAGAGTTTGCAATCTAATAAGTATGTATAGAACAGCATTGTCTACTTTTCTTTAATGGCTCTATGAGTAAAGAATCATTTTCCCTGACTAGGTTTTAAGTTCTTTGAAGGCCCAAAGTAGACTTTTATTTCTTTTGAATTTCTTGACAATGTTCAGTAGACTATTGGACATATTGTCCTAAAAAATGTGGATAGGGAAATAAAAAATAAGCTCTGGAATAGTGTTTAGATTCTCTAAAGTGTTATACAAATGTAAGTTATCATCATTATCTATGTTTGAAACTTTCTCTAGTGCAGCTTGAGAAGACATCTAGACACAGATTTCATTGCTGTAAAATGATTCTGGACCAATAACAACCCAAAATAATAATACAAAAATATCAACTTTTTTTGAACATTAATAATATGCTCAGCATTATGTTATACGTTTATATGCAGTATCTTATTTATTACCCACAACAATCCTATTAACTTGAAACTTATTATCTCCATTTTATAAATGAACAGACTAAAGTTTAGTGTGAAAACCAAAATCACAGGGTGAGTAGCAGAATGGGAAACTGAATTAAGCATTTTAGTTGCCAACACTTGAAAGGTGTTATTACTGGGATCTGAATCTACCTGATTTACCACATAAATAATATCTAGAATTTTAGATCAATTGAGATTAGTGGTTCTCAATGGAGGATGACTTTGCCACCCAGGGGATTTTTGACAATGTTTGGAGACATTTGAGGACATCACAACTGCAGGAGTCCTGTGGAGCGTAGGGCATAGAAGCTAGGGATGCTGCCCATCATCCTTCCCCAAAAAGAGCTGTCCCCCTCCACAAAGAATGATCTGGCCCTGAATGTCCATGGAGAATCCATGATCTAGACCTCTTTTTCCATGCCTGGATAGTTCTGTTGTAAATTAATGACTTCCTTCTTGTGGTTTAGGCAGTCAAGAAAACGCATGACCTAAAGCCAGCATAAGAGAGTCAAGTATGAGGGTACATTTGTTATTTCAAAGCTTCTGTGGAAGGCAATGCTATGTAGTGTATTTTTTTTCCCAGAAGGTAAGAAGAACATCCTCCTTTGATATTTATTACTCTTTGGTTGAATTTGGAATTTGTAAAGGTTAGGTTTATAGGTCGTCTTCCTCCAACAACCACCCCTACTCTTCATCCTAATTTAGACTTATGTCCTATAATTTTCTAAAATATAAAATATAGCTGAAGTCTTTCCTATACTTGAGACTCTTTCCTTTTAATAGTTATATGACTTTATCTATGAGTGGCTAAGATAAATAGCTATAGCAATTTCATGGTACTTAAAGTCACATTTCTTGATAATCTCTGGATTTTCAGGGACCATTAGCGATCCCTGTGTGAATCTTAGAATAATGAAAAGTACATTCTAGCAAAGACTTTAGGTACCCTGCTATTACTGCATTGATTTAGAAACACATTTTTAAATCAATTTTTTTTGCAATTTTAACTTGTAATAAAATGAGTCTTAACCAAAGTGCCCTTTGCAATCTAAATGCTTAGGTTTGAGAACAGCAGGACAAATTGAGAATTAATTAACATTTTGAAGTCAGAGTGCTATGTTGTTTAATCCTAAATTATACTTCAAATAGGGATTGATTTCTACACTGCAGAAAAACAAGTGTTGCTTCTTCCTGTGCCCCTTTTAATAAAAAATATGGATAGAGTGTATTTAGAGAATAAGATTAAATAATTCAATCATTAAATGTTTTTGATGAAGCCATAATAATATGCTATTACAGAATCCATGTTCTCCAAGTCATCTTTATAACTTTGAGAAAACAATTATTACAGAATAAGACAGAAAACCAACCAATATTGAACACATTAGTATAATTTATGTATTCATAAAACTGATAATAGACATTTATTTCTAAAAATTCTTAAAGCACAGGTAATAATGGAACCAGTCAGCAATTTACCACTTGCAATTAATCACTCTCTTCATATTCACAACATTCAATTTTTCTTGCTATTTGAGAGAGTAATGATTAATTGATAAAAGTTTAACAAGTGCACTAATAGCAGGTGCTCCTAATTGCAAAGTCTTCAGAATGATTCTCCCCAAACCTACCTTATGCTAATTTGTACAGCATTAGTCATAACACTTTATGATTTTACTTTTAAAATGACTTTTCTTTTAGTCACCCTAATTTAATTAAGAATTTTAGCTAGTTACATGTATTAAGAACACCAATGAATTTTAAATTTGTGAGTTTGATTACCATAAGAGATTAACAGGAAGACTCATAAAAATGCACGGCTGCCAATTAGAAGCATCAACACTGTGTAAATTAGAATTTGTTAATTGGTTTAGCAAATGTAAATTCAATTTTTTGAAATTTTATGAACTGAAAAATTGATTATATTTTTTGTGAGCCTCCAGAAATATATTATTAGTGATGATATTTGTTTCAGTAGTTGCTGAGATTATACTTGTGTTTTAGCTACAAATGTTTCTACTTCATTTATTTCAAAAATATCGACTTTAGCATTCATTTTTCATCCACGCGTTTGCCCCTCACTGTCTACACTATTAAATGCATACTTAAGTACACATTTTTCTTTCATCTGTCCTTCCTCTCACCAAGACAGATAAAATATGCATTCTAGGTAAGGTTTGTTATTTTGTATTTTCAATATTAAAGTGCATGTAATTAATTTAGCTTCCTTAACACTATGTGTTTATGACAAAACCTACAGATGCTTTTACAAAAAATACATAGTGAGAAAGCATTTCAGGTATGCAGATTAATACTGTTTGCCTCTAGGAAATAGACCCTGCCGTCTTGCATTTTATAATTATAAGAAGAACAGAGCTATAGGTTAGTATATATTGTGGAATGGGGAGGTCTCTTAGCAATGGAAGATCAAAATCTATTCTCAGAGAAATATGGACCCAGTCTGAGTGTTAACCTTCAGTCAGTTAACTCCCATGCTGAGTTGCAGTCAAGAAACTAAGGGTAGAAATTAGGACAGGCTTTAAGTATACTTATGGCTGAGTCTATATACTGTAAGTGAGAAAGTGGGGAAGAATAGCACATTGGGTAACTATAAATTTAGCACTCTGAATTTTCCAGATAATTTGACTGATTTGACTTGTGGACACCCTCACTTTGCCTCCTAACTTCTCCAGCCCCTCCCAGAGGTGTATTTGAAATTACAGCTCTAGATAATCTTTCCTAAAGGTTCCAAATTCAGCAGATAATTATTTGGACACTCAAAACCTCTTGCATCAATACACTATCCTAAGCCAGGCATGAGGTCTCACACCTGTCATCCCAGCAATTTGGGAGGCCAAGGCGGGCGGATCACCTGAGGTCAGGAGTTCCAGACCAGCCTGGCCAACATAGTGAAACCCCGTCTCTACTGAAAATACAAAAATTAGCTGGGCATGGTGGTGCACACCTGTAATCCAGCTACTTGGGAGGCTGAGGCAGGAGAATCACTTGAACCCGGGAGGCGGAGGTTGCAGTGAGCCATGATGAAGCCACTGCCCTCCAGCCTGGGTGACAGAGTGAGACTCATTCTGAAAAACAAAACAAAACAAAACAAAAACCCACTATCCTAATTATAGTATGTAGTACTCTACCCCAATTATCTCCAAAGGACTAAGACACAGAATGAAACCGAAGGGTACAGGAAGAACAAATTTAACACCTTCCCCTTTGAACAATAGGAGTAGGAAGGGACTTAACATTAATAGAGGATATGCTTCATGCATTTAGTTCTGTACCTCATCGTCTTTAAGCAGGAACTGGAGCCTAGACAGCTAGACATGCCAACCAAGTAAACGCAAGAAGGCATCTGACAGGGGCCAACTGCTGCAGGAACCCAGGTTTAAGAGATCTTGTCACTAGGAATCAGTTGGGTTGTAGGAAGCAGAGTAGCCCCTGATTACCAAGAAAGAGGGTGGGTTTATTTCTCTAACCCTGATCCCTTCCTTCTTTCTACTCTGCCCTCCCTGTCATAGTCCTCATGTTATGCTATTTTAAAGGAAAAAAGTGGAAACAACCTCAATTTCCAAAAACAATATATTGTTTAAATAAATGTGGATATTAGTGAAATATTATGCAGCTATTAAGATAATAATGAAGACATACATATGTATTGACATGGAAATCTGTGCATGATTAATTCACTGATTCACTAATATTGCCTCATGCCTCTTCTGAGGAAGGCGCTGAACTAGGTACTTCAGTGGAAAAGAAAACAGGCCTGCACTCAAGAAATTTATGTTCTAGTGGTAGATTCAGTTGATGAAAAACTAAACAAACAAACATATAATGTAATTTCAGTAGTGATAATTACCATGAAAAAACATAAAGCAGACTAAGGGGTCACAGGAGGTGGGAACAGCATTTGATTAGATACATATTTGAGAGATTTGAGGCCTAAACAATTCTTTAGGTCAAAAGGGTATGAGATATAAGGATAAGAACTTTCCCAGCAGACGGAGATGTCAGGATGAAAGCTCTGAATTGGGAGTAAAAAGGCCAGATACAAGGTGGAAAGACTTGGGCTGGAAAGGAAGCAAAATAGGAGGTAGGACAAAGAACAGAGAGAAAAACCACAACAATGGCAGTAGGTTGGGGATACTCTAGTACTCTCACTCAACTTTTTGTTTTGAGAATGGTAGAAAGAAAGGAGCATTATATGCTCTGAGCTGGTGGTGATTCTGGGTGTACAAGGCATCTCTCAGTAGTATAGTCTATACATATTAACAACCACCAGTGTCAAATGCATTGTCTCATATGCAGTGGTGCATGGGCAAGTGTGGCTGCACCCTATTTATGTTCATTAAAAATAAAAACACTATGTGGGCCAGTCAGATATATCTGTGAGTTCCTATGTGGGCCTTTTGGCTGGATTTTTTTTTACCCTCATCTCAAACCTGTTTAGTGACCATTCCAGAACTGAGTGTTCTGGAGGAATCAGAAAATCATGTGTTGCAGTCAAAGGAAACTCTTTGAGTAGGAGATTTTCTCTGGGAGTGCATCAACTTTCCTTTCCAATTTGTCAACCTTTTTTTTTCTCTTTCTTGGATGTACCCTAGGACTTTTTCTATAGTAATCAATGCTGTCTGTCAATTTCACTGTTTTAAGACCTCTCTTAATGTGGTATTGAACATTTATGGTATGTATATAGAGGGATTCTAATTCTCTAATCTCCACTTGGGGTTTTTTGGGGGAATCCTGGGCAAAACTGTTCCACTTGAAGACACAATTTTATGGGTTATAAGTGAGAAGAATAATATTTCCCTTGAGATGGCGCAATAGTTGATTAATAAATGCTTAAAGGGTGTTCTGAAGATTACAAGTGTCAGCTACTATTGTGATTATTATTAGCTGATCCTACAATCTGGAAGTACAATGAGCACCAGGTTATGGCTGACTCTTTCATCTTCTGTACATACGTTCTATCCACTGGAAGAATTAAATGTAAGCCCAGAGTAATTAATTAATGTTTATGAAGCATGTTGTGAGTCTCAATTTCTCTAAGTGCCAAGTGCAGTTATGAGAAATACCATAGCTTTTATTTCAACCTTGTAGTAATATTAGATTCTGATTGGCTTCATTTTCATTATAGATCATGTACTCAGAGTCTCATTTCTATATTCTGTGCAGTGTCTGCTAGCCTGCTGGTATAAGTGTCCAACAAGGGCAGTAATAAAGTTGTAATCTGTTTTCTTTTTCTTTTGATTCACCTTCATATATATGTATATTTAAAAGGACTACACAGGAAGAAAGAGCTCTTTCATTTTTGGCAAAAGATAATTCTAAATCTCTGCTGATGGGAATATGGAATCTTCTTTCTCCTGATTACCAATCAGGAAAATGAAAACTATTTACTCTGAAAAGTCTAGTTGTATCACTTCTAAATCATTTATAGTCCACTAAGTGCTTTGAATAATGGAGGAGCTAGGAGAGCCCCTGATTTAATTTTGTCTCTGTGTTTCTTCAGTATCTTTGTGCTTTCTTGCATTTAGAGGAATAGCACAGAACAGAGAGTTTAGGTGATTTTTTTAAAGGAAGCTATTAAAAGCTTTTACAAGGGACTTCAGCTTTAATAAAACCTCTCTGTATGCCGAAAGGCCAAATCTCCAGGGATCTGGAAAAAAGCAACCTCAAAGTTAAACATTTGCAAAGCAAACTAAATTCATGAGTTTAACATCATTTTTTCCATCTCCCACCCTTATCTTTCTTATAATAAATACAACATTGGTTCAGTATATTCTTTAACCCAATGTCTCTAATAGATAGCAATATCAAATTATAAGAGCACATATTTGCCTGACATTTTAGTTTATAAAATGCTATATTACATATGTATTAGTTTTCTATTGCTGCCCTAACAAAACTACCATAAATTTAGTGGCTTAAAACAATCACTATTCGTGCCACTGCACTCCAGCCTGGGTGACGGAGCTAGACTCCATCTTTAAAAAAAAAAATCACTATTCATTATTTCTCAGTTTTGTAGGTTAAAAACCCAGGTTCAGGTTGACACAGCCGGCTCTCTGCTCCAAGTTTCAGAAGGCTGAAATCAAGGTGTCTGAATGGCTCTCTTCCTTTCTGGAGGCTCTGGGAGGGTCTTCACTTCCCATCTTATTCACTTTGTTGGCAGAATTCAGTTCCATACAGTTAGAGGACTATGGTCTCCATTTCCTTGCTGGGTGTTGGCTGGGGTGATTTTCAACTGTTACAGGCAGCCTGCATTCCTTCATTAATGGCCTCATAGTGGATCAAGTCCTTTTCAAGCTTTGAATCTGTCTAATATTCCCTTTTGCCTCATCTCTCCTCTGTTCTCTGCCTGGAAAAAAAGAAACTATTTTAAGAGCTCATGTGCTTTGCCTGAACCCTGCCTGATAATACAGAATAATCTCACCATATCAAGATCTGTAAATTTCACTAAGTCTGCAAGCCCCTTCTGCCATGTAACACAACATATTAGCAGGTTCCAGAGATTAAGGTGTAGACATCTTTGAGGGGAGACTGTTTTTCTGCCTGTAATTCCATAGAATTATCATGCCAGGCAAGGTGGACAATATTATCCTAATTTTATAGATGAAGAAATACAGTATTTCAGTAGCATAAATTATTTGACCCTGGTCAAAGAGCAAATAAATGGCAGAGCCCAAGAGTAATGACTAAAATCCTTTTGTCATTTTTAGTTATTTTTGCTTTTAATAAACATTTAAAGGGCTCATGGTAAGTGTCGGATTTCTATATCAAATATGAGAATACAGGGATGAAAGATGTCTCTGAATTTAACAGGTTCATAATCTTACAGGCAACACTGAGAAATGTCCAAGAAATTTAATATAGTTTGTAAAGGCTTGATGAAGAACACAGGAGTATAATCTCAGGGAGTAAAATAATTGGGCATTAAGAAAACCTTTACAAAGAAGGTGATCTTTGAAAAGGCTCCTTCAAACCACATAGGAGTTCATCAGTTAGATAGCCAAGGTATAGTGGGAACAGCATATGTAAATGCTTGGTGTCAAGAAATGCTAGGGCTTCTTCAAGACCCAGCAAATGAGGTGAATGGCACCAGTAGAGAGGAACTGACAGATAAGCCTGTGAAGGTGGGTATAGCTATACTGTGAAGAACGTTTTAAACAGCACTGTACACCTCCATGGTAAGGAAGAGTTGAAGCATTTAAGCCAGGGTTGACATATTCCAATATGCATATCAGAAAGGTATAAAATAGGGGACTCAATAAAATGAGCTGAGATGGTGAACAATGGTGATCATTAAATTTAAGGCACTTGCTAGGTATTTTGAAGATTACAAAAAATATAAATGATACATATGTCCCCACAGAGTTTTTCGTCTTATGTCAAAACCCTTGGTTGCAAGGAACAGAAACCCGATTCAAACTAACATTAGCTAGAAAAGCAGAATATGTTGTTGATTCACATTACTGAAAATCATGGGGCAGATGACTTCAGGCAGAGCTGGATCCAGAGGCTCATTTGATGTCATCAAGGGTCTATCTCTCTCCATCTCTGACTTCTGTCCTCCTCTTTTCTGGAATCACTTCAGAGAACTTTCCTTTATGTTGCAGCAAAGATGGCCACAGCAATTTTTGGATTTGCATTATCCATACAGCTAATAATCCCAGAGAGAGGAGCATTTCCTTTCTCCCACCACCCATATTTTTCTGAAAAAATGGACTCTGATTGGTCTTGCTTACACATGCCCAGCAATGGACAAATTACTCTGTTTACAGGGATAGCATACTCTAAATAGCTTAACTTAGTTATACACCCACTTCTGTATCAGGGAAAATGCAACCAACCTTATGTGTTGGAGTCAGAGCATTTCCTGAAACAGATAAATGACAGATTTCCTGAAGCAGAGAACGACAGTTAGGCAAATATAATAGGTCTCCAACACACAAGCGTACAAATCACCAGAGAGTGTTATTAAAATGCAGCCTGTGGGCCGGGCGCGGTGGCTCACGCCTGTAATCCCGGCACTTTGGGAGGCCGAGGCGGGCGGATCACGAGGTCAGGAGATGGAGACCATCCTGGCTAACATGGTGAAACCTCGTCTCTACTAAAAATACAAAAAATTAGCCGGGCGTGGTGGCGGGTGCCTGTAGTCCCAGCTACTGGAGAGGCTGAGGCAGGAGAATGACGTGAACCCAGGAGGCGGAGCTTGCGGTGAGCAGAGATCGCGCCAATGTACCCCAGCCTGGGCGACAGAGCGAGACTCCGTCTCAAGAAAAAAAAAAAAAAAAAAAAAAAAAAAGAAAAGTGCAGTTTGTGATTCAGTAGTACTGGAAGGAGGCCTGAATTTCTGCATTTTTTTCAAAGCTCCTAGGTGATGCTGATGCTATTGGTCCACGGCCCATATTTTGGGTAACAAGGCACTATACTATCTATTGGGGTAGCCAAGGCGACCATGTAAAAAGATAACCCTAATAATAAAAAATGCAAGTTGTGATTCAAAGTGATGACAGAAGAGAGGTAAAAAGGGGGATTATCAAACAAATTTCAACGACAATGGGTACCCCACAGTAATACAAAGAAGGATATCCTCTAGGATACATTAAAAGCGTCAAACTGTGGTCTGCAGTTAACCTGATAGGTTTTCAAGGGGTCCATGAGGCCAAAACTGTTTTCATAATAATATTAAGATGTTATTTTATTCTTTTTCCCACGCTGACATGTAGTGATGATTGTTCAAAAGCGATGGTAAGTCAAACTTCTGGCACCTTGAACAGTAGTGATAGTTTCATCACCGACATGCCCTCACCTTATTAAAAAAAGGAAGAAAACAAGAAATGTCACTTTTGTTTAAAAATGTACCCAATGAAGCAGAAAACATTGTTAATTCATTAAATCCCGATCCTGAATTTTATTAGATATTTTTAACATTCTGTGTATTGAAATGGGAATTATGTATAAAACATTCTGCTGTATGATGGTCTTCAAGAGGAAAAACACTTGTGAGATTGAGTTACAAGCTCAAGTAGCCACTTTTTCATTGAACACATTTATTACGTGTGAGAGTGACTGACAGATTATGGCTATTTTGACTTTGGTATTTGGATGTTTTCTTAAAAATGAATGAATGAGTCTCCTACTTCAAAAAATGATAGCTTTCATTCTTAATAATAACATTAGAGCTTTCCAGCAAACATTAGAACTTTGAAAAATATGTCCCCATGATCTTGATGGCATTTTAGTTCTGAAAAGCTTAGGCGTTAAGACTGATGGTATATTAATAAACACAATTTTAAAATTGCTGTGTAATCATTTGGTTGATTTACATCATTCAGTGAGTCAAATTTTCCAAATGGCCAATGCACCATGTTGCAAAGTTATTTGTATGTGAAAAATCCATTGGAAGTGCAAGACAGACACATAGACATCGCTACAATATGTACCAAAAATTCATTGATGTGGTTCCAGATTCCATATTGCAACTAAACTTTAAGAAACTATCTCTTTCCAAGTTTAGTTCCAAAGAAGGGTATCCACAATTATCTTACAAAATGAGTAAAGTACTCTTCTCTTTCCAAAATACATATCTGTGAGGGCCAGATTGTCTTCACATACTTCAACCTAAACATATATTGCAACAGACTGAATGCAGTAGCTGATATGAGAATTCAACTTCTCTGAAATCAGGCATTAGGGAATTAGCAAAAATGTGAAACAATGTCATTCTTGTCAAAAATGATTTCTTTTTGGGCCTTGGAAAACATAGTCATTTTGTCATAAAACTATTTCATTTATTTTAGCATGCATTTGGTTTAATGTTATTTTTAATAGCATTAAAGTAGAAATATTTAAAATTTTTCCTCGGTCAAAAATTTTCTAATTAGGTAAATGTTTATTGGTATAATCTACATAAATAAAAGCTCCTTGGGATTCTTAATAGCTTTTAAGACTATAAAGTGGTCCTGAGACCAAAATGTGTGTGAACTACTGGGCAAGGCTAATCAGAAAAACCTGAGATTGCCAAGTTTTTACTACCTTTTAATTATGGAGTATATTATAATAGCACAAAACCATGGGTCCTTATTCCTTGAATAAGCTTCCATCATCTAGTTGGGTGTTGTTAATCTTTTGGATAAGGTATTTGGAATAGGCCCTGTGCTTTAAAAATATTTCAGACAAAAAAAAAAAAAAAACCACAGAGGTAAAAAACAATACCCATAAATAAATATAATTAGTCTCATTTAAATGCCACAGAGTATAATACAGCATTAAATGTTTGTACTTTTACTTAAAATGTGATTCTTCAAAATAAAATTTAGAGATCAAGTCTCTCACATTTCTGAAATAAGTACTATTTGGCAGGGCTTCTGTTTGTCCCAGTTTTCTTCCTCTTTCTAGCTCCTTCCTTCCTTCCTTCCTTCCTTCCTTCCTTCCTTCCTTCCTTCCTTCCTTCCTTCTTTCCCTCCTTCCTTCCTTTCTTCCTTTCTTTCCCTCCCTTCCTTCCTCCCTCCCTCTTCCCTCTCTCCCCCTCCCTCCCTCCCTCTTCCTCCCTCCCTCCCTTCCTGCCTCTCTCCCTTTCTTCCTTCCTTTCCCTTCTTTCTTTTTTCTTTCTTTCTTTCTTTCTTTCTTTCTTTCTTTCTTTCTTTCTTTCTTTCTTTCTTTTTCTTTCTTTCTTTTTCTCTCTCTCTCTTTCTCTTTCTTTCTCTCTCTTTCTTTATTTCTCTCCCTTCCTTCTTTTCTTTCCTTCCTTCCTTATCTCTTTCTTTCTTCCTTCTTCTTCTTTCTTTCTTGCTTCTTCCCTTCCTCCCTCCCTGCCTCCCTCTCCCTCCCTGCCCTCTTTCTTTCTTTATTTCTTTTTCTTTCTTTTCTTTCTTTCCCTTCCTTCCTTCCTCCCTTCCCTTCTCCTTCCTTCCTTCCCTCCCTCCCTTCCTCCCTCTCTCTTTCTTTTCTTTTCTTTTCCCTTTCTTTCTTTTTTCTTTCTTCCTTCCTTCCTTCCTTCCTCCTTCCTTCCTTCTTTTTTTCTTTTCTTTCTTTCTTTCTCTTTGCTTTGCTACTGCTTTTTGAGATGTCAAAACACACTTAAATAGTTGTTGAGAGTTGGTCCTCATTTTTCAGTACTTTCCTTTCCCTTTAATGCTAAACTAAAGGTTGGGTCACTAGAGGGTTGGTTGATAGATATATTTTACCCAAGATTACCACCTCAGGATGAGGTCATAAAGCTTATTATGTGAATGGTCATATTTCTTCCACCTGAAAACAAAGCTTTAGAAAAAAAACTTTAGCATTCCCCATAGGAAGATTTGTACCACTTGCTATTTATCACATATTATTCTAGATGCCTTACAAATGTTGACACATTTAAACCTCTTAACAATATTATGAAGAACCTATGAAGACATTGGAGCCCATGGAGGTTAAGTTACTCATTCAAGATCATACAGCTATTGAGTGATAGAGAGCCCAGGCAATCTGACTCCAGACATGTGTCCATAACCGAAGACATTATGCTGAATTAGTGTGTTGGAGATCATTTAAAAAACAATATTTCAAATGAAGAGTTGCTTAATTTTGGTGGGAATAATCTTAATTAGGATTTACTTCTTCATTGGACACATACCCTTGTGCTTGTAAGGCTTCCAAGAAGAGATTCAGGAGAGGTTTAGGTCACGGGAGATACAACTTAAAATAATTTAGAGTTTGTGGAAATCTAGTAATGCTCCTCAAACGTTGCCAGCAAAATACCCACCAAAAGTATGCAAAAGTTTGCAAACCTGGATTCTCTGTTACAAATGACAAAATGTCTCTGAAATTTCATACTTTATCTAGTATTCGAATTTTGCATATGATAATACTTTAATATGAAAATCATGTTTTAAGTGACTCCTCAATGAATAAAAATAATCATCCAAGAGATCAGCTGCCACAATCTTTTGTAGCTTGGAGTGGCTCCTGGCACATTGTACCAATCTTACCTGGAGAAACCTAGCTCCATAGAATACTTTTGGAAGACCATGGAGTATTTGTTTTTCTGTGTCTCCTCTTTGTGCACTACTGCTCAGGCACTCCATACCAGCCAGAATTTGGTTGCCCAGTTCTAAATAAAATGTTAAGAATAGGGCTCCATGTGAGAAACTGTGTACACTAAGTAGGTTTAGTGAAGTCACCCAACGGTCCTTCTTTAACTTGTGCCAGTAGTTGCAGTATCAAAAGTCTAAAGAGATTAACCAGGTAACTTGAATGAATGAAATAGGTCAGGTATGCATATTATAGGAAATGTTGGAGACTCAGATAAATGGAAGGCATATGCACTATTTAATGTGAGATAAAGTACACACCTCCAGCCCACTAAGAATGGGGATCAGGTCGCCACATGTTTTGATCTTTAAAAAATTAGAGAAACAATTTAAATTATTATCTGAAATTTTTTGATTTTGGTAAAAAATACAGTTTTATAAAATATGTGGACAACAAACGAGTTTCACACCTATATGTTTTATAAACTTTCAGTAAAGGTAACACCATTTACGTTGCACAATTATGTATGTCATTGATTGTTAAGTAGGCACTCTCTGGCTGCATGTGTGTCAGAGAAAGGGTGAGAAGAGAAACTTTTGCCCTCTGATCATCTTAAAGTTTTTGTTTCTGTCTACTTACAAGTCCCAAGAGGAGAATTAGGATGTCTCTTCCTGAATAGGATAAAGAATGACCTCTTTAACACATTGATGGTATCATCCTCTAAGGAACATACATTTCTTTTATTCTCTCTCTAATGGAAAAGTGGAACAACTTTTTCCCATCCTCTGAAAAGTTCTCTGTATGTTGAAATAGTTACTAAGGCTCTCCTTGTTCACGTTTTTGCTTTCGTCAGACAAAATAACCACAAATCCTAAAGTATTTCTTTAAAGATTTCTTTTCTTCTTTCTTTTTAATTATTTTCACTGTAGAACTATGGACCCTCTTCAAGTTTCCCATAGCTTTCTTACAACATGGTTGCTCTGGAATAGCTTGTCCTCATAACAGTTTAGCCAAAGCTAAATATGAAGAGAACATTATTTGCAGTTACATTTTATGTCTTTGTGTTATTTTCAAACAGCATTGCATTTCTGACTGATATGTAACTTATAATCTGTTGCAATCCCTACATCATTTCCACTATATTTATGCATAGCCAGTTCTTTCTTTTTTTGTCCCATAATTTGTAACTTTAACTGCCTTATAATTCATCTTATATACTTCCTTTTCTGTTTATTTTTTTTCACCATTCTGTGTCCAGAATGTTGGAGCTTTAATGGCTATACCTACATGGTGCCCAATACATAATAGGTGCTTAAGACAGGTTTAATGAATGAAATAACTAAACCAAGATTAGGCAATATATCCCACAATAATTTTTACTGGCTCTAACGCAATATAGATTCATTGAATCTAGTAAAATCTAGTAGAACCTTTTTCCATGCTTGACCAAACGTTTGGACTTTATCTAGAGAAAGATCTTTGTTTAAGCCTTGGCTCTTGCTTCTTATTAGCTATTTAGTTTGGAAAAATCATTCAAATTCTCTAAGCCTTTGTTTTCTCCTCCAGAAAGTGTGTATAATAATAGCTACCTTTGAAGTTATTGTGACGTTTATATGAGATATTGCACGTAAAATGCTTTAAAGTGTTCTTGATACATAGCAAATTCCCCCAAAATGCTAACTCATAAGAAAATGTAACACCCAAACCACTATATGTGGATTAGCTAAACAGAGGGATGTTTTTCTCAGCTCATGTTTTCCCTTCTGAAAGGATTTATGCTGGAAATTATTTTTGGACTCTTAAGAATTATTCTTCAAGGTATTCTCTCTTGATACTTAACTTTCTCATCTTTCTTCTCAAATTGAATGCATAGCACACATGTTTAGTCCCAGAAAATACTCACTACAAAATGTTAAGACTTCAAAATCAGCAGTAGCATCAGTTTCATCTTTTCCTATTATCTTGAGATAAGATAATAGAAAAAGAGATAAGAATCTAAATGGAAAGAATAGTCCACTGATGCAATAAAATAAATGTATAACTGCCATTGAATTACTTCAGAGAAGAATAAAATTTTTGAGAATTCAGTGAAGAGGGATGGTACCTTTGGAAAAAAGGAATCAGGTCTTATACAGAGTGTGTGCTCAAGGAGATATAGGGTAAATGTCTCTTGGGTGATGATGGCAGAGATGGGGGTGATGATGGCAGAGCTGGTAGTGATGATGATATGGGTGAGTTACCATAACACGGAAAAGAGGGCTTGACCCCTACAGGAACAACAGAGTATTCGATATTCCAGTGAGTATCCGAGTATGGCAAAGCTTTAGGAATGTAAAAGTAAGAGGAAATGACAGTTCAGAAGTGACTCACAGCAACATGAAAATAACAAACCGACAGACTTCATGGATGCTAAAATTCACAATTTAAAAATGGCCACCTGACACGCATGCCTCAGCAGATGTTGTAGTTTAAAGTGAAGATTTACAGTTTCTTTGGCAGGAAGTGAGTTGCTCAGGAAAAGGATTTTTATAAGGCTTCTTAATTGTCATCAGATGATAGGATTTAGGGATGGCATTTGTTAGCACAAGTTGCTATAAGGTGGTAACTTACACAAAGTTTACATTAAGCTTAGGGTTCATAATGACGATTTTCAAAATCCAGATAACCTTGCAAGGCAATTTTCTTTTTCAGCCACTGTAGAACATTATTTCCTACTCAGAACAACTTCAAAATTATATGTCCCATGGACACACTGAATTTCATTTTTACACCTTTCTAGTTTTACCTACACTGGGAAAATGGTCATTGACCTGAGACAAATAAAAATCAGAAGATCCTAGAGTTATTACTCTTATTGTTAGGCTTATTCTTGGATTACATTTTTTTCATATTGAGAAATACAACGCCCTTAAAATTATAATGTACCAGTGGCCCTAATATTTGGAGAGTCAAATTGTATATGGATCCACTTGGGATAATTGCATATGCAAGTGTCTGGAAAAATAGTGAAACTGAAACTAGTTTAAGAATCAAATTGCAAAATTTTGTTTTGGTTCTACCATTCATTATCTGTGTGTCATTTGTTAGGCAAACACTTTGACCCTTACTTCTCCCTTTAGTTAAATGGAAATGATTTCACAATGGCTTCACAGTGCTGTTTGATAGGACAAAGGAAATAATGTAAGGTCATTGAAAAACCACAAGGGTTGAGGAAACATACATAAGGCACTACTATTACTAGCTACTAATACTGCTTCTACTACTGTTATTACTGCTATTATAACTGCTGCCACCATCACTAACAGTATTACTTTCGTCTTGGGTTTGATTTGAGTAGCTATTTCTTATCCTGGGTTCGAAGGTGAGTAATATATAGATATACAACATATATACTATATTCCTCTGATACCTGTATAATTAAAACAGTGGAAGATTAGGTAAAACATAGTAATATGCTTTTACATATTTACTTTTAACAAAATACATACCAATTGTAAAAAAGGGTCAAAAATAATACAAAATTATGATGTAAAAAGTGAAGTATTTGAATAAATAAACAGAGGGCTCTCCTCTGTTATCCTTTCCCAGTTCCATTCCCTAGAGGTTATTCAGTCTATGCTTTTTCAGTGTACTTCTCTCAAGGCTGGTTGTTTCGGGAATGAAATAAGTACATCTTGGGTGTAAACACTGTTCCAGCTATGCAAGTGTCTACACAAGTAAGCAAGTCAGCAAGTTAGTCTTCAAATACTTTGCCTTCTAGTGGGAAGACAAACTATCTTAAAACATCATCATTAACAAATAGATTTTAAGTGCCTGTTACCTACAGGGTGGAGTACTGGTTACACTGAGAAGTACGGATTCTCAGCTTTCCTTTTTCTTAACCTTCATACAGGCTGTTGTTCTCTTCTATATATATTCAGCATATAGCATCACTCCTTTTATTTTAAATAGATTTTCAGCTTATCTCACAGCTTTAAGTTTATAATTTATTTGTTCTGGAATGTGTTCCTTATGACGTATAGAGAGTCGCTGATTTCAGTGATCCCATATACCTGAGTTCTTTTGCAGGTTGCCTAAAGAGAGTGAATAGCATTTGTTTTAAATGGAGTGGCTGGAGATCTGAGTGAAAGACAGGATCTGGTAGGCAGGTATGTAAATGGGCCTGCCACAGATTGCCTAAGTTTGGCTAGACTGGGCTAAAATCTGGTTTCTGATATTGGTATGACTAAGGTTGTGTATGGCTGGCACAGGTGAGGGCATAGAGGGATGCTGGGCCAAGAAGACGTTAAAAACATGCTTTAACTTAAAATTAGAGCTTAAGCATGTCTCCATGTACATTTAAATGACTTTACAAGAGTCAAGAATATGCTATAATTGCCCTAACCATTTACCATTCTGCATTATATTATTTCCAGCATTCTGTTATGAATAATGGCTGTAAGGAATGCCTTTGGGCATACATATCTCTTCACATTTATACTAATTTCTTTATAATAGAGTCCCTAAGGTAGAAGTTCAAGTCAAAGGTTATAAAAATGGTAATGACATAGTTACAATTTTTATATCACCTAACTACCAGACCACAACAATTTAACTCACAATCATTAATGCTCGAGATGGCCTGTCTCACGGGTTCCTCCTCCTCACCCTACCCCCTGCAGATTCTTCTTTAGTTAATCTCTGCTAATTTGATAGGACAAAAAAGGGATTGTGTTCCCATTTTCTTGATTGCCATATCTATTAAATATTACTATTTCTTCCTTTGTGAATTGCTGATTGGTATGGAAATCCTCATACAAACCTTAACAATTTGTATGAGCTTTTTATATAGAAGTGATCTCAATCCATTGTGATACTTATCGTAATATTTTTTCCAGTTTATTTTTGCCTTTTAATTTGAATTATATTTCATTTATAGAATAACAATTATTTTATGAGAATATAAACAAAAAATAAAATTCTAAGCCCTGCCGACCCCTCTTTTTGGCCAAGGGCATTCCAAAGTTAACCTGAAAAACTAGTTCAGGCCATGATGGAAAGTGGAGGTCAGACATGCCTCATTATACTCTCCTCCCATTGGAATTCAGGCACCATGACCTACCAGCATTGACATTAAAAAAGAAATCTTAAGACTGACAAAACAGACTTTTTGTAGCAATGATACCAAATTCCAACCTGACTAGCATAGCATCACATGACAGATAACAGGCCCTGAAAAGAATCAAAGCATTTTACCCCAAAATATATTTCTTTGACATATTTTCAAATGGCCCTTCGTTTAATAAGAAGAAATTTACCATTTATGTCTCTGAAGCCCAATAGCTGGAGGTTTCATCTACATAATAAGAACCTTGGCTTCCACAAACCCCCTTATCTTAACTCCAGGAATTTCTTTCTGCTGATTTCAACTCTTCAGGCAAAACAACTCTTTCAAAGATTTGCCAGTCAGGAAATCTTTGAATCCATCTATGAACTGGAACACCCCCTTCCCTCCCACCCCTGCTTTGAGATGTCCTGCCCCTCCAGGCTGAACCAATATACACCAACATGTATTGATTGATAGTTGTCTGTAACTTCTGCCCACCTAAAATGTATAAAATCAAGCTGTGACCCAACCTTCTCAGGACCTTCTGAAGCTGTTCATGGGCCCATCCTTAAACTTGGCAAAACAAACTTCTAAACTGATTGAGAGAGAGGAGTCTCAGATACTTTTTGCTTTATAAAATCAAATAAGTGATCTTTTAAATTATGTCATTTCTATTAAACAATGTAATAAATTAAAGATGATAATGCAAGATCACTTAATAACTCTAAACTACTACTACTAGTATTATTATTAGTACCGCTACTAGTACTAATACTACTAATGCCACCACCACCACTATCATCACCATTTTCATTTGGACTATACAGAATAAAATGTGAAAGTCTGTCTTCATCTCCCCTCCTCACCCAAACCCAAATCAGAGATAACTACTAGCAGTTTGATGTATATCCTTTAGAACTTTTCTTTTATATGAATTTGCAATCTTCTTTACACTTACCCTTCTCATCCCATCAGTCATTGAATCCAGTGGATGCACCTTTCAAACTGCATCTTTAATTTCCCGTGTATTTTTGTTTCAAAGCCGCTTTTATGGTCCAAGTCATCATCATCTCTTACAATAGCCTAAAAGTGGCTTCCAACTTCAATTCCGTCTTCTCAACAATGCATTATCTTCACAGTGGTCCACAATGATCATTTAAAAATGCACTTTCCTTTCAAGCCATGGAGTAGTTTTCCATTACAATTAGATTAAAACACACATCCTTAACCAGTTTATAAGGCCCTGCAGGGACTGGCTCCTGCCTGTTCCTCCAGTTTCCTGCATTACCTCTTTTCTGCTTACCAACAGTATTTTTATTTTTTATTTCCTTGAAGCTGTTTTCCTACTCAAGACACATACTATTTCCTCTCCTCGGGATGCTCTTTCCTCCCTATTCTCTTTGCCTAACTAACTCCTACTCATTCTTCGCATTAAAGATTACTTCTTCAGATTTGTCTTTTCTCAGTTTCACCAAACTAAATTACATTTCTCTTTTCATACTTTGAGTTTTCCATTGTAATAGTAATATCAATTATTAATAAACAATCGTTTGTGTAATTGTTTACTTAACTAAACAATTTGCATTCCTCAGTAGGTCATAAGTTCCATGAAAGCTAGGACACGGTCTCTGTCTTATTCACTTATTTGTAGGGGGTAGGGAAGGTTACTATCCAGGATAGGGCACCAGGAAAACTTCTGAAGTGCTGAAAATGTTTTAGATCTTCATTTGAGTTGTAGGGACAGAAAGGGTGTGATAACTTTCCTCACCCATCATAAGGGTCACAGCTGATACTCCTATAACAAAATACAAGTTTACAAGAGAAAAACATCAATTTATTTAATCAAAGATTTTTTTGTGACATGGAAGCCTTCAAAAATGAAGACTCAAAGACTCAAGGGGAGACTGTCTGTTTTTGTCCTTAAACTGGGGACAGCCATGTAGAAATGTGATTGGACAAAGAGGTATCATCTAATTAATGGTGATACACTCAGGTGAGGAAGCCAGTAAGGCCTATCCATGCAGACTCTTCTTGGCTTCTCTGTGTAGCATCCTTTCCTCATGGGTATGGGGCTGGTCCCCTCTGGAATGAGGGTATTCAAAAGAGAAGGGAGAGAGTAACTTTTGTAGGTTTTAGGACTTGCTGTGGGGGAGAGGGCTTCCAGTTTCTATGACTTACCTTGGGAAGGGAAATTCTGGTTGCTTTGACTCACTTCTGTGGAGAAAGGAGTGGGAGACAGGAGAGCAAGAGAAGGTCAGAGAGAACTTGCTTTTGAGGCCCTTCCAGTGTTCTTCAGTTCACAGTACTCAGCATGTCAAAGTGCCATACTTATAGGGTATCATTTTCTGAGCCCCACAGAGTGATGGTTACAGAAATGTTGACATTTATTTTTACATGTACATAAATATATAAATTTGTAAAAACTCTTAAGGTTTGTGAAATTTATTATATATACATATATTATTAATATTATATATATTCATCAAGTAATCAAAGACATACACACTTCAAATTTTCATAGTGAGTGGCAGATTGTGCTTCAGAAGCTATAACAATTTATATTCCACCAACAGATATGAAGATACTCTTTTCCAACAATATGACAAGCAAAAGGTAGTATCTCATTGATGCCCAAATTTTCTTCTTTGATTATTAGTAAAATTGAACTATGATGATATTTTCAATCCATTTGGGACTTATTTCAGTATATAATATAAGGATTAAATTTATTTTTTCATCCTGTTGTCCCAGAATCATTTATTGAATAATCTTTCCCTTCCTCTTTGATTTGTTATGCCATTAATCTTTATCATAATTTATGATGTCAATGGCCTTGATAATATAATACATTCTTGTATATTGTAGGATCTGTTTCTAAGATATCTATTCTCATCTATTCATTTGTCTCTTCATTATTGTACTAGTGACATGCTGATTAAATTAATAGAATGTTAAAAAAGTCATCCTCATTAATCTTCTTTTTCAAATGTAAAAAGAATCCTGATGCTTTAAATTATGTCTAAAATGGTTTTGTTAAGTTAAAAAGTACCCACTGAGATTTTAATTTGCAATTCATTTTAGGTTGGTTCCTCCTCAGGGAAACAGATGCTGAGATGGAGATTTGCATGCAGGAAGTTTATTTGGGAATCTCATGGGAATAACACCTGTAAGAGAAGAGAGAATGCAAAGGGAGAAGTTAAACTGTGATGGAGTTGCAACAGAGGGTTGCGACTGATTCCATAGGGAGCTCTGAGGCTAGAATTGTTCTTCTGAATTGACTGGAATTAAACAAAAGAGCTACAGCAACCAGTTAATGGACAAGCTACCGCCAAGAAAAAGGTGTAGTGGGCAAGGCCAAGGGCAGTTTCTGGAGAAAGACTCAGTTACGAGCTGTCAGTAACCAATGCTCTCAGTCTCTGGGAATGAATGCCTTGATCTTGAATAGGAATATGGGCAGTGCACCACAGCATCCATGTCACAATTTTTACAGTCTTGCTTACTTTTCCAGGAAAATGATTAGCTTTCCCTTTTATTCAGTATTTTATATTTTAAATAACTTCCTTAGACTAAAAATACAAAAGAAAACCATCAGAAAAATTCAGTAACTTTTCTGTGCAATGAGTAATAGATAAACAGAAGCTCAGTAGATGGGAATCATGCATTCAAATCAACAAGACACTGTAGCAGAAACAAATAACAATCTTTTGCTCAATATTAGTGGAAAGTATAATGTGGTTCTTAGAAAGATACATAATCTATTCCTTTGTTTCCCTTTGGTTTTTCCAAACCTTTTCATCCTCCTTGAGCTATGAGTAAACTTTAAGAGCTTCCTCTCATTCTTCTTCCTCCTTAAACTCTGCATCTTTTGACAAAGCTGACCATCAAACCCAACATTTGTATGTCCAGATGTCTCCTGAGCATCTCTTTCATCTTGATAGACTCATTATTTTCCCCCCTCAAACCTGTTTCTCCCATATGTTCTCTTCAGGGCCATCTCCAGCTCTTTCTCATAGTCTACTTTTAGTTTATGGTCAGGACCTGCCACGCCTACCTATGAGATGGGTTTGAAACTCCTTCTCATTTTATTCTTGATGCTATAAGCAAAAATAACATCGATATTATTTCTCATATGGGGTAATGCTGTAAACTCCTAACTGATTTCCATGTCTCTAATTGTTTCCATCTGTAACCAATTATGTCATTGACAATACCATCATCAACACCAAAGTTCAAATATTTTGATGACTACTGCTCACAGAAAAAAAAATCTAAGTGTGCTCACATGGAATTCAAAGCTCTGCATATTCTGGACCTCACCTAGCATCTTGGTCTGTAGCCCAGATTTACCATACTGCTTGCCCTCTCATGCCTCTTGTTTATATTGCTTCCATGTGTCTCTTTTCTTTGTTATAAATGTAATTTTCCCTTGGTCCCTCCCCAAAGACATTCTATTCATTTTCACGATGAAGCTCAAATGCTACCTCAGTGAAGAGTTCTTAGATTCCCATAGTAGAAATCAATTGTGCATCCTCTTATTTCCAAATGTGCTTTGTTTCCACATCCTCTTATTTCCAAATGCCACTCTTGCAACATGTATCCCGTGTATGAATATACTTGCATGTATGCCTCCCTGAATACACTTGAGTTTTGGAAGGCAGGAGCTGTTTATTTTATTCATCTTTGTATTCTTCACAGAGTCTGGCCTAGCCTAATTCTTTATTGTGCAAACTATATGGTTGTGGAATATAATTCTGATGTCTAAGGCAAGGGTGTAATTGTTTCATTCATTCTATACTCACTGAAATGCATCTAGAGCTGTGCTGTCCAATATGGTAGCCACTAGCCACATGTGGCCATTTAAATTTAAATTAATTAAAATGAAAGGAAAGATTCAGTTCCTCAATCATACTAGCCACATTTCATGTGTTCTAGCAGCCACAAGGGGCTCATGGCTACCTTCCATGATGACCACTGCAGATATGGAACATTTCCATTGTCACAGAAAGTTCTACTGAACAGTGCTGCTCTATCGGATTTGCATTAGAATGCTTTCAGCTGCAAGTAATAGAATTCTCAACTCATATTGAGTTGGGCTCCTCAAAAGCAGACCCTGAGACAAGGTTTTGGGCTTATGTAATTTATTTAGGAGGTGACCCCAAGGTCAAGTAGAGCACGTTTTTAGGAAAAATAAAAGTAAAAAAAGGAAGCTAAAAGAGCCAGTAAATGGCATATTAATATGAAGTTTCTACTGTAGGCAACTGGGACTCCTTTGGAATCCTCTGAGAAAACTCACTTCAGAAATGAGTGAGTTTCTGAACTCACTCCCAGGTGTGGGAAGGCTGAACCCTCCAACTCCACCAAATCTCCTTCTTTATTGATTGGGGATAAGGGGGAAGTGGCTTAAACTTCTCCTCCACTTCGGCATTGCAACTTCAGGAAGAGAAGAAGAGGTGCAGGTGCTTGAGGTGGAAAACTGTCAGAGTGCTAGAAACTATTGCAGCAGCAGATCATTTCAGGATGGCAAAGAAGATGTGTTGGTGCATCAGCAGACTCTTCTACACATCTAAATAGGGATAAAACAATAACTAAAATCTATTGTCTCACATAAAAATGTCTGGAAAAAGGAAAAGTTAATATTTTGTTAATTCAGAGGCTTAATGATGAAGGGGCTCTGGATTGGTAGTTCTGCATTAATCTTATTTCCTCCTAACATCATTTCAGGTTGTCTGCAGCCCTTCCAAACATTACAAGTAAGTATTCCAGTGGCAGGAATGAGTGAATCCAGGTTTGGGGTCTTATAAAGAGTAAGAACATTTCTACAAACCCTGCCAGAAGACTTCCTTTTGTATCTCAGAGGTCAAGACTCCATCTTGTGGCCATGGCAGTGGCAGAGTAATAGACTTGTTGTGATTGCTTTCAACTAATCAACGTTCACCTCTTGGGTCCAGGGACAGGGCTGCCTTTCTTAAACATAATACTCCCCAGTATCTGAAAACAATAGGCTTCTGTTGGCAAAGAGAAGAGATAAATAGGGTGGTGATGCATATGTCCTGGGTAAGCAAGAGTATGTCACAGGTGCAGGCAGCAGCTTTTAAGAAAAATATTAACAAACTCAAGAGAATCTAGAGAAAAAATGACGAGGATTTCCAAGACCTAGCAACTGCACTGTATTTTGAGTAAATAAAGGAACTAGGTACAATCAGAGCTCTGATGTCATTACACCAGTAAATTAATCAACCTTTGAACTTCTCTAATATACAGAGGTAAAAAGGGTATTACGGTGGCTATCATTAAATATTTTAAAAATAGCATTGGTTGGCAGATAAATTTAATTCTATGATGTACCGGAGGCTATAGCTGGGACCAGTGTGAGAGTTAGATTTTTTTTCGTATATTGAACAGTGATTTATCCTTAACAATTAGAGGTGTTCATAAATAATATGATAAAATAGTAACATTTTCACCATTGGAAATTTAAGAAGAGCTGAATTCCATTAACGGTTTACATTCCAGTTAGTGTTTCATGTTTCAAAGTATCATTTAATTGAACTATTATTAAACCCTTATAAGATATACTATGTAAATACTATTGTCTCTATTTTCCTTATGGAAAGAATGAGTTCAGCAAGTTTAATGATTTCTTAAGATCATGGAGCTAGTAAATGGCAAAGATGTGACATACACTCAAATTTTCTCACCCTCAAATACTGGTATTCCTAAGTCATTATAACTATCTGGGTATTTTAAATGTTTTAGGTAATTGAAAATAGCTTTGTAATAGACCTGAATTTGGCTATGCTTCTATTGCTTTATATCTTATTACAAGCAATCTGTTCCCAGGAATGCCCGTCATTAGCCACTTCAGCCTGCCTCTCCCTGCCTCCCTCCCTCCCTCCCTCCCTCCCTCCCTCCCTTCCTTCCTTCCTTCCTCCCTTCCTTCCTTCCTTCCTTGTTTCTTGAGACAGGATCTCACGTTGTCACCCAGACCGGAGTGCAATGGTGTCATCATAGCTCACTGCAGCCTCAAACTCTACGCTCAAGTGATCTTCCCACCTTAGCCTCCTGAGTGGCTGGGACTACAGGTGTGTGCCACCATGCCAAGCTAATTTTAAAATTTTGTAGAGATGGGGTCTTGCTATGATGCTGCTCAGGCTGGTCTCAAACTCCTGGGCTCAACTGACCCTCCCCTCTTGGCCTCCCAAAGTGCTAGGATTGTAGGTATGAGCCACTGTACCTGGCATAAATCCACATTTCTTATTGTCCCTGCTGCTGTATGTCTATGTCCTGCAGATTCTCCTTGTATTTCCTTTAGTGGAAGATGTTTTATTTGGTATTAGTCATTATGTACATTTTTACCCCTTTCCAGTATATATTGCATGGTATCTGGTTTGTGAATAAATGAAAACACAGTACAGGAAATAGATCTTGTTTCTCTTCTCGGACATTTTGAATTTTTTTTTCTCTTTCTTGGTGTGTTCTGGTTTATTTTATGATTCATTGAAACATAGTAAATTCTCTCCTTCCTTTCATTTGTATTCAATATTAAGGATTACCATTGCTTCTGTTACACAGTGTTCTGTTTTTAACTTCCTCACAGGGTGGATGTTGGTGTCTTCTATACAGCCTGCACTCAGTGAAATTCTCTTCAAATAAATTAGGAGATTCTATTTTTGGATATGAAATATCTTTATCCAGTTCTGGATGCTGCTTTATGGCTCGAGTTTTTTTTAGATTAGTGCAACCATATTGTTTCTCTAGTTTTTGAGATGGAATTTTTAATATCCACCAGAGCTTCAGGCTTTACATGATTCGAAGCAGCTCATTATATTCAGATAATAAAAGGACTTTGCTTCTCAAATATGTTTGATGTAGACTTTTCTTTCAACTACTCGCATGGGTAACTTTTGAACTAGTGATTGTTGATACGGTACTGGTCACTTCAATATGTGTTGTGGCTACTCCAAAGAATACCAAAGAATTTTTACCTCCAAAATTATGCAACATACATGCCAAAAAATACAGATTTTGTAAATACTTTCCAGTTACTGCCATGGTGGTTGTTTGCTTCCTAGTCTTTACATTCGTCTGCTATTTCCTTCTAATTGGTCTTTATTTCACAGTAAGAAAAATAATAATATAGAAAACAATATGGAACAATTATTGAGACTTTACTGTGTATGAGGCATCATTCTAAGCATTTTACATAAATTAACATAAGAACTTTGTCAACAAAGTACTATTGTTATCCCCATTTTACAGATTTGAAAACTGAGGCACAGAGAGGTTAAGTAAATTATTCAATCACACAGCTATAAAATAGTGAAGCCAAGATTGCCACCTAGGCACATCACTATACTTTAAAAAAAATAATATTAGTAATAACATTTTGTTATTAACATTTAACATTTTATTAACATTTATTATTGTTATTATTACAAAATGTTCTCCAAGTTGGAATCCAAGTTGGAAAGTGGGTAGTAAAGCACAAAGGAAACTTGCTTCTTAGAATGTATTAATGAATCTCTTCCTTCTCTTCAAACAATCTTCGAGTATTCAACTTGCATATTTAAGTAGTGGTCAACGTTTAATATTTGACGTCTATATCCATATCTATCTAAGTATAAAAAAAAATTTTAAAAATGGACATTCTCACATAAACCCTCTGTATAGACTCTACAATCTTTGGGATTCGAAATTGTAGCTTATGAACTCGCCATTTTTTTGTTCTTAAATTTTCTGTCTTTTTTTTAAATTGATATGTAAGGGCTGACTTGACCTGTCTTTGAAGGAAGCCTAAACTAGGAAGTAAAGGCAAGTGAGAGGAATAAAACTAGACAGAATAGCTGTGATGGAAGGATTTCTAGTAGCTGTAAAAGCAATAAGACATGTGAATAAAGGAGATAAAAAGTTTAAGTCAGAAACACTAAAAGATAAAAGGAGTTTAAATAGTTTAAACATTCTTATATGAGGAGAAAAAATAGGAATGTTTGGAAACAAATGTCAATCTATGAAATCAGAAATCAGGATTAATTTTTATAAATCAGAGAAAAAGAAAACTTAAAATGTCTACATACATATATACATATATTTAGGAAAGAAAAATTGCAGTCATTACTATTTTATCATTTTTTCCTCAGAAAAATGATGGGAAAAAAGAAATAAAAAGTCAAAGAGATGAATAGGGAAAAAAGAAGCAACACAACAAAAAGAAAACAAGAAAAAATATTGATGGGGCAATATTTACGGAGAAATTCCTATGATTTTTAATGACTAAATGCCACAGATACATAAAATGTGAGAGGAAGGCAGAGCTGAGTCATTCCCACAGCTGGCTGTTGAAGAAAAGGCTGTAATGTTTCTTTATTATGACAATTGACCAGCCAGATAATTTATGATTCCATAAGTTACGGGTGCGGGAAATGGAGTGGAAACATACAAGGGACTCAGCAAACTGTAAAACTGCATTGGCTTTATCAGTGGACTCATGTTGAGTCCATCTAGTTGATGAACATCCTTATCAGCCAGCAAATATAAATGACTTATGGGAATAATATTTCAAGGCATAATGACACAGCTATATCTAGTATTCTTCTAAGATCTGGGTTATTAAATATTAAATATCAAAGCTGTAAATTATAGTAGCAGTTTTATATAACTAAATTAAATTCAAACAAAACCTAATTTCCTTAATCATTGGCTGTAATCCTCCAGGAACATATGCTATTAACTCAACTACAAATGGCACAGAAATTGTATGACTTCAGTTAACTTATTTGATATGAAATTCTAATCCAGGGCAGACTTCTCTGTAAATCTCCTACAGGGATTTTAATACCTCGACAATCATATTGGCTTTTTACAGAGTAACTAATCTTTTCATACTCTGATTTCTTGCTCCTTTATTCGATTTCTTTTTTTCTCTCTCTTTTTTCTCTCAAAGCATATTCTAGATCAATTTTTAAAACAAACTTCCTATGGAATTTTAAAATTTTTGTCCAGAGTTATCACCACAGTTATTATAACCTGGGATTTTGTACGGAGAACTAATTAAACTTAGCTGGAAGTATTTATAGCTCCAATTTACTGTTTATGGCCATGTATGTTAGGGCAAACCCAAAACAGTAAAAAATTGATCAGTCTAATCTGGCTCCTTGTCCCCGTGGCCAAATGTCTATCACAGAGTTTGTTCAGTGATGAAGTGCATTGTGGCTATTGTAATTGTGAATAAATGGCTGAAGTGAATTAATTTTGTTCTCCTCTTGGCTAACTGTTAACCATTTTTTGAAAAGTTCATTATGGTCATAGAGTAAGTAATTTATCATTTAGAATCTAAAACTGCTTGAAAGTAAATTTTGAAAGGGAGGGAAGTATCAAGTCATATGATAGGGATATACACAACTGTAAGAAAATGAGAGTCCCCAGACAAATGGATGCCTGGGAGGTTTGGGCCTCTGTTATTAACCAAGGTAAACAGTGGTGTGAGGCATGGGAGAATTAGTCTTGCTAGACTCTTAAAGGAAGGAGGGTAACTATTTCAGGTTTTAGTACTGAATGTCAGGCTTTCTGAATGTGAGGATGAAGTAGCCCAGGTCTTCCTTGAATCTAATAAGATTCCCATCTTACCATTCAACAAGGTAGCCTGGTCTGCAGATGAGACAGTTGCTTTCCTGGAGAGCAAAAGGTCATAACTATTTCCTTCTGCACCTATATGGTAAAAAGCCTTTTTATTTTTTGAGACGGTCTTGGTCTGTCACCCAGGCTGGAGTGCAGTGGCGTGATCACAGCTCACTGCAGCCTCTAACTTCCGGGCTCAGGCGATCTTCCCACCTCAGCTTCCCTTGTAGCTGGGACTGGAGGTGCACACCTCCACTCCCAGTTTATTTGCTAAAGACTCTTACACTTTCTGTATCCCAGACTTTCCCAGCCTTAGAGTCTCTCCCAACTCATTTCTGCTTGCCTATGTATATCTTCACTTGGATGTCTAATAGGCAGATCAACATGAACTTGGCTTTTGTCACAATCAGGGTCTCAGCATGGGACAGCTGGCGTACTCAAAAGTTTTAATAGAAAGTTTAATGACAGCCAGGAGTCGTTGCTCATGCCTGTAATCCCAGCACTTTTAGAGGCCGAGGCAAGCAGATCACTTGAAGTCAGGAGTTTGAGACCAGCCTAGCCAACATGGCAAAAACCTGTCTCTACTAAAAATACAAAAATTAGCCAGGCATGGTGGTGCGTGCCTGTAATCTCAGGTACTGGGGAGGCTGCAGGAGGAGAATTGCTCGAACCTGGAAGATGGAGGTTGCAGAGAGCTGAGATCATGCCACTGTACTCCAGCCTGGGCAATGAAAAAAAAAAAGAAAGTTTAATGAAGTACAGTTTGCCAAGGTGTGGGCAGAACTATAGAAGCCAATACAAGGTGTTAAGGCATCCAGGGATTAGCAACATTGGAAAGCTGTTATCTTCTTTAATCCTGTAGGGACAAGCAAAAGGAACCCAGGGAAAGCCTGAAGCCATAGAACAAGGTCCATCCAATTGAAGTAGCAATCCCAGAATGCAGTGACTGGCAGAACTGGAGTGAGACAGGGAGGGTCTAAAGGAATAAATTCTCCTACTTGTTTCTTATTCAGCCTCTTGCTGGTACCTCATATTGCCTTATGCCATTTGAAATCAGACGACAAGAGCACACCCTGGCCATAAAGCAGAGCAGAGAAGTGTGGGAAATAGATGGGTGTGTGCTTGTGTGTGCACATTGTTTGTGGAAGTGGGGGGTTGGCACAACTTCTACTATTACCAATCCCCATTCTCCAAATAAACACACACATCTCATTCTTTCTTCACCCTTCTCCATCTCAGCAGAAGGCACCAGTATACACTCAACTGTTCGTGCGAAAAAAAATTATCAAGGACCATTTTTATTCTTTTCTTTTTTTTCTTTCATTTCCCACATTCAAACCATTACCAAGCCCTGTTGGTTCTCTCCATCTGGGCCGCCATACCCTTATGCAAACCACCATTATTTCTCCCTTGGGCCATATTAGGAACACCCTAACTCCTCTTCTTTTTTTTTGTCCCTACCCCTCTCCAACCTACCTCCCTATCTTTGTTACGAGAGACTTTGTAACCTGATGGTGACAAGGAGTATTTACAGTCCAAACAGCTGTCGATAAAGCAATATCCCACTTCATAATTTTATTTCACATGCCTCTCCTGGGAACAGGCCACTGTAATAACTCTTCGTTCACAATTCTAAGCCCTGCAGATCCATCTGTGAACAAAACAAAGTCTCTCCTCTGGTGGAGTTTACATTCTTGTAGGAGGAGACAGACGATAAACAAATAAGTATAAAGTGTGCCACGTATTGAAAATTATATTATGAAGAAAAATAAATCAGGGTAAGCAGAGAGTGACTGAAGTGCCATTTTAGTCAGGGAAGTCCTCGCTAATTAAGTGTTTGAGCAGAGCCTTGAAGGAAGTCACAGGGAGTTATGAGCCAAGAGTTCCAAGCAGAGGAAGAGGAAGTGCTAAGGCCTTGATCCAGGATCATGTCTGGATTTTATCAGGAAGTGTGAGAAGACTTCTGGCCATGCAGAATGAGCAAGACAGAAAGTGAGAGGAGGCCAGGTCAGAGAGGAGGTGAGGGGCTGGATCATGATCAAGTGGAGGCTTTCAGGCCATGAAAGGGATTTGGATTTAAACGGGTGTGATTGTGAACCAATAGAGGGCGTGAAGGATCAGTGGCAGGAGCTGTGTCACAATTTTAAATCATCACTCTGGTTGCTGTATGGATAATTGAGGTATAACTGAAGGCTGAAGTACGGATAAGCTCATAAGTAGAGAGGCCAGTTAGGAGGCTGTGGTTATAGACTAGGTGAGGCCTGAATTAGAGGGATAACAGTGGGATAATGAGAATGCTTAGAATTGAAGATATATTTTGAAAGTAGAATTTGCTAATGGCATGGATGGGGGGGCTATAAGAAAAAACAAGTTTAGTCAGCTCTGAAATACAGTCTAACTATTAGCACTTTCACAAATCATCTCTGTCATTTGAGTCATTTGCTATTGTTTATTCAAGAGAAGCACTTTTTTTGGTCAAGACTTTATAATATTTAGTATCTACTTAATAATCTTAAATATTTTAATGTATCTTTTCTCTTGGACTCATTGTAAATGAAAGAATTATACTTGGATGAAGAGAATAAAATTCAGATTATACTTTAATGAAGAGACTAAAATTCAGTAAGTTGTAGAGCTTCAAAAGTTGCCTGCTACTCAACTCTTGTGTCTTAGTCAGAGCCCTGAATGATAAATCACATTGACCGCAAAGCCCAGGACTCCTCAGGACTCTTGTTTTTTTAGTTAATCTTGTTTTGTTGAAGAACAACTTCTCTTCCACCCTGCTTTCTTTTCTAAACTCAAAGCCTCCTCCAGAGTGGAGAGTTTTTCCGCATCCCAATTATGCAAAATGTTGATATTGGGTAGAGGAAACACATAGAATTAAAATAGTTTTATTAGGGGCTTGGGAACTGTGAGTGGCCAGAAATTTCTGGAATTTTGCAATGCGTTGATGGTGCCAGCAGCCCAGAGAAAGACTGGCTCTGATTGGTTACTATGGGATCTATGTTGTTCAGGTACATAGTAGAAACTCAGTAAATGTGTGTTATTGAGTTAAGAAATGGAATACATTGGGAGGGAACTGAAGAAGATATCATTTGGAAAAATGTAACCTATATAATCATTAGGGGAAAAATTCATTCCCTTGTGTGGTATGGATATCATGAAGTTGAGACAACCTAGGACTTAAAGGGTCATTGCTACAAAGAGTGGGGAAGGATTCCATATTTTGCTGTCTGTAGCTAGGACACAAAAATAGCCATTCGCTCTAGGTTTACACAGGAAGTTTGATATATTTTGATAATGTTGATATCAGGTAAGCTGAATTTTTAAGAGTTAAATTTTATATTTTCTATAGGGAAATATAAATGTAAAAATGCTCAATCAATTACAAAAGGAGAAGTGAAATTAAACTATACTGAGATAGCATTTCTCATCATTAGGTTGGCAAAATGCCAATGTCAGTGCACACTCTGTGGATGACACTAGTGATGGGGTGGGAAACAGCCATTCTTATATATTGCTGGTAGAAATACAAAATGAATAGTACGACCTATAGGAAAAGGAATTTGGCAATATTTAGAAAAATCACATACTCATTTACACTATTGCCAATCTTACTTTAAAAAAATTATCCCAATGATTCACTGGAAAAAGCAAGAAAAGATATGTGGACAAGGCAATTCACTGTAAGCCAGTGCTTTGTAACAGCAAACTACTAAGAACAATTCAAATGCCCACCAAAAGGGGCCTAGCTGAATAAATTATGGTACGTCCACACAATGGTGTACTCTTCAGCTATTAAAAAAACAATGAATCTGTTAGGCTGGTGCAAATAATGGCAAAAACCACAATTACTTTTGCACCAACCTAATATTTATACCCTTCTTTCTTAGATAACTAGAAAAGTAACATACATACTTCAGGTTTTTTTTTCATTCAATAATAAGACATTCTGAAAACGACTTTAGAATGGCCTGTGTATGTGTGGAGAGAGAGATTCCTCATTCATGTGTATTTACATATTCATGTGTATATGTATGTATAAGTCAACTTTGTTCTATATTTCAAGTAAAAATAAGAATCGAGGTTTTAGGGTATCAGTTAATATAGACTTCTGGGCTGGTTGACCTTTGCATGAGCCAACTGGCACTGAATTCTTCCTTCTTCTAGGTGCTGTCCATTGCCTGTGAGCATCTCCAAAGGCTCAGTCCTCAGCCCTCTGGTCCTTCTCCTCAAATTCTATTCCCAAAATTCAACTATTCCTGTGGGTTCTGACCTCATGGCACAAGAAATAACTCAGTAGGACAACATATGAATAGGAGTGCAGAATTTAAAAACATTTAATTAAAAAAATTAATTTTCTTGATTAAAAAGGAATAAAGCACACAAGATAGAGGGGGCAAATGGTCCATTAAGCTTTCAGTAGAGGACCTAAATTACATTTGTGACACGTAGCCTTGGTTTGCTCTCTAACCATGAAAAAGCCTTGATCAATGGTGCTTTAAGAAAAAGTAACCTGAAGGTTTGCAGGCCCCTCCAGCTCACGGCTCCTGGATAAACTCACCCAGAGTCTTTTTTCAAAGTCTATGAGGGCGGATGTTTGTCCCCATATAACTAACTCTCTGTCTTGTTTTAGGGTCACTGACCATCCTATGGATGACCGTCTCCATCAGTGCCCCTGACCGTGGATTCCGGGGTGATCACCTCAGAAAATGTTCTGACCACAGATCCAGAGAGACCATCTCCAGAAGTGCTCTGACCACAGACCCAGGTGATCACCTCTGTAAATGTCCTGACCACAGATCCAGAGAGACCATCTCCAGAAGTGCCCTGACCACAGACCCAGGTGATCACCTCTGTAAATGTCCTGACCACAGATCCAAGGTGACCACCTCCGGAAGTGTTCTGACTGTGGACTCCGGAAGTGCCCTGACCGTGGATTCTGGGGTAATCATCTCTGGAAGTGCTCGGGCTGCTGATTCCCAGCTCTTGCTCAAGCTGCTCACCTGGTGTGTGGATCTGCCATTGATGGTTAGAGCTCCGTGGCTCCTTGCCTTTGACTGTTTGGTTTTCTTCCGTAGGACAGTAGGAAAACGCTTTTCCCTTCTCACATCTCACTCTTTTTTTGTTGTTGTTTAAGACGGAGTTTCACTCTTGTCGCCCAGGCTGGAGTGCAGTGGTGCGATCTTGGCTCACTGCAACCTCTGCTCCCGGATTCAAGCGATTCTCTTGTTTCAGCTTCCCGAGTAGCTGGGACTAAAGGTGCGCCACCGACTCTGGCTAATTTTTGTACTTTCAGTAGAGACAGAGTTTCACCATCTTGGCCAGGCTGGTCTCGAACTCCTGACCTCAGGTAACCCATCTGCTGGGATTACAGGCGTGAGCCACTGTGCCCGGCCCACATCCCACTCTTAAGGCCGATGTCCCATGGCGTAGTGGCCCGGTTTCCTAGTGATAGCTAGTTTTACTATTATCCCAAAGCATGCAGGTGACTCTGGAGGGTTACAAACAGCCCCACAGAGTGCACAGGACCCCTCTTCCCTCGCCTGAGAGCCAGAATCATTCATCAGTTTTCGTAAGTGATTGATTTCTCTTCTTCAGCCTTCCTCCAGAAGGAACTTTTAACTTTGTCCCTCATTGGTCTAAATTTCTGTTGCGTGTGGAATTCAGGCTCCTGAATTGCGTGTGAGGTTTATGGATCCTACAGAAACCTGGGGCATGGCTGTGTCTATTAGTTTGGAATGTGCAGGAGTCGGATGTTTAGGGAAGAATAAATAGCCTCTTACTCTTTGAGGGCAACAGAGCAAGTTTCAATAGGTCAATTTAGGGTGGGACTGGGAGTCTGTGTGTGGGAGGCAGGAGGTAGACGAGTTTGAAGTTTGAAGTGTGGGGGAAGGGAGCTGTCCATGCTAGAATGTCCAAACCTCAATTCATAACTCAATGTGCCTTGGTAGGTTTGCAGTGTCTGCCATACCAAGACTTTCATTTACTGTAAGAAATTTTTAGCTAATTGCATGCAGTATATTTTTACCTGTGACTAAATTGTCAACTCAGTTTTAAAGCTTCTTGAATCTGTCTTAAAAAGTAACACTGGGCTGGGCGCGGTGGCTCACACCTGTAATCCCAGCACTTTGGTAGGCTGAGGCGGCGGATCGCCTGAGGTCAGGGATTTGCGACCAGCCTGGCCAACATGATGAAACCCCGTCTCTACGAAAAACACAAAAATTAGCCAGACGTGGTGACACGTGGCTGTCATCCCAGCTACTCTATTCGGGAGGCTGAGGCTGTAGAATCACTTGAACCTGGGAGGTGAAGGTTGCAGTGAGCCGAGATTGCGCCACTGCGCTCCAGGCTGGGAGACAGAGTGAGACTCCGTCTCAAAAAAAAAAAAAAAAAAAAAAAAAAAAGTAACACTGTTCCGTAACTCCCTCCCTACTGTTTCCATTCACCATTCCTCACTCCTTACGACTTTGGGAATCTGCTGTTGTTACTGTTGTTAGAAGGGTACCAACTTGATAGAATTTAGTAATATGGTAGAAGCCATGTTGATATATATTTTTTAACGGCTCTGTGGGAAAGAAAGGCAGCATTGGTATGGTTCTTGGATTTGGGGCTTGTAAAAAAAAATCGATTTTTTTTTTTCCTACATTGCGGGCTTTGAAAAGACGAAGCAGTGAGAACAGCAGTCAATTTCATGCTCAATACAAAATATTACGAGCTGAAAAGTTCTGTACCAGAGACTTCAAAGAAAATATAAAATATATATATATATAAAATTTTAAAGGCATAAAGCTTACCTGTTCCATTAGGTAATTTGTAGACTTCAACTAGCTTCTGCCATTTCTGTGAAGTCTCCACAGTTTTCTGAAGAAGGTTACTCTTCAAATCACAACTATTGTTCAATAAAAAGAAAAGAAAAGATATTGTCATGATATTTGTGCAATATTTCTGCATTATCAACTTTTGATTCGTAAAAGGGAAAAAAGCCTGTAGCTTCCCCAAGGAAAGCCTGTAACAATCTATTACATGAATCTAACATTGCACGTTTTGAAAAGTTTAGAAATTGTTTTACAGAAAAATCGTATTGCTTTTATTTATAGCTTCATAGGTCATCTCCAAACTCTGTGAATGCAGAGCAGTGAAAAATGGAAACACCTTAGTGTTGCTACAGACGACCCTTTGTTTGACTTTTCTTTTGGACTTACAGCATAAAGGTGTTGTATTAACACACATGAAAATATTATATAACACTTGAAAATATTTCAAGAGGTCTCTTCAACTAGGTAAAAACAAAAAACAGTGTTACTGAAAGAATGAAAACCACCTTGTTACAAACATAGGGGCCTTGCAGCAAATTAGGGTTCTGAAAGTTGGTTGTGTAGTATAAATTAAAACACACACATACACACACACACACACCAGACACTGTCTTTGTAACTCTAGTTTAGCTCTTCATTGATTGCAAATCCACTGGACCTAAACCAAATCTTCTATAACCCAACTGGTAGCTTGATGTTGAGATGGTAGTATAACCAGGCCATGGTATCTGCTACTCCTGCTTACAGCCAAAGGTGACAAATGAAAAAGGGAACACTTTTGCTAGTCAGGGAGCAGTATCTTCTTCCAGGTTAAGGCTACATGTGTAGCTGTGCTTTCTACTAGAATCTCCAAATGAGCTTTTAAAAGTCAATTTTTTTATTATAACAACCTTAAACGTTCAGATGAATCAATACCCAATCCCTATCTCACAACCTAGGTCCCTCACTAGAATACTACCTAAAGGGAAGGACAGCATATGCCTTTACCCCTATTGTATCTCCGAGATTCAGCATATGGTAGACACTCAGTGAAAATTTGTTGATTATGTATTCTCTGTTCCAGACATCTCCCTGCTATTGATAGGTTCGTCATGCAGCTTTTAAAAGAGCATGATGAAATCTTCCCCTAAGACATAAAGGAATTTATAATCCAGCCCTCAAAATACCCAAGAACATATGTCTTCTGATTTCTTTTTAAAAAGAGCCCCATTTAAGGCCTCTGTCCAGCCTGGAAATTAAACAGAAAGGTTTAGAACATGCACACAATAATTGGACTGATATATTTTAAATAAATTTCCTCTTCTGTGATAGTGAGAAATAACCCAGCTAGGGCTTTAGTCATTGTATTACACAACTCAGGCTGCCATAACAAGGTACCACAGACTGGGTGGCTTAAAAAATAGACATTTATTTTCTTACAGTTCTGGAGGCTGGAAGCCCCAAGATCAAGAGCCAGCAGGGTAGGTTTCTGGTAAGGCCTCTTGTCCTTGCTTGCAGAGGGCTGCCTTCTTGCGGTGGACCTGCATGGCCTTTCCTCTATGTGAGCAAGGAGAGAGAGACCTCTAGTGTCTCTTCCTCTTTCTATGAAAACAGTCTGATTGGATTAGGGCTTCACCCTTATGACCTCATTTCAAACTAATTACCCTACTAAAAGCCCTGTCTCCAAATACAGTCAAGTTGTGGGATAAGGCTTCAATATACCGATGGCGGAGGGAAGACACAATTTACTTCATAACATTCTTCCCACATACTTACTTAAGTTATGAGACATTAAGGAGAAGAGTCCATCATGCAAGGAGTTTGCATCCTCTTCTGGGGAAAGGGTTAGTGCAGTTATGCTTGTATGCAGGATAGCTGTATAATGTGGTGGAAGTATGATCTTGTTATTACCCTTATTTGGACATTATATGTGTTTTACAGAGACATGTACAGTGCCAAGTTGACAAGGGTGGGCTTATGATGGTTAATTTTGTGTCAACTTGATTGGACCATGAGATTCCCAGATATTTGGTTAAACTGGGTATTTCTGTGAGGGTGTTTTCGAATGAGATTAATATTTGGATTGGTAGACTGAATAAAAGACAGCCCTCCATAATGTGGGTAGGTTTTACCAAACCAGTTAAAGACCTATGTAGAACAAAAGGGTGACCTTCCTCCAAGTAAGAGATTTATCTTGCCTGACAGCCTTTGAACTGAAATATCAACTTTATTTTTTTTATTTTTTTGTGTGTGTTCTTTTTTCCTTTGCCTGATGGCCTTTGAACTCTGAGACAGTGGCTCTTTCTGGTACTACAGCAGCCTTACAGCCTTCAGTTTCAAGCTGGGATATAGGCTCTGCAGGTTTGTAGAACCCTATTAATTCTGTTTCTCTGGAGAACTCTGATTAATACAGACATGCATTTCAAAAGCCAGTTATCTCCCACGTGTTGTCACTTAGTCATGTGTATTGTAAATGTATCCTGGTTAGTCATGTTTATATTTTATTGTTGCAGAATGTGGGAATCAGAAAATCTCAGCCATACTTCCCACAGTTTTCTGACTCTTAATTTGTGTCAGAAATTTGAGTGATTACAAAATATCCAAGTGACTATGAAATATTTCCTAAATTCTCTAACATACTGGCTGCATGACCTCGGGTGAATCGCTTATTTGCTCCAAAATTCAGTTCCTCATTTGTAAAATGGGGATAAAAATATATCCTGTTTCTATTTCATGGAGTCATTTTAGCATTTCATGACATGGCACGTGTAAAAGTTCCTGTAAAGATAGAAAGCACTATCATGTGATTGAGTTTTGTACTAATACTGTATAATATACACATGCATTTGCTGCTATGTAGGTTTATCTTGAATGGAAAATTCCTAAACCTTAGGAAACATCTTTTGATGACACACTCCTTTGGTTAAATCAGAGATGGAAACTCAGTAGCACACATGCTGCTAGTCTTCCTTCCCACTTCCCTGACAGGCATCTGAAATCCAATCCACCAAGGAGATGCTTCTTTCCCACTGAGCATGTTAAGGGTTTAGACTGGGATTGGAAGCTCACGCCTATGATCCCAGCAGTTTGGGAGGCTGAGCTGGGAGGATCGCTTGAGGCCAGAAGTTTGAGGCCGCAGTGAGTCAAGATTGTGCTACTGCACTCCAGCCTGGGCGACAGAGACCCTGTTTCTTTTTAAGAATCTTCTAATGCCTAGTATTATATTAGCATTTTAGTATTCCTGGCAACCACTACCAATGGACCTGAGTAGGTCCACAAATTGATGCCTCATTGATTTGTTACTAATCAACTAACCAATTTGTTACTAAGTTAGCAATTCTGTGGGTAGCCTGTTCTGTCAAAGGAATGTCTGGATTAATTGGTGTGTGGATGGTGTGGAGAACTATGTTTAATCTCAATTGTTGCAGTTAGCAATAAGAATTATAACTCTTCTGCATCAACTTTGCAAAACATTTCCAGTGTGTCCCTCAGCATTTGAAGCCTTTATGGTCAGAAATACAGACATTTCTGCCCCTCTTGTAAATTTTCTTACAAATTCTGCAGTTTGTGGGAATTGCCACTGCAAAAAAGAGTGACTTGAAAGGGAACAAGAAATCAGACAGACTATGCGCCAAGAGAAGAAAATGGGCCAGATTATCTACCTTCCTCACCATCCCTTGCTTGTCTTCCTCCCACCAGTATGGGCATAATTACTCCTTCTGGGGATGGTTTTTTTCAATTTCTGCTCAAATTACATAGAAGAAACCAGAGTTCTCTGATTAAGTAAGCAGAAGGTTTTATATTTCCCTTTGTCACTGAGTCATAAAAAGAAACAAAACAAAACACATTCAGCTCAATCGAAATCTAACCAATCGCATAGCTTTATTAAACATAGTATCAACAGAAAGAAAATATGTAGTCTTTGCCCAGAAAGGATGGATGCCAAGAACAGAGTAATTTTTTGGCTTTGTCTTTGATATCTGTAAATTTTATTCTTTGTGCAAGTCACTACGTTCCTGAATAGCTGTTGATATTAAACATTGGGGGAAACTTACAAATGGACAGTGAAATCCATTAGGGATTACCAGATGTTAACTAGTCACACTCCACAAGGGCCCTACTCACATCTGTTTTTGACCTCCAGGGTGCATAAAATACTTTCTTTTCTCTTCTATTATTCTATCTCCTTATTTTTCTGGCCAAGTGTATATTGGATGCAAAACTTGTTCAGACCAAAACTTGGCATGTGAACTCTTGATTTGGCTGCAGTTAGGTTACCACCAATTTGCAAAATAAAGTATGAATAATAATCCACGCTGTAAGAGTGCAAAGTAAAATAAATCTTTACTTTACCATCTTATCTGGGAATGTTAATCAATCTGGCATGTAAGTCAACCTTAATTTCTGTGTAAAAGTTCCAGATGTAGTTATGATTCTATTTTATAAATATAACCAACATGTTCGCTATCATGAGAACTAAAGACTCCATAGATCTCAAGAATGACCCTTTCCTTATAAATATAATCCAAGCCTAGGGGCATGGAATTCAAGTGGGTTTGCTTGATAACTTTGCCTCTATACAGTCTCTTCGCAGCTCTTTGCTCCTGTCCCTTACTCACTTCAACTTCTTTCCCCCTCCTTATTTTCTGCCAGGTATGTGCCTCCTCCTTACTTGCAGGAATTAGATTAGCTATTTGGGGAGCAATAGCTCCAAATAGCTATTTGGCCGAAAAGGGAATTGTCTTTTGTGTCTGCAGTGGTGATTGGGGATGTTAACCTCCATCATTGTGTCTGCAGTGGTGATTGGGGATGTTAACCTCCATCATTTTTGTCTTTCAATGTAGGCATAAATATTAGACATCTGAATATTTCAAACTTGATACATTATGAAAGACTGTAGTCACACTCAAACCTCACTGATGCTCTGTCTACCTGGCACCAGGATGTCATTAGCCATCTGTCCACTGTGTGCAGGCCTTGCACAGACTTGCAAGACTATCTAGAGCCTTTAGCCACAGTGAAAGCTGGGGGAAGAAAACCATTGGCTCTCATTTATTAGGTACTCACTCGCTATGGTACAGGCACATTACCTTCTTTGGTGCCACAGTAGCATGTTAGGTAGTGCTCTTACAAAGGAGAAAAGGGAAGCATAAAAGGTTTAGGTTCTTTCCTGTAGGGACATAGTGCTGACAGCCTGATGCTAAGGCCTGTGCCCTCACCTTGTGCTGCTACTCTCCCTGCCATATTAGAGAGGAGCTTTTTCAACCATTCCTCCCATTTTGCAATTTTTGGTCACCAAACAAAATGCATTGCCATGGTATCTCCTTTCTTTGGCATGTTTTTTTTTAAATGTTTTTATTTCAATAGCTTTGGGGGTACAAGTAGTTTTTGGTTACTTGGATAGATTGTATCCTGTTGAAATCTGAGATTTTAGTGCACCTGTCACCTGAGTAGAGTACATTATACCCAATATGTAGTTTCTTTATCCCTTGACTCCCCTCCACTCCCCTCTTTGAGTCTCCATAGACCATTATATCACCCTGTATGCCTTTGCATACCCACAGCTTAGCTCTCACTTATAAGTGAGAACATACAGTATTTAATTTTCCATTTCTGAGTTATTTCACTTAGAATAGTGGCCTCCAGCTCCATCCAAGTTGCTGCAAAAGATATCACTTTGTTCTTTTTATGGCTAAGTAGTATTCCATGGTGTATACATACCACATTTACTTTATCCATTCATTGGTCAGTGGGCACTTAGATTGGTTCCATATCTTTGCAGTTGTGAATTGTTCCTTGTCATGCTTTTATCTCTTACTGCTTTGCAATTCTGCACTTCAACATCTGTACCTCCACCATCCCAGGATGTATTCTCTTGGCACCCAGTTGAGCTCCTACCATTTTGTAGGTGTCATCCTCTTTTGAAGTTGATGCCATCTTCTTTAATAGCCTATGACTCTCTTAACCTTCCAGTCATCTCCTTTTATTCACTCAGATGCTTGGCACATGAATTAGGATCCTTTTCTACCAAATTTACTTTTAAGAGATTTTACCTTCCCTGGTCATTCCAGAGACATCCAATTTCTTGCTGCCTCTATTTTCTTCTAGTCAGTTGACTTCCTCCATTTTCTTTTTTGTTCTACTCCTCCTAGACTTTACAGCTGATCTCACAAAAGTTGATATTAACATCCTTGGTTCCTTTAGATCTTCATACTCTGTTGACCTTGCCCAAGAAAACTGAATCCTAGATGAATGCCACAGTCCACTTTCTCTATATGTGGACAACTGAAAGTTGCTAGAGGAAATTGCATATCCCTATATGATGCTATTAATACAAGCTTAGAATTATTCATTAGCCTTTTATTTACCTTTTCTTAGATTCTACTCTTTATCTTCAAAGACAAGCTCAAGTCCTCACCACTCTCCTCCAGTTCCCCAACCAATGCCCACACTTCACTATCAGCACATGGTCTCCTATCCTATTACTATGATGGCTGAGATCATCAGGCCTGACCTATATCATTTTTCTGTCTCACTTTAGTCATTCTCTTATCTAAACCCTCACCCTTCCTTCCTCCCTGCAATCTTGGAGGACAAGACATCCCTTCTCCTGCCTGGAATCCCTTCCCCCTTTCCTTCCATTTGGTGAACTCTCTCCTCATCTTTTAAGGTATGGCAAGTTGTCATCCTTCCTAGAAGGGTTATTTAAGGCCAGTCCCATAATTGGGTTAGGTGACTCCTTGAAGCTTTACACACACATACACACACACACACACTCTCTCTCTCTCATATTTGAAGCTTTTCTGGCAGACACACACACACACTCATTTTTTTCTAGTATTTTGGGTATAATAAAAATATCTCTTATTTCACATTCTTAAAGCTGCTAAGAATGAAATAGACTGTGACTTTGGAAAGGTCACCTGCCCCTTCTGGGCCTCAGTTTGTAAAGTGAGAAGATTGGACTAGATAAGCTCTGTGGACCTCTTAGAACTGAGATAATGATTTTTATTGATGACAACAATCATAGAACAGACTATTTTCATGGAAGGCAGCAGAAAGGTAATTGATTACGGTACTTGAAAAGTATTCTTAAAATGTCACATAATTCCTTTATCTGACATTTCTGAAGTCTATTTTTAAATGTATAATCTGCTTTGAAATAAAATTAAAGAACCAAATAAAATGTTATATTTACCTATCAACTTTTAAAAAATAAACCTTTAAATTTTATAATAGTTAGATTTGCATGAAATATTTGCAAAAATAGTACAGAGTTCCTACGTACTCTTCATTTATTTTCTTATTAACATCTTACATTATCACATAACTTTTGTCACAAATACGGAACCAACATTGGTATATTATTACCAACTAAACTCTTGGCCTTATTCGGATTTCATTATTTTTTGTTACTAATTTCCTTCTCATGTTCCAGAATCCCATTCAAGAGACCACATTACATTGAGTCATCATGTCTCCTCAGTTTCCTCTGGTCTTTGAGAGTTTCTCAGTCTTTGCTTGTTTTCCATGGCTTTGACGGTTTTGAGGAGTATTGGTAGGTTATTCTGAAAAATGTCCCTCAATTTGTCTTTGTGTAATGTTTTGTGAGATTTTTGGAGGAAGATCACAGAGGTAAAGTGCCATTTTCATAACCTCATACAAAAGGAGCATGCTATCAACATGACTTATCACTGATGATATTAACCTTGACCTCAATGTACAAAGCATTTTCATAATCATTACCTCATGTGATTCTTTAAATGATCATGAAATGGACAAGATTGGCATCCTTAGGTCCATTATACAAAGGGGGATTTTGAGGCTGGGATGGAATTAAGGTGTTGGGACTGCCACCCCACTGGTTCCTTTATAGCACCTGACCACCTCTTCTAAATTATACATAAACGAAGCAATATCTTACAATGCTTTCCATGTCAACTCACTCTAGAGCTGCTGTGGCTAGGAATGTTCATGATTTAGTGATTCATGTTATCTTCATCCTGTAACTGTAACCTTAGTCTTATTTGAACAAATTTAGATCATCACAGAAGATGATCAAATGTTTCTACTGATCAGTGTTCTCCCTTCTTTGTGATGGAGTGAGGCGTTGAGCTCACACAAATGACATTTACTAGCCCCATCATTTACAAGCAGCTGGCCTTAGAATACTCAGCTATGGTCCCAGCTGGGGAATTATACCTTTCTGTTTTGGGTGTTGTTTACCCAATCCTCACTTATATCTTTATTTATTTATTCAACAAATATTTACTGAGTACCTGCTTTATTCCAGACATTTTTCTGAGCACTTTTGAAGTATCAGTTAATTTAATCTTAATAATAGACATGAAGGTCTATCATTATTTGTTTTTATAAATGAGAACCAAAATTCAAAGAAATTAAGTAACTTTCCAACTGTCACATAAGAAGTGGAGCCAACTCTTGAAGAAGGTGGCTTAATCAAGATCCTCCACCTGCACTTTAGATTCCTATTCCTTGTTAGCTGTTGAAGTGTCTGAAAACTGATCACTACCACTGACTTTTATTAGTTTCTAAAGATGAATAATTATGATAGTTATTACTAGCATAATAAAGTTCTATTTTCCTTCCTGTTATATTATAATGTGAAATAATTACAATTCCTTTTCCTGTTTAATACACACATTTTGAACAGTAAAGCAACCTGTGAGTTTTCTGTTTCAAATTGGGAACTGAGAATTAAGATTTCACCTTTGAAATGGAAGAAAAGATTTTGAAAATCCAAAAAGATACAATAGAAGCAGTATTAGAAAGCATGAGGGGGTGAACCTCCTTTTTGAGGAAATCCAGGAAGACAGAATACAGACAGGATTGGGTCAATGGAAAAACCAGTGCAGAGGAAAACAGACTGAGATAGCCAAGGTGGGCCCAGTTCTTTCTATGAGCACTCCTTAAGAAGCTGAAGTCACAACCCGCAAGTACAAACAGCAGTAATGCTTGAGGTGTTTGTTCAACACATATATTGAGAACAATTGAAATATCTGGAGATCACTTCTGCTTCCTTACTTAGAGGCTATCACTAGCGATATTTGCTCCCAAGCTAAAACCTGAGAGGTGTTCTTTAAAGAAAAGTTGTTGGGTGGGCTGTGAGGCTTCTAGTAAGGGTGTGGGTAGAATCAGAGCATTGTTATGGGTAGATATGGATCTTCACAGCAGCCAGAACTAGGGCAAGGAGTAGAAGAGAGAAGTCAAGGCAGCTCTACCAATGACTGAATGAGATGCACTAAGAACCAGCTCCCAGAGGAACCTTCCTTGCCTTGACACCCCTGCCTGCTCCTCTTCATTGCACCCGTTACGGAAGCTGACCTGACAAGTGTTTCTTGCCCAAGTATCCAGGACCACAGCCAGCTCTTCCATTTAATAGATAAACAGCAACTCATACACCTATTTCAAATATGTCCTGTAACCAGCCCAGTCCTTGGTTTGTAAATATAAATGAACAACAAAAGATCATCAGAGTATTTGAGAACCGTCATGTTATAAAACCCTAGATGTAAAGGATGGAACTGAGCAACCAACCAAGTAAAAACAGAAATAATTCAGGAAGACAAAAAGGTATTGCATCCAGCAGACAAGAATAAACTTCTGTAAAAGAAAATCTCCATTAATAAGTAAGGCTTATTACAAAATAAGTTGACCAACAACAACAAAAAAATCACTTATAGAGTTCAACAATAAAATGAAATAATCCGAAGACTAACTTAGACATATGGAAGATAAAGGTAAGAACATAGATGAAAAAGACAAAGATGAAACGTATAAGGTATTCCAGAAGGAGAAAACAGAAACAATGAAGGAGAAAAAAAGATCAAAGACATAATAAAAGGAGATTTGACTCTCTACCGAAAGACGCAAGACTGCTGTGTTGAGTAGGGTATATGAAAGAAATGTCCACTATCTAGATGCAGTCAAATGATAAACATTCCAAGGTAAAAAAATTCTAAAAATTTCTGGAGATTTAAAAAAATACTTATCTACACAAAGAAGACAATGAGACATAAAACATACTTCTTATCAGTAACATTGCATTCTAGAAAATAATGGAATCTGAAAATATCTGAAAATACATTGAGTAATAATTATATATTTTAAATATTGTTTGTTGATTTTCAATTTTTAGAATAAACCATTTGAGAAGACACAGTATGCAGGCTTAATTATAGCTGGAGAATAGAATGTTACAGACAACAATTTTAACAAATTTGGGTGGTATAGGTGGAATGAGGAAGGAAGAAGGTGTTGCAGGATAATGGATTCCCCAAATTTCAAACTGAAAAATCAAGTTCTGTAAATCGGTAAATCAGGAAATAGAGGAATATAAAGTGTAATTTTAAAGGTATAATTTTAATCATCAGAAAAAAATGAAAATGTTAATTGTGAATGATTCCTCTGGGGAATAGATATACAATCCTGTAGTATATTATGTTTTTTCATGCATTGTATTACACACACACACACACACACACACACACATTTATGTATACAAGTAATGCCTGAATAGGATTAAATGGAGCCAAGGGAGGAATGAAGATTTCCAGGAGACTGCAGCTTCTGTGACCAGTCTGCAGCTTTGGTGGCCTCTGGATGCAGATGTGACTTTGTATTGCATCCCTGTTGGGAGACCATAGCTGGGTGCATAATTGCATGCATGCACAATGTTTCAATAGTATTAGGGAGGGGCATCTTTGGCCTTTGGCATCATAGGTGTAGGATGTGTGCGTGTCATCCCACAGCTGCATGGTACTCCACCTATCAATGTACCTGCCATGCCCCATTCCTCCCCTGCTTAAACTCTGCTGCCCAGAATCTTATGTTGAAGGATGAACAAAACAACACTAAACTGGTATTTGCAGAGGGATAGCCGGTGACTGGATTTCAGTCAGTAGCCTGCTCTGTGGTCTGTAGTGTGACCCTGATGCTTAGAGTTGAAGGAAGTCAGTTGAATTCCTTATCTCAGCAATTTGAATTCAGAGTGGAGAAATCTGGCTGGAAGACAAGAATGTTAGAGAGTTGCTGTGCAAAGGTCTCTAAACTGCAACCTTGAGATCCTTGCTGCCACCCAAGTCCACAGCTGTCCCCAGCTCCCAGTTCCCAAGGCCCTGTCTTCATCTACCTCGTATTCTTCAGTCCAAGAGATTCCATCTTCATTTTTAGACCACACATTCCCTTCCAATAACAACTCCTTTTACGTGAGCGAATTGAGAAAGTCTCTTCCTTGTAGCCAAAATCACCCAAATTGAAAGAAAATCCTGACAACTATGTTCAGTTTGCATTCAGAAGGGAAGGGAGACCTGTTGATAGCTGCCTCCTGGGATAGTGGAACAAGCTGGCTGCATTTTAGTGCAACCCCAGCCCATACCACAAGACCTGGGTGCATCAACTGAGATTGCTTTTTTTTCAAGAAGAGTAAATTTTTAAAATTGCTTATTTTTTTCTTCTTGTTTAAATATTGGGCTATTTGCCTGACAGTTTTAAGATATTTCTGAAAGCTTCCAGTCTTTAAAATGGACTTAGGAAAAAATTAAGAAGAAATCAACCTTAATTCTCTTTAATGACAATTTTGTTTTTCAGATCCAGAGACGACAGAAACTAATTTGTTTCTGAACCTTCAAAATAGGGAATAAGAAATGATTGGAAGATGTCAGACTGACTGCCTTCCCTTTTTTAAAGCTCTCCTAGAGATCCCTTCCTAGTAGGCTTGAGAAAGAGAGAAGTTGCTGGATGCGGTGGCTCACGCTTGTAATCCTAGCACTTTGGGAGGCAGAGGTGGACAGATCACTTGCGGTCAGGAGTTTGAGACCAGACTGGCCAATACGGTAAAACCCCGTCTCTACTAAAAATACAAAAATTAGTCGGGCATAATGGCATCCTCCTGTAATCTCGGGAGCCAGAGGCACAAAATCGCTTGAACTTGGGAGGTGGAGGCTGCAGTGACCGAGATCGCGCCACTGCACTCCATTCTGGGTAACAGAGCGGGACTCCGTCTCGAAAAAAAGAAAAGAGAGAGAAAGAGAAAAACAACCCCTGACTGCAAGCAAGTGGTCTGGCACCATCAGCCAAGCATTGGTATCCTCCTCTTGAACATACAAGTTTTACAAAACATCAGGTAAGGCCACTCTGAGATCATGGTGGATCAAATAGGACCGCTCCAAAATTATGTCTGAACATGAATATTGTACAAACCACAAATATCCCTTTCTATATTAGATTTATCAACATACCCAACATAAAATTAACCCAGCTTCCTAATAGCATTCCATCTAGAGTAAAGCCCCACTTCTGTAAGCCCCAAAATCACCTCAGTCAAGCCCAAATCATATCTAATAAGTTATCTCCAATGCTTTTTAACCTTTCTAAGACTTTCATACTGAGACGCCCCACAGTGGCCCATGGAGTGTGCCCCCTCCCTAAAAAAGTAATAAACTCAACTTGTTCAGTTCCAGATGTGTTCATCTGGGGTTTTTTGACAGGAATGTTATGTTGCTCCACTCCAATCCTGTTATTACTTGTCTCAGATCATCGAAGAGCAGTTCCCCTGGCGTAACTTTCTTGGCCCTCCCAATAATCACTGATGTCTACCAAGCATTTACCACTTGCCAGGCCCTTCATATGGATTAACTCATTTGATCCCCACAATGACCCCGTGAGTAGATAGGTTTAGTACCAAATTTACAGAAGGACAAAAGGCACAATACTACTAAGTGACTTAGTGAGCCGTCTAAGTCAGCTGGTTGGTGGGTACAGGGCTCTAACCCCCACAGCACACTGCTTCCTTCCACAGCATTCATCTGCCACACTATGCTCTTCCGCTTCACTGAATGGCGTGTGGTCACTGTGTCATCAGCCAACATTGAAGGACACTATAAACTAGAATAAACTGCACCAGGAAATCATTGCTGGGTTTCCTGTAAGATGTGGGAGAATGCTGACCCACAGGAGAAAACAAAAATTCTCTCAGCTCTCAGTATTGGAAATAACTTCTAAGCTTCTTGTGAGCAGTTAGATATTTCTCAACTAATGGAGACATTAATCACATAATTTGCAATTTTTCAACTTGATTTTAAGAAAAGTATGACATGATTTTAACTTGACTAAACCTAACCAGGAAAGATATTCCCTTTGTACTTTTCTTTCAATGTTACTAATGTGGTCAAGGGAGCATTCCTGCTTGGTATTATAGTAATATGACTAATTAATTCTATATCTCCCTTTATAACAAAGAAAGAGGGAGTTTGAGGCAGAGAGCTTTGGAAGGCACTAATTAATATCTAGAGAGATTTCAATAACATAGTTCATCATATTTTAGCTATTTTTGTAATTACTTTCCAACTATAGCCAATTATACAGGCTTTCCATTTACAAATGATACAAAGTTTCTTTTTAAAATAAATTTATTTGAGTAAAAATTTGAGGACATTTAAAGAAAAATATTAAGTCAATAGTAGTACAGGTGGTAGGACACCAAACAAGCAAACAAAAATCATGAAGGTGTTTTGGGAAACCCCGACTTCATTTCTTGTGTTGGACGCTGGAAAGAGGAGAGTTTAATTCATGGTCATTGATCTCAAGAGCACAGGTCCTTGAATTTGAGAGTGCATGCATTTTACCTTCTAATGGCATTCCTGGTTTTATCATTCCTCTCCTCCTCCACTTTCCCTTCTTCCGTCTTATCTTGCTACCCCTATATTTTTTTCAAGAAAAAAAAATAACCAACAGGGGTGGGGTGCGGTGGGGGATGGCACAATAAGGAATCTTCGAGTAGTAAAAGTGAGCAGGGCTACCCACTGGCCCAGGGAGGTGCGCTAAACTCGCAGAAAGCCCAGAGGGTCTGACTGCCTCTGATCCTAGGAAGTTTTAATTCAAGCTGGGCAGTAACGGGGTTTCTAAAATTGCTTGGATTCTTTGGCCCTCCTGCGTCCCGGCTTCGGGTCAGCATGACAGCGTGAAACGTGTTAGTGAATTAAAGTACTTCGGTGGAAAAGTAAGGCGGAGCTGCCAGAGATGCTCTCCTCCTCCGCCTTTCTGGCTGTGCTGCACCTTGACCTTCAGTCCTCCTCCCTCCTCTTTCCGCCCCCTCGTGATGGGGAAGTTCTTGGGAACCTCACAGAGGCCCGGGGGCGGGGATACCGGACAGGGATGGAGACTGGCCCCGAGATTGGGAGGGGGATGGGCAGCGCTGGAGAATAACGCCCTGGAGACAGGGCAGCGCAGCCCCAGACTCCCTGGAAAACCCAGCAGTCTGGAAAAGCTGGGTTTGGACTCACCCCTCTTTGAAGAGTTCTCAGGAAGTTTGGGGGAGGGGCGAGCCGCGCACCAGTTCTACCGGCATCGGGCGCTGAGGGTGAGAAGGGACCACAAGCAGCAGCAGGTCTCAGTGCTTGTCATATTCCTGCTCACCGGTGGGCTCCGGGCACGCCCGGCAGGGTCCTGGGGGCGCAGGCAAGGGGACGTAGGCAGAGTGCTCCGGCCAGCATGGAGGGACTGGTCTTCCTTAACGCCCTGGCCACTCGGTTGCTGTTCCTGCTGCACTCGCTGGTCGGGGTCTGGCGAGTGACCGAGGTGAAGAAGGAGCCGCGGTACTGGCTGCTTGCGCTGCTCAACCTCTTGCTCTTCCTGGAGACTGCGCTCACCCTCAAGTTCAAGCGCGGCAGAGGCTACAAATGGTGAGAGTGCCCCGGGAAAGCGAGGGCGCACGGGGCCCTAGGGTATTGTCCCCCACCGCACTCGCAGGCCATCTTCCCGCAACCCGCAGATTCTACTCGAATTTGGACCCCGTTTTTCCTCGCTGATCGCTTGGAAGGCGCGAGATGCTTGCGCATCTCTTGGGCACCCCAGGGCCACCCTAGGGTCCCAGTGCAACACTGGGAAGGCTCGATCTGTGAGCCTAGGCAAGAGTCACCCAGTCTCAGGTTTGGAAACTTGGAAGATGAGTAAAGAGAGGAAGCGCTGGTCTATTTTGCTGAATGTGCCCGCAAATAGGGGAGTCTTGGGACAAGGAGGTTGCCATGTAGTGTGCCTTCTGAAACTGGGGTGTGTGAGTGTGCGCGGGTTACTCTGCGTGCGTGCACATGTGGGAATGTCCTTCGCTGGGCATCAGCGACCTTCGCAAGAGCTGAGCACACTGGCCACCCTCCTAAGACGAGAAGACCCTCGCTGCACGTCTGTGGTTTCATCCGCTTCCCTTCCCTCCAGCCGCGCGCGTCGCGCGTTCTCTAGCACAGCGCCAGCTTCAGGTGTCTGGGTTTGCTGGCTTTGGGGCTTGGCTAACGGCCTGCCTATCTTGCAAGGAACGGGTTGTAACGCTGGTGAAGGGACCAGCAGGTAGTGGTTCAGTCTTAACGTCTGTGTGCAATAACTACACGCCACGTGTGGTGCTTATTTCCTCCCCGAAAGGCTTGAATGGCAATCAAATAATTGAGAAAAAGATTCTCTTGCCATTGACGAAGAGCCTCCCCCAACCCCCAGAGGAATCCATCTGGAAGTTCATCCAGAACTTCTCCAAGTTAGGCCTCTTTCTCTTTTAATTCTTTAAATAGGATGTGTTTTCATATATATATATATATATATCAATACATTAAAAATATCTCATGCTATGAGAAAGGAGAAAATGGTATTAGGCAATTTACAATTACATACACAATGGCATTATAGTCATTGTGTTCAAAAAAAATGAAACAACCCCTCTACAGTTTTACATACTAAACTACAAAAGGCTTTGTATTTCCTGACAGTTCACGGAAGAAAACATGTTGCCTCTGAAGATGATGTGAATCTTACTTACATTTTCTACTGTTGAAAAATTTCTAGAATTATCAATGCTGAAATTATTCAAGAACAATCCTAATTTAATACGACCAGGATGGGAATGTGACTACCCCTGGCTCCACCTCCCCACCCCCATGAAGAATTTATTAAGCGTGAGACATTTGAGGTACTTTCCAGTGTGCCTTTTGGAAATCTCAAAGAAAAATGGTGTTAGTTTCCCAAGTAAGCCTCAGGGATAAAGAAACAAAGGGGGAGAAAAGTGTTTGTTCACTCAGCAGGTCATATAACATTGATTTAACTTTGACTGAGTAGGTTTAATAAGCCAGAGTGGAAATATCTTTGGTCACAGAAAGATGAAGTCTGAGGCTGAAAACTGTTCATTGGAAAATAGTCCTGCCACCAACCGCCAGAGTTTCTAGGAGACCTTCAGCCTCAGAAGAGGGGCTGCTCTCCCCCTCCAAGAGTAGACCAGAGGCCTTAACTCGCATTAAGTCAAACATTCCTGTTGTGTGTAAATACTATAGCCAATGGAACTTTACCTTCACGTCTACATCTTTGTTTACTGCTGATTGGTACTGACATGTGACTTACAACCGAGAGAGGAAAAATGGTTGGGATAAAAATGAGTGATGGTCAATAAGTCAAGTTATACAGGGAACTGGGGATATACTAGTGTTTAGAGTACGCACCTCAAAATCAGACAGATAATGGGGTAAAATCTGGGTTTTCCTACTTGCTGTCAGACCTTGAGCAGGCTACTTAATGTCTCAGCCTCAATTTCTTACCTGTGAATACTTACCTCATAGGTGATTAGAGAATTATATAAAATAATATATGTTGACTGGTGATGAATAAGAAAGCAATGATCTTTTCTAAATCCAAAGATTTTTCTTTATTTTCTTCTTATTAAAAATATTATTGTATCAACTAGGCACACTTTATGTCCGCACAAGTCAGACAAATTTACTTGAGTGACTAGCCAATAAACCATTGGTTCCAGGCAAAAACGTCAAAAAAAAAATTCTCACCTTTATTTTGGAAGAACAGACCCATTATATATATTGTGCATTATAACATGAATTCAAGGAAAATCTTGCTGGCATAGTATCTACACTCATATTTGAAAATAAGCAAAGAAAAAAGTTGATTGATTTGACTTAGTATAAAATTTCAGCAACAAATGAGTCTTGGTAAATGGTCTAAATAGGAATATGATTAATAATGCTTTATTCTATTGATGTTACCAAATACAACTGAATATAGACATATGCTCATTTTTGTGGTGGAAAAAGCCCACACACTATTCTGTCATAAATGTGAGAATAAAAAATCAGAACATGGGCTGCTAAAACATGTAGGAAATTATCCTTGAAATAATATGTTAACAATGAAAAAACGTTCAATTTGGGGAACATTCCCTTTCTAGGTGAAGTATTCTGAGTAAAGCAAGGTGTAATTTTTGTTTTTGAGTGTTAAGAAAAAATTTCCATTCGAAAATCTAGGCTGATGGAATTAAATAGAGATGAAGTAAACATTATGGCAACATCTATACCTCTATATAGAAAAATATTAATATGCATTAATCTATATATAGATAAGCCTTTTTTCCATTGCTCTTATAGTCTTATATTTTGGAATCAACCCTGTAGAACTAAAGGTACCCATATGTGAAGACATGAGCAAAAATATTAATATCCATCTTGTTTGTGGAAAGTAAAGCTGAAAGCATACTGATTGTCCATCAGAGGAATAGTTAAGAATTGTGAAATATTCATACTATAGGCTATTTTGCTGACATTAAAAATAATGAGCTAGATTTTAACCACTAAACTCAAGGAATGTCCATGATATATTATCAGGACACTAAAGTTATAGAGTTGTGTATATTATGGTTACATTTTTTAAAAATGTAAAAGAATTGTCCTTTGTATCAATTGAAAGCATTGTTTCTACAAGTTGAAATGAGGAGCAAAGGAGGAGGAGAAAGGGAAGGCGAAAAGGAAAAAAAAACCTTCCATATTGAAAATAAATAAAGAGGAATAAATTAGAATAGACAGAATGATTGACTAAACATGAATGATGGACTAAAATATATACATATATAAGGTGGAAAAGTTCTTTTCTTTGAAAATCAGATCCATGAACTTCCTTTGGACTACTCTGGGCTACTTTGAGTATTGTTCTTTTAATTCAAATTTACACTTGGACCCAAACGAGTCCAATCTACAGAAATTGTGGAACAATAAATAGAGCTATAGAGGAAAATGTGAACTAAATATTTTGAAACACAGCAAACATATGACACTTATCCAGTGAATGTTTCTTTAGCTATCCTTTGGAAAGGAAACATGGAACTGGAATTGCTGAGCTCAGCTGTCCAGGGACAAGCAACATTACATCAACACTAGTAACTCGCCAGTTGGAGAGGTTTGATTTGTTGGAATCCTATAGAATAGAGAGGGTGAGCCAACAACATGTCCCCCGTTAAGCTAAAAAAAATATGCACTCCTGGAGTTTGCTTTTTTTTCACCTAATATTTAATTTGTTGGAATCCTATAGAATAGAGAGGGTGAGCCAACAACATGTCCCCCGTTAAGCTAAAAAAAATATGTACTCCTGGAGTTTGCTTTTTTTCACCTAATATTTATCTATTTCACCTGCATATTTAATTACATTTCTGTAAGATGAAAATGAATATCACTTGGCTTAAGATTTTCTTGATTTTATTTTCTATTGTCTGGGCAACAATCCAATGGATCTGTGAATTACCATTTAGGTAAAGTCAAATAAAAGTCAACATTTCAGCTGCTTTCCAGCCAATAAAATATTCCTCAGGGATAGAAAAAAATTACTAAGACTGTGACAAGTTTGAAGGCTGTTCACTCGAAAGCAGGCATTATCTGAGAATAAGTAGAAAGCTAGGTTGAACTTACTGGCAAAAGTATACAATTTTAAGCACTGAGTTTTCTTCCCCAGATAAATCCAAGGAAAATATCATTTGTGAGTTAATAAATAATAACTCACCTATTTGGTCACCTTGCTTTGTTATCTCTCATTTCCTTTTACTTTATTAAGTTCAATCAGACAAGTATTTTTGAATTGCTTAATGAGCAAGCATGATATGATACTATGCTAAACACTGTGTGACCAGACCAAAAAAAAAAAAAAACAAAAAAACAGAAAACAAACACGGTCGACATTTTAAAAGGTAGCATTTTGATACAGTGCTCAAATGTGCTGGTATCAGAATAATTATGAATATTTAGCATTTCCTATCTTCCAGAATCTTCCAAGTGTTCCACACAGATAGTCCCATTTGATCCTTTCAAAAACTGTAGTTTATATTGTTTCTCTGTTTTCTCCCGTTTTTAGATGAGAAAACTGAGGCACAGAGTTATTAAGTCATCCCTTTTGGGACCAGTTAGTTGTCAGTTGAGAGAGAAGAGTGAAGACTCCAGGCTCCCAATCTTACTCACTCCAGCAGTTCAGAGGAGAAAGGATATGCTGCAGAATATTGGGTCGGGAACAGGGAACTTGACAGCATTTGAGCTGTCACAGGAAGAATGGGTGAGAGCTGCATCCGGAGAGAGGTGTGTGAAGGCCATGTAGGGAGGGAACCTCCTGGGTGGGCAGGTGAATTAGACAACCTTGAGTAGTTTTCTCTGGAGAAGGCACAGAGTCTTTTCACTCTTCTTTCAACAACAGTGTACGGAACATCTACTGTATTGTGTCAGGCATTATTCAAGTACTGAGAATATGGAAGTGAATAAACAGGCAAAATTCTGCCCTCGCAAACCTCACATTTTAGTCAAGGGGCTTAGAAAATAAAGATGTGAGTAATTAATAAACAGATGAATTAATAGGTAACAGAAAACAAGTGAACAAATGAGTGATCAGAACTCTGAAGGCCCCAGTGGTTTGGGTGACAGAGTGAGGGGGGTGTGCAGGGGAAGGTGCCACTGGATGGTCAGAGAGGCCTGGCTGGGGATGTGACCTTTGAGCTGAGGCCTTAGAGAAGAGAGGGAGCCAGCCAGGCATGGGGAGGATAACAAAAGGGGCAATCGTCATGAGCCTTGAAATATTTCTGACATACCCTCAAATGACCGATTAATACTGTTTTTCTACTCTTCCCCTTTTCTTATTATTCCAGTATCCCTAGACTCCATGTTAAAAACTCTTCCGAATTTCTTTAACTTTACAATACTTCATTTTAAACACTGTGTATTAGAAATTATCTGGATGGCTCACAGCTGAAAACAGAAAAGACAAGTTAGGAAACAGAAAGGATTCTATCCTAAATTGATCTCAAATTCAAACCAATTTTGTAAAAAATTCACTGAAATCTGTTTAGATCACTCAATTGCATTTGAAAAGTTCAGCAGTGAAATTGAAAACCTAGACTTGACAGATGCATACTGTGTGAAATTTGATCTTGATGTATAAGTTTTAAGCAATGCGGGAGAACTTTGTATGATGTAATTCTGTAGTATGTGATAATATGTGCTTTCCTCCATCAAAAATGTTTATGAAAATGCCAGAGAGAAGGTTTGGAAATAAAACTCTTCCTCCTCCACTCCCCACCCCAATGTTTTTGGACCCCAGAGAGGATGAGATAGAGGGATTTGAAAGGAGACCCTGTGACTTCCATATGGCCAACTTGGGCACTGGAAATTCTCCCAGAAGATAAACAATTTCTCTCCCTCTTCACACTTCGTGTCCAAGTTGCCTGAAATCTCTCTTTAGCTTTTTAGTGTATCTGAGGTTTTATTCTACAGGTGTACCTCATTTTATTGTGTTTGCACATAGTGCATTTTTTTTTAAAGTTTGTTGTAGCCCTGATGGGAGCAAGTCTTGACGCTGTTTTTCCAACATGTATGTTCACTCTGTGTTTCTGTGTTTCTGTGTCAGCATCTTTTTAGCAATAAAGCATTTTTAATTTTTTTTTTTTTTTTTTTTTTTTTTTTTTTTTTTGAGATGGAGTCTCGCTCTGTCGCCAGGCTGGAGTGCCGTGGCGCGATCTCGGCTCACTGTAACCTCCGCCTCCTGGATTCAAGCGATTCCCCTGCCTTGGCCTGCTGAGTAGCTGGGACTACAGGTGCGTGCCACCACGCCTGGTTAATTTTTTGTATTTTAGTAGAGACGGGATTTCACCATGTTGGCCAGGATGGTCTCAATCTCCTGACCTCGTGATCAGCCCACCTCGGCCTCCCAAAGTGCTGGGATTACAGGCGTGAGCCATCGCGCCTGGCCCAGTATATACATTTTTTAAGACATAATACTATTGCACACTTAATAGACTACAGTATAGTGTAAATATAACTTTTATATGGACTAGGAAACCAAAAGTTTTGTGTGATCTGCTTTATTGAGATATCTGAAACCAAGGTTTGCTTGTATTTGTTATCTTCCTGTATGCTTGTGGGAATGTGTGTTTTATATCCTGAGTCTTGAACTCAGTGCAGAAGGGTGACTTAAATGTGCATCATTTTGGGAAGCACACACTGAATGTTATTAGCAAATGACTTTGTTCTTAGTAATCCAAGTCATGGTTTAGGACAAGAGTCTTCTTCAAAAATTAGTACCATGCTTTACTCCCAAGAAGAAGTCATATTTCCTTCTTTTGCCTCACATAAGACTTCAGATCAATGTAATAATTATGTCTGCAAGTAGAATGGGAGCTCCAAGAAATGGAACCTCTGAATGATGGCTATGCTTTCTTTATGATCATGTTCAACTGAGACATTTAGAACTGAAAATTAAGTTTACTGATATATTTTTTTTCACTTCTTGTACTTGACTGGAGAAAAACAAAGTACAAATTAGCATGGGCAGCTCCTATAAGTCAGTATAAATATATTCCTACTTTTAAATTTCATGCATTTCTTCTCATGGCAGTGACATTATGCATACAGCATCAGGACAAATCTGAATACCTTAAGTTTTTTTCCAACGGTGGAAAAATTCACATTTACATCAAGGTTTATTCTCCCCATGTGTATATTCCCCACTACCCTGGAAGTTCCTGTAAAGTCTTGGTACTAGGACAAAAAGGCCTTTGGTATATAAAATGTTTTGTTAAAAATAAGTTTCTTTCCTTTTTTTTAAAAAAAAATTTAATGTAGGCACTTTATGAAATGTACTTTTTTGGAAAGTCATATTGAAAATATATTAAGAATATAAGGCTTGTTAATGTAACATGCCAGGGTGAACGCCAATTTTGTTACTTTTCTCTGAATATAAACCTATTACCTATAGTTATTTAAGGAGATGGGTTATATTTTATCTTTGTTTTGTCTGACTGACCTCAAAGAGGTAGATAATGTACAACTGACTTAATGTTATCCACTTATTAGAATAAAAATCGGTCATCCTTAAGCACATAAAGAGGTTCTCTAACATCAGTGCTGCTGTAGCCCTGGAAGAGGGGGTGGGGTTGTTCCTGTAGTGTTCCTTTGCTTTCTTATTTCCCAGGTTGAGCTTCCTGTCCCATACACATTTTAATCTACCTGAAATAGCCTCAAAATAAATTGGCTAGTGCCATTCTCAGACAGTCTCTTAATACTAGTGATGACGATGGTGATGAAAATGATGATGGTGATGATGATAATGGAGGTGGCACCACTTATCAATTATTGAGTACTGACAATGCTACAGCCTGCTTTCTTTCCCTTATCTCATGTAATCCTTACAATGACCCTATACATTAGTTGCCATCTTAATTACCATTTTAGGGTGAGTACGCTAATGCACACCAACAATAAATCATTTATCCAAGGTCACAACTGACAATAATAGATAATGAAAACAATTCCTAGCATCAGGTGAGCACTCACATTTATTGAGCCAGGCATTGGCATTGCACACATCAGCTCATTCAATCCTCACAATAGCCCTGGTAGTGCCTTTATGCCTCTGCTTGCAGATGGGGAAGCTACAGCTTAGAGGTCTGGAGAAGGATTCTTCTTCCCAGGATGGAAAGCTTGGTAATCCTGTGTTGAGTCCTCCCCTTACTCCATCAACTTATTTGTTATGTTTTGTATACAGTAACTACATTACTACATAATTTTTAGGGTCAAGGATTTTCTGTAGTAGAGAAAGGGTCAAAGTTCTGTTGGTGTTTTTTTTTTTTTTTTTTAAATTATGAGGGTAAAACTCAAGTGACCAGCTAAAGGAAGACTGCGATGATTTTGCTTAGAACACAATGTAGGGAAGTCCACACTACATACAAGAGTGTCTGGCTCAGATACACTCTTGCACAAGCAAACATTCTTGTAAAACCAAAACAGGACATAAAAGGGAGAAAAGGGGGAAAATTCTAGACTATTTTAACTTTCGTCCTAAAGAACCAATCTCCTCTACAGAACAGAAATAAGTACTATCATCTTTATTTAGAATGAAATAAACTAAAGCCTAACACAAATAACAATTATAATGCATTTTATTTTCTCAGAGAGCATTAAAGTTCCTGTAGTCGGCAGCAATATAAGTTCATTTGTTCATTAAATAAGCATTTATTGTACCAGATGCTGTCATGGTGGTTTTATAAAAAATAGAAAATATGTATAGTTATATGAGAACAGTATAAAATGACATTTAGAGAACCAAATAAATTTTCACAAATTAAGTCCAAGAGTGTGGAAAGCCTGCAGAATCAAGATACAATCAGTAAGGTGGGCTTGTTGACAAGGACCATTTCAGAGGTAAATGATTTCTGAGGTAGTAGTGGTTATGAGTGCAGAAAAGAAAGATGTGCTTTTCAGGTTGAAAGAATATCATGATGGTGACAGTTAGGATTTCAATTGGAACAATTCATTTAGGAGGATGCCATGATTTTCTTTTCTTCTGAAATATTTTATGAGAAAGATAGTATGTAGATCCTCAAATGGATTCATATTTTGTCACTATAACTAGTTTAGTAATAGTGAAACATATTGCTGGAGTTTGTGAACAACTTCAATTGTAATAAAGCTTGTGCTTGCTTTAGGCCTACTCTTGGAAAATTTTAGATTGAGTGAGGTATATGGGGTACTAATTTTGCTATTAGTTTATATCATTATTTGGGAATATGACTTTTTTTAAATTGCAACAACAAACAATGAAAATTATAACTAAGAGTCACATTCAGTAGTATCTTCTCTTTACAAAATCTGAATATAGACAATCTTCAAGGGCTTCGGAAATACAAAGAAAGATTTCATTGCAATGGATTTTCTCAACCCATTTGAAGTTCCTCCTTGTCTCTTCTGTCATTATTTGTCTGGTCTATCCTTAAGATCACTGAATAAACAAACCTATCCACCGATCTTGGCACTTTTTTTTTTTTTGAGATGGAGTCTCCCTCAGTTGCCCAGGCTGGAGTGCAGTGACCCAATCTCCGCTCACTGCTAGCTCTGCCTCCCAGGTTCACACCATTCTCCTGCCTCAGCCTCCCGAGTAGCTGGGACTACAGGCGCACGCCGCCACAACCGGCTAATTTTTTTTTTTTTTTTTTTGGTATTTTTAGTAGAGACAGGTTTCACCGTGTTAGCCAGGATGGTCTCGATCTCCTGACCTTGTTATCCGCCCACCTCGGCCTCTCAAAGGGCTGGGATTACAGGCGTGACACACTGCACCGGGCCTGATCTTGGCACCTTTTAAAACTTTCTCATTTATATTCAATTTTCCATTTTGGGGGGAATTCTCATTAGCTCTTGGCCATTTAGTTGAGGCTTTCTTGCCAGGGAACAGGCACATGCAAAGGGCTTTGGGAAGGGAGGTAATGATGAGGGACATGCTAGTTAAGAAGATTAATGGGTGGTGGCTGGGATCACACTGGTGACTTCCCAGGCATTCAGAGGCTTTGTGTTCCACAAAAACATTGGGTTCACGTTGAGGAGTTGAAGAGAGGTAGAGGAAATACTGAGGTTGTTATATTGGTCATCATATTCCCCTTACACACTAACAGAAAGCCTTTGCCAAGCAGCCTTGATGGAAATCATACATGTTAAGGCCCACTTAGACAAATGAGTCTACATGTAAGAAGGACAGACAACCTTTGCATTGTTAGACAGGTTTAGGGACTTAGAAAAGAATATCATGACCTGGTTTTTTGATTTCCACGAAAATAAACTTTTATAAAGTGCTCCAGAAATTTTACGGAGGACATGCAAAATCTCACTTAACATGAGATTTTGAAACTTGGGTCTAGTATTCTTACAACTTCACTCTGTTTTTGTAGAGGAGAAAATATTGAGAAATGAAATACAAATAAAATCTGGATTCAATTGAAGTACATTTTGAATATTATTTTTGCTTCACTTAAATATTATCCATTTTCAGATATATACATATGATCAGAAGACAGACAGAGAAAAACTAAACAGGGTAGTGATATGGCTAATTTTTCTTCTATAGGCTTACTTATACTGTTATTTGTTAATAAAAATGAATGGATGTTATTTTTTTCAATAAGAAAACATTAATAATTGTCATTTTTAGAAAGAGAAAAATGGAATCCTAATTCTAGACTAATGGTGAGTCAAAGTAAATAAAATCTACTGCAGGGCTAAATTGCTAAATGTCATGACATATCATTTTGTAGAAAACATTATAATTTGTTGAAATGACAACTTTGTATGGTAAACAATATTTTACTTTTGGATGAAATGAACTGACAAAAGCAATGAGTAAAGCTTTTAAAAAGCTTGGAGCAGTGTCTAATATGTAGCAAGACCTATATATATATACATATTTCATAAACAAATAAAACAAAACAAATGAATTTTTAAGTAAACAAGTAAATATATAAAGAAAAAAACTCCTTTGAGATGGTGCTCCTGCTTGTGTACTTGGGAGAGAATTGGTAGGTAGGCTAAGAGCTATGGAATTAAAACAAAAAAACACAACTTCATGGAAAAGAAAGATTTTAAGAGGGCTTTATATGAAAATATAGTTGAGCAAAGTAATTTGGCATTGAAGAATTCATATTGGACAAGTTTGGTATTCTGACAGGTAATTGGGATTCTAATAAATCTGAGTTTCTAAGGGCAGATAGCTCACTGGTAATAGGGTATTGTCCATTTGTAAAAATTTTTCACTTGGACATGTATTAGTCATTGAATCATATACTTATCAGCTTTTATCAGTCCAATATATTGTATGTTTATAAACAGTTATCCAGAAACGTGATATAAATGATTTGTTAGTTGGCCAGATCTTTCCATGGTATTAGTCGTCATACAAGGTACTCCACATCTCCTTACTCCTAATGCCATCAAGACAAAGACTAAAATAAAACCTGGTTTATTAATTTTTAAACTTCACACTCTTCTTTGCTCTAAAAATGAATTGCACAGACAACACATGATCAAGAATACTGCAAACCCTCAAAATAGTAATTAATGGCAAAGATATCACACTAAAATATTAAATTTTTCATAGGAGCAGAACATATAAAATTAGTTTTCTTCTGTAAATCTTCCAATAAAAATCAATTTATGATGACATTTCAAGAAGAAATTTTTATTCAAACCAGCAACAGAGTGTCAGGAAAGTAGAAACTGTAAATCAACCAGAGCCTTATCGAATCACTAAATGTTTGTGGCGAGCTCATCACATGCCAGATACTCTGGAAGGAGCAGAGAGTATACGGTCAGCCCTTCATATATGCAGGCTCCACATCTGCGGATTCAACCAACTGCAGATCAAAAATATTTGGGAAAAAAAACACAATAAAATACAACAATGTGACACTAAAACATAATACAAATAAAAAACAATACTGTACAGCAACTATCTACATAACATTTACAGCTATATCAGGTATTATAAGTAATGTAGAGATGATTTAAAGCATAGGGAGGATATGCATAGGTTATATGCAAATACTACACTATCTTATATAAAGAAGTTAGGCATTTGCAGTGTTTGCTACCTGCAGGGTTTCTAGAACCAATCCCCCCCAGATACTAAGGGATGACTGCACTTTTGAGCAGACAGGCACAGTTCTGGTGCTTGCGTTATTTAGAATTGCTTGGAGTCAACACTTAAACGATATCAAATACACACATATACATATGCACATATGTAATTATAAATATTGAAAATCTATGGCATAAAAGTGACCAGAGAGGGCTAATTTAGACTTGAGGAACAAGGAAAGTTTTCTGAAGTCCCATATAACTGATATGAAATAATCAGGTTAAAAGTAAGAGAGAGGGGGTATTTCTAAAGAGAGAAATACATATGTGAGGGCTTCAGTTGGGACAGCACTTGCTTTTTTTTTTTTTTTTTTTTGAGAACTGGAAGAAGAACACTGTTATATGAACACAGTTGGAAGAATGGCAAGCAAGAGAGAGCAAGAGGTGGGCAGGGCCCTGAGTGGGCAGCATCTTGTAGGTAGTGATGGGCAAATGCTCCATGCAAACCATGGCAGTGTGACAGTAATTGCCTCAACATTGATTGTGAAGTTAAGCATAACGATGTTTGTATTCAACAGTACAAGAAGGGCCCTTGATTCAAGGAGTTTTATATAGGTTTAGTTTTCGTTGTCATTTTTTTTGCTTTTTTTTGAGTCAGAGTCTCACTAAATTGCCCAGGTTGGAGTGCGGTGATATGATCTTAGCTCACTGCAACCTCCACCTCCCGGGTTCAAGCAATTCTCCTGCCTCAGCCTATGGAGTACCTGGGATTACAGGTGCAAGCCACCATGCCCGACTAATTTTTGTATTTTTAGTAGAGATGGGGGTTCACCATGTTGGCCAGGCTGGTCGCGAACTCCTGACCTCAAGTGATCTGCCTGCCTTGGCCTCCCAAAGTGCTGGGATTACAGGCATGAGGCACTGTGCACGGCCTTATATAGGTTTAGTTTTGAGAATCATGGTTTAAAAATATAAGTCATTATAAATTATATAAAGAAACAGTCTCCTAATTGGGTGTCCTCTAAGAGTCCTTCATAAGCATAAATAACAAGTATGTAGCTGTGAGTACATTTTCAGAGCTGAGTCTAGGCAAAGCAGCAAGTACATTTATTGAGCACCTAAAGTGTCAATCTCATTGCATACATTGTCTTATTTAATCCTCATAACTACACTATGAGATGGGTATTATTTTCCCCATTTTACAGATGAGGACATTCAGTTTCAGGGAAGGTTGTGAATTTCCAAAGATCAGTGCATGGAAAAGGCAGGATTCAAATTTGGGTCTTCTAAGTTTCTGAAATTTATACAGGGTCTCACTAACATATAATAATTCAAGGTTCATAGCTGGAAGAGGTTACTTGATACCAGACCTCTTGAAATGAAAGCTCCTTGTAGATATCAGTAGTCTCTATTGACTTTATTTGCTCAGTCCTTCCTTCCTTCATAAATTCGGGCATTCAAATATTTAAGCATTTGCTTAGTAAGCATTAATTTGAGACTTAGTAACACACTGTGATTCCACTGGGGAGAAAAGAAAATGAAGGAGTGGGAAGAGGAAAGAGATATAAGGAATATATAAGACCCAGGACCTTCCTTCATGGAGCTTGCATTAGGAAAGCGAAGTCTTATACACACATAACTATAAAACAGTACAGCATGTGTTGGGCCACAAGAGAAGTACAGGTTAAGATTAATTCCTGCTGTGCCTTTAAAATACAAGTAGAATGTTGGTGGATAGACGTGCAAGAGAAGAACATTCCAAAATAAGCTTTCATAATTTTGGGAGATATTTGCTGTAAAACCATTGCAGAACCTCGCTCCTTAGATTAACCAAACTAAAAGAGCAGAGAGCACTTTGTTCTTACCAGAGACACGTGGTTAGTTAAACAAGGCTGAGGATTGAGTTGAATATAATTAATTCTTGGGCCCTCAATATGATTCCTTTTTCCTTACCCCTTTCTTCATTAGGTCAAATAATCTAAGGAAGAGGATTGAAGTGAGAGGAACTTTCCAAAGCTTTTTGTTTGTTTTATTTAAAATACACAGTCAGTTGTAACTACTGAGTTGCTCAGCTTGACAGGATGTGGTAAGGGAGGAAAAGTGGAGATAAGATCAGATAATGAAGTCTTCGAATATCAGATTATGGAGTTTAGATTTTCTATTAGGCAACACAAAACATCTTGAATCTTGAAGTTTGTTTGTTTATATAACCAGTTTCCCAATTAGAGGAAATACGTTGAAACAGGATAGTACTTTTTTCCAATTATAGAAATAAATGTTATGCATAGAAGATGTTAAGGGTATTGTTTGTTTTATTTTTAACCTCTTTCAAGAGCTATTGTATGTTCAGGCTATGGTTTCCCTAGATTATTATTGTTACATTATTGTTAGGGAGGGGTTAGTCTCAAAATTAATCCCAAGAGACTCAATGAAATTGCAATCCAGCCAACATTTCATGTCTCCAAACCAAAATATGCATATTCCTACTGTCCCTCTTACCTAGAATTCACTTTCTTTCCCAGTTTCACAAGGGAAATATTATCTCCTGATGTTTCCTTTGATATGTGAGGTCAAAAAGTTAATTGTTCTTTTTTTTCTAAGAGCATGCTAAACATGGGCTTTTGATATCTCTCTACAGCTTCACCATCCTCCAAGTCAGATTTTAATAATATCATGACCCATAACCTTTTGTTTCAAAATTGGCTTTTGCAGGAAATCAAAGGTGGGGGAGTATCTATATTAAATATTGATTTTTTAAGAGACCTCTCTTTCTCTTGCCCTTTCTCCCTTCCTCTCTCTAGGAATTGAAAAAATATATTAGTGAAAGGGTTAATAGCCTTTAAAAAAATCATTCTAAATTTTCTCTTTTCATTTCACTTTTCTCTCCTGAATTATAATAACATACTTTGGGTAACATTTCATCTCGAACAATTCTATTTGTTGAGCAATTAACATGTCTATTTTCTAGGTCATTTCAAACTATTGCTGCGTATTAAAAGCATTTTAATAAAATTATAGTGACATAATTTTGACTTTGAGATGTTCTGCAAAGCAAGAGTCCTCTAAAATAAAGTTCAATTTGTTTTTTTATTTGTTTGTTTTTTCTTGAGACGGAGTCTTGCTCTGTTGCCCAGGCTGGAGTGTAGTAGCTGATCTCAGCTCGCTGCGACATTTGCCTCCCGGGTTCAAGCAATTCTCCTGCCTCAGCCACCTGAATAGGTGGGATTACAGGCCCAGACCACTCTGCCTGGTTAATTTTTTGTATTTTTAGTAGCGATGGGTTTTCACCGTGTTGGTTAGGCTGGTCTCAAACTCCTAACCTCAAGTGATCCACCTGCCTTGGCCTCCCAAAGTGCTGGGATTACAGGCCTGAGCCACCGTGCCCAGACCAATTTGAAGAAATAAATGTGGAAAGTATGTTATTTTTCTTATTTCAGCATTTTAAGGACACATTTATGTTGTACCATGTCCGATAATAATACTAGTAATATCTACCTATTATTGAATGCTCACCACTGCCAGGCACTGCTTTACGGGAAGTAAAATTAAAAACCCTGTGAGATAAATGTAACTGCTGAATTGTCTCCCCTTCCAGGTTCTAGACTGAAGTCCTAACCCCAAATGTGACAATATTTGGAGATTAATTTGGTCATTAAGGTTAAATAAGGTCTTAAAGGTAGGGTCCCAATCCAATAAAACTGGAGGCTTTATAAGAAGAAGAAGAGACGGATATCTGAGGACACATGGAGAAGGCACTGTCTACGTGTCAGGAAGGGAGTCCTCACCAGAATCCCACTCTTCTGGCTCCTTAATCTCAGACCCCCAGCCTCCAGAGCTACAAGAAAATTAATGTCTGTAGTTTAAGTCACATAGTCTATGGTATTTTGTACAGCAGCCTGAGTTGGCTGATGCAGTGACGTTTTTGTGGATTAAGAAACAAACTGAGAGGTCAGTGGCAAAACTGGCATTTGAACCTGAGTGTGTTGGATCACAGAAGTCCACTCTTCGGATTCCTTTCTGAATTTTGAATGAGAAAACAGTGAATATAGATAACTTAAAAAAAATACCAAAGGCTTACACCGTTGGTTGTTGGTGTTTTTATTTTATAGGTTTAGCAAACCACACACAAAGCCAATGGGTTACTCTCATTCCTAGTCCTTATCATCTGATTTTTGTGTTCCAGCATCATATTATTGTTTGAGCTCTCAGAGTTCCAGGTTAATGTTGAAAAATGTAGCCATATCTTGAAATTGTAATGTCTAATAAATTCAAGATTTACTCCTGCTGTATTTGCTTTTCGTAAAACATATTAAATACAAAATATCCAGTGTTGTGCCTGAAACTAATTGGCAGTGTCCCATTAAACCATATCAAAATTAATGTCTATTAATTGGATTAGAAATTCAGTGAGAATGACAGCTGCTAGTGCCTTTTACAGTTACTTTGTTTCTTTATAATCCATATGGCAGAAATCACATAATGCTTTTTTCTTCATTGAAATAAACACTTTGAAGTTATACGAAAAGGTTTGACTCAATGTGGTCGGAGTATGTGCATTTTTTTTTCATTCTTCCTCTTAATTTTTTTTTTTGGAAAATTAGCTTAAATTAGCTAAACTATTTTTTCTTCTCTCTTTTCACAGGTTTTCACCAGCCATATTTTTATATCTGATTAGCATCGTTCCATCATTATGGCTTCTTGAATTGCACCATGAGACCCAGGTACTTCTTTTTGGAAAGTAGGAATTGACCTATTCAGCAATAAGCTACTTTCACAGTATGATCCAGTTTATTTTCGGAATGCACTTTTCTAAGGTACTGGAGTTAGCAAGAATTGAATAAATAAGAGGCTATCAGCAAAAGGAAGTGAATCCATGATTTGCCCCCCCAAAAAAAAACTCCAATAAAAAAATTACATTTATGTAAGATTTAGGATTATATAGTGAATTAACATTTTGTGTTAGAGATCTTATTACTAAGACTTCCCCTGTCCCCCACCCTACAGGATGGTAGAGTTTACATGGGGGTGTGGAAATTTGATTTTAACCCTTCCAGCTTCAGTGAGTTTCTATGTTGTGCTAAGAATGGGCATGCCTCAATGATCTGGCATCCTGTAAAGTGACACTTTTAGGAATTTCAAAAACAAAAACAAAACCCTTATCTGTAGTCAGCTATATAAATGCAATTAAACTTATAGGAGCCATTTAAAATAGTCTCTTTTAAAATGCAGGTTATGCAGATTACAGGAGATTAATTTTTGGGAGTCCCACGGGCTGCCTTAGTGAAATAGAAATTCTTTTCTAGAGCCCCGAAACTAAGATTAAAGGGGAGGAGTCGTGGGACCCACCATGTGGAAGGTGAGCTTATATGTATTAGAAGATCACATTGTCATAGAAATAAAATAGTAGCTTCCGGCCAGGCGTGGTGGCTCATGCCTATAATCACGGCACTTTGGGAGGCCGAAGCGGGTGGATCACGAGGTCAAGAGATGGGGACCATCCTGGCCAACGTGGTGAAACCCTGTATCTACCGAAAATACAAGAATTATCTGGGCGTGGTGGCATGCTTGTGTAACTTCAGCTACTGTGGAGGCCAAGGCAGGAGAATCACTTGAACCCGGAGGTGGAGGTTTTAGTGAGCCGAGATTGTACCACTGCACTCCAGCCTGGCAACAGAGAGAAACTCCCTCCCAAAGAAAAAGTAGCTTCCAATAAGAGTCCCTAATTTATTACAGAAATTTTTAATACAGCTATTTTCTACACAGACAACTCTAATAAGCAGTCTCTAGGTTGAGTGCAGTCATATACTGCTGTTGATGTTCCTGTACAACTCTGGGGAGGCCAAGTTTCTAAAGTCCATCTGATTCCAGCTTTGACTTCATAGTTCAGGTTACAGGACTATGTTACAGAGAAATGTAGTTATGACCTAATAATATTTTGGTAACTTCACTGATAAAATACTTTAGAAAAGATCTTCGAGAATTTGGACTTACATAGATTTCTTTGTTATAGTTGGTCATTTTATAGCAAGGTTAAGCCCCCAATATGTAACCCTATCTGCCTCCAATATATAACCTTATCTGTAAAAGGCTTGCTCCAAATTATAGGCACACAAAGGGGAATTTAGTTCTGTGGACTACTTTTGAAGAATTCTACAAGCAAGTACCAAGAATGTAGGGATGAATAAAACATTTTTCTCCCTTCAATCTGCTAAAAATCACCAAAGTCATATAGGCTATCCCTATGTCTGTAGCAAAAGTGTTTTTGTAACTGTATATTTTTGGTTCAAGTTATCATGGCTTTTTAAAACTATACTGGAAGGAGTTAGGGGACTGTTTCAATCTCTTTACTATTTACTACTTTCAAGGGTATGAATATAAGCTCTAGTGATTTGAATCAATTCTTTCATGTTTCTTTCATATCCAATTCTATGACATGGCTGTCATACACAATAACCATTCATTTCCCTAAATGCTTTTATAATATAAATTTGTTGCACAATTAATTGATATACAGCTCAAATCCCGTTACAACAAATAACGTGCAACCAAAAGTTCCCTTTTTAATAAAAAAAGATTTTTGAGCCCCGAGCAGTAGCTCTCTAATTTTCAAACTACAAAAGAAACTGAACCTTTAGTAGTAATGGATTTGACTCATTTTGACACTGAGAATTAAAATGAATGCCCAGAGGTTGAATTGGGCAGACTGAGCAGAAATGAAAGTAGAAAAATAGTAAGAGAGAAAAAAAGTATTGGAATTGCAGTTAAATAAAGAAGAAATGGCAGAATAAAGGGAGTTACAGCAATTCTTCTAGTCTACTCATTTAGAACATTTTGGGAGTGATAATAATCACTTTTCTTCAGGTAGTCTCCTGCACTTTCACAAATGTTTTCACATATATGGACCCAACAACTCCATAGGTTAGGCATGATACATACATTTCTATTTTAAAGACGAGGATCCTGAGACTCAGAAAGGTTCAGTAATTTTCCTAAGTTGATACGGTGAATACACAGTAATGCTGGGGCTTAGAACCTAATGGATGTCTAGTCCATTAAACCATATTGCCCTTCTCAGCTATGTGTTCTGTGTTTTAGAGGAGTTTGCATCAGAATTATCTGAGTTGTTCATTGTAGAAAAGAGTAATTTAATTTTCTTTCACATTTTCCGTTTGCTCTATATACTATATGTTCTAACCTATGACTTGGCATTAGGAAAACATCCTGACCTATTTCATGAGACATTTCTCCTAGATAACTAATTTCTTACCTTCATTCCTGAATCTGGTTGGGTGTACATGTATGGGAACAAAACGTTTATGACAATGATTGTGACCTTAGTTCTTAGGTCCATTTATGAAGTGGCAAGATTAAAGTAGTGGAAATATTCTGGTCATCTTGTTGTCACAGTCTTGTTGGACCCAAAGGAATATTTTTGAAGCTAATAAGAGTTTAAAAGACACAGCCTTTTTTTAAAAAAAGGCATGTTGGTATCCAGATAATCTATGTGAACTCACCTATACGAGGCAGAATGTAAACAATATAATCCCCAAAATAATACAAGTCAGGCTAGGTTTTAAGAGTGAAGTCACTTGTTCACTGCAGTCCCAATGTAGAGGCCAGTTGGAGGAAAATCTCATAAATCTATAACAAATAGAATAACAAGAGCGGAGAGCAACTCAGATAAGTCTTAATACCATAATATGGACTATGAAGCTATTTGCTTCCAAGTTATCTTCTACTGCACTAAAGCATGGCCTATTTTCTTAAATAACAAGATGTTTAAGTATTTTAGTGGTAAGAATGTCAAAAACATATTAAGGTCGCCATTTTTAATACATAGTCTGTTTTCATGCCTACAAAGTGGTCAAAATATATTTCCTATTGAAATAAATCTTAAATAAAAACACCAACATGCTTTGCAATGAAAATTTGTTGCTTGGTTAAACATTTAATTTTTATCTTCATTATCTTTTCTTGGAGGCTTAGCTGCACACATATACACACACACAAAGTGTGCAAACAACTGTATTTTTGCTCCTACAGATATGGAATATGGCCATTTTTCTTAATTATTCTTGTCATTTCAACCATAATACTAGTCGTTTGGAAAGAGAGTAGAAAAAACAGCTTCTTGCAGACTTTCTTTTCTGTTTTTTCAAGTAGCTTATAGAATAGTCGACGATGTATCCAGAATAATTAAGAAAAATACACTTCTTACAGCTTTAATTTTTTTTAAAAAAATAAGTCCTCTCTAAATACAAATGTGTGATCGTGGATGTGTGGTGGTTGTAGTGGCGGTGGTGGAGCATGTGTATGTGTTTCAAAATATGTTAGCACTGCAGATGTTTGAAAAACCTTCAACTTTTTTTAAACCAGTTTGTAAAATTTTCATTGGGTACAGCTACATTTTCAAGTGTCACTCCTTTCTTCTCTTACATAATTTTTCCTTTTCTTACTTTACCTCGGATTCCCAGCATCTGGTGGATAAATATCATGCACAATTCACTTGGAGAAATTCTCATACAAAATGAAGAAACAAAAAAGGAAAAATGCCATTTTTCATGTCTGTTGTTGAATTTTCCATAGACCTAAATTGGCTTTTACACTGTCACTAAAATGTATGTTTTGGTGGGTGAACATGATAATTTTTTAGGTTGTTACAGTACTTGACAGTCAGGATTAAAAATGATTGGATTATTTACTTAAGCAATATGATATTTTAGTTAAAGAGGCTTCTGGATAAGAAACAAACTCTTAAAATACTATATACACACACATACACACACACAGACACACACTGTGGAATACTACACAGCCATAAAAATAGCAAAATCATGTCCTTTGCAGTAACATGAATGAAGCTGGAGGCCAGTATTCTAAGCAAACTAACACAGGAACAGAAAATCAGACACCACATGTTTCACTTATAAGTGGGAGCTAAAAACTGAATACACATGGACACAAAGATAGGAACAACAGACACCAGAGACTACTTGAGAGGGGAGGGACGGAGGGAAGTGTGAATTGGAAGGCTGCTTATCAGGTACTATGCTCACTACCTGGGTGATGGAATTCTTCATACACCAAGCCTCAACAACATGCCATTTACCCATGTAACAAACCTGCACGTGAACCCCCAAAACCTAAAATGAAAGTATAAAAAGAAAAAAAAAAACACTGTAATTTCCTTGACCAGGATCATATATGTTTGATTGTTGTCACTGGTTATTTGTTTGGTTTTAAATTCTTGCAGGGTTTAAGAAAGGAATCTCAGTTACCAATCTATAAATTCTACAGCTCTCTGCAATGACTCAGAGCATTTGCATCCTCATTGACTTATGGAAAAATAAGATTTGTATACTTGACATTCTTTTCATATTGATTAAAAAGTGGTTTTCAATCTCAGGCCTATATTCCGATTTTTGGAAATGTTTATATATATGCTGTATAAACTCTGCATATCTGCTCATAATCTCTTGAACAGATTTAAGTCATTTTGATCTCTACCATATTGTGCTAATTTTTTGCCATAATTGCCTTCCCTGACCCCATTCTTAGTATTGCAGTATCCAGGCTGAAGGAACATCACAGAATACCAGCAGAAAAGAAGACTTCAATCAAACATTGACATCCAATGAACAAACCAGTAGAGCTGATGATCTCATTGAGACGGTGAGAGCTTTTCCACTGTTTATTAAAGGATCTAGAAAATGGTGGACTTGGTATAATCCTCAATTACCTGCTATACATGCTTCCCAGCTAATTCTTTCCTGAAGAAAGTTATCCATTGTTTGGCTTAGGAATTCACAAAATAATTATATTTTTAAATTATTAAACATTTAATATGCATAAGTATATACATTGATACATTTTATATATATTAATAGATATATTTAACCTGCATCATTAAGGAACACATAAAGAAGATAATATGTGCACATTGAGAGACATATACATTTATGAAACAATGATATAATTAAAAAATTGGGATATGATAATTTTAAGATTTATTTTTTAGAGGAATTTTAGATTTACAGCAAAAATTGGGAGGAAGGTACAGAGATTTCCCATATACTCTGTACTCATGTACAGCCTCCCCATCCATCAATACCCTGCACCACAGTGGTGCGTTTGTTAACACTGATAAACCTACGTGGCATTTTTGGGGATGCCAATAAAAGTGGCGTTTTGTTTTTAATTTCAAATTTCACTTATTCTTTGCTAGTATATAGGAAAGAGATTAACTTTTGTATATCAACCTTTTATCCCACAACCTTGCTATAAACGTTTACTAGTTTCAGGAGGTTTTTTTTTTTTTTGTCAGTTCTTTGGGATTTTCTACCTAGACAATTATGTCAACTGTGAACAGAGGCAGTTTTGTTTCTTCCATCCCAATCCCTATACCTTTTATTTTATTTTCTCGTCTTATTGAATTATCTAGGAACTCCACCATATGTATTTTGTAGATGTTTATTAATAACATAGAGAAGATTTCTGGCCAAAACAGAATCCCTTCCTTTTTCTTCATAAGGCTGTTATTTGGCAAACTGACCATGACCTATTTAAAAAGGAAAAGGCCCCTATCACCAAAACATATTTTCAATAATAAGATGTACTATTGGTTCTGTGAGGTTTAATGGAATGAACCTTGGGTTCTAATTCAAGCTCCAATCACAATTTATTTATATCAGTCTGGACAATCGCTTAGTTTCTCTCTCAGTTTTTCATCTGACAATCAAAAATATTAATCTTTACTCTACTAATGTGCTTCCTGTATAAATTAAATATGATGTACGCAAAGTTTCATAGTACTAATATAAGAAAGCGTACAGATGGAATATTCTTGATTTTCATGTATGGATTCAATCAGGATAGCATCATGCCTTGTCTTTTATCCGTCCTTGTGCATTTGATATCAGCAAGTGATGGAGAGGGGTAAATGAATTTTGCACAAACATAGTTAAGTCACTTGCATAAATAAGTTGGAATCATTATCCACTTGAGACCTAAGTCCTTGTAGGGGCAATAGTATACTTTGAGACTTATTTAGAATGTAATTGGGCAAGTTGTCATCCAGAATACATTGGTGGGATGTAAGTTTTTCTTAGTCTAAGAATAATGGCAGTGTAAAATTTGCTTGCTGGCTTATGGATTATTGAATAGTATGTTAAGTACTCAGAATAAAAATAATAATTTTACAGTTATTCTCTTTCTTTACATTTAGGTAATCGATAAACATTATTACATTTTTATGTTTAGCTATAATAGAGTTTTAAAGCAAAAAAACAAAGAGAAGATTTGTACAATGCTAAAAATATTTCAAGATTAGTACATTCAGATTTAAAAATCTATTAAAGAAAAATATAGGAAGTTTTTGTGATATTAATATGGATTTTATAAAACTTTGCTATGTGTTATTTTTCATTACACAGTATAATAAAATGAGACATTAAAACATTGTAAAATTGGTTCTTTAAATACTATATGGTACAATCCCACTCGTAAGTTTAAGGCTCAAATTACTTGCTAGTTATAGGCACCCCCATCTTAAGGACCATATTAGCTTTTTATTTTTTTCAGAGTGTTCAGCTGAAAGGCATTTTACTTTCTTTAGTAAGTAAAGAATAACTCCTGAAAATTACTCTCTACAAAAGCAAACTCTTGATTGAAAGCACAGTGAGGAAAATATTTCTCTCTCAGGTGGTGGCTGATAATCCTGTCTGTATGACATTTCTGTTAAACAGGCCAAAGTTTTTGTGAATAACTTATCTACAGTATGTGAGAAAGTTTGGACATTGGGACTCCATCAGACATTCCTGTTAATGCTAATAATTGGAAGATGGCTTCTACCCATTGGAGGCGGGATCACTCGAGATCAACTCTCTCAACTTCTTCTTATGTTTGTGGGGACAGCGGCTGACATACTGGAATTCACAAGTGAGACCCTAGAAGAACAAAATGTGAGGTGAGCATTCCTTGCAGCAAAAACACCTTGTTTTCAGGGTCAAGACCATGCACCTGTCTCTTTGTTCTGTGACTTGTATTTCACATGAATAAGAATTTTTAGTATATTTTATATGCAACGTTAGGATCAGAGAATTTGCTGCTGTTTACGTATTAGAAACGAGCACAGTCTTTATGTTTTTTAAGAAATACACAAAGGAGATTTCTGCTAGAGAAAGAGACACATAATATTCTCTGTGGGAGAGAACAGAAAAGCTCTGCATGTTTTCATGACCACAGGTTAGATAGAGTCATGGTTCTCTGAAAACCTTCTGAAGTGGAATGACCATCCCCAGCTCCTCTTTTCCATTCCCAAGTGTCAGAAGCATAGTCAATCATAAAATCCTCTCCTAGAACACAGCATAGCTACAGTTTAAGAGAGCACTGAGAGAAGACATGGAGAAGTCTCTCCCTATCCATTTGGGGATTTGCATTCCCTGGTGTATATGGAGAATGGGGCAGATGAGGTTTTATTTTACTAAATTTTATTTTTAGTCAGTTTTGTTCAAAGTGCCCACAGGCTTTCTGGTGTAGAGGCCTATAAATTAAAACTTATTGAGTTGGTACTTTTATTTTTGCCACAAGCAAATAAACTCAGAATCCATGATCACATCTGTTTACGGAACGACTTTCTTACCATTAGGGATTTAAGTCTCAGTGCCTGAATATACTTTAAGCTTGGGTTGTTTTGCACTATGCCATAAAAATAAATTGGAATGAGTCTGGCTTTTAATGCTACAGTTTACTTTATGCTGTGCTTCTCAAACAACAAAACATAAAGCTCAACGAAATACACTAACTTACCAAGTAAATTTAATATCCCAATTATAGCACAAATTATATTTATAAACATGAGCTACCTTTACAAGATAATTTCCTGTTTCATCTATACTAATTTTTCTTATAGCTTATTAAGTTGACATATTCTTTTAAAAATCCAATCTAAATTGATTCATTATCTTCAAAGTGTTGATTTTAGTTCCGTAGTTTTAATGTCTTAAGTATGATCAGTGCTTTACACTGTAAAATGTATTTTCAAATAGAATACAATGTTGTTACAAGAAAAACATCAAGCAATCATGACAGAGCACATAAAAGTGACAGGGACATCACAATAGAAAGATAATTAACTCCACCTATATAGAAATAAACATGCACATGCAAAACATTTAGGGAGTTGGGAGGGAACATAGGATAGTAGAAGAGGTAGTAAGGAGGGATATGTTTTGTGGGGCCAGTCATAAAATTGTAAGAAATGCCTAACTCATTTATCTTAATGGACTGTTAGTCCCATCCAGAAGTGACACCAAGGAGCAATTTATAGATCTGTGTTTTCCAATAAAGGTTGAATATTAAATAATTTCGTGAATAAAAGTAGAATTGCCCAGCAAAACAAACAACCCAAATGAACGAAAAAACCCAAATCTTGAAAACCATAAGGCATTTTTTCACTCACCCACTACTGATTGGTTATCTAATATGTGTCAAGCACTGAGCTAGGCAGAGATTGGGGAACAAATTGTGAGCAAGTATTAGTAAAAGGACACACAGTCCTATCTCAATCAAGACTGTTTCAATTCAGTAAGAATTTAGGGAGCACTTAATGTTTCAAGACACCATAAATACTCCCAATTTCTTCTATCACCTACCAATTAATCTGAATGCTTTATAAATATGTATTTTTATAATTTTAAACTTGTATCATATCCCAGGAAAGCTGATGTTTAATGGAGCCCAATAAATTATGTCATAGTTTTTATTGGTTAATGTTTTTAAAATTTGTTTTCAATTTTCATTGTCTCAGGTTGAAGTCATTTTCATTTTTAATATTACCACATTGTGACAGTAGCCTTCTGTAATTCCCATTCAAGTTCTATGTGCCTCTATTACTCAGATATCCACTGTCCCAAAAACCCTCCCAAAGTCAAAGCCTAGGAAGGATATAAAATTTTTCTCTCTCCTAAAAATTAGCTTCCATGTTCTGATTTCCTGTTTTGGTTCTCGCCTATACTGCAAGAATAGACACTGCAAATATCTATTTTTTCAAAGAAGGAGACCCTTAATCCTTTCCAACTGGGACATAAGCCTTCCCTTTTAGGCTCAAGAGGATAATCATGGAGAATAATCTTAATACATAAGTAAAAGATATTTATATCTAATAGAAGAAGGGATCACTTCATTGTAGTCTACTCAGCATTGCCTATTATTATGACATTTTACTTTTTCTAATGTTTTATTCCATAGTTTAGGCTGATAGATTTAGGAGAAAGCCTACAATGATATCTACATCACAAAAATGTCTAAATCTCTTCCCTATTTTCTAGCTAATATGTCAAATTCCATTTTTTATTAAATAAATTTCCTTCCTTTGGCTCACATTGAAGTTCATCTACCTAAGTTTTATGGATTTACATAGCTTTGTAAAGCTTCTGATTCTGCAACTTTTTCTTAACAGATTTGTGAAGTTATGGTTTAAATAACATAAAGTTCAACTGTAATTCTATTGTTTAATGATATTTAGTAATTATAGATTTGTTTATCCATAACCACAATCCAGGTTTAGAACATTCCCATCACTCCAAAAAGATTCCTGTGGCAGTTTGCAGTCAGTCTTCACTCTTAACAGGCAACCACTGATATCCTTTATGTCTCTGTGGATTTTTCTTTCCTAGAAATTTCATGGAATTTGAATTATAAAATGTGTGCTCTTTTATGTGTGGCTTTTTTATGTAACATAATGTTTCTGGGATTCATCCATGTTGTTTCATGTTTAGCTCCTCTTTAGTTGCTAGTGTTCCATTAAACACATATACCACATTTTGTTTATCCATTCAGTAGTAGATGTACATGTGGATAACTTCCAGCTTTTTCATATTAAGAATGATGTTGCTAAGAGGATTCACTGACAGACTTTTGCCTGGCTATGTTTTCATTTCTCTTTGGTAGACACCTAAGAGTGGAATGGCTGGTTATATGTTAAGTATAGCTTTAATTTTTAAAAAAATCTGCTGAGATATTTCTAAAGTAGTTGTATTAATTTATATTCCCACCAGCAATGCATGAGGATTCCGTTTTCTCTGCATCCTTATCAACCATCCTTTTCCCTGTAGTCTTTTTTGTTATACCCTTCTGATGGATGTAGAGTGGTATCTCACCAGGACATTAATTTGCAGCTCTTTAATGACTAATGTTGCTGAGCATCTTTTCATGGAAATATTAGCTATTCATCTATCTTCTTTGGTGATGTGTCTGTTTAAATTTTTCTTCATGTTTTATTGGATTGTCTTTTTATTATTGAGTTGTAAGAATTCTTTATATATCCTTGATACAAGTCCTTTATCAAATATCTAAATATAAATATTTCCTCCCTGTGTTCAGCTTGTTTTTAATTTTTTAATGTTTATCTTCTGAAAAACGTGTTTTTAAAATTTTGAAGAAGTTCAAATCTATCAATATGTTCTTTCACATTTTTGGTGTCATATCTAGGAACTATTTTCCTAACTCTAAATGAGAAATGTAATTTCTTTTGTTTTCTTATTGATATGGTTTGGCTGTGTCCCTGCCCAAATCTCATCTTGAATTGTAACTCCCACAATTCCCAGGTGTCATGGGAGGAAGCTGGTGGGAGGTGACTGAGTTACGGGAGCAGGTCTTTCCTGCACTGCTCTTGTGATAGTGAATGAGTCTCACAAAATCTGATAGTTTTAAAAACGGAGGTTTCCCTGCACAAGCCCTCTTTGCCTGCTGTCAGCCACGTAAGATGTGATTTGCTCCTCCTTGCCTTCCCCCATGATTGTGAGGGCTACCCAGCCATGTGGAACTGTAAGTCCATTAAACTCTTTTTCCTGTATAAATTACCCAGTGTTGGGTATGTCTTTATCAGCAGCATGAAAATGGACTAGTACACTTGTAGAATGTTTTAGTTCTTACATTTATTTCTATTATCTGTTTTTACATAATTTTTGTGTACAGTGGGAGGTAAGGTTCCAAGTTTATTTTTTATTTTTGGCACTGCCCCATTCCAGCTGGGACTAATTTTCCCAATACCATTTGTTGAAAGGAGTCTTTCTTTATTATATTGCCTTAGCATCTTTGTCAAAAATCAGCGGATCACAGATATAAAGCTTTTTCTCTGGACTTTCTGTTGTGTTCCATTGTTTTATTTGTTTGTCATTATACCAATACCACACTGTCAGGATTATGTAGCTATAGTGTGTTTTGAAATTGGATATTGTAAGTCTTCCAAAATTGTTCTTTTAAAATTTGTTTTAGCTATTGTAGGTGCTTTGCATTTTTATATAATTGTTATAATTCTCTTTTCAAGTTGTAAAAAAGGGTAAAAAATTAAAAAAATAACTTACTATGCTCTTGGTAGAGAATAAATTGAATCTAAAGATCAATTTGGGAAGAAGTGTCATCTTAACAATATTAAATTTTCCAATCTGTGAACACAAAATATCTCATCCTTTGTTTAGATGTTCCTTAATTTCTCTCAGCAATGTTTTGTAATTTTCAGAGTGCAAGGCTTGTACTGCTTTTCTTAACTATTTCCTACGTATTTTATTCTTTTTGATGCTCTTAGTAGTGGAATTATTTTTTTAATTTTATTTTCACATTTTTTATTGCTATAATAGAAACACAGTTTACTTCTGTATGATGATCTACTATCACAGCCATGCTCAACTTGCTAATTAGTTTGATCCCTTAAATTTTCTCCTTACAGTATCATGCTGCTTGTGAACAGACTGTTTTGATTATTTCTAATCAGTATGCCTTTATTTTTCTTGCCTTATTGCACTGGCAAGAACTTCTTTCAATGTCAAATAGAAGTAGTAAGAGTAGACATTTCAATCTCAAAAGATAAGCATTCTGTCTTGCTGTATTAAAGATGATGTTACTTGTGGGTTTTGTATAGATGCCCTTTACCAGTTTGAAGAATTTCTCTTTTATTTCTAGATTATTGGGAATTATTTTTTGGTGGGTGTTAAATTTCATTAAATCCTTTTCCTGCTTTTATTGACATAATTACTTGTTGGTTGTCTTTTATCCTATTAAAACAATAGATTACACTAATTAATTTTCAGATATTAAACCAACCTTGACTTCCTGAGATAAATTCTACTTTATTATAACATATAATCTTTTTTTATCTTTTGAGACAGGGTCTTGCCCTTTAGCCCGGGTCTAGGCACCACCCAGTGTGATCACCATTGCACTGACCTCCTGGACTCAAGTGATCTTCCCACCTCAGCCTCCCAAGCAGGTGGGACCAGAGGCAAAGGCCCTCACCGGCTAATTTGTTTTATTTTTTGTAGAGATAGGATCTCCTTATGTTTCCCAGTCTGCTCTTGAACTCCTGGTTTCAGTCCCCCGGCCTAAGCCTCTAAAAGTGATAGGATTATAGATGTGAGCCACTGTGCTCAGTCTGTAATATTTTTTACATGTTATTGGATTCAGCTTGCTAACATTTGCTTATGAGGCATATTGATCTGTAGTATTATTTTCTAATGATATCTTTTTCTGTCTTTGGTAATGCTGACTTCATCAAATACCTCAAGAAGTATTCCTTCTTTATTTTCTGAAAGATTTTACATAGGTTTGGTCTTATTTCTTCTTTAAATATTTTATAGAATTCACCTAGGGAGCTATCTGGACCAAGTTTATTTTGTGGGAAGATTTTTTAAATTATCAATTTAATATCATTACTTTTTATAGGTCTATTTAGATATTCTATTTCTTCTTAAATCAGTTTTGATTACATTTTCCTTTCTAGGAATTTTTCTATTTTATCTATGTTGTAGATTTTTGTCATAAAGTTGTCCATAATATTCACTATACATGTGTTAATTTCTGTGGAGTGAGTTGTGGTACCCTCCTTTTTCATTCTTGAGTTTAGCAATTTCTGCCTTTTATCTTGTATTTTTAGGCAGTGAGGGGAGAGGCTGATGTTTACTTTTTTGGTTTGATCAGGTTTATTGGTTTTGTTGATATTTAGACATAGCCAGCCTTTGGTTTTATTGATTTTCTCTACTGTTATTCTGTTTTCCACCTCACTGGTTTCTGTTCTGATGTTTAATTTTTCCTTTATGCTTGCTTTGGATTTAATTTTCTCTTCTTTTTTTTCTAATTTCTTCAGATGGAAACTTTGATTGCTGACCTTTCATATTTTCTATTATATTTGAGACCTTTCGTCTCCTCTATTACAGACATCTGAAGTGTGAATTTTCCTGTAAGCACTGCTTTGCCTGCACCCAGAAATTTGATATGTCTTTTTTTGTTACTTAATGCAGTTCAAAATATTTTCCAATTTCTTCTGTCATTATTTTTGACATGGGTTGTTTAGAAATTGGCTGTTTAACTTCTGAATATATAGGGATCTTTTAGACTTTTTTCTGTTGTTGTTTTCTGCTTTAATTCTATTTTCTTCTGAGGATCTACTTTAAATTGTTTAAGTTTTTTTAAATTTATGGAGACTTACTTTGTGGTCTATTATATGGCCTATCTGGAGATGCATGTGTACTTGAGATGAATGTGTCTTTACTTGGTGTTGGGTGGGGTGTTCTATAAAATGTTAGTTACATCACCTTGCTTGATAGTGTTGTTCAAGTCTTCTGTATCCTTACTGATTTTGTGTCTATTTGTTCTATTGATTCCTGAAAGTAGAACACTGAAATCTTTCATTCTAATTGTTGGAATGTCTGTTTCTCTTTTAAATACTGTCAGTTTTTGCTTCATATATTTTGGGGCTCTGTATGTAGGTGTGCAAAATTGAATTGTTAACATATTTCCAATGTAGTAACATTTTATCATGAATGATCACTTTTTCTTTAGTAATATTTCTTTTCTGAAAGTCAATTTTGTCTCCTACAAATATAGGCACTCCAGCTTTCTTATGTTGGCATAGAGATATCTTTTTTTATTCTTTTACTTTCAAATTATATATATATATGTATCTACATTCTGTCCCTTATAAACAGCTTATAGTTGGATCTTGCATTTTCCTCCCCAGTTAAGTACAGTTTTTGTCTTTTGATTTAAGTGTATATTAGTTTACTAGGGCTATTATAGCAAAATACCACAAACATGGTGGCTTAAAACAACAGAAACTTCTTCTCTCACAGTTCCAGATGCTAGGAATCCAAAACCAAGATGCTGGTTCCTATTGGAGGCTCTGAAGAAGAATCTGCTTCATGCTTCTCTCCTAGTTTCTGGTGGTGGCTAGCAACTCTTGGTGTCCCTTTGTTTGTTGATATATCACTCCAGTTTCTCCCTCTTTCTTCACATGGCATTCACCCCAGTGTGTCTGTCTGTGTCTCCAAATTTTCCTTTTCTTATAAGGACAATAGTCATTGGATTAGGGCCCACCCTAATCCATATGACCTCATCTTAACTTGGTTACATCTACCAAGACCCTATTTCTAAATAAGGTCACAATCTGAGAATTGGGTAGACATGGAATTTTAAGGGACACTATTCAAGCTGGTACACTGTGTTTAGACCATTAATATTTAATGTAATTATTGATATGGTTAGATTTACAGCTGCCATTTTGCTATTTGTTTTTCTCTATGTCTCACATCCTTTTTATTTCTGTGTTACTCCTCTACTCTTTTGTTTTCTTGGTGGGAGTGGTTATATGAGCATTTTTAAGTCAATTTCTTGTTAATTTCTCCATGCATTTATTGAATTATTTTATTAGTGGATGCTCTAGGGGTTACAATATACATTTTAAAATTTCACACTCTATTATAGGGTAAAACTAACTTAATTCTGATAAAGCCTAACAATATGGCTCCATTTGGTCATAGCACTGTTGCCCCACTTGCTCCGTTACTGATAACTCTGTTTCCTCCTCTTCCTTTTTGCTGTTATTTTTATACATATATTATATCTTTGTATGTTATAAATAAAATAATCCAGTGTTATAATTGTTGTTCTATATAATCTTTTAAGGTTTTAAAAAGATATTAGAAAATATCTATATGACTGTATATTTATATGTTCTTTGAATTTCCCATACATTTATCATTTTCATGCACTTCATTTCTCCATGTGGATTTCAGTTACTATGTGGTGTAATTTCCTTTCGACCTGAAAGACTTTATTTAGTGTTTCTCCTAAGGCAAATGTGTAGTAAAAAATACTCCAAGTTTTTTTTTTTTTTAATCTGGAAATGTTCTTATTTTGCCTTCATGTTTAAAGGATAATTTTGCTATATAAAGAATTATTGGTTGACAGGTTTTTCATATATATATAATTTGAGGAAAAACATAGTTTACAGGTGTAAGAAGATCAACAAAGCCATATAATAAGTAAAAACAAAGATCCACCATTTTACATATATATACAAATATATAATTTCACTGTCTACTGGCCTTCATTGTTTCTGACCAGAGTTAGCCATTATAGTTGACCTTTGAATAACATGAGTTTGAACTGTGTGGGTCGATGTATACGCAGATTTTTAAAAAATAAAACTTACATTGGGTGTGCCTGCCTCTCTGGCCTCTCCTTTCACCTCCTCCACCTCTTCCACCTCTTCCACCCCAGAGATAGCAAGACCAACCAGCCTCTCCTGTTCTTTCTCGTTCTCAGTCAACTCAATGTGAAGATAATGAGGATGCAGACCTTTATGATGATTCACTTCCACTAATGAATAGTAAATACATTTTTTCTTCCTTATGATTTTCTAAATAACATTTTCTTTTCTCTAGCTTACTTTATTATAAAAATAAAGTGTGTAATACATATAACATACAAAATATGTGTTAATTGACTTTATGTTATTGATACGACTTCCAGTCAGCAGTACACTATTAGTAGTTAAGTTTTGGAAAAGTCAAAATTATACACAGATTTTCAACTGTGTGTGGGGAGGTCAGTTCCCTTAACTAACCCCCACTTTGCTGGAAGGTCAACTGTACTTATTTGTTGTTACTCTGTACATGATGACTCAATTTTCTCTTGATGTTTTAAAGATTTTCTTTCCTCTTTGGCTTTTAGTAGCTGAGATGTGTCTAAGTGTGGATCTTTGCTTTTACTTATTCTAGGGCTTTGTTGATCTTCTTACACCTGTAAATTATGTTTTTTTCCTCAAAATTTTCATCCATTATTTCTCTAAATATTTTCTCCTCTCTTTTCTATCTTTCTTCTTCTGGGTCTTCTGTTAAAAATATATATGACTGACTGTGTTCCACAGGTCTCTGAAGCTCTGCTGTTTTTCCTTCAATCTTTTTTTACTCTGTGTCTTTCAGATTCGATTTTTATTGATCTATCTTCTAGGTCACTGATTGTTTTTTCTGCCATCTCAAATCCAGATGTAGAGTCCAATTGTAGAGTTCATCTATTGAATTTTTCACTTCAGTTTGCATATTTTCAATTCTAGAGTTTCTATTTAACCATTTTCATAGTTTCTGTATCTTTATTTACTCACTTATTGAGTCATTGCCATGAGACTTTTCTTTAACCAATCAAACTTAGTTTTCTTTCATTCTTTGAACCTATTTATAATAGTTGCTTTGAAATATTTTTCTGCTAAATCCAATATCTGGACCTCAGTAGAGACAGTTTCTACTGACCAGTTTTTCCTCTTGATTGTAAGTTAGATATTCCTGGATTTTTTCTTTTATATATCACATACTTCCTTTGTTGAGAACTGGGCATTTTGGATAATGTATTATAACCATGTTATCTTCAGCCTCCCCCACCACTGCCACCACCTGAGGCTTCTCATTTTGTTGCATCTGTTTTCTTAATTGGAGGAATGTATCTCTCCTTGGGTTGTAGTCACTGATGTCTCAGATTTTTTAAAAATTCCTAGTTTTATTTTTAGTTCGATGTCTTAGTGGTCACACCTATGGCTATGTAGTTTTTGGTCAGTCAATAACTTGGGCAGATTGGAATCAAATACTATGAGCCCTTATGACTTCTGCTCTTTGATGATCTGTGCATGGAGTGGATAGCACATTTAGAGTTCAAGATGTTTTCATGTCTGCCTTAGCTTTTGATTCCCACTAGGCCCTCTTTGGCCTTCCCTGAACATGCCTGCAGTTTCTCAGTCAGCCAAGCCTACAGGAGTACTCATCTAGCCCTTCTATAGCTCTCACTTTAAGAATCTCTCTATTAAATTTAAAGTTAGTTCATTACCCACTCCAACTAGGACTGCAGTCTCAAAGTAGCAAGCTACAGATTTTTTAAATATTTCTAATCAAGTTTGTTACTTCTATTGACCACACCGCTGAGTGTGAGATTTCATACTCCACTCCAAAGCTGTCACTGGTAAAATTACCACTTTAACTGATCAATATGGTCTTAGCATTCCCAAAACTTGAATCAACTTAGACAGGGTTTTTTTGTTTTTTTGCTGACTATAGGTCCCTAATTTATCTTTTCATACAGCATTTACGTTAAGAAACTTGATATCATAAATTCTGTTTCTGCCCCTTTGAAATGTAAATTTCCCAGCCTCTTGCCAGTTTGCAAACCAACAATATCTTTCTCAAGGACCTGGGAGCCATCTGTTTAAAATGCAGTCTTAAAGAAAGATGGAGCCCCTGTCTCCCAGCCTCTGTGAGAGGGTAGGATCCTAACTTTGAAAAGTGCCAATTACCAAACACAAGTGGCCTAATCAAATTGACCAACCTCCATCCTAACAGTCTCCAGTACTTTTCCAGTAGGAAAAGTTTTCCTAGTTCTTGAAAACTCTGCTACTTTTTGTTTTAGCAGAGTTGAGTTTAATCTTTCTCCTGTATTGCAATAGTCTTGAATAAATTTTTCCTCATCTATTTAACTTCATTCAGTACAATTAAAAAAAAATAGCCAAGCTGGGGATAGGGGAATGAATATCTGTGGGTAAGAATGCTTCAGATTCCCACTGTTCTTACCTGAAGCTTGGCCAGCTTTTCATGAATAAATGTTACCCAATTTGTTGTTTGACTTTGGTTGATTTTCAGAGCCCTGATCGTTGTTTTTGACAATTTTTGACAATTTTTTAAGTATTATACATGTTTGTTGGGGAAAGGATTTGCTGACCTTTTCATTTCACTACAGCCACCTTCCAACATTTTCACAAGTCAGAGTTTCAACATCATTGCCACGGAGAGTTCCCTGGCCATTCACACCTTTGGAGATCACTTTGTGCAGTCTTTTTTCCCCCCAACATATTAATAGATCATGTACTAAAAAGAATTCTATTCTCACAGCATTACTAACATTTCCCTGTGAATACTTGACCATACAAAGGAGACTCTTCTTATGTTTACATTGTGTTTTATTTTTATTTTGCAGAGTTGAGGCTAATCTCTTTTTCACCTGGAAGAAATGGTGAAATATTTCTTCCAGGATAGGTTAATACTTCATTTTTTTCTTCCTTTCTATTATTTTTTCCTTTTCTGGTGGTATTTGTCATTAAAAAAAAAAAAAACTAGATGAATTCTATCCACTGATTCTGTCTTTTCTACAGGAATATTTACACTTCCAAAAACAAATAGCTAAGCACATTGGCAAAATATGACTTTTTATTTTTACTTTTAACCACCATATTGAGTGTGCTGATATACCAAATGCCAGTCTTTTATCTTACAATTTTTTTCAAATAGAAAAGTGATACTAATGTCAATAATTAAACTTCCCAAGATTTTTTTGTTTCTCTCTGAAGCAAGTCATTGTCTGCTTACATGCTTCTCAGTTGACATTTGTGAAGGCAGATTACACACATGGGACAGTGGTGAATAAATCCACCCAAAATTCCTTTACAGATCTTGAGTGTTTGCCATTAATCTCCATGATTTATTTACATTCTAACATTTAACCTTCCTGAGAATTTTTACTGTCTGATCTAATAATTCATATTTGCCTGCTTTAAAATTTTCTGATCTACTTTTCCAAAATTGTGTTTGATAATTTCACTAGTATGTTTTTCAACACCCACATTCTTCCGTATTTTGTGTGTGCATAGATAATATATACATATGCAAAAACTGTGCATTTATTATTGTATGGTTAAAGTTGGATTTATGTAGGGCTAGGGTTAGTATATCATTTATCCCTATTCTGTAGGATGGTGAATAATATACAAAGATTTTAAGAAGCATGTTGACATACTAGTAAAATTACTACTGCTACAATTATGTAATGTTTATTTATGACTTTTTGTGTGCTAAGAAGTCTTAAATGCTTTAATTTAGTAAGTTATTTTGCATTTACATCCACACTATGAAGTAAATTTTTTTATTATCCCAATTTTATAAGCAAAGACATGTCAGGCAAGGAAAATAAAGTCTCAAGGTGACATGAAACCAAAAATAACTAATTTGTAGTGATCTACCATAATAGCTTGTGTCACATGCTGTTCTAAGAGCTTTATGTGTTTAACATGTTTAAATAATATACTTAATAAAATTATTATATAATCCAGTAATTATTATTATTGTCTTCCTCATAATGTAAATGGGTAAACTAAAGCATGCAGATGTTAAACTACTTATGCATATTCATATGACTAATAACTGATCAATCTGGAATTAGAATCTCACATCCTATTTCTTTAGTGAGAGTTGGAGCTGGTGTTAGAATTCTGGTCACTTGGTACCAAAGCCCCCTGCTTTGCCACTGCTTTCTACTGCCTTGCAGGCAAATTGCACATAGTTTTTGGTAGAATTATTGAAGTTTGGGATTAGATGAAACTTCAAAAGATCTTGTGAAAAATTTCTTTTGCATCTATTGAAAAAACCTTGTGAAAATATCCTCAACAACTTTTTCTGCAGGCTCTGTTGGAAAAATTCCACTAATAGAAGACATACTAACCCCAAGTGGCAACTTGTTCTATTTTGAGGTAATATTATTAGAAACTACTTTCCTCTATTGTGATGAAATTTGAATTCTCACAGGTGCAACTGAAATCCTTTGAGCCTGAATTGGCCATCTCAAGTCAAAAGAAATGTTTCATTCCTTTTCCACATTATAGTCCTTAAACATATGAAATAAAACTTCTAAGGAATTATCTCTAGTTTTTAGTTTCTTGAACTGTCTCACATAGATCATGACTCTGAATGCTTTAGCACTCTAGTTCTCCCCCTTTGGTACAAGAAACTTTATAAATGTTTCTCCTAATATATGAAGCATCACACATAATATTTCAGGTATGTTCTGAACATTGTAGAATAGAGCAGACCTAAAAGTTTCCGTTTCATTCATGGAAATAATATAATGTAATGTCCAAAGGAGTAAATGCTGAAATCAGCTGTCTAGTTTTGATTTCTGCTCTCAACACTCATAACTACATTATTTTGGACAAATTTCCTCAACTCTCTTTTACCTCCTTGATAAAATAGAGATAACAATTGTGTCTACTTTGTTGAGCTGGTGTGAGAATTAAGTGTGATCATAGAGTTAAGCATTTAGAAAACTGCCTGGCATGAATGTCTGAAATCAGAAACTGTCCATAACATTATTTAAAAATTCAGGCACTTATTGAACATCTGTTGTGTATAGACATTGACTGTGTAAAGAGGGAAAAGCTACAGTCTGCATTCCCAAGGCATTTCCACTTAAAATTTTAGACCTTATATTTCTTGTGAAGCAACCTATGATTTTATTTGATTTTGGTAAATCATAAATCATGTCATACTGTGGACTCATAATTAGATAACAATTAGGGAAAATCTTTGAGCCCTTTTTTATGGCTGCTGCTGTGAAATGCTCTTTCTTCTATCCAATTCTATTCTAATCTAGGTCATCCAGTTACTTCTTTTGGAATCCTGATTGTGTCTTCCAGGGTACTGGTTTTCTATCCACGTTCTATGCCATATGTGCATGTGAGAAGCCTTCCATCAATGTCCACCAAGTCATGATAAAATGTGAAGTAGAAAAGAATCAAAAGCACAGCCTTCAACAACCCATTGGAGAGTCCCCCTGTGGGGAGCCATTTACACAGGAATCCACCTAACAGTATTCACACCTGGAATATTTCTTAATTTTGTTAATGAGGACACTATGGGAGACTTTTTCAGAAGCCTTGTTTAAATCTGAATGTCTGTCATCAATTTACATAACATTACCTGCTTGGTAATCCTAACTATATTTTTTAAGAGGAGGAACTAAGTTTAATTGAGTGCAATTTTTCTCAGAGGACCTGTGCTGATGCTTCGTAATAACTGTGTTCTTCTAAAAGGGCTCTCAGAAATCTTTTAAAGGATCATTTATATAATCTAACTAGAGATTAATAGTAAATGTGCCTTTTGTACTTCAAGACATATTTCTGCTTCATTTTGAAAGTTGAGACTTTATTTTTTTATCACCAACCTTGTCTCCACCATTAACTGCCAAGACAGATAATGATGGTTTAGAAATCTCATTTACAAATTCTCTCAGAGTTTTGAGATTTAATTTTGTATTTAATGCCTCTACACTTGAAGCATTTAAAGATATCCCTTACAATCACCTCATTTCTTTTGGTTTCAATTACTCCTCCTTGATGCTTTTCAGACCTCTTCAATCTGAAAATCTCTTTTGATGGAAGATGGAAACAAAATCTATTATTATGCTACCAAGCTCAAATTGATGACTTCCTTTCTATCTTTGCTAAAAATAAATGTGACCCTGTTTAATATCCTTTGCATTTCTGCAACCTCTGTTCTTTCTGATTTTAGCCTTCATGACCATTTTCCTAGGTCTAGGACATTTGTATATTTGTCTGAGTATGGACCCTTCTTTGGTGCTTTTAACCATTCCTTCCATAAATATATGTTGTATCCATCAAGCACTGTTCTAGGCACTAAGGATACAGTGGTGAATGAAATAGGCTTATTCCTTGCTTTATGTCCTACTATCTGGTATAAATCTTTGTTTATTGGATTTATCTCCTTACCTTTTTCCTATCTAATGACAATTTTATTTCAATGTTGAGTTTTTAATCTTTGATCATCATTTAGCTCTTTTGAAATGTCTTTTCAATTCGATCCCTGGTTTCTTAGAATAATTATTAATCCTCCCACTGACATTCCTTGAAATCAGCCATTTGAATATCCATGTTAATATCTATATTTTCTCCCCTATCATTTTTCTCCCATAATGTTTCCATAATTTTGTAAAACTAAAGACAGCAATATGGGACCAAGAGGCTTTGTCATAATTCATGCATATGTTGGGCTTTAAGTCTCAGATTATTTATTTTTCACTTCTTCATTATTCCATTATTATCATGTAAGGATTTTTTTCATTGATTTATTAAATCACCAAGATATTTTGGCCACAAGAGGTTTATTAGGAATATACTAAAAAACTTGACTGAGAAGACTTTTCTGCATGTGATCATACTTTTTATTACAAATTTAACATTTTGTCTGTATTCTAGGAATAGTCCTGCACTAGTCTATGCCATCCTTGTTATATGGACTTGGAGCATGCTGCAGTTTCCACTTGACCTGGCAGGTAAGTATCCTGATGTTTGTGCAAAGAAATAGAAAATTACACCTCTTGATTATTAACTATGCTAAAACTAAGAAGGCAAGTGAAAGGATTATCATGTCTGTATCCCAATATTAGTTCTAGTTCAGCTTAGAAGGAAAGTAGATTGAAACTTAGTAAGCCAAGAAGAGTGGATCCACTGTGGTACACGGTGAGCTTAAGATAGTAGAGCAGATAATTGCATAGTGTTATATTTACTTCAAATAGCAGTTCCGTCAGTTATGATTTATAAGACCTCCTGCAAACCAGGTAATACATCTGTGTCTCAGCTTTCTTTCACCCATGAAATAGGGATGATAATCATAGTCACTAGGGTTGAAGATTCTTGTCATGACTCAGTAATATACAGTTTGCTTAGCAAGTTGCTGCCATAAAAGTTTTATTTCTTATTATTTGTAAGAAGTAATTTTCATTCTTTTTTCAGACCCATGTATTAGAACTTCAGAAGACATAGGAGCAGTTAAAATTGTCCTCATTGGAGGTCCTTGGAATCCTACTGGTCTTACTTTAATAAAAACATAAACCCCTAAGATTTTGCAAGAAGTAATCTGTTTCCCAGGCATTTTATACTAGCAATAATCTAGGGCTGCATTGTTCAACAGGGGACCCACCAACCACACATCGCTCTTTAAATTGAAATTAATTAAAAATTTAAAACATTAAAATTCCAACTCCTCAGTCATACTAGCCACCTTTCAAGTGCTCAGTTGCCACAAATGGCTACCATATTGGACAGCAGTAATATGGAACACTTTTATCATCACAGAAAGTTCAGTTGAGCAGTGTTCATCTGGAGTCATCTGAAAACTTCTTGGAACCCTAGAATTTTGATTTGAGAATTCTCCTGGATGTCACTTTACTCCAAAGAAATTCTAGAAATTAATAATTATGTTTTCCTTAGCCTGACTTGTTTATTTATTACACCTTAATTGCCAGCCTCAGGATTAGAATTAATCCTTAGGACAGAGATATTTAACTTTTTCTCCATCTTTTTTGGTTCACTTTTGTAGGCTCAGAGGTCTGAGGCCATTTTAAACATAGCATCCTCTTTTTGGAATTATTAACAATTTGGAATAGATGGAAAAACTTGCTGTGGCTTTTAAGAAATGCCAAAAACGGAATCACTTATTAGTAATTACAAACAAATGTATGCTAACACACACACACACACACAGATTTTGTCATAATGTGCCCTGGAAGGTATGCTATACTCATTGGTCAAGCTGGTGTCCACTTACAGAATATTAGGTGCCATCACATTAGATACTGAATTAATACCTTTAGAAGGTCCTTTGGGAGCCATTTCCTGGCCCTCATTTCTTAGGAAAGGCTACCATTGATATAACCTTGGTTTCTCTTTTGTCTTTCACTCTGCCGATCCTCACCCTCCCATATCTTGTGGTTTATTGCCTTGCTAAGAAAATTTGTATTTAAGAAAGACATTTTGTAAACTTTCAGGGGTGATAATGTTATGCAGCTGTTTGAAAAACAAAGACCAAATGTTACTTCTGACTAAATCATTATTGTATTTTCCAACAAATAGTACATTATGTTTATCCATATCAAAGCAGCTTCATAATATTTGCAGGCTCCAGTAGACGAAGGCATTCTTTGTTTGAAAACTCCAAATGGAAGGCTTCATTATTATAAAAGGATTATTTTCTGCCCTTGACCCTGAATTAAATTTACATTTCAGAAATTAAGACAAAGGTTCTTCTGTTGATTGCACCTCCTTTTGTTTAACTGGAAAATCAGTAATTATATCCAGTCATTATTGTAAACTGTGAAACAAAGCACAAGGAATTAGGATAAAATAAAATAACAACGGCATTTATTCAGGCTTTTTCCCTCCATCATTTGAAAAATGTATTTAATATGAATTAAGTTTGAATTTGAATATAAGCACTTGAATTTTCACAGCACAATTTGCGCACACGCTTGAGTGTGTAAACCAACAAACAGGCAGATCCTAAAAAGAGTATATAGAATGATCAGAGCCACGTACACTTTGCTCCGTTTCTTAAGCTTATCATTCAAGCAAATCATTCGTGATCCTAAGGGGAAGATTGAGGGAAAAAGTGGACAGAATGCAGGGCTGTTATTCTAATGGAAACAAAATGAGCCAATGAATAGGGACCCCTCTCCTCACTGATATGATTGTTATCCCAGTTTTCAAAGGAAGAAACCGTGGCCCAGGAAGGCTTAGTGACCCCGCCAGCAACTCACTGCTGGAAAATGCGGCAGTCATGCTTCCTGACTTGAGGCCTTGAGCATGCAACTGTGAGGCTTCCTTACACTGTGGACCCCAGAATCACAATGGTGGCTTCCTTTATTTTTTATTCCCCCCATGGTGCAGCCTCAGCCTCACAAGGAGCTTGGGCTATAAGCACTTGTGACCATGACTGGCTCCTAGAATCTATTTAATTGTGCTTTGCCCAGGGTGAGAACTAGATGATCTTACATTTTCTATGTGGATGCGAGTCACAGGGCAGGGTGCTTTCACTTGTTCCACCCTGAATTAAATTACTGGATCATTCCATTTGATTTCCATCCTGTAATTAAATCACAGAATTATTACTAGCACAGTCCCCATTGTTAATGACTCGTCCCCATGGCATTGTCTTATATGTCTACACTTCCAAGAGAGATAGTAACTAGTCTGTCTTGTGTTTTCAGTACAGAACGTTGTGTGCCCTGTGTCTGTGACAGAGAGGGGATTCCCCAGCCTGTTCTTTTGCCAGTACAGTGCCGATCTGTGGAACATCGGAATCAGCGTCTTCATACAAGATGGCCCCTTCCTTGTCGTGCGTCTCATACTGATGACCTATTTCAAAGTGATCAATCAGATGCTGGTGTTCTTTGCCGCGAAGAACTTCCTCGTGGTGGTGTTGCAACTCTACCGCTTGGTGGTGCTGGCATTGGCAGTCCGTGCTTCGTTGAGAAGTCAGTCAGAAGGCCTGAAAGGAGAACATGGTTGCCGGGCACAGACCTCTGAGAGTGGGCCCTCTCAGCGGGACTGGCAGAACGAGTCTAAGGAGGGCCTGGCTATTCCTTTGCGGGGCTCCCCAGTCACCTCCGACGACTCCCACCACACCCCTTAGTTATTGATTGACAGTGGTCTGCGGCTAGAACCTGACTCCCTGGTTCTTCTTACAGGGAGGATCCTTTTTCTCCTCCAACCTTGGCGTATAATAATTTTCAAAAGAACAACATAAAAAGGTGATCTTAAACCAAAGCTGAGGAATTTTCTTTTTTCAACTGAATAGAAGGAACTTTGATTAGTGACTATTGCTACAACTTCTGTGTGATGGTATCAGATGTTATAGTTGTTCAACGACTAAGTGATTTGTTTGTCTTGAACTGTTTGAAAAGCTATGGAAGAGGTTACAGTGACATGCCCTCGAAAGATTTGGTGCAGACCAACTGTCGCGGCTGTTACCTGGAAATAGAGAAGCTTTGAACTTTGCCTCCATTGTCAGACTATTTCGTCTGATCTTTTCTGCAATGTTCCTCTGACATCAAAAAATGTACATTCAGTGAATGCAGAACAAATGAAGGGAAAAGTGCCTTTAAAATTACCTCACTGTGGGCTGGAAGAAGCGAAAATCTCTGCCCAGCTTCCGTATCATAGAGAGCCCTATTCATCGCTGCCCAGGCCTTCCCAGGAAAATCATTTTTTCTGGGCTGATGTTGTATTCTGCCATGGCGCATATGTTCTTACAGAAATTTTATTGCTTTTGTCTTGGGTGCTACAAAATTCACAGCAAGCCATTTTGGTTACATATCTACTGGTTGCAAGGCAGGAAATATTGGTGAAATGCTAGCAAAGTCACAATTTCTACTCTGAACATGATTTGCAGTGTTCATCAGTATTTTTCTGAACCCTGCTTTACCATTTTCTATATTGCCAAGTTGAATCATGTGGGCTGATGCAGGGAAGCTCTGAAGCAGTGAATAAAGGTGTTTCGGGCCCTGTAAGTGTTTCCATGGTTTCTGGTGTCTGCCAGCAGTAGTGAACAAAGCTGCAGCTTCTTTGAACCGCGACTACTGGAAGTGGCCTTTGCTCTCAGGGAACATGGTGATGGAGGGTTGCATCAGCTCCACCCATGGCCAACAGCCCTTGTTGAGTGACGGGAGTCGGAATGTGCTACCCCGTTGTGGGAATCAGGCAATTCGCTTTATTTTCTTGCATTAAGACTTCATTTTCCCAGTATTGAAATAGCCATACTTTTCCTTTACATACCTCTATACTTTCCAGATGGAGGTGATTCAGAACCTTTTAAAGTGATTTTTGCCTTTAAAGATACAGTGTGAAAATTTGCTCGGGTGTGTAGCAGTAATTACACGAGGCAAACAGTTCCAAAACTGTTCTTTTAGGTTCAAAACCTAATTCCCCCAGATTAGTATACTCGAGAATTCAAAGGGACATTTAAGGTGGGGTATGCCCTTAATTTGGTATGACTTATTGACAACCAGTTGGGACAATTTTATCTGTAACTCTCTGGGTGACATGATACCTATTCGAAACATTTTATACAAACTTTTATAGACAAATTGTGTTTTTATACAGAGTCATGCATATTTTCTCATAAATGGCTTCTTCAGTGCCATTGTTATATGTTTTTTATTTCTTTCTTCCTTGTGCTTCTAATTTTAACAATATAATGACTATAAAATGACACATGGAACTAATGGAATACATTTATGATTTTCCATAATAATTTTATGAAAGTTAAGATCAAGAAATTATATTTATATGAAGTAAATCACTTGACAACTTTTAAGGGCATGTTATTTGAAGTGCTCAGCAGTTGAAAGCAAAATAATAACTGCTATTTATAAAAATGCCTCAGCAGAATCTGTTTTTATGTTGACTGCTTTATGTTGAATATTTTCTTCCACAACATGTATGTGCTGCTTATTATTGCAGATTTGCTCATGGCATACTTTTCATGTTTTAATTTTTTTCTTCCAGCAAAATAAACACTGAGGCCCTAAAAATAGATAAAGTATAAAGTAGTACGGCTGTTGCAAGGATATTTTTAAATGCTTTCAAATCTGAGACTTGGCTTGGCTTCGTGAATGAGTTTCTAGTGTTTAAATTAAAGTATTTTGTAATTAGACTCCTCGTGGGCTTGAGAAATAAAAAGCCTGTCCAAAGTCTAGCTTTATTTAGAGGGTCAGGAAGTCAAAGAGCACCCAGGACCATCTTGGCAATTAATAGCGGCAAAAATAGACCCAGCTTCTGCAAGGTTTTCCAGGAAAATCTGCTTGGGGCAGCATTTGTTAACCTAGCTGCCAGTACTCCTACTCTCTTATACTGGCTGCTTTTATAATAGGAAAAAAAAATATGCATTTGCTTAGTTTATTTGAATAAAAGCTCTAAACCTAGGTTATATATTAGCCATTCCTAAGACTCCTGATTAAATATTACAAATTTGTTCAGTTCATAGCGTAGACTGCTAAATACTGTAATGTTTCAAAACATCCAACTGTTTGTTATAAAGTGGCTAGAACATCAATTACCTCCCATGTGTGGACATCCTGGGACTTGTTTACATTTTATCTGTAATAAGATAACTGACTCACAACACCTGTATAATGTGATGCAAGTCATCCTCTCTATCATAACCCCTCCCCCCAACACACAGTAGGTCACTCCCCAACCCCTGAAGAAAGTGGCTTATTTGAGGTTGTTGGTGCTGTTGGTATTATTGCCATAGTTGTTATTTAATTGCTTGATTAAACTCAGTCAAATATCCTTCCTAAAAACATGTCATTCCACTTGTGAAAGAAAACACAATGTGCATGTTTCAATGATACTGTGCGGAAACACACCTCATGATCATCTTGTGGGTTTCTTTTGCCCTTACTGGATGACTCTCAGAGGACATGACTTGACATAGTAACATTAGTAAACTGTCTTTATCTTTGATTATTCTTTTAATTTTTATTTGAGCTGTTTCAATAGCATAATGAAATAAAATTTTGAATTGGCCAATAACATGCTTTATAATCTTCCAGTGAAGAGTCTGATACAAATTTACTCTTGGCACTGTTGTAGTTCCACTAACAAATAGCACTTCAGACCTTATAGAACCATATAGATATGGCCAAGGAATAGCAGGATTCACTATTATAATACTAATTGTTAACTCATTATTTAATTGAACATTTCCAAAGCTCTGGAAAGGCATGCATTTGTAGGTGCACATGCTTTAAGATTTCTATCCATCTTTCAGAGTTGAATGTAATAATGTTTGGTATTTAATTCTTGATAATTCTTAACCAACTTTTCCTGTTACAGGAGAGAAAGAATTGCAAATGCCAGGCATCTGTCCACTTTAGCCCTCCTCCAATGCTAAGAAAGAGGGATGGTGACGTATACTACAGAGACGCAAATGAAACACCAAACAGTCTTGAATTACAAGAAAAAAAGGGGATTTTTTTTTTTTCTAATTTCAGACTTGGCTTTTTACTTAGAGGACATTCTGATTTGCTCTCAGAAACATCTGATTTGGGGTTAAACTAGGCGGCTGGAGGATGTTTACAGCTTTGAGGCTTCAAATAAGTTTCCATATGCAGGGAGTAACTTTAAACAATGTTTGAATAATTAACTGCTAAGTCTTATATTTTATGTGTATCTATTTCATCCTCTGTCTCTTTCTTACTAGAATACCATATAAGAATATTTTCTCTGCAGTATTTATATTTATACTATTTTGCTATGAGTGGCCTTTGTATTTTATTATATGCATTAAATAGTGTGTGCACAACTTTATCTTAATGTGGATTTTTGCTGGCTTTTCATGTCTTTGTTCTCTACTGCAATTCATTTCCTTTATGGTTTTTAAGCTCTAGTTTAAAAAATAAAACTGATCTATTTAGAATATGATTAAAGTGGCATTTCAAACCAGTGAGGAAAGGCTGACCAATTTTACAAATGATGTTGGGAAATTTTGCAATCCATCTGGAAAAAATAAAGTTAGATTTTTATCTCCTGCAATATATAGAAATAAATTCCAGATGGATTAAAGATGTAAATGTAAAATGAAAACTATAAATATTAGAAGAAAATATGCAGTCTGTCTTTAGCCTGTGGGGGATGGGAAAGATCTTCTGAAACAAGACATGAAACCCAGAAGCTACAGAAGAATTGACAGATTTTTCCTACATAAAAGCTTAACGTTTCTCAATGGCGAAAGCTATCATAAATACATCACTCTTATTTTCTTTTCTGGAGAAAGGAGTCAGAGAAATCAGACAAGAGAAATGAGAGGTATAGAAATTGGAAAGAAGGAGCCAAATGTATCATTTATTCATAGAAGATTGAGTCTTGAACATCCAAGGAAAACATATTAAACCTAAGAAACTTTTAAAAATAATCTGAAATCACACACAAAAATCGATAGCTTTTCTACATACAAAATCACATAGAATATATACTTGAGGAAGAGATTTCCTTTACAATATAAACTAAATCTATAAAATACATAGGAATAAACTTGGGAAATGTTTAAGATCTACGTGAAGAGAACTTAAAAATGATTGTGAGGGCCATACATGAATAATTTAACAAAAAGAAAGACATTATTTTATGGGGATTGGTAAGAAGCCTTGATATTTTTTTAAAAGTTTCAATTTTCCCTAAACTGATCTATAAATAGATCAAGTAGCACAATCATCATGCTTTCAACAAGATATTAATTTTTTTGTGACTGTACAAGTTGATTCTAAAGATTTCATGATAAAATAAGCATGAAAGAATAGTTAGAAAATACCAACAGAAAGTTGAAAAATGAGAGAGATATTTTAATATATTTAAATATATTATACAACTATAATAACCAAAAGGATTTGGTTGTGGAATATGAATAAGCAAGCCAAAAAGCTGAACAGAATAAATTTAATAAATAGACCGAGTTACACAAGGGATTCTGATATGTGATAAATCATGGGGTGGGGTAAAATATTATAAATGGTTTAGGTTTTGGAAAATATTAAATTGGATCCTTACCTAAATCCTTATGTCCAAAACATTTCCAGTAGAGCAAATAATTAAACATTTAAAATAAAATAAACACAGAAAACTTTGTTTTTATAACTGTGATGGTGAGAATGCTTTTTGAGCAAGATATGAGACACCATAGAAGATTCATAAATTTCAGCCCCTAAAATTAAAAATTTTAGCATTGTAAAAATACCATAAGCAAATTCAAAAGTTGAACAATGAACTGAGTTAATTTGTTTGCAACGAATATAACAAAACGTTAGTTTTCTTAATGAACAAACAGTTCTTACAAATAAGAAAAAAAATCACTGAAAAAATGAGCAAATGACTTAAGTATATGATTCACTGCAAAAGGAATAGTTGAAGAAATGCAAATCAAACCACAATGAAATACCATTTTTCAAATGCAGACTCAACTACAGGCTAACCATTTTTCAGTTACTTGGTTGGCAAAGACCCAAAAGTTCTTTAGAATGCTGTATTAGAGGGAAACAAGGGAAGTAGGCATTCTTATTCATAGTTAGTGAGGGTGTAAATTGGTACAACTCCTTTGTAAGACAATTTGGCAACATCAGTCAGAACAAAACACATTTATCATCTGACCTAGCAACTCCACTTCTAAGAATGTATCCTGCAGATATGTGTGTGCAAACATGTGCATATAAGACTGTTCAGTATTTTCCATAGTTGCAGCATAATGTCCATTAATGGAGTCATGGTTAAATAATGTAACCTCTATACTACATAATACCATGTCATTTTTTAAAAGAATGAAGTAGAGCCATACTGTTGATAGGAAACAATAGCTTAAATATTCTGTTAAGTAAAAATAAGGATACAAAACAAGTTAGTATGTTACTCTTTTTGTAAGTGTTATCCATACCTTCACAAGTGGCTAATAAACATGAAATGGTGCTCAAGTTTCTAATGATCATGGATATTCCCTCCTTTGTAAAACTACTTTTATCTATTTGATAGCTTGAATTTTTAAAATTACACATCATTTTTGTAATGTTAAAAGTAATTATGACAAAGGAAACCTCACCAATTTGTGAGTTTTACTTCAGCCTACTGCCATGCACAGATGCTTTGATATCACTTTGCAAATAAAATAAAAGCACATCATTTATTTCCACCCAAGAAAATAAAGACCTTCTCATTATAACTAAGGATGATCTTGAGAAGTTTTAGATAAATCAAGGCCTTAAACCATGTCAAATTCTGCTTGCCTTATAAAGTGTCTAATACTGGGGAAATGAAATAATGAATAGATACAGAAGAGCACAGAAGAATCCAGCTGACCAAAAAGATTCACTGGGTCTTTCTTGATGAGTACCATGGAGACTACTTTGAAGCTGCCAGTCTAACACTTCCACACTCCTGACATTTATGGAGTCACCAGAACAAACCATCAAGAAATTTCACTTTGAATGACACAGTCATGCTGATTTCCCCAGAAGAGATTGAGAACTGAAGGAACCCTGACAGTGAAAACTTCAGAAAGAATCTAGGCATCTGTTTCCATGTCTGTATTCACAGCCCATCTAATTTGTGTATGTAAGCTTTTATGATTTTGCCAAGTATTTACTAAATTTATAACTGATTGTGGTAAGTGATCAAATGGATCATATGCAAATCTGATCGACTTATTCAGGAAAACAAATATTTCTAAACCAGCCATATGTCAAATATCATATAGTCTTTGTATCCAAACTAAGAATTTTGGGCAAGGAAAATTGGATCTACAAGACAAAATATGTTTTCTCTATGGATGCTGGTGTTCAGCTTCTGCCAAATGCATAGCTGAAGAATTCAGATGGTTGTGGCTCTGGGATCTTGGGGGTTGCTTCTACCTTCTGGCAAAGTATATTCTCTCTATTATGCAAGAGTCCCCATATGACCTACGTGGCAGCGAACAGCTGGGTCAAATGCTATAATTATTTCATTGGATCTTTTGGTTTCAACTAATTCCTATAACTAGTGATTTTTATTGGTATCTCTAATCCCAAACTCTTTTACTTCCTGGACTCTATGCCTGGATTTGCATCTCCTCTGGATATTCTGCAAGTATTACAGACTCAATTTTATATATATATACGTGTATATATATATATATATATATATATATATATACACACACACACATATATATAATTATATGTGTAATTAGATTGGAGTAGATTGGGGGTTGAGTGTGGTAAGACATATATAATTATATTTATATTTAATTGTATATTTTTATATATAATATATATAATTATATATAATGTATAATTATATATAGTTATATGTGTGTGTGTGTGTGTATATATATATATATATATAAAATTATATATGTCTTACCACACTCAACCCCCAATCTACTCCTTTCCTGTGTTCCAAACAATAACTAGTAGCATCTCCAGCCACTTAGGCACCCATGCCAAAACCAGATGTTTCCTAAGTCCTTGTTTCTTTTTTCTTATACCTTCTTCTTAAGTAATACCTAAATTCTGTCAGTTATGCTGCTTATACTTCCTCTCAATCTTTATCCTACATTCTCTATTCCAAGTGCTACTATCTTAATTTGGTGTCACGTCATTTCTTTCCTCAGTGATTGCAATTATTTCCCAACTGGTCTTCCAACCTCCTGGTTTAATCCTCCATAGTGCATTCCAAAGTGCATTCAGTGCTGGCTGTTCTAAAACTCACATTTGATCACATCTCTTCTATTCAAAACACTTTCATGATGCCTCACTGCCCACAAGATTAAACCTAAAGTCCCTCAAAAATCATTCAAGAACTTTCACAATTTGCCCCTAACCTAATTCTTCAACTTTGTTTCCCATTACTGCGGTCTGCCCCCCAACACACATAACTGCCACCATAAGACCATAATAAACTACTTGTGTTCCCCTAAACATGCCATTATCCTTTACATTGCTGTGTTTCCAAGCATAATTCTTTTTTCAGTGATGCCACCTCTCCATTACTGATGGCCTAATTTCTCCATCCAGAGTTGATGCTAGGGAAGAAAGAACAATCCCAGAAAGAAAAATTGTTCTGCGCCCTCTGGGAACTCCAGGTGAGTGAGTGTAGACATCCCTTGTCCTGAGAGCAGAGACATCCTTCAGTCCTGGGTCTCTAATTTGTAGGTTTCCTTTGAAGCAGCAATCCTAAGGATGCCAGGTAAGGCAATGTGGATATAGAGCTATGGGATTCATCACTTACCATGAACCTTGACGAGAGTCAGCAAGAGAAGCAACTGGCCAACGGTCTCCAGAAGTTTTATCCTATTATTGAATCTGGCTGAACTATGCAATTTAATCTGTGTTTACTAATCCAACAGCTTATAAGTATATTATAAGCTGTCTTATCCCTTCCCCTTCCAGAGATTCTCCTTTCTAGCAATATCTCCCACTCACTACTTACCATCTTTTTGGCAAAATTCCTCATAAAAGGTTCAGAAGGTTTAAGAAAAATATTACACGCTTCTGCTTCCAGAACTGAATGTCTCCCCTCTATTACTGTGCATTTATAGCACTCGTACTTGTCTCGTCTCTATCCCTGTGCTTACCATAATGTATTGGAAGTATTCGTTGCTATATCTGTCTCTCCCATCAGACTATGAGCTGTCTGAGGGCGCAGGTCATATTTTATACTCTGCTATAATAACCACAGAACTCCAGATGCATTGAAATTTTGTCTACTCCCAGAATTCACCAACCTTCTTTCTGTCTGTGGGACTTTGTATTTGCGGGTGTTGCTTCCTGAGATGTCCATATCCCACCCCAACCCCATCCTAGAGAAGCTCCTTCTCATTTTGATTCCAGATGGAATGCAAAGTCCTAGGAGCTGACACACATAGTGTTCGCCTCCACTCCTATGGTTATATGAGAACCATCATCTCCTGGTTCCTCATTATTGGCTCCTATTATGCGCATGGGTCTGTTTACTCCTTTACTCTCTAAATTTACAAGCCCTGTCTTGTTCATTTGGGCTCATCTGTCTCTCTGTGACTCCACTCTCATCAATGCCCTATTAAATCTGCATTTCCAGCCTTGTTCTAAGCTTCTCTTTAACATTTCCATGCAGAAGCACTTCTGACACTTCCAACTTAACTTGCTCACATTTGGATTCAAAACTTCTCCTCCCCCACATCTGTTTCTCTTCTTGATCGCTCAATTTCTCTTAATGGAACCATCACCCATCCAGTCATTTGGGCTCAGACTAAGGAGTTATCTTTGACTGACTCTCAAAGTCATTTGCTGCATCCTATACTCTGTTTCCTGTAATGAATATAGTTTTATTGCTTTCTCTGGTTATATAAATCATATGCGATCAATGTAGTAATTTCAAACATACAAAAGGATAAAATACATACAGAGGGTAAAACATACAGAGGGTAAAAATCACATGAACTCCCACCTTATTACAATTCATTATTAACACTTTAAAGGTTATTCTTTTGTGAACCCTTTAACATAGATACATAGATAGATAGATAGATAGATAGATATAAATGGAATAATACACTGGTTCATTCTTTAAAAATAAAAAAAAAAGGAAAGAGTTCCCAAAACTTTGGCTTAATTTAAATATGTATTTTGAACAACTTCAGCTCTCAATCTTGTCAGTATCACCTCTATGAAGGCATATATAACCTCACTTGGAGAAATGAGAGATTTTTCAGGCCTTTTGTGAATTTGAAGCCTAGACCAAATGGTGCCCCTGTGGTAAACTCTGGAATTGAAACCTCATTTTATTATTTTTTCTGTAATCCATGGAGACTCTCAGGGTACATGAGGAATAATATTTTTGCTCTGTGAATGATCAATGACGTCAACAAATATCTTTTAATATCTATCATATACAAACTACTGCTAGCTATGTGAGGGATACACAAATGAATAAGACATTTTACTTGCTTTAGAGAAAATTTTTATAACAGTGGCCTTTAAAAAATGTTGCTATAGCCTCCATAAACTTCACTCCCTGCCACCTATCTTCATGCCTGTGAAGGGCTCATTTTGGTTCTCTTTGAGTTTTGTGTGGAAGCTGCAGTCCCTAGCCTTGCTCCAACAAGCACTTTGAAATATAAGAAGAAATGCAAAAAAGAAAGTAGATCTTAGAGGGCTGATTTAAAAGAAATGAGAATTGTTTGTTTTCTGAAAACACACCTTTGCAGCTTGATGGCCCTTGATCACTGTGGGATGGGCACCATAGGATCCCCGAAACATGGCAAGAACTTATCTTAGACTTAACAGCGGTTTTGGCTATGATCTGCTGTCTTCTTTTCAAAGGATGCAGCTCTTCTGGAGAGGCTTCTGTCTGAACTCAGCCACATTTCTATGCTCAAAGTGGTAAAGTACCATTCATGTGAAAGCCCCACGGAAGACTTAAAAGCACTTTACAGGCCTTCAGAATAATTTAAAGTATATCCCTGGTAGATATCCAGGGCAGAAGATGCTCATTTGTCATATGTCAAAAAGCACTGAGGTTTATTTTTACAGAATCACTGGCTAACAGGAAGAATACTTGGGGCCATTACTCTCTAGCAACTTTAATTACAGCAACACAACGTTAGAAAGAAGATATACTTGGCCCATACTTGAGGATTATAATCTCTTAACTCTTTCAAATCCTTTTTGAAAGGTTTAAAATTGTATTTAGTGATAGTGATAAATGGCATAAAAGCCATAGAGAAAATGCTAGTTTGGGGAACATGTCAGTCATTTTTAAGAACAGATGTCCACCACCATTTCTCTCTTTTGGGAAGCAGCCCATTAAGCTGTGTGCTGCTGAATCAGACATGACAAAAAAGTTCATTCAGTCTGGTTTATTTTGGCTTGGGAGTCAACATCATGAGAGGCAATGACTGATATTTCTGGATCTGCTGTTGCTTCTACTTTAGAGACTGTTGAATCAGACTTGATTGAACTTGCAGACATCTCTGGTTCTGCTGCACACACATGCTGCTTCATAGCCTGAGTGCTGGTGATCTATATAGCATCTTGAAAATTTGTGTTTTAAAATTGCACACCTACCTGCACAGATGTAAAATCAGCACCGACCAAAATAAGCTCACCCTTGAATTTCTGCATTCTATGTTATTCCATAGAAGACTAAACATCCAGGCACTGATCCATTTATTATACCATGGCATCTCTGGGGTGACAGACACATTCATCAAAGCTCCAGTCCCTCAAAAGGATAACGCTCAGGAAATACTTGAGCAGCTATCAGATAATTCACCTTCGTCTTACGGCTTTTCTAAAACTTAATAAAAATCCTATTTTCAATTAGAATCTTCCAAAAAAAAAATAGAACTTGTTTCTCCAACTTCTTGGATAAGCTAAAGCAAACATTGACTATCATAACTTCTATTTTTTCAGCTTCAAGTCCCTCAAAAATGCTGTTTCACTTAGTGTCATGCTGTGGACTTCCTTTCAGAGGTTACCTTTACAAGGATTTTACTCATAGACTCTGCTCTTTATTTGTACTTTGAGTCACATACTCCTGGAGCCTTTGGGATCTCCTTATCTCCTTGAAAGCAAATAAATGAAAGCTGAGAAAAGGGTCAGCCTAGTTGTATTCTAGGGATGGCATACTCAAGATCAGAATTACCTGTACATAAAAGCAAAATACAAACAAAATCTATAACAAAACAAAAAATTAAGCATCTTTAGTTTTCTGCTAATAGCACATAATATTTATAATATCCTTGAAACAATTTTACTTGCCCACCATTTTAAAGTTTATACATTTTCACATCTTTATCTCAGTCTTGACAGCCAATCTGGAGGCAAGTTTTAAAAAAACAAATGAGGAAATGAGCACTCAGAGAGGTCAACAGACTTATAAAAGGTCAAGTCTTTGGGGCCAAGGGACTCAAGTCCAAAGATTCAGCTCCCAAGGTAGGAATGCATTATGAAATGACTTTATTCCAACACGGGGCAGTAGTGATAACAAATCAACTTAAAAATCTAAGTAGATTTTCTTTTCCCATTGGTCTGAAATTTTCTACACTTAGCTTTGACCAGTAAAACAGTCTCGCTGTCCCTGGAAGTGGGTGCAAACCCACTTCCATAAAATGACAACTCCATTTCTCAGCATAATCAGAATGGGATTGAATTACCACTCTTTGGGCCCTGAGCTAGTTTGTTGCCAGCAGTGTCCATTTCCAGAAATATTCAAACACTCATTAAAAATGAGAAAAGTCATTTGACTACTTCTTCCCAAACAGAAGTTTACATTGTGCACATTCACTCAAAGAAAAACGATTGCCCTTGTTTCTGTGGTACTACAATTATTCATGTCAGAGTGTTTTCTTTTGATTGTCTTCTCTTTCATATTTAGTAGAGCTGGAAAAAAGAAAACTAATTTTTCCTCCTTCCTACACTGAAACCCTTACTACTTTTCAAAAGCAATTAAAAGAATACAAGAAAGGCACCATGGCAGGGAATCTCTGGGTTTCTATGACAGAAGACCCTTCAAGTTTCCATGATACAGTTTTCTCCCTTCCTTTCTCTCCCTAGCTCTTCCTCTTTGCATGCGAGCACTTTAGGTCATGGGATATTAATCTGCAGCAAGTAAAAGTGAAACTAAAATGGCGTCTTCCTTCCTTTTCTTTCTGACTTCTTCATCTGAATAAATTAAAACCTATTCTAAACTGGCTTTGTCTATATTTCATGAAAATAAGTTCTTAAGTACTCATTAAATGCCTAGTGCTGGTGATGTCACCTCATCCTGTCTTTTGCTTCCTTAACTTTCTGTTCCTCAAGTTCTCCTAGATACCTCTTGTCAGAGTGGTACAATTCTTTCTGTAAAACCTGAAATGGTAACCTTGGAAAGTCTGAATTGCATCCAAAAAGAATTCATGACTGCGTGGGGGTGACTTTGACTTTCATGAAAATGAATGCTCCAAAACCATCAACTTTAGAAAATAATTCATTACACATTTTTTATGGTGAAGAGGGGGGATAAAAATGTCTTACATAAAAGCACCTCTTGTATGAGTATCCTGCGTGACCTATCTCTTACGAAAGAAAATGTTAGGACAGTCAGCTATTTGGAAACATTGTACGTGTAAGCTTTTATGCTGACTTTCAGCGAGAACAAGATGAATCATGAATACTTAATTTTTTTTTCCCCATGGTTATGCTTAAATCCTAGTTCAATTGTTTCAGAGTATGCACTTGGGAGACTCTGTATGTAATATGGATTTGGGTGTTAGAACTTCCAATAATTGTCTAGGTTAGGGGCCAGTGGGAATGCAGCTCCCTGGACTTTTTATCTTAGTCCTCCTTTCTTTCATTATTTGGGCAGATACTTTCATGTCTTTTTCTCTCTCAAGGTAAAAGAACACTTACCACTAGCCCCAGCATTCTGAAGGTTAACAAAATACCTTCGAAGATTTTTTTCTTAATTTTGAACAATTACAGTAAATTACAGAGTATAAGATTCATGTATCTAACATCCAGGTTTAAGAACTCTAGTATTTTGTCACATTTGCTTCAGATGTTTTAAAATATGAATACTTAAAGATAATGGAGATCAACTGAAAATCCTCTTTGTACTTCTATTCAGTTGTATTCCTCTTTCTCCCGCCTGGAGACACACATTTTCACAAATTTGGTATGTATTCTCCCAGTCTACATTTTTATATGTTTATTAATTATATTTAAACAATATGTAATATTTGAGACAATAAATTCTAATGAGCCACTAGTTGTCACTAATCCCCTCTTCTCTTCTGTCCTATCAAAACTTTGCTCTGTGGCCTAGTGAGTTCTAGTCATCCCCTCTCCCAGGCTCTTCTGTCATTAGCTAAAAAGCCAAATGGTGGGTAGAGAAGGACATGGTCAAGTTTTGGTCAAGGAACTATAAGTAATTTAAAAGGTAAGACTTCTAGTAAAACCATAATTTTCTTGGTAAGATGGGGCAGATTTAGATTCAGTTACATCTTCTGTCTCCTCTCCCTCTTTGGATCTGAGCATGGATGCAATATCTGTCGCAAGAATTATCATCTTGTGATCCTGAGGATGAAAGCATAGAAGAAGGTAAAATAAGCCATGATCCTTACAAAAGGGACCCTGGTGGCAGGTTTGAGCCTATACAAAAATAAATTTTTGAGTCCTTTAGCAAAAGTGGACTAATTAAACCTACTTACACATTATCATCCTTTGTTCATCTTTTGGACCACCAGACCAGGTAAATTTTATTCCCTCCCTCGCTTTGTGGGGACACGATTGATGGCAGCTGGGAGCCAACTTCATTTGGATCATCTTTAGCTGAAATCTTACAGGAGAAAATTACAACAGCCTGTTTGGTTGAGCCACTGTTGTTAAATTCCTTTAAATGTAGCCAAATACAATCCTAACTGGTATTGTATTATCTTGCTGTAATGATTTGTGTAAAAATGAGGTTGCCTTAACAAGTTGTTCTGCAACTTACTTTTTCCACTCAATATTACGTTTGACCTTTATCTACCTTGATATGTATCTAGTTCATTTAAAATTCACTTATTCTATTCATTTCTTCTTAAGAGATATTTAGATTGCATCTAAGTTTTTACCATTACCAATGCTATTGCTCTGTGTCGCCCTGCACATTCACATGCACAAGGGTTTCTTTAGGGTGTATGCTGGATGTGGACTCGGATGAATCTCTTTAAGATTCTTAATTTGGGTCCAAGCAGTTTTAGAAATAGAATCATTTATGAATTTAGAGGCAGATGGGTAATAGTAATCTCCAGGACTCTAAACTATTCTATTCACATTTTCTTATTTTCTTACACTATTTGTTAAGCCTCTGGAAAAACTAGAAACAAAAATCAGAAAAAACAAAATCCAGAAACAGCAGTACCTGAGTAAGAAACATCTATTTCCACCAGCTTTATGGCAGTTTCTTCTGTTAGTCCCCTTCTGGAAGTGAAACTCTACACTAAGACTTCCCAACCTTCCAGGGCTTCTCAACCTTGACACTATTAACATTTTGGGCCAGATCATTCTTTGTTATGGGGGCTGCTCTGTGCACTCTAAAATGTTTTACAGCCTCTCTGGCCTCCACTCACTAAATACTAGTTTTACATCTCTCCTCAGTTTTGACATTTAACAATGACTCCAGGCACTGCCAAATACCTTTGAGGCAGAAGGAGAGGGGGGCACAAAATCACCCATGGATAAGAACTGTTGCGCTACAGTAGCTAATCTTGTGGTATTTGGGGCCAAAATAAATAGAGAATCCCATGAAGGCAATGAGAGATCTTGCAATTTTTAAAAATGGTCATTTTAAGGCCATTAAAGAATGCTACTATAGTACTTGGTTTGAGGAAATCTATATTTCCAATCTTTAAGGTGAGGGAATTAATTTAGGATAGTTATAAAACCTTTGTAAAATAAAAATATAAAAAGAATAATAATTGCATTTAGTCTACGTGGGAATTTTTCTTAGTATGATACATATGTCTACCTCTTTAATCTTCACAACTTACTTATGACATAGGTATTATTTTATATCCATTTTATAGATGAGAAAATCGAGCTACAAGAAGGTTAAGGCTTGCTCTTCATAGAAATTCTGTTTAATTTTCATGGCAAGTCTTTAAGGTGTATGCTATTACCACCATTTCATAGATGAATAAATTGAAAGAGAGATTAAGAAACCTAACGAATATCCCATAGTGTTAAACTGTGAGTCTGTATTCAATGCGCATTAATATGGATACATTCATGAAAATGATACAAATTAAAACTGGTACCCACTTATCAATGTTATTTTGCCTTGGAGATACGGATCCCTTAAGAGGAATTTAATTACCTTTTTGTAAGTATAGAAGAACAAGATCTTATAATTTGTCATAGAACATTATGCTTATGTCTAAGTTTACAAATTTCAACTTTCTTACTCTTTCTCCTCCCCAACCCCCACAATCTTTCAAGTAAGTATTTAAATAAGGCAGCTAAACAGATGTGTAAAGCTAACAAAATGTAATAAAACATGGTGTAGGAACATAAAGTGGACTCAGAAATGATAAGGAAAAACTCTGACTATAAGGATCTATAAAAATACTGGCAAACCGAATCCAGCAGCACATCAAAAAGCTTATCCACTATGATCAAGTTGTCTTCATCCCTGGGATGCAAGGCTGGTTCAACATACGCAAATCACATAAACAGAACCAACGACAAAAACCACTTGATTATGTCAATAGATGCAGAAAAGACCTTCGATAAAATTCAACACCGCTTCATGCTAAAAACTCTCAAAAAACTAGGTATTGATGGAACATATCTCAAAATAAAAAGAGCTATTTATACACATATAAACCCACAGCCAATATCATACAGAATAGGCAAAAGCTGGAGGTATTCCCTTTGAAAACTGGCACAAGACAGGGATGTCCTCTCTCACCACTCCTATTCAACATAGTATTTATTGGAAGTTCTGGCCAGGGCAATCAGGCAAGAGAAAGAAATAAAGCGTATTTAATTAGGAAGAGAGAAAGTCAAATTGTCTCTGTTTGCAGATGACATGATTGTATATTTAGAAAACCCCATCGTCTCAGCACAAAATCTCCTTAAGCTGATAAGCAACTTCAGCAACATCTCAAGATACAAAATCAATGTGTAAAAATCACAAGCATTCCTATACACCAATAATAGACAACCAGAAAGTCAAATCATGAGTGAACTCCCATTCACAACTGCTACAAAGAGAAAAAAAAATACCTAGGAATACAATTTACAAGGGAAGTGAAGGACCTCTTCAAGGAGAACTACAGACCACTGCTCAAGGAAATAAGAGACGACACAAACAAATGGAAGAACATTCCGTACTCATGAATAGGAAGAATCAATATTGTGAAAATGGCCATACAGCCCAAAGTAATTTATAGATTCAATGCTCTCCCCATCAAGCTACCATTGACTTTCTTCACAGAATTAGAAAAAAAACTACTTTAAATTTCATATGAAACCAAAAAAGAGCCCATATAGCCAATACAATCCTAAGCAAAAAGAACAAAGCTGGAGGCATCATGCTACCCGACTTCAGACTATACTACAGTAACCAAAACAGCATGGTACTGGTACCAAAACAGATATATAGACCAATAGAACAAAACAGAGGCCTCAGAAATAACGCCACACATCTACAACCATCTGATCTTTGACAAACCTCACAAAAACAAGCAATGGGGAAAGAATTTCCTATTTAATAAATGCTGTTGGGAAAACTGATTAGCCATATGCAGAAAACTGAAACTGGACCCCTTCCTTACACCTTATACAAAAATCAACTCAAGATGAATTAAAGACTTAAACATAAGACCTAAAACCATAAAAATCCTAGAGGAAAACCTAGGCAATACTACTCAGGACATAGGCATGGGCAAAGACTTCATGACTAAAACACCAAAAGCACTGGCAACAAAAGCCAAAATTGACAAATGGGATCTAATTAAACTAAAGAGCTTCTGCACAGCAAAAGAAACTATCATCAGAGTGAACAGGCAACCTACAGAATGGGAGAAAATTTTTGCAATCTATCCATCTGACAAAGGGCTAATATCCAGAATCTATAAGGAACTTAAACAAATTAACAAGAAAAAAACAAACAACCCCATCAAAAAGTGGGTGAAGGATATGAACAGACACTTCTCAAAAGAAGACAATTATGCGGCCAACAAACATGTGAAAAAAAGCTCATCATGACTGATCATTAGAGAAATGCAAATCAAAACCACAATGAGAGATACCATCTCACACCAGTCAGAATGGTGATCATTAAAATGTCGGGAAACAACAGATGCTGGAGATGATGTGGAGAAATAGGAAAGCTTCTACATTGTTGATGGGAGTGTAAATTAGTTCAACCATTGTGGAAGACAGTGTGGAGATTCCTCAAGAATCTAAAACCAGAAATACTATTTGACCCAGCAATCCCATTACTGGGTATATACCCAAAGGATTATAAATCATTCTACTATAAAGACACATGCACATGTATGTTTATTGCAGCACTATTCGCAATAGCAAAGACTTGGAATCAACCCAAATGCCCATCAATGAAAGACTGGATAAAGAAAATGTGGTACATATATACCATGGAATAATATGTAGCCATAAAAAAGGATGAGTTCATGTCCTTTGCAGGGACATCGATGAAGGTGGAAACTATCATTCTCAGCAAACTAACACAGGAACAGAAAACCAAACACCACATGTTCTCACTCCTAAGTGGGAGTTGAACAATGAGAACACATGGACACAGGGAGAGGAACATCACACACCAGGGCCTGTCAGGGGGTCGGGGGCTAGGGGAGGGACAGCATTAGGAGAAATACCTAATGCAGATGACGGGTTGATGGGTGCAGCAAACCACCATGGCAAGTGTAAATCTATGTAACAAACATGCACGTTCTGCACATGTATCCCAGAACTTAAAGTATAATAATAATAATAATAATAATAATAATAATAATAATAATAAAAAGACCTATACACTGCTAGGAGAAGGCTGCATATTAGAATTCTTTTCTCTCACTGCCAGCATGAAAAGGGAAACCTGGTCAATTACACAATTCCCAGGGTCCATCGTATATATATATTATGTATATATATTATGTATAATATATTATATATAATCAATATTGTGAAAATGGCCATACTGCCCAAAGTAATTTATAGATTCAGTGCTATCCCCATCAAGCTACCATTGACTTTCTTCACGGAATTAGAAAAAACTACTATACTATGTAGTATATATATACACTACATATATATACTATATATGTATATATTACATATGAATATATAGTATATGTGTATATATAATATATATGTGTGTATATATGTTAAAAACCCATTACTCAGAAGAGGTACTAGTGTTCTTGGTACTAAGACAGACAGGATCCCTCTCACTGGGCCTGGCGACATTTATTGAACAGCACTCTTAACACCATTCATACAATAAATGCAGTGATGAGTTTCATGAGATGACGGGAAGTTGTAGGGTCACTTGTGGAAAGCATGTTTATTAATGGTGAGGTGCCCTTTTTTGGGCTGATTTACTTCTCTCACGAATACTTCTAAAGTCATCAAAATGTCAAATAAACAAGAACTTTACACATTATCCTGACATCTTTTTTTTCTGATTCTCTGGAATCTCCATTAAACTCCATTTGACACTCTATAAATCTCACGACAAGTTTACTCATTTTTGACTATACTTCCTTTTTCAGGCTTTAAAAAACTCCTGATTGTGCTTGGTTTCCTGAAATGACAGTATTGAACCATCGTAGAGTCACGGTGGTTTCTGCTACTAACTTAATAGTGATTTATGTAACTTTATTTCCCCAGCTTACTCGATTGCTTATATTCTGTAAGGCTCAGGGCAGTTTATAAATTAATAATTTTTAAAAAGCCTGTGATAATAGTTGCAAAACCAGCAAAACCCACAGTGGGCAGATTTCACTTCCTGTTCCAAATTGCTAGCACAGGTCTATTAGCAACCAGGACAATGGTGAGGATTATAATGGCTGTTTTTTGTATTACCCTTTTAAAAGAAAATTCAGCAGTCAGTCCCACTGAAACTTCTAGTTCCTGTTGTAATTTAGAAAGTACTGATATTTATTGTTATTATTATCATTGTCATTACAAATAGTGAAAGTAGGGATGCATAAATAAAGTCTGCCTTAGGGGCAGCCCGAAGCTATATTCCAGCAAGTTACTGTGCTACAGTATTATGAGAATTTTTATCCATCATCAATAAAAAATAAGCATAGCAGTTATTGTGGCAGTTGCCACAGTCAAGACTGTTTCTGCTATTACATCTCTTAGTAAAAGGGTGATACACTCTACATTATATGATGTCAACTCATCCACCTTTCCAACATTAAAGTATAATGTACAATCTCTACATGGATTCTTCCCTCATGAAGTCACATTTCCATGAACTTGGGGACAAGGACACAATGGGGCTAAATTAACTGTGAGCAGAAAGTAAAGTAAATTACATTTCTTTATAAATCAATAGCATAGAGATACCACCATTTCTTTTTTGGAAAGGAATACAGTTGAAATAAAATTGATAAAATAAATATTTTACAGTGCAGGCCTATGCCCACCAGTGGTGGAATTATGCCAGACCAATACCCTTGATGCTCCACTGGGCACACTGGAACCACAAAAGGAGCACGAACATTTCTATGCCCCAGGCTTTCCAGCACCAGGCCCATGAATATGCTGTCTGAGCTAAGTGGATGTTGTAGTCATCTTTCTGGCAGCATGGTGGTTGGGGTTAGATTCTCAGAATACGAATTTCCTCATTCTCATAATCTGCTAATTCTGCTTTTTTTTTTTTCTTCCCCTAAAGTCTATTTCATTTTATCCTTTTTTTCAGAGACAGGGTCTTACTCTGTCACTCATGCTGGAGTGCATGACTCATAGCTCACTGCAATCTTGAATTCCTGGATTCAAGCGATCCTCCCTCCTCTGCCTTCCATAGTGCTAAGCACCATAGAGTGCACCACCATGCCTGGCTGCTACCAGAAAAAAAAAAAAAAAAGATTAAATATGGTGTCTTGCTACATTGCTCAGGCTGGTTTTGAACTCTTGGTCTCAAGTGATCAGCCTCCAGAGTGGCTGGGATTATAGGCATGAGACACTGTGCCTAGTTCTTGTCCTATTTCATATTTTTTTACCTAACTACTCTTGCTTATGGTGATCAAAGTGACAGAAAAAATTTATGGATAACTCACTAAAGAATATGTATGGGGAAGTTTAAAATGCCCAAGATTTATAACAGAAGACCCCAGTTCAAATACTACTTCAACTTCTTAGGGCAAATTTCTTTCCTTTTTTGTTTTAGAGAGTTTGTAGGCATCTAACCAGCTCAAAATTATTTTCACTTCTATGGGAAGCTAGCTGTCTTCTTTGCTACTTACCCATAGCAAACTTGACTTTACCAATCAGATTTTCTCTCCCAGGCAAGGTTAATAAAAGGTAAGCTGTGGGCCGGGCATGGTGGCTCACACTTGTAATCCCAGCACTTTGGGAGGCACAGGCAGGTGGATGACCTGAGGTCAGGAGTTCGAGACCGGCCTGGCCAACCTGGTGAAACCCCATCTCTACTAAAAATACAAAAAAATTGGCCAGGCATGGTGGCAGGCACCTGTAATTCCAGCTACTCGGGAGGCTGAGGCAGGTGAATCACTTGTACTCAGGAGGCAGAAGTTGTGGTGAGCCAATGAGCCAAGATTGCGCCATTGCACTCCAGCCTGGGCAAGAAGAGCGAAACTCCGCCTCAAAAAAAAAAAAAAAAAGTAAGCTATGAAAAGCTGTATTCTTCCACATGCATAAAGGAACAGAAAAAGTTAATTTGCAGGGAGAAAACAATGAGGTAGAAAGGAAGAGAAGAGCAAATATGAGAAAGGGAAACTGAGTCCATGCATTCCTAAGCTATCGTGAGGTAGGAGGGAGAATCAACTTGGCAGCTTTCTTACCTCACCACTCCATTTAAGTCCCACCTGCGACTTGGCTATCCACCTACTCTCTGATTCTGGGAAATAGTCAATGTTGTATTGCTGGAGTTCTTTCTATTGCTTTTCTAGATTTTGTGAGTTTTTATTACCTGCAATCACAAGAGTTCTAAGACACTCTTTGAAGTCTTGGTTTTCAATGGACTAACAATTTCTGAGCCACTCTTTGGTCATGGTGTCTAGTGAGGGGAAACGGAGTTGATGGACGATGATGTGCTATTGTTAATAACTCACAAGCTCATGCATGTGGTCAACAAATGTTTACTGGGCATCAACTATCTGTCTGACATTGTCTTAGATGTATGAATAGAGCACTAAACAAAACAAAGTCATTGCCAAATGGAATTCATGTTCTGGGAGAGGGAAATAGAAAGTAAAAATTTTAAAAACAAGTAAATATATCATATGACAGGTAGCAAAAGGAAGCAAAAAATAGTATAAAGGCGACAAGGAGTGATGGAAGAGAGGGGTTGTTATTTTAGGTAGATTGGGTAGAGAAAGTCTCAATAGCGCAATGGCATGTGAGACCTGAAGGAAATTAGGGAGTTAGATGGGACCCTTTGGAGAACAATGAACAGGGAAAGGAAGTACAAAAGTCTTGAGGAAGGAGTGGACATGGCATATTTGAGGAACAGAAAGACCAGAGTGACATACTAGAAGATAAATTATAGAAGGGGCTGGCATAAAGACTTTTACTCTGGATGAGATGGGAAGCTGTTGGAGGCTTTTGAGCAGAGATGTGACATGATTTGACTTCCATTTTAGAAATACTGTTGGGGTGCTGTGTTAAGAATATATTAGAGGGGAATGGGTGCAGTGGCTCATGCCTGTAATTCTAGCACTTTGGGAGGTCGAGGTGGAAGGATTGTTTGAGTCCAGGAGTTTGAGACCAACATGGCCAACACAGCAAGTCCCTGTCTCTACAAAAAATTTTAAAAATTAGCCAGGTGTACATGCCTGTAGTCCCAGTTACTTGGGAGGCTGAAGTAGGAGGATCACTTGAGCCCAGGAGTCTGAGGTTACAGTGAACCATGATGGTGCAATTGCACTCCAGCCGGGGTAACAGAGTGAGACTTTGTCTCAAGAAAAAAAATACAGTACAGGGGAAAGGCAAAGCAAGGAAGGCAGTTAGGAAGCCCCTGTGATGGTTTAGCTGAGAGATGGTCATGACTTGGATAAGAATCACGGCTAAAGAAAGATATAGAAATGCCAGGTTCTCCTGTAATGTTAAGGCAGAAGCTGTAAGGTTTGCTGATGTTTTAGAGATGAGTTTGAGAGAAGACATGGGTCAACAAAGAGTAAAAGTCTGGACCAAACAGAAAGATGGAGCTGTCATTGATGAGATTGGGAAGGTGATGGAAACGGCAGTTATTTAAGTGGGGAAATTTAAGAGTTTCATATTGGATATGGTAAATTTCAAACAACTACTAGACATGTAAGTAGAAAAGTCCCTTAAGAATTTGGATATATGAATCTGGAGGCTTGGAGAGGGCTCTAGACTGGAGATCTAGTTTATTTTCCTGTCGTCCTCATTCAGAGGAGCATCCCATTTAGGGATGCAAGAAGACAGATTTTTTTTTAGTCATTGAGATTAAGAATTAAGGAGAGTACAGATGGTGTAACACTTTAAGATCAAAGTGTTTGGAAGGGAAGCAAGAGAATTTTTAAAAGCCTGGTTGACTTTCTTAGCTTTCTGTAATTAGTTTGTGTCAACATATCTTTTATCTTCGAACAAAATACCATTGGCAGCAAAATGTCTCATATCTACAAATAAATTTATTGGAAACACTTGGAATTTCTGGGTCAGAAAATATATAGAGAGATTACTGTGCTAATAATTAACAAATTATTCTTTCATGCATAAATTGTTGGATGAGCATATCAATGGTTGAATATTTATTAAGCACTCATCTTGTGCTGTTAAGCATAGCCTAATAAAGGCTAAGGCTAATAAAAATCAGTCTTTCGTAAATAAATTAAAATAAAATTAATTAATTGATTAATTAAATTAGATTAAAAAATTAATTTCTGCCTTCAATGGTTTTATAGGAAAGAGCTTAAAATCTGGCATATTACCAAGGTCAACTCATGGCAAACTTGCAAAATCTGTCTTTGGTTCTTTTCTACCACCATACTGAAAATTTAACTTATCCCATAGCCCATCCACTTTCCCAAACAACCTGTAAACCAGAAAGGTTGTGTAGGAGGGCAGACCTTGAAAATTCTTGCAAATAAAAAGATCCTACTTCCAGTTCATCTCAAATATTGGAATACAGCTGAGAACCATGAAGGCAATGCAGTTTGGTATAAAGAACACCGAAATAGAGCTGACTTCTGAATCCTACTCAGCATGTTACTTATCAACTGTGTCTTGTATGACATGTTTATACTTACAATAAATGTATATGGAAAACTTCAATGCCTCGTTGATGCAAGACAGCCAGCGATTATCTTACACCAGAGTCTCAGACACTTCTACCTCCAGTCCTTCAGACTTTCTTCAGTACTTCACATAGCTTTATTTCTTAATCCTCACTTTAGTGGGATTTTATGTACCCAACCCCCAAATATTTTAATGTATAATTGTCACATGTGGCACTTGTGAACCAAGTAAACATTAATTGGACACCTACTGTGTGCCAGGTACACACTGGTGACACAAAGAACAAAATGCTGACGTTCTCTTCAAACAGAGAGGAGAAACCACAGAAATCTAATGTGTTATGAAAATTTCAAAGGTGTATCTTTGCATGAGATATTATGAGAATCCAGAAAAAGGCAATTTTCAACCGAGGAGGGGCAGCAAACTCTTCCTTGGCAAGGATTAGAGGACAAGTAGGAGTTTATTAGGCCAAGAGAAAAGGTTACAGGTAGGAAGAAAGATCATTTTGTTACACAGAGCAATAACAAAGAACAATGAGTCAGTTGCATAAGATTATGTGCTGTTGGAATATAAATTTAAAGGCAGGAAGTCATAAGAGTTGCAACTGGGGATAAATTAGAATCAAGTCATTGGGGATTCTGATAACTTAATTCTGCTCTTGCTATGGAGCCATTCTTCCCTAAGCCAACTCAGATCCTTTTGTGGGGGAATGGAAATACAGCAGGATAAATAACTAAATAGATGACTTTACACAACTACAGAAGTTTCTTCTTTTATGTTTTCCAGATGCCTGGGGAGAAATGATGCAAAAGGCAAGAAAATAAATATTATGGAAATTTGTTAATTCAGATATCGCTTGTTGTATATAAGTCATCAGAAATAATAATACATGCTACGAACATCTTTTGAGTGATTATTGGAGATTACAACCAAAAAGCATAAATATGTCAATAACATTTGGGGTCCCTTATAACAGTTTTAAAATTCTGTAATTATGGCAGTGCTTTGAATTTTGTTTCTAAGGAACTGCTAGAGGGGAAATGACTCTAAAGAAGGAATTAAGAACTCAGTCTTGGCTTGTGTTGCAATATCTTTCTGTTCTTAGGACTCACTTTTTAGCAAACAATGAGGCTACTTACCAAGGGTTCCTCAGAATATTTCAAATTTCAAAAAAGTACATTATAGGAATTGAGGAGATTAGTCTGCTAAAAAGCTTATAAGAAAGATACAAAATGTGAAATTATTGATTTAAGTAAACTAAACTTACTATAGGTAAATGAGGATAGATATATATGTAACATATAAATTATACCTCATTAGTGTTTTTATGATGTGTGTCTGATTCTATGACTAAAAATGTATACATTAACACACATATTTTTGGTCCTGGTACATTTTCGTTTTAAAAATTATTTCTCAAATCTTCTAATTATTGACATTGCTGACTAGTGCTATTTCAAAACTTTTTGTAGTCCAGGCTACTTATCATCATGTTGGATGAAAATAGACAAATGGTATATGCTTCCTTTTAAGAAATACAGTTCCTGGCTTCACCTAAGCTAATTAACTGGCTAGAGTAGTCATCCATAAAAGAAGACGCTAATACTTCAGGGCCATTAGCATTGCCCCATGAAGCTGATCTCCTTAGCTGGTTGATTTCTCTCTTTCCAAGCCTAAGAATCCTAACCTATACTATGTGGTAAGTCACATTCAAATTTCCTTTTACCATTGATCCTGTAAGTGGTTAGACTAGGTTGCTAATAGGTTAAATAATGGGCTGAAATCCTAGGTGGTTTTTCTGATATTGTTCTTTGGGTTCATGCCTTGCTCCAGTTAGTTCCATCAAAATTAAGAAGGCAGAAAACCAGTAGTAGGTATAGGTATACATTCTCTTATAGCAAGTACGCTGCAACTTAAAAAAAAAATCTAACACTAAATTTGAAATGCTTGTTTTATGGAACACTAATTCCCAAAAACGTTCTTTTGAAAGTAAAGGAGAAATGGCTCCAAGGTCAACCTTTGCATGTCGAATGTTTGAAATGTTGCATAGATGGCTCAATCAAGAAGGCTCCCAAACATTAGCATATTAAAGGTTCTGAAACTTCCAGTTATAAATAAACCTGTCTCCCTTCATTTAACCAGAATTATGAGGCTTACCTGTCAAGAAAGTATTTTTTTTCCTGTGAAATATATCAATATTCTGTGGAAGTTCACAATTTTGGAAAATTTTATTGAAAGATATTTAATAAGAATTTTGGAATTCACAATGCCCAAAAAATTTATTTATTTTACATATCTACAGTAAATCTCATTTCACAGATAATTTGGGGGTCATGAATATTATTCCAAGACTGGCTTGTTCCAGTTGCAGAAGTAGAAGTGATAATAAGGTTTCCTTATTTCCAATCCAAATCATCTCACTGTTACCAAAGAATTATTAATTGGTTGCCCAAAGATATTCATTAATTCTTTATCTGGAAGTATAATATACTTTCTACCAGGTTTGAGATAGGAACATATTTACAGTTTTCAATTTAATAACAAACAAATTGCCAAACATAAGCAAAGTGGAGCATAGTTTTCACTTTTCCCATATGCACAGTTCCAAAATCATAGCAATAACAGATAAAATATATTAGGCATTTGAAATGTCATCATGGGGCTCACCAAGATAAACTCATGTATAGAAAAGACATAGAGTAGGAAAGAAAGCAGTAGCAAGGCTGACTCCACAGGTTCAGATCTGGGTTGTAGCAGCCATTGTTAGGGTGGTTTTAAAAAGTTCCACATGAAATTAAGACCACACAACAATCATTTGAAAACAGGGGTTGGGGTGTGTGGGTGGTTCCTGCTCATTAAAAAGCAAAATCAAAACCCGGAAAAACAAAACCAAAAACACTACTGCTGATTTACTTCCTGAAACTATGCTGTTACAGGGATATGGGAAGACAATGACATAACCTCAAATGAAAGTATAATTTCTGCATAGCAAGAGCAAGAATCTATAAAATGTGGCCGGGTGCGGTGGCTCACGTCTGTAATCCCAGCACTTTGGGAGGCTGAGGCGGGCAGGTCAAGAGGTCAGGAGATCGAGACCACCCTGGCTAACACGGTGAAACCCCGTCTCTACTAAAAATACAAAAAAATTAGCCGGGCATGGTGGAGGGCGCCTGTAGTCCCAGCTACTCAAGAGGCTGAGGCGGGAGAATGGCGTGAACCCAGGAGATGGAGCTTGCAGTGAGTGGAGATCGCGCCACTGCACTCCAGCCTGGGCGACAGAGTGAGACTCCATCTCAAAAAAAAAAAAAAAAAAAAAAAAGAATCTATAAAATGTAAACATTTGTAAATAAGTCCCAAAGAAGATGAGACAGACTAAACCATCAACTGGAAGTGAAAAAAATATAGTCATTGAAATTAAAACACACACACACACACACACACACACACACACACTAGGTGAAACAACTTTATAGATGGAACAACTCTACAGAAAAAGAATTCATGAATTGGAAAATTATAGTGGGGAATTCACATAGAATGCATCACAAAGAGCAAAATGAATTTCTAAGGGGCAAAGCAAAGCAACTAAGAAATACGGATGACTGATTTCAGAGACTCGAGGATGAAAGGATAGAATAAATAAAATCTGAGCAAATATAACTGAATTTTCCCTAAGTGAGGAAAAACAAAAATGCTTGTAACATATTTTGAATTCTGAGTTTTGTGCAAGATACACATAAATACAATTAGAACCAAAAGGTTAAAGATATTAAAAATAATTGTAAAACGTAGAGGAAAACCATTAAAGAAAAATGACACAATCTGTCAGGAAATTTCTCTTTAATAATAGAAAACCCAGAAGACAATGGAATTCTATATTTAAGGTGTTGAAGACAGTATCTGTGACTTAGAATTTTATTTGCAGGTAAATCATAAAAATTAAAAAAAAAATGAAGACAGTTTCAAACACATAACCACTAAGAGTATTTACCGTAGACACTCAGCTTAAAAAATACTTAAAGATTGTCATCAACTAGAGAACACAGGAATGTATAAAAATGTCACTAAATATAATTATTTATTGACCATAAAAACAATTTAGTATTTTATATATTGTTTAAAATGTCAAAATCATAATTCTAATTTTCAATAACTAGATGATAGGTTGAAATGATTAATGCATAGTTGTACCGTGATAAGTTCTGTGTTACATAGGAGAGAAGGGGAGAAATGTTGCATGCTGTTAGAATTTGTTAAAAAAATGTAACCAACTATACATGTTTTTTAAATTTTAGCGTATCTACGAAAGTGATTATATAATTAGAGCTTTTAAGCCTGTAGAGAAAAATAAAAGTAGCTATTAAAATTTTTATTGATTCATTAAATTAACTATCTTCTATTTCTTTCAAAATTTCCATAATTTGGTGATGATTCATATATCTGCATGCATATATCCAATGATTTTAACAACTAAACAATACCCATGACATTTTTCATTAAGTTTGCTTCAGAAAATGAAGCACAGTTATTTTCAAGTTTGCTTCAGAAAATGAAGCACAGTTATTTTCAATTTTCAATGTTTCTAATAGTTAAAGAAAACCATAAGAGAAATTCAGTCTCTTGTGTTCTTTGCAATGATTGTTGAGTGGTAGAGTTTCATACATATCTGTCGTAATATCATACATATCTCCTATAATCGCCTTAAAGATTTTCTTGAAACAAGAAAAAAGAAATATAATTCTTTTTTCATTCACAAACATGTATACAGCTTATTTTTAACACAAAAATAGGAACTATGTATTTTTCTTTTCTGTTTTTTTTTCTTTTTTTATTATACTTTAAGTTCTAGGGTACATGTGCACAACGTGCAGGTTTGTTACATATGTATACATGTGCCATGTTGGTGTGCTGTACCCATTAACTCCTCATTTACTTTAGGTATATCTCCTAATGCTATCCCTCCCTCCTCCCCCCACCCCACAACAGGCCCCGGTGTGTGATGTTCCCTTTCCTGTGTCCAAGTGTTCTCATTGTTCAATTCCCACCTATGAGTGAGAATATGTGGTGTTTGGTTTTCTGTCTTTGTGGTAGTTTGCTCAGAATGATGGTTTCTAGCTTCATCCATGTCCCTACAAAGGACATGAACTCATCCTTTTTTATGGCTGCATAGTATTCCATGGTGTATATGTGCCACATTTTCTTAATCCGGTCTATCATTGACAGACATTTGGGTTGGTTCCAAGTCTTTGCTATTGTGAATAGTGCCACAATAAACATACGTGTGCATGTGTCTTTATAGCAGCATGATTTATAATCCTTTGGGTATATGCCCAGTAATGGGATGGCTGGGTCCAGTGGTATTTCTAGTTCTAGATCCCTGAGGAATTGCCACACTGTCTTCCACAATGGTTGAACTAGTTTACAGTCCCACCAACAGTGTAAAAGCATTCCTATTTCTCCACATCCTCTCCAGCACCTGTTGTTTCCTGACTTTTTAATGATCGCCATTCTAACTGGTGTGAGATGGTATCTCATTGTAGTTTTGATTTGCATTTCTCTGTTGGCCAGTGATGATGAGCATTTTTTCATGTGTCTGTTGGCTGCATAAATGTCTTCTTTTGAGAAGTGTCTGTTCATATCCTTTGCTCTCTTTTTGATGGGGTTGATTTTTTCTTGTAAATTTGTTCAAGTTCCTTGTAGATTCTGGATATTAGCCCTTTGTCAGATGGGTAGATTGTAAAAATTTTCCCCCATTCTGTAGGTTGCCCCATTCACTCTGATGGTAGTGTCTTTTGCTGTGCAGAAGCTCTTTAGTTTAATTAGATCCCACTTGTCAATTTTGGCTTTTGTTGCCATTGCTTTTGGTGTTTTAGTCATGAAGTCTTTGCCCATGCCTATGGCCTGAATGGTATTGCCTAGGTTTTCTTCTAGGGCTTTTATGGTTTTAGGTCTATCATTTAAGCCTTTAATCCATCTTGAATTAATTTTTGTATAAGGTGTAAGGAAGGGATCCAGTTTCAGCTTTCCACATATGGCTAGCCAGTTTTCCCAGCACCATTTATTAAACAGGGAATCCTTTCCCCATTTCTTGTTTTTGTTGAGTTTTTCAAAGATCAGATGGTTGTAGATGTGTGGTATTATTTCCAAGGGCTCTATTCTGTTCCATTGGTCTATATCTCTGTTTTGGTATCAGTACCATGCTGTTTTGGTTACTGTAGCCTTGTAGAATAGTTTGAGTCAGGTAGCTTGAAGCCTCCAGCTTTGTTCTTTTGGCTTAGGATTGTCTTTGCAATGCAGGCTCTTTTTTGGTTCCATATGAACTTTAAAGTAGTTTTTTCCAATTCTGTGAGGAAAGTCTTTGGTAGCTTGATGGGGATGGCATTGAATCTATAAATTACCTTGGGCAGTATGGCCATTTTCACAATATTGAATCTCCCTATCCATGAGCATACATTGTTCTTCCATTTGTTTGTGTCCTCTTTTATTTCGTTGAGCAGTGGTTTGTAGTTCTCCTTGAAGAGATCCTTCACATCCCTTGTAAGTTGGATTCCTAGGTATTTTATTCTCTATGAAGCAATTGTGAATGGGAGTTCCTCATGATTTGGCTCTCTGTTTGTCTGTTATTGATGTATAGGAGTGCTTGTTATTTCTGCACATTGATTTTGTATCCTGAGACTTTGCTGAAGTTGCTTATCAGCTTAAGGAGATTTTGGGCTGAGATGATGGGGTTTTCTAAATATACAATCATGTCATCTGCAAAAGGGAGAATTTGACTTTCTCTTTTCCTAATTGAATACCCTTTATTTCTTTCTCTTGCCTAATTGCCCTGGCCAGACCTTCCAACACTATGTTGAATAGGAGTGGTGAAAGAGGGCATCCCTGTCTTGTGCCAGTTTTCAAACGGAATGCTTCCAGTTTTTGCCCATTCAGTATGATATTGGCTGTGGGTTTGTCATAAATAGCTCCTTTTATTTTGGATACGTCCCATCAATACCTAAATTATTGAGAGTTTTTAGCATGAAGGGCTGTTGAATTTTGTTGAAGGCCTTTTCTGCAGCTCCAGTCTGCAGCTGCCAGCATGAGCAATGCAGAAGACAGGTGATTTCTGCATTTCCAACTGAGGTACTGGGTTCATCTCACTGGGGCTTGTCAGACAGTGGGTGCAGCCCAAGGAGCAGGGCAGGGCATCGCCTCACCCGGGAAGAGCAAGCAGTCAGGGAATTCCCTTTCCTAGCTAAAGGAAGCCGTGACAGACGGTACCTGGAAAATCAGGACACTTCCACACTAAAACTGCCCTTTTCCAAGGGCCTTAGGAAATGGCACACAGGAGATTATATCCTGCACATGGCTGGGAGGGTCCCACAACCATGAAGCCTTACTTGCTGCTAGGACAGCAGTCTGAGATCGAACTGCAAGGTGGCAGCGAGGCTGGGGGAGTGGTGTCCGCCATTGCTGAGGCTTGAGTAGGTAAACAAAATGGCTGGGAAGCTCGAACTGGGTGGAGCTCATCACAGCTCAAGGAGGCCTGCCTGCCTCTGTAGACTCCATCTCTAGGGGCAGGGCTTAGCTGAAGGAAAGGCAGCAGAAACTTCTGCAGACTTAAACGTCCCTGTCTGGCAGCTTTGAAGAGAGTAGTGCTTCTCCCAGCATGTAGTTTGAGATCTGAGAACGGACAGACTGCCTCCTCAAGTGGGTCCCTGACCCCCCCCCGAGTAGCGTAACCGGGAGACACCTCCCAGTTAGGGGCCAACTGACACCTCATACAACTGGGTGCCCCTCTGAGATGAAGCTTCCAGAGGAAGGATCAGGCAGCAACGTCTGCCATTCTGCAATATTTGCTGTTCTGCAGCCTCCGCTGGTGATACCCAGGCAAACAGGGTCTGGAGTGGACCTCCAGCAAACTCCAACAGACCTGCAGCTGAAGGTCCTGACTGTTAGAAGGAAAACTAACAAACAGAAAGGACATCCACACCAAAACCCCATCTGTACGTCACCATCATCAAAGACGAAACCAGAGCAGAAAAGCTGAAAATTCTAAAAATCAGAGTGCCTCTTCTCCTCCAAAGGAACGCAGCTCCTCGCCACCAACAGAACAAAGCTGGATGTAGAATGACTTTGATGAGTTGAGAGAAGAAGGCTTCAGACGATCGGTAATAACAAACTTCTCTGAGCTAAAGGAGGATGTTCGAACCCATCGCAAAGAAGCTGAAAACCTTGAAAAAAGATTAGACGAATGGCTAACTAGAGTAACCAGTGCAGAGAAGTCCTTAAATGACCTGTTGGATGTGAAAACCATGGCACAAGAACTATGTGACGCATGCACAAGCTTCAGTAGCCGATTTTGATCAAGTGGAAGAAAGGGTATCAGTGATTGAAGATCAAATGAATGAAATGAAATGAGAAGAGAAGTTTAGAGAAAAAGGAGTAAAAAGAAACAAACAAAGCCTCTAAGAAATATGGGACCATGTGAAAAGACCAAATCTACGTCTGATTGGTGTACCTGAAAGTGATGGGGAGAATGGAACCAAGTTGGAAAACACTCTTCAGGATATTATCTAGGAGAACTTCCCCAACCTAGTGAGGCAGGCCAAAATTCAAATTTAGGAAATACAGAGAACACCACAAAGATACTCCTTGAGAAGAGCAACTCCAAGACACATAACTGTCAGAATCACCAAAGTTGAAATGAAGGAAAAAATGTTAAGGGCAGCCAGAGAGAGAGGTTGGGTTACCCATGAAGCCCATCAGACTAACAGTGGATCTCTTGGCAGAAACTCTACAAGCCAAAAGAGAGTGGGGGCCAATATTCAACATTCTTAAAGAAAAGAATTTTCAACCCAGAATTTCATATCCAGCCAAACTAAGCTTTATAAGTGATAAAATCCTTTACAGACAAACAAACGCTGAGAGATTTTGTCACCACCAAGCCTGCCTTACAAGAGCTCCTGAAGGAAGCACTAAACATGGAAAGGAACAACCAGTACCAGCTGCTGCAAAAACATGCCAAATTGTAAAGACCATCAAGGCTAGGAAGAAACTGCATCAACTAATTAGCAAAATAACCAGCTAACATCATAATTGAGAGGTGACAACGTGCTGGTGGCCCTCGCTGGCTCTCAGCACCTCATCGGCCTGGGCATCCACTCTGGCCACACTTGAGCAGCCCTTTGGCCTGCCACTGCGCTGTGGAGGGCCCCTCTCTGGGCTGGCCAAGGCCAGAGCTGGCTCCCTCTGCTTGCGGGGAGGTGTGGAGGGAGAGGCGTGGGCGGGAACTGGGCTGCATGCGGGGCTTGAGGGTCAGCGCGAGTTCTGGGTGGGCACGGGCTCGGCAGGCCCCACTCTTGGAGCGGCCAGCCAGCACTGCCGGCCCTGGGCAGTGAGGGGCTTAGCACCAGGGCCAGCAGCTGCCGAGGGTGCACCGGGTCCCCCAGGACTGCCGGCCCGCCCAGGCCGTGCTCGAATTCTTGCTGGGCCTCAGCCTCCTTCCCGCGAGGCAGGGCTGGGGACCTGCAGATCTCCATGACTGAGCTCCCCCAGAGGTGGGCTCCCACAGGGCTGAGCCTCCCCGACGGGTGCCGCCCCCTGCTCTGCAACGCCCAGTCCCATCAACCACCCAAGGGCTGAGGAGTGCAGGCATGTGGCGTGGGACTGGCGGATTGCTGAGCACCAGGACTTGTTCCTGGCCCAGAGTGGCTCCTGGAGAAGGGGTGAGTTAAACAGGTATGGAATGGCCCACTGTCAACATGGACCTCCAGAACCCTAGCTGCAGGAGACCCCATGACCCCCATCAACATTTGAGCTGGGTAGGACAGCTGCTTAGAGAGTTGGCAGGGACAGGACTCTAGCCTACCTGGAGCCCAGAGGGTTTGGCACAAGAATGGCTGCAGTGGAGCATACCCAAGGATGTCCATCCCCCAAGGATTGCGAAACTCTTCTAGGTGGTTTTGGCCTTTGGTGACTGTTGGATCTGGACAGAACAGGGCTATCTTGCCTGTGGGATGGGGCCTGTCTAATATGAGCATGCCCTGTCTGCTGGCCCCTCCCAGGGTCCTTACCTGGCTATAACCACTTCAAGTGCAAACTCAAATGTCCAACACTGGTGCTTCCCAACAGCCACTGCTATAGTTCCTGCACTGACAGACCCCGCCTGTATTAGTCAGAGTTCTCTAGAGGGACAGAACTAATAGGAGATATGTGTATACATATATATATATATATATAAAATACATACATTTATATATTATACATTTATATTTTTATTTATATTATATATTTATATTTTTAAATTTATATTTATATTAGTTACATATTATATAAAATATATATATAACATATATATATATAAAGGGGAGTTTATTAAGTATTGACGTACATAATTACAAGGTCCCACAATAGACTGTCTGAAAGCTGCAGAGCAAGGAGAGACAGTTCGACTCCCAAAACTGACGAACTTGGAGTTTGATGTTTGAGGGCAGGAAGCATCCAGCATGGGAGAAAGATGTAGGCTGGGAAGCTAGGCCAGTCTCTCCTTTTCACGTTTTTTTGCCTGTTTATATTTGCTGGCAGCTGATTAGATTGTGCTCCTCAGATTAAGGGTGGATCTGTCTTCCCCAGCCCACTGACTCAAATGTTAATCTCTTTTGGCAATGCCTTCACAGATACACCCAGGATCAATATTTTGTGTCCTTCAATCCAATCAAATTGACATTCAGTATTAGCCATCACACTGCCTTTGTTTTGAAGAAGAAAATATTAAAACAGCTAGAGAGAAGGGGCAGGGCACCTACAAAGGAAACCCCATCAGGCTAAAGAGGACCTTTCAGCAGAAGCATTGTTAAGCCAGAAGAGATTGGGGACCTATATTTAGCATCCTTAAAGAAAAGCAATTCCAATCAAGAATTTCATATCCAGCTAAACTAAGCTTCATAAGCAAAGAAATAAAATACTTTTAAGACAAGCAAATGCTATAAAAATTTGTTACCACCAGACCTCCTTATAAGAGGTCCTGAAGAGAGTGCTAAATATGGAAAAAAAAAGACTGTTACTGACCACCACAAAAACACACTTAAGTACATAGACCATCAACACTATAAAGCAACTACACAATCAAGTCTACATAACATCCAGCTAACAATATGATGATAGGATCAAATCTGCACATATCAATATTAACCTTGAACATAAGTGGGTTAAACACCCCACTTAAAAGGCACAGAGTAGAAAGTTGGATAAAGAAGCAAGACCCTAGTGTGTACTATCTTCAAGAGACCCATCTCACATGCAGTGAAAACCATAGGCTCAAAGTAAAGGGATGGAAAAACTTCTATCAATCTATCAAGCAAATGGAAAACAAAAAAGAGCAGGGGTTACTATTTCAGACAAATCAAATTTTAAACCAACAACAATCAAAAAGGACAAATTAGGGGCATAATGACAAAGGATTCAATCCAACAAGGCATAATTTTCCTAAATATATATGCACCAAACACTGGAGCACCCAGATTCATGAAATAAGTTCTTAGAGACCTATGAAGAAACTTAGATAACCACAGAGTAATAGTGGGAAACTTCAACTGATAGTGACAGTGTTAAACAGATCACCTGACAGTATTAGACAGATCATCCAGGCAGAAAACTAACAAAGATATTAAAGACCTAAACTTGACACTTGACCAAATGAACCTAACAGAAATCTGCAGAACACTCAACTCAACAACAAGAGAATATTTATTCCTCTTATCTGCAAATGACATATACTCTAAAATCAACCACATGCTCAGCCATAAAGCAACTCTCAACAAATCCAAAAAATTGAAATAATACCAACCACTCTCTCAGGCCACGGTGCAATAAAAACAGAAATCAATATCAAGAAGATCTCTCAAAACTGTACAACTATATGGAAATTAAATGATCTGCTTCTGAATGACTTTTGGATAAACAACAAAATTAAGGCAGAAATCAAGAAATCCTTTGAAACTAATGAAAGCAAGATACAGCATACAAGAATATTTGTAGCACAGCCAAAGCAGTGTTAAGAGGGAATTTTATAGCACTAAACATCCACATTAAAAACTTAGAAAGATCTCAAATCAAAAACCTAACATCACACCTAGAGGAACTTAAAGAAATAAAAGCAAATCAACCCCAAAGCTAGCAGAATAAAAGCAATAACCAAAATCAGCTAAACTAAATGAAATTGAGAAACAAGCAATGTACTGAAGATCAATGACACCAAAAGTTGGTTTCTTGAAACAATAAATAAGACTGATAGACTGCTAGCTAGACTAATAGAGAAAAAGAAGGAAGATACATAAGAACACAATCATAAGTGGCAAATAGGACATTACTATTGACCCCACAGAAATGCAAAAAACCCTCAGAGACTATTTTGAACAAATTAAAAAATCTAGAAGAAATGGATAAATTCCTGGAAACATACAACCTCCCAAGATTGAAGCAGGAAGTAACTGAATCCCTGAACAGAGCAATAATGAGTTATGAAAATTCTGTTAGTAATAAAAAGCCTACCAACCAGAAAAAGACTTGGACCAGACTTATTAAACGCCAGATACTACCAGATGTATAAAGAAAAGTTGGTACCAATTCTACTATAACTGTTCTAAAAAATTAAGGAAACGGAACTTCCCCACCACCACCTCATTCTATGAGACCAGCATCATTCTGATGCCGAAACCTGGAAGAGACACAACAACAACAACAAAAACTTCAGGCCAGTATTCCAAATGAACATAGATGTAAAAACCTTAAACAAACTACTAGCAAACTAAATACAGAATCACATTAAAAAGCTAATCCACGATGATCAAGTAGGCTTTATTCCTGGGATGCAAGTTTCGTTCAAAATATGCAAATCAGTATATGTGATTCATCACATAAACAGAACCAAAAACAAAAACCGCATGATCAACTCAATAGATACAAAAAAGGCTTTTGATAAAATTCAATATCACTTAATGTTAAAAACCCTCAAGAGACTAGATATCAAAGGAATATACCTCAAAATAGTAACAGCCGTCTATGACAAACCCAAAACTAACATCAGACTGAAAGGGCAAAGACTAGAACCATTCCCCTTGAGAGCCAGAATAAAATAAGATGCCTACTTTCACCATTTCTTCTCAACATAGTACTGAAAGTCCTACCCAGAGCAACTAGTGAAGAGAAAGAAATAATAGGCATTCAAATAGGAAGAGAGGAAATCAAGCTATCTCTCTTCACAGACTATATGATTCTATACCTAGAATACCCCATAGTCTCTACCCAAAGTCTCCTATTTCTAGTAAACAACTTCAGTAGAGTTTCTGAATACAGAATCAATGTTCAAAAATCAGTAGCATTTTTATACAACAACAATGTCCAAGCTGAGAGCCAAATCAAGAATGCAATCCTATTCACAATAGCCACAAAAAGAGTAAAATACCTAGGAATGCAGCTAACCAGGGAGGTTAAAGATCTCTACAATGAGAATTACAAAACACTGCTCAAAGAAATCAGAGATGACACAAACAAATAGAAAAACATCCATGCTACTGGCTAGGAATAATCAATATAATTAATTTCATTAAAATGGCCATAGTGCCCAAAGCAATTTACAGATTCAATGATATTTCTATCAAACTACCAACCAGATTTTTCACAGAATTAGAAAAAAAATTCTACAATTCACATGGGAACCAAAAAAGGGCCTGAATAGCCAAAACGATGCCAAGTAAAGAGAAAAAAATCCAGAGGCATCACACTACTCAACTTCGAACTATACTACAAGGCCTTAGTAACTAAAATAGCATGATACTGGTACAAAAACAGACACATATACCAATGGAACAGGTTAGAGAACTCAGAAGCAAATCTGCACTTACAACCAACTAATCTTTCACAAAGTCAACAACAACAAGCAATGGGGAATGGGCTCTCTATTCAATAAATGGTGATGGAATAGCTGACTAGCCATATGCAGAAGACGGAAACTGGATGCCTACCTTACACCACATACAAAAATCTAGTTAAGATGAATTAAAGGCTTAAATGCAAAACTTAAAACTATAAAAACCCCAGAAGAATACATAGAAAATACCATTCTGTACATAGGCCTGGGCAAAGATTTCATGGCGAACACACCAAAAGTAATTGCAACACACAAAACTTGACAAGTGGGACCTAAACAGAAGGGCTTTTGCACAGCAAAAGAAACTATCAACAGAGCAAACAGACAACCTGCAGAATGGGAGAAAATATTTGCAAACTATACATTTGACAAAGGTTTAATATTCTGGATAGAATCTATAAGGAGCTCAAACAAATCAACAAGCAAAAAACAACCCCATTAAAAAATGGGCAAAGGACATGAACAGACAACTTCTCAAAAGAAAACATACACATGGCCAAAAGCATATGAAAAATGGTCAACATTATTCATCTTTAGAGAAATATAAATCAAAACCACAGTGAGATACCATTTCCCACCAATCAGAATTGCTATTATTAAAAAGAAAAATAACAGATGCTGGCAAGGTTGTGGAGAAAAGACAATGCTTAAATGCTGCTGGTGGGAATGTAAATTAGTTCAGCCACTGTGGAAAGCAGTTTGAGATTTCTCACAGAATTTAGAACTACCATTTGACCCAGCAATCCCATTATGAGGTATACACTCAAATGAATATAAATCATTCTACCACAAAAATACATGCACATGTATGTTCATCATAGCCCTGTTTGTAATAGCAAAGATGTGGAATCAAGCTAGGTTCCCATCAATGGTGGATTGGATAAAGAAAATGTGGTACATATACACCATGGAATACTACACAGCCTTAAAATAGAATGAAATCATGTCCTTTGCAGCAACATAGTTGCAACTGGAGGTCGTTATCCTAAATAAATTAATACATAAACAGAAAACCATGTACTTCATGTTCTCGTTTATATGTGGGAACTAAACATTGACTACACGTGGATGCAAAAGAAGGAAATAATAGACACCGGGGTCTATTTGATGGTGGAGGATGGGAGGAGGGGGAAGATTAAAAACTACCTATTGGATACTACACTTGCTACTTGGATGATGAAATAATTTGTATATTAAACCTTGCAACACACAATTTACCCATGTAACAAACCTACAGAGGTATCCCAGAACCTAAAATAAAAATTGGAAAGAAAAAAGTTACGGTAAGCTAAGATTTAGTATAGAAGAAATAAATTATTTGTCATAAATTTAATGTATCATAAGTACAAAGTGTTTATATGCCCTTACAGTCACTCACCCCTCACTGACTAACCTAGAGCAACTTCCAGCCTGCAATCTCCATTCATGGTAATTGCCCTATACAGGTGTACCATTTTTTATCTTTCATATCATATTTTTACTATATCTTTTCTATTTTTAGATATGTTTAGAGACACAAATACTTACATTGTGTTAAAATTGCCTGCAGTATTCAGTAAAGTAACATACTGTATAGGTTTTAGCCTAGGAGCAATAGGCTATGCCATATAACCTAAGTGTGTAGTAGGCCAGACCGTCCAGACTTGTGTAAGTACACTCTATGATGTTCACACAATGACAAAATCACCAGTGATATATTTCTCAGAACATATCCTTGTCATTAAATGACACATGACTTTATTATGAACTAAAGTGACATAACCACAGATATTATATCAACTTTTAAGATCATAAGATAATAACATAAAGAAAAGTTTAAAGAAATAAAAATGTGAATGAAATGTATTTTTTAAAATTACACATCCTCCAAATTAAAATGAAAAGTATTATCAACTAGGAGCTCTTAAATAAAATTAATTTATATTCAAAAATTTTCATGCACTTTCCCTACTAGCAGTGATGCACAAAAACTTCAAATTATGACTATTCTCAATGCACATTTTTTCCTGACCTTCAAAAAACCAACAAGTACAAAATATTTAACAGAATAGAAAAAAGAGAACCACCAACTCATTTTATGAGACAGTTAGAAACCTTGAAGTCAAAATCAGAGGACATAAAAATAAAACAGTGAAAATTATGAATGTATATATAAAGTTTCTAAATAAAATACTAAAGAAAGAAATTAAATAACATAATATACTTGTCACAATAAAATAAAGTCTAGTTTAACAAACAAAGCAAGAACATTTCAATGTTATAAGAATCCAATATAAAAATGAGAGAATAACATAAGCAGACAATTCAAAGAAGGGAAAACCTACAAACTTATTAAGAGGTATTAAACTTCACTAGTATTCAGAGAAATACCAAAACAAAAGTAAAGAATATTTTTACACACCCTGTACGGGTAAAATTTGAGAAATCTGGCATTATCAAATAATAACCAAAAATAGGGAGAAAGTTGTAAAATTGAGATTTTGAACTTAGAACTTAAAGTATAATAAAAAAATAAATGAATAAATAAATAAATAATAAAAATAAATAAAAAAGAAAATTGCAAATTTCTAAACTACAAACACGTTGTTTAGCAATTGAGCAATATTCAGTACAATTGAGGACGTTTACACCTAATGATGCTACACTTCTTCCTTCAAGCGTAGTAGCTAGAGACAAATTTGGCAAAAATACACAAAATGATATATACAGCATGAGAATTGTAACACTGTTTACAACATCAATAAAAGTGTAAATAACCTTAAAAACTTCCAAAAAGAAAATGGATAAATAAATTGTAGTTTTTATTAATATGAAACAATGAAATAAACAGAAATTTAAATACATGAACTAGAGCTATACATACCAATATTAACAAATGTAAAAAACTTAAATATAAACAACAATGAGTAAAATGATACAATATGATATATATACACACATTTGAAAGCACAAGGAACAGTACCATATATTATTTATAGATTCATATATATGTAGTAATCGTCTACAAATAGTCATAGAGAAAGCTGCTACTGATGGCAGAAAAACAATTTGGATCAATATGCCCACAGAGAAAATCTGTATGTACATGTATGTATATGTGTATGAATGTATATATTCTGGATAAGACAGTCGAGAAGGTATAAGTAAAAAATATCAAAAGGAAAAGTAGACTTTATTTATATATTTTGAATTAGTGATGACAATAATGAAAAGGCTGCAGGTCAAAACTTGTTCACTGCATCTAAGGTTATATTAGCGGGAATTTTTAGCATTAAATATGTATATCAGAAAGAATATACATATTCTTCTTGCTCAAATTCTCTCAAGAAATTAGAGAAGAAAGAAAATTAAATATATGGAAAGTATGAGAAAAGAAATAATAAAGACAAATCAGAAACTTTAAGGAGAATAGAAAAAAAAATACTTTTGAACTCATTATCTGAGGCCAGAATTACTGTATTTAAAAAAGAAAACTGTCTAGGACATCAAAAGAGAGCAAATTACAGGCTAATTTACTTATGAAGATAAATGCAAAGTACTGAGCAAAATATCATCAATGGAAACCAAGCAACCTATACAAGGGGTAACACATCACAAAGAAACTGAATTATTCCAGGAAAGTAAGGTTGTTTAACATAAAAACATTAAAAATGAAGTCACCACATGTATAGAATAAAGGTGATTTATGATCATTTCGGTCGATGCAGAAAAATTATTTGATAAACATTTATTTTCTGGGATAGGCTGGATAAGGTTTCCAATGAATGATTTACATAACTCAATCCCCAGAACCAATGGACATGATTCCTTACATGGTAAAAGGGCATTTTGGATGTAATTAATTTGAGGATCTTGAGATGGGCATATTCTGCATGATTATCCTGATCAGGCCAATGTAATCACTAAGGTCCTTATTAGAAGGAGGCAGGAGGGGCAGTGTCAGAGAAGATGTGACTACAAAAGCAGAGCCTGGAGTGGTGACCATGAGCCAAGGAATGTGGACAGCCTCTAGAACCTGGGAAGGCAAGGAGATGTATTCTCCTCTAAAGCCTCCAAAAGGAAGGCAGCCCTGCTGACCCATTTTGGACTTCTGTCCTCCAGAACTTTAAGATAATAAGTCTGTACTATTTTAAGCTACTGAGTTTGACCGATTTGTTACAGTAGCAATAGGACACTAACACTTTATCATTTATGATTTTTAAAATCTTAGCAATTAGGAAAAAAAGGAAACTTTTACATCTTAAAAGGCATCTATAAAAACATAGTGCAAACATCATCCTTAAAGGTGAAAGGTTGAAAGCTTTTCCTCTGAAATTAGATCTGAAACAAAGGTCTCAATATCACTTTTTAGATTTATGCTGTATTAGGAATCCTACAAAATGCTATAATGCAGGAAAAATAAATGACAAAAAAAGATTGGAAGAAAGAAAGAAAACCACCATTATTTATAGATGAATTAAAATCCAAAAGAATCTACAGTAAATATTATAATGAAAAATTAATTTAGCAAATTAAAAGAAAAGAGGGCTCCTTGAAGATTTGGCTAATTCCATATTCATTACAATAAAGTTAAAAAATGAGCTTGTAACATCTTATAAGGTCAAAAATAAAGAAGTGCTCAAAAATAAAGAGGACTTGTCAAAACTACACAAAGCCAACTTAAAGAGGCTTCCAACTGGCCATACTCGAGGCCAATTTAGCTTCAAAATGAATAACAACAGTCATTATCATTGAATAAAATAAGAATCCGTAAGTTCATACAAATAGTAAGTAAATAGAAAAATAAAGGTGAAGAGAAAGCTCATCTTCATATTACAATAATTGAAAATGAATTCAGATAGGAATCATAAATGAATGTTTAAACCATTGAGTGAATGTGTGAAGAGGAACAAGATATTTACTTAGACTTCAAGTATCTCTCAGTTTACTTATTAATTAAAAAGAGAAATGAACGGTAAAGAGAAATAAATGGTAACTGTAAAGTGAAAAGATCTAGTGGGTACCACCTTAATTAAGTGATCAAAGTTAAAACCACTAGAAGGAGAAAAACTTACCTTATGCGCCTTCTGATGTATGCACTGGGGAGGAGAGGATAGATAGATATAGAGATACAAATACTATGTACATATATCTGTGTATGTATGTATGTGTGTGTGTGAGAGAGAGATGTATATGGAAAATTTAGAAAAATTGAAGAAATAAATAAATGGAGAAATATTAATGTGTGCCTTATTCAAAAATTAGAAAACTCATATTGTAAAAATGTAAATTATCCTCAAGTATACTTATTGGTTCCAAACAAAATAATTCCAATTTTTATGGGAGAAATTGATAGCGATAGTCTAAAATACATATAAAAGTGCACATGCCAAAAATAGCCAAAACACTCTCGAACAAGAAGCAAAAATGTGAGGGAAATTACTCCATCAGGAGTAAAGGCTTACTATAAAGCACTAATAGTTAAATAGCATGGTATTAACATTAAGATGGACAAATGCTTCCCATAAAGAAAGCAAACCATCTTATCTATGATTTATGATAAACATGCACTGAAGAGCACTACGTAAAAAAACGCCCTTTTCAATAAATAAACATCACTGAGTCAATTGAATATCTACATGGAGAAAAAATAAAACCATCTCTACCACACACTATATACAACAAGGGGTTCCAAGTAGATTGACTATCTTAATGTGAAAGAAAAAGCAATAGATATTTGAGAAGAAAAAATAGGATAATATCTTCAAGACTTTGGAGTGGGGAAGTATTTTTTAAATAAAATTAAAAAGAAAGCCATATCCATAAAGAAAAATATAAACATACACATGAAAAATAAGAATCTCTATCAAATAAAAATTATATAAGTGAAAGGCAAGTAAGGGAATATATTTCTAACACATGTAATTTGACAAGGGGCTCATGTGCATAATATATAAAGAATTCCTAAAAATCAGTCAGAGGAAAAAACAGACAACTCAATAGAATACTGGGCAAGAGACTTAACTAGTATCCATCAGAATGGGCCAATAAACATATAAGTGTTCCACCTCATTAGTCATCAGAGAAATGCAAATAGAAATCACAATAACACTTTAGAATCATCAAAATTGCTAACATTAAAAATCTGCCCAGGCCAAGTATTGGCAAAAATGCAGAGCAATGCCACCCTTTATACGCTGCTGGTAAGAATGTAATTGTTAAAATCATTTTGGAAATTGTTTGGCATTATCCACAAATTCCCCAATTTCCTTCTTAGATAAGCATCTAACAAAAACTTTGTGCAGAATAATGCTCGCTCCTAACAGGATTATTAATATTTGGAAACTGGGCACCATGAAAATGCCATCAGCAACATAGTGGTTAGAGAAATGATGATACATTGATACAATTGAAAACCATACATAATGAAAATGAACAACTACATCCACATGCAACAAAATCAATCTCACAAACATCATTTTAAGCAAAAGAAATCTTCTACAAAGAGACAGAGTATGATTCCAAACATTAAGTTTAAAAACAGGCATAACTTATCTACAGTGGTAAAAAAAAGTTGAGTATTGGTTACTTTTGAGGAGAATGCTGGAGGATGGCAGTTGTTAGGAAGCACAAGTTTGGAGGTACTCCTTGACTGCTAATAATATTTTACTTTCTAACTGGGATAGTGTTTGCATGAACCTCTTCACTTTGTGAAAATTAGTTGAGCTGTATGCCTAACATTTTATGCACATATGTTAAAAATTCAACTACCAAGTAAAAGTTTAGAAATGCCTAGGACTGTCTGGGCACAGTGGCTTACACCTGTAATTCCAGCACTTTGGGAGACCGAGGCAGGTGGATCACCTGAAGTCAAAGGAGTTCAAGACCAGGCTGGCCAACATGGAGAAACCACATCTCTTCTAAAAATACAAAAGCTAGCCGGGCGTGGTGGTGGGCACCTGTAATCCCACCTACTCGGGAGGCTGAGGCGGGAGAATCGCTTGAGCCGTAGAGTCAAAGGATGCAGTGAGCTGAGATCGCATCACTGCACTCCAGCCTGGGGGACAGAGTGAGACTCCATCTCAAAAAAAATAAATAAATAAATATTAAGCACATGATAATTTTGATCCAATGAGTTTGTTAAAAATATTCTTTTAATTATCTTTGTATGCATGAAGAGACTTCCATGATATAGGAATTGAAGGGCATATGTCCATGAGTTCTTTGTCCAGTCACAAATGATTGTTATGCTGTTCTTTGTAGAAAACGTAAAATGTTGGTGATGCCTGCTAGGATGAGAAACTTTATGAGCTCCTTATCAAACTTGCAAACTCTTCTGCATGAAGAAATTCTGTGGAAGGAAAAATTGGTTTTCTGACTCTCTTTTCTGAATAGCTTGTATAGTGATTGATACTGTTTGCAGTTTTATTACATTTGAGTTACTTTATCTTATTTTATTATTAATATTTTATTAGATTTTATCACATTGACTTTTTGCCATTAAGTTATAATTGATATACTCTCTGGTTTCTCCTGTTTCCCCTTTACTCTTTGCATCTGCATACACACAGACACACATACACACACATCTTTCAAACAACTATGGATGATTTGTAAACTACTTTTCATCTCGTTTTCCATTTCAGTCTCATTAAAATTTCCGAAGTCTACTCCAGAGTTCAAGTTTCTCAAAGATCAATCCAGACTTCACTTACCATTGGGTTTTGTTGATTCATCCCTCAAGGAGCTAATTTAAATTTATCCCCACTAGGTAATAGGGTAAGTCACTACTCTATGTCAATATTTGCTTTAAGTTCTTTTCCACTTGATGGAGTTCATGAGGTGTTTAAAGCATTTTCTTGGCTCTTCAAGAGTAGGTTATATATGTATATGAAAGTAAAAAGGAAATGAGTGTAAACTTTTCCAAAATGCCTTTCTGAAATGAATGATCATTTTATTATTTTCTCAGATAAAATTAACTCAGTCACTTGAAAGAAATACAACACTCATATTTAATGCAAAGTATTGAGATGAGAAAATGAAATATATCTGTATTTATAATTCATCATAACATTTTATATTTCAATTTTCACCTCACCAAAATGCATCCATCACTGTATTTTAGAAAAATAGAGGAATTCTTAATACTTCGTGAATAAAAGTTGTTGGTGGTTGTGAGGGGTGGGATTCCTTCTGGTAGTAGTTTTATTTCAACAGAAGTTATATCTTCAATTCTTTGACACAGGCAAAAATTCGAAAGAAAAAGTTTCAGTGTTGCAATATGTTCTCCTAATATGTAAAATATAAAAACATAACTCCCTAGACTTGGAAACATAGCTACAATAGCAACCTCCCACCTATGAGCCCATTAAGTTTAGGTTCTGACTATAAGATGACAGGAGTTGGCCAGTGAAAGAATAACATTTCTGAGAGTTCATTTTACTTTAGAGTCACTTTTGCATGAAATGATAGCATCCCTCCTAGAAACTGGCCTCAATGCATCTTTCTTTAAATTACTTACCATATATCAGTCTTGATTCAATAGACTATAAAGTATAGGTGCTTTTTATTGGCAAGAACTTAGGACATTTTTACAATGAAAAATAATGCTCTCCAGCAGGAAAACTTAAAATAATTAAGAGTTATGGGACTATAGGAAGAAACTGACCACTTCTTCCCTTTTAAATCCTTTCCCTTATCTTCTCTTCCAGAACTGTCATGTGTGACCTTCCAATTCTTCTGCTGAAGAAAGGAAAACTAAAGTGGTAAAAATAATTTCAACTCAAACTTATTTTACTCAACTCACATAATTAATTCAACAATATCTCAAGATTTCTTTTCCCTTAAACCATTTCCCCCTAATTACCTGATTTTCTAATAGGAATTGGAATCTTCCTTTTGAGCCCACTCAGAGCCTGATTTCATTGTGTCATAATATTAGAGACTAGAGAACTGGATTGCATATTAAACTTACTTTACTTTAAGGCTTCTTGAATTAGTTTCTATTGGATATTAGATTCTTTTAGTAGCTAAGAAACCATGAAGATTGTGGTACAAGATGCTTTGATGTAATCAAGAGGGGCGTGCCTCTATCATTAACCATTATAAATTATTTCTTTCTGAAACCAAATTGCATATTTATAGCATAATCTTGTTTTTTAATGTTATTACTTTGTTTAGTTTAAATGTTTTTACAGGGTTCAAAATTATAAGTGGGCTTACCCTTTAAGAAAACTGGCATAAGTCCAGGTTCGCATACACAGGAAAAATCCAGAGAGAGGTTCAACAAAGAGCCATTTAGTACAAATGATCTCTGAAGGAAGTATAAATATAAATTCACTTTGGTAGTGTGGTTCCCAGAGGAAAATCTTCACTATTGGAAAAAGATCATCACAGAAGAGTCAAACTGCTGACCAAAGTAGGTTGTCTGATTCTATTTTCCTTTTCTCCTCCTCTCTCCCTTGCCATGGAAGGAAAAAGAGCAAGTAGAAACCAAATTAGAAATAAATAAGGCTGAGGACCTAAATTGAGAAAGAAATGAAGAAAGTTAGAATCCCCAGAAGCAGATAATGAAACAAAAAGTTAAGGGAAGTAGAATTACTACGTATCTTCGTTTTAGCAAGTTAAACGCAGGCAATAAATGGCCTAGAGCTGTGAATAAAATGTGTATCTATTAAGAAGAAAACACTAAATCTTTCATTCATAAATAAAAAACAAGGCTGAATTTAGTAAAAAGGCACTAATGATGGAAAGATCTTTAGCAAATCCGATCACCTTATTGGAAGAGAGAATTAAGGATCAGAGAAATTAAATGCTGTGTTCAAGCTTACGCAGCTTGTTAATAGTGGGACTAGAACTATAATTGACATTTGAAATTTCCAATCTCACCCACAATACCCAAAAGGCTGTGTGTCTTTAAACTTTTGTTAATTTGCATTCATTCCACAGTTATGTTTTAAGCACTTTCTCTGTGCCAGGAATCTTGTTTAATTCTGTGGATACAAGATACAGAGATATTGTATAGGAGGTACAGTCTTTACACTTAACGGAACTTAAAGATTTTGAGGAAAGTCAACATTAAACCATTATTTACTAAATGGATTGCAACTGTAATGAGTGCTACAAAGATGGAGACTGATATAAAAAAACTTTTTCAAGTACCAGCTATTTATCTAGGGCTTCAAGCTCTACTGCTCTGCTGTAATTTCTGTCACTATGGTAGTTAAAACTCATCTCTTTCTCTCTTCATTATACCTCTACTCTCTTGAACTTTTGACATTGCTAACAGTTCTTTCCTTTGTGTAGCTCCCTGCTCTCTTGATAACACCTTTACTTGGTTGGTGATTTACCTCCCAATCAATGTAGTGCAAGGTGTTTTGGGATACAGGCCAGGTTATAGAGTGATTGCAGGATGGGCTTATAGCTTCACACCTTGAACAAGACAGGAGCTTAAACACAGCTTTTTGGGGCTGAAACCTCAGTGGTGTCAAATGGATGATTGTAGTAGAAGTTTACATATAGCACAATGAAAGGTGTCATCATTATTCTGTGGGTAAACTTGGAGAACATGAGTATGGGACATGTGGACCCAGTTGAAATTTTCCCAGACATTTGTATTTCCAGATGCTTAAAAATGCATGCAATTTTTCTTATAGTACAAGAATGCCTAAACAAACTGAATGTAAATTAAGCAATTAATTAAGGCACATGATTTGCATTACATAGACTGTTATTAGATATGAAAAGAAGATAATTTCATATTTAAAATATTAAACATGTGTGTTCCTTTTCTCCCTAAATCATAATGTCCTGCAGCTCTCTGCCATTATAGCTCCAAGAAAGAAGGACAAAATTTCTGCTCTGGGAAAGACACTGTCAAGATAACTGAAAGATGAGCCACAGACCAGGGAAAAATATTTGTAAAAGATATATATGATAAAAGACTTTTATCTAAAATATGTTTTTTTTAAAAAAACCCTCTTAAAACTCAACAATTAGAAAGCAAACAACCCAATTTTAAAAAGTGGGCCAGAGACCTTAACAGAGCTGTCACCAAAAAAGATATACAGATGGCAAATAAGCAAATGAGAAGATGCCCCATATCAATGTCAACAAAGAAAAGCAACAATGAAATAATCCTATACACCTTTTAGAATGGCTAAAATCCAGAACACTGACAACACCAAATGCTGGAAAGAATGTGGAGCGAAAAGAATTCTCATTCATTGTTGGTGGGAAGGCAAAATGACATAGCCAGTTTGGAAAACAGTTTAGTAGTTTGTTAAAAACTAAACATAGTCTTACCGTATAATCCAGCAATTGCACTCCATGATATTCACCCAAAGGAGTAGAAAACTTATGTCTACAGAAAAATCTGCACACAGATGTTTATAGCAGCTTTATTCATAATTGTCAAAACTTGGAAGTATCCAAGATGTCCTTCAAGAGGTGAATCAATAAATAAACTGTGGTATATCCAGAGAGTAGAATATTAGTCAGCACTAAAAATAAATGAGCTATCAAGCTGTAAAGAGACATGGTGGAAACTTAAATGCTTTTTACTAAGTGAAAGAAGCCAACCAGAAAAGACTACATACTGCATGCTTCCAACTATATGACCTATATGACATTCTAGAGAGGCAAAACTATGGAAATAGTAAAAATCAGTGGTTGCCCAGGGTTAGGGGGAGAAATAGATGAAGAGGTGAGCATAGAGGATGCTTAGGGCAGTGGAGATATTTTATATGATTCTGTAATGATTGATAAATGCAATTGTATGTTTGTTCAAATCCACAGAATGTGGCACAGCAAGAATGAACCTTAGTATAAACTATGGACTTTGGGTGATAATGTTGTGTCAGTGTAAGTTTCTCAGTTGTATGTAACAAGTGTACCACTGTGGTGAGTGATGTTGATAATGGCGGAGGCTATGCATGTGTGGGGGCAGGGATATATAGGAAATCTGTAACTTCCACTCAGTTTTGCTGTGAAACTAACGCTGTTCTAAAAACACAAAGTCTTAAAAAAAAAAAAAAAAAGAAACAAGGGCAAATAACACTTATGAAAGAATGTAATGGAAGTCCTTGCCAGCCAAGAAGTGAAAGTGCTTCCAGTTATGGAAGGAAAAAAAGACATGGAGAATGAAGATTAGATGGAAATGTCCTATCCTCATTAGAGTTGAAGAAATCTACCTGGTGGGAAGAATAGAAACATCCAGATAGGTTATGTGTGTATTTGTGTGTGCACATGTGTGTGTGTGGTGGAGGCAGGGGTGGGGTTTGAGGGGGTGATTGGAGACGTGTAATGAGACAAGAAAAAATACCTGCTAGAATACTCAGAGAGGTGGAGAGAGGGTGTGAGAAATCAGGACAGATGTTTCACTTTCCCAGCATTTCCAATGAGGCTCAGGAGTAGTAAAATAGCATAGAAAGAACAAGGTGAGGCTTGAGCCTCAGAGACTTCTGCTGGTTTTATATCTTGTATACATGCGGTACACAAGAGATTCAGAAATATCTAAGTGTCTCTCTTCGTCTGGAACAGTGGTCCCCAACCTTTTTGGCACCAGGGACTGATTTTGTGGAAGACAATTTTTCTATGAACCAGGGCCAGGTCAGGAGGTGGGGCAGTGATGGTTTTAGAATAATTCAAGCACATTACATTTACTGCAAACTTTATTTCTATTATTATTACTTTGTAATATATAATGAAATAGTTTTACAACTCACCATAATGTAGAATCAGTAGGAGCCCTGAGCTTGTTTTTCTGCAACTAGATGGTCCCATCTGTGGGTGATGTGAGACAGTAACAGATCATCAGGCATTAGATTCTCATAAGCAGTGTACAACCTAGATCCCTCACATGACAGTTCACAATAAAATTCGCACTCCTATGAGAATCTAGTGCTCTGCTTATCCAGGCAGTAATGCAAATGGTGAGGAACAGCTGTAAATACAGATAAACTTTACTTGCTCTCCCGCTGCTAACCTCCTGCTGTGTGGCCTGGTTCCTAACAGGCCATGGACTGGTACCCATCTGTAGCTTGGGGGCTGGGGACACCTTATCTAGAAGGCTGAGTTTCAAGCTTACAGGCCTGTCAGAAAGCTTCTGTAATAAGAAACTAAGTGTCCCCAGAGTGAAAACTGTGGGTTGGACACCATTAATTAGAGGTGAGATGAAGGAAGGGGCTGAGAATGAGATGATCTGCATGCCAGCAAGAATAGAAGTAGGTAAAGAAATAATTACTACATGACTTAGCAGTTCTACTCCTAGGAATAGACCCAAAAGAATTGAAAACAACTTTTCAAACAGGCACTTGTACACAATTATTGATAGCAGCTTTATTTGCGATAGTCCAAGGGTAGAAACAAGCCGATTTTTCATCAAGAGATGAATGGATAAACAAAATGTAATATATCCATGTGCTAGAATATTATTCAGCCAAAAAAGAATGAAGCACTGATGTATGCCACAACATGGATGGCTCTTGAAGACTGTATAAGTTAAATATGTCGGACACACACACAAAAACACATATAATATGGTTAGTTTATATGAAATATCCAGAATAAAAAAATTCATAGAGACCTAAAAATATATTGGTAGTTGTCAGGGGCTGCAGAGAGAGGGATTGGGTGGTGAATGCTTATTGAATACACAGTTTCTATTTAGAATGATGAAAAGGTTATGGAAATAGAGAGTGGTGATGATCACATAACATAGTGAACGTACTTAATGTTACTTAACACGGTGAATGTACTTAATGTTACTTAACTGTACACTTTAAAATAGTTAAAATGGTAAATTTTATTATATGTACATTTTACAATAATAATAATAGAAGTAGGGCTTTGTCAGCACGGAGTGTTGGCTAACTACCCAGTTAGTTAGTGACGGCTAACTACTCAACAAGCTTTATATATGCCTAAGAAACAGAATATGAATTTCACTAAGTGAGTACTTCATCATTGGGCACCAAAGCTGGACATCCGTGTGGGTCAATGGAGGCCCAGAAATGAGTGTGAAGACCCTTAGTCCCAACCACCCACCATCGGGATAAAAAATATCCCTTGAAACCAGAAACTGCCTTGTGAGTAGGAGGAAAGAAGCAGATGTGGTAGGGATTGAACTTGCAATTCTCTTCATAATTTCTAAAACAAAACTGTTCAAATCAAAAGATAGCATTTTTCAACTTAAAGGGCTTCAGACACTGTAATTGGCAAGTTTTGAAGTATTTTTTTTCTGCAACTGGAATGGATGTCTCAGAGTAAAATGAAAACAGTTATAGAAAATAAAAAGACCACTTTTGTGCATATTTTAGTAGAGTATATGTGTTTCAGGTTTTAATGAGATAAAAATCACGAGCAACCAGTGTACAGTGTGGTTGTGTTAATAACCCATCTCTTTTGTTTGAGTGACTTTTTGCATTGTTTATCTTAACAGCATTGAGGAAAGTGACAGAAATGTTAAGAAGTACTGTTTCAGTGATAGTGCTTATGGTGATAGAAGATGTTGCTCTCAAGCAGAAGTCTATATGAAGTCAATGCTCTCTGATGTTTAGGTATCACAACACTACACTTATAATTATAAAAGCAACCATTATAGAGAAATTCCTACAGGGTAAAGACTTGTGTTATAGAAAGACTGAAATTATCGAGCATTTAACCGATACCCATTTAAATAACTGTTTTATCATGAACTTTTTGATAATGTGAGACTTCCAGTTGCACAATTATTACATCATAACACAGAGGTCTCTCATAGAGTTTTCAAAATATTTTAAAGGATTTCTCTCTTTAAAAATTTGGATATTTTACATGTATGTATACAGATTTCACGTTTTTCTTGAGAATTTTGCAGAGATTACTATGAGGCTTGAGTTCCCACATGGTAACAATCAGAACAATCAGGATTTGACACAATCCCCAACCCTCCTTATTGTCTCTCCAATGCCAGTTTCACTTCACCCATTTTAGGTAGTTTGATCCCTATGGACATTGGAGTTCACACTCTGCTGTAGTCAGATGTATGTGATTCTACCTAATGAAGATGATTACACTGATGAATCATATGATTTGGCTCAAGTGTCAAAATCCCAGACATTTTCCTGTCTCTGGATGGCAAACTCCACAGGCTGGGTTACAGAGTGATTGCAGGATGGGCTTGTAGCTTCAGACCTTGAACAAGAAGCTAAGAAGGACTGAGGTCATAGCATGTGTACCGCCACCCTTAAAACAGAATATTTCACTAGCCAAGACAGGATTATGTAAATTATATTGTGTGTTAGTCCATTCTTACACTGCTAATAAAGACATACCCAAGGATGGGTAATGTATTAAAAAAAAAAAGAGGTTTAATTGACTCGCAGTTTCACATGGCTGGAGAAGCCACAGGAAACTTACAATCGTGGTGGAAGGAGAAGCAAACATGTCTTTCAAGGTGGCAGGAGAGAGAATGAGAGCCAAGCGAAGGGGGAAGCCCCTTATAAAACCATCACATCTCATGAGAACTTACTATCACAAGAATACCATGGGAGAAACTGTCCCTATAATTCAATTACCTCCCACCGGGTCCCTTCCACAACATGTGGGATTATGGGAACTACAATTCAAGATGAGATTTGGGTGAGGACACAGACAAACCATATCAGATTGTACATTGCAAAGTGATATGCATATATAAGGCAATATTATAGTGTTGTCATTAACAAGCATTCTGGAATTTAGCCAAAGTTCCTAGATGACTATTGGATGATGATGATAATTTTGATACCGAAAATATCCTAGATTAGCTAAAAAACATCTTGGGGCGGGAAAACTGAAAGAGCCTTAAGACACCCATAAAAAAATTACATTTGAAATTTATACATTTGTTAGAGAGCCTGAAGCCTTCCTAGCACATAGGTGAATAAAAGCATTAATTTGAAATACAGATTTTTAATTTTAGTGCATGAATTTCTCAATAGTTGTAGGTGCTTTTAGGAAAATGATATCTTTATCTGTCTGTCATTTCTGTTGATTTAGGACTCACATTTACAGAAAAAAAGTCACAAACCCCAAGATTAAGCAACTAGTTGAAGGTCATACAGTGACTCAATGCAGAAAAAAAAATGGATTTCTTCACTGTTTTTTTCATTGTGACCTAGTTCTTCCCAGGTACTCAGGCCTAGTTAAATAAGCTTTTCATTTTTCATTTTATAAGGATTGATTAAATAATGGCTCAGGATTGTCATTGAAATTTTATTATTTTAATTAATTGCATAGCTGTCAATAGTTTTGTAGAGATTCATTAAAGATCATTCTGGATGCAATGTAAAAATTGATTTTCTTTTAGAAAACTGATCACTCAGAGGTTTGAGTGGGGAATTCTTTTAGAAATGTACTTTGATTTGTTAATAGGATTATAGTTAATCTCTTGATGAATAATGATGCAAAATCCTTTATTCTTGGCTTTATGTTTTTTAATAGTTAATTTTGTTATACTCTATTATTGTATGTTTTCTTTGGCTCTGTCACTAAGCACAAATATTAAAATATTTCACAGACTGAAGATCTCTCTTACTGATCTACTGTCTCCCAGAAAAGTATTAGTAGAAATTAAATAAAAACAAAAAAATCCACTTGTTATTTAATGCAAAATTCACCCTGAAAGATAAGGAGATGATTTGCAAGAATTGCTTGAAAAATCTAATTTCCTGGATATTTTTGGGCCAAGATAGGTTATAAAATTATTTTTCATCTTGGTTCCTTTAGGTTAGTTACAAATTGCTGGTAAGAAACAAAAATGGAACTGTAAGAAACATTTGAGACAATGATAAAATCAGAAATTAGGGGCTGTGGCTTGCCTTTGTTTCAGCTGAGACACAGCTGAGGTTTTCCACTAAGTGTATTGGAAAATAAAGGAAAAGAAATTATTGCCAAAAAAGTAAATATAATAATAGCTGAATATATATATTAAATTATTTTCCAAGGAGCCTTTGTGTGAGAGCCTGTCTGATAGTGCACTTCAATACATTTACATCTTGGAATTTTAAAGGGTCTGTCTATCAGTGTTCTTTCTGAATGGGTTTTCAATTGCACAAATGGTCTCTATCACATGAAAAGCAATACTGTTTTTTGAAAGGCAATGTACTTATTGTGCTACCCACATGGGACTATCAGTGCCTATTGGCTACCAACAATTACCTTTGAAATGAAAAATATTGTTTGTATCAAAGAACTGTTTGAGTCTAAAGAAAAAGCTTTGCAGCCTGCCAATCATCACCGTATCCTGAGGATTTATTGTTGGGAGTTTTATACAATTTACATGCAGAATCTGAAAATGACTCCAGTGAGTTATATAACCCCATGGGGTGTTTTTGCTCTGGTTAGGTTGCATTTCTGACACTGCTGACATCAGATTCTTTTTGTGCAGGTAGGAACCAATGCCCTCCTATTTTTAGATGTCTGAAGTCTGTCCAGCAATTGTTATCATCAGTGATTAGTTGGAATGCCTTTTTCCTCCTGATTTCAGAAAATCACCTTTATCAGTGCAGTAGGGGATTAAGGAAAACAGTTATTATAAACATCTCTCCACATTATTGGTTTGGAAAAGCAGCAAATAGAATAGTGAATATCACCTAGATTATCAGAATAAGTTACCAGGGATACTACATTTACAGTAACCAAAACAAGTTCAAGGATCTCTGTAAATCAGTATTTTAGAATTTTTTTCTTAACCAAGATCCTTTGAAAAAGCTTTATCATTCATTTTTAGATCATGGAACTGAGCCAGGCTGTCATTCCAAAATGTATTCCATGTTCAAAAAATGCATCTATAATTTCTTTATAGTGTGTGGATGCCATGGCAGCAAACTCCTCTGGAGACACAAGACATGCCAATGTCATTAAACAATCCATATGTCTGCCTAATGCTGCAGAGTGAGTTATTGTAAAGCCTGATGTAAAAAGATACGTTATTTGATAAATATATAATAGGATATTTAGTGGAGGTTTAAGTGTTACCAGATACTCATGGGGTTTTCTAGGCGTATTTCCAAAGGAACTCTTGTCTTAGCCTTGTCTTTCTGTTAATAATCCTGATTATTAACAGAAAGAGACTTTTTATTTTAATCAAAGACATATAGATTTTATATTTCAAACTAGAAAGCAAAATGAGCTAAAAGAAAAGGGATTAGGGTGATGTACAGAATATTATTGCTCTCATTTATAAAATAAAACATATTATAATTATAAATATTCACTAACAGAAGGAATCACTCCATGAGTAATACTTCTATGTGTGTATGTGTTTTGGGGGAGATGACTATTTATTTATATTTTGTATATATTTGATGACCAAATATATACAAAAAAATATATTTATTTGTAATAAATGTATATTAATTATATATAATATATTGTATATAGTAGATATAGTAGCTTGCTTTTAATATTTTATTTTATTATATCATATTCCAAAATGTTCAAGAGACCATAGTGTGACCATAAAAATCTTAAAATCTTTTTGCTTTTTGGGAACCTGCTTTTGATTTCATATCAATCCCGAACCACAAACATTGGTTAAGTAAAAAATGCTTACTCTTTCACCCATTGAGTGTTTTGGCTTTACCTGTGTGCTATGACTAAGAGACCTATTGAAGAACATTAAAATGAGAAAATTCAATCCATTCATTTAATTTTTCTGTGTAACAGAAGAAGATTCCCATTATATGTAATTTATAGGGGACACCTGGGCGATAGTGAGTGACATGTATAATTTGAGAGTCATTGTGTTAAGCACTTGAATGTTGTGGGTTCATGAGTGGAGAGGACACAAAGTATGAAAGCATATCTTTTTGGCAGCAACAAGGTAAGGATGCTACAGGTCCTGGGAGGCAAACAGAGAAAGGACAACATCAAGTGCGTATCAAGACTTGAAGTAGAGTCAGTCAAGAGAGTACAGCAAGTAGGTTAACTGTCCATTGACATGCACACAACAGGAAAAGAGTCTATTTTTAAATTTGTTTTTGTTTATTTACTCAATTGCTTATGACATTCCTGACTCCTGAAAGATATTTGGGTGTTTACAAAAGCAATGAGGTCAAAACAATTTCTGGTGTAGGGAGGAGTTAAAGAACCAGGGACATCTGAGTACTGTGTTCGAAGTGATGAATTGGCAGGGAAATAAGACGTCTGGCTAGCATATTGGTACTATGTAGATGACAAGAGTGGGAGGCACAGAGATGGACAAGAAATGCCAGGGAGATTAACATGGCATTTAGAAACTTGGGTGAAGAACTGGACTCAAATGTAATGAGAAAGAAGACCGGAATGAAAGAATGTGACAACTCCCATTCCCATCTCTTCTTGGCAAGAAAGAAGGTTGAGGATGAAGCACCGCATCTGCTCAAACCAGTGTTTGATATGCTTCCTGTTATGTCCTGGACAAACCCCCAAGGCTGCTGGGACTTATAGCGGAGACAAACCCATGGACCTGGATAAAAGTGGGGAGGAAGGAAGAGGGATGGAACTGGAGATGTTACTAGGAAGAAAGTAGTTGGGGACAGGAAGAGCTAGAAGGGAAGAATCAGACATGAACTAATGGGAGGATAAACCAGGGGGTGAGCAGTGAGAACACAGTGGAAAGGAAAGGGAATCTAAATGAGAACATGATATTGGCCCTGAAATATAACTATTAATTTTAAAAAGCTCAAGAAGCAGGCTCATATTTTGTTTACTTTCAGCTCCCTTGACTTTCATTCTCACAAAGATGGTCTTAGAAGTCATTGTGCCCTTTCTTTCTCTCCCTGCACCTACACTCTTGTCCTGTTGCTTAGGATCCTTCTGTGACAACCCCAGTGCTGCCGGCATTCTAGCATCAGAATACCCAAGTCGTAGCATCTGTATATCACAACAGCTAGGCTTATTGGAAAAATGGTAGTTTTTAGGATGCAAACAAGATTAATATCTTTCAGTCCTTCACATGGTGTGACAATAAAAAGAACAAGACAAATAAATACAGTTTTGTCTTCATTAGTAGGAAGAAAATGTTTTGTGGAAATACCTTCTTTCCCTTCTCTGTCAGTGTTGCTTCCTCATCTTGGTCCATAGGCTCAAGATATACAAATCCTTTTCATGCTTTTCTATATGTATATCATGATTGGAGTCAAACCAGGAAATTCTGAGGCTAATTAACAAAAATTCAAACTATGCCATATTCAGAAACATCTCAGAAATTTAAGTTGGATTGAAGGTAGTCTTTTTGTCTCCCCAACCCTGACCCATCCCTTCCTTTCCTCCCTCCCATCCTTCCTCCCTCTCATCTTTCCTTCCTTCTTTCCCTCTTTCCTTCCTTCCTTCCTCCCTCCCTCCCTCCCTTCCTTCTTTCCTTCCTTCCTTCTTTCCTTTCTTTCTTCCCTTCTTCCTTCCTTCCTTTCTTCCTTTGTTGTTTCACATTTATTGATTTCTCACTCTGCTCCAGATCCTTTGTGGGGTTTAGGGTTAATTTTAGTGAAAAATACCTAATATCTTCTCCTATGGATTATACAACATATTTCAAAAGGAAGAAAACTAAACAGGTAATTGCAATTTAAAGTAAGTGCTCCGAAAGGATAGTGGGTGCTATAGGGGGTGGGAGAATGGAAGGTATTAAAATAAACCTTCCTCCAAAAATTGTTGTTGAGGATAGTAGATAATACTTTGACAACATCAGTGTTTTGGGGGAGAGAAAAGCCCAGAAGACTATTCCAGAGAGGAGAAACATCCGGTATGGTGTGACAGTAAATATACTCAAAGAACTGAAAGAAATTCAAGTAGGACCAGACTGCTGATCATAATTGTTAGGGGAACTGGCAAGAGGTGAGACTGAAGAGATAAATAAGGCTCAGCATGATACCAGTATGATACCAGGAATGTGAGGGTGGTTCAGGCTCAGAATGTATGTTGATGAAATACAAAATATTAACAGAATAAAAGAGTAAACCCAGTATCTTCATATCAATAGATGCAGAAAAATATATTAGATAAATATGAACATTCATTCATGAAAATTTCTTAGCAAACTGAGATTAGAAGGACAGTTTATAATGGATATCTCCCCCAAAAATGAAAAGAAACATTAAAACATAAGAAGCAATCTCCACACTTTGGGAGGCCGAGGCTGGCTAATCACGAGGTCAGGAGTTCGAGACCAGCCTGCCCAACATGGTGAAACCCCGTCTCTACTAAAAATACAAACATTAGCTGGGCATGGTGGCACGCACCTGTAATCCCAGCTACTGGGGAACCTGAGGCTGGAGAATTGCTTGAACCCGGGAGGCAGAGGTTGCAGTGAGCCGAGATCGCGCCATTGCACTACAGCCTGGGCAAAACTCTCTCTTGGGGAGGGGAAGGGGAGGAGGAGAGGGGAACATAAGAAGCATGTCACTTAAAGTCAGAAAATATGCTTCTGTCACCATTTTTCTTTTACATTATAATGGCAGTTGTAGACAAGAAATTAAGGAAGAAAAAGAAGTAATATATAAGAATTGGAAAAAGAGCAAGAGACGGTGCTTTGTTTAGAAAATTTCCTTTCAAACTAATAAGCAAATGATTGAATTGAGAAGGGTTAATTCAACCTTTATATCAACTGAACTGCTGATTAAAGCAAAAATTTTAACCCACCAAACACCCCAGTTGATAATATAACTTAAATGTGGCAATAGTTTTGTGTCAGCAAGTTACAGACCAAAGTAAATGTTCTGTTTGTCTTTCCTCAGTATCTTTTATTATCCAATCTGTCTTCAATTTCCTTGCCAGTTACATTTCAGTAGTTACCTGATGTGTGCATACAAACTGTAAATGACTGTGGGAACATGTTCTATAAGTATCTTTTTTTATTTTAGAGAGTGCCCAATATCCAGTGTTTAAAAACTATGATGACCACAAGATTTTGTTATGATAGAGTCTTTTAGAAGTTGCTCAGCACATTTTATAACAATATCCTTCCTCAGATGAAAACAAACAGATATTCTATACAATGGTTTTGAATATTAACAAGTATCTTGAGTATATAAATACCGCAAAATACATTACTGTAGGCATTACTGGCTCTTTGGCCTCTAATTAGTTTTCTTCACCTTGTTAGCACTGTTTGCTGGCATCTGTTACAGTGAGGCCAAACTTCACAGAAATATTGTAAATCTTAATGTCATGTGCACTCCCTATTTTATATAAATCATGTTAGACTTATAAAAATAATATTACAGGAGAAAATTATATGACTTCTATGGGTTTATGTATTTCAACCCCTTGCTACACTATTTAGAAAATCTATAATGTAAGAAAGATTTACTGAACTTCCCTAAGGCTTAGTTTATCAGCACAGAGTGCAAGATAACACTGACTTTATGCAAACATGGTGAGGATTAAATGACATAGGCACAGGCAAGTGCACAGTGACTGCTCCTTGAGGTTATTAAATGTTAGCCCTTTCTCTTTATTCTTTCCATCTATAATATCAACGAATAACTCATGCTGTAGCACAAAACTCTTGAATTATCCACTGACTTAAAGGGAACAAAGTGTAGTACTTTAAATTAAGGTCACCAATTAAAAGGGAAGCTACTAATATATAAATTTTATGAGGTTAGAGACCAGGTCTTTTTTTGTTCATTATTGTGTCATGATGGTAGAGTACATTGCCTGTTATGCATCAGAAGCTCAGTAGAGATTTATTTAATGAATGAGTATACTATAAGGGATATTTAATATTATATAGTTCAACCACCCTGTGTTTTTATTGAGATAAAATTCACATAACATAAAATTTACCATTTTAACCATCTAAAGTGTACGATTCAGTAGCTTTCGTATAGCCACAATATTATGCCACCATCAACACTATCTAATCCCAGAATATTTTTGTCAACAACCTGCCCACTAAAATACAGTTTATTTTCCAGTCATTTCCAGCTCTAATCACAAATCTACTTACTGTTGCAATGGCCACCTTATTTTTAAACGAGGGGGAGCCGAGGTTAAGGACATAGCATAACTTTCCAAGTCACACAGCCAGTAAAGATGCCTCAGAGCTAGAGCATCAACTCAAGTTCAGTTCCCTCCCTGGAGCATCCTTATGCATTACTTCATGTACAGATCATCTGCATCTGCATGTTCTTAATTAAGAAGCATAGCTCACCTTTCCCCTCTTTTTCAGGGATGCATAAGACAATAACATGTATCCTGACTCTGTGCTTGAGTGGATGACTGACTGGAGGTTTTCCATCTTCCAAATGTGTTCCAAGAGAAGCTAACACTGGCAGAGCACTTACTTTGTCCCTATCACTGTTCTAAACGCATTGCAAACATTAGCTCATTTTGTCCTCACTACATCTATGTGATAGGGACTAATATTTCGTTTTTTTACATAAGGAAACTGGCATACAAATACTTTAAGTGACTTGCCTATGGTCACATAACTTGTAAATTAATAATTCAAGTATGTTAATAGGATTTCATTTTTAAAATAAGACAGATTAAAAGTAACATAGATTCAGAAAATGTGGAAATCAACAGTTATTCTATGTTCTACACCATAGGATTTCTCTGAAAAGTCACTAAAAGAATGATTCAATTGCTTTTAATGGATTAAGAGTCTTTAATTGATTAATTATGAATTCCCGAGATGAGACTATAAGATGTAATATTTCTTACACATATTTGAATAAAAAAGTTTTAAAAGCCCATTTTTGAGTTATAACTTACATACAGTAAATAAACTCATCTTAAATGAACAGTTCAATGAGTTTGACAAATGGAGCCAGCACCATAATGAAGGTCAAGAACCATTTCATCAAACCCTTCCCAGAAAATTTTCCCACCCCTCTTTAAGCAACCACTGATCTGCTCTCAATTACTATAGTTGAGTTTTTTTTTTCCCTAGAATTTTCTATGTGGAATCATACAGTATGTACTGTTTGGGTTTGCGTTTGTTTGCTCAGCATAATACTTTTATTATTACTATTGTTATTATTTTTTGAGACAGAGTCTCTATCTGTTGCCCAGGCTGGAGTGCAGTGGCACAATCTCGGCTCACTGCAACCTCTGCCTCCTGCATTCAAATGATCCTCGAGCCTCAGCCTCCTGAATAGCTGGGATTACAGGCGCACACCATCACGCTGAGCAGATTTTTTTATTTTTAGTAGAGACAGGGTTTCACCATGTTGCCCAGGCTGACCTCGGACTCCTGGCCTTATGTGATCTGCCTGCCTAGGCCTCCCAAAGTGGTGGGATTACAGGTGTGAGCCACTGTGCCTGGCCTGATAATTTTGAGATTCATCCATGTTGCTGCATGTTATAGCAGTTGTCAGTTCCTATTTATTTATTGAGACAGGGTCTTGCTCTGTCCCCCAGGCTGGTGTGCAGTGGTATGCTCACAGCTCACTGCAGCCTTGACTTCCTGGGCTCAAGCAGTCCTCCCACCTCAGTCTCCCAAGTAGTTGGGATTACATGCATGTGCCACCATGCCTGGCTAATTTGTGTGTGTGTGAGTGTGTGTGTGTATTTTTTGTAGAGATAGGGTCTCACCATGTTGCCCAGGCTGGTCATGAACTCCTGGACTCAAGCGATCTGCTCACCTTGGCCTCTCAAAGTGTTGGGATTACAGGTGTGAGCCACCCTGCCTGGCTGTCTGTTTCTTTTCATTGCTGAGTAATATTCCATTGTGTGGAAACATCACAATGTGTTTAACTGTTTGCCTGTTAATGAACATTTTTGTTTTGTTTTGTTTTTGTGGAAGACCTACTTTTAAAATCATTGACATAGATCCCTTCTAATAGCAGATTTTTAGATACTTATGGACTCTTTTGAAGAGTAGAAACCAAACTGACTACGTGAGGTAGTCAGCCCTTCTCTTGGTCATGTGGCAGCTGTGACATGGGAGGAAAACAAAACAGCCATGAAGCATCTTCTTCATGTCAGACATTTTGTTATCTTGGAATGAGTAAGAAGTTATCCTGAGACCCACAGTCAAGAAGAATTTTGTGTAAAGGATGTGTGTGTGTGTGTGTGTGTGTGTGTACGTGCGCGCGTGCATGCTCGTGCGCCGTATTAACTACAGCAGAGAAGTAAAAGAAATCTGTACCTTTCTCTGGATGAATTAAGCAGGTTTTTGTGACAGAATATTAATCTAGCTTCAGTCTGTAGATTGATGGCAAGTGCTTTGTTGAATGTAATTAATAAATATGAAGGATTAGATGTTGAGTCTGATATCTGTTGACCTTGTAATTCTACAGACCTTACAGGCAATAAAATATCCCTGTATGTTGTACTGAATCTGTGTCTTGTTTTCACAATTATCTTTGTTACCAGTCTCACTCAGTTACCATTCCAGAGAGCTCCTCTTCCCTATTACAGCACTAATAAATTAGGGGTTCCATAAGTGCCTTTGTTCAGATTCATTTTCTTCTTTCAGTTAATGAACAGCCATCTGCAGCTGCTCCTCGATCTTAATCCATCTGCATGAAGATGCCATTGTTATATACAGCGTTCTATAAATATTGCTATGTTGGCAAGCTGACTGCAGATGGGGGGGGATATTTTTATTATTATTATCCCTGATTAAGAGAGAGGCCAGATTGACAACACAAGGGCTCTGAGGTCCCTTCTCTTCTGTAAATTGTCTGTTCACATAATTATATTTCTAGTAACAATATTACGGTATGCATTACAATCATTATTGTGGTTGTTTGTAACTTGCTGAGCACCACTTCTGTATTCTGCATTGCATAAGACACAGCATGTAGGAAGACAGAGTTCAGATTTGAAAGTATTAAATATTCTTATTGTAAAAAGGAGTCTTGTCAGCCTCACAAAACTCAGCTGTTAATGTGGATTTGGTTTCTTGTGCCACATTTACATACCATGGACTTTAACAAAGGAGTTGCACCATAGATATGCCTCTTATACAGTGAGATTGGCCTGAAATTTCTAAGGTAAAGCAATGCATTAGAAAAGAAATACATTCATTGAAATTCAAAATATGAATGCTTTTTAAAAACTGAGACAGCTTGAGAGATGACAAGTTCACAATTAGTAGAAACAACTTTCATTACCAATGACTTGGGCTATTTCTACCCAACAAAGTGAAAGAGAAAACTATGATCCAGTTTCTTTGGGGAAAAAAATCCATTTATTATGTGCCTAATATAGGCAAATTATCATGTTGTGTGCTTATTCACAGTTGTGGGTAAGACAGACACAGTTCTACCTGTGAGGAGGGTGTGCTTCAGCGGACCTAAACAGACATTGAACAAGTAACCACAGTTGTAATTATGCAAGAAAAGTGCAGGATGCTGGGGAGCATGTAATGGGGACACCCACGGGGGAAAAGCATTCCAGCAGTTGGCCTGTAGTAGGTTGAATGGTGGCCCCCAAAAGATACATCCACATCCTAATCCCTAGAGCCTATCAATGTTACCTTATTTGAAAACAAGGATCTTTTCAATGTGATTAAGTTGAAAACCTTGAGACAGAGAGATCATCAATAAATTACTGAATTATTGTTCTACCTAGAGCCCCCAGGGAGAATGTGGCCCTGCTGATACCATGATTCTCAACTTCCAGCCTCCGAAACACTCGGAGTTTTAATCCTCCCAGTTTGTGGGAATTTGTTACAGCAGCTCTGGGACACTGACACACAGCTTATGTTTTATTTTTCCTCCCATTACTTCTGAGGGGAAGAGTTAAGACAGGTGATGCTTCTAGTTTTCTGATCTCTTTTACACATGATAACTAGACTTTCATGAAATTAGACCAATGGTATTTGCTAGTAGGAGAGTCCTAATCTAAGGAATATATTTAGAAGAATGTCTCTGGTTTAGGATCGCTTATGGTCAACAAACAAACCTAAATTCTAGGGGTCTATGAGTGACAGATTCCCAGAGAATGTACATATCTCTGAGGGTATACAATGGAGATATTTCATAACTTAAATAGAAGTCTCGCATGTAGATCATGCCTAATATTCTGGGCTCAAGGGTGTATATCAGATGCAGGAGGGGAGGAAGGCTCTGGGAGGAACATGAGATATCTCCGACTTCTCTGATTTGTCTGTGGGTTGTGATTATTTGCATTCTAGAAATTATTAGTAAAACTCGTTACAGGGTAAAATCTCTCATTTGCATGAGACTGATTTGACAGTCCGAAACCTAACAAGCTGAAGGCAGGAACACTGTAAGAACCTTCTCTGAAAATATTATGTGTAAACTAATATCTAAAGAAGATACAGTTATTAGCCTATAGGAAGAATTCTAAAATGACCCCTCCAAGATTTTCTTTTTATTTATTTCTTTATATTTATTTATATATATATATTTTTTAGATGGGGTATCACTCTGTCATCTGGGCTGGAGTGCAGTGGTGCAATCACAGCTCACTGCAGCCTCCACCTCCCAGGATCAAGCGATCTCCCACCTCAAGTCTCCCAAGTAGCTGGTACTACAGATGTACACCACCACACCCTGCTAATTTTTTTGTATTTTTGGTAGGGACAGGGTTTTGCCATGTTGCCCAGGCTGGTCTCAAACTCCTGAGCTTATGTGATCTGCCCACCTCGGCCTCCCAAAGTTCTGGGACTACAGGTGTGAACCACCACACCCAGACCCTCAAGACTTTCTTGCCCCACTGCTATATGTACTCTGAATCACACACTTTACCTGAGTGTGGGCAAGACTTGTGAATATGATACGAGAACCCCTCCCTTGATTACATTATGTTATATGGCAAAGGTGGTAGAATAGTCACTCCTGTGGTTATGCTACATTATGTAAGATTCTGTCAAAGCCAACTGAAGATTCTCCTACTGGTCTTGAAAAAAATGACCTACCCTGTTGCAAGAAGGTCTGTGAGAAGACCATGTGGCAAACACCCAAGGGTGGCTGTTAGCTATTGACAGCAATCCCTAGCCAACAGCTAGCCAGAAAACAGGGACCTCAGTTATACAACTGCCAGGAGCTAGGTTGTGTCTCTGTGAGTTTGGAAGAAGATTCTCCTCTATTGTCCAGATGGGAATGCAACTCTCCTGATAATTTGAGTGCAGTGTGTTGAGACTCTGAAAAGAGGATCCAGTTAAGCCATGCCTAGAGTCCTGACCTGCAGAAACTGCAAGGTAAGAAATGTGTGTTATTCAATGTTGCTAAATATGTGATAAATTGTTAGCAATGAAAAACCAATTAACTCATTGAAAGAGTGTGAAGTTAGGTAGAGTAGTCAGCTAGATGTTGCTGAGGTTGCAAGAACCCTAATGCAAAACAAGGCTTGACATTGTTCAGGGAGGTAAAGAAGTCTTGCATGACTGGAGTACACTTGCTGAAGAGAGGAGCGTCTGCAATGAGGTGACGAGGGAGACACAGAAAGATGGTACAAGATTCGTGTTAAGAATTTTAGATTTTGTCAGTGCAATGAGAAGCATTTGAAGGTTTTAAAGCAGTGAAATGACATGATCAAACTTGAGATTTTTGCAAGATTACTATATTAGTTTACTATTGCTGCTGTAACAAATTACCACAAGTGGTGGTTTAAAGGAATGCCAATTTATCATCTTACCTTTCTGTGTGGTAGGAGTCTGACATGGCTTGCAATGGGCTAAAAGCAAAGTGATGGCAGGGCTGTGTTCTTTTGTGGAGATTCTAGGCAAGAAGTCAATGTTGTTTTTTTGAGCTTCAGAGACCATTGGAATTCCTTGACTCATGTCCCTCTTACTTCATCTTCAAAACCAATAATGTTTCATCTCTTTGACCATTCTTCTGCGTCGCATTTAGCCTCTGACTACAGCCAGGAAACGTCATTAAGTTTCAAGGACCCATGATTAGATTGAATCTACCCAGATAAGCCAGCATAATCTCCAATCTCAAGGTCCTTAATTTAACCACACCTGCAAAGTCCTTTTGGTATACAATGTAACATATTATTAAATTCCAGGGATTAAATGTGGGCTTCTTTGGGAGCTATTATTCTGCCCACCATAATCACACTGAATGCGTGCAGATAACGAAATAGAGAGAGGCAAGATGTAATGAGGGAGACAGGGTAAGACTATTTCAGTAGTCCAAAAGAGACATTATGGGAGCTCAAACCAGAGTGGTGGCAATAGAAATGGACACAGCTGGTCAAATTTGTAATATATTTGAGTTGTATCTACAGTGTCTGATGTGAATATAGGAAAAGAAAGAAACAGAAATCAGGATGACTCTTAGGATTTCAGCTTTAGGATTTGTGTAGATGATAGCAACATTTGCTGAGTAAGGAAGTACTAGATATGCAGCTGGACCTGGGTAATACTGGAAATGAAGGTGGTTTATGCTCCCCAATTTCTGTGCCAGATAGCTTCCTTTTGCTCTTTCAGATTGAATTTACTCCTTTTGCCACTCTACTCTCTACTGGAGGTGAACGACCTTGTCTTACATCAATGGGCCTCTTCGCCCTCATGCTTTGAGTTGGTTTCAGCGAATGGTTCAGAAGAAAAAGATCAAAGGAAGACAGGAAAGTGAGACCTAGATATTTCTTCCATTGAGTCTCTTTCTGCAGGATTATCTTGGGTTGGGTTGGCTTCGTACCACTATCAGACAGCCCTGTTTACACAGCTCTCGCTCTCTCTCTGGCTCTCTCTCTCTCTCTCTGTGTGTGTGTGTGTGTGTGTGTGTGTTCTCATAATAACTTCCTTTCCTTGCCTTTTAGACCCAGTAGTGCTAATAGTTTCCTGCTGTTACCAGGCCTACAGCAATGTGTCAACCCTTGTTTCTTTTTCTACACCTTGTCTATAATTTTGCAGATAGATCCTTCATTAAAATTTCTTCTGTTTCCTGCCAGAAGCCTAAGTGATACATGTTCAGTTTTAGACATATTGTTTTCAAGGTGACTTTAAGGCATCTCAGTGGAAATTTGGATGGGTAGGAACTCAGAAGCAAGATGTGAACTGGAGATATGAATATGGATGTTACCATCATAGTGATAATAATAGGAATGTTGGCAACTGATCAGATCATCTAGGAAGAACATCCTTAGTTAAAAGAAGGAAAAAGCCTAGGATAAGAGCACAGAGGAATTCCAATAGTAAAAGGTTGGGGGAGATGGGGAGAAGCAAAGGAGATTGAGTAGAACTAGCCAGAAAAGTAAAAGAGAAACCAAGAGAAAAGGATGTCATAAAAAAAGAACAAAAAAGATTTAAAATGTGGAAATGGTCAACTATGTCAAGTGATGCTGAGGTGTAAGTTCTATAGGACACTGAAAAGTGACCATTGGGTTGTACAATGCAGATTGTATATTTCACATGTATGTATTAACAATTTACCCTATGGAGTAATTTGCTAGGTGCCAATGACATCTTAGGAATAACTTAGTTCTCAAGCTAATGAAATTTCTCATGCAGCTGGACAGTCAACTCATAAACATATCAATTTAGATAAAGTAGTAAAATTAACCAACTGTACAGAGTTCAATGAAAGAAAGAAAATAATATTATCTATAATTTATTGGGGTATATTTAGATGTTGGACAGTCTACTAAGAGTAATACATACATTACCTCATTCTAATTTTTCCAAAACTACTGTGAGATATTTTACTATTATTAGTTCCATGATTATTTTTTCACAGGAAAGGAAATTGATACTTGGAGACAATCAGTAATTTCCTAATACCTATGCCTAGTAAATAAAAGTAGGTCTGGTTGACACCAAAACCAAGGCTTTTAACATATTTTTCAGGGTATAAATTCATAAAAACAGTCAACAGTCTATCACCTTGTTGAGAATATTTAAAATATGGACTGTAAATTCTGTATAGCTCTCCAAAGATTTTACAATTATTTTTAGATTCACAGTGTATTAGGTCATTCTTGTATTGCTATAAAGAAATACCTGAGACTGGGTAATTTATAAGGAAAAGAGATATCATTTGCTCATGGTTCTGCAGGCCATACAGGAAGCCTGATGACACCTGTCTCTGGGGAGGCCTCAGGGAGCTTTCACTCATGGCAGAAGGCAAAGTGGGAGCAGAAACTTCACATGGCGAAAAAGGAGCAAGAGAGGGTGAGGATGGAGGTGCTACACACTTTTAAATGACCTGATCTCACAAGAACTCACTCACTATCATGAGGATACTAGCAAGGGGGATGGTGCTAAGCCATTCATCTGCCCCCCCGATCCAATCACTTCCCTACAGGGCCCCATCTCCAATGCTGGGGATTACAACTCAGCATGAGATTTGGGCAGGGACACACATCAAAACTATGTCACACAGAAGTTGCAAAAGCACACAGAGATCCCAAGTGCCATTCACCCAATTCCCCCAATTGGTACATATTAATAGCTATAGTACAATACCAAAACCAGGAAATTTACATTGGGTACAATGTGTATGCATAATTTTATGACATCACATGCATATATTGTGCAACAATCATCATAATCAAGATACAGAACTAGTACATTAGCACAAAGATTTCTTCATAGTACCCCTTTATAATAACATTCACCCTCCACCCCACCACCATCTCTGACTCCTAGCAACCACTAATCTGTTATCCAGCTCCACAATTTTGTCACTTTTAAAATATTATATAAACAGAATCATGCAGTATGAGGCCATTTAGTATTGACTCCTTTCATTGAGCATTTCTTTGAAACCAATTCAAGTCATTTCATATATCAACAGTCCATTCCTTTTTATTGCTGAGTGGTATTTCGTTATGGAGGTAGTACAGTTTGTTTACTCACATATTGAAGGACATTTTGGTTGCTTCCAGTTTGAGGGTGTTAAAAATAAAGCAGCCATGAACATTTGTGTACAGGTCTCTGTATGGACATTAGTTTTTCTTTCTCTAATGTAAGTGCTCAGAAGAGAAATTGCTTCATTGTATGATAAGTATAAAATTACTTCTATTATTATTACTATATTTTAAGTTTTAGGATACATGCGCACAACGTGCAGGTTTGTTACATATGTATATAATTACTTTTTTAAAGAAAATGCCAAAAAATTTCCCCAAATAGCTGTGTGCTCTTACATCTCCATCAACAATGTATGAGAGATGCAGTTTTCCAGTTTTTCAGCCTCTTCATCAGCATTTGGTATTCTATTTTTTTTTTATTTTAGCTGTTCTAATAGGTATACAGTGATACCTCATAATGGACTTAATTTGCAATTTGCATTTCCTTAATAGCTAGTGATGTCGAACATCTTTTCATGGGCTTTGTTGCTGTGTCATCTGTATATCTTTTGTGATAAAATGTTCCCTTGTGTCTTTTGCCCACTTTCTAGTTGAATTGTTTTTTTTAACTGTTGAAATTTTAGAGTTATTTACATATTCTAGATATGAGTCCTTTGTCAGATATGTGGTTTACAATTTTTTTTCAGTTCATAGCTTGTCTTTTTATCCTTCTAACAAGGTATTTCACAGAGCATAACTTTTGAATTAATGTAATATAAATATATAATTTGTATATATGCATACATACATATGATATAATAAATATACATATATGCACAATATAAAACTATAGAGACACTAGTTTAGGTCCTTTCCAATGACATTGTTGTCTGGATCAGAAATTCTGCTAGTGTTTATAAGTTATGTCTTGGCAGTAGCAGGTGAGATAGCCAATGTCATGGTTTATTCTGTGTCAGGTACATTAGAATAATGGGCATCCAAAATGCAGAGAAGCATGTGGGTAAACTGCTACTAATCCTTGTCAGTTATACATTAAAATGGCCTATCCTTTATAAGACTTTTGAAACACTTTCATTCAGGATAGTAACTGTTTCGTAAGCAGCGTAAGAATGACTACAGAGTCTGAGATTAAGAAAATTGGAAGGTGGTACTCAAAGAGATAGAAGTTATACAGTATAGCTTAATACACTTTCTTTAGGTATCAAAGTTTGTAAGAAGTAGCTGTGCTACATTTCATAGTTGGTTAAACTAAATACATACATTGGAAAGCAAGATCTAAACATTCAAGGACTGTGAGCATCCTTAAAAGGGCGAATTTATGAGGTAGCTAGATTTATTGTAGCAGTAAAGTGAAAATAAGGACGCTTGGTCTATCTTTTCCAATTGTCTGGATTTTATTTGTTTATTATTCTTGATTAAGTCTCATTAGGAGTGTTAACATAAAACAAGAAGATGAGTACTTTTCCTTCTAAGTTGCAGATTCAGTGTTACTAATTCTAGATTTCACCTGATAGATAGACTGTATATTACAACTATATATGATATTGCTTTACTTAATGCCTGGCTAAAGAAGCAGGTAATTTACTGGCAACCCTGGCCCACACTTTCACGTGGCAACAACTGGCTGATGCTGGGTGGTGGTATCTGCCTCTTTCCTGGGGTGTTCCCTCTCTGGCTCATTTCAGTCCCTACGTGTATAAAATCTCTTAATCTATATTAACTAAGGGGAAATAGTTTCCCTTGGCATGCATTTATTTTTAATAATCACAAAGACTAACTCCAGCAATAACAAAATACTTTCTGGTTCTAAAATCAACTTGTCTCTACAAAACAACTTCAATATTTTATTTGAAATAGCTTCTTAATATAAATCTAGAAGGTATGTTCAAATTTTTAATTTAGTGATTGTCTTCAGTAATATGTATTCAGAACTCTCTTCCCAGAAATTGTTTTTTAAAGATGCTTGCTTGAACTGCAAAGAAGAAGCAATTTTGAAATTAATAAATTTGTAGCATAAAGGATATTCCACAAAGCAACTTGGCTTTCCTCCCTTCTTTATGAGCTGCCGGCTTTGGACAAAATAAACTTTTCTGGTGGTGACTGACTTGCAGATCATTGAAGACCACCCTTCCCATGAGGAAGAGGTCAGCAATTAGATAAGGTGCTGGTGGATTAACCTTAACACCAGGAACTGTCCACCTGGGGCTTAGAGTTCATTTTGTTCTTTCAATTAAGTTCCTAACAGATTCTTGAGGAAATAAGGGGAAAAGGGCAAACTAGCTTGAAAATCAGCACACACTAGTGAGGGCAAGAATCACAGTAATGAAAATGTATTCCAGATATATCTTTCTAAAATCCATAAAACAATGTGTCATAGAAAGGGCAGACTTAGAAATGACAAAACAATATCCTCTCAGTCCAATGATGGAATTATTTATTCTGGTGGGTGGCACTTCCAGAAATATATTTAATAAATTAAATACTTATAATAAAACATTAACCTAATTTGTCCCAAGAATGTCTGTTGAATCTCTTTCTTTCTTTTATGGTAGAGAGAGTGAAGCTAGTGGCAGTTTGCCATGGTTATGTGATATCCTGGCAAGAAAATGCCTCATGTTATATCACAAACATATGGTCTGGTAATGATTTTATATTATATTTCTTTAGCGCTTTATTCCCATTTTTAGGAGACCTCTTTTAGACAAGAGCACTATGTTTTCTTGTAGACCTATCACATCAACTGTTAACACATGTCTCTACTTTTAGAGTTCACAATAGTTAAAAAGTTAAAAACGTAACCTTATGTTACTTGTGACCTAAATTTTGATTATGCAGTAAAGTTGATCGCTGGAGCTCATCTGTGTTGAAGTTACTGGTTCTCTGTTTTCCTTTCAACTAATGAATTCTCTCTTTCTTTTTGATGGTTCATGTTCCTCATGTTACAACTGACTAAACTGGAATATGTACAAAATATGGCGACCAGGATGGTAAGATGACTCCAAACTTAAGGTTGCAAGCTAGCCTCCCATAAGCCAAATCTGGCCCACATATGTGTTTTGTTTGGCTTACAGAGTGTTTAAACATTTTTCTGAATTAGTTGCCAACATTTAAAAATTGGGAGATTTCAAATAGAAATCTTGATCTTCAGGTTTTTGAAAAAAAATCACTGGCAGGCCTGGCCGCCACTTTTCAAATGGCAACAACTGGCAGGTGCTGAGTGGCATCTGCCTCTTTCCTGGGTTGCTCCCTCTCTGGCTCACTTCAATCCCATCCGACGTGCACAACAAATTGGATTCGTGTACATTAGATGTCCCACCCCTGTTGACATCTGAGTTGGAGACTCTTCTTTTCAATGATGTCATATGGGAACTTTGGAGAAAATTGATAATGTGTGATAATGAAAGATAGGTAGCTATCTTCAAATACCTGAAGGGTTGTACTTGGAAGGTGTGAATAGATAAGTAAGGTACTGTGGCCTCAGAGGGCAGAAAAAGTTGAAAAGAAGGCAGATGTCTCCATGCAGCAAAATAACATCTTGAATGGTGGCCTGACCACAGAAGGAATGAGTTGCCCTAGGACAAAGAGAGACTCCCATCACTGGAAGTGTGCAAGCAGGAGGTGGGCATGGGCAACAGCAGGGGCTGGTGAGCTGACCAGTGACCTCCAAGGCCCCACCGGATCCATGAATCTATACGATGAGTTTTTTAACCAAACTCTTTCTTTTTGGAGCTGTAAGTGGAGCTTCTGCTAATTGAAAAGCAAATTTGAATTTTAAAATATTAAAAGAACATATAGGTCTTTGACTGGCATAGTTTTGGACTCACTGGGGTAAGGTCTAGTGAATGCCAATGTTATCCTTCTGAATCACATGCAGCCTCCTGATTAGATTGGTTTCGGAGTGTTACTCTCTAGTCATAGGGCATTTGATTTCCTTTCTAACAACACATGGCAATCAGATGTACGGTTTTCCTTCTGGGGAAAAACATCGATTATTTAAAAAACAGTAACATCAGCATAACTGTCAGAAAACGGGAAAAAAGGCACAGTGGTACTGAAAATCACTCTGAAGCTTTTATTTGCTGAAGGGAGTAAAGAAAGAATATATAATGTCCTTAAAGTCTTTACAAACCACTGAAAAATTACAATAATTGCCTTGTAAATAAACAGTGATTGGGAAAGCCTAAGATTGGTGTAGGCAGATCTTTCCCCATTCAGGTTTTGCCTTTTTACATAGACTAGGCATTGGCAAACTGAAGGCCAAATCCAGCCCATAACAGGTTTTTGCAAATAAAGCTTTATTGGAATATAGACACACATATGTTCACATATTGTTTATGGCTAGTTTTGCATTGCAGTGTCAGAGTTGAGTCCGGTAGTCCCTCTGTTATCCAAGAGGGAGGGAGATATGTTTCATGGCCCCCAGTGGATGCCTGAAACCATGGAGAGTTAGGAACCCTATGTATAGTATGTTTTTGCCTATACATACCTATGACAAAGTTTGAAATGAGACAGCAAAACTAGCATAGATTTCCTTTTTCTTCCTCACAATTTCATGGATAGCAGATTCATTCTCATTGCAGATCTTAGCAACCTCAGCATATAATTTTTTTTCTTTCCTTAAGTCAAGAGCTTTCCACTTTTTCACTTAAAGGAAGCCCTTTCCTCTTCCTCTTTGGCATATCCAAATCACCAGCATCACTCCTTTTGCACTTTGGGGCCATAATTAAGTAAAATAAGAGTCATTTGAACACAAACACTGCAATACCAAGACAGTCAATGTGATAACAGAGAGCGCTACCAAGGGACTCACGGGTGAAGAGTGTAGACAGTGTGGATAGGTTGGACAAGGGGAAGATTCATGTCCTGGGTGGGATGGAACCAGATGGCAAGGGATTTCAGCACACTACACAGAATGAGGTGCCTTTTGGAGCTTAGGAATTATTTATATTCTGGAATTTTCTATTTAATATTTTCCAAATGCAGTTGACAGATAACTGAAAATTCAGAAAGTGACACCAGGGATAAGGGGGTCGGGGGGAGGGCGCTACTGTAGTTCTAACACAGACTGTCTGGCCCCCAAACCTAAAATATTTATTTTCTGGCCCTTAACAAAAACAGTTCACTGATCCTTGACATAGACTAGCTAATTTATACTATTTTATATAACTATCACTTGTCAGTAAAACAAAAAGTCAAGTGAGGTCTCTATCTTGATGCTCCTATGGAAGAAAATACTGTACTTTCCCATCTAAGGGGTATATAAAAAGTAGCATTTTTTCTGTCTACTGGCTTCTATGTCTTTGTTTTCATCTTCTGCCTTCTGAGACACAAATTTGACACCTTTTCATTTTCACACAAAGAACATATGCATGCAGAAGTATCAGGGAGTTATGTACACTTCACTAAAGTGTTTAGGGGAGGTGGAAAGTGAAAGAGAGGTGTCACCTTCCCCATAGTAAACAATTTTTAAATCCCTTTTAAAACTTCTTCCAGAATTCTTTTTGTCTGAAAGCTGTTAAAAACTTAGCAACTGAAAGTTCCTTACCAATTTTGATTATACCCAAGATAAGAGAGAGGAAGCAAAACAAGATGGTTATTTTCTTTTTTTTATTATTATACTTTAAGTTTTAGGGTACATGTGCACATTGTGCAGGTTAGTTACATATGTATACATGTGCCATGCTGGTGCGCTGCACCCACTAACTCATCATCTAGCATTAGGTATATCTCCTAATGCTATCCCTCCCCCCTCCCCCAACCCCACAACAGTCCCCATAGTGTGATATTCCCCTTCCTGTGTCCATGTGATCTCATTGTTCAATTCCCACCTATGAGTGAGAATATGCGGTGTTTGGTTTTTTGTTCTTGCGATAGTTTACTGAGAATGATGATTTCCAATTTCATCCATGTCGCTACAAAGGACATGAACTCAACATTTTTTATGGCTGCATAGTATTCCATGGTGTATATGTGCCACATTTTCTTAATCCAGTCTATCATTGTTGGACATTTGGGTTGGTTCCAAGTCTTTGCTATTGTGAATAATGCCGCAATAAACATACGTGTGCAGGTGTCTTTATAGCAGCATGATTTACAGTCCTTTGGGTATATACCCAGTAATGCGATGGCTGGGTCAAATGGTATTTCCAGTTCTAGATCTCTGAGGAATTGCCACACTGACTTCCACAATGGTTGAACTAGTTTACAGTCCCACCAACAGTGTAAAAGTGTTCCTATTTCTCCACATCCTCTCCAGCATCTGTTGTTTCCTGACTTTTTAATGATTGCCATTCTAACTGGTGTGAGATGGTATCTCATTGTGGTTTTGCAAGGCTGGTTCAATATATGCAAATCAATAAATGTAATCCAGCATATAAACAGAGCCAAAGACAAAAACCACATGATTATCTCAATAGATGCAGAAAAAGCCTTTGACAAAATTCAACAACCCTTCATGCTAAAAACTCTCAATAAATTAGGTATTGATGGGACGTATTTCAAAATAATAAGAGCTATCTATGACAAACCCACAGCCAATATCATACTGAATGGGCAAAAACTGGAAGCATTCCCTTTGAAAACTGGCACAAGACAGGGATGCCCTCTCTCACCACTCCTATTCAACATAGTGTTGGAAGTTCTGGCCAGGGCAATTAGGCAGGAGAAGGAAACAAAGGGTATTCAATTAGGAAAAGAGGAAGTCAAATTGCCCCTGTTTGCAGACGATATGATTGTATATCTAGAAAACCCCATTGTCTCAGCCCAAAATCTCCTTAGGCTGATGAGCAACTTCAGCAAAGTCTCAGGATACAAAATCAATGTACAAAAATCACAAGCATTCTTATACACCAACAACAGACAAACAGAGAGCCAAATCATGAGGAACTCCCATTCACAATTGCTTCAGAGAGAATAAAATACCTAGGAATCCAACTTACAAGGGATGTGAAGGACCTCTTCAAGGAGAACTACAAACCACTGCTCAAGGAAATAAAAGAGGATACAAACAAATGGAAGAACATTCCATGCTCATGGGTAGGAAGAATCAATATCGTGAAAATGGCCATACTGCCCAAGGTAATTTATAGATTCAATGCCATCCCCATCAAGCTACCAATGACTTTCTTCACAGAATTGGAAAAAACTACTTTAAAGTTCTTATGGAACCAAAAAAGAGCCTGCATCGCCAAGTCAATCCTAAGCCAAAAGAACAAAGCTGGGGGCATCACACTACCTGACTTCAAACTATACTACAAGGCTACAGTAACCAAAACAGCATGGTACTGGTACCAAAACAGAGATATAGATCAATGGAACAGAACAGAGCCCTCAGAAATAACGCCGCATATCTACAACTATCTGATCTTTGACAAACCTGAGAAAAACAAGCAATGGGGAAAGGATTCCCTATTTAATAAATGTTGCTGGGAAAACTGGCTAGCCATATGTAGAAAGCTGAAAAGATGGTTATTTTCTTACCAAAATTGGCTTGGTTATTTCTGTTTCTTTTGGAGATAAATAGAGGACTCTTGGCAGTTTAAAGTCTGTAATATCTGGTCAAAACATGGGGATCATTGGTCTAGAGGACAGATCTGGTTCATTAATGTGCTATCTCCTAGTTTCCTTAATAATACGTTTCACACACATTCCAGGGAAGTAGCCGTATCTCTGGTGCTGCTGAGATTTACAGTTATCCTAGAAAGTACATTTTGGATGATGGAAGAAGAATACATTGTTGCTAAATATAATCTGTATATACTGTGTAATGAATGGCATTTGCTCAAAATTTGAATATATTGAGGACTTCTGTTGCTGCAGTATGTCAAAGTAGGTATTGTGAAAAACCTTCCTGCTCCAGCATTTGGAAATACTAGATAAGATGTAAACATCTCTTTAAATGCACAGATGAGCTCACAAATGAAGGAAATCCACAAGGACCAAAAGCTAAGAGAGGAGCCCCAAAATTTTTTATTTCTTATCTTCCTTCTATGTAGCATGAAGCTTCTTGGATCGCCTCCAGGGAACGTCAGCTTCTCTCTATTATACCGAGCCCTTTGACTAGGTTCCAGTCTTTACCATCACACTTCCACACAAGTTTTCCACAGAAAGAAAAGCTGCTCTTCTTTCCAAATACTTTGGAATCACTGCTTAGAATGGCATTAAGTGGATGGCACGATGCCAATCACCTTAAACAGAAAGTGATTAAGTGTTTTATACCAGACTGGCATCTTGGCATTCCCCCAATACCATCCCAAGCAGTGGTTCCAAAGTATTTCTATAAACAAGAAGAAATCTATTATATGATTTGTTTTGCCCATTTCATCATCTGAGTTAGAAAAAGAGTCATGTGAATTGGTGGAGCTGAAATTGGTCTTCTGTGAGGCAAAGTGGGTATCATGTGGCCCTTTCTTTCCCATGAATAGAGGACTCTCAGAGAAGCAGCAATCAGGTGGCAGGGGGTGGTGAAGAGGACAGAGCTGGTCAACACATACCCAATAGTTCAAAGGTCATCTCTTGCATTAGTTCCAAAATATTTTCTTATTTCTTCCAGGTACTCATTGAAAAGTACCTCTGATGATTTCACAGGCCTATGTGTACCAGTGAGTAGGAATCAGTCGGAATAGAGAGTGAGGGACAGTGAAAAGAAACTGTGAGGATGCATCATTAATTAGAATACTGTCCATGTCAAGAAGGGCTTCTCTGGAGACCAAATGAGGCACAAAAGATGCCTTGATGTACCAATGGGAAAATTAGGGAAATCAAGAGGCTATGTTGAAATATCTAAAGTTTCTGAGACTGAGTTTAGTTCATTCTGATTCATCCTTCACTCCTTATCAGAAGCTCACATATCACTTCTTTAAAGAAGAGTTTCCTGACACCTCTAACATCTCTGTCATGTCCCCCTGTCATTCACTCTTGTAACTCTTGAATTTGATTCCTTTGTGTGACTTGCAATGATTGTAATTGCCTAAGTAATTAATTATGTGATTCATTGCTTAACACATACCTCTCGTCTGAAAGCACATTACATGAAAGCAAAGACCTTGTTGGTCTCATCCACTGCTTTATTTTCAGTGCCTAGCACATGTCAGGTACAGAGTTGGGATGGTTAAGTGAAAGAGCTATAAAATTACTGCAATGATAAGGTTATAGCAATTATAATATTATGTCTATCCATGATGCACCTTTTAGCAGTGCTTTTCAAATTTTTAAAAACTGCCATCCAGCTAGAAACATATTATACATCCTGATTTGGTAGGTACACACATACACATGAAATCAAAACAAACAACAACAAAATAAAACGTTGCTCTAAACTAAACTGACAATCAGCACACACGTAGCTTATTCTTAAATTTTCTAATTAATTCTATTTCTGTTTTTAAAAGTGCTAGTCATGACCCTCTGAATTGACTCTATGACCTACTTATGAATTGTAACCTCCAGTTTGAAAAACCCTGCCCTAGGGCATTTCATAATCATAACATGCAATTGGATATTGATTGTGTTCAAATTTTGCTTTCATTCGTCTGTCTCTATATATTTCATAGAATTTAGATAAATTGTAGACACAGCACAAATACTTGTTAAGGGCTTCAAAACTCCTTAAATTAACATTCATTTGGCAAAGCCCCACTGTGGGTACTTACAGGCAGAGGACGCTGTAGGGCAGATGGCCCACTATACCGAAGTTCACTGAACCCTAAGTAATAATTTACTTGTAGATAGTATAATTTACCTGACATTCTGACTGTACATTTATAATTAGATTTGGATTTCATGCCCATTTTTACTTTGCATCAGACTAACATATGCTGTGCTACAGATGGAAGTCCCAGGTTATTTAGCATCAGGGGCCCTGGGGTCTTGTGATTCCAAATTAGACTTGGGTGTACATATAAACCATGCAAATTAGGCTGTGGCCACATGCTCAGCAGTGCCAAAAGAAATCAGGTAACAAGTCTAGAATGTATTGAGATCTGCCTCTCCTTGCTGGGAAAGTTTTTGTTAGTCCTGGAGATTGAGGTGTTCTGAGAGTAAACACTCAGCTCTAATTGCCATGCATGTGTTTCTTTGGTCACCAAGACAGCCTGAGGCGGGGAGGCATGCTGCTCCCAGGCTCAATCACGTCAGTAGAGAGGGGATAAATTCGCAAACTGGCCAGAATTTGTGTGGGCTCAATATCTGAAAAGTATTTTCACATGTGGGTGACTGAAGTTGTATTCTTCTATGGCTGATGCTGTATCAGTGGGAAGAAGGCTCTCTGTTATTTTCTCTCTTGCTTTGGTTACATATTGTTTGTTGTCTAATACCTGTATGCCTGGAAGTAATCCCAAACCTGACCTTATTTGAAATCACTTGTGCTTTCATAGCTCAAGACTGGCTTTGGGGACATCGGTGTGGGCCCACCATGACGGGTGAGAGGATTCCTCTCTTCTACAGTATGCTAGTTTCACACTCCTCTTTTTGATGGTGTAATGTCTTAAATTTGTGAGAGTAAAATTTGTATGGAAAAACAAATTTGAACCATAATCAAGTGTATGCAAGGCTAATTTGTTCAGTCAACACTCAAAAATCCCATTAGAATTCATCATATCCACAGGCTAAAGAAGAAAAGTTACATGATTATATCAATAGATGCAGAAAAAGCATTTGATAAAATCAAACACATGTTTATGATTTTGATTATATCAATGGATGCAGAAAAAGCATTTGATAAAATCCAACACATTTATGATTTTAAAAATCTCAGAACAAACCTCTCAGTAAACTAGAAGAAGGGGTACATCTTACTCAACTTGATCAATAAAGTCTACAAAAAACCTAAGCTAATATTATACCTAGTGGTAAGAAACTAGAACTTTTCTACTAAGATCAGTAACAAGGTGGGGATTTCCTCTCTCACTACTCTTTTGCAACACCACACTGTAAGTCCTAGCTCATGCAAAAAGACGAGAAAAGGCAGTGAAAACTATACTGATTGAGGAATGAAGAAATAAAACCATCTTTGTTCACAGACGATATGATCTCTATGTAGAAAATCCCAAAGAATCAAGAAAAAACTCCTGGAACTGATAAGTAATTATGACAAGTTTGCAATATACACTGCTAATATCCAAAAGTTAATTGTTTTTCTATATACTAGCAAGAAACAAGTGGAATTTAAAAGAAAAATACAGTACCATTTCTATTATGACCCCCAAAATGAGGTAATTTGATATAAATCTAACAAAATACAAGTAAGGTCTATAGGAGGAAAATACAAAACTCAGGTGAACAAAATCAAGGAACTGAATAAATAAACAGTTCATATTGGTGAATAGAAAAACTCAATATCATCAAGGTGTCAGTTTTGCCCAGTATGATCTGTAGATTCAATATAATCCCAGTAAAAATCCCAGCAGTTATTTTGTGGATATCAACAAACTGATTCTAAAATTTTTATGGAGAGGTAATTGACCCACAATATCCAATACAATACTGAAGGAGAAGAACAAAGTTGACGGACTATACTCTCCAACTTCAAGACTTACTACAAAGCACAATAATCAAGACAGCATGGTATTGGAAAAAATATAAACAAATTGGTCACTGGAACAGAACAGAAAGCTCAGAAATAGACTACCATAAGTATAATAAATTGATCTTTGACAAAAAGGCAAAGGCAATACAATGGCGAAAAGAGGGTCTTTTCAACGATTGGTGTTGGAACAGCTGGACATTAACATACAAAAAAATAAATGTAGACACAAAGCTTACACCCAAAAATTAACTCAAAATGGATCACAAACCTAAATACGAAATGCAAAACTATAAAACTCTTAGATGATAATATAGAAGAAAATATATATGACCTTGGGTTGGCAATATCTTGTTAGACAAGACACCATCACCAAAGGCATGATCCATGAAAGAAATAATGGATCAGCCAAACTTTATTAAAATTAAAATTTCTGCTTTGCAGAAAACTCTTTCAAAGAATAAAAATACAAGCCACAGACTGGGAAAATATTTGCAAAAAACCATCCGATAAGAAACTATTATTCAAAATATACAAAGAACACTTAAAACTCAACAATTAGAAAATAAGCAACCCAATAAGTAAATGCATCAAAGACCTGTACAGACACTTCACCAAAGAAGATATGCAGAGAGACACATAAGCACACGATTAGATGCCTCACATAATATTCACCAGGGAAATCCAAATCAAAACAATGATATACTACTACATACCTATTAGAATGGCCCAAATCCAGAACACTGACAAAAGCAAATGTGGTCAAAGATATGGAAAAACAAGAATTCATATTCATTCCCTGTGGAAGGACAAGAGTAAAACCACTTTGGAAGATAGTTTAGTTGTTTGTTTCAAAACTAAACATACTCTTACCATATGAGCCAGCAATTGTGCTCTTTACCCAAAGAATTGAAAACTTACGTAAACATGAAAAGTTATATAATTACAATGACTTGCACATAGATGTTTATAGCCACTTTCTTCATAATTGCCCCAACTTGGAAGCACTCAAAATGCCCTTCAGTAGGTGAATGTATAAATAAACTGAGGTTCATCCAGGCAATGAAATATTATTCAGTGCTAAAAAAAATGAGCTATTAAGCCAGGAAAAGACAAGAGGAAACTTAAATACATGTTACTAAGTGAAGGAAGTCAATCTGAAAAAGCTTCATGCTGTGTGATTGCAACTATATGATATGCTGGAAAAGTCAAAACTATGCAGAGAATAAAAAGATCAGTGGTTGCCAGGGGTTAGGGAAAAGGGAAGGATGAATGGATGGAGCACAGAGGATTTTTAGGGCAGCAAAATATTCTGTATGATACTACAATGATGGACAAAGGTCATTGTACATTTGTCCAAACTTATGGAATGTGCAACACCAAGAATGAACCTTGATGTACACTATGAATATTGAGAGATAATAATGTGTCAATGTAGATTCATCAGTTGTAACAAATGTATCACCCAAGATGGAGATATTGATAATGGTGGAGGCTATGCATGTGTGAGAGCAAGAGGTATATGGAATTTCTCTGTACCTTCCTCTTAATTTCGCTGTGAACCTAAACCTGCTTTAAAGAAAACTAAAATAAATCTTATAAAGAAACTTTGTGTGGGAATGAGCAAAAATCTTAAGTACAGCTCAATAAATTTTTACAAAATGAACATACCCGAGCAATTAACACTCATATCAGGAAACAGGCATTTCCAGTTATGCTGAAAGCATAATCCATTCTTCCTTCCAATTACTATCTCTTTCCCCTGGTGACAATTATCCTACTATCTCATATAATAGATGACGTTTGCCAGTTTCTGAATTTTATATAAATGGACTCCTATAGAAAGTACTTTTTAAACATATCTGGCTTCTGCCACTTCACTTCATGTCTTTGAGATTAATCCATGTGGTCGACTTTAGCTGTAGTTAGATCATTCTTACAGCTGTATATCACTCCATTGTATGAATAGAACACAACCTTCATATGCAGTCTACTGTTCATGGACATTTTGGTTATTTCGAGTTCTGGGGGCAATTATAAATAATTATATGAACATTCTTGTGTAAGTCTTCTGGTGAGTCTATGTATACATTTCTATTGCTGTACCTAGGAATAAAATTGTGGGAATGTAAGCTGTGAAGATGCTCAGCTTTAGCTGAAACCTCTAAGCAGTCCTCCAAAGTGGCTGTATAAATTTACATTCCCACCAACAGAGTATGCAAGGCCCAATTGCTCCATGTTCTTATATTGTTGGTCTTTTTAATTTTAGCTCCTCTTACCAATATTTTTAATTTGAAGAGCCTGTACTTTAGAATTAGACATACATGACTTTTATTCATGTTGTACCGAGTTTATGTCATCTCAGCAAGTCATGTTTCCTCTCTGATTCTTGTTTTTCTAATCTGCAACACGGCATTAAAATAGTTACCTCATAGTTGAGTTGGAAACAATCAATGCAATAATGTATGTGAAATAGTAACTATTGTTTCTTAAGCATCTATTATGTACCACTATGTTAAGTGTTTACCTACACTAGGGAGTGGAAGACACAACACTTATGAGCAACACCAGTTATAATAGCTCTATTCTCCCTCATCAGACTTGCAAACATCTGGCATTCTGTAAAGTGGAGAATATGGGTTAATCTCACTATTATTCCTGGAAGATTGGACTGCTAAATTTCCCAAGACTAAAGAGGTAAAATCTAGTGCTTTATAGTCACTGAAAAAAAGTATCAGGACATCATTGGGACAGATGTGATTTGGTGTTTGCTATTTGAGGACTCAGAGTCCCAGCATTATATCAGAGAGTGATAAAAGAAACAGCTTGGAGAAGACCAAGGAACAAGCAGGTGAAGACATGTACTTTTATTTTTCACCAAATTAAGAACAAGAAATGACTGTTTTGGGGCATCAATTATGCTTTCAAAATGCTTTTGTTATAGAGTCTACATATGAATGCACTCATTTGTCAAAACTTCACCACATCTTTTTCTGCAAAGAGGTATCATGTTGCCTTAAGAATTGAACAGTAAAGTTGTTTATAGTCTGTCTCCCTGCCCAATTTATGAAAGCTAAAAACCCCCTCAATTTTAGAAGAACGAGCCCATGATTTTCAGAAGATGTGGAGAAATCTTTATATTAGTAGATCTCTTTCAATAATTGGTATAAATCCAACAGCTCTTCAAATATTAGGGCTTTGTCTACACACCAGGAAAATAAACATTTAAGAAACATAAGATAAAACATCACAGACATTGTGGTTGCCAGTTGAAAGTGGACCACTCATTCTCCCTCTGTTACTGCCATATTACTGGGGAGGGAGGAGGAGGTGATTTGTATGAGCTTTCTTGGCTGTTAAGGACCCACTCCCATTTAGGTTCACAAACATAAGTCTCTTGGCTCTTACTGAACCATTTTCTCACTTGTCTTCAAGTTTAGCAAATAATTGTAGCATCCTTCCCAATACAAAGCTGTTTAGAAACTATGGGAGAATGATTCTTAAGTTAATAAACTTGAAACACATTTTCCCAACATAGTTACTTTAATTTTTAAAGGCTTATATAATTTAAGGGAATTTAAATCCATGTGTTTCTTATTCACTTGCACTGACATCATCAAAATGGCCTTTTTAAACAGCTGGTTGAAACTTTTTTAATAAAGTTCTCTTATGACTTCTTTCATTTTAAAAACAGAATTTTTTTTTTTTTGGCCAAAGGCGAATGAACTTAAATGCAAAAAGATTTGGATTTAGAACAAAATTCCAAACCCGTAAATTTGGAGGTTGAAATTTTTGCAAATAGACTCCTGACTCCCCATTGAAATTAGTTGCAAAAAAAAAAAATACCATTTGGATGAAGCTCATGGTCAAACCCACCTTCAGACAGCTAAAGAAATGTCTGTATTTGCTGCTTAATTTTGTGCCAAATCTGAAACAAATCAATGTACGATGTGTATCTGATTATTACAGAAATGTGATCTACTGCCAAGTAGTTGACTTTTCCACCATCTCTGGTTATCATGTGTAAACCACAATGCCATATTCTCCAGAGGTTAGAAACCCAACACACTAGCGCTGTCTGAGGTTTGTGAGATGTGATTGTTTTAACAGAGTCGTTTTGGAGAACAGTCCTTTGCTAGACATTGTAAATGCTCATTACACACACATACAGACACACACTTGTATAGATATAGATATAGTTACAGGATATGTATGTATGTAGGTTCTACATCCCTGGGGATTTTTCTCTTTTAATAACAATACTCTCCTCTAAGGTATGCCTAATGATTTGGCAAGTGTAATTATAATCTGAGAACACAATGTGTGAAGGATTTCGGGCTAAATATATCCATATGGTGCAGTCAAAGCAAAACTCTTAATACCAAAAAGCTTTAACAATTGAGACTGTTTTTCTCCTTGTCAAAATGTATATAGCTAAGCAGTAATCAGAGAGATGTATGGCTGAGGGAAGTTGAATTTTACAGGAATCTCTGAAGCAAACAGGCATTCTGATCTCCTGGAGACCTTGGGCAGCACTGCAAAAACCCACGCTCTATTTGAGAAACAAATTCTTTTGCCATCAAGAAACCCTGCAAAAGGTAATTCCTCTGGAACAGGAAACCTTAAAGAGGAAGAACGAAGAAGAAAGGGATGAGGGCTCTGATTTTATTTTACAATTGAGATTTTAAAAGGAGAAGCTTTATATATATACACACACTCATAGGAAGATGCATAAATATTAGCAGATCCAGGCTTCTGTTAAAAATAGAAACCGAGATTTTTATCTTTATATTATTGCTAACAGATTTGATTCCATTATTCTCTTTTAAGGCTAGCTCCACATTTTCCTATAGTGTGAAACTTATTTGCTATTAAAACTTTGGAGGCTTTAAAACCAGTTCTCAAAATCCAGTTTGTATGATATTAAAAGAAAATTTACGATTTTACCAAAATCACTTGGTAGCAGAATAAAACTACTCATCATTTAAGAAACTGTAATGAGGACAAATTTAAAGCAAAAATTCGGATTTACAAAGGAGATGATGCCTCTTATGTATTTTACTTTGGTCCAAGCTTTCTCATAGGTATCTCATTTAATTTTTAAAACCTTGTCTAGGAGGTTAGATTGGAGACCATTGTTCACAATTAATATATACAGAAACTTTGGCATATAGAGGTATAGTAGAATAAATGAATTTCATTATGAATATGCAGTCACAGAATTTTTAGTGGATTCACTGCAGGGTTCATTTAAGTATGAATTTTCATTGTGCATTGAATAACTGGATAAAGGTTGGAGACAAAATATAGAAATAAGGCAGGAAAAAATTCTAAAGGAGCTATCACCCATTGAAGATCAAACTGAAAGAGTTGCCAGTGACAAATAGGATTTGATTTAAAGAAAGACATTTGATTTATACCTTTCAAATAACTATTTGATTGCATAACATGAAGTACATTTCTATTTGCATTATTAAGCAATAGAAGTTTTCAGAGTGTTTTATATATTGGCTTTTCAGCACAATCCAGAAAATGCTATTTCACATTGGCAGTAAAATTGCTAGATTCTATGACTTAGCTATGTGACCTTGGCAAGTTACAAACTTTCTATACTGCAGTTTCCTCATTTATAATGTGATGGTGATAATATATAGACATATTGTACAAGAATGAAGGTACTAAAATATGTGAAAGTGTTTTGAGTTCCTTATAAGCTACAAAGATCTCATTATGTTCAATTATAATTATACATAGAAGTCTCTCCCCCCACCCTTCTTCCTTTCCTCCTCCCTCTCCTTCACCCTCCCTCCTAAATATGTTCTCTCCTTTTAGAAACATAGGTTGTTAGAACTAGCAAAAAGCCATAGAGATCATACAATTCTATCAAATTAAAAAATAGAGTTACAAAGAAATGAAATGATTTATCCAAGGTCACAAAGGTACAAAGCTAGTTAATGGCCTAAGGAGGTTTAGGTCCCAAGTCACCGGATTTCCCAATCGTAACCTCCTAGGGAAGCATTCTAGCAGAGTTGTTAAGAGCATAATAAGATTTGGTGACAAGCAAATTGGGGTTTCATCTCTACCACTGACCTGCTCTCTGCATTTGTAAAATAAGGCTAAAAACAGCATCCAACTCCTGGCATTACTGTGAAGTATTAAACACTTAGAAGAATGCCTAGAGCTGACTAGCACTGAATGAATGTTATTGATTGTTATCATTTTCAGCGCATTTCACTGCTTCTTTTAAGATAGCTTAGACTGCCTCTATCTCCATTTTTTCTAAGACAGACCCAGGATTCTTGGGTTGCATCTTTAATGACCCAGGCAGTTCTAGTACAGCATGTCAATAACTAACTTGAGTGCTCGCAACACAACACTTTGAAAGGGGTAGTAGAATGATACTACTCATCAGTAGAGATGAGCAAACTGAGGCACAGGTAAGTAATTTGTTCAAGCCCTAAGTGGCTCCAGAGTCTTTTTTTAAATCACTCTGATACACTGCAGCAAAAGCAATGGGAGATCATTCAGCCTCACATAGTCCAGGTGAGCAGAAATGGGAAGTCAGGAAATGTAGTGCCATCTCCATCATTCATAGTATATATCTGTAGAGAACTGTCTGCTGTAGAATTACATGCACATAACTCCCAGTCTGCGAAGGAAGTGGGTTCCACAATTGTAACATGAGAGAATCGCCGTTGGCCTGGAGACTATGCCAAATCCCCCAAGAGTAAAAACAAAGGAGATGCCACGTGTAAGTCCCCATGGGTGTTTGTCCAAGACCAGCCTACATGGGACCTCTCTCTGCTTGAGGCAACCCTGGCAATCAAGCATCCAAATAGCTGAAGCTCAAGGTTAAAATGGTAGATTCCTCCTGAAAAACCTGCCCACAGATGTCATCATCTCAGGAAGTTGTGTTCATCCCCCATTTGGGGGGCATTAGATTGGTAAGTACCTCGGTGTTAAAAAGCTCATTTTAAAGTAAAGATGAATGTTTAATTATTGTTTGATTTGGGGTTGCAGCCTTTCATTTTTCAAACATCTCAAGTGCAGAGAATGAAAATTGCAGAGAATGAAAATTGTTACCTAAGAAACTATTGAAATTCTCTTAAACTCTTGTGGGTATGTATTATGTATTCTTCTAGTTCTCTGCCAGGGACATAAGTCAGAAACTGTCCTGCTGGTTTTGATTACAGCTGCAAAGTCACAGATTTGAACAGCTCTAGACAATCAATTTTCTGAACCTGTACATAAATATAAAACATTTTCTTTATCCTTATCACATAAACCTTCAATTAGGTTTGCTTCAAACTAAATTCCAGGTTTCTTCCATTTTTTTCCCATTTATCATTTTAACAATTAGCAAACCACATTTTTTTTGTGGGGAGTTAAAAAGGTACCCCATTTGCATATTCAAAGGTCACTGTACAGGTTCAAGTTATTTAATATCTTGTGATGATAATTTAACAATCTCTTTTCCTGGATTCAGATAAAATATAAAATTACCTCTGGCTTTTTAACGTGGCACATTTAAAGACACATGATAAATATATGAGATTAAGATAATGACATGAGCAATATAATGGGCCATCAGTTAAGCTGGGGTAAACTTTCCTCATAGCCAGCTTTGGGTCTTTGCATTGTCACTTTAATATTTAAAATGGAGTCGTTGCATTTCAGTAAGCGATATCAAGAACATAATTTGCTAAGACGCCTCTTTATTTGAGGTGCTGTCAGGACTGGCAATGAGAAATGACACAATCCCTCAGTTGTAAGTGACAAGCACCACTATATTAGTCCAGTGCTTGTGTATTTCTCTGCTGGTTTTTGAAAAATTACATTTCCTTTGTGTAACCAGAACAAAAAGAAATAGAAATCAGTTCCATGTGAATTCTGTGGTCCTCTATATTAAACTGTAATTGTTTCCTGGTAAAAAACCAAGCCTGCAGGATTTCCTGAAAAATAATTTACAAGGATGGGTACTGGGTCCAGCTGGCTTTTTCTTTTTTTCTGTGCTTCTGTGATTGATGACACTGCAAGGAGCTGATAGATTTGCTGCTGCTGCATCTCCAGAAAGTTCTTTTTCTTTAAACAAACTGCAATCTTAAAAGAAAAAAAAAAGTATTTACATGGTATTCATTTTTTTGGCTTCCTGGTTTGTAGTTGGTTTTCAACACTGGCACTGCTCTAAGAAACCCAGTTAATGAAGCCAGTTGCATCAATACAACCATGAAGACAGCTTGAATGAATTATTTAAGGTAATGGCCAGGCAGAAATTTGTAATTTGACCTAGTTAGCTCAATAGTAAGCCCTTTAGAAAGGTCATATGGAAAGAATGTTGATTTCAGGATCCTACACAACTGAGTTCAAATCCTTCCTCTCCCACTGCTTAACTTGTACATGTCACTTAAACTTTATGAGTTAGCGTTTCTTCTTCTGCAAAGCTGGAGAAAGATTAAGCTGACTTTTCAGAATAGGAAGCAACAAGCTTATTGTGAAGACCGATTGAGTTAAAAATTGGAAAACACTCTGTACATTTTAGATGGTTTTGCAAATTATAAAGCCTTAAAAATGATAATCAGAGACTTGTGCCTCATTCTTTGAAAATACTGCTGTTATATTAATAACACAAGCTGAGGAATAAAAGCTACCCATCCTCTGCCCTTACTCTGTGTGAGGCATGATATCAGGCATGTAACACACATCATCTCATTTATGCCTCATAAAAGCCTTCTAAGGGATGTATCATTCTTCTCTTTCACAGTAATAATTATTTTTGATAAGTATTGACTGCATGATATATGCCATACACCATGCTAAGTAATTTACACACACAATTTCATGCAATTCTTAAAGTAATCCTAGTAAGAAGGTTCTTTTGTTATCTCTACTGAGGAAACTGAGGTGCAGGGATATTGACATACGCAGACATATGCTAATCAGTTGGACTCATTATACTACCTCCCGCTGAAAATATCAGACCCATTTCTCCTGTACTCTTTGACTTCCTGGGTTTTGACCTTTGACCTCTTCAAGTCTTTAGATATTTTTAAAAATAATTTAGTTTAATTTAATTTTAAGTTCTGGGATACGTGGGCAGGATGTGCGGGTTTGTTACATAGGTAAACATGTGCCATGGTGGTTTGCTGCACGTATCAACCCATCACCTAGTTATTAAGCCCCACGTGCATTAATTGGATTTATTTATTAAAATGTGCAGCAGGACTAGCGGGTAGGAGGATGCAGTGTGATTCATTCTGGAATTTCCAATCCTCTTTCACACACCCTCATTTCACTGTGGCTCTGCACACTCTAGCAGAGGTGTCCAATTTTTTGGCTTCCCTAGGCCACACTGGAAGAAAAATTGAAGAGCTGTCTTGGGTGGCAGATGAAATACATTAACACCAGCAATAGCTGATGAGCTAAAAAACAAAAATGTCTGTGCATAAATCTCATAACGTTTTAAGAAAGTTTACAAATTTGTGTTGGGCCACATTCAAAGCCATCCTGGGCTGCATGTGACCTGTGGGCTGCAGATTGGACAAGCTTACATGTGCAATAACCCTAAGGCCTAGAAGTTTCCCTCTTACCTTTCTTGGTATGCTTCTAGGCAAGGTTTCGCAGCACAAAAGGCATAAATTCCAGCCATATTATGTCATACAGAACAAGGTTAGAATAATGACACGAGCATTCTAATAAACTCCACCTGTGATAGTTTGACTGTATGTTCAACATGGATAATCATAAGACACATGAAGGAAATTATGCCTTCATGCTGCAGAAGGCAATTCTAATTAAGTTCCATAATGGCTTCTCCTTTCATTCCTAATATTTGAGTCACAGTCACATATAATGAAACTTTGGAAGTGTTACATCATGGGAAGAAAAGTCATAAACCTTCAAACCTGCTCTACTGGGGAGGATGGATTGGTGAAATGTATGGGTGACAAATTCTCTAATTTAAACTTAGAAGAGATCTAAGAAGCATAGTAGTAAACCAAATGTGATCTTGAAAGGCCCCAAAGACCTGCCAAAAATTAAATATTCACACCTAGTTGAGTTATCACAAAGATTTTGTCACCATGGACTTTTGCAACTGCTACATATAGGGAATCTTTTTCATTCCAATGTGTTAGATGGCTTCTTAATGACTATTAAGCTTTGTCACTTGCCATGTGTACGTTATGCTGGAGGGCAAAGAAGGACACAGAATAAAATTCCTGTATAAGGTCATTTTACTTGTATTAGCTTTTTGATCCTTGTCCTGAGGATTAAATGAGATAGTATATGCCAGGCACAGAGTAAGCAGTCAATAGATGCTGGTTATTGGTGTTGTCATCTTTTCTTTCTAGACATTCTTCACCAACTCAAACCATGTCCTACCTATTCATTTATCATTGTGGCAGCAAAGAAAGAAGACAAAAGTAAGAGGAAGACATAAAGAGGTACTTAGAAATAGGAGAGTGGAGAAGGTTGTTCCAAGATCTAATGAACGTCTCTAGCCCTTTCACCTCAAGTATTCACAAAAATGTTTATAAACTCAGGCAAAATGCTTTACCTTGATGTGCGTATCTGTAAAAGGGATATGCATTATATGATTGCACTGGCCTCCTTCAGGGTGGACATGCTGTTTGACAAACTATGTCATAATAGAAAAATAGGCAGCTAAGGACCAAAAACCCAGATTTCTGCTGAATCCCTGAACATTAGTGGGAGGCACTGTGTGTATGTGTAAGATCTCATTCACTACACTTCCTTCTGTGCCAGAAATAAAAGTAATTTGCCTTAAACATAGCTGTTCTCACTGACCTTTCTGCTGTGAAAAAGGAAGTTCTTAAGACTCTCATGAGGACAAAGCAACATGTGACATGTTCATCTTAACTTTTCAATATGAAAAAATACAAAGCATAATGCAGGTTATATAGATTGATAAATTTAGATATATGCATACATCTATGAATACACACATACATTCTATTGTGCTTAAAATATTTTTGTTCATGACATACCCTTGTTGTTGATTTGTACGAGGCCTTCTCTTTGTTTTGATAATATATTAGTTACCAAAAAAACCACCCCCATCATAGAATCTAGAACCTTTGAAATTACTTACATATTTTTTGTTGGTATTACCTCATCCTATCTCTATTTCCTCCTAAAAATAACCATGTCTCAAATCATGTGTCCATCATCAGCTTGCTTCTCACTGATATCATTTTATCATGTCTAAAAATTATACTTTCATTTTAGTTGATTTTAACTTAAAAATGCTGTATATAATATTCTGGGACTTATAATTTTTACATAAAAATTTTACAAAATTTTTACAATTTTACATTGATTCATTGCTAAGATGAATCAATTTTGTTTCATGTAGTTATTGCATTTTTTTTGATGCTTATATTGTTTTCCATTTTATGAATATACCACACCATCTATTCTTCTGTCAATAGGCATTTGGAGTATTTCTTCTTTTTGCAATCTGCCTTGCCTGACATGTCAATGTTTATTAAGCAATAATAACAAAATGAAGACCCAGTGATTTTCTTTAAGCACTTCTCCAATTCAGACATATTGTCATGAAACTAACCAAAAAGGAAAGAATAGAGGTTGAATTCATTTTAGTAAGGACTTCTATTTAGGAGTAAGGGGGTGTGTATTTTAATAAAGACTGCTATCTGCCTACTAACTCCAATGAATGTATTTCTGTAAAGATTTTATCATACCCCAATTAGCCATTTTCAATAAATAAAAATAGCTTTGCCATCTTGAGCAAGTTTTTGTGTTTCAGTTTCTTTCTCTGTGAAAATAACTGGTCTGACCACTGTTAAAAATCAGTGTCTGCTCCAACTGTCTGATTCTAGGACCTGAAAGAAAGAAAGAAACGGACCTATCTATAGATTGAAAACCTAGCATTTATTGTGCAATTATGAAGTACATGATACTCTATACTTTATAAGAAGTTGTTTATTTAATGCTCACAAAAAACTGATTAGGTAGATGCTACTATTATTCTCCTTTTGGAGATAAGGAAACTGAGGCAAAGATGAGTAAAAAACATATATATATATATATATATATATATATATATATATATATATGGTTTTATATATCTAGCCTAATAAATCATAGAATGAGAATGGAAATCCATGTAACCCTAAAGCCCAAACCCACTCTCTTGGCCAAAGCACTCTGGATTCTTTAAAGCCACCATAGCAATTGTCTGATTTCCCTAAAGTTCTAAGGGGTAATCATTGTTAAATTCAACCACACAAATTTAATCTCTAGCTAGAAGAGCTTTCTGCCACAAACCAAAGAATGAAATTCACAACTTTCTTGGATAGAGGTTTTATCCATCAGTATCTGATTTTAAAAACCACATATGCATTTTTTGACTTGTTACAGTGAACCATTCATAAGTGAACAGAGTAGAATGAAAGTTGTTTAGACTGAAGATGTTGTAATGAATTTTGATGAAGTACTGTTGTCTCACCCATGTTCCAAACTGTCAGATGATGGTGTGCTTTGTAGACATCACCCCATAATATGACTGTAGCACCATGGCAAATTTAATTCAAAATGTAGAAATTAACGCAATATTTGAATATTTTTGCCAACATGCAAAGTTGCAGCATTTTCAGTATATTAAATATTATCAGTATATGAAAGCTTCAACTCATTAGAAAGCTGAAAAGATACAGTGTTGCCAACTTTATAATCAGTCAGTCCATGAACATTCATCATGCCTTGTGTGCAGAATACTGAATCAGTCAGTTGCGGCACGATAAAAGAAGTAGAAGACTGCATCAAACGATTTTATAATTTAATTGAGGAAATTATCTAAACTTAAGAGCAGCTTATTAAATATCAAATACAAATTTAAATGTTATGAATTGAATTGGTCTATACCAAAGGAACAAACAGTAAAAGAGGTTTTACATATTAATCAACAACAAGTTCTAAAGAAAATAGCATTTGCACTAAAAATCATAACTTCTGTTGAGCACCTACTATGTCCAAGTCCCTGTACTTACCACTGTTTAAGCAGGATCTCTTTTAATCTTTATAACAATCCTTTAACAAAGTATTATTTTGCCCCTGTTTTTAAAATGAGAAAATCAAGAAGTAGAAAGCCTGCACAATATATGTAACATTACTGAGCTAATGACAGACTGGGTCAGGATCTGACCTCAGGTCAGTCTGACACCTAAAGCTGATGTGCTTGCTATTATGTATACTGTGTTCAAAGAAACTGCATGAAAATGTATGTTGGCTCTGGAAAGATGAACACATTCTCAGAGAATGGAGCATAGAAATAAAGGTAAAGGATCATGTGACATTTTGGAGGCAGATCAGATTTCTATTTTTTAAAACAGTTTATTTGAACTAATTTTAGACTTATTGACAAATTGCAAAAATAGTAAAAAAAAAAAAAGGAGTTACCTTTCACTCCTCATTTCCTTCCCCTAGTCTTAATATCTTGCAAAACCATTTTGTAGTTATCAAGAATGAGAAATTCACATTGGCACAGTATTACTAACTAAACTTAAAATCATATTCAAAATTCCAATTTTTCCATCGATACTCTTTCTCTGTTGCAGAACTTTATCCAGAATTCAACAGTGCATTTAGCTGCTGTTTCTCCTTAGTCTCCTCTAGTCCATCATAGTCTTTCCTTGTCTTTCATGACTTTGACTCTTTTGAAGAATATTGATCAGCTGTTTTGTAGAATGTCTCTCAATTTGCATGTGTTCAATATTTTCCTGTGATTGGAATGAGGTCATTAATTTTTGGCAAGAATATCTCAAAATGACATTTGTATCCTTCTCAGTGCATCATATCTCAGGGTTCATGATGTTGATATATTATTACTAGTGTCTGCCATGTTTCTCCACTGTGAAATTACTATCTTTTCCTTTGTAGTTGATAGGTATTTGGAGGAAGATACTTTGAGACTATATAAATCCTGTTTGTCTTCAAATAATTGCCTCCAAATTTTAGCATCCTTTGGTGGATCTTGTCTGCAATATTTATTACTACAGTGTTTGCTAATGGTGATTTTCTATTTCTATCTCTTTTTCTACCTTTATTAATTGGAATTCTGTGAGGAAGAGCTGTCTCTTCTGCTCTATTAATTTATTTAATTATTTATGTGTGTAAGTACTTCTCAAGGAAAATTAATTTGATTACATGGCTTAAATTCAATACCATTATTATATATTTTGTTGCTCAAATTAGTCTAGGTTTGGCCATGGGGGGTTTCTTCAGGTTGGATCCTGTGTCCTTTTGACAAGCTGCCTTTTTTAAAGCATTTACTTGCCTTCAGTACCACAAGATATTCCAGATTTACCTTGTATTTTTTCCCCTAGCCCTAGAATCAAGCACTTCTCCAGGAAGACTGAGTTACTTTTATTGAAGAACAGGGACTAGAGACTAAGATTTGAGTGCTATGTCAGATCAGCTTTGCATTCTGATCTTCAGACCTTTCATTTCATTAATGAGAACTAACCTTGGTGAGATGGGAGTGGAGAGAGTAAGTGGGTAGGAATTTAGAGTACTTTGCACATCAGTCTAAGGAGTTGGGATCTGGTATAACTAGTATTAGAGAGAAATATTATAAAGCTAAGCAGGGGTGTGTGTGATGGAATTGTGTTACAAGATGATTCTCATGCTGTGGCGTAAGATATAACAGATGAATGGGCAAAAGCCTGGAAGACTAAAAATAGCTAGTTAAGGCTACCTATGCATGGAGTGAAAAAGGCCCACTACCAGAATAAAAGTGTCAGCAGAAGAAAGAAAAAAGAGAAGCAAAAACATTAGAGAAAAATAATTGGCTAGAGATAGTGACAGACACGACAGAGGGTTGGGGGAAGTGTAAAATTATTCTGTTTGTTATCTTAGAGAGCTGAATATATAAGGTGCCACTGGAAATATGAGGAATGATTGACTCTGTGTCAAGAAAGCATAGACTTCAGTTTTGACATATTTAGTTTAAGAATTATTGAGACATGTTAATAGAAAATACCTCCAGTAGAGAACAGGAAGTATTATCCTAAAGATAGATACCATATTTTTGAATTCCTAATACCTACCCCTGTACCTAACTTACAATGGGTATTCAGAATAGTAAAAGTGAATATTTTCAAAGTGCTTACCTTATGAAAAGCATTTTTATATACATGACCTTATTTAACACTCACAATAATCCTATTTATATTACTTCCATATTTTTGATGGAGAAACTGACATAAAGAGGTTAAACAAGTTGAAAAAGAGACACAGTAAGTTGTGAAATCAAGAGTTGACTCCAACTCATACTATTTCAATATCCCTCCTTTAATCAATCGACTGTTTTTGAGAGGAAGGTAGGTAGAAATCACACTCAGGACAGGCCTTACAGAAATGGATTTGAGACTTATCTGTGCAAATGAATTCACTAAAAGGGTAAGGATAAAAAATAATAACATCAACACTGAGGTAGCATCTGCAATAAAGTAGATTTGAAATAAGAAAGACAAAGTCAAATATGATAAAAGGTAATAAACCAGAGAAGGAAATAGAAAAGATAGCTGGCATATTAAAATGAGAAAGACAAAATGCAACAGGAAGTGGTTTCCACTTCCAGTAATGATAGATAAGCCTATTACAAACCAGCACTGCTGCCAAGGACAATTATAAACTCCAGAAAATGTTTTAAAATACTTGTTTGAAGACATCAGAAAGCTTACCAAATTAGCAAAGGCTTCAAGGGCCAAGATTCCAGAGGGAAACAAAGTTCCTAGATAAGTCTAACATTTAAGCAATTTTTCCTTTGAGGTATTTGCCAGTTTTCAAACAGAGAAGCACCAGGCCTGTCATAGTGAACTCTGCTAGCAGGCTGTCCTCCACAGCCTCAGACTCCAAGCCCATTCCAGTAGGCCAGCCTTTGTAGAACCAGGACCAGACCTGCACTACAGACCTAGGCTCCAGGTCCCCTGCAGAATGACCTTTAAGTATACACACACAAACTGAAAATGAAGGGATAGAAAAATATATTTTATGCAAATGGAAACCCAAAGAGAGCAAGGGTAGCTAATATGTAAATGAAATAGACATTAAGTCAAAAACTGTTACAAGGAACAAGAGAGTCCCTTTGATAAAGGGGTAATTAATTATTATTAATTTTATAATGTTAATTATAAATGATAAAGGGGTCAATCAAGAGGATATATCAATTATAAATATCCATGCAAATAATATCAGAGCTCCTAAATGTATAAAGCATATATTAACTGAGGAGGTAAATAGACAGCAATACAGTAACAGTAGGGTATTCAATACCCCATTTTCAGCAATGGATAGATCATCCAGACAGAAAATCAATAAAGAAACATCAGACTTGGCTGGGCGCAGTGGCTCATGCCTGTAATCCTAGCATTTTGGGAGGCCGAGGCAGGCGGACTGTCTGAGCTCAAGAGTTTGAGATCAGCCTGGGCAACATTGTGAAACCCTGTCTCTGCTAAAATACAAAAAATTAGCCGGGCATGGCGGTGTGCACCTGCAGTCCCTGCTTCAGGAGGCTGAGACAGGAGAATTGCTTGAATCTGGGAAGCAGAGGTTGCAGTGAGTCGAGATCGTGCCACTGCACTCCAGTCTGGGTGACACAGTGAGACTTTGTCTCCAAAAAAAAAAAAAAGAAACATCAGACTTGAACTACACTGAAGAACAAATGAATCTAACAGATATATACAGAATATTCCATCCAACAGCAAAAGAACACACATTCTTTTTATATACACATGGAATATTTTAAGTGCACATAGAATATTCTCCAGGAAATATCATGTTAGGTCACAAAACAATTCTTAACAAATGTAAGAAGATGGAAATAATATCAAGTGTCTTTTCCAACCACAATGGTATGAAACTAAAAATCAATAACAGGAGGAAAATTTTTAAATTCACAAATATTTAGAAATTAAACAACACACTTTTAAACAACCAATAAGTCAAAGGAGAAATCAAAAGATAGATAAAAAATCTTGAGACAAATGAAATTGGAAACTCAACATACTTAAACGTATGTGATGCAGCAAAAGTAGTTCTAAGAGGGAAATTTATAGTGATAAACACGTACACTTAGAAAAAAAGAAAGATTTCAAATATCAACCTTATTTTATACCTTAAGAAACTAGAAAAAAAGAAAAAACTAAATCCAAAGTTAGCAGAAAGAAGGATATAATAAAGATGAGTGCAGGAATAACTGAAATAGAAGCTAGAAAAACAATAGAAAAGCTCCACAAAGCTAAGTGTTGATTATTTCAAAAAATAAACAAAATTGACAAAATTTTAGCTAGACCAGGAAAAAGAGAGAATGCTCAAATAAATATAATCAGAAATGAAAAAGGACACATTACAGCTGACACCACAACAATATAAAGGATTAGAAGACACTATTATATACAATTTTACACCAACAAATTTGATAACCTAGAAGCTATGAACAAATTCCTAGAAACATGCAGCCTGTCAAGACTAACTCATGAATAGATAGAAAATCTTTACAGACCAATTAAAGAGCAAGGAGTTTAAATTAGTAATCAAATACCTCCCAACAAAGAAAAGCCCAGGACATGATGGCTTCACTGGTGAAATCTACAAAGCATTTAAAGAATTACTGCCAATCTTCTTCAAACTCTTCCAAAAAATTAAAGAGGAGGGAACACTTCCAAACTTGTTTCACAAAGCCAGCATCACCCTGAAATGAAAGTCAGCAAACATTAAAAAGGAAAGAAAGAAAGAAAATTTCAGGCCACTACTCCTGATGAATATAGAAGCAAAAATCTTCAACAAAATACTAGCATATCAAATTCAACAGCACATTAAAAAGATCATACACTATGATTAAGGAGGATTCATCCCTGACATGCAAATATGGTTCAACAGATGCAGATCAATAAATGTGATATACTACCCTAACAGAATGAAGGATAAAAATCATAGGATAATCTCCATCAATGCAGAAGATGCATTTAGCAAATGTCAACATATTTTCATGAAACAAAGTTTCAACAAATTATATTTAGAAGGAATACACCCTAACTTGTTACAAGCCCATAGCTAACATCACCTTCAATGTTGAAAAGCTGAACACTTTCCTCTAAGATCAGGAGCAAGACAAGGATGCTCACTCTCAGGACTTCTGCTGAATACAATACTGGAAGCCCTAGTCAAAGCAATTAGGCAAGAAAAAGAAATAAAAAGCATTCCGATCTGAAAGGAAGAAGTAACATTGTTTCTGCAGATGACATAATTTTATATGTAGAAAACCCTAAAGGCTCCAACAAAAAAAAAAACTGTTAGAACTAATAAATGAATACAGTATCAAGTTTCAGGATGTAAAATTCAGTTGTATTCATATAAACTAACAACAAACTGTCTGAAAAATAAATTAGAAAATAACATCACTTACAATAGCATCCCTCCCCTAAATACCTAGGAATAAATTTAACCAAGGAAGAGAAAGATCTGTTCACTGAAACTTAGAAAACATTGATGAAAAAATAAAGAAGACACAAATAAATGGAAATATATCTTCACAGATTAGAATAATTAATATTGTTAAAATGTCCATACTATTCAAAATGATATATAGATTCAATGCAATCCCTATAAAAATTTTGATGTTATTTTTCATAGAAATAGATAAAACACACCAAAAATTCACATTAAACCACAAAAGACCCCAAATAGCCAAAACAATCTTGAGCAAGAACAAAGCTGGAGGCATCTCACTATCTGATTTCAAAATATGCTACAATGCTATAGTAATTTTTAAAGTATGGTGGTGTATAAAAGCAGATATGTAGACCAACATAACAGCACAGAGAGCCCAGAAATAAATGCATGCATTTATGATCAGTTTATCTTCAGCAAAGATGTGAAGACACAATGGGGAAAGAATAGTGCTTTCAATAAATGGATTTGGGAAACTGGATATCCACATGCAGAAGAATAAAATCGGACCTTATTTCATACCATATAGAAAAATCAGCGCAAAATGGATTAAGACTTAAACATAAGGCCTGAAACTGTTAAAATACTAGAAGAAAACAAAGGGGAAAGATTCTTGGTCTTGGCAATGATTTTTTTTAATATAATCCCAAAAGCACAGGCAACAAAGCAAAAATAGTCAAATGGGATTGCGTCAAACTAAAAAGCTTCTGCATAGAAAAGGAAACAATAAGGCAAAGAGATAACTACAGGATAGGAGAAAATATTCTCAAACTATTCTGCCGAAAAACTGTTAATATCGGCAATGTATAAAGAACTCAAATAACTCAATATCAAGAAAACAATCCAATTAAAAACAGGCAATTTAAATAGACATTTTTCAAAAGAAGACATACAAATGAACAATAGGTATATGAAAAAATGCTCAACATCACTAATCATAAAGGAAATGCAAATTAAAACCACAATGAGATATCACCTCACACCGGTTAGAATGGATATTATTTAAAAAGACAAATGATAAGAGCTGGTGTGAAAATATGGAGAAAAACAAACACTTGTACACTATTGGAGGGGATATAAATTAGTAGAACCATTATGGAAGGCAATATGAAGCTTCCCAAAGAAATTAATAATAGAATTACCATCCAATCTAGCAATCTCATTTCTGAGTATATATCCAAAAGAAATTAAATCAGTATCTCAAAAGAGATATCTGTACTCCCATGTTCATTGTAGCAGTCTTCACAATAGCCAAAATATGGAATTAACCTAAGTGTCTATCAATGGATGAATGTATAAAGTGTGATATATATCTATAAAAAATTGAATATTATTCAGCCTTAAAAAAGAAGAATACCTTATTATTTGTGACAACATAGATAAACCTGGAAGATGTTATACTAATTGAAATAAACCAGGCACAGGAAAATATATACCGCATGATCTCACTCATATGTGGAATCAAAAATAGTTGAACTCATAAAAGCGAAGAATAGAATGGTGGTTGCCAGGGACTTCAGGGTAGGGGAAATGGTGAGATGTTGGTGAAAGTGTACAAAGTTTCAGTTACACAAAATAAATGAGTTCTGGGGATCAACTACAGTACAGCATGGTGACTATAGTTAATAATCCTGTATTGTATACCTTACATTTGCTAGAAGTGCAGATCTTAAGTGTACCAGGCACATAGACGCATAAAAGTAACTATGTGAGATGATGGAAATGTTAATTGTATGTCAAAACATCATATTATATACCCTAAATTTATTTATCATTTTTACCTCAATAAAGGTGGGGAAGAAAAATACCTTCCCAAGAGAAAGGAACAAAAGTAAGAAAGATAGTAGCCGAATTCTCAACAGAAATAATAAAGCTTTAAGGCAATCAGATGATATTTTCAAGTTTCTAGGGAAAAGGAAAAAAAAAAACAAAAAAACAAAAAATGCCAACCCAGATTTCTATATCTCGTAATGATTCAAAAAAGAAGGAAGAAAAATAAAATGCTCTCAGACAAGAATAGAGATTTAATCACTAGTAGACCTTCTTTTAAAAATGCTGTATATCTTCCTTAGGCTGAAATAAAATGATCCCTGAAGGAAGCATTGAGAAGCTGGAAAAAATAAAGAAAAAGAGAAAAGAGAAACACATGGACCAATCTAAATGAATATTGACTGTACACAGTAATACTACCGATGTCTTGTGCGGCTTACTATGTGTGATTAAAATATACAACAACAAAAACAAAAAATACAGAAATATAAAATGGTGTTAAAGTATTCTAAGATCCTTACATTACTCAGGTAGTGACAGAAATGATTTACATTGGAAATTAATATGTCAAAGATACATGTAGTAATGCCTTACAGTAACCTACTGAAAGGACAGTGAAAACTGTAGTAACCACCACTTTAAAAGAAGCCAAGAAAGGAAAGGAAGATAGGAAAGACAAATAGAAGACAAATAAGATAACAGACTTAAAAGTAAACATATCAATAACTGCACTAAATGTAAATAAACAAAATGCTCCTATTTTAAAAAATATCAGCTAGTATAAAAAAACTATAGGCTGTTTAAAGGGACATACATACTTTAAATACAAGGAAACGGAAAGAGTGAAAGTAAAATGATGGGAGAATACACATTGCAAAATGAATCAAAACAAAGTTGGTATAGCTATATTAATCTCAGAAAAAGTAGAAATCAGGAGGCATAGCTAGAGATAAAATAGGGACTTTTCATAATTATACAATGTTCGGTGAATAGGAGGATAAAAACTAAGTGTATGTATTTAATAAAATGGCCACAAAATACATGGAGCAAAAGTTGGCAGAAATAAAATAAGAGAGAAATCAACAATTGCAGATGAAGATTTTAACACAACTTTCTCTGTAATAGAATAAGTACACCAAAACAAAACAAACATACGATAAGAACATAAAGATATGGACAACATGATTAATACACTTGACCTATATAAGACCACATTCAATGATTACATTTTTTCAAAAGCAGAATATTTACCAAAATTTATGACGTTCCTGGGCCATAAAGCAAGTTTTAATGAATTTCAAAGATTGGGATCATGCAGAGTGTATTTCCCATCCAGAGTAGGACCAAGCTAAAATTAATACCCACAAACAAGTGGAAAATCCACAAATATGGAAATTAACCAATGTATTTGTTGTAAAAACATGTAGATCAAACAAAAAATTACAATGAAATAAAGACTATTTTGAACCAAATAGTATGAAACTGTGATATCAAAACTTATGGGATTCAGCTGCTGCTGCTTAGAGGGAAAATTATAGTCTTAAAAACATATACTAGGAAGGAAGAGAGGCTGAAAATCAGGTCTCTAAGTATTCAGAAAAAAAGAATAAATTAAATCCAAAGATGTAAAAGGAAGGAAATAATAAAAGGCAGAAATAACACAATACAGAACAAATGTAAATATAATATTTAAATGGCCAAAAGTAAATTTTGGAACACCAATCCTCTAAAAAAGCCAAGTATCAATAACAGTGAGAAGGCAAAAATCACTAACATCAGAAACAATAGGGGGCTTATAACTTCAAATCCTACAGACTTTAGGAAGACAAAAGAAACTATTACAAACATTATTGTAATACATTTGGTGATTTACATGAAATGTACAAATGCCTTGAAAAACAAAAATTCTCAAATTTGACCAACAAGAGTTAAAAAACCTGAATAGTCCTATATCTGCCAAAGAATTTGTGTAATTAGAAACCTTCCTGCGAGAGAACACTACACTCAGAAGGCTTCACTGGTGAAATTTTTCAACCATTTAAAGTAGAAATAAAACAAATCTTACACAAAACCTTGTAAAAATTAAAAAATAGAAATTCATTTTATGAGGTTGGGATAACTTTGATGCAAAACATGATGAGGACATTATAAGAGAGTATAAATACTCTCTCACAAATATAATGCATAAGTCTTAACATTATTAGCTGCCGAGTCAAGACCAAGTTGGAATTGTTTCAGAAACGCAAGGTTGATTCAATATGTGAAAATTAATTTAATTCATCATAGGGATGAAAAAAAGGAGAAAAAATCAGATGATTAACTCAAGAAATACAGAAAGAGTGACTGAAGAAAATCAACCACCATCTTATGACAAAAACTCCTAGCACATTGAGAACAGAAGGGACTTAATCTGGTAAGGGGTAAGGGAACCTCTAAAAAGTTGGTGTAAATATGTGTTTCATGGTAAACAATTAAAAGATTTCCACCTGAGACTGGTGGACAATGAAGACCACCATCATTATTTCTATTCAACATTATATAGGAGGTTCTAGCCAGTTCTGTAAGTTATGGAAAGAAATAAAACTGTGATTATTTACAAAAGACATGATTGTATACATAGAAAATCCAAAGGGATCTTCAGATAAACTGATCATTTAACATAGTCATTGAATATAAGCTCAACGTATAGAAATCGATTATATTTCTAATTACCAGCAAAAATAATAGAAAATAGAATGAAAAAATACAATAAAAAATAATAAATCTACCAAATATGTATAAGACCTATATGCAGAAAACTATAAAACATCAAGAGGTACTATAGCAGACCAATAAGTGGAAGAATACATCAGGCTCATGAATTAGAAGGCTATTTAAATATGTAAATTTTCTTCAAATGGATCTATATATGCAATGCTATCCCAGCCAAAATTCCAGTATAATTTTTTTTGTGTGGGGGAAATTGTCTAATCTGACGTGAAAAAGCAAAGGCCTATTTTTAAAAGCCTCTGATGAGATGGATTTTAAGAATAGAAAATAAATTCTATTAAAAGCAGATATCAAACAATATTTTCCTCATTTGGGTGCTTGTTTGCAGAGATGAACCATTACAAGTTAGCATTATTTTCATGTGTTTTTTTCTTTTTTTATATGATTTCCACTGCTACTACCTCTGTCCAAGCATCATCAATTTTTACCTGCAGGACTCAATAGCTTCCTACTTAGTGTCTCAACTTCCACCTTAACCCTTTTCTATCTAACCTTAAACCAGCAGCTTGAAAGATTCTGTTTAAACATAAGCTTCTGTGATGTTTCTTCAACATATGAAGCACATTTCTACCTCAGGGCATTTGTACCCACTGGTCCCTCCCTTAGAAAACTCTTCTTCCAGGTGTCCACATGCCTCCCTCTCTCACTATTTTTTTTGGTTTTCTGTTTTAGACAGTCTCACTCTGTCGCCTGGGCTGGAGTGCAATGGCGCATTCTCGGCTCACTACAGCCTCCACCATCGCTAGGTTCAAGCGATTCTTGTGCCTCAGCCTCCCGAGTAGCTGGCATCACAGGCAAGCGCCACCACGCCAGGCTAATTTTTGTAGTTTTAGTAGATACAGGGTTTCACCATGTTGTCCAGGGTGGTCTCGAACTCCTGACTTCAAGTGATCTGCTCACCTTGGCCTCCCAAAGTATTGGGATTACAGGAGTGAGCCACCGACCCGGCCTCCTCTCTTACTTCTTTTTACATCTTGACTCAAATTACTTCCTCTGTTAGGCCTTCTTTACCTACTCTATTTGAAATAACAACCCCCAATCCTACCCAGCACTCTGAACTTCTTCGTTTATTCTTCTTTATCCCCACTATCACCTTCAAATAAACTATACATTCTACTTCTTTATCTGCCTCTTTCCTCTAGAATGTAAGCTTTTTGGGCAGAGATGTGTATCTTATTTGTTCATTGTTATATCACAACATCAGCATGTGGAAAAACCTCAATAAATATTTGTTAAATGAATTAAATGAATACATTAATGGTGTGAAATACACTTTAAAGTTTAAAGACAATTTTCATAGAACAAGCCATTGTAATATTTAATCCAGTTTTATTTTACTTTTATATTCTTATTGGTATTTTTCGCACCGGAGTCCATACTTAGACCTTCAGGGGCTCATAAAGACCACATTTCACAGTGTGACTGGAATGTTCCATGACACGCAGAGTGAAAAGAATGAAAGAGCATAATTCTGCCATGAGAGTACAGCATTTTAATGTTGGCTTCAATATTTTTTAGTACATTCATAAAATGTTTAATGAAAGTGTGATAAAAAAGAAGAGTGGTTTTATTAAAATAAAAATAAAAAGTTCTTCTTGTGTTGTTTCAAGGGATCATCTTTTGGTGTGATACTCAAAATGAACTGAAATGAGAGGACAAAAATATGCTCAAAAATAACTGAATCACTATGTTATTTATAATCTGTAATGGAACATGTTTCCAAGAAAGTAGGTTATTTCTTTATGCACATATAAATTTGAAATTAGTACAATAAAAAGTTGAACATTTTTGGTTAAGGAGGACAGTAAGGTCAGATGTCAAACTCATAATAAAAACATTGCTACAGCCAGACCAGAAAGTTACTCTCTGATCTTTTTAAGGTTTTTCAGTAAGATTGTCTGATGACATTTTTCCCTCTTTTTCACCATTTATAGCCTCACTCTTAAAAGACTCATTTTCTTTCAAGAATAATCACTGAAGCAAAAAAGAAAATCTCTGCATTTCAACAATAGTACAGTTTGTTAAGATTTTAGCTTTAAAAAGAAGATAAATAAGAAAGTCCTTTGGAGAAAAATGACTAATACTGTGCTCTTTATTTCTGGAGTTTCTATGAGTAATTTTGGCACACTACCTTGCAAAATTTTATGTTTTGAATTAATATTCACTGTAAAATGATAACTTTTAAAAAATTACATAAAACTAGAGTTTCTAGCAGCCATTGTCATTTAACTTCCCTTTATCTAGAAAAAAAAACCTTAATAGCATTTTTAAGCAAGAGAAAATATTATCAATCTTCCAATATTTTTAAGAAATTTATTTTATGATGAAGTATCTTGGGAGATGGTATCAGCACATTCTGAAACTTCTTAAAGAAAAATGTATGAGGCTATAAAATAGCATTGGTAAACTTTTGACCAAAAATCAGAATAAATTTCCCAGACCACCTCTTTGACTCCTCAGATTCCTAACACCCTACCTGCAAGGCAATATGACATTCTAGACAAACATGGATTCTGAAGTCAGTCAAATGCAGATTCAAATCCCAGCTCTGCCACATTCCAGCTCTGTGAACTTGGACAAGCAACTTAATCTCTCTAGGCCTCGACGTACTCATCAGTAAAACAGAGCTGGTGATACTTCAGAGAGGGCTGCTAAGACTGTTTAATGAGGTAATGTATGAGCGTGACTGGCAAATGGTATGCATTTCAAGAAAAAGAGTAAAAAGTTATTTGTTCCATCAGTATTTCTTCCCTTCTGCTTTATGTAGAACTTGTGGCATGTCCTTTTCACACCTAATGCATGTCTAAACAGCATTCTTCTTTAATCTGAACATTTTTGCCCTGGCCTACCAGCAGTACAATCTTGGGTAAGTGGTTCATTCACATGGAGCTCATTTTCTCACACCTTCCCTCTTTCTAGAAAATTTAATAATTACGAAAAATAAGGCTGGGCAGGGTGGCTCATGCCTGTAATCCCAGCACTTTGGGAGGCAAAGGCAGGAGGGTCCATTGAGTCCAGGAGTTTGAGACCAGCGTAGGCAACATACTGAGAGATCATCTCTATAAAACCACTGAAAACAAATTAGTTGGGCATGGTGGTGTGTGCCTGTAGTCCTAGCCACTTGGGAGGCTGAGGATTTCTTGAGTCCAGGAGATTGAAGTTGCAGTGTGTTAAGATTGCTCCACTGCATTATTCCAGCCCGGGCAACAGAGTGAGAATCCATCTCAGAAAAAAAAAAAAAAGAAAGAAAAAGAAAAGAAAAGACAGTTATGAAATCTATAGTGCTTACTATGTGCTAGCTCTATCCTAAGTAACAACTCATTTATTTTTCACATAAACTCTACAAGGTATGTGATCTTATTACTTGCATGTTACAGATGGAGACAATAAGAGAGGTGAAGTAACTTGCCTAAGGTTATAAACAAGCTGGTGTCAGGAGACAAGAATTGAACCCAGAGCCTATACCTGAAGGGATTATGCATCAGTTTATTTTAATTTGACCCCAGAATTTAATCTAAGATGATGTCTTAAGACACTTACTTATCGTTAGAATCTTGGATTAAAAAAGACAAAACCAATGATGAAAGCTAGATGGTTTTCAGCATGAGACAATCATGAACCATGTCCCCAGAAGGTGGAGTGGAACAATTGTATGGTCATCCTTTGCTGGGGTAAACTGTTATTTGCCTGGTTTCCCTAGAGTAGAAAAAGGCTGGGTGAGATCCCAACAGGGAAACTGAGAAAAGAAATGTGATTGCTGAAAATAATGTCTTCTGAACAACTCCCAGCATCTATTGACTTCTTACCAAATAAATCAAAACTGTGTATCCAGAAAGACAAATAATAGGTAACATTTACTGAATACCTATAGATAATCTTATCTAATCATTACAACCTTTTTTTAAGAGAAATACATTTTTCCTATTTTATAGATATGGAAACTGATGTTGCAAAATGAATTTGCCAATGATCATATACTTGATAAGTAGTAGAACTAGAGAAAAAAAAGTTCTCTATTGATGTCATTGACTGAATCAGGAGGAAAATATGCATCACAAAGTGTTATAGTTTAGTTCCTTGGTTTAAGATTCCCCTGGTTCATTCTACTCTGTAGGGATGAAAAACACTGAGGATAAGATCAATGGAGTGGCTTTCTCACTGTCCCCAGATCATTAATGTCAGTGCCAGACTTAGGACTCTACTATCCTGTTACCCTGCTCCTGTATTTTTCCCACCACACTGCACTGTCTTTTGCTTGGGGTTAGGAGTGATTACAGAAGCCAACTAAACATAAATTTTGAAAAATTTCAAAACATTTGTTTTCTGCAGTTAATTTGAAGAGAATGGGGGAGAGGGAGTCAGTGTGGTTGGAGAAATTTTGGAGGTGGTTCAAAGAAAATTAAATATGAAGAGAAAGGTCTTAAAAAGTGTCCTTAGCTGGCCCCTAGTAAACACTAGAGTGCTTTGTTCAAAAGAACTCAACTAAAAATAAGCTGGAAAAAGTGCCCCTATAGGAAAAACAACATTTCGTGCAAAAGTATGATTTCAATAAGTCAACCGAGTCCAAGTTTAGACTGTGATTCATTTTACAAATGAAGTTACACCCCCAGATCATGTATGCCTCCAATTTCAGCCTTTGGCCATATTCTCCATCACTCTTGTGGGACATGTGTTTATTAAATTATAACCCATGCCCTGTTATGTGGTGTGGCCTGTTTATCTTGCAGATCTGAAATAACATAATTACTTAAAGCAAGTTTGAATGGCATATTATTAAATTCTCTGTTTTTTTCATTTCCACCAACAAAAATTATTCTCATTTTCTAAATTTAAAATATTTATCTCTTTAAATTTTGATACTGTATCTTTGATACATACACAATAACATTAAAAGTTTTGTGTGTAATTATGCTGTCAAATGGTTTTGTCTTCTCCCTTAATCTTCCTTCAGTATATTTGGCTTCGACAGAGCGGTGCTGCTAGACTCTAATAAATCATCCCTTCAGGCCTCAAATATTGTGCCGTACAAGGGAAATTCAAGAAGGATACATATTATTTTAAGCAAATGCATATAGGCATTTTTTATTTGTACATGTGGCTGCATCTTGTTGGCACTTGGACTTAATTCCCTGACTTTTGAAGCAAAGAATAGGCAATTAAGGATAGCAGATCCATTCCAAACAAGAAGGTGGTGCTCAATATATATTGGTTGATTTGACTGTTCTATGCTAGATAAAGCCAATGCAAAATCGTGTATATGTAACACAACCGTGCCAACTATCAAGTGTCCATTATGTGCTAGGCATATTGTCTTCAAAGCTCATGGCCTCTCTGTAAAGTAAATTATATCAACCTTTTTTATTAGATGAAAAAACTCTGGGGCTCAGAGAGTTTAAACGGTTGAAGGAGGTCAAACAGTAAGTAGCAGAGATTGGGACCTAATTAACATAGGTTGGAAAACACTTTGGAAAGGTTGATTTAAATGATTTGTACAATGTCAACCCTGGGTGAATTTAAAGAGCATGGGCTATGTCTTGCTCAAGGCGCAACTTCTTCCCTCAATTCATGCTACCTTTTGGCTTTTCTTAAAAAAAAAAAAAAAAAAAAAAAAAAAAAAAAAAAAAACCTAACATTTATTGAGAATGCCCCTTCTGCCAGTTTCCATGCTGGCTCTTTGCACACACTGTTTCATTTACATTTTTAAAATGCTTTGGAACTTCTCTGACTCTGCCCAGCTGCCTCCTGTCATGGCCAAAAGTCCAGACCTTTCAGCAAACAGTCAGATGTTAGTTCCAGCTGAGTGAATTGGTTAGGTCTCAAATCCTTTCTGCTCATCGCCTGTAAAATGGGATAACAGTACAATTCTTGCTTATTTCTGTTTTCAGTTAGGATGAAAATGTCAGAAGAGAAAATATTAGAAAAGAGCAAAAGCATATGTGTGAACAATGGTCTTGTATAACGGAGTCACATTGTACAGTTGTAAAATAGCAAATGTATGTGGTAAGCAAAAAGATGCGGGAGAGAAGGATAGAGTGAGAGAGAATAATTTGACCATGGCCAATCATTCCTCCTGCTATTCTACTCAGTGAGAATAAACCCCCAGTGAACAGGAGATGGGCAGCCTCGCTCCCTCCCAGTCCTCTGTGCCTCTTCAAGTGTGAGTATCTCCCAGAGCTGGGTATGGCTTCTAGGAATTAGATGTATGATTTTCTAATAAGATGGCCTATAAATGTAAGCCATCTGTTTCTCCAACAAAGAAACAGTTACTTGTTTTAATGCACAATAAAAAAAAACTGGCTGTGAGAGAAGATATATTCCTCAGGGCCTTTTCAAGAATAATCTAGATTCCGCTTCTCAAACCATCTGTGGTGAAGCACTATTTTTGTTCAACATCTTTTAAACTAATACTTTTGTAAAAAACAGTACAAATTAATTACTAGAAAATAACCACTTGCTTGTATGTCCGGCCATGCCATATGGCTTCTTCACATTCTAATACTTATCTCATTGCTGACCAGAAACAAACAGTTCGAGGATTTATTCATCCCAGCTCATGAACCGTTTTCTGAGTAGCAATGATCTAGATTACACACTTTATTTAACTCCAATAAATAATAGTCTTATTCTAAACACAATTCTAAAATTCAAAACTCTTCTTAAAATAGGACTTCACTTTCTACTTGAGTGAAGAATTTTTATTTATTTTTCTCTTTTTTATAAATAAATAAAATAAATTTTATTTTTCTCTTTTTTAAAACTTTTATGTTGCATTCAAAGGGTAACAGGTTTGTTACCTTGGTATATTGCATGATGCTAAGGTTTGAGGTACCATTGATCCTGTTACCCAGGCACCGAGCATAGTACCAAACAGGTAGTTTTTCAGCTGTTACGCTCCTATCTCCCTCTCCCCTCTGGTAGTTTCCAGTGTATATCATTCCCATCTTATATCCATGAGTACCCAATGTTTAGCTCCCACTTATAAGTGAGAACATGTGGTGTTTGGCTTTCTGTTTCTGTGTTAATTCACTTATGATAATAGCCTCTAGCTGCATCCATCTTGCTGCAAATGGTTTCATCTTTTTTATGGCTGTCCATTCCACTGCTGATGGGTACCTAGGTTGATTCCATATCTTTGCTATTGTAAATAGTGCTGCAATGAACATGCAAATGCATGTGTCTTTTTTGTAGAATGATTGTATTTTTTGGACATATACCCAGTAATGGGATTGCTGGGTTGAATCGTAGTTCTATTTTAAGTTCTTTGAGAAATGTACAAGAAATTGCTTTCCACAGTGGCTGAACTAATTTACATTTCCACCAACAGTGTATAAGCATTCCCAGTGTATAAGCACAGCCTTGCCAACATCTGTTGTTTTTTGATTTTTTAATATTCATTATTCTGATTGGTGTAAGATGGTAGCATGGTAGCAGTACAAAAAGACACATGGCCTAATGGAGCAGAATAGAGAACTTAGAAATAAAGCTGCAAACCTACAGCCATCTAATTTTTCACAAAGTGGACAAAAATAAGCAAAGGCGAAAGGACTTCCTATCCAATAAATGGTGCTAGGATAGCTAGATAGCCATGTGAAGAAGAATGAAACTGGACACTTACCTTTCACTATATACAAAAATTAATTCAAGATGGATTAAGGATTTAAATGTAAGACCACAAACTATAAGAATCCTAGAACTAGGAAACACCATTCTAGACATTGGCCTTGGGAAAGTCCTCAAAAGTAATTGCAACCAAAACAAAAATAGACAAGTGGGCGCTAATTAAACTAAAGAGCTTCTGCACAGCAAAAGAAATTATCAACAGACTAAACAGACCAGCTACAGAATGGGAGAAAATATTCACAAATTACGCATTTGACAAAGGTCTAATATCCAGAATCTAAAAGGAAGTTAAACAATTGAACAAGCAAAAAACAAATAACCTCATTAAAAATGGGCAAAAACATGAACAGACACTTCTCTCAAAAGAAGACACACATGTGGTCAACAAACATATGAAAAAATGCTCCACATCACTGATCATGGAGAAATGTGAATGTGAGTGAAGGCGTTTTATGGCCGTTTGATCTCCCTTTTTTCTTCTCTCCTTGCTGCCCAGAGGCCCCATTCTCTTAGGCTCTTGTTTCACCAGTTCAGCCTCTCCTCTAACTTCTGCCTTCAGCCTCATGACAGAGCCCTCTGTTTTGATATCCTCTACCCTAAACATCCTGCATTTCTGGTCTTTCCTTCCTCATTTCCTGTGGCTCATTTTCCTAGGGTCTTGTCAGCGGTAGTTGATAGGCTAATTATGTTGATCAATGAGTTTATGCTGAGATGCATGAATTCATGGCTCACCCCAGTCAGTGGAATTCAGTATATAAACATCTGTGTACTTAAGCCTGCTTTGTTTAAGGTATTTTATTTGGAAGGATCTCTTCAAAGATACAACCCCTGCTCTCAGGTGTATCATCATTGAGAGCAAGGCTGGACTCTTGACTCTCTGGGAATAGAAATATGGAGGCGCCTCAAGAAATAGATGATCCAGTGGCTGAAATCAGCTTTCTACTCTAGTGTATTTTTGGAACCCTTCTCCTGTCTCATGAAAAAAAATGTTTCAGAGGTAAAATAAATTTCAAAACTCCCATAGAGTCTATTTCCTTGTTTGAGGGTCCCATGAAACATAGCATATTAAAATTCTAAGAAACTTTGCAGGTAGACAATCTAATTTTATTTAAATAAGGAGTTTCCCAACATAATATGATCATAAAACCCTTTAGTCTAAAAATACCAGTTAATATCCATCAAAATTAGTATTCTTCAAATTATACTTGGAGAAATGCTGATTGGGTTAAGATTTCAAGCTTAAAATGCCACAATTGTATTATAGGGTTACTATTGGTTTTGTGAGGTGTCATAATGACATAGGTTTTTGTTTTCTCAAAAAGGAGCCCTGCTGTTTAGAGTTGAATACTGAGGTATTTATGGGTGAAATAATGTGGGTTCTGAGATTCTCTTTAAAATATTTCTGAAAAGAAAGAGGGGTTGAGATCACTAAAATATTGACAAAATGTTAATAACCTTGGTGATTAATACACAGAGGTTCATTAAATTGCCTACCTATTCTATATATGTTTGAAAAGTTCTATTATAAGAATCTTATTTTAAAATTCTGTGATACTTGCATTATATAAAGTCAGCCAAATTTCATTAATTTTTTTGTTTTTTTTGAGATGGAGTTTAGCTGTTGTTGCCTGGGATGGAGTGCAATGGTACAATCTCAGCTCACTGCAACCTCCATCTCCCAGGTTCAAATGATTCTCCTGCCTCAGCCTCCCAAGTAGGTGGGATTACAGGCAGGAGCCACCACACCTGGCTAATTTTTAGTATTTAGTAGAATTCGGGTTTTACCATGTTGGTCAGGCTGGTTTTGAACTCCTGACCTCAGGTGATCCTCCAGCCTCAGCCTCCCAAAGTGCTGGGATTACAGGTGTGAGCCACCACACCCAGCCCAAACTTCATTAATTTGTAATTCACCAATTTAAATTCTGTGAGCGTTAGGACAATATATTAGTTGGATTAAACTGAAATCGGTCTTTGCTTATAAAATATATTCAAAATTAATATAAATGTATGGTTTCCCAGAAATATAGCAGAGAATAGTTTACAAATCCTGGGGGGCTCTGGAGATGCCTGAGTGGCACAGTGAACCGACCAGGTAATCAGGTGGGCACCCGTCCCCTTTCCCAACTCCAATTTTAACCCTTTAATAGAGCGAAGATCTACTTGCTACTTTGTTTTTGTAAAGGGCCTATTGTTTAATTATATAAAAGTATGAAAACCACTGCTGAATATGGTGCCAGTTGATCCAGATGGATGTGGTCTACTAGGTCTAATTTGGTGAAGCCCTTCAATGTTTTGATTTGCCTAGATTTTAAAAATTGATAAGTCTGATTCCCAGGCCCCCTTTCCTGTGCCTTTCCACAGAGGCCAGGGAGGGCTGCACTTTGGTACTTTGCTGGGTTTGTGGTTTGTGAGTTGGCAGCTTGCTGGCAGCCAGCCTTCTATCTGGTCTGGTGTATATCATGCCATGGTTCTTCCCCTCAACTGGCAGCAGGTAGGGAATTTGCATGTCTCCAGATGTGATTCTCCATCTTGGATTAACACTTGGGGCAGCTCCACACCACCCTTCAAAACCCAGGACTAGGTTTCAGGAAGACTCTGGACTCGGAGAGCTCTAGAAAATGAGCTGTCCCTTTCTCCAAAGGATATTCTAAAAGCTAATTCTTGCCTTGGTCTTACTGGAGGTATCTTGAGCAAAGAATTCTATCCAGAGGACTTTACAGGATCATTGAAGAACTCAGGAAGGCTTCTAAGTGTTTTCATCAGATGAGAAAATAGAGGCCAGTAAAGAGCTCTTTCTACTGTCCCCCAGGGCCCAGCTCCTTACTATAGGAGGTAGTAAAGGGCTTCAGAGCACCAGTGGTGGGGTCAGGTGGTCTCAGGTTTCTCCCAACCATGTCACTTTTTGACCTTTGGCAAGTTATTTACTTCCTCTAAGTCCTAGTTTCCTCATCTCTCATAAGATTGGGAATAATATCACTTATCCCATACACTTGCCTCAAATATTTTGATCTGTACTAAGTGTTTCTCCAGTGTCTTTCATTGTAAAATTAGAGAAAGTGGGATAAGCGCTTTGTACAAAACCTGTCCTGCTACATAGTAGAAACTTGACATACTCTTGCTTTATTGTCCTTGCAGTTCTTCTGGTGATTGTCGGGGTGATGGTTCCTATTGTGAAGATGGAACACCCCTGCTTCCAACAGTTCTCTTAGTGAAGGAGCCTGCACAGAAAAATCTCCCTTTGCTATCAATGTTAGTTTCCTGGAAAATCTTAATATAAGAAATTTGGCTCTAGGCTCACTTAGGAATGAGGAAAGCAAGTTCTAGCTAAGGTGTTGACCACTCTGAAGATCCCATTAGTCTCACTGTGCCTTTTCCTGCCATGACATTGTCCCATCACGATCAGTGATGATCAGAAGGACCTATTGATATCAGACAAGAAACTTCTCATTTATTTAGCAATTAGCTTCTGTATTGATTCCAGGTTTAGAATAAAAAATGAAATCAATCCAACATAATATTTCTTATGTTCTTAATCTAATTAGTCTGGCACGACTTTCTGAAAGCCATGGCCACTGGGGCATGCTTCCAAACATCATAGATGGAATGCCGTTCCCTGCCAGAAGGTGGACAGCGGTCTTTCCAGGAATAAGACCTGATGTATAGAACTGGTGATTGGTTTCAATTCTTGACTTTTTTGCTCTGGCTATTTTCTCCTTTTATTCCCCCTCCTCATTTCTGATGTTTGTATAGATAGGCACAAGACATCGTCTCAACAAGAGTGAGGTTTCCTCTGTTGATAACTGAATTCACTAAACAGGTTCTCTCTGCTCCAAAAGAGCATAAATCTCTACAAAGAGGCTTCAGTTTGGTTTCAGCACATGTGAACAATGAGACAGCCTTAGGAGGCCAACTTTAAATACTTTAGAATGAAGCTTTTTAACAAAGACTCCCAAAGTACAGGCAAGCAAATCAAAGAAAAATGTCAAACTCCGAATACCCTCCAAGCCCAGCAAAACGTCAAAGGAGCTGCTAGGAAGGGAAGAATGAGCCTTCAAATAATGTATAGCCAGGGAGAGAGGAGAAAGAAAAGAAGAAGATAGTATCTGATTTATAAATATTTATAAAACAATCATTAGGCTTGGCTGGAACATGCAGTTCTTCTCTGAGTTCACTGCTGGGAAATAATAATAAAATGCAAGGAATTATTCAAATAAAGGCAAGAGAAGATTTAACTCCATATTTTTAGAAATCTACCAGCACTCTTCACACCGTGTAGTGAGGAAGGGTATAGTAAATGAGCTCTGCGGAATCCTGTCCTTGGGCTGTGTGGAGGAAACCCGCTCAGACACAGACTTCAGAGCCTCCAGTCTTACCTGGTCAGACACTGGCCTTCAGCATCCACTCTATATTGGTCCTTGGCTAGTGTCCACTCTGCTCCCATTCAGAGCTGTAGCTGCTTAGGTCACCCTGCTGCCCCTCCCATTTATGAACCATGTGGTGACTGCTCAGAACTGGGCCTGAAATAGTTCGTCTTTAAAAGGCCCACCTTGGGTTTTCTTTTTATTTGGACCAAGACAATTTAGTAATGTGCTTCTGAAAAGGACTTCCGTTAGGAAGAATTCATCTCGTTCATATTTGTTCTGGGCCTGTCTTACACAGGAATGGGCAAGGGGGCAATTTAAGCCAGAGCTTCCTAACCATTGTGTGACAGCCTCCTGCCACAGGCAAGCTAGTAGTCGGCCAGGAGATAGGAAGGGCTATCCATCTCCATAGTGTTAAAAACATTTAACCTTCTTTAAAGCCACTGCTCAGACAGTTACAGTGATTAAAATTATCTTTAGGCACTAAATGACTGTTTCTAAAAATGTTCTAAATTCATAATTATTATTTGACACTTAAGATTCTTAAGCCTCTCCCCTGGACCATTTACCAGCACATCCATTTGAGCAAAAATTTTTGTCAATGATGACAATAAGTTCAAACGTATCAGTACACTTTCTGAAACTGTTTTGTTTGAACATTATATGCAAATTTGAGATTATGTTTTTCCTGTTTATGTTTTTTCTTATAGTAAATATATAATACAAAACTAACTTTGTTCAAGTCCCATTTGACACCCCCAAATCAGCCCCTACCCCAGTTTATTCCTGTGTATGATACAACTAATATTTCTTTCTATATGCACCTTGACAAGAAATATACTATATAATGCTTAATTTTAACTGTCTCCAGATCTGTTCTAAATGCTTTATATATATACCTTTGTTAATGTTCACAGCAATCCCACAATATAAGGACTATTCTTTCTTTCATTTTTTTTTTTTTTTTGAGACAGAGTCTCCCTCTGTCACCAGGCTGAAGTGCAGTGGTGTGATTTTGGCTCACTGAAACCTCCATCTCCCAAGTTCCAGAGATTCTCCTGCCTCAGCCTCCGGAGTAGCTGGGACTACAGGTGCGCACCACCACGCCCAGCTAACTTTTGTATTTTTAGTAGAGATGGGGTTTTACCAAGTTGGCCTGGATGGTCTTCATCTCCTTCTCTCGTGATCTGCCTGCCTTGGACTCCCAAAGTGCTGGGATTACAGGCGTGAGCCACCACGCCTGGCCTATAAGGACTCTTCTTATGCTCATTTTACATACAGGAGAACTGAAGCACAGAGAGGCTAAATAACTTGCCTAGGCACAGCCAGGAAGTAGCAGAATTGCAATTTTTAACTCAGTATGCTCTTAACACTAGGTTATCTTGTCTCTCAAAAATGCAGGGAAACATTGGTCTATTAGCATGCATTTTCAGCCATAGTGATGTTGACCCCAATGGGGCAAAATTGGTTCTCGGTGGTCTAAAATATCTTACTCTTTTTATGTATAAAGCACAGATTACATGTAGTACATAAACAGATAGTGGTATATCTAGGGAAGAGAGGATTAGAAAAACAAAAAGTTCTTCAGTGATCATTAACTTAAAAAGATTGAAAAACACTGGACTATGAGTTATATTAGGAGAATACTACTGTAAGTCTTTCCCTAGCAGCAACCCTCTATTCAAACACACAGACACATGAACACTCAGATGTACCAAAATTATTTCTCAGAGTAAGTGCCTGAATTTTTTCATATTAAAGAATCATTCCTTTGGATTATTATAATACTGCCCATAGAAGACCTCTTTCCAAATGCAAATATCACTGGGATGAGTAGTATATTAATCTTTTCATATAAATTACTGAAAGTGAGACTAGCAAGTTGCTGAATAAATGAGAAAAGACCAAGTCAGATTTCAGGAAGAGGGAAAAAGAGACAGGTCAGGTGGGGTCTGTGGGCACAGGAGGGGACTTGAGAGTGCAACACAAGGGTATAAGAATTTATGAGAGCAGCAGGTACCCGAGGACCTAGTAAATTGAGATCAAGAAGGTTAAAAACAAGAATCACCCTATTTATGACATTTGGCACCCAACAGAATTAAGTTCCTACCTTGGCTCTATTTCCCACCAGCTCTGCAGTCAGGGCAAGGCACTTACCCTCCCTGAGCCTCAATTGCTTTTTCATGGAGATGATAGGCTTTAGAATATAAATGCATGGGAAATGCCTGGAATGGAGTAGGCACTCATCATACACTAGCTTAAAAGTTTACGGTATCTTTAAAATAATCGGATGATTACATTGCAATTTTATCCAAAGCTAGCCATGTGCTTAGAACAACTGTGCTCTTTCCTCATCGGATTCAGTGAGCAGTCAAGGAAAGCGAAGGTGCAGCTTTTTCTCACTCCCCTCCCACAGAAGCTAATTGAGATGGGAGCTCTTTTGGCTTCTCAGTGGTTCTCTAATCACATTACTGTACAGACACGTCAAGGCAGCCAAGGCTTTAGAAAAGTAATTCGCCTCTTCATTGTTGCAAATATTTCTAAAGGGAAATTAAGGTGTAATTTTTCTAAATCAATCCAGTGATTGCCAAGACAGAGTAAATAAAGGGTTTTTTTCACAGGAAAAAAAAAAAATCAGCAACCAGATTGCTGATAATTCACCCCTTTCATTCCCAGATTCACTGGAGCCTTGATTCAGCCAAACCTGGGTTTCTCTGATTTTGACCCATGTCTTCAGTTCTACAGTTTGGGGAAAAGGATAGGGGATGTGAAAACCTTAGAGGGAAGGCAGTATTTAAGGAAAAGCAGAAGTACATGAAGAGGTGGAAATTGAGAAGCCATATAGTTTTATTTGGGCCAAATTACTGCAGTATTTATTCCACATGACCGCCTTTTCCAAATCTACTATGAATTCCAACACAGCTCTGGGAGACGACGGACTATCCCTTACATACTAAGCTACACCCAGACCTGGAGCCAGGAACGTCCCAGCCTCCGGCAAAATGTAAACATTCTCTCTCATGTTTGAAAGGGTCCAGGAAGAATCTATTTTTCTTCCCCAAATCTCCAGGGAGAAATTTAACATCCAGTTGACCCCATGAACACAAAATTTCATGCAGTCTTCCATTTCTCATCTTCACATCCTGGGCTCTTCTGTCTCCACTCTGGTTTTTATGCCTGCACTTGCTAGGATGAAAGTCAACTCTTGCCGATTTCCTATATGCCTCTCTCTTACTAATATAAGACTCTAATTCCATGTTTCCTTAAAATGGCTCAGATAGACATTTTTTTCATGGCTCTGGCATCCACCCTTCCCTGATTGGAGCCTGGAGGAAGAGGCCAATGGTAGACCCCTGGGCCCCTCCTACCACTCCCATCTTGAGAAGGGAACTGACCAGAAAAGGTCCAGAGAAAAACCTCACTAAACATGTGCTGTCCAATACAATAGCCACTAGATGTATGTAGCTATTTAAATTTACATTAATTCAAATTAAATAGAATGTAAAATTCAGTTCTTCTGTCATGCTGACCATATTTCAAATGCTCAAAAGCCAAATGTGGCTAATGGCTACTGGGCATACCAAACCCCTTTCTTACACCATATACAAAAATTAACTCAAGACAGATTAAAGACTTAAATGTAAAACCCCAAAACTGTAAAAACCCTGGAAGACAACCCAGACAATAGCATCTTGGACATAGAAACAAAGATTTCATGATAAAGACACCAAAAGTAATCACAATAAAAGCAAAAATTGACAAGTGAGATCTAATTAAGTTTAAGAGCTTCTGCACAGCAAAGGAAACTATCAACAGAGTAAACAGACAACTTACAGAATGGGAGAAAATATTTGCAAACTATGCATCTGACAAAAGTCTAATATCCAGCATCTATAAGGAACTTAAAGAAATTTACAAGAGAAAAACAACTCCATTAAAAAGTGGGCAAAGGACATGAACAGACACTTTCAAAAGAAGACATAAATGAGGACAACAAGCGAAGAAAAAAAATCTCAATATCACTGATCATTAGATAAATACAAATCAAAACCACAAAGAAATATCATCTTACACCAGTCAGAATGACTATTATTTAAAAAAAATAATAATAACATGCTGGCAAATTTGCAAAGAAAAGGGAATGCTTATAAACTGTTGGTGAGAGCGTAAATTAGTTTAACCATTGTGTAAAGAAGTATGGTAATTCCTCAAAGAGCTAAAAGCAGAAATACCATTCGACCCAGCAGTCCCATTACTGGGTTCATACTCAGAGGAAAATAAATCATTCATGTGCACACGAATGTTTATTGCAGCATTACTCACAATAGTAAAGACATGGAATCAACCTAAATGCCCATCAATGACAGTTTGGGTAAAGAAAATTTGGTGCATATATATCATGGAATACTATGCAGCCATAAAAAAGAATGAGAATATGTCTTTTGCAGGAAAATGGATGGAGCTGGAGGCTATTATCCTTAGCAAACAAACACAGAAACAGAAAACAAAATACTGCATGTTCTTACTTTTAAGTTGGAGGTAAATGATGAGAACTCATGCACACAAAGAGGGAAACATCAGATACAGGGCTCTAATTGAGGGTGCAGGGTGAAAGGAGGGAGAGGAGATGAAAAGATTACAATTGAGTACTGGGCTTAATACCTGGGTGATGAAATAATCTGTACAACGAAACCTCATGACATGAGTTTACCTATGTAACAAATTTTCATATGAATCCCTGAACCGAAAATAAAAGTTTTGTTTTGTTTTGTTTTTTAAAAAAGGAACATTTTCATTATCACAGAAAGTTCTATTGGACAGCGCTACTCTAAAGCAAGGGGTTCGTTTCATGATAGGGGCTCCTCTTGACAGGGAGGTATTGTTCCCGGGAACCACTGTTGGCTTGAAGTCTGAATATTTTCTTTCAATTAGGCACTTCTGGACATGACTTCTCTGGGTCCAGGACTTGCCATTTGGGAAACCAATTCTTCTCTTCAGAAATATCCCAATTTAAACCAAGTTCTTCCCTAAGTAAGCAGGAAGGAAGAAATAATATTTTAAGGGATGACATCCCTTTTAAAATTTTTAATTAAATTTTTATTGTGGTTAAATACATATAACATAAAATGTACTATTTTAACCTTTTGAAAGTGTACAATTCAGTGGTATTAAAAACATTCACAATGCTGTGGAACCAACACCACTGTAACATTTTCATCACCCCAAAAAGAAACTCTGTACCCATTAAGTAATAATTCTCCATTCCCCTCTCCTAGCCTCTGGTAATCTTCAATCTAATTTCAATATCTATGAATCTGCCTATTCTATATATTCATAGGAGTGGAATCCTACAACATTTATCCTGTAAGCCTGACTTCATCACTTAGCATAATATTTTAAAAGTTCATCCATATTTTAGCATGTATCAGAGCTTCAGTCTTACTATGTCTGAATAATACTCTGCTGTATGTGTATACCACGTGTTATTCAAAAGAACAGAGAATTTTAAAGCAATCAAAAAATTGAGGTATATTATTTTGCCTTGCTGAATTCTTTGCCATTCCACTTACTCTTTTCTGTCAACAAAAAATGGAATTATTTTCCTACTTTCTGCTTCTCATCAGAAGGAATTAAAGATCTCTCTGGAGCTGTTATCTTCTGATTGGCAAAACAATTGCACAGGGCCTGGCACAGAGTAAGTGTACTATTTAAATGTCTGCTATTATTATTATTATTATTATTATTATTATTAAATTGGATCAGCAGTACAGGGCAGATGGCCTGAGTCTGGATTTCTGAAAATGCACCTGGCATCATTTCTTAGGCTGCCTCATGGGCAAGATGGTCCAGTTAGTTGAACTGGACACTGGTAGGACAGCTGAGTTGACTGATCTGATTGCTTTGCTGCATTCTCAAGTTGTTAGAAAGCCCATCATGTACGGAAGATCAACCTTCCTATTCATTGCTTCTGGCAGTTTGTCCTTGCTCTGCCCTTGGAGAGACACATAGCTGGTATTTCCTCTCACCTGATGACAGTGTTCTGGTATTTAAAAGTGACCCTGCTCTTACTATGTCTTCACTTCTCCAGAGTAATCCTACCCACTTTCTTCCTCTGATTATTGTTGCTAGTGGTTTCTGACCTTTTCTGAGCCCAGATTCCTTCCCTGAATATATCTTAACTTGTTCAGGACCCTGTGACCCAGGGCTGTATACAGTACACCAAATGTGGTCTGACCATTGAACATTGCTTAAAGATTGCTGATTATATAGAAATAACTAGATCAATATATACATGTGCTTATGTACGTATCTCCATTTATATATGGATGCAACAGGTTTCAACACACACATGCCCTCATCCACCCACCCACTCACCCACACACACACCATTTCATTCCAGACACTTTATATGATGGTGGTATGAGTGTTTTGGTGTGCACGCTCTTCAGTCTTTAACATTTCTGAAGAACATAGCGTTCTATTAGGTCAGCCCCCAAAAGGTCAGTGTTGACATGATTCTCTTGCTTGGCTGTAGGGTTGGACATGGACATCAGTGGTAGTGATGACCTATTGCCTTTGGAGTCTTCCCAGAAGAACCAAGCCTGTTAGCCAGGGAACAAAACATAACATTTACAGAGCCTGAATGTGAAATATTTCCCTCTTTGAAATATTGAAGTGGCACCAGCTACCTTGTTTGATACCTCACAAAGGTGTTTAGAACTTTGCTTTTTCTTAGACATATTTCCAATAATTTTTTAGAAATTAGAGTTGAAAACCTATCAAACATTGTTTTCTCCACTTCTTCATCTGTAACAACCCCTCTCTCCTGCTCTCCCTCATTTTTCTCCTAACCCCTCCAAAGCACATTGTAAACTCCAATAAACAAAAGTCTTAAAAGTTGGGTAGCTCCCATGCATATGTGAGACAGGACAACAGAGGGCTTAGAAGAAAGCTATAATCATTTAAAGGGGAAGAGTTCAGCAGCACAAGTTTGCTACAGCTTGATCAGAGAAGCTGTTGTTTATTTTTTTGTGTGTAAACAGAAAATGGGGGAGAAAGGGACACTAAGCTTTAATCATGAAATGACTTTTCTTCTGAGTAGATCAGCTTCGTAAGTTAAAATGATTCAAGGCTCAATCTAATATCTGGGGAATAGAGTCTTCCCTTCCAAAGACAGATGTAATTATGACACATAGTCAACAAGGTTTTTCTTCATTATTGTTTGGCCTGAATTTGGGGTTTCTGGGAGAGAAAGGGAGAGAAGGGGTTGAGGACTTGGAGAATAATAGAAATTAAATGGGAATGTATCTGTGGTTTCAGGTCTCTCTTACAGAGTTTTATTGTTGGTTTAGGTAAAATATCATTTGGAATTTATCATAAGAAAGTCTCCTAGGCCTTCTAGTAGACCATTCTCAAATTAAGAGATAGAATCTGAGCCTCGTGAGGTGGTTTTTCATTAACTTAACAGAAAAACCATACTCTTAGCATGAGGAACTGAAGCCAGGATGTGGGTTTCCTAAGCTACCATAACAGTGCAGTTTAAAATGTGGTGTCTACATTATGGTTAGTTCATAGACATTTCCTTTATGACATTGAAAATATGACTCTGTCTATTCTACGGCAACTTTTGGTTTCATTAACTCCGTAACAATAAATACTGATTATATAGAAATGAGGTAGTGAGAATGTTCCTGGCCCCTGACTTCAATATCTACTGGTAAGTTATTTAATTTTAAGTGCCTCAAATAGTAATATTTAAAATATGTATAACTGTATCAAATTCTACCACCTTACTACAATTACAAAGAGAATAAAACAAAACAAGAAGTGACACATAGGAAAGCATTTTGGAATGTTCAAAATAAAGTTACTAGTATATTTAGACTGTTTTAGCTGGAAGTGATTGCTTAGTTTCCTGATGTCAGGCACTATAATAAGCAATTTCCTGATACTCTCATTTAATCTTCATGAAATGCTCATGAAGCATATACTGTTATAATGCCTACTTCATATATTAGAAATGAAGCAACAGGGTCACAATTATAAAATGAAGGAGTTAAGATTTGGATTTGTCTAATATCAGAACTGTTAGAACCTGCCTCAGCTAGATTACAAGACATTTTCATGTAGCATGGGAAGGAAATGATCTGTAATATTACAGAGTGATCTCAAGGGTCAATCCTCAATGGATATGCCACGAATGTGGTGGTTGGCAGTCTCTGAGATGGCCCAAGGACTCTCATGTCTTAGTATTCATGCCCTTATATAATCTCCTCCCCACGAGTAGGGGGAGATTTCACGGGTAACTTCTAATGAAGAGAATACAGTAGAGGCGATGAGATACCACTTGCTAAGATAAGGTTATAAAAAGACTGTGGCTTTCATCTTGAGCCTTCTCTCTCACTCCCTGTGGATCACTTCATCCTGGGGAAAGCCAGCTGCCATGTGTGTGAAGCAGCCCTGTGGAGAAGCCCACGTGGTAGGGAGAGGAAGCCTGCCAATAGCCACGCAAATGAGCTTGGATGCAGATCTTCTGGGGACTGCCAACAGCCATATGAGTGATCTTGCAAGTTGATCCCGCCCCAGCTGAGCCTTGATGACTGTAGCCTTGGCCAAAATATTGACTTCAGCCTCATGAGAGATCCAGGTAACCTGCTTCTGGATTCCTGAACCACAGAAAGTCTGAGATAGCAAATGTTTATTATTTATTGTTTTCAGCCACTAAGTCTCATGCAGCAATAAATAACGAATATGAATGGTAACCAAATGACTGGCTGGAGAACTAGAACCTTTTCAAGCCTGCCTCCTTCAATTCATTCAACAAATACTTATTGAGATATTACATGCCAGGCATTAGATGTGGTTCCTGCCCTCAAACTGCTGATCTTCTGATGGGGCATGATGTGGTGGGAAAAATTTTTTTTAAAAATTAAAAATCAAAATTCCTTTTAAACTTCTGGAAAATGATTAGAAAGAGCAGAGATATGGAGCCAGCCAGAAGGGCTCCAATTGCAGTCTCCAGATATGGGTTTTTGGGCTAACAACTCCTTTGAGCTTCAGTTTCTTCATCTGCACAGATGAAAACTACTTCTGAAAAGTTTGTAGAATTAAATAAAATAATGTATTAAAAATACCTGGCATGATACCTGGCATATATTAGTGGCTCAACAAATGCCGATTCTATGAGTATTACTCTTCATCTTTTTAATGTAGGGAATAATCATTAGATTGTGCAGCGTTGTTGAGTGTGCATAAAGAGATAAGCACAGGGCATGATCCATTTTAGATGCAACCAGAGTATTTATTTCTGTTAGTTTCTGTGGACCCTATAAATTATGTTATGACCATAGGAGATGAAAATAATTTTATGAAGAACTTTTGAGGTTCTAATTTTTGTTTAAAATGGACACTTTACTTCTTAAACTGAGGATCTGGTTATTGTTTGTAAAAGATCTTACTATAAGCCAGTAGAAAGAATGGAAAACATGAGTAGGATGGGACATCTGGAATCAAACTTTAGATCACCATATGCAACAAAGTAGAGTGAAAATGGGATTGGAGATCAGAAATTCTGAATTCTTCCTTTGCCTCTGAGTGTCCACTGATGTCCATCACCAAAGGGAGGTGTCAAATAGTTCAGTTCCTTAGGATTATACAACTTGATGAAGGGTTATCATCACAATTATTATTTATAAAACCCATTTCTACTACAACATAACACCATGAAGGATTAGCATTTCTCATAAATTTTCAAGAATTTGACCAACTTGCATCAGTTGCATTAATCTAATATTTATTAAAATTTCTAAAGTAATATCTGAAATTGGAAAGACACATACACAAGCCCAATATCTCCCAAAAAGTGAAAAATCAGTGCTAGACTACATTGGATTTTATTTCTTGAGGAACTAAACATGACCACTAGATGGCACTGGAGTCTGATTTCATCTTTCTATTTCCAGAACAGTCCGTGGGAAAACAACGGTAAGGCTATCATAAATTTTCTGAGTCAGTTACTTGCTTATCTGATGTGGTACAAGATAAAAAACATTTTTGTATTATTTTTGAAGTTCCTAGTAATCCCGTCAATAAATAAACATAATGCCTACTCTTAATCGGAAGCCAACCGATCTCACAAGTGAGTTTCATCATCCTTTGAAGAGCTTCCTGTAAGTAAATTTAAGTTTCTACAAATGAAATAAATTATAATTTACAACCAAAAAGAAAGAAAGAAAGAAAGAGACATGATGTGCCTTTGCCAAAGCGCTGACTCCTGCTGTTAATTTCCTCTAGCAATTCAAATTTCAGTTATGAAACATCTAGGACGGTACCCAGAAATTCATTCAACAAATATTTATTGAGACTTCTAGGATTACAAGGCCCACATAGACACTGAGAGGCAGTGGACACCTGCATGGAGTTTATTTTCTAGGGGAAGAATCAGACAATAAGCAAATGAATAGATACAATAGTTTTATATGCTATGAAGAAAATCAGTGGGTAATGTGATAAAGATAAATAGGGGCAAGCTGAGGCACCTTTGATAAGGTATGCAGAAATCTTCTCTGAAAAGGTGTTAAGGTGGAACTAAAATGACAAGGTAGAGTCATTCATAGAAGGAAGTTTAGCCTGGTCAAGGAACCAAGAGGCAATGAATAGGAATTTGGAGAGGCAGGCAGGCCAGAACATGGAGTGACTTAGAGTTTGTATTCATCTTATTGTACAAGCCACTGAAAGGTTTTAAGCAAGCAAGTTGCACAATCTGATTACATTTTTAAAACATCATTCTGGCTGCTAGTGGGGAATGGATTGTGTGACACAGGGTAACACTAGCAAGTGCTTAATAAATGAATGAATGAATGAATAAATGATGGTGCCTACTATGTGCCTAGTACCAACAAGGTGCTTTTGATTCGCTGAAATTCACTTTACACATTATCACACTGATAGAGTTAGACACTCTTTAGGCAGGTTCTCAAATTTGAGGGTCCATCAGAATCACCTGCAGCACCTGTTAAAACACAGATGACTGGACCACATCTGTTATCATGTTCCCCTCCACCATCACTTCCTCCCGCCACAGCTTCTGATTCAGGAGATCTGGGGTGGGGCCAAGAATCTGCATTACTAACAAGTTTCCAGATGATGCTGATGTTACCAATGTGAGGACCACACTTGGAGAACCACTGCTGTAAGAGGCTGGGCATAAAATGCCAGCAGCTGTTAAAACAAGCAAAAATAGAGAGAACTTATTTTAGTTCTGTTACAGTTCAGCCTTCTGGGTGTTAGAGACCACATTCATTCCTTTCTTGTATTACTAAAGTGGGAAATATCGTTCATTTCCTGACCAAGGATGATGTCCCTTTCTCCCTTACTAACAGAGTTCGAGTGTTGTTCAAGATTATTATTGTGTCCAAGTTCACAGTTGAATCAGGATTCACTTGAACCAAATGTACCAATTGGTACCAAAGCTACCAATTGACTTGGTAGCTTTGCCAGATTAGATACTCACTATCTCAGCCTTTCTTGCATGGTCATGGGACAGAGGTCTGACCAAGAAAAAGTAATGGAAGCCTGTTGAAGATTCTGAGAAAGACTTTCCTTTTTAATAAAAAGGAGAGCAGTGAGAAAAAAGTATTTATTTGTAGGAGACAAATCAGTGAATATTCTCATGCATAAATTGCCACAATTTAAAAAATGTGAATACCTGTCAGTCATGGTGTGCTGGTAAATGTTAACAACAGGCTCTCGGCAATGACAGGGATAAATTGCTGATTTTCATAGTGTAAATGCTGCCACGATGGCTGATTTCAGGCTATGAATGTGAAATCACTGAACACGGAGTTGCAAATAGATGCTAACAATTGGCTCTCAAGAGCCAGTATGAGCCAGTTTCAGCAAACCATTGCTGGAGATTATAAACCTAAAGATATGGTGCATCTTTCTCTGAAATACAAGGTAAGTAAGGCTAATTGTTCATGTTCTTGGCACATATTCTCTCCTGAAATCCAGTTGCATAAACAGCTGAGAAGGTTCAAGCACAATGTTTAACACAAGAGAAGACAACCAGATTTTTGGTTGAAGGAAAGTTCCTTGCCATGACTATTTACATTTTGTTAAAATGTAAACCTAAAAGTAATTTCCTGCACAATTTTATGCATCATTATAGGAAGCGTTTTTGAAAATGGGGTCTGCCTAAGACTTCTCAACAAACAATACTTCTTATGCAGTTACCTACATTTCTCCTTAGTGTTAAAAGAAAATAAAAGCAAACTATTTATTTGGGGGTAACTCTGAGGAATTAACAGGTTCAGTTCCTTCCGTAGAGCAGTTGTCAATGTCCTCTCCTTACTACATCCCAGTAGTCACTTAAGCATCTGCTCAGCTACTGTGCAAGGTTCCAAGGTCTTACAACAAATTTTAGCAAACGCTTCCTGTCCGTTACCTGACATCGCACTCTGCCCTCTAGTCAAAATGTTTTTTCTCAGGTCCTCTCTACCCTTGATGTGATGCCTTAGGATGAATAGTTTCTCACCTGGAACAGCTCATCGCCTCTTTCAGGTTTTCCCAAACTTCTTGGATTGCAAGAACAACTTGGGGAAGTTACAAATACAGATTCCTGAACCTCATCCCCTGATCTACTTAATCAGACTCTCCAAGAGAAGGAGCCTGGAAATATGTACTTTTTAGCAAATGTCCAGATAATTTTTCATCATGCAATTTTCAAAGAACCCTACCTTATCTGTCTTCTTCTTATTGCTCAATTCTCAGCTTAACCATTTCTTCCTCAGGGAAGCCTTCCCTGGACCCCCAAATAGGGTTGAATCCCCTTCCTATCTGTTTTATGCTATGCTCACAATACTTTGGACTACTTTTTAGCTTTCACTCAAAAGAACTTCGTTGAGAGTTTTTCCTAGAGGATTATAAATTTCATGAAATTAGAAAGTGTGTCTTCTGTATGACAGTATCTTCAGTGTCTATCACCATCTCTGGCACATAGTAGATGCTCAATAAATATAGGGTGATTGATTGTCTCATAGACCTTTTGTTCTACTTCTGTGAGGAGAAACCTAAAGATAAAGTCACTTCTTCGTCTAGGAGTATTCATTCATAAGAGCAAGCACATTTTTTAGGTCCACAACCAAAATATGTGTCCTTGTACAAGTTCTATACTCATCCTGGGTCTTGATTTCCTTAGTTTTAAAAGAAGTAGGAATAGATTAAAAAAGAATAGTCCCAGTAGATTTAGTTATGAATACTAGGGGTTGAATGTGAGCCTTAGAAACCTGACGCAATAGGAAAAAGAATACTCTTACCCTAAGGAAGTATATATTTTTGCTTCCAATCCACAATGGTCACAGATTCCTTATCAGAAATGTCTAACTAGCAGTGCTTGCATTTCCTTTCTGGGACAATCTCAGTTCCCACTGGTGGTGCCTCTGGTGGTTTTGGTTGAGTTGAACTTTTTTATCCTACTATCTCCAGAGGGCAAGGGCTCAGCGTCTGAATCTAGCACCATGTGTCAAGGCGGTGGTAGTGGAGGCGGAGATCAAAAAAGAGATGCAGCTTTTTCAAAGAGCACCGTATGTCTCTTTTCATTTCCAAACCAAATGAGATGGATTAGGGAATAAATGTAGAATTTGTGTCAACCTCTTGAATCTTAGGGATCAGACACCTTAATTTTATTTTTATGTCTTTCTTAGGCACCCCCTAGGCCGAATGCCTGCCCTTTCACTTTTTAGTCATTCTTATAAGTTCCTTTGGTTAAAATCTAGGAGTATAAATCTTATAGGAACCAGATAGTCATTTGATACCTATTTATTGCATTCATCCTATCTGCCAGACACTACATCTATGAGCTAGCCAAATGGAGGCTATTGTTGTCAGACATGACAAATGAGGAAGAGCCATTCGAGAATAAGAGGTGACTCAGCTTAAATCTATTCCTGGATCTGGGTGCAGTGGCTCATGCTTGTAGTCCCAGCTACTGGGGAGCCTGAGGTGGAGGATCACTTTAGCCCAGGAGTTCAAAGCCAGACTGGGCAACACAGCAAGACCCCGTCACTAAAAATAAAAACAAAAACAGAAACAAAAACAAAACTCAAAAAACGAAAACATTCCTAGGATTTAGAAAACATAATTTTTAACTATAAACCCAATGGATGAGAGGCTTACACGAACTAATGTTGGTCATAGATTGTTGAAGATAAAGGAAACACTGGAGATCCTTTAGTGCTATGGTTTTAAAACATTTTTAGCTTTGGTTTGTACAAAATCTTATTGGAAGCACATTCTGCAAAATGACCCCGAACAGCTGCTAAGGTTGTCACAAAAGCAAGGATCTTCAGCATCCCATACACCTTATCCCAGTGATAGTTGCTGAGGACACTGCAAATTCAGCTGGAAAATCATGCACCTACTAAAACATCTCCATTCTACAAATAGAACTCTGAGGTCCAAAAGGGAAATTATTTTCTCATGATTATAGAACTCAATAGAGGAGCCAGGCCGAGAACCAAGATTTTTGGCTTCTAATCCATGGCCTGGTTCACGTCACTCTAGCATAGAACATCAACCATTCTTCCTCCCTAATGTATGAAATTCCTAAAATCAGTCCCCTGGTGGATTGTAGACACTTCCAGAGGTACTTGATAATGCCATTCGAAGCATCTAAGGAAACAAACAGAAGCCAAACCCAATCCAGTCCAGTAATTAATTAGAGCCAGTAAATGTGTAGATAACCACATCCTACTTGTACAGATCAGAATCTCCACGCATGCAAAACACTTGAAAGAGAAGTAGAAACTAGAATGTTGTGCGACTGCACCCCCAGCAGAAACATTCAATTACTAACCCACTGTAAAACTCTCCCCGAAACGGATTTAGATTGTGCCTGGGCGCCTGATGCGTTCTCTGGCATCACCAGCCACATTTGAGGTGAAGGGAACCAGAAGAAACTCAACATGTGTCAAGCTTTTCCTAGACTTTCTAGCAGGAATGTTTCTCACCTGCTTTGTGTCTATTATTCCATCATCCTAATTAAAATTTCCATACAGTTTTGGGGCAGAGATTACCTAAGCCCAAAGCAAATGAATTAATATGACATGGTACATTAATGTGGGAGATCAAAAAGAAAAGCATTTTCTCTCCATGTTGTCCAGCAGTTTACATATCGTTACCTGGAAGAGTAATTTCCGACTCCTGAAAAAAGATGCCTTTACTGGCTACTCCTGACAGACAAATTGCATTTGTCCCTTTGTATTTATTTTTCTGTTAATAAAATTGACATCACAATATACTATCCTCAGAAATGAAAGTCTGCCTTTACATTTATTTAGCCATCTTTCATGATTTTTCTTCCAGGAACTCATGTATACGTGGCAAATTTTGTTACTTTGACTAGCCTGCTGCTCTCTGTCAACCACCGTATGTATCTTTTAATTAAGTAGAAAAGAGATCTTAAAAGCTCACATAAGCCCAGGAAACTCTATTTCTGGCTGACAGCAATGTCTCCTCATTTGCTAGCAAAAGCACAGATTGACAGAATAGAATAGATCAAGAAAATTGATCGTTACTCATATGTTGGATAGAGTCAATATATGTAAATCCATCCCTATTGCTGGCAGGCCCTGAGATGCCTGCCACGCAGAACAGACATAGTTACAGGCTGTTTTCTAGTCCAAATGCCAGCCTTTTGCCTTAATGCAGCAAAACTACAGTTATGTACTCAGAAAACTCTTTTGTATTCATAACAACTGCAGTTTGAATGTGGTTCAGGACAGAGAAACTATATTTACAAGCCACCATCTCTTTCAAGTCAATACAATTTGCAGTAAATACAGTTTAAGTTAGAGCTATGGTATAGATGCTCTGGGAATTGTCTTTGCGATTTTACTACATTTTTTGCAAGCATTTTAAATGTTCACTGCTTTCAAGTTCATTTCTTAAAGTGAACAGCCTCATGTGGTTGTTGTGAAGATCAAGTAAAATAATAGACATAAAAAAGGTTTTGAAAAAATCAAAAGTGTTATGCTAATGGGAGATGATGATGATTATTACTTTTTGTCTCAAGGTCCTTTTGCTTAAGGATGATGCTCCCTAGTTATCCCAAGGCCTTTTAAAATCTTGATTTAACACTTGAACCCGGGAGGTGGGGGTTGCAGTGAGCCGAGATCATGCCTTTGCACTCCAGCCTGGGCAACAAGAGCAAAACTCCGTCTCAAAAAAAAAAAAAAAAAAAAAATCTTGATTTAAAATAGTTGAATATTCAAAGTAGCAGTGCCTGAAACACAACGTCTAAGAACATGAAATACACATTATGTGTTTAGATATCCCTTAACATCTCAGAGAAAAATAATTGTGAACCTCATAGCATCATAGAAGAGTCGTGTTTCTTTCTTCAGGAGTAGGATTCAATGGTGTGTGAATATGAGTCTTTCAAGAGCTCTTAGAATTGCTACCTTCTTTCCTGAACCTAACTAACCTATTTTTTTAATTAATTAATTTATTTGTATTATTATACTTTAAGTTTTAGGGTACAAGTGCACAACATGCAGGTTTGTTACATATGTATATATGCGCCATGTTGGTGTTCTGCACCCATTAACTCGTCATTTGGCATTAGGTATATCTCCTAATGCTATCCCTCCCCCCACCCCCCACCCTACAACAGTCCCCGGTGTGTGATGTTCCCCTTCCTGTGTCCATGTGTTCTCATTTTTCAATTCCCACCTATGAGTGAGAACATGCATTGTTTGAACTAACCTATTTAAAAGCTAAGACAGTTTCTTTTCTATGATGTCAATTGCAGGAGGACCACTGTTCATAAACACATATACGTAAACCATCATTCAGGCTGATTTAACACTCATAATATATGGCAGCAATCACAGGGAAAGCCCTTCTGAAAATGGGACAGTCTAAGCAAGGAGGACTGGGGCCTGCTGTAACTTCATCCATTAATTCATTTCCACCCATTCTAGTCACTCCAAACAACACAGGACCTCTTTTTCAATGCTTCTTGCCCTAGAAGTTGTAAATGCCTCAATTACCCAGGGCAAGTGGCCAAAAAAGTTTTCAGGGACTGAATGACATATGACAGTGGGAAGATATTTTAAAGATCTCTCATCTCAGGTCTTCTCCCTATCACCCTCATCATTTTGTCTCCCTTCTATTGTTAGAAGGGAGAATTCTATTGTTAGACTCTACACAGGGCTTCCTCCACTGTCTATGAAATGTGCTCTGGTCTTCCCCATTCTTAGTTTTGCAGGAATTTTTGTTGCTTTCCTATACCTCCTTTGCTGTCCATACTAAACTTTTTGAGGGAGTTTACTTCATCACTTTCATTATCATGATCTCCAGTGGAATTCCTTACAGTATAACATCTCCTTCGACTGCTCAGTTGCTTTCTCAGAAATCCTTCGTAACTTCCTCATCACCAAGTCCAATGGTGTTCTCTCCTTTGGTATTCTATTTTATCATTCTATAACTGTGACATTCTTGATACACCCTTCATTGTGAATCTCATCCATCTCCTGGGTTTTGGTGTCTTTGTCTTCCTCCTTGTCTATTCTTCACCCTCTGCACATAGAGACTCCTGAAGTTGCTGATCTTACCAGCCTTCCCTACTTTCATTATGTCCTAGTCTGTTTTGTGCTTTAACAGAATACTGGAGACTGGGTAATTTATTTTTAAAAAACAGAGATTTATTTCTTACAGTTCTAGAGGCCGGGAAGTCCCAGGTCAAGGACTGCATCTGATGAGGACCTTCTTGCTGTGTCATCCCATAGTGGAAAGCAGAAGGGCAAGACAGCATGCAAGAGAAAGAGCAAAAGATGGGACTTGCAGCCTCAAGCCCTCTTATAATTGGCATTAATCCTTTCATGAGGGTGGAGCCCTCATGACCTAAACACCTCCCATTAGGCTTTATCTTTCAACACTATTGCACTGGGAATTTAGTTTCTAACATATGCTTTTAGGGGAACACATTCAAACTATAGTATATTACAATCTCTTTATCAGTGGAGTCATATGCACCAGAGGCTTCTGCTGTCTGAATAGTTAAGTCTCCAAGCTACCTTTCTAGTGCTGACCTTTCAAACACACTTCAGATGTGTTTTTCTCATTGTCTAGTGGCCATAGCTTTCAAATTTAATGTACCCAAAGCTCAAATCATCTCACTCCCACAAGATAGGTCCTTTTCTAAATTTTTATTTTTCTTTCATGTTCAATTTTATTCTCAATCACTTTTCCCCTAATAATCCAGTCTGGAAAACTTTAAATAATTATTGTCCCTTTCCTCTTCATCTCATACCTACACTATATATCCTTAATATTTTCTGAGACTAAAATAATTATAAAGTTTGTAGCATCAAATACTAGCTAGTAATTTAGCTGAGCCTACCAGTACCATCACAGCATGTTTTAAGCTTCCTATCAGGGAACATTTCAAAGATATACAAAATAAGAGAAAATAGTAAAATGAACTTCCATGTATCTATAGCCCAGCTTCAACAATTATTACCTCAAGTCTTTTTTCCTTTCTTCCATATTTTTGCCACCCACACCCTGAAATATTTTGAAGAAAATCTCTGATATCACAATATTTATTTGCAAATACTTAAGTATGTGCAATGGTTAATTTTATGGGTCAACTTGACTGGCCTTGGGATGCCCAGAAAGGTGGTTGAACATTATTTCTGGATGTATCTGTTACAGTGTTTCCAGAGGAAATTAGCATTGGTGTAGACTGAGTAAAGCAAATTTCCCTCCCCATGTGGCTGGGTATCATTCAATCACCTGAGGGATTGAATAGAGCCAAAAAAAAAAAATAGAGTCAATTTGCTCTCTGCCTGACCGTTTGAACTGGGACATAGATCTTCTCCTGCCCTCAGTGCTCTTGGTTCTCAGACCTTTAGACTTGGGCTGAATCTACACTATCAGCTCTCTGGCTCTCAGTCCTTTGAACTATAGCCCTAGATTACCTGTGTCTCCAGCTTGCAGAAGGAAGATTATGGGGCTGCTCAGCCTCAATAACTGAGTGAGTCAATACCTTATAATAAATCTCTTGCTGTCTCTATGTATGTCCTCTTAACTCTGTTTCTCCAGAGAAATTTCAACGAATACAATATCTCTATAAGACTAAGATTCTTCAAAATAAACCATGATATAAACTACCCAAAATACACAATGATGACTTAATATCATATCTAGTCAGCAGTTTTCACATTTAATCCATTGATATATACCTTATATTTTTCTTTCTTTCTTTCTTTCTTTTTTTTTTTTTTGAGATGGAGTCTTGCTCTGTCCGCCCAGGCTGGAGTGCAGTGGCACAATCTCGGCTCACTGCAAGCTCCACCTCCCGGGTTCACGCCATTTTCCTGCTTCAGCCTCCTGAGTAGCTGGGACTACAGGCGCCCACCACCATGCCCGGATAATTTTTTGTATTTTTAGTAGAGACGGGGTTTCACCGTGTTAGCCAGGATGGTCTCGATCTCCTGACCTCGTGATTCGCCCGCCTTGGCCTCCCAAAGTGCTGGGATTACAGGCGTGAGCCACTGTGCCCAGCCCCTTATATCTTTTTAAAGTCAAAGTTTCTCTTAATCTCTTTCATCTTTTTTGGTCCTTTTAGTTATTGTTGAAGAAACTGGACAATTTATTAGACAGAGTTTACCTCAATCTGTATTTTACTGAATGCATCCCCTTGGTATCATTGAATATCCTCCTCTGTAATCTATATTTCTTGTAAAATGGTAGTTATATAGAGATTTGACCAGCTTATTTGGCAAGAATACCTCACAGATGTTCTTATATACCTCCACCAGAGAACAAACACATAGTGTCTGATTGTCCCACTTTTTGTGATGTTAACAGCCACTGATGATCATTGGCCAGATTCAGCAACATACTAGAGGTTATAAAATGGTGATATTTTAATTATCTCATTTCATTCTTAGTACATTTGTTATCTGGAGTATTTCAGTAAAGAGAAGTTTTACTTTATCAACTATCCAGCTACTCTAAGACAGCAATTCCCAACTTTTTGGCACCAGGGACCGGTTTCGTGGAAGACAATTTTTCTGCAGACTGGGAAGGTGGGGATGGCTTTGGGATGATTAAAGCACATTGCATTTATTGTGTACTTTATTTCTACTATTATTACATGGTAATATATAAGGAAATAATTGTAGACCTCATCATTATCTGTGGAATTAGTGGGAGCCCTGAGCTTGTTTTCCTGCAATGAGATAGTCTTATCTGGGGGGTGACTGGAGACAGTGACAAATCATCAGGAATTAGATTCTCATAAGGAGTGTACCATCTAGATTCCTCGCATGCATAGTTCACAATAATGTTTGCACTCCTATGAGAATCAGTTGCTGCAGCTGATCTGACAGGAGGCAGAGCTCAGGTGGTAATGCAAGAGATGGAGGGGGGCTGTAGATACCGATGAAGATTTGCTTGCTTGCCTGCCACTTACTTCCTGCTGTGCAGCCTGGTTCCTAACCAGTCATGGACTGGTAAGTAACACTCTGTGGCCTGGACATTTGGGACCCCTGCTCTAAGATACAGGTCATATAAAAATGAGAGGGTAGCTTAATTATCTTTATTTATTGTTTAAAAAATAATAAATTTGTTTCCTAGCAGGCTTCAAAATTGACCAATAATTGTGTTTTGTATGCTTATATATCCGTGAACTCAAGGAATTAATCTTATCTGATGTGTTTGAATTCATTAGAATACATTCTCTGGAATAATTATCCCATCTTTGGCCACTGTGAGCCTCTTCAACTCAGCTGCTGACTCTTTTTGACACAAACTTAGTCAAACAACCTTTGATAGCTTCCTTGCTCTCTGGTGCATTGTAGGCTCATCATACACATTTCTGCCTAAGCTTGCAACCATCCACATCCGAGGAGTAGGAAATAGCATTTAAAGACTACAAGCTGCATGCCACATATGCTTATTATTAATAACTTGATCACTGTTTCTAGGCCTTTTCAGTGGGCAAAACTAGAAGCCAACTTTCATGTAATTTCCTTATTCCTCATTCCCTCATTTAAAACATAGTCATATTATCTGCATTGTCAGAGCATGTAGACATTACATACTAGACTGCCTCATTTATAGTGTATTTTTGGTCTTGATTGTACAAGTATATTGATATTTAATGTTCTTTACCCATGCTTTCAGTAAATTTGGTTGTCTGAAGCTCATATTTTAGTACAGGGATTTTTTAAAACTTTATAATAATCTTTCATGGAACAATACTTTAGTAAAATACAATGAAAACAAATTACTTGAGAAATGATTCATGTACTTGGATGTCATGGCAATGTCAAAGTGCCATAAAAGTTTTGAACACTTGCTCTTAAATCCATTCTTATTTCTTTGTGGTTTGGTAGACTCCTTAAGAAGAGCACATGAGAACAATGTTCTCTGTGTTTTTGCATGTTGACATCAATTGACCATAGGCTTTTTGTACTTAAAGGTCAGTTTGGCTGAACATAAGATTCTTGGCTGACATTTTCTTCTTGTGAGTATCTTAAATATATTACTATAATATTTTTGGCCCTAAAAGTATGTCTGTTAAAAATTCTGATGACAATCTAACTTTCTTTCTACTTATCTTTTTGGTGGGATAGCCTAAAGATATTTATTTTAAAGGATGGTGTTGGCCATTATGGGTCAAATTTCAAGTCCTCTTAATACATAATTTCTAATTGTTTTTATTTTAGGAAAGTTTTCAAATTATAATTTCTCTTCAGAGATTCCTTTTATATAACAGTAGTTACCAAATTTGTTGTATCATGGAAGCAGCAGTCTGGCAAAAACAATGGAGTGTTTCACAGAATAATATTTTTAGATGTATAAAGGAGAACATACAGCATTTCAAAGGAAACTAATTATATTGAAATACAGTTGTCAAAATAATTTAAAATTATGTTGCAGTTATTAACTCTTTATTAACTATTAAGTAATGAGATATAGTTCTTAATTAATGAGATCTAAATATAGTTAACAACTACAAATTGAAAAAAGTGATGAGCATAAATGGTATTTGGAGCTGTTTTTCCAAACTGTAATTTGGCATTTTGACTTTTGTGATCATTTTTGGTGATAAAATCGTAGATACTGTCAGTACTACTGTGGTTTGGTGCATATGTTGATAATTAAAGAAAAACGTTAAATTTCAGCCAGAGGTCAGTAAAAATATATACATAATATATTTCTTAACCAAGTTCATTGCACCACCTAAATTTTACCCATAAACCCTGACATCCATGGACCCTGGGTTAGGAACCCCTGTATTAGACATACGTTGAAATTTCTAAACCATCATTTTCTCTCAGGTGCTTTATTTTTTTAACGCTTTATTTACATCATTTTGATTAAAATTTTTTTTCTTCCTTTCTATGTTCTGTTTCTCTCATTGCACTATTCTGTTTATTTGCTTTTGTGTTCCTCTTGGCTCAACTTCTTTAGTGAAATGATTTTATTTATTTCTAGTTTTTTCTCAACTTATGTAACTCTAATTTTAAATCTTCCTTAATCATCTCATTTCTGAGTTATTCTATTTGTGATTTCTTGTCACAGCTTCTACCATTAGCTTGGTTTATTTTAGCTCATTTTGAAATACCGGGCTTCAGTCTTCATCTGTTTTTGAGGGCATGTCATTCTTTGTGCCTCCCAGGTCATAGGGAATTCATTCTGCTTCTCATTCTTCTGAGACTGCATACTTTTTGCTTTGCTCATGCTTAAGTAAATGAGTTTTTGTGTACTTTTAGGAGGGAGGAAAGGGCGAAGTAACTTTTCTAGACTCATGACTCTAGGACTCCCTCTTCTGTTTCTTACCTTAAAGTAACTTAAATATACATAGGCTTGCATTTTGTGGAATCTCTCTCTTCTATTCCCTAATCCCTTTTCATCTGGAGTTTTCTTTTTTTCTTTTTTATTTTTTTCCTGCTCTTTTTGTCCCTGTTCTTCTCAATGTGAAGCTCATGCTAACAATTTCTCCTGGAAGGGAAGGTTGGCTTGTTATCATCAATGGCTTAGAGGGCCCAGATTATTCCAGCACCATTAGATCCTATCAAACATGGTCCCCTTGCTCTCACCCATGATTCAGAGCCTGCAAGACTCTTACCCAGTTCAGTCGTTTTCCAGTGTATATCTATAAGAAATATGGAATATTCTGGTATCAGAATCCTCACAACCCACATTGTCTTTCTTTTACTTCCTTCTACAGAGATGCTGATACTGCTCATGTCTGATGGCTCTCAGGGCTTTTTTCTAATCCCTTATATTTTGGAGTCTTTGGAAATAGCTTAACATTTAGTTATATATAGAGATAGATAGATAGATAGCAGATATGAATAGATACTGTCTATGGATTTTTTTGAATTTTTTATCATAGTGGCTCTATTGGTTTTATATAGGGCAGTGATTCTCCACTGGGGATAACTTTGTCCCCCAAAGGAATTAACCAATATCAGTGGCAGTTTTGGCTTTCACACTGGAGGAGAGGTAATACTAGCATCTAGTGGACAAAGACCAGGGATGCTATTAAACATGCACAGGACAGTCCTTCACAACTAAAACTTATCCAGTCTAAATGTCAATAGTGGTGAGGTTGAGAAACCCTGGTCTATGGGAATTTGGGGGGATTCAAAAAGTAAGCCACAACTGATACCCTCCCAGCTGCCTCCCAACCTCCTCATCAGTTCTTCATTTAAAAAAATGTATTCACTTCTATCCGTTATTATTAATCCCCTTGTTCAGACCCATGTTTTTTTTGTTTGTTTTTTGTTTTTGTTTTTGTTTTTGTTTTTGTTTTGAGTTGGAGTTTCGCTCTTGTTGCCCAGGCTGGAGTGCAATGGCACCATCTTGGCTCACTGCAACCTCCGCCTCCCAGGTTCAAGCGATTATCCTGCCTCAGCCTCTGCAGTAGTTGGGATTACAGGCATGCACCACCATACCCAGCTAATTTTGTATTTTTAGTAGAGACAGGGTTTCTCCATGTTGGCCAGGTGGGTCTCGAACTCCCGACCTCAGGTGATTCACCCACCTCGGCCTCCCAAAGTGCTGGAATTACAGGCCTGAGCCACTGCGCCAGGGCAGGCCCATGATTTTTTTTCACCTGAGCTATTATGCTACTGTGGCCTGAAGACTGAAGCTGCTCTTGCACTCTTTCCTGTCCAAATCATCTTACCCATGATGCCAGAGTAATTCTCCCAAAGTGCAGCTCACATCATGCCAAACATCTGCTTAAAGAGATTCTGTAACTTGCTAGTACCTTGTAAATAAGGTTTAATCTCATTATCTGGAGATTCAAAATTTTCAGTGCTCTGTCCCAATTTATCTCCCTGAATTTACTCCCTCTATTCCTGATGCATATAACCTGCAATGCAGCCAAGTAGGAATTGCCACTGTTGGACAAAAATGTCTCTTTTTTCTCTATTCTTTGTTAGACAACTTTCTTACTTTGTAGTGCCTTACCATCCCTCCAGCCCCACCCCAAACCTCCCTTTACAAGAAACCTTCTCCCTGTTCCTCTTTTTCTCCCCTGCACACTCCAACCAATAATGCCTCTCCCTCTTGAGTATCTTAGCATTTTTGATACACTTGTCTTATAGCATTTAAATTATTTTTATATATAATATAAAAAATAATAAATATAAATTATATATTTTACATATACAAGTAGGATGTATATGTATCCTAGTATGTTATATTTTTGTGGTGAGAGAAGATTGTGTATTTTTTCCTTTTGGTATGGCATTTTCCACAGCACCTGACTGAAACTATCCCCACAGGACTAACAAGAATTACATGCCAGATTCTGGGCAGAAATATAGTTATAATTAAGCATTAATCTGGTTTGCACTTTGTCCCACTTCTTTGTGGCTAAAATTCAATCTGTAAAAATCACTACAGAACTGCCATCCCCCTTTGCTACCTTTGTCCAGTGTCAAGTCTCTTCCTTCCCTCCCCAGAGATAACCACCATCTTGAACTTACCATTTCCTTGCATGGAATGATTCTGACCATTTGCATCCCCGGTTTTCTTATAGATAGGACTCTGACATTGGAATCATAAGGCTTCTGTTTAATCATTGCTTTAGATGTTTTTCAGACTCAAATTCCAGCAACTCCCACAGACTCCCACAGATGAATGGGATCAGCATGAGAATACAGCTGATTCATCTCCCTGTTTCTTGACTTCACCCTGCACTCGTCAACCAATCAATGATCACTCTTCAACCCACTCCAAAACCCTTAAAAGCCCTAACACTAAATTCCTTAGAGAGATGGATTTGAGGTTCCCTGCCATCTCCTCATTTGGTGACCTTACAATGAAACCTCTTTCTCTGCTGCAACCCAGTGTCTCAGCATAGTGACTTGCTGTGTGCTTCTGGCAATGAACCTATTCTGTTTACATAACAAAGGTTTACCCTGAGTAGATGCTCAGTAATATTTGTTAAATAAATAAGTGCATAGAATTGAGACCTAAAAAGTTTAAGACCATCTACAATTCATCTCTCTCATTAATGATAGAAACTAGAAGACATTAAATCAAAACTATGGTAATTTGTTTTTGTATTAGGGTTCTACAGAGAGGCAGAACCTGTAGGATATATTATAAACATACAGAAAGAGATTTATTATGAGGGATTGCCTTATGTAATTATAGAGGCTGAGAAATCTCACAGTCTGCTGTCTGCACATTAGAGTAAAAGCTTGGAGGAAAACTGAGGGTATAGTTTCAATCAAAACCTGAAGCACTGAGAACCAGAGGAGCCGATGAAGTCCTGGTCCAAACCCAAAGGTTTGAGAACTTTGGGGGCTGATGATGTAAGTCCTGCTCTGAGTCTGAAGGTTAGAGAACCACAAAAGCCAATGTCCAAGGTCAGGAGAAAACGAACGTCCCAACTCAAGCAAAGAGCACAAATTCACTGTTCCTCCATATTCTGTTCTACTTGGACCATCAACAGATTGGATGATGTCTACTCAAGTTGTGGAGGCCAATATTCCTTACTAGGTCTACTCATTCAAATGGTAGCCTCTTCCACAAACACCCTCACAGAAAGCCCCTGAAATAGTGTGTTACCAGCTATCTGTGTCTTCCTTAGTCTGTATCTTCCTTCGTGTTTCAGGTTGAAACATGAAATTAACCATCACAGCTCTTAAGATTGTTTTGTGTAAATGATAGCTATCATCATCATCATTATTGTTACCAATAATTGTTATTAATGTAGGACTAAATGTCAGATGGATAGCAATGAACAGTTTAACTTACACAACATGGTTACTGGTCCCTAGGAGAGTCTCTGTCCATGGCTAAATCCTCAGGTGGGACTCAACAGATATAAGATTGAATACTAAGGGTTCATAATAATTGTTTGATACTTCATCTCCCAAAGCTTCACATCTCCATCACCCTGTGAATTTTGTTTTTATGTTGAGTTATAATTTTAAAAATAATAGGATTATACTCCATAGAAGAGATGTAGCATAATTCTAGAATATCTTGTCTCAGGCCCCCTTTCTTTCCCTTTTTTTTCTTTAGTAGCACATATTAAGTGCTCTTTATAGGCTCAGTGTGGTACACTAACCATTTCATATAGGCATGTATTTCTATAGGTAGAACATGACTGGTGCTGTCCTGAAAGGATGTTATGGGCACTGAGATAGTCCCCACCCTCCAAAATGCATCCCTCCCTACTATTCCTGATATTCTGTGCTCATTATAGATTTTCTCTTTCATATTTCAAGCAGGAGTCCTTATCAGTCACTTATACCATGATGGAAATGAGTTTCAGATTCTCTGCTCCTAGAGCCAGAATGAAGACCATGAGGTCACTGAGCCTGTGACAATGAGAAGGGCTAGAGTACTCCTGAGAAGCAAAGGCCAGGAGCAAATGTTGCCATTTTCACAATTGTCATGGGTCAGGCTCTTCTCTGTTTTCTTCTAGTCATTGCTTCATTTTACAATTCTCCTGCAGCACAATTGGTCACAAGCCTTGTGTTTTTCAAAGTTTTCCAGCAAGTAAATACAAATCTGAAAAATATTTTATTGTTATTTTTTAGAAAAAACAATATTGTTATTCCAAGTAGGAAGGGTTGCCTATATATCATGTTGACATAGTTAAAATATAGAGATGGCAATTGGAAAAAATCCATGGAATATGGTCTTTATGAGTATTAAATGTAGAATGCAGTGAGCACCAGACCACTTGGGAATAAAAATGTTAGGATCTAAAAATGCGACAGGTTGTTTGATCCTATGTTTTAATCACATTATTTCAAAATATTCAAAATCATTCCGATTTTTCCCTTGGGGATTGAAACCATTCTCTGAACTCTAGACTGTGTCATGTCTCTGAATACTAAATATCAATTAATGGAAAGCTGTGTAAAATGTGAATGAGGAGCTTCTTACTCATCTGGTTATCTTTGCCATGCACAGTGATTTGGGCTAAGCTCTTACAATCCTGTTTTAATTTCTTAGTAATTTTCTTCTCAGGAATTCCCAGGCACTTTACAAGCTCACTTACTTGTTATGACACCTGGAGAAAAGAGAAGCTACAATAGGGTCAGATTTCATACTACTGTCTTTAGGTCTGTGCCATGCTGAACCCCATCATTTCATGGTGTTATTGGTGCCTTTTAGAAATGGAATCCACCCTGATGGACTCAACATATGCATAGTTCCATGATCTAACAAGTGGTTTTTTTCATTTTGTAGACAGAGACAGGGTTGTAGATTATATTGTTGTTCAGCATATATTCACTTCCTCCCCCATTCCCAGTTTCCTGGGAGGAATATACTTCCCCACCCCTTTGATGTTAAGCTTAGCCCTGTCTTGCTTCAGCTTCATGATAAGCAACGTGCAACAGCTCTTGACTTGGGTTTGGCCATCCATGTGATTTGCTTTGACCAATAGGATGTTAACTGATATGATACAAGACTTGAAACAGGTTTGCATGTTTCCATAGGAAAAAGAGGTCTTGGGTAACCTCTTGTTTAAGGACAAGGAGACATGTGGAACAGACTTTGCTTCAACCTTTATGCAGGAGCCAAGCCAGCTGAATCCCAGCAGGTCTATAACACATGAGAAATAAATGTTTATTGTGTGCCAGAAGCATAATTTTGGCGAAGGTTCACTAAGACCCATCAGTCCTGTGCTGAAGCCCTTATCACCTACTAACCAACTACTGCAATTACTGCCCACTTGGCCTCTTTGAATCCTGCCTCCACCACCTCCAATCTCTCCTACCCAACACTGACACTTTCAACCTCCAAAATCTCTCCTTTCATCATGCCACTTTCTGTATGATGTTTTGGAGATTTTTCTAACTAAGAAGTTTCACAAATCATGTCTCCTGAAGATAATATCCCTTAAATGATAATAAATTAACTCCTTGTTAAAGCAATCTGTAATCATATGTATTTGGGAAACACAGAGTTGAGCAAATGCAAATAAGTTTTTGTTGTGTTGTGTGTGGATTTTTTCAACTGTAGAACTTCTTGGAGCCTTTAATGTATAAATGTCTATTGTGCTTCTTGAAACAGGGAGCATGAGACCCATCATTTTTAAACTTATTGACCCTGGAACTCTTTTTCCGAGCATCATAAGTTAACCTCTCAAGAGTCACTAGTGTTCCATAGTACACAGTTTGGGAAATGATAGTCTATATCATAAAGCTAAAAACCTAATACGACATTCAAGACCCTACGTCATAAGTCCCAAGCCTACATTTTTAATCACACTTTGGTAAAGTTTTTAAAAGTTTTCAATTAAAAAATAATGTAATCTCATAATGAAAATTTTGAAAATATAGAAAAAATAAAAGAAAGCAAAGAAATTACATACATCATTCAGATATAACCAATATTTGATTTCCTTTTTATTTCTTTGCAGGCTTTATATCATAAATATTTTATCTTCTTGTGATTATATAGCATGTTAAAATTATAAACACAGAATTTATTTTATATTTATAAAATATGTTATAAATAAAATGCATTATTAATATTTTATTTTCATTTTTATTATGACATATATCATGCAAATAAAATTATACCTACTATAAGCTTTGCCAGATATTAATATATTCACATACATGCCTCGATATTTATGTTTTCCCAAGGAAAAAAAACTCCAACGTTGCAGAACTGCCAACACTCTTTGTGATACCCTTGTCCAAAGTCAAGTCCCTTCCTTCCCCTCAGATAACCACCATCTTGAATTGATCATTTCCTTGCATGCTTTTATAGTCTTACTACATATGTTTATATCCATAAACAAAATAGGGGCTGAGGGGTTGGTTTTTAAGGTTTTTAAACTTTTAAAGTTGGAATTGTACTATAAATGCTCCTTTGTACCTTGCATTTCTTCTCTCAGTATTATGTTTTTGGGGTTTTCCCATATTGTTATATGTAGCTCATGTTTGGTTATGGTAACCACAGTATAGAGTATACTACAAACTTTGTACTGATTTTTTTCTGTTTATGGATTTTGTGTCTATTTTTTTGTCATTGTAAGCTGATATGATTAGGCTTTGTCTCTCCATCCAAATCTCATCTTGAATTGTAATCCCCAGGTGTTGAGGGAGGAACCTTGTGGGAGGTGATTGGACCATGGTGGTGGTTTCCCCCATGCTGTTCTCATAATAGTGAGTGAGTTCTCACAATATCTGATGGTTTTATAAGTGCTCGACAGTTCCTGCTTTGTGTGCACTTTCCTCTCTCACCTGCCATGTAAGACGTGCCTGCTTCCCCTTCTGCCATGATTGTGTGTTTCCTGAGGCCCCTCCAGCCATAAGGAACTGTGAGTCAATTAAACCTCTTCCTTTTATAAATTACCCAGTCTCAGATATTTCTTTATAGCAGTGTGAAAACATAAGCAATGCTGCAATTATCTAAAATTATAATTTTAGATATGTACATTGGCAACTCTCTTAGATATTGCAATATTCAGCTCTAAAGTGGTGGTGCTAATGTATCTTCTCACCAGTAGGGTATGAGAGTTCCTGTGACTCCCCACCTTCAACATTGCAGGTGCAGCCAAACTTTTAAATGATTGCCGATGCTGATGGGAATGAAAAGATACATTATTGTAGTTTTCTATTACATTTACTTTATTACTAATGAGGCAGAGTATTTTTTCGTGTGTTTAATAGTCAGTTTTCTGCTTGTGAGTTGCCTGTTTCGATCTTTTGAGTATTGTGGTTTGTTATTCAATTCCTTCCTAAGTATAACAGTAATATATCCTCAATTATGATCAACTACAGCAAATTGTAAGAAAAAATGAAATTACCTTAAATCTCACCACCCACTAGTTAATATTATTAACATTTAGCTGCATTTTCCTAGTGAAATTTTAGTAGCCATAATTGTTTTATATAGTTAAAGTAAGAGGCAGCTGTGAAGAGGGCCATGGTGACAAAATTTTTCACTGGGTTGTTTATACTATGTCCCAGATTAATCCCAATGATTGAAGTTATTCAATGTATGTTTGAGAAATACAGAACACCATTAGTCAAGCTCATTGACATTGAAAACGGCCAGAATATAGCTCTTTGCAACTTTGCTTTTATGTAGAACAAAAGCAATTCTTTGTTTCATCATTTTCCAGGCTCTCTGACCCAACATTGTACATAGGTCATCCATTGTTAAAAAGCACTTATAGAGAAGAGTAATGTGAATACTGCAAGGGTTTTCATCTGAAAGGGAGGGCAGTGGGGTAAATGATACAGCTCATGAGTTACATCTGGTGCTGAAAAAGTGGCAAAGGTAAATGAATGCAGGGAAACTGCAAGGCTAACCCCAGCCCCATAACCCTTTTTGGCTTTGAATTACAAAATCCATTTTATTATTGAGTTTAGCATGCAAAGTGTGACTTACTCAGCACAGTGCTAAGAATTTATTTTTCTTCATTATTTTCATCTCTTGGATGTTCATGGTATATTTTACATAATATTTCTAAATAAAGAAGGTTCCCATTAGTGAGTTGTTTCTGAGCCTTTTAACAATGGTGAAGGTCTTTCTGTTGCTGTCACATGGGAAACACAATCTGAATGGCTTTAAAATTCTTGGGTTACAAACTTTTCTCCCAAAAAAATGAAGACTTTTCTCCAGTTCTGGCATTTGCTATTACAGAAAGGTTAAGGTCAGCCTTTGTAGGCTACATTTTTCTTTCTGCCTGGGAGAATGTAGGATTTATTTTTATTCTTCTAATTCAAACATTTTCGCCAGTCATGTTCAAATGTGGTTCTCTTCTCTTTGATTTTTTTCTAGCATACAGTGAATCCTTCTGTTCTGGATACTTAAGTTTTTGTATGACTCAGACGATTTGCTTTTTACTTACCATATGTCTTTGATTATTGCTTCATCTCCACTTGCTCTGGTTTTCTCCTCTTGAACATGTTAAGTCATTAGATTTCTTCTCATCCTCTGCCTCATATAGCTACCATCTCTTTCTTCATCATTTTTATCTTTTTATCCCCTCCCTCTGCATTTTGTTAGAGTTCTAGAGTTAGTTCAATGCACCATTGATTTGCTTTTCTACAGTGTCTACTCTGTTCTTTGCTTCTATTCATTTCTATACAGCTATTTCATTTTTGGTGCTCTTGAAGTCCTTTTTGTTCACTAAGGAATCTTCCTTCCCATCTCATCCAATGTTTTTGTTATAATTTTCTGCTTTTCACAAGGTCTGGTTGTATTGCATTCTACAGCTAATGACTCATTTTTCTAAAATTCTCTTTTGTTTACTGGAACAAATCATTTTCCGAAGGTTGTTCCTCTTATATGTATTTAAGCTAATGCACTCTTTCTTTGTGATACACTCTGTTTAATATTCCCTCATATTTAATTTTATTTTTGTATTTACTTTTCCTTCAACAAGGAAAGACTTGTATGGATTTCTGTCTCCAGTAGACAAAGCATGTGAATTGCCTTCAGTCCCTTTTTTTTGTGGGCTTGGATACAAGTTGACTTTCCTTTTTATATCACAGCTGAAATACTCAGTGACAGGCATAGTTTCTAGTCTTAACCCAGAACTTTATAGGCTTTCATCCACAATGATCCTGCTGGCTGAGAAGGAAATTTCTCCTATGCCTCACTGCATGCTATTCTGACTCTCCGATTATACTCATTATTCAAGGACTGACCTTTTTGTCCAGATATCCAACTGGAAGAAAAAATGCAGAGTGTGAGCCAATGGTCAGAAATTCAATTTTGATTATTTTGTTGGATAAGTTACTTCAGATCACTGAAATGCCTTTTAAGTATTTATTTTGATATTTTTAAAATTGAAACTTTGTTGAGTAGGAAATTTTAAGTACATACGTACTAAATTAAAGAGTGTGTCATTGAATACTAGGTAGAGAAGGTTTGCTATTCAACCTGAAGCTCCCTGGCTTCACCCCATACTCTTCTTTAAAAAATTCATACCTACTCCCTAGAAGTTAACTTACTTTCATTTACTGCTAATAAAGCAATAAGACTCATTGTTTTTCAGTATTGTGTGGAAGACACAGAAGAGCAAATATAATCTCACTTCTCTGTCTCCAGTAGGTCTCCTTAAATACCCCTGACCTACTTACTCTTAAAGGTACAAAGAGTGGATAAAATACAACTGTAGTGTGTCAATCAGAGTTCTTTGGTGACAATCAGGGTTCTTTGGTATGATCAACAGAAATTGACTTGGGCTCATTTAAGTAAGAGGAAATATATTGAAAGGATACTGGGAGCTCAGAGAGTTGACTGGTAAGTTGGAGACCAAGTTTAAAAGTGACAGGAGAAATGACAAATTAGAAGCTGAGAATCAAGGACTGCAGGAACTAGAGGAATGAACCCACAGCAGGAACAGTCGGGTCATCTTCCAGGGTAATGAAACTTTAATCATGCACTGTATGCTTGTTATTTTGTTCAAGAGTCAAATTCTAGGGAGAGAGTGTCCAGGTGGCTTTAGATCACCTGCCTACTTTTTTTCTCTGGGACATCAGGGCTCCTGATTAGGGTCCCACCATATAGTATGCTAAGGGGAAGAAGTAATCCCCCACAGAAACTAAGGTGCTGGTAAGAGGTGGAAATGGACCCCAGGAAACCAAACCCCTGTGAGTGTCCACTACATGTGAACATTAACTTTCACCTTCGGATTTTACCCATACCATCTTGCATCTTGCATTGATTTATTCTGACTTCTTACTTAACTCACTGAATTCTCATTGGCTTTGTACCACAAAATTGGTTATCAGCTTTAGTGTGCCTGGTTTTGGATGGCTTGTTTGGAGAAGTCAGATCTTAGTATGTAAAAGAAGAGGATTTAGATTCAGACAATTCCAGAACCAAACACCAGCTGGTCACCTCACTGACTAAGGTATCTTGAACAAATTACCTAACTTTTCTGAGCCTTGGTTTCTTAATTTATCGTGATATTTTGGAGAATTCAATGGGGTGTTATGTGTAAAGTTCTTAGAAAATGTTCAATGGCCAGGCATGGTGGCTCATGCCTGTAATCCCAGCACTTTGGGAGGCCAAGGGAGGCAGATCACCTGAGGTCAGGAGTTCGAGACCAGCCTGGACAAAATGGCAAAACCCCGTCTCTACTAAAAATACAAAAAATAGCCAGACATGGTGGTGAACGCCTGTAATCCCAGCTACTTGGGAGGCTGAGGCATGAGAATCACTTGAACCTGGGACACGGAGGTTGCAGTGAGCTGAGACCACACTACTGCACTCCAACCTGGGCAACAGAGCAAGACTCCATCTCAAAAAAAAAAAAAAAAGAAAATAAATGCTCAATAAATGATAGATTGTTATTACGGTTAATAGTTGTGAAAATTGTTATTATTATAGACTAATTCATACTAAGTTGATATTCTTCACCTCAATGCCGAATAAGATTTCTAAATTTATCCTTCAATAGCACCAACCGTGAGAAAAGGGAAGAGAGAACTGCAATGATCCTTCCCCAGTCATCCAAGCCTTACACCCAGTGACAAGCGAGGCCAGTCCCTTCCTGGTCAGTCTATTAAAGGGAGGGAGGACATTTGCCTTTAAGGAACTTTCAGTCTCACTGAGGAAACCAAACTACTAAATAGAATCAGAGCAATTAGGACCTACCACCCAGAGATCTGATAAAAGAGCCTCCCACAACATTTATTTCTAAGACAGGGATCATAACTCTGCCTGAGTAGAAAATTTGAACGTACTGTACTTGGAATATCTACTGACACACTATGATATGCGCATTTGATTGTGTGTCATGTCACAATTACAGGCAATATGCAAGATAATTCCTAATATCCATGGGAAGGTGAACTAAGAGGTATCTAATTGAAAAGACAGGTAGAAGAGCCTTCTTACTACTAAAGAGTGTGAAAGTCACCTGGTGGGTGTTTAGCCAGACAAGGGATTACATTTATGAAATGATGGAATAGAGGTGGTCCCAGAGCTGAGTACCAGGTATTTTTAATCTCAGAATATTCACTATGGGCCCAACTGATGGCAAGGGTAGGGACCATCACACCTAAGTGTACATAAATCTGGCACAATCACTGTCACAAAAAGCATTGACTTCTAGAATTGTTGCTACTATTTTAAAGGTTGCCCATTGAATTCCTAACCATGGTCACCACTTACATAAATGCCACGCCTATTATTGATTGCATGTCACAATGCAATCAATAAGGTTCAGAGATTTATTTCTTCACCTCAATGAATATACAAGACTTTTCAAAGATTAATATGCTTTTGAATCATCTATGGATTGTCTTAAAATGCAGACTCTAACTCAGTAGATCTGGACTGGAGCCTGAGCTGCTGCATTTCTAAAAAGCTCCAATATGATTTTTGGGCTGCTATCCACAGATCAAAGTTTGAGTAGCAAAGCTAAAAGGGTATAATCGTGATTCTTACACAGATTTCTAACTATGGAAAAAATGCTCCTGACTTTACTTTTACGTCCTCTCATATAAAACTTTACTTGCATCAAAAGATAATGCCAATCTACTGACTTTTCCACAGATTCTGAAAAAGCAGAAAGCTAATAAACTAGGATAGTTGTGTCTTCAGTTTGCACAAGCATCACTCAAGAGCATGTTTAAAATGTAGATTTCCTGAGTTTCTCTTCCACAAGGAGTTGGTTTAATGTTGCTGTTTAATGTTGCATTTTTCTTCTTTTTTAGTAGAGACACGGTTGCGCCATGTTGACCAGGCTGGTCTGAAACTCTTGACCTCAAGTGATTCCCCCGGGCTTGGCCTCTGAAAGTTCTGGGATTACAGGCTTGAGCCACCATGGCCAGCCCTAATGTTGCATTCTATTTTTTTTTTTTTTTTTTTTTTGAGATCCTCGCTCTGTCTCCCAGGCTCAAGTGCAGTGGTGCGATCTCGGCTCACTACAAGCTCCACCTCCCAGGTTCACGCCATTCTCCTGCCTCAGCCTCCCAAGTAGCTGGGACTACAGGTGCCCACCACCACGCCTGGCTAATTTTTTGTATATTTAGTAGAGATGGGGTTTCACCGTGTTAGCCAGGATGGTCTTGATCTCCTGACCTCGTGATCTGCCCACCTCGGCCTCCCAAAGTGCTGGGATTACAGGCGTGAGCCACTGCTCCTGGCCAGTGTTGCATTCTTAATGTGTAGCCCAGGCAATTCTAATGCAGGTGGCACTGGGAACATCCTTTCAAAAATATTGGCCAAGTTATTATACAGGTATTGTTGCCTGGTGTGGTACAGTTAAAGCACAAACTATCCTGTAACAAAGAGACCCCAAACACAATGGCTTAAATAAGATAGATGTTGATTTCACACTCATCTATCAGTCCAAAGATAAGAGTTTCAAGCTGCCATGGTAGTTCTGTGCCATGATTTTTATCACGACCCAGGTTCCCGCTATTTTGCACCTCTGTCTTCCCCCAGGATGTTGTTCTTGACTTAATGTTCAAATCTGAGTCACTGTTACATTTGTAGCTCAGCTCATAGGAAGGAAGGCAGAGAAAACTTGAAGGGTGAGCTCTTTCCTTTTTCTATTATTTTGTTTGTACTTTATCAAAGTATACTTTACATACAATAAACTGCATCTATTTAAAGTATGCAATTTGCATAGTTTTGTCATGTGTGTAACAACTCAAATGTTTATTCATAGGAGAATTCATAAACCATTTCATTTAATCAATGGCTGCAGATTGTTTACACATTACACATTGATGATAAATCAGTTGCACTGGCCACATCAAGCTACAAGAGAGGTTGGGTAATCTTGTTTTATACTGGGCAGCTATGTGCAAATCTGTATCTCTAGCACCACAGAGGAAAGAACAGACTTTATAAGACAGCTGGCAATCTACAACTTCTGGAAACCCCTCTTTATGTCTTAAAAGGCAATACAGCTAGTTCTTCCAGAAGGCATTTCTGACCCTCAGAGCTGAGTTAAGCACCCCATTTCTGCCCATTGAAACTGCTATTCCTGAATCTATCACTGTACTTACAATATTGAACCATTGAAATGACCCCTTTGTGTCTTCATCTATATGTAATATAGGTGGTTTCTTTTCTGACAGATGTCTATCTTTATCAACAAATGATAAAATTGAACTTGCACATTTATGAAATTAATACATGCTTCTTTATGTGGGACCCCCATCCATTCCTCCTCACTGGGTGGGATCTGTCGGCCATCCCTGCCCATAATCTACAGACAGAGCTCTGATTGCTCCCTGGGACAGAGTGCCCAGGAGGAGGGCATGCTGACACCTTGGTTGTTTGGATGACTCAGCTCTTCCAGCCTGCATGCTTTGGAGAGTCCAAAAAATCTGAATAAGGAAGGGTCCCCCCAACATAGCACAGCTGCTTTGCCAGAATGTGGCCAGACTGCTTCTTTAGGGAAGAACCCCAATCCATTCCTCCTCACTGAGTGGGACCTCCCAGCTGGGGCCTCAAACCATCCCACCCGTATTCTATGGACGGAGCTCTGATCTCTCCCTGGAATGAAGTGCCTGGGGTTGGGTTGGGCCACCGCCTTGGTTGTCTGGACAACTCAACCATTCCAGCCTGTAGGCGCAGAGGAGTTCCTCAGCACAATACAGCTGTTTTGTCAAGGTGTGGCCAGACTGCTTCTTAAAGCGGGAACTCAATCCACTTCTCACAGTGCGGGTCCTCCCAGCTAGGGCCTCTGGCCACTCCCATCCATGTTCTAAAACTGACAGAGTTCTAATTTCTCCCTGGGATGAAGTGCCCAGGGGGTGGGGCAGGCCATCACCTTGGCTGTTCAAGCATCTCAGCCAGTCCAGCCTGTGGGCCTCGGAGAGCCCAAACGAATTGGGGGTTGAAGAGATCCCCAATGCAGCATGGCTGCTCTACCAAAAAGCAACCAGAACCAGACTGCATCTTGAAGTATGTCCCTGATCCTGTTCCTGCTGACTGGGTGGGACCTCCCAACTGCAGTCTCCAGCCACCTCCTATAGGCATGTTTGGGCCAGCGACAGGTCAGTAACCTCCTGTGATGGAGCTTCCAGAGGAAGGGGCAGGCTGCCATCTTTGCTGTTTTGCAGGCTTCACTGTTGATACCTCCAGGTATAGGAAAAAGCTGAGGCAACTAGGGTTTGGAGCAGAACCCCAGCAAACTGCAGCAGCCCTTCAGAAGAGTGGCCAGACTGTTAAAATAAAAACAAACAAACAGAAAACAACAAAAACCACAAAAACACCATCCGAATTTTAGTGTATTAGTCAGGATTCTCTACAGGGACAGGACTAATAGGTTAGATGTATAATAAAAGGGAGTTTATTAAGGAGTATTGACTCACATGATCACAAGGTTAAGTCCCACAATAGGCCGCCTGCAAGCTGAGGTGCCAGGAAGACAGTTTGAGTACCAAAACCTCAAAAGTAGGGAAGCCAACAGTGCAGCCTTCAGTTTGTGGCTGAAGGCCTGAGAGCCCCTGCAAACCACTGGTGTAGGTCCAAGAGTCCAAAACTGAAGAACTTGGAGTCTGATGTTTGAGGACAGGAAGCATCCAGCATGGGAGAAAGATGGAGCCAGAAGACTCAGCCAGCCTAGTGCTTCCACATTCCTCTGCCCACTTTTATCCTAGCTGTGCTGGCTGCTGATTAGATGGTGCCCCTCCACAATGAGGGTAGGTCTGTGTCTCCCAGTTCACTAACTCAAATATTAATCTCCTTTGGTGGCACCCTCACAGACACACCCAGGAACAATACTTTGCATCCTTCAATACAATCAAGTTGACACTTGATATTAACCATCACAGTCAGCAACCTCAAAGATTGAAGGTAGACAAGCCTACAAAGATGAGCAAGAATTAATGCCAAAATGCTGAAAACTCAAAAAGCCAAAGTGTCCCTTTTCCTAGAGATGACTCCAACATCTCTCCAAAAATGGCTCAGAACCAGGCTGAGGCTGAGATGGCTGAAATGACAGAAGTAGGCTTCAGAATGTGGACAAAAATGAACTTAGCCAGGCGTGGTGGTGGGCGCCTGTAGTCCCAACTACTCGGGAGGCTGAAGCAGGAGAATGGCGTGAACCCGGGAGGTGGAGCTTGCAGTGAACTGAGATTGTGCCACTGCACTCCAGCCTGGGATACAGAGCGAGACTCCATCTCAAAATAAATAAATAAATAGAATAAAAAAAATAAAAATGAACTTTGCTGAGCTAAAGCAGTAGGTTGTAAGCCAATGCAAAGAATCTAAGAATCGTGATAAAACAATGCAGGAGTTGACAGCCAAAATAGCTAGTTTAGAGAGGAACATATCCAACCCAATAGAGCTGAAAAACAATCTACAAGAATTTCACAATGCAATCACAAGTATTAATAGCAGAATAGATCAAGCATACGAAATAATCTCAGAGGGTGAAGACTGTCTTTCTGAAATAAGACAGGCAGACAAGAATAGAGAAAAAAAATGAACGAACAAAACCTCTGAGAAAAATGGGATTATGTAAAGAGAGCAAATCTATGACTGATTGGTGTACCTGATAGAGACTGGGAGAATAGAACCAATTTGGAAAACATGCTTCAGGATATCATCCAGGAGAACTTCCCCAGCCTAGCAAGACAGGCCAACATTCAAATTCAGGAAATGCAGATAACCCCAGTAAGATAGTACACAAGAAGCTTATCCCCAAGACACATAATTATCAGATTCTCCAAGGTCAAAGAGAAAGAAAAAATGTTAAGGGCAGCCAGAGAGAAAGGCCAGGTCACCTACAAAGGGAAGCCCATCAAACTAATAGTGGACCTCTCAACAGAAACCTTACTAGACAGAAGAGATTGGGCGCCATGTTCAACATTCATAAAGAAAATAATTTCCAACCCAGAATTTCATATTCAGCCAAACTAAGCTTCGCAAGTGAAGGAGAAATAAGATCCTTTTCAGACAAGCAAATGCTGAGGGAATTCATCACCACCAAACCTGCCTTACAAGAGCTCCTGAAGGAAGCACTAAATATGGAAAGGAAAAACCATTACCAGCCACTACAAAAACAAACTGGAGTACACAGACTAGTGACACTATGAAGCAACCACATAATATTTTGCAACTGCAAAATAACAAGTTAGCATCATGATGACAGAATCAAATCCACACACAACAATACTAACTGTAAATGTAAGTGGGCTAAATGCCCCAATGAAAATGCACAGAATTGCAAACTGGATAAAGAACCAAGACCCATAAGTTTGCTGTCTTGAAGATATCCATCTCACATGCAAAGACACACATAGGCTCAAAATAAAGGGATGGAAGACAATTTACTAAGCAAATCAAAAACAGAAAAAAAGCAGGGATTGCAATCCTAGTTTCTGGCAAAACAGACTTTAAACCAACAAAGATTAAAAAAAGACAAAGAAGGGCATTATATAATGGTAAAGGGTTCAATTCAACAAGAAGAGCTAACTATCCTAAATATATATGCGCCCAATACAGGAACACTCAGATTCATAAAGCAAGTTCTTAGAGACCTTCAAAGAAACTTATATTCCCACACAATAATAGCAGGAGACTTTAACACTCCACTGACAATATTAGAAAGCTCATCAAGACAGAAAATTAACAAAGATATATAGAACCTGAACTCAGCTCTGGATCAGGTGGACCTGATAGATATCTACAGAATTCTCCACCCAAAAACAACGGAGTATACATTTTCTTCACCACATGTCATCTAATCTAAAATTGATCATGTAATCACTGTAAAACAACTCTCAGCAAAAGGAAAAGAACTGAAATTATAACAGTCTCTCAAACCACAGCACAATCAAATTAGAACTCAAGACTTAAAAATTCACTCAAAACCATACAACTACATGGAAATTGAATAACCTGCTCCTGAATGACTTTTGGGTAAATAATGAAATCAGGGCAGAAATCAAAAAGTTCTTTGAAATTAATGAGAACAGAGAGACAACGTACCAGAATTCCTGGGATGCAGCTAAAGCAGTACTAAGAGGGAAATCCATACCATTAAATGCCCACATAAAAATCTAGAAAGATCTCAAGTTAATAACCTAACATCACAACTGAAAGAACTAGAGAACCGCACAAGACAAAGTTACTCTCTCTCACCACTCCTATTCAGGCAAGAGGAAGAAATAAAGAATATTCAAATAGCAAGAGAGAAAGTCAAACAAACTATTTTAGTTTTTGGAGATGACATGATCCTATATCCAGAAAACCCCATCATCTCAGCCCCAAAGCTTCTTTAGCTGATAAACAGCTTTAGCAAAGTCTTAGGATACAAAATCAATGTACAAAAATTACTAGTATTCCTGTATACTAACAACAGGCAAACCCAGAGCCAAATCGCAAAGGAACTCCCATTCACAATTGCCACAAAAAGAACAAAATACCTAGGGATAAACCAAACAAGGGAAGTGAAGAGTCTCTTCAAAGAGAACTACAAAGCACTGCTCAAAGAAACCAGAGATTACACAACCAAATGGAAAAACATTCCATGCTCATTAATAGGAAAAATCAAAATTGTGAAAATGGCCATACTGTTCAATAGTAATTTATAGATTCAGTGCTATTCCCATTAAACTACCATTGACATTCTTCACAGAATTAGAAAATAACTTTTTAAAGAATTCATACGGAACCAAAAATAAAGCCTGAATAGCCAAGGCAATCCTAAACAAAAAGAATAAAGGGGCAAGTATCATACTACCTGACTTCAAACTATACTACAGGGCTACAGTAACCAAAACAGCATGGTCCTGGTGCAAGAACAGACATATAGACCAGTGGAACAGAATAGAGAACTCAGAAATAAGATTGCACACCTACAACCATCTGATCCTTGACAAACCTGACAAAAGCAATGGGGAAAGGAGTCCCTATTTAATAAATGGTGCTGGGAAAACTGGCTAGCCGTATGCAGAAAATAGAAACTGGACCCCGTCCTTACACCATATACAAAAATCAACTCCAGATGGATTAAAGACTTAAATGTGAAACCCAAAACTATAAAAACCCTAGAAGAAAACCTAGGTAATACCATTCAGGACATAGGCACAGGCAAAGATTTCATGATGGAGATGCCAAAAGCAATTGCAACAAAAGCAAAAATTAACAAAGGGGATCTAATTAAAGAGCTTCTGCACAGCAGAAGAATCAGCAGAGTAAATACACAGCCTACAGAATGGGAGAAAATTTTTGCTGTCTATCCATCTGAAAAAGGTCTAATATCTAGGATCTATAAGGAACTTAAATTTACAAGAAAAGAAAATTAAAAAGTGGGCAAAGGGAAAGAACAGACACTTCTCAAAAGAAGACATACATGTGACCAACAAACATGAAAAAAACTCAATGTCACTGATTGTTAGAGAAATGCGAATCAAAACCACAGTGAGATACCATCTCACACTAGTCAGAATGGTGGTTATTAAATGTCAAAAAACTACAGATGCTGGCAAGGTTGTGGAGAAAAAGGAATGCTTTTATACTGTTGGTGGGAGGGTAAATTAGTTCAACCATTGTGGAAGACAGTATGGCAATTCCTCAAAGACCTAGAGGCAGAAATAACATTTGACTCAGCCATCCCATTACTGGCTGTAAACACAAAGGAATATAAATTGAAATCATTCTATTATAAAGATACATGCATGTATATATTCATTGCAGCACTATTCACAATAGCAGACATGGAATCAACCTAAATGCCCATCAATGATAGATTGCATCAAGAAAATGTGGTCCATATACACCATGGAATACTATGCAGCCATAAAAAGAAATGAGATCATGTCCTTTGCAGGGACATGGATGGAGCTGGAGGTCATTATCCTTAACAAACTAAAACAGGAACAGAAAACCAAATATTGCATGTTCTCACTTATAAGTGAGAGCTGAATGATGAGAACGCATGGACACATGGGGGAAACAACATACACTGGAGCCTATTGGAAGGTGGGGGGTGGGAGGAGGGAAAGAAGCAGGAAAAATAATGGATACTAGGCTAATATCTGGGTGATAAAATAATCTGTGCAACCAACCCTCAAGACACACGTTTACCTATGTAACAAATCTGCACATCCTGCCCATGTATCTCTGAACTTAAAATAAAAGTTGGAAATAAAAAAGAAAGTTGATATAATGGATATGTCCTTTTCAATAATAATAATAACAACAATATTAATATTAACAATAACACCAATCTGTGATTTCACAGGTGGCTTCTATGTGCCAAACATGATTTTAAGCCCCTTAAATACTTTCTCTCCTCTATGTTTCACAAAAATACGAGAAGAAAGGATTATTATCCCTCTTTCATTGGTGAGGAAAGACAGCCTTGAAGAGGTTACAAAACATGCCCCAGGTGACTGCACTAATGGGTAACAGAAGCAGGACTTCATCTAGCTTTGTTGGAATCCAAAGCCCACTCTTTCCCTTTTGCACACTCCTTCTGCACTGCCATTGTTATGACAATAGATCTCCCTGAAAATGTGTCCTATACATATTGTAATTTTTCCTAGCATTTTTATATACTTTATTACTTGTCCTGGAATAAAATTTTCCTAAAAGAGCCCAAACTAGAATTCAAGATTGACCTTATAGCCCATTTAGCAGGTGGGAAAACTGAGGCACAGAGACCCAAAATGATTGCTGGAGTCAAATCCTTATGGCATTGACTTAATGGGCCTCATGTTTCTTGTCTCCCAGGGAAGCAACAATTGTTTCAAGAGTATCAACGGTTTAACCAAACAACTCATGATCCAAATACTGACTGTGCCTTTGAATATAGGACCTCAGGCAAGTTCACTAACTTCTCTGAGCCTGTTTCCTTATTTGTACAATAAAAATAATGATATCCACCTTGTAGTGGTGCTGTATTAGAGATGAACTATGAAAACTACTTCATACACTACCTAGCACAGACCAGGTGTTCATTAAATGTTAGTTCTCTCCATTGCAGTAAAGCCTTTTTCCTGGAGCACAAACTGTCATTTTCCTTTTCTAGGGAAACATAAATTTCTCATCGTAAAAATTTAGAGCTGGGTATATATAAAGTAGAATCCATTCTAAAAGCTCTTTTTTCAATTCAAGAGAAAAAAAGAAAAAAGTGCTGAGCCAATATTTCTACTATTCAATCATTAAATATTAATCGATGTCAATGCATTTGAGGGAGCCTTTAGCTGTGACAGGTGAGCCGAAAGTAGAAATTCTGATTTAACGAGGCCTCCCGGCCACTTCGGCAAAATGTCAGGGTGCAAGTTGCAGTGGAGAATAATTAACTGATAAACAACCTTCGGAAAAAGATCAGTAACTATGAAATTGGAGACGAAGACAAGGCTTCTCTTATTTTCTCTAGAACATTTTTTTCTTTAGGATTTTTCCTTCCTTTCTGAATCGAGCCTGATTCAGTACCCTCTAAGTTGGAATGCCCTTAACTGTTTTGTTTAGATGGGGCTATGAAATGATTAGGTTGTTGAAATGATGAATCAGGGAGCGCTACAGGATTTTTCACAGTCCCTGTGAACAATGCCCCATATCACACTTACACTGACAGGTTGTATTTTTATATTTGACATGTGAGAGGAACATGGAAAATAACACACTGACAGCGCCTTAGATACCAGTCATACATCTTCCTAACACAGATTGATGGGTGGAAAAGAATATTATTTAGTGAGCCCTTCTAAAGCTCTCTAAGGAAAATATATAGATCCACCAGTGGATTGACTTGAAACTCATATTAACATTCCTTATAAGCAGGAAACTGAAAAGTAACTCTCATCCATTTCTGCACTAGCAAACAGATCAGAAAACTTAGTGGAAACCAGTCCAGAACCTTCATATTGCTCATTGATGGGTCATAGTTTGCTCCTTCCTGTCTAGGAACCAGAGCAGGTGGAATTTCTCCAATCAGACAAATTGGCCTTTCTCAATTTCAAACCAAAGGTGAAAGATAAGCTACTAGGAAAATTGAAGCTGCAACTATAGCTGCTCAGAGAACCAAGCTGAAACTGAAAAAACTACTGAAATGGAATAGCCTTGGCTAACTGTATGTCTATGAGGTGGCTCAAAGAACCATGCGGAATTATGGATGCCACATACTAGGGAACATAAACATAAAAAAAACAACAACCCTGTAGTGAATGCTGTAATGTGCCAGAAAATCTCCCTTTAGGAAGGCAGGATTTATATCTGCAGTTGCTATGAGTGCTGCTGGTGACCTCAGTTGTCAACCCTCTTCAGAAAGTGCCTCTGCTAAAGAGAGTTGTTTCACCAAACAGTATGCTGCCTTGCTAGAAGAGCCAGTATCCAATGACTGGCCAATCCATGAGTATAAAGACCCAGCCCTGGTCCCAAAAAGGAACAACTGTGGAGTGTCCTCTCAGCTCCAGAGCCCTGTGAGTTGGCTAAGACGTTCATTGAGACTTCACCACAGCCTGACTTCTCCCTATGACCAATCTTGCTTCCTTCTCTTTCATTACACAGATGTCAATTACATGAACATTCACTAAAAAACTTCCTGTGCGTTCACCTCTATCTCTGAGTTTGCACCCAGGGATAACCAAGTTGTGATACCCTCTTCATCTTTAGCACCCAAAATGCACCATGTAACTTAAATAGCTCCCAATATTAAAATCCTGTGATGCCATCAGAAATGTATAATCAACCAAATCATTTTAAAACCCCAGTCACAGTCACTCCAGTTTTTAAGACAGAAAATAAGAAACAGAAAGATGAGCACCATCATGTGGAAGGACCTACTGCTGTAAGCTTCTAGTTCTATCTTTGGTGCAACAAAGTTTTTTTGTTTGATTTTATTTTTAATTATATACCTGAGTTGAGGTAAAGACAGGTGAAGGAAAACATTCAAGCATTTTAATACCAAAGTTGGAATAGGTAAAAGAAATCTTTTTTCTATTCTAGATTATATAGAAGGGCCAATAGTTAGGAATCTGGATCGTTGGTTCTTAGGATTACAGAGTACCTTGCACTCTTGTTTCTAATGGCAAACAATAAGATAGGAAGACTTTGAACTAGCAGTTTATTGACTGCAGAGTGGCAGCAAAGAGAATCAGAGACTTGTTTGATATTTGCCAATAAGTTTTCCATGTTCGGCTGTTACTAAGGGAGCCAACTTATTCACAGCCCTATGCCTTCGCCTACATTCCCTGGTTTTTCTCTGTTCTCTTCTTGCCTCTTCTATATTACATTCCTTTCTATTTCCTCTGCTTTCCTTTTTTTTTCTTTGACTCTCTTATTCATCTTCTCTCCCTCCCACTACATTGGATCATTTTATTGACTAGAGTTTCAATAGTAGTTGAATCACATAGACTGCGATTTCAGCAACAAAGTACTTATTTGAAAAAAAAGAAGAACTTTTCATCTGTGTGTGCAAATGTTATCCAAAAATGGTGAACTAATTTATCCTGTAAAACTTAATTAAAACCAATAAAAAAAGAGACAGCCCTGGAGGGAGCAGTAACTCCCTTGGCAGGACCTGGGTGAGATGCATTCAGTTGGGACTATTCTAAACTTAACATTTGATTTGGTCTCATGATTTTCAGAGGGTTTAGTTTGGTTTTATATGCTACTAAAATTCTTTTAAGTAGTATATAATGGTTTACTCCAATTGAGAAAAGTTTTGTTAGATTTCCTCTAAAGTTTCCCACAGGAAAGCCTTGGCTTTTTATTCATGACTAGAATATTTTGTGGCTTTGGAAATAGCCATGAAAATCAAAAGCACCACTTTTGAAGTGTTCCAGATGCAGACTAGTATATTTTTATATATCTTATATCACATCCCTGGTTTTGAAATAATGTTGTCTGACAGAGTGAATAAACAAGGTCAGAGTGGAACTTTCAGTAATAGTCCTCTGACTTGATGCTAACATCCCCATGACACCATAAGGTTTTTTCAAATTGCAGAATTCTGTCTTGATAACTTTTAAAATTGCTTGCACCAAAGAGAGAAATACAGCAGATATGGATGGAAGGAAGGAAGAATGGATGGATGGATGGATGGATGGATAGATGGATGGATGGAGGGAAGTTGGATAAATGGGTGGAGGATGGATGAATGGAAGGATGGATGGTTGAGTCAATCAATCAATCAATGAATCCGAGAGCATTGGGATACACTTGCTTACATTCTTCCTGCTGAAATCAGAATCAGAAGGAAAGGGCGAAGCTGCTCCACTAGCACAGTGAAGGGTAGAGCAAGACTAAGTGTGGACTTCCAGCAAAATATCATTCTCAGCACCAAGCTTTGCCAGGATAAGTACCAAATAAACATTGGATAAATTTACTTGCTGCCCATTTTGATCAAAGTTTGCTTCAATGACACTGCAGGAGGAGTGCCAGTGGCAATTTTTTTCGATGTTTTATTGTGAAAAGTTTAAATGATTTTACATAGAACACCTATATCTGTGACCTGTATTCTGCCATTAATATTTCACTCCACTTGTTTTATCATGTAACTCTCCATCTATTTATCCTTCTATTCATCCATCAACCCATCTTATTTTTTGATGTATTTCAAATTACATTGCCGACATCGGTACTTCTCCATACGTATTTCAGAATACATATCATTGGAGTTCAATATGTGTCTTGAGTCTTTTTCTTTGATGTAAAAGGGATCATTAGCTGAATTTTGACAATTGCAAACACCTGTGTGACCCAAATTCCTATCAAGATATAGAGCATTCCTGTCACCCCAGAAAATTTAGCAATGGAGATTTAAAAGCCTTTAAATTAATTTATTTACCTCTTTACCCAGAAAGAGAATGGTTTGGGTATCACTTAAAAAGTTTAATATTTGAAAGGAAGTGTCCATCCTCACAAACTGCTTCAGATCTCAAACCAATAAAGAATTGCTTCACTGTATATTTGTTTAGTGAAATCCAAACTCCAAATGTTGATGGCATAGGAGAGATTTATGTGGATGTACAACATTATCTGAAGGTTTAATAAGATGGCAAATAGGCAGGAGAGAATAAAGCAAAATTAGAATTCTAATTTCTTATGTTTGTTTTCATTATTTTTAAAAATAACATGTACACATAATTTGTGTCTGCATAGCGTGTATGCTTTGGGATTAATTCATGCTGTGTTCTTTGTGCTAGATGTTCCTGAGACATCACCTTTATAGGAATAAAGGAAAAACCAACCAAATAACCAAGGAACACTTAGTGAGGCTGTACATATTGCCAAGTTGAATCTAGTGCCAAGCTAAATTTCTACTACATGGTACATGTAAGTTGAATCCCTTCCAAATGCAGGGCTCCTTCTTAAGTAGCTATATTGACTAATTACCTTCATCAGGATAATTGCACCTAAGGAAAGGGTTCAATTATTTCTACCAAGTGGAATGTTGACATTGTTTAATGAAGAATTAAAGCATGTGGTGACAAACTATGTATTTACAGGGGAAATAAAGCAGTTATGAACAATCTGTTTCCAAGAAAGAATTTTAAAGCATTTCTGGTATACTCTTAAGTATTCAGAATAAAGCTGTTAGGCATTTCCACAGCACGCAAGACTCAGCCTCTATCTGAGGCAGTACATGTCAATGAATTGGCATCAACAAGGCACTCAAGGGTCTGACATCATGACTGAAGAGCAGAACAGAAATTAAATTGGGTTCAACTGTTGTCCACTCACACCACCACATTTCAAAGTGACTTTCTTCAGTCATTGTTTCACACAAATGGTAAACCCACATCATCCTTCATTGTAACAGTAGCACACTTTGGAAAATTGCAATGCAGAAGGATTATAGTTAAAACCTCCAGTGTATTAACTAAGGCCTAGTGTGGCCACTGATGGATAATAGTCCTAAAATTCATTCCTTCATTTATTCATTCAATGCATATTGATCAAGTAATTATGATATTAAAGGTGATATGCTAATTGCTGTAAAGAATTTAAAAGGAATAAATTATAACCCAAAAAGGACTATTCACTCATTAATTGAACAAGCCTCTATTGGGAACAGAGGCAGGCTCTATGGTTTACTGCCCAAATTCTTCAAGACTGAGACACTCATTTCTGGGGCTTCAAGAAGTGTAGACGGTTGATAGTTCAAAACTGAGTTTCTCTCCAGGAATTGTTCTAGGCTAAAATAAGCTACCTCATCAAATATTACGCATCCCACTCTCAGGGAGCATCTGTATCCAATAACTGGTGGTGCTGAGGTAGGAATGGTCTTTACTCAATTAGGACAACTATAAAGAGCAGCACAGCTCCATGTTGTACCATTGGGTCAACTGAGGCCTCTCTTGCAACTGCATCACAATTCTACTTCTTCCTCTGCCCTATTCTGCAACTCTCACTCAGCAGAGATGTTGTTACTTAACACATTCTTCAATTAACCTCATGCATGCAAATCTCAACATCTTGGAGTTTGTGTCCTGAGGAAGCCAACCTGAGACAGTCTCTGTCAAAGTGGTTATAGGAACACAACTATAAAATGAGATTTAGAAGGATCACCTAGCCTCAGAGTAAGAATCCTATCACTGGTTATGCAATTATGATAAATTGTTAAAACTCCCACTAATGGAGAATTGAGATGAAAATGAAAGTCTAAGGGTGAAATATCACCAATATAAGATGAGGTGTGAAAACTTGAGGGCCTCCTTGGTAATATAAAAAGAAACACTCATCTCTTACAGCCAGAGGACAAAAAACGTTGAGGACCTCACAGAGGCAAAACTGCACAGAAGACTGAATTTTCAATGCCAGCATATTTGCTACAGCAAGGCAGTGTCCTGATTGGGAAGGAATAGGACATTAAGACTTGGATGGGAGCATATTGACTGATGCATTGGAAAATATTGAATCTTTAGTTTCCTTCAGTTTCCCCTGAGCCCTTTAGTCATTCACAAATGGTCCATTCCTCTCTCCTAAATGCTAGATTCATCATGCCACTTTTGTTTGAAGAAGATGCTCAAGCTTCTGCTATGCAAAATGGCACACGTCGTGATGTACCTGCTTTCCCTCCTGGCCACTGGCTCACGGGAAAAGTTACAATACAATACAATACACCTGGGAAAGTCTGGGTCTGCTAAGAGAAATTGAGGGCTATATATCAAGGAATCTGCAGTATTTCACCAGCATGTGCCAGCAGAAGCCAGGAAAGTTTAGATGAGATAGCATCCCAAAGATTCTGTATTAAGGAGGACAGAATAAGGAGCTGCAATAGGATGAGTTTATCAAATATGTGAGCACTGTCCTGTGATACAGGATTTATACCCCATCAAGAACCCCAGGAGACAGTACTAATTCACTGTTAGGATGGCTCTTGGTAGCTTGGAAAAAGCAGTAGCCAGTACCTAATGAAGTAGAAATGTGACAGATGGTGGAGGGAGTGATCAAAAGGCCTGCTAGGCTGGATATACTACACAAACCCAGAAAAGGCACAAGTCAATAATGCCCCATGGAAGGGACTGGAAGACAATCCATTTACCAAAGTGATAAGGAATGTGCTACTGAAAGCAGCTTTAAGCTCAGTGACAGCTGTCCTTGGTAGACCAGGGCAGTAAAAGATTCTTTTAAAGAACTGGGCTCCCTGATAACAATGAGGATGAGAGGATCCTGAGCTCTTATAAGCCAGGTGGCTCCACTTAAATTACAAAAGCAAGGAGGATACCATTCTCATAATAACTAGTAAGGTCAAAGTGGTAGTCAAAGATGCTGAGCTGAAAACTACAATGAAGTTGGTAAGTAGAATAGAATATTCCCAAGATAGATGGGCATCATGTGAATGTATCATTCAAATTGTACAGTGAGAAGAAATCAAAGGCAGATGATCAAGAGGCTGATGGTAAATACTCCAATAAAAATTTGTAATCTTTTGTCCAATATCCTGACTGGAACCATTCCCAAACCTAGAATATATTGACTGATAGAAAGGTCATGTTCCAGGGAAAAAGATTCCACAATACCATGGGAAAGTTGCTTGATAATGATTCCATCAGTTCATCCATAAAGGAATCTCAAAACATTTACTCAAATAATTCTACGTTGGAGAAAGATAAATATCCAAACATTTCAAGAGCTGTTTGAAAGAGAGTCTAAATTAACATTGATATCTGGGGACCCAGAGTATCATCATGGACACCTGTTGGAGTAGGGCTAGATGGGAGCCATGTAATAAATGCAGTTCTGGCCCAGGTCCTGCCTATTATGAGTCTACTGAGGTCCACAGACCTATTCCCTGGTCATTCTCCCAGACCCTGAATGTATAATTGAAATAAACATACCTGAGAATTGTCAGAACCTTTACATGCTTCTATGGGCTGTGAGGATAAGAGCTATTGTAGTGGGAAAAGCCAAGTAGAAGACTAAGAAACTGTATTTCCCCCCTTTTCCATCCAAGATATGCCCCCGTGAAAACCAAATGGATCCTGGTGGATGAGAATAGATAACCCAAAATTCAACTCAACAAGTAGCTGCAATTGCAGCCACAGTGCCAGATATATATGTGGTAGGGCAAATTACAATTTCAGCTATATTGTGTCTTGATATTAACCTGTCAGGTACATTCTTTTCCAACTGGCTCACATCTGTAATCCCAACACTTTGGGAGGTTGAGGTGGCAAGATCACTTGAGCCCATGAGTTTGAGACCAACTTGGGAAACATGGTAAGATGCCGTCTCTACAAAAAATAAAAAAAGATTATCTGGGTGTGGTGGCAGATGCCTGTAGTCCCAGCTACTCCAGAGGCTAAAGTGGAGGGACCAGTTGAGTCTGGGAGGCCAAAGTTGTAGTGAGCTGTGATTGTGCTACTGCACTCCAGCCTGGGCAACAAAGCAAGATGCTGTCTCAAAATTATTTTTAAAAATAACAACAAAAGACAGAGAGAAAAAGATATAGTCTGAAGGGACCTGAACTGTATGTGCCTGGATCAGAACATTAGTCCTCTCAGTCAATGACATATGTCAATTATATTGTATGAATAAGAAGTGGAAGCATGCTACAAAGCCTTGGTAAGACACATATGCTCCAAAAGGTAGAATGATAAACCTTATGAATATTCAGGGGCTTGACACTTCAAGAACATTTTTTGGAGTCTAATGATCTGGGTTATGCTGGGACATCCCCACCAAAGTAAATGACAAACTATAGCATCTCATAACTTTTCTCCCCAGCCCTCTGGCACCAACTATGAAGAAAGCACAATGCCTTGTAGGTCTTTCTAGCCTCTGGATGCAATGTATTCCACACTTAGAAATATTGTTTCTGGCCAGGCGCGGTGGCTCATACCTGTAATCCCAGAACTTTGGGAGACCGAGGCAGGCGGATCACAAGGTCAGGAGATTGAGACCATCCTGGCTAACACGGTGAAACCCCATCTCTACTAAAAATGCAAATAATTAGCTGGGCGTGGTGGCATGCACCTGTAGTCCCAGCTACTCGGGAGGCTGAGGCAGAAGAATCGCTTGAACCCGGGAGGCGGAGGTTGCAGTAAGCCGAGATCGCACCACTACTCTCCAGCCAGGTGACAGAGCAAGACTCCATCTTAAAAAAAAAATCTCTTTACCCCCATTTTACTGAGAGATATGAAAGACTTCCAGCTTTGAATGGGACAGAGCAGGAAAGCGATCTGAAAAAAATCTAAGATATGGGACAAGCAACCCTGATACTTGGGGCATCAGACTTACCAAGCCTTATGGTATTAGAGGTACCTGTGCTAAGAATGTACGTTATGTAGAGTTTATGGCAAATTGGATTAGGAGAAACATAGGTCCGTATTTGTAGCAAGGCCATTCTACGTACTGCAGAGAACTCTAGGCCATCCTGAAACAGCTCCCTTGCATGCTACTGAACCCTATTAGAGATAAAGTATTAGATATGATACAGCAACTGGCCATGTGACATGAATGCCCATCAGGGGCTGGCTTGCCAGACCCATCAAGGCATAAGGTTCAGAGGGCTCAATAGAAATCCTCATAAGATGGAAGTGGTACCACTGGTATCAGGCACAAGCAAGTCTAGTGAGCACAAGAAAGCTATGTGGGCAAGTGGCAGGACTCCCATATCACCTTCAACTGTTGTACCAACTACCTTTCTCTCAGTTTGTGCATATGTCCCCATGGCAGGGGGGTGGGTGGAGAGGGAATAGAGCAAGGCACATCACCAGGTGAAAAAGAACGAAAAAGGCCAAGTGGGTTCTAGTATGATGACACGTTGGAATCTTCCCTGAACTTTCTTCTTGCATCCTAATTGATGGTTGTCTTATTACATTTGTGCTGCTACAACAGAACATCTGAGACTGGGTAATTTATAAAGAAAAGGAAATTTATTTTTCACAGTTCTGGAGGCTGGAAAGTGCAAGATCAAGGATGCTGGCATTGGGCCTTCTTGCTGTGTCCTTATGTGGTAGAAGATAGAAGGGCAAGGGGACTACACTCCCTCATCAAACCCTTCTATAATGGCATTAACTCATTCATGATGGTGGCCCCCTCATGATGTAAACACTTCCCCAAAAGGCCCCATCTCCTAACACTGTGGCATTCAGGATTAAGTTACCAACACATGAATTTTCGGAGACACATTCAAACCATAGCAATTGTTTAGGAAACTGATTCTTTTGAAACCATGATGCTGCCTGGAATTTAAACGAGGCAGCTATGTGATCCAAGAACTAGTCACACTACTTCCTCCTTTTATTCAGTTATTAATTTAACAAATTTTTATTGAGCCTCTATTTGTAAAGTATTGCTCTGAGTACTGGGGATAGAGCAATGAGTAAAACAGACAAAATGCTTTCCTTCAGGAAGCCTACATTTTAGTGGAGGTATAAAAAAAGCACAAGCAAAAAGAAGATATTATATATTAAAAGAGTAATATAGTAATAAGTGCTTTGGAGAAAGGTTTTTTTTTTTTTTAAAAAAAAGAGAGATTGGAGGCGCTTGCAGGTTGACAAAGTCCAGTTTTAAATAGGGTGGTTCAGAAAGGTCTTAATGAGAAGCTAACTTTTGAGCAAATAATGGAAATACATATCTATGGTATAAGCAATCTAGGCAGAGGGAACAGTAAATGCAAAGGGCCTGAGGCAGTGGTTTGTCTAGAATGCTCAATGAATACCAAAAAGGGCAGTAGGGTTGCAATATAGTGAGCAGAGAGAATTGTTGGAAATGAACTCAGCAAGATAATGGGCTACCAGGTTTTACAGGTGTGGAGGCCATTCTTAGGACTTTAAATTTTTCTCCAAGTAAGATGAGGAGCTGTCACAGGGTTTTAAGCAGAGAATGTACGTGATCTCCTACATGAAAATAATTGATCTCTTTTTTGTGTTGAAGATTGACTATTGCTGAGATGAGAATGAAAGTCTGAAAGTTATTGCCGTAACCCGGGGAAAAGATAATGCTGGCTTATACAAACATGACAAGTGATGGAAGTGAGAAGTAGTATGAATTTGGATTTTTAAGGTCATAAATAATTTTCAGATTAGATGTGGGATGAGAGAAAGAAATAAGTGAGGGATGATTCTAAGGTTTGGGGCCTAAACCAAAGTGGATAGAGTTTCCACTATTTGAGGTGGAAAAAACTGAGGGAGAAGCCACTTTGAGAAAAAAGATGAGAAATTTATTTCTGTGTATGTTAAAATTGAGACACTTATGGGACTGTCAAGTGGAGATGTTGAGTATGTTGTGGATCCAAAAGTCTGAAGTTCAAGGCTGAGGTTTATTACCATGCAGATGGTATTTAGAACCATGAGGCAATAGATTACTAAGGGTTTGTGGAGAAGCAAAGGAGCCCAAGCAATGACCCTTCGGAGCCCCCTAGCACTAAGATTGGGGACATGAGCAGAAGAAATGGACAAGGAGCAGCCAGTAAGTTAGGAAACCCAGCAATGTGTGGTGCCCTGAAAGCCAAAGTATTTCTAGAAGGATGGGAGGATTATCCACTTCAAATGGCTCTGAGAAATCAGATGAGAATTGAGAATTGATCTTTGGATTCACCAATGTGAAGATATTGTTGACCTTGATAAGAGAAGTGTCTATAGCATTTTCATCAATATTCAAATGAAGAACACATAAGCAGCTGCTCTCTCTCTCTCAATTTCTCTTTCATGTCAATTAGTTTCAACTCAAACATCTACTTTTAACACATATGCTATCCTTTTTAACCCTTTCTCATCATTCTCTCTTTTTACACTTTTCTCCTATTTTCATGTCTACTTCTGTCTTCTGCCTCCACTCCACCCTTTGTAGATCCCTAAAAAGAAATACAGAAAAAGAATATAATGGTTCAAACTATTTTAAAAGTACCTTAAGAAGAGTGATTCCAAGGGAACAAGTACTATCAACCTCTTTACAATTACTCAAAAGTTTCCTTCAGAAAACTGACAATATTCACCATTTTCTCATCTTTGTTTATCCACAGAAAACAGCTTTCATGATGAAATCTGATAGCATGTAATTTTCTTTTTTCTCTAATCTAGCAAGTGATTGCAAATTGTTTATGTGTACTACTACATTTTTGTTTCAAATTCACTACTTGTTAAATAAATATTAATTGCCTCTCCTGGATTTTTTGGGAGTAAGAACCATGTCTTTTGTTTCCCATGCCCTTATTTCCATGTGTCCTCCCTCCCATATGTCTTGCAGAGCGATTTGTAGGTATTAAATTAATATTTGTAAAATTGAATTAATAATATTTTTCTGGACAAGCATGGTGGCTTACCCCTGTAATCCCAGCGCTTTGGGATTACCTTACCTCCCCACATTTCCCCATAAAGCAAAAAGAGTGGTGGTAAAAGGACAGGCCTGCATAAATGTCTCCAAATCAGGGGTTACAAATTCAAATGGAAAGTCCATAAATGAAGTAAACCAGGTGAGGGCCTACGGAAACAAAAACTACATGTCCAGTTTCATGTGGGAGTTGCTACTCAACTCCAATTAATTATAGACATGCAAAAACACAAGCCTGATGTTGTTGGGTCTTTCCATTTCAACCAGAGAAGTTGGAAATTCCAGTGATATCCTAGTTTTAAAATGTTGGCTACTAATCTGACTCTTTAAACCAGGAGTGTAGAGGGGTCAAAAGCAACAGAAATTCTCACCAGAGGCTGGGCTACAGATGTGCAACCTCTGCCTAAATACACATGAGACCTTTGAGGACAGGAGGTAAAAGGAAATTTTACAGCTCAGCTTGTCTTATTCCTCTAATCCTGCCTGTCACCTGCCTAATTGGGTATACTGGCCCTCAGTCATTTCATAGATGGTGATGAGATAGAATTACTACAGTCCTTCTAAAAGATTTAAATATGCACTTTAAGTGTCAAACATAAATTATATCATTCAATGGGAGCTCCGCCCCATCTATATATCTACAGATACCAAATACTTCCCTTAATTAGATAGCCATTCAAATAGCCTAAGATGTCCCCAATAAGTGATCTATTTACATGTTCTATTGCCTCATAAATACACAGCATTATGGAGGGCTGTCTTATTTTTAGTTTGCTCATGTGTTATTCATGAAGAGTGTTGTAGGCCGTCTGTGTAATTTCACTAACCTTTTTTCAATTTCCCCAAAGCGGTGGCTTCCTTTTGGTATACCTCTGTCTTCTGGAAACTGTTTCCTTCCTGTTCCCTTCATTTACCTGGAATCATCCTGGGTGAATAATAGGCTGGCATCCTCAAAATGCCATCATATGTGTATGCGTGCACGCATGTGTGTGTGTGCTCTCTCACTGTCGCTGCAAATTCAGTGGGACTGGAACCAATCTTTAAAACCTGCCCCCAAACTGAGGCCCTAAACTCAAATTCAATTATTTATATTTCTTATAAACAAGAAAAAAGCTTTTTAAAAGCCCCCTAATGCATTTATTGGCTTTTACATGAAGGAAACAATTTTGAACATATTCCTAGATCTTACCTCTCTAGGTAGAATATGGTTCTGGGACTGGGCACAACCAGGCGCGGTATGGTTTGGGGCTAAACTATATTGCCATATGAGAATGTCTCTTACACTCTGCTGCTCTGAGGAATACTGGAGCAATGGAACACATTACACTCTGCTCCAGCATTTTTCTTTCAGGGTGCCTATCAACTTGTTATCCTAAGCTAACCCTAGTACTGGAGAAGAGAACAAGCCATTCCTTTTTATTGCTTTGCAAGCACTTATAAGCAAATGATCCAGGATGAAGAAAGCTTTACTGGTGCTTCTTTGGCCTCTGTGGGTATCAGGCAGCTCTCCACTTCTCAATGGGCTTTTCTAACCCTAACCTTTCTCTGGCTGAAGGATGCTTTCCAGGTTTCCATCTTGCTTTCACATAAGTCATTCTGTCCAATGTTTCTGGAAATGGTTGTGTTTGGTTATATGATTAAGTTCTTTAGTAGTGATTTCTGAGATTTTGGTGCACCCATCACCCAAGCAGTGTACACTGTACCCAATATGTAGTCTTTTATTCCTCACCCCCCAACCCTTTCCCCCGAGTCCCCAAAGTCCATTGTATCATTCTTATGCCTTTGTGTCCTCATACCTTAGCTCTCAATTATGAGTGAGAATATACAATGTTTGGTTTTCCATTCCTGAGTTGCTTCACTTAGAATAATGGTCTCCAATTCCATCCAGGTTGCTGCAAATGTCATTATTTTATTTCTTTTTATGGCTGAGTCATATTCCATGGTATATATATATACCACAATTTCTTTATCCACTCATTGATTGATCGGCATTTGGGCTGGTTCCGTGTTTTTGCAATTGCAAATTGTGCTGCTATAAATGTGCTTGTGCAAGTATCTTTTTTATATAATGACTTCTTTTCCTCTGGGTAGATACCCAGGAGACAGATTGCTGGATCAAATGGTGTATCTACTTTTAGTTCTTTAAGGAATATCCACACTGTTTTCCATAGTGGTTGTATTAGTTTACATTCCCACCAACAGTGTAAAAGTGTTTCCTTTTCACCACATCCATGCCAATATCTATTATTTATTGATTTTTTGATTATGGCCATTCTTGCAGGAATAAGGCAGTATTGCATTGTGGTTTTGATTTGCATTTCCCTGATAATTAGTGATGTTGGGCATTTTTTTCATATTTGCTGGCCATTTGTATATCTTTTTTGAGAATTGGCTATTCATGTCCTTAGCTCACTTTTTGATGGGATTGTTTGTTTTTTCTTGCTGACTTGTTTGAGTTCCTTCAGATTCTGGATATTAGTACTTTGTCAGATGTATAGATTGTGAAGATTTTCTCCGACTCTGTGGGTTGTCTGTTTGCTCTGCTGATTATTTCTTTTGCTGTGCAGAAGCTTTTTAGTTTAATTAAGTACTATCTATTTATCTTTGTTTTTGTTGCATCTGCTTTTGGGTTCTTGTTCATCAAGTCTTTTCCCATGCCAGTGTCTAGAAGGGTTTTTTCCAATGTTATCTTCTAGAATTTTTATGGTTTCAGGTCTTAGATTTAAGTATTTGATCCATCTTAAATTGAAGTTTTGTATAAAGTAAGAGATGAGGAATCCAGTTTCATTCTCCTACATGTGTCTTGCCCATTATCCCAGCACCATTTGTTGAACAGGGTGTCCTTTCATCATTTTTTGTTTTTGTTTGCTTTGTTGAAGATCAACTGACTCTAAGTATTTGGCTTTATGTCTGGGTTCTCTATTCTGTTCTAGTGATCTATATGCCTATTTTTATACTAGTACCATGTTGTTTTGGTGACTGTGGCTTTATAGTATAGTTTGAAGTTGAGTAATGTGATACCTCCAGATTTGTTCTTTGCTTAGTCTTGTTTTGGCTATTTGGGCTCTTTTTTGGTTCCATATGAATTTCATATGAATTTTAGGTTTGTTTTTTTCTAGTTCTGTGAAGAATGATGGTGGTATTTTGATGGGAATTGCATTGAATTTGTAGATTGCTTTTGGCCGTAGGGTGATTTTCACAATACTGATTCTACATATCTATGAGCATGGGATGTGTTTCCATCTGTGTCATCTATGATTTCTTTCAGCAGTGTTTTGTAGTTTTCCTTATAGAGGTCTTTCACCTCCTTGGTTAAGTGTATTCCTAAAGTGTTTTTTTTTTTTCCTTTTTGCTATTGTAAAAGGGGTTGAGTTCTTGATTTGATTCTCAGCCTGATTGCTGTTGGTGTATAACAGCCCTACTGATTTGTGTGCATTAATTTTGTGTCCTGAAGCTTTGTTGAATTCATGTACCAGTTCTAGGAGCTTTTTGGTTGTGTCTTTAAGGTTTTCTAGGTATACAATCATGTCACTGGCAAACAACAGCAGCTTCATTTCCTCATTACCAATTTGGATGTCCTTTATTTCTTTCTCTTGTCTGATTGCTGTGACTAGGACTTCAGTACTATGTTGAATAGAAGTGGTGAGAGTGAGCCTCCTTGTCTTGTTCTAGTTCTCAGGGGGAAAGTCTTCAACTTTTCCCCATTCAGTAAAATGTTGGCTGTGGGTTTGTCATAGATGGTTTTTATTACTATAAGTATGTCCCTTCTATGCAAAATTTGCTGAGGCTTTCAAGCATAAAGTTGTGAACCCAGAAAATCTGAGACAGGTCTCAGTTAATTTAGAAAGTTTATTTTGCCAAGGTTGAGGACACATCTGTGACACAGCCTCAGGAAGTCCTGACAAGTGCCCAAGGTGGTTGGGGCACGGCTTGGTTTTATTCATTTTAGGGAGATATGAGACATCAATCAATATACTTAAGAAGTACATTGGTTCAGCCTGGAAAGGTGGGACAACTTCAAGCAAAGGCAGAAAGACTCAAAATGGGGAGGGGGATTCCAGGTCACAGATAGTTGAGAGACACATGGTTGCATTCTTTTGAGTTTCTGATTAGACTTTCCAAAGGAGGCAATCGGATATGCATTTATCTGAGTGAACAGAGAGATAACTTTGAACAGAAGGGCAGTTTTGCCCTAAGCAGTTTCCAGCTTGAGTTGTTTTTTTTAACCTAGTGATTTTGGGGGCCCAAGATATTTTCCTTTCATATTTTCCCCTTTTTCTTTTTAAAAATATTTTGGAGAAAGCGTTTTACAAGAAAATGAGTCTCTGGTCTCAGGTTTCATCCGATCTCTCATGGCTAGAACAGTTTATTTTTAGATGGGTAGGTCCCAAAAGCTCATTTTTAGCAGGTTGTGAAATCCCATGTCCCGTAAAGAGAAATAGTGGGGAGGAAGGTAGAAAGAGCAACAACAAACCAAAGAACAATCTTGGAAAATTTGATATAGGCCACATTACTCTGAAGTCCACACACTAGTAGGCAGGTATGAAAGTGGCTTATGTATGTAAATAGGCTACTCTTGTTTTCTTCAGAAGTTTAAATTGTCTGGCTTCAGTTTGGAGGCTTTAAGAAAGCACAACTTAGTTTTCAGTGACTCCAAATTAAGAAAAATGGAAAAAAGAAGGAAGAAATTGAAAACATTATTTTGAAGATATGTAGCCAAGAAAAATTATAATTTGGTTCAAACTGTAGAAAATAATAAAAATTGAAAAAACATTAGGCAAGTCTAGAGGTACTATAGTTGTATATAGTACAACAGGTGTACTATAGTTTTGAAACATAATTATTCTTTCTCCAGTTTTCCATTTCTACTAAAAACAAATCATGGTAGAACTGGCTTGCTTTATTACACTTGGTCTAACTATTTGTATATGGTGCAGCAAGAAAAACTTTTTTTTTACATAGGCTTTTAAATTGGCTTTGGTGGAACTTTTAAAATCTCAGATGAGAATTTTTAAAGCCAAGCCCAGTCACAGGTTTGTGTCATCAAATACCTATGAGTTGGGTGAATTTTGCCTCCTCTTGAGGTTCCAAGATAAACTTGGGGCTTCTGAGCCTGTCAGAAAGTGACATTCTTTATTTACCACAGGTTAGAAACCCTGTACATGGACTGTGTACACAAAATAAGGCCAGTTTTTCCAAGGGCTTTATTGGCTCCATAAGTCAAGTTTGATTCCATAAAGGAAAGCACATCTTTCACAGCTTTTAGTATATTCTTATGAACAAAATTTGAAGCATATTTCTCTCTAGCTGATTTCTCCAGAATTTGGAAACTATTTGTGAATATTTTTAACTTACGGCAAAACAGTTATTTGCAATAAGAAAAATAAGAATTATTATTATTATACCACAAAATAGGATCAGAGGTCATTGTAAAATAAATAAAATAAGAAATGGATTCTTATATTATTATTACTATATCACAAAATAGGATCGGAGGTCATTGTAAAATAAATCATTCATTTAACCAGTGATAACTCTAAAAATTAAAAAAAAAACATGAAAACCTTTATTCTTTGAGAGAGGAGACTTAATTTTCCAAACAATGAGTCCTAATAAAAACAGCATGAAGCCAATTAAATTTGTTTTTCAAAATTTTATAACTAATATATAAAATTTTAATCTTGACCATAAGCTATTACTTCCATAAGCCTTTTATAACCTGTATTAAGTAGCTAGTTAACGCTTCAAGAAAATCTCATTAATCTGACACAGGTGCCCATATGTCAGTCTTACATCAATATGCCCTTGACATTAATGATTAATTTATAGAAAAATTGAACTTATTGTATCTCAAAATTGGCCCTTACAATCTTATGAGCCCACCTCTTCCACAATAGTCCCTGGGCCTTGAGGAGTTGAATAGCTTTAATTTCTTGCCCTGTGTCTCAAGAATGCAGTTTATTTTGATTGGCATCTTCTATGGGGCCTGAAGATGAGGCTTTAATTGCTGTCAGTGTTTAAGATTTAGCAGTACTTGGTGTCATTTTTAGACCCAGGAGTCAAAGCCCTGTAACTCAATGTCATAAGGACTTTAAAAGCACACAAAGGGAGATACATAGATGTAATAACCTTAATTTAAAAAAATTTTAATGTCAGTTTTTTTCTAAGCAAACCAAAACTTAATAATAATATGACAGCTTGATCACATTAAAGATTTTTTAATATAAATCCTCATTGTGACTTGCACCAACCATTCATGACATGTTTGGACTTTTTGCTTTGTCCTGATCATCCCTCCTTCTTAAACAATCATTTTATTTTAGGACTAAATTTACCATACAAGATTCTTTCTCATATAAAATTATTTCTCTTTAAGCTCTTTTATGACAAAAAATACCTCTTCATTTTTATAACTTTCTTTGGATCTCTCTTTTTTTTTTTTTTTGAGATGGAGTCTCACTCTGTTGCCCAGGCTGGAGTGCAGTGGTGCAATCTCAGCTCACTGCAAGCCCTGCCTCCTGGGTTCATGACATTCTCCTGCCTCAGCCTCCCAAATAGCTGGGACTGCAGGTGCTTGCCACCATGCCTGGCTAATTTTTTGTATTTTTAGTGGAGATGGGGGTTTCACCATGTTAGCCAGGATGGTCTCAATCTCCTGACCTTGTGATCCTCCCGCCTCAGCCTCCCAAAGTGCTGGGATTACAGGTGTGAGCCACCACACCCAGCCTGGATCTCTTTTTATTTTCTGGTTCCTTTTGTCTTGTTTTATACATAATCTTTAAATAATCTTTGAATTAGACAAAACTTCACCTTTTTTAAAAAAAGACACACTTTTTTTTTAACAAGAATGTTTTCCTACAATATATATTTATTGGAAAATACTCAAATAATGAGATATCTATTATTTAATTTGATATAACTTTTCATTCTAAATTATGAATTTAGAAATTATGAATTTAGCTTATCTACAAGTATTTATCTCATTACATTTGCCAAATTATTTTAATTGATTACCTAGATTATTTATGAAAACTGTGATAGTCATCATTTAAAGTTATGAAACTACCATTGAAAAATTATAACTGAGACAGTGAAAAAAGATTTGACCTAACTGACTCCTTCTTGCTCTTAACGTTTAAGTTATCCTTGTTCATTCCTGGGCAAAGGCTGAACTAACTTTGGAAAGAACTTAGTTTATAGTTTAGCTTTGAAACAAAGATGATAACAGTCCTTTCCCAAAACAAGCCTCCTTATTGCCTGTGGACTAGACTGCTTAAAGCCACAAGATTAGAAGTTATGGTAATCTTACTAAATTTAAGATGCAGCTATTTTCATTAAACTGATATCAATGTCTTATTTATTAAAAATTACACAAGCAAAGATCATTCTGTTTTAGGCTGGGTTTATAGTTTTGTAACCGCTGTGCCAAATTTTGACACCTTATAGTATCTGGCAGGGATAAGTATGAAATTGCTTTATTAATAAGTGCAAACCAAAATATATGCTGACCAAAACATATGCTGGCAATTCTTAAGACATTTCTAATATTACTTTACTGATAATTGTAAGGCTAGTTTATTTATTAAAGATTTTACCTAAACTGCATAAACTTGAAAAAGTATTTGACTAGTCTTTACTTTTTTAGTATCTGATTTAAGTGCTTTTTAAAAGCTAATTAGAGCTCTTTTATATCTTAGTAGTGAAACATTGTGTACACAACATATAAATACATAGACATATTAGGTATACCAATAGAAATACATTTTATAGATTCATAAAGACCTCCCACTTTTTTTTCTTAGACTTTCAGATTCTTGATAACCTCTTTTACAACCCTAAGCAGTTGTCAGCTAAATAGCCTTAAATTTTCATATTAAAGGAAACAACTCAGGTGAAAATCAAATAGCAAAATACACATCCTAGGGTACAAAGAGAAAAGGTCTGGTGGTGCTAGAGGGAGATACTTTCACAGTGCATTTAAAAGATTTTCTTTAAAACAAAGACATTTCTGAGTGTCTAAACTACATTATTCCTTAAAAACCTAAAAGTGGCCTCTGTTGCAATAACCATTTTAGTCAAGAAATCAGGTGAAAACAGAATTCCATCAACTGAGAAGAAAAAAAAATTGTTCAAAAAAACAACCAAGATCTTGGGAGAGAAAAACAAACAAACAAACAAACAAACAGAAACAAAAACATGAAGCCCTTAAAATACAAACATGCACACATGCACACATACACACACATCTTGTATGTTAGCATTTTAAGTAAGCTGACTTTTAACCACTGAGATCCTTTAAAAAAAATCTTTTAAAATCTCATTATCATGTTTCAGCTAGGACAAAATGCTGCTAAACTAACAAGGATCACACAAATTATACAATTTCTGAGCGCTCTAAGTGTAAGCAGAAATTAACACCAGCTGGTAGTTAATGCTAACTTTAGTCTAAAAAGAATTTGATGCTTCAATTCTCTATTTGTGCTCTTTCAGACTTTTAGATGTAGGCATTCATGCTCTTAGCACCACTTTTGCTGTATCCCACAGGTTTTGATAGGTTGTGTCACTATTATCATTTAGTGCAAAGAATTTTTAAATTTTCATCTTGATTTCTTTGTTGATCCAAGCATCATTCAGGAGCAGGTTATTTAATTTCCGTGTATATGCATGGTTTTGAGGGTTCATTTTGAAGTTAATTTCCAAGTTTATTCCACTGTGGTCTGATAGAGTACTTGCTATAATTTCAACTTTCTTAAAATTTGTTGAGACTTGTTTTGTGGCCTTTCATATGATCTACTTTGTGCTGATGAATAGAATGTATATTCTGTAGTTGTTGGGTAGAATGTCCAGTATATATCTGTTAAATTCATTTGTTCTAGGATATAGTTTATGTCCATTGATTTTGTTGACTTTCTGTCTTGATGAGCTGTCTGGTGTTGTCAGCGGAGTATTGAAGTCCCCCACTATTATTGTGTTGCTGTCTGTCTCCTTTCTTAGGTCTAGTAGTAATTGTTTTATAAATTTGGGTACTCCAGTGTTAGGTGCATATATATTTAGGATTATGATATTTTTCTGTTGGACTAATCCTTTTATCATTACATAATGTCCCTCTTTGTCTTTTTTAACTGCTTTTACTTTAAAGTTTGTTTTGTCTGATATAATAATATCTACTCCTGTTTGCTTTTGGTGTCCATTTGCATGGAATATCTTTTTCCACCCCTTTAACTTAAGTTTATCTGAGTCCTTATGTGTCAGGTGAGTCTCCTGAAGACAAAAGACACTTGGTTGGTGAATTCTTATCTATTGTGCCATTCTGTATCTTTTAAGTGGAGCATTTAGACCATTTATATTCAATGTTAGTATTGAGATGTGAGGTACTATTCCATTCATCGAGCTATTGGTTACCTGAATATCTTGTGTTTTTTTTGTTTCATAAGTCCTGTGAGATTTATGTTTTAAGAATGTTCTATTTTGGTGTATTTCGAGGATTTGTTTCAGGATTTAGAGCTCCTTTTAGCAGTTCTTATAGTGCTGGATTGGTAAAGATAAACACTCTTAGCTTTTGTTTGTCTGAAAACGACTGTAACTTTCCTTGATTTATGAAGCTTAATTTCACTGGATACAAAATTCTTGGCTGATAATTGCTTTGTTTAAGGAGGCTAAAGATAGGACCTCAATACCTTCTCATTTGTATGGTTTCTGCTGAGAAATCTGCTGTTAATCTGATAGGTTTTATTTTATAGGTTACCTCTTGCTTTTGCCTCACAGCTTTCAAAATTATTTCCTTCATCTTTACTTTAGATAACCTGATGACTATGTGCCTAGAAAATGATCTTTTTGTGATAAATTCCCCAGGTGTTCTTTGAGCTTCTTGTATTTGGATGTCTAGATCCTAGCAAGTTTTAGATTTCTCTTCTTTCTCAAGAATACCGATTATTCTTAGGGTTGGTCATTTAACATAATCCCAAACTTCTTGGAGGCTTTGTTTATTTTTTAAAATTCTTTTTCCTTTGCCTTCATCAGATTGGGTTAATTTGAAAGCCTTGTTTCTGAGCCCTGATGTTGTTTTTTCTACTTGTTCAATTTGATTGCTGAAACTTTTGGGTGCATTTTGAAATTCTCTAAGTGTGTCCCTCATTTCCAGAAGTTGTTTTTGTTTTGTTGTGTTGTGATTTTTTTTTATTTATCTATCTATTTTACTGGCAATTTCTCTATTCATATCGTGTGTCATTTTTTTGATTTCTTTAAGTTGGAGTTTACCTTTTTCGGATGCTTCCTTGATGAGCTTAATAGTCAACCTTCTGAATACTTTTTCAGGCAATTCAGAGATTTTGTCTTGGTTTTGATTCATTGCTGGTGAGCTAGTGTGACCTTGTGGGGGTGTTAAAGAACCTTTTTTTTTTTTTGTCATATTACCAGAATTGTTCATCTCATTTGTTCTCATTTGGACAGACTGTGTCAGAGGGAATATCTGGGACTCAAGGGCTGCTGTTCAGATGCTTTTGTCCCGTAAGGTGCTCCCTTGATGTGGTGCTCTCCCTTTTTCCCTAGGGATGGGCTTCCTGAGAGCCGAACTGCAGTGATTGTTATTTCTCTTCTGGATGTACTTACCCAGTGTAGCTACTAGGCTCTGGGCTGGTACTGGGGAGCATCTGCAAAGAGTCCTGTGATGTGATCCATCTTCAGGTCTCTCAGCCGTGAATACCAGCACCTGCTTTGGTGGAGTATCAGGGGAGTGAAGTGTCCTTGGTTGCTTTTTTGTTAAGTGCACTGGTTTTGTGTTGGTTTGCTTCCATCCAGGAAGTGACACTTTCAAAAGCTCATCAGCTGCAGTTGTAGAGGGAGGATACAAGTTTGCCTAGGTGGCATTTGGATAAGTATTCAGGTTTCTCAGGTCGTAGGCAAGGCCATAGAGCTCCCAGTGGATTATGTCCTTTGTCTTCGGCTACTAGGGCAAGTAGAGAAACACCATCAGGTTGGGGCAGGGTTAGGCATGTCTGAGTTCAGACTCTCCTCAGGTGGGACTTGCTGCAACTGCTGTGGGGAATGGGGGTGTGGTTCCCAGGCCAATGGAGTTGTTCCCATAACCATTATGGCTGCCTCTGCTGCATCACACAGGTCACCAGGGAATTGGGGGAAAGTCGGCAGTCACAGGCCCCACTCAGCTCTTATGTAACCCACAGCCCAAAAGGTCAGTCTGACTCCCCAACAGCACCAAATTTATTTCCAGGCAGCCAGTGAGCAGGGCTGAGAGCTTGCCCAGGCTACAAGCCTCCTGGCTGAGAAAGCAAGCCGACTCACAGTTCCCAACTGTCCCACAGAGCCTGCAGTGGCAAGCCACCTTTTTCAAAGGGTCTGTGGATTATCTCAGCTTTCCTGGTATGTTCCTGTTGTAGTTCTTGGAGCAAAAGTTCATGATGTGGGTCTCCACATGCTGCTTTGTCCATCTGAGTTCAGTCTGCATCTTTCAATGATAAACACATTTGTTTTGGAAACACAACCACCATGTCATCATCAAATATAACATAGTTGATGGTAACATAAATTACCAGTACATATTCAAATTTCCTAGTCGTCTCAGAGATACCTTGTTATGGTTGATATGTTTGAATAAAGCCCCACACAAAACATATACACTGCTTTATTTTTTTCCATAGCAATATCATTCAATATACTACATATTTTATTATTTATTTGCTCATTGTGTATCTCTCCCATTGGAAGATCAGCTTCAAAATATCAATTATCAATATCAATTATACCACTTCTACTATTTTAGTGGTTTCCTTTAAGTTTGCAATGTACACTTACAAGTAATCCAAGCCCTCTTTCAAATAACACTGTACCACCTCATAGATACTGTAGTTACATTACAACAGGATATTTCCAATTCCCCCTTCCCGTATCTCATAACAGTGCTGCCATTCATTTTAATTATCAATAAGTGATAATCGCTGAATATATTGTTGCTACTTATTATTTTAAACAAATAGCTATATGTTTAAATAGCTATATGTGTAAATCATGAATAATAAAAATAGAATGTATTTATTTATGATCCACATTTATCATGTGATTCAAATTTCTAACCTATTGCATTTTCCTTCTTTCTGAAGGACTTCTTTTAACATTTATTGCAAGGTAGGTTTACTGGCAACAAATTCCCTTAATTTTATGTGAGGAAGTCTTCAATTTTTCCTCAATTTTGAAGCATAATTTCACAGATAAAAATTTTCTAGGTTGGCTATTTTTACTCTTCAACACATTAAATATTTTCATTCTACTCTCTTTTTGTTTCATGGCTTCTGAAGAGAAGTCTGATGTAGTTCTAATCTTTGCTTTTGTACAGGGAAGGTGTTTCCCATCGGCTCTGGTTTCTTTCATAGTTTTCTTTGTCATTGATTTTTTGAGATTTGAACCTGATATGCATAAGGGTTGATTTTTTCTTTTTTTTTTTTTTTGAGATGGAGTCTCGCTCTGATGCCCAGGCTGGAGTGCAGTGGCGCCATCTCAGCTCACTGCAGGCTCCACCCCCCGGGATTCACGCCATTCTCCTGCCTTAGCTTCCCGAGTAGCTGGGACTACAGGCACCCGCCACCTCGCCCGGCTAATTTTTTGTATTTTTAGTAGAGACGGGATTTCACTGTGTTAGCCAAGATGGTCTCGATCTCCTGACCTTGTGATCCGCCCGCCTCAACCTCCCAAAGTGCTGGGATTACAGGTGTGAGACACCGCACCCAGCCGGGTTGATTTTTTTTGGTGCCTGTTGTTTGGAGGTGTTAACTTTGAGAAATTCTCAATCAATATTATTTCAAATATCTCATTGGGTTCCCTTTCTCTTTGTCTTCATCTTCTGGTATTCTTATTATATATGTTACACCTTTTGTAATTGTTTTACAGTTCTTAGATATTCTGTTCTGTATTTTTCATTTTTTGCTCCATGCATTTTTTTTTCACATATGTGACTCTTCAAAGTTCACCTCTTCACTGCACACTGAGGAGTCTGCAGCATTACCAAGGTGTCATCATACACTGCATTTCAGTTTTGGAGGTTTTGATTGACTTCTTCAAGCTCACTGATTTTTTTTTTCTCAGCTGTGTTCAGTGTACTAATGAGCCCATTGAAGGTATTTTTTAATTCTGTTAAAGTGTTTTTTATTTCTAGTATTTCTTTTTTCATTCTTCCTGATATTTTAACAATATTGAGTTTCCATCTCTTTGCTTACATTACCCATCTATTCATGAGTATTGTCTGCTTTTTTCAGTAGAATGCCTAGCATATTAATTGTAGTTTTTTTTTTTTTTTTGATGGAGTTCCGCTCTTGTTGCCAGCCTGAAGTGCAATGGCGTGATCTCAGCTCACTGCAGTCTCCACCCTCTGGGTTCAAGTGATTCTCCTGCCTCAGCCTCCTGAGTAGCTGGGATCACAGGTGCCCACCACCATGCCCAGCTAATTTTTTGTATTTTTAGTAGAGACGGGGTTTCACTATGTTAGCCAGGCTGATCTTGAACTCCTGACCTCAGGTGATCCACCTGCCTCGGCCTCCCAAAGTGCTGGAATTACAGGCATGAGCCACTGCACCTGGCCCTAATTATAGTTATTTTAAATTACTGGTTCAATAATTTGAATTTGAATACCTCTACCACATCTCAGTCTTGTTTCAATGCTTGCTCAGTCTCTTCAAACTGTCTTTTTTGTCTTTTAGTATGTCTTGTAATTTTTTGAAAGCAAGATATGATGTATTGGGTAAAATAAACTGAACTAAGTAGGCATTTAGTGTGAGGCTTTATGTTTATATGGCTTGGGCTTAGATTGTGTTTATTGTTTGCTATGGCTGTAGATGTCAAATGCAAAAATTTTCTCTGATGTACTGTTTTTGTCTCCCTATTGTTTTGAGGCTTTTCTAGAGATTTCCTCTTAAATAAGTTCTGAGACATAGTTACATTACAGTTTTATTACACAAAAGACCTATTAATGTGTTTTTAACATGTGGGGAAAGGTAAGGTATTCTATCATCCTATAATTTGGTCTCATTTTTTTAGTTTGCTTGTACCCCCAAGCTGTGACATTCACAAATGCTTTTTAATAACGTTTTGTTTTGTTTCACTCTTTGGTGAAACGGGAAGGCTAGTAGGAACTGGGTGTTTCCCTTCTCTTGGGTCAATTAGGCCCTAGTAAAACCCCAGTTAGCTAGACTGTGGTAAAATACTTTCTCTTGAAGGCAGAGCTTGTTAAGAAAAACAAAATTTTCTGGGCATATTCCAAAATGTCTGCTTTTTCCTCCCTCCTGCTGAAACACAAGGAGATTTTTCTCTAATCTTCACTGTGAGAATTTGTAGGGATCTTAGAAGTAAAATTCACATAAGTGTGTGTCCCCCTCCCCAAGACTACTCTCTCTATCTGGAATTTTTAACTCTTACACTCACCCATACTGAGCCTCTAGCAATTTATCAATTACAATTTAAGTTTCCCTACCCCAATACTGATTGCCACTAAGGTTTCTGCTCCTGGGCGTCTGCTGCGGTAAGTTGTGATCTTCTAATTTGGTGACCAGTGGGTTGTCCTGTGGCATCAATTCTCTGATGGATTTAAAAAGAGTTGCTGATTTTAAGTTTGTTCAATATTTCTCTTGTTGTAAGGATGGGAGTGACAACTTTCAAGCTCTTTACCTTTCAGACTAAAAACCAGATGTCTCTTGACTCATTTTTATCCTGGCTATGTATTAAAATTTTCTGCTTCTTAGTATACTTAGTGATTTTTTATTGGATCCTGGATGTTGTGATTTTATTTTGTAGAATTCTGAATTTTGTTATATTTCTTTAAATAATGTTTACTGTGTTCCCACAGGTAATTAGACAATTTGCACATCAATTTGATCCTTTTGAGTCTTGAGTTTAACCATTTTCATAGAGTATAGACTAGCTTTTCCTTTAGGAGTCTTTGATGAACTGTGTAATCATTCAGGTTTCTTCATGAGGCTTTGGAATTTACATGATGCCAAATCCTGTATAAATTCTGGGAATTGGCTGGGCATGGTAGCTCATGCCTGTAATCCCAGCACTTTGGGAGGCAAAAATAGGCAGACTGCTTGAGCCCAGTAGTTCGATACCAGCCTGGGCAACATGCCAAAGGCCTATCTTTATACAAAATACAAAAAATTAACTAGGCATGGTGATGCATGCCTATAGTCCCAGCTACTCAGGAAGCTGAGGTGGGAGGATCACCTGAGGCAGGGGAGGGTGAGACTGCAGTGAGCTGTAATCATACCACTGTGCTCCAGCTTGGGTGACAGAATGAGACTCCATCTCAAAAAAACAAAATCTGGGAATCATTTGGTTTGCACCCCCTGCCCTCCAATCCTACTAAATTTTCTTTTCTCAGAAGTTGTTCTTTGTCCAACTTTGTGTCACTCTTGCATGTGCAGATTGGTATTTAGTCAAAGACTCAAGGACAGACATACACATATTTCTGGAGCTATTTCTCTGCATATGTCCCTTTCTTAGTAATCTGCCTTTCAAATTATAGCCACCTCACCATTTCTGGTTTCCAAATGCTGTATCTCCAAATCCACAAGGCTTCTAGACTATGTTTGGATTCCCCCTCCCTGTGCCATAGTTTTAAATGCCTCCAGGCATAAAGCCAGGGCAACTGTGGAGCTCACTTTATTTGTTTACCTTCTTTCAGAAATCACAGCCCTGAACTGTCTGTTGTATAATGATGGAAGACAATTGTTTCATATATTTTGTCCTGTTTTCTAGTTGTTAACAGTAGGAGGATATATCTGGACACTTTTACTCTTTCATGGAAGGCAACCTTTCTTCAAGGAGTGATTGGCATCAGGGAAGTCCATTCTTTCCAGAGCAATTCCCACTAGGTCTCACAGAAATTAGGCCTTATTATCTGCCTCTCTTCATTCCTTGACATTAGCACAATAGACAACATCAATATATTTTGAAAAGCCTGGTTTATTCATTCTGGAAAACACCATATGTGATACTTCTACAAAACAGTCAAAAGTTGAGCTTTAGAAATTTCAATCCAATTCATTTCAAGATCACATGAAAACATTGCCATGACACCTTCAATCTCCTGGGTCTTTTTGACCTCTGCCCCAATTATGGAAAAAGAATTCATGCCCATTATCCAAGTACAGTAAATATTTTTTGGAGATTAATCAATCTAAATGTTAACTTGGAAAATATATTTTTCCTAAGGGAAACATAATACAATAGGATGAAATGCCAACTAAAATAAAAATAGCTTTCTACAATATTATGGAGAACTGTTCAGCTTTTGGATCCACATTTTCTTGAATCTCTCTATTTTCAAATTTGCTTTATCTTTGAAAAACTTCAAGGTTTATCAAAGTGGTCTTTCAGTGCAGAGAACATCTGCATAATGACTTTATGTTCACAAATCATATAAAAGGCGAATCAGAGAAAAGCCTGAAGCTTTTAAGTATAGTTCTTTCCAGTGTATGACATCTCCAACAAAGTTTTAGAGATTCACAGGACTTATTCTAAGCCCTAGGTTAAATCACATTTTTTCCCTCTGCCTCCAGCAGTCTTTTTAAAAAGGAATCTTTTCAAAGAAAGTGGCCAAAGAAGGAGTGTCCAATTATGAGATGAAGGCACACAAGGATTTCTTCCCCTCTTTCAAGATTTTTCGTTCTTTCTCTTATTTGGTTAAGAGGCATATAGATTACCTCAATCTAATCCTGCCACCATGTAATCAAGGTTCTGGGTCAAGTAAAGATGCATGAAATTGAGCAAATTATCAGATCTCCCTTTCTCATGTATGAAATAATAGTATCACATAGCTCACAGGGCTGTTTTGAAGACCAGGTAATTTTTTTTAAAGAGACAAAAAAATAAATATATCTCTTTGCTTTTTTATGATGCTCCCAATTTAGTGTTATTGAATTTTATAATCATATATTCTTTGCATGTATGTGTTCTAAAACCACGTAAAAAAGTGTATCAGAAAACTATTTCAGTTTAAAGGTTTTTGAAATTTTAAAGTCTTTCTGATATGGGATAGATTTTTTTGCTTAAAAAGTCCTCTGGTGAGAGAACTACATATGGTCAGGCCTATATGTGCAGAGAAGAATAGACTTAACAGTTTTGCTGTGATCTTAAATTAGAGCTTGCTGGTGACTTCATGAAGATCAAAGTATGTTATTATGCAGAAGTATCAGTGGTCACCTCCTCCATGATCAATAGTTCAGTTCTTCTCTGAGTAAAGAAAGAATGCTACTGAGTGTGAATCCACCATCAATTGCTTCTATCTCTTGATTACTTTGTCACTGAAAGACTGAAGGCAGAAAGCAGGGTTATGGTAGAAGCCTTGAACATGACACCTGATGGTTCCTGCCTCCTGGTATTCACATTCTTGTCTAATCACCTCCCTTGAGCGTGGGTTTCATTTAATGACCCACTTCTGATGAATGGAATGTGGTAGGAGTGACAAGATGTCATTTTCAAGGTTATAAAAGACTATCACTTCTATCTCAGGCTCGTCCTCTCTTTCTCTCTCTCTCTCTCTCTCTCTGTCTCTCTCTCCCTCCCTTCCTCTCTTTCTCTCTCATCATTTATCCTGGAGGAAGCCAGTAGCCCTTTGGAGAGGACAAAGTTGCCAGAACCTGAGGCCCACCAACAAACATGTGGATGAGCTTGAAAGTGCATCTTCCTCCATTTGATTCTTTGGATGATACTACATCTTGTTCTAACCTAACATGATATCTTCAGCCAGAGGCTCTCAGCTAAGCCATGTAAGCCAAGTTTGGATTCTTGGCCCACAACTGTGAGATAATAAATTTTTTATTAAGTTTTAGACTGTCACATTTTGAGGTCATTTGTTAGGCAGCAATAGGTAACTAGTACAAGGATCTACATGATTTTATGAAAAAACCAAACTAAAAAAACAAAAATGGTCTATTAGTCTTTGACTCTTCTATAGGTCAGAAAACTTGGGTGTTAGTTCTGCCTCCATCTCTAACCAGTTGGAGGGCCAATCTCATCTTCTTTCTGGGCTTCTGTTTCTCCATTTTTAAAATAAGGGATTATATTAGCTTATTTTCATAGCATATAGTTTTATATTTCTTTTAGGATCTATACAGTGTAAGTAATCTTTCTCTTACTCTCTGTCTCTTTCTGTCTCTGTCTCTCTTTCTGTGTGTGTATGTCTGTATAAATATAAAAGCTGTGTGTATATAAATATAAAAACTACAAAACTCTGATGAAGAATACATAGAAGACATAGATAGATAGGTAAATGATAGATAGATAGATATTCCATGTTTATGGGTAGGAAGACTCAATATTGTTAAGATTTCAGCCTTCCTAATTTGATCTACATATTCACCACAGTTCCAGTTAAGATCTGAACAAGTTATTTTGTGACTAGCCACAAATTAATTAGATGGTTTATGTGAAAAGGCAAAAGATTCAGAAGAACCAACACAATATTGTAAAAGGAAGAAGAACAAAGTTACCCATCTTTAAGATTTAGTACAAAGCTACAGTAATCCAGACAGTGTGATATTAGTGAACAACAGATAGATAGATCAATGAAACAGAGTAGAAGACCAGAAATAGACCCACACAAACATAGCCAACTGATTTTTGATAAAGGAGCAAAGGCAATTCAATAGAGAAAGGATAGTCTTTTCAACAGTGGTGTGAAATGACTAGACATCCATATGCAAAAAAAAAGTTAATTTAGATTTTATACCTCTCTTAAAATGTAATTGAAAATGGAACATAGACCTAGATGTAAAATGCAAAACTGTGTGACTTCTAGAAGACAAAATCGAGTAAATCAAGCTGACTTGGGCATGGTGATGACTTTTTAGATATAACAACAAAGGCACAATCCATTGAAAACTAATTGATTACTTGAACTTTATTGAAATTAAAAACTTCTGCTCTTCAAATACATTGTTAAGAGAATGAACAGACAAGTGACAGACTGGCAGAAAATTTTTGCAAAATGCAAAGGAAAAAATGGAAAAAAAAAACACTGTTACCCAAAATAAGCAACTTTTAAAACTCAGCAATATAAAAAATAAAACAACCCTTAAAAAATAGGCAAAAGATCTGAAAAGACACCTCACCAAAAAAGATATGCAGATGGCAAATAAGCTCAGCATCATATATCTTTAGGCAATTGCAAATTAAAACAATGAGACACCACCACACACCTATTAGAATAGCTACAATCCAAAACACTGCCAATACCAAATGTTGACAAGGGTATGAAGTAATAGGAACTCTCTCATTTGTTGCTGAATGCAAATGGTACAGCCACTTTGGCAGATAGTTTGGCAGTTTCTTACAAAGCTAAACATAATCTTAGCATATGATCTGGCAATCACGTTTCTTGGTTACCTAAATGAGTTGAAAACATGTCCACACAAAAATCTGCACTCAAATGTTTATTACAGCTTCATAATTGCCAAAATATGGAAGCAACTAAGACACTTTTCTGTAGGTGAATGGTTAAACTATGGTATATTCAGACAATAAAATATTATTCAGTGATAAAAAGAAATGAGATCTTAAGCCCTCAAAATACATGGAAAAACATTAAATGCGTATTGCTAAGGGAAAGAAGCCAGTCTGAAAAAGCTACATACTCTATGATTCCAACTATGTGACATTCTGAAAAAGGCAACATTACAGAGATAGTAAAAAGATTAGTGGTTTTCAGTGGGCTAAGGAGAGGGAGGGAAGGAGGGATAAAAAGGAGAAGTACAGGTGATTTTTAGGGCAGTGAAAGCATTCTGTATGTACTGTGATGGTGAGTACATGAGATAAAACCCATAGACCTGTTCAACACAGAGAGAGTCCTAATATGACTACGAGATTTGGTTAAATAATCATGTACCAATATTTACTCATCATATACATTATAACAAATGCACCGCACTAATGCAAGATGTCAATAATAGGGGAAACTGTGGGGGCGGGGAAGTGTGGAGAAGAGGAAGTATTAATATATGGGAGCACTCTGTTTCTGGTCAAATTTCTGTAAAGCTAAAACTGCAGTGGCCTCCATGGTTATGGTAAAGTATCCTTGTTCTTCTTGATATCAGTAACAATCTTTAAGGTATTTGATATCTTCTAGGTATCTCAATACATTTTATTATATGTGTGCTATGTTGGTTAAGAGGACTCAGAGGATAGAGTTGTTCAAACCTTGTCTTCAATATTTACTAGCAATAAATTGTTAACAAAGTTACCAAACTCATAAACTCTGATTTTCTTATCTATACCATGGGGATAAAAGTGTGAGGTTTAAATGAGCTAATAATTATAAATCACAGAAAAAAATGCCTAGCACATAGTAGTCACTCAATAAATGTTGACTATTATTTTGGTTATATATCACTCCTTTGGTCTCTATGTGTGTCTCTCTGTTTTAATGCTCCAACCAGGAAACAGGTCTGTGTTTTAAATACTTTAACTACTTCAAAGAGCAAAACAAAAATCTTGTAGCTAAACAGTATGCCTTGCTTGTACTAGATGCTTAGTAAGTATCCATTGATAATGATTAAATGACTACAAAACAGAAAAATGGTTGAAGGGAAATAAGAAAGAGAATTTTTTCGAAATGATTTTCTATTTGACACATCAATAAAAATAATTCTATTTTTCACCAAGCTATCTGGAGAGATTTTCATCCACGCCTTTATCTCAAGAGGACTTTTTCTTCCTCAGTGTATTTATATATCAGCATTGAATGTCAGCTTGATTCTTCTCTTAATAACTTTAAAGCAGAACTAAAAAGACAAATCTCTCTCACAAAGAGAATGTACTCTCCAGGTCTTCCTGGATAGAACACAACAGCTGTGCCAACAAGTGAAGGGAGGAATGTTTAAAGGACAATTCTGAATTCTGGTTTGGAAGTGCCTTGTTTCATAGATCATTGATGGTGTAACATTTCATTGAACTAGATATTGACTACTAACAAAACCTAGGAAGCACAATGCAAGTAAAGTGTATCTTCCTTGAACTCCAAAAATAGATGATCAAATTGAATACCTCTAAGTTGAAGATTGAATACAAGTATATCAATCACAGGATCCACCGACTTTTCTAGGCTATGGAAAGAATCCCATTCTTCCTTTTGAATGAAGTAATACATTTATAAATAGAGATGTTTGGGTCACAATTTTTGAGTAGCATGAAAGAGAGAATGTCAATGACAAAGAACTCACTTACTTTTCCCAACAATGTCCCTTTGAGTTTCCTTTCTTCAACAAAAGCATATGATTCATCGGTAAATAAACTGCTTTATTTTTGATGTGCCATCCAAGGGACCAAGTTAATAATTGTAACTATAATAATAATAGTTGATGCTAATTATGTATTTTCTCATTGAATTCTCCATACCCTGCAAGGTAGATATTATTATTATCTTTCTTTTGTAGATAGAAAACTGAAGTTTAAGGAAGTAAAGTAAATTACACAAGGCCTAATAATCAAGTGATGAAACAGGGTTTGGATATATCTGGTTTCATAGTCTGCTGCTCCTCTAGCTGCCTGGACCTCACCATAAGGTAATTATAGATTTAATTCTTTATTCTCTTCTTTCTCTTACCTCTAACCAAAACTTCACTATGCTGTGTCCTGTTGCCCCAAAATCTGATTGCTGATATGACAATGCATTTATCACAACTTATCCCAACTAAAATCTTAGCCAGTTAATTGTTGCTGCTCCACAAAAACATGCTATCTGATATTCAGGTTAAAAACATGAGAGCCTATAAATAGTACCAAGGGAATTTCAGAAATCTTGATTAATTATAGAGAGAAGTATCTTAGCTTTGAGAGGTGGAGAAGCCTCCCTTCACCATCCTCCCACCATACATGGAAGATACCTAAATGGTCTTTGCTGATTTTTAAAGATACCACCACACTATTTGGGAACCAATCGCCTATAAGTGCCTCTTCACATATGGCAAACAATATGAATGCTAATGACACTAATATAGATGCAGTAGTGCAAAGGCAGGAAAACTCATGTAGAAAGATCTACGATATGAACGTAATTGTCCAGATGGTTCTAGTCTAGTAAAATTGAATATTTATTTCTAGTAAAATTGAATATCTTAAAGTAGTATACTCCATAAGATGTCAACAAAAAGAAGATGGGAAGTGGTGTAATTACAAACTACGCTTGAAAAAATACAACTTATAGTAGTCCCCTCTTAGACACTAAAGAATATAAATGCCCTGACAGGTCCCACAGTAAATGAACAAATTAATCCTTGCTTGAGCCAGTGTTACCAAGTGTAATGTCTATTAACATTCTTAGGTATTAGGGTTCCATGGAGCACATTTTGGGAAACATGAATGTAATCACTGAAGAGAGTGGGGGAATAAAACTGAATAGTGATGGCTGCAGTCAAATCATAGAATGCAAATTACTTCCATTTGAAGTCTGGATTGAGTAGAGGGAAGTTCTTGTGCATCATAGGCTACTAGCTGGAACATCCCCCAAAGCTCAATGGCTTCACACGAGAGAAGATGATTTACAACTCATGTGACAATTCAATGTGGTCATTTAAAGACATGGGTTTCTTCCATTTTGGGCCTCCAACATCCCCTAGAGGCCGAAAAGTCACCTTCTGGATTTTCAGCATGAGACAGAGAAAGAGAAGGAATAGAGGCTCTCACAGGAGGTTTTTGGTCCAAACTTGGAAGTGGTATCTATCACTTCTACTCACACTCTATGACCTAGAACTCAGTCACATGGCCATACTTAACCACAAGAAACCTGAGTAATGTAGCCTAATTGTGTGCCCCATGAGAAGAGAACACTGTGTAGACAATTATGACTACTTTCTGCTACAGATGGAATTGAAATCTGAGCTGAAGCCAGAAAAGTTTGGAGAAAACCTTGGCCATAGAACCCAGGTAGGCTCTGTCCTTCAAATTGTCAAGCAAACTTTCCATGGGGATGAGAGCTATTCAGTTAACCTTGGGACTGAGAATCTTGGCTAATGAGCATCAATCTATTTTTCTGCCAACTTCAAAAAGAAACTGATTGTGCTTCCTAAATTACTGAATGAGAGAGCAAGGTCCCCTGGGGAAGAATAAACAATAAAGTTTCACCAGCATTTAAGGCTTCCTGTCCCTGTAAAACAATGCGTTTTGGTCAGTTAAAAAAAAAAAAAAAAAAAAAAAAAAAGCTTTTCTTATAATCCCAAGACCATAAAATAATAGGAAGAATATAACCATGTCACTTCATCCATTCAATGAGGAGCTCCCTTTTTGCCTTCTCGACAAATGACTTATTTAATATGCCAAGAATGTTTTATTCACATAGGAGGTTAAAAGAGATGTTATGTAACTGGACCTTCAAGTGACTGGTAACTCACAATGATGCCCTACATTAGTTTGAAGATATGTCATACATTCAGGTCACAGCCTCTTCATATAGCTGGGCATGCATGCATAGTTATTATAAGACCTACTGATACAGGATGAGGTGCTTATGAATAAAATCTCCATTGATACAAATAGACACTGGTTCACCTGCAGAGGAAAGAAACGCTGTTAAAGCTCTACCAATTACCTGATACAGCAAGGGACTAAGTATTGGAAAAGTCTTATTCATAAAATATGAAATTCAAGTATCACAGTGGCAATGCACTTGCTGAAGTTCTAAGAATGCAGTGGTTAGTGGGTGTGTGATTGTTGACTTGGCAGGGAGGGAAAAAGCATGATTCTTGAGGCTCCAGCATTTCTCACCAATGGCAACATTTGTTGTTTCGAACATTTGTGGTTTTTAACATTTGTTGCCATTGGTGAGAAATACTGGAGCCTCAAGAACCAGGCTTCAGCCACTGCTCTACAGCTCTGGAGTGAATATAGCTTCACTCTTGTTGTACAGGTAAGGAAATTGAGAGGCTTAGAGGCTTATCCAAGGGCACAGTAGAAAATGATGAATGCAGAGTTCAAACTTTGTCTTTGGAGTTCCAAAGCCTGCTTTTTGACTCCTACATCTTTCTGCCTGTCTTTTCTGAGTTGATTGAAAACTGTTCATAAAGAACTGTCCTAATTTCTGAACCATCTCCAACTAAAGATATTATTTCCTGAAATATGTCCATGAAAAGTGATTGTATTTTGCTATCTGAAGGAATAGTTTTCTTTCAAGATATGGAACTTCTTCTTGCTAAAATATCAGATTTTGCCCAGACCTTGCCATTTTACTTTATTTAATTTAACTTTTATAAATGTGCATTTTCTGAAGATGTATTTTAAAATTCTCTCTGTTTTCTAAGCTGTATCATGGAGAATCAGGTTGAGAGAACCATATCAAACATCTAAACAGCTAGTTGAAAATGAATCTATCCTATGCCACATAAGATTCAATAAATATTTATAGAATAAAAGAATCACTGGGAACTTCATATGGCATTTGGAAAGTACCTGGAAAAACAGCAAAATCTTACCACTCTTTATTTCTCACCAGATTTCTGGTTGAGTGGTATCAAATAAGAATCAGTAGGAAATTCACTGATCTTAATAATAGGTGTTAACTTAGTTTAATAGCAGATAATATAGATAATAGTTTTTTTCTGGGTATACAAAAAAAATGTGACCACAAAATAATGAGACATTATTCATCCTTTGACTTAAGAGTTTCACACTGTGGGATCTAACCTAAAGGTATACTGTTGAAAATAGTATACCTTTTCACATCACACAGCTACTAATTGCATCACTATTTACAATAACAAAAAAATCATAAACAACTCAAATATCCCTCAATAAGGGACTGGATAAATCACATATAGTATATCCATATGATATGCAGCCATAAAAAGGAGCAAGTGATACTTGTATATACTTCCATGGAGTGATCTTGTTGACAAAAGCTAGATGGAAAGAAGTGCTGAACTATATTTATTACCAGTAAAGTATGTCTGTAAGAAATTAATGAATGGAAAAACAATTTCAGAAAAATTATTTAGTACCATTCATTTTTAAATTTCTGGAATATTCATTTGAAATCTTCATTTGAATTACTAATTCTCTGATAAAACTTACCATCTTTTTATCTGTTTTCCTTTATCATTCCCTCTATTTTCTTGAATGTATTAATTATGGTAATTTAAACTTTTTTTTAGCTGACTCTAATAACTGCATTATCTATGGATCTGTTTCTATTGTTTATGTTTTTTCTTGGTTTTAATCATGTGTCCTTGCTTTCTGGCATGTGTTTGGATTATTTTGAATGTTGCATATTCTATATTAAAAATATTTAGTAATTTCAGGCGATATCTTCCTTCAGAAAATATTCAGTCTCCTGCTAGATCAATACAGTGATGTCAAGTCACTTTAACCCAATCAGGGATGGTGCTGAGTCAAGGTTGAGATGGAACCCTGGAAATGCTCATTCCACATTTAGCAAGTATCCTGAAAGAAAAATTAGCCATGTACTTGAAAACCCTCCCCTGCCCACCACAAGTCCACACATACAAACTGGTGATATGCTTGAGATTCCCAGCAAGTCTATGCAAAAACTTTGCTTGTTCTCTGTTTTCCAGTAGTTTCTCCTTGTAGGTGAAAAGTTCACAGTTTCAGCTCCTGCCTAATGCCCAGAATTAACAAATGTCCAAAGAATAAAAGCCACAGAGGTGGGCTCATCTCCTAGGGGGTTCCCCACTCTGAAAACTTAGGTCCTCTAGTCTAAATGTCTGAGAGTGTCTCCTCTGTATTCTAAGAGATGATTTCTATATTTTATATAGCTTTCAGGGTGGTTTTTGGTGGGCAGAGTCCTTTTTCCTTGGCCTGCCTTTAGTTCCTTCACACATATGTAAGTGGGAGCAGTATGACTAAACGTATGTAAGAGCTCATATATATGTGTTTATTATTTATAATACACACTTGCAAATCTGTATTTTATATATAAATCATTTATTAACTTTATTTTTATTTTACAAGTATCTGGATAAAGTAGTAAATAAACATATAGTGACAAATAAATAAAAAGTTATATGAAAAGAAACCCACAAGATTGTTGATATTAATTATTTGGGTAGAAGTGATTAACATTGGAATAGAAGTTGCAGTGGGTGATTGATACAGTGAGAATCTTCAGATTTTTCCCTACATACTTGCAAGTTGTTTGAAATTTTTGAAGGTTGCATTTATTTGGTGATTAAAAACAATAAAAAATAGAAAAAGCTATATAAAATATTGGGGAAAGTTACACAAATTCTAAAGAAAAAGAGGCTGATGATACTAATAGAAAATAAAGTAGAATTCAAGTCAAGGACACTTCAATAATGGAAAGCTAAATATCTTATAGTGATGAAAAGTACACTCTAAAATGAATGCTGTAAATATAATGCACTCAATAACATGACATCTAAATACATAAACCAAAATGTAAAGATTATTTAACAAAATTTTAGTCATATTGGGAAATATGTACCCACCTCACTGTTTTCGATAGACTGAGGAAATAAGAAATAAGGGTACAAAGTAGGATTTAAATAAATCATGTGCTTAACAGCAATGATTTTACTTTTTGTTTTTCAAGAGAAGATAAACCCTCCTCTCACATGCACAAAAACATGCCAATATTATCAAAATACCAGGCCAGAAATAAACCTTAATAAATTCCCCAAAGTAGGAATTGTAGGCATCATTCTTTCTGATCAAAATGAAATAGTTTGATAAATTAACAGTAAAAAGCTAAACAAAAACTCATTAAACAAAATATTTTTTAAGTCTCCTGGACTTTGTCAAGAGAGCCCAGTGTCATTGTAGAATAATAATAGTCAAGAAAATATTGAAGAGAAATAATAAAAGAACTGCCAATCCATATATTAATATACTAAAAAGCAAAAACAAAGCAATGTAATGTTCTTGTAGGAATATACAGACATACCAATTAAACAAAACTAAAAACTAGAGTCTAGCGTGTTTTAAAAATACTTTATTAGTATATTGGTTTCCACAAATAAACTAATATAAACTGGGTGGCTAAAACAACAAAAATTTGTTGTTTCACAGTTCTGGAGGTCAGAAATTAAAAATCAAGGTATCATTAGGGCCATTTTTTCTCTGGAAGCTCTAGGGAAGGATACATCTTTGCCTCTTCCTAGCTTCTGGTAGTTATCAGCAATCCTTGGGGATCACTGGCTTGTAAATGTGTCATTCCAATGTCTGCCTCCATAGCGGATGGCATTCTCCCTGTGTCTGTGCCCAAATTTCCCTCTTCTTATAAGGACACTAGTCATTGGGTTAGGGCCCACTGTAATGCAGTATGACTTCTTTTCAACTTGATTATATCTGCAAAGACTCTATTTTCAAAAATGATCATATTCACAGGTTCCAGGTGAACATAAATTTGGGGAGAACACAATTCAACCCAGTACACTTAGTCAACGTGCTTCTTAAATTCAAACAAAGGAAACTTAATTCTAGTTAACATGAATAAGAAAGTGAAATTTTACCGTAAGGCCACTCTCCTGCATCCAAAAACAGAGACTTCACAGTGGCTGGAATCAGGAAGTGTCAAGAATTTTCTGAGTCATTCTCACTCTGTCTCTATGCTCTGAGCTTCTTATCACTGTCTTTCTGTGCACATCTGCTTTCTTCTTTTCCCTTTGCAGATCTGACCCTCCATGCATGTAGTAACCTCAGTTTCCATTTAGATGTTCTCAGTTCCAGGCACAAGGACCACCTAACTCTCAGTCCCTGTTCCAAATCCCTAGGAGAAATATGATCAGTCCAGGCTATCAGGGCACAGTGATCCCCCTCTATGGCTTGGGAGTTGGGGGTGCCGGCAGTTTTCAGAGTAATGTGACCGTCACGAACTGGGCAGTTTCTTCCCAAAGTATTTTAGATAATATTTTTAACCAATAAGGAAAAGGATAACTCATTCAATAAACTCTCTGGCAGGAGAAAATAACAATTTAGGGAGAACAGGATGTAGCCTTGTCATGCATCATACATCAAAATAAATCACAGAGAATTAAATATTAAATGTAAAACTATCTTAGAATACAGGAGAAAAGAGGTGAATATTTATATTACTCCATATATTTATGTAAAGAACTTTGAATCATTCCTCAAGGATGACAGCATATATATTAGTTATTTACTAGTTTAAAGTGCTAGTTGGAGATTACTTCAGGCTCAAAGAGTAAAAATTTGCTGCCAATGAGATTTTTTAAAAATGCACAATGCCCAATTTTTTGAAAGATTTTAAAATATTATTTGGAGTGATATCCATATCATTGAAATTAAGTTAGTGTTTTTCAAGGTGATTGCATTGAAAGGTATGATGCATTCAAATTTATAAATATCAGTATGGCTATTTTAAAAATTAATGCAAAGCAGTCTGTAAAAACTTCACTGTCACAAATTTATGGAGATTACTGTTCCCCCATCTCAATGTTTGTTTGTTAAGTGCTCTGCTGTTATTCCAAGTAACTATGGCCTCATTAAATGAGTCTACAGTACTAAAAAAAAAAACTTCATTTACATAAAATTGTTCTAGAAAAATCTAAACTATTTGCACTTAATGGAAAAGCTATTCTGTATTCTATTTATAATAAAACCTCAATTAGAATTTTTATAGAATGGGATAATTCTTAATTTTATTTTCCATTAAATAAATTCATCTTTAAAATACTCTTAGATAAGCCTTTGTTGTTGAAACCCCTAAAAATGCACTACTACTTATTTCTAACTAACTTAAAATAAGTTGAATAAAATAAATGTAATTGTATGTGTCTCTGATTTTAGGACCCTCAAGTGTGGGGGCACATAGTAGGCATTTAAGAGTGATGGGTAAATAAGTGATTTAATGGGTTAATTTTCCAATATTGGTTGTAATCAATGATTTGCGTTGACTAGTGTTTTGAATGATGATGTGAAACAGAGCAGCATTGAAAAAATATCTCATTCCTACCTTTCTCTAAAACGAACTTTTTAAAAAATAAGTACTTGATATAAGCATATTTTCTCATATTTTTTCTTTCTTCTACAAGTTGAGAGCAGAGAATGCCAATAAAATTAGAATGCTAGGATTTTTAGATTTTCATTAATTAATACTTTATAGTATTTACCTCATTTTTCTACATTTGAATCTGAACCAATTAAATAATCCCAGGAGAAAACAACTTTTTTCTTCAACATGAAGTGCTTGGAATAATAGATGTGAAAGTATGTAGTAAATTGTAATAACGGTATAATACAAAAGACATTATTTAAAATATTATTAGTAGTAATACCTTACATTTACTGGGTATTTAATAAGTTTCAGTTATTAATCTAAGTGTTTCCTATACTTTATCTTATTTAATCCTTGAAGCCACCCTCTGAGATAAATATTTTTATTATCACCATAAGGAGCATGGAGGTGAAGACTGAAGACCTTAGAGTCTCCAAACCAGGGAGGCAAGGCTATAGGAAATGTACAGCAAGTTTATTTATGAATGACTCTTTCCTTGTGTCCTCACTGCTTCAAGATCAATACAATGGAGAAATACTGAGAGATAACCATTGCCCACTGAAGTCATAATATAACTATAGCCCTGTCAAAATATAAGACTAGGTGATTCAAAAATCCATTTTAAAGACATTAGTCTTAGCTTTCATAAAGTTTTTGGTGAAGAAACGTGGAAATCCACTTGGGATTTAGCACACTGTGGTGAGTGTGCTTTCAGTTATATAGATTCAAATATCAAAACTAAAAATACAAGAAAGAAGAGGACGTGTAAAACATTCCCAGCTGACTGTTACCTGACTACTGACAGTAGGAGGGAAAGAACTAGTCAAATAACTTCTTGTTGTTTGACAAAATAGTTCTTGATTTTGTGAAGAGCAAAATAGCATCCTCTTTCTGTTTTGATGTATTTGAGCCAACCAAGAGGTCTGTATTAGCACAATTTTTCTTCTCAGGGTCAACTGAACAAATTTCACATTCTCAAGAAAGAGAAAGAAGTAAGTTACTGAATTTAACAAACTTCTCCACAATCTATGTTGATTTAACATTTGAAAATCTTATTATATTTTGCTACTTTATTCACTTATTACCATTACATTAATTTTGTAGAAGGCTGTCACGTTATATTTTCACCCAATAAATCACAATGAAATGATTAAATATCTTATATTTAGCAATTAACAAAGGACTTTGATCTTTTTCAAAATCATTCAGAAACTTTCAGTATAATGATAACATAGACTTGACTGCTTTCAAATAGGAAACTCCCTGAAAAAAAGGAGACGGAGAGAGACAGAAATTTCTGTTTTGGAACAAAAAAGCAAACACCGAATGTTCCCACTCATAGGTGGGAGTTGAACAATGAGAACACACGGACACAGGGAGGGGAACATTACACACTGGGGCTTGTTGGGGGTGGGGACTAGGGGAGGGACAGCATTAGGAGAAATACCTAATGTAGATGACGAGTTGATGGGTGCAGCAAACCACCATGGCACGTGTATACCTATGTAACAAACCTGCACGTTCTTGCACATGTATCCAAGAATTTAAAGTATGATTTTAAAAAAAACACTTCTGTTTTAAATTAAAATAAAAACTGAATTTCTGAGGGCATGTGAAACATTAATTTTAAAAGGCTTTGACTTTATCAGTGACATAATTGGAACCACTGACCTGTATTAAAAAGAAAGAAAAATAACACACATTTGGGTGCTTTGGAATTAAGATATTGGTTTGATAGCCAGGCAGGCTGCATTCATTTACTTTAGTATGCTAAATTTCTAGATAAAACTAAATAGAGTGAGCCATTTGGAAATCTCAACTCCTTAGACTACCATATATACATAAATGTATTGTCACCTCGCATTAGATGAGTGTTTTCAATCATGCCTGTGTGCCTGGCATTGTACAGGTGATGGGAATGGTTGTACTCATTTCCCAGAGAAAGTTCAATCTTGAAAGCCAGATGGCTGTACTGGAGTGTTTTCTTCTAAAATCCAGGAAATTGCGCCTTGATCTGGTTTTCCTCAGTTGTTCAGGTTTCATCAAGCACTGTATTCAGTGCCATAAAAGATGGTAGATTCAAATATCAGGAAGACTGTCGTTGCAATGGCTGAACCATTAAATTTGGCTCTAAATATATCTAGGTTCAAGTATTAGGTATATCATTCACTGGCTACTTGACTATGGGTAAATATCTCACCTTCTATGATTTTTTATTTTTAATTGATAAATAATTATGTATATTTATGGGGTACAGTGTGACCTTTTGATATATATTTACATTGTGGGATGATGAAGCTAAACTAATTAACATATTTATTACCTCATGCACTTATTGTTTTTGGTGGTGAGAGATTTAAAATCTCTTTAAGCAATTTTGAAATATACAATACATTATTATTAACTATACTCACCAGGCTATGCAATAGAAGTCTAATACGTATTCCTCCTAACTGAAACTTTGTACCCTCCAAATAACATCTTCCTATTCCCCATTCCCTCCTCCCACCCAGCCTCTGATAACTACTCTTTACTTGGATGAGCTCAACTTTGATTTCACGTATAAGTGAGATCATGAAATATTTGTCTTTTTGTGCCTGGCTTATTTCACTTCACAATACAAAGATATATGAACTTATCTGAATCTTAGTTTCATCTTTGTGGGAACAGTAAACCTCTTCTACAGAGAACAGAGATGTTAGGCAATTAAGATATATATATGAGATATTTATCTATATATCTATATATCTATATCTGATGTAGATCTATGTCACATAGATCTATATATTAGATAGCTGTCATTTATCTATCATATATCTATTGCATCTATTGATCTAGTTTTTATACATTATAATCACAATATATAATATCTATAACATATGTTGTATGTAATGTTATATGATATATTAATATATCTGATATAATATGTTATAGCTATAATATGTGATATTTATAACATATATTAAAATATATATTATGGATAGATAATCAATATGATAGCTATATCAATATATAGATATACATTCAGTTGGCACTCCATAGTTGAGGGTTCCGCATTTGTGGATTTTTTTAATGCTTTCTAACTGCAGACAACTGTGGATAGAAAATATTTTTAAAAAATTCATCTGTGCTGAACATGTGCACTGTTTTTCTTGTCATATTCCCTAAACAATACAGCATAACAACTATTTACACAGCATTTACATTGTATTAGATATTATAAGTAATCTAGAGAGGATTTAAAGAATATGAGAAGATGTGTGTAGGTTTTATGCTAATATTACGTCATTTTATATCAGGGACTTAAGCATTGATAATGGTTTGGCTCTACGTCCCCACCCAAATCTCATCTCAAATTGTAATCCCTACATGTCCGGGGAGGGTCCTGGTGGGGAGGTGACTGGATCATAGGGATGGCTCCTCCATGCTGTTCTTGTGATAGTGAGTGAGTTCTCAGGAGAGCTGATGGTTTTAAAAGTGTTCGACAGTTCCCCCTTTTGCCTTCTCTCTCTCTCCTGCCGCCAGGTAAGATGTGCCTTGCTTTCCCTTCACCTTCCACCATGATTTTAAATCTCCTGAGGCCTCTCCATCAATGCAGAACTGTGAGTCAATTAAACCTTCTTTTTAAATGAATTATCCAGTCTCAGGTAGTATTTTTACAGCAGTGTGAAATGGACAAATACAAGCATCCAATGGTGTTTGGTATTTGCAGGAGATTCTAGAACCAATCCCCAGCAGATACCAAGGGATAACCAAATATATATACTCTATAATGTATAGTTTAGTATACCCAGTATAAGTGGAATTCAATAACTAGTGTCCATTTGTAGTAGTTGTAGTACTACTAGTAGTAATAATATGACAGTACTGTAGAAAGGATAATAATTTGAGTTCTGAAATCAAGAAGACCTGATTTTGAATCCTGACCCCACTGCCTAATAGTCCTGTAAGCATGGATAAAATAACCTTTTTGTACCTCAGTTTTCTGGCCTGTAAAATGGAAAAAAAAAGATTCATAACAGCCAGATTTTTATAAGGATTAAATTAATTCATATATATAAAGTGTTTTGCATAAAGTTATTAATATCACCAAGTAACTTTAAAAATATGTCTGCAGATTCTGGATTGAAATAATGTTTTACCATTTGTTGAATATCTGGAACTCCCTGAAATGTAGGAGATGATTTGTTAAATGGTTCTTTAATTGATAGATCATGTGTCATGAATCAGATATGGAGCACCATCTCTCCCATTCTCAGCTGCTTTTTTCCATATATCAAACCAGCAGTTTTAATTTGCCTAACTCTCTATTTTGATTGATGTGTGGCAGCCTTAGATTTGAATGCAGTCAATAAACTCTCACAGTTGGATTTGGTATACAGTTAGGCTACTCTGGCACTATTAAGATTAGCTTTCTGGAAAAATCCTCAAATGTAGGAAGAAATAAAATGAGAATACTGATGTAAAACAAAATACATGACCAGTGTGAAGTTGGACAAATTGTTTATCTCTCTGGGCCAGTTTTGTCATCTACAAAGTGGAAAAAAATGATTCCAGGGTCCTTTCATTCTCTAAAATCCTCATGACTCTGTTACAATTCCTCTCCTTCATTCACATCTCCTTCTCTTTATGAGTTAACAGCTTTATCCATTAGGCCTCAAATCTATCTCAAATTACTTTTTGGTGTGGTGTAAGGTAGGGCCTCAGGTTAATTTTTTTCCATATGCTTATCCAGTTATTCCAGTCCATTTGTTAAAATGATTTTCCTTTCTTCCCTGAATTGTCTTAGAGCTTTTGTAAAAAGTCATTGATCATTTATGTGTATATCTATTTCTGGACTCTGTTGTGTTCCTTTCATGATTTTATCTCTCCTAATGCCAATACCACCCCATACTTGTCTACAATATCCTTTATACAGTCTTAAAATCAGCTATTGTGGGGTTTTCAACTCTTTTTCTCTTTGAAAATTGCTTGGCTATTCAATGTCCTGTGAATTTCTAGATATATTTTTAAGCCACCCTGTCAATTTCTACCAAAAAGTGTGTTGGGATTTTGATTTGAATTGTTTTATATTGATAGACCAATTTGGAGAAAATGGACATCTTAATAATAATATGTAGTCTTCTAATTTAAGACATGGTATGTCTCTTCATTTATTAGGTCTTCTGCTATTTTTCTCATCAATGTATTTAGTTTCCAGTAGAGGCATCTTACATATCTTTTGTTGTAATTATGTCTAAATATTTTATATGTTTAATACTCTTAGAAATGAATTATTTCTCTCAATTTTATTTTTCACCCCTTGCCATTGCTAATATACAGAAATTTATTTTATTGTATACTTGCCTTGAATCTTAGAAATTTACTACATAATTTTATTAGTTCTGTCAGGGTATTTTTAAAGAGTCCTTAGTATTTTCTACATAAACAATCATGTTACCTGTGAATAAAGATAGTTTTACTTCTTCTTTTCCAATCTTTATGACTTTACTCTTTTTTACTTTATTGTACTAGCTAGGACCTCCAGTATAAAATGGAATAGAAATGGTAAGAGCAGATATCCTTGCTTAGTTCCTGATCTTGGGAAGAAGTGTTCAATTTTTCAACACTAAGTATTTATTGGCCATTGTGTTTTGTTTTGCCTTTTTTTTGTAGGTCCCTTTATTAGATGGAGAATATTCCTTTTTTATTCCTAGAGTGAGAAGTTTTTTTAAAAAGAATAAATGAATGTTTAATTTGACAATTGTTTTTCCTACATCTATTGTATCATTATAAAGCTATGCTCTATTAATTCTGCTAATGTTGTGAATTACATTAACTGATATTTAAATGGTAGCTCAGTCTTGCATTCTTGAGATAAAGGTCCTTTGGTAATGCTATATTTTCTTTTTTATATATTTTTGTATTTCATTTGTTAATAGTTCACAACTACAATTATGAGGCTTATTCTTTTATTTTTATTTCTTATAATATCTTCATCAGGTTTTGCTATTGGAGTTATGCTGGCCTTTTAAAAATAACTAGGAAAGCATACCTTTTTCCTCTCTTTTACAAAAAAAAAATTGTGTAAAAATAATATTACTTCCTTAAATGTTTTATGGGATTTAACATTGAAATCATTGAGCCTGAGGTATTTTTAAACAAAGATATTAAAAAAAATTTAGTTTGTAATAGATATAGAAATATACAGATCCTCTATTTCTTCTATTTTTTATAAGTGTTGGTAGTTTTGTGTTTAAGATATTTATAGATTTCATCTATATTTGTTCATCTAATATAGATGAGCATCTATATTATTTCATCTAATGTTGTTGATGGAAAGTTATGCATAATTTTTTTATCATTTCCCTTGTGATTTTTTTTTTCATGACCAGTGGGTTATTTAGAAATGTGTTGTTTAATAACCAAATATTTGGGAGTTTGAGAACATACTATTATTATTATTTCTAGTTTATTTTTCTTCTCATCAGAAAACATACTCCATAATTATTTCAGTTTTTAAAGTTTATTGTGACTCGCTTTATACTCCAACATGTGGTCTACTTTAGTAAACATTTCATATGCACTTAACAAGAATATTTCATCAGCAGTCATTGATGCACAAATTGTCTATATCTTTGTTGATTTTTTCCTCATTATATAAATTACTGAAAGGTATTTTGAATTCTCCAACTATAATTGTGTCTGTGTGTTTCCCTCTTTAGAGGTGGTTACTTTTGCTTCACATATTTTTAAAATCTCTATGATTAGATGCATATACATTTAGGATTGTTAAGTATTCCTAATGAATTGACCAGTTTATTACTTGTAAAATGTCCTTCTTTATCTCTGATTGTATTCCCTATCTTTAAGTCTACTTGGCCTGACATTAATATAGCCACACAAGCTTTCTTATGGTTACCATTGTATGGTACATTTTTCCGCTGTTTTTACTTTCAAACTCTCTGCATCTTTGTATTTAATATGCATCTTTTAGTCATTACCATATAATTGGTCCTTGTATTTTTCACCCAGTTTGATTATCTCTGTCTCTTTATTTGGCATTTATGTTTAATGGAATTATTGATACAGTTGGGTTTATGTCTACTGTTTTGTTATTTGTTGTGTATTTGACTTATCTTTCTGTTGTAGATCTTTCTCTATTGCTAATTTTCTGCCTTCTTAATTGAAAAGGTTAATAGAAGAGATTTTAGTATTCCCTTTTAATTTCTTCATTGTCTTTTAGCTATAGCTTTTTTGTGGTTGCTCTAAGATTACAAATGTATTAATAATTTATCATAGTCTACTTACAGTTAATAGTGTATCATTTTACAGAAAATAAAACTACCCTGCAACAATGTAATTCTTTCTAATTATAGGAATTAAAAGAATGGTTCTTTGCCTATTGTCATATGTTACATTTGCATGTGTTACAAACCCTACAATGCAGTGTTAATATTTTTAAACCACCAATTGTCTTTCAAAGAAATTAAGGGAAGAAGAAAATGTACAATTTACCTACGTGCTTGACATTTTTTATGTTCTTTGTTCCTTTCTGTACATCCAGATTTCATGTTTCATCTGCTGTCATGTCCTTTCGGCTTGAAGAACTTACTTTAGCATTTCTTATAATGCATTTTTTGGTTTCTTTGGTTTTGGGTTTTTTTTTTCTGACAACAGATTATCTTAGCTTTAGTTTATCTGAAAATGTTCATCAGCTAATCAAAATGTTGAATAAGTTTACCTATATACCTGTGTCTTTATAGCAGCATGATTTATAATCCTTTGGGTATATACCCAGTAATAGGATGGCTGGGTCAAATGGTATTTCTAGTTCTAGATCCCTGAGGAATCGCCACACCGGCTTCCACAATGGTTGAACTAGTTTACAGTCCCACCAACAGTGTAAAAGTGTTCCTATTTCTCCACATCCTCTCCAGCACCTGTTGTTTCCTGACTTTTTAATGATCGCCATTCTAACTGGTGTGAGATGGTATCTCATTGTGGTTTTGATTTGCATTTCTCTGATGGCCAGTGATGATGAGCATTTTTTCATGTGTTTTTGGCTGCATAAATGTCTTCTTTTGAGAAGTGTCTGTTCATATCCTTCGCCCACTTTTTGATGGGGTTGTTTGTTTTTCTCTTGTAAATTTGTTTGAGTTCATTGTAGATTCTGGATATTAGCCCTTTGTAAGATGAGTAGGTTGCAAAAATTTTTTCCCATTCTGTAGGTTGCCTGTTCACTCTGACAGTAGTTTCTTTTGCTGTGCAGAAGCTCTTTAGTTTAATTAGATCCCATTTGTCAATTCTGGCCTTTGTTGCCATTGCTTTTGGTGTTTTAGATATGAAGTCCTTGCCCATGCCTATGTCCTGGCAGCACTATTCACAATAGCAAAGACTTGGAACCAACCCAAATGTCCAACAATGATAGACTGGATTAAGAAAATGTGGCACGTATACACCATGGAATACTGTGCAGCCATAAAAAAATGATGAGTTCATGTCCTTTGTAGGGACACGGATGAAGCTGGAAACTATCATTCTCAGCAAACTATCGCAAGGACAAAAAACCAAACACCGCATGTTCTCACTCATAGGTGGGAATTGAACAATGAGAACACATGGACACAAGAAGGGAAACGTCACACACTGGGGACTGTTGTGGGGTGGGGGGAGGGGGAACGGATAGCATTAGGAGATATACCTAATGTTAAATGACGAGTTAATGGGTGCAGCACACCAACATGGCACATGTATACATATGTAACAAACCTGCACATTGTGCACATGTACCCTAAAACTTGAAGTATAATAATAATAATAATAAAAAGAATTTATTTAAAAATGCTCAGAAATGTGACATAGCAAAAATAAAAATAAAGCCATATTCAGGAAAAAAAAAGTTCACCTATACACTACTTTTTGAAAAGTAATTCACATATTCTCCATTGTGGCAGAAACATTCATTCCTCACATAATATCCGTTACCTACTCAATTTATCAGCTGTCTTGCAGGTCATTAAGTTCTTAAGTTTGTTATATTCAGGAAAAACATTTAATAACAGGCATGAGATCTCTATTAGCCCTCTTGCCTTGCAATCAGGGGGGTCATATATTTAAAAATGTTTCAACCACAGTATAGTGGAGATCAGCCTAGATCCGTTAATGATGCTGTGGAGCAAAGTCCTTTCCTTTCCTCAGTCTGTGATTTGCTCTGAGTTATATAGATTGAGCATGATATAAACTTTTGTTGTACAGTTTACCCTTGAACAACACAGGCTTGAACTGTATGGGTTCACTTATATGCAAATTTTTTCCAAAAAATATACTGGAAAATTTTGCGGAGATTTGTGTCAATTTGAAAAAATGCACAGATGAACCACATAGCCTTGAAATATCAAAAAAAGTAATAAAAAGGTAGCTATGTCAAGAACACATAAAATATATGTAGGTCATTTCTTAATCATTTACTGCCATAAAATATATACAAATATATTATAAAAAGTTAAAGTTTATTAAAACTTAGTCACATAAAACTAGACTGTACATGCTGCCATTCTTGATTGAGAGAAATGTAAACAAATGTAAAGATGCAGTATTAAATGATAACTGTGTAAAATTAACTATAGTGCATGCTATACTATGGTAATAATTTCATAGCCACCTCCTGTAGTTACTGTAGTGAACTCATGTGGCAAGTATCTGCATAAAACAATGTGTGAAGCTAATCATCTCCACGTGAGCAGTTCATCACTCCAGTAAATCATGCATCAAAGGAAAAAGTGATCTCTCATGCTTCTTTCATATTTTTCGTGTTTAGTGCAATACCCTAAACCTTGAAAAACACCATGGTAATCATATGAAGTGCCACTAGTGATACTGGAACTGCTCTCAAGAAGCAGAGAAAAGTCATGACATTACAAGAAAAAGAATTGCTTGCTATGTAACATAAACTGAGGTCTGCAATTGCAGTTGTCCATCATTTTAGGAAAAATGAATCCAGCGTAAGGATCATCACAAAAAAAAAAAAAAAAGGAAAGGAAATCCATGAAGCTGTCACTGTAGTTATGCAAGCAGGTGAAAAAATATTCTACTTTTTGCAAATACCTTTTTTTGTCATACTGAAAATGCAACTTTTATGTGGGGGCAGGATTGCAATAAGAAAGGCATGCCTATAGATTCTAATATGATTTGAGAAAAAGTGAAGTCATTATTTAAAGCAAAAGGAAAATGAATGATCTAAAGCTTGAGAAATTAATGCCAGCAAAGGATAGTTTGATAATTTTAGAAAGAGGTTTACTTTAAAAAATATCCGGATAACAGGAGAAGCAGCTTCTGCCAACCAAGAGGCAGCAGATGAGTTCCCAGACCCTGTTGAAAAAATCATTGAGAAAAAAGGATATATGAATTGGTTTTTAATGCAGACAAAGTGTCCTATTCTGGGGAAAAAAAAAAAGCCACAAATGACATTTATTAGTGGGGAGATAAGTGAGCACCAGGATTTAAGGCAGGAAGGGGTGGGCTAACTCTACTGCTTTGGGCAAATGTACTCAGGCTTATGATCAGGACTGCAGCTTGATCTATAAACCTGCTAACATCCCAAGCCTTGAAGTTAGTAGAGAAACACCAGCTGCCAGTCTCTTGGTTGTACAACAAGAAGGCCTGGACAATGAGAACCCCTTTCCTGAATTGGTTCTATCGATGCTTTGTCTTTGAAGTTAGGAAATATCTTGCTTGTAGGGGACTGCCTTTTAAGGTCCCTTTGATATGGAATAATTCCCCTGGCCACCCAGATGCCGAAGGCATCAAAGTGATATACTTGTCCCCAAACACAATATCTCTAATTCAGTCTCTAGATCAGGGTCATAAAGATCTTTAAGGCTCATTACACATGGTACTATATGTTAATGCTATGGAAGAGAACCCCGATAGAAAGAACATTATGAAAGTCTGGAAGAATTACACCACTGAAAATGGCATCATTGTTGAAAAAAAAAATCCAGGAATGCTATCAAACCTGAAGCAATAAATTTCTGCTGAAGAAAACTGTATCCAGATGTTGTGCATGATATCACAGGATTTACAGCAAAGTCATCAAGAAATTCATGAAAGAGATTGTGGATATGGCCAAAAAAAGCTGGGAGGTGCAGAGTTTCAAAATATGGATCTTGGGAAAAAAAAAATTCAAGAGCTAATAGACACCACATCAAAGGAATTAGCAGAAGACAACTTGATAGAGATAAGTGCTTCCAAACCAGTATCAGGCAATGAGGAAGAAGACATAGAAGAAGCAGTACCAGAAAATAGTTGACATTAGACGATATGGCAAAACCAGCTCTTCCTTTTCCTCCTTCTCCTCAGCCTACAAAACATGAAGGTGACAAGGATAAAGACCTTTAGGATGATGTACTTCTACTTAATGAATAATAACTATATTTTCTCTTCCTTATGATTTTCTCAAAAAATTGTTAGCTTACATTATTGTAAGAATACTGTATATAATACATATTATATACAAAAATGTGCTAATCAATTGTTTTTGTTATTAGTAAGACTTCCAGTAAACAGTAGGTTTTGAGTAGTTAAGTTTTGGGGAGTCAAAGTTTATTTGTAGATTTTCAGCTGTGTGGCGGTCAGCACCTATAATCCCTGCATTGTTGAAGGGTCAACTGTATTAATCTATTGAGTTTGGGAATAATTTGTTACCTGCCTTAGCCTAGTCTGACTGGTATATCTGCTGATTTTAACTTACATAGTAAATTTTTCCAGGAATATATGCTTTTTAGGATTTCCATTCTCTTCTATTGATCTATCTGTCTTTTCTGATAACAATACCAAACTCTTTTGATTTTTGTAGCTTTATAACACAATGAGATGTTTGTTGGGGGGAAACCTATTGTCATTATTCTTCTTTTCAAAAATGCTTGGGTATTCTCAAACATGTCATTCTTATGAGTCACCTTTAATTTAACTTTAATTATATTCCCAAAAGGAGTCCAAATGGAGTTCAACTTACAGATTTATTTAACTAAATTGAGACTTCTTATTCAAGAACATATTGGGTTTTTCCATTTTTCATCTTATTTACATCCCACAGTATAGTTTTGTCAACATAGATTCTTCATCCTTCATGCACGTTTATTCCTGGGTATTTTATATTTTCTCTTGCTAAATGTACTAAATGATGCATTTTACCATTGTTTATTCTCACTGGTTATTTAAATTATATATTGTTGACTACAGCCTGTATTGGCTCTAATTACTACACTGGAATCATCTGCATGGCTAATTCACCATCCTGTATGATGTATCTATATACAATTCATAGGATTATGCATTCTGTATGGCCTCATTGATTAGGCCATCAGAGTACAGAATACTTTTTGAAAACATTCTTTTGTTTTGTTGTTTAAAAATTGAAAGGGACCTTTGGATTACCTGGTTTACCTCTCCCATTTTTATGTGAAAAAATAAAGGCTATTTCAGAGCAAACACTTGAGTTCCAAGGCCATGCTGACTTCAATTTAACATGATTATTGAACATTTGCTACGTATTTGACTTCCTGATTCTAGGAAGCCCAGAGCATGCCCCAACCATAACCTGAGATAGGCACAGAGTAGCAGCTCAATAAATGTTTGTTTGATGGACTTGATGGCTTTATTTTGAAATAACATGTCATTGCTAGGGGTCATTGCTCATCAGATTTATAGAAAGCAAGCAGTACAAGCATGAGAGTTATTTCAGTGTGTTTTCCATCAATTCATAGTTACCACAAAGGCCTTTGTGACTTTCAGAGGGAAAAGTCTGCCTTTGCAACTGGAAAAATATAAGCCTGGCCATTTGGAGCTCCTGCAGGAAGTAGGTGAAAAGATTTCTTTTGCCTCTTGAGCTTCCTAAAGTATTTTCCATCATACAATAAATTACACATGCTTCTCTGGCCCCAGGAGCCTAGTTTTCTAAGTTATTTTTTTAAACATGGCAGGAATTTGCAGACAGCTGCCACTGTAAACATCTATGGCTTTATCCACTTCAACGAACAGCTGAGTACATTAAGACATAGCAACACTTTCCAAAAGGCTGCATCTAAGCCAAAGGAGATTAGGACAAGACTCAACTCATGAAAACAAGAGGTAGCACAAGTTAAAAATAGACATTGATTTGCAAGAGGCTAAATTAAGATCCATGGATAAACAAGTTAATTTGGCTTAGGGAGAAAAACTTGGATGCAGCCAGATAAATATCTGGCCTTAATATTTATTATATAGTCAAGGCTAAGTTCACATCATTTGCAGCTCAAATCTCAACTCTGCCATTTTCTAGCTGTGTGATCTTTGAATTTTACTTAACCTCTCTGAGCTTCAGTTTCCACATTTATAAAGTGAAGATAACTTTATACTTAAAGAATTTCTGTGAGAGTTATGATGATTTTTGGTGAACATTTGTGCTCAGTAAGCTTCAGTTAAGTAACACAGACCCAAGGAAGGCAATTGAATATTATTAGAGATAATGGGTCTGACCTGGGAAAGCAATAATTCTGCTCATGTTTTAATAGCTTAAGAGCTAGTTTTAAATCAACCAAAATTGAGAGCTTCCCTAAGCAATATCATTCAATTTAATTCGACTACATATAAGGCAGTATGCACGACATTGTGGGTGACAAGAATGAAAAAGGCATGGTTTCACCTTTCAGAGCGTACTTGACCTAAGAGGAGGACTAGGAAAGTCACCTAGGAATAAAATGGACTGTAGCCAGTACCATATGACCATGGAATAACACCCTAATCCTAGAGGGAGAGTGATTACGTTGGTGGATAGGATCAGGGAAAGCTTTAAGAAGGAGGGGCATTTGTACTGAGTCTTGTAATCAATAGGGTTTTGAGAGATAGAAATGACCAGAAATGTTGTCACTGATGGAGTAAGTAGAAAAAAATATGCCCAGACACAAGAAATGAAGGAAACTGAATACACATACATTCATTCATTTATTACTTGTGTGATAAATATTGGGTGTTTGGGGTTACAAAATTAAGTTTGGTTGGAATCCTGAACATATGTGGGGAAGTCATGAATGCATCCCCCAACAGGTAGGTTGAAGCTCAGGTGAGGGGAACATACAGTTACCAGGCTATGATGCCCTGTATGGGATGGGGAAGTCAGAGGAGAATATGTGTGAAAAACAGAGTCATCAGAAATGACTGGAGCTCTGCTTTAAGGATGATTACTCCCATAGGTTGGAGGTTTTAAAGGACTCTTGGTGAGAGATTATTAGGGCCTAGATGGGAGGGGGCAGTCAGAATATTTTGGAGGAATATTGGCAGCATTAATCACAGTGGGACAGAGGCATAAGACCAAACTAAATGAAGTTTCTCACCTCTGTGACTAAGAATATAATGAGCCATGATCATGTGTGTAGATCATGGAAGGGATGATGATGCTGACATCAAATGGACATGGTGGTTCTGAGGGGCACCGTGGCACAACTTAAAGACTTGAAATAAAAGAAATTGCCAAGGACTTAGAGAAGGGGAACAAGAACAAAACCTGGGAGAATGCCTATATTTGAGGAATAGAAAAAGAAATCAATGGAGAAGAATCAGTTAAAGACACCAGAGAGGAGCTTGAAGAGTTCAGGTTCACCTGTGGAAGGAAATTTCAAGGAGTAGATGACAAGTGGCATCATAGCTATGGAGAGGTTGAGGATAGAAACTGAGGAAAAGTCAATGTTAAATGATTAGAAAAATCATTGGTGACCTTCAGGAAACCAGTTTTAGTATAGAGGTGAGGTCAAAAGGCAGAGTGTATGTGAATGTGAGTCTTTAAAATGGTGCTTGGGAATTGATTGCTTTTGTTAGATTTGGCAGCATGCCCTGAATGGAGTTACAAGAAAAGCCCAGAGCCAATTTTTATCTGCAGTAATGAGTCCTTGAATGTGTTAACTGCTTGCATCCTTTTTGTTCAAAGTGCTTAAACAAAAGTGCTTTAATTCACATTACCTAATTTCCTAATTCATGTTACCTAATTACCTCAAAACCACCTTGTAAGGCCAGGAAGTCAGGAAGCAGTTTCCTCATTTATAAAATGAAATAGAGACCTGAGATATTAAGCAATTTATGCCAGGTCACACAGCTAATAAAAAACAGGGGCAGGATAAGGACCCAGGTCTCCTGTCTCCTAGTTCAACACTACTTCCATTGCTCCAAACCAAATGTATGGGGCTCTACTGCCAATAGGTCTCATCTTACCTGGCAATGAAAGTTCAGAGACCACCTACAAAGCCCATATAAAACAAGAACACATAATAAATCGGAGACAAGGAATATCTCTCTTTCTCCAGCACACTGGAAACAGGTGGATTAGCTTGAATTTGAACTTCTCAGCCAGAAGTCTCTGTGCAACGAGCTAATAATTTAAGTTTATTTTTTTCTCATCTTTTTCCTGCATGTAGCAAGTCAAGGATTGCCATTGCTTTTTTAGTGTCTTGATATACCTGTTGGCTTTTTAATCATTGCACATAAAAGGAGCCAGTAATAAGCCCAACTTCGTGATTCCATCAAAACCCATTTATTTGTGAGTAATTGATATTGGAATTTTCACTGTTTTCTTGAGGTCTGCCAGACCCTAGAGACATACATTGTTAGTGGTGACAATAAACATTACGGGGTAGTCAGAGTCAGAAGGAGTAGGATGGCAGGGGAGCATACTAGGATGCTTTCCTAAAAAAGGAGACCATTTGACTTTCCCTTGTTAAAGCATAATTTCTCAGTTCCTGCCATGCCCTTGCCTTCTCTTCTCTGTTCTCTAACCTTAGCCATGATAAATAGTCAATACACAATGATACAACATTTAAAAAATAATCAAGTAGGCCAAGATGTCCATGGATATCATATCCCTGTTCATCATGGGTCATCTCAGGGGACAAGTATCTTTGCCTACAACAAGGAGATTATTCACTAGAGTCTTCTGCTAATTCCTGATACATGGGGATAAGATGGCATTACACAGTCTAGACACACTGAGGTTGATCTCTCATACTTCAAGAGGCCATTGGCTCCAAACTGATTGTGCGTCATGTTTTCATCGTGGATCTTGGTACAGTTTAGGGTTTTGTTCACTTTTATTGTCTTTAACAGGCCAGGTCTGAGGATTTTCAGTGGAAGTGGTTACTTGCTGGCCCAGGAGAGCTCTAAATTCAGTGGTAGAAGATGCTATTGGGTGAGACTTCTAGATAGTGAAGTTCCTTTTCTTCTCAGCACATCACCTGTTACCATGCTTCAGGTTCTGAAAGACATGAATCCTGGAGAAACATGACACCTTATGTAAACATATATTTATTATTATTTATTTATTATCTCATAGCTCACCTCCTCAGAGAACCACATACGAACTTCATGGATATTTCGATTTCTTTACCCATGTTTTTTTAAGGCCTCTGTCTTCCCTAGGAGACCTTATATGGTTTGGCTGTGTCTCCACCAAAATCTCATCTTGAAATGTAGCTCCCATAATCCCCACATGTCACGGGAGGGAACTGGTAGGTGGTAATTGAATCATGGGGGTGGCTACCCCCATACAGTTCTTGTGATAGTGAGTGAGTTCTCACAAGATCTGATGGTTTAACAAGGGGCTTTTCCCTTTTTGCTTGGCACTTCGTCTTCCTGCCACCATGTGAATGAGGACATGTTTGCTTCCCCATCTGCCATTATTGTAAGTTTCCTGAGGCCTTCCCAACTACGTGCAACTGTGAGTCAATTAAACCTCTTTTCTTTATATATTACCCAGTCTCAGGTATTTCTTCATAGCAGCATGAAAATGGACTAATACAGCAAATTGGTACCAGGAATGGGGCGCTACTATAAGGATACCAAAAACATGGAAGCAACTTTGGAACTGGGTAATAGGCAGAGGTTGAAACAGTTTGAAGGGCTCAGAAGAAGACAGGAAAATGGGGAAAGTTTGGAACTTCCTAGAAACTTGGAAGATTCAGAAGACAGGGAGATGTGGGAAAGTTTGGAACTTCCCTAGACACTTGTTGAATTGCTTTAACCAAAATGCTGATAGTAATATGAACAATGAAGTCCAGCCTGAGGTGATCTCAGATGAAGATGAGGAACTTGTTGGGAACTAGAGTAAAGGTCACTCTTGCTATGCTTTAGCAAGAGACTGTCAGCTGTTTGCCCCTACCCTAGAAATCTATGGAACTTTGAACTTGAGAGATGATTTAGGGTATCTGGCAGAAGAAATTTCTAAGAAGCAAAGCATTCAAGTGGTGACAGAAAATAAAAGTTTAGAAAATTTGCAGCCTGATGATGCAGTAGGAAAGAAAAGCCCATTTTCTGGGAAGAAATTCAAGTTGGCTGCAGAAATTTGCGTCAGTAATGAGGAGCCAAATGTTAATCACCAAGACAATGGGGAAAATGTCTCCAGGGCATGTCAGAGACCTTCACAGTAGCCCCTCCCATCACAGGCCTGGAAGACTAGGAGGGAAAAATAGTTTCCTGGGCCAGTTCTAGGGGCCCCCTGCTGTGTGCAGCCTCTGGAGTTGGTGCCCTGCACCCCAGCCACTCCAGCCATGGCTAAAAGGGGCCAAGGTACAGTTCTGGCCATTGCTTCCGAGGGTGCAAGCTCCAAGCCTTGGCAGCTTCCACATGGTGTTGGTTCTGTGAGTATGCAGAAGACAAGAACTGAGGTTCAGGAAACTTTGGCTGGATGTATGAAAATGCCTGGATGTTCAGACAGAAGTTTACTGCAGGGATGGAGCCCTTGTGGGAGAACCTCTGCTAGGGCAGAGCAGAAGGGAAATGTGGGGTTGAAGTCCCCGCACAGAGTCCCCACTGTTGCACTGACCAGTGGAGCAAAGAAAAGAGGGCTATAGTCCTCCATACCCCAGAATGGTAGATCCACCAACAGCTTGCACTATGCATGCACCTGGAAAAGCCATAGACACTCAACGCCAGCCCATGAAAGCAGCTAGGAGGGGAGCTGTACCCTGCAAAGCCACACAGGGGTGGAGATGCCCAAAGCCATGGGAGCCCACCTGTTGCATTAGCGTGACCTGGATGTGAGACATGGAGTCCAAGAAGATCATTTTGGAACTTTAAGGTTTAATGACTGCCCTATTGGATTTCAGACTTGCATGGGGCCTGTAGCCCCTTTGTTTCGGTCAGTTTCTGCCATTTGAAACAGGTGTGTTTTCCCAATGTCTGTACCCCTGTTGTATCTAGGAAGTAACTAACTAGCTGTTGATTTTATAGGCTCATAGGCAGAGGGGACTTACCTTGTCTCAGATGAGATTTTGGACTTGGTTTTTTGGGTTAATGCTGGAATGAGCTAAGACTTTGAGGGACTGTTGGAAAGGCATGATTGTGTTTGGAAATGAGAGGATATGAGATTTGGGAGGGGCCAGGAGCAGAAAGATACAGTTTGGCTGTGTCCCCACCAAAATCTCCTCTTGAATTGTAGCTCCCATAATCCCCACATATCTTGGGAGGGACCCAGTGGGTGGTAATTGAATCATGGAAGCAGTTACCCCCATGCTGTTCTCGTGATAGTGACTGTGTGTGTATGCCTGAATGACTTTCATATTCTTTTGTGCTCCTAGAACCTAATTTTTGGTTTTTGGAAAATTCAAAGAATGGAGAATCAAATCAAGAGATAGAAAACGTCATGCTATTCTGATATATAGAACTCAAACATTTTTGTTGAAAAATAAATATGACCACTTTCACCAAAGATTTGAAGAGTATTTCCTACTTATTGATACTTTATAAGGATGGTGATGATGACAATGCTAAAGGGTGTATTCTGAAGCAAAAGCAGTGTCAGCCCAACTTCATGTGCTCTAAAAAAAAAAATGAGACGAAAGGACCACAGGCAGGGGGAGGACTGTGACCCCTCCATCCCTTCCCCTGGAGTTCCATTAATATAGTGGCCTTGAATTCCATGAGGAAATGCACCCTCTTGAGGAGCAATGAGGAGAAAATTTGTAGTTGATGCCTAGGAGAGGAAATTTAAATCGGGAATACTAGTATCTGTGAACATGCACATTCAAGCAACTAAGCAATGACTAGCTGACAAGCACCAGTTATGTTTGAAGAATTATAGTTAAGGATCCTGATGAAATTGTTTTTACTCCTATTCCTGGGAAAATGGAATTAACTCCAATAAGAGTAAATCTGTAGATTTAGCCCATAGAAGACAGCTAGATTTCTTGCAGAAATCGGGGTTTTTCCTTCTGAACTTCTCCCAGAGCATTCTCTGTTTATGGGGAGTCTGGGTGAATATCTCAGCAGCGTGTTTACTGCTGTGTATCTTGTAGTCACATCCCCAAAGTACTTTTCCAGCTGTGGTTTCTACTGGTTGTAACAAACCTGTGATAAAAGCCAGATGTTTGATGAAGAGCCTGAGGCACAGATAAGTTAAGCCATTTTTCAGAGCTTACACAGCTGCTGAGTTTAGCGGTAGACCTGAAATTGGACCCAGTCCCTTCTCTACCAGCCTGGCCTCCAGATGGCAGCACAAGGTGAGTGTTCACAAATAAGAATAGTAAAGAATGACTGTTGGCCGGGCGTGCTGGCTCACGCCTGTAATCCCAGCACTTTGGGGGAGCTGAGGCGGGCGGATCACGAGGTCAGGAGATCGAGATCATCCTAGCTAACACGGTGAAACCCCGTCTCCACTAAAAAAAATACAAAAAATTAGCCAGGCGTGGTGGTGGATGCCTGTGGCCCCAGCTACTCAGGAGGCTGAGGCAGGAGAATGACGTGAACCCGGGAGGCAGAGCTTGCAGTGAGCGGAGATCGCGCCACTGCACTCCAGCCTGGGTGACAGAGCGAGATTCCATCTCAAAAAAAAAAAAAAAAAAAAAAAAAGAATCACTGTTTGGTCACCGATGTGGGCTATTTTATTTCCAGTGAAAATAGGGATGAGAGCAATCACAAAAGCATTGATAAGCATCTTCTTCTGAGGCTTTACCAATTATTCATGTTATTCATGACCAAGGTAGAGCAAAGCAAATAGCTTCATTGCTACCACTTATTATGTGCCTGCTGTATCCATTGAAATGTAATATACACCATACATGTATTTTTTTGCTCAGTTATTACTTAAATTTGTAAGGAAGATATTTATTCTCCCCATATTACAGATGAAGAAACTGAGACCCAGAAAAAAGAAATAACTTGCTTTCATGTAGATGTAACTATAATATGTCTGAGTCTGTATCATTTACGATTCTGCATTCATGCTGGACTGTATTCCCTATGCTTACCTCACTAGCGGAGTCATTAAGAACCTATAGCCCACAGGAGACCACAGCTGCTGTCAAGCAGGTGTGGCTATTAATTTGCAGCTTCCATTGTCCCTGAGCTATTTCCAGGAAAAAACCAGGAGGACACAGCTTTCACAGCACTTCTTTGCCTACAAACTGCTACAGGCTTTGGCATGATCAAAGCATGTGTCTTCACCAACCACGTAACCTGCCTGTGTGGTTCTACATCTGGACACAGCTGTGAAAAGTACAGCCTGCAGCTCGGATCCTTGGCCTCTGGTGGAGTGTCCTTCTCATTCCCGGTAGGTACAAGTGACTTCATGCAACATTTCACGTTATTTTATTTTGAGACAGAGTATCACTCTGTCTCCCAGGCTGGAGTAAAATGGTATGATCTCGGCTCACTGCAACCTCCGCCTCCCAGATTCAAGTGATTATCCTGCCTCAGCCTCCCCAGTAGCTGGGATTACAGGCAACTGCCACCATGCCTGGCTAATTTTTGTATTTTTAGTAGAGGCGGGGTTTCACCATGTTGTCTAGACTGGTCTCGAACTCCTGACCTCAAGTGATCCACCTGCTTCAGCCTCCCAAAGTGCCGGGATTACAGGTGTGAGCCACTGTGTCCGGCCTCATTTCACCTTCTTTAAACTTGTTTTCAAGGAAGGCATTACTCTCATTCTCATCAAAGTGTAAAATTTTCTGCAAGGAGTTAGAAGAGTTACTCTTTTCCTAAGAAAATGGATGTGAGGGGGAGACAAGCATGCTGTCACTTTACTGAACGATGGCAGTTCTAGGCATTGGGAGAAAAGCTGTTTTTTATATTTATCATTAACAACATTTCCTTGACTGCATATCTGCACATAGGTAATTTGAAATAACACCCAACAAGAAAAAAAAATTAAGAATTAACCAGACTAAAAACATGGACCCTAATCTGAACAAAATCCAGTGATTATATTTTATTGACTAATAAAAAATTTTTTAATGTTTAAGTTTTTTGTGGTCATTTTTTATCACTCATAAAGGTGGTCCCTAGGCAACCATGATTATGGCTTGCACTTGATTAAACATTGTGGTCACTTGATCCAAGCTGAGCCAATCAGGTTCCTCTTCCTGGTGAGCTGGAATCACAATTAAAATTCTATTCAAGTGCAGGCTTCTCTCTTGACCTCAGGAGTTGTGAGGAGGCTGTCTGCTGACATAGTGAGAAATCCAGTCTGCAGGGGGAGAAGGGATGGAGTGGAAAGCAGGAATGGGAAACTAAAAGTGTGTCTTCCTGAAGTTCTGGGGCCTTGCCTTTTCCTGGCTCCAAATCCTTTCTGAGTCCATGTTCCAGGGCTCTATGGGATGCCTCAATTTTTGTGTAAAGACGAACCAAAATATGGTGGAAGCACAGAGGGAGGCATCGTTTTCTTAAACTGAATTTGTTAGCCACATTATGTAGTTTCAAAGGACAAAAACTATGAGATAGTGGGAAAAACTGGTCAAAAAATGTTGATGCCATGAAATGTTGAATCCCAGTGCCATTATTTGGCCAATTTATTTCATCTTTCTGAAGTTCACTATCCCCATTTATAAATGAGGATTATGTTTTCAATCTCATAGGATTTTTGTAAAAATTAACTCACATATGTATAGTAGGTGGGTCTAGCTGTAATGATTAGACCTAACACCTGGAGAAAAGTTACAGGATGGGCAAAGGTCATTCCCTGGAAGGTCTTATGTGCCAGGCTAAGAAGGTAAGACTTTAAATTGCAGGCAACCAAGTAATTAAAGAGCTTTGTGGAGAGGAAAGACATGGTTAAATGTGCCTTTAAAGGAGATCACAGACAGAGTACTGAGCAGTGAGATTCAGAGAGGACACAGGAAATAGAAAAAAATGAGGGCCTGTAGTAGTGAGAAGATTGTGACCAAGTCCAGGGTATTAATTAGGGAGGCCTGGAAGAAGCAGCTGGCATGGGGTTTAGAACCTGGGAGACAACATTCTCCTAGTTCTCTCACAATGCAGAGTGCATTTATGAATGGAGTTAATTGAGTTCTTTCTATTGCATGGCACCTGCAGAAAGGGTTGTTGAGTTTCGTTGCTGTTATTTTTTAAAGTTACCTATCTGCAAAGTACACCACAAGGGAGAAAGTGTTTTGTGTTTTAGGACCTTGGCAAATAGACATCATAATGTCAGAGAAGTTTCTGACAATATCACTATTGTCTTTAATCCCCAATTATAGGATGAAAAATCTCTTTATTCAAAATAAACCTCAAATAAAGCCCCACATTATCCATTATAGTGCAGAACCAAAGCATCACTGTTCTTTATCTAAGAGGGTATGATATATTAAAAGCCATATGTCAACAAGGAGAATAACTGTTAAGGGTCATTGATCAGGAAGAATCAGAGGGGACTGGTGGCTTTATCTTTTGGAGCACATTGAAGCAGTTTCGGAACCCCCACTTTTTCAGGTACCATCTATGACTTTGTTGTTTAAATGTGAGCTGCCCAGACTGCAACAAAAAGAAAGATAAAATGTTTCTGTTGCCCACAATTAGTTTATAAATTCAATAAATATATATGTGTTAAGTATGTGACTATCTCTTTTTTTTTTTTTTTTGTCTGTGCTTATTCTAATTATAGTTGGGAGTCAGGAGCAAAGAAAAAATTTAAGTTTTATGGAAATGCTTAATTTACAGGATGCAAGTGAAACTCTTTACAACAGTTTTGGAATTACAATAAAAGATCAGATCTTTCCAAGAGTCTGTGCAGCAAACTGAATACATCAGTCTCATCTGACCCCCTGCCCTTCTCCACACCTGCTTGTGTGGTTCCTCACTCCCAACACAAACAGATCATTTTAGACATTGTGTTTAACACCTTAGTACCTCGTTGGGGCCAGTGGGGTTAAGATTAAAGGGAGACACCATCCTCTTTCTGAATTCTAATACTTGGAATTATTTTCTTGAGAATAACGAGATTTAATGCTATAATTTCTATGTGAATGTGCTCTAGATGGCAGATATTATATATATGCAGAATATTCCTTAGAATACAATCATAAGAAAATATACATTTTAACTACTGTGCTTTTTTTTTTTTTTTTGACGGAGTCTCACTCTGTCACCCAGCCTGGAGTGCAGTGGCGTGATCTTGGCTCACTGAAACCTCCGTCTCCCAGGTTCAAGCAATTCTCCTGCCTCAGCCTCCCAAGTAGCTGGGATTACAGTTGTGTGCCATCATGCCCAGCTAATTTTTCTGTATTTTTAGTAGAGATGAGGTTTCACCATGTTGGCCATGATGGTCTCAATCTCCTGACCTCATAATCAGTCCACCTCGGCCTCCCAAAGTGCTCGGATTACAGGCGTGAGCCACCGCGCCTGGCCTACCTTCTGTGGCTTTTAAGTCCGTAGATCATCCCAATGCCTTGACACATAATCGATTTTGCAAGATGGCTCTGGGGATTTGGTATCCCTGGGCTTCAGCACATATTAACTATTCATCCTGTACAAGATACCTAACTTGCTCTCTTTCAGTTTCGTCAACTATAAAATGGGGATAATGTCAGTACCTACAACACAGTCATGGGGTTGGGGTGAGAATTAATTAACAATTCAAGTAAAGGCCTCGATCATTATTATAACTATTACCATGATTATTTTAGTTTCTCAGAAACCAAGTGATAATGAAGACAGGAGAAAAGTTCTTGAGGTTTCTCCAAAATACAATTTAGTATGATGGGTCTTTACATCCAAGATTTGTTGGTGTCTCACATGCACAGCTTTGAAATACCTATTCTGCTTAGCTTTGCAGACAATCACAGCTCTCTCCCTTCCCCCTTCCTCCTCTTAGTGGTTCAAAGCTGAACTTGAACTCTGTGTAGAGGATTTACTGATGAAGGAAACAAGGATAGGCTGGAGGCAGATGGTGTGAACACACATCCAGTCTCTGCTACTTGGATAAGTTCTTTAGCCTCTCCAAATCCTTACTTTGTCCTCTCTAAAGCAGGATTAAAGATATCTACCGAGCGAATTGTTGTGATTAGTAGATTGGATGAAAGGATAAACGTAAAACAAATGTAAAATGTCATCATGGTAGAAAATAGGGCAATGTGTTTCCTTCCCAGCTGACCCTAAAGACACCTGTCTCAAGAGATCCTCCCACCTCAGCCTCCCCAGTAGCTGGGACTACAGGTGCATGCCACACAATGCCTGGCTAATGTTTTTATTTTTTGTAGAGGTGGGGTCTCACTGTGTTGCCCAGGCTGGTGTCAAACTCCTGGCCTCAAGCAATCTTCCCACCTTGGCTTTGCAAACCTCTGAGATTACAGGTATGAGCCATCATGCCCTGCCTGTGGTTCACTTTTTAAATGAAACCCTTTCAGATTTAATAGGGAAGGAAAATATCCTCTCTTTTCCCTGTTTATGTAGACAAACTCAAGCCCAAGCTAAAATCAGTGAAAGAAGATCACTCAACAACAACAAAAAGTTGTGGGTTGTTACTGATGTTTCTTTTTTATAAATGTGAACCTAGGGGGACACAGGCTGCCTTTTAAATCTTTATCCATTTAGACTTTGCCTATCTTGTGTTAGAAGTACATACAATACAGTTGGATAAATTTAAAAAATTACAACATTGTAACAAAGGGAAAAATAAGGATGAGAAAATGAAAGAGCATAAAACATGATAGCATAAATTGTTAGTAGAGGACCCCAAATTTAGTTTCATACTTCCAAGTGGGAGGAAGAAAAAATGACCAGTTGTGAGATTTATAGCATGCATAAGATGAAAAGCCAGATATTCTAGTGAGATGTAGCTGTCCCTGGTATTGGGATTGGAGACAGATTTTGCCCATGTGTCCTCATGAGGGAAGAATGCTTCACAACTTTCCAGCTAGACTCCTTGCATCCAATCGTGTCCAGTAAATCCATCCTCCACTAGAAACCTAAATTATCTTCTCAATGAACAAAGGTTATATCATTCCCAACTTAACATCTCTAGCTTTTTTTTTTTTTTTTGAGATGGAGTTTTGCTCTGTCACCAGGCTGGAGTGCAGTGGCACAATCTCAGCTCACTGCAACCTCCACTTCCCGGGTTCAAGCAATTCTCCTGCCTCAGCCTCCCAAGTAGCTGGGACTACAGGCATGAGCCACCATGCTGAGCTAATTTTTGTATTTTTAGTAGAGACAGGGTTTCACCATGTTGGCCAGGATGGTCTTGATCTCTTGACCTAGTGATCCGCCCACCTCAGCCTCCCAAAATTCTGGGATTACAGGCATGAGCTGCCATGCCTGGCCAGCTATCTTTTTTTGTCTTCAAAAACAATAGAGAAATATTGCTTCTGAGAGGTGTTGTGCTGGTAAATGTTTAACCATCAGTTCTTGGAAACAGACAGGGGCCCTGACTTGTAGCACTTGCCAGTTACTGAAGTATAAGTAATCCTACCATGGACAACTTGAAGCTACCAAACGTGGACTGGAAATAATTTCCACCATACAGATATAATAGATATAAATAACTTCAAGAACCTAGATAATAGTAAAGTTAGTAGTTAGGAAGTGATAAGTTTTAAAGATTTTCAAAAATATGATTTACTTAGTCATAAGTTTATATAATTAAATATTTTTTAGAGAGAGAGAGAGATGAGATTTCACTATGTTGCACAAGGCTGGCCTTGAACTCTGGGCCCAAGCAATACTCATGTCTCAGCCTCCCAAGTATCTGGGACTACAGGGGCATCACCACACCCAGCAACTTAATTTTTAATAATAGCTGTTGAACCATAGCTTGAAAAATTCCTATTTAGCAACTGACTCTGTTGAACTTATATCAAGCTGGCAGCAACACATGACAGCTGCTGAAGCATCACGAGACCTGTCCCCAGCTGTCTTCTCCAGGATCATCTTTGACTACTTGCTCTCTCATATTTTCTGCTCCAGACATTCTGAAGTACCACAAATAATCTAAGCTTTTCCTTAGATAATAATCAGAGCTTTTGTATACACTGTTCCTTTTGACTAGAATTTGTTGACTAACTCCTGCTTGTCCTCCAGATCTCCATTTACACATTTTTCACTCTAAGAAGTCTTCTTTGGCACTATAAATTGGTGTGGTGATTGTTTGGAGAAGAATTAGTATTGCTTAATCCCGATTTTTGTCCTGATACCTTGAGGTAATCTCTAAGCCCTTGAAAAGTCATCCCTGATGAGACTGTCTTTGTTTACTTGGGCCACACTTGATAGTGTAAGTTAACAGTGCAATTTACAATGAGGGGTTTGGATCATCATGGGGTGCATAGGCTTGACCTCCATAGAGGATGAATACTAAGGTCAGGAACATGTATGGTCAACCATATCTATGTAACTGAGCCCCAATAAAAACTCTGCACATCATGGCTAAGGTGAACTTTTTTGAGGACACTAATACTCCACATGTATGGTCACACATTGCTACTGGGAGAAGTTTGCAATGTCTGTGATTCCACTGTTGGGGGGCAGGAACAATTGGTAGCTGGCATTCAGAATTCTCCTGAACCTTGCCCCATGCACTGCTTCACTTGGCTGATTTTCATCTGTATCCCTTTGCTATGATAAGTCATAATTATGAGTAAAACAGCTTTCTGTGAGTTTTGTGAGTACTTCTAGCAAGTTTTTGATCCTGAGGTGCTCTTGGAGTCCCCTAAACTTGCAATTGGTGTCAGAAGGGAGGGCAGTTTTGGGGACTCCCAAACTTTGGGAACTCCCAAACCTCTTAAGTGCTTTCACTCACTGTGGTGCATGTACCACCCTATGAAGCATTTTCCTGTTTACCTGTCTGAAATGGGGACTGTGCCCTGTTCACTACTGCATCCCTAGAACCTAAACCATGGCCAAATGTAGTCACTCAAACATTGGTAGAATTAGCTTAATAGACAATATTATCCTATTGATGTAATAATCACACATTTGTTCCTTAAAATTATTTTTATTTTTACATGAATCAATTAAATTGAAGGAAATGACTGACGACCACTGAATAAAACCAATTTCACAAGCAGCCAAGAAGCACATCTTTATGAATCTCTCTCTTTGATAATTTCATTTCATCTAATAATAATATTTAGATCATAGAGGAATGGAAAATTATTTTTCAGATATGGTTTCTTCCAACTGACCTTATAATGAAAATTACATTGAAGAATATGAAGTCTTGTTTTCTAGGATATACCTGGAGTGCAGATTAAAGGGTTGGTCCAGGATCTTCATAAACCAGCTGAGTCCAGGATAGGATTAACATCAACCTGGGAAAAATATACACATTCAGCCAGAATACTTGGCTGAATAGAAGCCTACTTCAAGGCTGGCCAGAGATAACTAGATTTCTTTTGTTTATTCTACACGAAAGTGAAAAGATCTGAGGACATAACCTGAATCTACCATAAAGAACACAATAGGTCAAGTCCCTTTGCCCTGTAAATCAATGTATTCACCTGCAGAATGAGGATAAGAATATTCACCTTGCTTCACAAAATGTTGTAGAGATCAAAGGAGACGATAAGCATAAGAGCTTTGGAAATACTAAAGCATGTACACAATTTTGCTTTTCTCTTACTGTTAACATATGAGAGACACAATGCCACCTGGACACTTGCTTAATAGTGTTTAAGATTGTTAATTAGTCTAAAGAAAACAGAAACAATGCATCATCAAAGTCTACAGGTAGCAGATCAAAACTGTGGCGTAATGGCAGCAACTAATTTTTATTGAATACTCGCCAGACACTGGGCCAACCACTTTACATTATATCATTTTATCCTCACAACTCCTCTGGGTACATATATTATTATCCTGAATTTATAGATGAGGAAGCCGAGGCTCCAGGGTATGATGTAACCTTGTCTGGGGTCACATCATCAGTAATTAGAAGAGAGGAGACTCCAGCTTAACTTGTCTCTGTGAAATCCAATCTCTTATCAGTATGCAGACATACCCCTCTGTGGAAGGGCTTGGAGAGGGAATATGTGATGAGTGACTTTTTGGTCATTGTGCATCTGTGATTACAGATTTAGCCATAGCTCTCGCCGTATTCACATGAGAGCTAGATGGGATAAAGAGAGGTGGTGTATGAATATTTTAACATGAAATGTAATTCCTTCTACTAACCATAACAAATACCACAACTCCCATTTCAGACTGGACCCCAAAGATGTGATAAGATTGCCCACGGGAATCTTGCAATTTAAGTTTATTTTATAATCCATTTGAATAGGGTGATGAGACAAAATTAATTCATGACAACTTGTTCTCAAATTGTGAATTTTGGGGAACATTTCCAGTATTCATTAGGTCTCAGATTCACACTTTCACCTGTGTGTTTAAGAGCTGTTTTATCAGTTCCTAGAGCAGGAGGATGAAATATATGGAAGAACTGACTTTGTCTCCTTTGCCTCTTAAATTTGCAACTTTTAATATCAGTACAGTAAGTGGAGAATGGTTTTCAGGAGTCTTCTTATTCCCAAATCCCCTCCCTGTTAAATCTCTTGTCTTCTTTATGTTCATTTGTTCTTCATGATGAGTTCTTCTCAAATGTGAATCCTGTTTTAACTGTACTGTATATGGAGTAGGCCTTGTTAGAAAGAGGTTCCTCCTCATCATCTGTAATAACTTTCTTGGCCAATAAATACTAATACTGACCCTATTTTAAGGCCACTATACCCTGAATGCCTCTGAGCTTAACGCTACAGAGACTCTCAGTGAATTTCTGATGTTCTGCATAAAATCTTAGCTAAAGAGAAAACAGCTGTCATCTGAATAGTGGATTCACAGGTGCCTTCTCAGGTAGCAGAGCTTAACATTTTCTCAATGCAATTGGGTGGTTATGCCCATTTTAAAATTGATCAAATTCTTCTCTTTACTATGCTGATCTAATTGTGCACTGGGTTATTTCTTCCTAATGACCTAGGCATCAGCTAGTCCACTTTGATTAGTGTCTCGATCAGGCTAGGGGTACGCTTTGCAGTCTTTTTTTTATACAAATGCTGTAATTCCCACTCTACTCCCACCCCTCAACCATAGACCCTACCAATGTGTTTGAAATTTCACCAACTTGTTAATAATTTAAAAGTGTTCTATTATTCCCCCCTACTAGTAACTCCTGCTCAGGGAAAAATAATTCAGGAACAGATGTTCTCCATTTTGTTTTTCTGCCTACCTGACAAAAAGAGATTTTGGCAACAGTGACATCAGAAAAAAAAAAAATACTGAAAAAAAAAAGTCTTGGGAAGAGAAGGAATTGAACAGATGTTGTAGTCAAATCCTGACTTTCCATACAAATTGGGATCAATGTGGGGACAGGAGAGGGGTGTAAAGAGGGGGAGGACAACGCCACTGACCTTCCTCTGCCTCTCATCTGTGTAAGTAGCAGGTCTGCCCTCAATGTTCCTACGTTTCCTTTTTTTCTTCTATTTCCTACTTGATTTTTTTTTCCCTTTCAATTATCTCATACTGTCATTTGAGGCTGCACACATACCATCCATGAAATCTCCCCCACTTTGCTAAGTATTTTTGATAAAAGAGAGTCAATGGTATAAATTACCCAGATGATTTTGTCCATTATTTGTTTTGCATGCTCCATAGATACCAATTAATGTGTATCCATGTTAGTATGAATAGAAACATATGAACACCTAACAGCATTTCTAAGGAGGGAGTTGGTTGGCTAGAGCAACAAGCAGTCGTATTCTTTAAATTTAAAAAGATTTGTCAACTAGAGATTTTTTTTAATGCTCTGATTTGATGAGCAAGGGAATAGCTTCAGAAAAATGTATGAGAGTCATATTTATATGGTTGTGAAATTTTTTAAGCAGCAAGGATCTGAAACATGCTTTTTAAAATAGCCAGATAGAAAAATCTTGGTGTGAGCAATTTACACTTGAAGTGACTGTTCTGTCTTTAGAACCCTGGGGAAAGTGAGGTGTTTAATGTATCTTCCAGACAATTACAAAGCAGTCCTTGATCAAAACCCTCTGCGAGAGGTATTGACAAACCTGTCCAACTGCAAGAATCTCCCGTAGAGAAAATGATCTATGAGATTACCTGCTGGCGGGTTCATGGGTCAGATTGTCAATATCTAGAGAAGGATCACAGAAATAAACATTTAGTGTTTGCTGTTCTGACATCTATATTTATGGTCCTGTTAAAGCAGTTGGTCAATCAAAACCAGTTAAAGCAATTATAATTTTCCCCAGCTACATGCAAGAGAAAGAAACTGAACTCTTTGTGATGAGAAGTCAATATAGCAAGATAATCCAAAATTGCTTTTTATTCATGTGGAGTGAATCTGGTACTATTATATCTTTTCCCTTGTAATTGTCTGATTAAATGAATGCAGTGAAGATGCATTAATGTAATGAAGTCAAATACTCCATTACATTTTTATTTTTTCTTCCCTTCCTACATTGTTTGAGATCCCCACAGAATTTGAAACAGAATGGTCCTTTCCCTATTGAATTTGGCTCCTTTATATTTGGCAAATATTTATTCTTTTATCTATGTTTCAATTGGAGCTGCAGTGAATGGGTCCATTTTTCTCATGGTTTGACTTCTGCTGTCAAACAATATAGGTGATGCTGTTAGGCATAAAGTTATTTTGGAGATGACACAAATCACTAATGTAAGACAGATTCTGTGCTGGATGTTAACGGCAAACCTCTTTGAAGGGACAAGAGAAAGTATAAACAACAATGTCTGAAGGAGGCTGTGATTTCCAAAATGTTTACTTAGCGCTTGAAGGCAATCTGTAAAAAGAGGTGTCAGATTGTACTAGGTTGGTGCAAAAGTAATTAAGGTTTTTGCAATAAAGGTAAAGGCAAAAACTGCAATTACTTTTGCACCAACCTAATAACTCTTCTGAAGGGCTAAAAAGAAAGACAGATATAGTGAACCAGCATCTGCTTTGGTAAACTTGATATTCAAATATTTGAATGGGAAGGAATACAGCTTCTGATTAAGAGCTCACTTTCTAGAGTTAGGCAAAACTGCCTTTATCCAACATGCAGATTACGTGACCTTAGGCAAGTTATTTTACCTCCCTAAGCCTCTGTTATCTCATGTGTAAAATGAAAATAATTATCGAAGTTGCCTGATAGAATTGTTATGAGTTTTAAATTACATAATTCATGCAAAGTTCTTGGTACAGTGTCTGAATCATAGTAGGCACCCAATAAATGTTAGCTCTTGTTATTATCAGAATGCTGACTGGTGTTCAATTCAACGAGCATTTACCTCATGCCTTTTATGTAAGCAAAAACCTAGATGGCTTCAGAAATAAATAACACATGATCTCTGTCCTCAGTTTAGGAGGTTAACTCTAGTTATCACCATTATATTAGAAGGCAGACTGAAATGAGTGTTTAAAAAAGATATTGTAGAAATACAATTAGGCCTAGTATCTTCTTAACAACCCCTGCTTCCAATCTGACCCATTCTTTATGTGAAAATGGAGGGATCTTTGCAAAACTTTTTAGTGTCCTCCTGTTGAACATAACATCCAAACTACGGACTATGGGCTACTAGGCCCTGCCTCATCTGGTATCCAGGGTCTTCATTTGCTGTCACTCTGTCCCTCTTATGTTGCAATCCTTCTCCACCCCACTCCAGGGACTTTGTCTTGTACTTTTCCTCTGTCTGAACTGTTCCTCCTCCTTCTCTTTGCCTAGTTAATTCTCACCTTCAAGCCTCAGCCCTGATGCCACTTTCTAAGGGGTACCTCCTTAACTTCCTCACTGCTCACTGCAACTCTAAACCAATTTCTCTGTGATTTTCTCTTAGAATATTCTGTAATTTTCCTTTATGCACCTTAAATATTTTCTTATATCTGAGTTTTTTTTAAAATCTATCTCCCAACTAGACATAAATTTCTTGAAGTCAGGAACTATGACTATTTTGATTATCATTATATGCCCAGCTTCTAGCACTAAGCTTGGCATATAGTAGCTGAAAAACAAACAATAAGCAAAGGTGTAAATGGCAATTTTTTAAAAAGGTCAAATCATGATTCTCATACAGGTGTAAAATGAAAATGTGTTAAAGATTTTATTTGTCATTATTATTATTATTTTGAGACAGGGTCTCACTCTGTCATCTGGGGTGAAGTGCAGTGGCACCATCTTAGCCTCAAACTCCTGGGCCCAAGCAATTCTCCTGCCTCAGCTTCAGAGTAGCTGGGATCACAGGCACATATCATGATGCCTGGCTAATTTTTAATGTTGAGATTACAGACATGAGCTGCTGCACCCAGCCTAAATCATTATTAATGAGGGAGTCAGGCAGATATTAAACCAATTGAAAGGAGAAGTAAAAGAGTAAATATATAGAATCCATGTATAGATCTGGAATATTGTAACAAACGAGCAAATTGAGACAAAACTGACTTCTTCCACAGTGGGGAGGGAAGTCAACCGAACCTTCACCTGATAGCATTGTTTGCTTATTTATAAACAAGAATTGTTTTGCATTGCTGTCAGTTATCTACAGCTTACAGAGTTGTAAAATAGCTCAAAGGCAATGAAAAGCTAGAATCAGACGACTTGGAAGAGGATGCTCTAACATGCTTTTCTACTACAGCACACATTTTTTCCCTACAACAAATAGACATTCTGGAGGCACACAGCATTTCATTTGGAGGGGAAGGTGAGAGAGTTTAGAAGTCATGATAAAGGAGGAACAGTTGAGCTAAGCCTTGAAATGTTGGTAAGGTTTCAGTAATGGCAAAGCACTAGAGATTTTTGAGCAGAGCTCTAGAGATGTCCTTCTGGTCGCAATGAACTTTTGCAGGCAAGAATATAGTCTGTGAGACAAGATAAGAGTCCATTGCAACAGCCCGGGGAGAAACTTCTAGAAAAGACAAGGTAACATCCATTGGGGAAGGAAAGGCCCTGAGTACTGGTTCTGGTGCCAGCATTCCTTCTGTGACTTTGGAAGAGTTTACAGATCTCTCCAGGCCTAATCTGCTTTCATCATAGAAGTGTTAATTTAGCACCCAGCAACAGGGTTACAATGGTGAAGAAAAAACAAGCATGGAACTTAGATTCTAATGTATCTGGGTAATAAGGAAATGTTGACATCCTAAAGGAGCTTACAAGCTCTAATAAGAGTGTGTAGTTGTAGATGCACTTTCTAACATCATATTGAAATGAGAACAATCGCCCACCATCTGCGATGGGGATTATTTAGTACGTGAATAGTATAGGAAAGAGACTCCTTATCATAATCAAATAGATCAAATATTTTTTATTATCTTCTAGTACAGGGGCCAGAAAACCTTGTCTGTAAAGGGCCAGATGTTAAATATTTTCAGCTTTGCTGGTTATGCTATCTCCATTGCAATCACTTAACCCAGCTGTTGTAGCTTGAAAGCCAGAGACAATATGTAAACAGGATGTGCCCATGTTCCAATAAACCTTTATTTTTAAAAACAGGCAGTGGGCCAGATATGTCCCAAAAGGCCATATTTTTCTAAACTCCGTTTTAAAAGGTGGGTGGCTGGGTACCAAGAAGATCATTAGAATTGTGAATGATCCTTAGAGATACTAGTCAATAGAGAGTAGAGATCATTTTATTCACCTTTGTCCTAAACAATGACTTACACATAAATTATCAGTACATTGTAATAGAAAAAAACCCACTTTTTTTCAAGGATTCATCCTTCCCTGAACTTTCAAAGCAATTTGTCTCTCTTACAGAATTAATCACATCTTACCTGGTATTGGAGTTACCCCTGCAAATATCTTTATTCCCTACTATGATCTAAACTCCTAGAGGGAAGATATTATGCTATTTTCAGTGTTTCCCTTTGCTCCCTGATAGGTGCTTTAAAAAGTATTTCTTGAATGAGTGAATGATTTCTTCTGTATTTTTGTTGTTTATCAATTTTATTTCTAATCTTTCATGGCCTCAGTAAAATGCAAGGGCTTCCTGCTTGAGCACGGTTAGCAATATCTCAGCAGTTTCCCCAGGAACGAGGCCTCTCTCAGAGTAGGATGCTTGCCTGTGATCATAGCTGTCTGCTCCTCACCATTCTCTTTATTTTGTGGGATACTCTTGAATAACTGATTATTTGCCATCTTAGGAAATGTCCTTTTAGGGGCTGACCATGACCCATTTAACATAATTCAATGTAGTGTTCCTATATTTCCCCCCTGGACTGTCCTTTTCTGCGAGTCTGAGAGTTTCTTCTTTATGTAAGAAAGGAACAGTGTTTTGTTGTGGATCATTTTATACACCAGACAATGAACTGTCAATGGAAATAGATGTCAGCTGCATTCAAATTTCTAGTTTATTTGTTTTTATTTTTTTAAAAATTGTCCTTAAGTGTTCCTTCCCTTGTGAGAACACCAAGGCCTTATTTCCCTGCCTACTAATAGCTTTTTCATGAAGTGAATTTTTTTCCTTTTTTTTTTTTAAGCTTCTAAGCAGTACCAGATGTTGAATGAACTTTCTCTGATTGGTGTCCAGAGAAAACAGAAAGCATGTATCACTTCAAGCCTGACCTGCAGAAGGAAAAAATGGACTCAACAAAGGCTGCCAGAATTAAACACACTACAGATGGTATAAAAGGAACATTTTAGAGTTGTGTGTTTTTACCCCTGTGCTTTCATTGTTCTGTTTCACACCTGATTAGAGCATTAACTTTTGTTGAGAAAATGTAAAGTGGAAAACAGAAAAGCCACAAGAAAAATATTTTTTCTTAGACATGTCTTGGCTTATATGATCTTAGGCCACAGTTCACCAAAGGGAGCTCCATGTTCACGCTGTGGGATGTTGAGGAATGTTTTGAAAGGGGAAGAGGGTTTTGTGATCAAGTGCTATAGTTTGAATGTATGTGTCCCTCCAAAATCTGTTAGCTGGAAGTGAAATTCCAAGGTGATGGTAGAAGATGAGGCCTTCTAACAGAAGGTGATTAGATCATGAGAGCTCTCCTCTCCCAAATAAAATTAATATCCTTAAAAAAGCACTGGAGGGAACTAATTAGGCCTTTTTCCCTTCTGCCTTCTGTCATCTGAGGACATAGAGTTAGCTCTTTCTGCCAAGTGAGGATGTAGTAACAAGAAGCCACCTTGAAAGCAGAGAGCATCCCCACCAGCCACCGAATCTGCCGATGATTTGATCTTGAACTTCCCAGCCTCCAGAGCTCTAAGGAATAAATTCTTCTTTTTATAAATTCCCTAGTCTCAGATACTTTTTTATAGCAGCACAAATGGACTGAGCCACCAAGTACATATTTGATCTGATGGGATAAACAAGTTAAGCAAGAGACTAACCAGCACCAGGAATCTCCAAAGAGGTATATATAGTTCTGGCTTTTCTCATAACCTGCACAGAACACTTCTATTGCAGAATATTTTATAAAATGATTGCCCTTGGCATACACTTGAGAAAGTGCCTTGTGCTAGAAACAATAAATTTGCTTAAAAAATGTAAGCCCGCACTTTGGGAGGCTGAGACGGGCGGATCGTGAGGTCAGGAGATCGAGACCATCCTGGCTAACACGGTGAAACCCCGTCTCTACTAAACATACAAAAAATTAGCCGGGCGTGGTGGTGGGCGCCTGTAGTCCCAGATACTCGAGAGGCTGAGGCAGGAGAATGGCGTGAACCTGGGAGACGGAGCTTGCAGTGAGCCGAGGTCGCACCACTGCACTCCAGCCTGGGCGACAGAGCGAGACTCCGTCTCAAAAAAAAAAAAAAAAAAAAAAAAAAAAAAAAAAACTAAGCCCATGATTTTTAGTGTCATTAACTCTATAGTATTAACATTAACATACTATGTGTCTTAACAATGTCGATACACATTAACATAGTATGGAAGATAGCCTATCCTTATCTCCTGTCTCCAAAGTGTATGCAGTCTGGTTGGAAAGTATGGCACACACACATAAAAAGTTATTTAATGGGACAGTGCCAAACCAGTCTTCAAGAAAACAATCACTATACAACTTTTTAAAAAACTATATGTGGTGGTGCCATGGAGATTGTCTGAAGGTACCACAGGAGCACCTCTAAGGCAGGAATAGCTAAGGAGAAAGTCAACCAGGAACGGCTTTAAGTTCCTACCCTTGATTTAGCAAATAAGATGTCACTTGAAGACAAAATCCTGTAAAATGCTCAAATGATTAATAGATACTTTTCCACTCAATAAACGAACTGATGTTGCTGCTGTCTGTTTGGTTTTCACGGCTGAGCAGACTGCTCCTTCTGGCCCTTGGAAGAGGCAGAAACAGGAAAATAGGTAGTCAAGCAAGACAAGAGGAAGTGGGAAGAGGTGGGAAGAGGTGGAAAGAGAGTATGAGAGAAGGTAGAGAAAGCTACGTAAGAAGCAAGTGGGGGAAAACAAAATGAAGAAGGAAAAGTGATGAGAGTGAAAGAGAAAAGTTCCCAGAGCAGCCGGTGGAGGAAGCATTATAGGGGGCTTTCCTGAGTGCAAGGCTCTGGGGTGGTGCAGGGTGGGAAAAAAGAGGAGAGAAAGTGGGACCCAAGAAACATGGATGCGATTATGGAGTAGCATTGTTCATGTGTTTAAGATGAAAAATAAAACTCCCTTTTTAAATACTATTTAGGACTATGCTTTGCTTGAATGTGATTCAATGTAGATATTGGATCATGTAGGCTCAGAACTCATAACAGTTACACAGATAAGTGTGCCATTTGCATTAGGCTTTTTGAAATACTGCAAATAGCTTGAGGACCCCACTATTAACTTTGAGCCTTCTGAGGTGTTTAAGGGTGCCAGGGTGGAAACTCATTCCTTTGATGATGTTTACAAAACCATGAAGGACTTTAAAAAGTCTAATTAGGAAGTCCAATGAGATTAACTGCTTTATTATTTGTACTGAACTTGATAAACAATCCAAAGTGATTTGCTTTTTCGTACTTAGAATCTCCTGATGCCAAGCCTTGTAACTTGTTTCTAGTTGCTATAGAAATAGTGCAAGGAATCGACAGATTTGTTCAGAAGAATTTATTTCTTTCTGACACCATTGCCTTTAAAAGCAACATTTAGATTATTTATAAAAATTGGGTCATTGCACTGTATGGCAATTATAAATGCTACTATTTTAATTGAAGGCTATGAATAAGACACTTCTGAGTTTATCTTGGTTAGGTTTGATGGGTCCTTTGAGGTTCTTTTATATCTGGATGTCTAATGTAATTCTCAAGTGTCTTTTTTCCTCCTTTTCTTTCTCCTTCTTTCCCTTCCTTCCATCCTCCCTCCGTCCCTCCTTTTCTTTCTTCTTTCCTTCCTCTTTCTCTTTCTCTTTCCTTCCTTCCTTCCTTCCTTCTTTCCTTCCTTCCTTCTGTCTGTTTCCATTAGTACTTTTTCCTGGCAATTCCTTTCTTAGACACTTATAGTTAACTTCAACCAAAGGAGGAACCCTTTATTTCCATCCAAGCTGCTTTCTGGAACCACTCATCTTGCTGCTAACAACCATGTCATTTTGGGTGTCTTAAGGGATGCAAATTAACGAAGAAAAAATTCACTGCCTTCCGGAATCATCTCCTGTCTTGCATTTATGGCCCTTGGGAGGCCCAGGGCATGATTCTGAGGTAATTTTCTCTACATACTGTGACAAGAATGAACTTTTGAGAACCAAAAGTGCTCTTTTCTTGCCATACTCAGGTGAGGGGGTCAGAATGCTGTTATCTCTCTCCTGACCTCAAACAGAATTTGGGCTCTCCCCTGTAATTAGAAGCATTCAAGAGGCGTGTTGGGTAACTCAGGTGCAGGTGGCCCAGGTGTTATTACCAGATGAAACGATGATGCCTTTTGAAGAGACTATGAGGATATGCTGCTTCAAATTTCCTTTTTGTTCCTTGGTTTTGTCTTTCTGTCATTCATAAGCCACTTTATCATCTTAATACATCAAACTTTGAGGCCAAGTCTGTTGAAAGCATTGCTTTCCACAGAAGATTGTATGTCTTAGTTTCAGCTGCACAATTTTTTTTGCTACATTTTTGCATATGGTGGTCTCTGCAGGCATATATTTGACTTCTTGATATAAGGGACCAAGGATTTGAGGAGAATTATTTTGAAGAAATCCTACAACACTTCCTTTTCCCCAGAGCCCATAAGCCGAAGTTATAGGAATTATGGGGGCCAAAAGAGAATTTAACAATCTATTTTTGTGGAGACTTCTGATTAGTAGAAGGAGCACTCAGACATCTTTTCCCAGCTTCTCCTCTTTCTTTCCTCAACAAGAAGGTTTAGAAATAGAAATTAAGAGTCTTGCTGTTTTCTCAGTTCTGCTGCTGCCAAACTTAGCACTACCTATATTACTTGGCCTGAACAAAAACCAGTCCCCTCCTCATTTTTCTTCAGTTTTCCAGTTATTTGCTTACAAATGGCTCATTTAGCTGTTCTTCATTTACAGGAAAGCTTTCTGGGGCCTCATCGAACCCCTCCTCTCTCACTTTTAAATCTCCCTCCAGGTTCCTTTCTCAACTACTTTTAAAAATCCTTTTCCCTCAGAGAGGCTCTGAACCTGCCACCTTTCTTTTCAAAAATGATATCACACACATTGCCATATCCAAATAGTTGTGATTTCAAGATATTGTATGTAGGAACATAAACAAGGTGGGAGGAGCTTTAGAGATATAACTCTTTGTGGTGTGTATGTATTTGTTTACCATGCAACTACACAAAGTGGAAACAAGTTCAGAGAGCTTGTCGAGAACTTTCCAAAACCTTCATTCAAAGCCCTGGACTGGAACACAAATTGAGAAGTGCACTTCACACACACACACACACACACACACACACACACACACACACACATTGTGAATAATGCTGCCATGAACACCAGAGCACAGGCATCTCTTTGGCATAAAAAAAAAAAAGAATCCCAGAACAGTAACTTAAAGCAGTAACAGCCGTTTATCTTACTCTGAAGATTGACTGGCTATGCTAGGTAGTTCTTGCCCAGGGTCTTTCATGAAGTTGCAATCAGATGGTGATTGAGACTGGTGTCATTTTGAAGGTTTCTCACTTATATATCTGGATCTGGGCTGGGAATGTTCAGGAAGCTGGGAGCCAGAACCGCTGGGGCTCCTGGGACATCTTTTTCTCACTGTGGTCGCTTTATGTTGTCCTTCTACATAGCCACCTCATAGTAGCCAGACTTCTTACATAGTTGGTGAAGGCTATCAGAAGGAGTGCCAAAGAGAAACCTGAAGACATGGCATGGTTTCTTACCACAAAAGTTACCCAGTATAACCTCCATAACATTCTCCTTGACACAGTCACAATGGCTGACCCAGTTTCATACAGGGAGTACCAAATCATTTGCAAAATGCTTTAAAACACCCAGAGCCACACAGAGAGCCACACAGAATACTGCTGGCTCTATTTGTCTTGGGGTTCCACAGTCATCTTAACACTTGAGGGTTTAGAGAAATGTCCTCTTTCTCTTTCCTTTTAAAGTCTTTTTCTTCTTCCATCTTCATCTGGGACACCTAGCACTATTCCTACAATGGTCTCAGATCAAGGATGTCAGGTAAGTAAAGAAGGCACTCAAAGGTTTATATGTATTAATATAAAGACTGGTATAGGGACTAGGATAAAGAAATAATTCTTTATCATAAAAAAGTCAAGGAAAAATTATAATGGCATCTAACAGTTGCATTTATTTCAGAAGATAACAGGGAGTAGTGGGAACTGGGAAAACTGTTTAAAACAGGTATTTGTTGTTCAGCTGTAGCCAGTTATTATCATAAGGGATGCAGTTCCCGTTGTGCCAAATCTGCTCATCTTTTAAAGAAAAGTCAGAAATCTGTGTTTTTATATAAAACATCCTGATTGTTAAATACTGGTTACTAAATCAAATGCTTTTATAACTTCACTTGGGCCAAGCAAAATGTGTCATTGGCCATATTCAAGCTTCCAGATGTCAGCTTGCAACCCCTGCCTTGCATTTCAGAAGAAGGGGGAAGAAAATTTGATTTCAGGCTACTTCTGATTTCTTATGTATCAAAATTCCTAAGGCAAGAAAACATGAGAAAAACTGTCTATAGGGGAATGAAGAAATGAGAATCTACAGGGAAAAAAATATAAATTAATATTTCAGTAAAGTATCCTGCCCCATGGTGTATACCAGGAGTCAGAAAATTATGGTTCACTGGCCAAATCTAGCCCACTTCCCTGTTTTGTAAATAAAGTATTATTGAAATTGAGCCACACTCATTTGTTTCTGTGTTTGGTTTCTCTCATGCTACAATGGTGGAATTGAGTAGTTGCAATAGACTGCAGCTTGCAAAGACTAAAATGTTATTATGTGGCTTATAAAAAATGTCCAATTTCTGATGTATATCATCCTACACAGTGTCATTGGAGGTAGGAATCATAGAAACTTAAAACTAAAACCTCTTAAATCCATTTGCTAACTTTCAGGCTACAGTGAGGGTATTTTCATTCTAAGAAAAGGTTGTGATTTGGCTGGATTGCTGGTAGCAACTGAGTGTTCCTGCTGAGCTGGGCCTATAATTAGCAGGTGTACTCAACCTTGGCTGCTTTCTCTGTGACATGATAGTTAAAGCTCATAATTCAGCAGATTTATTCTAGTCAAGAAGAAGAACAAAATACACTGAAGGCTATGCTTTCCATTCCCTTCCATGGTGTCTTTATTTAATAATCAATGACATGTGTCACTTTAGAGCATAATTCTTCCCTGTCAAGACCCAAAAGCTTAGAATGAGGCTATCATTCCCGAGTCTCCAGGTGTGTTTAAGCAGACTCTTTAAATGGTTTCTAAAAAAAAATCAGTTGATGTTTTAAGAAAATAATATTAATCTTCCTTACACATTTTTTATAAAAACAAATAGCTTGCCACCGCCTTATGTGGTAGAAACAGTCATTGACCAACAGGTGCTGCTCTTCTCCAGAAGTGCACAATTCATTAAGAAGTTAATAAACTGGTAAGGTCTACAAGCATCTGAATTATTCAACCTAAAGCATCATTATTGCTATAGTTTCACTCAGAGGCTATGTTTCACCAACTACACAAAAAAATGAAATAAAATAAAATGACCCTAGGACTTCTGGTTCAGGACCAAGATGGCATAGACACATTTCTTATTCTTCCTGCTAACTACAGCTAAAAACCCTGCACCATATTATATAGAAGGAAAACACAAGGAGATGTCAAAAGGTAGAGAAAACCTTGGGGCCCAAAGAATGACACAGTGGTATCAATGAAGGTGATCTGGAGAATTTAGATGTCCACTTTTACCTGGAGTAATGGGCTGGATCCCCCTTCACCTGCCAGTGTAGTGTCAAAGGAGGCTTGTGAAAACATAAGGCTTAAATAACATCTAGAGTTTTATAAAATAATATCAAAATACTCAGCATACAATCAGAAATCAGTTATCATATCAAGAACCAGGAAAATGTAAACTCGAATGAGAAAAGACAGCAAATCTTCTGGCACTTTGATTTTGGACTTCCCAGTCTCTAGAACCATGAGAAATAAACATCTGTTGTTTATAATCTACTCAGTTTATGGTAGTTTGTTATATCAGCCTGAACGGACTAAGATATAAACACCAAGATAACACAGATGTAAAAATTATCCAACAAACATTTTATAGCAACTGTCACAAAAAATGATTCTATAAGCAATTGCAATTACACTGAAAAAAATAAAAGTAGAACGTTTCAGCAAAATAAAAAAATAGAAGACATAAAGAAGAGCCAAATGGACATGTTAGAACTGAAAAATCCAATAATCAAAATTAAAAACTCAATGGATCGGCTAAATAGCGTAATGGTGCAGACAGAGGAAAAAAATCAGTTATACTGAATATAGAGCAACAGAAATGACCAAGTCTGAATAACAGAGCCAACATAAACTAACAAAAAAACTGAACAAATTCTGAGGGACCTGTGGGATTATAACAAAAGAGCTAACATTCATGTCATTGGAATACCAGGAGAGGAGAAAGAGGGTGGTGATTAAAAAAAAAAAAAGTAGACCAAAATTTGGCAAAAGTAATAAACAATAAATGAAAAGCCAAGTAAATCTCAAACAGGTTAAACCCAAACATCCATACGAAGACACATTATACTCAAACATCAGAAAAATAAAGGAAAAAGATCTTGAAATCAGCAGGAGGGAAAAGCCACCTTATCTATAGGATTAAAACAATTTAAATACAATGAATTTCTCACCAGAAACTAATTTAACAGAAAGGACAGAAAGAAATGATACATTTTTCAAGTGATGGAACAAAAGAACTGTCAATGCTAAATTCTATATTCAGCAAAATTATTTTTCAGGAATGAAGGGGAAATAAAGACCCTCTCAGATGAAGAAACACTAAGAGAATTTGTCACCAGTAGACCATTCCTAAAGGAAGTCCCTGAAACAGAAAGGAAGTGATTAAAGAAAGAATCTTGGAACATCAAAAAGAAATAACAGGAAGAACAGAAATATGGGTAAATAACGTACATTATTCTCTTCTTGACTTTTAGATTATAATTGATGGTTAAAGCAAAAGATATAAGTGTGGTGTGATTCTCAACATATATAGAGTAAATATATAAGGTAACTATATTATAAATAGAGGTTTATGAGGACTTTCATTAAAGGACTTTAATAGAGGTGAGGTTTGTACCCTTCATTCAAACTTGTCTGTATCTTGATAGCAGTGGTTGTTACATAAATTATACATATGATAAACTATCTCAGAACTACATGCACACATTTTACCAATGTCAGTTTCCTGCTTTTGGTATTGAACTATAGTTACATAAGATGATATAGATGAAATGTTCATGTCCCTCCCAAGTTCATATGCTGAAACTTAATTCCTCAATGTGATGGTATGAAGAGGTGGGGCCTTTGGGGGGTGATTAGTTCTGACAGTGGGTCTCTCATGAATAAGATTAGTGCCTTTATTTTTTTAAAAAATACAAAACAAAAAACCCCAGAGAGCTCCTTTGCACTTCTTCCATGTAAGTTTACAGGGAGAAGACAGTTGTTGACAATCCAGGAAGCAGGCCTTCATCAGACAACAAATCTTCTGGCACTTTGATTTTGGACTTCCCAGTCTCTAGAACCATGAGAAATAAACATCTGTTGTTTATAATCTACTCAGTTTATGGTAGTTTGTTATATCAGCCTGAACGGACTAAGATATAAACTATAACCACTGGAAGAAACTGGGTGAGGTGTTATCAGGACCTCACTATATTATCATTGTAACTTTCTGGAAATCTATAATTATTTTAAAAACTGTTTAATACTTTGCAATGATGAAAAAGTTCTGGAAATAGATAATGGTGATGATTGCACAACATTGTGAGTGTACTTAATGTCAGATTTGTATACTTAAAATGGTTAAAGTGGTAACTTTTATGTAATGTATATTTTTCTACATTTTAAAAAATGACTCTTCCTGATATTATCAAATTAAATCTCTTAGAAAATATGAAAATGATCTTGGTCAAAGACAACAAATGCTATGAGACTGCTGATCATGGAAGATTGATTCACTTGCCCTGTACATTTCATTCTTTCAGCATTTAACATTTTAAATGGATTCATTTTTTAGATTAAAAAAATCAAAAAGTAAACATTCCCATTCACCTCTCTTCTCCTCCTTAAAGATGTTTGGTGCCATCTGGTGATAAGGTAAAAAGATTGGGTTTCCAGAGGGATTAGTATAGGCTGCTTAAAGTAGTAAGTTAGCAGAGAGGTTTTTAACTTGCAGTGACAAATGGCTTTGGGCTATGATCAAGTTCTACAAATAGATTAAGCCCTTTTTCTTCTTAGAAATAAAACTGGCCTGTCAAGTCCTAAAAATAGGTTGCTAATCACCTGGCCTATTTTCTCACTGATTTTATTTTTTATTTTTTCTCTTGGCCAGAACTCAGTAATTCTTACCTAATTAAGAAATTAAGTGTAAAATTCTTTAATAGGAGCTATTTCCTTATAAATTGTCTCCTTTAATGTGTTTATAGTTTCTTATATCAAAAAGTACAACTGCAGAAGGAAATAAAATATCTAAGCAAACCCAGTCCCAAGGAAATGTCAACTGCCACAGGCAACTCGAAGCTCTTTCTTAAATTTTGTCTACCCCAGATTTTCCAGTAAATAAAAGCTTTTAATTTGAGATTAAATTTGATGTTGTTTGGACTTTCACAATTAACATTATTGAGTCTGTTAAAGAGCATTCTTGGAAAAATCTAATCTACCCGTTGCAAGAGAGCCTCTACTTCCAAGTCATCTAAGACTGTAGCAGAAACATCAACCTCTTCAAGGGGCCTCATGTTTTAGTGGCACATTTCTCTAAGCCCTTTTAGAAAAGAGAAGTTTTTCTGCCATTTGATTTTGTTCACTTAATTCATTTCCCTGTGAAGGCAAAGTCTTCACAATTTTCCAGGCAAAATGTCTGTGAGAACCAGCAGGGCATTTTATACCTCCTATGATGGAAAAAACACCACCAGCAATAATCGTTCTTTTATTTTATTTACGTGCCTTCTTGTTCCAGAATTTAAGGCAACTGTGGTACTAATAGGAGCTGCCATTTATTAAGTGTTCACCATGTGTCAGGGGCTACACTGGGCATTTTTATGTGGAGGTTAAGGGCACAGGTTCTGAAGCTAAACAGAACTACTTCAAATGCCCGTTCCACCACTTAGTACTTCTATAACCTCATGCAGGTTATTCTGTCTTTCTTAGCCTCTCCAATTGTAAAATGGGGAAAATTATCGTTCTTATCTCATAATGGTGAGGTTTAACTGAGATGCTGCAGATACTTTCACATAAGCCCTAACAGGTAGAAAGCACTCAGTAAAGGCACGTCTAATTAATACTAATTTAATCTTTGTAAGTTTACAAAATAATAGTGTTCTTCAACAGAACACAGGCTTAGAGAGAGTAGACAATTTTCCCTCAATAGGCAGGGTTTGAATCTGTGTTTCTCTGCCCTCACAGTCTATGATTCTTTCCTCACTGCTGTGATTCAATCTCTTTTATTCATTTTATTATTGACAGTAATGCTCATAACAGTCATGTTATTGGAGGTTAAAAAACAAACCCTAATATGGGTTTATTAGCTCTCACAACAGCTTTCTCTTCCAGGAATTTCCTGTCTCTACTAATTTTTCCTCTGTCTTTGGCAAAGTGAAGGCTCTGATGGCTGGATCACAAAATTTCATGAACTATGGTTGTGCTGAGAAGGAAAAAGCAGCAGGATTGCGGGGGTGGGGGTGGGGGAGCATCGGGGGACACCCAGAGCGTCAGATGCCTGGGCCAACTGCCTATGCTCAGTTAGTTCTCAGACTTTGCTAGCCCCGAGGCGGCAGGACTGGGCCCTCCACGTGTCCATTTGGCTGGAATACTGCTGCATTTAATCTGAGCTCTTTAGGTACACAACAGACATGGCTGCAAACTGCTGGTGCCACTCAAGTTGTTTTATTACATGGTATTGCTCAACAGGGTTGCCACACAAGACATGACTGCTGCCATTGAAACATTTTTAACCCTGCAATGGTTACTAAAGCTCATCTTCCCATTCTGACTACCTTTTCTAATTGTGACTCGCTTGTTTGTCTAGACCTTGTATATGTCATGTTTCACTTTTTCCTTTATTTAGTTGGATCAGCAAGATTTATTTCTTCTCCCTCCCTCTCTCTCACTCCCTCTTCCTCTTCCTGTTCTTCTTCTTCTCCTCCACTTTCTCCTCCTCCTTTATTATTACTATTATTTATTAGTATCACTATTATTATTATTATTGTTGCTACTAGGTTGTCTCATGCCTCTCTAAGCTCATCATTTCTCCTTGGAAGCTACTCTGAATATTTCCTAAAACTTCTTTTAAAATAGTTTTCCATTTAATAAGTAAGGTTGAAAACCCATGCCTGCAACTCTTCCTGTCTGGAGCAGGTTATTCAATTTCTCTTTTTTTAATGACACCTGTTGCCTGATAAAAATGTATTTCTACAACTAGTATAAGATTACCCCCTCACTAGTCTCAGTCTACCTGATTGAAAACTCCCATTTTAGTTGTATGGCTTTGGCTGTCACCTTTGTAAATTGCAGAGCTGGCTTCATGAGACACCACCGCAGCCAGGAATTCATTTCAAGCCAATATTTTTGGTGTGACCACATGTGGCTCTGTTCACTGAAACCTGCAAGAATGGGAATGTGGGCATTTTAAAATCTCACCATGCTTTCATCTCTCTTGCTGGGCTATCCTTTTGCTGACACGGACCATCATTTTCCCCTCACTCACTCAGCCTCTCTGATTTGCTTTCTACAACCCTACACATTTCTCATCAGCTTGTTGTGAGTTCTGACACATCCCAAGTAAATTATTTATTTTGACAGGTGTGTGTGTAATACACCTAATGTGGGATGAACCTAGGAGTCAGATAACCGGTTATTTCAGTCCTGGGAAACAACATCATTATCTTGTGAAATGTACTTTCAGCACTCAATCCTAGCAAGTAATGAATGATATTGTGTAACACGTTTGCGGCAATTACCTTCGGAAATGAAGACTCCCTTTGGTGCTATTGATAGAATGCAAGGTGAGATCCTTTTTCTTGTAGAAGCCAGGACTTCGGTGCGAGTCCAGCAATCAGGCAATGCAAGCATAGAACATCTATGACACTGAACTGGAGATAATGACCTGTCCACCCTTCTGCCCTGCAGACCTCCAATCCCCATTCACTTCAGGCTCAGCCTAGCTTCAGGCTCAGAGACCAATCCTGATTCTAGTTGAGAGAATTTAAGGATCCTTAGACCAGGTGCCCCGTTACTTTACATCAAGCCAGTTTTATTTGGTTCCACTGTGGCGACAAACCCTGGTTAACATCATTGGACCACCCATGTGTCCATGGTAATGAGATCTCTGGCTCCTTTCTGTCATGTGTTCAATTGAACACCATTTAGTTTTGGGGCACCCAGCTTCCAAACACTGGCTCTTTCTCATGGGCACATGTGTTATTTTTTTCAGAAGACCCCTGAGGCAAACTGGCCTCCTCCTCTACTCTGTGGCCCTGAATGTGGCTCAGCCCTCAGCAGGTGTGCATGTCAACCCCTCAGCCACCTACTCCTCTGTTCTGCCGACTTAAACCCCAGCTACTCTCACCGGCCCCCAGGTCTTGTTGCCATACTGATTGTTGCAGGTGCTCCCTGCACCTCTTCCTGCGTTCTCCATCTCTCAAGTCCAATCTCCCCTGCACCCTTCTCCGCACCCCTACAACATCACACACAACTTTCAAATGAGGCAGCATCACCCATCCCTTACTTACTGGGATAAATTTCTTAGACATTTCTGACTGTAGGGAAGTTAGCGCATAGTAAATTCCATCCTGTGGAGGGGAGAAGGGTTCAGTTTTCTCCAAAGGGCAACTTCCTTTTCCCTTCTTTAGTTTTCTTTATATAAGCAAGATGGGAATGGGTGCTGCCAGAATGGCGAGGACCACCCCCCAAAAAACATACACATATATACACATACACACATACACAGCCAAGAATTATCCTGACCTCAAATATCAACAGTGCTGAAGTTGAGACACCCTGCTTAGGCCCCAGCCCTCTCCATTTCTGTGGCCTGCCAGCCACCATGTAAGCCCTGCTTTAACCAGTTACATGGTTCATACTGTGGATCCTTTACCAGTTGTTTGAGGGTAAGTATCATAAAATCACTGTCCTTTGATAACCATGTTTCTATGTGAACCACAACCGACCCAACCCATAACCCATACATGTAATCCTCTAGTGGACTTCCTCTCTGAAGCCATGACTTTTCTATCTCCTCTGCATCTTTATATCTTGAAAGTTGGTCTAAGACTAAGTTAAACCAGAATTCATTGATGAATAGAGTAGACATCAATTGCCATGATTGCAAGTTTCTGAAACGTTTTTCCTGGAGTTGTTCCCTATACACAAAGGTGGACTCCCACTGGCTATACACATCCTTTGGACATAGCTGGAAGACACCTGAACCAGTTTTGGCCTCTCAGATTTTGAACCTTGATAGAGGAACACAGGGAGTGGACGTCTTGAGGGGCTTGCTAGGTCATTCCATGTTCTGGCCTTCCCAGAGGCCTGGATCTTCCGCTTTTTCTCCAGTTGTGTAAGAATCCCTAATCATTTCAATACTCTCATTTTTTGTTTAACTAGTAAAAATCTGTTTCTCTTGATTGCCACTAAAACAACAGTTAATAATCCAAAACAAACACTATACCACACCTCCATCTACTTATAGAAAATATTTGCGGTACTTCATAAGAAAAGCATTGGCAAAATAGACCAAAAGCTATTCGCAGAAAGCAAAAGATTAAAACCAATAAATTTGAGGATAAGCAAATATTTTCTTCTGTTTGTTTTCTCCTTCTCCACTTACACCACCCCCAAGAAACATACACATGATTTTCCAACTTTTCTTTTCCTTCTTCATTCAAATAACTGACAATACTATGTTCTAGATTAGGAATGGTCAACACTTAGTGCACTATACTAATCTGTAGAATATTTGGTAATTTCTACCCCTCATCACCCACTCCCAGGATATTCTGATTAAGTAGTCCCAGTGAGGGGCCATCCACAATTTTCTTTTTTTTGAGACGGAGTCTCACTCTGTCGCCCAGGCTGGAGTGCAGTGGTGCGATCTCGGCTCACTGCAAGCTCCGCCTCCTGAGTTCACGCCATTCTCCTGCCTCATCCTCCCGAGTAGCTGGGATCACAGGAGCCCGCCACCACCCATGGCTAATTGTTTGTATTTTTTAGTAAAGACCGGGTTTCGCTGTGTTAGCCGGGATGGTCTCAATCTCCTGACTTCGTGATCCGCCCACCTCGGCCTCCCAAAGTGCCGGGATTACAGGCGTGAGCCACCACGCCCGGCCCACAATTTTCAAGAGCTGAACAAATGATTTTAACATGCAGCCATGACGGAGAGTCAATTTAGGCTTTTTTTATTATTATTATTCAGAGTCATACATTCCAAGGATCCAACAAGATCTATGAACATACTCTCCAGAAAAATCCATATATCCCATTTATTCTACTTTCAATATCAGGGGTAAACAAACGCCCAAGCCCATTCATCACTGTTGGTTAGAACGCTGTTTCTAGACACTGTTGGGAATTGGAGGAAGCAGGGTAAGAAGTTAAAAATAACACATAGTCCCCATCTTTGAATAACTCACTTTAGCAAAAGGTCATAGAAATATAAACCAATAGTTTTTCTCAGGCCCACCCAATATCTTTCAGCTTACTTCTAACTCACCTATAGTATAGTCTTTGAGGTCTTTCTCTCACGCTAAGTATAAATAGCAGTTTACTTATCTTAGAACTGGCAAAAGTTGAAATGGGATCCATCATTTAAACTAAGTAATTGTGCGGAAATTAGTTTGAATCCTTTTTGCGCTTAGTAATTTTTGTAATTATGCGTATGTTTACTCATTTATCTAATATTTGGGTTCACATATATGAATTGTGTACTATTTTCCAAGAGCTAACTTTTATAAGTATGCTTGGGTATTGCATTGTGTAAACTCCCAGAAGTTGAGGAATGTGGATGAAATGCCTAATGCAGTATGTCTGATAAACACTTGCTAAGTTTGGCTGTGTCTTCTGATTCTCAGTTCAAGTTGCACCTCCAAGGAAAAGTACATTGGTAGCAAGCTATGGACATTCACTGGCCCTGAAATCTTGGATGTCTTTGATGTAATGAAAACGGCACAGGATGAAGAGTGAGAGTACCTTGATACTGGGCCCACCTCATGCAGCTTTTCCCAGCTGCACAAATCTGTATGAACTTAACTGCTTTTAACCTCCCTTCCCTACCCATAAGGGAATCCACAAAGATCATGCGCCTGTTGAGTAATCCTCACTCAATGAAACATAATAAATTTTAAAAGTATTTTATCAATCATAAATTACTTCACAAATAGTAGTATGGGAGACAGACTGGCATAACAGAATGAGGGTGGCCTTGGAGTTAGATAAACCTGGCTTCAAATCTGACACTTTTTGTATTTAATAGTAATGTGATCCTGGGAAAGTCACTTAACCTCTATGAGCCTTATCTTACTCTTCTATAAAAGGGGATTGTTTATATTACCTTACAAGTTTGTTATGAAGATTTTATGTTAAATGCTTAGCACAGAGTTTGGTCCATAGTAAACACTCAAAATATATTTGCTCTTAATATTAATAACTACTATTATTAATATTAATTCACTAGTAGTAGAGATGGGTTTATACTCATGTAGTCATATTCTCTTGTCCCACATTTCAGGGGACAAGTTGTGTAGCACACATTTGCAAAAATGAAAAGAATTAGGTGAGCCTTTGTTCTTGAAACGGGCCACAGGAAATTTAACCCTCTTCCTGGCCTCATGAGCACAGGGCTTAAATTATGTACTTGACTTAGGAGAGACTTCTGCTAGGCCTAAAATTGTCAATAGTCAACATAGAAGACAGTGATAAAAGAAAAACTTCAACTGAATTAAATTTAAAGAAGTTTAATTGAGCAATGAATGATTCATGAATTGGGCAGCTTCCAGAGTCACAGCAGATTCACAGGGACTCCAGCATAGCCACGTGGTGGAAGAAGGTTTATAGACAAAGTAAGGGAAATGAGGTACAGAAATTGGAAGTGAGGTACAGAACGGCTGGATTAGTTACAAGTTGGCATTTACATTATTTTTACACAGTCTGAACACTCAGCAGTACTGGGATTGGTCAAGATTCTGTTACAGGCACATAATCCTAAGTTAGGTTTTCATTGTTGTCTAGCTATTAAGCTGGGTTGCAGTTTGTCCACATGGACTCCAATGTAGAAGTACAGAGTCCCTCTCAGGCCATATTTAGATCACTTTAACAACAGAGAAGAGTAAAGAGGTTATTGGCCTAATAAAGTCTGCTTCCTTCAAACGAGCTCATTTGAAATCTAATTTAAAGTTGTGACATTATGGTGTTTTTACATATCACTTTAAAAATTCTTAGAACTTAAATGGTCATTAAAAACTCTAAAGAGTAATTGTATTTTTTTCAAATGGCTGCCTGTGGTTTCAGGAGCTGCTTTTCTTCTCCTCCAGAAGGGCTTACAGCCTACTATCAAAACATCTGGCAATTACCTTGGACACTGATGCCAATCTGTCAAGCAATGAAACTTCTAATATTCCATTAGGAAATAAAGATCACTGTGACATCGGACTGCTAGTATGTTAGAATCGTTTCTGACCCTGAATTTTTGTAACGGTCATGAATCCATGGTAGACATGTTGCATGACTGAAGCAGAGCTCTGATTAGTCTTCTTAAGCAATTTCCCTTTGTGTTGCTAACCCTTCTAGACTGCTGGGGCAAAAATATTTATTGATCTCTATGTACCCAGCCACTGTGATCATTACTGGGGTAAAATGATGAAAAGATATACATGGACTGTGGCTTCATGTTTTTAAGGTTTAGAGTTTTTTATTCAAATGCCGAGACCTGAAACCTGATGCTTAAGGTTAGCATGTAAGGGGCTTTGAACCTGAATTTATTCGAAGACAACAAAGTTTAGCTGAAAGCTCATTTAGTGCCTCCTCCACTGAAAGCCTTAAAACCATTACCTTCTAAGAAAGAAATGAGTTTATTACGAAAACATGGTGCTAAAGTTGACCTTAAAAGCAATGTCAATCTCTCAGAGCGACAGAGTAGAAAGATGCCCACTTTGATGAACACAGAAATACCTATTTTCCCTACCAACTCCTGGTGCTTATCACCACTGAGTTATTTACTTCAAGCCCAGCGTTTTTTACAGGGCCACTAGAGAATGGAGTGTAACCCACTTACACCTCACCATCCCAAATGGGAGATTAGTCTGCCTGTCATTTGGCAAAGTGGAATCCCAATAAAATTACCAATAAGACAAGCTATCATTTTTAATGCTGCTTGAGAAGGGCAGGTTTAAATACAGTTTCAGAAGATCTTGAGAGCAGAGGACATTGGCAACAGGCACGGATGACAAATTGCATCTTCTTCACAGGTGTGCTAGCACTCAATGCTAAAGATGGCACCCAGTTCAAGGTCAGCAAATGGAAGGCATCCTCGCCCACAACTCTTCAGTGGACATGGCTTCTCTATCAGAGAGCGCTTTTCAGCTAAGTCCAGATGCAGGCCTGAAGTCTTCTCTGCCCATCCCTCCAGAAGGCCACTGTGATAACCTGAATTGGGAAGGAAAGAGAAGCCCCGTTGCCTTCCAAGATCACCTTCTTCTTTTTTTTTCCTCCAGGCAGATTTTCAGGCTAATTTTCCCAGGGGGAAAAAAATTAGTATCTCTCCTGTTTGAAAGCATTCTGAGATGAAAATGAAATAGAAATTGAAGATTGTTTCCATTCTTAAGGGTTTTGGTCAATCGTTTTTAGAAATTTCTTCCTGGGATTTATATTATTTTCCTCCCACTTTACCTCTCCTGTGTCCATTTTGGAGAAAAGCACCTCGTTTATCTTTGGGAGACAGTAACGCAGAAACTGTAACTGAGCCGATTTCCCCTTGAGGATCAAAATATTTGTGTTAAATGAAATGAGAAATCTGCTAAGTGGCGGCATGCATCCCCCAGGGAAGGATATTTTGTAATTTTGAAAAATTCCTACTGAAATTCTTCTCTTGCCAAGAAAAGAGGAATGATTTCTGTTAAAATTACTTCATGTCTGAATTACTCTCTGCCCCTCGGGAACATATAACATTACAGCTTTTATGCTCAGTAATTTAGAAGGACGGGGGGACACCTTATTTGGAAAGCATGCAGACTTAACACGAAATGTTGGGTATTAAGTAGTTTCACCACAAAAGTCTCGTTTTGAAAATTTTGCACTTAAACAGTTCAAATTAAAGTTCGTTTTTAGAACTGGTTTTTATGATTGTCTGTATAAGTCCTTTTAACTTTCTACTCTTATCTCACCATTCCCTGAAGCTGCAGAGAAAATCCTTTGATTGGTGTTCAAGAGTTGTACCTTTTATAGAAAACAGGATAGATGGCATCACTTTAATAAGGCAGGTGCATGCTTTGAAGCCAGTCAAATAAGTTAATTTTATTAAAATATATGTATCTGCTTCTGTGTATGTTATAGTACAGGCTTTGGAAAGGCACGAGAGATAGAAAATAGGTTTAAACTCACAGGCCAACTCTGATCAAGTATTATGGATCCCACTGGCACTGTGTTGGGAAAGATTCTGAGGCCAAATTCAGGTTCAGGGGGAAAAAAAGTGAAAGATGAGTATTCTTCTTTGATTACAGGTGGCCAATTTTAAGCACAAGCACCAAACACAGATGTCATCACTGACACGTATTAAATATCAAGAGAAGTGCCTTCTGGCTTGTGTAATTGAAGTAGTTTTCTGTGTTTTCTAATTTTCTGCAGTAAATATGTATTGTTTCTGTGATGAGATTAAAGCTATTTTTTATTCTTTTTAAACTGGAAAAATTGTTTTGACCACTTTTCTTTCAGTTGTCCTAAAGCTTGAGGAAAGTCGTTAAATTATCTTATTTGCGCCTTGTCCAGGAAAAGTCATCTTTAGAGCCAATAGGAATTCTGGAAAGGGTATAAGATCTGTTTCTATGTGATAAAAGTCAGTGGTTCTTTGAATTATTGATTATTTGAGTTAACCTGAGGCATATTCATAGACTTTACCAAGGCAAAGTTTCCAATATTATTCCTATGTTAATGGGCTTGGACTAAAAAGAAGTAGATCTAGGATGACTGGAACAGCAAAGCTGTAGGAGTATAAATGCCCTAGAAGAAGCCAGTTACCAATCTCATCTCTAGGATGGTTTCATGCTCACAAGCCCTTGTGCACTCTTGAGCGCTTGCTCTCCGCACCCACCCTGGTCCTCTTCTCTCTCTCTCTGTCTCTCTCTCTGTCCCCCTCCCACACACACATGCACATCTGTCAAAGGGAGAGAATGGTAATACCTATTTCACAAGTTGCTGTGAAATCCAAAGGAGCCAATGTATTTGAAAAGCACTTTATACACTACAAAGCCCTACAGAAATGCTAGTGCTATCACTCTGAGTAGTGATTATAAACATCCTTGATTTTCATGTTAATTAAGACAAACAGTAGTAGTATTCAAAACACAGATAATCCGAATCTATTTCCTCATGTTTTGGTAACTGACTTCTAATTAGCATAGACTCTATGTGCCTCTACGCATCTGTCATCAGAGAATATGTGGTTCAACAGGTCACAGCACAGATGAAATGGAGCCCTGAAGAAGTTGTGATGACTCTGGGTCACATTTACAGTTATGTGTGGCAGGTGAACTGAAACGTGTGAGTTTTCACTCTCTGTGTAGTCCTACTTTCCAACATATGCTACTAATTTTTATTTGTCTTTATAATAATATTTCCCTGGATTACTGCATTTGAATGAATGGTCCAGATTTGGCTGAAAATGCCAATAAAATTATTTTCCATTCACTGAGCAATTACCACCCAAGAGAGGAGACTTCACCTAGATTGGTGATACATTATTAAAACTTAGCCTAAAACAAAACACTTGTCACAGATTATCCACATAGTCAACAAATTTCACTCAAATTAGTAAATAACCTAGTTTATATGGCTAAGAAAATAAAAGCAGCATGCGATACTTAAACCTTCACATTCTCCTTTCTCTAATATTTGATAGATAAAAAATAAGAATACTTAATTCACAGAAGACTTATGTCTAAAGTAATAAATTGAAAATAATGGCTATTATTTAGTGTACACGTATTTTGTTCCAGGTATGTTCAATGTATTGCAGATAATCCTTACAGCAACTCCATTTGATACTGTCATTCCATTTTAAAGGTATGGAAACTGGGGCTCAGAAACATTAAGTAATGTTTTTATTTACTAAATAGTAACTAATTAAGGACTGAGCCTCCAAAGCATATGCTCTTTTCATCCTGCAATACTAACATATTAGTATTGAAGAGTTAATTGTAATAATTTTTCTCCTACTAAGTTAGTTCAAATGGTAATAAACATGCTCAGAAGCTCACAAAATTTTAATTATTAGCGTTCTACCAATGGCACACAAAGGTTCCTGTTTCTCCACATGGCATGCTCACTAACACTCATCTTTTGTTTTTCTGACAATAGCCATCCTGACAAGTATGAGGTGATATCTCATTGTAGTTTTGATTTGCATTTCCCTGATGTTTAATGGTATTGAATATTCCTCCTCCTCTTCCAAAAATCGTTCTTAGATGTGGTAGAGTGGCAATCAATAAGTACGTTCACTAGCTGAATCCATGAATGTGCAAGGAGTTGGTGTTGACTGGTAGAGAGGAAGGCATGAAACTAGGGGATTTCTGAGAAGGATACGAGACTGTGGGAGAGTACTTCAAGGTCACGTGGCTAAAATGGTCTGTTTCTAAGAAGGAAAAATCCCAAGTTGCATAGAAGTGAGACAAAAATTGGCTGAAATAGAATGTGTGTCTTTGGCCCTGACTATTCGCTTGTTCAAATCATTGACCTCATTGTGCATCTTTCAAGTGTAGAGCCTAATAGCAACCTAATTACATCACAGAACAAGTGTAAAGAACAACCAATGCAGTCTACTTCAGAAGTGTGCAATAGAAATTATTAAAATTAATGATCTGGGCAGCTTGCAGGTAAGGTGACTACTCCAATTTGAGCCAAGTTCTTTCAAGTTGTACTTTTTTTAAGAAAAGAGTTCTGCCTCAATCCGTTGAATTGGATTATTTAAATGAAATACACTTAATAAGTTCCCTTGGGCATCACTCGATACTTCTTTACTATTCTTTTTACCTTTTTTGTGTGTTTGATTTAACACCTGGGTAATACTAAGTGCCATGGTTACCATAAATTATAGGAGACTAAAGAAATATTTGAGAGAGCAGGAGAGATTTGATGAAATTGCTGAAAATGAAAGGTTGAGTACTATTTCCCGCACCAAACAGACTCTCCTCCTTGAGCATGCTCTGCCAACAGTGGATTTAGTTTTCATAGCCCCAGACATTTTCTAAATGGGTAAATTGCCAGCGTGACCACTTCCGTTTTTCTTTCTTGTTTAAGCCTCAACATATTTTTCACCCTTTGACTTTAATCCAAGCTAGTAAGTTATGGCCAAGAACTGAAGGCTTGATAATAAAGGGTTGTAGTAGTGGAACTCTATTGCAAAATCTACCTTGAACAGGCAAGAATATTTATATTGTAAATGTGGATTTTAGGCACATGAGATTTATGATATGTCAAAAATAAACTCCTTCCTGGTAAGTGGGCATGAATGGAGGGACTCAGTTAGGGTAATTAATAATAATTATAGCAATGTCAGGAGATTTGGAACAAGCAAGAAAGATTACTGAGTGCCTTCAAAAGAAAACTATGTACTGTTCAGAGCAGTTAATTTCAATATTACTTGTCTATAAATGAGTCTGCTTTTTAGATTTTCCTTTGAACCAGCTGTATTCACTTAGTGATGGGTTAAATGAAATTTTTGACATGTGTTTATTTTATAGCTCTGTGAGATTCATGATTTTACCTTTTAAAAAATTCACCCTTTCAGTGTTATCCTATCCAGTGTTAATAACTAACATATAGCGAGTGCTTACAAGGCTAAATTCTACAAATGCATTTTCTCATTTAAGAGATATAAGCCCATATTCCCCCCTTTAAAATGACAAATTGAGTGAACCTTGGAGAGTTTAAGTAACTTGCCCACCTAAGAGACTGAAATTCAGAAAAGTGTCCTCTGCCACCTAGAAAATGTACAAATTTCTAGTTAGCTCTCTATCATCTCTGACTAGATTAGTTCATCATGTAGAATTTATTTCCCTTTTGATAATATATTATCTTTAAGTGGATCCTCATCCACATACCTGTCTTCAATCTCACCAATACACACCTTTCTCAAACAGCTGGTAACGCAGATATTTTCCCAAGATGTTTGTTCACTCAGCCCTAGCCTAAGGATCCCTCCAAAGAGGTTGAGAGCTAAAGAAGGACAGGGAGAAGAGTTCTGAGTTTAGAAGCTGGAAAGGGGGTGGCAGTTGCAAAATGTGGATTTCTGATGTCTTTGCTGAAAACAAAGTAGCAGGCAACTGTCAAGCAATGAGAGGGCACGCAATGAAATTCGATGTTTGGGGTCCTGACACCGAATTCGCAACTCCACTCTCTATGCATTCCAGAGAAATGTCCCATCATCCCTGGCTTCCATTCTCTCTTGAATTTAGCTCTCTGCTTTTAGGCTAGATTTTGTAGCTGCCTAGGTACCTCCATTTTACTATCTCAAATGGAAAGCCCTACTAGGACTGATGAACCGTGAAATCTAGGTAGGCTGACCTCGTTGGGCCCCAGTTTCCTCAGTCAGAAAAAAAAAAAAAAAAGAGGGGAGATCCCTTTCTTTCAGCTTTAAAATGGAATGGATTCTATAATTACTCTTCATCATTAAGTGAAACGTAATTCCAAATGTGAAATGAAATATAAACCCTTTTTAGGAATTCTAAAACATTTATTTAACCCTTTTAAAATTTTATTTATTTGAAACATATTTCATTCCAAAAGGAAGCTGAGCTGACTTGCTGGACTTTTGCAAAATGTTGTCCATATATTAATGCAGGTGGAAGAGAGTCGGTGTAAAGTCAGAAAACTACATGAGGCAGGGCTGTTGTTTGCAAGTACAGAAACCAATTCTACCATTTCAGAGTAAATAATGTTCCCATGGAATCCAAGAACTGGAATGCTACTTGGCCCTGTGAATGGACAGGAACCAGGGACAGGGATGACTTTAATAATGTCTACCCCCCAACTCTGCTCCCCAAAACACACCTGAACACTCATTTCTATTATATTGTACATGGCAGAAAAAAATGTCCACAAACAACAATCACACTTATACATCAGCCAAAGAGGAACCACCTTCTCTCCTTAAAACCCAAACAGAATTTCCTGGAGAAGGAAATGGTCAAGCCTGGGTCACATACCAACCTTTTGACCAATCAACTGTGGCTATAATCTGAAAATGGTGCTCTGATTGAGACATGTGTTCTCCCCTCTTCCAATTCATTGTAACCTGTGGGCAGAGCCATGCTGTGCAAAATGGTCAACAGGGGCCACATAACCCTATTATGTGGTGTGAGAAAGAGAAGGCTGCCAGAAAACAATCGTTTGCAATAACAACTCAAGAAATGTCACCATAAGTTCAATAAGAAACCATTATTAAATAATATGGTGCTCATAAAACATTAAATTAAATAATACCAGTAACATCATTATAAACTCAAGCTAGCGGCTTTATGCACTCCTTCAGTCCATGGGGACATTTTGATACAATCAAAGGTGATAAAATTGCACTGTTATCTACAGGCTAATCAAAATCTTGATTGTCTCGGGGCTCTCATATATGGTCCCAATAAACGTCTGCACATTCCTAAAGAGTTCTTCAATTATTTTCTCAGCATTTTTCGTTTGATTCTTGGGCTTCATTTATCCCATTAAAAAAAAAGCACATTGGAACATCAATGCATATCCCAGTTTTCGCAATTGTTCTCTCTCACAATTAAGTATAATAATTAAAGTATCCTTTTTGTCTGAAAGGCAATTAAAGTCCAACTTTGAAAACATATGACAATAATATTGAATAATGTTGCCTTTGTCAGTGAGGTTGCTAAATGGGCAATAGATCTTAAAAAGCAAATAGTCTCTTTCGTAAACAGATCACTACTGAGGTTACTTAAATGGCTGTAATAGGTCCCATATACCACTGGCTGCTGTAGCAAGTTTTTCTAGTTTGCTGTTTCTATTTTTTATGAGAAATGAGCACTTTGTGGTAATTGGCAATGCCCATTGACATACTGATGAAAAATGAGTCTAAAACCACTTGGAAAGTAGCAGACAGCCAAGAAAAGAGAAACCATTAGAGATTTTTAAGAATCATATTTAAAAGAAGCTCTCAGACAGCATGAGAGATGATATACTGTCGAATGTTTAGCTACAATATCAGAATCCATAAATTGAGAGACAACAATGGCAGCTACAATATAGTTACTTAATAAATGAAGTAATCACTGCTCAACTACAGTTTTAAAACAACTTTAGCTTCTTTTCATCATACAAATCTGTCTCCTTTACTCTTCACTAAAATAGCCTCCTTGAGGGTAGAGATGTTGTCAATTTTGTTCATTATCTCCAGCACCTAGAATAGTGGCTGACAAGAGGCGACACTCAATGTTTTTTGTTTTACTGTGTTTGTTTTATTTTTATTGAAGAATAATATACGTACAGAGGAGTACACAGATAATAAAAATAAAACATTGAATTTTCGTAAACTGAGCACATCTATGCAACCAAAACCCAGATTAAGAGACAAAACCTGCCAGGAGTTGTGGCTCACACCTGTAATCCCATCACTTCGGGAGGCCGAGGTGGGTGGATCACTTGAGGCCAGGAGTTCGAGACCAGCCTGGCCAACATGGCAAAACCCTGTCTCTACTAAAATTATGAAAATTAGCTGGGCATGGTGGCGTGCACCCGTAGTCCCAACTACTCAGAAGGCTGAGGCACTAAAATCTCATGAGCTTGGGAGGTGGAAGTTGCAGTGAGCTGAAATCATGCCACTGAACTCAAGCCTGGGTGACAGAGTGAGACTCTGACTCAAAAATAAATAAAATAAAATAAAATAAAATGAGACAAAATCTTATCATTCACCTCTGAACCCCTCTGGACCCTTTCTCAGTCTCTAACTCCTATCAGTATAACTACCATCCTCACTTCAAACAGCACAGTTTAGTTTTGCTTATTTTTGGACTCTATATGAATAGGATCACATGACATGAATCGCTCTGGCTATGACTTCTTTCGATTAACACTGTGTTGGTGAGACTCACTGGTATTTTGTGTAGCTATACATTCTCCTTGCTGCAACATATTGTATTGTGTGAATGTGCCAGTATATTTACCCTTTCAACTGTTGATGGACATTTAAGTAGTTTCCAGTTTGGGAGTAATATAACTAGTGCTCTTATGAACATTCTAGTTCTTATCATTTGATATACACATTTCTTTTGGATACATATCTGGGGTGGAATTGCTGTGTTATAGAACAAACATATGTTCAGATATTTTTAGACATAAATATCTGCTAATTAATTTAATGATTTGAGCTTTAAAGGGCCTATATTTTAATTGAATTGGGGGAATAATTAACATAGTTCAACATTTTGACTTCCACATGAGGAAGCTAAGGGTGAAGTTTATTTAAGAAAGGCAGTAGAGTGGAATGCATGCTGCTACCAAGTAGCTGTGTGACCTTGAGCAAGAATCCCCTGGCCCCAATTTTTTTTACGTAAATTGAGGAATTGGAATAAGATAATTTCAGAATCACTTTCACATTCCAGTTCTAAAATTCTATTGCTTACTTGGGGTGTAATTGTGAGAGCCATGACTAGAAGCCATATTTCCAAACTTATATCCGGTATTCTCAAACTCATACTCACTATATTATACCCAGTATATCCAGTAGTCTTTATTTCATATCAGCCTTTATTTTAGTGAAATAAATTATTGATGTAATTAATTATTATCAATGTCAAGAGCTAGTAACAATATCAAGAGCTAATCTTTACTGAATACTTTTTCCAAGTGGTTTTCATGTGCTAACTCATCAAGTTCTCACAAGAATCCATAAAGAGTTGTTATGCCCATGCTTGCTTACGAAGGAGTAAACTGAGGCACAGAATGGATCAATGACCAGCCTAAGGCCACACAGCTGTTATGCAATTGAGCTAGGTTTCTTTGGGCACTACACACTACACACAGTGGGCACTACACACTTTATGTGTGGCCATCTTTAAACCTAATGAGCATCTAACAACAAATCTTTTTGCTACAACTTATGCCTGTTTCTAGCCACTTCTTTCATTGGAAACTGGTTTCTCCCTTGATTCCTGTATGTGACTTGTGACATACCCAGTCCTAACTAAGCCCCCGCTACAGCAACATTCCTCTATGTAATGCTCCCAACCTGGTCTTAGCACACTGAGAATCAATTCTTTATTGAACTCTTGTACGATCCTCCAGTGCTGATCTCTTTCTTCAACAACACTTGGACCAGTTTCTTAACTTGACTTTTTCTAACTTAATGAAAGCAGCAAAATTAACAAATCACAGATGACTAAACTTATATAGAAAAGAATGCTAAAGAGAATAGTAATATTAGGCATCATTATCTATAAGAAACTATAAATATTATGCATCAGTTGTCTGATATTAAGTTCTAAGTTTAGCTTGAAGAAAAGCTAATAGAAACCTTTAGTCATGTGGTAGGTGAATTATCTCTGCACTGATCCAATTCAGATTTTTGGTTCAGAATACTTTGGCTCCTCTTTCTCTATGTTCCATGAAGTTTAACAGGCTTTTACTTTCATTTTCTGTGTCCTAGGTTCCTGATTATTAGTAAACAGAATTCTCAGGTCTGTCTGAAATGGCTCTAATTGATGACTATTAATATAGGTTGCCCATCAGCTAATTTTTAAGGAGGCTTTACTTTCCACCAAAATACTTTGTAGTAATATGCCTATGGGAAATCCTGTTATGTAGAAAGCCTTTCTTTCTCTCTACACATAAGGTCCTGTGGTTCACAATCCATTTATTCTATAACCAATCTAAACTGATCTGTAACTGGTGCTCTGAACAAATTCCTCCATGATTTACATTTAGTCCAGCCCCAATATTTTGGGTGGGAGTGGTAGGTAAGAAAGGAACCTTACTCCGTATAGTTTGAGGTAGAAGGGTTTTCTATTCTTCTTGCCCTTATAAACTCCTTTAGAGAATTAGATCACACACACACACAAACACACATATAACCCTAATTTCTATATAAACCCTTGTTAATTTTATGTAATTGTTTAGAATACAAAAATTTTGCAATATATATTTTTGATAAAAATTTATAACAAAAATTTTGCATTGTAAATATATTTATAATAAAAATTTATAACAAAAATTTTGCATTATAAATATATTTATAATAAAATTTATAACAAAAAATTTGCATTATAAATATATTTATAAATTAAAATATTTATAATATGTATAAGCATTATAAATATTTAGGATGGCAGTTCTGCCTTGATACTTATAATCTGAAAAGTGACCTTAGTTCTCCATCTAAAGAAATGTGAAGCTACCATCTCAGCAAAAGCTGCATTCATGGATGTTTCCCTCCCTTACACTCTTGTTCTTTGGTAATCTCTAATGCTTGGGTCCCTGGTTTACATGTGACTCTTATGGAAGTTCAGTACCTGTAGCTATTTTCAAGCCTTTCCTGCTACCTGTGGTTAAGGCATCAGTAGACCTCAATGCCTCAATTAGGTCACTATTGATTGTTTGGGCAAATTATTTACTACACATGAACTAATCAGTGAACAAACGACCCATGGGAATTTTGATTAGCATCTTTCTATTTCTGCAGAACCACAGAAGAGATCCAGACTGTGGTCTTTCGGGGTTTAGGGATTATAAATCTACAGGTTAGCCCCACCAGAGGCAATCACTTCATGATTCCTTTTCTTGGCAGCAATTCTGGAGGACACATTGAGACCAACCAATGCAATAGGGTCAAGAAGAGAGGGGTGTCGAGCAGCCAAGGTGTTCAGTTAGCCAATTTCTCCATGAGTTGAGATTATTCAGTCTCTGAAGCTTACAGTACTTTATTATAATCACTCTCTTTTTTATTAAAAGTAATAACACTTCTAGTTAAAATTACCATTGTTGGTATTATTATTTTGCTTCTTAAAATACAGGAAAAGTCAATTCTTGTGATTTAGAGGGGAAGAAATAGATAAAATACTAAGATAGTTATCAAATCTCTTAACAATTAGCTATCAACTAAGAGACAAAGACAGAATGCTCAACTAGAGACCACCTTGTTCAAATCTTTGAGCCCATGCTGCCCACCACTCAGAACTGGAGGCAGATGGGACCTGAGACACATTAATATTGGGGCACTGGAATGAAATCCACAGACTCTTGCAGCAAAGGGTCCTTAGTACTGCCCTGGTTCTTGCTCATCCTAAAATACGATTTGTTGACAGAGCAGCATAGATCAGAGGAGGAAGCTATTGCTTTGGAAAAGGATACAGTTAAAAATAAAATATGTATAGTCAGTGAAATTGGAGGAATATTTTTAAGTCACTAAGATCTTATGGAAATACAGTCAAAATAATAAGGGGAAAACTGAAGAATGCTACATGAAATAAAATTAAACCTCATCATTATAGCTGAAGTTTGACCAAATGTCTGCGCATGACCCATTCTTTTTTTGTCCTGGACACAGAGATATTTCCCCACACTAAAGATACTCTAATTAGAAAAACATACATGAAAATAAAGCAAAAATAAAATTAATTAGAAGAGATCTGGAAAGAAGTGCGGGAAGTGTTAGTTACATAGATTAAAATAAAGCAAAATAATTTGAAATTTGAGAGTAAACATAAGCCAGTATCTTGGGAAGTCCTCCAGGTACCATTGACCTGGAGGACCCCCATTGTCCTCCCACTGTCTCTGATCAAGTCTAAATGGATGATAAATCATATGGCTATATAACCACATTCTCCTCCTTTCACTACTTGAAATCAACCATGGACTGGAAAGAGGAAAGAGTTTTTTCCGGAACCTTGTACAAGCAGACCTGGAGCTGCAGTAAAATAGCCAGCTGCTAAATCTGTTTGGTCTCCTTATCCATACTACTGTCTGAGGGCTAAACTTGCCCAGAATAGACAATAGAACAGAGTTCACATTCTGTGTACTCTCAATCAATCTTGAATTTCATAAGATCTGTGTACTTTTGATAAATCATTTTTTATTTAGATTGATTGGGTTGCTATTTTTTATATACAGTCTCAGACAGAAATGAAGACTCAGCTGAAGATAAATTCTTCCACTGGGAAGAAATATGATGTATTATTTTAATTTCAATCAGAAAACAGAAACCACTCTAGCTATTTCAACCGGATAAAATTTAATCTAGGGAATTGATTATCCAGGTGATTAAAGAACCAAAAAGTCAAATAGGAGATGGTGAGGCATCCCAGAAATTAACAACAACAAAAAGGGCTGGAGAAACATAGGAAGAGGCCGTGTTTTCAAATCCAGGAGGTAGTTACAGACTAGAAGTTGGACCATGAGGAGGAGTGCCTTCCAGCAGGATCTGGATACATAGAAGATGCACAGAGATGCTGCCAAAGACCTGACCAAAAGCAGAGAAAAGAGAAGGCATACCCTGGGTTCTCTCTTTTATATATTCTTTGTACCAGTGTATCCCATTGGCCAAACCTGAACAGACACTAGAGGACTGGAAGCCTGACAAATGTAGTTTCTTATAATACTGGCCAGGGCAGAAGAAAAAGACAGAGTATGGATCTGAAAATAACCAGGCCAAGATCTGCCCTGCATGGGTCCCAGGAAACAGTTTGTATCACACTAATAAATACCCTGCAAAAATTTTGGATGGTCTTGGGGCATAATAACATAATTTTAAGTTTTTTGATTCTCTCTATATTTTTCCCTTTTTACTCATTTTATTCAGATCCTCTACATAATGCCTCAGAGATTTTTGCAAGACAGAAACCATAAGTTATGTGAAATCATAAACTCTTCTTATAGAAAATAAATGTTGACTAGAGGCAGATACCATACTAAAGATACTAGAGAAGGAGGGAAGAGAGGAATGCACCCATGTGAGCAGCAAGCAAAAGGGGAATAATTCCAGACATTGCAGAGGACTGAATACAGGTATCCTGGGTATCAAAGACTCACATGCTGTTGTGACACTCTAGAAAAAGGCATGCCCACAGGTTGGGGGCAGGAGGAACTGGTGTCCCAGTGCAGCCTAAAATCTAAGCACAGGATATCTTTGCTTTGCCAAAGAGTCCCATGCCCTGAACAGGGTCCAGATACAGAAGAGCTTTTGGATGCAAAGGGAACGTGCAAACTGAGGTATCACATGCATCAAAAGGAGCCAATAAACTTTGGCTAATTCCTCATCCCAGACTTCTCTACTCAGGCTTAACCTCAATATCCACATCAGTCCTAGCAGAAAACAAATCCATACTCGAGAGAGTTTAACTAAAGAATTTAACAACAGAAGTGAATAGTTAAGTCTTGAAGAGGATTAAGGAAATCAGTAAGGATAATGAAACCTTGGAGAATGTCTTTATATCTCAGGCCTGAAAGGGAAAATGGAGAAAATGGTGTTACAAGGCCCCATAAAAGCTGAAACTGTGAAGTGTGAGCCTTCCACCAAGTCCTGAGGTCTTAGCAGAGTACATTCACTACTGCAACTAGGATGAGAGACAAAAGGAAGCAAAAAGAATGAATATTCCAACATTTTTCTCTTCTTGAAGCCAAAGAACAGGTAAGCCCAGCTGAGAAAATCTGTAGGGTCCTAGGGTACAGAATAGGGCAGAGAAGGGCTAAAAATGGCAAAGGTTAAATGAAAAGCAACCAACACCTGGTAATTCCAGATTTTGTGGGGTCTCGGATTTCTGCAGTTTGGGGGGACCACTTCAAAAAATAATAGTATAAAATTTAAAATACAAATTAGGGGTGGAAGTGCATATTTGTTTAGATTAAGAAATCACAACAAACAAGGAATTTGAAATAGCTGACAAATACTCAACTGTCACAAAATTTAAAAAAAACCCAATACAGTTTTATAAACTAAGTGCCTAAGATACCTTTATAATGTATGCATTCTTTACAGTTTTGACTATAAATCTTTTTATCATCTCTTCCTATAAGAACAATTTCCTAATATCAATTCCTATAAAAGAATAGAAAGATAATTTAATCTTTTTTGCTTTTGTTTTTGATATAGGGTCTGGCTCTGCTGCCCAGGCTGGAGTGTAGGGGCACAACTGTGGCTCACCTTAATCTCCACCTTCCAGGTTCAGGTGATCCTTCAAGCTCAGCCTCCCGAGTAGCTGGGACTATAGGCAGATGCCACCAAGCCCTGCTAATTTTTGTATTTTCTGTGGAGGTGGGGTTTCATCATGTTGCCCAGGTTGGTCTTGAACTCTTGGGCTCAAGTGATCTACTCACCTTGGCTTCCCAAAGTGCTGGGATTATAGGTGTGACCCACCATGCCCAGCCCTTAATCTTTTCTATAATAATAAATCAAAATTAGTTTTGTTATTGATAACTGGGATACATAAAATATGCAACTTCACAAAAACATGTACTTGTTTGTACACTCCCATTGTAAATTTGTACCCTAAAAACAAGAATTATGACAAAATAAATTTTAAAAATGTGTATGTTGCTTTTACAGTAATATATACTGCTTTATCAAATATATTCCTAACAGCAGAGCACTTTCATTTTGACTAGATGTTGATGAGAACTGACTCCTCCACTAAAAATTAAACATGTCTGATGATTAGAAGAATTTTTCAGAGACCAGCTTCAGGTTCCATACATTGCAAATCTATTTTTCTCTCCATCATTCACATTTCTACTTCTGGGAACCAGAGAAGTAATGGTTCTATACACTGAAGATTAATAATAGCTTCACCACACACAATAGCAACTAAAAAATCACATAAATATTTTTCACTAAACTCAAACTAAATGTCATGAATTCAATTTTCCCTAAGCTGGATCTTATAAAAGCCTGAAACGTAGTTAAATGGAAATATTGTTCAATGAGACCTGTAGATTTGCATTTAAATTAAAAGCCTAATATTCTCATGATGTATTTTTTAATGTGTGTGTGTGTATATGTATTACCTATTACCTACTTCTATTTACACAAAGGTCTAAAAGTAATGACCACCTAAGTGGTACAGAGCACCCCTAGTGTTGAGATTGTGGTTTCTAAATACCATCTCCACAAAAAGAACCTTGTATCATTGGAGAAGTGACTGATTTCAGGTCTGGTAGAATAAATTCACAATATGAGCCTGAAACATCTTGTCATACCAGAAAGCAAAGAGGCTATCCCCATTCACTAGGGTCATGTCAAGAGATAATTGGAGTCAAGTTAAAGCAAAACTCCCTATCAACTAAAGATGAAACACATCAAATTTTTTTTAATCAAGGTAATAAGGATATATTTTTTAAACACCTCTTTTGTCTCATTTGAAAGCTGTTAAAGCAGCAACTCCTCATTCTTCATCTGGTAAATAAAGGGGAGATAAAATTCAAGCATTTATCCTGCCTTTCCTACACAAACTGTATTCCAAAGGAGTCAAATAGTTGACGAGGAAGAATTCTTGGAGAATTCCATTTAGTAACTGCAGAAGGGATGATTGAATTAGAATATCTCCATTTTTAATCCCCAATGAAATAATAGGTCAACACAATGGTCGTCATGATTGCTAAAACTAATGATTCATGAATCGGGCTGATAGCACCTGAATCCTTAGGTAATCTTAACATTAAAAAATAAATAAATAAAGTAAAAAATTAAATACAGCAGACAGAGTATGTGTGTGTGTCAAACATCATATGCTTCTTATGTGATACAATGACAAAAATAGAGCATCATCTATAAAAAGTGTTTTCAAAAAAATTGAACATGAATAAAATCAAGCATCTAGATATAACTTTCAGTTTGCAAGAAATACACAAAAGATAGATGACCATACCAAATGCCATCACAAGGATGTAATAGGCTGACTCGAGAGTGCAGGATATTCTATGAAACAAAAGATCCAGCTTCTTCAAGCAAAGAAATAGCATTTTTAAAAAGAGAGAAGAAAACTATTACACCTTAGAAGAGTTTTATAAAACCCATCCTCCAAAAGCAATTTGAATCCTAATTCAAATAAACCAATTGAAAAAGAAAAGATATTTATGGAGCAGTAAGAAAAAAGTTGAATACTGACAGCATATTAGATTATATTAAAAATAATGTTAATTTTTAAGATATTAAGAATGGTTAAAAATAGTGTTCTTGTCTCTTAGAGATACATACATCAATATATAGGGGTGGAGTTATATCATGTCTAGTATTTACTTCAAAATCATCCAGTAGAGTAAGGCAGAGGTGAGAAGGTACAGATGAAACAGGGCTGGCCATACATTGATAATAGTTAAAGCTGTGTCATATGCTCATCAAGGTATATCATACTATTCTCTCTAACTTTGTATAGGTTCAAAAACCTCCATAATAAATTTTAAAGCAGTTGATAAAAAATAAACTTTCCATGAGGTTCACTAAAGTTCATGGAAAAGCAACTTTCTTCTTGTACCATCAAGATGAAAGTGACCAGTGTGGAGGTTCACATCTGTAATCCCAGCAATTTGGAAGGCTGAGGTGGGAGGATCCCGTGAGGCCAGAAGTTTGAGAACAGCCTGGGCAACATAGCAAGATCTCATCTCCACCAAAAGATTAAAATTAAAATTAAAAAATTTTCTGGGTGTGCTGGCATGCACCTTGTAGTCCCAGCTCCTAGGGAGGCTGAGGTGGGGGCATTGCTTGAGCTCAGGAGTTCAAAGCTGCAGTGAGCTATGGTCATGCCACTGCACTCCATCTTGGGTGATAGAGCAAGACCCTGTCTAAAAAAAAAAAAAAAAAAAAAGTTGAGGGGGAATTCAACTTAGGCCTTTAAATCTTTAAGAGAATTTGACAAAACAGTGATTCTCTTCTCTTTTTCTAATCCCTAAATACTGCCTGCTTTGTCAAGTGTTCAAGGGCAACTCTTCACTGATTAAAGGGGGGAAAAAGCAATTGAGCCTCAAGAAGCAATTGTTCAAATTATTTATGTCATCAGCTTGATCACAGTCTTCTGAGTGCCAGTGAGCTCAAGATCCGTACTGTTACTCTTAACTTCCCCCTGAAATAGCTAAAATGCTAGAATTCTGTATCTGATCCACCTCCTTCCTCTGCCCCCAGCAGCCTCTAGAGTCTTTGCTCTATAGAAACTTAATGCTCAATGTTTCTACACTGCGACACTGATAAAGTATGGAATTCATTAGAATTACAGAACCTCGAAATCCATACATGATAATTTTTTTAAATGTCTGAATATATCATGCGTTAGACAGTGACACCTATTGGTGAAATGTAGTGTTTTCAACCAGAACTGCTGAACATTGTACTACAAAACCTCTGGAAGTCAGACACAATGGAAAACAGCCAGACTGAACTGGGCGAAATCCATGGTAGGAGAACATCACTTTTACACGCTTTTGCCTCATTCAAATACTCTAGGTAATTTGACTTAGACACAAAGTGAGTTCGTCTATGTCTTTACAGACAATATTTTTGTTTACTGTAGCAAATATTCAGCTTATACTGTAGTGATTTGCCTTAAATTGCAATTAATTCTTTTCTTAATTGAAGTTTTAAAAATTCTCAATGTCACTTTGTTCCCCTAAGTGGACAAAAATTGTATGACCCTATCTTGATTGATTTTTTTCTTAAGTGACACTATCTGAAAGCTCACAGATTGCAAATCTGGAATCCAAGTTAATGAAAAAAATTTTTTTTCTATGCTCAAATTAGGCAAAAGATAAGGAGATTAAATTTGGCATTGTAAATATGGAAACTAGGGACTTCTAAGTATGAAATAAATACTTCTTACTTCTACCAAGGGTAGAAAGAAAGGAAGGATCCATTATTAAAAAATCAGATTGTAAGAACAAAAACAAGGAAAATGAGGAAAGTCAAATCCCATTCAATTCTCTAAAACACCCAGCATGCCACAGGAGCAGCCTACAACTCCTCCTCTTGCTCATCAAAAGTCCTCACCTCACTCATTAGAAAGATCTGTATAGCTTATGAAAATAATTTATATAACTTAGAATCATTTGTAAACACATAACATTATTATATTTAAAATATAAATATATTTATATTCATATAAGTATATATTAAATGTATTTATATTATAAAATTATATTATAAAATAACTTTAATAATAAAACCAATGGGAAAGTTAGACTCTAAGTAATTTATTTTACAGCTCAACATCAATACATTGCATGGTGAGAGATACCTGAAGCTAGAAGTACCCTTGAATCCTGTCTTCTGCCTGATATAAAATAATTTTCACTCTCAAATTGCCCATTCATTTCCTTGCACCTACTTGATTTTATCATAATGGCTGGTATGAGGTTTTTTCCCTGCTTGGTTCTGAATTCATCCTCCTCTGTGCTTCCCTCTTAATCATTTCTCCTCTTTAGAATCCTGGCCTCCTTCCCTGAGTGACACTATGAAGTCAGCCTTGACTTCAGTAAGGCACAAAGGAGCACTAACATGTTATTTTCCTCTGCTGGCTCTCTCATCTCCCCGCCCCTCTCCTTCCTGTTTTAATCAATTCCTGCAGAGTACTTCGAGGAATCCATTCTCAGGCCCTAAAGTCCCTGCGTGGCCAAGTTGCTCACTGGTACGGGGAGCTGAAGGTAACAAGGATAGGCTTCACTTCTCTGAGAGCAAGAAGGGAGCCTGTATATTCATTGCAGAGAATGCGGCAATTGCATCAATTTTGTGGCAAGAAATTCGACACTGCAAAAAACGGGGACTGGAAGGGTTGGGCCTAAGGGGAAAAAAAGGGAAAAGAAGAAAAAGGAAGAAAGAAAGGGAGGAAAGGAGAAGAGAGAAAGAAAGAAAGGAGGGAGAGAAGAAGATTAAAGTAAAAGAGAAAGAGAGAGAAAGAAAAAGAAAGGAAGAAGGAAAGGAAGGAAGGGAGGGAGGAAGGAAGGGAGAGAGGAACAAAGCAAGGAAAAGAAAAGAAAAAGAAGCCCTCTGAAATGATTCATACTCTGCTAATCTTTCCAAAGGAAGAAAAACCTGTTAATGACAGATTAGGACAGCAGTCTTGTAGTTAATTTTTATTTTCTATTACCATCATCAAAATATGTTTAAGGAGGGCCCTTGCCAAATTAAAATCAAGAAAGATTGGCCATCTGTGAAAGTTAAAGGAACATGGAAAGAGTCGGAGAACAGAGGAACAACTCAGGGTATAAAGAAGCATTTCTTTAATTCATGATTGTTTTTTGGGTTGTCCTTGTTTAACATAGGCATGCAGGGTAGAAGAATTTGGAATCTTTAAATAAATAAAACATTGCAATCATGCTGAGTTATTCAAGTCATTCACTCAGGGAGTTGGCCCCAAGAGAGTTAATTAGAATCTCTTGGGGATGAGCAGGTTCCATTTGCTGTAGAAGCCAAGTGAAGCCTGAGAGGAAGCAGTTGTTGGAAAAGTTAGAGCAAGGCTGATGGTTCACGAAGACAAATTAGAGCCTGAGAGAGCTTGGTGAACTGATGCAGATGCTGGAGGAGCAGAATCTTAGTGAACAGGTTCAATGTTTTATTTAAGCATACTGACGCTGGTTACCAAAAGCTGAGGCCCTATTAGCTGGAAGGGTTCAAGGCTGTAATTCTCTTGGTAGCAAAATAGGAATAAGTCAGTGGTTCTCAAAGTCTGGTCCCAAGACCAGCAGCATCAGAATCAGCATCCCTTGGGAAATTATTAAAAATGGAAATTCTTGGACCTCATTCCGACTCACTGAATCAGAAACTGTGTTGCAGGGACCCGCTCAGATTGCTTTGTCTACTGAAGTGTGGGAGTCACTACAATAAACGACTGGAATAAATGACTGAAATGGTTCAAAACTCTGATTATAATTAAATAGTGATTCAAGAAGTCTTTCCCATCCTGCTGCTTCACCCAGGTGGAAGCCACCATGGTCTCATGCCAAAACACCTACAACATCCCCTTCTCTGGTCTCCCTGTCTCCAGGCTCAAGGCTCTCCAGTCAACTTCTCACACTGCAAGAAAAGTGAGACTTTTAAATTACAAACCAAGTACTGTCCCTTCCTATAAATGACCTTCAGTAGTATCCCGTAGTATTTAGGATCGAGTCCAATTGGTGACCTGACTTCTGCCTTTGTCACTCCACAGCAGGCTCCCAAGCTGCTATCTCTTTGCATTCTAGGCTCCAACAAAGTCAAATTGCTTTTAGCTACTGGAATCCAGCTTTCAGGCCACTTAGCTTGCTGTTTCTACCACCTGAGGCTTTCTTTCCTTGTCTATTCATCAGCCAGTCTGGAGACAACTCAGTGGAAAGGGGCACTCCATGAGGGTAGGAGTGGTTAGAAAGAGGAAGCCAGTAAAATGTATCCCACAAAATTGACATGTTAAAGTCCTAGCCCCTGGTACCTTAGAACATAACCAACCATATTTGGAGATAAGATCTTTAAAGAGGTAAATAAGTTAAAATGAGGTCATTAGGCTGGGCCCTAATCCTGTCTGACTGATGTCCTTATAAGAAGATGAGTTTAAGATACACACATGCACTGAGGAATGACCATGTGAGGACACAGAGTGGAGACAGCATCTCCAAGCCAAGGAGAAAGCCCCTGGAAGGAACCCAGCCCTGTTGACACCTTGATTTCCACCTGCAGCCTTCAGAGCTGTGACAGTGCATTCCTGTTGCTTAAACCACCAGCCCGTGTGCTTTGTTATGGCCCAGCTGACTATGCAAGAGCTATAGGCACAAGGTAACTGTAACTAGTTTTATATTTGTGCTTCAATGACATTATAATAAAAAGTATTAGATCCTAAAGAGAGAGAGAGAGAGATTGAAAAAGAGAAAGAGGAAGCCACGAAGGGGAGAAAGGACAGAAACCCTGAGCCAAGCCAAGCCAAGCAAGTATAGATGCAACTGTGAAATAGGGGCCACAGGATCTTGACACCTGCCCTGCCCCCCAAGTCTTTACCTTCTGCAGGTGTTCAACCTATCCCTGGCTTCACCTTTAATATGCCCAGCCTCTTCTGAAATCTCTGGCCCCCAACACAAAACACCTTCTGGAGAGTAGGCTATCAGTGGCTTCCAGGATGGTAATTAGCTACCTGATCACCTCATATGCAGCGGTCTTTGGAGTGTTGTCCCCAGAGCAGTGCTACCACTACCGGGAAACTTCTTCAGAAATGCAAATTATTGGGCCCCAAAACTTACCATATCAGAAACTCTAGGGCAGGGCCCTGCAATCTGTATTTTTAAAAGCACTTCAGATGACTTTTAGACAAACTAAAATGTGAGAATCACTGTGTAAAGTATTTGTGTAGGCTATGCTAATGGAACACCATATGTTCTCCTTGCCCCATAAAAGGGCATTATAATTTGGGCCTTGGGTGATAACACCCCTCCCTCTTTTGTGCAAACCACAAGATTGTCTCCATTGTTAGGACTTAAGATCAGACAATTTGAAGAGGGTCCACAACACCTATTATATTCAACTGTATAGGTAGTAGTGACTGACAGTAACTATAGCAACACTAGTAATCACAGCAAATCCTGGAGAACATTTAGTAACCCCCTATAACATGATTTACTCATATATATCCCACATATATAACCTTGGAAAGTAGGAGTTATTCTTCCCCTGTAATGAGTTGCAAAAACCAAGTCTCAAAGGGATCAGCTGATTTGCCTAAAGACACTTGACAAGAAAGTGATAAGCCAATGACTTAAATGTGCGTCTGTCTAGCTCCAAACCACTAGCTCCGCAGTCCCACTTATTCCTACAAAGATACAGGGGTGGTCACTGGAAGACATTCTGCTCCTTGAACCAGACCTACCTTCCAAGCAAACACAGCAATGTGTTGACTGCACTTTTGGCCTTCCTGCCTTTCTTCCAGCCTCTGATGCGGTGTTTGCTTTGGGGGTTCTCTTCTCCTCACTGACCAATGACTGTGATAATGCAGTTGGCATTTCCTGTTGCCATGCTGAAGGTGGAAGACAGTGATGTAGTGTGTGAGAGAGAGTGCCTTCCAGATGAAATGCAATGTGTAAATGGAAATTGTCATCATTATCCTCTGAACAAATGGGGAAGATGCACATTGGTTCTAGCAGAACTGGAAGAAAAAATTGGAGTTTGAACAAAAGCATTATTAATTTAAGAAACTGCCTGAATTTGCCTCTGGCAGTTTTCTTTGTAAACACCGTTAACACCCTGGAATGCTTGAATTGTATCTAAATGCATAGCTTAAATATGTAAAAACAGAAACCTAGGCATTACTTTTAGGCACCCAGAGAATTGTTTGCTTCTAAAACCTACCAGAACAAAATAAAACTAGCATATGAGACTTCAGAATTATGAGGGTCTAATATTTCTTATGAAATTGTTTCATAGAATATAGAATTGTTGATCTCCCTTTCCTCCCTCAAAACCAGATATAATTTACAACTGACAAAATACAGCTTTGTAATACTGCTCGTGCAGAACGTGCTTGTATTTGTATTTTTCTATAACATGAACATGGTTTAGAGGGTAAATGGCTGGAGTAAGGGATATCTTTAAGCAACAGGGTTATTTAAGTGGCCAAGTCACAGCTGAGTAACTTTGTAAATGAGCCTGGTAAAGTCAACTCCACAGAGAAGAATATTTGCATATTTATGACCTCATTCTGAAGTGGAAAGCCCCTCGCTCAGGCACCATGGTGGGAGGCATTCAGAGAAGGTAAGTTTTGGACACTAGAATCAAACAAGTTATACTTCCCAAAAGGAAAAAATATGTATGATTTTGAGTGAGGTTATTCTAATTGAAAAGCCATCCCACCATCAGCGAGTTCTCAAGTTTTCCCAAGTAATCTAGAAAGTAAACATGGGCTTGCCAGTCCTCTGGCACCTGCAATGCATTTGGGGAAATCCTGTCTGCATTTGATGTGCTTACACACCCTGGAGCCCCTCCCCTCCCCCATTTAGAAGCACGTAGAGATAGGACAGGTAAAGTAGTTGCTGCTAGCCATGAACCAACCAGTCTATGGGGCAAATTGCTAGTAAACTAGCATCTCCATGGGCCATGAGAGCTTCAAGGCTTGAATCTCTTGCCAAAGTACAGAATAATCATGACAATGACCAATATAGATGGGATCTTACAATGGGTTGGGTAAGCACTTTATATATATTGTATGATTTAATCCTCCCAACAATCTTGTTAAGCAATTTCTTATTAAATTAATAAATGATTAGCAAAGAAATAAATAATATTAAAATGACTATTATTTTCATTTTACAGATGAGGACACTAAGGCACAAAAATTATGTAATTTGCCAAAGGTAAAACAGCTAGAAAGCAACAGGAACAGGATTCAAAGTCAGTCTGTCTCCAGGATCCATAGAGTCATCACTAGTCATGGGAAGATTGGGCTTTCAAGTTTGGCACCATAGAACTGAATTCCAGCTCAGTTACTTGGGGGTCAAACATGATCCTGAGTAAGTGACTTAACCTGAAAAATGGGTACAAATCTGAACTAGGAGGATTGTCATGAAGAAGGTACTTAGTACTTAACAGGCACTCAATAAACAGTTGCTTAAGGTATGTCTCCATCAAACACACCAACAGCTCTGGATATGATCCGATATTGGAATGACATTTATGAAACTTGAGTCATTTTCCTAGCTAAATATCTGAGAGGCATAAAGTAGGATGATCGCAAACCATAAGGGAAAGAATTCTATGCATGCACACATGCAAATATACACACACTGGATTCTTATAGAACTCAGAAAACAGAAAACACTTGCTTTCTATATTCAATTATTTGCAAACCCTACCAAAAGCTGACCAAAGATCTAAACTTAATTCTGAATCTAATTTTTGTTGGGAGAGGGTCAGGAATTTATACTTTGAGTGTCAATAATATATATAAAATTTTAAACACAGAACACTTTATATACACAAATATATAAAAAATACAAAGTATGGGGTGTGCATGTGTTCGTGTGCCTACATGTGCATTCTCCTCTAGGGTGGTTTTATAACAAATGGACCTCATTGCTACAGTCCGTTTTGAAACTTTCTCTTGACTGGGCTAGAATGATCCCAAACTACCCAAAATTGATTTCACTTAGGTCCTGTGTCTCTGACATTATTAAGAAGAGATTTTTTTCCTTTCGCAAACAATTTAACAATTTTTCAAACATGGGTAATGACCTTACTTTTCCTCTTATCCTTTTACCATAGGCCTTCGTGTGACACAACTAGAAAAGCACATGAGATTATGAATGACTTTTTGCTGCCTTTCAAAGCAGGAACCATGAATTAGTATTGATTGTGCTTTCTCATCCATTTCCCACTTATTTGGTTTCTTTCTCTATGTTCTATGGGAAAGAAAAGGCTATTTTAAGAGTAGAGAAGATTGGTTGCTTCTTTTCAAAAGCCTTTTTACCTTGTTCTACTGGGTTTAAACTCAATGGATTCATCCAAAATAATTTTCTGTTCATTGGGATATTATTAAGAAGATTGCCATTATGGTAAGTTCTAATATGTATTTTTTAGCTCTGGAAGACACAAGAAGTTCCCCAGGCTGTAAATATCCCCCAGTAGTACCCTGCCACTCTAGTTTTGTTCAACATCTTCTGGTAAAATGTCCATGGAGAAAAAGAGAGTAAAATGATTTTCTGTTTGTTATTTTGATAGACAGGAACAGAGACTTGTTCAAGTCAATTAAAGAAAAGAAAGATAGAGTGGACTATCACAAAGTCATTGTAAAAATACAGGAGGATATGTAATTCAACTTTTCCCCTAAATGTACAGAAGAACCATTTGCTGCTTTCTCTGAACACTTCATTGTGTCTTTGTCCTCCTGGAAAAGTGTGGATGTGATGCAGGACAAGCAAAGCCTCAGATTGGGGCTTAGCCTGGGAGGGTTCTTGACTTTGCCCAGGAAAGAATTCAAGAGCAAAGTGGTGGTAATAGACAGCAACTTTTATTGAGGTGGTAGTATACAGCAGAGGTACTGCTTTTGAAGAACAGGGCTGATCCATAGGCAGTATGCCCAGAGTAGCAGCTCAGGTGCAGTTCTACAGTCATATTTATACCTAATTTTAATTCTACACAAATTAAAGGGTAGATTATCCAGAAATTTCTAGAAAAGAGGTGGTAACTTGTGGATCATTCGTTCATTGCCATGGAAAGGGATGGTAGCTTCTGGGTGTTACCATGGCAATGGTAAACTGACATGGCACTGTTGGGCATGTCTCATGGAGAGGTGTTTTCCTTTTCCCTGTTTAAGCCAGTCTTCAATCTGGCCTGTAGTCTAAGCCCTGCCTCCAAAGTAAAGTCCCAGCTCCTACCTCAAATGGGCCTCTTCTGTCTGAGAAGCTCCTCACTTTTCATAGCAGAGAAGGAGGCAGAGGATGTAGGCTTTACCAGCCAGGTAATTCACTGTGGCAGTCACCAGGAGTAACACATTGCAGCTAGGTCTAAGATGACTTGTAGGTGTCCTGCCTTGATCCCTGTGAAGATGGTGGTATCATTTCACTAATATAGAGATGGCAGGTCTGGAGAAGAGGAAGATGAGTTTGCATTTGCATTTGTACATGTTGACTTTGGGGCACTTAGGAAACATTTGGGTGCATTGCTGGGTTTGAATCTCATGAGGGATTTCAGCTGGAGGAACAAGTCAAGTGACCTGCCCAAGCTACATGGCTTGGTGGTGGTGGTGCTGAGACTTGAATGAAGTCAGGCTAGAGTGTGTTCTACCAGCCTGTGCTGCCCGAGTCAAGCCAATCAGTGAAATTATGAGCTGTAAAGCTGCCTTTCTGGCCCTAACCTCTTCCTCTTGCTTTCTGTTCCACTGACTCAGCTTGCATCCTTCCCATGCCTCCTAGTTTCTCCTTCTCTTTTATCTTAATTTAAACTGTGTTCAGAAAAAGATCCATGAATTATGGCCTTCCCCAGGGGGCTTGAGTCTTTAACAACAACTCACCTTGGGCAATGATCATGATGGGAATAAACATGATGATGGAAACTACAATGATGACGAGAGTAACAGGATTATTTATGGATATTATTTTTTATTTTGTCGATCCTGGGTTTTCCCCTGTACCTTTCTAAGTCTATGCAGATTGTTCTTCTATCTCAATGAATATTTGCACTGAAAGATCTGACCCTACCCAAAACTTCCATTCCTGGGTCTTTCCAAAGCAGAAACCCTTAGGGTAATGCTGCCAGATAAAATATAGAATGCCAAGTTAAATATACATTTTAGATAAATGATTTTTTTAGTGTTTGTCCCAAGAATTGCATGGAACATATTTATACTAAAAAAAAATGTTGTTAATCTGAAATTCAAATTTAATTGGGCAGAGATTTTTTTTCTTTTCTTTTCTTTTTTCTAAATCTGGAGACCCTGCTATAGGGGTGAAAGGAGAGAGACTTTGCAAATATGACATAGGAATAAATGAGGGAAAAGAAAGTAACAGGAGAGAGGGGAACCCCCAAGTCCAGGACAAATTCTGAGGGTCCCTCGGGAACTGGGTCTGAACTCACCCCTAGCACTAAAGAGAGCTTGTGGGACCTCAGTGGAGAGGGACTAAATGGTGGCCCACAGGGGTCTAGGCCCTTGGCCTTAGAGTGTGCAGCAAAGTCCCAGGACCAAGCAAGGCAGATACAAGTGTTCCCTAACAGTGAATGGCCATATGTATTTAGACAACTACTCTTTTCTCTATTAGGCCACAGGACTGGGAGGGGGTAGCCTAATAATGACTGAAAGAAAATTTCCTACCAATGAAAGAGAACAAAGAAAAAGACTCAGAGCTGAATTCAATTTTATCTAAAGGAAATAATGTGACATCTCAAAAACTAGTTTTGTGAAGCTACCTTTGAAACTGTGAAATAATAATCATTACTGTTAAATATTGAGTATTTTCTATGTGACATGCACCACGTTAAATATTTTATCTACATTATTTGGTTTCTTTATTACAAAATGATTATGGCACACAAGCAGCCCTTTGTTAATGGAGTGTCAGACTTTGGGGAGTAGGTGAGGAGATCATAAGAGGAGGGGAACAGGAGACATCAATCTATGCCTGCGTCACTTATTGATTAGTCTGGCTCTGGCTGGAAAACTAATTCAGATATAAAGAAAAAATTATCCCAGAAATACACTTCACCAAATAGACAAAATATTTGTTTCAGGAGCCAGGCCTGTGTTAATCTCTCTTGCCCTTCCAGTTAAAAGGCAAAAAGCATTAGTCCTGATGTAAATATTTAATTTCCTTGCTTCAGGCATATTTTTTTGGCCTGGCTTAGATCTTGACACCTTCCATGTAATCAAGTTAAGTTCTTCCAAGCTTTGTAACCCTATAAGGAATAGTCTGTGTCTTGGGCCAAGGTTTCAGTTAAAGTATTATTTTCTACAATTCTTTTCACCTGGAAGAGGGAAAATTTTCTTTCCAATTGCCACAATTTCACACCTCCCAGCTGAGAGAATTTGTTCATCCAGTACTCAGTGTACCTTCTCTGATAGGAAGAAGCAAACAGTCATTGGTCTAACTTGGAAACATTTTGTGATCCCCACATACCTTAGCAAAAAGCTTTAAAATGACTTTTCTCTCACCACATGCTGAAAAATAAATGATACTCTGGCATCTGGTTTTGCAGTCTCAAGTTACCTTCAGCGGATCACTAGTAAAAGTAATCTTGCTCAACCATGGCTAGCATTGTAATGACTGTCCATGATTAGAAAGTTTATGAAAGGAGACAGGTCATGAAAAGAGATTCCTTCAGTCCTGAACAAAAGCTCAGCAATTATGTTTTGAAGAGGTTTTACCATTTAGCCTGAAAGATGAACTTCTTAACCAAATTTATTAGAAAGAAGGTTTTTTAGGAGAGTTTTGTTTTATAGGAATTATGGTCAAGCTTGCCTGGTATAGAAACCTGACACCACAAATAGTTCAATAGGAGGTTAACCTTAAATATCTCACTGTTAAAAACAAGGAGCCACTAACTTCAATGCAAGCCTCTTGCACTGAGGGGGCTCCCCATCCTCCACCAATGAAAGCCAGAGATGATGTTTTCTTTGTGTATAAAATGGAAGGCATATATGTGAATAAAAAATCTTCACTCCAATGCAGATCCTGCAACTGCAACATTCTTAGCATTTATTCTACTTCATAAATTGCCATAAGTCAATGGGAATTTTCTCACTGATAGAGATAACTCAGATCCAGACCCATCTCCACCTGGATATCTCACAGATCCTTCAAGATCAGAAAAACTTCCTTATTTTTCTCTGCCTTTTAAAAATGTATGTATTCTGAGCTAGGTTTCTCACTGTTGGCAATTGGAGAAATATGAAGGCAAGAAAGACTAGAATCTACCATTATCAGTATGAACTCATGGTTTTTAAAATATAGATAAATAAATAGAGAAATAGAGATATCTATATCCTAGCCTGTCCAACGAGGGAATCTAGAAAAACTGTGACCCCAGTAGCAATGAGTGCACCTAGATTTTGGTACTAGGAACCAGTACTTCTTGGACATAAGGTAGATTCTAAGGTTTGAACAGGGAAAATACAACATAAGCTTGAAGTAGTATACCACTCCAGAAAGTAAGAAAGTGTTCAAAATACAATGGAACCTAGCAAAAGGACACGGGAACCAATTTGAAGGGACTCCCAGTGGTAAAATCAGAGAAAATTTGAACATGAAAATAAATAATGACAGTGGTGGATTATAATCCATTAAAAAAAATAAAATCCATGAGCCCATACTGATATAAATAAATGAATAAATAGACAGGGGAGCCAGGAAAGCTCTTCCTTATAGTAATATAGATGGAGTAATATAAATATAGAAGCAATGACAGATTAGAAAATCACTGACGGATGTTCAAGCTATCGTATGAAAGCCTGATAAGGAACATGATACTTATATAGCCTCAAAGTATTTCCCACAAAATTCTCATTAATAACAAGGGGGAAAATGAATAATGCTAGTGAAGAAGGCTAGAGGACACCCCACCAAGTTATCAATGTTGGCATCACCAGTATTCAGGCAAACCTATATTATGTGTCTCCTTCTATAATAAATTGAGAATGACACAACCTAACTTCTCTTCTTTCTGTCTAAAAGTGTACAACCTGAACTTAATCATAAAGAAACAATGGAAAAACCCAAACTGAGGGATGTTCTACAAAAAAACTGGTTTGTATTTCTCAAAAATGCCAGGATCAATAAAGACAAAGAAAAGTTAAAGAGCTGTTTAAGTGAATGGACAATTACAGAGACAACTACATGCAATACATGAATCTGAATTGTATCCTGTACTAAGAAAGAAAAGTCTATAAAGAACATAATTGAAGCAACTGACAAAATTTGATGAAAGATTGTCAATTAGATAATAGTATTATATCAATATTAAATATCATGTTTATTTTACTGTGAGATGTGAGTATATGTTCTTTTCTTGGGAGATATACACCAAAGTATTCAGGAGTAAAGAAGCACAATGTCTCTAACTTGCTCTCAAATGGTTCAGAAAAAAAATGGATCTGTGGTGTGTGTATGTGTGTGTGTGTGTGTGTGTGTGCGTGTGTGTGTGTGTGTGCGCAGAGCAAGAGAGAGCACAAAAGCAAATAGGGCAAGATGTAAGTCGGTGAATATGGATACAACATAAGGTGATTTATAGTATTTTTGTAACTTTTCTGTAAGCTTAAAATTCTATCAGAATAAAAAGTTATAAAAATCTACCCATACTTCAGTCCCCAGTGGAATCCCTACCTCTTCTATGAAACCTTTTTTCCCACTACAGAATGAAGTCTGTAGATCACAGAATTTTATTGCTGGAAGAAACTAGATACTTTCTCCAGAGAAATCCTGTAGCATGCTGAGTCTGCATTATTCCATTGGTAATTGATCAAAAGGCTTCCTAGGAAGTCACTTCTCTTGTCTTCATCTGTTACCAAAATCTTTTGCCATCATTTATCTCCCCAATTACATTGTAAGCTCCTTGAGACCTGAAAATGTGTCTTAACAAGTTCCTTAACCTTTCTCACACCTTCTCCTCCTCCAGCCCCACAACCCACAGCCTCCTTGCAAAACACAACACACACAAACACACACACACACACACAGAGGCCAAGTCCTCCTACCTTTTGCTTATTCTTTACCTTGCCGGTTTCAGCTTAGAAACCATCTCCTCCAACCCTTTATGACATCTTAGACTGGGTTAAATGATCCATGTTCCTCATAGCATCCCATTCTTACCCACTTATCTTGCTGAATTGAACTTGGCTATTTTCTCATCTATCTTCCTTACCAGACTCCCTCAAGCCCTCCTTGAAGGCTAAGATTGGGGGTAGGGCTTAAGGGCTCACTGAATATTTGTTGAGTAACTAAATGAGTAAAAAATGTTTAATTTTTGGAAATCAACACTTCTGGACAGTTTCTATACTAGTTTCAGGTAATCTGTGAGTGATACAGATTTCCAGGACCCTGCTGGGATGTGATGAATCTTTGCAGAGTAGGTCCTGAAGACCAAATGTATAAAAGGTTCTTTGGGCAGTTCTGGTGTGCATTATCATTTAGAACCATAGGTTGAATAGATTGAAAACATTTCCCCTTATTTCTCTCACCTCTTCCCACAAATTTTCCACTTTTTCTGTAATCTACCCTTAGAGTAAAATTTCCCATAATGTCACTTATTGAGATCCTGGGGTTTCTACTTAATTTATACTTTTGCTGTTGAAGTATGGCTGTTGCTGACTTGGCTTCGCAGATGCTTCCAAATGGTATCTCTAAAGAACTCTGATAAATGAACTAGAAAAATTGAAAAATTAAAATAATATTGATCAAAAGAGTATATACTAGCTAGTCGAAACAATAAATAAGCCAATATATCATTTTCTTCAGAGACAAAAACATCTAAATAAATCACCTAAAATCTGATCTGCAGAGTTCTTAAGTATTGCCAGTTAAAGAGAATTTTGCCCAACATTTTTTTTTTAAAAAGAACTCTGAAAGGCCCTTGTGTCCATCCAAAATGTGAGGCTAGTTGGCACCAAAGTCATCAATTTACAAATCTGGGAAGAAACACAAAAGAAATACATTTAAACATATCCAAGGCTTTATGAGAAAATAATTTAAAAAGACAACATGTAGTATAAACTATGAAAGAGAAAAAGATTTATTTTCTAGATCTGGTTCTACCAGAAAAGAAATACTTTCTTTTCCCACTTATGGTAATTGGTTTGTTCTCACGCTGCTATGAAGAAATATATGAGACTGGGTAATTTATAAAGAAAAGAGGTTTAATCGACTGAAAGTTCCACACGGCCAGGGAGGCCTCAAGAAACTTACAATTATGGTGGAAGGCACTGCTTCACAGGGCAGCAGGAGAGAAAATGAACCCAAGCAGGGGAAATGCCAGATGCTTATAAAACCATAGATTTCTTGAGAAATCACTCACTATCACGAGAACAGCATGGGGGAAACCACCCCCATGATTCAATCACCTCCCACTGGGTCCCTCCCACAACACGTGGGGATTATGGGATTACAATTCAATATGAGATTTGGGTGGGGACACAAAGCCAAACCATATCAAGCAGTTACTTTGAATTAAGCCAACTGTTCATATCCCTTGAAGTATATTGGTAGTGCCCTCAAAGTTTCTCAAAAATGGGGGTGGTGGTTTAAAGTATATCAGCTTTTTGTGAGGTTCCTAATAACATGATATTTTTACTCTATAAATGGAAGGTGGTAGGTTAATGCAGTCTGTTTATAACTTACTATAACATTTATGCCATGTGATTCTAGATAAGCAGCAATAAGAAGACATTTACTTCTCTTCTTATCTCTTAAATGCCATGATTTTATCATCATCTTTACTTTGGGTTCGTGAAATGAAAGACAGGCAAAGAAATCAATGGCCAGCATCTTGAACACTGTGACATAAATTATCCCTGCATTAACAATTTACTAATTGATAGAGCCAAGGGAGATAAAGCAAGATCCCAATGTAAGTGAAATAAACTGTGTGCATATATAAATAATTCATATTTTAATTAAAATTGCCTACAGAACATCAAGATATTCCAAAATCATTTAGGCCAACACATATTTTATCAGCTTAAAAAGAAAATAAGAAGTCACCAAACATAACTTTGCAGTGTTGTTGAAGGTCCCCAAACGTAGGTCACATGCTTTCACTCTGTGCCTTGTTCTATAATTAGCTCTTGGTGTCAAGAGGAGGAAATGCACACTGAACAGCAGGTACACAGTCGGTTTTGCTGCATGAAGCATAATGAGGATTTCAGATTTAACACACTAATACTTGTTTTATTACCGTAGTCAATTGTCCATGCATCTTAGGATTCATGTTGTGTGCATTGGCTAAGTCATGTTTCTTTCATTAGCTGAAGCAATTAATGTACATTCAGCCTTTTAAGTACTATCTCTTTATGCATTATCCTTGTGTAATTCAGTTTGCAATGATTAAAATAATTTTTCAATGGAGATGCCACAGCATAATGAAAAAATATACAGCCCTAATGTAAGAAGCATTTGTAAACATTTTTAGGAGGATATTGTTTGTTGTTACACAACACTGTAACAGATGGCTGTAAAAAGCAGCTCAAACTCAAGAACCAGCAGAGAGACAGACCTCAGGGGACTGGGGTAAATGGGTAGAAGAAAGAGAGATTTTATTCTTTTGAAAGAGAATTTAACAGCGTGTCAGAAATAGTTTTTGGTCTGCCTTTTTGTTAGTGTATTTAAGGACCAAATATTGGCTAGTCTTTATAATTAATAACTCGATCTCATTAAACCTTTCAGCCATTTTTAAAAAAAATTTAAGTAGGGGGTCTCAGTATGTTGCCCAGAGTGATCTCAAACTCCTGGCCTCAAGTGATTCTTCCTGCCTTAGCCTCCCGTGTAGTTGAGATTACAAGTACAAGCCGCCATGCCAGGCCCTTTTAACTACTGAGCACTTACTTTGTGCCAGGCCCCAGGAGACAACTTTTACATGCAGCCTCTTATTCAGTCACAGTAACAAAGAAACTAAGACAAAGAGGGGTGAAATAACTTACCCAAGAGTCTCATTGCTAGTTAGTCATAGAGGTGGGATCTATCCCATAACCCTCTTCCTTTTATGACCTAGTAGAGTGGTTAAGGATCTGGGCTGCATGGGTTTGTGTTTGTGTGTCCCTATATATCAGCCAAGGGACTTTGAGCAAGTTACTTAACCTCTCCGAGCCTCAGTTCCTCCTCAGTAAAAATGGAGACAGTGATAGAAACCTAGCTCGCAGTGTTGTGAAGATTAAGGAAGTTCATATGTGCCAAGTGCTTAGAAGAATACCTGGCACGTAGCAAGTATTTGCTAAGTGTGTGCTGTTGTTATTACTATCACTATGCTATCCTGCCTGTTCTGTGTTGTGTGCTTTTCTGTTTCAGGACTAATTGTTTCTTTGTTTTAAGCAAGATGTTATGCTATTGTGATGCCTATTAATAAATGAACATGTGTGTAAATGGCCTTAGAGATGGTTGTTTCACACTTGCTACATGTCATAACCGAAATCCAAGATTAATTAACTTTCTGAATATCTTTCCTAATTTAACAAGTGATTATCCAATTTAATGTACATGGACAATGATTTCAATAAATATATTTTCTAATTATGTTTCACTTCTGTGAGCATGATGTGATAATTTAGTCTTTAGCAGCTAGATGCATGTGATTAGACAAAATTGCTCAGATATTGAGAACATTGTGAAATATTTCCTTTAGATTCTCACTCAGCATAAAATGGATCTATTGTGACTGATTACATTTCATACTCAGGCTAGCTGTTTCTGAGTGCCAACTCTGGTACTGCTCCCTTTGCCTGTATAGTGCCTCCTTTGATTTTTTATTCGATATACTCCTTCCCTTCCTCAGAAACCCAGACTAAATGTCACCTCCAGGAAGCCTTCCAGACATGCTCTTCCTTTCCAGATAAAATTTTTTCTCCCGGGCCTGAAATCCTGAGGCAGAAAAAGTCCATTATCTTCTAATAACTGACCTCTCTTATTACTCAGTTAATGAACTTCCAGTTTGCAGCCAGCATATGGCTTTCCAGAATAAAGACTGTATCAGCCTCTCTTGCTGCCAGGTATGGCCAGTCGTATGGTCAAGGTTTGGTGAACAGGATGTAGTCAGAAGTGCTGTGCTTCTAGAAGTGTCCTTAAAGAGAGGAGAGCATGGCATTCTTCACTCCTTTCCTCTTTCTGCTTGCTAGATTATTGATTTGGTGGCTGATGCTTGAATAGCCATGAGGTGGAAGTCAAGTGTTGATGACAGCAGAGTATCTAGATAGCAGGAAGCTGAGTTCCTGGTGACTGTGGAGACAGTGGGCAGCTTGGACTGCCTACTACCAAAAATTGTCTATGTGGAAAGAACTAAACTTATATTTTCTATCATTTGCATGTGAACCCAATCTTGACTCATTCAATTTCTTTAGCATTTTTAAAACTATTTGTACCTGTATCTCTTTAGTTCAGCACTCACAATATCACATTATATCTACCTGCTACTTCAGCTGTTGCTATACTAGATGTGAGCTGTTAAAAGCAAGAACTGTTCATTAAGCACTCAACGTGGTGCCAGGTTCTTAGTAGGTTCAGAGTAAATGCTTGTTACATAAAGACAACCTGAATCAGAGTGTGTGGAAGACACCAAAAATACAGGTCCTACTGTCACTAAATCAGGAGAATCCTTTTTCATATAAGCATGAAGTCTTTTTTTCATGCACAGACTTAAAATACAAAACAGAAAAGGGGAACGAAGCATTTTGTCTGGGTTGCTGGGCCTATTCTATTGTACCTATTCAGGATGACTTTATTGTAGTTAAGATATTGAATTTTCTTGCTTTACCATTATTTATTTGTTTGGTGGATCCAGCGGGAAAGTGCATATATTCGGCTGGAGAACCATGTAGTCTGTGAAGGTCACCCTCCTTGGGTATGAAGATTTAGGAAGTGTGACTGGTAGCTCTGGAGAAAAAAAAGGCCATGGCATCTTCACATGGTTTTTCGATTTGACCTAAGGGATATGATTATAAGAATTATGAGACTTGGCATGTGTCACAGGTTTAATCATTTGCTGTCTACTTCTACACTTAGTCTAAGTTCTTACCCAGAATACCTCAAGTTTACTGGAGAGAGTTAGTGAAATCAATAATCTATATTAATATGAACCATGGGCTTTACACAGTAGCAAGAACAGGAAATTTTAGGCTCAAAAAGCAATATTTTAGCACAAGATCGTACTTTGGGGAATATAGGGTTTTGGGTTTTCTTATTTTTTGGAAGAAAGCAATCAACTAAGAGAAAATAGAATGTCAGGCATGAGAGCCTTTATTGATTTATCCATTCTCTGCTATGATCCTGTGAGTCTTTGGTAATGCCACAAACTCTGAAATTACTATGTGAACTCTGCAAAAAACACTACTCCAATGAGAATTCAAAACTTAACTCTAGTATAAAGCACTTAACTCAGTTAAATTTCCCACATCTTTGACGTCATGAAGCTCTTCAGAAGGTTTTGAGTAGGATAGAAAGAGGTTTGTTTGAATTTTAGAACTTAATGTGCCTCATTTAAAAGAAAAATATAATCTCATTAGTGGCAAAGCTTTTGAGATACACGTACAATATTGCACTGATTTGGCTGTACATTTTTTTTTCATAATGCTTCTCTAATATATCTTATTTTTCGCTGGATGCACATCACATTCTATCTTTTTTAAATTCTGCTTTAAGTTTTAGGGTGCATGTGCACAGCGTGCAGTTTTGTTACATAGGTATACATGTGCCATGTTGGTGTGTGGCACCCATTAACTCGTCATTTGACATTAGGTATATCTCCTAATGCGATCCCTCCCCTCCTCCCCCCACCCCACAACAGGCCCCGGTGTGTGATGTTCCTCTTCCTGTGTCCACGTGTTCTCGTTGTTCAATTCCCACCTATGAGTGAGAACATGTGGTGTTTGGTTTTTAATGACAAATAAATGAGCCATGTACTTTTCCTCAAATTCACACAAGGCCAGTGGTTAGAATCTTTTCATACCATTTCCTCTGAACCAGGATCGCTTCATCCACGGGACAAAGAAAGAATGATTTAGTACACAAGAGCAGCTTCAGAAAATGCCCTGATTGCCTTTCTCAGGCCCAAGACAAAATGGAAAACGTATATCCTTATGATGTCAGAGTCGCTTAACACATTGCTCATACTAAGGTTGAATGTCCTAGGTGACCATGTATTGGCCAGTTTAAAAACCAGCTCACTAATACCAAGAGCAGTACAGTCAGGGCTAATTCATCCTAGGTATTTACCTGTTGAAAATAAGTATTTTATCTATAGAAAGCAATGCAAATGTCATTGAAACAATTTAACCATGAGGCATAATCATTAAACAACTGGGCCTGACTACATCATTGTAAGGGTGGGTGAAATGCCTTTTAGAATCATCCATCACCTAAGTTATTTTCACAGTGATAAAATATTTACCACCACCAAGGAAGAAAGGAAAGAAAGGAAGCAGGGTTGGGGGTGGAGGAGGGAACACATCTTCAGTAATATGTCATAACTTCTTCAATTTTAAGGGCCGGAAAATCTTCTTTAGACAAGGATCTGAATCCCTAAAGATGTAGCCAAATTTTGACTCCTCTGAGAAACTGCTGCACAGCTGTTGTCTTTGATATTTGTCTCAGCAGAGCTCTAAGGACTTAGGGACCAGGGACCACAAATTTTATCTGTGGCTCTGTCCAACCCTAGATACTTGAGAATGAGTAGGTTCCTTCTTTTCTCTATTCTTTGTCTGCGATTATTGTTTTCAAAGTAGTTTGGGGGATGAATAGAGAGAGACAGAGTGTGAGACAGAGAAAGAGGAAGGAAGGAAAGGAAGCATGAGTAGAGGAAGGGCAATAATATTAACACAGAGGAATAATTCTCATTTGTACTTCAAGTTTTCCATTTTTTCATCTATCTGGGAGGCTTTGGGGGCTGAAAGTACTGAAATGGGGAACCACATTCAGCAACTGGTCTGAAATACTATGTACTCTAAGTACTAAGTACTAAGGTGTGATGAGAGTCACAAAGAATGGCCGAATTATAGGTAGAATCAAATTCCTCATGTATTGTCTTCCATTGAAACACTAGGCCGCAAACTAGAGCCCAAAGGCATTTGTAGAACAACCAAACCAAATGCTAGCACTCCTTCCTGAAACCAAAACCACAGTTTCAGAATTTCTAACCAATCTGAACTTAACCCCAATAGACAGAAGCTTGCAAACTTCTACTGAAATGGAGTCAGCTCCAGAAGTCCCACTGAGATGGTTTTGACTTATGGTAAAGTCTGAAAGAGTTTATAAAGAATTCAACCTGAAACTCTAAAAGAACTTGAAATCAGGTGGAAAGAATTCTTCATCAAATTAAATCAAAGAGAAAATTGTGAGAAATTACATGATTTTTGTGTGGAACAAAGCAAAAATTATTTTGACCATAAACTATTCTTTATTTAATAGATACCTCACACTTGCTAAAATAGTGCCCACCCCTACCTTATTATAACTCAGAATGTTTAGTCATAAAGTTATTAAGCTTCTTAGGTTTGTATCCCTATAAGTTGGTAACAAGATCTGAGCTATGTTCATGGATACAGTAAAACCATGGAGGCCAGGCACGGTGGCTCATGCCTGTAATCCCAGCACTTTGGGAGGCCGAGGCAGATGGATCATGAGGTCAGGAGTTCAAGACCAGCCTAGCCAAGATGGTGAAACCCCGTCTCTACTAAAAATACAAAAATTAGCCGGGCATGGTGGTGGGCATCTGTAAGCTACTTGGGAGGCTGAGGCAGAGAATTGCTTGGACCCAGGAGGCAGAGGTTGCAATGAGTTGAGATCACGCCACTGCATTCCAGCCTGGGTGACAAAGCGAGACTCCATCTCAAAAAAAAAAAAAAAAAAAAAAACCATGGAACTTGAATCTAGAGGATTTCTTTTGTTTGTTTTTAAGAATTTTAATGACAACTATAACTCCTAGGAAAAACATTTTCATGCTAAAATACTGAGTTCCCTGTTTTTGAGAAATCTGTTGAAGCATAAACTTTTTATTTCTAAGTAATATTTCTTAGTTTGGAAAGGGCCCTCCTCACTTCTTTCCTTCCTCCATGCGACTTTCCCCCAACAACCAAATATTTTTGGAAATTTATTCCTTTGGGCTAAAAAGATACAAATTTGGTTTAAATGAAAATTTTGCCTGATGTTCAGTTACCTTGGCCATAAATTAGAAAAATCCAAATGTGGTAGGCAGTACTCTAAACTGGTCCCCAAGATTACAGCTCCCTGCTGTACAAGCCCTGAATAAACCCCTGCCTCCTCTTAGGTATGGAGAGAACCTGTGAATGTAATGAGATATCACATCCATAATTCAGTAACTGATCAGCTGACTGAGTTAATCAAAAGGGAGACTATTCTGGGTGGGCCTGACCTAATCAGAGCATTCTATAAAAGAAGGTGGAATGTCAGAGGGACATTCTCCTGCTAGCCTTAAAGAAAACGTCCATGTTGTTAGAAGAGAGTGGTCTCTAGGAACAGAGAGCAGTCCCCAGCCAACAGCTAGCAAAAAAACAGGAGCCTCAGTCATACAAACACACAGAAATGAATCAGCCAACAACTAGTGAGCTTGCAAGCAGACTTCAAGTCTTGGCTGACAACTTGATTTCAGCGTGGTGACAGTCTGAACAGGACACCCATCTAACTGGTATCTAGAATCCTGACCCACAGAAACTGTGAGAAAATTAATTTGTTGCTATAAGCCACAAAGCTTTTCGTAATTTGTTATGCAGTAATAGAAAACTAATACACTGACAAGCACATGTAAAAGCCTATCAGTCAACAGAATCTGTTACTTGCCTGTGCAGTAAATGGTATTACTTTATGTTGCTGGTAGCAAAAGCAAAGGTCAGATATAGTATCCAATGATGTCTTCTTTTCATTGCCCAATTCTCAGATGTGGTTTAAGTGCCTGGAAAAGCATTTTCATTTCTTTGTTGTCACTCTCTTTCAAGGACCACATAATCAATTTCAGATAGAAAAGCATGAAATGATTCATTTGTAAGTTACTGAAAATCAACCTTATATTAAAAAGAACAAACGCAGTTAATCATCTTCATTAGCTGGAGAATTTCTTCTGTATTTGGTATCTCCTCAAATACAATCAGAATATGGTCTATTGAAAAATATGTGCTTATGAAGAGAGAAGCACATCGTGTCCAGTTGTATATACGGATTATATTAACATTTTCATCATGGATGTATTTATTTGTTTTTCTTTTTCCATTCTGTAAAAATAGTAATAGCTGAAGTAGTAGTAGCAGTAACAGCAGTAATATCCTTTATGGGTGGTTGTACTTCCTTGTTTTCTCTTTACTGAGACTACTGAAGGAAATAAACAGGCTAAATGAGGAGATACCATATTGTAAGTGAAGTACAATGGATTGGATGTTAGGAGACCTAGGTTCTATTACCTGTTTTGACAGTAATTAGCTTGTGATTTTATGTTTATTTATTTATTTTTGAGACAGGGTCTCACTCTGTCACCCAGGCTGTAGGTCTCAAGTGATCCTCCCACCTCAGCCTCCTGAGTAGTTGGGAACTACAGGTGTGCACCACCACCCCCAGATTATTTTTTTTTAAGTAAAAATGAGGTCTTGCTGTGTTGTGCAGGCTGTACTTGAACTCCTGAGTTTAAGTGATCCTCCCACTTCAGCCTCCCAAAGTGCTAGGATTACAGGGGTGAGCCACCATGCCCAACCAAGTTAATGATTTTAAACATAAAATTTTCTTTCTGTAGGTCTCAGTTTTTTATATAAAATAAAGGATTCTATGAGATTACCATAGTCCATGGTTCTTAAAACCTTCAAGAACCCTGAGCTAACACCTTGGTGCAAGCAGAGATTGTGAATGGAGTAGAGGTGGAAAACCAGAGCTCTAGGAGCTCTGCCTCCACTCCCGTACGGGTTAGTTATTCTCTATTTCAAATGCAAGCTGTACGGAGGACTTCACTTCAACAAGGGCTGCTACAGTCTTAAAACAAAAATGTTGGGAAACACTACAGACTAGATGGTCTGTAAGATCTTCTCCAGCAAAGACCTCATGAGTCTCTCAAAAGAAATAAACACAGAGAATAAGTATATGGTCATTCTTTCTTCTGATCATCACTTTGGATATTTGATTCTGTTGAAATAGGAACACATTTTTTTCTAAAGATGATTGAATGTTCTATGAGCTCCCTGGCACTTCACCTTCCTTTCTTATGTGGGTTCTTTATTTTGCATTACAGTAATGCATTTTATAGACAGCCCCCCTACTTGCAGCAACCAAGATGTTCCAGTATAGACCCTATTTCATTTGATTTTAGCTATATCAATAAAACCAATTAAATGGGCATGTTAAAAATGTATTACATCGTAAAGCTGCTTATGTAACGAATTCAAAAATCAAGAAAAAACTATTTTTCTGTCTTTCTCTATTCTTGGCTCTGGTGGCTGAATTTATGTTTGATGCTAGGATAAGACCAGACCCACCATCAAGCAGAGAAATTGCTCAGCACTCTAGGAAGCTGGGTAGAATATTAACAAGTGGAGACCTCTGGGCATGGGCAAAAATAGGAGAAAAACCAGGAAAAATGAACAGGGATAGAGTATATAGGAATTGGTGAAGCCAACCATTAGGGAACAGAGACACAGTTTTGTTATTCTTGCCATACTTCACCTCCACTCTTATTCTGACATAATATTGATAAAACCAAGGCAAATACTTCCTATCCCGTCTGCCGAATGAAAGCACTGCCAGATATTGACATATATCATCAACCAATTTTAATAGAAACTATATTATTATAACAGTAATGACTACTTTTGCCAATATTTGCTGAATTACAGTGTACCAGAAACTGTGCTGAGCACTTTACTAATATCACCTCATTTATCCTATGCAACCACCTGTAGGGAAGGTCTTATGTGCCCCAGTTTGCAAATGAGAAAACCGAGGCTCACCGGAAGTTATTTAACCTGCTCAAGTCTCACATCTGATAAGTGACAAGCATATATCTGTCTGGCTTATAACACTGAACCACTGTGGCTGGAGAAGAAGCTGACTCTTCTCTAGGCACTAGTCTTAGCTGCTTTGCAACAAAAGTTAAGACATCTATTTTAGGATGTCCTCAGTCCCCAGGACACTACCTTGCACAATAAATGGCATTCAAAACTAATGTTTATTGAAATAATTACCCTGATCATTACTGATGATAGAATGAAACACAGTCCATTGGAAGATAAGGAAATATTAAAACACTGTTTAGTGGAGTTAATGTTTACTTGTTGCCATCATGACAGAAACACACACACTCACACACACACACACACACAGAAAAACTTAAGTTTAATTTATATAATCTTTTCTCTAAATTGACTTGTGAGCATAGGACCATTGTCATTTATATTTGGAAATTCCTAATTCTCTATAGCACAATATCTAAAGAAGAATATCAAAACAACTGAGCTAAAAATATGAATAATCTAATCTCTATTGATTTTACTGTCTATAATCTCTTCCCTAAATGGATTTGTTATCATAGAGCCATGGTTTCTCATTATGAAAATTTTTAATTCTCTAGAATACAGTATTATTTAAAGAAGAAAATTAAAGTAATGAATCTAAAATAATGACTGATATAGTCTGGGTTAGTTTGGGCTTTGTCTTAAAATAACATTTAGCTCATTAGCAATAGCAGCCTGATCTATTCTCCCTACTTAGTGTTACATATGGTATTGGCTGTATTTTCCAAACCCCAGATCAGGGTACATGACATAGTATTGGTAGGGAATATCCAGAACATATGGTTGCCATCATATTAGGGAACAGCCACTGAAGATACTTTGGAGTTGCTATTCTGAAGCACATATGTGTTTCAGAGAATAACCTCTTATTTTCCCAAAGATGTAGCCCAAATCTATCAGAAGCCTTCCAGAGCTGAAGTTAATTATATATCCAGGTAGGTGGGCCAGCAAGAAAGCTCAGAAAACAGCTTGATAATACAAGGAATCAACCCTTCAACCATTTTCAGTTTAGAGAAGCCACATCAAACCTTAATGAGAAACCACATGTAGTGGTAAATTCTGGCATTTAATTTTATGATTATTTACAGCCATTCTGGTGCATAGCATATGGCATGGAGCTACCTTTTAAAAGTACCAGAAAGATAAACTAGAAAGGACTAAATACATCACAATTGAGTTTTATTCCTCTTGATAGAGAGATGAGAGGCACATTTAATTAAATAGAAAAAAAGGATAAAATGGTGTGAGCTACGGGTAATAATTTATACTTTTGAAACTGCTTGGCATTATGCCTTGGGTAAAAACTGCTTACAAATATTAAAGAAGGAACAGAAGTTCCAAAGTAATTTATTCTTAGATGAATGTCCTATAGTCTGCCCAAAAGGTTCATTCTTTTAATTCTAGGACATTTGTCATCCTTATAAAATGTTACAAATTACATTATAAAAGCTCTCACCTATTTGGTTTTTAAATTGTTTTCCAAAGTCTCATAGTAGACTTTGGCAGTAGAAGCAACATTAAGCTTCATTTTTCCTTCCTCCACATGAATAATGCTGTCGCTCATCCATATCCTTATGTGTAAAACTAACAGATTTGAGTACATTTACTTCCAAAAGCACTATTATGGTGTGTTTCATTAAGTGAATGAAGAACCATATCACACATGATATGGTTAAAAAAAAAAAGGAAAAAACAAAAACAAAAACAAAGAACTTACAGGTACAGGTTGGGAAACCAGGTATTCCCCTCCCTTTCCATCAAAAAGCCCACCAAAAAAGGACTATAAGCATAAGAACACAGACAATGGGAGAAAAAGGCAATTCTTCACATTTCTGGAATTGGAAAGCAGATGTAAATATGCTGATGGATAAAACAGTGTAATAATCCACAGTCCAGAATCTACCAAAGGGAATATAAGGCTAATGGCAGCCAGGGAGCCAATAGAACTAAACAGGCTCCAGGATAAAACGTTGTGAGCCTATGGACAAGAAGGAGAAACAGGCTGAAAAGAGAGAGGTTGGTTGGAGGACAGTAGACTGAAGACCAACAACTCCAATAGGTCCCTATCTCCACCTCAATCTACAGACATGAAGACTGGCAAGGCAAAGGCAAACTCTTGGCTCTCCGGCAAAAATTAACACATAAATAAATGTTGGCCGGGCGCAGTGGCTCACGCCTGTAATCCCAGCACTTTGGGAGGCCGAGGCAGGCGGATCATCTCAGGCTGGGAGCTCAAGACCAGCCTGGCCAACATGGAGAAACCCCATCTCTACTAAAAATACAAAATTAGCCGGGTGTGGTGGCACATGGCTGTAATCCCAGCTACTCGGGAGGCTGAGGCAAGAGAATCGCTTGAATCCGGGAGGCGGAGGTTGCGGTGAGCCGAGACCGCGCCATTGCGCTCCAGCGTGGGCAACAAGAGCGAAACTCCATCTCAAAATAAATAAATAAATAAATAAATAAATAAATAAATAAATAAATAAATGTTAAGAGAACAGTTCTTACGTTTTCAAAAATACTGGAGCCAGCCGCGTACTTCTGGATATTGGCATCTGAGATCTCACGAAAATATTCACCTCTGTTACTGTAATTGGCTATGAATTTAAGGCAAAGGAAAAAATAATATAGAATTAAAGGTAAAAAAGAAAGTACAAGATTTTCATTCATTATTATTTGGAAACAGTGTTCGAACCTTTGCAAACATTTAGTGCCCATGATGCTTATGCTGAAATGTCTTATGTAGCTAGGAAGTAGACACTATCCAGGCACCCTCTGGGTCACTATTTTTCTGAGTCTATCTATTTATTTGAAATGGTCCATTAGAAACACCTCTCTTCTAAGCCACTTGTAGAAACTGAAAATAGGGCTTGAAAGGAACCTGGTTAAAACCGAAGTCCACAGCATGGGACAGCTGGATATACATACAAGTGCTATGTTGTCTTTTGAAGTCCCCCAGCTAGAAAGAAACAGTTAATGGCAGGCAGCTAAGAATCGAAGGAAAACATCCGCCATGTGCCCTCTGCCTAGATATCAGTAAATGAGTGTTTCACCAAGTAGATTTTCAAGGTGGGCTATTTTTATTGTGGCTTCTCAGAGGTCTTTAAGGAAAAGCATCTCACTTATAGCTGTATCTACTCTCCTGCCATTCCCACCTTCATTCTCATCATCCCCTTTGCTAACCCAGCATGTCTAGCAATGAGTCTTAACTCAAAATCAAACAGCATTGAAATAAAGGATGTCAACATATAATGGCTAAAGGAAACTATCAAACACTTCAGGAAGTAAAATCCACCTACCTCCCAAGAAATTCTATAGTTGATTTGCTCCAGAATTTGTTAACCTATGGTTCTCATCCTGATTTTACAGTGAATCTTCAATGCCCTGGTCTCACTTTAGATGACTTACATCAGAATATCTACAGAAAAGCCAGTAATCTCCTCATAAATGTTCTCCAGGTATTTCTAATGTGTATCCAGAGTCCAAAACCATTGAATCTGCCTCTAGCTATAAAACTATTGCAGATGATTTGAATGAGGAACTACAAACATCGATATAGGACATGAGTATATTCAAGTATTTCAGAAGCATATAACAATTCCAGATAGCCACTCAACAAAAAAAAAAAAAAAAAGACTGTTCTGCATCATAAAATACTGTAATTATAAAAGTCTCAAAAGGCCAAAGGATGAAGAAATGGAGGCTAGGTCACCACAGAACCCCAATTCTCTTCTAACAAATAACCCCTTCACCCATTATCAACTAGCAAACTTCATATTGACTTAACTCCCGTCTTCAGACCTAGGATAGAGTGACCATGTGACACTAGTCTAGCCAATCAGGGCATTTCCTTTCTCTGGCCATAATAATTGTTCAAGGATGACCAAAAGGCCAAATCAGAGCAAATAAGACACAATTTTGCTGCAACTCTGACACTAAGGGAAGTGTTCTTTCTCATGAGACTTGAATCTAAAATAATTAAGTTAAAGTTGGTAGAGGTAATATTTTTAACACAACAGACTACTTATCTGAGAATAACTCCAATAGAGAGAAGAATAGCTAGCTGACAGACTTTGAAAGAGAACCAGGGCCTGATTACATCATTTGGATCCCTGCAGCCAACAGAGATTGAAGCTAAATCTACAACTGAATATTAAGTTACCAGAGCCAACAAATTCTTTTTTAATAGGTTTATGATGTCTTGGATAATCAAAAAAATCCCAAGTGAAACACACTTTCATCTGCACAACAGACAGTTTCTTTCTCCCTCTCTCCTATACTGTTCCCATTACCAGCATAAACATACAACATTATTTATACAGAGTCCAGTGTTCACATTCACAGGCATAAAATCACAAACCAACTCATTCACTCTCCATTCTCAAAAGCCCAGTCCCATCTAGCTCCGTGATAGACAGGCCTAGAAAGATTACTTCCATATTATTGCACAAAGAAAAAGCTTGATTGGAAGGGAATTCAGATCTGATTGTCTTAATCAGTGGTTCCTATCATCAAAGATATCAAGACACAAATACATAATGAGGATAAATGCAAAGAAAAACACACATAGGCTTATTGTAGTAAAACTACTAGAACCCAATGACAAAGAGAAAATCTTTGAAGAAACCAGAATAAAATGCACATTACCTAAAAGGAAATCCTAATAAGATTTACAGCTAATATCTCAAAAATAATAACGAAAATTAGAAGACAATTGAATAACATCTTCAAAATGATGTAGTAAATTGCAATATATACTAGAAATAAAAAATTTCTGTATCTGTGTGTATAATGTAGCATTATGAAAATCTTTATTAGCATAACACCAAAAAGGGAAACCATGAAAGAAAGAATAAACATAACCATATAAAAAGTATATATTTACAAATCTGCATGTTAGAATACATGTTATATAACTATGGAAACTATTATCTTTAATAGATAAATAGTCTTTACAAATCAGTTTTTTAATGCAAACACCCTAAGATTAAAACAAGCACAGGGTATATACATAATTCACAAATAAACAAACATAAATGTCTAATAAGCATGAAAAATATTTAATCTCATATAGTGTAAATAAAAATTAAACCAAAATGCTATAGAATGTTTTAGGTATAAAATGGTCAGTGTTTAAAATAAACTTAACACTGAGATTTCTAAAAAGTTGCTGATAATTAGGCCCCTCACATGAATATTAGGAGTCTAAGCCCATACAATATTTCTTGAGGGCAACTGAGCAGCACATATGAAAAATAAAATGTTTAAAGATATGTCCTTTGGCTCATTAATTATATTTCTAGGAAAAAAATTTTAGTCAATATCCAAGAGGTAATTGAAGATATAGTGATAAAGTTTGGGAAGCACTGTTTATATGAGTAAAAATTTAGAAATGACCTAAATTTTCTACAATAGGAGAATTATCAAAATAGTAAAATACACTCTAATTATGAGGTAGTCACAGGCAGAAGGATCACTTGAGCCCAGGAGGTCGAGACTGCAGTGAATTGTGATTGTGCCAGTCAACAGATACAGACCCTGTCTCAAAAGAAAAAATAATTACAAACAAGTAAGCATAGTATTATTCCATTTTTTGTAGAAGAGTAGACTATATCACATTTTATAGAACAGCACAAATTATAAATATGTTGTCTCTTGGACTCCATTAAATGCCTCTCCAGATTTGCTCAACCCCGTTGACCTCTGCAGTTTAACAAAGTATCCCAGATGGACACTGAGTTAACCAACTTGAATGAGTTTGATGATGAAGCCTTTGGGTGCATCTAGGCAGGGTACATACTGGGAAATGGAAGACTCTTTGCTGATTCTTAGATCACATTCCAAAAGTCCTGTTTACATATCTAGGAAGTGCCAGAGTATGAACATTGAGTGTACAAAGAGTGAAGAGGTGAGACCAGTGTGTTCATGTCTTACATCTTGCTTTTTCTTTTTGTTGGTAACTATGAGGAAGAAAAATAACACCTGAACTTGGAATGATTAAAAGATTACCCTGGAATTCAACACCATTGCCAATTCATGCAATGAATCCTTGAAAACAGTTTGAAAGCATCATCTGTGTCTATGCCCTAAGCAGATTGAATCTATGGCTACCCACAGTCATCATCTAAAATACTCTCTTCAATGTTCCTTGAAAGCAAATCCTTTTGAGCCTTCCCTTTCTTAAACACAATCCTCCTCCATCCCACCTCAAACCTAGGTGGTATTAAATTTTGTTGAAAGTAATAGCAAATGCTGACAGTAAGACAACAAAAGACAAGATTAAAGATTCCTTAATCAGATGTCTCAGAATGTAGGCAAATTTACTCAAATTCTGACCATGCAAATGTTGACTTTAGCATGCTTTTAGAAAAATCCAGTTAAATCCATACCAACATTCTGATTCATAGAATCAAAGTCAAACATTATTATCTCTTATAATAAGTTTCTGTTGCCAAGACACAAATTCCCTTTTTGTGATCTCAGCAGTGGAGATAAAAAAAATTTTTTTTAAGAAACCTCATATGTATATTTTTACAAAGTGTGGCTGAAATTAGTTATATGAAAATACTAAGCTGGGAAACTTTCTTTAGAATCTTAAAGTTGGTGAGAATCCCAAAATATATGAGTCACAAGTCTGTATATTGTCCAAGAATCAAGACTTTTCAATCATAATAGAAATCATGTATGTTAAAGGAAAGTAAACAAAGATCTGCCTTGTGCACTCAAATTACATTATAAATAAACATTTTATAAGTCTATTTGTCTTATCTCCACTGTGGATTCTAAGTTCCCAGAGAACAGCAGATTTTAAGTTCCCAGAGAACAGTAGTGTCTGTTCATTTATTACAGTCCTTTAACAGTCTAGAATAGTATTTTTACAGTAATTTTTAATTGACGATTTTGCATTAGAAATTCTCTTTGCTGCTAAATTTGCCTGTGAGATTTCTTCCCAGTAAATTCTTGCCTCATACACATGATTAACCTGGAAGCAGCCATGTTAGTGACTTCATCCTCTTCAGGAGTGGGCGCGTAACTCAAATAACCCAGTAAATCCCTTCCATAGAATATTAGGACTTGAAAGAGAACAGATTGCAGGTAACGCCTACCTTGGTAACTGAAGGTTTAGGATAGGGAACCAGGGAACTGTCAACAACCATGAAGAGAAAAAGCAATGTCCAATAAAGGCATGATATAACCTGCAGAGGGAAGCTGAAATGGGGAATTAGAGGGAACCTAATGGAATTTTAGTCTTTTGCTGAGCCCCAGCCACAGCCTTGCCATTCTTGCAGTTATGTCATATCAATAAAGTCCTCCTTTGGCTTCAGCCACTTCATGTCAAGATCCTGTCACTTGTACCTGAAAGATTTCTGACTAATTCGCCATTTTTCCCTATAAATCCTCCTTACTTAGTCTTTTCCTGCTCTTTATTTCCAAATTCAAGTTGCATCTCCCTCGAGACAATCTATCTATATTTTGTTAAACAGTGAACCAAAAGAACCCAGATCAGATATCATAGAATTTTATGTTCAAAAGTATGTATTTATTAAACTTATAGCATTAAGAATCACTCAAAACAAAAGGCCTTCAGTTAAAATTTAAAGGTGTTTTCATAACAGCATATAACACAAGAGTAATCACCGAAAACATGTTTTCAATTGATCCAATTACATTTCTTATTAAACTCGATATGAATTTTCAATTGGTACATTTTGATTTTCTTTCCAACCACAATCCCTAACATTTGTCTAGTCTTTAAAATTTTACAATGTCTTTCCCATTTGTTATGTTTGAGGCTCTCAACAACCATATGAAATGTAGAATAGCTATTATTTGCATTTTTATACTGCTCCTGTTAGGCTAACTGCTACAATTCATAACCCGAAAAGCTCAGTGACTCAGAACAATAGAAGTTTGATTTTTGTTGATGTGGAGTCTGCAAAATCCAGGCAGCTCTCAGATGCCCTTGTGACATCACCATCTTCAATACCAACATAGCAAGAGAGAAGAGCAGGGGAAGGCACATCAGATAGCCAACCTCCACATCCCATTGGCCAGAAATAGTCACGTGGCCTTGGCTAAGCTGCAGGGAAGGATAAATGTAGTTGAACAGCAGCTTCCCAGAAACAAATCCACACTATGGAAGAAAGCATGGATTTAAGTTGCCAACTCTGTCATAATTTTATAAGGGAGGACACTGACAATCACATAGAGCGAGAACTGCAACAGACCAGTTACTCCAATCCAGGTCTTTCATATTTTAGATGATTTCCACTCACAGTGGCATGCATGTAAAGTTGATATTGAGTTACCCATACTGCTTTCCTTCTTCTCACTCCATTCATTTAGCTTTTCTTTAGAGACCCTTTTTAAAAAGTCAGTTATTTTAGAATTTATTTTTCTGATTTTCTTTCTCACTCTTGTCTTGCCCCACCACATTCACCACACTATCTCTGTTTGTGCACTTATTAGTATTTATCTATCTGTAATGTATTTCACAAAGATCTGTATTCCCTAATGGAACATGAGCACTTTGAAAGCAATCTTACTGCTTTAGGTATTTGGTACACGAAAGGTGATCAGTAAATGTTTGGTGACTCGGGAAACACTTTCTTCACATCTCAGTTTATTCAACACCTTGATCTCTCTCTCATAGATTAGATTTCATTTTTCCTGTATTAATAGGGAAGATCCAAACCAGGGAGCCAGAGCACACATTTCAGATATAAAAATGTAAGTTTGCATTCTTCTATATTTATCCCACTTTATTATCATTCTTGTTCAGTAGCAGGAACAGTCCCCCTTTTAAAAATGTTTGTTTAATCCTACCATTCAGCAGCCTTGAGAGTCAAGGTCCCTGTATTAGCTCTGAATTGATGGTTGGATGAGCTTTAAATCTTTGTGTTTTTTGACACTGTGCTGAGACAAACTCTTTGATTCAGGAAAACTGCATACTCCATGGAATAAAACTGCAGCAATTAATCAAATATTTAATTATATTGTAACAGAACACAGTTATCAAGCTTTTAACTAACAATAGTAAAGAGTCCCCAGTGACATAGCCAACAGAAGACACTAAGACACAAAAGGCTATTAAAATCTCAGTTCTTGCCGTCTCAGTGGAGAAATGCATGAGTGTTTAGTACAGATCAACACGAGAAGGCTAACAATTTGACAGCCAAGCCATTGAGACAAGTCCTTTCCCTTGGAGATTGCTTATTCCAGAGGTTCCCAATCACTGGTCTAGATTGACCTGGCAAATTTTTACTGCCTTGCACACCCTGAAGCAAAGCTCCTCATTCCCTTTTCCCTCTTGTCTCCTTTCTCACCCATGGAGTTATGGTCAAAAATCTAGATAGCATAATCCTGACAGTTTGCAGAGCGATGTCTTGAAAAGCATGCAACAACAAAACCATCAGAAACAATCCTACCACTCTACTTTTGACTAATTGAAAATCAATTCAGAATCTAAAAACTAATGTGAAACATTAATTTTGTGTTCTTATTACATGCACCTTACATGGTATCTAGATGTCTCCTCTTCTTGATCTCTTTCCCTCCTTTTCTACCTCTCAGCTTTAAACCTAAACTTCTGGTTTATTCTACTGCTGTCTTTCTGTCCAAGGACATAGAAGCAGGTTCCTTTCCCCTCCTGCTGGTAAGGCAAGGCTGGAAATGGATATTCTTTAGACTGGAGTTCATGTAAGATAATTCAATTTCTCTCTCAGTAATATTGAGATGGGTTTAAAAAACTCTTCATAGCAATGTGAGTATGGGGAGAAACAAAAGTGATAAGGGAACAGAGAGTCTCACTCTGCCACAAAAGTTTACCTACACACCACAGTCTGGGATGGGAAACAATTGGTCTATCCAACATAACTCTTTCTCACATATACAGCCCACACCCACTTTTCCAGACCAAAAAGAATTATTTCTGCTTTCCAATAAATGTGTCAAGAGCTGTCTATCAGTGACAACGTTCAGATTTAAGGTGAAGGTTTAACTCTTATGAGGCCAAAACTGAAAAACTCTGTGGTGGTTAACTTATTTTTACATTATATTTATGGAGTTGGAAAGGGACATTAACTGGGTTCCTAGTACATGCATGGTGGTGTAAAAAGTCTTATGAAATAAAAATAGAATCAAACTTCACTTCTTGCTTTTTAATCTAGAAGGAGAAAGAAGAAATATCAACATCTTTACATACCTTTGGTAACTCTTCATTTTCTATATAAAGTCCAAACTTTGTAGCACAGTATGATGGAGTGGATTATCATTTCAATTCTTCACTCCTTTTCTATTAAAAAAAAATGCATCTGCACCCTTAGCCATCTGATTTTCAGTCCCACCTGGTAGAATGAGAAAAAAAATACACAATGCTACACTCAACTTGGTCATGTGGCTTGCTTTGAGCAGAAGAATGTGGATGAAAGAGAGTGTGACACTTCAAAACAGAGAGTTTAAGAGGCATTGCTTGCACCCTGAAGCTTAAGCCCCTACCACGAAAACAACACATCCCATATGTTGGCTCTTCCTTTAGCTTGGGTCTGGGAATGAGAAGGCACGTGAAACCGAGTCAAGCTGAGACAAATCAAACCAAGTCAAGCCCAGCAAGAGCCAGCAAAAGCCTGAGTGCCTTATGTAACATGAGCAATAAATAAATATCTCTTGTAGTAAGTTACTGTAACTTTGTAGTTGCTTATTGCTGCAGCAAAAGCTAACTAATACATATAGTGTCAAAAAATTCGCAATCCCTCCCCAGCATACCTTCTCAGTTGCACCTGACACCCTTCCACTCTCTACAAACTGTGTTTCAGCTAAATGTGCTGTTTCCTAAATGTATGCTGTGCCTGTCCTCCTCTATGGCTTGGCTCATGAAGATCCCCTGGCCTAGAATATACATGTTCTAGTGGAAAGAGCAGAGGCTTTGGAGTCTAATAAGCCAGGTTTTCAAATCAAGACCATCACTCTATTAACTGTGAGGTGCTGTACAGATTACTGAACTTCTCAATCTCAATAGCCCTCTCTGTGTGGATTTGGGGGAGATCAGGGAAAAAAAGCATAGACTATAAAATCAGACCAACTCATATTCTCTGCTAATGATTATTTTGAGCCAATTAATTTGAGCCTCAGTCTCATAATCTGTAAAATCATGATCATGGGGTGGTTAGGATGATTAAATTGCATGAAGTTGGGAGATCAAATAGCATAGCACTTGACACTCAGAAGGTCCTAATTAAATTTTTGTTGATGGAAAACAAACAAATAAGTAAAGTAACAATCCAACAGAATAAAAGATACCATAAAGCAGTTTTAAAATAATTTTTAGATTAATAGATATGCATTTTCTAAATCGTGCTTCATAGAACATTAGTTTTGCTCAAGATATTAAAATGTGTTTCTCCAGAAACGTGTTCTATGGTTAAATAAGTTTAGAAAACCCTGCGTAAAATATCTCCCTTTAGAGATTTATAAATGTACATTAACAATTAAAGGTTTTGAGAAGTCATGTGATAAAGAATCCTATTTAAATTAATTCAGTACTTCCAAAATTACTTGATCATTCCAACCTTCCCCTCATATTGCAACACTTATTACCATCTGCTGGGCTACAATATTTTTTAGGACATGGTTTGTGTCTTAGGCTTCGTGGGCTACCATAACAAAATACCATAGACTGGGTGGATTCACCATAAGCAATTTATTTTCTCACAGTTCTGGAGGTTGGAAGTTCAAAAGTAAGTTGCCAGTGTGGTAAGTTTCTGGTGAGGGCTCTTTTTCTGACTTGCAGATAGCTGTCTTTTCACTATGTCTCTACATGATGAGAAAGAAAGATCTCTCTCTCTCGCTCTCTCTCTTCCTTTTCTCATAAGGCCACAAATCTTACAAGATTAATACCCCACCCTTAGGACCTAATTTAACCTAATTAACTCCTAAAAGTCCTGTCTCCATATACAGTCACCTTGGGCATAAGGGCTTCAACATATGAGTTTGTAGGGGTGGAGAGAGGGGGATGCAATTCAGTTGATAGCAGTTTGGAAAATGCTGGTAAAACATGGAGTATAATAGAGATTTAGTAGGGTGAATTCAGCCTACTTTGGCAGAAACAGGGGCTCTTTTACTGAGAAGGTAGGATTTAAATTAGCCTGGGCCCAAGGGGAAATTTAGCAAGTTATTTGAGGGATCTGTAAAATGGTCTGTTTTAAGCTGTTGCCCTCATCAAATTTCAGGAGTATGAGCAATTTACTGATTCAGGATGAGTAGATAGGATAGGAGTATTTCATGGCTAAAACCTCCAACATTAAAAATCAGATGTGTTCATTCACTTCTCTGCCTATGTATGTCCTTCCACCAACTTCCAACATTGCCCTACTAAGACATTAGGAAGAAAGATTTACACCATGATAATCATTTTGGAGGCTACCAAACACAGAAACAGAAAGAAATGAAAAGTAAATTTTATTCTCACCTTTTGGGCTCAAACCAACTTCCTGCCAAGAAATCTTCTGTTTAGAGGGCATGAATCTGGGGAAATGGTCACATAAATGAACTTGAATAAAGGGCAGATAACTCAGCTCCATGGATTAAGGCCCAAGAACTAAGGCAACTAGGATCATCGGTAGCCTCCCTCCGTAAATGGTTAACTTGATTAACTCCAATGCTTCCTTTTTTCACACATCATGGTGTAGAAATAAAGCAGGAACTGGAATTAATTATGTCACAAAGCTATTGCATCTTATTTGGTGCTAGATCTCTGTTTTTTATCAAGCCATCCATTTTTTTTAATAATGAGAAGAAGCTTGTTTGTTTTAAGTTTACACAGCTTAAGAGAACATTCTAGTACAAATTAACTTAATGTGCTATGAACATATACAGAATTGAAAATGCAAATGTTCACAGGAACAAGCATGGCAAATGCAAATGAATATAATTGGTCAAAAGTACAAATGGTAGGGAGTGGTGGGAATAGTAGCAAACTGGGAGTATGTGCTTCGTCTAAAGGGCCCTTCCTACTCCAGATTTCTAACCAATATTACCTTGTAAATATGTAAACTTAGTGCTGCCACATCTCCTGATTTTTCAAGTAAAGCTTGAAATCTGGATTTTTATGTGAAATATTCTAACTTTTAAATGTTGGCAACCAATTAGACATTTTTAGACTCTCTCTATACAGATATAAATATAGTCCTGCCCCTGACACGTATACATATACATATGCACACACATTTGCAGGACAAGTCCAGCCCACAGGTCGCCACTTTTTAACCTGTGCCATAGGCAATAAATACTTACTAATTGAAGACATCAAAACTATCCTAGAATACACTGCTTCTCCCTTCAATTGAGGAATACATCAGTCCTGGTATTTTCAGACCAGCAGCTGGGATTGTCGGAATGATACAACATTGGTTTTCATCTTTGTTCTATAAAGAGAATTGGCCGCTAAGATTTATGGAAATGACTGAGAGAAGTTGCCATCAAATGTCATTTCTTCTCTGTTATACAAATACTTCATAAAGATCCCTAGTTAAGATGTCATTATAGATGAAATAGGTGTGGACTTTCACCACCTGATTAAATGTCAAATTGGAAACATTACTACCCTTCCCATACTTATGATGAATATTACTTCAAGATGATGACATTAAGTCATGCATAAAAAGTTATGCACATAATATTATGTCATTAGGATTTAATTGCAAGATGCATTACATATAAAACCCATACCTCAAATAACTAACATGGTTTTTGTTTGTGTATTTTTTCTCCGGGATGGATGACTGTCACCCTCAGGAGAAGATACCTCAAGAGCAAAGAAGAAAGCTGAGGTCAAATTTCAGAGGATTTGCAAAATTCTGGTTTTTCTATGGAAAGCTGTGTTTCTTGCATTCCTTTTCCAATTCTATACCTCACCTGTCTCCCACCCAAAGAGAAAACAAGATTCAGGGCGTTGACAAGGTATGTTCTGGTTCATTTCTTAAAGGATCAACTTTTGGACCATCTTCCCCATCCCTCTTTACTGGGAAGGTAGGAATCTTTTCCTCCCCTGCCAGTTGTACGACCCTCACCCACATCCTAGGTTCTCTGCCTGCTACAGGCATCCACTTGGCCAAGAGACTTGCCCCAGGCTAAATAATTAGATCTTTTTACCCCCATAATTGAAGTGGGATCTAAGAAACAATCTGAGCTTTTGTTTTAAATAGAGGAGATGTGAAATGGGCACCTGTGATGTGGCTACCTTCCACCAGCCTAAGAAATAGCAAAGAGTAATGCAGAGAGATGGAGCAATCCTTTGAGACAGGGAGAAAGTTCTGGGAACTGCTGTTCATGTTTCTAAATGCATTCTACTGCCTGTCAGCATTCACGCTGTTGGGCTCCTTGTGACGACTCTATACCCTTAAAACAAATACTCCTCTTCCTTTCATAAGCCAGTTCAAATCTGTTATCAAGAACTGATGAGTTCAACAGCAATTCTCTTTTGCAAACCTTATCAAGTTCAATCCAAGACATTGTATAATATAAAAACTAAACAACTTTTTTTACCTCAAAATGGCTGGCTGGAAAATGAAACTCATGGTGTCTCTTTAGAGGTGTCCATCCAAATTTAGTCAAGTTTTTATGGAGAAAGTAAGAAGAAACATGACATGATGAATCTTTCACTGAAATGGGGACCTCCTTAGGCAGAGCACAGTCCGTACAAACATAAAGCTGCCTCTTTTTCTGTTTTCTTCCAGAGAAGTGAGAGACCATAGCAAAAGTGCAGGCAGAGTGGTTGGGTCCACCTACAACTGGGTCAACTGAAACTTGCAAAACAAGGTAGTAAAGCAGGATTCATTCCATTTAAGGCCATCATTGTTACTGAGTACCAAAATCTGATGGCAAAACCTTGCTATGATTTATTCCACAGAAGAGGGTCCCTCCCTGGTTCTCTTTTCTGGGCCTCAACCCCACCCCCACCTCCACCATAGCTTTATAGTTTTACTTTTAATTTCACCCAGCTCAACTCTTAGCTTTATAATGACTTTAACTGTTCAATATTTAATGAACCAATTAATTAAATAACATTTATTATTCCGTAGGACAGTGGTTCTCATATTTTAGTGTGCAACAGAATTACCAGGGGAGCTTGTTAAGAACTCCAGGCACCCACCAACCCAGAGATTCTGATTCAGTGTGTCTGAAGTGTGGAGCAGGGATTTTATTTTTAACAGTCATTCCTGCTGCATCTGATTTTGGTGATCAGTTGACAACATTCTGGGACACACTACTCTAGAAATATAGAATTATAAGACTACATGCTCTGGAGGTGGTAATGAAAGCTGGCAAGATGTTACAAACTCCTGGTTTGTTACTAAATAGCTGTGTGTTTGGGGGCAAGTTATTAAATGCCCCAAGACTCAGTTTTCTTATCTGTAAAAAGAGAAAAATAATAATATCTAAGTCATGGGGTTGCTATGGACATTAAGTGAGATAACATAGCTAAAGTTCATATTCCAATCTGCCCTGCTTAAGAATCTTGCTAATTCTAGATGCCTCCTGCCATCAGCCAGCAGTTCAAGAGCAACGCGGGAAAAGGGTCAGGCTCTGCTAAAAGAACCATGGAAAGTTCCAGAAAAGCACATATGCATCCCAGTTTATCTGTGGACTGGGGAAGAAAGGGGCAGTAGAGTAGTGTAAGCTAAAATGGTGTAATGAGTGGGAGATGTTCACCCATAAATCACTCACCTCAGGGGATGAGAGGCAGTACTATGTGAAGGTAAACGAGGATGATCACTGCTACCAAGGTGACCCCAAGAAAATCCCTTTGGGATGAGTGACACTTTCCAACCTAAATGATCCTGTACTTGGCATCATTTGCAGTGTATATACATAGATGTTACAGTCTTATATTTAGAAAAAAATGGGTAGCTGGTGGCCGCTGACCTTCGCTGGCCCAGGGTGACCACCTTAAATCAAGAGCTTGCTATAACACAGCTGAGCTTAGCGATTTTAATGAGAAATCTAGTCCTGCTGGATTACTGTTCCTGGGACACATCTTGTCAGCAATTCCTCAGGAAATTATTCAACCATCCCCAATTGCAAAGAAACAGATGGCGTGCTGGAAAAAAAAATACTCTGAAGTGTATGCGCTGGTAAAAAGCAAATTTAAGGACACAAAGGCCAACACTGAAACAAATACTAAAAGTACTTTTTCCCTCAGAAAAATGGTCTTGCAGATATTTTTGTTTTCCCTCCCCTTTTAAACTGTGAACTGTGCCAGTCATCAGCTTGAATACGCAATGGAGAGATTTGTTTGACATTTCAGAGGCATTTAACAGAGACAGCTTTTTTTAATAATATAGAATAATACTGATCAAATGTTTTCATGGAAGATCAAGTTTTAAAATTTGTATTAATGCCCTGCTTTCTTTCTTCTAATATCCTTTAACCAAGACTCTTGGATCACACTCTATTATGCCAACTGCCCATTAAGAAATGCTGAACTATTATTAAAAATTATCATGGCACCTGAGAAAATAGCAGTGTAACCCTCATGAATATTAAATCTTTTCATAATGATCAGTGTTATTACCATGAATACTAAATGTTATGAATTCATTGCAAATTCATAATGCTTAGTGTGAACACTTGGCCTGTAACCAGAAAGTCTGAATTATATTTGGCAAATGTTTGAATCAATTTTAGTTATAAAACCAGAAAAAGAGAAATGGATAAAACTTTCGGTCTTCAGTCTCAGAGGCCAGTGGGTCTTAGGACTCTTGCAAAAGGAATGCCAGTTGCAATTTTCAAACATTTCATGTCAGTGTTTAAATCTTTTTCAGAATTCCCATTCCTATTTAATTATATCCCAGAGAAGAAGAGTTGGAGCATTATTAGGAATGAGAGACTAGCACATTCAGCTCTTAGTCTGTGACAGTACCTACATGGCATTAACTTTGAGAGTTTAATACTACAACATAGCATGGAAGTGATTATGACCCTAGAAGAAACTTGCAAAAAATAATCATGACAAAGCCTGCAGTTATTACAAACAAAGCCAATTTTTGGTCCTTACACCTCCCACTGAAGCAAGCATCAACAAGTTTTGCTCCAATAACTGAAATGCACAGCTACACAAAAACAAATATAAGGAGCGTTTGTTATGATTGACTGATCGCAAACCTTTGACCATGTGTTTTTATAATCACATGACATTCAGGCAAATAAAACTGAATGATTGATTCTCAAGACATTCCAAGAGCAGAGTAACAAACAGCGGCTCTGGCAAATGGATCTTAATGGAAATCTGATGGGAAAGTGGATCTCTCTCACGGGGGTTCCTGCTCAAAAACTGTTGGATGGTTTACAATAAACTGAAAATCTACATTTCATGAGCATCCCTTAATGGAATCCCATACAGTTATCTTTAATAAGTAGGTCTCCCCATTCATGTTGTATGATCAAAACTCATAACAGCCAGACTTTTGAGTTTGCATTCATGCAAAGGAGCTCAAATTCAAATTCTCTCCTTGAAAAATACATTTCAAAATCCATAGATATCCTAGATGTTCAGCATCCTTCAGGGGTTAAAAGCATGTACAATATAGATTTTAAGTACTATAATTTTATCTGAATTAGTTTAAGTGCCACCTGCAATTTTATTGAAAATATCCTAAAATATTCTTTAGGAATTAGAAAAGGTTTTGATTGATGGGCAGATTTAAGCATCTCATAATTTCCTAAAACATTTTCTCACAGTCCTTAGCACTAATTCTTTAAGGTGATGAGGAATAGGAGACAGATGCTAATTTTGCCTCAGGGAATTTCTATGAAGTTATAGGATGGCACTGAAACTGCAAAACAGCAGGATTTAACTAAACAGAACATCAATCAGTAAAGAACAGTATGGTGTGCCTGGAATCCATTCAGAACTTCCTCAGGGCAGATTCCAAGATATTTTTTTCCCTCTAAATTTTAAGTCTCATAAGTAATGTCTTAACATTCTTCCAGTAATTTCTTACATTATACAATCACGGCCAACCAGGTGGCTCCCACAAATTACTAAGCTAACAGTACACTAGCAGGAATTATTGGGCTCTTCAGAATAATTACCCTGCATTCTTCTTAAATTTATCCAGATTCCTTTAGCATCCTCTGAATCCCTTTGGTTTCAACAACACTTTCTCAACAGTTTCAGAAGTTCTTCAGAGTCTGAAAGTCCCAGAGTAGAAGCACAGGTAAAAATTTTTCATAAGTTCCCAGAGAATCAGGAATAACATTTCTAAGTTCAAAAATAGCAAATGTGAGGACACAAAGGCCAATGCTGACACAAATACTAAAAGTACTTTACTTATCAAGGCTAACAAACTGTGTGAAATTTTAAAGCAGTACCATGGGGAAAGAAAAATTTCAAAATCCCAGTTTACATGAATTCAGATGAAAGAGTATGTTAGAAGGAATAAAAGGATCTGATTTTGATTCCTGGGTCTTTCATGTAAAGTGAAAGATTACTTGACTTTTCTGGGTCTCTGCCTTTATCTGTAAAATGGGGATAAATAATTACATACCTTGCAGGATTGTTGTGAGAATTAAATGAAAAATCATTTGTAAAGCACAATGGCAGACACGGAAATTTGGCTTAATAAACATTTATTTTCCCTAGGATTAGAGGGTCCTCTCATAAGTGTTCTTTTTCTGTATTCTTATAGAGGGCTGGGACAGGGACAGCCATTTTTGTTAATCTCCTTTTTATAAAGCCCCCTCATTAAATGATAGCTTCTCTTCTTTATCAGAAATTGCGGACTGCAAAGAATAGACACTCATTTAAACTAAGCTCAAATAAAGCAGGGAGATTGGAAGGATATGGGGAAAGTGCAAGGAAAGGTCTTTGATGACTTAGGAACACAAATGTCGTGTGACCAAGGCAACTGCTCTGCTTCTCTCTGTCTTTCCCTCTGAAGCCAATTGGTCTCTCTTCCCTGCTTCTCTTTTCTTGTCTCCTTTCCTCTCCTGTGTCACTTTGAGGGCTCTTCTTATTAATCAGGAAAGCATGTGGCTGAAAATATACCCTGTCCCAGCCCTATTACTACATGGTAGCTGCATGTAAGCATGCATCTTCCTATGAGTACACACTCAGAGTCTTTAACATCAGACTTGCAAGACAAACAATACGGCTTGTCTCTGGCAAACTGAGTTGATCTCTATTCTGATAGATTGTGACAGGAGGGGGAAACAGAAGAAGCAGCTACTCAGACCCATCCCTTCAGCAACGGCTATGACTCGGGGCAGTTCCCAAGGAAGAAAGTGTAAATTAGGGATGCAACCCAAAGAAGGTCAACTCAGCTTCTCAATAAGATGTTATCTTTGGCTTTGTTTCTTATGCCTCAAGAGCCCAGAGATATTGGTAAAGCTGCAGCACAGTGCTGTTGGTCAATGAGCATGCATAGTTGTCATGTCTCTCAAAAACTAAGATCATGAACAACTTTGAAAGTCAGGCCCTAAGCAACTGCAAAGCAGGTTCATGTTGCACTGGTTATCCCTTCAGCCCATTCATCTTGGGTAGTAATTTCTACCTGTTTCATGAGTGAGATGGAATACTCACAAAACGAGTTGAGTGAAATAACTTTATTACTCACAGGTAGGCAACAAGGGACAGTAGAAGCCAATGATTTAAGACAAGCCAGTTTTCCAAGGCTCAGGAAAACTACACGGGGCAGAGGGAATCTTGTCTGTGCATTCCACATATCATACTTCAGCTGAGGGACCCTGAAAAGTAGCCCACTCTGAGTTATATACCCCAGGATTATGTGACACGCTGAGCTACAGTGTGTAAAATGTCTTGTTCTGGGAAGGACAGAAACAAAGCCCAGGGTGTTTTCAGCCAATTTCTCTTTATATTGAGACATTGCATTCCCAGCACATTCTACAGTTTTTCTTGAGAACTATAAATGAGAAAGGAAAAGGAAGTGGGTCAGTCCAAGGCTATTCAGATAACTGTCCCACAACAACCACAGAAATTCTCAAGCAGCTCCAAAATTAGAAAATAGTGCTAAGCCTATTGCCTTTCCCATTTCTTCTCTCACCTATTGTAAATATGTCTAGTCACTCCCACACATATATTGCACACAGTCACCCCCTTGCACAGGTGTACCCACAATTCACAGTCTGTAATGAAGCCTTCTCTTCCTCCCTTAACCAAACATTTTAAATCCCTCTCCTTCTTTCCAACTACTTTACTTAACATTTCTTCTATTCTTCCTTCATTTTCCAGTTTTTCAGCCCTCAATTCCATCCAGAACTAAATTGGGATCTGTATACAATACTAAAATCAAGTTATAGTAGCTAAGTTTTATTGATAGATGTCTAAGGGATATCAGGGATAAAATAGATGTCTAAGGGATAATAGGGATAAAACAGATGTTACCTTGCTTCATTTGTTCTAAATCAAATTTACTCTTGTGCTAAGCCCCTCACTAATCAGAGAGTTAATAAATTGAATCTTAGACATGCAAATGTTCTTTGTAAAAGTTTATGGAAAATTATGACACAACTATTTATGAATTTCAAATTTTTTTGCACCAAAATAAACTCATACTAACTTGTTATAACATGTCTAAATAGGATTTAGTTTGAAGCACTATGAAGGATAAGAAATCACTTTGAAAGAGACCCTATCATAGCAACATTAATTCTGCTAAAATTAAAGCAGAGGTAAACATCAAGTTTATAAGGAAGCTTGGGTGGAAGAATGGTGAAATTGTTGGTGCTTCACAGTTTATGAGGACAATGATCCAAAGAAATCAGATTACAAAGGGATATGACGTTTTAACAAAGAACAAGGCAATGGTGAAGATAAAGCCCTCAGTGACAAACCATCTACATCAGTTTGTGAGAAAAAAATGCATCTTGTTTGTGCCCTAATTGAAGAGGACCAACAATAAATAGCACAAACAATAGCCAACACCACAGACATTTCAATTCATTCAGTGTGCACAATTCTGACTGGAAAATTTAAGTTGAGCAAAATTTCCACTTGATTAATGCCAAAACCATTCCACCAAGATTAGCTTCATAAAAAGAGCAGAGCTTTCAATGGAAATTTTAAACAAGTGGGATCAAGATTCTTAACCATTTCTTCAAAGAATTGTAACAGGAGATGAAATGTGACTTTACTAGAACAATCCTGAAGACAAAGCACAATCAAAGTAATGGCTACCAACAGATGGAAGTGATCCAGTCAAGAGCAAAGGTTACGGCAACAGTTCTGTGGGATGCTCAAGGTATTTTGCTTGTTGACTTTCTGGAGGGCCAAAGAACAATAACATCTGTTTATTGTGAGAGTGTTTTGAGGAAGTTAGCCAAAGATTTAGCAGAAAAATGCCTGGGAAAACCTTCTCCACCATGACAATGTTCCTGCTCATTCCTCTCATCAAACAAGGACAATTTTGTGAGAGTCTCAGTAAGAAATAATTAAGCATCCCCCTTACAGTCCTGATTTGGTACCTTCTGTTTTTGTTTTCTAATCCTAAAAGAATCCGTAAAAGGCACCCATTTTTCTGCAGTTAATAATGTGAAAAAGACTTTATTGACATGGTGAAATTCCCATGACCCTCAATTCTTTAGGGATGGACTGATATCATCGCTTCTAAAAGCGTCTTGAATTGATGAAGCTTATGTTGAGAAATAAAGTTTACATTTTTGGTTTTTATCTTTTAATTACATTCTCCATGAACCTTCTGAAATCCTCTTATATTTAGGGAGTTCTCCTTCTCTCTAGGGAGTTATTCAGTAGAGCCAGAGGGTATATCCAATCTTTAAATTGGTGAAAGAGGACTCTTTTCTTCAAACCATCATGACTGTCTTTGAGATGCTTGTTAGCCAGGGTACACACATTCATACACAAACACACACATTCACACATAAATACATACACACACTCTAGGCTCTCTGAAGGCAAGTGTTTCTCCCTACGTCTTGCTAAGCTTGGGCATGGGACATTTTGCCCTGGCTGGGATGCAGTGGAGAGATTTTTTTCAAGTATTTATGTGAACATGCCCACCTGGAGTATCTAGAAGGTAGCCAACCTTGAATAGGAGTGAGGAAATCCGGTTCTCTCCTTTCTGGGTCAAACCACATCTCCTTTTTCTGGTGTTCTGAGACCTATTCCCTTTTAGGCAATCCATTCCCTCAGTGAATTTATATTTTCAAAAACATAAAAGTGGTAATTTCCCCCTGAGGGCACAAAATGCCCAACTTCTGGCACTCTCAGCTTGGTCACTCTGTGAAAGTTAAAAACAAAAAAAAAAGAGAAAAATAACCCTCATTTATTTTCCAACTCTCTTGTAACTGTGAGAACAAAACAGATATTAATATTACGTGTCTTAGCAACTCCTTATAAGTGAAACTTTTAAAATGACTATGTTCTGGGCCTCTTCCCAAGCTGCTGATTACAGGGGTATTTTCCCAGAAGCTGAAGGTGAGCATTTTGACCATTTAGTTGGTCTGTAAGGGGTCATGGAAAGGAGATATTTCTACTGTCTCCAACACTGGTAAAGAGGCCAGTGCCTTCAGGCAGCTAGAGTAGAGTGGTGACTGCACAGATGTTCTAATGTGCCCCTCCATTTCTTTCTTTTTTTTTTATACTTTAAGTTCTAGGGTACATGTGCACAATGTGCAGGTTTGTTACATATGTATACATGTGCCATATTGGTGTGCTGCACCCAATAACTCATCATTTACATTAGGTATATCTCCTAATGCTATCCCTCCCCCATCCCCCCACCCCACAACAGGCCCCAGTGCATAATGTTCCCCTTACTGTGTCCAAGTGTTCTCATTGTTCAATTCCCACCTATGAGTGAGAACATGCAGTGTTTGGTTTTTTGTCCTTGTGATAGTTTGCTAAGAATGATGGTTTCCAGCTTCATCCATGTCCCTACAAAAGACATGAACTCATCCTTTTTTATGGCTGTATATGTGCCACATTTTCTTAATCCAGTCTATCATTGATGGACATTTGGGTTGGTTCCAAGTCTTTGCTATTGTGAAGAAACATACGTGTGCATGTGTCTTTATAGCAGCATGATTTATAATCCTTTGGGTATATACCCAGTAATGGGATGGCTGGGTCAAATGGTATTTCTAGTTCTAGATCCTTGAGGAATCGCCACGGTGCCCCTCCATTTATCTATTAAGCAGGAATAATATTACGTATGGCTGTTGTAAGAATTGAGTGTGGTAACACTTGAAAGTGTAACTCATACTATGTTGTGCAGGAGTTGACCTAAGAGTAATGCCGGCAGGGTATTTAATGATATTACAGAGGAAGTTTCTTATGCTGTACAATCAGGAAGCCACTGTCTCCTTGAACTCCAAGAACTATCTTTCTGCAAGAGAGTTTTAAAACACCCACCCTTGAATAGTTGCAGGTCGCAATGAATGCTAATCAGTGCAGAAAAAATGTAAGGCTAAAGCAAAAGCTAAAGACTACCTAAAATAAGAGATGGGCTCCACAGTTCAGCAATAAAGCTGGAGCCAGCATTTTTCAAAGAATATCATCCACCTGCCTTCCACCCTCCTCACTGTCTCTCATCAGTGTCCGGGGAGATAATGTCACATGTGAAAGTATATGAGCTCATCTGTTGGGGTACTTGGGGCAAAAGTAAGCTTTTTTGTGTAAAAACAGGTTTGGGAAGCAAGAAAAAGTTTCTTTTTCTTTTTTTTTTTTAAGTGAAGTTCTTGGATGCAGTAGAAAAGAAATGAAGGAAAAGAGATGTCTTATCACATGACACATGCGTGGGCAGGTAAGGCCAAGAATGGGCAGCTAGAAAGCATTTGCTGAGCCAACCTGAGTAAAGTTAGAGGGCCTTTAACAGGAGAGCCCGGAGGTCAGGGTGGAATGAAAGATCAGGGAGGGGAATCATACTCAAACACTATAGATAAATGCAAAGCTTTCATTAAGAATAGTGATTTTAACGCTACTGATAAAATACTGCTAACGTATCTGGCTTTTTGTTGCTGGGCATTATTTGAAGCATTTTAATACTTTACTACATTTAATCTCACAATACCTTGTGAAGTAGTTCTATTGTTATGGATAGCACAGCTAGGAAGTGGCAGAGCTGGAACTAGAATGTAAGAGGTCTGACTTCACAGTCCAAATGCAGACATGGTCCTTATTAGATGTACAGAACTTCTTCGGGTATTTTACATATTATAACTCACTCAGTACACTTAGCCACTCTATTACATAAATGCTATTAAAAACCAATTATGTATCTACAGATATTCATGGGAAAAGTACACTACCCAAAGATTATATTTTGGTCACATATGTAAGGAAAAGCTAATAACATTCAGAAATTAGTTGGATGAGCCCTGAAGCATGAAGCAAAAATCCTAGGTCAGACCATCTTCTGAGGATGACCTGGACCAGACTGGCACAAGGGCTAGTAGTACAGATTACTAGCATAATCTGTAGAATTATGCTTTCTACAGATTATCACCAAATCCTCTATGAAGATGAATCTGAGACTCAAATCACCATGAAAGAGCATTTATTAAATACTTCATTAGATATAAGAGAAATTCACTTAATGCATATGACATATATATACATATATGTAGATATATAGATAGATAAATAGGTATCTACAGATAGATACAGACTTATAGGTATCTATAAAAAGATATAAATATATACAAAACACCTGGATCAAGCTAGAAATCCAGGTAAGCAGCACATTCTTATAGAATTCAATCTGAGTTCTGAGCAGTTATAAACCAAAAACAACAGCAACACACACACAAATAGCCAGCACAGTATCTAAACCAGGTAGGAGATAAACAAACTAACATTTATTGAGAGCTTAATTCCGTGTGAAGAAAACTTTAGGCACTTCATTCTAACTGGTTTAAATTGTTACTTACACAAAAGTATATCTATTTAAATCTAAGAAATTTTCTTTCAAGACCATCGGCTGGCTTTCCAGGGGCCAAAAATGAATGGCGAAAAAACTACTGAAATTAAGGTATTTTAAGAAGACATAACTCTATGTCAAGGTGTAGCTTAAAAGTGATAGAGGAGAGAGGATGATGTGCCTTAATGGGGAGAAAGTTTCAGGCATCCCAGCACAAGGAACATGTTGCAAAATTCTGCTTTGGCCAAAGAGACTCAGAACCACACCGGCATTATGGTGATAGACTGTAAGCACCTCAATAGTGTCAACAGGAGACTAGAGCATTGCTGAGACAGAACTGGGGTATTCTACCTGAATTGGAGTGCACAGACCTTCACATTGTCAAGAATGTGCTGGAAGAAAGAAAAACAAAGATCAGAGAAATAGAGTGATGCTCAAAGAAATGGCAACAGAAGAACATCTCTGTGGCAAGGCAATGATGTGCCCTGACAGCTCAAACTTTGGGGTTTTCAGATGCAAATTTCAAAAGGAAATGGCCACCCTTTCAGCTGAGCTGATGGTGAATAATTACTTCATGTCTATACTTATGCTCAAATTAGATGGTTTTTAAAATATTACGCTGACAGGCAGGTCTCATAGCAATCATAATTCAATATTTTGATGAATAATTTTCTCTGAACATCATGACTACTGCACTGGCCTGTCTTTCTTATGTCACATGGAATCCAAGTGAAGGGAACTAATGTGGAAGTGAATTATATGACCCACCAGGTGAGCATATAAAGAATACCTTTGCAGGGTCAATCATAAAAGTAAGGTTTTTTTTTCTTACCTTTCAGTTCTTAAATAAAGTGAGGGGCCTCTCAAAGAGGCAAATGGTCTGAGACTGCCTGCTGTTTGGAGAATGAAGGCAAGGTAGTGAAAGAAGCTGGAGATACTGTAGTACTAGATCTTGATTTGAATCCTGACTCTACCATTGAACCAGCATTGATGTGCTTGGCAAAGTGACTTTTCTGGGCTTCTGTTTTCCTTCCTGCTTAACAAGTAGTTTTATCTATTTCACAGGGTTTTGTGAAGAGTTCAAATCTAAACATATTTGAGTGTGACTTTCACTGTCTCCAGAAGGTTTACCTGGGGATCGCATTGCCAAGCCTGCAACATACATCATATGAAAACTGTGCCTTATCAGTTCCTATGTCAATAATGAAATATGAAGACATTGCTTTACAAATCATTCATTTTTCTAAGCATTTGTTCACTTAATTTTTAAAATTCCGTCTTATAATTCCTACAACTTGTAATGCTAAAATGTTCTTCCCTATTTTAAAAATGATATAGTGCATAAAACCTGTGTAAAACACTCTATGCATATCTGAGGTCTCATAGGAAGAGGCACTTGACAAAATCTACTTTTACCTTACAAAACTTCATTTGTGCAGACAACTAAATACTGCTCTCTCTAGATTTTGACCACTGGATTTATTAAGTGATGTATCTGAAAGAATAAGATTGTTCACTGGATGTATAATGATTTATATTAATAAATAATATATAGCATTAATAAGTAGTTAAAAATTATTAAGATATATTGGAAAGGCATATGTTATACTAGATACCTAGTAATATATGTAAAGTATCTAGTACAGTAGTGGCATAAAGTGAACACTTAGAAAATGATAGCTGGCATCAATGAGTGTCCTATAGAAGTTAATAGTCAAAACAAAGTGCTAGTCTGCTCACTTGGAATATGCTTTGCCTTTTGTAAATAGCAGCAGCCTACATCCTGAAGGAAATGATCTTATCTTGATGTGAGAGTATTTAACTTTTAAAGGGCTATTAGAAGATCCACTATAATAACTGTGCACGTTTTGGGGTCCCTAATTATCTTTTTAGGCAACTTTGATGTTTCTCAGCATTTCAAAGTCTCAGTCAGTATATACTAGTGCATTTTCTTTGTCTTACAATCTATTAAAAATACTAGAATCTGTTATTTTGTTATTAAAAACATCACTTTACCTCTGACCACCTATTTTTGCTGTGCAACATACATCATAATTGTCAGCTATTGCTTTTCTGAATGCATCAATTGAATAGAATTTGTGACTGTGAATGTCTGAATCACAATCCACCACCTTTCAAAAGCAACAGATCTCTTGTCACTCTCAATCAAAAGTTATATCCTCCTTCCTCTTCTAGGGTAATACTTGGTAGCCTGATGCTATATGAAACCTATGTACCTATTAACTCTTGTATTGTATGCCTCTTGCTAGGATATTGATAGCCTCTAATTGTTCTGAACTTACAGTCCAGAAAATTTCTTAGACGAAATTGTAGCAGGGGCTTATATCTCAATATGGCATCAGCGTTTATCTCCTCTCTCTTTTGGGACACCATCATACTGTTACTAAAGGAACAGATAGATATAACCCAACAGCAACAAAGAGAACGAGAGTGAAATCATCTGTAATCAAGACATTTCATAAAATTTTTATAAGACAAAAAAACAGACAGATGAGTCTGAAGACTGTTGGAGAAAGACGGAGAAGGCCATAACCAAGGATACTAGTTAAGTGGATTGCAATCTGTAAGAGAACAAATATGATGGAGGACAGATTCAAAGCATAGGCTTGAAAAGAGAAGGGTTAATTGAAAGCCTATAGATGGAATTGTCAACACTCTTTCTCTCATCTACCCAGGCAGAGCACTCTGAAGTGAGATATATGTATCCTTTCCCCTGGGGGTTGGGAAAGGAGTGTCCTCTGGATATGTTGAATAAATTATCTGTGAAGAGGTAGGGCAGTCAGTGAAGGAATGAGCAACATGGAGCAAATCTCTCGTCATTCTGGTATTTAGGAGTCCCAATGCATAATCTCTGGTTTCCTATCATCTCTTCCATAATTTATTCCTTCCCCTTCAACAAGTCATATTCACATACACAGGGCTTATGGTCAGTTTCTTAATGCCCCCAATGATGAGATTTGAGAAAAAGCTGAAACATGCACAATAAAGGCAATAGACAAAAGTGACTGAAGATAAAATAGAAGTAAAGGGGGAGAGAGTGAGAGTAAGAGAGAGAGAACAAAAGTACTTCCAATTGGTCTTCAAAGAGAACGTTGAGAAGATATTGCAACCATAAGCCAAAAAGAGGGTACCATGAAAAAAGTACAAAGACAAAAGAAGACTCTTAGAAATCCAAAATTTCTCAAATTTTGAAAAATTAATAGACATATTGTAATAGTAAATTAAGCAAATCTCCCAAGTAGAACAAAGACATTGAGATGGAAAATACTGTTATATCCTGTTTAAATAATATGAATTATCCTTATTTTAAATTTTTAGAATCATCTTGTAGGCAAAGTACAAAATGCTTTACTATAATTACTGAACAGAATGTATACATTTCCAACCTTACCAAGAACAGAATAGATGAAGGGAGGACGAATGTGGAAGAAGTGTAGGAACATGGATTCCATTATCTTCATGATAAGAAATCAGTAGATACTGTCAATTATAATGGAACAAGAAATGATGATGTAATATTGTTGAGTGGTGCAAAAATGACCTGTGAAGGACCTATGTGTACCTTTGGATAGAGGTGAGGATGAGACTATAAAGGTCAGTATTATTAAGCTAAATAAATCCTTATCTACTGTTAGTAGACAGAATAGTGATAAATTAAGAAAAATAAATTTGGAAACAGCAATATGAAAATTTGTATATGAAGAAATGGAAAAAAACACATGAATAGACAAAAGCAGAGATAATGATAAGTAGTTATCTCTGAGAAGTGGAAATGGAGTAAGGAAATTACCGGAAGGCAAGAATTACGGTTTTTCCTTCTATGTGTTTCTATACTATTTGATCTTTTAAACCACGAGCATTAAATAAAATATATACTTTTATTTCATTTTAACGCAAATGTTAAGAAACCAAATAGCCTCCATAGGCCTCAATCTCAGACCATTTGAGGGGCTATCTCTGTCCTTTTGTATTTCTTTGGTGGCTGTTCAATTGCCTCAGCATTTTAACATCATGGGAGTCATCTTTCAGCCGTTCCAAACCTCCTTAGCAACCATCTTCTACCTATTTCACAGAGTGATCTATTTCTGAATTAAAAATAAAGTGGTAGAGAGAAACCAGAGGAAATAATCTCATTTTACCTGCAGAGTCAGATATGTTCAGGAAGTATTTTAGTACTTAGCCTTTGAAAATATGCTTAGTTTATTACAAAGGAAGTAAATTCTTGATTATTTAGAATTCAGTGTTGTAGAACCCTCGGAAACTAACCAGAATTGTTGCTGTTGCTGCTGCTGTTATTGTTGTTGTTTTGTTGCATTTTACCTCTAAGAAGAAAGGAAATATGCATGTACACATCTCAATCCACTTCCAATCTAGTGGAAATACTAAGTTCCTGAGCATACCAGTATAATTTCATTTCAATCTTCCTTGACTCACTGAGGTTCAGAAAGGTGACTCGGTGGAACTGAGGGACTTTTTTCTGCTTCTTTGTATCTTTTAATATTTTTCTGATTGTGTATAATATAGACATATTATCTTTGGCATTTTAAAAGAAAATAAAAGTCGTCAGGGAAAAAATCCAATGAAAACTTGAGAGATCTCAATTATGAAAGGAAGAGGGATGCATTTTAATTACATACAACATATTTATAAGACAAGAAAGGAAGTGCCTACATTTCGAATTTGTCTCACATGGTTAGACAGCTTTCTAAAAGAAATTCTAATCAAGGAGCTCAATATCAGTCTCACTCTTTACTGAGCTTGGAAACTGCAAAACACTCTCTCACCATAATTTTATTCTTCATTTTCATGCAGTTCCTTGTCAGAAAATTTCTTTCTTCCTGTATTGTATGTATTGGATGGGTTTCTTTACATATTACAAAACTAATACATGCTCAATGCAGAAATACTGGAAAATACTGAAAAGCAAAAAGTGAAAACGACTCATTATTCTACTACCTGGAGACTACCATTATTAACAGTTTGGTGAATATCTTCCAAGTTCTTTTAATATGTATATAATTTTATACAAAAATATGCATATATTGCACATGTAATTTGGTAGCCTGCTTAGCAAATTATTGTAAACACTCTAAATATATTTCTCCAATATATTTTTTAAGACATAAGATCTCACTCTGTCACCAAGGTTGGAATGCAGTGGCATAATCACAGTTCACTGCAGTCTCAAACTCCTAGGCTCAAGGAATCATACCATCTCAGCCTCCAAAGTAACTGGGAATATAAGTACATGCCACAGAAGTCTGTTAACTTTTAAAATTCTTTGTGGAGGTAAGGTCTTGCTATTTTGCCCAGGCTGGTTCTCAAAAAAAAATTCTATTTTTCACAAAATATTCCATCTGGTGTCTGTTTTACACTTTTCTCAACCAATCCTTTATTGTTGGATGTTTCAGATGTTTCCAGTTTCTGACTATGATCATGAGTACATTCATAAATGTATTCATACATACATTATTATACACATCTCTGAGAATTTCTTCTGTATGAATCATTAAGTAAGAAATTGCAGGATCAAAGATTATACATATTTTTAAGTCTTTCTTAAAATGTATTACTTACGTTACACAATTGGACATAAAACACTCCTCAGCAAATGCAAAAGAATAGAAATCTACCAAACAGGCTCTCAGACCACAGTGCAATAAAAATAGAAATCAAGACTAAAAAAGACTAAAAAAAATCACTCAAAGTCATGCATTTATATAACTTTGGGGTAAATAATGAAATTAATGCAGAAATAGAGAATTCTTTGGAACTAATGAGAACAAGGATACTACATACCAGACTCTCTGGGTCACAGCTAAAGCAATATTAAGGGGAAAATTTATAACACCAAATGCTTACATCAAAAAGTTAGAATGATCTCAAATTAACAACCTAACATCCAACTAAAATAATAGGGAAACAAGAGCAAATCAACTCTGAAACTAGCAGAAGACAAGAAATAATGAAAATCACAGCTGAACTGAAAGAGATTGAGACATGAAAAGCCATTCAAAAGATCAATGAATGGCTTTTTGAAAAAAATTAATAAGATCAATAGGTCACTAGCTAGATTAATAAAGAAGAAAAGAAAGAAGATCAAAATACACACAATCAGAAATGACAAAGTATATGTTACCACTAACCCCACAAAAATACAAATAACCATCAGTGACTACTACATACAAACAGCTTTAAGCACACAAACTAGAAAACCAAGAAGAGACGGATAAATTCCTGGACACATACACCCTCCCAAGACTGAGCTAGGAAGAAATTAAATCCTTGAATAGACCAATAACAAGCTCCAAAATTGAATAAGTAATAAAGAGTCTACCAACCAAAAAAAGCCCAGAACCAGACGGATTTATAGTCAAATTCTACGAGATGTACAAAGAAGTGCTGGTACTATTCCTACTGAAACTATTCCCAAAAATTGAGGAGGAGGGACTTCTCCCCAGCTCATTCTATGAGGCAAGCATCATCTTGATACCAAAACCTGGCAGAGACACAACAAAAACAAAACTTAAGGCCAATATCCTTGATGAACATTGTTGCAAAGCTCCTCAACAAAATACTTGCAAACTGAATCCAGCAGCATACCAAAAGGCTAATCCACCATGATCAAGTAGGCTTTATCTCTGGATTGCAAGGTTGATTCAATGTATGCAAATCAATAAATGTGATTCATCACAGAAACAGAACTAAAGACAAAAATCACATGATTATTTCAATAGATGCAGAAAAGGCTTTCAATAAAGTTCAACACCCTTTTATGTTAAAAATTCTCAAGAAACTAGGTATTAAAGAAACATATCTCAAAATAATAAGAGATAAACCCACAGCCAACATGGTATTAAATGGGCAAAAGCTGGAAGCATTCCCCTCAAAAACTGGCACAAGTCAAAGATGCTCTCTCGCACCACTCCTATTTAACATAGTAGTGGAAGTTCTGGGCAGAGAAATCAGGCAAAAGAAAGAAATAAATGGCATCCAAATGGGAAGGGAGAATGTCAAATTATCCCTGTTTGCAGATGACATGATTCTATAACTAGAAAACCCCATAGTGTTAACCCAAAGCCTCCCTCAGCTGATAAAAAACTTTAGCAAAGTTTCGGGATACAAAATCAATGTACAAGAGTCACTAGTATTCCAATGCACCAACAACAGTCAAGCTGAGAGCCAAATCAGAAAAGCTCCCCATTCACAATTGCCACAAAAATAATAAAATACCTCGGAATACAGCCAACCAGGGAGGTGAAAGGTCTGTACAATGAGAATTACAAAATACTGCTCAAAGAAATCAGAGATGACACAAACAAATGAAAAAAAAAATTCCATGCTCATTGATAGAAAGAATCAATATCATTAAAATGGCCATATTGACCAAAGCAATTTACAGATTCCATGCTATTCCTGTCAAACTACTGATGACATTCTTCACAGAACTGGAAGAAAACAATTTTAAAATTCATGTGGAATAGCTAAGGCAATGTTAAGCAAAAAGAACAAAGCTGGTGACATCACATTACTCAACTTCAAACTATATTACAGGGCTACAGTAACCAAAACAGCATGGTATGGTATAAAAACAGACACATAGACCAATGGAAAAAAATAGAGAGCCCAGAAATAGGACTGCACACCTACAACCATCAGATATTTGATAAAGCTGACAAAAACAAGCAATGGGGGAAGTACTCTCTGTTCAATAAATGGTACTGGGATAATTGGCTAGCCATATGCAGCAGATTGAAGCTGGACCCCTTCCTTACACCATACACAAAAATCAACTTAAGATGGATTAAAGACTTAAATGTGAAGCCTCAAATTATAAAAACTCTGGAAGGCAACCTAGGCAATTCCCTTCTGGATATAGGAATTGGAAAAGATTTCATGATGAAGACATCAAAAGCAATCACAACAAAAGCAAAAATTGACAAATGGGATCTAATTAAACTTAAGAGCTTCTGCACAGAAAAAGAAACTATCAACAGAATAATAAACAAAATGAGAGAAAATATTGGCAAACTATGCATCTGACAAAGGTCTAATATCCCACATCTATAAGGAACTTAAACAAATTTACAAGAAAAAAACAATCTCAATAAGAAGTGGGCAAAGGACATGAACAAACACTTTTTAAAAGAAGACATACACATGTCCAAAAAACATATGAATAAATGTTCAACATCACTAATCATTAGAGAAATGTAAATCAAAATCACAATGAGATATCATCTCTCACCAGTCAGAATGGCTATTTTTAAAAACTAAAAAAATAACAGATGCTTGGCAAGGTTGCAGAGAAAGGGGAACACTTATACACTGTTGGTGGGAGTGTAAGTTTCAACCATGTGGAAAGAAGCGTGATGATTCCTCAAAGAGCTAAAAAAAGAACTACCATTTGACCCAGCAATTCCATTAGTGGGTATATACCCTAAGGAACTGATATCATTCTACCATAAAGACACGTGCACACACATGTTCATTGAAGCTCTATTCACAATAGCAAAGACATGGAACCAATGTAAATGCTCATCAGTGGAAGACAGGATTTAAAAAATGTGGTACCTCATGTACCCTTGAGCCTAAAATAAAAGTTAAAAAAGAAAGAAAAAAAAAAGTTAAAAAAAAAAAAGAAAATATGTGGGGATAAGATTAAGAACAGAAATAGAGGAATTGGTATTGAAGAAGTGGAATAATATTTTGTCTTCTGAAATGGAAAGAAAAAAGATTAAACATTGCTATTGGGCTATATTCAGAGTTGTAGAGGCAGGAAGTTGATGAGTTTTTATCAATAATCAACTAAAATTTTCCGTTAAAATGTAAAGTAAATTCTTTGTTGGAAGAAAACAAAAGATTTTCTCTTGTAGCATTTTGAGATCTATAAAATAAAGTACTGGAAGTAAATATATCAAAATATTTGCACTGGACTTTGGGTAATGAGATTACGAGTGATTTTGTTGTTTAGCCTTTGCAGAATTTCCCAGACTTTCTTCAATAATCACATATTATTTCTTAACTTAAATTTGTCAGCATTTAAAATAAAAAATATAAACATTAGTATGTGTAGTATATATGATGTCAGCCAATCTATTTCCACATTTAACTTCCCCTTTTGTCTTAATCTAACCTGCCCATGGATCTTTGATTACATTACGTTCTGCCTCAACCCAACTCAATCTCTGTCCAGCCATTGGTAATTGGACCAGCAAACAGCTGTTTACCCAGGGAAACCAATTCATAGCCTTACCTCAGCCAATCCAGTTCTCTAGAGTGAGATATAGAGACTGCCATCCATTGTTGGTAGGTTCTGGAGCTAAAAAGTCATGTATGTGGAGCAGCATTACCTAGAAATAGAGGAAGCTGGTCTGCAGAGAGAAATGGAGGGGTGTTTCTAGAAAGGCAGAAACACAGGACCATGTGGCTTTAGAAAGACACAGAGACAGATACTACAATTCCCAATTTCTGGTTCCCAGGCCTGTCCCCATGAACCCTGGGGGTTATTTCTTTCCAGTCATATATAATGTTTATGAGACAGCCAGTTGTATCCTTACTTCCACCCCCAAAAATTACATATATATATATGTGTGTGTGTGTGTGTATATATATATATGTGTGTGTATATATATATATATGTGTGTGTGTATATATATATATATATATACACATACATACATATATTTGAGTTTTGGAACCACAAACTGCTCACTTGAACAACATATGACCACTGACTTCATAAGAAGTTTGGTGTAATACTGACGTTCTAAACCGAAAGGTGCAAACCTCCATCATTTTCTGCTTGGTCATATCATGTTTTTATGAATCTGGACAAGCATTTATATATAAGAAGATTTTACATAAGATCTGGATCTTCATCTTTTTTGAAAAAAAATTTCCTAGATGGAGCATCACTGAGCCCACATTTCTGCGTGACCTAAATTGGGCACTTTTTGAGCAGTTGCTGACCCTTTGGGGTATAACATGTCACCTTCAGTTCACATCCTGCACCACCCAGGTGGTACTTGCTTTGTTATTTTCCCTGCCCAGCTGTGTTCCTGTCCTTTACCTTTTAGGCCTCCATAGGAGTTAAGTTCCCCACCCTCTCTTCCAAAAGATCTACTCTGAATTTTTTCCCTCTCCTTCGCATGCTTCTGAAGGTCAGATTCCTGGGTTCTTCATAAGAGATTACAGGCAATCTCGCTCCATCGCCTGCATTTTCACCAGAGCACCACTTTTTAACTGAAGTTAATGGCTTGTCATTAAAAGGTGATGTTGGTGCGCCCGAGGAACAAGACATTTCATTTGCCTCAGCAGTATATCCATGGCAAAAGATAAAAGCTAGAAAAATCAAACACTTCCTCATTTCTCCAGAAAACCTTTCTTTTACTAAACTAAAAATACCTCCTTTGGAATATCTTTTATTTTTTCTGCAGAGTGAATCTTTGTCACCACATTATTATCCCAAATCCCAAACACAAGCCATGAGGTTGGAGGTTCTGATGAAGGATTCAATCTGAACATTAAAAGTACTAAACCTCAATTATGAAACTGCCTGGCTTAAAGAACTAATGAGATATGCATTTTTTTTTTTTTTTGGCCCTGAGAACCTGTTTTGAAGAAGCAAACAATGTGTCATGAATTTCCCTGCTTCAGATGGGAGCAGTGGATGCTGGCCTTGAGCACTGGCTGGCCCGAAGCCCTCTTCACGCTTTAATGCCCTTGGAATAAACCAAGGGCAATATGGATTAATGAGGGGAACTCACAGGAGATCTTAATCTCCAAAGTCTTGAAAATCTGAAGTCTTGGCATCTATTAAACCACAGAGGAAAATTTTTTGTTAAGAATGGATACTTTTTGAAGACTATGTGTAAAGAAGCAGATTATTCCTTTTACTCTCAAGTTTTTGAAAGCTTTTGATCTGAACCATTGACATCTTTCATAAGGAGCCCAATCCTTGGCCAGCTAGCACATTTGGGAGGATAGTCTTTGCTCTTAAGATCTGAGTGAACTTCTCCAGCTTACCACTTGAGAGCAGGAGATCAAACCCAGAATTGAATGTAGTTTAGGCTAGTGAAGAATGTCCCACCTTCGGCCGGGTGTGGTGGCTCACACCTGTAATCCCATCACTTTGGGAGGCTAAGGCAGACGGATCACAAGGTCAGGAGATCAAGACCATCCTGGCTGACACGGTGAAACCCCGTGTCTACGAAAAATGCAACAAAAAATTAGCCGGGCATGGTGGCACATGCCTGTGGTCTCAGCTACTTGGGAGGCTGAGGCAGGAGAATTGCTTGAACCTGGGAGGCAGAGGTTGCAGTGAGCCAAGATCATGCCACTGCACTCCAGCCTGGGCAACAGAGTGACAATCTGTCTCAAAAAAAAAAAAGAAAGAAAGAAACGAAAAAAAAGAATGTCCCACCTTCTATCTATAAAGCCGCACCTCTATGAGGTAGGAGGAAAAGGCATCCACTATGCCACTGCTTTCCATTAGTCAAGGTAACATATTTCTTGGCAGAAATATTCATAGTTGTGAATTTCAAACACAGTCAAAGTAGAGGTTCAGCCCAGGCTTACCTGTAGTCAATATTACCCATCTTGTAATCAGGTTATTTTAATATTTTGTTAACAATAAAAATAACATGGATTGTGTATATTTATCCAATTCACCATTTTGAGTCTCAAGCGGACACAAGGAAAGATTGGCGAACTGATCCAGCAACGTACAGTCACCCTCAACAAGAATATTAGGTGTTAACATACCTGACTTGAAGGTGTAATTAAATGTACATCTGAAAGCTACTGCACAAGAATCTGGAGGGAATCAGACCCTTTCATTCTTTACTGACACCTTAACATTCTACACTGAATATGGAATATCTCTGCTTGTATTCATCACTATCGAGATTTGCACAGAGCTTTAAATTATAACTTCATTTGCATAACCATAGGCTTGTTGCTAGGTATTTGTCTCATTTTTAGCAAAGTGAGAAATTAGGGACTCCAGTAGGTAAAGAAGAAATAGCCAAGAGCCCCCTAGGATATAGCCCTGTGATTTCTGCCTGGTAACAACTATGGACACCCAAGACAACTGGATACAGCTTAGGTCTCCACTGAAGTTCAAACCCCAGAATTCCAGCTTCGCCCCACAAAGAAAGAAGTTTCCATTTTTAGGAAGGAACATTTATAATGAAATGTGAAGCATGTTTTATTAGCAGTAAAGACCTCAGTGATAAGTAGTTAAGTCAGTTTCTGATTTGCTGGTTTGCTAGAAAACAATGTTAACTAACAAAATAGAAAACAGATATTTAAAAAATATATATGTATCACTGTTTCTTCCCTAGACATGCTCCTTCCTTCATGAAACATTAGATATTGGGGGAGATTAAATAATAAAATGCCATAATGTCTCACTTAACAGAAACAGAATAGTAAGTTACAGGTAAATGAATTTTTGAAATAACTGAAATTTACTGCATTAAGCATCAACTTCTTAAAAATACATGAGATAGAGAAATAAATTTTAAATTACATATATTACAAAAATATAAATTACAACTTTATAAGGTTAATACATGTTATATAATTATATACATACAAATTACAAATTTACGACTTATTTTTTACCATTTAAAGCAGAAGGTATTGACCGTGGCTACTTCTTGATAACACGGGCTCCCTAATCAGGACCATGTATCTCTGTGGCACTCTCAGTATCCTAATATTTTCATTCATTCATTTTGATTTGGCTTTTTATAGTTCTTTACTTTCCTTTTTACTTTCAGCTGTTCAGCATTATTTCAGTCTGATGGTTCTAAGAATCTTTCTCAGCCACCCCAAATGCTCTTGTTCTGAAACCTTAGTTTTGAATCCTGTTCTGAATCCTTAGTTCTATCTAATCTGCTATGTACAAGTAGATTAAATGTTAGGGAGCATGTGTATGTGTGTGTGTGTGTTTGTGTGTGTGTCTGTGTGTCATAGGATTGTAAATCAGCCTTTAAGGACTCTTCCAAGAGTAAAGTCAGGAGTTTTAGTGACTGGGCATGATAGCCACACTTTTGATGGCTCAGAGTTCCCTTTCTTTCCCCTGGCTCTTAGCTAGGCTCCCAATAGTCGATGTGGCTGATTAAGTGGCATTCCGATAAATGAGGTATCAATGGGCCATGATAGTATATAAATTCTTTTCAACTGAAGCTTTAAGTACACAATTCAACTTTCAAGACCAACTCATTTCCATCTCCACATTGTGCAACCTTGATGTGCAATGTAAATAAAATATTATTGAGCATAAACATCATTTAACACATAAAGAGCAAAGTATTAATTTTGGGATCATAAATGTTTGGAAAGAGAAAAAAAAAGGCAGCATATTGAAAAAAAAAGGCAGCATATTAGTAAACACTCTTCTGATGAATCCTCAAAGAATTATACCAGTCACATGCTTCAGAGTCCCAGGAGGAGCTTGTTGGCTTGTTCACACGTGTCTGTGGGCCCCAGCTGGAGACTCTGCTTCTGAAGGTCAAGGAGAAACAGTGCCTCCCTGAGTTTTTTAATTTTCACAGTTAATTCTGACCATTGTAAACCACAAGAAATGAACCCTCCACATTCTTACCCCAGGGTACTCCTTGTCTCTCTGTATGCTATTATTTTTCTCCTTTCTCTCCTCTTCATCTCCAACTCTGTTGTCCATTTCATCCCCTTTCTATTATATTTCTTGTTCCTTCTGCCCTTGCAGATAGCAGAGGCTCCCATGCTCTCTTCAAGAACTGTGAGATCTTTTGGTTTACTAAGGCACTGATCTATGTTCTAAACTTTTTTTTGCTCAAAATTAATATATTCTAACATTCCTTGCCTTCTCCACCCACATTGCTCTTTAGTAATTATTTCCTCCTGCTTTTTGTTATAATGAATGATTTTTTTCCCATCAATATCCCCAATACATTTAAATTCATTGAGAACAAGCATTATTTCTTACTTACATTGATATCTTCCATAACACCTACTAAAGAGTAGTCATTAGCTCTATATACATATACATGTAAATATAAACATATATTTAATTAAATTGACCCTATTAATATACAGTAATAATAATTATATTAATATAGTACATTTATGTGTTGTTTCCAAAGCACTTCAATATTCATTGTCTTAATTTAAGTATATAGCAAGCCAATGGTTTTAATGGAACCAAAATAGGCATTTATTATTTTGCTTGCCCAGCATTCATTTACTTTTCTTCTGACACCAATACTCTGATTTTCTATGAAAAATAATCTCTACCCTACTTTTATTCCAAGTGTTAGATGTGGCACTAACTCCTGCCCTGAATCCAGAAACAGTCAAGTGATGGATGTCTGACCTATCAGAGCACTGCATTCCCTGGACTGTAGTGATTGCTTCAGGGATGAACATCAGGTCCAAAAAAGAAAAAAGGGATTAAATCCTGGGACTTTTGTAAAATTGTCAGTAACACAAAATAGCTCATTTCTAATTGGTGTTACTGTGATTTTTAGAATGTAAGCCAACTTGGCAGTGTAAAGAAAGAACCAACAAGGAGAACAGCAGAACTGAGGGAAGGAGAAAATACAATTGACTCTTGATGACATCATTTGAACCCCATGATCCAGCCATACCTAAAGCCTGCATAGAACTTTCATTGCTTTATGAAAACCAATACATTTCCTTTCACCATGAAGCCTTTTGAATAGGTTTTCTCCACTTAAAAAAGGAGTCCTGACTAATCCAAAACTAATATCCCTGAAGATTAAAATTGTCCCAAGATCCATCTAAAATCATGTAATTAGTCCTCTCAGGATCAGAATCAGTTCTTAACTAGTGTTTTTTCAGATACCCTTCTCTCACTCATGGACTTTAAACTGCAAAAGGTTTTGAGGACCATGCTAGATTTTTCCTCTCCTCCAATGCACCCCATACTATTACTTCTCTTTGACATAGTGTTATAAAATACCAACGTCCCTTGGCAACATTCAAGGAGAGTCAGAAAACAACTTTCAAAATAAGTTAGTCAGTGGAGTTTTGAAAAAGTCAATTTCTTTGTATATAACCAGACGTGAGACTGTTAGATAGTATTGTAGTTCTTTATCTGCATTCCCATGTTTATTGCAGCAATATTTATGATAGCCAAGAAACATACTCAACCTATGTGTCCATCAACAGATGAATTTAAAAAAGTGTCATATATACACAATGAAATACTGTTCAGCCATAAAAAAGAATGCAATCCTGTAATTCACAGCAACATGGGTGAGCCTGGGAACATTATGTTAAGTGAAATAAGCCAGACACAGAAAGATAAATACCATATGTTCTCACTCATATGTGGAAGCTAAAAAAGTTGATCTCATGGAAGTAGAGAATAGAATAGTGGTTACTAGAGGCTGAGAAGGGTAGGAGGAAGTGAGCATAGGGAAGTGTTGGTTAACGAATACAAAATTACAGCTAGATAGGAGGAAGAAGTGCTAGGGTTCTATGGCACTACAGGGTGACTATAGTTAACAATAACTTAACTGTATGTTTTCACATAGCTAGAAGAGAGGATATTTAATATTTTCAACACAAAGAAATGATAAATGTTTGAGGCAGTGGTAATGCTAATAATCCTGATCTGATCATTACACATTGTATACATACATTGAAATACCACACTGTACCCCATAAACATGAACAATTATTATGTGCCAATTAAAAATAAATTTTAGGCCAGATGAAGCGACTCATGCCTATAATGCCAGGACTTTGGGAGGCCGAGGCAGGAGGACCACTTGAGGCCAGGAGTCCAAGACCAGCCTGGGCAACATAGTGAGACCCGCCCCCACCCCGATCTATACAAAAATAAAAAATAAAATAATAATTTTTTAAAAGTCCACTGTTGCCACAAATTTATTTTACACAGTTAAAATGAGTCTACCAAATATTGACAGCTTTCACAATTTTACTTATCCATAGTATGGGTGAATACAATCAGCCATGTTTCTTTCTATAGTTTCCTCCTGATCCCACATGTTAACACATGATTTGGTCTTTCCCTCCAGATCCAGGTAAGTCACTGTACCATGTGATAAGAATAGAAATTATTCAAGCAGAATAGATTTTTTAAAATGTCATGAACTGGGACAAAGGAATGAAATTGATCAAACCCTGCCTATGTGGCATGACTAAATAATTCAACAGCAGATAATTCTGGCAATTCGGGCGGCTCACAGTAGTTAAGAGTTTAACATCTCTGCCCCAGGCAGAAAGAGGCTTGCTTCAGCTGCTTCAGCAATGCCTATCTGATATCAGCCCAAAATACTGGTCACTGTGTACTCATCTGTCTTCTTTCATAAAACAGAACCTACTGGAACAAGGAGAAAGGAAAACAAACCTGGAGGCTCTTGTGACATGCTGGCTGCCATAGCTGATAGGAATAGGAACTGTCCTTCCACTGGGTAAAAGGTCAAGGTCAGGCTTGTCAGTTTTTATTCACCTGTGAAGCTGAAGAGGTAATCAATCTTGGGGGATTACTTTTGTTTGCTGTTTGCCCATAGTACACACACACACACACACACACACACACACACACACACACAGGAAATCCTCATTATTGGTGGATTTACAGATTCTGTATTTGCAAATTTGCCGCTGTGATAAAATCTGTCACTCCAAAATCAATACCTGTGATGTTTTCATAGACATACTCAGAATGAGAAAAAATTTTAGTTGCCTATGCAGTCCCAACCGAGGTGAACAAGGCCACAACACTTTGTCTTCTTGTTTCAGCTCTCATACTGCTACCAAGCATCCTTTCCACAGTCTATTCAGTGCCATGTTTTTCTCATTTTTTTTGTGCTTTTTGGTGGTGATTTCACTGTTTAAAATGGCCCCCAACTGCAGTGCTGAATTGCTGTCTACTGTTCCTGAGTGCAAGAAGGCTGTGATGTTCCTGACAGAGAAAATGTGTGTTAGATAAACTTCCTTTAAACATGAGTTATAGTGCTGTTGGCTGTGAGTTCAAGGCAAATGAATCAAAATATATATTAAATAAATAATCACATAAAACAAGGTTACATATTGAGCAGTTGGTAAGAATGAATATTGTGAGCCCACAGGGAATCTAACTGTATAATTTTCCTAGAAGTAATGGTTCAGTATTTCATACTGAGTATTTACAGTTACCATACAGAATGTAACTACTTTGAATAAAGAGACTTGACCGTACAAACATATATAATATGCATATGTGAATGTATATACACATTATTTCTTTTCTTATATATTTATTTACTTGACAGATAAAAATGGTTTATAATTGGCTGTGCACAGTGGCTCATGTCCTTAATCCCAGCATTTTGGAAGGCCAAGGCAGGAGGATCCCTCGAGGCCAGTAGTTAGAGACCAACCTGGACAACATAATGAGATACCCTCTCTACTGAAAAAAAAATAGCCGGGCATGGTGGTGTGAGTTTGTAGTCCCAGCTACTCAGATGGCTGAGGTGGGAGGATCACTTGAGCCAGGGAGGTCGAGGCTGCAGTGAGCCGTGATCATATCACTGCACTCCAGCTTGGGTGGCAGAGCAAGAGCCTGTCTCAAAAAGTAAAAAAGAGATTTTGAAAAATTGTATGTATAACATGTTGTTTTGAAATGTGTATACATTGTGGAATGGTAAATTGAGCTAATTAACATATGCATTACCTCACATATCTTTTTTTTTTGTGGTGAAAACACTTAAAATCTACCTTCAAGATTACAGTAAATTATTATTAACTATAGTCACCATATATACATAGATCTTTAATTGGCATCATGTACAGGCAGACTTTCATTCAAATTCCCATTTCTTAGGAGAAATGCTACACTATCCTTTCTGTATTTAACATGACATTCCAAAAATGGAGCTGTGGTCAGAAAACTCAGGGTCTACTCCATCCAGTGCCAGCAGATAAGAGGTTATAAAATACTCAGTGTGGGACAATCTTGACGAGGGTATGAAAAATGAAAGATCTGACTTTGAACCAGTCAATCACTGCTTCTGTTATTTGTCCCAGTAACGATATTCACTGGGGAACCATGGAAACTGTTTATCTGAGAAATAACAAGAAGGTACAAGTTCTACCACGCTCCATTTCTCTGGACCTGATCCTAACCTCTGAATCTCCTTCACCACATGTGGCAATTACAGTGGGATCTTTTCGCCCACTCCCTACCTCCCAAGTTTAAGTGAGGCATTGATTTTTCTATCAAATCTAAGAGATTATAGTCATATTGACCAGAATTTTATTGTCAGCCTCATAACCACAAACCCATATGGCACACCTGCTAGGGAATGCGTGGTGCAAGGCAGTTTGAGGCAATACAGAGAAGTTCAACATAGGATTAGTATTTTCAGAAATCATACAATGATCACAGGAAAAAAGCGGATATAAAATTCCAATTTTAAACTTTTGAGGACCTTAATTAATTTGATATTTATGTGAGCTAATTCAGAGTTCCCATTAAAATAATTGAAAGCACAGTAGCAGGTCCAATGTCATGACTCAGGCAGAAAGTAGAGTCATGCGCTGATTAGCAATGTTTTGGTTAATGACAGACAGGGTATTCAATGAGGGTTCCATAAGATTATAATGGAGCTGAAATATTCATATTATCTAGTGATATCATAGTCGCCCTCACATCATCATAGAGCAACAAATTACTCATGCATTTGTGGTGCTGCTGGTGTGAATAAAACTGCAGTGCCAGTCCTATACAAGTCTACATACATATAGTTATTTTTTATTTTATTCTGCTTTAAGTTCTGGGATACAAGTGCAGAACAGGTAGGTTTGTTACATAGATATACATGTGCCATGGTGGTTTTCTGCACCTATCAACCTATCACCTAGGTTTTAAGCCTAGATGTAGGTTTTAATGCTCTCCCTCCCCTTGCCCCCATCCCCCAACAGGCCCTGGTGTGTGATGTTCCCCTCCCTGTGTCCACGTGTTCTCATTGTTCAACTCCCACTTATGAGTGAGAGCATGCAGTGTTCAGTTTTCTGTTCCTGTGTTAGTTTAGCACATACAATTATGTATAGTACATAATAGTTGATAATGATAACAAACAACTATATTACTGGTTTATGTATTTGCTATACTTTTTAATCATTACCTTAGAGTGTACTCCTTCTACTTAAAAAAAGAAATGTTAACTGTAAACCAGCCTCAGGCAGGTCCTCGAGGAAATATTCCAGAAGAAGGCATTGTTATCATAGGAGATGACAACTCCATGAGTGTTATTGTCCCTGAAGACCTTCCAGTGGGACAAGATGTGGAGGTGGAAGACAGTGATATGGATAATCCTGACCTGGGTAGCCCTAGGCTAATGTGTGAATTTGTGTCTTAGTTTTTAACAAAACCGTTTAAAAAGTTAAAAAATAAATAAATAATTTTTAAAATACAGAAAAGCTCATAGCATGAGGACATAAAGAAAATATTTTTGTGCAGCTGTACAGTGTGTTTGTGGGTTTTTTTGTTTTGTTTTGTTTTTTTGAGATGGAGTCTCGCTCTGTCGCCAGGTTGGAGTGCAGTGGTGCGATTTTGGCTCACCACAACCTCCACCTCCCAGGTTTCAGCAACTCTCCTGCCTCAGCACCCTGAGTAGCTGGGACTACAGGTGCGCACCACCAATCCAACCAATTTTTGTATTTTTAGTAGAGACCGGGTTTCACCATGTTGGCCAGGATGGTATCGATCTCTTGACCTCGTGATCCGCCCACCTTGGGCTCCCAAAGTGCTGGGATTACAGGTGTGAGCCACCGCGCCCGCCCTGTGTTTGTGTTTTAAGTCAAGTGCTATTACAAAAGAGTCAAAAAGTTTAACAAAATTTAAAAGCTTATAAAGTAAAAAAAAAAGTTACAGTAACTAAGATTAACTTATGATTGAAGAAAGAAAAGATTTTATAAATTTAGTGTAGACTAAATGGTTAGAAAGCCAATAGTAATGAACAGTAATGTTCTAACCCTTCATTTTCACTCACCACTCACTCACTCACTAACCCAGTGCAACTTCCAGTCCTGCAAACTCCATTCAAGGTATGTGTCCTGTGTAGCTGTACCCTTTTTTTTAATCTCTTATATCATATTTTGACCATACCTTTTCTTTATTTAGATGTGTTTATAAACACAAACACTTACCATTGTGTTACAATTATCTGCAATATTCAGTACAGTAACATGTTGCATGGTTTTATAGTCTAGGAGCAATAGGCTATACTATATAGCCTAGCTCAGTATAGACTACACACTATCTAGGTTTGTCTAAGTACTCTCTATGATGTCCACACAATGGTGAAATTGCCTAAGGATGCATTTACCTGAATGTAATCTCATCATTAAGTGATGCATGACTATATTAGCACGTAAGCCTTGTGAGATAGAGTGTACTATTTTATTTTTTATTTGTTTACTTTTCTTTCAGTGGTAATTATGTGGAATGCTAACAAGGGAGTGCAATACATTGTTGTTGAATTAAATGGAAGGTGTCTGATATTTGGTGATATCATCCTAACTCAAAGCTCTGGCCTTAGACAAATATTGACGGTTATAAATCAATTTTTTTTTTGAAACGGAATCTCACTCTGTCTCCCAGGCTGGAGAGCAGTGGCACGATCTCAGCTCACTGCAACCTCCGCCTCCCAGGTTCAAGCTGTTCTGTCTCAGCCTCCTGAGTAGCTGGGTTTACAGGCGCCCACCGCCATGCCCAGCTAATTTTTTTGTATTTTAATAGAGGCGGGGTTTCACATGTTCCCTAGGCTGGTCTCAAACTCCTGAGCTCAGGCAATCCACCCGCCTCGGCCTCCCAAAGTGCTAAGATTACAGGCGTGAGCCACCGCGCCCAGCCTTAAATCCATACTGCTTTTTTCCAGATTGCTTGAAATGCTTAAGAAAAACAAATCTTGAATCCCAGCACTTTGGGAGGCCAAGGCGGGCGGATCATGAGATCAGGAGATCGAGACCATCCTGGCTAACACGGTGAAACCCCGTCTCTACTAAAAATACAAAAAATTAGCCGGGCGTGGTGGCGGACGCCTGTAGTCCCAGCTACTGGGGAAGCTGAGGCAGGAGAATGGCGTGAACCCGGGAGGCGGAGCCTGCAGTTGCAGTGAGCCAAGATTGCGCCACTGCACTCCAGCCTGGGGGACAGAGTGAGAGTCTGTCTCAAAAAAAAAAAAAAATGATAAAGAAAAACAAATCTACTGCAAAAGTGTCCCCTGAACATGATACGAATATGATAGAAGGAATGAACACAGATAGACAAGGAAGGAGAGAGAGAGATAGGATATCGGTAAAGGGAGGCAAGTTGGAAGACAAGCACCGAAGCTTTATTAGGCTCTGGTAATGTTGCAGCTAGTTTAGAGTATACCAGCCAGAACATCCAGCTAAACATTATGGATTGAACACATGCATTTACTTTCATTTTTCTCCCCAAATCTATTACAAATAATTATAGACACAAGAACTTAGCAGATCACAAGTTTTTCTTCCTTGCTCATAAACTTTAAAACCTTTTTTTAGTTCCTCATTCCTTATCAGTAAGAGAAAAATTAGAATTACCAAGTAAATAAGAAAGTTCTCTAACATAAAAAGAGGGTGGAAAATACATTAAAAATGACCATCAAAGATGAAAAGATACAAAAATATTATCATAAGAAAACTTAGAAAATTATCATTATAGCATCAGAGAAAAGAGTAGATATTGAAACTGAAAGAAAGTAAAGACCACAGGAAAAAAAAAAGGTAGAAAATTATTAAAGTAATAATTTATACCAAATTCCTAGAACTGGAAGGCAAAAGTTTCCAGATTTGTTGGACTAACCTAGTACCCAGTATAATGAAAAAGACCAATTGAAGACCCATCACCAGTACACAAGCAATAAAAACTGCTAGAATGAAAAACTGTCATATAGAAGGAATCAGGAGACAAACCAGTATCAGTCATTTTAATGCCAACACTAGAAGCTAAAACCCAAAGACAAAATGTCTTCAAAATTCAGAGATCAGAGTGATTTCCAAAATTTTGTACTGCTATGGTTTGGATATGGTGTGTTTGCCCCCACTAAGTCTCATGTTGAAATTTGATCCCCAGTGTTGGAGATGGGGCCTAATGGAAGGTGTGTGGGGTCATGCAGGAGGATGCCTCATGGATGTCCTGGTGCCATTCTTGCTGTAATGGGTGCCTTCTCACCCTATTAGTTCCCAGGAGAGCTGCTTATTAAAAAGAGCCTGGCATGTCCTCCACCCTTTTGCTTCCATTCTTGCCATGTGATCTCTGTACACACTTGCCATGAGTGGAAGCAGCCTGAGTGCCTCACTTGAAGTAGATGCTGGCACTGCACTTCTTGTACAGCCTGCAGAACCATGAGCCAAATGAACTTCTTTTCTTTATAAATTACTCAGCCTCGGGTATGCCTTTATAGCAACACAAATGGACTACGACATTGACATGGTTTTGCTGTGTCCCCACCCAAATCTCATCTGAATTGCAGCTTCCATAATTCCCATGTGTCATGGGGGAGACCTGGTGGGAGGTAATTGAATGATGGGGACAGGTTTTTCCCATGTTCTTGTGATGGTGAGTAAGTCTCATGAGATCTGATGGTTTTATAAAGAGAGGTTTCTTACACAAGCTCTCTCTTGCCTGCCAGTTTGTAATATGTGCCTTTCGCCTTCCTCCATGATTGTGAGGCCTCCCCAGCCATGTGGAACTGTGAGTCAATTAAACCTCTTTTCTTTATAAATTACCCAGTCTGAGGTACGTCTTTATTAGCAGTGTGAGGACAAACTAATACAGACATATATCTAGCCAAGTTATCAATAAGTGTGGAGATAAAGACTTTTTAAGCATGGGAGACCTCAAAACCTTTATCATCTATGCCCCCATACTCTAAAAGATGCAGGACAATGTTCTCCACCAAAAGGAATATATTAACCAAAAAAGAGAAAGACATAGAAACAAGGAAACTCAGGATCCCACATAAGAGAGAGGCAAAGCAAGTCCTAAGATGGTAGTGAAGTCCCAGGGTGACCCCTGTGCCCAGGCTCAGAAAGCACAAATCTAGACTAGAGCATGAGCAAAGAAGGCTCCCCAGAAGTTCCCTCTACAAAAAAATAAATTAAAACAGATATATCACCTCATATGTTCCAATGTATTCAGAGTTATTTAAATATGACAGAGACTGGAATACATTTTTTCGAACATAAAATTAAGGATTGGACTAGCAGATCTCTAAGTCTTTTTCACCTCAAACAACCTATGATCTATAACCCGTGACCCTGCATTCTTGCAAGATAAAATTCATATTTTAGAGCCAAGGTCAAAGATATATGGTTCATGCACTTACCCGAGAAAAGAGCCAAACAATAATATTAAGAAAAACATTTTATTTATATGAGGATTTTAAAAGTGAGCTATTTTGCCATATAAGCTCTGCTTTCTCCAGTCAAACCACAGCCCATTTCCCCACCTTCTTTCATGCACAGATTCCTTTTCAAGCAGTTTTATCATATGTACTAATCAGGGTTCCCAGAAAGAGGGCTGTAAATAGACCACAAGAAATACCTTTACTAATACTGGAATCTCCCATGGACAGACACACTGGTCTGCAGACTAAGAGAATTTAAGGATTAGGAAGCCACTTAAGTATAAGACTCTAATTAGCCAATTTATCCTTCCATTTGCTAATGACCAAAAATAAAACTTTAAATATGTGTGAAGGGTTCTAAGTAACTAGAAATGTAAGTCTATTTCCTTAGAAATCATTTTTTTCTCTTTAGCTTCCATATAATCCCAGTTATGAAGATTGGTTCACACATTTCATATCTAGCAGAAATGAATGCCCGACCTTAGCAGTAAGTATAAAAACAGACAAGAAAACTCTTCTTTCTTTTCATTTTCCACTCATTTCTAGCTTCGTTTCCACTCTAGTTGTTGTCCTTAGCTGTACCTTTCCTGTTGCAGCCTTGGCCTGATCCTACTTGCCACACTTTCTCCAACCTCCCCACTATCTTTAGTCTGTCTTTGTCCTCAGATCCCCTCTCCTTCCGGGATGATCTCCAACCCTGCTGCTCCTTATGCCAAACCACTGGGGAAGCACCATCAACAAGTCTTAGTGACAAGGACATTGGTCAAGGGCAACCTGTTCAGACGTTTCAGGAAATCAGGACAAAAACCCAGTCAATCCTGGGGTTCCCTTCATACTTCAATACTGTCACCAAGAAAACACAATGCAAATTGCATGTAATCTGAAGAATCAGGAAACCCAGGAATGCACAGGGCACTCAAAAGGTAAATGACCACATATGCCTTGGGTTTAGGGAGATATTCATCTGAAGATGTATTTGCAAGATGTCACGTCTGCATTAAAGCTGTAAATTCTTAAATCTGTCTAAACTGGGATTCTTAATGTCAGGGGGAGGCATCTTCTGCTTTGAGTGTTTGCAGTAGACTAAGGTACAACACAACAGCCTGAAAGTGTTCATGCAGACAGCAGAAGGAACAATTCATTACATTGGAAGAACCTAATCCTTCTAGATAAGTATACCTTTGTATACAAAACTTACATTTAAAGAAAAAAAAAGTTAAAGTCCATGAGAGGAATTGCAAATTCACCTGCTTACGGGTAATTTGTCAGGAGGTAACAGAAATGACTGGCTATGGGCACGTGTTATGGATGGGAATGGGGGAACCATAGGGTATTAGAGGGGAAAGATCCTATATAGGAGCAGTTGCTGCTTAGCTCCAGCCATTTGCTGTCATGCAATAACATAAGCCTAGTATCAACCTCTGTTTCACTCTTTAATTGTAAAATTTCCCAGATTTTAAAATGCTACAAAGGAAAAAAAAAATCTGTAAACTTGCACCAATCTAACCTGTTACATTTTAGAGAGTCATGCAAATTTTTATCTTTCCCAGCCAAACAGCTCAACAAATGAGCGGCATCAGTAAGGTTTAGATAACCCTCTTGGCAACATTTCCAAATTTCAGATACTTCAAACGTGACCTCTGGCTCTTTACACATGCCCTTCTCTCTCATCGACGTCAGCGGGAGTTAAGAATTTATCAGATCAATTATATCAAGATTTTCAAATGTCAGATCTTCTTTTCATCTACCCTATAGCAAACACATTTATTTCATAATCCTTTGAAATATGGGATTTCAGCCTAAACAAAGAACATTGAATTGTTTCTATTTAAGAAAATATTTATATTAATCAGAGGCCAAAAGAGACTTATGTGAGTTGACCAACGATCAGTTCTCTGTGAGTTGCATTAAAAACGTTTGACATCAAGTTAGGTAAAAGTGTCAGGAAGTATTCTTAAAGCTTGGCTGCTCAGGAAGGATTTAGGGATGTGAGTGTTCAGTTGAGCATTAGGACATTATTGGTGTTTTTCCCCAGCAAGTGTTTGGCAGATACTGTTTCCTCAGGATATGATTGTCCAATTCCTTCTTTAAATTTAAGCTAGTATTTTTATTAGGGCACATGGATTAGAGAGGATCCATGTGCCCTAATAAAAAGAGAAATTGCTTGGCAAAAGATAAAATTCAAACACTAAGCAACATCTTAAATTGAATTGCCTTGAAATAACCTTACAACAAGGTTATAAAAGTTTAAAACATTTTAAGGGTCAAAAGCTCTGAATCCCATGGCATTTCTAATTAGCAAAATTCAGTTCATAGAGGGGAACTAAGCTCTCAAAATTAAATCCAGCTGACGCTCCCAGCGCTCCTAACTAGTACACCTGACTGAGCCATGGTCTCCATTTTTTCTATAAGACATTTGACTGACGTTACAATGAACAATTACACTTAGTAAGTTATTTTCTAGAATGTCTACTCACGGGTTTTATGCTTACAATGAGTTGCTTACATTTTTCTCAAGTCAGTTTATGCCAGTTTACTATTAGAATTACACAATTAAATACACACAGACTGAGGAAATATGAATGTGGAAAGAGAGACTTTGGTTTCTATAAAAACCTAGTTGAGTACATTAGAAAGAGTTCATAAAAGCAAGTTTGAAAGAAAATTAATCAATAAGATGTGGGTGAGATATCCATGAAAGAGTAGGATACATTTGTAAAACTTTAGACAGACTCTGCTTTCAGACAGCTTTACAATGGTCTTTAACTTCAAGCGCTGCTCTTAATAAATGGGAACTAGTAGAAACAGTAGAAAATGTATTGTGGGTATAATTTATACAAGAAAGATGAGTGAGCATTCCAATCAGTGTACCTACACTCAAAGGAAAGGCACTGGCTTTTCATCAGAAAAAATTGACAAATAACATAAATACTTAAAATATGTGCATCTTATTTTCACGAATCTCTTTTCAATTACTGACAAATTTATCCACCAATGGCAATCACATTAGATAATAGAGCTGCTACTATGGACATTTCAAATAAACCTTATGTTTAATCTAAACAAGGTAATATTTCTACCAAATGTATGATGTTTTAAACGCTTGTCAACATAGAAATTATCTCCTCAACATACAATCATGTCAACCTACTGCAAAGTTTACATTGCAGCGGACTAAAATCAAGGTAATGCCTATGGAAAATTCTCCATTGTGAGGTGGCTTTTTACTCCATGATCTCATGAAAACTTTTATGTTTACAAATAATACAAATTGATTAAATGACTTTATATTTCTAAAATAACTCTGTTATAGAAATCTCTGAAATACTAATAATTAGGGCAAAATTTCAAGATTTGGTCATCATTAGTAATATTATGTACCAGACACTTTGCTAAACACTATCCAAGTTTGTATGTTTGTTTTCAACAGCACTTATTTTATACATGAGAAAATTAAGTTCCAGAGATAATAAAAAGTTGTTCATGGTCACTGTGTGTGATGTATGGGGCAGAGCCAGAGCTTGGCCTTCAGTCTCTTGAGCTCTAAAGCTGGTGCTTATTGTCGTTATGATGTTATCAGCAGTTCTACAGAATATGCCTCTTTGATGTTACTCAACTAAAGGCCCCTAGATTCTTCAGGCTATCCAGATTTTATCTTTAAAAGTTACCGCATACAGTTTTGAAATCACTGGTTGTAATGTGTAATTACATAATTTTAAAATACTAGATAATTCTTCACAAAATTTCTTCAGAACACAAAGGTATTCATACTCATTATTAATAAGAAGTACTTCCAAGGAAGGATATAAAGAGAATAATTCTGGGATTTTATTTTAATTCGTTTATCCACACATCTACTCTGGGCCTTATGCTCAGCACCGAGAACACAAAGGTGTCTAAGACATTGTCACTGGATTTAAGAAACACATGGCCTGAGTGAGGAAGAGACAATGAAGTAGTTGTAACATAATCTGACAGCAGTTCTAACGGAGATTCCATAGTAAATGCAGTAGAAACTAGGAGATAGTGAATGTGCAGGAGGGTCACCTAGGCAGGGGTAGCTGACACCTCCCACATAGAGGAGTCTTTTGTCACCGACATTCTTTCAGTTGCTGGTACCTGATGCTAAGAAGAAGCAGATGATTTTACTCAATTTTGATATTAACTTTCTACAGAGTGCATTTACTACTTGCCGTCTCTACAGAATGAATTCACTACTGCCCGCACCCAGGTGGAGCATTCCCACCACACTGCCCTCTCTACCCTAGGGCGCCACTGTGAATTTGAAGTAGGTCTTGCCTAATAGCAAAAATGGGGACAGTCATTTTAGGCAGAGAGAGAAGTCCTATATTTGAACAGGCATGGTAGTATGAAAAAACAACTAGGCAGGGCAAGAAATTTGTTATACCTAAGCACAGGATACAAGGAACCAAATTACTGTAAGGATAACCTAAAGTCAAGCCTGAATCTTAGCGGACTGGCTCAGGAATCTGGATTTTATCCTATAGGCAATGGGCAGACTGGGTGGTCTGATGTCTCTAGAGTCCTAAGTTTAGCTCTTGGCTCTGCCATTTAGCTACCACACAATCTCAACCTGTGAACCTATTGAACCAAGGAAATGACATAAGGCCTAACTCATAGTGTTGTTGTGTGGATTAAGGGAGATGATGAATGCTGAATACCCTGTATGGTACTTGGAAATGAGTGGACAACACACATGAGCTTATTGAAGGAGTTTAAACAAAAGAATGATGTAATTGGATCAGTGACTTAGGGAAAAAAGACACTCTGGCAACAGTGTGGAGTCAGGAAGATAAATAAGAGATTTATTTTTGCAAAACTACAAGTAAGGAATGGGGAACGTCTGAATTCTAGGGAACATTAGTGGTACTTGAAGCAGGCAATAGGTTCTAGGGATATTTGGGGCAGAAAGGGTGGACTAAATACGAGGGAGGGAAGAGCTATTTTATTAGCAAACTAATAATCAAAATGATTCACATAATGTGTGTGTGTGTGTGTGTGTATAAATGATTTCTTCTACATTAAACTCATTTATTTTTACATCTGGGTTGGGAATCAACTATACCAAATCCAGTTCCAATTCAGCGCTAGCTGGCTCTATGACCTGTGCCTCAATTTCTTCATTCATAAATATGAACAAAATGTTCATTCTACCCACACATAGGATTTTGAGAAGAATGAGGAACTGTATTAACAATAATTGCAAGTTCTATAATAGGTATTGAATTAATAAGAGTGTAGTTGTCCATGGTTATATACAATGTTTTGAAGGAAAAAGTTAATAGGAGCTCTATGCTATTTATTGCACCTTTTCTTTAAGTCTCAGATTATTTTGAAATAAAAAGTTAAAACAATGATAAAGGTGTGAATACATCTGAAACCCATGTGTGAATCTTAATAGCTGTCATCAGACATGCGGTTTGCGGAGAAATGGGCCTATTCAAGCTGAGTTTAAATGATGTTCCCCTGGTGGATTGAACGACTGCCCAGTGACACACTGACTCTTGGAAGCTCCCTTTTGGCAGCTTGCTGAAATTTGCTCTTGCCAAACATTTCTTTCTTTTCATGTAAGAATGACAGTAAACAGCCAATTCAAACAAGAACTGTTTGGCTTGTTTTAAAGAAGCCTTTGGAAAACTGCTTTGAGTTGCCATTTGTCATTGCCACCAAATCCTGGGGAAGTGGGGGGTGAAACTGCAGTGTCATTCCTTAGCCCATCTCCAGGAGCTTTTCTTATTTGTTCTTTCACACAGATCAGAAGGTCCATGTGGAATCTTCTTGGAACCGAAATCGCCGGCGCAAGAAGGGCAGATGAACATTTTTTAATTGAAAAGTAATACGGTTTAGCAGCTTCCATTTCCCTTTGAACAGAAGACTTTTTTGAAGTTTTGATTAATAGGGCACATTAGTAAGAAAATAAGATTTATGTGTGTGTTCTACCATGCTGAGGTTATAGGTATGAGCACAGAAAAAAAATAAAAATAGTTGCTGCCTATTGCATGTTTATAATATGTCAGCTACTGGGCTATGGATTTTCCACATATAGTATTGCTTTGTTTCCTTCTAATAAACAAACAAGCAAACAAAAATACTTTACTAAAAAGTAAACAGGAGTTTAGCATGAAGCAACTTACTAAGAGTCTCTACTTTTAAACTCTTAGACTAAGTAGACTCTTTTATTTCAGAACAGTTATTCTTATTTAACACGATATGCGGCAACTAGTCGGGGTAGATCTGAGTTGTACTTAAAGTAAGAAAATAAATACATACAAACAGCCTTCATCGAAGTCATCTATCATTGCTGTGAAACTACTGCAGATGAGCCCATCTTACAATCACCCACTCCCCCATCCAACGACAGGAAAAATATTTTAAAGCACCAGCACTGACTGAAGCAGAGCCTCTCCCAGCAACATAATCACTGGATTACAATTCTCCTCACACACATGTGCAAAGGAAGGTCTTTCGAATAGAGCAAATACTCCATTAAATACTCAATTAAAGCCATTTCCAGAACGTAAAAGAATGTGATTTAGGTCACACACATGATGTCAGAACTATGGGTTGAATCTCATCAATGCAATGAAGCAGAAGAAAATAAGATTGAAACCCGTTGTTTGGCTTCATGTAGCTAAAACAACTGCCTGATTAACTAAATTTTTCTCTTTCAAACCCGTTGTCATGGTACTGTGCAGAGAGAATCTTAGACAGAGCCTGCAGAAAACAAAAAATTTGTGACATCTTGCCCTGACCCTTATTTTGCAATTATATTAGGGCTGTCATTCTGGGATGACGTAAAATCACTACAGTCTCTTAAAAAATCTCAGAAATTCAGGAGAAAATAGTCAAGGCATCAGTTCAAGGCCATATTTTAAATTATTTTAAAGATGGCTTTATTATTTTCAAATATTGTGTACATTTGAAACTCAGATATATGTGAGTACTAAAAATAAATCCAATCAAGAAAATGAAAAAATGACAAAAGTCCTCTATTATAAAGTAATATATCAAAAATATACAGTTATTTCAGTACCCAGACATCGATTGCTTTACTCTGGGATAAATGAACTACAGGTCAGGCGCAATGGCTCATGCCTGTAATACTAGCACTTAGGGAGGCCAAGGTGGGAGGATTGTTTGAGCCCAGGATTTGGAGACCAGCTTGGGCAACATAGCAAGACTCTGTCTCTGTGAAAAATTTAAAAATTAGCCAGATGTGATGGCAGGTGCTTGTAGTCCTATTTACTCAGGAGGCTGAGGTGGGAGGATGACTTGAGCCCAGGAATTGGAGGTTACAGTGAACTATAATCACATCACTGTGTTCCAGCCTAGGCCACAGAGTGAGACCGTGTCTCAGACAAAAAAAAAAAAAAAAAAAAAAAAAAGACACTTTTACTCAAACAAAATTATAGTAATGATGATAGTCATTAATGTTTATTGGACATTTAGAACATGACAGAAGTTTTACATGTATTTTCTCACTTAATCTCACTATAGCAATTTGACATAGGGTCTAAGGTGATGATATTTTACAAATGAAGAAGCTGAGATTGAAGAGAATAAGACTCCTGTCCAAGATCACACAACTAGCAGCGGTGGGGCCCCTGTCCACTAGATGTCATGGCCTAAAGCCTTAACTCCACCCCGAATCACCTCTAAATGAGCACACTCTAAATTGATGGGTGTCATGGATATAGAGAGGGGAATGATAGACAATGGAGACTAGGAAGGGTGAGGAGGTGGGAGGGGGGTGGATGATAAGACATTATTTAATGAGTACCCTGTATGTTATTTGGGTGATGGATATTCTAAAAGCCTTGAGTTGATCACTACACAATCTATGCATGTAACAAAATTGCACTTGTATCCTGCAGATTTATATAAATAAAAACAAGTAAACTGGTGGGTATCCTGAGCTGATTCTTCTCAGTTAAGTTTCTCATCCATCTTCAGCCCCTCTTTCCAATCTTACTAAAACTAGAGGGCTCTTTTCAAATAAAGACTCAATGAATGATAATCTATTAATAAGTTTAAAATGTAAAAGCAAAGCTCGAAATCTAAAGCAGCTAAGCTGAAATGCCTAACTCAAAATAAAGGCATTTTACTTCAACAAAAACTTTCAGGATTTTAATCTGCTTTCTCCATTGTTAAGAGACACATTTTTTCCTTGTTTACTGAAACTATTAAAGTGAAGTATTTGGGTGATGGGCACACTAGAAGCCTAAACCTCACCATTACACAATATATCCATGTAACAAACCTGCGCATATACCTCCTGAATCTATAAAAATAAAAAAAAACCTCATAAAAATCTTGTTTAAAAGACAGGAAAAAAGAACACAGTTAATAATTTCTCTACACCTTGTTTTCTTATTTTGTAGAATGATAACAATAAAACATAATTTTTTATAAAAAAAGAGTCTTTAATGAATAGAATTCTTTTTGTTGTTGTTGCTTTATACGGAAAATTTCTAGAAAACTTCACCTTTCTTTGTTCTCTGGGTTACATTTTATAGAGACCATAAGCATGCGTTTATGAGGGTGACAATCTTTCTTGCAAAAGAATGGAGCAGCAGGTCTGTGGGAAATATTGGAAAACATAACTACTTAAACTCGAATAACAAAGAATAATTTTTCTCTAAGCCAAGAAAATTCTCATTCTTTAGGATCCACATTCAACTTGATACTTTCTGTAATATATTTTAGCGAGTGCCTTGGAGATGTGGGTAGCGACTGTGGAAGTCTCTCTTTAGTCCCCTTCCCCAGACCCTGCACAGCGAAGATGGCAGTAATCCCATGCCGTCCCATGCTCTGAAGATGCAAATAGACACCAAAAGAGAATTAAATCAGAACACACACTGCAGCGTGTTTTTTGCCCCTAGAGGTTCAAAAGTGGAAGACTGACAAAATATGCACCGTGTTTCTGTTGGCAGAAGTGACAACTCATTATTTTAGAACACAATTCCTAATGTTCATAACTTAACAATAAAGGGAAACGGGCAATAATTCCTCATCTGTAATGTGTTTGATAGACCATGACTCTGATTTCCCCTCCCCACTGGATTATTAAGTAGAAAGTCAATATGAATATGCAATAGAGTTGTATCATTCTTTCTTTTTTTTTTTTTTTTTTGGCAAACTGGTCTTTGCTCCTAATTCCCAGTAGTATCAATTAACAACGCATAATTTTATAATAGAATGCTTGAAAGTACCAGGCTGGTGCTGTAAAAATTAATTGTCTTGAGCTGATTTCCTGTAGACACCATTAATCAATATTATGCCACCTCACAAGCAGCTGCTCGCCTTCTTCCCAGTGATTCAAGAAAGGAAGGAATGTGAATAAGGTGGTCACATGGTCTACAGGTATGTGGGTGACATTTGAATTCTTAACATCTTAGAATATACAATCCTAGCAAGAAAGTGAACATTTTGGTTTTTAAAGCTGTTAGCTAAAGTTCTTAAGAAGTTCTCAGAGTGGACCAGGCGCGGTGGCTCACGCCTGTAATCCCAGCACTTTGGGAGGCCGAGGCGGGTGGATCACGAGGTCAGGAGTTTGAGACCAGCCTGGCCAACATAGAGAAATCCCGTCTCTACTAAAAATACAAAATTAGCTGGGCGTGGTGGTGCATGCCTGTAATCTCAGCTACTCAGGAGGCTGAGGCAGGAGAATTGCTTGAACCCCAGAGGCGGAGGTTGTGGTGAGCCAAGGTCATCACGCCATTGCTCTCCAGCCTGGGCAACAAGAGCGAAACTCCATCTCAAAACACAACAACAACAACAAAAACAAAAACAAGTTCTCAGAGTGATCTAGATTAAATGACTGAATTAAACAAGGTATGAAGAAAGACTTCTCATAACAATGGGAACTAAAATTTGGTCATTTATTGATGCCAAACTCTGGAAGTTATGCACAAATATGTCAAGAAGTGCTGCATACAATCATTTGGTATATTCAGACATAAAATGATGCAGTGTATATCACAGAGGATTTCTTTAAATCTCTATATCAGCATGAGTATTTGAAAAGGGCATTCACTATAGAATGAGAAAACATGAATTCCATGGCCCTGCCACCTTCTATGGGGCCACCTACATTCCATAAGACAATGTAGAAACTAATGTTGCCCCTTCCTGGATGAAGATTTTCTCATCTATATTCAGATGGAAGATGGGGGTAATCTCTAAAGCTCTAATTCCTTGATTTGAAAACAAAGGGTTTAGAGTGATTCACACAAGCTTAGTCTCAACCAAATCTTTTCACACATATTCGCCCAGCAAATATGGAATAGCTGGGCATGCTAGTTTTCCAGGCCTGTGCTGCCCAGTGCTGCAGCTATGACACACATGTCACTATTGAGATGTGCTGTGTCAAATACACATCAGATTGCAAACAGTCAGTATTTTAAAAAAGAATGCACAATATCTCCATAATTTTATATTGATGACATGTGGATATGCTATTATTTGAGATATATGATTAAACAAAATGTGTCATCAAAATGCATTTTCCTTGTTTTCTTTACTGTTTGTAAGGATTCTTCTGCTATTGGACAGCCCTGATCTAGCTCCCTACTGCTTAGCAGCAAGTGAAACAGACAAGCCCTCTCTCTTAAAGAGCTTTCACTTGAATGGAAGGAGAAAAGAATAAACAAGCAAGTAACACTATGTTGAATAGGAGTGGTGAGAGAGGGCATCCCTGTCTTGTGCCAGTTTTCAAAGGGAATGCTTCCAGTTTTTGCCCATTCAGTATGATATTGGCTGTGGGTTTGTCATAGATAGCTCTTATTATTTTGAAATACGTCCCATCAATACCTAATTTATTGAGAGTTTTTAGCATGAAGGGTTGTTGAATTTTGTCAAAGGCTTTTTCTGCATCTATTGAGATAATCATGTGGTTTTTGTCTTTGGCTCTGTTTATATGCTGGATTACATTTATTGATTTGCGTATATTGAACCAGCCTTGCATCCCAGGGATGAAGCCCTCTTTTTCTATTGATTGGAATAGTTTCAGAAGGAATGGTACCAGCTCCTCCTTGTACCTCTGGTAGAATTCGGCTGTGAATCCATCTGGTCCTGGACTCTTTTTGGTTGGTAAGCTATTGATTATTGCCACAATTTCAGCTCCTGTTATTGGTCTATTCAGAGATTCAACTTCTTCCTGGTTTAGTCTTGGGAGAGTGTATGTGTCCAGGAATTTATCCATTTCTTCTAGATTTTCTAGTTTATTTACGTAGAGGTGTTTGTAGTATTCTCTGATGGTAGTTTGTATTTCTGTGGGTTCGGTGGTGACATCCCCTTTATCATTTTTTATTGCGTCTATTTGATTCTTCTCTCTTTTTTTCTTTATTAGTCTTGCTAGCGGTCTATCAATTTTGTTGATCCTTTCAAAAAACCAGCTCCTGGATTCATTAATTTTTTGAAGGGTTTTTTGTGTCTCTATTTCCTTCAGTTCTGCTCTGATCTTAGTTATTTCTTGCCTTCTGCTAGCTTTTGAATGTGTTTGCTCTTGCTTTTCTAGTTCTTTTAATTGTGATGTTAGGGTATCAATTTTGGATCTTTCCTGCTTTCTCTTGTGGGCATTTAGTGCTATAAATTTCCCTCTACACACTGCTTTGAATGCGTCCCAGAGATTCTGGTATGTTGTGTCTTTGTTCTCGTTGGTTTCAAAGAACATCTTTATTTCTGCCTTCATTTCATTATGTACCCAGTAGTCATTCAGGAGCAGGTTGTTCAGTTTCCATGTAGTTGAGCGGTTTTGAGTGAGATTCTTAATCCTGAGTTCTAGTTTGATTGCACTGTGGTCTGAGAGATAGTTTGTTATAATTTCTGTTCTTTTACATTTGCTGAGGAGAGCTTTACTTCCAAGTATGTGGTCAATTTTGGAATAGGTGTGGTGTGGTGCTGAAAAAAATGTATATTCTGTTGATTTGGGGTGGACAGTTCTGTAGATGTCTATTAAGTCCACCTGGTGCAGAGCTGAGTTCAATTCCTGGGTATCCTTGTTGACTTTCTGTCTCATTGATCTGTCTAATGTTGACAGTGGGGTGTTAAAGTCTCCCATTATTAATGTGTGGGAGTCTAAGTCTCTTTGTAGGTCACTCAGGACTTGCTTTATGAATCTTGGTGCTCCTGTTTTGGGTGCATATATATTTAGGATAGTTAGCTCTTCTTGTTGAATTGATCCCTTTACCATTATGTAATGGCCTTTTTTGTCTCTTTTGATCTTTGTTGGTTTAAAGTCTGTTTTGTCAGAGACTAGGATTGCAACCCCTGCCTTTTTTTGTTTTCCATTGGCTTGGTAGATCTTCCTCCATCCTTTTATTTTGAGCCTATGTGTGTCTCTGCAAGTGAGATGGTGCTGGGAAAACTGGCTAGCCATATGTAGAAAGCTGAAACTGGATCCCTTCCTTACACCTTATACAAAAATCAATTCAAGATGGATTAAAGACTTAAACGTTAGACCTAAAACCATAAAAACCCTAGAAGAAAACCTAGGCATTACCATTCAGGACATAGGCATGGGCAAGGACTTCATGTCTAAAATACCAAAAGCAATGGCAACAAAAGACAAAATTGACAAATGGGATCTAATTAAACTAAAGAGCTTCTGCACAGCAAAAGAAACTACCATCAGAGTGAACAGGCAACCTACAAAATGGGAGAAAATTTTCGCAACCTACTCATCTGACAAAGGGCTAATATCCAGAATCTACAATGAACTCAAACAAATTTACAAAAAAAAAACAAACAACCCCATCAAAAAGTGGGCGAAGGACATGAACAGACACTTCTCAAAAGAAGACATTTATGCAGCCAAAAAACACATGAAAAAATGCTCATCATCACTGGCCATCAGAGAAATGCAAATCAAAACCACAATGAGATACCATCTCACACCAGTTAGAATGGCAATCATTAAAAAGTCAGGAAACAACAGGTGCTGGAGAGGATGTGGAGAAATAGGAACACTTTTACACTGTTGGTGGGACTGTAAACTAGTTCAACCATTGTGGAAGTCAGTGTGGGGATTCCTCAGGGATCTAGAACTGGAAATACCATTGGACCCAGCCATCCCATTACTGGATATATACCCAAAGGACTATAAATCATGCTGCTATAAAGACACCTGCACACGTATGTTTATTGTGGCATTATTTACAATAGCAAAGACTTGGAACCAACCCAAATGTCCATCTATGATAGACTGGATTAAGAAAATGTGGCACATATACACCATGGAATACTATGCAGCCATAAAAAATGATGAGTTCATGTCCTTTGTAGGGACATGGATGAAATTGGAAATCATCATTCTCAGTAAACTATAGCAAGAACAAAAAACCAAACACCGCATATTCTCACTCATAGGTGGGAATTGAACAATGAGATCACATGGACACAGGAAGGGGAATATCACACTCTGAGGACTGTTGTGGGGTGGGGGGAGGGGGCGGGATAGCATCGGGAGATATACCTAATGCTAGATGACGAGTTAGTGGGTGCAGCGCACCAGCATGGCACATGTATACATATGTAACTAACCTGCACAAGCACATGTACCCTAAAACTTAAAGTATAATAAAAAAATAAAAAATAAAAAAATAAAAAAATAAAAAAACGAGCAAGTAAATAATTAATTTTAGATAGCAGTGCTATGAAGATTACAAAATATTAAATAGTGCCAGAATACTTTTCTTTAGATAGAACAGTCAGGATAGATCTTTCGCCAGGTGACATTTAAGCTGAGACCTGAATGATAAGTCATGGCAGCTCTACAGAGATCTGGGAAAAGAATGCCCCGGGAGGCAAGAAAAGTAAGCCCAGAAGCCTTGAGGTGGTTGTGGAAGCAGACTTAGGATGTTTGTTTTTACTGGGCCATTAAATGTTTACATTTGTAACACAACCTTTATCAGAAGAATTATTTAGACTCCATAAGGTATTTATGGGGAAGTAAGAATTGTTTTAGAAACTCTCATATGTATTACCTCTTCATGACTCTTTCTATATATAAAATTGTGGTGACCATTATACAGATGAAGAAATTAAAGCTCAGAGCCACTTAGGGACCTGTCCAAGGATGTCCAACATGGAAGAGAAGTGGGGATTGAAGCCCCCATCGTCACCCCTTGGATCCAGGGCTCTTTCCTTCTGGCTGCCCTCTTTTATCTTCACCCAAAGTATACAGAGTACATAAAAAAGATCTCCCAGCAAATGGGTGATATCTTTGCCATTCTTTTCCTGGCCTGTTGTTTATTGCTCAGTGGCTCACAGAAGAAGGAGAAGTGGGTTTGGAAAAATACAATCACCACCATCAAATACTTGACAAATTGGGGACGCATATTTGCCCTCAGGTCATACAATTATTACAACACTGTTCATTTGCAGAAACGAAGAAACTCTTAGTCCCTTTTCTCCTTCCTCTCTTTTTAATTATTGAATGTGAATCTTATCCATTACGCTTGTTAGATGCCATAGCAAGCTTTGTCATTTGTGGTTGAAGATGGCCTTAGAGAGACAGCTGATCGGTGCAGATCCGAAAAACAAAGAAACCTGGGTTTGAGTCATCTCAGCACCACCACTTACAGCCTGTATGATCTCAAACTACATAACCTTGACAATGTAAGTCTCTGTTTCTTCAGCTGTAAAAAGGCCACGAAAGTACCTGCCCGTAGAGTAGTTGCGAGGGTTAAATTAGAGGATCTGGATAAAGTTCCCAGCCCAGAAGCCCATGGCAACCCCTCAATAAATAAATGCTGCTCAATTCTAAGTATGAACATACTTCCAAGGCTGCTTTTTGGAAGCAAGTAGGTTGTCCTTAAGGCTGTATATGAGGTTCAAGGGAGCTTTAGTATCTCCTTCCCCAAGTTACCTCCTTGCCTTATTTACTGATGTGTCAGAATGGAAGCGAGAAGGCAATTTTTCCAATTTCTTCTTCTGGAATTCTGCAAACTCTTTTGGAAAACCCTTAAGCATCATCTTAGCTCTAGTGCACAGATCTAGGATCCCAAACTTACAAAGGACTCCAAAAATCTAGTACAGCATCCTGTTATGCACAAGTATGTCCTTAAGATAGCCTTTTCTCATGGAGTGACAGAGATTGCAGGGAGTGTGCTGGAAGGCCCATTTGCTTCTCAGTGGATATCTGTTTAGCTCTGAGGAGCATACACAAACTCCAGTTTGCTTAGAATTTGGACCTTATATTTTAAGTAGAATATCTAGCCTGAATTTCCAGTTTGCAACTTTGACATCAAAGACATGGAACTATCATTTCTTCTGAAGGCAATTGCTTTTCTAGTTTGTGTGTCCACTTTTTTCATTTATCTTTCCCTCTAATGCCTCCACACAACTGGCCCCAAGATGAGTCGTATCATTGAGAGATCATTTAGCTAAAGCCTCCTATCAGAGTTATTCCTTAAAAGGTGGAGTTCTGGAATACTTAGGAGGTGCTCAATGGGCCTGACTTAGACCATTAACCTTTCCAGTCCTCCTGCTAGCCAGCTAAGAGTTTTCTGCCATTCTTCATCTTTATGTCCAGATAAAGTACCTTAAAATGATTTGCAAGGACATCCAAAAGAGGGCATGGACAGCAAAGAGAAGATAGGATGGAATTTAGAACAAGAAGGGATCTTAGGTTCATCTACTCCAACTTCAGCATTTGTCTGTGAAGGAAATGAGGCCCAGACAGATGATGACTTGTCCAGTAACACTCCGCTCACAGCTCAGGAGCACACCCCAAATCCCATGACTTCCAAGCTAATGTTCTTTTCCACTATCCAATTTACCAGCCCCAGGAATAGCTCAGACTCTTATCCTAAGACTATTCTCCAGCTGTCCATGTCACAAAAATTTGGAAGCCTCAGCACTGTGAACTGAAAGGACCACTGCCCTTAGTGTGAGGAGATGGAGAGTCAAATCGAGCTCTGTCATCCAGGGAAGTAACCAGCAACCTCTCTGAGCTCCTGTTTTCCTGATACCTACCTAGCAGGTATCAACTGGGGCTTATACCTGCCTTTGCTGCTTCTCTGAATTGTTATGAAAATCAAATGCTACAAGGAATGTGAGCTTGCTGTGAGAAGTGTTAAGTGTACTTATTCTCAAATTCCACTGACCTAAAAGGCAGAGAGCTCTGGATGCCTGAAGGGAAGGGATACAGCATCTGCCAAGAATGCCACCATCCTAACAGACATGGAACTAAGGGAAATGGCAGCTTTGGGGAGGGAGGAACACCAGGAGGGGGAAGGAAGAAGGAAAAGGCCTATGATACATGGTGTTATTTGGGTGACTAACTATCCCAGTTATCCTGGTTTCAGCACTGAAAGCCCCATGTCCCAGGAAACTCCTCAGTTCCAAGCAAACCGGGATGGTTGGTCACCGTAAAATAAAATACTTTGTAAGACCCTACAGTTTTACTCACTTGGTCATTATAATCACTTACAGGACATTAAAAATATTTTAACTTAAGAATTATTCAATAGCTGTGAACTTTATATTACTCCCTCTTCTCTGAGTTCAAGAATGTGAGGCAAACCTAGGTTAAGGTTTTTAAAATACATTTTTCTGCATCTGATGGCCACTGGTTTATCTCCCACCTGATAGAACACTGTAAACAGCAGCAAAACAACAGCAAGGTAGAATGAGCAAGTAAAGATCAGGGTAAGAAGATTAGAAAACATCAAAGAATACTATTGATAGTCATTCTGTTCTACCCAATCAACTACCACCTTGCATCATGGTTGTCTGTGTATAAAGGTTAAGAAGCTTGTCAAAGCTCAATATCCAACATGTTATTTAATCTTACATTCCCTTCCCTCTCTACTCTTCTAAAGCCCACCGAGATTCGCAGTTGCCGAGTCCCAAAAACACAGAATATCTCTAACATCTATTGTTAAGTGTGCACTTTCAAAATGAAAGGCAGTAAAAGGCATTGTTTCAACTCTATTTATTCCAATTGGCTTTTCTGGTCAAGGCCCTTAGCGTATGATTTCTCTTGGCCAAGACTGGAAAGAGTGTCATATTCAATATTCTAAACTATTCATCCCAAGTTCTGAATTAGGAACGGGCAGTCTGCCTGAATATATACCAATTCTAAAATCTATTCCAAAGAGGTAATTTTGCAGTGGGAAGAATAACTTTTTTAGAACTGTGTGCAGAAAGCGTACCAAGAAAACTGAAGGGCTTTGGAAAACTTCTGGTGTGCAACCACATTTCTAATTTTCACCAAAATATTTATTCTGGTTCCTCTTCTCTCTAGAGCAGATTTTTGAACATATGGCTTGAGGACATTTTCTCTATCTTTCCGCCTCCCTCACCACCTTGTATTTCAGTTTTGTAAGTAGAGACATATATGAAAACGATGTGTGCTTTTTTTCCTTCAAAATATGGGAAAAATTAGAAAATAAAATATACTAACAAGTGGCATTCCTAAAGAACCTATACGAAATGCTTGCAATGAATGCTATTGCCATACAAGCTATAGGGAGCATTTTAGATTTTGTCCGATGTTATTCTCACCATGATTTTTTTAGATCATATACAATTATGCCCATGTGGAACTAAAAATAGGTTTAAATTCTGATGAGGTACAAAAGCAGGATAAAATGACAGGCATGGTACACTGACTAAAATAATCAATAGTACCCCATAGTTCTGAACTTTCAAATGTCCTTGAGAAAAAATGTTCTGTATATGTCAGAGTGAATTATTGCGGGGGATGAATAAGGGGGTCAAAGAGGGCCCTATTTGCCTATGTAAACATCTGATGAATTCAAAAGACCACAAAAAAGACATCATTTGTCTTTAAAAATAAATCCAGTAATTTGTGCACTACACATTCCATCATCAGGCGTTAGTTTGTGATGTGCCTTGAAAAAAGATGTTCTACTATATTTTATCTTTTTTAATACCTTATTTGTGACTGATTTCTCTGAAGTCCTATACACAGTCTGGGCTTGTGTATCTCTATGTCTCTCTCTTTGCAATCTCATATTAACAGCACTGGCTATGTAATGAGAGTATTTACTATATAAAAAGTCTTAAGGATTCTGCAAATATTAACTTAATAAATTTAGTTAATGTCAAGAATAGTTGATACTATTCTTATCCCCATTATACAGAAGAGGAAATCAAGCCCTGAGAAGTTAAGGGACTTGCCCAAGATCACAGACTGAATGCCAGAACCATGATTCAAACCCAGATATTTGCTGCTCATACTCCAGATACCCTCTTGTTTTCCAGTCCTTTGATCCCTTAGAGGCTTTCGCCAACCTGGTGACTTTGTACACGGTCTCTTTGCCTGCAGAACCCTTCCCTGCTGGTATCTTCTCATCTTTTCGCTCAGAGCCTAAATGCTGCCTCCTTAGGAGGCATTCCTTTTACCCTATTTAAAGTTAAGCATCTCTTCCCTGTCATTCTCTGTCTCTGTCCCTTACTTGTACCTTTCACATAAAATACAGCATAATTTGTAATTATTTTTTACCTTAGTCAGCTTGTTTGTTTCTCTCAGACTCCTGCACAAGAATATTCTTTTTTTTAAAATTTTGTTTTCTTGAGACAGGGTCTTGCTCTGTTATCCAGGCTGGTGTGCAGTGGCGTGATCATGGCTCACTGCAGCCTCGACTTCCCTGGCTCAAGCAATCCTCCCACCTCAGCCACCTGAGTAGCTGAGACTGCAAATGCACACCACCACTCCTGGCTAATTTTTTTTTTAAAAAATTTTGTAGAGACTGGGTCTCACTATGCTGCCTAGGCTGGTCTCAAATTCCTGGGCTCAAGCAATCCTCCCACCTTGGCTTCCCAAAGTGCTGGGATTACAGGTGTGAGCCACCACAGAATATTCTTTACACAGGTACATTGCCTGCCTTGCTCACAGCATCATCCCCAGCACTGAGTGCAGTACCTGGCTCATAATAGGAGTCCACTTATATTGAATGAATGAACGAGTATTAAAGAACTCTCTACATAGTCTGGAGAGATCACCTACTTGAGGCAACTATCATGCTAAACTGAAGCTGTGTTCAGATTTTGGTTCAGGAAATGAGGTTCTGGATCAGGGTCATTTAGAAAACATGACTCCAGCATATTCCATGAAGCTGGGTCCAATCTCAAGATTTTGTAGATAACCATCTTTCTGCAAACGGCAATAGTCATGTTACAGTACCCTGCATCAAATGCCAAATGCTGCCTGGACCTGCGCCATGGAACTGGTAAATTCAAACCTAGAAGTAACAAGGCTGGGCTGGAAGGGAGCCAGTCTTGCAGCCCCTGTCTTCTTGTGATGCCTGCAGATATATGTTTCTGCCTCCAATTCTAATTTTTATATAAAGCCCACCTAAAAGTTTGGTAGTGTACAGACAATTAGGTCCTCAGCTATTCCCCTCAACCTTGGAATGAAGGTAAGACTAAGAAGTCTTACTTTTGAAAGAATTATCACATAATTATCTTATCTGTGCTTCCAAATGGAATAGGAGCTAGTCCAAAGACTTATGTTGGGCAGAAATTACTGCCCCTAATTATTGGCAATGTAGGCCTTGTCTAAGATCAGAGGTTCCTTTTACCTGGCTTCCCATCCAGCATGAAGAGGAAAAGTGTCCTCAAGTGCAAGCTCTGTTTGCTCTCACAGCATCCTCCAAAGCTATGCCATCATTTTGCCGGGGCAAAAGCTAGTTTAATCCGAACGCGACATTGATCAACCAGTGACTGTCTCAGCCAGGGGTCTGACAGGAAACAGATGGGACTCTCAGACTGGGTAATGTGAGGAGAAGTTAATAAAGGAATTGTTTATAAAATTGTGGGCAGAATCTAAGGAAACAAAAGAAGAGATATTGCAGCATTACAGGTCCAGCAATAATGGAAAGCTATTACCACCCCTAGAAATGAAAAGACAAGAGGAACCTGTGGTTACCAGAACCAGAATCCAGGGTAATTAGCTGTGGGGAGTAGCTGCATGAAGATGACCATCTACAAGGAGTTGTGGCCCTCAGAAGAGGGATGCGACAGCTTCTGGCGGCAGTGGCAAGGGGGAAGCAGGAGAATAAATACCCTCACCTCTTCCTAATAATACCACCCATGATCCAGCTCATCTGGAATCCAAAGGGTAAGGGATCCCTTTTTGGGAAACAGAACAGGGTAGAAAAAGGTGAAGAGAGGATCTAGGGGGTGAGGAAGCAATATGAAGTTATTCAGCATAGTGACCCCTCAAGATACTGGGTGAGCAGCCTAGTGGGGGTGACCAACTAGTCCTAGTTTGCCCTAGATTCTACTGGTTTAGCATTGAAAACCTTATACACCAGATACCTTCTCAGTTGTGGACAAAATGAGAAGACTTCTAATTGTAAGCATAGCTCAGTTGATTCCTCCAACATGGATTGGGAATGCCAGCGGCCAGCCCATTGTGGCTCCCCACTAGACCCGGAAGAAGCCAAGCTGCAGGAAGAAGCCACGTAAACATAAGTCGCTGACATGAGTCACCCCACTACGAGAGGCCTCTATAGATCCTCTCTGCATGCACAGAGTAAAGCAGTGAGAACCTTGGGCCAGAAATTGGGGAACAAGGCTCCCAAGGCTGCCTCTGCCATATATTGGTGTGTTACCTGAGCCTCTGCTTCTCTGCTGAGTCTTCAGCTGCAAAATGAAAGGGTGCAACTGGATCAGCATTTACAAAAGTACCTGCTACAAAGCACAGAAATTGACAAAAGAATTCTGTGTTTAAATACCTATAAAGAAGTCTGCATACTGTCTCCTTCTCTTGGAGACACTCAGAGGGCATTGACATCCTATGGTTTTTGAAAAGTCATGTGGTAAAGAAAAGTCACGTGGTTTAAATTAGCTGAACCCCATGATATGACCACACATCTTTGCCCCGCAAAGTCACACCTCACAGCATGACACAGAAGTGGTGTTCCGCAGAATGGGCTTTGGAAAATGCTGGAGAAGGTGACCCCTGTTGTCTCTTCCAGCTCTGGTGTTTTGTGACTCTGTGACCAATAGTAAGTTGGAAAGTGTAGGATATATGTGACGAAAAGTCAAGTAATGGCATTATCATCTTGTGTTAACTGACACTACTTATACAATTACAGCAAGACCCACAATTCATGATGGACTTCTTGGCTGCTGGATTAACAACCATAGAGAGTGGGGAAAAAGTCTTTTTGGATAAAATAGCTGAAATTCATCCAAATTTCTTTTTTAAATTAGGCTGGAGGTTACTGAGAACTCACAAGAACCTATTAATTGCCTTCCCAGAATCATGATTGTGACAAGAGGTTCATACCAGATGCTCCTAAATATAATGAGACTAATTTGTAAATGTTCTCATAACGCACTAATTCTGAAGGAGCTCGCTGTCAGGGAAAAGTTTCTCCTGACCTCAGTTAATGACCTCCTTACATTGTGAAGCATAAAGATTGATAGATCTTGTAATTTTATCCCTGTTAATTTAACTGCAGATGCTATTCTTAGGCAACTTGGTGATCACAAGATTTAAAATATTGATAAGAGTCTATAGGACAGCAGTAAAGAAATAGCGGTTTTTAACAGACTGTGAAGGAACGTACAGCTTGTTAAAGAAAACTGGCTGTAGCTCAAAAATGCATGGGAAACTGACAGAGTGGGAAGCATTTAAGATAGAGTCAAGGAAGTAAACCATAAAATTTATATTTATGAAGCCAGGAATGCCAAATGAGCAACAGGAACCGATGTGGCTGAGTGTGGAAGAGAAGACATAGACAGCAGCAGGGAAGCAAGGAATATTAGAAAAATAAAAATCACATGTTTACTGTAATATTTCACCACCTCCAAATGTGCAGTTCAGAATTGTTGACAATATTCCCGACTTGGAGGCAGCTCTGCCTGGGAGAGTGATAGACTACACGGCATCCAAGCCACCCAAGCACCCGGGAAGGGTATTTACTGGTGGTCCCTACATTACCTCTGGACCAGCTCCCCTCATTCTGCCACCACCCTGGCTCCCGGGACATCTGTATATTGGAACACCCAGCTGTCACATTAGGAAATTCAACTGCACAACCTTCTGAGCTGTGATAGATAAACAGCCTTTGTGAGAAGAAAGCCTCAGAGTATAAGGAAATGCACTTTCTGTACAGAATACATTTCTTCTAAGTGTTGTCAGGTGATGCTGTTGTTCTCTTTAAGCTGTAACTTGCCCTTGAAATAGAGAGGGACTGCAGCTGACTGGCCAAGAAAGGAAATACCTAACAATCATCAGTTAAATTATCTGCCCCTCTGCTTAGAGGTACAGTATTATCTCTGTCTCAGAGATGAGGACACCAAAACAGACAGGCAAAGCCTGAGGACCAGGCAGTGAGCTATAGGTAGTCATCGTTGTAGCCAAGAGGGAAAGAGTCTGTAAGTTTGCATGATTTCCTCTGAAGTCTTTATCCCTAGAACTTGAAAAAGAGAAGAAATAAATAAAAAATGGTACATTGAGCTCTTCTTCCATCTTATGTTACCTGTTTCTTGTGAATATGGGAAGGAAATGTGAGGAAAGAAAAGTGGAAGAGGACTTATAAACAAATTTGGAGGAGAAGCGGAAGAGAGAGTTGGTATTAAAATCGAATGGTCAAACTGGTGGAAGCATGGGTTCCGTGGAGAACCCTGTCATTGGAACTCTTTAGAAAAAGGCAAGAAACTCTGAAGTGGTGGAGATCTGCTCAGAAATGAAAACATAGAATGGCGTCTGCAATTAGGCACCATAACACCAAAGGGCAAAAATATTGGACTGAAAGTCCAGGGAGCCTGAGTTCTAATCTCAATCCTGCTCCCCTCAAGAGCTGCGTGATCATAGCATATCTCTGAGGTTGTTTGCCCAGGAATGGACGTTTGCTCCTTCTTCTGTCTCTGACCTCGACCTCTGTTCATAGCTAAAATATATTTAAGCCAAATGGCCAAGCAGAACTGAGCTTCTCCAAAGTCTCCCTTCAGGCCGGACACAGTGGCTTATGCCTGTAATCCTAGCACTTTGGGAGGCCGAGGCAGATGGATCACTTGAGCCCAGGAGTTTGAGACCAGCCTGGGCAACATGGCGAAATCCTGTCTCTACTAAAAATACAGAAACTGAGGTGGGAGGATCACCTGAGCCTGGGGAGGTCAAGGCTACAGTGAGCCATGATTGCGCCACTGCACTCCAGCCTGGGCAACATGGTGACACGGCTTCTCAAAAAACAAAAACAATGAAAGTCTTCCTTCAGATAGCTGACAAATCAGCTTCCTATGGCTTCTGCTAGCCAGCAGCTATACTCAGCAGTATGATAAGCCCCCTGGATCTCAACTGATGTTCTTCATTTTCCCAGATTCTCTGAAATAACTGAGCTCCTGCCTGTCTGCTGTGCCTTTAGGGAAACAAGTTGCCTGAGAATGACCCAGGGTGAGAGTGCTCACACAGCTTGAAGAATCAAGACCAGAATGCTACAACATCCACCACTCCTATAATGGAGTCCAAACATCCACTCCATGTACCAGAACTCACAATAAATAAAATTGATAGACTGTTTTTGTCAATCTGTTTTCTTTGAGTTATGAATGTCTTGGATTCAATATTAGAGGTTTCCTTTGTTCCTTTGTAAAAGACATTGCCTGACAAGCACAGAGAAAAGTATAGTGACATGTTTTTATAGAACTTATCACCAAAGCCTTATTATGAAGCTTGAAGCATTAAGTTTTTGAATATATATTTTAAATAAATAGAAAAGTAATGATGGGCTCCCAACAATTGTAAAATTAGAGGTTCCAACATTATTCTAACAGATGGCATCCTGCTTTGTGGTATCGTGTTTGAGTTAGCAACAGCCTTCATTATACAGAGATATTCTTCATTGTATGATCTTCATAATAGGGATTAAGGAAAGGATATAAATGCAGTAATTTCGCAGATCTTATTGTTGGAAAGTGCTCATTTACTTCTAACTTGCAGCATGACTCTGTTGCTTAAAAAATGTTTTCCTGCTGTTTTTTAGCAGCAGGGAGAATACAACACATTGTTGTTAAGGTTGTTGATTCTAACCAGCTTTAATTAGGTATAAAAACCCATAAAGAATCAATAAATACTTTGTGTTTTTCTAAAGAGCATTCAAGGGTGGGTACTGTTAATGTGTTCATTGTGTCCAAACAATATTAGCCCAAGAGAAATAATGAGGAAAAACTTGACTAGAAAATGGAAAATACTCTATGTTAGTAATGCTTTCCATGCAATAAAACATTTCAAGTCAATAATTGCTTACTACTTACAGGCTGGCACAATATTTTTAAAATTCCCTTACGTAACTAGCCATCGATGTTTAATAAGATTTCTGCACAAATATTATATAGTTCCTAATAGAACTATTAGCTGTTCATGGCAACTGTCCATCCTGATGCTATTCCTGTCAACTAGCCTTACCCACCCCACACCCATTCCCTCATTTAAAAAAAAAAAAAATGCTACCAGCCAAGCGCAGTGGCTCACACTGGTAATCCTAGCACTTTGGAAGGCCAAGGTCGGAGGATCACTTGAACCTGGGAGTGTGAGACTAGCCTGGGCAACATAGTGGAACCCCACCTCTATTTAATTTTTTTTTTAATGTTATGGTTTCTTCAGATCTATCTCAAGATTCCACATTGACCCTACAAGGGCTAGTGCAATGCAATGACCATGTTAGGTTTTCAATAAATGCTTCTTGTATAGAAATAAATTCTCTCAAATTGTTTGTAGTGAAGCTGGATTCTTAGAAATATTATCTGTGGATACTGGACCAAGACAATAAATAATATTTTTAAAATACTTTTTATTAAATTTTTTATAGAGACAGGTCCTCACTCTTGCCCAGGCTGGTCTTGAACTCCTGGCCTCCAGTTATCCTCCTGCCTTGGCCTCCCAAAGTACTAGGATTACAGGTGTGAGGCACTACTCCCAGCCCAAAAGAATCATTTTTAGTGTCAGAGATTCTTTTGCAAATTTGATGAAAGTAATGAACTCTCTTCCCAGAAAAATCTACATGTACACATACACATTTGATATTACATCAATTTTAGGTAATACACCTTTTAAAGTACTTAATTCCAGATTAAGAATTCCTGTACATCCAAAGCAATAAAATGATCATGGAAATGCTGGTGATACACATGACATCAATTTTAGTGGTGTCTACGAGACTGGATCTGAGCAAACAATGACGAAATTCTTTATGGTGTTTGACAAAGATTCTCTCCTTGACCAAACTTCAGCCAGGCTCCTTTGAGCTCTCTTCTGAACTAGGCTTCAACCTTGGCCAATAAAGACTTGAACACATTCTAGTATCATTTCTAACAGCTGAAGGCCATATCCGTTAATGACCCTAGGGATGACCCTAGCCCTGCTTAAAGTGCCTGCCTGAGAAAACTCAAGACTGCCCAAAGCATTTACTGTTTTTTCCAGCCACCATGTAGATACAAGTCCTGTCTCCAAAGTCTCTGGGGTGGAGAAGCAGGGAAAGAACTGTACCTTGGATAAGCTACAACTACTGAGCCCAAAGGGAATGAACATGGACCAACCTCATGCAGCTTTTTATAATTTTTCACTTCCCTCCCTACTCCCTCATTCTCCCTTTAAAATCCCCAGTCACCCCTGTACAAATTGAAATTGAGTTCAGTTCAGGCTGGGTACTTTTCCCTGTTATAATAGCTATTGCTGATAAATATCTATACTTACCACTTTAAGTAGTTATCTAGTCTTGCTTATTTTTGACAGTTATATAATTCAATTTTTAAGAACATCCAATATATGTATATTACAGAGCATTTGCATGTGAGGGCTGATTATTTGCTTCTCAAAAGACTTTTTCAATCTACCAAAGACAGTAAAGATCTTGAAGACAGGAGGTCAGTGTCTTTGAATCCACAGCCTCTGCCACTTAGTTGGCATTCAGTGCTTGCTATGTTTGTTGGATGAATATATGGTTTTCTTGCAGTTTCTGAAAATAGTTATGCTTCATTTAAGAGTTTGCTTTTAGGTCATTAAATGCTTGCACAGAAGTGCAAAAAGCCTTTGTCAATAGGAGGTTACTCAGAAAAGAAGATAAAGAGTCTCTCAAGTTGTAATGTGAGTCAATGGGAAAAGTGATTTACTTTACAAAAATGAAATTTACACAAAACTAGAGCATAAATCAAGATCTTCTCTCTCTCATGAATAATTTGAGTCACCTAGTAAAATTCATAGCCTTTGTCATGAAACCAATTTAAAGCCCTATTCCAATTGAGTATATATCCTCTGTTGAAGCCAGCACAAAGCCTGATGCAGAAAACTTTTTGAATTGCAGAAAATTTTTTCTGGAGTAAGGGACACAAGCTCTTTAAATATCAAGGATTTTTTGTTTTGCTTTGCTTTTTAACTCTTTGCTGAGGCAAATTTTGATATTTGCTAGATCACTGTCACAAACAATTCTCTTTATGTGCCGGTAATACATAGCTAATAGTCTTTCCAACTAAAAAAGCAAGTGGCATATTGAGGAGGGTTACTTCACTCTTCTGGAAATAGTAGCCAATTCCAACCTTCTGATTAGGGAAAAATATCCATAAGGGAGAATTTTACTTACTTCAAGCAGGAACACCTTATTAGGGTACAATCCCTTTACTGACAAACCCCTCAGCTTTTAGGTGCCAAACTGATTATCCAGGAATTTAGCATATTCGTTTGTTAGCACTGCCATAACAAAATACCTCTGATTGGGTGGCTTAAACAACAGAAATTTATTTTCCACAGTTCTCGAAGCTGAACATCCAAGATCAAGGCATTAGCGGGCTTGGTTTCTCCTGTGGTCTCTCTGCTTGGCTCGTGGATGGCTGCCCTCTTTCTGCCTCTTCACATAGTCACCCTTTTGTGCACCCACATCCCTGGTGTCTCTCTGTGCATCCTAATCTCCTGTTCTTAAAAGGACAACCGGCTGGGCACTGGCATGTAATCCCAGTGTTTCCGGAATTGGTGGGTTCTTGGTTTCACTGACTTCAAGAATGAAGCCGTGGACCCTCGCGGTGAGTGTTGCCGTTTGAGTGTCACAGTTCTAAAAGGCGGCGTGTCTGGAGTTCGTTCCTTCTGATGTTTGGACGTGTTCGAAGTTTCTTCCTTCTGGTGGGTTTGTGGTCTCGCTGGCTTCAGGAGTGAAGCTGCAGACCTTCGTGGTGAGTGTTACAGCTCTTAGGACAGTGCGTCCATAGTTGTTCATTTCTCCCAGTGGGTTCGTGGTCTCACTGGCCTCAGGAGTGAAGCTGCAGACCTTCGCAGTGAGTGTTACAGTTCATAAAGGCAGTGTGGACCCAAAGAGTGAGCAGTAGCAACATTTATTGCAAAGAATGAAAGAACAAAGCTTCCACAGTATTGAAGGGGACCCAAGCAGGTTGCCACTGCTGGCTGGGACAGCCTGCTTTTATTCTCTTATCTGGCCCCACCCACATCCTGCTGATTGTTCCATTTTACAGAGAGCCCATTGGTCTGTTTTACAGAGAGCTGATTGGTCTGTTTTGACAGGGTGCTGATTGGTGCATTTACAATCCCTGAGCTAGACACAAAAGTTCTCCAGGTCCCCACTAGATTAACTAGATACAGAGTGTCAATTGGTGCATTCACAAACCCTGAGCTAGACACAGGGTGCTGATTGGTGTGTTTACAAACCTTGAGCTAGATACAGAGTGCTGATTGGAGTATTTACAATCCCTTAGCTAGACATAAAGATTATCCAAAGCCCCACCAGACTCAGGAGCCCAGCTGGCTTCACCCAGTGGATCCCGCACCAGGGCTGCAGGTGGAGCTGCCTGCCAGTCCAGCACCGTGCACCCGCACTCCTCAGCCCTTGGGCGGTCGATGGGACTGGGTACTGTGGAGCAGGGGGTGGTGCTCATAGGGGAGGCTCCCGCGGCGCCAGAGACCACGGTGGGGGGCGGGGGGAGCTCAGGCATGGCAGGCTGCAGGTCCCGAGCCCTGCCTCGTGGGGAGGCAGTTAAGGCCCACGAGAAATCGAGCACAGCAGTTGCTGGCCCAGGTGCTAAGCCCCTCATTGCCCGGGGCCGCTCTGAGTGCGGGGCCTGCCGAGCCCATGCCCACCAGGAATTCTAGCTGGCCCTCAAGCACCGTGTGCAGCCCCGGTTCCCGCCCGTGCCTCTCCCTCCACACCTCCCCACAGGCTGAGGGAGCCGGCTCCTGCCTTGGCCATCCCAGGAAGGGGCTCCCGCAGTGCAGCGGCAGGCTGAAGGGCTCCTCAAGCAGACAGAGTGGGCACCGAGGCCAAGGAGGCGCCAAGAGCCAGCGAGGGCTGCGAGGGCTGCCAGCATGCTGTCACCTCTCACCAGCACTTTGGGAGGCTGAGGTATCACGAAGTCAGGAGTTCGAAACCAGCCTGGCCAAGATGGTGAAACCTCATGTCTACTAAAAATACAAAATTAGCCAGGTGCAGTAGTGGGCACCCGTAATCCCAGCTACTCAGGAGGCTGAGGCAGGAGAATCACTTGAACCCGGGAGGCAGAGGTTGCAATGAGCTGAGATTGTGCCACTGCACTCCAGCCTGGGCAACAGAGCAAGACTCCGTCTCAAAAAAAAAAAAAGACACCCATCTGGTTGTATTAGGGCCCCACTGTAACATTCTCATTTTAACTCAATGACCTCTTTAAGGACCTTATCTACAAATACAGTTACATTCTGAGTTACTGAGCATTAGAAGGTCAACATTATGGATTGTGGTTGGGGTTTGGGGCACAATTTGTTGCACAACACTTAGAAATCCAGGAATTTGAGTTTGCCTTCTCATGTTCCTGTCAGCACTGACACCTCTGGCTAAATCTATTCTCCTAAGGTCAGGCTTAGACTCCCATGACTTCTCTGTAGCTTCTCTGATCCCATGGCCCATGCTGTCTGTGATGCCATTGTGACAGACAGGACCAGCTGGATTTCCTAGACTAAGAATTCCTAAGCCTAGCTGGGGAAGGTGACCGCGCACCCACCTTTAAACACGGGGCTTGTAACTCAGCTCACACCTGACCAATCAGGTAGTAAAGAGGGCTCACTAAAATACAAATTAGGCTAAAGCAGGAGATAAAGAAACAGCCAAATCATATATCACCTGAGAGCACAGGGGGAGGGACAGTGATCGGGATGTAAACCCAGGCATTCGAGCAGGGAGCAGCAACCCCCTTTGGGTCCCCTCCCATTTTATGGGAGCTCTGTTTTCACTCTATTAAATCTTGCAACCGCACACTCTTCTGGTCCATGTCTGTTACAGCTCAAGCCGAGCTTTCACTCGCCATCCACCACTGCTGTTTGCCGCCATCGCAGACCCGCCACTGACTTCCACCCCTCCGGATATGGCAGGATGTCTTCTGTGCTCCTGATCCAGCAAGGCGCCCATTGCTGCTCCCAATCGGGCTAAAGGCTCCCCATTGTTCCTGCGTGGCTAAGTGCCTGGGTTCTCCTAATCGAGCTGAACACTAGTCGTTGGGTTCCATGGTTCTCTTCTGTGACCCACAGCTTCTAATAGAGCTATAACACTCACCGCATGGCCCAAGGTTCCATTCCTTGGAATCCATGAAGCCAAGAACCCCAGGTCAGAGAAAAAGAGGCTTGCCACCATCTTGGAAGCAGCCCACCACCATCTCGGGAGCTCTAAGAACAAGGACCCTCCCAGTAACATTTTGGTGACCATGAAGGGACATCCAAAGTGGTGAGTAATATTGGACCACTTTTACTTGCTATTCTGTCCTATCCCTACCATACAAAGGTCTGACCAGACCTAGGAGGAACTCCCTTCAGGACAGGACGATAGATGGTTGCTCCCAGGTGATTGAGAAAAAAACCACAATGGGTATTCACTAATTGATAGGGAGACTCTTGTGGAAGCAGAATTAGGAGAATTGCCAAATAATTGGTCTGCTCAAACGCTGGAGCTGTTTGCACTCAGCCAAGCCTTAAACTGCTTAAAGAATCAAAAAACTCTATCTCAATCCTGACTCAAAAGGTTACCTACACCCTCTCTGAAACGAATTTGCATAAGAACTGTTGTTTGTGGGAATGCATCTTAATGGGGCAACTGGGTTGTTATGAAATACTCTGGAACCCACCCCAGCTCTAGGACTCACCACTGAGCACAAAGGCAATGTTGGGCATGCTGGTAAAGGACCACTGGAGTCCAGCAGCCCAGACCCCTTTCTTTGTGATCAAGGAAGGTGGGAAAAGGGGTGCAGGACTGCTACATGGTGAGTGTAACTAATCCGATAAGCAGAGGTCCATGGGTGGTTATGCACCCTGGAAAGGAATAAGCATTAAGACCATAGAGGACGCTCTAGGACTAATGCTCATCGGAAAATGACTAGGGGTGCTGGCATCCCTGTGATTTTTTTGTTTTGTTTTTTGTTTTGTTTTTTTTTTCAGATGGGAAGCATTCCCCCTAAGGCAAATGCCCCTAAGATGTATTCTGGAGAATTTGGCCCAGTCAGAGTGTATGTACCTTTTTCCCTGTCAGACTTAAAGCAAATTAAAATAGGCCTAGGTAAATTCTCAAATAACCCTGATATCTATATTGACATTTTACAAGGGTTAGGACAAAACTTTAATCTGACATGAGAGATATAATGTTACTGCTAGATCAGACACTAACCCCAAATAAGAGAAGTACCACCATAACTGCAGCCCACGAGTTTGGCGATCTCGGGTATCTCAGTCAGGTCAATGAAAGGATGACAACAGAGGAAAGAGAACGATTCTCCACAGGCCAGCAGGCAGTTCCCAATGTAGACCCTCATTGGAACGCAGAATCAGAACATGGAGATTAGTGCAGCAGACATTTGCTAACTTGCGTGCTAGAAGGACTAAGGAAAACTAGGAAGAAGCCTATGAATTATTCAATGATGTCCACTATAACACAGGAAAAGGAAGAAAATCCTACTGCCTTTCTGGACAGACTAAGGGAGGCACTGAGGAAGCATACCTCTCTGTCACCTGACTCTATTGAAGGCCAACTAATTTTAAAGGATAAGTTTATCACTCAGTCAGCTGCAGACATTAAAGAAAAACTTCAAAAGTCCACCTTAGGCCCAGAGCGAAACTTAAAAACCCTATTGAACTTGGCAACCTCTGTTTTTTATAATAGAGATCAGGAGGAGCAGGCGGAACGGGACAAACGAGGTAAGAAAAAGGCCACCACTTTAGTCATGGCCCTCGGGCAAGCGGACTTTGGAGGCTCTGGAACGCGGAAAGCCTGGGCAAATCGAATGCCTAATAGGGCTTGCTTCCAGTGCGGTCTCCAAGGACACTTTAAAAAAGATTGTCCGAATAGAAATAAACCGCCCCCTTGTCCATGCCCCTTATGTCAAGGGAATCACTGGAAGGCCCATTGCCCCAGGGGATGAAGGTCCTCTGAGTCAGAAGCCACTAACCAGATGATCCAGCAGCAGGACAGAGGGTGCCCGGGGCAAGCGCCAGCCCATGCCATCACCCTCACAGAGCCCCGGGTATGTTTGACCATTGAGGGCCAGGAGGTTAACCATCTCCTGGACATTGGCGTGGCCTTCTTAGTCTTACTCTCCTGTCCTGGACAACTGTCCTCCAGATCTGTCACTATCTGAGGGGTCCTAGGACAGCCAGTAACTAGATGCTTCTCCCAGCCACTAAGTTGTAACTGGGGAACTTTACTCTTTTCACATGCTTTTCTAATTATGCCTGAAAGCCCCACTCCCTTGTTAGGGAGAGACATTCTAGCAAAAGCAGAGGCCATTATACACCTGAACACAGGAGAAGGAACACTCGTTTATTGTTCCCTGCTTGAGGAAGGAATTAATCCTGAAGTCTGGGCAACAGAAGGACAATATGGATGAGCAAAGAATGCCTCTCCTGTTCAAGTTAAACTAAAGGATTCCGCCCCCTTTCCCTACCAAAGGCAGTACCCCCTTAGACCTGAGGCCCAACAAGGACTCCAAAAGATTGTTAAGGACCTAAAAGCCCAAGGCCTAGTAAAACCATGCAGTAGCCCCTCTGATACTCCAATTTTAGGAGTACAGAAACCTAATGGACAGTGGAGGTTAGTGCAAGATCTCAGTATTATCAATGAGGCCATTGTCCCTCTATACCAAGCTGTACCTAACCTTTACACTCTGCTTTCCTAAATACCAGAGGAAGGAGAGTGGTTTACAGTCCTGGACCTTAAGGATGCTTTTTCCTGCATCCTGTATATCCTGACTCTCAATTCTTTTTTGCCTTTGAAGATCCTTCGAACCTAATATCTCAACTCACCTGGTTCACGGATAGCCCCCATCTAATTGTCCAGGCATTAGCCCAAGACTTGAGCCAGTTTTCATACCTGGACACTCTTGTCCTTTGGTACATGGATGATTTACTTTTAGCCACCCATTCAGAAACCTTGTGCCATCAAGCCACCCAAGCACTCTTAAATTTCCTTGCCACCTGTGGCTACAAGATTTCCAAAACAAAGGTTCAGCTCTGCTCACAGCAGGTTAAATACTTAGGGCTAAAAGTATCCAAAGGCACCAGGGCCCTCAGTAAGGAATGTATCCAGCCTATACTGGCTCATCCTTATCCCAAAACCTTAAAGCAACTAAGAGGGTTCCTTGGCATAACAGGCTTCTGCCGAATATGGATTCCCAGGTACGGCGAAATAGCCAGGCCATTGTATACACTAATTAAGGAAACTCAGAAAGCCAATACCCATTTAGTAAGATGGACACTTGAAGCAGAGCAGCTTTCCAGGCCCTAAAGAAGGCCCTAACCCAAGCCCCAGTGTTAAGCTTGCCGACGGGGCAAGACTTTTCTTTGTATGTCACAGAAAAAAACAGGAATAGCTCTAGGAGTCCTTACACAGGTCCAAGACACCAGCTTGCAACCTGTGGCATACCTAAGTAAGGAAAATGATGTAACGGCAAAGAGTTGGCCTCATTGTTTATGGGTAGTGGCAGCAATAGCAGTCTTAGTATCTGAAGCAGTTAAAATAATACAGGGAAGAGATCTTACTGTGTGGACATCTCATGATGTAAACGGCATACTCACTGCTAAAGGAGACTTGTTGCTGTCAGGCAACCGTTTGCTTAAATATCAGGCTCTATTACTTAAAGGGCCAGTGCTGTGACTGCGCACTTGTGCAACTCTTAACCCAGCCACATTTCTTCCAAACGATAAAAGATAGAACATAACTGTCGACAGGTGATTGCTCAAACCTACACCACTCGAGGGGACCTTCTAGAGTTTCCCTTGACTGATCCCAACCTCAACTTGTATACTAATGGAAGTTCTTTGTAGAAAAAGGACTTCAAAAAGCAGGGTATGCAGTGGTCGGTAATAATGGAATACTTGAAAGTAATCCCCTCACTCCAGGAACTAGCACTCAGCTGGCAGAACTAATAGCCCTCACTAGGGCACTAGAATTAGGAGAAGAAAAAAGGGTAAATATATATACAGACTGTAAGTATGCTTACCTACTTCTCCATGACCACGCAGCAATATGGAGAGAAAGGGAATTCCTAATTTCAGAGGGAACACCTATCAAACATCGGGAAGCCATTAGGAGATTATTCTTGGCTGTACAGAAACCTAAAGAGATGGCAGTCTTACACTGCTGGGGTCATCAGAAAGGAAAGGAAAGGGAAATAGAAGGGAACTACCAAGCGGATATTGAAGCCAAAAGAGCCACAAGGCTGGACCCTCCATTAGAAATGCTTATAGAAGGACCCCTGGTATGGAGTAATCCCCTCAAGGAAACAAAGCACCAGTACTCAACAGAAGAAATAGATTGGGGAACCTCACAAGGACATAGTTTCCTCCTCTCGGGAGGGCTAGCCACCGAAGAAGGAAAAATAGTTTTGCCTGCAGCTAACCAATGGAAATTACTTAAAACGCTTCACCAAATCTTTCACTCTCACTGCACCTCCTCCATGCCGCTGTACTACCAGTAGCTCCCCTTACCAAGAGCTTCTATGGAGAAATGTGGCTTCCCAGAAATATTGATGCCCCATTGTATAGGAGTTTTTCTAAAGGAAACCCCACTTTCACTGCCCACACTCATATGCCCTTGCACTTCAGGCCATACATTTCAATCCCTGTATCTTTAACCTCCTTGTTAAGTTTGTCTCTTCCAGAATTGAAGCTGTAAAACTACAAATGGCTCTTCAAATGGAGCCCCAGATGCAGTCCATGACTAAGCTCTACTGCGGACCCCTGGACTGGCCTGCTAGCCCATGCTCTGATATTAATGACATGGAAGGCACCCCCCCTGAGGAAATCTCAACTGCACGACCCCTACTATGCCCCAATTCAGCAGGAAGCTGTTAACAGCGGTCATTGGCCAACCTCCCCAACAGCTCTTGGGTTTTCCTGTTGAGAGGGGGAACTGAGAGACAGGACTAGCTGGATTTCCTAGGCCGACTAAGAATTCCTAAGCCTAGCTGGGGAAGGTGACCACACCCACCTTTAAACACGGGGCTTGTAACTCAGCTGACACCCAACCAATCAGGTAGTAAAGAGGGCTCACTAAAATACAAATTAGGCTAAAGCAGGAGGTAAAGAAACAGTCAAGTCATATATCGCCTGAGAGCACAGGGGGAAGGACAGTGATCAGGATGTAAACCCAGGCATTCGAGCAGGGAGTGGCAACCCCCTTTGGGTCCCCTCCCATTTTATGGGAGCCCTGTTTTCACTCTATTAAATCTTGCAACTGCACACTCTTCTGGTTCATGTTTGTTACAGATCAAGCTGAGCTTTCACTCGCCATCCACCACTGCTGTTTGCCGCCATTGCAGACCTGCCACTGACTTCCACCCCTCCGGATCTGGCAGGATGTCTGCTGTGCTCCTGATCCAGCGAGGTGCCCATTGCCGCTCCCGATCGGGCTAAAGGCTCACCATTGTTCCTGCATGGCTAAGTGCCTGGGTTCTCCTAATCGAGCTGAACACTAGTCGCTGGGTTCCACGGTTCTCTTCCGTGACCCATGGCTTCTAATAGAGCTATAACACTCACTGCATGGCCCAAGGTTCCATTCCTTGGAATCCATGAGGCCAAGAACCCCAGGTCAGACTACAAGAGGCGGGCTGCCATCTTGGGAGCAGCCCGCCATCATCTTGGGAGCTCTAAGAACAAGGACTGACGCCCACCCCCCCCCGCCCCAGTAACAATTGCATAGTTACTTCTGCCAAAGTAATCAAGGTCCAAGAAAGGGTATTCTATATAGAATTCTGAGTGACTTGCTTGTCACTTTTGAGTGTGTGTGTACTCTTCTTAATATGGAAAACAAACCTCCCATCCCTTGTTTGAATTTAAACATCAATAAATTAATGACAATAATTCCACTTACATTTGTGTAGAGCTCTACAGCTCTTTAAAGAGAACTATGGAGGAAAGTTGAGCAAAAGATACTAAGAAAGAACAGCCTGGCAGAAAGTAAGAGAACACTAAGGGAATGATGTCAAAAGACAAATGAAGAAGGAGAATCAAATATTGCATAGATGGCTTTAGGGATGTGGACCAATAAAAGGTTACAGAGTTTGGAAATTAAGAAATCATTGATGATCTTAAGAACCATTTCAGTGGAGGGGAGTGAAATGTTGGATGCCAAGTACATTTGGTTGAGAATTTAATGAGTAGCTAATCAGAATAATAAGTATTAGACAATATCTTCAAGATGTAAAAAGATACAGAGAGAAATAAAATAGTAAATAACTTGAAGGGTGACCACTGGAACACAGAGTGGAAAGAAATTAGTTGAAAGGATGGGTGAACATTGAATGAGGTCATAGGCCTAGGATGAGGAGGAAATATAAAGAAATTTAATGAGAATTAGATAAGAAAGAATATGAAAAATGAAGCAAAGTTTGGGAAGAAGAAAGGCCATCCAAGGGATAAAGCACATATAAGAAAATCCTGGAATGCAGTATTGAAGACAATAAGGAAGAAAGCCCACACCCTTTCTTAATAGGGCCTGTCAGGGAAGAATGATTGTCAGCACAGCTAAAAGGAAACATATCTAAGGCTCTCCTGGGGTAGGTAACACCCGGCCATTTTAGCAGTTCCCATTCAATGCCCATTTGAGATGATACATGACACGTTTCAGAAGGCAGCTTAGAAAAGGAGGCCTTTTGGGAACTGAGCAAGTTTTTAAAAATCATTTTGCTGAAAAATCAATTAAGCAAAGAATCAATTCACCAAATTTATCAATTCATTAAAAATGTTTTTCTCTTAACTATTTACAAGTTTACAGCAATTAGTATTGAATGAGATTCAGCTGATTTTTGAAGATTGGGGGGAAGTTTTGGTTGACTAGTTATTTTTTGTTCTTCACGCTACCATTTTAAGGAATATTTACTCTATTAAAAACTAAGTATATTATGTCGCGCTTTATGTATAATTCAATAGCAGTAATCAAAATTTCAGTGCTACCTATGGAGTTTTTATTATACTGACTCAAATATACACTGAATAAGGCATATAATATCAGATTATACTGATTCAAATATATTTTACTTATTTTTTGCCTTGCTCACCCTTTGTTATATTTAAGACTCTTTTGCCAATATATCAAGTGGAATAACCCAGTAATACTGTTATTATAGCAATTAGTGGCCAAAATTTAACTTATGTACATCCCTTAGCTGTGTCACTTGGGCTATTTGTGGCTGTGGAAGAGGCAAGTTTGAGATTTGCTGCAAGAGTACCTGGGGCAGCATCAGCCATAAGGTCACTGGGGGACCCATGATTTCAAGGATAGAATGTGTAATCAGCTTCCCAGAAAACCAGGACACCAGGTTACTAAAGCCCAGAAAAGACCGGAGCTGGAGTGACTCGTGGAGCACTGTTAGCTAACATATTATTTGATCTCTACATCATAATTTTGTTTTTAGATGTAATATACTTTAAATTTAAAGTCCCAACCACACGATCCTTTATAATAATCCCATCTGAGCAGCCTCACTTTCTTTTTCCTTCTTTGAATGGCTTCAACCTTTCCTTTCTCTGCCACTGTCAACAAGTCTATGCCTTCAGATGCTTTCTGTAGTAGCATCAACATCTTTTCCTAAAAGACTGATATCAGAATAAGTGAATGCCAAAATCAATTTTATTTGGGCCAGAAATAAACCTCTTTAATGAGAGAATAACAAATTGGATTATATAAGCATATTTGTAGAGCCCTTTGGGGATGGAAAAGGGTACCTTCTGGCCCATTTCTTTTGAGCATTGGCCCCATGAGGAAGCTGGTGCATGGCCTGAGTCATTTTGCTGGGTCACACTCACAAAGTCAGCCACAAAGTAAGTAGGCAGGGCAGCTGTCCACAATGCTTGGAAAACTGGAGTTGGATTTCCCGTGCTTAAGTTCTGGTCAGTAATAAGTTCAGCTCACTTATTAGTAAATATTCGGCAAATGATTTAATCTCTCTCTGCCTTTTTTTTTCATTCATGAAACTAGGTAAGAATTCAGTGAGTTTACGTGTGTGTGTATGTGTGTGTTTGTGTGTGTGTGTATTTCATGCTTATGTGTGTGGCACATAATAGACACTGAATACATTTTAGTTGTTTTGTGCATACTGGAAAACAGCTTAGACTCACACTTTACTTTGTAAGTTCTTCCCTTGTTGTTTTGCATGAGGTAAGCCTAAAAAGTGGAAATTAAGTTAAATGCTATTATTTTTCTGATATAGGATTTATTTATTCATTCAAGAAATATTTATTGAAGGCATACCACATGTCATGCTTTGTGTTGAATGCATAATGAAATAATAGAGGAAAATAATTATAGTGTCTACCCTCGAGGAGTTTACAGTCTAGTAGGGAGGAGGTCAAACCATAAATAAAGTGCAGTTAGAATGCATGAGGTGAATGATGTGAAGGAAAAGAACAGATGTAAAACAAATGTAAAATGCAAAGCTTCCATCAGTTTAAACCTGTGCTTATGATAGTGGCAATTGGAGTTACTGGTGGCAAGAATACAGGTACTTTATTCTCCTCTTCACTGAAGAATATCCTAGTAGAAAATTAATCATGTCCAGAGTTAGTCTCTTATATAATACATTTGTATCTCTAGATGCTGAGGTTGTTATAGTAGGATTCACTTATATGACCGAAGAGTTAGCTATTAAGCAGTGAATCTTTCCTCAAAAGGAAAGTACAGATTGAAAGAGAAGTAGGTAATATGTACCATGAGAGAGGATGCACTTTGAAAGAGGGAGAGAGGAAATTGAGGAGAGGGTGGAAAGTCTCCCTCAGACTCCTCTCCAGGCTAAGTCTCCTCCATCCGAGCCATTTTTTTTTCCTTTTTTTTGAGACAGAGTCTCACTCTGTCACCCAGGCTGAAGTGCAGTGGCATTATCTCGGCTCACTGCAACTTCCGCCTCCCAAGTTCAAGCAATTCTCCTGCCTCAGCCTCCCAAGTAGCTGGGATTACAGGCATGCCACGCCACACCCAGCTAATTTTTGTATTTTTAGTAGAGATGGAGTTTCACCATGTTGGCCAGGCTGGTCTCAAACTCCTGACCTCAGGTGATCCACTAGCCTCAGCCTCCCAAAGTGCTGGGATTACAGGCATGAGCCACCGTGCCCAGCCTGGAGCCATTTTTCTGTGCCGTGTTTATGTCCTCATGGACACCAAAGAGGGCTGAAAAGTGTACTCCTTTAAAGGGTCTTGGGTTCCTCCACACCTCTGACTCCTTCCAGTTTGGGCTTCACAGAGATAACATGACAAGGGAGGCATAGATCCCTTGGACATAGTGGTGACAGGTTTTTCCATTCCCAAAAGAGACCTAGATTTGCACCAGCAGCATTTGTGACCAGTTGTTTCAATTTGCCTGGAACTGAGATGTTTCCTAGAATGTGAGACATTCAGTGCTAAAACTGGGATGATCCCAGGCTAATCAAGATAGTTGGCCACGCTGATGGCAGAGAAGTCTCACGAAAGCAGATAACCTGATCTGCTTTACGCTCTGGAGCATCTCCATTTTTGGGCCCCTAGTAATGGAGTGTGGTGGTTAAATATGGGGGATTTGGGGATCAGAAAACATGTATCTAAATCTGCTTTTCACCTACAAGCTGTGTAACTGTAAGCATTTTACTGTACCTTTCTGAGCCTCTATTTCCTCACCTGTAAAATCATGACATACTTCACAGGTTTTTGTAAGGATTAAGTAAATAATGAGTGCAAAGTGTTCCACACACCACCTGACACACCACACTGTCAGCACATTCTGTGTGTTAGTCATTAATTTTACTACTTCGGTAGACCTTCAGCAAATATCTGTTACTTGGCTCTATCATGTTTCTGACAGTTACTAATGTTTTTTTCCCTGGAATTTGGGGGTTAGGGAGTAATGAATATGACACCCCCATTGCCTACCGCTATAGACTGAATGCTTATGTTATGTTCCCCCAAAATTCATATGTTGAAATGCTAACCCACAATATGATGGTATTAAGAAGTGAAGCCTTTAGAAGGTGATTAAGTCATGACAGTGGAGCCTCCAAGAATGGGATTAATACCCTCATAAAAGAAACCCCAGAGAGCTTCCTTGCTTCTTCTGCTATGTGATGACTCAGTGAGAAGACAGCCGTCTATAAACTAGGAATCAAGCCCTCGCTAGACATGGAACCTGCCAGCACCTTGATCTTGGACTTCTCATCCTTCAGAACTGAGAAAAATACGTTTCTTTTGTTTATAAGCCACCCATTCTATGGTATTTTGTTAGAGCAGCCCAGATGGACTAAGACACCCACTCTCCCCAACCCAGACTACCTCACATCACAGCTATGATCATGCCTTCCTACGTTCTTTGGAAACTCAGTCATATCCCTTTGTTGTCTCCGTATCTCACCAAGGAGTGTCTTGAGCAGAATACTTCATTGTCCCAGCAACAGACAGAGTCACATTCTCTCCACCTCTCCTTCATCCTGGGACCACCTTCCCAGGAAGACAGGGCTACCTCATACTCATTACTATTGTTAGCGTGGAAAATATTTGGCTGATTCAGCCAGGATTCAGGGGGTAAGCAGAAAGGAGAGGAGCACACTGTGCTCTTTCAAGGGTGTAGGGAAACGTATAGCCAGAAGCCAGGTCACAATCTGTCAGGAGAGAGAGGTTGGGTTTCACTGGGCAGCAGGTTGGCTTTGAACCAAATCCCAAATAATCATTACGGCAAAGGGCTCACTGTATAAATGAAACAGCCAACATATATTATATAAAAAGTAAGTCCAACGAGGAAGCATTTTAGCTTCCCAAGTAAAAAGATTTCTGGACTCCCAAGGGAAAGCTTAGGAGGTATAGAATGAAAGATTTGGGAAAAGCACAGAAAATGCATTAATGCTACTATGATTTTAAAAGAGTAGGGGATTTCTTGGAGCATTTTAAAACTACACTCAGTAACCCCACCAAAATTCTGAGACACCCCCTTTGAAACACCCCCTCCAACACACATACACATGTCCCATGAAAATCTCTAGAACTGTGATATGTGATTATCCATGGAGTGTGTCTCATCCTCACATCCATGATGCCAGTGGGGAAGCAAGACTGAGACTTCATGGCTGGTGAATAGAGCACTGGGCTAGGAGACCAGAGATCTTCATTTCAACCCAATCCATTTGTGACAGTGGCAAATCAACCACTTCTTTGTTCTTCAGCTGCTCCAGCAGTAAAAGGATCACAGCCATTTCTGTTCATTTCTCCTGCAGAGGGTACTTGTAAAAGGGAATAAGATCTCATGTGTGGAGACACTCTTCAGAAGATGAGAATGTGTGCATACCTTATATTATTAATAATAAAAATTGGATTCAAAAATTCTGCCTAGACACTTTTGTCAAACGGCCAGGCATGTGTAATTCCTCTGTAATGATACCAGTTATTTGTACTACCTAGTCTTTGGAAATTTGAAGGTACTTTTTTAAGCAACAGGAGATCACTATATAATCACTTTATACTAAATATAGTAGAAAGAATATATTACATTCTTTTTATAATAGAAAGAATATACTATATTCTATAGTATAGAAAGTAGTAAAGAATATACTACTTTCTACTATATAGTAGAAGAATATACTACTTTCTACTACATATATATATACTATATTCTTTCTACTATAGATTGCTATATAAGCACTTCCCACTAAATATTTCCAATATGATCTTTGTTCAAGCGAGTTTTAACTTTTTTTAAAATAACAAGTTAGAGCTTTATAATAGATATTAAAGAAGTTTCATCTTATAGCATATGTTATATGTTTATTCTTCCTTTATAAAACATTTAGTTCACATGGAGAGAAACAAGTGGTTTATGATTATAAAACATATTGAAAAACACAACCATCTTCAGATATTGTATGTTGGATAAATAACAATCATGGGAGTCACCAACTATTGTGGATACAAATATATTTTTTGAGTCATGCTGGCCATTAGACAGTGGTAACACCAATGAACAGAACGAAAAATTTTATCCTAAGCTGACTATTGAAGTGTTGCTTATAATACTGCCCATTCATTCTCCATGTAATTAGTCACATTGCTAGTTTTGATAAGAGAACTTAGTTTCCCATATCTTTTCTGATTTCTTGGGTATTGAACAGTGTTCTATGAAGGGATAAGGACAGAATCTGATATCAATTCCACTTGTGATTTGAAACCTTGTGCACATCAAAATCACACTTGGAATAGGTGGAGCCATATTCTGAGTCTTTTATACACCTATCCGTTCAGTTATATCAAGTAAATATTGCCGTTAGTAAAAAGTATGCACTGTTTTCTGAATCACTGTGCCTGATGGCATTCTTTTGTAAGAATGTCAGCAGCCTAGGATCCATATCTTGACCTTTCAGAGCAAGAGCCCAACTTACCACCTGATTGTGCTACTTAGACTTAACTACCTACTCATGTCCATGTTCCTGAACGGTTTCCTCCTCTGAGTCTAAGACCAGACAGAATCAATGATCAATTAATAATTGACAGAGCTCCATATTCACAAGCTGAGTACTAACTTTGGCTATGTGGATTTAGATTTGGCTCCTCTCTGAGATACAAGATACTGTTTCTACTTTCAAGAAAATTACAACCTCCTGGGGAAGTCAACACAAATACTTGGAAAGTTAAATAACCATGCAAAATATAATAACAAGGTTGCAGTGCAAAAAATATCAAAGGACAGTAACTGGTTAAGTGTTAAGTGAACAATATTGAGATCAGTAGTTTGCAAACTGTGCTCCAGGTAACCCCAAGTGTTGGGGTGGGAGTAGGGTAGCTCTCAAAGCTGCACAGAAAATAAGAGAAGTATCAAATACATCGAGTTTCAGCCCAATCCCACATCCTGGCTTCCACCTCCACCACGGTCACTCTCAGGTTTTTTTGGTTGTTTTTTTTAATTTTACTTTCTATAGTGGATCTTCACACACACAATTTCATATCAGAAAAGGACCTTGAATTTATTTTTTGAGCCACAGATATATTTTTAAATGCTATAAGTTTCAAAATTACATAGTATAATCACTATGATCTGTTGTGGTGTAAGGTTTCTTGGTGAAGGAGCAGTGAAGACTCTGCAGATGTAGATGATTTGTGTAGTTAGAAAGGTTCCAGTTAAATGATTTCATAGAAATAATAACAATAAAATAAGAAGGGTGACTTAAGAGGCATCATCTTGGAGAAAAGTCAAATCAAAATCCACACTGTCATCATTTTATAGGAGAAATCCATGTACAAATACATGTATAAATATCTTTCTCTAGGAAAACTCGAGGAGAAAGAGAAGTTTCCTAGTAAATGAGCAGAGATTTGACTGGCCCAACAAAGAGTCTGTGTGGGTGCAGTTCCTGGCTCAGCTAAGGCAAACATGACAGCTAGATCAGTTTCCGAAAGGATGAACGGGTGTCCTGGCTTGCCAAAAACCACTGGAATGGCAAAATAGGAAAATTGGGTCTTCTCTCAAAAACGTTTTACGCTTGAATTGAGTAGACACCCTCCAGACAGAAAGGTAAGCCGAGGACACTCTATGAGGCACCATTTCTCTCTTCAGCTGACATCAGGACCTAGGAACAAATAGAATATCAATTCTGCTGTCATTGACTGAAGAGATAGAATGGGAAGAAGTCAAATTCATTCCTCTCAGCATTTGCAGTCAATAACAATGGAATTCATGTGTATTATTTGAGCACAGGTAATGTGTTGTTCTGTTATACAAATAGAGCAAAATAATATACCAAGTTATCATCGGTATTTGTTATGGACCACATGTTTTTGTTCCTCCAAAATTCATATGTTGAATACCCATTCCCCAATGCCATATTATTTGAAGGTAGGGCCTTTGGAAGGTGAAGCTATCATGCTGGGATTAGTACCCTCATAAGAAAAAGGATAGAACAGCTATCTACAAGCCAGGAAGAGGATCCTTATCAGAACCCAACCATCCTGGCACCCTGATCTCAGACTTTCATCCTCCAGAACTGTCAGAAATAAATGCTTATTGTCTAAGCTAACCATTCTATGGTAACTTGTTACAGCAGCCAGAGCTGACAAAGACAGCGAGCATTCTTGGGCTGCAAGCACAAAACTGAAAATGCATAATTTAAGGCAAAAAAAGAAGAAAAATAGAAGAATGCAAGAGTTTCTTGTAGAATTAAAGATGATGACCAACCAAACCTCAGAAAGGACAAGAATAGGGCTGAGATTTGGGGAATCTCAGCTACAGAAGCCTGACAATCTCCTCTCTAGCAAAAAATCCAGGCCATCAGCGATCATCCTTAGAGGGTATTGATCATGTGCCCTTGTGGATCATACTCATCTACTGAGAACTCTTAAGGCAAAGGAACATAGGTTATAATGAGCTCTTTGTGTAACTTCTTTAAAAAATTGCTCTTTCTAATTAATTGTTAGACTGTGAGCAAAGCCAAAGACCCCTAGTGGCCACAGTAAAGGCCCACAGCGGTTGCAGCAAACAGTGCCTAGAGCCCAGAAGAAATTTCCTCTGTCCCGGTATGGAAGCACAAAGAGGGAATCTGGGTCAGGAGGCAGGCAGTTCCTGATAGTCAAAGAAAAAGATGAGAATATTATTAAATATAGTGTGAATACATAAAATGTAACAACACTTGAAACCAAATAGCAACTCTCTCCTTGAAAAAAAAATTATATTGCTTTCTTGGGAAGCATATATCTAAAATTATAATTCAGATTGCTTTAGGTTCCACTCAGAAACATTTTGTTAAAAGATTGCCTTACATCAGATTTGAAAAACATAAGCAGACTTTTACCAAATATAGACACAAGGATCATAAACTGAAAATAGAAACCATAAGACAGACTCTGGAAAGGAAGGGGATATTGACATTGTATTATACTTGGCAGTAAAGAAATAGAAATCCATAGTGATTTACAACCTTTACATAATAATAAAGAATTAACTGAAAAAATATTCAAACTATCAGAAATAGCAAGACACTTTTTAGCAATAAGTAAGAAAGAAGATTTATTTAACTTTGGAGGGGTTTGGCAGAAAAGGACTAAAATGAGAAACAATAATATTACATATTAACTTTGTTCTTAAACATCCACATTTAATGTATCAACTTTGGCTGTTGTTATATGCCTTGGCAATTCAATAAAGTTACTGAAATGGAAAATTGAAAAATTTTATTGTGATTTTTCCAATTTCTCCACTAGTGGAATAGTTTAATAATAAACCATTGCATATGCTTACAGCATTCTCATTAAAATGAGTGAGCTATCATTTTTCTTTCTATTCTTAGTTATCAGCTACTTTATTTACCAGTGCGTATTAAGTAGAACACAAAGCTCAGCTAACCGTTTTTGGAGGTACCTTTTGAACAAGCAACTATTATCTACTGAGAAGACATCGAGTTTTTAAGCTGGAAGGAGCCCTAATAGTTTTATATTACATATGTCACATTTTAAATGAGGAAATTGAGGCTCAGTGAGATTTAGTAACCTGTCCTAAGTCAACAGCTACTCGACGGCAGAGAGTCACGCTTCCAGACTGTCTTATTACAATAACTATCCTAGAGTCCTAATTTTTTTCTCTATCAGCTGTTGAATATAGGCCTACAGATTCCTGTGTGGCAAAAGAAGAAAAAGGTCAAGAAAAAGAAGACAAAGAAGACATCCTTAATTTATTAAGAGCCTACTTTAGCCTTATCACAGGGAATTGTAGTTTGAAAAAAAACAATTCCATTTGTATTCACCTCTGACTAGGCATGGAAATTTTCCTATTGGATTTATAAAACTGTCCCCAGTTTTTACATTTTTTAACATTCTACAAAATGTCTCTCGGCATTCACATCAGATTCATGCAGAATATTGATGACTCTCTAATTTGTAAGACAATATCTTCATAGAGTTGCATTAATTCCTTTGTTGGTCTTTGCAGAGTAAGTCTATTTCTAATCTGGTACCTGCTATTAAGCTGCTCATATCACTAATTTATTTTCCTTTAAAATAGCCATTTAGGCATGCTTTATTTGGCTCAGACTCTACATAAAACATTTATGTTAACTATTAACCCTCCTGAGGCAGTGGGCTTGATCAGAAGAGGAATGGCTTGGAACTGAAAGAGCCAAAGGTGGATCCAACTTTCAGTTCAGTTGCCAATAACCCATGTAACATTGAGCAAATCATTTATCTTCTCTGAACATTTTGTCTTGTGTAAAATGAAGAAGGTCAACTTTATGACCCCTAAGATTTAAATCTCTGTATTTCTAAATTGATTATTTTTAAGCCAAGCCTAACAACAATTATTATGCTTGTACCCTAAACTTACATCCCATTTGCCCCTATATACCTGGTTCATATTTCAGCTCTAGCACTGAGACAAGAAAATAAAATACAATATAGTGTGATGTCTCTGTTACTACACTATGAACCCCATGAAAGGTTAACTCATTTTTATAGGCTCAATGCCTGGCAGAGCAGATATTCTATAAATGTTTGAGGTATGGACGAATAAAGGAATTATTGCTACAACTTAATAGTAAGAAGAGCTTAAGTGTATGATTTAACATTATCTCTGTAAATAGCCCAGAGATCATAATCCTGAATCTTATCTGAAGAACTAGCACTTACATATAATTTTGCCTGTTCACAGCATAATGGACTTCACAGTACATCTCTTAGAGCTTGAGCTCTTCCTGCCTGATCACATACTCTTAACCTTCCTTCTTGACCATAAGCTTTTTGAGAACAAGATCTGTGTGCCTGATTAATCCTACAGTTGCATACCTATTCAAAGCACTTATGAAGTCTTCCACCAATTTTAACTGATTAAGTGAATTTAAAATAGTGGTCAAATAAAATAAATGATGTATTTGTAACAAAGTACTTTTTTCAGGGAAAAAGGTTTGGAACAAGTTATCAGTGACGATAAAATTCTGACTTGTTACCCTTTCACTCTATATTAATCTTAAATTTTCATCTCTGAAAAGAAATCATTTATTCCTGGTTACTTTATTTTTCCTTCATATATGGTCAGTTCATAATGAATGTATCCAATAAGATCTCACAGAGCAGAGAAAGCATGAAGCCTGTGAAATTTCAGCTGTGATTCCAAAAAACAGTCTTAATAGAATTGTATTTTCATGTTTTCATTTTATATAAAATGCAGTGTTGTGGCATAAGCATTTCTCCTGACTTGCATGCAAATTATCTCTGTGTTGCTTCAATAGAGTCTTTGTCAAATGTTAATAGTCCACTACTCTGCATGCTATGAAAGAATAGCACAATATTGAGTCCCAGTGAGATGTCTTGCCCTCTCTTGACTTACCATGTGATTCCATTTTCTTAAAGAAAATGTCTTTTTATTTTCAGGCGTGTCTATTTCTCTGGTCGAGGGTTGTTTTTCCTACATGCAGTTCTTTTTTCAGGCAACATAAGTTCCTTGAGTGCTATCTCCTAGCTTTCACAAATTTGCAATTCCATATTGGCATAAACAATCTATATTAACATATATATAATGTTAATATTTTCTAACTCACTTTTAAATAGTTACCACAATTCTAATTATGCTATTAATCCATTATAATTAGACTCATTATTACAAATATGATTTGTTCGTAGGGATCTTCATTATTGTAAGTAATATTTTATGTTACTGTTATAAATGCTACCAATAAACCACAATTGTTAGAAACATCCTTAATGTATTTAATATTTGTTTTATCAGGTCCCTCATAATCAACATGGACATATTTATGTCTATATAAACTTCAAAAGAACCAAATGATCTTTTACTCCTAAAAAGTTCCTGACATGTTAATAAAAATAATAGCTAAGATGTATTGAGTTCTTGCCATGTGTCAGTTACTCTTCCAACACTAAATGCATTAAGGTAGACTACCTCATCAATGTTCACAAAGTTGCTAGGAGGTAGAAGTTTCAATTACCCTCATTTTACAGAGAAGAAAACTGAGGCTTAGACAGGTTAAATAATTACACAAACATTTAAACTAATAAGTGATAGAGGTAGAAGTCAAACCCAAACCCTTTCATTCCATGTTACTGTGCTTTGAGGGTGAGGATGAATCTGCCTATTTTGGAAGTTATCCATCATACTTCTTGTATCTGCATAATTATTTCTCTAAACTCAAGTTTGCATATCATTTTAAAATTCTGTCATAAAACCAAAAGTATGTAAAGAGTGCAAATTGAAATCTTTGCAATAGAAATTATAGGCTATCAAAAATATAATGAATTATTATTACTGAGAAATTAGCAAATAGAGTAAATCAAATAGGAGCATAATGTAAGTATTATATAATTATCAGCATAGTTTCCTAACTGTGAATTTGCTAGTGTTGACTGATTAATTTTAAAGTTAATAAGCTTATTCACTGTGTACCTTGGAAGCGTTTTCTCTTTAGTGTGTAAGGTTTAAAGTTTAATTTCTTTCACAGAGATTAATCAAAGGTTTTCTAGCCGCCAAAAGATAATAAAGCAAAAAGTTTAAAAGTAAATTTAACCACAAAGGTTTTGATAGCACCACATTACATTCCATCCATTTCAGGAATTGATTTTTGTAAAGAAGCAAATATGTAAAATCTGATATTCATTGTTTCCTTTATTATTTTCCATTTACTGTAGTCCAATTAGTATCATATTCATGAGGATTATGTGCATAAAATAAGTATGAAACCATTTTCTCTCTGAAAGTTTAAAAACCTATGAGCCCTTTAGAAAATATGACTAACATATTATCTTAATAAAGGTAGCTTACAATTCAGGAATACTTCCTGGTTCACTATCTGGAACCAAAACTATACGACATTTAGCTAAAATACTGCTTGCTTTAATTTTGTTTTATGAAAAGTAAAAAGTTTAAATATTTACACTGGGGAGCAAATTAAGTTACTTGAGAATATAAGGATTTCACCCAAATAGACTTTAGAGCAAAACAATGCATTATGGTCTATTTCAAAACCACTGTTCTAGTCACGCATCAGAAACTTACTGAAGGTTTATCATATTCAAGACCCTATGAGGCATACTCTATGGGATATGCCTTCAAAGATCTCATCTTTTAGACTATTTTGTTTATTTTGTTTGTTTTTGTTATGAAAATAATAAAACAGACATCGCTTCCACAGCAGCTAGATTTAAGAAAGGTTAAATATTTATTAGCCTATTGTTATTATGTAAAAATCCAGTAGACATATCGACAACTCAGTTTTTCACTTAGAATTCTGTACACTCCAGCCTTCTGAGACATATGGCACTACAAACATTTCTGGTTTGCCAAACCGTCCATTAAGACTGCCTTTCAATTGAAATAGAAATGATACTTATGTACAAGGGTGATTTTACAGGAGTACATTTTTAAGAATTGTATTGCTTTTTTAAAGAAATGGAAGGTGAAGGAGAACAGGGATAACGTGCTAAGTGGTTATGAACTAGTGGACTATAGGAGACACAGCTGGATCCAATGCTAGTTTTTCCCCCTACCAGATACATAGACTTAGATGTGTTTTTCTCATCCATAAATAGACATAATTGTGCTATTGCCCTAATAGAGTTTTTGGGAGAATTAGATGATGTAATTGAAGCACTTAACACAATGATAGGAACAAAGAACTTATTCAATAAATGGTAGTCATCTTCATAATTATTAGAAATGAAGTAATCTGGAGAGGAAGAGGTAATATGTCATTTTTCAGGGATGCCATAACAATAATTTTTTTTTTTTTTGAGATGGAGTCTTGCTCTTGTCACCCAGGCTGGAGTGCAATGGCACGATCTCGGCTCACTGCAACCTCCAACTCCAGGATTGAAGTGATTCTCCTGCCTCAGCCTCCCAAGTAGCAGGGATTACAGGCGCCCACCACCACACTTGGCTAATTTTTGTATTTTTTTAGTAGAGATGGGGTTTCACCATGTTGGCCAGGCTGGTCTCAAACTCCTGACCTCCTGATCCACCCGCCTTGGCCTCCCAAAGTGACAACAATTTTTAAAACTGCAACAACAACAAGAATTTACATCACTATCTATACTTCCTTGGTATATTATTGTAAAGCAACTAAGTTTGGGTTGGGCTGAAGAATGAAGTGCAATTCCTTCATGATTAGTGATTTTGAGGGACTTTTCATGTGTCTGCTGGCCATTTATATGTAAATTAGTATAGCCATTAAGGAAAACAGTATCGAGGTTCCTCAAAAAATTAAAAACACAACTACCGTTTGATCCAGCAATCCTACTTTTGGGCATATGTTCAAAGGAAATAAAATCAGAATCTCAAAGAGATATCTGCATTCCCATGATCATTGCAGCATTATTCACAACAGCCAAGATAGGGAAACATCGTAAGTATCCATTGAGGGACAAACGAAGAAAGAGAATGTGAAATATATATAAAACACAATATCACTCAACCATTAAAAAAAGAAGGAAAGCTTGCCATTTTTGACAACATAGATGAACCCAGAGGACATTATACTAAGTGAAATAAGCCAGACACAAAAAGACAAATAATGTATGATCTCATTTATGTGTGGAATGTAAAGAAGTCAAATTCATGGAAGCAGAGAGTAGAATGATGGTTGCCCAAGTCCAGGAAGAGAGAGAAACAGGGAGATGTTGGTCAAAGGGTTCACGTTTTCAGTTATAAGCTTTAGGAATCTAATATACAGCATGATGACTGTAATTAATCATACCATATTGTATACTTGAAATTTGCTAAGATAGTAGATCTTAAGTGTTCTCAAAAATAAAGGTAACTGTGAGGCGATAGATGTGTTAATTAGATTCATTGTGACAATTATTTATTGACATATATCAAATTATCACATTTTTTCTTAAATATATAAAATTCTTATTTGTCAATTATATCTCAATAAACCTGGGAAAAAATAAACTTCACACATCTTTTATTACTATAAGCCATGTAGTTAAGAGATGTGAAATGAGTAGTTGACCTAAGGAAGAACCACATGTTCTGAAGAAACTGGGGATAATTAACTTGTTAAATAATTCACTAAAATTAACCATTGGTCATGTTGTGAACCCTTTGGTCATGGTTGAAAAGGTTATGTAAGACAGTGATGCTTACAATACAAAATTCTGTGTATAAAATTCCTTACTTGAGCTCAAAGATCCCATTATAAGACCCAGATTGGAGTTACACCAATGCAAAAAGGTAAAATAAGGGAAATGGCAATGTTCTGGTTATTTTTCTACCTAATATTAACTATAAAGATGAATCATAGAAAATTGCTTTTGGTAATAAAAAATAATTAAATAACAGTAATTTCATAAGGCAAACTAATAGTTTGGCTGGGCTTCTTCATGACATAGTCTGAGTTCAGCATAGCATTGCAAGTCTACATCACAGACCAGAATAACTTAAATCTATTCTTGTAAAGGCCATTGCCCAAGTGAAGAGGTTAGACAAAATAGCAAAGAACCAATTTTCTGAAGGAAGCTGAAGAACGTAAGTATAATAACATTATGAAAATGTAGTTGGCTATGTCAAATCTGCCATAAGAATGTATTTTCTTTAAAGCAATCCTTGCACAATCCTTAGACTGTCAATTATCCTCAAGTGGCCAATAATCCAATTCTACTGGTTATAAACTTGTATGCGTGTCAAACCCTCTTTTTGAATAATTTTGAGCTCTGAGCTAAATCCTTTGCTTTAAAAAAAATTAATTTGAGGAATGATAGACATAGCTAGCCTATATATTTCAGGTTCCTAGCTCCTTCCACAGCACATGGAAAACCTCACTTCCCAATGCACTTGCAGTTAGGCAGGACCACGGGGCTGAGTTCTGTCCGGTGAAATGTGAGCAGGGCTGAAAAACTGAAAAGGCCCATATAGCCCCCTTTCTTACTGTAACAATCAAGGAAGCCTTGAATTGAGATTTTGAGTTTACAGAGAAACAAAATCAAAAGACCTTAAATTGCCAAGCCACCTTGTGGAAGACAACTGAAGAATCATTCAAATCCCCTGGGTCTGCATGAGGAAGAAATTAACTTTTATTGTGTAAAGGCATTGAGAGATTGGAGTTGTTTGTTACCTCATAATAACCTAATCTATCCTGACTACAACTAACTTCAAAAACATACAGGGCCCAAACAACTGGTAATTCCTCAAATACTCTGCTTATTACTAGGCTATTAAAGAAATGCATATAAAAAGAATATTGAATGGAACTACAGTAAAATGACATCAGAAATTAGAATATAATCTTTTTAATTTTTTAATTCTTCAAATTTTCTCTACTTTGGAGAGTTGTTTAAAAAATTAAAAACAGAAAATTTAAACATCCCTCCCCACAGCATATGCCCCCTTTCCAGAAAAGTCTTGGATGTGTAGGTATTTGGTTTTGTTTGTTTGTTTTCGTCTTAAGGAAGAGTTAGTTAGGGTTGGAGACTGAAAATTTGCAACTGGGACCTGAGATTTGAGATCTAAAATCTTCAATCCTGTTTTATAAAAATGTGTCTAGAGAGGATTGGATTAAAGCCTTTGGAGAACCAAGCCCTGGAGATATTTTGTTTGGCCCTGATCCCTCTATCTATATGTAATTCAATATGGCAAAGCAAAGTCATAAATATGAGTAAGGAATTCTAACCAAGTTTAGATGTTTTTTCTTATAACTACACTGTTGTTCCTTATTTCTCTTTCTTATTTTTTAAAACATCAAAGATTAAACTGTTTTCAAAAGAGATTTTTTTGTCCATTATTTTGCTATAGCCCTAAGCACTGTGCCTATATAACTTAGAACAAACTACCATCAAGTGATCAAATAAGGTTTGTGTAGTCACTAAATTTCAGTATGAAATTGAGAAGAGTCATATACATATAAAAGAGGATAGTTTACCTCACAGAATAATCAAATTAGGCTCTTCTTAGTTATTTAGAACAAGATAGATAAAATATCCAAAATAGTTTCAAAAATCAACAAACAAAGTAATGTAAGTTTCACCTGTAGAGAATCAGTTTCTAGCCTTGCTTCTGGAGTTTTAAGCCAAATAGAGCTACTCACGTGCAATCCTGCCAATAAAAATGGACTAAATCCCACTAGCAAACACTGTCTTCAGTGTTCTCCCTTTCCTTCATCCTTGCTTCTTGCTCTCACCTACTCTACCCAAATTCTGAACTTTGGATGTTTGCACTTTTGAACTTAAACAAAAAGAATTTGTTCTCTGGTTTTTACGCCCTGGCATGCCTCAGGATTCTCAGTGTAAATGGCCTGCAGCCCATCCTGCTCTGCTACTGTTCTGCAGAAAAACTATTATAGCTACTATTTAGTGAGCAATTGCTATATGCTAGGCATGTGCTGAACACTTAATATATTATCACCTCAAAATAATATCCACCATAGCCTGATTGATGAGTATTTACCATATTATCATGATTGGGGCAGCGAAGAAACTTGAGAAAATTAAATGGCAAGAGACCAGGATTTGATCACAGATCTCAATTCTATACTTTTAACTACTACTTATATCATTTCTGCCACCATATTTTCATTAAAAATATATATTTACCAAGCACCTACTATGTTCTAGGTTCTGTGCTAAATAATGATTATAGAGATGTGAACATATAGACAGGGTCTCTAGTTTCATGGCAATTGCATTTTAATGGAGATTATGTCATAATATGTAAATAAATAAATAATCCCATTTTCAAAATTGGCTTTTAAAAATAGGTTAAAGTGATGTGGAAGGACTGGAGGGGTATGTGGCCACATTAGATGGGTAGGGAGGAAAGGAACATTGAGAAGGAACCAGTCATTTGAAATTTTGGGCTCTGAACATTCCAGAGAGAATTACAAGTTTACAGATGCAAGGTCAAAAATGAGCAAGCTATCTTCAAGAAATGAAAAGTCATCTAGTATCACCAAACTTAGTGATAAGAGAGTAGATAGAGTTAGAGTTGGTCCTACAGGGCCTTGCCAGCTATGCTGAGAGAATTTAATTCTAGGTGCAATGGGAGCCACATTTTAAGGAGGGAAGTGGCATAACTGTAACATAATTTTTTAAGTATAGGTAATGCATCCTTTTTAATAATGGAGAGAGGCGCAAGAAAGATATTAAAGTATAAGGTAAAAAGACCAAAGCATAAAAGCCTAAAAACAAACAGATTTTTGTACCTTTAGCAATCCGTTCTATCCTAGGAAATAATGGAGTAAGTGGGAGACGAAGGATCAGATTTTAATTTACTAATATTTAATGATATTAAGATCTCTGGCTGTCATCTCTTCAAGCTTGGATATCCTCTTAAGGTCAAATACTTGCTCTCATATTGGCACTCTAACATTATGGTTTCAGAATTCCAGGTACTCCCTGCAATAAATTCCAAGGTCTACAGTTTCTACTCACAAAGCATGTTATAGGTGGAAAATGAATACATTACTACCATAAAATAATTTATTAGGCATTGCATATTGAGAAAGCAAAACAGACAGAATCCTTATAATCAAAGACTTATCTTCTTTTATGGAATGAAAAAAGTTGGTGCCCACATGTACAAAATCCACCTGGACAGAGTTTATAGAGATGTCATTTTACTATTCAATGTTTTCTTTTGTAATAAAACTCAGAAGGCATAGTACTGTAAAAATATGTATTTTTTAAACTCTGAGACTTTGTTAATAAGAAAATGAAATGAATCTTCTGCACAATCCATGGGAATTTGGTTACAGAATTTACAAGTCACCTTTGTAACAACTACAAATAAATTTCCAAATTCCTTTCAGACATACACCATCCTATTGCAGCTTCCAAGGCTGAGAAAAAAAAAAAAACTATCAAAGTTAAAAAGATAAGACTACATCCAAACCTTAACATTTTTTTTCTTTAATCCATGGCATAAAATCTCATATTAACTAGCTTATGAGGAATATCATGAGAAATAACTATCAAGCTTAAAATCCGGAGTCTGGAGCCAGAAATTCAAATGTAGAGGGAAAACACAGGAACTAAGGTGACTTCCAGAATAAATATGAGTGTCCTAGAAGTAACAAAGAAAAATATTCAGTGTATTTTAACAACTAAACTGCAGGGTAACTTCATGCCCCTGGGAAAAAGAAAATCTTTATTTTTTCATAAAAGAATAAAGAACACACACATTTTGAGAACAATAAAAGCTGTAACTATGGAAAGGCCATCTGGGCAACTAGATTATCTCTACAATACACTCTTCACTATTCTATTTAGTCGTATTTTAAGTACCTCAGTAAATTAGGTTTCCATTCACTCTCCTTAAAAATTTTCTACCAAACCATTAGGTATTATTGCTAAGCAGTAACCAATAATCCCTACCAACTAGTTTAAAGTATGCTGCATGCCTAGGTTTTACTGATATTCTTATTTCTATTTTTTTTCACTAGGATCATCTTATCAAAATAATGTTTTTTATGAAGGTTAAAGTTCTAATCGGGAAAATAGAAGCTGGCAGCGGCTTAGCAGTGAGTTAATTTCTAAGACTCCAAAGGGAAAAATAAAATAACCTATAAGGTCTCCTCTCATTTTGTATTAGTTGTAAAATAAACAAAAATCTAGGAGAGATCCCTTTTCCTTCATGGGCACCTTTTGGGGTTGGGATATTTGGGGAACTGAAATTCCCTGGGCTGCCTAACACACGTATGTATGAGCACAGTGAGGCACAGCCTAAGACCTCCCACTTTCTCTAACTCATACTTGACAAGAAAAACAAGATTCTCATCAAGCTCACTCTGCAGCAGCGTGTCGCAGTAGAAAATACGCAGAATGAGAAGTCAGAAAGCTTGATATCTAGTCTCAGTTCTGCCAGGATCTAGTGGTTTGACCATGAGCAAGCCCCTCGGGCATCTCGAAACTCAGCATCTTCATTCACACAGTGAACTGTAGCCAAGGATCCCTCCAACCTCAAAATTTTATGATATGATGATACTCAGCTAAGAAACTAGAACTAGACAGTCCTAATTAAAATATTATGCCAATAGTTACACAATACATGTGGCTGAATATGAAAATGTAAAAATTCATGCTGCCAATGAACATGTAAAATTTTAGAGTGGGAAGAAGGGAGTTTTCGATAGCTTGAAAAAGTAGGACAAACCTTTCTTGTATGTGAGAAGGAACAGTGAGAAGAATTTGACCATGTATGAATATTACTTCAAATCTCAAGTCCTATGGGTACATTCCATTGTAAGAGAAAAATCAACAAATTTAAAGAAGATGGGTGAATCTCAAGTCATATTATTATCATCCGTAAGAATTCAAAACTGAAAAACCCCTAAATAGATATCAAACTTCTTTTATTTGGCAAATTAAATTTCCTCTCCAAATATCATGGTAAATTAACAAACTTTCTTCTCTTCTCATTTTTCTTGAAATTGAGAAATGATTAAAAGGCATAGGAGAGAAGAAAGATATAGAAGGGTGCTGAATCATCCATACCCTTAGCAGATATCCTGTAATTAAAATGTTGGATTTGGGCTGGGCACGGTGGCTCACGTCTGTAATCCCAGCACTTTGAGAGGCTGAGGTGGGCAGATCACTTGAGGCCAGGAGTTCAAGACCAGCCTGGCCAACATGATGAAACCCCGTTTCTACCAAAAATACAAAAATTAGCTGTGCCTGTAGTCCCAGCTGCTCCGGATGCTGAGGCATGAGAATCTCTGGAACCTGGGAGGCAGCGGTTACAGTGAACCATCACACCACTGCACTCTAGCCTGGTCAACAGAACGAGACTCTGTCTCACACACACAAAAAAAAAAAAAAAAAAAAAAAGTTGGATTTATTTGTTCTTCTCCTTCAAGACCAGGGTTTTGTGTTCTAATAAATTATTTTACCCCTGTATATGTAAATCCATGGTTTCCAAACTTTTATGATACTACATCAGTTAGAAATGTTCATTATATGTCCCCAATATTTATTTATTTGTTAACTTAATAATAAGATTGCTTATTTATTACACACACCATTGTACATTATAAAACATACACACAAGTAAATTTGAAAAATCATTTAATGATTAAACATGTAATATTTATTAATATTTTGCTTGCCACAATGTTTCATATTATCATTGGCATTGGCCTATGTCTCGAAATACAATAAATATATTCAAGGCAAGGTTCATCATTAATAAAAGTAAATGTAAACCTATATCTCAGTGGAAGGGAGGAGCTGACTTTTTGTAAGTCTGAATTAGATAGATCATCAGTGTTGCTAACCTCTCCCATTAGGCTAAGAATACAGTAGGAAATCTGTCAACTGCACTGATTTCCTGTTGTTGCTTAAACTTATATTACTAGTATTGTCTTCTCTGCAGAAATCCTTGTAAACCACTTTTCTATTCTGATACTTCTACTTGGTTAAAATTGGAAAATAGAATCTTCAGTTCCTTAAGTGAACACACATAAACATCAATAGAGGCAACACAGTGGAAATGAAAGAAGTGTAAAGACCACATGGTAGCCCCTCCATACAGTGACTTTCCCAATATTTCCTCAGGATATCTCTGAAAGGGAGGTCAAGAGACCAGCTGACCTCTGGGCAAATAAGGGCACCAATTTCAATCTGTTTATTGCACATTTGCAGAGGCTTAGTTTCTTTTATAATAAAAAATGTAAGTGGAAGCTCTAATACTTATTCCTCATGGCCTACTTTGGAGACCAAGAGTAAAAACAGTTGTGGTAGGTAGCTGTAGCTGTTATTGGAAGCATTTGATATTTTACTTGAATAGCAACAGGTCATGGCTATGTTCTAGGCACCCAGCTGCATGTGACTCCTTCATTGTGATCAGTTGGGAACTTTCATAGAGCATTTTTTTCCCCTATTGTAACTAGATAATTCTTTCTCCTCTGAGCTTCAAGCATTCATGACTTTAGAAAAAATAACAAAAAAAGCTGTAAAAGGTATTCGTTCATCTTGAACACCTATTGTACTCTCAGGTTAAGATAAGAGTATTCTTGAAGCCTCAATTATTCTGAGAAGTGCTGCAAAGGGTTATTTACTGGTTAAAGGTCACACCATTACACCTTTCAATTGCACGAGTGATCCTGAAATGATTTGTGACACAATGTGTGTGTAGATTCTATCTAAACTCCTTGTTTCTTTTGTGCTATATTCTTTGTAATTTGTCTTAGTCTGCTTGGGCTGCCATAACAAAATATCATACACTGGGTGGCTTACATGACAGAAATTTGTTTCTCACTGTTCTGGAGGTTGGAAAGTCCAAGATCAAAGTGCCAGCTGATTCAGTTCGGGCTCCCTTCCTGGCTTGCAAGTGACTACCTTCCCAGTATCAGCTCACACCACCTTTCCTCAGTGTATGCATATGAAGAGAGGGAGTGAGTGCTCAGATGTCTCTTCTCATAAGGACACCAATACTATCAGATCAGGGCCCAGTTACTTCCTTAAAGGCCCTGTCTCCAAATACAGTCATATTTGGGGATTAGGGTTTCAACACATGAATCTTGTGGTAACACAAACCTCCATTCTATAATATAATTTATATGCTTGCTTTCAACAAATATTTATTGAATGCTTTCTATGTTCCTGGCACTATAACCAAGTTGCTGTTCTCACTGTAGGGGGAAAACAGCAGACAATGCACACACACATGTTAACTTATGTATTAAAAGGAAAACTAAATTAATTAAGGAGACAAAGAATGAGGAGGTTGAGAAAGGGGGCTATTTGTAGAATGGGTGGTGATGGATTGCTTCTCCAATAGCAGACATGGGAGTAGACATCTGATGTAGCTGAGGAGCAAGACTCTAAATATTAACAGGAAGAGTTCTAGCTCAAAGGTCAAGAGACAGGAGAATGAGGTTGAAAGAGCAAAAGAAAGCCAGAGAATCTGTGACAAGATGTAGGAGAGGACAGTGGTAGAGAAGGAGGTAAGAGAGGTGAAGTGGCAAGCAGGTAAGGCCTTGACAGACAGGGTCCTGTTGTATTGTATTCTGAGACCAATAGAAAGCCATTGAGGGTTTTTTTTTTTTTTTTTGAGCAGAGGACTGACAAGAATTATGATATATACTTTCAAAAACTGTCGCATTAAATGCTATCTGGATAACAGACTATGGGGCAAGACTAAGAGCAGAAAGACAAGTTTAGAGGCTTTTTCGCAAATCCAAGTAAACAATGCTAGTTTGGAAGAGAGTGGACCTAGGATTTGAAATACCTTTGGAAGATGGAGGTATCAGGATTTCCTAATGGATTAGATATGGGATACGAAAGAAAGGATAACAACAACATCAAAATCTTTGCTGGCTTGAAATAATACCGCCGGGTGCGGTAGCTCACACCTGTAATCCCAGCACTTTGGGAGACCAAGGCTGGTGGATCACTTGAGGCCAGGAGTTTGAGATCAGCCTGGCTATCTTGGGGAAACCCCATCTCTACTAAAAAATATGAAAATTAGCTGGGCATGGTCATGTGCCAGCAGCTTTGCCTCTCTTGAACCTGAGAGGCGGAGGTTGCAGTGAGCTGAGATCATGCTACTGCACTTCAGCCTGGGTGACAGAGTAAGACCCTGTATCAGAAAAAAAAAAAAGAAAAAAAAATAATTCTAGGGTTCAAATCAAAAGAGGAATCTAAAATTAAAACCACGTAGAGGCTGTGCTCTCCTACCACTCCATTTCTCCACACACAACTTTTCAAAGGTGCAATTGGTCATTTTTGTACTTGTCTGTTTAGCAGGTGTCTCCTCTCTCATTAGAATGTAAGCTCCTAATGTCTATCTGGTTCCCCCTTATATTACCTGCACCATGCTCAATGCCAACCATTTGCTGAGCCCTCATTACATTCTTTAAAGAATGAATGGGACCAGCCGGAAGAGGTGGCTCACACCAGTAATCCTAGCATTTTGGGAGGCCAAGGCAGGCAGATCACCTGAAGTCAGGATTTCGAGACCGGCCTGACCAACATGGTAAAACCCTGTCTCTACTAAAAATACAAAAAATTAGTGGAGCGTGGTGGTGCATGCCTGTAATCCCAGCTACTTGGGAGGCTGGGGCAGGAGAATCACTTGGACCCAGGAGACAGAGGTTGCAGTGAGCAGAGACGGCCACTACACTCCAGCCTGGGCAACAGAGCTAGATTCCATCTCAAAAAAAAAAAAAAAAAAAAAAAAAAAAGACTAAATGGGACCAGGTGTGGTGACTCATACATGTAATCCCAGCACTTTGGGGGGCCAAGTTGGAGGATGGCTTGAGGGTGGAAGTTCAAGGTTATAGTGAGCTATGATAGTGTCACTGCAGTCCAGCCTGGGCCACAGAGTGAGACCTTGTCTCTAAAAAGGAAAAGAAAATGAGTGAGACCTTGTCTCTAAAAAAGAAAAGAAAAAGGTCGCTTCCAAGATGGCTGAATAGGAACAGGTCTGGTCTACAGCTCCCAGTGAGATCAACACAGAAGACGGGTGATTTCTGCATTTCCAACTGAGGTACTTGTTCATTTCATTGGCACTTGTTGGACAGTGGGTGCAGCCCACGGAGGGTGAGCCAAAGCAGGGTGGTGTGTAACCTCACCCAGGAAGTGCAAGGGGTCAGGGGATTTCCTTTTCCTAGCCAAGGGAAGCTGTGAGTGACTGTACCTGTAGGAACGGCACACTTCTGCCCAAATACTACACTTTTCCCATGGTCTCCACAACCAGCAGACCAGGAGATTCCCTCCCATGCTTGGTTCGGCAGGTCTCATGCCCACAGAACCTTGCTCACAGCTAGCACAGCAGTCTAGGATCAACCTGGGACACTGGAGCTTGTGGGGGAGGGGTGTCCACCATTGCTGAGGCTTGAGTAGGGGGTTCTATGCTCAGAGTGTAAACAAAGTGGCAGGGAAGCTCAAATTGGGCAGTGCCCACCACAGTTCAGTAAGGCCTACTGCCCCTCTAGATTCTACTTCTGGAGGCAGGGCATATACGAACAAAAGTCAGCAGACAGCTTCTGCAGACTTAAACATCCCTGCCTGACAGCTCTGAAGAGAGCAGTGATTCTCCCAGCACAGCGTTTGAGATCTGAGAACAGACAGACTGCCTCCTCAAGTGGGTCCCTGACTCCCATGTAGCCTGACTGGGAGACACCTCCCAGTAGGGGCTGACAGACACCTCATACAGGTGGGTGCCCCTCTGGGACAAAGCTTCCAGAGGAAGGATTGGGCAGCAATATTTGCTGTTCTACAGCCTCTGCTGGTGATACCCAGGCAAACAACGTCTGGAGTGGAGCTCCAGCAAACTCCAACAGACCTGCAGCTGAGGGGCCTGAATGTTAGAGGGAAAACTAACAAACAGAAAGGAATACCATCAACATCAACAAAAAGGACATCCACACCAAAACTCCATGTGTAGGTCACCAACATCAAAGACCAAAGGTAGATAAAACCACAAAGATGAGGAGAAACCAGAGCAGAAAGCCTGAAAATTCCAAAAACCAGAATGCCTCTTCTCATCCAAAGAAACACAACTCCTCACCAGCAAGGGAGCAAAGCTGCATGGAGAATGAGTTTGACGAGCTGACAGAAGTAGGCTTCAGAAGGTCAGTAATAACAATAACTAAAGGAGCATCTTCTAACCATTCTAACCCATCGCAAGGAAGCTTAAAACCTTGAAAAAAGGTTAGACGAATGGCTAACTAGAATAACCAGTGAAGAGAAGAGCTTAAATGACCTGATGGAGCTGAAAACCACAGTACAAGAACTGCGTGAAGCATACACAAGCTTCAATAGCCAATTTGATCAACCAGAAGAAAGGGTATCAGTGATTGAGGATCAAATTAATGAAATAAAGAGAGAAGACAAGATTAAAAATAAAAGAGTGAAAAGAAACGAACAAAGCCTCCAAGAAATATGGGACTATGTGAAAAGACCAAATCTACGTTTGATTGGTGTACCTGAAAGTGATGGGGAGAATGGAACCAAGTTAGAAAACACTCTTCAGGATATTATCCAGGAGAACTTCCCCAACCTAGCAAGGCAGGCCAACATTCAAATTCAGAAAACACAGAGAACACCACAAAGATACTCCTTGAGAAGAGCAACCTCAAGACACCTAATTGTCAGATTCACCAAGATTGAAATGAAGAAAGGAATGTTGAGGGAAGCCAGAGAGAAAGGTCAGGTTACCCACAAAGGGAAGCCTATCAGACTAACAGTGGACCTCTCGGCAGAAACCCTACAAGCCAGAAAAGGGTGGGGGCCAATATTCAACATTCTTAAAGAAAAGAATTTTCAACCCAGAATTTCATATCCAGCCAAACTAAGCTTCATAAGTGAAGGAGAAATAAAATCCTATACAGACAAGCAAATGCTGAGAGATTTTTGTCACCACCCGGCCTGCCTTATAGGAGCTCCTGAAGGAAGCACTAAACATGGAAGGGAACAACCAGTACCAGGCACTGCAAAAACATGCCAAATTGTAAAGACCATCGATGCTATAAAGAAACTGTATCAATTAATGGGTGACGTAACCAGCTGGCATCGTGATGGCGGGATCAAATTCACACATAACAATATTAACCTTAAATGTGAGTGGGCTAAATGCCCCAATTAAAAGACACAGACTGGCAAGTTTGTTGGAGAGGCAAGACCCATCGGTGTGCTGTATTCAGGAGACCCATCTCACATGCAAAGACACACATAGGCTCAAGATGAAAGGATGGGGGAAGATCTGCCGAGCAAGTGGAAGGCAGAGGAAAGCAGGGGTTGCAATCCTGCTCTCTGATAGAATAGACTTTGAACCAACAAAGATCAAAAGAGACAGGGAAGGCCATTACATAATGATAAAGGGATCAACTCAACAAGAAGAGCTACATATTCTAAGTATGTATGCATCCGATACAGGAGCACCCAGGTAGGGTCATGAAGCAAGTTCTTAGAGACCTACAAAGAGACTTAGACTCCCACACAATAATAATGGGAGACTTTGGCACCCCACTGTCAATATTGGACAGATCAATGAGACGGAGAATTGGCAGGGATGTCTGGGACTTGTACTCAGCTCTGGACCAGGCAGACCTGATAGACATCTACAGAACTCTCCACCCCAAATCAACAGAATATACATTCTTATGAGCACCACATCACACTTATTCTAAAATTGATCAAATGGTTGGAGGTAGAAAACTCCTCAGCATATGTAAAAGAATAGAAATTACGACAAACTGTCTCTCAGACCACAGTGCAATCAAATTGGAACACAGGGTTGAGAAACTCACTCAAAACTGAACAACTACATGGAAACTGAACAACCTGCTCCTGAGTGACTATTGGGTAAATAATGAAATGAAGGCAGAAATAAAGATGTTCTTTGAGATCAATGAGAACAAAGACACAATGCACCAGAATCTCTGGGACGCATTTAAAGCAGTGTGTAGAGGGAAATTTGTAGCACTAAATGCCCACATGAGAAAGCAGGAAAGATCTAAAATCAACACCCTGGCATCACAGTTAAAAGAACTAGAGAGGCAAGAGCAGACAAATTCCAAAGCTAGCAGAACATAAGAAATAGCTAAGATCAAAGCAGAACTGAGGGAGCCAGAGACACACAAACATACAAAAAAAACCCTTCAAAAAAATCAATGAATCTAGGAGCTGGTTTTTTGAAAAGATCAACAGGATAGATAGACTGCTAGTAAAACTAATAAAGAAGAAAAGAGGGAAGAATCAAATAGATGCAATAAAAACTGATAAAGGGGATATCATCACCAATCCCACAGAAATACAAACTACCATCAGAGAATACTGTAAACACCTCTATGCAAATAAACTAGAAAATCTAGAAGAAACAGATAAATTCCTGGACACATACACCCTCCCAAGACTAAACCAGGAAGAAGTTGAATCTCTGAATAGACCAATAACAGGTTCCAACAAAACAGTCCAGGACCAGACGGATTCATAGCCGAATTCTACCAGAGGTACAAAGAATAGCTGGTACCATTCCTTCTGAAACTATTCCAATCAATAGAAAAAGAGAGAATCCTCTCTAACTCATTTTATGAGGCCAGCAACATCCTGATACTAAAGCTTGGCAGAGACACAACAAAAAAAGAGAATTTTAGGCCAATATCCCTGATGAACATCGATGCGGAAATCCTCAATAAAATACTGGCAAACCGAATTTAGCACCACATCAAAAAGCTTATCCATCATGATCAAGTCAGCTTCATCCCTGGGATGCAGGCTGGTTAAACATACACAAATCAATAAACATCGTCCATCACATAAACAGAACCAATGACAAAAACCAGATGATTATCTCAATAGATGCAGAAAAGGCCTTCAACAAAATTCAACAGCCTTCCATGCTAAAAACTCTCAATAAATTAGGTATTGAAGGAATGTATCTCAAAATAATAAGAGCTATTTATGACAAACCCACAGCCAATATCATACTGAATGGGCAAAAACTGGAAGCATTCCCTTTGAAAACCAGCACAAGACAAGGATGCCCTCTCTCACCACTCCTATTCAACATAGTATTGGAAGTTCTGGCCAGGGCAATCATGCAAGATAAAGAGATAAAAAGTATTCAATTGGAAAAGAGGAAGTCAAATTGTCCCTGTTTGCAGATGACATGATTGTATATTTAGAAAACCTCATCGTCTCAGCCCAAAATCTCCTTAAGCTGATAAGCAACTTCAGCAAAGTCTCAGGATACAAAATCAATGTGCAAAAATCACAAGCATTCCTATATACCAAGAACAGACAAACAGAGAGCCAAATCATGAGTTAACTCCCATTCACAATTACTACAAAGAGAATAAAATACCTAGGAATCCAACTTACAAGGGATGTGAAGGACTTCTTCAAGGAGAACTACAAACAACTGCTCAACAAAATAAAAGACGACACAAACAAATGGAAGAACATCCCATGCTCATGGATAGGAAGTGAAAATGACCATACTTCCCAAGGTAATTTATAGATTCAATACTATCCCCATCAAGCTACCAGTGACTTTCTTCACGGAATTGGAAAAAACTACTTTAAAGTTCATATGGAACTGAAAAAGAGCCCACATTGCCAAGACAATCCTAAGCAAAAAGAAAAAGCTGGAGGCATCACACTACCTGACTCCAAACTATACTACAAGGCTACAGTAACTAAAACAGCATTGTACTGGTACCAAAACAGAGATATAGACCAATGAAACAGAACAAAGGCATCAGAAATAACACCACACATCTACAACCATCTGATCTTTGACAAACCTGACAAAAACACTATTTAATAAACGGTGCTGGGAAAACTGGCTAGCCATATGTAGAAAGCTGAAACTGGATCCCTTCCTTATACCTTACACAAAAATTAACTCGAGATGGATTAAAAACTTAAATGTAAGACCTAAAGCCATAAAATCCCTAGAAGAAAACCTAGGCAATACCATTCAGGACATAGGCATGGGCAAAGACTTCATGACTAAAACACCAAAAGCAATGGCAACAAAAGTCAAATAGACAAATGGGGTCTAATTAAACTAAAAAGCTTCTGCACAGCAAAAGAAAATATCATCAGAGTGACCAGGCAACCTACAAAATTGGAGAAAAATTTTGCAATCTATCCATCTGACAAAGCACTAATATCAGAATCTACAAATAACTTAAACAAATTTACAAGAAAAAAACAAACAACCCCATCAAAAAGTGGGCAAAGGATATGAACAGACACTTCTCAAAAGAAGACATTTATGCTGCCAATAGACATGAAAAAATGCTCATCATCACTGGCCATCAGAGAAATGCAAATCAAAACCATAATGAGATACCATCTCACACCAGTTAGAATGGCGATCATTAAAAAGTCAGGAAACCACAGATGCTGGAGAGGATGTGGAGAAATAGGAACGCTTTTACACTGTTGGTGGGAGTGTAAATTAGTTCAACCATTGTGGAAAACAGTGTGGTGATTCCTCAAGGATCTAGAACTAGAAAGACCATTTGACCCTGTAATCCCATAACTGGGTATATACCCAAAGGATTATAAATCATGCTACTATAAAGACACATGCACATGTATGTTTATTGCGGCACTATTCACAATAGCAACCAACCCAAATGTCCATCAATAATAGACTGGATAAAGAAAATGTGGCACATATACACCATGGAATACTATACAGCCATAAAAAAGGATGAGTTCATGTCCTTTGCAGGGACATGGATGAAGCTGGAAACCATCATTCTCAGCAAACTAACACAGGAACAGAGAACCAAACACCGCATGTTCTCACTCATAAGTGGAAGTTGAACAATGAGAACACAGGGACACAGGGAGGGGAACATCACACACCAAGGCCTGTTGGGTGGTGGTGGGCTGCGGGAGGGATAGCTTTTGGAGAAATACCTAATGTAAGTGATGAGTTGATGGGTGCAGCAACCCAACATGGCACATGTATACCTATGTAACAAACCAGCAGGTTGTGCACATGTACCCTAGAATTTAAAGTATTATAATAATAATAAGAAGAAGAAGAAGAAAAGAAATGAAGAATGAATGGATGTCCAAAGCTTTGAGCAATCTTTAAATTATATCTTATTAGAAAGAGAAACAGTTGAAGGAAATAGAGATATTGAAAAGGAAAGAATTCATTAAAAGGCAACTAGGACTATAAAGGTTCTGTTTTCTAGCATAACCATTTGCATAAACTCCAAGACAAAACCAATTTTACTACTTCAAAGAGTTGTTGGATCTCCTATACTATCAGCTCGTTTCGTTCGTTCTTCTGTCAATAGAGTTTTACCCTGATCTGACATCCCAGCTATATCATACTTTTAATCTACTTAATTCTTAGAAAAGCATTATTTCTGCTAAAAATAATAGCTATCTCTAGCCCTTCATTACGCAAGCTCATGCAAAAAAATGGTAAAACTGCAGTTAGGTGTACAGATAATTTTCTAATCTTATTTCCAATGATTGCAGACTGCCTCTCCCATAAAGTTTTACACCAGCTGTTAAAAGCTCTTCAAACTGATTTTGTTGCATCTTATTTTTACCTCTCCTTAATATCAAAGGGAAAATGAAAAAGAAGAGTAAAAAGACCAAAAGTTCTGTAGATGAGGAAGTGCAGGATAGTGATTGGCCTAGATCATCTTGACCACTGGAAGGTCTGAACTATTCAAAGGTGGCCACACTTAGAGCTTGGTGCACAGCAAACGTATAAATGTGCGGGTTTCTAATATTAATTGTTTATTTAAAAATTAAGTTCCTTACACCCTGTCGCTGACATGTCACTAGCTTGGGGCCTCCAAAGGCGAACGTGCAGAAGGTTGCAGTAAGGATGGAGAGTCTCTATGTAAACGACACGACAGGACCATGTGTAACGACTAAGTAACGACAGGACCATTAGTAAACGACTAAGCCATGTGTGATTTGTGATGTCAGCAGAACCCCCTGATGGAATCCTTGAGTTTCCATCAGTTGGCTAGAGAACGTCCCTATAAGAAAAGGCTGACCCTTGACATCGCCAGAAACTTTCCCCAGACTTGGCGTCCATTTGCAGGAGATGCCCCCGCAAGTCCCAGAGGTGGGTGGGTCCTGGGGAGGCCTCCAGGAAGGGCGGCCCCTCGGGCCCTGAGCGGAGAATGGCGAGGCCGCAGGCACTGGGGCCACAGGGGCCAGGTCCAAAGACCGGGGTCCCAGTAGGAGCCCCACGCGCCAGCGGGTGACAGCCCTGGGGGGCGGGGGGAGGCGGCCCAGGGCTCCCGGGACCGCCTAGGCGTTGGGGCCCCGCCCGCAGGACTGTCCGGCAGGCCGCGAGGATGTGGAGGGACCCGTGGTCCCCGCCCCGCAGGGCGGCGGCTGCCGGGCCGGGAGCGAGGTGGCGGAACGGGGACTGTGGCCCGGGATGCAGGCGGGGGAGGCGGCCGAGGTGGGAGAGGGCGGGGTCGGCGGGGCGGGGCGGGGTCGGCGCTGTCCCGGCGGCTTTACAAAGCCCGCGCCAGCCTCGGCCGCCCGGCGGGACCCAGAGCCGCCGCGGGAGCTTCCAGCGTCCCCAGGTAGCGCGGGCGTCGCGGGGCGTGGCGGGGCGGGAGCGCGCCCGGGAGGAGCCGCGCCAGGGTGGGCGGGATTATGGGGGGTCTCTCTGCCCACCCGCAGTCCCCACATCCGCAGGCTCATGGGGACGCGAGAGCTTGGAGCATCCCTTTGCACCCTTGAAAGGAGGGTGACCTGGTTACCTTTCGCTGACCTCCTCACAGCTAGCCCAGCTGCTCTGACAAAGCACAGGGCCCCAGAGGGTGCTTGCTTCCAGAATACTTTGGGTGTCTTGAGCAGCCTCCTACCTAAGCGTCCCCCAGCACACACACACACACACACGCGTGCGCGCGCGCGCACTCACACACACACACACACTGGCGGAGGCGGGGGTGGCCAGAGGGATTAGAGAGATAAAGTCACTGTCAGTCAGAAAAGATAAGAATCTGGGCTGGACGTGCCACACTGGGGTCTTCTGAAAGTAGGCGCAGCATCTGCAGCTCCTCATGCCCGGCCCTAAGGTGATGCGGGATTGATTTTTCTTGGTTTGTTAGCCGTGAAAGCCCCGGGCTGTAAAAAGGTTTGGGTCAAGAACTAGACTTTGATTTATTGAGGCTTGCTTTGCCCTGCTATGCCACACCTTGTGGTGTCTGGAGATGGGGTATTTTGGAGCACTCATACAAAGTTTGAACTGGTATTCAAGTGAGCTTGAATACTCACTTGATTTTTAACACTTGGGAATTAAAAAAAAATGAAGATATACATTCTCTTAGTTTAAATTGAGTTTTATTTTTCAATACACATGCATGTATTTTAAGAGAAGTAATCACTGGTGATGTCACTCAAATAATGAGTCCAGCAGGTGTGGCATTGTTAGAATTTGAATTCGAAACTAAGTTTACCGTATAGTTTTAGAGAAATTGACTGCTTCTTTATGTGCCTTTTTATGCGCTGTATTACTGAGAGGTGTGTGTGCTGAGAATCCTGTCGCATCATCTTGCTCTTGGTGAGAAGGTCTCCCCTGGTGTTGGCCACCAGATCTGGGAAAAAACCCAAAATATATATTTTTTATTACTAGTGTTTCAGTGTGTGCAACTCTGCTTCTTGGGCCGCTAGCCTTAGTCTCTGGTGAGAAGAAGTAGGTATCAAAAATGTGCCCTAGACACATTTGGGAGCAAGGAGGAAGGCTGTAGATTTCTTTTTCCCCATTAAAGTTTTCATGTATTGGCAATTTAAACCCCAAAGCATTGTTTACCACCTGTCAGATGCACTCGGAAGCGTAAGGATTAACTAATAAAAGATTTGTAAAATGCTTCCTGAGTCTAAAATTCTATAAATATGCTAAATAGTAATAATCCACCCATTGTTAAATTTATGTAGCTGCTTATGCCATGCATGTAAGATGATTTAGATGCATGTTTCCTGTCAATTAAACAATGAGTTTGGAGCAAAATAACGAGTTCAGTTCACATCCTATGAAACTTTGAAATAAAATTTCTCCCATAAAGCAACAGCAGAGAATCGTAAAATAAGCTGCATTTCAAAAAGCTGTATATGAAATGGCATTTACCTTACGGTTGGGTGAAGAGGGACCCAGTGAACTTCTGAAACTAAGAAATAGTCAGCCCTGGTTCATGTGTGTCTGAACCATAAACATTCCCTAACAGGGAGGGCATGCAGGTTTTTGTGGAATAGCCTCATAGCTTTCCAGTCTAATCCATGAAATATGCCTCTTGGCATTTTAAGGTTGAATTCAACCTGTGGTTTTGTTCACAGACAATGAAGAAAATCTGTATACCTACTTGGATTAATTATTGATTCCTCCAATATCATGGGCTTGGTTTTGAAGCATCCTTAACACCAGCTATCATTTTAATATCCTGCAGATAATTGGTTTGTTCCCAGTTGATTTAGTGGCATATTAACATTTTTCTCTTAGCATGGTTTGAATAACAAAGTGTGTCGTTCTTCTGTTTACCGACATCCTAGAGTAAAACCCGTTTCTTATACGCTACTTTTAAGTATAAATACTGATACAAGGGATCTTTTTTGTTGTTGTTTTAGGTAGACAACTCTAGATTTACCACTAGCAGGTTAAGCTGTGACCTTAATGAAGTTGGGGATGTCTTTTTTTTGACACTTGTCCATTTTAGTGGACTTTTCTTTTCATTTCCTTCACTAAAATTTGGATGCGCAGTTGCTAAATAGGCTCCATTCCAGTATTCTACAACCTTCCCTCTGCCGCCACTCCTCCTTTATCCAAGTAACTTAACCTCTGCTCTACTTTGTCTTGATTTGACAACAAGTTGGTACAGGTGAAAGTGCACTAGGTGAAAAATAAAAGAGCTTGCATTTCCGGAGCAGCTGTGATATACTAGGCACTGTGCCACAATATCTCATTAAATTCTTGTAATAATCTGGTGAGGCAGGCGTTGTCTGTGTTTCACAGAAAAGAAAACTGAGGCTCAAAGAAGCTTTCATGCCCAAGGATGAGCAGTTTATGAATAGAAAAGCCAGGATTTGAACCACTACAGTCTGGTACTTCCTGCTGCGTTGCAGTCTCTAAGAAGAGTTCACATTCTGCACTGAAGTGTGGAAGAGTTCTTCTATTAATTAGCCATTTGACCTCAGAGAAGTCCTTTAAACCCTCTGGGCCTCTGGTTTCCTTTCACTAGCTTTGGATTAAATTATCTCTCAGAGATAGAAGAGACAGTTCCAGGATTTTGGATGCCAAGCACATAAGCTATTTCTCCCACAGGATCCCAGCATATGCTCTCCCTTCCCCTTTTTCCACCCCCTTCCTTCCCGTTTTTCTTCTTTTCTTCCTTTAGGTCTAAGTAAATTGCACTTCCTCTAGGAGTCTTCTTCTGAACACCTTTCTGTTCTTCTCTATCTCAGCCCTCAGTTATCCCTCACGGAGCCGATTACAAACCGAAGTCTCTTATTTATATTTGTTTAATATGACTGTTGTTTTTGTCTTCTTCCCCATCACTCCTTACTTCCCCATCAGAATGTAGGCTGCATAGGCCAGAACTCTGTTTTCTGACTTTTTTCATTACTGTATTCCCAGGGCCTAGCACAGTGATGAATAGCACATAGTTGTTGGTCTGTAAGTATGTTTGAATAAGTAATTATCTCTTATAAAAGACACGTGTGAATGGCTAATATATTGTCCCTTCCTTGGGAAAGCCTAAATGAAGCATCATTGATCTTATAGTGTTAGAGAGGGTGAGCCTGAATTATGAATGGAGATCTGAGTACCATAATGGAGACGACAGGGCCGCCCTCAGACACACAGGACAAATGGACACACTGCACCTAGTACAACCCCATATTTTACGGCAGAGGAAACTGAAGCTCAGAATGATAATAGAAATTTAGGTCTAGACAATACCTTAGAGATCAGCTAATAGTCTCAGCCATTGTTTTATTGATGAGCAAACTGAAGCCCCCCAAAACAGACCATAAGCTATAGAACCTAAGCCTTCTGACTTATAAACAGCATTCTTTTCACTCAGATCAAAAATAGTGAGGACCACCCAGTCAACAGCAGTAAGGAGCTTTGGACAATGATGCTTTCTTTCAGAAATTCAAAAGAGCCTTAGGTTGCCCAGACCAATCCTGAGTAGCAGCATTAGAACATCTTAGTATGTATAACCTATTTTTAAATTTCTTCTGGTCTCTATAAACTTCGGTGACACATTTACTATTTTAATAATCCATCAAGCAGCCTTTTAATACTTATCATTAGTTTACCAATTCTATTTAAATGCTTGGACAGTCCAAATAGAAAATTTACAGGGCTGAGCATTTAACACTGGTGTGATAGATTAAAGATACATTTAAAAGATGATTGCTAGTTTGAACCTCAAAATATTGATGGCTTATCTTTAAGCACCAAAATGTTAACTTTTCTTCTCTAACATAGACAGCAATCCTTGCTAAAGTATTACATTTTATAAACAAACAGTTCTTAAAGTTTAGAGGGCATAAAAATCATCTGGAAGGCTTTTTAAAATCACAGATTGCTTGGAGCCATTATGCACAGTTCTGAATTAATAGGTTTGAGATTGCACCCACACAACTGCATTTTGACAAATATCTTTGGTGATTTCTCAATCAAATGGTCCGAAGATCTCATTTTGAGATCCAATCACAATTTTGATATCTTTTTAATTTCCCCAGATTCTTCCTAAGAGGATATTTTTAAAAAAGATATTTCGGGAGGAACTCAGTGTGTTTGAATCCAGCTAATAGCAGAGATGATTAAAATTGTTTGCTAGGTATGATGACATTTGTTTCATTGTAGCAAAAGCTGTGTGTGTGTGTGTGTGTGTGTGTGTGTGTGTGTGTGTGTACATAACCATGCTGTGGCTACTAGACTTGATATTGGCTCAAATCAAGCATGTTCAAAAATGTTTCTATTGGACCACAAAAATAAATTGATAAGTAGTAATAAGAGTTGAGTGTTAAGTTTCATGAGGAAATAGTGAAGTCCCTTGTTCTCCAGATGGTTACATTCTGTACAGCTGAGAGATAAGATTAATATCCACAAAACATTCAGGATAAGTTTGCAAATCAAATACAGGATGCCTAGTTAAATCTGGATTTCAAATACACAACAAATCATGTTTTAGTAAAATTGTGTCTCCCGTATAATATTTTTATTTGCTAAATCTGGCATTCCTGATCAGAGAACATTAGTGTTCAGTGTCATTAGTTTCTAGAAGTAAGGGTGCTGAGTGGTGGTTGTTAAGCTTAATGAAATTGATAAAAGCTCTGGACGTCCTCCTGAGAAAAATGCCCCCATGGCACATTCCAACAGCCCTCGCATAACCATCCCTTGGGTTCCAGGCTGCCGAAGCTCTCGGGGACATCAGGTCATCTACAGTGGGGGACATCAGGTCATCTACAATGGTGGACAGCGAGGCAAATTCCTCAGGCTATTTTCTCTGGGCTGGAAAGGTCTGGAAGGTGACTGTGAAAAGTATAGTTGAACTAGGCCTTAAAGAGCAGTAGAATTTAGCTGGATTGTGGGTGGGAAGACATCTGAAGCTTTGAAAGGAGGCAGATTCCCTCAGGCCTTGAGGGTATTTAGTTCAGAATACTGATAAATCAGCTTGGGCAGGTAAAAAAAAGAACTGGATTGTGGACAGTCTTAAGTTCTGAAGGGTTTAGACTGCCCATGTTGGAAAATAAAGAGTCTTCATTGATATGTAAGTGGGGAGAACATGATCAAACTAAAGGAAAGAATAAGAAAAATCATAGGAAGCCCAAGCTCCAGAGTCAATCAGCCTGGTAAGAGCTCCTCCATTTACGAGCTATGAGTTCTTTGACTTGTGAGCAACTTCTGTGAGTCCCCATCTCCTGAGTTGTGAATTGGGAATAATAATAGAAGCTACTAATGGGGTTGTTGTGAGAATAAAATGAAGTTGTTTGGTGCTTAGCACAGTGTGTGATACTGCATAAATATTCAATTAATGGTGCATAAATACTATGATATGCTCCTGCTGCCCCTAATATTGTTCAAGAAAGGCAAGTCTCAGCAACCTGCTTGAACCTGATTTTTTTTTTTATCTTGGGGGAAGTGAAAAAAAGAGGAAAATGATTGATTTCTGGATTTGAATATAGCTTTAAAATCTCCCTTTTCCAAGTTGAAATTGCATTAACAAAAAACAATAAGGGCAGAAACAAGTGAGCAAAATGCTGTGTGTACTTCTGAGATTTTTTAAATAAGTACATTCAACCCTTTATTATTTCTCCTAAGAGGAAATATTATGGATAATTCAGATAATTTACTCTGATCCAAATAAACATTTTCAAATTGTATGTGTTACTCTTAATAGCAGGTTTGCCATCTTTTTTGGCCAATATTTAAATTAATCAGCGTGTGAATGTTGTTCCCCAAAGCCTTTTAAACAGTAAGATAAAATGAGGTTATCAGAGATAATTTGCAAAGCAGCCAGGTTTCCCTTGAGTAGGTAATAAGGCTGACCACTAATTTTGGAAATGATATCTTGGGTGCTCTGGAGCCAGACTGCTTAGGTTCCAATCTCTGATGGTTCCTCCCCCAGGCCAGTCATTTTGCTTCTCTACACCTTAGTTTCTTCCTATAGGTAAAATAAAAGTAGTAACATCCCTTCCTCAAAGGTATGTGCACTGAGTCCTCAGTAAGGTGCCTGGTACACAGTAAGCATTTGCCAGCATGTAAGAATTTCCCAGCATGGAATTTTGTGACCAAAGCAATATAGTCCTCTTACTGGTATATTATTTTCTTTGATATACTCATAAATAATTTAGTTCAAGAAAGCATCTAATAATGTGGGAGCTATTTATGATCTTTAGTCACACCTTAATGTATTGATGTACGCAGCCAGGGTTGTTTAAACCATTTTCCAAGCCATGGAGTACAATGTTACTCCATGGCTTGGAAAATTTGAAAGAATTTTTAGCCGCATCTTTCATTATGTGCTCTGTTTTTTGTTTTGTTTTGTTTTGTTTTTTTACTTATCTATCTTCAACTGTGACAGGGTGATTGGTGCCTTTCTAAAGAGCTTTGGGTTTCTTGTGCATTAAAGTGTCTGGGCCCTAGAATTTACTTGGCTCATAAACTTATGAGATGGAACAATACAAGATTGGTTTAAGGTACATCATAGTTGCATGTATGACAGTTATTTTTTATTTAGTTTATGCTAAGCACCTGGAGAGCATCTCCCACAGTGCCTTAAAGATAGTAGACTCAAATATTTATTGAATGAATTTAATGTATAATAAAATGCATTGCATTTTTTTTCCTGAGGATATCTTTCCCTCACATTAGAAAATCTAACTTTTTAAAAAAAGAGAAGGGAAACATCATGCAGATATTTCAAGACTGAAGTATTATGGAAAATGTGAACTTGGAGATCTACCATTTGTATTTTCTGGAAGTGCTATCATTTTCACAAGCCTGTTTCTCCCATAGGGTCTTTGCATTATTAGCTGTTACGTTTCTCTGGAATATTCTTCCCTCAGATGGTGCTTGGCCCAGATAAGATGTCACCTCCTCAGAGAAGTCCTCCCTGACCACCTAATCTCACTCACTTTCTATTACATCACTTTGTTTTATTTATTGTAGTATACTACCATTTGATTATTTCATTTTTTAATTGCTTATCCTCATCCTTACTGGACTAGAAGTACCCTGAGGTCAGAGGTCAAGCCTGCATGTTTACTGTTGTCTTCCCAGGATCTATTATAGTGCCAGGCATTTCACAGATACTCAACAAATATTTTGTCAATTCGTTGAATTAATAAAGATCAGGATATGGTTTTTTAGTGTTATCCTAACACATAGCAATAATTTCTAATATTTTGAGTCACATTTACCTTTCAGAATTGGATTAAAATTTTGAAACTCCTCCCCAGTGAAAATTTACATACACAATTTTTTGCATATAATTTAAGTTCATGGATCTCAGGCTAAGAACCTCAGCTCTAAAAGTGTATATACAAATATTAAGAAAATCTAATTGCACTATTGAGCTAAATGTCACCAAAAAATTAATTACTACAAAAGAATTATAAATTTTAATGCTCATATTTTTACAGTAATCAATTACATGTTGCCTTTGGAGAATTTTGCAACCCTCCAGAGGAAAAAAAAAAGACTACCTATAAATGTTATATATTTTATTTATATGCTGGAAAGGATTTAGGGCCTACAGAAAAAGGCTAATAAAATATACACCGTAGAGCAATATAAAATGTATTTCAAATAGGTAAGAAAAAATGAGTCAAAGGAAAAAAATAAGGCTAAGAACATAAGATAGGGCCATGAGAGAGATTCATACTGAAAATTTATGCCATGAAATTCAACACTCTTGCTAGAAGATAGTAACAAATTTTGTTCTCAGTTTTTGAGCAGGCAATGCAAAGGAGAAAAAAATCAGTTATGCCTTGCAGAGGGTCATATTTTATATATACTTACACATGAATATATGCATATGTATATAATAGAAACTACCTCTTAAAAGAAGAAAGCTTGAGTATTGTAATAAGGAATAAAGAGATATATTTCTGGTGTTTTGTTTTTGGCATGTGCCCTTGTAGCTGAGCCTGAAATAACCCATTAAAAAATGCTTTAAAATGACTAGCACTTTGAACGTTTATAATTAAGGTTTTATGGCTTATTGTAATTTTTGTCAGCAGTAGACCTTTGGAAAGAGGCCTCATTACACCAGTAAGAAGAGATGGAGCTGGTGCAATGAAGACAATGGGTTTTCTCCATTTTCTTACAGCTCCTCTTTTTACCTAACCAAGCAGAGAGACACGTCCCCTCCATCATTCCACCATTTCCATTGTTACACACTATTTAATAAAATGCCCGAAGCCCTCGTTCTCTTCTTAAAGAGGCATGCACCTAAGACATTGACTAAAGCAAGTTATTCCTGCTAACCTTAGTTTCCTTGGATAGGAGTCTATCTGGGACTTCTACGATTTCTTTCTTTGAGAGAGCAAATACAATAACTGGCTTCTTTAGAACATTATGTGGATTTGTGGCATTCTCTGTGGGGCTATAAATGGATCACATTGACAGCTTTATTTGTCATTCTTAAATGGAATGTGTTTTTTTCCCCTTTGTGTTAGATCAAAATCAGATGGCATTTCTTATTTCAATGTGGAATGTTTTTACTCTCATAATTGCAGAAGTGCATTCATAACTGATACTATTCTAATTTACAAAATTTGTGTTTCATGATTTGGGGGCATGAGAAAAATGTGACTGAGGGAAAACATCTTATGCAACATTTGAGTTTCGCCTATTTATTGAGATCCTGATACAGTTGCTAGAATTCTGTCACCATATGGAAGCAGAGACAATTATATTGCATTTGATGACATAAATTTTAGAAGCTAAGATATAAAAAGGCATATCCAGCAGAATATCTACAATCCAGAGACTTAGGCATTTTTGAAATATCTTCTCTCCTTTGTGTCCCCTCCAGCATGTCTGTGGACTTTGTCCTTCATTCCTCCCCTTGTAATGACTCTTATTCAATATATACAGTAGCGAAAATGAAGATAATAGGATTGGAAAATACTACCTTCATATCTTAGCACACATCTTATATCATAAAACCAGTTACATCTGCTCAGGTGAAATGTTTCATTCAAAAACCCCTATTATTCCCATTCACCCACTACTAAGCGTGAATGAGAAGGTAAATCTTCCTACTTTCGTTTCTTATATCCATTCAAGGCTTTCAATGCTCTTGTGACTGACCCCAGTTCTGTGCAAAATGTACCCCAGGATTTAAAAATCCTGAGTTGGATTTTTAAATGCCAGCCTAGGGGTACATGTTTCTCACTGAATTTATGTCTTTTCATACTGATTTCACACACTCACACTTTCAAAAAAGTTGTCTTTATTGATAATCTACTATGTGTTAGACACCGAATTGCATCAGATACTCTCTGCCTCCATTTAGCCTATGGACTAGAAGGGGAAGACAGACAATAAAAGAATGACACACATGAATATGGAACCGAAACTCTTCTAAGTGCTACAAAAGAGAGTTAGAAGGTTCTGTAAAATGAGATCCAAATGATGCACAGGCATCAACTAGACCGGGCATACACACAGAAGGCATGCTACATGGGGAAGTCCTCTAGAAGGAGACAGAACAGGCAGCATGAAAGACTGAGGGAAGGTCGGGTGCGGTGGCTCATGTCTGTAATCCCAGCACTTTGGGAGGCTGAGGCGGGTGGATCACAAGGTCAGGAGTTTGAGACCAGCCTGGCCAACATGGTGAAACCCCGTCTCTACTAAAAAAATACAAAAATTAGCCGGGCATGGTGGCATGCGCTTGTAATCCCAGCTGCTCAGGAGGCTGAGGCAGGAGAATTGCTTGAACCCAGGAGGCAGAGGTTGCAGTGAGCCAGGATTGCACCACTGCACTCCAGCCTGCGTGACAGAGCAAGATTCTGTCTCAAAAAAAAAAAAAAAAAGTACTGAGGGAAGGCCACACTGTCTGGAGTGCAGAAGAGGAGTGAACTGCTTAAGTCTGGGGATGTCATCAGGTCCATCACCAAGGGAGCCTTTTTAGCCATATCAAGAAATATGCCTTTATCCTAGGACCAGTGAGAAGATTGAGGATTTTTGTTGTTTATCGTTTTTTTGGTGGGGGTGTGGGGAGTGCTGTAGTTAGTTACATCATCAATTTTACATTTTGAAAATATATTTCTGGCTACCGTGTGGAATATGGGTTGGCAAGGGGGAAGAGTATGCATATCAGTGAAATATTTCAGTAGAGAGATAGTGATACCCTGGCCTAAAGGAGAAGGATGAGGTGTCAGTGACTTCCAAAAGGTGAATGGATTCAAGAGATATGTAGGAGGTAAAATTGACAGGCCACCTTCTGTGATATCTATGTGCACCCCATGAGGAAGTGTCAGGGAACAATGGTGGAGGAACATGTGTGTGAAAACAGATGCTAAGTTCAGTGTTGGATGTGTTGAGTTTGAGATGTCTTGAGACATCACGGGAGACAGCAGACAGACATTGGATTATGGGTGTGGGGCTTGTCAGAGATATAAACTTCTGACTCATTGTGACATTCATAGGTCTGGAGGCAGATAAGATTGCTTAGAGAAAGATAATGAAGCAAGTTATAGAAGAAAACACTGAGGCCAAAATGCCTGGAGGAAATCAAACCCATAATGGCCCAGTAGTGAAAGATGAGCCCACAGAGGATGGAAGAATAGCAAAAGAAACAGAAGGAAATGCAGGGATTCCTGGGTCATGGGGGGCAGAGGAGCAAGGGTTCTAGGAAAGTAGCAGTGGTCAGCTGAGTTGAAAGAAGACTGAGAAATGTGTGTTTTATTGAGCACGGATGGAGAATACTGGTCAGGAGAGAATTATTTTTGAATTAAAATAAAGAGAAATTGCTAAGTGATATGTACAGGAAATACAGTTGTAACTGGTTCTGTCTGTCGTCCTGCCTGTTTGAGAGTATTTTACGTGTTCATGTCTTGCATCTGTCTCAAAAAGATTCTTGGGGAGTAGACAAGATAGAGAGAAAAATCATTGGCCTATTGGTGTCCACTAGAAAGAGAGAGAAACTAGGATGGAGTTTGGGCATAGAACAGTCTGAGGTTGGCCGGGCACGGTGGCTGACGCCTGTAATCCCAGCACTTTGGGAGGCCGAGGCGGGCAGATCACGAGGTCAGGAGATCGAGACCATCCTGGCTAACATGGTGAAACCCCGACTCTACTAAAAAATACAAAAAATTATCCAGGCGTGGTGGCGGGCGCCTGTAGTCCCAGCTACTCGGGAGGCTGAGGCAGGAGAATGGCATGAACTCAGGAGGCGGAGCTTGCAGTGAGCCGAGATCGCGCCACTGCACTCCAGCCTAGGCGACAGAACGAGACTCCATCTCAAAAAAAAAAAAAAAAAAAAAAGGACATTCTGAGGTTCTGAGGTCTGAATTGGAGAGAAAAGATTGAACCTGCATACCAAGAGTATTGTATGAGCACAGCCCCACCTGTTTCTCCCATCAGTGGTGCTCCTACAGCCAGGGTAAATAAATGTCACGAAGCAGTGCTGGCTTGCCTCTCCCACCTGCTTGCATTGCTGTGTGGGGAGAGAGCAGGGGTGGAGGGAGCCTAGGACATCACAGAGCACATGTCTGGGGACTTCCCTGAGCTACAGCCTCAGTTTTCCTTCCTGCTTCTGCTTCAGCACCAAAGTTGGAAACCTACCCAGAGTAGGGGCAAAGTGGACGTCACTGTCTCAGCACAGGAAACAAGGTGCTAAGGCAGAGGTTAGACTGAACTGCTGTGAGCTGTCACTGGGTGGTAAGAGAAGAAAGATGAGTGTCTATGATTATTTGCAGTAGTTTGCCTATGAAGAGGAAGTGAGAGATTAGCGGGCAACTGGAGAGAGATAAGGCTGAGTAAACATTTATTCATTCAACAAGTATCAACGTATCTTATATGTACTAGGCATTAGGACTAGGACAGGCACCAGGAAGACATTTTCCGTCCCTCATGGAAAATCTACCATAAAATATACTTATGCAATGAAATAAATTCATGTGATAATCTCAAATGCATTTTGTAATCTGATGTCTTAAAACAAGTGCAACATTTTCCCTCAGATTTAAATACTTACTTGATTTTTATAAAACAGTCAAATTTGTGTTTTAAGAAAGAAAAATAACACATCAACTTCTACTTTTTTTCTCTCTCATTTGCTCTTTTCATTCTTTTTGTCTTTCAAATCAGACAGTCTTGCTGTTGTCACTTATTATTAAAAAATATTTTCTAAAATGGTGTCCTTAACCCAGTGTTCAGAGCCTTTCACAGTGATATTTGACTGAAAAAAATCCTTTAATCTCCTATAATTTTTAGAGCATTGAATATTATCCCATGGAAGTTAGAAATGTGAATAAAGCAAGGTTTCCCTAGCTAGACTGTAAACTTCCTGATAGCAAAGGCACTGCTGGGTGTATAGCTATCTAGAATAAAGCCAGAGTACTATAAATGCGACTTTCATAGGAAGGGTACAATTAAGGATCCTTGGTTTGTAGAAGAGGAGGATACAATGAATTCTTAACCAAGGATTCAGGAAGACCCCTGAAGGAGGTGGCATTTAAACTTGCTATTAATTCATGTGTTCTTCACATCACTATTCACAATAGCAAAGACATGGAATCAACCTAGGTGCCCATCAGTGGTGGATTGAATAAAGAAAATGTGGTGTACATACACCATGGAATACTTTGTAGCCATAAAAGTAACAAAATCATGTCCCTTGCGACAATGTGAATGCAGCTGGAGGCCATCATCCTAAGGGAATTATCACAGAACTGGTAAACCAAATACTGTATATTCTCACTTATGAGTGGGAGCTAAATGTTGGGTACACATGGACATAAAGAATGGAACAACAGACACTGGGGACTACTAGATAGGGAGGGAGGGGCAAGGGCTGAACAACTACCAGTTGGGTACTATGCTCACTACCTGGGTAACAGGAAAATTTGTACCCCAAACCTCAGCATCACACATTATATCTATGTAACAAACCTGCACATGTATCCCTTGAATATAAAATAAAAGTAGAAATTATATTTTTTAAAAAATAAAATCTTAGTTCTTTGAAATAAATAAATATAACTGTGTGTTAAAAGTTGAGTATTTCAGGCCGGGCGTGATGGCTCACGCCTGCAATCCCAGCACTTTGGGAGGCCGAGGCGGGCAGATCACGAGGTCAGGAGGTCGAGACCATCCTGGCTAACACAGTGAAATCCCGTCTCTAATAAGAATACAAAAAAAAATTAGCCGGGCGTGGTGGTGGGCGCCTGTAGTCCCAGCTACCCGGGAGGCTGAGGCAGGAGAATGGCGTACCCAGGAGGCACAGCTTGCAGTGAGCTGAGATCGCGCCAGTGCACTCCATCCTGGGGGACAGAGCGAGACTCGGTCTTAAAAAAAAAAAAAAAAAAAAAAAAAAAAAAAAGTTGAGTATTTCAGACAGCAGACAGCTACTAACCAAGGTCTCAGAGGCAGGAAACAACTTTTGTCAGGGGTTAGGGGGTGGAGAGCATTTGATAGTGAGGGGAGATGGTTTAGAATGTCTGCAAAGGTTATGTGGAAAGTGGTAAAACATATTGATCTCAGATCTTGGAAAGCGTACTTGAAAAGTTTATCCTGTTGAGGTCTGTTGAAGAGCTGTTAGAAGTTTTCAAGCAAGGGGAGAAGCATGAGGTTTAAGAAAAAGACTAGAAGCACCCGGAAACCTGGGAAATGATGGGAGATTGGAAGCAGGAACACATTAGATGAGAGGTCATTGCCTACATGGGAGATGGAGGATGGTGGGTGAGTTTCTGAACTATGACAGTGACCTTGGATATGTCAATGGGAAATAGGGCTTTTTGTATGCAAGGTGGCCATAATCTAATCATTGGTTATGTGTGTTGTGGGGAGTAAGAGAATGAAGATGATGCCAAGTGTTGAACCAGGGAGAGTGGCAGTGCCACTGATTTTAAGGAACAGGGGAAAAAGGCAAATTCAGGAGAGGATGGGGATGAAGCATCCAAAAAGATATAATTTAAGCTCTAGATATGAATAAAATTGCTGCCAAGTGGAGAACCTTGTGGAAGGCCCACGTTTAAGGGAAGGCAGAAGAGAAGCCAGAAGAAGAAAATTCAGGGGAGTTTCTTGAGATGGGAATTGAGGTTTCAGGGAAGTCAAGAAAAAGATGTGGATTTCAAGGAAGAGGCCTCATGCTGTGATTTGTTTCACTGATATAATCACTAGGTTGTGCCTTTTCTCTTTCTCTTCCTTTCCCTGTGGCACAGCCCCACGAAATGGGCTGTGCAGCTGTCCGTTTTGTCTCACATCTGGGTCCACACTTCATTTTTGCAGTTCTGCCCTTACTCATTAATGAGCAGCAACTGGCCTGGAGCCACCGGCAATCAACAATTTCCTTCAGAAACTCCTCCTTACTGTTGAGAAAATGACTTAGTAAGGAAGCTGCTTGTGTCTTTGTTAGAGAGGCACAGAAAGGGAGGAGAGCTGGATGATTTGCTAATTGGGAGTTATTGGTTTTGTATTTAAGGTTTCCTGATTCAAGCTTCAGGTTTGTTTCTAGGAATAATACAGTTTTTACAGCAATAATAACTACCTCCAAGCAAAAGTACTGTTTTGCCCTTCAGTTTTTATATTAGGTAGTCAGTCGTACTCATAAAATAGTCCATTTTATCTCAATGCCTCTATTTCAGGTTTTACATGAAAAATTTCTCAATGAATTTTTTATTAGGAGGATAAAATATTTGGTTTCTTTGGAGGAAGTGATATGTTTTCTCCTAAGAATAGGACTTACAGGGTTTCTCCTAAGAATAGGACTTCGTTTTCCTTTCACCTAAATTACCAAGAAATTCAAATCCATATTATAACTTCAATCACTTCAACTGTGTTGACCAGTATATATGGCCTATATATATTTTATATATATATATATATATATATATATCTTTTATTTATATTTCATTAATTTCTTGGAAAGCACCTCAAATCCTCAAGGTAAAAAGAAAGTCATGGCATAAATAAATAATTTTACTGTTAACTAAATTCCTTTCCAAACATTATCTCATTTGACTGTCAAAACAGTCCCACTGAGTAACTGGTATTATTACTTCCACCTGGAAGATGAGGGAAGCATCACCAGGAAGTTAAGTACTTAAAGTTCACTCAGATGGAAACTATGAGTGCGATTTGACCCCAGATATTCTGTCTCCAAAGGCAGTAGTCATTTCAGCCTTCTTTGCTCTAACTTTTGTAAGCAGCTAGGAGACTTGTAAATGGCATGTAGTTGGCTGGCATACTTCTCATTCTCATGAGAAATAATCACTGACATGAGAAACTAATATTGTTTGAGTGGTTTTCTTCTTGATAGTGAAACATTCCATGCTTGTATATATCTCTTTCCTAGGTTTTATAATAATCAAGAAGCACATGAAAGAGGCCTCTTCATCAAGCATTCTTGACTAAGTTATGAAAATGGAATTGAAGTTTATTTTCCCCCTTCATATGGTAAGTAACTACTAATTTAGGTAACAGAATTGGCTTTCCCCTTTCTTACAATATTTAACAAAGAAATGGAAAAGCATCTTGTGTAAAGATGGCATGACTTATGAATAATATCTAGATTGTCTTCATTATGTTTCACAAAAAATAGAAATATTTCGTTTTTTAGTTCAATTATGGGTTTTATAAATTCTACTTGAATATATTTTATCTGGTTTAGAATTTGAGTCATTTGGACCTACATATGAGTTTTGATTACTAAAATAACATAACTCTTCTATCCACTTTATACACAGTTAAAATTCTTTAGTGCGTAGCATTTTGTACAGGAAATTGACATGTGGACTCTGAAAAGTCATGGCCATATACAAGGAAGATTTAGAAATGACCAGATTGCTGTGCGTGGCATTTCTCTTTTTCCCAGATGCCTTAGCTTGGAGCATCCGCCCTTTTTGGCCTGGGCACTGAATGTCTTTAATTAGAAAATCTTATTAGAACTAGAGTCATCCCAAGTGAGTAAAATCAGCTTTTGAAAAAAGGTCCACATTATTGAGTTTTTTCCCCAGAGTATTGTGCCTAAAAAACGTAGAATTATTTGAAATGGACAGTTTACTCTCCTTTGTCCACCCATAAAATTATTTGTTATTTTCACTCTTCATTGTATTTTATTTTTCTTCATATGTTTATATGTTCTAATGCATATTTAAAAGGAAAACTCTCTGTGTGTAGCTGCAAATATTGTAAAATTTCATTTATTCCAAAGAATTAAGATGGTGGGCATATCTGAATTTGTGGGAAAGCTGAATTATAGATAACTCTTAAACAAATGTGGCTTTTATTATCTTTAACTACATATAGTAACTTCAACAAATCATAATAAAGTAGAAGTCCTTAAGGAGACCTGTTATAATAAATCATATGAACATTTTGTTATTAGCATATAGATTGGATGTATGTAGGAACTTGTAAAGTGCCTGAGGTTCCTTGAAAATTGTTTATTCTGTGTCTAAAATGTGTACATAAGACTGAAAATAAATGTTTAAAACACCATATATTATCCACCTATAAATAAAGTATTTACAAAGCAAAAGTAAATGTCCACCCAGCTCATGAACAAATTATCGAAAGATTTTAAATTTATTGAAGTCCCAAATTAATGAGATATTACCATGTGTGCATAAATAACTTAAAGAATAAAATTTGCTGATCCTTCTCTCATATGGGTATTTGTGCTAATGAACCAGGATCCTATTTACACTATTAGTCCCCAAAGTAATTGCTTATTTGAAGAAGTTCTGTCTTATGGGTTTTCAGTTAATTAAATCTATTTGCATTTTATGCACACATTTCAAATTCTCAAGCCCTACGTTTCATAAGCCAGATTCAAATATGTTCATGTAATAATATCTCTCATTAAGGCTGTAGTCTTTCATTTTTAAAGGAACATTCAGAATAGTCATATGCATAAAACACTTATTAATAAAATCCTTTCAATATTTTAGAAAAGTCAATCCATTAAATGTTATTTTTTTAGTTTAAATTTTCCTATTTGTAATGGTGATTACTATGCTGAACAGACTTCCAATCTCTAATGTTTCCGTTAACTTAATTTATTCAATGATTTTTTTGCTTTGATTTTGCATGTCAGTTTTTAACTTCTAATATGCCTTTAGAATTACAAGCACCCTTTTCAAGGTACGTGCATATTAACTGGTTGATCTTGCCTACCCAATTGGAGCAAAAATATGGAGCAAAACTTTTCTAATTTTAATACTGAGGAACAGAGTACAACAATTCAGAAAGTTAGAGAGATTTTAAGTGGTATAGTTTTCAGGTAGTTGTCAAATATTTGACCAAGAAGTTGGGAATTAAAGTACGTAAGTGATAAAAATTGTAAACGTCTTCATTAGATCCAAACTATGGAAATCTTTCATTGCTATCCTACCTGGGAAGCTTGAAAAAGATACTGAAATTAGGAGATGGAAGAAGTAGAGGGACAGGCCAGAAGGAGGGCGGGGCCGGGAAGCTCTGCAGGGTCCATGCTGTGTAGCAAGGCAAGGCCAGACATTGGGGAAGGTACCCAGGGGCACAATTTGGAAAGCAGGTTTGAAATCTAGTTTTGAAATCATGCCATACTAAACTATCTTTAGGGGGTTATTACATGCTCACCTATTTCAGTGTTTAGGTGTATTAGAGTGCATCTAGGTGTATTCCTCTTTGCAAAGATGTAAAATGCAAAATCTGAATACATTTAGATTCAAAAATTCCAGCCTAGTATTATATCTGAATCAATAAAGAGTAAAGTATCCAAGAGGAAAAAAGAAAGAAAGAAATGATATCCTAAAATCAGGATAAGCATGACACTTATTTTATTCTTTTACATAGAACAATATTGGACAATAATGTGCTTTTGTTCTCATCTTAACATGGGATTATACTATAACTATAAGAAGAAAAACAATTTTTGATGCCCTGAAAAATCATATGTCTTATAATAAGCAAATTTCATTCAGTTAATTGTTATTTATTCATTTAAGCAATGATCTATGTAAAGTGTAATACCAATAGTCTCCTAAGAAGATATCATTTTCACTGGAATAGCCCTAAGGAAGCATTTCTTCTCATTTAGAGAAAGTAGGGATAAAGCACTTGTATTACCATTTGTATAAATTTTTAATACTGAATAAAATATTAGTATTTAGCTTAATATTGATTCCCAACATAATATTCCTCCATAATGGCATGCTAATTGGTTAGAATTAAATCAGACAGATTCAAGAACACTGAGAATAGACCATCTAGCACTTGTAATTTTTTTTCATTAGTTTCCAGAATTCCAGTTAAAATGGAATTAATCTGTCGATTAAAAGACCATGGAACAATAAAAGTTCTGTGCCTTATGTCATGTGCACCGCCTTTCCCTCCCACTGCTCCATGCCCACCATAAGAAGGGAGCGGAAGAGGAAAGAGGGCAAATGAAACGCACATGAAATTCACATGTGAATTTCAACCTCAATGTCATTGTGTTCAAGAGTGAGAGTCTACATGCATTCTAGCCCTGTAACTTACTATGTGTGAGAAAGGCATTTTACATAAGTCTCTGGGAGTCACAATTTCCTCATCAGTAATATTAGTCTAACAGTATCAGCCTCTTAGAGTCATAAAGGAAGTAAAACAGAGGTTCCCAATAGGAGGAAATTTTGCCCATCAGGAGGCATTTGGTAATGACTGGAGATTGTTTTGGCTATAACGATTGGAGGGGTTGAGTGTGCTACTGGTATCTAGGGAGGCCAAGGATGCTTGCTAATATCCCTAGATGCATAGGATGGCCCCCAACAACAGAGTCATCTGGCCAACAAAATCAATGGTATCAAGGTTGAGAAACCCTGGAGTAATGTGAAGTAATATATGCAATGAGCACAATGCCTGATACACAATACACCCTCAAAAATCTTAGTATAATTATGTTGTTACTGTTGTCATTTGAGAAGGAACTCCACATCACCTAAATGGTATCCGTACTGAGTACTGTCAACAGTTCAGCAAGCCCATCCCAGTACAGTTAGTCAGGCCTATCTGCTAAGTTACCTACTTGAAGTGGCCAATATATAGGTGCCTTTAGGAGTAGAGTGACCCACTTAATACTTGACTAGTCTAGAAGGCACATAGATATGATTATAGCAAAGTTCATGGGCCGCCATTTAATTTCTCAGAAAGTAGTCATTTAATCTTCTTAGAAATTGGAAGAAATAGAAAAAGACAAATAAAAAGTAACTTACAGGCCAGCCACAGTGGCTCATGCCTGTAATCCCAGCCCTTTGGGAGGCCGAGGCCAGTGGATCACCTGAGGTCAGGAGTTTGAGACCAGCCTGGCTAACATGGTGCAAACCCATTTCAACTACAAATACAAAAAATTAGCCAGGCATGGTGGTGCACACCTGTAATCCCAGCTACTTGGGAGGCTGAAGCAGGAGAATCACTTGAACCCAGGAGGCAGAGGTTGCAGTGAGCCGAGGTCGCACCATTGCACCCCAGCTTGGGCAACAAAAGCGAAACTCCGTGTTAAAAAAAAAAAGTAACTTATAATACCAAGTGACTGTTAATTTTTTAACTTTTGCTGTTAGTAATGCATCAGGAGTCTCCTGATTGTCATGTTTTACTTTATAAAATAAGCTAATATTTGGACAAATGGCTCAGAAATATGGTCTGATTAATATGAGATCTTGATTAATTGGTTATGTGATACATGAATATTATCAATTTCAAAACCAGTTGAATGCATCAAAATAGTTTTGACTTGATGCTAAACCATTTTAAAGGGGGAAAAAATCTTGGTTAATGCAAGAGTTTTGAGGTCAGACGTGAGTTTGCATTTCAGCTTTACAACCTTCAAGCTGTGTGACCTTGGATAATTTACCTAATTTCTCTGCACTCAGTTTCTTCATCTGTTTAACAGGCATAAATTTACCTTGTAGGGCTCTTGAGAGAATTGAGACACAAAATATTTGGCATATATGAGAAGTGAGTAAATGAAAACAGTTATTATTTTCATCATCTTTATTATTTTGACCCTAAAGTAATTCTGGGGACCTCGCATTGCCTTGGAGTTCTAATTATAGCCTTCTCTTCTCATTGTAAAGAATGATAACTATGATGTTAAGTACTTTTTACTGACAGAGAAACTTCAAATGGCATTTGTTACCTCAATAAACAAAAATCTTAGACTCATTTCAAAAAAATTCATTTCTGAAGAAAAAAGAAAACTTACATATCAAACATAGAATTTCCCAGTAAGGATATTTTTAAGGAAATGGCAGATTTCCAAAATTAAAGAATGAATAATGTACACATCTTTCTAGCATATTTTAATATAGTTGATAATCCACTTTTTAATTAGCCACCTAATTATAAACCATTACAAATTTCCCCAGGTGAATGTAGTAACCTACTTCAGAGAGGGAAGTGGCTCTTTGAATGGGCATTCCTACTATGAAATTTGACACTTTTTCAGTCCCAATTTGTTCTAAACTTAAACAGCTCAGGAGAGATGGGAAAGAGCTCTGTTTCATAACCTAATCATTTCTACTGCCAGAAAGATTGAGTAGAAGGCTAAATTCTAAATTCACCTTTCATCAATGTTTAGGTTTTTCCTTTTTCTTTATTCCCCAGAGAAGACCCCACTTTTTATGTGTGTTCCCATCATTCGTATGTTCTAAGTTTGAAAATAAAACATTTACAATTAATCCAAACTCTGGGTTCCTTCATTTTTCTTGGTGGTATGCTTTCTGCTTAGCTCATGTTTCCCCAACTTAAAACTCTCAATAAGCAAAGGACTGAAAGGTACCTGAGAAGAGCATCTCAATGTCATAATAGACAATTGTTTAATTCCACAACCCAGACAATGTTAAGGAGGGACATTTTTAATCTATTCCTTAGCATTCAATGCTTGAAGTTCCCAAAGTTTAATCATTTTTTTATCGTATATTCATAACCTTAGTCAAAAATGTGTTCAACTTACCAATTGGTCCAGCGGACATTTATTGATTTTTGTATTGAATTCTCTCTTCCAGCCAGTTTTAGCTTTGTGTAGTTACAACTCTAATATGTTTGCATTTAATTTTAAACTATCACCTATCATTAATGTCTTGCTCATATTCATTAAGCTAATGCAAAGCGGAGAGTTGAACTATTAATTTTAATGAATTTAACTGATCACTTTGCTTCCACCCTTGCCTCCTATAGTCTTTTTTCAATAAAGTATAAATCATATAATTTTGCTCCTTGACTCAGAACCTCCATTGGCTCCCTGTTTCACTCAGAGTCAGCCAGCAGTGACCTGCCTGACCTCACTTCCTTCCGGTTCCTCCCTCTCCCATTCTACTATATTCCAGCCACCCTGCCAGAACATATAGTGTGTTTCTGCCTTATGACCTTTTCACTTGCTGTTTAGTCTGTCTGGGACACTTTTCTTCAGTCACACATCCACGACCTGCTCTCTCACTTCCATGAAGTCTTTTGTTCAAATCTCACCTTCTCAATAAGACCTTCACTAACTACCTCTAAAAATGTAATCTCTTCCCACACTTCCTAGTTCCCTTTTCTGATTTATTTCTCTCTTTGATACTTGCCAACTTCTGATAAATGATGTAATTCACTCGTTGTTACAGTCTTTCTCCCTCATCTAAAACATAAGCTGCAGGCAGGCAATGATTGTTGTTGACTTTCACTAGTGTATCCCAACCATGTACTCCAGTGCCTGGTATTGGTTAAATTGAATTGAAGTTGAATTGCACCCTTATTCACCTCATTTCTTTTCCCTCAGAGCCATAATTTGCCATTCTGCAATATAGTGATTGTATATTCTGGTGTTCTGCCTTTATTATAGTTTGTTTAGGAAAATTTTGATCCCCTTACCCACAGCTAGACTTACGAGATGGAGGCCATGGTTTCATTGTATTTTCTTTTTGACCATTGATAAACTTTAACTAGGTAAGTTTGCATTTTAGCCATATTCCTTTCCTTATTATTTTTCCTATTGGGCAAGACACTGTTATCACCAAAATGGTAAATTTACTGGGATAAATTAGAATCATGATCAAAACACTGGGTAAATTCTTAGGCAAAAAAAGGTAGATACAGATGAAAATAACAAGCTCCACAAGCAATTAAATAAAAAAACAAAAGAGGATTAGTTTCCTTTGAACCTAGGCACACTTTTCCTAGCATACATGTTCCTAGCATAAATATTAGAGCCTTGAACCTGGTTCGAGAAAATACCTACCTACTGATGACAAGGAAGCCATAAATATAATTTATGACCAAAAATTAGTCACTGTTTATTATTGCTGGTGACACATGATACATAGGGGGAGATTTGGCAGTGTTTCAGACATCTCCAGCCAGCCATTTATCATATCATAGAAGAAGAGGAGGTATTTCTATATTAATGGCCTCTATAAAAGGAAGTGAGTAGAGGAATGTCTGATATGTTTTGTCATTGAGAATCAAAGGGACATTGACAATGTTAAAAATGTGCTGAGTGGATTACAGGTTTTGTATAAGTAGTTCTTCAAAATAACAATGCTCTATTAAAAAAAGAAAAAGAAGAAGTAGAAGAAGAAAGGAACTATGTTCTATGTTGCTTAGCTCTCTCTTGTGCCCTCGAATGACATTTCTGGATGCGAGCTGAGAAACAAAAGCTTGATTTATCTCTAGAACCAGCAACATTTTGAGCAGCTTGATAGCCTTGAGACCCTGCTGACTCACAGCCATGCTACTGTCCCAGCACGGGTTTACACTGCAGATCGTTTTGATACAATACGCAGAGACCCAACATACCCACTCTCTCTCCCAACTTAGCCTTAATTCTTTATCTCAGTCTATAATGTAGAATAAAACAAAGACCAAATCATGTTAATAACTTCCACTTGATTGAGAAATGCAAACCCATGTTCCCTTTGTAACTACTATGTCTATGCAAGTGGAGACATAAAGCCCTTTGGGAGAAGACTTTAAATATGGGGTTGGAGATGTGAACAGCCAGGAACTTTGTCTCAGAAACGGTAGGAATAAGCCACTAAAAAGTTGTTTTAACATGGCCAATAACTTCTGTGATGCTTTGCAGAATTCTGAAGACGCCATTAAAAATTAAATAAAAAGCCTCAGCTCAGTTTTGTGTATGCTTCAATAGGCAAAAATATATATTTAATGCAGAGGGTGTTGAATCTGAATTAGTACAAATATTATTAATTTAATGTTCATACTGCATTTTATGGTTTATAAACTGCTTAGCAATAATTTTATACATTTTTCCTCACAGCAGCACTGTAAAATATATCGGCATTTTATTTTCCCATTTTATAGATGAGGCAACCTTTAATAAGTGATCTATTTCTTTCCTGTGCATATCAGTTAACGGGTAAATGATTAATTTATGTCTACATGAACTTCATCATGCAGAATATTTATTTTAGTGTGAGTTGGTATTTATTTTACCCACAAAGCATTACAGTATCCAATTATATATGCATGTTTTAAAGGCAGTAAAGCAGCCACCAGTAGTTAATGCAACATTAAGTCAGAGATTTTTAAATCTACATAAATTCTGAGTTAGGGTATTAAATCAACCATCCCTTTTTCACCACCTTGGTTCATGTGGGTGAGAAATGGTCCTTCTATAAAATGACCACATGGCATCTGGGGATTGGGACAGAAAAGATGTATTGAGATTTACAGAATTTACAATATTAACAGTAAAAAAAGAACCAAGTGATTTATAATTACATTTGGTGAGAAAAAAGTAAACAAATCTTATCATTTGCCTCTGCCTGTGGAATAGCTTGTGATCATGAGACATCTTTTTTGGTCTCTTTCTTCTTTCACTTTCTGCCTTCATTTCTTCCTTTTGTTTTCTTTATTAATTTTTGCATCTGTAAAATTGTTGTCTTAGCTGCTTGTATGGAGGAGCATAAGCAGCCATACATAAGTGACATGTTAAGGTTTCATAAATAGGGCAACACCCCATGAAGCTGTCATTGGCATTATTTCTCCATATTGCATTATATTATATTGAGCTATAAGTAAAATTGCTTCTTTGAAAGTGTATGGTACTTAAAGGCCAAGGATCTCAAAATGCTCCCTAAGCACTGACTCAGCTAATACACTTCTAATATCAATCTACTACTCTAATGCTACAATTTAGAGAGGAAAAAGCACCAAAAATTTCAGTCATTTTATTCTAAGTCAGAATTTGTTTAATTAGAAACGTGCCTTCTTTCCATGACAATTTATAATATATAATTCTCCTTCATTTACAGATCTCAAGACTCTTAAATTTAGCCAATGAAGCTAAGATTTTAAAAAATTTATTGCAAGGAGTCCCTGCCCTAATTCCACATGCAAAAGTTTCTGATAAAGTCTAAAGATTGGCTTGTTAGCTGAGCTGTCAAAGGCGCAGATGATTTAAAACACATTTTGTGTGTTAAATATTAAACTCTTTCTGAATCCAGAAATTCTCTCTCAAATTTAACATGTATTTTTGAAACCAAAAAGTACTTACAAATCCAGAAAGTGCTCTGATGTGAATTTAAAGAAAATATTTTTATTATTAAAAATTTTGTATATAGTGAAATATAAAACCCATTACATTAGATCTACCAATAAGACAACATATTATGAGGTAATATTTTTAAATGTGTGATTTCCTATCGGGTCTGTTGGACAATGTCTACTTAATTGGGCATAGAAGTTTTAAAAACTGAATCTTTAAAACAAACAAGGGGCATTACTACAGAGGAATGTCACTGAAATATTTGTTTCAGACTTCTTGCATAAAGACTGGCTATAAAAGGAACAAGACGGGGCTGTACTTCAGTATACAGTTTCTTAACTCGGAGTTAGATACACTTGACCTGTGAGTGGGCATTGGAGATTATTTTTATATAATGAAGGCTTTTACTATATGAATATAAATATGGAGATTTCAGCGATCTTACTCTCTGTGATAAAAATAGAAAAGAATATATATATAATATATATACATATAGTCAAAAGGAGCATTTCAAATATTCGAGTACAAATTAAATATATGAAGTACATAAATTTTCTCCTTTAAAAAATCCTTCCATGTAATAAAATATCCTAATGAAATGCTGTTACTGCTTTCCTTATGTGCCACCGTTGCAATATCTAGTACCCCTGGGCTTTTCCTAGTCCAAGACTTTTTCGATGGCATTTATTATTCCCATTTATATTTATTTGACCCATATTGCAGCTTCTAAATTGGATATATCATTTTCCCCTGAGAATTTCTTGTCCTTACCTAGCCTTACAAGAGAACTGTGAATTTATATCACTTTCTAGTGCAACAATGAACTGACTGGGCAGAGAACCAGATAAGACTCCTCCCTTCCACTTCCTCATTTTCCACCATCCCCTTATAGATCATGAGGTGCAAGTGAGCATCCCATTATTGTAAATGTTGAACTGGGCTTGATTCCCAGGTTCTCAGTTTTGTAATCTCAGAACCCATTATTACAGTGTTTCTGTTTTCATTGGTCATCTTTGTATATATTATTCTGTTAGCTTTTGCCAAAATGAAACATTTCGAAGAGAGATGCTTATATGGAAAAACTGAAAAACCATTTTGTTCCTGCTAAGTAAAAACACTGTATTCCCTTTCAAAGAGAATTTATGTATAATCAGGTATTCATGATTTTTCAGAACAGCACGTGGAGAATGTTACTGAAACTCCATCTTGCTTCCACATAAAGTCAGCACAGCACTTAGTCAGTTATTACCTAGTATTTCCATGCAAGCGAATAAGTAGCATTTTAGCTTAAAATTTCAGCATTTAGTTTACACATCACTTAAAAACTCTTATGAGTAAACATGCCTATCCATTAGAAATTGTTTTTATTTGATAGTGCAAGTACAGAACAGAGAGAGGCAAAAGGGCAAATGCAGGCAGTGTCTTTCCAACAATTGATAGGACAAGGAGATTCTGGGCCAGGAACACAAGTCTCTGGACCATGTAGCAAATGTGTCCCTGGTGAGAGAAAAATGCATTAGGTTGTCATGGCCTAAAAACACCAGCCATTTACACATTCTGACGAATTCCCCTGATTCTGAACCCAGACTAACTTGGTAACCAGTTCATTGATTATGATTCTCCTTCCCATATACCTGGATTTATATCTATATCTATACCTTTAGAGAAAAATACAGCAATCAGTCAATATAGTTCATTAGCTTGATGGACATATTTTTATTGTAAATTAGTATATTGGCATGCTGCTATAAGGAAGCATTTTAATTAATGTGGTTGTTATCAATGAGGTCATTTTAAGATCATACAGCTCTCAGCCACACATACAGAGGTAGAAGTTCCATTTCTGGAACAAGAGATGAGTCATTTCTTATTCACATTTGCTTATAAAAAATACAGTCATCCCCATACATGCCATCACGATGCCTTCTCTACCCCACAGAAAAGAGAACTAATGTTTGTAAGAAATTACAGTCAGTTTACCACTATCCTCAGAGAAATAAAGTCTCTTCTGCAGGTTCCTGCAACCAGTAAGTAATTAGAGGTGACATTAAAACTCAGTTCTGACAGACGTCCTTTCAACTAAACTTGTGTCTCTGTCTAGAATCAACTGCTAGCAACATGCCCTGACTAGGAGAAACAGATGAGATTTCTTTGGCTGCTAGAGAATAAACACTGATCATATTGGTTACTTCCTCTAAACAAGTCTAAACTCAAATCCCATGCCCAAGAAATGGGTGTTCTGTACTGACCCCCCAATCTCGATGGATGTGTAGAAAAACCTTGTCTAATCATTTAGCTATGTATATTTTTTGGAGTCTGATTTTAAAATGAATGACAAACACAAAGGCATTTTGTTCATAGTGAACTTAAGTATTCATTGTATTCTCCTTATCTTGAAATTTGAAAAACAAAGAGAAACTATAGTTATTTTATCAAGCAGTTTGATAGTTGTCTTTCATGTCTATTTATATCTCTTGATTTAGTCAGAGTATGTAATTAGTCATGAACCCAGTTTCCATTATTACGTTTTGTCAATTGAAATATTGTTTTGTTTCCAAGTATACATTTATATTATTTACCTGCAACTAATTTGAAAATGGTTTTAAATATATGTATTTGAAACTGCTGGAAAGAGGGGTGACAACACTCTTAACTGATTATAGACTTAGTGATGCACAGGTAAAATATTTTAGATTTGCACCACACACTTTAGATATTAGGAGTATTATATTTCATGTTATGGAGATAGAAAATTCTGATGACTATTTTTTATCCTAAAGAATAACAGACACCAAATGGCATTTATTCAGTCATTTTGATTTAGTTTAATAAGGTCATTCTTCCATCTTCAGGTAAACTATTTGGCCTAAACTACTTCAAACATTAGAACCTTTACTTTGAGAAAAGATCATCGTCAAAGATAAAATTGTATCACCTACATCGGGAGCTCATTTCAGTGTTTAGTGTCCCTCCTCACTTTGAAGAAATTCTTCCTAACATATAACTCAAGTCAGCCCCCAAATGGCCCATATGTTCTCTTCTGCAAGTAATGTAATAAATACTTAATTATTTTGCTTATTCTTGATTTTTCATCCTTTTAATGCTCAGTTTGAATCTATGTTCTTTTCCCATTATCCCAGGCCACCAGGTTTCTCCTAGTCTAGTATTGCTTCATGGGCCTTCTGTGTTACTGATGGCATTATCTCAGTTGTTGGTGTTGTTTCTTTTGAATATGAAACTCAGCAAGCTTTGCCCTCCTCATTTAGTTCTGATGTTTCTATGATGTAATCCCTAAATTACTTTTTTCAGAATTCCTTCAGAAATGAAGTGCTAATTAAAAACAACAACAAAAAAGAAGGCTGTTAAGAAGGCTCAAATACAGTTTATGCTAAAAATTTTAAAGAAGACGATGGACAGTTTTCTCTCTTGGATGCTGTTTTGAATGTAGACAGAAAGATAAACTAAATGACCCCCTGATGATCTCCTAGCTCTGTGATTTTGTAATAATCTTAGCTTGTAACATCTCATTTTCTGCAACCACTAAAATCTTATCTGCCCTGAGATATGTGAGTGTTTAACAGATGAGAACCTTTTGATAGAGGAAAGACGCTGCTTGTTTTCTCAGAAGTAATTTTCTTAATAATTGCTTACCTTTATATTTGAGGCAGTCCATATTGAATCCTTAAATCTAGAGAAAATCATAAAAAAAAATTAACAGACATACTATATAATGATATGCAATCAATCCTTGGCTTTTGCCTTTGTTGCCCCGGCATTAGAAATATTTACTTCTATAGTCACGGTTTAAGGATTCATGAACCCCATTTTTTCAAACTAAAATCATTCTTGCTTTCGACACTGCACTTGTTTCTATTTAAAAGGGGAGTTTTGTTAACATCAGTGGGTATTTTGCCTCCAAGTGAGGCTACCTTCCAAGCAGGGTTGCCATAGAGCAAATTGCATTTGACAAGGCTGTCTGGGGAAGATTTAGCAGTAGTTAGATTAAGCTTGAGCTTGCCATTTAATCCACCACTACTGGTATTGTGTGCTAAGCTGATGATCATACTTAGAAGCACAACAATTAGGTTATTAGTTTTCTCTCTTTTTTTCTTTTTTTATTATACTTTAAGTTCTGGGATACATGTGCAGAACATACAGGTTTGTTACATAGGCATACACGTGCCATGGTGGTTTGCTGCACCCATCAACCTGTCATCTACATTAGGTATTTCTCCTAATGCTATCCCTCTTCTAGCCCCCCATGCCCCGACAGGCCCCAGTGTGTGATGTTCCCCTTCCTGTGTCCCTGTGTTCTCATTGTTCATCTCCTACTTATGAGTGAGAACATGCGATGTTTGGTTTTCTGTTCCTGTGTTAGTTTGCTGAGAATGATGGTTTCCAGCTTCATCCATGTCCCTGCAAAAGACAGGAACTCATCCTTTTTATGGCTGCATAGTATTCCATGGTGTATATGTGCCACATTTTCTTTATCCAGTCTATCATGATGGGCATTTGGGTTGGTTCCAAGTCTTTGCTATTGTGAATAGTGCCACAATAAACATACATGTGCTTGTGTCTATAGTAGAATGGTTTATAATCATTTGGGTATAAACTCAATAATGGGATTGCTGGGTCAAATGGTATTTCTGGTTTTAGATCCTTGAGGAATCGCCACACTGTCTTCCACAATGGTTGAACTAATTTACACTCCCACCAACAATGTAAAAGCATTCCTATTTCTCCACATCCTCTCCAGCATCTGTTGTTTCCTGGCTTTTTAATGATTGCCATTCTAACTCGTGTGAGATGGTATCTCATTATGGTTTTGATTTGCATTTCTCTAATGACCAGTGTTGATGAGCTTTTTTTCATGTTTATTGGCTTCATAAATGTCTTCTTTTGAGAAGTGTCTGTTCATATCCTTTTCCCAGTTTTTGATGGGGTTGTTTTATTCTTGTAAATTTGTTTAAGTTCTTTGTAGATTCTGGATATTAGCAGTTTGTCAGATGGATAGATTGCAAAATTTTTCTCCTATTCTGTAGGTTGCCTGCTCACTCTGTTGATAGTTTCTTTTGCTGTGCAGAAGCTCTTTAGTTTAGTTAGATCCCTTTTGTCAATTTGGCTTTTGTTGCCATTGCTTTTGGTGTTTTAGTCATGAAGTCTTTGCCCATGCCTGTGTTCTGAATGGTATTGTCAAGGTTTTCTTCTAGGGTTTGTATGGTTTTAGGTCTTATGTTTAAGTCTTTAATCCATCTTGAGGTAATTTTTGTATAAGGTGTAAGGAATGGGTCCAGTTTCAGTTTTCTGCATATGGCTAGCCAGTTTTCCCAACAGCATTTTTTTAATAGGGAATCCTTTCCCCATTGCTTGTTTTTGTCAGGTTTGTCAAAGATCAGATGGTTGTAGATGTGTGGCATTATTTCTGAGGCCTCTGTTCTGTTCCATTGGTCTATATATCTGTTTTGGTACCAGTACCATGCTGTTTTGGTTACTGTAGCCTTGTAGTATGGTTTGAAGTCAGGTAGCGTGATGCCTCCAGCTTTGTTCTTTTCGCTTAGGATTATCTTGGCTATATAGGCTCTTTTTCAGCTATTTTGGAACCAGTAGAAAATTTTATAAATAATTTCTACAAATACAAAGTGAAAAAATAGACCTCATGTATCAGATGGATAATTTACTTAAATTCAGGTGCTCATGTTATTATTATTAATTACATCAATAATGATAATGATGATGGTAAGAGTGTCCCATAAAAACTAGCTACCCTGAGCTAATCTGTGGCAAAACTTTATATGTATGATTTTCACTGAATCGTCACAAAAGTTCTCTGAAGTTTTACCGAAATAAAAATGGTGAGTTATGCATATATTCTGGGACATTTTTTCTGATACTGAGTTTGACTCTCCATGAATATTTTTACAAGGAGTTGTTTAGCATTCAGTTGATTATTTTTTGTTATTTGGTCCAACTGCAGTTTAGATGATACAGAATGAACATAGAAAACCATAGCATTAATCTTGCACTGTAAAAGCCCTATTTGTATTGTGACAAAAATATAAATGTGAAGTAAGCAGAAAAAAAAAGCTATGTAAGCTCTTTTCTGACCACGGAACTGTTAAAAAGTATTTGAGTCTTATGTTGTTTGGTAACGTTTCTATTGTGCTTACTATAAATGCGAAAATAATTATGCTACTGTCCAAAATGATTCTAAAGTTTCATAGTGAACTATTTTTATCAAAAATTTATTAGTTCCTCAGGTAAATGTGAAGCATTGAACTTAATACAATTACCAAGATCTATGAAATACAGAATTAATATTCAATACCGATCTGAATTATATGGATCAGTAAATATTTGATCTAAGGAACTAAAAAGGAAAAATGCATGTTATTATTAATATTCCTGTCTCTTGAATAAATACATGACTTCTGGGTGGAATAGTGAGTTTATATACCTGAAGAGAGCAGGGTTTAGTTATGCTGAATATAAGCTGTGACTACCACTCAAATCACCTAAGCCCCACTGTACTCAAAATTAGGAAACATTTTTAATATAATAAGCAAAATTGGAATAGACTTGTAACCACAAATAACCAATTTTTTTAATTATAGCATTGACAGAAAGGTTGCTATTAACTATTACAGGCAAACAATCAGTGATCACTATGACATTTTGCTAAATGACAGCAAGCTTCATCCACAGCATTGGATGATGCCCTGACCAGATACAACTGGAGAGTGCACTGGAAATACAGTCTTTGAGTAATGATTTTACCCAGTTGGCCTTCTATGTGTCAATCAAACGGTTGGCCCAGTTTGCCAGTTCTCTCCTTGCTGACATCAGAACTGAAATGGGTTGATGTTTGAAGTCCTATAGTCTTCTCTCAGGTGTCCACCTGAGAATGGAGGAAGGGATTATAAGCCTTATATTCCATTATCATCCAAGGTATTATTATTCTATTTCTTTAAATACTAAAAGCATAGCCTAAAAGTGATCCAAAAAGCTAAGTCATATTATGATGTAATAAATGCCTAGTAAACAACTCTAGAACTGAAGACTCTCAAGATTGAAGGTGACTTCAAAGGTCATAGATGATGATCCTAAACTCTTCTGACAACTGAAGTGATGCTAAAACACACAGACAATAGGACTCTCTTGACCTTCCAAATTCAGGCTGTTCTGATTGATAGAAAATCCTAATTGAGCCATAATCTGTCTCTCTATAAATTCCCTTTACTGGTCCCAGATGTAACCTTTGGGGCTAATGAACTGTTGACTTCCTCTTTGATGCCCTGACAAGCTCCTTTCCAACACTTCACTATTTCTTCTGTTTTCCTTCCTTCAACACCCTACTCACTTTCCCCTGAACATACTCTGATTTTTAATGTTTTACAAACCCAGGGTATTGCAAAAACAGGATAAAGCACAATTAGCAACAGCTCATTCTAAGCACTGTCTTTCTCTTAACACCAAAGTTGCTTTTGTGGCTGCTATATCAGAGTGACACCTGAAATTCCTAAGTGCTTCTCAAATATCTAAGCCAAGTCATATGTGCCGCACCCTGTATCTGCACAGTTGGGTTTAGGTTTTTTGTTTGTTTTGGACCTCCATAGGAGACCTCACATCTATTTCCATTAATGTTACCTCATTAAATTTGTTCCATCTCAACTTCAATTTTATTTTCATTTGGAATGTAGACTGTATTCTAATTCTGTCATCTCACTTACTCAGTAAGTGAAATCCTAACTTTGCATCAGCTGTAAATTTAACTAGCATACTTATACTTTCTATTTATTCAAATACCTGATTTTTAAAAAATATTGACAATAACAAGAACACGGGCATCAGCATTAGAAATGTCCTTCTAGACTGCCATCCATTGCCATCTCTAGCTGTGACCATTCAACAAACTGCCAACACCCCTGATGTCTCGCTCATATTTTTTCATCTTAGCCCCAAGGATGCCATGTGATGCCTTGGCGAACATCCTGTAGAAATCCAGATACCTTAATAACCACCATTGGTTAACCTAGTAACTCTTTCAGGGAAAGGAAATGATGTTTGTCTACAAGATCTGTTCCTTAGTGAATCATTTGGTGCCCGGCTGTCAGTCTCAAAATGGTTTATTTGAGGCTTACTTATATGTAGGTTTTGAGAAACTATCTCCCTCCCCATTTTGAAAATCAGATCCACATTCAACAATCCTTTGCTTGTGTACACCTCTCCTGCTTTCTGCAGCTCCTCAAAGATGGTCAGCAAGGGCTCAGTAGGTTTCATTGATAGCAGGGACCTCAGCTTACTCATTGTCCCTAGCACCCAGCTCTGTGTCTGCAACATAAGAGATATCCTGCTATTTTTAAGAATCAAAACACTAAAAACTTGTTATTTTGGTGCTCATACTCCTGTTTTAAAACATTGAACTAGGAATTACATATGTCTGGAAACAAAATTCATTTACACACTACATTTGAATTTTGAATTGAACAAAGGAACACTCCTACACCTGACCACATGCCACGCCCACTTACCACCCTTCCATGTCATCTTTCTGTGGTTTTAAATGACATTCTCTGGGTTTCCAGAAAGATAATTTACATTTCTCCAGAGACACATTGAGCACCAGTTTTCCTGTAGAGGTGCAGATGGAGCTACATTTGAATTGGCTGGTGAAGAGGTAGGAGAGAAAAGCATGGGGCACTGAAGAAAACAAGAGGAAGGCAGAACAGGGTTCAGAGAAGTGGGGTTGTGGGGAGGTTTCCAATTCAGTCCCTCTGTCCTAGGACTGCAGTCCCTCTGCTCCCTTCTTTCCCTCCAGCGCTAAATTCTCCTAGGACCAGACCCCTTTTCTACCAGCATAATGGAACTTCTCCCTTCCTAGTCATCTTAAGTAAATTTAAGCCAGAACAGGGACATTTTGAGTGGAACAACTTCTGAACACAAATGAAAGGGTAATATGACCAAATCTCACATTTCAATAAAATTCTGGTAATTTATTTGGATTAATCAAAATATAGAAACACCAGCATTGTCTCTTTGCCCTGGGGTTGCAATCATTTCTAAGGAATAAAGAAATGGATAAACAGGGACACAGCTCTCACCCCTGAAGGCATTTAGAATGCAAAGTGTCCTCTTACCCTCTCTTTATTCATCTTCTCTTCCCTCTCTGCAATAGTAGTCTATCGTTTCCCTTCCAAACATCATTCTCTCCTTGACATAAACAACAAAAAGAAAAAAATCTTACAGCTCTGTTCTTTTTCTCATCCATCAGGATTGCCATCCTCTCTCAGCTGCCGGTCTGTTTTTTGAGGGAACAATGTGTTCCTTGAACCTGAAAAGCAAACAAAGACTGGACACACTGGCTCACACCTGTAATCCCAGCTACTTTGGAGGCTGAGGTGCAAGAATCGCTTGAACCCAGGAGGTGGAGATTGCGGTGAGCCAAGACAGGGCCATTGCACTCCAGCCTGGGCAACAGAGTGAGACTCTGTCTAAAAAAGAAAAAAAAAAAAAAAAAAACAGGCAAACAAAGAAAAACCTAAATGTATTCTGCTATATTTTTTTTTTCTAATTGGTCTTAGATCATTTGAGAATTTTCCTTTTTACTTGCTATTCCCTTGCCCGGACTACTACTCTTTACCTGGATTTTCACAGGGCCAATGCATACCGTTCAGGTCTCCGACCTAGAGTCAGTGCCTCCTCAAACCCTGACTGCGGTGTCCGAAACAACCATACTGCATCGCTCCCTCACCCCCACCCTGCTTTATTTTTCCCAAAAGCACCATTGTTAACTGGAATTAAAGATGTGCCTTGTTTATTTATAATATTTCTCCCCAAGAACTTTGTCGTGCTTACACTTGTATCCCCAGTGCCTGGCGCAGTGCTGCTATATAGAAGTTTCTTAATAGAACACTTGGACACAGGAAGGGGAACATCACACACTGGGGCCTGTTGTGGGGTGGGGGGAGGGGGGAGGGATAGCATTAGGAGATGTACCTAATGTAAATGACGAGTTAATGGGTGCAGCACACCAACATGACACATGTATACATATGTAACAAACCTGCACGTTGTGCACATGTACCCTAGAACTTAAAGTATAGTAAAAAAAATAAAGATTAAAAAAAAAGAACCAAAAAAAAAAGAAGTTTCTCAATAAATGTGTGCTCAATTAATGAAGCAAAATAGATGGTTTAAAGATTATGTAAAGCAGAGCTACACAGAAACTAGAAAGAAGATCACATAATAACCACTGTAGTGGTTTCTTCATTATAGTTTCCAACTTTTTTTTTTTTTAATTAGAGATAGGGTCTGGCTATGTTGCCCAAGCTGATCTCAAACTCCTGGTCTCAAGTGATCCTCCCACCTTGGCCTCCCAAAGCGCTGGGATTACAGGGGTGAGCTACCACCCCTGGCCTCCAACTGTCTTTCACTTCAGAATTATGTGCAACTACATGGTAGAACTTGCTATTTTAAAGTAACTTTTGCTTTTTTTTTTTTCGAATATAATCAGAATTGCTTTGATAACCTGAAAAGTCACTTTGTAGACAGCTAAAAATATAGACAGATAAACTTGAAAAGAAATTACTCATAATCCTAACATCAGAGAAAACTAATATTAAAAGTTTTTTGGTATGTTTAGAATTTTTGCAAACATCTCAATCTTTTCAAGACATTATTCCTTTCAAATTCTTATGCTATAGAATTCTTCTAGTCTGTTCTTCAAACTTTAAAAAAATCTGTTCTCATAAATTTGCCATATTTGTCTGATTTTTTCAGACCTATCCCCATCACAGTTTTTAAAATTATATATTTATTGTCTGTAAGATTCCTGTTATTTCTGCATGGCCAACCACTTCCCCCGATGAGTTAGAATTTGATTTTTTTTTTAAATATCAGTTCCTCCCTTTATTTCCTCAAATTTTCGAACAATGAAATTGCCAACAAGGCAAGACAATGTCCTATCAGATGTCCTGAGGTTAGCAGAAAATGAATTCTAGGATGGATGGTTAGAGGTTACCATCATAAAAACACTTGTCTCATTTAGTCTTATGACTTTATTCCCCAACTACGGATAGACCATGAGAATTAAGGTAATGGAAAAATCCTGAAGAATTGCCAAGAAACCTGTATTCATTCATTCATTCATTCATTCAGTTATTAATTTTTGAAGACCTATTTTGTGTCAAACATGGAGGCACTTGAAATACTACCTTAGAATCAAAGAGCACATTACTCACAAAAGGCACACCAATTAATTCTCTTACAAATATGTATTGAACACCTACTACATGCCAGGCACCATGCTAGGCACACAAATAGGGAAGAATCATGATACCAACAATACAAACACACTTGAGTTTAAATCTACTACATGCTAGCTTATAAATTGCCAAAGCATTTTTTTCATCTATAAACTGAGGACTTAATAATAGTCCACTTAAAGGACTATTATGAGACTTTAAAAAACTAAGTCATCCAAGAGTCTAGTGATACAGAGATGAGCAAAATAAATGCTCTATTCTCAAGGTACTAGGAGTTTAGTATATAATATATATAAAACCTAAGCATTTCAACAATACTTATTGAATACAATTAAATTTAATACATGGCAAAATATGCTGCTATAATATTTGTCTTCTCTACTGAATGGTAAGTTTCTTTGTATATGTACAACCCCTAACATACTATCTGATAAGTAATGGCATACTCAACGAATGTTAAATGGTTGAACAAATAGATGCCTTATAAGTAACTCACTCTTCCTATCACCCTAAAGTTGTGAAATTCTCTCCCAAAGGCAGAGGGTTTATTTCCAGAGACTTTGTTTTAGTATTACTAATTTAAATTCTTCCTTAAGACTTTAGGAATGAAAGAGCAGATTAATTTCTGCCTATAAGGTAGGATTACATTAGATATTATCCCTAATTTTTATAAAGAAGGTTGAAGTTTAATCCACCCTGTAAAAATCACAAGTTGATCTTTGCTCTCCACTTGAAATTATTGAAGCTTCTCTTCCCAGAAATAAGTAACAGTTTGGAAATTTTCGCATATTTTTCTCTATACAAACTAACTTCATTAAGAAAGACTAAAAGAGCTGGAGTTTCTGGTTTCTGGGGCATTGAAAATGAAAAGCTGAAAGTCTAAACAATGACTAACACATTAGTCATAGTAAGCAGCTGTTTTCTAATAGAACAAGAAATGACGTGTTTAAAATGCTGCAGGAAAATTAGGATAGACATAATAAAGAAATTTTTATCTGGCAAGAGTGACTCCAAAGCAGGTGGCCTTAGAAAAGCATGCAATGTAAAGTTTTTAAGGGTTATACAGCAATCCTTGAAGTAATTGTAATTTTAAAATTGTCTTCCTTAATACAAGTTGATTGGATGAGATGATTTCCCAAGGTCTCAAATTTTTGGCTTGAGAGACTTTGCTTATTTTCCATGTGTCCCCTAGAGGGCAGTGGTGGCCCAAAACCCAGGAGAGCGTTTATAATCAGTTGTATCCTCTCTGGCGCCAACCTTCTCTCCAGCCTCTTTGCTAATTCACCTCACAAATCTGTCTTCTGTGAGCAAATTGGCAGTAACATGTTTATTCCTAAGTACCTAACGAGCAAAACCACTACATATTAGAAAATAACGTTGCATGCGTTATATTTTTACAAAGATGGAAAAGAAAAATCTCATTTTGCTAAGATTATATTTTATGTTTGCATGTATTGCCTGCCTTAACACATGCACCAAGGTTGGTAGGTCTTTTTTGTGCATTTTTCATGAATTTGGGGGTAGAGAATGTTGTGAGACAGTGGGGAAAGGTGACAAGATGTGTCAAGGCAAACAAATCAAGGTTTTTTCCCTTCAGTTGGAAATTCATTTTGAAACAATCCTTAAGTATTACTGAATGACTACTCACCCAATCATTTATTCACTGAGGAGTTACCTAATAGTCTAAGAACCATTATTAGATGCTATCGTTGGTAATGTGTGGAACAAAGAAAATATTTCAGGGAACTTGTAATTTGGAAAGTGATACTAAATTACTTGATACAGGTATAAGGAAGGATGACACAGGAAGGTATCCAACTTGTGAATTTTAGTAGCAACATAACACAAAAACCATTACTCCTTTTACAAATGCTTTGGATATCTTTTGGAGGACCACAGATCTGAAATATTTTTCCTGTTCCAATGGAACACATGACCTCATGTTTTAAAGGTGATGACTAACCACAGGAAGCTTCCTAGATAGACAAAGGGAGAGCCTGAATATGCATTTTTCTAAGGCAGAGGCTTTCTGTTGTAATGTTGCTGTCTAAATATTTTATTCTTCTGAGAAACATTTTTATGCAAAGGGTGCAACTTTCAAAGGAGCCTTTTTGCAGGGTTGCCCTAAAAGCCTCTTCTAATACCTGAGAATTTATCTTTCAGGATCTCTTTTATTGTAGTCAGAATATTTGCTGATTAAATTCACTTTCATCGTCTGAAATTGGGAGCAAGATACAAACCTCAAGTATGCAAAGAAAAAGATTGATGACATCAAAATTATAATTCAGTCAATACTTGCTGAGCCATTTGGGTCTCTGTATGGAGCGGAGGGCAATGAAAATTGCCTACCCATACAGCAATGAGTGGCTTTGAGAACATTCCTGCCATAACTTTTGGTCAAACCAAATGGTGTGGTTTGTTTATGTGATCACTTGTTTATGAAGATTGCTTTGGTTGCAAATTATACATATTTGCAATACTTCTTGGAAGAATTCTGCCATCACATCTGTAGCCGTGGTCTGTATTACAATCAAGACTATTTAGATGTTAGAAAATAGATTTTCAGTCCTAACAACATGGCTGGGGATTATTTATGATATTCTAACTCTAGATTAGGAATGGCATACATTGAAACTGGTAGATATTTTAAGTGGCATTGCTTTGAAGAGTTAAAGTAGTAAAATCACAGTATTGTCAGTGTACAGGTTATGCTTAGGAAACCAGGACTGACTCAGAAAGAAGACAAAATTGTTACGATGGGACCAGAAATCAGAACATTTTAAAAAACTATTTCTACTTCCCCAAAATTGACTGGGCCAGCAGTTTTTTCCAAGATCATGGTAAATTGTTTTAAGACTTTACCGAAGGACAGAAGCTTTAAATACTTCTTAAATGGAAAACTTCTTTAGAGGAAAACAAAATTAGGATAAAGACCTAGAAAATTATTTTATACAGAAAAAAATACTATATAATTTGCTTCTTCCTGAAGTATGGAAATTTCCCTAAAAAGCAACAAATATTATTTTGTATAAAGAGCATACTTTATACATAAGATCCAATTTGGACTTTATAAATACTTTCGACTTTATTTTGCATTTGCAATTTGAGACAAACCTGTAAATGGTTACTGTTAAATGATCATTCTTCCTCCCCTGTCATGTCTGCGCACTTGTATTTATCAGTCATTGGGCATATTTTGATATATTATCTATTGTAGGTAAGTATCTCTTTTTCTGTTGGGAAGAGTTATATTGGTGGTCACAGACAACCAGATTATTTTAATTTTAGTTCCAACAAAGAATTACAGACTGCTAGCTGCATATAAACTTTATAATGCATAGACATTTTCTAATTTGTGGCTCATTATGAAAATTTCCACTTACAACGATCCTATCATTGGATCTCAGGTACAAAAAAAAAGCCATTATAAATGGGCCAGGCACAGTGGCTTAGGCCTGTAATCCTAGCATTTTAAGAGGCCGAGGCCGGCGGATCAATTCAGGTCAGGAGTTTGAGACCAGCCTGGCCAACATGGTGAAACTCCATCTCTATTAAAAATACAAAAATTATCCAGGCGTGGTAGTGCATGCCTATAATCCCAGCTACTCAGGAGGCTGGAGCAGGAGAATCATTTGAACCCAGGAGCGGAGGTTGCAGTGAGCCAAGATCATCCCATTACACTCCAGCCTGGGTGATAGAGGGAAACTCTGTCTCAAAAAAAAAAAAAAACAAAAAAAGGTTATAAATCACCACTGCATTAATAGCATTGCAATAATATATTCATAGAAAAATAACTTATCTTCCTTAGAATGTATAGCTTGTGAAAGCACTTTCATATATACAGCAATGCATTTGAACTTCATGCTAATCCTAGGTGGGTATGGTTAAGTCCCCCCATCTCTAAGAATTTGAGAGGATGGGGGAGCTTCTCAAGGTCACATAGTTTGAAAATTGTTAAGCTGGTTCTCAGACAAGCTTTCATTCTGAATCTAGATCCATGTGACATTCTTATGAGGCTGTATTTACTACATCATTGTATTCATTTTATTGTACAAGGCAGCCTACTTATATGTTCATGTAAAATATTCACAATGGTGTTATTATTGTGTGAATGGCAGTATACTTAATGCACCGGTGTTATTTGCCCCCCTTTTGGAGAGGAGAAAGCAGAGCTTCAGCAAGGTCACATAATACATCCAGAATTGTACCGCTAGTAAGCAGTGGAGCCAGGGTTCTAATCCAGATGTGTCCAGCTCTAGGCATACTGTGTCATCTCATAGTATGTTCTTCCTGAATACAAGGTTTCCTATATGTTCACAAGGACATTTTTGTGAGCTCTATTTTGAGTGTAATTTGCATGGCATGCCACAGTGCCTCTTGAACATCAACAGAAGACCAACTGAAGTCACCTGGGAAGCCCCAGGGTCCTTTGAGAATGACAGCCCCACACCCCTTTCCTTTGGTTGGTTGAAGGGCTAGAAGAAAAAGAGGGGCTGGGTAAAGCACAGTTGACTCTCTGAGTACAGTACAGATAGAGTTAGTGAATCCCCATACTTAACCACCCTCCACCCCCACGAACCCCAAGTCAATGAAAAGATAAAGAAGAGCTTTAGAAGGGGAGAGTTTGACAATGACCACAATCCTGCTGTCAGCTCTGTGGACATGATGGTGACAAAAAAATCTTCCTGAAGTGGTAATAACAAGCTCATGGATATTAGCAGTGGTAAGCAACAAGGTAGCTGCCAAGAGGCAGCACCCACTGACATCAAAGGGTGCAGGCCATTAGGGGTAGCTGCCAGGGCAGCCCAAGAGGCTACAGAAAATGCAATCTAATTGTAATCATTTCAAGTTCTTTACGACTTGGATTATGATCTCCCATAAATAAGAAAGCATCAGATGTATGGTGGGGACATGATCCAAGAGGAATATAACTTAAACCCCACTCAAGAATATTTCCAGTATTAATATTCCATCCAACCAAATAGTTCAAACTCTCAGACAGATAGTATGAATATGACTTTCAGACAAAACAGTCATTTATTTGGTACAATATATTATGTTACAAATACAGATTATTAAATTTCTAGTTCTCTAAGGGGCCATTTTGTTTGTGTGAGTAGTTTATTTACAACTGGCAAGATCCACATGTCTGACTAGACGTCAGACTCTGTTGTGTTACTTACGTAAACATACTATTTGATTAAATTCGCCAGCATAATCAATAGGGGGTTCTGGTTGTCACATTAATTACATTCTATGGAAATTCTATGGAAGCATCATTTAATTAGATTTTTCACTTAGTACTTAACAGAGTATAAGAAATGTCATCATAGTTTTTTGCACATGGTAATGAAATCATTGGTACATTACCAAGATTAAATCATACAAGAATGTCTACCCTTCTGTTTTCCTCTCTGCTAAAATTATAAAGCTTCTTACAGTACCACCTGTGATGATAGGCAGGATACACAGAATTTCAAAGCTTTCTACAACACCTACCAATCTCCATGTCAGAACAAATTAGTATTTCCAGCCTACTGTTTATTATTATGGCATTTTAGAGCTTAATAGCTCAATCTTAACATTAATACATCTGCCTTTATTGTGTGTTTAATATGTGCAGTGAATATGTTAAGTGCTCCATTTACATAATTGTATTTAATCTTCAAAGAAACACTTTGAGGTTTCTTTCCCATTATACAGAGGTGGAAACTGAGGCACAGATCACTTAGATGGTAAAGAATAGAGCCAGGATTTACTCAGTTCTGATTCATTCCAAGTCCCATCTAGTTATTTTTTAGTTGCAGAAACAGGCCCAGAGAGATAAAGTGTCTTTCCAAAGTACACATAACTGGAAAGTGGCAGAGACAAAACTAGCACTCAGGTTTTCTGACTCCTGCCTGTTAGTTTTATTGCCAGAGCCATCACTGTAGGACTGAGAAGTTCAGCTATTTGTTTGTTTGTTTGTTTCATTTTTGTTTCAGCCAATAGCAGCCAGGCTCAGAGACATGTGAGCAACATCCACTAGCACTGCTGCCTGTGATGTGTAGAGCAATCACATTTTTAATGGACTGTGTGTCTGAGTCCTTTCTTGTCCACGTAGCTTTTAAAGTGATCTGGAGTAAATCTATTGCTCACTTGGCAATCAGTATTTGGCATTGTTCCTCAAATGGTGGAGTTAGATATCTGGATTTTGCTTTCTCCTACATCCCTGGAAACTTTTTCCTGAGAGTGCCATACTGTAGGTCCGTTTTCCAAGAGCAAGAACTGTGACTGTTTCATAAAGAACCTTTCAGTCTAAGCAGCAAATATGTGGCCATGTCTTTCCCTTGCTTTAAACACTCAGATAAGAGTTTGTTTTGTATTTTTTTAGTCACAGATGGGTGTTACATTTTACCAGTTGCTTATTTGTATCTCTTGAACATATGGTTTTCTATTTTACTAATGTGGTGATTTATGACTGATTTTTGAACGTTGAGGCAACTTTGCATTCCTGACCACTTAGTCCTGATGTACTATTGTTTGTATATACTGGGAGGCAGGGCTCACTGGAGACCACCAAAGTAATAGTTTACCAAAATGAAGATGCCACTATATTAATTACAAAAATGAAGTCTTTTTATTTAAATATCCTACTCTGGGCCAGGTGCGGTGCCTCACACCTGTAATCCCAGCACTTTGGGAGTCCTAGGCAGGAGGATCACTTGAGCTGAGGATTTGGAGACCAGCCTGCACAACATGGCAAAATCTCATTGCTACTAAAAATACAAAAATTTACTGGGCATGGTGGTGCACACCTGTAATCCCAGCTACTCAGGAGACTCAGGTAGGAGGATCACCTCTTCCTAGGCAGTCAAGGCAGTGAACTGTGATCATGCCTCTGTACTCCAGCATGGGCAACCGAGTGAGACCCCTTTTTGAACAAACAAACAAAACAACAACATAAACCCAAAAAGCTTCTACTCTGTCTTCTGTGTTGAAGATGTGGTTGATGGTTGATATTTTGTGAGATTCTCCTGAAAAAAAATGTTTTGGAAATCCATATCTATATAGTGTTTCAATTCCAAGTTTTGCCCTATAGATCCATTTATTCCTACTCTTCAAATAAAAAAGTAAAATTTTAACTTCTCTGACCTGTGCAATATTAAGATCCCAAACCTCTTAAAAACTAAAATCTGTCAAGTTCCTTTTGCAAGACGGTTGGCTCAGAAGTTTGGGCTTCTAAAGAAATGAGAGTTTAACATTTTTATATTGGACATATTTTCAGAAAATTTAGAATCCCATTAGTGTTCTTTGTAACATGCTGTGCTCAAAACTAAATTTTTTCAGGCTTCAACCTTATGCATATAAAAATGGGTTCACCTCAAGTTCCTTATGATTTCTTTCCTTTAGAGGTGCTTGACTTTTCTACCTCCTTTAGTTTGACGTTGGCTGTTTTGTGTACTGAGTCTTTTCACCACATGTCCCGAGGACCCAATTACTGGCTTTTTAATGAGATTAACTGTGGGGTCTGTATCTGTTCTGGCAGACACTCACAAGTGGTGTCTGCTCACAGTAAGTCATTCCACTTTTCAGTAATATTGTATTATGGTTGTGAATTTGAGTTTCATTTAGACTTTCAGTTTTAATCCTTGAACTCCCCTTTCTAGGGATGTGGTATTGCACAAGTGACTTAACCTCCCATACCTCAGCTTTCCTGTCCGTACAGTGGGAATGGTAAAGGAGATACAGTGGGAAAAGCACTGAACAGTGTGTCAGCTATGGAGTGAGCATTCAATAAATATCATTACCATTGGACAAGTTATGAATCTCTTTCAGTTATTCAGAAGCAGGTTATTAAATTTCCAAGTTATCCAAAAACCTTTTTTTTTTCTTTTACCACTACTTACTCACTTGGATCTGCTTTTTAGCACTTTCAATATCATTTTAGCATTTGATTCAGATTGGTTGGTTTTGAGGATGGGAGAAGAGGGGAATTTGTATTGACCGTAAGGCTTGGTGGTGGCTGCACCACTGCACCAATCTGGGAACCATTTAAGTCCCTCAGAAGACTACAGTCCTGCACCATATAATGACATTTCAGTCAACTGTGAACAGCACATACGACAGCGGTCCCATAACATTATAATGGAGCTGAAAAATTCTTATTGCCTAGTGACATTACAGCCATCTGAACACCACACATTACTCACATTCTATGATGCTGCTGCTGTAAACAAATGTACAAAGCTGACGGTCATATAAAAGTATAGAACATATTAATACAATTAGGTACAGCACATAGTATTTGATAAGGATAACAAGGGACTCTATTACTGGTTATGTGTTGACTATCCTTTTTGTCATTATTTTAGAACGTACTCCTGTTTGTATATATTTTAAGTTAAGTGTCAAACAGCCTTAGGCTGGTCTTTCAGGAGGTATTCCAGAAGAAGGTATTGTTATCATAGGAGAGGACAGCTCCATATATGTTATTGCCCCAGAAGACAAAATTGTTATAAATATAGCAAAATGTTTAAGTGAAAAATACTTCATCAATCATGATAGCACATTCTTAGTGTTCAAGACAGCGATATGTTGGTTTTTCAAGCTGTAAACAAGTTTGATGCACATATGGGTTCCTGTTTCCCTTGCATTCAAACTCTGGACCCTTCTGAGTATCTGTAACTGACACATTGTAGACCACAAATTTAGATGGAGGGAATGCTTTCTAATACTGAGTCAGCTGCCTCTCTGCTACCCTAATTACTGTTTGATAATAACATTTTCCAGTGGGACAAAATGTGGAGGTGAAAGACAGTGATATTGATGATCCTGACCCTGTGTAAGCCTAGGCTAATGTGTGTGTTTGTGTCCTAGATTTTAACAAAAAAAAAAAAGTCTAAAAAGTAAAAACATGAAAATAAAACACTTTTAAAAATAATAAAACTTATACAATAAGGATATAAAGAAGATATTTTTGTACAGCTAAATGTGTTTGTATTTTAAGCCAAATGTTATTATAAAATAGCCAAAAGGTTTTTAAAAATTAAGCTTACAAAATAAAAAAGTTATAGTAACCTAAGATTAATTTATTAATGAAGAAAGAAAAATATTATCTTATGAATATAGTGTAGCCTGAGAGTACAGTGTTTATAAAGTCTACAGGAATGTGTAGTAATGTCCTAGGCCTTCACATTCACCCACTATTTACTCACTGACTCACCCAGAACAACTTCCAGTCCTGCATGTTCCATTCCTAGTAAATGCCCTATACAGGCATACCATTTTTTTAGTCTTTTATTCATATTTTTACTGTACCTTTTCTGTGTTTAGATACACAAATACTGATCATTGTGTTACAATTGCCTACAGGATTCAATCCAGTAACATGCTGTACAGGTTTGCAGCCTAGAAACAACGGGCTATACCATATAGCCTAGGTGTGTAGTAGGCTATGCCATCTAGGTTTGTGTAAGCACACTGTATGATGTTTGCACAACGATGAAATTGCCTAAGGACATGTTTCTCAGAATCTATCCCTGTTGTTAAGGGATGCATGACTGTATTACCAGACTATTAACAAATGAGGCCCACTGTGATATTTTTGCAGAATACCACATGATAGTAGTTCAATGTGTTGAGTGAGAAAATTAATAATTAAAAGTTGTTATAAATGTAACAAAATATTTAAATGAAAAATACTTCATCAATCGTGATAGCACATCCTTAGTTTTCAAGATAGTGATATGTTGGTTTTTCAAGCTGTAAACAAGTTTGATGCACATATGGGTTCCTGTTTCCCTTGCATTCAAACTCTGGACCCTTCTGAGTATCTGTAACTGACACATTGTAGACCACAAATTTAGACTAAGGGAAGGCTTTCTTACACTGAGTCAGCTGCCTCTCTGCTACCCTAATTACTCTGTTTTATAATCAGCATTGCTGGTACACAATAGTCTGGCAATTCAAATGGAAGTATTTGTGCTTTGTAATGATAGCTAGCAACTCTCTGTGGTTTGGGATAGCTCAGGACAGATACTCCTTGAATAATTACCCTGCTCAATCAGAAGGAAGCATTCTTGTTATATTGCTGTGCATGATTGATCCATGTCTGTACAGCATTTTTTTGTTATTTACTCTGATGTTCACAAAGTGTGTTCAGTTAACACATGAATTGAATTGTGGCATTTTAAAACCATAAAGAAGGTTCCCCTTGCTGGCTGGGTGTGGTGGTTCATGCCTGTAATCCCAGCACTTTGGGAGGCCGAAGCAGGCGGATCACGAGATCAGGAGTTCAAGACCAGCCTTGCCAACATGGTGAAACCCCATCTACTAAAAATACAAAAATTAGCTGGAAGTGGTGGTGCACGCCTGTAATCCCAGCTACTTAGGAGGCTGAAGCAGGAGGATCGCTTGAACCCAGGAAGTGGAGGTTGCAGTAAGCAGAGATGGCACCACTGCATTCCAGCCTGGGCAACAGAACAAGACTACATCTTAAAAAAAAAAAAAAAAAAAGAAAGAAAGAAAAGAAAAGATTCCCCTTGTCAAATAAGTATGGGTAGCTCAAAGTGGACTATTTCCCTCTTATAAATGCATAATTTACTTTCACATATAAATGCCCTGAGAACCCTTATTAGAAATTATAATTTTCTTTAAGAGGAGGATAAAATATGAACTATTTCCGAAACTTGACCATTTATGTTAAATAATAAAAGACTATTTCCCTTTTTTTAATAGTTTCACTCAGGGCTGGTACAACAGAACACACTTTGGGAAATGTTACTTGACCAACTTATCTCCTTTTATTTATTAAATTCACTTTTTGGGTAATTTCAAAAATAATTTTGTCACATTTCCTTCCATCCAATTTTTCTCCTCTTTCTCATCCATTTTTTCAAGTAGGTTTCCAGATTTATCAAATAAGAATACGCGACACCACTGACACTTGAATTTTAAACAAACTGAATAATCTCTTGGTACAGGTATGTGCCAAATATTGCATGGGATATTTGAATGTAATGGGGTGTCCTCTATTTTATCTGGCAACCCTAAACCCAAGCCAAATGATAGCAATCAGTGAGTAAATAATAAAACTGTCAGTTTAATTTAATAAAAAGAACATGGAAAGAATTCATTCAGTGCTCATTGAATATGTTTTTAAGTATTTCCAAAATAAAAGTGTAAAGCCTTTTTGAGACTGCTATATCTTCTGTATTTTTATAATAATTTCAACATGAAGAGTGTAATAACCCTGGTACTCTGGTCTGTCATAAACTCTTTTACTCCACTCAGAGCACTTTCATTTTACAGAGGAGGAAACTGGACTCAGAGAAGTGACTTGACTTGCCCAAGGAAATTCTCCCACAGGAGCTGATAACTGCCAGGCTTGAGGCGTTTTCTACTTTCAAGCCAATGGTCTATATTCTCACCAGGCTAATGTTCATTGTATTTGTAGAGCCAAATAAATAAATAAAACTACACACAAACACACACACACATACACTTTTAAAAAAGGTAGTGGTTATAATTAGCCAAGTTTACCGCTTTAATTGATTAAACCACAATAACATGGAATAGAGTTAAAGTAAATTTAAAGCTTAAAATTACACTTTATATAACTTAATGTTTCTTTTAACAGGACATTTTACCATCTCCCAATATCTCAGTCCCTCATTAATGTGTAGTAAGAAAGAGTATAAACTGAAAGTGAATTTCAAAGGGTTTTTCATGTGTCTTTGTGTTTCTATTTATAAACTATTGTTCAGGATATATATGCTTTTTTTTTCATCATTAGCCACCTCAACTGTTTTATCGAGAAGAAACATCAAGCCCAGAAATATTACAGTATAAACAAGATACTGTTATGACACTAGACTATTCTGTTATCACTGTAATAACAGTATACTGTATACTGTAATTACAGTGTAAATGATAATGCTTATAAAAACAACAGGTGTGATAGATTTCTTTCAATAGAAAACAGAACTCCTTATCTTCACAGTACATGGCATATCACCTCTGTTATTAAAAAGAGGAATTGTTCGGATTGAGGTATTGAAAACTGTTAAGACAAAAGTCGCTTAGGTACTACTTTTTGTTTCCTAGGAGTGTCTCATTTGGTATTCATTCCACACAAATGCCACTGTTTCTTCAGGTGCCATGTAACTTCAGAGAAAGGCATGAGAGAAGCCGGGCCTTCAGCAAGGATATGGGACTGGCTAAGAATTAAGAAGAAAGAAGCCTCACTTTAGAACTAATGGGGTCTTGTATGTATAGCTTATTCCCCCACTGGATAGATATGGATACTTAAACATTGAGAAATCTTTATTCTCTACTTGAATAGTTGAGAACAAACGATACACTCACGAGGAGGCTAACCTTACCCATGTTGTCCATATATTTAAATGAAATTTTATAATAACTCCATCTGTTGAAATGGGCTGTGTGTTTTTCCGCATGACTTTCCCATTTTATCTCATCAACCTGACCTTGCTGGCACAAGGTACAATCACTGTAGTATCCTGCTTGTTTCATCAGGAAGTGGAGCAATAGTTTAATTTGTTAAGGAAATCCCAAGGAATGAACTAAAGCTTGCGTTGTGTGTTTTCCCACAAATTGTGTTTTCTTTGAATTTGTGGTTGTGAGGGCATATCGCTCATCGACACCTGATCCACAAGTATTGGCTGTTTGTCAAGGACCCCGAGAATCCTGAAGTTGTCACGTCATAGAGATCAGTTCTCTTCAACTCTACTCAACCTTTAATCTACATGAAACTTTGGATATATAAAATACTAAGGTAGTTTACCTGAGTTTAATATCAGAATTTAAGATGAGCTGTAGCCCATTAGTCTTTCAAGTATATAGGATGATGTCATGCATTGTAATCAGCAATACTTTGAATGAATAGGGAAGGGTAAATATGAAATGCTAATTATATGAAAGTAGAATCTTTCTCTGTCAGTAGTACCTACTTTAAGATGAATAATACTTTCTAAGTATTTGACCTGTGGCAAGTGACTTGCTCTTTTTGATCCTCGGCTTCCTCATCTATAAAATGGGGATAATAGTGGTGCCTCCTTCATTAAGTCATTGTGAGGAGTTAATGAAAGTGAGTATAAAAGCATTTGGCTTCATGCCCAACACATAGTGGGTACTTACTAAGTGCTAATTAGTATTATTACAGCTTAAAAAGACAGGTGGTGATCTTGGTGTTTATTATTATCATGTGCACTAGTCCCATACTTGTTTATGACACTGTAATCTTTGTGAAACATTTTTTTATGATCTCAAAGTGCCTTTTCATGGGTGATCAGTGTTGACAGTGATCACAGTAGAACAGATAACACCATAAAAGACAGTTTTAAAATTCCAGCTTTAAAATTCCAGCTTTGCATAAATCATATAGCTGGCCTTTATATATGAGTGATTAAAAGAAATTATAACTAACTCATCTTATAAAAGTTTTATCATGTACCGTTCTTTTTTGGGGGGGTGGGGGGCTGTGACAGAGTCTCGCTCTGTTGTCCAGGCTGGAGTGCAGTGTCATGATCTCAGCTCACTGCAACCTCCACCTCCTGGGTTCAAGCAATTCTCCTGCCTCAGCCTCCTGAGTAACTGGGATTACAGGTGCCTGCCAGCATGCCCGGCTAATTTTTTGTATTTTTAGTAGAGACGGGGTTTCATCATGTTGACCAGGCTGGTCTCAAACTCCTGACCTCAGGCAATCTGCCCGCCTTGGCCTCCCAAATCATTTACCATTATTAACAACCATTTACCATTATTAACAACCATTTACCATTATTAACAACCATTGGGCACTTTCCTGCCCAAAGTGCCATTCAAAGCACCATGGGGATGGAGAAGCATGAAGCTTCCGTGCCTCTCACCAAATCTTCAAGCTCTTCTAAGATGGATACCGTGACAGGATGTGAGCCTTAGCCTCTGATCCCTGGAATCATCGGCTTATGTTTACAAGCTAAGTGATTGTGCACCTTCGATGCTGACCCTGAAGTGTTTAATGGCTTATGTCACCCACATGTGATGCAGTTAACTACTTGACCATAAAGGGGGAGTTTACCAAATGATAAATTTAGGTCATGTGAAGTATTAAAGTAGGCATAAATATTTACAGAGCTAAGGATACTCTGAAATTGTGTGCAGAGAGAAGGATATTATTGAGTCAGGCGCAAGAAGTGAGGTCATCTTTGCTTTTAGATTAGGAACCATTATGAAAGGAGTGGTGGTGCCAATTAAGGAAAGCCTCACAATTCAGCTTCTTTCCAAGAACTGATGGGTAGGTCTCCTTCCAGGACACTGGTGTTTCTAAAGCACTTGTATTCCTTTTGAAGTGGTATCTATATACAAGTTAGTGTACTATACACTAAATTACTTCAAAAGCTTTGCATCCACATAGTCAGAAGATCAGGGTTAGATTAAATGACATGTATATTACAGATGCTTGGTATGCAGGAAAATGTGATATGAACATAGGGGAAATTATTTTTCTGAAGTAGGGTGTTTGTGTATGTATTTGTAGTCCACTTATTTTCCTAGTTTCTGCATGTAGTTTAGCTAACTTGTACAGATGGGAGAAGACACAGCAGTTGCAAGTCAACGGCAGAGCAAAACATTCAAACTTCAAATACTAAACTTTCTACCTCATACAATTTGGTGGAAGCTTTTATGTATAATACTTACAGTCAGCATTTGGGGAGGGAGGAATTGGGGGAATGATACAGTTGCTATATTATTAATCTTTGGCACTCCTAAATCAAATGATACCCTATGCTGCACAGCATTGTTTAAGGGGCCTCATAATGAGCCCGTTTTTACACTTATGAGTAGGTATAGAGCTTTACATCTTACAAAACATTTTCCACAAACATCATTTCATTTAGTCACCTTAAGGACTTTTTGGAAAGTTATTATTCTTGTCCCCATTTGACATATGGAACTTTGCGGTGTAGTGGGTTAAGGAAGTAGCACAGAATTACATCCTAGTTAGTGAGATGGCCAAAATACAATACCGCTTTCTTTCTCTTTCTGTTACCCTCTGATCCCTTTAATCTTTGTTTCGTTTTTGGTTTTTTAAACTTGTTTCATAAAGAGAAAGTTATATGAAACAGGTGGTCAGGCAAGATAGCCTTAAATGTGCTGTGACACATAAATGTAATTTATTTTTAATTAGGTAAAGTTGAAATCTAGCATTAACACCTTTTGTAATATTAAGAATGTAGTTCATGAAATAAATTTCTCTCTCAAATGTAGATTTTTTCCAGTACAAAATCATATTTTTGCTTTTTAAAATGTCAAAGATACACATTATACATTAAATTGTTGTCTTTTTCTTTTCTAGAGTTGTGACATACATGTTTTCCAATCTGCTATGCCATGCCTAAACAAAGTCAGACAGATGACCATAAAAACTGTTTGCTACCTCCTCTTATGCATGTTGAGCTAGACCAGTGGAACACCATCTTGGTAGGACAAATTTTGACAGAAAGACTGCAGTTAGAGTTGCAGAATTTGCAAAATCACATTTTTACCAAACTCACCCTACCCCAACAGAAAACCTAATGAATGAATCCACACAGAAAGGACTTTAGGTAAACCTACACAAATAATGTAACATGCTATAAGAAAAGGATACCTTTTGGTCTATTTTCAGTACATAGCCTACATTTCATTGGTGCCCAGTAAAATAGAAACTGCAATGGAAAAGATACTTTGTCTTCACAGAACTAACAATGAAAAGTACACAGTATCTAATGCTTCTGTCTTTAAATGGGTAATCATAGGAAATGCCAAGAATAGATCCATTAGGTTAGCTTAAGTATTTATCTATAAATTTGTTTCCAAAGTTATGCTTTAAAAAAAAAAAAAAAAAAAAAAAAAGCTTCACCTGGAAACCACATCAATACCAACAGTCATAACTGGACTGCAAACCTAAGAGTTAATTTCCAGCTGTAGCTTTTAGGAAAAAGACATCACTTTTTAGTTGATTCCTACACCAAAACTTGCTCCAATTTCCCCCAGAACAGTGGGAAGAAAATAGGAGCTTTAGAGATCTGAAGAGTTGGTCTGAGTAATACCTGAGATAATTCCCAAGTAGTCAAAATCCTGCAGAGCTGGGCTACTCACGCTGAAGGGTCTTTCACTTTTACCCAAGTGCAAAAACTACGAACACACAGATTCTTTCAAAGACAGCCCGTGGTATTTGGGACAGAAAGGGTTAGTGATGGTAGGTTATGCCTTGATGTTGACATATCCATGACATGAAAGCTGGGGAAGGGACCCTAGATGGAAGGCTGGACATCATCTTGTTTGAGACTTGTCTGACTCAGAAGCACCTTGGAGAAGCATCTACTTTAGCAGGAATACTTGAGTGACTGAACGCAATAAGGTATTTTAGGAGAAACAGAGGTCCCAGGAGGTCAAGTCATTTTCTTTATGACCCATCAATACTTAGCATTAATGAAGAGCCTCAGAACAGTCAGTCTTTCCTGTTTGTCATCACTAGCTGGAGCCCAACAGCCTATTAGACCTGTGCTGTCCAGACTGACCTCATTGCTAGAAGCTAACATGTAAAATGATTTGTTCAAGGAAGCTGCCACTAAACCACTGCTAAAGGCCAGTGCCCAGCCTTCTTATTCTCCTGTGTAGTCCAGAAGTATTTCCTTAAAAGTCAGAAAATCCATAAGCATGAGCAGTATAAATATGTCACCAGCCTCTTCCTCTTTAGGAAGCCAGAAAGTTGTTGGGTGTTATTAAAGCCACTGGCTTAACTGCAAGAATCTACTCCAACAACTGTTTCCCAATATACCTTTCTACCAAACACTTATTCTTTAAAATGGGCCATACATGAGCTTATTCTCTTTCGTGCTTCAAACCCCTGTTAGTACTAGTCCCCAAAATTTCTCTGTAACTCCTGGAACTCATCATCCAGGATAATTTCTCCTAAATAGCCAATGACAGCATCACATGCTGCATCCAGAGCAGAGAGATGGACAGCATGAATCTCTCTTCTTAGGTTAGTCCTGATTGGACAAAGCCACTGCTGTGACCAGCTGCATTGGCCCCAGGAGGCATCTGCACCTGTCACAAGGCTCAGCCTCGACTACACGTGGCTAAGGTCTCCCTGTTTCTTACCAACCACTGAAATGCAGTCTTATAAAATAAACCTGAAAAGACCCTTTCTATAGGAGTTTTATGTAAGTACTTCTCTTACCTAAGAATGTTCTTGATAAAATTGATGGCAATAGAAATGTTGAACAATATATTTGAGTTGAAAATAGAGTTCCCTTGGGATGGTAGTACTTAATTTGCAATTTGAGAATTCTACCACCCCAGAATGTATTTTTTTAAACTCTTAAAAACTCAACAGTAAAAAGACAGACAATCCAATTATAAAATAGGCAAAAGACTTGAGCAGATATTTCAGCAAAGAGGAGATAAGAGTGGCAAAAAAAGCCAATGAAAATATATTCAACATTATTATTCATTAGGGGAATGCAAAGTAACACTACAATGAGTTGTCTCTACACAACTATTATAACAAGTGAAACTTTGTAAACAATGATGATAATACAAATGCTAGTGAGGATGTGGAGATCTCTCATACATTACTGGTGGAAATGTGAACGGTGCAGCCATTCTGGAAAATGGTTTAGCAGTTTTTTATTTAGCATATGACCTAGCAATTGCATTCTTCAGTATTCATCCCACAGAAATAAAAACTTATGCTCACACAAAACCTATACACAAATGTTTACGGAAGTGTTTTTCATAATATTAATAGCAAAATACTGGAAACTACTCAAATATCCTTCAGTGGGTGAATGGATAAACAAACTCTGATACATCCATGCAATAAAAATTTAATTCAGCAATAATAAGGAATGAACTATTGATACATTCAATACCATGGATGAAATTCAAGAGCATTAAGCTTAGTAAAAAAACAAACAAACAAAAAAAGTCAATCTCAAAACATCACATACTTATGTTCCGATTAATATAACAGTCTCACAATAAAAAAACTCTAGAGATGGAGAACAGATTAATGGTTGGGGATTGGGGGTGCAAATATGAAGAGGTAGTATGAGAGGATTCTTTTGTGATAGTGGAACAATTCTATGTCTAGCTTGTGGGATTTTTTTTAATCCTATGACTTTGATAAAATATTTGCCATAAAAACTAGTCAAAAGTTTTAAAATCACCTTTGTGCAACAGAAACATGAAAAGTGTTTAAAGATACAATGTTGCTTGAATTCCATTTAGGTACCATTTTTTATGTTTACTTAAAGGAATGGTACTGATTCTATCAGCAAGCAATGATTTTAGTATACAAAAATGGATCTTTTCATGGAAATAACAAGAGCAGAGATAAACTCATGACAGTGATTACAGGCGTTATTTGATATGATTCCTTTTCTCTCTTTTCCTATTAGCAAAATACGGTCTGTACTACTTGCTGCATTTTCTCCAACTTTTCCACAGTCTGAGATTTTATAAGTAAAGTTTGGGGCTGCATAGTACCATGTGGCAACGTCTTTCTCTGATCACTGCCCTTGTTTGGAGGCACTTTCCAGAACAATGACTTTTCCTCTGCTCTATCTGAATTACTGTTGATACCAACTTATTTTCTTGAAAGGTCTTCCAGTTTCCCTCAGATTTAGGCATTCAACTAGGTAATTCCAACATGGCTGACTGTTCTTTATCCCCTTTAGAAGGAGCATCTTTTGGAAGCCTGTGAGCCTTGGTGTGCCCTGGGGGTGGAGGTCAAGAGCTGAAGGGTACCCTGACAAGTGGGGTCTTTGTGTGTCTTTCTGGTATAGGCACCTGCCTATTATTTAAGAGAAGCATGACACTGAACTTTTTTTAACTTAGAACTGAGAAAATGGAAGAAACTGAGGAAAAGCAGGCTGTTAAAAAGCAGGTCAGTGATAAAATAAGACTTTGGCACAGACAACCCCAGGTGCAAATGCAACTGTCAAGACATCAGAAAACTAACTTCTGCATGCCTGTTACCTCGTCTGTAAAATAATTAGGATAATTATAGCATCTGCCTCATCAGTTGTTGTGGGGATTACATGAGAAAATGTGTTTTAAGCCACTCAGCCCTGTGCCCCCCCACATATGAGGGCCGTGATACATGTTGATTCCCATTTCTTTTGAGTTTCTACCCTATTTTTTAGCTGCCAGGGCAGTTTGATGAGAAATAGCTTGTAATGAAGAGGACTGATTGCTAGGAGTGAACAGGGTTAATTAACTTTTCCCAAGAAATTTGTACCTGAAAAGAATGTATTTTGTTTAAGGCTTTCAAGATGGAGTCATTTTGCAAAATACTAAGGGAAGTCAGTTTTTTGTTTTTTTTTTTTCTGAGAAGGAGTCTTGCTCTGTCGCCCAGGCTGGAGTGCAGTGGCGCGATCTCGGCTCACTGCAACCTCCGCCTCCCAGGTTCAAGCGATTCTTCTGCCTCAGTCTCCCAAGTAGCTGGGACTACAGGCGTGCGCCACCGCGCCCAGCCAATTTTTGTATTTTTAATAGAGACGGGGTTTTACCATGTTGGCCAGGCTGGTTTCGAACTCCTGACCTCGTGATCCGCGCGCCTCGGCCTCCCAAAGCGCTAGGATTACAGGCGTGAGCCACCCGCCTGGGCCGGGAAGTCAGTTTTATGCCAAGTAAATGATCACCCACCTCTTGGATGTGTTCTTGGAGTAGACACCTGTACTTGACTTTTCACTACCCTCTCTTTCTGATATCAAAGACTAGGGCCTTGGTAACTCCATTTTCAAAAATACTGCCGTGGGAATGGCTTAAACAAATGAGGTTGCCGGTGATAACTTTCCTCGTAAAAACATTGGATTCCACTATTTTCTGGGGTCTCTGGGGGATTTAGAGAGCACCAGGCAAGCCTTTGACTTCAAGAGAATACAAGCAAGTGAGGAAGAGTAGAAATATCCACTGGACTGGAAGTCACCTGGGAATCTTGGCTGGAGGGTAATTCATCAGGAAACTGAAGACGGTTTCCTGGAAGAAACTGAGGGACCAAGAAGTGTGTTTGCTTTTAGAATTTTTTCACGCATCCTGTTTTTGGGGGGATAAGCCAAAGAAGCATCCCTTATAATAGGATGGACTCTCTTTTCCCAGTCCTTCAGTATCTTAGGAACACATTACCTGAGAACCGGTGAGGCCAAGAATGACATTGTTTCCATCTTTGTATCCCTAGCTCTCTGCACACAGCCTACTCAATAAAGGTTTATTAAATGAATATATTCATTCCTCTCGGTAGCTGAACACAGTTGTGTCTTTATTCCCCAGTGATCTCTTTACAGGCTAGGAGTGATGGGTTTCATAAGGCATACTAATTTTAGCAGGCTGACTGAAAGCTCCCTGATGGCAGGCACCCGGTTGTTTGCTTTCACTGTCACCTCCGTAGAGCTTGGCCAGGCACCTGGCATCTTGTCACTCTATAAGCATTTATGTGAATGCATGAAAACTACCCCTGGTTCTGTCCTCAGAACTCACGGTCAGCCTGGAAGAGAGAGAAGTTTCTGTGAGGAGGCATGGGCTGTCTTGGAAGACCAAGACAGCCCATGGAGGCCACAGTCAATTTCACCTCCTCACTCAGCCATTTGCAGGAGGTTATAAATCACCTCTGTACCCGGGTCGGGGTCAGCGGTGCGTCCCTACGCCCCCTGGGGGGACCCCTCCCGCCAAGTCGCGGAGGAAGGTAACCCAGAGTGGAGGAGCCAGCCAGCACGTGCAGCCGCCCAGGGAGGAGGAGGCTGGGCTAATGCAGCCCTTAGTCAGCAGCTGGGCTCGGTTTTGAAACAAAAGCCAATGTCCTCCCTCGGAGTCCGCGGCCGGTCAGCTCCTAGGGGGAAGAAAGCCATGCTGCCCAGCCGGTTAGTGGCCCAACTTACTTTTCCAGAGCCTGGGACAAAGGGCCAGCAAAGGCACGGGAGTGGGTGGGATGTTGGGGCAGGGGTACGGGGACACAGATGGCCCAGACTCTCCCCTCCCGGCAGCGCGGGGAAAGGGCCGGGGTCTCCCATGCTCTGTGTCGGTTTGTCCCGGGCGATCCGCCTCCGTGCCCGGGCCCGTCGGGTCTGCGTAGAGCCGAGGAACCTTTGCCACCCGTGTCCCAGAGCACAGACACACCAGGCCCCGGTTTCATGAATGAAATCCAATCGTGTGGATATAAATAGCCGCGAAGGCTGCTAACGTCACAGTGCGAGCGGCGGCCGCCACGGCGGCGGAGCGAGGTGCCGGGTGCTCCGTTCCGCCTGGCTGCCCCGCCTGGGAGCGGGGTGGGGGCAGGCGAAGGGGAGGGCTGCGGGTGGAAAGGGGCGAGCCCCTCTCGCCCGGGACTGGGAAGAGCGGCCACGGCGCCGGGCGAGGCGGCAGGGCGAGGCAGTGCCATGCTGCCTTTGTGCAAAGTTGGGCGGCGGGCGGCGCGCCGCGCGCAGGGGCCCCGCACACCCGCGACCGCGCGCAGCCGTGGCTGCTGCTGAGTGGCGGGGGCCCCCCCGCTCCCCCCGGCCCTTGAAGGCGGAGAGAGCTCGCGTCTCGCTCGGCTTCAGGGTAGGTTCTGTGTCGTGAGTGCTCTATGCTATGAAACTTCTCCGAGCAGCCGCTGCGGAGCCCCCACCGCCCCGGCCCCAGCGGGTGGCAAGTGGGGGCCCTGGGCCGTGCCACGAGGCCAGCAGCGCCCCGAGAGAGAGTTGTGGGACCGAGCCGCTAGGGGGGCCTCCCTCGCCTCTCTGAGAGGCCGGGGACCCTCCCATCAGAGGCAAGCACAAGAGATTTCTAGGAGCGCCCGCACAGCCGCACCCCTAACTTGGAGCTGAGAAAATGTACAACAGGCACCCTTAGCAGGCTGGCTGCGCCAGGGAGGGGGTGGTGCCGCGCCGACGAGAAGGCGCTTCCCCTTCGAAGGCCAGTATGGGGAGGCCGGGCGGGGACCGGAGGACCCGGACAGGGGAATACGCTAGCCCCTTTGGCGCTTGCACCCTCTTGAGAGTTGACTGGCCAGCCCACAGTCGCTCCCCTCCCCTCCCCCGCAACCCCGTGTCTATGGAGTCTGTTGTGAGTTGCTGTGACAACAGGAGGAGCTGCCATGAGGGGCTTGCAGAGCACCTTACCTTGTCTGTGTGTGCTCAGCTTTGGGGAAAACAACCAAGGGGTGATGTGCAGACAGGAGAATCCAGCCCTCTGCCCCCCGAAAAGAAGTGGAAGGCAACTATGTAGAAATATATCATTAGATCCTACTGTTAGCTGCACCGTTTCCATCCCCAGCAGTATCAAACATCTCAACTGAGGAGCGATGTCAATATTTAGACTTGGACAAGCCAGAAAGTTAGAAGGGAGCGCCAAGCACAGGGTTTTGACTTCGCTTTGCACGTTAGCACACAAGCTGTGCCTTTGGAGCTGACTGTACACAATTGCTGGGGGCAAAAATGCATGAAGGTTAATATATACACAGAGGCACCCAGATCTAGGAAAATCTAGGAAGTTAAGACCAGAAGAGTCGCCCTGACTTTGAACTTCCCCATCCTGTGCTGTTCACTGAGCCTTGTTGAACTCCAGCCAGACGCTCAGCTTGAGATTTCACTGGTTTGGGGCTCCCCCACCCCCAACCGCTGCGGTGGTGTACGTTCTGCACTAACATACTCTAAACAGAAAAAAAAAAAAATACCGTTATCGGTGGTTTCATCTTTGTATAAGTCCTCTGACGAGCAGCAGATAGTAAATAGTCAATAGGCTGTGTTTGTTTGGTCTTAGCAAGGCTTAGACCTTTTTAAACATACTCTGGTAAGTTTGTTTACAAACCCTGTTTAGAAATTTGGAACTACGTTTCATTTCCAGTAACCTTGTAGATGCCTAAGAGAGTCACTGGTTGCTAGAAAATAAACACAAGCTCTTTTCAGCATAAATAATGTCTGCATTCTGCTCCCCAGGTGGAGTGGGCAGTAAATTATTATATTAAACATGGTTTCCTCTGAGATTCCTGAATCATATTTGGACATATTAATGGGAAAAAGGTTTAACCAGTTGATCCTAGTGCAGAAGGCTTTGGAAAATCATTAGGAAGCAGGAATATCATAGTCAATATACTAATTTTGCCCATGATTGTTTTCCCAGAGTTTGAAGATAGTGTAAAATTTTTTAAGTGCATAACACAGGCTCTGTGATCACACAGGTGGAAATAGAAACACATGTAACAGTTTGATGTTATTGGCTCAATAATACAAATTATAAGCTATACAAATACAACAGGAAAAGCCAAAATTGTTTGGTCTTTTAATTATGATTATATTGTCTAAAAATGCTATTTTGAATAGGATGACCACATCTATGAGTTCTGTATTGTAAAATGCCTGTAAGATTTTCATTGTTATCTATCGGTTTGTGGCCAAATGTTTTTAGGGTTTTGTTTTGTTTTGTTTGTTTTTTTGGTATCGTCCCAAGAGCTCAAAAATATATTTTCACAAATCCTGCAAAATGTTAACCTAGCTATTTCAGGATGTATTTGACCCAAAGAAATGCCACATTAACACTGGCACTTAGCAAAAGTAAAGCAGATTCTTCCCTTTCTCGGGGGAAAAAGAGAAAACAACGTATGTTGAAAATTTTAGTGGCTCCCCATGTACTCCTGGCAGGCAGTAGAATTTATAAAGTATTTCTCTCTTTTATGTAGGTAAGTCCAGCTGTGAGCAGAGTGTTCTGTTCTTCACTTCCAGCAAGCCAGGTCAGTGTCTTTGTGCAAACCCATGACTATAGATTGGTAACATCCTGTGTCTAATTTTGAGCATGCATTTCAGAACAGGTTTCTTAATCATTTGTCTTTTAAAAATTTTGTCTTTGACTTTTTTATGGACTCAGTTATGAATGTCATAAGTTCAATGATTATTAAAATTATTGCTTACTCTGGGAGTACAATGGTACAAATATGGGCCTCAAACCAGTTTGTCCATCATACGACTTTTTATTTTTCACTTTAGGCATCAGAGTGGTGCCCGTGGTTGAGAATACTGGGGATCTGGATGCTTGATAATTGAGGGTTTACTTCTATCCTAATCTTAGCACTCTGGGGCTGGAAGAAACTTGATATAGTAATAATTGACTTATTGAGCATGAATCACGGTTCAGGTAATGTGCTGCATTCTTTATGTTAATATTCTTATTCTGCTTCAGAAAGAAAAAAAAAATCTCTGGGAGGTGAAACCACTGTCTTGAGTCCCAAACTATAGGTGAGGAGTTGGAAGTTTAGAGACATTAGATAATATGTTCAATTCTTACTTCTATTAAATGGCACAAATAGGATTTTTTAAAAAGTTTTTGTCTTACTCTAAGACCTAAACTCTCTAGTTGAAAAATTGTTTTCCAGTAGGGAAACTGAAGACAAAGAAGGTTAAGTGACTTGTCTAAGATAGCTTGGTAATTACTAGCACATATAATAACAATGGCCCAGTTGTTGCAAAATAATAAATTCTATTCTCTTAAGTAAATTAGTGAAATTGTAAGTATTCATGTGTACTTTCTGGCATGACACTGTCAAAGATATAAGAAAGTTTTTATTGTGGGGTCTCTGGCCTTGAAGATTTTATGGAAGATTTAAAAGGCAAGATGTTAAACATTCAGGTATGCAACAATAGAGAATAAATCAAGATTATACTTGCCAGAAGGCTGAATTGGGGATCAATGGTACATTTATGAGAAGTTCAGCATTTTCCACTCTGTGGAATTACTTTGCAATTCCATATATGCATGAAAAAAATTTCCAAGCACATTTTTTTTGTCTGGATAGATGATTAATCGGTGAGAGTTTGGGAAAGGACAGAATGTAGAATTTCAACCCAACAGGGAGAGATTATGTAGTCATCCAGAACCGCTAAATTGCAGTATCTCAAACTCAAAGATGTTATTGCTTCACAAGCATGGTAACCCAAAATTGTGAGCTGTTTGAATCTGCACAGCATCTTTGAGAAAGCATAATTTGGCATGACATTTAAAAGTACTGGATTTTTCCTGGAACCTCAGTTTGTCTGAAAGGCACCACGTAGATGGATTTGGATACATAATAGATAAATCCTAACCAAAGTCCTGATAACAACCAAATATTAAGCAAGACTTTTTCAGGTTTTGCCTGAATTAACAGGCTTCTCTCTCTTCTGTTCCCCTACTTCCCTTCTCCCCTCTTTCTTTTCGTAGAGTAATTTGTAACAGTTGTTAATCCTTCTTAGCTAATTTTATATAAAGGGGTACTAAAAAATGAAATGGGGAACAAATTATTAAAGCAAACCTTAGGATATCATCTTTTTTAATGTGCTGATAACCCCCACTCAAGCTAATAGCTCTAAAATCTTAATTAGTGAAGATATTTTTTAAGCATTTAAAGGGATATTATAAGCTGTCCTATAACACGTCTGTCCTGTAAAAGTTGTTATGTAATGGATCATTACAAAATAGGTCACATTCTATAACAGCACTATTATTATTGGGAAGATCCCATTACAGGCCAAGACCTCATCAACATGATTAGTTGTGATAATGGTATATAATAAAAATATCAATAAAGCAACCATAAATCTATAAAGCACTAAAATTATACTTTGAATCATATAATGTTATGAACAAAAGAGATCTAGGAATTAGCATGGCATCTCTAATAATAATCATTTAGCAATCATTTGTTTTCTCTTTTGAACTTCATAAGGCTTTGGTTAGTATGCATGACTTACCTCTTTAAAAATGGCTGGAAACATTTGAAATTCTGCCATTTTTTGCTCAAGAAAACAGAGAAATGTTTAAAACTGTCGCTTGGTCTTCCTTTTAGAAAATAGGCCATTCACGTTTCCCTCTGGCTCCATGTTTTAGGGTTTAAAGAGCATAGGTGATTTGAATGTGGTTCTTTTGTTCCTCTTTTCTTCTCTGCCAGGCTTCCCACCAACATCACAACACCAAAACAAAACTTGGAGAGGGAGGGAAAAATGAGTTCCAAAAAGTGTGTGTAGACAAGGGTAGGAGATGGGCGAGTGTGTGGGCAGCAGGGAAGAGGAAAAGGAAAGGGGAAGCTTTTAAGGGAAGGGTCAAGAGGCAGTCACTCCAGTGGATGGGATATTTACAGATTAGTTATTTGTTAGCATCATAATTTTTTTATTTTTAGTTTGTAAACAAATAGAACCCACTTCCTCCTCTTCCTGGCACCTTTTGTTTCTTGTGCCCATAGGACAGAAATTGGAAAATTGGCAAAAAGACGCCAAAAATGATGGATGTGTGTGTGAGTATGACTGCCACTTTTTCCAGATGTCCCAGGACACTCCTGTCTTCAGATACTTTCTTGAGCTCTGTCATCAAATACATCACCATGCCTCTGATCAGGCTTTATCCACTAAAGAACGAATTAGCAAGTTTTACAAAGAAAGCGATGCCAATAGGTCTAGAAGAAAGCAATTACATGTCTCCACTCTGCACCTGAGTTTACTTATTGCATAGACACAGGTTAATGGCAAGTTCCCAGCGTTAATGAGGTTATGATCTCAGGTTCCGTCTCTCTGTGGAGAAATTTCCTTTGAATTGGTACCCAACTGTAGACCAAACTCCTAATGACTGCTGTGATAACAATAAACTAGCATTTATGCCCCTACTAGATGCCAAACACGTTAACTAAATTACAGCTAATATTCATTATCAATTCCAATTTTACAGAGGCAAGAAATGGAACTCAGAGATTTTAAAGAACTACTAGGAAACAGAGCTTGGATTTGCACCCAACGCTGTCTAAGAACTTGAATATATATTTGCTCTAAACAAACCCCCCCTCCAAAAAAACAACACTTTAAACCATTTCATTCCAGGTTACTCTTGCAGATGTCGGAGTATAGAAGTTATTCTTCTGGGTTTGTTTCTACTTTGTAAATTTTGTATTTAAATTTGAACTACACAACATTTTTGCCTGGATAAATTGGCTAACTGCTTAGGTCATTTTAAATGTATTTTGATGGAAGTTGTCACAATCTTAAACAGTTGAGTCATAGAGAGTTGAATCATGGAGCCAGGAATGTCCTTATTAAGGACCCTTAGCCCAACCTCATGTGGATGGAAAACACTGGCACCCAGAGAAACAACGTAACTTGACTACTCTCATAGTTAATAAGTGACACAGTCTGAACTGAACCCAGGCTTCCAAGTCCCAGCCAGAGCCCAGTTCCATTACATAACACTGCCTGAAAAGTGCCAAGTCTTCTAAATCTTCCAATGTAGCCTGAAATACAACTAGCAAGTATGATATACATCTGAAACCCAAGGTACATCCAGAAATGCTGATAAGAGAATTCCAGTCGTGCAAAGATATGGTGGGTACTAGGAGAAACCTCACTTATCTTCAGTGGTGCTGAGATAAAATAGTCTTTTTCTCTTATTCAAAACATAACACCCTTCTAAGCTGTCTTTGTTACATAAACCCTTCCAAGCTGTCTTTCTTAAGTGATCTGTTCGATGCTTTTTCATTTTGACCAAACTCTGGCATTTCATTAACTATGCAACTTCGGTGAAATATGACCTTACTTTCCTCAACTGTAAAATGGGAACAGCATCCCCTCCCCCCTCAGAGGGTTATGAGGATGTTATAAAATCCTCATGCATGTAAAGCACATAGTAGGTGCTCAGTAAGGGTTAGCTCTCTTCTTAGCCTTCCTAGAGTATCTCGAAAGAAAGTCTTTTAACATATTAGGCAGTTGTATCATTTTTGTCTCTAAATTTACTGGAGTCATTTGAATTCTGATATTTTAAGGAATGGTTATAGGAACCTTTTTTTCTTGAACACAACAGGCCGAGTGGTCTCTCTGGGTTCCAGTGGCCCAGTCTCCATTACACTTGTTTTCTTCACACTCTAAGGTTGCCAAAGTTTACTTGCATTGAATTATTTTATTGCCTTAGTTTCTGCTGCAAACGAATACCAAGCTTCTCTTGCAGATTTGTGGCTCTCATTTTCTTCCAGACACTGTTCCTAAGTAGCTAACGTGTTTTCTACATGGAACTTTGTATCTCAAAGCCACTATTTCCAGCCAGATAACTAAGAAATATTTCCAGAGAATATTATTGCCAGTAGAAAATTTTTGCTTTCAATTTTGAAACATGAGACTTTCCTACCTTCATTTCAATTCACTGTAGTATTGAGTATTTGAGGTATGCTGCTCCTGTTTTTTCTTTTTGTCACGTGTTGCTGACTGATATATTGATAGGAAAAGCATAAACACCACAATTTCCCCATTTCATCTGCAGCACTTGATAACTACCCTGGCCTAAATTACATCACTGGGAAGTGTTTTGTGCACTCCTCTCCCCAGCTGCCACATTTTCTCATGTGGCACTTGCTGCCCTGCTTTGGACTTTTGGAACCGAGTCCTTGCCAACACATCCAATTCATCACATACGCGGAAGAAAGCTACTGCTTTGATATTTTTTTTAAATACTTGTACCTGTTCTTCCTTTTTTAGTAATAATCCAAGTGGCCTAGAATAGACTATATTATCCTGGTGGTGCAATTTCACTTTTAGTATTTGGTAAATGCATATTGCAAGATGGATGTCCTTCTTCAAATTTAGAAGTAGCAAGTATATGTCTTTCCCAGTGCTATGAAGTGGCTGAACTGGGGCTAGGTGCTGAGAACTCACCAACTGCTATGTTGTCCTTAACCTTCTACTAATCTCAAATTGATTATATGTAAGTTTTTATTTTTACCAAGGAATTAATTGCTTTTAGAGCTGTGCTCAAGCTTTCATGTGCATACAACAAAAATGGGCATCTTGTTAAAGTGCAGATTATGATTCAGTAATTCTGGGATGGGGCCTGAGATTATGCATTTCTAACAAGTTCCCCATTGATGCCAGTGCTGCTGTTCTGTGGACCACACTTTGAGTCATGAGGTTCTAAAGAATAGTGGTTACTATATCTTACGCTGAAATTCATGCTTAATAGGCCATAACCAGACCGCCTTATTTTATTTGCTTGTTTCTTAAATCATAATAGAGTCATGGAATCTTAAATATAGGAGGGATGTAGGCGGTGATGACCTGGTAAATCAACCAGCTCTCCTGGAAAAAAGTAAAATGCATGTATGTGCATACGCAAATTGACATAAATTTTAATCACATAAAGAATGTGTGGTACACACTTTACAAATAATAATAAACTCTATAATACTTGATATTATAAATTCAATATAGCCAGTTGGGTCTCACAGAATGCCTTTGTTGTTTTTTGCAGAACTCTTCTATCCATAGGCCAACCTATGTTGCAGTTGATTAAGGGGTGCAGCTCCCATATAAATGCTGGCAGGTATTTTCCTTTATGTTAATCAGTAAGACAAAAGTGAAACATCAAAGACGTACGTCAGAACTCTACTCATTCATCCATGATGGGAATCACTTCCTTGCTGAACCAGATGATAAATTTTAATACTGAAAGAATATTTTTCAAATGTACTATTCATAGTGTAACACCTACACATATAGCACACTTTAAAGTTTAATCTCCATTATTAACACTGTTAAATTATTTTCTTAGATCTAGAACAATAAAGCAAGCACTGATTGGTAGTGGCTGCTGATTTCTGTGGTGTAAATATTCCCACCATGGCCAATTTCAAGCTACTGATGTGGCTGAGCACAGAGTTGGAAAGAGATGATGCAGTGTCACACCATTATATTGTACTTTCACCATATAGATAAAATTGGCATGAATAGCCTCAAAATATAGTTAATAGTAAATAGAAATAACCAGAAAATGATGCATTTTGAGTACTTATTATCTTTGTTTTTGGTATAATTTATTTAATTGTAAATTTATGTAATTTAATTTTTAATACTGGCACTAATGGGCCTGCAAAATTCCTAAAAATTTAACAACTAGTTCTTGTGGGCTAGTAGGGGCTGGCTTCTGCACAGATCATATAGATCATCTGGTGTAGTGATTCCCAACCTTGCTTTACACTGAAATACCTCAAAGAACTTAGAGCCCACAGTTTTAGTAGATCCACATTAGGGCCCAGGAATCTGAACTAAAAACGTTTTTATTGAAGTATATCTTATATTTAAAAAAAAATTATCAGTATATAACAAAAAGTTTTCCTAAATTGAACACACTCACATAACCAGCACCTAAATACAGAAACAGAACATTACCAGCACCCAGAAGCCCTTCTCATGCCCCTATCCAGCCACTACCCAATCAATGTAACCCTTATCTTGACTTCTAATACCATAAATTAGTTTTGCCTGCTTTTGGACTTTATATAAATGAAATCATATCCTATGTATTCTTTTGTGCCTGGCTTCAATATTATGTTTGTGAGATTCATCCATAATGTATGCAGCAGTAGTTCATTCATTTTTAGTAGTGTATAATATTCCATTGTATAAATAGTCCTCAATTTATTATTTTTAATCCATTTTACTGTTGATGGGTTGTTTCCAGTTGTTGGCTGTTTTGGATAGTGCTGCCAAGAACATTCTTGTACAGATAGCAGTATGCAAAACAAAACAAATCCCCCAGTGAGTCTAATGAGCAGCCAATCTCGACTGCCTTCTCTATATCTTCCCCTCCTCTCTATGTCTCATATAACATGCCCACGGCTGTTGATCCTTTCATGTGAATGTACTTTTAAAACATAAGCAATGAAGCCCATGTGCTTCCATTCATTAAAGTATGTTCTCCTGGCTCTTTACAATACACGTTCACCAGCTCTCCGTTTCATCAAGATATCTGCATTTGTTCTCTCTAAATAGGGATGAGATTTGGCCTCACTTCAGTAAGCATGGGAGAATAATAGACACAGTGGACATGGAGCCAAAGGCTAAATTTGGCAGCTGATCATTAAGGCTCCTGGAAAGAGGCTTCAAGTAAAGGAACTTGTTTCCCTTTGTGTATATCAAACAAAAGTCAACAATGAACCGTTATATCAGATTCTAATATTCTTTAAACTCTATTTATTTGAAGTAGACCAGGGACTCTCTTCTGACATGACTACTGAAATCTCTCAAAGTCTCATGTCTTGATCTGGAAAGATTAGAGAATGTTTTCCCATGGTCTTGTTCCTGTACCTAGCATTCAACAGGTGTATCCTTGTTGCATTGTTCTATGCTGAGGGGCTATGTAGGTTTTGTGGTTGGGCCTATTGAGGTATTAGTTCCTTTGATATAAGTAAAGGGAGCTGAATAACCAGGAACTCCAAGATGATATATTGATGAGTGGGACGTCTGCTCAGGACTGAAAAGAAGGTTTCAGGAGCAGCAAGCCTGTTCCCTACCATATGAAAGGCAGTTCACATAAAGTTCTTAAGGTACACAGAGAGAAGGTCAAGAGTAGATGTTAATTTCACATAATGAAGGAAGAATGTTTTCTCACACACAAAGATATTTTATTTCCTTGTTTTCCTACCTCCTTGCCCTCTTTTTTGTAAAATTTCTTTATGTCACAAAGAACACATGTTCACTATAGAAGAGATGGAATATATAGATGAGAAAAATGAAAAAAATTAAAATGAATTATAATCCTATCCTATAAAAAGTTGTTGGCATTAATATTTTAGTATATCTATATCTCAATCTCTTTGTGTGTATTTAGGCACATAAGTTTTAAGGAGTGGTGTTATTCTGTAAATTTTTAAATCTCTTTTAATTTAAAGATTGTTCATGAACATCTCAATATAACAATGAGTGTACTCCTATAACACATTTTTGATGGACATATATTAGTTTTTTTTTAATCCATCTCCTGTGTTTGGACTTCTAAAGTTATTTTTGTTTCCACAAATAGTGATATGATGATGAACATTCCTTTTTTTTTTCTTTTTTGACGGATTCTCACTCTCACCTAGGCTGGAGTGCAATGGCGTGGTCTCGGCTCACTGCAACCTCCGCCTCCTGCCTCAGCCTCCCGACTAGCTTGGACTACAGGCACGTGCCACCACACCCAGCTAATTTTTATATTTTTAGTAGAGACTAAGTTTCACTATGTTGGCCAGGCTGGTCTCGAACTCCTGACCTTGTGATCTGCCTGCCTCAGCCTCCCAAAGTGCTGGGATTACAGGCGTGAGCCACCGCACCCAGCCAATGAACATTCTTTAAATGAAATCTTTTTCTATACATTTATTATTTTTCCAGGAATAAAACCTTAAAATTGGATGAAAGTTATGACATTTTAAAGTCTTTTGCCTTAAAATTTCTAGTCGCACTCCAGACTGGTATCATTTTCCACTTCCACAAACAGTGCTTCATCCTGCTTTTTAAAATTGTACAATCTTTCATGTAATAATTTCTACCTAAAGTTGGAAGGTATAGGAACATGCCCTGAAAAATACTAGCTAGAAGCTATTCATTGTTATTAGCCAATAACTTCAAATAAAGTAAGAGATCTTAAGAAGTCTGGTTAATTTTCCACCAGCACTTTTGCATTTATGGTCTAACGTTGCTGTGAAAACCTGAAAAAAGTTTCTTGTTTGCCTGAATCAAAGCATAGCCTAGTCCTAACGAGCATATGATAGTCTCATAAATGTTTACATACAATTGCTTGATTGTCATTGTATCAGAAGACCACAGCAGGTGGTCACGCTGCTGCTTCAGAAGCTAACTCGGTAACATCTTTAGAGAATGCTTTCAGTGAGTAACTTACTACAGAAGGTAGTGGAGACTTTTCTTCATGAATATGGGTTTTTAAACACCCATAGTCTACAGCCTTGATATTAGCTTTCTCAAATGAGTGCTTAGTATATCTCTATCTCAATCTTTTTGTGTGTATTTAGGCACATAATTTTTAAGGAGTGGTGTTATTCTGTAAATTTTTAAATCTTTTTTAATTTAAAGATGTATCATGAACATCTTTGCCATCTCTAAAGACTTGACCAATATTTTGATTATTAATTCTTGACAAAGCTTCCCGATCCAGCCCTTAGATGTGCCCCACCCCCATGAGGACGATAGGGCCTCCAAAATCCATGTGTAGGGTTTCTTGTTTCTGTCTTTTTTTTTTTTTTTTTTTACTTTAAGAAAGTATTGAAGTATAACACATAGAGAAATGTATGCAGATCGCAAATGTACAGCTTGATGACTTTTTGCAAACTGAACATATCTATGTAACTGGCACCTAGATCAAGAACCAGTACACCACCAGTGCCCTACTTCTGGTCACCACCCCACTCCACCCTCAGTGTGTTTGAAACACCTCACATTTTATGTCCAGGGTAAGTCCTTCATTTACAGAATTCTATGTTTGCCTGAACCATTACTTTATATGAGCTAGCTACTGTTAGCTTACATCAAGGTGTCTCCCTTGTCACTGAAAATGTGTAGACGTCTGCCTAAGTAAAGATTACAATGTTAAATTTGGGCACTGAGTGTACATCAATATTTATGTGTTTGTGATTTCCAGGTACACAAATACATACATGGCATGCATACCAACAAATCTGGAACTACTTTCTTCTTAATGAATGTAAAACTGAATTATGCTATATTGATCTAAGCTTAGAATATCTTTAACTACAATTGATTGCCACAGAATATTTCATGTGCCCTGTTTCCAGTTTTTTAAAATTGCTCATTTCAGTTACCATAAGTATTCCTTTTGAATGCTCAAGATTTCAAAGCCAAGAATTTTTCATCTTCTGTTTGAGGTAGAATTGTATGTGTTTGTCCTGAATATCCACAGCTGTCTTTTTATATGGTTCAATTTCTGTGTCTGATACTCAGAAAAACATCATTTTGATTCCTGTGGGGTTTTTTTTATGTGAGAGCTTGAGTCAGAGAAAGAAACAGGTTTAGCAGGCTCTCTATGCTTTATATATACATATAGTTTTGAAAAAACAATTTATGTGTTATCAAAAATCATGTATTATTATTGGGTTGTATAAGTGTACTCTTAGAAGTGAAAATCAAGGGTTATACTTAATATACCCATTAGTTTTTTAAAAAGCTAAAACGTCTTTCTCATTATAGAAGTAATATGTCTAAGAATATTTTTCAGCCATAAAAAGTAATGGAGTAGTGAAAGGTGCTACAATATGGATGAAAATTGAAAATACTATGCTAAGTGAAAGAAGACAGACACAATAGGCCACATATTGCATGATTCCATTTATATGAAGTGTCCAGAATAGGAAAATCTGTAGAGACAGAAAGTAGATTCGTGGTTGCCAGAGCTGGGGAGAACGAGAATAAAGAATGACTGCTAGTGGGCACAAGGTTTCTTTGGGGGATAATGGAAATATTCTGGAATTAGATCGCAGGAATGGTTGCACAACCCTGTTAATATCATAAACACCACTGAATTGTATACTTTAAAAGAATGAGATGTGTAGCACGTGGATTTTATCTCACATTTTTTTAAAAAAATAAGACGTGCATTGTAGAAAATTTGGAATCAAAAGAAAAGTAGAAAATGGCAGGAACAAGTTATAGCCTCATTGTCCAGCAACAATTACTGTTGCTTTCTAGTGTATTTCCTTTCAGTTTGTTTTGTTTTTCATGTATTGTTGTTGCAGAGGGAAGACTTCAATATTGCTTCCTGTTACATGACAGAGATACAGTTATTAAATGTTAAATAGTCACATATTAAAATCAACCCAACCCCCTTAAAAAAGGGCAGGTCCCAAGAAAGATTCGTTTATTTGTCGGAGGGAATAATGGATGGGAATGCCAATAAGACAAGCAGAGAATGATGGCTAGCCCTGTAAGAAGGGATGAAGAAGAACCTGAAGGGAAGAGATCCCAGGTCCTGAGAGGCAGAAAGACAGATTTGAGCAGTTGCCATGAAAGGTGAGACTCCAGAGGGAAACATTTCAAAGAGACTTTTTTAGGAGGTTCACTGTAAGGTGCATAATAGGTGAGGTAAGCCATGCCTCTCTATTCATAAGCAGCTACATGGTTCACAGCTTTCCAAGAATCAGTTTGTGTTTCTTTCTGCTATGTCACTCTGCTAAGACAGTGCTTCATGTGAATGCATGAGGCCCAATTTTATTTGGGTTGCACATACTTATTTACTGTTGTTTCAGTCGAATGTATTTCACATTACTATTCCACACTTTCCCCTCAATAATAGCAGCATTTCTCTGGATTATTGCAAACTCATCATAAGCATAACTTCTATGACAATATTAATAGATAAGACTTACTGATGTTCTCTTGATACCAAGCACAGAGATTGAAATATTTCACAAGCATTATCTAATATAATCTTCACAACAATCCGTGGAAGGAGATAATTATCCCCAGTTCACAGATAAGAATATAGAGGCTCCGACAGATTAATTTGCCTAAAATCACTTAGCAAGTATCTTAATCATTCCCTCACTTGTCATAGGTTGTTTTCATTTTTTTTCTTAAAGATGTGGTAAATATATTTGCTTTTAAAACATTTCCCATTTATAAAATTGTTACCTTAGATGGATATATTAGAAAGTATTTTCTTAATTTCCAAGGGTTGAGATTTTTTTGTTCATATTATAGAGCTTTTCCTTTCAATTGTTTCATTTACTTCTTTGCAGCCAGAGAATTTGGTTGACAACAATTTACACTTTGGGGGATTTGGGGCCTTATGGCCCAGTATGTGGTCAGCTTTTTAAATGTGCCAAGAACACTTGAAAGAAAGCTGTCTTTTTGTAGGTTTAAAAAATGTGGGATATTTATTAATTTAGCCTTAGTATTTGTTATTCAGATCCTCCATGTGTTGTTTATTTCACTTTCTTAATCTGACATTGGTTTATTCTGATTTTTTGTTCCATATATTTGTTATTGTTGTGAATTTCTCCTTATACTTAAAAAGTTTTCTTCATTTTATTATATGCTTTTTGGTCTATGAAGGTTCATGTTACTTCTATTATGAATTGGCCTTTTGTAACCTTCTAGATTATCTCTGGCAGATAATTTTTCTATACCATTTTGTAACTAAATTCAAAATAACTATGTAGGATGATCTTACATTTTTTTGGCTTTGGTTTCCATAGTTCTTTAAAGCCTGGGTACCTTTTGTTTGTTTGTTTTTAGTATTTAATTTTCAATTATCTCTAGGTGTTTTCGCTAGTATCTTTGAGCAGTTTCCTTAAGGGAACTTGGGTTTTTGACCTGAGTCTTTGATATCTAAGAACAACTTTATGTTGCTTTCGTATAAATATCAATTTGGCCCAAGTCAGAAATGTATTATTATGTCCTTTTTCTTTCAAGAATCTGTTTTTTTAATTTTTCATTTTCAATTATTATGGATGCATGTTAGTTGTACATATTTATGGGGTACATGTGATATTTTGCTACAAACATAAAATGTGTAATAATCAAATCATGGTAATTGGGTGATATGGTTTAGTTCTGTGTCCCCACCCAAATCTCATATCCAATTATAATCCCCACATGTTGAAGGAGGGGCCTGGTGGGAGGTGATTGAATCATGGGGGCAAACTTCCCCCTTGCTATTCTCATATTGGAGTTCTCAGGAGATCTGATTGTTTAAAAGTGTATAGCACTTACCCCTTTGGTATCTCTCTCCTGCTGCCATGTGAAGACATGCTTGCTTCCCCTTCACCCTCCACCATGATTTTAAGATTCCTGAGGCCTCCCAAGCCATGCTTCCTGTACTGCCTGTAGAACTGTGAGTCAGCTACACCTCTTTTCTTTATAAATTACCCATTCTCAATTCTTTATAGCAATGTGAGAACAGACTACTACATTGGGGTTTCCATAACCTCAAGCATTTATCATTTTTTTGTGTTAGAAACATTCCAATTTCACTCTTAGTTATTTTTAACTATACAATAAATTATTGTTAATTTACTATAGTTGCCCCATTGTGCTACCAAACACTAGATCTTACTCCTTCTATGTAACTGTATTTTTTACCCACTAACCATCCCCTTTCTACTCCCCTTTCCACTACCCTTTCCAGCCTCTGCTAACCACCATTCTATTATATTCTCTACTTCCATGAGCTCAAATTTTTTGGAGCTCCTGTATATGAGTGAGAACATGAAATATTTGTCTTTTAGTGCCTGGTTTATTTTATTTAACATAATATCCTCCAGTTCCATCCATGTTGTTTCAAACAACAGGATTTCTTATCCATTCATCTGCTGATGGACACAGGTTTATTCCATATCTTGGTTATTGTAAGTAGTGCTGCAGTAAACATGGGAATGCAGATATCGCTTTGATATACTGATTTTCTTTTTTTTTTTGTTTTGGATATATACCCATCAGTGGGATTACTGGCTCATAAGATAGTTTGATTTTTAGTTTTTGAGGAACATCCATATAGTTTTCCAAAATGGCCGTGCTAATTTGCATTCTCAGCAACAGCTTGCAAGGGTTCCCCTTTCTGTACATCCTCACCAGCAATCATTATTGCCTTTTTCATAAAAGCCATTTTAACTGCGGTGAGATTATATCTTATTGTAGTTTTCACTTGCATTTCTCTGATGACGAATGATGTTGAGCATTTTTTCATATGTGTTGGCTATTTGTACATCCTTTTCTGAGAAATATCTATGCAGTTCCTTTGCCATTTTTAAATTGGATTTTTTTTCTGTTGAGTTGTTTGAGCTGCTCATATATTCTGGTTATTAATCCCTTGTCAGATGGGTAATTTGCAAATATTTTCTCCCATTCCGTGGATTGTCTCTTTACTTTATTGACCGTTTCCTTTGCTGTGCTTGATGTAATCCCATTTGTCCATTTTTGCTGTGAGATCTCAGGAAATCTTTGTCCAGCCCAATGTCCTAGAGTGTTTCCTCAATATTTTCTTATAATCGTTTCATCGTTTGAGGTCTTAGATATAAGTATTTAATCTATTTTGATTTAATTTTTGTATACAGCATGAGACAGGTGTCTAGTTTCATTCTTCTGCTTATGGATAGCCAGTTTTCCCAGCATCATTTATTGAAGAGACTGCCTTTTCCCCAGTGTATGTTCTCAGCACCTTTGTCAAAAATAAGTTGGCTGTAAATGTGGGAATTTTTTTCTGGGTTCTCTATTCTCTTCCATTGGTCAGTGTGTCTGTTTTTATGACTGTCCCATGCTTTTTTGGTTACTATAGCTTTGTAGTATGATTTGAAGTCAGATAATGTGATGCCTCCAGCTCTATTCTTTTTGCTCAGGTTAGCTGTTATGGTTAATACTGAGTGTCAACTTGACTGGATTGAAGGATGCAAAGTGTTGATCCTGGGTGTGTCTGTAAGGGTGTTGCCAAAGGAGATTAACACTTGAGTCAGTTGAATCTGTAGATTGCATTGGGTGGTATGGGCATTGTAACAATATCGATCTTCCCATCTATGAACATGGAGTATCTTTCCATTTTTTGTGTCCTTAATGTCTTATAGCTTTCATTGTAGGTAACTTTCACTTCTTTGGTTAAGTTTATTCCTAGGCATTTTGTTTTATTTGTAGCTATGATAAATTGGATTACTTTCTTGATTTCTTTTTCATATTGTTCATTGTTGGCATATAGCAATGCTACTTATTTTAGTATACTGATTTCATATCCTGAAACTTTACTATTTATCAGTTCTGATAGTTTTTTGTGGGATCTTTAGTGTCTCCTAAATATAAGATATCATCTGCAACCAAGGATAATTTGACTTCTTCCATTACAATTTGAATGTCCTTTATTTCTTTCTCATGTCCAATTGCTCTGACTAGAATTTCTAGTATTATGTTGAATAAAAGTGGTAAAAGTGGGCATGCTAGTCTTCTTCCAGATCTTAGAAAAAAGGCTTTCACTTTTTCCTCATTCAGTATGATACTAGCTGCCAGTCTGTTGTATATTGCTTTTATTGTGTTGAGATATGTTCCTTCCATACCCAGGTTTTTGGGAATTTTTATCATGAAGGATGTTGAATTTTATTGAATGCTGCTTTGGCATCTATTGAAATGATCATATTGTTTTTTTCCTTCATTCTGTTCAGATGATGTGTCACATTTATTGATTTGCATATGTTGAACCATCCTTACATCCCTGGGATGAATTTCACTTGATCATGATGAATAATCTTTTTAGTGTGTTGTTGAATTTGATTTGCTAGCATTATATTGAGGAATTTTGCATCTATGTGTATTAGATATATTGGCCTATAGCTTTCTTTCTTTGTTGTGTCTTTGTCTGCTTGTGGTATCAGGATAACACTGGTCTCATAGAATAAGTTTGGAAGTATTCCTTCCTTCTTGATTTTTTGAAATAGCTTGAGTAGGATTGCTATTAATTCTTCTTTAAGTGTTTGGTAGAGTTTAGCAGTGAAGCCATCAGGTCTTGTCCATATTTATTTATTTATTTATTTTGGACAGAGTGTTGCTCTGTTGCCCTGGCTGGAGTGCAGTTGTGCGATCTCAGCTTACTGCAACCCTTGCCTCCCAGGTTCAAGTGAGTCTCCTGCCTCAGCCTCCCGAGTAGCTGAGATTAGTAGCATGTGCCACCACACCTGGCTAATATTTGTATTTTTAGTAGAGACGGGGGACGGGGTGCACCATGTTGGTCCGGCTGGTCTTGAGCTCCTGACCTCAAGTGATCTGCCCGCCTCGGCCCCACAAAGTGCTAGGATTACGGGTGTGAGACACCACGCCCAACTATGTCCTGGCCATTTATTTGATGGGAGACTTTTTATTACTGCTTCAATCTGGTTACTTGCTATTGGTCTATTCAGATTTTGTATTTCTTCATGGCTCTATCTTTGTAGGCTGTATATGTCTAGGAATTTGTCCATTTCTTCTAGGTTTTCCAGTTTATTGACATATAGTTATACATAATGGTCTCTAATGATTCTTTGAATTTCAGCAGTATCAGTTGTAACATCTCTTTTTTATATGTGATTTTATTTATTCGGGTCTTCTTTTTTTTCTTAGTCTGGCTAAAGATTTGTCCATTTTACTTATCTTGTCAAAAAAATTCATTTTGTTGATTTTTTCTATTTTTATCTCAATTTCATTTATTTCTGCTCCGATCTTTATTAATTCTTCTACTAATTTTGGGTTTAGTTTGCTCTTGCTTTTCTAGTTCTTTACGATATATTATAAGGTTGTTTATTTGAGGTTTTTCTACTTTTTCGATATAGGCATTTATTGCAATAAACTTTCCTCTGAGTACCATTTGTGCAGTGTTCCATAGGTTTTGGAATGTTGTGTTTGTATTTTCATTTATTTCAATAAATTTTTAAGGTTTCTTTTTACTTTCTTCAATGACTCAACATTCATTCAGGAGCATATTAGTCTTTTCTTGCATTGCTATAAAGAAATACCTGAGACTGAATAATTTATAAAGAAAAGAGATTTAATTGGCTCATGGTTTTGCAGTCTTTACATGAAGCATGGTGCTGGCATCTCCTCAGCTTCTGGAGAGACCTCAGGAAGCTTATAATCATGGTGGAAGGTAAGAGGAGAGCAGGAATGTCACATGGCCAGAGGAGGAGCAATAGGGAGAGAGAGCATGGGGTAGGGAAGGAGCCACACAGTTTTAAATGACCAGATCTTGTGTGAACTGAGAGCAAGAGTTCACTTATCACCAAGAGGATGGCTCAAGCCATTCATGAGTGATCTATCCCCGTCATCTAAACACTTGCCACCAAGCCCCAACTCTAACATTGGGGATTACAATTTAACATGAGATTGGGTCAGGGAAAAGTACCCAAACTATATCTAAGAGCATATTGTTTGATTTCCATGTGTTCATAAAGTTTCCAAAGTTCCTCTTGTTATTGATTTCTAGTTTTATTCCGTTGTGGTCAGAAAAGATACTGGATATAATTTTTTAAAAATTTTTGAGACTTGTTTTGTGGCCTAACATATGGTCTATCCTTGGGAATGTTTCATGAGCTAAGGAGAAGAATATGTATTCTGCAACTGTTGGATGAAATGTTCTGTAAATGTCTGTTAGGTCCATTTGGTCTATAGTGCAGACTAAGTCTGATGTTTTTTTCTTGGTTTTCTGTCTAGATGATCTTTCCAATGCTGAAGGTGGGATACTGAAGTCCCTGGCTCTTACTATATCAGGGTCTCTCTCTCTCTCTCTTTAGCTCTAATAATATTTGCCTTATATATCTGGATGCTCGAGTGTTGACTGCTATATCCTCTTGCTTAATTGACCCCTTTGTCATTATATAATGACCTTCTTTGTCTCTTTTTACAGTTTTTGTCTTGAAATCTATCTTATCTGATATAAATATAACTAATTCTGCTCTTTTTTGGCGGGTTTTATTTGCATGGAATACCTTTTTCCATCCTTAAGTCTCTGTTACATGTTTTTAAAATCGTCTTCAAATAGTGTCTTGGTGAAATTTATAGTCATTCGTATCATTATTTCTTTATGGAGAGGGTTTGTGTCCATTAGTTTTGGAAGACATTTTGATAAGATACAATGGGATTCTTGTACAATTTGTTTGTCATTGATATGTAAACATTTTACTGAAAAAAAATACACAGATTTGGAGTCTTCCATTGTTTTTCTCCTCCTTCTTCTCCTCCTTGCTTTTCCCTGCTCCTTCCTCTTTTTTGTAGTGGGAACATTTTGTTCTATTAAATCACACTCCGCTCCTCAGTTCTTCAGGAACACATACTATATTAATCCATTTTCACATGGCTGATAAAGATATACCCAAGACTGGGTAATTTATAGAGAAAATGAGGTTTCATGGACTCGTGTTCCATGTGGCTGAGGAGGCCTCACAATCATGGTGGAAGGTGAGAGGCAGACAAGGAAAAAAATGAGATCCAAGTGAAAGCAGAAACTCTTTACAAAAACATCAGATCTTGATCTTGTGAGACTTAGTCACTATCCCGAGAACAGTATGGAGTAAACCACCCCCATGATTCAATTATTTCCCACTGGGTCCCTCTCACAACACATGGGAATTAGGGGAGCTACAATTCAGGATGAGATTTGGATGGAGACACAACCAAACCATATCGCATACTATTCAAGAGATTGCATTTTGACAGTCAGTCTCTTTATTGTCTTTGGTCAATCATGAGTAAAGACAAAGAAAGATTGTCTTTACTTCTGTATTTAGAGAGAACTTCTTAGGCTTGACCTGTACCTCACTAATTAATTTTACAACATTTTCAAGTCTACTATGTACTGTTGCCAGCACGGCTTTCAATTTGGTGACCTTATATTTCATTTGTACTTGGTCTTTATCTTGTCTCATTAACTACTTATAATTTCATCTGCTATTAGTTTATAAATGTACATTATCTTCTTTTACATGGTTAAGTACATGAATCAGATGTTTGAAGTTTTTTTCTGCTGTTTTATATAGCATGTTTATCTAAGTGGAACACCTGTTTTCTGTGCCTTTAGGTAATTGCTTGTACATGTCTATGCTTCAAGGTTTTTAATAGGTCATATGTTGAATGGTCTCTGTTTACACTATCCATACACAAAAGGATTCACAAAGGCCAAGGATTGAAGTATATTCCAAATACTTGGATAACCATAGGCTCTGTGAAAGATCAAGGTAGGGCTCTATGATAGCATCCCAGGAAGTCACCCAGTTCCAGAGCAGACAAGCAAAGCTACTCAATATAATGTGAGTTGAGAGAACCTTTGAGGGTGAATTAAGGACAACAGTGAGGAATGTGACCATGGAAGTTATACTAATGTTCAGTCTTAAGAGGCAGCACCCCCTCACCTGACTCCTTCTTGGATTAACCCCAGAAGATCAATCAGTTCTATCATAGGGTCAAAACTGAAAGGGTCTGGTTGAGTGGGCTGGAGGAAGCAAAAGCAGAACAGAGAGAATCTTTTTCCATACTTTGTTCTCTCTACCTGGTCCATCCTCAGCAAGGGATGGTCAGCAAGCTCACTCCATGCTGATAGCAGCAGGCTGGTTTCCTATTGGAGCCACTGGGAAACCTTCTTCCTCCACCCTTCTCTCTTCACCTTGGTCCCAAGTCAGTGTGGCTCTCATTACTCCAGATTATGGGCATCTGTGGTGAAGAATGTCTCCCTACTTCCTGGGCCAATTCTTTTCCCCGTGGACATGGCAGTCTGCTGGTCATCAGTGGTGTTATCATTTGGCTCCATGGAAGTGAATTTGGCGGAAATCCTTCCAGTTTCTGGTATGTGGTTACTTTTCACCCTTAGTTTCTGGTACTGTTGTAGAGGCTCCATACAGACTAAGGCTACTTGCAATGAGATGATGGTAAAGGAGGGTTCAAGGCATCAGTGCCTTCATTGCCATCTTGCCTTGAAGTGCAGCTAATTGCATTTTGTGGTGTGGCTCTTTTGGGCATAGAGTGAACTCGTTTATTCAAGACTCACTTTCATATTAGTTATAAATCATTATCCATATGTAATGGGTACGTGTGCCTCCCTTTTTTCCTTTCTTTTCCAGCGAAGTAGTGACTCACCAAAAAGCGCTGAGAATCCCTTGAATTAGGATGTTTAAGTCTAAAAGTGGATGAGAACTTTATGAGACCCTTATATATAAATATTATTAACATTTATAAATCGGCTCTAGAAACTAGAACAAAATAAACAAGCACTCATTTGTTTTTCTAAATCCAATCCAATCCTATGCCCCTCCTGCCTGCAATTACTGGGGCTCTCCTCCCCACCACCACCTTCCCATTTGGTGAAAGGGTGTGGCCTTTGGTCTCTGGTGGCTCCCATGGTTACTGATGCACTTCCTGTTAGGGAGCAATGGTTGGTGCAATGCCATCTGTCAAACACTGCTCTTGTGATGGGCCACACAGATGTCCCTCAAGGTGTTTCTCTCACCAACTGCAGGCTTAGCCACACGCTGCTGCTTTCAAGGCCACAGGGCTTAATGATCAGTCACCAGAGATAGCTGCATGCAAGTTCTCTGCCAGCCCCAGGTGGAAGGTTTTCTAAGAAAGGTGGAGTGGCTGTATTTTTATATTCAATTCAACAAACGTTTATTGAAAGCTGCCTATAGGCCAGGCACTGTGACAAGATTTGAGGATTTAAAGATGAATAACAATTTCTGTTGCCAAAAATTTATAATCTCAGTGGGGTGGAAGTGGAATGCATATAAACATAATAATCAGTATTACAAATCAGAATTTGATAAACCCTCTTAAAGACAGTGTAAAGGAAGGATGTTTGCAGTGTGTCTTCTTCCAGAATGTAACTTGAATCTGTACTTGGCCGCATCTCTGCTGATTCTGCCTGTCAGAGGCACCATCCTTTCTCTCCTGGAGAACTTAGGGCTTCCTCACCATTCCTCTGCCATTGCACCCCTGCCCTCATGACATGTTCTCTGTACATACAGCAGTCTCAGTGATATTGGGGATTCCTTTAAAGAGCAAATCAGGATCAGGCATGGTGGCTCATGCTGGTAATCCCAGCACTTTGGGAGGCCAAGGAAGGAGGATCACCTGAGATCAAGAGTTCAAGACCAGCATGGCCAACATGGTGAAACTCCATCTCTACAAAAATACAAAAATTAGCCAGGCATGATGGTGGGTGCCAGTAATCCCAGCTACTCAGGAGGCTGAGGCAGAGAATCACTTGAACCCAGGAGGCAGAGGTCGCAGTGAGCTATCATGTGATTGCACTCCAGCTTGGGCAACAAGGCGAGACACTGTCTCATAAAAAAAAAAAAACAAAAAAAAAACAAATCAGTCCTGTAATCCCAGCATTTTGGGAGGCCAAGGTGGGAGGATCGCTTGAGCTCAGGAGTTCAAGACCACCCTGGATAGCAAAGTGAGACCCCCATCTTTACCAAAAATACAAAAAATTAGCCGGGCATGGTGGCACATGCCTGTAGTCCCAGCTACTCAAGAGGCTGAGGTGAGAGGATGGCCTGAGCCGAGAGGTGGAGGTAGGGGTTGCAGTGAGCCGAGATTGTGCCACTGCACTCTAGCCTGGGTGACAGAGCAAGCTTTGACTCAAAACAAAACAAAACAAAACAAAACAAAACTTAAAAAAAAAAAAAAAGCAAATCAGAACCTACCACACTTCTGCTTAAACACTGCAGTGGCTTTTCACTGCATTTAGAATAAGATCCAAACTCCTGACTATGGCCTGAAAGGCTGAGTATGATCTATCCCCACCTACCTTTCTAACCTTCCGGCTTCCCCACTTCCTATCCCTCGGGCTCTTCAGGCCTGTTTCCTCTCCCATCTCTTGAACGGGCCCTTCTCATTCTCCAGATGGCAGGAATGAGGCCTCTTCAGACAGGTCACCCAGTCTGCCCTTCAGGCTTCCCATCCATTATTTTTTCTCGACATCCTTTGGTTTTTTTCAAGGACCCCCCAAATTTGTGATGATGTATTTGTCTACCTGTTTACTTGTTTCTTTCCACCTGACTGTGAACCACCGCTGGCTTGCTTTTCACTGTACACCTATAGGCCTGGCACTCATTCAGTGCTTAGCATGTAATTTTTAAATTAAGACTGCCTTAGTGAGAAAATTTCAGCAGGTGAGTTAAGGGCACGAGGAAAGGGCCTTTGTGCAGAAGTAATGACATAGGCAAATTGTCAAAGGAGAGGTTCCCTGGTGTATTTGTAGAAGAAAGTAGACCCATGTGTCTGAACCCAGCACACAGTTCACTTATGGTGGTTTTGAAATCTGCCCTGGAATTTTCATGCATCTTTTAAATTTTTGGTTTATTTTTTCAAGAAATAAATGAAGTCTTTATTTTTTCAATGAGGGCAATGTTTATTAAGAACAGCACATAAGGTAGAAAAGAAGGTTGGTTTCTAATCTTGGTTCATCTCCCCCACTGATCTTGAGTTTTAAAAGCATAGAGAGCACGATCTTCTGTGGGTCTCCACTGTCAGAGAGCCCTGGTGAGAATCATGAGCGGATGTAGTAAAAAGTGCTTCTTTCATATCAGCAGGTGGTTCTGTAGTATTTGCATCCATAGACTTCTATGCAGCATCCTTTCTGTTACTTACTCTTTTCTTTTTTAATCAAAACAGTCCATTGAAAAAATAATGTTGATTACAACAATGAATTCTGTTGATTTAAATGGTGGAAGGCAATGTTATCCTGGAGATATAATTCTGTGAAGTTTTGATTCAGGGAAGTCCAGCCCAGCCCTTGCATCTCTTTCCCGGCTCTGGGTCTATTCTTTATTCCAGCTGAGATGTTTATTTTATGTATGAAACAGCTCCCACCTACCTACAACTGCTGATTAAAAGCTCAGAATAATGAAATCTGCACAATCGAAACTTGGCTGTTGGCTATAGTTATTATGCAACTTTTAACATTTTCCTTTTTTCCTGTCAATAATATAAAATTGTCAGTTTTTTATTTCAGGGCTAACTCTTTGAATACACTAAAATTTGTTGCACTAGTATTTTTTAATGGCTGAGCTAAATTACTTCTTAAAGTTCAGATTATATGCTTTTGGGAGGAATAAGAAAATGTAGTGTCCGTGCAATAGCATCATTCAGACTGTCTGTGAACAGCTAAATGGAGATAAGACTACAAAGGTCCCTCCATGGGCCTTCAATTTTTGTCTTTAAGCAGACTGCTCACCATGCCTTGATAGAAATAGCAAATATAGGGCCAGGCATGTTGGCTCATGCCTGTAATCGCAGCACTTTGGGAGGCCGAGGTGGGTGAATCACCTGAGGTCAGGAGTTTGAGACCAGCCTGATCAACATGGAGAAACCCCATCTCTACTAAAAATAAAAAAGTAGCCAGGCCTGATGGCAGATGCCTATAATCCCAGCTACTCGGGAGGCTGAGTCAGGAGAATTGCTTGAACCCAGGAGGTGGAGGTTTGTGGTGAGCCAAGATTGCGCTATTGCACTCCAGCCTGGCAACAAGAGTGAAACTCCATCTCAAAAAAAAAAAAGAAAAAGAAAAGAAAAGAAATGCAAATATAACAAGAGACATAGTGTAAGTGATAAGATGCAGCATATTCCAATGGCGGGATGATTCACAGCAATTAGGAGACCCCTAGTGGGGTTTCTTAGACAAGTGATAACTCTCTTCCTACCCACTCATCTTAATTTCTGAATTTCTAATGTTAGAGGAGTCTTGCACGCTTGCCTGAAATCAATTAGTGGCCCTACACTGAAGTGCGCCTGTCTGAGCAAACAAGTACATCAGCCACAGTGCCCTGAGTTATTGAGTTATGGGGGCAGAACTCCAGAGGTCTTCTAGGTGTCTTGTGAGTGAGGGAGTGGGCATGCGCAGAACTTCCTGGGAGTCTCTTTCATAAGAGAGGGACAGAACACCATGAAGGTCATCAAGGCAAAGACTGAAGGTTGGGTTGGGGTACCACCAAAGGAAGGGAAATGATTTGAAGAGGAGACCAGGCTAACTAAGGTCACATTTGGCTCTGTCCCTATTTTTCCAATGGGTTGCCCTCAGAGAGAGTCACCATTAAATTAGGGGACCTTTGGACCAGAGGGGTAGTCAAGAAAGGCTTTGCAGAAAAGGGGTGTTGTATAAGCATATATTCCCAGCACTGTAGCAAATAGCTATGCCCCACAAACACTTGATGATTCGTTCAGTGTATGAAATGGGCACTTTGAAGGTATAACCACACACACATGCACACAGATTCACAAGCTACCATTCCATGATTTGTTAATATAAGAAAAAAATGTGTGTATGGATGCGTGTACATTTGTTTTTGTTTGTAATTGCTTCTGCTAGAACTCTTTATTGATACAGAGAAAAAAGTAAATTAGTTTATGAGGTGGAGGGTTAGTTAGGAAATCTTTCCAGGGGAGGTGATGTCTGAGTAAGGTTTTAAGGAATGACTAGAATTTGCAAGACAGACAAGGAATGGAGGAGGGTTGGTAAGAAGGAGTGGCGTGTGTATAGGCACAGAGATAGTGCTACAGGGTGAATGTCTGCCCCCTCCCCCAATTCATATGTTGAAGCCCTAACCCCCAATGTGATTGTATTAAGAGGCGGGCTGTTGGAGAGGTAATTAGGTTTGGATAAAGCCATGAGGGTGGAGCCCCATGATGAGATTAGTGCCCTTTTAGGAAGAGGAAGAGACACCAGAGCTTTGTGTCTCTGCCTGTCATGTGAGGACACCACAAGAAGACAGCTGCCTACAAGCCAGGAAGAGAGCCCTCACCAGAACCTAGCCACACCAGCACCCTGCTGTCAGACTTCCAGCCTCCAGAACTGTGAGAAATGAATTTCTGTTGGCTAAGCCACCTAGTCTATGGTATTTTGTTATGGCAGCTGAAGCTGACTAAGGGGGTAGTTAGAAAAGCTTTTTAGAGGATAGTTAGGAAAGCTTTTGTGACAGAGCTGCCACAGTAGGATATCTGAATAAGGTTTTAAAGAATGAATAGAATTTGCCAGGCAGACAAGGAATGGAGGAGAGTTGGCAAGAAGGAAAGGTGTATATAAAGGTAACAAACAACATTTAGAATTTGAGAAAGCCATTTTGTGTGGCTAAAGTGTGCTACGTTAGTTTCTTATTGCTGCTGTAACAAACGTCAAAACTTAGTAGCATAAAACAAAGTTTATTTTCTTATAGTTCTGAAAATCAAAGGTCTGACATGGGTCTCACTGAGCTTGAAGTGTTGGCAGGCTGTGTTACTTTGGGGGCCTTAGGGGAGAATCTGTTGCCTTACCTCTTCTAGCTTCTGTGGGTCACATACATTACCTGGCTTGCAGCCCCTTCCTTCATCTTCAAAGCCAGCAGTATAGCAACTTCATATTTCTCTCTGACTCTGACTTCCTGCCTACCTCTTCCGCATTTAAAGGACCATCGTGATTGCGTTGCACCCACATAGATAGTCCAGGATAATCTGCTTATATTAAGGTCGGCTGACTAACAACCTTAATTCCATCTGCAACCCTATTCCCTCATGCCACACAATGGAACATATTCACAAGTTCCGCGGATTCCGTGGACGTATTCAGGGAGGCTATTATTCTGCATACCACATATGCAATGCAAGAAATTGAGGGCGACTGTAAAGAGAAAAGTTGGCATGACCCATCATCCCTAGGTGGAAAAGATCATCCATTCAAAAGGGACCTATCATCTGACATTTAAAAATAAATAGAGGAGTGAAGGTACTGGAGATTTCCCTAAGGTATTAATGGGTATGTTTCTGTTGACTATTGGTTCATAAACCCAAAACTTGGTGGCTTAAAACAGTAATGATTTATGATTTCTCATGATTCTGAGGGTTGGCTGGTGATTCCACTGCTGGTTTCACCTGGGCTCATTCATAAACTACATTCAGCTGTAGGATTGGCTGAGCTGGAAGGTCCAAGATGGCTTTGCATTATCCAGCACTTGGTGACAGCCATTGGCAGGGCTGCCTCAGCGGTTTTCAATGTGAATTCTCATCCCTGCTGGGCTAGGCCACTTTCCTCACATGGCGGATTTGTGGCAGCATTCCAACAGGAAGAAGGTGGAACTGCAGGGCCTCTGGAGACCTAGACTCTAGACCTCACACAGCATCACCTCCACCACATTCTTTTGGGCGAAGCAGTCAGAAGCTTAGCATTAATTCAAGAGGAAGGGAAATAGATTTCACCTCCTGATGGGAGTTGCTGCCGTGGCCTTATTTCATCCAGCACAGGCTGTAAAGGTAGGAGTTTTTTTTCTGAGAGTGGAATTTTGAAATTTGAGATTTCAGAGGCAAAATGTTTCTGGATGACAACAATATCCAGCACGTGTCCAAAAGGATGGATGGCTCAAGTAAAATGTGGTAAAGATCACTGGCACTGAAGGAGAGAAGAAATGGTGAGACTAGGATGTGGGCTGCACCATCCTGTAGGCCCAAGAACGCTGTGTGGGCAGGGAGTGTGGAGGAGTGGCTTGAAGTCCAGGAGATGACAGCAATAATAGCGGGCAGGTATAGGATGATCAGACCAGATGGGGTGATTCTGTAGACCATGAAGAGCATGATCACGCTTTTCTAGGTCAGCCTTGTGAGTGGTGGGGACCAGAACCACTCCACCATGCCCTTCACTTCCCCACCTGCACTGTCTTGTTTATTTAACAATTTTTCAAATAAGCTTGTCCCTTCTGACTTCTGAATACTGTGCAAGTGGATTCATCGGGTACTGGTGAAAATATGAAATAACGTTCAAGTCAGTTTTGAGTAAGATGACAGAGCTGCCATAGTAGCAGATTACCAGTGTCCATTCTTTCAGGCTTTTCTTTTTTTTTTCTTTCTACCTTCCTTGTCTCCTCAGGTATGTATCTAAGTATGAGAGGGTCTCCACATCGATCAGCAGGATTTATAGTGATGACATTTATTAATAGTGTTAAATGAATAATACTTATTACTCTCATTCTACGTAAATAAAAATCAGAAACCAGACAGTCATTATCCAGATGGTCCTAAGAGTACACTCAACCATCAGAATGCTAGATATGAATAAATTAGAGCCTATAACAAGCGGAGAAGGATAAAATTGCATATTTTTATAATTACTACCATAATTTAATGTTTCTTTATGTGTAACAAATGAACAAATGATTTACAACAATGCAACTGTAGCATGAGTTTCCATCCTTGGCTGTGATTTCACATTCTTAAAATGCTTTTTAGAGAACCACAAGAGAAATTTCTACTCCAAATAAAAGATTTTCAGTATTTGGGAATTCAGTGAATGCTTCCTGGAAATTCCACATCTGGAGCAAGTGATCTGGGCCCTGAATATTTAACTCTGCCCTGCCTTTTATTTTCCCTTACATATTATCCCTTTTGCACAAGGGTCAGCACCTTTGGCAGTCACTTTGGTCTGGAGCGGACTGCTAGGGATTAGAGGACCCATAGATGTTATTCTCACCTTTGACACAGAAATTCTTCTTAGGACTACTCATGAAATGTGTCTAAAAATAAGTGAAGCAATGATAGTTTTTGTAATCATAGCCTTAATACAAAACTAGAAGGGCTCCTGTTACTCTCAAAGTAATCTTCAGTGAAAGCGACACAGCCATTCCGTCAGTGCTGCTATGATTCAGCTTATTTGGGGGATTCCTTCTTGGGGGCTGCTATCAGGGCTAGTTTGCAAGCCTACCAGAAAACTAATTCTGCATTATTAGTGTCCCATTCTCCATTTTTACTAAGTCTAAACATTCTCCCAAATTTTAGGGATTGGCTCTATATGACATTTATCTATCAAAAATAAATAAATAAAAAAAATTCACCCTTAAAAGAGTAAGGTTTCCCACCACTGAGGACATTTAAAGTAATGAACCTCCATTTCCAAAGTTGGGAGACTCCAACTAGAACCTGTGTTTCTGATTCAGGCTACTACCCCATGCTAATGTAACCAGAAACTTGTCGAAGAGGGTTAGGTATTACTATTTTTATTCTGGAATTGAGAAATGCCTCAGACAAGCATTTTTAACCCATCTTTCCAACTCTATTATCTTCTCATTAACTGTGACCTCCTCCCTGCCCCCTCCACACCCAAAACTTTTTCTGTCTTCTTTGCTTAAGATCAGCTACACCACATCTTGTTTCTGTATTCTTTAATTTTCAGTGAGTTACTGCTTGGTTAATTCTTCCAAGTTGTATCCTTTTTATAGATCTTTGTCATTATTAGGTTTATGAGTTTGCATCTAATTCTGGCCTTCCTCCTGACTCAATTTTGTTGTCATCTGAAGACATTCGTCTTCAGCATCATGATTATAATTTTTGAAACCATCAGTGTGTCAGTTACGGCACTGAGGACTTAATTCATCAGTTCACGTAATCCTCACAACAACCTTAGGAGATGAGTATTTTTATGATACCCACTTAACAGATGAGGAGACTGAGGCTCAGAAAGTACAAACAACTTGCCCAAAGTCCAATGACTGGAAAATGGGGGAGCTAGGATTCAAACTCACATCCTTCTAAGGCAGGGTTTCACAACCTCAGCCCTGTAACATTTGGGGCTGGGTAATTCTTTGTTGTGGGGTGTTGTCTTGTGCATAGCAGCAGTGTCTCTGATCTTCTACCCACTAGAAGCAGAACTCCCTCCTCAACCCCCCACCAAGTGACAACCAGACACGTTTCCAGACACTGCAGTGTTCCCTGGGATTTGTTTAGGACCTACCAATCTAACACCAAATTCATGCTTTTGCTATGTTATACTGTTAGATGGGTAACTAAGAAAACCATAGAAGTTTAAAACTGAATTTTCAAGAAATCAATTTTAGGAGTCACCATGCCTGGCCGATCATCAGAATTGGAGATTTTTAAAGACTCTTTTTCCCCACCCAGGATGTTCAGGATAAGTATGTGTCAGGTGGACAGGTATCTGACTGTTTTGAGCCTCTCCACAGTGTAGGAATTACAGATCTAATCCTAACCTAAGCACATATCTGTTCCTTGAATCACTCTACTCCATTCCTGCCAAATCGTTCTCCAGCCTCAGCTTTAACACCTCCTGTGATGGCGTTACAGTCGACAGTTCCATACCCTTCACTTCTGAGACAGTCCATGTTCCAATAGTCCTAACTGTGAAAAAGAATTCTTCTTAATATTCTTTCTATATATCCTTGTCAATGCCCTTAATCTCATTATCCAAGTTATCATTTTTCTCAATCAGATGAATTAAACAAACACTTGAGTCCCAATTATGTATTAGGCTTTACTCTGAACAGTTTCTTTACCATAGCCATTAAAATCATTACTGACTCCTTAAAAATGACCGCCCACCCACTTTTCTCAGTTTAACAATGGACTTCCATTGCTTGTCAGCCTTTTGGCTAAGATCAAGTGTAGCATCTGTTCTTATTAGTTTAACAATAGACTCCCTCAAAAAGGCAATTACAATTAATTAAAATCTTAAAATCATACATGGCTGGCCTCCTGTCCAGCTGCTACTGGTAAGCAGCCTGCACCCCTGTTTGTGGAGGGTCCTGTCCCTGGGGAGACCAAGCTGGCAGGTGCTTTTTTTCTTCCTCTTGGCCTCTCATCAGCAGCCCTGTTTAAACCTTCTTGGATGGTCTCAGGAAGATTCCAAAGTAACTCTCCTGGTAAAATTATTCTTTGCCATATGTTCCAGATTTCTTGATGAAAACACAGAAGATAATTTTTTTGAATCTTGCTTTATTGTGGGCCCTCAAGAATATCTTTTTTAAGGCTAGGCATGGTGGCTCATGCCTATAATTCCAGCACTTTGGGAGGCCAAGGTGGGGAGATCACTTGAGATAAGGAGTTTGAGACCAGCTGGCCAACATGGTAAAACCCCATCTCTACTAAAAATATAAAAATTAGCCGGGCATGGTGGTGGGCACCTGTAATGCCAGCTACTCAGGAGGCTGAGCCAGGCGAATCGCTTGAACCCAGGAGGCAGAAGTTGCAGTGAGTGGAGATTGCACCACTGTGCTTGTGCTGTAGCCTGGGTGACAGCGTGAGATTCCATATACATATATATATGTGTGTGTGTATATATATACACATATATATACACACACACATATATATTTATGAATTATGAATTTGATTAATACAAATAAATATAAGTTAATTTGATTAAATTTAGACTTAGCAGTTTACTCTTCTTTGACATCAGGTAGTCTTTCAGCCTGCACTTTTGATTATTCTCTAAGTCCCCATAACAGTTTTGAACCTATAGAAAACTGCTTTTCAACAACAGATATTGGCTAATGAGCGATCTTGTGATGAAGTAGATGCTAGCATTGCCAAGGCTACCTATTGCCCAATGTTGAAGTTCAGCCCTACAGGTGACCGGACTTGCTAGCAGGCCAACGTGAGTATCCAGTAGGCTATAAATGTGTGCCAGCTGTCCCGACAGTGGCTGAATGGAGCTCCAGTAGGCAGGTTGTGTTTAGAGAAAACCAAGGAGAAAATAACAGTTAACGGGAATAAACTGTTTGGGGTCAAAATAACAGTCCCATGTTTTTGTACTTGTGTGAGATATAAAAAGAAAACTTGAGTGTCAATTAGGCTTAGTACGAACTTCCAAACATTCTTTCCTGTGCTTGTGCACCTCCAAGGAAGTGGCTGGACGAAGGCAAAACTCCCTGAACCTCTTACGTCTTTGATTGCTCTGGAAAGCCTTGGTGTCCTTACTGTGGTGTTCACTCTCTTCTTACAGAGTTTCATAAATGGACGCTGACATGGACTACGAAAGACCCAACGTTGAAACTATCAAATGTGTGGTCGTGGGTGACAATGCCGTGGGGAAGACGCGCTTGATCTGTGCCAGGGCGTGCAACACCACACTCACGCAGTATCAGCTGCTGGCCACCCACGTGCCAACAGTGTGGGCGATTGACCAGTACCGCGTGTGCCAGGAGGTAAGATGCACAGAGTGTCTTCAGCATCCCTAGGGCACATCATTGCTGGTTGCCAGTCTGATTTTTTCTAAAGGAGGAGCGTGGATAAATTACACATTCAAAACAAAACTAACCTTTTTAGTGCCACGAGAGAAAACAAAAGCAAAATGCAAACCGGAGACTGTGGCTCTGGTATCCTGAATGAGGGTTGAGACAGATGATTCCAGGAAGGGAATTAAGACTTAGCTTAAATCCCGTCAGATAGAATAAGGAAACTTAATGCAAGTGAATTGATGGCACTGAGGGTGCTGACTTGAACACGCTTCTCCTGGGGAACTTCTGACTGACACCGAGCACAGATGCTCTCTCTCTCTCCTGCAGGTCTTGGAGCGTTCTCGGGATGTTGTTGATGAAGTGAGTGTTTCTCTCAGGCTTTGGGATACTTTTGGTGATCATCACAAAGACAGACGCTTTGCATATGGCAGGTAAACCAAGACTAGTACAGCGTGGTTGAGCTTGAATGCAATTTCCTTTTCAAAACCAGCAGCGGGTTTACAAATCAACAAAAACCACATCATATGGCCTTGAAATGTGCTGGGTTCTGCACTGTGTCTAAGAAAAGGAAAAGAAAAAAAAATGGTATTGTTTCCTGATGTCAAGAAAAGAAGCGTGCCCTGCCAATGAGGAAGTACTGTGTTGAAAACAACCAGTGGTCAAGCTGGAAGGTTTGCTAGATTAGGATTCTGTAACACCCTCCAACTGCGGGCTGCTTTGATTGCTGGTTCTCTGAGTAACACTTCACTTGCCTTCTGTTAGAATGTTTTAAGTTATTTTGGCACTTGGTCACCCTACTTCAGAAAGACTGTTTGGTCTTTTCATGACCATATTGGCAGAGTCTAATGTTATTTGCTTTGGATTTTGTGTTATCTGAAAAGTCTATTATTTTTATTAGAAGGTCATTTTTAAAAAGAAAGAAAAATATCTCCAAAGTCCTTCGCAAGACATATTTCCAAAATGAACAGAAACACTAACGTTTATTTTTTTAAAAAGGAGAAAAAAATCTAGTAATGGGAAAACTCCTCTAGAAGGACATTAATATGGGTAGGAACATGGTCAAAGTGCCTTAAAATATTTAGCAACCTCTCCTTGCCACCATAACTTAACGTCTCTCTCAATGAATGGGTTATAGCTGTTAAATTCTGTATTAATGGAGACTTTTTTTTTACCACTTAATTATAAATGAACACATTTCATTTTCAGTGTAGAACGTAGATATCATGGCCTTGTTGTCTCTTCTTAACATCAAACATCATATCACCTTACAGGATTTTATTAGTTAGGTACTCCAAGCACGTGAATTACTCCTTGGTATTGAGATAAGCATTTCTGAAGATTCTTCTATTTCTACAAGCCAGTAGCTCTTTGAACGGACTTTTATTGTCATTTATCTAAGTGGCCTAAAATAATGAATAAACTGCTGAAAGAGTTTGCCCTATTCCCAGGAATTATTTCACACACTGAAAGAATCTGTGACTTAGACCACTTTCTTTCAAGGGGACTCAGAGAGTTATGGAAGCAAAACACGATTTTAATGTCCCCTTGGTAACAAGGACTTTTGAACTTAGTATCCTACATCATAGATAGTTTTCTTTTCCTTGAATTTCCTGGATTTTTTTTCTTTCTATAATGTTGTTGATTGTTATCTTAGGTGCCATTTTGCTTTTTTCTTTTGTCCAATTGTTCTACATGTAAAAATAACAATTATAAATGAACCTGCTTGTAACTGCTGGGCAGTCAGGTTTGTAACACCTATGGTTTTGAGGAAGCTTGATTTGATGACTTTAGGCAGTGTAAGGATAAATACAGTAGATTTCAAAGGACTTTTTTATATCCCCACTTCTAAAACAGTGTCATGAAAATGATGAGCCTGATGATGAGTTAATGGAAATATTTGGGTTTAGAATCTAGAGACTATTTCAACAGCTCAGTGGTTTGTTGCCACTAGAAATTTATGCATTTGTCAATACCTGTGAAAAAATAACAGAAAAAAAAAGAGAAAACAACAACAATGAAATGTATTCATTTCAAACAACGAAATTTAACATGACCCCTCAGCGTAAAGCTGGTGTGGTGGTAATAAAAGGGCTGCTTCATTATCTTGTGAGATTCCTGCATAGCATTTATTTAATGGCACGATGGCCTTCATAGATCCACACTGGGCCCCGTCCAGCTCTCTGACATAGCTGGAGTCATTTTACAATACAACATGCCATACCTGCGTGTGTGTTCCCTCCCAACAAAAATAAGCTGCTCTTTCCTGTGACTCCATCGGTTCAAAGTGCATTGTTCTGCTCCCTTGTCTGTAACATTTGGTTCTGTCAACTGTAACCCATTATCCCTTTGATAGAAACAGGAAGTGCTCCCCCAAGCCAAGTTTGATTCTCTGAGCAACATTGAGGGGCTTCAGGAACACTCCTGTGTTTCTGGCCACGTTCTCCTTAGGGCCTTGCTTTGTGTGCATGTTTGTACCTTGTATTTCCTCTGCCTTTTCCAATTCCTCACAGCCTCCAGGCGTCCTGACACAGACCCCACCTCTAGTTAAAGAATAAAAACCAGAGCTCCTCTCTCTTGCACTCCAGCATCTTTCTGTAAATGCTAAATATGTAATATCACATTGACGTAATGCCAAAAAGTTACATTTTTATGGAAAAAACTGAGAGAAGTAGGAGTTTTTTAATTCACTATAGGTCCCTAACCAGTACATTTCCCGGCTCTGAGAGAGCTGTTTAATTTCTTAATGACTTCAAGTTTTACCTTTATATCATTTGTGAAGGAGAGGAATCATAATTATAGCTTTTACAAACCTTTTTTGTTTTTGCAAAACTTGTTTGGTTTGCAAACCTGTTTTGTGACTGACATTTTTACTGTACTTAGTGAGAATTACAGTTCAGTGGGATGTACTCAAGACATAAACTTTGAGGCATGTGAAATACATTCCCTATTCTTGAAAATGTATTCGAAACCTTTTTAAAATAATTAATTTGATTCTTGTGGTGACAGTGAGAGAAGCCAGATTTAAACCAACATGTTTTAGACCTTGCCTTCGGTTTCCTCTGCTTCATAGCAAAAGGTAGTTAATAAGTTGCCCCTCAAACATTCTTTGGCATGGACAAGCTCTAGTTTGCAGAGAGGATTCTGTGGGATGAGGAGTTGTCAGTGGTAGGCAGTTGGCCAACTTGAATTTGCAATGTTCCTGATGTGGTATAACCACAGTGTTATTGCTCTCTTATGATTTAAATGGAACTATTCTACCCATTCTTTTGCCAATTAGAATAAAAGCTCCAATTTTTCAAAAGCCTACTGTGTGCCAGTCAACACATTAGGTGCTTTGCCAACATTAGTTAATCCTTTCAGGAACTGTAGGAGGCAGAGATGATCTTGGTGCTACCATTGAGTAAAAGGTTGAGTTCTTTTACTACCATAAATTTGCCCAACAAGTGAGTCTCAGAGGCAGATTCAAAGCCACTCTGCCTGACTCCTGGCTCTCACTCTTTCCACTGTGCCAAGCTACCTCAACCTACTGGGACCCTACATTGGTGAGCTGGATTTCTATTTGCTCTTTTGGATTTGTGCAAAGATTGGAACTAGAAGAGATTTCAAAAGGTCATCTGGTTGACCCCATGTCTTCAGGAAGGGAAATCATCCATCTATCCAAAAAAAAGTATTGATAGGAGCCCTTCTATTCCATGGAGATGAAGGAAACAGAGTAGCATGAGTGTTGTAACGCTCTGCACTTTGAAATCTGTCAACCCTCTCTTCTCTGGGGTGAATAACTCCAGCTCTCTTATGGCCTTTTTTCCACCACCTACTTTATATCCACTTTTGGATGAACTTTTGAAGCTCTTTTCTGGATCTTTTAAAATGTCAGGAACAAAACCATACATAGTAACCATGACTTTGATCAGCTGCTCTTTTTTGGCAAGGAAAGCGCCTCTTCTTAAAGGGATGTCGCTCAACTCAAGAGTTGTCTCCTGGAGCTCTTATAAAAATGAAATGTCCACATTTAAGGACTTAGCACTGAAAATATAGGCAAACAGGATGGGCTCTGCCTTTATCAGGAATCTGGCCCTTCAGTCCCTGTATTAGTCTGTTCTTACACTGGTAATAAAGACATATTTGAGACTAGGTAATTTATAAAGAAAAAGAGGTTTAATGGACTCACAGTTCCGTGTGGCTGGGGAGGCCTGACAATCATGGCAGAAGGCAAAGGAGGAGCAAAGTCACATCTTACATGGTGGCAGGCAAGAGAGAGAGCATGTGCAGGGGAACTGCCCTTTATGAAACCACCAGATCTCATGATACTTATTCACTGTCATGAGAATAGCATGAGAAAGACCTGCTCTCAAGATTCAGTTACCTCCCACTGGGTCCCTCCCACGACATCACGACATGTGAGAATCACGGGAGCTACGATTCGAGATTTGGGTGGGGACACAGCCAAACCATATCAGTCCCTTTTGTCTAGTCACACATAGGTAAATAATTGCAGATTTTATTGTTTTTTTTTTCCCCTATAAAATTTCCTTCATTGATCTGTCTGCAGGTCAGAGAACCTTCAGACACTGAATAAAGCCTATGTTGCTGACAGTGATAACAACTACAGTTTAATCAGGGTGCCCCAGGCACCAGGCCTGTGCTACGTGCTGCATGTGTCCTGTCCTGCTTCACTCTTGTGGTGAGCCTGCAAAATAGGCTCATTTCACGGTTGGAGAAACAGGCACAAAAAAGGGCCAAGGTCAGACAGCCAGGACAGAGTGCAGCTGGACTTTCCTCTTGAATCTGTCTGACTCCAAAGCCCATATCTTCCCCATCCACCATGCTGTTGTAGTTTGTGATGATGATGGATGACAAAATTACTTGAAATTTCCTCCTGGTACATTCTGAATCTTACACAGTACTGTGTAGACCCTGAAGACCAGCACTCACCATCTATTACGAGCTCTGATATTCCAGTGTTCCTCTTAAATTCTTTATTCCACAACAAATAACTTAATTCTTTATATGCATCCATTAAGTAGCGGAGCATGAGTCCTTTTGCTTTCAGTAAAAATGATACATCCAAGCAAACCTTCTGAGAGTGAATGGGAATCTTGGCATGTTTTCCCCAAATCATTTAACAAAAACATTCAGAACCACTGTACTTGCCCTTATCCCCAGCAATTTCTGGGCTTATTTTGAGTCCAGTTAGAACCCATTTATTATCTAGTTTATTCTTAGACACTGATTTTTCTCAAATGTTGTTGGTTCCTATGAGAAGTAAAGTACATGTTTTAAATGATAACATTAATCAGAGCTATGGTTTCTGTATGTCTAGTTTCATGTTGAAGTTACCTGTAATCAGACACGAATGAACACACCCCATTCTCAATGCACAGTTGAGGCCCTTTAAAAAATTCAGGACTGTAGTGACTGGTGTTTGTATCTTTGCCTGGGATTGGTTGTGCTTGTGTTTTACGGCAAGCAAAAAAGTAAGGATCAGTGAGTGTGTCTAGATACAGCATTTTGAGTTAGCTCTTAATGTTCATAGCACATTCTAAAGCCTGGGCCAGAAATAACATTGTAATGATGATGTTAGGATGGCAAGCAGCCCGTTGCACAGTGAAACTTCAAGTGGACCAGGAGGTGGACCAGGGCCAGGACTAGGGCATACTGAGGGAGTCACTCGCTTTGGGCATAAAATGTAAATAATAATAATCTTAAAAAGACAGGATCACAATTGCTATTTTGGTTTTTTTTTCCCTTCTGCCTCAGACACAATATGGCACTGTTACTCATGCTGACTTTATTTAAAATTTTGATACTTTGTCCACCATGGATTTTTTTGCCTTAATTTGAATTTTTTTTTTTTTTTTTTTTTTTTTTGAGAAAGAGTCTCTCACTATTGCCCAGGCTGGTGTGCAGTGGCGCGATCTTGGCTTGCTGCAACCTACGTCTCCCAGGTTCAAGTGATTCTCCTGCCTCAGCCTCCCAAGTAGCTAGGATTACAGGTGCCCACCACCACACCCAGCTAATTTTTTGTATTTTTAGTAGAGCTGGGGTTTCACTATGTTGGCCAGGGTGGTCTCGAACTGCTGACCTTGTGATCTGCCCGCCTTGGCTTCCCAAAGTGCTGGGATTACAGGCATGAGCTACCATGCCCAGCCTGAATTTTTTTTTTTTTTTAAGTATTATCTGGATCACTGAAGTTTTTTTGGTACCCTCTTACATTTTGCACTTGAAGAAGTGCTTCATTTTCTTCACTCAAGTACTGGCCCTAATGGCAGACTTTATAAATAGATAGCAAAGTAACTAAGGGAAGAAAGTTAGCAATGCATGTGCTTTTTATGGAAAAGTAATCCAAACCACACTTTTAAATATATGGTACCAAGAGGTCTTGGAAAATTATTACTGGTTGTGTCTTAAAGACATTCAGTTCAGTGTGCTGCTGTAACAAAAAGAACTAAAAATTGCTCAGGTTATAGAAAAAAGTAGAAAGGCATGAAAGAAAAGCAGCAATTTGAACCAAGAGATAGAAATAGTTGTTCCCTAAGAGGTTAGGTTAAAACTGTTAGCTCTCCTATTTGAACAGAGCAGTCATTCGGATGTAAGAGTTCTGGAAGAGGTGAATCAGCCAATTTTAGCCAGTACCTAGAAGACTCTGAGGCAGATGGTCCTCTGGCCCCACTTTGGTAAACACCGTCCTGGAATTTTCTGATACTCGTTACCAAACCTCAGCCAGAAGGGAAGAATTTTTGACGATTAGAGAGAGAGCTTTTGAGTAAGGGACGCCAAGCAAAAAAGAGCACATACTGTGTGATTCCATTTCTGTAACATCCTAGAAAATGCAATCTAATCTATAGTGACGGAAAGTAGATCACTGGTTTCCTAGAGAAGAGGATGGAGGGGAGGGATGGATCACAAAGGAACATAAGGAAATTTTAGGGGTGATGGAAATGTTTGCCATTTTGATCATGATGATGGTTCATGGGGAATACGTATGTCAAAATTAATCAAATTAAACAATAAATATGCAAATTTGGTATATTTCCATTATATCTCAATAAAAATTCTTTAAGACGAGAAATAGGCCAGGTGCAATGGCTCATGCCTATAATCCCAGCACTCTGGGAGGCTGAGGCAGGTGGATCACTTGAGGCCAGGTGTTTGAGATCAGCCTGGCCAACATGGTGTAGCCCCATCTCTACTAAAAAAATACAAAAAATTAGCCAGGTGTTGTGGCTACTCGGGAGGTTGAGGTGGGAGAATCACCTGAGTGTGGGAGGTGGTGGCTGCAGTGAGCTAGGATTGCACAACTGTACTATAGCCTGGGAAACAGAGCAAGACCCTGTCTCAAAAAAAAAAGAAAAGAAAAGAAATATCCTTATGGACAAAGTAGTCTATGATATATGAAGAAAGGTTTGTGTGTTAGACTATATATGTTTTAATTATTTATGGAACTTTAAGTTAGTCTCGTTGAAAACGTAAATCACTATGTGAACTTAAAAAAATGGAACCAGATCCTTAATAGCTGAATATAACCCTGAAACTAACGATGGGACACTGTCATACTGTCACACAAAATCATGCTGGTTCCCTTTTCTCAGAGATAGAACCCCCCCTGCCTCAGTGGCTCATAGTCTGACCCAGGGGCCCATAGTCTGACCCAGGGGCCTGTTTCTCAGCCTGTGGTTATGTTTATATCTTTTTCTAGCAAGAAACGTTTCACCAGATACCCTGTGATAGCCAAATAGAGAACACCACGTTCTGTGAAAATTTTCCGTTTCTTCATCAAATAGTAACAATTTTGTCTTTTGTAGCTGGTTCGTTCTGGAACTGGTGAACATGGTGGTAATCTCTGGCAGCATGCACGTGACCTCTGTTTTGTACCCAGTCACTCTGACTAGAAATTGGGTGCCGAGTTGAGTGATCAAGTGGGTCCTCTCACTGGGGTTGGTTACTAGACTCATGGGCATGAGACTCCATTCTTATTTGTTTCTCTGGATTGAATCCCAGCCTGCCTTCCCAGCCTCCTGTCTTGGTCCAGACATAACAAAGTATTTGCAGTTCTGTGCCCTTTGTACCCTCCAGGCCCACAAACATGCATTATGTTAGAATTTAGGCCCCTATCCCACCTATTCTCAAGCTAGCTAATCACTACTCATATGCTAAGAATTAGAACAAGTGTCACGTACTCCTAGAATTCCTCTCTGCACTCTTCCCACCCTCTCTGTCACCTTCGGAATCCAGGTGAGGTGTCTCTCCGTATGTTCCCATAGGACAGCTTTGCAAATCCCTATCGTAGCAATAACTGTATTGCGGGAAAATTGGCTCCTTAATTTTCTCCCATTCCCCTTATCCTATTATCCTAGTATATTTAGGACAGAGATTTTGTCTTTCTATTTTCTATCCCCGATACGTGGCCTGGTGTCTTGTAGGAGCTTGATCGATGTTAGTTGAACGAGTTGACAAATCTCTCATGTGTTCCAGGATCTTCTAAGGCATAGACAAGGAAATAGTCTTATAACAAATGCCAAATTATTTTACTAAGTTGAATTTTATATATGCCCTTTTGTAATAAGAATAACAAATGATGGATCAACCTGCAGGTGATGAAGATGGAAAATACTGGTGCTTAGCCTCTCCTTAGTGAATTAGCAAACGGAAAGATCAGCTGCCCCCAGGAGAAAAAGGAGAGAGTTACACTCAGCCACACCCTCAAATCCTCCCTTGTTTTCCCCAAGTTTTTGGACTTGTAAATTTTTTTGGTAATGCCTTTTGTGAATGAGTATTCTTAAACAGTGAATTACTTGTATGAATAATAACGCTTTTCCAATTATAGGTTGTTTCTCCTCTGGGTATCATTTTCAAGATCTTTATAAGAATAATTTTTAAGAATAATTATATAGAGAAACATTTTTTAATCCATTTGCCTAAAGATGAGAGCATTAAGTAGAACAATTAAAGGTGGATTATTGCTGTTATGTGATCATCCAAAACAAACAGATACGTGTTAGACTACATGCATACAAATAATTCAAAAAATTAAATCTGTGATGGAAGTTTAGGGATTCTGTACTAAAGAACTCAAGCATAGAATTGCAGTGAAGCTGAATCATCTGGCGCACAGAAGATACATGTACCATTCTCTGTGCCACCCTCAGCCTGCTGTCCCACACTGTCCTTCGCGCTCTGAACTGGTACATCTTGTATTCTACCCAGAAGGGAAAAACAGAAGAGCTGGGATTCCTATGCCTGACCCAGCCTTGTCCCCAGGATGAAATTGTCCTTGGAAAGCGGAGTGCCAAATGAGATAGCAACAGGGCTTGATTGATGCCTGGGGCTCACCCATGTGCCAGGGCCAGGAAGGATTTTGGCTGCTGCCCAAGCACCAGTCACATGGCTGGGTTCTTTGTGGCTCAGCCCAGAAAAGCATTGATGGGCCCAAGAGAGTCCACAGGAGTGCGATTAATGAGGCCACTGCAATGGGCAAAGAGAATAAGGAATATATGCATTGTTCAGTACATTAATGTCTTATGTTCTGCGTTCCTTTTACTTTTTTTCTATTACTGCTTAATAACAGGAAGCTTGACAAGTTGGTCAAATACAACTAAGTATGTTGACTTTTCATGATGAAAGAAGAAAAGAAAACATCAGTTTGTGATGTGTTTATACTGGAACTTTCTGATGAAGAAATATATTCCAGCCCATACAGTTTTTCCTTTCAAAGTAGGTGGTGAAAAGAAAGAGACTGTTAAATAATTCTGCATATCCTCAGTGGATAATTCTGTTACCTATCTTTCAGCTATTCCATATCAATAAAGGACACAGCTGGTAATCCAAAAGGAAAGGATCTCTTGATGAAAGTGTTCTGCCATTCTTATTAAAGTCAACATACAAGATACACTCTTAGTGATTTTTGAACCCATAATTATATTTGTCTGATAATAATTGGCACTTAACGGTTACAGAACACTTTCACTGATATTTTCCTTAGTGAATCTTAACAACAATTCTACCAGTAATTTCTAATATTTGCCATGATTAGACTTTCAAAATTAGTCCACCACTTTATTCTCCCCCAAAAATGCCTCTGCCCTCAGCCTAGAGAGAATAAGTCAGAAGGAGGAAGTTCTGAATTGCAGACACAGAAATCACATTAGTGAATTCTTTTTTCAATGTATCATCTTGACTATGCTTTTAGTGATTTGCTTGTTTGTTTTGTGTGTTTTTTAAAAGCAAGATGGTCTGTGCAATAGAGGGCTTTCTTAAGCCTTAATTCTGTTGTAACTTACCTGGAATTAATCCTGAAAGTAACCTGTCCATTTCTTTACATTTCCTTTGCTTCTGGAGATAATCTAATTCCTGGAAGAAATTATTAATGCATTATTATTCTGATGTTATGAAATTATCCAATTACATGGGGTAAAGAGATTTTTTAGAGAAATTCAAATAATTAAAATATATAGAGATTAACCGGTTAACCTCTGCCGTATACCAGAGGTATTACATGGCAGTCTTTCAGCATTAACAGTCTGAAGAACTGTAATGGCTCACATTATATTTTCATTCTTTATTGAAGTTCCAAGTGATTCTCTGACTTACTTTAAGCCTAAATTCATCTGTTTTAGACTTTGAGTCTGCAGACACATTTGTATATGCAGGTTTTACTTTCTGATATCCATAAGGCCTTTTAATTTAATAAAAATTAATTGAGGGCCTGTTTCCTTACACTGTGTGCGCACAATGAGAGAGAAATTAATAGGAACAGGACAAAATCCCTGAAAATGACCTCATAGTACGGTGGAAAAGACAGCTACATAAACCATTACAATTCAGGGTTAACAATGCTGAACTAGAGGTGTCAGTTCCCGGAACAGGGAAGCAGAAATAAATAGCTCACGAAAAAGCTTATCATTATTCTGAACTCTTTTGGTTCACATCACACATCTGATCCTCAGGCTATACCTTCAGTGTGTGTATACAGAATGCAGCCACTTCCACCTGTAGGGGACCCCTCCCAGGCTCAGCAGAGTCACCATCCTCTCTCTCGGAATTCTTACCTCTTAATTGGTCCTCTGCTTCTTCCTGCCTTTCCCTCCCTATCCGCTGACCCTCCCAGTCCTCTCCCACTCTTACCTTGCCACCAATTTAGTCCATTCTCATTAAAGCAATGGACTGACACTGTTCAAACATAAATTATATCACTACGTTCTGCTCAAAGACTTCAGTTTCCCCTCACGACTGTGCTCCAGCAGAATGGCATGGTCCCTTCCTCCAGGAGGGCACCACAGGCAGGCTCCTACCTCGGGCCTTTGCTCTGTTTCCTCTTCTGCTAGGTTCTTCCCCCAGATACTGGCATACTGATTCCCTCCCTTCCCCAAGGGCTTCTGGAAATGTCACCTTCTCAGCGAGGCCCTCCCTAGCCACCTCATTTTCAACAGCAATTTTTGCTTCCCAATATCTCTGTCCCCTTTCCCTGCTTTATTTTCTAATTGGCACTTAGCACTACCTATTTTTAATATTTTTCTTCTTGATTGTCTGTCTTCACTAGAATGTGAACATAATGAGATCAAGTGTGACAAGGACAGCAGTTTGTGTCTTTTACTAATCACTCTATCCCCAATGTCTAGAAGAATGCCTGGTACACAGTAGGTTCTCAATTACTATTTCTGCAAGAAATGATTAGATGGTTGATGAATAATACTGGATAAGTGACTTGACCATTCCTGATACCTTTACTGATTCAAAGAGAGTTGCCAAGGAGGCTGGGTAGAGTCCTTTTGTCATCATGGTCAAATGATCGTGCTGGTTTACCCAGTTTGGTCTCAGAAGAGTCGGGGAGGTTAATCCCAGAGACCTCCCATGTAGCGCGGTAGCTGACACTGAAGTTTTCTTATGCGTGCAACTTGCCCTCAGAAGAAAACATGAAAAGTAGAGGAAGGAAGTTCCTCAGTCATTCAGCTTCAGGGAATGCCAAAGAGGAATATGAACTCCAGACGGAGTTGAAAGAGAGTTTATTACCACAATTTCACCTTCGTCTGTTTAGCAAGCCTTCTTTACTTCAGTGCCTCCTGCATTCGTTGACCAGGAGTTAAGTAGGACTGTTTAAGCTGTTTCTTTTAATAAATTATTTGTGCTTCACGCAATTTCACATGCATTCAACTTCTGATGATTATGTGAGGTGTAAGAATAAACTAACGGGAGTATGATTTGCCAAGTATAGAAAATGAGATTTTGAGTGGAAAATGGCCTGATTTCATTGGATGATAACCCACAACCTTCTTTGGCAAGGCCATTAACCCCTATGATATTTGTACTATGATGGTAGAACCAACCATTTCTAAGACTCAAGTATTAGGTTGGTGCAAACGTAATTGCGGTTTTTGCCATTGCTTTCAATATTATCTACCTTAGGGTTTGGTGGCATTGCTGGGATGCTGATGTGACTTCCCTGCACTTAAGAGCATGCATTGCTTTGGCCCCACTTTCAGAGGGTGGTGGAAGACTGGTTTAAAATATTGCTTCCTACTAAACATGCAGATACGGGCTTGGAAAAAAATAGTTGCACAAGCTAATCACTCACAAATCTGGATATATTTCAGGATGTTTTGACAGTTTTCCCCACATAACATCTGTACTTAAGAAGCCTCACGCTATTGGTAAAGTATTAACTTGATTTATCTGCTCACATCCAGGGCACTGCATGGTTCTGCCCTGCTATCCCCAGATCCCCTGCCAGGCGCTCCCCTACAGGCCTCTCCATCCTCCATGAGTATGAGCTTACACGGCCATTCATCTCCTGGTGGTTATGTGCACCATCACTGACAACTCCCTCTGCATCTCATACACACTGGGCTGCTCCCCTACTAAAATTTTCCAAAGCCACGTGTTACACATTCCTTTTCTCTGCCATGCTCCCAGCTGTTTTGTGCTGTTTTGATCTGTCTGTTTGCATAGCCCTGTCAGACTATATGCATGAAAGATATGTTGTCGACATGAATGGTTTTGAAAATGTTTCTGTAAAGAACCTACCTCAGTTACCAGCAGGGAAAAAGAAGCTTGAAGCCCCAAAGAAGGTCAGACACTCCTACTTGAATCTTTGCCAGAGGGGGACTCATGCACAGTGACAAAGAAAAGAAGCCCATTAAAATGTGACCACAATGTCTGTCCATATACTGGATATGGGGAGTCTCTCCTAAAAAAATAAGTAATAATAGTCAATGATGACATATAAAGAGGTGGGATCCTACCATGGAACAAAAGAATTTGTACAAATGTACATTGAAAGGAGATACTTCAAGCAGAACTTGGGTAAATATAATTATTAGCGGCCAGGCGCGGTGGCTCATGCCTGTAATCCCAGCTCTTTGCAAAGCCGAGGTGGGAAGATCACAAGGTCAGGAGTTCAAGACCAGCCTGGCCAACATGGTGAAACCCCATCTCTACTAAAAATACAAAAAATTAGCCAGGCATGGTCATGCGCCTGTAATCCCAGCTACTCGGGAGGCTGAGGCAGGAGAGTTGCTTGAACCCGGGAGGTGGAGGTTGCAGTGAGCCGAGATTGAGCCACTTCACTCCAGCCTGGGCAACAGAGCAAGACTCCATCTCAAAAAAAAAATTATATGTATATGTATGTAATTGTTAGCTTATTCTTGGTCACCAAGTGTTACTGTATCAAGAGACCCAACCAGACTCAGACAAACTGGAGAAGGGCATTTGGCTGTCCCACTCATAGCTTTCTGGAGAACTTGGTGGAGTCCACTGTCCTTCTCATTGCCCGTAAAATTTACCTGATCTGAAGCTTCTAGATAAAAAGATAATGTCAGAATTATTCTTTCACTTAACCAGGTAAGAAAACCCAAGGCCCACAGCTCCTCAGCTGGATGATAGTGGCAAAATAAATGATACTAGAAAAGGAAAGTCAAACTAAGAAGACAGTACTTTTGTGACAGGAAAGAATTTAGAAGAAAATTCATTTAACAATAAAAGTTTGTTACTGATTATCAATTCTTTTCCGACCATGTCTTCAAAGGATGAATCTGGTATTTCAGATTGGAAAAAAAGTTGAGCTTCTGGTTGCTTCTCTGATCTTTTCCCACCAACTCTGCTATATTTGACTGTAGACATTATAAAGACAGTCTCTGAGAACATGTGTGGTATTTTGCTGTTCAAAGTCTAGCTAGGGCCAAGATATGTGGGTAAGATGCACTTTTTTTGGATTTTTTTTTCTTTAATCCTCCAACAAAGATTGGTCCCAACTTTGCATGTACTCCTTATGTTATTCAAATATCCTTGCCAATCTTTCACATGCTATCTTTGGCCAGTGTTCCCCTCGAAAGATAACTGAAAAAAAATGCTTTTTTTTGTTTGTTTAAAATCTGAAGTAAAACTGATGCAGCTGAGCTTGGCTTTATCAGCTCAGGCATTTTTGGATGACTTGGTCTCTCTGATTCACTCCCACTCCTCTATGAAACAAGATCTCCAATTGTTTCAACATTTCGATTTATTTCAGATTGTTTTTGATTTGACTAGTCAAAACATTATTTCATGGACATTATTTGATGTCTTAGTACCCAGCGAAATTTTTATATTGATATTTTCTCCTTAGAAAGAAGAAGTCATTTTTCCCTAAGATATAAACATTCCGTGGGCAAGGGCAAGCAACTAAGACCATATATCCTTAAGTCCTTTGTAATTCTGGCTTTCTCTAATAAAACTGTTTAGCCCAGTGAAACATAAAATATTTAATAAAAGTAAGTACAATAAACATTCCAAACTCCTTCCTACCCCTTTTCAGTATTCAGGTTCTGGAGTTTACAATCTCATGTACCCTGTACTCTGCCTCTGCATTCTCGAATTCTTATGCTTTTTACCCCAAATATCTGTAGGACTCCATTTAAATCCTATTTGATTCTTTTACAGCTGAAACAGGACCCCTGAGGTCATTTCTAGACTAACCCTACTGCCTGATATGTGAGAATGTCCTCATCACACTCACCACTCCCAATTATTTTTAAACTGACTCTTCAAAGTTAAAAAATGTAACAGAGCCATAGAAATAGAAATGCTAGAACTTGCCTGTTTCTTTTTATCTTTCAGAGGAATGGTATTTTTTAAACACAAGCTTATGTCAGACATTGAACAGTCTCCACATGGGAATGAATGTTTTGATTAAAAGTTATTTAATATCTCTAGTTCCTTGGCATTCTGCCTAAAGCTGGAGATATTCTTAGCTGCAGGTCTTGTGCCTTCTTTGACTAGATTAAAAAAAAATGGCTCAAAATCTAGAGGGAATAAATGGCATTCTGAAAATAGTTACTTGATTGTATATGTGTTTATATCACAGAGGATACTGATGTGTTGAGAATTAGGAGTTACAAAAGAATGTTGGTAAGGAGAAATGCATCAAAGCTGCATCTTTCTATAGCTCTGTCACTGCGTCCATTGATTCCTAATGCTTAGCCTTTTGGTTAAACTTGGTTTTAGGGAGCTACGTTCATATGGCAGACCTTAAGAATAGAATTCTGTGTAATCTTTATGTAAAGTTTTCTTAACTTGCATTTGTATTTAGATCAACAAGGGTTAACCACAAGACATTTAAGCATTGTGATACTTAAAATATGATCTTGGGCCGGGCGCGGTGGCTTGCGCCTGTAATCCCAGCACTTTGGGAGGCCAAGGTGGGTGGATCACCCGAGGTGGGGAGTTTGAGACCAGCCTGACCAACAAGGAGAAACCCCGTCTCTACTAAAAATACAAAATTAGCCGGGCATGGTGGCACATGCCTGTAATCCCAGCTACTCAGGAGGCTGAATCAGGGGAATTGCTTGAACCCAGGAGGCAGAGGTTGTGGTGAGCTGAGATCATGCCAGTGCACTCCAGCCTGGGCAACAAGAGCAAAACTCCGTCTCAAAAAATAAATAAATAAAAAATAATCTTATTTTTAACTGCTTTCAGTGTAAAATAATGAGCACAGATTCTCATAGCACCTAAATGTGAATATGAAAAAAAAGAAGACCTTTTTTCTGATATACAGATAGAATTTTGACTCAATAAGTTATTTTATCTTCAGAGGTAGTATTGCTCTCAGCACAACCTCTTTTCTTTAACTATCATTATTTTGAGGTGAAATATTTACAGGACATTGAATTATTTTTCCAGCTTTCCAATGGCATTTCATGCATTTAGATATTGATGTGACATAGTTAGAAGTTGGGCCCTCAGGACCTGTATTGTGTGATGGCATTGTGCTACTATCATCACAAGATTCCTTTTTTTCCAACCCCCAAGGTCCTGTCTGTACTTGTTTACAGGTCATCTGGATAGCAACTAGTATGTGTTCAATACCATGAGTGTTATCATGGTAACCTTGACAACCAAGCTAGCTCTGATTTCAAAACCTCACATGCTGTATCATAAAATTAGAGAACAGAATTGACATTTAGCTACATGTCTGTCATATAAATTAAGCTCTGAGAATGATTCCCCTTAGAGCCATGTGTCTTAATAGGGAAATAGAAGGCACCAATTAGAACTATTTTATACATATTATAACACATTTAGGTGCTGGATATATTTCCTCAATTCTTTTTGTATAATTTTGAACCTCAGATATTCTCATTCTATTCTCACTGTACCAAAATTCATGGTGGCTTTATTTTGTGTTCAGGATGAAGCTTATAGCAGAGTTTCATCAGATACCTGATATAAATATGATTATGAATAATAGAAAACTCAGCCCATAAAAAATGTAAAATTCAAAGCATTCTTGGCTTTACTGGATACTGTTATTTATGCTGATTGTAAGTAAGACTGAGCGCAGAATATTTCACTAAGTAAATCAGAATCCCAAAGACAAGACATGTTTCCTTTTCATTTATATATTTATGCATATTTTTGCTCATATTATCCCAGCATCCAAAAATCTTGATATCTTTATTCAAGATGATTCTGAACATTCAGATTAATACATTCATCTACTTTAAGTCCTAGGTCCTCTCTTATAATTTGGAAATATTTTAATCTCAGGATTTTCTGCTCTATTTGTTGTGGTCTGGTGCAGCTTTTCTTGGATATAAATTTAAAGACACAGCTTGTGAATTACATTTAATGTAAGCACCCTGCAGTTTTCTGCATTGCAAGTGATTATTTTTAGAAATTTTATGGTTGCCTGCATATATTTGTTTGTCTTCATTGATATGTAGGGGGGGAAGCTCATTAATGATTTAAAAGGAAGGTGTTTTGATTCATCGACTTGACTCTTCTCATTACATAAACAGTAAAGGCAATGGCAATAAATTAACATCTAATGAAATTGTAAGAGTTTATTTCTGAATTTAGCTACAAGATAGTCTTGAATCCTTGGGCGTAACTTTTCTTATTCTTTGTATCCTTTTGCCTCAGTGTTTTGAAAGTCATCATTCAGCACATTTTAACCTAGAATGATGGTTTATAATTCCTATGAAAGATTCCTTTTAGCAGCTATTTATCAAACACCATAATTGGACAACTGTTTTGTAAAATAGTTCTTTGACTCCTAGAATGGTAAGTTATTATGTAAAAATGGAAGACCCTTATGTCAAAATTTACTATAAAGCAGTTTTTCTTTTCCCCATATACCTGCTTTGTATCTCATGTAACATTTGAGAAATCTGCTTCCAATATTTTCTCATCTTGTTAGTCATCAATCTAATTCTCGCCTAGTTATATGTTAAATATTACCTTCTTGCCTTACTTAGTAAAGAGTCAAAATTCCTGCAAATTCAGGATTTTTCTTTTCGGAAACAGATAAGTGGCTATGCTGTCTACATGTGTGCATAAGTGGGAAGAAGGGCAGAAATCCTTCTGTGTATTTGCTGACCCTGTACAGCAAATACTTGTTACATTTTCAGTAATGTTTAAATTGTTTGCTTTATCTCATTGGGATGAGTCATCATCACCTTTATGTTTTTTAAACTGGTGAAAGGTAGTTTGTATTTTCTTTTCTCTTGAAACTATTTCTTGTGATGAAGAGAAATAGTTCAGCATGTTGTGGTTCCAGGACTGAGACAAGTTTGGGTAATCATCTCTACCATAAAATAACTTCATCGGAAACGTCAATGCATCAGCATTCTGCAGTGCAATATGGAAATGAACTGTTAGGCTGTGTTGGTGCTGGAATGTGGGGGCTTATCAGGCTGTTTGCATGACTCCAAGATGTTTTTTAATATCTGGTCTTTTTTTTTTTTAATTGTGACATGAGATGGCATTAGAAGGATGGGGTTTGAGAGGAACCATAATGGTAAAAGAAAAAACCTGTTAAAAGGCAATACAAGCTTCTTTTATGATTTCCTTTTAGGTCTGATGTTGTGGTCCTCTGTTTTTCGATTGCTAATCCCAATTCCCTAAATCATGTGAAAAGCATGTGGTATCCAGAAATCAAGCACTTTTGCCCTCGAACACCCGTTATCCTTGTTGGGTGCCAGCTTGATCTCCGCTATGCCGACCTGGAAGCTGTTAATCGAGCCAGGCGCCCGTTAGCAAGGTAAGCCAAGGGACTCAGTGTTTCCCTGTCCTGACCAAGTTAAAATTTACAGGCAGCAGGTGTCTCTGTAGCCTGGTGTTCTGCTCTTCAACACTCCTGGATCCCATCAATCAGCCATGGGTTTTAAGTCAGCCCATAAATCATGAGGAGTGTGCCCTGAGCCCTTCTAACAGGCACCATCATCTCTGGTGTCAGAACTCATTTTTGTCAAATGATTGGACAGCACTTGAAGTAAATTCTCTAATTATGAAAGTGTGTGATTAAAAGCACTTTGAAAAGTATAAAGTATTAGACAAAATGTTGGTTACTCATAATAATGTCATCCTTGAAATTATAATTATTACAATAAAATTAGTTAACACTTAGAGGTATCTGGGCCCCAGAGAACATCAGATTCATACAAACACACATATTGAAGGGTTTTTCATCTTCCTTATATTCCTCAGTCCAACCTGTTACAGTATTTCATTCTCAAGATGACAGTGTCCACTTTTTGAAAATCATTCGGACCTATAGTTGCAAAACAAACAGTTACTACTTTTTAAATGTCTCTAGTGGTTACATTTTTAAGTGTCACAAATGTAAAATACAACTTGAAGGAGAATTTGTTTCACTATATATAAAATGTCGATATTGATTTTGGTGGGGTGTATTAGTCCATTCTCATGCTGCTAATAAAGAGATAATTGAGACTGATTTATGAAGGAAAGAGGTTTAATTGACTCACAGTTTAGCATGGCTGCGGAGGCCTCAGGAAATTTGCAATCATGGCAGAGGGGAAGAAAACACATCCTTCTTCGTATGGCGGCAGGAGAGAGAAGAATGAGAACCGAGCAAAGGCGGATGCCCTTTATAAAACCACCAGATCTCATGAGAACTTCCTCACTATTATGAGAATAGCATGGGGGAACCGCCCCCACGATTCAGTTACCTTTCACCAGGTCCCTCCCGTGACACATGGGGATTATGGGAACTATAATTCAAGATGAGATTTGAGTGGGGACATAGCCAAACCATGTGGAGGGAAATACGTTTCTTTTAAAATGTCAGTTCCCTCAAATCCCCTTTATAAAAAAACAACTTTTTATGTTTTTTTAATGTTGAACTTTTTGGCTGGAGAGCACTCCTTTTCAAAAAATTTTGATATTAATACCCTCCTCTAGGCTGGGCACAGTGGCTCATGCCTGTAAACCCAACATTTCAGGAGGCCAAGGTGGGAGGATCGCTTGAGGCCAGGATTTTGAAACCAGCCTGGGCAACATAGTGAGACCACGTCTCTAGAAAAATAAAAATAAAAATAAATCAGCCAGGACTGGTGGTGCACACCTGTGGTTTCAGCTACTTGAGAGGCTGAGGTGGGAGGATCACCTGAACCTGGGAGGACAAGGCTGCAGTGGGCCATGATTGCACCACTTCACTCCAGCCTAGGTGACAGAGCAAGACCCTGTCTCAAAAAAAAAAAAAAAAAAAAAAAAGCAAACAGCAACAACAACAAAAATCCCTTATTTTGACATTTACCTAATAGGCTTATTACAAAATTTTATATTGACACAACTTTTTATGCTCTCCAAGCAATAGTAAATGGTACTTTCTTTAGACAATTTCTGATGTTCTAGGTATGTTTTGCATTAAATTTCTAAAAACACTTTATATTCAGTTTTCACAATCCTTCTGTTCTTCAGTGCATGGACTAGGAATTGAATATTAGGGGCCATGTAGAGGTTAAGAAGTCCACAGTAAATGAGAGACTGTCCTGGCCTCAGCAACTTTCTGTATAAAAATAGGTTATGATAATCAGTCCTCACAATCATGGACTGGAGGAGAGTTGCAGAGCTATAGAGAACAGTGGAGGGGACAGTGCCTTCTACAGAGCAATTCTAAGAAGATTTTGTGAAGGAGTTTGTATTTGAGCTAAGCCTTGAAGAGTTTCATCAGTTGGTAAATTTCAAGTCAGTCTTAAGAACAAGGAACACAATGCTCTCAGGAGCGAACTTTTGAGTTAAACCTTCTTCCCTGAACTTCCCTTCCACCTTTGTCAACACCCTATAATTTTCCCTCCTTTTCATCTAAGTCGTCAAATCCAAATTCTATCCAGTATTATCTTTTTCCTCCTAAGACCAGTGTCTGTCCTATATATTACCTTTGGTGTTAAAGGCCAAATATTTATATAAGAAGGTAAGTTCCTAAGGGTGTGTGTTAGAATCAATACTTTGTGATGTGTGTCACAATAAAGCACTTCCTGCCTGTGTTCTGGAACCCATCTATGCCTTTGCCATGGTTATGCCATAACCCCAGCACTGTACTGCATCTACTGTTTCCAAAGATTTGTCCTCCCAGGGTTTGATTAGGTTGTAAATGGGCCTTGTGTGCCAGCCTAAAGGGTATGGACTTTATTCCAGGGGCTTTGTGACATCAGAGGAAGTTAAAACAGAACTGCCGCCAGGTCATAGTTGTGTTATGTAAAGACTTTTCTTGCAGCAGTGAGGACTGTGGACTAAAATGTGAGGAGTGGGTGTGAAGAAAGATTAGTTAAGGGGCTAATGCACCAGTCCAAGCAAAAGAAGGCTTGAAGAAGGGATTGGAGGAAAAAAGAAGGCAAAGATTTGAAAGAGAATTCACAAATCCAACAGAGAAGAGCTGTAGGAAGTGGATCATTTAACTAGAAGTGGGAAAGTCTTGACTCTAATTGCTTAATAGAGGTCTCTCAGCAGCCTGAAAATGTGACTTCAGACAAACCCTTTAACCTTTCTGCCTCAGTTTCCTCAGAATGTAGAACAGAAATAATACCTCACAGGGCTATTGTGAGGCTTACATGAAAAATGTATATGAATGGATTTTAAAGTTATAAAGTAAAATTCAAGTATGAGATGCTGTTGATAAAGGTGAAGGTGATGAAGAGAGTAGTGATAATGATGATAACAGCTAACATTTATCAGGCACTTACTGTCGACAAAATACTATGCTTAGCATTGCCATGCTAATAATTTAAACATTTCAATAGTCCTTCAAGATATAATTACTCATTGTTATTATTATTCCTGTCTTACAGATGGAAAAACTAATGTTTAATGAGGTTAAGTAACTTACCCAAGATTAAATAGCTAGTAAAGTGATGATCCTTCAGTTACTGTGGTTACGGCTGACAGCATTTTTTTTTAAAGAAGTAAAACACTCTCTATTTAGGCACATGGTCATGTAAATGAAAAGTTCTAAGGAATCTACAAAAAAAGCTATCAGAATTAACCTATTAATTTAGCAAAATAATAGGATAAAAGGTCAATACACAAAAATCAATTTTATTTATATAAACTAAGAAATGAACAATTGGAAAATAAAATTTAAAAAACAATGCCATTTATAATAACATAAAAACATGGAATATTTATGGATAAGCTTCACAAATTATGTGCATTGAAACTCTGAAATATTTGAAAGCATTATTTTTTCCTTCAATCATAACTCCTTTATAGTTCAAAGACTTGAGGTGGTGGCAGATTTTTCCAGAGACTAAAAGCCTGACTGGAGTTTTCAGTGTATAGTTCCATTAGGTGCTTAGATAGGCCCTTGTTACTGTTTTTTTCCTAAAACAAGGCTGATTATAATTTTTAAAATGTTCTATTTCAGGCCCATAAAGAGAGGGGATATTTTGCCCCCAGAAAAAGGCCGAGAGGTAGCAAAGGAACTTGGCTTACCATACTATGAAACAAGCGTGTTTGACCAGTTTGGTATCAAGGATGTGTTTGACAATGCAATCCGAGCAGCGCTGATTTCCCGCAGGCACCTGCAATTCTGGAAATCCCACCTAAAGAAAGTCCAGAAACCTTTACTTCAGGCACCCTTCCTACCTCCAAAAGCCCCTCCACCGGTCATCAAAATTCCAGAGTGTCCTTCCATGGGGACAAATGAAGCTGCCTGTTTACTGGACAATCCTCTATGTGCCGATGTTCTGTTCATCCTTCAGGACCAGGAACACATCTTTGCACATCGAATTTACCTCGCTACCTCTTCTTCCAAATTTTATGATCTGTTTTTAATGGAATGTGAAGAATCCCCAAATGGGAGTGAAGGAGCCTGTGAGAAAGAGAAGCAGAGCAGAGATTTCCAGGGGCGGATATTGAGTGTCGACCCAGAGGAAGAAAGGGAGGAGGGCCCGCCTAGGATTCCTCAGGCCGACCAGTGGAAGTCTTCAAACAAGAGCCTGGTGGAGGCTCTGGGGCTGGAAGCCGAGGGTGCAGTTCCTGAGACACAGACTTTGACCGGATGGAGTAAGGGGTTCATTGGCATGCACAGGGAAATGCAAGTCAACCCCATTTCAAAGCGGATGGGGCCCATGACTGTGGTCAGGATGGACGCTTCAGTCCAGCCAGGCCCTTTTCGGACCCTGCTCCAGTTTCTTTATACGGGACAACTGGATGAAAAGGAAAAGGATTTGGTGGGCCTGGCTCAGATCGCAGAGGTCCTCGAGATGTTCGATTTGAGGATGATGGTGGAAAACATCATGAACAAGGAAGCCTTCATGAACCAGGAGATTACGAAAGCCTTTCACGTAAGGAAAGCCAATCGGATAAAAGAGTGTCTCAGCAAGGGAACGTTCTCGGGTGAGTGGGCCGCGGGGCAGAGCCATTAATACCTTTGATTGTGTTTCATTGAACGTTAGCCAGACATGAGCAGGAGAAAGAAGAACGATAGCTAACATTTATACGTACTTATTTTTTCCCATGTACCTTTCTAAGCTACAGGCATTAACTTCTTTAATCCTCATCAGACTTAAAGGTTAAATATGATTGTCTCCATTTTGCAGGTGGAGAAACCAAGGGACAGAGAGGTTAGGTAATCTGCCCATGGTCACACCAGCAATAAATGGTAGAGCCAGGATTTGAACCCATGCTCTTGTGGGTATCAAAACCTGTTCCATAAACCACCATGGTACCACACTGCTCCTCAAGAGTGGATCAGGGACCCCAAGCCTATCTCCAGTGGGCTTGTTGCATACAATTCCCCTTCAGAATCTATTCTCTGACCAATTCTATTCTCCATTGACCCTTCAGCACTGACCCATGACAAAAATCAGTGATCTCAAGTCCTGAGGCCACTAAAGTCCTTGAGGCAATTTTGGTGGCCCTCCATCTTCCTACAAGGGGTGTCTCATCTGTTTCCATCCCCTCTCCTTTTCCGTCCTCATGCTCCTTGGCCCTGCACTTCTGTAGTTTTCCTGCACCTCCTTTGCCTTTGATAACTATGCCATATGCTGCCCGCAGCACCCTTTCATAATTGTTAAGCATGCTGGTGGCCCGCATCCAATATGGGTTATTGACCCATGCTTGTACTGTCTTACACTTGGACTATTTTTGTTCTGAAATTGTTCTCTGGGCTGGTGTGTGGGTGTGTGTAATTTCATCGTAAAATGTTGACTTCCTGACTTCTATTTATATGGATACCTCTACCTTTGTCTTTATCTTTTATAATCCCTGCCAGGGCATTACACATTTAGTAAGTGGTTCCTAAAGACTCAGTTCATTCATTTTAAAGCTTATGAGTAGTATTTACTTCAAACACTGGCCATTGTGTTACAGAAACAGTCTTGAAAATTAATGAAAAGAATATGTTACAAACCTACAGTAACTTAAACAGTGAGCTTTAGGTAGAGTTGATTAAATCACCTCCTCCTTACTGGAGAGGCATAATAATCAAATACAATGTGGGAGTCTCAATTGGATTCTGTTTTTTTTTTTTTAAAGCTATGAAATACGATTTAGGGATAATTGGAGAAATTTGAATATGAACAATATAGTGGATGATAATAGGGAATTATTTTTAATTTTCTTAGGTGTAATCATAGTATGGTTATTTAGGAGACTGTTGTTATTTTGGGAAAACTTGTGATAAGGTAGTTAGGAGTGAAGTGCCATGCTATCTGTAAAAAAAAAAAAGTCTATACACATACACAAAATTATACAAAAATACACATATAGCCAGGCATGGTGGCTAATTTGCCCACAGTCCCAGCTACTTCAGAGACTGAGACAGTAGGATTGCTGGAACCCGGCAGTTTAAATCCAGCCTGGACAACATAGCCAGACCCACCCCCCCCCACATCTCTTAAAAAAAACAGTAATTCGGTTACATTTTGGTATAGCATACGAGTAGAGCATATTATAAATGTAAGGTTTAATTGAGTATTAATAAGTAAAATGGTGTAAATTAAAAATATACGTAAAACAAACATGCCAAAATGTTAACAAGGATAAATGAGTGGTCATCATACTGTTCGTTCCACTGTTTTATATGCTTGAAGTTTTGCATAGCAAGGAGGAAAAAATATTCCCTCCTTTCTATTACTTTCTGGTTCAGAGAGTTTGTGCCGTGACTTTATGTGTGATGATGTCAAATACAGCATGCTGCCTTAGGTGGGAGCTGGGTGTGTCAAAGCTCAAAGATGGGGATTGACATAAAATCAGTAAGTAAAGACATGCAAGAGAGAGTAAGGGAGTCGCAGTTTGGTGGCTATGGGAGCAGAAGCCTTGGTTGAAGCTCTCAGCAAAGTTGGCTCATGGTTGTGTTTCCTCAATCCCTTGGCAGACGTGACATTTAAATTGGACGATGGAGCCATCAGTGCCCACAAGCCGCTGCTGATCTGTAGCTGTGAGTGGATGGCAGCCATGTTCGGGGGGTCATTTGTGGAAAGTGCCAACAGTGAGGTACGTGCCTTCCTAAAAGCATAGTGGTGTCTTTATGAATGTATGTGTGCCTGTGTATTTATATAAAGTGGGTAAACAGCCAGATGACTTTAATCCTTAAACTGGCTCCATGAGTGGTCATCATACTGTTAGTCATAATCATAAGGAGCTATTGCTCCTTAGTAGTGCTTGAGGGTTTGGTCACCTTTTTCTTAGATCTGCAGTTTTGAGGAGCTATTGTTTATTGGTCACTGGTGTGGGGGCACCTGGGTGCTTTACATGCCATATATCTTTTCATCCTCAGAGCCGTCCTCATCCATGAAGACAAGATCAGCTGTACCTCTTGGCAAATGTCACCAGGCATGGTACTATCAAAACCAAGTACAAGAGGAGCATGTCTCCCAGTAGTTCAGAAAGGGAAAAGAGTTCTTCAGCCACCTAAGTCCTGGGCTTAGCTATGCCCCTAACCAGACAGGGGACCTTGAGAAGCCGCATTCCTGTGCCTCAACCTCCTCATCTGCAAGCTGAGGGATGCACTAGATTGTCCTTCAGGTTACCATGTGCTACAATACTGTCTAAGGCTCTGCCCTGACTCTGCCTGTGTTGAGGGGATATGAGGGTTTGTTAACTTTAGGGCAACAGTAATGGAGCAAATGTTTACTCCCCTGAACACACCTCTCAAGGTACTTAGGTCTAGCGGAAGCAGCTACATCACTTGTCAGCCCCTGGCTCTATCTCTAGAAGAGACATATGCTTAGAGAAGAGCAAACAGCATCTTGGATACCCTGTGTCTTTGTCTTTCTTGTTGTTTTACTTTTAACTGACAAATAATAATTATTATACATAGTTATGGGGTACATGATGTTTCAATATACATATACTGTGGAATGATCAAATCGGGTTAATTAGCCTATCCATCACCTCAGATGTTTACCATTTCTTTGTGATGAGAACATTTAAAATCGTCTTTTAGCTATTTTGAAATATACGATACATTATTGTCCACCATAGTCACCATACTGTGCAATAGAACACCACAAAAAAGTTACAGGTGCATTAGACTATATGCAACTGTGGTCCTAGGTACTTGGGAGACTGAAGTGAGAGGAACACTTGAGCCCAGGAGTTCAAAGCTACAGTGAGCTATGATTGTGCCACTGTACTCCACCCCAGGAGACAGAGTGAGAACCTGTCTCTAAAAAAAAAAGGACAAAAAAAATGTACACTAGAATTTATTCCTCCCATCTAAGTGAAACTTTGTATATTTGACAGATGGCTTTCCTTTCCCCATTCACCCCCTAATCCCAGCCTCTGGTAATCACTCTTCTACTCTCTACTTTGGAGTTCAACGTTTTTAGATTCCACATATAAGTGCAATACTGTGATATTTGTCTCTCTGTACCTGGCTTATTTCACTTAACATAATATCCTTTAGGTTCATGCATGTTGTCTTGAATGACAGAATTTTCCTCTTTTTTAGGGCTATATAGTATCCCATTGTGTATAAGTACCACATTTTCTTATTCATCCATCTGTTGATGGACAGTTAGGCAGACTCCATATCTTGGCTATTGTGAATAGTGCTACAGTTAACATGGGAGTACAGCCTCTTTGTCTTTTTACAAACTGTTGGAAAAGAAAAAAATTCAATTCAAGCACTTCTAACTTTAGGAGTGAGCAAGCATTTTTGTGGAGTTTTGCAAGTATTTTTAACATCTTTTTTAAAAAAGTAGAAATGAAAACATGGGTACACCCACCCAGTTTATTGTCCTAAGAGGCTTGTTTTACTTGTCTCAGCATCTTTCCAAACTTTTCAAAGAAATGCAAAAAACAATAGCTAACTTTTCACATGAGGCACTAGCACAAGAAATTCGAGCACTCCCATTGTGACCCAGGAGCCTGCATTTGCATCCCCAAGTAGGGAAATAGAATCCTAGAATCACAAGCCTTGGATAGCAGGGGCTGAGAAGATCACTAGGCCACTCTCATGCACCCATAACAAACTGCAGCTGCTCCTAAACCAACCCCCCAGCAAAAGGCTATCTGCTTTTCAGGGAAAAAATATTAGAGTTATCCTGATGGCCTCTTATGGTGTCTAACAGCCTTTCTAAACCAGGAGACTCTCACCTGTGACTAATGAAAATCTCTCCTGAGCTTGGGTCAAAGGTGTTTTGGAGCATCATTACTGAGACAACTGCAGCACATGGAATCTGCACAGTTACAGGACTGTGGGACTCAAATCTCAACTCCTCCACTTACAAGTGACTTGGGCAAGTGACTTAACCTTTCTTGGCTCTAGTATCCTGATCTGGAAAACACAGTTATAACCCATACTGTGGTTGTGGGGTGTAAGAGTCATTACTTGCAAAGCAGTTCAGAAGCATTCAATAAATAGTAGCTGCCGCTGGACTTATTCTGATGTTGTTGGTAGTGATGGTATTCTTTACCTCTTGTATCCAGAAAAAAGCTAGGGTAGCCACCAATTTGTAAAACCTCATCCAGTTGGTATTTGACTGACTTCAGCAATCTCTGGAGATAAAGAGCTGGGAGGATTGCTCCCCTTCTTTGTCCAGCTCACTGAAGTGCATGCTGATTGTGCAGCAGAGGACCTGCTATTCACAGAGTAGGGAGAAGTTGATCGAGGTCAGGAACGCAGGCACAAAGGGACACTGTCAGAGCTGACCTCACGAATGCTAATCTCCTTTATCCCTTCCAAGAATGGACTGTAATCGTCTCCAGATTAAAATGTGCAGTAGAGGTGACCAAAACAAAAACTTGGCAGCGAATGTGAATGCACATGTATATGGTTGTTTGATGGCCTCTCCTGGAGGAGGCCACCTGTTTAGCACACCCTGCTGGAGAGATGAGGTCCCTCACCACTTAGAACTGGAGTTGAGGCTAATAGGTTTGTATACATTCAGACCAGCTCAAAAGACAAAGACCACGGAACCAAGCCACTGAAGACCTGTGCCACAATTCCTTTAGCCAGTATATTGAAAATGCAATGAGCTGTCGACATTCTCGCCCCTTCCCGTCCCTTCACTTTATTTCCTGTGTAAACTATAATATACTCTCAGCTTGACGTTGGGGAAGTGGCTCACTCTAAACCTGTTTCCTCATCTGTAAAATGGGGATAACAAGAAAACCTTTGTCAAAGGGCAGAGAAGGCATGAGAGGACATGTGTAAAGCATTGAATTTGATGCCTAGAACATACAAATGTTCAATAAATGTTAGCGACTATTATGCTAGAGTTTTCTTGTTAAATTCTTTCCATACGGGGTTAAGGGTATTTGTCCCCGGAAAGCTCTAAGTTAAAAAGCCCCCAGTTCCCTTTCTGAACTAGGAAAGTACAATACAGGTGGTTATAGTTGTAGGGGAAAGGCACTCAGTTAATGCTCCATGATTAACATAGGTCCATGTTCACACTTGGGATTTGGCTGTTGTAGGCCACCTTTTAACTTTCTATTATCTTGAGAAAATCTGAAAATCTGATGCCAGCCACCCTCCCACCCCCCACACCATGAAAATCAGCCTTTTTTGGAGAATTAATAGAATTAATGTGCATATCCAGAAAAGAGTGAAATATGCCTATGTCCAATGATTTTAATTTAACTTTTTTGTCATTTAATATTCAGGAAAACATTGTATCTTACTTATATTTTTTCTCATTACTTTTAATGTAGCAGTAAGCATAATTCTCTCCCCAGAGGTACTCAGCAAGTGGTTCATTAAAAATGCATGCCTGGGTTGTAGTAAGCAATGCTTTGGATCTAGGATACTTTCTCATTCTCTATGAGACTGCCTCTAATTATAAGCCTAATAGTCTCAGCTAATCTTCACAATTAAAATTTTACACCAACTAAACTGCAAGATAGAACATTGTTTAGGGTAGCATTATATTCTCTTTGATCACTCTTTTTTTTTTTTTAAGAAAAAAGAAACTATATCCAGCAGGTAGGATAGAAATTTTTTGATTCCATTATTTATGAAGCTTTGCTTATATTATTTTTAAAGTGCTATAAATAAAGGTCTTTCTGTTGTCATGCAGTTAATTATAAATGTTGAAATCACAGAAACGGGCTTTTTTAAAAAATCAGCCATGAGGGGAAAAAATGCATGTTCCAAAAGTGTTCTTAGTTTATTCTAATTTAATGTTTTTTTCTAAAGGTCCCTAATGTTGTTTGCCAAAAAGAGCCATCACTTCAAAAAATGTTAACGTTATATTCAGCAAAAAGAAGATAGCAGGTCATAGGTGATTACAAACATCAGAACACTTTGAGGGCATTGAGGGTGTTTGGGCAGGGCTGCTCACTGGAATCTGTCATCTGCTGCAGCCGGAAATAGTTTCTTTTTATTTAGGATGTTCATTTTGCTATTTCTTCTTTAAGCAATGACTTAGAACACACTCTTGCCAAAAAACGCTAAGGTAATCTGAAGATTTTCAAAACCCAGAGTTTCCGTGAAGAAGAAAAAGCTTTTAATAGCATCTATTCCAAATTCCTCCCATGTAACGGATGAAGAGACTGAGGGTGAGAGAGGGTGAGAGATGTATCAAAGGTCACACAGCATTTTAGTGATATATCCCTGGGCCTGCCCCAGGCTCTTGCGCTATCACGAGAGGCATTGTTTTCAGAAACACCAGACATCCCCATCTCTGAGAGAGCAGGTATTAACAGGAAGCTCTGGGACTTGGTATATTAACAATTACTAACATCTTAGAGCACTTAGCGCTTTGTAAAATGTGGATACTTTCACTATTAAAATGGTTCAAATTTTAAAGTTTCACAACTTAACCTTCAATTATTTAAAAAACTATACTAATTGTATTAGTCCATTTTCATGCTGCTAATGAAGACATACCAGAGATAGGGTAATTTATAAAGAAAAAGGTTTAATGGACTCACAGTTCCACATGGCTTGGGAGGCCTCACAATCATGGTGGAAGACAAAAGGCACATCTTACATGGCAGCAGGCAAGAGAGAGAGAACCAAGTGAAAAGGGGAAACCCCTTATAAAATCATCAGATCTCATGAGACTTATTCACTATCACTAGAATAGTCTGGGGGGAACCACCCCCATGAATATCTCCCATCAGGTCTCTCCCACAACACGTGGGAATTATGGGAGCTATAATTCAAGATGGGATTTGAGTGGGGCACAGCCAAACCATATCACTAATCCAAACATTATTTCATCAAAGAAATGAAATGTTACATGTTCCTACACACAGAAACAAATTTGTATGGATACCTGTAAATAAATCCATTATTTGTGTAAGATAAATGCATATGTATGTAAACATATATGTATGCGAGCATACACGCAGTGTAACTGGTGCTAGATTTAGTTGAATAATTAATTATTCATATGTACATACAGCTGGTTGAAGGGAAGAATAATGTTCCAACATCTGTGTATTGCAGATGATCTAGCATGCACAACAGCTACTTTATTTCAAAATAATCCCAGTAATAGTTTCAACTCATTGAGTTCTATTTGTTGTCGAGGTTGTGCTGGAAACCTAAAATGATCATGCTTGTCAAATCGTTTATGGTAATGACTTATGTAACTTATTTATGGAATCATAATTGTCGTTTTCACCAACCATGTCTGAAAGTGGGGGATAAATTTCTTATTATTTCTAGGAATTTTTCTAAACCTTCCCTATGATACGTTAAGGGATGGGTCTACCTATCTGAAAGGATATTCCCTCTCTGAGGTGTCTGGTGGCTGCATAGGAGAATAACAAAGAAAGTTTCTATAGCTTAAAGAGCTCTGGAGCCACACTGCCAGAGTGCATAAGCCATAAGCACCTTGTAGAATGTGGGGCCATTATACATACATACACTCTCTCTCTCTCTCTCTCTGTCTCTCACTCTCTCTCACTCTGTCTCTCTCTCTCTCTCTCTCTCTCTCTCTCTCTCTCTCACACACACACACACACACACACACAGTCATCCCTCAGTATCTGTGAGGGACTGGTTCCAGGACCACCCCCCCAACTCAGACAGCCAAATCCATGAGTGCTCAAATTCCTCATATAAAATGGCATCGTATTTGCATAGATCTGTGCACATCCTCCTGTATACTTTAACTTATCTGTAGAGTGTTTCTGGTACCTAATACAATGCAAATGCTGTGTAAGTAGTTGTTTACTGTTTAGGGAATAATGACAAGAAAAAAGTCTGTACATGTTCAGAACGGAAGCAGTCATGCCTTTATTTTTCAAATATTTTTGATCTACAGTTGGTTGAATCCACAGATGTGGAACCCACAGATAGAGATGGCTGGCTCCATGCATGTGTGTGCCTGAGTGTGTGTGTGTGTTTGTGTGCAAGTGCATGTGTATGGAGAGAGAGGTGCAATCATACAAAATATATAGATGTAACCATGTTATAAAGATGTAATCATACATAATATATAGATATATATCTTTATATGTTGTATAGATGTTTATTAAGTACCAGAATTAAGAAGTTCATAACCGGCCAGTCACAGTGGCTCATGCCTGTAATCCCAGCACTTTGGGAAGCCAAGGCAGGAGGATCACTTGAGGCCAGGAGTTTGAGACCAGCCTAGGCAGCATAGCAAGCCCGCCATTTCTACAAAAAAAAAAAATTAATAAAATAAATTAGCCGGGCGTGGTGGCACTGCCTGTAGTCCCAGCTACTAGGGAGGTGGAGGTGGGAGGATTGCTTGAGCCCAGGCCTAAGCTATCATCAAGCCACTGCAGTCCAGCCTGGGCAACAGAGTTAGACCCTGTCTCAAAAAAACTAAAATAAAAAAGAAAGAAAAAGAAGCTCATAATTGTTCATCCTTTTGAAGTAGAATTCTTACAAACCATTAATAAAATATGATGCTTTATTGTTCTGTAACTCAAACCTTTGTTTCCTTGGCATTAAACATTTCCAGCACCGCAGAGAAATTCTGAACATACACTTTCGCATCATACTCCCTGGGTTTAAATCCCAGTCACTACTTCCTAGCTCTGTGACCTTGGACACAAGATTTAAATTAACCTCCTTGAACCTCCATTTCCTTTTCTGTAAAATGGCAAAAGTAAGTCCCTTCTCTCTAGGGCAGATATAAGCATCAAATTAAAGAATATGTGTGGAAATCTTAGTGCAGTGCCTGGTGCATAGGATGCCTTCAATTACGATTAATGTTTATAATTGTCAATGTTCCAAAAATCCAAGTGGTACCATTCTGAACTACTCCAGGGCCTGTCTCATGGAGTTACAGACCTAAAATAAAGAGTAGCTGCTACGCAGTGTACATCTCCATTAATCCATGCCCACCTCTACAGCTCTCCACCTCCCAGGCAGTGCCTGGCTCTCTGGCGAACTCCAGCATGCATTTATATGGACAACTACAGGCACTCAGGAAGGAGACTGTGGGAATCCTACAAGGGACAGTTCACCTGTACCCAGTCATACTCCCCTGGAAGTCCCAAGCAAGGAGTCCTTTGGATTCTCCGAATCTACTGATAACTGATAACGTTCCAGTAGTTCTGAATCCATGTGGTTGTAGTAAAAAATAATGAAGTGTATACGTTGTGTAGTACATTGTAATATATTGTGCATATACTGACAGAATTTCGAAATCAAGCTGGTCACTGTGGCAGCTAGGGTGGTTGCTCATCCTCTCTTTTGACATCTTGGAGAACTAGGCTCCATCATGTCAGCAACAGTGTGGTTTGCAGCTCCGCCCAACACCTGTCATGTTGCTAGGAGATTTCTTTCCCCACAGTAGAGTATTATAAGGTGCTTGGCATGAGGGCCCCTAATGTCATCATACATTTCCAGTCCATTTGTCTGATTTAGAAGTCCAAATAGTCATTTAAAAATTCCACATCAGGCTGTGTCAGGCAGCTCCACTCTTTTGTCAACTACAAATCAAACCATTATGTTTAAAGTCATAAATACTGAAGGATTCCTATGCACAGCCTCAAAGCAGGTGTCCAACACTCACCAATATCAAGTCACACAGGATATTTATAAGCAGCATAGCCTGAAAATGTGCCCACTCCCTGCTTTCTGCAGCAGAATTTAGCTTTTTGTATAACATTTCAGGTGTATCTCCCGAACATAAACAAGATATCAATGCAAGCAGTATTGGATTATCTCTATACCAAGCAGTTGTCTCCTAACTTGGATCTGGACCCGCTGGAATTAATTGCCTTGGCAAACAGATTTTGCCTGCCACACTTGGTTGCACTTGCAGGTAAGGATGATGACTCAGGGCCATGCAGTGTCTGTCATATTTGTCAAAATCACATTTAAATAAAAATATTCTTACAGAGAATAAAAATTGATTTTTTATCACCCAAAATAGGACTGTCTTGTGTAGAATGATATGAATTAATCAAATTGCATCAGACAGCCCAATTCAATTCAACATATATTTCTTAAGCACCCACTCTGTGGTGGGCCCTGTTAGGTGATACAGCTATGAAGGTGAGTAATGCATGACCCCTGCCCTTGAGGCACACGCTGTATGCATGCTGAATCATTTGTGCACCCCAGAGTTTGAAATAAAACTATTTTGTCAACATTATCTCCATAATAAGTGCACAGACACAGTCTTTAAGAAGGCAGTAGATGCACTGTTTAGGAAAACAGATGACAGAGCCAGATTGCCTAAGATCAAACCCTGACTCCACCATTTACTGACCAGGTGACTTTGTCCTGTAACCTTAGCTCTGTGTCTCAGCTTTCTCGCTCTTTAAAATGGGGCTAATATTATTCAGCCATAGAGCTGTTATGGAGATTAAGTGAGTTAAAATATAAAGTCCTTAGAACAGCGTCTGGCACATAGTAAGCATTATGTAAGTGGTTTTCTTAAAGCTATTTTAGAAAATGTTCTGACATTGTCAAGTTCATTTTGGGAGAAAGAGAAAAAAGGGAAACTTGGCTTAACTTCACAAAATCTTATGTATCATTTCTAGATTTGTTCAGTTGGGAAGCTGAAGCAGGTCTGCATAGGATATATGAACTTAAATGCCTTTCTCTGGAATTCAGATCTTCAGCCTCATTCACTTTACACCAGAGGAGTTAAGTTGCAAGCTGGGTGTTTATCACAATGTTTAGTTGATTCCTGTTAACCACCAAAGTAGAGATAAACAGTGCCTGTCTTGTTCACTGGCCTTTCTTCTGAGTGCCTGAGCATATTAGCTTTCGATAAATATTTGTTGAACAATTGAATGAATGAAGATGAATGTATGAACAAACCAACCAGTCCTATCTGCACTTGACTTTCTGGCAATGTCTTTAGAAAAAATAAAAGATTAATTTCTCTGTCCTCCAGATTTCTACTACACACAACCACCTGGAGATCAAAGTCCTCTCTTTGTCCTACTTCCTCCCCAGTTAGATAGAAAGAGCGAGTTGAGGCATCAATATTAGATTTATTTTTAAAAACTGTTTTTAACCAATATACTTAATAGATCCAAATGAGTGCACTAGTTTTTTAAAATACTCACTCTGGGAGGCTTCCATGGGCAATTACTTTTTTCAGAAACATGAGTTCCAAGCCATCTAACTATCCACAGGTTTTATAAATTATTCCTGAGGATACATTTTTATTTATTTTTGAAACTGTCAAATGTAATTTGGAGCCAAATCTGCCCAACAAGGTTTGTGATCAATCTCAGACTAGTACCAGTTTTGCTTAAATATTAAGTCTGGCAATGAAAACATGGGATTGATTTCTCCATGAAAGTTTTTTTTTAACTGACCCAAGTAAAGCTTTTTGTGTGAACTCTAGACTTCTATGAACACTTAGTTTAGTTATTAAATGCTATTATTACTGTTATGATTATTTAATATACAGCTTCCCAAGATGATTCCTTTAATCCTTTATAGTATTTGCTTTGTACTGTCTAGTGTAGAGTGTTTAGAACATGGTGTTTAAAAATCAGTTTCTACAGTGACAATGCTTTGTGAGCCAGTGTTAAATAAATGTCAGGAAATGTTGCAGTTACTTAAAACGGCAAAGCCCAGATGACTTCTCTGGGAAATTTAGTTCCAAATAGTTCAATCTAGTTGAGGAGGTTTGTGCCAAAGAAATCATTCCATTCCCGATACTGTATTGACCAGATATAGGCATACTGACCAATAAGCATGCAGAGCTGGAGCAGAAAGTAAGCATGATTTGGACAATGTGCTGGATTAGAAGAACAAATGCAATGCTACAGATGACATCAATGTCAAAGACCTAGAAATGCTGAGCCAAGGCTGTACCCTCACACGTCAGTCTCAGAGGCAGGTGACAGCCCTTACAAAGGCAAGAGATGGCCTAGCTTCAGACCAGAACGTAAATTCAGCTTGGAAGCCTTGGACTCAAGCTCCCAAGCAAAAATGGCTCTTCCTACTGCATTTTTGTTACTTCTAACTGCAGGTCTCCCCAGTCTTTAGAATCCAAGAGGCTGAACAATATGTTATCCATCTGTAGCTGTTGAGACAGACGTACGCAATCACATTTTTAATTCCTCAAATAGACTCATTCCTCTGTCACTCAACCTCTTCACCATCAGGGATATTAAGGATTGCAGTGATGTGAGTGGGGAAACTGTCAAACAGGAACGTGTCTAAAGTCTAGAGGACTCTAGGAAGGTGCTAGACTGTTTAGAGCCACTCCATCCAGTAGAACTTTCTGCAGTGATGGAAACATTTCATATCTGGATGGTCCAAACAGCGGCCACATGTGGCTGTTGAGCACTTACTGTGGCTAGCGTGAATGAGGAGCTGAACTTTTAATTTCATTTAATTTTAAGTAATTTAAGTTTAAATAGTCTCGTGTGGCCAGGAGTTATCATCCTGCACAGAACATTGCAGGACTGGAGGATTCTGGCTATTTCAGAGCCATGAACTAGAGTCCCCAGAGGTGTGGGTGAAGTGGCTGGCAGCAGAACCCCAAGTAGTGAAAGACCACACATCAGAGCAGCTTCTGGATTTAATTCAGATGCCTGCCCAGAGCTGTGTCCCACATTTCCTCCCTTCTTAAGTCGTCCCAGACCAACCCTCCAGGCAAGCTACCTGGCTCGCAGGGCGTGGTTTAATGTTCTCCTGCCCCCTCTCTCTTCCCCAGAACAGCATGCCGTTCAGGAGTTGACCAAAGCCGCCACGAGTGGCGTGGGCATTGACGGAGAAGTGCTCTCTTACTTGGAATTGGCTCAGGTTTGTAACAGTTTGCTTTTTACCTTTTAAGTGTGTTCAATCAGTTCATTTAATGCTGATAAAACATTCCATTGTTGCATCTGTCTAAATGAAGATGTCACCACTGAGTCACAGAGTCCCCCTGTGTACACTAAGAAGATCTGAGAGTTTTACCTTTTATGTACCATTCAGCCTGCTGGGCTTCATTTGAATAAACAAAACGGTCCCCACCCCCATGCCAGTCCCATTGTCCCCTAAGGCACCAGCTTCATATGTAGGAAAATCACTTGGGGGAGGTTTTGTCTCTCCTCCTTCTTTGAATTCTTGGACATGTATTTGGCCAAGAAGAGACAGTTTCTAGAATTCCATGAAGCCCCGTAGTGCCTCCCCTGTTAATGAACATCTCATTGCAGCTGTTCTGGAGTTTTCTAAAGTCAGAAGTTGCTAATATTGAGATTGTAATAACATAATCCCAATACAGACTTGCCCTCTTCTTCCAGAGAAGGTCCAAGATTCAGCTTTAGCTTCACCATGGAGTAACTTCCCCAAAGCACAAGCTAAACTCTGCCTCACTTTCCTCATCCACAGGAAATGGGATGACAGTTTGCATCCTACCAACCTTACAGATTATTCTGAGAATGAAGTGGGAGAGAATGTTCAAGAGCGAGCACTGAAGAGTGTAAGCCCTCTTACAATGCCAGGCACATCTGCAGAATTATCTAGTCCCTGGCACAGGCTGATTAACAATGAATTTACACTCTGAGGAAACTAAGAATAAATTCCTCAGTCTTTTCTTCGGCCTGTTGGGTTTGGCTTCCTGTGCTCCCTCTTTCTGTTAAGACAATGACTTACTAAGTCTTAGGTCAGTCCATTTAAATCAATATTTCTCAATCAAAGGAAAGGAGGTGGTTTCAGGGAGAGGAGGTGGCATCCAGCAGGTGCTGCTCAGGCCCTTCCTACTGTGGCCAGAGGAGATTGCTCTGGTGCAAAAGGGGGAAAAGGCGGAATTGAACTTTACAGCGACCTATTCATTATGACTTAGCATTCAACAAGTATTTGTTATTTTTCTCCCCAAATACCAGGCACCGCCCTAGGCAAAGGCCGTGTACATATAAATGGTAGATCCTCTGCCCCAGGGCAATCATAGGCAAGTAAGGGAAACAGACACAAACACAAATTATTAAAATCCAATTAGGGATTACAGTGAAACTGAGAATAGACATCTAATGCAGTCGAATCAGCAAGCCCCCATCAAAACTGGTTGTTCACACTTGGAATTTGGGGTCTTTTGAAACAGTTCCAGGGGATGGTTTATAACCTGTACTCTCTCCAGCAAGTATTCCTCCTAGAGAAAAATGTAATGATCCAGAATTTCATATTGGGACCATTCACTTGAGGGAATGATTTGCAGTTGTGTCTGTTTGTTGCACTGTGTTCCCACCTTACCCCCATACACACCCACTACAAGGAAATAATATGATTATTGCTAAGCCCTGACAAGCCTTGGCAGGAAGAGCTTAGGATGGATTCTCCCATGCTCATTCATTAGACCCTAACCTAGTGATGTGCTGGTAAGTGTTTAACAGTCAGCTTGAGGGCAAGTGGGACCCCAATCTGTTGCGTTTGCCAATTTCTATGATATAAATACTCCCATCATGGCTGATGATAACATATGAAGTCACTAAACTCAAAGTAGGGAAGAAATGCACACAATTGGTTCTCTCAAGCTGGAACAAACCCACCTGGCAGAACACTGCCCCAGCCTTGTTTTCAGAGAGAAATCTAACAGCAAGAGAAGTTGGAAGCACCAGCTAAAACTGTCTCTGATGTTTGGGTTGTGATTTTCAGTGAGTCTCTTGAGTGGGTTTCTGAGGTCTCTGGCTTTTCTATTGGCCTCACAGTGGAGATATGGGGCCACAGAGGAAGCATGCTGTAGGTTCTAGGGATCCACCTGACCAAAGAAACATCAAGAGCGACAGACAACAGAAGGGAAGTCAGAGAAGGGCACAGACAGAAAGTGAGGGATCGCAGCAGGCCCACCAGGTCTGGGGAGGGAATGGGGGAGTAGATAGTTGATTTTTGAGGATCTAGTCTTTTTTAATCATAGCCACCTCAGCTGCCACCTTCCTGAGCATTGCTTAGAATGGAAGGGTGGAGTATCTGGATCTCTCCACCCTGCCCATACCGCCTGCTCTTCTTATGTAACCAAAGGAGAGGTATAGGACAGTCACACATTCTGCAGTCTCCTCTTTCGGATCTTGGCCCCAGCAAGCTGAGCTCTGACATGCGACACGAAGTATTCCATTGCGGAGGCTTCCTTAAACAGAGATGACATCGCTGCTTTCTGCTGTGGGCTGGTGCCTTCCAGAGGCCACGGTTGTTTAGCACTAGAGGGCCAGGTGGCAGGGGAGGGCGGGAGGGCGAGGCATACTTTAAGCTCGTGATTCGATATTAATTATTTTTGTGCACCTATGACAGCAGGGAAAGGAGGGGTGTGCCCAGCACTACATTGGCTGGCATTGGAGCCATGGCCAAAGTCAAAACATTGAGGTCAAAACAAGAGGTTTACCGAATTAGTTATATAAGCCCTTCATTTCTTTTCACCCTTAAAATGGCTTCCCCAATTTCTTTGTAGCCCCTCTTTAGAAAATAGTCTTACCCTCCTTTTGCTCACTTTTCTGCAGTTTCACAATGCCCACCAGTTGGCCGCCTGGTGTTTGCACCACATCTGCACCAACTACAACAGTGTATGCTCCAAGTTCCGTAAGGAAATCAAATCAAAATCTGCAGGTGAGACTGTGTGAGGCCCCCATTCATCCAGCTCTCCTCACCTCTCATGGAAGCTTTTATCTTCTATGTCCCTGGAAAGGAACATGGTCAGCAGGCAGCTCATGGATGATTCCTCGAGACTGGCTGGTGGTCACATATTAATGTGAGATGACATAAGGAATTGAAGGCTGGGAATTGTCTTTGGAGAACTTGATGATGAGGGGAGTTGGGTGGGCTAGAGTCCAGGGTGCCCTGTTGCAGAGAGTGCAGAGGTGGTGGCCTTCCCCTTGTTTAGGGAGACAAGCTTAGGAGCAGGCTTAGACTCTGAAATCAGGTGGTCCTGGGTTCAGGTTCTCTGTGCCCAGCTGCATGACTACAGGTAAGAGATTCTTCCTCTCAGAACGTTAGTGTCACCTTTTGCAAATGGCCCTAATCACAGTCTCTGCCGCATCACGTTTTTGAGAGGATATTTGAGAAGCTTTAAGCTCAAGGCCTAGCACATAAAAGGCATCAATGAACCGCAGGTCTTATGGTCTGCATCTTTCCTTCACCAGACAACCAGGAATACTTCGAGCGGCACCGCTGGCCCCCTGTGTGGTACCTGAAGGAAGAAGATCACTACCAGCGTGTGAAAAGGGAACGAGAGAAGGAAGATATTGCACTAAATAAGCATCGCTCAAGACGAAAGTGGTGCTTCTGGAATTCATCTCCAGCAGTGGCCTGAAGAGGAAGAGAAAAAAAACAAAAAACAGAAACCAATCGGTAATCTGATCCACCACTTTTCAAAGCACTACTATAAAATTCGTCTTGTTAGAGATACGACATAGTTCAGGTTTCGGGCACTGATCTTCCTCCACTTTTGTGCATTTATCTTTGTTAGGATCAAAGCACAAGCTCACCATCAATGAGCCTGGACAAAAAGGGAAGCTGACTCTCACTGCATTCCTTAAACTGATATGTATATTTTTTTTGTTAGGAGGCTTAATAAACTTTAGTCTGTTATTTTGTTTCTTTTTATACAAAGAAAAAAAATTCAGCTTTCATGTTTCTGATTCCAGATTGGAAAATATTTTTATATGGTCTGTTGTATTTTGTTGAAATGAAAATACTGTGTATTACTTTATTTTACAGGCCACAATTGATTATGAAGTCACCCTGTGATTCTCTTTGCCCACATGACCACCGAGCATTATTACGTAATTAGAGGGTTATCCTTTTGTTGTGAAAGGAAGGAGGGGACTGAAATCTCCCAAAGTGCAAATTGGAGAGTGTTTAATCTTTGTTCTGTTGAATAACATCGGTGTAATTACAAAGTCAACTCCAAGAATGTGTATTTACAATATTTGCCATGTTAAGTGCTGGTAATTATATGGTTATATGTGCCATGTAAAATATAGTGATATCAAATATTCTGTTGTTTCCAATGTCTAGTTTCAAGAGGACAATCTTTATAATCATTAGAAGGGCTTATTAAATCCCAGCATTATCCAGGGCAAACTCACTGGTGGACCTGAATACATAAGATACCATTAGTGCGCTGGTGTTCGGATTGCTGTATTAGGGTTTACATCTCTCAGTATTCCTTGAACTTGCCATGCTTCTGCATGCAGATTCTTCACTGACTTGAATTGAGATGGGCAAGGGAAAAGGTCCCTGGACTCCCTCCTGCCATCTACAGGCTTGTCACATCTCACCACCAGAAACAGGCTTCCTCAGGCTTCTCACCTGTGGCCAACTTCACTTTGTAAGACCCATATTTTTAACTCTTCCCAGGGAAAATTCATGTTGCTGCAGAAGTAGGCTAAGGCAGACCACCCACTTCTGCTGAAATGCATTGGGAGCCTGTGAAAGCACAAAGCTGGAGGCTGGGCGCCTGCGTTCTCCTACACGGAAAGGAATCTAATTCCAAGAGTCTAGGAAATGGTGCTATTGTGAGTTCGTTCTGACTCTTTCTCATTCTGAGTTTTCAGTGTTAAACTAGGAAGTGTGACAGCAGGGGAGCTTTCGTGAGGCAGTCAGTCATTGCTTCTCTGTAAATTAAAATGTTACAGCACACACATACACACACAGAGAGCATTTCAAGGCCACAGCTCCACACCTGCCATGGGATGTTAATGTGGCAGGGGGTGGGGCTCATTCTGTTGGGAGGTCAAATTACCAATGCCAAGGACTGTTGATTTTGTTTTTATTTTTATTTTTTCTTCTAGCTTTTCAGAAGATGGAAATGAGACAGTTGAGTCCAAACCCCAATGCTGACAGCCATATGCATTTGAAAATCTATCTAGATTACAGATGGGCATTTATTACTGGCAGTGGAAACACCAGATAGAAGATCTTAGGAGAGGCCCAGAAATGCATCACCTTGTCATGACAAAAGAGAAGGCAGTAGAGTAGGGATAGTTACAAATGCATCCATCTTAATTATTTTCAATAGGCTTGTAAATCTTATCGATGGAAGGAGAAAGGAGACAAGATGTGGAAGAATTGACATGTATCCCACCATAAAATGGTAGAAGATGAGTTTTCAATGAGTAGTCATAGTTGAAATTTTACAACCAAAGCTCCCATTTGATTGTAATCTTGCCAAAATATAATGGATGTATAAATGAACTTGGGGTATAAGCAATAATATCCACTAGTGTTGTTATCAGCTACTGTAACCAAGTGGCTGGTTCATTTGGTTGATGCTGATTATGGCCTTTAACCATGGTGGTTTGTTGTGTGTTTTTTATTTCACAAAAAGCCAATAAAATTGTTTAGCTATAAAATGCCTCCAGTTTTGTTTTAAGGACAGACATCATATTGTGTGTGTGATTTAACAGCTTTTTTTAAATTATCAAAACATTAAGGGTGCTGGGTCATGGGGGCTTGTGCATGCTCCAGTAACAAAGCAGCTTGAATGACTTGTCATTTTTGTATTGGGTATTGTCAGCAGAGATTCCAGTGTCATAATGTAAATGAAGTGCCTGGTGCTTTGCTCTTGGCTAATACAGTATGTCACTAGACATAGTACTGCCTGGGGCCAGAGAGCGGGTTGGGGGAGAAACTAGAACTATCCTACAGGACTTAGTATAATCTGGGTTTGGATAATTTCTGCCAGCAGTTGAGTGATAGGTCTGAGTTGCTGAGTTCATGAAAAGTTTCCTGCAAAGCAGGTCTGAGAAAGCCTTTGTGAAAATATCTGGACAATTTCTGGACTTCTAGGTAATACAATGTTTACCCAAGCTCAGAGGGAAGAAAGTCTCAGTGAGATGTCATTGAGGGACTTTTCTGAGTGACAGGCTACCCATAACTGTATGGGAAGGTGCTGACCACTGTAAGAAATAGCTGTGAAAAGAAAACAATGAGATGTCCAACACATTTCCACCTTTTAGAGGTGGATGGTCCCAATCATGGCACCTTTTACATAAAGTATACCGGTTTCTTCTTACCTTTAGAAAGTCTTGGTCTAAGTTTCTGGGAGTAATGTCTGGCAAATCATCAGGGATGTCAGCACCCTTATGTTGGCATTCTTTTTCTTTTATACAACTTCAGCAAAGTTTCCTATACTGGCATTTTGAGAACCACAGACCCTACTGGTCTAGCTGGAACTCAAATATTTTCATTATGGACACTCAGAAGCAAAAGTCCAATGTTTCTAAGAGATTTTTTCATGCTTGCTTCCAATATATGGTATATTAGTTGTCAAAATTCAGTTTTTCGTCACTATGACATTGGCTAGGCAGAAGAAATACTACTAGTCAGAGGGAAAAAACAAAGTGAATCTTGAGTTTGGAAACAGTTTTATGAGTTCAGCACTTCTGAATGAATGCTTGCCTGCAAGCTGAAGATTTGTCCGCCCTTTCCATGAATTGGATTTTTTTTAATTGGCACAGAGATAGATAGATGATAGATAGATAGATGATAGATAGATAGAGAGATAGAAGATAGACAGATAGATAGATGATAGATACAGATCTCCTAGTTGGATGTTAGAGGGCAAATAGCAATAATTTCTCTTTTCTAGAAGAATGTGACTATTGCATAAAAGTCATAGAGGTAAAAGTTAGCCAGAGAGAATGCATTTGTGTTGTATGTCTATGTGTGTGTAACCAGAAACAGCATAATGAAGAAAAGGGCAATTTAAAAAGAAAGAAAGAAAAAAAGAAGGAAGGGAGGGAGGGAAAGGGCCACTGAAGAAAGACACAGAATTGAATTAAACACTGTGAGCCACAGATATATTATTTATTTCAAAGTGCTAACTTAAGTCGAGAGATTACTGCATATCCCTCGACTTAATTTATTGTATGATGAAGACAGCTTTCTTGAATTTCCAATTAGGAAGCAGGTGATATATGCATCATGAAAGGTTTAGACTTAGAAGTGAAGACACTGGTGTGGCAATACTAGTGACCTCCTTTAAAAGCTACACTTCTGTAGAAGTAATGCTATATCCCTTGGCTGCATTAGAAAATTCTCCCTTGTGCTGACAGTGCTTCTAAATTGGATATTTTTACTTGAGCCATTTAGATGCATAGTTTTTTACTGGGCTAACATACAGGTGCTCATCAGTTAGATATTTATAGACTGTAGTCTATGAAATATGAAAGTAATTTATGAACAGATAACTCTTGGGTGGAAACCAAGCGATCATGCAGTTGCATATCCACAGACGTGAAAGAATTATCAACAACAGTAGCAGACGTGAAGCGACTTGCCTCTCCTGTCGTTCAGTTTCCACAGCGACATGGATTTACAACAGAACATAGATGAAATGGGTGCTACCTAAATGTGGCCCCATGCTTCGAAGGAGTATTTAAGTTCTTTGAATATGTTCTCAATCCCAAATACAAGAATGGTTAGATATTACAGGCAATCGATGAGGACAGAACTTGATTCATTTCTTTCCACTTGGAAGCCAACCAAAGTTTGACTATTCTTAAAATTCCCTCCCAATATGATAAAAAATAAATATATCCTTTGATTTGATGATTCATGGTAGTCCCAGTTAGGGTGATACTCCCCTGGAAGGTTAAGTTCAACTGTCATGTGAAAAGATACACAACTTCTCTAAGCTTTAGTCATCTAGAAAATGGGAACAGATATCACTGAGTTTTCAGTACAAGTTAAATGAGATGACTTAGGTAAGGCACCCATATGCCAAGTACCTTGGACATAATAAGTGCTTAGTGAATGGAAGCGAAACACAAATGAAATGGAACCTGTGTGCTCAGCATTTTTGACCTTGGTTTTCAAGGCCAAAACCAAGGCCAAAAATCCAAGAGAGAAGACAATCATGCATGTTGCAGAAGAGAGCAGTGTGGTCTTTTCCTGCCAATCTCTTCAACCAAATGCTGACCTTGCTGCTTAGTGCTTCATGACAGTGGTTTAACAATTAGAAAATAGGAGCTATGGTAAAGTAAATAATAATTATTATTAATAATAATGGGCTGGAGGGAAAGGTGGGTGGTGGGAGAAAAGAAGAAAGGGTGACCCTTTCTAAGAGAACATTTCCCCTCACTAGGGCCTCCATGTTTTCTATTAAGTAAAGTCAGCCCACTTCTGGGCTGAGCTTGGCTGAACCACTGATTCACTCGGGAGCAATTCGTTTTCATTGCTCCCAATCATTTTTTTCTTACTTTTCTTGAAGATTGGATGCAAAAAGTCTAGTTAGCCATGCTTCTCAGTGCTTGTCACATTGTCATCCTCAGTCAACGCAAGGCCCTCTCTTTTTATATTTTCTCTTTCTTCCAAAATACCCACTCCCATCTTCTGTTCAATGTATGTCTTTAAACATGGGTTTCTTTATATACAGTGTTGTTTCATGTGCATAATTGTTACACAAATGGTGTTACATAGCAAATTTCCTTCTATCTACTTTTCTGACTCCACACTGTTCTGGAAATCCAGCCATTTTACAATGTGTGCATCTAGTCCATGGCTCTCCAGGGCTGCCTAGCCTCCCATAGGCTGCATCCATCCCTTGTGGTTCCTCCATTCCACCGGTGATAGAACCACTAGCCAATTCCCATTCCTTGGCGCTACAGTGAGCCTTCTTGTACATGCCCTGGGTCCAGATCTAAAAATGAATTCCAGGCTGGGCACAGTGGCTCACTCCTGCAATCCCAGCACTTTGGGAGACCAAGGCAGTCATATCACTTGAGGTCAGGAGTTTGAGACCAGCCTGGCCAACATGGTGAAACCCTGTCTCTATTAAAAATACAAAAATTAGCCGGGTGTGGTGATGCATACCTGTAATCCCAGCTACTCAGGAGGCTGAGGCAGGAAAATTGCTTGGGCCCGGGAGGCAGAGGTTGCAGTAAGCCGAGATAACACCACTGCACTCCAGCCTGGGTGACAGAGCGAGACTATGTCTCAGAAAAAATAAAAATGAATTCCAGGTCCCACTCCAGATGTACTGAATCAAAGCCTCCCAAGGTGATAGGCATGTGTGGGAAGGGAACACTGAACTCAATGACAAAAATCTTTCCCTACCTTAGCACTAAGACAATATGCAAAGAATCTGAAAGGCTATGGGCCAGCCTGGAGACTGGTTCCTCTGACCAGCAAGAAGAGAAACTAGGTTTAGCTTCCTGCCATCTGAGAGGCTTCAAGAGGCTTCCCTGATTGTGAAAGTTGTTACCTATTACAATGAGTTATTCCATCCCATCTGGCCTTGGCCTTTTGTATCATCTGACCCTCGTGAAAGGCAAGAGGCCAAGATGACTTCTAAAGAGTTCCTTGAATACTAAGATGCCTGTTTTTCTGCGTTTAAAAAACTTCCCTAGCTTGATTTAATCATGTCACAATGTATTCAGATAGCAAAGCATCACATTACACACTATAAATATGTACAATTTAATTTGTCAATTATACCTTAATAAAGCAGGAGGAAAAATTCCCTAGTGAGATTGTGCACATGTGTTGAAGGATATCTTCTAATTTTATTTTACATATGAAATCTAAAGAAAAAGTAAGCTTCCAGTACAAATTTTGGAGATTGTTAAAACTGTCTCAGAAGTCCTGGATAAATTATTTATTGGACATAAAACATCCCTATCTCCTAGTTTCCTGTCCCCCCACAGAGCATGCCACCTAATTAGATGGAGAGTGCTGAAATCACTATGTTTTCTCTCTCAGCCCCTCTCCCATTACCAGGTTTGGACCCCTTTGCAACTGTCACCAAGATATCACTTCTCTTTATACACCTGAGATTTCTTTTAAAATAAGTAGTCAAGCCGGGCACAGTGGCTAAAGCCTGTAATCCCAGCACTTTGGGAAGCCAAGGCAGGCAGATCACTTGAGGCCAGGAGGTCAAGACCAGCTTGGCCAACATGGTAAAACCCCATCTCTAGCAAAAGTACAAAAATTAGCTGGGCATGGTGGCAGGCACATGTAATCCTAGCTATGCGAGGCTAAGGCAGGAGAATCACTTGAACTGGGGAGGCGGAGGTTGCAGTGAGCCGAGATCCCACTACAGCACTCCAGCCTGGGCAACAGAGTGAGACTCTGTCTCAAAAATAAATAAATAAAAATAGATAAAATAAAATAAGTAGTCATCTGAAATTTTTAACTCTTAGAGAAATGGGCTTAACAATCCAAAAAAGAAAAAAAAAGAAAGAAAAATTAATGTGAACTTTCTCCTCAGCAAATGCTATTCCGCTGGTTGCTTTTGCTCTTTTTTTGCTTATATTTGCATAGTTACATAGTTACCCCAGTGGCAAGGTCTCAGGCATGTTAAGATGCACTTTTATATGCTCTTTCAGTTTTATTCAAATGTTTCCGTTTTATTCAAATATTTCCATGGCCAACTGGATGGATCAATGCTGTAAGTCTTGGCACCACTCTACCAGAGTCCAAAAAACTGATGTGAGACTCATCATAATAATAATAACATTTTTGAGTCTATGTTATGGCCATGCGTTGTGATAAGTGCCTTGTTTGCATTTGTCTCATTTAGTTCCCACAACCGCGCCTTATGGGGAGGATAGTGAGTTCCCCAGAAACAGAGCCTGAGGTGAAGATTCCCAAGCAAGTGGTTCACTTAAGAAATGCCCTTCCATGAGACCAGTAAGGAAGGGGGCGACTGGAAAGGGTGAGAAGCCAAGCCAGGAAGCCCCACTCAGTCTGGTCTCAAGGGGTGATCTGGAGTAAAGACTATGCCATAGAGGAGGCTTTTATATTCCTGCACGAGTGGTCGAAGGCTAAGTGCTCAGGCAGTGGAGGGGGAGGGGATAATGGAAACTCCAGGCATTTCAGGCCGGAGGCAGGGAAAGCAGCTGCAGCAGCATACGAGGAGTCCTGCAATGGGAGTCTCCAATGTGGACTCTTAAAGGCAAACCAAAGAACACAGAAGCTGGGAAGGGGCACCCAGACAAGTTTAAAAGGATGCAAGGGACCAGCCAGTGGATCATGCCTGTGATTCCAGCACTTTGGGAGGCCGAGGTGGGCGGATCACTTGAGGTCAGGAGTTCAAGACCAGCCTGGCCAACACGGTGAAACTCCATCTCTACCAAAAATACAAAAATTAGCCAGGCATGGTGGCAGGCACCTGTAGTCCCAGCTACTCGGGAGGCTGAGGCACGAGAATCACTTGAACCTGGGAGGCAGAGGTCCCAGTGAGCTGAGATTATGTCACTGCACTCTAGCCTGGGCAACAGGGAGAGACTTCATCTCAAAAAAAAAAGGGGATGTGAAGACCCCACGGAGGAGCTCAGATTGATCTGTGCATTAACCACTATTTTGAAAATCTGAGAACAACCTAGACTATTTGATGGACACACTAATGGAAGTTTTGTGCGCTATCAGCAGACAAAAAATAAATACGGATGAAAAAAATTGCATCCTCTGTTGCCACTGTGTAAAAACAAAAAAAAACAATTTAAAGATCAAAAAATAAATTCATTGTAATTAACGTCTCAAAGTTATAGAACCTAAAACATAATTATTTGTACTCCCCCCAAATAATGTACATAAGGCTTATTTGAAAGGGCTTCATTAAATTTCCTCTAAATTGTGCAAAACAAATTTCATGATTTACTTGAACCTAAATGAATTTCTGCCACACAGCATTTTACAGATCTACAGCAATTTCTTTCTAAAAAAGGCCAGGATGGCAATTCTAGTTCTCCACCACCCCCATCATCACCCTACACATGCACAGAATCAGTCCAGGAGAAATGAATCAAAAACTAAAAATGGGAGGTAAACTTTTAAAACTTGTATTTAAATACCAACAGCCTGATTTCCATGGGTTTTTCTGCCTGATTTTTATTTCACCCACCATATGACAAAAGAAGAAAGAAGAAAAGAAAGAGGAGAGGGAGAGAGAGAGGAGGGAAGGAAGGAGGGAAGGAAGGAAGGGAGGGAGGGAGGGAGGGAGAGAGGGAGGGAGGAAAAGAATGAAAGAGAGAAAAGAAAGGAAAAGAAAGAAAGGAAGAAAGAAAGAGGAAAAGAGGAAAAAGAAGGAAGGAAGGAAAGGGAAGGAGAGAGAGAAATAGGAAAGAAAGAAAGAAGGAAAGAAAGAGAAAAGAAAGAGGAAGTAAAGAGAAAGAGGAAAGAAAAAAAGAAAAAAGAAAGGGAGAAAGGAAAAAGAGAAGGAAGGAAGGAAGGAAAGGGAAGGAGAGAGAGAAATAGGAAAGAAAGAAAAAGGAAAAGAAAGAAAGAAGAAAGGAAAGAAAGAAAGAAAGAGAAAGAAAGGGAGAGAGAGACAGCGTATTCTTTCTAAAAGGCTGAGCATGGTGGCTCACACCTGTTATCCCAGCACTTTGGGAGGCGGAGGTAGGCGGATCACCTGAGGTCAGAAGTTCGAGACCAGCCTGGCCAACATGGTGAAACGCTATCTCTACTAAAAATACAAAAATTTGCCAGGCATAGTGGCAGGCACCTGTAGTCTCAGCTACTAGAGAGGCTGAGGTGGGAGAATCACTTGTATCCAGGTGGTAAAAGTTTCAGTTAGCCGAGATCACGCCACTGCAGTCCAGCCTGGGTAAAAGGGTGAGACTCCATCTCAATAAAAAGAAAGAAAGAAAGAAAAGAAAAAAAAGAAAAGAAAGAAAGAGAGAGAGGAAAGAAAAAGAAAGAGAGAGAGAGAAGGAGAGAGAGAAGAAAGAGAGGAAGGAAGGAAGAAGGGAAAGAAGGAAGGATGGAACGAAGGGAGGAAGGAAGGAAGGAAGTCATTGCTTAGAGCCCATGTAGAACCCGACCTGACTCCTAGTTTTAATAAACTAACAAAGATCTTCTCCAGCTCCAACTGCCCAAATTCTAAGCAACCCTGCCAGCTGCAGCAAGGAAAGGCAACATCTTTCCTTGGATCATCTTTCTGGTCTTATTCATGCATTTAAGTTGGGAATAAAATGGTTTTATTGACCATTAGATCTTGCAATTTGCTGGGGGAGTGGAGGGAGAGTAAACATTTGAACTTATTTTAGTGGGTATCTTTTTACGTTCTTTCACAGTTTGGGTGAGTGATGGATACATTGGTAATATGGGTGAATGATGTTTCTATATGTAATAGTAATCTTTGTTGAAACTAGCTCTTTCCAAAAATGGCATTTATCTCTCAGTTTCAACGGGATGTTCTTCTTGACTAGGCATGTTCCAAAGGAGAAATGATTGCAATCACAACCAGTTAGGATCTCTGTCCTGTCTTAAAAACACTCAGCATGAGCAAGGCCTTCAGATGAAAGCCATGAAAAGATTAAGAGGTAGATTCCATTGAAATCTACCCAGGAAGTGAAAGCCTGCCAGGTTAAAGATAATTTCACATCTCATTTCTCCTAAAACAAACCACCTAATAACAGGCTCATTGATCTTCAAGTCTGGAGAATACATTACAGCTGTCAGTTTCCCCTTCCCACCTTCTCCCTCACCCCAAGCATCTAGGCCTGGCCCTAGAGAAATTCCATTTGACCAATATCGGAACATATGCAAACAGATGATGCAAATGAAGTTCTAGATGTTTTGTGGTAGGATAAACGGAAAACAATTCCCAAATCTTACTGAGGTTCAAACAGAACGTCCTATAACCTAAAATCTCTGCCTTCCCAACTGACTTTCTCATCTTCACCCTATTTTGCAGGGAGGTAACCGGTTCCGTCAGTTCTGGAAATTTCTTCCACCAGTGTGCTGCCAATTATCTACCTCTTATCTTGGGAAGCCTGGTGATCATATCTTGATTCAGCCTTCCTCCTGCCTTGCCAAAGGCTTGATCTGAAAATTATCACAAATAATTTCAATTCATCTAGGACTTTTTGAACTTCTATATGCCAAAAATAGTATGAGACTCAGTCTTTGGCCTCACAGAGCAACTAGTATCTGATTGTACACACCCAAATACCAATACAACAATAAATGAACATACCCAAATTAATGCTATAGACCAGGTATGGAAAATTGGTTTCATCTCATCTACTGACCCAGATCAGTAATGCATGATTGTGTTATGAGGGATTCTGAGGCACAATCCAAGGCAAAGTTTAAGGGCAAAGAGGGCTGAGATTGTACAATAGCATCTGATGTGGCTCTGGGAAAATGAACTAGTGGCATAATTGTCAGGTGTTTATTCATTCACAAATATTTATTGTACTGATACCTGCCTAATATGTGTTGGGCACTTTTCTAGGCACCAATGTCCCTATCATTATGGAGTTTACATTCCTTTGTGGGAGGTGTGCAATGAAAACTAACAAACTAATATGTACTTTTATCAGGTAAGTGCTAGAAAGGGAAAAAAAGAAGAGGATAGAAGATGATTAAGAATATCATTTTAAACAAAGGTAGTCAGAGATATTCTCTCCAAGGAGGTATTATTTGAATAGAGACCTGAATTAAGAGAATTTGGAGAAGACACTGGGGATAGTTGGTCTGTGCTCCACAATGTTTGTAGCCTCAGCTAAGACTTGAAGGCTCTTGGCTGAGACTTCAGCAGGGCTGTTGACTAGAACACCTGCATAAGTCTCGCCACATGAATTAAGTGAAGAAGTGAGTCCAGCAAACAACTAGGAAAATGGCATCTGGAGGCTAAGTATGTGCAAAGACCAGAGGACAAGACCCGACTTAGTATATTAGAGGCTGGTCAAGTAGACCTGTGGCCTGGAGATAAATATGAGCAAGAGGAAGAATGGTAGACATATTTAAGGGGTTAGTCAGGACAAATCACATCAGACAGTTGTTCTCAATCAATGTGCAATAGAATTGCACAGTATGTTTTAAATGTATGGACATCCTGGCACCATCCCATCTGAATTTTTTATTGGCTTTAGGGTCCCCGTTTCCTTTACTGAATATAATATTGTTGCTGCTGCTGCTGTTGTTGATTATAAGGAAATTTTTTTTTTTTTTGAGACAGAGACCCACTCTGTTGGCCAAGCCGGAGTGCAGTGGCACGATCTAGGCTTACTGCAACCTCCGTCTCCCGGGCTCAAGCAATTCTCCTGCCTCAGCCTCCTGAGTAGCTGGGATTACAGGCATGTGCCACCACGCCTGGCTAATTTTTGTATTTTTAGTGGAGACAGGGTTTCACCATGTTGGCCAGGCTTGTCTCGAACTCCTGACCTCAGGTAATCAGCCCACCTCAGCCTCCCAAAGTGCTGGGATTACTGGCATGAGCCACCATGCCTGGCCAGAAATATTTATTTTCTGAACTTTTACTGAACCAAAGACCACTATCTCAAAAAGTTAAATTCCTCTCTGGAGAGTTTATATAAGGATAAGAGAGCATGGCCTTTAAGGTGGTTGTTTCTCATCTGGGAGATATTATAGAGAAACAGCTGGGTTGGTTAGGGTCGATAATCTTCAAATTGTTGAAACTGCTAAATCAAGAGGGTGCTCCACCTGGAGAGGTGACCATCTTAATGACCAAAACCTTGGGTGAGGAGGGCAAAATTTCTTTTGGTTAAGTGGTCATAGGTCAATGCAAGAACCAGGGAAGAAAGACCAGGCAGTAGTTCTGGCAATCACATTTCATGTGAAAGAAGACGTCAAATAATAAAGTATGCAGTGGCAGAGTTCTTTCTTGCTCTGAGCCCTGACACCACCCCAGGGACTCTTTTTCTCCCTTAAGACATAGAGTATCCTTCATTGCCTCTCCATCTCCTTTTCATCCTTTCTCCAGTAAAAAGCAAGCTCTAGAAAACCATCAGACTCGGCCGGGTGCGATGGCTCGTGCCTATAATCCCAGCACTTTGGGAGGCCGAGGCGGGCGGATCATGAGGTCAGGAGATGGAGACCATCCTGGCTAACATGGTGAAACCATGACTCTACTAAAAATACCAAAAATTAGCCGGGCGTGGTGGCGGGCACCTGTAGTCTCAGCTACTCGGTAGGCTGAGTCAGGAGAATGGCATGAACCCGGGAGGTGGAGGCTGCAGTGAGCCAAAATCATGCCACTGCACTCCAGCCTGGGTGACAGAACGAGACTCCATCTCAAAAAAAAAAAAAAAGAAAACCATCAGACTCTTTCACTCTAAGGTGTTTTGGCAGGTGGTGGCAACAATATCTCCCATTGCACATGTTCTTCTTACTAGGGGACCTTGACACTCCTCCCATTGAGTTATGGAGTCACTGGCCCTTCCTTTTGAACCTGGGTGGATCTTTTTTACTACCTCAAGCAATAGAATATGGTAAAAGTGACACCACATGACTCCCAAGGCTAGATCAAAACTATGCCATGTGCTTCCACTTTCTTCTCCGAGGACACACTCTCAGAATCTAGCTGCCATTCTCTAGGAAAGCCCAAATGAGCCCAGGCGGAGAAACCACACAGAAAGGTCCAGTGTAAGTGTTCTTCTAATCAATAGTCTCACTGAGGTCTCAGCCAGAAGCCAGCATCAGTCACCAAATATATGAGTATAGGCACCTGCAAACATTATGGAGTAGAAACAAGCTGGTACTGCTATGTCTTCTCCAAATTTCTGACTAACAGAATCCATGAGAATAATAAAAATGGTTGTTTTATGCCACTAAATTTTGAGATGTTGTGTTATCCAGTGCTGTAGTTTGGATAATTGTCTCTTCAAACTTCATATTAAAATTTGATCCCATTGTTGGAGGTGCAGACCTAACAGGAGGTATTTGGATCATGGGGGTGATGATCCCCCATGAATAGAATGAATAGAATATGCCCTCCCTGGGGGTAGAAGGGTATGAGTGAGTTCTCACTATTAGTTCCTGCAAGAACTGGTTGTTAAAAAGAGCCTGACTCCTCCCCCACTTCTCTCTTGCTCCCTCTCCTGCCATGTGATTTCTGCACACATTGGCTCCCCTTTGCTTTCTGCTATGAGTGGGAGCAGTCTGAGGACCTCACCAGATACAGCTGCTGGTGCTATGCTTGCTATACTTCTTGTGCAGCATGCAGAACCATGAGCCAAATAAACTTCTTTTCTTTATAAATTACCCAGCCTCAGGTATTCTTTTATAGCAACATGAAATAGACTAAGACATCCAGCAGTAGTAACTAGAACAAGTATTAATGACTAATGAGGTTTGAAGTGTCTTCCCTTCTCATTGAATAATAATAGGAAACAGTGCAGTTGGTGTAGAAGCTCTTAGAGTCAGGTTTGGGGTCAAATCCTGGCTCAGGCCACTTAATAGCAGTATAAGTGCTGGGGCAGGTGATGATCTCTTGAACCTCTGTTTCTTTACCTGTAAAATGGTATTGGAGGCTGAAGTGAGGGATGAGTATATAAATGAATATGTAAAAGAAGCCCTCAATCTCCCCCTTTCCCTGTGCTCCTCTCCCATCCCCACCAGAAGCGTGGGAGGGTTCATGGGTTAGTCCTCGCCCCTATACCAGGGCCATAAAGCTTTGCGTAGTAGCTTCCTCCTCCCTGGATGTCCCACCACAAGGATCTCTTTGAGTTTCTGTCCACTTATATAACCATCTTCTCAGGGGCCCAAAGGGCTGGTGCACAAATAGAAGCAGCCATCTCAGCTTAGAGTTGAAAAGAATTCAGCCTTGAAGTTCTACAATTACACACATCACTGCTTGCTTGTCTATTTCACCATCAAAACAAAGAAGCAGCAACTTGGTCTCCTACATGTCTCCTTCTCTGAAAATTGTCTCTCAGTGATTTCTGGGTAGTCTCATTGTTCTGCCTTTGGACCAGTCCTCTGGCCTGACTGCAGTCCCAGCCACAGTCTGGTGGCTCCTTTTCCCTAATTCTAAGGAGGCTGGATGAGTATGCAGAGGATGCAGGATGGGAAGACACGGCCAGCAGGGACACCAATTAGGAAGCCTCAAAGCAGTGATGGGGGCCAGAAGAAGGGAGTATTAAGGGAAAAAAAGTCCCCCTTTCCCAGGGTAACCTTTCCAAAAACAGGCATCCTGTTTCTTACTATCAAAATCATATATATTCTTGGGCATCTGGCACTATAAAGCTTCAGAAGTTCTGCCCTTGGCTTTTACAGATCTCAACAGGAACTGATATTCAGATCATTCAACGTGAATGAGAACAGGACAGATTATGCCTAAGACAGGTGTTAGGCTACTCATCCAATAGAATTCCTAGAGCCATCCAATTGTCTGACTTGGAAATATTTTGAGCCCAGTCTCTTCACCATAGTATAACTGATATTTTCATCACAAGAGGCACAGCCATTTTAGGAGGGAACCCTCAGCCACCTGTCCATGCTTCAGCAGAGAAGTGTTTTCACACCTGTCTTAGTTGGCTCAGGCTGCTATAACAAATTACCACAGACTGGGTGGCTCAGACAACAAACATTTATTTCTCAGAGTTTTGGCAGTTGATAGCCCAAGATCAGGGAGCCAGTGTGGTAAGGTTCTGGTGAGGGCTGTCTTCCTCGCTTGTAGAAAGCCATCTTCTCCTGGTATCCTCAGCCAGGAGAGAGAAAGAGGAAGCAAGCTCTCCTGTCTCTTCTTATAAGGGGACTAATCCCATCATGAAGACTCTACCCTCATGACCTAATTAACTCCCAAAGGCTCCATCTCCAGGTACCATTCCCATTGGAGGTGATTCGGGGGTAGAGGGAGCCACAAATATGCAGTCCATAACAACACTCCCTCCACAATTGTGGATTACTAAAACTACAATTCCAGAGCCCCTCCATATACACTAAGCTTGTCCAACCTGCAATCCATGGGCTACATGAGGCCCAGGATGGCTTTGAATGCAGCCAACACGAATTCATAAACTTTCTTAAAACACTATGAGATTTTTTTTTTTTTTTTGCAATTTTTTAAAGCTCATCAGCTATCGTTAGTGTTAGTATATTTTACGTGTGGCCCAAGACAATTCTTCTTCCAGTGTGGCCCAGTGAAGCCACAAGTCGGACACCCCTGATTTACACTTACTCCTCCCTGTGGAGCAGCAGCCAACCTGGTTGGTGTCAGCAGGATACTCACTGGACCAGGTTGCTCAGTTTCTCTCTCCCTTGCCTTGAGGAAGTGCAGAAAGGGCCAGGACTCTCTGGGTTGGGACTTCAAGAGGTAACCCACAGGCTGCTATTCTCTCACAGGCCCTTCTCTATGTACCAGATGTGTGAGAAAGCCCCGGCCCTCCCTGAAGCCAGCCAGGTAGGGATGCTGGGAGCCCACTGTGCCCCAATACCCCGCAGGCAGGGGCTAAGGCCTGGGTTTGAGAGGCAGCAGGAGGCTGTCACTTGGCCCAGGGCCCCAGGCCCAGGTCTCCAATTCACCTTCACCAGAGAGTCCTGAAATTCAGGATTCCAGGGCACCTTACACCACTAGTATCGCTGAAACAGTGATCATGTTTTGGCTGCTTGTATCTTTTCTCCTCCAGCTAGAACCTGAAAGTAGGAAGAGATAACTAGGTGACTTCCAGAGCCCAACCATCTTTTTCTTTTCCACTTACTATGACCCTACACTGTCCTTACAAGACCCTGGTGCTAACCCTGCTTTGAGTGGGGAGAGGGAGGCTCTAGGAGGATACATCATTTACACAAGGTTACAAAGTTAGCAAGCGGCCCAGATTTCTGTCTGAATGTTGGATCCACTCTCCAGTGCTCTGCTATCTAGCTTCTCTTTTGTCTAACAACTGACAAAACAGACCCAGAGAAACTAAATTACTTACCAATTTTATGCAACTAGCACCAGAGCGGGGATTTGAACTTGCTTCAGTACTCATTCACTCTTTCCTTTGCACCCCACACTTAGGTATAAGGATCCTGAGGTCTGGAGAATGTAAGTGACTTGCCCCAGGCCACATAGAGTTCATGTAGGGCTACTGAGTCCAAGGTCAGTTTCCTTGGCCACCTACTCTTAGGAATTTCCGTCTGCTGTCCGCCCTAATTCTCTTCATTACTGACAAACCCTCCTGTTCTCTACTTGAGTTGGTACCTGCAAACTGTCTCTCACACCCACAAATCCCTCTTATCACTATGTGCACAGAGCCTGGGTGTTAGGTCCTGGGGTCCTTTTAATGAAATGTGCATCTCACTTTCCCTTGGCTAGTTGACTAAAGTTTAACCTGTGATGGGATTCTGGAGTCATCCAAAGTTCACCAGCGTTGTAATCTGCACTTACAGGTAGCGAGTAGATGAGCCCTGAGTCTGGCACCAGTGGGCTCTGAGGCTGCATCTTTGTTCTCTAGGGAGGCAAGAGGCCAGTTGGATGTAGGTGTTTCTCTGATAATCCCAGTTTAGAAGATAGATCACTAGGAGAGATAATAACATAGAGAACCTATTCCCTGCCCTCAAGTGTCTTGGCAGCAAATGCAGAAATTAGGAGGATAGAAGGCACGTTTGAGCTCATGTAAAGCCACCCTCATCTTTCAGGAGGCATCAAAGTGAGCACAGTTGGAGACCCTAGGTAATCAATGAGAGTGTGTTTGGAACAGAACATACTGGGAGTTCAGGGAAGGGCAGATTAGAGACAAAGAGACTGAGGCTGGAGAAAGAGTGTTACCCAGGCTCCATTCAGTGTTTACCATCCCCACTCCCAGCCCTAAGCCTCTTCCTGTACACAGTATTGCTATTCTAAACCTCATTGCTCACAGCAGGGCCTATAGCCTGGGTTGGCACTTTGAGACTCCCCCTTCATCCTGGTCTAGGCAAACATGCCCTCAGGCACTGTAGGATTGGAGAATTTGGGAGTCAGCATCATAATACTTGGCTGATGAGTTAAAACTAGGGGTGAGTATCCATTAATTTAGTCAAGTTCCTCAGGGTCACAGGGCAGAAATGCATTTAGAGCCTACAGATCCCAGCAAGCAGTGAGAGTTTCCTTGCAAGGATCCTTAGGCACACCATATAGGAGGAGAATGGATGCGGTCATCCCAAGTCTCACTTTCAGTTCTGGATGCATGTGGTTCACAGCACCAGGGAGGGGCACAGCAGCACCAGAGACTGACCTCCAAGCTGAGATGCCCTCTCATTTTCCACTCTACATTTATCTTTCCCAGATAAAATACAGTGGAGTTAGTTTAATGTCACCGGGTACAAAGCACCTCTCTTGGGCAGGGCCAAAGGCCATTTGCTTTTTGTTTCATATGACAGTCTCCAATTCCAGCCACAATGGCCAAGAGAACAACTGATTTCATTTCCACAACAAAGCATTCTACATGAATTACAGATACCAAGGCAGGAAAGCAAAGCAAAACAAAACCGATGGGTCCACTTATGTCAAAAGTTGACTGTATATGTCAGTGAGGTGTCATGAACCCCTCCCTCTCTCTTCCCACTGCAGCCACCTTAGATCTTTTGCTTGTCTCTGAGGTTATTTTCTCTTGGGCCAGGCTCAGAAGAAAATGCCTCTTCCCTTTGGAGAAACCTAGTATCCAAGGCCTGACTCTGAGCAGCAAGCTTTGCAACCAGGATCCAGTATAGAAGACTTGGGGAGAAAGAACAGGGGAGAAGGGCAGGGTTAGCAGAGCCACGGGTTAGTCCAGCCACAGCCCTTTGGCACTGGGTGTTACATGGCTCAGAGCTACTAATTTAGGCAGTTGCCACACTCGGGCTTGGCAGCTGTCTTGGGACTGTGGTGTGTTGACCACTGGATTCCTAAGCCTGCCCTGCTGCAGGGAGAAAGAAGATACGGACATATCCCTTGGATTCGCTGCTTCTCTTCTAAGGACATCACCCCCAGATAATGGTAGGATTTGATGGCTTTGACTTTTCTGGAAGGGCCATTTAAGTTTATCCTCTCTAACCTCTTTCTGAAAGTAGCAAGGTGTGGTGACTCCCCAAAATGTTTCAACATTATAATCACCCAAGGAACATTTGAAAATTACAGATTTTCCAAATCAGATTCACTGGAGAAAGAGGCAGCCCAGGATTCTATATTTTTGAAAGCTCTTCATGAAATTCTGATGATCAGCCACTTTGGGGAACTAGCTAAACTTAAAGTGAGATTGGAGGGAGGATCTGGAGACTCCATCAGGTATCTATTTGCCCAAGTGATATACACGCAGGAAGTTTTCTCCTGAAATGGTAAGTTTATGGTCAGATGCTCAGAGGCAGGAAGCACTGCCCCAGCCTGCCCCCAAGAACTTTGCTGTGGGCCCCTAGGGAAAAGAATGCTATGCGCAGAAACCAAGTGGCTGCTTTCACAGTGGACTCTGGAACACACAATAGGGCTCCTGAATGTCAAATAGGCGCAAAGTGAAAACTTACTTTCAGTGGTGTGCTGGTGCTCGTCTGCACCAGGTTAAGAGAATAAACTGTTAAATTGTCAGGAATTTTGCAAGCCATTTGACATCAAGTTGGTAGTTTGAAATCAGCCAGGATGAGAGCATTTGCACCATAGAATTTGGAAAACACTACAAATCACGGCCTTTATTCTTTTTTCTGGAGAACCAGTGAATCTTACTACTTTCTTCCCATTCTTTGGGAATACAGTGCATTTGGCATATAGGGTGTTTGGCAATCAGCCACATAATCACGGAGCCACCAGCAGCAGTGATGGGCTTGAAGTGTCTTCCTCAAGTAACTTGGAGGTAGGTGACATCAACAAGCAGGGTGATTCCAAAGAACATTAGAGGACTGATGTGAGTATATGCGAAGCACTGTCCCCTGACGGTACAAGAGCACCTCCATCATCATCTCTTCTGGGACTTCTGCCCTGCTCATAATCCCATCTGGGAGGGCCTTTGCCTAGGTTTGTTTGTTTTCTTAAATGTTCCACTTCCAAGGGCTATGGTGACAAAAGAGTACTTTTACCAAACCATGTTTCTCTCTCTCCTGCCATTTAGTGTGATCTCCATTATTCATGAACTCTTCTAATTTTCTTAATGCCAAAAGCTTTGCTGCCAGAGGCGTAGAATTGATTTTGTAGAGTGGTTTGCTCACTTTGAGATGCTCTCATTTACTTATCTGAAAGGATTCTGCCCTGGGCTGGACATCAAACTGGGTCACATAGTGCAGGGCACTGGGTTTCTGGGCCACATTACCTTGGAAACCATGGGGCTCTGAGATGAGGCCCTAGAGGGGCCCACAGTAAACTGAGACCTCCTCCCCAGGGTGCTCACACAGCCCTCTCTTGCTCTAGTTAAATGAGACTCCAAAGGCTACTGACAAATTCTGCTCTGGCCAGCTCCCAGCTGCAGAAATATTCAAACAATATTTGTAAAAATTGATTATATTGAGGACATTAAGCCTTCTAAACAGTCATGCCCCACTGGGCTCTATTTACTCTAAATGAAATGCATGTTGTGGTGTGAAAAGGATGCGCTTTGCAACCAAATACACTTGAGTTTAAATACCAGCCCTACTGCTGGAGTAGCATCCTCATCTCTCTTGGCTTCTGTTTCCTCATTTGTAAAGTGGGCTTCTATGCAAATTAAATGGTAAAAACAATGGGAGGTACCTACAGTAGGGCTCAGCACAGATAAATGTCGGACATTTATCCAAGAGCTTCTTACCAATCTCTTTTGAGCATTAATAAAGGCAAAGTAAACTGCTACTAAGTCTCCTTGGCCCTTGTAGTAGGCAGAATAATGCCCCTCACCACAAAATGTCCACATCCTAATCTCCAGAATCTTTGGATGTTACCTTACATAGCCAAACAGATTTTGTAGGTGTGATTAAGTTAAGGATTGTGAGATAGGCAGATGATCTTGGATTAGCCAGGTGGGCCTACTGTCGTCACCAGGGTTTTTATAGGTGAAAGAAAGAGGCAGGAGAATGAGAGACAGGAGAGGAGGGGTTAAGACCAAAGCAGAGACTGGATGATGCAGCATAAATTTGTAGATGGTAGGCTGCTGGCTTTGAAGCTTGAGGAAGGGGCCATGAGCCAAGGAATACAGGCAGCCTCTAGAAGATGGAAAAGACAAAGAAATGGATTCTCCCCTAGAGCCTCCAAAAGAAATTCAATCCTGCCAATACCTTGATTTGAGCCTAATGAAACCCATCTCAGACTTCTGACCTCCAGAAATGTAACACTGTAAATTGATATTGTTTTAAGTGGCCAAATTGTGGTAATTCGTTACACCAGCAGTAGGAAAGGAAAGCAGCCTTAATTCCTCTGCCAACTCCCTCTTCAATTCTGGGGACATGCCTGGAATCCCCAGCTTAGTTCTAGGCCTCCTGAATAGCACAGCCATCCAGCCCTATCAGGATGAAGGAGATGTGAACTCTGACTTGGGGCAGAACCACAACAATTGGTAACATTGAGTGCATCTAGGTATGTTACACATATTAATTCATTTAATCCTCACCACACATCTATAAAGTAGGTACTTTATATGTCCCTTTTACAGTTGGGAAAACTGAGGTACAGAGATGTTAAGTAATTTATCCATGGTCCATACAACTGGCAAGTGATAGACACAGGTTTGAACCCAGGAAGTCTTTCTCCAGAGTCCAAAATCTAAACCATGGCCTGATATGGCCAAAAGTCCACACCCTGAGAGTGGACTTAGATCAGAAATCTCAGATCAGGCCAATGGGTGAGTCTCTGGCATAGAAAACCCAAGTAGGTGGTTTTCCATGCCAGAGACTCACCCCATTGTCCTGATCTGAGATTTCAAACAGCTATCTTTCCCCTCCCTCTAGAGTCTGAAGAATGGCTAGAGAGAAAGAGATGATGAAAGCCAATCTACCAACCCATTTCTAGAATGCAATCACTATCAGAACCCAGAACGCTTTCCAAGATGCTTAGAAAGGATGATTCCACAAAGACAGCCCCTCACATGCAAATCTCCCCCATAGGCTGTGCTTTTTGCTGAGCCCCAGGAAGAGCCTGAAGTCACCTCCCAGCTGGCCAGGCAGGTGCTAGAGTTCTACATGACAGGACACCTACTGCCCTCCTGGACACTGCAGTGTGGCTGTGACATAGGCTTCAGGCAAGAGAAGAGTGCAGTGATGTGGCTGATGGCCGACTACATGAGTTAATATTTGAAAGGTGCTTAGAACATTGCCTGGTCAACAGTAAGGCTATGTAAGCACTTGTTTAATTTATTAATTTTCTTTCCCTGGCCTGAAAAGTGCTGATGGAAGAGTTATGTGAGGTAGTACTTCTCCAACTTTAATGTGCATGCACATCACTTTGGAATCTTCTTAAAATGCAGATTTGATTTAGAAGCTCTGAGATGGAGTCAAAGATTCTGAGTCTCTAACAAGGTGATACAGACATGGCTCGTCTGCAGACCCGAGTTTGAGTATCAAGGGTGCAAGATGCTGATAACACAGAACAGAGAGCCAGCCTCGTTATGGGAAGGGGCCCTGAGTCCAGTGTGTGCCCTGACTGTGGCTAGAGGTTGGGCTTTGCAAACCTTTCTTCCTTTCTGGGCAAGTGGCTCTGGCCAGGAAGTGTCCCTCAACTGGGCCAGGAGGGTGGCGGTGGGCCATTTCCACTGAAGCTTCCAGCTATGTCTCAAGCATGCATGAGGCCCTTAGCCAGCAGGCTAAGGAATGCGTTGACCAGGAGAAACTTAAACCCTTCAAAGCCTCCTGTCCCCTAGAAGATAAACACCAAGCTCCTTTGGATTCACACTCATGTCAATGTGACTCAAAATCCTGATCTCTATTCCACCACACCACAGGGCTTCCCAAATACTACTGGCTGAAAACAGATGGCTTCCCTTCCAACCTGATCAAATGATTTTTGCTATCACTAGGAAATCCTTCCCCAACCGGCCTCGTGTGCTCAGACAACAAGGTAAACTGCACTCCTCTCAGCCCCTCAAAGCCCTTTTTGTGTCGCCTCCCAGCTTTTAAGCCCTCACTTCTCAAAGTGTGGTCCATGGACCAGCCGCATCAGCATCACGTGGGAGCGTGCTAGAGATGCAGCTTCTCAGGCCCCACTCAGACCTGCTGGACCAGAAGTTGCATTTAAGATCCCAGGTGATTTGTGCACATGTGCAAATCTGAGAAGCACTGGCCTAGGCCACTTTTATTTATGCACTGGCCTCACAGTTATCACTCAACCCTCCTCTCAAATTCCCTTTCCCAAGCAGGTCAGCATGACCTAGATGCCGAGTATAAATTTAGCCTCCACCCCTGCTCTCCTAGGTCACCTCGGCTTTCAAATGCTCCCAGTCCATTCCTCATCTTCCTCTAGCAGGGGCAATTTTGCAACCCCACCCCTTTTTAAGTTAGCCTCAACATGGTTCACTAGCCCTCATTTAAGAATCTTTGCAATAATGTTTTCCTTTCTATAATAAATGAGAAACTTTTGCTTGAAAGGCTTTTGAACTGTGACCAGACAGACTGCTCTGCACAACACATGGTTGTGTTATATTTTCTGCCCCGCTGTGAGGTTGCCCACACCTCAGGAGAAGGAATCTGCCTTGGTGGGACAAAGAGAGGGGGCCACCCCTTGAGGACACCTCTGTATAGAGTTCTTTCTTTGTAACACCTTGGCTTGTAACAGGAAGAACACAGCAAAAATTGCAAACAGCTGCTGTCCCTCATGAGGCAAGAGCCAGACTGACCCAGGTCATCCTGGAGCAGGTGGCATGATTCCAAGGAATCACTTTCAGAAAGGAGCCAGCAGAGGGTTCCTTTAAAGCCTGGAGATCCTGAGGACAAATTTCTAACTTAATCTTGAAGTAATAAATGATCTCATCCCTCTTTTTACCCTCCCCCACCCCATGAGAACAGCCTTAGCAATGCTTCACTAGGCTTTCTTAGCTTGTATTTTATTTTTTAAATTCCATCTCTCGATTTCTCTCAGAACATAAAAATACACGCATACTTCTCTACACAAATCCACAAAGGAAAAAAATACATGCAGAAAATTTGTAAGATAAAATACTGCAAAGAAAATAACAACTAGTTTACCAAGCAGAGATGATCACCAGTAACATTGTTTTCCTTTCTTAGACCCATACATCTAATATATACACACAATTATGTTTTATATACTAACATATGGGATGACACCACAGAGTTTTATACACTGCTTTTTAACTTAATAATAGATTAATATTATCTTGTGTCATTAAATATTTTTGAAAACATTATTATTCAAATCATGAAATTCTGTCACATAAGTAAATCTTGTCATGATTTACTTAGCCACCCCTCAATGTTGATGATTTTTTTGGTTTCCATTTTTTTGCTATTTTTAATTTTTGATATCTTCATATGGTTTAATAAAAAAATTAGTTACTTAAATCTTTTGTTTTGCAAACTTTTATTGAGCACCTACTAAGTCCCAGGCACTGTGTCAGGTGATGAGCTGTAAAGATGAATCCTTAAGGGCCTTGCCACAGCCCTTTGAAGGGGCAGGCAAGTAAACAAATTCACAGTGTAGTAGAGACTGTAATAAAGGATATACAGAGTAGGAAAAGAGAAGTCCCTGTCACAGATAGCAGGATTCCCAGAGAATCCTTAGCAAGGATAATAATTGTAGAGAGAGCTGAGTAATATGTCTCCTCTAACATAAAAATAATTGTCCCTTTCATATATGTCTTGCCTTATGCACTTCTGTGTTTGTGATGGCAATGTATTTTCATGACATTTTCCATATCTATCAATACACACATTTTTAATATCAACACACAGCTTCCCAAATCTCTTGAGGCACCAACCACCCTCTGCAGTTCCCCACCTCACTTACCACCTTTTTTGCCAGTAAGTTTGAAACTAGTGCTGAGACAGCAAGGATAGGATTCATTACCCTAGAGAGCCAGGCTGCAGTAGCCTGAGTGGCTGGGGTGAGTTCTAGCCACATGGGCAGGGCCCTGGATAGGACTCCAGTTCCAGCATGGAACTAGCATGCAAGACAAAAGCCGCAGCCCAATGCTATGAATTGGACAAATGGGATATGATTAAGGGGGAAAGTCTACAGCTCACTCCGGTGCTTTGAGTTACCCAGGGTCTCCCTGTGCATCTGTAGACCAACTCAGACTCCACCACTGCAGCTATAAGGAAGAAACGCCCTACCACTGTACCTCCTATGCTGATTATAGACACATGACCTTATACATTCTAATATGGTGTTCTTGTTGCCGCTTTAGGGTAAGTCCATACCAAACTGGATGAGGAGTAAAGAGAAGGTTTAACTTGTCCAATGGCAAGAGTTTGTATTTGAAATCAAACATGTAATTCCTACTGTAAGTCTCCTAGAATGAGGTAGCTCCTTAGACAGAAACTGGAATTTAGACATTAAACCTTAGATGGGTAGGAAAATAATCATGTTAGCAAGAACAAGATTGATTGAGAGACTGATATGTGCCAAGTACTATCATAAGTGCTTTAAATGTAGGAACTCATTTAAAGCTCACAAATTTAGAAAACAGCTCTTATTACTTTTATAGTTGAAGAGACTGAGACCCACAGAGGTTAAGCCCACAGTGAGCCAGCTAGCCAGAGGCAGAATCCATTGCTCAGGCTCCCAATCATTACACCACACTGCCACCCTGGGGATTCTCAGGTCTTTCTAAGACTTGGAGTCTAGAATCTAGACCTCTAGGAGTCCCAACATGAATGAGAAAACCCCTAGATAGAGTGGGACAGATGGCTTCTGTCACTAAGAGGAGCTAAACAGGAAGTGGATGATAAGCAAGCTACATCCCCTACATTCCTGTTTCCTGAATCACATGTTTCTGTGCCCAATCCCAGGCATGCTGAATCAGAATTTCCGTGGATGGAGTCTGAAATCAATATATTTATTTCCCCCCAATGATTGTGTTGCACCCAACTCATGAAGTAGTATTTAGGGACCATGTTATCAGATTGTTTTTCTGTATATCTGCTTCCCTTCTGGTTTGTTTTTATTTGTTTATTTTTTGTAGAGATGAGGTCTCCCTATGTTGCCCAGGCTGGTCTCAAAACTCCTGCACTCAAGCAATCCCCCTGTCTTGGCCTTCCAAAATGTGGGGATTATAGGCATGAGCCTTGTGTTTTCAAGCATATCATAAAATCTTCTCAGAAAAATTGAGGACAATCTAGAGGCCAACATAGAGGAAGTATAAGGAGTTAATATGAACTCCCCAGGGGGTAGGTAAATCTCAAAAAATAAGACTTAGAACTATAAGAACTAGTTGCCTGGAGCTGAGAGGATTGGAGTCATCTGAACTAACAGAATCAGATGGGAAATGTGCCCTTCCAAAATGGTCAGAATCCATGAACGATACCATGCAGGAGTGGTGAGCTCAGGCACAACTCAGACACCACCAAATAGAATTACAGACTATTGCGTGGTCGCCGTCAAAATCACATCAATACTCACTCTTTATCTACATGGAATTGCATATATAAATGTAATTACATATTACAAAATGGTCCCTGTAAAGAAGGCAGATTGATTAAGTCTGAAATATAAAATATTGTAGCATAAAATCATTGTAGATCATGGTGGCATTTGTCAAGCCATCCTTCCATCTGCCAGCATATTCTAACCATCTGCTATGGGTTGAATGGTGTCCCACAAAATGATGGTGAAGCCTTAATCCTCAGAACCTGTGAAGATTATCTTCTTTGGAAATCGGGTGTTTGCAGATGATCAAACTAAGATGAAGTTATTAGGGTGGGCCTTAGTTCAATATGACTGGTGTTCTTCTAAAAAGGGAAAATTTGGATAGATGCAGGGAGAAAAACATATAAAGGTGAAAGCAGAGATTGGGGTGATGCATCTACAAGTCAAAGAATGCAAAAGATGGCCAGCAAACTACCAGAAGCTAGATGAGGCACCAGGAAAAGATTGTCTCTAAGCCCACAGAAAGAAGGAACACTGCTGGCATCTTCCTCTCTGGCTCTAGGCACCAGAACTATAAGACAATAAATTCCTGTTGTTTAAGCAACCCAGTCTGTGGCACTTTGTTATAGGAGTCCCAGCAAATATACCATTAAATGACCCCAAGTGGATATCAATTAACCAGATAAATCACATAATAATGAACCTCTTAGCTAGACCAGTTATTTTTTGTTTTCCTTCTCATTATAGAAATCTGGTCAATGATTGAGAAATGTGTACACTCTGGGTTTTGTGGGGTTTTTTTTTTAGCTATACCAATTCTAAAGTGCACACAGCTTTGAGAATCATGGGTTTTAGAGTCAAGCATCATTGTGCATAACTTTAATATGGAAAGACATGGAAAAGAAAGAGATGAACAGAAAAGAGGGTTCTTAACAAGTCATTAGCTGCCACCATAGATTGGAGATGGGAGAAAACTCCAAGTAAAAACATGCTCTAAATCTGAATGTTCTTGCCTGATGAGCTACATTGATTACACATGAGTTTCTAGAACATCTTTTGTCCCTCTGGCTCAAGTCCTTAAAATTCTTGGAGGCAGGGACCCTGGCTTATTATTATATGCTCTATACTAGTGCCTAGGATATTTGACGCTCATTGTTTGCTGAATGAATATTTTTAAATAAATATCCTCTTTATTTTCTTTTAAGCCCACAACCTATTCTTTCCCATCTTAGATCACTAGTATCCAAATGTCAGCATTTTCCCTTAATATATGTTTACTTACTATAAACATATACTACTCTACAATAGAAATGGAAACATCCAAAAAATAAGATGGAAAATAAAAAATAGTTAGAGGTTCTATTACATTTGTCTAAAGATCCCGTGGATTTTTATTATGTACTTCTTGAGCATTCTCAACCTTAACCACTGCTATGGATCTTACCATTTAATGACCAAAAAAGGCAAAACGCCATGAACCCAAGGCAACGAAGTCTTCTCCCTGAGGCCCAGATAAGCACCCCCTGTTCCCACACCTCCCTTGCTACTCATTTGGCTTTCTAGGGTAGGAAGGGGCAGAGTCAAAGGAGCAAGTCTTCCTCTTTTCAAAGCAAAAAGCATCCATATCTCTCATGACCACGCCCATGAAGAATGTAAACTGTATGATCAAGTGATTTGTTAAACAGATTTATTTAGCTAATGTGCTTTATAAATTCCAAGAAGAGGCTGGAGTCAGGTCCTTTGGAACAGAATTTGGGAAATCATACAAACTGGGGATACTGGATTATATGATTCAATTTGTCTAGGCACTCTTAGTGTCACAAAGAGGAAAGGTTCTTCTTTTTGCCCACTATCCCCTTGAGTGTTATATCACAAATTATGTCATCACAGAACTCTTTTTTGTGAATCCTTATTTTTAAATGTTTTTATTCTCTTTTTTTAAAGAACTCACGAAATCCAGACTTATTAACATTTTGAAGGAAATTAGTTTGGATTGAGGTAACCAGAGAAAATCATTATCTGAAACTATTAAATAACCCTCATTAGAAATATTAATTTATTTTTTTCTTTTCTTTCTTTTTTTTTATTTATTTTTATTTTTTTGACAGAGTCTTGCTCTGTCACCAGGCTGGAATGCAGTGGTGCAATCTTGGCTCACTGCAACCTCCACCTCCCAGGTTCAAGCGATTCTCCTGCCTCAGCCTCCCGAGTAGCTGGGACTACATGCGCCCACCACCATGCCTAGCTAATTTTTGTCTTTTTAGTAGAGACAAGGTTTCACCATGTTGGCCAGGATGGTCTCGATCTCCTAAGCTCGTGATCCTCCCACTTTGCTCTCCCAAAGTGCTGGGATTACAGGCATGAGCCATCGTGCCTGGCCAGAAATATTAATTTCTGATTCATATATAACTAAAAGTTTATTTTCATTCACTTGAGTTGGGCATGTAATTACTTTCATCTAACAAATTTTCAGGAACTTTTAATGAACTTGTCATCAATTCAATTTAGGTCCATGTTTGAGAGGTTACCCTTTAGATCCTGAATACAATTCATAAAAGACCTAAGAAGAAATAAACATATGCAAAAACATTTAACTCTGCTCACAAAAGAACAGAAAGGAGAGCTGTATTAAATTAGAGACAGAGAGAAAGGAGGGAAGGAAGGAAGGAAAGAAGGAAGGAAGGAAGGAAGGAAAGAAGGAAGGAAAGGGAGGGGAGGGGAGGGGAGGGAGGGAAAAGACAAAATGCTAGCGAGTACAATGATGAATGTGCTGGTCTGAAACATTGTAACATTTTATTTCATTGTCACTACCCTTTAGTAAAAAAAAAAACAATTCATATCCAGAGCCAAGAAAATGTCCTATCCCCATTTTTACCCACTAATCCTACTTCATAGAAATAATTCAAAACTTGGAGCCAGGACAAGAGATGAAAGGGGGGCATTTCCCATATGAGTACCTTCATTGCATTTTTATTTTAATAGCTAAAATTGAAAACAATCTAAGTGTTTTATCCTAGAGACTGCCATTAAGTTAATTTTGGCACAGTTCCTAAAAGGAATACCATGCAGCCATTAAAATTTTAAATTAAAATATGGGGTATGTAAAAACATAAGAAAATGCTTATTTTATAATAAGGGAAAAAAGAGCATGATACAAAATTGCATAACAATATGGAAACCATATGCCCACAAAGGATTATAAAAAGAAAAGATGAGTTCTTGTAGTAGGCTGTTAAGATTATACATGACTTTTTTCTATTTTTCTAAAACTTTGTAATGTTGTTATATTACTTTTAGCATTTAAAAATATTTTTAAGAACATAAAAACAGTTTTCTGCCACTATACCACTAAAGAAACATCCATATACACTTTAAAACTCAAATGTATTCCTGACAGGGTACAGAACACATTTTTCAAACATTATTTCCACTCATCTGTAGATGCACTGAAATTCTACTAAATTTTCAATGATACAAATTACCTTTCAACTTGAAAGTTGTGCTAAGGCCTTTAGATAAATATAACTATTGCTGGTGCCCAACACAATTATTTTAAGTAATTTTACAAAATCTATTCTGCCTTTGCTGCACCTGGTAATTAAGTTCAAACATCCTGAAGAAGGCCGCCTCATCTCCCTAAGGCCCAGAAAGAATTTCAATTGCCATTTGAAGCTTCCAATTAGTTCACAACATAAAATTACAATTTACTTTTGATACATTTTCCTCTGGACCTAACTTTTTTTTACCACTCTTCTAACCCATATTGTAATTATGCCTGCTCAGTCTTATGCAAAACATTCTCTCTTTTCATGCTAGGCTCACCAATATATAACCTGGCTGCTTCAGCTACTGTCCTATTTAACAATACCTGTTTCATGGAGACAACTGTCTCTCTACGCTTCTGGAAGAAGTTCTAGGACAGAAAATCTCCAGGTCTTGGCCCCGCCCCCGCCCCCTGCTCCTTGTCAGCAGGCCCTCAATGAAGCTGTGTTATTCTCAGGTAGGACTTTGGAGTCTTCTCTTTAATATCTGTTCTCATTTCTCTAGCTGGTTTCCAGAATGATTGGCCCCTATTGAGATACAGGGGATAAAAGAAACAACTAAAACTTATTTTCCCACCACTTGGAAAGCAAGTCGCCATTGTCACTGTGGCAGGATAATTTATTGATATATTAATTTCTGTTCGTTTTTCCTGAATTATTCTCTTTTCCTATTTTATTTTATTTTATTTTATTTTATTTTATTTTATTTTATTTTATTTATTTTTGAGATGGAGTCTCTGTCGCCCAGGCTGGAGTGCAGCGGTGCGATCTTAGCTCACTGCAACCTCTGCCTCCCAGTTCAAACGATTCTCCTGCCTCAGCCTCCCGAGTAGCTGAGACTATAGGCGCCCGCCACTACACCGGGCTAATTTTTGTATTTTTAGTAGAGATGAGGTTACCCCATGTTGGCCAGGCTGGTCTCGAACTCCTGATGTCAAGTGATCCACCCAAAATGCTGGGATTACAGTCGTGAGCCACCGCACCTGGCAGTCTTCCTTTTTTTTTTTTTCCGAGACGGAGTCTCGCTCTGTCTCCCAGGCTGGAGTGCAGTGGCTCGATCTCAGCTCACTGCAAGTTCCGCCTCCCGGGTTCACGCCATTCTCCCGCCTCAGCCTCCCGAGTAGCTGGGACTACAGGCACCCGCCACCACGCCCAGCTAATTTTTGTTTTTATATTTTTAGTAGAGACGGGGTTTCACCGTGTTGGTCAGGATGGTCTGGATCTCCTGACATCGTGATCTGCCCGCCTCGGCCTCCCAAAGTGCTGGGATTACAGGCGTGAGCCACCGCGCCTGGCCCTCTCTTCGTGTTTTAAGCAGATTGCCAAACCTTCATAATTCCTTGACTAGGGGATTCTTACCCCCTACGAGGGGCAGAACTCTGAAGCTAATTAGAGTCAAAGCCTTTTTTAAATACTTGTCATGAAAGAGATTAGACAAATAGTGAGAGAGAGAAGAAACTCGCTCAGGAAGCAGCCTGGGTGAGGGGTAGGATCGCCTTCCCCATCCCCTCAATGGAGAGAAGAAGTCACCTAGGAGACTGAGCCCTGGGAATTCTGCGTAGCAACAGAATGGTCCTGTAGGGTATTATTTCTTCTCTGGGTCTTCTGGTTTTAGACTCCACTTGTCATAGACACACACAAAACTATATGCTATGTATATATTCATTAGAGAGTGTCTTAAACATCCATTCTTATCAATCACAACTTTTAGACACCCGGGAAATGCTTCTCCCCATCCCTCGTTCTGTGTCCTCAAATTCACCTGTATCTGAACACCATGAAATCTTGTGAGTTATCCTGCTGACGATGTCAGAGACGGACACTGATTAGAAGTGTGAGGGGATTTGAGAGGAGGAAGAGTTGAGGTACAAAAAAAGACAAATTAATTCATTTGTCCAGTCCTTTCTATCAATTAGCATGAATGCAATAGAATCTTGCAAATGAAATATTAATTCCCAGTACTGCCAAGTACCCTTTTCTTGTGTGTTTCTTCATGTCCCAACTTTGGCTACAGAGCAAGCCAACAATTAGAGAAATATTTCTAATATTTGCACATTATAGCTGAGAGACATTTTATAATACTAAAGAATTCATATCAACCTTACATTTTTTACAATGTGTCTAGATTGCTTTGTGCACAAGATGTGATCCTGGTATAATACCATGGCAACTAGAAGAATATTGAACACTGGAATTGTGAATCTTTTTTATTTAATAAGATTGAATTTCAATTTCAAAATTATTTTGAAATTTAAGCTATATTCATATACCTTTCATTTACACTTTTATATTATCTGTAATATGCATTTTACATTTTATTTTAATAGACATAGCTTAGAAGCAAAACAACTGAAAACAGAAAAATATTGCTAATTCTTTAAAATGCATTTACCTTAATTCTGTATCTTTTGATGAAAATATATTCAAATTTTAAAAATTCATTGGATCATTATTGTAATATTGTAATAAATAGAACAAAGTATGTAAAATCTTGAGTATAAAATAGTTATTTTTGCTGTTATAAATTTTAAAAATACATTTTATGAAATAATTACGTAATAATTTGAGATATATGTGTGTGCCCATGTGTGTTTATTATCCCTCTAATCATTGCCAGCCTACTAACAGAATGCCCAATCATGTTCACAAAATTTTAATTCATTTGTCTTTGACTATTTGATAATTTTCAATCATATAAAAATCATGACCTTAAACATATATTTTGATTCTGTCCTTATGAAATTATACTAGTCACATTAGAAAGATTATATGTTGATTACCAATTTGGTGTCTTGATCATTTTTAGACACATGGTACAAAGCCTCCACCTGTGCCCTGCACATTTAGGGAAGGGTCTGCCTCCCAACCAACTGGCTTCCTGGCACAAACCAGAGAACTGAGTCTCTGGCTCTGATCATGTCACATGTCCATTCCTGACTCATTCTCTCAAACCAGCTGATTGCAATGCTCCACTGGCCAGCTTGGAAAGACTTACCCTTCCAGAGCCTGGGATGGAATCAGCCCCACCTGGACTCCACCATGCGCCATGACAAGGACCATTCCCAGAGGCAGATCAAGTTTTGTGAGTTCTAAAGCTTTTTCAGTTTGCAGAGCCCTTTTTAAGAAAAAGAATAGAAAACAACAAATATAAAACTAGATATTGTAGGCAAATATTTCAAACAAGAAAAGAAATAACAAATCACAGATCCAGAAAAGCTAAGAAATACCACAATCATCACCAAATCCTCCCTGACCTATGTCCATAATGGCTTTTTCTTTCCCCGCTACATTTTTTGGCTGAATACTCTTCAATCACTTCTTCATACAACAATAACTTCAAAGTATCATATTTTAAGGAAAATAGATAATTCAGTCCTTCCTCTACCACGCTGATCAGAATTCGTCGGGGCCTTTTGTTTGAGGTTTCATTGGTTACTGATGGCTTTTAAATGTTCTTTCAGCTTCACAACTTGTTATTGATACTTTTCTGTGTATTTTTATCATTGCTGCCAAGTTTGGAATCTCTCAAATTTCTTCTCCATATGAGCTGGAAGATTTCCAGACATGTCAAGTTTTCTTGTCCAGGGACTGATATTAAATATTCTTAGAATAGATGATTCTCATTAACCAGTTTCCTGTCGGTGTCCGCTCATCACAACAAGGCAGTCATCACAGGATAACAGGGGTATTTCTGGAAGTCAGGAATTACATTAGGATGCCAGCACTAACTGAACTGTCATAGAAGTGACTGTGAACCATATAAATATATCCATTAAACTGAGACTAAATGTATGATTCCCAACTCAACTTCCCTCAAATGGATTCAAAAATAGGCCAACAGCCCTTCTAAATATCTCAAACACAATGGAAGGGTGAATGAGGAAAGGTCAGAACAAAAAGAGACAGTGGTCTTAACCAATGGAGGATAAAGTATCTCACTTTTGCCCATTTTACAACACAAGGACTTTGTTTGAAGTCTTAGCTGCAGCCCTTTCACAGTATATCCACCTCTTCACCTCTAGTGTTTCCCCAAGGAAATTCTGATGCTGCTACCCGAAGAAGGGGGAAAACAGTAGCTATTCACTGCAATCATTTTGGCTTCTTTCCTATCCATCAAGGAGGCATTTTTTTTCCCCCTGGGAACAAATATAACTTCTACAAACTATTTTTGCTGCTCTCAATTATAATAACGCTTTGTTTTTTGCTTTTGCTCTTTTATGCTTTGTACCCCAGTTTTAGTTGATCAAGTCACTTCCTTCTTACAATGCCCAGCTCAACTGCTGTCTTCTTTATCTCTAATCTTCCTGTCCTAGGGTTTTCAAGATCTGTTCCTTAGAACACTAGCCTTTGAGACACTGTATTTTTTTAAGTGTTTGAAATAAATTGCATGATTTCTCTCTCTCTCTCTCACTTTTCAGTTCAGAATGCATATTAGCACTTTGGGTTCTGAGAAGTCCCACAATCAAAGAATAATTTTTTTGTTGTTTTAAAGAGTTGGGGTCCCACTTTTTCACCCAGTCTAGAGTGTGGTGGCATGAACATGGCTCACCACAGCCTTGACCTCCCAGGCTCCAGCGATTCTCCTGCCTCAGCTTCCTGCCAAGTAGCTGGGACTACAGATGCGCACCACGATGCCTGGCTAATTTTTGTTTTTGTTTGTTTGTTTGTTTGTTGTAGAGACGGGGTTTTGCCATGTTGGCCAGGCTGGTCTAGAACTCCTGAGCTCAGGCAATCTGCCTGCCTCAGCCTCCCAAAGTGCTGGATTACAGGCGTGAGCCACTGCACCCAGCCAGAATACTCATTATTGAGGGCATACTCTATAGCAAGCTCTTCTAAATGTTTTACACGTCTCATATAATCCTTTCTACTACTTATGGAATAGATTGTTTTCGTAGATAAGGAAATTCTAGGGTTAAATAACATGACCAAAATTTCACAATGGGTAATTAAAAAATAACAGGATTTAGGCCGGGCACAGTGGCTCACGCCTGTAATCCCAGCACTTTGGGAGGCCAAGGCAGGCAGATCACAAGGTCAAGAGATCAAGACCATCCTGGCCAACATGGTGAAACCTCGTCTCTACTAAAAGTACAAAAATTAGTTGGGCGTGGTGGCGCGTGCTTGTAGTCCCAGCTACTTGGGAGGCTGAGGCAGGAGAATTGCTTGAACCAGGGAGGCAGAGGTTGCAGTGAGCTGAGATCGTGCCACTGCACTCCAGCCTGGGAGACAGAGAGAGACTCCTTCTCAAACAAAAAAAAAAAAAAAAAAAGGAAAGATAACAGGATTTGAACCCAGAACCTCTTAGGCACTCCCCATTTGATTTTGTTTAAATCAGTGCTTCCTGGCTGGGCATGGTGGCTTACGCTTGTAATCCCAGCACTTTGAGAGGCCAAGGCAGGCAGATCACCCGAGATCAGGAATTCAAGACCAGCCTGGCCAACATGGCGAAACCCCGTCTCTACTAAAACTACAAAAGTTAGCCGGGTGTGGTGGCGTGCACCTGTAATCCCAGCTACTTGGGAGGCTGAGGCAGGAAAATTGCTTGAACCTGGGAGGCGGAAGATGCAGTGAGCCACGATCATGCCACTGTACTCCAGCCTGGGTGACAGAGCGAGACTCCATCTAAAAGCATAATAATAATAAAAATAAAAATAAAGGAATGCTTCCTAACATGTTCAATCACAGACTCCTTTTCCGCACAACCCTTATAAAATCACCCAAAACAATACAGTCATGCACCACATAACAATGTGTGTAACAATGGGCAGCATATACAATAATGGTCCTATGAGATTATAATGGAGCTGAAAAAGTCCATCGTCCTAGTGACATCTTGATGATATTGACCTTATGTAGGCCTGGGCTAATTTGTGTGTTTTTGTCTTAGTTTTTAACAAAAAAGTTTAAAAAGTGAAAAATAAATAAAATATTTTAAAAATAGAAAAAAGCATATAGAGTAAGCATATAAGAAAGAAAATATTTTCGTACAGCTGTACGATGTGTTTGTTTTAAGATAAGTGCTATTTCAAAAGAGTCAAAAGTTTTTAAAAATGTTAAAAGTTTATACAGTAAAAGTTACAGTAAGCGAAGATTAGTTTCTTATTAAAAAAAAAAAGTTTTTTTTTTGAGACGGAGTTTCACTCTTGTTGCCTAGGCTGGAGTGCGATGGCGCGATCTCGGCTCACTGCAACCTCTGCCCCCTGGGTTCAAGCGATTCTCCCACCTCAGCCTCCAGAGTCGCTAGCATTACAGGCGCCCGCCACCACATCCAGCTAATTTTTGTTATAGGGTTTCACCATGTTGACCAGGCTGGTCTCGAACTCCTGACTTCAGGTGATCCACCAGCCTCGGCCTCCCAAAGTGCTGGGATTACAGGCATGAGCCACTGCGCCTGGCCAAAAACTTTTTATACATTTAGTGTAGCCTAAGTGTACAGCATTTATAAGATCTACAGTAGTGTACAGGAATGTCCTAGGCCTTCACATTCACTCACCGCTCACTTACTGACTCACCCAGAGCAACTTTCAGTCCTGCAAGCTCCATTCATGCTAAGTGCCCTATACAGGTGTACCATGTTTTATCTTTCATAGTATATTTTTACTGTACCTTTTCTATGTTTAGACACATAAATATTGACCATTGTGTTACAATTGCCTGTAGTATTCAGTACAGTAAGATGCTGTACAGGTTTGTAGCCTAGGAATAATAGGCTTTACCATATAGCTGAGGTGTCTAGTAGGCTATACCATCCAGGCTTATATTTGCATGCTCTATGATGTTTGCAAAATGATGAAATCGCCTAAGGTTGGATTTCTCAGAACATACCCCATCATTTAGTGTCACATGGAAGTAGTCCCAAAGGACTGCTGTCACTGCTACATCCCTATGCGCTGCAACTGTGCCACTCCCAGACTTTGCCTTACTGTCTCACAGCAGTCATTTGTGCATGTTTCTCATCTCCTCCAGCAGGTTGTAAACTCTGTTAAATGGGCCTTTATCTTTGTCATCTTGACCCCCATGCCTCCCATAGTATCTGACACTATATCATAGTATACTGATACCCCTGTGGTATCTGATACACACAAATCAATACATATTTCTGGACCGGATGTATGTTGATAGCGTTTTAAACTTTCCCAACTTCTATTTCATTTCAAAAGGAAGGAAGCAAGTCCAATAAACTAAATGCTAGAAAATAGAAGGCTTTATACAACTTTTCCAAATCGTTTCATACTGCTCCACTTCTGATGTTTACCAAGTGAGTTAGGAAATTAAAAAGCAACTACAAGCTGTTTTAATAGTAAGACAAATTCAATTTGGAATCAGCATGGAGAAATATTATTTTTGAAGGCCCATAACTGAAAAAGACTGGAAAACATATTAAATAAAACTCAGAAGAGAGTCATAGCCAATATTTGCAGCTTTGAGAGAGGAAATACACAACATTCTTAATAGTATCTAACAGTTCTTATACCATAGGGACACAAAAACTATTCATTCCAGATGACAGCTTCTCAATTCAGGTTCTTGTCCTTCAACCAAGAATAAACAAGGAGTACCTTCAGAATATTCTGTTGTAAGAGCTGCCAATGCAGAAGGAATTTTAATTTCAGAAAACTCAGGTTCAAATCATGAGTCATCTTCTCCATTTCAATTACCATTCTGGTAGACTTTTTATTGGTTGAAATGAATATTTCTTACTGCAAAAAGTAAAAATAAAAAAGAATCTAAGCAATTGGCACACTCATTTTCAAAAACTTAATTTAAACACATTTTTGTACCAACATAAATAAAACTTGCTCAATTTTGCAATATCTTTTTAGAAAACAAAATGGTTTAACTTAAAACTCCCTTGCCCATGTTATAAATACATCACATATCATAAATCTGTATTACACTATTTTGATTACAAGCAGCCAGTCCAAATATTTAAGGTGGAGCGCTCTGAAGAGTAAAATTCTCTGAGGGTAGCAAGACGTTGACCAAAGATGCCTGCCAGGAAGAATCCCGGCTGTGGAACCAAACCCACCCTCTACATGATTTCCGGAGTGATCTTGCCCTGCCTTTCTTGAAAGCATTCAATGGCTCCGAGTACCTTCCAAAGAAAGGATAGGCCAAGAAGCTCCTCCATGGCCTGAACTCTGCTTTCTTTGTTAGCTTTATTTCTCACCACTTTCTCCATACAGAACCACTATGAGTTTCCTGCATATGCCTTTATATTTTAGACCTCATGGTTTTACTAAAAATACAAAACATCCTCCCAATTCTAACCCCTCTTTTCTCCCTACTCTGACTTTCCCTGCCTCTTCAGCTTAAAAACTCCTATTTATTATTCAAAACAATGCTTAGCCCAGCATTCCCACTCCTAGGTACATACCCAAGAGAAATGAAAATATCCACACAAAAATTTGTACATGAATGTTCATAGCAGCATTATTCATAAATGGCAAAATGTGCAAGCAACCCAGTTGGTCAACAGCTAATAAACAGATCAATAAAATGTAGTATACTCGCGTAATAGGATACTATTTGGCAATGTAAAGGAATGAAATACTGATACATACTACATGGACGACTCTTGAAAACATTATGCTAAGTAAGAGAAGCCAGTCACGAAGGACCATATATTGTATGATTTCATTTGCATTAAGTGTCCAAACAGAAAGTAGATTTGTGGTTGACTGGGGCTAGAAGGATTGGGGGAAATGGAAGGTGACTGCTAATGTGTACGAGGTTACTTTTCAGGGTGATGAAAATGTTTGAGAATTATTTGTGGTTATGTTTGCACAGTTGTATGAATATAATAAAGCTATTGAATTGTACACTTTAATGAGTGAATTGTATGATATATTAATTATCTCTCAGTAAAGCTGTTACAAAAAACAGTGCTCAGATATCACCACTTTTGGGGAACTTTCTCTGATTTCTCCCTGAACATCTGTAACTCCATCATCTGATTCCTTCTATCCTTGACACATGAATTTTATCACCAATTTATAATTACTAACAGCAATCATTTTGTCAAATACTTTACACCCAATATCTTAATATAGTTAATAAACCTGTGAGCTAGGTATTATTATATTGGTTTACAATTAGACAGATTATCAGTGCTTTGTCATTCAACAAGACAGTTTCCCAAAGACAGAAGTTGCACTAATGTGGCCCACAGTTCTTTAATTTTTAACTTTTATTTTAGGTTCAGGGATACATGTGCAGGTTTGTTATATAGGTAAGTAGCATGTCATGGGGGTTTGGTGTACAGATTATTTTTTGTCAACCAGGTAATCAGCATAGCACCTGATAGGTAGTTTTTTAATTCCCTTCCTTCTCCTATCCTCCACCCTCTAGTAAGCTTCAGTGTCTGTTGTTCTCTTCTTTGTGTCTACATGTTCTCAATGTTTAGCTCCCACTTATGAGTCAGAACATGCAGTATTTGGTTTTCTGTACAGGCGCATGTGTCTTTATGGTAGAAAGATTTATATTCCTTTGGGTATATACCCAATAATGGGATTGCTGGGTCGAATGGTAATTCTGTTTTAAGTTCTTTGACAAATCGCCATATGGCTTTCCACAATGGCTGAACTAATTTACATTCCCACTAGAAATGTATGCGTATTCCCTTTTCTCCACAACCTTGCCAGCACCTGTTATTTTTTACTTTTTAATAATAGCCATTCTGACTGGTGTGAGAAGTATCTCATTTTGATTTTGATTTGCCTTTCTCTAATGGTTAGTGATGTTGACCATTTTTTCATATGCTTGTTGGCAGCATGTATGTCTTCTTTTGAAAAGTGTCTGTTCATGTCCTTTGCCCACTTTTTAATGGGGTTGTTTTTTGCTTATATATTCGTTTGAGTTCCTTATAGAATCTGGATATTAGACTGACCTTTGTCGGATGCATAGTTGGCAAGTATTTCCTCCCATTCTGTAGGCTGTTTGCTCTGTTGATAGTTTCTTTTCCGGTGCAGAAGCTCTTTAGTTTAATTAGGTCCTATTTGTCAATTTTTGTTTTTGTTGCAATTGCTTTTGGCATTTTGTCGTGAAATCTTTGCCAAGGCCTGTGTCCAGAATGGCATTCCCTAGGTTATCGTCTCGGGTTTTTACAGTTTTATGGTTTAAGCCTTTAATCCATCTCGAGTTGATTTTTGTATATGGTGTAAGGGAAGGGTCCAGTTTCAGTCTTCAGCATATGGCTAGTCAGTTACCCAAGCACCATTTATTGAATAGAGAATCTTTTTCCCGTTGCTTGTTTTTGTCGACTTTGTCAAAGGTCAGATGGTTGTAGATGTGCGACATTATATCTGGGCTTTCTATTCTGTTCCATTGTTCTATATGTCTTTTTTTATACCAGCACCATGCTGTTTTGATTGCCATACTCTTGTGTTACAGTTTGAAGTTAGATAACGTGATGACTCCAGCTTTGTTCTTTTTGCCTTGGCTATTCAGTGACCCAGAGTTGCAATGTAGCCTAATGAAATTTTTTTTTAATCCAAAGTCATGGTATTTTTTAAAACTTTAAATTAGTCAACAGCATTTTAAAATCAGGAGAGTTAATGTAAAAATTCATTTTTTAGCGTGTCTCGAAAGTTAGAGGACCCAGTGATAAGATTTGAACAAAGCCTTTAAATCTGGAAAGCCCTCTCCTGCTTGCCATAGTCTTCACTATGCCCTATTGTGTCATATTCAGTCCACTTAACTAAATTATGCTACTTGCTTAAGGCAGCATGGGCAAGAACCATGTCCTATTCATCTTTGCATCCCTAGCACCTGGACAGCACATGATAAATAGCATAGGTACAATAAATATCCCTAAACTGTTACCTCTCCCCTGTTATAGAAAAGCTGTGTGTTGGAGCATGTTCCTTATCCTTTTTTTTTTTTTTTTAATAATTTACAATAAATCCCCAGAGTACAGCCCTTGCATTGGGCCCATGGTTAAAATTAGTTCAACAAGTGTCTATCAAACCCTGGCCTTCCAGAGAAACAAAAAGAGGTAAGATCTCACTTACTCACAAAGCCATTAGCAAATGATACTAAACTGCTATGGTTTTAATGTTTGTACCCTCCAAAATTCATGTTGAAACTTAATCCCCAATGTGGCAGTATCAAGAAGAGGCACCTTTAAGAAATAATTGCATAATGAAGGCTCTGCCCTGATGAATGGATTAATCCATGGATGGATTAATGGATTAATGGGTTAAGGAATTAATGGATTAATGGGTTATCATGGGATTGGGACTGGTGGCTTTATAAGATGAGGAAGAGAGACATGAGCTGGCATGTTTAGCCCCCTTGCCATGTGATGCCCTACATCACCTCGGGACTCTTCAGAGAGCCCTCATCAGCAAGAAAACTCTCACCAGATGTGGCCACTTGAACTTGAACTTTTCAGCCTTCATAACTGTCAGAAATAAATTCCTTTTCTTTATAAATTACCCAGTTTCAGATATCCTGTTATAAGCGACAGAAAATAGACTAATATACAAACATAACTAACAAAATTTAAATTAGGTGTACAGATTATAGAGTTGGGCCCCCTATAGCTACCCTAAGAAAAGATTCAAGTTTAGTAAGCAAGCTTTAAACAAAAATACTGTATATGAATAATAAAACCTTACTAAGTTTTAATTATCCAATTGGAGCCAATCTGGTCCAGTCTGAAACTGACCTGAGAGTTTTCTGTGAGGGTATATTTTGTCAAGCAAAGTAACAACATAAGTGGAATTTGCAGGAGTTTACCATTCTTAGCAAAGGAGAAAATTCTTAGGGCTTTATTGAATCTGTTATTGCTTATGTGAAACTTGCGCTACTTAAAATGAACCTCTAATTATTTAAAATACTTCCAACAGGACCCCTTGAAGCATTTTATTGACTCCTGGTACTGACTTTAGCGATTATATATACTGAGCTCCAAGTCAACCTCTCACTAATTCACTAGTGGTTCAGAAAATTAACCCATTTTTTTCACACATAGTTATATTAATCATGTACGTACGTTGAAATGCAATTAATCATATATATAATATATACATGTAAAGTCCTTAATCTACTGTTTTTAGATAAATATATCTTTAATTTTTAAAAATGTATACTCACTATAAAAATTAGAAGAAAAAGATACTAAATTTCTCATAATCCCAACCACCCAAAGACTAACATTTAACATTTTAGTAAATTTCATTAGAGTTTTCTAAGCATATTTTTTGCATAATTTAAATTATAAAGCAGATACATGGGTTCCTATTTTAAATTATAACTTAAAGTTGTTTTTTTTTTTTTCCAGACAGGGTCTTCTCTGTCACCCAGGCTGGAGTGCAGTGGTGACCATAGCTCACTGAAGCCTCAAAATCCTAGGCTTAAGTGATCCTCCCACCTCAGCCTCCTGAGTGGTTGGGACTATAGGTGCACACCACCATGCCAGGCTAATTTTTTAATTTTTTTGTAGAGACGGGGTCTCACTCACCAGGCTGGTTCAAGAAATCCTGACCTCAAGCAATCCTCCTGCCTCGGCTTCCCAAATTTATGGGATTACAGGTGTAAGCCACCATGCCCGGCCAACTTAAATTTTTAATGGCTGCATAATATTGTATTATGTGTATATACCCTAATTTATATAGCTATTTCCCTGTTACTAAACATTTAAATTATGTCTTAATTTTTAGATTCATTAATAATGCTGTAATTATTTTGGTCAACAACTTTTTTCATATTTCAAAATATGAAATATGAAAGGTAAATTCCTCAAGGTAAATTCCTCAAGGTAAATTCCTCAAGGTAAATTCCCAAGAATAAAATTGCACTGTTGGAATCTTCATCTGTATTAGCAAACTGCCATCCAGGTTGGATTGATTTTAACTCCTATCAGCAGTGGAGGCTCAATTCATTCTTTTTTCTTCTTCTGTATATAAACTTTTTAAATTGACACACAATAATGATACATATTTCTGGGGTACACAGTGATGTTTCAATACATGTGTACAGTGTGTAATGATCAAATCAGTGTAATTAATTTCTCCACCACCTCAAACATTTATCATTTCTTTGTGTTGGAAACATTCAAAATCCTGTCTTCTAGCTATTTGAAAATATAAAATAAAGTGTTGTTAATTATAGTCACCCTACAGTGCAGTAGCACACTAGAACTTATTTCTCCTATCTAGCTATACTTTTGTATCTGTTAACCAACCTCTCTCTATCCCACCCCTACTCTTCCTCGCCTCTAGTAACCACTAATATACCACATTTTCTTTATCCATTCATCCCTTAATGGACACTGAGTTTGGTTTCATATCTTGGCTATTGTGAATAGTGCTGCAATAAGCATAGGAGAGTGTATATCTCTTCAACGTACTGATTTCCTTTCCTTTGTGTATATACCCAGCAGTGGGATTGTTGGATCATATGGTAGTTCTATTTTTAGCCTTTTGAGGAACCTACATAATGTTTTCCATAATGGCTGTACCAATTTACATTTCCACCAACAGTGCATGTGAGTCACCTTTTCTCTACATCCTTGCCAGCATTTATTTTGTGTTTTTGATAAATAGCCATTCTAAGTGGGGTGAGATGATATCTTGTTGTGGTTTTGATTTGCATTTCCCTGATGATTAGTGATATTGAACATTTTTTCATATACTTGTTGGCCATCTGTATACCCTGTACCCTCACTTGCACCCCTGTAGAGGCTGCTGCCCATGGGAGAAGCTGGGTCTTGCTTATTTCCTTTTGATCAGCTCCCAGAAACCTGCACTCAACTAGGTCACCAGAATTAGAACCAGAAAGACAATTTTATCCCACATAAGCTCAGAGGGCTTTTAGCCTTGCAGACAGCCAGTTCTTCCCCTTTGTCAGAAGATAACACATTTCCTGTCTGTGTTTGGAATTCAGTGGTATTTCCTGGAATTCAACTACCTTCCTTTCTCAACAAGGGAAGAGAACAGTTTAGAAACCCAGGCTCCCCAGAACGAGGACTGAGTCATTGGCATAAAAGTCTTGATAAAATTTCCCTTGAGTGTCATTATCAAATACCTTCTGTTTTGCTTCTGGTTTCTCGTACTTCTGGCCAGACATTTGACTCAAGGTCAAGTTTCTGACCTTTTCTTACATAACTTAGTTTTCACTGGATTCACGCAGCTTTCCCACTAATTTGTCCTCGGGAGACGGTATGGTGCAGTGGTTAAGGGCATGAGTCTTATGACAGAGCACTATGGGAGTGTGGCCATGGTGAAATAGACAATGTGCTCTATAGCTGGTGGAGATGGTGAAGGGTACAAGTCCTTTGAAATGCAACTTGGCACAATCTATCAAAATTACAAATGCACATGGCCTTTGATTCAGTAATTCCACTTCCGGGTATTTATTTCACAGATAGACTGCACACGCAAGAAATAAACATGTACTGGATATTTATTGCATTTATTTTATGACATTATTTTATTCTAATTATAAATTATATTTTAATTATGTTATATATAAGTACATAATTACTGTATTCTATGTTGTTATCATTGTTATTATAGCAAAAGGTTTGGAAACAACCAAAATGTTCATCAATAGGAGACTGGTTAGATAAATTACACAACACTGGCATAACAGAGTACTACACAGATGTTTAAACAGATGTTTAAAAAGTGAGACAGCCCTCTATGTACTGACAGGGTAGGCATTTAACATTCCATACAGAAGGTATATAATTCACATAATATAAAAGACAATTGATTTTTTAATATGTGATCTGCATTATACATTCATGATATATTTTCTTTATATGTAATATGTAATATATAATATCAGAAAGGCAGCTTAGAGTAGAGAATAAGAACACAGACTCTGGAGCCAGACTGCCCAAGTCTGAAATCTGGTTCTTACTAGCTGTGTGATCTTGGACAATCACTTAACCTCTCTGTGTCTCAATATAATCATTTATAAAGTAGAGATAATAACACAACTTGCCTCGCAGTATTGATGAGAGCATTAAATGAGTTAATATGCATGAAGCACTTAGAACTAGGTGTGGTGCACAGCAGAGAAGTCACTATTATATACCATAAAGTGAAAAGAGCAAAGCGTGAAGGTGTATAATAACAAACAACTTCTGCAAGCCCAAGATTCTTCTCTCCTTATAAATTGTGCCCACTGGTAATTGAGATGTCCCAATAACGTGTTTAGTGTGGTGCTGGCCCATGGTATGTGCCCAGGAAGTGTCATGGTACAAAGTACTGCTAGCTCTTCACTTTCATTTTATTCCAGGTATCACCAAAACACTGATTCTCCTCCTCAAGCTGCCTGCATTCCAGAATCTGAGACCAGATTACCTGTGGATGGAAGAGTAAGGCCAGACTTTGGGGTGAGTGACACAGAGCAGCATTCCAATCCCAGACAAATCCATTACCACTAACAGTATGGACTTGGGCAAGTGGCATCAACTCTTTGAGCTTTAGTTCCCTTGTTTGTAAAACAGTGATGATGACAATATTAATTACCACCATCTTGTAGGGTTGAAGTAAGGACTAGAAATTACATTTGTAAAGTGCCTGGCACTGAGGAGGCACTGAGTCCATGGCCATTATCATGAGGAGGAGGAAAGGAGGGGCTGGAAGACAAGCAGAATGGCTTTTAGTTCCAGCTCTTCTCTTCCAGTGTAATCACACAATGGGTTCTTCCTGCCTGCTGCACAGACAAAACCAATACACTGAGACCACGGTATTGAAGTAAAGACAGAGTTTAAGTAACATGCCTTGGGCCAGGCAGAAGACAGTTGTTACTGAAATCAGTATCCCCAAGGTTCATGGGCTAGGGATTTTCAAGGATAGTTTTGTGGGCAGGCGGCTAAGGGTGCTACTGATTGGTTGGGGATGCAATCATAGGGTTCTGGAAAATGGTCCTTGTGCACTGAGTCCACCTCTGGGTGGGAGCCACAGGGCTGACTGAGTCGTGAGCCATAGGTCCAGGTGGGGTCAGTCGGTTGCCAGCATGCAAAAATCTGAACAACATCTCAAAAAAGCAATCTTAGGCTCTTAGACTCTATAATAGTAATGTTATCTGTAGGAGCAATTGAGGAAGTCACAGTTTTTGTGACCTCTGGCCACAGGACTCCTGAGCAGTCAGGGATTATGGGAATTATGCCTACATTTTAGCAGAATTTAGTCTTCTCCCATAATCCTAATATCGTGGCCTTTCATTAGTTTTACAAAGGTGATCTTTCATCCTGGAACAAGGAGGGGGCTAGTTTTAGGGAAAGACTATTATCATTCTTGCTTCAAAGTTAAACTACAAATTAAATCTTCACATGGTCAGCTTTGCCTATGGCCAAGAATGGGGGAGAACAACCAGCCTTTGAGGCGAGAAGCAAGATGGAGTCAGCTATGCTAGATTCCTCTCACTGTCATAATCTTTACGAAGCGGTTTCACTAGTGTTGGGGATGGGTTAACTACTGAAGACCAGTTAGTGAGTCATGTGCTCACTTAGCCTCCTGGGGAAAAGAGAGCATCTGGGTTAAGTAGACTCATTATCATTCTCAATTATGCCAAATAGAACAATTTTGGCATAGGTCACCAGTCAGGAACTACACTGTGCCATACACTAAACAAGTACAACACGTTTTGAGCACCTACTGTGTGTCAAAGGTTGTTCCCAGCCCTAAAGATACAGCCACCGACAGGGCAGGTGAAGCCCCTGCTCTCATAGCGCCTACATCCCAGCAGAAGTGAGGCAAACCTAAACAAGCACAGAGAATGAGGACCGTGTTTGCGGGGTGCTGCCCGAGTGAGATGGTCTTGAAAGTAAATTGTGGAGCTCAGGAAGTTGGTTTGGGCTTTGGGTATGCTTTTTTCACACTGAGGATGTTCTAGTCTCTAGTTTTGGAAAGATTGAGGACTTCAGACATGTTTTTCATCCAAGAAGGGGAGAGGTCAAGTTAAAGGTCCAGACACCACTTTAAATCCTAGCTCCGACATTCACTCGGGACTGTTCTCATTATTGACAGGGTAGCGAATGGGCTGGAAAATTGTTCATCATCAATGTCCTCTCCAATTCTGACGCTCTGGGATCCCCCTGCTCAGTTAGGCATCAACCATAACATCCATGTGAGGTCACTGCAAAATTAACTTAGTATCATTTTTATGCCTTTGCAGACTTTTATTTTTTCACTTTCCCTCTTTCTGAGAGTCATGTGCAGCTCTCAGCATTATGGAGTCAAGTTGTTACTATTCTGGAGCAAAAGGTTGAATTTTTGGCAAGATGCAGATAAGCAAAACCCTGTGTGTGTGTGTAAAACTAAATAGTAATTGCAAAGTATCTCTTACTATGAGCCCAAGCTGTTTCCCAGATTTTTAAATACCCAGTTTTAAATTCATGATTCTTTAGAGAAATGCAGGAAAGTAAAATAAATCTTCTCTTTTATATACAAGTGCCTCAGGGAAAACAGAACTTTATGTAAATAGCTGCAGGTGGTGATGTAATAGTATCACAATAAGCCCCTATAAATTTTGGAGTTCCCCAAGTGGGCTATGGAGCAATGGCTAAAACTTTGCAAATTCTGTTCCTTCTCCCTGGAGTACTCTCCTCATATCTCCCCTCTTGCACCTGATTCACTTGAAGAATTTCTAATTTTCTAGCTGGGCATGGTGGCTCACACCTGAAATCCTAGCACTTTGGGAGGCTGAGGTGGACAGATCACATCAGGTCAGGAGTTTGAGACCAGGCTGGCCAACATGGTGAAACCCCGTCTGTGTGATAAATACAAAATTATCTGGGCGTGGTGATTCACGCCTGTAGTCCCAGCTACTTGGGAAGCTGAGGCCGAAGAATCCCTTGAACCGGGAGGTAGAGTTTGCAGTGAGCCAAGATCATGCTACTGTATTCCAGCTTGGGCGACAGAGCAAGACTCCATCTCCAAAAAAAAAAAAAAAAAATTCTAATTTTCCTTCAGTTGCAACCAACACATCTCTTTCTTTCAGAAGCCTCTGTGACCTCCCAAGGCTGGGTGGCTGCTCACCTCTGTATTCCCTTAGCAATCTCTATCTTTATCAAATGATTTAAATAAGCTTTACCACACTACTTATATAAAATTCTTTTTCACCCTTGACCTCGGATGCATGAAATCAGTTGAAAAATAATCCTTGGTTTGTAATGAATGCACTATTATCACTGCTATGCTTGGCCTTGTTTTATAATCAGTATTTTATTTCATCTGTGTATTTATTTACATTACTGCCCAAGAGAAATATAATACAAGCCACTGCCCAACAGAAATATAATGCAAACCACATTTGTAACTTTAAAATTGCTAATAGCTCCATTTTTAAATGTAAAAAGTAGCAGACAAAATTAATTTAAATATGTTTTATGTAACCCAATATATCTGAAAGTTTATCCCTTCAACATTAATCAATTATAAAAATTATAAATGAGATATTTACATTCTTTTTTGCATATAAAAACAATATGTGGTATATATTTTACCTTTAGAGTGTATCTCAGTTAGATCTAGTCACACTTCAAATGAACAAATTAAACATTCATATTACACAGCACAGGTTTATAGTACAACTAACTCCCTTGAACTCACAACCCAAAACAGGAAGTGAAATATTACCAATAACTTAAATATACATCTGGACTCTTCCTTCAAATGGCTTTTGGTCAGCTGGTCTGCCTCTTCAACTAGGTTTTGAGTTCCTGGAGGACGGAACTTGTATAATATATAGATGTTAGTGTTTCTTTGTCTCTTCAAGTTTTGGTCCCTAGACCCCAGGCTTCTCTGAGACACTTTTAGGTCAAAAAGATTTTTACAATGGTATTAAGACATTATTTGCCTTTTTCACTGTGTTGATATTTACACATATTTCAAAAGCAACAGCGTGTAAAACTGCTGGCACCTTAATCAAGGCAGTGATAACCAAACTTTACTAGCAGCCATTGTCATCTTCAGTGCTATGCACTTTGGGCTTAAAAAAGAAATTCAGGTTTTACTTTAAAATGTCCCTGAGGAAGCAGTAAAAATGTATTAATTGTACTAAACGTTGACCCTTGGCTGCCTAACTTTTCAAATAGTCTGTGTGATAAATGGGGAAAGTGCACGAAGCACTTGTGCTGAATACTGAAGCACAATGGTTGTCCAGGAAAAGCGTTTGTGCAATTGTTTGAGTTGTGAGCTGAACTCGTCACTTTCTTCATGTAACATCATTTTTACTTGAAAGAACAACTGACAGACAAGCATTGGTTATTCAGACTTGGGAATTTAGAGGACATTTTCTCAAAATCAACAAAGGAAACCTGTGACTTCAAAGAATACAACTAACAATATTTGTTGCCAATAATAAAAATTTGATCTTAAAGTGAAAACTCAAATTTTGGAAATTTGTATGTATCCCTGTAAATGTCACAGCTTCCCAATACTTAAGTGCTTTCTAAGAGATCAGTGGTGATATTAACAAATGATTTATTTTCAGTGATTGTATAAAGAAGTGGCAACATTTGGATGATATGTACAACTCAGGGAGCCAATATTTTCCAAATGACCAATGTATGATGTTACAAAAGTCATGCCTAGTAAAAGAAGTGCACAATAAACCAGTGGACTTTAATGTTAACAGCTAACAAAATGTTCATTGATATGGTTTCATATTTTACATTGTAACTAACTTTTAAGATACCACTGCCTTATTGAGTTTTGAAATAGTATCATAAAACATTATTCACAATTGCGAGGCTTCTAAAATAGTCCTTCCGTTTCCGATTACAGATGTATGTTTTCTTCTTCGTATATTTCAGCCAAAAAACATATTGCAATAGACTGAATCCAGAAGTAAATATGAGAATCTAGCTACTTTCTATTAAGCCAGACATTAAAGAAGCTTGCAAAAATGCAAAACAATGACAATCTCTTCACTGGTATTTTTTGTTTTGGAAAATATAGTTATTGTTATGAAGCACATGTTGTTCATGTTTCTATGCAATAGGCATATTACTGTTACTTTCAAACAAATTAATCAATATTTTTAAATTTCTCAGTTTTAATTTCTAATATAGTACAGTAAATATTGATAGCTATAACTAACATCAATACAAGCTCTTTGAGAGCCAAAATAATTTTTAAGAGTGTAAAGTATTTCTAAGATGAAAAGATTAAGAACCATTAGCCTAGCATATTTCCTAATACATAATGAGTTTTTATATGTTTACACCACCTTAACAAGTGATACAAGTTAATATCACCAGTGACTGGGCAAATAAACATTATTCCTGATGTCAGGCAATAAGAAGACACGACATCATTTCCATGGTATTCCTAACAAAAATGCACATCCTGAATCTAACCATGAAGAAACATTAGACAAACCCGAATGGAGAGACATTCTACCAAATATTTTGCTTGTACTTTTCAAAAGTGTCAATATCAAGAAAGACAAAGCAAAAGCAGTTTAAAGGAGAATAAAGAGACATGACAACTGAATGCCACATATTATCCAGGAACTTCTTTTACTAGATTAAAAAAATTAAATTTTATACACACACACACACACACAGCAATTGGAAAAAAATCAGAATAAAGTCTATAGATTACCAATATGTTGTTCTAATATTTATGGCAATTGGAAAAATCAGAATAAAGTTTGTAGACTGGACAGTATGTTGTTTTAATATTAATTTCTTTATTTTAATCATTGTACAGCAGTTACGTAAGGGAGTGTTCCTGTTTTTAGGAAATATACACTCAATGGGAGAAAGGGTGTAACTTTTGCAGTTCACTTTCAAATAGTTCAGAAAGCAATATGAGAGAGTGAGAAGAGAGGAGAGTAAACATAAAGTGTTTATATTTGGAATCTGGGAGAAGGGTATTCAGGAATTTTTTGTATTATTTGTAAAACTTCTCTGTTAGACATTATGTCAAAATAAGGAGTTTTTTTTTTTTAAGTTTACTAAATGAATACATTTCTGGAAACCTCACCATCTTCAGTTTTTGGATTTAGGCATTAGAAGGTGTTAGAAGGATGAAGTGGAGGAAAAAGAAAATTCTCTTAATGGTTAATATTATATTCTTATATTGCATTAACCGTATGAGCTAAAAGTGCCTCCAGAATTTACCTCCTTCCTTGTGATTTTTCTTAAAAGGGCCTTTAGATCCCTGAAATTGAGGTTTTCATTACATGAACTCCAAATTATTTTGTTTCCACTTTGATGTAGGGGAAAGAGGATGTTTTACCAGCTTCTAACACTGAACCTAGAGGGAAAAGATAAATTATAAAATTACTCTTGGAAGAATTGAGAGACCCGTGAGTCGTATCTTAGCTCTTTAATCATCAGGAGTTGGGGCAGTTCACAAGGAATGTTAACAGAAGCTGCTTCTCAATTTGAGTAGGTCCTTGATGCCATGGTCAGGGGCGAGACGCTGAATCTGTGATTCTTCATGCCTCTCCTCTGGTCTGAAAGCTCATTGCTTGTGGCTTGTGGCTTGACTGTTTTGAGATTGAAAAAGGGGCCTGGGCCTTCTAGGGTTGGCTGAAAACGTGTGTGTGGTTTAGAGTCTAGCCCTATATCTAATTAGAAGCAGACCATAAAAGTGAGCAAGAGCTTTTTTTAACAACATGCCTTCAGTCTTAACATTTCAATTCTGCAAAGGTGGCCTCACTGGCCTCCCTCTAGTGGTCCTGAGTAAGATCATCTTGGCCAGAGGAGCCATTGTGTTTCTGATTAATGTCTTCCTGTTCAGGAAGGGGTTACGAGTGCTGGTTTCTTATTTTAAGAGGAAGAACCTTATAAATTATAGTTACTTGAACCCCAGCTAAGGACGTTAAAATCTAGAGAGGTCAAGGAAATCTCCCAAGGTCACAGAGTGACTTAAGGGCTAAATCAGGACAGGAACATCAGTCAGCCCGCAGGACATCTTGAGGGTGAACCTACTGGCTTCTCAAGCATACTGAAAACTCCTAAAGCCATACTTAGAATAAAATACTAAGCCTTTAACCCCTTCATAGTGCACCCACTGCAGAGCCCTTCATAGCCTGCTCAACTCATTTTCTACCATTCCCCTGACTGCTCCCAGGTTCCCTGGGCCTCAGCCACCTGCTTTATTTTTAGTATACAGCGTGCAGAATCTTCTGACAGAAGATTGTGCATCTATCTATTTATTTATTGTCTATCTTCCACATGAGAATATAAATGCCATGAAAGTAACATTGACATGTCCAGGGATTAGCCTACCACAGTGACCAAGACATAATGGCTGAATAAATGAATTATCCCACACACCAATTGATTTCAAAATATTTGAAAGCTTGTTCTGGATTATGCTAATAACAGCACAGAGAAATGTATTGATGAACATATGTAAGCCCTCAGCTCCCTACTTGGAAGTAGCTGCTCCTAAAAAGCTCTTGCTTTCTTTGTTCAGACAAAATAAGTTTGAGAAACACTGAAAACTGCAACCAATCCAATCCCAATATCTTACTATATAGCTGCTTAATGTGTGGGAGATGTGTGTAAGTGTACCATTTACCACTTTGCCGAGTTCTTCTTTGAATAGTAGGCTTAATAAGGGCAGAAAACATCTTTCTCCACCCCGCTTGTAAAAATTCATCACCTCTATTTCAAGCAATCACCTAGAAAGGCCCTTTGACCTACATTCGTTGAGCATGAACAGGAAGAAGATCATAGCTTGGACAGGAAGGGGCGTCATAGCTTGAAGAGTCACTGGCACCAGCCTATAAGTGGACACTTGCCTTCACTCTTCTACAAAAAATTGCAGGTGAGACTAACTTGACCCCTTCATTCTTGGCTGACTTACAACGGGAACATGGGATGTGGAAGGAACATTTAGGGGCGACAAATCTGAGAAACAAGTGTGTGTTGAGCATTTACTATTTGGCCAGCTCTTTGCAAGGAGCTTTTTGTTAATATTTCACTTGATTCCTACAACATTCCCATAAAGTAGATTTTCTGCAAATCAGGAATTGAGGTCTGGAAAGATGAAGCAATTGCCCATGGTCAGATAGGTAACCAGTCATAAAGGCAGGGTTTGAATCCAGGCAGCCTGACTCCAGGGTCTTCTACCAACCTACAAAGGAGTCTGATGGGCAGCTGTGCTTTTGTGGTTCATGCTTGTAGATGAGCAGTTAACTCTCCTTCACTGACTAAGTCCTATTCAGGACACTGCTGGGATACAAAGAGATCAAGGGTTGACCCGAGTCCTCCAGGATGTATCCGTTTAGTTGGGGAAAAAAGGCTTAAAGGTAGTGGTTATCTTTTGGGAGTTGAGATGGGGGTGGGGATAACTGAAAGAGACACAGGGGGCTTCTGAGAGCTAGGAATATTGTTTCTTGACCTGGTGCTGGTTACAGTAAGCGTGTGAAACACTTTGTGAAACTCCACCTCTTTGTGTATATTATATTTTGCAAAAGGCATAAAATCAGGGCATTGAGTCAGGACTCTGGGAAATGTAGGAGCTTCAAAAGAAGCAACGAGGCAGTCTTTCCCACAGCACTGATGTCTGGGCCATTCTCCAGATCTTCTGACTAATCGCCTCACTAATTAAGGGCTAGACGGGTGAGACATTGAGATTTTGCAGGGTCTTTGGTATCAAAATTCCCAAAGTGGACCCACCTCAAACTCAGTTTGGCTGTAAAGCAGAGTTAAACAAACATCTTAAGTAACATTCTAAAATGTTGTAAATAAGGAGTAACCCCCCAAAATAAATCTATTATCACATATGCTTGTAAAATCCCAGGCTAAACAACTTCAGATTCCTTTTGAAACCACATGACTTGTCAGAGCCTTTAATATATTAACATGAATTGTGAGTCTCCAGAAGGGGGTTATATATTGCAGTTTTTCCCAAACTTATTTTACTATAGAATCCTCTTTTTTTTCTTAACATTTTCAGAATTAATGTTCTAATGAACAAATTTTGGGAACAGCTATTGTAAAGTTCTGATTTACAGATACAGTTCAACCAAAGATCATGAATGCTGAAAGTCATCTTTCAAAGCATTCCTTGAAGATTTTCTGGATCACCCCCACTGTCCCTCAACAAGCCAGGAGAGCTAGTTCAAAGCACCGAATAAAGTACCCCATAACCTAAATGCCTGGATAAATGATAGGGGAAGAGGAGAGTTGGAGAGCAGAGGAGAGTTGAGGTGCAAAGAGGAAAAATTACAGTTTATCTTGAAAGGTCTCTTCATAAATTAAGACTCTTTGGGTTGCGACTAATTGCAACCACCAGAATCATTTGGTTGAACAAATGATTATTTACGATGAGGGCTTTCTCTTGGAATCCAAGAGTGGCTGACTCTAGGTGTAACAGACAAATTGGAACCATACACCTGGATGCCATCAAGGCTTCCTCAGTGCCCACTCATTCTTACCTCTGTTTTTGTTTTGTTTTGTTTTGCATCTTGGTCCACAAGATGGAAAATATGGTGACCAGCAGTTGCAGAGTTTGTCCTGTCATCTAGAGAGAGACTAAAGTGACTCAACTGCAAATTCCTGAGGAAGAGATTTTGGCCAGGCTACTGGCCACCCAGGAGGTCAGTGGATAGGCCACATCGTATGCCAGTCACACCAAGACCTTGTGGATGGAGGGATGCATTATGGACATTCACATAAAGGTGGCGAGCCGGGGAGACCATCCAATTGGTGGCCGTTCAAATCCCAGGATTTATTTTATGTGTGCCTGCTTTTTACAAGTACTTCTTTGCCTTCAGTGTAAATAAAGAAATAGTGTTTTTGATGACCAGGGAACTTTCAGTTCCTCAGAATCATGATTGAGAACATCAACTCTCCTTTATTGACCTACAGATGTGTCACATGGAGGGGCACTGCTGACTGTGCAGGTCATCTCTGAAAATCATTTTCCCCAAGTAACACGAGAGGAGTTTGCCCTTTTTAAAATGATTTGTTTCTTTCTCCTAAAATTTGAGTGTGAAGGGAAATGTGGTCAATTAAGAATACACATTTTTGGAAACTGGTTATTTGAAGCTCCACTGTGCCAGATTTCAGTTGTTTTCAGCTCTTACATCCTCCATATTTAATGCTATCATTTTTGAAAACGGATTGACTTCAGAAGTATTTTTCTCTTGCTTTGGAGATTTTGCACATTGGCCCAAACAGGTTTTTATTTTCCATTTTAATTTATACAGTATAAATACGATGTTGGACTTCTTTGGAGTTAACAGTTTCACTATGCAGATGTTTCTTGAAAGCCTTTTCAATTCATAGTGTTGGTTTAAAAAAAAATTTTTTTTATTAGCCTGGCTGCCTGCCGGAAAAAAAAAAAAAAAGTACTATTCCATTTTGCATAGAACTGTAAGATTTTCTTTCTTCTTGTTCTTTCCCCACCCCCAGCTAGCTACATGACTGTTAGGATTAAAGATGCCATAGTGACATCTAGTGGTCAACCACCGAAGACACTGCAAAACATGTCACAGTGGGATGAGAGAAGTGACCTAGTTCATTCTCCCACAAGCATTTCTTGATTTACTTTACTTGCTTTTTATTTACCATTTGGCTCAAATTGCTCTAGATTTCCATGTTGTTTTGCTTTATGGAAAATATTCAACTTCGCCCCCATAGAAAGGATAAACACTCTGTGTTCTGGAAACAAAAGGAGCGACATAACTCTTGCTTTTGGCTTTCGTTAGACTCCTCATAAAAAGTGTTGTGCAAGTCACTCAGTAATGTCTGAAAAGTATTGAAATCTTTTTCCTAAAAAAGTGACAGGAAACAATGACTCTAAATGGGCTTTCATTCATTATTCTAATTCAGAAATTAATTGGTTTCTTTATGTCACTTGTATAACATTTAAACAGAAATGTATAGATAATAACACCACACTCTTTATCTAGTGTGGGGTTATTATTTATCTAACTAACTAGTGTCAGTGCAGATAAAATCTGCTTGCATCATTTTTGACTTTTAAAAGAAAAATACACAAAATATTATACAGTAATCAAAAATTGTGTTTACCAGAAATGTTGCATAACATGAAATATATGATATAATGTTAAAAATGCAATACACCAAATTATGTATAATGTATGATCCTATATACAGATCAATATGAATAGCTACATGGGTGTGAATACCTACACAAGTGTGGATGTAAACGTCAATATCAAGGTTCATGTGGAAAGTGTAGACATAGAAATAAGCCCAGAAAGAAATATACACACTGATAAATATTTTCGGTTTCATGTTTTCATTTATTTTGTTTTTCACTATTTTTTCATTGTTTCTTAACTAAGCATATGTTAAAATCATAATCAGGAAAAACACTCAGGACTTTTTAAAGGATCAAATTTCTCTTTGTTTGTATATAGGATATCTCCCTCTTGGGATGACACAAACATAAAAAAAAATTCCTGCAAGTGGAATGCATAGAAATGCATTGAGATGAGAGAACCTAAGTGAATCACAGGAGGGACAACAGCAAATGCTTGAGAGCATTGAAGTGCTTGGAATCCCGGAAATATAAAGACCTGTCCTGTCTCCTAGGTGCTTTCTCCATGGAGCTGATGGGTGGCAGGAGGTCTCTCTGGGGTCTACGGGGACACTCTCTGCAGCAGAGATTTTCCAACGCCTTCAGAGAGACTATAAAATAATTCAAGTTTGTCTTTGGTGGCAAAATGTACACCTGACTATTCAGTAGCTAACATATGCCATGTGCTGTGCTAGAATTTTGACATATTAATTATAATCCTGACAATTCCACAATGAATTTATAAAGGTGAGAAAAATGAGGCTTGGAGAAGTTAAGCGCCCCAAATCACAAAACTGGTAGAGCTGGATTTAAACTCAGTTCTATTGGGCCCATGTTCTTTGTACTATACCTGCCTCTCACTGTCCTTTTCAGCAGGTGAAATTATCTACACACACTTTTAATGACCCACATCTTCAGAATCATAAGACCAAATTCCTTTAAGAGCCGTAGAAATATATCCTGAAGAAGAATCCCCATTAGGTGCTCTTCAAGGTCCAGTGTCATGGTGAGCATCTTTAGTCCACTTGTTGCTCATGTTTCCATGGAAGAGAGGTTTCCTGCGCTACTCCCCAGGATGCAGTGGCACGGGTAAACTTCAGCTTGTCCCTCTTCCCCCTCCCTCACTTGGCCTCTTAGGCAGAGTAGTGGTATGTTTGATAGGTGATCTTGGATCACACTAACCAAGGGTCAGGACCACCACACTGTGAAGGTAACACGTATAAAACTATCAGGCTTCTCCTTGCTAATCAATAAGTGTACTATAGTACCAAGAAAATGTTAACGGTTTAAGCTGAATTAGTTGATTCTAAAGTTCCAATGGAAAAATAAACAAGAGTGAGTGAGAAAACCCTGAAAAAGAATAATTATGAGATTTTTTTTCAAACAAGAAATTCAAGTATTTTCTAAAGCTATAGTGATTAAAAATATGTAATGCTGATGGGTGAATAGACAGAGATCAATGGAAAAGAATAGAAAGTCTAAAAAATACACACAAGAGCATATGGAAATTTCACATATCATAGAGGTTTAATGTATGTTAAGGAATAGAATCTCAAATTAATGAGGAAAAGATAGATTATTCAATTAAGGGTTTTAGAGTGTCTGGATGGCTATTTATTTATTTATTTATTGAGATGGAGTCTCGCTCTGTTGCCCATGCTGGAGTGCAATGGCACGATCTCGGCTCACTGCAACTTCTGCCTCCCAGGTTCAAGAGATTCTCCTGCCTCAGCCTCCCAAGCAGCTGAGATTACAGGCGCCCACCACCGCACCTAATTTTTGTATTTTTAGTAGAGATAGGATTTCATCATGTTGGTCAGTCTGGCCTCAAACTCCTGACCTCAGGTGATCCACCTGCCTTGGCCTCCCAAAGTGCTGGGATTACAGGGGTGAGCCACTGCACCCAGCCTTATATTTTATTTTATTTTATTATTTTATTTTCATTTTTTTATTTTTATTTTTTTGAGATGGAGTTTTACTCTGTCGCCCAGGCTGGAGTGCAGCGGTGCGATCTCGGCTCACTGCAACCTCTGCCTCCTGGGTTCAAGTGATTCTCCTGCCTCACCCTCCTGAGTAGCTGGGATTACAGATGCACACTACCACACCCAGCTAATTTTTGTATTTTTAGTAGAGACAGGGTTTTGCTATGTTGGCCAGCCTGGTCTCCAACTCCTGACCTCAGATGATCCACCCACCTCAGCCTCCCAAAGTGCTGGGATTACAGACGTGAGCCACTGTGCCCAGCCTGGATGGCCATTTAAAAATAAAGTTGGGGCTGGGTGTGGTGGCTCACTCCTGTAATCCCACCACTTTCGGAGGCCGAGGCAGGTGGATCACTTGAAGTCAGGAGTTCAAGACCAGCCTGACCAACCTGGTGAAACCCTGTCTCTACTGAAAGAAAAAAGAAAAATTAGCTGGGCATGGTGGTATGCACCTGTAATCCCAGTTACTTGGGAAGCTGAGGCAGGAGAATCACTTGATCCCAGGAGGCAGAGTTCGCAGTGAGCCGAGATTGCACAGTGCAATACAGCCTGGGTGACAGAGCGAGACCCTATCTCAAAAAAAATTAATTAATTAATTTAAAAAAATAAAGTTGGAACCCAAACCTCACACCTTATACCAGGACAAATTCCAAATGGTGCAAAACTTTTAATGTAAAAAATAGCATGTTATGAGTGATATAAGAAACCAAGAAAGAATTATTTAATAATCTCTTCTGGCTAAACTGACCCAAAATTTTTTTAATTTATTTTAAAAATTAAAAAAATTTAAAAAGAATTAATAATCTCAAAGTGAATAATATCTTTTTATTTATAACATACACAAAACACAGAAGCCACAAAACTCCGCAAAACAATCAAAGTCAAAAGAGAAAAGACAGAACTGAAAGGGAGAATATATTTGCAATAGACACAGTGCTAAATTTCCTAAACATATAAAGAATTCTTAAAAATCCACAAGGAACAATGACTCAGTTGGAAATTAGACAAAGAATATGAACCAACTCTTGCCAGAAAAGACAACTCAAATGATCTTAAAACATGAAAAGGAGTTCAACATCACTCACAATCAAAGAGATGCATACTGCAACTACTGGGAGTTATCATTTCGCACGAAGCACATTGGCGGAAACCAAACTTTGTAGCAGAGAGCGCGGGAAAACAGGCATTCTCTTACATTGCCAGTAGAAGTGGGAATTAGGTTTAGAGCCCGATACAACAGAAACCTCTGTGAAGAGCAACCTGTAAATGCATGTACCGTTTGACCCAGCTATTAACACCTCCAGGAATTTATAGTTCAAAAGATTCTCAAACGTACAAAATGACATATGTACACAGCCTATTACTGCAGCAACGTTTGAAATAACAAAAGGCTAAAAACATCATAAATACCCATAAAGAGAATATTGGTTAAATAAATTATAATGCATCCACGTTAAAGAATACTGTGTAGCTATTTAAAAAATGAAGAAGCTATTTATGGGTTGATATAAATAATCACCAAGATATATTGTCAAGGTAAAAAAGAAAAAAACCAGGGCTTAGGACTGTGTTATAAGTGAAAAAAAGGAATATACTGAATATACATTTCTGCTTATGTATGCACAGTCGATCACTAAAAAAAGTGCTAACAGGCCGGGTGCGGTGGTTCATGCCTATAATCCCAGTACTATGGGAGGCCGAGGCGGGCAGATCACGAGGTCAGGAGTTCGAGACCATCCTGGCCAATATGGTGAAACCCTGTCTCTAATAAAAATACAAAAATCAGCCAGGCGTGGTGATGCGTGCCTGTAGTCCCAGCTACTCAGGAGGCTGAGGCAGAAGAATCACTTGAACCCAGGAGGCAGAGGTTGCAGTGAGCCGAGATTGCGCCACTGCACTCCAGCCTGGGTAACAGAGCGAGACTCTGTCTCAAAAAACAAAAACAGAAACAAAACAAAACAAACAAACAAACAAAAAGTGCTAACAGTGGTTAGTTAAATACCCAGAAAGAATGGTATCTGAATGGCTCAACCACAAAGGGTCTGCTGCTTTCACCCAATCAGAATGGTGAGACCTTTCATGATGCTCAAAGCTGTGCTCTCCACCTGCCTGCTAGGGTTCGCCTAATAGCAGAAAACAGTGAAAGATCCCCAGGGAGGTTTGAGCACTCCCTGACATGTCCTCCAAAAAAGGAGCCTTTTAAAAACACATGAAGTTTTCTTTTTATCTTAATTGGCACTCTAATTAACAATATTTTTGTGTTAGTTTTAAGATAAAAATAATAATAATGGCCTTCTCCCCAACTTTCCCGCAGGACCCAAAATCACCTTTAAATTGTCCACCTTTCTGTTCTTGATCTCTCCTCCTGAACTCCAAATAATAACAAAAACAACTGAGATTTGTTGCCCACCAGACTCTGCTTAGATGCTCACAGCAATCCTAGGATATGAAGATTCTTATTATCCTCATTTTTAAATGAAAAAGCAAAGGCTCAGAGTTTAAATGACTTTTCCAGAATCACACAAAGCTAAAAAGTAAAAAGGTTGAAATTGCACCACATATTGATCTGACAACAAAATTATTCTTCTTTCTCTGTATCAAGCAACTTCTCAATCCTCCCTCTACGGTTTTTTTGACACCCACTTAGCACTTTCTCTTTGATTATCTTCCTAGTCTTCCTCCCTGGAGTATTACATTTCATACACTCCTCTGGCTTCAGGATCTACAAATCTAGTGGTTCTCCATCTTGGCGGTGCATTGGATTCTTAGGGAGATTTTAAATTACACTTATGCCCAGAACTCACCACCCAGACAGTTCTAATTGGTCTTGGATGGGCTCTAGGAGTCAGTTTTCCACTCCCTACATCCATCCAAGGAGTGACTTACTCAACTGTTTATTCTCAGTGCCTAGCAGGCACTAAGTAAGTATTTGGTGAATGAATGAATGAATGAACGAACAATCAAGTACAGGGTAAAGTAGAAGCCAAAACTTAAGTTGGACAATAAAACAGAAACAGCCATGAAAGACCTAAGCTAGTTGGAAGCTGGGTACAACTGCAGAGACATTTTGATCTCCTCCTGCATCCTTGTAACCGAGTCCAGAGGAAGCTGCATCCCTGTAACCCAGTCTAGAGTCCCACACAATGGAAAACTATAAATAGCAGCCCTGAATCACATGAGGGTTATGTAATATAAGGTTCACAGAACACTGCTGCTTTTATCACTCAGGCTTAAGTTGCACTGAAATGGAAACTCAGCTGATGCCCTATGTATTAGTTTCTCCAAAAGATGAAAGTCTCCCTACTTTTGCCCATTTATTGGCCTGTATTTGTGGCAGTGTTCCTAGGGCCCTTCCTGCTAAGTGATTCCTGCTGTCTTTCCAGATAACAAGTGGGCAATTTTAGCAAAATAATTATTTTTATTTGTGAAGATAAGACCAGAATTTCCCCTGATCACATAAGAAGCAGTGCACATGGGCTTTTCAGACACTTGGGAGCACTGAATCACAGGCTCAGGCGAGGAGACGGGCTGAACCAGTTTGTACAGTTCCAGAGAGGTCACCCCTGCTCCTTCCTCCAATGGAGATTTGCCGATCATCTGAAAACCCAAATCAACTCTGTGACAATTAACTCTTATTAGAAGAGGCTTGTGGTGATCCCAGAGCTACCTCTGAATACACAATTGATTCTCAGTGGTTGGTAAAGGGGGACTTTGAAATAAATTTTTCCATGAGCAAAAGAGTGCATATACTGGCACTCTGGCAGAGACCGGCACTCACATTCTCCTGTTCTTCCTCCGTGTGTAACTAGCCCTCATTCCTCAGTCTTGCTTACACTTAGGCATGGTGTGTGACTGTTCTAGCAGTAGAATGTGAGCAGAAGTGAGGGGCAACACGTCCAGACCTGGCCTTGCACATTTCTCCATGTTTCATGTGCCTGCTGGATGGCTGCAATGGAGACACCTCCTGGGGAAAGTCTGGAAGCCACAAGTTGAAGATGCTAGAGCATCACCGGTCTGGATCCCTGAATGATTTGCTGCAGGAAAGCCATCCTGCCATCGTTTTTATTGTCCAGGGCTGTCGTAAGAACAAAAAATAGGCTGGGTGCGGTGGCTCACACCTGTAATCCCAGCACTTTGGGAGGCTGAGGCAGGCAGATCATGATCTCAGGAGGTCGAGACCAGCCTGGCCAACATGGTGAAATGCCGTCTCTACTAAAAATACAAAACTTAGCTGGGCATGGTGGCGGGCACCTGTAATCCCAGCTACTCGGGCAGCTGAGGCAGGAGAATCATTTGAACCTGAGAGGCGGAGGTTGCAGTGAGCCGAGATCACAACATTGCACTCCAGCCTGGGCGACAGGGCCAGACTCCGTCTCAAAAAAAAAAAAAAAGAACAAAAAATAAACTTCTACTGTGTTTGAACCACTATACGCCATAGGGTCTATTGCTTACAACAGTTAGCCTTCCCCATCTAATTATATATGTTATTAACATGTCATTATGCTTGGGCTTCAAGGACAGGAATTCCTCGTTTGCTTTGGAAGAAACAATCACTCTGAATGACCTATCCAAAAGCTATTTTGCCAGCCTACCTTTGTCCCCAGGAGGCCCTGGGTTTGATAAATTCAACCTTCTTAACACTCTAAAGCCAGGAGTGGATGTTTCCAAGGATCATCTAGTTTATCTCTGATGTAGATGAGGCAATTTCCCAAATTTCGTATCAAAACACAGACACTCCAAGCAAAGGCTTTCATAATGGCCTGAACTGGAGGAAAGGGATACTTCAACTACACTGCATTACACAACATTTGCATTGCACAAGATGGTTTCCTAGAACAGTCATACGAAGTTGAGATTTTTATGAGCCTGATGATACATCAAGAAGATTAAGAAGAGTCTGTCTTTAAAGACCTTCTTGCAGTTCAGATCATGACAATCCGCTTTCTCTACCTAAGTATTTTTTGAATTATCATAGATTTGTTTTGTTTTGTTTTTAGTTAAACACAACCTACATTTTGCAGAAGCCATAAATGATTATTCCACTGAGGTGTGGGGAGGGGCAGAATGAAGAAAAAGACAAGAGAACACTGGAGATCAGAGGTGTACAGTCTTTTGGCTTTCCTGGGCCACAGTGGAAGAATTGTCTTTATGTCTACACATAAAATACACTAACACTAACAACAGCTGATGAGCTAAAAATAATAATAAAAATCCCACAAAAACCTCATAATGTTTTAAGGAAGTTTACAAATTTGTGTTGGATTACATTCAAAGCGATCCTGGGCCACAGGTTGGACAAGCTTGCTTTAGATGAAAGTGAAAAATAATATTCAGTCCAGACATCAACAGTTGCACAGCAGAAAGGATTCCTGGGCAAGAAAGCAGGTAAAGAATATTCAATGAACAGATTAGGTTAATGAGAAGAACTTACACTTGTCAGTGAAGTTGGTAGAATGCTCTCTGGAATTGACAAATGGGGGACTCTATTGGACATTTTAAGCCAAATGTAAATGTCTGGCAGTATAAGAGAGGGGAACTCAGGACCCCGACTGATGCTCCTCCAACTCCAGCTAGAAGAGGAACAGGGCTACAGGAAGCAGTGATGATGTCTGGCATTTGGGAAAATGGCTGGGAAGTAACTGTGGAGAAGAGCTCCAACAACAAAATAAAAATAAAATGGATTCTCCAAGTAATAAGAAAAGAAAGTAAGTTCTTAAAACTCTGGATCCTGACGGAAAGGGCATATCCAGGTAAGAAGAAATCTATCCTTCGTCTATGTCAGAGAGAAGATTTGGCACAGTCTACAGAACTTTACCATGTTGTATTCAAACTTCACCATTCTAGAAACCTTATTTAATTATCTCCTCAGCCATCAGGCCAAATCTGAACTCACTGACTTTGGAAAGCTTCCCAAATGAGCTTTTCAGCAGAGTTTTATATGCTGTTTGGAAAGAAGAGGCAGTGTAGCTGTGGCTTTGGAGCAGTAAACTCCAAATTCTTGAGTGCCCGCCTCCTCAATAAAATGCTATTGAGCACACAGCACAATATATGTATATTCATTTATTCATAAAGCATATGTATATGCTACTGTACTAACTTACTACACATGATACAAAACATCTTCCCAATAATAGAAATATTAAAAGGATACATTAAAAGAAAGATTAAAGAAGACACAATATTTTCTTCGTGTACCTTATGTGGATTGTCTTTTGCACCTCATGTTCGACACCATGACCTTAAATCCTGGTCCCAGAACAGAGACTTTGTCTTTAAAAGAGTGATTGTCGTTTCAAAAAGAGATGAAAAACTCTTGGCTTATGTGACACTGAAGTGATGCTTTTATAGAGTTGTCCCTCAGTGTCTAGGTTGAAAGTGTGGCTTGCATATTATCTACTAATGCTGTATTTGAAGTCTGTTGCCTGAGTAACCAGAAGAATGACATGGAAATAGAGATCCTTAAGAAGATAAGCCATGCTTTACTTGTCTTGCCTCCCTCTAGGGCTAGCACAGTGCCCTAGGGGACATACTGGGTCCTCAGGGATGCCTGTTTAAATCAAACATGAAGGAATGAATGATTGAATATGTGAAAAACATTTTTAAGCCACAGGAAAAACACAATTAAGATGCAACTCTCACCTGTCAGTGAAAAGTCTCCATCGCAGGTAGAATGCACAGCTTCTGCCTTGCCTGCAATTTAGAACTCCTGGGACCAGAACTCAGCCAAATTCCTCCCCATATCTTATCAGGAGCTCTCCTTCAAAGGCCTTCAGGGTCTGGGCAGGTATCATATATGCTTAAAGATCAAGAAAGGCAACAGGGAGAAGCAGTGCAAATTGGCAAAATGGAGAGTGCTTAGGGACTGATGAGGACGGGCATCTTCTCCTCCATTAGGCTAAGTATTTTTATCTGGGTGTCTAATGGTTTTGAGACTTGTCTCATCAACTACATTGTAAGCTTAAAGAGGCCTAGGAATGTAGGGCATTTCTCCTTTCTTCTGTTCCCAGCGTGGTCTAGTGGAATGAAAATTAGACTTGGAGTCCAAACCACCAACTCCTCAAGGCACTTAACACCTCTCTTACCCTCAGTCTCTTCATCCAACCGATGAGAATAGTACTACCTCCCTCAAAGGAATGTTGAGAAAAGCAAATGACTTTTGTAAACTATGGTATTATATATCAATGTAAACAATTACTATTACAATCGTAATGAATACATACTTGTTGAAGTACATTGCACTGAATAGAGGGGTGATGAAATTCCTTATACTATGCACATAATCAACATGTATCTCTATTTAAGACTCCTTTTAAAAATAAAATAAGGCCGGGCACAGTGGCTCCTGTTTGTAATCTTAGAACTTTGGGCGGCTGAGGTGAGATGATCACTTAAGCCCAGGAGTTCGAGACCAGCCTTGGCAACAAAGTGAGACCACCATCTCTTCAAAAAATTTTTAAATTAGCCGGGCATGGTGGTGCACACCAGTAGTCCCAACTACTTAGGAAGCTGAGGCAGGAAGGATAGCTTGAGCCCAGGAGATGGAGGCTGCAGTGAGCCATCACGGCACTCCAGCCTGAGCCTGACCCTGTCTCAAAAAAAAAAAAATAAAATAAAATAAAATAAAGAGGATATATAGATAAAAATAAAATATAGAGAGAGCAAGTTAATACACATCGACAAACACATCTCATTGCTGTCACCCATGAACTTGGAAATTTTGAACATTTGTGATTTCATGGTAAATTAATGCTTCTCCACTTTACAGTTTAAAGTAAATGTTACTTTTGTTTGTGTTTTATTGGGACATTCAAGATATCTATTATACAGTACCAGAGTCCTAAACACAATAACAGTCATCATTACATATTTCTGAGTAGTAGGATTACTCTTTTTTGTGGTTTCTCTTTTCTTCAAATTTTCTTTACCAAACACATATAAACTTTTCCGATTCTGAAATAATAAAAACAAAGACACCCCAGACTTACTTGTCTTGCACTGGTGACTAACCACAGACTCTTAAAAGAAAACTTGAAAATTGTCATAGGAGATAAGGAAAAATTATCCAAATGATAGTCAATTCACAGGAAATATCTAATTAAAAATTAAAACCTGAGTTTAAAAACTATCAATTAAACATCACTTAAATCTGTAGTTTTTTTAAAAACTGCCTGTATGTTATTTTTGTATAAAAATTGGGAAGTATAACAAGATATATTCAAATTTGCTTGAGTTTGTATAAAGAAAATGTTAAGGAGCTGGAGAGGGGAGTGAGAGGTGAGAACCCAGCTGATGAGAAGAATTAAGAATTTGTGTTCTTTTTGTTATATTCTTTGAATTTTAAAAATAGCATATGCAAGTATAACTGTTCTAAAATACACGTTACACAAGCTCCTGACCTTTGCTCTGGGGAGTCAGTCCTCGCAGTGGGTTTATACTCGAGGCTGCCATTGCCAGTGGAGAGACGAACGTCCAAGCCTATGCAGCCAGGGAAGCATCAGGCAGGTCCTAAGCTCATTCTTCAGCCTGCTGAGGAGTCATGCTCAGCTCTCTAGGCTTCCCATGGCAGCACTAGGCTCTGGCCATACAGTGTCGGTGTATTCTCTGCTCCAACTCAGCATGGCTCTTGGCTGCCAGTTGGCCACATTGCATGGAGCTGGTTACGTTTCAGGGACTTGCCCTATCCAATAAACTTTCCAAACCAGGCTCGGTAAAAATGGAGAGAAACAAGTTCCCATTATAGGCTTGAGTTCAGCTGAACCTGGAGTACAGTTAGGCTAGAAAAGCCTGGAAGTTGCCCCTAGTGAAGCCACACCTCCTCTAGTCTCCTGGCTGGGATCTGCAGCAAATAGAGCCTGATGTTTCTTGAGTCCAGCCATCTGTGTTCCTTGGCTAGCCAGCTATGAACCACTTCTCTGCACATGCCCTGTCCAGGGGATTGGGTTGCAGAAGACTTGTCAACACAGATAAGACACGCCTGGTTTACAGGTTAGCTCATGATTGGAGGGTCCTGTCTCATCAGCAATCTTCTGCACCACTCAGGGAAACATTAAAAGTATTTGAGAACCACACTAAAATTAGAAACTTCTGTCTGTGAAAAGATATCACTGAAAAATGGCAAGACAAGACCAAGAATGGGAGAAGATATTTGCCACACATATAACAAAAGATTTGCTTGTAGATATAAGTGACTCCTGTAAGTCAGTAAGAACCAAACAATCAAAATATGGGCAAACATGCAATTGACCAAAGGGAAAACCTGAATGGTCAATAATATATAAAGGAAATGAAATGAAAACTTCAGTGAAATATTGCTTCAGGCCAGTCAGATTAGTAAAACCTAAAAAGTGTGGTAATACCTAATATTGGTGAAGATTATAACAACGAGAACTCTTACACACTGCAGGCAGAGGTCTAAATCAGCATGTGTGGAGAGTCATTTGGAGTTGAAGATGTATACAACCATACCTACAACCATGAAAACAAAAAATCATTCCAAGTATTGAAACAGAAGGGGTTTAATCCACAGAATAGGTTATCTGGGAATTGAAAGAGTTAAGTCAAAGAGTAGTCAGCGAGGCAACCAGGAGTGAGCAACTTCAGGAAACCTCTGGCACCCCAGTCTAAGACAAAAGGGTAGCCCCACCAGGAGTTAACTGGCTTTTCTGAGAGAAGGATAGAACTGGGGTGGGTCTGTCCAGTGGGTGCTAGATGTGCAGAATGAGGCCATCTGAGACTGGCAGATACGGAGCCAAGCACTCTGGCTTCTCTCTCCCCTCTCCCACCAGTGCCTAAACTGAAAAACAAGCCGGGTAGATACAGGGGCCTGGGAAATGCAACCCATGTGGGTCTGGTCCCGAGATACAGAGCAGAGCAGCATAAGGGCAAGGAGTTGATCTGCAAAGGAAACAAACACAACCTTGCCCAAGAAAATGGAGACATATACACTAGAACTTATAGCCTCATTGTTCTTAAAAGCAAAACATGAGAAACAAGTGTCTATCGACAGAATAGATCAATGAATTGTGGTAGAGTCACACAGTGAAATACCCTAGAGCAGTGAAAGCAAATGAACTATAGCTACATTTATCAACATGGAGAACTCTCACAAAGCAGAGCCAGACAAATAAATTTCAAAATGTGTAGTGTAATACCCTTTATATGCAATATGATGATGACAGATAGCTAGATAGATTGTAAAAGCTGAAAAAGAATAAAGAAATCAATCTTTATTTTAAGGGCAAAAGGGGCATGTAATCAGGGAGAGAGACATTGAGGGTTTCAAATGTAATAATAATGAAACTGAGTGATGGATACATGAGGTCACTGTATAGTTATTGATAATGTTGCATTTAAAATATTTCATAATACATTAAATTTTAATTTTACAAAGGAGCTTGGAGGAGTATGAGTGATGCGGGCCTGGCTGCTCTAAATGGTAGGAAGAGACTCTATTATCTTTGTTTTGGAGGCAGGACTTGATGCAATTGCCAAGGGCATACTGGCCCAAGACTTCCCCTTTCCAACTCTCTCTCCCTCTTGGCCCCAACATGGTTAGGCAATTAACCCCTGCCCCCATCACCTCTAGGCGAGCAGTGGCATTCTACCACAGTGGCATTCTCCTGACAGTCCTGTAGATCGTTTGGGTAGGCTTTACACCCCAGGCGAGTCTGAGCGTAAATGAGACTTCAAACAGGCATGTTTCAGAGCTCCTCAAGAGGTCCCTTTGAAGCCCTCTCCATTGAGCATGTGTTAGATGGCAGCATTCTAAAAGCATGTAACAGCTTCCAAAAATCACCCTCCCCCAAATCTCCCTTCTTCACTCTATGCCCTTTTCATTTTCTTTCTTTGGCTGAAGGATCCAAGCAGGGTGACACTTCATGGATGTCTGACCTGTGCAGTCACACAGGGCACTTAGAAGGGCCCTATGCTTGGTTTAATGCTCAGCTGTTGCTATCTGGAATTTAATAGTTTTTTAACAAGAGGCCCTGCACTTTCATTTTGCACTGGGCCCCACAAATTATGTAGCTTATCCTGAACCTACAAGTAGTGGGACAGGTTCTTAGAGCCATTTCCTTATAAATATGTATATCAGATATGGAATTCTGGAAATTACCTTATTGTCTTTAGTCAAAACTGAGGCAGGAAGAGTTCCATTCTAAGATCCTGTTACATGTATTCACTTGCATATAATCTCTCATGAATGGAGGTAAAGAAGTATAAACCTATTAAGTTCAAAACTATTAATATGTCCTCATGTCCTAGCACAGTATCTGACTCATAATAGGTGCTCAATATTCATTGGATGAACAAACATTTATAGAACCATTAAATTTCTGCTTGTCTTAGAATTGTTTTCTATTAACACTCCTTACATGAATATCATATACCAGATTTTATAGAGAGAATATATTCTTGAAAAACTTGCACAATTCAACACAAATTTTTCCACAGTAAAGTATTAAGTAGGGAGACACTTCCTTGAAATCTGTAACTATTGTATATGTGTATTTTAATGCAGCTTTTTATTTTTCTCAAGATCATCACTGTTGTATACTGTTGTATGAATTGCTCACTGTAAAATGTACTATGGAAGTTGTTTGGCCTTCTTTGTGACATTAAAATAACATCTCAAGTTCTTCAAAATTTCCTAATTCTCAGGCCCACTATGTCACCCGCACTTAATGAGTGCTCAGGTGAGATTGCTTTAGAATATAAAAGTATTTCAAATTATAGTAAATGTTAAAACAAGTAGAAAGGTATCACCACAGGTACTTGCAGGAGCTGTGATCCAAGGACACTGCAGGCTGATGCATGCAACCCTGAAAAAGGGCTGCAGGAATTTCTCTTTACTGGCCAAAGTGCCATGTGGCAATAGTATAAACCAGTTTGCAGCTTCTTTGGCTTGCTAACCTTGAAATGAATTTTCAAAAATGGAGGGTATTTACATTCATTCAAATTCTACACATAATTTTTAAATAGAATTTAAAAATTACTCATAAAATATATATTTTACATTTGCATAATTAAATGTATACAAATGCAACCATCCTATATTATCATAGATTACCTAGATTTTAATGTAACCATAAACACACTGCTTTACACCTAACACAATAACTAGTGGATGGCAAATAAGAAAAGAAGCAACAAATGCTAGGCACTCCAGAAAACATAAAGGGGTACTGGCAGCACAACCAAACACAAAGGGTACTTATTTAAATCCATTGGGTCCACAAGGCAAGCGAAGGAAGAAGAGAAGTATCTGACTAATACCTAATATTTAAATTCTAGACAAAACATTTCAGTGCAAATCAGGAAGTGCTTTATTTACTCTGATCCAAGTCAAAGGTAGCTGGATAATTAGTTTTCTTTAAACAATATTCAGCTTTGCTGACATCTCATTTTCCAAAAGCAGCTGCTAGCCAAATATAGTATTGTTTATTCACTCCCTGGAAGGCTGTTTTTAAAAAGCACTTCTTCTGCTAAAAATGTTGCATCACATAATTGGAGATAACAGGAAAAGTAGGAGTTGCTGTTTGTATTTAAATAAACATCTGCTCAAAAGTCCAGTTTTCTGTTTGTGAATAATCCTTTTATTTTATGCCATTAGGCACATTGAATTATTGTTTATTCCTTGCTTTTTGCACATGCTAGGAAATATTCCAAACATGGTAACGCATGAGATATTTCTCCTGAAAAAACGATAAAAGAGATGAAGTTGAGCTCTTTGCCTTTTTCCTTTGCTATACATACGTTAGATGTTTCTGTGCCAGTGACTTTATGCATATGCAATATTAACTATCACAATAAATCTTATCTGGTACATGCTTTTAATTAAACTGAAGTTGGATAAAGTTAGCTTTTTGTTGCTATGTTTGGACTATGGCTATTTAAAAATACCTGTGGTATCTGAGTTAAATCTCCAATTACCCTCCCAAGAAAGGTAGAGAATGAAAATTATTGTTGCTTTTACAGAGAACACACCTAGTACTTAGCATTGCAACATGCTTGGTCTATAGCTACTTGCACTGTACACTGTGCATGCCTTTACACTTCAAATTTCACTGAAAACCCATTCTATGTAACTTTCTCTTCTATTTTCTCCTCACTGGTCATTTGGATTCTCTTTTTCCTGGATATTTTATCCTCAAAATACACAATTTCTTCCTTGACCTCATGATGCCTATCTAAAACAGAGTAGAAATCTTTTTAAACTGGAGATCAGAAAACCCAGGTTCTATTTATCACTGTTGCTGAGATCTGAAGGCTCCTCACTGGGAAAATAAAGACTGCATTGAATGATGTTCAACATCCAATTCAATTTTAAAATTTTGATTTCACTAAGTAGGAAATGAGATTTATTGCTAAAAGCAGGTGGGTTACATAGTGAATGCCAAAATTTGGTGCAATGGAGGTGAGGTGTTTGCTCTTGGGGGTTATTCTAGCTGCCATGACCTTCTGTTAGCATGGGTAATTAAGAGCTCCCAAACATTACATTTGTCAGCTAGTTCATGGGGTTTCAGACCAATGTTGACTGGTCAAAAAGTTACCATTTTGTGTTCATCTGGGAAATTGCAATCTTTTTATGTTCTGAGCCATTTTCTATTACTGCTTGTGCATGAGAAGTATTTTAAACAAGAAGCCAAAGCACATTTCTAAAACTGTTCAGATTCTAGCAAGATTTAAGATGGAGCAAATGCTCTGCTTCCCATTTGGATCCTAGAAGCAGTGAACACACTTCATGAAGAATACATTTATATTTTCTTGCACATAAATACATTTGTCATGATACCAAAACCATTGAGACAAATGGTTATGTTCAGTTGGGAAATGTATCTTTTCTCTCTGCATTAGAAAGAATGTGTTACGGTGTACTTATTCTTGTAGTTTTATAGTTCAGAGAATTTTTAGAGTATAGGAAGCTTCTGTCTATTGAAATAGCATGTGGCCCTTAATTCCTATAAAGCTCTTTAGAAATATAAAGAACTACTAATACTCATTAGCAAATGAATTCTCCAAATACATTCTGCTTTTGTAATTGCATTATTTCCTCAACAGAGAAGTAGAGCATGGTTTTGAAGTCATAATAAGGAATGAATGCCTGTAGAAAACTGTATTTTACAGATTTCTACTCTTGACTGGTAAAGAGTAGGTACCATATATAAACATTCCCCAGAAGTTTGTACTAAAAAGGTCTTTTGAAAGATCAGTAAGCATAAAATTTATTTATATCAGTAACTTCATACACAACCAATACTAGAAGTCGCAGTTAAAAACAGTAACTAGGCTGGGAGCAGTGGCTCACACCCGTAATCCCAGCACTTTGGGAGGTCGAGGTGGGTGGATCACGAGGTCAGCAGTTTGAGACCAGCCTGACCAACATGGTGAAACCCCGTCTCTACTAAAAATACAAAAAAAATTAGCTGGGCATGGTGGTGGGCGCCTGTAATCCCAGCGACTTGGGAGGCTGAAGCAGGAGAATCGCTTGAAACCAGAAGGTGGAGGTTGCAGTGAGCCGAGATTGAGCCACTGCACTCTAGCCTGGGCAATAAGAGCAAAACTGTCTCAAAAAAAAAAAAAAAAAAAAAAAAAAAAACCAAAAAAAAAACACCTAACAAAAAAAAGTGTGAGCGATACACAAAAAGCTTTTAAAGAAGGAATTTGAGAAATTTAATTATGAAATGACTTCTAACTACAAGAGTTCTTAAAATGAGGGTTTTTAAAAATTATTTACCCAATTGCTGTCTTCGTATTGACAGCTGTATCCATTGGGACTCTACTCGTTAACTATTAGTTACTATTAGTTGAGGTTTAAATGACAGAAATCCAACTGAAAGTAGGTTCAGACAACACACACATACACACATACCCTCCTGCACCTAGGAGGAATACTGGGCAGCTCACAAATAGTAAGGCAGTATTGCAGGAACCAGGGCCTCAGGACCAGACCAAGGACATCATGCTCCTAGGAATCTTTCTCGTCTCAGCTAGCTCCAGAATAGGGATGTTTCTGAGGCTCTCCAGTCATGTCATCCCAATTTAGCAAGGTTGGCAGAACTTCATTCCTCTTTTGTAGAGAAGGGGTCTTGCTATGTTGCCCAGGCTGGTCTTGGAACTCCTAGGCTCAAATGATCCTCCTGCCTTGGCCTCCCAATGTGCTAGGATTACAGGTGTGAGCCACCACGCCTAGTCTCCTAAACTTCATTCTCAACGTTTCTATAGCAAAAAGGGCCCTGTGTCTTGTGAGGTCATTTGCCTACGCCTTGCACCAATTTACTACTGCTGGGTTATGGCATATTGTGACGGATTCCACCTGGGTCACCCTTGTGAACAAGGAGTGGAAAGCCGGCATTTAAAGCCCCATGAGGACCACAAGCAGTAGAATTCCACACATAAAAGGGGATATTGCTACCTAAATGAGATAGGAAAACCAGCTGGACTGAAAACTGCATCTTACTTTGATGACCTTGGCTTTTTCAACCTTGAGGCAGGTTTCTGATGATTTGTCTGGAGATTCAGTGCTAATGAGAGGTCTGTAGGCCTGTCCTATTTTATTGGTTTTGGCAACCCCAACCTTGGTGCTTCTTGGCCTGTCTGGATTGCATTTTTTTTTTTTTTTTTTGAGACAGTCTTGCTCTGTCACCCAGGCTGGAGTACAGTGGCATGATCTCGGCTCACTGCAACCCCTGCTTGCCGGGTTCAAGTGATTCTCCTGCCTCAGCCTCCTGAGTAGCTGGGGCTACAGGTGCCTGCCACCACACCCAGCTAATTTTTCTATTTTTAGGAAAGACGGGGTTTCACAATGTTGGTCAGGCTGGTCTCGAACTCCTGACCTTAGGTGATTCACCAGACTGGGCCTCCAGAAGTGCTGGGATTACAGGCATGAGCCACTGCACCCGGCCTGCATTGACTTTAGCATTTGCCTGTTTCTTTCTTAAGCCTTGGAAACTAAATACACATTCTCTTTAGGGATTTGCCTTGGGAACCAATATGATGCAAAGAAAGAACAGTCTCAACTCAGAAAGCTCTGAAATCCCATGATCTGGCACTTACTAGCCTTGTGACCTTCCACAAGTTAATCTCTATGAGCCTTAGTTTCAACCTCTGTAAGATGAAGGCACCCACTCCCTGATATGGTTGAAAGAAAAAAAAAGAAAATGTATATAAAGCATAGTGGCAGCTCCTAATGGATGAGCAGCAATTAGTAGCTATTACTGAAGGTGAGGTGCCTCTACCTTTGGACATTAAGGACTGGAATTAGATCGAAGGCTCAAGATACTAGACAAAGACAGTAAGAATGAAAAAGACATGGCCCCTTCCCTCACTGGACTTACGCTTTAGTAACGGAGAAAATGAATGTGCCTATGTGTAATGAAAGAAAAAAAGTTATAAAAGGTAATATAAGGAAAAAGGGCTGAGTTCAAAGGAAAAAGATACTATCACATGCCAAGCACTTTACCTATACTCTTGATTTAAGGGATTTAAGTGCCAATTACTGTTGCAAAGCAATAGCTGTAACTGCCCAATTTTCGTAATGTATTGAAAAAAGCTGAATGCAGGACATTTAGGACGTCCTATATATGCAGGATGCTCAGCAACCCTATCTCCATCCCTCATGTCAAACCTACAAGTATGTGCTCACAATAGAGGAGAGACGCTGACTGACTTGTTCGACTACAGACAGAAATGGTGGAGCTGGGAACCACTCTTATCTGACTCTGAAGCCTGGAATCTTCACATTATACTACACACTTCTCAGGGATGATGATGAAAGATTTATGTTCCGATTCCAGTTCAGCCTCTAAATGTAGCCTGACCTTTGATTTCTCCTCCTGTACTTCTGTGCTTTGTCTACAAACCTGGCAAGCTGACCAAACGGCTGAGCCTCTGTTTAGCTCTCTGTAATTCTAAGAACTGCCTATGTAGTGATTTCTCAAAGTGTGGTCCCTTAACCGCCAGCATCATTACCTGGGAACTTGTTAGGAAAGTATATTCTTAGGTCACAACAGACCCACTGAATCGAAAACCAGAATGGGTTCAGCAATCTGTTTCAACAAGTTCTTCAGGAGATCTTAATCCAAGTGTGAAAACCACTGATCTTCAGCATTCTAAAATGCAGCTATTGATTCTAAAATGTTGCTGTTGCTTCTAAAATGCTATTGTTTGTGGTTCCTTAGTCCATGACTCTCAGGTACACTTTGTTTTTTAAAGAGATGAGGTCTTGCCATGCTGCCCTGGCTGGTCTCAAACTCCTGAGCTCAAGCGATTCTCCCACTGTGCTGGGATTATAGGCATGAGCTACTGTGCCCAGCCCAGGTACATTTCTTTTGAAAATTTTAAGGCATCTTAGACACATACAATTTATACTATGGCACAGAGATGACAATGTGTACTATTGCTTCCAAATCCATTAAATTTCATCTCCTACCCCTAACAAACTAAAGTCACAATCCATGCCACTACCATCACTTTCCCACCTTTTCCTTCTCCTGGGCCCTATTTTTTAGTCTGAAATACCTCTCTCTTCAGTCTTCTCAGCTTTAATTTACCCCTCTATCTTTTCATTGTCCCCATTAGTCATGCTTCACTCTAGCCATATTGTCCCAAACCCATTTAAACAATGCCCTCTACTCTCTTCACTCCAAATCCCACACACGTCTTGGTCCACAGTGCAAAATGAGTCTATGGTCCTGTGAAAACTCACTGACTCGTTTGAATATGGCAATTATTTAAACATGAATGAGACCGAAGTTGACATATGAACCAGTTTGCCAAAGGAACTAATGTTTAAAAAAAAAAAACTCTGTTTTCAAGTCTCCTCAAGCGCTTTAAAATATTTTACTATAATTAAAAACTATTTCACCCTGTTAATCTATACTCCCCAAAAGACCCTTTATTGGGCCATTTTATTAAATTCTCAAATACCATTTTTTCAAAAACTTTTAATTTATATATGCCATGCCCAAATAAATTAGTAAAGACTTCATTGCTGTGCTCACATATATGAAGCCTATACTGGTATACGTATGAAATATGCAGCTTTTTCCCCTCCACTAAAGAGTACAAACTCAAAGAGAAATAGAGTAACTTTAAAAATATTGCATGATGTCATTAAGTTTTAAGACAACTAAAACCAGATATAGGCCCCTAATGGTCAAACTCACCACTACTGATGACAATGGAATTCATCTAAATCAGCTTGGCAAGCTTCTGAAAAAATGCATTATTGGGATACATTTCCCAATTTTCAAAATCTGAATTCACAGTAGTGCCAGAATTAGCTTCTGGGTGTTTCTAGCACATAACAGACTTAAGGGTCACTGGCCTAGAGACAAGCTCCATTTTAAAATTAATCAGAAGTACCACAGCACAAACTAATTTAAAAATACATTTGAGATGAGGACACAATTCAGTAGCTTTTCACCTAGTCACTGAAGTTGACATAGGATCAAAAGTAGGTCACTCATTATAGCAAGTGATGACAGTGTCCTACCAGCTATCTCATTTCCCTGGTCTACCAAGTCAGTTCTAATTTGATGTATTATCAACTTTTCAGACACTTGGACTCCGTGGAGCAAGAGCGGTGAGGTTGCATGCTGTTTCTACATTATCTACAAGGCCCCAAACATTTGTATCACCCATGTATCTATATATTACTGAAAAAATAAATAAGTAAATAATTATATAGGATACACTGATAGTTTCTGTTTTACACTGGGGTAGGAAAGGGGTTAGTGATTAATGCTGGTCGTAAATCACTAAAGGGTTGCAATCCACAATTTGCAAAACAGATCTATTTCAATGTCTCACTTCGCAGATAAGGAAACACAGACCTGTAGATATGCCATTATACCATCTCCAATCTTTAGTGTTACCTTTCATTTACCCAATTCCTGCCATGCAATCCTAAACAACCCTCCACAATATAACCCCAAATGACTTACATTAATAAGCTCTACATTCTCTTACAACAAACTGGCTTCCACCAAAGACCACAGAACAGGACAACCAAACCACCAATCTTAAAAGGTCTCGCTGCTGAAGAAAGTGACACACTTTCTTCTAGAGTGCAAAATTTCCAAGACAAGATGGATTAGATAGATCCCTCATTACACATCCAATTGAGTGTAAAAATCGGTAACCCAGGAATGCACATTCTAGCCTGTTAACGAGGAGGAAAAATAGAGGAGATATAGTTGGAAAAAGGATAGAAGTACACTAAAAAAGTAATAAAACTATTGTACACTTCTCTTGATTGCAGCAAATAATTCAAATTAGGCTGCTTATAGGTAAGAATCACAATGAGCAGCATTATTTGTTAAACAGTTTAATTCCCAAAGCTAGTAATTTTAGTTAAATATACATTAGAGCCTTTTTAGATGGCTGCTAATAAACACTATGTCAAAATGTGTAGTTTTAAACTCAGACTCGAAAGCCAAGATAAGCAACTCCTTCAGTTATTACTCTGACCAAGGCATAAGAATTCACTTAGACAAAAAGCTTTCAAAACCTACCTAAAAATAAGATAGTTCATAAATTTTCAAAACTGTTCTTCCCTGTTGCGGACAGCCCTTGATCTTTGTAAGACTTAGCAAATTTTGGCATGCTCTCATGTTAGCTTTTTAAGTTACTGAAAACTCCTATAAATTTAGCATCATTTCTCAAATCTGTATAGTTTTCTCATTCCGAATGCTTAAACATTTAGGTCAAAAATTAAAATACCAGTAGAAAAATATTCATCTTTAGCCAGGTTGTATAGTTAACAACATGGCAAGAAACTGATGAGAACATTTAAACATTCAGAGCATAAAAATACTTCAAAGCATTACGAAACTTGAACTTAGCATTTTCCTAAATTTTAGTAGTTCCAACTACAGGAAAATAAAACTGCCATAAGGACTGAGATGATTTAAGCCAACTCAAATTTTTTCCTGATTCCTGACATCAATATTATAGTTTTATTATAGTAACAAATAGTTGTTACAGTGAGACCTACACACATTTACAGAATTATATTTAAATTCATATAGAATATTTACATTTTTAAGTTATATTTTTGAAATTAGAAGACGAAGTACAGCTGAAGTTTGATAACAAAGAAATATATATAAGACAAAAATAGACAAGAGTTAACAATAAAAACACAACTATCTGTTGATATAACATATGGAAACTTTTTGTCAGAAAGCTACATCTTCTTAATCTGATTGTCCAAATCATTAAAATATGGATGATTCAGTGCCATTTTGCCAGAAATTCGTTTGGCTGGATCATAGATTAACATTTTCTGGGAGAAAAAAGAAAAAGAGATATTTATTTAGGAAATAAACCATTTTTTACAAAAATCTCCATAAAACCTCAACTTTTCTAGCAATAAACCAAAACTAATACTTTCAGTGAATATCTATTAAATGAGCATTTCCATTAGTTTAACACACAAATGTCTCCTCCCCTACATTTCACTCTTGAGGTCTAGAATAACTTACTCTGTAAATCATAGATATTCTCAATAACCTCTTTTTGTTATCAATTACGGTAAGACTCAAGCATCCAGAAATAGCTTTAAAACTGAGACACAAATATAGGAAAGACGTCTAGTTAATTATATTTACATTGAGAATTAAACGGCCACCTGAGTTATTTACAACATTCTTGAAATGGCAATTAACTATGGCAGTTTCTGATGTAGCTTCCAGCAAGTTCCAAAACCCCCCATAGCACAATGTGTTATAAAAATAGCTAAAAATGAGTCACTAAATGAATTATAGTCACACAACTTAGTATGTTAGTTTACGCGCCAGAAAAAGCTAAATAAAGTTTAGGATTGATGTTAAATTTGATCTTTAAGAAATACTAAAATAAAATAAAATCAACAAGCACACTAGAGATTTTTTACTAACTAGTTACCATCTGAACTCTCATGTAACCAGCACCATACAAACTGCTTTGTATAAATCATGGTACTCAATTCCCACAGCTAAAAGTAGGTATTAATGTCATTTTACAAATGAGGACATTGAGGCTCGAAGGGAAGTAACTTGCCCAAGTTCCCAGAGCTAAGGAATAAAGCTCAAATTTGAAACCAAGTTTAATTTACAATAATGGTTCGCAACTGGGATAGACTTTGCCCATCAGGAGACATTTGGCAATATCTGGAGACACTTTTGGTTGTCCTAACTGTGAAGAGTATACTAATGGCATCTAGAGAGTAGAAGACAGTGATGACATGCCACTAAACAAGTTATGATGCACAGAACAATGCCAGCAACAAAGATTTATCCACTCCAAGATATGTCAATTGTGGCTAGACTAAGGAATCTGATTTATAGTATTTGATTTGGGGGAAATCTAAGCTTAATTTTGTGGCATAAGGAGTCTTTACACTCTGAAAGTAACCCGAAGACCAATGAGAAAATGTATACAATGGTATAGCAATAGATCCTTCTGATGGAGAAACTAGGTACAAAGTGCGAATAAAGCTTATTCAGAAGATGGCTTTAATAATTTAAAATATCAACCAATAAGAAAAACACGTCTAGCATAAACTAAGAGGGCTCAATAGTGACAAAAATGCTAGAAAGGAGAGCCACTACAATTCAGCAACTTAAAAAAAAAAATGTGTATTAATCCTGGCTTCTCCCTCAGAATATCCATAGCTACCTGTCAGATAAAAAACAAAAACTAATGCTAAATCCTCCTCTCAAAGCCACTAGTGCCTCCTGATATCTAAAATGAAGCTAGTATAATACAATGTACATAACAGACACCTAGCTCAAAAATGTTAGTGTTCTTCCTATTTTCTAGGCAAAACAAAGAACTGAATATATTCAGAATCATCAATAATTTGAAAGTCAGTATCAAGGGCACTCCTTACCGAGAGCAAATCCAAGCCATTTTCATCCAAGTTTTTGACATGGGATGCTAGGCTTCCTGGTTTCCATTTGGGAAATGTATTCTTATAGTCCTGTAAAGATTCCACTTCTGGCCACACTTCATTATTGGGAGTGCCCAAAGCTCTAAAAAACAGGAAATTAAAAATTTCTTAAAGCATAAATGTAATCTCATTGTTACATATATGTTACCTTTATTATCTCAGTTTTTAATAGCTACCTGAAAATCCTGAAGAGTTGATCAATTTCTGAATCCCCATGGAAAAGTGGTTTCTTAGTTGCTAGTTCAGCAAATATGGTGCCTATACTCCAAATGTCAACTGGAGTTGAGTAACGAGCTGACCCCAGCAATACTTCTGGAGATCTGTACCAGAGTGTTACTACCTATTAAAAAGCAAATTTTTACAATGAATAAATGTGGTGCATAAAATTACCTACACTTAAACATTTATATTTTTATTAGGGCTGTCCTTTAAAGGTTGTATGACTGCCACCAATAATATTGTTTAAGTCAATTAAAGGTACACAAAATTGAAGATAAATATTTCATTTCTAAGTTCTATTCATTAGAAGACAAAACAGATAAAAGCATAATAAATATTTTTTTGCTTTTCAAATCACTAAAGATCAAGACAGTTATACAGCCTTATCTTCCCCCCACTGAAAAACCAAACCCATTGATAATAGATTTGGGGTGACACTGAACAAAGTGCAGGTACTGCTTACTTGCTAAGATGGTACTAACAGTACCATTATAACATGAATAAGAAACATGAGAAAGAAATAAAGGGCATCCAAATTGCCAAGGAAGAAGTCAAATTGTCCCTGTGTGCAGAGATGATCTTATATATAGAAAAACTTAAAAGACTCCACCAAAAACTCTTAGAACTGATTAACAAAGTTGCAGTATACAAAATCAAAATCAGCATACAAAAATTAATAGTTTCTATACACCAATAACTAGCTGAAAAATAACATCAAGAAAGCAATCTAATGTACAATAGGTACAAAAAACCTAGGAATAAATTTAACAAATGAGATGTATAATCTCTACACTAAAAACTATAAAACATTGAAGAAAAAAATTTAGGAAGATACAAAAAAGACATCCCATGTTCATGAACTGGAAGAATTAATATAAAAATGACCATATTACCACCCAATGCAATCTACAAATTCAGTGCAATCTCCATCAAAATACCAAGGACATTCTTCACAGAAATAAAAAGAAATCCTAAAATTCATATAGAACCAAAAAAGACCCACAATAGCTAAACCAATCTTGAGCAAAAACAACAAAGCTGAAGGCATCGTATCACCTGACTTCAAAAATGTATTACAAAGCTATAGTAACCGAAACATCATGATATTAGTATAAAAAAGGACGCAGAGACCAACAGAACAAAATAGAGAATCCAGAAATAAATCCATGTATTTACAGTCAACTCATTTTTGAGAAAGATGACAAGAACATTCACTAGGGAAAAGCCAATCTCTTCAATAAATGGTGCTGGAAAAACTGGATAATCCACATGCAGAACAATGAAACTAAACCCCTATATCTAACCATACACAAAAATCAACTCAAAATGGATTAAATAAGACCTTAAACTATGAAACTATTGGAAGAAAACAGAGGAAACACTGTTATTGATATTGATCTGGACAAAAATCATATGGATAAGACCTCAAAAGCTCAAGAAACAAAATCAAAAATAGACAAATGAGGCCAGGTGCAGCAGCTCATGCCTATAATCCCAACACTTTGGGAGGCCAAAGCGGGAGGATTGCATGAGCCCAGGAGTTCGAGAACAGTCTGGGAAATATGCTGACAGCCCCGTCTCTAAAAAATTTAAAAATCAGCCTAGCATGGTGGTGCATGCCTGTGTATGGGCCCAATTACTCAGGAGGCTGACGTGGAAGGATCACTGGAGCCCAGGAGGTTGAGGTTGCAGTGAGCCCTGTTCACGCCACTGCATTCCAGCATGGGTGACAGAGAAAGACCCTGTCTCAGCAATAACAAATAGACAAACAGGATTATATCGAACTAAAAAGCTTCTGCACAGCAAAAGAAACAGAATGAACAGAATAACAGAATAATGCAACAATCTGCAGAATGGGAGAAATTATTTGCAAATCATTCATACAACAAAGAATTAACATCCAGAATAAAAAAAATAGTAAGAATCCAATTTTAAAAATGGTCAAACAATCTGAATAAAACTTTCTCAAAAGACATACAAAGACCAGCAAGTATATGAAAAAGTGCTCAACATCACTATTCATCAGGGAAATGCAAATCAAAACCACAATGAGCTATCACACCCAGTTAGAGTAATTATCATCAAAAGACAAAAAATAAGTGCTGATAAGGATGCAGAGAAAGGGCAACTTTTTACGCACTGTTGGTGGGCTCTTAAATTAGTAGAGCCATTATGAAAAACTGTTTAGAGGATGCTCAAAAAACTACAAACTAGAACTACCATATAATTTTGCAATCCCACTGCTGGGGGTATATGTCCAAAATAAATAAAATCAATTATGTCAAAGAGATATCTGCACTCCCATGTTTATTGAAGCACTATTCACAATAGTCAAGATACAGAATCGACCTGTTTCCATCAACAGATAATGTGGTGTATACATACACACATACAGAAAATGTAGTGTACACACACATACGTGCACGCAATGGAATACTAGAATACTACTCAGCCATAAAAAAAGAATGAAATTCTGTCATTTATGACAACAAGGATGAGCCATGAAATAAGCCAGGCACAGAAGGATAAATACCACATGTTTTCACTCATATTTGAAAACGTAAAAAGTTGATCTAATGGCCATAGAGTGGAATAGTGGTTATTCAGGGCTTAGTAGAGGAAGACAGAGATAAGTTGGTTTATGGATACAATTACAGCTCAAAAGGAAAAATAAGCTCTAGTGTTCTACAGCACTGTAAGCTGACTACAGTTACCAATAATTTACTGTAAATTTTCAAATAGCCCAAACAAAGAATTTTGAATGTTCCCAACAAAAAGAAATAATAAATGCTTGGGGCAATGGATATGCTAACTACCCCAATTTAATCAATACACATTGCATACATGTATCCAAATACCACACTGTACCCCATAAATATGTATAATAATGCGTCGATAAAAAATGATTTTTAAATTATTTAAAAAACGTGAATAAGTCAAATAACAGATTAGTGATCTAGAACTAACCAACCATTTTAGTATATTTATCATATGGTAAAAATATTGCCTGTTAGAACAAAGCTAATGAGGTCAATAGCATTTGTTTAAGACAAAGAAAACAAAATAATCTTAGTTTATTTATATAGCCATGTAAAAAAATGATAAAGACTAACAAGCAGCCAAGACATCTAATCAGATGAGCACTGTTACTAGTTTTGATCTGGAGACAGTCTTTGGGTCAAGGGTAGACAACTCCACAGAAGACAGCCTTTCAATAATCCTTTATTATACAATGTTCCCTTTCCTTCAGAAACACTAAATGCCAAGTCAGCAATATAACACAGATCAAACATAAATTATAGTTAGCAATTCCTAAATGTATCAGAAATAATATACCTTAAGGAACAAAACCTGTCTTTGAATCAATCTGACTATAATCAGGGAGGGTTCAGTCAGGAGACAGAAACCAAGGTGGTGATTTGAATGGGGAGAGTTTAATATAAAGAATTAAAGTACAACAAAGGATGGGAATGATGTAAATAAATAAAGTAAAAAATAATGAAAATGTAAAAACTGTAGCTAGGAAAACTCCTTCCTCCTGCCATGTCCCTCTAGTACCCTCTACCTTAACAACATAGCAGCTGGTAAAGAAAAAATACTTAAAGGCTTCAGTTCCATTTTCACATAGCATGCAATGAATTTGGAGCTGAGAGGCAATAAATTGATACTGCCACAGAGTAGATATCTTTTATTGAGTTATTTCTTGACTTTCACAAATACAGAAAATAATCTAGCAATCACACACATTCAAAAGCCATCAAAAACCACTATTCCACTTGCCTCATGTGTATATACTCTGATAGGTATTCCAAAAGCTCTGGCAAGGCCAAAATCAGCCAGTTTAATTGTTCCTTTGTCATCAATCAAGAGATTTTGAGGTTTTAAGTCTCTGTGAAGAACTCTTCTAGAGTGACAAAACACAATCCCCTGTAGGATTTGGTATAAATAACTCTGGAAAAAGCAAGTAAAAGTTAGAAACTTAAGCGAAGTACATGATTTTCTAAATAATCTGTTTCAAAGACAAAAAATTAGGACGCAGAGAAATAATTTAATTACTAGAGCTTTCAGGCCATTTTAGGCTAATAAGCATTTGTGGGTGGGAAGCCCATTTATATACAACATCACATTTGTATACCTAAGAAAAGAATCTTCACCTTATAGACATATCTATAGTAATGTGAACACATTTAGTCTTTAAACATTTTTGGTCCCCGATCCTTAAATTACAAATTGGTTTTCTACACAGAAGCCTCTTGATTTTTCTTCTATATACCGCTACCAACTCTATTTTGTATCTTCAATACAGTTGGCCTTTTCTATCTTTCATTTTTACATATTCATTTCCTTCTTGAAAAAATTAGATTCTAAAAGTGATGGCAAAGATATTATGATTATATATTTCAATGGATAAAATTATCATAAAATGCTGCTTAGTTCAGAGAAAAGTGCTTTACAAGACATTTGTTGCCAAAGACAATGTCATTGACATCTGAAGTAGCATGGATATTACAAAAACAAAGTACACAGAAAAATGACTTACAGTTTGAAATTGGAAAGTAATACAGATGCTCCATCTTAGAGGGACAAGTGGTGTTCAAAAAACAAAACAAAACGGATGATCCATCTGGTTAAACTCATTCTAAGCTGAAAATACCTTGTCGAAATGCATTGAACACACCTAACCTACCAAACGTAGCTAAGCGTAGCCCACCTTAATTGTGCTCAAAACACTTACATTAGCATATAGTTGGAAGTGTTGAATACCTCATTATTTATTGAATACTGTACTGAAAGTGAAAAAACAGAATGGTTGTATGGGTAAATGAAGTATGGTTTCTAGTGAATGTGCATCATTTCTGCTTCATTGTAAAACTGAAAAATTGTAAGTAAAACCATTGTTGCCTGTACATAAAACCAGTTAGAACAACTGGCTAGCCATTTGGAAAAAGATAAAGCAGAATCTGTATCCCAGTTTTTAAGTCAAAATAAATCTTAATACAGAATTTAAGACAAAAAAAGTATGTGTGGAAGACAGGACTTACTAAAACTACCAGAAAAATACTGACATGTATTATTCTAATACATTCGATCTTTGAGTGAGGAAGACTTAAGCAAGACATAAAAGCAGAAAGTCCAAAAGTCATGCAAGATTGTTAAAGAACGTATCCTAACGAAAATATAGGCGGTTTATAATAGCTAAATATGAAGTGTTAAATTGTCATGAAATATAAAATTAAAACAATCTTAATATGCCTTTTTCACATAGTTAACAGATTGATAAAACCAAGTTTTGGCAATGATGTACTAAAACAATAAGTATTACACACCATGAGTATTTAAGAGTAAATTGCTACAAGTTTTTTAGGGGGCAACCGGCAATATCTATCAAAATGTAAATAAACATCTTCAATCCATCATTCCCATTCTAAAAATTTATCCTATAAAGTTGCATACGAAGATAAATATCTATAAGGACATTCAGTGCAGTACTGTTAATAAGAGCAACAATAACCAAGTTGGAAAATAATTTAAATGTTCATCAATATGGAAGTGGTTTAATTATATCAAAAATGTAAATAGACATAGGTAGATCTACGTCTTGATAATGTTTTACACAAAAAAGGGAAAATATGTATATATACATATGCAAATAAGTCCACCTTGTGTAAAAAAAAAAATCTTTATATACATACAAAGTGAACATACATACAAGTGTAAGATTACAAATAAAACTAACAGCGCTACCTCTGCAGAGTGGTTTGGTAGAACTGGTGCAAGAATAAGACACTTTTATATACTTCAGTACTTAAAACTATACAATTTTATAATTTACCTGAAATATAATAAATGTCTACAATAAATTGACCAAAACATGTTCAAAACTGGAATAAAACACCTACAACCACCACTCTGCCCTAGGCTTTCATTACTTTGTTTTACATGTATCTGACAGCCAAAGAAAGACCAGACTACCCTAGCTTCCAACAATACCTACCAGTTCTATGTTATCTCAGGCACTAATTTTTACTTACTAGAAACACTATCTGGTAATAACATGGGTATCTCTAACCTGTATAAACTAACCATGAGGGAGAAAAATGAAATACTTTTTCTTATTCTAACACTTTTTCCAAGCATATTCCCACAAAATGCAGGGACTTCTATATATAGTCCCTTTATATCCACAGTGCATAAATATTAATAAAATTAGTTAAGCTTTTACCTTAACAAGTGAAGAATCCATGTACTGACCAGGAGGGATAGAATCCAAGTATTTCTTCAGATCCATGGAAAGAAACTCAAAGATGAGATATAACCTGGAATCCTGCATAAGCACATCCTGAAGACTGGGGAAAAAAAATATATGAGAGAAGAATCCAGCAAACATTTTTGACCTCTGTTTCACAAAATAAAACTCCTTCCATAATTTCAGTTGCTATAATAAAAACTGGGGAAGACGTAGTAGCTTCCCTAATGGAAGAGACTCAAAACTCAAATTTAAGAAAGGAATCTCAGGGCAACTATTTAAAATTAAGCCTTGTACAGGAGGTGCTTATTTATAAGGAGCCTGTATTCAAAAGAACATATCTAGGTTGGCTACTAATTGCTGAGAGCTTATTTTTTCACTGAAGTGAATTATACAAATAAATTTTAAAGTGGTATCTGACCTTAAAAGCTACTTCCAATCTCTAGCCCCAGCCAAGTACAATTAGATTTTAACTTGGACTGTTAGGAAGACAGGTCTCCAAAAACACCCAATGCAAATACTTTAAGGAAAAAAAATCTTTTTCATTTGACCTAGCTACTTTTCTTAAGACTCTAACTAAAGGGTCTTCAGGAACTAGAGCTCCCCAAGTAGGAGAGAGTTGACAAAGCTCTATGAAAACGGCTTTACTCCCATGGCCAATTTACCTTGCTATTCTAGGCCCAAATATTAATCTACATCACCCAGCTCCTCCAACTCTGTTCCTGCTTTAACAGCCTGTTCTCTTTTACATATGTGCGGCATTCTCAACTACCAAAAATAGGGTTCTAGTCCACTCAGTAAGGCTAGACCAAGAAATTGAGCAAATGTAAAGATTTCCAAGTTGAAATTTATATTTGAAATAGCATGCAGAAAATGGCTTACATTCAGATATTACAACATACCTGACTATATTTGGATGACGAAGTTCCTTTAATAGAGAAATTTCCCGAATTGCAGTACTAGGAACCCCTTCCTCTTCACTTTCTAGTCTGATTTTTTTCATGGCTACCACTTGACCTGTAGTTTTGTGTCTACCCTTATACACAACTCCATAGGTACCTGAAACAAAGTAAATAATATGCTGTGTGACACACCCCACAAACTAAAGATCTTTTTTTCTTTTTTTTTTTCCTTATGGCAGGGTCTTGTTTTCTTGTCCAGGTTGGAGTGCAGTGGGTCAATCAAGGCTCACTACAACCTCCTCCTCCTGGGCTCAGGGGATCCTCCCACGGCAGCCTCCCAAGTAGCTGGGACTACAGGCACATGCCACCACACTCGGCTAATTTTTGTCTTTTTGGTAGAGATGGGGTTTCACCATGTTGCCCAGGCCAGTCTGGAACTCGTGAGCTCAAGCAATCTACCTGCCTCGCCGCCCCAAAATGCTGAGATTACAGGCGTGAGCCACCGCACCTGGTCAAACTAAAGGATTTCAAGATCATTGAATCCCATAAGGGTCACATGATAGAAATGTCTGGTGTGGCCATATGGGAAGTATCTTACTCATACCCTCATTGCTTCCAAAAAGAAATTGAGAGTAACTACAATCTGTATGGCTTAAAAATAAAATTCATGTAGTCATCACAAGTTTTCTATACATCTAAATTACCATTAATGTTCCAGCATATTTTACAGAACAAAATAGATCATTTGCAAATTAAAATTAACCTTCTGTCAATATCCTACCCTGCAACGAAGTGGGCATAAAATATAGTGTAAAAATTTGGGCTCAGGAAATATTACTGATAAAAGTCATTATGACACTTTCAGAAAATACTGTAGAGTGCTTTATGCTTTTCAAAACACTTTTATCTGTATCTCAAAATACAGTCAACAGTCCTCATTCTCAAAAGAATGGAGAAAAAAGACCAGGTGTTTGTGTATTAAACCTAATAAAGCACATTGTATGTACTACATATTAGGAAAGCCTCACACCCATTTGCAAGTTGATGAAAATACTGATTTTGATATATGGGCTTCAGGTAATGAGCAACAATATCAATTATAAGGGATAGCAGGGAGGGAGGAGGTGGATACAGGGAATGAAATGGCAATAAGGGAGAAGACTAGCTAAAATCTGTCATATACGTGGCTGAATTCCCTAGATAAGTCTTTTTAAACTCGAGTTGGAGTTTAGGGAGGTCCTGAACCCCTTAAGTACACACAAAATTTTGTTGAATAGCTTGCTTTCCATGGCATTGGTTTAACTTCAAAAGTGATTAGAGTGCACTGTTCTAGGAAGAAGGCCTCTTCTATAGCTTTTATGAGTTTCTCTGAAAGTAGCAATATTTTAAAAAAGGCTAACAACCAACAAATTACCAACTGCTTGGTTAAAAAATTAAGCAGTTTGAGCAGTAGCAAATTGATGCTACTTAAGCTTAATTTTTTTGACAGAACCTCTATACAAAAGTCTATGTTTTCTTAAATACTGGTGTCATTTTAAAACTATAAACTGACATGAGTCATTTTATACTATTTTGATTAAATTGTGGATTAATGTATAACTTTTTGATAACCAAAATTACTCTACATTAAAGGAGAATTGACTATATTTAATCCTCACAGCCATCCTTAAAAGTAGGCAACCTTCATATACTTAAAATCTACATTTTTTTGGATGTAAATTCAGCTCTCATTAAACACAAAAAGTAGGTAAACCAGTAGCACAATCATCTGGCATACTGTTTAAGTGATCTCAGGAAAATTAGTCACTTGCATAATACAGTCACATAAACAGTTAATGGTAAGTTCAGAACTAATTTTTTTTCTAGCATCCTTTCTTCTCCCTCAAGTGTACAATCTCATCTAATCCTAAATAATTTTCAGAATTAACAATTAACCAGTGGCCAACACTCAATGTGTTGAATTTTAGAGATAATATCACTTCTCACTGAACTACTGGAAGAGGGGTTAAACAAAGCAGAACTTTCTATTGGTTAATCATCCAAAATTATTTTTGAAATACATGGCATATCCTCCAAAATGAACTAAGAATTCTAAAGACAGAAATACTCTAGGGTATTTAACTAAGTATAAATAACTAAGGAGGCAAAAATCATTAACACAGGTAAGCCTAGAAGGAGATCAGTCTAAGTCTAATGGAAGATTTATCCCAGGAAACAAAAAGAAACAAAAGAAAAATATGTAGGATATGATCAAGTTATGGAGGCCCTTAAGCAGAAAACCTTCATTAAGCAAGTATTTATCAAATGCCTACTAAATGCCAGGCAAGGTTCCACCATCATGGATACTGCTACTCTATGATCCAAAAAGACATTTTCTTAAGACAGGAAGGATTTCAAAGATTAGTATCACAACACTCAGATTTCTGTAATTCAGAAGAAACCAGAGAACAATTTTTGTAATATTTAAAATAGTAAAGTCTGGAGGTATTTAAGAAATGAATTAGGTTGTCAAGACTCACTGTCAAGTGAGAGAAAAGGCAGAGACTGTTCTAAATCAGAATTAATGTCAATGAAAAAAATAAAAAATAATGCTAACATACATACAGATAATAAAGTAAACATGACAAAACACCAACATCTTGGTAAAAATATTACAAGTTCATTGCATAAATCTTTCAATATAGATTTGGAGATGTTCAAAATGAAAAGTTGAGGGGAAAAAATATAACTTTTAAAGTAGTATTTTAATACTAGACTTTAACCAGATACCTGGCAGAACCAAAAGAAAATTCTGTGTGAATCATTTAGGCCTCCATTTATTTCCACAAGTTCCTTTTTCCAAAACAATATCCAGCACATAATCCAAAACAATCAGGCATTGGAGTAGAAATGACAATACAAGCCAGAAAAAGAAACAACAGTGTTCAGAAGAGCAAACAAGGAAAACAGATGTTATTATTATCTATTTGGCTATCTCCTGTGGGTTGGGCACTACTGATAGGCAGTGGGCAAACAGTTGTGAACAAGACAAAAACCCCAGCCCTCAAGGATCCTATGGTATGATGCAAAGGGAACTACAAAATGCTCTTGGACTAGAGGAGGAGATAAAAAATGAAGCCAGTAGAAACTGGCCTCCAGGTAGAAAGAACAGCCATTGCCAAAACTCATAGGCCAAATCACAGGATACATTTGAGGACATCAAAGAAATCCAAATTAAGAGTTAAGTGGCATTAGATGGAGCTGGTGAAGAGATGGTTTTGGAGACAGTGTTCATAGTAATAATACAATGTTCAAATGATAAACATTTGAAGGTTTTCTGAGTTAAAGCGCTCATAACAAATGCTTTCCATAATATTGTTCAATTGAATCATATCTTTCGTGTTAAGTCCAATTATCACCATTTGCAGAGGCAGAAACTGAGATCCAGAAAAGTTAAGAGGGTTTACCACTGTCACACTGCTAGAAATAAAGAATGGAAGTCTTATGACTTACATGTATGTAATGGATTAAATTTAAAATTACATTCTTTTAACTGCTCCTATTTCTAGTAGCAATTAAAGTACTTTTCTCAGAAGTCAAATCTGCAGTCTCCTGTATGTTTGGAGTTCTATCATCTTAAAGAAAAATATATTTATACTTTAAGAAGGTCTCTTTTTATGCCAAACTAAAACCAACACAAATTCTCTGGGAATTTAAGAAACACACTACACAGCATTAGACATACTAATCACATATTTTTAATTCAGCAGCAAAATTTGTTTAGTAGAATGGGTATGAGGTATTTAAGTGATTTAAAAAAAAAATATATATATATATGTATACACACACACACCTCCAATCGAACACCACACTAACTTGTCACTCCTATTCCACTAAATTCCCTCCAGTATTCCCCCTTGTTTTTCACTATTTCTTGTCAAGTGGGGTCTTTGATCACATTAAAAATATAGTTGGGAATTTTCTTCTGGCAGAACCTATATAAACTGGATTCTATTAGCAAATTATTTTGTACCTGGAGAATCGAGAATGTTCTGCTGGAGTCGAGGAACAGGCGAAGGGATATACCCCTCATTTGTGCCATATATAGATCTAAACATTCCTTCAAGTACCACAGAAAGGGAAGGATTATATACATAAGTTATAATTTTAGAATAGCTTAAACATGTCTATATGACAGGTCATTTATACTTAGGGTAACTAAATAGAAATTTTATTTAAATTAGATTAAGTCAATTATTGTAACCAGTCTATAAAGTCTGGATAAAAATATTTATCATCCTAAAAACAATTGAAAGAGACTAAAACTAAAAATATATTATGAAGTTAGCATAATTCTGCAGCCCTAACCTCTGCCCCTCAACACACATGCAAGTTATCAATAGTGTCTTCAAAATACAAGTACTACTATAAGTGTTTAGTATCAGAAGACTGTAAGACTATGGGGGTGAGGCGAACGGTCATTAGGGATTCGGTAATTTCAATTCTCTTGAAATGTGAGCAAATTTGCGTTTATTAAGTAAAGAACATATGTTAATGCACACTGGTACTACAAGACAACTTAATGGTTGAATTTTAATAAATATTTAAATGTGTTCATATTACAGAAGTTGTAGCATTGTTAAATCATTCCATAAAATTTATTTTACTAAAACCACTCACCTTCTCCAATTTTCTCTATTTTGGTATAATCTTCCATAGTTAGTCAATGGGTATGGTAGATCCTAAAGTGAAGGAAAAACTGACTTAATTACATGCCACTAACTCGAGTAGTTTTAAGCATTAATGAAACACTATATGTAAAGCATTTTCCACAGTGCCTACTGCAGCATAAGTATTCCATAAATATTAATTACATTCAAACAATATTTACAAGGGTAAGGACTCCTACAATAACTTTCCATCCTTCTTGACTCCTGAGACATTGGAAACGTGTATATTCTATACTAGTGTAGTATTTAGCTTCTTCCAATCAAAATAACCCTCAAATTCAGGTATCAACTTGTCTATTCTTTCCAAACAAAAACCAGAATTATGTTCCCTTTTTGTGACACTTTAAAGTAGTACCTGCGTGTGCCAAAGTTATACCCAAATATTTCAACAAATTTATACCGCTTTATGATACTCCTAATTTTATTCAAAACATTATTTTTTAAAGTTATGAGGACAGAACTAAAATGTGTTCAGACTGTTCATTAGGAAAATTTTGTTTAAAACGACAAAAACATTTTAAGTGTTTACAGTTGCCCACGTGACAATTTTAATCTTTTTCCTCTGCTTGCTGAGGTCACAGACAAACATGCTCAAGACTTTCAAGGTACTTTTTCCAAGAGTAGGAAATATCACTTAAGCACCGTAAAACAAAAGAATGAAAAGTGCAATTCCACAGATAAAATTCTAATTATAACCTAAACAATGTCAAGGACTAAGCAGAAAAACGGTATACTTGAATCACAATGAATGGGTTAAAAAAAAAAGCTGACAACCAGAAGTTCAAGACTTCCTCTGAAGTTTGCCAATGAAACGTCAGAACTCCAGGCATAATTACCTAGATTTTTCTAACACCCATCACTGATGATAAAATCATTTATAAAGCACACTCAGAATAGACCTTTAAGTTCTATTTCTCACATTCATCTTCAAAGAAAAATCAATCCAGAAAGAAGCAGAGATGTATCTTTTTAAATGAAAAAAACTGCACTACACTGCTCATGAGAGTTAAGTGCCTGGGCTGACTGTTCTTAACAGCTCCAGGTGGGCCGGGGCCGTGGGCAGAGCAAGCCCAAGAAGGCCCACGAGTTCCAGGATCGGTTTCTCAGGGCGGCCTGGCTCTAGGGACCCGCGCCTGTACCTGGCCCAGGTGCGGTCCCACTTTCCCACCCCCGAGGCGGGATGGCAGGGCGCGCAGGGGCCGGGCCCAGGAAAGAGCCTGCTACTCCGCAGGCGCTCAGCGTGGGGGAGCGGATTTTGCTTCAATCAAGACCCGAAAGCCTCTTCAGGCAGTTCCTGAGAACAGCCGACCTCGACTCATGACTGCAGCCCCGAACCCCCACCCCCACGCCGCCTAACCCCGCCAGGCTGGGCTCCCATAGCCTCCCTCTAAAGCCAGCCCAGTGTGGCTCACACGGCCAGACCCAGGCGAAGGCCCTGCCCACCGCCCCCCGAGGCCCAGCCGGGCCCCGCGCAGATCCCTGACCTCCAGTCCGGCCTTCTTAGAGGACCCCGTTCCTCAATACTCGCCCTCCGAGGCCCTCGGCCGTCCCCTAGACACGACCCTGACCCCAGCCACTGTACCCGGCTTATTATTCCGCGGCGGCCGCAGCGGCAGCTACAACAACCGCGTCGCTCTCCGCTCAATTTCCAAGAGCCAGCTTTGAAGCCAAGTGCGAGCAGTTTCAAACTCACCGCGCTAAAGGGCCCCGGATTCACCAATCGGGTAGCCCGTAGACTTTCAAAGCAGCCAATCAGAGCCCAGCTACGCTGGGCAGGCCTTCCCGGGTGGCTAGAGCGCGAAAGAAAGAGGAAAGGGCGGCTAGAGAAAAAGCAGGAGGGCGGGCGCCAACTGAGTGCGAGCGCAAGCGCTCTCCTCCAGTCGGGAGAGTGTCGTCCTACTGTTTCTAGTCAGCGGAGCAGGAAGCTACTGTTCGCTCCGTTCTTCTTTTAAATTTTTTCTCCCAGCATTGGCACAGTTCAAATTTATTATACTCAAAATAGCTCATCAAAAAAGTGATATTGTGTTTACATCGAGATTCCATTACTTTCACTTCTAATACTTAGGGTTAGGAGTGTATAGTTATGTTTTTCTAAATGCGTGATTTGCGGGCTGGCTCCAAGGAGCACATTTCAGTGACCTTAAGAAGGAAATGGAAAACTCAAAAGACCGCCTCAAAAATGTAAAGGAAAATTTATTATTTATATCGCTGTGCTTTGTTTCTACCTCATTTTTGAATTTAATATTAAATTATTTTATTATTTACATTTTGTTTATTATACAATTAAAAACATTTGAAATGTATTAAATTTTAAAATATTTTCACATCAGAATTTTAAATATATAGAGAGAGGCATGCATTTAGAGACTGGGTCTCATTATGTTGCGCATGCTGGCCTCCAAATCCTGGGCTCAAGCAATCGGCCTCAGCCTCCAGCGCAGCTGCGACTACAGGCACTCGCCACCACGCCTGGCTTAAATATAATTAAAACACAAAAATTCACAATTCTATGAGGGGAGAGAAAGAGGCTTAAATTATGCTTTAAATAATCCAGTGTCAAAAACTCTGTCTTCATTGCCATCCATCATATCCTTGAGAGAGATTTCTGCACTTACTGCAGTTAATTTTTTTTTCCTTTTTCTTGTTCTTTCCTTCTTTCTCTCTTTCTTTCTTACTTTTTTTTTTTCTGTTTGTTTGCGGAGACAATGTCTCCTTATGTTGCCCTAGCTGGTCTCCAACTCCTAGGCTCCAGCAATCCTCCTGCCTTGGCCTCCCAAAGTGCTGAGATTACAGGCGTGAGCCACCAGCCCAACCTAAACACCATTCTAAAATCTTTTTAAAATAAACAAATAGAACAGTAAAACAGAGCTAGACATAATAAAAATCCATTTTAAGGATTTCTGGTTGCATTGATCCTAATGGGACATAGAACAAAGACTGATTACCACATCCACTACAAGTATGTATTAGAAGACCCAAATCAGGATATGGAATGGAACTTCCTTACCCTTGTGATATAGAGTATATCACATGCACTTAAGTGTTTAACACCTTTTAACACAATGAGCTGCATCTATCATCTGGTGTTATACATTGCATCTGGCTCAACCTTGACAATTTTTGTTCCTAGGCAACAGAGGCAGAGCATTTGGGAGTCATGGTGTAGGTAGGAATTTAAGAACTCCTGCTGGAGCCTAATCACTTTTAAAACTTATGTTTAAAATCCAAACTTCATTTTTTAAATGAAAACTCACTGCCCCAGAGAAGTGCTCTAGGGAACCAGGCTGTTCTGTGCAGTTTATGGTACTGGTTTTAATGAATTTTAATATGTCTTTCTCTTTGAGAGGCTTAAGAGGAATTCAACTTCTATATCATCTAAAAATGGCAACTAATTCATTATATCCATTTTACCTTTAACATAAAGAAGACCACAAGCTTCCACAGCTGTGATGCTAGGTGTATCAATTTAACTCAATCATCTTTCTTTATAAAGTTTCAGAGGTTATTGTAAATCCATGCTATCATCTTGGCAAATACAGTTTATTACCCTTTGGGCCAACTTCTATGTAGTATCTCCAAAGTGCAACACTGTGCTTCATAGACACAAAAATGAATAAGATACAGTTACCGCTGGAGGTGTTGAGGGTAGGGGAGCAGGATGATAATTGGGAATTCTCTTCTGGTACTTACCTTGTAACTTATGTTACAGGGCAATGTGAGAACCCAGAGGAGGAAACTGCTAATGCTAGCAGAAGTGACATTTGAACAAAGGCTGGGGAAAGGATTCTGGAGTGGGCCTTCCATACAGAGGAAATTGTATAAGTAGAGCACAGAGGCCAGAAAGTCAACCCAGGTAATTCAGGGTGCCCCCCATGGTAGAATGTAGGGAGTACTGCATCCTGTGATGTTAAAGTCAGAGAAGGGAGTTTACAGTCAGAATCCTGATGAGCGCTGAACACTGTTCCAAAGGATCTGAGCAGGAGAGGTACACACAGCCTTGGAACCATATTTTAGGAAAACTACCCTAGAGGTGGTATTAAAAAAAAAAAAACTGCAGAGGAGAGCAGGGGAAGGTATGTGCTCTGAAAAACTTCATATTTGTATTTTGGTAAACTCCATTTTGGAAGGAAAAGAAAAGATCAGTTGGTATTGCACATAAGTCTTTTTGGTTTTGTTTCTTATATTTACGTATTTCTATGGTCTGAATGTTTGTTGTCCCCCCACCCCGCTAATTCATACGTTGAAGGCCTCACCCCACTGGGATGGTGTTTGGAGATGAGGCTTTGGGAGGTAATTAGGTTTAGATGAGGACATGAGGGTGGGGCCCTCGTGATGGAATTAGTGCTCTTATAAGAAGAGACGCTGAAGAGCTTGGTTGCTCTCATGTGAGGTTAGAATGAGAAGGCACCTGTCAGTGAGGAAGTCAGCCCTTGCCAGAACCTGATGTTGCCCGCCCTCTGAACTTGCACACCAAGCCTCCAGAACTGAGTGAAAATAAAATTTTGTTGTTTAAGGCACGTAGTCTATGGCATTTTGTTATGGCAGCCCAGGTCAAGACAAGTGTTTTTTTTAGATAAGAAAAATGTGAGAACATTTGCTTGAAAATACACCTCCGGGCCGGGCGCGGTGTCTCACGCCTATAATCTCAGCACTCTGGGAGGCCAAGGCGGGTGGATCACGTTGTCAGGAGATCGAGACCATCCTGGCCAACGTGGTGAAAACCCATCTCTACTAAAAATACAAAAATTAGCTGGGCGTGGTGGCACATGCCTGTAATCCCAGCTACTCGGGAGGCTGAGTCAGGAGAATCGCTTGAACCCTGGAGGCGAATGTTGCAGTGAGCCGAGATGGCGCCACTGCACTCCAGCCTAGTGATAGAGCGAGACTCCTTCTAAAAAAAAAAGAAAAGAAAAGAAAATACACTTCGGGAAGGAGGTGGAAGAAACTAATAAAAATGTGCCCTCTGTGGAATACAAGAGTGACCTGGTACAGAGGTGGAAAGGAGAGTTTTGTATCTTTTGAATATTGAGCCACGTGAATGTACTACCCTAGCCCAAAAATGAACGAATAAATAAATGAATGAATGAATCAGTCTTGCCAAGGCCTCCATTGCTACTGGATAAAAATGGTAAAAATTGGCCAGGCACAGTGGCTCACACCTGTAATCCCAGCACTTTGGGAGGCCAAGGTGGAGGATCCCTTGAGGCCAGGAGTTTGAGGCCAGCTTGGCAACATAGTAAGACCCTGTCTCTATACAGACAAATATATAAAAAGAAAAAAAAAATTTAAAAGTTGCCGGAAAATGTATGCAAAAGAAGAAGATTTATCCTTTTTCATGTTAATTCAGAAAGGAAAGTGACAGAAAATACAAGATATATAGATTCAGGTCTTTTCACCACAAGTGAAAATACTGAACTATCGTTGCTATGACAGAGTTGGGTGTTTTTCTGATTATAAAAGTAATGTGATTTTTCTGTAAATTTTAAGAAATAATCCAAAGTGTAAAATACAGATAATAAAAGTTTGTCATATACAACCTCCATGCCCCCTATCTTCATTCTCGCCCCACAAAAAGAGAAAGAGATCACTTTAAACCTGTTGGTAGTTGTACTTTAAATGCATACATGTCAACCCACCTTAATCTCTCATTGGAATTTTAGAAACTGGGCATGGTGTAGGGAGAAGAGATTCATATGTCAACCTTGGGACTAATGAGGATCAAGGATAACAGGTGAGTAGCTGTGGATCTTCCACCTAGGTGGGGTGCAAATGTTTACAATGCAATATGGTGAAGACTGCTGTGTGCAGAACATAGTGGAGAGGGCATCAGGCAAGGCTTCATAGCAAAGTTGACTGAACTGAGTCTTAAGGAATAAAAAGAGTTTGCCAAGAAGACAAATGAAGGTGGAGAGCTTGATCCATTGACAAGAAAGAACAATGCAAGTTTGTAGACTGAAATTAATTCAGTACGCTGAACATAAACAGAATCTGGGTGCTCAGCAAGGGTCATAAACATTAGGCTAGGTAGTTAAATAATATCTATACCTTGAAGGTAATGTTCAAGGTCATGCTAAAAGTTTTGGATTAGACGTTGGACTTGAACAAAAAAATGTGAACAAGGCAGTGACATGGTCATAAGTGGGAGTTAGGGGGGAAAAGTCATGAAGAGGGCTGGTGATGCAGCATCAGAGCCAGCAGACAATGGAGGGCTCTGCAACAGTCCCAGCAGGTGCTGAACTTGGGGAGATGTCAGTTTCAAGAGGAAGAAATGACAATGAGATATTTTTAGGAGCTGGGACTGGGTTAAAAAAGGGAGAAGGAGTCATCAGGGATGACTTGGGTGTGTGGCTTTGCAACAGGCTGAGGGTCCTGCTGTTCTAGAGAGATGCTAAGGGGCAGCTATGGGGCATGGAGCATCACTTTGGGCATATTGATAGTGAAGTACTGTGGGACATCCACGTGGCTGGATATGGCCAAGGGTAAGTGTAGGTTCCATAGGGCCTGAAGTGTATATCACTTGCGGATTGCTATAATTTGAAGGTATGTGCCCCTCCTAAATGCATATGTTGGAACTTAAACCCCAAGGTGATGGTATTAAGAGGTAGGGCCTTCGGGAGGTGATTATTAAACCTCGAGGGCTTTTCCCTCATTAATGGGATTAATGCCCTTATAATAGATGCTGCAGAGAGCTGCTGGTATCTTTCCATTTCTTCTTCCATGTGAGAACCCAGAGTCCATTATTTTTGCCCTTCTGCCACGTGAGGCTGCAGCAAGATGGCACCATCTTGGAAACAGAGAGCAGGCCTCACCAGACTCCAAATCTGCTGGTGCCTTGGTCTTGCACTTCCCAGTCTCTAGAACTGTGATAGTTTATAAATTATTCAGTCTACGGTGTTTTGTTACAGCAGCAGGAACAAACTTAGAAAGGGATCCCTTTTAAGAAAAGGAATCCAAAATTAAGTGTGAGGGGGAATATGTATTGAGAATAAGAAGTCACAAAATTATAGAATTTTTTTAAGTTGTAAAATCATATAAAATCACAAAATCCACAAATTATATTTTTATTAGTTGATACCTCTTTATAATGCCTTTTGTCCTACTTTTCTTAGCTACATTTTTTAGAATCATATTTTAACTGTTTTGTTATCTACTCACCTTACAAGCTCCTTCATCTTTGTTTTTCCGTGACACAATTTTATAATATTTTCTATATAGAGAAAAAAGATAATTTAGTCTTTCCTCTGGCATGGTTAATCGAAACTGGTTTTGTATGATTGATCATTTCAAAAAAGTTTCTTTGGCTTCCTATGTCATTACTGGTCATATCATGTAAATTTTTAGAATTTCTGTCCAATCTGAGAAAATATTTATTTCACATCTGAGCTGTTTGTACTGCTGCTCTAAGTGTGTGCCCTACAAATGCAAGATTTATGGTAATCCTAATTTGTTGATTCCTAATATTCCAGATTCCAAAAATTATCTTATGTTTTTATAATTGTTTATGGTGTATTAATGAGTATATTCCTGATGCAAGAGAAGTTCAGTTTACATGAGGTAATGATGAATATCAAAGTCCTATCTGCTTATAATTTTATACATCTAAGTTTGTTTGTTTGTTTGTTTTTGGACAGGGTCTTGCTCTGTCGCTCACGCTGCAGTGCAATGGTACAATCATAGCTCACTGTAACCACGAACTCCTGGGCTCAAGTGATCTTCTGCCTCAGCCTCCTGAATAGCTAGGACTACAGGCACATGCCACCACACTTTGCTAATTTTTTGTTGTTGGTGGTGGTGGTGTTGAGACAGGGTCTCGTTTTATTGCCCTAACTGGTCTCAAACTCCTGGGCTTAAGCAATCCTCCCACCTCAGCTTCCCAAAGTGCTAGAATTAACAAGCATAGCCACCATGCCCAGCCACATCTGATAATTGAAAGAACTTTCCACAGGTTAGCTTCTCCTCTGTTACCCACTACTTACTTACTTCTGGTTCAGTTAAGATCTTTTACCCTACACCTTCACTTCCAGATGCCAGGAGAGTTTGCAGAGCAGGTGGAAAGGGTTTCCTGGGAGACGTGCCTACATTAGGACTGCTGGCAATAACTTGGAAGTGCTGTGGATAAACATCTGGATACCGTTAATTCCGATCTAAAGTATGTCTTAGTCCACTCGGGCTGCTATAACAAAATGCCATGGACTAGGTGGCTATATACAACAGAAATTTATTTCTCACAGTTCTGGAAGGTGGGAAGTCCAAGATCAGGGTTCTGGCAGGTCCAGTGTATAGTGAGGGCCTGATTCTGCATAGACAGCTCTTTTCACTCGAACCTCACATGGTAGAGGGGGCAAGGACTCTCAGGCTTCTTTTAGGGTCCTTTCTCATGAGCTAATCACTTCCCAAAGACCCGCCTCCCAATATCATTACCTTGAGGATGAGAATTTCAACTATGAATTTTGAGGGGACATAAACATTTAGATCACAGCAATGTATCCTTAACTCAACTTCCCCTGGGCTGAACCTCAAAAATGTTCATAGTCACTCAATGCCATTGAAGAGGTAGGGAAATGTGACTGATAGGGAATTGAAGTGGAAACAAACAGCAGCTTTAATCAACTGTAGTTAAAATATCTTACTATATACATTTTACAAAAACATGACTACATGAGCATATTGCTAAGTGTCCCTCTCAGAGCCATGAGAGGGACACTTAAGCTTCATTAGAATCATGGTACATCTAACTCTGTGGACAATTTTATATATAGTACATCTAACCTGTGGACAATTTTATATATAGTTGAAGCTGAGAGAAATGATCAGGGCAGTCATTGTAGTTGAATTGCTTAGGTATTTTTTATGGATTCCTGATGTCCCTTAAACTTGATCACAATACTACTTATGCCTAAGATAGGCCTTTCTTCAATGCAGAGTGAGAAGTGGTTAAGTTTTTATCTTTACAAAGTCATCCCACTGAACAAAGGCAATGGATTATGATTAGATCTCTAATCAGCAAGTTAAGGAATTCATATAAAAGTTCATTTTCTAATGGTGTTAAACAAATGAAGTTCTAATTTAACTCACTATTCTGTCATCTGAAACGAAACAGGCCTGAAGATTTAACATCATGAAATATTCTAATTCATTTTAAATGTTTACTATAATTAACAAATTTCAAAGAGCAAAGCTACAATGACATTTCTCAAAAATGAGATGAGTACTTCAGGGTCTTGTAGTGCCTGAGGGCCTCCTTATGAACATCCCTTATCTGGCTCTGTGCTGTGCATCATTTTATAGCAGGGATGTGCTGCTGAAGTACAACACATAACACTATACAAAAGCTCCAAATTGTGTCAGTTCCACTCACCAAATACGGAGTGTCTTCTGTTTGCCTGGCATTATCTGAGGACCATTAAAGATGCAAAGATGAACTAGACTACCTGTTCTTTTTAATTTTTTAAAATTTCCATAGGTTATTGGGGAATAGGTGGTGTTTGGTTACATGAGTAAGTTCTTTAGTGGTTATTTGTGAGATTTTGGAGCTTGAGAGGAGACGAGATAAGAAATAATGCAACAAATGATTATACTTCCTTTACACCAATTATCTTCCTTCGGCTGGGTTTTTGAACCAAGTGCAGTGGGGACACAAAGAAAAGAGGTCACATCCAGATGGGACAAAAAGGAAAATATTTCATCTGCTATGTCAACAACATTTGATAACATTATTAGAGCCTTTCCTATGCCCCAAGCACTAGCTTAAACAATGGCTACAGAAACAAGATTAAGATACAAGGTTGCCCTTCTGTGCTTCAGAATCTAGGTGGGGAGACACATACAAAGAAAAATAATTTAAAGAGAAAAATCAACTTTTTCTTAAACAAGACAAAACCAAAACTTCTTCTTAACCCTGGAATCATATTTTCTTTCCACAGCCAATCCCTAAACCAGAGACTCAAAAGGCATGTTGGCTGTGCTATCATGACAAAGGGCCCTTCTAAATTGGGTGTGCCATCATGGTGGTTAAAAGCTCAGATCTAGAGACCACCTGGGCTCAAATCTTTTTAACTCCTGGCTCCTGCCTTACCTCATCTGTGACTTTGGGCAATAATTTCATTTCTCTGTGCCTTCTCCACTCAAGTGTTGATAATAATAGTACCCAGTTGTAACGCTTTGGTCATAAAATGAGTTATCCAGATAACATTTACTTAGATCAGTGCTTAGCCTGAGGTAAGCTCTTCACACATGATTTCTTTTTCTTAATCTCATTGATTACTATCTATTCTTACAAAAATAGCTCGCATAGTGGGTCCTGGAACAGAAAGTTGCATACATTGCTATGGGGTCACAGGAGAAAGGAAAATAACTCTTGGGAAGGCAGTGTGATCCCTGCGGTGGGTTTGGAAGGAAAGATGATGTTATCCTTTCAGATGGGAATGAGGGAGAGTAGGACTGGATTAAACATCCATGCAAAGGGAACAGCATATGCAACAGTGCCTATGCAGTGTCATAAAGGCACCTGGCTTGCTTGGGACTGATGAAAGGAGCTTGTTACAGTTTAACAGAGTGCATATGAAGTAATTCTTGAAAGATGAGCACAACTTTGGCAAGTAGAGATGGAAGAAGGAAGTCAGTGGGGTGGAGATAGTCGACTAGGTGGGTGGCACTCCAGGCAGAAAGAGGGAAACATGGGGAGGGGTGAGATAACATCCAGGAGTGGGATTTGTCTGGAGGGTAGGGTGGGTACAGGGGCTGAAGGGCTTAGAGGAATGGAAGGAGAGTTGGATTCACATTGTGAAGAGCTCTGGAAGCCACCATGGGGAGTTTACCAGCAGCACTTCAAGCAATCCAATGGGAAGAATGGAAGGTTCTTTTTGTTTGATTGAGCAGGGACATGATAGAATCAAATTTTCCCTTTATACAGATTAATCTGACAGTACTTTCAGAAAGGATTAGTGTGGGAAGAGAGAGGAGCAAGAATGCCATTTAAAAGACAATACTCTCTAGGAGTTCATTAACATCTAAGTCTGGGACCAACTCTATAAAGCTAAAATCGATAAATTACTCTGTGTGTGTGTGTGTGTGTGTGTGTGTGTGTGTGTGTGTGTGTTTAATCTGGAGGCTATGCCGTAAGGATATTATGACTGTGATTCCACTAGAGGGTAGTAGAGACAAATTGGTAAAATAGGCTGCTATTTTTCCCTACCTGCTACAGGCTAACTATCTTCTTGTCTATATTTTGTAATGGTTGCAAGTTTAATTTAGTTACTCCATGGCTAAGAAAAATATGACAAGTACATTTAGTGGGTTATAGCTCTAGACAGTTTAGTAAGTTCAAGGTATCAATTTTTAGAAGACAATAAAGCTGGACTGACAAAATCAGAAAGCTGACTGGCCTTTAGCCTTTTTACAATAACCAATAACTCATTATGGCATTGAACTGAAAACCTTCTTTTAAATTGAATGCTGAAAATTACATCCAAATCTCTTGTTGATTATATTAAAAAAAAAAAGATTGGTAAAAGTTAATTCTGGTGTGCACTCTTGGTTAAGTAATTTAAGTTGGGAAGGCATTTCTTTGGTATACTCATCTACAGATAATATCCTAAAATAGATACTGCTATATTATATACATTGCTATATTTTAGCATACACACACATACACATACACTTTTGGAAAGTAATAAGCAATAAAGATCTATACTGCATATATTGTTTTGTTTTTCAACTTGTATTTTGTTTACTGTTAATTTATCATGAGGAAATAATTATATATGTATAAAACCATATACTTGAAAAAGTTCATTGTAACATTTTCTAAATTAATAAAAATTTATAGCCAGCCTAGAATCTAATCGGGAAATGGTTAAATAGGAAAATTAGGGTACTTTTCTTAATCAAATACCACATACACAGACACATACTGTGATAGCAAGTTTGTAAAAGCAAGAACTTGTACTAAAAGTAAGCAGATACAGAATTGTTCACTTAGTGTTATGGGATGTGTCATCGTTTAAAAACACTTCTTCCAACTAGTTTTATGTTGTTTTTAGAATGACCACACACAAAAAGGTTAATATACCGTCAATAATGTTTTACTTACAACTTCAAGACATTGCCACTTAGCTAACACCTTACAATTTTTCAGTCCAAAGATCACTATATTAATACTTTAATCTGAGTAACTCTCTTCTATTACTTTATATTGTTAAAAGGAAGGGAAGGAAGGAAGGGAGGGAGGGAGGAAGGCAGGAAGGCAGGAAGGAAGGAAAGAAGGAAGGAAGGAAGGAAAGAAGGAAGGAAGGGAAGGAAAGGAGGTGGGGAGGGAGGGAGGAAACTGAGACTCCTAGAATGCATCTGCTATCATATCTACAATGAAATATCTCTGGAGTAAGCTATAGTATTTAAAAAAGATTTATTAAGTACCTTCCTCAATAGCTTAAGGAAAGGAGTGCAAAGAGGCCAGCAGAGCAAACAGAATTCTGAAATGGAATTTGTCCATACCAGAAGTACAGTGTGTTACCATATTTCAAATGGGTGTGTCCTACTGCAGGAAGTAGAAGCTTCAGAAACTTGTTCAGTCATGAAAACGTTGTAGTTGAACATCCTCTTCCATCTTTAAAAATACAAAAGGCCAGGTGCGGTGGCTCACGCCTGTAGTACCAGCACTTTGCGAGGCCAAGGCAGGCAGCTTGAGGCCAGGAGTTCGAGACTAGCATGGCCAACATGGTGAAACCCCGACTCTACAAAAAGTATAGAAATTAACCAGGTGTGGTGGCAGGCACCTGTAATCCCAGCTACTTGGGAAATTGAGGTAGGAGAATTGCTTGAACACCAGAGGTGGAGGTTGCAGTGAGCTGAGATTGCACCACTGCACTCCAGCCTGAGTGAGAGAGTGAGACTCTGTCTCAAAACAACAACAACAACATAAGAAAACCCCAAACTAAAACTAAACTCATCTTCATTCTAATGGCTTCTAAACACTCGCAAAGGCAATAAGCATGGAGTTATAGAATAATAAAATGTTAAAGTTGTTGACGCCTTAGAGATCATCTAGTGAAAAGTACCCTAATTTTCCTAATGAAAAGGGAAGAGAGTCTTAAGGAGTGTTACGTTCCTTTCATTTTTAGAGCAACATGTACTTATTACATTTGTTTTGTTATTTAAGCTTCTGATAATAGTGTAACTTTGTCAGTAAGTAGGATGCGTGTGTGTGTGTGTGTCTCTGTGTGGGTAGGTAGGTAGTCAGACAGAAAAAGAAATTAAATGTTTCCAGATGGTAATAATAACCATCTTTTATAATATTTAAAATTGTGCCAGGTACTATTCTAAGTACTTTAAATGGACTATGTTTAAAGATGCAACAATTCTGCTGGTGCAGAGCCAGCTTCAGATGAGGAAACCGACATCTCAAGAGTTTAGATAATTTGTGCAGTGCCAGACAGCTAGCAAGGGGCAGAATGGACACTTGAACCTAGGATTTTTCCTGACTTCAAAGCCGAGCTTCTCTACCTGCATGCAATGTTCCTCTTATGTGCAATAAAATAAATACATGGCACTGTATTAAGATGATAAATTACTTGAAATATTATTAACATTAATTTTGATATATAGAAATAATATATTTTGTCCTCTTATACTGTTGTGTCTGAATGATGATTTCATTCTCACCAATATCTCCCTAAATCACAGTAGAAGTGTATCATTTTCTTTAAATAAGAACATGATTAGAGAAGGTTGAATCATTGGTTAATAGTAGAGTATTTAAAATAGTTGTCCATTTTTCTTGGAACATCACAATCATTAGCTTCAGATGAAATGGATGAGACACTTTAGAACTTATTCTTATATAGCTGTAGGTCCAGATTTTCTCTCATCACTAGAATTTTCCACTCAAGATACATGGTTGTTTATTTTCAGTGCTTTTGTGGGACTAGGCAGGGGGTTACATAAGAACACAGCAGTGGACTAATGTAATCCTTGGTTTGTGACACATTGTCACTATTGGTGCATTTACGGGCATCCTTATTTATATAATTATTAATTTATAGTAATAAAGTAATAAACACCCATGAAACCCTAACCCAACATTAAAACTGGATCCTGAACAATAACTTACGTGTGTGTGTGCTCCTCTTTGCATCATCTCATTTGACTACTGCCCAAACCTCAGGTAACTGCTGCCATCTTGAATCATCATTCCTTTGCTTACCTTTTTATTTAGTTTTGTCTTATCTGTATAGCCTTAAAAATGTATAGTCTTAAAAAGTCCCCTTGAATTTTATTTAAATTTTGTTGTTTTTTTTTTTGAGATGGAGTCTGGCACTGTCACCCAGGCTGGAGCTCAGTGGCACGATCTCCGCTCACTGCAAGCTCTGCCTTCTGGGTTCACACCATCCTCCTACCTCAGCCTCCCGAGTAGCTGGGACTACAGGTGCCCGCCACCACGCCCAGCTAATTTTTTCTATTTTTAGTAGAGACAGGGTTTCACCGTGTTAGCCAGGATAGTCTCGATCTCCTGACCTCATGATCCGCCTATCTCGGCCTCCCAAAGTGCTGTTAAAACTTTTTAAACCTCAAAATAGTTGAGAGTAGTAGCAATAAAACTCTTATACCCTTACCCTAAATTCCCCAATTATCGTTTGACCAAATTTGATTTCTCTTCTCTTCTCCTCTCCTCCTCTCTTCTCTCTTCCTTCTTCTCTTCTGTCATTCTTCTTCCTTCCTCTTCCTTCTCCTCCTTCTTCACCTTCTCTTTCTTTGCTCTCTTCTTCTTCTTCTTCTTTTCTCTCTTCCCACTTCCTGAACCATTTTGAAGTAAATTACAGACATCATGGCTTCCTCAAATGCCTCACTTGCATTTCTTGAGAATGATGTTTTCCTATATAACCAAACACCACTATCAAAACCTAGGAAAGTAACACTAATTCCATAATACTCTAATATATTATCCACATTCAAATATCCATACTTTTCCAAAAAAATGTCTTTTAGAATCTGTTTATTATATCTCTATTTTAATAGTCTTCCATCTTCTGTTTTGTTTGTGTTTTGTGAGAATATATTTAAGCTGGTTGTTCTGAAACGGTTCCCACGTGGTAAGTTTATCTGATCATTTCTTCTTGGGGTCATTTAACTTGTTTCAATATCCCTGTATTGCATACAATATTTTCTGTGTTGTATACTGGTCTGGTAGGTTTGATTAAGTTCAGGTTATGCATTTTTGGTAAGGATACTTAATAGTGAAGTTGTGCATTTCACATTGTATTCTGTCAAGAGGGACATGATTCAGGTGGCCCACTTCACTTAATTGTAATTTTTAATTAAATCTTTTCATTTTAGGCTGGACATGGTGGCTCACGCCTGTAATCCCAGCATTTTGGGAGGCCAAGGAGGGCAGATCACTTGAGCCCAGGAGTTTGAGACCAGCCTGGGCAACATCATTAAACCCTATCTCTACAAAAAATACAAACAAATTAGCTGGGTGTGGTGGTATGTGCCTATAGTCCCAGCTACTTTGGAGGCCGAGGTGGGAGGATTGCTTGAGCTCAGGAGTTTGAGACTGCAATGAACCATGATTGCACCACTGCACTCTAGCCTGGAGGACAAAGCGAGACACTGTCTCAAATAAAATAAAATTTTTAAATATAAATTTTTCCATTTTATAGTTGTGTTCATAAATTCTTTAATACTCTTCCACTCATGAGGTGGGTCTTAATTCTTCTCCCTCTAGCCAGTATGCCATGAGAACACTTAGGCCATGGTTGGAGTGGCCTTTGGGTGAGAAACTAGTCTCCTTCCAAGAGCCAGCAATGAACTAGTTCTGCTAGTGAATGAGCTTGGAAGCAGATATTGTGCTAATATTTGGTTATTAAGTTATATTTTTCAAGAAATTTTTACATTGGGTACAATTTTTCAAATTGTTGGTACATAGGTGATAGTAGTATTCTCTTACTACATTTTATATCTCCAGCAGGTCTATACATTGTTTTAATTCATGATACTATTTATTTGTGACTTTTCTCCTTTTTCTGGTACAATCTTGCCAGAAGGTTATCTTTGTTTGTTTTTTCTTACTGTTGTTTCTGTTTTGGTGTTTTTTGAGACAGAGTCTAGCTCTGTTGCCCAGACTGGAGTGCAGTGGCAGTATCTTGGTTCACTGCAACCTCTGCCTCCCAGGTTCAAGCGATTCTCATGTCTCAGCCTCTTGAGTAGCTGGGATTACAGACACATGCCACCACGCCTGCCCTGTTTGTTTTGGAAGAACCCATGTTTGCCTTTGTTAACGTTCTCCGTTGTATCTATAATTTTATATTTCATTAATTTCTGCTTCTATTTGTATTATCTCTCTCCTCCTATGCATTAACATTTAGTATCTTGTCTTTCCTAATATAAGTATTAATATCTAAAGATGTCCCTCATAATGTCATTTTTGCTGTATACTATGAGATTCGATATACAGGGTTTTAACTTTTTGAATGTATAGAGACAGTAAAAATAAATGTTTAAATATCATTGTCTGCTAATTCTGACATCTGTATCATTTCATTTTCCTTCTTAGTTGATTTTTCTCTTCATTATTGGTTGTATTTTTCTGCTTCTTTCCATGCCTGTAATTTCTGTTTCTTTGCATGCAGTAATTTTTACCGCATCAGGCATTACTTTTACCTTGTTGGGGGCCGGATCCTTTTGTATTGCTATAAATATTTCTGAACTTTGTTCTGAGGTGCAGATTAACTTCCTTGGAAACATTCTGATCCTTTCCAGTCCTGCTTTTATGATTTGTAAGAGAAAAAATAGATAGAACCAGAGCTGTGTTTAGTCTAGAGCTAATTATTCCCCATGTCTGAGGCAAGACCCTCCTGGTTACTCTTTTGGTTGTCCCAGAAATTATGAGTTTTTCTACTCTGGCAGGTAGAAGCAGACACTGTTCCTGGCCTTGGGTGAGCAGCAGGTACTACTCCCTTTAATCTTTTGGGGTGGCTGTATTAGTTAGGATCCTCCAGAGAAACAGAACCAATAGGATGTGTATGTGTGTGTCTGTGTGTGTGTGTGTGTGTGTGTGTTAATTGGCTCATATGATTACGGAGGCTGAAATGGCTCAGGATCTGCAGCCGGCAAAGCTGGAGACCCAAAAGAGCCAACAGCATAATTTCCAGTCTGAAAGCCAGAAGGGGGTTCTAGAACCAAGAAGAGCTGATGTTTCAGTTTGAGCAAAATCAGAAGACTGACATTCCAGTTCAGGCAGGAGAAATTCCCTTTTACTCAACCTTTTGTTCTAGCCAGGACTTAAACTGAGTGGATGAGGCCCAACCTCTCCCTACATTAGGGAGGGCCATTGCCTTTACCCAGACAATCAATTCAAATGTTAATCTCATCCAAAAACACTCTCGCAGACACACCTAGAAGAATGTTTAACCAAATGTCTGGGCACCCCATGGCTCAGTCAAGTTGACACATGAAATTAACCATTACAATGGTTCTTTTCCTGCCCTCTGTAGTTCATTCACCTGAATTCTCAAGGGAGACCAGCTTCACATTTGCAGGGGGTTCTGTGCTTTCCTCCTCAGGACTCTGTCCTGTGAATGCTAGAGTTTTGGGTTTGTCTCTCTGGATTCTCAGCTTTGTCTCTTCAACTCAGAGATTTTACTGGCTCTGCCTGGGTCCCCTTCCTGCACCAGGCTGTCTCAAGACAGTGAACTGGGGCAATCACTGGGTTTAACCCATTTGATTCTTATCTCTCTTGGATCACTGTCTTAAATTGCCTGATGTTGAGTGTTTTGAAAAGTATTGTCTCATATATTTTGTCTATCTTATTATTTTTTATAATTCTTTAAGGTGGTGGGGGGGATAAATTTAGTACCTGTCACTCCAGGCTTCCAAGCAGAAGCACCTATAGTATCCTACATTTTATTTTTAAATTTCCAGTATAATTTTTTCCCTTTAACCCAGGGTTATTTAGAAGTGTGTTTTTAAAACTTGTAAATATTCTTCATTTATCATTTTAAAATTGTTTAAACTTAAAGCAGAATCTTATATATGTCCACTAAGTTCAGGCTCATTATTTGTATTACTCATATCTCTTTATCATAGTTGAATTTTTCTTTTAATTTTCAATCCTTGTTTGGTTGAAAGCACTGTTGAATTTCTGACAGCCTCATCTATCAATAGATAAGACAAATGTGTTGAAATCTCTCATTATGATAGTTGAATTTATTAATTTCTACCAGCAGTTCTATCAAATTTTGCTTCATATTTTTTAGAATATTTTATTGTGCTGCTATGTATTTAGTATTTCTATAACTTCTTGGTGAATTGAACTTTTAATCATTATGTAGCAACCATCTTTTTTCTTAATAATGCTTTTGTTCTTAAAACCTATATCAGAATTGTCTGATGGAAATATGTGAGGCATATGTGTACTTTTGAATTTTCTTGGAACCACACTATAAAGGTAAAAAGAAACAGGTTAAGTCAATTTTAATATTACATTTTTTAAAAAAATTTTGAAACAGTCTCGCACTGTCACCCAGGCTGGAGTGCAATGGCACAATCTTGGCTGACTGCAACCTGTGCCTCCCAGATTCAAGCAATTCTCCTGCCTCAGCCTCCTAAGTAGCTAGGACTACAGGCATGTGCCACCATGCCTGGCTAATTTTTTTTGTATTTTTAGTAGAGAGGTGTTTTCACCACCTTGGCCAGGCTGGTCTCGAGCTTCTGACCTCAGGTGATCTGCCCACCTCGGCCTCCCAAAGTGCTGGGATTACAGGCATGAGCCACCGTGCCTGGCCAATGATACATTTTATTTAACTCAATATATTCAAAACATTATCACTTAAACAGATAATTAGTATAATAATAATTAATGAGATGTTGTATATTCTCTATATTTTGTGGTAAGTCTTTGAAATCTGGTATGTATTGTACACTTAAAGCACATCTCAATTTACACTAGCCTGGAGTGTGGTCAGTGCCTACCTTATTGGACAGTGCAGTTCTACATTGCTTTATCAACTTACATTTAGTTAATGTTAGTCTGTTACTTTTTTTTCCTTCTTGTATTTGAAACTGTATTCTCAAGCTCTGTATCCTTGTAAAAGACACATGCATTATTTTATGGAGTCTAAGATAAATATCAAATCTGGCATTGGGACAACTTTGAAATCAAGATGCATGTTATAATTAATGGAATGTTACAATCTCTGTCAGCCAGGTGGCATTTGTGACATAGTTGTCATTGCCTGTACATGCACAAGCATTATGGTTGTCATTGCCTGTACATGCCCAAGCATATCAAAACTTGAAGAATGGGTGTCAGTAGCTTAGAATCAAATTTCAGAAGAGCATACTGAGGGCTCTTTTAGCCCCTAAGTTTCAAATGGTTTGTGGGAAAGGAGTGGAGAAAGGTGTGAATCCAATATGTTTGGCAACATTCATAAAGCAAGAATAAACAAAATAAATTAGCTCCACATAATCGCAAGGTTGTCTTAAGACCACAGAACCAATGGTTTTTAGTTATTTTATGGATTATTTTAGAAAGTGCTGAATTACCAGTGCTCTTGATAACATGAACAATAATAATGAGAAATAAAAAGGTGATTCATGAGAGCTGAGTGGATGTGATGAAATTTTAGAAACACTTTAATTAATTTTTTTTCTTCTATTTTACTTACTTTCTTTTTTAAAAAAAAATAAAATAGAGACAAGGTCTCCCTATGTTGCCCAGGCTGGTCTCAAACTCCTGAGTTCAAGCAATCCTCCTGCCTCAGCCTCTCAAACTGCTGGACTACACAGGCGTGAGCCACTGCATCCGGCCCCAGCTTCTATTTTACTTTCTATGTGTACATTAGTTATATATGATTAACATATATGTCTAAATATAAGTAAAAGAGCCCCTTAAGCTAGCATAAAATAAAGTTTAACTGATCAGAAAGCTTTTGTCATAATTAATCGATAGCATTTCTTCTTTTCTCCTTAGATTTACATAATATAAATCTTACATTCTATGGCATGTTAGATTTGATGAAGTAAGGTTTCTAGATCTCAGTTCTGCTTTTATACAATGTGACAATCTCTTTTAATTAGTAAGTTTTGTCCACTTAAATTTATTGTAATTATTAATATATGTAACTATTTCTATAATCATAGTTTATTATTTAAATATGTAACACTTTTTCAGTGTTCCTGTTTTCGTCCTCTCTTTATATATCTTTCCATTTTGACAGGTCCTTACATCCCTTAATATATAAAATATTAAATTTGGGGTATTTGTGGATATTTCTCTCTCTCCCCTCCTGTACTGTACAGATTTATAGTAGGCAGAATAACAGCCTTTCAAAGATAACTGTATTCTAATCTCTGGGACCCACGAATATGTTACTTTACATGGCAGAAAGGTATCTGCAAATGTGATCAAGGTTAAGGACCGTGAGGACAGGGAGAGTAGCCTGAATTATCCAGGTGGGCCCAATCTAATCACAAGCATCCTTAAAAGTAGGAGAAGGGGTCAGAGAGTCAAAGTCAGAGGTGACCATTTTGAAGAACGATTGGAAAGAATCAAGGTTGCTACTTTGAAAATGGAGAACAGGGCCATGAGCCAAGGAATGGGACAGCCTCTAGAAACTGGAAAAGGCAAAGAATGGATTCAGCCCTAGAGCAGGGGTCCCCAGCCCTCCGGGCCACACCATGGCCTGTTAGGAACCAGGCTGCACAGCAGGAGGTAAGAGGTGGGAAGAGAATTACCACTTGAGCTCCACCTCCTGTCAGATCAGCGCTGGCATTAGATTCTCATAGGAGCGCGAACCCTATTGTGAACTGTGAATGCGAGGAATCTAGGCTGCATGCTCCTTATGAGACTCCGAGGTGGAATGCTTGAGAATCTTAGGTGGAACCACTTCATCTCAAAACCAACCCCCCACCCACCTCCATCCATGGAAAAATTATCTTGCATGAAACCAGTCTCTGGTGCCAAACAGGTTGGGGACTGCTGCCCTAGAGTCTGCAGAAAGGAATGATACCATTCTCCTACCTTGATTTCAGCCCAGTAAGACTTGCATTGGACTTGATCCTACAGAACTGAAAGGTAATACACTGATATTGTTTTAAGTCACCAGGTTTGTGTTAATTTGTCATAACGGTAATAGAAAACTCATGTAGAAATTTTAAACACCAAAAACTTTACCCAGTATTTGAAGACCTTTACTTCATATGTATCTTTCATATTTTCTAGAGTTGTCTTTTATTTGAGTGCTTTATCTATAATTGTTCTCAGGGTAGAATTTTGTGCGCTAAGTTTTTTGAGGTCTTTTATGCTTGAAAATATTTTTGCCAGATCCTTATATTTTAGCTGTTTAAAAAATTCTAAGTCCTGATTCATTTTCCTTTTTTTTCCTTTTAAGACAGAGTCTCACTCTGTTGCCAGGCTGGAGTGCAGTGGCACGATCTCGGCTCACGGCAACCTTGGCCTCCCGGGTTCAAGCGATTCTCGTGTGTCAATCAGCCTCCAGAGTAGAGGGGATTACAGGCAAGTGCCACCATGCCCAGCTAATTTTTTTTTTTGTATTTTTAGTAGAGATGGGGTTCCACCATGTTCCCCAGGCTGTTCTCGAACTCCTGGCCTCAAGTGATCTGCCTGCCTTGGCCTCCCAAATTGCAGGCGTGAGCCACCACGCTGGCTCCTCATTTTCCTTTTTTTAAAAAACATATCTGCTCTTTCTATAAGCTTTTAGAATTTCTTTTTCATGTGATATTTAAGTTTTTCACTTAGTAGATCCAGGAGAAGTGTGTTTTCCCCTTATTTCTTATGTTTTGGGCTTTATAGACCATTTCATCCTAGGTCTTTCATCTTTCTTTAATTTTAGGAGTTTGTCTTCTTTATTTCTTTAAATATTTATTCCTCCCTATTTCTATTCTTCTCTACTTTGGTGACTCCTTTTACCCAGATGTTGACAATTACACTCTTTCTTATCACCTAGCTTTATCTTTGTATTTTCTTTAGCTTTTTTTTCTCCTTCTTCCTTTGTTGAGAATTCCTCAATCGGAACTTCCACTAATTTTGTCTTTTTTTTTTTTTACTATATGTATTTTTTTCTCTTACTTGTTTAATACATGTTTTAGGTTTGTTTTGAATTCATTGTCTCTTCTAACATTGCTTATGAGGAAGTCTGTAATCACTTGCTATTTTTCTTTATAAATAGGTATCTGCTTGTTTTAGCCTATGAGATCCTATGTTCTAGAAGTAGTGCCTGCTTCATATGCTGGGAAAAGCTAAAGTCCATCCCTGACTAGGTGTTGAGGAAGTGTGAGGAATCCTGGGGGAGACAGTACCAGGCACAGAAAAGCACTCCTCCCTCCATGACTGGCTGGATGAAGCTGCCTTCAGTGGAAATACCGCTTCTACTGAAAGCAGGAGTGTGTAACTGAGCCCAGGAGTATCAAGGGGGAGGGGTGGGGAAGCAACTGCTTAAGACTAGTCTGTCCGCATCTGCTGTCTCTGCTCTTCACCTGCAAAGCTCTTCTGTGCTACAATCTGATCCAGCATTTCTCCCCAGTCTCCTCACGACTTCTAGTTGTTTAATTTAAGAAGATAAGAATGCAAACTATGTGAGCCTGGAGACAGAGACTGTTTATCTTTGCATCCACAGGGACCAGGATAGGGTCTGGCACTTGGTAAGGATCCAATAAATAATTTTATAGTGCATTTCATCACATGGAGGGAGAAAGATAGAGACTGGGAAGGGTGAGTCGGGGAGAGGAGGGAAGATGAAGGGAAGTGGGTTCAAGGATACAAACAGTTGACAGATGAATGAATTGATAGTAGAGTAGGGTGGCTATAATTAAACAAAAATGTATTGTGCTTGGATGATGGATACCCTAAATGTCCTGACTTAATCACTATGCATTATATATTTGTGGCAAAAGCTCACATGTGCCCCATAAATTTGAACAAATGAAAATAAATAAAACTCAAGATTATAAAAAGCTGAAAAAAATTTTTTTGCAGTGGAATAATCTGAAATAGTTATAAACTGGACTGGGGGTGGCACAAGAATGCTACTTACAAATCAATTACAAACATGTATTGACAATTTAACAAAGATTGAAGATAGAAGGTAAGGCTATAAAGGAAATTTGAAATTAAGTTCATCATGTTCTACAGAAATAAAAATTATTTGGTTCATTATGCATACACACAGAAAAGTCAGACAAGAAGTACTTATTTTCTGTACATATATATATATATATATATATATATATATACACACATGTATATATGATTTTATGCCACCTCTATGAGACATTCAATATTATTGCCAAAACTTTTTCTCTTGAAACTCTTTTTGATAGATGCATTCTTTCCACTACCAGCCTCTCTTATCGTTTTTCTCTTATCATTAATTTCTTTTACTTTACTTTTTTTTTTTTTTGGGACAGGGTCTTGCTGTGTTGCCCAGGCTGGAGTGCAGTGGCACCATTTCACCTCACTGCAACCTCCACCACCAGGGTTCAAGCGATCCTCATGCCTTAACCTTCCAGGTAGCTGGTACCACAGGCATGCGCCACAACACCCAGCTAATTTTTTGTATTTTTAGTAGAGACAGGGTTTCTCCACTTTGGCCAGGCTGTTCTTGAACTCCTGCTCTCAAGAGATCCACTCGTCTCGGCCTCCCAAAGTACTCCGATTTCAGGCATGAGCCACCATGCCCGACCGTTTTACCATTGACTTCTGCTCCCCCATTTCCTTCACTGACTAATTTCTTTTCTCTCCACCATGGGTCCCAGGGTTCTGTCCCGGGCACTCTTCTCACTCTATTCTCTTTCCTTGCATGGTCTCATCAAACCCCAAGATTACAGCTATCACTTACACAATGATGCTGTCTAAACCATATTTGCAATCCTCACCTCTCTTCTGAGTTCTAGGCTTACTACATACTAGACTGCTCCACCTGGAGTTCCCACTGGCACCTTAACCTCCAATATCTTCCCCCACCAAATACAGTCTGTCCATCTTAGTAACTGTTACCACTTTTGCCCGTGGCAGAAATCTCAATGTTGATCTTGATGACCATTTTTCCTCATGAATCACATCTAATTCAGCATGTCCATTCTACCTTCTTCTTTCTTCTTTACTTCTTTACTATATCTTCTTTACTGAGCTGACATCAGTAAAGTACTTGTTAAATAAACTGTAGTTTCTCAAAACATAATCCTGTGCTACTGTTAATAACTTGTGATTCTTCAAACATGTCATATTGCACTCTCTCTATCTGGAATGTCTACCCACTTTACCTACTCTTTGTCGAGTAAGAAGGTTCAGCAAAAATCTGGCTTGGTGGAGGAGAAAGTTTCAAGTTAGGTGGTAAAAATGGAGGCAATAAATTCAGTAACATCAAGAGAAACAGAAGGTCAGCCAGAATATGAGACAGAGTAGCCTTGTAGAGTGAGAAGCAAAACAACGAGAGGAAATAGAACTGTTAGTTAAAGTTTCATTGTCTAGTATCCAGTTCTTGTTGGCCTGGCAATGGGGTCATCATTTTATGGTAATTATTCCATAATGAGAAAACCTACATGCAAATGAAATAAATAATAATTAGGGATTTTGGACTAGTCACCATATCCTTGGAAGAAAGTAAGGGGATGATGTTGGGAGGGGGTCTTTGCTGCAAACAATGAACAAAATCATGAAGGGAAAGGAAATGTTGTATGTATATACAGGATTAACTTGATCCTGCACTTGGGAGAGCTTTATGGTACTATGCACCTGTGTTTGTCCCACTATTTTTGGTCAGAGTCAGTGAAAACTAATAAAGCCTGTGATTCTAAGTGTCTCTCATACTCATGTTGCTGTTGGAAGGAACCCTAGAAATCAAGAACCTAGACTTGGGAAAGATACTCACTGTCTACCTGGGTTTGGAATAATCCAGGCAGTTTGCTATTGACCTGCTCTTCCTGTCCTTGCCATTAATAGGTGACAAGCGGATAGTTGGGTAGAGAGGGCAGCATCAAATCTATCCAAACCTACTCTAGGAATTACAGCAGGGAGCTTACATCGATGAAGTACTTGTTAAATAAACTGTAGTTTCTCCAAACAATCCTGTGCTACTATTAAAAATTAAGGTTCAAGGGTGGAAGGAGGGGGAAAGAGAGAGAACTTTTTCTGTACCAAAATGGTATCATCTTCAATATATTGTTACATGGAAATAAAATAAGATGCAGAACAGTGATTATTGTATGCTAGCTTTTGTGTAAGAAATGGGAAAATAAGAATATATGTGGAGTATTTGCTGTTATTTACATAACAACACTAAAAAGTTACATAAGAACCTAATTAAAACAGTCTCCTATAATGGGAGGAAATAGAAAGCAAGGTGAGTGAAAACAAGATATCTTAATTATGATTTTTGATATTGTTTTAATATTTGAAATATGCAAATATTTTATCTGTTGAAATAAAACTGTTTAACCATTGCTGTGTGTTCGTCACCTCTTAGAAACATAAACAAAATTATCAGTTGATTATCAGATAACTGGCAGAGAGACAGAAAGACGTTCATGACAGTGTTGCTTTTAGTAGAACAAAGAAAAATAATTGTGATAGGCAACTGATCCAGCACAATAATGTGCAATTATGCAGTGAATACATGGAGTTGTTATGATGTAAATACATGTTTATTAAGTCATAGTGGGAAAATGTGATACCAAATAGTATGCATAGTATGATCTCTATATATGCAAATGAAAAATTGTGAAACAATACACCAAAATGTTAATTTGAAAATACAGGTGATTTTTGTTTAACTTTTGTTTTCTAATAAAGCTAACAAGTTTTTTTTAATGTATCAAGTAAATAAAAAAATACTACCTCTCACCGTCCCTTGTCCTCTCTCTACTCATTCAGCGGTATGTCCTTCCATATTTGCTACTACTAGCATATATCAGTAGTAGAAGGATTGACATTTATTGTTTACCATGTCCCAGGGATTGTTATAAGCACCTTGCAAGAATTACATAATTTAATAATCAGAACGGTATCATGAAGTAGGAGTTACTCTATTTCCATTTACAGATAAGAATCCCAAGGCCTAGTGAGGGTATGTACCTAGTCCAGGTCACGTGGATATAATCAGTGTTGTGAATCACGAACCTAGATGGTTTGACGCTAAAACATGTAACCACCATGACTGTGCTCTCACATTCCACAGGCACCTGTTCTTATCTCACTTCAATATAACTATACAATCCTGGCAACTCTGGCACTCTCTTTAATTTCTGGATTCCCGCAAACTAGCTCAGCACCTGGCTTGTAACACACAACTTAATGTTTGCTGGATGAATGAATGAATTTGTTTGAAAGCTGGTGAGGTGGTTCAGCTTTGGCGGCCCTCTGGATATGATCTAGTATGATGGTTCCTAATCATACAGGTTGCTTTCCTTCTATGTTGCCTGTCAGAAACAACTGTCCAGACATATTACTCTGAAGTCCATGTTTCTGACAGTCATGCATTTCTGTACTGTATAGTTGAGGTATAATTTTTTATCCTACCACTAAGCCTGCCAATGAAAATTTATAACACATGTATTGAGTGCCTAGCACATAGCAGGCTGTGTTCTAGGCACCCAGTGTACAAAGATAGAAACACACTTTATGATTGTAAGGAACTCAGGCTGGAGCAGGAGGCAGTGGAAGGGTGTGTCTAGTCACTGGTTCATTACAAAGAGATGGAAGAACACACAAGTTGCTTGAGAGCCAGTGGAAGAATAACTCATTCCAACTGGGATGGAGTATCCTGGAAGACTTCCCAGAGGAGGTGGCTGTGGACTGCACTGAGTTTCAAAGGATGAGTAGGAATGAGGCTAACAGTAAGGGGGTGGACAGGAGGAGGATAAACCAGGCGACACTTCTAATAGGAGCTTGAAGTCAAGGGAAGTCTACTTTATCCATTAAAATTGTGAGAAAGTACTTTTCTGGTAAGAATCCTAATCATTTCTATGTGGATGGGTCTCTCAAAGTAGCCAGGAGAAGGAGGATTTAGAAATTGTGCACAGAGAGAAGTGCAAGCCTATGTGAGTGTACAAGATGAAAAAGAAAGACCAGTTACATCTAGTGGAACGCTAGATCTTGTTACATATCACATCTTTGTTTTCTGACATTAACAGTAATTGCAGTAATTGTGAGTAGGCCAGTTCCCTCTGCTCTGGCTTAGGCACATGAATTCCTTTCACTGACTCTGGTAGCCATGTGCAAACACAGTCAGAATAATTTCCTCGGTATGACGACTCATTATTCAGTGACGGGGGAAAAATTAACAAGCCTCAAAATAATGTCTTTTTTATCCAGACGGAATTTTAGCCCTTGTTATTTCAGACAACATAAATATATGACATCTTCCAATTTTAAAAACCTTTTAAAAACAAGGGAAGTGCCTAGGCTTATTCTTCGTGGTGCCCAGAGGTGGAAGTAAAATTACTGCAAGTGACCAGGTAAGGACCCGGGAAAAAACATCCTGATAGAGGATTGAGTTCATTTAGTCAAATCATCCATTTAAAAAAAATTACAGGCCGGGGGCGGTGGCTCGCGCCTGTAATCCCAGCACTTTGGGAGGCAGAGGCGGGGGGATCACGAGGTCAGGAGATCGAGACCATCTTGGCTAACACAGTGAAATCCCGTCTCTATTAAAAATACAAAAAATTAGACGGGCACGGTGGCGGGTGCCTGTAGTCCCAGCTACTCGGGAGGCTGAGGCAGGAGAATGGCGTGAACCCGGGAGGCGGAGCTTGCAGTGAGCTGAGATCATGCCACTGCACTCCGGCCTGGGCGACAGAGCGAGACTGTCAAAAAAATTACAACTGCTTTAATTTCAGTTTAAATACTGAAAACCATATCCTAAATTTATCTCAACCACTTTGCTTGTTAGAGTGGAGGAATTAATTAGCAGTTAATTAAATTCCAGGCGATTTTTAATTAAGGGGTTAAAAACAATTAAGACAGACATAGAATTGTTACTCAACTCTAATTAGAAGAGCAGTAAAAATCAACAAAGTAATCCAATAAACTTACATTTTACCTGGAAAGGAAGTTTTACATCATCACTATCTATTGAAGTAAGCAAAAATAATGTGTGTGTCGGGGGGATGGGGGGTGGATTATATTTAAATATGAACAATTTGGGGAAAAGGTACCAGAGATGGTACCTTTTATCAGATCAGATGGGTATGATCTGATTTTTATTTCTTCTATGACTTTAGTGAATTATTTTCATATCTCTCTTAATTGAACAGCTGGTAGCCTGGGGCAATCTTGGACAGGAAGTAGGTAGATCTTTATGTTTAATACACAGTGCATTCTTGGCGCACATTAAGTGCAAAATAGTAGCCTCTTGGATCTTTCATCAGGCAAGGTTATGGAGAAGTTTATTACAGGGCTTCTTTTATAATGAATAGGTATTACTTTTGCTAGTTAAATGACGAAATCGTGCTAGTGATTCAGGATGGGCGTAATTTGTGTTTGATGTTCAGAATGGTTGGCTAAATCGTACATTTCCCATCCCAAAGCTATATGCATCCTCTATTACCACCCCTTGTAAGGCTGGAATTGCTAATGTTAAGACATCCATTACCCACACACCGGGGAAGAACAGGGATAAGGTGACTGGATGTTAGGGCGCCAGTGTCCTTGAGCCGGAGAATCTTAGGGGTCGCATATCTGACCTGTTTACTTGATTTTCTCTTTTTTGTGTCCAGCAGTCAGTCTCTACTTCTGTCTCTGTCACCATCCCCAGGGCTCCCAATCACTTAAATTGTGCTCCTCAGTCACTTGAACCCAGCCTCAATACTCCAAAGTACAACTTTTACTGCCTGCAGACATGAAGTTTTCATTAAGAAGACTGATATCCAACAGTCCCTGACTTACTATTGTTAAACTTATGACTTTTCAGTTTTACAGTGGTGCAAAAGCAATATGCATTCAGTAGAAACTGTATTTCAAATTTTGAATTTTGATCTTTTCCCAGGCTAGCGATATACGCAAGTCTACATTTTATTATAAAGTAGGCTTTATGTTAGATGCTTTTGCCCAATTGTTGGTTAATGTAAATGTTCTGAGAATATTTAAGGAAGACTAGGCTAAACTATTATCTTTGAAAGCTTAAATACATTAAGTGCATTTTTGACTTACAATATTTTCAACTTATGATGAGTTTTTTGTGACGAAACCTCATTGTAAGTAAAGGAGCATCTGCATTAAGCTAAAATTCATGTCTGTAGCTTCCTCATGATATTTAACATGTGACAGAGATGGTGCTGGCTTGGCGCTTTACCCTTGACCAGGGTTTCCTGACCTTGGCATTATGGATATTTGGAGCTGGATAATTCTTTATTTATGTATTCATGCATTTATTTATTTGTCACCCAGGCTGGAGTGCAGCGGCACGATCACTTCTCACTGAGGCTCGAACTCCTAGGCTCAAGTGATTTTCCTGCCTCGGTCTGCCAAGTAGTTGGGACTACAGGCAATTCTTTTAAGTTTTATTTTATTTTTAATTGACACATAATAATTATACATATTTATGGGGTACAGTATGATGTTTCTATACATGTATACATTGTGTAAAGATCAAATCAGGGTATTTAGCTTACTCATTACCTCAAATATTTATTATTTCTTTGTGGTGAGAACATTCAAAATCCTTTTTTCTAGCTATTTTCTTTTTTTAGTTTTAATTTAATTTTATTTTTGAGATGGAGTCTTGCTCTGTCACCCAGGCTGGAGTGCAATGGCGCGATCTCGGCTCACTGCAACCTCTGCCTCCTGGGTTCAAGCGATTATCCTGTGTCAGCCTCCCTGGTAGCTGGGATTACAGGCACACACCACCATGCCCAGCTAATTTTTGTATTTTTAGTAGAGATGGGGTTTCACCATGTTGGTAAGGCTGGTCTCGAACTCCTGACCTAGGTTATCCACCTGCCTTGGACTCCCAAAGTGCTGGGATTACAGGCGTAAGCCACCACACTATTTTGAAATATACAATATAATATTCTTAATTATTTTCACCCTACTGTGCAATAGGACACCAGAATTTATTCCTTCTATCTAACTGTAATTGTGTGCCTGTTGACCATCTCTCCTCCTCCCACCCTCCTCCTACTCTCCTTAGCCACTGGTAACCACTGTTCTACTTTCTACTTCTGTGAGATCAGGTTTTTTAGATTCCACGAATGATGAGATCATGCAGTATTTTTCTTTCTGTGTCTGGCTTTCACTTGACATGATGTCCTCCAGGCTCATCCATGTTGCCACAAATGATAGAATTTTATTTTTTATGGCTGAGTAGTATTCTATTGTGCATTTATTCTACATTTTCTTTATCCATTCATCTGCTGATGGCCACTTAGGTTGATTCCATATCTTGGCTACTGTGGATAATGCTGTAATAAATACAAGAGTGAGGATACCTCTTTGACATACTGATTTCATTTCCTTTCAATAAATGCCCAGTAATGGGATCTGCTGGATGATATGGTAGTTCTCTTTGAAGAACCCACTTACCATTTTCCGTAATGGCTGTACTACTTTGCATTTCTACCAACAGTGTGCAAGCGCTTTTGTTTCTCCATATCCTCATCAGCATTTACTTTTTTCCTTTTGATAATAGGCCTTCTAACTGGGGTGAGGTGATATCTTGTGGTTTTTATTTGCATTTCCTGGAATGAATAGTGATATTAAGCATTTTCTCATATACCTGCTGGCCTTTTGTATGTCATCTTTTGAGAAATGCCTTCAGGTCTTCAATCCACATTCTAATTACATTATTTGGTGTTTTTGCTATTGAGTTGCTTGAGTTTTTAATGTATTCTGGCCGTTAATCCCTTGTCAAATGCACTGTTTGCAAATAGTTTCTCCCATTTGGTAGGTTGTCTCTTCGCTCATATTTCCACTGCTGTGCAGAAGCTTTTTAATTTTATGTTGCAACTGCGTAATCCTTGTGGAGAATAATAATATTAACTCTGTGTATTGTAGGATGTTTAGCAGCATCCTTGGCCTCTGCTCATTAGATGCCAGTTGCAACCCTAAAGGCTGTGACAATCAAAACGGTGTCCAGACTTGGCCAAATGTGCCCTAGAGGACAGATAGCCCCCAGTTGAGAACCATTGTGCTAGATCTCTGTCCCATCAGGCATAAGGAGGAATTTCTGCTTTCTGGCAAGTTTGAAGAGTGCTGTATCCTATCTCCATATTTCACACCTTGACCTAAGAGGAGAAAGAAGTCCTTTTGCCACTGCACTTCACACCCCACCATGACAAATCGAACTCAGGGCAGTCTCCAACAAAAAGCTCCTAAATTCTTTTGTTTTTTAACCAGTTTAACAACTTTCTGTTGCTGTTACCCAATAGATTGCCAGTTTCTCTTTTAATGATTTTGCTGCCGGTAATCCATCTCTCTTTCCCTACTCCTTTGTTCAGAGAAGACTTTTTTTTTTTTTTTAATTTATTTTTCAGGTCTCTGGCTTACTGGGAAGTGAGATCTTTTTTTCTCTATAGTACAAGTCTCTCTGTCATACTGGTTGGAATTATTCTCCTTGTTGTCACCCCAAACCACACTCCTGAGTTTTCCTGAATGCATTACACAGTATTATGCGCATGCCTCCATCCTTTTATTGTTCAGCTGCCAGTGAATGCTTTTTGTCCAGTCAGTCATAGAGTTTTCCACCCAAACACACCTGAAAAGAAAACATCCTCAACCATAATCATTTCCACAGTCCTTCTCTACTTGGGAAGCCAGCTGTGTTCTCACTCTTTCCTTCTGCCCACCGTCCCTCTTCACCCTGAGAAAACTGGCATTACTTTAAGGAAGTTGTTCTCATACTTTAGCTTACAGCAGAGTCACCTGGAGGGCCTGCTGAAACATGGATTGCTGGGCTCTAACCTCAGACTTCTAATCCAGCTTGGAGTGAAGCCCAATAATTTGCATTTTAACAAGTTTCAGATAATGCTTCTGCTCTGGTCATCTCATCTTGAGACCACTGCCATAAGGTATAATGGCAGAGAAAAAAGCACTCCAGGTGAATCTGATTGAGGTAGGGTGCCCACCTACTGCAGGATCGTGGGTTTATTTCCTCCTTTCTCCAAAAGATCAATGTGTCTTGACAAGTTCCATCCTGCCAGCAATGCCAGCTGAGCTTGGAATAGGCTATGAAACATTTCCAAAGCTATGGAACAAAGCTCATGGACTCAAACAAAAATACACAACACTATAGTACACATACATTTTGGTTGTTCTACCCTCTGATAGGTGAATTTCCAGCTGCACTGGCTTTTATAGGAATGTTTTGCCACAGTCTTTCCACAAAAGAGAGAACATTTGCTTATTTAGAAACTTATGGACATTTATCAAGAAACAGTTACATTCAAAGCTTTCTAAAGAAATCAAGGAGAGTACAGGAGACTTGGAGTGTAAACACCTGGACTCTAGTCTGGTTGAATAACCTGGGCGAGTCACTGCATGGCATTTTGCAAATATTCAGTCTTCTCAGCTATAAGATGAGGAATTTAGATTTATTCTCAGAAGCCTCTTGCAGTGCTGTGGTTCTAGAAACTTCCTTGAGCAAGAACACTGATAAGATCTGGCTCTAGGGTTGGAACATACCTCATTTGAACACTAAAGGGTCTGCTCAAATGTGTCAAAATGAGGCAGTTCATGCCATCCTTTAACATACGGTGCGGTCGGCTGAATAATGAACCCCAAAGATATCCAGATCCAAATTCCTAGAACATGTGAATGTTACCTTCTGTGGTGTTAGAACTTTGCAGATATGATTATCTCTTAAAAGAGTATTCTTAAAAAGATTTTGAGATGGTGGAGATTATCCCGTCTTATTTAGATAGGCTCCAAATGTAATCACAGGTATTACTCTAAGAGGGAGGCAAAGATTTGACTACAGAAGAGAAGGCCGTGTGATGACAGAAGTTGGGGAGAAAGTGTGATATGATGTGAGGCCACGAGCCAAGGAGTGAGAACAACCTCCAGATGCTGAAAAGTCTGGGAACTGATTCTCCCCTAGAGCCTCCAAAAGAAACCTGCCCTGCTGACACCCTGATGTTAGTCCTTTAAACTCATTTCAAACTTCTGACCTCCAGAACAGAAAGATAATATATCTGTGCTTTTTTAAAAGCCATCGAGTTTATGATAGTTTGTTACAGCAGCCATAAAAGATGGATACATCAAGCTTAGAACAGCATGACACTCTCCTGATCCCCAAAGTGGAAGTTTTCAATGGGGATGGCTATAGCTGGTAAATCAGAGGGATGACCAATGAATCACATTGCCTGCCCTTCAACATTAGAGCTGCCTTTCTTTAGATCTTAGAGAGTTCCATTATCTATTCAAATTGCAATATCTCTGACAGGCACTCTGTCTTAGTAGATAATGGGTTCAGCCCAAGGCTTGGCATATTGTGGATGCTTCGTAGAAGTTATTGTGGGCTTACTGTCAGCTGTGCACAAGGCACCAGGAGAACAGGGGCTGGAGGTGAGGGAAAACGGGAGCAGGTAGAGGACCTGTCCAAGCCTACCTCCTCTGTTCCCTGAATTCCTGCCAGGTTCGTTCTAAGACCACATACACTTTACCTTATCAAGGCCCTGGGAGGACATTTTTGTTGCTATTGCAATGGGTCAGGATCATTCATTTCTGACTCTACTATCTGTCCTGTTGGCCACAAGGACCCACCAGCACCTCCAAACAAAGCCTGTGTCTATAACCTTCCTGGATGTTCTTTGGTCTAATTATCCCTGGCAGCTGATAATCATTTCCTCCAGGATCTCACCAGGAATCAATGGTGATAATAATAACCATGAGAGCAATCATATCTGTTTAGTGAAGGTCTACTATGTGGTGAGCGCTTTACACAAAGTCTACCAAATCACTATAGCAACAATTCACAGTAGGTATTATTATAATATCTTCTCATACATAGGTTAATAGAGGCTTAGAGAAATGAACTATTTTATACCAAATCCTACAAGTGATCAATGATGGAACACACATTCAAACCAAGGTCGGCCTGATCTCACAAACTCTTTCCATTTTGCTACATTGTTTCTGATCAAAAGAAAATGTACCCCCAAGTACTTAGCACAGTGTTTGGCATATAGTAAAGTCTTAGTGTTGGCTTTTATTGATATCATTGTATGTTTATGTCTATGACTATGGCTGCCCATCAGAGTGTACGTGGAGCAATGCCACAGGCATGGTGGCCTAGGGCCCAGCAGATGGAGAGGCCCCTTTGGCCTTTCCACACCCCATGTCCCTGAAGAGCTTCAAAGCCATGCATATGCTCTTCTGCTTCTTTATCCTCCTCCCTTGACATACCTGATCATTTCCAGAAATGAGAAAATAAAGGGGCTGTAGCCGAAAGAATAATGAGTGGAGAAAATGCATGCATAGAGGGTCCGGCCCTCTTAGATTGAGCCTCTCTTCACCTGGCATCCTCTCAAGGCGATCTTCTCCCTCTCGCCCTTTAAAGGCCCCTATGCACATCTCTCTGCATGCACTGACATCGTCCCAGAAACCTCTATGCCTTCACCTTCTACCACACACATACTGGTGTCTGAGAGGCAGAGGAGCTGACAGGCAGTAGGATTTGGGGAGGAAGAAGGAGGATCCTCTCCTGAAAACAAATGTCTCTGGTTATTTTCTCACATCCCTGAGAGAGTTGAACAGGTGAGGCAAGCATGTGATACACATGATCCCTTCACCCCATCTCTGACCTGTGACAGGCATCACCAATGGATGGTGGCACTCTCCGTTGAACTCAGACCAATGAATTGGAGGTAACACAGTAGAGGAAACTCATTTGGCATGCCTAGAATATGACATGCATTTGGAGATGAGGTACTCTGTAATCTCTTCCTAAGTTGTGAATCCACTTAGTAATTTCTGAATTCTACCTTTTCATTAAAGCCCAGGCCCCATCTTATGCATTTTGAGAAGCCACCCCTTATAATACTGTTGCCTTCTCTATATTTCTCTTCTTTGATACTGATATATTCAAGGGAGAATTCAGAGTTTGAGAGGGCTGAAACTTGACAACAGTTTTATAATATTTTCTATAGAGAAAATGAAAAGATAATTCAATTTTTCCTCTGAGTTGATCCAAATTTGTTTAGAAAAAATTATTTTGGCTTCAGACTTATTATTGACTATGCCATATAAAGTTTCAAGGTGTTCTCTAATTTGGGAAACCACTATCAATTTTATTTCATACATGAGCTCTAAGATTTTAGAGCATCTCAAGTTTGCTGTGCAGTGTGTAATCAGAAACAGTTTTATGGTGAATGACACTCATTGACCAGTATGTCCTAATGTCCTCAAGTTTTATTTCTAAGTGGGATGCATCTAAATATCTAAAACCATTGTGGGCAACTCATCATGCTCTTGCAAAGGGCACCAAGCACATATTGTGGAGCACCGAATTAGGCATGTTCCTTCCCAAGCACTATGGGTGCAATCATCTCAGTGTGGGCAAAGCGATATTCCTTCTGAAGCAAGAGCCAGGCCTTCTATTCAGCTATGTGTCTACTATCAGCTCTTCAAGGACGCTCAGAGAGTAAATCCAATTCCTTTACAACAGATAAGAAAACCAAATCTTTGAAAAATATTACTTACCAGAAAGTTGGAGGTAGAGCCTGGACTAGAATCAGGTAGACACACTCTAAGATTCATGCTCTCTCTCCCCTCTGCTTAGGAAGCTCAGCATGTCCTGGGTATTTGATAAATATTCCTAAAGCTCAGCATGTACTGGATATTTAATAAATATTCCTAAAGCTCATCATGTACTGGGTATTTGATAAATATTCCTAAGTTTCGGTCCTCTCAAAACATCTAGTAAAATGCCTAAAAGAATTCAAATACATATCATTTAACGAATGAATGAGCAACTAAGTGAATGAAGATATAGTTACAAGCATCTCCAAATATTCTGGTTGCTCTTTTTAATTTTTTTTATATTAATGGTGTTTCATATTAATAGCCATAATTTATTTAACTATATTTCAGGCTTTTTTTTTTTTTGCCTTCTGAGATTAAAGTCTTGATGAAATCATAAACCGTAGAATGTCAGTACTGGAAGATACCCTAACAATCATATAATTCAATCCTTTTTTGTATTCAGTGGATAAGGAAACTGAGATTGAAAAAGCTGAAGTTATTTATCCAGGGCCTTAGAGTAGTTCTTCTAAATATTTATCCTGGCCTTTCATCATACTGTTTAGCATTACAAGACAAGTGCTTATCATTTCCTTTTAATAGCCTCAGAATTTAGAGTCTGAATCTGCCTTGAAATCAATCACTTCAACTGTCCCCCACCCCCTTATTTTTCACTTAAGACATTGGAGTATTTATTAAATATCCTGTGTGTTCAGTGCCAAGGGGAAAGCAGAGACATGGTCCCTACCCTTGAAGAACTTATAATCATATATGTTCATAGAAACACATGGCCTTATTTATGACAGGGCATAATTATGGGGAAATTTTGTCAATTTCCCCTGAATTCTGTATAAAATAAAAGTTATTTCTCTTTTAGACCACAACTTTTTCATTTTTAAATGAGACATTTGAAGAATGACACTAAAAGCTAAATCATTTCAGCAAGACTGCCTGTCTGGAGAATCATACTCTAGCCACATCAAGATGGGGCTGTCACTTTTACAGGTATTATTCATTAAATGGAGCATATCTTCATCTTTGTTCATTGAACTGGCCAAACATAGTTTGTGTGTTTTGTTTTTGTCTGCTATGTCTGTGGGACTATAATTTAAGGGATGTGAATGGAACAACACAAACCAAATGCTTCCCCCCAGAAATGCTATGATGTGTGTCATGGGAAATGGCCTTAGCCAGTCCTGAGGCAGTAAAATGTGAAGAAGAGCATGAGAGTTTGGTTAATAAACATTAATTTAGCAGATATTTATAAATAATTCTTAAGTCCTTACTATATGCCAAGTGCTACTGGATACTCAGAGTCAATATAGTGGTGAATAAGAGAGAAAGAGATCCCTGCTTCTATAGAGCTTATATTCTAGTGAAGTAGACAGGTCAAGAACAATAGCAAATCTACATAGTAATAAACACTATGCAGAGAAAAAAAACTGTTTGATGATAAAGCATAGATTGGAGGATCAGGAAAGGCTTTTCTGGGGTCGGGGGCAGGGGGCAGGGAGTGACTTGGATGCTGTGGTTCAAATGACAAGAAGAAAGCAAATGACGAGGACTTGGGGGAAGAGCAGGGAAGATGATCTGGGCAGAAGGAACATCATGTGCAGCGGCCATAAAGGACGAGGCATGGCTCAGAAACAGAACTTAGGCTGGTGTGGCTGGGGCCTGCAGGAGAAGAACAATAGGGCAAAGATGAGGTCAGAGAGGCAGGCAGGGGCCACACAATGTCAGACTCTGTAGGCAGGGTGAGGAGTTTGGTTTCAACTTCAAAGGCAAGAGAAGCCATTGTAGGGTTTTCAGTAGGGAAGCCACATGATGTAATTTACATTTTAAGAAATCATTCTGGATGCTGCTAGAAGAGTCAATTGTAGGTAGGAGGAAGGGAAACAAGGAGGCAAATTAGGAGACAATGGAAGCACTGCATGTGAGAGACAGTGGCCACTGAAAGGAGATGGGGCTGTCATATGGACAGACAAGGCTACTTGACCCACTGGCTAGGTGAAGCTGATCAAATCAGCCTTCTAAGCACAAATTTCCTTACCTATAAAAAGGGTATAATCATGTCCTCTTGGAAATTTGTTCTGGGGACTAAGTGTGATAATCCCCAGCATATACTAAGTACATGGTGATATTTTAGAAAATGAAAGGATAGTGTGCTAGCAATCTGGATCAGTAGTCAGCAAACTATGCCCCATTCACCTGTTTGTGTGGGTCAATTTTACTGGAATACAGCCATGTTTGTTTGTTAGTTATGGCCACCTTCACATTACAATAGCAAAGTTGAATAGTTGCAACAGAAACTCTAATGGCCTGCAAAGCCTAAAATATGTACAATCTGGCCCTCAAAATAAAAAGTTTACTGATCCCTGATCTAGATTGTAATGAACAGTAGAGGGTAGAAGGAATGTAAGAGAGATGAGATGTATCTGTACAAGAAGGAGGCAGATAATTCAGAGAAACATTAGTGGTGTGTCATGCACTATATTTTGTAAGTGCTCTGCCAAAGAGAAGACCCCGGCTGTAAAGACATGATTAATAAAAGGAAGCATCTGAAATAAACTTCAAATGTCATCATCACACAAATCAACCAATAGTATGTAATATTTATATAATGCCCCATATTTCCATTATGTTCATCAATAATTTTATTAAAATACTTCATTCCAGATGCATAATTTCAGGGTAAGAGAAGGCAAGTAATGGAAAACAGATAGCAATAAATTGGAAGAACCATAAATAAAATAGAGAGTTCATCCATGCAGTCAATAAATATTAATTTAGCACAAAATTTATACTAGGTCCAGTGCTAGGTGCTGGGATATACAATGGTAGACATGACAGCCACAGTCCTTGCTTACATGGAACTTTGAGTTCAATGTTTCCTTTTGGGGAAGAACTGCCCCCAGCTCCATATGAGTATCTTTGTGTAAATGAAGAAATACACTCTCCTCCCTCCTCAAAATACTTTATCTCCATCTGTAAGAAACATTCCAAAAAAGATTAATTTTTCTAGTACCTTAATTGCCATCTGCGAACAATTTTAATATAAATGTTCAACTCTACTGTAATTATGATGTGAATGGCTCTGGGATATGACAACTTTTCGGAGTATAGAAACATGTTTAACTATACACAGAAGCATGAAAAGTATGTGCTTTGAACAGAAAGTGATGATAATATGGAAAGAAGGGACTGCCTCGGCTAAAGATTATGAAGACTGTTTCTCTAGTTTCAATTTTTACTAAGTTGGTGATCCCTAACTATGGTTTTATTAGCAACCTGCAGCTATCTGGAATAATTTCATATGGCTTTCCAAAACTTTCAATGTGAAATTTAAGCAAGCTATATACTGTACTTGAAAGAGTGTGCTAGGGGAAGCGTGTGGCAAAATAAAATGATCAGTTACAGGATGTCCAAGTAACCAAAAATGTTGGGGTCTCTCTGAGAGTGTAGCCAGAGTTGCTGCACATAGTTTTGGGGAGTTGTGTTGGTATGTTTCTATTTTTATTACATTTATTTACTTTCTGGTTTAAATAGAAAAATCCAGATTTGAAGTTCAAGACTCATATCATGTAAGTAGTATATGATTAGAATTCCTAGGTGAAGAAGTTCCATACAAGGCCATTAGAAACAGTTTTACAAAATACAAAGGCTAAAGCAGGCAATTCCGTAGGCACTAGAATCAAAGCATGCATGGAGTAGATCAAGTACCTTCCAGATTATTTTTTCCCTTTGTTCAGAAATAAGATGAAAACATGTATGAATTGAGAGAGGCTGATTCTGGTTTAGAATCAGAATGGGGGAGAATAAAGGGTGAAACGAGAAAGGACTAACAGGAGTTATGTGGGAAGAAATAAAAATGAAATTTTATTTTTTGAGACAGGGTCTGGCTGTCGCCCAGGCAGGAGTGCAGTGGCACAATCACAGTTCACTGCAGCCTCCACCTCCGGGGGTCAAGCTATACTCCTGCCTCGGCCTTGGAAATAGCTGGGACCACAGGCATGCACCATCATGCCCGACTAATTTTTAATTCTTTTTTTTTTTTTCTTTGTAGAGATGGTGTTTTGCCCAGGCTGGTCTCAAACTCTTAGGCTCAAATGATCCACCTGCCTCAGCCTCCCAAAATGCTGGGATTACAGCTGTGAGATAGAGCACCTGGCCAGATGAAAATATTTTAATTGAAAGTCTGGCCCTCTTTATTCCCCCAAATTCTGTTCTGAAGGTGTCACTTTTTTTATTCCTCTTCCCCTGCATCCTAGATGCCATGCCAATGAACAAAATAAAGTTTCTCTTTCCTTTTCTTTCCCAAACACGCGCAACTAGAACCAACACAGTTCAATTCACTGGGAATTCAGGCAAAGGTAACAAAGTTTGCTTTTTCTTATTTATAAGTGGCTAAAAGTTACCAGTTTATTTTCTGTCACTAATCAGTTAGTTTTCCTTTATGTTAACTTTTTATGTGTATTTTTAAAGATTGATATTACCATTATACATATTGCCATCACTTTAAATGTTTTTGAAATCCCAGACCAAAGTGAATAAAAAGAAGTGATGAAAAGTTCCAGTCAAAATGTGGAGATAAAGTAGAATGAATCACACTGATTATTTTGTCTTCTGTAACTCTAATATGAAGTTTCTTATCCTATTTCATAAGCTACTTTGGGACTGGATTTTTAAAATCAACAATTGGTTATCTCAAATATGTTGAGTCAGACAATGTTTGTCATTTTACAGCATATATCAGATAATCTCTATTTCCTTTCAAATGTTTTAGAAAAACTTAAAGGATTAAGAAATGGAAATAGACACTAAAATAAGTTACTTAACCATATTCTACATGGGATTGCAAAACTAACTTGATAAATAAACATTATACTCTCATTCCACTTGATTTTGATAAAAAGATTGCTAAGCCATGATATTTATTGTGTATTTAAAAATATGAGTTTCTACCCAGTTGAGACCATACTGGAGGGGAAAGGCCAAAAGCCACAGGAGAGAAAACATTTTGATTCAACTTTGCGCTTGGTGAGCTGTTTTCCTTCATTAAAGTCACAAATTAAGGGACATATTTCTACATACCATCATACTCCCCACGGCTTGTGGTAAACAAATATATATCTCTTTGAGAAATGTTTTCTATTACTACTTTTGTGAAAGAAACACACATTCATTAAACATCATCTCTTGAACTTTACACAAAATTTCTCACAGGCTAAAACTTTCTGTATTGACTCTTGTTTCCTTGTTTCTTGGAGATTTCACAGATACTACGTAAAAAACCAGCTTTTCTCTCTTGCTAATGGTCAGGTAAAAAAATTCTGCTGTTTAAACATAACTGTTAGTGTCTAATTATAGTAGAAACTACTCTGGAAGGAATAGTGTCTCTGTGTAGCTATGGGGAAATGTCATAAATTCAGAAGCTGAGTGAGGGAGAGAGAGAAAAGTTCAATCCCGTTTCTACTGATGGTTCTTGATAACAGTAGGTGGCTTAAGGACAGGGGATTAAATAATATTGAATCACATAATACGTGATTACTTTTTTGCTTCTCTTTCCCTCCTGATAATTTCAAGGAGAAAGTTTGCATCCAGTTCTGGTTTTCATGCCCCTTTAGTGCTTGCTAAGTTTTCTTTCTAACAGAGAGGGGTTGAGACAGAATACAGAATAAAACAAGAAATGTATAATAATGTTTTCATCCTGTGTGTTTAGTGTAAGTGGAAGTGATTTTTCCTAAGGTACTAAGAGAAAGTTTCTTTTAAAGATAAATGTGTTTAGAGTTTCCAGATAGCGGAACACGCGGAGGTTTCTGGAGAGTGGTCCCTCAGGGAAGGCATGGAAGCTCTACACCCCTTCCCCCATACCTTGCCCTATGCATCTCTACATTTGTATTCTTTGTAATATCCTTTATAACAAACTAGTAAATGTGAGGTACTATGTCATTCCTTATGATACCAAGTAAAGTGAGAGTCCTGTTGTCCATGGTCAGCCAGCCTGGGACTGTTGGGGAGGCTCTGATCATTTATCCACTACAAGAAACACGACTAGAGTTTGACCAAATTTGTCCAAATTGGGGGGAGTCTAACTGAAACACCAGAGGCTTATGCATCGCACCATTTGAGGGACCTAACCGTATGACCACAGTGTCATCATGAGGAACAGACCAGAATCTCCAGCTTCAAACAGTGGATGCCTAGGAAGGAAGATCTATGACTACAGACAGAAATCTGGTGGCTCTAATTGGCCAGTCATGGTCTGTGTGACCCTGACTCAGTGGCTATATTTCCTTGTACCTCAGCTTCCCTTTAATAAAATGGGATAAGGGTTAAAATATGTGCTTAGATAAAAAGTAAATTAATGTAAATAAAAACATTAAGTAACAAAGGTGGTGCAAGAATGTGACAAACTACAGGGTCTGGTGGCTCACGCCTGTAATTCCTAACCCTGTGGGAGGCCTAGGCCAAAGGGTTGCTTGAGCCCAGGAATTTGAGACCAGCTTGGGCAACATAGTGAGACCCTGTCTTTATGAAAAATCAAAAAATTAGCTGAGTGGGGTGTCTCATTGCTGGTGGTCTTAGCTACTCAGGAAGTTGAGTGAGCTATGATTGTACCACTGCACTCCAGCCTGGGTGACAAAAAAAAAAAAAAGACAAATGCTATGAAGTGACTGAGTTTGGAACCCAATGTTACAGTTCTCTAGAGATTAACTCACCTTCCACCAGACTTCATCTTAAACAAACAAACAACAAAAAAATTTCCTTTCTTTTCTTTCTCTCTCCCTTCTTCCTTTCTAACCTCTATCATTTAACAGAATGGATTCCTAGCGTGTATAATGTGCCTGACGTTGTGTTAGGCATCGCAAACTCAGAAATGCAAAGATTAGTAAATATATCATCATCTTTCTTCTTAACCTGCTCAATCTCACTGGAGAGACAGAAGTGTAAACAATTATTCTACAGTTAGAAATGTGACATGCATGCAAGGTATAGTAGCCTAAAGGAGGAACAATCGATTGGGAAGCAAGGGGAGGTGTCAGGTTTCAACCTTAGGAATCAGTTCTACGAAATACAGTCCAAGTTCATAACTACACCCTTTATTCAGCAAACTTTGAGTGAGCCAGACACTGCATTAGGTCATGGTGATTTGGACATGAAAAAGATAGTCAAAGCATCAAGAAGCACATGATTAAAATGGCACACAGGCAATGAAGGCAATGGTTATATAGGTCTATAACCCTTATCTGAAACCCCTGAAGGCAAATATGTTTGCGATTCAGAATTTTTAGAATAGTGATATGGTATACACACTATATATCACATAATACCAGTAAAAGGGCCTGGGGAAGTACTTCATAGTTAAGACATAGAACTAGTCACACTAAATGGGATAAAAACTATAAATAACCTCATATCAATTCTGTTTAGGTTTCCAGTTTTTGTAATTGTTTAGATTTCTGAATTGCAGAAAATGTTTGGGAACATATTCTTCAAAATTGTTAGAGGTATGCTGCAGGGTGTTTTGGCAGAACAAAGGGCAACAAACTACATTGTAATAGAAAAAGAGTCAGGCCTCCTCAAAGATGTATTTTCTGAGAGGAGTCTTGATGGATGAATAGGAGTTAACCAGGCAGAAAAGATGGGTGAAACAGAGAACTGGAGGATGGGGAAAAGGGCTTTCTAGGCAGAAGAAATGGCTTGTAGAAAGACAATGGCCTTGGTGTTTGTGGGGAACTGCAAGTATTTCAGAATGGCTGTGTGTGTGTGTTGCCTGAGGTAGAGGGAGAAGGGAATGGAGATGGAAATGGTGATGGAGAGTAACTGAGATCCAGTGGAAGAAGAGGACAAGGACCCATGCTGAGTTAACCCTTATTGTGAAGATAGAATGAGCTACTAAGTAGTTATTTACCATTGTATAAACATATGAACAGATTTGAAATTTTAGACAAATCATAAGATTGGACAGAGCTGATACACTACACAAAATTAGGAGGATATTGAAGTTGTCCGGGTAAGAGATGATGAGAAAATGCAAGTTGGCATGGTTTGACACATAGTAATTGCTCAATAAGTCATAGCCATTAGAGAATCAAAGGCAGGGATGTAGTGGAGATGTATAAGAAGGGACATTTAAGGGCTCAATATCTGATTGGATTGGGAGATGGGGGGCAGAGTCTCCTCCCCTGACTTCAAGGTCTTGCTTGCTTGGTGGTGCTAGGCTAGGGAGCATTGGTAGTACATGATTCTGCTGTCCTTGGGGGTAGGAAAGGAGAAATGATGTTTTCCCTTTTGGATGAGAAGAAATTGGGTTTGGGATTCAGGGAAATTGTCTTAGTTGGATTTGGGAGTCATTATGTGATAGCTAAGCCTTAATGTGAACGAGATCACAAAGAGATAGTGCATGATGTGAGAAATAAGGCAGACGGAGGTCAAAATCCTAGAAGATGTTTAAGGAGGAGATAACAGTCAGCCATACCAAATGATCTTGAAAAAATAACCTAGATATGGTCTAGAAAAGTCTTTCATGGCTGTGGCAAAGAGGAGATCAACCATAACTTGAAAAGAGAAGTTTCAGTAGCTGAGGAAGGGCAGAAGCCTGATAACTATAAATAAAGTAGTGTGCAAGTGAGAAAAAAGGGACCGCAGTGTCAACTACTATCCCTTCAAGATACTTGGCCGTGAAAAGAGAAACAGAGAGGAGGACAAACTTAGAGACAAACTTAGGCTGCATGGAAAGATTTTTGGTTTAATCTTTAAAGGTAGGAGAGATGTTGCCAGACTGTCAGTTACTTCTTCCAGTTAGCTTTTCAGTTGTGTTGCAGTATGCCTCTGGAGGAGGGGAAGTGTCTTTGATGCTCTGGAATACAAGTATTTCTCAGAAACAGACAGCCAGATCAACAGACTTGCCTGGAATAGCTCTGCAGGGAAGCACCCCTTTCTGAGCTTCTCTCCCAGGTGCTGCTCCTTGTGCTAACTTCCTGTAGAGTTTTTTTCTCCCTCTATTGTCTACCTGGCTGGCTGCTTGCCTCTTGTTTAAGATGGCTCTGTGGCTGTATCGGTGCCAGGGAGTTGGCTTGTAAAATACCTGTGTCTCTGCAGGCTTTACCAAGGTGATGCGTCTCCCAAGCCACTAGCACCTGGCCCTTGTAGTCTCTATTGTCTGCTTCACACATTCAATTTGGGCAACCAATTCCTATGAGTGCCTGAGGGAATAGAGAACTAGGCTAGGCACAGTGAGAGATAAAAGAAAACAGGACTTTTGCCCCAACGGACCTTAAAATCCAAGGCATAGGATAGCCTTGGAAATAATGATGACAGTGGTTCTTAACTTTCTGGGGACACACAAATCCTTTTGAAAAGTTGATGAAGATGATGTGCTTTCTCCCTATGAAATAGCACACAGAATTTAACATAAAATTTTAAGGGGTTTATGGACTTGCTAAATTCTGAAGTGGTTTATAAAGCTCATGTTAAGAATGCCTAAAGAGTTATTGTTACTCTATTAGTGTGTGACCTTGGCTAAATAATGTTTCTGACACTCAGTTTCCAGATTGTGCTGCCTGTCTTGCAAGGGTTTTGTGAAGACTAAATGAGACCACATGAATAAAGTGCTTAGCACAGGGTCCAACACAGAGCTAATGCCCAATAAATGTTATTTCAGTTTAATGTGTGTTACGGAGAAAATGAGCAAGGTGTTAGATGGGAGACATAGCTAACTCACTGCAGTGTTCTCTGGTAATAAAGTCATTCCAGTATTTAGTTGTTACTTGTTGGTAAAAGTATGTTTCCCATACTTTAGTCATTCCCTGCCTACCTTTTGAAATTTTGCTTATCCCAGTCCCACCTGGACAATTACCCTTTTAAAATATTTTTTAAACATATATATTTGCTAGGAAAGAACTTCTGGATCCCTACCTTAAATAGAAAACCCACTTTCACTTGCCTTAAATAGAAAATAACAGTAACAATAAACAATGGAACTAAACAATGAAAATGAAACAATGTTATAAATTCCAGTTAGATACCAGTGCTTACCTAGGGCTTTGAGCCTGGAGCCTGCTCTGTGATAAAAGGGAGTTTACTGTTTGAGAGAGAATACTTTCTCCTTGTATACAGAAGAACTGAAAGAGAATGCAAAAAGGAATCCATTTCTTACTATGTGATTCACAGTCATTTAATGCCCTGGCCCTGCTCGGTGCACCGACTAGACCTATCTTCCGTGACTCCAAGTGAGATGTCCTCCCTTTAGGAGACATGACGTGAGGGCAATTTCTCCCCTCGCCCCACACCAAGTAGAATAGTAAATTCTGTGGGGGCAGTGGCCTGATATCCACCTATCCCGCCGGCCTTGTCCAGGACAGGAGTGCAGCAAAACCCTTATCATATGAGCTCCTAGAAACAAGGACGCTCAGAGGTCCCCTGCTCCCCATTCTGTTGCTGGACCAGGCTCAGTGCCTCCCTCCCACCCCGGACAGCTCCAGAGTTTAATATTTTCATTGGGCACGTAGCTGAAGCAATCTGAGTGCTGCCAGGACCTCGGCGGGGTGGAAGGGAGGCTGGGGGCATTGCTCGGAAGCTATCTGCCTGGGAAACATTGCTTTTACATAGATCGCATGCTACAGATTAATAATAATAAAAATGCAAAAACAAAATTGCCTAAAGATGATTTTATTCCCTTAAGCCATGTTATTTTATTATTATTATTATTATGGGGATGGCTAATGAAACTCTATTCAGCAGCCCGGAGGAAAGAGGACTCGCCCTCCCTCTCTTCCTGGAGCTGCCTCTGCTGCTCCTAGTCACCCTAAGGCCGTCTTCCTCTTACCCTGGCCCCTGGGCCCTGGCCGACTGGATGTGATCGCCGGGAGCTGGGTGCAGCGCAGCCTCGGCCTCCGGCCCAGCCGCGCCTTTACCTGAGCCGGGCCCGCCCCCGGCGCACCGGCCCGCGCGGGCACCTGGCGGTCGCAGCGGACACAGCAGGAGGAGGATAGGCCGCGCTGGGCGGGCGTCGCGGGGCCGCGCTTGGTGTTCCTGAGCCGCGGCCGAACTTTTTCCCAAGAAGTCCCACGTTTGGAGGCCCGAGGAGCGGGACGGGGAGGAGAGACTGGAGTTCCTGGAAGGAGCAGCAGCAGCAGCCCCACAACATGGCCTCCTCCGCCTCCTCCTCTCCCGCGGGCACCGAGGACTCCGCTCCTGCCCAGGTGAGCGCCGCGCCGCCCCCCTACCTGCGGCTGCCTTCACCCAGGGGCATGCGGGGACCCGGGCGGGCGGGAGGCCCGGGCCGGGGGGCCCCAGGAGTCCTGCCCTCCTGGGGGTGCCAGGCGGCGCCGCGAGGCTCCGGGAGGGCGAGTGGAGGGGACCCGGTTCCTGCGGATCGTGGGAGTCCAGTTGCGCCTGGAAGTTGCGGCCCGGGACAGAGGCGAGAGCTCGAACTCGGTCCCAGTGCTGGAGCATCCCCAGGAGAGAGGGGGGCCCGAGGACTTGGGGCTTCTGCTTGGAAACATTCGTCTGGAAAAAGAAAAGCGGGCCCCGGGCTCAGGACGCCCTCACCTCGGTCTCTCGTCTTGGGGCTTCTCTGCTCTTGGCTCGCCCCTCCAACTCCGTGCCAGGCTGAACCTTTCCTAAGGACACGACTGAAGCAGGCTGCAGAGGCTGCACGTTTGGCGGGGAGGAAATCACCTGGTTCGGAAATCACCTGGCTCTGAAAGTTACCTTCAGACTCTGAAAGTTACCTTCAGAGTTAGGCGTTTTTTTGTTGTTGTTTGTTTTGTTTTGTTTTCTTTTTTGAAAGTGAGTCGATTTAACTCCATGAAAGTATAGAACATACTTCATAGATTGAGACAGAAACGTGCAGAGCAGGGTGGCTATCGTGGCAGTGCCAGGGGGTGGCTTTGGTGGATTTACCTTCTCTTCGATCTCCGATCTCCGAGAGCCTTGTAAAGGCATGCAAACAAAAACAAGAAGTAGAAATCGGTTGCCTGACGAGCAAAACCGCTGCATCAAGATAGTCTCCTTCTTCCCACCCCACACCCCTCAGCAGATTGCCACCTTTACGCCCGGAGGCGTTTAATAGCAATTTTGGTGCTGCCACGGTGTGTATAATGTGGCATAATTGGTTTAAAACACTCGCTTATGTTTGCATTTGCATAGAATGGCTAGGGAAAGGTTCCTGAGAAACAGTAGTCGTCCCGGGAAGGGGGATTGGGGAGACAAATGAGAGGGTGAGGAGGGAGACTTACCCTTACCTTTCACATACCTTTTAGGACTTTTGGTTTTTTTTTTAAATCGTGGGCTTGCATTAACTATTTTCGCAGAAGAATAAATACTACATGTTTTAAAAATGAGGCACATTTGAATCGTCTTGAAAACAACAGTTCACCTAGTTTTAAGTTATGTAGAATTGCCCTTGAAACACAAATCTTGCCCATGCCATGTTTTTCCTTTAGTTGTCGTCTCTAAAAATCCTCAGGGAATCAATGAGAAGTCTTCAAAAGAAGACTCTGAAGTTTCAACCAAGTCAATTGGTGGTTTTGATTGCTACCTAGATTCTGATTTTGATTTTGCTTGCTTGAGAGTGTGGGTTGTCTAATTTTGGAAGAGGTCACTTTCTCTTATTCGTAAAAGCATAGAAGAGTCATCCTGGGGTTACATGGGACTTCATTCCAGGAGGGTAGGTCAGGGCAGGTAGGCTTTATAGGGAGGCAGTCTCAGATTGGACACAGATTGCTGCTTTAGCAGTTCAGGCAGCCTTGTCATCTGCTGACCTGGGCTCAAACCGGTGCGTGTTTAAGGAAGCAAATTTCTGTAATGAAAGTGAATGTAAAGTTAAAACCACAGTTCTGAAACAAAAATTGACTGAAGCAAAACAATCCTTTGAATATCTCCAAATCAGCTACTAATATCTGGAGGGCCAACTTCTCTTAGTTCTCAAATCAGTGGAGGATAAATAAGTGAGCTTTGAATTTGGACTGTAGTTAGATTGTTATTTATGATGGTTCTCAGTGTTCTTTTTGTTAAGACATAAATAAATATGTTTCATAATCTCACAGTGATGTGTTACACTCCATAGCAGATATTGTAGCTCAAGATCCTTCAGACAATGTAAAGGCCAATGGTGTGTTTTGGAATCCAAGGAAACAGTGTGGATTCTGAATCTGTTTGCATTTTTGTGGTGGTGTTTATATTAGTGTATGTATATCTGTGGTTTTCTTTTTTTCAGTACTTAATTTTTTTTTCTTTTTACAGTGTTCATGAGTTTAAAGAAATAAGTGTGCCTAACTCTAGAATAATATGTTGATAACTGAGAAGAATATAATTGTTATGGACTCTCAGCAGTTTTCCCCAGGTTAATCTCCAATTAATTACTTCTTTATTTAAAGTTATTCATTTTTATGCACAAAATGTCTGTATATTTTTGTCGGATGTGTTATTGTAATTATAGGGAATCTGTATAATCCAAATTGGAGATTATATAAAATTCTAGCCTAGGTAAATGGCATTTTTACCTTTTTGAATGAAGTAAATACCTGAAACTGACAAGTCCAACTATCTGACACTTTTACACAAGATTGATTCTGAGTTAGAACACATAATGAATTTTAATTGGAATGTTTAGCCTTGATACAGCTTCCCCAAACTCACATTATTAAAGTTTATACTTCTAGAAAGATCAAGGTTACTAAAGATCTAATCAGATCTGAAGTAACTTTTCCCTGTATGTATTGACTGGGCTGTTGTTCACATAACTATATCCTTGGATCTTGCAAATGTGAATGCCAGTCAGATGCTGGGTTAATGTTAAGGTACTTGGAACAATAGGGCCATTTAATTGCAATTTTTTATTTTCATCCTTTGTCGACATGTGAAAATAGCTTAAAATTTTTCATTTGCCTTCTATCCATGATACAATTTTAAAAGCTGTTTTAATATAGTCTACTTTCTCCTAGACATGTGTTTTAAGTATTAAAAGATCAGCTGTTATTAGTTATAATTTGAAAGTTCTATTAGAGCAGGCATGGTGGTTTATGCCTATAATCCCAGAACTTTGGGAGGCCGAGATGCGAGGATCACTTGAGCCCAGGAGTTCGAGACCAGCCCTGGTAATATAGCGAGACCCTGTGTCTACAGAAAATGAAAAAATTAGTAGGGCATGGGGGCAAGTGCCTGTAGTCCCAGCTATTCTGGAGGCTGAGGTGGGAGGATCACTTGGGCCTGGGAGGTTGAGGCCACAGTAAGTGATACTCATGCCACTGCACTCCAGCCTGGGTGACAGGGTGGAGTGCAGTGGAGTGAGACCCTGTCTCAAAAACAAAAATCTTTTAGCATTAAGTACAGTATTTATTTGAGGACCATGCATCTTTTTTCCTGATTAGACTCTAAAAAATGTGGTAACATTTCCAAAATCTACATGCATGGTTGAAATATATCCCAGACACTTGTCTCAGCATGTTTGAAGGTGGACAAACAAAATCATCCAAAGGGTTTGTCCATTCAAAAGGACATAGATTTTTCCAGGAGTTGATCAGATTCCTGTTTGACTATGAGAGTGAGATCAGTGGTACCAAAATAGAAGTAATTTGTTGAAGTTTTATGGAAATTACTCCTGAATTTTCTCTCTTAGGAAGGTCTTATATGGATTAATTACCAAGTGTCATGTGGTGTGATGGACAAGAAGAAAGCAATCAGATGAAAGTTATGTGTTTTCAGTTCTGAGTAGATGGTAGTATTTTTCCTAGAACAAACTGCTTCTAGTATTTGATGTATATTAATAACCTGAGGCTAAATGATCTAGTGTTTGGAGTTAGAGCTTTAAAATATGAAATAAATTATTGTGGTGTTTTTTGATCAGATGATGCTTTGGCGCTGTCATTTTCAGATGATGTTAAGAGAAGGGAAGTAATGAAAAATTGGCCCTAACATATATTTTGGACCTGGCTTGATAGGGGAAGTTAATTTGAATGCCAGAACTGAAGTTAATTTGAATGCCATTGTTGAATTAAGAACTATGTGTTGCTAAACTGGAAAGGCTATTTTCCTATGTGTTTTGAAGATAACTATGGTGATTTATTGGTAGCTATTATGTCATCTAGCTTCATTTCTGGGCTGTGCTACTTCTCTGGGGGATGTCAAGGCTTCATGCTGAGGATATGCTCTACAAGTGTAGGGCTTCTCTTTCCCCACTTTTTTCATGTCATGATGCTTTATAGGGAATCTGGCAAAAAGCAGCTATGTGACTGCAGTGTTGCTCATTAGCATCAAACATAGGGCTTGATACACATTAACTCCAATTAATGTTTGTTAAGTTAAGAATCTAAAAATGATAAGGACCTGACATTCAGATTTAGTAACAGCTTCCATTATTTAAACAACACGTACTTTTGAGCTCCTATCTTGTAAAAGGCACTCTTAGGTACACAGTGAAAGCATGGGGTTTACTGTTAAGTAAAAAGAAGTATATAATCCAAGATAGAGAAGACATATGCATCTTGAAAATACAACTGCATTGTCTAGTAATAATAACAACCATGATTTATTATGCCTCTCACAGTAGATACTATGTACTTCACAATAAACTAGAGGGTAAGTATTGTTACCCACCACCCCTGGCATTTTATACATGATGAAATTGACCTTCAGGAAGACTATACAAGCTGTAATTTGGTAACCTGAAATTGGATTGGAACCTTTGTCTGGTAACTGATGGAGAGACCAATGGTAGTAAAACCAAGAGTCAAGGAATGAAGTCCCCGTTCTCCAACTAACTAGTTCTGTAACCTCAGAAATGTATCACTTCCTGAGCTTCCATTTCTTCACTAGACGAAGGAGAGGGTTGGAAAAAAGTATTTCTAAGGTTTATTCCAACTATAACAGTCTACGATTTAAAAAAATTTAAATGCTGAAAGAGTTATAGACAATTAGTAATAAGTGATACATTTCCTTGTTTCTAGGAAACACTTTTTCCCTCACATTGGAATTCCTAATGTTAGAATAATTTTCCAAATGTTGGGAACTTTTACATTTATTGTTTTTAAAAAAATGATTTCGTTTTCTCAGAAAATCTTATTTTAAAGCAATTGTGCTCCCTACGATTGATGGCATCTTAGACAACAAACATTTGTTAGTTCCAACAGGAAGTGGTAAGATGACATGTCAGTGAGTTTCGGCTGGTAATTGAACACTCACCAAAAAACAAGGACTTGGGTGTAGAAGAACGGAAACATTTCCCGTAGTAGGTGGAGAACAATTGAGAATAACTGCTTGGCCTCTGTGGGTCCTTGAGGTTTTCTTTCTTTTTTTAAAAAGTTGAGATATTATCAGTGGTAGGCTGGTAAAATGTCCCTAAAAGAAAAAAAGCCCTGATTTGTAGCATTTGCTGATTCCTACCTTTACTATGGCTGATTTCAAGTTACCAAGAGGCGATGAACATGGAGTTGGAAAGAGAAGCACAGAATTGGTAAGCACACCACTTACGTACAGTGAGATGCACAGATTTCATTTTTAGTTGGATGAACGGTTTATTTTTTTTCAAACTTATGTGACACCAGGTATCAGGCACACATGGGGAAGCACAGATAAATAACTAGTTCTTACTTTTCAAAATGTCATAGTTTAGCAGACTGTTTCAATGAACTTTTAAGTAGGGAAAGGGCTCTTACACTGAGAATAGTTGATTAGGTCTCTCTTTTTCCACTGAGAACAAAATAAATGCCAAGTAGATCCTTAAATACCTAGATTAGATATGAGAGAACTGAGGTCTGTAACTGGCTTATTTGATGTTAGGATGATGGATTATGATTTTTAAGACCCTGTTTCTAAGGATGTCAAGTTAAGCATAATAGATTCTTGTTTTGCTTGTGTATGTGTTGGTATGTGTACATGTCTAATTATCACCTTTATTGAGGTATAATTCACATACAATAAAACTCACTACATTTAAGTGTACAATTTGTTGAATTTTGACAGTTATCAAACCCTATCACAATAGAATATTTTTGCCAAACTGAGAAGTTTACTTGAGTTCTTTTCCAGTTAAACTCCCAACCCTCCAGGAGACTGCCAGTCTGATCTCTTTCACTATAGATGAGTTTTGCCTATGTATACATTTTTGTGTCTAGCTTCTTTCTCTGAGCATAATGTTTTTGATATTAATCCATGTTGTTTTAGGTATTAGTAGATTATTCCTTTTTATTGCTAAGTAGTATTTCATTGCATTAACATGCCACAGTTTGTCCATTCACCAGACATTTGAGTTGTTTTCAACTTTTGACTGTGACAAATAAAGATGCCAAGAATATATTTGTACAAAAATCCTTTCCCTTTCTTTTGCTTGGGGCGGGGGTATGTAAGTGCTTAAGACTGAAATTGTAGGATCTAAGGTTAGTATGTACTTAACTCTGTAAGAAAATATTCATGTCTTACCTCACATCTCTAGGGAATGAAAGATTTTAGATCAGAATGGTAGGGTAGAGGAAAATCCATTGGGGAAATTGTTCCTTTGGTATTTACTTAATCTGAGAATTTTTTAAATGCAATTGTAACTATTGATGAAATGTGAATATTGATTGAAAAAAGACGTTGATGTTAAATAAGACTTTACAAGCTTGTAAAAGAAAATATAGTTACAGAAGGAAAACAAGTTTTTAAAAACAGCTTTATTGTGATATAATTTATATACCATAGAATTCACCCATCTAAAGCGCTCAATTCAGTGAATTTTGTTTATTTACAGAGTTGTACAACCACCACCACAAACTAATTTTAGAAAATTTCTATCACTCTCAAATAGGAAGTACCCATTTACAGCAAAGAAGAAAAAAACAAAAACAAAACCATGGTTTTAGAGTTAGGAAGAGCTATGTTTTAGTCTGGATTTTACTGGTGTAGCAACTGCATGACCTTGGTAAACTGAATCTCAGCTTCCACATCTTTAAAATGGAGATGAAGCAGCTCCTTTACAATATTTGTATAAGGATTATAACTAATGCACATAGAGCACTTGGTACATGATGAATATTAAATAAATAAATGGTAGTGTTTACTGTTGAACCTTGTGTCCACTTTTGTACTTTCTATGACATTTTGTTCATATCCTTATGTCTGACACTGCTACAAATAACTTTGAACCTATGTTTTAGGCAGAAATTAGATGGAGTGGAAAGGAGAAACCTGGACTTTAATGAGCTGGGGTTTTCTGGCTGTACAATTTAATTGCTTGACTTGGCAAATCACCTAACTGTGTCTGTTTTTTTTTATATGAAGGATTAAAGTAATCACATCCACCTTGTGGGATTGTTCTAAGTATCTGAGAGAAGCTATGTGATGTGCTGATATAGTAGATGATCAATAAATAGGAGCTGTTCTTCTGTGATACCAGAAGCTATCATCGTTGAAGTAATTACATTGTTGAAGTAATTACAAAATTCAAGGCATACATGGAAAACTTGGATGTGAACTTTGTGCATATTTGCTGTACAATTTTTTATATTTTAGGACTAGTAGAGGGCCAGGTACATAGTTCTTAATAAAATATTTGATGAAATAAATGCATAGATGAGTAAACAAGAAAAATTACTTTCCCCATTCTGTTTCAGTTTCCCTATGTTTCGGAAAATTTCATTTTCCAAGCTTTAGGCTCATTCACTTATCTCCTTTCTTTTTGGGGCTGGGATGGGGGGACAATAGTTAGAAACTTTCATTATAAGAACAAAAATAACACTAATTGCTTACCTTTGTAAGCAGCTATTTATATATTTTAAAAAGTACTCTCATGTTATTTCTTTGTATTCATGTCTCACAACAACCATATCAGGTAGTTGAAGTAGAGAGTCTCATTTTATTGAAAAGAAAAGAAAAGCAAGGTTCTGAGGTAGACTTATTCCTGGTTCTTAGGGAGCTAAGAAGTATAATAGCAAAGCCAAATGAGGGAAGGAGGGAATAAATAGGAAGCCTTGCGTGTGCTGGTGGAAGCACAGATGGGGGCTGCTGTTCTGGGAAGCAATCTGGCATTACTTAAGCAAATTGACTAGTTATCTACTCTGTGACCCAGCAATTCCGTTCCTACAGGTGGACACAGGAATGTGTACCAGAGGTCCCCAAGAGGACATGTCCAAGGTTGTTTACTTCTGTTATTAGTGGTGGAGGGGAATGGGAGGTAACTGAGTGAGCATTGCTTGGGGGAGAGGAAAAATGGCGGGTGCACGTCATGGAGTTGTCTGTAGCTGTAGAAGCAAAGGATTAGATAAACATAAGGAATTCAAATAGATTTTAAGAATATAGTGCTTGGTGAAAAGATAAGAGTGTGAAGTACATAAACATTAAATCCTTTATGTGAGTTTAAAATTCATTAGCCCAGCACAGTGCACATTTTGTAAGAGTACTTACATAAAGTACATCTTACATAAAGATACTCCTTAAACACGTTAGAATGGCTGCCTGCGTGGGATCCAGAGCATGGGAGTGGGCTATGGAGATGAAAAGGAATAAAGAAAGAAAATAATGATAATGTGCCATGAACCGGGAAGTATAGTTAACTCAACCCTCTGGATGGTGAAGTTAAACAAAACTAGACAACACGTTGTTATTTGATACTGTTTGAGTTCCTTTTATTGTGATTAACTCTGTTACCACAAGGCTTAACCAAAGAGATCCTCACATTATCATTATATGGAATGGATGTTCCAAGTGAAATAAAATTTGGATTGGTTTTCTAAAGTTTCAAGTGAAATTTCAGAGGAATATCTTTTTCTTTTTAAAATGTTTACAAGACAGTACACTTGATTTAGTGTGAATTTAAAAATTAAGTTCCTTGTTAATTTTGCGTTTTGGATAATAGAGACTGATGTGCCATATAGTACTACCAGTTTTTACAGAATTAGAATGTAATATGCTAAATATTTAATTCTAAAGTGATACTTAAAGTATTGTATCTTTATCATACTTCATGGATTTAGAAGGTGCTCAGTATCCTATTGTATCTAAAAATAGTTTGCTATGTGTATACTATCCTTAAAGGATATCGATATGTAAATTTTGGGGGGAAGAGGGCAAATATATCACATTCTATTGTAATACTTGTTTTCCAAGTTAACTTTGAAGTATAATAGATCACCTTTTTGTAGTAGAGGGGACTAAAAACAATACAGATTTACTAGGTACAGTTCTGGAGGCCAAAAGTCCACCGTAGATCAGCAGGGCTATGTTCCTTCTGGGGGCGCTAGAGGAGAATCCATTTCTTTTTTTTTTTTTTTTTTTTTTTGAGACGGAGTCTTGCTCTGTCGCCCAGGCTGGAGTGCAGTGGCGCGATCTCGGCTCACTGCAAGCTCCGCCTCCCGGGTTCACGCCATTTTCCTGCCTCAGCCTCCCGAGTAGCTGGGACTACAGGCGCCCGCCACCACACCTGGCTAATTTTTTGTATTTTTAGTAGAGACGGGGTTTCACCGTGTTAGCCAGGATGGTCTCGATTTCCTGACCTCGTGATCAGCCCGCCTCGGCCTCCCAAAGTGCTGGGATTACAGGCGTGAGCCACCGCGCCCAGCCTCCATTTCTTTACCTTATTCCACTGCTAGAGGCTGCCTGTGTTTCCTGGCTCTTGACCTCACATCACTTAGATCCCAGCTTTAGTCATCACATCATCAGATTGCTTTTCAATTTATCTTCCCTTTCTACTCACTGTTTGTAATTCTGAGATGATAGTTATAGAAAATGGCTATAATTATGTTTTATGTATGCTGCACATTTTTGTAAAATCAGCTATCTTGGTCGTTTAAAAAAAGGGGCCCTAATGGTTAAAAGTTCAACTCAAAATGGTCAGCCTTTGAGTGTCTACCCATTGCTACTGTGGAGGTGTTGCTGGTATTCAGTAGGAGAACTCTCCTGAGAAAAGAAGGTCACCCAATTATTTTAATGATAGGTATAGAAGCTGGAGAGAAACTGATTACATCTTTGACCCCAGTGTCCACCTGTTTATGAGTGGCATACAGGTGAGAGTTTCAGGTTTATCTGTAAAATGCAAGGAAAGGCCTAGCTCTTGTGTAAGAGTCTCATCTACACTAACACTTTGTTGTCTAAATGTGCCTCTTATAAATATCAATGAAATGTTGACATCAAAGAATGAATTTCAATGCTATGTTTTGGTTTTCTCCACAAATGAAATGAAATACTCAGAAAAGGAAGGTGTTGTGATCTTGAAGAAGGGATACAAAGAATGTCCAGAGTGCAAGTGGTGAAAATTAGATTCAAGAGCATGATTAGATTCAAGAGATGATTTCCTTATCTGCAGCCTGGGAATAATAATTCCTACTTCCTGTCAAGTCATAAGGATCAAATTGTATGATTAGGTAATTAATTCAAATTGCTTAGTACTATGTGAAAATATTGATATATTTTTAATGTACTCTTTAAAAAATGAGCTGCTCTTTTCAATGTAGTAGTTTTTCCATTGAAGTAATTTAGTGGGTTAGTTTTTGTGTTGCTATACAGGAATATTTGAGACTGGGCAATTTATAAAGAAAATAGGTTTATTAGTTGGCTCATGGTTCTACAGGCTGTACAGGAAGCACGGTGTTGGCATCTGCTCCTGCTAAGGCATCAGGAAGCTTCCAATTTTGCTGGAAGGCAAAGACAGGCATATCATATGGCAAGAGAGGGAGCAAGAGAGAGAAGGGGAAAGTCCCAAACTCTTTTAAACAACCAGATCTCCCATGAACTCACTGAGTGAGATCTCACTCATCACCAAGGGGATGGTGTTAGGCCTTCATGAGGGATCTGCCCCCATGATCCAAATACCTCCCACCGGGCCCCACCTCCAACGTTGGGGGTTATATTTCAACATGGAATTTGGAGGGGACAAACATCCAAACCATATCCTTTAGCATCTTGCCAAACATGATAAATAATAGCAAATACTATCTCAGTGATAAGTGAACACTTTAAAATTTGACATCTTAAGAGATTTGGGATTTTTAGCCTGTCTTTGAGGTTTTGGCAATTAATTTTTTTTTTAATTTTTAATTTTTTTATTTAGAGACAAGATCTCATTTTGTTGCCCAGGATGGAGTGCAGTGGTGCGATCATAGCTCACTACAGTCTCCATCTCTTGGGGTTAAATGATCCTCCTGCCTCAGTCTCCTGAGCTGGTGGCACTACAGGTGTGCTGCCACACCTGGCTGGCAATTTTAAATTTTATTAAACATCAGGTATGCCAGAAACTATGCTTTCTTAGTCTACTGAATCCAACAGAACAGGTGCATAAGCAATAATTAAAATTTCTTTGCGGCCCTATCCTTCATTTTGCAGAGTCTTGGTGGATTGAAAAGCTGCTGTGGGGTGCGAGGGGTATGAAATGGCATAGTTTAGGTTGGTGCGGATGTCCACTTAAGTCTCCATGGAGACTTAAGTCTGTCTCAATGTGTATAACTGATCAGCCAGAAATTATTCAGATGTTTGAAAAATCAGTGTAATGAGTTGCTCTCTGAGTTGGGAAATTTGGGTTCAGCCTATCATTCAAAATGTATGTACACTTGGCAAAGTCACTTCTGCAGAGTTTCCTCCCAACTGGTAAGATTTCAGCCAATTTAAAGATTCTCCATGCTTTGAGATATGAACTATGATGAAGGTGTCAATTAAAACTAGTACATGCTATTTTGCAGAACCTCCACTAAACTAATTTTAAGCTCTAGGTTTGCCTAGAAATTGATGAGGACTCTGCAGGGATGAGTAAATACCTTAATGTGCATTTATGTGGATTCTTGAAGCAGCTTTTATCTGTTAGTAATCATTGTCTGCCCAAGTTAGATATCGGTGTCATTAATAAGACCTTTCTCCCTGTCTCATGGAATGAAGTACAAATCATTTTAATACTACTCCACAAATGTCCATTGAATCCAATCTTTGTTTTATATGTACAAAACAAAGATATGATGTCATTCCTCTGTTTAAAAACCTTTTATGATTACCCATTATAAATAGGATAAAGTCCAAACGTCTTAGGGGGTTGTACAGAATATCTTTTGCCATCTTGACCCAAAACAGTTTTACTCTTTATTTTTGTGAAACATCTGATCCTGTGACCATGCTATACTTATTTTTTCAACCTTTCTTTAAATGCAGTCTGCCTTTGCATTTTTCCACCTCTACATACAAGTCTTCTCTCTGCTAATTTGTGCCATTCTCATTTTTCTCTTCCTGGAAAATCTTCCTTCAAGACAAGCTCAAGTACTCCTCTTCTGGGCAACTTTCATGGTCTTCTGCAGATGGTGACAGTCAGTCTGTCTTCTATAGTGTTATAGTACTTCATGTATATTTTGCAGTCATGGCATTTCACACAGCTTATTGGAACTATTTAATTACTGTTTCTTCCCTAACTAACTGGACAATGGACTTCTAGAGGGTATTTTTACTAATTGGATATTTTTATATCTGCTTACTCACATCTAGGATCTAGCACATCTGGTGCTCAGTTGACAGCTGTTAATCATAAAAATGCTTGGTTGGATGGTATTTACTAACATGATCTCCTGTGGGACAGTATTAAGGTCACTTTGACCTTCAAAAGGTCTGGGCTTGGTGTCCCATGCCTGTAATCCCGGCACTTTGGGAGGCTGAGACTGGCAGATTGCTTGAGCTCAGCAGTTTGAGACCAGCCTAGGCAATATGGCAAAACCCTATCTCTACAAAAAATACAAAAATTAGCAGGGCATAGTGGTGTGCACCTGTGGTCCCTGCTACTCAGGAGGCTGAGGTGGGAGGACCGCTTGAGCCCAAGATGTGGAGGCTGCACTGAGCTGTGATCTGTGATCACATCACTGCATTCCAGCCTGGGCAACAGAGCAAGACCCTGTCTGAAAACAAACAGAAAACCTTCAAAGATACTTATATTTAAGTCAGATATAGATATATAAGATTTTGCAAATGTGTTAGAAATCTGGCAAGACTATACTTTTATAATATAATTACTTTTAATTGCAAAACCTACAATTACTTTTGCGCCAACCTAATAGTATTTTGTATTTCTGTATTTTTGGAAGCTTTGATCCTGCAACAATTTTCTGCTAAATAACATAGTATAGTAGATTTCATAGTAGCTGTGTGACAAGGGTAACTGAATTCATTTCTCAAAGACCCATTTCCTCATCTTTAAATAGGGTGCATATCTCATAGGGTTGTTGAGAGAATTAAATGTGATCCTTCATGGAAAGCACTTAGAACAGTGTCTCGCACATAGCTACCATCTTGTGAGCATCTACTGTTAAAATTGAGTTTTACTATGTGTGTGTAATATCTGTGCTAATATATGTTAATAATATGCATTTCTACTGTGTATTATCCTTGTAAGGAAGGGACATTTCTCACAAATTCTCTGTTGCAAAAGGACATCAGATTCTTTTGCTTAAACTTCCTCCTCTTCTCTCATCCTCTTGTAATAAAATGATGGGAATTCGTTCAACATTTTTCTTTAAAGTGATCTTAAAAATAGAGATCATTGATATAATCAGTTGATGTTAAAATGAAGCTAATCTCTCTTCTATTTGCTTATGATAGATAGCAGCTAAAGTCTATGAAGATTCCAGTGATCTCATGCATAAAGCAAACAGTGCCATAATGTGCTTACTGCACCAAAATCAATGCCATATATTTTTTATTGGTTTATAAAATGTATAACCAAGTAATATAGCAAATAACATCATAATTAAAGTCAGAAGAAAGGTTAATAAAATATTTAAAATGTGACAAGATATTATATCTCTATTATGCAAAGAACTTGTACATATTGTGAAGAAAAGGACAAAGTACCAAAAGGATAAATGGCTCTGGGGTATGAATAGACACCTCATAGAAGAGGGAAAGTAACTGGCTAATAAATGTATAAAAAATACATTAACAAATCATAAAAGACTAAAATGACTAATTTTCATTTGATAGCATTTTATTTTTCAGATTGGCAAACATAAAAAATCTTTATAATGTTGAGGATATGGGCACTTCCAAATATTGCTGATTTGAGCATCAATTGGTACAACTTTTTTGGTGGAAAGCTTAGGCAAATGGTTAATCTCTTAAAATAAAAACATGCTTATTGTTTGTTACAGCAAACCACTTTGGGGAACTCCTGCAATAGAAATGAAAATATTAATATGTAAGGATATATTAATATTTACAAGGATGCTTATTACAACAGTGTTTGTAAAGCAAAAAGACCAGAAACAAACTAAATTTACCTTTATGGGACTGGTTGAATATATTTATGGTTTCTTCATTATATGGAAAGTGATAATTTAAAAGTGAGTTAGAGCTACAAATAGTAAAGCAAAAAAGCAAGTTACCAAGCAGTGAGTATTGCATAATACTAGTTTAAAAACAAAACAAAACAAAAAGCAAAAGAAAGAAGTCACAATATTTGTCTGAATTGAGGCCGTTCAAGGATTTGGTTGTCTCAGGGGAATGGAATTTTGAGGGGAGGAAGATTTATTAGCTTTTCTTTCTGCTGTATAGTTTGATATATTAAAATAAGCATGTGTTTTGTAATAAATCCAATAAAGTAAAACACAAGAAAAAAATTTAGGTTGAAGGAAAAGCAGAGAGCAGTTTTTCTCTTGGGTATCTTTTCTTTGCATAACTTTTGTGTACTATCATTTGTTGTACATTTGGTCTTACGAGTGCTTCTTATTCACATAGTCACAGAATTCCACTCTCTAAAATGGCTTGGTTTCTCTCTGAATGGGGTGGCCATAAAAAAAATTTTTTTAAGTGAAATAAAATGGCTTGGTAATTGTCCTTGTGGAATACTTCTCATCCCTAGTTAAGGTTTTTGGTGATGTGTATATTGTCCTACTGTTTAGAAATTACATTTGGAACTGAGCTGGAGCATATAGTTTTTGTTGAGATGTTGGTAGCACAAACATGTTTTTATAGAGTAAAATTAAGAATACTTTTTTTTTTCCTTCTATGTTTGAAGCCCAAAATTAAGTAGCCCTGTCCTCATCCTTTTTAATTTCAGGTGAGTAAATTCTCTGTATCATTGACTCCTCCCATTTCAAATTATTGCTCAGGTGAATACATTCCTTGCTTCGTCGACTCCTCCCATTTTAAATTATTACTTTGCCTGTAAAGTTTAAATGTTTTAAAATAATGTTTTTTAAATTACAAAAGCAAAGGTTGTTTATTACTGAAAAATCAAAGTCATGTTCAGGTAAATACCAACAAAACCAACTCTTCTACTTCTAAAACAACAACAAGAATGCTATTAAATTAAATTTGGCCTAAAACTGTCTTTGCATGTAGTGAGCTGCAACCTAACTTAGTATGTAAACAAACTACAACCAAACAGCATATATTCTTGTAACAAATAGCTAAGTCTCAGATAATCACAGCAGCTGAGTCTCAGCCAATCACAGGCTGATAGTTGATCAGACAATGTCCATATAAGGCAAATGCCTGATGGCATCCTGCCTAAGTAAGGCAGATGTTGAGCTGTAACCAATGAAACTGTTTGTGTGTTATTTCCTTTTTCTGTCTATAAATACTGACTGCTCATGTTGCTGGTAGCTCACTCTACCTTTTCTGGTTCTGAGGGCTGCCTGCCTTATAAATTGGTTTTTGCTCCAATAAACTCTACTAAATTTAATTTGACTGAAATTTTTCTTTAAATGATGCAAATCTCACCAATTTGGTGTCAATCTCTCAGTCTCTTGGTAACTTTCAAACCTTTCATTACAAATAGTTTTCATGAGTGGTAATGAAGTTGAAGGGCTTTCAGAGTCAGACTAATCTGAGTTTTCATTACTTGATTTTGTTGACTTGTATCTCAGTTTCTTTTAAGGAAAATGGGCATAATAAATATTATTAACTTCCCATAGGATTGTTATAAACACTAAATTGTAAAGCTCAGTGCTTGGTTCATAGTAAGTTCTTTTTATTATTATGCTTTAAGATTTCACATATGTTTATTATTACATATTGCTTAGGTAATCCATGTTCAATATAGAGATGAACCTTTTTAATAACATGGCACACTGGACTCAAAGAGACAGGCTGCTCCCAGCTGAATTTGATGCTGTGGGGCTGTGTCTACACTAGACTCTGCCATTGCCCTGAAGACTAATAACTCCTCACTCCCAGAACCCTTGCCAGGCATAAGTTACCAGAAGTGGAATGTGAGCAAAGGGTGTGGATATTTTGACAGTTTTATGCACCCTTTATTTTTTGAGTACCACTACTTCTTCCTTCTAATAGGTTATACCAATTTACATCTCACAGTGTAGAAGAGAGCTCACTTTCTAAACTTTTCACAGCATGGTATTATTTTTTCTTTACCTTTGCCAGGGTGATTGGTGAAAAGTAGCCTCACATTGCTTTACATTGTGATTGTAAGCTTTTGGTCAATGTAAAAGTAAAATGTGGAATACCGGCTTAATAAAAAAATCCTCAAGGGATAAAGTGAGGAGGAGCTAATACCTGATAATCTTATAAATCACTGGCTGTATAAGTAGCAATTGCTGGGTCTCCGCTCTTTAGATGTTTCTTATGAGCCTGGCTACTCTTGTTTCATAGCTACACTTTGTGCTTCTGGTTACAATTGTGTAATCTATTACTAAATGAAGATTGAATATGGAAATCTCCACTCTCAGCTTTTTCCTTTTTAACATTGATGAAGGCTGGGCACAGTGGTTCATGCCTGTAATCCCACCACTTTGGGAGGCCAAGGCAGGAGGATCACTTGAGCGCAGGAGTTTGAGACCAGCCTGGGCAACATGGCAAGACCTTATCTCTACTAAAAGTAAAAAAAAGTTAGCCGGGCATGGTGGCATGCATCTGTAGTTCTAGCTACTTGGGAGGCTGACGTGGGAGGATCATTTGAGCCCAGGAGGTGGAGGTTGCAGTGAGCTGTGAATGTGCCACTACACTCCAGCCTCGGTGACAAAAAAATTTTTCTTAAATTGCCTAAATTTTTTTTTTAAATTGAGTGTGAGATTGTAAGAGAAAATAGAGAACAATCCATGACTTGAGTGGAAGATTGAGATTTATTTTCTTGACTAGAGTTTCATGAAGAATTGTCCCTACTGTCTTTGAAATTTTTTTTTAACCTATATTTAAGTGCATACTTTGGCAATACACATTTTGCTTCTCCAGTTGCTTGCTTTTATTTATGAGAAGCAATACTCTGATTGTAGCAATCATTTTTTTCCTACATGTTTTTGTTTCCCCCTAAGCAGTTTTTCTTGAGAGGGCAAGAAAGTTAATTTTTTAAAGTTAATTCTATACTAGAACGACATTTTTTTTAACTTTCTTGGATTTTGATGTTAAAATACAATTTTTATGAGCGATAGTATTAATGATTCTCAATAGGAATTATTTTCATGTAATATTCATGTCTGGTAATAGGTACACAAGAAAAACTTGAATATGTGAATATGTATCACATGTAGCAATAGTGTATTACCTTTCAGATGAGAGCATGACATTTCTAACTGACCACCTGAAAGGCATCCACTTGAAACACATTTTCTAGTGTTGAAGCTAGATTTACCTTAATTTGTACATACACATTTAATATTTCTTGAAGAAGAGTCTTGTTAAGGAGTACAGTCAAGCTGATTGGTCAGCATGGTCCTTAAGTTTCAAACCTGTGATCTTCAGATTAGAACCTTAATGGTTTTGGCCGAAAGCCATTGTAAAGTTGAATTAAAAAAAATCGTAGAACAAAAATCGTAACATTCATGGTAGAATAGAGTTGCAAATATGCAAAACCTACCATTTAAGAATACATTTTATCAACAGTCAATATTACTACTGTAATATCTGAAATAACTATCTGAAATAACTTTTATACTGGTTTTAGAAAGAAATACAAAGTCTCCAGAAGTTACTCCTCTTGCTGTGACCCAAATATACCCTCCTGCCTGTCTCTGTGCTTTTGTTTAAATTGTTCTCTTTGTATATTCTCCCCACCCTTATCTACCCAGGAAGGGTCTTAGATACTTTATGCTGATTCTATGAATTCATTTCTTATGTAAAATCTTGGATTTATGTTTATCCCACCACCAGATATTATGTGTGTCTGTATGTGTGTATTTTCAGAGCTTGTGTTCCTTTATGCATTGTTCCTTTAATTTATCTGACAGTGACACACCTCTTTGTGCCAGGCATTTTGTGGGGTACTTGATTTATAATGGTAAATCAAACACCGTGTTTGCTTTCACGAACTTTACAAAGCAATTTTATACACACACACACACACACACACACACACACATTTGTATATGTAAATATATATAATAGAATTTGTACCAAATTAAAACAATTGTAGACTTTATTTTCTAGAGCAGTTTTAGGTTTACAGAAAAATGGAGTAGAAAATGTAGAGTGTTCCCATATATCCCACCTCCCCTAACCCCATACATGGTTTCCCCTGTTAATAACACCTTGGGTAAAGTGATACATTTGTTAGAATTGATGAAGAATATTCATATATGATTATTAACCAAAATTCATAGTTTACATCAGTGTTCACTTTTTGTGTTGTACAGTTCTATGAGTTTTGACAAATGTATGATGCTTGTATTCTCCGTGATGGTATTATGCTAAATAATTTCGCTGCCCTAAAAATCTTCTGTGCCCCACTTATTTATCCCTCTCTCCTGCCCATGAACCCCTGGCAACCATGTTGCCCAGGCTGGTCTCAAACTCTAGGGGCTTAAGCAATTGGCCTTAGCTTCTTGAGTAGCTTGTAGATATTCTTTATCAAGTTGAGGAAGTTCTCCTCTATTCTTAGTGTACTGAGATTTTTATTATGATTAAGCATTTGATTTGGCCAAATGCTTTTTCTGCATCTATTGATATTTTTCTTCTTTAGCCTTTTGATGTGATGAATCCCATTAGTTTATTTTCAAATGTTGAATCAGTCTTGCATACATGGAATAAATCTTACTTGGTCAAGATGTACGATTATTTTTATACATTACTGGATTTGATGTGTTGAGGACTCTTACATCTGTGTTTATGAAAGATAGTGGTTTGTGGTTTTTCTTTCTTGTAATGTCTTTGTCTAGTTTTGGTATTAGGGTAATGCTGACCTAATAGAATGAGCTAAGAAGTTTTTCTTCTGCTTCTGTTTCCTGGAAAAGATTGTAGAAAACTAGTATTTTCTTCTCAAATTTTTGGTCGAAGTCACCAGTGAACCCATCTGGGAATGATGCTTTCCATTTGTGAAGGTTATTAATTATTGATTCAATGTCTTTAATAGATAAGGATTATTCAGATTACCTGTTTCTCCTTATTTGAGCTTTAGTAGATTTCAAAATGTCTTTCTAGGAAGTGATTCACTTCATCTAGGTTATAAAATTTATAGGCATACAGCTGTTAATAACATTCTGTTATTATTCTTTTGATGTTTATGAGATCAATAATGGTGGCCCCTCTTTTATTTATGATATGAGTAATTTGTGTTTTGTCTTTTCTTTTTCTGGGTTAGCCTGGCTAGAGCTTTATTAATTCTATTGCTCTTTGCAAAGACCCAGCTTTTTTTTTTATATTCTCTATCGATTTCCCATTTTCAATTTTATTGGTTTCTGTTGTAATTTTTCTTTTTCTTTTTCTTTTTTTTGAGACGGAGTCTCACTCTGTTGCCCAGGCTGCACTGTAGCCTCTGCCTCCCAGGTTCAAGTGATTCTCTTGCCTCAGCCTCCCGAGTAGCTGGGATTATAAGCATACACCACCACACCCAGCTAATTTTTGTATTTTTAGTAGAGATGGGGTTTTACAATGTTGGCCAGGCTGGTCGTGAACTCCTGACCTCAGGTGATCTGCCCGCCTTGGCATCCCAAAGTACTGGGATTACAGGCATGAGCACTGCACCCAGCCTGTTGTAATTTTTATTATTTCTTCTTTTCTGCTTGCTTTACACTTACATTGCTCTTACTTCTGTAGTTTCTTAGATTAGATTATTGATTTTAGATCTTTGTCTTTTTTCTGATATATTTCTTCAATACTATAAATTTCCCTCTAAGCACTGGTTTTGCTGCATTTCATAGGTTTTGATAAGTTGCATCTTTATTTTCATTTAGTTCAAAATATTTTTAATTTCTCTTGAGATTTCTTCTTTGACTCACATGTTATTTAGAAGTGTATTGTTTAATGTCCAATTATGCTGAGATTTTTTTCAGTTATCTTTCTATTACTTGTTTATAGCTTAATTTCATTGTGGTGTGAGAGCATACTTTGTATGATTTCTATTGTTTACATTTGTTAAGGTATATTTTGTGGCTCAGAAAGTGGTCTGTTTTGGGGAATGTTCCATATGAACTTGAGAAGAATGTGTATTCTGCTGTTGTTAGATGAAGTACTCCATGAATATCAACTAGGTGCAGTTGCTTAATGGTGCTTTTTACTTCAACTATGTCCTTACTGATTTTCTGCCTGCTGGATCTGTCAATTACTGATAAAAAGGTGTCGAAGTCTCCACCGTACTTGTGGATTTATTTGTTTCTCCTTGTTGTTCTTTTAGTTTTTGCCTTACATATCTTGATGTTGTGTTTTTAGACCTATACATATTAATAGTTATGTCTTCTTAGAATATTGATCTTTTTATCATTATATAATGCTCCTTTTTATCCCTGATATTTTTCCTTGCTCTGAAGTCAGCGTTTTAAGAAATTAATATAGCTACATCAGCTGTCATTTGATTCATGTTAGCATGGTGTATCTTTTCCATTCTTTTACTTTTAATTTATGTGTTTCTTTATATTTAAAGTGGGTTTCTTATAGACAACATATAGTTGGGTGTTCTTTTTTAAATTCATTCTAACAGTCTCTGTCTTTTAATTTGTGCATTTAAACCCTTTGTGTTTAAAGTATTTAGTTGTGTTAATATCTACCATATTTTTCACTGTTTTGTATTTGCTGCCCTTATTCTCTGTTTCTTCTCTGGTATTGAGCACTTTATATGATTCCATTTTCTCTCTAAGCATATAAATTGTATTCTTTAAAAAAATATTTTGGTGGTTTCCCTAGGGCTTGCATTAACAACCAATCCAAGTTTACTTTCAAATAATAATAATACCACACCAGTACATGAATAATACAAGTGCCTTATAACAGAGGCTATCCAATTCCTCCCTTTCATCCCTTATAATATTGCTGTCATTCATTTGATTTATCCTGCAGGATCTCTAAATTACTGGTAAATTAACAGATCCAGCAGGATAAGCTATAATCACTGAATTACAAGCTATAATCACCAAATAAACTATAATCACTGAATACCTTGTTACTCTTGTTATTATTTTAGAGACTGGGGGGGTCTCACTATGTTGCCTAGGCTGGCCTTGAATTCCTAGGCTTAGGCAATCCTCCCACCTCAGCCTCCTGAATAGCTGGAACTACAGGCATATGCCACTGTGCTTACTGTTATTGCATGGCAGGTCTTCTGGTGACATATTCCCTCAATTTTTGTCCAGAAAAGTCTTTATTTCTCTTCCTTTTTAAAGAATAATTTTCTTGGAAGTGAAACTATAGGTTGAGGGTTTATTCTTTCAACACTTTAAATATTTCATGCCACTGTTTTGCTTGTGTGCAGTTTCTGAAGAGAAATCTAATGTGGTTATTATCCGTGTTCCTTTTTAGGTAAGGTGTTTATTTCCTCTGGCTGCTTCCAAAGTTTTTCTGTTTATCTTTGATTTTCTGCAATTTAGATATAATATGTCTAGATGTAGATTTTTTGGTATCTATTCTGCTGGCTTTCCCTGAACTTCCTGGATCTGTAGTTTGGTGTCTGTCATTAAATTTTGAAAAATTTTGGTCATTATCTCTTCAAATATTTCTTTTGTTCTTTTCTCTCTTTCTTCTCCTGGCATTGCCATTATGTATTTATTACACTTATTGTAGTTGTCTCACACTTTTTGAATATTCGATTTCTTCTTAAAAAAATATTCTTTTTTCTCTTTGTATTTTATTTTGGGAAGTTTCTACTGACATCTTGAAACTCATTAATGCTTTCCTCAGCTGTGTCCAGTCTACAGCTGAGCCTATTAAAGGCATTCTTCATATCTGTTACAGTGTTTTTTATTTTTATTTATTTATTTATTTATTTATTTTTATTCAATTTTAATTTTTAATTTTTGTGGGTACATAGTAGATGCCTATATTTTTGGGGTTCATGAGATGTTTTGATACAGGCATGCAATGTGTAATAATCCAATCATGGAGAATGGGATATCCATCCCCTCAAGCATTTATCCTTTGTGGTGTTTTTTATTTTTAACATTTCCATTTGATTCTCTCTTAGAGTTTACATCTCTCTGCTTACATTACCCATCTATTTTTTGTGTTGTTCACTTTTCCCATTAGAACATGTAATGGTTATTTTATGTGTCCCCTTGACTGGGCCAAAAGATGCTCAACTAGCTACTTAAACATTATTTTGGGATGTGTTTGTCAGAGTGTTTCTGGAAGACATTAGCATTTAAATTGGTAGACCTAGTAAAGTAGCTGGCCCTCCCCATTGTGGGTGGACATCATCCAATCTGTTGAAGGGTTGAATAGAACAAAAAGGCAGAGGAAGGCTGAATTTGCTTTCTGCCAGACTAGTTGAGCCAGAACATCAACCTTCCCCTGTCCTTGATACACCTGGTTTTCAGGCCTTAAACTTGGACTGGAATCTGCACCAGTGGCTCTCTGGCCTTTGAACTACACCACCATTTTTTCTGGGTCTCCAGCTTGCTGATGGCACATTGTGGAACTTTTCAGCTTCCATAATTGCATGAGCTAATTCTTTGTAATAAACCATTATATAGGTGACCCTGAACAACATGGGCTTGAATTGTGTGGGTCCTCTTATATATGGCTTGTTTTAAAAAATATATTGGAAAAGATTTTTGAGATTTACACCAATTTGAAAACACTCACAGATGAACCATGTAGTGTAGAAATATTGAAAAAATTAAGAAAAAGGTATTTTATGAATGCATAAAATATATGTGGATGCTGGTCTGTTTTATCATTTACTATCATAAAATATAGGAAACTCTATTATAAAAAGTTAAAATTTATCAAAACTTATAAACACAGACCATTCATGGTGCCATTTACGCTTGAGAGAAAGGTAAACAACTGTAAAGATGCAGTATTAAATCCTAACTCTATAAAAATTACCTGTATTACATACTGAACTACTGTAATAATTTTGTAGTCATTTCCTGTTGCTACTGTGGTGAGCTCAAGTGTTGAGTATCTGTTTAAAGTGCCCTGTGATGCTAATCATCTCTGTGTGAGCAGTTCATCTCTCCAGTAAATTGTGTATTGCAGTAAAAAGTGCTCTCTTATAGTTCTTATGTATTTTTCACTCTGGTTAGTGCAATACCATAAACCTTGAGTAACACTGTGGGACCCATACAAAGGGCCACTAGTGATGCTGGAAGTGCTCCCAAGAAGCAGAAAAAAGTCAGGTTATCAAAAGAAAAAGTTGAGTTGCTTGATATGTACCTTAGATTGAGGTCTACAGCTGTGGCTGCCCATCATTTCAGACAGATGATTCATCTTGTAAACAGATGTTGTAAACCTATGATATTGATAAATACAGTATGGAACTATAAATATATATTCTCTTCCTTATGATTTTCTTTTTTCTTTTCTTTTTTTTTTTTTTGAGATGGGGTCTCACTCTGTCAGTGAGGCTGGAGTGTAGTGGCGCAATCATGGCTCACTGCAGCCTCAACCTCCTGGGCTTGAGCAATCCTCCCATCTCAGCCTCCTGAGTAACTGGGATGACAGGCATGTGCCACCATGCCCGGCTAATTTTTATTTTTATTTTCGTAGAGACAGGGTTTCGCCATGTTGCCCAGGCTGGTCTCAAACGCTTGGGCTCAAGGGATCCTCCTGCTTCAGACTGCACCTGGTCATGATTTTCTTAATAACATTTTATTTTCTCTATCTTACTGTAAGAATATAGTACATAATACATATGACATACAAAATGTATACAAATCAGCTATTTATGTTATTGGTAAGGCTTCCAGTCAACAGTAGTCTAGTGGTAACTAAGTTTTGGGGAATCAAAGTTTTGCACAAATTTGTTATTGCTCAAGGGTGGGTGCCCTAGGCTAATCTCCATGTGGTTCAAGGGTAAACTATGTAGATAGATATAGATATAGATATAGATATAGATATAGATATAGATATAGATATAGATATAGATATATCCTATTGGTTCTGTTTCTCTGGAGAAGTCTAATACAGAGCCCTTAGTGTATTCATCACTCTTGCTTAAAACTTCCAGTCTAGTAATTCCAACACCTCTGTCATATCTGAGTCTGGCTGTGATGCTTGCTATGTCTCTTCAAACTGCTTTTGGCCTTTTAGCATTCTTTGCAAGTTTTGTTGTTGTTGTTGTTGTTGTTTTGTTTTTGATAGCCAGACACAATGAATTGTGTACAAGGCACTGAAATCAATAGGCCTTTATTGTGAGGTTTTGTGTTTATCTTGCTAGAAATCAGGTTGTGTTTACTGTTTGATGTAGCTTTGGTGTGGTGGCTGAAATATCCTATAGTATCTTCGTTTTTGTCTCTCCTGTTGCTTTGAGGTTTCCTTAGAGACTCTTTCTTAAATAAGGCTTGAGGCTTGCAGTTCTTTCAGGTGTAATTTCCTGTTATTACACAGAAGCCAGATTGACTGGGTCTCACTCAGTCTTTTAATGTGCCTGTACTCCTGAGCTGTGCCTTCACAAGTGCTTCTCAGCCTTTCTTTTCCCCCTTAGGTGAGACAGAAATGCTAGGGGGTACTGGAATTGGGTATTTCTTTTCCCTCAGGTGGGTTAGGATCTGGTAAATCCCAAGTCAGTTAGGCTCTGGCAAATCAGATTCCGTTGAGGAAACTCTTTATTAAGGAAAACAGAATGTTCTGGGTGTATTTCAAAATGGCTGCTTTTCCCCTTCCCCTGCTGGACTCGTGAGAGGGGTTTTCTTCTATCTGCTCTGAGAAACTTGTGGGGCTCTTGGAGGTAAAAATCTCTACCTTTTGAAACTCAACTCATTCTTCAGGGCTTATGTTAAATATATTCTCCCCTGTGAGGTTCTGTTTTGACCATTTCTTCTCATGGATTTTGTTTTCTCACCTTTGGTGTTGTACCTGTGACATTCCAAAAACATGGAATGCATTGAATTACATTCAGCTTTGTGTTTTGACTTGAAGAGAGGATTTCTCTGTAGGTAGGCAGGATTGTCTACCTGTTACAGCAGCAAAGGAACTTTGAAGACAGATGGGAAATTAAACTCTGGTGGATTACTGGAATTCTGGACTTGACTAAGGTTTGGGTATCTTAGCAAGGTTAGAGGTAAATTGATAATGAGACAGTCAAGTGGGAAGGGCTCCCTGGCAGAACCTCTGACAGCCTGTACATTGGGAGGAATGCACACGGGGTGGAGACATGGGAAGTTCATGTCCTTTGCAGTGGGGAGGAGCCTGGCCTCTCCTTTCCCAGGGTGTAGTACCTGGGATTCAATTTGTGAGGCGGGAAGCGCACTAGCAGGATTCTGACTTTGCAGAGTGTCCTTGTTTCCCTTTTTTTCCTTTTTGTTGAATAAATCTTGTTTTTCTCACCCTTCAAATTGTCTGTGAGCCTAATTTTTTCGTGGTTCTGTGACAAGGACCTTGTCTTTAGCTGAACTAAGGAAAATTCCTGCAGCAATAAAACTTCTGGAATGAAGTTTTTGTTTAGGAAAGAAAACACCAACAGCAAAACATACAAATTGCCAGCTTAAAAAAACTCATAATATGCAAGAAATTATTTCAAAATCAACTTGAATTTTTTAAAAATTGGCATTTTAAATCTATAATCTATATAAAATTTAAATTTATATATTTAAATATATAATCTAATCATATAAATCTATAATCATGTCTAAGTGTATCAGAACTGTATTTTGTGGAGTTTCAGGAAAAATTCTACACTGGCCCAAGTCAGAGTATCTGTAGTTCTGCCACATTCTATTAATTATTATAGTGTTTTCTCTTGATGATTTTAGATTTAAATCACTTTATCAAGTTTACAACTGAGGCTCTAATTTTACATACCTGCTCCACACTTGTGTTTGTATTAACTCAAGCAAGGTAGCCAATCTCTTAACTCAATTGAAATGTGACAAATGGGGCTTTAAAGTGAGTGGTTAAAATGTCATATTTTGATGTAAGGTTTCATATTGATTGGCTTTTGAGGATTCAGATTTCAAAAATTGAACGATTTTATGTAGCTTGTTAATAATTTCATATTAGGACATCTGTAGTCTAAAATTAGATTTTACATGATCCAAATTATTCAGTGATTTTTGACTATAAGATTAGAGTTCGATTGTTGGTTTTTTAAAAATTATTTTTTGGCAAAAAAGTGACATTACTGTAATTATTGATTATGAACTCCTAGAATTTAGAGTGAAGGAATATTTACATATAAACATACATTTATATATTATTATTAGGTTTGAAACATAAGCATGTATATATGAACACAAATATATACCATCTTCATTTGCTTTGGTTTCAAATATATAGTCAAATTATGTTCAAAGTATGCCAGGGAATTTCAAGTTCAAACTCATTTACAGACCTGAACTTACTGTGCTTTAATTAGTTATTATGTGTTCTACAGGTTGTTTGACTTGACTTTGTTAATTGTCTAATAAACCTGAACAATTTGTCTACTGGAAATAATAGTAGTAATTGTGGCCATCTTGAGAACAATGAAGGCCATAGGAAAAGATAATCTTACTACTCATAACATGTAAAGCTTTATTACACAAACATTATCCCTACTATACTCTAAAATACGAAGGAGAGATGTAAGAGTTAAAGAAAGAGGAAAGAAACACAAAAAAGCGACTCAACAGTCAAAGACAGGTTTATTTTGGAAGTATACACCTGAGAGGGGCTTCTGCCTGATTTTTTTTTTTGGTTAGGAGCATTCTCTCTTACAGACTAAGAGTATTTATTGGTGAGAGAGCTTATCACAGGCTTGGGATGTTTCTGTGTTGGGGTGAAGTTTATGGTGGGGTTGTAATATCTCTGGTCAGAGGGGAGGTTATCTTGGGGCTGACATCTCTCCGGCTGGGAGGGAGGTTACCTTGGGGCTGGCATGTCTCTGGTGAGGGAGGGGTTTATCTTATGGTTGGAATGTTTCTGGTCAGAGATATCATTTGTGGTTTATGGTCATGCTGACCTTAGCCATTAGGCTGATGCCCTTTGCATTTAGGTGGTTTTTGATCAAGGGGAACTTTACAATGGTGGTGCTTGTGCAAGATGGCCATGCTTCTGCTCTGTCAAGAGAGAATCAGAAAATAAGAACCTTTAGTAGCCTGGGTGCAGTGGTGCACACCAGTGCGGTGGCTCATGCCAACACGTTGGGACACCAAGGCGAGCTGATTGCTTGAGCCCAGGAGTTTAAGACCAGCCTGGGCAACATGGCAAAACCCTGTCTCTACAAAAAAATACAAAAATTAGCCAGGCAAGATGGTGTGTGCCTGTGGTCCCAGCTACCCAGGAGGCTGAGGTGGGAGGATCATCTGAGCCTGGGTGGTCGAGGGTGCAGTGAGCCATGATCGCACCACTGCACTCAATGGAGGTGACAGTGAAACTTTGTCTCAAAAAAAAAAAAAAAAAAAGAAAGAAAAAAAAAAACCTCTAGTAGAAAACAAAACTGGGAATGTATAATGATACCCAAGGTTAAATCACTGTGGTTCATAATAGCACTGGTGATAGCTTTTCCTTATAATAGATGGGCTTGTACAGATAGATGCTGCTTGCTTGAAGGGGGGTTTTAGTGGGTTTTGTACATTCATATTTTGTGGGGGAAGAAACACAGCTACTCTATGCCATTATCTAAGTTTTAAGTAAGGAAACGTGTCATAAATTCTAGAGACATTTGAGTGTCATGGTTAATTAAGGACATAGACTTTGGAACCAGTGCCTGAGTTAGTTTCATCATAACTTAGAGCCTCTGTTTTCCTATATGCTGAATTTCCTATATCTTAAATCAGGAATAATAACATTATACCTACTTCATTGGATACTCATGTGAATTAAATGTGAATATTATTTTAAAAATCATATAGTGTCTGTTACTCTGTGAATGTTAGGTGAAGTGTTTGTTATTATTATCATCATCACCTTTATTTATTTAAGTCAATGGTTATAGAAGTAACTTGTCTTCCCTTCTATGGACATAAATCAAAACAGGTACTGAAGTTTAAAAAGAAACTAAGGTATGTTAGGGAAAGAATTCTCACTTAACTCAAAAGACAACAGACTTACAGTCTTATAAAAATCTAACTTGATTAAATTCTGAGAAATCTCAGCCTTTAATATTGAATAATCAAGCATTAGAGATAATATCTGTCAAATAATGATATTCATAGCATATTTTGAAAATTAAGTAATTCATTTATTTTTAGCTTTTCTAGGAAAGCTATGTTTTGTCCCTGAATGGGTTAGTTGGCTTTCATTTTCCTAATAAAGATTAAAAGCTTTAAAAATATTTCATTTTACCAACTCTGAAGATTCTATTGATTCATATAGAGAATGATAGATACCACCTATGATCTAGTTCTAACTTTAAAACACGATTATTTTTCAGTTGTTTGCACCTAACTTGGAGTGCTAGGAGATCTATTAATAAAACATGTTGTAATTGTCCCACCATGATAGCATAGTATTGTTAAAGGAAAATTACTGGCTAACCCCCTGCTGAATTAAAATGAATTTGAAATCTGAGTAGAACATTAACAGTCTGATGCATCTGGATTCTCCTTTCATTCACACTCATTTCCTAGAATGACCTTTGTACTTCCTCTTTGTAGTGTTTCTTTGTTGGGAAAGGTCAGGAGGACAACGTTATTAAAATTCTTTAGGTTTTTCTAACGTCACCCCCATTATCTATTGCTTTTCCTGGGGTTATTTTTTTTTCTCTGAGTTTTCATATAAAGGCCTTTTACTCTAAAAGCTCTATTTCTCAGATACTTGTTTTTTTGTGTAATTACACTAAACTTCGTTCAGAATTTAGGCATATGTTGATTGCTGCTATTTATGCAAGCTAAATATTCAATCTGGATTGATTAAAATGTATTATAGGTCTGTTGTTTATTTCAGCTGGTATTAAATTGAGATAGTCTAAAAAGAGAAATAAAACTGATATGGATGTGAAATGATTAAAAAACACTGTACTTGACATTACCTATGATAGTGACTTTAAAACATCTTGGAGGCTTAACAGCCTATGTTTGATTTTGATACCATGCCTGTATTATTAAGCTTATGCTTATCTGGCAATGTAGAATTAACTTTTGTAGAGGCAATAAGATATAAGAGGCAAGATATAAGGGCTGAGAACATAGCCTCTCCATGTGATGTGGGCTTCTCACAGTGTGGCAGCTGGTTCCAAAAGCAATGGCCTAAGAGCAAGTATTCCAAGCAACCCAGGTGGAAGTTGCGGGGCTTCTTATGACCTGGCCCAAGAAGTCACACAGTATCAGTTCCACCACATCCTATCAGATCAAAAGCCGGTGTTAAGGTCAACCCCAATTCAAGGAGACGGTTCTGCACAAGGGCACGAACACCTGGAGGTGTTCATTGGAACACTGTCTTTGAAGACTAGCTACTACACATATGGAACTACTCATCACTAAATTCAAAACAGTGGTTACCTTTGGGGAGGGCAGGAAGAGGTGCACAGAGGGTGAAATACAATTGAGGTAACATTGTATTTCTTACATATTTTATACTAGGTGGTAGATACATAGCTGTTGGTTCTATTATGCTTTTCGGTATTTTTGAAATACTTCATAATAAAAATGTATACTTTTTATTTCTTTTTAGATTCTGTAGCATCATTGTTTTAAAGAAGAGCTTATATCCAGGAAATAGTCATCAAAATAAATTTGGTGTTTGAAGATAGAAACCAAACGCTGTGGTTGACTGTTCATTGTGGACAATTTAAAACATACAAAATCCGACAGAGTAGTAGAATGAACTCCCATCTACCTGTCACTAACCATAACAATTATAGACACATGACTAGTCTGGTTTCATTATACCTTACTTTCCTCTCTCCTGTATTATTTTGAAGCAAATGAAAGACTTCTTAACATTTCAGCCCCACATATTTCACTTGTATCTCTGAGAGATAAAAATTTAAAAAACCCCAAAAACCTAACCTTACAATACCTAAATCTTCAGTCATACCTAAACTTTCAATAATAATTTCTTCAATATTTTTCCAATCCATTTGGAAATTATCAAATATCCACTAAGTTCAAGCTTCCAAATGTCTTATAAATATCATAATATTTTTTAATTGTTTGCTTGAATTAGGATCCTAAGAAGGTCCATACATTTTGATTAGTTGATATATCTCCTGAGTCTTTAATCTGTGGGTTTCTGCTTTTCTGGATTTTGTATTTCAGGCAATTTATTTGTCAAGGAAACTAAGTCCTTTGTTGATTGCATCCCTGTGGTATCATTGAATAAGTTCTTTTATTCCCTGTGTTTCCTGTAAACTGTAGTTGGATTTAGAAGCTCTATCAGATTCAAGCTTGGATACTTTTTTGTAAGACTTCTTTTTAGATTGTGGTATATTCTTCCATGTGAAGGCAAAATAATGACTTGCCTGGTTGTCTCTTTTTGTGATCTTAGCCACTGTTGAAAAATTCACAGATCCACAAAAGTTTTGGAACTACAAAATGATGATATTCTGATTATAGAATTCATTCTTCTTTTCTAAACCCATAGTTCGTTTTCTTTATTAGCCGAAATGCTTCTATAAGAGAAGATCTCTTATATCCACTATTTGCTTATCTTTTGGTACAGTTCATATAGAAAGTTTTCAAAATAATGAGTTAGATCACTAGTCTTCTATCTTACATCTGTATTTTTTTTTACACACCAATAATCACATTTCTCAAGGACCCAAAGAATAGTAACACCAGAATATCAAATAATTACTCATTGGATTTATCCCACAGTATATACCCAACAGTCTCAAAATAACAATACCAGCACTACCACCAACAATATGATTACTGTACAATGTTTTGTATCCAGTTCTTTTTGCTTTTGCATATATCTCACTTAGGATATAGAGTACAAATTATTTGTTGTAAGGTCATTTGGCATAGTCCCTCTTTGTATGGATAGGCCTCCAATTGGCCACATTTTTTTTTTTTTTTTGAGACAGGGTCTTGTCCTATTTCCCAGGCTGGAGTGCAGTGGCGAAATCACAGCTTTTTGCAGCCTCACCCTCCTGGGCTCAAGTGATTCTCCTACCTCAGTCTTCCAAGGAGCTGAGACTACAGATGTGTGCCACCCCACCTGACTAATTTCTTTATTTACTTTTTTTTGTAGAGATGGAGACTCACTATGTTGGCCAGGCTGGCCTTGAACTCCTGGCCTCAAGCAGTCCTCCTGCCTCAGACTCCCAAAGTGCTGGAATTATAGGCATGAGCCACTGCACCCAGCCTAATTTTTGTTTTTAGGAATTTCTGCTGTAAAGTTTTATTTATAATTATGTAAATTGTATCTCTTCCTTCTATCTTATTTCCTTCCCCTTTAATTAACCATTTTTAGAGCTTATGGTTTAATTTTTTCATAGTTTTAAACGTAATAGGCTACTTTTGATACACATTTATATATATACTTGCATCCCCTTTTTTATTTTTTGTTGTTTTGTAGATAAAGGAGGGCAGATTAATTAGAGAAAGTACAAAGATATGTTGGAAGGGTGCAATGGGCAGCACAGCGGAGAAGGGGCTGTCTGCCACTTTCTCCTTTGTTTAGATAAATGTAGCATGCTATACATACTTACCCCATCTTGCTGTTTTTACTTAATATAGCCTGGAGATTAAGTCACAGCAGCAATAAATGCTATTGTGTTGAATGTACCATAATTTTATTTAGCTTGTCATTTCTTCATGAGTATTTCGATTATTCCCAGTTTTGTGCTATTATAAATAGTCCTGCTGTGAATTGCCTCGTCTTTTCATTTTTTTTCTTTTTTCCCCACTGTGTATCTTTTCATGTTTTTTTTTCTAGTGTATCTTTGAGATCAATGTCTAAAGCAAGATTGTTGAGCCAAAGGGCAAATGAGTATTTCACTCCTTCAAATATTGCCAAATTCCCTTTCATTGAGACTGTACTGTTTTATATTCTCGACCACATATGAAAATGTTTTTTTTTCTCACAGCCTTGCCCAGAATATGTCATCAGACATCATTTTTACCAATTTAATGAGTAAAATAATCATATATTGGCAGTTTTCCTTTTCATTTCTCTTATGAGAAATGTTAAACCTTTTTTTCATATAAGTAAGAGCAATTTTTCTCACTCAACTGTTTCTTTAGACCATTTTAAACAATATCTTTTTTCTCTATTGTTCTATAAATTATTTATGTATAACAAATAATCCCTTCATTTGTGATGTAAATCATATTTTTACCAGCTTGTCATTTATTTTACTTTGCTTATTATTCTGCTTGCCATATACATTTTTATTTTTACTATTAAAATTTATCTTTATCTTATTGTTTTTAGGTTCTGGATCTTAATTAGAAAAGTTTTCTCCATTCCTTGATTATAGAAGAACTCACTCAGGTTATCTTCTAGTGTTTAGATGGCTTCCATATTTACATTTAAATCTCTGATTCATTTTGAATTTATCTTAGTATATGATAAGAAGAATGGGTCTAATTCATATTCTTTCTATTCAATTGCTAAAATGTTACCTCCCTGAAGTGAAAGCCTATCTTTATCAAATATTAAATTTGCATTTGCAATTAGAAGTAATTCTGGATTTTGTATTTTGCTTGCTTGGTCTGCCTATTATTGTTTCAATACCAGACTGTTTTAATATTAGAGACTTGATAATATGTTTTAGTATCTTGCACAGCTGGCCACCTCTGCCCCATCTTCTTTTGCAGGGTTTCCCTGGCTTATTATATGTTTATTTTTCCAAATCAACTTCAGAATTGACGTCTAATTCCAGGGGGGAAATTTTTTCAGGGGTTGCTACAAATTAATAAAAACTTAAAAAAATTTCCAGTTTGTATACGTTCCTATCCTTAAAGTGTGTTTTATATTACTTATTTAAGATTTAGGCATTTTAAATTATGTGAACACTTTAATTCTTAAGACATCTCATAAAACTTACTGTAATAAGCAGGAAAATTGAGAATTATTGCTTTATAAATTGTATTTATCTGTATTGGAATTATTTAGGTCATTGATATCTAGTTTATCTTTTGTAGTTTATTTCAACTTATTTTTAATGCATGTATCTTTAGGAAGCAAAATGCTCTCTACCCTAGCCCACTAAAAGCAAAACCAAAAACAATCAAAAAGTCCCCAGAAGCTGACTGGGAGAGGAGTGGGTATGGGAAAGAGAGGTGATGGTATAGAAATGTATGCTGGAGGTGTCTACAGTTGATAACAACATTTATATGAGCATCTAAGCCAGTGGGATCTTTACATCCCCTAAAAGAATTTTGAAAAACTATTTGCCTCTTTGTACATTTTGTAGTCGACATCTAACATTTGTATCACGAATTTAAACAGTTGTTGATGATGTGATTTCCTGTTTATGTTAAATATGTTATTTTAAAATGATACCATTACATCATTATTTAAAATTTTTCCAATGAGATTAAAATAAAGTAACAATTTAAGACCTCTGGTCATCATTAAACAATATATGAACTAAGATCTTTGAGAGCCAACTTTTACATTTTCTTCTCTCCTTAAATGTATATTTCCTTCCTCTTCCTGTATGGAATTACATCTTAATTAAATATATTTTTATACTAATTTTAAAAAATTGATCATTATATTATGCTTCTTGGTAATAACGTGTATTGATTTAAAATAATTGTTTAAAAATTTTCTATGAACATAGGCTTTAAGTGCTAAGAATTTTTTTATTGGTTTCAGTTTCTATTACAATTAACAGCATAAATTCTATATAAGTAGCACAATTGTATTAAAAGATTTGATCATTGTATGTTTTTAAAAAGTAAAATTTTATTGGAAATGCATTTCTTAAAGAGATGGGTGAGACTTTTTACATGTCTTCTTTGAATATTAGTTATTACTTGAATAAAACAGGGTTCAGCAGTTCTTTTCCTGTTTGTTTTTATTATTATAATCTTTTTTTTAATCTATTTATTTTTCCATGGGTTACTGGGGTACAGATGGTGTTTGGTTACATGAATAAGTTCTTTAGTGGTGATTTGTGAGATTTTGGTGCACCCATCACCCGAGCAGTACACACTGCACCCTTTTTGTAGTCTTCTACCCCTCGTCCCCTCCCACCCTTCCCCTCAAGTTCCTAAATTCCCTTGTATCATTCTTATGTCTTTGCGTCCTCATTGCTTACCTCCCACATACCAGTGAGAACATACCATGTTTAGTTTTCCATTCCTGAGTTACTTCACTTAGAATTATAGTCTCCAATCTCATCCAGGTCACTGTGAATGTCTTTAATTCACTCCAAAGTCTGTTTTATTTATTTATTTATTTTTCTTTATTATTATTATTATTATTATTATACTTTAAGTTTTAGGGTACATGTGCACAATGTGCACGTTAGTTACATATGTATACATGTGCCATGCTGGTGCACTGCACCCACTAGCTCGTCATCTAGCATTAGGTATATCTCCTAATGCTATCCCTCCCCCCTCCCCCCACCCCACAACAGTCCCCAGAGTGTGATGTTCCCCTTCCTGTGTCCATGTGATCTCATTGTTCAATTCCCACCTATGAGTGAGAATATGCGGTGTTTGGTTTTTTGTTCTTGCGATAGTTTACTGAGAATGATGATTTCCAATTTCATCCATGTCCGTACAAAGGACATGAACTCATCATTTTTTATGGCTGCATAGTATTCCATGGTGTATATGTGCCACATTTTCTTAATCCAGTCTATCATTGTTGGACATTTGGGTTGGTTCCAAGTCTTTGCTATTGTGAATAGTGCCGCAATAAACATACGTGTGCATGTGTCTTTATAGAACCATGATTTCTAGTCCTTTGGGTATATACCCAGTAATGGGATGGCTGGGTCAAATGGTATTTCTAGTTCTAGATCCCTGAGGAATCACCACACTGACTTCCACAATGGTTGAACTAGTTTACAGTCCCACCAACAGTGTAAAAGTGTTCCTATTTCTCCACATCCTCTCCAGCACCTGTTGTTTCCTGACTTTTTAATGATTGCCATTCTAACTGGTGTGAGATGGTATCTCATTGTGGTTTTGATTTGCATTTCTCTGATGGCCACTGATGGTGAGCATTTTTTCATGTTTTTTTTGGCTGCATAAATGTCTTCTTTTGAGAAGTGTCTGTTCATGTCCTTCGCCCACTTTTTGATGGGGTTTGTTTTTTTCTTGTAAATTTGTTTGAGTTCATTGTAGATTCTGGATATTAGCCTTTTGTCAGATGAGTAGGTTGTGAAAATTTTCTCCCATTTTGTAGGCTGCCTGTTCACTCTGATGGTAGTTTCTTTTGCTGTGCAGAAGCTCTTTAGTTTAATTAGATCCCATTTGTCAATTTTGGCTTTTGTTGCCATTGCTTTTGGTGTTTTAGACATGAAGTCCTTGCCCATGCCTATGTCCTGAATGGTAATGCCTAGGTTTTCTTCTAGGGTTTTTATAGTTTTAGGTCTAACATTTAAGTCTTTAATCCATCTTGAATTGATTTTTATATAAGGTGTAAGGAAGGGATCCAGTTTCAGCTTTCTCCATATGGCTAGCCAGTTTTCCCAGCACCATTTATTAAATAGGGAATCCTTTCCCCATTGCTTGTTTTTCTCAGGTTTGTCAAAGATCAGATAGTTGTAGATATGCGGCATTATTTCTGAGGGCTCTGTTCTGTTCCATTGATCTATATCTCTGTTTTGGTACCAGTACCATGCTGTTTTGGTTACTGTAGCCTTGAAGTATAGTTTGAAGTCAGGTAGCGTGATGCCTCCAGCTTTGTTCTTTTGGCTTAGGATTGACTTGGCGATGCGGGCTCTTTTTTGGTTCCATATGAACTTTAAAGTAGTTTTTTCCAATTCTGTGAAGAAAGTCATTGGTAGCTTGATGGGGATGGCATTGAATTTGTAAATTACCTTGGGCAGTATGGCCATTTTCACGATATTGATTTTTCCTACCCATGAGCATGGAATGTTCTTCCATTTGTTTGTATCCTCTTTTATTTCCTTGAGCAGTGGTTTGTAGTTCTCCTTGAAGAGGTCCTTCACATCCCTTGTAAGTTGGATTCCTAGGTATTTTATTCTCTTTGAAGCAACTGTGAATGGGAGTTCACTCATGATTTGGCTCTCCGTTTGTCTGTTGTTGGTGTATAAGAATGCTTGTGATTTTTGTACATTGATTTTGTATCCTGAGACTTTGCTGAAGTTGCTTATCAGCTTAAGGAGATTTTGGGCTGAGACAATGGGGTTTTCTAGATAAACAATCATGTCGTCTGCAAACAGGGACAATTTGACTTCCTCTTTTCCTAATTGAATACCCTTTATTTCCTTCTCCTGCCTGATTGCCCTGGCCAGAACTTCCAACACTATGTTGAATAGGAGTGGTGAGAGAGGACATCCCTGTCTTGTGCCAGTTTTCAAAGGGAATGCTTCCAGTTTTTGCCCATTCAGTATGATATTGGCTGTGGGTTTGTCATAGATAGCTCTTATTATTTTGAAATACGTCCCATCAATACCTAATTTATTGAGAGTTTTTAGCATGAAGGGCTGTTGAATTTTGTCAAAGGCCTTTTCTGCATCTATTGAGATAATCATGTGGTTTTTGTCTTTGGTTCTGTTTATATGCTGGATTACATTTATTGATTTGCGTATATTGAACCAGCCTTGCATCCCAGGGAAGAAGCCCACTTGATCATGGTGGATAAGCTTTTTGATGTACTGCTGGATTCGGTTTGCCAGTATTTTATTGGGGATTTTTGCATCAATGTTCATCAAGGATATTGGTCTAAAATTCTCTTTTTTGGTTGTGTCTCTGCCCGGCTTTGGTATCAGGATGATGCTGGCCTCATAAAATGAGTTAGGGAGGATTCCCTCTTTTTCTATTGATTGGAATAGTTTCAGAAGGAATGGTACCAGCTCCTCCTTGTACCTCTGGTAGAATTCGGCTGTGAATCCATCTGGTCCTGGACTCTTTTTGGTTGGTAAGCTATTGATTATTGCCACAATTTCAGAGCCCGTTATTGGTCTATTCAGAGATTCAACTTCTTCCTGGTTTAGTCTTGGGAGAGTGTATGTGTCGAGGAATTTATCCATGACTTCTAGATTTTCTAGTTTATTTGCATAGAGGTGTTTGTAGTATTCTCTGATGGTAGTTTGTATTTTTGTGGGATTGGTGGTGATATCCCCTTTATCATTTTTTATTGCGTCTATTTGATTCTTCTCTCTTTTTTTCTTTATTAGTCTTGCTAGCGGTCTATCAATTTTGTTGATCCTTTCAAAAAACCAGCTCCTGGATTCATTAATTTTTTGAAGGGTTTTTTGTGTCTCTATTTCCTTCAGTTCTGCTCTGATTTTAGTTATTTCTTGCCTTCTGCTAGCTTTTGAATGTGTTTGCTCTTGCTTTTCTAGTTCTTTTAATTGTGATGTTACGGTGTCAATTTTGGATCTTTCCTGCTTTCTCCTATGGGCATTTAGTGCTATAAATTTCCCTCTACACACTGCTTTGAATGCATCCCAGAGATTCTGGTATGTTGTGTCTTTGTTCTCATTGGTTTCAAAGAACATCTTTATTTCTGCCTTCATTTCATTATGTACCCAGCAGTCATTCAGGAGCAGGTTGTTCAGTTTCCATGTAGTTGAGCAGTTTTGAGTGAGATTCTTAATCCTGAGTTCTAGTTTGATTGCACTGTGGTCTGAGAGACAGTTTGTTATAATTTCTGTTCTTTTACATTTGCTGAGGAGGGCTTTACTTCGAAGTATGTGGTCAATTTTGGAATAGGTGTGGTGTGGTGCTGAAAAAAATGTATATTCTGTTGATTTGGGGTGGAGAGTTCTGTAGAAGTCTATTAGGTCTGCTTGGTGCAGAGCTGAGTTCAATTCCTGGATATCCTTGTTGACTTTCTGTCTCGTTGATCTGTCTAATGTTGACAGTGGGGTGTTAAAGTCTCCCATTATTAATGTGTGGGAGTCTAAGTCTCTTTGTAGGTCACTCAGGGCTTGCTTTATGAATCTGGGTGCTCCTGTATTGGGTGCATATATATTTAGGATAGTTAGCTCTTCTTGTTGAATTGAATGTCCCTTTACCATTATGTAATGGACTTCTTTGTCTCTTTTGATCTTTGTTGGTTTAAAGTCTGTTTTATCAGAGACTAGGATTGCAACCCCTGCCTTTTTTTGTTTTCCATTTGCTTGGTAGATCTTCCTCCATCCTTTTATTTTGAGCCTATGTGTGTCTCTGCACGTGAGATGGGTTTCCTGAATACAGCACACTGATGGGTCTTGACTCTTTATCCAATTTGCCAGTCTGTGTCTTTTAATTGGAGCATTTAGTCCATTTACATTTAAAGTTAATATTGTTATGTGTGAATTTGATCCTGTCATTATGATGTTAGCTGGTTATTTTGCTCGTTAGTTGATGCAGTTTCTTCCTAGTCTCGATGGTCTTTACATTTTGGCATGATTTTGCAGTGGCTGGTACTGGTTGTTCCTTTCCATGTTTAGCGCTTCCTTCGGGAGCTCTTTTAGGGCAGGCCTGGTGGTGACAAAATCTCTCAGCATTTGCTTGTCTGTAAAGTATTTTATCTCTCCTTCACTTATGAAGCTTAGTTTTGCTGGATATGAAATTCTGGGTTGAAAATTCTTTTCTTTAAGAATGTTGAATATTGGCCCCCACTCTCTTCTGGCTTGTAGAGTTTCTGCTGAGAGATCCGCTGTTAGTCTGATGGGCTTCCCTTTGAGGGTAACCCGACCTTTCTCTCTGGCTGCCCTTAACATTTTTTCCTTCATTTCAACTTTGGTGAATCTGACAATTATTTGTCTTGGAGTTGCTCTTCTCGAGGAGTATCTTTGTGGTGTTATCTGTATTTCCTGCATCTGAATGTTGGCCTGCCTTGCTAGATTGGGGAAGTTCTCCTGGATAATATCCTGCCGTGTTTTCCAACTTGGTTCCATTCTCCCCGTCACTTTCAGGTACACCAATCAGATGTAGATTTGGTCTTTTCACATAGTCCCATATTTCTTGGAGGCTTCGCTCGTTTCTTTTTATTGTTTTTTCTCTAAACTTCCCTTCTCGCTTCATTTCATTCATTTCATCTTCCATCACTGATACCCTTTCTTCCAGTTGATCGCATCGGCTCCTGAGGCTTCTGCATTCTTCACATAGTTCTCGAGCCTTGGTTTTCAGCTCCATCAGCTCCTTTAAGCACTTCTCTGTATTGGTTATTCTAGTTGTACATTCTTCTAAATTTTTTTCAAAGTTTTCAACTTCTTTGCCTTTGGTTTGAATGTCCTCCCGTAGCTCAGAGTAATTTGATCGTCTGAAGCCTTCTTCTCTCAGCTCGTCAAAGTCATTCTCCATCCAGCTTTGTTCCATTGCTGGTGAGGAACTGCATTCCTTTGGAGGAGGAGAGGTGCTCTGCATTTTAGAGTTTCCAGTTTTTCTGCTCTGTTTTTCCCCATCTTTGTGGTTTTATCTACTTTTGGTCTTTGATGATGGTGATGTACAGATGGGTTTTTGGTGTGGATGTCCTTTCTGTTTGTTAGTTTTCCTTCTAACAGACAGGACCCTCAGCTGCAGGTCTGTTGGAGTACCTGGCTGTGTGAGGGGTCAATCTGCCCCTGCTGGGGGGTGCCTCCCAGTTAGGCTGCTTGGGGGTCAGGGGTCAGGGACCCACTTTAGGAGGCAGTCTGCCCGTTCTCAGATCTCCAGCTGCATACTGGGAGAACCACTGCTCTCTTCAAAGCTGTCAGACAGGGACATTTAAGTCTGCAGAGGTTACTGCTGTCTTTTTGTTTGTCTGTTCCCTGCCCCCAGAGGTGGAGCCTACAGAGGCAGGCAGGCCTCCTTGAGCTGTGGTGGGCTCCACCCAGTTCGAGCTTCCAGGCTGCTTTGTTTACCTAAGCAAGCCTGGGCAATGGCGGGCGCCCCTCCCCCAGCCTCACTGCTGCCTTGCAGTTTGATCTCAGACTGCTAGCAATCAGCGAGACTCCGTGGGCTTAGGACCCTGCGAGCCAGGTGCGGGATATAATCTCCTGGTGAGCTGTTTTTTAAGCCCATCAGAAAAGTGCAGTATTCGGGGTGGGAGTGACCCGATTTTCCAGGTGCTGTCTGTCACCCCTTTCTTTGACTAGGAAAGGGAACTCCCTGACCCCTTGCGCTTCCCGAGTGAGGCAATGCCTCGCCCTGCTTCGGCTCGTGCATGGTGCACTGCACCCACTGACCTGCGCCCACTGTCTGGCACTCCCTAGTGAGATGAACCCGGTACCTCAGATGGAAATGCAGAAATCACCCCTATTATAATCTTAAGAAGCCTACATCACATGCCTAATAAGTGGTAATAAAATAATTTTTTTGTTTTTTGTAAGTGTCATTCAATTCTTTGACCTGCTTCCATATCATATGACAAAAACAATCTGTTATCAAAAATCACTTTTAACAATCAGCTATCAGCTAACACCTGAATTTTGCTCTCCTTCTGCTTTGTTCAAAGCAAAGAATTGGAAATATCTGACTTTCAAAAGGATTGACTAATCAGATGTTAGAGTCTGATTTCTTTCTGATTTTACCTTATTAAGTTGACTGCAGTAAAATTTGAATTGTCCCTTTATTTGGAGTCCCAGTGGTTGTTATACCCTGAGGCCACGCACCCTAGAAAAATTCAGAGTAGAAAAGAGGTTTGCACTTTTATTGGTAAATTGGGCAGACAGGAATTATGACAAGAGGAGAAGAATGTGTGACACTTCCATACATTCTTAATAGATCAGTTTTAGGGAAAACTAGAAATGGAAATTGAGAACCTAGAAATAGATATACAGAAATACCTATGCTCAGATTTGTCATCCTGAACCTTGTAGGTTACACCTAGTAGCCCCAGTTTGAAGACCCTCATTTGAGGCAGCCCATGACAGAAAGGCCAACACCTTGGGCTACGTTGGTCTTGTCTAACAACAAGATGTACAGCAGCTGGGTGTCAGCAGAGGCAGAGCTCCTGTGCTCTGTAAAACGTATGCCAGTATTGCTTATGTAGGAACACTGCCCAGTGATTTGATATTGTCTTCACAAGAATGTTTTATGCAAGATGATACATGGTTGGTCACTCAAACAACAAAATCCCTTGACACACATTGGCTTTTAATTCTGTCCCATAACACCTATTTGTATCTTAAATAATGTGGTTCACATAGCTTTGTTCAGTCTACTTGATGATGGCTTGAATTTAGCTAGTGATGAGAAATAGAGGGCTACTTGGCATATTCATTACCAGCTAAGGCTATCTATTCTTGACAACCCCTCCTACTGGGTTTAAGAGATAGGAATGAACTCTTTTCCTGGTGGAAATCAGTTTTTGGCACAGGTACACGTGTATATGCATGCATGTGCTTTGGCAGAAAACATTTCAGAACCACAGCCTTAAATTATTCATTCTTAAAAATTTAAAAAACCTCAGCTCAGCTCTTGAGGGAAAGAGGAGAGCAGGTGAAAGCCCAGGGTTAGGAATTAAAATGCAGATACTGTATTTGGTATTGCTGTGTTAGAAAAGTAATCTGTTAGTCATGCAAGAGGTATAATTGACCTTTTATAATAAAAGGTCAAGGATCCAGACATATATTTTGGCTGGGAAAAAGGTCATCTCACCTTACCTTTTGTGAGCAGCAGGGGCTCCCCTCTGTAGGGCAAAATGTCCTTTAAGAAATTACCTTTGACATGCCGTTAGTTTAAGTAAGTGAAAAGTGGCAAACGTTTAGTGGATCTTCTCTGTGTGCCTGGTACGATTCTAAATGCTTTACGTTGGTTCTTTAATTTAATCCTCATAATAACCCTCGTGAATGAGTTTCAGAGATATTGATCCTCTCAGTCTCAGAGTTGGCAATTTGCCTACAGCACTGAGCAGCCTTTTCTACTCACCCAGAGTGCAATTTCAAGTAGTATTTTCTTTTCTTTTCTTTTTCAAATTTCATTTAGATTCGGGGGTACATGTTTGTTACCTGGATATACTGCATGATGCTGGGGTTTGGGGTATGAATGATCCTGTCACCCAGCTACTGAGCACAGTACCCAGTATTTTCTCTATGTGTCAAGAAATGTAAAAGATGGGGAGACTTGCCATGGAGCGTAGGAGAGCTGACTTTGACCTAACAGATCTGTGGGTAGATGCCATAAATTGACTCTATAGCACTAAAAAGAATTAAACACACATACACAATTGACCTGTTCAGTGACGTTATTAATAGAGTTCTTTATGGTGAAGAAAATCTGTATGGGTTTAATCCAGGAGTTAAAAAATAGTGGTCTATGGGCAGATTTAACCTACAGGTTGTGTGATAGCCCAGTATGATATTTAAATAAAATTAGAATTCGCAATGCCTTTTCATGGGGGCAGAAACACTCAGTAACAGCTCCTATCGATGCTGTAGCCCCAAAGCTTCACACATTTACATTTTCCGGCCTGGACTCTGAAGACTTCTGAGTGCGTAGCTCTTGGTTAAATCACTCAAAGGAGGTGGTAGGTCATACATGGTTGGTAGGTTGTATTAACTATTTTTTGGTTATTTTTACCAGAGATTTGGGAGACGATGGTGGTGGCAGCAGCCCTAGATTTGTCCAGTAGGCATATTTTAAAAATGCTGAAGCACCAGCTAGTTAGAAGCACAACAAAATCCTCATTTATTTTTTTTCAAAAATTTATGTTTCATAAAAGTATTAAAGTATTAAGTATTAAGTTTTAAGTTTTCTAAAACTTAGGGAAAAAAACATTGCCTGTCATAAAAAATTCAATAAATTATACTATTTTCTGTAACAGTACAAATAAGAACTACTTTGGACTTCCTTATACCGTTTGCTAAGACCGTTGGAAAAGCGTGCAGTATTAGGGTGGGAGTGTCCCGATTTTCCAGGAACCGTCTTGTCAAGGCTTGGCTAGGAAAAGGAAAGGGAAATCCCCTGACCCCTTGTGCTTCCCGGGTGAGGTGATGCCCCGCCCTGCTTCAGCTCGCCCTCCTTGGGCTGCACCCACTGTCCAACCAGTCCCAATGAGATGAACCAGGTGCCTCAGTTGGAAATGCAGAAATCACCCGTTTTCTGCTTTGATCTTGCTGGGAGCTGTAGACCGGAGCTGTTCCTATTCGGCCATCTTGGAACGATCCTCAGATATTTCTTAAGAAATAAATTATTTAAATACTATTTATCCTAGTTTGTACTACTTTCTAATCTGATTTCTTTCTCTTTACATGCCCAGGATACTACCTTCAAGTTGAAATTTGCTATTCTCAAGCATGTTTGTATACTACAATGGCATGTTTGCATCCATAAAGAATGTGGAGTATTGTTTTGTATTTAATATGTTTCAAACATCATATAACTGTGTTTATACTATACATACAATTTTGTACTCTTTATTCCCTCAACATAATTTTGAGTTTTATCTATATAAATCTAAAATCTATATAAATATAAATTACAAAATGAATGGCTCTAGTTCATTCTTTTTTTTTTTTTTTGAGATGAAGTCTTGCTCCATCACCCAGGCTTGAGTGCAATGGTGGCATGATCTTGGCTCACTGCAACTTCCACCTTCTGGGTTCAGGCGATTCTCCTGCCTCAGCTTCCTGAGTAGCTGGGATTACAGGCACTCGACACCATGCCCAGCTAATTTTTGTATTTTTAGTAGAGTCGGGGTTTTGCCATGTTAGCCAGGCTGGTCTCGAACTCCTGAGCTCAAGTGATCCACCTGCCTCAGCCTCCCAAACTTCTGATATTACAGACCTGAGCCACCGCACCCAGCCAGTTCATTCATTTTTAACTGCTGTAAGTGATTTCATTTGATAAATACCCCTTTATTTATCTATTTATTTTTGAGACAGGGTCTCACTCTGTTGCTCAGGCTGCACTGCAGTGGCATGGCCACAGCTCACTGCAGCCTCGACCTTCCAGGCTCAAGTGATCCTCCTACCTCAACCTCCCAAGTAGCTGGGACTACAGGCACGTGGCACCACATCTGGCTAATTTTTTATTGTTTGTAGAGTTACAGTCTCACTATGTTTCCAGGGCTATTCTCAAACTCCTGGGGTCAAGCACTCCTCCTGCCTTGGCCTCCCGAAGTGCTAAGATTATAGGTGTGACCCACTGTTCCTAGCCAAATATACCTCTATGTAGACCTCCATTCTCTGTTGACAAACATTTTATTTGTTTCTATCCCATTACATTAGAAACAAAGTCAGCATTACATAGTGGCTAAAACAGGGATACTGAAAGTATTTTCTAGGTTCAAATACTGATTTTATCTTTTTTTTTTTTTTCTTTTTTTTGAAACGGAGTCTCACTCTGTCGCCTAGGCTGGAGTGCAGTGGCACGATCTTGGCTCACTGCAACCTCTGCCTCCTGGGTTCAAGTGATTCTCCTGCCTCAGCTTCCTGAGTATCTGGGACTACAGGTGCATGCCACCATGTCCAGCTGATTTTTTGTATTTTTAGTAGAGACGGGGTTTCACCATGTTAGCCAGGATGGTCTCGATCTCCTGACCTCGTGATCCGCCCGCCTCGGCCTCCTAAAGTGCTGGGATTACAGGCATGTGCCACCGCACCCGGCCTGATTTTATATCTTAATAGCTGCCTTGCCTTGGGCAAGTGACTTAATCCCTCTTGCTTTGCTTTCCTCATTTATATTATGGTATATTCACAAAATGGAATATTATATAGCAGCTGACAGAAATAAAATCTAGCTATATCAATTTTAAAGCTTTTCCTTGTGGTAAGAACACTTAGCATGAGATCTATCCTCAACAATTTTTAAGTGTACAATAGAGTATTGATTATAAGTACAATGTATGGCAGATCTAACTTATTCATTTTACGTAACTGAAATTTTATGCTAATTAAATAGTAATTCTGGGTCAGGCATGATGGCTCATGCCTGTAATCTCAGAACTTTGGGAGGCTGAGGCGGGTGGATCACTTGAGGCCAGGAGTTCAAGACCAGCCTGGCCAACATGGCAAAACCCTGTCTCTACTAAAATACAAAAAATTAGCTAGGTGTGCATGTGCCTGTAATCTCAGCTACTGGGGAGGCTGAGGCATGAGAATCACTTGAACCTGGCAGGCAGAGGTTGCAGTGAGCCGAGACCACGCCACTGCACTCAAGCCTGGGTAAGGAAAGGTCTCAAAAAAAAAAAAGTTAGTAATTCTTCATTTTCCTCTCCTCCCAACCCCTAGGAACCACCATTTCACTCTTTGATTCTATGAACTTCACTATTTTAGGTGCCTCATGTAAGTGGAATCATGAAATGTTTGTGTCTCTGTCACTGGGTTATTTCACTTAGCATAATATCCTCCAGGCCCATCCATGTTGTTGCCTATTGCAGAATTTCCTTTTTTAAGGCTGAATAGTATTCCATTCTATATATATATACCACATTGTCTTTATTTATCTGTCAATGGACATTTAGGTTATATAACCACATCTTTGCTATTGTGAATAGTTTGCAGTGAACATAGAACTGATAATATCTCTTCAAGATCCTGATTTCAATTCTTTTGGATAAATACCCAGAAGTGTGATTACTGGTTCATATGGTAGTTCTATTTTTAATTTTTTGAGGAGCCTCCTTAACTGTTTTCCATAGCCGTTGTGCTATTTTATATCGTGACCAATAGTGTGCAAGGGCATCAGTTTCTCCACCTCCTCACCAATGCTTGTTGTGCATGTGTGTGTGTGTGTGTGTTTTTTTTTATACCAGCCTAATGCATGTGAGGCGGTATCTCATTGTGGTTTTGATTTGAATTTCCCTAATGATTAGTGATGTCGAGCATTTTTTTTGTGTGCCTGTTGACCATCTGTGTGTCTTCTTTGGAAAAATGCTTGTTCAAGCCCTTAGCCCATTGTAAAATCAGGTTCCTAGGTGTTTATTTGCTTTTTGCTGTTGAGTTGCAAGAGCTTCTTATATATTTTGGAGATTAATCCTTTATCAGATATGGCTTCCAAATATTTTCATTCCCTAGGTTGCAGTATAAATATTAATAAACTATTGAGAGGGGATGGACTGCGATATATACAGTTGTGTGTTGCTTAATGACAGGGATATGTTCTGAAGAATGTGTCATTAGAAGATTTCATCCTTGTGCAAACATTATAGAGTGAATTTACACAAACCTAGATGATATAGTTTACTACACGCCCAGGCTGTAGCCTATAGCTCCTAGGCTATAAGCTGTACAGCATGTTACTGTACTGAATGCTATAGGCAAATATAACACAATGGATGTATTTGTGTATCTAAACATAGAAATGATACAGTAAAAATAGCATATTTATAATCTTGTGGGACCATGATCATATTTGTGGTCAATCATTCACTGAAACATTGTTACACTTTACTCTATTTTGCAGGGTGCATGATTGTATATGGGTAGAGGTAGGTTATTGTGAAGATCCTAGCATTCCTATCGAATACTAAGTTTATGCATGCTTGTTACATCTGTAACATAATTAACAAAATAATGAGTTCACGTGGTTCAAAAATGGACCTATGAAGAGACTGTGTCATGAACAAAGGATAATGATTGATTTCATATTGTGTACATGAGGTCTAAGATTACACCAAAATAAAAAGTAAAAATGTAATAATACCTACAGTTGTTAGGAAGATTAAATGAGTTAATATTTATAAAAAACTTTTAATAGTGCCTGGCACATAGAAAGTACTATACAAGTATTTGTTATGTAAAATATATGAACATCATTAACTATACAAGATATTGCCAGATTGTTCTGCAAAATATTAGTACTAATGAATTTTATAGCTTCATCCCACTCCAAATGCCACAAGCATGGGTAAGGGATGACATTTCTTCATATTCTTTTACCACTTGAAATAATGAGGTTTCTAAATTTTTGTCAATTTTTGGTTGTGAAATGAATCTCACTGTGGCTTTAATTTGCTACATTTTCCTAATTTAAAATGAGATTGAACAACTTTTAATATATTTAGTGTTATTTCAATTTCTTCTTTTATAAAATGCCTAATTATATTCTTCACTCATTTTCTTTCCTGTAAGGCTCTTTGTATTTTACCTATTGTCTTAAATACTAAGGTTTGTAAACACTCTTGATGTCTAATAGTGACCTCCATACACACTTATTTAAAATTATCTTACCTATTCTTGTTCTTCTGAAAAAATTGATATCAGTTTGTCAATTTGCATAAAAATTCGATTTTTATTTTAATTGGAATTGAGTTTATAGATCAATTTTGGAGAGAACTGATCTGTGAGAAAAGTTTTACTAAGAACAGTTTTTCTGTTTATACCTAGGGTTGCTCTATTATTTTGTTCTGTATTTTTTGTTATTCTATTTATATGTTTATATATTACCTCCCATTCTTTTGTGTTTGGAGCAGATGCACTTAATTGGTGAGTTTGACATTTTCATTAAAAGTCCTCTGTTCTTTACATTTTCTTCTTTGCAGATCTTGCTAGCATTCACAGTTCCAACTATCATCTTATGGAAATGAATCCTCAGTCTCTTTCATAGTTTGTCTAGTCCTGCTCTTAATTCCCAAGGTCTTCATTCTAGGTCCTTGTTTTCCATTCCCATTTTCAATTACAAATATTATCCATTCTTAAATGTATTGCCAATGTTTTTTAGATTAGCTGAAGATTTGCCAGCCTTCTCTTCATGAGCGCGGGTTATTTCTGTATAATAAACCTGTTGTAAATCTTCAGCAAAGGCTAATAATTTGACTGTACTTTACGGCTTTGTAAATCTAAATGATTTAAAACACATTCTTAGTCCAGAACTTTAATGAGCATTTTCTAATAACTGAGGGAGGGGCATTAAGAACCATGTCCACATTTTTTTTTTTCACTCTTTAGAGTTTTATTTCACTAACTTCAGGTCAAATTTCTACAACTGTGTTCTGGTCAATTTACTATCCTTGCTTGGCTTCCCCAAATGGTAGTACCAAAAGATTTGTGGGATAGGGAGAAGATACCACTTTAAGAAGCATGCATTTACTCATCCTCTACAAATCAACAGAGTTAGGCATCTGATCATTGAACAATACAAAGCTTTAATAGCATCCAGGAGGGCAGACAGGCAAACCAGGCTGTAGACACTTTTCCATTTGTCAAAATCAGACCAGAGAAAACCTCCTCCACACAGATATAATAGGTATTGATATTCATCTTTTCTTTAATGATCATATCATGCAGTTTCTCAAGTCCTTCCTTTAGGCCATCTCCTATGATTGCGCAGGTAGGCTGCAAATGCCAAGGAGTTGATGAGCTCAGTTCACCTGTTGCTAACAATTTCTCAATTCCTGAAAGAGATAATGAGTTCTCCAAGTCTTGTTTATTAGCAACTGTAAGTACAGGGACTCCTTGATTTTCTGATAACCTAGTTATTTTGTGAAGTTCAGTTTTGGCTTCTTCCATCCTTTCGATATCAACAGAGTCCATAAGAAATAAAATGCCATCTGTGCATCTGGTATATGACTTCCATAGTGGCATTAATTTCTCCTGACCACCTACATCCCCGAAGTGAAAAGTGACTGTTTTAGAATTTCTCAAGTTTACCTTAATTTTCTCAGTGTTAAATGCTTTGGTAGGTACGGTATTTACAAATTCATTGAACTGCAGCCTGTATAAGACAGTTGTCTTTCCAGCACAGTCCAAACCCAGCATAACAATGTGGAAGGATTGAAATGAAGGCAGACTGGACAGGATAGAAGTCTGGTCTGATAGTCCATTCCCCATTTCCAGCTGCAAATAAATGTCCCAAATTGAAACGCTTTCTACTTCTTGCCTTAGGACTTCTCTTCGTAGGTGATCCAACTATAAGATTGACTAACCATCCTTCCCTCCCCTTCACTCAACGTCTCTCTCAGCCGCTGGGGAGGTGTGCTGATACCTGTTCGCTGGCACCAGGGAGGCATGGGCGGTGGTGGAGGCCTGAGCGCCAGGTGGGCGCGACGCGCCAGACTGTCCTAATGGTGGTTGTCCGGCAGCTCCACGCAACAGACCCCACCCCCTGCCTGCGCGCCCCTAATCACTACCAAGGATTAACATAGATGTCAAACTGCTTCTCCCTCCCTTCCAAGATAATTATTATTCATGTTTTCTTTATTTAATGTTAATACTTTTCTTGCTTCATCCATGATCACCCACCTATTTTGACCCCATGTAATCATTTGATATATAATTCTTTTGGTTCACATTGACTAAACAAACACATAAACAAAAATTAAGGGCACATAGCTTAAAAGTATTCTTAGAGAATGACGGTATTTCCATGAGTTTTAAAGAGTAAGATTATCTGAAGTAAACCTACCTTTCTTCCTTCCTTCTGTCTGTCCATCTGTTCATCTGTCTGTCCTTCCATCCTTCTGTTCTTCCTGCATGCCTACCTTTCTTAATTAAAAGAAATGTTTATATGTGGTTGTCATGTATGGACAGGAACATTGACATGGGAATTGAAGACCTGGGTGTAGTTCTGGCTCGGCAACTTAAATTCTCTGAAGCTCAATGTTAATTTGGGAAACAAGGCTGCTGCTTGTTTTCTGAAGAAAGGAAACTGAAGAAAGGAGTGTAAGGGAGTTTAGAAAAATATAAAAGGAGAGCAATCAGGTGGATTTTGCTGTCTATAAATTTCGAGCAAATTGACTTTTAGAATGGATATGGAAGAAGGCAAACTTTGTTTCTAAAAGGAAACCCCACTTGTGAAATATCTTCAAAGTGAAATTCATAATCATGTTTCTAGTTCAGCTTCCCTTTTGGGGATAAGGACAAAGTACTACATCCTGTGTTAGAGGGTGATATGGCTGCAGTCAGTCCCCCATTAATTATGAAGTTTGGTAGCATGGATTTGACTTATTTTACTATTCTGTTTCTTCCAAAAAGCCTCATGCTTGCTCAAAGTTGATAACTGTACCAGATATTGTGGGATAGTTTCAGCACTTATTGAATAATTTCTAAAGGCCAGAAATTATCAGTTGTCACTTATTTTATGTTAATAATCTTACTAAACAGATGTTGTGATAACAATTTAACTGATATGTAGGGAGAAACTTTGTCAAACCGTGAGTTTTCTCTGCTCTCAGACCCCCACAGCAGTCATCGACATGGAAGACTTCTGTGACCAAAGATGCGGGGGTTTTTCCTCATATACCAAGCCTGGACACCAGCTGGTGTCCTTCAATTCAGTTCTGACACTGTCTACCTGGAGATGGTGTCAGGTCCCATAGGTTGAGGGCTTAGTCCCACAAGACCACCCCTTCCTTCCCCCACAGTTGAAAGTCAGAGCCTCTGGAACTTCTGAGCAACTGGCTTCAAGTTGGGATTCCCATGAACCCTTGTTTGGGTTCAATTAATTTGCTAGAGCAGCTGACAGAGCTCAGGGAAACATTTACCTGTGTTTACTGGTTTATTATAAAGGACATTACAAAAGATACAGATGGAAACATGCATAGGGCCAGGTATGGGACACACAGCTTCCAAGCCCTCCCCTGGCACACCACCGTCCAGGAACCTCTAGGTGTTCAGCTCTCTGGAAACTCTCTCAATACAGTTCTGTTGAGTTTTCATGGAAGCTTCAGGACATCAACATTCCTTCCCTCAGGGTATGGGGTAGGACCCTAACCAGGAAGGGTCTTAAGACCCTCAGTCAGAAAGGCAGAGAAGAGTGGAGTCCTTCCTTGGGGCAGTGGAAAGGAGGGCAGGAGAAGGTAAGAGGCCTGTGCCTGCGGCCTAACACACCCAATATTATAACAAAAGACTGTAACAAGGGCAATGGGAGTCCGGAGCCAGGAACTGGGCCAAAATCCAATATATATCATAACACCACACTGATGTAAAAAAAAAAAAATGAGGCTCGGAGAAGTTGTTTCTTGTTTTAAATCAACAGGTATCAAGTGGCAGAATCAGGATTAGAGCCCAGGATGTCCGATTTGGTGTTGCACGTGCCTTCCACTGGAAAACAGCATGGATTAGTGTTAGTAATGTGGCTTCTAGAATCTGGTTGTGTGACTTTGACCTTGGACAAGTTATTTAAGCTGTCTAAGCCTCCGTTTTCTCATTTAGAACGTGGGAGTGCTAATAATTATTTTGTTTTTTTTAAAGGCAGAGTCTTGCTGTGTCACCCAGGCTGGATTGCAGAGGCATGATCATAGTTTGCTGTAGTCTTGAACTTCTGGGCTCAAGCAGTCCTCTCGCCTCAGCCTCCTAAGTAGCTAAGACCACAGGTACCATCATGCCCAGCTAATTTTTCATTTTTTGTAGAGATGGAGTCTTGCTATATTGTCCAGGCTGGTCTTGAACTCCTGGCCTCAGGTGATTCTCCGGCCCTGGTGTCCAAAGTCTCTGGGATTACAGGCGTGAGCCACTGTGTCCAGCTGGTAGTTATCTTTTAGGGGCATTTTCTAGATCCCTGTCCTTTCTCTGTCTTTTAACCATCTTCATTATCAAGGTCTTAATATATGTATACTCAGTCCCATGGTAACTTACTTCCATGTCCAAGTCGGAGCCAGTCTGCCCTGCACTGGAGACATACTAGTGTACAAGACAGTTCTTGTCTCTGTCTTTGTGGAATTTACGGTTTACTGGAGATACCTATACTATGGTGGTGTAAGCAATGAATGCAGCCACATAGGATACTACTGGAAGGCATAGTGGGGGCACCTGAGACTGGTGGGGCTGGATAGGAAGGGAAGGCTGCTGGGAACTATACATTGAGAATGAAGGATGATTCGGATTTAGCCAGGTAAAGAGGAGGGAGAAGAGTGTTCCAGAGAAAATGATGTTTGCAAAATCTAGGAGATGCAAGAGATCATGATGTTTTCCAAAAACTGGAAGTTCAACCTGTGCCCATGTGGGAGGTGGTGAGAATTGAGATGGAAAAATTCGCAAGGGCACCTCAGGAAATGCCTTGCTAGTCGTGTTAATGGTTTTGGACTTGGACCTGAGGGCAGTGGGAAACCACTGAAGGAATTTAAGGACTTTGCCACATGATAAGATTTGTACTCTGATTATTGTCTGAAAAGTAGGTGGGAGGAGGTCAAGATTTGGAAACAAGATGATGAGAGACCAAACTTCAACAGAATAGTAGAAATGGGGAGATGCAAATATCTTCAAGAAATACTTAGGAAGTAGAACTGGCAGGACTTGGACTTGGAAAGTAGAGGAGAGGGAGAAGTTGAACATAATGTTCAGGTTTTCACTTGGTTAACTTTCCCCTGAGTTAGAGAGTGCCAAGTGAAGAGGAAAAATATTATTATTTACTTCCTAGATAAAGCACTTCATGTGTACCAGGCACTGTTCTAAGTGATTTACAGATACTATATTGTTAACTGTTCACAGTGGCCTTATGAGATAGTTACTACTCATTTTTCCTATTTTATAGTTAAAGAAACTGAGGCATGCAGAGATTAACAACCTCCCCACATAGCCAGAAACTGGTAGAGCCAGAATTCAAACCAGGCAGACTGGTCCAAGACCCAGGTTCTTAACCACTGCACCCTGCTGTCTTATCAACGGGGAAGATAAATTCAATTTTGGTCATGCTGAGTTTGAGGCGCCATCAAGACATCTAAATGGAGTCACCCGGTGGTTTGGCGTTTAAAAACAAAATTTAAGCCAGAGACACGGATTTGAGAAACATTTACCTGTACATAGTAATTGACCTGTGTGAGGAAGAGGAGGTAGAGTGAATGGAGAAGGCCTGTTGGGAACACCTATTTAGAACCATTCCCAGGAGACTGAGGTTAGGCAAGGCTAGAGAAGTAGGAAGAAAACCAGGAGAGCATGGACTAGATATTCAGTGACATCTTCATGGAGGTAACTGGTTTTGAAAGGAGGCCTCTGCAGTCCCCACTGCCCCTCCCTCTGTAACTCAGAGCCACTGGGCCATGCTGGCCCTCACTGCATTGTCCCTGGCCTCAAGGCATACCCATTACTGTGGTGCGAGCAGCAGTGAATCTGTATGGGTCTGCAGCAGCTCAATTCTTGTCTCCTTAGAGGAAGTAATTCAACTGAGGGGCTTAAAGCAGGGAGACCAAGGCAAGTTTTATATTTTTTAAAATCTATTTTTTTTTCCTTTTATTCTTTCTTTCTTTCCTTTTTTTTTTTTTCCCGAGACAGAGCCTCACTATGTCTCCCAGGCTGTAATGCAGTGGCATGCTCTAGGCTCACTGAAGCCTCTGCCTCCTGGGTTTAAGCGATTCTTGTGCCTCCACCTCCTGAGTAGCCGGGACTGCAGGTGCCCACCACCACGCCTGGCTAATTTTTGTATTTTTAGTAGAGAGAGGTTTCACCATGTTGACCAGGCTGGTCTTGAACTCCTGACCTCAAGTGATCCGCCCACCTCAGCCTCCCAAAGTGCTGGGATTACATGCATGAGCCACCACGCTGGGCCCCAGGGTAATTTTAGAGCAAGAGTGAAAGCTTATTTAAAAGTTTTAGAGCAGGAACGAAAGGAAGTAAAGTACACTTGGAAGAGGGCCAAGTGGATGGCTTGAGAGATTCAAGTGCGCTGTCCAACCCTTGACGTGGAGTTTTTATACATTGGCATGGTTCCGAGGTTTGCATTTCTTCTCCCCTGATTCTTTCTTGGGGTAGGCTATCCGCATGCACGGTGGCCTGCCAGCACTTGAGAGGGGCACATGTGCAGTGTGTTTACCAAACTGCGCACATGCTCGTTTGAGGCATTTTTTCCTTACCAGTCAAGCATTCCCAGAAGAAGGTCATATACTGGTTAAACTGCCATTTTGCCTCCTAGTGTGCATGCTTGAGCCTACTCACTCAACTCCTGAAATCTTAATGGAAAGCTGCTAATCACCAGCTTCAGGTGTTTTCTATCTATTGGGAGATTGCCTTTACTTGGGGTCAGCTTGCAACCAATTTTTATTTTAGAGAAACTGTTTAACAACCGCCTGACCATCACCTGATGGTTGCCTGACATTCCTGGTGGGAGGGGGGCCCTCTCCTGCCCTGCTTATGTCCGCTTAACTACGTACTGTAACAGTATCTCCCTTCTACTCAGGCCCCAATTATACATTACCAGAGTATTTCTCAGACTAAGCTCTTTGCCTGCCCTGTCCATGCAGCAATTTTGGTATTTGGCATTCATATGCAGTTTGTGGCCCTTGTTCAGATCATTGCCCCCCGGGTTGTATAATCCAGAGACCCATGTTTTAACTATTCACCAGGCTGAGGACACAGTGCTGTCTCCACCCTGAGCACTCTCTTTACCAAGCATCTTTCTTGTTCCTCAAATGCCTTTGCTATGTGATCTCCACCCTTGCTTTTCAGTTCAACCTGTTTTCTGTGATCAGCCATTCAACCCTTTAAAACCCAATCTGAGACTATTCCCAGGTAACTTAACTTCCAAATCCAAGTCTAAGCATTGGGTTAAGCCTATGGTTGGTGTATTTCTTTATTTTCTTCTGAGCCTCTGAACATTAAAGAGAAAAGTTACAGAACTGCATTAATTTGCCTCCAAATATTTTGTTTCTGAAACTGTGAGGTCTTAGTCATCTGCTTATTTTTGTCTTAATATTCAATAATCTATAAATGAGTACTATAACATATAAATGTTGACTAAAGCAGAATAAAATAAAAGTTTGCTAGTGGTCTGTTAACATTATCTGTAATAGCCTTTGTAGATTTTATTTAGGAATAATATTTGATATAATCTAGTAAATAATTTTTGAAGCATTTTATAAATTAAATATTTTCTTAATTCCAAGGAAAATAAAGTCATATTGTGTTTATATACTAAGGTAAGCCTTGTATTTTGCTTATGTACATATAATCTTATCTAGACTTTTGGCTTTTGCGGTTCTTAAAAGCTATGCCAAACTCTCTTATTTTTATTCCCCTGACCCAATGTTTTGAAACCTTGCCCACTAAATTGTTTCTTAAGTAATCATTTGTTTTTCTCCTTTTTCCTATGTTAAAGCCAATACAACAGTCAGCATACGATAACCTATTTTACTAAGCTGACAATTTAATTCTCACCAAAGCCCTATCAATGTATTTTCTTGTTGGATTCTGCAACCTTAATAAATTTTAAAATTCAATTTCTGTTATGGTTTTGAAATATTCAAGCTAACTCTTAGAGCTTTTATCATTGCCTTTGTGTACCTGGAATGTAAGAAAATTATTCTAAGTTACCGTGCCTTGTTCTCAGTCTGTGTTTTATATCATTTGTTCTCCATCTGTGAGGGTAAAATCACCAGCTTACAGATAATGGCCTCATTTCCATTTCTTCCCTAGCTTAGTGTGGCAAAGTACTGTTAGTAAGTAGGGCAGTCTGAGCGGATTTGGGCAGCTGGGATGGAATTTGGACTTCTGTGACAAAGGACCAGTAGAAGCCTAGCAGGATCTAGCATTTGAAAGGAGTATCATGTAAGGAAAAGCTAGTAGTGTGGTGGTGGTTTTTCTTTCTTTTTCTTTTCTTTTCTTTTCTTTTTTTTTTTTTTTGGGTAGTTGAGAAAGGATTAGTTTGGGATTCAGTCTCGAGGTGAGGTTGTGAGAAACAGCTTTGGAATTTGAGAGTCTCTGGAGATCAAACTTAATGCTTCAATGAAAAAGCCAGTGCTTTTATCGTTCATAAATAATTTTAAATCTTCCATAACCATCTGCACATCTAAGGAATTCAGATGTTTCAAATATACTTATTTCTTTGAAAACTGGAATGGTAAGGTTGCAACCTTGTAAACTGCTTATTAGAGTAGGAAAACTAAATGACATACTTAAAATCAGTTTTTTTAAAAAGTTATATCTCTGCAGCCTCTAAACCAAAGATTTTCTTTTGACATATGTTAAACTTTTAAATGACATAATATATTGTAAGACTAATATCTCTGGGCAGTAGCATGTACTGATTTAAATCTAGAAAAATGTAATATGTTCTTACTACCGTATAACTATAAATACATATAGTTCTTTTTCTTGTCTTAATTCCTTCTCCAGTTGACTGCCTCACAGTCAGTGTGTCTCACTAAATTGTGGTCATTCAGTTCTTTGAAAGAACAAGATAGTTAGAATGTTGCTGTTTCTTTGATCTAGGTTATTTAGGAACATTGCTGTTGTACTTTCTCTGAACTGTAACTGTACTATTCCACTTAAGGGCACCTGGTCTTGGCCACCCTCTGCTCTGGGAACCTGTCCTCAGGTATGAGCAGAGCTGATAACAAAATCACTTAACCCTCAGATTCTTAAAAAAAGTTTTAAAATTGGTACATAATAATTGTACATATGTGATACATGTGGTATTTTGATACATACATAGAATATGTGGTGATCAAGTCTGGCTGTTTAGGGTATTCATCAACACAAGCATTTATCATTTCTTTGTATTGGGAACATTCCAAGTCTTCTCTTTTAGCTGTTTTGAAATATACAATAAATTATTGTTAACTGTAGTCACTCTACTGTGCTAAAGAACACTAGCACTTATCCTTCTAACCGTATATTTGAAACTATTAACCAACCTCTCTTCATTCTCCTTACCCCATGCTTTTGAATGAATAAGGAATCACTTTGCTTCCGTCCTTTCATCATAGTTAAGCATCTTTAGTTCCTAATATTTTGTACCCCCTCTAGTTAATGCTTTTCAACACGACATTGAAGGAATCATGATGATTAATGATCCTTAATGAGTCCTATGACTATATTTTACTCTGAGATTGAAATGTATTTGTGTTAGTGTTTTATAATTGATGAGTATTATTTTTGCTTTAGAAACACAGAAATGAATTCTTCAGCAAATATGACAAAGTACTGGTATGTGTCATGACAACAGGTTACTGAAAATGTATATAACAGACCTTAATTTATAATTCAGTTAGCATATACCTGTAGTGATTTATAGAAAATGTAGAATAATAAGCTTGTATGTAAAACTGATGGTCTAATTCATATTTTAAAATTTAACGGACATATGAACACATATATCCTTTTAAGCCAATTTCTATTAGTTCATTCCTATTGAGAAAAGGTAAAACATTTTCAAATTACTTGCAAGAATTATCTACTGTTAGTTTAGTAGAGCAAGTAATGGAAATTTTGCTTTTAAAAATTGCAACATCAACTATTTTGCTTTGTTATAGTATTTTCACTTATTTTTTTGACTGTTTTATGGTGTTCTATCTTAAAATTAAATAAGCCTTTTTGAGGTAGTCATAATTTGTATAATTTCCAATGTCCAGATGAGGTAGAAAAAGTGGAATATTCTTATTTTTGAAGAGAGCCTGTGTTTAGATATATAAATGGTGCAATTTAACTTTTAAGTTATGGTTTTAAATGTAGATTCTTTTTTTTTTCATTCTCCAATTATCTCAATATTTCAACTTCTTTGTTGGCTATGTTCCTGAAGAACTGTGGCCCCAAATGTGTAGAGAAGTGTGACGGTGAATTGACCTTTGCATATCTTTTTTATTTCTTATCACCTTTTGGGACTGGAGTCCATTTGAAATCTGAAGAATGTGATACTGCCTCTTTTGAGAACAATGCACATATTTATAAACAAAATTTAGTGTACAATTCTAGGCATTTTATGAACTCTGGCTCTGTCCTATATGTAGATACTATTCTGGTCTAATTTCAGAAAGTAACCACTCAAATTTAGTATATGTTACTTGTTTCATTGGAACTTCTTATTTCTACAGGACTACTTTGCATTCATTCAAAAAATACTTATGAATCATCAGTTTTGTGCATGCTATAGAACTTAGGTATTGAGAGGAAGCCAGGAATTCTCAGAGAAACACAGATCTATACTATCTTTTGCACAAATTTAGAAGACAAATTGTGTGGACTGGAATGGTCACAGATGTTCTTGGCTATATTGGGTTGAATTAGGCTTCAGAAAACTGGGAAGATGGGTGGAAGAAGTGAGTGATGCTAGTCTGGCTGCAAACATTTAGTGATGACCTCAAACCCTGAATCCTTTTATCTTTGAAGGGAGGTAGCCTAGATCCTTATAGGATAAATATGTAGGCTAGAGCAATGTTTTTCAAACTTGATTAATGTACTGACTCCTTTTAAAAGGAAATTATTGTGGCCTGTCAATGCTGACTTAAATTATTTTTATTTAATGTTACTTAAATATGTAAAAACATAAAACTTGACCTGAATGTTTTATGCTCATAACTCTTATGCAACTGTAAAATCCAAAACTGATTTAAAAATTCCACAAACAATGATAATGATATGTTGCTGCAAATAAATTGCTACTTGCAATGCAAATGTGGTTCTGGCCATTATGGCATGAGTTCTTTTGAGGTCAACTTGCCCCTGATACCAGGACTCAAATATATGGTTTATGCTTTTGTTCTCTTTTTTTTAATTGGCTTACAAATATTTGAAATATTACTACCTCATATCAACTTGACTGTAAAGATAAAATAGGCACAATGATCAGTTATGAGACGGTCATCCAGATGACTCAGAATATATGTGTTCATTTATTAAAGATTATAATTGTTATGGCTATATAAATCAGAACAGTGGTTACCTCTATGGGGGAGATTCACTGCAAAGGGACATAAGATACATTTTGGGGGATAGTCAAAATTTTTAATATCTTGACTTGGGCATTATTTTCATAGGTACACACATGATATGGTTTGGATGTTTGTCTCCTCCAAATCTCATGTTGAAATGTAATTCCCATTGTTGGAGGTGGGGCTGTGTGGGAGGTACTTGGGTCATGCAGGCAGATTCCTCATGAGTGGCTTGGTGTCCTCCCCATGGTAATGAATGAGTTATTGCTCTGAGTTCACGTGAGATCTGGTTGTTTAAAAGGGTGTGGCATCTCCCTCCTCCCTGCTCCCTCTCTCACCTTGTGGCATGCCTGTTTTTCCCTTTACCTTCCACCATGAGTGGAAGCTTCCTGAGGCCTCACCAGAAGCAGATGCTGGCACCATGCTTCCTGTACAGCCTGCAGAACCATGAGCCAAATAAACCTCTTTTCTTTATAAATTATCCAGTCTCAGGTATTCCTTTATGCAATGAAAATAGACTAATACGACACATTTATAAAAACTCATCAAATTAAACATTTTATTTCACTGTAGTAAAGTTTACCTTAGTAAAGAAAAAAAATTATTGGAATGAAGACACAATATTTAACTTTTTCTTTTTTTTTAATACAAGAACTCTCATACTCTGAGAATGGATGTATGGACTTTAGTTTGGAACCCGCAATCAAGGAAGGCTACTAAACATTTATGGCTCCAGTAGGCTTTGGCCCAAACTCATGTACTGCTTCCTACCCTGGTGAACTGAACTTGACCGTATCTGAGCAGTGAAGACTCTTTGCACCCAGTGTAGAGACAGCCTATGTAGTGCGTCTTATGCCACCAAACACCTTGCATCATGCTGATTTCAACTCATGCTTCTAATTGGACTACTCCTCTGAATATTCTTCCTTCCCCCATTGTAGTCACATTAGGGGAAGAGAGAGGAGGGTAACTTGAAGAGTGCAGAAGGAAGGAGATCCAATAGAGCAGCACTCAAAAGAAGGTTAGAGTTTAGTAGATACTTGTGTCCTGAAAATCTTTATTTTTACCGTGAACACTTGTGAGACCTTATTTAAAAACTTGTCTGATGGCTGGGCGTGGTGGTTCATGCCTGTAATCCCAGCACCTTGGGAGGCTGAGGCGGGTGGATCACCTGAGGTCAGGAGTTCGAGACCAGCCTGGTCAACATGGTGGAACCCCATCTCTACTAAAAATACAAAAAATTAGCTAGGTGTGGTGGCAGGCACCTGTAATCCCAGCTACTCGGGAGGCTGAGGCAGGAGAATAGTTTGAACCTGGGAGGCAGAGGTTGCAGTGAGCCGAGATTGCACCATTGCACTCCAACCTGGGCAGCAAGAGCGAAACTCTGTCTCAAAAAGAAAAAAAAAAATCTTGTCTGAAGAGAGGTAAAAATTAAAGTTAGATCTCTAATCCCATGAGTTATTTCCTATTCTGTGGTTTTTCCAGCTTGTCAAGGAGAAGGAATGGGACCTTCTAATCTCTCATGAATGTCTTTCCTCTTCTGTGCCTATGAAAAAGAAAAAAAAACATGTTTTTGAGTAAAACATGTTTACAGTAGAAGTTTCTAAATATTCAAGAATTATTAGATCATTCTATCACATGAACTCTTTTACCTTTTATAGGTTTTAGATAGATGGTCCTCATCTACATGCAGAGGTGATTTTTTTTTTTTTTACCAAATTTTACAGAAATATATATTGCTTGTTGTATCAGAAAAAAAAATACATGTTTTCTTCTCTTAAACAGTGAACAGTGAACAGTCATCATGCTTCTGTGACCAGAATGTGTGGGGATTTCTCCCCACTAACAACCAATTTTCCAGTGAACAACTGGGCATCCTATACTTCAATTAAATTCTGACACTGCTTGCCTCGAGTAGAGTCAGCTTTTCCAGGTTAAGTGCAAGGTCTCACAAGACTGTCCCTCAGTTCAGGCACCAATCACAGATAGTAGATTGTCACCTATGCTTCTGATCAACTGGTTGTAAATCTGGGTTCCTAGGACCCATTCCTTGGGTTTGATTAATTTACTAGAATGGCTTCCAGCAGAACTCAGAGAAACACATCTACTGGTTTATTATATTAATAAAGGATACAGATGAACATTCAGTTGGAGAAATACAGAGGGTGAGGTCTGGAAGGGTCCTGAGCACTGGAGCTTCTGTCTTCATAGAGTTGGGATGCACCACCCTTCAGCCACATGGATGTGTTGTCAAGCTGAAAGCTCCCTAAACCCTGTAGTTCAGGGAACTTTATGTAGTTTTTATCATGTAGACATGATTGCTTATTAACTCAATCTCCAGCCCATTGCCTCTTCCCAGAGGATGGGATAGGGCTGAAAATTCCAAGCTTCTAATCATGGCCTGGTCCTTCCAGTGATCAGACCCCATTTAGTGGCCCTCTAAGAGTCACCTCATTAGAACAGAAGATGTTCCTATCAACAAGGAAATTCCAAGGAATTAGGGGCCCTGTGTCAGCAATTGGGGTCAAAGACCCAATATCAAAACAAAAGATGCATCTAGCACCTCTGCTCAGGAAATTACAAGGGTTTTAGGAGCTCTGTCCCAGAAACCAGGGTTGGAGACCAAATCTTTTTTATTTATCGCAATGTCATAATTGTCTATTGTTGAGTAACAAATTACACCAACACTTAGCGGCTTAGAACAATAAGTATTTATTATATCACACAGTTTCTGTGGGTTAGGAATCCAGGAGCAGCTCAGTTAGGGGTTTCCGATTCATGATCTCTCACTAAGTTGCTGCCAAGATGTCAGCTGGGACTGCAGTTATCTGCATACATGACCCAGAGAAGCTTGTTTGTAAGCCTGGCAAGCCAGTGCTGATCTTTTGCAGGAGGCTACAGTTTCTCAACACATGGACTTCTTTATAGGGTGCTTGAAAGTCCTCACAATTGGAATTCTCCATTGGGCTGCTTGAGCATCCTCACAACATGGCTGCTGGATTCTCCCCACTGTGAGTGGTCCTAGAGAGTAAGATGGAGATTGCAATATCTTATAACTTAACCTCATAAGGCACACTGCTGCATTTCCACAGTGTCCTGGGCTGGGCTGCATACTGGGGTACAATAGTGAACAACAGACATATAGGCACACATTCCTGACCTACCTTGCAGCTTGCAGCCCTGCCAGGGGAACACTTACATATATACACCCTTATAAGTTCAATAACAAAAAAGATTTACAAAGGCAAAAAGTGCTATGACAAACACAAAGGAAGTGCTGAATTAGAGTGTAAATGGGAGGACCCACTTAGATTGAGATACCAGGGAAGACCTCTGAGAGGAAGTGACCTTTAGGCTGAGCCCAGATGGATGAGTTAAAAACCAGTCACAGAAAGGCTGGGAGGGGAGAGGGAAGATCCTGTGTAGGGACCTCCAGAAAGGAAAGCACTTGGCCGGTTGGAGGAATCCAGAGGAGGCCAAGGTGACTGAAATGTAGTAGAAAAGAGAGGATGGTGAGGGACAGGTGGGGAGGTAAGCGGAGTCAGATCATGCAGAACCTTGTGGATCACAGAGTTGGATTGTTAATACAAATGCAATGGTATATTTATATTTAGATTTAGCTGCATGTGACTGAAACCAAAGAGTAGTTTATATAAGATAAGAGTTTATTTCTCTTATGAAAGGAGTCATGTGGTAGGAAATCCAGGGTAATTTCCGACCCAGGTTCCTATTGATTTACTTATTTATTCAACTATTTTTGGCTTCAATGACTTTTCACCCTGAAAGTTACATTGTGTCCTCATATGGCTGCTACACCTTCAGTTGTTACATCCTTGCTGTAGGTCAGAAGAAGAAGGAAAATGTAAAACAGCAAAACAGGGACTTCTCCCAACTGATCAATCCCCTTCAGTGGCCTTCAGAAGTGCCGCACAACACTCCCACTTGGAGTCAATTGGCCAGACCTTAGGCACATGCCCTTCTTCAATTTCAAGGGAGAGAGTGCATTTTATTTTGGACAAATAGTACCAACTAAATATCGTGTCCCTGCTACTTAGTGGAAAGGGAAACTGGGTGTGGGGGTAGGCAACCAGCAGCCTGTGTCACAAACGGGAAGCCACTCCAGGGGTTAAAGCCAGGGAGTGACATGGTGCTTTATAAAAGGGATATTCCGGCTCTTGGTGGAAAACGGCTTATGGAGGGAAGGAGTGGAAGCAGGGAGGCCAGTGAGAAACCTATTGCAGTAATCCAAAAGTTAGATAATGAGCCTAGGCTAGGTTAGAGGTGGTGGTTTGGAACCGAGTGGATCTGGGATATATAACCCAGCTCAGATCTACAGGTCTTGGTGATAAGCGAGGTGTGAGGAAAGGGGAGGAATCCAGAATGAAATCCAGGTTTCCTGTTTGAGCAGTTCTGAGGGTGGTGGTGCAATTTATGGAGATGAGGAAGACTAGCAGGGGAGGGTGGAGGAACTGGCTTGGAGGGAAAATTAGGAGGTCGATTTTAGGCATGTTAGGGTTGAGAGGTTAGGGTATGGGAGGTGTTGAGTAAACAATTGGATGTACATTTCAGTTGTTTGGGGGGAGGTCAGAGTATATTCATTGTATTTGCAGCCATGGGATATTTAAAATCAATTAGGGCTGGGCACAGTGGTTCATGCCTGTAATCCTGCACTTTGGGAGGCTGAGACGAAAGGATCCCTTGAGCCCAGGAGTTTGAGACCAGCCTGGGCAACATAGCGAGACCCTGTTACCACTAAAAGGAAAAAAAAAGTAGCTGGGCATGGTGCCTTGCACCTGTGGTCCCAGCTACTTGAAAGGCTGGGGTGGGAGGATCACTAGAACCTAGGAGGTCAAGGCTACAGTGAGCTCTATTCACACCACTGCACTCCAGCCTGGGTGACAGAGCAAGGCCCTGTCTCAAAAAAGTAAAAAATAAGTAAAATCAACTAGGCTGAGATTATAGAAAGGGAAAGGAAGAGGGCCTGTGACCTAGCTCCAAGAAATATTTAACATTTCAAGGTTCGATAGAGAGGAAGTCAACCAAAGAAAGTGAGGGGGAGTCAAGGAAAACCAGGAGGTATGTGGTGCCATGGAAAACTGGCCAGGCAGGGCTTCAGGATGTAGTGTGTCAACTGTTCAAGGCTGCTGAGAAGGAGGCTAAGATATGGTCAGAAAGGCATCCATCAGATCTGGAAACCTGAAGATCATTAGTGATTCCCCAGGGCAGCATCATAAAAACATTCCAGTGAAGTGGTGAGGATGGAAGCCAGACAAAAGTGGGTTGAAGTGGGATTAGGGACCCAGCGGTACCCAACCGCTGAGTAAAGGGTGCAAGCCTCTGAAAGTTGGAGTGTTTCTTAAGGCAAAAAAACCAAAATCACCAGTAGATAATCAGAAGAAGAATGGATCCCATAAAATGGGTGTAAGTGGCTGCCAGCTAGAATGCATTTGAAAAATAGCTTTTGGAACAAAAGAAAAGTTTGTCAAGTTATTTAGCGCTGCACTTCTGTGCCGACATTTGTCAGAAGCGAATGTGATTGTGAAGAGGCTGGTCCAGGGCCCTGTCCTGAGTGTAGCTCATAAATACAATCAGTTCAATCCTCAATCCAGCCTGAAAGGAGAAAAACCTGTTTGACACGTGTGTGGAGACAACATAGGTCTGACCACTTAGCCCCTTTCTCAAAACCTGGAGATCACAGTGAAGAACTGCTGACCCCCACAGCTGTCACAGTGTCAATTCTTGTGTTTGAATAATTTTTTTTTTTTTGAGATGAAGTCTCACTCTGTCACCCAGGCTGGAGTGCAGTGGCGCGATCTTGGCTCACCGCAACCTCTGCCTCCTGGGTTCCAGCGATTCTCCTGCCTCAGCCTGGCAAGTAGCTGGGAATACAGGTGCACGCCACCGCGCCCGGCTAATTTTTGTATTTATTAGTAGAGATGAGGTTTCACCGTCTTGGCCAGGCTGGTCTCGAACTCCTGACCTTGTGATCCACCCGCCTCAGCCTCCCAAAGTGCTGGGATTACAGGTGTGAGCCACCGTGCTTGGTCATTTGAAGAATTTTTAAAGAATCTTGGACAAAGCTTTCTGGAGGGTAACAGCTGAGCCTGGCTGATGTGCACCTGCTTGAAACTTCCTCCCATCTCCCAGTGGAAGAGAAAGTCCCTTCTGTTCTCTCTGCATTTCTTCTATCCAGCAGGAATGAGTAATATCCCTATGATTAAGAAATTCCTGGCACCTGGTAGCAAGAAAAGCCCACCCCCGATGCCAATGATGTGAAAACAGTCTGCCAGATCTTTATATTGTAAAGCTGGTACTTATTTATAACCATGAGTCGGATGGCCTCTGTGGATTGCTGTGCCCCTTAAGTACTATAATCAGTGCCACACTGCAGTGGTCCCCAGGCCTATGAATAGCTACTTCCTCAGTAGTTCTTATGTTTCAGGGGCACCTTCTCTATGGAAGATCTTAATTTGCTCATGAGTAACTGGGAGAGAGGGCAGGCCAGATTTAAGTTAGCCCTTCGTCTGATGAGTTATTCCCAGCTCCTATGGCTAGTCCATCCTGCTGTGGGGGAGGGTGAGAATTACGTTCTCCTCTGAGTTTCCTCCTTCTTTTCCTTTTTAGAAAGTGAGTGAGATTATTTGGAATCGGTCAAGGAGCAGGATTGCACATATTAATGCAGTGGTCTTTAAAGTGTGATTCTGCAAGCCAGCATCATCAAAGTCACCTGGGAATTTGCTAGAAGTGGATTTTTTAAAACCCTAATCTAGACTTACTGTATCCAAGCTGAGGGATGGTTCCCAGCAATCTGAACCCAAGCAAGCTTATTAAAATCTTGTGTTTTTAACAAGCCTTCTGAGTGATTCTGTTGCAAGCTAAATATTGAGAAACATTGCTCTAACCAGGAAAGAGAGAGATTCAGGGCCATTCCAGAATAAGGGACACTGATACAAATTATTGAGGATAGAACTGAGCTGAGGATTGACCATGTTACATGTCAATACAAACCTAGAGGTTCCAAACCCACTCTGAGGCCCTGGAGATGTCCCATGTACTCACTGGAAAGGAAAGGAAGGAGTGGAGGAAATGGAGACAGCTTGAGTAAGACAAGCTAGGTTACAAAGGGAACAAAAAAATGACAAGGTTGTAAAGTGTAAAAATATGCATTAGAAATATTTCCAGAAGATTATCTGGCTTCCTATATCTACGATGACTTTGATGTCTCTTTAGAGATGGACAGTTTTAATTTTTATGAATTTTTATATCATTTGGTTTCTTTGATACTCAAACAGTGGTAAGAATCATTGTGTTTAGCAAAACTTGTTTTTAATGTGTTAGTTTTTTATTTCAATGTCTATAACACATTTTTGGTTTTCTTTATTTGTAGTTAAGAACATTCTTTTTTGGTTCCTTAGACTTTTAAGAGTGGGCCTTTCTACATTCTCTTAGTAGGAAATGGGGGATTCTTTTATATCTCTAAAACCTGGCTTATCTCTGGAATGGGGTGGCTCTTACACTTTTCTTCAATTCAATATAATTAATATAATATAATATAATATAATATAATATAATATGATATAATATAATATAATATAAAGTTTTACCACAGGAAAAAAACTAAGAAGAAATTGGTGTGTGTGCCAGATTTAGCAAATAAAAATACAGAATGCATAATTAAATTTGAATATCAAACAATTTTTTTTACAGTAGTGTAAGTATACTCCCTGCAGTATTTGGGACATACTTATATGAAGAATTCATTGTTCACCTGATATTTAATTTTAACAGGCATCCTCTATTTTATCTGACAACTCTAAATTGGTAGTAACTCTAAAATTAAAACATCTAAGCATTACAGTCTTTCAAAATTGCTCCAGCTATTATTAACTAAAAGATTTAAGAGAAGAGTTATCATCTTGAATAAGATTTGCCATGGGGTATGTGCAGTTTTAGGCACCCTGAAGGAAATGCCACCTTTTTCCTTCCTTCTCCAGAAATCACACTGGAATTCAGTGAATGAGAATGATAGACTTATAGAGATAATCTTGAAGATAGTCTACATTATTTTTTACAATATAATTTTTGAATAGGTAATATATGCACACCTCTTTTTTCTCTCTTAAGTTTTCTACACTTAAGAAACCTATTAATATATTTTTAAGAACTGTGGTCAAATACAAGTAAAAGTCACCATCTTAACTATTTTAAGGTGTACAGTTCAGAGGTACTAAGTACATTCACACTGTTGTGCAAACACTCATCTCCAGAACTCTTTTCATGTTGCAAATGGATGTTACGCTGACTTAATGACTGTAGCTCTGTACTCATTACACAACAACTTCCATTTCCCTATTCCCCCTCCCCTCCCAGCCCCTGGCAACCTCATCTACTTTCTGTCTTTGTGAATTTCACAACTCTAGATAATTCATATAAGTGGAGTCATACAGTATTTGTCTTTTTGTGACTGGCTTATTTCACTTTACATAATGTCTTTAAGGTTCATCCACGCTGTAGCATGTGTCACAATTTCTTTTCTTGTTAAGGTGGAATAATATTCCATTCCACATTTTATTTATCCATTCATCTATTGATGGACACTTGGGTTGCTTATACTTTCGGCTATTTTGAGTAATGCCCTTATGAACATAGGTGTAGAAATATCTCTTTGAGATCCTGCTTTCAATTTTTTGGGGTCTATACCCAAAGTGAAGTTGTTGGATAATATGGTAATTCTATGTTTAATTTTTTAAGGTACCTCCATACTGTTTTCAACAGCAGCTGCACCATTTTACATTTCGACCAATAGCACATACATGTTCTAATTTCTCCACATCTTTACCAACACTTGTTAATTTGTGTTTATTTCCAGTAGTGATCCTAATGAGTGTGAGGTGGGCTCTTCTAATATTTAAATATTAAGTCACTAAAAAATATAATACTTAATTATTGGTAACATTATTTGATTCAAGTACATGACTATGTTATTACACGGTGGTTGAGAACTGCTATTTTATTCTGTGATACTAGGTTGGCAGAAATTACGCTGGGATTAGGATGGAGAAACTGGATAACTTTAACAAAATATCTCAAGATACACTTAATAGAATTGCTATTTTATTTTTCATAAATTCCTGGAATATCAACTGTATTTATCTTAAAACAGATACTGAAGACACAGTCCAAGTTTGAGTTTAAGTATGTTTTGTCTAGAATACCACCCTTCTCCCCACGACAATGTAGTAGCCTCAAGAGCAGGATTTATGTGTCAAAGGATTTGTTCAGCCTGTATTTCATGAGCATCTGCTACATGCCAGACAACACATTTGTTGTTGAGGACACAAAGAAGAACCAGCACATTTAGATTTTGTTTAGTGCTCATCAGGCACAATGACGAGCATGTTTTAGCATCTTAGAAAATGCTCTTTGAATATAACTGCGTTTTGATGTTTTTGGTCTCTTGTTCTATTCTCTGGCAGTTCAAACAAAATAAGAGTGGACAATATTACCCTTGTATATTTCTTTAAATATTAATATGCTTAAAAATAAATTTTTAACAGTGTTTTGTGCCCCCAGTGTTCCTCAAGAAGGTATTGTCCTCATTTTATTGATGAGGAGGCAGAGGGTTCGCATCGTTAAGCTACTTCTACAGGGTTCTAATCTGAGTACCCAATGGGGCTGGGAAGCAGCTGAGTCATCATAGGCAACATGCTCATTCTTTCCTCTGAGGCATGCTGGCCATTCGGGATAGGAAGTACTTTCTGTGTTTCAATTTTGTAACACGATCCTGTAAAAATTTATAATTGATTCTATGGTTTAAGGCTTATTCTTTTTAAACTAAATTGCATATTGGATATAAAAGCAATTTAAATCCCTCACATTTTACTCCTCTTACATTCTTCTTAATCGACATTTAGCATCTATGCACTTGAAAATATTTCAACTTCATTCAGAACTAATTATTACCTTGTGATTTAATTGAGAATTATTGTATATGACATGAAGCAAATATCTATGCAATACCTTCTGAAAATAATGGATCAGTACCTTATTTAATGGAGGTCATTGTTAGAATTTTGCATTTTATGCTTTTAAATGGATCTTGGGGTCAATTATTTTTTAGATTTTATTTCTGTCTTAACTCATGAGCCTTCTGCTAACCATTTTGGCCTGCATTGGTTTGTTTTGAGCTAATTTATTCTGGTTTCTCTGTGCTTTGAGACTTTCAATGGCTAACTTTGCATGAAACAAGCTTACAATAGGACCATCTGGTGTATCAAGGTGACCGATTCTCAACTCATTTGATTAAATGTTTCTTTCTGGAGTGTTCTCTGCTATCTTTGTACACACATATATATCTTTATTTGGTGTAATATTTTGTGTCTCAGATTTAAGACAAGGTCATTGCTTCTCAATTTTTGTCTCCTTATTTCACAGAATGTGATAACTATTATTTCATGTACAATTATACAATTATCCCATAATAAAATCTCTTTTACAGTTTGCCCTAACTTGACAGTATTAGTACAAGAAATTTGACACTAAGTTCTTCTTCTTTATTCATCCGAACCATCTAGAAATTCTTGGAAGTGCTGGATCAGATTTTAAGCTGAGTTCCCATCAGGGTTCGTGCTATCTCACGTGTCCTCTTTCTGCTTTGCGCCCTGACAGCGCGGTGGGAAGCTGAGTGGGTGGGTAAACAGTAGACTGCATTTATGTTCCCAGGAAGGCTGTTTGTTTTGCCTTCTGAGACAGGCAGGATGCAATAAGAGGAAGAGTGCTACATGATTCGGCAGATAAGATGCATTTGATTTTGAGTAAGCCCTTTCATCTGTCTCATTTCATTTCTTACTTAAAAATATTAGGATCTGCTCTGTTCTAACTACCTCATGCTTATTGTTGCAAGAATAAATAAAATACGATTTGTGAAAGCTCATTGTAAATTCAAAAGCTTTATACAGAAATAATCTTGTATGTATTAATTTGGAGAAATAAGTTAATGTGCTACCTACTAAAGATGAAAGAATTAAAATAATTTACTTTAAATGGTACTTTTACAGTTTCAAAGTGCCTTTACATATAAGTTCTCATTTGAGTATTTTAACACCATCATGAAGGTAGGAGGAAATGCTATTATCAGACGTATTCTGTGAATAAGAAAACTCAGTTTTAGTGCTGTGACTGAAGTCACAGGAATGGAGTCTAAGGGTTGAGACCCTGGGGCTTCCCTCCAAGCCTGGACCACTGTCACTACCTCTGCTTTCCCTTCGTGCTCTTAAGCAGATGTGAGGAAGTCATAGCCCTGGACAGAGCTGACTCACTGTGGTTTAATGTTATCTCCTTTCAGCTGAGCCTTGTAACACTGGTCAAGGTAGAGCTGCTTGGGTGGAAACAAGAGACGAGGGGCTTGGGGACCCTTTCTATTAGCCAGTAGCTTCAACAAGGAGCCTTCTCAGTGGAATCTGCCTCTGCCTTCTCCCTATGACCACTGTATAAAAATCAGTGGCCCTTTCCCCACAAAATGCTTGTAGTAGTTTCTTGAATCAGAATTTCAAACCTCCTGGTGGCCAAGAATGTACAATACGAAGTGCTTTAATGGCAGCAATCTGATGGGGGAATGTGTGTTCTTTGCATAGCTAGCACATTACTTTTATGTGAATTGCTCATTTTGGGGGACTGATTTTGTGAGGCGAGTTCATGGAGGAGAAAAGACTTGGTATTACCATGAACTCTTAGGTTGTTTGACTCATTTCCTCAAGTAGTTTGCTCTTCAGGACTTTTGAAGGACTTTATGTAAGGCTTATTTGTATAGCTCCTGAAGTCTTACACAAGTGTTCTGTAAATTTCCCAGTAACCAAATGAATAAAACATAAAGTTCTGGGATAGTTTAATTGTTTATCTTAAAGGCCAGTTTAATAGCAGACTGTACTCTTAATATATTCATCCATTCAACAGATATCTTTTGAGCACCAACGACATGCTAGACCTGGCTCTAGATACTCGGGATAATGTAGTGAAGAAAACAGGCTCCTGTCCTCTTGAAGCTTGCGTTTATGTTTCAGTGTATAAAACATAGATATAAACATTTGCTAGGGATTGATAATGGTATTTGTTCTAATTAAAACTTGCTTAAGAAATCGGTCAGTATATTTTATATGTTTCTTTTAATAAATGATTCAGATTACATGTTATAAAGTGACAGACAATAATGAATGTGTTTAGAAATATATACACATATTTAGCAGTAGGTTAGATTGTTAGGATTTGGTTCTAACAAATCCTAAGATTGTTAAGGATTTGGCTCTAGAGATCATATAGCTATTATTTTTGTTGATTTTCCCCAGAATTTTGTTGTAGAAAGATTAGCAAAGTATTAGTTGAATTCATATATAATTTCCATGTTATACATTTGTCTTTTTTATTTTTTAGTACTTAACAAAAATATCTATCAGATATGAAGTGGGCACATACTATGTTTCAGATCACAATATATCAGTGTGCCAGTTGAAAACATTTTTGCATTTTCTTCTCATTGCAGGACAATCCCACAATTGTAATTGGCTAGACATGGCATTTTTTCATCCTTTATTTCTCTTTTTCCAAAATAAACTCAAAAACGACCAATAGTAGTCATAGATAAAAAGTGTCTATAAATTTTTCATAATTTGTTTATAATTTATATTCTTTTTTGATATATTCTAACTGATCTAATTTAAAAATCTCATCAAATTGATTTAAAATAGTTTCTTTAGCCTTGATTCCTATTCTTGACAGCCTGGTAGTATAGCAGCTTAGAGCTAAAACTGGAACCAGACGATCTGGTTCAAATCCCCGTCTGGCTTTGTTTGGGGGATGAAAGTGCATACTAGTGTTTGAGTCAGCTCACAAAAATTTAACTTAGAGGAAGTAGTAATGCTTTTGTAGCCCAACGGAGCCAGATGAAGATGAGGGTGCTCAGGGCCTCCCAGTGGGTGGCCGGCATCATTCTTGTTGCCATTTTCAGATGCTTTTTCTTGCAGCTACGCCTGGAAACAAAATGTTTGCCATTCATCTGAGCAATGGCTGCTTGAGACTTTTAAGTCTGCAAGGTCGTGTACAGTGAGCAGGCCATCACGGTGCTGGAGGCTTAAAATCCAAAGTAAAGAGACAATAGAAAAAGATAAAATATAGGATAAAAGTTAGTGGAATCTTCCTGGAGTCAATTGCTATCCATAAACAAAGCTGTAGAATACACAGGTAAAAACAATGAAGTTTGTATAGGCTAAAGAAAAGGAAACTAGAAGGGCAAATGATTAGGCCCTTATAATCTGTATGTCTGGGCATGGTGCATTTTATGAATTGGAAGGACTCCCCGAAGGGCATTACCTTGGTAGAGGGAAAAAGAAATGCCTAGAATTTACAGTAGTTTTATTTCTGGCTCTCATTCTTTCACTTTCTAAGAAACAATTTCTTTAGTTTTATGATTATGAATTGGAAGTATAAATATACTATTTTTGTAATATTTGCTTATATGTTTATATGTAATTTTGGCAAGTATACATAAAACTGTAACCTAGATACTGGTTATGGTTCCGTCATTGACAGTGTTTGAAAAAAAAAAAAACCAAAACACTTCCTCTCCCTGCTCTACCCCTAGCCCCATTACTTCTTCCTCTATATTTTATTTTTCACATTGCCACCAGACTCATCTTTCTGATCATTTTACTTACCCACTTAGAAACCTTTCTTGGTGGTTCCATAGTTCTTAGAGAACTAAGCCTAAACTTCTTGATATAGTTTCCAAGTTGATTGGTTGTACATTATGTGTTATGTCTTATAGATGTGGGGTGTGTGTGTGTGTGTGAGTGTGTATTTAAAACTCTGAGAGGTTTGCTCCTTTTTTTCTCAAGGCTTTAGGCAAGATCACTTCTTGATTCCTGAGATGACTGTTACAGAGTCACACTGTTGAGCTCATACAATGTTATTGGCCTCTAATGCTCCCCCATCCTATCCCTACTTCTCTGTGTAGGAGAATCATCTTACTTCCACTTTAGGGACCAACTTAAATGCCAGCTCTTCCAGGAATCCTTCCAGCCTCTACCCCAGAGAACTATTAATATTTTTCCCTATTCCATCGCATTTCTGCCATAATCCTCAGAGGAACCCAGCACAACCCAGAGTTGCTATATTATCCCACTAGACATGCAAAGAAACAAGAACTTTTGACCTATATTCAGGAAAAAATTTTCAGGTAGAAGGGAAATGACAACAGGGGCAACTTGGATCCACAGAAAAAATGAAGAGCATCAGAAATGATAAGTATATGCATAAATACAAACTATGATTACTGTTGCAACAATAATTATGACTTGACAGGTGTTTTACTTAGTGATAAGTATGACAGTATCTCACCTGATTGAGGGGAGAGATGCTGCTATTTGAAGACTCTCTGCATCCTTAGTGCCTAGAGCAGTGCCACACACATGTTAACTTTGCAGTAAATATTTGACATATTCATGCAGAGGTATGTATATTCAAGAAATATTTTAGTGCCTGCATGTGGTAGGAGCTTCAGTGAATAGGACGTTGAATAAAAGAGGGTTCTTATTCTGACACAGCTCAAAATTTAATATACAAGCAACTGTCTAATCAGAAAAACAGGTGCCACAAGAAAGGCATAATCCATGAGTCCAGGGAGTTCACAAGGAAAAATATACTTATGTACCTTCATATATACCTACCTGCCTACTTACCTACCTGCTTTTCTGTCTAGATAGGAAAATCAATCTCTAATATTACCAAATTTTAAGAACAGGCAGATTACTGATCATATTAGTAGAGTAGAAACAAATCCTAAAAGCTTACAGAGAACATTTGGTAATATTTTATCTTATTTGTTTCAAAGTCTCATAGAAACAAAGGATGCCCATTATCAGATTCCTTTATATACCTTGTCCCATTTTTTAAGCTTTCTAGATCTTAATTTGCCTTTGTGTAGAAGGCAGCCAGTTGTCTTTTCCTACTTGCATTTTTTTTCCCCACAGATTTTATATTTACAACAATGTACCTTAAAGCAAGGGGCAGTCTTTTCCTTAGTCACTTTAATGATTATTGTATCTTATAAAAAATTTATGATAAACTAAGGATATACTCTTTTATTAAAAATGTTTATATGTACAGTGATTATGGTGTTTCAGAAAGGCCAAATAACAATTATGTATCTTTGAGTTTTAAAGTTGTACAACTGCCGACTACTTCCAGCATAAGCAGAGAGGTGATAAGGTCACACAAACTCTCTTGCAGATAACAATGATAAAAATAGAATAAAGTAATAATTAAAAATGAGAAACTACAATTATTTACAGATACTGGAAAGTGTCGCAGAGCAGATAGAAACTAGAAAAGAAACTGGAAAAGAGCAAATGGAACTGGGAAAAAGAACTATGACTGAAGGGGGTCAACATGATGAGTTGTGTCATTCTGGCCCAATAGTATATTTTCCCTGCCATAATTATGTCAAAACTGCAGCTTTGCTGCTAAAGGTACCAGGGATCAGAAATCAGAGCTGGAAAAATAGATACTTTATTAATTCTACTTTTTGTGTCCCAAGAAATCTTTGCATAACTCAAGATCACAAAGATATTTTCTTCGTAAGTTTTATACCTTTAGCTTTTATATTTAGGGCTACAATTCATTTAGAGTTAATTTTTTAGTCCAGTTTGAGGTAAAGAATGTTGTTAATTTTTTCCCATACAGATTTCGAACTATTTAGTAGTATTTGTTGACAAGATCCTCCCCTCCCGTCCCTTCCCCTTCCTCTCCTCCTGCCTGCCTCTTTTTTCTCTTTTCTTTTTTCCTTTCCTTTCCTTTTCTTTCCTTTCCTTTTTCTCTCTCTTTCTCTTTTCTTTCTCACCTCTTCACCTCTCCTCTGCTTCCCTCCTTCCCTCCCTACCCTTCCCCTCCCCTAATAGGCCAGTCAACTGCCTATTAGGATGAAAGACCAATAATCTTTAGAGAAATGCAACACAATCCAGAGTTGCTACATATATTATCCCACTAGACATACAAAGAAACAAGAACATTTGACCTATACTCAGGAGAAAAAATTTAGGTAGAAGGGAAATGATACCAGCTGCAACTTGGATCCACAGGAAAGAATGCAGAGCACCAGAGATGGTGAATATGTGGGTAAATACGAAAGCTATAATCGCTTAAAACAAAATTATAACTCTATATTATAACTCTGGTTTATAATATATATAAATATAACATAAATGACAATAATAGTTCTAAGGATGTGTGTGGGGGGAGGTCAGTAGAAATATGCCATTACATGGTTCCTATATTTTACCTGGATGAATTCAGTATCAACTATAATTAGAAAAGGGTAATTTAAAGATGCATATTTAATTCCTAGAACAACTGCTAAAAAAAATGAAGAGATACAGCAGAAAGCCAATAGTGGCAATAAAATTGAGTTTTAAAAAGATACTTGATTAATAGAAAACAAGGCAGGAGAAAAGGAATAAAGGAACAAAAAGGATGAGACATTTTTTTTTTAAAAGGCAAACCTAAATATAGTCACATGGATACTTATATTAAATGTTAACACTCCAATGAAAAGGCAGATTGTCAGACTATATAAGAAAAGCAAGAACCAAGTAATGCTCTCTACCAAAGATGCATTTTTAATAACAGGATACAATTACATTGGCAATAAAAGGGTGGAAAATAATACACCATGGAAACAGCAAAAAAAAAAAAAAGTTGGAATGGCTATAGACTTCAAGATAAGGAGTAAAATTAGAGTCAATGAGCAGCATATAATAATGAAACAGTCAAAATAAGAAGATGTAACATTTATAAATGTATATGTACCTAGTAACAGAGTTTCATAATATATGAGACTAAAAGGAGAAAACTAAAGGAATAAATAGATATAATCATATAATAGTTACAGACACATCTCTTAGTAATGAAGTTTTTTGGATATAATTAAACCCAAAAAATCAGGAAGTCTATAGAAGATTAGAACAATATTCATAACCATTGTAATATAATTGATATTTACACCACACGACACACAACTACAGAATACTCCTTATTTTTGAGTGCATATGGAATATTCCACAAGATAGACCATATACTGGGCCCTAAAACCAGTTTCAATAGATTTCAAAAGATTGAGATCTTATAGAATGTGTACTCTGGCCACAATAAAATAAAACTAAAATCAATAACAAGAAAATATCTAGAAAACCCCCAAATACCTGGAAATTAAATATCTTTCTTCTAATTAACCATAGGTCAAAGAAGAAATCAAAAAGGAAATTAGACCAGGCATGATGCATGCACCTGTAATCTCACTGACTAGGGAGGCAGAGATCTTAGGATCACTTGAGGCCAGGTGTTCAAGACCAGCCTGGGCAACAGAACAAGACCTTGTCTCCTGATATGGTTTGGTTGTGTCCCCACCCACATCTTGTCTTGAATTGTAGTTCCAATAATTCCCATGTGTTGTGGGAGGGACCCAGTGGTAGGTAATTGAATCATGGGGGCGGATCTTTCTCATCCTTTTCTGGTGATAGTGAATAAGTCTCACGAGATCTAATGGTTTTATGAAGAGGAGTTCCCCTGCATAAGCTCTCTGTCTTTGCCTGCTGCCATCAACATAAGATGTGACTTGCTCCTCCTTGCTCTCTGCCATGATTGTGAGGCCTTCCCAGCCATGTGGAACTGTAAGTCCATTAAACCTCTTTCTTTTGTAAATTGCCCAGTCTTGGGTATGTCTTTATCAGTAGCATGAAAACGGACTAATACATCTCTTAAAACAAAAAACAAAAAACCACCAACAACAATTAGCCAGGCAAGATGGCATGTGCCTGTAGTCACAGCTACTCAGGAGGCTGAAGCAGGGGGATTTCTTGAGCCCAGGAGATCAAGGCTGCAGTGAGTTATGATCGCACTACTACACTCCAGTCAAGGCGACATGAGAGGTACCAGATTCAAAGAAAAAAAAAAGAAATTAGATATTTTGAGTTCAATGATAATAAAAATACCACATATCAATGTTTGTAAAAAATAAGTTGTATAGGGTACAGCTGAAGCAGTGCTTACAGAAAAATTTATAGCTTTAAAATGTTTCTATTAGAAAAGAAAGACTGCAAAATCATTGATCTAGGCTCATTCATTCACACTTTGGGAAACTAGAAAAGGAAAAACAAAGTAAACCCTAAGCAACCAGAGGGAAGGAAATAATTATTACACTAGAAATTAGTAAAATAGACAAAAAGACAAACCATAGAGGGAAATCAGTGAAACCAAAAGTGGATTTTTTTTTAAAAGATAGTAGCATTGATGAATCTCTAACTAGACTGATTTAAAAAAATAGAGAGGACACAGATTACCATTTTCACAAAATAAAGAGAGAATAACAAGACAAATACTACAGACATTAGAAGGAAAATACTGGAATATCATTAACAACTTTATGCCAATACATTTAACAACTTAGATGAAAGGTACTAATGCTTTGAACCACACAAATGATCAAATCTGACAAAAAAAGAAATAGCAAATTTTACTAGACCTACATTTATTTAAAATGTTAAGTTTGTCGTAAAAACCTTTCCACAAACAAAACCCCTGGCCAAGATGGTTTCCTAGTGAGTTCTATCAAACAGAATCATGCATTGCTTGATGATACAGATACACATTGAGAAATTCATCAGGTGATTTTGTCATTGTGCGAGTATCATAAAGTGTACTTACACAGACCTAGATGGCATAGTCGACTACATACCTAGGCTGTATGGTATAGCCTGTTGCTCCTAAGTTACAAACCTGTGTAGCATGTTACTGTAATGAATACTGTAGGCAATTGTAACACGATGCTAAGTATTTATGTATCTCAACATAGAAAAGATACGGTAAAATATGTGTCTAAAAGGTAAACAGTGGTACACCTGTGTAGGGCACTTCCCATGAATGGAGCTTGCAGGACTGGAAGTCCTTGCACTGGGTGAGTCCCTGGGTGAATGGTGAGTGAATGTAAAGGCCTAGGACATTTCTGTACACTACTCTAGATTTTATGAACACTGTACACTTAGGCTACACTAAATTTATAAAAATATTTGTATTTTTAATAATGAATTAACCTTAGCTTACTGTAAATTTTTCACTTTATAAACTTTTTAATTTTAAAAAAATTTTTGATGTTTTTATAACACTTAGCTTAAAACACAAACATATTGTACAAATGTCCAAAAATATTTTTTCTTTGTATCTTTATTCTAGAAACATTTTTCTATTTAAAATATTTTTCATTTTATTTTTCCTCTTTAAACGTCTCTGTTTAAAGCTAGACACAAATACACACATTATCCTAGGTGTATACAGGGTTAGGATCATCAATATTACCATCTTCCACCTCAGCAATTTGTCCCCCTGGAAGGTCTTCAGAGGCAACAACATGCCTGGAGCTGCTATCTCCAGTGATAACAGTGCCTTCTGGAATACTTCCAGAAGGACCTGCCTGAGGCTCTTTTACAGTTAACCTTTTTTTCTTTTTTTTTTTTAAATAAATAGGAGTATGCTCTAAAATGATGATTAAAAAGTATACTATAGTAAATACATAAAGCAGTAACATAATTGTTTATTATCATTATCAGGTAATATGTACTGTATGTAATTGTACAATACTTTCAAATGACTGGCAGCACAGTAGCTTTGTTTACACCAGTCTTACCACAAACATGTGAGTAATTGTGAGTAAGGTGTTGCACTATGCTGTTATGACGGCTATGATGTCACCAGGATATAGGAGTTTTTCAGCTCCCTTAAAATCTTACGGAATCATCATCATATATGTGGTTTGTCATTGACCAAAATGTCAACGTGCAGTGTATGACTGTATTTAAAAGAGGGATAATAATAAACCTACACAAACTCTTTGAGAAAATAGAGGAAGGAATACTTTTCAATCCATTTTCTAAATTCATAATTGTTTTGATACTTAAAGACATTATAAGGAAAAAAACCTATAAATCAATATCTTGTATGAACACAGATATACAAGAACTTCAAAAACTCTTCAGAAACAAGCCCAATAATATATTTTTTAAAGGATAACATGTCATGACCATGTAGGATTTATTTCAGGAAAGCAAGTTTAACATTCAGAAATCGATGTAATTTACCATAGCAATAATGTACAGGAGAAAATGTTTATGATCATCTTAATAAATGAAGAAAATAGTATGATATCATTTAACACCATTGATATTCATAATAAACACTCACAACAGATAAGGAATAGAACTTCCTCAACTTCAATAAAGACATCTATGAAAAATCCATAGCTACCATTATACTTAATGGTGAGACTAAATTCTTTCCCCTTAACACTGGGCAGAAGGCAAGAATGTTCACTTCTTTTCAACACGGTACTGGAGATCCTAATTAATGTAGTAAAGCAAGAAAAATAAAATATGTACAAATTGGAAAGAAGTAAAACTGTCTATTTGTAGACAACATACTTGTCTATGTAGAAAATCCCTGGAATGTATAAAAGCTACTAGAACTAAGAAGTGAATTTGGCAAGGTTGCAGGATATAAGAAAAATATATAAAATCAATAGTATCTCTATATAGTAGCAATAAACAATTAAAAATAAAATACAAAAACAGATTCATTTACAATAGCATTCAAAAACATGCAATATTAAATGATGCACAAGATCTGTCAATGAAAAATACAAAAACATGGCTGAAAGAAGTTTAAAAACACTCAAACAAATGGAGAGATATATTTATGAATTGGAAGACTCAGCTTTCTCCTTGAATTCATCTATAGTGTCAGTGCAATGCCCATAAACATTTCAACCTAGAATAGCCAAAGCAATTTTGTTTGTTTTTGATACACGTTCTTGCTCTGTCACCCAAGCTGCAGTGCAGTGGTGTTATCTTGGCTCACTGCAGCCTCAGCCTCCTGGGCCCAAGTGATTCTCCCACCTTAGCCTCCCAAGTAGCTGGGGCCACAGGTGTGCACCACCACACCCAGCTAATTTTTGTATTTTTTGTAGAGATGGGGTTTCATTGTGTTAGCCAGGCTAGTCTTGAGCTCTTGGCTCAGGGATCCTCCCACCTTGTCCTCCCAAAGTACTGAGATAACAGGCATAAGCCACGACGCCCAGCCCAAAAGCCATTTTAAAAAGAACAAAAGAGTCACATTACCTGATTACTATAAAGCTACAGAATTGGAGAAAGGAGAGATACATGCATCAGTGGAACAACATAGAAAGTCCAGTTAAAGACTAACATATATTATCAATTTTCAACAAAAATATCAAGGCAATTTAATGGGGGAATAAAAGTCTTTTAAAAAAATACTACTGGAACAACGGGAAATCTGTATGGGAAAAAAAAAATTAACACCAGTCTTTACCCCATACCATACTATAAAACTAACCCTAACGTATTGTAACCCTAAATATAAAAGCTAAAGTTGTAAATCTTCTAGAAGAAAACTAGAAGAAAAATATTTGTGACCTTGGCTTTGTGATCTTGTCTGAGATTTCTCAGGACACAAAAAGCATGACTACAAGAGAGAATAATTCGTCAAGTGGGTACTCTCAGGATAAAAACTTTTGCTTCTTGAAAAATATTAAGAAAACAGAAAATGTACAGAATAGGAGAAAATATTTATGATATATATATCTAAAAACTTGTACCTAGAAATTATAGAGGTCTCTTATAATTATAACAAGACAACCGAAGAAAAGATACTTCACAAATGAAAATATATATTTGGTCAAATAAACACATCAGGAGAGGCTCACCATCGTGAGTGGTGTTTGGGGAACTGCAAATGTGTAAAGGCCTGCACTTTGTAGAACGTACCCAGACTCCACCTCCTATCTGGTCTCTAGAGAGCCCTTGCCCAGTCTTTCTGTAGTATAGTTTTTGATATTGGTTTCGTTCTTTATCCTGCCTCTGCTTCGACTTCTAACTACTTCCTGGTTCAAAGTTATCAGACTGGAACCTTCGTGGTCCCATTTCTTTGCCCAGTTTAGTTTTTTTTTTTTTTTTTACATTTTGCCTGGAAGGGTGTCACCTCCTCAAACAATAATATGGTAAACAAGCTGGTGTCTTCCCTCCTCAATAAAAACCTCCCAAGGAATTTCAGTACTTGACTAATACTGTTCTTAATTGTTACTCTTTACACGATCATGCCCCCATTTATGCCTCTGCCTCTATTTCCTTTTCTCCTTGGCTTTTGATTAAGGGTTTAAGGTTCTTTTTCTTAATAAGACCTTTTTCAAGTTCTTTATCTCTCCTTCTTTTAATTTCATTAGTGTAGTATAGTTTTCGTTGTTGTTTTTGAGACAGGGTCTCCTTCTGTTGCCCTGGATGGAGTGCAGTGGTGCAATCATGGCTCACTGCAGCCTTGATCTCCTGGGCTTAAGTGATCGTCCTAGCTCAGCCACCTGAGTAGCTAGGGCTACAGGTGTGCGCCACTATGCCTGGCTAATTGTTTTATTTTTATTTTTAGTAGAGACGAGGTCTTGCTCTGTCTTGAACTCCTGGGCTTAAGCAATGCTCCCACCTGGGATTACTTGAGTGCTGGCATTACTTGGCCTCCCAAAACACTGGGATTACTTGGCCTCCCAAAGTGCTAGGATTACAGGCATGAGCCACTGTCCCCAGACTATTAGTATAGTCTTTGAACTCACTAAGATGATACCAGTTCTTCCAGAAAAATTCTGTTATTTTTATAGGCAGAAATTAAACAACTATCAGTAAGTTTAATATTTTTTTCTTAAAATTATATTTTATAAGATTTTAGTATCTAGTTTTTAGACTAGCAGTCTTTTAGCTGAGCACTATTTGAGTGTTTGTTTTGTTGTGTGTGAGAGGTCAGAGTGCCTAGAGTGGAAGGGAGGACAGTTGGGTACCTTTAATTAGCAAACACTTGTATAGTGCTTCCTATATGCTGGGCACTATTCTTAGCACTACCACAAATATAAGTCTTCATCATAAAAACCCAACAAAGTAGATACTCTCATTATCTCTATTTTACCAGTGAGAAAACTGAGGCAGAGAGGAGTTAGGAAATCCACAGCAAGGACAGGCAGCTAATAAATAACAGAGCTCATATTTGAAGTGAGAGTCTGGCCCCAAAGTCTATCTAAATTGCTAATCTGTGCTGCATTATATAGCAAAAACATGCATGTTAATTCACAATGTTATTGTTAAAATAGAACATGAAGTTCATTTGCATTTTACTCAAAAAAGTATGTTTCTTGTATATGTCCTCAATCTGCCAAATTAAATGTCTTTATGAATTTCTTTAAAGTTTTGGGCTTTATGTGAGGAGCTCTGTTAGTTTTGACTGAGGCCCTTGCTGAAACAGTTTGACCAATTTCTATAGGAGAGTGTAGTGGGCTCCCTATGTCAAAAGCTGGAATGACTGCTGATCTTGATGTGTTATCCTTGAACACACAAAGTATCTGTTTTCTGGCTAAAAACAGTTTCTAAGACTTCATTACTTCTATCAGCTAATTTTATTTCAGTAGTAGCTAATTTTATTTCAGGGCTAATTTTAGACAGGTACATTGTGTGCGTGTGTGTACACATTCATATACATAAACACACACACATATATATAAAACAATATCTATATATATATTGTTTTAGATTTGCTTTGTCACCCAGGCTGGAATGCAGTGGCTCAACCACAGCTCACTGTAGCCTCAAACTTCTGTGCTCAAGCAGTCCTCTCACCTCAACCTCCTGAGTAGCTGGAACTACAGGTGTGTGCCACCACATCTGGCTATTTTTTGTTGTTGTTGTTAAAATTTTGTAGGAATGGAGGACTCACTGTGTTGCCTAGGATGGTCTAGAACTTCTGAACTCAAGCAATTGTTTTGCCCTGGCCTTCCAAAGTACTGGGATTACAGGCATGAGCTACCATGCTGGGCCCAGATACATAATATTTTTGACCTTTCATGACAGTTTATTTGAAAACTTTGAAGCTGAGTGGAGAATAACAAAGTTGTGATGAGATACAATTGCTGCAAACAGCCTCCTGGGGTCCATTATTAGATTAGTGTCTGGTCTACAAAGCAGTCTCTCCATCCTCTAATTCAAAGCCTTCCCTCCATAAAATTTCAGATTTTTCACATTATCTTTCACAGAAGCCAGAGGATTGTCACAATTATGCATATTAGAACTATGCATGCCAATGTCTATTGTACTTCATGTAGGGAGCAAATTTTTTCTTATGTTTATTTTGACTGATTCAGCACTTGATGTCAAAGGGCATGGATCTTATTCACCTTAGTTTTCTTTAGCAGCACCTAGCTAGCATGGGACTTTAAAGCAGGAGCTTGTAAATTTTTTTTTTTTTTTTTTTTTGTAAAGTAGTAGATAGTACTTTGTGAGCTATTCAGTCCCTGTTACAGCTATTCAGCTCTGCTGGTGTAGCTCTAAAGCAGCCTAGCTAATATGTAAATAAATGGGTGCAGCTGTGTTCCAACAGAACTTCGTTTACAAAAACAGGTAACAGGCTGGATTTGGCCCCTTGCCACTGTTTGTTGATCCCTTCCTTAGAGCATAAGTTTAGCAAATTATCTAGCAGTCAGAAGGATAGGCTGCACTGTGTAACAGATAACTCGATGATCTCAGTGGCTTTGTACATCAGTGCATATTTTTTGCTTATGCTTTCTGTCTAGTGGGAATTGGCAGGAGATTTCTGCTCATTCTAGACCCTCAGGGACCCAGGCTGATGGAGACTTCATCTAGACATGTGCTCTCATGCAGTGAACAAAAGGCAAGGTGACAGATCATGAACTGTCTCTTAGAGCTTCCATCTGAAGGTGACACATTTCATTGGTTGAAACAAGTCCCATAGCCAACCCTAACTTCAAAGGGAACAGGCAGGGAGATATAATCCTATCATGAACCTAGAAGAAAGAGAAATGGAGTGTTTGTGAATAGCCCAAGAATGATTAACAGATAAAACATACAAGAGCATAAAAACATATAAACGCAGAGCTGCTCAGGCTGAAGCTGTAGTGAGGTGGCTAAAAGCTCTCTCCTAAGGCACCTTCAGGGGCCTCCTAGGGCTCAGTAGATTGTAGTTTAAAAGGCTCTGCCTTAGAGAAAACAACCGCCTACTCAATTGGGAGAACTAGTTCTAGATTTCAAAGATGTGTATCAAAAATATGTTGAGCTGAATTGATTTCACATAAGATATCATTTTTGAAGCAATTCACTGACTTTGCTAAACTTTTATAATAGTTCTTACCCTTGGTATTTCATCTTAAGATACTTATCTAGGATGTTATCAGAAGTACTGTTCCCATAAACATATTAAGATGCCTGTGCTTTTATAGCTTAAATGATTACTATGGTAAAAATCATTATACTATTAAAGAACTGTAGAGACAGTGTACCTTAAAAAGTATTTTTTTTTGATAATACAGTTTTTAATGTATTTATTAGGAGTTGGTGTTGATGTGGGTGGTTTTTTGATGGGTAGACTTGCTCTATGCTTTTCCTCCCCGTGGAGTTCCTGGGAGAGCATATGTCAGAATACTGGCAATCCAAGAAGCAAAATGCTCTCTCTTAGTAACTGGGAAGCTATGTTGGGGTATCTTGAATCTGTCTTGGGAACAGAGGGTTAGGTGGTTCTGCACAGAAAATTAGCCAGGAATGGCCAGTTCCTAAGAAGGACATTATGTCCCTTTATACTCGCTGATGCATGGAACCAAGAAAAAGAGTCGTGGGAGCACAGCTTTGTGCCTTCATAAGGTACACTCACCCTGCAGGTTATGGTTGCCTTGGGCTGTGGCCAATATGACTAGCAGATTCTCCTTGGTTTTGGGGGAGCAGGAGCAGGAGCAGGAGCAGGAGCAGAAGCAGCTTGGAAATAGCTGGAAGGGGTGTATCTGGGGTGGGAAGAGGAGCAGAAGCAGTATCTACTCCCAGCAAGAATTTTTTTTTTTTTTTTTTAAGACAGTCTTATTCTGTCACCCAGGCTGGAGTTCAGTGGCGTGAACTCAGCTCACTGCAACCTCCGCCTCCTGGGTTCAAGTGATTCTCCTGCCTCAGCCTTCCGAGTAGCTGGGACTACAGGCACACGCCACCACACCTGGCTAATTTTTGTATTTTTTGTAGAGACAAGGATTTCACTATGTTGGCCAGGCTGGTCTCGAACTCCTGACATCATGATCCACCCTTGTCGGCCTCCCAAAGTGCTAGGATTACAGGTGTGAGCCACTATGCCCAGCCCTCCCAACAAGATTTTAAAGAAACTTCCCAGGCCAGGTGCGGTGGCTCACGCCTGTAATCCCAGCACTTTGGGAGGCCGAGAGGGGTAGATCATGAGGTCAGGAGTTCGAGACCAGCCTGGCCAACATAGTGAAATCCTGTCTCTATTAAAAATACAAAAAAAAAAAAATTAGCCGGGCATGGTGGCTCATGCCTGTAATCCCAGCTACTCGGGAGGCTGAGGTAGGAAAATTGCTTGAACCTGGGAGGTGGAGCTTGCAGTGAGCTGAGATGGTGCCATGGCACTCCAGCCTGGGAGACAGTGCGAGACTCCATCTCAAAAAAAAAAAAGGAAAAAAAAAAGAGGCTGGCCGCAGTGGCTCACGCCTGTAATCCCAGCACTTTGGGAGGCTGAGGTGGGTGGATCACGAGGTCAAGAGATCCAGACCATCCTGGCCAACATGTGAAACCCCATCTCTACTAAAAATACAAAAATTAGCCAGGCATGGTGGCAGGCACCTGTAGTCCCAGCTACTCGGGAGGCTGAGGCAGGGGAATCACTTGAACCTGGGAGGCAGAGGTTGCAGTGAGCCAAGATCGCGCCACTGCACTCCAGCCTGGTGACAGAGTGAGACTCTGTCTCAAAAAAAAAAAAAAGGCAAATTTTGTTTCTGTCTTGAAAATTTGAAAAACCTGTTTTTATTCCTAAAAATGTGGTTTCAGTTGAAAAGGGAAATGTTTTCCTCTATTCTGTGCTATACAATGACGTGTTTTTAGACCCTAACTTGTTCCTTGTGCAACTGATATCTATGAACAGCATTATAGATAGAATTTGTCCTCCCTTTTCCAGGTCCATACAGGACATATTATAAAACTTTTTCACAAGGCAAGTTTTTTTTTTTTTACTGTTTTTAGACACTATGAATTTAAAATTTTATTTAAATTGAGATTCTTCTGTATCATCTAAGTATTTATATTGTGTTTAAATTTTGTTATAGGGCATTTTAAATATATTTTACTGTCCCAGTAAATCGTCAATTAAGTTGTCCAGTGATATGACTAAAAAACCTGTCAAAGAAAATTCAAGCAATAGCCAGTAGATGGCAGCATGGCGTTGTACATGAAATAAAACTTTGCTGAGGACATTGTATTGCAGCCGCAATTTGGCATTATTAAGGCAAAATGACTTCATATTTCATTTAGAAAAGTATATTTTCAACCAAAAAGCTTTTAAATGAGATCTGAGCAATTTCTTCCTTGATTATAACCTAAATTACATCATTTCAGGTGTCTTGGCTTTGCCTACCACATAGCTAACACCTTAAGGTTAGGCATAACATGTTATACCTTTTATTTCTCCTCTAAACATTGCTCAGCACAGTGCCGGGCACATAATTGCTCACCTACTTGCTCATCAGTGTTTTCGCTTAAAAATGATTCAAATATGTTATTGTTATTGTGCTTTCTGTTCAAAACATTGTTTCATAAAGCCCTGAAAGTCTGTAATGTCTATATACATCACACACACAAACACATGCAACATATACAAATATACCCCAATGACCATGCTACATAGAATAATTTATATTAGAAAGTTTCATATGTGAAACTTCTGTGAAGGTTATCAGGGATTTCCATGTTGCTAAATCCCAGGGACACATTTCAGGGCTCATATTCCTTGTCCTTAGCAACTTCTACACTGGGGTCTCTTGGCTTATAGCATTCTACATTTTCACATTTTCCCTTCCTTTTCCAGCAGTAACTGCTTAATAGTCATTAAATTCCTCCTCTTCTTCTTCTTGAGCTAAATGTTGGGGTTCCTCAGGTCACGGTAATCTCTGACATCCTTCTTTTATGCCCTATAATCAAACCAGTGACTTCTCTCCATAATAGGCTCCTACCCCAGGGATGCCACAGGCCCTGAGCCTGGAACTGGATCTCTGTAGTTGTCTTTTTGTTGTTGAAGAGATGCAGTCTTGCTATGTTGCCTAGGCTAGTCTAGAACTTCGGGCCTCAAGCTGTCCTCCTGCCTCCATCTCCTAAGTAGCTGGGACTGTAGGCATGAGCTACCTAGTCCAGACTGCAGTTGTCTTTTATCTGGTTTTCTTATCTTTAGACTTGCCTTCTACTAATCCCTTCTCCACATTTCTCCAGAAAGAGCTTTTCCAAAGTGATCTTACTTTTTTGCATAGAACACTTCCAAGTTTCTTCATTGCTCTTAAGAATAAAGTCCCAAGTCCTTAACACCGTACTGTATTTCTGGCCCAAGTAATTAATGTTGCCACGTCAATCTTGAGCCATTCTCCCTCACTCATTGTACTCTAACCAGATAGCTTTTTTTTTCTTTTTTTTCATTTCCACAAAAGACCTTGGCTCCCTGCCTGCTGATATTGGAACATGTTGTAATCTTTGCCTGGTACTCTCTTGAAGGCCCCCAACCCAGTGTCAGTTTAAATGCCACTTTCCTAAGAGCTCCTTCTCTTCCCCATAGTTGATATTAGATCTTCCTCCTGTAACAAGTTCTCATTTTATGTTGCATTTATTTCAGAGCATTTATCACAACTCTAATTAAATACAATTTTGTGTAACCATGTGTACCCTCCTAGACTGTAAGCTCCGCAAGAAGGGAGACTGTTACTACCTGATTGTTTTTGTATGCTAATTCTTAGCAAAATCTTTCGGACAGATCAGGCTGCTATGAACATAAGATCAACTGTGTTTAATAAATGCCTCAGGAACTTCAGAAACATTTTTTTTTTATTATTTTCTTTTTTCTTTTTCTCTTGAGACATAATCTCACTCTGTTGACCAGGCTGGAGTGCAGTGGTGTGATCTTGGCTCACTGCAAACTCCACCTCCTGGGTTTAAGCAATTCTCTTGCCTCAGCCTCCGTAGTAGTTGGGATTACAGGCACCCACCACCATGGCCAGCTAATTTTTGTATTTTATTAGAGACGAGATTTCACCATGTTGGCCAGGCTAGTCTCGAACTCCTGACCTCAAGCGATCCACCCAGTTTCAGCCTCCCAAAGTCCTGGGATTACAGGTGTGAGCCACTGCGCCTGGCCTATTCCTATTTTCTAAAGCTTAGCTTTTCATTGTCATAGATTATATATTAAATTACTAGACCAATAACTTTGGTAAAAATATCATTCTGAGAAAAATTACTCATGTCAAAATGCAATTTTTAGAATAACAAGTGGATTTATAAGAAGTGGCTTAGCTTTCTTTTTAAAGATCAATAATTTTTTAATAGAATGTTTGCACATTTTTATTTTGTTTTGTTTTTGTAATGCCTACAGAAAATTGTGGACAAAATAAATTGGGTGACAAAAGAGGATTTCAAATTCTGGGCATCAAAAAAATCTCATTAGGAAAGATTTTCTTAGGATATATGACAATTATATACATCCTAACCCACATTTCCAGAAATATCTAAAATTAAATGGAAAAAGCATTAAGATATTTGTATAAAAGCCTCATAAATTTTTACAGTAAATAAAACTTTAGTCCTAAGCAACCATGTAGACGACAATTACTCCTAAAAATATACCTGAGTTTTATGTTTAAATTTGAACATCAGGGAAGAGCAGCAATGACTCATCGTTTTTTTTTTTTTTAAACTAAAACTATCTGTAATTCAGGCCTGAATCTCAGCTTTTTTTTTCTTTTAACTAAATTAACTTCCTTGGATAGTTTTTCTTATTGATTTTAAAATTGTCTTTTGGCATAAGTATTGAATACCTCCCTACTACATGACTCACAATTATACTTTTCTGTAAGATACGTGATCTCTTCCATTATCTAATCTAGGAGAAGAGGAAGGGGAGGTTGAAGAGGATCAGTGTGTGGCTGGAGGAGAATTATTTGCCAAGAATAGTGTAATCAATCCCATAAACCAAGCTGCAATTTTAAGAATCCTGTTGTGATGGTGATTAGACTCATAAATCTCTTTGCTGCATTTTTTTTCCAATAGAAAAATTGGTACTTTTAAAGACAATTATGCCTTCATTTGGTTCAAAGAATAATTTAAAACGTAGTGGTTTTTATTTAGTGATGAATGTATTTACTTAGAAACATAACATGAAGGAAAAATCTTCATGAATCTAGAGCAGAAATTTTTGAAGATTCCTTTTTCATGCTACTTGAAAACATTTTAAAATATGAGTAAAACTGTATTTTAAAGGCTGAAATAATTAGTGGAATCTACCTTGTATATTTATTGGTTTGGGCAGATGCTATGTTCTCCTTATTTTCTCTGGGCACTTCTATCAAGAGATTGACCATGCCTGATAAGCCAATACCTGCATGGTGAGTGTAGATAAAACCAAGAGACGAGAAGTCATCTTACATTCATTACTCTCTTCTCCAACAGATAAGCAAAACAGACATTCATTACATTACTCATTTACTATTAGTCTGGGTTCTTTTGGTTTCCTCTGGCAGAAACCACACTCAAATTAGCTTAAACAAAAGATGGAAAATAATTGGCTAATGTAGTTAAAAGGGCCAGGAGGGGATATTTTTAGGCATACAGGGCTGGGGATAGGGACTCAAATAGCACTGTCACATTTATGTTTCTTTCTCTTTGATACTCAGCACAACTTCCCTCTTGGTAGGCTCTTGTTCTAGGAACACATTCTCTGGGAATGATAAAGATTTTCTTTCCTGGTCCTGGGTTACAAGTCCCTCAGATAAACATGTCTTCCAGTATCCATACAAATGCTTGAACAAGAAACCTGATGGGCTCTGCTTGAGTCATGTTCCATTTGTGGATTAACCACTGGGCTTCGGGAGATGGGGTCACATGTCAATCTGGGCTATGTGGATATGCCCATCACTGTGGCAGCGGTTGTAGTCACTCAAATTGAGAGCTCTACCATGTGAGAAAGGTTGGTCCCTAGAAGGTAAAATGAGAGTCTGTGTATTAGGGTTCTCTAGAAGTACAGAGCTAATAGGATGGATGGATAGATAGATAGATAGATAGATAGATAGATAGATAGATAGATATAAAGGGGAGTTTATTAAGTATTAACTTATACAATCACAAGATCCCACAATAGGCTGTCTGCAAGCTTGTGGAGCAAGTAGAGCCAGTCCGAGTTTCAAAACTGAAGAGCTTGGAGTCGGAGGGCAGCAAGCATCCAGTACAGGAGAAAGATGTAGGCTGGGAGGCTAGGCCAGTCTCACGTTTTTACATTTTTCTCCCTGCTTTATTCTGGCTGTGCTGGCAGCTGATTAGATTGTGTCCACCCAGATTAGGAGTGGGTCTGCCTTTCCCAGCCCACTGACTCAAATGTTATTCTCCTTTGGCAACACCCTCACAGACACACCCAGGATCAATACTTTGTATCCTTCAAATCAAGTTGCCACTCACTATTAACCATCACGGTCTGTCACCAGGTCAAGGAAGGGCTGACAGATTAAAAATAAGATGGAGCCAGGATACCAGGATTATTAACATTGAGTATGTGCTTATTGAAAAAAATCTCAAAATACAGGAAAATATAAGAGTGAAAATAATGCTTCACATTTTATTATAATACATTTGTTTTTGTATGTGTGTGTATGTTTTAATTATGTAGCTGAATTTTCTGTTCTATCAAGTTTTATATCATGTATAATATTTTGAAGCTCTGTTATTGGACACATGCACATTGTAAATTATTATTAAATCTTCTCATTAAATTAACTCCTTATTATAAAATGCCTCTTTATTTTATTTTATCATTATTATACTTTAAGTTTTAGGGTACATGTGCACAATGTGCAGGTTAGTTACATAGGTATACATGTGCCATGCTGGTGTGCTGCACCCATTAACTCGTCCTTTAGCATTAGGTATATCTCCTAATGCTATCCCTCGCCCCCCCACCCCACAACAGTCCTCAGAGTGTGATGTTCCCCTTCCTGTGTCCATGTGATCTCATTGTTCAATTCCCACCTATGAGTGAGAACATGCAGTGTTTGGTTTTCTGTCCTTGTGATAGTTTACTGAGAATGATGATTTCCAATTTCATCCATGTCCCTACAAAGGACATGAACTCATCATTTCTTATAGCTGCATAGTATTCCATGGTGTATATGTGCCACATTTTCTTAATCCAGTCTATCATTGTTGGACATTTGGGTTGGTTCCAAGTCTTTGCTATTGTGAATAGTGCCGCAATAAACATACGTGTGCATGTGTCTTTATAGCAGCATGATTTCTAGTCCTTTGGGTATATACCCAGTAATGGGATGGCTGGGTCAAATGGTATTTCTAGTTCTAGATCCCTGAGGAATCACCACACTGACTTCCACAATGGTTGAACTAGTTTACAGTCCCACCAACAGTGTAAAAGTGTACCTATTTCTCCACATCCTCTCCAGCACCTGTTGTTTCCTGACTTTTTAATGATTGCCATTCTAACTGGTGTGAGATGGTATCTCATTGTGGTTTTGATTTGCATTTCTCTGATGGCCAGTGATGGTGAACATTTTTTCATGTGTTTTTTGGCTGCATAAATGTCTTCTTTTGAGAAGTGTCTGTTCATGTCCTTCGCCCACTTTTTGATGGGGTTGTTTGTTTTTTTCTTGTAAATTTGTTTGAGTTCATTGTAGATTCTGGATATTAGCCCTTTGTCAGATGAGTAGGTTGCAAAAATTTTCTCCCATTTTGTAGGTTGCCTGTTCACTCTGATGGTAGTTTCTCTTGCTGGGCAGAAGCTCTTTAGTTTAATTAGATCCCATTTGTCAATTTTGGCTTTTGTTGCCATTGCTTTTGGTGTTTTAGACATGAAGTCCTTGCCCAAGCCTATGTCTTGAATGGTAATGCCTAGGTTTTCTTCTAGGGTTTTTATGGTTTTAGGTCTAACATTTAAGTCTTTAATCCATCTTGAATTAATTTTTGTATAAGGTGTAAGGAAGGGATCCAGTTTCAGCTTTCTCCATATGGCTAGCCAGTTTTCCCAGCACCATTTATTAAATAGGGAATCCTTTCCCCATTGCTTGTTTTTCTCAGGTTTGTCAAAGATCAGATAGTTGTAGATATGCGGCGTTATTTCTGAGGGCTCTGTTCTGTTCCATTGATCTATATCTCTGTTTTGGTACCAGTACCATGCTGTTTTGGTTACTGTAGCCTTGTAGTACAGTTTGAAGTCGGGTAGCGTGATGCCTCCAGCTTTGTTCTTTTGGCTTAGGATTGACTTGGCGATGCGGGCTCTTTTTTGGTTCCATATGAACTTTAAAGTAGTTTTTTCCAATTCTGTGAAGAAAGTCATTGGTAGCTTGATGGGGATGGCATTGAATCTATAAATTACCGTGGGCAGTATGGCCATTTTCACAATATTGATTCTTCCTATCCATGAGCATGGAATGTTCTTCCATTTGTTTGTATCCTCTTTTATTTCCTTGAGCAGTGGTTTGTAGTTCTCCTTGAAGAGGTCCTTCACATCCCTTGTAAGTTGAATTCCTAGGTATTTTATTCTCTTTGAAGCAATTGTGAATGGGAGTTCACTCCTGATTTGGCTCTCCGTTTGTCTGTTATTGGTATATAAGAATGCTTGTGATTTTTGTACATTGATTTTGTATCCTGAGACTTTGCTTATCAGCTTAAGGAGATTTTGGGCTGAGACAATGGGGTTTTCTAGACATACAATCATGTCATCTGCAAACAGGGACAATTTGACTTCCTCTTTTCCTAATTGAATACCCTTTATTTCCTTCTCCTGCCTAATTGCCCTGGCCAGAACTTCCAACACTATGTTGAATAGGAGTGGTGAGAGAGGGCATCGCTGTCTTGTGCCAGTTTTCAAAGGGAATGCTTCCAGTTTTTGCCCATTCAGTATGATATTGGCTATGGGTTTGTCATAGATAGCTCTTATTATTTTAAGATACGTCCCATCAATACCTAATTTATTGAGAGTTTTTAGCATGAAGTGTTGTTGAATTTTGTCAAAGGCCTTTTCTGCATCTATTGAGATAATCATGTGGTTTTTGTCTTTGGCTCTGTTTGTATGCTGGATTACATTTATTGATTTGCATATATTGAACTAGCCTTGCATCCCAGGGATGAAGCCCACTTGATCATGGTGGATAAGCTTTTTGATGTGCTGCTGGATTTGGTTTGCCAGTATTTTATTGAGGATTTTTGCATCAATGTTCATCAAGGATATTGGTCTAAAATTCTCTTTTTTGGTTGTGTCTCTGCCCGGCTTTGGTATCAGGATGATGCTGGCCTCATAAAATGAGTTAGGGAGGACTCCCTCTTTTTCTATTGATTGGAATAGTTTCAGAAGGAATGGTACCAGTTCCTCCTTGTACCTCTCGTAGAATTCAGCTGTGAATCCATCTGGTCCTGGACTCTTTTTGGTTGGTAAGCTATTGATTATTGCCACAATTATAAAATGCCTGTTTTTACTGATGATAATATTCTTTATTCTCAAGCCTACTTTTCTCATATGAATTTAGCCTTTTTGGCTTTTTTTTGTCTTTGTTAGTATTTGTATGATCTATCTTCTTTCGTCATTTTACTTTTAACCTGTGTCTATAAATTTCAAGCAGATTTCTCATAGAAGGCATATAGGTGAGTCTTATTTTTTTATCCAGCTTGATACTTTTTTCTTTTTCATTGGAATGTGAAATGATTTATGGTAAATGTAATTACTGATATGATTTGGTTTACATCTCTTATTTTGCTATCTGTTTACTATTTGATCCATATGTTCTGTTTTTGTTTTCCATTCTTCTTTAGAAATGACTATTTTTAAGGATTCGGTTTTATCTCATTTATTAGCTTATTAGAAATACTTCTGTGTTTTATCTTTAGTAGTTATTTACTTTAGTGGTTTGTCTATGGATTGCTCTATGTATATTTAATATCATTATATATTCAAATTCTAATATACCACCCATGTAAGAATCTTACAACAGTGTACTTCTATTTGTTCATCTCATTGTTTTATGAGGTTATTACATATTTTACTTCTACATGTTATAAACACCATAATATGTAATTGTTATTTTTACATTAAAAAGTAACTTAAAATATAAATATATATAATATTGCTAATAGATTAAAATATTTTTAAAATTACTTCTTATATTTGCTGCTTTGGGCATGCTTCATTTCTCTTCTAAGACCTTAAGAATTAAATTTCCATCTTTTAGTGGAGGTCTAGTGGTAATAAATTCTCTAAGCTTTTTTTTTTCTTTTTGGTCTAAAACTTTTTATTTCATCTTCATTTTTGAAATATATTTTTGCTGAATATAGAATTCTATATAATTCTCTTCTTTCAGAACTTTGAAGCTAACATTTCATTATCTTCCTGTTTGCTTGGTTTCTGACATCTTCTGTCGTTCTTATTTTTGCTCTTACTTAATGTGTCCTTTTGTCTCTGTCTGCTTTTAGCATATTTTCTTTATCATTTTATCACTCTTTATCAGCAATTTGATTATGATGTATCTTTGTGTGGTTTTCTTTATTTTTATTCTATTTGGGGTTTGTTGAACTTCTAAAATCTATAGGCTTTTTATCAAATTTGGAAAATTTTCAGCCATAACTTCTTCAAATATATTTGTACTTCTCCCCCCTTTCTTTGAGACTACAATTATACATGTTAGACTGCTTGATATTGTCCCACTGGTCACTGATACTCTGTTCACGTTTTCAATCATCTTTCTGTCTGTGCTTTATTTAGGATAATGTGTATTTCTGTCTTCAAACTCATTGATCTTTTGTTCTTATGATGTCTAATTTTCTGTTAAGCTCATCTAGACTACATTTGACTCTAGAAGTTATTGAGCATATTTTCAGTTCTAGAAATTTTATCTGGGTGTTTATATTTTTTTTAGTTCTCTCTTTATTATGGTTGTATTTTCCTTTATAGGCTTGAGAATATTTATAATATTTTAAATAACTTTGTTAACATTTTTATGTGCTAATTCCATCATCTCTCTCATTTCTGTTTCTGTTTTGATGGATTTTTTTTTCTGCTTCTTTGTATGTCTGCTAATTTTTGATTAGGTATCAGGCATTAAGATTTTTATATTGTTGAATGCTGGATTTTGTTTTGTTCCTTTAAACAGGATTGGATTTTTTGCTCTGTTATGTAGTTGTTACTTGCAGATCAGTTTAATCTTTTGGAGCTGCTTGTAAGTTTTGTTATGGCAGGTCCAGAGTAGTGCTTGTTCTCAGGCTAATTTAGCCCTACTACTAAGGCATGACCTTCTTGAGGTCTACCCAATATCGCATGTATTACAAAGTCTCTCCACTCTGGCTGATGGCAACATGAATTATTTGTAAACCTGTGTAATCTCTAGGAACTTTTCAGCCTACTGGTTCTTTCTTCTACCTCATGGAGTTTCACCTCATCCATGCATAGATCTGTACTCATTTAATGATGCAGTGAACTTCTTTGCAGATCTTTGGAACCTTCAGTGCAGTTCACTCCTGTCTTGTACTCAGCTCACAAATTGGAATTATTTCCGACTGTTGCACTATGTTGGGGTTCTTCCTTCCAGCACTGTGGCTTGAAACTGGCTCTCAGAAAGTTGGGGCCAACCTATTGAGGGTGTGGCAAAATGAGCACTCAGGGCTGAACTCACTCCTCCCTCTTCACTTAGGGATCACAAGTCAGAGCTGCTTGTTTTTCAATGTCTGAATAAACATTGTTACAAATATTCTTTAATTTACATCAGAAAGGAAATTCCTATAGCAGTTAATCTTTTAGGGTTAGAAATAGGAATAAGAAATATTATGTAGTTGGGTTTATTTCATAAATGCATATTTCGCTTAACATTATAGTATTTTTCTCATGTCATCTCTTATAATCTCATTTCACCCTGAAGAGGCTCCATGATTTATTTAATTCTTCCCTTATTTTTAGAATATTATACTTGATTCCAGTTTTTCACTATGTCAGAGAAGGCCATGTTAAAAATCCTTGAACATGAATCTTTGTTTTATATATCCAGCTATATCTTTGTTATATATGTCTTAAGGTGGAATTATTAGTTCGAAGAATTTGAGAGTAGTAAGATACTACAAATATATTGCTAAATACTTTCTAGAAAGATTGTACCAGTTTCCCTTTGGCATTGTATGAAAGTACTTATTTTGGCACACCCTCAATAGCACTGTCTATTTTCTTCTTTAAGTGAATGTGTATCAAATGCAATTGCTATGCAACGTCCATTGCCAGGAAGAATCAAGCACAACCTTCTCCCCTAAAGGCTCATAAGTGAGTTATGAAGAGAGATGGTAAGCCAATCACCAGAATGTGATAAATTGGGGAACTTAGTAGCATGGGGAAAAGGGTGATCAAATTCTGCCTAGGAAGAACCTGTAAAGTTTTTCATTAAGTATCTGAGGAAAAGCAGTTTTAATAAGGTTAAAGAGAGAAAAAATATTAGAAAGATGAATGGATTATTTAAGGTGACTGAAATGTGAAACAACATGGCATAGGCACTCCATGGTTTAGCTGGCACTATGGGCGTGTTTGGAGTGAGAATGTAGTAGGAAATAAAGGAGAATTTGAAAGTAAGAAACAGGTATGAAGGGTTCTGCATGGTCTTGAGCAAGTGAAATCCACTGCCCTATCTTCTCCATTTCATGGGTTTGCAGAAACCTTAAATGTAGTAAAGTTCAACTGCTTACCATTGGCTTTGTTTTTCTTACTTCTTACAAATGTTCCCAAATCTTTTCATATCATGGGCTCTGTTTCATTTGAGAGTTAACACCCAGCAGCTAAATATGGTAGCAACTCTTTTTTGTTGCTTGTTTTTTAGGAGAGTAGGTTGATGCCTTGTCTGTTCTTGTAAATTCAGTAGTGTTGATTCTTTCTTGTCATCTAAGCAGTAGACATTGCACTTCAGTGCAGGCATAGCCCTGCCTGAAGCAGTCTTTCTTGAGCTGAACACAGAATCTGCTGTTTTTCCTGGATGGATGTTCTGTCTGGGCTCTTACTAATAACTCAGGCTCTCTCAGGGTGAAGATTTCATCTTAGCTGTCTGCCTTATTAAAACATAAGCAAATCATAGGTATTTTGTACTGAAAAACCAGATGCAAAGTTAGCCATCACACGAAGAGAAGAAAGTTGGACAACGTTAAGAACAGAGGAATTGAGACTTTGGAGGTTGATTTTTTTCCAGCTTAGCTTAGGAATTAATAGGTTTAGCAATCTTGGTCAAGTCACTAACCCCTTTGAACCACTGCTTCTTGGTGTATAAAGTGGCCTCTATATTCACGATTAGATCTAGGTTTTGAATGTATAAGCAAGGGTTAAAATTTTTTTTAGAAAAAGAGAAGCTAAATTTCTTCATTGTGGATATAGAAATTAAATTTGTGTTGCCTATTAAAAGCAACATTTAGCTATATTATGTAATGATTTAAATTTCCAGCTTGCCAAAGATTCTTTTAATAAGCATGATTTTAGTTTTTAAACTAATTCTCTTCTCACCATGATGTGTCAACTTAATTTCTAAGCAGAATTTATTGGGCTACTTTTCATTTATCTTAGCAGATATTGAAGCTTAAAATGTTTCACTATGAATATAGTTAAAATAAGATGCTTATATGGCTGTGAAATATTTCCTTAAGAGTTCTCAAATGTCAAGAGTTAAAATCAGAGTAGTTGTCCTGCTTGTGGACATCCCTGGCCTTTGTCTATTTCTACTTATGCCATAATTTTAAGGCTTTTACCTGTTGTGCAATGTGAGATGGGAGAAAAGGCTGTCTGGGGCTGTGTGTTATAATTTTTGTTTAAAGCACTATTAATCTGATTCTTCAGGTATTTTTGGCTGCAATGAGCTTTTTTTTTTTTGTAATATCCAGGGTTTAAGCTATAATAATTTATTTTTTAAAATGACTACGAACATTTTAAGTCCTGAATAATGGACTTGTGCTTGAGTTTTGGGCAAATACCTCCTCATAGTTTGGATTTTACTAGTATAGAGGTCATATGTGAAATGTTCTATGAATGACTTGGAACCACTTGTATGAAATCAGGTACAAACTGATAAGGTGTTCAGAAACTATTGATATTAGGTCTATCAGGCCTTAGAAGGAGTGGCCCTTGGTTGTTGTACTTCTATCTATTCAATCTAATTTTATAGATTTTTTTTAGGCATGTTTGCTGCTCTCACATTTATATTAACTGCTTCTAATAAGATTCATGCCGGGCTGGGACTCTAATTACATGAGTTTATTCAAATTACAGATAAATCAGTAGATATTAAATCTGAAGAAGTCTCAGAAAGACCACTCTCTACAGATAGGTAAAAAGAATTTAGGTGTAACCACCTTTTAAATGATGAGAGGTCTTTCCACCAAGACTATATCTGGAGGTGTAGATAGGATAGAGAGTTAAGAAAACTGAAATAAACCTGAAGTTTAACTCCTGAATCATTAAGGTTTTAGAAATGCGTGAGCTCCCAATAGTATCATAAACCTTTGTTTAATATTCAGTAAATCATATTGTGTCCAGAATTGGTTCCTTCCGGTGGGTTCTTGGTCTCACTGACTTCAAGAATGAAGCCACGGACCCTTGTGGTGAGTGTTAAAGTTCTTAAAGATGGTGTGTGCGGAGTTTGTTCCTTCAGATGTTCAGATGTGTCTGGAGTTTCTTCCTTCTGGTAGGTTCGTTCTCTCGCTGACTTCAGGAGTGAGGCCGCAGACTTTCGCGGTGAGTGTTAACAGCTCATAAAGGTGGCGCGTCCGGAGTTGTTTGTTTCTCCCGGTGGGTTCGCGGTCTCGCTGGCTTCAGGAGTGAAGCTGCGGACCTTCTCGGTGAGTGTTACAGCTCATAAAGGTAGCGTGGACCCAAAGAGTGAGCAACAGCAAGATTTATTTTGAAAAGCAAAAGAACAAAGCTTCCACAGCGTTGAAGGGGACCCGAGCTGGTTGCTGCTGCTGGCTCCGGTGGCCTGCTTTTATTCCCTTATTTGGCCCCACACACATCCTCCTGATCGGTCCATTTTACAGAGAGCTGATTGGCCCATTTTACAGAGTGCCAATTGTTCCGTTTTACAGAGTGCTGATTGGTCTGTTTTACAGAGTGCCGATTGGTCCGTTTACAATCCTTTAGCTAGACAGAAAAGCTCTCCAAGTCCCCACTCGACCCAGGAAGTCCAGCTGGCTTCACTTCTCAATATTTCTTATTAGCTCATTTTTTTACTCATGGTATAAATCATAAACAAGTTGGTTTAGGGGAGAATTTTGAAATACAAATACTTGACAATCTTGTACTATTTTCCTCTTCTTGTTGAATTATCATGTGCCTTCAGAGATTTCCACCCAACCAAGCTAGACCAGCTGAACAAAACCCAAACAGAAATAGTAGGTAAAAAACTTCCAAATTAATCTCAAGGATTCTACATTATTCTGTGGGTTGTAAAGCTTGTTATATCCCATTATACAGAATTAGTGAATCAATTGAAGTGAACTATTCTCCACTCAAATAGTTACACCTGAACTCCATGCAGACTTTATTATAATTGAGATATGTCTCTTATTTTGATCAAAGTATTGGAGTTTACACAAGTTCCATGAGATATGTATTCTATTTCTTTGTCCGTCTTATGTTAAAATACCCTCTCTTTTGTGTTTGGCTCTAAGGCAGGAAGCATTGGCAATATTTCTTAGGCAAAAACAACAGCAGATATTCAGTGGCAAGCGTGGATTTTCAACTTAAGAGAAAATGAAAGAAAAAGAGAGAACCCAATATGGATGCTTCAGGTGGTGTGGAGGTTTAGGAAATTGCTCTGCCAATGATTTCCTTTACCATGTTGCATATTTGTAAATATCACCTATAGTTATCCAGAAAACCAAAGAGGTGGAATACCCTTACCCAATGTCCTGACCTCCCTGCCCAGCTCTATTTTTTTAAAATCCTTGTTTGATTTTATTGGATTGGCCAGCTAAAATTTAAAGCAATAAATCATGACCACATTTTGTATCCAAATCTATACATTTGTTTAGATTTCCTTAAATATATATGTTCATATTGCATAGGGTTTACATGCTTTGATATTCTCTAGGAACTAGTATTTCCTTTGTATCAATAAATGTTCATTATTTTTAACTTATATGATGATTCATTGTATTTGCTTAAAAAAACTCCAGCAGTCTATTATTAGAAAATAAATTATTCCTAGCCATATGATAACACTTAAAAATAACTTTAAGGAAGTCTTTGTGATTTACATTTTTGTTTCAGTCTTGGGAGGCATATTTTCTGCATTATTTAATGTGCAATTATTGCATGCAATAAAATGTCTTAAGCTTTGCTGTATGTCATGATAGTGATTATTTTCAGTAGGTATTGTGATGACTGCATTGTTTTGCATACCTGCTAAACTTGGATTTAATTTAGGTGGAAATTGCATTTCAGAATTTTTAAAGAAAATTTTAGTTAAACCCAATGTGAATAATAATAAAATTTTAAACATAACTTTTATTTGAATTTATCAAATTGGAGCTAAGTATAGAATCTCTATATACACTAGTCTATCTGGAAATACCTAATAGAGACAATAACCTCAAAATAGAATATTTAAAAATTCCTACAGCTTTAATTTTTACAATAAAGTCAGCTATCAAAGCAAGAATAAGTATGGTTTTTTTTTTGTTTTTTATTTTTTTGTTTTTGAAGACAGAGTCTTGCTGTGTCACCCAGGCTGGAGTGCAGTGGTACGACCATGGCTCACTACAGCCTCGGCTTTCTGGCAATCCTCCTGCTTCAGCCTCCTAGGGACCTGTACTATAGGTATGAGCCACTGTGCCTGGCTAATGTTACTGAATTTTTTTATAGAGGTGGGTTCTCACTGTGTTGCCCAGACTGGTCTCAAACTCTTGGGCTCAAGCGATGTTCCTGCTTCAGCTTCTTGAGTAGCTGGGACCATAGGCATGAACCACCATGCCCAGCTAATTTTTAAAAAAAAATTTGTAAAGACAGGGTCTCAGTGTGTTGCCCAGTCTTCTCTTGAACTCTTGGGCTCAAATGAGTCTTCCTCCTTGGCTTCCCAAAATGCTGAGATTACAGGTACGAGCTACCATGCCCTGGCAAGAATAAGTAGTTTTAAACAAAGACCTGTCATCTTAAACTTTATGCTTTCCTAAATCTGTTTTTTTTTTCTTTTTGCTAACAGTCAAGATTTTTGGAAAGCAAATGTTTTGAGCTATAATATAGAATTCTAAAAACTATATGTAAGTGTTGTCTTATAAGTAAATTAGAAGAGATTGAAATGTGATTAAAGGATGAATGCCTTGCTGATGATGAAAGCAATTTGGTTTTTACCTAAATAAATAGGTAGCATATCAATTATAAGGCCCCAAGATAACATAACATTAAATGGTATTTTTTAAGTTTATTTTATCTGAGCTGAATGTCTGATTTTGTAGATACAGGGTTTGAAGTTAGCAGTTGATAGCAGAGAACTAGTTGATGGGAAACACCAGCATCCCAAAGGTTGGCTGAGCCCTCCCCACCAACTGGTTCCATTCCTGTGTCTTTAATTGCATTCCTTGGCTGAGACTAGACTTTAAGGCACTTGATAATATCTAGGTGTAAATTGTAATCCCCTAGTTCATTTCAATACTTTTTGAAATGTAAATTTTTATTTTAGGTAGCCTTACCATAAATAGTTAAATACTCCAAGATTAAAAAAATTCGACTTGTATTAATCAAAATATTAACATGGTTTATCTTTGGATGATAGGATTAGAGGTAATTTTTATTTTCTCTAAGCTATTCCATATTTTCCAAAGTTTGAATGTATTGCTCTAGATCTGTATTCTTCCCTATGTTATTTCATTATCACACAAGTATTATTTGTCTAATCTACTTTTATACTTTTGATGATTTAACAATTTCCGTGTATAATTTTGATGCATGTTTTGAAAGAAGAGTCTTTTTGGATTGCTATAGGTTTTATATTTATGGATAACAATTAATGAAATAGTAATAACTATTTATTTATTTTTATTTTATTTTATTTTTTGAGATGGAGTATCACTCTGTCACCAGGCTGGGGTACAGTGGTGCAATCTTGGATTACTGCAACCTCTGCCTCCCGGGTTCAAGCAATTCTCGTGCCGCAGCCTCCCAAGTGGCTGGGACTAGAGGCACGCACCTCCATGCCCAGATAATTTTTTTTTGGTATTTTTAGTAGAGATGGGGTTTTACTTGGTTGGCCAGGATGGTCTCGATCTCCTGACCTCATGATCCACCCACCTTGGCCTGCGAAAGTGCTGGGATTACAGGCGTGAGCCACCATGCCCGGCCAGTATTAACTATTTATAAGGAAATCTATGACTTTGGACTGGGAAAATATTTAACAGGCAGATCAGTACAAAATAGAGCCCTGATTACCTGGCACAGTCCACCTCTTCCTGCCATCCCAAACCTGTTCACCTCTTCATAATTCCCATCATAGGAGATGGCATCATCAGCCACCCAGTTGTTCTTATCAAAAACCTGGGAGTCATAATTGATTCCCCCTTGCTTTTATCTCCTGTACCCAAATCCAGCAGCAAATTGTGTTTTCTCTGCCTCCAGGGTAGATCTTATTTATGTTCACTTCTTGCTGTCAGCAGTGCCACGTCCTTGGCACAAGTCATACCATCATCTCTCATATTGGTGACGTTGTAGCCTCCTTTCTGGTCCCTCTGTGCAATCCATTGTCCACACAGTCATAAAAACAGGGTCCAGCTTTAGCTTTCTCTCCGTCTAGGTTTTCATACCACATTATCCTGTCCGTGTTCTATGCTCTTTACCCCCACTGACCTCTGTGCTTTTTTATCAACATATTAACCTCTTTCCTACTGCAGTGTCTTATAACAGCTGTCCTGCTGCCTGGCTGTCCATCTCCTCCCATGGCTGGCTCCTTATCCTGAAAGTTCAATTTCACAGCCCCTTCCTTCCTCCCAGATCACTGACCTGCAACCTGACCCAAACTAGCCCACATCTTAAGAATCCTCTAATCACTTCACTCTGATTAGTTCCTCTGCAGCACTTTCACATTTCTTAATTGCCTTTGTTTACTTACTTATTTTCTAACATTTTCTGCTGGAACATAAGCTCTATGAATGCAGGGACCTACCTACCTATCTCGTTCACCTTGCTGTTGCAGCAACAATTGGTAACATGGTAGGTACAAAATAAATAATTGTACATCCAAATAATTTATAATATGCATGGATTATAAATGGATCTTTATAATTAACTCTAATGTCTTAAAATAAAAATGTAAAGAAACATTTTAGTTTTTTTCTTTAGCTGTATTAATTTTTTTCACAGAGTGCTTTTTTATATCTAGCACATTTTGCAGCAAATTGGTAATGAGGAGGAGGGAGATATCATGCCCTTTGACAGATAAGAAACTGACACTCAGATTAAATGATTTATGCAAATTCATATGCTGGTAAATGATAGAATAGGAATCATGGAGTCTTTAATGTCCTTTAAATACAACATCCTCCTGCAAATGAGAACCCAAGGCTTTCAGAGGTTACATAGCTGGACTCTTGAAAAGAATAGGAACTAGGAAAATGTTAAAATAAAGTAAAATCAAATAATAAAAAATAAAATCTAAACAAAGTGCTATTGAATTGCTTTGAGGGTTCACATTGCAATGTAGCATGCACATCTTTTGCAACTGGGGAAAGGTATATCCATTTTCATAAAAAAGTATGAGTCTGTATTTAAAAAAATATAAATTACATATTCTCACATTTATTATTATATTGATGTAGATTCTTTAAATACCAGAGGCATTCTTTTTTTATAAAAGATTTTTAATATGTCTTTTATATTTTCTAGCTAATATTGCCTTTGAACACTGATTTTGTTTATTAAATATACAAAAGCATCCATAACATTTGTAATAAATGTTACATGAGCTATTTGGTCTCTAGACATCACCTCTTTGACTCTCTGTTGCTATGGGTTTTCATTAGTATTCTGTGGAGCCTGGGTTGCCATAGAAAATGTGTGGTTGTAGAGGAGTTACTATGGCAACAATCCGCCATTATGTATTTTTCAATATCATCTAGCTTGAGATGATAGTGAATCTGAATGATATTTATTTAGTGATCCAATAAAGAAAAATAAAGCAAACATAATATTTTGATAGCTAACTTCAACAGATATTTTAAATATGATGCTTGTTACCTTTTATTCAAATAAATTAAATAGAAATTGAAAACTGCTCTAAAAAGCTAGTTTTTAGCAGCCATTTAACTTGGTCTCTGGAGATACTAAAAATTTAAATTGCCTTAAATGTTTGACATGGATATAAACTTCCATGTAATAAAGCTCCTTGTCAAATAAGCATACGTTTTTGTTTTAATGGTCTCCTTAACAACCTTGAACCCTAGCAGCTCAGGTACATGTTAGAAGATAAAGAAGAGGAAGAGTATTTTTTTTTGTCTTTGAAATGGAACTCAGAAATAAAGAAGGGAAATCACCTGGTGACTCGTTGCTCAATGTGGCTTTTCAAAAGAACAACAACAACAACAACAAAAAAGCAGAGAAACTATTTTCAATAAAATGGCAAATACCTAAGTTGAAGAGAAGTTTTAAGCATACTACTCAAAAACATTTTGATATATTCAATCCTTTAGCAATCACTTTGAAATTCCTAACCAATTGGAAATGTTAGGCATGTCATGTCAATTGTCTACAAATAATCATTTTTAACTTCATAGAGTGACACACCATTAAGTGGGAAAAGTGTTATGACAACAAGTCAGCAAATTAGATCCATGTATATTAACGATTTTTTTTAAACATGAGTGAACTTCAAGTTTTACAATTTTAATGTTGTGATCTGGTTTATTTATTTATTTATTTAACTTGCCAATTCTTCCTCTGAAATTGTGGCAATACATGATGTTGGGACTCCATTGTTTTATTTTCTTGAAACCATTTTGTCTGGGAGCTCTCCAACAATCTTTCCTGAAGCTGGGGTTTCCCGTGGGACATGTAAAGCTATTCCTTTCTGCAGCAGAGGCTAAGCACAGAATCATAGGGTCATAATTCAGCACTTCAGAGAATCAGAGAACACATGAATTGCTCCTGGATGATCATGGGGGATTTGAGAGAAAAAGATAAAAGTAAACAATGCTTTATCAGGTGCAGCTTGCATAGAGGAGGTATGTTGGGTTTGATAGAAATCAAAAGCAGATATTCTAATCCATGATGTTGTCAGGTCATAAAACCTTTAGCAAAGAGTAGCTTCAGGTAAAATGAGAGCAAATTACCCTGAATTCCAAGCTATGGGGTTCTGGAACAATGACGTTCACCTATAAATGGCATCTGACATAGTCCTGATAGTTTTACAGATAAGGGAATTAGTAACTTAATGGATATTATCAATTGAGGATAAGAGTATTGAATTTAGGAAAAGTATAAAATGAAATCCTTGGCATTTAGCAAATTAAGGGTTTATTGTTGAGAATACATTACAAATATTATTGTGTGCGTTCGTTTTCTCTGTCACAGGATATCTTTGAGCAGTAGGCAACAGAGTGTCCTGCTTGAAAGCATGAACTTTGGAGTTAGACTCCCTGGGCATGAATTCTGGTTTGATCATTTACTAGCTCTGTGATCTCAAACAAGTTAATTAACCTCTCCAGGGCTCAGTTTCCTTATTCGTATAATGAAGATAACAACACTAGTGATGTTATGGCGTTATTTTGAGGATTAAATGTATTTAAATTTGTAAAGGGCTTGGAATTGGGTCTGATATACAAAAAGTACTATTCAGGTGTATGTTAATTAAAGAGAAAAAAGTAGGAAGTTTGGGGTTCAGAGTCATCCAACTGATCATAGCTGATCAGAGGGCAGACTCTTGACCACATAAAAGATTAATTCATGTCAAATAAGTCAGATAAACGATATCATAGCTAATTAGCTTCTTTCATGTTTTTCAGATTTAAAAAATTGCATGTAAGACTTTGACATAACATTAGTAGTCTTTTATACTGTATACCAAGATTCCATTTCCTATCAAGCCTACCCAACAATGATTAATTAGCCTTGATCATTAAGACCTTTATTCCCTGTGTAGAGGTTTCTGGCAGCAGAATACAGATGCCTTTTTTTTATTTTTATTTTTTATCTTTTTTTTAATGACGGACAATAACGACGTCAAGTAGAATTTGTTATGGTATATAGCCCCCTTTTAACTGTCTTTGTTTCCCCTTGATAGATCTTGAGTCAATACTGAATGGAAGAATTAAGTAGAAGATAAGTGCAGTTCATTCTAGAAATTGCAGTTTGATTTGCTATGTAATTTCATGTTATGAGTTCCTTTAATATCAATGAATTTAGTGTTGTATGTTTAAATTGGACATCACAGCTAATCTACACCTCTGATTCAGACTATCTTGTTTCTTTTCTGATGTGACCCTGGATTGAATGAACCTTTTACTATTTTTTATTCACTACTTTCGGGCCTTTCTCTGTCTTCAGTCCGTTGCTTCTCTCCCTAAATATGGCAAATCCCAAGGCTCTGTTCTCTTTCTCCCTCCTATCTTTTCCAGGGTTTTTTATTTCCTTCCTCCAATCTCATGATCCCGCTTTTACCTCTATGTGGTTTTCTCGAAAACCATTCTGTTCCTGTCCTGGTCTCCCTCCCCAGCTGGTCCTCAGTCTGACTACATGCTAGTATTTCAACTTGAGTATTATACTGCTAAAACTTCAAATAGGCATATAGCCCTAGGCCCTTTGGACCTGTTAACCCTGTCCAACTCTACCTCTTAACCTCATTCCCACTGTCTTTTAAAGCAGGTGTCTCCTTTTACCTTTTAAATTTTGTCAGGGTACTAGCATCTCTCAGGCACTAAGGCTCAATGTTTTGGAAGAACTGTGAATTCAATGTAATTAACAATAGACCTATCCAGGGCTTTAATGCAGAAGGTTTAAATCAACTGGCTGTGAGGAGAATTTCCAAGGTCTTCTTGGATGGTAAAAAATATTCATTTCAGTAATCCCTAAATGAAAATTTAGCTATTTCTTTAATTATGAACATAGGCATAAACCACAGTAGTATGAATTGTGACTTTGTCACTGTAGTAATTATGAATACTATTATATTTCATTATCTTTGTTGAAGATGTCTTGAAGTATTATTTATGCTCTTTACTATTTAAAAATTATAGTTGTTATTAGACCTACTATTTGTACAATATAATGCATTAATAAAGAAGCAAATATATTATCACAAATTTGTTTTTTAAAATGTCTTAAAACTGTGATATTGCAATACAGTAAATATATTTCAATGATGTCATTGTCTTTAGCTAATTTGTTTACTTAGAAAGTATGTAATCACCCAAGATAATGGAGGTCAGGAGAAATAATGGTATTTCAATTTGTTTGTCTTCCTTACCAGCCCTGTTTTGTTCTATGCCTTTAAAAACACTATTCTGAGAAGGGCTCCAGAGGATTCATCAGTCTCCCAAAGGGACCGTCTTCCAAAAGAAGATGTTTCTTGTTCTTTTTTCTTTTCTTGTTCAATAAAGAAATATAAGAACCCTTATTTTCCTGGAACAAGTGCTCATATAAAAGTTGACAGCTTTGAATGTCATTGCTCTGTTTATTTATTCATTCAGCATTTTAAAAATATGTACTAATGTCCTAGGTGTTACTTTAATCTATATTTCATCTCAGTTTTTAGGGTCAAAATATCCTAATTTTATAAGAACCATGCATTCTTTTGAAAAACTTTTAGAACAGCAAAATAAACCTAAGATAAAGATATGTGTGTGTGTGTTACCTTCTAGTATCACGGCAAATAAAACAAAACTACATGAGCTTGCCAGTAATTTATCAAACAGGATGAGATTGTAGATATTAATAAGCCAGAAATAATGGAGATAGGAAATAAGTGGGGAGGATGAGCCAGGTATAATCAGAGATGTAATTGAGTACATTAGCCTAGTGGCTCCTTAACACATAAATTAGGTACTTTGGGAAATAAACTGATTTTGATAATCTGTAGCCACATAATAGAATGTTGTCAAGCTCTTTGCGTCATTTGTGGATTTTAATTAGTTCTTCTTCTGACCTCCATTATCTTAGGTGATCACATACTTTCTAAATAAAGAAATTAGCTAGGGACAATGATGTAGGTGAATTATATTTACTGTCTTGCAATTCAAATGTCTATTACCACATAACAAACTATCCCAAAGCACAGTGGCTTAAACAACAATGCATTATCATCTCTCATGGCTCTGTGGGGTTCTTGTCTCTTGTGTGTGTGCAGCCATCTAAAGTCCCCACTGCTCTGCACGTCCAAGATGTCTTCTCTACTCCCAAGTCTGGTGCCTCGGTGTTCCCCTTGTGGCTCCCTCTCTTGGCAGAGTAGCTTGGACTGTTTCATATGGTGGCTCAGGGTACCAAGAGGCAGGAAGCAGGGCCCGCCAGTCCTCTTAAAGGCTAGGTTCAAAGTGGCTACAGCACATGGTGGGTACGTGTTCTGTTGGCCAGACAAGATGCCAAAGGGTAAAGGAACAGACTTCACCTCTCAAGCGGGGTATTGGTGTGTGTGTGCACAGGGAAGAAGGAATTGAAGTCACGCGTACTTCTCATTTCCCCTGCTTCACCTTGTTCTCCTCAAACTAGATCTTCCTTCTTAGTTCTCAACTTTCATTTACTAACCATTTAATTGATTATTTTCTCTCAGGAAAACTCCTTTAAGTTTCCTGTATCTATCAGATCTCTACCCATTTTTGTTTGTTTTCTATAAAGTTCTAGCATTCATGCCTCCTCAATTCCACCAGTTTTTTTTTTTTTTTTTTAAAGCCACTATAATCTCATGCACTGTTGCGGAGGGTTTCTTGTGTTGGTTGGTGTAAAGTTAGGAAGATCCCAAGACCATGTTCATTTCTGACACCAACTGTAAGTTTTTGAGTTCCTAAGGCGACCCTCAGGTTTAATAACTTGCTAGAAAGATTCCTAGCACTCTGAAAGCTATTATATTCACAGTTCCAGTTTATAAGAGCAAAAGAATACAGATTCAAATCGAGCAAGGGAAGACTGGGGAACACAGATCAGGGTCTAGAAGAGCTCCAAGCTTCCAGTTGTTCTTTCCCAGTGTAGTTGTGTGGATGATGCCACTTCTTCCAGCAACAGTGTGTGACAACATACATGGGTAGTGCCAACCAGGGAAGCACACCCAAGCCTTGGTGTGCAGAGTTTTTTTAAAAATACTTTGTACTTTATCGACTGTATTAAATATATCACCTACATCCCCATTAGCTTTGATTGCAGTGATGAGTAGTTTTTATTTATTTATTTTTATTTTTATTTTTTACTTTTAATTTAGGTTGAGGGGTACATGTGCAAGTTTGTTATGTAGGTAAATTGTATCATGGAGGTTTGGTGTACAGAGTATTTCACCATCCAGGTAACAAGCATAGCACTCAAAAGGTAGTTTTTCCATCCTTGCTCTTCTCCCTCCCTCTACCCTCAAGTAGGCCTCAGTGTCTGTTCCCTTCTTTGTGTCCATGTGTACTCAGTGTTTAGCTCCCACTCATAAGTGAGAACATACAGAGTTATGTGACTGAGACTCAGTCACACAGGCGTGTTTGGTCACAGAGATATTGTTGATTGCTCCTGATACCATGTAGCCACAGGCACCCTACCATATATAAATCACATTGTTTGCATAGACTCTGAGAGGTGGCCTATAGCCCCAAAGAGAACAAAGGCACTCTTTTCCTGCAGGATATCCCAAGGGCTTAGAGATTACTGCCTGAGTGCTAAGAGTGAAGACCAGACCTCTCTTTGGGCAAGGTTAATTCCTTACTGCTGAGGTCCTTCATCTACTTCCCTCTCCAGTCCATTTAATATCCTTGCCAGGTAAATTTCTCTAATGAATAGTCTTAGTCATTGTCACTTTCCTGCTCAACAACCTATGATATCTTATTAATGCATTTTTGTCCCTATGTTCCATACTTTTCAGGTGGCTTTTATTATAAATATTTTCTTTTTTGGCCCCATAAACTAACAAAATGTCAAAGTGGTCCCAGGTTACTTAATCACCCTATGTTTTCCTACCTGGCCTTTCCCCTTGCTATCTATCTGCTGTGTCCTTGCCCATTCAAACTCCAACCCATCCTTGTGGTATCATGCGTATGATAGTGCCCTCACTGTCAAAAAAGCTTAATTGCTTAAAATAGATTTATTTGATTCCTTTTTGGATCCCTTTCTTTGTACATCTCTGTGGCACTTGCTACGGTTGGCTTTGCATTACAGTTATTTTTGTACCTGCCTTATGCTCTTTCTAAGACAGTAAGTGCCTCCAGAGTAAAGATCGTACCTTATTCCTCTTCATATTTCCTGTAAAAGCCAAGATCATGCCTGAATCTGGAAGGGATGGAATATGGGGAGAATCTAAATCCTACCTTCTGGGGGAAGACCCAATACATGTTTACTGTCACAAGTACAGACTCCTTAAAATGGTGGCTTCTCTGTTGTATTAAAGCCAAATGAATAGTTTCTGTAATAAGCCCTCTTAAGTTCTGTATGGGCTGAGGTGGTTAGGGGAAATTCTTTTGAGGAGTTTTAAATAACTGAATTCACTTGAGCACGTAAACACTAGCATTGCGTTCTTTGGTCAGTATGCAGCATTTGACACTACATATAGATCAGGGATTTTGTAGAATCTAACCTAAAGGATTTGACTGGGTTCCGTTGGTCCCATGTGAAAAATAACTTGATAGGATTCACTTAACTTCAGATCTATGCTCTCTCCTCTCTCTCATTTTAAAAGCCCATTTTCTTCCCTGCCAGGATTCTAGTATGCATTTTACTAAGATAGCTCTTTTAATATATTCATTCATATAATGATTCAGCATGTATTTAATGAGCATGTATTTATCAGATGCTATGTCAGGTACAAGAGATACAGTGGTAAACAAGACAACAGTAGCTCCTGTCCTCAGTTTCTCTCTTAGAAGTGACTTTAAAGCCTCAGGTAGCTGGGCACGGTGGCTCACTCCTGTAATCCCAGCACTTTGGGAGGCTGAGGGAGGTGAATCATGAGGTCAGGAGCTTGAGACCAGCCTGACCAACATGATGAAACCCCATCTCTACTAAAAATACAATAACTAGCTGGGTGTGGTGGTATGCCTGTAATCTCAGATACTCAGGAGGCTGAGGCAGGAGAATCACTTGTACCTGGGAGGCAGAGATTGCAGTGAGCCGAGATCATGCTGCTGCACTCCAGCCTGGGCAACAGAGCAAGGCTTCACCTCAAAAAAAAAAAGCCTCAGGCCTATTTTTTGTAGGTTTAGTTAACCTACCTACAAACTTACTGGCTTTCCAAACCAACTTTCTGGCTTTCCAAACATGTCTGTGAAATTGGAGAGCTAAATTGATAACATCTGCAACAGCTAATATTTATCAAGCATTCACCCATTCTACATCCATCACCTCATTTCATCCTAACAACAATTTAGGTAGCAGCATAATCATTATTCCATCATAAATGAGGAAACAGGCAATATTTCAGGTTTGCGTGTTCTAGAACTTGCACTCTTCACCACTGTGTGATTACTACTAGATTGAGTAAGCCTCAGCACCATTTTGCTTGAATTGACTTTGATCTTGCATTGTTATTCCAGGCCAGGGTTCAAACATCTCCTATCTGACTGTTAAAATTTACGATTTGAGTTGCCACTATATTATCAGCTGAGTAATTGGATCAGACCTGCTCCTGGATCCATAGTGGTAGTATTTGTCTTTGTTCTTTACAGAGCCTCATTATATTGCTCGAATATCATCTTGAAAAAAACATAGATGATGTTAGAAATATTTTTTAACTAGATAAAAATTGCTAACAATAAATGTGTTACTTGGAATTTGCTAGTAGTTAATTCTAACTGTATTAGTTGGTCTGAGTTCAACAAGTGGATGATGACTTTTCTCAACAAATTGGTTGATATTATGCTCCTCAAACCTGCCATGAATTACACGACCCCAGGAGAGTCTGGAATGTTGATGTGATAGTGACAAATTGTTTCACTGCTCTCTAATGCAAAAATATTGTAAATGAGAATCATCTCAGTTCATTTATTCAAGTGTGTTTAAAATGATATATTTGGAGATCTGTACTTTCTGAGCTCTGTAGTAGACATTTCTTTAAGGAAATTAAAAATAAAATGTCAAATTCAGGACAAAACAATCTAGAATTTTAGTTATGTAAATGAGTGAGATAAATAGTACTGTTCTAGCACCTCTCTCTCTCAAAGGTCCTTTTTAGAATGCTGCATTCCAGTAGGCACTTCTCTTCAACATCTTGGCAGGTGCATTTGTAGGTATAAGCGAACACATTGCATTGCATTGCATTGCATTGCCTGGCATCGTTTGCAGTGGAGAAATATTTGACCGAATTGCTTTTCTCTAATTTAACCAGTGTTATTTCAGTAGAGCAGATTGCAGGCAGGTCACAGAACAGCTAGGAGCAGGGCTCTGAAGACAGACTTGGGTTTGAATGCTGTCTTTGCAATGTATATAAGCTGCGTAACTTCGGGCAATTTAGTCAATCTCTCTAAGTCTCAGATTCTTCATCTATAAAATGAGAACAATACTAATTCCTACCTCACGTTGTTTAAATGATCAAATATGGCTTATGCTGTGCATACATTAAATGCCCAGTAACTCCAAAAGGCTGTTTTACTTGTTATTAGAGAAGGTATCCATTTTCTTTTTATTCATTAAAAAAATCACTACTTTAAAAGAACAAGTGGTCTTGGTAATTAGCGTTATTGCTAAATACAAAAAAGCCACTTCAAAGAAGAACAAAAAGCAATAACACAACTAATGGTTTCTTAAGTGGGCTGTCAAGATGTCACACTTTGATTCTAGTGGTCAATATAAAAACATTTAAATTCATGCCTAATCCTTGGTATCAAATGAGCCTCTGGAAACTACAAGTTATTGAAACTGTCTGGACTCTGGAGTCCCTCAACCTGGGTTCAGATATAGGCTCTGTTACTTATTTACTGTGTAACTTTGGGTAAGTTACTTATTCTCTTTGTGCCTCAGTTTCCTTTTATGTAAAATGGAGGTAATAAAAGTACCTGCCTCATAGGGTTGTTAGGTAAGGATTAGATAAGATAATGTTTGTAAACTCTTTAGAACAGTACCTGACAGATACAAGGATTAACTGCAGTTATTTTAAATGGATGGTCCTAATATAACTAAACTTGATTTTCACACAAATATAATAAACACCTTTGATGGAGATGCATTTTGAATTATGGATAGAATAATTCTTTTTTATCATACACATTGACTAGCTGGAAATGTAAAATAAGAAATATGTCAGATATGGAAAGTCACCAATGCAAGATCTCCTTGGAAACAGGGTCATTATTTAAAATAAATCATTTATAAGATGGTATATAGTTATTATAAACAGTGTTCAATCTTTTTAATTTAGCATTTGTAGTAATATTATAATTCCCATTCCTGGCTTTATAAATGCAGGCATGATTTGGCCCATATATCCTGGCTTGTTACCAGAAGAGATTATTCAGTCAAGGAAGAAACAAGGACTGTGTAACACAGTCTCAAAGTAATTACTGTGGACTTCAGAATAGTCTTATTGGAGAGCAATTGCTGAGAAACGAACCATGATTGCTTCTGTAGCTCTAGTAGAAATAGTAAATGTTTGGTAACTAATGGTTCTGGAGACTGTAGGCATCAGTTTCGGCAAACAGGAGGAACTTGGCATTTGACAACAGAAGTCCTGGGTTCAGGTTCTGTTGCTTCCATTACTGACTGTGTAACTCCAGGCAATTCGCTCATTTCTTTGCTCATCAGTTTCATCTTTTATCAAATAAAAATAATAACATCTCCCCTGAGGCTCTACAGGATTGTGAGCCAAAGAAGATAAAATGTGAGAGCCCTAGGCACATGATTGTGCTTTCCATTTTTACTAATGTCAAGACAGGAGTCAAGAACCAAGCATTTTTGTTTTTCTGTGGAACCTGAATATATGGCCTGGCCTATGAAAAGGGCAAAGCAAAAGAGATATTTTCTATTTAAATTGTATTCCACTAAATTTAATTATAATTAGTTTAATTCTGTTTATTCAGATTCTACTTAAGCACATCACTTTACCTCATAGCATATGATTTTGACCTGCTTGGCAGAATGAGATCTGGGAAGAGGAACTTAGATTGGAGGCAGGGTTAGGGAGGAACAGGGTCTTGGTGTGCAGCTGGTTATCAGAAAAGGTGGGTGTGGGTGTGTTTTTCAAGACTTGGTTATCAGATGAGGTCTTAGCAAGATAGACTCAAGACTCTTTGGGAGTGGGCCTGGGCATGGGGAAGGAAAAGAGGGTAGGATCTATATGTTTTGGCGGTACAGAGAGGTTTGGGAGGGGCAGGATCTGAGGTTCCTGTTAGAGAGATGGGAGAAAGCCTGGGGGTGAAGGAGCTCTTCCAGAAGAGGGCAGAACTAACCTAAAGAAAGAGGATGGCCTGGGTAATTTTATTCTAGGAACCACTATAGGGTCAACTTTGATTATGAAGCTTTCTAATACTGGACATTTTTTTTCTTATTTCTGGTTTTAATTTCCTGTCAATTTTTCAACAGTTGCTAAAGTTAAATTGTCCTAGAGTAGCACAGAAAGACATGTATTTATTTAGGGTCAGGTGAATAGGAGCCAAACTTGCCCTTCCATAATGTGGTGAGCTGTAGAGGAGAAACATTTGGATCAGAGTTTGGCTGGTGGTCATGAAAAGGAAAGCGGATGGGCCAAATCTTATTTATACTTGGCATTTGCTCTGACAGACACCTTCAACCCTAATGGGTGTATGAGAAAGAAGGAGAAGGCCAGGGGGTGCCACAGAGACATTTCACTCTGGTTTTCTCCTTCTACCTTGCTGTTTACCACCATCTCCTTCTTACCTGCTAACTCAACCCTTTTCCTCCAAGAGTTTCTCTTTTGCTTCAAAGTCCTACTCTTTTCTGCTTCAGTGTTTGTACCTCCAGTGGCCAAAGCTATGAGAGTTTTTTATTCTCTCTGCTTAGAGGATGACTAAGGAGAAGTCCCACCTGTGTCTCTGGTGTCTCCTACTAATTTGCTTTCCCATAGAAATATTGATGAATATTAAAATATTTCTACAGATAATAATGAGTGACCTACATTTCTTTAGGTAAGCTAATAAACTAGCCATGCTTTATTGCTTTACTTTTATTAGAAGACGTTTTATAAGGTCTAAACAACAATTCTTTTTGGCTATATATAAATTTTGGACAAAGCATATAACTGGGTTGGAGACTGACTACATTATAGCATGGTGGCATGGTTGCAATGGAAAATAGACACTGGAACCAGATAACGTGGGTGTGCATTCAGGCCCCACCATGTACTGGCTGCATGACTTTGGGCAACTCATATTACTGCTTTAAAAATCAGTTTCCTCTGTGAGAAGGAGATAAAAAAATTTAATATCATAAAATAAAGAACTGAGGGATGCTTCCACAATGTTATAAAGACTACCTGTCTTAAGCCCATAGTCAACATCAAACTCAATTATGAGCCTCTAGAAGCTTTGCTCTTTTAATCAGTTAAAAGACTAGAATATCTGTGTTTACTATTACTTTTAAACATTGTTTTGGAAATTCTGGCCTATGTAATAAGATGTGCAAAAAAGAAAATGAGAGAGAGAATTGCAGGAAAAGAGCATCTGAAGAATAACTGTAATGAAAAGTGAGTTGGGCCTGTGTAAAGAACAAACAGGTAGAAATAGCCAAGAACATTTTTTGAAAAAGAAGTTCAGAGTATCTTTTCTGCTCAAATGTTGTGTGCTCTATAAAGTTTATACTGTGAGCACAAGAATTGACAGATGGATCAGAGGAAGAGAAATGAACAGCCCTGAATCTAGTGTCTGGTTGGCTTAATCAAGCACTTATGCTGTGCTAGGCACTGAAGGGATTTCTGTACATTATCTGGTTTAATCCTTACAACAAGGCTGCAAGATAGATATTGACAAGCTAGACTTGCCCAGGTGTCAAAAACTGACATCAGAGCTCAGGTGTGCCTCAAAGCAAATTTTGCACTGATGACCCAGGAAGAAATAAATGATTTCACCAGTGGTGCTGGGGAAAGTCTGTGAGAGGTGGTAGTCAAAAACTGTAGTAAGTACTCATCTCACGTTATACCTATGATAAAGTCCACATGGGTTAAAAAAAAAGCCAAGGGTAAAAGATAGTGATAGGGACTGGGAGGACAAGCATAAGTAGCTATTTAATTGATGCTGGATTGAGGAAGAACTTTCTAAGCATAGAAGCCCAGAGCAGACATCCCCAAGTAAATGATTGATATGTTTCATTACATAAAATTTAAACTTCTGTGCATCAAAACCATTATAAACCAAACCTAAATGCAAATAACGGACTGGGAAAGCAAATGAAAATATTTATATAATTATGATACACAAATGATTAATAGCCTTATTTCTAAAGAGCTCTTATAAATCAATAGAAACCCACAAACATCCTGAGTAAAGACAGTCAAAGGCATAAAGGGGAAGAACTGCAATAGATTGTAAAAATTGCTTCATTGTAATAACAAGAAAAAATAACTCGAATAAAAAGTACATACCATTTCACTATGAAATAAAAAAGCATTTTATGAAAATGCTAAGATATATTTGTGAATGTTTAGAGAAATGGGCACTTGCCTACACTGTGAATTGTTCTTTTGATGAGCAATCTATAGATTTTGACCTTTTGGTGGGCACATGATACGCAAGTGCCATGAAAAAAGTTTGTTCCTTTTCTTCAACAATACCATTTTGGCGAATTTCTCTTAAGGAAATCAGCAGATGTAAAGTCAAGATTTTTGTGCAAGGAGATTATTACAATGTTAGATGTGCTAGACAAAAATGTATATCATAAATACTAGGAAGTATTTGAAAAAATCTTGCCATGTAAATAGGTAGATTAGGATGCAACTATCAAGACCACATTTTGAGACTATAATGTGGAAAAATGATATGATTTTAAGGGGAAAAGGCAAGATATACTGTATATGTGAAATAATTTCAATCTTGTTTAAAACACTGTATATGTGAGACTGTGTGTATTGAAAGAGAACAACACAAAATATTAACTTTCCTCTAATGGTAGGACTATGATTGATTTTCATTTTTTGTGCTTGGCACATTTTCTGTAATGAATGTGCATTGCTTTTATGATTATACAAAGCTATTACATTTACTGTTTTAGAAGTTGTGAAGATTAAATAAGAAAATGTAGCTGAGACACCAGGAATAAAGTTAAGGTTTTAGAAATGTTAATTTCCTTCTATTTTTTTCTTTATTGGAAGCTCAAATAGAAACATGAAATTGCAGATTTAATTCTGTATGACTTGATAGTGGGCTTTTTAAAGCTGACAAGATGAAATAATTTTTATGGTGTCAATTTGAATAGCCTTTGATAGAGTCGAATGAAATGTACACAAGTGTAGTTAGAGTTAACTTCAAAGTAGAATGTTCCTTTCTTTACATTCTACGTATTTAAACTTCAGTACCAGTTGGAATAATTTGCATATTGCACATATTACTATATTCTGATAGGAAATGAGCTAAAGGTATTTCTTCCCTGATGGAATAAAGTTAGCATTTTGTAAAAACAGAAAGTCAGCCTTAATCTTCATCTTGGAGTTCCTGTAGTCAGAGTAGATCCTTGGTTTTCTATTTTGAGGTTGTAATAATATTATAGGAACCATGTCATCTCTTGCATAATCAGACTTTTGGCTTTACAAGCCTTGCTATTCTGACCCTTGGTAAACAATATTTACAGTAATGAAGTTTGGGAGAAAATGGATTTCTCATAATAGCTGTGCAAGAAAGTTATATGGGAAAATGTTTTCTGATGCCAGCATTTTCATGCGGAGGAAAAAAATTTTAAATTACCTTTATTATTACTGTTACAGTTGCATCTCATTGGCATATTCATTTCAAGTTCAAGATCATACTTTTTTAATGTATCTGGCACAATTTCATTTTTAAAAATTCTCTTTAAACCATTGATGCTATTGATTTGGTGTCCCTGCTTTTCTTTATTTTGTAGTTATCTAAGCATTTCCTGCAGATGTCTTTTTTTTTTTAAACTAGAATTCATCTTATTTCCTCTATTTTACTTTGTGTTCTCCCCTTTTAAGGAACTTACTATGTTTATAAGTCAATTAATAATGTGCATGTGTAAATCACCGTCATGGTAAATATATGGAATTCTTTCATGTTTGCTAAATGTTTGTTTCTTTACTTTTTTAGGGTGGCTTTGGATCAGATTATTCACGAAGCTCTAGAAAGGTAATGAAAATTATCACTAAACTCAACAAATATATTATTTTGTGTGGACAAGTTTCTTCTTACAATTATAAACATAGAGTTGAATGAATTATTTACAGGAGATGGTCCTTTTAAACCAGTTTATTGTTGTTGTTGTTGTTATTTTTATTTAACTAGAGAACAATTTGAAGGCTTTTATACTCTCGCCTAGTGGAGCAACCTGGTCACCCGGACTTGTGCTCATGGTAGGATAATTCCTTGGTGCTATTAGTTGTGTTTCACATCTGCTTCTCAGCTGTGCATTTGAGGCTTGATTTAATGGCAGGTACAGAGTAACCAAGACCCCCTGGAGACTGATACAGCATCCATTTCTCCATTGATAATGCCATGAAAATTAAATGTTTGATTTAGCTAAACCGAAAAGTCTACATGGGAGTCCAATTATGATCAGATGTTTGCTTCTAGATCTGGAATTAGAAAAAGGAGAGTCACTTCAATTATTTTAATAGTGAAAGAGCTTTAGCTATGGTAACCTGATATGTCTGTCTAACCTTGAAGGATATTCTGCTCAGTGGGCTATGCAGGCTACCTTTCCCCTATATAGTGACGTGTAAATGCTTCAACTCTCTCCCTCTTGGCCTCTCATCTTCCTGGAGTCATCACCATTCATCTTTCCATGTGCTCATGCCATCCACTATTCTTTTCAACCAGCAGGGTCAGGTAAGGGTTAGGACAGACTGCATTAGAATGTCAGTTCTCCTTGCTTCATTTTCTTCATATAGAAATAGATGAATAATAGTATCTGCCTCATAAGTTTATTGTGAGAATTTATTGAAACAAAACGTTTAACTTGGTGCCATAATAAGAGCTCAATAAATATCAATATAATTCACATTATTATTATTTTTTCCTAAGATGTCTTCCGCATTCATATGTATATATTTTACTAGGCTGAATTTTGTGAAATTGCCATTTTGGTAAGTAAAAAATAGTCTAACACCAGCTATTTCATATGATTAAACTAACTATTAATTAACTTATAATTCTATTTTCTATCTATGGTCTTTTAGTTATTTTGTTTCTGTAACATATTCGCTACACAATTCTGTGGTACACTTGAATTATCTTTTTTTTTGACAGAGTCTTGCTCTGTTGCCCAGGCTGGAGTGCAGTGGTATGATCTTAGCTCACTGCAACATCTGCCTCCCGGGTTCAAACAATTCTCCTGCCTCAGTCTCCCAAGTAGCTGGAAATATAGGCACACACCACCATGCCCAACTAATTTTTGTATTTTTCATAGAGATGGGGTTTCGCCAGGTTGGCCAGGCTGGTCTCGAACTCCTGACCTCAGGTGATCTGCCTGCTTCGACCTCCCAAAGTGCTGGGATTACAGGCGTGAGCCATGGTACCCGGTCTGAATTGTCTTCCTAAAATGATTTTTTTTTTTGTTTTTGTTCAGTGAAAGGACTGAGTGATGCTGGTTTTTTTCATGAAGGACTCCTAAGAATGATAATGTAGTCTAGTAAGACTTTGACATTGGTTCAGTAGGCTCATCATGATACTAGCTGGGTTCCAGCAGGATGTTGTAATGTTGCTGGTCAATATTAACTGTGTCACCAGTAATAAGCTAAAGTCAGATTTATCTGGGTCAGGCACACAATTTTATCTTAGCCATATGATATGTTCTACCTATCAAAGTATTTTTCCATTTTTATTGTATTTACTTTCTCAATAATTTTAAGGAGCAAAAGTAAAACTATCTTAATCCTTTAAAGATTAAAAATGGAGCCATACGTTAACTAACTTTATCAGGAGCATAGATCTAGTTAGTGGCTATTCAGATAGTTAAATAAAGGTCTTCATAATTTCAAAGCTAATATAGGCTTTTATAGGTCTTATCCCAAACTCATTTGATATAATTGGATAAATAAAATCCTCCCAATTTCTCCCATTCCTACTATATTTCCAGGATTCTGTGGTTACTCAAAAGCATTCTCTATGTTTTAGAAATTTATATCTAGTAAAGTTAATAATTAATACAATTTTTAGAATGAATGGAACATGAATTTCAACAATACTCTGATGAAGAACAAAAATATAGGCTGTCATATCTCAAGATTGCAATATTTTAGTTTATCTTAAACCTTCTACAAGAATGAAACAACTATTCATATATGGATTTAGGACTTTCTTGTTCTGTTTTACTCACATATTTGTGCACAGTCCAACCTCATTTATAGCCTTCAGCCATTTAAACAGCTTCTGAAATGAATGTGTGGTTATGCTACCTTCTGTAGCAATTTTTATATATGGTATAAATGCTGTCTTTACTGAAATTCTGACTCTGTGCCCGTGATGCCAGAAGATACAAAGACTACTGGGAATACCAGGCTGAAATGATTTCTTTAGAGGCTCCAACGCCACCAGGAATTCAGTTAGGTGAGTGATTAAAACTGAGTGAGCCAAGGCGGGTGGATCACGAGGTCAGGAGATTGAGATCATCCTGGCTAACACGGTGAAACCCCATCTCTACTAAAAATACAAAAAATTAGCCGGGCATGGTGGCAAGCGCCTGTAATCCCAGCTACTGGGGAGGCTGAGGCAGGAGAATTGCTTGAATCTGGGAGGCGGAGGTTGCAGTGAGCCGAGATCGCGCCACTGCACTCCAGCCTGGGAGACAGAGCGAGACTCCATCTAAAAAATAAAATGAAATAAAAACCAACAAAACAACAACAACAACAAAATACCGAGTGAGGCAAAAAGAGGTGAGAGTTGATACCTTTTATCCCCAACTTAAAAGTATCTTCTATTTTACATTTTTGGTATCTTGGGAGCATCTCTTTTGGCCTTTAACCCATCTGGTATATACTCATCTGCCTCAGTGCTTTGGAACCCTGACTGTCCTGTCTGCTCAGTTTGCCTTCTTTCTTTCTTGTCATAATTTCAAAGAATGTCCATTTCAGATGTGAGAGCTCTGAACTCGACAGAGATAACTTGCTGCTTGGCACCCACTCAGCCCCTGCAGCTCCTGTCACTTAATGGTCCAACCCTCTTTGCCAGCAAAATGTCTGGGGCCTCTGCGGAAAATGCAGAATCCTTTTTCAGAATCTCTGTTATTGAATATCCTCACTCAGCTAAAATATTAAAATCCTCCTGGGATTAGGTAATGAGACAGTGTACACTTCATAGGGTACAAATTGAAGAGGTAGTTTGGATGAATTCTGAATTGAATGAGATAAGAGTGTCAATAAAAATAAAAGGAAAACCATTTATTTTGTGTAGTATCTGATTCTTTCCCCATTTCTTCGCCCCACTTCTCCACTGCTTTGATAATGTGTCTCTATAGAATATGACTCCCGTGGCAACATTTAAGAAACCGAGGTCACTTTTTAGATCTTGTATGCCAAACACTTGCCTAGGCAAGCCTTTGATTTAGATGCCTGTAAATGTGACTTGACATCTATAGATAGGTGTGCTGTCAGGGCATTCGATTTACTTAATAGAAAGGATGAAGGAAAGTGTGAGCCTATCTGTAGAATTCTTTTGTCTTTGAACTGTGGAATATGAGTCATCAGGAACAATGCTGCAGCATATCAGGCAAAGTCTGAATCCCAATGACACAATTCTAAGAACTGTCAGAATTGACTCATGCCCAGTGTAAGGGTATGGGTTACAATGAGGCTGACTAAAAGTGGGTGGGTGATTTTGGTTGCTTGCAAAAGTTTGTTTTCATTCTACACTCAGAAGAAGTCAGGGCTACCACTATTCCAGTGCGAGGCTGCCCTGCAGGTCTGTATGTGGGGAGACTGCCTTCTGTTAGGTTCAGAAGTGCGAGCACTCTGACTGCATCCTCTGGCATTTATTTATCCTCACAACTGAGCCAGCGGGCGGCCAGGTGTGTCCTTCCTCTGCTGATTCAAGTGAGCCCTTCTTGAAGGTGTGTGCTCTGTAGGAGGAAAAGACTCCTGTTTTCATTTTGGAGTATCGGTCCCTAAACACCTTTCTGTGATGTTTGAGGAAGATGTATTTGTATTGGTTTCTGTTCTAAGGAGACTAGTGTTACTGTAGGCCCTTTAACAAATGTGTTAGAAATGCAAATATTTGCATATGGAAGAATAAAATATTAAGAATAGTTATAAAAGTATATAATTTACTCATATAGAAATTATCTTATGAATGATCACTTTAGTTAACTGACATCTAGCTATCACATTACAAGTAACTGACACCAGCTTCGAGCCCACTAGCTTAGAATTCTGGTTTGGCAGACCGAAAGATGCATAGCCACAAGCTGTTTATCTCATGCTGACACAAAGCATACTGTTTAGCATCCTTTAGCCCCTGAGAAAATCTAATTTTTCAATTGCCCCTCTGTTTTCTAGAGCCACTCTAAGTTGTTAAAGATTTCAGAAACGAAGTCTGTTATCACAGTATTTTCTTGCAGACATCTGATTCTTCCTGAAGGTGGAAGAATCATCCATTTTATTTATTTTTTTCCTACAGGTTTAATTTGCTTTGCTCAAGTCTGTGGTGAGGATATTATTTGCCCTGGAAAATGACTTAAAAATATGACAGTGATCTCTTCAAGTTTGGGTTGGTTATTAGACTCAAGATTTTGGCAGTTAGTAAAGTTTCATTTAGAAAAATACAATATTTAGAGACCAACCATGAAGATTTTATTCGGGAAGCATTTTTTTTTTTTTTCCGCTCTCGTTGCCCAGGCTGTAGTGCAATGGCACAATCTCGGCTCACTGCAGTCTCCACCTCCCAGGTTCAAGCGATTCTCCTGTCTCAGCCTCCTGAGTAACTGGGATTACAGGTGCCCACCACTACACCCAGCTAATTTTTGGTATTTTTAAGAGAGACAGGGTTTCACCATGTTGGCCAGGCTGGTCTTGAACTCCTGACCCCAGGTGATCTGCTCACCTCAGCCTCCCAAAGTGCTGGGATTACAGGCAGGAAGCAATCTTTCTACAAAAGGGGCCCTCCTTGCCTTTCTTTGATTACTAATGGATAGAATATTTTTTCATGCTTCGTAAATATTTAATGACTTCTTTTGTGAATTGTCTGTACATGTCTTTGGGTATTATTTTATTAGAGTATTAGTATTTTTCTTGTTAATTTATATGAGCTTTTTATATATTAATACTATTATTCCTTTATCATTTTGGTGGTGAATATTTTTCTAGACTCCCTTTGCCTTCTAATTCTCTTTATATTCTGATTAACCCTTAAAGTTTAATTTAAAAATCTAGTAAACAATTGTTTTCCAACTGTGCTGGAACTGTTAACTGTATAATTGTTTTCTAATATGTAAATCTTTAGAAAATATAGTTAGGCACAATTAAGGATCATATTTTTGTTAGGGGGGTAAATATGGCTGAAAGATAAGCTAAAGTTAGGCTTTAAATTCTAAGGCAAGAGATCATCCAGTATAAATGTGTTTCAGTCTAGCACAGATGTTGTTGGATGCAATTATGGGTTATGATATGGTAAGGTATCCATGAATGCTTATTTCTTTGATGCAGTGCAGTGGTTTTCAAGCAGTCTGCATTGTGTAATATGTCACTGTCATATTATCTCATATTCTGTCATATTATCTCACTGTTTTGTAACTCTCATAGAAGTCCCCTTTTGAATCTACCATAGTTGGCAAGGAAAAAAAAAAAGGAAAAAAGAAGTCCCCTTTGTGGTAGACCCTTTTATGGATTTATTCATGTCACATCTACATCTATTGTCACATCTAAACGCACCCTGGGATTCTAAGGTAAATTCTTACTCTACAATATTCATCTCTGTGATGGAAGTTGTGGTCCTAACTTGGGTAATGCAATAGCTCTTGATCACAAGCTCCCTCCATCTGGAGGGCAGTATAGCCTAGTAATTCAGAGTGAGAGCTCTGCAATGACAATGACTTGGTTGGAGTCTGGCTGGCTAGTTACTCATTAGGAATCATGAAGAAGTTACTAGACCACCTTATTCCTCAATTTTCTCATTTCTAAAGGTAATTAATAACAGGTATCTATCTCACTGGGTTGTTAGGATAATTAACTGAGAATGTACTGTTCTCAAAAAGTTCTTGGCAAGTACGTTTGATAAATTTCAATGATCACCACCACTACTATACAGTCATTCCTTCCTCTTTCCTTTTCTTCAATTGATGGCATTCTAACCCCATTTTCCAGGTAGCAGGTTTTAAGAAGATGATGCTAAAACATAGAAAATCATGAGGGCTTAAAAAAATGTTAAAGTATAATAGTAAAGCAGTAGACAAGAACTTGGTGATGGAGCTAGGAAAAGATGCTTTACAGTTCAGTTTCAAAAGGGTCAAGGTTTCTTCCTATGCCCATCTCCCTGACTCACATGTCACATACTCCACATTTAAGATATTCTAACAGTGGGATCCGAAATAGAGGAACAGGATTTGAGGATGTTAATCTTACTTTGGTCTTTAATAATACATCTTTATTTGTCTATCTAGCCTGTGTACTATCACTAAACATATGTAATCTGGATATTCCTAGACGTAAAATATATATGTTTGCATACACAAACTCACATTGTGCATGTGTATTTGTTTAGAATATATAATGATGTAAGTTAGAGATCTAGAAAGTCTCAGATGCCTGCTGAGCCTCTGGTGGGAGTTACTCTGCTAATTCATCCCAGGGGGAGGAGCTTTGACATGATAAATACTGTATTCTCTAAGCTACAATGATATGCTTCTCTCTTCACAATAAAGTATAATGCATATCACTCACTACTTAGTCTGTATCTCCCAACTGAAGACGTTATTGCAATAAAAAATGCTTCCTTCTCAGGCCATAGAAAAGTAGGACATATATATATTCTTAGGTTCACAAAGGAGAAAAAGACTTCCTGATGTAGCTGATTGTGGTTTGTATTTTGAGCTTATGGCCAGTCTGCTGATATTTAATTACTTCAAATGGTGCAGTAAAAAACAAGAGTAAAGGAGCTAACATTTACCGAGTGGCCATTATGTGCTATATGATGTTAACTCATTGGATTCTCTACTGATTCTGTGAAATTGGCTTGATTACTTTCAATTTATGGATGGGGGAGCAGAGGTTCAAAGTAGTTGGTATATAGCAAAGCTCTGTTTGAACCCAGATTTCAGTGAGTCCCCAAATCATGCCCCACCCAGGGCCATGCTGCCTGCTGATACATCTGGATAAAGGAAAACAGAAAAATTCGTCAAGGATTTCCAGGTATGACATTTGAAGTGCTGGTCCCAGCTGGTCACTCTCAGGGCAATCAGCTGGAGGTCACTGTGGCTGATAACGACATTAGGTAGGTTTCTCCCTCAGCCATAAGCTTCTTCTCTCTGTGACCATTCTCTGGTTTTTGGGTACAGCCTCACTCTTGGCTACTCATCTGCGTGCTCTGACTTGTACCCTACCTCCTATGTCCCACCATAGTTTTTTATTTGCTAGATTTGCATTCTAACCAGCAAAGACATATTGGTGACAGTTATTTGCTTCACTTATTTATTTCAACTTTGATCCAGTGTTTTGAATATCTAGCTATAATTTGAAGCATGTATAACCTTCTGTGGAAAGAGTCAGCAATTAAGATGTCAGCCTTGTCAGGATTCCGGAGCACTATGCTGATAGGTACTTGGAAATGATATAGATAGAGCATATGCTAAAACCTTCTGGCATGTAAATATGTTGCTCTTTAATGGAAAGTTTCCAGGATTCGATAGGCAGCCTTTTGCAATGATTAAGGTATTCTGGGCTGGATTCAGCCTCCGTTAGTAATTTTTTTTTTATATTAGAAAGGGAGGCAGTATGTGGTGTAAGGTAAAGTGGGTGAGCCTGAAAGTCAGACTGATTCAGACTCAAATTTTAGTCCCAATCCTTACTGTCTGTGTGTCCCTGGGCTAGACACTTTACCTCTTTGAGCTCTGGTTATCTATCTGCAAAATAGATATAATACCTACCTTATGGGATGGTTTATAACACCCAGTATGGTGCATAGCACAGGCCATCACTGAGCAAATATGAGTTCTCTTCATCTTGACTGGAAGATAATGCTTTCTAAAGTTCTTGTGTTCAATGAGTGCATATATATGGACAGGAAGGCTGATTAAATAAGCCTTTTCTTACATAAAGACTATTTTTCTTTATAGGCCTTTATCTGTTCCAATTCAAAGGAAGGTTTAAGCCCTCTCATTTCCTTGATACCTCTGCATGAGATAAGACTTGAACTCAATATGCAACAGCTTGTTGGGTGTGTTCCATACATCTGTTATGTGCAAGTGTTCTTCCTGCCGGATCTGGGGAGCAGTGAGAGTCACATTTTGCTAGTAGACTTAGCTGTTGATGATTTCAACACAACATTTATCATGACATAGGGGATGCTTTTGAAATTGTGCAGGAAGCTGAAATGAGTAATGTGGCAAGTCAAGGCTTACAGCCATAGAAGGAACCACTTCTCGGCTGGGTAGGGAATGTGTTTCTTCTCAGACTCCTCTCTTCTGTGAATTCCATGCTCCCTGATAAAGACTGGCCTTTCCTACCAGGATACCTTATTAAAGTAAACTCAACAGTTTTTTCCAATGATGTCAAATGTGGCCAAACAAAGGCTTACAGTTGATGAGTACAAGCATAGCAAGGTTTTACCTTAATCAGCTCTTAGACATACTCCCCAGTGTCTAAAACTTGTTAACTCTTCTTTCACTTTTAATTCAACAGCTATATAAGTGCTTTTTATATACAAGCCATACTTTTAAAATGAAAACATAATATTTTAATCACCAAATGAGGGAAGACTTTTCTCTCTACAGAAATGTATGTTTTAGAAAGGATCCTGTGTACTTTAAAAAAAAAATCTCATGAGACCAATTAATTTGATTAATAAAAAACTTTTAAATTATTTTTAGTATTGTACTGTTAACTGTGTTCCAAAAGAAAATGTTCCTCAACCCAAATTTATAACTGTGTTTATTATTTTTCTAATTCAGCATCGAAAAACTAAGAAATGCATCATTTTTAAAAATCAGGAAGTATAGGGAACTGAGAAGAGACTGACTACCTTTCATTTGTATGTTCCTTTTCTAATTGTCAATATTGCTACTCATCAACTGCTAACACTAAATTTTCTGATGGCTTAAAGTCTAATAATAAAGCTACATTTTTATTTTTTTCCAAGAACTTCTTTATAGACAGAAATAAATTAAAATTTGCCACTTTCGACTGATAATTTGAAGCTCTAGAAATTGTCAGTACCAATATGGCACTCCTACAACATGACTTTAGAAGGCAGGAACTTTTGCATGAAGTCATAAAGAGTATTCAGAAGTTTGTAAATGCTTTCTGTCACTTTACTTGAAATTATTTGATTTTTAAAAATCATCCTTATGAAATGAGCAGAGAAGCTCTTATTAATACAAGTTTATAGATAAACAAACTGAATCTCAGCTTACATGACTTGCACAAAGCCACATATTGACCTGCCTATGAATACAGCACAGGCCTTTGTCCATTGATTTTTCCATCATCCCATTATTTGACTCAACTCCTTTAAGAGACCACATGCTCCCATTCACATAGTTTCCTTGTAAGAAGCAAGCAAGCTTTGTTCCTTGGTGGCCTGGACTTTAAACATGAATGGATAAAATCTGTAACTAATGGATAGAATCTATAACTAAGTATAGAGAAACTAAAACTAGTTCATAAATGCTTATGAATCCTTCTGTGTGTGTCTCTATTTTCCTTTTTATTTATTTATTTCTTTATATTTTTATTTTATTTTTGTAGAGATGGGATTTTGTCATGTTGCCTAGGCCGGTCTCAAACTCCCTGCCTCAAGTGATCCTCCTTCCTCAGCCTCCCAAAGTACTGGGATTTACAGGTGTGAGCCACTGCACCTGGCCTGCTTTCCCTTCTTTAAGTGCATTTGAGTCTGTAGACAGATCACATCTTGTCATGTGTGTCATTTATGTGTTTCCCGTAGAACCTAAAAGGAGAGAGACTGAAAGCTGGTCTGTGGCTATCAGTTGTGCTGATGCCAGTTCAGTTTACTGATCACGTTTACCAGGCTCAAGCTTTTAAAATGAGGCTCTATGGAAACGAATTGCCCATTTTAGGGACTTGAACGGGACTGCAATCAGCCATTTACAAGAATGGTGGAATATACTAAAAGATTAAGCTCTAATCATGTGTTTACTGGAAAATTTAAGGCAGCAAAACTTAAATCTCATTCTGCTGTTCAATAGCCATCTAGGGAGCAGCACAGCAAGTGGACTACAATGTTGGTGCTTATGGAGAGAAGGTCCATTTTCTACCTTCTGGCTCTTGAACTTGGTGATTTAGTTGTTTGGAGCTTACTTGTTTCAATAATAAAGCACACTATCTATGAGTGTTGGAGCCTTTCTTTCCTATATGGGAGTTATCTCCTCTGAGCATAGGTGGTGGCCACTCATTGAAAATGTTATAGATGGGCATTGGAGAAATTCCTTCCACATCTTTGGTTCTGGAAACCCCCAAAGCATTATTCTATTTTCCTTTTTTACTTTTTGCAAATTTAGGTAACCTTGAAAAATATACTGAGTAGCTAGCTTCTATTTCCACAGCTCTGGCATGGAAATTTCTTACAGGCTAGAACTGCTGCTTAGATTCGTTGCTATGCAACCAGGAGAGGAGTTCACAAGCTTTGTCACAAGCCAGCAATCAAATTAGAGGCAATATTTTCTTTTATGTGTGTTTTCTTTTTGTCAACTTTTGTGTTTGATATTGTTTGTTTACATCTTTTGGGAAGTTTTTATTTGTAGAAATGCCTTTTCCAGAGAAACTTTATTTGTTGAAGGCATTTTGGTTTGATCTTGCTACATTAAAAGGTGAGCTCCACCTCAAAGGCAGTAGGTATTGAATTAGACCTTGAAGCAAATAAAAGAATTCTTATAAAAACATGATGATGTCACAATACTGCTTTTGCTACTATCTTATTAAGAAAACATACATGTAGCTTTGCATTCTTTCCACTGCTTATTTTTACTTATTGTGCACTCTTTGACATAAATCAGTGACTCGGAACCTACCGTGCCTTTGTCCTCTTGACCTTGAAAGTCATCTCTGAATGAATACAAGATCATTTAAAACTTTATGGTCAGGATTTGTTCTAGCTGAATTCTTTGGAGCCATCTTTTACTTAAATCCCTCTTAACCTTTACAGATTTTGCCTTTCCAATACTAATGAACAGTTTTTAAACAAATGCTTGAATAAATGCTTGTAACCAATGTTTATATTTAAATTATCTATTTTCAATTATACATGGATGTGTATTGAGTGAGACTGAGGAGTGTGCCTCAGAACTGTTCACTGTATTCTTACAGATAGACAAGCAGAGATGGGGACACTAAAATGAGACAGCTCTTGTCCAGTGTCCCAAAAGTGGAAAAGATGGATTGCAGAAACTACATATCAATTAACTTGATACCAGTATCTGGCAAAATTGCAGTCTGGGTTCTTGAACTAATAGCTTGTAATTCCATAGCCACTGGATATGGGTTTTCGTAACATGTTTGATGAAGTATTTCTTGTGATAATCAACATTTCATTATGGTAATCTCTAATTTTAATGCTTGAGAAATAGCATTTAGCATTTTTTCTGCAAATGGCTTTCTATTTAAATTATTTGAAGAAATGAAACAGAACATTGAAACTGATGTAAATGTTTTTGAAATTCAGGGATATAATATTTGCATATAAACTTTATAATTTGCATTTCTCCCTCCTAATTTGGCCTACTATAGGAAGATCCTTTTTACTCTTTTGCCTTTTAAAGTCAATATTTAGCACTTCATTGCATGATGCCACACTCACATTTTAGGAAAATGTGATTCAAAACATTCAGGATGAGCTGTCTTTACCATTTGTGCCCTCCTAGAGCAAGTGAGGTTCTAGTTAGGGCCCTGTCACTGCTGGGGGTTTGCATATGCTATGTCAGTGCACTAATGGCTGTTGGAAAAAGGCCTGATACCTTGTCTTAGTTTCCAAACTCCTTTTGAGTTATTCATAGAAAAGTGGAGAATGAACCATTTTAAATCAAACCATAAAACATGAATTGGGAATGCTGATTTCTTTCACTTCTTCAAGACACAAGCATTTGCTGAGTAGGGCCCTTCATTTGTTTCAAGACGAGTGGAGCAGATACATTCTGCATCATGTACTAAACTCTCATTCTGACCCCCTTTTTTTAGATCCCTTTAGCAGCCTGATGAACCTATAAGAAGGAAAAATTTAAATGTGTGAAATGAAATATAAGAAATTATATTGAAATCATTATTGAAAAATTTAAAAATTGTAATAAAGTAATAGCTATATATTAGTGTTGCATTAGGTAATGAGATCTAGGAGAGGGTCTAACACCAGGTATATTTTTGATATCATGATGATTTAGGTCATATCAGGAGATATCTGCCTAAATGTAATCTGTGAATACTACTGTGACTTGTATCATGCCCGTATTTATAATGGAAGGAAATGCTATATTTCAGTGAGATGCCTGTGAAAATAAAGATGTACTTTTCCCATCCAAGCTCTATCCACAGACCCATTTGGAGGGGTCCATATATCCCAATTTAAGAACCTCTGATTACATGGGCCCCATTGACATAAAATCTAAAATTTAATATTAAAATGAGGTTATGATATACCCTTTTCAAATGGTAAGGTCTCTAGGGTTGGTATCCTTGGGGATAATTCCAATTGATATATGTCACTCAAACTGTATTAAGCGTGCATATTAGCGGAGACAAGTGAGTTTCAAATGTGTATTTTCCATGTGGCCTAGTTATCAATAGAATGGTAAATTTTTACAGAAGATGCCAAATGACTAAGCCCACTGCCAACCTTCCATTATATTGTGGGGAGGGAGGATAAGAAAAGAAGTCATAGTTTAAGTGGTGAAATTTCATCTGAAGAGGCTGTAAGTGACCAGGAGAAATGCCCAACACATTAGTAAATAATGCCAGTAGTCAAACTGAAAGTCTTCTGCATAAATAATAATACTGATTTTATGGATTTTTGTGAGAAATAAATGAGTTAATCCATATATAACACTTAGAGTCATGCCTGACACATGGTAAGCCCTGTATTAATGCTGCTCTTACTATTCCAGTGTAAGCTATTACTACTACATTTTACAAAAGTGATCCATCTATCTTTAAAGGAAGATTTTATGCACAAGCAAGTTTGTGCACACAGGCTTTTTATGACTGCATCTATATACGCTGTACTTCACTGAGCATATCAATAAATATATTTGAGATTATTGCATATAGAATTGCTTTGTTTTTTAAAAAGTAAACTTTGTCTTTCAGAATAATTTCAACCTTACTGAAAAGTTGTAAAAGCAGTACAGAGTCTACAGACTCCATGCCCAGTTTCCCCTATTGTAAACATCTTCTATTACCATGACACATTTATCAAAATGAAGGAATCAACATCAGTACCACATTATATTTTATTAACTAAACTCCACACTCTATTCAGATTTCACTAGTTTCTCCCTAATGTCCTTTTTTATTTTTTGGTTCCAGGATCCCACCCATTATCCAGGTCTCCTATAACCTCTTCTAATGTCTGCTAGTTTCTCAGTTTTTTCTTGTTTTTGATGACCTTGACGGTCTTGAGGGATACTGGTTAGATGGTTTGAATACCCCTCAATTTGAGGTTGTCTGAAATTTTTCTGATGGTGACACTGGGATTATGGGTCTTGGGAGCTTGACCACAGAGTTGAAGTACCATTCTTATCACTAATAACAAGATTATCTGCTGTCATCGTGACTTACCATTGATGTTGCTAACCTTGACGACCTGAACAAGGCAATTTTTGCCATGTTTTGCGTTATAACTTTTTTTTTTTCTCTCTTTCCATACTCTACTTTTTTTGTAACAAGGCAGTGAGTACAGCCCATATTCAAGGTGTGGGAAGTTAAAGATCCATTTCCTTGAGAGGGGGATGTTGGGTGTGTGTGCGGGTATGTGTGTGTGTGTGTGTGTGTGTGCGTTGTATAAATGTTTAATGACTTTGTAATCATCCATTGAACTTTGCAAGACATGTGAAAGTCTATTTTTGACATCTATTAGTTCTCCCCAGATAAAAATTAGATTTAGAGTTCCAAAAGATATTTCCCAAAATCTAACCTCTCCCTTCATACATATTTCTTATTTGGGGACACCTCTGTCTAGTTTTCCTGAAACTTCTTTTTGTTTGTTTTCAAATATGTTTCTAGTTTATTTTTGGCATGCTTTGTGTAGATAGCTGAATTCAAAATAAACAATGAGCTACCTTATTGGCTTTGTTCTCATCTATATTCGTAGATGAGAATGGCTAAGCTACTTACCTGACAGCAAATTATTTGATCCAGGTAACTAAATAATCAGTCCTTCATAGAACTATGTTTTTGAAATCATTAATATCTAATATCTAATCAAATGTTACATATAACCTTGTAACTTAAAACTTCAGTATGCACTCACATATTTTGGGGCTCTTTATTCAATTAGCAGATTATTTATTGAGCTTCTGCTATGTTCTCACCATGGTTTGGTGGAAAGACAAATTAGATGCCTGCTATGAGAAGGTTCATATTTCTAGTGGGAGACACAGAGAATAAACACATTAAAAATTAATGGAAAAGATCATTTTAGAGAGTAGTAAGTGCTTTGAAGAAAAAAACCAGAAAGCAGGGTGAAGTGCTAGTGAATTACTTGGTCATAATGACTATTTAGGGACTGCTGTAAGTTTTGTGATCATGGAAGTCCTCAGGAGATGGCAGTTAAACTGAAGTCTGGGTATGCAGGAGCATCAGATATATGAAAACCTGGGAGAAGAACATTTCAGCAAAATCTGGAATTAGGAGTAGTCTTGGCAAATTCCAGGAATAAAGAGAAGGTCAGACACAAGTAGATTTTAAACAAATGTTGATTAAATTCAACTGAAAACAGTGTCATTGTCCAAGACACTGTATGAGTACAGAATCCTAAATTCTTCACTATCTCCTAGCACTTGGAACAACTAAGACTAAAATCCAGTTAAAAGTAGGAGCTTTTGAGTCAAATATTGTTTGCTACCTATATAATTTTAGGCAAGTCATTTAAGCCATTTTTCTGAGTGTACAAACTGGGGTTATTTAAAGCTGTCTAATAGGCTGGACGGAAGGGAGTAAAAGAAAGAATGTAAAGTATTTAATATGGACCTTGGTACATTCTAATTATTTAATAAAATGGTTGCTGTGCGAAAACAAAACGAAACAAAACCAAAAAACAAAGAGAAAGCCAGAGTTGTAGAAGAGAGGACAGAGAAGTAGAGAAAGGGTTACAGAGGAAGGCAGGGCCTTGTCCATGTGGGGCTTTACAGACAAAGTTGAATTTTATATGAAATCTCTAGATGGCTTTAATCAGAGGAGAGGGACATGAGTTTTAAAAAACGTGAGTGTTTTAAAATAATCTTCTAGCTGCTGTATGGAAAATAGATTACGGAGAGAGATGAGGAAGCAAGAACACCAGTTAGGATATCATTGTGAGAGTCCTTGTGAGAGATAGATGATGGGTTGTACTAGGGCAGTAACAGTGACATGGACAAAAGTAGACAGATTGGGAAATATTGTGCGGTTAGAACTGTTAGAATTAGTAGATGAAATGGAATAAATTATTGCAGAAAGGAATCAATAGAAAAGATAAGGTGATGATGTTATATAAACTGCCTCACATAGAAATAGCCTTTCATGTGAGTAATGTTAAAAGTATTTGACTTTATATTTTTAATTAATACTTTAAAAGAAGCGCGGTATCGAATATCCACATTAACACACTAGGAATAAGTTAGGGAGTCGTGTCCATTATAACTTAGTTAACATATTTTGTAGTAGAAGAGAAACCTTGCTTACCAAGTTAGTGGGCTCTTAATTTTTACCATCTGATGAGTCTGTCATAACTACCAAACACAGGCTGGGCTCAGTGGCTCATTCCTGTAATCCCGGCAGTTTGGGAGGCCAAGGGGAGAGGATCACTTGAGCTCAGGAGCTTGAGACCTGCCTGGGTGACATAGTGAGACCTTGTTTCTATGGAAAATAAAAAAAAATTAGCCAGTCACAGTGGTGTGTGCCAGTAGTCCCAGCTACTCAGGAGGCTCAGGTGGGAGGATTGCTTGAGCCCAGGACGTCAAGGCTGCAATGAGCCATGTTTGTGCCACTGTACTCCAGCCTGGGCAACAGAGCAAGACCCTGTCTCAACATGAAAAACAACAACAACACAAATAACTACCAGACACACAATGTTAAAACTTTGTCTTTAACAGTTAATTTCCAACTGAGGGATTAGCCTTCCTATTTATTTAATCATTCATCCTCAGGGAATTCTCATTTTAGTAATAATATTTCTGATGTAATGTTCACTATGAATTGCTTTTATGTCATAGTGATGTTACTATTTAGCAAAGCAGAATAGGTTCAACCATACATTGATGTTTAACTTTGAGATTACTGAGGAAACATTTAATTTTGTACCGTTACTTTCATGCAAAATACTTTTTGATAAAGGGTTTTACAAAGCTTTCTTTGGAATGAATAACTAAATATAGTCACAATTTTGACATTTTGACTTATATCAAATACAGCAATTCCTTTCATGAGCACTTGGAGTTTAATTTTATACACTTGCTTTGCTTTACATTTCCAAGGTAATCTTTTCTGTATAAAGAAACATTATTGTTAATATAACAAAAACTTCATTAGTCAGGCTCAATTTAATATTTTTAGATAAAGTAGGCAAGATAGGTACAATTTATTTTTGTATCCTAGAAAGAAGGATTTGCTAAGGAACTGAGGAGTTAAAGAGAAGGGAAATATTTGTCTCTTTAATAAACTTTTAAAGAATACTGCGTAAGTATATGGATATCACCAAAGCTAAACAAAGGGATGTTGTTGATACACTGTGTATGGCTCTTGTCTGATTATTAGGGCAGGTGTAACTGCACTTTAATTTGATAACACTCAGCTAACTTAGTTTCTGCTACGATGTAACAGATGTTCCTGGATCCCCAGTTGTTGTTGTTCTTTTTTAAAGAATAAGATGCTGTAAGTTGAAATGGATTTCTCTATCACAACCTGTTAGTTTCAAACAAAGACTTCTGCCCAAATTTATTTTTAGGAATATAATTAACTCTATGTATTGAATATTCTTTAGCATCACCTTACCGAAAGTATTAGAGCTATTTTATTATGTGAAGTTCAGAAAAAGGAACCAAGCTTCGTGAACCACTTTAGAATATATACTTTAAAATTATGAAAACAAGAAGAAATATGTAAAATTGCTTCAGTCCTTATAAGAATATTTTGATATTTTATCTTGTTATTCTTAAGAAAGGGTTGCAGTTCCTATTGCTCAAGGAGATTTTATTCTCCTTGAGTTAACAAAAAACAAAACCAAAAGTTGCCATTATGAATCATGTTGATCTTTTGATTACATTGCTTGAACAAAGAGGAAAGAAAGCTCTATTGAAACTCTTGAGAAATTCTATGGCATCTAGGATTTGAGCTGATTCTTCAGGGGTGTGTAGAATTTAATTTAAGCAAAGGGAGATGACAAGAAGCCTTGGGGGAGGTGAAGGAGGCGGGAAATGACAGCACTCATTCTGGCCTGCCTGTTATAACCAGGGATTGTGCCCATCGCTTGACTGGTCACTGGGAAGTTTGAAAGGTACCCTGAACAGAGAGGCTGCTAAATACATACAGTAGTATAGGTAGATAACATATTTGCCTGCTGATTTGCATACAGGTTACTAATGTATATTTGAATCAATTAAACAAGGCAACAGAATCCCATAAGCTACATTCATGTTATGATATCTCGGCAGTCTGTTTTATTTGCTTCCCATCTCATTTGTAATTCCTAATCTGACTGCTGCAGATCAAAAGAAGAAAGAACATGTGTGGTAGGAGGGAGAATTCATAGGGATTCCTCTGGCTAAATATTGATAGACATTTCTGAGATGAGCTTTTGGTTTGTAGTCTCCTGGTCTAAAACTCTGTAAAAGAACAGTTGATTTAATGGTTTCTATTTTTTTTACATTTGGGGGCTCGCTTTAGTGGAGGGGAATGCTAAGAATTTTTAAGGAATACATTAAAATAACTGCATTTTTTAAATCAGGAAAATTTCATATTGATTGAATCTTTTTATGCGGTATGGATTCAATTTTTTATGTAAATAGTCTTTCTATAATTTACTGATTTTAAAAACTTGGTTTCTTATAAATCTGATTTAATTTTGGGGTTTCTAATGTCCCAGTCTACAGAAAGTTTGTAAGGGAACAGGTGATTTCATGCTTCTGTTTTCTTATTTGGGGGCACTCACATTAGTGATGGGAATCCTAAAAGAGTTTCAAAGATTACATTTAAATAGTTGCATTTTTTTAATCAGGAGAATTCTATATTCAGTGGATTCCCTGATATGAATTCATTTTTTGATTTAAGTAGTCTTCTTGTAATTTACTTGTTTCAAAAATGTACTTTTGTATATTGGATTTGCTTAAAGTGAAACATGTCTAATATACTATTGACTTTATATTAAGACCATTAAAGTATCCAGTGGACAAATCTATCGGTACTTCTCAACATGTATTCTAAAATCCTATCAGGTTTAGTGGATAGGCAATCTGGAAAATTATTTCTTACACAATATTAAAAATAAGAGTTGATTCTACCATAGCGTATAGTAAGGTAATGGCTGCAACTGTGTATGCGACTGTTGCCATGTTTGATTAGGGCATGCATATTTGACATATAAAATATTGTTCTTATTAATGTTCATAGCAGTGGATTTATTTGGGTAAATTTTAATTTCAGTGTTGGTGATTTCATTATTGTTGAGTGTTCAGCCATTTCACAGCTTGTTAAAGATCTATTTCAAGCATTTGTTTTTCCTTCAGCACAGTTTCCCAGTATCTAATTATTAAAGAGAACATATAATATGTAGAACAAATTCACATGTGCAAAACTGACAATCCCAGAAGTGTTATATTCTTATTTGTATCATAGTCTTATTCATGTCGGGTAAAATCCACATTTCTCAAATTTCTCTTCTTTTCCTCACTGAGCCTCTTAGCAGGGATGCTGTACATGATACTGCAGGCGTGCTGTTAGGAATATTAAAAAGGTTAAGAGCCTCAAGCTGAAGAATTACGGGGAAAGGATTCAGTGTGAACTGTCAATCAGGCCTCTTGTGCCTTTTTTTGTTTGTTTTTGTTTTACTTTCTTGTTGGCAATATCTGGGGAAAATGAAACTACCTTGGCAAAAATTATGATAGTGAGAAAAATCTGACATAGGAAAATTATGACAGTGAAAGAAATCTCACCTAACCAACTCCATCTTGCTTTTAATTATCAAGCTACCCTTGTTCATTCCTGGTTGCAGGCAAACTAACTTTGGGAAGAATTTAGTTCATAGTTTAACTTTGAAACAAAGATAACAGTTCCTCCCTAAAATAAACCCCCTTCTAGTTTGGGGACCAGACCTCCTTTTAAAAACTAACAAATTAGCCACAGGATTGGAAATTATAGCTCAGGAGTCACACAGCCAGAGACCGCAAGATTTCTAACTACTCCAGTTGCTCTTATAGATAACATTATTATTGTAAAACCTAAGGTTGGTGTTCGAGGCATTTTTCAGACCCTGCATTCTGATAGACCAACTGGTGCCATCTGGACTAGTAAACTGGATCATCTTGTCTTGTGGCCCCAACCAGGAACTGACTCAGTGCAAGAAGACAGCTCCAATCCCTATGATTTCATTTCAACATAACCAATCAGCATTCCCCATTTCCTAACCCCCTGCCTGCCAAACTCTCTTTCAAAAACCCTAGCCTCCAAATTTTTGTGGAAGCTGATTTGAGTAGTAATAAAACTCCAGCCTCATGTTTATTTGACTCTACATGTACTAAACTTTCACTATTGCAATTCTCCTATCTTGATAAGTTAGCTCTCCCTGGGCTGTGGGCAAGAAGAAGCCATGGGACAGTTACAAAAACGTGAAGCTCTTTTACCTGCTACTGTTCATCAATTTTTAAAAAAAATAGATTTTCCAGGGACTTGTTTGAGTTGACAGGTTCTGTGCTTCATATCAAGGTCTGAACATTTTATTTATTTTTCTAGAATGTTTCACTCCTTCAGACACCATAGACTTCAGGGGATACTTACCTTGTTGGAAGTAGCAGTAATCTAAAGGATCCCATTAAGCCAGAATCAGCCTGAAATTGCTAATGGCTGCCTGAAAAGAACAGTCATCATTCCCTGCAAGGTGATTGTGAGGAAGCCAGAGAACATGCATTACTCAGGCACAACCAGCAGGACTAACCCTTGTAAACCTCTCAAAGACCTCATCATAGTGAAACTATTGCTATAACATAGCAATAGTTCACAAAGGAATGCCTGAAAAAAACCAACATTACTATGAATGTAAATTTTCTGCAGATAAATTACAGATCACAAATGGCAAAACTCATAAAAAATTTGCTGTGTCTACATTTTACTTTTCTTATATATATTTTTTTCACATATAGTCGTGTGTGTGTGTGTAAAAATAGGCATATATCCTTATCCTTATAGGTTGAAATGCAAAAACTATGATAGTAAGTTAACATTAATTTGCACAATGTTATTAAATGTAATGAATGATTAAATAATATATTTTTGAAAGAATAAGACTGGAAAGAATCAGGTACATGCTATAATCCAGATTTTTCGAAGAAGTTCATAAGGTCTTTAACTGAAAAATGTATTATTTTTAGAGAAAGCCCCAGAAGGACCAAGTAGCATACACTGTATTAATAACTGTTGCCTAGTATGATGGGTGTGAAAGCTGTAGTCCGGGGATTAGCCTAAGATTGTGTGAGTCTTTTTGTGGCTATAGTCCCTGCTATAACAATCTTTACAAAGAAACATTGAGAGGATTATAGGGAAAGATATAGAAAGGTAGGTAGAAAGATTTCTATATGGGTAGATGAACAGGGAAAGAGAGAAGAGGAAGAGAAACTGATTATTTTAATTTTTTCTCATGTTTCATATGAAAATTATGAAAATTAAAACAGATAATTCTTTAATAAGTTTTAGTTCTATAAATCTCTTCTATGAATATCGGTCATTTGCCCAGTGCAATGATGTAGGGAAGGAAGCTTCAATGGGACTACGTAAACATGTGACTTATCCTAATTTGCATTTTAGAGCATGTGGAAAATAGATATTGGTTCCAGGCCATCTATTTTTAATGTGTAAGTATGTGCTTTCACTGTAACCACTTTTAAGTCAAAGCTTACAGGCATTTCATTCACAGAAACCCATGTAGATACCTTCATTTTCCTGTTTGTAGCTTTTTTTGTCAGCAGAAAAATTAATGGATTAAAACTTGAGTGAGGCAACCATCCACTTCACCACAGTTCCCTTGAACAGGAGATATTTTTCTTAGAGCCCTTTCATCAAAATTACCTTTGGTACATATTTAATTTTCTTGTAGTAAATACACATTTGGCCTCCTAGCCTTAAAGGCCCTAAAGGAGATGAATAAACATTGTTCATACTTTTAGAAATATTGAGAATGTCCAGAAAGCAATAGAAACCTCAAAGGTCATGATTTAAAAAAAAATTTTCCTAATTATGGATTAAAATGTTTTATTTGCTACATGAAAAAGATTTGGAGGCTATTTGTCCTAAAGCTGCCTTTTATTATTCTATATTACCTGCCCTTAAGTACTTAATTCTCTTTATAGTGAGTCCTTTGAGATCAAGGCACGATATCCTGGGGTAGAAATCCATGGATAACATTTTACATAAGGTAATAATTTGTATGTTTTGATTAAAACAAATTTCTTTACTTCCCAGCTACAGGACAGGCACAGAATGTCTTAAAAGGGTTGGGGGAAAATGGTCATCAGTTCCTTGGATATGGAGGACCTATGATAATAAGAGTTAATTAATAGGTGCTTAAAGATCCTTAAGATTAATTGCTGTATTCACTTAAATATCAGTTATCTTTCTAGCCACTGCTAATTATCTTTAAGGTAGCCCTTGGCAACTCTAAAAACTTCTATGTGATATTGATCTCAACAAAGACATTAGGGGTCATTCATGCCTCTTGACTAACAGAAATTCTAAGTAGGTTTCAAAAAGAGGGAAGAAAAAGGGAAAGAGTTTTCTTTCTACCCCTTCTCTCCACCAGGATATGGGCCTTTGGAAAGAAGGTTAGGGTGTGTTTTCTCTGGATTCGTTGTGGAGTGTTACTTTCATCAATAACTTCTTGTTATATTTAGCCAGTCAACAGCTCAAAGAGCCTACCAGAACCGTCAGAAGGAGTGTGTGAGGGGAATACTCTCGAACTCTAGTCTGTCTTGAAGTAATTCAGTCTAAATTTCTTTTTTTCTTTTTTTGAAACGGAGTCTCACTCTGTCGCCCAGGCTGGATACAGTGGCGTGATCTCAGCTCACTGCGACTTCTGCCTCCTGAGTTCAAGTGATTCTTCTGCCTCAGCCTCCCGAGTAGCTGGGATTACAGGTGACTGCCACCAAGCCTGGCTAGTTTAATTTTTGTATTTTTAGTAGAGACAGGTTTCACCATGTTGGCCAGGCTGGTCTCGAACTCCTGACCTCAGGTGATCCACCCGCCTTGGCCTCCCAAAGAGCTGGGATTACAGGCGTGAGCTACCATGCCCAGCCAAAATTTGTATTAACTCAGTTACTCAATTATTCACTTGATTCCTCTCCAATCTCTCCATGCCTTGCTTCACATGTAGTAGGCTGGTTATGGTGTGCACTCAAGGATGGTAATCTTTGTGTTTACTGTCTAATTCATTGTCCTATACATTCTATAATCTGAAATCAAAATATTGTTCTTGGTTGCAAACAAGAAACTGATTCTGGCTAACTTTATTTTTTTCTATTTTTTTCTTAAATGTTTAAATTATTAAAAAAAGCTTGTGGGTACATAATAGGTGTATATATTTATGGGGTACATGAGATGTTTTGATACAGGCATTCAATGTGAAATAAGCCCATCATGGAGAATGGTGTATCCATCCCCTCAAGCATTTATCCTTAGAGTTACAAACAAACTAATTACATTCTTTGTTATTTCAAAATATACAATTAAATTATTATTGACTATAGTCACCCTGTTGTGCTATCAAATAGTAGGTCTTATTTATTCTTTCTATTTTTTCGTACCCATTAACTATTCCCACCTCTCCCCCAAGCCTCCATTATCCTTCCAAGTCTGTGGTAATCATGCTTCTGCTCTCTATGTCCATGCGTTTAATTGACTTGATTTTTAGATCACACAACTTAGTGAGAACATGTAATATTTGTCTTTCTGTGCCTGGCTTATTTCACTTAAAATAATGACCTCCAGTTCCATCCACATTGCTGCAAATGACTGGATCTCATTCTTTTTATGGCAGAATAGTACTCCATTGTGTATATGTATCACCTGTTCTTTATCCATTCATATGTTGATGGATACTTAGGTTGCTTCCAAATCTTGGCTATTGTGAACAGTGCTGCAAGAAACATGGGAGTGCAGATATCTTGTCGATATACTGATTGCCTTTCTTTTGGGTATATACCCAACAATGGGATTGCTGGATCATATGGTAGTTCAATTTTTAGTTTTTTGAGGAACCTACAAACTGTTCTCCATAGTGGTTGTGATTCTGGCTAACTTTAGCAGAAAAATCATCCATTTGAAGAATATTTGCTTGAGCCTGGGAGGTCAAGGCTGCAGTAAGCCATAATTGCTCCACTGCACCACTGCACTCCATGGCTGACAGAGCAAGACTCTGCCACAAAAATAAATAAATAAATAAATAAATAAATAAATAAATAAATAAATAAAATAAAAATAAAAATAAAAAATAACGGATGTTGGATAGTTTGCAGATTTGAATGGAAGCCTGGAGAAGAAGGCTTGGAATTATGGCAGAAGCAGAAGAATGTGGCAAGCTAAATAATACAGCCAAGGTCATGCCCCAGAAAATGTCCAGTTAGGACTTTACTAATGGAGCTGGTCATGATCGCTGCTGGACGCCAACCCCAGTCATCACTTCTGTGAATAACCTGCTGCTACCCCTGTGTTTTGTGTCTCTTGCTCTCTGGCACACTTGTGTCCTTTGAGGTATCTGGGATAACTGCTAGTTTTCAGCACCTTTATGCATGGTGTCTTCAATGTCATTAACTACAGTTGGCCCTCTGTATCCACGGGTTCTGCATTCACGTATTCAACAAACTGTGGATTGAAAATATGTCGGAAAAATAAACAATAAAAAATAACAATACAACAATAAAAATACAAGTAAAAAACCAATATAGTTTAACAACTATTTACATAGCATCTACATTGTATTAGGTATTATAAAAGTAGTCTAGAGATGATTTAAAGTATGCAGGAACATGTGAGTAGGTTATATGCGAATACTATGCTGTTTTGTAGAAGGGACTTGAGTATCTGCAGATTTCCCAATGTCCATGTCTACTAAATGGCCACAAAGACTTTTGAGAAAGGCTGGGCAAAAGACTCATGAACTATACTTATGATGTTACTGCAGATATATATAACCATTCTTCATGTTGTTCTTCACTTGTAAGTTGATCTTGAAAACATAGTAAACTAGAACCATTAAATCTGAAACACTCAGTTCCCAATTATTTGTGTGGGTTGACTGACATTTCCATTTATCTTGGCCAGTTTTCTTTTCAAGTAGTTCCCAAATAGCCTCATAAAGAAGTAAAGTGAATGAGATGAAATTAATTTTAATAACATTTTAATCTAATATACTCAAAATATTATCATTACAACATGTAGTAAGTATAAGTAATTATTGAAGAGATATTTTACATGTTTTTCCATACTGAGTCTTCAGTGTCCAGTGTGTATTTTACATTTACAGTACATCCCTATTCACACTCAACACATTTCAAGGGTGCAATCCCCACATATGACTGGTGGCTACGATATTGGATAGGGCAGGGCTAAATTATGTTACTGGATTCCAAGAGTTGGCCATGAATTCTTCAGTAAATAGTTCTGGACTATTCTCAGATCCTCACCTGGAAGGAGAAATACAGAAATAGAATAAATCAAACTTGTCTAAAGTGTATTTTCATTATGTGCTTTTTATAAAGTGTATCCAGAGTAAACATAAAAAAGAATTTGTGGCTTGAAGACTACACCTACTGTTTTTAGAAATCCAAGTAGCAGCAAACAATTATTAGAGAGGGGCAAAATTGTGGAAATTGAAAGGAAGGCTATTTCTTCAGTTAGGATTGGTTGAGAGGAAAACCAATCGCAATTTAGCAATACTGAAAGGAAGTTTGTTGAAATAGTACATTTAAAAAATGGTGGTGATAAATTATCCATAATAGCCAATGGAATCTTTTTCCATCTAAGACCTTTCAGAATGAAAATTGTTGAAAGGAAAGAATTACAAGATTATTTTATTTCTGGTTGGGCATACCAATGCCTTTTTTTCTTTAAACCAGTTTTGTTGTTTCTATGGAATGAAGGCATTGCCATGGAGATTAAGGCGCTCTCTTCTTTCATGCTGTATGTTGCCAGTTTTATCCTGCTTCAAGCCACAGTCATCTGTGACTTCAGTTGTCATCACATGGTTAATGAGCCAAGTCAACGTGCTACCTTGAACTTAAAAAAAGTCTATCAGTAACTTAGTTGATTATAACAGGCACAAAAACCATGTTTATATGATGCCATTTCATATAGAAGATGCATAAATATTTACTAGGCATTTGGATTTTAGGATCAGACTTATTAAGAGCTTCTATGAGATTGATATTGTTTATTTTGCCTAAACTTTTTATCATGGAAAATTTCATATATGTGCAAAATTAGAATAAGATAATTAACCTCCATGTAACCTTTAGTCTAGCTTCAACAATTTTAACTGGTACCTAATTTCTTTTTCATTTGTAACTCTATCCCCATTTACCCGAAAGTAGAATTTTAGAATCATTGACAATCCATAAGTAATTTCAGTATCCTTAATAAAATGCTACACACACTAACAATTTAAGAATCTTAATATCATGAAACATTAAATGTTTGTATTTCTGAAATTATTTTTTAAAATAATAGACTTGTTTGAGTCAGGCTACAATCAGGATGTACATGTTGCCTTTGGTTGATAGGCTTAAGTCTCTTAATCAACAGACCTCCTCTTTCTCCCCTTTCCCCGTTGTAATATATTTTTGTTTATTTGTTTTGGTGTTTGTTTTTGAGACAGGGTCTCACTCTGCCTTCCAGGCTGGAGTCCAGTGGCGCGAACATGGCTCACTGCAGCCTCAACATCCTGGGTTTAAGCCATCCTCTGAGTTCTGCCTCCTGAATAGCTGGGACTATAGGCATGCACAACCATGCCCAACTATGTTTTTTTTTATTTTCTGTAGAGACAAGGTCTCACTATGTTGCCCAGGCTGGTCTCGAACTCCTGGGCTGTCTTGGCCTCCCACAGTGCTGGGATTACAGGCATGAGCCACCTCACCCAGCCCCTTTGTAATATATTTTTTGAGAGAATTAGGTAATTTGTTCTTAGAATTTCTCACAGTTTAGATTTTGCTGGTTGCATCCCTGTGATATTGGTTATCATGTGCCTCTATCTCCTGCATTTCTTGTATAATTATAATAATAATTAAACTGAGAAACAGGCCAGGCGTTGTGGCTCACGCCTGTAATCCCAGCACTTTGGGAAGCCAAGGCAGGTAGATCATGAGGTCAGGAGTTCGAGACCAGCCTGGCCAATATGTTGAAACCCTGTCTCTACTAAAAATACAAAAATTAGCCAAGCATGGTGGCACTCGCCTGTAATGCCAGCCGGTTGGGAGGCTGGGGCAGAAGAATTGCTTGAACCCGGGAGGCAGAGGTTGTAGTGAGCTGAGATCGCGCCACTGCACTCCAGCCTGGGTGACAAAGTGAGAATCCATCTCAAATAATAATAATAATAATAATAATAATAATAATAATAATAAAAACTGAGAAACTCAACCAGATTTATATTTAATTTTTTTTTGCTAGGAATATTTCATAGGTGCTATTGTGTGCTTTCCTGTAGAAACACATGCTGTCTAGCTGTCTCTCTTTTTGTGATGTTAACATTGGTGAACATGTTTGTGCATTATTAGCTTGGACCATCCATCCATTATAAAATTCCCTATCAAATTTTCAGCTAATGGGTTTAGCAGCCATTGATGATGATTGCTTTGATCCATCATTTCATTAGGATCACAAAAATTCTAAAACTGTCATTCTTTCTTAACTTATTACCTGGAATATTTTGACATAGAAAAACTTGCTTTTATCAACAATTTGGTTACTTTGAGGTACAGTTTCTAAAGTAAAGACAGGATTAATATTTGATTTTTTCCTTATTAAGTAGTTTGGTTTGTTGGTTCCCTGAGGTATCCTCTAAAGGTAAATAATGTTTTGGGGTATTTTTTAAAGTATTATTATAATTTCTGGATTTAAACATGCTAAATGTATTTTAATCCATTCTATCTATTACTGTTTTTGATGCCTCACTCTGGCTAGTTGGAAGCCTCTTTAAGTTGGCACTGAGTCCATGACTGCAGTGGATTTTGACAGCTTCCTTGCTTTCTGTAGTGCCAAGATGTTCTAGGCTCATCTTACATTTCTCCGCTCCAGATCTTGAATCAGCCATTTCTACAAGGTTTTTGGAGGTGAATAAATGCTTTTAGAGACCACACCTGGGCATCTCGAGTTTTAAGCCTAAGGAATTAGTTAGGGAAACTCTAATGAAAGTAGCCATAATCTCAGTGGCTTAATGTAATTCAAGTTTATCTTCACCTAATGATATGGTTAGACTTTGTATCCCCACCCAGATCTCATCTTAAATTGTAATCGCCAGGTGTTTAGGGAGAAACCTGGCGGGAGGTGATTGGACCATGGGGGCAGTTTCCCCCATGCTGTTCTCTTGAGAGTGAGTGAGTTCTCACAAGATCTGATGGCTTTATAAGTGATAGTTCCTTCTACACATGCTTTCTTCTCTCTCTTGCTGCCATGTGAAGAAAGTCCTTCCTTTCCCTTCTCCTTCCACCATGATTGTAAGTTTCCAAGGCCTCCCCAGCCATGCAGAACTGTGAGTCAATTAAGCATCTTTCCTTTATAAATTACCCAGTCTTGGATATTTCTGTATAGCAGTTTGAAAATGGACTAATACATCTAATATATTGGCAGACAGTCTTCCATGCAGTAATTTGCAGACCCAGAAGCCTTTTATCTTACAGCTGCCGTAACCCCTAGTGGCTCAGAATCCTGTACTTTCAGTGGAAAAATACAAAAAGGAAAGTGGACAGATACCTACGTTTTAACTACTTTGTTTTGGAGGTGATACATGCAATTTCTACTTTTTATTAGTGAGAATTAGTCATGTGGTCCTACCACAAAGCAACATGGTACTAAATGTGGCCCCTGGCTACAATATCTATGGTATAGATATTGTACATTGTATAGAATACACATTGTACAATATATTGTAGAAGCAGAGCACACATCTTGGTTGGATGTCAAGCTGTCTCTGCCAGAAACCAGCTCTTCTGTCACTGCAAATCATGTGCCCTCCCCTACTCCTCCAGAGTCAATCCAAAGTCTCAGTTGGTTACTGCATCTGGCTCAAGGTATAGTATCTTCCATCACATTAAATAAATATATAGTGGTGGGGTAAAGATAGGCAACCACAAAAAAACTCCCGTTTGGAAAAACGAAGGTGAGCCACAGCTGTCACTGGTCCATAGAAATTTTGGGCTACTGTTGGGTATACATTATGAGGTGTTTCTGCTCTGACATTGAAAGAAATTTCTCGATTAGACTCAAATTCTACCCTCTGAGAACAATTCCCTGCTGATTGCTCTCTGTAGCCCTTGTCACTACTCTGGAAAATTCTTTCTTATCCATTTTCATCCACGTTCACATTTAAAGTGATTATTGAAGACTGTACCATCTTTGGAATCTATACACCTCTTGCATTCTGCTTCCTACCCTTGCAAGTTTGAAGGTAACTTTGGAAATTCTAAGGTTTTTTTTTTCCCTTTTTTAACACTCAAAATGTCAAAGTCTTTTTTTTGTTTGTTTGTTTTTGTTTTTGTTTTGAGACGGAGTTTTACTCTTGTCGCCCAGGCTGGAGTACAATGGTGTGACCTCAGCTCACTGCAACCTCTGCCTCTGGGGTTCAATCAATTCCCCTGCCTTAGCCTCCCAAGTAGCTGGGATTACAGGTACCCGCCACCACGTCGAGCTAATTTTTGAATCTTTGGTAGAGACAGAGTTTCACTGTGTCAGGCAGGCTGGTATTGAACTCCTGACCTCAGGTGATCCACCCACCTTGGCCCCCCAAAGTGCTGGGATTACGTACGTGAGCCACTGCACCCAGCCTAGTAGTACAGTTCTTCACCTTGGTACATGTCTAATCTATATTCTTCCAGTTAGTTCCATTTGCCAATAACCTCACTCAAAGGTCTGTCAAGGTATAACTACAAACCTTGTTGTTTCCTTTACTTCCTAATTCCCTTGGCTATATCTCTCATTTAGAGGTAGCTATTATATGTCACCTGAAGTGATAGGGAGAAGGGCGTATTCTTAATCTGACCTTTGTTCCAGGGCTAAATCTCAATGGGTTTTTTCCTTCAAAGTTGTTCTCAGTATCCTATCTTACTGTCTGGGGTCTTTGGGGGCACTCAGCCTTTTCACTTCTGCAAGTCCCCAAATTTCTGAATGTTCTCTATCCTATACTTAAACTTTCTCATAATTTCTGCCTAAGCTCATCTCTTGCTTCCAAAACTTTGCCAAATGTTGACAATAACAACCAATATACATAAAACTTACAGGCACAACAAGCATGCAGTCCGCCTTTCAAGTTACTGCAGGCCAGGTTTACCAAGTGTTTCACCACCTGTATACATCAAGGCTCTCTAACTCTCCAGCATGCAGCATCAATTTCCTTGCTGCCCGACTGCTAGGCCAATTTTAGATATTTGTTAGGCAGGATCTCGCTTGAAGGTACTAATTTCAGTATTTGTTAGGGTAATGCTGGCTGCTGTAATAGGGACTGTCACAGGATCAGAAAATTTTAGAACTAAAACAGGACTTTAGAGATCTTGAAGGATACCCAATGCCCCTTCGTTTTAGGAATCGGAAGCCAACATGGGAAGAGGCTGAGGTTTGTCCAGAGCCACATAGTGACCTTGAGGCAGTACATCTACCAGTCCCACTGGGCCTTGGTGACCTTGGCCTCATCAGCCCTTTGCTTGGCTCTGGCACATACTAGAGACTTAATGAATATTCGTCAAACTGGATTGGGAATGTCTAAGTCTAACTGCGTGAAGATGTCATTGAGTTTCAGACAACAAGAGAGGAAGGAAGGAAAATTCAGGAAACAATTGGAACTTCAGTAGAAATGTCTCAGGAAAGGTGTAGATTAGAGGAACTACATGGCTTTGTTATGTGTCTTTTGTACACTTTGATGCTCTTCATTTTTGTTGTTGTTGTTGTTTTCATTAGGAGATGGGGTCTTGCTCTATTGCCCAGGTTGGAGTATGGTGGTGCAATTATAGCTCATTGCAGCCTCAAACTCCTGGCTCAAGTGATCCTCTAGCCTCAGCCTTCTGAGTAGCTGGGACTACAGGCACTTGCCACCACACCTGGCTAATTTTAAATTTTTGGTGGAGACAGAGTCTTTCTTTGTTGCCTCGGCTGTCCTTGAACCCCTGGCTTCAAGCAATCCTTTTGCCTTGGCCTCCCAAAGTGCTGGAATTACAGGCATGAGCCATTACACCCAGACTCGTGCTTATTGTTCCTTCCATAATCAAAATGCTAAGGACATTTTGATGACGTAGTTTTGACACCAGATAGCTATTCTGATGTCATCTTAATAATAAGCCATTTACTATTTAGCTTAAAAACAACCAAGTAATTGGTCCAGCCTATGGACCTCTTAACCCTAATTCCCAATCTTCCTCTCACCTACCTCTGAACTTCTGGTAAGAAGTGGAGGTAGAGGGAGTTGGTCATAATTAGGATGAGATGGGCTAAGGTTAAGGAAAGGGAAGGTTTAAGATAATAAGAACCATCATCTTTTTAAAAATGACTGACACATAATCATACATATTTTGGGGGTACAATGTGATGGTTCCATACATGTGTAAACTGTGTAAAGATCAAATTAGGAAAACTAACATATCATCACCATAAACATCACTTCTTTATGATAAGAACATTTAAAATACTTCTCTGTGGCTGGGCGCCGTGGCTCATGCCTGTAATGTCAGCACTTTGGGAGGTCAAGGCAGGTGGATCACGAGGTCAGGAGTTCGAGACCAATCTGGCCAACATAGTGAAACCCTGTCTCTACTAAAAATACCCAAAAAATTAGCCAGGCATGGTAGTATGCGCCTGTAATCCCAGCTACTCAGGAGGCTGAGGCAGGAGAATCGCGTGAACCCGGAGGCGGAGGTTGCAGTGAGCCAAGATCGTGCCACTGCAACCTGGGTGACAGAACTGGAGCGCCACTGCACTCCAGCCTGAGTGACAGAACTGGAGCGCCACTGCACTCCAGCCTGGGTGACAGAACGAGATTCCACCTCAAAAAAAAACAAAAAACAAAAAACAAAAAACCTCTCTGTAAGCTATATGGAAATATATAATACATTGTTCTTAGCTCTAATCATCCTGCTATGCAATAAACCACCAGAACTTATTCCTCCTATCTGACTATAGCTTTATACCGTCGATCAATGTCTCACTATCCCCCTTCCCTCTTTTCTTCCCTATCCCTGGTAACCACTATTCTACTCTCTACTTCTATGAGAATAACTTTTTAGATTCTACATATGAGTGAGATCTCATAGTATTTCTCTTTCTGTGCCTGGCTTATTTCGCTTCAGGTAATGTTCTCCAGATTCATCCACATTGCTGCAAATGACAAGATTTCATCCTTTTTTTATGGTTGAATAGTATTCCATTGTGCATATGTACCACAGTTTATCCATTTATCTGCTGATAGATACTTAGGCTGATGCCATATCTTGACTATTGTGAATAGTGCTGCAATGAGCTAGGATTGCAGATATCTCTTCAACATATTGATTTTATAACCTTTGGATATATACCTAGTAGTGGGATTGTTGGATCATATGGTAGTCCTATTTTTAATTTTTTTAGGAACTTCCATATTGCTCCTTCCATAATGGCTGTACTAATTTAGAGTCCTACCAGCAATCTTTTCTCCACATTTTCACTAACACTTGTTATCTTTTGCTATTCTGATAGTAGCCACTGTGACTGGAGTGAGGGGATAAGATCAAACGAAGAAGCTTCTACACAGTGAGGGAAGCAGTCAACAGACAAAAAGACAACCTACGGAATGGGAACATATATTTGCAAACTATACATCTGAAAATGGGCTCATATCCAAAATGTAGAAGGAATCAATATATTTATATTTTATATAATATATTATATAAAAATAATATATTTTAGGAATCGGAAGCCAACATGAGAAAAGGCTGTGGCTTGTCCAGAGCCACATAGTGACCTTGAGGTGGTACATCTGCCTGAAGTCCCATTGGGCCTTGGTGACCTTGGCCTCTTCAGCCCTTTGCTCAACTCTGGCACATATTACAGGAATAATGAATATTTGTCAAACTGGATTGGGAATGTGTACAAATCTAATTATATGAGGGCATCATTGAGTTTCAGACAGAAAGAGAGGAAGGAAGGAAAATTCAGGAAACAATTGGAACTTCAGTAGAAATGCCTCAGGAAGATGTACTGCCTCAGATAGATGTACTGCCTCAAGGTCACTTTGTGGTTCTGGATAAGCTGCAGCCTTTTCTTCTTATTATTATTATTATACTTTAAGTTCCAGGATACATGTGCAGAACATGAAGGTTTGTTACATAGGTATACATGTGCCATGGTGGTTTGCTGCACCCATCAACCCATCATCTACATTAGGTATTTCTCCTAATGCTATCCCTCCCCTAGCCCCGCAACCCCTGACAAGCCCCAGTGTGTGATGTTCCCCTCCCTGTGTCCATGCGTTCTCATTGTTGAACTCCCACTTATGAGTGAGAATATGCCATGTTTGGTTTTCTGTTCCTGTGTTAGTTTGCTGAGAATGATGGTTTCCAGCTTCATCCATGTCCCTGCAAATAACATGAACTCATCCTTTTTTATGGCTGCATAGTATTCCATGGTGTATATGTGCCACATTTTCTTTATCCAATCTATCATTGATGGGCATTTGGGTTGGTTCCAAGTCTTTGCTATTGTGAATAGTAAGCTGCAGCCTTTTCTCATGTTGGCTTCCAATTCCTAAAATATATTCCAACAACTCATCAGCAAAAAAGCAAATAACCTGATTAAAAAATGGGCAAAATGGCCGGGCACTGTGGCTCATGCCTGTAATCCCAGCACTTTGGGAGGCCGAGGCAGATGGATCACGATGTCAGGAGTTCAAGACCAGCATGGCCAAGATGATGAAACCCCATCTCTACTAAAAACTACAAAAAAAAAAAAATAATAATTAGCCAGGCATGGTGGCAGGTGCCTGTAATTCCAGCTACTCAGGAGGCTGAGGCAGGAGAATCACTTGAACCCGGGTGGCAAAGCTTGCAGTGAGCTGAGATTGTGCCACTGCACTCCAGCCTGGGCGACAAAGCGAGACTCTGTCTTAAAAAAAAAAAAAAAAAAAAAAAAGGGCAAAATACCTGGATAGGCAGTTTTCAAAAGCAGACATACAAATGTTGAACAGATGTGTGTAAAGATGCTTGGTACCCCTAATCATCAGATAAATGCACATTATGAACGACCTTTATATTTTGGTGGTGTGCGAGAAATGGCCTGCTGAGGTTTCTATGTCAATGCTGTCTCTCACACCACATCAAAGTGTAAAATGGGGCTTCAGTTTTTAGACAGAATGACACTTTTAGTGTAGGACAATGTCCAGCATGACACAAAACTCTGTAACTCTGTTGCTTGTCAATTTGTTGATTCAGATGGTATTTATAATGCACCTCGTCTGTACCAGGCCCTGTGCTGGCACATAAGACATACATATGAGTTGATATAAGCTTTGTTCCAGGAGCTTACAGGCTATGCATGTTTATTAAGTTTCAGAATATTGTACTGCATCAGAATATTGGGGATAGCATTTTCAAAGACGATAAAAGTTTGCCTGGACCTAGATGTGACCCTCTTTGACTACTCTGTCTTCTCCCTTATAGGTAGAGAAAGCAAGCTTGTAGTTCATTTCTTTCATAATTTTTTCCACCCTTCAAGCCTGAAAAATGCCTGGCCAGCTGGGCTAGACCAGATTCCCTGCGAAGGTGTTCTTTTCAGTTATTTGGGGACATTTTCAGTTTCTGAGTGAGCATATCTTTAGTTTGTAAGTCAAAGTCAGTATAAAAGTTGGGTTTGTTTTAGTGAAAAAAAAATTTTATACACTATGTTACAAGAGTTAAATAATAAAGAATACTTGTATACTGAGGTTAATTATTTGGAGAGATTTCTTAATAACTTTGGAGGATTTTGTAGTGAATAATCCCAGAGGATAAATAAATTTTCATACAGAATCATATAATCATTGTCTCAAGCTAACTTTAATTTACATGGAAAATTCTTATTTTAAAATTCTTTTATAGAGGTGGTTAGAAAAGGGCAAAATTTGAATATGTTTATAATAGCAGTGGTAGGTTTGAGTTAGCTAAAGACAGTATACCAAAGAAACCATGGTGTTTATATGCTGGCTGTCATCTGAACAGGACTTTATAGAAGCTTATTTAGATATCACCTGTGGCTCTCCAATCACTTATTCATTTCTCACTTTGATTTAGAATAGAGGCTGTGTCTTCTTTAGTCCTCTGTTTCTTAGACTTAAAAATAAGTCCATCCTCATTGATTATCTTGATAGACTAAGCATAGTTATGAAAATAAAATTTACAAAATAGAAAATAAGTAATGGACGTTATTAGTGAATATGAAGAATGTGAAGAAATATGAAGAGTGTTCTACCAGCCAAAGAAATGCAAATTAAAACACAGCATAATATTTTTTTCTTATCAATTTGGTAAATATGACAAAAGATTGTTGCTAACTTATGTTGATGAGGTTATAAGCAAACACACATCCTTATACCTCATTGAGGAATGTTTAGATTGATAATGAATGGTAAACTCCAGAGGAATGTCATTTTCACTGCTGATTCTTATAGGATTTTCTGAATCATTTTACCATGTCTTAAATGTACGAATCATTTAAGATTAGGGGCATATTTGTGTGTCAAAAGCATCAATATTACAAATAATTAAAGGATAATTATAAAAGGATTGACGTCCTGCAGTCTGTCACTTTAAGAGGAATATGTGTTCTCAGTTATTTGGTTGGAGAAACTTGGGTCAAGGACCATGACAAATCCAGAAGACTATATGACAATCAGTATACACTTATTTTAAAATTAAGGATTTTACCTTAACTTTATAATTATGACTTCCAACTACTCTGAGGGTTAATAATGACATGATGAAAATATCATTGGCTAGAACCTGGTCCTGGTTTTAATGTCAGTATCATTTTTGATCATGGGGCTGAGGCAATATTTTGATGTCACAGGTGAGGGTACAAATAAGGCAGGAGCTTCTTAGAACAGCTTGCATAATCTTCATTCCATAAACTCCCCACTTCAATAACTCATTCCTCTTTCATTGTAATTTCTCCTATTCTCCTTTATTTTATTTATTTATTTATTTATTTTGCAACTAGAAATATCTTTTTTTTTTTTTTTTTTTTTTTTATTGAGAGAGAGTCTCGCTCTGGTGCCAGGCCAGAGTGCAGTGGCACAATCTCAGCTCACTGCAACCTCCGCCTCCCAGGTTCAAGCGATTCTCCTGCCTCAGCCTCCTGAGTAGCTGGGACTACAGGTGCGTGCCACCACTTCCAGCAAATTTTTGTATTTTTAGTAGAGACGGGGTTTCACCATGTTGGCCAAGATGGTCTCGATCTCTTGACTTCATGATCCGCCTGCCTCAGCCTCCTAAAGTGCTGGGATTACAGGCGTGAGCCACTGCGCCCGGCCAGAAAAATCTTTTAAGCTCATTTTTTTTTCTCCTGTTCCTTGAACAAATGATTTCAGGCATCTATGCCAACAATTATTAAGCAAAACCAAATAAAAGGTAAGAGATATCCAGACGTACTCATCATTATATCATGTTGGTCTTAGGCAAGGTACCATTAAGATTAGAAAAAAGTTTTAAGATACTAGGAAATATCATTTAAGTTAAAATTTTAAGAAATCTAATTCCTTTTCTAATCCCTTTTATTTTAGGAGATGAACAAATAAGGGTCTTGATAGTTCTATGTTGTTGGAATATGGAGAGTTGGAAAGCTGCTGTGTTGGATGGATATTTGATAATAAAGAACTCCAGTGGAGCTGTATCTGTCCATCTTTTGTACGACTTTTCCACAGCAATAAAAGAAAGCCAAGCAGAACTACTGACCCCATTTCACTGTGGACTCAAATATAAGCAGCCTTAGTTCTTAGTCATTTTAATATGAGCATTGCTGGAAATTACCTTTTACAAAGCAAGGGAATATCTTTAGATTCTATCATCATCATTCTTTTAAAATCATTTAGGATCTTTATTATTATTAAGTAAAACACATGGATTTAGGGAAGATCAAAGGAATGACTCATCAGTTCCTCACCTCACAAAAGAATGTATATCTGTCATGTAAATATCACTGGGCCTCTAGAGAAAATTGTTAGCCCAGTGAAAGAAAATTACACTGCTCAAAAAACCATACCAACAAAAATGCAAAGGTTCAAGGAAGTAAATAAACAAAAAGCAAACCATGCATTTAACAGCTATGTGTCTTTGAACATTCTGTGTCTCCCTATTTTACTAATATACTTTTATTATATCATTGTATTTTAATGGGCATATGGCTGAATAACCAGGAAAGAAAGAAAACTCGGAACAAAACAGGAAAATCCTGCTATGGACCTGGTTGAAGTGTTCAATGCATTGTCAAAAATGAATCTAGTGTATCAAAACCATACTGTCACAAAGAGTATTGCTTACAGTTAAGCTAGGTTTAAAAATTTCTATCTTAATTTACAAATGATCATTAGATATGGCAAAAATCATTGTAGATATTTGAGGATGGGTTGGAAATTGCAACTCAATTCACAATCTCATTCTGCTTCACCTTATGCCCCACACCTATCTGAATTTCCAGTTGCTGTAAGAAGATGTACCAATGTCACTGTGATCATTTTTCAATATGAAGACTCAAAGAAGACTAGAAGCCTAATATATAGAACATGTTTCTTCAGATGCTTTCATCACATTAAAAATACCAAGACATTTTATAAAACTTAATGACTTTTATACATACTTGTGTTAGTCTGTTTTCATGCTGCTGATAAAGACACACCTGAGACTGGGTACTTACTAAAGAAAAAGAGATTTAATGGACTCACAGTTCCACATGGCTGGGGACGCCTCACAATCATGGTGGAAGGAGAAAGGCACATCTTACATGGTGGCAAACAAGAGAGAGTAACAGAACTTGTGCAGGGAAACTCCCGTTTATAAAACCATCAGATCTCATGAGACTTATTCACTATCATAAAAAAAGTGCAAGGAAAACCTGCCCCCATGATTTGTTACCTCCCACCCATCCCTCCCACAACAGGTGGGAATTGTGGGAACTATAGGATTCAAGATGAGATTTGGGTGGGGAGACAGCCAAACCATATCAATACAATTATACGCTGAGGCTTTAGTATTTGTAAATCTTTTCTATGGCCTAGAAGTTTAGGGCCCCAGGAACATCACTTGAGATAGTGGGCAAGCAGGAGAATGAAAGAGTACTGGTGGATGTGGTGGAACTAACTACAAGACCATCCTTAGCCTAAGACAATGCCAGCTCTGTGGGAAGAAGAATGGCCACCTATTCCCTCTCACTCTCTTTGTACTGTTCCCTTCTCTGATGGCATTTGCACAAAGTAGTGCAAAGTAAATACCAAAACCCCACAGGGAAGTTTTCATGAAATGCACCTGATGGAGCCTAGTTACTTTTTTCTTTTTCAAATTGAAAGTAAATACATAACTATTAAGGACAAGTTTGTTTACCATTGAATATCATCTCAAATTTCACTGCTAACTTGACATTCTCTGGGAGATACTGGTGTAGTGCAAAGAAAGCTCTTCAGAGCAGTTGGTAGAATTGCTTCTGGTACCAGCTATGCTGTGAACTGGCTAGGTGTCTCAGGGGAAACCCTTGCCACAGGTGGAGGAAGAGGGCACAGCATCTCAGTGTTTCACTTAGCTCTAAAGATTCCTTTGTTTTCAGAAAGAACAGCTTATTTGCCTGTGGATTTGTCTTTCACTTTTACAAGTATTTTAAACATTGATGAATGGTATCAAGGGAATGCTGTTAGTAAGATTTAGTAACTATTTTAACTTGCCAACTAGCAGTGTAAATTACAGTAAGTGCATGACATCCTAACCTTAAAAATAAAATTAGCCTATTCATATAGGCATTTCTGCTGAATATCAATGGAAGGTTGTTGCTTCGTTTTGTTTTACCTTTAATGTGATATACCTTCATGTCAGTCAAACAATTGTATTCAGTGTTAGTGTTTTCAAGTGAATTTTATGCGGAAGATAGCTTAAAAAAATTTGCTTCCTAATAACCCCAACCCTGTTATTTCTCCTATGGCAAGCTACTTTCTGTTTTAAAAATAGATCTGTTCTACGAGACTTCAGTTGGCCCTGGTTGGTGTCCTCTTATGCGAGTTATTTAATTTAAAAATAGAACAGTCTCAGATCTGTATCAACTAGTTTGTGATGACTTCTATCGGGAGTGAACTCTAAGTAGGCAGTGAATTCTGTGGAGTTAAGTGTGGGAACATTATAATCCAGTCGTGTTTTCCTCTTTGGTGAACTGATAGAGCTTTGCATCCAAATTGATATTTTCCATGTATTCAGCTTATGTTTTTTCTGAGGTTAAATTTAACTTCCCCAAGAGCTGAGGGAATTTTATAATTTGGGTGGAAAAGAGATTACCGCCGCAAAGTAGTTAACATTTAACATTTTTGAAACAAGTAATCACCCCTAGACTGTTTTTAGGTCAATCAAATTACTCTTTTACACAGAGCAATTTTAATTTAAAATGCACTGGCACACCTTTGGGCATATTAAAACAATCATTATTTCTTTGAATGCGTATTTCTAGAGTAGAGGTGTAGAGAAACATCATTAAATAATAATAACTAATACCTTTTCTATTAAAGGTAAGTTGTTTTAATTTTTCAACCCTTAAATGAAATTTGCCCTATTTTATAAAGTGAAGATATGTTTTTACATTGTTAGAAATTAAATTACTATTGATTTTGTGATGATTTAAGGCCTTAACTCTAGCATAGGAGCTCTTTTGGCCTTAACACAGTTTCAGAGATGTAATTCTTTGTTTCTTTTAAAAAGTCTGGAACTTATCAAGTTACAGAAAATGGACATAAAACATGTTATATGCCACATAGTTTTATTATTAAATTATAACTTTAAATGATACATTTTGCTATCTAAATAATTTGACATATTTTAAACATATTCTTCAAAACTGGGTTTTCTGTCAGACCTGATTAAACAATGTGACATCTTGAAATATTATTCAAAGTCACAAGTTCCTCATCAGGAAGAATAATTCCTTCTTAAAATGATCTTTTGTAGAATTTTGCCGTATAATCCAGTCTTCAAACGTCCTTTTTTTTTTTCCATCCAACCAGCAGAGAGCACTTCAGCTTGTAATACGAACCTTACATATACAAATGAATACAGCCAAGATCATGCTTTATCAAAGAAATGGGCGAACAACTACCCTTAGTCACAGGTTGATTCATTTCCTGCCAATTCATGTTTATTCGATCAATTTCCTAAATTTTACATTAATTTAAACACCCGTTTATAGTTTAAAAAGAATTTTATAAAGACATTTTCTTCAAACATATTCTTGTGCTATGCCCTTGGCCAGACATATCATGTTAATTGTATTTTGTATATTTTATAATCCCAATTAACTTGTAAATTTTTATGTAAATGAACTAAATTTAATCTCAATTTTTATACCCCCTCAGTTGTTTTTGTTTGCTTTTTGTTTTTAAAGAAAGAGGCCCATGTTCTTTGGATAGTCAGTAAATAGTTGTTGACAAAGGCTTCTTTTGGGAGGTAAATCCTACTGCTTGGAATCTACTATAGACAAATTACTTTAGGTGGATGTACTATCTCTGTTGCTTACCTAGTAAAGAATGTCAAGATTTAGGTGGGAAAGTCAAAATTGAATCCACCTGCTTAGACTCTTCAGCTTATGAAGAATTTGTATAAAGCACCTACCTCATCCTCATCCCTCAAAAGACACACGACTAATAAACAAGGTTCACCCGATTGAAGTCAATGAGCGGTAGAAGCAGTAAAGGTACTGCCAGTTCCCCAGATTTCCCTGTGTTTTGAAGATGAGCAAGGGTTGAATCACTGAAGAACTTGAAAGGTTTATTTTGCCGTCTTGAGATGTTCTGCCTTTTATATTGCATGACAAGAGGAATGTTACTGAATAGTGGCAGAAAATGGAAACTGTGGTTAAATAGCAGTTCAGTGTCTGAGCAGAAATGTAGAACATGATGATTAGATGCCCAACACCATTCAGAATTCTGGCCATCCCAGACTTACTGAGATGTGTATTATTATAATTAATGCGCACACCTCAAATAGAAATTAGCTCAAATAGCTGCCCTGTGGTTGGTAAAATCCACGTGGCTCTCTGAGCGTGTCACTTGAATCCCTATGCTTGGCCTGCTCAGCCCTGGGTAAAGCATCTAAGCATCCCTCTAACTCATGTCTTTCTCTGGGACTGGTGTTTCAGGTGTAGGAGAAGGAATCTTGGTTGAATATGGACACAAACCCCCTTTATATGCTAGGTAAAAAATGGGGACGATTTCAGCCTCAACAGATCTGTTCTTTTGGTTTAATATTTTAGCGTCATGTCCTCAACCACTGTTAAGTCCCCCACACATACCATTGAAAAATTAGCCCTCTGTGACTTGTTTTTTCCTGTATGGCTGTGTTTTACATTCATTTGAATCCCATTTCTCCTGAAAAAGTTAATATTCATTTGAATGCTATGTCTCCTGAATAACAATGTTACTGTGTGTGGAACTGATATGATTTATTCCTGGCTCCCAGCCCCTAGGAATGGACCTGAACCCTCTCTCCCCTTCTTTCTCCCTTTCCCACTTGTTACCCCACTCTCACTTTGTACTTCTGTCAGTTATCTGCTCAAAGTGCTCTGTTTTCATCTTAGTGGTTGTCTGTGGTTGCTCCTAGAACCTTATGCTTTCCTGAATCAGAATGTATCTGGCATGCTTCTAAAGATGCTTAAATGACAGCTCATAATAGTAATTTGGCTGTGTTTAAATGGATGGAAGGCATGGTGAGGGGGTTTCCACCCAGGTGTGAAATACCCCAGACACTCAGAAAATAACCAGATTCCTGGGGCTCAGGATGGCGTGCAGTGGGGAGTGTGGGCACAGTGTGTGGCCAGGGCAGCTGGGGAGTGTGTAATGTGATCTGAGACCTGCACTGCCCTAAACACAGTCAAGAAGCACAGAATGTTTCTGCCACAGAGACAGCAGCTTTGCTCTTAGTATTTCCTGAATATTCTGGAGGGTTTCTTGTTAGTTGGTTGGTTGGTTGGTTGGTATATTCATGGAAGGAAACCAATGATTAAATATGAATCATGGCAAATTGGGTATGGGGCTTTCCGTCATAAACCCTGCATTAGAAATCCTTAGGTGAAGATTGGCATCTTTTTTGCATGTCACATTAAAAAAAAAAGAGTAATCATGGAGAAAATCTAGCCTGTGATGTGACTTCTCCAGTAGTGGTAGGTCTCTTTTATTGTTTGAATCATTGAATTTTTTTTTTACAGACCAAGTAACCTGATCTTTTATCACTCTCCCGACTGCCTCCTCCGGTATGCCCTGATGCATTCAACACATGTGTTAGTATGGGAGGCTAGCAGCACGGAGAGCAATTTACATTCAGCTTCCCAGCCTGCTAGAAGCAGCAAATCAGCCCCTGGGAAGGCTTCGGAGACTTGTCAGCAGTCTGTAGCTTATTTCTGTGTGTGTGAGGGTGTGTGTGTGTGTCTCTCTCTCTCTTTCTCTCTCTCTCACCATTTCCAGGCTCAAATCACTGTGGAGGAACAAGCAACAAAGTCTTGTCAGGACCTTATCTCAGGGTAACGATTAGTTAAAAATGAAAGGCTAAAATATTGATTTTCTTTAGAAGAATAATTGACTGTTTGATATAGAGAACACCCAGTTTCTTCCTGAGGAAAGCTGAACAGGGCTACATTAGCAGCCCGCGTCTCTCTGACAGCAGCAGGGGCTGGGTTTAAGCAGCGGCTGCTTTGCCTGGGGAGCACCCGTAAATGGACTTTGGTCTCAATGCTTTGACTCTTTGCCGTGGTTTTGGATGTTGGAATACCGGCGGTGATCTGTCTTTTATAAACTCACCTGATTTAAAGGAAAGATGAGTGAAGAACCAAAGGAGAAAAATGCAAAACCTGCTCATAGGAAAAGGAAAGGAAAAAAGGTAAGAAATGAATAAGCAACATGTTCTCTTCATTGTTCTCTGGCTCTGGGGAGGAAGTGATCTTTAGGCTGAATTTTTAAGAGATTGGCTTTAGATTTTTAAGAAGCTGCTAGAATCTGAATGCTTTTGTTTTTCCAGTCTATTAATGGGTGTGTTCTGTCTTGGAGGAAAATCATCACAACTCGGATACACTGCTAAAATATTTAAACAGTTAAATACAGTCATTTAGATTTCACTGACGTGGTGTGTTTTTCATAGTGATATTCAGGATTATTAAGTAAACACGTCCTAATTATGTGGGTGGGTGTGTTTTTTTCTCCTTTAAATTTCACAGAATGCTCGTTAATCAACAGGGTATAATTACTAATGAATATTATTATGGTATAGATGTTTAGCTTTAACATATATTTTAGGGAAACTTAGAGAAACCTATAGTTATACTTTAAAATTACAGCATGGAGGTGAACTCCATTTTAATTATTGATCACTTTATGGCTGACAGATCTCAGGTTTGCATTCGACCCTGCAGTCATACAGCCATATACCCAGTTTGTCTATTATAATCCAAAAAATTAATTTTGTTTTCCATGTAAATTGAGGAATCATCAATATATTAATAGATGATTATGGTAAACCTGTAGATTCATTTTGGTTTTCTTGAATGTGTATATCTTCAAAGGTGCTCCTAACTTTTTAATTCATTTTGAAATGGGGAAAAAAGATAATTCTCTAGATCTGTCATTTGGTTTTGATCCATTGTGATTTATAAATTGTCTTGGTTTTAGGGTGTGCCACCAATGGAAAAGACAGTTGTGCATCTGTAACAAAGAAAAACAAATATCTAAAATAGGATTATAGCTCATAGATATTTAAGGAGAATGTGTGCTGTATTTTAAAATCTATAGTCAAAATCTTCAGATATAATATTTTAATTACTAGGACTCATATATAATTTTACCTCTTTAAAATGCTTCCTTGGCCCAATGTAATGTATGCTCAGACAGTGGACACATACAGAATGGTGGCTATAGTAGAGAAGATAAAGATTTCAGCTACTCGTGGAATATATCAGGCGTTTAAAAAAATGTTCATAATCTGTTTATTATTAATTAAAAGGTTAATTTGAATATGATGTTCTTAAGGGACCTACTACCAGCAGACTGTTCTGAGGTCATGTCTATGTACATGCCAACATTCTAGGGCAGTGGTTCAATGTCTTCCAGATAGTGAATCTGTGCAGACTGGTTTTAAGTCAGCCTTGACTTCTTGTACATTGCCTTGGCAAGGGTTGATGATGTTGCAAAGGTGTTAGTCTGATTTCCCAAGGGAGCAGGTCTCAGCTGCACAGCACAAATGATTTGTTTAATGCCTAGCATAGTGGCACTGGTCTCAAAAAAAAAAAAAAAAAACCTGTCAGGTTTGCTCATGTTTATAAGATATGGCTTTAAGTGTCTTGACAGGCTCCACCATGATTCTGAACATAGAGTGTCATAGAGAGCCGAGACAGACACATGAACCACGACGGTGCAATCCATATTAGAGTGAGCAGTGGCTGGATTCGTTGTAAATCATCGAGCTTTTATGTGGAATCCTTTAACACGGGCTTTTTTTTCCCCTCTCTCTACCTTGAAATTTTCCCAGCTGTGTTCCATGTCTCCTCATATGAGGTTATCCTGCTCAGAGCACAATATAAAGTCAATTGCTTTGAGCCCTTCTTCCTTCATTCCACACTCTCCCAACTGCTGCTAGGGCACTCTTAATGAAAGCTTTGATCATCACCCTCTGTCTAGTACCTTCTAAACTCCTTACTGCCTGCTCAGTGAATACCAAATTCCTGACCATAGGGCCTGAAGCTCTCCAGTCTAACCTGTACCCACATTTCTGTTTTTTTCCCCCTCATTATATTTCATTCACATCTGACTCTATCCAGACCAGGGTTTTTACCAGTCCCTGAATTAAATCATTCTTCTGATGCTTGTTCTTTGTCCATTGAGAATGCATTTCTGTGCCAGCCCACTGGGTGACATCCTACCCATCCTTGAAGGTCAAACCCATATCTTGCCCTCTTCTTGAAATGTCTTGATTCTCCCTAGTTGGAAGTTAGTCTTCTGGATGAACACAGCACCTTATACTGTCTGGACACTTAACACATTCTGCTTCTTTTTCAAGCTATCAGATACCTACTTTATTCTCTTGACCACATTGAACCTCCTGATATTTTCCTCCAAAAGCACTCAGCATGCTGCCTTGTATGCAGTTGACACTAAATAAATGTCCCATTGAATTATCTCTACCAGTTTACTGATCAGAGTTTACTAAGAATTTTCAGTGTTAGAGCAGATACATATCAAAAAGTAGATATCTTTCAAAGGAGTAGGCCTTTTCTCCCCATATTTTCTGGAAAAAGGATACAATATTTTGTTGCTGAAAAATATGTATACATATATATATACCTTTTTATTCTGAAGCAAATATTCCATAAGTTTTCTGGGTGCTCCAGATGACCTATACTGAAGCAGGGGAGGGTGTGGTCAAATAAAAGCATTTCAGGTGGGAAATATAGGCAACCTGCCAAACTCTGTGGCAACAAGCTCCCCAAGCATTCAAAATATTTCCTAGTGACATATGGAATTATTTTAAAACAAAATTTAGTGTGACATCATTTTCCATAAAAAAAATCTATCTTAAAATGGCCTTTAAAATTATGTGTTGGTGTTGAGTGTTTTCAGAAAAACAGATCACATGCTTAGGGCATTTGGGTATAAAGTCTCTCTTGAGACATTTAATATGGAGTCATCAAGGTAAATGTGATGGAATCATATTATTCCTCTGTTAGCGCATAGTATTTTTGTATTTTGATCAGGAATATAATGATTCAAGTTGGTGTTAGGAAATGCTTTTTCTAATAATTTCTGTGTTTTGTTCTGGAATGTGAAGAGGGTGTCTGTGTGTATCCATATTCCATAGCTGTTTATGTCAACTTATGCTAGTTATCAAAGAAGGATTTGCTTGAAGAGACCTGGGTGCTCTTGTAATGTTGCTTCTAACTTGATATCTTGTCTTGAATAGATGAATCAAACTCTCTTTTTCTATAAAATGGGGATCATGTACCTGAGGCAGCTACTGGGGATACTAGGAAAGTAAAATAAAAATAATCAATAAGACCGTATTTTTTAAAGTTTTTAAAATGATAACACCTAACCTCGAAGTGGTCATCATGGTGGAATTTCAAGCTTGATGTAGAGTAACTGATCCTATAGAAGAGATGACACAGGATAACATATTGCCCCCTCTGATATTATACTGCAGAAGTGCTTATTTTAACCAGCTGCCAAGAATAAAATGTAGGAAGTGACACTTAAAGATTTTTTTTCTTTAGCATCTGTATTAGCTTGGACTGACATTAAAAAAATACAATAGACTAGGTGGCTTAAACAACACAAATTTATTTTCTCACAGTTCTAGAGAATGAAAGGCTGAGATTAGGGTGTCAGCATGGTTAGTCCTAGTGGGGACACTCTTCCCAGCTTGCTGATGACCATCTTCTTGCTATGTGCTCACATGGCCTTTCCTCAGTGTGTATCTGTGGAAGGAGAGGCATCTTTTGCTCTTCTTTTATGACCAGCAATCCTATCATATTAGGACCTCATCCTTATTACCTTATTTAACCTTAACATACACATACAGTCACATTGGGGGTTAGAATTTTAACATATAAATTTGGGGGGTTGAGGGGAGACACAATTTTGTCCATAGCAGCATCCAAAGAAGGGTATACTATCCAGGTTCACAACTTAGGTGTGCTTAATAAATCATGTGATACTGACTGAAATTCTATTAATTCAATTCACTTAGCAGATGCTACATAGGGGAGAGCCTTCAATTACTGGCTAGAGCCAGCTACAGGCATACCTCACAGATATGGTAGGCTTGGTTCCAGACCACTGCAGTAAAGTGGATATCACAACTAAGCAAGTCATGCACATTTTTTGGTTTCCCAGTGCATATAAAAGTTATATTTGCACTATGCTGTAGTCTGTTAAGTATATCTATTAAGTACGTGTTTTTTATGTCTAAAAAGGCAATGCACATACTTGAACTTTCTGCGAGTCTTAATCTTTTTGCTTGTGGAAGTTCTTTTTTTGATGTCAGTGGCTATTGATGGATGGTGGTTGCCAAAGGTTGGGGTGGCTGTGGCAATTCCTTAAAATAAGACAACAGTGAAGTTTGCCACATTGACAAACTCTTCGTTTCGTGAAAGATCTCTCTGTAACATGTAATGCTGTTTGATAACATTACTCACAGTAGAACTTCTTTAAAATTGAAGTCAATCTCAACATCACCACTGCTTTATCAACTAAGTTTATGTAATACTCTAAATATTTTGTTGTCATTTCAACAATGTTCATAGTGTCTTCACCCAAGAGTAGATTCCATCTCAAGGAACCACTTTCTTTGATCATCCATAAGAAGTAACTCCTCATCCATTCAAGTTTTATCATGAGGCATGTCATGTCTTCAGGTTTCTAGTTCTCTTGCAATTCAATCATGTCTTCAGGTTTCTAGCTCTCTTGCTATTTCCACCACATCTGCCGTTATTAATACTTCCTCCATTGAAGTCTTGAGCCCCCAAAGTTGTCTATGAGGATTGGAGTCAACCTCTTGCAAACTCCTGTTAATGTTGATATTTTGACCTCCTCCCAAGAATCACACATGTGCTTAATGGGATCTAGAATAGTGAATCCTTTCCAAAAGATATTCAATTTACTTTGCTCAGACCCATCAGACAAACAACTACTTATGGCAGCTATAGCCTTAGAAAATGCATTTCTTAAATAATAAGACACAAAAGTTGAAATTACTCCTTGATGATGGGCTGCAGAATCAATGTTGTGTTAGCAGGCCTGAAAACAACATTAGTCTGCTTGTATATCTCCATCAGAGATCTTGGGTGATCAGGTGCATTGTCAATGAGCAGTAATATTTTAAAAAGAAATTTTTTTTCTGGCCAGCAGGTCTCAACAGTAGGCTTAAAATATTCAGCAAACCATGCTGTAGACAGATGTACTGTCATCCAGGCTTTGTTGTTCCATGTATATATCACAAGCAGAGTAGATTTAGCATAATTCTTAAGGACTCTAGGATTTTTAGAGTGGTAAGTGAGCATTGGCTTCAACTTAATGTCACTAGCTACATTAGCACCTAACAAGAAAGTCAGCCTGTCCTTTGAAGCTAGGCATTGACTTCTCTGTAGTTGTGACAGTCCTAGGTAGGATCTTCTCCCACTACAGTATAGGGCTGTCTTGCCTACACTGAAAAATCTGTGGTTTAGTGTAACCACCTTCATCAGTTTTCTTTGCTAGATCTTCTGGATAACTTGCTATAACTTCTAAATCAGCACTTGCTGCTTCACTTTGCACTTTTATGTTATGAAGACAGCTTCTTTCCTTAAACCTCTTGAATCAACCTCTACTAGCTTCAAACTTTTCTTTTGCATTTTCCTCAACTTTCTTGTCTTCACAGAATTGCAGAGTCGGGGCCATGCTCTGCAAATGCTGTGGCTGGTTTTTGTTTTGTTTTGTTTTTAAGAGACAGGGTCTCACTCTTTGTTGCCCAAGGTAGAGCACATTGGCATGATCATAGCTCACCACAGCCTCAAACTCCTGGGTTCCAGCAATCCTCCACTTCAGTCTTCCAAGTAGCTGGGATCACAAGTGTGCTCCACCACAACTGGCTAACTTTTTTATTTTTGTGTGTGGAGATGAGGTCTCACAATGTTGCCCACACGGGTCTTTAATTACTGGCCTCGAGCAATCCTCCAATCTTGGCCTTCCAAAGTGCTGGAATTACAGGTGTGAGCTCCACCATGCCTGGCTAGTGGCTGGTTTGATCTATCCACAGCACTCAGACCTTCTCCCTAGCAGCAATAAGGCTATCTTGCTTTCTTATCATTCATGTGTTCACTAGAGTAGCACATTAATTTCCTTCAAAAACTTGCTTTTTGCATTCATAATTTGGCTCACTAGTGAAAGAGTCCTAGTTTTTGGTCTGTCTCAGCTTTTAGCATGCCTTCCTCACTAAGCTTAATCATTTGTAGCTTTTGCTTTAAAGTGGAAGATGTGTGGCCCTTCCTTCCCTTGAACATTTAAAGGCCATTGTAGGGTTATTACTTGGCCTAATTTCAATATTATTGTATCTCAGGGAATAGGGAGGCCCAGGTAGATGGAGAGAGAAGAACATGTCAGTGGAGCAGTCAGAACACACATACAACATTTACTAATTAAGGTTTCCATCTTATATGGATGTGGTTTGTGGCTACCCAAAACAGTTACAATATTAATAGTAACTTCAAACATCACTGATCCTAGATCACCAAATAGATATAATAATAAAGAAAAAAATTGAAATATTTTGAGAATTACCAAAATGTGACCCAGAGACACAAAGTGAGCACATGGTGTTGGAAAAATGGCACTGATAGACTTGCTCATTGCAGGATTGCCATAAACCTTTAAGTTGTAAAAAATGCAATATCTGCAAAGCACAATAAAATGAATCGTGCTGGTATGTTAAACCAATCTGTGTAGAAAGTGTTAAGGGAATCAAATAAAGCTGAATTCAGGCTTTATTGGTGGCAGAAAGGAGGGAGTGGTAACTTCCATTTGGAGGATGAAGTCATGAAAGGATAGTCAAAGGCATGCTTACATTGAGATTAAGAAGATATGTGTTTCCCAGATGACAGAGGATAAGAGTGTTCCAGTTAGAGAGTGTGAGATGAGAGAGAAAATGATTCAGAGCTGCCTGGTGTAAGCTTATGAATCTAAGCAATGGTTTGTATATTTGGACTATAGAGTGCAGGGGTGAGTTACGGCAAGATACAATAAAGAAGAAAACAAGGACCATCCCAAGAAATTTTAGTTAACAACATCATTTTCGACCTGGGGTTTCCCAAAAGGACTTGAGCAGGGAAGTATTAAGGTCAGACATAGTTTATAGCAGGGGTCCCCAACCCCTGTGACGTGGACTGATATCAGTCTGCCCTGTTGGGAACCGGGCCGCACAGTGGCAGGCAAGTGAACATTACGGTCTCAGCTTCACCTCCTGTCAGATAAGAGACAGCATTGATTCTCAGAGGAGTGTGAACCCTATTGTGAACTGCACATGCAAGAGATCTGTGTTGTGCACTCCTTATGAGAATCTAATGCCTGATGATCTGAGGCAAAACAGTTTCATCCTGAAACCATCTCCACCATCTGTGGAAAAATTGTGTTCTATGAAACTGGTCTCTGATGCCATTGGAGCCCACTACTTCACAGGAAAACATCCCAACTATTTGGTAGAAAGGCCAGGTCTTTACTTTTGTACCATCATTTATCTCGTAGGACTATATGTTCCATTGGACCATGGCCCAGAATATATACTTTCATTGTCAATGATTACTGAAGACTTGGTCCCTTGAGTGCTTCATTTAGTGATTATTTTTTAAGGGGCAAATTGGAGAAAAATGTTTATATGTTTAGGATTCTACTAGGTAAGGAATTCCACTGCAGTGAGTTTGCTTATTTTTTAGAGAATGTCAGAAAAAGGATTTTCACTATTTCAGTTCAGCTGCCTTTTCCATCTTAAGAATAAAAACTAACTTACTTTATTTAAACTAGTGTTTATGGTTTGTGTTTCTTCTAAGGGTAGACTTCGTAACTGTATCTCATTCTTTCTTTTTCTTTCTACCAGACCACCATAGCTTTGCCTTATGTGTGAGAGCTGTACTTGTTTCCTCTCTGATGAATCTCACATTATCCAAACATACATTCATTTTTTAAGGGCGAGTCAAAGGAATGTCCATTTCTAATTTTCATTCCCTGTTCTTAATGCTGCTGGAATTATATTGTATTCTTATCTGGTCCTGGAGTCTTTGATTAGGGTGTCTTGAAACACACCATGCCCTCTTACTAAGTTGGTGGTGTGCTGGCAGACCTTGAGCACACGGCAGTTTCATTGACCTATAATTTTCATTCTCGTGTTTGGACATTGCTTAATTTGATTGCTACTGCTCTACAGGCAAATAACCTTTTGAAGTCTTTTGTTGTTGAGCAGGTGATTTGAGTAATGGTGTACTGAGCATGGTCACGTGTTCAGTGCATTGTTTCTTCTAATGATACACTCCATATCAAGAGGCATGTTAATCCTTTTCCATTTTACTTTAAACATCATTGTTGAATTTTTTTCTCTTAGTCTTACATAGCTATAAATTTTTTAAAAAATGTTTTCTGCTGGGCTGTTAATTTTATTTTTATAAATGCTATCCATTTTATAGTCAGTAGGCATTCAAAATGATTCAATGTCTTGTGCATACACATCCATGAAACTGAAATTTTGACTCCTCCAGTACTTAATTTGAAATGATTTTTTTTGAACTTAGCATTGGAATTTGCTTATTTTAGTACAAAAATTTTTATGTTGTCTTTGCACAAGGTGATTGTGCACTTAGAACTTTCTTTTTGTAAGGAGAGATTGGATGAACCTGGGATATTACTTCTTGATATCAGAATTTCATAAAATGTTAGACCTGTAGTATAATATCACCTTTTAAAAATCAAACTTAGTGAGATAGATTTACTGGAGATTTTCTTCAAGCTTTTTATTATAAAAAGGATGGAAAAAACATGATATAAATTTATTTTATATATAGTAGCCTTGGGGCATAGACTCTGAGCATGGCTTCAGACTGAGGTACTGAAAATCTCTTCTCCATAATTTCAAAATCCAAAATGAAAAACTGAAATTTTTTCCTTAACTTCTTTGGCGGCAAAATCTGACCTGACCTGAGCACATTTGGTAGCAAAACCTGATCTGACCTACGTGAAGCTATTTATAGTCTTTATTCATCCTACTTAGTGTGAGTATTCATATGTTTTGCTGAAAAAGTAAAAATTCTTTGCTTATGGGATGCTGCCCCAAGACACTGCTGGGGATGTTCATAATATTTATACATACCTTTCTAAGATGAAAAAGTTCTGAATTCCAAAGCTTGGCTGGCTGCAAGGATTTCAGATCATGGGTTGTGAATCTGTATTGAGTTCTGAGCTGGGACTGGGAGCCAGTAAGGTTAGCTTGGGGTGAGAGGAAAGGGGCTTGTTTTTGTCCTTAATAAATTCCAGATAAAGTGGTGCTCTGTAATGCCAAGCACTATAGCAAAGGTCTGTAGTGCAGTTTTCAGTTTGGTAGGAAAAATATTTCTAGAAGCACTCTAACAGAAAACTGCTTGCTTAATCATAAATCTGAACATTTGGACCAGGTGGTTTTCAAGATGATATTTATAAAGCTTGGTTTTTTAAAAACCCAGTGAATTTAATGAATTGTGATTTATCAATAACAAAAGGAAAAAAAGAGTCCTGATTACTATTCTTGAAATTCTTAATTTTTTGTTGTTCATAATCATTTGATGAGTTTATAATAAATAACTCTGGTATATATTTTCTGAAAGAAAGGATATAGACTTTGGGGGGGATATAGACTTTGTTGTTTGAGTCATTGTACCTGCTTGCCAAGAAAATAATGTTAATCATATGAATAATTAATATTGCACGATTAGCACATACAATGGAGTTCTTTGTCATCTGTCTCAAACAAAAATTCCCATCTATGGATATGACTTTTATGCACTTTAATTTTTTTTAAGTTTTTAATGCATTTTTTTTCTGTCTGTTAGATGATGTAATTTATCCCATGGCTATGTTAATAGCTAAAAATCTAGAAATTTCTTTCAACCTCTATTGATTTTACAACCTTTGTCTCTGAAATCCTCTGTCATCACCAGGGAAGTAACAGAAACAAAGCGTATTTAAACCATGGTGAAACCCTGTCTCTACTAAAAATACAAAAAATAAGCTGGGCGTGGTGGTGTGAGCCTGTAGTCCCAGCTACTCTGGAGGCCGAGGCAGGAGAATCGCTGGAACCTGGAAGGCAGAGGTTGCAGTGAGCCAAGATCACGCCACTGCACTCCAGCCTGGGAGGCAGAGCGAGACTCCATCCCCCTACCCCACGGATGCCCCCCCCGAAACAAATGCTCCCTTAAGACATATTGTTAACATTTTTAGAGATGCCATTAATATACTAGCTTTAACAGCACCCATAAGAAAAACAAAACTTTAATCAATTATGAAGTTTTAATGCATAAGAAGAGTTTTGATAGTGAAATTTGGAACATTAAGCAATTTGCTGAATGCAGGCTGTCTTTGTAGACAACCTTAAAACTTTCATCTTTCACTTCTAACTCACTAGTCTTTTAAGTTATATATTCCATGAGATATGTTTGTTGGGCATTTCTACCAAGTGGGTGTTTTAAAATAAGCGTAATGATGCAAAACTATTTAATAGGTCTGTTTTATCATTTTGATTCTGCCCCAGTGCCATACCATTGATTCCTTCCTTTGTTTTAAGCATTTACTATTCTAGGTGCAAGGAATACATGAGTGAACATGGCAGACAATAAACATACACAGTGCATAACTAATGCTAACTATCACTAGTTATCACTAGTTAAAATTACACAAGAGGCTGCTACAGTGGAGAGAGGCTAGGGCTCAGACACAATTCATGATCAGAGTAGCCAGGGAAGGTCTGGCTGATATGACTCTTGAGTGGTGAGTGTGCTCAGTCACCACAGGGACTTGGGTCCACTCTGGAGAGAAGACACTGCAGGAGAAAGGAATGGCTTGGGAAAGGCCTTGTGGTGCTCAGGCTCTGAGGAAGAAACATCATTTGACCTCATCATGGACTGTCCCAGTTGGCATGAACTTTAAAGATTTCTTCACACACTCCTCAAATGTTTATTTTATTTTTTCTTCCCAGAATCCAACCAATGTTTTGTGAATTTTAAACGTCACGAAAAATATTTTAGGGTGTTAGCTGGGGATACATGATACCTGAACAGTACAGCATCCTGTGAATTTTTGCTGAGTGAATGAATGATGAACTTTTATTTTACTTTCCACTTTCCTTGTTAGCCACTGTGCCTTATGTACGTGAGGAATTTTAAAACTTCTTGCAGGAAACCACATCTCTCAAGCCTCCATTTAACAATTACTTTCCCCCTTGGTACCCAGTCTACTCAATAAAACGGAAATAAAAATATGTACATCAGAAACTTAAACCTTGATATGATGCTTATGCATGATAATTTTTGCAAATGATATCAATGAAGCTTATGAAATATTACCTTGGAATACAGGCTGCACCACTCCATGCATTTGTGTCATATTTAATGTCAGCATTTTGTGTGTACTTAGTGAAAAATTAAGCAATAATTATAGCAAACCACGCTAATTCCTTGAAACAAAGCTTAACCTCCACATAATTTCTGAGAGCATTGTGCAATTTCCCATTGTTATTTTCATGATGCTAACTTATTTAGTTTTTACATACAGTGATTTTGCCACTAGATAATTTACCTTGGCATTTTACAAAGTTGAAAAATCTCTTTGGAATATTTTCATATTATCTTGAGTGATGATTTCTGTTTTTTCAAGCCAGTTCATTTTAACATAGCAGGAACATCAAAAATACAGAAGTTGAACCACGGTGGTCTATTAATGAAAAAGATTTTATGTATAATTACAGGTAATTAAGTGAATCGTGTATTCAAGCAAATATTTATGAGTTAACTTCAAAGTTTCTTTTTAAAAACAAAAGCAACTGTGGTTGTGATTTTATGGGTTCTCATCCCTATCCCCCAACAGAGATGCCTATCAGAAATTTAATGGATTTCCTCCTACTACAAATGTGGTGTTATTTCACTGAATCTGTTTTGGACAAATAGAGAAGTTCAGGAAACAGCTTGGTTTCAGACATTTGAAGTTCCCTGTTCTGACCCATTAAGCAGCACTTTTTCTCCGTAACTGTTCTCTATGTCTTAAAGTTAAAAATTAAAGTTAAATGTCTTATAGTTAAAATTTAAAAATGTACAGGGCACTTATAAAGTTAGACTAGCAATATGCTCTAGATTCCAGCTTTTAAAAAAATTGCCACATATGGCTTTTGATGAATTCAATTATGTGAACGAGCTTGAAATAGGTGCTAGTACCAACTTATACCAACACATTAGTCCTTAATTGAGAAGTTTTCACTGTCTTTCATAGAATTTTGCTATTTTAGGGAATTTCTAGAACAAAGCTCTAAAAATGAAGGAATGACCTTGATATCATCAGAGTGTAAAAACTACAAAATATTAATTTTAATTGCTTAAATGACAAATTTTCTTTTAATAGTCCACTTGATGAAAGTGCTTTTAACCCGAATACCTTATCTTTGTATAAAAGGTTTTTTGGAGGTAAACTCTAGATATTATATATAAGTTATAAATATGCCAATTATATTTTTCTATCTCTCTCTCTCTCTCTATCCATCTATCTATCTATCTATCTATGAATGACAGATTCTCTGTCACCCAGGCTGGAGTGCAGTGGCGTGATTTTGGGTCACTGCAACCTCTGCCTCCCAGGTTCAAGCGATTCTCCTGCCTCTGCCTCCTGAGTAGCTGGGATTATAGGCACCCACTACCATACCTGGCTAATTTTTGTATATTTAGTAGAGATGGGGTTTCACCATGTTGGCCAGGCTAACATTTTTCTTTTTAGATAATTGATGTACTGATGTGGTTGTATTAAACTAATGTGTCAATATATGCCTTTTGTCTGCTACTTATAGAAGTTTTCTAGAATCTTTAACATGGAGATTCTTCAAAACATTTTTTAATCATGGGCTTGTGGTCGAAAGAAAAATACTCTGCACGGTGACCTGGAAAGAGCAGAGAATGGAATCACATATATTAGAGTTTGAATTCTGTACAACTGTTTAAAAGCTATTCAAAGTTTAAATTACTTAAATTTTCTAAGTCCTTGTTTCTGTAAAATAGGGATATTTTGTCTACCTAGAGCCTTAATGTAAGGATTAGAAACAGTATATGTCAAGTAGCTAGCACAGTTTTTAGCAAAAAGTAGGCACACATTCATAAAAATGAATGAAATAATGGCATTCACGGCAACTTGGATGGAATTGGAAAGCATTATTCTAAGTGAAGTAACTCAGGAATGGAAAACCAAACATTTTATGTTCTCACTCATAAGTGGAAGTTAAGCTATGAAGATGCAAAGGCTTAAGAATGATACAATGGACTCTGGGGACACTGGGGAAAGGGTTGGGGGGTGGTGAGGGATAAAAGACTATACAATGGGTACAGTGTACACTGCTTGGGTGATGGGTACATCCACATCTCAGAAATTACTACTTATTAATGTAACCAAACACCACCCGTTCCCCAAAAACCTATTGAAAATTTTTTTTAAAAAGAAGGCATGGAGCATATAGTAACTATTGTTCTCATTAGTGTTAAAAGCATTGCTAGCATAAGAATAGATTTTGTGCTACTTATCACATTTGATAAGAAAGGAAATTTGGGGGCCTATAAATACAGGTCCTTGTCTCCCAAGTCAGAATTTTTGCCATCCTAATCTGACTTGCTTTATTTTCTTCTTTACAAATCAGAATAATTTGTTCCATGATGGTAAAAGTAATATGTAATGTTGGTTCCTTCCTCCCTAATAAGAAAATTAGAAATTTGTCTTTTGAGCTGTACAAATATTATCTTATAAATTGCTTTAGAAAATTATATATTTACTCTATCTCTAGGGAAATTTTGATTCTGGAACAAATTTACAGAACATACTGAATTATATAATCATAAAAGTTGGCAGAGATAGTTCTTAATATATTTGTGTAAGATTAACTTCTGATGATACATGTTAGATAGGATTTGGATTATTAACATAAGTATATTAGCATAATAGTGTATATTTTACACATATTTGTGTTCTAAAAATCCTTGGCACTCTCATTTATTTAGGAGGAGGGAATAGGGTGGTATATAAGAGAGAACTATGCACTGAGCGGTTCAAAGTCTTGGTTAGTTGTCTTGGCTGTGATGTAATAGTAGCAAGAGGTAGTGTGCTGCAAGGAATATGAGATTCAGAATCAGGTGATGTGGAATTTCCCATTGCCATTTATATGACCACACACAAATATCACTGTTTTCTGCCATGAATACCTAGCACCTACTTCAAGTTGTTACAATCTTACAAGCTTAAATTGCCACAACTGTTTGTATTTTAAGACAATATACCTGAAAATATAAAAATGTTCATTGAGTTTACTGTGTGACATTGAACTGAAACTCCCATTTTCTAATATCAGAAATGCGGTTGAATGAGATGATACTTGTGACCCTTATGGGTTTTAAGAGAGTACTACTCTATAAAAGGTATTGAATTCATCTTTTCAAAGCAATGGGTAATAGGTGGGGTTTGCTGCATTGCTGTGTGTTTGCTGAAGAAGGTGCAAAGGCCTAGGAGAACCTCTTCTTTGTAGTTGCTGTCTTCCATTCAACATCTCTACCATTACAGTGTCTCTAACAATACAGCCACCTTGTTTACTAATTTGTGTTCTAGTTTTTGTATTTTTATCATTGAGATGCAAAGAAAACAAGAAACGTTTCCTAATCTTTTCAAGTAGAATTTCAATTGCCATCCTATATTATATTTAATAACAACAATGCAGTGAAGTGTTTTGAATTTTAAAATCGTTTTTAAAAGAACACCCCGTTTAATGTCAAAGTAGTTGGACCCTTTTATGTCTGGGCCTTTTATAGAATTTCCCTCTGGGGCATTTTGTCAATTGCTTACACGTAGGTCATGGGCAATTTGTCATTCTTTTTAAATTGTGACAAAATACTCATAACATAAAATTTACTATTGTAATAATTATATATTATATTGCAAAATACATTGGTTACAATATATATTTAAATATACAGTTTAGTGGCATTAACTATATTCATGATGTTGAGCAACTATCACCACTCTTTGGTTCTAGAACTTTCACACCCCCAACAAAAGCCCTGTACTCATTAAGTCCCTCCAAATTCCTCCCTCTCCCCAGGCTTTGGCAACTACTAATCTGTTTTCTTTCTCTATGTATTTTCCCATTCTTGATGTTCCATATGAATGGAGTCATACAATATTGTCCTTTTGTGTCTGGCTTCTTTCACTTGGCATGTTTTTAATGTTCATCCATGTTGTCACATTTATTAGTGCTGCTTTTCTTTTTTTAGCTGAATAATATTCCATTGTATGGATGTTCCACATTTTGTCCATCTGTTGATGGACATTTGGGTTGTTTCTATTTTTTGCCTATTGTCAATAAAGTTTCAACAAACATCCTGTATAAGTTTTTGTTTCAACACCTGTTTCCAGTTCTTTTGGGTATATACCTAGGAGTGGAATCAATGGTCATATGGTACAGTGGTCCCCAAATTTTTTGGCACCAGTGACCAGATTTGTGGAAGACAATTTTTCCACAGACGACAGCAGTGGGGGAGGGGGATGGCTTTGGGAAGAAACTGTTCCACCTCAGATCATCAGGCATTAGATTCTCATAAGGAGAGCAACCTAGAGCCCTCGCTTGCACAGTTCACAACAGGGCTCATGCTCCTATGAGAATCTAATGCCGCAGCTGATCCAACAGGAGGTGGAGCTCAGGCAGTAATGCTCACTACCCACCACTCACTCCTGCTGTGTGACCCAGTTCCTAACAGGCCACAGACCAGTGCCAGTCCATGGCCTAGTATTATACTTCCATGTTTAACTTATCCAGGAACTGCCAAGCTGTTCTCCTCTGATAGATTTCTGTACTTTGATTTTTATTGTATTAAATATTTTACTGTTTTATTACTTATCTAGTCACATTACATATTACTCTTTTGGAAGATTTTGGGTAAAATATAGTAAAAATTTTGTATATATTCATCATAGAGATATGGAAATAGTGGGACTGGATGTGTGGATAAAGACAGTGACACTGTTCTGCTGCAAATAGAGAGGGGATACCTGCATGAGTTTTTAGTCAATGGCAGCAGGTGCATTCCAGAGCACTGGAGACAAGTGAAATCACTCTGGTCACATTCCTGTTGAGGACTTTGTAATTGAAGTATAAACTTTGAACAGTGGCAAAACTGAGAAGACTTGCAATTCCTGTTACATCCCATAACACAACATGTCAACTGTTCCAGAACAGAGGGCATAAGATAGAACAGTAGTCCAGAAAAAAAAAATTTACAGCAGGCCGGAAAATAGATGGTGCACTTAGCTACAGCTGGCTTAAGGTTTCTTCTCAAGAGAAGTAATTCAGAGGTTTAAGATATATGCCTTCTGTTCTGCATATTGGTTAACTTAACCATGGCTCAAATAGTATGTAATTATCATTTTCTAGTAGAAGTTCAGTCATCCTCAGTTGATTCTCTTTTAATGTCTGGAGTCAGAGGATGCCCCTGAGCGATGTTATAAAGAGGTTTCTGAAGCAGGTGGGCTATGACTGACAACTGCAGCCAAGGCTTTGGCCCACGATTTTGGGCAGTACCAGGTGAGCTATACCACTGGGAATTTCCTTTCATAAAGGCCTGATGAATATGTGACTGTAATGGGGAAGTTGACATCAAACAATTATTTACTGCCTTGATCACTGCAGGAATGAGAGAAGTGGAGGAAACGTATTTGCTCATGAGTCACATGAGCTTTACAGACAACACGGGAAAATTCCCACATATCAGGGACCCAGATCTCTTTTGGTTGGGGTAGGTTTTTTATTTTCATTTTTGCTGGTACCCAACCTTATAAAAATATGCAGTTAGTGCAAATTATTCCACAGTCTACCGGTCCAAACTGATGTTACTCCATGGGGTACTTTCTAGTCATGACATATGCTACAATATTGAAGATTTAGAATGACCTATTCAGAAGAACCACCCAAGTTTCTTTTATGGTCTTCAGATTCAAAATACAATGTAGCCTTCATACCCGAATGCTTTTAAATTTGTTCTTGCCTTATATTTATTTATAACTAAAAAATTTTGTAATTTCTTTTTTTTTTCATTTTTAATTTTTGGAGACAGGGTCCCACTCTGTTACTCAGGCTGCAATACAGTGGCTCCATCATGGCCCACTTCAGCCTCCAACTCCTGGGCTCAAGTGATCCTCCCACCTCAGCCTCCTGAGTAGCTGAGACTAAAGGTACACACCACCACATCCAGCTAATTTTAAAATTTTTTATAGAGATGGGAGTCTCACTATGTTGCCCAGGCTGGCCCCGAACTCCTGGCCTCAAGCTATCTTCCTGCCTCAGCCTCCCAATATACTAGGATCATGGGTGTGAGCCACTATGCCTGGCCAAGTTTTGTAATTTCAATTCTAATAGGATATATTCCAATAAAATCTGATCTCCTTAACATTTTCTTAAAATTTCTTGCTTTAAATTTGTTTATAACTGGAAGTTTTGTCTTTTTTTTCTTGTAAATGTGTCTCTTATTCCCAGCCTGCTTCTGTAAGAATTTTGTACTCTGGTTCCATTTTAAAACAAAAGAATTACAAAGCTGAAAAGTTGGGAATATTTCTGCGGAGAGAATCAACTTGGAAGCTATTTCATCTTTTTATTTCCAAATACATTTTTCCCTAAGTCTCTTTTAGGGTCTTACGTGACACAGTATATTGATTCATGGCATTAATATGATGTAATGTAACTTTTGTATAGTGTCTAATAATTATTCAAACTGTGTATAATTATCAGGATGACAAATATACATGGTAATGTATGATTGATTTTATCAGGAAATTAAATTTGTTTTTAGGTTGTTGCAAAAGTATTGTGGTTTTTGCTATTATTTTTAAGTAATAGAAGAAAATTCTCTTTGGAATGCACCTTGACACATGAAGATGTCAGCATCTATTGGACGAAGTTTGGATTTTTAAATGAAATTCATAGTGGTTTTTGGCTCATCATCTACTTTAGAATGCATTCATTTACTTCCTTTATTTTTGTGCTACAAAACCTGATACCATTGCAATTTTTGGCTTCATCGTTTTGAAGTTGGTCAGCAGCAAGCAGATATCATTTGTAAAAAGATGCTACAGCAAAGAAAGGCTAGGATTTTGCACTATAGGCTCGTTCCTTGAGCTGCCACCAGTTTGGAGCCCAGCAGGACCACCTGTGCTTACCTGCGTTTATGGTGCAACATGCTGTCCTGGGTTCCCTGGGTGCAGTCCTGTCCCTGTTCTCAGGGAGATTACAGTCTCATGGGTTGACTACTTTTGAATTTTACTTAGAAAAAGGGCTCTAAGAGATATGGTTTGAAAAGGGTAATACATGAAAAAAATAAAAAGCATAGCTTAAGACCAGGAAGAACACAGACTTAAAGATGCATTTTGTGCTATGGTGTATCCGAAAAAGGGGAGAAAGCTTATTTTGAACCCTGGTGGCAAATTCATATAAATCAAAAGCCAAAGAAGTAATAGAATTGAATAAATTGGAGCCAGTCTTGCCAACTTTTAATGATTATTTAAGAAAAGCCAGAAATCTAATTTCTATGTGAAAGCTCTTGATGCTGATATATTGAAACTAATATTTATTTAAAAACTTAGCATGGGTCGAAACAACCAACCAATCAACCAGCTCAGTCCTTGGACTCCAAGTCTGTAACTGTTTTGAACTGTGTTATAAAGGGCTAGTTGCCATAATCAGTTATCACTGAGCAGAACATTGCAACTGAGTTCCTATGCAGAGAATCTTTGTGGTAAATGTTTATCTAATATATACCTATCTTCTTTTCCTTTATTGGTTTTCAAAAAAAATTTTTTTACTCTTTTAATTGTTCAAATACTGATTTCAGTTTTCACCTGCACCTCCTCCCCCTGCCCCAGGCAATGCCTCTTAGAAAAATGATTTAATGAGCACTGGCTGCATTGTGTTCCCCAAGGCACTGAAGAGATAATTTTGAGTAATAGAAGGAATACAGAGACCGTAGCTGAAAAAATCTGGATAACACCTGAGCAGCTCAGGTGCTATAAATGGAGGTAGAATTTCAGATTTCCAAATTAGTACATATCAGCAGGTATTTATTTTATTAAAAATATATTATGAATTAACTATATCAGAAAAATAGAAGACGAAATTAATATTTTCTGGATCCCTTCTATGTGCTGGGTATAGTCTATGAGATTTATGTAAGTCATCTCATTCTTAAGTCCTACAGCAAACCAATGAAGTGTTTTCTTCGTTTTTTCACTAGTGATCAAGCTTAACCTAAGAAACGTGTCTAAGGTTACCCAGTGGGTATAAGGCAGACCAAGGATTCTAGCCTTTCAGAATCCAAAGCCTAGTATCTTCTCTCTTGCCCTTTTAGCACCTCCCCGTATTAGGGAAGTTTGCCATTTAGACGGTGTAATTAAATTTCAATAATTGTAATTTATCAGCTGGTATTATCACTGTATTAGTCCATTCTCATGCTGCTGATAAAGACATAGCTGAGACTAGGCAATTTTCAAAAGAAAGAAGTTCATTAGACTTACACTTCCACATGGCCAGGGAGGCCTCACAATCATGGTGGAAGGCAAGGAGGAGCAAGTCACATCTTACATGGATGGCAGCAGGCAAAGAGAGAGCTTGTGCAGAGAAACTCCCATTTTTAAAACCTTCAGATCTCATGAGACCCATTCACTATCACAAGAACAGCACGGCAAAGACCCACCCCCATGATTCAATCATCTGCCACCGGGTCCGTCCCACAACATGTGGGAATTATGGGAGCTACAGGATGAGATTTTGGTGGGGACATAGCCAAGCCGTATCAACCACAAAGTGAAGGAAGCAGGAACACCTGCTTTAGTAGATTTAGCAAAGCTTTAGTAGATTTAGTTATTTACACTTTATTACTACATACAGCAAATTTCCAAGACTCTACAGCAAACTAGGTTCATAAAAACAGTTCAAATCTCACATATTGAGAGTTCATGACTGATACATGAACAGCAGTAGTAAGTAAATCTTCACTAAAGTGCAATACCAAATTCACAAGGTGTCCAAGATCCTTAACAAAAACATATGCTTGTACTTTGTAATTATCCATAAAACTTTAAAGCCGGTGATGTTTATATTTATTGTTGTAATAAAAGTATTTTGTTGAAATCTCACATATGTATATTTTAGTAGGTTGTGAAATCTGAGACATGGATATTTAAAAAGTGTTATGCATTCAATCTCATTAAATAGTTGAGAGCAGCACAAAAACTAGCTTACGTTTTATAATCATAGACTAGAAGATACATGAAGACTCCTATTTCTAATTGTAGATTAACAAGAAATGAATATGAATATCATGTTTTCTCAGTTCTAAGTGATATAATATCTTGCTGTCTCTGAAATTGGAGTGTATCTTATAATTGATAAAGTCTTATCCTTGGTATTGTCCAGGCGGCCGCCTTGATGAAGTTGTCATTGCTCTCATGTGTGCAGGCTTGGTTGTTACTGCAGGTAGTATGATTGCAATGCCTCAAAATTTTAGTTAACAAACAAAGATCCTTTGAGAAAGGAATTTTCAGATAGTAGGTTGGAAGAAGTTCCTGGAGACAGTTGTGGAGCACATTAAGAAATGCTGCATCATCTCCCATATTGATGGCACAGAGGTTGATGTTACATGTGAAACAAGGCATTGATGACTTGAAGTCAAGTCACTGATGACTTAAAAGAGTAGGACTCTGAATATGAAGAAGTATTAAGAATACCTTAACCAGTTTATTTTACTTATTATCTTCCTGTTTTACATGCATATAAAGGTCATATGAGATAAAAGTCTCTATATAAATGAGCCTAATTTTTCAAAAAGACTAAATTTGAAAGTTTGTGTGATAATCAATTCAGTCATAATTTGACAGTGTTTTTCTTTGTGTTAAATTTCATAAGCAATAGTATTTCATAAGCAATAGCATCTTACATGTGATTAAACATAGTAGTAAATAACACTTCAAATCAAAATTCAAAGCTCAGAAATAATTTATTTTCATCACTAAAATAAGAAACTTAATAGTATTGTTTGTTTGTACATACATATCTTCTTTTAAATTTTTGTGGGTTAATTTGTAAATGGCATCCCAAAAGTCAGCAGTGTGTACTAATTTAAATTTGTAAGTAAGAGAAAATCAAAAGTAGAAACATAATTGAATGGCCGAAAAATTAATTGGTTCTCACTTGGATTCCTTCTGTAAATGTTTCATCAATAATGGCCCTTTCTACTATTTTCAATCTGATTCTTATTTTTTAAAACAGTTGTTCTTTGATCTGTTATTGAATGTATTGACCATGCCTTTTCATTTTGAATCCGCACTTTTAAAATATTACAGTGATAGATATCCTTGAATATTCAGATTCTAAATTCATGTATAAAATCCTGTTATATTGAAAAAGCAAGAAAACAAAAAATCCAAACCAGGCACTTTATTGTGTGATATATTGAAAATAGAGCCAGTATCATGACATTGGTAAAATATGCAATTGAAGACATAGGATATGTTTAACTTAACTTTCGTGCATAGAAAATCCTTGATAAGGATACACTAAACCATTTTGTAAATTGTAGATATATTGAAGTGATGGAAGCCTCACTCCTGAAGAGACATTGCATAATATTTGGAATGATATGGTTGATGTATTAAGCAGAAGTTACAAAAAGGCATAAAATCTAGTGTATGAGTAAAAATCAAAAGCAAAAACAAAAAAACTTCCCAGTTTATGAAAAACTCGCAAAGTAAAATTCACTTCATTATAGCAATGACTTCTCCAAAGATATATTAGCTGCCAGAATGCGCTGTGTTCATGCTTTTCTGCTGAATTTAAAATGCAGATGCATAATTGTAAAGTTAAATATCATTTATTTTTTAATGTTTATACTTTCATGCTGCCATTTTGTTTTATGTTTTTTAGAGAGTGTATTTTACTGTCTTTTAAGAATACAAGAAATATACCTTGTCATGAAAATACCAGAAAAATACAAATAAAAGAAGAAATTTATATAGCCATTTAAAAAATTCTTTTTAGTGTTTTAGACTTTTTAGAAATTTACATCTTTTCTATACTCTTTTAAAAACTCTAAGCATATATATTTTCCCTTTCTTCTAATAAAAATGATATATTCACCTGAAAAATTTCAAGATACATTTGTATCAAGCTTTAAAGGAATCACACATGGCAAATGCTTCTTAGTTACTTACAGGAAAGGAATCTAAAAGCTGCTTATGTGTCTTAATCAAGCCTATGCATCCCTAAGACACATGGATATTTTTACACATTATTACATTTATATAATCATAAATATGCAATATATTAAAATATATACTTATATAAAGATATGAATGTCATATTTTTATCATGTTTTAATAACAAAAATGGTGTGATTTATATATGATTTTACTGTTGTGATTTTTAGTTTCAATAATTTTCATATGAAATGGCAGGTTACTGAACAGGTCTGTTCTTTCAGTTTGAATTATTCTAGTTCACTTCAATGAAAACAAACTTCCTTATGGAAGCACGGTAAATACTCTTGCTTATTTCTTTGAAGGCATTCCATGTCTTCTACTCTTCTTGATAGCATGTTCCTTCTAGGTACCTGGGCAAACAACCCAGAGTAATATGCCACCTAGTGACTCTATAAAGAATTCACAACTTTCAATCAATAGTCCATCATGCATTAAAGCCATTTCACAGAACAGGTCTTTTTTCAAAATGCCTTCTATGTACCTGTATATGTACTGCTTTGGATCTCCTCTTTCATTTATATTTCCAAATGTCAATTATGATATTCATATTTGGATTTGATATAAAACAATTTCAACATATAATTTCCATTCCTCCTGAAGTAATAAATTTGATAGTCCTCAACAAAATCCAAGTTAAGTGGCCAAATTGCCTAGAATTCTGGGCAGATTCATGTTTTTTGTGTCTGGAATATAGTTAAGTGCTTCAGTGAGTTAAAATATGTTATAAGCACTAGTTCAGTTAATTATGTACCTTAGAAATAAGTACTAGGCCTTTTCCCAGAGGTAGAAGTAAGGGGATTGTTCTCTAAACAGCACGCACATTAGTTGTAAGAAAAATGTTGTGTTATAGTATTTATACTGTTGAAGAATAAGAATAAAATATTAAACTGCAGTAAGTTAATAGCAAGAACATTATACAACATTTATCCCTGTTGTAAAGTTTGAATCATAAGCAGTAAGCCAAATATTAATTATTAATATTCTAAACTACAGCTTTTGAAACCTATTTCAATGTTATTAAATATTTTAAACTCATGGTGTCTAACATTTCCTGGAAAACCATGGTGTTTTTGTGTACACCCTGGTCAACATGATGGTATGTGTGTGTGTGTGTGTGTGTGTGTGTGTGTGTGTATGAAACATGCCCTTCTCTCACTCATTTGTGTAGCAATTATTGATTACCTTGGTTTCCTTAATAATTCTGTCATTCAGAAGGACTGGTAATAAAGGCTTGGTTTCTTACTTAATTTCCATGGGAATTGGAAATGCCCACAATATTCCAATTGAGGAATTTAACAGTTACACATTTCTGTTGTGCATATGATTTGGATTTTGGTATCAAGTTGTGGATTAAGTGAGCAGAAGCTGTAAATTCTTATTATAGAAAGCCCTGAACTCTCATCTTTAGCTTTCCTAGCCATAATAGTGGGATAGCATGATGTCTTGTCTACCTCATGAGATTGTTGTAAGAATTAAATGAGATTGGGAATGGGAAATTTTTCTATGGTTTATAACCATATAATTTACATAGAATGTAAATTATAATAATCCTATACTATAGTATTTTAGGAATTAGTTATGCATTAGAATGAAGGAATAAACTATTGCAATCAATGGGAACTAGTAAGGTATATTTAACTACTTAAGTCTGTAAGTGAGGAATGTTAATAAATCAGGACCCAACCCTTATTTTGAACTTTCACACTTAAAATATTTGGGAAATATGGACGGGTGCAGTGGCTCATGCCTGTTATCCCAACACTTTGGGAGGCCAAGGTGGGCAGATCACTTGAGGTCAGGAGTTCGAGACCAGCCTGGCCAACATAGCGAAACCCCGTCTCTACTAAAAAACAAACAAACAAACAAACAACAACAAAAAAAACACGCACACACAAAATAGCTGCACATGGTGGTGGGTGCCTGTGATCCCAGCCACTGGGAAGGCTGAGGTGGGAGAATCACTCGAACCTGGGAGGCAGAAGTTGCAGTGAGCCGAGATCATGTCATTGCACTTCAGCCTGGCTGACAGAGACTTGTCTCAAAAAAAAAAAAAAAAAAAAAAAAAAAAGGAAATATTTAAAAATGGGTTTGAAATTCATTTGATTATATAAGACAGGTATTTTGATATTTTCTGAAACTATGTGTTATTTATTGTTGGGTATTATGAAAGTTCTCTGTGAACGTTTTCAAATACTTTGGAAAATTTTCCTCTTTGGGAGAAAATGATGAGAACCTGTCCTCAGAGCAAATGGTGCTTATTATGCTGTTTCAGACTTGTGTGTTTCCTTTGCAGTATCTTGTAATTTTAACTAATAATTTCTACTGAAAGGAAATTTATGTAGTTTTTTTTCTTAGAAATTAAATAAAACTTAGGGCTATGATGTCCAGATGGCTACAACCTTCTATATTGCTTGCAGATCAGTTTGTAAAACAGGGTTTCATACTACTTTGAAGAGTTTGAATAGGTAACTGCTTGTCTTTTGTTCTATCCTCTTCCTAAAAATGTAGTTAATTTGCTTGATAAGGGCAATTCTCCTCCCTATTCCCCACCTCCCGCCCCTTCTCTCTGTCTCTCTGTCTCTGTCTCTGTCTCTCTCTCTCTGTCTCTCTGTCTGTCTCCACCACCACCCTCCCCACCCTCCCCTGACAAGGCAGGTGGATCACCAGGTCAGGAGTTCGAGACCAGCTCTCTACTAAAAATACAAAAATTAGCAGGGCGTGGTGGCGCATACCTGTATCCCAGCTACATTACTTGGGAGGCTGGGGCAGGAGAATCGCTTGAACCCAGGAGGTGGAGGTTGCAGTGAGCCGAGATCGCGCCACTCCAGCCGGGCAACAGAGCGATACTCTGTCTTAAAAAAACAAAGAAAAGAAAAAAGAAAAGGACCGGGAGCGATGGCTCACGCCTGTAATCCCAGCACTTTGGGAGGCCGAAGCGAGTGGATCATGAGGTCAGGAGTTCAAGACCAGTCTGGCCAAGATGATGAAACACTGTCTCTACTAAAAATACAAAAAAATTAGCTAGCCATAGTGGCAGGTGCCTGTAATCCCAACTACTCAGAAGGCTGAGGCAGGAGAATTGTTTGAGCCCAGGAGGTGGAGGTTTCAGTGAGCCAAGATCACACCACTGCACTGCAGCCTGGGAGACAGAGCCAGACTCCTTCTCAAAAAAAAAAAAAAAAAAAGAGTTGCATTGAGGGAACTGACAAACTGACAAGATGAGGAAGCAAAGACAACATTAGTAGTAGTTGAAAGTATGCCTGATTTCAAGTTCAGGCTGACATTTACCAGCTGTGTGATCTTGGACAAATCACTTTACCTCTTTGTGATTCCATTTTAGCTTTTGTAAAATGAGGTTAATATTATCTACCTTATGGAATCACTATGAGGATTATGAGTTAAAATGTCACCTGGCACTGGGAAGCACTATGAGAGGATCTGCCTCTCATAGAGTGGCCTGATGTTATAAACTTTCTTGATCTTTTCTTTTAATTTGAATGTTTATTAAATATGGTTTCATTTTTAATGAAATTATTGTTTTAATGTAATTATTGTTTTTCCTCTGTGTGTACGTTCCACCTCTTTGCAGAAATTAAGCTCAGTTGCTTGTTGTAGGAGGGGCCACAATGTCTAAAGGAAGTGAAATTGCAGGAATAAATAGAGCAGTTGAATGTAATGGAATGTTGGTTATTGCTGAGTTAAAATCAGTACAGAATATACTGGAATAAGAATTTACTCTAAAGTCATGCAAAACTCCTAGTATTTACCTTAAATTTTTAAGTGGCTAGTCATTTCTGTAGATCCTTTTAATTTCAGTGATAAGCTGTAAATTCAATTGCTTTCAGAAGGATAAAAATGGAATAAAGAATTGCAATAATATTGCATGGTAACTATAATTGTGAATGTGGAAGTACCTTGTAATTATAAAAAGACTATCCAGACTTGGCACCATGGCTCACGCCTATAATTTCAGCTCTTTGGGAGGCTGAGGCACGAGAATCACTTGAGACCAGGAGTTCGAGACCAATCTGGGCAACATAGTGAGACCCTGTCTCTACAAAAAATGAAAAAATTAGCCAGGCATGGTGGTGCATGCCTGTAGTCCCAACTACTCAGGAGGCTGAAGTGGGAGGATTGCTTGAGCCCAGGAATTTGAGGCCACAGAGAACTATGATTGTGCCACTGCCCTCCAGCCTGGGTGACAGAGTGAGACCTTGTCTCTAAATAATAAAAATACTATCCAGATGTGGGTTATTATTATCTGTTGTATCTTTGCCTTCTGCAGAGGAGTCTTGCTTTCTGGAAGACATGGCAAAAATTAACATGCTGTTTTGAAGAGCAAGTTATCTCTCAGTCCCTCTGGGCTGAGGCCTCCTTCTGAAAACTCATTATATCATTATCTTTTCTTGTAAGTGGTTGATAGCACAGGCTTAGCATTGTGACAATTATATAATTTTAGTGATATAAACTGAGGTGATACAGCCATTGTGCAATGTCCTTAATTTAAGAAAATCTAAATATCATATAACCAGATTTTAATTTATAGTGCCCTCTGTATGTCTATCCTGATCTTTTGACCTTGTGAGTCAGATCTAGATATACAATATTCTTTCCTTTGACTTGATAAATATTTTAGACTAGATCTAGTATTTCAATCCCTTGAAAATCTTACACATTCATGAGAATTACAAGAACTGTTCTTGCCATCATACTTGCAGGCTTGAAGGCTTCTAGAATTTTTTTTTCAAGTTTTATAACCAAGGTTTATAATACTTGCTAGCACAAAATTGACTAGAAACTCTATGAAGTATTTGTAGAACTATTTTTTTTTTTCATTTGATTAGAACCACAGAATTTCAATTCTGGAAGTACCTTCACAAAACATTTAGTTCAATAAAAGACACCAATATGCTCCCCAGAGATACATAGCTGGAAAACAAGATGAAATTGCAATCCCTGGACAAATAATTTCTGACACTGCTAGTTTTCAAGTCTCTCTTTTCTGTTCTCTCCCACAACTTTGGTATCTTTCTTGTATGATTTGGCTTCCATCTCTTCTTCGGTTCCATCTGATGTTGCTGATCATGTCTTTCTAAAAGCATCCCTAGGTTTCCTTTACAGTCTTTTATCAATCCTCTTCCCACCCTAGCATCATCACTGTTCGTCATGACTTGGATTTACTATTTTATGGGTCTTTCGTACTTACTGATTATGGTTGTTTAACGTTTTTAAAACATCAGCGTTTGTTACAAGAGCCTTCCGGGGAAGAATCAAGAAGGGACAATCTTAGCCAAGATAACATGGCACAACACTCCATTTCTGAAAATATTGTCCACGCCCTAAAATGATTAATTCACTAGCAAGTCATGTAACTACACATCTACCACTGAATTACTTGGGGATTTTAAATGGATTTGTGTTAAAATATTATTTGTTGAGATAAAGCTATATGGAAATTTACAAACATTGGTGATGAATATTTAGACTTCTTCAACTGTCCTAGGTTAAGGAGTACAATAGATTAACACAAACAAAATGATCAAGACAGCCTTATAAATGAGAGAATATGGCTAGAACTTACTAATTTTACATTATTTTGATATCTGTATGTGTTGTTTTAGATTAAAATCTAAATCTGTCACTTTAGAGTGAGCTGTCTAATAATATTTTCATATGTGTAACTGCCAGTTAGAGATAACTTGAAGTTCAGTGCAAAGTCATTATGTTTTAAAGGAAGAATTTGTTAACCTGTCAGAGTTTGAAGGTTATTAATGGTGATTAAATATAGGGGAAAAATGGAAAGCCATATTTCAAATGAGGTACTGAAGAAAGCAGAAATGCAGCAGGGGTGGCAAAGGAGAATGTTAAATTATTTTATACATTTAGGATTCAGTAATCATGTTTTCTTTACTCTTCTTTACTTCCCAGAGACCATAATTACATTCTAATTTAAAACTCTTATATAACAGCATCAACATCAGATAGTCTGTTGAGTTAAAGGGTATTATCTCAAAATGGGTTGAACTATAACAAGACTATTTCCTGCCAGGACACATTAAGTGGGCTCTCAGAATAAAACATATATGGATATTTACTGATGCCTGCCCCCTTCTCTGGGTTGCCTTCTGGACGGTGTTTTCTATACAGTACATTTTGCTTTCTACAAATTTCTGAGCATACAACATACCAGTGTCTAGATCCTACTGAGTGTTTTGCACTGTAGCAAGCCAGGCAGAGAGGAATAGCCCTGTCTCACATTCCATTGTCTTTCCCCTTGAGGAGTTTACATTCTTATTGAAAGGATGGTAAATGAAGCAACAAAAACAATAACACAAGTAGCTTATTAAGTCAAATTGAAGCATAAACTCTATGTCCTATAGAAGTTTAGAAGAGAAAAGAATTGAGTCTGGACAGATTGACTAGGGAAAGCACCATGCTGGGATTTCAGGTAAACTTTGAAGGTTTTGACAATTGTAATTAAGTAGGTGGGAGAAGGTGGGCATTGTGAGAAAATGGAATTTATATCTCAGGAAATGAATGATTGAAAATTTTAGATTAAATTTTATGAGATTAAAAATATTTAAGAATAAATACATGTGCATGACATAAAAATAAAAATGTATAAATAGTGGGTACCTATCCAGTAACAGAGAAATCCCTCCCCAAAGAGGCAATCACTGTTGTCAATTCCCTTTCAGAGATAGCCTGTGTATACAAAAATGCGTGTATGTGTGCCTATCTGTCTGTATTTTTTTTCCCTGGAACTGACCTTTTCCATGAAGAGATACCTTGCTCTTCACCACAGCTCAAGTCAATATATGAGAGTGCTTACTTTATTTAAATACTTTAGCCATTTGCCTATTAATAGACATTTGGGTCACTTCCAATCTTTAGCTTTTACAAATGTTGCAGTAAATATCTTATATGTATATCTTTGTGCATATCAATGTTTCTGTGGTATACATTCCTAGAAACAGGAATCTAGGGGCAAAAGATGTATACTCTAAATTTATAGATATTGCCAAATTTCCACAGAGTATCCCCCAAATTGTCCCATATTTCCTCTCAGTCATATATGGGACATCTTTTTTCCCTACAGCTCTGCCTTCACATATATTTGTCAGACTTTTTGATATTTGTCAATGTGAAAGGGAAAAATATATTTCATTGTAGTTAAAATGTGTGTTTCTTAGTTTCATGAGATTCTAAGTAATATAGATAGCACAATCCCTTAAGGACTATTTAAAATATGACATTTTACTAGAAAGATTACTTATTGGATACTTACTGGTTTCAGTGACAGCTACAAAACCATACTAAGGACAAGCTGAATCATGTTGGGTATGTAGGGTGTTAATTACCTTAGTGTTGTTGCTGTACATTTTTCTGGCTCCCACAGCTTTAAACATCATTAAAATAAGTAAAAGAAAACGTAATGGTTCAAACCTCAACCTGCGCCGAGTGGGCTCTCAACAGCTTGAATTAATGACTCAGAGAATGAATGGGAATCTTAACCTTTAGAAAGGTGAGATTTCAAGGCAGGAGAGATAAACCTCACGTTCTGGTTTTGTTCTCTGATTATCTAATTATTTTAATTCTCTCTCCATCCAAAGACTAATCAAGGGCAGAATGAAGAAATATGCATTATATTATCCTTAGTGTCCTGAAATAATAAATAATGTACTTTATTGATCAAATGGCTCTGGATTTCTTTCTGTGATTTTTTTCCCCTTTCTTTTTATCCACATCTGCTATAAGGTATTTTTAAAATTAATAAACCTGCGGGATTTGTCTTCTTAGTAGAAAAACAAAAACGAAATAAAACCAAAAAACCCAACCCTGCTTATAAAAGAGAATACAGCCAATCCAAACATTCTTAGCATTTTTTCATGTTGTAAAGTGGTGTATTGAGGGAATGTCATTCCCAAAGTAAGGAAGATTAAGGTTGGATGTGGGGTAAATTTCTGCTATTGTAACTGTAATACAGCATCTCAGTCTCAATAAAAGAACTGGACAGTTTCTGAGGGTGCAGACTCATGTAGGACTCACATATATATAATTTTTTTATATTTTTTGGAAGTACCATCAAATGAGTCCAAAATTCACAGGAAGGAGATAAAAGGATTAAAAAGATAAAGGATTAAAAAAAATTACAGCCAAAGGGTTGGTAATTGGTGAGTGGTGTTCACTAGTATGAGGGGACGTGAGAGGATGTTTCTTGGCTCAAGCATCCTATTCTCAAACTACAAATTAGTTTACAAATTAAGAGCACGCTAATCTATGGCAGCTCAGTCCCAAGGAAGCAGATTTTAGTTTTTAGTGCTCAGAAATGAAGGATTCCCACAAGGAACTTTGCCTACTGTACCAAAATAAAAGGATCATCACAAATAAAGCAATAATTCAGTTACCTGCTCCTGAATAAAAGTCTCTGCTTTATTTTTAAGCCAAGTACAGTGATTTCCCAATTTAGCTTTTTGGGAAAAGCCTGTCAGGATGCTATGACAATCCTCATTTTCCTTCCCCAAAGGAACTCCCTCGTTTGCCAAAACCATATTCTAGCCTAGTAAGTAGTGAGACTTCATCTTTAGCCACACTTTTAGGAGTACTCTAGAGAGTCTGGGTGTTATTCTTAAGCTATTTATAGCAAAGGGAGTTGAGTGAAAGCTGGGTGCTGTGGTGGTATGGGGGTTATTTTTAGTACTTTCGGCACTTTGTGTTTTTCCAAAACTGTTGGCTTCTATGAACAAGATGTAAAAATCACTAGATTTCTTTCTTTACAGTATTGCAGAGCAGTTTAAAAAGAAAGAAAACGTAATATTATCTCACATTTCTAAATCTGAGTTTGCTTGCCATTTTTATATTTTTAAACCTATCTTTTATTTTCTGCACAGGCATAGATTGAGCTTAATACCAATATTGGTTTACTGATTAGAAAAGTGATGCCTACTAGCAAGAAATATGAACAATATAGAGACCAACAAATCAGAAAATGAAAATCCCGCTTTAATCACCATCAGATGAAATCTCAATGAAGAGTTTTGAGGAGAGTCATACAGACTTTTCTCTGCATATTTTCATTACATATGTAAATGTGCACGCATACGTGCTTATTTTTGACCTAAGATAATATTATATGTTCTTTCCTGAAGGTTTCCTTTTTTTCCATTTGTCAGTGTGTTTTGCTCATGGTTGCATGCCAATACATGTAGCATTACTAGATTACTTTTTAACTATTTGATGTTCCATTATGACTATATCATAGTTTAGTAAACCAGTTGCCTTTTGATATATATTTGTTATTTCCAATTTTTCACTTAGATGATACTATAGTAATAAATATCTTTATACATGCTGTTGCAAATATTTCTACAATATACTTGGAGTGAAATTTTGATATGCACATTTAAAAAAACTGAAGCCTTTACATGAGCAAATTGTCACTGTCGTGACAGGCTTTTTAAAGGTAGAATTATTTTAGGAAACCAAGTAAAGCCTAAACCCAATGGCTATGTTGGTGATAGGTCTCATCAGCTCCACATTCAAAATGCCAAGATGCAATAATTTGCCCAATCTCTTGAGTTTTAGAGACATTCTAAACCGTCCTTTGTGTGGCTTTGTGAAGCTCTCACCATGGTGTCTCTTAATCTCATTGTCATGGCCATCTTCATCCATGTACCTTCCCCACTGTACCATGCTTTCTCTTAGCTGACCGTGTTTAGGATTAACTCAGTAAATGGTTTCCTAATGTGCTTCCAGATGGAGCTCAGAGAGCAATTTAACCCAGTTGTAATAACCATGTTTTAGAAAGATTAAGCCCATTTGGATTACTTTACACCAAAGAAGGGGATTTATCTGAAAGATCCAGATGAATTTCATGGATCCCATGAGCTTAAAACACAGTCGTCCCTCAGAAAAGACTAGAACCAGGAACTGAAAAGCCATATAGAACTGAGGTGACTTCATCTTCCCAAGACCTTGGGGTTTCTCATCTCTGTGTCTCTCTGCTCTCATTCATTTTTTGGATGATCAATTATCTCGACCCATCAAGTGGAAACAAGCCACCCAAGGCCATCAAGCATTTAACAAGATCAACTGTCTTAGAGTCGTGGTTCCAGATTTCCTAGGGCAGAATGTTTTATTGGTCTGTGTAGTCATGTGTTCACTCCTGGTATAGTTAGGGAATGAAGGTGAAGGAGCCTGTCATTTTCTTCTTATCAATCACTTCCTCCTTCTCAGATGTTACTATCTCAGAGAGGCCTTTCCACCCACCCAAAATGTACCCCTTGTCCATGACTTTTCCTCTCTTGATTTTGTATTATTATTTTGAGGCACTTAATTTTGAGCTACTTTGTTGTTTGTTTTTTTCTCCCACTAGAATATTAGCTTCGTGGTATAAGAAAACGTATCTATCATATTCATTGCCATAATACCAGGGCCTGAAATAGGGCTTGATTTCATAGCAGGCACTCAATAAATACATGGTGGGTGAAGACCCAGGTGGACAGACCTAGAAGACACCTCTTTGTCTTGCAGAGGCTGTCTCTTGGGACTTTAGTGGCTGGTGAAATTGTACATTTCAGCTTCTCTCAGAGCTGTTTTGTCCTATATGTACATTTGACTACTTCTCTTATTTGGAGACCATATATTTCACTACCTCTTGATTTAAACAGGGCACGCCTACCTTCAAACTGCTTACAGTTTTATTGTAATTTAATCTCGTAGAAACCACATAGGGTGAGCAAGTTAGGTACCATCTTCTTTGGTAGATATATTAACTGAGATGTTGTATGCTTTGTTCAAAATCAAATACCTAGTAGACAATGGAGCTCATTCTAGAACTCATGTCTTTGCTGGGGTTCCTCTCAATAATGCCTAGCTCCTAGGATTAATTATTTGCAGTTGACAAGGAACTTTTAGTTCCAACTCAAAAGTGCTATTTCTTCATAAGGTACAACAAAGGACCATGCCAAGAAAAATCAATGGTATTATAGTGTATATCTGCTTTTTAAAACTTCCTGTGGATCAATTTTATATGCATGAAATTTCTAACAATAATAGTTCTATTTTCATAGATTTCTATTTCAAGATAATGTCGACATAATTGTGACATTTCAAGTATTAATGGTAGTTTCATTTTTTTTTACTCATATCCTGTTTTATGCTTCCCTTGGTAACAGATCTCTGAAAATGTATTATCAGAGAACAAATGCTGTGCTACTCTGCATCTGCCCTCCTTTGGCTTTTATTACTACTTATTCACTCACTGTTAATGGAGAGATTACTGTGCGCTATGTTTAAAGAACTTCGTGGAAACAGCTTGGGTCAGTGAAATGCAGACAACCAACAACAAAAAAATGGAAATGCATAGGCTAAATATTTTCATTAGAAGCCATTGTTTCAATAACTATGGCATAGAGCTTATAATTTTAAACATACCATTTATTTTTAGAAAGTGTAAAAGTTATTAAAATGGATGCTCTTGGTATGTGTCTCATTCAGTAGTAAATATATATTTACTATTTTCTATATGGGAGAAGATAACCCCTGCCTTTAGAAGTTTTAAATGCAGAAGAAAAAGTCACACTAAAAAATAACTGCAGAACCATGGTGTATGTTAAATGTGTGTGAGCATTCTTTCTACATATCTGGCCTAGTGTCGAGTGGATTTCATAGCATATAGAATAGAGTATATAGATGTTTGTTGAATGGCTATATGCATGACTGGATACTTGAACAAACCTCCAAGTAGAGTGATTAAAGCAAAAGGCTTGATGAAGAGGTAGGCTTTTAAGAGGCAACATGGGAGCCAGAAGGCAAGTATTCCAGGCAGAGAGAATTAATAAGAGTTGATTTGCTTTTCCAAGGAAGGAAAAGATAATGTGGCATGAAGCCTGCTGACAAACAGGTAACTGGGAGGATTTGGCTTTTAAGATTTTTGTACACCTGACTATACAGAAAAGTCTAGTGTATAAGACTTTTCTTTAGTGGTGGACAAATTTGGAATTCTGTAGAGAATGCATTTCCCTTATCTGTTATCCTTGTTCACCACTGGCCCTTTTCTTTGCCTCATTCAGTTTTAATCATCATCCTGAAATATCTTCTCTACTTCTAAAAACAACTATCAAGGGACATATGACCCAACCCAAATATGAAACTATGGTTGGCGGCCCCATGGATATGGAATAACACAAAATTAAGTATAACCACAGTTGCCTTGCTTAGAGGGAAATGACATTTATCTGAAATTATTTTTGATGTGCTCAAATTTTAAAAAAGAACCGAGAATTTATTCATTACACTAATACATTTTAAATGTATTCCCTTATAAGAATGACTCATCATGAATCACACATTATAGGAGCATTTTAGTCATTGTACACAAATGAAACAGTGACAAAGGAAAATGAAATGTCACCTTGTTTGTTCCATTATGTTGTGTGGTTTAAGATTCAGATTTTTTTTAAGTTATAGCCTATAGCCAATAAGCCATATATTCCAATTCTACCATATTTTTGAAAATCAAATATGAATTTTTAATTTGTGAAATAAGCCTGCTTGGGAATATTTATTTCATTTGTGCAATACCTTATTTTTATGATACAGAAATTAATGAATATAGTTTTTCCATGACATAAATTAATTTCCATTTTCTTCCATAAATTTCAAAAGCAGGCTTATCATTTAAGCCAGTGAGTTGGGGTACTGTGAATATAATATTGCAATATATACTAAGAGTGACTCTGAATAATTAGGTGGGATATCTAGTAGATATTTGACTTAATCCCACCACTTAATCCCTCTGTTTTCTGTGCGTATGATGTGATGGTTTGAGGTTCTCAATTGAAAATGATCTCTACTGTCCACTTTAAAAGTATTTTTCATACAACAATCTTAAAATAATTAGTATGTTCAAGAAATACATGAAAAATCTAAAACTAGGTATGCATCACATTAAATTGCTGAATTGTTTAACACATCCTTTTTTATATTTTCTCCCCAAATCTTATACCAACTGTTAGAAGAACTGAGTAGCTATAACAAAGGCATTTCAGCAAATACGATAACTGTTTTCATTCTACAAAATAACAGTCTCTGAATGAAAAGAAAACTTTTGTTTAATTGAATGTGGAATTTAAAATCCTCCCTCTAAATTTTCATTTCTTTCAAATCCTTCCACTGAATTGTGAATTTTTTGACATTTTTTTCCCGTACAATTTTTCTTGAAGCTGAATGTCAACAGTAGCAATTTCTGGCTGTTGGTGGGTCAGACATTTAGGTTAATGCTTCTGCTGGCTTTGTTTCAGCCAACTGAAGAATTTTGATTACAATTATTGGGATTACTTTAATTTAGAAAAGTGCCAGTCCCTTTTTGCAAGCATGATTTATTCTCGCATAAATAAAATTAAAAGTTTTTATAGACAGCAGATCTGTTTTCTTGGCTCTTATACTCTTGGGTGCACTATTACTTAAAGAAGAAGAAACTAGAAGAAAGAAGATGACTTATTAGAGATGAGTCAGACTCCGTTGTGGAAAGCTTTGTCACCCATCGAACCACAGTTAACTGGGTGGATGCATCTTGCTTAGCCCTCTTTTCAGTAGAAGTGGACGTGTTTTTTTGTTTATGTGATTCACCTTTTCTTGAAGTCGTATGAGAAGATCCCTGAAAAAGGAATCATATATGAACTTGTGTTGGGTATATTTCAGGATACTCAGAAAAGAACGTTCCTCTCCTTGATCATGTAGACTATTTTAGAAACATACTCTATTAAGTTTTTTATGAAGGCAATGTTTCCATGTTTAGTTTGTAAAACTTTATTTAAAAGGATTTTAAAGAAGGAAAGCGGATGAATTTCAGGTGGCATTTCTCTAATTTTTTGCTGTTACATCATTGTAACTACACAGCTTGTTCAATTTTTCATGCATGCTTTAAAATATGTGTGCACTCTTCTGCAAAACAAGCTTTCCAAAGCTTAACTAAGGGGATGCAGATTGTTACATCTTTAAAGTAGGATTGTCACATTTTTCATCTGCAATTATAAAATCAGTGATCACCATCTCAACAGAAATAATTACATATGCATTTTATAATGGGTTTGATAAGAGAGAGAAATAGTTTGTGAATTCCTGAAAAATAACCAGATAAACTTGTTGAAAGTAGTTTTTAGTCACTCCTAATAAGATCACAAGCATTTTGTAAAATATTTGCAACCACATAGAATTCTTTTTCTCTTAGTTGCAATTTGCAATGGCTATCCTCAAAGAGAAAATAATTTGATTGTTATCGAAATCTTGAATTTAAACAACCAATATTGTTTCCAAAATACTATTTGTGATTTTTTTTTTTAGCTGGAGGTTTCAAACAGTTGCTTTGCCGATATTTAGAGCAACCATTGTTTCATTATCATTGCTCACTTAAGGGGCTTCTGTATACAATTTTTTTTTCTAATCATCTCCCCACAGTGAAATGTTAGTACTATAGATCTACTTTTTATCTCTTTATGTAGTATATGTATATCTGTACTTTATGCATAAAAATAATGTGCAATGAATAAGATTTTTCTTCCCCCAACCCCAGAACCAATATTTGCCCTGTGAGGGGAATTAACACCCTCACCAAGAATGCATGATGTGGACAGAGTAAACTCCATTCAACCTTGACTGAGGTAAGATCAGTAACAAGCCAAGAAATTACAGCCCCTCCTCTTTATTGCTAAGTCTTGTGGAGGGTACATAATTTTCTTAGATGTAACATTAGGCTGCCTGAATATTATTTCTACTATATATAGCCCACCAGTATGTATTTGGCATATATTCAAAGGGAAAATAACGATCTCTTCAGATAAAGGGGCTTTCAGAGTCTTCTGCAATAAAGGACTATTTTGAGACAGGACAATTTCTGTTGGGCATCACCAAATCAGAAATTTTGAGTGAACGTATTTTTCATTGCTATAAAATAGAGAAATGAAAAGTGAGGAATTTCCCTTTCTGGATGTGGCTCATATAGTATATTGGTTTCATTTCTGACCTAAATTGAAAAGCCCACTGATACTGAGTGACTGTGAAACCGCAAACATTAGAGCCCAATAAATTTGGATGTTTCTAAATCTACAAGTGCTATGATTTAAGGCTGCCAGTCTACAGTGACCTGTATTGCTAGTGGCAATGCTGAATAGTTTCACAAAAAGAAAAACATGTCTCAAGCTAGGAGTTCTGGAGCCGTAGCTGCAGTGAGCCCAACTTGCTTCCAGCAGTTGTATGAATATTTACCCAGCTGTGATGAAATTAGGTTTGGTTTTAAGGATCCCTGAAGGTTTAACAGTGGAGGCTGATTGACACTAGGTGATCCTGCTGGGGATTTTTGTTTTGAGTTTGTTTCTTGCTGAAAAGCTAGGGAAGTACTTTTCCATCCTATAGCATTGGGACTTTTGTCACAAGCCAATAGTTTACCAGTTGTGGTAATAAGAAACATGCATTTTCCGCATACTTGAAAATAGAAAATTGCCATTTTAACTGTTACAGCTGGCTTATGGCTATGATTTCAGGCTAATTACAGTTTTCTCACATATACTAATAACGCTAATTTAGAATTTTTAAATAATCACACTCTCAGGTAGAACTGACAAGCTTCTGAGAAGTGAAAGCTTTGTGTATATCCTGGAGGAAATTTAGGTTGTTGCAGACTTCATGCCCTGCCCTACAGTAATGAGATGTATTATTTTTCTTGAGTGCCAATATATTTTATGCATAGGACCCTTTGAAGCAACTTCAATTAGAAAAAATATATATATCCTGAAGAATTCTTTGACTTATTGCAATTTAGAACACCCATTTATCTTTTACCGTGTAGTTGACTCTTGACCTTCACAGATTTAACAGGAGAGTCTCAGTGTTTCCCAAGTGATCCAGAGTAATTTGCAATTCTGCTGAGACATGAATGCGTTTGGAGTTCTGGAAGGCTGAGGCGCAGAAGCAATTCACTTGGTGAACAAACCTAGCCACCCACTCAGGACGTGCCAACCATTGCACTCTGACTGTCCTATATTATTTGTTTGCACCTAGGAAGGAAATTATGTGCTAGAGGGATCCGTGAATTTGGGGAACCACAGAGGTCTCTAGCTTATCTAGTCATAAATATCAGCACTCTGTTGTTATTGTTACTATTCTGAAATATCGGAGCGGTGACTCTTAACACCACCAACTAAAGATTCTAATATGGGCCTTCTGAGAATCACTTCCGTAGTGAAAAGGTTGTGTCATAAATCCTCAGGTGTGTCAGGGCAGGAAGAAGAAGCAGAGGAAAGAAACCAACTGGAATGAGGCTTAAATATAACAATAGAAATAAAACACCTTAATTTTTTATTAAATATTTTAATATATCCAGTGTTACCATATTACAAAGATAAATCTTGTTGATATTCTAATGGATAATGGAATAATTTCTTAAATTAAGTCTTTGTTACAATTAGATAAATAAAGGTAGATGGTATAAAGAGGCTTGAGAACAATAGTCCATATTCTTCCTTAACTTTCTTCTCTACCAGCTAATCTTATATTATACATTTACCTTTGGAATATAAGACAGCTATTCCCTAAAAATAATTCGGCCCAGCTCATGACAAAATGAACATGCATTACAAATAATGGGGTCAGAAACTGATTCAGTTTTATTGTGCACTTTGTTCCCTCTTCACCCTCAACCTCCACTTGCTTTTTCCAGTGTTGATAACTCTACTTCCCATGATACTACTAGGCTGTAATGTCCACTAGCTTCATCTTTTGTCTCTGAGAAGTAGTTACTGGCATGTGTGGAGGAGTGTTTTGGAGAAGAAGAGTGCCTAGCCTGGGATTTAGAAGATTGGAGAGCCTGGAGCACTTCTTCAGCTGCTCTGGAGAAGAAATAAACCCTCTGTCCAGCTCCTGGGAGGGTGCTGAGCCCTTCTCTGAGCGACAGCTTCCTTGATCCAAACATGATGGGATTCTTCAGGATCACACAGATCCAGTCCAGCTCTAAAGTTCTGAGTCCTCATAAATTCTATTGTTCTTAGTCACTCCTTCATTTACACAACCAGGGAGCCGCTGTGCCTTCCAAGGCCTGGTACCAGTTCCTTTTGGTCCAGTCGTGTCCAAATTGAGCAGCAAGGGTCTGGGGCAGGCAAGAGCTGAGTTCATGAGAACAGCACTTCTCAAACCTTTAGAGTCCCGGGATCAAGTTCACACACAAGAAATGCTGGAGGAACATTTCAAGGAGTTGCATTCCAACATGATATACTCTGTTTTATGACTTTTGCTGGCTGAGAAGAACTGTTTGCAGCCCCGAGCAGGCTTTCTTACATCCTCCTGAGGGTACTTGTTAAACATTCAGCCACTCCTCTTAGAATTACCCTCGCCAGGTTGTTCCCTGCCCAACATTTCCCAGCAGAACTTGCTCAGCTCAAAGGTCTGTCTGACACCTACACCCATAACATTATGCATCTTCAGTTATAGCAACATTTATTATACTTGGTGATCATATTTGTCAGCATGCTTGAAAAGGGCCTATAGCATTCTGGTTGAAAACCTGTGGTCCAAAGAAGTGTTTCTGAAAGCTCTGGAACCAAGAGATCATCATCCATATCACCAAATGATCACCACGACCCCCAGTCTCTACTGCATGAGAACCCTGCAGTTGGGAGAGCGCAATCTGTGTTTTAACAAGGGCTGCAAACAGTTCTTCTCATCCAGCAAAAGTCATAAAATAGAGTGTATCATGTTGGAATGCAAGTCCTAGAAATGTTCCTCCAGCATTTCTTGTGTGTGAACTTGATCCTGGGACTCTAAAGGTTTGAGAAGTGTTGCTCTCATGAACTCGGCTCTTGCCTGCCCTGGACCCTTGCCACTCAATTTAGATAGGACTCAACCAAATGTAGCTGCTACCAGGTCCTGGGAGGTACAGCAGCACCCTGGTTGTGTAAATGAAAGAGTGCACCCCATTTAGCATTCTGGTGCCTGCTAAAATTTGGTCGGCTGCACAAAGATGGCCACACATACATTCAACAGAGAGGCCTGATTGTGAGAAGTAAGTATGCAACTGGGTCTCTTTAGACTGCAACATGCAGATTAATCTCAGTAAAAATCATTTGAATTGATCACAGCCCATTTTGATTTTAGAAAGAGGTTCCTAAGCTCTGGCTGTGTGTCAGAATCAGGCTTTTAAACAATATTCATTCCTGTGTTTCACCTGCAATACTAAAATTCAGTCTAATCTGAGGCCCAGGTGCCTGTTTAAAATACACCTTCCAGATGTGTCTGCAGCCAGTCTGCAGAGTGTTTGTGAATTACTGATCTGGATGGTGCTTCTCAAACATAAGTGAACATTAGAGTCACCAGGAGGGCTTCTTAAGCCTGATTCCTGGCCCCATTCCTAGAGATATCTTTTCAAGAGGTCTGAAATGGGATCAGGAATCTGCTTTTCTAACAGACTTCTAGGTGATACTGGTTCTTGGACCTCAGCACTCTGACACAGAAAACTGCAATACGAACTTCTGAGCTCCCAAATAAATGTCAGGCTTGACTTCCATGAGCTCACCAAGACTTGTACCAATCTCACTAAAGTTCCCTATTTATTGTTATTTTCCTTATTTTTTGAAATAGCTGATATATTCACATAAAAGTTATTAACTTTTATTATGTGAATATTAAAGTTATATGAATATTAAAATTAAAAGTTAATAACTTTTAATTATGTGAATATATCAGCTATTTCAAAAAACAAGAAAAATAAAATGTATAAACAGACATAGAGTAAATTTTCTCTCTTCTGGCCCACAGCCACTGATTTTCCCTCACCAGAGGCAACTAATATTACAGTTAATTGTGTATCTTTCCAGAGATATTTATGTTTACAAAGGCACATGTATATAAATATATACACACTGAACCTCCTTTGTAATTAAAATCCTAGCATTCCCTGTTCTGTACCTTGCTGTTTTCACCTAATATACTGTGTGAATCTTTCCCTTTCAGTATCTAGAAGGCTCCCTGGTTCTTTGTGCGTGGTTGTGTGGTACTCATTGCATGATTGTCTCATAATCTATTTAAACAGCCTCTATTTTTGGGCATAATTGAGTTGCCAGTCATGGAGTCCACAAATAACAAGCAGCCACCCAAAGTCCAAAAACATCACATCTGAGCAAATCACCTCATCCTCTCCATTCACTCCTGAAGAGATCGATTTCTGAACATTGTCCATTATTTGTATTCTCACTGATTCTAAAGACAAAGTTTAGTTTTGCTCAATGTAAAATATAATTTTAAAAATTACCATTAATGTATTAAATGAAGAGTTCTCTTGTGTAAGGAAGGGTGGAGAGTAATATTTATTGAGTGCACCTTCAAGGCCATGTTCTTGGTTTGAGGTGTTCACAGATTCAATGATTAGGAGGCAAACGCCAGGTGGATATGTCCCCCACCCAACCCCCACATCCACCACACAAAACAGCATCCGGCTCTGAGAAATTAAGGTGTAGAGCTAGCAAACAGTGGAGCTAAGGTGTTAACTCACTTCTTCCAAGATCCAAAACCCTGTGTGTGCGTTCCCTTATGAATGTCTTCAGGTTAGGGGTGCCCAAGGCCATGGGGGCTCAAATCCCACCTTCCTTAGCAGGGTCAGCTTTAGGGTAAGGTGAGGAAGGCACATAGGGCAACAAACTTACAGAGGCGCCCACTCTCAGAATCCTGCCCGTGTGCCTGAGGTGCCTCATTTGCTGCAGTCTAGTCAGCCCCAGTGCCTTAGTTTTCTTATCTATAAAATTTGTACCTATATCATAGGGTTTTTTTTTTTTTGGTGAAGATTAACAGAATTGAGGATTAATAAAATTTAAGCACATAAAATATTTAGAAGTGCCTCGCCTGTTATAAGTTCTAGTTAAACTTAGTTATCATTAAATTTAGTTTCTTGATTCTTCCCTTATGTAGAACAGTCATAATCTTGATTAAATAAACAGGGTTCCAGATGCTCAAAAATTTAAAAAAGAACAAAGAAAAATTTTGATGGCTTCTTGTGAGCTTCCTTTCATGGACTGACTTAAATAGGAAGATCCCAACATCTCCTTTCAAGTCATCATCTCCTAAAAATCTACCCAACAGAAACCACTGCCTGGGCACCAAGATTGGCTTCTGTCTTGTGGTGGGGGGAAAGGAGGCAGGGTTCTGGCAAAGGCCAGCTGGCTGCAAGGGGTCAGGCCAGAGGGAGACGTTCTCAAGACTGGAGTCTTGTTTCCTTCTCCTTCAAAAGCAGGGGGTGGGATGGGGGAATCCCAATTCCTTTTTAATGCCAGCATTTATTCAATGCCTTTTGAGAATTCCCTCCTTCCCACACTTCCTCCCACTCAATATCCAAAAATATTAATGCCTGAGAACGAAAACAAATTCTGAGGCTTTTAAATAAGTCCTTTGAAAATGTCTATCATGTATCTTATATATTGGTTTAGACAGTAAGATGATTGGGGGTTGCCTATAGATGGTGTTAATGTAATGTCTAAATGCTATATTGTCACATCTCATATATGCCAGTGCTTAATCAGAACCAAGACTAACAGATTCATGACTAAAAGCTGTTAGCTGGTGTTTGTAAGCCATGTTTTTTTCTTTTCTTTTAGAATAAATCTTCGTTCAGAGCATGTGAATAAATAAACATGTGTTTGAACTTTGCCATTCTTGCTTTTGATAGGAGGAAAACCAGCTTACTATATGTATGTATTTACAACACTCTGGAGTGCGTGCACCTGAGCCCCCAAACATGTCCATATATAATCAATCTTAATTTTCAAAATAAATTGTATTGACTAAACTTCTATCGATGTGTGGGGGTGGCACATAGATCAGTTGGTAACTGACAGCCTCTTCCACCATGTGCATCTGTGAAGACAGTCCTGATTGCCACTCTCATTGTGTTTATGCCTAGGCATTTGAGAACATTTTGTGATCCAATGTTTCAGAGCCTTCTGAAAGCCTTTGCTTGGGAAAAGCACACTCAGGCCTGATGACTGCATGCTAGCCTGGCATATATACATGACTGTTGTTTCTGGCACTTTGCAGACATGTTTTCTCTCACCCTTATTGTCTACCCCCACTTTATCTCGGGAGAGCAACTGCTGTGCATTCCCTTGCTGATGGTTCTTTGCACATACCTTCTGTGCATGGCATGGTACTGTCGTGAGTATCCTTTGAGGGTTGGTAGATCACAATGTTCATGGTAATGGTGAACCCATCATATCTTTAACAGATGACTCAAATGTGAAATTCATGCAAATGTCCATATTGGGTTAGTATCTCAGCATTATTATAAACATTAATGTCAACCATCTCAGTTCTTTAGGCAGTGGTCCCCAAACTATTTTAATCATTCACTAGTAAAAACTCAGCATCTGTACTGAATATAGATCAGTGATTATTAACAGGAGATGATTTTTGTCCCCCAGGGGACAACTGACAATGCCTGGAGACACTTGGGTTGCTGCAGTGGTTGGGGAGGAGGGTGAGGAGTGGTGCTACAGACATCTAGGAAGAAGAGGACAAGGATGCTGCCAAACATCCTAAATGCACAGGGCATCACCCCACAGCAAGGAATGATCTAGCCTAAAATGTCAATAATGCTGAAGTTTCAAAACCCTAATGCATAGGTTGAACCATATGAAATGCATATAATTTTTAATAATACATATTAGGCTGAGCCGTATAAAACTGCAAATATTTTGGTTTGTAAAAATGGCAGTTTCATACAGTTCAACCTAATGTAATTATGGATTTCTGAATGAACTGCTGTACAAATAAATTATTTACATTTTAAAATTCAAAAACATTGCAGGGCCAGGTGGCTCACACCTGTAATCCCAGCATTTTGGGTGGCCAAGGTGGGTGGATTGCCTGAGGTTGGGAGTTCAAGACCAGCCTGGCCAACATGGAGAAACACCGTCTCTACTAAAAATATAAAATTAGCCAGGTATGGTGGTGTATGCCTGTAATCCCAGCTACTCGAGAGGCTGAGGCAGGAGAATCGCTTGAACCCAGGAGGTAGATGTTGTGGTGAGTCGAGATTGCACCATTACAATCCAGCCTGGGCAACAAGAGCCAAACTCTGTCTCAAAAAAAAAAAAAAAAGAAGAAGAAGAAAAGAAAAAAAGAAAAAACATTGACTTTTATAAAGGCTGTTATTCAGAATTTTAGTATTTTCTTTTTGTTTGCTTATGGATCGTTTTGCATGTATCCCATCTTGGTGAGCACTGTTCTAGACTTTCGTTTAATCTGAAGGTTGATGTGACAGCCATCAGTTTACTAGGCTACAGCACTCTCCTACTTGCTCTTTGGAGCAGTTAGGGGTTCCTTGGTGATGTCTAGGGTGACTGGCTGCCTCAGGTAGTGCAGACAGACCTATAGGAATTTGGGCTCTAATCTTGTTTGCCATCTGAATTGAATCAGCTTTTCCCTGAAATGCTTAAGATATCCACCCTTCATTTAGATTGCATTGCAAGAGAGCCTTTAGCAGGCAAAATTACAGTTTGAAAACCACTGAAGGAGATGGTAACTTTCTGAAGTACAGGGATTATTTCCTTTCTCTGTATGCTCAATATGTAGCACATAGCAACTGCTCAATAAATGCTCTTTTGAATGAATTTCAGAGAAAATGTTACTTGAATTGAGGAGGACTTTGAATTATGGAAAGGCAAATTTTTTCTTTTAGTAATACTTTCAGAAAAAAATCTGATTTTCTTAAGGTTCTTAGCCTTAGGCAGGTTTATATGCTATTTTTGTTTTGTTGGCTTATCTGGTGGTATTTATTAAGAACTCATGTGGGTGTGTATTTCTGAACCCTTCTCTCTCTCTCGTGTTCTTAAATTTCCTGCAATCAATATGGACTACTAAAAACAAAAGACTTCTCCTGCGTATGGTTACATAGTGTACATTGATCTTATGAAGCATGTTGAAGAGATCTGGTGCTTATCTTCCTAGCACTTAAGCAACTGATGAATGTTAGGCTTACCTAGGGAGCTTTGAAGAATCCAGATACCTGATCTGGGGTAGATCCCTAAAATAAGTATTTTTTAAATGGTGTTTAGGTGATTCTAGCTTTCAGTCAGTGCTAAGAGCCATTGACTTAGAAGTTAATTGTCATTTGTTTTCTACAATTTCTTTTTTAATTTAACTGCCCATCTAGCACGCTATGGAAATGGTCTCCAATATCTATATATTTAAGTGAAAAAAGCAAGACATGGATATTTATTAGATGTATACATGTATGTATATATACGTGTATGTATGTGTGTGTGTATAACATGGACATTCACACAATACATATATTCAGAAAATGACTTCTAGGGAGACACACCAAAATTTTTAGTGCTGTTCACTTGAGTGAGATTTGGGGTTTGGAGACTCACTAACTGTCCAGTTTGCATTTTGTTTTCTCTATGAGCATTAAAAAGGGGCAAAAACAATAAACTGCACTGAGCCTGGGCTCTTATCAACCTACATTTTTTTATTTCTTCATACTAGTCTTTTTCTAAATATACCATGTGGGTCTCTCATTTCTTTTCCACTGCATTGACATAATTTTCTGGAAATCTGTTGTAGAAAATATTAATTTGGCACTGGGAAAAGCTGATTATCTCTATCCTAACAACCTCTTTAGAATGATCCTAATATATTCCTACCACAATGCCTTTTTTGTTTCAAATTCTTGATGGGTAAGCGTATTACACTAAAGAGCTGTTTTGTCACAACGATCTGGAATAATCACTCCTGACATTTTTATGAGTCACTGTAAAATTCAAAGAATGTCTGTTTGATGGAACACACAATAAAAGGGACTCCAATGTATAGAAGCAGAGTATTAGGGATAATGTTATATTTTATAATCGCCTCAGCTGAGATTGATACTGTTTTTAAAGTTGCTACTGATTTCATTGTTCCAATAACATTGATGAAATCATTCGTAGGAAACCAACATTACAGTACTCAGAGAACAATCTATCAAATACGTCTTTTGTATACTGAGGAAAATAACAGTTTCAAAAGGCCTTCTAATTTTTCTGTCAACTGTGTGTGAAGAATGAGTGTATTGGATTTCACTGAGAGGACTCTGTTAACTAAGGGAATTATGCAAGTGAAAAATACCATTAGGATGGGGAATTCTTTCATAGTTGACTTGTTTTGTACTGTCCTGGAGGAGTCAGAGTTTCTGACAAGTTCCATGTAAACCTGGGCTAGCTCACATTACATTTTATTTCTAGATTTTTTTAAGGCTCAAATATCCTTTCTCTGCAATCTCTGAAAGAGCTTAAATCCATTTGGCCTGGTTTTCCTTGATGCAGCATCAGGCAGTCTGGACCATCTCCCCTTTCTGCAAATAATGTTAGAGCTTTCACATCTGCGCAGAATAAGTGAACTCACAGGAATTAGCATTTGCCAGGTGCTTCATCATTTACAAAGTGCGTTCGCATGCATTTGTTCCCCACAATAACACGAATAATGTGGGCATTCTATTCCCTCCATGTTGCAAGGAAGTTAAGTGATTGTCCAAATTCACAGTTTGAACAGATAGGACCAAAATACATGGTAAAGGGACAGGAATCCTTTTATATTGGCAAAATAAAAATAGTTGACAAAGTCTGGTGTGTCTCCTCCCAGAAAGGACTACAGTCATATAGGACAGAACCCACGTCTCTTATTTCCTTGGTAACCACTGCAGTTTAGCGCATATAGTAGGCTCTCAGCAAGTACTTAATATCTTTCTAAGACACCTAATGAGTTATTTAAATACCGTGTTCTCTTTCTTTCAAAAGGAACTAATAGTTTCCTTCAACTCTTCTAAATTTTATATATTATTGAAACAACATGTGTATTAAATGCAATTTTCCTAGTATACCTTATAGTCATATCAATAAAGAGCATTTACATGGATTTTCTGAGATGCTGAAGGACAGCTGTGACTATTAATATTGAAAATCAGCTTTGACATTTTTACATGGTTTCTGGGAGTGAAAATGTTAAAAATCCTGTCTCTTTTCAAGATGGATGTTTATATTTATAATAGAATCTTCTGAGATTTTTCTCAAAATGAGACGCTTCTGTTTACATATGGAAACTGTGTTGTGGTTTTAGACTTAACCAGTTTCTCCTACAATTGCCCATGAAAGAACTGTCCTATGGGTTGGAATTTCTACAAAGAAATTAATGTCAGATGAAATTATTAGGAGGGAAAATAAAGTACTTAATTTAAATAATTTGTTTTGATATCAAATATCACAATGATTTGAATAAGCAAAAACTGACAAAATACAGTGCTGAATTATTGATTCAGCTTAGGGTATTCAATGATTACATTGCACAATATTTCTGTTCATGGGTCCAGTTCATCAAGTGAACTGTGGGTTCATGGACTCCTCATGCTTTTCACATGATGCTCCCTTTCATCCTTGTACATGTGTCGTCGTGGGAGTTTATGACAAATCAAGTTCACTTGACCCCAATCTCAGTATCCGCCACCCCCCAGGCATGATGAAACATGTGGTTTTAGTCAGCAGCTTTTGTGGTTGTATTAGTCTGTTTTCATGCTACTGGTAAAGACATACCCGAGACTGAGCAATTTGCAAAAGAAAGAGGTTTAATGGACTTACAGTTCCACATGGCTGAGGAGGCCTGACAATCATGGTGGAAGGCATGGAGGAGCAAGTCACATCTTACATAGATGGCAGCAGGCAAAGAGAGAGCTTGTGCAGAGAAACTCCCATTTTTAAAACCATCAGATCTCATGAGATTCATTCACTATCACTAGAAGAGCATGGGAAAGACCAGCCCTCATGATTTAATCATCTCCCACTGGGTCCCTCCCACAACTTGTGGGACTTATGGGAGCTATACAGTGAGATTTGGGTGGGGACACAGAGCCAAACCGTATCAATGGTCTATACTCTTCTGTGGATTACTCTCTTCATAGCCAGGTTCCAGGTTGCTGCTTAACCTAGTGTTTCTCAGACTTGCCTGATAATTAGAATTACCTGGGATGGCTGGTTAAAATCCCCAAGACCTTTTCTTGGAGACAAGATTTGATTTAGTCCAGGAGATTCTTATTATCAGGAGTCTGTAACTCTTTGGTTATACCACTGAGTATAGGACAGGACATTAGTGGACCTAGAGATAACTTAGATGGTAGTGGTGGAATGAGTAAGTGGGAGAGGCCAGAAGGAATAGAATGTGAGTATAAGAGCACCAGAGCATTCCTTTAATTTAATACAAGAAAAGACCTGGCCAAAGGCTTGTACACCTTTTGAATAGACCAGTGTATGTTTATACATATGTGTGCAGATGTAGATGCTTGTTGTTTTTACCCGGTATCATTGTTCAGAATGTAAGCATCCCATTTAATCTTACAACAACTTTTATTTTTTAATGGTAGTGACAAAGAGTGTATATGACCACATGCTCTTATTTTATCAGTAGAAAAATGTGTATCTCTGCCATTTGACCCAGCCATCCCATTACTGGGTATATACCCAAAGGACTATAAATCATGCTGCTATAAAGACACATGCACACGTATGTTTATTGCAGCACTATTCACAATAGCAAAGACTTGGAACCAACCCAAATGTCCAACAACAATAGACTGGATTAAGAAAATGTGGCACATATACACCATGGAATACTATGCAGCCATAAAAAATGATGAGTTCATGTCCTTTGTAGGGACATGGATGAAACTGGAAATCATCATTCTCAGCAAACTATCGCAAGGACAAAAAAACCAAACACCGCATGTTCTCACTCATAGGTGGGAATTGAACAATGAGAACACATGGACACAAGAAGGGGAACATCACACTCCGGGGACTGTTGTGGGGTGGGGGGAGGGGGGAGGGATAGCATTAGGAGATACACCTAATGCTAAATAATGAGTTAATGGGTGCAGCACACCAACATGGCACATGTATACCTATGTAACTAACCTGCACATTGTGCACATGTACCCTAAAACTTAAAGTATAATAATAATAAAATAAAATAAAATAAAGAAAAATGTGTATCTCTGACGAACTACTTTTGGTACATAAATATTATTCTCAAAATTCTTTGGCACAAATCTACTTCTGCATATACCAGGAAAGGCTGTTAAAGACTCTGAAATGGGCAAAAGTAGATTACTTGATATCTTTTTAATGGACCGTTAGGTGATGTCTAGTATACTGTTCTTGGTTATCTAATTCTCTAGAGGTGTGTTCTTTTCATTATCTTTAACATAGGCTATAGAAAACTGATAGGCAAATAAATTTTATCTATGAAGATTCAATTGACACCACCCATCTTTCTTGTAGAAGAGGTTTTGTGTCTTCTAATTCATTTCAGCATTTCAGATTGTCCGTGTATGTGTCTGCTATTTGAACTGGTTGTAATGTCTTACTGGTTTCCTCATTAATTTAAGGATTTCAATAAGATCTTTGAAACATGTCTGTTTCATATTCATAGAAGAATCATCATTTTAGTCTTTAAAAATATCCTTTAACTCATATCATCCTTATAAAGCCTTATGAGGATTATAAAATGGATATTACTATCTCCATTTAGGAGAGGATAGGAATTCAGCCAGTGGATAGGATTAGAAACCTCCTAGACAAGTACGTAGCAACTTGCAGTTATGCTGGACCAGAGGATCTGGAACCCAGCAGGTTAGAGTGTCAGCTCAGATAGCCCAAAGCTAGAGAATGGGTACAGATCTAAAACCTGGGTCCAGGTAGAAGGTCAAAGATTTATACAAGCAACAATTGTGGAATATAGGGAAGGAGCTGGGATATAGGGAAGGAATTTTTTTTAATCTAGCAAAGGAGACAGAAAAGGGCCATGTTCCAAGCAGAAATCTGGCCCAAAAGCATGCATTGGCTACAGAAAAAAAAAAAAAGTCTCAATATGGAACCCTAGCAGTCCCTTTGTGTCAGAGCCATTATGTCATCCTGTGTCAGCAGGAAACAACCCCAGCGTGAGCATTGAAACTAAGCATAAAATTGGAAACACCTGGCTAAACGGAGGCGCTTGTGGGTTGAGGCAGGCAGCAACTCCTGATAACTAGATAAGGACAATAGCCTTCAGCTGGGCTCAGCTGCAAGGAATTGCATTGATTTTTAGGCATGTGGTTTATTTCTGAAAACTGCTCACATTTTCCAAATCCCTTGGAGCTGACATTTTCTTACTACCCTGATTAATCACACTGTGTTCAAAGTGAAGAAACTTCTCTGCCCAAGGTATTCTTAGTCCCTTAATGGCAGCAATGCTACCTAGTCTCCCCTCCATCCCTCCATGCTTAAATTATTCCTGAGGTTATGTTTGCTGCCATTCTAAAGTAGAAGCATTGTTGATATTTTAGTAGCTTTCATTATCTGCTACAGCCAGAAGACAGTGATGTATTGAAAGTGATTTAGAAAATGGGAGATTTTGTCATTGCTTTTTTGGGGTAGGATGGCCTTTAAGTTAAGGCAACCCTTTTCACAACTTTGATCAATTACATTACAAAGGAAAAAAGTTATTTCAAATTGGGCCCTGGAATGGCTTCTAAGAAACCACAAATGATGTTTCAAATGTAAAACATTAAAATGACTAGGGTGCTTAATTCCACAGCATTATCCAATGTTGCAGCTACTGTCTGTATTGGTCTTTAATTTTACCTATGGGTCTTACAAAGGTAATTCATCATGATTACAAATAAACTTTATCAGTCCTGTCATGAATTTTCTAATTATATTTTGTGCTCAGATACTAACCATTGCTCAGAACTCCAGGCTTTATTTAAACTGTAAGACAGTTAATACCACTATGCTTTTTCCCCAGTCTGATCAGGAGCCTAAGTAGCTAATAGCTTCTAGGTAGAGTACTTCTTTGCTATAGACACATTAGCTTTTTGCATTACATAATGTATAATATATTCCTTTAAAGGATGGAAAACTGTACTAGGTATTTAAAAAAATTAGTTGCAATACGATGTAATTCATTCTTAAAATAATATACTGTTGCAACTTGACTCATAAGGCAGATTAATTAGAACTCAGCTGATGTAACATATAGATGTTCTACAAAGAAGAGAAATAACCTCTTTAAAGCTGATACACAGTAAATAAAATAAGGTCCATAATTAATAACCTAGTCTCCTAGGCATGATTTATTTATGTTGTGACAAAATAGATAACACTTGACAACTCTAACTACTTTTATTTTTGAGATAACAGATTTTCTAGATTATAATGGCTGGTTGGCTGCTGAAACAGTACTCAAGATAGAGTGCTGAGCTAGTCTATGAATCAAATTAAAAAAAAAACTAAGACAAAAATTGTAAAATGGAAAAATGATTAGGACTTTTGAGCAAAGTAGGAATTCAAAGAATTCGAAACATGTCACTGTGTATAATTGGTCTATTAATATGTAAAAATTGTTTTTGATTTTCACTTTTGCCAAGGAATCATGTCAAACAGTTTTTAGAAGGACAAATAATTTCTGTTTGCCAATCAAAATGATTTGAGTGACAACAATGGGCAGAAACACCATAGTAAGTACTCTAGGGAGTAATACAAAAAATAGAAAAGACTGGGCCTTTGCTGGAGAAGTTTATGACCTAGATGGTCAGGAGAATATACAGACAAAAGTTCAATTAAAGGATTGTTAGCATACTGGAATTGTGTGCAAACTGAGCAGGCCTCTTAGAAGGTAACTTTTTCATCGCCATATTTTAATCCTTTGAAATGTTTCTTATTTCATGACTTCTTTTCATTCCTATGAATGGATTGGAATGGAACGGAGATGGTCAAAATTTATTATTTTTTTAAATTCAACTTTTATTTTAGATTTAGGTAGTGTATGTGCAGGTTCGTTAATGGTTATATTGCATGATGCTAAGGTTTGGGATGCGAATTGTCCCATCACCCAGGTAGTGAGCATAGTACTCAATAAGTAGTTTCTCAACCCTTGATTTCCTCCCTCCTTCGTCCCCAGTGTCTATTCTATTGTTCCCATCTTTGTGTCCATGTATACCCAATGTTTAGCTCGCACTTATGAGAACATGCAGAATTTGGTTTTCTGTTTCTGCATTAATTTGCTTGGGATAACAGCCTTCAGCTGCATCCATGTTGCTGCAAAGGACATGATTTCATTCTTTTTGATGACTATGTAGTATTCCATGTGTATATGTACCGCTAAAATGGAATTTTACATCAACAGACCTGAGCTTGAATCTTGGGCCCATAATATACAATAGAGTTACTTGACTTTGTGTTGCTTGTGTTAAAATTGAAACTCATGATCAGAGCATAATATCTGATCACTTCATGACAAAAATTTCAATAATCTAATAACTGATCAACCCTCTAACCCATCTTCCTCATCCTATACGCACACATATACAAACCATCATCTCTGATGTCATCCGTATTTCCCAGTGTTATCTTTATGATTCTATGCCTTGGTTCTTACTGTGGTCAGGTGTAATAAAATGAACAAGAGAATATAAGCTCTTTGAAGGCAGTGATTTATTCTTTTTGCCCAGTGTCCCCAGTATCTAGAACAGGGCCTAGAGCATAGTAGGTGTCGAATATACATTTGTTGACTTATTTGAAATTAGAAAACCTAGGATGAATGCTGAGGCTTGTTCTTAGTTCATTTTCAAGCACTTGTCTTCTCCAATAACCTATTTAGGTTATCAGAATTTAGAGTGAGAGGCAGCTTCTCTACTGGCAAAATGAGGAACTGGGGCAAGATAAATGTGTCCAAGGTATTTTGCAGTTCAATTAGCAGAAAATGATTTCTTCCTCCTCCAAACCTCTGGGACATATTGTCATTTATCCTTCCTTTGGATTAACATTTCCACCAGCATTGGGCTATAAGCTCCTGGAGGGCAGGGATTTTGCCTGAACATGGATTTTTCCTGTGACACCTGTCTAGTGTCTTAAATACAGGACACTATGAGATATTTGGTGAGTGGATAGACAGAGGAGCTAGTCTGTGTTCCAGTAAGTGCCTCAAGCCACAAAAGCAACTTTCTCAGCCTCTTTGCTGGAGCTTGTCATTCTTTAATGTCTCACCCGGGGCATTGGGTCTAGGCCAGGGGCTCCTCTCAGCTCCATAGATATTGCAACGTTACTTTTTCTTTATTCTTCCTACTTTTTAGCCTACAGCAAGGAGGGAAGCAAGGGTAATATTCTCTTACTGTGCTCTCCAGCATCTACAGAAAAGGCTTTTATTATAAAGGGGAAATAACTTCATTGCTCATCCCTAAGGCAGAAGGAAACCAGGTAGAAAGGAGACTGGGATCTGAGCCAAGGAAGAGATGGGGACGCCTCCCAGTGCTTCCCAGCAACGCCATGGCTGGGTTCTTTTTATCAGTTTGGGTAAGTCATGAATTATCAAAATGCCTTCAGGCATCGCAAGCCAGAATTGCATATTGGTTTGGATAATTAAAAGCTGTTTCCATCAAAAAAATTTGTATTCAAGCCCTTGGTAGTCTTCAGGTGAAAATAGTTTTCCTGTCATTAAAGTTAATTAGTAAGTGTGTATGTGTGTTTATGAATCTGCAGATAATGGTTTCACAAGCCGTGAGATTGGGAGTTGGAAGGGAGGGGAAAGTGATAAAGAATCACCATCGGTGTCTAGTAGTCAGCTACGCTTCTGAGTACACTGTATCCTAAACAGGCCTGATCCTAAGGTTCATTTGGGGTATAGATTCTCAGGGCTCTTAGAGATTCTGATTCAGGAGTTCTGAGGTAGAGCCTGGAGTCTAGATGTTTAACAAGTACCCCAGGTGATTCTTATGATGGGCTAAGAGTGAGAAAACCTGGTGTGTGCCTTTCATAGGTATCTGAAGAATCCAGCTTCCTGTAGTAACGTTAGGGGGCTTGTGGCTCAAGGAGGCCAGAGCAGCAACAGTATAGGCCTGCTACGTGTCACTGGGAGCATCTCATCTGCCGGGAAGTAGGAGCTTGCTATTTTTTCTCTTTTGACATTTGCTGATATGCACCATGTCATCTGAAGATAGAAGAAGTAGGTGCATTTTACATAAATTATGGGATGACAACACCAGAAACTTCTGGCAGCATGGAACAAGTTCTTCCATGATGTCCTTGCCCCAGGCTTTAGAGTAAGTTTTAGCCATGCCAACCTCTAGGGTAGCGTGGTGCTAACGTATTTTGGCTACATTTATTCAGTATTTCTGCTGTTCAGGGCTTTGCTAAGCCAGTGAGTCATGCCACTTAAACTGCACAACTTCTCTGAGATGTAGTATTATTCTCATGTTTATGATGAGATGCATAATAGGAGCAGAGCGAGGTTAAGCAACTTGGCTGAGTTTGCACAGCTAGCCAGTGGGGTGGTTATCTGGTTCCTGTGCCTTCCCTTCCCAGTTACCCTTTACTGTCTGCTGGGGAGGGAGGCCCCAGTGGCTGATTTGTCTCTACCCTGGGAGAGTCATCTTGTTTTATACAGAGCGCACTTCTGTCTCTCTCTCTCTCTCTCTTTCTCTCTTTTTTAATAATAGTGTCTTATATTGGTCTATATTTTACAGTTTACAAAGTACTTTGAAATGTGCCATCTTGTGTGAGTCCCCACAACAATCCTGAGAGGTTATTTCTAGATTTTGTAAATGAGAGAACTGAGTTTTAGAAAGTTATGACTTGGCCAGGCTTGTAGTTATAGCTTTTACTTTTCTGTCTTTTTATTTCGTTAGCTGTTTTGGGCAGGTAATAAATACATACACGTGGCCCCAAATTCAAATTGTACAAAGGGTGCATGTTCTGGGTAACCTCGTTTCAGATGAGATGGAGCATGTTCAGGATGGTATGGCCATAGATGGGTAATCTCATTTCATCTTCACAAGCCTACCAGTTTCATAGCTAAGAAAACTAAGAATCGGCTGGGCACAGTGGTTCACACCTGTAATCCCAGCACTTTAGGAGGCCAAGGTGCATGTATCACCTGAGGTCATGAGTTTGAGACCAGCCTGGCCAACATGGGAAACCTCGACTCTACTAAAAATACAAAAATTAGCCAGTGTGGTGGCACGTGTCTGCAGTCCCAGCTACTCAGGAGGCTGAGGCAGGAAAATTGCTTGAACCTGGGAGGTGGAGTTTACAGTGAGCCAAGATCGCGCCAGTGCACTTCAGCCTGGGTGACAGAGCGAGACTGTCAAAAAACCAAACAGAAAAAACTAAGAATCAGAGTGGGTCAGATAACTTGCCCAAGACCACCCAGAGATGATAAATTGAGGTCCAGGATTCAAAGCCAGAGCAGCTCCATTCCAAAGCTCTTTCCATGGAACGTGGCTCTACAGTATTTTCCTTAGTCTGCAACGATCAAGGAGGCTATTTTTCACAGAGGTTTTAAGAAGAGCATTGTCTCCCTTCTCTTTAGGAAAAAGAAAATTCTGCTCTGTGATCCCTTTAGTGACAGCTAAACCTACATATTTGGAGTGTTGGTGCATTTTAAAAAAAATGTACAAAGTAGGGTCTTGCTATGTTGCCCAGACTAGCGTGCAGTGGCTATTCACAGGCACAATCATAGTTCATAGCAGCCTTGAATTCCTGGGCTCAAGTGATCCTCTGGGTAACTGGGATCATAGGAGCTCACTACTAACTACTCCTAATTTTTTTTTCCTCCATTTTCTGATGGGAGTGGTTAGAGATGGTGAGAAAATATTTGGCAAAACAGCAGCCTCATTATTTTGTCTACAGGAGTAAGTTGCTACAGTCTTTCAAAATATTAGACACTTGGCTAATTAAAGTAGGACGTTACAGTGAAAACCAAGCTTGAAGCTGCTCTACTGATGCCAATCTTGTGGTTTTCCCACCACTCTGTCCCTCTCTCTTCCAGGGGTACTGTCAGTAGTTTTAAGTCTGTTAAATGAGATTTCCCAGAACAGATCCTGGCTCCCAGTACCTGTGCCCTCAGTCCCATGGATTTGTGTTACAAGTAGGTTTTTCTTCTATTTCAGCCAAGGTTCTTGATACCTTTTTCTCTTTTTGGGGGCTACTGTTATAAACATTTTATGACTGTTCTTCATTTACATCTTCATTGTTATGGAATTGAGTCCTCAGATGACTGTTGGAGGGAGGTGACCTTCACATAAATTTCACCTCCTCCTTGGCCACACTTAGTAGGTCCCTACTACATTCTCCATTATTCTATCCCCTATAAATAGGGATCACAATTCCCTATTTATTACATTATCCCTGCCCCTGTCAATTTTGTTCAAAGCATTGACCACAACTGGTAGTGACACACTGATTTATTTGCTTGAGGTCATCTATCTCCCTTACTAGATTGCAAGCTCTGGATTATAAGAGAATGCATTTACTTGGTGTTTATCCAGCACTTAGCACTGGGCCTGGTACATAGTTGGTTCCAAAAGATACCAGTGGAATGAATAGTTTTTACTAGTATAATGACATGATTTTAGCTTTTAATGTTTGTCAGTTTGTTTGCTTCTGGTTTTCTCTATTTAGCTGCTTTCTTTGATTCCTAACTCTAAGCAAGGTAGAATATGAGGAAATAACAATTTCTCATGTCCCAAGGCTGTAACCACGAACCCTGGTGGCACTCGAGCAAGGATGGAACTTGGTGTTGAAGGAGATGATGGTGGCTCTAAAATACCCTGCTGGTTAACTACTATAATATACAACAGCTTCAAGTAAATCCCAGGCACATATATTTTAATAATGATTTATAATTACATTAAAGCCCTTTATTAAAGTTAACTAATCATTATTCTAGGCCTTGTCTATCACTGCTTTATTTTGAAAACTTATTTCCCTTCTTCTCATAGGCCAGAGAAGTTCCTGTGTAATCATGAAGATCCTCTTTCTGGATATAGCATTTCTTATAAAATTGTGATTTTTGCCTGGAGGTTCTTCATTTCATGCTAGGCCAGCCCAGACCCTGCTGAATGTGCAGGGGCTAGAACCACTGGGGAGTGCTTATGGTCAATGCTTCCTGCAGTCTCAGTTCATTCCCTAAGTAATAAGAACACTGGGAAGTATTTGCTAAGTTGATTTAATAATTTCTGCCCTTGTTTGCCTATGATATCAGATGCCTTTTGGAAGTATCTGTACCTGCATCACCCCAAAATGTCTAATATAACACATTACCTATATAGTTTCCTGATCAGAACTTCTTATAGTATAGCTCTAGTATTCCTACATATTATTAAGCCTATTTAGCTTTAAGTGCAACATATTCACATTTATTTATCCGATGGCAATAGTGTATGTAAATTTTGGCAATAGTATATTTTTTAAAATTATCAGTTTTATTTAGAGCCTAGAGATCTAGTTAGTTATCAACCAAAGACACAACTCTCTACAATAAAATTTGTCATTTTATATGAAATATGAGAGAAACAGCTTATTTGATACACTTTTATGTGTTTATTTTTATTAAATCACTTTTGAGTCAGATAAGTTGACATAGAAGCAACTTGGAAACATATTCACTAGTTTTTTATCCTTTAGTGGTTCTATTTTCTTCATTAGGAGAACATTTTATTGCCAATCTCGAAGAAGAAAGGCCCCTGAAAGGACAGTCACAGAATAACGTTGACATGCAGTGAGGGATAGGGATATATATAGGCCATCAATTTGCTTTGTGTTTTTCCTATTTGTTTTAGATTTCAAAGAAGAGAAACTCACTCAAGAAAACTCAAATAGAAAAGAGCTTATTTGAAGGGATTAAAGGATGTATATGGGGGGATCCAACTGCAAGATTAATGTAAAGAACAGAAAGCTGATAATAGGTAATTTTGAGAAAGGAGATGTTAGAACTGGAGCCAATAATCAACCAGGTGAACTCTAAGCCCAGTTCACCTGGGCCATTCTGATTGCTTAATACCTAAACTTTACTGGCTATTACATTTTAAATATCACTCCTGATAGGGTTTGCTTCTTTTTGGAATTTTTATTTTATCCATCTGCTGATCAGTTGCCCCTTGAACAGAGAGGGGGCCGGGGCACTGACCCCCTGCACAGTAAAAACTCTTGTGTATAATTTGACTTCCCCAAAACTTAACTACTAATAGCCTACTGTTGACGGGCAGCCTTACTGATAATGTAAACAGTCAACTAACACATATTTTGCATATGTTTTATATACTGTGTTCTTATAATAAAGGAAGCTACAGAAAAGGTTAAGAAAATTATAAGGAGGGAAACATTTACTATTCATTGAGAGGAAGTAGATAATTATAAAGATCTTCATCCTCGTCTTCAGGTTGAATAGGCTGAGGAGGAAGAGGAAGGGTTGGTCTTGCTGTCTCAAGGGCAGCAAAGGCTGAGGTGGAGGAAGGGGAAGGAGAGGCAGACCCACTCAGTGTAACTTTTATTGAAAAAGGTCCGTGTATAAGTGGACTCACTCCGTGCAAACGCATGTTGCTCAGGGTTCAATTGTTTATATGTAAGGCTATTTTAATTCATTAATAATTACTTGTTTCTTATGACTACCCGAGATAGTGCTATGCATAAGAATGTCTGTTAAACATGTTTCCCCTTCCATATGCTATGCATTACTTTAAAAGATATTAAAAAGATAGGGTCTCTAATTTTTCACAGTATGTTGAGGGCAAACAGTACAGTATATTTAGGGAGAGATTGATTTGTTGTCAAATTGAAGCCATAAGACTTTCAAATTTGGACTCATATTTTACCAACCTTTTCTTTTTTTCCTACTCACACTAACCACCTATTCTAACCAAACTTCCCTTATATTAAGACTCAACTCCCTTCAATGTTTCACTTCTTTTTGAGTTTCACTTCCTCAAAAAAGTCTCCCTGGTTCTCACTGCCAACCTAGAGTGGTATCTCATTAGTCTGAACCCCCATGGATAGTAAGTAACACCATTGGAACAAACACCCTCATATAAAGTAGAATCTTGACTGGTAGTTGGATTTTTATGTTTAAATATCCCCAATTACTTTGTTAACCTTGACAGTAATGACCACATCTTATAATCTTTGTTTCCACCATAGCTACTCACACCTAGATGTGTCTTTATTCATTTACTGAGCAATATTGAACATAACCTATGGATCAATCACTATTTTAGATGCTAGAAATACAAAGATGAATGAATTCCTCTCCTCAATTATTAATCTCATGAGGGAGGAAGACACGTAGTTTAGAGAGGAAAAACACTAATAAAGGTATGAACCTCTTGAAACAAATTCAGATTTCTGTCAATTTTTTATTTTTCCTCATTGAGACACAGCTGTGTTTTTAACATTAAAGTTGTTCATGATTCAGCAGTTCCTAAGTGCAAGTTTTTAATGAAAATAAATATGAATCACGTAAATTATGGAAAATAATGCCTTCCTTGTTATTTCTACTTGGAGTTTACCTGGCAGGAATTCCCTGGGTCTCCTGAAATAGAGGCCACCATTACTGCTATATTCTAACCGTTCCTGCAGCTCTTAATTCTACTTGTTCATTAGCATATATTTAATCCAAATGATAACACAGAAGTAGTTTTCTTATGGCTAATATTTCTTTGTTCTGCATCAGAACCATAGTCAGTAATATTCTAAAAAATCTTATTCCCTCAAGGACAATTTTTCCAGATTGCCATAAGGTTTTGAAAGAATCATCTTCCCATTAAATGAAGAGAGTAAGAATGTCTGAAGCCAGGAAATTGATAGCATCCTGGACCAGCAGCAAAATCGTTTTCCTTGCACTGCAGTGAATAATTGATTTTGCTTAAGAATTTTCTTTTCTCCTGCAGAAAGATCTTTTTTCTATTTCCTCAGTATGAAAAATAACCCCTGTCATGTACATCATGATACTTTCCCAATTGGTGGTATCTTAAACACTTAAAATCAGTAGTGCTTTTTCACTAATTGGATGAACATTTCCTTTTATAATTCTTTATTCTTTAGTTTAAAAAGGCTTTTCAAGGATTATTTGCATTGTTTGATGCAGGGGGTAAAAGCAGCTGAAGACATGAGAGTGTTGGTTTTTAGTGACTGCACTAAGACCATTGATGCAAAATGACCCTATTCAATTCTGTTTTTATGGTTTTGGTTTTTGTTTTGTTTTATTTACTTCCCTGACTTCTGGGAGATGAAAATGAACTTTTCCTATACAAGATAAGACCCAGACTGGTGTCTGCACCTTGTACTTTTTTTTAATTGATGGAAAAGACGAAAGTTCCTGGAAACATGTGATGTGTGCCTCTTGTCCAGGAAAGGGGATTCCCTGAGTGTTGCCACAGTGAAGAAGGACACTCTGTGCTCTGTGGAGAGCTGCTAAAGTTTCCAAAACCTAGATAATTTCAGGATAGCTATTTCAATCTTGACTCAATGTTTACATCAAGAATTGAGACCTTTAAATGTCTCTGAAATTCTGTCATTACCAGAGGCATTTGAATCTCTCTTTAGATAGGAAAATATTCTGTGTACTGCACAATTTGCAAAGTCTCCTCTCCTTAAAAAAAAAAAAAAAATGCCTTTCCCCATTGTCCTGCTGATAGTGCGAGAAAAGTGGGGGAAGCAGGAGTTCTTTCTGGTACTGGTGGAACTGAGCTTATCCTTTCAGTATTCCATAGAGAGTTGAGGTCTTGTCTCTTAATGTGTGTCATAAGAGGCTGGAGGCCACTTGCAGTCATCTGTGAATGCTTTGAAAATAATATTCTGAGACACATGAAGAGCTACTTGCATAAAATAATCCTTTTATTAAGGATACCCTCTGTGAGACACATTAAGTATTTATTTTATCTCTAGCCAATAGCTTTTATTATGTAATTCAGAGATGGAACTTTGTTAGGGCAAAGCACAGATTGTACTACTGCTCTTCCAACACAATAGTTACTTTTTAATCTTGTAGAATTCACAATTCTACAATTATTTGGAGCTGCCTTTTCAGTTTTGTAGTCGCATTCATTTTCTTGTCATATTCCTCTTTTATCCTTTCACGGCTAAAAGTTAAAGTCATAGTAAGTCATAGTAACAAAATACCCATTGCAGACCTGTTTTTTATTGGCCAACATTCTCTTGCTGACAAATTGAGAGTAGAAAGGAGATAAATAAGGATTAAACAATTGTGACCATTTCTATTTGAAATAAAATTGGCTCATGAATATGCCTGCTTAATTTCATACCGGTGTTCAAGTGATATCCAGAGCAGTCAATAACATGGGGTACACAGATCTAAAATATAGTCATAAGAAACAGAAGTTAACTAGACCTGATGAATGCTATTTTCTCCTTAAAAAAATGTTTTCTCACTCTGTAGATGCATATATCACTTTTTCCTTATAAAGCAGAGATAGTCATGCAGTCAAATGGAAGCAGGCAGCCCAAAGCATGTCTTACAGTGTAGAGGCATAGGCTGGAATCCCAGTGGAGACCCATGTGGGCTTTCACCTCTGATGCTACATTTCTTATTTTATTTTATTTTATTTATTTATTTATTTCAAGACAGAGTCTTTCTCTGTCGCCCAGGCTGGAGTGTAATGATGCGATATCAGTTCACTACAACCTCCACCTCCCAGATTCAAGCAATTCACATGTTTCAGCCTCCCGAGTAGCTGGGATTACAGGCATCTGCCACCATGGCTGGCTGAATTTTTTAATATATTTTACTAAAGACAGGGTTTCACCATGTTGTGGCCAGGCTGGTCTCAAACTCTTGACCTCAAGTGATCTGCCTGCCTGGGCCTCCCAAAGTGCTGTTATAGGCGTGAGCTACTGTGCCATGCTCTGACGCTACATTTCTAAATCTGTTTATCTGTAAAATAAGAATTACACTATATTTTAAAGAGGATATTTGCTAAACTAAAATCAGCTGACATAGGTGAAATGCTTAGTATTGTACTTGGCACATGGTGGGTAATCAATGACTTTTGAATCAGATCCCTTATATGATTGGCCCCAAAGATAAGTTTATTAGTGGAGGGAGAAAACCACGCATGTGCCAGAACATTCAAAGGAATACTTTGCCCTTCAGAGTCTTCACGATAGAAAGTACTATTTGTATTCAAGGGATACTTGCCTTGATATGTAGATATATATATGAAAGCTCTGTCTACCTATCACTTACCTATGTGTCTATGCAATAACCTTAATGATTGCAAATATTTTGTAAGGGGAGATTTGACTTTTCAAAAATAAAAAGTTATTTGATACTAGATGAAGGACTACTTCCACTAAATAATATGGTTTTTAAGTCAAAATCAAAATGTTATAAAGAGACCATGGCCTTGTGGGATTCATATAATGTCTGAAGACAGCTCTAAAAAATGAGAGATGGTAACTACAGGGGAGTGAGTACACTGCTTCCATGTGGGGATGCTTTGAAAGGAGGTCTGATGCCATTGACTATAGAAGGTTATGTTATGTGTATTATCTCATATTTTATATATCAGGTATCAGTCCTATGAACAATCCTTAAAGAAACTTTAGTGGGACTGGTTTTAGATAATTCATCTAAGGACAAATAATAATTTGATACTTTGCAAACTTTGATCCACTGAAGCGTTTTATTTCTACCAAAGACTGATTGTTAATAGTTTGTTCTAAGGGAATAATATTCACTATCTTGGAGAAAATAGCTATAAAACCATACTGTTATCATTTTGATTTTTTTGAAGTGCACAATTGCAGACTCTTCCTCAAGTCTTTCAAAAACATGTCAAAATGAATCCCATGAGGGAAAGAACTTTATGTCTTAACTCATGAATCTATGAAATCTGAGTTGACAATAATACACAAAATACAGACATTATATGAATCCCACAAAGCACACATATCTTTATTCTAGCTTTGCCATTCTTGAACATGTGGCTTTCAGCAAGTTTCTTAACTCTTCTTTTTCTTCCTTGTTTACAAAAAAAATGAGGATACTACTAGTTTATGCCTCAAATAATTGTTTAAAATATTAAGTGAATTTGTACATGTAAAATGCTTTGGTATTTGACACAATATGTGAGCTCATGCATACTAGTTGTGCTAGAGTTAGAGGAGATTATGTTGACTTTTTTTTTTGCTAGTTATATGTCCTTGGTGCTTCACTATTTTGCATATTTCCTATGTCTCAAGACAAGAGGAATGTTTGTCTTAAAATATACTTTTGAGGATGTGCACACCAAAGTGTTTAAGGGCAGAAAACTGCAGGGTAGTGAACAGTGATGGTATTTGCTGCTCTATTTACGGCTTTTTTAGCTGCCAGTTGCCCTAGAACTACATTGGCAAACTCCCAGCAATAACTAGCACCATTTAGTCCTGTAAAGAAAGAGTTGCAACTGATCCAGCAACAATCATTAGACACTTCCTGGGAAACATCCTCAAGATCTTAAGCGATTCCTGGTTCAATCACCTGTTTTATTGTCTTCAACAAACTGAAGAGCAATCAATTGTTTATGAACTCACCATAAAGAAAATATTCTACTTCTGCATCTAATTAACTTGTATCTGTCAAAGAATTTATAGATTGTAGGTGGGGGAAGGGACCTTCTATTTTCAAGCAGTGTTATTAAAGGCCACACAGTTATATTTGTCTTTTTCTTTGTCACATAATCTGCTTTAAGTCAAAGCTAATTAGTAGAGATGTGAAGAGGTAATTGTGCCTTCATGATTAGAGAGATTTAAACCTCTGCTTTTCCTTTTGTAGGTAAGTGAACTTGGCATTGGCCATTGCTTATTATGCTTCCTGTCTGGCTCTTACTCATGTTGCCATTTTGTGGACTAAAACTCAAGGCAGTTCAAAAATACTGATATGCAGGTGCCATGGATGCTGTTGGAGTGTGTGTCCTAAGAGAGAGGGTAAGTGCTGGTTTTCCATTTTAAACATAGCTCGTGATATCAAGTTGCCCCCTCCCTTCATTCCCTGACTCCCGTCTTCCTCCAAAAGCGGCTCTCTTGGTTTAGTAAGCATCTCTACCCTGCAAAGCGGAAATAATGAAAAATGAGATTCACTTTGCAAGCTTGTTGGGTGAGCTTCTGGAGAATAATTTTTACCAAAAGCCTGAAATCATTTGGCATTGTTGGTGTTTTCAATGCATCTGCATCACAGCACATTGCATTTCACATCTGGCCAGTTTGGAATGAAACTTAGAAAATCACCAGACTATAGTGATGTAATTGTCATGAAGTGGTTTTTGTAGCTTAGAGAAAAGAAAAACACTTGGCTGAAAGAATGGTCTGAAGTCCCACCCAAAGTAAAACATTCTAAATTAATAGTTGCCTAAAGACTACAGTATTATTAGACTTCTATTTAAAAAAATTCACAGTTCTAATCAAAGAAGTGTAATTGGAGTTTCCTTTTTAAATATTTGAAGACTGTATTTACTATTTTGATGTTCAAATATTAGATCTATATTTAGAAGGAAGTCCAGAGGCATTTTAAGCTAAATAGGAATGTGGATTCCTATTCAACTTACTATTGGAAAAATACATTGTCATTATAGACTTTTTAAAGTATTAAGTAGCTTTTAAAAAACATTATAGGACTGTTATAGCTAAATCCTTTTAATATCTTCATTACTCTTAATTCTCTAGGAGTTTAGTAACATTTTGCTTTTTTTGGTAAAATTTGAAGTCTAATTTACTAGTTGGCTATTTCTTTACATTGAGAATGGTTATTACTTTTTCACTCTGAACAATTGAAAATTAAGAAAAATTACACTTAAATATAAATTCTTGATGGTTTTCTTTGCTGTTCTTTTCATTTATTATTGGAAAACAGATACTGCATTAAAGTATTTGTTGAAATATGCCTAAGTGTGTTTTCAGATTGGCATACTTAGATAGTACCTGGATTCATTGGTTTCCTATTTATTATAGCTTCATCTGGGATAAATGTATAGAAATCTTGTCATTACCTTTAGAAATTTTATTTGAGTGGCTCAATGTTACGAGTATTCTAAATGCTAACCTATTTCATTTTGATTTTTTTCTAAGTGAATATGTTTAGGTGGTATGATTCTTTTAACTCATAATTATTATGCCATTGTGACGCATTAATTTTTGGCAGTGATTATTGTTAAAGTAAACAAATATATACCCCCCACCAAAGCACCAAGTTTCATACAAGTTTTTAAACAACCATTTCTTTCTTTTTAGAAAAATTGATACATAATAATTGTACGTATTTTAGAAGGCACGATGTGATGTTTCCATATATGTATATATTTGTGTAATGATAAAATCAGGGTAATTAGCATATCCATCATCTTAAACAGCTACCATTTCTTTGAACAACCCATTTCTAAATGCTGGATGGATGTGTGAATAAATGCCATTTTATAATGGTGGTTATTTTCACAACAAATTAATATATTTCACATTTCATAAATTAGGGATTATGAATTATAAATAAAATATTTTTCCCACGTAGTATTTGCAAAGTAACTGCTTTCACTGCTAATGGGAAAATGTCCTTTTAAAAAAAATTTGGATGTAAGAACTTTCAAGATGAGGCCTTGAGAGAACTGGGCACGAACTTCAGACCTGTGAAATTTTTAGTTTACCTCCTTCTGGACCTTGAATCTTGTAAATTTTCTTTATAGTTTATTCATCAGAAATTAAAATCTCAATCAACATTATGCTTTGACCCAATAAGCATCATACTACTAGTTTCAAATATCGTGGATTTTACTGGGATACTCCTGGTCACACAAGTATTTAATTCTGATTAGAAGCAGAGTCATGTCTGCATCTGCTAAAATCCAGAGCCTTTAATCCTGGCAAAACTGGAGGTTCTTCAGAAGCCCGTGAAACTTAAAGGTAGCTTAATATACAGTGAATTGTGTTTATGTTTGGAGTATATGGTTCACATCATAACACATTTTTGAGTCCCCAAACTTTGGAAAGATGCCCCAGCCACATCTTTCTCTTTAATAGAAGTTCGGAAATAGCCAAAGTTGTTATTCCCAGGTAAGCTTTCTAGAGTCACTTTGGGATTTTCTTGAGTGATTTTGTTTGCATTATGTGTCATTTGCATAGTCCTTTAAAGGGTGCTGATGTTAACTGAGTTGCTTCCCTTGTAGGAGCAGAATCATTTTAATAGCTGTTATAGAAGAACAGCACTTTTTTGTTAGTAAAATAATACAACTGGATGGGAAGGAAATAACTGTATTTGCATATTTTCCTGCATCAGTGAGCACTCTCATCAGTTTTATTTTTTATATTTTAAAAAATATAAAATAATCACCCAGTCCTTTTTTCTCTTCTGTTGTGCTCTTCTGAGAAAATAGGTTTGGGGGGTTTATTGTGAGTATGAATACTTAATTGGGTGGAGAAACTTGATCCAGGTGGCTGCAGAAGCAAGTTGTTTCTGAGGGCTGGCTGGACAAATTTGAACCTGCCCCACACAGTGATATTCGCCATTTTACTGTGTAAACCACAATAGGTTGTTTGATCTGCTTGAGATCGCAATATATTTAATTGTGCTTGGAAAATACAGTTTGGAGGTTTTGTAAAATCAAAAAAAAGAGCTTTTTAAAAATAGTCTAACTTATTTCAGAGTTTTTTAATACAGATGCTGGAAATTTATGGGGTCCAAAAGAAACTGGAATATTCTGAAAGAGTTGGAGTGGGAGGAAATGAGGACTTGGGGTGTTCATTGTACCTCTGGATCCTCCTCTGCCAAAAGGATTTTGTAGCATAAGGAATTGAAGATGTCATAGCTTTGGAAATGCCAGTAAATGTAAGGTTGAATTCAGAATCTTGATCAGGAAGAACTTCCGGTTCTTTCCCTGATGAAAAATATGGTCTCTTGTAATTTCCAGAAGAACAATTGCTAATGCTTAATTTGAACAAAAATTAGTCTTCAAGAACTAAAATATTAAAGACAAAATATATCTTGGTAGATGAAATAAAAGATTAATGTTTAATATAAAATATTAGGCAAATGAGATGAGTGAATTTTTTTAGTCTGCAAGTAAAATGTCAACTCTTTCAAAAATATAATTTATATATATATCTTTTATGCTATAATTTTTAAAGGTCATGCATTTTATAATTCATGTTGATTAACACTATGTATAATAGTTTTATATATTTGGAATTCTAGATTATCTCTATTTAAAGAAAACATTTTACTATAAAAATCACGCACAAAAGTGGAGACAATGATTTAATAAATCCCATCTTGCAAGCTTCAACACTTTGCCATATTGCTATTTTGTCATTGGGGGTAGAGAGCGCTGAAATATTACAAAATGAATCTTAGACATATCATTTGCTTTTAAATGCTTCATATACGTGTCTAAAAAAGGGAGTTTTTTTTAGATAACTACAACAATATTCACACATAGAAAAGTTATAATGATCCCTTCATATGCTCTAATCCCTAGTTTACATTCAAGTTTCCCTTATGGCTCACATATGCCCTCTGTAGCTAGTTTGAATCTCAATTCAAGTCAGTTTCCACTCATTGCATTTGTTATATCTCTCAAGACTTAAATTTTAGAACAATTTCTACTTTTCCCTCCTCTCTGTTTCTTGGCATTGATATTGATGAAATTTGACCAGGGGTCCTATAGAATGTTCTGTATTCTACATTTTTCTTATTTCATCCTAGTTGTATTTTTTAATTTGTTCCTCCATCCCCCATACTTCATGCAAACTAGAAATTGAATCTGAGGGATTCTATTATTTTAATATTTTCAACAAGAATACTTCATAGATGAGGTTTTGATACATTCTCTCAGTATCCCAAACACATTTGTTTAGTAACTAATGTCATTTTATTCCACTCTTCAGATGGACTTCTTGCTGCAATATTCAAAAGTAATTACATTCTGGGGGGGAAAAAAGCCTTTTCCTACCCAATAAGTCTTTATTATAATCAAATCCTTATGGGAGTAAACTTCAATTAATTGATGCATGAAAAATACCAGAGACAAAGTGAACCCTTTAATTTCTCTAAATTTGGCTATGCATAAAGAAAGCTGCACCTACCATGCCTGTCATAAACTGTCAATGGCCAGTCAGACTGAACCTGCTGCCCTCACATTGCCCCTGTTGTGAGCAAGTATCTCCATGCTCTAGTGAACTCTTACTGAGATAGACCTACTATTTGGAGCTTTGATGTCCATCAAGGTTTTACTCCCATCTCTATATTAAAGCATCATGTTTTTAGGTTTTGGATAAACATCCAATGTATGTCTTTTATGAGTAAAACAGATCACAAGAAATTATGATATGTGTTTGGTTTGCTTACAGACCTTGCTGTATCCATTTGGTTCCCTCTTATACTTTTGTATTTTTAACTCAACATCTCCATTACTTCTAGTCATAGGGCTTGAAATTCTCACTGTTAGAATCATTCTTTTTGGTCTTTCTGGAAATGTTTATTAAAGAGAAATCAAGGTATCACATTACTTGGGAAAAATAACGCATATATAAGACTCACTGTCACCTAAACCGAGATGATGATCTCAGTAGGCACTATCCAAAGAATGTCTTGACCTTGGACAAACATCTCATCTTGGAATTTTTCTTGGGCTCTGGACACCTGGGAAACAGCTTGTAAAGACCAAATTCTGTTGTAGAAGTGGAGAACTTCAAAAGGAGAATATGAGATATCTTGGGATTATTGCCTCTGGTTTCTAATAAACTGAATTATGTTGATAATGCCTATCCCAGGCTCTGTGGTCTGTAGAAGGAAGAGTGGATGAGGAGTAAAGAGATACTGAGCTTCAGTCCTGGGTTCCAGGCACTGTAGCTTGGTGATCAACAGCCCAAACTCCAGATTCACATTGGGTGGCCTCTTGCTCATGTGACCTTAGAAAATTTACTTAACTTTCTGAGAAGCCTCAGTTTCTGAATCTGTAAAATGGTATTAATAATAGACCTTGGCCTTATGGGGCTATTATGAGGATTTAGTGAGACAATCCATATAAAGTGCTTGCATAGTTCTGGTACTTAGGAAATGATCAATAAATGTCACCTCTACTGTTTTATTATTGATTGTAACTAATGGTTGTTCCCTTTATTAAAAACTTCATAGCAAATTCTGGCAGAGAATTAAATTTATAAGTTGCATTTTCTCAGAGTTTAGATTTCTTTGGCTAATGACCGTTATTTAATTTACAGAATTACTCTTTGTATGCCAAAGTCCTCTGATGATAAACACTAAATTTAAAAAGTTTAAAGAGCAGCATGTCAACAGAATCCATTCAACCTACTTGCTGATTGTTTATGTATGAGAGTATAAATGGATGGTAAATTACAAATATATATTAATATAAGTTTATATAAGGTCACATATTACAGAGTTAAGTATGCATAAGTAATTGAACCAGAGAGTATGCTTGCTTGCCCGCCCTTCCTTCCTTCTTTACTTCCTTCCTTCGTTCCTTTTCTTTCCTTTTCTTTTTCTTTCTGTCTTGTTCTCTTTCTCTCTTTCTTTCCCTCTTTATTTTCCTTTTTCTTTTCCTTCCTCCCTTTCTCTTACTCCTTCTTTCTTTTCTTTTCTTCTCTTTTTTCTTTCTTTTCTTTTTTCTTTCTTTCTTTTCTTTCTTTTTTCTTTCTCTCTCTCTCTCCCTCCCTCTCTTCCTTTCTTTCTTTCCCTTCCTTCCCTCCTTCCCTCCCTCCTTCTTCCTACAGGGTCTCCCTATGTTGCGCAGACTGGAGTGCAGTGGCTATTCACAGGCACAATCATCACGCACTGCAGCCTGAAACTTTTGGCCTCAGGCGGGCTTCCTGCCTCAGTGTCCCAAGTTGCTGGGACTATAGGCATCTGCCATCATGCCCGACAAGAGCTTTCTTTAATGCCAGATATTCTGCCAAATGTTTTACATAGATACGTCATTGAGCTTTGGCAACGATTATATAGTTCGTGCCACTGTTATCCTGAGGACCAGGGCCACACTGTTAGAACACGGAAGATCTAGAATATAACTCAGGTCTGTCCAGCACTGGAGCCACTTGTTAGCTTCCACATACTCTTTTTTCTAATGTGTTTTCAATCAAGGGGCTTATTATTGGCATCTGTTTGTTAGTGTGATATGTTACCATGAAGCAAGAGTAAGTATTTGCATCTTGTGGCCCAAGAGTTGCTGCTACAGGGGCTGTAACTACATGAACTGTCCCTGTAGCTCTAGTACCTAGGCTACCATCAATTCATTCTTGAGGCTTCAGACAGCTTTGTCACCTGAGCTAAAACTTTTCTAGCTGGTCAGAAGTTCTGGTCAAAGTATTTTCCATTATTTTGCTTAAATTTGGGGTATCCTGTAGTCATTTGGGGTATCCTGTAGTCATTTGGGGAGATGTTAAAATGTATCCTCTTTTTTCCCTGCATAATGGACAGAGTCTCACCCTGTCACCCAGGCTAAAGAGTGCAGTGGTGCAATCATAGCTCACTGCAACCTCAAACTCCCGGGCTGAAGCGATGCTCCTGCCTCAGCCTCCCCAGTAGCTAGACTACAGGTTTGCACCACCAAGCCTGGCTATTTTTCAATTTTCTTTTTCCTTTTTTTTGTAGACTTGGGGTCTCACTATGTTACCCAGGCTGGTCTCAAACTGTGTCCTCTTTTAAAGGACAAGTTTTCATTTCTTTTTCTTTTCTTTTTTTTTTTTTTTTTTGAGACAGAGTCTCACTGTTGTGGCCCAGACCACAGTGCAGTGGCACAATCTCGGTTCACTGCAACCTCTGCCTCCAGGGTTCAAACATTTCTTCTGCCTCAGCCTCCCAGCTAGCTGGCATTACAGGTGTGCACCACCACGCCCAGCTAATTTTTGTATTTTTGGTAGAAACAGGGTTTCTCCATCATGGCCAGGCTGGTCTCAAACTCCTGGCCTCAAGTGATCTGCCTGCCTCGGCCTCCTAAAATGCTGAGATTACAGGCGTGAGCCGCTGCACCCGGCCAAGTTTTCATTTTCTAGGTGCTGTTCATTACTTGAAGAAATACATTCACTTTGTCAGCACTGTGGTTTGTCATTTGGAAAGAAAAATACACCCTCTTTAAGAAAGCGAGTTCCCTGTGATGTAGTGTGCTTTCTATTAGGACTCAAATCAGAATGAGTGTTCAGCACTGATGTTTTCATTCCGTCCTCCTCCTCTCACCTCCTGCCTGCTCTCAGCCCACTGTCCTCTCTGCCCTATTCCTCCTTGGGTTGTCTTAAAGTCAAAAGCTCTCAGGGTTATGTTGATTTGGGCTTGCAGAGAATTTACCTGTTGTTAAAGAATACCTTTGAGTATAGCAGCTTCTTTGTTTCTTGATGGTGATTTTTTTCCTACCTTTTAATGTTTCAATTTGATGACATGGTTGATTAACTTGGGACTATAAGGACTTGGAAGGCAGAATATTTATATGGTTTGCTTGCATATCTCAAGGTAGATAGCACTTTGCAAATGGTAATATTTGTTTAATAACAGGATATAATTACCACAATCAAATATTTAATTGAGAAATATGATATTATGTATGTATGTGACAGATTTCAAGGTGAGAATTCTGGGCCTTGAAGGAAAAATATTAATACCCTCTAGTGCAGTGGTTCTTACACTTTGGCATTGTAGGAATCACCTGAAGTACTTGCTATAAAATGCAGATTCTTAGATCACACCGATAGAGGTTCAGATTAAGGATGAGGCAGGGCCCAGAAACCTGGATAATTTAAAACATTATCCCAGTTGCTTCTGTGCCAGTGATCCTCTTAAAACACTTGGAGAATCATTGTTCTAGGGTGGCTTTGTTATCTCAAAACCTCACTGTATTTTCAACTGTTATTTTAGAGTATCTGCACTTACTGTTGGGATAGAGCCTAGAGTAGGTTAAGCAACTGAATAGCCTTTGCAGCCCTCCTCCACCCACCTCTTTTTGTGCACAAGGTACCTGGTTTCCTCACATTACCTGTTTCAGTTATATTCCTAATACCTTCCACAAATTGAAACTCTTTTTTTCTTCATCATGCTTAACTAGCTGTTACCCATAAAAGCCAAATTTGAGGTTTGGTATGCATGATTGACAGTTGCTTAAAGTGTTACCCCTTCCTAGAGTTCAGTTTACAAAGCCCAGATGAATAATTCTTATAGTGAAAATTTAGTTAGTAAGGCCGATTTGGGGAATGGGCATGGGAAGACATGATTTAGGGCAAGGATCATTCTTCTTGGAACTGCTCTGATCGTGCAACACCTAAGATATTATTAAGACCTGACATCAACCAAGCCAAGGTGGTAGCATTTTCTGCTCAATAATTGATGCAGCAGGAGCTCAGGTAATTTAGTCAAGCTCTTTGGCTTTTGATAAGTGCCATAGTTTTCTGTTCTATATTAGATGATATTTAGTCAACCTAAGTGTTTCTGAAAGATGTGAAAGGTAAATATTTAAGCAGTTATTTCAGTTATTTAAAATAATTCAGTAGATATAGGATGGGGCTTGGGGGTGGGGTTTGGGAACAGTATGGACAAAGCAGATTGTCCTGGTGTTGATACTCAGTGAAGCCAACTAATGGGTACAGAGTAGTAAATTATACAACACTCTCTTATGTGTGCGTTTCAAATTTTTACCACAAAACATTAAAATGGGCTTATAACATTTCACCAAGCATGGCCAAGCCTTCCTTTTTGTTATTTTTGAGTTGGCCTCTTAGTAATGTGGCATTCTGATCCTGTCAGTGTCTGGCTCTTCTGTAGGAATAGGAATGGAATGGGAAGATGCACCCATGTTAGCGAAACATTGTGTGTTAAGTATCCCTTATGAATGTGGTGTTTTCTTTCCGTATCTCTCACATTTTAATCTGGACAGAAATGGTAAAATGAAATTGGTGTTATGTGGATAGTAATTTGACCCCTTGATTGTGATATTGCATAATGTTTTACCTATTGTGTATAGTTTTTTGAAAAGTTGAGCTCTAGTTTTCTTTTCCTTTATTGATGACTTATAAAAATATGTATTATAAGAATAATGAGCACTATAAGTCATACTTTATAGACAACTGGTAATTGCTACCTGCAGGTGCCCACATGCAGCTGAATATGAGTTAGCTAATTTTATTTTCGCATGGTGTATTATAAATAAGATTCCTGTTACTTTTTAGAAGTGAAGTGTATGGCATTATTCATGACCCTTTTGAGGAAGAACATGCATTTTTGTCAAGTAGCCAGGACTCTAATGAAGTTTTATGGACATATTGAGGCTACTAGAACCTCTGAGGGCGAGAATGTGTCTTAATCTGTCTTTTCTCCCCTGCAACATCCTGGAGGACAATATAATGGGTACTTTGACTATAACAACAAATAAACGAACAGTGGTTAAAAGAACTGCCACTTTACAAAATTGTGATTAAGATACTGTGAGAAGATAATGTGACTGGACTTTTAATTAATTGCTTGATGTGACAAGTATAGATTGAAATCAATCATTTTTATTGAATTAGTGTGAAGGACTTATAAAATCTTTATCCTTAACATAGGTATATTGATTGTTTTACAAATATGCCTGATGGCCACCTTACAATTTTGTAGTTTAATGACATACAATAGTAATGATTTGAATGGCAGTTTACATGACAAAATCAGTCAAGTCAGTTAAAGACAATGGAATGGGATAGAATGTTGATTGAAAGAGTTAGTGTGTGCATTAAAAATATATTATCATTGGCTATAATATTATCAAGGCAGTAATCCCAGCACTTTGGGAGGCCAAGATGGGAGGATCACTTGAGGCCAGGAGTTTGAGACCAGCCTGAGAAACAGAGTGAGACTGTGTCGCTACGAGAAATAAGAAATAATTAGCCAGGTATGGTGATGCACACTTGTGGTGCCAGCTACTCAGGAAGCTGAGACAGGAGGATTGCTTTGGCCCAAGAGGTCAAGGCTGCAGTGAGCTGTGATTGTGCTGTTCTCCAGCCTGGGTGACAGAGTGAGGCCCTGCTACAAAATAAAAATAAAAATAAAAAGGTCATGAAGTCAAAAGATAAAAATAAGCTAACTTCAAGCTTGAAGTTTTGTGGTATTCTCTTCAATAAACCCAGAGTCAACATATTTACTGAACTGCATATCACAAACTGTGCTCTGTAAATTGGAGGGTTTTTGTTTTGTTTTGTTTTCTTATGAAATTAGCTTTGAGCTATAAAAGATCAAGAGAATGTGAAGAACAGTTGTTCTAATCACAGAAGGTTGAATATACCCAGTGATTCAAAGACAGAAAGGAGAAAAAGGTCTGGGGGCAGCGAGGTAGAAATGGGAAGGAAGGCTTTTAGAAAAAACCTTGTATGAGAACAGAAGATGAGGCAATTTGGAGATAGAGATTGTGGGTGGATTGTCAGGAGTCCGACGGTGATAATGGATGTTCCAACAAAAGGTAAACATAACTGCAGATAAAACCTCTAAAAATACTTTCCTTTCCTAAGAGATGCTGAAAGTTCTGTTCTCTGAGATACAGGGGTAAAATGAAATTTTGTGGGTGATTTATAGCAACCATATTTTGTTTGTGAGTGTGCGGTGCTTTGTATGGTGCATCTATATCTCTGTGTTATCATCTAGGACAGTACTTTTCAAACTTTGTGCATCAAAGTTGTCTGAGTAGCTTTTTAAAACTGCGAAGGGGATCTGAGCATTATTTTTAAAATAGATGGCTACAGTGCCAATCAAATGAACATTTTTAGTCTGTAAATACTATTATAAAGAATACCAAGCAAAGAATGCTTCTCTTTGTTCCTTATAAGAATCTTGAGAGGCATGTACAGGAAGTGTGCCAAAATGTAATAAAAACAAAAGCTTAATAAATCAATCATGTATATGTTGAATTTCCTCCAGCATTTTGCTTTGTGCATTTTTATGGCTTATCTCACAAACTCTGAAGTACAAAGTGTGAATACATGACTGCCTGGGACTTCACTTTGTGTGTTTTCTATTGTTGGCTTTTGGGGTTAAGCATATTTAAATGTAATTAAGCAGGTACCAGAACAACTACAATTATTCTGACTATGCTATTAAGAAGATTGATACTAGGCACATATTTATTACAACTTACTTGGGCCATTTTTTTCTTTTTTTAAAGACAGGGTCTCACTCTGTCACCTAGGCTGAAGTGTTCACTGCAGCCTCAACCTCCTGGGCTCCAGCAATTCTCCTTCCTCAGCCTCCTGAGTAACTGGGGACCACAGGCATATGCCACCACACCTGGTTGATTTTTTAAATTTCTTTATAGTGACAGCATCTCACCATGTTGCCCAGGCTGGTCTCAAACTCCTGGGCTCAAGTGACCCTCCTATCTCAGCCTCCAAAAGTGCTGGGATTACAGGCATGAGCCATTACACCCAGCCTGTTTTTGTTTTGTTTTTTTCTAAAACTGATACTGTATTCAAAAAGAAAAATAAATGCTTTCTGCAACAAGTCCTTTTCAGAGAGAATTGAACACCAATGGTAGTCTGTATAATTTTGGTAAATAGTAAAGATACAAAGATGTGGTACAAATAGGTAGAAAATAGGAGACTCAGGCCCTATTCTCCCACCTGCCTCTGACCTACCTCCCGGCCAAGCAGTTCAACCTTACCATGCCTTGTGACGTTCTCCTTTGTAAATTAGGGTGATCTTTTTTTTTTTTTTTTTCGGTCTCAAAAAGTTATGCAGAGAATACCAAATGAGAGTTGAACAAGTCTCTTATCTTGGACAGAAAGTACTTTGCCTTTAAAGTAATTAAAGTTGGATAAATTGAGCCATAATAATAAAAAGAAAAGCTAATGTTTGTATGGAAGATTTTCTTCTTGAAGTTGTTTTGGAAAAAAAAAAAGAGCAGATTAAATTCCCCCAGAGACGAAATGTTATGTAGTATTCTATGAAGAAATAAAAGTGATAAAGAAATAGGAAGAAGATTACATTGAATTTTGCCTGGCTTGTTTTACCAATGGTTTGTTTTGAGCTTATCTTCAGTTGTTTGGAAGCAACCTAATTGCTCAACACATAGGAAAGGGCCTCATTCACAATTCTGTCATCATGAGTACTACAGAGTCTGTTATGAGTAGGTTGGTTTAATACACGGGAAAGTCTAAGGACATTTTTATTATGCCCCAATACTTGTTTGAATTGGTAAGTACTGCTTAGTATTTAGTAACTTAGGAAACTCTTGGGTTCAATGGGTGACTGGGAATACAGCAAGTAGAGTTCCATGTTGAACCTTGGTAGTATCCACATCTAAATCATAAATTACTCAACAGGAGAAAAGAAAATTTATTTTTGTTTGAATTTACTCATTCCATATTGAGCTCCATCATATACCAGACACTATGTTGACCCTAGCTATATAAATTAGAAGCAGACAATTTTGCCATTCTTGACATTGGAAACAAGAGAAAAAAAAAAAAGAAAAATGAAAAATGCACACACCAGTAATCTGTCCTTAATTTAGACTACATCAGCTATAAGAACACTTATTAAATGCCTTTCTGAATAGGGATTTGCAAAGACAAGTTAATTATTGAAGACAAGCCTTTGGGAGTCTTATAAAAAAATCACAACTAACTGCTGCCTCTGTGCTTGAGGGCTGACATCTTTTAACTCTCTTTGCCCCACTTAATATTATAATTATAAAATTGCAAATTGATTTCCTCTTCTCTTTCCTCTACCCTATATGCTAGAATGTGCAGTAGGATCACAGAAATTTCTGTCTAAGTATTAAAAGTTATATCCAATATTTTTCATACTGCTTCATAAAGGCTGTTCTCATAACATTGTTTTGTCCTGAGTCAGACTATTGGCTTTTTGCTGGAGCCCCCTTGTGCACAATGAGCAATTAAGCATTGCACTCGAATTCTGAGACTAGCTTTTGTGAATGATGGGCTCTGTATTATTTCAATGAGAACTCAAGCCAGAGGTCAAATGGAGGATACTCTAGAAGTGTGCTTCTCAAACTGTAATGTGTCTACCAAGCACTGATGGATGTTGTCAGCATGCAAATTCTGATTCAGTAAGTCTAGGTGTAGCCCAGGAATCTGATTTTCAATATCTTACCATGTAATGCCAATGCTGCTCATCCCTGGACCACATTTTGAGTAGTAGCATTCTAGAACTATAGCATGAGCCTTAACCTCAGGGATCTTACTATAGTTATAGATGATATTGACTTTGAAATTTTAGTCTTGGTTTATAAAACTTTAGAAAAGCTTCTTAAAATTGCCCCACCAGTCTACACTACAAAATAATTGTACTTTGCTGTTGACCTGAACTTTTTGCTACTTTGTGAACATTTCTTAAAGGAGGTAGAGTTTCTCTTTTTTACAAAAGAATGAGTGATGAGCGATGACATGTTCTGGCTTGCCTTCTGCTATTAATCTGATCTTTTGTGGAAAAGGTATTGTTAGATTTCTTGGTTCCTTGTACAGCTAGAGTTGTCTAGCCTTGTAAATCCTTTGCTAATCCCTGTAGGATTCATCTTATTCTGTGGTAATGCTTTAGAATGGTGAAACAAATCATTTGCATTATGCTGTATCTATAAGTATATATTTACATCGATATACCATCAAATCTGTGCTATGTCATTCATAATACTAACTTTATGTGGTAATACTTAAAAAATCAAATCATGTTCCCAGAAACATATAACATTCCTGAATTTTAAAGTGTATACGTCTTGAATGTAACTGAGAGAGGATCTGTTATAGTAACTAATAAAAAATAAAACTGGTCACTCAATTTTTTAAAAATAAGGCTAAAAGAAAACACCTTACCTTGTTGGAACCAGTTTGCATTCATTTTACAAATATTTACCGCAAACTATATGTCAAGCATCAGGTTCTACTGTAGAGAGAGAACAGGCAAGTATTTAGGATTTTTATTATTCTTAATCATGAATATTTTAATACAATGATCAAAAGTGATAGCACAAGAATGCCTAAATTGAGATACATAGAACTATATATCAGCATAAATAATGTTTTTATATAAGCACACATACACACATGCAGTGCCTTCATAGGTCAGATAATGTATCTCTTAAGCTTGTCTTTCCATATTGAAGTTTATTCTCTTGGTTTCAATAAAAGCACACTTTTCCCATTTCCATTCTAATGATTTTTTTCCATCTCTAGTGTGGATACATTTTTTTTCTATCAGCATGTTTTCCACTTCAAGTAATAGAAATCTTGACTCAAATAGTCTCATACATTAAAGACAGTTATTCTCTCATATAACCAAAAGTCCAAAATCTGCAGGACAGGCTTTGGATCTGGTTGATAGATTAGTTCAGCAATTTCACTAAAGGTCAGGTTTTTTCTGTTTCTATAAACAAAGAAAAATTCCCCAGAAGTCTCCCACCATACTTATCTTTGGCCTTGACTGGGTCCATATCTCTCCTAGTTGCTAGCAGAGGAAATGATATTATCATGATTAATATGTTCTGATCATTTGTAGTAAGGTGGAAGGGAAGTTGGGCAGTCAATCACAGTGTCCACTATCCTCTTTCTCTGACAACTTTAAAATGTTAGTATTACCAAAGATTGTGTTTGAGAATCTCTCATTCTTACTGTATACTCTCTGTGTGATTTTATCCAATTCTGTGTCTTAACCACCTTTATGTGTAATGATAGTTCTTACATCTCTATATAGCCAACCCATTTTGGGGGGTTGGCTATGTAGTTCTTACATCTCTATATAGCCAACCCATTTTTTGGGGTTGGCTATATAGAGATGTGGGAACACACAATTTCTCTCTAAAAAAACTCAACTTGACACTGTTAGCACAATCTCAAATTCAATATAGTCCAAAATTTAGTTCATTAATCTCTTTACCTAAAAGTCTCAATCCCCTACTACCAACTTGGAGAGTCATTTAAACTACAACCCTAAGGGTCATCCATGACCACTGAATGAGTCAGGAACCAAATTCTGTTGCTTCTTCTTCCTTCCCTTCTCTTGTGCTCATTCTTCTCCTCCTCTCCATGTTGCTGCCTCCTCCCATAGGGCTCTTACTGTTTCTATCTTAAGCATGGTTTTCTAACTGATCTCTCCATCTCCACTCATGCTGCTCCCCACGTGCAATTTCTTCTTCACATTTACTAAGAGAACATCCCAAAGTTATATCTGATCTTGACACTTCCTGCTTACTGTCAGCAACTCCCATTAGTCTAGCAATATTCCTAGCCATTATATAGCAGGACCTTCTAAATCTTACCTCTTTAGCATGTAAATGAGTCGTGCCTTTCCCAGTGCCCTCATCTTTGAAACTTACAATTCAGTCAGCTTTTCTTTTCTTTTTTTTTTTTTTTTTTTGAGAAGGAGTCTCGCTCTGTCGCCCAGGCTGGAGTGCAGTGACACAATCTTGGCTCACTGCAACCTCCACCTCCTGGATTCACACCATTCACCTGCCTCAGCCTCCCAAGTAGCTGGGACTACAGGTGCCTGCCACTACACCCGGCTAATTTTTTTTTTGTATTTTTAGTAGAGACAGGGTTTCACCGTGTTAACCAGGATGGTCTCGATCTCCTGACCTCATGATCTGCCTGTCTCGGCCTCCCAAAGTGCTGGGATTACAGGTGTGAGCCACCACGCCCGGCTCAGTTAGCTTTTCTTATTATTTTCCCCCAAACACGCAGTGCCATTTCTTTTTTTTTTCTTTCTTTCTTTCTTTTTTTTTTTTTTTTTTGAGACAGAGTCTCACTGTGTTGCCCAGGCTGGAGCGCAGTGGCATGATCTCGGCTCACTGCAACCTCTGCCTCCTGGGTTCACGCCATTCTCCTGCCTCAGCCTCCCAAGTAGCTGGGACTACAGGTGCCCGCCACCATGCCCGGCTAATTTTTTGTATTTTTGGTTAAGATGGGGTTTCACTGTGTTAGCCAGGATAGTCTCGATCTCCTGACCTCGTGATCCACCCACCTCAGCCTCCCAAAGTGCTGGGATTACAGGTGTGAGCCACTGTGCCCAGCCCCACGGTGCCATTTCTGACAGTGTCTATCCTCATGCTGTTTCATTTACTTTTATGTCTCAGGACAATCATTATCCCCTTTTAAAGACCTCACAACTCTTTTACTCTGCCAGGAGAACTGAGGATGAGGGAATCATGGTGATGGTGATGGTAGCTAATGCAGTCATCACACATTGCTTTATGAGAGGAATATAATCTAACAAATACATTGTTAGGTGATTTTGTATGTGAACATCACAACATGTCCTTACACAAAGCTAGATGGTATAGCCTACTGCACATCCAGGCTATATGGTGTGGTTTATTACTCCTAGGCTACAAACCTGAATACCATGTTACTGTACTGAATAGTGTAAGAAGATAATAACACAATGGTAGGTATTAGTGCAATGGAAAATCTTCAGTTCCATTATAATCTTATGGGACCACAGTTGTATATGAGGTTTGTCATTTACTGAGACATCATTATGCAGTGCATGACCGTATATATCACCAGACACTGTTCAAAGTGCTTTCCACATGTTAAGCCATGCAAAAATACTGTGAGGTAGGCACTCTTATATCCATATTTTATATATGAGGAGACAGAGGTGCAGAGAGATGAAACTACCTGCCCAAGGACTCAGAGGTACCAAGGAGTAAAACTGAGATTTGACCTTAGGCAGTCTGGCTCCTAGATCAGTACTCTTAAGCACTACACCGTACTGTGTCTCAATCATTTGATCAATCTTTTCTTGGGAAGCATTTTACCTTGGACACAGTTTTATTTTGCACTTAAGATATTTTACTGCACTGTGTTTCATGTCTAAGTTCCCCAACTATATCAAACTTCCTTGAGGCTGGAGCAATTCTTATTCACATCTAGTCCTCAACACAGTAGGCACAAAGTGTTGATAGTATGTGGATAGAAAGGAATAGAAAGAATGATTGGTAAAGTATTTATGGGTAAAGAAATGAGTCAACATTTCTCTCAAATGCCTTGAAAATGTTATTATGATTTGCATTCACAGAGGCACGGTTTTTGATTGAGCTATCTAGTTCATTTAAGAAAGAGGTTCTTCCTGCATTTTGCCAAGTCTGCAATTTAAGAACAGTTGATTTATGCAAGACAATAACTCACCTAGGTCGATCCCTCACTTTATATGTTTCTTCATCAAACACAAGTCATTCTACAAAAAGACTAATATACAAATGTTGATTTTAACCTTAGTCATATTATTAAAAAACTAGAATCAGTCCAAATATCCACCAATAGATGAATAGTGTGCTATATTCATAGAATGAAATACTAATCAACAATTAAAAATTGAAATGAATAACTGATACCATGCAACAACATAGATGAACATCAAATGCATTATACTGAACAAAAAAGCCAGATACAAAAGGGTATATAATATATGATTCCATTTAGATTAAGTTGCAGTACAGGCAAAGTTAATCTTAGTTCTATAAATCAGATCAGTGGTGGCCTGAGCATGTGAGGCAGAATTTACTGGAAAGGGACAGGGAAGAACTTTCTTGAGGGATGGAGATGCTCTATATTTTGTTTTGGGTGATTTTTACATAAGTTTAGACAATTATCAAAACTGACTAACCTGAACACTTAGAATCTGTACATTTTATTATATGCCAGTCATGCCTCTATTTTTAAGAAATGGTGGCAATAGCAAGGGAAGTGGGAGCCCAGGAATTTTTTTCCAAGATAGAATAAATAACAGCAAGTTTGTATGCTAAATAAAATGATCCAGTGGAAGAAAAGTATTGATGAATAAGAGAGAAGGGAGAATTGGTGAAGCAATGTGCTTGAGCAGGAGAGAGGATGGGAGTGAGTGCACAGGTGGAGGGACTAGCTTTAGAACAGTCATGGATAAAGACAGGATGTGTAGCTGTAAATGATAATGGCTGGTTGGTCATGATGTTCTGAGTCTACCCAAGTCTTCTTTCCTGATTTTTCACAGGGAAGTAGGAAGGCAGGACAACAGTTTTTAGTGAGGGTTAAGGATGGAGGAGGTGCAGGAGGTTTGAGGAAGTGCGGAGCAGTGGTCGTCAAACTTTTTCATGCATCAGAAGCATGGTGTGTGTTAAAACAAATGTTCTGGGCCTCATCCCAGAGTTTCTGGTTCAGTAGGACTGGGAAAGACCCTGAGAATGTGCCAAGAAGTTTTTAGATGATGTTGATCTAGATAAGACTCTGAGAACCACTGGTGTAGAGCTTTCACTTTTATAGCTGAGACATTCATGCTTTGAATAATAAAATGGTTCATCTAAGGTGATGGAACTGTGACTAGTAAGTAGTCCAGGCTGCTGCCTCCAGCTTGGGCTCATCCTACATATGCGCTCTGATTTCAGGGAGGGAGAGCAGCAGAAGGCAGTGGGTTCCAGGGGTTAAGTGGGGAGTGTGCACTAGGCAGGGAATTTTGGAGAAAGGAGAAACTGATATCACCAAAGCAAATCTTGTTAAGGTCACCTTAGTTTGTTATGGCCTGTTCCCTGATGAATAAATGTGGGCAAGAAAATGTTTTTATCCTGTTCAGTACATATGAGCATAGCTTCAGATTCTAGGAGGGCTTTGCTTTTTTTCCTGTGAAGAAGGTTTGTTCTTAGGATGTTCATTAATGGAGATATGTTTACATTATTTTTAAAAGGCTGGTTCTTTATTTGCATGCACATGCTTTTGTGGAACCAGGATACATACATATTTTAAAGAAAATTATGCAAATATGACTGTAAAAATATATATTAATATTTAAAGAGCCTTTTGTTGTATATACATGAATTATATTGAAAAGCAACACAGTCATGGTGAAAGATGAATTTGAACTATGTATAGTAATACCAATTAATATACCTGTTTATGTTTACAGAAAAACTAGAAGGAAATGTGCTAAATGTTAACTGTGGCTTTTCTTTGAGTTATATGATCACAGATGGTTTTAATTTAATTTTTCTATATTTTTCTGCTTTTTGTGTTTCTAAAATGAGTGAGTTATTTTCATAAAACTTATTTGTAAAACAAACTACTCATAATAAATAAAATATAATGTAATACATAACATGTAATAATAACTAACAGCATAAAAGCTAATCTATGTCTAGTGTATTAGTCTTGGCTCCTGGGCACTTGGGATGTATCAATGAACAAGTAAAATGTCCCTCTACTTTCAGGGTTGGTATTTTGGAATATCAATGATTAAATTCACTGTGCATTGGAGAAGCTATCTTGGCACAGGGTAACTGCACATGTATATTTTGCTTTGAAGTACTATTATTCATGTTTATGTTGTTTGCCTCTTTTGGATTATACATTTCTTGAGACTATGGACTATGGTCATTGTGAAAATTGTCATTTGCTTCCAAAGTAACCACTTGTAATAAAAGTGCTATAATTTTGCCTAGAAAAAAAATTAAATGTATTTTATCTGAATAAAAGTAGGATACCATATCCATTTCTGGTTGAAATCTATTCATGAAAATGAGCAAAATTTCCAAGGCTATGTTTGGTAATGTCAAATCATAGCAAATAAGATTAATTATTTGATTTAAACAATTTAACATCCTCCAGTAACATATGGTACAGTTGTCTAATGCATGAATAAACTACAGCTTTTATCAAGACTCATCTTTTCTAAACATTTGATTGAAAAATGCATTTTTTGGCAAAGAAAGGAATAAAATACCAATATTTTCTATCACGTGGATGAAACTTGAAAGCATTAAACAAAGTGAAAGAAGTGAAACACAAGAGGCCAATATATCATATGATTTATGATTCCATTCATATGATATGCCCAGAATAGGCAAATCTGTAGAGGCAGAAAGCAGGTTCATGGTTGGGAGAATGGGCTGGGAGAAAGGGGAGAACAGGGTGATTACTAGTGGGGATGGGGTTTCTTTTGGGGGTGATAAAATATTCTAAAATTAATTATGATGGTTGCACAACTCTGTAAATATACTAAAACTATTGAAATTTACACTTTAAATGGGTGAGTTGTATAGGATGTGAATAACATCTCAATAAAATGATTACAAAACATTTTAAAAAATATTTCTCAACATATTTTTCAGGAGCTCTTCGTCTGCCCACCCTTTCCTGTTCACCTTCCCATTCTTCCAGGGCATGTGTAAACTTGTCCAAGCATTTAGACTTTGAAGCAAAACAAAACTTGGCCTAAGGGATTTTTCTCAAATCAAGCTACTTTTGGCAAACATTTTAATTGGCTGACATGCAAAGAAAATCCAAATGGCATCTATCTCATTTAATTAAACACTTTTTAGTATTTGTTTCTGCTTCTCTACCCTCTGTACACCTCTTTTTTCCCTGTATCTTACTTTATTTTGGTATAGTAGAAAAAGCACTCAACCTGACTTCTATTCATATGTGTTTGTTCTCAACTTCTAGGAGGAAAGTTTGATGAGATGCCCAGGGTTTTGAAAAGTATAATCCATACTTTGGGAGACCAAGGCAGGCAGATCACCTGAGGTAGGGAGTTCGAGACTAGCCTGACCAACATGGAGAAACCTCGTCTCGACTAAAAATACAAAATTAGCCAGGCATGGTGGAGCATGCCTGTAGTCCCAGCTACTCGGGCGGCTGAGGCAGGAGAATTGCTGGAACCCTGGAGGCAGAGGTTGTGGTGAGCCGAGATCGCGCTATGGCACTCCAACCTGGGCAACAAGAGCGAGACTCTGTCTCAAAAAAAAAAATGCAACATCATCAGAATTATCTGGGGGAATTTATTAATATTAGAAATGCAGATCTTAGGTCTAGTTTCTAGAGACTCTTGGGATTTACCAAGTATACTTTCCAAGTCAGATTTTCTTTGCTGGGACCCAGAGATATGCATTTTACCAAGTATTCCTCCCTCTGCACTGCCACCATCCCTATGTGATTCTCAGGTGCACTAAAATTTAAGAATCACTGCTTATTAATTTATTAATGGTCCTGCCCATCTGTCATGCTCAACAATTATTGATGTCTTTTCTATCTCATTTGGCTTATTCTTTCAGGCTATTAGGAAACTCCTTTGCTTTAGTGTTTGCTTAATGAAGATTGGGGCCAACGTGGTTACCTGAGATATTTGATTTCTTTGTGAGGACTCCTAAATATCTTACTTTTCTTCTTTGCGTAGTTTATTTCCTTCATACCACTCCCTGTTCTCTTATCTTAATGCAAAGTACTGGATGATTCCAGGTGTTGTGCTAAACACTAAATATTCTGAGTAATGCAGGATTAATAAAATACAGATATTTTCCAAAAAAATATTGATAGTATAGAGTTCTTACTATTTGGTTTAGTTATTTTCCCCTCTCAAGAATTAGGTTCTTTTTAAGTTTCTTTTTTCCTTTAATTGCTCATCGCTCTAACTTTTGGAACAAATAATATATTTGTGTTATTAAATTTGGGAATAATTACATATGGCTCCTCAACTTAAAAGTTCAGCATTGTGCATAAATAGCGTGGAATTTAAGTAAAAAATATTTTTTGTTTATTATAAAACAGACTAAAATTTAGCATATAACTTTTAAGAATTAAAGTCCAGTTTGAAACGTATCTTTTAAAATTGCATTGCTGTATATACTACAGAAAATTGGAGGGACACATTTTTTAGTGTTAATTGAATATATCAGTAAGAGCAGTTCAGTTATTAGTTTAGTTTATTTTAATATATATTGTTAAACTTTTATTTCTTAGCTTAAGATTCCATGGCTTGGAATGTCTTAAGAATAAAGTCTTGACTGCAGAGGGATTGGAGAATAAAATCAGAAAGTCTGGAACTCAAACGTGCTTATAAAATGTGACCACAATTTTGTTACAAATAACCATAGGTTTCATTGTTGTTGTGTTGAGACACAGTTTTACTCTGCTACCCAGGCTGCAGTGCAGTGGCATGATCTCAGCTCACTGCAACCTCTGCCTCCTGGGTTCAAGTGATTCTCCTGCCTCAGCATCCCAAGTAGCTAGGACTACAGGTGCGCACACCACACCCAGCCTAATTTTTTGCATTTTTAGTAAAGATGTGGTTTTGCCATGTTGGCCAGGCTGGTCTTGAACTCCTGACCTCAAGTGATCCACCCACCTCGGCCTCCCAAAGTGCTGGGATTACAGGCATGAGCCATTGCGCCTGACCACAAATAACTGTAGATTTTAATTGAGGCTTAATATTTTATTTAAAACTAATCAGCAACTTTTTATTCACTATTCTTTTTATTAGAGGATCAATGAGATTTAATTATGAAATTGCTAATTATTTTTCTCATTGCACGTATTTGTACCACTTCCAGGGAATTCGTGTTCAGAAATACTGCTTCTAGTGTGTGGGTCAGTCTCTTGCCAGTTGGTAAAACTGGAGCATCAGCCTATGAAACATGACGTTCCATTCTTTTTGAGGGAAGTTTTTCTTTGAGTAGGCTCTCAAGCACCCCTTTCCTGTTCCACTGGTTTCCTCTTTGCTTTTTTTCCTTCATTTTTCCATCTCATTCATTCATCATCTTTCTATACTTTCTCTTAGTTATAACTTTCCCAATCCCCTCCATTTTTAGTATCCCAAAAGCCAGTTTTTCAATGTATTACTTTAAAATTTACAGTTGCTTTAGATAGAATGTTCTCAATGTGCCCATCATGCTGACATTTTCCAAGCCATCCTATGTTGTCCCAGCAAATACAACTCAAGTGTGCTAGACACTGAAAGCTGGAGATACACCACAATAAGAAAGCCACACGCTCTGCCACAACAATGCCCACACCTAATTTTAAATCAGTATGGCAGATGTACAGAGACTTGATCACAAAGACAATGGGAACACCAGGTGGGGACACCTACCCCGCCCTTAGAGAGCTGTGCTTGGCTGATTTACCAGCATCTTCACTACCTGCCTCCTGCCCTCTCCCAGAGGTTTAGTGTCCCTTGTTGATGTCCCTAGAACCCCATAATCCCTGCAACAGAACTGATCACATTGTTAAAGCCTTCCCTGAGGATAATCCCTTCCACATGACTGTAACATATCTCCGAGATTCCCTGCCTGTTTGCATGGCTTCATTCACATCCGATGAGAAAAGCTAGAAATAGACTTCTTTTTGCTGTTCCATCAGTAGGACTTGCCGAGACTGTAGCCTTCCTAAAATTGGAGGTGTCATAATCTCTGGTGAGCACTGGGATCCTGAACAGGTGTAGACATGGAAAGAAACAGATTTCAGCCTCTAGGATGTTAGAACTGGAAGAATCTTGTGTAGCATGTAATAGAATCCAGTCATGGTACAGATGATGAAACCGACTCGAGTGTTGAGTGACTTGCTTGAGTTAGCAAGAGGTTTTTCTGGTGCTATTACCTGGGTGTCCTAATTCTTCATTTATTCTGTTTACTCTTTTTACTATATTAATTTTTGAGATTAGTGGTACTTTATTATTTTTCTTTGATGATTCTCATGGTCATCAAGGAAATATCGGATTTAATTATATCAATGATCTAGTTAAGTCAATGTCATTTTTAGAAACGCCAAAATACACAGACACACATATGTGTGTGTATGTGGCTTTGAAATTCATTATTTTACTTGATATAAAAGGAAAGTAACATTGGATTCATCTTAAATTAGTTTCTAAATATAAACCATATCATAATTTTTGAAAAGGTTAACTTTGAGTCAGGAATGGGAAATACTCAGTTCAGTGGCCTAATGTGTGATAGGTGGAAGTTGCTTAGATTCTGTCTTTGTTTTCGCCTGTGCAATAGTAATGCTGAGTCCATCATCAGGAGAAAACAAGTGAGTCCTTCCACAGACTATGTAGTTAGACATTCCTGTTTTGCCTTTATGTGTCTTACCAGGCTCTTCACTCAATTCTTTCTGATAATTAACAGCCTAGATTTTTTTTAACAGAGAATAATGTAATGAACCACTGATTACCCATCACCCAGCTTAATGACCAACTCATTGCCACGCTTGTTTCTTTAGTCTTTCCCACATATCTCTAATAGATAGGACTTTAAAAATAACCAAGATTACCATTATTGCATCTAAAAAATAATCCTTTGATATCATCTAATTCCCATTCATTCAAATTTCCCCAATTGGAAGAGTCAAGATTTGAATAATGAATACCCTAGATTTGTGCCTGTCTTTTACTAATTAACTTGATAAAGCTTTACTCTCATTATAAGCCCAGTTGACACAACCGTCATCTAAGGTTGTCTCTCATTTCCATCCCCCTCAATGATTTTCAGTTTTCCTTATTATTTTTCTTTTCCAGGTTTTTCCATCTTAGATCTCTGTTGAATGGCTTATGCATTTTCAGTATTTCCTTATTTAGCATCATTGGTGGTGAATGTTAGCAATACTTTATTATTGCTTATCTTCATTTAGGATGTGAGTTTAATAAGGAGGGAAATGGTATCTCCAGAAAGAATGCACATGGTATCAGAAGGTGGAAGTCCAGGCTCCTTATCTTAACTTTGTTCTCTAACAATGTTAGCTTAATCAAGTCAACTAGTCACTTTGCTTATCTGTATATTGTGGACAGTACCTCGACATTGTTCTGTCCGACTGTCATATCTTTTGCAAGCCTATTCAAGCCCTTTGTGACCTAAGAATAAATAGAGACTCTCTTCTTGCCTTCTCATAAGGTCTTGTTCGGCGGTATAGACAAGCACGTGGAGTGTGTAGCTGACATGGGCCCATGGTGAGGGCTCCATGAGTTCCTGGGGGCTGGAGGGGGAGGTCGAGAAAACATTCAGGCTTCGAAATCATTGTCATTAAAAGCGAAAGCCTAACAAAATATGCTCTGTGTCATTTTAAAATTGCTATTACACATTGATATAAAATCAAAGAGAAAAAAAATCAGTTAACTTTCCTAAGCATACAAAAAGAGCTGAACAGAACCCATTGGATCAAAGGTCTTTGTCATCTTATTTTTAACCATGCTGAAAATTATCTTTGAAGGAACATGAGCCTGAGTAAAGAAGAAAATGGGCGGCAAGGGTTGCAAAACGACAAGTAGTTATTTACAGACTTATACCTTGGTTTCTATGGCTATATATTTGATGAAAATCCCATTACATGCAAAAATATTTTGGAAGTGTTAGATATTTTCATTATTTTGGAATTAAAGTTTTTAAATAGAGATATTACAGATAGAAGTCTCTTTGCTTAGTATGAATCATGGTATTTCATGCTTCTGTCCTCCAGAGATCAGGTGTTTTATGATGATTGAATGCCTGGGCCTTGGACTCAAACAGGCCTTTTTCCAAACACCAGCTCTGCCACTTAATAACCAATTCTTGGGACTAACAAGATACATAACTTCATTAATTTTCCATTTACACTATTCAGATAAAAAATACTCCTTATAAATTGTTACAAGGATTAAACAAGATAATGTATCTAACAGAACTCAGCACTGACATATCCACATTAAGCACGAGAACGATGTGACGCTCATGTGTTCTTCCTTGATGCTCAACATTTAGAAAATCCTGTGCTTAGTTCTTTAATTTTTCTTTGGGAACATGATTCTATAACATAATCTGTTGTCTTTTATTTCTTTTTTCTTTTATTAAGGATTAGAATCTTTTGGATGAAATCTTAAGTCTTTTTGCTTTTTATTTTACTTTAGTAAATGAGTCTTCTTAAGATGTTGGTAGAAGGCTGAGTGCAGTGGCTCACACCTGTAATCCCAGCACTTTGGGAGGCCAAGACAGGTGGACCGCTTGAGCCTAGGAGTTCAAGACCAGTCTGGGTAATGTGGTGAAACCTGGTCCCTACAAAAATTACAAAAATTAGCCAGACATGGTGGCATGCACCTGTAGTCCCAGCTACTAGAGAGAATGAGGTGGGAGGATCTATTGAGCTCACAATGTCGAGGTTGCAGTAAGCTGTGATCAGCCACTGCACTCCAGCCTGGGTGACAGAGTGAGACTCTGTCTTAAAAAAAAAATGTTGTTAGAGAGTAGTTTTGATTATTTTGGGTAGGTATCTCAGAACACTTGTAAATCTGGTGAAGGAGATTTTATTTTAAAATGGTTGAAGATTAGCTGAAGGAGAAACTGGCAATATCTTTGGTTTGGGAATTAGGAGATCTGGGTTCTGGCAGAAATCAGTTTGTTGCTCTCAGGCAATTTACTTAATTTCTCTGGACACCAGTGTCCCCTGTTATGAATGTGGGGTTTGGAATAGGTGATAGTGCAGATGCTTCAGGTCCAATGCCCTGTGATTATTGTTGGGCAGGTAGAGCTTTGCCATTTGAGTCAGAGCAACAAGGGGAGCAAGGCTGATGAGTTTGAGGTAGGAATTAAGAAACAACAGGAGATGACAGAAGGCATTACTTTTCATAATCAAGGGAACAATATGGGGAGTGGGAGGAAATATGAGAACTGAAGAACAGAAAAGGAGAGCAGTGCCAGGAACTCTAATCTGACTTCTATTTTTTGAGCGATGCCAGGATTTCATAGCAGTCTCCACTGACGCTTCTGGACATGCCTGTTTTAAGGAATATCGCTCAGGGAGTGTGTACTGTAAACCCAAATTCTGGGGAAACCCTAGGCCTTTGCAATTCACTGGGGATAAAGACAATATGAATGTTTAGGTGTCTGTGCTAGGATGCAAATGAAAGTATGGTATGACGGCTTTTGCTCTCCAGTTTAATAGGAATTTCAAATATCTGGCTTGTGGCCGGGTGCAGTGGCTCACGCCTGTAATCCCAGCACTTTGGGAGGCCGAGGCAGGCAGATCACCTGAGGTCAGGAGTTTGAGACCAGCCTGGCCAACATGGTGAAACCCCATCTCTACTAAAAATATAAAAAATTAGCCGGGCATGGTGGCAGGCACCTGTGATCCCAGCTACTCAGGAGGCTGAGGCAGGAGAATTGCTTGAACCCGGGAGGTGGAGGTTACAGTGAGCCGAGATTGCATCACTGCACTCCAGCTTGGGCAACAGAGCAAAACTCTATCTCAAATATATATATATATCTTCCTTGTGTTCATAGCCAATAGGAACTACGGAATTTTGCTCAATTCCATTCTGCTGCTGCCAGGCAGCAGAATGTAAGGCTGGCTTTGGCTAAAGGCCTGGATATTAGTCATGCTGGCAGATACAGTGAAATCACTTTGAAAACATGTGCTCATGTTGCCTTGTGCCAGTCGTTCAGTAGGATTTCCAAAAATCTTCATCATGACAATTTGGGATTGGACACAGGCACGTAGAAAGATCAGCATTTAGCAGTAAAGTACTCCTTGCTACTGTTTGACAAACAGTATCCTCTGTTGTTCAGGCTTGTTAAGATCACTTTGATTAATCTTTAAAAGAAAGTTTCATAGAGATGAATAACCAGGGAGGTTGAATGTTTACTCAGTCAGAGATTCACAAGATGCAATATCTCAGGGAGGCCATTAGCTTCTAAGATCTGGGACTTAAGCTTCGGAAGTCCAGCGGAATCATCTGTCGGTGTGTGCACTGGCAGTCTAGTTCATGAAAACTGATCCTAACAGACCAAATTTACAAGATGCTGATGTATAAATGAACATGGTAATCTATAATGATGCATGAAAGGATCCAAAACTTTTGTTAGCAATTTGCTGCCCAAAGGAAAATTAACCTAAAAAGGGCATTACTATCAGAGTTTGCACAGAGCTTGGGGGATTATTTGAGTGACTTTTTGGCAAGTATCATCAAGTTGTGATTTTTATCTGTAGTTCGCAGATAAAACTACCAAAAGTAGTGAATAACCAAGTTGGTTGGCCAGGGAGCCCTCTGTGAAAACCTTTCCCCCTGCCTTATTTCCATGTTCATTATCTTCTTTGGTAAACTCTGTCTTATTTATCATTGTCTTTCCAATTTCTAACAAAGTGCTTAAGAGATATTTGCTGAATGACTGAATGGTAGATGCACAAATATATTGACTTGATTTTTTTTTTGGAAATTGACCAACAATCAGTTTTGTTTTAGCTTTCACATCCCTTTTTCTTTCACCTCTTCCAATTGAAATTGAATGTTCCCAGATCTCTGGGCCACAAATTAGGTTACTTTGTAATCTCATTCATTAGGTGTGAATTTTTTTCTAGTTTCATTCTCCTCTTCCCCTTCAAGATATTTTTTCCGTAAGCATTCGTCTGTGCCCATGGCTTTAAACATGTTTAAAATGCTGATGATCCCTACTTGTAAACCTAATAGGTCTTGAGCTCTCATGGACATTTTAAACTGAACAAGACCAAATTGAACTCATCATATCACCCCAAATTGACTCTTCTCTAGAACTTTCCTTCCTTGTCATGAGTCAAGTGCTCATGTTGGAACTCTAGGAGTAGTCCCTGACCCTTCCTGTCTCTACCACTACTCATCTAATCAACACTGCTGTGTCAGGGGTCATAAGTGGCCACATTTCCTGAACAATAGTTTTGTTTCACCAAGGCAGTGCCCGCCAGCTTTTTGTATTTATTGCTAACCTCCAAATGTACTGAATAGTTACTGTATATGATGTAATGGGAGCAATCAAACATAAACAAGACCAAGCCCCTTCCCTCAAGTAATCTATAAGGAGAAAGAGGTTTGTCATAAACATGTTGAAAACAAGTTAATGTGTGGTAAGTAATCAAAAGCGTTGTGAAATTCTGGAGGTTAATTTTGGCTGTGTATGAGGCTTCATGGAGATGATTGTGTTTGAACTGAACCTTGAAGGATGATTTCGACCAACATAGTTGGCTGTCTCTTTATATGCTACCAGCCTATAAAAAGAGGTATCTAAGATAGGAGTGTCTCCACTTCTCGGTGTTTCAGTTTCATGATAGCCTCATAGTAAAGAAATGTATTTCACTGGATGACTTTGAAAATTTTTAGCTGACATATAATTCTGTAATTTGATTTTAGGATTTCAAAAACTCTCAAAACCCAGAAATGAGTCAGCTAATCCTCTTAATATGCAGTCATGTGTCACTTAACAATGGGGATAAGTACTGAGAAATGCAGCTAGGCAGTTTTGTCATGCAAATATCACAGAGTGTACTTATTCACACCCAGATGGTATAGCCTACTACACACCTAGGCTATATAGTATAGTCTATTGCTCCTAGTCTACAAACCTGTGCAGCATGTTACTGTACTAAACACTGTAGGTAGTTGTAGCACAATGGTATTTGTGTATCTAAATCTATCTAAACATAGGAAAAAGCAGTATAAAAATGTGGTTTTATAATATGTAACCACCATCATATATGTGGTTTATCATTGAAACGTTATGTGGTGCATGACAGTACGCTTTTTATTAAGGAAAAAAATCATTCAGTTGCTATGATGCTTTTATTACTTAAATTTCAAGCGATTCCTAGGACAACCAAAGTTCAGCTTGTTAAATATTGGTAAATAAAATAAATCTTAGAAGAGGCTTTAGTTCCATGTATTTAGAAAATTTGGCTAATAAAGATGAGATCGTGGTTTGGGAACAGCTGCCTTTTCTTTGAAAAATATCAACAATAATGACAATAAAAATAACCACCGTGTTCGTATGCCAAGAACAGCATTATAATATATACTTTTCATTAGCTACCCTGTTCAGACTTCATAATAACCCTTATGGTTATTAAGGTAGATATTACAATCCTTATTTTATGTGAGGAAATTAAGTTTCAGAGATACTGTAATCCAGGTCTTTTGACCCTAAAGCTTATGCTGTTAACCACTAAGATGCTCCATTTGGTTTTCCATGATTTGTGTTAATGAAATATATTTATCAAATTTTTCTCTTTAAAAACACAGTAGTAGTTCTGTCAATGAAAGTGATTAGCTCAAAAACATCATTTTCTCCTTTCACCTTCCTTTTCAGGCTAACAAAATTATCAGAAATTTATATCTTTCTTGTACAGTATTTCTTTGTTCTCAGCAATAATTGGCTTATATTAATGATCTGTACCCACTCTTGAAAGAATAACCATTTATTTCATCTCAATTGTCTTTAAATATTTGCTGTCAGATTTGAAACACAGCTATAATGGTAATTTCACAAAGTTCCATTAGTCATTCTTCATTCCATTCAGTTTTTGTTTTTACTATTGTATTAAAATCATCTATCATATAACCTACTGAAATAGCTACAGATTTTTTTAGCATTGCAGAAAAATATGTGACTGTTACGAACAAAATCAGGAAGTATGAGAAATGGCAATTTTCTGAAGTTTTGATTTTGAACTTGAAATTGGACCATGAAAAACCCATTGAGTCAGACTAATAACCTCTTCAGGTTTGTTTCTTAAAAATGTTAATTGTTGACTGCTTCATGGTTGGACTCTGGAGAACCTCTTATTATAAATGTTATATCAGGAAAGAAATTCATCTCTTTGAAGATTAATGATGAATTCATTCTCCCCGTTTCCGTTTGCCCAAATGAAGACTGGCATTTAATTTCTCATTAAAAGGAAGTCTCACTTAGTGGGTAATGATAGTTGATTTTTTACATACTTGTCAATTATATATTTTAAGTTTTACAAAGTCACCTGACTTCATATTATCCTAGGAATGTCCTTCCTGCAGGATAATTAATAGATTACATAAAAATGTTTCAATCTGTTCATTTGCAACCTCTTTCTTAGTTTTATTGTTTCTTTACTGTGGAAAGAACAGGGATATACAATTAGGTTTTTGGTAAATGTTTTTTAGAATAACTCTATTATCCTTTTTTGCTTACCTGTTTTCTCAGTCATTTATATAATTTTTATGTGGGAACTTCCTGGGCTTTCTAAGAACTTTCTAAATTTATGTATTTTTATTTATTCATTTTAGATTGACTTGACCAAACTGGAGCTAACATTTATTATTATGTTACTGTGCTTGTTGGTTTTAATAGCCCTGTAACACTTTGTTTTCCACTATTCTTCATGCTACCTGGTGTGTGTGTGTGTGTGTGTGTGTGTGTGTGTGTGTGTGTGTGTATGTCTGTCTGTCTGTCAGTAGGTATGTATATTTTGCATTCACCTGTACTTCGTAGCCCCAACTCATTTTGCTTTAGAAATTAGAACATAATTCAAGAGTACAGAAAAATATAATTTCTGTGATTCTCTCCTTGACTTTCAGTGTTGCATTTTGCTGCTTATTCTATATAATTCAGGTATTTGGACTTGCAAGATCTTGTTCCAGTTGAGAATGATGATCTTTCCTTTTTCCAGACAGAAATTGGCCATTCCCCTTACGCTTCTTACTCATTGCCATGTTTATTTCCCACAAATTAAATCCCATAATTATCAAGTCTCCAGAAAGATGTTAATTTTTTTCAAAAATGTTAGCATCAAAGCCCCTTTCACTCTCTCCCCACTTCTTGAAATTAAAATAAGTATATATTTTAAGCAGTAATTTCCTGTGGGATGCAGAATTGTGGAATTGCACATGCTTTACTTAAGAATAGAAGTGACCTTTTTTGGTGGGTGTTCTAGAAGATTTTTTTGCAGGCTTTCTTTCCTTTAGTGTGCCACCATTAGCAATTTCGAAGCTGGAAGATGCTCATAAACAGTTTTGCATGTTAATTTAGGAGAAAAACTTCTCTCTATTTGTGACTGAATTGTTTTCAACTAGAATTCGAAAATGATTGTTGTTTTTCATTTAGTACCTGTAATCCAATTTAATTTTTACACAAGGACTTCATTTTACAAATGAAAGGACTGAATCTCCAGACGGTCCATTGACTGGCTTAGGTTGATACAGTCTATGAAATAACAGAGCCAGAGTTTTGGCTGTAAATCCAATTCATATTCAGAGTTTTGGCTGTAAATCCAATTTATATCCAGAATTTTGACTGTAAATTCAGTATTCTCACCACTAGAGTAAAGCTACATTTTGGAAGTTGCCCCCTTAAACTTTATCAAAAACATATGGTTAGTGCCTACATATAATTTTTGGCATTGCATAATGTAGTTTAAAATAGCAGAGTAGGAGCTTATAGTTTTCTATGAAGCTCTTTGTTAGCTGAAAGAAAATAGTTTCTACCTACTTTTCGTTATTTCCTGATCGTTCTCTTAGGTAACCAAGGCAAACAAGTTAAAATCACTTAAAAAAGGATGTTATAATGTGCTGTGCCTACAGAAATTATATTATTGTTTATCCTCTATACAATTTACATCATCAAGTCACATGTGGGCTGCCATATTTCGAGCATTTGATATGTCTAAAGGCTCCTCCTTTTGTTCCTTCAACTTTATTAACTCCTTCATTATGAACATGATTTTGGAGAAAAAATTTGGAACTTCATTGTTCTCTTTTCCTCCATTAAAGTCTTCTTAAAAATACTTTATTTGTTATTTTATTCTGAGATCCCAGTTACCAGATTCATAACAAACATGTAGGTATGACTTCATTTCTCTTAGCTCCTGGCTTCAATGTTGAAGACAAAATATTATTAAAACAACAACAATAAAACATAGAGGTTTCTGCTAAGTCCTGTTGTTTTGATTTAACCAAGATTTCTCTTTCAGTTGTTTTCTTTTTTGTACATTGGTTAGAGATGATCTTTTTGGGATTATAAACCCTTACTTTTAAAGCGCTGCTTTAGGTGGAGTTGGAATATATCTATCAGCATGGTGTGTGTCTTTGGTGTATCTTGGCTGCTTCAGAACCAGATTTTTTCGAAAGCGACTCCGTCCCATGAGACCAGTGGAAATGTGTCCAGACAGGCTGGTGGGATATGGCCAGAGTCTTTGAGAAGGGCTCTCTAGTTAGTGAAGATATACCAGTAGGTAGTGGGAATAATTATCACTTAGTAATATGTTCTCTCCTTTGAGGAGAAAAAAAAATCCCTCTAAATTTTATAACTGGGTTTTGTTTCCTGATCTGATAGACTGTTTCAAAATTAAACTATTTGGCTTTTCTTTACAAAACAGGTTTTTGTTCAGATGCTTTTGTTTGGGGTAGGAAAAATTGTGTATAATACAGATCTAGAGATGCTTTTTCTCCCACATGGGTAAAATCAGACTTCTATTGTCCGCTCTGAAATAGGACTAAAACATGTCTATAGAGCTGATGTGACAAACAGAAGCCAAAATTTATGGACGCAAGGAACAGTAGTGAACAGGAAATGCAACACTTGTCTATGATCAGTAACTATAGTTACAGTATAATCATTTTCAACTCAGATTTATATAAAATGGGGAGATGGTAAAACTTTTTCTGTCATAGTTGACGTGTATTTTTCTGATAAGGATTATGGTCATAGATGGCTATCGGTATGATCCATTTGCTTTTATAAAAAAGTTGAGATTCATATCATTGCTTTGTTTTCATTCAGCATTACTATATAGTGGCATATGTGTGTTAGTCCTTCCAAATCCTTCAAATGAATGTGCTACTTTCAGTGCTGCCAGCAAGTTTTATAAATTTTATTTAAATTTCTGATTGGATGTGAATGGTAGCTCCTGAATGACACACATTTCAATAGGTAAGACTAAAGGTTTGGGGTTAACAAGATAACATTTATATTATATAGATGATAAACAATTTCTCTTTTAGATATTTTAAAATATAAAAATGTTGCAGAAAAAATTTAAATGCAGAAAAGCATAATGAAGAAGATAAAAATCTCCTACATTCCCACTACTTAGAAATAACTACTAATCACATAGTAGTATATATTCTTCTATACTTTTTTCTGTGAATACACACACACACACAGAGATGTGTGCTGTTTTCAAAATGAGTATGGAATATTTAAAAAACAAATAGACTTGCATATGTAATAATTAGGTTTTAAATTCATACTGGAAAACACCCTAAATGCTACAGAAACTCTTATTCAGTCTTATTCTTAGCCAAAAGAAAAACTCAGGTGTGATTACTATTTGAAAGGCCACAATTGCTAGAGGCCGAAGTATGAAATCACAGATCTTAAAATCACCCAATCTTAACTGTTTTATTGCACATCTTTTTTAAGTTTTTAATATAAGCTGGGAAATTTGTTTTTCCTTTGATTCAACCCATTGTTCCTATCACTGACCCCCATTTTCAGAGAGAGGCGGAGGCATCTTTCATCCTTTCCCTCTTCTTGGCAGCCTTCTCTTCAGAGTGACTTCAGTGATCTAAAGAATGTTGGTCCTGCCCTCTGGCATTAGAATCCCATAAAGATCTCTAAGTTTGCCTGTGCGTGGAAGCACTGTCTCCATAAAGTTTGAGCATGTCCATTCTCTGTAAGTAGTATTCCTGTCCCTTTCCTGCACTACCTGGACTTTTTGAAAAACTGCTGAAGGATAGTGGATTTCTATCTGCTACTAACTGTAGCAAGCTTGAAATTTCTTTGGAAATATTTATTTAATTTATTAATTTATTATTTATTAGAGATAGGGTCTCATTCTGTTGCCCAGGCTGGAGTGCAGTGGTGTGATCATAGCTCACTGCAGCCTCGAACTCCTGGGCTCAAGCAATCCTCCCGCCTCAGCCTCCCAAGTAGCTGTGACTACAGGTGTGCACCACCATGCTTGGCTTTTTTTTTTTTTTTTTTTTGTAGAAACAGGGTCTCATTTTATTGCCCAGGCTGGTCTTGAACTCCTGGCTTCAAGCAATCCTCCCATCTTGGCCTTCCAAAGTACTGATTACAAAGGTGAGCCTCTGCACCTAGCCTGTTTATTCAAAAAGTTCATGTAAACATTGCATTCCACTCTGTCATATGTCATTGTTTTCATAGAAGGGTAATTTGCCAAGTCATATTACCATTCACCCTCCCTAAGTTAAACCAGCGCTCTAGGAAGATGTCCACATTTGCCCTTGGGTTTTTATGCTTCAATCTCCTCACCCCAAGCCTATTGAGGTTGAGAAGTCACGTTAGTCATTCATTCAGTGAATTGCATTACCTAGTGCTCCTAAATGAACAGGATAGGAAAGTTGTCCTTTTCTTAAGGGGTCCTTCATACTCATCTTCTTATTATCTTCATGATAGGATCACATTTGAGATGCGCATTATTGCCTTGTTTATGTCTTCTGATCATCTTAGTGAATGTAAAATCCTGACTTATACTCTTGCATTTGAATATAGAATGTAATTCCTAAGACAAAGAATACTTAGGCATCTGGAAGTTTCTGAAGCATTAGGAAATAGATTTATATCCTGGATTTTCTTTATAAAATGAATAAATGTAAGTTCTTGATGTTATTTGTAAACTTTTAGAAAATAGAAATACAAAGAAAAAACAATGGTAATCCATCACTCAGACAAAAATCACTATTAACATATTTTTAGGCATTTCCTTTCAGAATTTTTTCTATTTAAATACATGAGTGTGAATGTCTGTGGGTGTCTATAGACATGTCTGTGGATATTACGAAATTGGAATCATGTTTTATATTCAGGTTTGTATCTTTTTTTATTTGATATTCTGTGCACATTCTTTGATGTCATGAAATATTCTTCAGTTGTGCTCAAAATACTCTCAAGTGTGTGTTCTGTTACTTATGCATGAAATAATTCCTACCTTAGAGCTGCCTGTGGGGAAGGACGGGGGAACTGTAGGTTGCTGCCCTTGTTATCAGGTGTTTCAGGTTGTTTTCCTGAATCTTTGAGCTCCATGAAGAAGAGGATGCTGTCATAGGCAATGAATGCTATGATTTTACAAATGTTGTATAAGTTTAAAATCTCAGTTTTTCTTTATTATGATAAGTTGTTCATTCACCTGATATTCAGTCAATTTCTACCATGTGTCAAGAAATGTGTGAGCAGTAGGGATGGAGTAGGACATAATCCTATCCTTAATGCTTGTGCGGTTGCTGTTGCCTGACCCAGTCTCTGTTGACAAAGTAACAATGTTGCTTCTTAAGACATACATGAATTATTTTAAGAGGAAAAGAATTCATTGTTCTGATAAGTTTATAAAATGCTGCAACTATATCTCACTCTCTGAAATAGAGCTCTGAGAAGTCCCATAGCTGAAAAAGAAAACTAAACAAAAACCCAACTCTATTCAGCTTTATTAAATCAAGCATTTCCAGAACTTTTCTAATCACAGAAACCTTTATCCGAACACATTAAGATGCCCCTGAATTCTCCTAATGAATACAGTAAATTATTTAGCACTACAGTGTTTTGTGATGGCTTAGTTCTTGGCTGAAGGTTGAATTGTTACTGGAAATCTATGTGATGATATAAATTATCAAGGGATTTTTTTTCTGACCTTGAGTTAGTCTCAAATAATAGCATGAGGACTATTGATACCAAAGTGCTATCCTGAGATTTCAGCACTGCTAGGTAATTGCAAAGAGGATTGCAGTGGTGCTTAACCACGTATGTATGTCTGCTTGCAGATCATTCAATTAGTCTTTGCCTTGAACTTCTGAAAATCTTTATTTCCAAGTCTTACTTGACATTTGTCATAAGCTTCACTTGAAATGCTAAATTAGAGCCACTCTATCTGATAAGATCTAAGTTCTCCTTCTCTAAAACTTTTTCTATTAAATTTCCCCGAAATAAATTCTGAGCATACAAGGGCTTTCACTGATAATGACTCCTTATCAAATATTAATATTATTATTAATCTGCTTTTGGCTCCTTTTTGTAACTCTTCTCTCTAGGGCCTTTATTTGCGGTATAGGAAAGCTCCAGTATCTAGTGGCAGCTCCATTGAATGAAAGCACATTTTCATCTCAGCTTGTTCCTTTGATGCATGTATGTTTTCCAGTCCTGTTTAGCATTTTAGTATAGAATTTTGTTGTCAGGCCTTGGGTAAAAAGTATTTTGATGTATCTAAGGTAAAAAATTATTAATTTCTTATAATAATGATGGGGGTTTTAAAATGTTATTCTTGAAAGGCAATTTGGCAATATTTTTCAATTGTCACAAGGTATATAGTGTTTGATCAAACAATTTCACTGCTATGAATGTATCCAGTAGATATCCTCATAAAAACAAGCCCTCATGATAATGTATAAGAATCATCATTGCAGCTTTGTCTTCCTATAAGGCATTCAACAAATGACTGTTGGTACATCCATGCAACTGAATACCAGGCAGCCATTAATAAGTGTAAATATATCTGCATGGGAAGATCTTCAGCATAGACCAGTATACTGTATACCAGTAACTGGAAAAATGATACCAACTGGTTTATGCAGAATATCTTCTTAAAAGTAATAACAGTAACAAAAAGGTAATACACACAGACACATACACACTGTATATCTGTGTATATACGTTTTTGTTTGTTTGTTTTCTGGGACTATGCGCAAGAACTCTTGGCTTTGTTTTCCTTGAAGATAGGGACCAATTGGCTTGTAATTTGCTTTTTGTATTTTTCTGTATTGTTTGGAATTTCAAACTAATTGCATTTATTACTATTTTTTGTCAGTGTAAATTATCTGTATGGTGTGATTTGGGGTCTTTTTTGTAAATGTCAAATGAGACAACACATGTCAAAAGGCTAGAGCAGTGCTAATATTGATATTGTTTCAATGTGGTTTTTAAAAATCAGTGCTGTGAAGAAATAATAAGGGCACCAGGGGAGATAAAAGACATATCCTAGAAAGTCAGAGGATTGCAAGTCAGGGAAAAATATGAGAAAAAGGGTTTGTTTGGGGGATGTGGGAAAGGATGACTGCTTTTAATTTTATTAACTGCACTTATTTCAAGTTTTGTTCTCTCTGTAAACGTTATTATTTTATACTTGTTTTTTGTTTGTTTGTTTTTTATTCTTTGGCTTCTTTATTAGATTACCTCTCTACTCTGTGCTATTCCATTTCCTCCCACTCCCAACTATTGGTCTGTGTGGTTCTTTGTTGTCCTCTTTTCTGGAAGGGTTGCAGTAAGAGCGGGGCTTTGGGTATTGTTACCAAAGTCAACATCAGCGTCTATCCTGTGCCTATCACTGACCAGCCACGGGGGTGATTGTCCTCCAACAGCCTGATATCTGAACCACCTCAAATGTGTATTTCTTCTACTCAAGTCAACGAATTCTGACATTCTCTATTTTTGTACTAGGAGACAGTGAATTGCTAGGGCTTTTTTTGTTTCAAAAAAAGAGTATAAAATTGCTTAAACATAATACCGCATTGATATTATTGGAAAATGCAAAGTACTGCATGATGGCAGAAAATGTTGACTTGCAAGAAATCATTGTGGTTTATTTATTGTCATGGTTATCTAACTTAATTTACCAAGCATAGCTCCCCTAATGTGTAGTTGTGCAATTGAACAGCTGAGGCCCACACAGTTACCCAAAATGACGAATTTCTATCCAACTAAAATAACAACAAAGAGCTGTAAAATACACATTTCCCCTGTGATATTGTAAGTTCTTCAATGCTCAAATGCTTCATATCCCACCATTTCTGTGATTTTTCTGATTCGACTAGCTGGAAACCAAGGAAAGCCGAAAAACTTTGTAGACTGACACGGAAGATTATTGTAAATATTTTCCCATCTATAAGAGGAAAACTATTCAACTCCGATTCTGCTCCCTGTTTTCTCTATCACTAAGTCTAAAGTTGGGGAATGAAATTACACACAGATAAATAGATTATTATAGAAGTTATCTTTGACCATTCAATTAACTTGTAAAGCTTGATGTCCATGAGACCACAGTTCCATATGTGAGGCACAGTCAATTTGGTGAGAGAATGGGTTTCATTGGCACGGATTCATTTTCCAATCTGATAAATGAAAGGATGTGACTAATTGATAATGTGTTGATAGCCAGTCTTTAATGTTAGTAAAAGTTTACAATTGGAAGAGAAATATTATATTCAGCACATGTTCAGTGTGAGATAAAAAATGGCATATAGGACCACTATATATATATACCACCATATATATATATATATATATACCACCATATATATATATATATATATATATATATACCACCATATATATATATATATATACCACCATATATATATATATATATATACCACCATATATATATATATATATATATACACCACCATATATATATATATACCACCATATATATATATACCACCATATATATATATATATACCACCATATATATATATATATACCACCATATATATATATATATATATACCACCATATATATATATATATATACCACCATATATATATACACTAAAAGTGGTATATATATATATATACACTAAAAGTGGTATATATATATACACTAAAAGTGGTATATATATATATACACTAAAAGTGGTATATATATATATATATATACACACACTAAAAATGGTATATATATATATATACACACACTAAAAGTGGTATATATATATATATATGCACTAAAAGTGGTATATATATATACACTAAAAGTGGTGTATATATATATATACACACACACATATATACTAAAAGTGGTATATATATATATACTAAAAGTGGTATATATATATATACTAAAAGTGGTATATATATATATATATATATATATATATACTAAAAGTGGTATATATATATATATATATATATACACTAAAAGTGGTATATATATATATATATATATACACACTAAAAGTGGTATATATATAGTGGTCCTATATATACTTCTCATATATACATGTGTGTATATATACACACACACATACATGCACACACCACTTTGTATATGACCGCAAAGAAATATTAGAATATTAAAAAGACAAGTCTGTCTCAGTATTTCATTTTAGCCCTATCTTTTATTAATGCATGGTGTGCAATAACAAATCACAATAACCAGTGTATATTGAGTGATATAATATATTATGCTGAAGTTCTTTCATTCCATCATCTCATTTATTCTCACCTTAATGTTGTCTTTATTTTAAAGCTGCATTTTAAAGCAAAATCTGCCAAAGTTCACCCATCTAGTAAATGACAGAGCTGGGACTGGAAACCAGGCTAGAATATCCTTGTGTATGAATCAGTAATCATGGTAAACAAGAGATTGGTCAGGGAAAAATTTTGGTTGGAATAGGAGGAGAGAGAGTCCAGTATGTAAAATGTGATTTTGCTATTTTACTTGAAAATTGTAGATTTGTAGAATATCAGACACCCATACTTAAATATGAGTACAGCCTAATTATTGCTGTTCCTTTTTCTTTCAGAAATTTGATACTCAAAATTCACAAATGAGAGCTTCTCCACATTTTTACTTAATTCATAATTTCTTCACACATTTATAGACAATACACACTTCAAGCATGTATGGTGCTAAATTACATATTTTTGAAAAGTTTTTAGGCCGGGCACGGTGGCTCCTGCCTGTAATTCCAGCACTTTGGGAGGCCGAGATGGGCAGATCACCTGTGGTCAGAAGTTCGAGACCAGCCTGACCAATATGGAGAAACCCCATCACTACTAAAAATACAAAATTAGCTGGGCGTGGTGGTGCATGCCTGTAATCCCAGCTACTTGGGAGGCTGAGGCAGGAGAATCACTTGAACCCAGGAGGCGGAGATTGCAGTGGGCCGAGATCATGCCACTGCACTCTAGCCTGGGCAACAAGAGCAAAACTCCATCTCAAAAAAAAAAAAAAAAAGTTTTTATATGTTTTTTCCATTTTATCTTGAAATATTAAATTTAACTTTGTCTCAGTAATTTCACATTGTGTTTATGTAAGTTCAGTTACTTTGCCTTTCAATGACTTGCAGCTCCGTATTTATTAGGTTTCTCCAACTTATGTATTCATAAACAGTCTATAAAATTTCCAAGGAATAAATCGAGTTTGTTTGCTTAAACTGTTTTCCTTTTTCTTTTATTACCTGTTCTTCTCTGAAAAAATAGTTTAAGTACATACTTCACATGATTTACTGGGAAATATTTTTTAGTTCGAAAAGAATAATATAAAATAATTGAATAATTTTTGCTCTTTAATTATAAAAAAAGAATGTATTTTAAATGTTACTTGTGAATATTTAGGTGAAAGATGTTTTCATAAAAGATTAATAGTGCCAGCCTGTGGCTAAATATGCCTCTATTAACAATTTTGATATTTAAATATCATAAACGTAAACCTGTTTGCCAGTTTTTCAAAAACCTTCTGTAAAGAATGGAGCCTTACTTCTTTAAAAATCTGATACCTCCCACATCCTGCTAAAGATGTGTTCAGGATTAGGATATAAGCGTTGGTGGAATAATTTTATTATCAAAATGAAATGAAACTTCTAGAGTGGCAGTATGGGGAGTGGAAGAGCAACTATATGTTAATGAATTGCTGTGTTGAAGCCTAAGCAGTGGCTACGTGAAAATGTTTGAGTTTGCTCTTTTCTCCTATGAAAGTTTGTTCATTTTCTGTTTCATAGGGGTAGTAAGCTGATAATGTATTAAATTGCCAAGTAATTGCATTTTGAGTCAGCCAATAAATTTTTAATCTTGAATGAATTGCATATATTTCCTGAGTTTCACTCTCCATATTTTCTTTTTAATAGCTTTACTGAGATATAATTTACATACCATACATTTGACTCATTTAAAATATACAATTCAGTGGTTTTTAGTATGTTTACAGAGTTGTGTCACCGTCACTACTATCTAATTCCAGAGCTTTTTCATCCCCCAAAAAGAACACTACTCCTATTAGCAGGCACCCTCCATTACCCTGGAAACCCCTCCATTTCCCAGCCCTATAGGTGACTAGTGATGTATGTTTTTACTTTACACATTTGCTTATTATGCAAATTTCACATAAGCAAAATCATACATTATGTGGTGTTTAGTTTCTGGCTTCCTTCACTTAGCATAATGTTTTCAAGGTTCATCTATGTTGTAGCATGCATCAGTATTTCATTCTTTTAATGGCTGAGTGATATTCCATTGAGATATATACATGTTGTTTATTCATCAGCTGAAGGACATTTCAGTTGTTTCTACTTTTTGCCCGCCATGAATAATTACTGCTGGGAAGATTCATATACAAGTTTTGTGTGGACCAGTGTTTTCAGTTTTGGAGGGTATATATCTTAGAGTGGAATGGCTAGGTCAAATAGTAACTATATTTAACCTTTTGAGAGTCTTCCAGACTGTTTTCCAAAGCAGCTACACATTCCTACCAGCAGTGTATGAGGCTTCTTATATCATTACAATAGGAATAATAAAACCTATTTCACCATTGTTCTGAAGATTAAACAAGGCAAACATGTAAAGTGATTAGGGCGTTATTGGCATCGTGAGGGTTTAATAAATGTCTCTTTCTTTTCCTTGTCATTATTAGAAACACCTCTTATCCTGATCCAAAATCTTGAGCCACAGGACTCTAACTGAAGAGAAAGAAAATGAATCTACTGCCTCCTCCGAAGCTAGTCCTTCAGATACTAGAAGACAATTATGCCCTCTTTATCAAAGGCCCTACTTAAACCAGTTCAGTGATAATCTATTTTCTATACCCGTTTTTCATAAATAGACCCATGTGTTGTTTCTTACATAATTATAGAAGTGTTCAAGAGAAACGAAGAGAGTGAGTGGCAGGACCATGGTGTGATGCAGGAGGAAGAGCTCTTGGCTAGAATCTGCTCCCAACTCTCCAACTAACTGTGAATCATTGAATTGTTACTTAATGCCTCTATAAAATAAAGGCTCATATGAGATGATCTCTAGGGTAGTTCCAGCTCTACTTAATATTTGGTTTCTACTATAGCCAGAAAAAGAGCTTAATTTCACAAATAGCTAGACTTTTCCCAATGAAATACCCTAACTCTTCATCCTAAGTCCTCTTTTTTTGAAAAAAAAAAAAAAAAAGAAAGAAAAAAAAGAAAAAGAAAACTATTCCTATTAGGAATTCTTACACTGCTGTAAAGCATTCTGTCAAGTTTTACTATTGAGTTTATTTCGGAAATCATTTGAGAAGATGTCCCTGGCTTCTAACAAAGGGAAGAATCCTGCAATGTTTGGCCTCAGTGGCAGAGTGACCTAGCCTTTCAATATCCCTCTAGTCACACTTTCTTACTCATTTCACTCTGGTTTAATTTCCTCCCAAAACTCTTCAAGAGGAATGTCTCTCCTTTCTTTTGAATTGTACAGTTTCCTGCCCTATGGATACAGACATGATGACTGATCAGGACTATATTTATTTTTGCTGGTCATTTAGATGTGGACTTATGTTATTCCAGGCAACTGGAAATCATACATATTGATCTGTAATTTTGTGCAATGTGCATGGGAATTTTTATAGTTGACGTAGGATCTAAAAATTCCTACACAAGTCTCAGTAGTAAATGAAGAACTTCTCTCTCTTTTATTTTCTGTTCTTTCTTTTTTTTTTTTGGTGACTAGGTCTCACTCTGTCACCCAGGCTGGAGACTGGAGTGCAGTGGGGCAATCATGGCTCACTGCAGCCTCAAATTCTCAGGTTCAGGTGATCCTCCCACCTCAGCCTCCTGAGTAGCTGGGACTACAGTCATGTGTCACTAGGCCCAGCTAATTTTTGTGGGGACAGCTTTCACCATGTTGCCCAGGCTGGCCTCGAACTCCTGGGCTCAAGTGATTGCACCTGCCTCGTCCTCCCAAAGTGCCGAGATTACAGGTGTAAGCCACTGTGCTTGGAGCAGGAACTTCTCATGAGAATCTGGTTTATCACAGAAACATAGTTAGAAAATAGAGTCCTGAAACATTTGCTTTGGAAGGCCTAAGGGTGTGGCTCATTGATTTCTAGATAATGAATGCAGCAGGCTAAGGAAATGTTTTTATGAGCATTTTTTGATGCTTTAGGGTGACTTCGCATTTTTAATATCATGAGCATAGAATTAGTTCCACACATTGCACCTAATTAAAAGTGACATTTGTGTTATAATTTTGTTGTTGAATATTTGACATGAGGCACTTTGACAGTATATTGGGGGTTACCAAGTAGAGCTAAACATAATTTTTGAAAGCTAGAAATAGAGCAAAAATATTCCATCTTCGTATGCTAAAGAAAAGAATCAGAAACACTTTGACAAACAGTAGTTTCTCAGCACATTACATCGGGGGTTCTCTGCATGTGGATCACTTTTAGTTAGGTAATGTTTAAGATGTTTTAGTTAGAGAGTGTTCTTATAGAGACAGCCTATCTCCCTGTCCACAGACAAGGCTTTGTGAATCTTTGACCAATTATGTCAGATATCTTGGAATAAATAGCAGGTTATTACTTTGTCTACTATTATCTTGTTTTCAGAAAAAATATTTTTTAGGAAAAAGATATGTGTTAATTTGAAGCATCACATTTTAAAGCAAAACATAAAAGTATTTATAGTTAAAAATGTAAAGATGAGAAGAAAACCAATAATCTAATACATATAATTTTTCTTTCCTGAATAAATACTTAACATTTTTCTCACCTCTTGATTAGCTCTGTGATAGAAGTTGTTCTAATGAATGGCGACAACAGCACCGATTAGCACCCTTATCTCTGGCATTATTATCTCTCTGCAGACTTAGAGCTGTTTCTTCTTTACTGTATATACCTATAGTACCCACATAGAAGGCACAAAGTTTCATACAGTGTGGAGAGAAATCTCTGTGTGAAACAATGCTAATCTTTTCAGTGTTTCTGGACCATTTCATAGTTTTAGTGGATTACATTTCTTGGCAAAGAAGACAGCATTTTTAGCTCCTCAGCAGAGAGTTAAAAATGTCTTCTTGGTGGAATGTAGCCATCATTCCCCTTGGAGCATGATATACAAAAAGCTCCCTTCCTCCACACACAAAAAAAAATCTTTCTAGAGGAGAAAGAGTTGAGCTGATTTTATTATATTTGTTCATGAAATTTAAGGCTCCAAAAAAAAGTAGAAATGAAAAGTGTAAAGAAAATCTATTATCTGTCTCAAAAAAAAATCTCCTGGAAAATTATTTGGTTTGGGTTTTTTTTTTTAAGCAAGATTGTAAAATGTTCACCATTGAGAATAAAATGGAACAGTTATATCAGACTGTCCTTTGCAACAGGGCCACTAACCTGATAGATCAGAGAATTTTAATGTATGTTCAATATGATCACTCTTGATATTCTTATGGAAAAGATAGGGAAATGCAAGGAAGAGAAATAATGGTAAATAGTTGAGTGATTTTACCCAAAGATGACAGGGAGCTTTACAAAAACATGCCAGAGGGTTCTGTCTTGGGCCTTGACCTAGCCACTGTTTTTGTCAGTGGCCAGGATAAAACAGACACAGTGGTCATCCCCTCAAATCTAGGCAGACGGAAAATATATTGACTGCCAAAAATACCATAACAAGATCTGAAAAAGTGGGTCAAAAGATGACTCTTAATAGGGATAAATGTAAGGTTTAAGAAAACTTATGGAACAAGTCCAAAAGAGGAAAGAACTTTCTTAGCTATAGAACCTAGGGAGGCTGGGTGTGGTGACTTGCACCTGTAACCCCAGCACTTTGGGAGGCCAAGGCGCATGGATCACTGGATACCAGGACTTCCAGACCAGCTTGAAAAAGGTGGTGAAACCCAGTCTCTACAAAAAATACAAAAATTAGTTGAACATGGTGGCACAAGCCTGTAGTCCCAGCTACTGGATAGACTGAGGTGGGAGGATCACCAGAGCCTGGGAGGTCAAGGCTGCAGTAAGCCATGATCGTGTCACTGAACTCCAGCCTGGGAGACAAAGTGGGACCCTGTCTCAAAGAATAAAAAAATAAATAAAACTTTAAAAAAGAACCTAGGGAAAGAAGATAGCAAAGAACAGAGATATGACAGAAATTCTTAGCTTTGGTTATACATTCTATGTGGGTACCTGGAGAGTTTTTAAGAAATTTCAATGCCTGGGCATCACTCCAGCCAATTAAGTTGGAATCTCGGGGGGTGAGGCCTAGGTACTGATACATTTAAAAATCTCCCCACATGATATTATAGTGCATCCTAAGTAGAAAACCACTGATTTTATTTTATGGATAGATTTATAAATCCAATAAAGAACTAACAGTACATGACTGCCCATCTCTTTAAAAAAAAAAAAAAAGCTAAATTTTTTGTTGATCTGATCACATTTAGAGAAATTTAGGGGAAAAAGGAAGTCTGTACAGGAAGAACAAGACTAAAATGGAGAAATGATTCAAAGTCTTAGAACTCTTTAAGAAATTGTAAATACTTAAACTCTTAATATAAACACGTATATAGCAGTAAACATTTTCAAGGAACAGATCTTAGCATGCATGCTTTTACACTCAGGGTTATCAAAGAAAACTGGGGTTACTATTTGGGAATGTCTCCAAAAATATAGACTAGATTGTCTGTAGAGAATCAGAATATCACAGAGACTATCCTGTAAGAAATAGGGGCCTCATTAAAACGAGTCTTCTCCTTTTGGTAGTTTGGAGTTGGACACATTTATCAAACCTTTTTTTTTTGTTTGTTTGTTTTTTTAACTTTGTCAACAGTTATCTAGAATATAGGACCCTGGCCTTCCAATCATGGAAAAGCACTGATTTCTGCCAGCTCTTGACCAAATCTTCCCATTTTGCCCCTCCTTATTAGCTAGTTTAGTAAATCTCTTCTTTGTTCTAGTTTCTCTCTCAAAGCACAAATTGCCCATCCGTAAACCTGTACTTCCATTGTTCTTCTTCAGTCCCCTTGGGTCCCCCACCCGCTGACTACCTCTTTCAGCATCTAAGCAGCATTGTACAGAACTTCCCCTTTCTTCCCGTCTTGTGGCAGGGAGGTATCCAGTGCTGACTTGGTGATTGCAGAAGAGGGATTAATGTGAGGAGAAGCTATTTTCATATCAATCTCTTTACTCTGTCAGGGGTGAAATGTGTGAATTTATATTTGATTGCGTGATTTTCGACCTTGCCCAATCCGAGTTTGCAGGGGAGTCATTTCAAACACTTTTCCTGATACTAAGCCGTTCAAATAATAGTTATATTGTCTTGTTATTAACTTGTCCTCAAGTCAGTGATTGCCTTTTCCTGAGGATGGTTTTGCTGCAATTTTTGATGGAATGTTGAAGTCAGGGCATACACCTAGACGAAGTCAGACAAAGTATGTCTTATGTATACAGATTCAATTTAAACAAATGCATTATTGGGCCCACCCTGGCCGTCTTTATTCACCCTGCTTGTTGATGTACCTATCTGTGCTTCATAACATGTTTGGATGTTCCTATCCATTACCAACAAATGTATGCACTGAAAATATCATTTTGATCCAGTTATATGTAGGGTGACTATTTTAATAACTGTAAAGCATTACTTATTAAACTGCATTAGTTCTTTTAATCTTAATTATTATTATTTGGTAGTGTAAAGAAGTAGCATGGTAAGTATAGCATTCATTGATTGTGGTTTAGGTTTGAGAAAAGAGTTTTTCTCTTCAGATCTAATACTGGAGAAAGGATGCTCTCCCCTTGAGAAAAAAGGACCAGAAACCAGGGCCTTTATTTTAATGAAATATGAGCAGCCTGTGATAGGATGTGACGTGCTGAGAGAGAGCATATGATAAAGGCCAGTGTGGCCATTCAGGGTAGATTCACGCTTAGTTGAAAATGAACATGCATTTTGAGTTTTGTGACCTGTGCTTAAATTGCATCCCTGCTTCCAGCCAGTGTTCCACTAGAAGTCACTACTTTTCTGGGTGTTAGTGTCTTTCTCTGCAAAGTGAAATTATTTAACAGAATTACTCAAACTTCTCACTCAAAATCCTCTATGGTATTGTGAATTATAGAGTCATATCTCATGTATGTACAGTATTATGCCATAGATTTGTATTTTAATAAAATTCAGCAATAATTGAAGTGTCCATTCAAACTTTTAAATTTATGGTTCTGTCTGCATTGAGTTGTTAGTGTCTTTATGTGGAAAATATGAGAATAAAATGAATTCTTAGGACTATGGACAATAAGAACTCTGAGGTACAATTTTTTTGGTGGTAATACTTTCACAATCCGGAGAACTAAGACACTTTCTCCTCAACTTCTTAGATATTTCAGAATATTAGTGATGGTATAAATTTAACATAAATTCAGATATAAAATGACACAAAATAAATAATACATTGAGGTGAAATCAGAACAGGGCCTTCAGAACACCCTGAGAACACCAGCCAGTCTAATTTGAATGCCACGGGAGATACCTTGTTAGTTCTCCAAGAAATATTCAAGAGACTTAGGAAAAATGTATCTGTTTGGCTGACTCTGGCAATCATCTTTTTGTGCCTTAAATTTCTTATGTAACTTCCATGCAAACTTGTATTTTCTCCCCAAGTTTCTAATGATTCTTGCTTTCCTAAATACTGCCTTTCTGGCCTCTTCATCAGCTGAGTCATTGTATCTGCCTCTGGGAGACAGGTGGTTATTTCCCAAAGGGTTTGCTCCTGACGGCAAGTGATTCCCTATATATTAGCAGCTTAGGTGTTTCTGCTGCTTGGCTTCTTTTTAGATAAATCACAGTTTTTGTGAAGGGATCGTACAGCTAAGCTCAGGAATAGGGAATTTCATGTGGGTGTGCTCAAAGGAATTGGTGGTGTGTTCTAGGCTGGCTTTTGTCTTCATGTTTCAGATGTTAGAGGGCAAAGGTGAGAAAACCATTCTGCCATCTGCTTTTCTGAGCTGAGCTGTTCCAGCTTTCTCAGGCTTGTGTCTCATATGCTCGACTCTGCTTTTGAAGCTCTTGCCACCAGAGCTGTGGTATATTTCAGAGACACAAGGAAGTTTTACAAAGACCGATTGGAGACAGATGGCTTTCAGATAAAGGAAGCACTGAAAATATTGGCAAAGGAGATTGGCAAATGTCTAGGAGAGTGTGTGTAAGTTCCTAAAAACAGTAAATTACTAGGAGCCCATTGAAGGAACTCAGGGCTAGTGATCTGAGATGCCTTTGGTTCATTAAGGTCATATTCCAGAAAGAAGCTGCATTTTACTTGCTGGGTGAGAAAGACTGGGAAATCTTTATGGAAACAGTTTTAAAATCCAGCAGGCATCATTAATTAAAGCTGACAAAAGAAGCAATCAGTCAGAAAGAGAAAAGACCTAGAATGATGCATCAGCATTGAAAGCAGATGATCTTAATAAAGTAGAAGAGGGTTCCAGGCAGTTGCAAAAAAATAGCTGAGTAAAGACTCTGAGGTCGTTATTTAACAAAGGTAGCAGCAACAGGTATCTGACAATGTCCAGAGTGCCTCACCACATCCATTATGTGATTGTCAGGTTGAAGTTCCTAGTTAGTACAGGAACCAGTGGCAGTGTCCCCGACCTGCCAGATCATACAGGGTTTTGAAATGAGAAATATGGTGAATGAGACAGGTAGGTGTGCTGTTTATGACAGATGTGGGTGACTTTCAGATAAAGGAAACATTGAAAATACGCTCAAAGCTTTTCACCCTCAGACCAAGAGACTTAACCTTTTACCTGTCACAGGAACACAATCTCAAATTGTTCTGTATATAACATGTCTATCCTTTGGAAACGGAATATATTTGTTCCTCGTAAGCCGATTCTGTCAAGACACAGTTGAGTACTTTTCAGTTTAGGCTCTTGGATATGCACTATCACTCATTTCGATGTATTATATTTTATGGTACTTTTTAGTGTCCTAACTTTGTATTAAAAAACTCTCCCATATTTTACATAGAATAAATGTCATCAACATTTTTTGTTAGGAGCATTAAGGCCAATCCAATTCTCTTTTTTTAAAGGTGATGCATATTCATAAATTCCTTGATGTTTTAGGTCTGAATAGCGTAAGTAAGGCTTCTCACTTTCACTACATCATTTGCAGACCCTCAAGCATGACCCCATCGTCTTCACACAGGCGTAATTCCAATGAAATAATTGGGAGCCTCATGTAAATCTGGCTGATGTTAATAACTTTCTTCTGTTATTATTCCCTTAAACTATCCATTGCTATGTGGTAGATATTTTTACTTGAGCTTATTGTTTTCTGTTTCCCTTTCTCTCATCTAGTCATCCAAAATAATATTGCAAGTTCACAAGAAAAAGTAACCTCTGTTTTCATCTCTTCTGCTCCCAAAGGTCAGAACCAGTCTCTCTCTCCCTTGTGCTCTTGCTGAATTTTCTCAGTACTGCTGTTACTACATACAACCATTGTATATGAGGTCATAATCAGCTGGTATTTGCCTGTTTCTTCCTCTAGATTGTGAATGTCTTTGGGGTCTGGAGGGGTGCCTAATTATTACTTATCACAGTAACCTAAGGTGTACCAGACACATATTAGGACCCTCCCTAAGAGATGTTGGAATGTACCTTCCTGTAAATGGAATTATGGAGTACCTGGGCTGCTAGCAAATCTCATTTTCTTGAGTTACTTTGATGGCAATATGAGATTACTGTGGGAGAAGCTAGTTTCAAATGAAAGAACATGAAAGGAGAGAGTACACTTTCATTTCCCAGTAACTTCCATCTGTACTTGCAGGATGCCGAGTCAGAGATTTTTGTGCACAAAACATCACAACTTCCCTGGGCAATTTTTATGTATGGGAAATAATAACAGCCAACATTTTTTGTTCATGCTATGTGCTAGATAGCTGAAGGCACTTTCCATCCTTACCCCTTTTATTCCTTATAAAAAGGGTGAAAAAGATTGTATATTATTCTACATATTAGAATAGAAAGAGACAGGTTAACTAACCCAAGACATTTGTGAAATGGCACAACAGACCCGTGATTGTGCCTGTTCCTGATTCAGGCCATGTCTTCTCTCTACTCTACTACACTACCGCCCACTGCATGTCACTGATTCGCTCTCAGACTTAAATGGTTTCTGGCAGGATATACCACACTAGGAATAGTAAGGACCCAAGGATAAGGCAGACATGAATGAGGGGTTGTTTGCTTTAATAAGCAGAGCCTAGAATCTTCGAGAATATTCTCTCAAAGAAATCAGGAGGCCCTAACTCTAACTCTTTTCCTGTCATTTTCACCTTCCCCATGAGGCTCCATCCTTTCATGTTCCTCTTCCAATACTCTAAGGAGACACTGATGATCATTTTATCCTATGACTTAAAGGGCGACCTGAAGGGTGAATCCCCTTTTTTGGTTCCATTAACACAACAGAGACCACTGGAACTTGCTAAACACCAAGGGAGAGCAAAAGGGATATAAACACAATTTTAGAACATATTAGCAATCTATTCTATAAATTCCAGGCTTCTGTTCTACCTGACTTCATCTTCTGCCAGAACTGGCAGAGCCTTTATCTTCTCCTCATTTCCTTCAACATCCATACATTAGCACAGTGATCCTAATGGTTTTCTCCATTATGAGGGCAACTTTTACTTACTTAGTAAGAGACAACATTTATTGTTCATAGGAATTTGTAGGCTCCTTTCAATTACCATACCCATCATTTCTACCCATTCCTGGTATCCACAGTTTAGCTCTAACTTTGCACATGTTTAGCTTCTTTCTATGGAGAGGGTGATGTATTATTGCCCTCTGCTCAGGAGCTCCTTCTGAGTATGACAAACCATGGTTAAAGTCAAGGTAGAGAGACTTAAGGCTGTCTTACAGGCCCAACTTCCTAAGAAATATGCCCCTTCCTTAGATTGACTCCAGGAATGGAGACCCACCAATGTTTGACCTTTTGGCCAGAAGACTAGAAAAGTCCCAACTATAGTTGATAGTTGAAGACTCGGGCAGGCAACTAAGCACATGGCCCAGGCTCAAGGGAGAGAGGAGCAGTAAGAAGAATCCTATTCAGTGTTAGAGAGCAGTCAAACAATAAATTAAGGTTAACCAGACCTAGCAGCAGGAAGCAAAAATCTAGTGTTGGAGATTGCGATTTGGAAGTCAGGTGGCAATCCCCAAGTAGGCTTTCATAAGCCAGGACTTGAGTCTTAGAGGAACTTGGGTACAGGACCAAAGGAAGACTAGCAGCTAAGACTGAGTTGATTTTGGCTGATGAGGGTCAAGAATGAATGGTGCTAGAGCCTGCTATGGGACCATCCTATTGATGATCACAGTGCCTCAAATGTAGGGAATTATTAGGATACAGTTAGAAGACATCATCAAAATTCCAATTGGCAGTTGCAGTCTCATTCGTTATTATAGCGTCATTGCTGGTTAGTTCAGTTAGGCGAATAGTGTCAGGACAGGGTGTATTTCCTCCCTCTGTGAGATCAGGGTAGGAGGGAGGTAGTTTGAAAAACCATTGATTGGTGTTGTAATATAATTTTCTTACTCATGGGGAAAATAGGCCCATTGTTTTTACAGTGTAAATTATAGAAACTAATGCTTGATGAGATATTTTTGACTAATGATAGGAAATAGAGTGATTCATTCCAAGAAAGTGAGTGACTCAATCTCCTAGGGAAGATGCGCTATGTTTCCCCAAAGGGGGCGCTGGCAGCTTGACTCCTGACTGGATTTTTTTGCCGGCTCTCACAGGCATTTTACTTCCCTGGTTAGATGCAGGATAAGAAAGATGTCCTCTCAGAAGAAAACCCCACGGCAGGTATCTTCCACTAATTGGGAGGACAGTTGATTCAGGCCTTTTAATATAGGTGGACCTCCAAATTCTGTCACATGTGTGACATTTACTTTAAAAATGACATGCTGAATTAAATCAGCTACGGAGACCTGGCTTTCTCTGCCTAGGGTGCTTATAATACAGATTCACCTTTGGTCACACAGAACTTGGTTGGATAGATTGAAGAGGGAACTGTTTAATAATCTCATTGTACATACCTTCACCCATATCATCCATCGCATCTCCCAAGGGGAGTGACTCTTGAAGTTAGAGTGGAAGGACTGATTCTATGAAGACCTAAGAAGGATTTATTCTTAGACGAATAGCCGAGACTGAGTTGACATTGGCTGATAAGGGCCAAAAATGGTCAAAGCCTCCTATAGGGTTAGCCTATGAATGGGATCACGGTGCCTCAAATGTAGAGAATTTGAAATATATACAACGATGAGACAGGCACATAATTAAAATTATAGTCACCTCTTTGACTAAAATCAATGTAATTTCCGAGTGTGATGTAGACAAGTGATTTATATTTATAGGCAAAGTAAAGGAAACATTTTAAACTATTTAAACAATGAACATATAATAGTTTTAAGGTGACCAATTATAAACTGTTGAAAACTGCAATGAAATATAAAATGTTAGTACATTGAAGGCCCCTAGTGCGTTATTATTTGTTGCTGCTTAAGTTGTTTTGTGCATACTTTGAATAAAGATTTTCATTACCTATATTTAGTTGAAGAATATCTTGACATAAGAGGGTGAAAAATTGAGAACTGTTATTCTTTGAAATTAGTCATCTGTATTAATCAGGAATGTTTCAGTATTCTGCAAACAAAAAGAAAACATGCAGCGCTGAGACAAATATTATTATCTATAATGCCTAGTTTGAAATTTGGGAGTAAATTAAAAGCAACCTTATTATTCTCACTAACTAATTTTGTAGTGGGTAAATTTGGTAGTGAGATTGGATTTTGTAAAATATTTTTCATAACCAGAAACCTCTTTTTTTCTGTTTTATGCATTGGAGTTTCTTATTAAGATCTTGTTTGAAAGTTGTTATGCTTCTTTAAAAACATTTTAACAGCAAAAACTTCAAATGTTTGGGCACACCACACCAAAGAATGCTACTTATTTACTTATTGCCACATGTTACAGAAATGGAGTTTTTACAATAATGTCCAACATTTTCATATTTAAGAATGTGATCTTACTTTCCCCCTGCTCAATTTGAGTGATAAAAAACTATTTGAGAACTTAGTTGCAGTGCTATATAAGGTTTCACTATGTTAACTTCAGATTATTTTGTGACTGAATTTTTCCAGTAATAACCCATTCAATTAGCGCTTCAAGCCCAGAAAGCTTATTTGTGAACTCGAACAACTTCAAGTCAGGAGATAAATTATTTTATCTTTGATTTGCAGGTAGAGTCAAATTGAACAGCAGAACCCTTTTGTGTATGTAATAAAAACGTCATCCCAGGATGTCCTACTTCAGGCAGAGCCAAAGGGTGGCCTATTTTTGTCCTGGTGCTTTGAATGGGACTTCTCTTTGGCAGGGGGCATCCTGTAAACTGACTGTCCTGGCCTTCTTCCCTATTGTAAAGGAAGTGCTCTTCCTGTCCCTATCAATGTTGGGGTTACAATTTCACAGGGCTCTAAAGCTGCCGGGAGACACAGGAGAGATTCTAAGAGGCTGGGCTGGCATTAATAGAAACTGAAGGCAGGAGCCTGAGGGCAGTCGGTGGATAGGAAAAGAGAAGGAGAAAAGTGTCATCCTAGATTGTGCTTTACTTCTACTGATTTTCTGTGGATTGTTCTTTTTCTCCCTCTCTCATTTTCCAGTGTATACAGAACAGTACATTTTAATGTCGAGGAAGACAGAACGACGTTATCAAAAGACACAGTTCTTGAGAAGTTTCTACTCCAAGTCAACATAACAGTTCAGCACCTATAATCCAACTCTTATAATTTAGTAGATGAACAAAAATGTAAAGGAAGCATCCAGTTCCTTGTGAATTTAAATCTACACTTTCAAAAGGGAAGGGAAGAAAGTGGTAGACAAGAATGGCTTTAAAAAGGCCTAATTTGCATATAGGAAAAAATATGCCAGCTGTTTGATTCATTGTTTAACTTAAAATGTTGAGAAACCTATAAACCAGTCATATTTCATCTGGCTGTAAATTTATATTTCATTTATTTTCAGTTTCTAGTTACCAACAGTAACCAAATTTTAGTAAGTCATATGGGAGTTATAATGGGAATATATAGAACGATTGCTAATATTTAGGCATAAAATTTGAAAAATGATGTTATGACTTCAGAAACAATCACAATTGGGGATTTCTATTTAACACACACTCTGTGTGTGTGTGTGTGTCTGTCTGTGTGTGTGTGCCTGTGTGTTTAGAGAGAGAGGCTGTTTCCTATCAGTTTGGTCCAGTGTCAAAAAAAAGGTCCATTTTCAGTCAGAGTACAGAAGAAAACAAAGACAAAAGTAATGAGGAGTTTAACTTCTCAGACATTTATTCAGCCATTTTTTCATGTGTATCTTCTAGATCCTACCTGAATCCCAAGGTCATTACTGTTTAGCTTTGAAGTCTCTAAGACATGGAGGATTTTGTAGTCACACACATGCACAGATACGTTTGGGACACATTTTAATTTTCTTTGAGAACAGAACACCACGAAGACTATTTAAATGGCTGGAAAATGTATTTAAATTCAACAAAGAATTCTTAACTTGAAGGAGTTAGAGCAGATTTTGGAAGTAGGTCATAGAATTTTCTTCTCCAGAAAGCATCTGTGCAGAGTGGTGAAAGAGGGTGAAAAGAGCCCCCGGTCTGTGCTGGCACTTGCCAGCAGTGTGCAATTCAGTCCTCGAAGCTACTTTGTAGATTGCATGTTATTATTGATTCCTTATGCAGGATTAAATGGGCTGAGAGGTTAAGCAACTTGCCCAGGCTTTCATAGCTAGTAAATCCTGGAACTGAGATTCAAATTCAAGTCTGTTTCTAAAGATTGTGTTCTTTCCACTCCACTGTGCAACTTCCCCTAGAGATCATTTTCATAAATTTAGTTTTCTTTAAAACTACAAATTGGACTTGCAGAGTTTCTTTCAGCCCCTGCTGCCATGTGAAGCAGAGAAGATGTCTGACTGATTTGGTCAGCAGTGCTTGGGCATCACAGGAAGTGTGCTGGGATGATTGGTGTCCAGGTGTATGTGATGGCATTCTTCTCTAAAAGCTGTGAGCACCTGCATAGCTTGAATTCAGTTTATGTGGAACTTTCCAGTAGCCACAGAACAAACAAGCCTTCCCAGCACAACTAATAAAGGGAGAAATCAAATGAGAAGTAAGAGACACCCAAATCTGCAGGAAAACCTGCAAACAATTTAAATCAAAGGTGAACTTTTGGAAATATTATTTTAAAAATGTAAAAACTCACATAATTGGATGGAGCTTGAATTTCTGAGTATCTTTATAAAGTTTGGAAGCTCTTCATATGAGAAGATTCTCTTTCTGAACTGCAGTTGGCATTCCTTACTCTAGTGATATTAAGATTTATTATGAGGGTTCCCCCTCCTTTTAAGGCAATCGAAGGGGAGGAAGACGGGTTCTCTAAGGTTCCTCTTTAGTTCACTGAAGATAGGGTATCAATAATACTAAAAGGGTATGGCCAGGCACAGTTTCTCAGTGCGGAGGCTGAGGTGGGAGCAGCCATTCTTGCCTCCTGCTAGAACCTCATCCCAAAGGAACAACCCTGGTTGCTATGAAGAAACCACAATAGAAGCAACTCTCGTGCTGAGGGTGCACATAGCTGTGGTGGTTACACTGAAATCAATAAGGGCACAGCCCTGGCAGCATGAATAGCCAAGAAACAGTTCCTTGAAATTTGTACCTGGAGAAAGAATGGCAAAAAGAATTCCAGAGCTGATCAGTCCACTCTGCTGGTTTGCACTGTGTGCACCGCTAGAGGCTGGATGTCTCCTTTCTTACCCCTAGGGTCATGGGGATGTCTAGAAATGTAAAGATAACATTTTCAGTGAATTTACAGAAACATATTATTCCATTTTATTCCCCCCAGAAGGTGAAGTACTTCAGCAGAGTTTATAGAGCGAGACAGAGCGAATGCGCCTCACATCCATGTGCTGGTGAGACTCCACTCTGTTTCTAGAAGTAACCTTTCCACAGGTCCTCCAGGGTATGTTCAGTGTCCTTGAAGACAGTGGAAACCCTTGGTATACACTTGTCAAATCCTTCAGTGGTGGCAAAAATCACTCAGTTCCTCAAGTGACTTTTCTCTCTCAGGCTAGGCCTAAGGGTAGCTCCACACACACCCACAGAGCGTGAGCCGTGGGAACAAACAGCCCAAAGACAACCACATTTGGAGCTGCCCAGAGGCCCAGCACTACCATAATGCCAGCTAGTCCTTGGGCCCCAGCTGACTGCCCTGGTCTGGGTTCTTTGTAAACACATTCATAGGTATAGGCAGTTGGGGATGTTAAGGAAAAGACAAAAAAGTCTGATTCTGTGTTCTGGGTAGGAAGTGAAGCTTACATTTTGCTTCTCCCTAGCGTGAAGCAGCCTAATGTAGCTTCTACACTTTTCCTGGATCCCCATGTGTTCTTCAAAAGGCAAGGCCATGTGAAATAAGCTGAGCACTAGACCAGCTGCCAGAAGACTTGAGTTCCAGCTCTGGCCTCACCAAATTCTAGGCCAATGGTTTTGAAAGGGTAACTTCACCTCTCTAAAGCCTCAATTTCATGCTCATCTCTTTTTAAAGGCTATATGAGTTTCCAAGGGTTGCCATAGCAAGTGACTACAAACTGGGTGGCTTAAACAACAGAAATGTGTTCTTACAGGCTTCTGGAGGCCAGAAGTCTGAAACAAAGGTATGTGCAAGGGTGGTTCCTTGTGGAGATTCTGAGGGCGACTCTCTTTCATGCCTCTCCTCTAGCTTCCGGCGTGGCTGGGGATCCTCGGTGTTCCTTGGCTTGCAGATGCATCACTCCAGTCTCTGCCTTCACCTTCCTCCCGTGCCTCTCCCTCTGTGTCTCCAAGTCTCTCCTTTTCTGTCTCTTGTTAAGACACATGTCATTGGATTCAGGGTCCACCCTAATCCAGGATAATCTCTTCTCAAGATCCTTACCTTAATTACATCTGCAAAGACCGTTATTCCAAATAAAGTCACATTCTGAGGTTCCCAAGTGGACAGATCTTTTGGAGGGCCAGTATTTAACCCACTGCAGGAGTGCCTACTGCATAGGTCTGTATTAGGAAAAAGTGAGAAAATTCACGTTAAGTGTTCTGTGAAATATGAAGTGCTACATTTTTCTTGTTACTTTCCAACTCAGTGGCTTTGGTAAATTTCTTGTTTTCCTCTCCTATTCCTGATTCCATTTTCATTATGATGTGATCCTAAGCCATCTTTCCAGATTCATTTCCTGTTTTATCCTCTAAGGCATCTTATACTCCAGCCCGAAGAACTTACGCTTTTTTTGATTCATCATGCATTTTCATCCCTCTTAATTTTTTTGACTCATTCTTCTACTTTACTGTAAGTTCTCTTTCCTCTCCTACTTATCTCTCCAGGCTGGGCTGCTAACCCACTTCTTTGGCTAACAATGCTTCTTCCTGTAAGTTGAAATTTTTCCAGGGGTGTGCTGGAGCTAGCTCATACTGTCTAGAAAGAGCTGATTGCTGATTGTTAAATATTCAGTAATACTTTTGGCAGCTCGAAATCAGCCATGATGGGAGTATTTACATCATGGAAAGTGGCAAACACCGCAAATCAGAGCTTGTTCATTCTCTCTATATATTTTTCTTAAGACAGGGCCTCCCGCTGTCACCCAGGCTAGCTGGAGTGCGGTGGTGTAATCCCAACTCACTGCAGCCTCCAACTCCTGGGCTCAAGTGATCCTCCTGCCTCAGCCTCTCAAGTAGCTGGAAATACAGGCACTTCACCATGACCAGCTAATTTTTTATTTTTTGTAGATATGGGGTCTCACTATGTTCCCCAGGCTGGTCTTGAACTTCTGGGCTCAAGCAATTCTTCTGCCTTGGCCTCCCAAAGTCTAGGATTATAAGCATGAGTCACTGTGCCCAGCCTCTTTATCTTTTTCTCTCTCTTTTCTCTTTTCCTCTTTTCTTTCCATCGCACCACTAAATTTTTTGGTTCTCTAGACTTTTAGACCATTTTATGTTTACCTCTATTTTAACATTTTAACCATCTATTACTTAGTTGTGTAAACAGCCATCACTTGTGCTAGATTTTGAGTCCCTTGAGGCCAAAGGAATATTCTGTATTCTGGAAAATATATGGAGTTGTCTTATTTCTCAGAGCACCTAATCCATAAAAGGCTCTCAGTAAATAGATTAGGGTAAATAAATGAAGAGAGTAATGCCAATGCACATTTACTGAGCCTCCTCTGTCCCATCAACTCTGTGAAAGCAGGTATGATTATTAGGCCCTTTTATGGAAAGTAACTGAGGTTTAGAAAGGTGAGTATCTTGTCCAAAGTCACACAGCTAATAGGTGGACCCCAGGAGTCTGAGCCTGTACCCTAAATTCTTAAGTACAATCTGAATATTTTTTAATGGTACTATGTGAATACTTTTTAATGAGACGAAATTTCCTATCCCAGACTGACCTCTGCCATCCAACTGAGTAGCCACTGGCTACGTATGGCTACTGAACACTTGAAATATGTTTCAGTGTTTCAATTCAGGCTAGCCTGAATTGAGAAGTGCAAAACACATACCAGATTTCAAACATTTGTTGTGCAAAAAAGGATGTTTAAATATTGAAATGTTGAAATAATAATGATTTGGATATATCGGGCTAAATAATATCTATTAATAAAATTTATTTTTTATATTTTAATGTGGGTACTAGAAAATGTATGGGTTACATATGTGGCTGGCATTATATTTTCATAGAAATATAGACTACTGTCTCCTAGGACCTGGAACTCTCCTCTAGCCACCTTGTTACTATACTAGCATTTATATGTCCAGAGAGACCCATGCTTATTTTAGCATAGGGCCAAGGCATGTTCATTCAGAGACTATTTCACATGTTTCTAACCTCCTCTGAAATTTGCCTCTTGGTCATTTTACTGACCCTTTGAGATGAGACATTTGTTATGAATGAAGAGATAAAGGTCAGCGCTTCAGTCAAATTGGCATCCTGTGAAAAGGTCGGGCATCCAGGGATTCATGGGACAAGGTTGGAGCCATTGGCCAAAATTTTATCTCTGAATAATCTGTGAATATCGGTTACAATAACTCTTGTGTTTGCTCAGTTGGAGAGGAGCCACAGCTCAAAAGAAGATATCTCAAAGGAATTAGTAATCAATTCCTCTCTTCCTTTAGGGCAGGAATCTGCTTCCAGCAAACGCAAAATAAGCCATGCTAGAATCCTGCTGTTCTCCCCAACTGGCTAGGTTGAGGTCATGGAGTTGACTGGGGAGTCGCTCTAAACTGATGAGTAGAGAAAATGCACGAAGCAGGTAACTAAGACTTAGCCATTCTATCCTACCAGGTTATCGCAGAAGGCAAGTAGTAAAAGAAGAGGAACAATTTGTGTAAATAGGTCAACTAACTGTCTTAGAAAACAGAAAATGGAGCACCAATAAATGTCAGTAAAATGCATCTAACCAGCCTCCCTGCTTTTCTGTTCCTCTGCCAGGGCAGTTCTCACATGTTCCAGTCTGAGTCAGAAGGAAAGACAGGATGTGAGAACCCTAATTTTCCTGACTTTCTAATGAAGAAATAAATTCTGAAAATGTTATGATGACATTTTATTTTTCTCCAGAGTGATGTAGTTTCATATAATTATTTTGGCTTTTCTTCAGTGCTCGGAGTCTCTCTGATTGCCGATTCCCAGAAATAATAATGAATCTCCCCAATTTTGCAGTCGTAGAACATAGACATTAGCGCACAGGCTGTGGTCATTATGGCCATCTCTGATTGCAGTTGCAGAATGCTGCAGACTTTCCCTGCCTGTTCTTCTCTGGATTCTCAGGTGTATGAAAGTGAGTCTCATCTAAGCTGCTATGTTGTGAATGAATGGGCTTTGCAAAGGATGTCAGAAAGGATTCCCTCTGGCAGGGGGAGCCTATCTGCCCCTCCTTCATTAATCTCTAGAGCACAATCATTTTAAGGGTCCCTATATTTGTGAATGTCATTCCTTTAAGGGGAACAAAACCATAAGATTTTAGAGAAGGAAAAGATTCTTAAAATTATCGGTCACAACCCCTTAATTTTTAGGTAAGTGACACAGCAAGGTTAAGTCACTCAAGGAGGGTTGCGTATCTAGGCCTGCCAACTGCTAGTCCAGGCTTCTTTCCACCATATTAGGCCATCCCATTTCAGTAAACAACTTCCAAGTCCCTCATTTCATTCACAGGAATAAGGTAGAGGGCAAGAGACTAGTTTGGTATAAAGGTCAGGAATAAATGTCATTTTTGACATTCAGCAGGAAAATCTTGGCATGGTGCATTTTGCCCAGGGAACACCCCTTCTCACAATGACTTTGGAATTCCCTTGTTGTTTGCTTTTTTTCCCCCCCACATGCAGACATCATTTATTTCAGTTAATGTCAATGACAAGAACTGAGATGCTTTTACTACTGGAGTAGCACGGACCCCCTCCTTTTAACCAGAAAACAAACAAACAAACAAAAACTTTAGTGTCCTTCAATAAGTAAGCTTTTGAGGGAAGAATTACCCTGTCTAGCAGTCTTAGAAATGGTTCTATTTTTGCCTTTCCTGAACCATCACCATCCTTCTCAACACCCTCAGTTGGATACTTTATCTCTACTCTCCATTTGTCCTGATACCCCTTTGTCGCAGGCTGTGATGTTTTTAGAATGCTTGAAAATGAAATTCCTCATTTTTCTTATGGGGTTTCTTCTTCTTCCTCTCTGAGGGAAGCCCTCTAGTCTTTGAACACACAAGTCACCCCCTTCCCTGAAATGGAAGCAAATATGCACAGATGCCTGGGATGTGGCCGTGTGGCATTTGGCAGAGCAGTTGGCACTAGGAGAGTGCTCAGTCTCTCACTCCCCTGGTATTTCCTGTCACTTGTGGAACTTGTTTCCTAATACCTTCGCTAACCCATGAAGGTCTGTATTTTAAGCAGACACTTCCTGCTTCCGTAGTACTTCTTACATACAAGACCCAGAGTAATCTGTGGATCAAATGCAATGATTAAATGTCAAAGTAAGCTCATCTTAAGTGGTGCTTCACTTCCAGGTACTTCTTGGGTGCCATTGTATTATTTTTTTCAAAGGCATTTTCATTGGTTATGGTAGTTTTGGGTGAGACCATTTGTCTTGATAATATAAAAATATCTTGTAGTATCCTAGCCTCTTTCGCACAGATAAACCTCCAAATAAACTTTTTAAGTTGGAGCTCCTTTGAAAGCAACCTTGGCATTGCTATTTGGAAAAATGGTATCAAGCTTCAGAGCCTGTACATGTTATCTGCCCTTGGCTGTATGGAAAAGCTCAAAAGAACAAACAAGGAGAGAGATAAAAAGGAGTAAAATATTTTGTTTGGATAAAGCTCTGTCACTGAATGTCTTTGAACCCAAAGAAGACACCAGAAAGTCTCCAAACCTCTAATTCATCTGTAAACTGGGAACTCATACTAAGTCATGCTGACTGTAGGAATAAAAAGATGAAGAGGAAGGGGGGGCTCACTAGCAATATCAGGCACTACCCAGAATTAGTGCCAGTTGATCCCTGGTCAGGGTGCATAGGCTTGGAGAAGAGTAAATTTGCAGGGCATAATGGACCATGCTCTGAGATGCAATTTTCTTAAACTTAGTTGGCTCTGGATGAGTGCATTCCAATGTGACGGAGGAGGTATTTGCTTCCTGGGAAGGTTTTCTTTCACAACAGGCAAGAAAAATTGCTCTTTAAAATATACCTCTTCGTGGTTGAGAAAGACAAAATCCTCCATGGCTTAAAATTCTAAATGGCTAGCCATCATCAAAAGTACCCCGGCATCAACGCATCAAGGCACCAGATTTGCTGTGATTTCAAGCTGGGTATTTAAAGCAGGTCACAAATTGCTTTCTGCTTTCCCTTCCTTTTGCTCCTCTGAACAAACAGGTTGTAATTTTAAGAACAGCACTAATGGAGAAAAATGTTGATGACAAATGCCAGTGGTTACATTGGGCAGACATAAAACACAGCTTTCTATATTTTTATGTTCTTTTTCATATTCTGTGATCATCTGAGAAAGCCTTTGTCTACTTTCATTGTCTGTATTTTTGTCATTGATTGACATGCTGGTAACAGGCCTGGGAAACAAGATACAATTCTGCAGCAGCCCCTTAAAATTTCCCTGATGACCTGGCCTGGCCAAAAAGCTTAAGAACTGTGGTGCACTGTTTATGTTACCATTCTGATTGGGAGTTACCCAGAAATTCTTGTTTAAAACTGTTATTGCAGTTATTTAGGGAATTTTGTTGGCTGGTAATGTGTGAAACCTGCCTTTGATAGAGAGACTTGTACAAATATAAATGGTGTTTACATCTGAATTTCAGCGCTCCTTTTTTTTTTTTTAGTAGAAGATATACCAGACAAACTAAAGATTGACTAATCCTGGAGCCCTGATTTTTTTTTTTAAATCACTATTGTCAGCTTAATAACTATTTACTATGATCCAAGTATATGCTAAGAGCTTTTGTTTGTTTGTTTGCTTGCTTGCTTGTTTGTTTTTTGGCACAGGGTCTTGCTCTTTTGCCCAAGCTGGAGTGCAGTGGTGTGATCTCGGCTCGCTGCAACCTCTGCCTCCTGGGTTCAAACAATCCCCCCATCTTAGCCTCCCAAGTAGCTGGGACTACAGGCGTGCACCACCATGCCTGGCTATTTTTTGTATATCTTTGTAGAGATGTGATTTTGTCATGTTGCCCAGGCTGGTATCAAACTCCTGAGCTCAAGCATAGGCGTGAGCCACTGTACCAGGCCAAGAACTGTTTTATCGTTTTTTAAAACATAGTTTCAATAATTAGTTTTCTTGTAATCTAGAATATTGCATTAATTTTTGTGCCTTCAGAATTACTCCAAAATCGTTTATTAAAGGATAAAACTCTCTCTCAAAACACTAATGACTTTCTCTTACATTACTTTTACTTTTACAGCTATATAATTGTGATATTAGCAGAAAGAGTTCATTTTTAGAACAATTAAAATGCAAGAAAAAAAGTTTTACCAACCTCAGAATTGTGCTGAATTCAATAGGAGTAGCTACAAAATTGTAATCAAAAACATAGAAAATTAGAAGGCCCTTCAGACACTTCATAAATACCCACAACTCTTACCATGTATTCACAATTCAAAACTGTACATTAAATTAAGCATACTAAAGAAAAAAGGAATGTTTTCTTAGCAATTTAAGAACTTGCTTAAAAAGAAAAAAAGATCAACCACTCCCTCTAGTGACAAAAATTAGCCACAAGATGAAATTCAGTTAAAATTCCAAACACTGTGGAGATGGAAAGCCTTGTATTTTAGATGAAAGGATTTATGGCTGGAATTAAAAGAAATTAAAAGGCAGAAAAGTGGGTGAATGGAAAACATTTACTTTTTGTTTTTAAGTGTTAATAGCCACTTTTTGTCCAGTCTGTATCTCCTTTCATTAGTCTTTATATATATATATATATATACACACACACACACACGTATGTTATATATACATATAATGTTTTATGTATTATATATGTTATATATACACTTATATGTTATATATATGGTTTTTTTTCAGGAGCATTATATCATGTGAATGAGTTCAAATGTACAAGCTTGGAGATTGATTTGGAATCACTTAGCATTTTAACCTCAGAATTATTCAGTTTTGCTCTCTAGCTGGGGTTAACTGTTTTAATTCTGATACCATAATCAGTTGCCAGAATTTTAGTGCTAGTGATACACAATAAATGGATATAAGGTAAGAAGTAGAAAAAAATAAGCCAAAAGAAGAAAATAAACACAATCCCATTACTGAGAAGTGCCCATGCTAACATTTGAGATACATATATATTTTCATGTTTTTTTAATGAAAATTCTGACATTTTCATCCTAAAAAAATCTGCATAAGCGTCATTGAGGTGGGCCTCTGGTTAACTGAAGGTGAGTTCAAGAGCCCAAGGTACCTTGGTAAATGTAGGTTTGAGTAGATTCTGATATTAGTACATCTGCGATGGACATGGGCTCCCAAATAAGCAGCAGCTGCCATCTTGCTTGGCACCTATCAGAGGATCAGGAAATGTTTGCTAAAAGAATCAGTGAAGTAACCTCACTATTAAACAAAAGCTTTGAAGAGTAGGAAGAAGCTTGAACTAAGCAGGGCTTTTGTGATATATTTAGCCAAGAAGGACATCCATTTTCTGGTTGCCACTAAGCATCTGTCAGTATCACACTGGGGTACTCTCCTTGGAATGTCAAAGGCTTTTATTTTTAGTCATCTTTTTTAGTACAATATTCCCTAGGAAAAAATAGCATTTTAACTTGAAGTAAATTGGGCAAAAAGCAATGGGTCACGCCGGGGGTTCTGAAATGAAGGAGTTTATGTTGGCAGTAAGCATTGAAAAACACGATTGGGCCACTTCAGAAATCTGTGATTTGTTATTTTTGTGCCAGAGTGGTGCAAAATCTTTTTTCACTTTCACTATTCTCAGGCTCCCAGAAGGAATATGATGCAGATTCCAGAAAAAACAAAGTGAAGCTTTTCATCTAGATTATGAGACAGCAGTGATCCATCCTCAGCCCACACCCCACTCCTAGCCCTACTCTTAATACACACACACGCACACACACACACATTTTATTCTAACAAATGTCCTTTATGTTTTCCCACCTTTATGTTTTTCTGCTTAAACTAACCTTCCTCTTTCCTCACCTATAGTACCCAGGTACTAGCTTAGCCATAATGCCTATTTCAAAGCAGATATACAATAAATACTTTTCAATTAACAGTCAACTCAGAAAATGTTTAGACAGACATCCTCTAATGCTCAGCTCTAAGACCTGAGCTCTAAGACCTCCTCCTCCAAAAAAGCATTCATTGAAACTTGATGTGCTGATGCAATGTTTATAATATCATGAAGCTCTAAGTTGAAGACAGATAATGTTGAGTACCTAACTGTATAACTTTACATGTATTTATTTTCACATTGATCCTTGGGTTTGATTTAGCAGTCTAAGTTTGAATTGTCTCTATAAGTATGTTACCTTGGGGAAATCATTTCACCTGCTTGTGCTTTAATTTTTTTATCTGTCAAATGGGGATAACAACAACTGCTGCATAGAGTTTGTGGGGGATCAAATGCTATAATCTATGTAAGAAATTTAGCATAATGTGTAAAACAAGAAGAAGTTACGCAGTAATGATTGAATGAAGAATACTTTATTCCAAGTGAATCATGAAAGAGTTTTCAGTTTTTTCTTTTAATGTAATACCTAATACAATACTGAGTTAAAATTTATTAAGTACAGTCTGCCTTTTGTATCTGTGGTTTCAACATCCATAGGTTACATATCTGCAGATTCTACCAACCATAGATTGAAAATATTCGGGAAAAAACACAGTGAAAAATAACAGTGCAATAATAAAAAGTAAAACAAATTAAACACAATATAACAACCACTTACATAGCATTTACATTGTATTATGTATTATAAATAATCTTGAGATGATTTAAAGCATATGGGAGGATTGTCCAGCGTGGTGGCTCATGCCTGTAATCCCAGCAATTTGGGAGGCCAAGGTGTGTGGATCACCTGAGGTCAGGAGTTTGAGATCAGCCTGACCAATTTTGTGAAACCCTGTCTCTACTAAAAATACAAAAATTAGCCAGGCGTGGTGGCGTGCACCTATAATCCCAGCTACTGGAAAGGCCGAGACAGGAGAATTGCTTGAACCCAGAAGGCAGAGGTTGTGGTGAGTCAAGATCGCCCCACTACACTCCAGCCTGGGCAACAGAGCAAGATTCCATCTCAAAAAAAAAAAAAAAAAGTATATGGGAGGATGTGTATAGATTATATGCAAATGATACATCATTTTACATCAGGGGTGTGAGCATCCTTGAATTTTGGGGTCTGCAGGGGGTCCTGAAACCAATCTCGTGGTTGCAGAGAGACAACTGTATTTGTTTGCTCTTCAGTGCAAAATTTTAAGCAAAATGTGTCTTAAAATTCTGCTGAGTGAAAAATAACCCATGGCTGCAGACCATGGGGAAAGAGAATATATCCCAAATTCTCTTGGTTAGTTTATATGGCAGAGAAAGTTAAAATAAGCAAATTATGATAAATACTTGGAATTTTAAGCTTACCATATATAAAAATCTAGGTGTCTGGTGCTTCGCTGAAATTTATGTACTTGTATGAACACTAGAGGGAAGTGTTGTGAATAGCAACAAAACAAATGAGTAGGAATTAAGTGATCTTATTGTACTTACTGTAAATATAATTTTACTTATTATGCCAGATATAAACATTTTCTACACCTTTGTTGTTTAAGCATGAAACAGATTTTAATAGGAATTCCAGCCATGTAATTGCTGTTGTGCATGTATAGGACCTACACACAGCATTTCTAAGAGAAAAATTCAAGATAGGAGAAGTAGAAATCAAGCTTCAGAAACTTTACATATTAACAAAATATCCAGAGGAAAAAATGGGCTTCTGATAATAAGAGTCAGAGGTTTTATTATATATTAGTTCATTCTTTGTTAATAAAAGTAATGCTTTCACCTAGATTTTTTAGAAAGTGTATTAGGATAACAATCCTAGATTTCTAAATCTCAAGAAATTGCATGTTCTCAGGCTATTTGGCAGTTTTTCTCATCTCTAAAATCAGGAGTGGAATGATATTTTGATAAAAATAGTAATGCTCATTGAAAAGTAAATCTGAACGATGCAAGAGGAATGATATTATAAAGAAAATAGTCTCTCACAATCCATCTTACCACCCAGACATGACTGGCAACGGTTAATATTTTGGTGAACATCTTTTCTAAACTTTTTCCTGCCTTCTGTTTCTTTTCCCTTCTCTCTCTTGCCCACCCTCCTGCCCGTAGGCAATACTCCTAAATCAGCATTGCCAGTTCAGATCTGTCTCCAGAGTGAGTGCCATTCAGAAGTCCCACAAGCTCCTCAAACTCAGTATTTTAAAACTGGCGTATGAAGAACTACCCTTTTTTAGTTTTCCATTTAAAATGTATCTACTGTTAGTTCCAATTGTTGAGGCTATATGCCACCTCACACACATTACTTCCTACATTAATTTGGGTGGTTGGATGAAATTTATGTACCTTTTGTTACGTAAGTCTCTTAACATTGGGAGCTCTCAAACTGTGCAAAGGAGTCACTCAAGAAACATGACAAAGATGCAAATTCCTGTTCCCCACTCCTAAAGATCCTGGGTCAGTGAATCCTTGGGTGGGAGTCTCAGTACTCTGCATTGTTTCCTACATGATGTGGTTTGGCTTTGTGTCCCCACCCAAATCTCATCTTGAATTGTAATCCCCAGGTGTTGAGGGAAAAACCTGATGGGAGGTGAGAGGATCATGGGGGTGGTTCCCCCCATGCTGTTCTTATGATAGTTAATGAGTTTTCATGAGATCTGCTGGTTTTATGAGTGTTTGGTGGTTAGAACTCTTGGTTGAAGAACTCTTGCTCATTCTTCTCTGTCCTGCTGCCTTGTGAAGAAGATGCCTGCTCCCCCTTCCACCATGATTGTAAGTTTCCTGAGGCCTCCCCAGCCATGCATAACTGTGAGTCAAGTATACCTATTTTCTTTATAAATTACCCAGTCTTGGTTATTCTTTGTAGCAGGGTGAGAGTGGACTACTACACTAGGCCACTTCTATCCCAGATCATTTCGTACAGCTGCTCTGAGACCACACTTTGAGAAACTCCACCGAGTCAAGGGCAAGGAGGTGAACATTATTTAAGCTGTTATTCTCTTTATCCTCCTTCTACTCTTACTCTGATTTTTTGCATGAATTGTTGTAACAGCCAGACTTGTGAATACTAGTTGGCAACGGAGCATTCTGTGTAACATGGAAGGTTCCTGGGGGCACGCACCAGGGAAGGGCATATTGAAATGTACTTTGTACAGATTGAAAAACTCAGAGTGCAGAATGTATTAATTAACTAATTTTTTCCATGAAGTGAAATGTGCTACACTTGGTTTAGGTTTTGACACAGGCTTTTCAGCTGCTGGAAGGAGGAATATCTAGCTAAAGTGGAAATTTAGGAAAAAATTACAGTCATGAATTGTCAGAGATCCAAGAACTTCAGATGTCATTGGAAGCAATGCTTTTATTTCTCAGAGAAGGCAACTAAAGCCCAGAGAGGTGAAATGTCTTACCCAAAGCCACATAGCAAGTTGTAGTCAGAATCAGCTCTAGAACTGTTTCATCCTGGAGAACCACCTCCATCTAGTGTTTGCGTGTATCCTCAGTTGGATGGCATTCCTGAGGCTCACAAGGGTTTAACAATTTAAAATGTCCCATGGTGGCTGCTTTCGGTTTACACAACTTCATATATAAATTCTCAAACACGGTCTGTGTTTTTTGTTTTTTTTTAAATTATTTTTTTTTGTTGTTTTCATAGAAATGAGGGCTCACTGTGTTGTTGCCCTGGCAGGTCTCGAACTCCTGGCCTCAAGCGATCCTCCTACGTTGGCCTCCCAAAGTACTGGGATTACGGGCATGAGCCACTGTACCCAGCCTATTATGTGTTATTTGAAATAACAAAATGTTTTTGCCAGTCTCTACCACAGGATTCTGTTTAATGCAATATTTTTGATAAATAAGATATTCCCTTCTCTAGCAGTTCACAGAAGTTAGCTACAGGGAGCCACCACATTGAGTCATTTTTACAGTGGAGCCACATCTTACTCAGTGGCTAAGGTCTCGAAGTCAAGGCTCATCAAAATTCACCTTGAAAGGCTCCTAGATAATCTATCATTTCTTAATAATTTCAACAGTACAAACGTTGCCTGCAGCTTTGGAATAGCTCTTTCTTTCTTCAGTTGGATTGGCTGGTTTGTGTTTAGGATCATGTTATGAGAAAAAAATATTATTTTAAACAGTAGAATCCCAGGGGTTCCCACATCCATGAGACTTTGAAAGGGAATGACAGACTAGGTTCACCTTGTTTTAAGACTCTTAGGGGAGAGATGTTCATTCTGTGAAATGGCCAAAGGGATTTTCCGTGATTTAAAAATTTTTCTTCCTGCTTTTCTCCCTCCCCACAGCAAAGGATCAGCTCATCTGCTCTTGAGGGAATCAGAATCAAAATGTTATCAGGGGAAATATCTCAGAGGTCTGATGCACTTTCCCTTATGGTAAATTATAGAGAACACAATTATTCTTTGCTCGTCCCTTCCTTATGTCATTACTGCTGGCCGCTCAAGGCTCCATTGAGGTTTTGTACTGATCACTTATTTGGTCTTCCTCACTTAATAGAAACTTTTTATTTTTTTCATCTAACACCTAATCATCCAATCATTGTGAGGTTGTGAATAGCTGGAAATGGCTTAGGCATTCACATTTGCCTTACTCTTCCCCACACTTGGCATTTTAAACTGGGCTTTTTATTGCTTTAACAACTAAAGTACTGGATGCTGGGATGTGGGAACTAGGTTAGGTCTTCAAAGGGATTTAGCAGAGGAGCGGGAAGGTGGGAGAGTAAATTTTCATAGAAGCTTCATATCCCATCCTTTCAATGTAGGCCTAATTGTAAGTGGAGTTGAGGCTGTATTATTTCAGACAACGGAGTTCTCATTTTTAATGCCTGTCCTGGCCATCCAAGCCTCACTCTTCAATACATACATACATACATATATATATATGTATTTATATGTACATACATACATATTTATATATATATAAAACTTTGGGCAAGAGCAACCTGGTGTATTGAAAGTTATGTTTAAGCTAGGTGTGTTCCTAAAACCACTAGCTAATTTAGGAATTGGAGAGTAGAAAATTAGGTATGACCATCATACATAAGGGTCAGCATGAATTTCTGGCTAAGATAAGCTTGGCCTCCTCTCAGCTTTAATGGACACTTCAGCTTTTCCATTTGGAAAAAATAGTAAATAACTCTTTGCTGTTATATAATAATTGCTAGAAATTTAATAAAAGCATAGAGTTTTGGAGTGTATAAGAACCTCTGAGCCAACTCATGATGGTGTGGTTAAATAGAAATACCTACATTCTGGAGGCAGACTTCAAATCAAGTCTCACTTTCTGTGAGGTACTGCATAAGTTGCTTAATCCTTTTAAGTCTGTTTCTTCATCTGACAGGACAATTAGGGTGAAAAGATCTAATGTGAAATCTTGATGTGAGTGCTTTGCTCTAGGTCAGGAGATTACTAAATTTATATCCCTGTTCCCCTCTCCCCCTTATGCACACTGTAGGAATCCTTTCTACCATATCCTTCTGCTCGAGCATTCCAGGGTCATGGAACCTATTAAATTTTTGGATAGCCACTTGCATTGTTTGGAAGCTTGAATCTGTTCATTCATTCCTTTATTTAGCAATAGTTATTAAGTCCCTCTTCAGTGCCAGGCACTGTGCTAAAACTGCTTTACATCAGATCCTGAGTCCCTGTCTCTGTAACTCTGCTTTTGGGTCCCTGGCCCCTGCAGCACTGCAGGGTTCCCCTACATGACAGCCCTACTGCTGAGTTAAGGACATGCTAAAGGTCTTTCTTGTATCTTTTCTTCTTTGAAGTGTCTTCAGCTGTTTTCTCCCACCTGTCAATATCCTGTCCACCTTTGCCTAGTGGCATTTCAATTTTTTTTTAATCCTTCATAAAATGTGGCACCCAGAAATCCCACCCCATCTGTTGTCTGGCCAGCGCTGAGTCCTCTAGGACTCTAACTTCCTCTATCAGGACCATCTGCCTGTGTTCATGAATCTCAGACTGTGTTCACTTTCCACCACATTTAAATAGTAATTGTGAATTTGTAATGCCCAAACAAGTGGTCTAAACACTCTGGAATCAGTGGTAGTTCAACCAGAGGCTTGGTTAAGAGGAGCAGTGTTCCAGGTGGAAGAAAGGCCCACATGCCTGAAGGCTACATGGGGTCCTGTGCGTTCTGACTCCAGTCTACAACAGACTAGATGAAGATTTGACAGACCCCATGTGATAACTGATTCTCTGCAATGTCCTGATTAAATCTGTTGTTCTGTTTCTGTTTAAATCCACCACAATATTTGTGGATTAAAATAGATTGTGTTGATGTGACACCGTGTGCAACCAGAGAAAAAAATAGATTATACTTTTCAAAATAAAAAAGCTTTTGTGCTTCAAGGGACATTATCAGAGTGAAAAGACAACCTGGAGAATGGGAGATATATTTGCGGATCACCTATCTGTCAAGGGACTTTTATCTAGAATATATTTTAAAAATCCTTGCAACTCAATGATACAAAGATAAATAACCAAATTGAAAAATAGGCAAAGCATTTGAATCGGTAGTTATCAAGAGAGGATATACAAATGGCCAACAACGACATGAAAGATTCTCAACATCTTTAGCCATCAAGGAAATCTAAACAAAACTACAATGAGATATCATTTTACACCAACTAGAATAACTATAAAAAAGGCATACAACAAGTGTTGACAAGGATGTAGAGAAATGGAACCCTCACACACTGCTGGTAGAAATGTAAAATAGTGCAGCCACTTTGGAAAACAGTTTGGCAGTTCCTCAAAAAATTAAGCAGTTACCATATGACCCAGCAATTCCACTCCTAGGTATTTTCCTGAGGGAATTGAAAACATGCTTCCACACAAAAGCTTGAACACAAATGTTCATAGCAGCATTGTTGATAATAGCCAACAAATGGAAACAGTCTAAACACTCATCAACTGATGAACGGAGAAACATAATATATCCATACAAGGGAATATTATTCAGCTGTTAAAAGGACTAGAGTACTGATTCATGCTACATTGATGAGACTTTATTTTTTTTATTTATTTATTTATTTTTTTTTGAGACGGAGTCTCGTTCTTGTCGCCCAGGCGGGAGTGCTGTGGCGCGATCTCCGCTCACTGCAAGCTCCGCCTTCCGGGTTCAAGCCATTCTCCTGCCTCAGCCTCCCGAGTAAGCTGGGACTACAGGCGCCTGCCACTGCGCCCGGCTAATTTTTTGTATTTTTAGTAGAGACGGGGTTTCACCGCGGTCTCGATCTCCTGACCTCGTGATCCGCCCGCCTCGGCCTCCCAAAGTGCTGGGATTACAGGCGTGAGCCACCGCGCCCGGCCGATGAGACTTTAAAAACATGACAAATGAAAGAATCCAGACACAAAAGGACAAATATTCCATGTTCACATTTATATGAAATGTCCAGAGTAGGCAAATCCTGAAAGACAGAAAGTAGATTAGTGGTTGACCAGGACTGAAAGAGAGGAGAATGGGGAATAACTTTTAATGGGCATGAGGTTTTTTGGGTCCGTGTGTTTTTGTTTTGTTTTGGTTAGTGATGAAAATTTTCTGAAATTAGATAGTGGTAATTCTATAGCTTTGTTAAATGGGAGAATATTATATCTGAATTATATATTTTTTAAAATGAAAATTCATCTTAAGGAAAAAAGATAATTTTTGCCCAAGGAAGATTTTTGATAAAGGTCTATATGGTGATTAGGACTCACCTAGAGGAAAGATTGTTCTAAGAAAAGAAAATGTGCTGGAAGTAAGAGAAAATAATATGGAGACAGAACTAAATTTGTCTTTTAAGGCAACAGTTTATACACTTGTTTTGATAAATGGATTATTATTTCCAATGTAAAATATCATTTACATCAAATTAGTAGGAAACAACTTTTCTTAGGAAAGTGTACAAACTTTCAAAAATATACATTCCAATGACCAACAAAGGAAAACAGATTCAACCCGTAATCCTATACTGTTTTGTAATACAAAGAAACAATATATTAAAAACAAAATACTGAGCAATGCATTATGACATTTTATTCCAATGATCACTGTTAAAGTAACACCGTTCTCAAGAATGAGGTTGGTCCATAGGAAAAGGTGTAGTATTCAGATAATCGCAACCCTCTTTTCAGAGTTATGCTTATAGTTCGTTGCCCAATACACTTTTTCATTTACTTCTGTTGGGCATTTTCACAGAGCCTTATACATAATCCTCTTTGAAAAAAAGTGAGCATACTTGCTGAAAAGAAACTCAAGTTCACATAAAACAAATTTTTACATTAATCAAAAATAAAACCTCACTGAGTTTTCAGTTTGGAGAATGCTCTGAAAAATTCTAAAGTGTAAAGTTATTGCAGGTGTATAGATTCTGAAACCATTTGATTTGAGCTTCTGCAAAAATGCATACACTGTACTAAATAATAAAAAGATCTAGTCGTACTCTGGGATGCAGATTGGGAGCATAGTTCCTAAGTTTATGCTTTTCCAAGTCTGGTTGTTTTCTCTGAATATTCCACAGGGTGGCAGTGCAGGAAGGCCATATGCTGTTAACAATTCCATTCAAGATGAACCTGCCAAAGAATTTAAGGCTCTCTATATACAATTCTGAACTAGGAGTTGATGATCAAGTGGATTTAATTTTTTAAAGAAAACAAATTGGAAGATAACTCACATTAAAAATGTTTTCACTTTGTTATTTTGTTTTGTTAAAATCACTAATTTTCTTTAAATAGTGACTTCATGTACTCTATTCAATGTGTGATTTGATTTAAATGCCATATTCTAATTACCTATAGTATAATAAGTAGACTATATTCCTTCTGAATATTGAAAACATGGGCTATGCTATAGGGCCATTAATATGAAAATAAATTTTTGAAAATCAAAATTATAAGCTGACAAGTATCTGTATGTTATACTAAAATTAAGATGAATATTCACAAGCAAAGGTAAAACCATTTTCTTTAATCAAGAAATATGAGAGCACAAACACATTTTTGATATTCCATAGAGGTTTTGAATGTTTAATCAAGGACTTCCTTATTGTTATATAAAGTATTCTAAAATTAGTTGCTTGTATATTCTGTTTGTTCCACTTTTATGACACAGTTGACTTTTTTAAGGCTAATGAGTAATAAACATAGCTGGTACTTGCTGTGAATTTCTACAAAATCTGTTTAGCACATGCCAAGTGTAGAAAGTTTCAGCAGCTGGAGATGATGCATAGTAAGAGATTTCAGAGTTATTCTGCAGGCCATGCATATCCTGCTGGCAGGATCCTCCAAGGAAAGCACTACTCATTCGAGCTGCATTTGATATATGTACTCAGAATTTGGAAATAGATCAAGAACTTGGATATACTCTGGGTGGTTATCTCGATGATGTAGTAAGAGTGTTTTTCTAAAATATTGTAAAAGCAAAATTCGATTATTTCAAGCCTTCTTCCTGGTTCCTGCTCCCTTCTCTGCCCTCCACCTCCCTACTTCCTTTGTCATCCCTAGGCAACTTAAACATTTGTTTTTTCTTTTTCTTTCGTTCTTTTTGAGACAGAGTCTCACTCTGTCGCCCTGGCTGCAGTGGCACGATCGTGCGGTGGCATGATCTCGGCTCACTGCAACCTCTGCCTCCTGGATTCAAGTGATTCTCATGCCTCAGCCTCCCAACATGGCTGTGATTATAGTTGTGCACCACTACACCTGGGGCTAATTTTTATATTTTTAGTAGAGACGGGGTTTCACCACGTTGGCCAGGCTGGTCTCAAACTCAATGGGTACATGAATAAAATGTTTCTCAGCATTATTCTAAGATCTTGCAGTAATGAGGAGAGCATGACAAGTTCTTACCAAGTGAAATTATCCCACTGTGGCTCTGCTGCTGTTCTGAGAAAGTCAGAACAGCTGACCTCAAGCAATCCACCCACCTTGGCCTCCCAAAGTGCTGGGATTACAGGCAAGAACCACCATGCCTGGTGTTACTTATGTTCTCTTTTTCAGTGTTGTTCTTTGTATGTCTTTTTGTTGTTTTAATGTTTCTTTTTTATCAATCATTTCTGGCCATTTAGACTGTGATTAGCACCTGAAGTGGAACAGTTTTTAAAGAGCACTGGGGGCAGTCTCTGTCATCATGATCCCACTGTCTTGGTCTCAAAGGGACTCTATCGCTGTGGCCAACCTTTGGCTGAGGATGGAAAAAGGAAGGGGACTCTTGATGATGGAGTGGGCTGATGCGGGAACAGGAACCTGGGTCAAATTTTCAACTTGTTCATGAAGATATTTATTCTGTAAATGACTTTCTCAGAACAGCAGCAGAGCCACAGTGGGATAATTTCACTTGGTAAGAACTTGTCATGCTCTCCTCATTACTGCAAGATCTTAGAATAATGCTGAGAAACATTTTATTCCTGTACCCATGCTGGGCCTCCTCCTAGGCCTCCACCTGAATGTACAAGAGCTGTAATATTTGGCCTCATGTTTGTTCAGCTTTTTCTAATGCAACTCCGTGTTCTAAAAGTTATCCCTTTTTATTATTTTGTCATCATTATTTAAGAAGGGAGCTGACATACTCCATGGATAGTCAATTCCTAGAGTTAATAAAGAATACAGTAGATATCTTTGCATTAAAAGTGCCAATAAGGATGTTTACCTTTATATGTGTTAGGAGATCTTCTGCTATCAGTGTCACCCTGAATCAAGGGAGGAACTAGGAAGTAAGAGTTTATGGTCATCAGATACTGTGGCCTAATGTCCTTCAGAGAATACCTTTGTGTGAACTCTCTAAAAGTTTATTCCCAAGAAAATACAACATACCTTAGAGACGAGCCCTCTACTGGGGGCACCAAACTCTTGATACCTTCATATAAAGCAAACAAAAGGAAGAAAAGAAAAGAAAGATCCAGCTGGTTTGATGAAAAATTACCATTCATATGTTAATAGCAATTGTTATAATATTTGATGCAGCCCCAAATTCCTGCAAGAAGGAACAGTTATTCTGACTTGTATGGATATTAGGCCTATTTAATGTGATACTGCCAATATCCACTTTGCAAGTCAAGTACTTATTTATAAACAGGGATGGCAAACAGCCATCAGAATAATGTTTATTGATCACCTCTTCAGACACATTTTAGGCTTCTTTGAATGTTTGGAATTCTGATTTCATTTCATGAGATAGGTAGGATAGAGTTAAGGCATACAGTTTGTGATCCAGGTGGCATGGAAAACAGGCTAACAGACAGATGGAAAGGAATGAGTCAGAAGGGCAAAGACACCACGAAGAATTGTTTAGATGTATATGGCTGAATGTGGGACCTTTTTGTGTTAGATGTTGTCCTAGGAATTTACATTTTTTAAATTATACTTTAAGTTCTGGGATACATGTGCAGAACAAGCAGGTTTATTACATAGGTATACACTTGCCATGGTGGTTTGCTGCACCCTCCCACCCGTCACCTACATTAGGTATTTCTCCTAATGCTATCCCTTCCCTAGCCCCCCCACCAGCTAACAGGCCTCAGTGTGTGATGTTCCCCTCCCTGTGTCCTCGTGTTCTCATTGTCCAACTCCCACTTATGAGAGTAATTTATATTTTAATGATGGTAATAATAATTATGATAAATACTTTACTTCGGGGGTCCTTATTCCCCAGTAGTGGTCTGTGGCCTGTTAGGAACCGGGCTGCACAGCAGGAGATGAGCAGTTGTCCAGAGAGCAAAACTTCATCTGTATTTACAGCCGCTCTCCATGGCTAACATTACCACCTGAGCTCCGCCTCCTGTCAGATCAGCAGCGGCATTAGAGTCTCAGAGGAGCACAAACCCTACTGTGAACTGAGCAAACCCTGCTGTGAACTGCACAAACCCTACTGTGAACTATGTGTGTGAGGGATCTAGGCTGTATGCTCCTTATGAGAATCTAATGCCTGGTGATTTGTCACTATCACCATCACCCCCAGATGGGACCATCTAGTTTCAGGAAAACAAGCTCAGGGCTCCCACTGACTACATTATGGTGAGTTGTGTAATTATTTCATTGTATATTACAATGTATTAATAATAGAAACAAAGTACGCAATAAATATAATGTGCTTGAATCATCCCAAAACCATCCCCCTCTCCTGGTCCGTGGAAAAATTGTCTTCCACAAAACCAGTTCCTGGTGCCAAAAAGGTTGGGAACCACTGCTTTACATGCATTAACTTAATCCTCAAAACAAACTTATAAGGTTTACATTTCTTTCCCTGTGTTATAGATGAAGAGGCTAAGTCTCAGAGAGGCTGTTCCTTTAACCTGGGCTTACACAGCTAAGAGATAGTAGAGTAAGAATTCAAATCCAAGTTTTTTTTTTATTTCACACCTATTTGTGTTATGAAATATGCCTTTAAAACTCCATAAAACTTAGCCTTCTGAGAAATGAGGAAATAAGAAGTCATGATTTTTCTCTCATTACCCACAAGTTGACTGTGTGTATTTTATGCTAATAAAAAAATTCTCTGGGGTAAAAAACAGCAGTAATACGTGTAACTAGGATAACCATACCCATCGATTGCCTGGGACAAATCATTCAGCTCTGTTACCCTGGTGCAGTTATTGATAGCACCCCCTTTCAATCTTAATAGTGTCCTGATTTGAACAAAGAATTACATCGTCACCCCGAATTTAACCTCATTTTTCACCAGAGCAGATTCTGAGAATAGAGAAGCCCTGCCAGTTTGGAGTTGATGAACAGATGGCTAGTCATTTCTCTTGCACTCTATGGACCACCGATACCACCTCATTCTAGGCATCTTTAGGGGAATGACAATGTTTGGTCTTTGGACTATTTGAAGGCAGATATTACAGGGTACAGACCAGTGAATTCTGGGCTGGTATTCCCACACACTCCTATGTCTAAACATTCCAGTTCTCCCTCTTTGATTTTCTTGGCATTCAGCCTTCAGGCAGACTTTCTGCCCAGACTTCCAAGCCTATGAGCCATCTACCACACTGGTGCTAGTTAAATGCATTGTTCAGAAAAACTTTAAATAATGGACTCTGAAATGATCATTATATTTTTTGATGAGCCAGATAAAAAAGCTCAAGTAAAATTTCCAAAAATATAACTTCATATGATTGTTTACTACTTGTATATAAGCATATCTGCATCCACATAGGATAAATATACTTTTACCAGTCACCACAGTCAAGTAGGACTAACAATTTCCAAACCTTCCTTTTTTTCTTTTAGAAAAACGGTGTGAGGATCAAAGTAATGGTTTGTATTTAAATGTTACATTAAAATATGAGATTCAAAGTGATGACTTACTGAATAATATATACTGTTAATAATATGTTTGTATATAGAGCTCTAGTGTTTTAAAGAAATTTTGCATCGATTAGCTTACTTAATCCTCCAGCACTCGTGTGATGAAAGTAGGACAGGGAATTTTGTCCATTTTTATAGAGGAAGCACCTGAACTGTGGAGAAGCTAAGTGAATTTTTGCCAGTTGGGAGCCAAGCCAGGGCCAAAACCAAGAACTGTCCTTCCAGGCCAAAAGCCTTCTGCTGAACCAATGTTCCCACTGTTCATCTCTATTCTGTCAACACATTCACCCAAAAGCTTAAAAATCATGCTTACTTTCTTATACTCACTTCTTATTTTTCCTACAAAAATAAACTCTTAATCTTTACTAATCTGTAAAGGCTTTTTAGAGAAAATTCTATCCATTCTATTTGGGGTAAGAGTACCTATTTTACTTGGAATATGTGTACCCTCTTTTCCCCCTTTTTCTCCTTGCCTTTCTTTCCTATTCCACATCTCCTTATATAAGTCCCTTTTACTTCCTTTCTTTCTTACTTTCTCCTAGACTTACAGAGAAACAGGAAGGAAGATAGGCTGCTTGAGAGAAGATAACAAAGCACCTCAAGATGTGTTATTTATAAGTGACTCAACAATTGTCAAATAGTTGGATCTGATGGATTACAGAGATTCAGCATCATAACTTCAAAACCATGTGACTTTCATATCAGCAGGCTCTGGAATTCCCTTGGGTTTTTGCCTGTCATAAAATACCTGAGATGGGGTCCCTGGGTCCTGTAATCACATTTATTTTTGGCAGTTGAATTAAAGCTAGATTTTAACACTGAACTTTTGGGCTCCAAATACATAAGTTATTTATATTATCCAATAACACATAGACATTTAAAATAAGCAGCCCTTATTCCTGAAGATTTGACAGGAAATCATATTTCTAATTTCTTCTGTGAATTATCTTCCTCACAACACAGAAGGCAAGTTAAGACATGTCTTTCTCCTACCAAATCTAGAAAACCTTTCTGCCAGCATTTCTCCTTTGCTTATGCATATTTAATACAAGTAGATGTGGTCCCCAAGAGGTCAGAGTTCGTTCTATGTCCATGGAAACCTTGTTGGAAATTACCTTGCCCTTTCTATTCAAGGGAGAAGATAATACTGATTTATTCAGGGAAACCCAACATATTCCCTATCTAGCTCCTCCTTGAGTCTTAAGATGTGATTTCAATGCCAATGCAGTTTCTAAAAACAAATGTTGCTTGAATTTTCAGTAAGTCACTGTTATCAGGGCTGTGGCGTCTGCCTTACGTCCCTGGCTCCTCTGGGAACGATGTCATGGTGTAGTGATGAAGCAATCAAGTCACTTAAAAAATAACCATGAACAATAGGAAATTGTAAGGGGCAGCTTATTTTCAATCTTTCAATCTTCATAGTGTCCTAATTTGTCTTTCTTGGGCTAAGCCACTAAAGCTAGTCACAGCACCATGTAAAATGAGGAGTTGTGTTTTCAGAAGCTAACCGTCTTTCAAAGGAAGGATGAGCACAGAATCAAGGCCTGGCTCCACACTTAGGAATTTGATAGAAGCGTTATTCTCGTGCTTGGTCATGTTTCAGACAGCCTCATTGTTTGAACTTCATGTTTTGATGTGCTTGTTTAATTCAGTGATGACCCATACAGGTCTTTGAGGGACTCTATAAACAACTATGAAGAGCTCACTGCCTAGACTCACTGCATGGAAATGCTATTTAATTAACCTTTCAGAATTGGGTATTAGAAGAAATGAAGCAGTTGGGAAAAGATAAGTGCAGGATACTGCTGATGTGGGCTCTGGGGCTAGACAGGTTATGGTACAGATTGCCTTCTAAAGTGCATGCCAGCCTCTTCCTCAAGGAAGATCTGAGGTGTTAAGATGCTCCCTAGTAACTGTGCATTGTTTAACTGCTTACTCAAATGTGTCCTTCTCAGATACTTGAGTAATCTCATCTGTTCAGTGCATTGTCAGAAAATCTGGGTTCTAGTCTAGCTCTACATCAAAGCCACCAACTAACCTGGTGACCTTGGGAAAATTGCTTTGACTCTCTGTGCATGAAGATTGGATGGCATCAGTATTTTTGTTTACCTTTTTTAATAACCCACCTATATTTTCAAAAACATTAAAATTTCATGCCCTTCTCTAATTTTTTTAAATCACAAAATGTCCGTGGTAACTATAATCAAAATGGCATTCATATTGGATAATGTTCTTTTGAAAGATATCTGACACTAACTTGATTCTGATATGTGCCACTTCTTTCACTTACCAAGTTTGAACTCCTGAGGTTTTTTTTTTTAGGGCCCGAAACCTTATATTCTGTCATGAGACCTATTTAGGCAAAAGTGCTTTTAAAAGAACCACTTTCTGGTTTTCTCTTATCTCTGTGGTTCCTCACCAAGAATGTCAGGAAAGCTTACTTTACTGTTTACTCTATTTTGACTGTGAACATCCCTGGGCTTTCACATCAGATGCCCACACATATACAGGTCAGAGTCAGGATATGTCAGTTAGTCTATCTCTCTTTATCTCTCCCTTTCTCTTTCTCTCAGTACCTTTCACTAGTTAATCTGAACCAGAAAGAAATGTTTACTCCTATCCATTTTGATATTCTCTGACTGCTTATTTGATTTACATGTAGCATTTTGTTGAATTAATTACCTAAATTGGAATGTTGGGTATAAATATTGCTCTGACTCTGTGAATTATTCTCTTCATGAACTTCAGCAAATGCTCAGTTGTTTTCCATGTGATAACACCTTCTTTATCACTTGCAATTTTGCCAGCCTGGTGGCATAGAATTGTCAGAGCAGGAAAGGAATTCGAAGCATCAGATTGGGTCCTCTCAGTTTTACAGAAGAGAACCTGAGGCTCCAAGTTCACTGCCATTGAGTCTCACTGGAAATCAGGTGTGATTTTGCTTAAATTTCAGCCTCTTCCTTAAGATGCCTATACAATGCCTACAGTTTTTCATAGGATCTATTCCCATTAGCTGTTCGTTACATATTGGCTTCTATACTTCATAATTTTGGAACTTGGGTGACCTAATTGAAGATGCTGATTTTTGCTTTGCTAAAAGCTTCTAAAGCTATAAATAAGTAATTGTGGGAAGATGCTTGACGGCCTTTCAGCTGAAATAATAATCTCTTGGATTGATAGAGTTTCTTTTTTATAAGAGCTAAAAGCACTTCTTACATATTAGCACATTTATCTTCAACATCCCTGTGGAACTAAAGCAACAGATTTCATCATCTGGATGATTCAACAAAACTTTGAGCAAAGATTTGCCAAATGACTCATTGCGTCTCCTGCCCATGAGTTCAATCTAAATTATTGGGATTAAAGAAATTGTAAGACAAAGTCCTGGCTTTGTATTAGTTATCATAATGAGATATGCAATTATGAGATGAGAAAGAAACACAGGAGGCTTTGTATAGGTTATTAAATTATAGAAGACAGTAGTATCGCAACTTGAGGTTGTGACTAAATTTAGGGACATGGCAGCTTTGGGAGCAGGTGAGATGGAATATAGATTTATGCTAAAACAAGGAGAAAGGAGAGAGGAGCAATCAGCTTATGATGAAAAGGCATCAACCATACAACAGAAGTTTTATTGGCCAAACTGGAAGCAGGAATCAAGGGGAGATCAAGAGGGATTAGACAATGTGGTGGGCTGGAAAGCTGAAAATACAAATCAACTGAAGAGGAAGAAAGGTAGTTAAAAACTGGTAAACATTTGTATACCACTTCAAGCTTTTTCAAATATTTTTGCTTCCCCAGATAATCTCCAAGGTTTGTTCTTAGTCAAGTACTCTTTTTTCTTCTTCTTTCCAAACCTGAGATATAAATAGGATGATTCATATTATACCCATTTTAACAGATGAGAAAACTGAGACCTAGAGAACCTAAAGGGCTTTCTCAAGGTCCCGTGGTAATTGGCAAAGACTAAACAATACTAATATCATTTAATCCTCTGGTAACTGACACTCATTCTACTTCCTCTTCTTACCCCTTGGTTATCTCTAAGCCTATTTGAACTTTAAGCCCAAGACCCAGTCCTTTATGTAGCTTTTGCTGACTTACCTCAGCCGTTCCCTGTCATGCCAGAGGAGCCCATCTTAGCTTCCTTAATCTTTCATGATCTATTTGCTATGTATTTTTTAGGCAAGGAAACTGCCTGCCTTGGGAACAAAATCTTGAATTCACAGATTATGGCTGTATCATCAGGGTTGGTTGTTTACTTAAGGAAGGGCTTTAGCCAAGATTAATGGCATGTGATGAAGGATGCATTGTTGAATCAGCTTGGCTTGCAGAGGTGAAATGAAAGGCAAAACCTTTTCTACTTACTAATGGCCATAACTGCAGCAAGAAATCTATTGTTTAAACACATAGAACTTGACAATAGAAGTGGAAAGGGAAACAGAATCACTACGTATTCCAATATTTCTTCCGAATACTTATTTTATAGTTTTGTCAATGTAGTAGCTCCCAAACTCCTTTTGTGTTCTTTTGTTGTTGTCCTCTGAACTCAAATCCATCTTTCCAGTGCTGCCAAAATTATTGGTCTAAAACACAAGTCTGACTCTGTCACTTACGCAGTAAAACCCTTCAGCAGCTCCCTCACTTGCCCACGGGAACAATGCAGCCTTCCTACCTGAATATACAAAGACTCCATCACGTGCCCCACCCAGCTCTCCAGCTTCCCTTTTTGTCACTCTCTACCCTGAAATGTATTTCACCTTACTTGAATTTCCACAAGCACCCTATGAACATAGTGTCACCTTTTCATATCTTTGCTGCTTCCTTTTTCTGTGTCTTCCTTTCTGTGCATTTCTGCCCTGAACCGTACTCATTTCCCATCTCTAGTTGACCTAAAGGCCCCTCTTTAGGGGTCATATATGCCTTTCTGTGTATACAATTGAAAGAAGAAATTGATTACAAAGTAATGTCTTTAAATTTCATTGTTTACCATTGTTAGCATCTCATGTAATCCCTGCAACCACCTCATACTTGGCACTCAGGCAATTAGAAAAGGTCAGTTGAATAGAATCAACCTATAAGAGGGATATTATCATCTAGATTTTTCATGTGATAAAAATCATTTTCAGAGCAACTCACTATCTTTCCCAAGGCTCAGAACTAGGAAATTGAGGGAACTAACTGCCACACTACAATGTATCCCACAATTCTGCTTTAATTTCTGTCTATTCCAGAAAATCGTAAGGGTGGAATTGTAAGGTTCTCAAGGGCAGAAATAACTTTTTTCTTATTTCCTGAACCCAAGCATATTAATATAGGAAGAGCTCAAAAATGTTTGGTGTAATTGACCTGAATTTTCTTCGTATGCCCTTCTTGATTATTTTTATTTTGGAGCTAGCTTCCATCTCTATCTTTGAATACTGTCTATACTAAAGAGTCACTATTTCCACAATTGTTCAACTGACAAATATGAAAGACTTGATTGGTATTTTTTTCCCTAAAATTAGTTTTCTAGATTCTCTTATTGGTGACCTTATCAAATGTCTCTCATAGACTCTCAGTATAATGAGAGTGATGGTATGATTTATCACACTTTTGAGAATGAAAGGGAACACTATTAACAATTATTTTGAGAGGACAAATGTGACTGGAGCTGTGCTGGCCAAAACCAGGATGTGTGGTCACCCTAAGTATAGTGACTCACAGATAGGGGTAACTTAAATTCAACACTTTTAACCAAGCCCTTAAATCAAACTTTTGTTGTCCTCTGATTTTATCATAGCATAGCAAAGTGCTGACAGTCAAGCACAACTTCTCAAAATGTAAAATTCCTTGACAAAATCTGGAATGCCCAAGGAAATAATATATATTTGCCAATATTAAAACGCTTATGTGAATCTCAAAATTAACTTTATTTTTCTTTAAAACCACCATCAGAGGTAACTTTTATGAAAGAATGGTAGGAGAGTTGTTTGCAACCAGCGTGCTGTGGCACTCTAGAATACATAAACCTTGCACAGGGATACTACCAAATTTAGATCAGTGTATAAAGTGTATATTCTGGGTTTTCATACATTTATTGGCATGCCTGTCTGGTAGCATCCTGGCTGACTTAATTGTTCATGAAATACAGTGGAGAGTGGGGACCAACTTGCTCTTATTTAAGAGAGAAAATGCTGGGTAACATGAAGCTATTGGTAAATATAAAGAGTTTTTAATAAGGATATACAAGAACTTTGTTTTATTAGTACATAAGGGATATAGTCAAGGCAGTTGTCCACAGAGACTCCAGCCTGAAGGTTATTGCAATGAAGAGTGACAACCACAGATACTATTCTAGATGTTCTGAGCTAGTATATTGTTATAGTTTGATTATTAAAAAGTCCTGGTAATAAAAATAGCAGAGTGTGCTGTGAAAAAAAAAAAGATGGAGAATCATTGTTGCAGAATAGATATTCCAGACTGCCCTACCTCCACCTTGTATTAAGACTTTTTGACTCAGAGGCAGCTATGGATATTGTTTTCTTTTTATTTCTTTTATTTAAAAATCAATGATTGTCAATAAAGGAAGGTGATGTGCAGATACCTAATGTGGAAATAGACCACAAGCAAGTTTTTTGGAAGTGATTGTCTTCTTTGGTGCTCCTCTTGCCCTAAAAGTATATTTAGGACATATTCATGGGAGAATTTCACTAGATTGGTTTTCACGTAGACAAAAACTACTTCCTTATGGGTCTTTTAAAATTATCTGGAGGTGTTTTGATTGTCATGGTGACTGAAGGGACACCACTGGGATCAGTGGGTGGAGGTCAGGGGTAGTAACAGCACTTTGCCCTTCAGTACACAGAACTATCCTGTACAGTAAAGAATTGTCCTTCACCAAATGTCAATAGTGCCTCATTGTGAAATGCCGTGGAAAGCATGTATTCCGATTTGGTAACATGTACTCTGTTTTCTCCGTATGTATAAAAGTCAAAGCAAAATTTTCACGTTTTAAAACTACTGAAAATCACTCCCACATGAGCTTTCTATTTCATTAGTATGATTATTTTGACTGAGAACGTTTTTTAATATTTGGCAAAGCTCTCTTTATTAGCTTGTGCAGTCTACCTAATTCTTATTTGCATTTTTAAAACTTCCCTTGTAACAGCTGTGCAAATGCCATTACAGCTTAGGAGGGAAAAAAGAAATAGGCTATGTTTATGAACCAAATTAATGAAAGGCATTATTAAAGTAAATGATTGCTGAAGCTTTATTACCTAGAAATGAATAAAATAATGTGTTGCTGAATCCAGGTAGAACTGAAATCCAAAAGATAAGAACTTTATAAAAAGACGTGTCACCCCGTGTCCCTAGAAGCATAGATTTTAATATTTTAGGCAGATCTTTATGATTACTTCAATGAACTTGGATAGCAAGAGGATCTATATCTCTTGACAAATCAAAAGTCTAGAGTAGTCTTTGTCAGTTAAAATTTACATTGCTAATAACATGTGAAGCAGAATAATTTTGTACATAGAAGATGCTCAGCAGGTATTTGTTGGCAGCTGTATAGATGAATAAGTTAATGGAAGAATGAATGAATTTTTGTTCCTTGTGGCTTTTTAGTAACTAGTAATCTGTGGCTCTAAGTCTTAGCCAAGGATAATTAATGGTAGAAACTTTGGGGAAAGACTTTGGTGGAAGTTGTTCAAAATTAAAAGACAAGACAGGGTCAACATTTAAAAACTACTGCAAGCAAAGAATCGGAGTCTGCAAATAGACTTCTTGATCACTAAAACTCAAGCCATGTTCAAATTCCTGCTCTATAGTATCTGATTTGAACTTTTGTCTAAGACCTTTTATTTACTTATAAAAATGTAAAATTTTTATACCCTTAGTTTTAACAATCCACATTGGGGTCAGGGCCTTCCAAACTAAAGCCACATTTCAATAAACTTCTTCCTTTTGGTCACCAGAGTATCCCCTAATTAACTAAAGCCTGTAGGTTTTGAATACAGACCTGACTGATACCACTTGTTTATACAGTAATGACCAATTCTGAAGGAGGATACAAATGCTGTGTTTACAATGTAAGAGTGTGGTTGGATTTTAACTACACACTTGAAAAGATCTAGTGGGATTACTTGTGCCTGATTAACACACCCTTGGAGTGCCTGTCTACTTATGAGATCTATGGTAGCCTGCTTTTTAGGGTGAGGATGGGAGGGGAACTCCTAGGGAGTCAAGGGAGGTCAGTCACAAGACCATGCCACTATCTACCTCCAGTACCTTCTGGCAGTAATTGTGCGCTCCCTCCCCTCATTGTCCTCCACTTGATTTTCCTTTGAGAAATCAAAACCTGATTTCTCTAGTTTCACAGGCTGGTAGGTTGTGCAACTGCCCCCTCCCCACTCTCATTGTGTCACTCTAGTTTACATGGAGTACTCAGAGATTGCAACCTTTCCTTTCCTCCCCCACGTTTATTAAGACTTTCCCTTTTTTCTCCACTTTTTTATTGTAATAAAAGATGTATAACAAAATTTGCCATTTAAACTATTTTTAAGTACACAATTCACTGGCATTAATTATATTCAGATGTTGTACAGCTATCCCTACTATCTATCTCCAAAATTCTTTTATCACCCCAAACATAAACTCTATTATTAAGCAATAGCTGCCAATTCTCCTCTTCGCTCCGGAAATCTCTTATCTCTCTCTCTCTGTGAACTTGCCTAGTCTAGGTATTTTATATAAGTATAATCATACAGTATTTTTTGGTGTGTGTTTTCACTTAACATGTGCTCAAGTTTCATTTGTGTGGCATGTATCAAAATTTTACTGTTTTTTAAGGTGGAATAGTATTCATCGTATGTAATTACTGTATTTCATTTATCCATTCATCTGATGAACAGTTGGGCTGTTTCCACCTTTTGGCTATTGTGTATAATGCTATGAATATTTCACAAGTAAGTATCTGTTTGAATCCCTGTTTTTACTTCTTTTGGATATATATCTAGCAGTGCAATTGCTAGGTAATAGGGTAATTCTTTGTTTAACTTTTGGAGGAACCACTTAAGGTAACTTTTTATTCCCTTTTATAAAAGGGATCTCTCCTTTTCTTCCTCCCAAGCCAGAAGATAGCCAGATGCTCAGAATCTGCATCTTATGTGTAAACACTGTTCATTTAGGGGACAACAGGATTTCAGGTGTAATAATGGTTCATTTTGACACAGACTAATTCAAGGCACAATACTGTCCTAGAAACTTTTTTTTTTAATATATGCCCACTAAGTGGGACACTTACTTTTATTCTCTGGGTGGGATCTCATTGCATTCCTCTAATAAGCTGACCAGTAACCATCTCAGTAGCTGTATGATCTACCTCTTTGAAGAGGAAAGACTGTGCCAAAAGGCCTGGGGTCATTCTCTCTCTTCTGATGCTTATTCATAAAGCTCCTTCTCTCTTCAGCTAGACTGTAAGTTTCTGAGAGAAGATGCTTTCTGTGGTCCAGGCTCTCAACGTGGGTCAGTGCCTTAAACATGACCCAATAAAGAGCTAGTGAATAGTACAAGCGATTTGGGAGCCACTTTATTCTGTTTTTAAATAGTGTTGCATGGACATTTAATAAATTGGGTGATAAAATATGCCTCTGTGTGGTAGTCAAAAAAAAGTAATCAACCCATGTTAGGTGAGTGCTCCAGACAGCTCACTAGGTCTTCCCTATGGTATATAAACAGAGCTGCTCTGGTGTGCAAAGCTGTTTGTTTCTGCCTGCCATTGGGAGTAGCCAGTACAATGTTTTGCTTAATGGCGTCAAAGTGGACTTGTTATTTGGAGATCATCCGTGTCAGATGTTTGGTTTTTGTTATTTAGTGAGAGGTCATTGGCTAATTTGCTACAGTGGAGATTGAATCCTAACAGGAAAACAAAGGTAATGACTGCTAGCAGAAATACTCTAAGATATGTAGAGAAAAGAAAAGCAAGGCCCAGAGAGGTTGGATGTAAAAAAATGACTACCACAGATGAATACTGGAGTTATCGAGTTCGGTTTTGATGTTTTACTGAGGTCTGCATCCCTGTGAAAGTGTGGCCTCACCTGAAGTTAGGATTCATTCCAGGTGTCTGTTTTCTCTTTTAAAAAGGTAGGTCCCTGGACTAAAAATTAGAAATCAGAAGGCAGGCTTAGGTAGGCAGGAGAAGGGACTCTGTTTCTTCCTGAATGTAACAGGCCAAGAGGGCATCCAACATATCAATGCAGACACTTTGCTTCTGACATTCTTGTCTTTGATGATGTCCTGTTTTAGCAAAATGAGATGAACATTGGAAGGAATGTAAAGTTCAGAGGCTTAAGAACTGTGGTGCATGGAGTTTTTCTGCCAGCCCAGGAGGCCAGGTGCTCTTTATATGTGCAAATTTTCTAGCAGATGCAGGATAGGGCCAGGTATGCTAACTTAGAGCCTGTGGTACCAGGGCCCATGTCTTTGGCTTAATACAGTTATAGACTGTCAGAGTAGGAGCAGGGGCCTCTGAGATCATTTAAATTTTTGCTCTTCATATAATAGATGGGAAGAATGAGTGATGTGCCATGCCCAAGCTCCCATTTCAAGCCAATGACTAAGATGAAGCTGAAATGAGGTTTCCAAACTCCTGACCCAGTACTTTTTCTTTAAATTCATCTCTTTCCAATGGATTTTTAAAATGAGCTTGTGGGACATTTGTAAATGTTTCCAAAACTTTAAACTTCATTTAAAAACAAACAGGTTTATATTCAGTAGGAGGTTGGATTCACACATTAGCCATTTAAGACAATCAAATTGAGAATTTCAACCTAAAACTTGTACTTTGTTTTTGAAATCAAAAACACTTAGGAGAGAATTGTTTTTTAATATGTATTGTAAATATTACAAATACAACTCTAACACTATGCCTTCAAAAGAATATAGATTTAGAATCTCGGTTTTGATCAGTTTAAGAAAACAGAATTTTATGAAACTCAGGGTGTTTTATACGTTTGAAAAGGTCACCCTAAATAAATACAGGAATTAAATAATTTTTAGGCTCTCTTAAAATTTCTGTTTAGGGTTCCCAAGTCAGATACAGAATGCCCAGTTAAAATTGAATTTCAGATAAACAAGGCTTTTTTTTTTTTCTAGCGTAAGTATGTCCCATGCAATATTGGAGACACATTTATACTTTAAAAAATATTGTTTATCTGATAATTCAGATTTAACTGAGAGTCCTATATTTTACTTAATATGGCAACCCAATTTTCATTATATTTATTATTTTGATATTATTATTATGTTGTTAGATTTTCTTTAGATTATCCACAGTTTGGGTGCTAGGCATTAAAAAATGAATAAAACCCACTTTTCCTCAAGAAATATAGAGGAAATATGAATAATGCAATAACTGCAGCTATGAAAGCAAAGACAAAGGGTACTTGGGCAGCCTGGTGATTAGGGAAGGCTTTTGCTGGAAATGATACTTAGGCGCAGGTGTAGCAGATGAGGGAATGTTAACCACCTAACGAGACATAGGAATGGGGTTCCAGGCAGAAGCAATGGGAACAGTGAGTCAGTGTGGTGTATATTTATTGAGGCTCTACTGGAAGTCAGAGTTGGGGAAGCTTTTGAAAACATAGTCACAGTGGTGCTTCAGATGGACCATTCTGGCTGTGACCTGGACAGTGCATATCAGGAGGCCGGCATTAGAGGTAAGACAGCTTGCAGGCTGCTGCAATAGTCCATCTCAGGAATGATGAGTCAGAACTAGGGCTCTGACAACTGAAGGAGAAGGAACAGATCAAAAAATATGCCACAGGCAAAATCACCTGTCCTTTCTTATTAGTCAGATGTAGATCTCACAAATAGTAGGTGGTAACTTTTCTTGAAGTGTTTTCACTTCAAGAAAATAGAAATGTGTATGTGGTAAAAGCAAAATTTTTTTAAAAAACCTTTCAAGTATGATTAATAAATGTTTTATTTTGAGTGATTATCTTGATAGTGTGTCTACATGAATGCCTGTTTACTAAGCAGGGGATCCAAGGGTATTCAAGAAAAAGACACTGGTACCCATTTTCTTAATGTTCCTTCCCCAGAATTCTCTTTAGGGAGTAGGATCTGATTTATTTCTGTTGGTCCTAATTGTGACATCATCCACCTGCCAGTCTGTGTCCCTCCAGTAGTACCAGCTAGCTTTCCATGAAAACCACAGCAATTCCTGCAGATTTTCATCCATTCTTTCTGCAGGTTGCTAACTTCATAGGTGGCACATCACCTTTCACTTATATCTTTTTCTTCATCCATTGTTCAATTGCAACCAGCTGCAAACAATGCCTGCTCAGACATCTGTTTCTGAGATCAGGACTATTTTATAAAACACCAACCTTATACAGAATTCCTCCATTCCCAGGAAACCAGGCCTGCACTAGTAAACTAGCTGGATAGTCAGATCAGCCTCTATATGTGTTTTCATTCCAGGTTTCAGGCAGTGGCCAGGTTTATAACTTTTTCTTTATCCCTGGGGGCACTCAGTTTTCTCAGCTGACCCCCCGTCAAGTTGCTGTTTCTCAAACCACCTGGATCATGGCCTAATGATTCATTTTTACTCATGACATCTTCCAGAACCTTTATGTCTAATATCAAGGACTCACTTTTTCCCTGAGCACACATGTTCCCCAGAGATCTCTGCTTAATCTCAAACTTTTTCTTGTCAGTTCAGCACTGTGCAGTTAATGCAGTTCTTTCCTGCCTGCTGTTTGCTGAGTGTTATCCTCCATTAGGTCTTCCTGCCTCATCTGGATATCTTTCCTAGCCTCCGCTTCTCTCAGCCATCCTTTCTTTACCACCATCTTCTTCCCTTTAGACTCATTCTCCAAGTCTTGGAGAACAGTTTATTCTTGGTACAATTTTCTCTCAAAAACCATTTTTGTAGTCAATTCTATTATGGTGTAATTTATATATCTTAAAACACTCAGCTTTAAGTGTACGGTTTCATGGATTGTAACAAATGAGACCCCCTGGAACCACCAGTGGAATGAAGATACAGAACATCACTGCCCAGTAAAAGTCTGAGTGGTGATAAAAATGTTCTATGCTGTCTAATATGGTAGCTATTGGCTACATGTTGCTATTGAGCATTTGAAATGAGCTAGTGTGACTGAGAAAATGAATTTTTAACTTGTTTAATTCTAAAAATGTTAATACATGTAAATAGCCTTAGATGGCTTCTATATTGTACAGCTTAGATGTAGAACTTTTCCATCATTCCAAAAGTTTCCTAATGTAACACTTCTCAGTTAGTCTCCTCCCCACAACTCACCAAGCACCACAGATACTGAATTTTGTCACTTTAGAACTTCATATAAATGAAATCATATTGGATGTCCTCTTTGGTTTGGCTTTTTAAAAACACCACATTTGAGATATAATAAACACACCACACAGTGCACCCATTTAACATGCGCTTAATGATTTTTAGCATGTTCACAGATACATGTGTCTGGCTTATTTTGGTTAACATGTTTTTAAGAGTCATCTGTGTGGTTCCATGTAACAATAGTTGTTCATTATCCATCTTCTATTTTAATAGAAACAATCCATCTGTGCTACTGTAACAAAATTCCACAAACTAGGTGGATCATAAATAACAGAAATCTATTTCTCACAGTGTCAGAGGCTGAGAAATCCAAGATTAAGGTGCTGATAAGATTGGTGTCTGAGGCCCATTTTCTGGTTCATAGATGGTGTCTTCTCATTGTGTCCTTACATGGTAGAAAGGATGAGGGTCTTTCTTGGGTCTTTTTTATTTTTTTTTAATAGGGACACTAATCCTATTCATGAGGACTCCACCCTCATGACTTAATCACCTTCCAAAGGCCTCATGTCCTTATACCATCACATTGAGGGGTAGAATGTCAACACATGAATGGCGGGGGGGTGGGGGGCACAAATTCAGACCATACAATGAACCAAAATATAAACTATTACTGCTTTTACCAATGCCATATGTAAGTGTACTAGTATCTGAATGAACAGGAACTTTATTCAATGCACCTATTGCCCATTAAAATTTTTTGTCAGGTACTATTTTCTTTGCTGCTTGGGTGAAATATTAGGGCTTAAAGCCCCATGACTCTCCTATAACAAACAGCCTCTGGCCACTTTTGGTCACAAAAAATACTTTCATTTAGGAAATTAACAGGTTCATTTGAGTATAACAATAATAATAATAACCCAGAATTTCATTGGATGATCAAGCCTCTTCCCTTCTCCAGCTCCAGCCTGATTGGAAGCCTGTAGCAGGGTGTGGGAACATCGAGGTTTTGTGCCCACTTTCCTGCTGCACATTTATCCTCCCTCCCACAGGTGGCTAACTCTGGACACTCGGGTTGCAGCAGGTGGAGGGAGCAGAGGCGGGGACGACCACTGATGTCATCTGGCAGTAGTTCCCGCTGGTCATTTAAGAGGAATTTAAAGGTTCTTTTTACGTTTTGCAGATGATCCAGGCTGCCTCTGAATGATTGTAGTTTTTAGGAGTTTCCTTCCAAAAACACAGGCTGGTCTGCTCATTTTCCTCCCTCGGCCTCTGGGAATAACGGAGGCATGATGCTCCTTCCACAAGTCCTTGTAGGCAGGATTTTCAGTAGCTCCAGGCCAGACTGTCTCTTTCTACCCCATGCCCCACAGCTGATCACAAGAAACACCTGTGCCCTCTGGCCTTGCTGCAGGTGGGGCACGGAATTGTAGGCAGCTGACAATACAATCTGGTTTTTCTTTCTCCTGCTGCCTCCCTTCAATAGCCAAAGCCTCTGGCATGGAGATTCCCCCAGGCGTGTGTCAGGGACTGGTCCACTCAGCCCCTGGAATTCCAGAGGACCTCGAAGGAAATTCCTCGACTCTGTTCTCACAGTCATTGTGGGTGGAGATTAGTCACAGCATACTGATAATATCTCCAAATGATTCCTCTCTAATCTTCAGTGCCTCCTCTCAGCCTTTCTAATACAGTCTGAAGGTGAGAACGCTAAGGCTACTGCTTTGGCAAATGCTGCTCAGGTGTCTATTAGCTCACTCTGAAAGGTGAAGGTAGCTGCCACCAACTTTTTATGACTTCAGCCAAAAAAAGCGATGGAACCATATTGTTTGGACATCCAGTAATATATAAAGTAAGATTTTTGCCAGCATTGAACCATCTACCCTTCTCTGGTAGTCCATGGCACGTAGGAGAGAAGGCATATTTATTTAAACCTTCCCCTCCTTCCAATACCTGTTCCTCCACCATGGCTTCCTTCCCTATCTCCAAAGGAGATCTCCCTCAAAAAAATTGTACAGCTTCTTGTATATACCACCTTTTTTGTTTTGTAATTAATTAGACAAGCTTGTCCTTTACTGTGGTTATTTGTGGATACGCCTTGTGTTCCTTGAACTGCACTGAAGATCGATCTTCATTGTTATAAAGTTGCATGTTCCTGAGAAATTTTGTATATTCCTGTTATGTTTCATAATCCAGTCCCCATGGATATGGGAGTGTATTGAATGGCTGAACACAACAGGCTCTGGTTCAGTGCTGCCCTCCCCAGCAGGAAGTGGGTTAGTGGACTTGCTGGGAACAGGATTGAATCTATTCTACAGAACAGATCTCTTGTGGGCATGTTTTACATGATAAATATAAATGCTGGTAACTTAAAATGCCATTGATTCTGTGATGTGAGACTAATTGAAACCACTTTTTTCAAATCACAAATGTCTTAAAAATTGGAGACAAAATTACAGTGCCTATATTGTAATATCAATATTTCCTCTTATGTTCAACTTTCATGAATTACAGAGCATTTGAGAGAGTGTTTTAGTTTTTTCTGTTTGTTTTTGAGATAGGGTCTCACTCTGTCACTCAGGCTGCAGTGCAGTGGCACCATCATAGCTCACTGCATCCTCAACCTCCTAGGCTCAAGTGATCCTCTCACTTTAGCCTCCTGAGTTGCTGGGACTGCAAACAAGCACCACCACACCCAGCTAATTTTTTTCATTTTTTTGTAGAGATAGGGTTTCACCATGTTGCCCAAGCTGGTGTTGAAATCCTAGGCTCAAGTGATCCACCTGCCTCAGCCTCTCAAAGTGCTGGGATTACAGGCATGAGTCACTACAGCCCACCTGTTTTAGTTTATGAAATATCAATTAAATACTCTGCATGATTCTGAATAGAACATTTCGAGTCCCTTTTTTTCTGGGGTAAAATTGATTTTTCCCCAGACTTCTGTAGGATTACTTATTTTATTTTGCAGAATTTCCCAGATTTCCCAAAGGTTAATGTGATATTTGATGTTGAGCAATATTGTTTTGGAATTCAAGTAATAGGTCTTAGAGGTTTTCATATTGTCTCCATAGAGAAGAGAAGTTACTCAATAACTACCTTGGGAACTAGAGAAGATTGTCAGTATAATAAAAATTTTATCTGTCATCTTTTCAAGCACTTATTCTGTAGAGCTTTAGCTGAGGCACTGGCATGGAAGTTTTACAGGTAGTAACATAAAGGAACGTGGTAGCCCACAGTTTCATATTCATTCTCATTCATTTCATGAATTCTTCACTTGTATACTATGTGCCATAGCATCAGAAGAGGAAATAGACTTCTTTTATGAACTTAATATTGCCTTTAGTAAATTGGCCAAAATAAAGTCTTCATTCAATGTCATAAAACTTTACTGAGGAAGAAGTGGCTAGAATTGCTACAATTCTCTTTTATAAAAAGGCTCAATATTAGTGTCATAGAAAGGTGATAATTATTTTACACTTTACAGTTCAGTTTTGTAAAGTCAGGTTTTATTGTTTCTGAAACTAGAAGGAAGGATTATTAATGAGTAGACTTTAGTGGATGATCCAACCTTTTATCGATTCATCAACTCTTTCAAGTATTTATTGAGACCTTATTATGTACCAGATAGCATGCTGGGTGGGAATAAAAAGATAAATGAGGTGTGCACTCTGTCCTCAAGTGGCTTTAGAGGGAGAAATAAGACACACACATTGAAATAATCATAATTCTAAATAGAAAGTTCTGATTGTCATTAAAGAGAGAAAATTAATCAGTAAAATGTTTGTTGCACATTCTCTCTGTGCTGGGTGTAATTAGCAATGGGGCTACCATAGTGAAAATTACAGACAGTCTCAGCTCTAAGAGAGCTACTATGGCTAAAGCTTCCTAATAGCTAGTGAGTAATTGACAGTGAGATTTTTTAACACTCACACAGCATATTAGTTAGGGTGTTCTGGAGAAACAGAACCAATAGAAAATATACACAGAAAGAGATTTGTTGTCAGAAATTGGCTCACTTGATTTTGGAGGCTGAGAAGTCCTGCAATCTTCATCTGCAAGCTGGAGACCCAGGAAAGCCAGTGGTGTAATGTAGTCCCAGTCCGAAGGCCTGAGAACCTGCAGAGCCGATGATGTAGATTCCAATGTGGATCTGAAGGTCTGAGAACTAAGCTGGAGAAGATGGATGTAGCAGTTCAGGCAATCAGGCAGGAAGAGATCAATTTCTTTTGTTCTCTTCAGGCTCTCAGGGGATTGGATGAGGCCCATCCACATTGGGAGGGCAATCTACGCTACTGAGTCCATAGATTCAAACATTAATCATATCCGGAAGCACCCTCACAGACTCACCTAGAATAATGCACCCCGAGCACCCTGCACGGCCAGTCAAGTTGACGAAAAAAATTAACACACATAGTTTGTCTACCTGGTGGCTGGGAACATCTTCCCACTTGCTTCCTAACCAGCAGCCATTGAGGAATCCCCTCCTTACATACCCTCTACGAGCCACTTTTATGGCTCTTTACTTTCTTATTTCTTCTATGGTGTTCATAAGCCTTTTAGAGATTCAAAGGTAGCTTTTCTTCAAGAAAGATTGCAGGATCCATTAGAACTAGGCAGTATGCAGCTGGGATTAATTGCCCTGGCTGTCTTCTAATTTTTTTAAATTTGACTCCTTATTTTTATATAGTACTTACTGGATTAAGCACTTTATAAATACTCTTTCATTTCAAAATCTCATGAGTACTTTCTTCTATATCCTCATTTCTACACTTTAGAAATGTGGAAACTGAGGCACAGGCAGATGGGGTCACTTATCTAAGGTTATTTTCCTAGTAAGTGACCATGCTGGGATTCATATCCAGGCAGTCTGGTCCTGGAGTCTGGGCCCTTCTCTAGTCCACTGTGGTGCTGCTTAATTCATTTCTATTCCTACTTCTACAGGGTTGGTGAGAGGGGCACAGAGGTACCTGCCCCAGCTGGAGTTAGGCTCTCTGCCAGTGTTCCCCACCTCCACCCCTCCAGAGACTGAGAAGCAGACTGCCTGCCACATGCTCCCTTCTCCCCAGACCTGCTCTATTAGAAGTGGTTCTCTTTTAGTTGCTGTTGTTATTTTCTCATACACACAAAAGAACCATCAAGAAAACATCTACTTATCCTTAATAGCACAACAACTTCATCTGGCTTAAAGAAGTTTAGCATTTCTCAGTTTAGGTTGCCTTGACCAGAAAGTACAGTTATTGCTAACCAGTTGTACATTCTGAAAGATATTTACCTCTGAACCCCGAACATAACTGGCCTAATTTTTGTCCCTCCTCTTCCTAATTCTGTGAGTCAGTGTAACCTAACTGCTAAAACAAACAACCTCCAAATCTAACATAATAAAAGTTTGTTTCTGGTTCACGTCACAGTCCAATGTGGCTTGGTGTAGAGGCTGCAGTTATTTGGAAACCAAGCGCCTTCCAGCTTGGGGCTCCATTATCCACCAGTTCCTTGGAGTTCCCCCAGTGGATCCTTGGTAGCTGGGTCAAAAGCCAGGAGAAGAAAAAGGAAGGAGAGGGATAAAGATTGGATGGGAGAGGCCAGGTACAGTGGCTTACGCCTGTAATTCCAGCACTTTGGGAAGCAGAGACAGGAGGATTGCCTGAGGCCGGGAGTTCAAGACCAGCATGAGCAACACATAGGGAGACCTTGTCACTGCAAAAAATGAAAAAAAAAAAATTGGCCAGGCATTCTGGTGTGCACCTGTAGTCCCAGCTACTCAGGATGCTAAGACAGGAGGATTCCTTGAACCAGGAGTTTGAGGATGCGGTGAGCTATGATTGCACAATTGCACTCCAGCTTGGGCAACAGATTGAGACCCTGTCTCAAAGAAAAAAAAATTGGGTGAGAGGTTTTTAAGGACCAGGCCTGGAGGTGCCACATGTCACATCAATCTGCATCCCCTTTCATCCTCAGACACATGGCTTCACCCAGGATCATGAAAATTGTTTGAAAAATATCTAGCCAGTCTCTGCTACACCAACCAAAGTTTGGTAAGAATGAATGTTCTTTTGGTTACGTCTTCCTTCTTCCCTCCCTCCATCCTTCCAACAAATATTTAAGGAGAACCACCTATTAAGTATCAAACACTCTAAGCTCTATGGAACACATTAGCAAAGAAAAACAGACGTTGCCCCTTCCCCCCATGGAGCTAAACACCTGGTGTGGAGAAATCACACAAAAAGCATGTAAAGTTGCAACTATGAGTAATGTCTTTTTTTTTTTAACTTTTTAAGTTTTTTATATAAAGAGGTGGGGTCCCACTATGTTGCCCAGGCTGGTCTCAAACTCTTGAGCTCAAGTGATTCTCCTGCCTCAGCCTCCCAAAGTGCTGGGATTACAGGTATGAGCCACCACACCTGGCCTGCCTACTACTTTGAAGCAAGGTGTGTGATACCGTGAAACCTACAAGGTTAGGAGTTTACTCAATCAGAATATCAAAATTCAATACTTGAGCTGATTCTTGGAGACTGTGGAGGCATAATCTAGGTGGAGAGGGGAAGTGGAGGGACTGGTAGTGGACCAGAGGGGATGCACCTATGGAGTGAGATGAGCCTAGACATGATGAAGCTGAGAGACTAGGGCTCAGAGCACGTGATCCGTGATAAAAGGGAGGTGGCAGAAGATGGTGTCATTCTGAGCTAAGAACACTGGTAGACTCGTGGGAGGCACATCATATATTTTTAAATGTTGTTGAGTTTGATACTTCCGAGGGAAGACATCAAACAGAGAGTTGAATTTTGGGATCAGAAGCTAGAGGAGGGGTCTAGGCTGTGAGTCATTCCACATAGATGATCCTTCAAGCTGCGGGCATGGATGAGGTGTCCTAGGCAGAGAGTACAGAGTGGGAGAGGAGAAGTCCCAAAGTGGAGACTGGATGGCCTCTAATGTTCAGTGGGAAAGCAAGCTGTTCTGCATCAGAAACAGAAGGAGCCCGACTCCTTTTGCAAAAGGAACTCTTCTGCAAAAGCTACTTTGTAAGCTTCATTTTCTTTTTTTAAAAAACTAACCAGTGGAAAGTGAATCAGCCAACTTCTTTATGTATACATCTTTTTACTTAATCAGAAAAGAATTCATTGTTTTTTAAACAAATGATACCCACATAGACTGATATTCTCCGCCATGAGCTATATGCAGGAATATTTGCAATAACTTCTTCATTTCAGAATGGAGACCAATTCCAATTGGTGGGAAAGGTGAAATTAATGCTATTGTTTATCTCTTGGTCTCTCCAGAAATGGGAAATTTGCTTTTGGTTTGGGTAGCAAGTTTCATGAACTGAACTTGCAAGCAATGCAAGATGATAATACGTGGCATGAAGGGAGGCTTTTTCTTTTTAATGAAACCCATAAAACGGAGAAATCAGCTGTAACCCTCACTGCAGTGCTAGCTATTTCTGTTAATTTAGGAAAAAGAAATTTGAACTCAGCAGGCAACTTGTAGTAAGGATTTTCACTTTGCCTTCCCAGATATATTGACATCGCTGCCTGCTTAAGGAGGACAGGAGAGTCAGGCAGAAGCCACATAATGATAGCGTTGCTCCATGACTGTTTGTTTTCTGAACTCCTTACTCTTGTTAATTAGTTAATGTGCCCAGTGTTATTAACTGATCTCAGAACCACATCTTTACTCAGAAGGAGTTGAGTTCATATAAAAGCCTGGCTGAGGGGTTTGGGAGGGGGGAAGAAGAGGAAAAGAAAGCCAAAACCCAACTGTAAGAGGAAAGCCTCCATATCAGGCCCAGTGACGGAAGCGTTTTCTGTGTATGCACTCGGGAAGGGATCTCTTGAGATAGCACTTTGGTCCCCAAAGGAGTAAAGAGATTGATACTTTCTTTTATGTTGAGATCTTTACTGCTCATTTCTCTAGAGTTATTCTTTCTTGTTACAGTTTGTATTAGTTCATTCTCATGTTGCTATAAAGAAATGCCTGAGACTGGGTCATTTATAAGAAAAGAGGTTTAATTGGCCCATTGTTCTGCAAGCTGTACAGGAAGCATGGCTGGGGAGGCCTCCGGGAGCTTTCACTTAAAGCAGAGGACAAAGCAGGAGCGAGCATCTTCACATGGCTGGATCAGGAGGAAGGTTGGGGAGGGGGTGCCATACGCTTTTAAACAACCGGATCTCATGAGAATGCACTCACCTACAGTACAAAGCGGGGACGATCTAAACCATTCATGAGAACTCTGTCCCCATGATCCAATCACCTCCCACCAAGCCACACCCCAACACTGGGGTTGACAATTAAACATGATGGAGGTGACAATTAAACATGGGTGGGGACACAGATCCAAAGTATACCACAGTGACAGAGAAATCATAAGCAGTCAGGCTGATAGAATGTAACAGAAAGTTCAAAATGGTAAGAGTGTTTCTTAGGAAAGGGAATTCCTTATTCTATTGCCTTCCATGGATTTATTCCAGAGAAGCCAGAAAGAAAATGAGAAAACATCACATAGAAGGTGGGTTGGAAAGTAAGTTGCCTGAGCAGATGGCAGCAGGGGTAGGGGCAAGTCAGCAAAAGTTATCATCGGTTATCCACTGTGTGCAGAGTATGGGAGACACAGTCAGGGCAGGCTAAGGTGTGAGCTTCCTCATTCATTCTTCACAGAAATAATCAAGTGGCAGAGATGGGGCAAACATAATAGAAAAGTGTAGCATCATTTTGCATTGCTTCAAAGGGGCAGAAATTCATTAAATGTGTGACATAAAATATCCAGTCATAATATTTATTGACAGTCTTCAGATAATTTGCTATATCTGATCTGTGCCATTTCTGAGCCCTATGTGAAAGTCATTTAATCTCTCTTGAGCCTCAGTTTACACAATTTATAAAACAGGAATTACAAAGTCATAAGATGGTTTATATAAATCTTGGCATGTAGCAGCTTTTCCGTACACATTGATGAATGTATAAATGAATGAATGAATGAATTACTTAGCACAGTGCTTGGCACATAATACTCATTAAATGGATCTATTATTGCTATGATGGTATTATTTTGGTAAGCCATTAAAGAAGGTGGAAGATATCTCTTCCCTTGTAACATAACACTCACATATACCCTCGCAACTTTGTCCAATGATATATTAATTAAGTGAGAAATGGTTGGATAATTTGCATCCTCACAATTCTGTAGAGGAGAATAAATTATAATTATCGCTAACATTTTCCTGCCTCCATTTCCTTCAAGGTATTTGGACAGAGGCCAGAAATAAGAGCTTAGGGGTGCCACATACTTCAAGAAAAGATCAATTTTCAGTGGGATTTTGAATACACAGCTTGGCACCAAGAAATAAATAAAATAATGTGGATTATGGAAGTGACCTGAGAGAAACTCAAAAGCAGGGGTTAACCAATTTGTTTGCTCTAGTTTAGTGTGAGAAAGAGTAACTGGGACTTTCATGTGATACAACAGAGTAGAAAATCTGCAGGCTTCTCAATGAATTTCTATCTGAAAGTTTGCCTAGAAAATGCAGGGAAAATGATATATTTCCATTTATAGTGCAACTATTATAGATTTACTGAACAAAAGATCTATTATGGCTGATTAATTTGGTCAAATGACATTAAACGGCTTGCTTTCCTGTTATAATTTGCCCGGGTGAAAGATTTGGTGGCAAAAAATGGTGAATGAGGAAAAGGCAAGGTAATGAAAAAAGACAAAAACAACTAAAATTTACCAACTATCTGCTATAAAACAGGCACTGTGCTAGTTACTTTATGAGAGTTAGCTAATTTATTTGTCGTAATAAACCCAAGTGATAGGAAAAACCAGATTAATTTGACTCTAAGTCAGTCCTTTTATTGATAATCTTTAATGAGAAAACCTAACTTATCTAGGGCAGGAGCCCTCAGCCCCCGGGCTGTGGACTGGTACCAGTCTGTAGGCCTGTTAGGAACCAGGCCACACAGCAGGAGGTGAGCCAGCATTACTGCCTATGCTTCACCTCCTGTCAGATCAGCAGTGGCATTAGAGTCTCAGAGGAGCACAAACCCTATTGTGAAGTGCACATGTGAGGGATCTAGATCGCTTGCCCTTTATGAGAATCTAACTAATGCCTGATGACCTGAGGTGAAACAGTTTCATCCTGAAACCATCTCCTAACCACCCACTTCCCCATCCGTGGGAAAATTGTCATTTATGAAACCAGTCCCTTGTGCCAAAAAGGCTGGGGGCTGCTGATCTAGGGGTCAGCAAACTACAACCCATGACCCAAATCTAGTGCCTGCCTGTTTTTGTAAATAAAGTTTTATTGGAATGCAGCCATGTCCATTTACGTATCATCTATGGCTGTTTTCATGCTACAAAAGCAGAGTTCAATTGTTGTGGTATTATGTATGGTCTGGAAAGCCTAAAATATCTACTATATAGCCCCTTACAGAAAGTTTGATGACAGAAAAAGTTTGACCCCTTTTATTGCCCTGACACTTTGAGCAAGGTCCTCTTTGAGAGTTTCTTCCACAAGAAAACAGAGATAATGTTGCTGGCCTTGTCTAATGTACAGTGTTACAAAAATGTAACCTGTTGTATATGAAAATTATATGTAAACTGAAAAAGGGTCTACCATGTAGTATTGGTTGCTTTTTCTCCCAACATGCTGTTAGGAGAATTTTCAAATGTAAAACAAAAAAAGTGGAAGAATATACAATGAATGCCCACATACCTGCCCTTAGATTCTACGATTAACATTTTGCTGTATTTGTTTTATTACCTATATACATTCTGTCAATCTCTCTATACATTCATTAATTTATCTTTCTTTTTATATATTTCGATACATAGATGTCAGTAAAATTCACCCTAAACACATTAGCTTATATGTTGTCATTAATTGGAGGTATTTATTTACTTTTTTCTTAGGTAAAATTTACATACAATGGAATGCACAAAACTTAAATGTACCAGTTGATGAATGTTGGCAAAAGCATATACTTGGTAACACAGATCTTTTTGAGACACAAAACATTACTATCACCCCAGAAAATTTTCTCCCTTCCCAGTCAATTCCCACCTCACTCCACTCCCAGAAGCAACCTCTGTTCTGATTTTTTTCACTATAGATTAGTTTTGCCTGTTTTAGATCTTCATGTAAATGGAACATACAGTATATACTCATTTGAGAAATGCTTCTTTTACTCAGCATAATATGCTCAGTAACAGTAGGGGTTTTTTCCTTCTTTAAGATTAATTGTATGAGTACACCACAGTTTGTTTATCCATTCACTTGTTAATTAACATCTGGGCTTTTATTTTTTTTGTTCCAAATAAAGCTTCCATAAACATTCTTATAGAAGTGTTTTTGGGCATATGTTTTCTGTCTCTTGTGGAAACATCTAGATGTGGAATTGCTAGGTTATAGGGTAGGTGTTTGTATTATTTTATAAGAAACTGCCAAATGTTTTTTCCAAGTGGTTGTGCAATTTCACACCCTCCACTCACAACGTATTAGAGTTCTGGTTGTTTTACATCCTTGCCAACATTTGGTGTTGTCAGTCTTTAATTTTAGCCTTTCTGGTAGATGATAGTAATATCTCATGTCAGATTTCATTTGCATTAGTCCCCAACTCTGTATGTATTGACCAATTTGTAAGTGTCTGTTAAAGTCTTATGTTCATTTTTAACTGTGTTTTTTATCTTTTTGTTTTGATTTGTTGGAGTCACTTATATTTTCTGGACACTGATCCTTGGACGGATATATTCTTGAAAATATTTTCTTCCACTCGTGGCCTATTCATTTTCTTAACAGTGGGCTTTGAAGTGCAGAAGCTTTAAATTTTAATGAAGTCTAACTTTTTTTTAAATTTTGTAACTACTATATTCTGTATACTGTATTAAGAAATGTTTGCCTACCCCCAGGTTGTGAAGATATTTTCCTATGTTTTCTTCTAAATGCTTTAGAGTTTAGTTTTTATGTCTAGATGTATGATTTTTCTTGGATTACTTGTAGTGTGTAAAGTAGGAGTTGAGGTTTATATTTATTCATATGGGTATTCTGTTGTTTTACATGATTTTTTCAAATGATTTTCCTGATTGAATTGCTTTGGTGCCTTTGTTGAAAATAAATCAATGATATAAGTGTAAGTCTGTTTCCCTTGCATTGATCTTTGTGTCTATCTTAATGCCAGTACCATACTGTCTTGATTATTGTGTCTTTCTGTAATAGTGAATTTTAAATTCAGGTAGTGTCACTCTTTCAACTTTGTTATTATTTTTCAAGATTGTTTTGGATATTCAAAGTTCTTTATATTCACATACAAATTTTATAATAAGTTTGTCTATTTTTTTAAAAAAAAACTTGTGGTGTTATGATTGGATCATGTTGAATCTACAGTTCTGAGGAGAATTTTCATTTTAATAATATTGGATCTTTCAATCCTTGAGTGTAGTAGATTTTTACCTTAATATAGATCTTTAATTTCTCTCAGCAATGATTATAGTTCACAATGTGGAGGATTTACATGTCTTTCATTAAATTTATCCAAAGTACTTTATGGTTTTTGATACTTTAAAAAGTAGAATTGTTCTTTTTTTAAATTCGATTTTCCAATCATTTGCAGCCATCATACAAAATACAGCTGATTTCTGTATGTTGATCTTGTATCCTGAAACCAAGCAAGATACACTTTTTAGTTCTAGGAGTTGTTTCATAAATTCTTTAGGATTTTCTGTGTTAACCATCATGTCATTTGTAAAAAGAGACAGTTTTACTCTTCCTCTCCAATCTTGTGGCTCTCTTTTCTTTGCCTTATTATACTGGCTAAGGTCTCCTGTATAATGTTGAATAGAAATAGTAAGAGTGCCAATACTCAGGAGAATGGTGTGAACCCGGGAGGTGGAGCTTGCAATGAGCCGAGATCGCGCCGCTGCACTCCGGCCTGGGCGACAGAGCAAGACTCCATCTCAATATTAAATGAATAAATAAATAAAAATTAAAAAGGGCCAATACTTTTGTCAGTCTTAGAGGAAAAGCATTCAATATTTCACCATTATGTGTAAATGAAGCTTGTATTCGGGGATAAGCCTCACTTTATTAAATTTGATTTTGCTAATATTTTGTAAAGCATTTTTACATTTCTCTTGATGAGAGAGATCAGTCTGGGGTGTGTATGTGTGCATATCTGTAATTTGCTTACTAGGTTTGGTGCAAAGGTTATGCTGGCCTCATAAAACAAATTGAAGTGTCCTCATTTGCTTTGTTTTCTGAAACAGTTGGTGTGATATTGATTTTTCCCCCAAAATGTTCAATAGAAACCACCAGCAAAACCATATAGGTGTGGAATTTTCTTTGTGTAATTGTTTTTGTAATGATTGTTTTTGTAGTAATTTCAATTTCTACATAGGCTCCTTAGATTTTCCTTTTCATCTTGTGTCAGTTTTGATAAGTTGTATTTTTTGAGAAATATATTCATTTTATCTAAATTTTCAATTTATTAGCATAAAGTTGTTCATAATATTTACTTTCCTTTTTCTTATCTATATGTTTTGTAGTGATAGTCCCTCTTTTATGCCCAGTATTTGTGATTCATATTCTCAGCCTTTTTTGGTATCAGTTACTTGCACTGCATAACAAACCACCCCAAACTTAGTGGTTTAAAATAATAACCACTTATGTAACTGTAGGCTGGCCACTGGGCTGGAATCAGCCAGGCAGTTCTTATGGTTCAGGCAGGTTCCCACAAATAGCGTCTTTGGTTACCTGCCAGTCTGCTAGGTGATGCTGCTGCTGGGGCTTGGCTGGCTGTTGTCTGGGGTGGGGGGTGATGGGCCACATGTCTCTGATTATCTACCAGGCTAACCCAGGCTTTTTGACATGGTAGCTTGGCCATGTTCCTAAACAGAATGGAAGTGTGCAAATTCTCTTGAGGCCTAGGCTTGGACTAGTGCAAAATTGCTTTTGTTCTTTTTTATACATTATATTGCCTAAAGCCAGTCACATAAACAACTCAGACTTATAGGGAGGAAAAATATAGTTCACCAACAATTCCAAGTGAGTGTGCATATAGGATCATTTATTTCAGTCTCCTGCATGTTAAGGCATATTACAAATGTATACACCATTTGTTATGAATTTAACAGTTCATGTAAGTAGTCTAATGTTACCATCAATGTTATGATACAGTAATCCTCAGGCATCCTCCCAGGCCTTACTGAGCAGTAAATTCTTTGGTGTCTCATCAAAACCATTTACCCCGTTAATACTTATGCATTTTTTTATTTATATTCTTAGTTTTATAAATCATTTATTTTGGTTATCCACACAACCCCAAACCAGTATAGTTCTAAGCTCTTTTTTGATCAATATTACTGCTCTATGATCCATAATACTTGAATAATTCAAAATGTGGCACTGGTAAATATTATCGTGAATATTTTGACTTTGGGTTTAAAAAACAGCTTGGGTTTTAAATAATTTACAGCTGTTAATAAGTTGTAAGTAAAATGAAACATAGCATAGATAATATATTTCTCCCGGTCCCCATTCTGTCTGCCAACTGTCACAGAAAATTCTTGGACAGAGAATATATAAGTAGAGTTGGGAATGGGATGATAGAAATACAGTTTAATTCCACCAGTCTCTTCAGTATATATTTTAGCCTAGCCGTTAAGTCAGGTTGATTTCACCTTTCCTGAAATCTACCTCCAGAAATTTATCCTAAGTTACTTAATGGGTATATGAACTCATCTGGTGATAAGTGGCCATTTATAGCATTGTTTCTCTCATAAAAAAAATTGGAGGCAATCTAAATGTGTAATAGAAAGGGACTGGTTTAAAAAATGACATGTACATCACATGGAATATTATACAACCTTTTAAAAGTTATAGAAGAGGACTTAGTGATTTGCATGGATATTCATTATATATGTTAACACATAATACATTTTAAAGTAGATTGTAAAACTACTTGAATGATTATATTCTTGGTAAAATAGTTACATTTAAATACATATAAACATAAAGAGATGCTTGGGATAATATACAACAAAATACTAATGGTACTCATTTCTGAATAGTGGCAATACAATTTTTAAAAAATTCTTCCTAGCTGAAATTTTCCTTTTATTTATCCTGTGCTTTTTGAGTGGCAGTTTTAAAATTTTATTTTATTGTGGTTAAGAACACTTAACATGATCTTTGCACTCTTAACAAAATTTGTAAGTGTACAGTACAGTTTAGTATCATTGCCTATCAGTGCAAAGATATACAGCAAGTCTCTAGTGCTTATTCATGTTGCTTGACCAAAATTTTATGCCCATTGATTAGTAACCTCCATTTCCCACTCTCCGCAGCCCCTGAGAACCGCCATTCCACTCTTTGATTCTATGAAGTAGATTGTTTTAGATACCTCATATCGTGGAATCATGCAGTATTTGTCTTTCTGTGACTGACTTATTTCACTTAGCATAATGTATATTTTTTGTTCTTCTGATTTTTAAATCCACGATTTGAAATTTTTAGAATGAATATATGTTGAAGGCAGGAAAAATGAATAAAAATGGCTTTTACAGAAAAGCTCTACACAGCCACAGTTTTCAAAATTATTTTTATTTTTTTGTTGCCACCCTCAATGCAGGAAGAGCTCTTGAGCTTTAGAAAGCCTGCAGAGTCACTTCACACACTGGGGCCTGTTGGGAAGTGGGGTGGGGAGAGGGAGAGCATTAAGAAAAATAGTTAATGCATGCTGGGCTTAACACCTTGGTGATGGGTTGATAGGTGCAGCAAACCACCATGGCACACGTTTACCTGTGTAACAAACCTACACATCCTGCACATGCACCCAAGAACTTAAAAATTAAAAAATAAATAAAATATAATTCAAGATATGACAGGAAATTCCCCTAACCTGAAGCAAGACTTGTTTCTTTAGAATCTAAAGGCAAACTGCACCTGCAGACTGCACCTGCTTTTATAAATAAAGTTTTTATTGTAATGTAAAAAAAAAACCTTGGAATGATCTGCTTATCCCCAAGACTGGTTTTATTGCCACCTTGATAGAATATGCTATCATGAAATGCAGTAGTTACCTTAGGATTGTTGTTTCTGCTGTTAATACTCACAAGTACTCATAAAGTGGGGCAATTCTTTTTAAATAAGCATGATTTCTTTTTTATTTGACATTACTGTGAGAAAGACTTGTAAAAGATTTTGGTTGGAAGCCGAATCAGCATTCTTATTCCTTTCCCATAACTCCTATTCATAGGATCTGAAATCTTTTTAAAAACTCAAATTGGCTAGAAAATTATTGTTAAAAATAGACACAAATATCGCATCTGTTTTAAACCACTGGTTGTTATCCTGTGCTTGTCTCACCAGTCTGACTGAAGAGCTCACTGACAAAGTAATATCCATTACACATCTGTAGTAAAATGGTATTTCTATTTAGCAAATCCCACTGTTATCACTGGTGTAGTACAGACTTTAGCCAAATCTTACTAGATTTTAGTGCCATGGCTGCACACACACACACACACACACACACACACACACACACACACACACTGTATTGGAGGTTTTGATTTATATTTTGTTTTCATTGAATAGATTGTTCAAGCTAATTTTCATCTAGAAAAGGGCTAATGCAACGGACACTCGGTAATGCCCAGGGATATTGAAACTTTCTGTAACCCAAATTAAATTTGATTTAAATTAGATGTATGCTGGAAAGAATTTTTAGAGTGGAGCAAAGTGTTGCGATATCACCACCTCTGCAGAAAAGACCACAATTTAAATTTTTTCATTAAATTATTTGGTTTGTTGCGGGAAGGAGCAAAACCTAGATACTGATTACTGATGGCTAAGTGTACGGAGTTTAGTGCAAGCTTTCTTGTGCCGGCGGAAGCACTGGGGCAGATTCAGTCCACCTGGGTAACTGTAGCGGCTCCTTGCCTGCAGCTCCGTTGTTCAGGCAGCTTGTTACATGTCAACACCTGCTCATTAGGAACTGGACCAAGACTCCCAGAGAGCTCTCCGATGGCCCTGGTTTTGTATCCCTGCCAATCTGCGCTAGAATTTAATAACAACCTTGAGGTGAAACTTGGGCCTTTCCTCATTGCTAATCCCCAAAACCATCTGGCCCTTCCCTTTCTCTGAATAACAATTTTGTGCATGCGTGGTGGGAGGGAGGAGGATGGGGTGAGAGAAGGGGAACAAGCATCTTACATTTCTTAAAGGACAATGTATTCACTTTCAGAGTAGATAGAGTTTCTTTTAGGTCACAGACCTGAGCTCGTTCTTTCCATAACTTCCACATCTTTAATGGCCAGATAATTGTTTAAAATTTGCAACACTCATTAACTGTTGACAAACCTCCAAGTTTAGTTTTTTTAATGAAATAATGCCAAAAAGAAGCCTGTAAGTCTGTAATCATGATTCTGATGTTTAAAAAGATTATGCATTTTCTCTTTAATTTTCCACTGGGTTTAGTACAGTATTACATACATAGGCGATACCCCATAAATATTTATGTATTCCCATGTGTTGCCCTAAAAGTAATTGAAGTAATTTATGTGCTCTACAAAGTAATTGAAGTAAGATATGTGTCGTATATAATAGGAAATTACAAATAAAATATAAAGCATCAGAACTTCCTATGCCCTCTCCCCACCCTAGGGGAGGAACTGGACATAGTGAACCAGATATGCTATGTATTGCATACAGGGCATTGTGTTTATGACACTGTTAGAGGTTCACTCCAGGGAAGATGACCATTGAGTGAATGCCATATGCAATCACCTGTACTACTTAAAATTGTTTTCTTACTTATGCTTGCTGACCATTTGTTGAGTTTGGGTGTCTTAAATAATGTTTGGATTATGCTGCTTCATTAAAGAAGGTACCCAATAAATATTTGTTAAATGAGTGAATTAAAGAAACGTTATCTGTGTGGACATGGTATAGAAAATGTACATAGCAACATACGTTTTTCCATCACTGAAATGTCAGTGATCATGTTCAAATCCAGAGGACAAATTTTCATGGGTATTATGTGAATACACACATCCACACATGTATACATACATGTATGCATATCACATATACCTGTGTGTATATGCATACAGGTATGCACATATACATGTATGTACACATAAATATTCCAAGCATCAGGTTTTGACCATGCTGTCCATTCACCCTTTCCCAAAGACCCTCAGAATGATATGTTATTAACAATGTGCTACCTCAGAAGAGCAGTCAGCAAACAGGCCTGCAGGCCACATCCAGCCTTATTTTGGTATAGCCTGTAAGCTAAGAATGTTATTTACATTTTAAATGGTTAGAAAGAAATTAACAAGGAGTATATTTGGTGACACCTGAAAGTTATATGAAACTCACATTTCAATGTCCATAAATAAAGTTTTATTGGATTAGAGAGACATTTTGATACCCTTACATATTGTCTCTGGTTGCTTTTTCACAGAGTCCATTAGGTGCAATAGAGACCACCTGGCCTTTGGAGCCTGAAATATTTACTCTCTGGCCCTTTACAAAAATGTTTGCTGACTCATGTCTTAGAAGATACAAAAGATAAGTAGGATGAAATCTGCCTGAATCAACGAATACCTCACAGTATTACAAACAATGCTGTTCACTCTCAGCCCCTTTTTAAAAGATATTGGGAAAGAATGAAAAAATTGTTCTCGAGTTGTATTTTTTGAAAGGACCTCATCACCTTTATCTCCAAAACATAGGACCTTATATTCCAGACAGACTGTTTTGAATATTCAAACTTTAATCGTTCTTGTGATTATATTGGCATGATCTAATGGAAGGGCAAGGAAAAAGTTGCAAAGTTGTGGAACATATAACATGAAACTCAATTAGTCTGATTCCAATTTGCCTTCCAAAACAACATGAAAGAGAAAACCTGCTAACACTTGCCAAGTTCAAGGACAAGTAGGAAGAGGGTGAATCCCAAATCTACTCAGGAACCCTGAGTGCCAATCTGTGTTACTGTCTCCCCAACAAGATGATGTCCTGTGTTTGCGTGTTAATGTTTTTGTTCTCTGTGATGTCCGTCTTGCTTCATAGACATTGCTTATTGAAACACACTAGTAAGATAGGGAAGAAGCAGGTGTTATTTCCACTCTACAGAAGGATGAGGCTATAAACTCTACATGTAGCCCTTTCCATGGCAGGAAGTCAGTTCATTGCTAAATCCAAGAAAATAAGATGTCTTTTTGTTAGACTTAAATTTCTGCATGGTGGATATGTTCCACAATATGCTAAAGAATTATTATCTGAGTTTTAGTCTGAAATTTGACTGATTTTCATTATAGCATCTGGAGTAGTGTTTAGTTTTTTTTTTTTTTTAATCCTACTATAAGTATGACCTCCTAAATCAACGAATTAAATGCTTCATTCTCTAGAGATAAGATCCTTTGCTTTCTTATATGTGCTGCTCCATTCCTCCTACACAGAGTCAGCAAATGATTCCTGGGCCAACAGTCTCCTGAATCTTCAAATACAATCTCCTTTGTACCTTTGCCTTTAAGTTGCTTCTTGAAAGAAATGTTTTGAAAGTGAATTTGCTTTCCTTACATCTTGGTCAGAACTCACTAACATAAAAGGATGCAAAAATCAATCACTTCATCCTTACTGTAATTGTATTTCAGCATCACAGCGTGTATGTTGGGAGAGTTAAGAATTCCTTTCATGTTACAGATACAGAAACAGAAACTAGGTAGGATAAGGTCTCTGTAAGGTCTCATAGCTACTTAGCGACAAAGTTGGCGTAAGAGCTATTTTGCCTTACTTAGTTACTTTCATTATATTTCCTTTTGGCCAGCTTAAATATAATTACTATATAGACATTAAATTACGAGAGTTTATTGAATTATCAGAAGAAATCATTTCATAGAATGTTACATTTGACTATGAAACAACAAGACTTATTTCCACAAGGTACACAGGAGAATTTATTTCATTACTCAGTGGTTATACTTTATCAGTCTTTTTGAATTGTTATTAAGCTATAAGTTAATAAAGGTGATGGAAACTATAATTATACAAATAGTTTAAGAGATAAGTGTTACCAAAGCATATCTATTATCTTCAGTAATAAGTATATTTGAATTGAACACATTACTTGAGAAACCAGTCAGTCTTCACTATTAAATGAATTTCTTGGTTTAGAGGGCAATTTTTGGAGAATTACTACCCTAATAGAGTGAAATACCTGATTCAGCTGGCTCCTCACTGTCTTGATTTATTTTTCCTGGGGAATGTAAACATGGAAGGAAGCAGAGAGTTCAAAAACAATTGTTCCCTATCTGGTCACTTTCAATTCACCCATACTAATTTATTTTCTTCATAGCACTTGTTACTATCTAAAATTATCTTGTTCATTTTTTTATTTGTTTACTCCCTGGCTCGATATTCAAGAATTGAAGCTTCTGAAAAGGGGATCTTATCGGCTTCATTCCCCATTGTATCACCAGCACTAACAGTAGTAGCCAGGGCGTAAAGGGAGTTTTGTATTCTCTGTTCAGGTTATGAGCAGTTGGGCATGTTGACTAGAATATCAAGGGGTCACTTGTGAAATTGTAAGTTTCATGGGTAGCGAAAAGAGATCTGACCTAGAAAGCATTGTGCTGAGTGCTGACCTCTTCATTCTGTTTTACGTTACCCCATCCCTGCTTCTGTAGCACCTGTCTGTGTGTTCTAATTATTGGTGTCCTTGTCTTTCTCGCCCATGGAAACTTGAGGGCAAGGACCAAGTCTCATTTCTCTATATGTCCCTGGTGCTGAACACAGTGACCAGCAGGGTGAGGGAACACGTCCATGAGCACACGAATGCTTCTTTCGGCACAAGTGCCTGAGGACATATCTTCATGCCTCACCTCTACAAAAGAAAGAAAGAAAGAGAGAGAGAGAGAGAGAGAGAGAGAGAGAGAACGAAAGAGAGAAAGAAAGAAAGAAAGAAAGAAAGAAAGAAAGAAAGAAAGAAAGAAAGAAAGAAAGAGGCATAGTAGTTGATTGCTAAGTGTTCTCTGCTTGTTTGATGAAACACCTGCCTTCAGGAAGACAATTTCTGACAGATCGGGCTCTCTTTTTGTTAGTACTGTGTAAGTTCTTTATGTAGACGAGTGCTGTCGAGTAGGAATGGAGTGTAAGTCATGCATCTAATTTCACATTTCGAATAACCACATTTAAAAAGCTTTAAGAAAGTGAAATTAATTTAATAATATGTTTTATTTAACTGAACACATCCCAAATATTATTTCAACATGAATCAATATATAAAATCATTGAGCTACTTTGCATTTTTTGGTACTAAATCTTGTAACCTGTTATGTATTTTACGTCTCAATTTGGATGCAAAATTTTTGTCAGAAATATTTGATCTGTATGTTATATCATAAAATTTAAAGTTAGAAAAGTAGATTTGCATATCCAAATTGTTCCAAACACACTTGCATGTGTTCTAGTATCTGAATTGAATATCAATTTTAATTTGAAATTTTAAATAAAACTAAATATTTAGTTCTCCAGTTACACTACTCACATTTCCCTACCAGTAGCCACATATGGCTAGTGGCTACTGTATTGGCCAGTGCAGATTATATATAAACTCTGCTTGAATAAAACTTCCTTATATATTTTTTTAAATTTGCAAACACCCAAACCCTCCTATCACATCAAATCACAGTATTCTAGAAGAGTGAGGACTGTCATCGAAGTCATCTGGTCCAGCTGCCTCCTTTTACAAGAGCCAGAGCACAGAGAGGAAGTGGCATGTGGTTCATCTTCCTCCCACTCCTCTCTTGGTGCCTGCTTTGCACTCAGAACTCTGCCAGGCACTACCAGTCTACTCCTTTGGGTTAAACAGACACCACAGATATGGTTGTGGGGGCCTTCTGTGTGCAACGGAGGATCTCCTCCTCTCTGCAGGCCAGTGTGGGTGTGATGGAGAGACCTTGGGGAAGCCTCCTCATGTGCCTGTTCCTGTCTGCCCATGTGAGGTCACAGAGGCAGCTGGCATGCTTGGGACCAGCTGGCTCTCTCTCCAGCACTGAGGTCAAGCTGGATAGTCAGATAGATGGGGAAAGAGGGCAGACTAAGTGCTAAGACAGATGGCACCAAGGCCAGTGCTTGTTATCCAGAGGTGCCACCCCCTACAAGGGGTGTATGAATGGCTACCAGTCCCTCAATGCTATCCAGTCACAGTTTTTTAAGAACTTCATATGTCTCATCTAAAAGTGAAAAATAATATGAGACTGTGAATTAAAAATTTTCCAGGTGTGTTTTTTATTTTGTCATTTATAACCATTGACAAGTTTAGCGCTTGTTTTCTTTCCTTTTCCTTCACCTTGTTCCAAACCTGCTCTAGGTCTCTTGATATCATCTAGGATGCCAATAATTAATGAAATGATCGTGGATCCGGATTTCTTTGTGAAGAAGAAATATTTTGACTATCTCTTATGGCGAGGCTGCTCTGCTTCTGAGAAAACTGAAGTGGGTGCAGCATGAAGTCGTTCTCATTTCATCAAAACACACACTTGCCTCATTACCAGGAACCTGGATTAGGGTTGAGGAGGCACACCCTCCCTGGCAGCCCTGGAACCATTTCTCTCTTTAGTTTCTTTCTTACTTCCATCTTCCATTATTCTATATACTCCCCATCTTCTCCTTCTTTATAGTACAGTGTAATATTTTTTAAATGTGCACAGCTCTTGTAACTTCAAAATCCCCAAGTGACAGTGTCATCTCTGTGGAAACCGCATATGTTGTTATTAGTTTGTGTGTCAACTCAGCTCAACAAGGTAGACACACAACATGAAATGACAAGAGAGAGTAGTCAAGTTATTAATTGGCTGAATTAATATTTAGAGCTTTTCTTGAAATCCTGGAAAGGTGTATGTGAAAAATGAGCGGGGAGAAATACTTGGCTGTGATATCTAAAGTCTTTAAGGCATCCTAATGAACTGATTTGGCTTTATTTTTGGTGGAATATTTAGTCACAATTGTTTGATTCCTGGATTAGATGTTATCTGGAGTATGCCCATTACTCCATATGCCCAACATGGAAAGATATTTTTATTGTTTTTATAGAAGATTCATGCTCTAATAATGCCCAGGCGGGAAGCACTCTACATGAAACTTGTTAGTTCTGGTAATAAATTAAAAAAAATTATTTCGGACAATTTTTAGCAGGGAGAATCACTTTTTTGACATAACTTCTAGTAACAAAGCTGCAAGCAGGGAAAACACTGAGACTCTTTGGGGCAGTATGGTGGCTTTCAAATTGTGCTCACCAAAGCTGCCTTCTGGAGGAGGGCTGGGAGAGCCAAAGAGCTGGGGCTCCAGGATACCATTTTTCCATTCAGCCATGCAGCTCCGCTGTTATGTTTATTATAAGTACCTTTCCTGTAGGACTTATTTGAAGAATGATTTCTTCAGCTAATAAAAATTTGAAAGATCTCTCTGTACTACATTTTGGAAGCATGGCTTAGGAATTCTTGTACCTGGGACTTTTATAAAACAAGAACAGATTTTTTCTTTTTTTCTTGAGAAAGGGAAGTCACTTAAGAATTTTTGTCCTTAGCTTTTTTTTTCTTTTTTGGGGGAGGGAGTGGGGAGCCAAGGGACAGAGCCTTGCTCTGTCACCCAGACTGGAGTGCAGTGGTGTGATCTCAGCTCACTGCAACCACCGCCTCCCAGGTTCAAGTGATTCTCATGCCTCAGCCTCCCGTGTAGCTGGGATTACAGGTGCACACCAACACGCCCAGCTAATTTTTGTATTTTTAGTAGAGATGGGGTTTCACCATGTTGGCCAGGCTGGTCTCGAACTCCTGACCTCAAGTGATCTGCCCACCTCAGCCTCCCAAAGTGCTGGGATTATAGGCATGAGCCACCGCGCCCGGCATACCCTAAGCTTTTAATAGCTTTGACATTCCGTGCATGGGCCACGCCCATCCTATGTAAATCCTATGTAAACATTCTCATGGTCAATGGCAAGTAGTAGGACTGGAGAAGTTGCTGTAGAGGGAGGTGACCGTCGGCCTGACTGGACCTTGTACTGTTGTTTCCTCTAAGGCCATGTTTGCATCTCATTCTTGTTGCTACCAGGGATCTGCCCCACTTCTCAGACACATGAGCTTGTACCAGTTGGACGATTGGTTGTACTTTAAAGATTCATACCAGTTTTTAATCTCCCAAATGACCATAAGTTCTTGAAATTTAAGTGGACATTTTTGATAAAACTTTAGTCAAGGAATAAAGTTTTTAAAAGTTGTTTTAATGTTTTCATTTCAGCTATAATAAAGGCTTTCTGGAACTATTGATAAAACTGTCAATTCAGTTTTGGGGGGAAACTGGCATTTGTGGCTATCTTGAGTCAATGCCTTTGTGTTGAGAATAAGTACACAAGGAGCTTGAGAGTTACTTGTCAGGATGTCTGCTGTGTAGGGAGAAAGGGATTTAGCCTTTAGTAATATCACAGTCAAAACCTAGGACCCACAGGGCTGCCTTTCTTAGTAGAGTCACTGTTCAAAGTTCTAGTTTAGAAATGGAAGATAAAAGATCACATTTTCTGTTAAAAAAGTAATCTGAGCAAGCTATACCTTAGGATTTATTTTTGATGGGCTAACCACTTACTGAGATAAGGGAAAATCCAAGGCAACAAAAAAGTCACATTATAGAGTCCTAAAAAGCCATGACACATTCTCAACTTCTGAACATTTGGGGGAAGCAAAGAGTTATTCTAGAGAGAAGTATGTTGAAAAATACCTGTGGCTTATTTTCCTAATTTCCAACTATACTTTTGCCGATAGAAATCAATGAGAAAGTATAGTGCTTTGCCAGCCTCAGACGGAGAAGTTACTTGATCAAGCACACTTCTAAATATATTTTAAAGTATCATTAGCGTCTATAAAGAAAGAAAAGATGATCCAGGAGCCAGTGGGAAAGACGCCAGCTTTTTAGCTGGCTGTTCTCTTCAACTTGCTGAAAATAAAAGAAATTGTATGAACGTTTTTCAAAAGTATAAGACGATTTATATTGGGAAAATGCATACGAAGTTTTAATTTTTACTCTGCCCCAGCTGTTACTAATACAGTAAAATATCTTAGTAGAAAAACACTCATTTTTACTACAAAGACCCAAATACCTTTCATCTGCTTTTGGAGCTGAATTACATTTAATCCCCCACCTTCATTTTTCTCCATTTTTGTATGGTTTCATAGGCAATGGAGAAACTTTCCAGAACTCTTTCTTCATGAAGATAGTTTGTGTGGAAGTCAAGCATGTGAGCATCGGTGCACATAGTAGGCCCTTGGTAACTCTATGACCAGCGTGGTTTCCCTGTGGTTCACCGTGAGGCCTCAGAGAAGTGCGCAGTCCATTGGTAGTAGGAATGGGATGCCATGGTCCCTGATTCTTTCCCTTCCCATTTTTATCACTGCTTCGCAGAGACTATAAAGCGTCCTACAAGAGGAAAAGAGGAAAGACCTTTGAACCCCAAATCTAGAAGTATGGTGAGTAAAAGTTGTTTGCAGGAACTCACACTTGGCACTCTTTGTGAAGCAGACAAACAACAGCTCCAGAGAACCCCAACCAAATCCTCACATGATGCATTGGACTTGGTGCTGTGTCCTTTACACACCTACACTTTCAGCCCTACAAAGTCAAATGCACCGACCGCCAAAGTTATGGACTTTTGTATCGGAAGCACACATGCTAACAAAGTATTTTCATCAGAACATCTTTTTTTTTTTTCTGACTCATTTTCTTGGTGAAATTGTTGTTTGTGTGTGTGTGTGTGTGTGTGTGTGTGTGTGTGTGTTCTTTTTTTTACTAGGTCTCATATGTTTTAGGCCCAGCCTGACATTTCAGCAGTTTCTTGCTAAAGCGCTTACTGTGAATACTGTGTAGTATGTGTGCAAATGACTCCCGACTTATTAGATTTCTTCCGGTGTGTGCATCCTAGCAGAAGACACCCCAGCAGGCCTTGAGCACTGCTGCTGCTTCACTTCACATAATGAATATTCAGAGGCTGCAGTCATTGAGAACTCAGGTGGCAAAAATAGTAAGGTGATTGAAGCAAACCCTAACATGAAAGCAAATCTGCATTTCAGTGACTCAGAAACACTGATTACAGCACAGATTCCTGACCCTCAGACCCCATGAGAGGAGAGTCCTGGGGAACCTCCTATGAATCAGGCATCTGTTCCATACACCAATATGCTCACGTCTTTCTGTATGATGTGTTGTAATCAGCATGTTGTTTTTAAAAGACAACAAGCCCTTCTGTAGTCCTCCCCACAAAATGCATTTAGATTGATAGTTCAGCATAAAGGATGCACTGTTGAGACAGGCAATACATGCATTGTTTTCCCTGTAATGCAGTCAGGATCTCCATAGCAAAATTTAGTGTGTTTTTTGAAATCTTATTTTATATATTTTGTCACCATCAGCAGTTGAACTAAAGTAGGAACAGCTCCATTCTATCAGGGGTTAAATTATTCTCCGTGTAGATCTAGTGGTGATGTATAAATTGCAGCCTTTTCTTTTTTTCAAAGGATTCTAAAATAGGTTTTCAGAATTAGCGCTGGATTTTTGCTTCTGCATGTGTGGTGACTCTTGATTCTTCCCCTTTGGAGAAGCATCCTTTGCAGCATTCCCCCTTCCGAGGAATCACTTAGACACTTCCAGCTGGTGGCAGGGGATACAGCCATAATACAGCTTCCTCTGTCCCAGCTGTCTTCTTCACTACGGTAAATGCATTACGATGGCTGCACTCTCCTGTAAAGGTTCAGGTAGAGGAAGGTGTAGGATGAAGTCCGGACACCATCATTTGGGTTTTTAAAAGCTTCAGCTTCTCCAGCATCTTTGCATTGTGAATATCTTCCTGCTTCTAGTCAAAGCTTTCTCTCTAGTGATTGGAATGCTGCTGTAAGCCTGATTAGAGGTGCCTGAGGATATCACCTTTTACAAGGAAGCCGTGTGTGCTTGAGAGGATCTTTTTAAATGCATTATGGCTCATGCAGCCTCACAATTAAAGAAAAACAGGGATTTAGAAATCAATGCTGAAGAAGAGCCTGAGAAAAAAAGGAAACACCGCAAACGGTCCCGGGATCGGAAGAAAAAGGTATCTATGTATGCCAGAGCATATATCTTGCCTGGATTCTTTTTGTTTTAATCTCCCTCTGGCATCTGTTAGAAGCATTAAGGGTTATTTTTACATGCTGGGTAGAGTGTAAATTGGGTGTGTAAATTGGGAACAGATGATAAACCCTATGGCAGAACATGGCCATAGGATGGGCAAGGCAAGAGGGACGGTTTTCTCCTGTGGGGTGATTGCAGGGCTATGCGGAAAGTGTGCTTCACTTTATATAGGCATGGGCATGTTTCCATGACATGGAAAGGTGCTGTGAGGGAGTTACAAAAGTAGTTTCTTCACAGCCCAGTCAAGGTGAAATGCACTGCGGTGACTTGGGTTAGAGGGAGAGGCCAGAGAACCAGGCTTTGTACTTCTTAGAGGTTTGTCTCGTGGAAAAAGAGCTTTTGTGCTGGAACTGTGTCACATGCGTGCGTTTCCCAGGCAGATCTGTGACCTTAGAGGAGTAGCACAAAAGTCATTTCCTGCTTTGCTTTTATTTCCTCTTTCTTTCCTTTTGCCTCTTATTTTTATAAGGTGCTTTTTGTCAAGTTGTGCAATGGAAATAAGCTGCTAGAAATAACTTTCTTTTGTTAAATAAAGCTGAAATCACAGAGGTTTGTTTTTCCCTGCTGGGTGAAAGTGATTATCCTGAACGCAGGAATTCCAGTAACCTGCAACCTTCAACACTGATTGCTTTAGATCAAAGCATGGGCATTGATGATTCCTTACTGATATTCCAAGGCAGGGGGAAAATAGGAGGAATATTCTGGGTCAGTGGTGATTTATTATAGCCCGTGAGTACTTAGAGTGCCCTTAAATATGACTCCTAGGTACTGAGCTGGGAGTAAGACCCCAAAGCACTTTTCCTCCATGATAATTAATAAAAATTGACTAAAACTCTGTGATCTGAATAGGAAAGGCAGGTCATAAAGCATTTTTATGTGTCTTTGTGAAAATTCCCAAAGGAAAGATATCCTTAATTTGAGCAGTAAGGCATGTGCTTTCTAAATGACATGCAGATTGCATCTCCCACATGTACCCCTCTTCAGGAGTGACCATGAATATTCCTGGTACCTTTGCCATTTTCTTCAGAGTTAGGATCTATAGAAGACTCTCTGCCTTTTGTTGCATAGCTGACTTTGAGATTGAAGCTGGAGAGCTGCAGTTGTTTCACTGCAAGATGTTAAATATAGATAGTTCCTACTTTGATATTCTTGTAAATAAACTTCTTGAATATATTTTCATAAAAATACAAACTTGGGTTAAGAAATTGTGTGCAGGCGTATTTCAAAGCCTTGCACAGCACAGTTGTTATGAAATTGCCATACTTTGCTAGATTCTGGTCTAATTTTATTGTGTGAGGTTTCTCTGTGGGTAGGTCACTACCACTTGCCCCCTGTCCATACATCTCTGCCTACCCCCACCGTGATAAACTAGCTTCTAAGAAAGATGGAAAAGGTACATATATTTGTATGAAGATATGGTGTCATATTAATATTGACACTATATTTTAGGGTTGTTAGGCTAGCTAGGTTTATGTACAGCAGTTTTCGGTAGCAGTGATGACAGATCTGTTACCTTTGTGCCTGGGTCCCTGTTTGACTTGGAAGCAAAATAGGGAAGGGGTGAGGCAGAGGGAGTTTCTGGACTCAATGAGCTGTAGCAAATGCTTTGTGGACCAAAGTGCTTTGTTACCAGTACAACAGAGTCTGTCCAATGTAAATCTCTTAGCAACCAGAAGGGAACAAGGAGAAATATCAATATCGCTATTGTAAATGTGCAAGTGGATTTAAATGTTTTGTTCTCAGGACACTCACAGAGTAGATCCTAAAACTGGCTCATGGATAACACTTTCATTGCTGTTGTACTTGTTAATTCTTAACATAGTAAAATAGGTATATTCTGTAAGATACAGTGTATTACAGAAGATATAATATTCATAGTCCAATTATTTCATATACTACTTGTAATGTACAAAGTTAAGACTGAATTATTTTGAAAACACTCTAGATTTCCTTCAGTGGCATAGCCATATATGACCCTCATTCCTCTATAAAGTGAATTGTTATGACTTTGAGTTTCTTTATCCCCACCTTTTTCTAAGATCCTGATGAAGGCCTATGGGCTACTTCGTTCCATGTTGTAGACCTCATGTCAATAAAAAATGCTGCTTCTAAATATTTTGTGGGTTATTATGGGGATAGTTGCTCTTGTTCATATGCAGAAATATTGTATAGGATTTTTTTTTTTTTGAGATGGAGTCTCACTCTTGTTGCCCAGGCTGGAGTGCAGTGGCATGATCTCGGCTCACTGCAACCTCCACCTCCTGGCTTCAAATGATTCTCCTGCCTCAGCCTCCTTAGTAGCTGAGATTACAGGCACCCGCCACCCTGCCCGGCTAATTTTTGTACTTTTAGTAGAGATGGGGTTTCGCCGTGTTGGCCAGGCTGGTCTTAAACACCTGATCTCAGGTGATCCACCCGCCTAGGCCTCCCAAAGTGCTAGGATTACAGGCGTGAGCCACCACACCGGGCCAGGAGCTTTTAATCACATAAAAGTAATAGTGGATACGCTCAAAAGCTTGGGAAAATCCTAAAGAGTATCTAGTTTATAAAATAAGGAATTTGGTCCATGACACTCCTGCAGTTCAGGTTTGAGCAAGGCCAAAGACGAAGCTTTCTTGATTAGGTGTGATGACACAGAATCGTATAGTATGGGATATCACTATGTGTTATCATGAAATCATAATACATATGTAGACTTAACATTGGATTCACATTTCATCAAGTTTTTAAAAACTCAATGAATTATACATATGGTCTATTTTGAATATGTTAATCATGAGTACATGATTACCAGTCCAAAAAAAAAAAAGCAGTACAGAACTTCTAGGAATTTATAATTAGTTGAGTTTTAATAAAGATGTGTTTTATTCTTGACATAACTTAAGTAGTGTTAAGAAAAAGGAAATCTTCCTATTTGTTGAAAGGAAATGCGTCTAGGTGGATGAAACTTTACTTTTTTATTACTAATTTGTCTGGCTTGAAAAAAAAAAGTTTGAATGAGTATCTTCTTTAAAAGGTGCTTATCAATGCACTTACAAATGCCCCTTAGCCATACTTTCCCACTGCCCTTCCCTGCCATATCTTTTTCCCTTCACACTTCTCTGCTCACGGGCCGCTTAGGTTGGCAACCAGTGGGAGGCATGCCAAAAGTAGATAGAGTGCCTTTGGGTGGGTTATTACTAGATCCCTGCCCTGACTGAGCAAGTAGCTGAGAAGAGCTGTTTATATCCCCTGCTCCCAGCAGGGCCCTGGTCCATGAGCAGTGGTTGGTAGGTGGCTCATCCTACCATAAAGCCATGATGGGCTGAAGTCACACGTGCTCTCTTTGTGGTCAGGCTGCAGTCCTAGCACATTGACTGTCGTTGTTGGCTTCTGGTACCATGTTACCTGCGTGTCATGCCCTCTCCCCACATACACTATAAAATACGTTTCAACAGTGAGGGATATTACTAGAATTGACCCTAATTTGTTCCATAAGTGGGTTTTGTTAGTATATGAATACATGCTTGTATATATTTACCAAGTCCTGTCAAAAAATTTGAGGTGACCTAATGAAATTTATATTAAAAAAGGAAACATTTTGGAGTTTGCTCTCAACAGATAGGTAAGTAGGTAGGTAGATCTCTCTCTATACATGCGCCTGACACAGTGCTAGATACTGGGATAAAATGACAATTAATTCCATGATTAACATCTTTTCTGATTATTGATGTCAAACATACAGTTAATCAGTGACAGAGCAGGAACAAATATTCATTGCTTCATTCTTGTATTCATGTATTCATTCAGTAAACATTTATTAAGTGACTTCTGTGGATCAGGCATTGCATCAAATGTTGGAGACAAAGCCAATCAAAGCATAGTGGCAACACTACAGTAACACCCAGAAGAGGCAGGGAAGGAGAAAGATAAGAGCCACTAATCACCCTCCATAGAGAATGAAGAGGGAGCCCCAGGAGCCCACAGAAAGACCCTCACCTGGCTCAGATGCACTCAGAGGAGAATCTCAATGAAGCTGAGCTTTGGAGGAGGAGTCAGCAAGATAGTCAAGCAGAAGAACAGGAGTCTCATGCCCAAAGTAACAGAAGTAGGAGAGACTATTAGGCTGTGTGGGAAACAGTATTTTTGAATTCCTGGAGCAAAGGGGACCTGAGTGTGTGGCACGAAAAGTAAGCAGGTGCCAGAGCATGAAGATCTTCATATGCCATCTTGCATAGTTTGGAAATCACCCTGCTCAAAGCGGGGAGAGACCTTAATGGTGGTGGTAGAAGAGAGGACTGTGAATAGCTTTATGGGGTAGAGCCATCACTCAAGCATCCGTGTTGTAGCAGCAGCAGCAGGGAGAGCAGTCAGGAAGCTCTGATGGGGATCCAGGCACGAAATGCTGAGTGTGAACCAAGGTGGAGACTATGCCAGTGGAGAGGGGGTGTTGCATACCAAAGATATTTAGGGGAAGACTCAGTAGAACTTGGCAATGGATTGTAGGCAGGATGTGAGAGAGAGATCGGATTCTAGGATAACTGCCAAGTTCCTGGCTTGAAGGGGAAGAGGAAGAATTAAATGTCCTGGATTCATGTCTTTTCTCCCAGGCCATTTATTGACCACTTATTCTACACTAGGTAGGGTATTACATTGCTTTATAGGTGGAGACTAATTTAGTCTTCCTAATAACCCTTTGAGAAGAGAAAGTATTTTTTTATTATCCCCATCTTACAGACAAGGAGACTGAGGCTGAGCCTTGAAGCTAGTTGCCCAAATTTTCACCCTAGTCAGACAGTGGTAGAGCTAAGATTCCAATTTGGACAGTCTAACTCTCTAGCTTGTGCTCTTAACTACTGTGCCATACAAGGTATGTAGTATATGGCATTAATATTTTCACAGCTACACATCAAAGTGGGCTTGTTTCAGAAAATCTTCTAAGTAATAAGCTATTTTCTAGACATGTGAAACTTTAAACGACAGGCTTTATGTCTCTAATTCAGTATTGTAGTGTCTGTTTTTCTTACCCTCTGCAGTAAATTTTAATGTTTTTTCTTAAGATTCTTTTTTAAAATTTTTTGGAAGTTAGAAATGAAAATTACCAACACAAGGATTTCAAATCCTCAGACACATTGTGTAATGACAACATAACAGTGTGTTAGATGCCTGTTGTATGTCAGCAATGTGCAGAGGATTCCCATGGGTTATTCTTTTTTCTTCCCTATGACTTTCCTATGAGGCAGGCATTATTTTCATCTCCATTTTTGTAGGTAAAACTAAGGCTTAAAAATACCTTGTCTGAGGTCATATAGCTAGTGATTGGTGGACCTAGGCTTGAACTTGGGTCAAAGGACTTTGGGTTCTGTATTTAACCACTGGGTTTATTGTAATGAGATGCTAGCAGTCTCTTTTAAGGTCAGCCACAATATAAGGGTTTGAGAACAGATTTTTTAAAGACATGAACTATACTGTTATTTCTTGCTATTGAAGCTCAGTGCTTCCTGATGTTTTACAGGCTTTCCCCATTCCTAATTACCTGGGTATCTCTGACACCCTAAGATGCCAGGCAAGAGTAAGGTTTTGTACTGCAGCAGCTGGACTTTTATGGTAGAAGATTGTGTAGATCTTTATGAGATCAAGGAAACTTGCTCTGTTCCCTGCTGCATTGAGTATATGGACTCCAGGTCTCCAGGGAGCATGGTCAATTAGCATACTTGATATTCTGTACCATAATTATGTGTTTACATGTCTGTCTTACCAAGAGACTATGAGCTCCTTGAGGCTGGAGATGGTGTAATTATCTACTACAACCAAACTGGGGCTTGCTGGGTGGTGAATGAGTGTATGAGAGGCAGTATCATGTAATGATTAAGAGTGTGAACTATAGAGTAAGGTTGTCTGAGTTCAGATTCTGGCACTATCAATTAGCTGTTGACCTTGGGGAAGTTATTTAGTCTCTCTGTGCCTCAGGCTCTCCACCTGCAAAATGGATGTAATAGTAGGATGTGCTTAGGATAGGGTTGTAATGGGGTTTCAGTGAGTTAATATTAAAACAGTGCTTGGCACAAAGTAAAAGCCATAGTGTTGTTGCAGTTGTTGTTGTTGTTCAGAATGTACAGACAAATGAACAGAAGAATAAACGGACTATAGTGTGAGTATTTAGTGTTAGCCAATGTACTGAGTCATTAACCAAAGTTGAGGTTTGTTTATGCAACTTGCCTCAGGTCACAGAAATACCTGGTCTTGGAACCAAGGCCTGTGTGGTTGTAAGTTTCTTGCTTGGGCCATCAAAACCTCTACAAGAGAGGTTTTCTTAAGGGTGATTCTTATTAATGGACATCCAGGGTGAATTCTTACATCAAGAAAAAAATTATCACTTTTGAGATGTTGAAAGTTAAATTATTTACTAATTCAAATTTTAATAAATCATTTAAATTTAACTGCAAAATCTAGATTTGTATATTCCTTTATACTTAGTGTACTTCTGCATTTAAAATTTTAAAATAGAATCCATTTACTGAAAAAACAATAAAAGCATTGGCATATATATATATATATATATATATATATAGATTTAGGTATAGGTTAAATATCGAAGGAGAATATCTAAATACAACATTATATTGTCAGTCACATAATTCAAATTTTATTTTCAAGAAATAACAAGCAATTTGCTATAGTTTTGCCCAAATTGTTGTTCTAGTTTATATTATGTGAATTGAAAGTAGAAGAGTTAAAAGCAAACCAGAGGACATCAAGCTTGAATCATTCACATATACGTCAGAGTTTTTTCTGGTACTTATTCCATTCACCCAGGATTCTGCTTTCATGGACCAAAGTGGAGTCATGAAATGGGATCGTCCATTATTGTCAAATGTGGGAGGTGCTTATAAAATATATAGATTTCAATTTAGATTTAATTGGTTCTGGTAAATGATTTCTCAGTCATGGGTGACTTTCTGATTAATTAGGATCATATCCTCAGTTTTGTCTGAACTTAGATGTATCTCATTAGAATGGGAAGAACAGAGACTACCATTCATATCTGCTGGATATAGCTTACCTTTTGGCAGAAGAAAAAAAGTCTACTAATACCATCACCACAGGAGAAGAAGGATGTGTGGACTGCATGGTAAAAAATGGGGAAATAGAACTAGGCCCTAAGAGGGTTGGAAGGAAGGAAGTTCAAGATTTTGTAGGTACTGAAAGTCAGAGACACTGAGGCATTTGTAAGGTACCATGAAGGTACCCCTGAAATCAGAAATACCTTGTCTTGGAACCAATCAGATGAATAGCATTCTTTTACCCTAATAAAGTACAATTTTGTAAGACATCTATACAGTGAAAGAAAGTATGAAAACATGGTAAATTTTGTTTAATAGAAGATTAGAAACATTAATAAAACAGGCAAGCAATAAGGAGCGATGTGGGGAAGTATCTGGGCCTAAGCATTACAATTCATGGTATTGAAGAGAATGGGCCTTGAGGCTCAATGTGAGTTCACAGAGAAGCTGCTACTAATTAGCTGTGTGGCCATGAACTAAATTTCTTTGGGCCTCAGTTTGCACATTGATCAAATAGGGATACTATTTTTTCTTTACATACATGTTGTGAAGAGTAGAGATACTGCAAATAAATGCATTTGCCAGGTTCCTTGCATAAAAAGAGTGTATTTAGCAAGTTTCCAGCTTCCCCTCCTAAAGTACAGGTTCTTAAATGTCATTGAGGGATTGTAGTCAAGAATGACGTGGAAGAACTGAGAAAAAGAGGGAATATTTTTAACAACTTTTGCACCTTATAAGCACTCGAAATTATTTGCTGAATTGATACAGTGAATGAAGTTTTACTAAGAGACTGTCATTCCCAAACAACCATTTAAGTCCCACAGTTAGCTCTTTGCAAACTTTCCACAGCCCTCAGGGAATTAAATCTGTCATTTTGAGAAATACTCCTGAAGACTCATATGTTAAATACATTTTTCTATTCATTAACAATAGTACTAATTAGCTTATCTCAGTAGCTAAATGATTGCTGAGGCAGGTATTAAAGCTTAAGAACCCTATGTACAGACAGAGGAAGTATCAAATGATTCCTTTAATAAATGAACTTTATTTTGCACATTCAAACATAAATGTTGAAAAAGGAAAAAAAAAGACTGCTTGGGTTGAATGAAGAAATCTTCATTATATAGTTTATGTATTGTGATTATGTAGAAGGAACAAAATATTACTTATACAAGATAAGATTCATTACCAACCAATTTATCCCCCAATCTAGGCAGTGTCCATGATAGAGGCATTGTTACAGTTTTGGGACAGTCGGGGACTGGGAGAGGAATGAATAATCTGACCAATGTAGACTTATCTGTTGTACCTGGTTTCTGAACCTAAGGTGGCCCAGTGGCTGTCTTCCTTTATCGGCGGATTCCCTTCTCCCTGCGATCTGATTGCTACTTGCAAGAGCCTCTAAAATTTTCAATCACATATAGCTAGTTAACCTTCACCTGACCAAACTGGCCCACTTCCATAACTGCCACTTAGAATTATCAGTGTATTCAAACGCTCCCACTTGTCTTAAACAAAACAGAAGAAGTGAGTCTGAAACCTGGACATCTTTCCTTAGACATTTTCATCATAGACCCTCTGTGATTTTTTTATTGCAGGAAGGTCTACCCAGTGATACATCCAACAGCAAAAGTATATGAAGCAGAATTTACCTGTCCTGTTATTTGTTGGGCTATAATTCATTGAGGGACTACAGTGGGCCAGGCATTCTACCACATGCATGACGTAGATCATTGTATTGAATCTTCATGGCATGGATATTATTTTCCAGTTTTCTGGATTAGGGAAGTTATACTCTGAAAGTTTCAAAAACTTGCCCAAAGTTTCACAGTTAGTAAGTGTAAAGCTGTAATTCAAACCCCAGTTGGTCTGATTTCCAGCCCTGTGCTTTTTCCACCACTCTTCACACCTGGAATTGCCTCTATGTCACACTGAGAGCATCGTTTTTACAGAATACTGAGCTCCACGAGATGAGTCTTTCCTGGACCATGAAATGCCATGCAAGGGTTCCTCCCCCTAGGAAATCTCACATAGAATCCTTTTTGTGATTTATCTCTTTCCCCCTAAAGAACATTACAGAACGGGATGTAGATAGTAGGAGGGTGATATTACTGGATGTAATAAATAAATTGACTCAACTTCAAATGACTTTTACTTCATTTACTGGAAATGTATTCTACCTTAACAGTACTATAATTCTATTAATGCTAAAATAAAAAATATAAATATGATTAATTCCCAATGTTTGTATTTTTGAAGATAAGTGGCAAAATCACTTTGTGTCAGCTGATTTGGGGGGGGTTCTTCGATTTTTTTTAATTGACAAATGTACATATTCATGAGGTAAGTAGTGATGTTTCAATATAATGTAAAGTGATCAGATCAAGATAATTAGCATATTTATCATCTCAAACATTTATTTTTTTGTGTGTTGGACATGTTCGATATCATCCATCTACCTATTTGAAACTATATATTATTAACTGTAGTCATCCCACTGTGATACAGAATACTAGAACTTACTCCCCTTATCTAGCTGTAATTTTGTATCCTTTAACAAATCTTTCCTCTATACCTCCCTTTCCCCTACCTTTCCAGCCTCTAGTATTCTGTTCTTTTTACTTCTATGAGATCAACTTTTTTTTTAGTGTCTGCGTATGAATGAGAACATGCAGTGTGTAACTTCCTGTTCCTGGCTTATTTCACTTAACATGAAGTCCCCCATTTCTGCCCATGTTGCTACAAATGACAGGATTTCATTCCTTTTTATGGTTGAATAGTATTTCATTGTGTATATGTACACATTTTCTTTATCCATTCATCTGTTTTTGGACACCTAGGTTGATTTCATATCTTGGCTATTGTGAATCGTGCTGCAAAAAAACATAGGAGTGCAGATGTCTTTTCAACATACTGATTTTATTTCCTTTGCATAAATGCCCAGTAGTGGCATTGCTGAATCATATGGTAGTTCTATTTGTAATTTCTTGAGGAACCTCCATATTGTTCTCTATATTGGCTGTACTAGTTTACATTCCCACCAACAGTGTATAAAATTTCCCTTTTCTCTGCATTCTTGCCAGCATTTGTTATTTTTATTTTTATTTTTTTGTCTTTTTGATAATAGCAATCCTAACTGGGGTGAGATGATACCTCATTGTGGTTTTGATTTGCATTTTCATGGTGATTAGTGATGTTTAGCATTTTTCATATATTTGTCGTATGTTTTCTTTTGAGAAATGTCTATTCAGATAATTTGCCCATTTTTAAATCGGATTGTGTGGGATTTTTGCTGTTGAGATGTTTGAGCTACTTGTATATGCTGGATAGTAATCCCTTGTCAGCTGAGTAGTTTGCAAATATTTTCTCCCATTCTGTAGATTGTTTTTTCACTCTGTTGATTGTTTTTTATTTTTTTTTTCTGTGCAGAGGCTTTTTAGTTTGATATAATCAAGTTTGTTTCTTTTTGCTTCTTTTGCCTGTGCTTTTGAGAACTTAGTCATAAAATATTTTCTCAAACCAATGTCCTACAGTATTTCCTGTGTTTTCTTCTAGTAGTTTTATCATTTGGGGTCTTATATTTGGGTCTCTGATTCCTTTTCAGCTGATTTTTATGTAGGGTAAGAAGGGAAAGTCTAGTTTCATTCTTCATTCTTTTGCATATGGATGTACAATTTTCCCAGCACCAATTATTGAAGGAATTCTCCTTTCCCCAATGAGCGTTCTTTGCACCTTCGTCAAAAATCAGTTGGCTGTAGATATGTGGATTAAAGTTTGCATTGTCTATTCTGCTTCATTGGTCTATGTGTCTGTTTTTATGCCAGTATCATGCTGTTTTGGCTACTATAGGTTTGTAGTATATTTTAAGTCTGATAGTGTCAATTTTTTGCTTTTTGAAATGAGTCTATTCCCACATTTGCCAGCACCTTTTATTTTATGCTTATCATTTTTATGAGAAAACTGTGGAAAAAGCTGGCTTTAAATATCTCACTCAGGGCTTTAAAACAGACTAATTTTTAGAGTTTAGATGAGAAATTAAATGCAATTTGTAGAATGGTAAGAAATTAACACCAGCATCAAAAAAACTACTTCAGCTGATGATACAGACAAAATGTTAGAAATGAGTCACCTTGGACTTTACCACATTCTTTTCTTATTATCAGGATAGAAAAGTCTCACAGGCCTTACGAAGTGATGGGGATTGTTTTCCTCCTTGACAATAGAAGCAATGAATAAAAAGTTGAATTTGAGGAGGGGGCTTGGCAAAAACTACTAAATTTCTCAAAAAATTGATTAGACAAAAACAGATGCTTTTAGACTTTGCTAGCAAACCTCAGTTTGGATTGATAGGAAACCTGCTAGCAAAAGTTAGGTTCAATTTACGATAAAAATAATTGGTAGGTGTCAAACATTGTTGTCTCACATAACAGTTAAATGAACCCTCTGAGTAAGGTGACATTATTCGCATTTTGCTGATGAGGAAATCAAGGCTTAGAAATTGCTTTTTATCACTATTACTGATAAATTCAGAGGCTGAACTTGAAGCCATGGCTATCAGACTCTAAGGCACCCTGCCCCTGGCCTTTATTCTGTTCGCAGATTATTCACCAGTCATATAAGATTCATGCATTTGGAGAAGGCTTTTACTTTCATTTTTATTACTTTATTTTCTATATATAAATGATTTTTATGTCATGTAATTTTTATCTCTCCCTCATCATCACCAGTATTGCTCATTTGTTTTATGTAGTAAAACTAGCTAAAAAGTGCTTTTTAAATAATGGTGCATGACTGAAGCTTTATGTTTTTAACTTCAAATATTACATGGGGATGTTAAATATTATTGCAAAAGCACAAAGCTATTTTGAATCAGGTGCATAAAGCTCATAATTGATATTGGCACTGTGTATTTACAATAGTCTAGGGAAGCAACATTTGTCAAAATCATAACCTTGAACAATGCATTTTGTTTTCTTCTAGTAACCCCTTGAAATGTCCAGTTTTTAAAATCCTGGCCACATATCTGCTACCTGGCTGGTTAGGGGTGAAGGAGACAGGACATGCTGAAAGGAACACAGCTTCAGAGGTCACTGAATCCCCACACTGTTCCCTGCTCCCTCCCCTCTTCTGCAAGGACCTGCTGTCCCTCTGTTCAGTGGCTTGGCCACTGCACCCCGATTCAATAACATGATGGGTATATTTACTTAGCTCTGTCAACCCTCAAAATACATTTGCCTGTCCTTAAGTAACAGGAAGATAACCATATTGATGTTTAAAAGTGCTGCCCGTAATTAATTTCTTTCCTTTGAAGCATGGCCATTGTTAACGATCCCTGTTTTACTATGCCTCTTCAGCTGGAGCCATTCTTTGCCATCTAAAAATAAATGGCTTTGTTATGCACATTTATTCCATCTGCATTTATTCCAACTACAGTTAATATATTAATACTAGGAATCCAGGCAGATTAAGTTCACCCATTCGTTTGTCTTCATTATTATAGAATTAGTGATCCTGATCTCCTCAATTCCAGTCTGATTCGTTTCAAAAGATATTGAGTGTGCCTCATCTTTGCTGAATTGCATCTTTGAGGGTGACCATGAATGCATTTAAAATATGTGTTTACACTGCTGACTGGGTCATGGCCTGGCCAATGCAAGTGCTGGTCTTGATTTTCCAGTCCTGCCCAGTGGCTAAGGTAGCATGAATTTTCTCTTGCTCCAAAGCATATGAGTCCAGTTTCTGGTCTTTTCCTGAGCTCTCCATGGAAGAGCCTTGTCTTCAGCGGCAGGCTGTAATTTGATTTTACATAACATGTTTCAGTGGATTTTCTGTAGGATAAGATTCAAATAATTATATAGCCATCCATTTGGCATCTGATAGACATTATGTTCTTATCTGCTTTCTGGTGGATTAGTTAGGATTCTGTTGTGGCACAGGAAAGGAGGGTACTCATGTTCATTTGGCATTCTCAGCTTTGACCTGTTTTCCTAGACCTCCATTTCAGCTTTAGTGGAAACTAAATTATTAATACGATCTGCATTGTGCCTGTGCAGAGAGCTTTATCCAGCCTGTTTTTTAAAGTGCTACCAGGAATCTCTGAAGTAATAGGAAAACAGATTTTTGGAGGCCCTGTGGAATAAGGGAAAGGGCCTGGGCATGGGCTGTGGAGGCAGACCGGCTTGGGTTTGAATCTTGACACAATTACTACTACTTCTCTGTGGAGTGTGAAGTCGGTTACTTAAGCTCTCTGAGCCCCTGTGCCCTCATCCATAATAATGCCTACCATGAAGAGACGCTATGAAGGCTAAATTAAATTGAACATGAAGTGGCCATCCCAATGCAGTGATTCAACAAATGTTAATTCCTCCCACTTCCCCACTCCTTTCTTCATTCCCTTGTCCACCTGGAAGAAATGAGGGTTTATTTTATGCTAAGCATATTTAGTGATAGTCATCAGTGAAAATGGGCAAAGTAAATTTGCTAAAGTGAATTACAAGCTGAGGGTAAATAAATAAGGAAACGATAAATACCTGTATGTGTTTATGTTGGGGGAAGTAGGGAATATGTATTCCAGAAAGGACAGTTAAAACCAGAGCCAAATTTCTAGTAGGAAGAAATGTGGTTTATGGAGGCATTAAACGTGGGGCAGGAGGCTTGGGTTCTAGCGAAGTGTGGTGGTATTTCCCAGATCAACCAGTGCAGCTCCAGCTGCTTCTGCACCAGCACCCCGACAGTCAGTGAAGGTGCCTCGGCCTGCTTGGGAGATTTTCTAAATTGTGATAAACCAGTCCTTCCCCCCTCCCCCCCCAGGCAGGCCTTAATGGGTTACCTTTGAGTTCTCACTAAAGGCCTCCCACTGGCAGTGCTGCTTGACTCCCAGAGCAAAAACCACTTGGAAGAAATTCATCAGCAGAAGTTCAGTTCTAGTGATTCTGGTAAGAGTGCTCATATGCAGTTTCTCAGGGACAATTAGAAGTAGGCAAACCATGAATTGTTGGGTTTTCTTGCTAAATATTAACTGTCAATGCAAAGAAGACTGCTTTCAGAGCTTTTGACAGTGTTTAATACCTGTTGTGCCCCTAGTACTCGTGCTTGATTACTTGTAATGTACTAGAGCATTCTGTGTATTCTTTGGACTTATTTTTTCTCACATCTAAATAGATGTCCATTGTAGAAACCACATTAAACCTAGAGAGGCAAAGATCACCCAGAGAAACATGGCTGTTCCCATTTTGAAATAGATTTTTTCAATGTTTTTCTGTGCGTGTATATACGTCACTTCTTCTTTCCTCCCTTCTCTTTCTTTTGTTTCTCTTCCCTTTTTTCCTCTTCCCAAATGAAGATGAGATAATAATAGTACCTCCTTTTTTGTAACCTCATTTTTCCACTAAAAATATAATGTGAACATAAAAATGAACATATGTCCACTTCAATAAATATATTTCTTTAAATTTTCAAAGGATCTATAGCATATTACTTTATGAGTGTACCAAAAGTACCAACGAATCTCTTATTTTTCTATATTCAGTTTATTTTCATTTTTGTTTTTATGAAAAATGCCACAAAGGACAACAGCACTTCATCTTTTTCCTAAACCCACAGTGTTCTTGTTTTCTACTCTCCTGGGTTTCTGGTGATTTTTGTTTTGTTTTGTTTTGTTTTTAACATGATATTCCAGGTCCTCCATTTTTAAGCCAGAGCTGGTATTTGGAACTCATTTTCCAAAAATCCACTAGCTGACCTTAGTTCTGGTGAGAATAACTCTACTTTTCACCATCCCCAGAGCATACCCTACTTTGTCACTGTGGGTCTTTGTGTTGGTCTGCCTGCAATCACTCCTTCTATCTCATATATACAAATCCTTCCAACTGCTGGGGCTCATCTCCTGCCTCACCCTCTTCCTGAAATGCTAGTTTATCCAGCTGGAAGGAATTTCTTTCATCTTAACTATTATTTTACAACTGTTTGTATCTCTCAGGAAACCAAAGATACTCTACATGGAAGTATAGTTTTTCTGAAGACATCTGATGAAAAGTCACAGGTATTGATTTGGAATGTTGGCAAGGCCCCTAAGGTTGCCCGCCGGATCCCCTTTCCTTGTCTGTTTTATCTCGAGGACCCTGACACTGGTCCTGAGAGTCCTTCCCAGCTCCAGTAGTATCCCTTGTGCTCCTACTGCAGGACACAGTAGGAGCACAAGGGATACTTGGAGCACAAGGCATACAAGGAGCACTTGGGCAGGACTACAAATCACAGTGTGTCCTCTTCTAGCTCCCTTGACACTGTCCTGTAGAATGAAGAAATGATAGTGGGTACACAGCTCTCTGCCCAGGGCTCTGTACTTTTCCTCCAGCCTTCATTAACTCATCTGCAATTCTTTTAGGCCAGTGACTCTCAACTGATGAGAGAAGAGGCTTCATCAGGTTCATCTGGGGTTAGCGTAAGCACCTGGCCTGGTTTGCCCAGGACTGAAAGGTTTCCCAGGATTCCACTTTCAGTGCTAGAACAAGGACGGCTATATCCCTCACTCCAAGAGCATATTAGAATTCATGGAGTGTGGTGGGGCAAATTGTAAAGCAAGGGAGAGATCCTCCATGCCACCTGTCTCTAAAACCATCTCAGCCTTGCTTGCCTTCCGTGACCTTGCCTTCCATCTGTGACTATGAGATCACTTTTTTTCCTCTAGGAGTCCATTTCCCATTTTGTAATTTCCAGTGTCATCAATAGGCTTTATTCCTACCTAAATTTCCTACCATCTCCTGACTGTTTAAGTACAGTGACATCTTCCCCATGTCATGTCATGGTGAATCGATTATATGAAAGTATATAAAATTCAGCTTTGGGCACACCAACTCCTGCTTTCATTATTTAGGGTCTCACCCAGGACCCAATTCTTGCCTTGTTTTTATCTCTCTTCAACTCCCAGGATCTTGTTTCTTATTCATTTGCATTCTTATTTTGATTATTTCCAACTTTGACTTTCCCCTGCCTATACTGCCTTAGCCAAGGGACGGACATTTAAATCTTCTCCCCACACAAGAGGCCCCTGGCCTGGCCACCTTCTACCCGATGAGATATTGGACATAAATAGACATAAAGAACATTACTACTTTCTAATTTAATTCTAGTTTCATTTTTTCCTGTCCCAGTCAGAGAAAGCCCACCATTGTTTTATTAGAAAATGATGGGGGATGCTACAAAGTTATGTAACTAAAATATTGCATGTGCAAGAGGATCACTTTTTACTCAAATTCATATGATGGAGATGACAAACATGATTTCAAATTGCTTTACAATAAATACTGGTTTTAAAAAAATCTACTGATCATGCCTCTATTTTTATACCAATCACTCAAATCATATTTAATGCATTTTTAATGACTTTATAGGCTGCAGATGAAAACACATGATTCAGTCACTTCATTAGAGTGAGTAAATGGATGATTTCATTTATTTTAAGTGAAAAGAAAAGCTACTGTAGACATCTGAATTTAAATCTATAGGATTTATATAAATACATCGGTTTCGAAGGGCAGAGTTGTATGGAAAATTCCCAAAGAGGCTCTAGAGTCAAGGAATCTTAGAGATGGAAGGGACTGTTGAGGTCAGTAAGCCGGGGCCTCTGCAGAGCCAGCCTCTCCTTGACAACAGCTCTATGCTTTGTCAGTCTCTGCTTATGAATTGCCTGTGACTGGAAATGTCCTATCTCTGAACATAGCCCCCATTGCTGAACAGTTCTGATTGTTAGAACATGCTCTCTTATTTTGAGACTAAACCTAGCACCCTGTCATGGCCACCCATATGCCAGCTATTTATATAGATAAAGATAGTGATATGTTGGTGCTGCTGCTTCTCTTCAAGTTAAACGCTCCCTGTTTCTTTAGCTGGTCTTCATAAGACAGAGAATCGTGATACCCCTTAAATCCTCTCTTAGCCATCATGAGATAACTAGAATTGACACTATTTCATGTGTGGATTGTCTAGATCATAATATATTGATGTAGTACATCCACAGTTGTTGCCACAATTGGTAAAAGGGGCCAAAGTCACAGTTGTTTTGGGGAGAAGGCAGTTGAGAGCCCATTCAGACCATTTTCATGGGAACTTTGTTTCTGTTTCACATAAATTTTTTTCTTCCTCTTTAACTTTTAGTTTTATCTCTTGGTTGGCTTTGAAATATATGAATTTAACTGATTTGTGGATATACTGCAACATTTATAAACAGCGGTAAAGTGTAGAATTATAAAGATGTGAAAGCTTTTTCCCTCTAATATTCTATCGTCTGTGTTTTCCATTGTAGTATTTCCCATTACCTTATGCCTCACACTTAGAAATTATATTCTAAATATTGATTAAGGAACAACCCTATGGTCTACATTGCTTTCTCTTTTTTCTACTTCCACTTGGCTTCCACCCTTCTATTTATGTTTCTGCTTTCTTTTCTCACCTTCTTCATCGGAGAAGTTTTCACTAAAATTCACTAGAACAGATGGAAATATTTTAATATCAGTTTGGATACCAGAAAGGAACAAGTTATGTAATGTGTTAAAATTTATGAAAGGCTGATTTTCATATAGTTCAGAATAACAAATTTAATAAACAGTTGGCTTCTTAGGGACTGAATCCTTAGATACTAGCAAGTATGTAGAATTATCTTGACTGGAGAATTACCCCATAAGAAGGACATAAAAAGAACAAAATTCTGAAACATTTGAGTATTTGTTGTAGTGCAGTGAATATGAAACATACATGTTTTGATTCAACAATATTTCAACATTTTGGTTCAAATATTTTTATGCTCCAGGGGTACAAAAAAATAAAACATGCTTCCAGTCCCTTGGGAACTGGCAGCCTATTAAGAGAGACAGACAACTTTAAAATAATTAAAATAGTCTTACAGTTGATATAGAAAATGTATAAGGTGCAGCCTCACCAACATCTGATATTTTTTGACTTGTTAACAATAGCCATTCTGACTGTATAAGGTGGACCTCATTGTGGTTTTGATTTGCAGTTTTCTGGTGATTAGTGATGTGGAGCGTTTTTTCATATGTTTGTTGGCCACTCGTATGTCTTCTTTTGGAGATCTTATGAAGGGGCACATCTACCAGGGCAGAGGGTAGAGATGAGACAGATGTGTAGATTGAAGGAGTCTTGAAAACTGAGAAGTGTGGCAGATATTGTAGGGAGCACAGATAGAAATGCTTTGAAAATTAATGGGACATGATGACTTACTGAATGTGGTTGGAAGAGAAAGGAAGGATCCCGAAAGAACCTGTCAGTGATGTCATGTGTGAGTGTCTGTAACCAATATGTGGTGATACCTTGTATTGAGAATGGAATGCACAGGGATTGGTTTCCACTTATTTAGGTTATGCCCCCTCCTTTCCTCCCGATTTCCCCTATTACTTTCAACTATTAACAGTATGTTTGCAAAGTAAGAAATGTTATCTCAGGTTGATGTTTAGCTTGAGTTTTCAGAGCTAGCTCACAAATGCTGAAGTTCTAGATTTGGAACATCCGAGAACACGGAAATCTACCAAGCTGATGAATTAGAAACCTGGAGAATAATTACTGAATAATTTTGAGAAGTGTTGAAGCCACTGATTTTTGTCTAAGCTGTCATTCACTGGGCATGATAAATGTTAGAAATACTAATTAAAAGCCTTCTCAGATCTAGACTATGGCAATCTTTGTGATAAGAACTGTGATGTTATAATTGTGTTCTCCCATTTACTGCGCTGTAAGTATTTGTTGGATTCATGATAGGGCCTTCAAAACAGTGTCATGTTTTAATGCATTCTTCTACTTTGAGAGCAATATTTGAATAGTGATTTTTATATATTTTTTCTTTTTAAATTAATTTTTCAATGCTATTCATAGCGATTTTTAAAAAATGGAAAATTAGAAGAAAATCATCCACAGTAAGCTCTGCATGATTAATATAATCCATTTCTTTTTCACATGCTGTAATAGCATTAAAAGTTTAATTTTCAGAAGTTTAGAGAAATGAAAAAGGAAGCATCTTGAAAAACAATTTTACATGAGAATAGTTTTTCCTTTCAAATCTTTTTGTTAACAAAAATAGGCACGATTACACTTAGATGTAAGAATGCTTGGAAAAGTTGCCAAGCTAAGTCTAAACAACATGGACTAGGTTTCACTTGTCTGAAATGTGCTACCTTTATTGAAAGATTGTTTAAAGTTTGAAGCTACATTTTAAAGATTTTTGCAAGAACATTAAAATGCACTTGGCTGATCTTTTTATAAAATACCTCTGAAGAAGTGTACATAATATTTTAATGAAAAATGTCACCTTAATATTAAAATCTCAAATTACCAGTAAAGAATGCCGTTACCCCAAAATCCATGAGACTAATTTTCTAACTCTTCTTGTAGTTTGTGTTAATGTGTGTTTGTAAATCTCTCTGTATGTTTAATTTCATTAACCTGACATTGTATATCAGTATAGGCAGTTAATAGTTCTAGCAGAAATAAATAAACAGATATCTAACGTGATAAGAGTTTATCTTAGATAAGAGTCGAAGTAGACAAACATGAGAGAGAACAGTTCACAGTTCATTTTGTTTTAAGATGAAACAGGTATCTACTGCTCAAATAGTTATGTTAAACAGGAAGTTCCCTGGATGGAATGATTGTGAGATATACAATGACATTTACCAATGTAAAGAAATCTTTTTATAATAAGAATAATTGTGTCTTGTTGTATCTGTGTTTGAGGTCACATATTCAATTATCATAAAATGAGGCATACATATATTCTAAGGCAAGAGGCCTTCTTAGACTCAGCCTTTTGTGCTGTAGACCACAGCTGGGTCATTGACTTCAGATAGGACTAGGAAGTCCCATAGTCCCTCTTGTCAGAATGGGGAATATAACAGGAATGAATAGCCCAGAACGTTAGCTTGAACTTGCAATTTAATAATGTTGAGCTTCTAGTTGCATTCTCGGCAATGTTTACTTTCATCTCATAACAATAAACTGTTTATGGTAATGTCCTAGTAAAGTGTGGCACTGAATCTGAGACATGTGGCACAAGGAATCCTTCAGCTTTCGTGTAAATGTGCAGCCAAAGATGTTCATTTTATTTGCTTATTTGCTTTACAATTATATGTCCAGAAAATTCTGAAAGGAACTCTGTGCTTAGATCTTGTTAGTTTTTACTGTTTCTAGGGAGTTTTTTTTTAAACCGAAGTATAATTTAGATACAGTCAAATGCACTGATCCTAAGGGTATAGTTAATCAGCTTTGACAAATGCACACAGTCATTTAACCTATTCCTTCCACAAGATGTAGAACCTTTCATCAGCCCTGAAAGTTCCTTTATTCCCTTCTATAGTCAGTATCCCCCTGCTACTTGAAGCAGTCAGCGTTAGGATTTCCAGCACCAGGTTGGATCTTAATGTTAATTCTTAGAGGTTATATGTCAGACTGACATGTCAAAAAGGATTTTCAAAACTATGTTTTATCTGAGGAGTTTTTTTCTCCATAGAGAATTATTCAGAAGTACGTGAATGGGGATTTAAAACTCAGCCATGCAGATTTCCATTCTATTGCTTCTAAAACACATGACAGCATTCTGTGTCTAATTGTTATTAAAGGAGGAGCAGGTCAGTTTCCAGCCTGTCAAAAATATTTCAAGTAATTTTCTTTCTTGTTTTCATTTGGCTCTATTTTAATTTCCACTTATGCTAAAAAATTGCTGCCAATCCATCATGATTATACCTTAACTTTGTGTGGTGTATACTCCCTTTGTGTAGGGCGTAGATGATCAATACATGTAAAGTTAGTAAGAACAATCAATAAACATCATGAATAAAGCCAAACAGCTCAGTACACCCCCCGCACTGAGTTTGGAGAAGCAATGTTTGCCTTGGTATCTATCAGCCTCTGTGGGGTGATAGGAGATCAAGTCAAATACTCCCCACATACGTACCTTCTCCATGACTATGTGCCGTTGCATGAAATGTGAAGCTCCGTCATTTGGATCTCATGGTAGCCAGACAATACTTTTGTTCTTTTTCTTGGAAAGTGTGTGTGTGTGTGTGTGTGTACATGCACTAGTGTATAGCATCATGTATTGCCCCTAGAGATTTTCTCTTCCCTTCTTTTAGTTAATGTGCTCTTCTTGATAAATAAATTTCAGAGGCAAGGTTGTAATAAACTGAACAATGCAGTGAGATACACAATTCTAGGATACAGGGCTACTTGTATTTCATTATTGCAACACGTGGAGTATACAATGAAATTGCACTGCTGTTGTAATTTATTCTCTTTATTAAAATAGACAAGCATTAGACAAGCCATAAAATTTCCATCTGCATTCACAGCAGGCTCCCACCATCTGAAATACAGATTTTCCCCCTTCTCTTGAAAACACCCAGGACTGAAACATTTTAATATTGGGGATCAAGAGAATTATAATATTTAATTTCTGAAAGCGATGGTTATCCTCATCAGTGCTTTCAACTGCTGCATCCATTTTAAAGAGAAAGCTCGCCTTTTATACTTAAATGTCACTGAGGACACAGGAGTTGGGTCAGAAAGATCTGCAGTGCAGCAGGGGGAAATGAATGGGTTCCCAGCTTGGTAATTCTGCTGTAGTTCTGCTTCTATCACCCTACCAGCCTAATCACCTTCAGAAGGAAAACAAAAGGCATTTTTGCAGTGTGCTGATGATCACCCCAGAGGCAAGGCAACGATTGTTGTTTTAGCACATTTTTCCCCACTGCCTGAAGGAGAAAAGCTTTTAATAATGGGAAATTGCCAACCAAGGCATGTAAAAGTGAAAGCCTCCTTCTCTGGCTAGAGGAAGAATTCATTTCTTTCTTTCTCTAATTTCAAAGCCAAACATTTGCTTGACATTTTAGGCATAGAAAGCATAGAGTCCTATAAAGATAGTTAAGAAGGTAATTGTAAATTCTAATCCTCTTTTTAGCAAACTGTTCCCCCACTTGGAGAATATTCTGTTTCAATTTTTCATAAAGGCAGTCTGATGAAAAATTTAAACAAACTCTTTTAGGAGCAAGTCTTCCGTCAGATGTCACGCCAAGCTCCCATTTGGTAGGAACGGTTATGTAAGGCAGTCTGTGCCATCTATCTCAGTAATAGACATCTAACAGGAATCCAGGGTCCAGGAAACTCTAATGCTTGTCTCTCCCTGAAGACTTCATGTTTGTGGTATTTCTGCCTCTGTTAACTTAAGTGTAACAGAAAATTTTAACAAGGTTAATCTCTTTAGAACGATGTTGGGAAAGGAGGATATATATTCTCTCCTTGGAGAGTAAAATAAAATGTTCACGCAGTACTATAATTAGGTAAATATAGTAAGAATAAAAATGATAATAGAGCACGTTTTTTCATTGGATAAAGGGATGGGATACAGTGCTTTGAGAAGGACCTCCAAGGACACTGAAGGGGAAACCGAAAAAATAAGAGTTCTGAAGTCTTAAGCGGTACATATTGATTTATTATTTACAAAGGACTTTCATGTACATTATCACATTTGATCCTTGTAACTCTGTGAAAAAGGATAGTGTCATTTTCACAGAAGTTATACTACTTGCTCAAGGTCAGTTGGCTACCAAGTTACTCTGAATCCTGAGTGATTTCCTCCCTGCCTCCCCTCTTTCCTCCTTCCCTTCCTCCCCAAGCCCCCTCACTTCCTGCCTCTCTTCTTCCCCCTTCTTTCTTCCTTCAATGTATTAAACAGGAAAAGTCTAGTATCTCCTCTTATTCTGCTAGAATAACCATTTCAGGCACATATCCATGGTGAAAGCAGGAAAGAAAGGTCTAAGCCTAACCAGATTGTATCACAGAGACCTGGAGGAGGTGCTGAAAGTGCCTCCTTTCCTGGCAGGGTCATTATCACTAAGGTAAAAACAGAGAAAGAGCAGTTGGGCTTTAACAAAGAATTTGTAAGTACAGTGGTTTAATTTTTTTGTTTTTTTCGAGACAGAGTCTGTCTCTGTCACTCAGGCTGGAGTACAGTGGCATGATCTCAGCTCTCTGCAAACTCCGCCTCCCGGGTTCAAGCTATCCTCTTGCCTTGGCCTCCCAAGTAGCTTGGGAGTGCGTGCCACCAAGCCTGGCTAATTTTTGTATTTTTAGTAGAGACGGGATTTCACCATGTTGACCAGGCTGGTCTCGAACTTCTGACCTCAAGTGATGATCCATTTGCCTTGGCCTCCCAAACTGCTGGGATTACAGGTGTGAGCCACCATGCCTGGCCTAATATTTTAGTCCTAAAACACAGGTATTTTGCCCTTAACAGGTGAGAGACTAAGGTTTGGTACAACTTACAGAGATTAAATGTGTGTGAAGTTGTTTCAACAGCTGTATGTATATGGTAATTTATTGTCATATTATTATTACTGTTACCACTCTCACTGCTGCTGACACAATCATAGTTTATCTTGGTGGTTAGGAGTCAGTCAGCTCTGGAGTAGGATTCCTGGATTTCCTGTGTTTAAGTCTCACCTCTGTTGCTTACTAACAGTGTGGCCTTGGGCTTGTTAATTAACCTCAGTCAATTTCCTCATGTATAAGATAGAGACAACAATAATCCGTCTCTCAAGGGGATCATTGGAAAAATTTCCTGAAATGGTCAACGTAAATTGTTTTAGAAGTGCTAAATAAGTCCCTGATGTTTTTCTCTCGTTCCATTTAAAGAGTATACTTCTGATTAAATCTTGGTTGAGACTTTTAAAGTTTCTCAATACTTGTCAACAGCAGGTATTTCTTAAACACTAGACAACCAAGAGAGAAATGCTTCTAATAACTGTTAAATGCTTATAATGTCATGCAATATCATATAATTCAATTTTCCCTTTTAAGAGCAGATTGATTGCCCTTTATTGTTTTAGAGATTTATTTTACAACAAACATGAAAACTGCTCAAGGAAAATGGTGATAGGTGTTATCAGATTTGGATTAATAGAATTTAAAGTGGAATTTGGGAGTAATCTTCAAAGCATGGGGATCTATAACTTCATAAGAAAGTATTTTTTATAGTTTTTGATTTCTTGAATATCATTTAGCAACTTATGTATCTTTTACATTGAATGATATCTCTGTAACAGAAAAGGCTAAAAGATCTTTATAAAGAATATCTTGCTAATATAAGAAGTTTTTCATTTCCCTCATCTCATTTTCTATTCTTTCCTTTTTTCAATAAATATTTTAGCATCTATTTTTTAGGCACCATACAAGATGAGGGAAAATGGCAAATAATAGCCAAAGCCTTGACTTGGAATTTAAAGTCTGTGTTTTTCATTCCTTGAAATGTATTACACAAATATTTCACATTTAAGTGTGTGGTAATTTGGGGGTATTTGTTCTCAAAAAAAAATCCACAAAAGGTGGATGTTGTCTTTACCCTTTGGAAATATAGAAAATGTCTCTGAATTTATGTTTCCTTTTTTTTTTGTTATTTGTTTAAAACATACAGTTCTTCCCCATTTACTTACAGTTTTGTAAATTGTCCACATTAAAAATTGTTACCTTATTTTCTCATTACATTAGGAAACAGTTTACTAGTAGGCTCTATGGCTATATTGTCTTATTTTTCTAACAAATTACGTCCATTTTTTAATTATACTTTAAGTTCTGGGGTACATGTGCAGAATGTGCAGGTTTGTTACTTAGGTATACACGTACCATGGAGTTTGATGCACCCATCAATCCACCATCTACATTAGGTATTTCTCCTAATGCTATCCCACCCGTAGCCTCCCACCCCCCAACAGGCCCCAGTGTGTGATGTTCCCCTCCCTGGGTCCATGTGTTCTCATTGTTCAACTCCCACTTATGAGTGAGAACATGCGGTGTTTGGTTTTCTGTTTCTGTGTTAGTTTGTTGAGAATGATGGTTTATCATTCTCAGCAAACTAATATATCCATTGTTATTATTAACTCTTCTCTTGAGATACCTCTTTACATCATTTCTAGATCACTTGAGCAGCCTTAATCATTTTCTCTTTTTTTTTTTTTGAGACCGAGTCTTGCTCTGTCACCCAGGCTGGAGTGCAATGGTGTGATCTTGGCTCACTGCAACCTCTGCCTCCGAGGTTCAAGCAATTCTCCTGCCTCAGCCTCCCAAGTAGCTGGGATTAAAGGCACCCACCACCATGCCCGGCTAATTTTTGTATTTTTAGTAGAAACAGGGCTTCACCATGTTGGCCAGGCTGGTCAGGAACTCCTGACCTTCAGTGATCTGCCCGCCTCAGCCTCCGAAAGTGCTGGGATTACAGGCTTGAGCCACTGAGCCCGGCCTGTTTTCTCTTAAAGTTAAAAAAAAAAAAAAAAAAAAAAAACACTTCTCCTTCCTCTTTTTTAACTACAGTGGGCTGGTAACACCTTTGTTGTTAGCTTAAAAATAAATTAATCCTATCTTTTTATAAAAACTTACGATGTTTTTCTATAAGAAAAGGGATTTAGAAAGGACATTATATGCATATGTTCCATTTTCCTGGTTGTACTGCCTTTTTCATTCTCATTTTTGATATGTACATCATATTTACTCTTTTGTTCTGTGATTCATGTTAAGGTTGTTTTGTTTTGGTACTTTTGACATTGGTGTGACTTAAGGAAATTGTAATGTTTTGAATTTCTTATTGGGCTGTGCCCTTATAATTTCTAATGAAAACATACTCATATGCCCTTTGGGGCCATCACAGTCGGAGAAGTGTTGCCCTGTACACTTAGCCACGCGCCCCAACCTAGAAAGGGTCGTGTGTTGAGAACCTCAGATAGTTGTTTAAGTTGCACATTCTCAATTCTATGGAATCTTCCCTATTTTGCCCTATCTGGGCCCTTTATTCTCCTCTAATTTTCTTGCCTCTATCCAGATACAAGTGGTTGGAGGAGTGATATATTTGTTAGGAATGTCTTTAGCTACAAATAGCAGTGCGTCTGACTAACAGTGAGGTAAACAAAGAGGGGTTTCTTTTTCCCCCACAAAACAAGCAATCTGAAGGTAGACAGCTGCTGGTGCTATTTCGGTTTAGTGATGTTGGCCTTCGCTCCCTTCGTTCCATGCTGCAAATCTGCATTCAAGATGGAAAGAAGTGAACGACAGGGCCAGCTATTCAGTGCCTTTATCAAAAAAAGCAGATGCCTTCCCAGAAGTCACAACCAACCTGGGTTTATATCCCGCTGGCCAGAACTGCATGTTGTATTGCGCCCCCCGCCCCCCTCCCCCGCCCGCCCGCCGCAACCCCAGCTGCAAGGGAGACTGGAAAAGTAAGTAGTTGGCATTTCTGCTGGAAAGGGTAGCAAAAGAAAACGGCTTGGGAATATCCAATGGATGAACAGAGAACAAGTCATCTATGTCCAGGATAGCCCACCCTATCTACTCTCCAGGACCAGCTCTAATGTCCCCGGGTAAAGCCTTTCCCAAATTCCTCAGACAGAGTTTTTCTCTGTGAATCCACCTGGTTCTGCGGTCATCATCAACTAGACTGAGTGTGCTCTCTGGGCGAGGGCTCCATCACCGCCCATGGTACCTGAGAGATGGTGCTCAGTGAAGGTTTGCTAAGAAATGAATCAATGTGTGGGGATCCTCTCAGTGTTACCTGAAGCCAGCTGCTGGAGGTATGCAGAGTGCTGAATGAGGAACTCTCCTTTCCACCTGACATTCCATCCTTGTCCCTGGACATTCCCTGATGAAATGCAAAACCACAGCCCTGACCACTCAATCGTATTCATTAAGATCCTATGGGGAGCTTTTGGCCAAACCCCTGCAGGCTCACGTGCGATAGAAGTATTCTCATTTGGGACAGTAAGCTTTCTGCCTTCCTAAAATTCTTACACAGTTTTAAATAGTGATAGCCATTTAGTCTCTTGATGATATAAATCTTAGCTCAGCATAACAATCAGTGCGGTTTTCTGAAACGAGAAAATGTACAAAATATCTATTCATAGGAATTATTCTTGGTTATGTCTGAATAGGCATATAATTCAAAATATAGTTTATACTTCCTGGAATTTACCCAAATAAGATAGTTAAACAAGTGTGCAAAGATATATGTACAAAGTTGTTTTTTGTTTTTTTCTAGCAGTGTTTTTTAATGAAATTTGGAAACATTCCAGCTCTTCACTATGGAGTTAGGTTAAATGGATAATGGAACACTATTGAATCATTAAAAGTGACCACATAGGACATCCTGAGAGTATAGATATGTTGTGGGGCATATCAAGTAGGCTGTGTGTATGTGAGAAGTAACCTTCTCTGCTTACAAAGCTGAAATTATGCATATATAGGGGTGGCTGTTCACCAAAATGTTAAATAATGATTATCTCTTCATGGTAACATTTTTCAACCTTAAAGTTTTTTGTATTGTTTTATTTTTGAAACCGTGTGTATGTGTTTTCCAATAAGAAAAAGCAGTTTTCACAAAACATAATTTTCCCAAAAAATGCTTTAGGTTAATGAAAAAAAAAGTCTGAAGAACTATGTACAAAACTTCAACTTACTTGACCCAAATTAACAATAAAACTGGATTAACGACCTTTCTCTTCTAATTCACAAGAATGGAAAATCAGGACAAAAAGTGAACTATAACTAGGAATATATTGTAAATAATAATCCTCAGAATATTTCTTGGACTACATCTCTTCCACTTCCCCCATACCTTGTTCCACTACAATGAATGATATCCCTGACTACAAACTCCTGCCAGTTCCTTTCTTACTGAATAAAGTGACTGAACTATATGAAATACAAGTGGAATAATACATTGATGAAATATTTTCAACATCAAGATCTAAACAAAAGGTATTTTCTGAAAAGTCTTGAGTTAAACCGAAAATTAAATTCACAATTCTATTCCCTAAACATTCCAATTAATAAAGCATTCACCATAGAAACTTTGAAGAAGTGGTTTTAAAACTCTCACTTTGAAATTCTAGTGTATCAAAGGACTATTACTGTTAACCACAAATACAGGTGAAAACTCCCGAGAGCAGTTCACTCATACTATTGTATTGCCCTGCTTTTTGGTAAGTAGAATAATTGTTAGTAGCAAAATTCCGATAACTCAAGTGGAAAATATATTCGAAAGGTAAAGGTACACATTAATTCTGTGGAATACTGAACAGCTTCCTTAGTCGAGAAAGAAAAGAAAACCCCAGAAGAAAGATTTCAAAAAATAGAATTGATCCAATGTCTTGATTCTGGAATATGTCCAGTATCTCTCATCTTCTTGTTGATAAAAACCTGCATGAGTTTTCAGACTAGTAAAGATTTTTACATTGTATTAATTCAGAAAATCTATCTGGTCTATTGTTTTTAATAATAATTTAAGCAGGTGTGGCATTTTTCATTTTCACCAATCTTTCTTAGAAAAAAATTGATAATCTTTCTGTGTAAATCTTCCTTTTTCTTTCATGGGTAGATCATAGGTAGAAATCAAGAAATATAATTGTTTCTCTATTTAAATAAGGGTTTTACACGATTAGATTTAAAGGTTAAATGTGATTTTTTATTCAAAAAAAAATCTTTAAGCTTCAATAAATCCAGCTCCTGTCTCCCGGGATATCCTGTCACTAGAAGGAAAAGAGAGTATTTTAGACAGTACTTTTTTTTTTGACACTGGTCTCACTGTCACCCAGGCTGGAGTACAGTGGCGTGAACTGCAGCCTCAACCTCCTGGGTTTAAGCAATCCTCCCATCTCAGCCTTCCCAGTAGCTGGAACTACAGGTGCATACCACTATGCCCAGCTAACTTTTTAATCTTTTGTAGAGACAGGGTCTTACTATGTTATCCAGGCTGGTCTCAAACTCCCGGGCTCAGGCAGTCATCTTGCCTCAGCCTCTCAAAGTGCTGGGACTACAGGCATGAGCCAACGCTCCAGGCCCTAGATAGTACTCTTTATTTTTCTCTTCACATAGTAAGAAATATTTCATACCAACTTTATTAAAAACAAAATGAAATAGATGTCCCACTGTAAGTTTCTTGACCTTTTAGCTGAGCACTCTTATTCTTTTAGCTCCCTGGAATAAAAGAATTGTTTCTGATAAAAGTAGATCCTCACTTAATTCCTTCAGATTTTGGTCAAAACAGGCAAATAAAGTAAGCCTAAAAGCGCAGTTGTCTCTCACTCTGCCAGGCACACATATAGGCACGCATGTACACACAGAGTACCAGATGCAACAAGATTTGAAACTGTGGTTAAGAAGCTCTATAACTATCAAAACTATTTTATGGATCCTAAAAACACTAGATATTTTAGATATCTTTTAGGAATCAGTTAATGTACTATTTTATTATACTAGTTCAGAAGTTTGGAGAGTACTGATGCCAAATAGAAATTTTAGAAACGAATAGTAGAGTTGTGCTTAATCCTTTAAGTTTGGTCTAATTTGATTACTTAGTATAATGGTTAAGAATTTTTATATTTTAGATAGTATGGCTGAACTCTTCATTCAAATTGGCATGTGACTTAAAAGAGCTTTGACTGATTGATAATCCTTTGATTAGTTTTAGAGACAGGGGCTTTCTCTGTCACCCAGTCTAGAATGCAGTAGCATGATCATGGCTCATTGCCTTGAACTCCTGTGCTCAAGCGATCCTCCTGCCTCAGCTTCCCAAAGTCCTGGGATTACAGGCATGAGCCACCACAACTGGCCCAAATAGCTTTGTTTTTAAAGGGATTTTTAAAAGACCAATTAGTAAGGATTTAGATCAAATTACTCTAAGGAAATCATAAATCACACCAATAAAATATAATCTGAACTTAAGAATACATGTGACAAATGCTTAAAAGAACCTCAAACTGACTGGTATATGATAGGGTGCTTTAGTAAATAATAGTAGTTAATTTATGTGTGAATTGGAAAGATGTTATTAGCTCTTTGCCAAAGTTGGGCTTGGTATATATTTGTAGAGAGAAATTGATCCAAGGGAGCCACTCTGACTAACACTTCCAACCAAGGTGTGAGGCATATGCTTTAGCTGGAGAGGAGTGCTATTGAGGCCACTGACATCACAGGGTCTCAATCAAATTGGGAGAGTGAGGGCAGCAGGTGCTTATAAAAGAGGAGAGCCAGATGTCTTTATGAACCACTGTTATTTCTCATTACCATGTATGTAGACATGGCATGCAAGCAGACATCAGGCATTCCTTGAGCACCTCCCTAGTGTCAGACACTGTTTTACACACCAGGGTTACAGTAGTGAATAAGACAGCATGAGACCCTGCAAGAATAGGGCTTATAGCTAGTGGAGATAGTCAAACAATCAACATGTGAACAATAAGCCAATAAGATAACTGCAGGTCCAAATAAATGTGTGAAGAAGGTACACTCGGCTAAGGTGGGTAGGTAGTAACTAGAAAGAGTTGCTTTATTTATTTAGGGTGGTTAGGATAGACCTCTCAGAAGAGATGACATTTGAGTTATAATCTGAATTACTAAAATAAAAAATCTTTTCCAAAAAAAAAAGGTTTATCAAACAGAAGGAACAACAAGTGCAAAGACCCTGTGGATTGATCTAAGCTGGTGTGTGTTAGGCTCAGAAAGGTGGCCAGTGTTCTAGAAGTAAAGTGAACAGAAAGAATGGCAGCAGGTGAAGTTAAATTTGACCTTGATGGGTCTGTTCTGCAGCCAGCTGTAGCTACATCAGCAAGTCAGTCAGATATACAAGTAGGGATGTCAATCAGGAGCCTAAATCTGAGACATGAGACAGCCATCTGTGAGTGTATTGAATTTTAAACCAATGGAACTCAGTGAGAGGGAAACTAAAGAATAGAGGATGACTGAGCACAGAGCACCCCATCATTTAGAGATCTAGAAAAGGAAGAGAAACCAAATGAGAGGCTGAGAAGTAAAACACAGTGAGGCAGGGGAAAGACCAGGTAAGCCTGCATGATTGTCTAGGGAGGAAAGTGATTTGTGAAGGAGGGTGTGGCCAACCAACAGTGTCTGATACAAGGGAGGTGCTCAAGGAATACCTGACATATGATTGCATGCCCTATCTACATAATGGCTTTGTAAGATGTAGGTTACTGGCAGTCTTGCTAGGTGGGTTAAAGAGAGGAGCAAGATAAAGAAGTAAAACAATATATTGGAGCATTTTATGGTGAAATGCAGCAGATAAATGACATAGTAGCTGGAAAAGTGGGATAAGAGAGAAGTTTTGGGTGTGTGTGTGTGTGTGTGTGTTTGTGTGTGTGTGTGTGTGTGTATACATATGCATGTTTTAAGTATGAGAAGGATAGGAAAAGCATCTCCTTGATGGGAAGATGACTGTAGAGATGGAGAAATTGACAATGTAAAAGGGACAGGAGATAATGGCAAAAGCTGAGTTTTTGAGAGGGCAAGAGAAGCCCAGAATGATGTGAGGAAGTTAGCACCCACATTCAAGGGTTGGCCTTAGAGAAAGGCAGGGATGCTTCTGCCATTGCAGAAGGAGAGAGAGTAGGGTGCCTGGAACAGATTCAGAAGGTTGGCAGAGTGGCAGTCAGAGATGAAGTAGTACTCATCACATCGTATCCATTTTCTCTATGAAGTATGAGGGATGGCTGGAAGTGAAAAATGAAGAGGGTTTAAAGAATGGAGAAAGATTAGGTATGAAATAATTTTCTTATTTGGCTGAAAAAGCAAATTTGCTAAGTAAGTTTATAAGACCTTCTGGCACTGTTGAGGGTCCATTCAAGATTCATAGTAACAAATTTGAAGTATGCCCAGTCAGCAAAGTCAGGTGGTTTTCTCTGGGATTATTCAACTGTGCAACTCGATTTCCTTATACATATTGAAGGTATGGCTGAAATGCTGAGAGCAAAGCATATAAAGGAAGTGATTACAGAGGAGGTCATAGAATATAAGCTGATAAGGAGGAAACTGAAGATAAGAGGGAGGTGATCGATAGTGGAAGATAAGAGGGAGGTGATGGATAGGCGGAGTCTGGATATGAAGGTCTGTATGGAATGGAATACCAGAACAAGTGAGCCAAGAGACACAAGGGAATGGTTAACTGGAAATACCCACAATAGTTACTTTGGAGGTGACGCAGCTGTTGGTGATTAAATTTAGCATGTGCCCACACCAGTGTATGGCTGAAGTGGATTGGAGAAAGAGCCTTGGAGTGAAGGAGGTCAAGGATGTAAGAGGCCAGAGCCTCAGAAACATCACTACCTGAATGTTGAAGCTGCAAAGAAAGCCAGGATCAATAGTGGAGTAAAAACGATGGGCCATGGAATGTAATCACCAGTGACCAAGGGCAGTGATGAGGATAGGAATAGTAGGGTGATCAGAAAACATAGTAATTGTCTGGTGGGCCAGGCACGGTGGCTCACGCCGGTAATCCCAGAATTTTAGGAGGCCAAGGCGGGTGGATCACTTGAGGACAGGAGTTCAAGACCAGCCTGGCCAACATGGCAAAACCCCATCTCTACTAAAAATACAAAAATTAGCCAGGCGTGGTGGTGCATACATGTAATCTCAGCTACTGGGGAGGCTGAGGCACAAGAATCGCCTAAACCCAGGAGGCAGAGGTTACACTGAGCTGAGTTTGCACCACTGCACTCCAGCCTGGGTCACACAGTGAGACTCCATCTCAAGGAAATGAAAAAGAAAGCATAGTAAGTGTCTGGGAAACATGGACTTTTGATAGTGATCAAGGGGACCTTGGATATTAGGTGAGGTGAGACTGCTCCTGGAAATCTCTCCGGGAGGATGGTTGGCAATCCAATAGAGTCCAAAGCATTTAGCTGGGGCCAATGTGCAAGTGTTCTAACCTCCAGCTACTGCACAGTTGGATAGACAGGGATTTTTTTCTCTGAGGGAGCTTCATGAGCTAGGAGTCCCCAAGGGAGGAATTGGAATGGTCATTCTCCTCAAGCCAGTAGATGCCACACCTTCTGGGGACATAGAGCAAGTGGAAACCTCTGAGCATACAATCTTTCCAGAGTCAGTAGGGTTATTACTGACTGTATATGTAGACTGAATCCAGTATATAGATACATGCACAGAGGCAGTTCTCAGCTCCCAGATGACTTTAGAAATCTATGTATGTGAACTCAGAACTCAAATTTCCTGTGAAAATTGTGTTTAACAACAGAGGGTGTCATTCTCAGGGAAGTGTGTGAAGACATTTCACATGCAGGATGGCTAAACCAGAGGTCTAAGGAGACTACAGTGCTCACCATGCCTCAGATTATTTCTACTGGAAACGTGCATTCTACTTACTGCTACTTCCCTGGGCTCTCACATAAGCAGCCCGGCACATATTTTGTTCGTTCTTGTGAACTTCTTATGTGTGTGTTGCTGTTACTAGACTGTTAAGATCTTTGAATCCTACCACGATGCCCACATTAAATTGCCCTGAAAAACACTCCGAAATAACTGGCTTCTGTTTCTGCCCTGTCCTTTTTGGCAGGGCAAGAAAGGAATCTTGAGAAGACAGGAAGGATAAATGAAGGAAGGAAGAAAATCCTTACTGGCCTCATTTTTCCACTTGTGTCTGAAATGTAGAACTTTGTTTAAAGTTGTGAGGTGGCAAAATACGACTGACTAATTGTAGGCACATTAAGAAAAGGAGCCTGGAGGGAGATGTTGGGGAAGGTTTGAAGTGCACCTTATAATCGACAAACAAAGGAATATTGCACTATGACCGTGGAGGTGAGCGAGCACTTCATGGTCTTTTGTGAGTAGGTTAGAAGGGGGAGCCTTTGGTTGTTCAGCCAGCTTGTCTTTTTCCTCAATGAGAGCAATGTTTTCCAAACTATTTTTGGCTTCAGATACCTCATAGTGACTAAAAGTGATAAAGCCATATGGAAGAACTTTGCCCAATCTCCTAGCTCTGTCCAACAAGGTCATGGGCAATGACAATCCAATAAAAACTAGTGGTGCCACTAAAGGATCCCGAGGGAACAGGCTATTCAAGACAGTGGCACAAAAGCTAAACTTAGGTTTAAAAAAAAAATGATCACTGATTTTCCTCCCTTTTAGGTCTTTGAGAAGGAAGTAAAGGTGTTGACTTTTTGATAAGGTTTTGTTTTTGTTTCAATTAAACTTTTTGGAGAATACCATTGTTTTTCATTTGTTGGTTTGTAAATCTTGAAAATTATGAGAAATGTAGATTATTGAAAGAAAAAATTAGCAATACAGATTATAAAAAGAAGAAAATAGCAATCATGAATAGCCTCAATACCCGGGATTAAACATTGTTAACAATGTAGCATATTTCCTTCTAGTCTTTTTTCTTATGTACTATTTCTTAAGTGGCTAAATTATATACTATAAATAGTCTTGATAAAATAAATTTGTAAGCTGTCCTTAGATTAAGCAAGGAAACAAAATCTTTTAGTTGTAAAGTTAACTATGGAGATGATCAGACTCAGGGTATTTATTTAGCAGAAATACCAAATGTGGAATTCTCTGGAAAATTCAAAACCATCAATATCAAAAAATACAAAAGAAAATTTTTCTTATATTTAAAAATTCATAAGCATAAGATAAACGTGTATTATAATAACATTCCACTTTTTATACAACTGCATTGTAGGGGGGTAGTTCTTCTAAAATAGGATAAAAACAAGGAATTAACATTAAACACAACTTGCATCTTATCTTCCCTCTCCTTATCAGTAAGCAAGAGCCAGGAAGAACTGGGGCAAGAGCTATTTTTATGTTATATGTTCTTTATTTCTGGGATTTGCAAGTGAAATGGCAGCAAACGGTTTCCTAACTGCTGTTCTTAACTCTGGTTTATTTGGAAAGTGTTATTAAAAAACAACACTGGTTTGGTTATTTTTCATTAAGGACTTACTAGACAATATCAAATTCAGTATTCTATTGAGTTTGAAGATAGTATCTGTCTTTTTTTGTGGTAATGAAAGCAGTTTACTACTGAAGACAGCGTTTCAAGCAGGTGAAGATGTAATCCATCTTGTGTCTTTAAAGACAGCTATAATTCCTGGAGAACCATTCAGTTATCAAAAGGCATAAAGCACTCAGACTTAAAGGTTTCTCAGATCTTCTCTCACATTTCTTGTGGCAGATGTGCCATGCATCTTGGGAAGCACTCAGACTTAAAGGTTTCTCAGATCTTCTCTCACATTTCTTGTGGCAGATGTGCCATGCATCTTGGGGGAAGGGAAGAATCGCCTAAACTCTAAGGCTTGATTTTCACAATTCTGAAACAATTCACAATTCACAAAGTACTCAGTGGTCAAGTCTAGCTGATTGTATTGGAGAAGGTGGGATGGAACTGAAAACTGGGCTATTTATTCAACTTTGATAGATAGTATACAATGCTGTGCAGGAGGCAACACGGCCTCCATGACATCATGGACTGCACGTGGATATGGAGATGCGCAAGCCAAGCACAGCCATTTCGTGCCTGGTCACAGGCTGAGCTGATAACAATGCACGTAGCTCTGCTGGCCCTGCCTGCTGACAACTACTGGGGAAAATTAACAGGCTGGGATCTCCCTGGGGAATCCTAAGAGAATTGAGTCAAAGGTTAGTGGGGTGAAACAGTAGGTTTCTGAGGCAATGTTTATTTTAGAATTGGTCTTCATTCTAAAAACTGCCCGTGTGATCTTTGTATTCCTTTAGTGGTTACTGAATGTTCCTGGTTTCCCCTTTCCCCAGAACAAGCAACAGCACATGCAGGGAATAGAATGAGAGATGGCGCCTGTTATCTTCTGCCTCGGCTGTTCAGCTGGGGCAGTGGGCCAAAGGTCTTAACTACATCTAGCATCTTCAAAACAGAGTTCCCTCACAGGAGAGTAGGCTCAGTTTCTGTTAATGAGCAAAATTAATGACAAAAGGAAGATTGTGTGGCAGGAAATCCTATAGGCAGTAAATAGTATGAGAATCTAAAGACCTGTGTTAGGCAGGGGTAACCAAGGAAAGTTTGACACAGGGGCTTATAATTAAAATAAGTAATGAAAAGATATTCTATTCATGGCTTATTACAGTGCATATTACAAGAGTTATGGTGAACTCATGGACTAAAGAAATACTAGATTTAAGATTCACAGTTCCTCCAGGCACCGTGGCTCATGCCTGTAATCCCAGCATTTTGGGAGGCTGAGGCAGGTGGATCGCTTGAGCTCAGGGGTTTGAGACCAGCCTGCGCAACATAGTGAAACCCAGTCTCTAAAAAAAAAAAAAAAAACAAAACAAAAATTAGCCAGGTGTGATGGTGCACCTTTAGCCCCAGCTATTTGTGGTCCGAGGTGGGAGGATGGCCTGAGCTGGGGAGGTGGAGAATGCAGTGAGCCGAGATCACGCCTCTGCACTCCAGCCGGGGTGACAGAGTGAGACCCTGTCTCAACAAAAGAAAAAGACAAAAAATTCACACCTCCTATTTTTCATTTGTTTCTTCATATTCTCTCTCTTTCTCCATCCCTTTTTGCCTCTTTTTTCCCTCCCTCTCCTAAGAGAGTCTAGTTCCATTTACTCACGCTAAATACAAGTATAATTTAACTGTACTGTGCACATATACATAGCACAACATAGAACTTACCATCCTTGAGTCTTCAAATTTTAGTTTCTAAGTAGAAATAGAAAAGTAAATGGCTCAACACTTACATCTTCTACTTGCTAAGAACTTTACCCTCTGTTCTTTTGGGAATGAAAGTAAGGAGAGGAGAAACATGTGTTGGAAGAGTTGAAAGAGAGTCCAAGGATGGTGTAGAGTTATTCTGAAGAACATCATAGGAAGTTCTCACCTGTGCTCTCAGGGGCCATGATAATACCAATGTATGCCAAACACCATAGTTTCCTTGGATCTGGTATCATACTTCCACAGCTACCAATTAACTTGAACTTCTAAGTGCTGCAGTAACTGAAATTAGATTATACATCTGTCTAAATGAGAGCTCTTACTTTAGCCAGTCCCATAGCGTGTTCAGGACTAGCATCTGTGTTTATGTGCATGAGTGAATGAAGTCCAAAGGCAAACCTTCAGCAAGGACTTTATTATCACAAGTGAGAAAGAGTTTCTGTTTTGTTTTTCAATTTGCTATTTATTTGAGACGGAGTCTTGCTGTGTCACCCAGGCTGGATGGAGTACAGTGGCGTGATCACAGCTCACTGCACCCCTCCGCCTCCTGGGCTCAAGCAATTCTCATGCCTCAGACTCCTGAGTAGCTGGACTTGCAAGCACCTCACCATGCCTGACTAATTTTTGGTATTTTTAGAAGAGACACGGTTTCACCATGTTTGCCAGACTGGTCTCGAACTCCCAACTTCAGGTGTCTGCCTGTGTCAGCCTCCTGAAGAGCTGGGATTATCAGCATGAGCCACTGCGTGCTGGCCTTGCTATTTATTTTAATACAGAATTCAAATGAACATGAGAATAAATTTCCATTGTGCACTTATACTTTTATAGTGGTATTTTTTTTTTCATTCTAAATGCATTTCTTGGTCTTTTTAATGCATTGTTATCTGAGGTACTTGTTTTATAATCCTTATTAGAAAGAAATTTTAAAAGTAACAGGGAGGTGTACCTTTACATTCTGGGTTCTTGCTGAACTGTTCTCTGAGACCCCGATGGCCTAAGCAGTGATCCTCTGCCCATCTGTGGCTGCCCAGTCCCCATTAAATTCCCTGTGACTTGTCTTGATTGTTTCAGAGTCTGAATTGTAGGTAGCTGCACTTCTACCTGAGCCTGTCATACAGTTTCCCAATAAAGTTCAAAATAGAACTTAACACCTTTACATGGTCCGGTAGTTTGTGTTTTAATAAAAGAAGCTGGACTAAAAAATGCAAATGAGTAGTCTTTTATTTTTCTTCTTCAAATAAGGAACTTCCCCAATGCTCCTGCCCTGGGATGGAGCAGTCTGTGATAGCACTGAAGTGAATAATTCTAGACTTGGCAGTTCTATGTCAAAGCAAGTCTCATAAACACAGCAGATGTACGTTCTGGGTGACTGCCATTAGCGTGCATCTGAGGGGTTATTGACTGGTTATGGGCAGATTTGGGGGTAGAAGATAGTGAAGGAAGGGGAACCAGGACTTTACCCCTTGTTGTTTTATTTTCTGAGTGATTGCCCCCAAAGAAAAACTTTCCCAGTCTGAATCTCTAAATAGATCTTCTCTATTTAAATGCTTGTGGTCCTATTAACTATTGGGAGCAAAACTTTCTCAGTCTGAATCTCTAAATGGATCTTTTCTATTTAAATGTTTGTGGTCATAGTAACTATTGGAAGCACTGAATTGGAAGATTTTCACTGAACAGAAAGAAGTAAGCCTGGCCTTTGTCATTGTTTAAATTCCAATTGTTTCTTTAAAAAAATGAGGAAATATATGCCCCCTGAATGGTATTGTCTGGTTTTATAAAAGTCGGCTTAGGAGATTTTTTTTTTTCTCTATGAAACCAATAAAGCAGTTTTAAGTAATTGGAGCTAAATTATTCTTCCTGGAACACAGCCAGGTCAGTGGCCCTGGGAAGTATCAAAGGGCACAGGGAACTCTATGGTGGGCAGCAGCAGCATCATTACCTTTGTCCACCTGGTGAGCCAGGGGCTGCTGAGACCCTGTGGAACCCAGCTCACCTTTCCTGGGATCCTTTTCCTTTTTGATGGCTGACCTAAAAAACTGCTCACACTGTGGTATTTCCCCTCTGCCTGTACCAGCAACCTTCAGTTGCTTTTATCTTGGCAACAGCTACATTTGTAGATCTCCACAGCTGCTGCTTTTCCTTTAGCGATTAGAGCTGAGGTTTAAGAGAATCTCTTGGTTAGATTTTTGAGTCTCTTTCCTGGGGAAATAGGATTGAGAGGATTGGCCTGAACAGGCTAAGGGACTGGCTTCATTACATGAGACAAACTTGGAATAGCTTCTGTAAATTACTTCTTATCTGTCCTGTCTGCCCACATTTGTAACATCACAAGAGTTAGAAGACCCCATATTGCTTGAGCTTTTCGTGACCTGAAGTTTTTCAACCACATTTATTTAAACCATAGCTCTTTCCTCTGTTTGTTTAAGCTGTCTCATTCCTAATTCATTCCCTCCCCCATATCCCCTCCACTGCTGTATACAACTGGTCTCCTTAAAGCCAAAACCTTTAGCTACCATTTTGCTCGATAATTAGCTAGCCTACATTTATTGGCTGTTGACTATGTATTCTACTATGCATATTATAGATATCTACATACATTGAATACATTGTCTTATCTCCCCTCCTAGAGTGTAAATTTCTTAAAATCAAGGACAAAGCATTATCTGCCTTTGCCTCTCCTTCGTGTAGTGCCTTGCACTTAGTAAGTGCTGAATAAATGAGGCCATCACTGTGATTATCACTCGACTTGAAATATATAGGAAATGGATATGTTAGCTATTAGGTGTGTATTCTCACCATTGTATCCTATTCCATTCATTTCCAGGAAAATGCTTATTAACTAGACAAGTCCGTTACTTTATGGTCTTTCCCTGCTATTTTCTTGTCTTACTGTTCCCTCTAAGTCTCCACTCACTTCTAAAAATTATGACTTGTCCAGAGACCCATGTTGCTCTGAAGTTTCTTATTCTTCCATGAATATTTGTGCCTATTAGAAGGGAGAACAGAGGGTGGGAGTCTCTATTTCTACCCTCATTTCAACTTTTGTTCCAATGATTGCTACTATTTATATATCCTCTCCTCTGTTTCTTTGTGCTTAGAAAGAATTAGGGTTCATGTGGCTTTTTGCAGATAAATAGAGTTATTCGTAGCCAAAGAATTTGAGTTATTTTGAGTCTCTCTTTATGAGGAGCAATGATTACAAGTCAAGGGTAAGGATTAAGATTTTCATACATTTTGGAGTTTTTCATGTTTAAAAAAAAATGTGGTTCTAGATGCACTGAATATTTCATGGATTTGTTTACTAAGCAGTTATCTTCCTTAGCATCAACCGATTATCCTTAACTAATCTTTGCTTACTATTTTCATGAGAGCTAAAATTCCTATTTGCTTCAGTTTTGAATTTCCTGCCAGAGCTATAACACATGAGGTTTTTGTACTCTTTCTCTAGTAGTTGATGAAATCCAGAATTCAAGCTGTCTACGTAGACATCTTGCAGAAAAAGATCTTTTTCTGATTTCTCTGGTTGAATTCATGGGATCACAAGTTGAATGAAAGGTTAAGTTCAAGTAGCAAATGAAAAGCAAAATGCAACACTAAACAGTTTGCAGCAAAAATGTTCTGCATTTTTCTCCTTCAAGCAGCTGTTGCTCAACTAAGTTGTGGCGGTACTGATGCTCTTCCCTCTCTGTGTTTCTCATGAGCCCATCTTGTTACCACTTACTCACCCTTGGAGCAGGGCTTCTTCAAGTACAGTTCATGCTGGGGAGGCTGAAATGGCAGTAGAGAGCTTATAAATATGTATGAGAGATGTACACATTGCTTTAGCATCCCTTCTGTCTTTTGATGTTATAGTCTAAGATATTTTAGCAGATAATGGATATACCCCTTTCATTCAATGTACAATTATGGAGACCTTATCATGCGCATATCATTTACTGTACCAGACAATGTGGTCCTATATGGTCTGGATGAGACTACTATAAATTGATTTCTTGTGTGGCTTATGAAATCACATTTTCTTTTAAAGGTACCCTTCTATAAAATAGAAATATAATGTATCATGAGTGTAAAAACCACCACTACCACACCACCACTACTGCTGTTAGCCGCTACCAAATACAAGGGCTTTACTCTATGCCAGACACTATAATGAATCTTTCAACCCTCTGAAGTGGGTAATGTATTTGTATTTAGCAGCTGGGAAGCCTGAGGCTAATAGAAGTTAAATTACTTGTTTTGAGTTAAATATCTAATTTGTTTCAGAGCTGAAGTTCAAACCCAAGTCGATCTTACCCTAAGTCTGTGTCTTTAGTCACTATCTACTGCTGTCTCCGGGAGGTTTTCAAATGCCAGTGCTTCCTGAGACAGCCAGTTAGTTCGTTTTTTTTGTTTTTTGTGTTTTTTTTTTTTTTTTTTTTTTTGGCTAGTGATAGGGTTTTCTTTCATATGACAGATAAGACATAGATATGAATAATTAAAACCCTACATCCCAGCAGGTTTCTGTGTCACCTAGACTTAGAATGGGCTGGCTGGGGTTTCAAAGATGTAAGACTCAAATATGAGTCTGTTTGGTATGAAATAGCAGAGGCAAGATGGAGGAGCCTCCTTTGGCCCTTTAAAGAATTTGTGATCCATCCTCATCCTATTGCCAATGAGGCTGGAGAGAATATAAGGCCCTAAATTAGTGTAGGAAACAAAGTCCACTTTCTGGCTGACACTTCAAGTACAAGGCAAGCAAACAAAGCAAAGCATGGTGGTGGTGAGGGGTTGGGGGTTGGGGCTAAGAAGTTCAAAGTCACACCTGAGACTCAGAGCCCATCTGATGCTCTCATGCTGTAAAGCTGCGGTCCAAATACAGGCACACTTTATTGAGAGTTTAAGGCAGTGGTTCTCAAAACTTGGTCCCTGAGCCAACAGAATCAGCATCAGCTGAGAACTTGTTGGAAAGATAAATTCTCAGGGGGTGAGTCCCAGCCATCAGTGTCTTAACAAAGAAATTCTGATGCATAGCAAAGTGTTGCAACCATTGATTTAAGGTACACCTCTTTATATCATTACGAATAGGTCTAGTGATATAAGAAAAAAGCAATAGATTTATGATTGTATCAATTCACCAATTTGGAACTTAACTATTCATTCATTACCATTTATTGAGTGTCAGGCACTTTGATAGGTTTCAATTGATTTCATCCTTAAAACAACCCTGTAGGATATTTTTATCCTCATTTTACAGATGAGGAAACAGAGATTCAGAGGTGTTAGGTGACTTGTCCAACATCACACAGCAAATACTTGTCTTGGGATTTGACTCACATTTCTGGAAACATGCTCTGAAAATATCCAATCCCAAGGAAGTGCTTCATAGTCAAGCAGAAAGACAGATACACAAGCAAAAATTGGAAAACCTTACTATCTACGTAGTTTCATGGTGATGAAATTAACCTTTTCAGCATGCAAAGAGTTAATCAAGCTGATGTTCCCTTAAAAATCTACATAAACTCTTCTAGACTAGGGGGGTTTGGTAAAGAGACTAAGCAAGCAGTCTTTCTATGTACAGTTTATAATCATGGAATCCTGTATAAATTGTTATATTTGAAGACCATGACATTTTTGAACACCTGCTAGTGTGCAAATCATTCAGTAAACATGTATCTAGTATGTATGTACAGTACTGCATTAGGTAGTACTAATGCAATATATATATATATATATATCATATATTTCTTGCTAATGCAGTACTGTACATACATACTAGATAGAAACTAAAAAAGCTACTAATAGATGGTCTCAAGTTGTTTAAAAGACTCTTATGTATGAAATCATTAGGAAACAATAAAAGATAGAATATCAGGGCCTAAACAACATGACGTAATAGTGGTTGAGTAAAGGGTGAGATCAGTGAGGCTCAGAACACCCATTCTCTGTAAATAATTCAAGCCACCAGTGTTTTCCAGAAGAATAAGTCTGTATGATTGGTAAAATGAAGTTAGTTACTCTGGGCCTAGGGCAAAAGACATGAGGCATAGCTTACTCTGTGTGTGTACTTTTGTGTATATATGTTTGCATATATATTTCCAAAGTATGAGAGTTGGTTATGTATGTACATGTAAAACATCAACAGTAATTGCTGAATTGCCCCCATCCCCTGCAAGCAGATAATTCTCTAACAATGTGTGATAACCTCTCTTTGTATTCCTTAACATGGGAGGTTTATTATTCCTTAATGTGGGGCATTTATTATATTTTAATCTTTACTAATTTAGTAGGAAAAATAATATTGTTTTTATCTGAATTTATAAAGAGTTATAAGTTTGAGTACTTTTTTGTATGCCTATTTCATTTTATGTCCTTTGCAGATAGTTTTGATTGAAGGGTTTCCTTAATTGTTAAGAGTTCTTTGTACTGTATGGATAGCAGCCTTTGTTGTATAAGTTGCATATACTTCCTTTTGTTTGTTCTTTTTTTTTAACCTTTTTTGTGTGCCATATAGAACTGTTACATATTCATGTACACAAAAGTATAAATTATACATTCCCTGTGGCTTTTGCATTTTTCTCCTACTTAGAATTTCCTGCTTCAAAGCAAAATTATCCATGTTTTCATCCAGTTGTTTTCTGGTTTTATTTTGTATACATGTATTTTTAAGAAATCTAAGTTGTATTTGTTACAAAGAGTGAGGAAGGAACTTAGCTTCATTGTTTTTTCTTCTAGTGGCCAACCACATGTTCTCGACCCAATCATTATGAATAATCTACCTTTTCCCCCACTGATTTCAAATTCCACCTCTATTATATATTAAACTCCCAAATTTACTTGAGTGATTTAATTATTTTTGAACTAGTTTTTAGACTTCCTGGCATCTTCCCCATATCAGTCTATGCTCCTAGAATCAATTGCTAGTTAATAAGGGACCACATTTGTCCAAACAGCTTCCTCTTAACACTGCCTCCAGTATAATTTACAGAAAAGAAGTGAGATGCAGTTTTAAAGAGTATTTTTATTAAGAATATAAGACTCGTGATTTTTAATGAATATATTCTCCAAGAATGTAAGATCCATGAGGACCTAGAGCAGTGAACAGAGAAGAGCAGATTCCTAATAAACATGTGTTGGATGAATGAACTGGAGCTTTAGTATTGTCTTATCTTCTTTACTTTCTAAAAGGCTAACATAGTTCATCCAGATAAGAAAGTAATACACCTAAATGGATATAATTCAGCCATTTTGTGTTGGGTACTATGTGTTAAAAGCCATAAAACTTTCTGAGAATCTATCTGAAGAAAATGAATCAAACAGGAAAGGGAAAATTACACTTAAAAAATTACCCTTTCAGTACTCTTTATATTTGCAAAATGTTGGTAACAGGTAATCTAAATGACCAATAAGATGAGTGACTGATAAGATAATTTAGAAGCAAATACAAAAGTAGGGATATGGCATGCCAACTATTAAAACACACATACACACATGCACGAAATGGGAAAAACCTAGAATGAGTTACATGAAAAATGATAAATTGTGCTGGGAGGTAATATTTCAGACCCCATTTGCTTATTTTCAAAATGTTAATGCAGTTTTTTGTTTCTACAGTAATAAAACAAATAGCACCATGAATCTAGTTTAATGCTCAGTTGAGGCATAGGTACATGTACAGCATCCTTAGTTGGGCTTTGTTTCACAATATTGGCTGCTGATTCAATATTTTGAGCTTTATGCAGCAAGAAAGGGGCAAAACAAAAGGACATTTACTAGCAAACCCATGGACCTGGGCCTGTATTTGAAGACCCAACTATACAAATGTCAGAAGTTCTGTTAGCCTTTTCAGAATGAATGTGTCCCAAAATGATGCCTACTTTCCATTCTGTGTGTTCACACGCAACACATTTCTTTAAATCTCATCTTTCCAAGTTAACCAAATATTTCATTTGAATTTGCAGATCACAGAGTGAATTTGATTGATACACATATCTGTGGATTCTATTGTGGCTACAAAATAAGTGAAGTACCTCCCACTGATAGTCACTTTTTAAGCTCTGTTTTCAATGTTGTATATTCTAATGAAATCTTGTTCTTGGTAAAATATCATAGCCATATATTTTGATCTAACATTTTTTAAGAGTTTTGAAGTTGTGTACCTAGTGCCAATAACAAATATGAAAGATATTTTCAGGAGGGTGGTGGCAACATTTTTAAGAGGAGTGTTCTTTATAATGGCCCGTGTGCGTGGGAATACCTTGGGGATGCAGAACGCTTTTTTATACCTCTTTGCTGTGCGTCTTTGTAGTGTTCCTCAAACAGAGCTGTTGTCTGTATTGCTCACATCTCCTGTGAAATCTAGGCACTCCCATAGCATCTTTGGCATCGGGATAATCTGGATTAGTAACTATATTATTGTTTTATTCTTCAGTTTTCTACAGCTATAAAAGTACCTTTTCAGATCACATTTGTCTTAGCATCCAAGAAATGTGGAATACAGAATTAAGAATTAATATGGAATATGAAATTAGGAACATTAACTAATGTGGAATATGCTTAAGATATAGACATGATATTAGATGGCCTGAAATTAGTTCACAGGTGATTTTCAGTGTTCTCTTTTCATTTGTTACCTGTTGGATTTTGGATGTTGGAAGCAAGTGATTTAGGTGAAAATGGCAATGGCGGGCAGGCAAGGCCTGCTTCTATGAGCTGGTTTAGTACTAGGCTGTTATTAGATCTGCCTCTCCCTTTTCCCCTTCACATGTTCAAAAAGGAGTAAGCATGCTAGAAAAATATAGGCCCAGGTCCATGGATGTGCAGAACTGGCACTTGCCGTAGCAAGGGTTCTCAAAATGTGGTCTCTGGATTAACTACATCAGCATCACTTGGGGACTTGTTGGAACTATAGATTCTCCAGCCCCGCATCAGCCAGACTGAACCAGGAATGCTCGGGTGGGTCCAGCAGTGTTTCCACAAGCCCTCCAGGTGACTGTCATGTATGCTGGAGTTCAACACGACTCTTACAAGAACAGAAACTTCACCCACAACTGTATTCTCGCTGTCATCACCTCTCTTTATGACTGCTTAATACATAAAATCCAATTTCAAACTTTAGAGAAAGGTACCTCTAGATCTGTCTCCATTCTCACTCCTCAGAGGAGCCATTTCTGATCATTTCTGGGTTTAGATATATTGGTAGTCCTTCCCAACTCTTAAATATTTTCTTTATGTATCATCTCTGATAACCATTTATTGCAACCTGCTTTGAGAGATGAGGATTTAGCTTACTTATACTCCCCTTTCTTTCCTCTGGCTCCTCCCAATTGTTTATCACTTAGTTTTTTGAAATTTTGGTTCTTCCAGAGATTACGTTTATAACTTTAAATTCCTAAGTCTTTACTCATTGAACTTAGAGAGTACTATGTAAAATAAATGGATATCCACTTCCCTACTCCCCCTTTTCTCCCTCCCTTCCTCTTTCAGATAAACCATTAATTTTTATTTTATTTGTTATGCTGAATGCAAAACCACTAACTTTAGATTATTGACATTTTTATTTTACTGTGATAAATTATCTAATAATGTATATATACATTGCTTCTGAAAATTGGAAATAGTGTTTGCAATAGGATGATTGTATAAATATTATTCATTGCAGAATAAAGGGATAGGACTGATCTTTGACTTAATAACTCACCCACGAGTATGTGTCCTCCTGTCCTTGATTGCTTGCCTGTGTTTGGTCTGCAGCCTTACACTGTATCATAAGAACATTTCCCAAAGTGTTTTCTATAGGTTTTTAAGGAAAAACATGGCAAAGTAAGTTTGGGAGACACTTGAGTAAACAAACACACGACTGTAGAACTCATCAAAGCCTTTAGTTTCTAATGAGAATTGTTAATCTTCAAGAGAGGGATTGGTATATAGCATTTCTCAAATGTACTGGGTCATGGAACCCCTTTTTCACAAGTTATCTCAATGACTTCATCTTATGTAGAAAATATTTTGGAAAGCACTGCCATATAGGATCTCTCGATTCCAGATCCAGATGACCTCATTTCTGCCTAGATTCTACATCCAGCCTATTACCTAACTTGTCTGGTTCAATGCTCAGACTTAGTGAACCACTGCTCACTGAGATCCTAGCCCTGACTTCGACCCAAGAAAATACATTTTCTCTCAGCTACCGTATTAGTTTCAAAGAGCTAATGTGTATGATCCATGATGTAATTAAGTACTGCCAATACCATTGCCTCAGTCAGAGTGTCCCTTCACTGATTGTCTTTTATCAGATCATATGATGGTGATATGCATGTTTCCTAAATGCTTGGTTTCTCTTAAGTTTTCCTCCAAATTGTCCTAGAAGTAGTAACCTTAACCAGCCTTCCCCTCTGAAGATATTTTCTTTCTGAAAAGCAGAGCCATCTAATAATAAAACAAATTGACTCATTTAATAAGAAAACCCCTGAAGTGCGTTTCCAGTTCTTAAAATTTTATGATTCAATATCCGAATTCTTATCTACTGAAATAAAAACTTTTTTTATTTTGGAAAGGACTTTTTTGGAATACTGCAGTGTAGGAGATATTTAATTTCAGTCTGATTCATGCTTCTCAAGATAAAATATACCATCCTGAGGACAAAGGTTTTGTCATATTGCAGCATACTGCAAAGTCTAGGCAAGCACACGAAATGGAACACAGAGTAGATGCTTAATAAAAATATTTATTAATTTTTACCAAATGAAACTTTCCTACCTTTTCTCCTACAAATTTGGTTCGCTTCCAAACCCACTCCCTCTCATGAATGTGTAGGAAGCTGGTTTATATTTATCTTTCTGGAAGATATCTCCAGCTAAACCACCATTGAGATACTTCTTTTTTTTGGGAAGATGACAACCATTTACCCTAAAATATGATATTATAACAAAAAACCTATGCCTCTTGTGAATTAACCCTATCGTGGTCTACTTAAAAACCAATCTAAACATTTTTAACCTAAAATTAGGTTTCTTTTGACTAAACTGTGTATTTTGCATAACCATTCATTCAAAAACCAATCACTCAGTGCTGACTCTCTTTAAAGCACTATGCCAAACACAGAACAGAACACAAAAAGGAACCAGGCACGATCTCTACCCTTAAATGCCCCCTCTTTACTTGGGAAAAATGGACAGGCACATAAGTGGATAAAGTGCAAAGCAGAAGCCTGCCATGTAACAAGACCATGAATACAATTCTTTTGGAGTTCTCTGAATAAAAATAATATTCATATTTAGGTTATTTTAGTGGGACCTCTGATATTATCTACTTATATCAATTAATTATGAGCCCTAATTGGTAGCTTCTGGGAAGAATCTAGGGAAACATAAGGCCTGTTTTGTGCCCTTGAAAAACTTAATCAGAAGACAAGGCATGAATGCAAATAACAATAATGATAATAATAATTGAGGAGGTAACCAACATAAGCCAGAAGATACATGAGCTCTTATAAAGTAGAGCATGACTAATCACCAGAAGAACAGATTTGAGTTTCAGAAACTCTCCCTACTGGCTTTGATTCATTTTTTATACTTTCTCAAGAAATCAGAATGTCCCAGATGCTTAGTAATAACAATGTAGAGTTGAGTAGCCCATGTCAAGACTGGAGAGAAAAGAAAGATCAGAATTCTCAGGAGCAGCATCAATGACTGAGGAAGTGGTCAGATGGCAGTGGCTTTGAGCAGACTCTAGAAGGGATAAGAGACAGCCAACACAGAATGACGGCTTAGAAGTTCTGCACTGGAGTCAAATAACCCTGGGTTTGAGTCCCAGATCTAATACTTTGCTCATTTTGAAAACTTGGGCAAGTTTTTTAATCTCCTTAAGCCTCTGTTTTCTTATCAGTAAAATGGTTACGATAATAGAATTCATAGAGTCATTGTGAGGATACAGCAAAATTTTGCACATGAAGTGTTTAGATCAGTGTTTGCACAGATTAAGTGCTTAGTTGATGCTGGCTGCTCAGCGTTGCCACCGTTTGTACTACTGCCTCTATAGTATCTTCTCTGATCTGTAAGAAAAGGTAATAATAGTATCTCTGGCCAGGCACAGTGGCTCATGCATGTAATTCCAACATTTTGGGAGGCTGAGGAGGGAGGATTGCTTGAGCCCAGGAGTTCGAGACCAGCATGGCCAACATGGTGAAACCCCATATCTACTACAAATACAAAAATTAGCCAGGTGTTTTGGCACATGCTTGCAATCCCAGCTACTCAGGAGGCTGAGACATGAGAATCACTTGAACCCGGGAGGAAGAGATTGCAGTGAGCTGAGATTGCACCACTTGCACTCCAGCCTGGGCAACAGAGTGAGACTCTGCCTCAGAAAGAAAGAAAGAAAAAAACAAAAATTAGCTGGCCCTGGATATATACAACTTGTAGCCCCAGCTACTTAGGAGGCTGAAGCAAGAGGATTGCCTGACTCCAGTAGTTCAAAGATGCAATGAGCTATAATCACGCCATTATAGTTCAGTACTCTGGATAATTCAGTACTTTAACCAATACTTAGACCAGTGGTTCTCAAATATCTGCATGCATCAGACTCACTTGGAAGGCTTGTTTAAAGCACAGGTTACTGGGCCTCACCCTCAGAGGTTCTGCCTAGGCAACAGAGCACCCTAGCCTGGGCAACAGAACAAGATTCTGTCTCTAAAATAAAATTTTAAAAAGTACCTCTTCATACATGGAAAATTTTTGTGAGAATTAAATGAGAAAGTATGCAGAAAGCTTAGCCAGGGCTGCAGCTTCCTATTGCATGACTTCTACACTGCACATTTCAAGGGAGGCATCAATCTGCTCACTGTCATCATAGATACATGTAATCATCAGTACCTTTTCTTGAGGAAGTGACAATTATTTTCCAATTTGCAAAAAGTCATATTTGTTGGCAGAGAGCTGGGAAACAGCAAGCGCGTTGTAAATTCTAGTTAGTACCGCTACTGCTGCTGTTCTTGCCGCTCCAGTAATTCCTAGTATTTTTACCTCCACTTCTACTCATGTTTTCTGTTCACCAAAAGCCTCAATCCTGCCCTGGGAGGAGAAAGTTGTCTGGACAAATCAGAAGAGCTACTCTGGTTTTATTATTTCATTTACTATTTTCAAAAACAGTGTAAGATACATTTGTTTTGCATTTTATAGAGAAAGAAAATATTCTGCTCCTTACTGAAAAGCCTCAAATGGCCTCAAGTGATAGACTGATAAAGTTGGAATATAAACTTAGCTTTGTATATATTTTTCTGATAACACATACAGCCTGCTCAGATGAAGTGCCTGTCCTTGTTTTACATGACAGGGAGAACTGATTCAGAGACCATATGAGAGGATTATGGTGAAATAGGTATGTGCATGGGACACGATGACATGTTTATAATTAAGAGAGACATGTACAGGTATTATCGTATGGTATCCATCCTTTCCTCAGAGAAGAGTTATAGGATTCTAAGGTTTGCTGATGCTTTATCTCTCTATTAACATTTTAATTTTATTCCACAATCCAGAAATATGATTGGCCTCTGAGTAGATTGCATTTTCATCGCAATGCAGAAAATTAAACTCCCACAGATGTTAGTGGAAACCATATAGCTATGCAGCAATTTCAAAATGTACCACTTAATGTCTGAACCTTTTAATCATGCTAGAATTTTTTTTTTCTATCAAATAAACACAAATCTATTTTGGTACTAACAAAGAAAAGAAACAAGCACACATTCTATTTCACTCCACTCTTGGAGTATATGCTAATTGTCTTTGGAAACCCACCAAACATCTGTGAAGCTCTCCCCAAGACTTCATGGCTTCCAGACCCAAATACGGCTCCTATTTATTTGGAGACAACCAAACAAACAAAACTTTCAGGTAACTAAAATTTTTCTACATTAAATATGTTTGGCCTCTGAGTAGATTGCATTTTCATCACAATGCAGAGGATTAAACTCCCACAGATGTGGGATTAAACTCCCGCTATGGGGGAAAAGATTCTAGGAAGTGTTTAAAGGGCAAGCCTGAATTAGGGATTTATTTAGAAAAGCAGTATCACAGTTTTATCAAAGGGGAGAACTTTCAGCCCAGTCTCCTCTACCTTATAAATCACCATGGGAGATGATGAATTGGGGAGGCAATAGTTCCCACAAGGGCTGGGGGGACACAACGTCATACACATCCTTGAATTTCCATTGCCCAATACATGTTGACATACCATGCACGTGTCCTGATGCTGTTGACCTTCTGCATTCTACTGAATTTGAGAAATGTCTGCTTATAGCCCATTTCTCTTACAATATCAATTTTGTAAGTGTGGCTCCTAGGCCAGCAGCATCAGCATCACCTGGGAACTTGTTATAAATGCACATTCTTGAGCTCCAGTCCAGGTGTATTGAATCAGAACCTCTGAGGTGTGGGGCCCAGTAATCTGTGTTTTAAACAAGTCCTCCAGGTAATTCTGATGCAAATGGTCTAAGTACTGGCTAAAGTATTGAATTAACCTGAGTACTGCTTTCTATGCCTGCTGGATGGGGGAAGGTTTATTCTAGCCTATTGCCCAATCTTTATACTAGTTAACTGTTTGTACTTTAAGTCAATCAGTACTCTGTTTCACACTATACTGAACCTCAGAGTGCAGAGAAGTGGGAGCCAAGACTCGGGAAGAAATCAGAGATGGAGAGAGTAACAGGAACACAGGTACATCTTTCTCAGTACAGGTGAGAGAGGTCAGGCATCCAGCTTCTTCCTCATAGTTCACAACAGCAATTCAAGCATTTGTAAACAGTGGGACTGAGGTTAAAAAGTGGAGCCAAATGAAATGTCATATGGAAAATCAAATATAAAATCAGATAATGGGATAAATTCAATGCTTCTTCACTGGCCAGTCATATACAAAATGCTTTTTCCTAATATGGTACTCCAATAATATATTTTTCTACTATAGCACTCACCAGGATGTGTGAGTAATAAGAATTACTTGTTAACCTATGTTTATAAAACTGTGAAGTCAGGGAATATCTTGCTTTATTCATTTGTGGTATGCCTTAGCACCTACCTAACATATATTAGGGGGCTTAATGGATAGCTGTGGAATTGAATCAGGCACTTCTGGTTTGGGGCAAGCTGCATGCTTGCCAATTATGAGATAAAAGAGACGTCACTGAGAGTGAAGGGGAAACATACTAAGAAGACAAACTAGGGGAAAGCTCAAGAGATTGTGGGGTCAAAGAGGAGACATGGAATTTAATAGGGAAAGTATTCAGTCGGAGCCTGATAAGAGAAAATGCTATGATTGAAAGTAGGAGTCTGGGATTGAAAAGAGAAAGGAGAAATGGTGGGAAAATGTGATGTTTGGAGGAAAACAGAGAGGGTCATGTATAAGGATCAGAACTTAGATTATAGGGCTTGGCAAGAATGGAGAATTCAGAAAACAGAATGGAGCAAGATGGGGGCAGCAAAGAAAAAACTACATGGAAGACATGGAACTACCTTGAGCAGTGGAAGAGGAGAGGATAAAATCATGGGGCTGGGGAACTAGTATTTTCTATTTTACTTGATCATCTGGACTTAAGGACTTTAAAGTTCATTGTTATCTTATTGTTTCATAACCAAAGCGAAGTCCAACTCATAATTAAACCATCTGTTAGTGTCCCCACACTGCCCAACTGTCTTCCCAGAGAGCCCCACTGCATAATTTGGTCTTGGCAACAGAAATTCTTTATCTTCCACTGTTTGTTTTTTTTTTTAAAGCCTTTTTCTTGATGACAAGCCACTGAGCAGCAATTCCTTTCTGCAGCCTGAAAACCAAGAGGCCAGGCCAGCAGGTTCAGGGGTCAGTTCATCATTCAGGTGCCATCCTCATCTGCTGGACCGCAAAGAGAATGTAGATGCACACAAAATGGTCCGAGGGACGAGTCCTTCTCTTTGTCTAAACATTGGGTACTTTTCTTACTGAATATACACTTTGTTCTGTGAAGGTGCTCTCAATCTTCAAAGGGGTCTGAGCTAGTTAAAAGCATCATCTGGCATCAGTAGATATGCTGGCTATTCATTTACAGTTGTCTTACGTAAAATGCACATTTAACTTCTTTTTTTAGTAAACCACTGATAGCTTTTTCTTAAAATGCACATTCATTTTAGAAAATATAGATAAGCCAGCTAGCTAAATATGTAAATAGATAGATAGATAGATAGATAGATAGATAGATCTCCAGATTCCACCATACCCGAAATATGCAACTACTATGACCATTTTGGCATTGTGCTTTTCTGTGTGTATATGTGTTTGTGTCCTAGCAAAAAGAAATGCATTCCTGCAGGAAAAATGCACTGGGAGAAGAGCATCCAGGGCTTACAGTTTACATTCTGTATTGTGAGCTATCAGTTGCTATGATTTACTGAATTGAGGGGTACGTTATGAGAAAGTGAAATCTGGGTTTTCATCTCTTCCCTCTCACTCTTACATTTTAAACTTTTCTCCTTCTCAAGAGTTTTCACATTCTCCTGCAAATATGCTCAACTCTCTCCCAGCCTAATTAAGCCTTAGTTGCCCCCAGGACCTCCAATGCCTGCTTCTCCCCTTTTAACCTCACCTTTTGCAAGAGTACTCTAGTTTGGCCTCGACTCCCCAACCTGCCCCAATGTGACTTTTGCCTGCTCCTTGGCACCAGCTTCCCCCCCCCGCCAAACTATGTTAAAAATCCTCTCAATAATGCACCAGTGATCATCAAACTTCCGCATCCGAAGAATATTTTCTGGTCTTTTTCTTACTGGGCTTCTGAATTATAGTGGGCACTTACGGTTATTGCTCCTTAAAATTCTCGTCTATTGGCTTCTGTATCTAAGCCTGGCTGGCTTTCCATCTCTGCCACCTAGAGGTAGCTGTGTAATTTTGGACAAGTGTCTCCACCTCTCTATGCTTTGTTTGCCTCATTGGTAAATTGGGCATAATAATAGAATCTGCTAGGTAGGGTTGTTACAGGATTAGATGAATTAAAAATTTACAAATCAATTATACTATTACCTCAAGAAACAATAATAAATGATGATATGGATGATGTCCTGCCATACCTGCCCATTTTTAAGGTTAGTTTTTAAGTCAAGACCGATGAGCTCATTAAAATTCTGATCACTCCATCTGTAGTTGCTCAAAATCCTAAGTTCCAAAATTGCCTTCATTGCCTGTGTTTATATAGTTTGATGTCTTGCCCTGGTTTGCTATTCTGCAGCTGTTTGTAAAGGCTGCAATTTAGGTGGGCCAACCTGCCACATTCACCCTGCCAAACAGCAGGAATGGTCCAGGCCTGACTTCTCATTTGCAGAAGAGAAAATTTTATAGATGGTCTAGAAAAGAACAACCTCCTGGTTAAAGCCTACCAGAAAAAAATTCCCTCTACTATGCAGAGATCATGTGTTTACAGTTTTTTTTTTAATGTCCCACAGTAGCTTTATTCCTTTGAGAAAACAAAAACTTTTTTTCTAGCTGCTTGGAGATTGAATGTGAAGTAGAGCTTGTCTTTAAGATTCTTATTAGTAACCCTCGCTTCCCTTACTAGCCACAACCTCATTCTTGTTCTTGAGCATCCAGGAGTCTCTACTGCAAACTCGGGAAGCATTCCATACCGTGGATTGTAATCATTTTTTCTATTTCCTTAACCCCCAGACATACACACGCATGCACATTTTTCTTAAAATCCATTTTCTCAACATGGTGTAAGTTGAAATAGAGGACCTAGCCCCAGTGTCAAGTGTCTCCTTGAAACTAGCCTAATAGTGGGAATATAAATATAAGGTCGTATAAAGCCAGTACAGTGTTTCAAACCTCTTAAAACCTGATGAAAGTGATAGACTCCACCTTCCACTCCAGATATACGTTAACACCCAGTAGGCACATAATTGTTTGAGGTTCATGAATCTCCTGAATTTGTCCCATGGAGTCCAGTTTAATAATAAAAAACTCAAGTTTAGATTATTATTTTTATGCCCATAAGATGCTAAGTTATAATAAATTTATCACTAGAAGGGGACTGTACTGGGCTCTTGTTCTCAATTTTAGGATAAAACATTTCCCATTTTTTTAGCTAAGAAAAATTTTACTGCATCATAAAAGACTTCAGAAATCCATCATCTTACATTAGAAAACTTGCTGCGAAGTTATGCAAGGCCACTGCTTTCCCTTAAACCTCCTGGAGTCAAGGGGAGAGACCCTGGCCCAGCAACTTGGGATCAATCAGAAAATTAGCCCAGGAAACTCATCTGGGTCTTCCAGCTCTGCTCCTCTGCACCTAGATAGACTTGAACCTCTCTAACTGGCAGATATGTAATAAAGTACAGTGATGCTGGCTTGCTAAGAGTGCAAATTTTAACCACGGTAGTAAATATTTTATGAGGTGCGGGGGGAAGGGAGGATTGTGGTGTGGTGGCTTTTGGGTGCTATTAATATAGATCACTTTTATCAGGGGAAACATTTGTCATTGAAGTACAGTTTCAAATTAAATAAATTACAAAGATTATTTTATGTGGTCAAAATAAACATGTGAAGCCCATATTCATTGTATTAAGTGTTGGTAAAAATCTTTATTAGGGGAAAAAGTATAAGATAATTAGTAACCAACATATTCAAGACTGCAGACATTGTGGAAGAGTCTATGTAACAGACTAATAGAGATTACCCAATTGCCATCACCTGGGATTTTTAACCTTTTTTAGTGTAGTGTTAATTTCTGCTCTCTGCCGAAATTCCTGTGAGCACATAGGTAGGAAATGAAACACAACTAACCAATACATGTATACATCATTAGTGGACAACTGATGGAAGTAAATAAAAAAATATAATTAGAACTAAATAGTATCCCAGGTTCAGAATAACAGGATAATATGTGTTTTCATTGGGTTCATCTGTAGAAAAGAAAATTTTCTTTAAAAACACTATGAGAATGGCGATCATTAAAAAGTCAGGAAACAACAGATGCTGGAGAGGATGTGGAGAAATAGGAACACTTTTACACTGTTGGTGGGAGTGTAAATTAGTTCAACCATTGTGGAAGACAGTGTGGCAATTCCTCAAGGATCTAGAACTAGAAATACCATTTGACCCAGCAATCCCATTACTGGGTGTATACCCAAAGGACTATAAATCATTCTGTAAAGGCACATGCACACATATGTTTATTGCAGCACTATTCACAATAACAAAGACTTGGAACCAACCCAAATGCCCATCAATGTTAGACTGGTTAAACAAAATATGCCACATATACACCCTGGAAAACTACACAGGCGTAAAAAAGAATGAGTTCATGTCCTTTGCAGGGACATAGATGAAGCTGGAAACCATCATCCTCAGCAAACTAACACAGGAACAGAAAAACAAACACAGCATGTTCTCACTCATAAGTGGGAGTTGAATTATGAGAACACATGGGCACAGGGAGGGGAGCATCACACACTGGGGCCTGTCGGGGGGTTGGGGTCTAGGGGAGGGAGAGCATTAGGAGAAATACCTAATGTAGATGACGGGTTGATGGGTGCAGCAAACCACCATGACACGTGTATACCTATGTAACAACCTGCACATTCTGCACATGTATCTCAGAACTTAAAGTATAATAATAATAAAAAGATGCTCAAAAAACACACTATGGAAATTTGGAGACTTTAGATGTATATCCATATGTCCCATTTTATAGTTCTTTATCAAAATAAAAAGATTAAAGAGACTTTAAATAACCTATAAAATTGTATGTTTTTATACTTCAATGCCTGAAAAGGGTATATATGTGTACACACACTTTAAATAGACCCTGCTAATTAGCCTAAAATTTGCTTAATGTTAGAATACTGGAATGGTGTGGTTTATTCTTATTTCTATTAATCCTCCCAACAGATCCATTATTTTTGTCTTGTAACCACTTTTTACGGTTCAGTGATTTATCTGATACTATCTTAAAGCATCGATTCTTGGAATGGTCAAAATTAAACCACATAGCAGCAATTTCAGAGGCGGAACAGAGCCATCAAAATATACTGATGCCTTCATTTAATACTGTTTAGAAATTAGAATAGGGTGCTCTTATTTATATATTTATTTTTGGCCTTTCCCAAATATCTGTTGTGTTCCTTTTCTTCCTCCTCAGTAGCTGCTGCCAAACAAATGTGGCAATACTGACAGTTGTCACTTTACAGCAGCCTTGCCATTCCCTTCTGTCCCCCTCCATGTGTCCCTCTCACTGGGCCAACTGGGAGGTGACTACAAAGGGGTGCAACTGGCAGAAATTAGTAAACATTTTTCTAAAAGTTAGAAAAATAAGTGCTGGGTGCTAACATCAGAACAGTGGCGCCAACACCTACATACTCAGCCCTTTGTGAAATTCATACTTTGCATTAGAATATGTACTTGATATGAGGTGAGCTTCTAAAAAGAAATTGTGTCCTATTTTCTTGACACATTGTATTAAATATTATGCGTATAATTAAGCTACATATGTCTTCACCAGGAAATTGCTAGTCGTTCTGAATAAAGCCCAGAATTGCTTCTTTATACTTTTCTCAATTTAGAATCAGAAATTAAGGAAACATGCCCATTTGCATGTGCTTCTAATGACAGAGATGGAAGGATGTCTTAATTAGTTTTAATCATGAGGAGAATGGTAACTAGCTGATGTCCTTTTTTGCTGAGGTTAGCACAATAGAAAATGGGCTTAAACCGCGACAAAAAGAAATTGAGTTAGCCATATGGATAAATTTCCTGATGTTATGAGTTGTTCAAATGAATTACTCAGAGACTAGGTCTGTAGTTTAAAAAAAAAAGAAAAAAAGATGTTACCTAATTAAAGGGAGAAAAGAATCAATTTCTTTCTGATTTTATCTTTAAAATGGTTTCTCTGCAAAGGTAATTTAATATTTAATATTCATTTCTGAATGAAGTCAGGTCTTCAGTTCTAATTGGTTGCTTCTTGCAATAAATTAATAGGTGTTAGTTTAAAATATAAACTATTTTTTAAATCTCCTGGAGAAAATTAATTTGTTTTATTGATTAGCAAATTTTAACTCAAGGACAGTGTGTTTGTCAAAAAGACTGACCTGTTTGGATTTGCCTTGAAAGAAGGATGGGCAGGAAGGAGATTCTAGGCCTCAAGCAAGCTTGAAGAATGACCTGCAAGTTCGCTGCAATGAGAGTCTTTTTGTTTTTTTTTTTTTTTTAATTAGGCTGTTTTAACTTCACAGGGGGGTTTCCTCCAAATTATTGAGATCTTAACTTTTAAAAAATTTAATCAATCCCATTGTCGAAATTTTTTAAAGTAAGTCGTCTGTTAACTCGTCAACCAGAGAAAAACACTGTTTCATTTTGTTTTGTTTTTTTTCCAATCTTCTGTTTAATTTTGGTGTATAACACATGTAGATACATATTTATAAAAATAATTCCAGATCTTGTTTATTTTACTTAGCATTACAGCCTAGGCATTTTTATCAGATCATTTAATATTTCATAAACATTGATTTTTTTTTATTATACTTTAAGTTCTAAGATAAATGTGCAGAACGTACAGGTTTGTTGTATAGGTATACACATGCCATGGTGGTTTGCTGCACCCATCAACCCATCATCTACATTAGGTATTTCTCCTAATGCTCCCCCTCCCCATGCCCCCGACCCCCTGACAGGCCCAGTTTGTAATGTTCCCCTCCCTGTGCCCGTGTTTTCTCATAGTTCAATTCCCACTTATGAGTGAGAACATGCAGTGTTTGGTTTTCTGTTCCTGTGGTTAGTTTGCTGAGAATAATGATTTCCAGCTTCATCCATGTCCCTGCAAAGGACGTGAATTCATTCTTTTTTATGGCTGCACAGTATTCCATGGGGTATATGTGCCACATTTTCTTCATCCAGTCTAACATTGATGGGCATTTGGGTTGGTTCCAAGTCTTTGCTATTGTGAACAGTGCCGCAATAAACATACATATGCATGTGTCTTTATAGTAGAATGATTTATAATCCTTTGGGTATATACCCAGTGATAAGATTGCTGGGTCAAACAGTATTTCTAGTTCTAGATCCTTCAGGAATCGCCACACTGTCTGCCACAATGGTTGAACTAATTTACACTCCCCCCAACAGTGTAAAAGTGTTCCTATTTCTCCACATCCTCTCCAGCATCTGTTGTTTCCTGACTTTTTAATGATCGCCATTCTAACTGGCGTGAGAGCTCATTGTGGTTTTGATTTGCATTTTTCTAACGACCAGTGATGATGAGCTTTTTTTTCATGTTTGTTGGCCGCATAAATGTCTTCTTTTGAGAAGTGTCTGTTCATATCCTTTGCCTGCTTTTTGATTTATTTTCTTGTAAGTTTGTTTAAGTTCTTTGTAGATTCTAGATATTAGCCCTTTGTCAGATGGATACATTGCAAACATTTTCTCCCATTCTGTAAGCTGCCTGTTCAGTCTGTTGATAGTTTCTTTTGCTGTGCAGAAGCTCTTTAGTTTAATTAGATCCCATTTGCCTATTTTGGCTTTTGCATTGCTTTTGGTGTTTTGGTCATGAAGTCTTCGCCCATGCCTATGTCCTGAATGGTATTGCCTAGGTTTTCTTCTAGGGTTTTTATGGTTTTAGGTCTTACGTTTCAGTCTTTAATCCATCTTGAGTTAATTTTTGTATAAGGTGTAAGCAAGGGGTTCAGTTTCAGTTTTCTGCATATGGCTAGCCAGTTTTCCCAACGTCATTTATTAAATAAGGAATCCCTTCCCCATTGCTTGTTTTTGTCAGTTTTGTCAAAGATCAGATGGTTGTATATGTGTGGCTTTATTTCTGAGGCCTCTGTTCTGTTTCATTGGTCTATATATCTGTCTTGGTACCAGTACCATGCTGTTTTGGTTACTGTAGCCTTGTAGTATAGTTTGAAGTCAGCTAGTGTGATGCCTTCAGCTTTGTACTTTTTGCTTAGGATTGTCTTGGCTATACAGGCTCTTTTTTGATTCCATATGAAATTTAAAGTAGTTTTTTCCAATTCTGTGAGGAAAGTCAGTGGTAGCTTGATGAGGATAGCATTGAATCTATAAATTACTTTGGGCAATATGGCCATTTTCACAATATTGATTCTTCCTATCCATGAGCATGGAATGTTTTTTTCCATTTGTTTGTATCCTGTCTTATTTCCTTGAGCAGTGGTTTGTAGTTCTCTTTGAAGAGGTCCTTCATATCCCTTGTAAGTTGTATTCCTAGGTATTTTAATCTCTTTGTACCAATTGTGAATGGGAGTTCACTCATGATTTGGCTTTATGTTTGTCTATTATTGGTGTATAGAAATGCTTGTGATTTCTGCATATTGGTTTTGTATCCTGGGACTTTGCTAAAGTTGCTTATCAGCTTAAGGAGATTTGGGGCTGACATGATGGGGTTTTCTAAATATATAATCATGTCATCTGCAAACAGAGACAGTTTGATTTCCTCTCTTCCTACTTGAATACCTTTATTTCTTTCTCTTGCCTGATTGCCCTGGCCAGACCTTCCAATACTATGTTGAATAAAAATGGTGAGAGAGGGCATCCTTGTCTTGTGCCGGTTTTCAAGCGGAATACTTCCAGTTTTTGGCCATTCAATATGATATTGGCTGTGGGTTTGTCATAGATAGCTCTTATTAGTTTGATATATGTTCCATCAATACCTAATTCATTAAGAGTTTTTAGCATGAAGGGATGTTGAATTTTATTGAAGGCCTTTTCTGCATCTATTGAAATAATCATGTGGTTTTTGTCATTGGTTCTGTTTATGTGATGGATTACGTTTATTGATTTGCATATGTTGAACTAGCCTTGCATCCCAGGGATGAAGCCAACTTGAACATGGTGGATAAGCTTTTTGGTGTGCTACTGGATTTGGTTTGCCAGTATTTTATTGAAGATTTTCACATTGATGTTCATCAGGGATATTGGCCTGAAATTTTCTTTTTTTGTTGTTGTGTCTTTGCCAGGTTTTGGTATCAGGATGGTGCTGGCCTCATAAAATGAGTTAGGGAGGAGTCCCTCTTTTTCTATTGTTTGGAATAGTTTCAGAAGGAATGGTACCAATTCCTCTTCGTAGAATTCAGCTGTGAATTCATCTGGTCCTGGGCTTTTTTTGGTTGGCCGGCTATTAATTACTGCCTCAATTTCAGAACTTGTTATTGGTCCATTCAGGGATTGGACTTCTTCCTGGTTTAGTCTTGGGAGGGTGTATGTGTCCAGGAATTTATCCATTTCTTCTAGATTTTCTAGTTTATTTGTGTAGAGGTACATAAACATTGATTTAATGCCTGCAGTACATTCCACCATAGAGATATAATCCTTTTATTTAATCACTTCTCTATTATTGAGCATTGCTTACAATTGCTCCTAAGTATAAATAAAGATGCAATGAATATTTAATGGTAAATATTTGTCCAAATTTAATGTTATTTCTTTAGCAATAACACTTTTAACTCTGTCTTTGACCATCTAAAACTGCCACCATCTTATAACTGATTTCATAAGCCTACATAATTCAATAAGAGAGATTGAAGGTATTAAAAATGTCACTTAGACTTCTATTTCTTGTTGTATTTGCTTCCATTGTTTCAATTGTTGTCTCTCAGAAAAGTCACCACTGCATCGACTTGAGTTCCCTATCTTGGAAATATCTAGTTTAAGTGAATCAAGCCTACGTTTGAATAGACAAAACAGACAAATTTGAAAACCACTGGATACCTTTTAGAAGGGATTCTTTTTTTTTAAGAATATGTTCACTAAAGAGTTTATTTAATTGATGTCAACCCAAGAGTATGTAAAATACAGCCAAACTTACCAAACTTCCATTTACACACACACACCTTTCTAAAAATAAATCATTTTGACTCTGAAACAGTAGTATGCGAACCTGGATGAGACTCCAGTTGCCTGAAGAGTGCTTTAACAATACAGTTTACTAGGCCTACTAAAGCAGAAAGTCCAATGAGTGGCCCTAGAGAACTGGCATTTTTTAAATCTGACCTGTTAATTCTGATGATCAGCCAGGCTGCGGAGCTGTAGAGTCAAGGGCATCTTTTAGGTTTTATCCTATGATGCTAAAAAGATATCAAACAGAAGAAAGAAGGCATGGAAGAGTGAGGAACGTCTACTAGTTAAAGTGACACAGCCTTTGAGCCTCTCTTTTACTTCCAAGAAATCCCATAGCACTCTCCCATATCCTCACCCTTATTCTTTTCTGGACCATTTAAGAGGACAGGGAGGGACTCCAGATCTAGAAGACAGTTTTACTGCGGTATAAGGAGAGGAAAAGATTAGTAGAATGTGGGAGTCAGTGCAAAAGTAAGTTTTTGTATAGGCAGTATTTACCAACCATCCCACTGTTCTAAATTTACATATTAATATGTATTGTATCTGTCCACTTAGAAAGAAAAAACAAAAAACAGCTTGCTATCTTAACCTAAGAGAAAATGTGTCTTGTCCCCTTCCTATCTCAAAAGAGAGAGGACAGTCAATCTCCATAAGTATTTATTTGCTAAATCCATGTGCACCCTGAATATCAGTAGCCCAAGAACCTACGAAAGAATAGGCATAGAAGTGAAGGATGGTCATAACTGTCACCTCGCCCTCCATTGATGCCACACTTGAATCAATCAGTCTGGCTCTTCCTTTTATGCCTTCATCCCACCGAATGTTTAGGAAAGCTGCATGCTCCGATAAAAATAAAGATCTGACTTGCTTTATGAGGCCAGTCCCTGCCTTAAGAGAGCTTACTTTTTTTTTTGAGACGGAGTCTCGGTCGCCCAGGCTGGAGTGCAGTGGCACCATTTCCGCTCACTACAAGCTCCGCCTCCTGGGTTCAAGCCATTCTCCTGCCTCAGCCTCCTGAGTAGCTGGGACTAAAGGCGCCCGCACCGCACCCGACTAATTTTTTGTATTTTTAGTAGAGACGGGGTTTCACTGTGTTAGCCAGGATGGTCTCGATAGCCTGACCTCGTGATCCGCCCGCCTCGGCCTCCTGAAGTGCTGGGATTACAGGCATGAGTCAACGCGCCCGGTCGGGAGCTCACTTTTTAATAAGGAGAGAAGACAGGGAATCCACATCCACCTATTCATTTAAATCACTGAGTGTCAGTAGGAGGGTCCCTGAGAGGGGTTGTGAGATTTGGCTGATCATTTAGAGAACAGGTGGCAGCGATGGTCAGAGAGTCTTCCAGGGAGACTATGACTGAAAGGAGGGAGAGGAAGCGTTAGAACCCAGAGATGAAAAATACTTTTTCAAGTTCAAATATTTAGACGTGGTATGAAAAAAAAGCAATGATAGATACTCACATCAGGATAGAGAAAGATTTGGAGGTAAAAGTAAGGTACGGGCTCTCACTGAAAATTGTTAGAGGCAATCATCAGAACTTCCCCCTTGATCTTGAGTCAAATGACACATGGAGGCTTGTGTCAAAACTGATACCAGCTTTGGCTTTCTTAAGCAAAAGGTAATTTATTTTTATTATTATTTTTTTAACTTTTAAGTTCAGAAATACACGTGCAGGTGTGTTATATATGTAAACTTGTGTCATGGGGGTTTGTTATACAGATTATTTCATCACCCAGGTATTAAACCTAGTACCCATTGGTGGTTTTTCCAGATCCTCTCTCTCCTCCCACCCTCCACCCTCCAAAAGGCCCCAGTGTCTGTTGTTCCCCTCTCTGTGCCTATGTGTTCTCTTTATTTAGCTCCCACTTGTAAGTGAGAACATGCAGTATTTGGTTTTCTGTTCCTGTGTTAGTTTGCTAAGGATAATGGCCTCCAGCTCCACCCGTGAGCTGCAAAGGGCATGATCTTGTTCTTTTTATGGCTGCATAGTATCCCATGGTGTATATGTACCACATTTTCTTTATTCGGTCTATCATTGATGGGCATTTAGGTTGATTCCATGTCTTTGTTATTGTGACTGGTGCTGCAAAGAACGTATGTGTGCATGTGTCTTTATAAAAGGATGATTTATACTCCTTTGGGTATATACCCAGTAATGGGATTGCTGGGTCAAATGATGTTTCTGCTTTAGGTCTTTGAGGAATTGCCACACTGTCTTCCACAATAGTTGAACTAATTTTCACTCCCACCAACAGTGTATAAGCATTCACAAAGGATAATTTTCTGAAAGATACCAGGAGCTTGTGTCTAAGGGGAGCAGGAGACCCAGGGTTGGAAAACAGAGAATCAGTAAAAGTGTGTTGCTCATTTTAGGTGTCAGGAATGGGGAGCATGAAAATCCACTCCTCATAGTTTGATCCAAACCATCTTACAATTTTATGGTCATTGCAGCTAGGAAAGAAAGCCCTGGGTTGGTGGTGGAGGGGCAGGGGGGTGGTCTCAGGCTGGCAGTTAAGTGTTCCAGCTGAGAAAGGACATGTATAATTTCCACCTACCACCCATTGGCCAAAAGTGGACATTTGTCTCCTGCTAACTGCAGAGAGATGTAATCTTCTCACAGGCACAGAAAGAGGTGAAAACCATGTATAGGGAAGTATTCAGTGCCTCTATGATGGGAGCAAGAAGCAGGACAGGTCCAGAGACCAAGGAAATAGGAATAACAGTAACCTTATCTCAGATGGTCTTGTCTGGGCAGTTCCACTGGTACAGCTGAAGCTGAACAATACTCAGATTCATTGTTGCTGTCATTAAGATTCAAATATCAGAGAAGAAATGTCTGATTAGCCTAGCTTGGTTCAAGTGTTCACCATCTAACCAGGGTAAGCAGAGTACATTATGGGTAGTGACGGGCTAAGAGTTAAACCCTAAGGAAATCAAATAATTTTAGGGAGCAGCCTAGGATATGAATATGAGCTGTTTGTTTAACAGCAAGAATATCCACCTCAATCTAGAGGCTGCTGGGAGTACCTCATTTCAGTATTCACCAAATATTTATTAAACAACTACTATATGCTATTCTAGGCACTAGGGATATAGCAGTGGCCACAATAAACACAACTTTACTGCTCAATGACCTTATATTTTTAATAGATAATCTTGGTTGGTGAATCGCTGAGTGGCATGGAGAATATTCTAGAATTGTGAGAGTAGGAAAAGATTTTATGGTCTAGGCAGGCAAAGGGAGAGCGCTCCAAAAAAAGAAAAAAAATTAGGAGACTTACGGGTCTCTGGGCTTCTCATTCCTGAAAGATTTCAAACTGCAGCTGACTGGCCATTTACCACAAATGTTCTAGAGGGATTGCATGGATTCTGTGAGATAGGGAGACTGAGAACAGCCTTCACTTAGGCTCCTTCCAGGTTGAAAGTTCAGGGAATTAATGAGAGCCCAATAAAGGGACACTGTCACTGAGAAACAGAAACATGAAATGAGATAATTTGAGCAATATTGTAATCAGAGAGAAAATATTTCTTCTTGGCAGGAGCAGACTCCCTAGGTCACTCTAAGTAAAATCTTAAACTGGAGATCCAGATGAGCACTCAGCTAATGATGGTACTAATAAGTCCCTGCTGCCACACATATTCACCTTCCACTTGCACTTTGTCTTCTGTCCTGGCACCAACTGTCCATGTCTAAGGACATATTCTCGACATGTACATGAGATTCATCTATTCTTGCCAACTCTAGGACATCACTCCAGCATTTCTCCCTTCTCTTTCTGCTTTCATATTTCTCTCTGTAGTGGGTGGTTCCCATTAGTATCTCACATGCTTGTCCCCTGTCTTCTTCTAGTTACTACCTCTTTTTCTGTGTCCCTCTTTATAGTCAGATGTTTGAGTTGCTCACATTCATTGCTTCCAAGCCTCTTCTCTGGGTCCCTCACGAACCCTCTCTAAACGACATTATCCCTTACTACATCATCCATGCTGCTTTTGCAGGAACACAGGTGGCCTCTCTACCACAAAATGCTTCAATCAGTTCTCAGCTCTGGTCTGACTTGCCCTGGCAGGAGCATCTGGCACATTTGACCACCTCCCCCTCTTTGAAACATGTTCTTCACTTCACTTCTAGGACACCTCTTTCCTGCTTGTCTTCCTACCTTGCTAGCTACATTTTCTCAGTCTGATCTTTTTTCATCTCTCCAACTTCTGAATGCTGGCGTAACCATGAGCTCAGTCATTAGGTGATATCCCTTGTCCATTTTTCGTTTTCCCTTGGTCATATCATCCACTCTCATGGCTTAAAAAACCTGGCAATATATTGATAACTACCAAATTTATATTTCCATTGGAGACATCTCCCCTAAACCCTAAACTCTAGAGGTGTGTGTGTGTGTATCTCTAATAGCCTACTGAAAATCACCACCCACATGTCGGGATAAACAATGCTGCTGTAACATCCATATTGCTTTGGAATGCACAATTCCCATGCATTTTGGCCTGACTTCCAGTTGTAAATATTTATAACTTAGCCAGAAGGCTTTCTCTAGCACTAGAGCCTAGTCAGCCTACTTGGCCTGTGTATGAGGCTGAGTTAACTCCCTCCATAAGCTGCTGTCAACCAGTGACTGATGGGAGCTAAAGGATGAATGCTCCAGCTCGTTCACTTCTCAGGGACTTCTATGCTCCTGCACAGACATTTGTTTTGAGGTATCTTCTGTTTCTCAGAGTTCCCCAGAGAGATTGAGTTCCAGTTGCCTATGGTATCAACTGGCTTGTTAATACACCCTTTACTGGAGTCCGTTTCTTACCCATCTCACTTCAATTCCCTGTGATGTTTCCTGGGATCATCTCCCGGGTAGATTACTTGCACTCAAATGTGTGTCTCAAGGTCTGCTTGTGGGGATATCCAAAGATAGATGTCAAATGGGCATCTCAATGATAACAAGCTCCAAACCAAGCTCACGATCTTCATGCCCAACCTGCTCTTCCCATAGTCTTGCCTGTCTCAGTAAATGAAGAACTTCTTCCAGTTACAGGTCAGAAATCTGTGCTCACACCTCATACTCAATTAGTCAGCAGATCTGCCTTTAAAATATACCCCAAATTCAACCACTAGATTTTTTTTCCCCCCCATAGGTTTTCACCCTCTGGAATAGTATAATATTTGACATTTCAAAATTGTTTGTATCCAGACAATTTTATAAGAAAAGCAGTGTTCATTTGTTTTGTTTGTCACTGTACCCTCAATGCCTAAAAGAGAGTCTGACATACATTAAACACACAAAAAAATCTGCTAAGAGAGTTGCACGGATGCTTAAAAAAGTTGATTAATGAGAAAAGGCCTTGGGGAAGAAAGGGATAAAAGGATGCTACAGAGAATGCTTGGGGAGGATGAATGTGCTTTTTTCCAGACTAAATGTCTTTTTTTTTTTGACAATATATTTTTTATTTTTATTTTTTCAAATAATACCACTACTGTTTAACTATAGCCAGCACTGGCTAAAATTTTTATATTTTCAGAGCTGAAGTTGGTGAAGACATTCATGATTTAAACACCAGATCCTGAAAGGTGTTAAATCTACTTTGAAATGAATCTGCAATCAGTATTTCAAAGCTTTTCTGGTAATTTTAGTGATCTTATTTGACTAGACTTTTTCAGAAGTACTAAAGAAATTTTAACAGGTTTTTATTAATGCACAGATAAATAGAAGTATAGTGAGGTCTATAGCCATTTTATTAAAATAGCTTAAAAGTTTGTAAAAAAATGAATCTTTGTAATTACTTAATATATTAGTTAAGAACCCATCAAGCTTATACCAAATGTCTTTATTATAAAAATATTTATACAACTAGAAAATAATCCTAAGACAACTTTAGATACTCAAGGTTTATCACCATAGGGCACTACAGTAAAATATTATGTTACAAAAGTAGGGAGGTCCAAAAACTAGGGAATCATTTTTAGTAATGGATTCTGCCAGCTCGCACCCCCCACCGCAAGAGTTCTGTGTGCTCAGATTTACAGAAACTTATCTATTCATGTGGGTATATTGAAAAAAAATTGAAATGTCCAGAATCACTTTAAGTGAATTACTGTCAGGGTCAATAAATGTACTGTTCTCATGACCCTGATGATCAACAAAGGGGAGGCAGGGCTCCACAGTGGTTAGAGAATGGGCTCTGCAGTCAGTCTGCTGATTTCAGCCCCAGCTTTGACACCCACTTCTGCGGTGTGACCATGGGCAAAGTTATATGACCTCTCTAATTTCAGTTTCTGCACTTATAAAGTGAGACTGATAGTGGTGTCTATCTAACGAGGACACTGTGACAATTAAATGAGCTAATACATGCAGAGTTCAGAGTAGAATGCCTAGCGAGAGTAAGCCCTGAGTTAGTGGAAGATACTCTTTTCCGTTTGGGTCATGTCCACATATATTTACCTGTCTTTCTCCCAGGCTATACTGTGAGTTCCAAGACATGTAAGCTATGCCTTTTCTTTTCTTTTCTTTTCTTTTCTTTTCTTTTCTTCTCTTCTCTTTTCTTTTTTCTTTCTTTTCCTTTTGTTTTTTTTGAGATAGGGTCTTACTGCATGTCTCTGTGTAGCCTTGAGCGGCCAAGTTCAAGTGATCCTCCAACCTCAGCCTCTTGAGTAGCTGGGACCACAGATGTGTGCCACCAACGCTGGCTAATTTTTTAAATTTTTTGTAGAGAAGAGGGTCTCATGCTGCCAGGCTGGTCTCAAACTCCGGGCTCAAGTGATCTTCCTGCCTCAGACTCCCAAATTGCTGGGATTACAGGTGTGAGCCACCATGCCCAGCCAACTATGATTTTATATAACATCATTATTATGTTTGTATAACACCTTCCACTTTTAATGTTCAAAATAGCATCATTGTAATTGGAAGGAATACCTTTTTGTCCTGATTTTACTAAGGAAGCTTAGAAAGTTTCTCTGTAATAGTGATTTTCAACCAGACTGGGGGACTTAGTGACAGAGCTTGCTGGGAGGATTTTGTCACCCTACACATACCCAGTAGAGAGTCTGAATCACTGCTGCATGAAGTCACTCTTGCAAATGGGGTGGTGGAGAAGGGAGGGATTGTATTCCACAGATTGAGAACACCCTGTTTGGTGGTATTTTATACTGGTGTGCACCAAACAAACCTTTTCTCTCAACTCGAACTATCCCATCCAAAATAGATGGGGAAGTCATTCTATAGGTGGTGCCATGCTCTGTGTGTTCCCTTCAGATTTCTGTAACCACCAAGACAATTCCTGTGCTCTGCACACAGCGAGCCTTCAAACATATTGCTTTGTTTGTTTGTTTTTGAGATGGAGTCTCAGTCTGTTGCCCAGACTGGAGTGCAGTAGCACAATCTCAGCTCACTGCAACCTTCACCTCCTAGGTTCAAACGATTCTCATGCCCGCCTCAGCCTCCTGAGTATTTGGGATTACAGGCATGTGCCACCATGCCCGGCTAATTTTTTGTATTTTTAGTAGAGACAGCGTTTCACCATGTTGGCCAGGCAGATCTCCAACTCCTGGCCTCAAGTGATTCACCTGCCTAGGCCTCCCAAAATGCTGGGATTAGAGGCATGAGCCACCATACCAGGCCCATGGTGCTTTTTTGAATACAAGACCAGAGAGAGCTGGAGCCGTGAGCTCCCTCCTTTATCCAGCCTTGCATTTCTATGCCTTAAGGTACCCATCATGGGCAAAGCACATGGAAGATTTGAGACAAAGTCAAGCAAATGGTTCCAAGTTACTCCAAAAGAGAAATTGTAGGTGGTAGTAGGGCTGCTGCCACAAGTTAGGCACAGGCCCAGCTCCTTCTAATCCAGGAAAGAAAGTGGTTGGAACTGAGGAGAAACAAGTTTTAAGGCATTCAAGGAAGGACAGCCTAGCTTAGTTAGACATGATCTATATGAAGAAGGGACACAGAAGGCTGAGGGAAACTGGGGTCCCTTTTCTCCAGGAATTCCTCTGGAGTACCAGTTTGAGAAACTCTTGTCTGGAATGTCATGGGGAAAGTTGGGGTGACTAGGGAAAGAGATAACAGTATTTAGGTTATAAGTAGTCATAATCAGTGGTGAAGAGGCATGGTTTATGGGCAAGATAGAGATAGAACTTTTAGGCCAATCAATATACTGTAACTTTTTTTTACATTTTGTTAGATTTTTGTGGCCAAGTAGAGAAAGAAGTCTTCACAGCATAGCTGTTTCTAAACACTTTGCCAGTTACCTGTGGGTTGAGGCAAGGTTTCATTCCTTGAATCCCTAACATGGAGTGTAGTGCCTGGTGCCCAGTGAGTGATCATTAGGTACTTGTTGAATCAATAAATGGGTGTGTTTTAAAGCATCTTGGGGACTGGCAAAATATGTGCTTAAATAGTAAATATTGGGTACAGAATAGACGATATATTTCTTTATAACAAATTCTATCTTACTATCCAGTTGTTTTTCCCCAGGCTGGCATTTGTCGTGTTGTCTTATTACTGTTGTCATGATGGGAGACTACGTTAATGAGAACAAGTTAGAAATTAAAAGGCCTAGTTCTAGTGCAACTACCTGTTTGGGGAAAGGTTTTTAATCTCTATGAGCATTGGTTTCCTGGCCTATTAAAGAAGGATAATAATAATAAACCTGCCCAGAGTACCTTACATCTCAGGTACTAGTGATGATCAAATGAAATAAAACATAACAAAGCCTTGGAACTAGAACCATCCCTTTGCCCTTTGCAAGTGTCTGTTATAGCAGCCTGTGAACAGTGTTTTTTTTCAAAGGCAAGAATTTACAGTCCAGCAATATTTTGAAGTAATTAGTAATCATTTGCAACAACAATGCCAGCTCATCAGTCTTCTGTAGTGAACAAGCAAGAGTGCAAGTCCTCATTACCAAGTACATTAGGCTCTGCAAGGCGCTGCTGATTAGTGAAGAGTTCTTCAGAATTCAGTGGTATCAAATGGATTCATACTTAGGATCACAGCAACCTAAAATGCCACCGGGCACTTGGGGAAATTGTCAGTGTTTCTTAGATTCAGGAAAGTTTTCTTCCATAAATTATCATAGCATTTGGCAATTTTCTAATCCAGTTATTTAAGTATCCTATCACTATCAGCATTAAGAGATGATGTTTTGTGTCATAACATGAAGAGGGAGATTTAAAAAAAGAGATAATGTTTTGAAAGGGGGCAGGGTGGCGAGGAAGTGACCTTTTCTTCTTGGTGTTCTGGAGTGATGGTTCTTAATTTGTTGAATTATGATCCCCCCTCCTCTCCCCAATGGCCTCATGCAGAAACACAAAAGCAATTTGCACTCTGCTTCCCAGAGTTCAGAGAACCACTAAATCCTGTGACATTGAGGCTACCTGGTCTGGTATATTACAATTGAATTTTGCTTTGAGTCAATTTGTATGTGGTCATGAAGGATGTTCAGTAAGTCAGAGCTCTGTTGGTTTTGGCTTGTGAGGTAAAGTCGATCCCATTATCTACAGCCATTGATTTGAGAGTCTGATCTTGGAAATTCAAATTTTAATCTATTAAATTTTTGGAAGGATGTATTATTGGTTGTATAGTCTAAGTGAAAATGCACTGTGAACTGTTAAGAAGGGCACTCTAGGAAATGTTTATAAAGCTGGGTGTTGAGTAGATAATTGAAAAACTATTATTTAAACATATGAGCTAGTATCAGGATAAATAGCTAATGCATGCCAGGCTTAATAACTAGGTGATGGGTTGATAAGTGCAGCAAACCACCATGGCACACATTTACCTATATAACAAACCTGCACATCCTGCACATGTATCCCAGAACTTAAAATTTTACAAATTATGAAATAGGTACAGATAACCCAAAATAAACCATTTCTATAAATTGTGCATAGTAAATGGCATTTCTTTGGAGCATTTGTGTATTTTTTTTATAATCTTATGAATATGTCAAAATTCTCTCATGAAGGCCGAGGCGGGCTGATCACGAGGTCAGGAGATCGAGACCATCCTGGCTAACGCAGTGAAACCCCGTCTCTACTAAAAAATACAAAAAAAATTAGCTGGGCATGGTGGCAGGTGCCTGTATTCCCAGCTACTCGGGAGGCTGAGGCAGGAGAATAGCATGAACCCGCGAGGTGGAGCTTACAGTGAGCCGAGATCGCACCACTGCACTCCAGCCTGGGTGACAGAGCGAGACTCCGTCTCAAAAAAAAAAAAAAAAAAAAATTATCTCATGAGTTGATGTTTGGGGCCATAGCTACAACTCATCATATATCTGATGATGTTATTTCAGGCAACTTTTCTCATTTGTCAGATGGAGATAATAATACTTACTTTACAGACATGCTATGGGCATTAAGTCAAATTTCATATATTTAGTGATTTTTTAAAAATAGATACATACAAAAGTAAGTTATGAGATGTAATAGAAGGTGCTAAGTGCTATGAGAACAAATCAAGCAGGCTAAGGAGGATGGGGGACACAAGGGAGTTTAAAAAGGCATCCAAGTAGGGGCCGGGCACAGTGGCTCATGCCTGTAATCCCAGCACTTTAGGAAGCCAAAGCCAGGGATAGCTTGAGGCCAGAAGTTCGAGCCCAGTCTGGCTATCGTGGCAAAACCCTGTCTCTACTAAAAACTTAAAAATTAGCCAGGTGCAGTGGTGCACACCTGTAATCCCAGCTACTCAGTAGGCTGAGACACAAGAATCACTTGAACCCAGGAGGCAGACATCGCACCACTGTACTCCAGCCTGGGCATCTGAGTAGGACTCTGAGTATACAAAGTACTTGAAACCTATCAGGTATTCAATAAAAGTTAGTATGCATGTATATGGATGGAATTTGCCCTTGCCATGTGCAAATCCAAGTCCATACAATATATGGAATATGGGGCCAGGCACGGTGGCTCACGCCTGTAATCCCAGCACTTTGGGAGGCTGAGGTGGGCGGATCATGAGGTCAGGAGATCGAGACCATCCTGGCTAACACGGTGAAACCCCATCTCTACTAAAAATACAAAAAATTAGTTGGGCGTGGTGGCGGGCGCCTGTAGTCCAGCTACTCGGGAGGCTGAGGCAGGAGAATGGCGTGAACCTGGGAGGCGGAGCTTGCAGTGAGCCGAGATCGTGCCACTGCACTCCAGCCTGGGTGACAGAGCAAGACTCCATCTCAATAAAAAAAAATAAAAATAAAAATAAAAACATATGGAATATGGATGGTTAAACTATACTTACGATATAGGCATATGCGAGACAGGGTTGCAGTGTCTCTAAAAGGACAATTATAAAACCACGTTCTCTTCCTTTTTGTAAACAATAACAATGGAAATTACAACTAATATTTGTTGAGTGCCTACTTTATATACATTAATTAACCTCATTGTATATATTACATTTATTATATTAAATTATTCCTTGTAGAAACCTTGTCAAATAAAACTGTTATTATGCTCATTTTTAAGATGAAAAAAGTGAGAAGTAACTCCAGAAGACGAAAAGAAGCTGAGTAACTAGCCCAAGATTAAGAGCTAGGAAGGAGCCAAGCAAACTTTAAACCCAGGTTGTCAGCCCCTAACCTGACTTTTAACATAGGGAACCATGAGACTTCCTGCTTTTTTGTTTGTGTGAGGACATCTAGTTTGCTAAGGTGTCATACATTTACCTAGCATTTCTTGTTCTGTCTCTGCTTACTTGAACAGTTTTTCACAGGGCGAGCACCAGGCTGCCCCAGAGCCTGCCTTTGATGGCAGATTAGGAGAATCCAAGGATTAACAAGCATGTCCTCATAGCTCACCAAGTTGTATGGAGTTCTCAAGTCCTCCCTGTCTCTCTCCACAGAAGCTGTGGCACAGGGGAACCTTGATTTTGGCAGGTTTTTGATGTTGAGGGAGCCCTGAGTCTCTGGAAATGCTGTCTGCTGAGCCAAAAGCATTTTTCGTGATTATTTCCATTGCAATTAGCCCACCTTAGCACATAGAGTAAAAGCTGAGGAGATTTCAAACACTCCTGAAATATAACCATCAGAATACACTGAATTATCACCTTATCGCTCATAATATTTGCTGGCAGAATCTTGCTGGAACACTTAAAATAAATCCTTAACATGCTGGTTGGGAAGAGAATGGTAGCAAATGGGGCCAGCTCACTCGTGGCACAGTAAATCTGCCATGAATTGCTGAGATGAGGAAGAAGTTAGAGAGAGTGGCAGTATATATATATATATTTTGAACTTTCCCAAATCCTGTGGAAAAAAAATTAAACAAGTGAAGCTAAATCTTCAGATTAAATTTTACCAAAACATTCTCTCCACAGTAACAGGTGGACAGGTTAGACAATTTCCTAATTCATTTCCATTTTAATTGTTAGTATTTTAACAAATGACTCATTTCTAACAGCTCTTTTGGCAGAATCAGTGATTCTGGACCGTTTTTACTTTTTAGTTGATAAGTGCTTGAATCATTGCAACCTTAGTGAGCTCTGGCTGGGTTCTATGCCCAACTTCTTCTTGGGTTCTTGGAAGGGTCATTGCATTTACTGGATTTAACCAGTGATCTACTGTGGATTTCATTTGCACACCTCAGTGAAAGTTACATAGACTTTAAAACACGGTAATATAAAAATACTTTCAAGAAGAATTTACATAAAAACCTAATATTCTAGGAAATATAAAAACAATGTCAAGTTGGGAATCCATTCTGTTTATCAGAGGAAGAACTCATAGCTACTACTTATTTATGCACTTACACCCTCTATCTCTGGCCCTACAGTTCTGACTGTTTTAAACTCATCTGGACCCTCTCTTAACCCCTACCATCCTATAAAGTGCTAAGCCACACTAGGAAAGAATAAAAGGGTGGATAATGGGCTGCGTAAACTGGAAAATTCCACTCTAATGGAAAGTACCATGAGAAAGTGAAAGATATCATCATTCGTCTACATTTCTATAATTGTGTGGTATCAGAAGTCTAAGCCAACGTAAGAACTTTACCTTTAGACTTAAAATCATGTGAATTTTAACTTAACTCTGAGATCCAGAACACAAGCGTTTTCCTTTTAGATCTTCCCTTCATAGTTTATGTCCAGTTTTTTTAAATTAGTTGCCAATATATAATAACTGGAGAGTGGCATTTTAAAACATCCAGATTTACAGCCTTTCTTGAACTATTAGAAGATCCACATTCTTGCACCTGTCAACTTGAGCCAGGTGTGTGCTGTCCTCCTCGAATGGAGTTTGTACCTTCACTCATCAGGGTCTACACTTTCTGCATAAAATTTTCCCCATTTGATGAAAGTGAAGCTCATGTTTTCAGTCCCAGTTATGCTTTTACAGTTGTATATTCATGGGATTGTTCCACAGAAATACGCTTATCCTCTTTCCAGATGAGTCATGTACTACTCATATAACACAGATTCCCAGAAGTGTGCCCTCATTTGCATTTCCTGTCTGGCCTAGACCTGGCTCTATTTACATAACATAATTGAAAAATTGCTATTTTAAGGGTTAATTTGGTTAACTCCTGTTGAGATTAATGTCCTGCAAGCTCTCTCCAGTATAACACAGTAGTAAAGAGCCCTTGAGTGATTTGCTTATAAAATGAATAACAATGACTTTTTACAGTATGGTGAAAATTAACTGGGAAAATGAATGCAAAATGCTTAGTGCAGTGCCTGGAATATATTGTCCGTGTTCAGTTAATAGCATTAGCATTATGCGTTTCTGTCTACACTGAAAACAGTAACTGGACATCACTTGATGAAAGCTAAGACTTTTGAAAATTTTTGCTTTTTAACTTGATTCTCTCAAAATATCATCCTAATCAGAATCACCACTGTAGTAAATGTTATTTATTCAATCACTCAAAAAAATATTTACTGAATACCACAGTAACCAATAGGTAACTTTTTGTCTTAGAAGAGTGCACACTCTAGCAGGGAGATGGAGAATAAACTACTAGAGCTACATATAAGTTCAGATAGAGATAAGAGCCAGTAAGCAAAAAAAAAAAAAACAAAAACAAAACAGAGGCAGGGACAAGGGTAATGGGTGATGCAGGCTGGAGGTGCTATTTTTTTTAGCTGAGATATTCAGGATAAATCTCTCTGACAAGGTTACAGATGAGATATTGTCATCAATTAGAGGTGATTTATAAACTTTGTTCAATGTCAACTGTTGGACTATTTATTCTTGTGTTTCATTTGGGACTTTTTGTTTTTGCTAAACATTTCTGTAAATATTGAGGATGTTAGGGTAGCTGAGTTTAATGAACTTGGTTTGAAACTGGAGAAAAGAATATTTTATGAAAGCGCTGATAGTTGCAGGAGAGCCAAGTTCAGGAAAAGACCAACTGAAGATTCAAGAAAATAGAGTGATTGATGACTGAAGTTAAGGAGGAAATGAGTGGCCCTGGAGGACAGGCAAAGAGATAAGCTGTGGACAGCAGAAGATCTATATGTTCCAGCTCATCCTTTCCTGCAGGAAAGACAAACTAATGATATCATGAAGTCAGCACTTTTTCCTTACTCTCTGCACATACTTGAGTCAAGTGAGGCTCTTTTTTTTGCAATCTCAATTATATTTTACAATATTACATTCACATGGTTCTCATAAATATGCTTATTCCTTTTCCCCGTGACTCATATATTACTCAGAAGTTACTGGCTTCCTTTAACTTTGATTGAATCTCCAAACTCTCTTGAGGATATCTCTTCGACAGTGGTGTTGACCCTAACAAAGTTGCAGCTCATGTTATCCGCAGGGTCCTGGGAGTAAGCGCCATTTCCAGACTAGACGTGCTCAATTCTGTTCTGGTCAGTTCTGCAGACATATCTCAGGTATTGTGCTCTGTGAAAAAGGAGCAAAGGTGAAGAGGACACCTGTCCCTAAAGATTAATCATAGCTACCGGGACTGGCCTTCCCAGCAAGAGCACCACCCTATTTTGCACACTGGGGAGGCCTCAGATGTCTTCAGTTTGGCCTCTTGATGGCTCTCAATCATGGAACTGCAAAGTCCACTGTTTACCAAGACAAGGCTAGGGAGAACTAGAGCAAACTGCAGAGAAAATGCCCAGCTCTAGGCCATAGCTGTGGCTCTGATGCAGCCAGTTGTTGCTGCATGGAAAGGAAGGCTTAGCTTTGCTTAAAACATCTGATTTTTGAAAGAAGGGGCAAAAATCTGAACTCATAAAATCTCTTTATTTGTGAATATTGGAAATTAATTAGCTTTTTTTAACCCTAATAAAGATTGTAATTAAGGGAGATGCGAAACCTGTTAACAAGCTGTGTGACTTTGAACAAGCTGTTTTTCCTGTATGGGTTCATTATCAGGAAAATTGGGTCCCACTGACTATGAGGTCCCATCTAGGCCTAAGATTCAATGTTTGATAGTTGGAAGGCAAGACAGAATTGCTATGACTTGACAATGTCCATAGGTAAGAGGACTGTGTCCACCTTGCCAAACCCCTTTAAGGTAGGAACAGACCATGTGTCATGTCTACCTCTCTGGATCATCAGTAAACACATCAATAAGGAGCAGACATTTCTAGCATTCAACAGACATTTATCAAGAGCTTTCACTGTGCCAAGCCCTGTGCCAGTCACCATCCATCAGGCCTCTTTATGTGGATAAGGAGATTTATTATTTCTAGCTGTGACATTCAGGCACCCAGCCCAGCACTGGGCTCAGAACTGGGGCTCAGTAATTGTTGGTTTTCTTCTCCTCCTTCCCTGAAGCTGCTCCCATGGAGAATTCTTCCAGAACTCATTTTGCTTGACTTCTTCCCTTGGCCTAGGATATGTTTATCTTTCTTTAGCAATTTTAACTACTCTCAAAAACCAGCTCAAGTCTATCCTGTTTTATTCCTGCCCGCAAACTCTGAATTCTGCTTGCTCACATTCATTTAAATATTAATTGAGCATCTACTATGTTCCTGGTACTGTTCACAAGATGGACAAAAGTCCTGCTTTTAAGAACTAAAATTCTACAGGGCTGGAGGCAAGTAGGAAACAAACTATGAACCAGTAATAAGTGAGAAATTGATTAAATGGTATTACCTGGAAAATAAGGGTGATATGGTAGTGATTTCAGACCTACTTTAGATTGAGTGGCCAGGAAAAGCCCCTCTCAGGAGGCAATACATATTCTGTGACCTATTGATAAGAAGAAAGCAGCCTTGAAAGATCTGGAGGAAGACAGCATTCCAGGTGGAGGGAACTGCAAATTCAAATTCTCTGAGGGAGGAATACAATTGCCTTTAGGAGGAATATATAAGAAGTCAGTGTGTCTGGAGCATAAATTAGAGGCAGAGGGGAGACGTACTAGGTGAGACCAGACCAGAGAATTTGGTCAGGTATAAAAAGAAAACAGGGAAGTATTCTTCCCCCATTCTCCCAATTGGAGTAAAATTTTCTAGAAGGAACTAGGACTATTCTCCCTCTCTCTCTCTTTTTTTTTTTTTTTTTTTTTGGCTTCCATATACCCAATTACTTAGTTACTATTTAGTTAATTGACTGAATGTGAGGAACTCACTAATCATTTAGTATTTAGTGTAGCAAAGTAGGGTTACATTTCAGTGGTTTGACTTGGGAATATTCAGAAGGTTTGGGCTACACATAACAGCCTAGGAGGTTTGAACAGCCCTTTCTTGATGGCTAGTTCGGCAGTACCCATCTGAGGACAAAGTTTCATTCCTTGCTTCTTCATTCATCTGTGTGCTGTTTCATTGCATGTTATTTTGACCCAGTAGCCAACAGCCCTCTAATATGGTTTAGGGGATAAAGAAGCAGGCAGAGGGACACTTCCACAAGTCTTTGTAATTGAACAACCACCACCAGAAGATGGTTTTTCTCCACTAAGTCTGGCATTTTAATGAGAGAAGTTCTTTTTGTTTCCTATCTCTGATAACTGACTACTCCTCCCCAATCCCCCTTCATCCTTTGCCTGAGGGAGATTAAAGGTGGCTGGAATGCAGGCTGGAGTCATTAAGTGTTCTCTCCCTTAAAACGAAACACATGACATGCACCAGTCCTTTCTGCAGAGTAGTGGACCGTGATGTGACTTGCTCCACTTGACCTTTTGATTTATAGAGTTGAAGAAAAGGACATTGCAGAGAGGAGTGATGAATGAAGATATTTAGTTCTACCTCCTTTTTGAATTTCTGGGAAAAAAATTATTTCAGTAGAAAGGAGGAGGTAACTTCAATAATTATATTATTTCTACACATTTTAGACATTGGGAGTTACTTGTGTTAGAATTGATTACAGATCTGTCTGGCATAGGCATTACGGCTCCTAAGTCTAGATTTTCTTCTTAATGCACCGTCACATTGATTTATTAATTTGTTCTCTTCCTATCTCCTGAACTTTTGTTAATACATGCATTTTTAGTTCCTTGCATTAAACTATTATTCACTCTTTTTTCTCATGTATTCAAATCATGCATAATTTTGTCCAAAGAACAATTTTCTGGAATAATAGTGCTTTTCATTCATATAATAAATGCGTGTGAGTATTTGTTTATTACAAAAGCAGTGCTTGGAAATAGGATCTAAGTTTGTTCCTTTTATTTGTGGATGAAGATCTGTCATCCATAAATAAAACTTGGAATAAAAGCACTGCAATTAGAATCAAATAATTATTGAAGATTCCTGGAAACCTGCGGGTGAGTGTGCACATGTGTATCTGTTTTGCTCATGAAATGACTTTTTAAAAAACTGCAGTATGGCACAGTGGCTCAAACCTATATTCCCACCACTCTGGGAGGCCGAGGCAGGAGGATCTCTTGAGATCAGGAGTTTGAGACCAACCTGGGCAACATAGCTAGACCCCATCTCTACAAAAAATAAAAAATTAGCTGGGTATAGTGGCACATAACTGTACTCCTAGCCATTTGGGAAGCTGAAGCAGGAAGATTACTTGAGTCCAAGAGTTTGAGGTTACAGTGAGCTATGATCACACAACTGCACTCTAGCCTGGGCAACAGAGTGAGATCCTGTCTCAAAACAAAAAAAAAAAAAAAAGAAAAAAGAAAAGAAAAGAAATTGATTTCACTGATATATGCCTGATAAAATGCCAGTTATAAAACTGCTAAATGCTTGATTCTGGGATGATTGATTTTGCATATGTAACTCTTATTCCTTTGTTTCTTACCTTTGTTTTTGTTTGTTTTTTCTGATGCTTTAAATAGATAATTTTTAAAGGGATTGGTATATTTCTACAGCTGTTTTTTCTTTAATCACAAGTATTTTAAACAGAGTATATTAATTTTCAAACTGCAGACAAAACTACCTATTGCAAGTTATTCCAACCTCCTTATTCATCTCCAGAGATGTGTGTTGGTGTCATAGTTTCAGAACACCCCCCTGGAGTAATGTGTCAATGTCAAATGCACAACTGTAAGCTCATCAACTTTAAAGGTCTTGTTCTTCTGCTAATCAAACCCCACAGAGTTCATTACATTTTCAAAATCCTCCAAGCCCTTATTATGCATGACAGCAGAAATGAACATAGTCAAGTTCATCTAGCTAAGAATATTATCATTCAGTGGAGCCCCTCAGAGAAGGAGAAAAAAGTAATCATTTCATAATCAATTGTGAGTTTTGCATGCTTCACATTTATATATTCAAGAACATATGAAATAATGAAGAAATATCTCATCATTGTGTTTCTTCAGGCTACACTGAGCACAGTTTGATCGTCAAGAAATAAAGTGGCTTTCCTAATGTGATTTGGGCTTATAAAAATCAGCATGCTTTCATCATTAAGGGACAGCACCTTTTATGTCTTAGCTGTAAAGTGTGCAGGTGTCAAGAACACACGTATGAAGTCCTGAAGGCATTATTATTGCACATGATTTATTCTTTTGTATCTTTTCTTATTTCTATTGGCCTCATTTGCATCTAGGGCCATTTGCAAAAGTTAAGGAAGGGGAGCAGGATAGGATGTGTGAATTCAACTATTCGAATTCTCCTGGATTACAAGATTTTGAGGGAAATGTGAGTAGGAAGCTATGAACTCAGTGGGAAAAACAGCACCCGAAGCAAAAGTTCCCCCAGGCATCCAATGCCAGGGGAGTTATGACTGCTTTCTATTAGGGATAAACCAGGCCTCCTGGGGGCTCAGTAAAGTGGTCATTCCCACCTTAGAATCAGTCATATTAGTAAAAGCAACCTCCAAGGTAACTGTCATGTGCCCCTGCCTAGACAGTGTATCGCTGGGTTTTGGATGGTAGGGGCTGAGGACCTGAGGGATGGGAGAGAAAATGCAGTTGGAAACAGCTTCCCTAACCACTTTCCCTCCTCCCCTCCCTCAGCCTGTTGAGTCCTTGACCTCATGGTCCCAACAACAGACATCCAACACCAGATTCCGGCCAGGCACAGTGGTTCACGTCTGTAATCCCAGCAATTTGGGAGGCCGAGGCAGGCAGATCACCTGACATCAGGAGTTCGAGACCAGCCTTGCCAACCTGGTGAAACCCCATCTCTACTAAAATTATAAAAATTAGCCAGGCGTGCTGGTGCACGCCTGTAGTCCCAGCTACTCGGGAGGCTGAAAGGCGGAGGTTGCAGTGAGCCGAGATCATGCCACGGCACTCCAGCCTGGGCAACAGAACGAGACTCCATCTCAAAAAAAAAAAAAAAAAAAAAAGCCAGATTCCCTCCAAAGTCAAGGGTCTCCTGTCAAAACTGGGTCTCTAAACTTTTCTTTTATCCTTTGTCTTATCTGTTATCTTGGCTGATAAAGGAAAGTAGAATATGTTCTAATGAAGATCACAGGAAATATTGAATACAGTCAATCTAGATTAATTGGCTGCTTAAAAGCTTCCTTGTAGATTAGATCATTTGCCCTCTTACAGGCTCAATGAGCTGCTTTTTCCATGTGTTCCTTTGAATAATGTCTGTGTCATGGCCTTAGTTTGAAAGAAGGGAGAAAACAAGAAAAAGGGCACATTTTGTTACTACAAGTTTTCAGGAGTCACATCAGTGATATAAATGCTGTTGTCACATTTTCTTTTTTAAAAAGCATTTCATAGTTTTACTGAATATTGAACAGAGCAAATTATATAGAATCCAGGTCCTGGGGCTCAGCGTTTCATGTGTGACACACAAAGAGTGGCTAGAGAGGATATTAATGCTTTAAATTATTACATGAAAAGATAGTAGGGTTTTTTTGGTCATATAAAGCTAATGGGTAAGTGGACTCTTCTGGGGCATGTGTGGTTTCTACCATTTTTTCAATCTCAGGATCACACAACATTCTAGGTTCATGGGAGTCCACAGCCTTTCATTTAAAAGTACATCATAGGCCAAGCATAGAAGCTTGTGTCTATAATCCCAGCACTTTGGGAGGCCAAGGCAGGAGGATTGCTTGAGCTCAAGAGTTTGAGACCAGCCTGGGCAACTTAGCAAGACCTCATCTCTACTAAAAATTAAAAAAAAAAAAAATAGCCAGGCATAGTGGCACACACCTGTATTCCCAGCTACTTAGGAGGCTGAGGTGGGAGAGTTGCTTGAGCCCTGGAGGATGAGGCTGTGGTGAGCTATGATCATGCCATTGCGCTCTGGCCTGGGTGACAGACTGGGACTCTGTCTCTATAAAAAAATAACAAAAAGTTTACAACTATATCATGAGGCCACGACTGCCAAACTCCTGGTTCTAGATCAGTGGTCAGAAAACTTTCTCTGAAAAGGTGAGTAATATTTTAGGTTTTGTTGGCCAAACAGTCTCTGACAACTGCTAATTCTGTCATTGTAGTATGACAGCAGTCATAGACAATTTGTAAACAAATGACCATTGCTGTGTTTCAATAGAACTTTATTTGTGAACACTGAAATTTGAATGGCATATGATTTTCACATGTTAGAATATTTTTCGTCTTTTGATTTTTTTCAACCATTTAAAAATGTAAAAGCTGGGCAGAGCATAGTGGCTCATGCCTAAATCCCAGCTCTCTGGGAGCCTGAGGCGGGTAGATCGCTTGAGGCCAGAAGTTTGAGACCAGTCTAGGCAACATAGACCCTGTCTATACAAAAAATTTCAAAAATTAGATGGATGTGGTAGCTCACACCTACTACTCGGGAGGCCAGGGCAGGAGGACCATTCATAAATACCCTAAGTCTTTATGCTTGTTCACGGAATACAGTTATGAATTCTAGACACAGCAATATCAACTCACAATATGCCATCATGCAATCACTCTGGGCTTTTGTTTCTTCATCTCAAAAATGATGAGGTTCAACACTTTTACACTGCTGGTGGGAATGTAAATTAATACAACCACTATGGAAAACAGTATGGAGATTCCTTAAAGAACTAAAAGTAGAACTATCATTCAATCCAACGATCCCACTACTGGGTATCTACCCAAAGGAAAAGAAGGCATTATATGAAAAAGACATGCACACACGTGTTTATATCAGCACGATTCACAATTGCAAAGATATGGAACCAACCTAAATGTCCATCGGCCAACAAGTGGATAAAGATAGATATATATATATATATATATATATATGCACATACACCGTGGAATACTACTCAGCCATAAAAAGAAGTGAAATGATGTCTTTTGCAGCAACTTGGATGAAGGTAGAGGCCATTATTGTAAGTGAAGTAACTCAAGAATGGAAAACCAAGTATCAAATGTTCTCACTTATAAGTGAGAGCTAAGCTATGATGGACACAAAGGCATAAGGGTGATATAATGGGCTTTGGGGACTCAACGGGGAAGGTTGAGAGGGAGTGAGAGAGGAAAGACTACAAATTGGGTACACTGCATACTGCTTGGCTGACGGGTGCACCAAAATCTCAGAAACCACCTCTAAATAGCTTATCAATGTAACCAAAAACCACCTTTACTCCAAAAACCATTGAAATAATTAAAAAGGAAGGGGTTCAGTTAAATGGGCTCTGAGGTTATGTGATTTCTTCAGTTTATTTTCTGTGAAAAAAAAATGTATTTTTACATATTGACTTTCCTTGAGGCAGGGCGTATTATTGTCATCAAATGAGATGGAAAATGTTAACGCCATATCCGACTGTGAAAGCGGCACTTTCAGTCCATCCACCAGAGTCCCAGCTCAGGCTCCACCAGCCTCCCCATCTGCCTGGGCTCACCCTTTGGGGATTCAGCTTCTGCCTCCGTCTCCTTTTGCTGCTGCAGTATCTTTGAGATGAGTGACAGTAGTTTGAGAAACAAAATGTCCTGGCCAGGGGGTGGGTTGAAAGACACAATTATGGGAATTATTAGTCTTCTTATTTCGTATAATTGTAGAGTGTTTTTCTCTCAAGAGCACCACAGAAAGTTTGAATGAGTAGGGATTATTTATCCTGGAGTGGGGAAGACTGTGGGGAGGGAAATGACTCAGTAACAGCATGGAGTGTTTAAAAAGACGATAACCAACTGCTGTCTCTTCTCACTAAAGACAGAGATTAAAAAATTGAGAGCAGAGGGCTAAATTAAATGTGCAGAGTAATATCTTGCCAGTAAGCATGATTAAACTCCCAAGTGAGTTCCTAGGGGAGGTCTCGGTGGATAGGAGGACACGAATGTCCTGCCTAGAGCCAGACATCTTATTTTCTGGTTTTTGTTGCTGGAACTAAGGTCTGCCTACAAGATCTGAGGGACAGACCCCCAGGCCTGGACTCCTGGCCCTCAGCATTTTGATAAAGCAAAGGTGCTCCACACAGACATAAAGAACAGACCAAAAAACGCAGCAATTTTCATCAGAACAAAATCTGCAGCTTCAGGGAAGTTAGCTGAGCTTGGGGTGTGTCCTGGAAGTTTATGGAAGAGTTTGATCTGAATTGGGTGAAGCCGGGCATGGGGATAGTGAAGACTTTTTAAGCCAGCCTCACCTTCTCCAGAGCATCAACTCATGGCAATTCTTCCCTTTCTGACTATCTCCCCCACCCACTGTGCCTGCCACAGGCAGATCAGATTTGCTATTTTCCAGAGAGGACTGGCTCCACCTCACTGTATGTCAATTGAGAAACAGGCACAGAGCAAGCAGGGTGATGGTTTTCCAGGCCTCCCTGCTAAAGCATAGTTTCCAGCACATACTAAGTGCCTACCCTGTGCATGGTGATTGTATACATAAATGAATGAAGCAGGGGTGGGAAAGAGGAGAGGGGCAGTGAATAATGAACAACCTGTAACTGGAACTCTAGATTTTGATGTGCAGTCTCTCAATTTTCAAACAGTGGCAAATAATTTCAATATTTTTTCCATCTTTATAAAGGTAAAAATTAACAAAAATTGTATATATTTAAAGTATATAACTCAATTTTTTCTTTTTTTCGAGACAGAGCCTCACTCTGTCACCCAGGCTAGAGTGTGATGGCATAATCTTGGCTCACTGCAACCTCCGCCTCTGGGGTTCAAGTGATGCTTCTGCCTCAGCCTCCTGAGTAGCTGGGATTACAAGTGCGCGCCACCACACCCAGCTAATTTTTGTATTTTTAGTAGAGACAGGGTTTCGCTATGTTGGCAAGGCTGGTCTTGAACTCCTGGCCTCAGGTGATACACCCACCTCAGCCTCCCAAAGTGCTGGGATTACAAGCATGAGCCACCACCCCCAGCCAATGTTTTGATAACATATACATTGTAAAATAATCACAGTCAAGCTAATTAATATCTGTCACCTTTTATAGTTATTTTTTTGCTGTGTGTGTGTGTGTGTGTGTGTTATGAACAATTAAGATCTACCCTTTCAGCAAATTTCAAGTATAATAAAGCATGGTTAACTATATTCACATTACTGTGTATTAAGTCTCCAGAACTCATTCATTTTTCATAACTGAAACTTTGTACCCCTTGACCAACATCTTCTCATTTTCTCTTCTACTCCTAGCCCTTCTACTCTCTGTTTCTATAGACTTGACTTTTTTCAATTCCTCATGTAAATGGGATCATGCAATGTTTTTCTTTCTGTGTCCGGCTAATTTCACTTAGCATAATGTCCTCCATGTTCATCCATGTGGTCACAAATGGCAGGATTTATCTCTCTTTATGATCAAATAGTGTTTAATTATACACACACACACACACACACACACACACACACATATATACACCACATTTTATTCATTAGTCAACAGACAATTTAGTTCTTTTCTGTGTCTTGGCTATTATGAATAATGCTGCACCAAACACAGGAGTGCAAATATCTCTTTGAGGTATTGATTTTATTTCTTTGGCAATATACCCAGTAGTGGGGTGCTGAATCATAAGGTAGTTCTGTTTTTAATTTTTCATTGAACTCCCATACTGTTTTCCTTAATGGCTGTACCAATTTACATTCCAATCAACAGTGTACCAGGGTTCTCTTTTCTCTGCATCCTCACCAACACTTATTATCTGTTGTTTTTTTAATAATAGCTATTCTAAGTGGTGTGAGGTCATAGCTCATTGTGGTTTTGATTTGCATTTCCCTGATAATTAGTGATGTCAACCACCATTTCCTATATCTGCTGGTCATTTGTAAGGCCAGACTTACACACCAGCCTTCCTGAAGTCAACTTTTGAAAAATGTCTATTCAGGTTCTTTGCCCATTTTTTAAATTGGGTTGTTTGATTTCTTACTATTGAGTTGTATGAATTCATTATATTTTTTGGATATTAACCTCTTATTACATGTATCGTTCACAAATATTTTTTCTGAATCCTAAGTTGCTGGTTCATTTCGTTGATTGTTTTCTTTACTATGAAGAAGCTTTTTAGTTTGATGTAGTCTCATTTAATAATTTTCGCTTTTGTGGCCTGAGCTTTTGACATCATATGCAAAAAATCATTGCCCAGATCAATGTTATGAGAACTTTTGCCTTGTGTTTTCTTCTATAGTTTCATGGTTTGGGGTCTTACATTTAAGCCTGTAATCCATTTTGAGTTAACTTTTGTATACAGTGTTAGATAAAATCTGATTTCATTTTTCTGCATGTGGATATCCTGGTTTCCCAGCACCATTTACTGAGGAGACTATTCTTTGCCCATTGTGCATTCTTGGCACCCTTGCCGAAGTTCGATTGACTAGACACACAGATTTTTTTCCGGGCCTTCTATTCTGTCCCATTGTTCTAAATTGTCTGGGTTTTTTTTTTTGTTGTTTGTTTTTGTTTTTTTGGCCAATACCAGATTGTTTTGATTACATAGCTTTGTAATATATTTTTAAGCCAGGTAGTCTGATAGCTCTAGCTTTGTTGTTTTTGCTCAAAATTGTTTTGCTAATTCAAATTTATTTTAAAATACTATGGTAGTCAAGAAGACATACGTTTACTATTTGCTGCCAGCGTGTGGCCTTATCTTTAGAATCATGTAGAATTAGATATAAATACTGCCTATTTACTGGTTGCTGACCTTGGCAAGTTCTTGATCTCTCTGAACTCTAGCTTCTTTCTCACAAACAGAGAAATTGCTTCACAACATAGCTGTGAGAACTAAAATAATGTATGTAAAGAAATTAATATAGTGCCTTGCATGTTTGATAAATGTTATTATAATATCTGATATTATAATAATGAATAGCTGATATAATATATCATGTTGATCCACATAAAATTGCTGGTATACGCTTGGTTTTAAACTATAAAAATGGCAATTTCATATGGTTCAACATAATATTTTGTATAAAATCCTCCCCATCTACATTATTGTGACATTATTGCCACTATTAAAGCCTATATACCCATTTCCTAAACACACACTTATGATTCCCCCTTCCATGCTCTATTTATTCCCATAGTATTTATCACTTTGAACATATTCAACAAGTTATTTATTATGTTTATGGTTTGTCATCTGTCTTCCCACATTTGCTGGTGTATATAAGTTTCATAAAAAATAGGGATTTTCTCAGTTTTATTCATTGTTTTTCCTCCCCCACTGTACCCCAGTACCTAGAATAATGTCTGGCACTTAGTAGTCTCTGTGTAAATTATGTGTTGAGTGAATAGACTTACACACTGATCTTTCTGAAGCTTAATTGAGCCTACCATGGTCATGTTCCTTCAAGCCTTAAAGGTTTAAGAGAACTATTGATTAGAACTGTACTAAATAAAATATAAATGAAGGTTGTTATAATGATGGGTTCTTTAGGGCTCTGATTCTTGTGTAAGAACAGTAGAAAGTTATCTGAAGTGTGAGAACAGTAAAAAGTTGCCTAAAGTGTTGCATATCTGAAAAGCTGAATTGTATTAGTTGAAAAAAGCTAAGTAAAAAATATTTATCTGGGCCGGGTACAGTGGCTCATGCCTGTAATCCCAGCACTTTGGGAGACTGAGGTGGGCAGATCATTTGAGCTCAGAAGTTTGAGACCAGCCTGGCCAACCAACATGGTGAAACCCCGTCCTTACTAAAAATACAAAAATTAGCCAGACATGGTGGTGGGCCCTGTAGTCCCAGCTTCTCAGGAGGCTAAGGCAAGAGAATTGCCTGAACCAGGGAAGCACAGATTGCAGTGAGCCGAGATCCTGCCACTGCACTCCAGCCTGGGTGACAGAGTGAGACTCTGTCTCAAAAAAAAAAAAAAAAAATGTATATTGTGTGTGTGTGTGTATGTATGTATGTGTGTGTGTGTGTATCTGTGCGTGCATGTGTGTGTATATATATGTATATATACACACGTGTGTGTATGTGTGTATATATGTATGTGTGTGTATATGTGTGCGTGTGTATATGTGTGCGTGCATGTGTGTGTGTATATGTATATATACTTTATATATACATACATACATATATAGTATATATATACACACACATAGATTATATATAGTGTGTATATATATATACACACACAGATACATATATATATATATATATATATCGGAAGTATTCAATGAGTTGTTTGGTTTTTTTCTCCCACCCGGTTATACACATGAGTTTGGCATAGTGCTGTATTTTTAAAAAGATGATCATCAGTTGCATTTGCCCTTTGACAAAAGGAAATTGGTTTAGTAAAGTAACTCTCCTCGGCAGTAAAGTATGCCCTCAGAGTGTGCATGTGTGTCTGTGTGAGTGTGTATATAACTGTAGGTATACATGTCTACGCAGACATATATTCATTAGAAAAGCTAATACAGAGAAGGAAATTAAAAGTTTAAAAAGCCCAATAATAAAAGTCAAGCCTGACTGGATTCCAGAAAGACAGAGGAGAAAATGGTGGTATTGTCTTTAGAAGGAATGTCAGAGTAGCGTGAGTACAGAGGAAAGTGCTGATAAGCAGAATGACAAAAGCTGGTCTCATGAGTAATTCCAAGCAGCCAGAAAGCCAGGGTACAATCCCCAGCTGATTGCCCTGCTATTCTCGGTATTCCACATATCATGACTAAATCCACAGAGCCAATATGGTAAGTCGTGGGGAATTCTGGGAGGTACTATGCTGTTTATAAGGGCCCAGGCGGATTCTGTACTCTTGTCTGCCCCGCCCACCCTCCATTTAAATACTCTAGTTAGTTGCTTCTGACCAGCTCCTACCTCCTTCCTAGGAAGTGGGGGAAACCTTTACATTTCCGAAGGCAGATATTTTTAGATGTGATGCTCTGTCCAAAGTGTTAACTAATTGAGTTATCAGGTTTCTTACTTGGCCACAGAGAATGGCAGTGGAAGAGGGAGAGAGCTTCCCAGAACAAGTAAGCATTTACAGCTCCTAAATGAAATGTACTTTCCTTATAGAAGTTCTGTTTTGCCCTGAATAGTTGTGCCTTTTAAAAAATGTTTGTTGCTGGGTAGGAAGCAAATTAACCTGTTTGCACTACGGATCACTTGAGTTAAATATGTGTAGGACAATGGACTGTCCTTTCTGTTTTGTTCCGATCCGGACTCTAGATATGTTTTGCCTGTGATGTAATTTGGAGTGAGTTCAGCTAAGGCCTGCCTTAAGAGGATGCATAACAAAATACAAAAAGACAGGGGGCGATTAGGAGTGCAGGAAAAGCCTGGTAAATCCAAGAGCGTAAAAAGGTTTATATGGTTGCACTTTTTTCAAGAGAAATCCAACAGCTTTAAAATTCAGCTTTTTCTGATGTATTAATTACAAGGGGCAATATGAAATTTTACAGTTGGGGAGAAAACATAGAATTAAAATTTATTTTTGAAACTCATATAAATGGTAGATGAAGGATGTAATTAGAAGTTGGAAAATGTAATTTTATTTCCATCTTAATAGAATTGCACATAGATATAAATAAGTCATCTTGTTTAATAATTTTAAAGAATTGGCATAGTAAGCCATCTCCCCCTTAAGGGATACTGTGTAGATAAAGGGAGTAAATATTTGCTTTATGTTTGTGAAATTTTGAAGTATTTGATTCTGAGGGATTCACCTAATGCTATGTAGATCATGGTATGGTTGAAAATGGTCATGTGATCTCTTGTTTCTACCTATATCCTTTCATCTAACTGTGTGATGTTACACAGTTAACATCAGTGTATCTAACTCTGAGAACACCTTAGATTCCTGAATATTGTGTTTAAACATTTAGTGAAATAGTCATAATGACTAGAACGAGACATCATAAAAATGAGGACATTGTTGCTTGTTCTAATATCAGGTGGACAAACATGCTAATGGTTTTGAGAAAACAGCTGTCATTTCACAGTGTTACAAAAAGCAATTTGGAAAACTTACAATTTTTATCTTTATTTTAAATGGATTCAGTTTTCATCTTTGTACTCTTAAAGACAGAATATTTTTTGCGAAAATATTAACCTTTCGTGACCTTTATGGAATGTGGCAATATTGCATATGTACAATTATGAAATTTTAATCAAGTGAGATTTTATAAACATTCTGTGTGTCTCAGAGAAAGAGTTTTTAAGGGTAATCTTTGAGATTCGTAATAAAGCTATAAGATTGTGCATGAATGCCAGACATTAATGTCAACTGTAATTTACTAGTAATATAAGCATATTGGCAAGTGAGTCCTAAAAATCGTATCACTCTAAAAATAATCAACTTACCCATCCAAAACTTTCAAACTGTACTGTTAAATTTTGATGTGTATTCTGTTCCATTAGTTGTGGATTTGAAAACTTTGCATATGCATGATCATAAATTACATAGTTAGACAGCTTTGAGAAATACTCATTGCTGGGAAGGGTTTGAGCAATAAGGCTTGCTGTAACGAGTCTTAAAGAATGTACCTGAAGAGTTCTGGCCTTTTATTAATTAATAACTTAAAAAATCTGAGATCCAAAAGGAAAGCCTAAATAAAAGTAGACCATCTTGTTTCTGCCTCCTGTCAGAATATATCAACTAAATGGTGAAAGCATTTGATCTCAGCCCATATGTGCAGTGTTTTCTGTTTTGGTGGGCATGCTGTTTGAAAAAACGTGTAATAAAATGACAGACTGAATTTGAAATTATCATGCCGTAAGCAGTAACTCTGGAAGGGTACTGACCCGATACGAATCATATAGAAGTTCCATCACAACAGAGTAGCATATACTATTGCTGTACTGGGTTTTGCTGGAAAATGTAGAATTATTCCTCTCCTGCCTTCATCTCTGACTTGAATGGAAGACTGAACACTTTATCTGCATGAGCTGAACTATGGACAAAATCCTTGCAAAGAGGGTATAGTAGATAATTGCATTTTCATGAATGATCATTAATACTTCCTGCTGCTTCTGTTCGGCTTGTGGTTTTTACAGTATTGTTTAGAGATTTTCTGTATGGAAGAACTAGAACTAGTTTTGACATAAATGATTGATGAAAAGTTAACTTTAAAGTTTAACTCTTCAATAATGCTCATGAAAAAAACCTAGACTCTAATATTGAACAAAGCCCAAATGTAATCCAATTTTAGTGTGCATTTTAGAGGTAGCTAATAATAAGATCATTCAACAGCAACTGATGTGCATTAATTTTAAATCCTGTGAAGTTACCCTATAATGCCAAATAGAAAATCTTTGAATTTGGATGTTTCCTATGTTATATATATATTTTTCAATGATTGATCCAGTAATAAATACATATTTAACTGTTGGAGGAATCCCTCATTTTATTGTTGATTTTCACTTAAGAAAATTGGGGGCAAGTAGGATATTTTATATAGTCAAACTCAAAAAAAGAAATCACAAAACTTGTCTTTTGCTGCTGAGACTATTATAGTGTTTGTTTTGAAATGGAAACTTTTAGTTATGTAGTAAATATAATATTTACTTACCAACTAAATTTGTTCTGTGTGACAATATAAAGATGCTACCTCAGGTCGGTTATAAATTTGGATGATAATCAAATTTAAGTTATCTGTAAGACCAAAAAGAATTTACAATATAATGAGATATCTTTTCGAAGTCATTCTCTTTATAATGTTAAGACATTTTTAGTCGCAAAGTAAATACGTTTGCCAATTCTATCCTAATGCAAATGTTTATTTTTTAAATGTTTTATCATGATCCTCAGAATATATTGCAAAACCTAGTAATAAAAATTAAACTGTGTCTTCTAATTGGACTGTTGATAAATATATAATTAGATAATATAACATAAATTTCAGTGTATTTCAGGGAAATATTCATAGTTACTAATAATCACTCGTTAAGCATAAGACTCTGTAAGGAATTTAATTCTTTTATTTTAGGAGTCTCTTTTTACTTTTGTAAGTAAGATTTTTGTAAGAATATCTTTGTAGATATTCATGATCGCAAACATTTCCAGAGAATAATGTTGGGTAGTGAATGCCATTTTTTTCTTTAGTCAAGTGACGGTGAGTGATGGCAACCAGTTTGAAAAGTAGAAGCCAATAATGTAAAAATCGCTTTTCAGAATCTGGATATGTTTCAGCTTTATTTAGTCTTGAATTATTGATTATTTTGTATTCTAACTCAACATCATTTTGATATATTGTAAATTTACATACTTCTGTAATTCAGTGATTATTGTCATATTTTGAAAACACTTGTATCTGTAAGATCAGATACATTTTGAACACTGCATACTTTTTTATTTATTTATTTATTTCTTTGAGACAAGGTCTCACTCCGTTGCCCAGGCTGGAGTGCGGTAGCACAATCACAGCTCACTGCAGCCTTGAACTCCCAGGTTCAAGCGATCCTCCCACCTCAGCCTCCTGAGTAACTGGGACTACAGGTGTAGACCACCACACCCAGCTAATTTTTAAAATATTTTTTGTAGAGACAGGGCCCCACTATGTTCAGCCCAAGCTGATCTCAGACTCTTAGGCTCTCATCTCAGCCTCCCAAAGTGCTGGGATTTACAGGCATGACCCACTGCACCTAGCCCTACTGTAGACTTTTAAACACAGACTGTGACTTGCTCATTATTTGATCCCCAAAACCTGGAATATAATATGTATTCAATAAATATTTGTTAAGATTTTAAGCAAAACTTCATCTTTGAAGGGTACAGCCTCTCATAATCATGGCCTTCTAGTTACCAGTTAGTCCTAACAAGAGACTATTTTAAAATATTTAAATATTTTTAAAAATGTTTGAAAGGAACATGCTCTAATTAACTTTCCATTTTAGTGACCAGAATCAGGCTGTCATTTTCCATGTAGAAGTTTCCCAGAACAGAGGATTTGTATCTGTAGTTGTGTTTATGCAACAATGACAAGTTGTCCTTAAGGAATTCTCATGCTATCTTTTTGGCAGCATCACTTGCAATGGAATTTGTTGCTTATTTGTCACATGTCATTTCTAAGGACCTTAAGTGGACATCCTATGGACAGTGTCATCCACTGGGGAAGTGTATTAGTGTTCAAGTATTTCGACTGTGTGGACATAGCCACTTGGAAAGACTCTAGGAGAACTAAAGCAAGGTAGCAGAAAAGCAATGAATAGGTACTGATTAGAGTGATCCTGATCTGTACTTTGCAAAAATAGTAGCACTATATTTATTTAGACTTTGCTTCCTGCTCAGTCTTGCCTTTTGCTTAAATGTTCTCTTCGGAGGTGTTAGGCCTTTGTATCATGAGGTCAATCAAGAACCCCTGGGTGTCCCTGAGACCCTTCTAGAGTACCCTGAAGACTGGTATCCTTGACCTACTTCAACCAAAACAATACGTACATTAAAGAGATTTGCAGACTCGTAAAACAATACCATTCATCTCATCTTTTTTATTTGTTTTGGAAAATACCGTTATGTTTCATAAGATAAATATTTTAAGTTAGCATGTAACAAGATTGCCATTGTTAATTTAAAATAAATTAATGATTAATTTTTAAATTGTCAGCTTTATTTTCTAATGTGGTAAATAACAATAGTTATAATCCTCATAATCAAAAGCTCTTTGGGGTTCCTCAATAATAGTTAGGAGTATAAAGGTACCTTGAGTAATAAGTTTGAGAACCGCTGCTGTAGACAGATCACAATGTGAGTGTTCTCTGCTTTGTTTGCTTCCCTTACTTCCTGAAAGCACTGGGCAAATGAGGTCAAGTTCGTGGGTTCAGTCCCTGTATGTTTGTTTGACTCTCATGGTTATAATTGTAGCCAAACAAACTAGAATATTAACTTAAAATAATTTTAAAGTGATAATTAATAAAGGATAATGTTAATTGGGGACCAACTGTGTGCCATGCCATTTCTAACTGCTCGGCATGTATTATCTCCTTTAATATCAACAGCCCTCTGAGTTAAATTTTACTGCTAATTTCATTTTACAGATGAGGAAATTTAACTACAGTATGTTTAAGTATCTTGGCCAAAGTCACATCCTTTGTGAATTGCAGAGTCAGGTTGTGAACTTAGGCATCCTGGGTCCAGAGTCTGAACTCTGAAATCACTAAACTACATTGACTTGCCAATAGAAAGTGACATATTAGTCTAGATCTATCTGCAAATACTTAGAAAACACATATCACATAGCTCCTTAAATAGGAGTCTTTGCTCCTAGTAACCCTCGTAGTACATTTTAGCTGTTAGACGGTAACATAACGGAAAGTCACCTTCCATGTTATAACTACTTATAATGACAGAGTCCAGCGGTTACCTTAAATTTGGGGTAAAGTCCACTCTTCCTTGTTTCATTTTTTGTTATAGAAAATAACGTCCTTCCTTATTTTCTTTACTACATGTTTCCTTCGCACTTCTAGAAAGATTTCTTGTGTGTCTATGTATGTGCTCTTTCTATATTTTGCCCTTTTGTTGTATTTAATGTAAAGCTGTTTAAGCCTCCCAATTCCAAATCTAGTCAAGGAAAAATATAAATGTCACTTACAGATTATTTACAATCCCAAATCAGTCTATCTATCTATCTGTCTATCTGACTTCTCTAGTGAGCTAACCTTGTTTTTAAAAATATTTTTTATACATTCAAATAAGAACTTCTTTAGCTATATTTTCAGCAAGGCCTCCTAAAATCCCTTTGTTGATTACAGACTTAAGTAAAAATGAAACATTTTAAGTGAAAAGAACAATAGCATTTTGGTATATTTGTTTTTTAAAAAATCAGCATGAAACCATCCTCCCTGCAAGCCCCCTACCTCCCAAAAAAGGCACATAGTTTCATTTACCAACAATTCTAGCAAGGCTCCAGCTGCATCAGCTGGTGGCCAACATTTTAGGATGATAAATTCAAGAACTCACTAGCTAATGCCTCCTCTCCCTCTGGTGCCATGGCCTCACCCTTCAACTCCTCTGGGCTTTTAAACCTCAGGCCTCTAATTATCTGACCAGGAAGCTGAAGTCCACTGTATTGTAATTTCCTATCTGATTCGCACCATATAGAGTATATTTATGCATTGCAAGAAAATAGTTATGTTTGCAGTATTAAGTCTATGCACACTAAAAATCAAGCTGTTTATTTCCTGGTCTAAAAAAAAAACTGTTGGGAAAATGTTCATCTATTCAAATACTTTCTCTTCTCTCTGCTACCTAGACCAGTTTTAGCTTATCACTGTTTTCAGTTGCTATATATAAAATGTGAATAGTTGCTTGGATTAAATATTTTAGGACTCATGCCAATGCCTCCTACATAATAAGGATCCTTAAGCATGAAGGCCTGAAATCCTTGTTCTGATTCATAACATACCAAATAAATGGAAAAATCGCAAACAGTTGTCATGTTTTATATAATCTACCACGTATAATGCCAGAAGTTACTGCTATGTATTTCCTGAGCGGAATATAGCAATATCTCAGTATTATGAGGTACCTCTCTAAGGGACTCAGCAGTTTGTGTTGTGGTGGTTGTTGTGTAGCCAAGCTATGCAAAAAATTGGAATTTGTTTTATAAACAAGGATCTCCGCAGACTGCCAGATTTTAACTGCATAATACTATCTCGTTTCATTTTATGTTTAATGGGACAAAGTTGTCGGTCATTTTTAGCCTTCTTTGTATGTGAGGAGTGGGTCCAATTCATTCTTGTTCTGTATCATTAGGTGGTAGGAAGAACATTAAAGCCAGGGAACCCAAATTCTATTTTCAGCACTTTCTCTAGCTAGTTAAGCAAATCACACCTCTCTTCGCTTCAGTTTTCTATCTATTTGATAGAGATGATACGGTGACCACTGCTTACCCCAAAATATAAGATGTGTATAACAGATAGGATTGTATGTATTTTTTTGTTCAATACAAAGCAAGTTGTTTATTAAGACTAAGAGTTAATCGTTACTCTATCTTTGCTTACCAGTTTACTAGTTCAGCGCTATGAACCATGAGATTATTTAATGTTAAGGTGAGCCGAGGGTATGTATGTAAATGACTAATGCTATCACAAGATGATAAATGAAGGCGTGATGAGATGAATGCCAGCGGATCCCTCCAGGAGGGGGATGTTTAAAGCAGCCACTCTCTCTGGTAAACAAGGAAGAATAGATTATGCATCAAGGATTTCCTAGGCAGCTTGGCTCGCAGGAAAGCAAAAGAGAATTTCTTAACGACATGTTCATGTGGGAAATAATTGAGACAGATGAGCTAGATGAAGCAAAGCAAAAAGAGAGGAGGGGGTGACTGATAGAAAGTTTAGGACCCTGGGCGGGGCTTGGTGGCTCATGCCTGTAATCCCAGCACTTTGGGAGGCCAAGGCAGGTGGATCACCTGAGGTCAGGAGTTTTGAGACCAGCCTGGCCAACGTGGTGAAACCCTGTCTCTATTAAAAGTACAAAAATTAGTCGGGCGTGGTTGTGGGTGCCTGTAATTCCAGCTACTCAGGAGGCTGAGGCAGAAGAATCGCTTGAACCCGGGAGGTGGAGGTTGCAGTGAGCTGAGATTGCACAACTGCATTCTGGCCTGGCAACAGAGTGAGACTCCGTCAAAAAAAAAAAAAAAGAAAGAAAGTCTAGGACCCCAGTGGCTTTATGTTTTTTTTGTTCAGCACATGCCTTCTCCCAAACAAATGAAAAATACTTTAGGTATTTTTGGGAAGGCTGGCATCTAGAACACTTACAGATTAGAAACCATTAACTGCTATTTTATTAAACCTTTGATTACTATCTTATTTTAACTCAATGGGGAAAATAATTCCCTGAAATAAACATGATTACACTTTTCCAAAGGACTAAATCTTCCTTATATTAACATTCCATTAGCGTGTATTAAGAAAAAAAAAATTCTCCAGGGCTGCTGTATGTTTTGAATTGCTTAGCCCTGAGAATGCAATGGATAGACTTTTTTTTTTTTCCAGAGCAAGATATTACTATTTCTCTCATGCTTCTTTGTCTCAAGAGGTAATCAGAAACAGGTTCAAACACAGAGGAGGTTTCAAAATAGTCTGGTAATGAATACACCTGCAAAACATACTTTTCAGAAATGGTTTCTCCATCTGCGGTTATTTTCCAGGCTTACTTATTTATTTGAATCTTTAGATTTCAGAATAACCAAATATAAACATTTTATTAATTTTAAGGTTGAACTGTCTGTTCCTCTTGTATAGCTTAACCCAAGTAAAGGCAAACTCATGCTGTCCTAAAATATCCTAATGAAATAAAGTTGAATAATTCGTTTTCATTTTAAATTTGAAAAACATCTTGAGCTGAGCACAGTGGCTCACACTTGTAATCCCAACACTTGGGAGGCCAAGATGGGTGGATTACTTGATCACAAAAAGTCAAGAACAGCCTGGGTTACAAGGCAAAACTCCGTCTCTACTGAAAATTACAAAAATTAGTCAGGCGTGGCGGTCTGTACCTGTAGACCTGGCTACTAGGGAGGTCAAGGTGGGAGGATTGCTTGAGCCTGGGAGGTGGAGGTTGCAGTGAGCTCCAGCCTGGGTGATAGAGACAGACTGTCTGGGGGTAAAAAAAGAAAAAGAAAGAAAGAAATGTATCTTGGATAAAGGGCTATACTTCTTTTCACATCTTGGGTTAGGTACTTTGGCCACAATAGAACTTTTATTAACACTGCTCCGTCTTTGCTTGTTTGGAAAATTAAACACTTACCATTAGCAGTGGAAGCATTTGTGCATTGCATAATATCATGGAGCTTTTAGGGCAGGGAGGATCTTGCTTGTCATCTAGTCAAATCATCCTACCAGTTCCTTACATCATTTATGGCTTTCTGCCTAATACAGCGTAGTGACTTTGTGTCTGCAGCACAGTAAGATACCTTGCAACTTCCATAGTGTAAGGAAAATGAAAGTTTTGAGTCAAAATAGTTTGAAGTCAAAATAGTTGGCCATAGCCTGGTGCAAATCAAGACAAAATGTTACTATATTGACCTCATATTATTAAGACACAAATTCTCCTCTCCTGATACCTATGATTTTATATCCTCTAAGAGACAAGTGAAACTGGCTTTTTAAGATCTTACTTTATATTATCAGAAAATTTGAGACAAACACAGATCCTATTTTGCAGCTGAACATAATCAAGTCTATGTTGAGGAATATTAGAAATACCCACCCACCCACCAGCACCTGACATGTGTTTTTCCTCCCATGGGAAAATTTTTTTTCTTCTCTATATTTGTTTTTGTTGCTAATCAGTCTCCAAGAGAATTTTTAGGGGTCTGAATTCTGAGTGAGAAAAAATACCCCCACGGCCTGAATTCTAGATCCTCCTTTTGATGTAAACCAGATCATAGTGGACAGACTGGATGAGGGTATGTTTTATCAGCATATGGCAAGGTAAATCTCTTGAAAACACTGCCTTTACAAAAACAAAAGCCTGCCAGCACTGTATTTTTTTTAACTGGTTCCCACTCCCCTCTATTTAAAGATAAAGTTGGGAATGTTGTTTTGCCTTTCAGCATGAGAGTGGCCACTGTGCACAGACACCCCAGCAGGTTTGAAATGTGCACCAGCAGGGGCCTTTCTGGCACAGGTCCCAGTGTAAAGATGCTAACCATGCCTAACATGTGTTAGGGGTCAGTGACCTCATTTTCAGGGATGAACTGAGGGTACTTCCAAGCAAAATCCATGCAAAGGCAGCCTTGTAGCTATCAGAGGGAATCTGAGGAGCAAGCCCCTTTTACTTCAGTTAGTTTTGACAGTGATTATTACTAATATAGACCACCTTTAGAAATTTAGAAGCATTTTTTTTAATTGGTTAAGTAACCCCCTCTCTACTCCTCTTCTGGCTGATTTATGGATGAGAAATGCTGGTTTATTTCTAATAACTGGATAACAGTTAAGTAAAAAAAAAGAATAAAAGCTTAATAATCTGAGGTCTTTCCTAACTAAAAGGGTTCAAGTTTTTTCAAGCTCTTACCATGAAAAAGGCACATAAAATTCCCCTTTATTTAAGATCTCCACACCCAAAACACATACTTGAAAATAATGCATTTGCTGACATAGACCAATCTCTTAAAAAGAGAAATATCAATCTCTTAAAGATCCAAGGTTTTTACTGACAGACGGCAGATTATAGTATGAATGTCACCGTTGTTTTCGTTTGTGTAATTGGTTGCATTCTTCTGAAATCGGTGGGAAATTAGATCACTGTGCAAGATATCTATAAAAATATCAGTGCACAATATCTTACTCTAAAATATCTGGCAACTGAGTGGTCACAATCGGGATGGCCGTGTCCCAGTGATTCAGCTCTAGTCTCATAGGAAAAAAAAATCCACCCTTTGGCTCCCCTCTCATGTGCTTGGGCAGAGCCACAGCCCTGTGTCCCACACGAAAGCCTTAAACACAGAAGAATGGGCCTTTCAAGTCATTAGACTAATTTTTTGTTGGACGTTATCTTATTCTAAATAAACACATTTTAGATTTTGAAAAGTTCAAGTCCCGTTTCTGATGGAGAATAATTTTCAAACTCATGTTACTTTGTTCACCAAAAATTACTTCTCAGTGCTACCAAGCAAAGCCTCTCATCTTTAGTTTCTGGCTATGAAAAGCAGGGGGCATAAGGCTGGGCACTGTGGCTTACATCAGCACTTTGGGAGGCTGAGACAGGCAGATCACTTGAGCCTAGGAGTTTGAGACCAGCCTGGGCAACATGCTGAAACCCATGTCTACAAAAAATACAAAAATTAGCCAGGTGTGGTGGTGCCAACTACTTGGAAGGCTGAGGTGGGAGGATCACCTGAGCCTGGGGAGATCGAGGCTACAGCGAGCCATGATAATGCCACTGCACTCCAGCCTGGGTGCGAGAGTGAGACCTTGTCTCAAAAAAAGAAAGAAGGAGGGAGGGAGAGAGAAAGAGAAAGGGGGAGGGGAGAAGAAGAAAGAGGGTGGCATAAGCCAGAAGCTGTGGATTGCTTGAGCCCAGGAGCTTGAATACAGCCTGGGCAACAGAGCAAGACCCCATCTCTTTAAAAAAAAAAAAAAAAAAGGCAGGGCATAGATGAAAAAGGGTCGGGGGAGGTAATTATGAAGTGAAGAATTTAAAATCTGGCCTTGAGATCTTAATCTTGTATGTTAAACTAGAAGTCTGTCAGTATACCTTCAGAATGCCTCTTATATCACTTTCTTGTCCATTCCACAGCTAGCCCCCCTAGGTCTTCTTATCACATTGTCACATACAACCATATTTTCACAGTAACCTACTTCAGTGGCTTTCTCCTTTGGTGAAGGAGAACTTAATGTGCCACCAAAGGAGATCAGTTTGAGCAGCATTGATCAAAACATCCCATCTCAGACCAATCGAATCTGAATCCCTTGGCTGTGACGTGTGTGTGTGTGTGTGTGTGTGTGTGTGTGTGTGTGTTATTCCTACCTGGGAGATCCTTGAGGCACGGTGGGGTTGACAACAAGGACCCACAGATCTTATCTCCATTTTCTCCCACACTCAAATCTGACATCAGTTAATTGGGTCAATATATAGCTTTCAATGATGTCTTTTCACTCCTCAAAACTCTTTATTTCCTCCTGGTATCTTTATGGCGAAGTTAAATCAGATTTATCTGGTGTTCCAAACCTCTCCTGAACCTGTCCTTTTCGCCTACTCCCCCGTCCCAGGGGAATCCCCTTTGCATAGAGACTGTCTATTCACAATTCCTCAAACCTTTCTGGCTCTTTATTTCTACCTACCTTTTCTTCCTTTTATTCTCCACTGACCAAATCCCCTGTTGAAATCCTGCCTCCTCCTACTGGCTGTTTTCCCAGCTGTAACAGGATGCAGAAATGGCCCTTCCCGATGAGCTTCTCTGACTTTATGAACTTCTGTAGGTTCATCTACCATGAATTCAGGCTCCAGTATGCACAGCTAGATTAGGACAAAGACCTACCCTAAAAAAGATTATCATCCATCTCTGTAGGATATGTGATCCTAAGCAGAACAGACCAAGTGCTGTTGGAGTCCAGAGCGAGAAGGGATCATGCCTAGTGTTTATCAGGGAAAGTAGCAAATATGAAGGGATCTTTGAGCTGGACCCAGAATTTAGTAGGTGCGTCTGTTGGTCGGGGAGGGAAAGTGAGGAGGGTTGGTGAGCATTACTAGCCGGGCATTACTGTTATTACTAATGTCCTGGGTGAAGTCACAGTGCCAGGAAATTATAGGGGGCAGTTGAGGAATAAAAAGATATCTAGGTTGCTTTCAAGATTAGTGTTGATTCATGTTTTGTTTCAGGCTGGAAGTATGTGTTTGGGACAGGTTTTAAAGGGCCTGTGAGCCTATGCCATAGAAGTGGATTGGATATTATGGTTTAAAAGCAACAACGTTTGAACAAATGAGATATGGTATAAAACAGCAATCTATTAAACAGATAAGAGTAGACCTATTGGGGGCGAAACTGAAGATAGGCACACACAACTCTGCTCAGTGAGCCCTACCCTTGATCTCAGTGGTTCTAAACTTTTGGGCTTCACAGAACTCAAATGGAAAACCCCTGGTGTTGAGGGAAGAGCCTGGGCTTGCTATCAAGCAGACTTGGGTTTCATTCCTTGCTGCTTACTTATTAGTTATGTGACCTTGGGCAAGCCACTTAATTTTTAAGAAAGTTAGGTTTCTGCCTCTGTAATGAGATTCCTGTTTTGATTGAATACTTAAGAAATAAATGATAATGCATGTATAGTAAGACATAGTGCATAATAATAATACATGTAAAATGCTTAGTGAGGTCCCAGGTATATAGTAGGCACTCATTTAATTGCAGCTATTTTCCTTATCTTGACTTTCTTAGAACCCTCAGTGGACCTTTATACACTGTTCAGTGCTTCCAGCAGAGTAACTAGTGCCAACTACAGCCTCCTGGAGATTTTTTAAATGATCTGGACATTATACAGTAAGGGCCTGAACTGGCCAGGGAGAAGGATGAATGAGGAAAAAGAAAGTGACCATATTTTCAGCTGTAGGGAAAGCTAAGAAGTTAGGAAAACAATAAAAATAAGTCTTCTGAAGTACATCTTTGAACTAGCACTTTAAAAGTAAGAGGCCTGTAGAGATTTAAAAATATATATATGTGAAAGCAAAAACTGTTTTACTTGGTTGTATGAGTACAGAGTACAGGAGACAAAGCCTAGGACATGCCCAAGGTGGATAGTCTAATAAGAGACCCCACATTAACCTGGGCTCCAAATGGTGAGCCCCCAGTATAAGAATGGACAGGAAATAAACCCACCATACAGAAGAGACAGGAAAAATATTCCTCTCCCCATTTGTCACCAGATGGAAGGGAAAAAAGTCTGTCCTGAGAATTTGTAACCACAAGGAATCCCTCATATCTATACCAGTTTGAGATCTAAATTTATCCGTGTAGTCTTAACAAAAACAAAAACAAAAAACCTCAAGCCAAGCATTTATTTTTAAAGTAATCTTGGGTTGATAGTGCCTCTAGGCAACTGGCAGAACCAATCTCAAATTTCTCTTTGGAATATGACAACATTAATCCAGGCATTAAAGACTTACCAAAGATTAGTTTCTAAGGAATATGAGGTCACAAGCAACAGTCACAAGCCAGGGAAATGTAAATTGGTGCAATCACTTTGAAATGCAATTAACTAGAAATTAACTAGTAAAGCTGAATAAGCACATACTGAGTGACCCAGCATTTATGATCCTAAGATTTAAAAAACTCTTGCCCTTATGCACCCCAAGTAGTGCCAGAATATTAATGACAGTATCTTTCATAGAGGGTCCAAACTGGAAACAAGACAAACATCCATCAACTCCACAGTGGATAAATACATTATGTCATAATCACATAATGGACTATTATATGTTAGCAATTATAAATTACCCACATGTTACATGTCAACATGGATGACTCTAAGAAACACAACATTAGACAAAAAAAGACAGAATGATACATAATATATAATTTTACTTATATAGAGTGCTAAGACTCTTAAGTACTAAGACTAAGTCAATTACATAATATTTAGCCTACAGAGGGGTACATAAATGTTAAAACTATAAAGAAAGGCATGAGAGTGATTAACTAAAACAGAGGATGCCTTAGGAGAACCACTCAAGAAGGGACTCGTTGGGAGTCTTCAAATCCACTTGTAACTTGCATTCTTGAGCTGAAAAGAGGGTATGTGGGTGTTTATGTTATGATTTTTCTTTGAACTGTTCATATATGTTTTATGTATTTTTTAAATGTATGATATGCATCAGATAAATACTTTTTTTAAAAAATGAGAAAGAACTAAAAAAGTCCCTAAGACAGAATATTGAATCAGATGTGTACACATAACTTTCTGGAAGGGGGTTTGAGGGAGAGAGTGAAGAAAAAAAGGTAATCAGAGAGTTACACCAAGATTGCATGCCTGGGTGGCTAGGATAATCTTCGGATATTTAAATAAAAACAAGGAAATCTATTGTTCATATTTCTGTTGTTAGCGTCTGGTTGCAGGCAGATGCATTATATATCTCAGCACACTTCTGTTTTTGCTGTTGTTGAGTGAGGGAATTGTGGGACATGGAAATGTCTTGGGGTGAGGATGAGCACTACGTGGATATGGAGTGCTGAGCTTAGAGAGAATAGTGGGAGCCATAGAAGCAATGAGGTCACCTAGAAAGAGCATGCAGGAAGGAAAGAAATGTGAGTTCTGAACATTTTCAGTGATGGGTTGAGGCAGTGAGGCACAGAAGGAAGTGAACAAAGAGATGACAGAAGAAAAGCTCGAGGGAAGATTTTCAAGAAAGAGAAGGTGATTGGTACTGTCAAACATTACAAGAGGAGAAACTTAAAAGTCATGGAACTTGATGACTGGAAGGTCATTGGTGATTTTATACAGAGAGACAGTATTGATTAGTGAGAGAAACTGTTTTGCCAGAAGTGCAAATATGAATTAGTATTAAGGATATAAGTCAGTGTGAACCTACACCAGTCTTTCAAAATGTTTGATATTTAAAGGAGAACTCATAAACATCTATTTAATTGAGTGCCTAGCTGTGCACTCACATTGTTAATTACCTGAGTTATCTAATTTTATCCTAACAGTAGGTTATTTTATTCTCATTTGACAGCTGAGAAAACTGAGGTACATAGATATTTTTAAAAACTTACCAAACACTAAGAGGTAGAATAGCTGAAATGCAGATTCGGGCTGTGTGATTCCAGTGCTTTGGTTCTTACCTAGTCCACTGCACTGGGAAATAGAGGCGATCATCACTTGCAAGGGGGTGCTGGGTAGAAAAGTGGAAGGAAACTTTTTTGTATTTTTGGTTTTGTTTTCTATGTTGGTAGGCAGAAGACAGGGCACCAGTAGAAAAAAGGAATTTGAAGTTTACAGGAAGGAGCATCTGACCCTTCACATGGCTCACAGGTAGCTGGGAAGATGAGGTAATGGGGAAAGATTAGAGATTTTTTTGGCACATCAAGTAGAAAGAGGCTCCTGAGATTGCCCCCGCCCCCCAGAAAAGTTTAGAAGCAAAGGAGCAGAGCTATGTTATGTACTCACTGGGTCTCCAGTCTGCATTTTTTCAGGTGATCCACTGTTAGCCTGATCTTGAGTCTCATAATAAACTTAATGAGGAAATTCTGATCCATGGAAGATATACCTGAAGGTGCCTAAAATAGTTAATTCAATGGATGGAGAGACAAATGGATGAACTGATGGAAAATGAACGAATGAATGAATGAGCTAAGAATTCTCATTTGGAATAGACCAAACATGTATTAAGCCCTTTCTTAGAATGGTGATTAACAGCCTAGACTCCAGAGCCAGACTGGGTTTGCATCCCTGTCATTCACAAGCTCTGTGTCCCTGGGAAAGTCACTCATCCTGCAGCTCAATTTTCTTATCTATGAAATGGAGCTAGTAATAGTACCTACTTGTGTTAGTTTGCTAGGGCTGACATAGTAAACCACCACAAACTGGGTGGCTTAAAATAATCAAAATGTATTATCTCACAGTTCTGGAGCCAGAAGTCCAAAATCAAGGTATCAGTAGAATCACACTTCCTCTAAAGACTCTAGGGCAGAATTCTTCCTTGCCTCTTCCCACTTCTGGTGGTCCCTGCCTTGAGGTAGCGTAAGTCAAGTCTCTGCCTCTTTCTTCACTTGGCCATCATCTCTCTTATGTGTCCATGTGACTTCTCTTCTTATAAGGTCACCAGTCATTGGATTTTGGGCCCATTCTAATCCCGTGTGACCTCATCTTAACTAATTATATCTGCAAAGATTGTATTTCCAAATATAGTCATGTTCTGAGGTTCCTAATGAACATCAGTTTTGGGGAGACACCATTCAACCCACTACATTACTTAATGGAACTGTTATAAGGATTACATAAATTAATATAAGGACTTATAAAATTAATACATATTAAGTGATGAATAATATAATTAAGTTAATATTAAGTGCTTATAATCATGTCTAGCTTATAGTCAAAGGTATGAAGTATTACTGAGGTTGGCACTCTGAAAATGCTTATTCTTTCCAATAACTGCTTTCTGCTGAATAATATCAATATTCCACTGCCGGTAAAGATGCTGAGTTACTAGATTAATTCATAATAATGCTTGACTCTATCCGTGAAGCTATTTCCTTGAAAAACATACATGATTCATATTTCTAGTAAAATGACTAAGTAGACAGGACATTAAATGGTAATAAAATAAACTTTCATTTCCAAATTCCTCAGATTTTGGTCACCCAGAGGAAAAAAAGTGCTGAACAACCTGTTCATATTCATTTTTGTGCAACTAATTCCTTAGGCAGTGGCTTTGTCTGTGTGACTTTCCATGTGGCTGCACCCAGCTTGTCTTTGAACCTAATTTCCTCCATAGTAATTTGTTGACATTTTTGGATGCATCTTAGATATAGCATCAAAAGAGGCATTATTTTGATACAAGGTTATCAAAAGGTTAAAAAAACCAGCTATAGACTGTGTTGAGTAACTCCTAGTTATTCCATGAAATGACGGCAGTGAGATACAACCCACTGATACTGAGTCTAGGACAAAATAGTGTGTTTTTTACACGAAGGATATAAACAGCAATATATTCTCTATGGGCAAAATTGGTGGGAAAATGGTTAAGAATCCAATATTTGCCCTGCCACTTATGCAAGGTTATTTTAGAGGAGAGAGAGTAAGAAGCTGTGAAATGAAAGCAAATAAGTCATTATTTGTGCCACATTTATTTTGTTCCACCAATGTGTATCCAGATATTGACACAATGACTAACACATAGTAGACATTCAACAAATATTTGAGGAAGTGGTGGCTGTTTTGTTTGCCGGTGGCTAAGAGTAAAAGGAGGAACTTATTGGTTCTTTTTCTGTGGGCTTTGTAATGTCTCTTCCTAAGATGTAAGTTTTCTTCAGGGCAGTCTTCATTCGCCTCTTCTTGCTTTTTCTCTACATTTTCCCCCTTTTTATTTGAAGTGGGTGGTTGTTATGGTTTTGGTGTGGTAAGCATGTTGATACGTAACAGGGCCAAGGAAAGTGAAGAAAATTAATTTCTGTTTCTGCGTGTACTTCCTAAAATTCTGAGGTGGTCAATTAGCTATCTCAGAGAATTGTTTGATATCAGGGTCATTGAATGAAATAGATATAATGAAGGCGTCCACCAGAGAATTTTGTATCAGTAGAGCAGGAGTTCTTAAATGCAAGTTCATGAGCAAGCTTAGCACTCCTGAACCACATGAAATTATGTGCAAATTGTGTATGCAGATGTAGATTTGGTGTGTGTGTGTGTGTGCAATTGTTGAAGGAAGATAATTTATTCATCACCTTTATTAGTCTCAAAAGAATCCAGATCCCAAATAGGTAGAGAACCACTGAATTCGAAGATTTGTTTTATACCGATTTTGTTTTGTTTTAGAGGTTTGGATGGGAAAATTCTGAGGAAACTTGAGAGCAAAATGGACAGTGTATGGAATTATTAAATCTTTCCAGATATGCGATCAATTCAAAGGCTTTTTTCTTGAATTATAATACCTCTATTTTAACTTCTTTAGCCGCTGTTGTTATGTACTCCATGTTGGAGTTTGGGATGCTTAACTCACAGTTGTTATCTCTGGCAGTTGAAATATCCAGGCAGACTGATGTCATTTGTTCCCAGAACGGCATCAGAGCCCTTCTGGGCAAATTCACTGATAAGTCATTGAACAGGCACAAAGAAGATGATATTTTACGGTGCAATGAGCCATCCTTGCGTGGCTAATTTAGTTCTAACTGAACTTATAAACAAAAAACTAACCTCTAAATAGTGAACCTCTTTAAAAACTGCATTCTGTTTTTCTTTAAATCCCTGGAAACTTTTATTTGTCCTTTGTTTAAGTTGAACTTTTATCTTTTGTCATCTGCTTAACCCTCTGCTCTGATTAAATGATTTTCATGCTTATCTCAAATTCCAATTTTATGTTATTTTAAGTAATAGCTGTGTGTGCTCTCAGACACCTGACTCGGTGACTTAGTTTATAATCTCTGGTATTCACCTTTGTATCTATCAGATTCTCAACTTAAACTGCTGCTGCTGCTAATAAAGCCTCCTATATTATTCCAGGCAATACTTTAATTAATAGTTATTTCCACCCAATTTACTTATTTGTTGATGCATTCATTCACAAAAAACTTACAGGCACTTGCTATATGCCAAGAATGCTTCCAGTTGCGGGGGAAACAGTAAGATGAATATTACATGGAGTCACATTGCCTTGTGCTGAGACAAGGCTTGTGGCAACCCAAACAGGCCAAAGAGTTAAGCCTCCTCAAGTGTACAATCTTTATGTAAGTTGGGTTACTGTTTATTTAAAGCAGTGGTTCTCAACTAGGAAGACTTTGCCCCCTCCCCCAAGGGACATTTGGCAATTCTGGAGACACTTTTAGTTATCACAAATGGGGGATACCACTGGCACCTGGTCAATAGAAAATGCTTGTAAACATTGGACAATGAGCAGGACAGTCCCCTACAGCAAAGAATTATTCAGATCAAAATGCCAATACTGCTGAGGCTGAGAAGCCCCAATTTAGAGGCACAGTAGTGATTGAGAGAGGCTCATTACTGTAAAAGAGAAGGGGGCAGGTGACTCCAGAGGCAGTGGCCTCTCCTCTGAGGTTCTGAGCAAGTTGACTCTTAGTGAATTGACCCACACTGGAACCAAAGACCATTCTGAGGGGTAGAATTTTCTTCTTCTCAATTACATTTCCATGAAAGAATTAGCATTCCTCTCTTAAAGACTGGCATCCTGGCTGCTTTCCAGTTGCCTACTCCTTAATCTGCCTCCTCTGCTTATTCTGAAGGGGCTCATAATTTAGGGTGGAAGAAGGACAGGTATACCAAAATCTGTGATGTTGTGTAGTAAATACGAAGAGAGTTCAATGAAATTAATGCTGGGAGCACTGAGAAACTAAACTCCACCTGGGGGGTCTGGGCAGGCTTCACAGATGAGGCGGCATGAACAAAGCCTTTGAAGGCGGTGTTTACCATATTGCTGAAAGAAGACACTTTTCTCTTTTAAGCCATACCCTGCATGATTGCATTTATAACTGGTGACAAGATGTTTTTGGCTGCTCTTTCAGGAAAACCTGCTTTTGTATTGTACTGTATTAAGCAAGACTTCTTTACAAATTTTGCAGGCCCAGCTTTGCAGTGTCTTTCCTCTCACCATCTTTCTATCAGAGATTTCAATAGTAGGTGGTTTCAACTATGAAATTATAGATGTTAGAGTTTAGCAGTAGTTCAATGTTGCAAGCTTTCAATGAGTGAATTACATGTCTTGTTGTTCTAAAATTGTATATGTATTTCTTTCTGCTGCTGCTCCTACATATGGCTATGTACTGTAGGAAAATCCAGTAGAACATCATTGCCTGCAAATATCTGTTAGACTATTAAGTACAACATATAATGGGTTAAGTTGGGATCATGCCTATAATCCCAACACTTTGGGAGGCCAAGGTGGGAGGATTGCTTGAGGCCAGGAGTTCAAGACCAGCCTGGGAACATAGTGAGACCCCGTCTCTAAAAAATAAAAAAGTAGCCTGGCATGGCGGCGCATGTCCATAGTCTCAGCTACTGAGGAGGCTGAGGCTGAGGATCACTTGAGCCCGGGAGTTCGAGGCTGCAGTGAGCTGTGATTGCACCACTGCACTCCAGCCAGAGCAACAAAGTGAGACCCTGTCTCTAAGAAGAAAAAGAATAATGCCATTTTGAATCCATTAATGGAAAAAATTGCTGTGGTAGATATGGATAAAAGGAATAGATGTTACATTTCTGCTACAAGAAAATAGTGGGGTCTTCATAATGTAATTATCAATAAGTTATAGAATTTCTCTTTTCCCTCTGGAAATTGTGTGTTGATTTAAGGTGCCTATACTTTATAGGAAATTTTATCTCTCAATTCAGAAGGAATTCTGACATCACACAAGGGATAACATTGTACCCTTGAAACTAACTTTTAAAAAATGTGTCCTTTTCTTGGTTCTTTTTACAAAGAACTTTTATTCATATTTTCATGTTAGAAATAAAAGAGTTCAATTATTTTAGTTTGGACCTTAAGCTGGATAGTTTATAAACATGCATATTAGCTTCATTTTTCATCAAAATGTGTTTCTTTTTTATTTTAGTCTGATGCCAATGCAAGTTACTTAAGAGCAGCTCGAGCTGGACACCTTGAAAAGGCCCTCGACTACATAAAAAATGGAGTTGACATCAACATTTGCAATCAGGTTAGCTGGAGTTATTATTGAATTTTTTACTTAAAATTCTAAAAATCCAGACTTCAAGCTCCTTAAAGACTTCATTTATTTGTGGGGTTTTTTTCCATTGAATTTTATCAGCTTGTCATTGTCAAATTATTCTCTGTTAGAGGAACATTCAGAAATGTCAGCATATGTCCCTTAATAATTAATTTCTAAAATTTAGTAAATAATGATAACAGAACAACCCATCCAGTTTTGAAGTACTTTGATTCCTAATTCAAGATTCAAGTTCCTGCACAGCATACATGCAAGTGATCATCAGGTGGGACTTTATAATATCTCAGGAGTTCTTGGTCGGTTGTTTACTGCTCTATTTTCAACCTGCTGAGTAGAGCTTTTCCTTTACTTTTAATCAGAATGGGTTGAACGCTCTCCACCTTGCTTCCAAAGAAGGCCATGTAGAGGTTGTTTCTGAGCTGCTGCAGAGAGAAGCCAATGTGGATGCAGCTACAAAGGTCAGTATCACATATTTAATGCTTTTTGAACCACTCGCCATGTTCTGTGAGGATTCAGCCCTCAGTAAGAATGGGGGCACATATCTCATAAGATATTTGTCAAATTTGTTCTCTTTGGGGAGAACAGGAAAATTCAAAAGATCGATGAGTTGATATATCTTGACTTTCATTTCACAGAAAGGAAACACAGCATTGCACATCGCATCTTTGGCTGGGCAAGCAGAGGTGGTAAAAGTCTTGGTTACAAATGGAGCCAATGTCAATGCACAATCTCAGGTAAGCCTACAACTCCATGCCACAGACATTTTGTTATCATTTACAAACAATGTTCTTTGGGTCAGGTGCTTGCTTAGTTCACATATCCTCTAAGAACAGAATACTTAAGAACTATATTTAAAAAGTTATATTTGGCACACTTTGGAAGGCAAAGGCGGGCAGATCACTTGAGGCAGGAGTTTGAGACCAGCCTGGCCAACATGGTGAAATCCTGTCTCTACTAAAAATAAAAAAAATTAGCCTGGCATCATGGTGTCTGTAATCCCAGATACTTGGGAGGCTGAGGCACGAGAGTCACTTGTTCCCAGGAGGTGGAGGTTGCAGTGAGCCGAGATTGCACCACTGTACTCCAGCCTGGGTGACAGAGCAAGCCTCTGTCTCAAAAAGATAAATTATTGCAGATTATTTAAATTCATATGTATTTTCATTTGCAATATATATGTGTGTGAGAGAGAGATTTTTAAAGCGGCCTATCTATAAAAGATACTAGTCATAGACACAAATGTTTAAAGGGTATCTGTAATGCAGGGTCTTACACTATTTTATGATGCTAGCTTAGGTTCAATCTTTTTAAAAACAGGCAGAAGGAACTTTAAAAGTCCTCAAGTTTAATAAAAATTTTCAGATTCTTTGTAATGAACATAGGTCCTCCTATAAATCTTACATGGTCTTTCATTGAATTTCTAAGAGGAACACCAATAGGTTATCATTTATCATTTGATAGACTTTGAATCTAAAAGAATTAACTTTGCTTTATTATGTTTAAAAATATAGGTCCTCATTATTCAAGTATTCATTATTTGAGTCTCCACAGACAGGTCATGTAGGAAAGCAAACATCATCATAATTCAAAAATATTCACTAAGGACATGACCACATTTAAAACTGGTTCCCACTCAAACATTCCTTCCAGTCGAATGCTGACTTCCATCCTTATTTGTCATTGTCTCCCCAGGGGTGTTGGATATTGAACAAATTGATTGCAGAACAAAACTGCAAGTTTTGACAAAGACACTAAGTTTCCTGAAGTCAAGGAAAGTGATATTGGAGAACTTCTGGGTGCACAGCTGAGCTGTGGGTACATGGCACACTCTGGCAGTATTAGGCTAGGAAGCATGTGAAAAGTTAGGATGATTTCCTGTTAGCGGTTTCATATAAGAATGATTTGAAAATACATAGATTAAATGAAGACAAAAAGATAAGTGAGATCTTTGGATGGCAAATACTTCTTCCAAAAGATGGTCTTTTTTGCTTATGCTATGAAAATTAAAAAGTGAAGAATGTCAACATATATCATTTTGTTGGGAAAAATAACACTTGGTTTAGTCTTTGTTCATTCTGAGAACATATATGAATCCAGTTATAACTTACATTTTATTAAATCATATAAGCCTATTTTTATAATTTCCAGTTTTATCTTTTAAGAGTAAGTCTGAATCAAACTTTACAAAATTATTTACTATGGCCTTTTGCTCTCCATTTTAAATGCACTTGATTTTACCAGGATTTTCTAGTATGATTATCTTTGGATATTGGGAGTCTCCTCTGTTTTATGGGTTCACAGAATTGTAGTGACTTCCTCCCCTGCTTACTACCGACATAGCAGTGATAGCTCTGATGCCATCAAATGTCAGAGTCAAAGAAAAGGAACTGCACAGTGCTTCCAACTGCATGGTTCTTGTATATTTGCTCTAAATTAATTCTAGATCCCTGTTACATGATCTATGCCAATTATTCTGATTCCCTAGGAGAGTTCTCTTGGAGTAATAATGCTTTTCCAGAAAGGAATGATGTAAAATTGAATAGCAACAAGTATGGTACTTTGAGAGAGACACAGACCAGCTTACTACAATAGAAGCATCATGCTTTTAAACGGATGTTTTTCAAAATACCCCAATAATATTTTACTGAAATGTGGCTAGGTAGTTTTAGGCTCTGAGATAGTGGGAAAACTCTTTAATCCATTTTCATTTCTTTTATTATTTTCTCAAGGGAGGAAAAAATCAACCTAATCAACCTCCTCCTTTCAAACATCACATCCATTATTGACTATTAATGGTTAGAGTAGCCATGGTTTTAAACTGGCTCGGCAATGTTTGGGAGAAACTGCAGTTGAAATAAAATCCTAATTAGTTCTAATTTCAATTTATACGCATTCCACACCTATGATGCAGTAAGGCAGAAGAACATGTGAAATTCCCTGTTACTTACAGTTGTGCTCGGAATTACCAGCCACACATGGCACAGCAAAGCATTTGCCCCTTCATCTGAACACCTGCCCTCATATGCCTTCTGAACTGCATTGTTCTGTGGATGGAATAAGTAATGAGATGACCCTGCAGAGGAATGGAGTTTCAATGATAATTCCTGGTAACAACTCTTCAGTAGGAACTGTTATAAAGAGTAACAAACAATGATGTCACCTCCATTTAGGAAGCAGCACATAAAACAGGACAGAAATATTAATATTCAAGACAGCATCTCTGTTGACATGAAATTTTAACCTGTAAGTGATATTTAATAGCCAACAAAAAATAGGGTAAAAAGAGCCCCTTACTCTTCTTTACTATAAAAATTCTCCTTATCTTAAATATAAAAATGACATTGGGCAATATCAAGTTCTCATCTTATAAACCAAGGCTCTATAAACTAGGAATTTGTAGATTTTAAAGTAATTTTTGTCATTGCCTTGATCTTAGGTCTTAACAAGTTAACTCTTTCTTTTAGTACTTAACATTCCAGTAATCATTTAGTCCTACTCTGAGAAAGAAATTGAGTTGACTAAATTGTGATTATAAAGAATTCTATTATTAAGTCCTTAATACTTTATATTAGATGTATCAACAATGATTAACAATGTTTGCTATTGAAAAAATCTCAAACTGCACAGTCAAATGACATCCCCCACTCTTCTCTCCTTCTCTGTCTTTATAATATAAAATACCAACTGAATTTATAAAGAAGCAAAGTCTGTTTCCAATAATATTTTAACTACCAAAGTATTTTTAGTGAACAGATTTTTCTAGTGGCATTTGCAAAGGTAAGACCCTTTAGGTTAGCCAGTGCCTCCTTGGTCTTTCTGGGTACTCTGATATTCCCTATGGTGGGAAAGTCGGATCCTGACAAAGTTAGACAGTACAAGTATGGGACTTTGGTTATGGTTCAGATTGAGCCTCTGTGACCTTATATTGCACCTCTAATCTAACTGACCTTCATGAAAATTAGTAACGTATATGAATCAATGCAAATCTTTCACCATACCCTTAACATCTTAGTTAAAAACAGCACTTTATGATGTGCAAAGGCTGGCCATAGAAAACTAGAATGAGTAGAAAAATTTCATGGATGAAATTTAAGCCCTTTTCCAAATGAAGTCATAGGAATACTTATTATTTCATTTTGATGTGTATTAGACAGCATGCCTCAGTACTATCTACAAAATTATAAGTCTGCAGATTTGCATGCTTATAATAGCACCACTATAAACATTCAGAGCAGAAGGTATTGAATATATTGGATAAAATCAGACTTCAAACAGCATACTCGTTCCATCTTAAGCTGCTCTGCCTTTTGAGAATTTAATCTGTTGTTGCTACAGAAAAGAAAATGCAAATTGGGCACCCATATATTCCTTTTTAGCTACCTTTGTTTTGGAAATGTTCTAAGTTAGGAAATTGTTATAAAAACAGTGGTGTACTTTTTTCTCTTATTTTGAAATCTGACCATTCTCCCAATCCATGTGCCATTTCACAGCAAACAGTTATGGCTCTAGGTTGTCTAATGACAACACATTGAGTTAATGATGCCTCAACCTCTTTGAGCTAGGGAGTGATGGCAATATTTTTATTCGCTCTTTCCAAAGAACACTTCTAATTTTCTCTCTAGAATCATAACTAAATGGTTATGTATGTGTTCTCATGTCTTGACCATTTCTTGAGACATAAAATTTGTAATTTTGGGGTGTTACTTGAATTACAGGGAGAGAAACTAACTTAAGCACAAGAGGGAATTTATTGGAATTAGTTAAGGAACACAGAGAATAGAAAGCTAAAGAATCTTTCAGAAAGCTTTGGAAACCCAATAGCTGGGGTGGAGAGTGGGAGAACAGAGTGAGAAGAAAGAGAGTAGGATTACCCTTTGACCTGGTTCCTACAGGTCAATCAAGACTGGAGAGGGAGAATCAAGGGTGGACCTAAAAGAGAAAACAGAAGATAGCCTGCATGTGTGTCTACCCTGTAATTAATGAAGGGCAAGCTTCTCTGTCTCAGTCCATCCAGGACAAGTCCTACCTGCATAATGGGGAATAGGTAATTCTCTGAAAGAAAATAGGGGTGACATTGTCCTGAAGGGGAAATGGGTGTGTGGGCACTGGTGACCAAAACTAAAGCAAAATAAAACAAACACCCATGCACTACAAATGACCACTGTAAAATTGAAATTTCCACCATGAAACACTCACCAAAAACATTTTATCAATATAGATAGCAGAAATAGCATAAGAAGGCCAAGCACAGTGTTCATGCCTGTGATCTTAGCACTTTGGGAGGCCAAAGAAGGAGGATCACTTGAGGCCAGAATTTGAGACTAGCCTCAGCAACATAGTGAGACCCTATCTCCACAAAAATACAAATAAAAAAGCCAGATGTGGTAGTGCATGCCCATAGTCCTAGCTACTCAGGAAGCTAAGGGTGGAGAATCGCTTGAGCCCATGTTAAGGCTGCAGTGAGCTATAATCACACGACTACACACCAGGCTGGGCAATAAGAGCAAGACCCTATCTGTATTAGCTTGTTCTGATGCTGCTAATAAAGACATACCCAAGACTGGGTAATTTATAAAGGAAAGAAGTTTAATTGACTCATAGTTCCACATGGCTGAGAAGGCCTCACAATCATGGTGGAAGGCAAATAAGGAGCAAAGTCACATTTTACATGGTGGCAGGCAAGAGAGCTTGTGCAGGGAAACTCCCATTTATAAAACCATCAGATCTTATGAGACTTATTCACTACCACAAGAACAGTGTGGGGGAAACCCCCCCCATGATTCAATTATCTCCACCTGGCCCCGCCCTTGATACCTGGGGATTATTACAAGTCAAGGTGAGATTTGGGTGGGGACACAGCCAAATCATATCACTATCTCTTAAGAAAATTAAAGAAATAGTATCAGACCATTCAAGGACAGATATCATATGATTCTGTTTATATAGAATATCCAGAATAGGCAAAACTAGAGAGAGAAAGTGCATTAGTGGTTACTAGGGGGAAATGGGGAGTGATCACTAAGGAGTATAGAGGGCTTCTTTTTGGGGTGATGAAAATATTCTAGAATTAGATAGTGGGAAGGGTTGCCCAATTTTATGAATATACTTAAAGCCACTAAATTGTACACTTTTAAAAGGTGAGCTTTATGATATGCAAATTATATATTAATAAACAAATATTTTAAAAATCAAAAAACAAGGAAGTATGTAACTGTTCAGAAAATGACCAACTTTCAGGTAATAATCTTAGGATGGCAAGCACTCAAAAAGAAAGTAGAAAGCTATTGTGGAAAAGGAAAACAATGAATTATAGGGCTGCATCTTGCTGTGGCTGTTGTCTACAAATATTTCTAAGTAGTCCTAATTCTGTGCATCTCAGTTTCTGTCATCATAAAACAGGGCATGTAGAGTGATTTCAGAGTTGTGCCTTTTAAGAATAACTCTTGAGAAACTCCCGGTCTGTAAGAAAGCATTACCTTAAAACCCAGTGCCTGAGTCTGGGCTTTCTTCATGGATCCTGAAATGGTTGGTTCTGGAAGGAAACTGTGAGAACAGTGGACACTCACTAGAGCCAGAGATGTGTGGATAGACTAGTGTTTCTTAGGCAATCTTGGGCCACAGCAGACCTCCACCCCAACATTGAGAACGAACTGACATTACTTGTCTTGACATAAATATCTTGTTGATATTCATGTCTGAAAGAAAAACACTTATTTTGGAATTAAAAAAAAAAAGGTGGGTGTGGTGGCTCATGCCTGTAATCCCAACACTTTGGGAGGCTGAGGCAGATGGAACATGAGGTCAGGAGATCAAGGCCATCCTGGCCAACATGTTGAAACCCCACCTCTGCTAAAAATACAAAAATTAGCCGGGCGAGGTGGCACATGCCTGTAGTCCCAGCTACTTGGGAGGCTGAGGCAGGAGAATCTCTTGGACCTGTTAGGTGGAGGTTGCAGTGAGCTGAGATCTCACAACTGCACTCCAGCTTGGGCGACAGAGTGAGACTCTGTCTCAACAAAAAAAAAACAAACAAGAACAACAACAACAACAACAACAAAAAACTTCTAAAAATCTGAACCTGCCCTCTGGAAGTTTCAGCTTTCGGAGAGAGCACTTGATGAGGGAAGATAGATGCTTAGTACCTAGTTTAGCTATGAGAAAAAGCCATACTGGTTTTGGCCTTTTCTTTTCTTTTCTTGTTTTGTTGCTTAAAGAATATTTAAATTAACTAAGGATGTAATGATCTTTCATTTTGGTCCAATTAGAAAATGAGAAAATAGCAATATGATGAGGATAATCCTAAACTCCCTTTGAATTTCACTCATAGCGTCATAGCACTGGGAAGAGGGACAAAGATGAAAGACACACGGACCTATGGGCATGCACACACACACACACACACACACACACACACACACACAAATCCCACAGTGTTCCAAGTACTCCATGCTTCATGTTTAAATGTGGTAGAATGTTTCATGATAAAACAGAGTAACAGTGGGCTCCAGAGATATTATCAGGTAGACAATTTAAAAGGAAGAAGATTGAATGTGATGTTGCATTCCACTGCCTCTAATTTTGTGTTTCTAATCTTGAGCTTGGCAACTAGATCACCTAACTTGTTACAATTCTGTGCCAAATAGAGGAAGTAGAATAGAGGAACTCTCTGATAAGTACATAGCTATGGTGGATTTGTTATGTGGCATCGCATTTATCTGCTTGAGGATCTTTTTAACTTACTTTCTAATTCTCAGTTATAAGCCAAAAGCAGTGTGTTTGCCAGAGGCTGAACTTATGGATAAGTAAGGTGATCATATAGTAGTTGATATTTATAATAATGAACCTAAACTTTTTGAATCACAAAAGGTTGAATATTTGGTAACATTGTAGTTTAGAATATATTTACTTTTATTCTTTGAAATTGCGTAATGTATACAGTAAAATTTCTGGAACATTCAGTTAAATAGAACTGCATTCTGAAAAGTATATTCAAAAAGAATTTACTGGCTCGGTGCAGTGGCTCACACCTATAATCAAGCACTTTGAGAGGCCAAGGCAGGCAGATGGCTTGAGCTCAGGAGTTCAAGCCCATGCTGGGTGACACAGGGAGACCCAGTCTCTATAAAAAATAAAAATAAATTAGCCAGGTGTGGCGGTGCATGCCTGTAGCCCCAGCTACTTGGGAAGCTGAGGCAGAAGGATCGTTTGAGCCCAGGAGATTAAGGCTGCAGTGAGCTGTGACGATACCCCGGCACTCCATTTGTTTATTATTATTATTATTTTGATACAGAGCAATGGAGCGAGACCCTGTCTCAAAATAATAATAATAAAAGAATTATAGTTTGAAAATTGTTTGATGCTTATATCTTGCAATAAGATTTTAAAATAGTATAGTATTTCATAGATATGAAATACATTATTCTAGAGAAAAAATATATATACAACATTTTTTTAGTAGGAAAAGATGTAATATGCATATTAATTTGCTTGAATCCAAATTCTTTGAGAGTTGATGCACATTTCAGAGAGGCACACAGACACATTCAAACTAAATATATGTGCATATGTATGTACATGTAATATGTATCCATATATGTATTCTGAACATTAAACTACCTTAGCAAAAAAACACAAAGAAAGGAGGCCTACAAAAAACAGACTGTGAATTAGATTGAATCATACCATTATGCAAATCGGCATTTCTTTTTTGCTCTTAAAGACCACATCTGTGGTAACTTTGAAGCTATTTGAAGCTATTTGAAAAGCTTTGAAGCTATTTGAGATTAATATAAATTCCTCCCTGAACTAGTCAAAACTAGTTCAGATACTTTTGTGTGAAAATATTACATGTTTATTTAAAACAGATAATTGATGCTTGGGAGCTACAGTGACTAAATGTGTTTTTCTTCATAGTCTCATAGCATCTAGTAAAATACTTACTCATGGTAGACTCTCAATAAGTGGTTGATGACTAAGTGAGTGTACTTATTTCTTTAAAGTGGGTAAATTGCTTTGAATTATACTTGGACTATTAACTATGAACTATTAACTATGAGCTATACTCAAATTATGAATTATGAAATATAATTTTGAATTACACAGATCAGGAATTTAGCTTAAGCCATGGTGCTTGGGTTTTCTAATAAATATTTATATCTATATGAAAGTATTATTAAAGTTATTGTATGTGAGCACTTCTTGGAGCATAAATCATCAGTACCATGGAAAAATAGATTGTCTCTGGAAAGCTGCAGACAAACATTTTTTTTCTTATTTTGCAGAATGGTTTCACGCCATTGTATATGGCAGCCCAGGAAAATCACCTGGAAGTTGTCAAGTTTCTTCTTGACAATGGTGCAAGCCAGAGCCTAGCCACAGAGGTAAGATACTGTTTTTTTCCTGTGGGTGAGTTCACGTATTTATAGGGCATTTTGAAAACCTGGAGTTGTGAATTTGTCCTACTAGTATTTCAATTGAAGTTTTATATTAATGTGTGGGTTCATAAGTTTTATGAAATACATTACTATAAGTCTACTTTTAATTTTTACAAATCTTCTGTTGCATAGATACTCTTTCTACTCTTAAATGCCCGATTCTATGCTATAATTATGCTATTATTTTAATATTTAACGTATTTGCTTGAGAATTCTTTTCTGTCTCTTACAATTTTGGCTTATAGGCAAAGGCAATCATTGTTTTGGAGTAATTGATGTGAACTATCTTTTCAATAAAACATTAGTTTTAAATTGTTTTTCCAAATTTAAGTTTACCTAATTATAATGATTGAATTTGTATTTTTTAAGTTAACTAGACTTAATTCATAGTTATAAATAAAACTATGGTACTTTTTTTGGGGGGGGGGAGGGGGGATGGAGTCTCACTCTGTCACCTAGGCTGGAGTGCAAAGGCGTAATCTCAGCTCACTGCAACCTCCGCCTCCCGGGTTCAAGCAATTATCCTGCCTCAGCCTCCCGAGTAGCTGGGATTACAGGTGCCCACCACCCACACATGGCTAAATTTTGTGCTTTTAGTAGAGACAGGGTTTCACCATCTTGGCCAGGCTGGTCTTGAACTCCTGACCGCGTGATCCACCCGCCTCGGCCTCTCAAAGTGCTGGGATTACAAGTGTGAGCCACCACGCCCAGCCAAAACTATTACACATTTTTAAGTGTTAAATAGATGTGGTATTTGAAGAAAAAAAATCTTTGCTGTCTAGAATAGAATAATTATTTAAAAATAGAAAGTTATTTAGGCCATTGGCACTGTCTTAGGTAATGTTGTTTATTTTTTAAACTAATCTGGATGGAAGACTGGAATCACTTAAGCATGTCACCAGATATCTATTGCTAATAATAAAGGATCAATATTTGAGTATTTTTTATTTCTAACAACACAGTGAATTAGGGCAGATGCAGGGTTATCCCTATTATAAACCACTACTCTTGCTTGCATGCTGATGTGCTTCCTGAATAGCACAGAAAAGATGGCAGTAGATAAACTGCATCTAATCTCACTTAGTTTTTGAGATTATACCTTCTAGGGAAACCACTAAATAAATTAAGAGATAGCTCACAGAAAACATACACAAACAAACATAAATATATGAAAATTTCTCATCCTCATTTATAGTCAAATACTAATTTATTAGTCAGATACAAAATAAGATCTAATCTTTTGCCCATGAGACTAAAAACAAAAATTTCATGGGGAGAGGAAACCAGAACTTTCCTACAATACTGGTGAAATTGATTGTTGGTTACAACACTTTTACAGAACATTTGGCAGTAACTATCAAAAACTAGTATTTACAAGCCTTTTTACTTAGCAGCTGCACTTCTAAAAAGTTATATTATAGAAATATTAGATATATCAAATATATATTATAGATATGTTTGCATTAGGATGCAAAAATAGTATAAAGGATGTTTGTCAACACAATTAATAATAGCAATTTTTAAAAATCAGAATCTAAATTTACACCAATAAGAATCCTGTTTATTCAGAACTATTTGGCTTGGAAAGAAAAAAGAAACCTGTTAGTAAATGTTCATATATTTATACAATAACACGCTGTTAGCACTGTTAAAAACGAGGCAAGGCTCTATGTACTGATATAGGAAAATGTCCATAGTAGATTGTTACCAGTGGTTTGCCCTGAGAATTCGGAGGGAGCCTTTGTACCCATCAGTACTGTTGGGAATTTTTATACATATTTTTTTATTTTATACCCATCAGTGCTTTGGGGAATTTTTATCATGAGAATGTACTATTTTTGTAATAGTATTCTTAAAGCTAGTTAGGAAATAACCACTGGTTGATATCAAAATAACAAACATTTAGCCGGGTGCAAGGGCACACACCGGTAGTCCCAGCCCCTCAGGAGGTAGAGACAGGAGGCACTTGAGCCTAGAAGTTTGAGGATACAGTGCTCTGTGGTTGCACCTGTGAGTAGTCGCTACACTCCAGCCTGGGCAACAGTGAGACCCTGTCTCTAAACAAACAAAAAAGAACAAACTTGCTAGGCAGAGAACGGTGCCTCTCTTCACACTCAAGAGTAGCTATTCTAAGCACACTACGATACACACATTGTGTCCTAGCGGACAGGGGAAATAGAGACAGGCAGAGACTGTTGGTTAAGAGAAAACCCATCCTCATTTTTTGGATGGAAATATTAAGTACTGTAAATAACCTAATGAAAGTGATTCCATAGCTTTCTTTGTGAAGATGGCGTAGGACTCTTTTTTCACACTGTGATGTACGGATCACTAAGTATCTCTCCTTTAGAAGCAAACATAACCCCAATTTACTGCTAATAGATTAGAATTAGATTGTAAACCAATTACCAGTAACTCTCAGAGCTCTCTAGTACTTTTTAAAGTTTTCAAGGCCCCAAAAGAAGCCCTACAGCTAACTTAAAGAAAAATAGTACGTGAGATCTTCAAATCACTACTTCAGTCTTTTAGCAAAGGATATATATTTTAAAGTTTTTACTCTTTTACATTGATTTAATTTCATGTTATTTTTGTAGTTTTAAGGGAAAAAACAAGAAACATGGTGTCTATTAAGTCACGTTCATGTCTTCAGGGAGGTTGCTGTTATATTGCTATATAAACAACATCTAATTACCTAGAGATGTTTGAACCTTTGAATTTTTTCTCTTCTTTTGGATTATTGGAATTGGAGAATAAGAACAACAACAGGAAATAAGACATTTTATTCAAATGATATTCTAATTACTGTATTGCTCTCTCATTAGCAATAATATTGGTGTTATTTATAGAGAAGTCTGTATTTACAGAACAAACAGTAGGGGGCAATTAAAGGATCCTTTAAATAGCAAGTTTTTAATAGAATCTTTAATTCACTACACGATGGGATATTGCCAAATTCTTTCAAATGTATTTTTTTCAGTAAGCCTGGCACACTTCAAATCTTGTATATATGTAGCAAGACTTAAGTATAATTGTGGTTTTTAAAACGTTTTTGTATTACTGTGTACTGCATCTCATATCTTTTCTCTCTATATATAATCTTCCTTTTGCTAATTACGATTCTGAAGCACACAGTATATTTGTTTGTTCGTTTATTCCATGAGTAATTATTAAGCACCTATTATGTTTCAGACACTTCATAAGGTACTGGATATCCTTGAGCAACCAGGGGATGGACCTTTTTTCCAGTAGCCTCTATCACATTTCCTTTCTGCTCATTTTTCTCTGAAGAATAACTGCACAAAGCAAACCACACCATTTAAACTTGGTTTTGAAACAAAATCTGGAGCTGCTAATTTTAGCTATTAACACCTTAGAGCTGGTATCTTTGTGTCTTTAATTGGCTTATGCAGGAAACATATTCTTGTCACTGCTAATCGGCTCAGTTGCAGTTTATTTTCTGGTACAAAGTAGTTTCCTTTATGTATAGGTCCTGTGAATTTTAAAATTCTCATCAGTGGAAATGTAGCCATTTTGTTTGGTTTCAGAGCAGAAGTGGACTGTCATTTTTACCCCTTAGCTTTTGTTCAGGTTTTTTAAGTGAGATGCAAAATTAAATCTCAAAACACAATTTTCCTTTTGCCACACTCTTATTTAAACAATGCATATTTTCTTTTTTTTGCAAAAGTAATACATTACATAAATGAGAAAGTACAATAAGAAGCAAGAAATCTCTGTTAATTTTCCCTAGAGATAACATTTTACCCGATTGCTTGCACATGTACACATTAGATACATGTATGTACCTTTATGAAAATGAAAATATATATTTACATTGACATGTAGACTACTTTTCTTGTTATATCCTAAAGTTCCTGTCTTTAAGTGTAAACCTATGATATCGTTTTTGTGACATCTTGGATGTATCTAGTCTTTCCCTGTTTGTTATCTTTCTTAAGGCTTCAGGGAATAACCTTCTAGTTGTTTTGGTTATGTTATTGTTTTCCTTTTTCCTGCTGTCTTTGGTAGTAAAGTTAAAAGAAACAGGTGGCATTTAAGCCAGATCTTGAAGCATGGAGGGTAGAGGGGATTTGTATACATAGAGAAAAGAAGAGGGCATTTCAGGGTGGGGGAAATAGCATGAGTACAGGTGTCAGAGGAGAGTGAAGTCTGTACGTGCATAATCAGTACAGACACTGGCAGAAAGGACTTTATAGGGGACAGTACTGAGCAATAATGTCCCTTAAGTGCTTTGGGTCAATGTTTTGCACATCTTGGATATAAGTATGCTGATTTGCATTCAGTCAGATGAATTATGAGAGCCTTTCTCCATATGCTAGCAAGGGAAGGAATGTTGAAAGGGATGTTTTAGGAAGACCTTGGTGCATATGTGCTCCTATGTGTTTTCCAAATGCTTTTCTTTACCATGGGACTACAGAAATAAAATATCATGACCCAAATAAAATAATAAGTAACTTGCATGCCAGTTCTCTAGTTAAAAAAAAAATGCCCTTTTGAGTATATAATAATGAAACCTTTGCAGAATTACAATTTGTGAGCCAGTCCTAGGATTTTTCTACCCTGTGCTGTTTTTTCTACATTCAACAACTCTAGGTAATCCACAAGTTAATTTCACTGCAGTGAAATCTGTAGCTGTGTCCCCTTTATCAAGTCCCAGGGCAACACAAAGGGGAGAGTCAAAATGTATAGAGTATGTATGTGTGCACTTATGTCTGAATTTATTCTAAAGTCGTGTTTTAATCAAATTCTTAGAAGCAGAGAGGAACATGGTGGTTACCAGAGGCTAGGAACTGGGAGTAATGGGGAGACAGGAGGTAATGGTCAATGAGGAGGGATAAGTTTTTGTTTTTATTTTGCTTTTTTTGAAATTTATTGCACAACTTGATTAACAGAGTTAGTAATAATGTATTGTACATATCAAAATTGCTAAGACAATAAAGTTCAAATGTTCTCACCACAAAAAAATAAGTGTGGTAATGAAGATGTTACTTAGCTGGATTTGTCCACATTGTATTCATAAGTCATAATATCACTTGTACCCCTATAAATATTTATAATTTTTAATTTAAAATAAAATTTAAAAAGAAAAAAGACAATAACCAGAATAAATATATAGAGTCATGTTTTGCATGATCTTTGTGTTGTCTTCTCTCAATGGTCACAGAAGCCAAGAGTCTTTCTCTTAGCTCTAGAGACCTTAGCCTCTATAGATCTTTCATAAAGCAACAATGAGTACAGTTCATGAATTCACCTATCCTGACAGCACCAGGAATATGCGAGGCAACAGGGCACAGTAATGAACCAGACAGACATACATCTCAGTTTTTAAAAATCAGTGGAAATGTTTACATCTTATTTAAATGATCTCCTTTGAAAACTTTGCCTGGATTTAGCCTGAGATTTTTTTTTTTCTTTTTTTTTTTTGACAGAGTCTTGCTCTGTCACACAGGTGAAATGGCATGGTCTTGGCTCACTGCAGTCTCCACCTCCCAGATTCAAGCTATTCCTCTGTCTCAGCCTCCCAAATAGCTGAGACTACAGGCATCCACCACCCTCGGCCAATTTTTGTATTTTTAGTAGAGACGGGGTTTCACAATGTTGATCATGCTGGTCTCGAACTCCTGACCTCTGGCAATCTGGCCGCCTCTGCCTCCCAAAGTGCTGAGATTACAGGCATGAGCCACCGCACCTGGCCCTGAGATTATTTTATGAATATTGATATTATAGCAACTTTTTCTTTTATATGTAGTATTTTTGTACACTTTCAAAATTTTCCCAATTAATGTATATTAATTTTTAATGGAAAAGAAAACCAAAACCCATGAACTTATTACAAATTTCTTAGTATTTTTTACTTTGTATAGATAAATTTTTTTTGAAAATATCTTTCACATTTCTGTCCATTCAAATATGTTGTTAGTTTTAATAATCCCAAACAAAAATTGATGCTTGGTCACTTGGTTGCCTTCTTATTTGTTAATTTAATAAAAAAGAAAATATTCATTGGAGCCCATCTTGACCCATCCATTTATTTGCAGGATGGCTTCACACCATTGGCAGTGGCTTTGCAACAAGGTCACGACCAAGTCGTTTCGCTCCTGCTAGAGAATGACACCAAAGGAAAAGTGCGTCTCCCAGCTCTTCATATCGCGGCCCGAAAAGACGACACGAAAGCCGCCGCCCTGCTGCTGCAGAATGACAACAATGCAGATGTGGAATCAAAGGTGAGGCACGAGGGACACGGGCCTGTCATGCAACTCTCCGGTGTTAGACACACAACCTTTAAGAGCACCCGGTCTCCCTCTTCGCAAGCTTATGCCATGCCTTTAACTTCATTGAAGGGAGGAACAATGTGTGTCTGAGCTAGCCACTGAAGGCACAGCCTCCCTTCACATGAGAAGTTGGGGGGTGAGGGGAATGCGGCCCTATGCGTGCTAAAAGGGAGGCCACCTCAGAAGAAATCAATTTCTATGCAGTGATCATTTCTTTCCTTTGAATATAGTTTTGGAATATATTCAACAGTTCAGCTCAAACATCAGGGCGAAAAATTACAAAATACTGAAGACAGTGTACACAAACAAACCTCTGGTTGATACCCAAGATGACAGGCCAGGCACTGAGCGTAGATCAGCTGCGGAAAGCATGCCAGCAGCAAGAGAGCCGCAGCCAAAAATTCCCATCGTCTTGACATGTGGTACCTGAAAGTCTCTGTGACGGAAATGTGACATTTGGACTAGGCCGTTGCGTAGCCCATCATTCAGTCTAGCTTTCTTTCTGTGCCTATTGTGCTTTCATCAGAGCTTCCATCCTCATTACTTAGCTGTCATGAGCTTTCTGCAATCCATATCACCAATAGTGAACTAACCGTTCATTTTTTCCTCCTCTTTGCTTCCAAATGTGTTAACCTAGATGGTGGTGAATAGAACAACAGAGGTATATATATATATGCATATACGTGTAGTCTATATCTGCATCATCATTTTCCCATGACTTAGTGCTGCTGCCTCATGTCTCTCCCTTCTTCTTTGCATCGCCTTCTGTAGGCTAGATACCTGCTTTATCCCCAATCCCTCCTCTCCCCAAAGGAGCATGTGCCAGATAAGATAGCAGTAGTTTGATTACCAGGGCTTTCTGCAGCTGAACCTGGTGTTTGAAAGAGATGAGGAATCCTTGACTCTTAAGGGTATTGCAATAGAGCTGTGTGAGATGAAGAGTCTGGACACTTTAGATGTTTATCAGCTATATCTAAAGCTGCAGACAACCCTGTCATTCTACTCATCCAGGACTCGTTTTTTAGGGTTGTGCATGACACTTACCCTCTGTGGTGTCAGCAAAAGGAAAGGTATTTCAGAATGGTGTCAATATGACCCACCCTTCTACAAGACTCAGTGAGATAGCTAGCATGGCTAAGAAGCTTGCTAACAAATTAGAAATGCATCTAGTTCCTATAAGGTTTCAATCTTTGGGGACTAAGTGAATCGCTGCATGTTTTAGCATTTTTTAAGGAAGTAAAATGACCTTGGTATGAACAATCCAAAAACATGTGTTATTGAATAGGCATTGGCTAACAAAGAGATTAACTTGTGGATTCTTCATGGAATACAATTGCCCATTATATAAAACCAACTTTGTGGTAGTACGTCTTCCCCCCAAAACTGCTTTTGTCATGAAAATTGGCATTTACTGTTCAGTAATATGAATCTATATCAAATATATAAACTAATTGAATTTTGAGTTTCAATGCACAATTCTATCGTCAGTAATAAAACAGCGGCACTAATCAAGCTATCAGCTATAAAGATTTTTCTCATCTCTATCTTAATTTCTTGAAATGTTGGCTTTTATATAGTTCTGTTATTGGATTACTAAAATTGCTCAGTCTCCACCCTTGGTTCCTCCCTGGCTATTCTTCTGCCTGTAAGTTTGGGGTTTATTAGAAACCCTGTGAGCAATTGGCACTGATCGAAACCTAGTACAGAATGGAACATAGACCTCAGCATATTTTGCTTCCTCATTTTTATTTGGGCAGGGTTATGATATTTGCCTGTCAGGCAGGGGGCTGGCAGGAATCAATTGAATGTCTGCTATGTTTTCTTTACAGAGTGGCTTCACTCCGCTCCACATAGCTGCTCACTATGGAAATATCAATGTAGCCACGTTGCTGTTAAACCGAGCGGCTGCTGTGGATTTCACCGCAAGGGTAAGAGCACAGCAATGTGTAATACCTTTAAAGCATTTGCAACTATTTTATACTCTCTTTCCCCAACATGAGGATGTTGGGACAAATTTTCTCCAAGAGTCCTTCCAGTCAGTGAAGGCTATGATTTCTACTCATCCTAGTGTATGTTCTTGATTTTACATAGGTGTGCCTGTTTCCTAGCAGGAGAGGTAAACCAAGATCAGGAATGCTAGCTGGGATGGATGATAAATAAATCTATAAATGCATATATAGAAGATGTGATTCAAGGAATCGTGGCTGGGGACAACAAATAGTTCCCTAAGTTAAAATTTCTGAAACCCTTAGAAATTGGTCAGATGGCACTCAGTGCTCTAGAGATCAGGGTCTTGACCTTACAATGGGAATGTTCTGGAATACCTGGGTGAGGCCTAAACTACAGAATCCAAATAATGAGACCATCTTTTGCCTTTATCTTCTGTCCCCTACAAACTTTCATAATGAGTAACAAGTTGGTGTAACCTGAGTAAGCTCATATCCATTGAAGAAAGGAATTACAATGTCATATGGCCCACTGCACAGCAGGTTGGACATCCAAACATAGTAGCACTGCTCTCAATTTAAAAACTGGTGTTCAGCTTGACCATCAGAAACACTGTTGGAAGTACAAGTGAAGCTGGAGGCAGGATGAAGTAGTGGCTGAAATCCTGGACTCTGAGACTCCTTAGGTTCAAATTTTGGCTTTCACTTTTTTCCCTGTGTCTGTCAGTTTCCTCATTTATAAGATGAGATAATATGAATTATGAAATTAAATAAACAATTATAAAATATCACCTCTCCCTCACTGCGTCACTGAAAATTAAAAGAGATAGCATATGTAAATCACTCAGCCGGTGCCTGATGTAGTATCATCACTAACAGCAGCGGCAGTAGTGTATTAGTCTGTTTTCACATTGCTATAAAGAGGTGTCTGAGATTGGGTAATTCATAAAGAATAGAGGTTCAGTTGGCTCCTGGTTCTGCGGGCTGTACAGGAAGCATGATACTGGCACCAGCTCGGCTCCTGGGGAGGCCTCAGGAAACTTAAGAATAATGGCAGGAGGCGAAGCAGGGACAGGCACATCACATGGCCAGAGCAGGAGCAAGAGAGCAAGAAGAGTGGTGCTGTACACTTTTAAATGACCAGGTCTCATGAGAACTCCCTCACTATCACAAGGACAGCACCAAGCAGATGGTGCTAAACCATTCATGAGAAGTCCTTCCCCATGATCCAATCACCTCCCACCAGACTGCACCTCCAACATGGGACACTACGTTTCAACGTGAGATTTGGGTGGGGACATACATCTACACAATATCAAGCAGCACTGTTATTTTGAACGTAGCATTTGAAGTCTTATTTTTTGCTGAACCCTCACTTCTTAGAAGAGAAATGAAACTAGATTAGATAGGGAGATAGTGTATAATGCTAGCAACAGCAGTACAGTGGTAGTTGCATCAGCAGTAAAAATAATATCATTTCTGAAGTCTTTCCTGACTGTAAGATGCCAGGCTATGCATTTTATCTCACGTATACTAATATAAGGAAAGGTACAGTTTATCCTTATTTTACAGAAGAAGAAACCTAGGTTTAGAGATAAGAAGTAGCTGCTTTAGGATCACAGTGCTAGCAGGTTGGAAGAGGCAGGATTTCAGCCCCAAAGCTCTTAACCACTATTCTCTCCCCTAGGTAACTTAAAGGGGTTTATTTTACTTTCCCTCTTATAATTTGTTAGTTCTATAAAAATTAATAAGGGCTGAGATTGTACTAATAGAAAAGCTATTTCCTATCCTGTTGTCATGAGCTTGCCGAAAGCCTTCATCAGTTTAAATGACTGGAGAGCGTCAGTCAGTTTTATTCACAATTTTTCTTATTGTGTTAACTACATCCTTGATGTGGCAGATCCAAGGCCTAGTTTGACACTTTGAAGGACAAAGCTAAGCCCTTCTTTAAGTCAAGTATAAACAGGGTATGTCAGTGTTGAAGCTGAAGTTCATTTCAAGATGCATTCTTCTGGTTTTATTTCTGTAATTCATAGCATAATAAAACCTCATTAAGTTACATCTTCTAATTAGGACATTCAGAAAATTTATGTCAGGGTGGTGTTTGAAGTTTGTCTTTGTGCCTTTGTTCAGAAATTTTCTGATGTTGCTAAAAACAAGAGGATTAGAGAAATGTTTAAGCAATTTAAGAGGACATATTACAGTATATTCAGACTTTTCCAAGTGATTCTAAAGTGTTCATTTGCATTAAAACAATGACTGTGGTAATGACAAAAGATGCTTATTTATTGATTAAAAATCAGTGGAGACATCAGACCCACGTTGTTAACCTTCCTGAGTTACCATATATGATTTAAAATACTTACACTGTGCTTTTGTTTAAAATATGTTAAAATTCAGACTTTTCACTGATTCAGAAATGCATTTTTCCCAGTCTTTCCTAATTAATGAGGTCTAATAGCATTCTGAGCTGAAGGCTGTGGTGGAATTTGATTTTATTTAATAGGAGGCTTGGGCTGTTGCATATTCCCAAATGAGCTATGCTTCTCTCTGCAGTGGGTGATTGATGACTGGCTTTAGGGTACCTGAGAACTCTTTTTAAAGAGCTTAAACTGAGGCAACTGCCAGCTGCCTCAAGCAATCCATTTGAGGTCCCACATCTGTAGCAATTTTGTTGTATAATAATCTAGCATCTCCACTTTCATATTACAGAGGCTTCTCCCTTCCCAGCTTCCAAGGAGTCTTTCTAGGTCATAGTTCTCTCAAGAAGGTAACAGAAATAGCAGGTGAAAGTAAGAGGCCCCTGAATGCAGACAGGATCAAATTGTATCCAGTCAGAGCAATAAAGGGAGCATTATTAAGCCTCATTTGCTAAGAATTGGCTGCAAATTGTAACCATAAATCATATGCTTCAGAGCTAGGTTTGGAGAGAGGTATTGATGAGGTGGTTAGAAGTAGATTAAAAAACAGCAGCACCCTTTGTCTTGGGGGGCTGCAATTTCTGTTTTCTGCCTGTGACAAAATACAGTAGGGAGTGGAAGATTTAAATCAGTGAAGAAAGAAGTATGACAGATAAAGTCTTGCAGTTCTTTATAGCACTGTAGACTGAGGGAATGTCCCAGAGAGTGACCACCTGCTAGCAAAGAGAGCTGGGGAAGAGGAAGAATGACAACACTTCTGGAATCTTTCCTGCATGCAATAGATGTTCCTTTCCAAAGCAGATAATAGGTAGAAACAAAGGCGATGTGACTGAAGGGAGTAAACAATAGAAGGAATTGCTTTCTGTATTCATTTGTAGTGCCAACTAATTCATGCAGCAGTAAAGCAGGTCCCAGTCAGTGGTGAATGTATACTTCTGAGTAGCAGTTCCGGTAACTGATTTATAGCATACTTAACTGTTTCAATAACACCTTTCCTTCAATTTTTATTATGATGTTTGCATTGTAATTTTACTAGGTATATGTAAGATATCCTGTCTGACATCGTCAATATTTCCTTTTGGATTATCCTTGGAGATCTATTCAGGCTCATGGGTCTGCTGCAGGGAGTTAATGTAGTAGCTGCTGAATGCTGCAATGCAGCGTCAGCATTCTTCATTCTTTGAACTGAGTCTGCTGAGATGGCACTGACACTGTCTGAATTTATGCATGACCCTTGCTCTCTTTGCAAATCATTCTAGCTCTCTTGGGAAAGAGAATGTAACTAAAACATACTAGAGCTAGTACTGATTGTCATTCCAGTAAGGAGCATTTGTGCACTAGAGTAACAAAAGGCCAAATTGTATTATGTGGTTGCCTGCAAAGTTCCCTTTATTGATTGAATAAGATAGATTAATACTTTGCTGGCTGAATTTTTTCATCAAATACAATGGACCACCTAATCTAATCTTCACTCTTGTCATTGGCCTTTCTCTTGTAAATTATTATTCAACTTCCCATTTTGAGAAGATAATTGAATAAAGCATTCTTCTGTTAGTCTTGCCATTTAGCACTTTCTGTTTTGATCTCTGAAAGGATTAGGGATTTATGTGTTTGGATTCTATACCTCATTTGTTTCCAAAAAGATTTCGGGTGGTTTACAGATTAAAATATACAGACGTGAAGGGCGGAACCAAAAAAGTAAATGTTACCAAGCAGCAGGAATGAGCCAGTAAATACAATGGAAAATAAATATAGGCCTTAAAAGCTTTGATATATATAGTGGAAAGGGAAGCATGGATAATAGAGTTTCCACTTTTGACAACTGAAATCCTGTAGTTACCTATAGAGACAATTTTTGTGTGAAATAACTCAAACATTATTTTTATCATATGAATCCTTAAGAACAGAGAATTAAATAGTTAGCAATATCTTTAGTTACTATACTTCAAAAGGCTCAATTCTACTTCCTACTGCCTATGACTGCTATAACTCCATCTGTGAAGGCACCTTGCCCAGAGAAGCTGAGAGACTGTGGCCCAGCTACTTAACTTTATGATGATCTAGTTGTGTAGGAAAGAACTTGGCATGTATGGCACAGATCAGTGACTGGTTAACATGTCCATTGGGCTGCCTTTTTCAAATATTGGGTATTTTATACAAGGTTTTGATCGATATTGGACCACATTCAGAACCCTACTAAATCATACAAAGGGTTACTTTATTTAAGATATTTTAATGTTTGGATAAAATGAGAGCAATGTTTTTAGATACTTGAACTACTAAGCCTGTTGGTGGAAAAATAAAAGGATTAGACTTCTCTTCTGCACTTATATACTGTTGGTAGGAACGTAAATTAGTTCAGCCACAAATTGGAAAGCAGTTTGGAGATTTCTCAAAGAACTTAAACTACCATTCAACCCAGCAATCCCATTACTGAATATGTATTCAGAAGAAAATAAATTGTCTTGCCAAAAAATACGTGTTCACATGTTCATTGAAGCACTATTTATGATAGCAAAGACACAGAATCAACCTAGGTGCCCATCAACAGTGGACTGGATGAAGAAAATGTGGTACATATATACTATGGAGTACCACACAGCCATGAGAAAGGAACAAAGTCATGTTTTTTGCAGCAACATGGATGCAGCTGGAGGCCATTATCCCAAGCAAATTAATGCAGGAACAGGAAACCAAGTACTACGTATTCTCATTTACTAGTGGGAGCTAAATGTGGGGTACTCATGGACATAAAGATGACAACAATAGACACTGGGGACTACTGTTGTGGCAGAGTTGAAAAACTACCTATTGGGTACTATGCTCACAACCTAGGTGATGAGATCTTTCGTACACCAAACTTCAGTGTCATGCAATATACCCACGTAACAAACCTGCACATATACCTCCTGAATATAAAGGTTGAGATTATTTTTTTAAAAGAATTATGTTCTGTCCAAACCTGAGGCCAACATGGCTTAGCACATGCATGAGCAAAACAGTATCCATGGATGAGCATTATCTGGGGGATTTCTTTTCTAAATTCAATCCAATTTAGCAATATTTATAGAGCATCTACTATAAGCTGGACCTGAAGGTTCAGACTTGAGTTACCTACTCTACCATTAGTACTTGTTACTAATGTGTGAATACTTAGTACTTTATTAGTCCCTACACTACCAATTTGTTCAGGCACCAAGGTGCCAAACCATATAATACAATTTCTCCCGTAAGTCCCCAAAGCATAGCTGCATCTAGGCTATAATGCTGAATAGGACTTTTCTAAAAACTCAGGAATTGATGAAAGGAGTTGAAAGCAGAAAGGCAAAGCTGAAGGATAGGTCCTCTGTAACAGTGTCCCCAAAGACCACAGGCTGTGCCCCCTTCCTTGGAGTTCGTCTGGTGACCCCTTCTGAGCCCCCGGAGACCACTGTGTTGCAGAGTCTATCTCATTTCCCCCAAGTGGGAACCCCTTTACCAGATCTCTCCTAGCCAGAGTCCAGGCCTCTTAACCACCTCTGGGCCCCAGTGAGGAAGGAAAGTCTGTTTTCTCTACACCTGGGCTATGTTACTTCAGTAGCCACTAACCTGGGGAACTAGCTTTGATTTAAATAAATTTTTTTTTATTCTCAAGAGCATTTTAAGTGCTCAATAGCTAGTGGCTACTGTCTTATTAAATGGCACAGATATATCGCATGTCCATCATCATAGAAAGTTATTTTGAATGAAGCCATGACACCATCCATCTTAGGCCTTCCTTCCCTTCAATGTCATAATGATCTGAAAATGCAACATTTCCCTCAAGGAAGATGGTTAGTCCCTGACCCCATAGGTGAGCATCACAGCCTGTACTTCCACTCACATTAGGCCTCAAATATAATTTTATTTATCTGCTATTGTCCATTTTGCACACTCTATTTGCTATCTAAGCCCCTGGAAAGTTGAGATGCCCTAGTCATCCTCTGTCTCTAGGTTTTCCTTTGGTCCCCAGGTGCTTACCATGTGCCTGGCTCTGTGCAAGTGACTTTAACATGAACTTAATTCTCTCAGTCTTTCAGAGGATGATTTGTTTTTGCTGCCTGATAGCCTTTTTTCTATTTACCTTCCTTGACATATTAATAGAGTCACCAAAATGTTCAGCTGCATTTCATTCACCTAGAAGGCAATGAATGTAAAAACATCAACAATTCTGCCTGCTACGAAATAAGTGCTCAGTAAATGTCCATTCCCTTCTTTACTTCTGCAGGTGATATTTATAGTAATAATGATTTTTTAAGTTATAATTTATTATCCAGCTTCTTTATTAGGCATTTTACACTTATTGTCATAACAATCCTATGAGGGCTAAAGTAAAAATGTAATAAAATATAGCTCTCTCCCACATCCTGTTTTTCATCTCACATGCAGATTTTGAATTCCCCAAGAACAGACCTGTGTCATCTTACACATTTTGGAATCCCTGGAGTATAGCCCAGTACCTGGTGCTGGGAGGGACTCAGTATATATTTATTGAATTCAAAAATGAATGAATAAATCACTTCTTGGCCTTCCTGTCCACCACTCCTGGTCACCCAGCACCTATACAAACCTGCTTTCCTCTCCCTAGCCTATCAAAATTCCTGTTACTTCAACTTGAATCTCTCCTGGTCTAGGAGCTGCTTTCCAAACTAAACTCAGCTGCGTTAAGGGAGATGGAAAAATTCACAGGATACTAATAGAATTTTAGACCAGTGCACCAAACCCAATGTCAGAGGCAGAGGGGCAAGTTTATTTGAGCAGCAAGGAGACTTTGCATTCAGCTCTGTAGATGACCTTGGAAGACAGGCCTAGGCTAACTGGGCTAAGCCTAGGCTAAAAGTCTATCGCCAAGCTTTGTTCAAAATTAAGAGTGTTTTAAGCAGGGCCTCAGGCTCTGGGCTGTGAAGGCCCCAAGTGACCACCAGAAGATGCTAGAAAGGACATCAGCTACTGGAGCATGGAGAGGAGGTGAGCCTGGCTCCAGTAAGAGTGTGGCAAACTCCTGATGGTTTTACAAGGGTGTAGGGCTTTTGGAGACTCTACTTTGGTTTGTGTAGTGATGCATTTGCAAACATATGTTTAAAATACTAACGGCTCTCCACATTCTTAGATTTCACATCCATGGTTTTAACCAACCATGGATGGAAGATATTTGGGGGGAAAAAAAAAACAATAAAAAAGAATACAACATAGAAAAAGAATACAAATTTTAAAATATAGTATAATAACTATTTACATGACTTTTATATTGTATTAGTCATTATAAATCTAGAGATCATTTAAAGTGTACAGAGAGTGTGTGTAGGTTATGTGCAAATGCTGATTTATATAAGGGACTTGAGCATCCATGGGTTTTGGCATCCTCAGGAGTCTTGTAACCAATCCCCATGGATACCATAGGATGACTGTATATTTTCCTCTTATTATACAAATCATGCTTTAAACAAAATACAATAAATCACAAGTGAGAAAATAAAAACCACTTATAGCAGACTTTTTTTGGCATTTGAATGTTTATCCCAACAGAGACCACACACACATACATTTCTTTTTTATTGGTACATATTTTTTAATAGGTTTATCTCCTAGTATAGGCTCAACAGCATTAAAGACAAAGACTTCTTTTCTTTCTTTTAAGGGTTATGTAAACCTCCCCATGAAAATGGGGATTTGAGAGCCTTAGCAAAGGAATATGAGTTATGGGAAAGTAGCCATGTGTCTATTGCATTAAACATATTCTTGTTGCCATGGTGATATTAACATTTCAGGAGGAACAAAACCAGTAAGTTTTTGTAAGGTGACAGAATGGAGGAGATGCATGTTTACATAGATTTGCTCTTATAATTATGCTGTGCAATCTCATTTCTGCCTTTTCCTGAATGCCACATCAAAGGAGAATCTCTTACATACATTTTTTAAAGGAGTATTTTTATCTGATGTCCATTTATATACTTGAATTCATTGACATCTTCCCGTGTGGAGTGGGATCTATGTTCCTCACCTACAGAGGTGCCATTTCTAAGTGACAGTGGAGTGAGGGGAGGAATACGTGCTGGACTCTGGACTCTTATCTTGGCTGTATCATCAATCACTAATGTGGTCCAGGGCAAGTCCCTTCATCACCTGGCCTACAGTTATTTTAGCCAAATGAGAGAGACATCAGCCAACCCCAAGCCCTTGTCCTCTGCCCAACCACCTTGTCTGACAGCAATGGAGGTAGTCTTCAGCTTCCCTCCCCCTTTCACAATAGAGTACATATGGGACAGTGGCAAAGTAAACCGCACTGTCAGAATGCTGGAGTCCCACACTGGCCTTGCAGCTTATCCTGGTGCTCTTGAGTAGTTATTTATGTTTCAGCCTAATCATCCATATAATGGGTCCAATGGTAGAACCTAATGCTATCAATGTGATGATTGAATGAAATAATCCACAGAAATTGCTTAACACAGTGCCTGGCCCACAAGACATGGGCAAGGGCTCAAGACATGGTGATGGTTGTCACTGCTTGCATCCAGGAGGGGACGCTGTCACTGCAAGTCACGTTCCCCTGTAAAGCATGACGCAGGTCAGGTCGATGGCACCAAGGTAGCCCTCTAAAGTACATCCAGAAGTAGTCAGGAATGTGGCTTCTCAGAATGAATTATGTTGTTTGTGGTGCTATTTGTCAGCATGAGAAAGTCTCATAATAAGAAATAAGAAATAATAAATGAGAAATAAGAAACTGTTAATTAATGACACTGAGACAATAAGAGAGCCAATAAAAGAAATCATGGAAATTGGAAGGTTTTTCACTTTTTCTCCTTGAATATGTGCCCTGCCGCCTGGGGTGCTGCTCTAGAATTGTTGCTCTGAGAACATTTTTAAATGACCCGAAAAAAATCCTATTTTGAAATTGTGTGAAATGAAGTTCTATTAAGGTAGGAGTTGGCAAAACTCACTTTATTCATTTGCACTTTAAAAGAGAATTATTCATTAGCTGTAGAATTTTTATTTCCCCCATTCAGTGAAAATAACAGCTAGGGGCTGCCATGCCCCAGACTGATGCTCTGCTAAATGTTCCAGCACGTTGTCCACACTCCCTGTCATCAGACAGTGCATTTGGATCTGCTCAGATGAATCCTGGTCCCCTCCTTGAGCACTGCAGTTCTTCCACAGCAGTGAAAAAAACATTGCTCTTCTTCCTCTGGTGGTTTGAAGAATATACAGAAAGGGCAAAGGGGTACCTAGAGTGTAGAGGTTAGGGTTCATAGAACTGAAGGATTGCACAGGTGTCAGCCCCTTTGGACACAGGCACGATCATTTATTGGCCCTCTTCCAAACTTAAGCAAGAAGTTCTAAGAAAATAAATTCAGATAGAAGATCAGCATGGACCAGATAATTGGTAGGAAAAAGTTGCAAAGCTAGACTGTGATGGAAATATAGAAATGGGGATCAGCTCCAAGAAAAGGAGGCTGAAGCCCAGATGCAGGTGTGAAATGAGACTGAAGATGAATTATGAGAGTCCAGCCCGGTGGGGAAGGGGCTCAGTGAATACCAGCCTGGGCTGTAGGCACTGGCCTTGATCCTGCAGGTAGAGGGAGTTACTTATTGCAGGTCTTTAAGTGGATAGAATGATGGCAGTAGTGTATAAGGTGAATTATGACACATATGAAGGGGAAATCAGGAAACTGAAGTTACAAGCTGTGGCTGACTCCAGTCACAGAAAGAAAAGTACCGACAGGGGCAGCATGTTGCCCCCTAGTATGATGCACTTCTACTTGCTGATGACCTCTGTGGAGTCTGGCCAGAGCCACTGGTTTTCAGTGGAGGGAAAAGGAGCATCATCTGCCTTAAAAGATTTGAAAATTTGTAGAGGAATTTTTGGTTGTCACAGTGGTGGTTGGCATGTAATGGGAGAGGCCCAGGATGGCTTAGGCTCCTTCAATGCATGGGTCAGTCTCACACGAATAACAGTGTCCCAACCGAAAGGCCAGTGATGCACCCATCAGACATGCTGGATTGAACATCTCTTTACAGCCAAGAAATGGAGCAGTGAGGTGTCCCAGGATGGGAAGGAAGGGCCCAGAAATCCATGGTTGGTCTGAGATGCTCCTCAGAAAGTGTCTAGCATCCCCCAGCAATGCACCCCAGAGAGCGGTTGGTCAGAAGACCCTGAGGCTCTGTTCAGCTCCCACTGCTAAGACTTTGAAATACGAGGTGGAAAAAACAACACAAAATTCAAACTAATTTAGTTAATAGCTTTCATGTATCACTGGGTGCCAGGTACAGTAGCAAGTATTTCATTTATTATTCATAATTTCATGAGGTGTGGATATGATTTCCATTTTATACTAGGAAGCAAGAAGTTCCATAACTTGTACAAAGCCACACAAACTAGTGGAGCTAGTGCTAAGATACAGTAAAGACAATAAAAAACTGTGTAGTTCATAATATTGTAACATCAAAGGCAATGTGTGTTTGGGCTTTGACGTAATCCAATATCATCACAAGAAAACCAGAATTGACAGCAGCCTCTTGTGTTCTGGCTGGTGATTTGGTCTCTACCTGGGCCAGGCTTGTGAGATAAATTAAATACATTTTTGAATCCCTAAATAATCGGGCTTTGAAATGGACTCTGGACATTTAGAAACTTGATGATCTTATGACAAAAGCATATGATATATATTTCCTGGTAAGAAATATAAGGCAGGCTTGTCTCTAAAAGGAGTGAGGTCCCCTTAGTTTAAAATATAAAAGCAGGCCGGGTGCGGTGGCTCATGCCCGTAATCCCAGAACTTTGGGAGGCCAAGGAGGGCAGATCACAAGGTCAGGAGATCGAGACCATCCTGGCTAACATGGTGAAACTCCGTCTCTACTAAAAATACAAAAAAATTAGCTGGGCGTGGTGGCAGGCACCTGTAGTCCCAGCTACTGGGGAGGCTGAGGCAGGAGAATTGCTTGAACCTGGGAGGCAGAGCTTGCAGTGAGCCGAGATTGTGCCACTGCACTCCAGCCTGGGCGACAGAGCGAGACTCCATCTCAAAAAAAGAAAAAAATAAATAAAAGCAAATGTTCTAACAGTTTCTAAGTCAAGACCTCTCAACTGGTTTTTCCCAGTTTGTCTCAGCCACATTTTCCCATAGATTCTGAATCATTAACTCTGCACTGGGGACTTGCAATCTGTGTTTTTAACAAGTTCCTCAGGTGATTCTTCTGATCAGGCAAGATTAGAAAATATTGACCAATGCTATGTTATGAAAATGTTTCTCTATATAAATTGCCCAAAGTTGAGTCATGGAAGTCTTTAAAAATCATTTACTTGTAACAATTATTTTTGTGTTGATAACCCCTTAATATAGCCTTGAATTTATTTTATGTCTTACATCTTACAAAACACATTTAGGTATAGTCCATCATATGAAATTCACAAAAAATATACAATTTTATAGATAAGTCAGTGAGGCCCCCATTTGTCTTGGGCCCTACTAAGAATAAAGTGGCAGAACACAGGTGTGAATCCAGACCTTCTAACACATTTTGGTACGCCTCAGTGCGTGACCTGTGGAGCTGGTGGGGCATGCTGGGTTGTGGGGAGAGTCAGCACGGTGCTCAGTGGGCAGCCTCATTGCCTCATTCTCGTTGAGGATGGGGTATCGGCCACTGATGGTAGCTGGGGTCTTCATGGCACCTAGAAGAGTAGCTCCAGCTCCTTAGGACATGTGTGCTGCCCACAGATAAAGCTGTTGGCACAGACTGACTTTAGTATTTCCAAACCATCTTTCTTTAGAAACTTCAAAGACATTGTTTTCATTTCTTGACATGTTTGAAACTCCAGCATCTAATTTGTTAAAAGATCAAGTGAAGGCAAGATACCTGAGAAACTAAGAATTTCAAGTTAACTGATATCTCAGAAGCCTGCAAGAGTGATTTACTTTCTGCGGGGGTAAGAAAAAATATTCAAAACAGAAATTAATTTAGTTCCAGGTTTGTCAGAAGTGATACAGGAGTATAGAAAATTTGTAATATAAATCCCCATTACTTTTTTAAGAATTTTTGATGGCAGAATGTTAAAACAAAAGGGGATGGACTTTTTAATTGAAGTTATAAAATTCATTAGAAACATTTCAGGAAATCTAATATCATTAGATCAACATATTCTAAATTGTTTCAAATGTTAAAATAACTTTCCTCAAAGTAGAGTAAGTAATTGATTCCTCCACAATTGAGTTTTAAATGCCCCTTTCCATTCAACTGCTATATATATCTCTCTACTCATAGATCTTTCTAGCTGGGAGGGGCTTTCTTTACTGTAAAACAGATAGCAGGCTACTTTTGATTGAGCTTTGATAGTGACATCTTTAAAGAAATATAAAGAAAAACCATGAGTTCTTATTTAAAATGAAAGAGTTGAACTAGCCACTCTTTTAGACATTAACTATTTTTGCTGTCACTGAATATGCTGTTTCCTTTTGGCTGGAAATTGTTTCTCGGCAACATTTTCTGTATAGAGACTATGCTACTTGGATTCAGAGCTGGAGCTAATGTTTGCCCAAGTTAGGAAGAGACTCACTATCAGGATATATTTTCTCTTCTGTGACCCACAGGAAAGAGCACAGCTTTGGGAATCAGACAGCTCAGGGTCAAACCTCAGCTCTGGTATTTTCTAGCCATGTTACCTGTAACCCATTCCAGCTTCACTTTGCTCCTCTGTGAACTGACATTAATAGCATCTATTTCATGTGTTGTTATGGAGATGAAATGAGATGAGGCATGTTTCATAGAGCCTGCACAAAGTAGAGGTCCCATAACTGGTAATTTTCTTCCATTTTAATTATGTTTGTTCTCATGTCAAACAAATAGTTTCTTGGTCAAAATCAGTGGTGTCCTTTTTTTTGTAGCAGAACTCTTTTTCTAACTAATTTCTACAGGAATTAGGCATTTACTATGTCAATCTTTAGTGCCCCCAAATTTCTTATTTTTTATGGAATTATGGAAACTCTGAAATGTAGCCTGAAAAAATATATATTTAAAAAGCATATATGGAATACTCATTAAAATGGCTACTATCAAAAAAAATCAGAAAATAGCCGGTCTTGGCAAGGATGTGAAGATATGGGAACTCTTGTACATTGTTGATGGGAATGTGAATTCATACAACCACAATGAAAGCAGCTCATCATTTCCTCAGAAAGTTAATACAGTTAACGTATGATCCAGCAGTTCCACTTCTGGGTATATACCCAAAATAATGAAAAGCAGGTTCTCAAGAGGTATTTGTACATGGATATTCATAGCAGCATTATTCACAGTAGCCAAAAGGTGGAGGCAAGCCGAGTCCAACAGATGAATGGATAAACAGAATGTGGTACATCCATACACTGGAACATTCCTCAGCCTTAAAAAGGGAGGAAATTTTGATGCATGCTACAGCATGAATGAACCTTAAGACATTATGCTGGCCAGGCGCAGTGGCTCACGCCTGTAATCCCAGCACTTTGGGAGGCTGAGGCAGGCACATCATCTGAGGTCAAGAGTTCAACACCTGCCTAGCCAACATGGTGAAATGCCATCTCTACTAATATACAAAAATTAGCTGGGTGTGGTGATGTGCACCTGTAATCCCAGCTACTTGGAAGTAAGAGGCAGGAGAATCACGTGGACTCGGGAGGCGGAGGTTGCAGTGAGCCAAGATCGCGCCACTGCATTCCAGCCTGGGCGGCAGAGTGAAATCCTGTCTCCTCCCACCACAAAAAAGAAAAAAATAATAAAATGCTGAGTGAAATAAGCCAGTCACAAAAAGACAAATACTATGATTGCACTTAACACAGGTATCTATAATATCTATAGTAGTCAGATTCGGAGACAAAAGTAGGATGGTGGTTGTCCTGGGCTGGGAGGAAAGGGGCATAGGCGTAGCTAATGGCTATAAAGTTTTTCACTTTTCAAGATAAAAGGAGTTTGGAGACTGATTGCAGAATGCTGTGTACTTAATGCTGCTGAACTGTGCACTTAAAAATGGTTACAATGGAAGTTTTATGTTACGTATATTTTACCACAATTTAAATTAAAAAAATTTTTAAAGCGTATATTGAAAATCACTGGGCTCTGACTGGGTCCAGTGGCTCACACCTGTAATCCCAGCACTTTGGGAGGCCAAAGTGGGTGTATCACAAGGTCAGGAGATCGAGACCATCCTGGTTAACATGGTGAAACCCCGTCTCCACTAAAAAATACAAAAAAATTAGCTGGGCGTGGTGGCGGGCACCTGTAGTCCCACCTGCTCGGGAGGCTGAGGCAGGAGAATGGCGTGAACCTGGGAGGCAGAGCTTGCATTGAGCCGAGATCATGCCACTGCACTCCAGCTTGGGCAATAGAGCGAGACTCCATCTCAAATAAATAAATAGGAAAATCACTTGGCTCCAAAGACCCAGTCATCTGTAACATCTAATCATGCAAAGGTGGAAGAGAATTTGTAATTAAGGGAGGAGATCCAAGATCAGCTTCCATCCTAGTCTTTCTCCTCTGGCAACTCCTGAGATTGTGTGTATTGGCTGAGGGTGTGTGTGGGGAGAAGCAGGTGTGGGAATCTTTAAATATGGTCTGCTTTCCCCCTAACTCACTTGAGAACCGAAGGAAGACCTGGCTGTGCCTTATCTGAATTGTTGATGAGCCATCCTCTATTAATTCAAAGGGAGCCCTCTGACAGGATTAACAATAAACAGCCTTGTACTGTCCTTAAAAGAAAATAAGGCTCTTGAGTTTAGAACAGATCCCAACACTCAGAGCCTGACTTCACAACAAACAGCAAACATCCAAGCATTTGCTGCTGCTTCCTGGGAAGGCCAGCACTATCAGGTGTCTGATCAAATGGGATTAGTTGGTCTCTCTGAGAGCAGTGAGGTTAAGGAAATGTCATTGGCATCAGTATCTTCGGTGTCAGTCTCAGCAAATCCAGTATGGACTTAATCTCCTTATCCAGAAAGCATACAGAGAAAAATTGGTGTAGAATAAGCAAACAGTTAGCAAAACTGGAAAAGAGAAAAGGACTTTGTCTAAAAAGACCTATTTCATTTAATTAAAGTCTCATGAAGAAAGAGGAAAAAAAAAAACTTACAATGGTGATCATCTTTTTTTCTTTTTTCTTTTTTTTTTTTTTTTTTTTTTTTTTGATACAGGGTTTCTCTCTGTTGCCCAGGCTGGCGTGCAGTGGCACAATCTCAGCTCACTGCAAGCTCCGCTTCCCAGGGTCAAGCAATTCTCGTGCATCAGCCTCCCAAGTAGCTGGGATTAGAGGCACACACCACCATGCCTGGCTAATTTTTCTATTTTTAGTAGAGATAGGGTTTCTCCATGTTGGCTAGGCTGGTCTTGAACTCCTGGCCTCAAGTAATCCATCTACCTCGGCCTCCCAAAGTGCTGGGATTACAGGTGTCATCCACCATGCCCGGCCTAGTGGTTATCTTAATAATGATCACTATGGTATGAAGGAAGTTTCTGAGTTTATTTTATACTTGTGTCACTAATAATAGGTCATCTAAGTCAAATTTTTAAAAAGAAATGTCCTGCACATAGTGTCAGACTAGGAAGGCTGGAGTGTTTTCTTATCAGTCTATTCAAATATTAGAAATTTTCCTGAGTATATCCTTGAAATCTCAAATCCTTATCATTGGAAGTTATCATTGTTTGCATATGTTTTATGGGATTCTTAAGGAATTTAAAAACTTGGCATCCTCATGAAAAGAAATAAAGTACTGATAAGTACTACAGTATGGATGAACCTTGAAAACATGCTAAGTGAAAGAAGCCAGTCACAAAAGATTACATATTATATAATCTCATTTGTGTGAAAGATCTAGAATAGGCAAATCCATAGAGACAACAAGTAGGTTAGTAGTTAACAAGGGCTTGGGAAACAGAGAAATGGGAAGTGACCACCTAATGGTATGGGATTCCTTTTTGAAAATGATGAAAATGTGCTAGAATTAGATACTGCTGCTGATTGCACATCCTTATGAATGGAATAAAAAAATCACTGAATTGTACACTTTAAAATGATGAAAATTATATGTCAATCTTAATAATGCCATTATAAAAATAAACCATTAGAGAAAACTTTCAGTGGAAGATAATAAAAACTTACAGAAAATATGTTTTTATACTCTTAAGAAAATTAAAGGGAACAGAAATTCAGTTCTCTAATTTTCTACATTGTATCAAAACCTATATGACTGGTTTTTTTTTTGTTTTTTGTTTTTTAGACGGAGTCTCGCTCTGTCGCCCAGGCTGGAGTGCAGTGGCGCAATCTCGGCTCACTGCAAGCTCGGCCTCCCGGGTTCACGCCATTCTCCTGCCTCAACCTCCCAAGTAGCTGGGACTACAGGTGCCCGCTACCACGCCCGGCTAATTTTTTGTATTTTTAGTAGAGACGGGGTTTCACCGTGTTAGCCAGGATGGTCTCGATCTCCTGACCTCATGATCCGCCCGCCTCGGCCTCCCAAAGTGCTGGGATTACAGGCGTGAGCCACCGCGCCCGGCCCAAAACCTATATGACTGTTAAATAGAATTTATCAAACATTTATTGATTACCTTTTATGTGCTGGAGAGTTAGCAGATGCAACCTCTTCCCTCAGAGGCTAAAAGAGTTTTCAAAAGATATATGTTTATAGCGTGAACAAGGATGGTAGTAATCTTTGCTTCCGTGTATTTCCTGTGCTTTCTCTGTGAACGTATTCACTAATCATTTTTCCGTTTCTATATATACTAGAAATAATGCCAAAGTATAAGAAAATAGAATGAGAAAACATAAAAATCTTAAAATGTATGTGTTTTAAATGTAAATCACACACTGAAATCTGGATCTTCAATTTGTTATGCCACTTCGACTTATTTTTTAATCATAATAGTAACTTTGTGACAAAAATTATGACAAGTGGTAAGAATTAGCAGAAGATACTGGATTCCATCTCAACTTTTATTATTTTAGAATTTGTCTTCAGTGGGAGCATGTCAAGGAACCAAACTAAAAGGCTGTATAAGTTAATCTTTCATTATCTACAAGATTTTGAGTGATATCATCCACTTAACTCTTCCCTTAATGATAACCTCTCCCAGACATTTTTAAAGAAGAGATGAGACATGGGAGGGTTGGGGGAGACATCAGTAATTCACATACATCCTTTTCGTATTTAAATGAAAAGTTTCCCATTTATCACAAGTAATATAGAAAATGGCCCTGATTTCACTTTGGGCAGTTGCAGACATGCCCCTGTTTTGATGATTATTTCATGAAATAAATTTGGCTGGGTTTTTCAGAAACACTGAGAAAGAAGAAATAAGCAAGCAATTCCACATTTCCCAGCAGAGGCAGTTGTTTTTCCAGGTCCCTGACATCAATAGTACCCATATATTTCTATCATATTCTATCATGTAGATCATGTTATATACCACATATGTCTATCATTTTAAATCAACTCCAGCTTTGCCTGAGCTTCCCATTCCTCTCAGCTGCTCCTGATCCCAGCATGGCTCACAGACACAGCCTGTTCTGAGCTCATGCTCCTCTAAGACCCTTTGCATCCCTCATAAGATCCACCTGATTTAGTACCTTATCTTTCAAGGCTTACTTTAGATCGCCATGTCTTTTCTACCCAAATTATTTCATAATATCCTTGTGAGATGCAGTCATTTCATACATTTCTAAATGTCTGTATAATAAGTAATACAAATAATATAACATCTAATTGTTATAATGTTTACTAAATGCCAAGCACCATTCTTAAGACTCTACACTTACTAACTCATTTATCCTCATGACAGTCTATTGTCTTAGTCCATTTTTTGTTGCTATAACAGAATACCACAGACTTGTAATTTATAAAGAAAAAAATTTCTTATAGTTCAGGAGGCTGGGAAGTCCAAGGTTGAGGGGCTGCATCTGGTGAGGGCCTTGTCAAGATGGCGGAGGACATCATATGGTGAGAACAAGAGTATGCATGTCCAGTTCAGGTCTTTCTCCTCTTCTTATAAAGCCACCAATCCCATTGTGGAGGCCATACCCTGATGATCTTATCTAATCATTAATCCCTGCCAAGGACCCTACCTTCAAATTCCATCAACATATGAATTTGGAGATTAAGTTTCTAACATATAAAATTAGGGGGGCATATTCAAACCATAGCAACTATGATATGAGTAAGTACTATTATTAGCCTAATTTTACAGATAAGAGATCTGCAATACAGAGAATTTAAGTAAACTTACCTAAGGTTAATTAGCTAGTATGGGGCAGGCCTGGAATTTGAACCTAAGCAATCTAGCCCTTAACCACTGTCCTGTCCTGCCACAATGCAATGTTTCTCTCTTAACACACTCTTAGGTGCTCCAAAAATGCAAAAATAGTAAGACATAAGTATATATTAGTACACTACAAAGTAAGTACGGTGACAGCATGACCTGGTCTAGCGAAAAAAATATGAACTTGGGGTTAGACAACTGATGGGAGCTTTGTGACCTTTGGCAAGGTATTTTCATTTTTAGGGTCTTCAAAAAATCAAATTTTTCAGATTTTCACAGATTTCCTCATCTGTAAAATAAAGAAAAACATTCGATAGTACTTCTTTCTAGGGTTGTTGTGTATATTAAATGAGACAAAAGATATGAAATACCTGTGAATGTCCTTCTTTTAATACAAATTATCTCATGTCTCCTCTTGACACCCCTGTGATGGAGGCAGTGGAGGTATTGTATCCACCGCACAGATGAGGAGATAAGTTCATTAAGGATAAGGCACATTCTCAGTATCAGCTCTCATGAAAGTGGGTGTAGAAGAGTGAGAGTGGGGCCTTGTCTTCTCATTCCTGATGAAATGTGCTTCCCACTAGACATATGCTAAGGACAGGACTGAAATAAAGTTATAACCAGGATAGAATTTCTCCCCCTACCCAATTCATTATTAAAATTTTTCTGTACATTTCTAAGCCAGTTTTATAGTTTAGGAAGTACTGTAAAAAGTCATCTTTATTTTTGGAGTTAGATGACCTTTTAAGAGTTATTCTAAAGTATATCATATGATATAATGTAACATATAATACCATATATTACTGTAGAGCGGTGTGATGAAGTTGTAAAGGAATATATTGAATTTTTACAAATCATAAGTGATCTTAGTTTGTTCTGGGTGATTTGCTTCTCTTTTTCCTAAAAGTAGAAGGCAAAATCTTTTCTAAATTGGAATTTTATCCTCTAACTTCAGTTGTAGGGGCCTTCCAGGAGTAGGTTAGAGACTAAAAACCTTGTCTGAAAATCGAGGTGGAAGGAGATCCTCATGGAAGAAAGTGAATAAACTACAAAAGAAAAAAGGGCTAGAAATGGTATTATACATAAGAACAAAAATCCACACATTAGAGGATATAGCAGTGATCCATGTTGTTTTCTTAAGTACTTAATTAATTTATTGGCCTAGAAATTTGAGAGAATTAAACTTGCTGTGTACTGTAATTTTGCTCAGTCAAATTTCTGAATATTTATCCAGGTCTCATTAATGCTTTATATAAATGTATGTATAGCCGATTCCCTTTGTTGTTTATAAAATGCATCTGCGTATACATGTGATTCCCTTTTTGTCTTTATCCACCATTTTTCAAAAAGGATTAAGGAGAAGTAAATACTAGAGAAAAAAAAGTATTGGTTAATCATATGTATACTTAAGTTTTTTAGAGTGAATAAATATTACCTTGAGTAGTTTGATGGGAAAGTTAAGTTAAATAAGATGCTATTGTGCCGGTGATGAAAATAGTGGTTTATAAATAAACCCAAAGAGTTTAGTGAAATAGAAGGGGTAGTACCTGGGAGTTGGGAAACCTGGGGTCTTGGCCAAGCACCAAGCTCTGTGACTCCATGTAAATCACTTAGCCTCCTCCCTGGTCTCTTCCTTACCTGTAATATAGGTGATTAGACTGAATGAACTCAGAGGTCTTTCAGAAACTTCCCAAATGCTAATGTATTCTATAACATTTTGAATGAACAGGAAAAAATTTATTTGGTACAAGAACAAACATTGTATTAAGAAACTAATATATATAAAATTACAATCGTATTTACTTTTTTGTTTGAACTAAATCAGGTCAAATTCAAAACTCCAGGTTGAATTTGTTTTTATCTAAATGTTAATTCATGCTTCTTCTCACAAAGTGCATATAGATCTTTAATTCTAGCCATACTTAATATTCTACCTTAATGGGAAAAAAAATCATCATATTTTTAGGTGCAGGATATTCTCAGGTTCCTTCAAAGTTTACATATTAGGGAAGTTAATGGCTAAGTTAAACCTCTCTGGGGCATTCAGAGTATAGAAAGCAAGGGATGAGAGTTGAAACAGATGGTGGTAGTGGGCTGCAAATAGGCAATATTAAAATACAACCATCTTTCCACTGTACAAATGTACATGTAGAAATTTTTTAGAAAAGCATGAAGAAGCAAAAAGTCATCTATAATCTCATTACTGAAAGAAATTGTTAACGTTTGGATTAATATCTCACCAGGCATGGTGGCTCATGCCTATAATCCCAGCACACTGGGAGGCCAAGGTGGGCGATCACTTGACGTCAGAAGTTCAAGACCAGCCTGGCCAACGTGATGAAACCTCGTCTCTGCTAAAAATACAAAAATTATTTGGGCATGGTGGTGAGCACCTGTAATCCCAGCTACTCAGGAGGCTGAGGTGGCAGAATCACTTGAACCTGGGAGATGGAGGTTGCAGTGAACTGAGATTGTGCTACTGCACTCCAGCCTGGGCAACAGCAAGACCGTCTCAAAAAAAATTGACTGGGTGTGGTGGCTCACCCCTGTAATCCCAGCACTTTGGGAGGCCGAGGCAGGTGGATCACCTGAGGTTGGCAGTTCCAGACCAGCCTGACCAACATGGAGAAACCTCGTCTCTACTAAAAATACAAAATTAGCTGGGTGTGGTGGCACATGCCTGTAATCCCAGCTACTCGGGAGGCTGAGGCAGGAGAATTGCTTGAACCCAGGAGGCAGAGGTTGTGGTGAGCCGAAATCATGCCATTGCACTCCAGCCTGGGCAGCAAGAGCGAAACTCTATCTCAAAAAGAAAAAAAAATATATATATATATATATATATATATGTGTGTGTGTATATATATGTGTATATGTATATATATGTGTGTATATATATGTGTGTATATATATATGTGTATATATATGTGTGTGTGTATATATATGTGTATATATGTATATATATGTGTATATATGTATATATATGTGTATATATATGTATATATATGTGTGTATATATATGTATTTATGTGTGTGTATATATAGTGTATATATGTATATATATGTATATATGTGTATATATGTATATATATGTGTATATATATGTGTATATATGTGTATATATTCACACATACATATATATTTGGATCAATATATTTTAGAATGCATATATATTTATGTATAAAAATTTATCTTATTTTTCATAGTTTGATATCTTTAATAATACATCCATGTTTTCCATGTCATTAACTTATCACAGTATACCTTCAAATATGGTATGAGCCTGACAACAGTATAGTTCCAGTTTCTCCTTTTCATCTATGTGTGGTTGTTGTCATACGTTTTACTTTTGCATATATTATAAACCCCACAATTTGTTGTTTTTGTCTTTACTTTGGACCATCCGTTATCTCTTTTACTTACCTTCATTTTTTGCCATTTCCAGAGCCCTTCATTTCTTGGTGCAGGCCTAAGTTTCTGTTTACTGTCATATTCCTACTATCTGAAGAACTGAACATTTTATGTATTGCAGGTCTGCTGATGATGAATTCTCTTAGCTTTTGTTTACCTTAAAAAGTCTTTATTACTCCTTGAAGGTATTTTCATTTGGTGTAGAATTCTTATTTGACAGTCAGTATTTAAAGATGTCACTTCTTTTTTTCTGGATTGCATAATTTCTGATGAGGAGGCCACTCTACCTATTATCTTTGTTCTCTGTATGAGATGTGTCTTTTTTCCTTGGGCTACCATCGAGATTGTTCCTTTATATTTCATTTTCAGCAATTTGACTATTGTGTCTAGTTGGAGTTTGTTTATTGTTTATCTTGCTTGGCATCTCCTGAGCTTTCTGGATTTGTATTTTTCTGCCTTTCATCACTCCAAGAAAATTCTTGACCATTCATTATCTCTTCAAGTATGTCTTCTGTCCCATTCTATCTCTTCTCCTTATGCAGCTCTCATTAGCTGTTTTGTATCATCCCACAGCTCTTGGAGGCTCTGTTCTTTCTTTTCCACTCTTTTTTCTCCTTAATGTTTTTATTTTAAATAACTTAAAGTGACATATCTGTAAGTTCAATGGATCCTGCCTCAACTGTGTGAAGTCTATTGAGGAGCCCACAAAGCAATTTACTCTGATATTGCAATTTTTCTTATCAAATGTTTCCATTTGACTCTTTGCTAAGAATCCCATGCCTTTGCTGCACTTCCCTATTTTTCATGCATGTTGTTCCTACTAGATAGAACACTGGATATTGTGTGTAGGAGGGGAGAGATTGAGTTAAATAATATTTTTACCTGGAAATGAGCATACTCATACTTTTTCTTCTGTGCTGCAAATGTGAGAGGTGGAGCCTGTTTTGGCAGGAGTTGAGCTGAGTTTACATTTTGTTTCAGGCTTCAGATTCCTCAGTGGAAGGCTGCCATTGCTTTCTGCTTGGGGTGGAGTCTGGGGCATCAGAGAATTTTGCTTAGTGTTAGTGCTCCACCCTGAGCTTTCTCTGCACACCTGCAGCACAGAGGAGGTCTCCCCACACTCCTGCCTTACCTCAGCAGTTGACTACTCTTGCTTGTTACTCTGTGCTAGGCTAGTGCTAGGGGTTGGGGGTCTTTCATGTAAGCTCAGACTCAGTCTTTAGGGTGTGTGTCTGGGTTCAAGGCTGTGTCTTTCTCCACATTCCTGCCCTTTCCACCACAGCAGCCAAACTCTGCCCTGTATGTATGGTGACGGATTTGAAGGCTCTTTGTACAGACTGCCAAATTGCATTCTAGCAAGCATGTACAAATTTACATTTCACCAGCAGTAAATGAGGGTTCTCTTAGGCAGGCTTTCGAGCTCTAACATCACTGAGTTTCTTTGATATGTTGGGATTTCTTAACTCTGTTGCTTGCTTAGACAGTGGAAGTGCAGCTCACAGCGTTACTCATAGTAGGGCATGATACATTTTTATTGGTTAGCTGAGGAATCAAAATATGAGTAGTCCGTTGAGTGGCCCTGAGGTACCACTTTCATTTTGATTTGTTTCTACTTCACAGAGGCATCTACGATATGATTCAGGAGTAAAAAGTGATTGCATTTTATTGGAAGCTGCATTTGACAGAGATGAGAAGCTAGGGTTTTTAAACAAACGTCTTCTGAATCCTGCCTGAAAATACCACAGCCTGAGGGTCTAGAGCCCAAATTCTGATCCTGATTCTGCCTCTGATTAGCTGTTTCTTAATCTGCAAATTACCAGTTCTGTGCCTCACTTTCTTTATCCAATAGGGTTAATGATATTTATCCTATTTCAGTGGATTGCTGTGAGGGTAAAATGAAATTACAGAAGTTCAGGTCCTTTACAACGCTGTTTAAGTGCTGTAGAATATAAAGTATTTCTCTAGGAAGGGCCAGAGAGGTGGAGAAAATGTGAGAATTAGAAACTCAAGGCACACCAGCATGGCACATGTATACCTATGTAACTAACCTGCACATTGTGCACATGTACCCTAAAACTTAAAGTATAATAATAATAAAATTAAATTAAATTTAAAAAAAAGAGAAAAAAAAGAAACTCAAGGCACCTTTTTGTCATCTACACATCCACAGTATGAGAGAGTGCATGAATATGGAAGAGAGTGAAATTAGAAACAGACTTCTTCCTCTTACTAAACTTAGCCTGTTTGTGATAAAGGTTAATTAAGTCTTTCTCAACCAGTGAGGGCATAGTTTTAAAGGGAAATGGCATGCCAGCCCTTACTCACACTGGGAAGTGATGAGGTCTTCGTGTCACGTCCCACTTGGGGCTCAGTGAGCTCTCCTATTGGTCGGTGTTTCCTTTATTCCCAACCTGACCCTCCATCTGCTGTCTCAGCTCTAGAATTCATCCACTGTGCCGCTTGGGTCACTAGAGCAATACACACTTGTACTCAGAAAACAGACATAAGCAGATCTGAAAGTCGTCATGAAATTTATTTCCTTCTGCCAGCTTTCACTCAAACCAAATAGTCCTCCACACCAAAAAAGACCACAGCGTGCCCAAAGGCACAGCCTATAGTTTCACTTCCTCTTTTGTAACCTGTTATACACAGTCGAAAGCTGTGCAGCTGCAAGCTGGTAGGTCTGGAGCAGGGGTCAGCAAACCACTGCCCACAGGCCAAATCCAGCGCACTGCCTGTTTTTATAAATAAAGTTTTAGAAACACAACCGCTCCCATTTCTTTACATATTGCATGTGCCTATGGCTGCCTTTGTGCTGCAATGGCAGAGTTCAGTAGATGCAAGAGACTGTATGGCCTGCAAAGCAGAATATATTTGCCATGTGGCCCTTTGCGGACAAAGTTTGCCTATACCCTGGGTAACAGCAATATTGGTCTGTTTACTTTCCACCAGCATTACTAAGAGAAATTTGTTTTCCTCAGGTCTCTTTCTTCTTTCATTTAAGATTTATATTTTAGCATCTAAGAATAGTGAGCAAAGAGAATGTGCAACCTTTCCATCTGTGGAAAGGTTGTAAACCTAACCCTAACCATACAACCATTAAAAGCATTTAACTAGAAAAGTTTACATAAAATACAGGGAGAAAAGGACATGTTAAACAACTCCCCATGAGGACTCAATCAGTCAAATCCAGGTGTGGAAGAGTCTACACAATAAATTACCCAGTTTCTTCAATAAATAAATGAACACGGGGGGAAAAAGGTGGGATAGAGGAGCTGTGGAGATTAAGAAAGACTTAAAGGACTCAACCTAATGCAATATGTCGACCCTCCAACTTGAGCAAACTAATGGAGATAGTTGGAGATAATGGGAGAATTTGAACATGGAGGGGGTCTTGGGTGCTATAAAGGAATTATTTTTACTTTCTTCATTATGATAATGGTATCGTGATTTTTTGAGATGTCCTCATCTGTTAGAGATAATTAAATTGCAGTATTTATGGGTAAAATAACATGATGCCAAGAATTTTCTTTCTCCTCTTCTTAAACTCCTTCAGAAAGAAAAAAAAACAGTAGGGAGCATAAAAGAAATAATATTGGCTAAAGGTTGATGTTTACTGAACCAGGGTAAGGAGCACTTGAAGTTCATTATGTTTTTTTGCCCAAACTTTGTGTATGTTGGAACTTTTCATTATTGTGTTTTTTAAAATCATGCATTCAAGAGTTTAAGTGTTGAAGAGTTGAATCCTGGTTCTGCCAACTGTTTCTGCATGTGTAAAATGGGGATTGTAATTCAGATTATGTATGATGATATGAGGATTGTGAGAATTAAATGAAGTAGTAAAGAGTTTAGCATAGTCCCTGACATGCAGGAAGTGATCAATACTTGATAGCTACTATATTGTTTCTGTTATCGAATTATAAATACATAATCCCTGTGAGCCTAGTTCATTTATGATGTAATTGATTCTTTGTGAACAGCAGAACTTAAACTCATATTGCTGCTACACAAGAATAAGAAGCCAGGCATGGTGGTGCACACCTGTAGTTCCAGCTACTTGGGAGGCTGAGGCGAGAGGATCGTTGGAGCTCGGGAATTTGAGACCAGCCTAAGCAATATAACGAGACTCTGTCACTTAAAAAGAAAAAAAAAAAAAAAAAAAAAAAAAACAAGAAATCAGGGAATTGTTTTTGATGTATGCGTACATTTCCTTGACAGTCTGGAAATAATCATAGCGCCTGTAAGATGCTTGGAGAGAAGAATAACTATGGTAGCCTACCACTGAAATCAAGGAGAACACAATTAGAATTTCAGATAATCCTAACAATCTGGTTATTCTTCAAATATTTGTCAAATAAGCATTACAGTTTTCATGAGACTGCTAACAAATGCCTGTAAACACATTTAAGCACCACGGGCATGGGATGTTATGTGACTATGTATAGAAGTAACAGATTTTCCAGTTTGAGTTCCTATTGTCTCTCCTTGACAACCTGATGCTCCCACTGGAACCTGGGAAAGGCTCCAAGTCACATGACACTCTTTTAAACTGAGTCTGTACTGACTTAATCAGCTACTTGTTAGTCAACCACTCACTAGCCAGTATGTATCACTCAAATTATAGAAAAATACATTGACTTAAAAATGCAGGACTTTTGAGCAAAAAAACAAATTATCACTTCATCCATCAGTCACCTCAAGTGATTGAAATAAATTAACTTGGACCCTGCCTCACAGATTCCCTTACAATTCATTCCTTTTTAAAGTCTCCTTCTGAAGAAAATTCCTGTCAGAAGTATTAGGAAGCACACTGTTCATAAAGGATGTTTAGAAAAGGAGAGGGGGAAATGGGGATATGTTGGGGGAAGTTTAGAAAGGAACGTTTTGTTGAAACCAAAAATATCAAATCTGTACTTTTTCCTCTTCTTCCCAGAATGACATCACTCCTTTACATGTTGCATCAAAAAGAGGAAATGCAAATATGGTAAAACTATTGCTCGATCGAGGAGCTAAAATCGATGCCAAAACCAGGGTAAGTGTGCAACTTATGTACCTGCTTCTACTTGTATTCAGGAAGTAGGAATACTTTTCCTGATACCTTTGCACTGATACAACATGAGCTTTGTTTTCTGTTCTATTTGTTATAGTCTCTTGGAAAATGACTGCTACTTTTATTCTTTTTAAAATGGTATGGCCATCCATCTATATTTATAAATACTTAATTCACAGTTAAATGGTACCTGGCTTTAAAAGTTCTAGAGTTCTTGTTGCATTTAATTTTCAAGACACTGTAAGCTAAGCTGTTCGGTCAGTTTGATACTAAAACTGCAAGTTATTCTATTTAGAAACAAATCTGTCTACTCTTGTGCACTGCTGGTAGAAATGTAAAATGATGTGACTGCTATGGAAAACAGTGTGGAGCTTCCTCAAAAAAAATTAAAAATAGAGCTAACATATGATCCAGCAATCTCACTTCTGGGTATATGTCCAAAATAATTGAAAGCAGGATCTCAAAATATTTGCATAACCATGTTCATAGCAGCAATAGGCAAGAGGTAAAAGCAGCCCAAATGTTCATGGACAGATGAATGAATTTAAAAATTTTAAAATACAATGGAATATTATTCGGCCCTTAGAAGGAAATCTTGTTGCATGCTACAGCATTGATGAACCTTGAGGACATTATGCTGAGGTGAAATATACCAGTCACAAAAGGACAAATACTGTATGATTCCACTTATCTGAGACATCTAGAATAGTGAAAATCATGGAAACAGAAAGTAGTATGGTAGTTGGCAGGGACTGGGGGTAGAGGAAATAGTTATTTGATGGGTATAGAGTTTTAGTTCTGCAAGATGAAAAAGTTCTAGAGATCTGTTACACAACAGTGTGAATGTGGTTAACATTATTGAAGTGTCTGCTTATGGATTGTGAGGGTAAATTTTATGTTGTATGTATTTTACCACAATTAAAAATTTTTAAAGGCTGGGCCCACTGGCTTACAACTATAATCCCAGCATTTTTAGAGGCCAAGGCAGGAGGATCACGTGAGTCCAGGAGTTTGGGACCAGCCTGGGCAGCACAGCAAAACCTCCATCTCTACCAATAAAAGAGAACAAAATTAACTGGTAGTGGTGGCATGCACTTATAGTCTTGGCTGTACAACAGGCTGAGGCAGGAGGATCGCTTGAGCCCAGGAGTTCAAGGCTACAGTAGGCTTTGATCACACCTCAGCAACAGAGTGAGACCCTGTCTCTAAAACAAAACAAAACAACATTTTTTAATTAAAAAATTATAAAAACCCACAAATATGTCTAATCTAGGTGTTTATGTCATGTTGCTTCTTTGGAGTGATGCATTGTGGGTAGGGGAAAAAACCAAGACTTAGAATTTGATTTGAATCCAAATTCTAAACTTAGCTAGCTGACTTAGGTAGGCTATTTAACTTTACTGATTGTCCTTTCTCTATCTGAAAATAAAGAAAATTAATGGCCACCTTGTAGGGTTGTTGCAAAGATCAAGATAATGTTTGTAAACTGTGCTGGCATAAAGTAGGGCAGAAATAAATTCTAGCCACTGCTAGTATATCTCAGAGCTCCAGTTAGTATTAAAGTTCTAGCCACGGGTTTTCTTATTCAATATTTCTTGTGCAAGAAGCAATCTAATCAAAAGATGGTCTCACGACAAACATCCATCTATCGAAGGGTTTTAAGTAGTTTTCTTGTAACTGCAACTCCTGCAATCCTGTGCTTCCTTCTTCTAAAAATTCTGATTCCATGATCCTAAAACTGGCCTGGTAACCTCAGCTTAATTTCTGTAGTGCTTTGATTTACTACTTCATTTTTTATTCCTTGCATTTATTTACTCAACCAATAGATGATCGTCGAGTGTCTACTGTGGGCCAGACATAGCAGGTGACAGAGCAAGACACCACAACACTTCCCCTGCCCTTATGAAACAAAAGGTCTAGTTTGTATTCTGTACTTTGACCCTAAGACAGCCCAGCCATAGGCAGGAGACCTAGACTTCTTTTTCTTGATTACCATTGAACCTGGAAACCATGTATGTACCTTAAAAGAAACAAACTTTCTAAATAGGAAAAGGGAAGAAAGGAAGGCCGACCCCTAAATGACTGTCTTACTGGAGAGGTAAATTGAATATAGGTCTTACTGAACTGATTTTGCATCATTCCAGTAAGAAGCAATTATCAGTATGTAAAGAATGCTAGAACCATTGCTTTAAATGGCAGGGGTCTTCTGCCATTTAAAAAGCGCAGGCTATTTAAGGAGTTGTAAGGAATAAAAAGTAGAGATGCATTGCATCTGTTGCCTGATTATCACATGGAGAAAAAGGAACATTTGTAAAGAGGAGGAATCTTTGCAAAGGGAAATGAGGGTTACCAAGACACGCAGAAAAGAGAAGCTTGAAGAGGTGCCCGGATATACAGATTTCAGTTGGCATATGGATTGGAAATTACCTTATTTCTCTCTCTGGTGATATAGTCAATCAACAGAACAGCAAAATGATTTGTCAGTCATTTTTCATCATTTGTCAAACACTTACATGTCCTATTTCGTTCAATGGGAGGAGAAAAGGATACATAGGAAGTTCAGGCCCCATCTTTAGAGGGCATAGAGGGTCACAGGGGAGGGCCAGGAGAAAAACATACAAATTCCTCTGATGAAAGTACCAAATATAGGAAATAATCTACATAGGCAAAGTTTGGTGTGCAACTTGGTTTCTGTGCCACTTTGCCTCCCTGTTCCGAAGGGCTGTCTTATTTTCGACAAAGATACAGATTCCTTTGTACCTCCCACTCAGTTTTGACTTGGATTTACATTCCTCCTGTATTATGTGAAGGAAAGACATGGAGAACCAGAGAACAGAAAAGCCTGACATTTTCTTCTGCAGTTGTCCTGAATGGAATGGGTTGGGGGAAGGGTGTCAGTTGGGCAGACTGAATTTCTGGCAGACTAAATGGGAGAAATTATAGTATATACCTGAAATATGTAAACTGTTTTGTGTTCTCTTCATCAAAATGTCCCTTCTCTCCTGCTGAAATGATGAAGTAGTGATTGGGTGTGTGGGTGAAAGGGAAGGAGCGGGCTAAAATGTCAGAAAGCCATGGGGGCAAGCCTAAAAATAGAAAGGAGAATTTGTCACAAAAACAAGTTCTAACTACCCAGTCCGGTAGCCCCTGAGAAAATAGATACCGTTATCTATCCATCTGCCTCCCACCAAGTACTTACTATTGTGGCAACCTTGCTTGCATTCAATAAATCTGATCTGGTACACACTTATCCCCCGTGTTTTAGAGGCAGGAAAGCATCACTGGATTTCACCTCAGAGGACAGCACTGTAAGGGACCTTGTTCCTATTGCTCTGTGCCCTGCCTGGGTGCTCACAGAATAGAGGATTCAGTTTAAAAGAAGATTCTTAGAGCTCTTTCATTCAAGGATGTAAACTTGAATTGTGTTCAGTGTAATTTAGGTAGGATCAGAGCAAGATATTACCAGCTGGAAAGGCAGATGAGTGAATTTAATTTCACCCTAGTGCCTGATCTGTAATCTTAAGTGTGACTAGCAAGTAGTGAAATTGTGACCTGAGAAAAGTTCACCCTTCTGAGTCATAGTTTTCCAGCCAGTACAGATAGAAAGTTGTTCCTGAAGATCTCACTCTCTCAGCTGGAAGGGCACTGGAAATTGTAACTTTAAGAATAATTAGTTATTGTAAAATTTAGGATGATTGCACATGAATCTTCTTAGAGGTGTTTAGCTAGGATATGATGAATTACAGACCCTTCAGGTTTCTTTTTTTTTTTTTTTTTAAGATGGAGTCTCGCTCTGTCAGTCGCCCAGTCTGGAGTGCAGTGGCGCAATCTCGGCTCACTGCAAGCTCCACCTCCTGGGTTCAAGCCATTCTCCTGCCTCAGCCTCCTGAGTAGCTGGGACTACAGGTGCCCGCCACCACGCCCGGCTAATTTTTGTATTTTTAGTAGAGATGGGGTTTCACCGTGTTAGCCAGGATGGTCTTGATCTCCTGACCTCGTGATCTGCCCATCTCAGCCTCTCAAAGTGCTGGGATTACAGGCGTGAGCCACCGCACCCAGCCCCCAAACCCTTCATGTTTCTATTTACCTCATTTCAGGAAAGTCTTTCCCATTTTCCCAGCTCCATAATGCTAATTAATATCAACTGGCTTGTTAACTCATGTTCCTGTTGATAGTAAGTATATAGAGAATCTCTGTCATAGTGGTGGGACATGTGCTGAGATATAAACACCTATCAAGGCATATTTGTCAATCTGGTCTATATGCAGCTTTCTAATTTTAAAATGATTTATGTAGTTCATTTTTTCAACAAGATCACAATGGCTTCGTTTCTTTATAGACTAAAATGTTTTGCTGAGAATGGCCCCTATTTCTTTCCACTGAATTCTTCCCTCTTTAAAGCTAGCGTGAGTATTTGGTACATGTTGAAGGAAGATACTTTGCAGTGGATGGTCTCTTGTCATTTTTAGTTTGCTCTGCATCAATTCACAGACCAATCAGAGACTCAATATAGACCCTAAATCCGAACCATTTTGAGACTTGAGTTCTCTATCTCTTTTCACTGACTCCTCTCCATCTAATAATAAAAGCAGCTATACTTGTATTTAGTGCTTCAGAGAAGATGCAGAATCCCCGGTAGTGTTGGTAATAACAATACTCTCATTGCCAGAATGTTACTCTAACTGTGCCCCTCCCAACTTCTAGCCTTTCTAGCGAGTTGCCACTGCCTGCATCCTCAGAGAAACCCATTACCACAGTATTATTTGCAAAGCTACACCTTAACTCTAAGATGCACGTGGTCATCTTAGTGTCTGCCACACTTAGCATACTTAGCACACTTCCTGGTGCATATTAAATGCCTAATAAGTGTTTGCTGAATATATTGAAATAAGATATACTTCTTAATATTACATTTGTCAAAACATCTTAATTTACTTGACTTTATACTGGTCCTATGGTAACGTAATTTTTCCACTGAAGTTAATGGCATCCGGTTTATGTACAAGAATAAAGAAGTATTTATGCTCAGGTAGATGAAGTGTTTTCAAGGCACTTCCAATCTGTCAATTGTTAAATTTTTACTGCCTGGGAAGGTGTCAGGGGACATTTGGATGTACTATAATTTCAGCCCATGCTTTCCCAGAAATGTAACTGATTCTGTTTCTCAGGTTAAATACTAAGAAAAAAGAATTATTGATACTGACTTTTGCTTTTGATTATATTTCAAGGGATGTGATTGTCCAAAGTTAAAAATAAATCCTTGAATAAAATATTAAATATTTCAAAGTCATAGAATAGTCTCTCTGAAAAAGAAATTCTAAAACAGTACTTCCTCCTTGAGTTCTAAAATAGATATGTTGACAAGAACATTAGAAATAGTGAAGAAGACCCTGGGTTTCTATATTAGTTGAAACTAGCCTGAAAATGTTTCTTCATGTCATATAAAAATATATCAATTTTTTCATTTTTATGTCAAAAAATTACAAGTTAATTGAAAATATTTATTTAGATTAAAAGAAGGACCAGTAATCATGAAATGCCACTAGCTTTCAAAACACGAGAGAATATCTTTGAAGGAAAGAATGTTTTTTACAGTTGCAAAGCATTCTGAGAACATGGAGGGAGCATCTTTTGTTTTATTTTTCTCCCTCTCCTAAAGTTTTTACACTACATTGTAAACCTCATTTCCCTTGCCAAATTAGAGATCTAAAAGTATTATGGCAAAAATCACAATTGTTGTTGCACCAACCTAATAAATGTCGTATGCCTGGTTCTGTTGAAGAGTCAACAAAATAGGCTCAGGACAGTTTTATTTTAGATAATTGCTATGTGGTTCCAAGTGCTAATGGTCAGAATGTTGTCTGCTTTTTCTCCTACTGTTTCTTAATGTATGTTGGTAATGCTCACATCTAATTTTTTTTTAAATAGCTCTACATCAGTTAGACACAAAATTACCCTATAGCTGTCAACTATAACCATCTTTAATTACCCTCCTTCCTCAAAGGAAAGATAAAGATAAAAGAAGTTATTAGTGTTTTGTAAATTATGAATACTAAATTGTTTCAAACATGTAACATCTTATAAGAAGCATATAAAAGCACCTTTGTATGTTTGAAATCTTTTTTTTTTTTTTTTTTGGAGACACAGTCTCACTCTGTTGCCCAGGCTGGAGTGTAGTGGCGCAATCTCAGCTCACTGCAACCTCCGTCTCCCAGGTTCAAGTGAGTCTCGTACCTGTCTCCTGAGTAGCTGGGATTACAGGCACACGCCACCTCGCCTAGCTAATTTTTGTATTTTTAATAGAGACGGGGTTTCACCATATTGGCCAGGCTGGTCTCGAACTCTTGACCTCGTGATCCGCCCACCTCGGCCTCCCAAAGTGCAGGATTACAGGCATGAGCCACTGCACCTGGCCAAAATCATATTTTATAGTAGGTTATTCAGTATCTACCAACTGGAAAGTCAAGAATTCTCTCATGTATTCATAGAAGAAATATTCGTAAGTGGTGCATGATAGAAAGAAATACAAACTATGATGGCGTAATATGCAGAGGTCACATATCCTATTTTTATTCAAATATATGAGAGTTCTGGCATTAAGTTATGATGGAATAGCATGCATTGGACTAAGCCTTCTGCTGGGAAAAGTCATCAGCTCTGGACAAAACCAAGCTGCTGTAAGTTCCAAATTATTTATAACATATCATACATAATACCCAGTATGTAATTTTAAAATTACTAAACAAAGTCAACTGGAAAATATGACCGACAGTCAAAAGAAAAGTTAGATAATAGAAACAAACCCACAGATGACTCCACTGTTGAAATTTGCTGAATTTAAAATAACTAAGATAAATATGTTAAGCTATAGGAGAAACGAGTATAATGCGGGGGAAAGAACCAGATGGAAATCCTAAGATTGAAAAACACAGTATCAGAAATATTTTAAAAATCATTACATGGGATAAATAACAGATTGAATACAAAGGAAGAAAAAAATTGGAGGACTTGAACACAAGTCATAGAAATCATCCATACTAAAGCACAGAAAGAAAAAAGATTAAAAATAAAATACACTGCTATGTCAGTAACCTGTGGAATAATAGCAAGTCGACTAAATCTATACAATGTAGTCCAACAGGCAAAGGAGAAAGAGAATGGGGCATAAAATAAGTTTATATTTACTTCCAAATTTGATCATAAACTGCAGCACTCAAATCAAGGAATCTTAGCCTACCCCAAAGAGGATAAATACAAAGAAAACCACACAGAGTCATATCACACAAAGAGTCAAAAAATCAAAAAGAAAAAAATTTAAGTAGCCAGAGAAAAAGACATATCATGAATGGGAAAGACAATTATAAGAATGTTATCTGACTTCTCATCAGAAACACTGAAGGTCAGAAAATGATGGGCCACCTTTAAAGTTCTGAATGAAAAATATCTAGCAATCTACTTACATAGATTGATATAAATATCTAGTAAAAAAGGTATTTATATCTACTAAAAATTATATTTACATAATAAAAGCAAAACAAAGACTGTTTCATACAAGCGAAAGCTGACATAACTTTGTTACCATCAGGCCCAGACGAACTAAAATACTGAAGAAATTTCTTCCATCTAAGGGAAATGATACCAAAAAGAAAACTGGATCTACATAAAGGAAAGAACAGCTAGGAGTAGGAAATATGTGGATACAATAAAATATTATTCTTCTTAAGTTCTTTAAAAGTCAATTGTTGAAGCAAAATATCAATCTATTGTGAGGTCTATGATATGTAATAGTATGTAGAAATAAAATATATGCTATAGCACAAAAGATAAAACTAACAGTGTAAATATAATTATAATATGGCAGAATTCTTGTTATACATAAAGTGGTATATTAATTCAGTATATATGTAATATTAATATTACTTTATAATATACTATTTATATAATGAATACTATGTATTATATATACTATATAATATAGTATATTATGTTATACTATATTATACTATAATTTATTATGATATATTATCTATACTATATATAATATATAGTGACTTTTGCTTTTGATTATATATAGTATATATACATAGTATATATACATATACTATGTATATATACTATAGTATATATACTATGTATATATACTATAGTATATATACTATGTATATATACTATAGTATATGTATATATATAGTATATATACTATGTATATATACTATATTTTATAGTATGTTATATATTATATGTTGTATAGTATGTTATATATGTTATACTATATTATACTATAATTTATTCTATAATTTACTATATTATATAGTATTACATATACTATATAATATAGTATATATACATAGTATATATAGTATTACATATACTATATAATATAGCATATATACATAGTATATATAGTATTACATATACTATATAATATAGTATATATACATAGTATATATAGTATTACATATACTATATAATATAGTATATATACATAGTATATATAGTATTACATATATAATACTATATATTACCACATATAGTATATAATATATAATATATATTACAGTAAATACTATTTAGATATATACTATATCCTCTATATTATATATAATATATACTATATACACTCTCTATTATATATAATATATATGATATACAATTATCTTATTACATTATAGGAATTACAATTTGTAATATTATAATATTCACACTAGTAAGTTAAAGATACACATTTTAATTTATAAAACAACTATCCCCCCAAAAAAAATTAACTAAAAAAATCAGAAGACAGCCAATGATATATATAATGTTTCAATGATTAGTATACTAAATAATTCCAGCACAAAAGGAGACAAGCAACGAGGGACAATAAACACAAAGAACAGAGTGGAAAACTACAATACAAATAACATAAGGGTGTGTTCTAGTCTCAGAATGAAGGCTGTAGTTTTCCAAGTAGAGAGGACACAAAAGGATTTTACCTTATTTTCATTTAAACATATAGGCGGTATGGCAGTAGAACAAGGAAGCTAATTAATGTATTTTCCCTCCTATATATAAAAGGCAGAAATGAACTCTTAATCTTAAATAGAACATTGACTGCTTATATTTTTTGAAGAGGTTGCTTGGCATAGTAGAAGGAACCCAGTCCTTCCAAGGGAGGCAATCCTGAATGTAAATTCTAATTCTATCTATTTACTCTATGTACTTGCCATGTGACCTTGAGTAGGTATATGAATCCCCTGGAGAAGTTTTCTCATCTATAAATGTAGCTACTGATGCTTTTCTCATAGAATTGCTGCAAAGATTAAATAAGATCACAATTATAATGTGCCTATATCATAGAGGACATTCAAAAAATTTTATTTCACCTCTTAGGCTATCTCGATAACTGCCTAACACAAAAAAAATGAGGACACAGTCCAAATTTTTGGTGAAAATGCCAATATGGAATAGCTTTGCTGGCTGGGTGCGGTGGCTCATGCCTGTAATCCTAGCACTTTTGGAAGCTGACGTGAGAGGATTGCTTGAGGCCAGGAGTTTGAGACCAGCCTGGCCAACTTGGTGAAACCCCATCTCTACAAAAAATGTAAAAATAACTGGAAATGGTGGGGCATGCCTGTAATCCCAGCTACTTGGGAGGCTGATGCATGAGAGTTGCTTGAACCCAGAAGGCAGAGGTGACAGTGAGCTGAGATTGTGCCATTACACTCCAGCCTGGGTGACAACAAGACTTTGTCTCAAAAAAAAAGAAAAAAAAAAGAAAGAAAAAGAAAAAAAGAAAAGAAAAGAGCTTAGCTATTAGACTGTAAGTGATGCCCTTTAGTTTATCTTTCACTATCATCATAGCTCTCTTCTCTTGAAGGACTCTCTACATTTTTTTCATTGTTTTCAGTTTTTAATTAAAGATTATATCCTGTTCTACAGCCATGATCTATCTGCAGAGTTCTCTCTGCTTGAATTCCTTTTCTTTCTCTAGAGTGAGGAGTTTGTATTTATTTATTTATTTTGCTGGTGAAAAAGAAAAGAAAGAGTATCCTAAAGGATACAAATCAAAATAAATATGTCTCTTCTTGAAAATATTTCCCAAACCACGAATTTGTGTCACTTCAGTGACACTGAGCAAATTTGACCTGCTAAAGACACATTCTGGTTTCATAGTCCTAGGTGTGATGCCTTAACATCCTGCTTCATGCTTTTCAGAAAAATCAGACCGGAAAGTCTTTTGACCTTCGCATGTACAAGGATTTGCTCTTAGGCTAACATGAGAGCATTCTGTCCGGCGAGTAACGTGCAGTTCCCCTCCTCACTAATAAGATTACTGTCACTAAAATGAAATATGAGATCTGGACTAGCCAGTTTGTGTTGCTTTAGAATTCTGCCCAAGGGAAACTTGTTCATTATGTGAGTGCTTTAAAAATCAAGGGAATTGGAAAATATTACTAACCCCATGCAATTTCATTTCCCTTCCGTAATGTTACTATGGCAACTCAGCATCCCTCTCATTCTCTCCTGTCCAACTGCATATGTTGCCTTTCTTGAGGCACCCCCTCCCTCAATCCCCCGAAATTGCCTTTGTCTAGCATTTTTCAACTGGAGATCAACACTATTCTATGCAGTTGAAAAACTGCTTTTTGGTCTCCAGCTCATTCTAAGTGACTTTGTTCATTAATTATACATTTCTAGGGGTTGGAGGCAAGTAAGAATCCTTATTCCGCTTCAAAAAAAAAAAAGCGTGGCTCTAATTTTAGGGAAATGAATATGCCAGTTCTCTGCTACATTGCAAAGCACAGTATCAACCATAGCTCTTTTATTACGCTTATTAGTATTCTGAGTAGAAAAAGGAAATCTTATTTAGAACAAATTCTGAAAGCTAAGAGACTTAGTCACATCCTTAAATCAAATCCCAATTTACAAGTCACTTATTCTATCGAGAATTTTACTTTTCTGGAAAAATAAGGTATTTTAATAGTGCTACTGAAGTAGACAAAATGAGTCTACTCTTAAACAAAAAGGATAACAAGGAAAATAATTTTAAACAACTAACTAGAAAATATTTTTTTTCACTAGCCTGAAAACACATTCATTCACTCACTCCATTCATTCATTTACTCAGTAATTTTTATTAGGCAACTTTCATGGACATAGTACTAAGTTACCTCCTCTGTAAGATTCATTTATCCCTTAAGCTGGTAATCTTGTCCTCAGAGATAAACTAGTGTTAAATTAAAAAATTATTCATGATACTTGTAAGAAAACAGTAAAGCTGACTTTATCCAAAGGGGGCTACTACAAAGGAATTTTATAGTAGTAAAGAGATCTAGCTCAACTCTGAATACAGCAAGGAAAGGTGGGAATTTATAGCCAAGGAGTAGGGTTGAGGTCAGTAAATAGAAAATTACTAAGAGGAAATGTCAAGGGTAGGGGCACTTCTGGCTAAACTGACTTGACAAGATTATTGCCAAAGGCAGGTCAGATTGATAAGAGTGGCAGGGTGGGAGATAAGGAATTTGATCTAATAGAAAGGGTTGGGATTTTCATTAAACTGATCCAGTAGGAGTCTTGCTAAAACTGAACTAAGCAGACACTAACATATGGAAAGCCAAAAGTCTAGATGAGAAGAGAATTCAGAGAAGCTTGACTAGAGTTAAGTCAAGGAAGAGCATCTTTGTCACTGGAAATATTCATGTGTGCCCACAGGTAAAGAAAATACTAGGTAAAAAGTTACAGGTCCCCCAAAAGAGGTATAGAAAATAAGACAGGAGTCTGGAAGGTAGAAAGATTCCATTTAATTTGTGAAAAGATTTCAAAGAAATGCTCTGCTCTAAGATAGTAAGGATCCTGTAGGAAGTGGGAAAGGAACTCTCAGGTACATGAAATGGCGTGGGCAAGACAGTAAAACAACGGAGGGACTCTTATCAGAAGCTGCAGAGAGTTTGTTAATTGCAGTATAAGTTAAGGGAATCAGGAAAGGCCAAGTTGGACCAAGTATAGCAGGAACTGATTTTAGACGACTTTGAATGCTAACTTGAAGAATTTAGACTTGACTGAGGAGTAACTGTGAATGACAGTTAGTGAAGATCATTTTGAACAGAATGGCATCCTAAATCAGAACCGTGTGTCAGGAAAGTGAGTGATAGGCCACACCAGCTTCAAAGCCAAAGAAATGAGTTCAAAATTTATTTTTTTAACCAAAAAGTGGAGTGAAGTGGAACAAATGCCTGCTAGTTTTCCTCCTCTTTTTTTTTTTTTTAACTGAATTAAGTGTGAATCATTAAATGGCAGGTACTTTTCAGTCCCACTGTGGATCAGCTGGTCTTGCCCATCTTCATGACTGCAAGAACTGTGATGCTAATTAAAGATCTTACATTCACCCTAGGCACTCGTTTTCCACTGACCTGTCAATGTCCCAGCAGCTGGGCCAGCGCTGCCTGTGCAGCCAGGCAGTCGCATCATTGATATCTTGTGCAGCTTCCTGATGAGGCATCCCTCCTGCAGCAATTTTGGCTACTTGAAGAGCTACATGCCTTTGAAAAGAGCTAGACTGAATCTGTAGAAGATCCAAAGGAGACTGACACTTGAAGTCAGTGTTCAGAATACTACAAGGAAAACTACAGTTGAAAGAGTTGTGCTTCAGGTAGCTCTTTGCAGTTCAGCTAGAACTGATGAGTTGTACCTTGGGGAAACAGCTGACTTTGTCATGGAAGCAAGGTGATTAAAGGAACAATGGCTAAAGAATATAATACTTCACAGCTCTTCCACTGGTGAAATGTCACCTTTCCCTACTGAGTCTTTAGATGCCACATGTTGTTAGTAAACAAACATCAGAGATCAGAGGTAGCAGCTTCTGAATGTAGCTAAGGGAAGGCTAAGAGTGGCTGCAAGTGTGAGCACAGGGACTTTGCCTTAGTAACCCCTCTGAAGACATGCCTTGATTGTCTTGTAGAGCCAGCACTCATAGTCCAAGCCTCGTTCTAAATTTGGTGCGTGCAGCCTTGAATGAGTAATTTCACTTCTTTGAACCTTGGAATCTCTATTTATCAAATCAATATTATACTCTTATAGCACTAATCATGAGGATATAATAATATGATGTCTTGGATTTGCTTCAAAATAATACAAGAAAAGGGTTTGACTTTTGGTCAGTATATAGATGAGTCATGACTGACCATGGGGTGACAATTGTGGAAGCTGAGTTAGGTACCCAGAGGTTCGTTATAATATTCTGTCTATGTTAATCTGCAATATGTCTGACATTTTTTATAATTAAAACTTCTTTTGAAAAGACAAAAATCAGGCCAGGCACGATGGCTCACGCCTGTAATCCCAGCACTTTGGGAGACTGAGGTGGGAGGATCACCTGAGGTCAGGAAGTCGAGACCAGCCTGGCCAACATGGTGAAACTCAGTCTCTACTAAAAATACAAAAATTAGCCAGGCGTGGTGGCAGGCGCCTGTAATCCCAGCTGCTCAGGAGGCTGAAGCAAGAGAATCGCTTGAACCCAGAAGGCGGAGGTTGCAGTGAGCTGAGATCACACTATTGCTCTCCACCCTGAGCAATAAAGCGAGACTCCATCTCAAAAAAAAAAAAAGGCAAAATCAACAAAAAATATGTATCTGTAAGAAGAAACAGTATACCTCAAAGGATTAAGGAGTTGATGGATGAGATAGATTTTGCTCTTAGCCAAACACTTTGCATTCAGTATGTAGCATTTTGCTTTGTGGAAGATAATTTTCAAGGATGAATGAGTGCAGCTAAAATAGTTATTTTTCTGTGTGAGCACAGTTTGAAATTCTTGATGAAAAGAGTCAGACACTGGTAAGATATTTGAATAGATTTATTCTGAGCCAAATATCAGTGACTGGTGGCCCGTGATGTAGCCCTTAGGAGATCCTGAGAACCTGTGCCCAAGGTGGTTCGGGTACAGCTTGGTTGTATACATTTTAGGGAGACACAAGACATCAGTCAACACATGCAAGATGTACATTGCTTCCATCTGGAAAGGCAGGACAATGGAAGCAGAGGGTCTTCCAAGTCATCAATGGATTCAAAGATTTTCTGATTGAAAGAGTTATTCAGGTTGAAAGAGTTATTATCAATACAAAGGAATATCTAAGTTATGATAAGGGGTTGTGGGGACCAAGGTTTTATCATGCAGTTGAACCTCCCAGGCTTCAGAGAGAATAGATTGTAAATGTTTCTTATCAGATTTAAAGAGTCTGTTCTATCAGTAATTCCGAAAAGGAGGAGGGCAGAATGAGGCATGCCTGGCTTCCCTTACCCATCATGACCTGAAGTAGTTTTGCAGGTTAATTTTGGAATGCCCTTGGCTGAGAGGAGGGGTCCATTCAGATGGTTCGGGGCCTTAGACATTTATTTTTGGTTTACAAACATCTCTATGCATATTTTGTCATTTTTTACTTAGAATCTGCAGAAGAGAAAATGAAACAATTTTGACCTTTTAGTTCATAAAAAAAAATCACTGTACTGCAGTCTGTATGAAATGTTTTTTGTGTAGGTGGTGGAAAGTGGATGTGATTATTGTATATTATTTCTCCATCAGATGTCTTCAGGTTTTACATTATGAAGTAGACATTTGGACATTATTTTTTGTATGTTTCCAGATTTTATTTTAATAGTAAAATGCTGTTTTCACTTGAAAGGCTGCTTTACTTTGGTTTATAAAAGCAAATGTTTTAAATCAACATAAAAGGCAGAAGATATAAACGTGCTCCAAAGAATGTTCAAATTAGGCCATGTACTATTTGCAATTCAAATGTTATTTTTAAATAACATTAATACTATTGAGATTTGGCTAGTAGTTTAGAAATAGGGTTGTATCTTGTTGCTTATACATTAGAATAATTAGGCTTACTTTCAATATCTGCTCACACAATCCAGAAAGTTACATGAACGTATTGAATCAAATTTTGTTGTATTTTTTAATGTGATTATCCTTAGGGTAGGTATTAAGTACCAGTCTCAGGGATCTTCAAGTTGGGGAACTCTTAAACCAAGAACACTTGTGAAAACTTCTCCAGCGGGATTGGGGCCACTTAGTTTTAAGTGAATAACTCTCTACTTCCTCAACTTCCTGCAGAGTCTCCCTTCCCACTGATCCTTTAACACACATTCCTTCTGCCCTAGTACTAAGAAAAGCCTAGCTCTCTCTCACGCACATTGCCCAAGGGTGCAAAAACCCCTGAGGTGGCGGGGGCAAGCAGAAAAATTCAAAATATTGGTATTCTGCTGATAACTGCCTGATTCTAATGATCTGATAAACCCCTTGCTGCCCACAAAAATGAAAGACCTAATAAAGTTGTCCTGTGACGGATCATTGAGAAGAATTTTGGGTGAAAGATCATTAAGTATGGAGGATCAGATGGACAGATTGACAGAAGTAGGCTTCAGAAGATGGGTAATAAAAAACTACACTGAGCTAAAGGAGCATGTTCTAAACCAATACAAAGAAGCTAAGAACCTTGATAAAAGGTTAGAGGAATTGCTAACTAGAATAACCTGTTGTGAGAGGAACATAAATGACCTCATGGAGCTGAAAAACACAGCGTGAGAACTTCATGAAGCATATACAAGTATCAATAGCTAAATCAACCAAGCAGAAGAAAGGATATCAGAATTTGAAGACTACCTTGCTGAAATAAGGCATGCAGACAAGACTAGAGTAAAAGGAATGAAAAGGAATGAACAAAGCCTCCAAGAAATATGGGACTTCATAAAAAGACTGGACCTACTACTAGAATATGAGAAGGAGATGGGGAGAATGGAAACAAGCTGGAAAACACAGTTCAGGATATTATCCAGGAGAACTTACCCGACCTAGCAAAATAGGCCAAGATGCAAATTCAGGAAATACAGAGAACACCATTAAGATACTCCATGATAAGATCAACCCCGAGACACATAATAATCAGACTCTCCAAGGTCTAAATGAAGGAAAAACTGTTAAGGGCAGCCAGAGAAAAGGGCCAGGTAACCTACAAAGGGAAGCCCATCAGACTAACAGCGGACCTCTCAGCAGAAACTCTACAAGCCAAGAGATTGAGGGCCAATATTCAACATTCATAAGGAAAAGAATTTTCAACCCGGAATTTCATATCCAGCTAAAAACTAAGCTTCATAAGTGAAGGAGAAGTAAAATCCTTTACAGACAAGCAAATGCTGAGGGATTCCATTACCACCAGGCCTGCCTTACAACAGCTCTTGAAGGAAGTACTAAATATGGAAAGGAAAAACCAGTACCAGCCACTGCAAAGACATGACAAAATATAAAGACTAATGAAACTATGAGGAAACAGAATCAACTAATGTGCAAAATAACCAAATAGCAGCATGATGACAGGATCAAATTCACATATAACAATACTAACCTTAACTATAAATGGGCGAAAGGCCACAGTTAAAAGACATAGACTGGCAAATTGGGTAAAGAGTCAAGACCCATCAGTGTGCTCTATTCAGGAAGCCCATCTCATGTGCAAAGACACACATAGGCTCAAAATAAAGGGATGGAGAAAAATTTACCAAGCAAATGGAAAGCAAAAAAAAAAAAAAAAAAAAGAAAGAAAAAGAAAAAGCAGGGGTTGCAATCCTAGTCTCTGACAAAACAGACTTTAAATCAACAAAGGTCCAAAAAGAAAAAGAAGGGTATTACATAATGGTAAAGGGAGCAATTCAACAAGAAGAGCTAACTATTCTAAATATATAGGCACCCAATAAAAGATCGCTCAGATTCATAAAACAAGTTCTTTGAGACCTATAAAGAGACTAAACTCCCACACCATAATAGTGGGAGACTTTAACATCCCATTCTCAGTATTAGACAGATCTATGAGACAGAAAATTAACAAGGATAGTCAGGATTTGAATTCAGCTCTGGATAAAGTGGACCTAGTAGACGTCTACAGAACTTTCTACCCCAAATCAACAGAATACACATTCTTCTCTGTGCCACATGGCACTTGTTCGAAAATCGATCATATGATTGGAAGTAAAACACTCCTCGGCAAATGCAAAAGAACTGAAATCAACAGTCTCTCAGACCACAGTGCAATCAAATTAGAACTCAGGATTAAGAAACTCGCTGAAAACTACACAATTACATGGAAATTGAACAACCTGCTCCTGAATGACTCCTGGGTAAACATTATGACATTAAGGCAGAAATCAAGAAGTTCTTTGAAACCAATGAGAACAGAGAGACGATGTACCAGAATCTCTAGGAGGCAACTAAAGCAGTGCTAAGAGGGAATTTTATAGCACTAAATGCCCACATCAGAAAGCTTGAAAGATCTCAGATCGACACCCTAATATCACAATTAAAAGAGCTAGAGAGACAAGAACAAATGAATCCAAAAGCTAGCAGAAGACAAGAAATAACTAAGAGAAGAATTAAAGGAGATAAAGACGTGAAAACCCCCCAAAAAATCAATGAACCCAGGCACTGTTTTTTTGAAAAAATTAACAATATGGATAGACCACTAGCTAAACTAATAAAGAAGAAAAGAGAGAAGAATCAAATAGACAATAAAAAATGACAAAGGGGATATCACCACTGACCTCACAGAAATACAAACTACTATCAGCAAATACTATAAACACCTTTATGGAAATAAACTGGAAAATCTAGAAAAAATGGTTAAATTCCTGGACACGTATACCCTCACAAGATTAACCAGGAAGATATTGAATCCCTGAATAGACCAATAACGAGTTCTGAAATTGGGGCAGTAATTAATAGCCTACCAACCAAAAAAAGCCCAGGCCCCAGATGGATTTACAGCTGAATTCTATCAGAAATACAAAGAGGAGCTAGTACCATTCCTTCTGAAACTCTTCCAAACAATTAAAAAGGAGGGACTCCTCCCTAACTCATTTTATGAAGCCAGCATCATCCTGATACCAAAACCAGGAAGAGACACAACAAAAAAAGAAAACTTCAGACCAGTATCCCTGATGAACATCGATGAGAAAATCCTCAGTAAAATACTGGCAAACCGAAACCAGCAGCACATCAAAAAACTTACCTACCACGAGTAAATCGGCTTCATCCCTGGGATGCAAGGCTGGTTCAACTTAAGCAAATCAGTAAACATAATCCATCACATAAACAGAACCAAAGACAAAAACCACATGATTATCTCAATGGATGCAGAAAAAGCCCTTGATAAAATTCAACATCCCTTCATGTTAAAAACTCTCAACAAACTAGGGATTGATGGAACATATCTCAAAATGATAAGAGCTATTTATGACAAACCCACAACTAATATCATTATTGAATGGGCATAAGCTGGAAGCATTCCCTTTGAAAACTGGTACAAACAAGGATGCCCTGTCTCACCACTCCTATTTGACATAATGTTGGAAGTTCAGACCAGAGCAATCAGTCAAGGGAAAGAAATAGCATATTCAAATAGGAAGAGAGGAAGTCAAATTATCTCTGTTTGCAGATGACATGATTTTATATTTAAAAAACTCCACCATCTCAGCCCAAAAACTCCTTAAACTGATAAGTGCCAAATCATGAATGAACTCCCATTCACAATCACTACAAAGAGAATAAAATACGTAGGTATACAGCCAACAAGGGATGTGAAGGACCTCTGCAAGGAGAACTACAAACCACTGCTCAAGGATGTAAGAGAGGATGCAAACAAATGAAGAAACATTCCATCTTCATGGATAGAAAGAATTAATATCGTGAAAATGGCCATACTGCCCAAAATAATTTATTGATTCAATGCTATTCCCATCAAACTACCATTGACATTCTTCACAGAATTAGAAAAAAAGTATTTTAAATGTCATATGGAATCAAAGAAGACCCCATATAGCCAAGACAATCCTAAGCAAAAAGAACAAAGCTGGAGGCATCATGCTACCTTACTTCAAACTACACTACAAGGCTACAGTAACCAAAACAGCCTGGTACTGGTACCAAAACAGACATATAGACCAATGGAGCAGAACGGAGACCTCAGAAATCTGCAATCATCTGATCTTCAACAAACCTGACAAAAGCAAGCAATGGGGAAAGGATATACTATTCAGTAAATGGTGCTGGGAAAACCGGCTAGACATATGCAGAAAACTGAAATTGGACCCCTTCCTTACATCTAATACAAAAATTAGCTTAAGGTGGATTAAAGACTTAAAAGTAAAACCCAAAACCATAAAAACCCTAGAAGAAAACCTAGGCAATAGCATTCAGCACGTAGGCATGGGCAAAGATTTCATGACAAAAACGCCAAAAGCAATGGCAACAAAAGCTAAATTTGACAAATGAGATCTAATTAAACTAAAGAGCTTCTGCACAGCAAAAGAAACTATCATTAGAGTGAACAGGCAACCTACAGGATAGGAGAAAATTTTTGCAGTCTACCCATTTGACAAAGGGCTAGTATCCAGAATCTACAAAGAACTTAAACAAATTTACAAGAAAAAAACAACCCCATCAAAAAGCAGGCAAAGAATATGAACAGACACTTCTCAAAAGAAGACATTTATGCGGCCAAGAAGCATATGAAAAAAAGTTCAACATCAGTGATCATCAGAGAAATGCAAATCAAAACCACAGTGAGATACTATCTCACACCAGGCAGAATGGCAATTATTAAAATGTCAGGAAACAATAGATGCTGGGGAGGCTGTGAAGAAATAGGAATACTTTTACACTGTTGGTAGGAATGTAAATTAGTTCAATCATTGTGGAACACAGTATGACAATTCCTCAAGAATCTAGAACCAGAAATACCATTTGACCCAGCAATCCCATTACTGGGTATATACCCAAAGGAATATAAATCATTCTACTATAAAGACATATGCACACGTATGTTTATTGCAGCACTATTTACAATAGCAAAGACATGAAACCAACCCAAATGCCCATCAACAATAGACTGGAGAAAGGAAATGTGGTACATTTACATCATGGAATACTATGCAGCCATAAAAGAGAATGAGATCATGTCCTTCGCCGGGACATGGATGAAGCCGGAAGCCATCATCCTCAGCAAACAAACACGGGAACAGAAAACCAAATACCTCATGTTCTCACTCATAAGTGGGAGATGAACAATGAGAACACATGGACATAGAGAGAGGAACAACACACACCAGGGCCTGTTGGGGGCTGGGGGGTGAGGGGAGGGAACTTAGAGGATGGGTCAATAGGTACAGCAAACCACCATGGCACACATGTACCTGTGTAACAAACCTACACGTTCTGCACATGTATCCCATTTTTTTCTTTTAGCAGAAATTTTTCAAAAAGATTTTAAAGACAAAAAAAGATCATTAAGTAATTTTTCACATGGAATTCAGAGAATTCGTAACTCTACTACAACAGTCTACATGAACAAGGTTTCTCAGCACTAATATGTATAAAAGCAAAAATCAGGGCTAATATTGATGCTGAACCCTGTCTTATTCTAGCAATAACTAATCTTCATTAGCAGATACATAAACTAGTCGTGAAAAAAGCATATCTAATTAAAAGAGAAATTTTTAATACATTGTTTTTGTGGAATGGTCACAAAACTTTTTATATATTTTTGCTGTTTTGATTGGTTATATTCAAATAATTATAATAATCCAGTCAGGTGATTTGTTTTTTACACTTAGAGGAATGTATTGTCAGGAAATATTTCAACCTTTCTTAAATTTAAACTTATATAATTTCATGGCAGAGAAATATGTAGTAATCAATAAAAAACCTTCAAGCATAAAATTACATTAAGATAAAATTATGTAGGGGAAATGGAATGGAAAAAGAACCAATGTAGAATTTCTATTACAAATTTCTATTTTAGAGTTTATTCATGTGTTTTTGTTAATGGTGAGCATCAAATTACTTGTAGTACTTAGATTTTATTGGCTATTCAAAAGACTAGTGGAAAAGTTATATATTTAAACGTCAATATTCAAACTTGTGGGAAATTACATACTTTGCAGCTACTTAAACTTATGAAAAAATGTAGTTTTCAACCTAAAATAAGGAATTATTTTATGAAATAAATGAGCAAATGTTTGAAGCCCGCTTGACCACAGCATGTTGGGTGCCATGCTGGATCTTGAAGAAGTACACTGCACTCATAGAATTTATTGTCAAATTTAATTGGTGATGTTTCCTTTGTTCAACAGGATGGTCTGACACCACTGCACTGTGGAGCAAGGAGTGGCCACGAGCAGGTGGTAGAAATGTTGCTTGATCGAGCTGCCCCCATTCTTTCAAAAACCAAGGTAATTTCTTTTCAGGTTTCTGGACATTGGACTGTATTTATTTTGATGGTTATATGATCTAGCCTTTTGAATCACATAGAAAATGACATTTTCAATGTAGCAGTCAGAGTAGTTATGTTCACCAGATCTTTATAGAACCTCAGAATAAGTTTGGGCTAATTAAGATTTTATGTAGAATGTGCTATACCACAAAGTTGTTTGTGTGTGTGTGGTTTTTGTTGTGTTTCAGGAATGCTTACTGCTTGATTTTACTCTGTGAAATTTTCATAGCTCAGAAATAATTGCTTGTCAGGTTAAGAAAGACTAAAGTTCTACACTCTCTAACGTTTGGGTGCCGGCTATCTTCAGCACCTCAGCTTACTTCTTGAGAGTTCATAGACTTTTAAGGAGGTCAAGGATATCACTTAGCTGATAAAGACTGGAAACTTTGGAAAGACTGCACCTTGATTGGGCTTTTGGGAATGTTGACATAGCTGAAAGGAACACATGATGATTGCCTGAAAAAAATTAATGGTTGACTCTCTTTTAGACTTTTTTTTAATAGTAAAACCATTTGACATCATTTGAAGAGGAGAATATTTGCAAATAAATTTTGAGACATGTAAACCACCTCATTGTCACTACTACTTTTATTAATTAAACCAGTGATTTTTTTGGAAATGATACTAAGCTTTACTAAGAGCTTTAATCTCTAAACATTATCAAAGCAACAAAAGCACATATTATTTCTGTCTTCACTCTGGTCAGTGTTTCCTCAACAATATTAGGAAGGCTAGACAGGGTTGAGATGGTCTGGACAATTCCATCACTCATTTAAAACGTAGGGTTTAGATTGGTGAGCTGTTGAGGGTATTGTCTAACAGAATTAAACAGCCATGATGTTTTCATTGTATATGATGACATCTTGGCCTTTTGAGTGTTTCTTATCTTGATGATTCTATTTGTTCTTTTCCTTTTACATACCCCATATCTATTTTCTTTCCCCCTCCACTGCTATCTTCTAAGCCACATTATCATCTCTCACCTAACCACTGTAGTAGCTTCCTGTTGGTCCCCCATTTCCCTTTTTGCTCCTTTACAAATCAGTTCCCACTTTGCAGTCAGAGTGGCCATATAAACTGTCATCCAAATCATGTCAGCCTCCTGCTTAAAAACCCTCCCATTAATCCCCATTGTTCTCTTTCAAATTGATTTTCATTTTCTCAGAGCAGTAAGGACCAATGTTAAAAATCAGAGAGTTGCTCATATTTTTTCTCCTATTCATCTCATTGCTTTGGATTTTTTCTGAGAAATCTTCTTAATTTTTTTCTTCCAATCTTTTAATTTTCAAGAACATTTTCTTGTTATCAGATAGCTTCTTTTCTTAAAGTATCCTGTTCTTGTTTAATGGGTACATTTTTTTCTGTTACCTTTCTGAGAACATTTGAGATAACTTTTCTTTTAATTTAGTTTTTCTGTTTCCCAAATGTCCCTAATTCCTCAGATTTCCTTTTTTTCCTTTTTTTTTTTTTTTTTTTTTGGCTCTGTATTTTACAATGAAGGCTTCCCACAATGGCTGTACCTAATTGTGTCAGGCACAAACATGTGAGTGGCAGCTCTAAAGAGTGTAGGCAGTGCTGATCAGGTGGCAGTGGTTAAGAGGGGCTCTTTAATGTCACAATTAGGTTCCCTTTACCTTAGGCGGTATAGTTTTTTGAGAGACAAATCCACCAACCTTTGCAGTGCACACATGTGTGAATACATTCTGAGTAGGGGAAAGAGGCTGCCAGTCTTGTGCTTTATGCATACTTTAATCATAATAATGATAAGCAATATTTTACATAGTGATTACTGCTTATCAGGCTCTATGTTCTTTACACATATTAACTCATTTAATCCTCGTTAAATGAGATACTGGTATTACTGTTATTCCCTTTTCATAGATGAGGAAACTGAAACCCAAAGAGGTAAAGTAGCTTTCTCAAAATATCCCAATTAGTGGCAGAACAAGGATTTGAACCCAAGCAGCCCAACTCCAGAGACCACATCCTTAACGCCTCCATTCTCCTTCCTTTTTCTGTGATCACCTATTCTTGGTCCAGATCCTCGTCACTGCCCTCTGTTCTGCCTGGGCCCTTGAGTCTGAATCTCTCTAGTTCACCTTCTCCAGACACTAATTCTGGTGTCCTTCAGGCTAGCAGGAGGCAGTTACCTGACTTTGCTGAGTTGGGAAGGGCCTGGAGACCTGACGGCTCCATACACAGTCTTTGAACCAATCTTATTTGCAGCCCCAAGTCTCACTTTATCTTCTGAGGTACTACGCTTCCACAGCCTTTGCCTTTTTGGGATTTGAGAGGCAAATCAGCTTGTCTTTTTATTCCCAGCAGTGTGCTGGATCCTGATTGTATCGGCTCATGAGCTGGTTGTGTACATCTCTTTCCAATTCCCCATTCAGTAACATCAGATGGACGGCTTGAAATGGGTTATTGTGGGGGGATTTACAGCATGGAAATTGGGTAGTGCTACACACTGGGGCTTTTCTTTTTCCAGGAGTTGGGTGTTAAAACATTTGTCAGCACAGCACTGATTCTACTGCTTCAGACACTTAGGTTTCAGCCTCTCTCTTCAGCTGGATGAATTACCACACTCAAATCCTCTTTTCATATTCTGAAGTTTGGAGACAACCCTCATCTGGTTTTTTATTTCTTCCCCATTGTGTGTGTGGGAATGGAAAAGGAAACACACATGTGTGCCCTTCTAGATTTTACCCTTTAAATCCATTACTGCTTTTTGGTGGAGTTTTGGGAGAGGAAGGATACATATATCTATTACACCTGCTGTGTTTGATCAGAAGTCTCCCTCTGCACTGAGGATAGACTTCTTAACAGATTCTGACCACCTCTCTTCCTCATCTCCTCCGGTTTTGCTCCTTCCTTGCCATCTTTTAGCTAACCAGCCTTCTTTTACTTCCTAGAATACGCCTTTGTTCTCATTTCCTGTTTGCTTGGTTTGAGTTCCCTCAGCTTGTTCCAGATCTCTGTGGTCCCCGTATATTCTTCAACTCAAATGTCTTCCTCATAGACAGGCGTTTTCTCACGATTTACCCCTCCCATCTTCACCACCTCCTGCCAGTGCCATCTGGCCATATTTTATTTTCTTTAGAGCTTTTAACACCATCTTGAAATTATATGCTTGTTTACTTGCTTGCTGTCTGGTTCTCTTCAATAGAATGAAAGCAAGAACTTTTCCTTGTTGAGTGCAATACCCACAAGCACCTATTTTCATGCGCAGAACACAGTAGGGCTTCAGTAAATATTTGTTGAATGACTATTAAGTGAATGAGTACATTCCTAGCCTTAAGGCCATCTGACCCGTTCTTCAAGAATTTCATCTTACTGAGCTAAGAAAGCCCATCACATTGGTTCCATATTTTCAGGCACCATATGTAATACCACCTCTTTCCATAGGGCAGATGATCTTTTCTTTACTGTTTTCTTGTCCTTCTCCAATTATCTTTAAGTTTCCCATCCACACAATCATTGTGTTTTTGCATTGCTAGAGAATTTTTTTTTATTGACACTGCCTCCCATTTTTACTCTCCACTATTACTTGTTCTCTCAGATTTTGTGGGATTTTTTTGTTTGTTCACTTGTTTACTTCATGTTTTCCTCTAAGACTGTATCAAAACATAAAGCAAAAGAATATTTTGGCAGGAATAAAGCAGTCCATATGCTCGTGGGTAGCAGTATCTCAAATGGGAAATGTTCCTACCTTTTCCTGCACCTTAATTTCTACGGTTTAAAATATTTGAGGGAAATTTTTTAGGCAGAAATATCCTGATGGGCTGACAGTGTACGAGGCCTTTAAATTGACCTAGATATTTGCTGAGCTCTTTCTGTATATGCAAAGCTCTCTTCTGGGCAATGAAAAAATAATAACCATGTACCTCTTGCCTTCACGGAACACAAATAGTTGAAATATATGTCAGAGAGTGGATAATGCCGTTAGAATGGTTAACAAGGAGCTTATACTACTTTTTCTTATCTTGAACTCCTTCTTTGTGTCATCCATTGATAAATTCAGAGCAAATAACTTGGCTCAGAGGATTCAGAAACCTCTGGTTCCTTGGTACATATTTGATCTGTCATTGTCAAAATTCATTGATGACAATTTTTTTAGAAACTGAATTTGCTGTCAAATTACTTTTCCCTAATATATGTTAAATTATGTTACAATAATTGATAGAGCCTCTCTTGATAATTGAATTCTCTAGGAATTTCCCAGGCTCCCCCACTTCGCCATCATAGTTAAAAGAAAGGACTGACATCTTCATAGCTTGTTTTGCCTTCATTAGGAAACATATTGAGTGCCAGTGTCATTCTAGGTTTTATTTACCTTTGACCCTATTTATTTATTCTCTCTGCTCTTTAAATGAATTTTCAACTCGCTCCTACTGCACGTGATTAACTGTGTTATTGAACCCAGTTGATTTAAACTAACAAGTCAAGCATTAGTTAGTGGCTTTGTCAATGCCTTGCCTTTCCTCATCATAGACACATGGGGGCACCAGATTGATAGAAAAGGGAAAAGTTTTCCTTTCTTCTTTGATGTGAGATGAAATGCGTTACATTCAGACCTTTTTTAAAGTCAAATCAGTATAGTCTTCAATATTGGGTGTTAGTAATCTCTAAGGACAAAATTAATACCAGTCCAATGAATACCACTGTTCTTACCTTCATTTTTTCTTTTAGTCTTAAATATTAAGAATTCCTATCTGGCCAAATTACAGTGGCTCATACCTATAATCCCAGTGCTTTGAAAAGCTAAGGCAGGAGGATCGCTTCAGGCCAGGAGTTTGAGACCAGCTGAGCAACAGAGTGAAACCCCATCTCTATTTAAAAGAAAAAGAAAAGTAAAATTCATATGCCTCTAAGTTATGACCCATGCTGCAATTCTCACTTCTATTAAATTGGGAAAAGACATTATCCTTGACAACTTGTTATTGACTGGCATAAGCAGTTGGGAGGACCAGTTTTAAAAATAGCTGTAGTTCAAAATAGTTGTCAAAAGCTTTTACAAATAGAAGGTATTTTCATGTGAAGAACTGGAGTTTTTATCTGTTTATATTTGCACTTTGTGTTCTGCACATTTGTGTTTAAAAGGTAAAAGAATGAACTCTGATTTCTTTATGTGTTCCAGAATGGATTATCTCCATTGCACATGGCCACACAAGGGGATCATTTAAACTGCGTCCAGCTTCTCCTCCAGCATAATGTACCCGTGGATGATGTCACCAATGACTACCTGACTGCCCTACACGTGGCTGCCCACTGTGGCCATTACAAAGTTGCCAAGGTTCTCTTGGATAAGAAAGCTAACCCCAATGCCAAAGCCCTGGTGAGTGGCTCAACCAGCGAGTCCAGCCTCAGTTGTCTTGCTCACAACGTGCTGCCTCTGTATGTGAAGGGAATGCTTTGAGGAGGTTAAAATAGAAGGTGCTAGTTAAAGTGTACTTCTTGTCAATTTTTTCAAATATCCTTCAGGAAAGTCTACAAAATTTTCTATTTCTGACATGAGAAAGGCTGAGGGAGCCAAACTGTTAATGTTTTTATGGTCACATAAGTGATTCCCGTATGAACCCAAAGACTATACAATTATAAAAAGACTAAGGTGGCCAACGTCGTCTTATTGTGGATAAACTTATAATTCTGTGAATTAAAAGTTTATTCTGAGATCTGAAAACAAGGCAAAGTTATCAAAAAACTCTATTTGAAACATAAGTGGTCTAGGAATTTGTGAGCTAAAATTTTATATATCTTAACCTTGTAAGTTAATGAAATATTGCCTGTAATCTTCTGTTTCCGTTTGCCAATCAGAATTTTGGTCCAGTTTATAGGCTTCACTTTAATTTGTTCTTTTAACCTTTAGCTATGCTGTACTTTGGTTTTCTCAGCAAGATGGTACTTGTTGTCTTTGCAAAAATAAATGGTCCCAAATTAGTAAGCTGTCTATTTCAGAATAAGTACCCAAGTTTAGGAAAAAATAAGTCACCCAATTTTAGGGAAAACATGTGAGTTTACTAGCAATTTTGAGGTAAAGGTTGTCATCATCCAATTGACCCTTTTAGGAAGGGTTTTTGCCCCTTTCCAAAGAGTGCGGTCATCCTGTCTGGATAGATCCGTACCACCTCTTGTACTCTGTGGGCTCTAAAATTCAGAGTGGACAGGAAAGAATGACGAAAGAGAAACTCTCCAGACCCCAGACACCTCCTTGCCACTATAATTCTAAAACCTTTTACCAAAGCAGCATTTCAAGATCAGTCTGTTGACCCACCCAGTCTATCAAATGTGTCTGAATTCTGAGAAGGGAGGAAAGGAAATTAGCAGTCATGACTCTTTTTTCCATACAAGAAAAAAATAAGTCCTAAAACAGGGCGTGGGCTCCCACTCTCATTTTCCTCTGACTCTGAAGATTTCACAACATATGGAGGTTGTAGCCAGTCATCCTGGGATGGACTGTGGCCAAATGGTCTGAGAAGCCTCGGTGAAAGCACCTGCAGTGACTTTGACCTAAGCTTTTACAGTGGACTCTGGTATTTTATAGTTCTCCACTGGCAGCTGAAATACGTGCCACAGTCTCAATCGGCAGGCAGGACAACTTAGGACATAATTTATTAAAAAGCAGATTCTTTTATTAGATTAAATAGTAAACAAAATGATTCAAATAATGGGTTATTTACATTTCTGCATGCTTGGAGTAAACACCTACTTGAAGCATAAAGCTAGAGAAGAAATCAAAACGTTTTAGAGCTGGTCTTGTAGTTGTCCTAAAACACAGCAAAGAGAACAGAATAAACCTTGGTGAAGTGGAGCTGTGAGGACAAATGTTGGGGCCAGACGTTTTCAGTCTGTATTTGAAATGAGGTAGAGGAGGGACATATTATTATTATTTATTATTTTGAAACAGAGTTTCGCTCTTGTTGCCCAGGCTGGAGTGCAATGGCACAATCTCGGCTCACTGCAACCTCCGCCTCCTGGGTTCAAGTGATTCTCCTGCCTCAGCCTCCCAAGTAGCTGGGATTACAGGTGCACGCCACTATGCCTGCCTAATTTTTGTATTTTTAGTAGAGATGGGGTTTCACCGTGTTGGCCAGGTTGGTCTCGAACTCCTGACCTCAGGTGATCCACCCACCTCAGCCTCCCAAAGTGCTGGGATTACACATGTGAGCCACCACACCCAGCCTGAGACATATTTGGAAGAGTGAATTCCAAAATAAAATAATGAAATGAATGATCATTTTTACCTCAGCTAACCAGGAGAGTGTAATAAAAATTCACTTCCTGTTCACAATTATCAGGGTACCTTGGGTTCCCAGGGCAGCTGGACTACTTCTAGAATAGAATCTACATGCTGCTTAACCCTGGTACTTTCTGTTCATTTCAATTTACCACACATCATTTTAGCAAAACTATTTACTGCACACAGTGAAACTGGATTTTGATGGAATGTAGTCAAGCAGGTATATGTATTTGTCCCTTGCAGAATGGCTTTACCCCTCTTCATATTGCCTGCAAGAAGAATCGAATTAAAGTAATGGAACTCCTTCTGAAACACGGTGCATCCATCCAAGCTGTAACCGAGGTGAGAAGAGTTAAGATTTCTGGGAGTCCTGAGATACTGAGAGTATAGCCTTAGCAGCCAGAGCCCCAGGGCCATCTCCAGGGACCAGCTAGTTTGTTTGCATATCATGGCCATAGACTGCATTCTGAACTCTTTAGGAAGAGGGCTGCCAGTCCCTAGGAGAAGCAGACAAACATGTTGGTGGGTGAGTTTGATGCAAATGTATCACCATGTCAAGAAATGTAACCTAAAACACATGCTTAAGGGGAAGGGCACCTTCACAGAAAGCATAATTTATATCAAATCCTATACTGTAGTACTTCTCTAGTGGGTGCAGTTTTGTCCCCCAAGGGGCGTTTAGTCATGTCTGGAGGTACTTTTAATTGTCACAACTGGATAGTACTACTGGTCTCTAGTGGGTCAAGGCCAAGGATGCTACTAAACAGTTTACAGTATACAGGACAGTCTCCCGCAACAAAAAGTCGTCTGATTCAAAATGTCAAATGTGCTGAGGTTGAGAAACCCTGCACAAGACGACCTTGGTGCTTTTCTCAAGTAAGGGTTACTCTGTCTTAAAACTCAAAATTAATGAAACAGCTGCTGAGGTTAGTAAAGTATTAGACCTAAGTTTCTCTCATAGGAACCAACTCAGAACTCAGAGAAATGATCCATCAGAATCAGGGCTGTGCCTTCTACAAAGCAAACCAAGCCTGACACCTACCCTTTCAGACTTGTCCCAGACCCCCAACCTCCACCTCACTACATCCTAGCACTCTGATTGATCTCTGTTAATTCTAATTCTAACCCTTGGCACTTCCATAGACTAGACACTCTCTTGTTTGCCTCCGTATGTCTCTGCCTCTGTGTGTCACACCCCCTTGGCCAGGCAAATCCTGCACGTCCTTTAGAACCAGATCTGGGCCACCTTCTTCAGGAAACCCCCGCTCACTCCCCAGCCTGGACTACATGTTCCTTCTAGGAACCATCACCTCATCGTGTGCATATTTCCATCAAAGCCCTTATCCAGCTCTCTGACTTATGACTCAGTGGCACCCCCAAGAACCCCAGAGGCTGAAGGCTCCTTGGAAGCAGGGCTGAGTCTGACTGGTCTTCATATACCCACACTGTCTGGCCCATACACAGATCATTCAGTAAAGTTTTGTTGAATGCCTGATGCTTAACTATAGGATTTGAAGCAAACATAAACATTAAAGTCTAGTCTAGTGATTGTTGCTTGGCTTCAGTTTCTTGCCTGCAAATGGAATATTTGCCTAGATTTACACTTAGAATTTTTAAAATATTAAATGGTTGACAATATGAATACTGATTTGCCATATTGTCAGGCTTATGGGTTCATATTAGGCAACCTGTTATTTTTAAGTATAAAATAGAAAGTTTACTTTCAGTGCATAGGAACCCTCTTAGAGATAAGAATAGGCTCTAAAATAAAAGTAAATTCTTGGCTGATGTTTGAGTAAATGTCCAGAGATATCAACCAGTAATCCAGCTCTCTGTTCCCTAAGAGCTTTAAAAGGCAGTTCAGACCAAGATTTTGCCTTGCACAAGCTCTAACTACTCCCCCTGCTGATGGAAAAAGGTGCCAAGACTATAACAAAATTCTCATTTTCCTAATTGTCCTCCATTCTTCTCACTTTTTGAATTCTGGACAGCCGGAATTATTCCTTTTCTGTCTTTTACCTCACTTTGATTGTATAGAATTCCTTTCATATATTTTTGACATTTCTCAAATTTCTGCTGAGATTAATTATCCCCTTCTGTCCCTTTTTTAAAAAACAGGTTAGCTTTTTCTAAACATACTAAAAAAAATGTTTTATCAAGTTATGATGTTCATGTTGTAAGCTAAATTAAACTGAAAAATTTAAAATGGAATCATTTCATATAAAAAGCACGAGTAAATTATACTCTTTAAAATATTAATGACTTGAGATTTTTATCTTTCTTATTCACTCTAAATCTCACAATCATGGACATATTCAATATAAAATATCCTGGAATCAATAAATTCTGCTTTACGCTGAAGAGTATTCTGGGGTCTATGTACATTTATGTATATGTATGTGTGCATAGGATCTGAAGCAATTCAAGTCTAGTCTAGTGACCATTGTAATATTTGCTTTATTTAGATTGCTTTAATTTATAATACCCATAAAGTTAAACAATTAAATGTTTGAAACTATTAATGCTGATTTGTTCATTTATTAAAGAAACAGCTTTGTGTTAGGTACCCTGCTCTTTTATATGTGACATAAATGGGAATCCTCTTTAAAGCCCAGAATAGGATCTGAAATAAAAGTTGACTTTTTACTAGTATGTATGAAATCACAGCTCTCCTCCTTCTACACACACACATATGGATAAGGAAGGTTTATTAGTAAAGGGGAAAACAACCTTCAAGTTATTTATCAATTTTTTCAAAGATCTACATTAAAAGTATGAAATAAATTCTTTTTCTTTTTTAATAGGTATGACATAAGTCTTTCATAGTAACAGAATTTGCTTTAGGAAAACGATGATTATATGTTTATATATTTACCATATAGAATCTGTAACATAATGGTGAATGTCCTGATGTCTTCTAATCCGATCATTAAACTGATTTAGATGGGTGGATGGATGACAGGCAGGCAGGCTCACAGACAAACCTTTTTTATGCTAAGCCAACAAACCACCATTTTCTTCTTTTCCCCTTAGTCGGGCCTTACCCCAATCCATGTTGCTGCCTTCATGGGGCATGTAAATATTGTATCACAACTAATGCATCATGGAGCCTCACCAAACACCACCAATGTGGTAAGTATTCTTTGAACAAAGGAGGTCCATTGTGAGTATTTAATAAACTGGCAAAGGTGGTTTTTATCTACTTTTTTTATTTTTTATTTTTTTAAGAGTTGGAGTATCGCTCTGTCTCCCAGACTGGAATACAGTGGTGCAATCATAGCTCACTGCAGCCTTGAATCCTGGACTCAAGTGCTCCTCCCATCTCAGCCTCCCAACTAACTGGGACTACAGGAATGTGCTATCATGCCTGGCTAATTTTTAAATGTTTTGTAGAGACGGGGGCCTCACTATTTTGCCCAGGCTGGTCTTGAACTCCTGGCTTCAAGCAATCCTCCTGCGCTGGCCTCCTAAATTGTTGGGCTTATAGGCATGAGCCACCATGCCCGGCCTTATTGTTATTATAATTAATTAATATGTAATTAATATGACTACTTAAAAGAAGAAAGTTCAAGAATACATTTGTTTCCTTTACTTCAAAGGCAAGATACACTCGGTCTCTAGTTGGCCACAAATTGTTAGGACTTACGAACTACGTTCATTAACCTTACAGGTGCATTACTACTGGATATTATGTTTTAAAAAATAAAGTGTGGCCGGGCACGGTGGCTCACGCTTGTAATCCCAGCACTTTGGGAGGCTGAGGCAGGCCGGTCACATGAGGTTGGGAGTTCGAGACCAGCCTGACCAACATGGAGAATCCCCCGTCTCTACTAAAAAATACAAAATTAGCCAGGCATGGTGGCGCATGCCTGTAATCCTAGCAACTTGGGAGGCTGAGGCAGGAGAATTGCCTGAACCTGGGAGGCGGAGGTTGCGGTGAGCTGAGATTGAGCCATTGCACTCCAGCCTGGCCAATAAGAGTGAAACTCCATCTCAAAAAAAATAATAAATAAAAAATAAAGTATGGGGGGTATTTTTCTACAACAAAAACATTAAAAAGTACCGCATGTTGGAGAGGTTGTTTAGATACTATCGTCGTTTATACAAAGAAGTGATTTTAGCAGGGCATGGTGGCTCACGCCTGTAATCCCAGCACTTTGGGAGGCCGAGATGGGTGGATCACTTAAGGACGGGAATTCAAGACCAGCCTGGCCAAAATGATGAAACCTGTCTCTACTAAAAATACGAAAAAGAATTAGCTGGGCGTGGTGGTGCATGCATGTAATTCCAACTACTCAGGAGGCTGAGGCACGAGAATCACTTGAACTTGGGAGGCAGAGGTTGCAGTAAGCCAAGATCATGCCACTGCACTCTAGACTGGGCAACAGAGTGAGACTCTGTCTCAAAAAAAAAAAAAAAAAAAAAGAAGTGATTTCAACTAACTTCAAGGTAGTCTCTCTTTAATGTGCTTCACCATGTTATAGCAAACCCATGGAATTCTGTGTTCATAGATTACTCGATGGTATTCTTTTCCCACACTAAACATTGCTCTGTAGGAACCATGAGGCTCACTTCAGAGTAGCTATCAGAGTGGTAACTTACCACCCATGATCTGCATGTGGCATTTGACATTGTTTTATAGAATTTCAAATTTGACATCATAATATTAGCACAACAGACCATAGACATAATAACACTCATTGGACTCATGAGCATTAAAGAAGTAACAATAAAACAAGCACCATCCTGGCACAGAAGGGGCAAGCTAGGAGGCCCTGCACGCTTACCCTGAGAGTGGGGCTCCCCAGTAAGAGTGCATCTTCCAGCAGCCCCAAGCAGTACAACCAAAAGATAGAAATAGGCCAGCTTCTGAGATGAAATACAGTCTTTCCTAGTACTAATTGCACAGAATGTTTTCATTCGTAAAGGGAACACTGAGTAATATACTAAATGACATCCTCAGCACCTTTCCAGTAAACACAATCCACCAGTTTCCTGTGGAATCTGTCTTCACGTGTCCTTCCATGGAAGTAGGTGGCCTATAAAGCAAAGACCAATTTATAAAGGCAGTTTAAAAGTGAGCATCACCTATGTGAGAGAATATATTTCATTTTTGTTATTTGTCCATTTCAGTGTATCTGTTTCTAATACCATTTTCATTTTTAATCAAGTAAAGAAGTAATCTGGATTAGAATCTATTTGGTGAAAAAGTAGGGGGAGGGTGGTCCAGGGCAAAGAAAATGACCCACTGGGAAAAATGCCCAAAGACTAAGATATTGATCTGTTCAGATAAAACAAGAAATGCAAACCGGCTGTTGACAAGCCAAATCCAGCCCTTGGCTATGTTTAGGTTGCCCATGTAGTGTTTTGTTTTTAATTCTGAATTTATGGTCAATATTTAAGAGTTAGAAAATTTGTATAAAATCCAGACTGCCACTTCTTTTGAAAAGTTGCATGGTGTGGCATGGTAAGGCTGGCATCTTGCACAGTGACAGCAGCGAGCTGCAGATGTGGGGGGTGTGGGGTGGGGGGTTGGCTGCCTGCTTCAGCGCAGGTGTGGGCTCTCTCAAGCACTCCACACCTGCCCAGCTGCACTCACTCACCCCCCTGCTTGGCTCCTATGAGCACTGACCTTTCCAGCCCTGAGGGAGGCCACATTGTAGGTTACTGAGCAGCACCCCTGGCACAGTGGGTGACAAGACTCCCGAGGCTTATGCCAAAGTCTTTGCCTCATGGACCAGGTTCCTGTGAAATTCTCATGCATTTGATTTCCTATCTTTTCAATAAGGAAGTGCTTAGGACTATTTTTTATTTTTGAAAAAAGTCCATCATAAGCTTTATGCCAAATAAAATACACTACTCTTCTTCAGAGCTGCAGCTAATTTACTTTGGCTCATGTTCCCCAGAGAGGAGAAACAGCACTGCACATGGCAGCTCGCTCCGGCCAAGCTGAAGTTGTGCGGTATCTGGTACAAGACGGAGCTCAGGTAGAAGCTAAAGCTAAGGTATGCGCAATACTTGACAAGTGTTTGAAATTGAGGAAAAACTGTTGGATTTTCATAAAACTTTTAAGTATATACATGCAGTCTTTCAAGAATACTTTAAAAATATTGAAAAACCTCCAATGATAAAAGTCCCTACCCAAGTAACATTGTAAAAAATCCCTTCCCTGCACATTTGTTCATTCTATTATTTAACAAAATGAAATAGGATGAGATGAGAACTTGTGCCTGAAACTGTCAGCACACGGCTAGTCCCTAACAGATTGGGGACTGAATCTAGACTTGGTCCAAAGTTCTTCACACTCCGTGGAGAAGGGCTTATGCACAAAGCTTCTAGAACAATCACAACCTAGAAGCATAACTGAGCTTTTCTGGTTGACTTATAAGTCAGCTGTCAACAGCCACAAAAGGAAAATGGGGGATTTTTTTTTTTTTCTACACAAGCTGTATGGCCACTTCAGAATTGGCCTCGTATTTCACCTGCAGGAGAAACCCACTTATCTGCTGCTATTGGGATAGATAGTTCGGTCAGGCTATCAGAATGGCAGTTCAGGTCCAGAATCATAAACCACTTAATTTCAACCTACAATATGTAAATATACATTTGCACAAGTCTGCAGTCTCTAGTTTCAAGTAAGGGGTGGCAGTAGTAGCAGTATGTGAGATTTTTCCTTGGCACCTATTCGTTTCTGCTTTCAATATTCCTCTTCTCCCTTGCAGCATCTCCCTAACTCCTCATGCTTCCTACTGGTTAGATAGCCCCTCTTACTTTGACATTGACCCTCATCCTCCTTATTCTTCCAAAATGGTGTCCTCTATTCTAGCCTCGTTTCTCTACCTTTCCTACTTAAACCATTTACCTGAACCTTATCACAATTCAGTAGAGAATTTCTATTTAGAGGACTACCACAGGGATCTTTGAGCAAATTAAGATGATTTGCGCCTCCCACTTGGGGATAAGACCCTAGGGGATCAGGACTTGGTGAGTACCTCCTGCCCTTGGGTGAATTGTAGTGAGGTGGCTCTCCAGTTTAGACAGATGCAGCCCTTGCCAGGATGCACAGCCTGGCAAGCAGAGGGCATCAGCCCCTGCTGACCCTTCAGCTGGGAGCCTTTGCACAGGTATACTGCGCAACCCCACACTGCCTTCCTCACACTCTGCTTTTGTCTATGGGAAGGCAGAACCAACAAAATAATTCATTCCATGTGAGTGCATAATAACTGGTGTGGAGGTATAATATCCCTCCCAGGTATATGAGTTTTACTAGGATACATTCTCTTATCTCCCAAAGAAGGAGCAATTAAAGTTCAAATTTGATTCTCTGTGGCAGGTGTGGGTGGGGTGTAATTTATAGACAACTGCATTTCATGGTTTTCTTATTAATGAGTCACTCTCCACAGGTATTTAATTAGCTTAGAGCTACCATCTCCTCATTTCTGAGCATTGAAGAAAAAGACAAATGAGTTTTTTTAGCATTGACTCAAAAAGTTGATTGTACCTCTTACATCAAGCAGCTAATATTCCCTGAATTTTTCATAAAGGCACCATTGTTTCCTCAGCTCATCAGCCTTACATTTCTACCTTGCTGTTTAGGATGACCAAACACCACTCCACATTTCAGCCCGACTGGGGAAAGCAGACATAGTACAACAGCTGTTGCAGCAAGGGGCATCTCCAAATGCAGCCACAACTTCTGGGTACACCCCACTTCACCTTTCCGCCCGAGAGGGGCATGAGGATGTGGCCGCGTTCCTTTTGGATCATGGAGCGTCTTTATCTATAACAACAAAGGTATGAAAGCAAATCTCAGAATCCTGCTCTGTCCCCCCAAATACATCTTCCTTACGTTTCCCCGCATAGTAACAGGTCCAGAAGCTGCACAACAGCATCTATTCTTGCGATCCCACAGTAGTCATTAATATGGCCAGCAAAGCTCTGTGGTGGGAGAGGGTAACTGGTAGTATTTTGTGGGGGGTTTTTTGCCTTAAGTTTCTTAGTATGTTATCTTCCAATGAAACCTTACTGATATCCAGAGTCAGATTTCTTGTAAATTATTTGGTGGCCTTAAATGGTAGTTTAAAAACAGAGCCACAGATTAGCAAAATGCTCAGGCCAAGCACACAAACCACATTATCACAGCTCGGTTGGTAGATGCTTTTATAATACTTGCAAAACTGGCAGTGAATTTTTCTTGGGGTTGTTTTTGTTTGTTCTTGTTCTTTTTTGTGTCATTATTGTCTTGTCTGACTTATGGTTTGATTTATTTTTATCTCAACTCTGATGCCTTAGAGTAATACCCTAACATAAACAGTTGTTCTGCATGTGCAGAATGCAAAATTTGGAGCTCATTTTTTTTGTGATACTACATAAGCCTTGCAAGTGTGATAGCAAGATGAATTGGCTTGTGGCGCATCTTCCAAAGCTAGTAACTGGTACTGCACTCTTTTATTTGGATGCAGATAAGAAAGATTAATGTGTAATCAATATAGAAGACAATTACAAATAGAAAACTATCGGGATAAATGATGACTACCTCAAATTTCATTTCTTGTGATTCTTTGGGCTCTTCAGTAGAGTTGAGATGCAAGTTCAGGAAGCTCATTTGATGTGAAACAGAATAATGGGTGATAGGGTCTTGAGTATTCAGGCATTTCACCATACCAGCTGCACATTCCTTTTAGTTTGCTGTAGTCTCATGAGGTCAAATGTGCTGATGACCCCGTAATCCCTGACTCATGATTGGGACCCCCACAACAGTGTGCTGATTGGCTGGTTGATACACAGATTCTTGTAGGAGTTGGAAGTCTGAGGGAGCCAGCCACTCAGCTATTAATATCCAAGTGTTGCATATTTGTCCATGTGTCATTATTCAGTTCACCTACAGAATAGACGTCGTCATTCTAAAACCATGTCATTATTCAGTTCACCTCTGGTGGCAAAGGTGAGAGAATTTCTCACTCCTCCTCCTGAAGACTAGAGGACACATAAGGATTGTGTATACATGGAGAAACGGGGAAAGAAGAAGAAAAGTGGCTGGTCTGGTGATGTGAGATTGTGAGAGGTTCAGACTTGCCCTGGATTTTCCCAAGCCCTCCAAACTGAGTCTGGGACCCTATAACTTATTCTTCCCACAATATGAAACTCTGAAAACAGCCCTAGAATAAGCCCCAGATCCAGCTCTCCAACTTCATCCTGGTGAGATACCTGAAGACTTCCAGAACCAATAGCATGTCATGGCTCAGTCAGCAGAAGGGAGAAAGATTAGGTATCCTGGTATGTTATGCTCACACCCTGTCAATAAGAAGGCTCTTGAACTCTTATCTGTGAGTCTTGGACTTTAAATGCAGACTTCACTGCTCATCATCAATAGAATAATTAATCAGTTCTGGAAAGCAGTGCCCTTATGTCATATCTTTTTGTTTGTTTGTTGTTTGGTTTGGGTTTTGTGTGTGTTTTCCTTATGTCATTTCTATTGTTCATTATTTTTATGTTTTTTTTTTTTCAGAAAGGATTTACTCCTCTTCATGTGGCAGCAAAATATGGAAAGCTTGAAGTCGCCAATCTCCTGCTACAGAAAAGTGCATCTCCAGATGCTGCTGGGAAGGTAAGAGGTCACCAGCCACCCTGAAGCAGGCCACTTCCACGATAACAAAATACACCCTTGCTAATATTCACTAATAGCCACTCAAATTATAACTAAATATTTAAGTCCCACTAGGATGAAGAGCACTTGGGAAATAAAAGGTAAATGCTGGGGTCCAAGTACTGTGGAAACCGGAATGTAAATATGCCCTATGTCGTATCCAATCTAATTTCATTTCCTCAATCTAAGCCTCTGGTTTTAAGACACCTTTGACACTGGTTGTTGTTTCTGCACGTGTTTTCAGAGCGGGCTAACACCACTGCATGTAGCTGCACATTACGATAATCAGAAAGTGGCCCTTCTGCTTTTGGACCAAGGAGCCTCACCTCACGCAGCCGCAAAGGTACCTATAATTCCACAGCCTAAGGAGACTGATGGGTAAGGTCTATCAGTCTCTATCTGCACATCTACTTCTGCTTCAGCAGGAGCACCCTCCTAGTTTAGGCACCACTAAAAAATCACAGAAATAGAAGCACCTTAGGACATCTGTGCCTTCAGTGATTTAGTCTGCTAATATGGTAGATACTCAGGAAATATTTACTTGTCAGTTGATTGTCTTTGGCAATCCAGGACCTCCTGGAGGAAGGAGAGCTGGAACACTCTTTAGCCAGATGAAAAACATAAGCACAGCCTGAGGAAGTAAGAAAGTTCTGATTTGTCAGAATTATGAAACATGTGTTACATTTTTCTGGCCACATAATTGCCTTCAAGTTGTTTATTTGCATTTAGTAAAATAGGTTGAGAGGTTTTACATGTGTGTTTTTATTATTGCTAAGGAGGATCTTTATTGTTAGGGCCTTTTTGATCAGTAGACAACTTAGATTTCTGAGAAAAGAGAAACTGAGTGGGTATATAGCTATATTATTATTTTAGTAATCTAATTTGAGGGACAAATCATAAAGAAGAGCTTCCTTAAAGACAGGTTAATAGAGTGCTATTGGTTTAATAAGCTTCCTATTGTTGAGCAGGTGGCTATGATCAGAGAACACTGAAATGATGCAAACCATTTCAGTGTTGTTCAGTTATTTCGCTAAACACTATTGGTTGGAGGACCATTGAGTATCCCTTATGATCCTTCTCCTTTTTTTTTTTTTTTTTTGGAGGGAGACGGAGACTAGCTCTGTCTCCCAGGCTGGAGTGCAGTGGCGCAATCTCGGCTCTCTGCAAGCTCCGCCTCCGGGGTTCACGCCATTCTCCTGCCTCAGCCTCCCGAGTAGCTGGGACTACAGGCACCTGCCACCACACCTGGCCAATTTTTTGTATTTTTGGTAGAGACCGGGTTTCACCGTAGCCAGGATGGTCTCGATCTCCTGACCTTGTGATCCACCCACCTTGGCCTCCCAAAGTGCTGGAATTACAGGCGTGACACACCGCGCCCGGCCTCCCTTATGCTTTTTACATCTTTGATTTGCTAATCCATGTTGGGGCAGCTGCAGTGCTCTCCTTTAAACCTAATGTTTAGATCACATCATTGTATACACAGATGAATGAACTGGGGTTCTAGATTACTTTAGATACCCTAAGAGATCAAGTTTTAGGTACTCTCTCCATTTAGAGAGTATGTTATCTTCGACAGATATTTCTTCCTGGAAACTTTCGATCATTTTCTGCCCCATCCTCTCCAGAATTATACCCAGTGAAATCTAAAATTCAAAATCAAACTCCCAAACTTGCTTTTAATCTAAATGTAGCTTTCCCCTCCACAGTTTCTGACCCTGACAAACATTCTTTCTATTACAAAACCACAATGTGACTTGATAAAACTTTAATTTAAAAAAAGACAGCAGCATTATTCATGACAGCCAAAAGGTGGAAACAATGCAAATATTCATTGATGGATGAATGCATATACTCACTGTGCATATACACACAAAGGAATATTATTTAGTCTTTAAAAGGAAGGAAATTCTGACATACTCTACTATAATACATGGAGGAATCTTGAAGACATTGTGCTAAGTAAGCCAGCCACAAAAGGACAAATGTATGATTCTACTTATATGATGTATATAGAGTAGTCAAATTTATAGAGACAGACAGAGGATGGTGGATGTCAAGGGTAGAGGGAGAAGGGAATGGGGAGTTAATGTTTAATGGATATAGAGTCTCAATTAGGAAGACTAAAAAGTTCTGCAGATGGATAATAGTGATGGTTGGAGAACAATGTGAATACACAGTAGTTAATACTACTGACCTGTACACTGGAAAATACTTTAAATGGGAAATTTTGTTATGTGTATTTTAGCATAATTTTAAGGAGAAAAATTTGTAAGGAATTTAATGGTTGTACATTTTATTTCATTTCATTTTTACCTCTGTGCTTTTGGGCTACTTTTCTTTTTCTCTTTCTTTTTCTTTCTTTTTTTTGAGACGGAGTCTCGCTCTGTCACCCAGGCTGGAGTGCAGTGGCACGATCTTGGCTCACTGCAACCTCTGCCTCCTGGGTTCAAGCGATTCTCCTGCCTCAGCCTCCCAAGTAGCTGGGATTACAGGTGTGTGCCACCACACCCAGCTAATTTTTGTATTTTCAGTAGAGACAGGGTTTCACTGTGTTGGCCAGGTTAGTCTCAAACTCGCAACCTCAAGTGATCCTCCTACCTTGGCCTCCCAAAGTACTGGGATTACAGGGGTGAGCTACCTTGCCCAGCCCCTACTTTTCTTATGTATAAATAACCCCAAGTCCTTCATAGATAACAAGTAAATAATTAGTAAGTGAACTATTTTTTCCTTGGATGAGAATAAAAATTTTGGCACAAAAAGCAGTGTAAAATTGACCAAAGTTATAAAGCAGTAAGTGCAGCAAATGACTCCAATCTCTCTTTCTACTCACAAATAATTTTTTTTTTTTTTTGTCACCCAGACTGGAGTGTAGTGGCACGATCTTGGCTCACTGCAACCTCCGCCTCCCAGGTTGAAGCAATTCTCCTGCCTCAGCCTCCCAAATAGATGAGACTACAGGCATGTACCACCTACCCAGCTAATTTTTGTATTTTTAGTAGAGATGGGGTTTCTTCATGTTGGCCAGCTGGTCTTGAACTCCTGACCTCAAGTGATCTGCCCTCCTTGGCCTCCCAAAATGCTGGGATTACAGGCATGAGCTACTGTGCTAGGCGCACAAATAACTCTTAAACAGGGCAATAGTTGGTACATTCCTAGTTGATTTCTCCTTTACATTTGTCAAACAAGACTTAGTATTCATAGTTCTCTATCTGCAAAACATCCTTTACAAAGATTTGAAAAGAAAAGCAATCCTTTAAATAATTCTTTATAACATTCCATTAGCCTCAGGCATATTTTTATAGTCAATTAAACACAGGCTTTTCTAATGGGACATTGATTCTCATTTCCATACACAATTGCCTCCATAAGAGCCTGGGTAATGCCATCTCTGGCACATGTCCAATAATCCCTGTCTTCAGGGCAGTGGTACTGGTCAGGAACTTTTTCTAGACTTTAATCTTAAGCAAAGCCAGTCATATAATTTTAGGTATTGGCTTTATCTGCTAGGAAAAAAAAAAAAAAGTCCTAGCTACAATGGTTTAAATTGATGAGCCTCCATTTTCTCATGGCACAAACAGGAGGTAGACAGGGCAGTTGTTGATGTTGATATAGGGTGTTGAGGCAAGTTCCCTGTGACTTTTTAAAAAATCAATTTGGGGGTACAAGTGCAGTTGTGTTACATGGATATGTCGCTTAGTGCTGAATACAGGGCTTTTAGTGAAACCATCACCCAAAATGTGTACATTGTACCCATTAGAGAATTCCTTGTCCCTCACCCCACTCCTACCGTCCCACCTTTCCAAGTCTCCAATGTCTATTATTCCACTCTTTATGTCCATGTGCACACATTTAGCTCTCGCTTTCAGGCAAGAACATGCAGTATTTGACTTTCTCAGTTATTTTACTGAAGATAATGGCCTCCAGTTTCATCTGTGTTGCTGCAAAAGACATAATTTTATTCTTTTTTATAGCTGAGTAGTATTCCATGGGGTGTGTGTGTGTATTTATGTGTGTTGGTATATATGTATACACGCACATAAATTGTATATATTATAATTATATATAATTATATACAACTTATTTCCAGCTTTATATTTGTCAAACAAGACTTTATAGCTGAGTAATAGTCCACTCAGCTATAAACATATAGTATATACATATATATATATACACACATACACACATGGTATGCAATATGTGCATACCATGGAATACTACTATATGTATGTATATATATCTGTATACACACACACGCGCACCATGGGATACTACTCAGCTATAAAAACAAATAAAATAGGCCGGGTGCGGTGGCTCACGCCTGTAATCCCACTACTTTGGAAGACTGAGACGGGTGGATCACGAGGTCAGGAGATGGAGACCATCCTGGCCAACATGGTGAAACCCCTTCTCTACTAAAAATACAAAAATTAGCTGGGCATGGTGGCCAGCTACTCAGGAGGCTGAGGCAGGAGAATCACTGAAACCCGGGAGGCAGAGGATGCAGTGAGCCAAGACCGCGCCACTGCACTCCAGCCTGGGTGACAGAGCAAGACTCGGTCTCAAAAAAATAATAAAAAAGAATAAAATGTATATATCCCACATATTCACATATTCTTTATCTAATCATCCATTGGTAGACACAAAGGTTGATTTTACAGGACTTTGCTATTGTGAATGGTGCTGCAATGAACATACGAGTGCAAGTATCTTTTTTGATATAATGATTTATTTCCTTTGGGAAATACCTAACCAGCGGTATCTAACCAGTGGTAGGATTGCTGGGTCAAAGGTAGTTCTATTTTTAGTTCTTTGAGATATCTCCTTACAATTGTCCTTAAAGGTTATATTAATTTACGTTCCTACTAACAGTGTATAAGCATTTCCTTTTCTCTGCATCCTCACCAGCATCTATTATTTTTGACTTCTCATAGTAGCCATTTGGATTGGTGTGAGATGGTATCTAATTGTGGTTTTGATTTGCATTTCTCTGATGATTAGTGATGACGATCATTTTTTCATATGCTTCTTGGCCATTTGTGGGTCTTCTTTCACAAAATGTCTGTTCGTGTCCTTTGCCTTCTTTTTAATGGATTTTTTTTTTTCTTGTTGAGTTGAGTTCCTCATAAATCCTGGATATTAGTTCTTTGTCAGATGCATAGTTGTGAATATTTTCTCCCATTCTATATGGTACCTGGTTCACTCTGTTGATTATCTCTTTTGCTATGCAGAAGCTTTTTAGTTTACTTAAGTCCCATTTGTCTATTTTTTGACTTGCTGCATTTGATTTTGAGGTCTTAGTCGTGAATTTTTTCCCTAGTTCAATGCCCAAAAGAGTTTTTCTTATGGTTTCTTCTAGAGTTCATATGATTTCAGGTATTACATTTAAGTCTTTAATCTATCTTGAGTTAATTTTTGTATATGGTGAGAGTTATGGGTCCAGTTTCATTCTCCTTCATCTGGCTATCAAATTTTCCTAGCACCATTTATTGAATAGGATGTCCTTTTCTCTGTGTTTGTTTTTGTTAACTTTGTCAAAGATTAGTTGGCTGGAGGAATGTGGCTTTTCTTGTGAGTTTTCTGTTCTGTTCCACTGATATATGCATATATTTCTATACCAGTGCCATGCTGTTTTGGTTACTATAGCCTTGTAGTATAATTTAAAGTTAGGTGATATGATGCCTCCAACTTTGTTCTTTTTGCTTAGGATTGCTTTAGCTATTTGGGCTCCCTTTTGGTTCCGTATGAATTTTAGGATTGCTTTTTCTAATTCTGTGAAAAATGAGGTTGATATTTTAACAGGAATTGCAGTGAATCTTTGGCTTTTCCCTCCAAAGACTGTTGACTGGGTTGCCAAATTTACTTTCAAGCCACAGGCAGCAAGAAAGTCAGCACAACAAGGCTTTCCCAGAAGTTCCACCAAACCACATCTCCTTACACCCCACTGGCCACTTCTATGTGCAAAAAAAGGTTGAGAAATAGTGCTAAGCACACTACCAGAGAAGTTTGTCTGTTTTGTTTTGCTTTTATTTTTTGTATTTTGGTTTGGGGGTTTGTTTGTTTGTTTGTTTTCACTAAGAAAGAAAGGAGAATAAATACAGAGTAGGCAATCTGCCTTCTTTACTCCAGGGAAGCTCAGGCATTCCTGAATTCCGGCAGTGGTGAGAGATAAGGTACAGAGCCTCAATAGGGCATGATTACCACATGGATGTGACAGCAGCAACCTCAATGTTAACTCATCATCAGATCACATCCTTTGTCCTTTTTCTTAGAGCATGTGATGCCTTCTCCTTACCCTTTCTTCTCCTTTCTTCTCTTTTTTAAAATTGCCAATGTATTGTCTTACTCATACATGTCCTAGAAATGTGATGAGGTTTCAGGAAATTGGGGTACTGAAAAGTAGATGGGCAGCTCTAATCTATTTTAGTCCAATCTATTTCCTGTGGCAGGACCTTATGCTGGCAAGAGGATTGGCTTGAGTTCAGGCATAACCTGGATACTAATTGTAGAAGAGATAGTGAGCTTTAAGTATTATTTATCAGGTTTCTCTTCCATAAAATGTGCAACATATCTATTGATATGGATCAGTATATTTGTGAAAGTTCTTGAAAAAAATTAAAATATGATTTAAATGCTATATATTACTTTTGATAATTTCAAATTGCATTTGCTTTTATTTTAATTTTGAAATGCAAAAGCACATGTGGCAAGCACTTGGTCCTCTACATCAAGAGGGAAAAAACCCTGTAGGTCAGAATTATTCTACAGTTGAATCACTCCCTGTTGAATTTTTCTTTTGATAGATGCATCTGCCTTTCTTAGTATGGCAAGTGAGAATCATTTTTACTTTTCACAAAGTAGAAACAACTTAGAAAATTTAGAAAATTCATTATAAGCCTCAAGATAAATGTGCTTATTATTTGAAGATATTTCTTAAGTCTTTCTGAGATTAACTTTTCATACTAAAATAATACCTGAGTCACTTTTCCCTTGCTTTATACTTTCCTTTGTATCTCAGGTAAGGAGCTCAAGATAAATCCTTGAGCAATAATAGTAATTTGTCTGTAATTGGCATATATTACAGAGCTGAGTCTGTCTCTGTCTGTCTCTCTCTCTGTCTCTGTCTCTCCCTGTATCTGTCTCTCTGTCTCTCTCAGAGTTTTAAAGACAGGCTCTCCCTATGTTGCCCAGGGTGGTCTCGAGCTCCTGAGCTCAAGTGATCCTCCTGGCTCAGCCTCTAAAGTAGCTGAGACTACAGGCATGCACCGCCATGCCTGACTGCCACAGCTCTCTTGATTAAAACATTTTTTTAGGACATAGGATTCTTTTTGGTGGCATTAGAAGTAAGTAAGATTTTCATGTGTGAGCTGCCTTACCTTGTTAGGGGGTTGAGAAGTGACTAACCTGAATATTATATCAATAGCAAAAGCAAAAAGAGAAGATGCATGATAAGAAGCTAAATTCTGAGTTTATCTTGCCTTTACCACTCGAAGTAGTTAGGTTAGTGTTAGACACATTGACTAATTATATTTCCTATTTTAGTGCTGCTTTGTGAATTTTCTCTTTTATGCTGGTCACTTATTGTAGCATTGGGCTCAGACCAAAGCTCTGCATTTGGCTCTGCGGGCATCAGTCTCTGAAGGGTGTGTCCCAGCAGAGGGCCAAATGCTTCTCAGGGCAGCTGGGGTTTTCAGATGGCAATAGGTCAAAATTAAAAATAGGGATATAAAATCTTCTTTTACCCTGGCTCATCCAGTTTGGCAGAGGCTAGTTTCAGAAGAGTCTAGAAGTGACATTTCCACTTTCATGGGTTGATATAAGGGTTTGTCAAGTGAGGAATGCTGTTGGACTTGGACATGCCAGTGACTTAAATGTGAGGTTCATTGCAGCAGGATGGCTGAGTACTGGGTGCAGCAGCCCCTCAAAACCCTCTGTGTTGTTTGTGATCCTTCCACATGGCTCAAAAAGATTGTGACTGATCCATTGTCAAGATTTGGATCATACTTCCAAATATAAATTCTTAGATTCTATTTTCTTTTTCTAAATCTTCCTGTCTATGGAAAAAAATCATTCTGATTTGTCATTAGCATATTTTACATACTCAGGTTTATGTCCATGTCAAAGTGTAATCTTACACTTCTTGTAAGTGACTGTGAACCAGGGCAACATCCCCCAAAACTCTTTCTTGGGGCAGAAGACCCTGATGGCTCCTGAGGCACAGCTGACTAACAGTTTATCAAGGGAATCTTGATTGTCTCTCTCTGGGTATCAGGGGTCAGCCAAGAAAAGGATGCCAGAATATGCTGAAAGCTCTAGTACTCTTGATTCAAAACCTGAGGATTCCTTTCTTCATGTAATTAATACATGGCAGTTATTGTGAGGCACTAGAGAGATACAAAGACAAATATAACACAATATACGCCCTTAAGAAATGTATATTTAGTAGGAGGGGACAGATAAATAAACAAAAGAGTGCCACTAAATATCCCCAGGACTTTGATAAGAGTCAGTCAGGGTTGGGGGTAGGGGTTGAGGCTTGAGGGATGGGAAGAAATAAAAAACCTCATGGAGGGTGTGACCCTTGAGCTGAATTTTCAGCTGACAGATGCTGGCTGCTGGGCATGTTGGGGAAAAGCATTCTTGTAGAGTAAGGCAAGACAGAGAAACATGAGACTATATTCTGTTTGGGGGACATGCAGGATGACAGACCAGCATGAAGACAGGTTTTGTAAAAGAGGAAATCAAAAGGCCAAATGAGGAGAGATGGTAGTGTCTTAACTTCCATGAACATTAAAAATTTCAACTTGTAAGCAGTAGATGGCAATTAAAGGTATTTTTTTAAATAAAAGAATGAATGGCTCTGAACATGCCCTAGTGATAACTGATTGTTTGTTGCTTCTTCCTCCTGTCCTCAATTTAAATAAAGCAAGTAATTATCGAGCATGTTGTAACATAATTTCCTGTAAAAGGGAAATTTATATTCCTTTTGGAAAACCAATAATGCTCTAACTCTTTTTGATTAAAATGTCCATATTAAGCCGGGCGCAGTGACTCACGCCTGTAATCCCAACACTTTGGGAGGCCGAGGCAGGTGGATCACGAGGTCAGGAGATGGAGACCATCCTGGCTAACACCGTGAAACCCCGTCTCTACTAAAAATACAAAAAATTAGCCGGGCATGGTGGCAGGCGCCTGTAGTCCCAGCTACTCGGGAGGCTGAGGCAGGAGAATGGCGTGAACCCGGGAGATGGAGCTTGCAGTGAGCCGAGATCCAGCCACTGCACTCCAGCCTGGGCGAAGAGTGAGACTCTGTCTCAAAAAATAAAATAAAATAAAATAAAATAAAATAAAATAAATAAAATGTCCATATTAAATTATGTTTTCCCTACTTAGGAATGCAGGATACATGAGGGCACTATATTCATGTACCACTTGGTTTACCAGTATTTGCTTACTTAATCATGATTTCTTAAGCAATCATAGAAAACCACTAGAAAGAGACATAAACTATTTGAAAATGCACTGTGCACATTTTTATCTTGTTCCTGGGCATGTGACCAAGTGATTTGTGTTGACAGAATGGTTATACGCCACTGCACATCGCTGCCAAAAAGAACCAGATGGACATAGCGACAACTCTGCTGGAATATGGTGCTGATGCCAACGCAGTTACCCGGCAAGGAATTGCTTCCGTCCATCTCGCAGCTCAGGAAGGGCACGTGGACATGGTGTCGCTGCTCCTCGGTAGAAATGCGAATGTGAACCTGAGCAATAAGGTAACCCACTTCTTTCTTGACAAAGCATGCAGCACACCAAAACCTCACCCCTCAGAAAGGTCACTAAGAATTCACAGAAGATCTGAGTCAAATAGGATGTGTAAAGTGTAATATTGCACCAAGTTGTTTACCAAAGTGTTACTTAACAGAGCAAAAATTTGGAAACAATCTGTTTAAACAATAAGAAAAATGGTCAATGCGCCAGTTGCTCTGGCTCAGGCATTTAATCCTAGCACTTTGGGAAGACAAGGCGGGTAGACTGCTCGAGCCCAGAAGATGGAGGCTGCAGTGAGCTCTGATTGCTTCTTTATACTCCAGCCTGGGTGACAGAGTGAGACCCTGTCTCTTTAAAAAAAAAAAAAAAAAAGACAGAAAGATAATGGTAAATAAATAATTCAGATAATTCAGTCAGACAATGAGTATATATGGAAGTGGCTCTATGTACACATAGCCATAAAAATGAAGTCCAGGAAGTTTTTGTAGTAACATAAAGTTTTGTTATAATGTTAATTCAAAGAGCACCATTGTTACTTCACCATAACATAGCAAAGAAGAAGCTGCAAATTGTAGCCCTTTGCTTTATTTCACAAACATGTTTGGGGTCCTGCTCCTTGCTCATCCGTTTTTAAGTTCTAGGTTACAAAGAGAAATGGGAAACATTGCTGCCTTCGTGAGTTCATTTTAATAACAAATTTAGAGTAGCTATTTTATGGAGTAGATAGGAGAAGTTGTTGGCAATTTTGAAGGAACTTGTGAAGACTGTTCCCTAAACTCTTCAAACACCCATGCTGTCATCTTTGATATGCTCATTATTCATGAAGAAAAGACTAGAGTTTTGTCAAGCAAAGTGAAAGTTCAGCCGACAATTAACCAGAAACTTGTTAATGAAGTTACTGCCTCTCCCTGTATGTATCAAATTTAGGTTTGCTGAATTGCTCATTAAGATTGACCCAAAACACAAGACAGGTGTTTCTAAATCTTCAGATAATAGGAAACCACACAAAAGGGCCCTCAGATTCTGATAACCTCCCCTGTCTGGCATTTAGCTTCTCTTCTGCCTGCTGGGTGTGGGCATAGCTGTGATATTTCTCAGGCCTAGCTCAGATATTGGAGTAGGGTTGCAAAATAGCAATAGTCTTATGTTGACAAATAACAAGTAATTTAAATACTTTCAACACGTGTGCCTGTGTTTTGAAATCACAGAGAGTTTGAATCCTAAGTTGGATTCTTCCTGTGTCATTTAGGCAAGTTATATTACCTCTCTGAGCCTCAGTTTTGTCCTTTAGTACATGGAGATAGCAATACTGACTTCTTGAGTTGCTTTGAGGATACACTGAGAAAACATTCAACACTTTTAAGTAAGAAAAAATCGTTTTTTTAATTTTGGAGTTTTTACAGTTTTGGAAAAAGGTTACTCCATAACAATCTGAATTCTCAAGGTTATTATTTAACAAATTCTATAGACCAAAAGACATATACAGGAGACCAGGGATATCTTTTTTTAGTTTTAGTATTGTGAAAATCTTTTTTGGTCATTACAGAGCAAACACATTTTTTTAATTTTATTTTTTTCTTGTTAAACATTCCTTTTAGGAGTGCATGTCTCAGCATTAATGGGAATCAAAAAGCAATTTCATAATCGTCATTATAGTTAAGATTTGTTTGATCTTTTGAATTTTCTATAGTTTTATATACCAATTTAGAGACCAGAATTGTAATGGCTTGCCTCAAAACTCAATTTGTCTTTATGACAAAGAGGACCTTGTGTTTCCCAAATTGAAGCACATGCTGGTATCAGAGTGTATTTTCTCTTGTGAGCCCATAATATTGTATTTCATCATTTCTTCCAGAAACAATGTAGTACTTTCACAATTGGTTTAAATTGAATATTTCCAGTAGGTTTGATACCAAACTGCAGTGTGACTGACTTTGTTTCTTCAAAATCCTGCAGCCAACTGGTACAATATATGCCCAGCCTTGAATTCATCTTAGCCTCATAGGGTGATTTTAGGCTAAAAATATTTAGGGCAAAAATTTTCTCAGTGCTTGTTTTAGTAGAGTGGAAATTAACAAAAGGAATTCTAAAGACTCAAAGACATATAGCAAACCAGGGAAACCTGGAAATTTCTGGCCACTTTCCTGAGTAAATGATACACAAGCAGAGATATTCCTAAAGGAATTCTAAAAGATCAACTGGCTTTCCATTAGCATGTTGAACTTAAGGAACTTCTGAGAACTTCTAATACTTTTAACTTCTAACTTCTCATTAGAAACTATCTAATAAGAAGGCATTTGTAAATCCTTGCATCCTTTCTCCGTTGTCGTTTTCAGTATAAAGCACTAAATATGCCCTGATGTGAAAACAGAAAAGCAGCAAAACTTTTTATTATTCAATAAGGAACTGTCTCTCAGTTTTTGTCAGTTTTTCCTGAGCTGCCAGTGTTTTAAGCATCAATTACTCACTGTTCCCTCCTCCCTTCTCCTGCCTACCTTTCCCTCTTCTCACATAACACTACATTTTATTTCCTTGCTAAAAAATAACTATTAAAAAAGATTTAGCTTTCATAATTTATGTTGAACTAAACACTTTATTGTTTTTACTTTCTTTTTTCTTACTAGTAACCAGCACTTTCCCAGTACTTTTAAGGAAAAATGATCATGAACCCCAAGTTATTGTTGAGGTGCTAGTGTTCGATTTGATTCAATTTTGCTTTTGATGTTCCTATTTTCCCATATAGGTTTTGCAGACCCCAATGCTTATATTTTTTATACAACTGAAAGAATATTAAACAGAGATGTTGCTATTTTAATTTGATGTTTTCTCTGTTTCAAATAAATACCTTTTTTTTTTTTTTTGAGACAGAATTTCATTCTTGTTGCCCAGGCTGGAGTGCAATGATGCAATCTTGGCTCACTGCAACCTCCGCCTCCAGGGTGTAAGCGATTCTTCTGCCTCAGCCTCCCGAGTAGCTGGGATTACAGGCATGCACCACCACTCCCGGCTAATTTTGTATTTTTAGTAGAGACAGGGTTTCTCCATGTAGGTCAGGCTGGTCTCAAACTCCCAACCTCAGGGGATCCGTCCGCCTTGGCCTCCCAAAGTGCTGGGATTATAGACGTGAGCCACTGTGCCCGGCCCTAAGTGCTATTTTTAAAATGAGCAATGATCAAAATGCCATAAAAGATTAACAGGTAACTTCTGAACTCAAACAGGGCTGTGGTTACCTTCATATTGTTTTTTAAAATCTTTTGAATTATAACCAAGAATATAAAAATAAAATGTTATTTATATAATTTATACTGTTCTACCTAAGAAAAATGTTTGATTTTTTTTCTCTGATTTAATCTATGAGTGAGTGGATTAAATGCTAGATGCTAGACACTGGTTATATAAAAATCAAAGATACGATACTTGCCTCAACAAGCTCACAGTGGTTTGAGGAAGACAAGCAAGAAAACAGAGTTTAAATGCAGGATTATGATATTTGTAATAGAAGTGAGCACATAGTAGGTTTGCACATAAATGTAATAACTTGGCCCTTTATTGAAACGAGAAGAGAGAAAGGCCAGGGAAGCCTGAAGTGACTCCATCAGTGAGTGGGTAAGCCAGCTGAGCAGCAGGCACCTAGACATGGGAGCATGAGGGGACAACATGTGCCCACAACACATTCTCAGTCTTTGCTGAGAGCTACTCAGTAAGGTACCCTCAGTGTCAAAAGTTTCAAACTTAGAATAGGTGACCATGACACTCACAAAATGTTGTGGCTGACAATATTATTTCCTCTGAAGGAGAACACGGAACATGGTTCTGTGATGAGGTCAGTGTTTGGGTGGTGCCAATTTTGGCTCTGGCTTATTTTTCTTGAATTTCAAGTGAATGCATCAGTCCTCCTTTTCACATTTCCCCCTTTATTCAGTTCAAGTGAGCTTCCTCCAAAATTCTATAAACATTATTAAAAAGTCCCAGCTTGACTCTCTCTGCATTCCATAATTGCTCTGATGGAATAGCAACCCCTGAATAAATAATGTTTCACATCTAGAAGACTCTGTGCTCTTCCTGAAACTGCCTTTGATTACCTCCTTTCCTCTGACAAATAGGACAGGCTGATATTTTCATTGCACAGATGCTAGAGGGGGAGAAAAGACTTCCAGGATTAAGATATTAACTTCTGTGCTCATAATGGATGAAAGCAAAAAATCTGAAAGTACTAACACCAACTCACTTTCTCTTAAATATTATAAAAAATGCTTTACAATTTAAAGAGGTTTTTTAAAACCGGAGTATAATCTTAGTAATTTTTTTTCTTGGTCATGAGAGCAACCATGTGTTCTGCAAATTCTCTAATAGGGTTAGTTTCAAATACTGTATCAGTCTTGTTAAATCCATACATCATCTAAATGACCTGGAAATTGTCATGATCTTGCATTCACATTACATTTCACAGGCGATCTTTCCTACCCAGAGTGACATACAGAAAATATTCATTAGACCTTGGGAATTAATATGGAGAAAATATTATCAGCATATGTCAGTGTTCACTTTGTAAACAGATATCATTTAAATAATTTTTGGTAAAGCTAGTGGCATTGGCAATATGTTAAAACTCTTGCATAATTTTGTAAAAAAAAAAAAAAGTCTAATTTTTGTAGATGAACACTGAAATGTATGGGGGTAAATGTTATAGTGTCTAGATTTGTGTTAATATTGCCACAAATGAATGAAAAGGAAAAGAGGGATAGGTGAAACACATATAGGAAAACTTTGATAATTGCTAAGTCTGTGATGAGTATACAAGGCTCACTCCATTTCTTACACTTTCGAGTATGCCTACAATTTTTCATGCAGCCTACAGATAGTCATGTTGCCACAGTGCTAAGACAGTATAACATATAATTTTTTTTTTTGAGACAGGTTTCATTCAACCCTGTCACCAAGGCTGGAGTGCAATGGCGCTATCTCAACTCACTGCAACCTCCACCTACCGAGCTCAAACAATTCTCCTGCCTTAGCCTCCCAAGTAGCTGGGACTACAGGTGCATGCCACTGCACCTGGCTAATTTTTGTAGAGATGGGACCTTGCCATGTTGGCCAGGCTGGTCTCAAACTCATGGGCTCATGTGATCCACCTGCCTCAGCCTCCCAAGCATATAAATTTATTCCATAGGTTTTTTCTAACATAGAAATTCTCGGCTTACCATCTTAGAATTCACAAATGGTTTCTCAAACATGGCTATGTGTGTGACATTCCTTCCTGTACGATGACTGTGCCCTTTGAATCTTTTGCAGAGCGGCCTGACCCCACTCCATTTGGCTGCTCAAGAAGATCGAGTGAATGTGGCAGAAGTCCTCGTAAACCAAGGGGCTCATGTGGACGCCCAGACAAAGGTATACGGCCCTCCCTTGCCACACGGAAAAGAATGTGTCCATTTGGTGACTGCAGTAAGGAAGAAACTATAATTGTATCAGGAGAACAAACCCTTTAATCATCTCTTTTCTACGTAGTATTTTAAATGTTTATTTATGCAAGGGACACTAAAGTCTCCGGTTGCCGTATTCCAGGGACTTTTGTCTTTAACGGCCTGGGTACTTGATTCTAGCTGCACAGTAATTTCCCCCTATATTAACACTGTTGAGCCTCCTTACAACAAATGTGTCCTTCGGGGCAGAGTGTGAAAGCTTGTACCTTTCTTAGTTTTTGTGATGGATGTTTTAAATGCAGACAAATAGACAAATAGAAAAACTTGTAATTTGTGACCTCTACGTTCGTTCAGCATGATTTATGAAACAGGATAAATTAAGGCTTATTTAAATATTACTCACTTGCTAAATTCCTAATGGTCTGTGCGGTCATGCGTGTGTTCTCCCTCTCTCAGACGAGAAAGCTCTCATTTCAAAAAGAAAAAAAAATTGCTAATTAATCTTATATAATGCCACAACTCAAACACACACACAAAATAGGACTTCTCATGTCATCATCAAAGATATAGCTTCACATTAATCACATTTCTTTGAAAATTTTCTTTATATGCTTAATTTTGTTATTTCTTCATATCAGATTTGTGTCATTTGTGTCATCTACTCTAACATGTTTTTTTTTTGGTTTTTTTTTTTTTTTTTTTGAGACGGAGTCTCACTCTGTTACCAGGCTGGAGTGCAGTGGCTTGACCTCGGCTCACTGCAACCTCCACCTCCCACGTTCAAGCAATTCTCCTGCCTCAGCCTCCCGAGTAGCTGGGACTACAGGCATGTGCCACCATGCCCAACTAATTTTTGTATTTTTAGTGGAGACGGGGTTTCACCATGTTAGCCAGGATGGTCTTGATCTCTTCACCTTGTGATCCACATGCCTCGGCCTCCCAAAGTGCTGGGATTACAGGCGTGAGCCCCCGCACCCAGCCACATATGCTTTCTTTCTATATGCCATGTTTGACATGAAAAAGAATGACTACTAAATATTGTGAATAAAATTTTTATATGTAATATAGGCAGGTTCTGAGGTATATGGGCATATTGAAGTAACTAGTAATACAGAAATATTACCCCAAATTAGCCAGATAAAAGGGTATTGACACCAAAATGAGACTGAATTTAGCTTATTTTCTTATGCTGCTTGAATACTTTCATCGGGAAATAATTCTTGACTTTGGAAATTTGCAACTTTATGGTAAATGTCTTCATTCCATACCGCTTTATTCACACACAGAGAGAGAGAGAGACAGACTTAAACACTTTCTTAGGTTCTCTCTCCTTTTTATAGATATAAAACTCTAGAAGGCAAGGTCTGGGTCAAGTTTCTCAACATTTTTCTGCCCCAGCACATCCAAGCCATGCCCTAAAATTCAGCCAGGGAGTATGGTGAGGATTCTTAAGGCCAGGTCGGGGAGGAGAGAAACAAGTACTGTGCTGCCTCCATCTGTTTTCCATTTGCACACACAGCCCCTCGATGTACGAGTCTCAGGACTCCACCACAGTTTCCTTCTAACCCAGCCCAACTCAGGTCCCAGTTGGTAGTCTTTTTTTTTTTTTTTCCTCCAAGAGGGAGTCTCACTCTGTCACTCAAGCTGGAATGTAATGGCTTGCTGCAACCTCCACCTCCCGGATTCAAGCAATCCCACCTCAGCCTCCTGAGTAGCTGGGACTACAGGCACATGCCACCACACCCAGCTAATTTTTGTATTTTTAGCAGAGGCAGGGTATCGCCATGTTGGCCAGGCTGATCTCAAGCTCCTGACCTCAGGTGATCCATCTGCCTTGGCCTCCCAAAATGCTGGGATTACAGGCATGAGCCACCGTTCCCGGCCACGTAGTCATTTTTGTACCCCGTATGATATCTGGCAGCATGTAACCTTTCCTGCCCTTTACAAACGGAGCAGAGCGTCTCACTTCAGAAAGCATCTCTCTGTCCTTTACAAGTTATTTTCCTTTCCTTTCTCTTCTCTGCAAAGGTCACAGCCACCAAAAGGAAGTGAAGCCATGATTGTCCCATAACTAGAGCACAGCAGAAGTGCAGATAGCTGGGTTGCTTGCATTTGCTGCTTAATTTTGTGAATAAGGAATTTGTTGTATCCCAGGAATGTTCACATTCTCACTGGTAAAGAAGACATCCCCAAGCAGCCCACAGGTGGGATGTATACCATTCAACTCATTGGCTTACATGCAAAAATAATTAATAATAATAAAAATATCAAGACCTCTTCTCCCTGATGAGGAGAAGACTAGAAAATCCTGGTAACAGCCTTTGCAGTCCTCTCCCCCCGCACCCCTCCAGTTTGCTGACCCTTTATACCCCACCCCCCTTTTGCATTTGAAGTTCACCAAATGAGTTTAAGCTAAATTGTGCCACAGGGTATAATAATCAGTGTTGTTTGATAGAGATGAAGCCACTGCTTTTGCTTTTCAGAAGGATAATGTCCGGAAGCATTTTATTTAGACCACCCCTGAAAGGCATTGATTCTTAGAGGACACTAATTAGGGATCAGGAGTTACACTGGATTTCTTTAAATGTGTGTAAAAGCATAAAAAGCTTTGAGAACTTATGTGATACTTACCTATTTCACATTTATGTGTAGATTTCCTGCTGGTCACCAAATTCTTACCTGGGAGATATATTCCTTGCCCTCATAGAATTCATAGTTTAGAGAGCAAAACTCATAGTATTATAATAACAAAGTCATCATCATAATAAAATAAAACAATGTATTACCCATTTTCTCTATGCCGGGTACTATTCTAAGTGCTTTTCATTTATTATTTTGTTTAATTCTTACAACTACCCTATGAGGCTGGTAAAATTAGCATCCTCGTCTTACAGATGAGGAAACTGAGGCACAGAAAAAGTAATTACTTGCATAAGGTCCCAAAGCTAATTATTACAAAGCCTGATTTTAACCACAGGTCTATATCTAGAAATATATATATAATTTTAGAGTATTCGGTAATAACTAAGATTTTTGACAAAGGTGGGTAGGATAGAGGAAGCTTGTTCAATATCATGGGAACATGTGAAGAAAAATGGGGATTATGTCTTAAGATGTTGCTAGAAAATTAAGATCTCAGAGGGCCTTAATGTACCAGGCTAAGCTGTCCAGCTTTTTATCCTGTTTGCACTGAGAAGCCACTGAAGGTTTTAAACACAAACGTGATAAGATCAACAATCTGGTTTACAAAGATCCTGGGAAGCAATGCGAAGAATAAGTTGATTTTAAACCTTGCAGCAGGGTCAGTTAGGCTATTGTGAAATCCAAATGAAGAATAAAGAAGGCCTGAACTAAGTGGCAGATGAGACACTGAGAACAAGAGAGAAATTAGAGAGATAATTAAAAGACATACAAACAGCTAAGATTTGAAGACTTTTGGGAGGCCGCGGCGGCCAGATCACGAGGTCAAGAGATCGAGACCATCCTGGCTAACACGGCGAAACCCCGTCTCTACTAAAACAATACAAAGAAATTAGCTGGGCATGGTGGCGGGTGCCTGTAGTCCCAGCTACTCGGGAGGCTGAGGCAGAAGAATGGTGTGAACCCAGGAAGCAGAGCTCGCAGTGAGCCGAGGTCGCACCACTGCACTCCAGCCTGGGCGACAGAGCGAGACTCCATCTCAAACAAAAAAAAAAAAAAAAAAGATTTGAAGACCATGTGTGGTATGGGGACTAAGGAGAAGCAGGAAATTCAGGAGGAAACTAAGGATCTGACCTGTGCAACTGGGTGATCACAAGTACCATTCAATGAGACAGGGAATAAAGGAGAGACAAAGCCAGCTGGGGAAAGAGGACTATGAGTTTCCTATTGGGTGTGTTGAATTGTAGATTACTGGGGGCCAATCAAGTAGGAAAACCCAAGAAATGACTCACATATTGATCTGGACACAGAAAGGATGGCTGGACTAAAGATGCAGATTTCGGAATCATCACAGTCAAGGTATTAGCTGACACTGTGAAAGTAGATATGATCCTCAAGGAAAAGTGTGGCGCAAACCAAAGACAAAACCCTCGGGATCCACTCCATTTTACAGTGGATGGAGGAGGCAAAGGAGGGCTGTCCAAAGGTAGAGGAGAAATCAGGAAAGAATATGATAGGGCTGTCAAATTATGAAAAACTGTCAAGGTGTTTCAGATAAGAGAAGCTCAAAGTCCATGCATGCCATGCATGGCTGGGCACTTGGGATATTAAAAAGCAGTTTTACTAGAGCAGTGGAGATGGTGAAATGTAGGGAGGATGAGCTGGAACAGTGAATGAAGATTATTTTTTTTTCCAAGAAGTTTAGTTTTCAAAGGATAGAAACCTAGAGAAAAGGAGAAATATTTGAAAGGAGTGCTTTTTGTTTCTAAGATGGAAACATAAAAATATGTCTATAAGCTGAGATGAGCATGCCAGAGGAAAGAAAAATGGTTAGCAAAATTACTTGGTTTTTTTTGTTTGTTTGTTTTTGTTTATTTTATTTATTTATTTATTTTTTGAGACGAAGTTTCGCTCTTGTCACTCAGGCTGGAGTGCAGTTGTGTGATCTTGGCTCACTGCAACCTCTACCTCCCGGATTCAGGCGATTCTCCTGCCTCAGCTTCCCAAGTAGCTGGGATTACAGGCACCGCCACGCCTGGCTAATTTTTTGTATTTTTAGTAGAGACAGGGTTTTGCCATACTGGGCAGGCTGATCTCGAGCTCCTGACCTCGGGTGATCCGCCGGCCTCGGCCTCCAAAAGTGCTGGGATTACAGACATGAGCTACTGTGCCTGGCCTGGTTAGCAAAATTATAAGGGGTATCAGAAGCGGAATAGGCTGAGCCAGAGTTAGAAATGACAATTTCTTTTTCTTTCTGGTTTTTTTTTCTTTCTTTTTTTTTTTTTTTTGGGAGACAGAGTCTCTCACTCTGTTGCCCAGGCTGGAGTACATGGGCATGATCATGGCTCACTGCAGCATCAGCTTCCCAGGTTCAAGTGATCCTGCCACCTCAGCCTCCTGAGTAGCTGGGACTACAGACACATGCCACCACGCCCGGCTAATTGTTTTTTGTTTTTTTTTGTTTTTTTTTTTTTTTTGTATTTTTAGCAGAGACAGGGTTTTTGCCATGTTGACCAGGCTGGTCTTGAACTCCTGGCCTCAAGTGATCTGCCCGCCTCAGCCTCCCAAAGTGCTGGGAGTACAGGCGTGAGCCACCACACCCGGCCTGATCTTTTCCTATTTTCAGTCATTAATTTACCAAAGATTTAAAATATTTATTGAGCACTGATGATATGCCAGGCACTGTTTTCAGCACGAGGTAATAATAGCTAACCCTATGTGTCAGACACTGTTGAAATAATTGTTAACAGTTAATCCTTATGACAACACAATGACTTTGGTACTGCTACTAAAGTCCATTTTATAATGCATAAGCCAATGTACAGAGAGGTTCAATAACTTATCCAAATTCACACAGATAGTAAGTAGCAGAGCTGGGTCCCAAACCCAGTCTGCCTCTGAGGCCCGGGCTCCTGGCTGCTGAGCCCCTCCTTCCCCCGTTCTCATCAGTCAGAAGTGCAGTCTTATCAGTGAATGGATGTAAACATCTACTACTTGGTAATCAAGAGAGGAAAAAAGGAAGGAATGCTGTTAAAGACTCGGATGCATTTTGCAGGGTTTTGCTGAGCTCTATCCAGTGTTGCCCAAAGGAAGGAAGGAAAAACCTAATCAGCTTGTAATGATGTTATCAGTGAGGCAGCTATGACAAAGAGGTAGAGGCTGCTCTGTTCCCTGGGCTATGGCTCTTTATTTGTTTGCTTATTTAGCTACTCAAGAAAAAAATAGGGAGTCTTTGAAAAATTTGTTACTGCTGATTGGAAAGAATTGCTCATGTCCCACCTCTCTGAGCGTATTTATGCGAGGTGCTATTTTGTATGGGAATGCTGTTAACCCCGATGAATGGAGGAGCCCACATCTGATTTCTCTGAATGCAAGTTCAATCTTCTTGGCCATGCCCATGTATTTTTGAAAAAACACTTTAGTGTTTGTGTAACAGCAGGAAGACCAGTGTCCTGGAGCACAGCGACCAAGGGAGAGAATTGTGGGAAGACTAAAAGATGTATGGATGGGGGATGAGGAGGATAGGGGAGACTAGAATTAGACAGCTCCTAACACTGTATTATAATGACTTAGGGTTTTAATAAGAATGAGATGGGAAACTATGAGGATGAATAGAACCTGTGCATTAACATATTTAGGCCAGGCATGGTGGTTCACACTTGTAATCCCAGCACTTTGGGAGGCCAAGGCAGGAAGATCACTTGAGCCCAGGAGTTTGAGACCAGCCTAGGCAACATAGTGAGACCTCATCCCTACAAAAAATAGAAAAATTAGCCAGGCGTGGTGGTGCATGCCTGTAGTCACAGCTACTTGAGATAGATTGAGCCCAGGAGGGGAGGCTGCAGTGAGCCATGATCCCATCACTGCACCCCAGCCTGGTGACAGAGCAAGACCCTGTCTCAAATAAATAAATAAACAACCCTGTCTCAACTATATATACCTAATCAACACATCCATCTCAACAACTATTAGAAATGGTTGTATTATAACTTAGGCAAATTGACTAAAATCTCAAAGAATTTTTTAATATTTAGATTTTTAAAAAATATTGGGTCCACGTGGTTTTGACTTGTAAGGGGAAGTTCTTTGAACTTGGAAATAATGTTACTTCAATCAGTTAAACCATTGTACTGAGCACTGATTGGACACATTATTTTCAAGCTTCCCTTATTAAGCAGTATTCTGATCATGGGTGCAGTATCTGAGTTCCTCTGTATTGAAAAGGAGAACCCTGCAAAGCAGGCAAATGGATTCTGGTCACCAAAAAGGAATATCTTCCATCGTGTATTCAGTAGCGTTAGAGGTTGTAAGTCAGTTTCCTATATGTGGTTATGGTGAGCTTTCCAGGGACAGTCTGGTCAGTGTGGGTGCACTGACAGTGTGTTTAGTGAGACAAAGTCTACCAAGAGTCACCGCTCTAGGGCAGCACATCCCTGGTAAGGTATCTTCACCTTCTGCAGTCAACTGTGGTTTGGGCATCTCTTTTTCAAATTCAAATGTATTCATTTGCTGGGGTCACCATAAAGACTCTAGTGCCATCATATAAGATACAGACCCTTGAAAATATGGATCACCCACCCCCATTCCTGTTTAGAAATATTGTGATAAAAGGTCAATGTTCTCCCTTTCAGAGATCTGGTACTGCCTGTGTCATTATGAACAGGGGCTCTGAAATTGCGGGGTAGTATGTTATAATGAACACAGCCATCTAGAGAAGGATCTGGAATATCCTTATTTTAAAGAAAATAATTATCTAGATTGTATACACATACATACACACACATATACACACACAGAGAACTTATAGCCCCTCAGGGGTCAGTGGATACTAATTTGAGAAACAAACCATTTCTTGTCTAAATCAGTGAATCAGTGGTTTTCAAACTCTGGGACTCTAGGTAGGAAGGCAAAAGACTAACTTGATATACCTTGTTCAAGTTCATACTTCTCAGACCACCTGAGCTCTCACCAGCCTCCCTCTTCCTTTTAGTGTTTCTGTGCTTCTTCCTATCTCTATCAGGCATTCTGATAATCACCTCCTGCCATGTGTTATTATTTAGCCACTTCATTTTTGCCTAGATTTAAAGCTTTCAGAAAGTATTCAATAAACAAGTCAAGTCTCCATAAAGTGCTCTTCTGACCCCGAATAAGAAGCCACTGAATCAGTTTGTCTATGCTGTCAGTTGTTCCATCTTTCCTTTGTATCTTGAAAAGTTCTAAGAACAAGATGACCTGATAAAAAATAAAGCACTTTGGGGAGCTAACAATTTTATGGGCAGTGGTATTTTAATTTATACCTAAGTCTTATGCTGAGAATTATCAAGGGCAATTTTTTTAATATAGAGAAGAAAAAAACCTACTTTTGCCAGCTCAAAAAGAAAGGTTAAATAATGATTTTGCTTCTGTTTAGGATAGCTGTTAGTAAAAGTGTAATTATGATGCTTCTTTTTTAAAAAAATAATAATTACAGATGGGATACACACCACTGCATGTGGGCTGCCACTATGGAAATATCAAGATTGTTAATTTCCTGCTCCAGCATTCTGCAAAAGTTAATGCCAAAACAAAGGTAAGCTCCTTCCTTTTTTGTTTCTGCCAGAATCATTTATTTTTGCTTCAAAGGAATTAAGAATCATCTCTTCCATCTTCCTTCTACAGAATGGGTATACGCCATTACATCAAGCAGCACAGCAGGGGCATACGCATATAATAAATGTCTTACTTCAGAACAACGCCTCCCCCAATGAACTCACTGTGGTAAGCGCTCAGGGCCAGCTCAGGAGAAGAGGGAGGAGATAGATGGGCCTGGACTCTGGTGTCTTCTTACGTTTTTCATTGTACTTTCATGAAGAGGCATAAACAGAGCATTCAGTAGAATGAGGAAAGAAGGACAATAACCATATTGTTCTGAGCTGTTCAGAGAGAGAGAGATGATTAGTGTTTTATATGTGAAAACTACCTACTGCATTGTCACCTAGTAGGAAGTACACATGTAAGAAAAAAAAATTGTGTTGGTTTCATTGATTGCTTACTTAGAACGTTAAAAAGCCTCTTGGATTGCATGTGTAGCTGCCCAGACTTTGCTGTACAAACAGGTTAGGTGGGTTTTGTGCAAGGTATGTCTCTAATGAAACACTTATTTGTGTATGACAGTGGGATGGGTCTGATGAGACACTCACCTTACATTTTGTATCAGCAAAAAAAATGTGGAATAAGGCTTGCTAATTCCTCACTCACATTTTCCTTTTGCCAGAATGGGAATACTGCCCTTGGCATTGCCCGGCGCCTCGGCTACATCTCAGTAGTGGACACCCTGAAGATAGTGACCGAAGAGACCATGACCACAACTGTAAGTAAGGAATGCAGAACCTTGTTACCCTAGGAGCCAGCTTTCAGCCAGTTTTCTTGGGTTTTTCTGAGATGAATATTTTTTCCCATTCATAAACTAAGCACCATGTTTTAAAATACAGTCACCTCATTGTTGGTAGTCAGGATAGCAAAACTCTTATTGCTAATATGAATAAAAGTTTAAAACACTAAGAATACCTATTTAAAAGATGCATCTGTAGCTATAGAGTTTTTACTTCCATATACAGCTAAATGTATTTATTTATTTGTTTGCTTTGATATAACAAGTTCTTAATGAAATGATGGTGAAGGCAGAAATTTTTTAACATCCTTCCTTGGCAGCGTAAAGAAAATTGAAAACTCTAAGTTGGTTCCTTAAAAATGTTTTAATGCACAAATGGTACATGGATACATTATCATTCCTGTAAAAAAATGTTTACATTGTTTTAAAAAATTCCAGATGGGATCAGAACTGGTTTTGCCTGCTACTGTCACTCATCTTCTGTCCTATTGGAGTTTTCATAAGAAACACAATAGGCTGTTTTGTTAAAATTTAAAGTGGATCTTTACCAGGAGGCCCTATTGCATCAACTACATTTTTACAAGCTGCAGCCTCTAGGATAAGTCATTTCTTTCCAACCCCATCTGGTACCTTTGAACAGCATTAACATTTGGTAACTTTGGAATTAAAAGCAAATATTACATGATATCAGAGGCTTATTTGAGTTATTCCTGACTCCATGACTCAACACATAGACCTGAGGTTGACTCTTAACAAAGTAAATATAGGACTCTGGAACATTTTGAATTATCAGCTCTGTCCCCTTTTCTCTTCGACCACCTTCCAACATGAAGGAGAAAATGGTTAGCATCTGCAAATTAGTTTGTATACCCACTGCTTTTTGTGAAAAACATGGGTTGAAGGTCTCTGTAACTACCTGCAGTTTGAGTTATCTGGCAGTGTTACTCAATGTATAATTCTTAGTCTTTAGAAACTAAAAAACAAGCCTGCTGATTACGGGAGAAAAATTTTGTAATTTGCAAAAGAGAAAACAGTTGTTTTAATGGAATAGAACAATGATTGTCAAGCAGCACCCATTCCGAACTTCAAGTTATACTTTGTCTAAGAGAGAAATTTCCACATGTTGCTTTCATACACCTCTTGAGGATTTTATTATATTAAAATCTATCATTAAGTTCTCAAAAAAAGTGTTCAAACCAATAATGTTTATTACCTTTAATTTTATATCCCATGTAGCTCTATCTAGGATAGGAAAGGAGAAGAGAACAAACTATTTAACGATAGCCAAGTGTCACAATGCTATAAAGATTTGAAGTCATTGCAGTAAATATATAATATTAATACTTCTATTTCAATGTTAAAAGACTTGAGACATGTAAAAGTTCAAAATACACATCTTATTTGGTTGAATGTAAATGGCTTTCTCACCCATTACAAAATTTCAAAACTTTTCTTCAAAATCAAAAAAAAGCTTTAAGAGAAAGTAGAGTTAAGAACAAAATTAAGTTACAACTTCAAAAAATCAACTGAAAGACAGAGAAGGGTCTCAGAGCTCCATCAGGTTCCCATCAGAAGACAGAATGTGTACAGGAATAGTGCCTTTTCACTCTCAACATCATCAGCTGTCCTTGTTGATGACTTTCTGCAAAAGAGAGAAGACACTATGCATGCTAATTGGAAAGGTCCAGTTTGCCTAGTGAAGAAAATGAGGCTTCCACCAAAAGAAGTGTTCACGTTGATTAAAAAAGAGTCCAGAGAAGTCTCTAAAACTTCGCCCAGCATTGTGGTATTTGGTACATTATCTCAAGCTGAGACACCACCTTGTCAGCCTTGCTTTAGCGGTTACATGTAAACTAGCTTAGACAGGACTGATGTAATTCAGGGTGGAGTCTATGACTTTAAGCTAATAACTCTAGCTCAGCCTCCACCACAGGCATGATATTTGTATAGCTAGTTACTGGGACTCCAGCAGCCATTGACTCTATAAACAGACTTCAGTTTTTCAAAACAAAAAGAGAATGTCTTTTCCATGTGAGTAAAATACATGATGTGGCAATGCTGAGAAAGACGGTTTAGTTAATTAGATTACAATCAAAACAGCATACCAAACTGAATGGATAGAAGCTGATATTCAAAAGATGTGAATTGTATCTATCAAAACTGCATTGTTTAAAATACCCAATTACTTCATATGTAAGGAGCAGAACACCTCTAGCACACAGATATTGGTTGCTAATACTATTTTCTACTAAAAGCAAACAGTGCTCCTTGGAGAAATGGCTGAATCTAAGGATAGCACAGTAAATATATAAGATGAGCCTGGAACATCTTAGAGTGTCAAAAAGTAAGGAAATGCTCCTCCCTCCCCCAACAAAAGTAAATAAACTAATACAGAGGCACAATGGTAGGGGGTATGTTGAAGGGACATATGAATTAACTAAAAGAGTTCCCAATGGCCATAGCTGGAACAATTTGAGCAAAAATAAATAAATATAATAGTCTTGAAGTATAGTGCAAACTGTAAAATAACTATCCATGAATTCATACTATTATACATAAGTAATTCAATAAATGGAAAAGAAGACACAAATTTCTCAGGCAAAAGAATTCCAAATAATGTATGAAAATACTTCACTCTCGAAGTGGAACATAATTCCCCACTGCTTACATGTGGGCTGAACATAGTGATTCCTTTGCAAAGAAAACAGTATGGAAGCAGGGGGAAATAGAGTAACTTTACAATGGAGAAACCTGACAAATACTGCTTCAGACATATGATCAAGATCAACATCAACAATGATAAGTCATGTTGATGGTATTGTACCCTTGATACAATGTGATGAAATGGCACTTTTCCTCTGTGATCTTCCTCCGTAAAACATACAGCCCCAGTCTATTAAAAAAAAAAAAAAAAAAAAAAAACTATGAGACAAGCCCCAGTTGATGGACATATCTGACTAGTATACTGCAAAACTGTCAAGGTCATCAAAAACAAGGAAAGTCAAATGCAAATCAAGACCACAATGAGATACCCTCTCATACCAGTCAGAATGGCAATTATTACAAAGTCAAAAAACAACGGATGCTGGCAAGGCTGTGGAAAAATAGGAATGCTTTTACACTGTTGGTGGGCATGTAAATTAGTTCAACCATCATATAAGACAGTGTGGCAATTCCTCAAAGACCTAGACCCAGAAATATCAGTTGACCCAGCAGTCCCATTACTGAGTATATACCCAAAGGAATGTAAGTTATTCTGTTACAAAGATACATGCATGTGTATGTTCATTGCAGCACTATCCACAATAGCAAAGATGTGAAATCAACCCAAATGCCCATCAATGATAGACTGGATAAAGAAAATGTGGTACATATACACCATGGAATACTGTGCAGTCATAAAAAAGGAATGATATCATGTCCTTTGCAGGGACATGGATGGAGCTGGAAGCTGTTATCCTCAGCAAACTAACGGAGGAACAGAAAACCAAACACCACATGTTCTCACTTACAAGTGGGAGCTGAACAATAAGACCACGTGGACACAGGGAGGGGAAGGACACACACTGGGGCCTGGGGGTGGGGAGGGAGAACATCAGGATAAATAGCTCATGCATGCGAGGCTTAATACCTAGGTGATGGGTTCATAGGTGCAGTAAACCACCATGGCACACATTTGTTTACCTATGTAACAAACCTGCATGTCCTGCACATTTAACCTGGAACTTAAATTAATTTTTTTAAAAAAACAAGGAAAGTCTGAGAAATTGTCACAGCCCAGAGGAACCTAAGGAGACACAACTAAATGTCATACAGTATCCTCGATGGGATCCTGAAACATTAAAAGGCCATTAAGCAGAAACTAAAGAAAAATGAATAAAATATAAACTTTAATAATAATGTATCAATGTTGATTCATTAATTGTGATATTTTCCATGCTAATAAAAGATTTTAATAATAGGCCAGGCGCGGTGGCTCATGCCTGTATTCCCAGCACTTTGGGAGGCTGAGGCAGGTGGATCACCTGAGGTTGGGAGTTCGAGGCCAGCCTGGCCAACGTGGTGAAAACCTGTCTCTACTAAAAATACAAAAATTAGCTGGGCGTGGCCATGCACGTCTGTAATCCCAGCTACTGGGGAGGCTGAGGCAAGAGAATCGCTTGAACCTGGGAGGCAGAGGTTGCAGCAAGCCGAGATTGTGCCACTGCACTCCAGCCTGGGAAACAGAGCGAGACTTGGTCTCAAATAATAATAATACTATCAATGAAGATTTTAATAATAAGGGGAACTTGGTGTGGGGTATATGGGAACTGTCTATACTATCTTCACAATTATTCTATAAATCTCAACCTCTTCTAAAAATAAAAGTTTATTTTTAAAACTGCTCCATTGCAGTATTACATGCTGGAAAAGACATCAAATAATGGTTGATTTCAACACAATAATTGGGGATAGGGGTAGAAATCACATTTACCAAGTATTATCTCTAAGAAACTATGAATTTGTACCTTTTTTTAGTTTTAACAACCTGGCTTTTTTTCAGTTGTCTCATTTAAACGTGTATCTTCCCTTGTACCATTAGTGTCTCATATGCTGAGAATTAAAAAAACAAAACAAAACAAAAAAAAAACTCACTTTTAAACTAAGGTCATTAAGATTTTCTTACCAGTGATGCTAACAGTGTCTTTTGGATGGATATAATCTAAGATTTTCTTACCAGTGATGCTGACAGTGTCTTTTGGGTGGGTATAATCTAAGTTATCAAAGAGAAAGTAAAAGAGGCAGTAGGCATTTGCTGCATAATATACTGTTCTTTAAATTTTGGGGGAGGCTAAAATGATCTGCCAATGCATCACCTTTTAAGTATTTTTTCATACACAATATTGTAAAGATTATTGTTGTAAATATTATTTTAATATTTTGTTTTATCCTATGAATTAAAAGTACATATAAGAGGAGAACACAAAATAGACGGAAAGCTTGGCACAAGTAATAGAGACATATTTCTTGCAGCTCATTTGGCTTCTCTTCAGCCGAGACCTTTCGTGGAATGGGGCGGCAGATTCATCAGACCATGAAAAAGTATAGCAGTGGAGTAGGAGGGGCAGAATCTTCTCTTTTCCTTTGAAAAGCTTTATTAGAGACCTAAATCTTTTAAGCTGTGGTACTTTGCCACTAGAATTCTTTCATTTTGTACTCCTGTGCTTTGTATATGGTGACAACCTTTGTGACACTAAGGGACAACAATTTTGATGTTATTTTATATGTGGGAGATTCAAGATATTCAACACATACATTCCACAAGAAACTGATTAATTCAGAGATAAATGAAAAGACCCATTAAAATGTACAGTCTGCTCACACTAAAATGACTGCTTTTTTGTTACTAGACTGTCACAGAGAAGCACAAAATGAATGTTCCAGAAACGATGAATGAAGTTCTTGATATGTCTGATGATGAAGGTATGAAAATGTTCTTTGAGTTCACAATAATTATAAGTGACTGTGTATTTTGTTTGTTTCCTGAAGAAAGTCCATTGCAAAAATGTTTATCAGGAATATTGAAACGTTTTGTTGTAATATCAAGAGTATGTATTTTTCATCCACTTATATTGTTCACTTCAATCATGCAGTTCGTAAAGCCAATGCCCCTGAAATGCTCAGTGATGGCGAATATATCTCAGATGTTGAAGAAGGTATTTGTAAATTTTTATTGTGATGAAACTTAACTACTACCAACTTTATCTTTCATTTCTTATCTTTGAAATATAATATTTCCTTGAGTTACTAACTTTTCATATTATCTTGAGATTATTAATTTGTGTATTATTTAAATAATGTATATCTGGTACTACTAGCTCTCCTTTTTAAGTCTCTTTGAATCCTCTTTCCTTGAACCTGTTTCCTAACTTTAAAATATAAAAGTGTCACTAATTATCTGGATTACTTGCCTTCTCTTTGTTTCTATCGAACAGAATACTGATGCTTTTATTGTTTGCATCTGAAATCTAGAAAGGGAAAACTGGTTAATGTTTATGATTACAATATTTTTTAAAACAAGCGAAGTTTCCTTATAGGAAATCCTTTTAAATGCCCTGAGATTTGCCCATTCTGCTAAACTTTGTAGAAAAAGCAGCTTTTGATCTTGAAATGATAATGAAAACAACCTGAAAAAAAAAACTTTTGAAATAGAAATTTTCAATAATGATTTAATGAAAGAGATCAAAATATTATTGTAGCTATACTTTATGTGTTTTCAGAAATTGGTTTCTGTTTTGCTTAAAAACCAATACTTTGACCAGGTCATGATATACAGATATATCAATGAATGGCATCTTTAAAAGGTCCATTGGAAAACAAGCATTTTTATAGTGAGTAAATATTGTACTGATGACACATTTTGGAGTGTCACTGTAATAACAAAATATTTACCATGGGAAAATTATATTTAACTGTTTTTCTTGCATCATTTGACTCTCCCAAATGATGGGAGATCATCAAATACAGTCTACCCTATTATGACCTCCATTTGCCACCTGTCATGTAGTAGCTTTCTTTTGGTTAGTCTTAGTGTTGCTAGTCTTTTTTTGCCTTTAAGTAATCTTCCCTATTTTAATTCATATGATTTCTTTCTTTGAGTTGCATGCATTTCATTGGGAACCTAAATAGTGGAAAAGCTTGCCTAGTCTGAAGCCACTTTAATCTTTTCGTTATCCAATCAATGACTTCCCACTATAATGCATTGTGGCCAGGGACTGCACACCCCAGTGAGCTAATGTCCTGCTGGTCATTTAGGGACCTCGGAGGATCTGGCTGAATGTTTGTAAATGCTGTTTTGATAAATGCTAAAGGCTTTTACTCAGTTTTCTTTCTTTTTCTCTGAAACATCTGCTATACATTTACCTCCCTTCTATCCCCAAATGGATAATATTTGTTATCGTCTTTAGGACTTTTAGAATAATATACCTACTGTCATATTATATTTCATTGCCTTCTCATACATTTCAGAGTAACTTCTGTGCAGAAGATAAAAGAAAAAATGATATTCTTACATAGATGTTTACACACACAAAACATGATGTCAAAAGTATGTTTGTCAAATGAAATTATTAGGAATCATGGTATGACAATCATAGACCTAAAAATTTACTGTTCATTAACGAAATATCTAAAATTATCCCCATTGATGAGAGGCCAAGTTTGAATGGACTAACAGCCTTATACATATGGATAACCAAATAATTTCAAAAATGGAGATTTTGAATCTCGAAATTTGAATTTAATTGACCTCGTTACTTAACTAGAAATGTGTTTATCTCAGCTTGGGAATTTGAAATTGGCAATTTTAAATTCTCATTTTATGCATCTTTTCTTTAAAATCTTTGGCCCTTACTTTAATGTGTCCAGGGCTATTGGAATCAAATGGCTTTTAATTTTGTGGTATTGCCGAATTTAATGTTGAAAAGGATTCCTTAAAGGTCACTCAGTCTGAGCAAACATCTGCTGGAATCTCATCTGCTTAGGATCTCCTGTGCCCAAGCCCTTCAAATAATGAGAATTCTTTAATTCCTAAGCTGCATAGTCCATTTGGACAATTCTGTCTTTAAAAATCCTTCATGTTATTGAACTTCCTGTAGCATCTACTCATTGATTCAAGCTTTGGTGTATTTGACCAAGTTGATGGGAAGACTACATTCTATGTAGTATTTTGAACAAAAGCTGCCTTTTCTGTGTGACAATCTTTCAGATATTTAAAAATGCTTTTTCTATTTCTTTTTAGTTTTTTTTTTTTTTCAGGTATATCATTGCTACCTCCTTCTATTGTTCCCCTCAGCAACCTGGTCGCCCTCTCCTGTGCATGTTTCAATATGTCTGTGCCATCTCAAGTTGAGGTGACCAGAACTGAACACAATATTTTTAGTCTCGTCAAAGCAGAGTATAGCAGGACTATTGCATTCTCCATGGAAGATGTTAAAAGTCTATTTTTGAAGATTAAGGTTATAATACACTTTTAATTCAAGTCATATTAGTATTACTGTCTGCTAAGGTCCCTAAATTTTGCTTACAAGAGCTCTAGTAAGCCACATTTGCCCTATTATGTATTTATGTTGTCCTCTGCTGCATAAATTAGCATTTCTAACTACTGCAAATCCCAAAACAAATCATTTTGAAATTTGGATTCTAAAAGGACCCCTACAACTTGAATGATAATTTTAACTTCTGACTCATTTGCCTGATAGTCTTGCCAGAGCTTTGATTGTCATTTTAGTTAGATTTAGTGTTGGCCATTTGAGTAAGCTCCTATGCAGCTGTGGCAAATGTTCATTTCCATGAAGCCATAGGCATGTTGTGAGTATAACTATCTACAAGAACTAGTGAGAGATCATCACATTGGTATCCCCAGACACTAAAGAATAACAGCAGCTTTTAAAAGCAAATAAAAATAATAAGCAATATAGGCTGCCAGTTTGTCTCAAGAAAGAAAATGAAAATGAGTTTGTAATAAGGGAAAATAAAATTTTAATCTGATTCTAAAAATAATCTGCTGTAAGTAGATATTTAAAATTTAAAATAAATAAGATAAAAAATTAAAAAGCAAAAGTAAAATAAATATTAAGGAAGAAATGTCAAGAGTAGTCTCTCTCTTCTTTTTCATTCTCTTTTCCTTTTTCTTCTTTGCTTTCTCCTTATCGTCTTCTCTTTCTTTTGTACACTATGAGAAACTAGTGCAAGTGAAAGAATGTTTGGATTCATTTCTCAAAAAAATAAAAATTAAGGAATACAAGACTAGACAATGTTATCATTTAATAAGGTGGGAGAACAATGGGGCCAAGTTGCAAAGTTGAACACAGGTGGAAGCATCAGCAAAGCAGAGCCGTAGAAGAAGTCAAGCAACTTTGTCCAAGGCAGGGTTTTAAGCTCACATTAGGCAGGTGGGGGCTAAGCAGAGCTCCTCAGAGGGTCAGATGCATTTGTAGATACCTTACTGCTCTACTGTCTCCTGTTCCAGAAAATACCTATGCATATAACATTCATAAAACTTTAATATACGTACAAAACTAGTATCTTGATTGTAGTGCTAGTTTGATTCTTATGTTTTGCAATTCATATTTTGTAATTGAAAATATGAAAGAGTGTGTGTATAGAAGAAAGAAGAGAGAAGGAAGGAAGGAAGGAAGAAGAAAGAGAAAGGAGAGAAAGAAAAAGAGGGAAAATTGAGATTAAGGTTCAAGTGATTGAGTTTGGCGTCTCCTCCCAAGGGATTTTACATTGGCTTTGGTTCAACTCTGATCTTAAATTGCAACTGCCTATAAAATGTATTTTATAAATTGGGGCAGGGGGGTATAAAATGTTATTTTAGCTTGTAGAATTCTAGTGGATTGGAGTGTAGTTACAGATCGAAAGAACTATAGATGGGAGATAATGAGAAGTGGAATTAAGCCATGCAAAGTAAAAATCTAAGAGGCAGCTCTATGAAATATGACTCTACTGAACAGGTTTAGGAGACAGCAGCTGGTGAGGCAAACTCCTGCTAGGAAGAATTTTCTAATTCTAAGCTACTTTCAAATTTGATAGGGCTGAAAAATATCTCTCTGAATCAAATGCAGACATTAAATATTAAAAGAAAAATAAGAGGCTAAGTATACATGTAAAAATAATATCAAGTAGGTATAAGTTTGAGATATAATAAAGCAATAAAATTTTAGCAGATAATAGAGTGACATGAGGGATAAGAAGAATCATGTTCAGCTTCGTGCCAAATTTGGTGGCCAGTGGAAGCCACAGTAAATTAAAATCCACCGATTTCAAAGAACTGAATGGGCAAGTTGGAGTCTTGTAAGTCTATTCCTGCCATTACACTGATGAGGTAGGAAAGCCCAAATACACATTGAATGGTCTTTCCAATGAGGTTTGTGGCAGAGCTGGACAAGAAGACTGGTCTGACACTCTGTAGTTTTAGATCATTTCATTCCCCTGCCCCCAAAGTCTAGTCAAGTAAAGCACTGGGAGTAGAGAAGGAACACATAGATCTGTAACTGGTTGTGATCAATTACTTGCAAACAACACTGCATAGATCATCTCTTTCATTGCTATTCCAACTTGAAATGTTTCTTATATATAGAACCCAAGAATGCATATTTTTAGCTTCAAAAAAAGGAGGTGTGTTAAGGAAAAGGAACAAATCATGTTCTTGGAAACTATCACAAGGTAATAAGAATATTTTAATTTGTAATAATGGATACATAATAATTGTACATATTTATGGGGTATATGTGATATTTTGATACAATTATACAATGTGTAATGATCAAATCAGAGTAATTGGGATATCTATCACCTCAAGCATTGATCATTTCTGTGTGTTTGGAACATTCTGGTTCCACCCTTTTAATTCTTTTGAAATATATTGTTAACTATAAATTATTGTTAACTATAAATTATTGTTAACTATAGTTGCCCTATTGTGCTACCAGATATTAGATCTTATTCCTTCTAGCTAACTGTATTTTTGTGCCAATTAACCATCCCCTCTTTATCCCCGCTCTTTCCAGCCTCCTGAAACCATCATTCTACTTTCTATCTCCATGAGTTCAATTTTTTTTTTCAGTTCCCACATATGAGTGAGAACGTGCTAAATTTATCTTTCTGTGCCTAGCTTACCTCACTTAAGATAATGTCTCCAATTCCATCCATGTTTTTGCAAAAAACACAGAATTTCATTCTTTTCTGTGGCTGAATAATATTTCATTATGTGTATGTACCATATTTTCTTTATCCATTCATCAGCTGATGGACACATAGGTTGATTCCATATCTTGGCTACTGTGAATAGTGCTGCAATAAACAAGGGTGTGCAGATGTCACTTTGAAATACTGATTTTCTTTTTTTTATTTGGATGTATGCCCAGCAGTGGGATTTCTGGATCATATGGTATTCTATTCTTAGTTTTTTGAGGAACCTCCATACTCTTCTCTATAGTAACTGTACTAATTTACATTTCTACCCCATAGCATATGAGGGTTCTCCTTTCTCCATTTTCTGTTAGCACATAGAAATGATACTGATTTTTATATGTTGATTTTGTATCTTGAATTTTACTAAATTTGTTTATCAGTTCTGATAGGTTTTTGGAGGGATCCTTATGTTTTTCTAAATAGAAGATTTTATCATCTGCAAATAAGGATAATTTAACTACTTCTTTTCTAATTTGGATGTCCTTTATTTCTTTCTCATGTCTAATTGCTCTGGCTAGGGCTTCTAGTACTATGTTGAATGAAGGTGATGAAAGTGGGTGTCCTGGTCTTGCTCCAGATCTTAGAGGAAAGGCTTTCAGTTTTTCCCCATTGGGTATGATACTAGCTGTGGGCCTGTTGTTTACAGCTTTTATTGTATTGAGGTATGTTCATTCTATACTACTTTTTTGACCATTAAAGTATATTGAATTTTATTGAATGCTTTTTCAGCATTAATTAAATGATCATATGGATTTGTCCTTTATTCTTTGGATATGATGTATCACATTGATTCATTTGCATATGTTGAACCATCCTTGCATCCCTGGGTGATGAATCCCACTTGATCATGTTGAATGATCTTTCTACTATGTTGTTATATATGGTTTGCTAGTATTCGAAGATTTTTTGCATTTGTGTTCATCAGAAATATTGGCCTCTAGTTTCCTTTTGTGTGTGTGTGTCTTTGTCTGGTTTTGGTATCATGGTAACACTGGCCTCATAGAATGAGTTTGGAAGTGTTCCCTCAAATTTTTGGAATAATATAAGTAGGATTAATAGTAGTTCTTTTTTAAAGTGCTTGGTAGATTTCAGCAGTAAAGCCATCAGGTCCTGGGATTTTCTTTAATGGGTGACTTTTTATTACTACTTATATCTTGTTATTCATTAGTAGTCTATTAAAGTTTTCTATTTCTTCATGATTCAATCTTTGTAGGCTTTATGTGTCTAATAATTTATCCATTTCTGACAGGTTTCCCAATTTATTGGCATATAGTAGTTGCTCATAATAGTCTCTAATGAGCCTTTGAATTTTTGCACTATCAGTTGTAATGTCTCCGTTTTCATCCCTGATCTTATTTATTTGGGTCTTCTCTTTTTTAGTTAGTCTGGTTAAAAGCTTATTGATTACCTTTTCAAAAACCAACTTTTTGTCTTGTTGATCTTTTGTAGTATATTTTTAGTCTCAATTTTTCCTACTCTGATGTTTATTATTTATTTTCTTCTATAAATTTTGAGTTTGGCTTACTTTTGCTTTTCTAATTCTATAAGCTGCCTCATTCAGTTGTTTATTCAAAGTTTCCCTGCTTTTTTGATGTAGGCATTTATTGCTATTAACTGCTCTTTTAGTACTACTTTTGCTGTCTCCCGTAGGTTTTAGTGTGTTGTGTTCCCATTTTCTTTTGTTTCAAGAAATTTTAAAAATTTTCTTTTTAATTTATTCGTTGACATAATGGTCGTTCAGGAGCATATTGTTTAATTTCCATGTGTTTGCATAGTTTCCAAGGTTTCTCTTGCTATTGATTTCTAGTTTTATTCCATCGTGGTCAGAAAAGAGACTTGACATGATTGCAATTTTTTTTTAAATTTTTTGAGACTTGTTTTGTAGTCTAACATGTGGTCTATCCTTGAGAATATTCCATGTGCTAAGGAAATAATGTGTATTTTACAGGTGTTGGATAGAATGTTCTGTGCATGTCTATTAGGGTCATTTGGTCTATGGTAGATTAAGTCCAGTGTTTCTTTGTTGATTTTCTTTCTAGATGATCTGTCCAATGCTGAAAATGGGGTGTTAATGTCCCCACCTATTGTATTGGGGTCTATCTCTCTCTTTACCTCTAATAATTGCTTTATATATACGGGTGCTCCAGCATTTGGTGTGTATATATTTATAATTTATATATCCCCTTGCTGAATTAATTCCTTTATCATTATATAATGACCTTCTTTGTCTCTTTTTGCAGTTTTTATCTTGAAATCTATTTCATCTAAGTATAGCTATTCCTGTTCCTTTTTTGGCCTCTATTTGCATGGAATATCCTTTATTTTAGCCTGTATGTGTCTTTATAGGTAAAGTGAGTTTCTTATAGACAGCATATCGTTCAGTCTTGTTTTTAAATCCATTTGGCCACTCTATGTCTTTTGATTAGAGAATTTAGTCCATTTAAATTCAGCATTATCATTGCTAGGTAAGAACTTACTATGCCATTTTGTTATTTGTTTTCTGATTGTTTTGTTTGTCCTCTCTTCCTTTCTTCCTTCTTGTCTTTCTTTGTATAAAAGTGATTTTTTTTTATTGGCTGGGCACGGTGGCTCATGCCTATAATCCCAAAACTTTGGGAAGCTGAAGCAGGTGGATCACTTGAGGCCAGGAGTTCAAGACCAGCCTGGGCAACATGGTGAAACCCCATCTCTACTAAAAATACAAAAATTAGCTGGGCATGGTGGCATGCATCTGTAGTCCCAGCTACCCAGGAGGCTGAGTTGGGAGAATTGCTTGAACCTGGAAGGCGGAGATTGCAGTGAGCCAAGATAGCACCATTGCTCTCCAGCGTGGGTGACAGAATGAGATTCTGTCTCAAAAAAAAGAAAAAAAGTGCTTTCTCTTGTAGTATGTTTAATTTCTTGCTTTTAATATTTTGTATATCTATTATAGGTTTTTGTGCTTACCATAAGACTTGCAAATAACATCTTATAATCAATTATTTTAAACTGGTGACAATTTCGTTCTGATTGCAAAGAAAAGAAAAACAGGCAAAAAGAAAATGAAATATTCCACACTTTAACTTCATCCTCCCCACTTTTTGACTTTTGTTGCCTCTATTTACATCTTTTTATACTATCTATCTCAAAAGTTGCTCTAGTTATTATTTTTGATAGGTTTCTCTTTTTGTCTTCCTACAAAGGTATGAGTGGTTTGTACACCACAATTACAGTGTTAGGGTAGTCTGTATTTGTCTGTGTACTTACATTTACCAGTGAGTTGTATGCATTTAAATGATTTCTTGTTGCTCATTAATATCCTTTTCTTTCATACTGAAGAACTCCCTTTAGCATTTCTTATAAGATAGGTCTGGTTTTTCATGAAATCTCTCAGCTTTTGTTTGTCTGGGAAAGTATCTTTGCTTCTTTTCTCTCACTGCCTTTAGGATTCTTTCTTTATCCTTGATCTTTGAGAGTTTGATGACTATATACCTTAAGGTAGTCTTATTTGGGTTGAATCTGCTTGTTTTTTGGTTTTCTTATACCTGGATATTCATATCTTACTCTAGGTTTGTAAAGTTCCCTATTATTATTTCTTTGAGTAAATCATCTACCCTGATCTCCCTCCCTCCTTCCCTGCCGCTGCCTCTCTCTCTCTCTCTCTCTCTCTCTCTCTCTCTCTCTTTTTCTCTCTCTCTCTCTGTCTCTCCATTCTCTTTAAGGCCAATAACTTAGATTTGTCCTTTTGAGGTTATTTTCTAGATCTTGTAGGTATGCATCATTCCTTTTTATTTTTTTGTTTTTTCTGCTGTGACTGAATTTTCATAGAGCCTGTTTTCAAGCTCATTAATTCTTTCTTCTGCTTGATCCATTCTGCTATTGAGAAACTGATGCATTTTTAGTTTGTCAATTAAGTTTTTCAACTCCTGAATTTCTGCTTGACTTTTAAAAATTATTTTAATCTCTGTTAAATTTATCTGATAAAATTCTGCTCTTTGTTATCTTAAAGTGCATTGAGCTAGCTTGGGCAACATAGGGAGACTCTGTCTCTATAAAAAATAAAAATAAATTAGCTGGCCATGGTGGCATACACCTGTGATCCCAAGTACTTGCAGTGTTTAAGTGGTATAAACACCTGGGCCCAGAAGGTCAAGACTGCAGTGAGCTGTGATTGCACCACTACACTCCAGCCTGGGCAACAGAGTGAGAACCCCTTTAAAAAAAAAAAAAAAAAAGCCGGGCACAGTGGCTCACGCCTGTAGTCCCAGCACTTTGGGACGCTGAGGCAGGCAGATCACCTGAGGTCAGGAGTTCGAGACCAGCCTGACCAACATGGGGAAACCCTGTCTCTACTAAAAATACAAAATTAGCCAGGCGTGGTGGCACGTGCCTGTAATCCCAGCTACTCAGGAGGCTGAGGCAGGAGAATGGCTTGAACCTGGGAGGCGGAGGTTGCAGTGAGCCGAGATCATGCCACTGCACTCCAGCCTGGGCAACAAGAGTGAAACTCTATCTCGAAAAAAAAAAAAAAGATTCATTGAGCTTCCACAAGACAGCTATTTTGAATTCCGTATCTGAGAGGCCATATATCTCCATCACTCCAGGACTGGTCACTGATGCCTTATTTAGTCCATTTGGTGAGGTAATGTTTTCTTGGATGTCCTTGATGCTTGTAGACATTTGTTGATACCTGGGCATTAAAGAGTTAGGTATTTATTCCAGTCTTCACAGTATAGGCTTGTTTTTAGCCATCCTTTTTGAGAGGACTTTCCAAGAATTCAAAAGGGATTGAGTGTTGTGACCTAAGCCTATGGTCACTGCAGCCATTTCAGCACTAGAGAGTGCCCTAAGCCCCGGAATGCTGCAACTCTTACAGACTCCTTGATACACAGCTTTGGTAGATTTTGGGAAAATAAGGGAGAATTCCCTGGGTTACCAGGTAAAAAGTCTCTCCCACTTCCCTCTCTTTCTGGCAAAGGAAGTCAGTCTCTGCACCAGGCTGCCTGGAGTTGGGGGAGGGATAATGCGGTCACTCTAATGGCCATGACAGCTGGCACTGCACAGGGTCACATGTAAAGCCTTGTAGCCCAGCACAGTGCTGGGGCTCACCCCACGGCTGTAGTCACTACTGCCTGGCTGTCGCTGATGTTTATTCCAAGCCAAAGCCACTCTATTCAGCAGAACGGGGTTTGTCCCATCAGGACATTGGATTCCCTGCTGGTCCAGCGTGGGTCTAGAAACACTGTCCAGAAACAAAGGCATGGAATCAGGAGGTACAGGAGTTTCCCTGGTGCTTTATTTTAGTGTGGCTTAGCTGGTACCCAAGTTACATGACAAAGCCCTCTGTATTCTTCCCTCTCCTTTCTCCAAGTGAAAAGAGTCCCTGAGCTGCACTGCCTGGAATTGGGGGATGAGTGACACAGGCACACCCTTGGCCACCACAGCTGGTGTCACAACTGAAGTCTACCACCTCTGTATTAGTCAGCATTCTCTAGAGGGACAGAACTAATAGGATAGATGTGATATATAAAGGGGAGTCTATTAGGAGAATTGATTCACACAATCACAAGGTAAAGTCTCACAGGCCATCTGCAAGCTGAGGAGCCAGGAAGGCAGTCCGAATCCCAAAACCTCAAAAGTAGGAAAACCAATAGTGCAGCCTTCAGTCTGTGGCCAAAGGCCTGAGAGCCCCTGGCAAATCACTGGTGTAGGTCCAAGAGTCCAAAAGCTGAAGAACTTGGGGTCAGATGTTTGAGGCAGGAAGCATCCAGCATGGGAGAAAGATGGAGGCCAGAAGACTCAGCCAGTCTAGTCCTTTCTGTGTTCTTCTACCTGCTTTTATTCTGGCCTTGCTGGCAGCTGATTAGATGTGCCCATCCAGATGGAGGGTGTGTCTGCCTTTCCAGTCCATTGACTCAAATGTTAATCTCCTTTGGCAACACCCTCACAGACACACCCAGGAACAATACTTTGCATCCTTCAATCCAATCGAATTGACATTCAATATTAACTATCACAACCTCCAAGACCAGGGTAGCACCAGAGCTTGTCCAAGGACTGCACTCCTTGGGTCCTGATTGCTACCTAAATTTATTCTGAGCCTCAAGCCACTTTAGTCAGCCAATGGTGAAGCTGGCTGGGACTCAGTTTCCTCTTGCTGGGGTGGAGGATTCCCCTCTGGCCCAGCACTGTCCTAAATGCTCCTTCCGTGGGCACTGGCAGAATTCTGTCCTGTACTGTGTTCCACTGTGACAGGGCAGTGCTGAGCTCCAATGCAATGTTGCACACTCATTTTGCTCTCTCTTTCCCAGGCCCACAGATTCTTTCTCTATGCTGTGCTGCCTGGGGCTGGGGGAGGGGTGGTGTAGATAATGCAAGACTGTCTTTCTGAGCTTTTCAATGCCTCTATCCTTGATATTACATTAAAATCGGGTATTGTGATTGCTACTTAATTTTTTTGTTATTATGGAAGTGCTTTCTTGCATTGATAGTTGTTCAGTTTGGGGTTCCTGTGAGGGGAAAATCACTGGAGTGTTCTATTCAGCCATCTTTCTCTACCTCTCCTCCCCTTTACAATAATGATAAATATTTAGAGAACCTTCCTCTGTTTCTTTTGGCAAAAGAACTATATACACCAAGATGAAAATTCAAGTAAAATAAATATAAACATAATTTCAAATAGATTTTAACTAAAAGCCAGTAGTTTTAGTAAACGTATCAGTGTATTCTCGTTAGGAAAGAATAAACAGATTTTGGTTGTTTCATTTTGTTTTGTTTTGAGACAGTCTCACTCTGTTGCCCAGGCTGGAGTGCAGTGGCATGATCTCGGCTCACTGTAACTTCCGCCTCCCAGGTTCAAGTGATTCTCCTGCCTCAGCCTCCTGAGTAGTTGGGACTACAGGCGCCCACCACCATGCCTGGCTAATTTTTGTATTTTTTAGTAGAGACAGGATTTCACCATGTTGGCCAGGCTGGTCTCAAACTTCTGGCCTCATGTGATCCACCTGCCCCAGCCTCCCAAAGTGTTGGGATTACAGGCGTGAGGCACCAAGCCTGGTGGAATAAACAGATTTTGACTTGACACAATCCAAAACTCAAAAAAGTAAGGTGAATTACTTTGGGAAATGTGAAGGTAGATCTGAAGAAGACCACCAGGAAAAGACCAGTTAGGACCTCTTCTTGCCAAATGTCTAGGACTCTCCTGCTACCCTAATTTCCTAATCATTCTAAATAAATAGGACTGTTATGTTATTAGCTTAATAGATCTGGAAAGAGGCCATGGAGATCAGGTTGCCCTCAGGTGATTCAAGGGTTTGGTTTCATTAAGTCACTGTTCTTAGCAGCTTCAGAAATTGTTCTTCACCTGAAATTTTGTTGTTTTACAAGAACCTCTTATATCATTTAGCCTTTTGCCTGAAGATTTCTCTGCTTACAATTGGCCTTTCAAATCGATGTTACATAATTGCTTGTATCTCTCAGGGATAAAGCCAAAATGGTAACTTTAAAATACCAGAAGCAAAGACTAAATCTTATTCTCTGTTTTATCGCAAGAACCTAGTATACTGCTTGGTACACAGAGATCTTCAATACATGTTTGATCGGTTGCATCAACATGAAGTCATACTCAAGGGATAGTTTAGCAGGTTTCTGAGATGAAGCAAGATGAAGATTGCTGACAATGCTACCTTTTCCTTTCATTCAGCTCCTTTTTACTGAGACAGTCCTAGGCTATGTTTAAGTTGATAAACAGCTTTATAATGACTCTCCCAAAGCATATCTGCATCTCAAGGAATAGTTGATGAATTTAAAAGAATTACCAGCTAAAGAAGAAGATCTGTGGACTGGGACAAGGGCCTTTATTCTAAAGCAAAGTCTGTTCCATCATTGGTATCCTGTCTTTGGAATTAGAATTATATAGTGATTATCACCCACACTATCCACTTATCCAGCTATGTACATTTTCATTTAGGTTCTGATATCTTAAGTCACCTTAAGATACCTAAACATACCCCTTGAAAATAGTGTCTTTTCTCACCCTTCTCCATCTCAATAAATGGCTCCATCGCCCAAGGCAAAATCTGAGTTTTATGCAATCTGTCTTCCCACAGCACTTCTATCCAGTCCATCAGCAAGTCATATCAGTCCTACTTTCAGAATACATCTCAAATCTCTCTTCTCTTCTCCATCTCCATTTTCACCACCCCCATCCAGGCCACCACATCTCTCACATGGAATACTGCAGGAGCCTCCTTACAGATCTCCAGTTCTTCTCTTACCCAGTAGACTCAGCTTTCTCCACAGCATCCACACAAGCCTTTAAACATATACATTGGATCATGTTATTCCACTCCTTAGCTTAAAACCATCCAAAGCTTATAGTTAGGCTTTTAAGATTTATTCATACTGCTGCATATAATTGAACTTCATTCATTTTCATTTCTATACAATATTCCATTGTCTGCCTGTACCACACTGAGTTATCCACTCTACTGTTGATGAGAATGTGGGTTGTTTCAAGTTTGAACTGTTGTTACAAACTTTCTTATATAAGTTTCCTGGTACACATATGCATACATTTCTGTAGGATGTAAACCTAGGAGTATAATTGCTGAGTTGTATATTATGTGAAGACAACAGAATTCATCAAAACCAGATGACAATAAACTATGCTTGTAAAATTAGATACTGAGATTTTTAAGGAAGGAAAAGAATATATAGAAAGCAATTACCTTGAGGAGGTAAGAGGGGCCTGTGTTTGGGGTGGGGGATGTGGGAGTCTTCTGAGGTGCTGATGATGTTCTATTTCTTCACCTGGATGGTGTTTATTTTATAACAGTTTGCTAAAATGTATATTTATATTTTATATTCTCATCTGTGTGGTTGCCGTATTTTGTAACAAAAGTAACCAAGCCACACAAATAATATAAATACACCCTTAAAGTAGTACAAATACAAAACTAAAACCCACGCAAGGCTTTATATTGCATTTAGAGTAATTTCAGTAGTTTGCCATGATTAGTAAGTCCTGTGTGATATGGTCCCTGGCTAACCCCTTTCCATTCTCCTTTCACTTATGCTTTTTTATTTCATCCTAATACTCATCTCATTTTATTAGTCATTAATTTCAAGAGTCAGCAGACTTTTTCTATAGAGAGCCAGTGGTAAATATTTTTGAATGTTTAGTCCATATTGGTCTCTGTCACAGCTACTAAACTCTGCCTTTGTAGAACAAAAGCCACCAGAGATAATACCTAAATCAACAGGCCTGATTGTGTGATACTAATAAAGCTTATTTACAGAAATAGGCAAGAGGCTGGGTTTGGCCCATGGGTTGTAGTTTGCCAACTCATGGTTAGTTTTTTATATTTTCTTTCAAACTAGACTAGTCAGTGCCATAGGATCAGAGTTGTCCTGGTGTCTATCATAGGTCTTAGGGTGTATACATCTGTACCTTCATTCATGAATGTATCTACTGGCTTAATTCCACACATTTACCTGTGTCTCTGTCCCCCCTCAGGATTCCATGTAAATTAATACTCTCACCATCAGAAACAAGGTATTTACCATGATTGAATCTTTCTATGTGCTAGGCATTAAGCTAGACACATTTCATGCATTATGTAATTTAACCCTCACAATGATTAAATTGGAGCCATTGTCATTTTCATTTCATAGATGTGGAAAATAAGTTTCAGTAAGGTTAAGGAACTTGATTAAGGTCACACAACATCAGTGCTGGAGCTGATATTCAAATCCTTGTACTTCTAATATAGATGTTGTCTGGTAATTTAGATAAGAGCCCCATAATGGTTGAGTTATTGTTAAGTTTGAATACCTATGCTAGTCTGTTTTGCATTCATATGAAGGAATATCTGAGGCTGGGTAATTTATAATGAAAAGAGGTTTATTTTGGCTCACAGTTCTGCAGGCTGTACAAGAAGCATGGTGGCTGAAACAGATTGTAATTTTGAACACTTTTTTTTTTCCTCTGCATTGTATCTGTCCTTGCCCATCCATCTGCTTCTGGTAAGACCTCAGGATGCTTTCATTCATGACAGAAGGTAAAGGAGAGTTAGGTGGCAAGAGAGGAAGCAAGAGAGAGGAAAGGAGGAAACTTCAATTATATACAACAGTATGAATGAATCTTAAAAGCCTAACTAAGCCAGGCTCTTTTTAACATCACATCTCACGGTAACTAATAGAGCAAGCATTCACTCTTTACAGAGGGGATGGCACAAGCCATTCATGGGGGATCCACCTCCATGACCCAAACACCTCCCACTAGGCCCCACCTCCAACACTGGGGATCACATTTCAACAAGAGATTTGGAGGGGATAGACCTTCAAAGTATATATAATGACATATGTGAAAAGCATTTAGCCTAGAACTTGGCATGTGGTAAGAACTCAGGAAATGTTACTTACTTGGTGCTGTATCTTTGTTACTTCTCTCAAAGTATTCAACAGCATTATTAATACTATTTTTACTCCTAATTTCCATTATGTCCTAATTTAATACCCTAATTTAAAGTACTATTAGTCCTAATTATATTAAGGAGTCAGTCTCAAGGAGTTTAAGATATTTGCTCACGTTCACACAGTTACAGAAACTGGAATTTGCATTTAGAATTTTTTACCTTAGACTTTCTACTCGAGATTCTGTGTTAGTCTGTTTTGCGCTGCTAGAAAGAAATACCTGAGACTGGATAATTTATATATATATATGAGGTTTATTTGGCTCATGGTTCTACAGGTTGTACAAGCATAGCACCAGCATCTGCTTGGCTTCTGGTGAGGCCTCAGGAAGCTTCTATTCATGGCAGAAGGAGAAGGGGGAGCAGGAATGTCACATGGCAAGAGAGGGAGCAAGAGAGAGAGGAGGAGGTGGCAGTCTCTTTAACCAACTAGCTGTTGTGTGGACAAACAGAGTGAGTACTTACTCACTACAACAAGGAGGGCATCCAGCCATTCATGAGGGATCTGCCCCTATGATCCAAATACCTTCCACAAGGCCCTACCTCCAACACTGGGGCTCAAATTTCAACATGTGATTTGGAGGGCACAGACATCCAAACCATGTCAGGTGCCATGAGAGAATAACAGATTAAGTGACAAGAAAATTAAAAAGACAGGGAGATTATTAAAGACCTCAAAAACAAACTTTAAAGGCATTTTAAAGAATAGATAGGATTTGGACACACAGAAATTTTGCACGGGTAGAAGGATGGGGATTGGGAAGAGGTGTTTCATATTTAGAAAACTTGTTGGTCAAAGTGTCAGAGACAGGAAAGCACAGGCCCCCACAGAAGAGCTCAGCACACAGGAGTGGGGACAAGGGTGCAGACGCCAGGCACCGGATGAGGTCCCAGGGCAGCACACAAGGAGGAAGAGAAGCGGTTCTGGAAAACTCTGGGCACACATAAGAGGAAGAAGAATGCTAATGGACATGGAAAGGGAGTGGTGAAGGATGAAGGGGAAAAAACCTGAGGAGTGGGTGCTAGAGGAAGCCTGGGAGGAACTTTCCTAGAAAGCTCCAATCAAAAGAGCACAAGTGGTATAGGAGGCCGGGTATGGTGGCTCACGCCTGTAATCCCAGTACTTTGGGAGGGTGAGGCGGATGGATCACCTGAGGTCAGGAGTTTGAGACCAGCCTGGCCAACATGGCGAAACCCTGTCTCTACTAAAAATACAAAAAGTAGCCAGGCGTGGTGGTGGGTGCCTGTAATCCCAGCTACTCAGGAGGCTGAGGCAGGAGACTCACTTGAACCCAGGAGGCGGAGGTTGCAGTGAGCCGAGATCGTACCACTGCACACCAGCCTGGGCGACAGAGCGAGACTTCGTCTCAAATAACAACAAAACAAAATAAGGGGTATGGGAATCCTTGGTGACCTCAGCAGCTGCCATGCCATATGGAATATCCTGGATATAGACAGAAGATAAGAGTTCTAGTGTAGGTAGGGAAGGTCACAGCGAGTATATTTTTTTCCTCCAAGAAGCTATGATAGAGTGAGCAGCTAGAGCAGCCTGTGAAATATTTAACAGACGCCAAGGAATTGTGTGCTTGTTTAACTGCAAACAACAGGCTGTTGTGGTTTTTTTTATTTGCCCCAAACAAATTGTAATTTTGAATATTTTTTCCCCCTAAATCAGGTCTGTCCCTTCCATCTACCTGAAAAGTCTGACCTGCTTCCTGTGGAAGGTTGTCCTAATGTAACCACCCTGTAGCCCTCTCATTAGCTCAGAGAACACAACAGTGAGAATGAATGAGCAAGGGGAAGACAAGGTGGTGCACAGGGAGCTAGGAGCAAGAGGAGTGAGAGGAGCCCAGGAAAGATGTCCCAATGGGGAGGGGTGAGTCAGAACCCCAGTGAGAATGAGAACTGAGGACAGGCCTCATGTGTCTTTGCCTTGTGTGTACACATCTCTGGGGTATAGGTTGGAAGTACAAAACAAACCAATAAATGGATGTTTATTGCCAGGCACAATGATAGGCAATTTGGGTGTAAGGGAAAGAAAAGGCCAAAATCGCTGTTTATACACGAGCCTGGTACTTCTTTATACCTGGGAACAGTGATTAACGTGTTCCTGTATTGTACTCATGGTCCTTGTGTGCCTAGGCAATGAAGAGGTGAGAATAATGCAGTCTGGATTTGGGGTTGAGGCTAGACAAATAGCTAAGGAAGAATGAATAGGACAAATCAGCTGTCATGATACTGCCACCTTGAATTTAGCTACCTAGTTTCTCTGCAAGTGAGAACCAACATTTTTGTGCCTGATTTTCCAGGGCTAGTTTGTGGCTAGCAATTAGTTCATTGTCTAGTCTTCTTCACAAGTGGCTTAGATTTTAGATAATGAGAACAGTATAAGTAATCTTTTACTTCTTTCTACCTGCATTCTGTCTTTAGACTTCAGTGCTCCTTTGACCAAGTCAGTATGGTGTTTGATCTTACTTAGAGGACTAAAGGAATTTCTGTATCTGAGTTAAGGAGTACTAATAAGAAAGAATATGAAGGAATTTTAGAGTCTGTCCCAACATTGTCTTTTTCTGCCTCTTCATAGGAAAAACCTGAATTCTCTTTATTCTGTTCTTTGTGGCTAAAAGTGCTTCTTTTTAAAACCTGTATGGCACTTTACTGCTTCTTAATCCAGGCTAGATATAGTTTCTAAAGTAAGCATGCATGACTCAGTGTTGGAACTTTTCCAGGTGGAGCAATGAAAAATGTCCTATGTGATCTTGTTTGGGTTAATAAACAAACCCATCTCAGAAAGGAAAGAGAATTCAGGTTTTTCTATGAAGAGGTAGAAAAAGAATCAAACTGGTTTGTACTAAAAAAAAAACAGCTTAAGCAGGGTCATTTGTTCTGTGGAATGAATAATGGCAGTTTGCTGTTCTTTCAGAGGTGTGCAAACTTTGTCATTCAAACCTGATTCTTTTTTGGCCACCTACAATGCCAGGCTCTCATGAGCACCTAGAACTAGGGAAAGGAAGGCAGAATGCTGCTGATGGCCATCCCACAGGAGGCACATGCATCCCTTAAAATGAGAACACGCTTCTTTGGCCTTCTTAATTTACCTAGTTTACCCAATGCTTATTTAACTATTTTCTCAACTTAATCCATAATTACCACCCATTTTCAGAAGGAAAGCCAGAAAGTTGTATTAGTCCATTCTCACACTGCTATAAAGAAATACCTGAAACTGGGTAATTTATAAGGAAAAGAGGTTTAATTGGCTCATGGTTCTGCAGGCTGTACAGGAAGCATAGCAGCTTCTGCTTCTGAGGAGGCCCCAGGAAACTTACAATCATAGGGGAAGGCAAAGGGGGAGCCAGTACTTTACAAGGCCGGTGCAGGAGGAAGAGAGAGGAAGGGGAGGTGCCCCTCACCTTAAAACAACCACATCTCATGATAACTCACTCACTCACTATCACGAGAACAGCACCAGGGGGATGGTGCCAACCCATTCATGAGAATCCACCCATGTGATCCAACCACCTCCCACCAGGCCCCATCTCCAACACTGGGGATGACAATTCAACATGAGATTTGGTGGGGACACAGAGCCAAACCATATCAAAAGTATATCCTAGCACTTATTTTCTGTTTTGAAAGAACGACAACCATGGCCAGCATATGATGGCAAACAAAGGGTTAAAGTGAAGACCCTCTCTCCCACCCCATAAATAATCCTCTCCTTCTTCCTACTGAGAGGAGAGGTGGAGAGTGAAGGGGGCAGGAAGTGAATGCTCACTCTATTGTATACCTTGAGCACGGGACTGTCAGTTTTTCTCTGAGGCTCCAGTCCTGCCAGAAGGTACAGAGATGAGCTGGGCTTGCAGCATCACCAGTGCAAGGCTTGCGGGTCCTCCAGCCTGACACAGAAGTTCCTGGGCTACATGCAGGAACCTCCTGAAGCAGATGGCACAATTCCATCCTCCAAACACCACCTCGTGCTTTTTATCACCTCTCAGAATATTCACAGGAAACCTTACTTAACACGAGCTCTTGCTCCAAACTGAAAAATGAAAGGAGAAATACATGCAGATCTGGCATCTAACTAACGTTCCCATCAACTATTCTGTAACTCTGGGCCAGAATTAGACTTTTAGAATCCAAGTTTGAGGGATCAGGATCCTAATCCTACCATATTTCTTTTTCTTACTCCTGCTTCCTTGTTCTTTTGAGAATGAAAATATCAGGAGATCAAGGGAAAAGTAATGTGAGCAAATATGTCATTTGGATTCTCTAGGCTGAGAATTTATCGTCTAAATGTTGAATGAGATATAAATCTTTGCCGGGCGCAGTGGCTCATGTCTGTAATCCCAGCACTTTGGGAGGCCGAATCATCTGAGGTCAGGAGTTCAACACCAGCCTGGCCAATATGGTGGAACCCTGTCTCTACTAAAAACACAAAAATTAGCTGGGCTTGGTGGCGGGTGCCTGTAATCCCAACTACTCGGGAGGCTGAGGCAGGCTAATCACTTGAACCCAGTAGGCAGAGGTTGCAGTGAGCCAAGATTATGCTACTGCACTCCAGCCTGGGCAATAGAGTGAGACTGTGTCTCCAAAGAAAGAAGAAGGGAGCAACAGACACCAAGGCCTACTTGGGGGTGGAGGGTGGGAGAAAGGTGAGGATTGAAAAACTGTCTATCAGGTACTATGCTCTTTACCTGGATGATGAAATAATCTGTACACCAAACCCCTGTGACATGCAGTTTTCCCATGTTACAAACCTGCACACGTACCCCTGAAACTACTAGAAGTACCACATTAATAGCGTGCATCTCCTTCTTCCTGCCTTGTTACTTCACTTTTTCTGTTCCATCTCTTAAAGAGGCATGTAAGGTAGAATATCAAAGTATTGAGTGTTCCCTTTGCTTGCTTGCTGGATATCCACTGGTACACAAACACATCTTCGTATCTACATGGCAGACTTATGTAAGTGACAATACTGTTTCTGGTGGATGGAACATAGAGCTTATATGACTGATCTGTGGTCCCTATATTTTGTTTTGTTTTATTTTGTTAATTTTATTCATTTTTTGAATAGGTAATAGATGCACATGGTACAAAATTCCCAAGGTACAAGAGTTTACGGTGAAAAGTAAGTCTCCCTCCTCTTTGCCCCAGTAAATATAGTTCCCATTTTGAAAGGCAATCACTGCTCTTTCATTCATTCCACATTTATTGAGCACCTACTATGTGCCAGGTTCTGTTCTGGGCAATGATATGAAGCAAAACAGACAAAGCCCCCTTGCCCTCAAGGAGCTTACATTTTGATTACGAATTTCTTGTAATATTCATTCAATAGCATCTTAAGTTTTGTATGGCCAGCGCACTGTGGTAGTTAAAAGAAGGGCTCTAGAGTGACAGCAACTGATTTTGAATCCTATTTTCTGTATATTCTAAGTAATCTTGGAGTATTTATTCCACCACTCTAAACTGTGTTTTATTTTGAAATGGAAATAACAATTCTGTTTTATAAGATTATGAGAATTAAATAATACATATAAAACACCAAACACAGTGCCTAAAACATAGTAAATGCTCAATAAATATTAGTGTTAATTATAATTGATCTGATTCTACTGTTCTGTAATGCTGACTAGAAATAAAGGATTTATTTTCCCAATAGTTTTCATTTCCTCTCTTTGCTGTATGATCAAAGAAAATCACTTTTTAAAGGATAAGCAACAGTAAATTTAAGTCAAGTTTGATCATTAATCTCTTGTGTATTAGACTATTTGCTGAGTTCTATTAAGAAATCAACTCCTAGTAAATCAGTAGAGTATAGAGACACTGTTTCTCTTTATTCTTTCTAATCTTTCTTAATCCCATGTAATTTGCAGGGTTGTACTATTTGGTCTGTACTATTAACTATTAATTTAAACTTTATAATGGGAGATTCTGTATTTTACAGAAGAATTAAACACTTTTGAGCAAAGTTTCTAATAATACAATTTGGTATCCTTGTCTTAAGGAACTTTATGACTGAAGTCTCCAGCCAGATGGGAAAACAGCTTTCAGTTCATGGAAAAGTGACAGAAGTTTTCCTTGGTGATGGTCTTAAGGTGGAAAGAGATTAGAAGAAAAGTACATCGGGTGGGGGAAGAAAAGAAGAGAAAATAACTTCTAGGATAAGAAAACACTTTTAAATATTAGGCCAATAACTATTTCCTTTATTCGACATGAAAAAGGATCATTAGGGGGCATAATGAAAGATTGTGAGGATGTTGGGTTGGGTATATTACACCATGTACTGGACCATTGACTTGGAATCTAAAAAGGAATGAGGGCACACCTATTTGGCCCACCACAGTCCTGATAATCATTTAATATACTCTCTTTCTCTCCTTTGTTCCTGTTTCTATTTTGTATTGTTTTCCTGGCAGACGAAGTTGACAGATCTTTGAATGGTTGATTATGGTGTAGGAAATCTCTTCTTTCAGCCTAGTCATGATGTAGGGAGGACTAGGAAGAGGAGATTGCTGAGTAGTTGAAGTAAAATGCCTCTGAACTGCTTTTATTAATTGGTTAGTGGTGGGATCAGGTAGATTTGGGGAGTTTTGTATTCTTTTTAAATATTTTGTAGGCTCTGATAATTTATTGACAGATGTAGATTAACAATAAGAACATCAGTGCTCAAGATAAAAGTTTCGAAATGCATCAAGTCAATACTAAGTGAGGCCTTCTCTAATGGCATTTGCCACTGTGCTCCTGGGCTTTGTGTATGCACATCATTTAATGCACTACAGAGCTAACTCTAATTTATTAGTGATACATTAGGCAACCAGAGTGTGACCTCTTTGGTTTACCTTTGGACCTTGTCATTTCTCATTTTTGTTTTGGTTACCTATTACAAAATTACAGCCTCCCCGAAACTCAGTGATTTAAGGTCTTATTATCTACCTTGGTTCTGTGAGTTAATCGGGGCTCAGCTGAGTCTTGGGATCTTTTATGAGATTGCAGTCAGCAGCTGAGGTGGAGGAACATGACCAGATGTCCAAGATGGTGTCTTCATTCAAAGGTCTGACACCTCAGCTAGGATGGCAGCGACAGCTGAGCGTTGGCTGGGCATTTCTCTTTCTCTCTCTCTCTCTCTTTGACTCTCTTTTTGTCTCTCTCTTTCCCTGGTTCTAAGCAGCCTCTCCATATGGCTACCTTGAGCTTCTTTATAACATGGTGCTATCATCATAGTCAGATCTCTTACATTGGGACTGGCTTCCCCCAAACCACTGTTTCAAGAGACTTGAGGAGTCTGCAAGGTTTCTTTGAACACAAACTCATTCATTCAAAATCACTTTGCCAAATTTTACTGTTCAAAATTTCAGCCAACCCAGATTCAATTTAGGGGTACTATGCAAGGGCATGAATAGAAGGAAACATAGTTCATTGGAGGTAAGGGTGAGGCGGGCATTTTAAAGATGAGCTACCAAAATCCTCTTTGCCTAAAAATAGTCAAATTCCTCTATAACACAGCTCTTATTTCACTGCACCAAATAACTTTAGAAAACATAAACCTACACAGCTCCTTTTTAGTAAGTGAAAATATGTGATCTTGGTAACATTTTTAAGCTAAATATATCTGATATAAAATGCATGTCATCTGTTAATAAATTACCTTGGTTGGCTTATACACACGTGTTAGAAGCTGCCACTAGCCAAAATGTGTTTGGATTATATAGTGGATTAGAGAAAGTTAACAAATCACACAATACAATTCATCTCATTCCTTTCTAATCTTTGGTACAGTAGTGTGTTGTACTATATAATAATGATAGAATGTTTTGTTCATTGAAAGGAGTGTGAATGAACTTTGTTGTTGTTATTGTTCATTCATTCATTCCATCAACAAATTTTCCTAACACAATGCCTGGCTTATAAGTAATGGAGAACAGGGACATTTTACTGCTGTAATTGGATTTTGCCTTTACCAGTATAAATAGTAGCAATTTAAATGCTATTTGAGTTCATGCATTCAGATATTTGGGCATTGGAAAAAATTGTGCAACAGAATAATAGTAATCGTGCTGATTAAGCCCTTACTTTGTGCATTATTTCATTTAAATCTCCCCAGGAGGCTTGAGGGTAGAGGCAGACTTATTACCCCCAGTTTTATAGAGGTTGGAACTATGACTCAGAGCAGTTAAATGGTATTTCAAAGGTCACCCAGTCAATACATGGTACAGCTTGGATTTGAACCTAGAGCACCTACTGTGGAAAACAGCATTAAAAGAATACCATTGCTTTTATTTCTAAATTCCATGTCTTTTAAGAAATGTTCTCACCATTCTAAAATGCTAAGTGGATAATTACTTAATGTTATAAGGCTATTTTATTTTCATTAATCTTTGGCCAAGTGTGTTGACAACTCCCACTCCTACCCCAGACTTCTTTTTGTTTCATAGTGACCATTTCTGAAGTCTAAGAAGTACGGCTAAAGAATAATGGAAACTTACTTTCATTGAAATTTTACTGTATACCAGTCATTTAACATAATATTTGAAAAGAGTGCTAAGTTGCCATGACATGTAGATTTAAAAGATAAACATAAAAATAACTTATATTTATTATCAGTCATGGATTCCAAGATTATTTATGAGAACTTCCAATATACCTGGCCCAGGAAGAATATGGCTCCTAACTTAGGGGATCTCACCAGCCAATGGGAAAGACTAAGCAGATGTGTTTACTGGCAATACATTCTGATGAGGGACACCTAATGGTGAGTAGAGGGTGCGACGGCTTCTAGAAAGAGTCAAAGATTAGAGAAGTTCATCAGGAAAAAACGATAAAGTTTCCATCAAGAGAATACACCCTAGTAAAGGCTCAAAGTCTAAAGAGTTTAAGGACTTCTAGGGACTGAAAAAATTCTGTATAACAGGAGGGAAGGTGGGTGTGGAAGAATAGCCAAGAAGGAAAAATAGCCAAGAAGTCAGTGGAAGGAACATTGCATCATAGGCCTTGCTGAGAAATTGGAATGAATGACAGTATTTGAATAACGCTTTGCTCAGTTCTGTAGTTTCGATTCGAAATACAGACTTAAAAAGTCGATGAACATTCAGACATTTCTCTTTAAACAAGACTTCCCCTTCTATTCTTTAGAGTTGGAAATTATTCTCTGCTTGGGAATAGTTTTCAATATGTTCCAGACATTATAAATGACTTCCCTTCTATTTCCATGTATTTCCCATGTTGATTACAGCCAGGCTGATCAGAGTAAAGCACCAGGTGTCATAGCATCCTAATATTATATGAATCATGCATTTATCCATTCATCTATGCATGTATCCAGGGAAAACAGATTTTTCCCCCTACTTTATCGGTTCTACAGATTCAGATTCCTGTATATTTAGGTAACATTCCAAGGGGATAGATGTGCTCTTATAAAAGACTGCTTACTTCAGCAAGACAGTTTCTAAACCCTTTACTTTTGAGCCCAATTCTCCAGGTATTCTCGGGGGCGGTGGGGGCTGGAGGGAAGCAAAAAAAAAAAAAAAAAAAAAAAAACAGCAATTGAAATGGCCTCTCCAGTGTACCCAGATGGAAGATGGGGAAGTCCTGCTAGTTTTTTCCTTCACTGCCAACATAAACAGGGTGGAGCAGCTGAGAAGGAAGGCCACTAGTGGAGAGAGAAAGAAACAATGTAACAGCAAAGTGACAGACCTCAGTCCTGCCTCCTATCTGGGGCAACAGAGGCCTCTCCAGCCAACCCCAGTTCTCCCTTTGCTTTGCACTTCCTCCAGGGACCTCTCGAAGGAGCACCAGTGAGTCCCTCCATATTAAATAGTTGAAAGAACTTGGGCCAAAAATAAAGCAGAACACCCATTTGCTTTTTCCAACTTGTCTCACTTCTGCTCCCTTCTTCAAACTCCTGATAAAAAGCAGCGGCAATTAGTGTATTGCAAAGTGCCTCTTGGAGAGTTATGGGAATCACTGCTGCTTTCCTTAGCCCCAGTTTCACAACCTCAACTCAAGGGCAGGCCCTCCCTCTCTCTTTTTCCCCTCCTTCCACCTGACAGGGACCATAAATAACTGAGGCTCCCAGTGTTCCCAGCTGAGAACAAAGTTGAAAGTTTGCCTGGAGCTCCATGCCACTCCCCGCCTGGGCCACTGCTTTGTTTTCTTCTAATGTTTTTCCTCTACCTGGGTTGGCTGTTTCTTCATTCATATTTGAGAAGAATCACCTCCTAATTAAATGTAGCACTTCGCTCTCTCCCTACATGAAGGCTGTCTTGGTTACCCGACTAGGCAACGCGCATTGGTATCAAATTACCGAAAGTCTACACCGGAGCAGTCCTCATATTTACATACAAATAACTCAGGGGCTTGCATTTATGTCACCATTCTGTCCTGCTAGAGGCTTGCCAGAGGAGTTTTTAATCCAATCAGAAGGAGCTTTAAAAGGATGTCTGCGAAGTGGTCAAAAGGATCTTAACCTCAATTAAGTGGGGTTTTTTAAAAAGATTTTTTTGGGGGCCTGAAATTTTGAAAATCTTCGAACTCTGAGTGGGGAAAGATGTATAATTCCTCAATTGCCTACGAGGATATCAAGATGCTGAGAGGAATTCAGCGGTGGTGAAGAGAGTGGATACAAACCAGGGATTGGTTTCCTTGAGCTGTTTTGGAGGTTGATTCTAAATCACTGCTTAAGGAATTCCTGGAAACATCAGGAAAACATTTGATCATCCAAGCCTAGTGGAAATGGCTTTACCGCAGAGTAAGATCTTTGAGTTGTACTTGGTGTGTGCTGTTTTTGTTTGAGATGCAGTGAATGTGCAAATAGCCCAGCCGTAAATAGTTACTTAAAATAATCTCTTGGTACTGGGTAGCAGCAGTAGAAAGTTGATCTGTTTAGTTTTTACATTTGCAAAAACAGTAGTTGACAGTGTATTTTTAGACTTGATTGGTAGTTTAAAAGCTGAGCTCTTGCGGTTTCCTGAGTTTAAATGAATGGAAAATGTAAACAGTACCGAATGCAGGAATTGGAAAATATATCTGGGGGAATGAATCACTTACCTTTGAGAAAACACAACATGTACACTTTTGCAATCTCTTGGCCAGTGAAGCTTGCGTCCAGAAAGAGGGTAAGAGTTTGCCTGTGTGGGGAAGGAACTTTTCTGCAGCCTGTGCTACCTTTTGAGAAGGATGGGAAATGTCCCAGAGGGCAAAAGACAATTGAAAAACCTGCCTTGTCACTCTTGGAATGTGGTTTTTCCATATGATGTCATGTTTTGCATACGTAGCTGGTAAAAGTATTTCACATAATTAACTCTTTGTCTTGATAATTAAAGAGCAATTTATATAGTCCTTTCAAAGTGCTAAAGCACCCATATTATCTCTGGAGAAGGCTGTGTTGCTTTCCATGTAGATTTCAAGCATTGGGACAGTTGGGCTGTTGTTAATTTGATAGGTTTAGAAGCATTTCAAAATTGATGTGTTCCAAGGCTCTCCAACCAAGCAAGTTATAGTTCACATAACTTGCTAGTTTCTTACTTAAGCCCCAAACTGAAATCCTGTGTGTGAGAAAACCAGTTTTTTTTTTAAATGTCTGTTTCCTTCCCACATATAATTTCAAGAACAGTAATGAAGAGGTGGTTCTTATTTTGTAATCCATGTCCATTCAAACAAGCTGCCCTCATCGTGGGTGAGGTGAGGTGAGGAAAACTATAACTGACATAAAACATCCACCTTTCTAGTCAGCTGAGGCTTACAGGGAAGCAAAGGGATACGGGTAATGTTTTCAGATTTGTATTTAATACCAGGAGTTGTTTCCGCTACTTAAATTCACTCTTGAAATTGTGTACTAACCTTTACCTATACCTTTTCCTTCTAAATGAGAGTTTCAAAAATTATCCAGGTGATAGGGGAAGGTGAATATGAGATATTGGGGGATTTGCTGATAACCAAAGGAGTGATTTTCTCCACAGCTGACACTTTCAAAAGGGAAGCTTTTGATGTGGGCTTACTCTCTACATCTGCAGGTGAAGATGCAATGACCGGGGACACAGACAAATATCTTGGGCCACAGGACCTTAAGGAATTGGGTGATGATTCCCTGCCTGCAGAGGGTTACATGGGCTTTAGTCTCGGAGCGCGTTCTGCCAGGTACTTCGTTGTTGCTGTCTTTCATAGTTAATTTAAAACAACCATGATTTGTCATAAATCAAAATCATGTTCATTTTTCACATTATCCCAAAATGTGTTCTTTGGATGAAGATGTGAATTTAGCGAAATGTTCTCGACGCAAATACACATGCTCTGCTATTTTCTTTTGTGGTTTGCGGTTGTTAATTTCATGTGATTGAACATGTTAATTGTGTGTTCTTTTTTTTTTTCCCACTTTGCAGTCATGCTGCCAGCACAGTAGCAAAAGAGCTCACTGACAAAACTGGGAGAACCAATCTGAGTCACATATTTCAAAATTAAGTTTTGTTCCATATTGAAAGAAAGTATTATTTGCTAATAAGTGAGAAATATGTGTATAGATTGTTCACTATTCTCTGTTACTGAAATAATAATTCATGATTAAAAGAGAGCATTTTTGAAAAAAAATTATGTTGTTTATTAAAGTTGTCCACCAAGTGTTTGAGTATCTCTTCTAAAACTGTTCCATTATTTTGTTTACAAGGGACATGTAAGAAGTATAACAGTGATTTACCAAAAGTCACAGACAGGAATGGTGACAAATTCAGTTCTTACAACTGAAGTGGAAAACTTCTGTATGGGAAAACCTTGACTCAAACTTTTCTTAAACTAGTTGAAAGAAACAGAACCTTGTGCAGAATTTGGAGACTTCTTTGCCCTAGTGTGGATTTTAAAGCTAATAATTAAACCTTCTAAGCCAGAGCCCTGAGGACATTTTCCTATAGTTTAAGGATCTGTTGTAGAAAGTTTCATTGTCTAATAGTAAATGGCACTTCCCACAAAGTAAACCCTGGAGTTTATTCTCAGTGTAGTTGGTGTGGCCAGTATGGATATTGAATTGATTTTTCTTCTAGTCTTTTTTTTAGTAGGAATTTGAAACTCATATAGCTTGGTAGAACTTTTGCCTTATAAATACATTTATAAAAGGCCTTAAAGTCTTATTGTAGCAGGTGTCATTAACAGGAAGAGGAAAAATAACTTTAAAAAAATATGCAATCTTTTAGGCGATCAAAGATAGCAACAAGTTAAAATGGAAAATATGTAGAACTTTTAAGGTTCTTGAGATCCTGTAGATCTTGTTTAAATTGTAGAGATTTATAGCTTTTGAAATCCAATAACTAGCTTGCCTTCTGTTCTTCTGATAATATATGACACATTTTGTGATCAGTCATTTTTATGTAGAAAACTGTAGTAGCTGACCTCCAGTGACATAGGAAACCAGAATATCGCACTGTATTTTTTTTCTTAATATAATTCCAAGGCTTTCACACTTCTAATTTTGATTGCACTATTATTTGTTGCTATTATATGTAACTCATTTTTTTTACTTTGATGACTCATGTTATGCTCAGAGGCAAATATTTTTTAAAAATCTATAAAGCCAATATTTTTAAGCACATTGTTAGAGTATTATCAAGTAAAATATATTCTGAGTGTAACATTTTAAAAGGAGTACATTAAATGTGTAACTCATTCAACCATAACATTTTTTTTCTTTTTTCCCTGTCTGATTTTTTGCTTTCTATTTCTTGTTTTTTTTTTTTTTTTTTCCTAAAATTACTTTAAAATAGTCCCAAGATAAGGTAAGAAGACATGGCACTTTTATAGTGTTTCTCTTCCTTCTCCTGGCTCATGCTCTCATTTTTATTTTCTTTAGCATTGTAATGTGATGTGCTGTGATGTGCTGCGATGTGCTTTCTTTTTTTCTGCTCAAAAGCTTTAGAAACATCAGTAAAAATTTTCTGATTTTAAGAAAAGTAGAAAGTATATAATAAATATTACTTACGCAAAATTTACCAGATACTTAAGGAATTTCTTTCCCTTAACAAGTTTTGTATAGTGCATGAAGTAATTAAAGGAATTTCACTGGGTTTGCAGAAAAAGTCCTGATGTGAAGGGCTGTTTGTTTGCTGGTTTCTGTTTTATTTGAGTTGTGCTAGGTAAATTAGTATAAATTTAGAATTCTGAGGCATGTTTTTCTAACACTTCCTATATTTAACACTTAGGGTGTACTGATGGCTACAAATAGTTGGCCTTAGTTGAAAACAATTTAATGTTTTCTAGATCCTCATGCAAATAATCTTTAATTTTCAGCTGAAAGTACTTCGAAGTATTAAGGATTCCGAGTGAAACTTGATGGATTTAATTGACTCCATATGTCTAATTTAAATTGGTCTGGAATGATCAGAAGTAGGAACTTTAGACATTATGCAAAATGAAGACATCTTTAGGCCTTTCGGTTGATAGCTCCCAATTCAGGGCTCTGTTCTGCAGTTGGCACTCATAGAGAAATTAAAAGAAGGAGGAGATGTTTAAGAAGTATCAACAAAGTTTAGATACATTTAAAAATGAAATTAAAATGAATAGGTAATTATTTTTTAAAACTTTTAAGTGTTTGTCTACATAGAAAACTGTTTCATACACCCCAATGTTAACATATCATGCCATGGGGACCATAATTTGAAGAAATGAATGTCTAATGCAGAGAGTGGCCGGCGACTCTCAAATCACACCACTGGAGCAAAATTTAACATTGTTATTAATACTTAGAAGCTGCACTAATAATGTAGCCACTAGCCACCTATAGTTACTTAAATTAAAATTAGTTAAATTCATTTGTTCGTTCACACCAGCCACATTTCAAGTGCTCAGTAGCCGCTGTTGTTGGATAGCTCAGATTTAGCACATCCCCTTCATAGGATAAAGTTCTGTTGGACAGTGTTGAGTTAGAGAATTCCTGCTCTTAGGAAGCTTCTACTGTATTTGAGAGAAGGTAAGAGAATAGAAACAGGAATGGCGGAAAGAAGGGCTTGCAATTGAAACTGGGGAAAAAAGAGAGTAATGGGTCCCATGATTGGGCACAGAGGGCCTGACTGTGCAAGTGGCTAGAGTCATGTGGCTTACTAGATAAGTTCCTCTGTGCAGGAATTATGCTTATAATGGTCTTTTAGTAAGTTTTGCTGAATACATTAAATAATGACTGCAGAATGATGGTTGTTTGGGGATAAGAGAGGTCCATCTGAGATTCTGATAAAAGTGAAGGCTCCAATCCTAGAAGAATGTACGTACCTATCTGTGTAGACACTTAGAATGAGGCCTCTAATGTCAGGAGGCTCTGTACCTTGATAAAAGGATACCCACTTTCTGATTTTCTTTAGTATAGCAGGCAGTGGGGAAAAGAAATTGTTTCATGCAAAGAATCATTTATTTACCTCTTATGTGTATCTTCTTTGTTCATTTCCCCATCAAGCACACAAAAGGCAAGGCCAAAGCCAAAGTCTGGCTGGTTCAACTGGTAAAGATACAAGAAGGCACTTTTAGATCCAGATGGTTTTTTAATTATATAGGCAGTGAAAGAAGAAGTGAAAGGTGCTAGCTTCTCATGATCCTTGTCCCCTACACCTAAAAGGACACCAGAACAAAAGGGGCTGGATGTCTACAATGCTAGTTATGGGATACCCCATTGCCGAGGAGCCAATTCTAGACTTCAGCTAAATGGTTTTATATTCTGCAGCTCTATTCCAAGGAGAGCAGAATAGGAAGCCTCATACATCATTAGAAAGAGGAAGTGATGAAAGCTATCTCATGACAGCCTCCCAGGTGAGATGGGGAGGTGAGTAGCAGATGATCTCGTGGAAGCTCCTCACCAACCTCCATCCTCTCAGTTCCTGGAAGATCACAGGGTGTTCTGTGAAGACTCAGATTAGCTTCAATTCCGGTCTTTGCCTGTATGACTTATGTGAATATATGCAAGGTCACGAGAGTGACATGGCAGAACTGTTCTCCCAAGGGCCCTGACTCTATTGAGTTTTAGTTTAGAGGTCACTGTGATGATGGCATATCAGGGCATCAGGGTACCTGCATCTGAGAAGTTCAAGGGCCATATGGAGGATTTGACAGTGGCTGGAAAGAACAGTTGGAGGAGCTAGAAAGACAACAGTAGAGCAAAGAAAGAATATTTGCAGAAAAGACCAAATAACCATGCAGGGAATATGAATGTTTCCTCAAAGCCAGGAAGATGGCAAAAAGGATCATGCAAAGTGTATTCATAACACTACTTCCTTCTTGATGTTTTCTATGAGTAGCAACAACAAACCAGAGTTCTCAGTAAGTCCCAAAGACTTATAAACAGACCCATTTAAAGTAGACATAATTCTTATCAGTAGCGCATGTCAAGTAGACATAGACCAGAAAGAGGAGACATTCTAACATAAGATCTCATCCTAGAAAAATCTGTCAACTATCTAGAATCATCTGGTTCTTCTCAATTGTCATGTCAGTTCAACTTCATAGTGAAACATCCAAAGTTTTCATGCATTTCATATTCTCAAAATTGGCCTAATTTTAAACAAATTCTAATCATAAGGTTGTCTACACTGAAGACATTTTCTCAAATACAAGGGATTTTACTTTTCACTATGTCCTTTCAAGAACAACTTTTGTTGATATTTTTAGCCATCTTGCCTGTTCTTAAAGTTGCATGCATTAATTTTTTTTTATTCATCTCATCATCATCTACCACTGTTGAATGGTTAACTGTAAATACAACAGCCTCCGCTCCTTCAGTTCGGATAGGTCTTACACCTTGAACAGAAGCTCCTATGCACGGGACAGCATGATGATTGAAGAACTCCTTGTGCCATCCAAAGAGCAGGTATGCATTCTTTTCAAAATAGCCTTTGACCATTAAACTTACATTTGTATGATTTAATCAAGCTCTCTGTCTTGTGACAAAAAATATATTTCTGCATGTTTGATTTTACATTTGTAAATCTTCTGGTACTAGCCAGTTAAAAAAAAATAAGTTGTACTATAAGCAGAAATATTCCTGTCTTCTGCAGGTGAGGAAGATAGGAATATCAGAGAGGAACTCAGAAAGTCCTAGGAGATGTGTAGTTACCTTTCTCTTCTCTAGGTCAAATCTATTTCAGTTTTTTAAAAGGAGAGTTAATAATCATTGGTAGCTGAAGTTGCTGGTATTAACCTCATGAATGTTTTTGTTTGTTTTTGGAGACAGAGTCTCTGTCACCCAGGCTGGAGTGCAGTGGCATGATGTCAGCTCACTGCAGCCTCTGCCTCCTGGGCTCAAGTGATTCTCATGCCTCAGCCTCCTAAGTAGCTGGGACCACAGGCGCACCACCACACCCAGCTAATTTTTGTATTTTTAGTAGAGACGGGGTTTCACCATGTTGGCCAGGCTGGTCTAGAACTCCTGACCTTAAGTGATACACCTGCCTCGGCCTCCCAAAGTGCTGGGAACAGGTGTGAACCACCGCACCCAGCCTGAATGTTGTATTTTGCTAAACAAACTGTGTATCTATGTTGGAATTTGTTAGAATTGTTTTTAGTAAGTAAAGATGAGACTGGTCATTTTTTGTTCCCTTAGCTTCAAAGCTGCCTTTGATGGGTGTCTGAAGATGTGATAGTATTTTGCTTTCTACCAGAATCTCTGCTACATGCATTTGGTGTTTGTGTAATTGTTTTCTTCCAATAATTGTGGTTGAATAGATAGCGGGTTACTATAAGAAGTTCCAGTAACACAGTCTTCCTGCATGTGGGCTCAGGATGGTCCTGGAATAATTACTACACAGATAATACCTGGCTTTAAGTATGCACAGTAGTGATTTAATGACAGATGAAACTATCTGGACAATAAAACTTTTAAAGGTGGCTTATAATATTTAAACAATGTAAATAATTGGTGAAATCATGCTGGGCTTTTTGACTTACTGCACAATGAACGTGAATTGGAGCAGATGAATAAATGATAGTCACATATCATAGCCAAGTTAGAAGTTAAGCAATAGGTAGACTTTTGGGACTCCCACATGTCTGCAGATGCTGATGTCTAGACCTACATATGTGTGTTGTACTTCATAGGAACCTACAATATATATTTTATTACTTTTTACTCTCTAGAACATTCTTAATAAGCAGGCCTTACAGAGGTGAATACAGTGGTTATTCAGTGTTTGGTCAGACAAAAAAACTCTATTAAAAATGATTATAGGCTGGGCATGGTGGGTCACACCTGTAATCCCAGCACTTTGGAAGGCCAAGACAGGCAGATCACTTAAGGTCAGGAGTTCATGACCAGCCTGCCAACGTGGTGAAACCCCGTCTCTACTAAAAATACAAAAATTAGCCAGGTGTCGTGGTGGGCATCTGTAATCTCAGCTACTCGGGAGGCTGAGGCAGGAGAATTGCTTGAACCTGGGAGGCAGAGTTTGCAGTGAGCCAAGATTGCACCACTGTACTCCAGCCTGGGCAACAGAGCGAGACTCTGTCAAAAAAAAAAAAAATTGATTATAGGTGCATGTATTAGTCTGTTCTCACACTGCTAATAAAGACATACTAGAGACTGGGTAATTTATAAAGAAAAGAGGTTTAATTGACTCACAGTTCCACATGGCTGGGGAGGCCTCACAATTATTGTGGAAGAGAAAGAGACATCTTACATGGTGGCAGGCAAGAAGAGAATTTGTGCAGGGTAACTCCCCCTTATAAAACCATCAGATCTTGTGAGACTTATTCAGTATCACGAGAACAGCACGGGAAATACCTGCCCCTATGATTCAATTACCTCCCACCAGGTCCCTCCCACAACAGGTGAGAATTGTGGGAGCTACAATTCAAGATGAGATTTGGATGGGGACACAGCCAAACCATTTCAGTGCAATAGCATGTCATGGGTTTTAAATGGGTATTAGCACTAGAGAAAGCACTTGTCTCAAATAATGAAACTAAGTCTTGGGTATAAGGTGTTGCCAGGAATTGGTTGAAATTTTCTGCTTGGTTGGCTGTGGTCATTATTTCAGTCTGTAATCCTGCTCTTTTCATATTCCCAATTGAAATGAGATGGCAGTGGAGATATTGATACCACTTGTAAGTATAAAAATGCCTGTTATTCTCTACACTCTAAGGAGACCCCACAAAACGTAAAATCACAGGTGAAAGGAGACTCCCCAGGTATCAATGACACTTTGCTAATGTAGAAAGCATGTGCCAGGGAATTTCTGATCAAACCTAATTGTGGCTTATATTTCTGCATATTAACTTGCTATGGGTCAAGGGCCCGAAATTGGAACCACCACCACCATCACCATGACCTTACCATCATCACTGTCACCTCCACCACTGCTACCACCACCACTATTACCACCATAGTTACTCTACCACCCACCTTCTGCACATCAACATTGAAGTAAAATGCAAGTGTTTGTGGTGCTATAAAATGGCTTCTGAGGGTTCTCACACCATTGCCTATTAACCATTACCAAGACCTACTTACTCAGGTAGACTGTGGGGGCAGCATTTACTCAGAACTAAGGATTTGTGAACAGAAATAGAAGACAAAGAGAAGTTTTGAGATGAAACTGATGCTCTTGTAGTCAGTTGTTGCTTCCAACTCAAAAATACCTCTGTGGACATCATGAACACTTCTATAGACCCATCAGAGGAAAGGAGAGCATAGGACATCTGAAAATCTTTCAAAATAAACTTTAAGTTGATAATGTAGAAACAGAAAGTTGCTGTCTTTAATGAGCACAGAATACCCACATAGGCATTCCTTGTGGAACCAGCATGTTTAATAAGCATATAACACTACTCAGATCCATGCAAATCCAGAATAAATTGGCAGGAGATTTCAGAGCGGGAAATGAGAGTCATAAAGACATTTTAGGGACTGTTGGGGGCATTTGAAAATGTCTTGGAGATATCTGTGTATGTAGGAAATCATTGATCATTTTCTTAGCAGTGATAATTTTAGCATTGATAATTTTCTTAGCTTATCACTGCTACTTATTGGACCTACTCAGAGAATATTGGGGTATGCATGCTGAAGTTTTCCAGAATTAAGCAATCATTAATTCAACTATTTATTTCCAAATAGTTCAGCCAAAATGCATGTGGATAAAGTTAAAGCAAATATAGCAATGTTAATTGTTGAATCCAGGTGGAAGGTACATGGGTATTTTTTATACAGTTTTTCAACTTTTTCATTTGTGTGAACAATTTCAAAATAGTAACTTGGAGGAAGGAGGAAAAATCCTGAAAGAGGTGCATTAACTTTTTAAGTCTCTAGTTTTGAGACTAAAAAAAGCTAATGCATCTCTGTCTATTATTATAGATAAATAAAATTATAGATACAGAGGAGAAGGAAAAGGCTAATTGCTCAAAGAAGAAGCTGGCAGACAGAAGTGTCTAGATACACTGTGCAAGACTCATGGGAAGCATTTACTTCAGAAGTGCATTTAAACACTTTAGGATTAAATGACAAAATTATTAGTTTCTGTTTTTCATTTCTCTAATTTTGTATTTATAATGTTCAAAATATAGCTCTTCCACAGTAATAATTTTGTTGGAAAGCGTGAAAGAAGTTTTCAGTATTTAGAATTCCCAAAGCAATGACATATAACTTACTGTCAGATTTAAAACTGCACTGTCATTGCCCAGTTAAATTTGCCCTGACAAGTAAAGGTGAAAAATGAGTAAAAATGAACTCTCATACACTTCTCTTTTTCAATGAGTAGATCTCACTCATACAAAGTACAGTTGCCTCTTTATTATCCTGCTGATTAATCAGTTTGCATATTAACCACAGTTAAAGTGTAGTTGAGACCCAGGGTGATTAGTGCAGGACTGCCACCTCACCCTCTAGGGACCTGTGCTGGCTGAAGGCACATGTGGAGGCCAGAGCTGGGGGAGGGGAGTGGGAGAGGTGGAGCCATCTCCACCCCCTGTTGAGCCTGAGTACTTAGTCCTAATCCACTTAATTCCCTCCTGGACAATCAACAGTAGACTGTTTTGTTACAGGTTATCATGAACTTCCTATTCTTTTACCTTCCCTTTACTTCAGAAGTGCATTTAAACATTTTCTATTAGAATTAAGTGACACAAAATCATTAGTTTTTGTCTTTCATTCCTCTAACTCTGTATTTATAAATTTCAAAATGTAGCCTTTCCACAGCAATAATTTCATCAGAAAACATGAAAGAATTCTGTTAGCCAAAAATTACCTGAAGATATGTTTTTGAAAATGTATATGTAAATGAAATCATGTCTTGGATTTGTCAAAAGATCTTTTTATTTAAAGCAATGGCTCAATCCAGACCACTTACGAGCATCACTTGGAGAACTTTGGGGTGTGTGTTTGTGTGTGTGTGTGTGTGTGACAGAGTCTCACTCTATCACTCAGGCTGGAGTGCAGTGTCGTGATCTCAGCTCACTGCAACCTCCACCTCCTGGGTTCAAGTGATTCTTGTGCCTCAGCCTCCCTAGTAGCTGGAATTACAGGCATGTGCCACCATGCCCAGCTAATTTTTGTATTTTTTAGTAGAGACGGAATTTTGCCATGTTGCCCAGGCTTGTCTCGAACTCCTGACCTCAAGTGATCCGCCCAGCTTGTCCTTCCAAAGTGCTGGGATTATAGGTGTGAGCCACCATGCCCGGCCACCTGGAGAACTTTTAAAAAGACGATTGCTCAGTTCCTGATTTCTTTGGCCTGTGTAGAGACTGGGCATGCAATTCTAAATGAACCCAAGGTTGAAAGCCACTGATTCATAGTCAGTATTCTTAACTGGGGGTGCCCAATGGAATTACCTGTGGCTCTTTTAAAAGCAAGATGCCTGCAGAATCAGAATTTCCATGTCTGGGTTCTTGGGCATATGTATTTTTAAGGGTTCCCCTGACAATTCTAAGGTGTACCTTTAGTTAGTAACTGCCGATTTAAGGCAACTCTCACTGGAAGCTTGGTGTGTATTGGTATGTCAACATCTAATGTATTTGTTTTATAAGCTCAGATTTGTATGTGTCAGATTGTCTGAGAGCAACACCTGTGCTTGGAAACATTCCATTCCTCTCCAAATAGGATTTAATAAATAAAGGGATGAGTCTAAACTGAAGCCTGATTGTCTGGGATGAATGTAATAGCATGGTGCTTTCATTTCTTCTGATGTAATTATTGAAAGCAACTGTCTGGTACAGCTAATGTACTTAAGACACATTACTGTGTGTGATCCAGATTAGACAGTGCTCATTACATAAATGGAATGCTATTCACTAGATACCTTCAGTGTCAGGAGATATAATGGTGGTAACACTTATGGTGGTGGTGAAAACAGCTAATTTTGAGCTCCTATTATATGCCTGGAACTATTCTAAGTGATTTAGCAGTATTAAGTTGTTTATAGTTCACAATATCCCTATGAAATAATTTGTTAACCCCATTAAAAAGATGAAGAGTCCAGGCACGGTGGCTCACACCTGTAATCCCAGCACTTTGGGAGGCCAAGGTGGGTGGATCATTTGAGGTCAGAAGTTCGAGACCAGCCTGGCCAACATGGTGAAACCCTGTCTCTACTAAAAATACAAAAATTAGCCGAGTGGTAGTGGTGCACGCCTGTAATCCCAGCTACTCGGGAGGCTGAGGCAGGAGAATCTCTTGAGCCTGGGAGGCAGAGGTTGCGGTGAGCTGAGATTGCGCCACTGCACTCCAGTCTGGGCAAGATAGTGAGACCCTATCTCAAAAAAAAAAAAAGAAAAAAAATGAAGAAACTGAGGCACAGAGAGCATGAGTAACTCACCCCCGGGGACACAGCTTGTAAGTGGCAGAGTCACTGGCCATCTGGCTCCAGATTGCCTCATTTTATCCTGAACACTCTACATCTGCATTGCTCAGTGCAAGAAAAAGGCCCTTGAGGAGTCCACGTAATTTATAGTCTCTCCTCCAGGATTTTATACTTGCTAGTATTCTTGGTTGGGCCACAGAACCACCATCGTGATGTATTTTTTAGCATGAAAGATTATATTTAGACAGTGTTCTTTGTTAACGTTTATTTCTAATCCTAATAAAGTCTTTTATTTATTCAATGTGCTTTAAAAAGAACTGACATATTCAGTAACAATTATAAAAAGTATGAAGAACTGGCCGGGCGCGGTGGCTCACATCTGTAATTCCAGCACTTTGGGAGGCCAAGGTGGGCAGATCACGAGGTAAGGAGATCGAGACCATCCTGGCTAACACGGTGAAACCCCGTCTGTACTAAAACTACAAAAAATTAGCCGGGCATGGTGGCACGTTCCTGTAATCCCAGCTACTTGGGAGGCTGAAGCAGGAAAATCGCTTGAACCAGTAGGTGGAGGTTGCAGTGAGCCGAGATCGCACCACTGCACTCCAGCCTGGGAGACAGAGCGAGACTCTGTCTCCAAAAAAAAAAAAAAAGTATGAAAAACTAAAAATTATGGCATGGAAGGCATCATTACAGGAATGGAACTATTTGACCTTCAGACAGATAAAAGGTAGAAGGCATGACATCAGTTTACAAATATTTAGCAGGCTAACCAATTAGTTTATCTTCCTTTAAATGACACCAGAATTAGTTGTAAGACTAAAAGGTATGTATATACTGTAGGCAGAAACATGTAATTCAGTATGATTTTTTATAGAGTCATTCAAAGATGGGAGAAAAGCATAAGTCACTTATCGATGTCGGTTGGTTTTGCCTGCATACACCCATTTGGCTTTCCACATATACCCATTTCCGTGGCAGTGCCTGGATCTGATGGTCGAATCCCTAACCCCACCCATTTCTCAGCTAATGTTGTTTAGAAGGGGCATAAGTCCCTCCTGTTCTGCAACAGTGAGACCCAATTCTGGCCGTTCAGAGCATTCCTATCTCCTGGATTACAGCAATTACTTTAGGATAAAAAGTGAAATCTGAGCCCATCTAGTGAGACTCAAATTTGAGACTTTGTCTAACCTTTTGGGAAAGAGAAACTCTACTGGGGTTCCTAAGCTATAAAGATGACATACGTCCAAAGCTGCTGGGAGTAGAATGTGAAGACCAATGATTCCTACCATCATTTGAGCTGGATTCAACCGACCTTGAAGTTAGCACCATACAGATTTTCTTGCCATATAAACCAGCAATTTAATTTCAGTCTTCCCCCATCCCTGGAAAGGGAGTATCTTAAACCAGTTCAGTTTGGTTTTCTGTCATTACTAATGTGGTTGCTATTGGTGGTAATGAAACCTGGTAGGAACAACCACATATCAATGGGAACATAAAACGTCTAGCATCTTAAAGTGCCATTCAACCTTGAGATTCTATTATTTTATGCTTTCTCTCTAGAAATAAGTAAATCCAATATTAACAAAAGAGAAAATGAGGAACTATGATTTAAGAGAATGCTATAAAGTTGGGGATTTCTTTTTTCTTTTCTTTTTTTTTTTTTGAGACGGAGTCTCACTCTGTCACCCAGGCTGGAGTGCAGTGGCATGACCTCAGCTCACTGCAACCTCTACCTCCCGGATTCAAGCAGTTTTCATGCCTCAGCCTCCCCAGTAGCTAGGATTACAACCATGCACCACCACACCTCGCTAATTTTTTTGTATTTTTAGTAGAGATGGAGTTTCACCATACTGGCCAGGTTGGTCTCAAACTCCTGGCCTCATGTGATCCACCCGCCTCTGCCTCCCAAAGTGCTGAGATTACAGGCGTGAGCCACCACACCTGGATAAACTTGGGTATTTCTAAACAAAAACTTTAGAAAGGAGCCCCTTGCCAATTGATCACTCTAAAATGAACACCTTCCATTTCCTTGTAGTTCTGTTGACTTAGGGGCAGTGCATCTGTGAAAAGAGAGGAATGGGACAGCTGTTTGGCCCTGTTCTCTCTCTGAGTAGATTTCTTTCTTTTGAAGACTTCCTTTTCAGACCAGATTTGCCTACATGGTTTGTTCCTGAGGGGACTAGTGGCAGGCCTTCAATAGTGACTGGTTTAGAAGACTTAACTAGACTATGATGTCAACAGTTGCACTGGCTGTTTGAATGCTGACTGTGGAGAAAATTCTGTAAGTGATATTGGAGGCCTCATTATAGCCATCATGTACAGGAAGGCTGCTGTCACATCTTCCACCCCATAACTCTTCTCATTTATTTCACAGCCAAGGATTCTGGTTCCTTTGGATTGGACTTGGTCTTTTTTGAGGCTAAGGATGATTTCATATACATTTAGTCATATAATGTGTAATGTACAATTTGATATGTTAGCAAGTAGTGTGAAAATTGGAGCATTCTTCAGAAGAAACTTCCTGCTCGTATTTTCAAGATCCAAGCATTTTCAATTACCTCAGTAATAGGAAGGGAGAAGAATACCTAACCCAAAAGACTGCCTATGCTAACAGTCAGATTTTCCTCCTCTACCTCTCAACCCTATTCCACCCACACTCCCACCCCCATCTCCCACACCCGTCGGCAGATTAACCTTGCTATTTCTTTCACATAAGCTAATTTCTAAGGGGGGTGCTCAGAAACGTGCATGGTGGCAGAAGGTAGCCAGCCTCAGATTAAAGATTTGCTAGAGATAGTCCCCCTAGAAGATAGGCATCTTTGACTGGTGACATTTAATATGCTGCTTTCTCTCTTCAATGTGCTTTGCCAGCATTATTCAGGTGATGCATTCAACACCTCTCAACAATTGGTCAGCAAGATTACAGATTTTTTGTTTTAAGGCAGAGAAGTTGGTATTGTGACTTCCTTAAGGTAGTGCAGTTAGTTTTGATGTCTCAAGCTGGGTGTTGACACGCTCAGCTTCCACTCTGACCTTGATTCACCTTCTTTTGTTCGAGTTCATAACCAGATTGTCTTGAAATCAATCCAATTCGGAAATTTAATGAACGAAATTTCTTTATATGCTATTCTCAAAATAAGTCTTAAGAGTAATAATAGTTGACTTCAAGAAAATAAATACCGTAAGGGAAAAAAGACCTGCTTTTTCTATTATAGTAGGCCTTTAATTTTTATTTTATTTTACTACTTGTGTCAGGTTTCCTTTTATGGAATCCATTTCTTAAAAGTGTTTCCATGTAGTAGTGCTGGATGTTTAAACCTACTACTATCTATTTGGGTCGCGGTTTGCCATTTCACTCAATATCCACTGCACGTCACAATAATTATAATACTTAATACACTACCTGCCACAATATTTTATTAAATGCATCATCTCATTTCGTGCTTTTGGCTACCTAATGGAAGGGGTATTATGATTACCACTTTACAGACGAGGAGACTAGGGCTGTGAGGAGTGTTTAGCTTGTCCAGTTAAATAGCTTGTCCACAGCTATTAGGCGGTAGAGCTGAGAATGGACTGTAAACCTGATGGGTGCTTAAACCCATTCTCCTGCTGGCCACTAGGCAATAGTGCCACTCTAATAAGCAAAGCATAGCAGATCTGAGTAAAGCATGTTAGCCATGGGAAGAATCGATGCGTAGACAAGTATTTTGCAAAGCAAAAACACCACTATTATTTCTGTTAATCCAGCAGGCAGCTCTGACTTCTCCCTGTGATGTGAAAAGGATATGCTATCCTAAATATCTACATAGAGGGATGCAACATTATAGAAATATAAGAAATAAATTATCTTCAATTATTAAAAATCTAGAGGTAGGCTGGGCACAGTGGCTCATTCCTGTAATCCCAGCACTTTGGGAGGCCAAGGTGGGTAGATCAGTTAAGCCAGGAGTTCGAGACCTGCCTGGCCAACATGGTGAAACCCCATCTCTACTAAAAATACAAAAAAAAATAAAATAAAATCAGCTGGGCGTGGTGGCACATGCCTGTAATCCCAGCTACTGGGGAGGCTGAGGCAGGAGAATTGCTTGAACCCAGGAGGCAGAGGTTTCAGTGAGCCAGCACAGATAGCGCCACTGCACTTGAGCCTAGGCGACAGAGTGAGACTCTGTCTCAAAAAATAAAATAAATAAATATCTAGGGGTATGAGATTAGCATCATCTGTGTTTTTGTTTGCATGGTAATTTAGAGTTTTCAAGCCACTTTCACATTACTTGGGTCATTCCATTCTCACAGTGAATCAGGGCAATTAATATTTTCTACCTGTCACCCTAATGCAGAAATGGAGATTCAGTGAGTTTTTTGACTTGCCAGTCACTGGGCTATGGAGTGACAGAGCCTGATTCAAACCCAAGTCATCTTATTCTTCGTGTGGGGAACTGACACCCACATGACTTCCTCTGCCTTGGCCCTGTCCAAGTTGTGGCCGTAGAGTGAAGTTATCCCTGATAGCCCTTTACTTTCTGTGGCTCCTAGTCTGATTGTATCATCCAACTGTTACTAAACTAAATTGTATTTACAATCTCCCAGAATTGTTGCACTGAGTGTTGCATGTGACCTGTTATTGGGAGATTTCCTGGTTGCTGTTAACATTAGCCTGTCAAGGCTACCAGTTAATTTGCAAGACCACCTTCACCCATAGATGGTAGAGCTGTTAGATAAGGAAACTTGCAGGGTTAGTTCTGGACCTTAACTCATGTCATCTAACACTGGAGGTTGACAGTCAGCAACGTAGAGAATTACTAATATTGGAGTTAATTGGATTTCTCCTTTTTTTCTCTCTCTCTTGCAAACACTTTCTTGACCCTGCCTCTTTCCTTCCCTGCCTGGACAATTATTTCCAGACCTGGGCATTTGGGTGTGTCCTTGTTTGTAAGGCCAGTGTGTACTTGTTCTCCTCTTTGCTCTGATGAATAGGACTAGTGAGAAACTATTTTTGGAAAGTATTAAGCTCTTGGAGACGGTGATATCATCATTAGTCAGGCTTTGGACTCCATTAAATAATGTGCATTTTCAGTTGAATAATCCTTGACATCACTTCCAAAATGAAAAGTAATGTGCTTATTCATATTATCTTTGACATGGGAATAAAAATTATTAAAAATTCCGTGTGAATTTTTCTTTAACATAGTGTTCTATTAAAGCCACCCAGTGCTAGGTGTTGACTTCGTATTGCCTAGTTTTTGAAGTCTTTCTAAACCTCATTTTCCTCATCTGTCAAATGGCTCCATTACTCTCAGGGCTAATAGGTTCTGACAACTCAAACAAAAAATGAATGTATGGGCCTAGGTCAGTCCTTACCATTGAACTGATGCACAGTAAGTTGTGGTAGTGCTGTTAACAAAGGAATGTAAATATTTTGAGTCAATAATAAGACCTAGGCATTGATAAGATGCATTCTTGAATGGCCTCCATTGGTTTGATAAAAGCATCCTATGTGTATTACTATAATGCCCCAGTGCTGGGACTGGAATATTTTTATTTTTGCTGTTTTCCACCATAAATGATCAGATTGTGACAAATGAGCTAATATAAGTGAAAGTCTTTTGAAAAGTATAGAAGGCTTTACACATATAAGGAGACATTATGATAATTCCATGCCAACACCAGCACTGCATTGGTGCCAGACTTTGACGTATATGTTTTCTTTTATCTCCATATCAACCATCCCCAGTTTGAAAATGCAGAAACTAAGACTGAAAAAAGTTGAGTAATCTGCTAATGATCACAAAACCAGCAGGTGATGCTGGGGCATCTCTGAAGGAGCTTTCAATAAGTAAAGATAAGGAAAGGTCAATGACAAAATATCTCCTTTATTCCTGATGGAGGCCAGGCGAGGACTGGCTTAGTGTCTGAGCCACGTGGGCCTGCTAACTGAATCCCTGAGATAGGCACACTCCCCTACCCAATGACTGTGGTGCTGGCCCAGGCCAGGCACACTCTTTGCAGAAGTAGGCTTTGGAGAGAAGAGGAGACTGCTCACTCTCTGTGCCCATAGATTGAAAACTGGATCTGAGCAGAACCTTCCTGGCTACCTTTCCCAAATCTATCATTCAGATACATCACTTTAATTTCCAGGGCTAAAATGAATATAAAGGGGTAGGGAGAGGCCCATAGTTACACAACTGGGTTGTCTTTTCAAACTGGAAAAATCGGGAGTGGGAAAGAAGTGTTTTCATTAACAAGTGGCAAAGGCAATTTCCAAATCTAAGTCTGTGACTCAACTTCAAAGCCAAGCTTTTCCATTGAGCCCAGGCAACACCCCTCCTTGCTGAGAAAACTTAAAAGTCAGGTCTAGTTCATCTTTAACCATCATCATATGTGGTATCCTGTTTATCATTTTTATTTTAAAATTTTTGTGAATACATAGTAGGCATATATATTTATGGGTGACATGAGATATTTTTATACAGGCATGCAGTGCACAATCACATCATGGCAAATGGGGTATCTATCACCTCAAGCATTTGTCCTTTGTGCTACAAACAATCCAATTATGTACTTTTAGTTATTTTACAATGTACAATTAAATTACTTTTGACTGTAGTCACTCTGTTGTACTACCAAATACTAGGGTCTTATACTTTTTTTTTTTTTTTTGAGAAAGGGTCTGGCCCTCTCACCTAGACTGGAGTGCAGTAGCACTACCTTGGCTCACTGCAACCTCCACCTCCCAGCTCAAGCCATCCTCCCTCCTCAGCCTTCCAAGTAGCTGGGACTACAGGCACACACCACCACGCTTGGCTCTTTTTTGCAATTTTTATAGAGATGGAATTTTGCCATGTTGCCCAGGCTGGTCTTAAACTCCTGAGCTCAAGTCATCTGCCCACTTTGACCTCCCAAAGTGCTGGGATTACAGACATGTGCCATGCACCCTGCCTTTATTCATTCTTCCTTTTTTTTTTTTTTTTTGGTGCATTTTAACCATTCCCACTACCCTCCACCCCCTGCACTCCCTCACTACCCTTCCCAGCCTCTGGTAACAATTTTTCTACTTTCGATCTCCATGAACTCAATTATTTTAATTTTTAGCTTTCACAAATCAGTGAGAACATGAGAAATTTGTCTTTCTGTGCCCAGCTTATTTTAGCTAACATAATTACCTCCAGTTCCATCCATGTTGTTGCAAATGACAGGCTCTCATTCTTTTTTATGGCTGAACAGTACTCCGTTGCGTGTACATACTCCATTGTGTATGTATTTTCTATTTCTATTCATCTGTTGATGGACACTTAGGTTGCTTCCAAATCTTGGCTATTGTGAATAGTGCTGCAATAAACATGGGCGTGCAGATGTCTCTTTGATATACTTCTTTTCTTTTGGGTATATACCTAGCAGTGGGCTTGCTGGATAGCATGGTAGCTCTATTTTCAGTTTTTCGAGGAACCTCCAGACTGCTCTCTGTGGTGGTTACATTCCCACCAACAGTGTAAGAGGGTTCCCTTTTCTCCAAATCCTGGTTAGAATTTGTTATTGCCTAACTTCTGGATAAAAGCTATTTTAACTAAGGTGAGATGATATCTCATTCTGGTTTGGATTTAAATTTCTCTGATGATCAGTGATGTTGAGGACTTTTTCACATACCGGTTTGCCATTTGTATGTCTTCTTTTGAGAAATGTCTATTCAGTTCTTTTGCCTATTTTTAGTTGGATTATTAGATTTTTTTTTTCCTTAGAGAGTTGTTTGAGCTCATTATATATTCCGGTTATTAATCCCTTGTCAGATGGAGAGTTTGTCAATACATTCTCCCATTCTGTGGGTTGTCTCTTCACTTTGCTGATTGTTTCTTTTGCTGTGCGGAAGCTTTTCAACTTGATGTGATCCCAGTTGTCTATTTTTGCCTTGGTTGCCTGTGCTTGTGGGGTATTACTCAAGAAATTTTTGCACAGTTCAATGTCCCGGAGAGTTTCCCTAATGTATTTTTTTTTAGTAGTTTCATAGTTTGAGGTCTTAGATTTAAGTCTTTAATTCATTTTGATTTGATTTTTGTATATGGCGAGAGATAGGGGCCTAGTTTCATTCTTTTGCATATGGCTATCTGATTTTCCCAGCATCATTTATTGAAGAGACTATTATTCCTCCAATGTACGTTCTTAGCACCTTTGTCAAAAATCAGTTCACTGTAGATGTATGGATTTATCTCTGGGTTCTATATTGTGTTCCACTGATCTATGTGCCTGATTTTTTCCCAGCACCATGCCGTTTTGGTGATTATATCTCTGTAGTATAATTTAAAGTCAGATAATGTGATTCTTCCAGTTTTGTTCTTTTTACTTAGGATAGCTTTGGCTGTTCTGAGTCTTTTGTAGTTCCACATACATTTTAGGATTTTTTTTTAAATTTCTGTGAAGAATATCATTATTTTGATAGAGATTGCATTGAATCCTTTGATTACTTTGGGCAGTATGGACATACTGTTAAATATTTAACAATATTTAACACTATTGATTCCCCCAATCCATGAACATGGAATCTCTGTTAATCATTTTATTTCTTTTTATTTATTTATTATTTTTTTGAGATGAAGTCTTGCTCTTTCGCCCAGGATAGAGTGCAACGGCACGATCTCGGCTCACTGCGACTTCTGTACCCCGGGTTCAAGCGATTCTCCTGTCTCAGCCTCCCGATTAGATGGGATTACAGGTGCATGCCACCACACCCGTCTAGTTTTCTTTTTGAATTTTTAATAGATATGGGGTTTCACCATATTGGCCAGGCTGATCTTGAACTCCTGACCTGAAGTGATCCACCCACCTCAGCCTCCCAAAGTGTTGGGATTATAGGCATGAGCCACCACCGCACCTGGCCCTGTTAATCATTTTAAATGTGTATTTGTTCAGTAATTAAATAGAGGCAAAGTTTTTTTGTTAGTACTGTGGTGCTATGCACAGTAACATGTCAGAACAAACATAAGTGAATAGTTGAAATTTTATATTTCGGTTTTAAGTAGATTCTAATCTGTAGGAGTAAGTCTTCGCAGACAGGTAGCATGGAAATGAAATACCAATTCAGTATCTATGTATAAAACCGTAGGTTCCATTGAATTGCTTCATTTTATATTTAGATGGATGCGCCATAGGAAGAGTATTTTGTTTCCCTGTATTTAGGTTATTAAAATTGAGTTACGTCTGCTCATAAACCTGAGGAAACCACAAAACTCAGAAGAGAAAGCACTAAGGTACCTAAAAACATGTTTAAGTGTTACTATCTGGGACAAATATTGGGACATATAGCTCAAAATAATATATAGCTCATTGTTTTGATCAAGTATGAGATTTGTTCGTGTTACAACAAAGCTTCAATGAGTGGCAGAGTTGCAAGACTAAAGAAGTTAAGAAAGGACTCAGAGGGATGTGGAATCCATGTCCTGGCACACTCTGGCTTTGATAAATATTACATGATTGCAGTGATACCTTTTTGTGAGACATAATTCATTGTTTCAATAATTAATGGCACCAGTGCATGTTTCTAAGAGTACCAAAGGTAAATAATTTACTGTAATTACCAAAGAGGAATGATATTATTTATTTATGAGAACTTTTTTTAAAAAAATGAACCTTTGTGAAAAATAACCTTAGGCTCCCCAGTGTAGGAACTGTAGCTTGCCCTCCACTCCACTCATGCCAAAAAAATTAAAGGAACATCACTACTTTGTATTAAGTGTTTTGCCCTACTCTGAAGGTTTGTTGGTTTGGGTCTCCAAAAGTCAGTATAAGTTGTTGTTAAATGAGGCCAGACTGAAACCAACACCTCATATTTGGTTAATCCATATAGAATTTGGGAACTTTCCTAAATGGTTTATTGCTTTTGACGGGTTAGAATCTTGGTTCCGTAGATTCTTATTAGAAGCTTAATTGCACACCCATTCACTAGATGTGTCCTCGCTCATTAAATGCAGATAAAGCTGTTCCTCATTCATGTTTGCATTTTCCTAGGATGTGGGTGAGATAGTGACTTGCATGTAATTGCTCTACAAATTTATTTTTCAATTTGACTTCAGGGCTATTTTTTAAAAATCTGTGTAATTCAGAGTAAGTTTTTAAATTTAGATTTTATTATTACCAAAGTTATGCAATTAAATAAAAAGCCACATCATTCTACAAGACACACTTGTTAGGAAAAAACATAATCCCCATATACACCTTCAGTCCCCAAGTTCTGCTTTCCAGAGACGAGTGCTTGGAATAATTTTTGATAACTCGTATGATGTGCTTGGATATCTCTAAATACTGCATGTATATTGTTCTTGTTGATTTTTCTCCATTTCAGGAATTATTTATTGACTTCCCCAAATGAAAGATGAAGCTTTTTTTTCCACACTTTTCCTCCCTATGCACACTTCGTATCCTCCCATTTCCGCAAACAGTTGTAATTTATTTTGCTTATATCTGTATTTGATGCTTATCTTGTTATGCCTGTGTAAATGTTACTCACATATGTGGCTTATATTATGATTGCTTTTTCTTTCTTTTTTTTGAGACGGAGTCTTGCTCTGTCACCCAGGCTGGAGTGCAGTGGCGCAATCTCGGCTCACTGCAACCTCCGCCTCCCGGGTTCAGGCGATTCTCCTGCCTCAGCCTCCCAACTGGGATTACAGGTACGTGCCACCACGCCCAGCTAATTTTTTGTATTTTTAGTAGAGAAGGGGTTTCACCATGTTGGCCAGGCTGGTCTCAAACTCCTGACCTCAAGTGATCTACCTGCCTCAGCCTCCCAAAGTGCTGGGATTAGTCATGAGCCACCGTGCCTGACCTGATTGCTTTTTCTTTCCAGCACAATATTTTATTTTCCCTGGAGTTTTTTCACTTGCTTGATGTCCTCTGTGCATATCAATAGTCCAACCCCAAAACTCTCCCCCAGTTGTACAAATCTCTCAATGTGTTCACATTCATTAGGTGATCTATGTGTCTCGTCTACTTACCTCATCTCGCTTAGAGCTTTCTTACTTGTCATATTCCTTGTAGGTCCACTGCACACAGATGTGCTCTTGGGTCTTCCTTCATCATAACCATGAAAATTCCCTTTGTTTTCTCTTGTGTTGGAGTCCATGCCCTCCCTTTTCTTGGGTCAGTCCTTCACTTTGGTGGAGTACATCTTCCATTAGTTTCCTCAGAGAGTGCATGAGAAATATGTTTTTTAAGGTGTTATATATCTGAAAATATCTGTCTAGTTTATACTTGTTTTTAATTTAGCTGGTTATAGAATTCTGACTTGAAGTCATTTCCTGTCAGCATGTTAAAGGAATTGCTCTATTGCCTTTTACCTTCACGTTTTGCTGTTAAAAGTCTGACACAGACCCTCCATCTGTGACCATTTTTTCTCTCCATGTTTATAGACCCTGTCTTTGTCTCCGAATTCTGAAATGTTACGATGATGTACCATAATGGGTTCTGTATTCATAGTGTTGGTCACTCACTGGGTCATTTTACGCTGGCAACCTCTGTCTTTGGCTCTGGAAAAGTTTCTTAAATTGTTTCCTTGATTTATTTTCCTTTGTTCACAATTTTTTTTCTTTCTAGGACTTCTTTTTTTTTAGACTGAGGGGAGGATTTGAACCTCCTGAACTTATCTTTTGCTTTCTTGTATTTTCTCTCCTATTTTCTAGAGTTAAAAATTTCTCTATACTTTCTAAGGTTTTTTTCAATATATTTGTTACTTCTAAGAGTTATTTTTCCCTAAATGTTTCTTTTTTTTTTAATAAGTAGTCTATTGTTTCATAGGTGTAAAAATATCTCATCTCTCTCTAGATATTAATGAATAATTTTAAGTTTTCTTCTCCCTGAAAAGCCTGTTTCCTGCAATTTGCTTTCCTTCTGTTTGCTTGTTTGTTTTGTTTTTATACTGGATGCTTTTTTCAGCAGTCTAGTGACGGTCAGCTGTCTACTCATTAATAAGCTCATTGGAAGCTCTCTGTATGGTGTAGAGGTTGTTATCCATGATTTCCACTGAAGTAATAAGCCAGAACATTTCACTGGGAAATTCCAATGGGCAGGTCAGAATCCTCAGAGACTTCCCATTTTTTGCCTAGAACTCTGTCCCCAGCTGTGTCTGGGAGACCAGTAAAGGAAGGGTGCGATTCTGAATATTCAGTGTACAATCCCCATTTTCAATATGGTGCCTCTAGCCTTCTAGTCTCCTGCCTGTAGTCTTCTGCTAGGGTTGGTGGTAGTGATGGCAGGGGATCATTATTTGACAACTGAGGGGATTATGAAGGTCAAATCACTTTTTAAAGAGAATTCTAGCCAATCCTTCTGTTTTTCTGCTGATGTGTTTTCTCTTATTCTCTCTGTCCTTTCTGTGTCTGTATTTTTAACTATGTGACTGTCATTTCACTGAGGTTTCAGTAGGCAGCAGATTGTGGGGGATCTGTGGGCTAATACCTTTTATCACATTGGCACATTCATAGCCATTATCTTTTCAAATACAGCTTCTACTTTATTCTCTTCTTCTCTTCTATTTCTAAGGGTCCAATTTACACCTATGTTAAAATCTCTCAATGTTCCACATCTTGTACTGTTTTCTTTCTTTTTTTTAACCTATCCTTCATTTTGTATATTTTTCCATTTAGGGCTCTAACTTAACCCTCTTTTATATTGTGTCTAAGTAAAGAACTGACATTGTATTTAGCACTGAACCAATGCCCATTTGATTCCTTCTTATGTATATTCTAGCATTCTATCCCATTTAATTTATTTTCTCTATCTTTCCCTGTGTTTTTGTAAACATACTAATCATAGTTATTATAAAGCACTTATTAGCTTACCTCAGAATCGGGATGGCCTGGGAGTCTATTTATAGTGTCTCTCTAGCTTGGTTTGGTTTTATTTCATTTTTCTGGTTTTATCCACACACTCTGACCATGCTTGGCAATTTTTCACTTTATGCTAGACATGGTGTATAAAAAATTGTGGACACACCCGATGGTGATATATTCCTTCACAGAATGTTTGCCCTCCCTCTGCTAGGCAAATAGAATAGTAAATTTTAATTCAATTAAGATTTTGCTGAAATGAGGCTGGTCTGCAGCCCTGGTGAAAGCTCACACTACCTCTGGTTTCCCCCCAGCACACCAGCATCCTTATTTAAAATCGTTGTATGATCTTCAAATCTCTTCCCATTATAAGTTCTAAACTTTTAAGTCATTTTCTCATTACTGCCAAAAATCTCCATTATGCTCTTCAGAGATATTTCTGGTTAGGTTTTGAGCTTCCTGTTCTGCACAGCTTCGGAATTCAGCAAATGTTCTTAGCAGGAAACTGTAGCATGCTTGAGGCCACCCAAATCTCCACCAAAACTCTCCTGGCTTTTCTGTTCAACAACAGTGACCCCTGTAGGTTAAAAGTACAAATCTGTTTGCACTGGTAACTGACAAAAGCCTGTAAGTTAAAAATGGGCAACAGAAAGTCAACTCAACTCCTGAAGATGTTCACCCTCCCAGAGTTTGGTAGTTCTTTTAGTTCTCGATGCTTCAACCGCCCTCTGCTGCATTCAGATACAATTGCTGTATTTTATCTGGCTTACTTGGAAGAAGCACTAGGCTGCTACTAGCTACTCCGCCCCACTTGGAACCAGAAGTCATCAAGATTGAATTTTTCATTTTTTATTTTGAGAATTGGGAAAAAAAATTACAGTTGTTATAGGATTAATTTGAAGACATGTTGAAAATGTGACATGTGCTTAAAATCATAGTTGGAGTTAGTTATGTGATATTTCTTTGCCATGTCAGTTACCCAGGGAGCTTTCTTAAAAGATTGAAATAAAACAATACATCAATAGACTTTGTTTTCTAACATTACACTCAGATTTCAATGTATTTCTATAGAGGAGAATTTAAAAATTATTTATGTTGAATGTAAGTCTATCTGGAATTAGAGGAATACAAATATATTTTATATGTGTAGAGAAATCAGTCTTGTATGGTTTGTTGATGTAATTTAATTTACCATTTTATTTTTCAGCATCTAACATTCACAAGGGAATTTGATTCAGATTCTCTTAGACATTACAGCTGGGCTGCAGACACCTTAGACAATGTCAATCTTGTTTCAAGCCCCATTCATTCTGGGTAAGTAACCTAAATGTCACTTTTCATTATCCTACTACATGAACAGTGCATTTATTACTTAGAGTTATAAATTCACATCAACAAGCTTCATATATATGAATACATTCATGTATGAAATGTATATTCATTAGTATATGTGAGATGTATTTGTAAATCATTGTTTTTTTCTAAGTAATTCTGTATGAGTTTTTTTTTTGAGAAAAATTTAATTTTGTTAGAAAAATAATGAAATTACTAGTACAACAAACTTTCCTGGCTGTTCTAATCTTCTAGGTCTTTAATTTTCCTTTTCAGAAAATTTCCTTTTTAAGTTTTTTAAAATTTGAAACATAATGATTTTTCTCCGTTTTACTTTTCTATTCAAATGAAGTTTTTCTAGGTATCTGATTTTTCTTTCCAATAGAAAATTAAATATGTAAGTATGCCTGTTAATTTACCTTAACTGACTTTTGTGCTTCCCTTAATAATAGAAGAATTTCTCTCAAATATTTAGTAGTTGTTTTTGTTTTTTGTTTTTGACTGGGTCTGGCTCTGTCAGCCAGGCTGGAGTGCAGTGGTGCAGTCTTAGCTTACTGAAACCTCTACCTCCTGGGCCCAAGCCATTCTCCCACCTCAGTTTCTTGAGCACCTGGGACCACAGGTGTGCACCACCATGCTCGGATAATTTTTGTATTTTTTCATAGAGATGAAGTCTCGCCATGTTGCCTAGGCTGTTCTCAAACTCCTGAGCTTAAGCAATCTGCCCGCCTTTGCCTCCCAAACTGCTGGGATTACAGGCATGAGCCGCCACACCTAGCAAATATTTAGTTTTTAAATGAGCAGTAAGCTCTGGTATTGTCATTTTTTTCTCATATGATACAGGTCTTTGATTTGATAAATGATTTGTGTGATTTTCCTTTTAAAAGAATATATAAATTTGAACTTTCGAGTTGGTGCCTCTGCATTTCTGAAGTAAAATTACAATTAAGTTGTATTAAATTGTAATTTTAAAAAATGAATAAAAAGAATAAAGATATTTACTTAAAAAAAAAACATACCAGTGTCTACACTGGAAGTGCTGTGGTTAAAAACCACACCGAGTAGCCTCCTCATCCTGCCTCCCTGGTCAATGGAATTCGAGGCAGGAGGCTAAAAGGGGACCTGCTTCAATTACTGAATTAATAAATTAGTGTATCTTTAGATACTGGATTCTTCATCTTTGGGTAATTCAAATTTGGGATAATTGACATCCATATAAGTAGAATCAAAATAATTCATTAAAATGATGAATATCTCAAGGTGTTTTTGCCTTTGAAATTGGCATTTAGGCCATAAGTTAATTGTGATCAAGGACAAGGGCAGATTATTTTGGAATTAAATAAATTAACAACAATTAACTTTTGTGAAGTGCTTCATATATTATATGAAGTATTTGCTGCTGCTCCTAATTAAAATAAATTGTAATAGCTAACGTTTACTTACTTCTTGTCGTGTACCTGGCATTGTGCTAAATCTTTTACATGTATTGTCTCATTTATATTTACTTGAACCTTATAATGATACTGTGAGATACGTATTACTCATTATCCTCATTTTACAAATAAAAAATCAGACTCAGAGGAATGCTTCAGGTTAAAATACCGTTATAGATTTTGGCTTTGTAATACTACAATTCTGAGAAACAGAACAATATCGTTCAAATGGGAATAATTGACATGAAAGTGTTTCATAAATTATAAACTTTATGGTGGCTTTTGAGTTAGTAACATTGCATTTCTTTAACTCAATTAGAGAAACCTTGAATTATTATAATTTTAAACTGCTAAAAATATTTATATAATTTATATTCAATGCATATGGGTCTAATATTGGAAAAGCAAAAGAAAAAATCAGATTCAAGAAGGAAACTATATAACATCTGGGATACATTCAGGGAGCAAAGATGTTGAAGAGTTTTTTGAATCACGCTTGATGAATTGCCGCCATATTTCAAAGACCTGAAACCATCACTTTGTATTCTCTACAAATCAAAGACAAGGTACTAGGGCTTAATTTAGTAAACTGAGAAGTTGAAGAAACATGATAACAAAATCAGAAATGAACTTTCCCATACATTAAAAACAATGAAGTATTTGAGTATGCAAGTTATCTCCCCTTCACCTTGAATGTTATTGAAGACAAGAGAGACAATAGACATGTGCAGGAAAGCAAAAGTAATGGCAGCAGGTGTGGGCTTATTTGAAAAGGAAAATATAGACCTGGTGTGCACTTAGAAATATTTCACTGATGCCAGGTCCTTGCAGTTTATGCAGCTACATAAGGCAGATATTTTTCTAGGTTGTCCCACAAATGCCAGATGCCCTGGTTTCATTTTCTGATGGTTTTTATTTTTCCTTTGCTTGTCATTGACATTTTCTGTTGCTTGCTTCTAATTATATTACATTAATTCTTCCCATTTGCTTTCTAAATTATTTTGCAGCTATTCTTCTCCACTTCCTCAGTATGATTCAAGGTGATAACTGTGTCCTTTATGTGAACCATCCTTTTTGTATTTTTAATTTATGTGAATTTTTGCCATAGTTAGATCGTGTCAATGTCTGTAGTATATCAGCATTTGTCATCCTGCTGTTCCTAAAACTAGAAACATTCATGTATTAGTTTTAGGATCATTTGTAGAATTTGTGCTATAGTTTAAATATTAATGATACAAATATTATTATATATCACCTTTTTAATTTGTTCTATAAGTTATGTTGCATGACTTTTTCACACAATATGTAAGACATGAGTTTGTAAAACAAATCACTATATTTTATAATGTTATTAAATAATAGGACCCATGTCCTGTTTAATGAATAGTCCCACTTTTCCTCAGTCTGTTGACTCTATGAAGTTGAGAACCTCAGAACAATAAATGGTTGCTGGTGAGCACCAGCCATGTACTGTGTGCTATACAGAACACAGAGAAAGAGACTCTTCCAGTTTGTTGTTAATATCATGTTAACTAGTGTTTTTTCCATTGGTTCTGATATTCTTTACAGCTGAGATATTTTTATTTTAATCTGATAAACTGTACGCTACCTTCAGTCCACTCAGCTCCAATCAGCTATCTACCTATCTATCCACCCATCAATCCATTAGTATTAGTAACCGAGTCTCACCTACACAGTTTCTAAGCAAAATAGTTTTATTCATTGGTTCATTCAGTAAGCATTTATCACGTCCCTATTTTGTGCTAGAATTGTGCTTGGCTCTGCAGGTCAATCAGTGAACAAGACAGACCCAATCAGAATTACTCTCTATATTGTTGAGACTCAGCGGTTGCCAGGGCAAACATTCCCCTCTCAGTGGAAACATTCCAGTGTGTGTGTATGTGTGTATGTGTGTACTGACACAACTGAATCTTCAAGCCCAGAGTTTGTCGTGAATCGTTTTAAATCCATTCTGTTACTATTATTCCTAATGAAAAATTGATTTTTGTAGTTACAACTACGAAGTGCAGGGAATGATTTGATTTTTGTCTTATAATATTGCCATATTGCCTTCATTATTGAATAAAAGTAGTTGTTAAATATACGTATGTCTAAGAAAATGTAGGCAGCCCAGAGCAATTTCAGGTGAGCCTCATGTCTTTTAGCATTGGTAACAATTCATCCCGACACTTGTACAAGTGAACAAGTATCTTTTTCTTTGACTAGGGAGGAGTGATTTTTGTTTTCTTTTTGTTTTTGAGAGAGTCAGTGTTTTCCCCTTTTACCTTGATTATCGTAGTGGTCCCAATCTCCCAAAATCGATAGAATGTTGTAAGAGACATAAATTCATTCAGAGTAAAATGGTTAAATCCAAAATGAGCAAAAGGGTATGAAGACGAGTCCACCTTACTGATGAGCAGAGTTGGTTCTAGGAATCTGATAGGCTGAAAAATGATCGCCAGCCCATTGCCTCTGCCTGTGGGGATCACAGGCCAGTTTGCTTGAAAAGGTCACTCTTTCAAGGTCAAGAGGTAGCATTCTTCAGAAGACGGTCCCCAGCTAGGAAGTCCATGCAAGGTCTTAAAATCTGTTTGCAGGATGTTAGCATTGTTTTTAGGGGAAAAAGTAGTAAAGATTTTTGATGGATGGGACTTTTTTTTTCTAAAAACACTTTAAGAATTCCGACAATTTTCTAATTATCACCATTTTGTACTGTGCTAGTAGTAATCTGTGTATTTTCATACGTGGAAACTAGAATACAGGGATATATTTGTGTTCCCCTGTCTGACCTTAACTCTTCCACACATTGAACTCATTGATTTATGTTTACTTATAACTCTGTGATAACGATAACTGTGTTATAACTCTGTGATGATGATAGTGGGACCATGCATATGTGATAGAAGACAGTGATTCCAATATGCTTCTACCCAAAAATAACAGTTAATTTCTTTATAGTTCTATACCTATTAATACATGCAGACAGTTTTTTCCTTATTAGCTTTAATAAAAGGCCAATGACAGAATTATGTTATTTAGAGCCATTTTCTAAAAGTCTAAGTTCCACTTTTTTAATCATTGTATAAAATATTCAAATGTAGGTTATTTCAGACAGCTTTTAAGCCCATATTTATACTGAAAACATTTAATCTCTTTCCATCAAAATCACCGTAGCAAATCTAGTCATCTCCTGCTTTTATTCTTATATTCTGCTTCATCATAGTAAAAATTAGTGTTGGTATGATTAAAAATACATTTATTTTATGAGTCGTAAATATCAAGACATACTGTGGAGTTTCATCTTACTTGTAAGAGACCATATGGCAGCATATGGCAAAAACCACTTATAGTTAAAATGACCTTTGAATATAAAGACCACAGTTTTTTTGTTTTAAATGCATGAGAATCCTGTTACTAGACCGATTTTACTCCAGTTTTGAAACCTTCCTTATTCCTTCCATTTGAGCCTGGTAAAGTAGTTGGCTTTTCTATGGGGGCCATGTTCCACCAAAAACAAGTTGTGTTTCAGTTTTTGCAAAGTGCACAAGTTAAATGCATGTTTGATGTGACTCCACTGTATTGACTTCTGATTTATCTTTAGAGGAAATGATAGCTACATTGTCTGTCGCTTTAAATAAACTTAAACATTTAATTTCCAAACTTGCTGTGAGCACAGTTTATTTCCGTCCTTGAATTGGCCTCTGATCTTCTCCCCTCAGGTTTCTGGTTAGCTTTATGGTGGACGCGAGAGGGGGCTCCATGAGAGGAAGCCGTCATCACGGGATGAGAATCATCATTCCTCCACGCAAGTGTACGGCCCCCACTCGAATCACCTGCCGTTTGGTAAAGAGACATAAACTGGCCAACCCACCCCCCATGGTGGAAGGAGAGGGATTAGCCAGTAGGCTGGTAGAAATGGGTCCTGCAGGGGCACAATTTTTAGGGTAAGTTGTTTTGTCAATTTTAACCTTGGCCCTCACAATGCATCTTTGATTTTCTTTACCCTTGTTAACTCAAGGAGATAACTCTTAAAACTGCTTAGTTGTACCTGATTGAGTATACTTTTTGTAAAGTGTCAAAGGTCACAAAGCTGTGTGATTCTGTGAAAGGCTAATAGGCTGATACTTTCTTAACTCAGTTTGCTAGTCAAGGCTTTTACTAACCGAGAAGCATGTTCTCTGCTCAGCAAGTGCACGGAACCCCAGTGGTCCCTGTAGAAGTCAAGGCACCATTCTAGGGAAAAAATACAGATGCTGGAATTATTTTACCGCATTGAATATATGGCTACTTTGGGGACATGTCTTTTTAAAGAAAATTTTTTGGGAAACAGTTCATTGTGATATGGTATTTTACAAAAAGGAAAAATGAATTTAATTCATTTTCTGAGGTGGCACTTGGGTACAAATCAGGCAGGCTCTGTCGTGACTGACAGTTTGTTCACAATTTCCCCTTCTCGTTTCTCTTTCTGCTGCATGGATGTTATTCAGTAAACTGCATCTTCCTACCAATCCTCCCCCTGTAAATGAGGGTGAGAGCTTGGTTAGCCGAATCCTGCAGCTTGGGCCTCAAGGAACAAAATTTATTGGGTAGGACCTTTATAGACAAGATACAGAATGTCTACAATTTTTTTTTTTCCATTTTCAATTTTTTTCTGTCACACCCATGGTCTGATTCTTGTCTTAAGTTTATTTTTATTTTTTAAGTTTTTTTTAATGCTTTCAGTTGATGTGTGTCACTGAAAGAAAAAAAAATCATAGTGGCTTGACTTAATGTAGCACCGCTACCTATCTTGTGCTTTTCAGGCATGTGGAATTCACTGCAAGCATTCTGCTTTCATAACTTCGTGCTTTTGTAAACCTTTCTTTTATTTGAAATGTTTCTTCTGAATATGATACTTTTTAAGACAGCAAAAGTCTTTAACCCAGTGTAAGAGAAGGTATTTGCAGGCTTTGAGTCAACATTTGCTATCAATTACATGTATGTACACCTGTGTGTGTGTGTGCGCGTGCGCATGTGTGTGTGTGTGTAATTAGATCTTTTAAAAGTACATGAGTACTGTGTAATTTTTTATGGGCTTTGAGAAGAAGTCATCAATAAGTAAACTGATTTTGAAAAGTGTTGGGAAAATAAGATATTTAAATAAAATTAAATAGGCAGCAGATAGAGTATTCTTTTAAAGTTATAAAATTGTTTCGTTTGGTTTTGTTTGAGCTGAAATGCATTGGTATTTGTTGTTTGTTCACTTGTCTGTTTGATTGTTGTATTTGCCTTGGCAGTCTGCATGAAGAAACCTGTTAATGAAAAGCTATGCTTGGCTTTCACCTTGATCAAAGACCCTTGTTCATACCTTCTCTCCAATATCATTGAACATCATACATAAAGCCACATTCCTTAAATATTTACAGAGACAGTATCTGACATATTAACCTGCAAAGATTGTATCTTGTTCTCAAAAATAAATACAATTTAATGTTTAATTATAAGGTGTAGTTAAAAACTCTGGTAAATATCTTAATCTTGAAATTATTAATACTGCTAAGAACACTTGATTTTGTTTCTACCTATTGAAGAATAAAGGCATTATAAAAATTATTTTTTAATCTTTAATTTGAATGAATTATGATTTTGCTAAAAGCAAAATGACCATATTTATCATCCCCGTTTGAAGCAAATGCTTTTCTAATAAATCGATATTCATGTTTTTATTTATATTATTTGATCATTACAACTACTATCCCTTTTTCTGCTCTTACTTACTTAAGCCTGTATCTTCTGTTATCACATATACCTAAACACATAGGTTAAGAAATGGGGTTCCATACAACCTCTGTAGGAGAATAATGATACTGTCTACTTAAATGTCATAAAATAAAGCTGCACAATCCAACTACATAAACTGTGTGTGATTGTGGTCTGCTTACTTCCATTCATCTCTTTTAGTATTTATCCTATTTTAAAATTTAACAAAATTATTTCCCGTGGCTTGATTGGCTATGTTCAATTTGCAGCCATTCTTTTACATTCCTTTGCAAAAGGACACTGTCAAAAATTACTGTGTCATTATGTGACAATTTCAAACCAACAAGTACTTTTACAGAAAGTGTAAGTATTCCTATGCAGGTTATATTAGAGCCAGGAATGGAAGCTACCTACTACCATTTCACAAATTGAAAAACACAGGAATTGTCTTAACTGTACAGGCCATGAAAAGCATGGAATCTGCCTGTTGGAGGAGTCGTTAACATATTGATTGTTTTCTTGCTAAGGAGAAAATATAGCAATCATCTTTCAAACTAGGAACTTTATAGAATTTTTTTTTAAAGAAATGACTGTGTCCTTTTAAATCATTAGCATTTGTATAATATACCTATTGTGTCTTTTAAAAATGGACCAACTTTCTTATGGTCTACTTTAATAAGTTTCCATTCTGATTCAAAATTCCTATTTATATGTACTGAAAAATTTCCCCCATTAAATCCTATGCCTAACATATGGTAGTCCTCCAAGAACTGTTTGTGAATGAATGAATGATGGCATGTTTTCAGGCTTCGAAAATATTCTTTAATTAGCAAATGATTCTGCAGCTTTGAAATCATTCCCAACCTTAGTGGCACCTCTGATTTTCAAATGAATACTGTTAACGAAACATTTTTTAAGTATGATACTATAAATATATTTAATTTGATACCAAAATAATGTGGATTTTTTTTCCAGCCCTGTCATAGTGGAAATCCCTCACTTTGGGTCCATGAGAGGAAAAGAGAGAGAACTCATTGTTCTTCGAAGTGAAAATGGTGAAACTTGGAAGGAGCATCAGTTTGACAGCAAAAATGAAGATTTAACCGAGTTACTTAATGGCATGGATGAAGGTAATAATGATGGCTCCTTGGTTCTGTAAATGTCTGCAGGCAGAAATTAAAGGAATGACTAGATTACATGAAACAGGACCTGAATTTCACACATTTGTATTTTAAGCTAGGACCCAAGTTCTTCAGCTTTTGTTGCTGTTTTCTATATCATAATGCTGAAGTTCCATTTAATCTAACAAACTTTATTCTCCGTAATATAGAAGTATAAGTATTTTGATGATTCCATCTTTAATCACATACATCAATCTTTCCAATACCAAAGAAAGTTTTCTAAGTCAAAAATGAGCAAGAAGAGGGTGAAATAATAATGGAAAGTATGCAAGGCATGCTGAGCATTTTGAAGAAAATATGTTCACATTTTATTTTTGGAATTATTTCTGGACTCTTTCAGCTTTTTCAAGTTTCTCCCAGATAATTTCAGTATCCTTCATAAATTTTTGATTTCTCTTGGGCCATAATTAGTCTTTAAAAAATGTTTCAGGGTAATTATTGGGGTCTGTGTTGTTTCAATGTCTCATTCTTTGACCTAGTAAGACTGGTATATATCTGAGCATGTCACTTTTTCATACACAACTTCTTCAGGCTGTCTGACCCTAAGAACCAGAGCAATTTTTCTTAGTAGACATTGGGAATAGTCTGGTTTTGAGAATAGGTGTTTGACGCAGAGTTTTCCTTTAAAAATGTAAAAAAAAAAAAATTAGAGAACAGGCTCACCATAACGTCTGATGCTGAGAGAAAAATATCAGAGCTAATTCTTCCTTTATACTCACTTCCTAATCACTCCAAATCCAGGAATTATTTAAACAACAGCTTTATTCGAGATATAATTCATATTCCATAAGATCCACTCTTTTTCAATTCACTGACTTTTGGAATGCACTCAGCATAGTCTCCAGTGAGTTTCAAGGTGTGAACAAAGGAGCGAGGTGAACCGTAGGGTACTTGAGGAATGACCTTGGGCAAATTTATTGAACTCTGTGAGCCTGTCTTTCTTCTGCAAAATGGAGATTACCTTCCTAACTTCCTATGGTTATTGTTGAGAATAAATAAAATAATTATGTGAGGCACATGTGAAATACAGTCCTTGTTACATAGTAAGCCCTTGATAATTATGAGTTATTATCACCATTATATTTGTTCTGTAGAAAAAATTGTCATGCCAAAGGTTTGGTATAAGACACAATCGCCACCAACCATGAATTTAAAGATGTCTTTACAGCAAGGTAGAGGGAGAATAGTAATTGTTGAGTGTCTAGCATTCATGAAGCACTGATAAATGCCTTCATATGTGAAAAATTTAAAAAGAAAGGATAGCACTGCAAATCAGGTGGTTTTAATTCCACTTTACTGATAAGGGTGCTAATCAGGTGGTTTTAATTCCACTTATAAGGAAACTGAAGTTCAGAGATGTCAAGTAACATATCTAAGGTTATTCCACTGAGTAGTAAGGCTGGGGTCCAAATGTAGGTCTACTTCTTTTCTTTTCTTTTCTTTTCTTTCTTTCTTTGTTTCTTTTTTTTTTTTTTTTTTTTTTTTTTTTTTTTTTTGAGATGGAGTCTCACTCTGTCACCCAGGCTGGAGTGCCGTGGCACAATCTCAGCTCACTGCAACGTCCGCCTCCTGGGTTCAAGCAATTCTCCTCCCTCAGCCTAAACTAAGGCTCAGAGAGATTGAGTGCCAAACTCAAACCTACACGTGTAGGTTTGTTATATAGGTAAACTTGTATTGCAGGTGTTTATTATACAAATTATTCTTTCACCCAGGTTCAAAGCCTAGTACCTACTAGTTACTTTTTGTGATCCTCTCACTCCTCCTACCCTCCACCTTCAAGTAGGCCCCAGTGTCTGTTGTCTTTGTGTCCACAAGTTCTCATTTAGCTCCCACTTATAAGTGAGAATATGCAGTATTTGGTTTTCTGTTCCTGCATTAGTTTGCTAAGGATAATGGCCTCCAGCTCCATCCATGTTCCTGCAAAAGACAGGATCTCATTCTTTTTTATGGCTGCATAGTTTTCCAAGGTGTAAAGAAACAATGATGTAATCTTCTGTCTTGGATTCTATGTGTTATTTTGGAAAAACTGGATAGCATTTCCTTGCCACATTTTTAAAGACCAGATAAACTTTGGTTCCATTTTAGACAATTCAAAGGAAATGCATATACTTCCAGGCTTAAAGAATCAAGTACTGGAGTCCACTAGAGCAAAAATGAGGATGGAATTTTCAAGGCACAGATTTTCTTCATGTATTAAACTTAATAGTAATGAAGCAACCACTACACACATTTTATAATTGAAGCTCAGTTAATCAAATTGTATGCCAAACTCGAACCCTTCTCGCCACTCTTTTCATATCCCCAAAAACACTTCATTCTTACCAGAACTTTCCTCTCTTCAAAAGCAGACCAGCCAAAAAAAAAATCCCAAATCTGTCTTTTTAAAAAGCCAACTTCTTCCTTGAAGGGACAACTGTTCAAAGTTCTAGTTCAGAGAGAAGCATAAGCACAGTTTAGGAGGTTTCATGTTTTTTATGTTCTTTTATCCTCTCTGTTCCCCTCCCATTTTGCTACTGAATAACTGTTAATTAACAAGATAAAAATAGTTCCTGAATTAAACCAGTGACCAGGTCACTCAAGGTTTCCTTAAAAAAGACAAATAGGCCGGGTGCAGTGTGGTTCACGCCTGTAATCCCAGCACTTTGGGAGGCCGAGGCAAGTGGATCACGAAGTCAAGAGATGGAGACCATCCTGGCCAACATGGTGAAACCCCCGTCTCTACTAAAAATACAAAAATTAGCTGGGCGTGGTGGCATGTGCTTGTAGTCCCAGCTACTCGGGAGGCTGAGGCAAGAGAATCACTTGAACCCGGGAGGCGCAGGTTGCAGTGAGCCAAGATCGCGCCACTGCACTCCAGCCTGACGACAGCAAGACTTTGTCTCAGAAAAAAAAAAATAAATTGTCTTACCATTATTTAATATAACGTATTAATTTCATAACAATTAAGCTTTATCTGTCATCTGTGGCAAGTGACCCTTGATAATGTCTGTCTTGTTATAAATGTTTACTTTTTCAACCCCCTTCTCCATAGATGAATTCTATGTGCTACTTTATAACCAATCTACATGCCACTTTTATAACCAGTCCTGTTGTAGGTTCTTCTCTGAAAATCTTAAAACTCAAGTATTTAAAAATCATCTTAGCAAATATTCTGATTTATTAACACAATTGTAAATATCAGTTTATGTTCCTATAGTGTGTTAAAATGTGTGAAGCCTTTCCATGTACGCAATCAAATTTAACTAGTAGAATAACTCCTGGGAAAGAGAAGTTTAAGGAGCAGGATAATTTGCCCCATGTAATGTGGTGGTTGGGATCATGATTTATGGAAGTTACACAGACTAGACTTCTCATCTTGGCTCCACCGCTTACTCGTTGTGTGACCGTAATGAAGCACTCAATCTCTGAGCCTTGGTTTAAATGTGTAAAGTGAGGATGCCTAATAGTGAACTAATAAGGAATAGATGAGCTAATATATGTAAAGCTCCTAGCTTGATGCCTGATATATGAGAATCACTCAATCAGTGTTTAGTCATAGTCACAACTGCCGTGTAAGTTGTGCAGGAGAGCAAATGGGGTCTGAAATCTTGCCCTTTTCACTTGTCAAGCCATCTGCCCTGACACTGGCCTGTAAGACATAGGGGTACTTTCTTCTAATTTGCTCAAAGCTGCTATCTAGTTGCCAACCTGTGTACCTACAAGGTTGTATACACCCCAAGTGGGCACCCTTTTCCAAATCGTACAAAGACACTACATCAGCTAGTAAAAGCCCTGGTCATCGTTGATTATGATGACACACACTCAACATCGCCACCACCCGGAAACAGTAAATAGATTTAGTCTTCCAAACCTGGACTTCTGACTCCACACCTAGTTGTCTCTCTGCACTGCTCCTTTGCCTCTGTATGCTCTCAAATGAATGATGCCTGTGAAAGTGCTTTGTGTAGAACAAAAGAGCCACATATATGTCAGCTGGTATTTAAGTTGTCCATTACTAATGAAGACACCTCTTAGTTTCTTTGTATGACACAAAAAATATGGTATGTATTCAGGAAAAACTGTAGCTGCAAAATAAGGGGGAATTAAAAGTTACTCCTTATCACCAGCAAGCCCAGGGACTGAAATATCAGTGGTTTTGCTAACGAAGTAGGTGTATTAGCAAAGGTCTATTGAAGAGGCTAGAATCACAGAAAGGACAGTTGGTCTGGGTGTGAAGAACTTGCCATCACCACTAAGGTATCATGCAACAAGAACAACTTTAACTTTGGCAGCAGACATAGATTTTGTTCTAGTCTTTGTCAATTTTTGTTTTCTCAGCCAAGAAAAAGATGCTGCAAACAGAAAACAAACATTCATTCCCCCCACCAAATTATAACGCAGCGAACTGAATTAACTTTTTAAGTTTAATGAAAACCTTCCTTTAATTAAACTCACAAAGTTTAATTAAACATGTTTAAAGTTACATCTCCAAAGTCAGACCCCAAAGAGTGTTTTGTAGTTTGCTGTTATCTTGGATCTGGAATTTTCTAGTAGAAGAGGTCCTTAATTTACAAACCAAAAGCTCCAGAAATGTTCTAGTCCTGCCCTGTCCCATACAGTAGCCACTAGCTCCAGGGAACAACAGAGCACTTGAAATAAAATTAGTACAAATGGAAATATGCTGCAAATGTAAAATACACCAGATACGCGAGGATGAGTACCCTCCTCCAAATACATATCTCATTATTAATTTTTACATTGGTTACACATTGAAATGGTAATATTTTGGATATATTAATCTAAATAAAATGTACCTATAATCCCAGCTACTCAGGAGGCTGAGGTGGGGGGATTGCTTGAGGTCAAGATTTCAGGAGCTCAGCCTGGGCAACATAGACTCCATCTCTAAAAAACAAATAAAAAATTAATTTCACCTGTTTATTTTTATTTTTTAGTGTGGCTATAGGAAATTTAAAATTACATACCCAGTTTACATTATATTTTTACTGGACAGTGCCTCTCTGGACAGTGTGTATGCTTTGTTTTACATATCTATTTTGTTTTAACACAAAAATTGTTGCTACCTAAGTATTACACGGAAGGCTTTGAGTATATATGAATTATGCCATTATTTAAAAATCCCAATCGCTGTCTTGGAACAAAATGTTGCTGAAGTTCCCCCAAACAATTTTACAATGCTAGGAACATATTTTCTTGTCATTGCTGAACTTTCAAATGAGAGCAAATGAAGTTTTTAAGATAATACATTTTAGATTGAATAGTTACACTATTGTTTTATTGTAAACAGGAAAGGGAAATTGGTACTTGCTATGTAACAGAAAATTTTTTAAATTTACTGTCTGACTACATAAACAGTATCTTAGAAACAGACTTCTCAGAAGTTGCCAATTGGGTTCATTTCAATATAATTTAATTGTTTTTGCCATGAGACCAATAGTGTTAAGTCATTGTAGAAGCAGTTGAGCACTGATGTGAAATGTGTAGCTTTATGTTGTGCACAGCACCATCTGCTGGAGAAATCTAGTAACAGTTTTGAAAAATTCCCAAGGAGAGAATAAAAATACAATTTAACCAAATCAGGACTGTGGTTGGGGTGCAAAAAAAAAAAAAAAAAAAAAACCATAGCAAAATACTGACTTTCAGCCTATTGCCATAAACTGGCATTTTAAATCAATTGAATGATGTCCATCGTGTTGGAAAGGAAAGGAAACTGTAGCAGAACAGTCCCCCAAACTAGTAGAAATAAAAATTCTAGTTTAGAAATGAAAATTAGGACAAAGCAAATAAGCATTAATAAGGACAGGTTTTTAATGCATTTGCATATATGGATTTGCCAGAAATTACATGTCTTTATGAAACATTAGTGGATCAAAATAATGACATAAGCCATCCTGCCCCCCACCCCCCATATCAGGCACAGTAGAGCTTTTAGCCCTCTGAGGGCAGTGAAGCAGGTCCACGAGGTTGGACATCAGCCTCCACTACCTTTAGTGTTGATGTGAACAGAGAGACCAGTGTGCCAGAAACTGCAGGTCTAAGCTTTTGGAGTTTAGTGTGTTCTGTATTTGCTGCTCATGCGAGGTTATTGATTCATTGTGTTTAAGACACTATTTATGATCCTGGATTTTGAAGATAGAATCATATTAATTGATTTTTCCCTTAGATGTAACAGTAATGGCTTAAACAATGGGGTGAAAAAAGTGACATATAGGGACTAATTGCCTGAAACCATGTTTTTATTTGCACAAATGGAAAAGTAAACAAATGTAAGTCTCTTAATCTGCAGTCATGGAAGAAAACCTTAGAAGGATTATTCCAGTGTGGCCAGACGTCCCCTACTTCTCTTCCTCCAGGAAGCCCTCCCTAATCCCCAGACTCAGATCAAACTGGTAAATACACCCACAGTACCATAACTGCAACTTTGAACTTTGATATCTTCCTTGGTGCACTGCAAAAGTCCAAGAGGGCAGAGACCAACTCTGACTTGTTGACAGCCATTATGCCCACTGCATATAACAACTCTTGATACAGAGTTGTCAGTTCATCATAGTCTGTTGCATGAACGGAGAAATGAATGACTTGTGTCAGGCATATGCCCCCCCTGCTGGTGACACTTTTTCTCAATCCAGTGACCCATACCCAAGAGAGAGAAAAACTTTCTGGAAGAAGGGAGGCTACACCAAATGGAGAGAGGAAGTCTGGGGCCTGGGGAAGGCTCTGGGGCAGGTTATGGTCATTCTACACACAGAGTACAAAGTAATCTTAAATGTCAACACTGAAGGTAGAGTTCAAAAAATGGTCACATTTGTCCCTGATTTTTAAAGTAATATCTCATAAGCACATAATGATTAAAAATTAATCTTCTAAAAATAGCTTTAAAAATATATGATTGTCAGAAATTATATTAATAGACTGCTAAAACTGGAGGGAAAAACAAGCAGGTATATCATTGTTTCCAGACATTCTGCATCATCAGCACTTATTACACGTGCAAATCTAAACAGCAAAGAGGATCTCTACCCTGAATAAAGATGTGAAATAATGCTGACCCAAATATATATAAACCAGATGACAGAATTGGATAAGAATATGAGTTAAACACTAAAATTATAAAAGGTGCATGGAGCCTTTCGTACTATCTTTGCCATGCCCCATGAATTTATAATTATTTTAAAATAAATGTTTTTTAAAACATTGAAAAGATCTCTATGATGTTAACTTCAAGGAAGAAGGATCAAGTTATATCATTTGAGGATTTTTCCCTATAACATCTTATGTGAACTTATTATGAAATTTGTGTATTTTGATGGAGCTGAACTTTAATTCCAAAGGGATAAATGCCTGTAGTTTTCTAAACTAGTTCAGTAAATATATTACAATGCTATGTTGTTCTACATATTCTATAACTAGAGTTGAATATTATAGATTTATTTTTTATTTTCTTCATTTCTCCCAACTTATTTGATATTTAATTTTCAGTAATTGGTGATTTTCTTTAATGGAATGAAATGGAAATGATAGCAATTCATATTTATATTTTGTAGAGAATTATTTTTAAAATATAACTTGTGTATTTTCTTAGATCTGCTACAGATTGACTCTCTGGCTGCCCTCAAAAGCTGTGTGACCTCGAAAAGAATATATAACTCTTCTAAGTTATTATGTGAACAGAATTGTGCTGGGTGGTTTTCTGTCATTTTTTTTTGTCATATCCATCCCAGAGGAAACTGCTCATCCTAATCACATAGATGAGGAACATATGGCTCAGAGAAGTTCAGGAACTTGCCTGAGGTCCAGGTGCACTGACTATAGAGCTATATTTCAACCCTGGGCACCTGTCTACAGTGACTTACCACAGACCCCATAACTTGCTTTTTGAAATCTAACATTCTAAAAATCCTTTACTTTTTCACCTCTCAATATCAAATACCCCATTCTTAGAGGAGCTGAGAAAAGCCTGCACCTGACTAGAAATTAACCCTGATACACAAATCATCCTTTGGGAAACCTTGAGGCCATTTGTATTCCTTCCATGGACTATTCACACTCCACCCTGACCAGGTCACAAGTAGCCTTTGAAATCTAAATTGATACAGGAAACAGAGCTGTGTCCCCATTTAACGAAGTGATCGAGACATTTAATTGTGTGCCCATAAGAGTGAGGCAAAAACTAATCAAGATGGTCATTTGAAAGCGTTAAGAGTAACCCATTTAGTCAGAACATGATTTCAGTCATGTTATTTATGCTTCGTTGTATTATGGTCTCCATAACCATTTATATTTGCAAAGCATTTTATGATTCTTGTTGTTTGTAACAAAGCCTCAGTCACAGAGAATGCTGTCCCACCTTTTACAAATAAACTGAGTTACAAGGTGCTTAAGAAATTTATCATTTATCTATGAGGCAAGAAGGCTATAGAACATTAGTGGCTCTGTAATCAGGCCTGCTGCTTAGATGGGTCAATGAGAAGTCAGGTCACCTTTTCGACCACGGCATTTGCAAATCTATTCATTACTCATCCGTTTATCAACCACCACTCGTGTGAGGTAGTCTGCAAAGACACTGTTAAAGAGTGGTTGAAGTCCATGTCTGTGTGACTTCATCTCTTTCCAACACCCCTTTCCTAGACCTAGGTTCTAAGCTCTAAAACTGACGAGCTAAATCCATCTGGACAAGTCACTTCACCTCTCTGAACTTCAGACACCTATTTTACCAAAATGCTGTGTGGGCCAAATGATAATTGACCTGACACAAAATAGACCTTCAGTAAGTGTAAAGTTCAATCTTCCTCCTGGCCAAAACTGCCTATTTCAGAACTCACTTCTCTTTTCCCTCTAATCCTCTTTTTGTATGTGAGAATTTAGTAACAGATTTTAAAAAGAGAGAGGAGAGAGGAATTTCAGGGTCTTTTCATAGTCTATGGCATTATGAATCACCCTGAAAGGTAAGAAGCTCTTATGTTTATGTTCTATTGTTTACTTTACAGCAACTTATGCCATTTTTCTCCCTCAATTCTGTAGCTGTGGAGTTATTTAGAATATCCTTTTAAAAAACAAAACCATATAAAAGTAATGAATATTTATTTTTGCCAATAAGCTTTTCTTCTCATATTAAACCATTCTTATTTTTTATAGGGTCCTGTTGTCATGTTTTTAACAATTTGGGTTCTGAATTTTTAAGACAAAGTACAGGATGAGAGTCTACCAAGACATTACTTTTTCAAATGTGTCAAAAAGTCACCTGGGTAGAGTGTGAAAACAGATTTTTAGGTTTCACTCCAGGTCTGCCTAGTCAGAAGCCCAGCAATCTGTGGTACTAACATGTAGTACGATTGTTTCTTACGAACTGGCCAGGTTGGAGGACATTGCATTAGGAGCTAGGAACTCTGCAGATGTGAATGTGATAGTGGCATTGCATTTGTGCCGCAGATTATTTTGTCGAGCTTTTTTCTGTAATGTATAGGATGGGACAAAACAAAGGATTCTTGGTAATATATTGCTGCTTCTTTGACCTAATTAGTAAGGACCGTTTTTAAAATCTAAATACATATAAGTTCAATCCCAGAAAGAATATTGGCACTGTTCATTTTTACATTATCAGGCTTTATTACTATTTGTCTGGAAATCTGACTTCTCTGATATACTTTTATCTTATTTTATTTTATTTCTTTCTTTATTTTTGAGATGGAGTCTCGCTGTGTCACCCAGGCTGCAGTGCAGTGGCATGATCTTGGCTCACTGCAATCTCCACCTCCCGGGTTCTAGTGATTCTCCTGCCTCAGCCTCCCGATAGCTGGGATTACAGGCACCTACCGACACACCTGGCTAATTTTTGTATTTTTAGTAGAGACAGGGTTTCACCATGTTGGCCACACTGGTCTTGAACTCCTGATCTCAGGTGATCCACCCACCCCAGCCTTCCAAAATGCTGGGATTACAGGCATGAGCCACTGTACCCGGCCTCTGATATACTTTTAAAATATGTAATACAAAACTTCCAGAAAGAGGTTTATATTCTTATGAAAGTTAAACTCATTTTGTGTAAATGTTCATTAAGTAAACAGTAATTTGAGTTATAAACACATGGACATAATAGATTTCACTGTGGATTAAAAAGTAGGAAGATTAGAACCACTTTTTCACATGCATTTTTTTTAATAAAAATAAAACTAGGCCAGGCACAGCGGCTCACGCCTGTAATCCAAATACTTTGAGAGGTTGAGGCAGAGGATTGCTTGAGGCCAGGAGTTCAAGACCAGCCTGGGCAATATAGCAAGGGCCAGTCTCTACAAAAAAAGTTTAGAAATTAGCAGGGCGTGGTGATGTACATCTGTAGTGTCAGCTACTCAGGAGGCTGAAGTGGGAGGATTGCTTGAGCCCAGAAGTTCAAGGCTGGAATGAGCTATGATCATACCACTGCATTCCAGCCAAAGTGACAAAGTGAAACCTCGTATCTAATAAAATAAAGTAATCTAAAAGAACAAACAATAACCAGTCTCTACTAGTACGTATATTTTATAGCAAGACTTAAAGAACTGTACAGTTGTTTGATGTGAAAAGTGTCTGAGTCTCATTGATTCCCAGCTGATTTCTTTGGTAGATGCTTGTTTAGCACCTGCTGTGTGCCGGGTCTCAATATCAAACATCATTTAATTTAATATAGTTTAACTATGGCTACCTTGCTCTTTATGAAAAGAACACCTAATTTTTAAAACAACTAATAATTTTATTAGACTCAAAAGCCTTAGGGGAAGGTACTCATGATGCCGAGCAATGCGGCCCACAGTCAGGGTGTGAGAGTTAGCTGAGTGTGGAGGGTCCTTGCCTCCTTCCCCCTTGGGGCCTCTCTCCAGCTGTCTGGGGATTTCGTTCTCTATTTTCCAGCACTGAGCTAAGGATATTTTGTTTTGTATTTCACTTTCCTTTTTTAAAAGCAAGAAACAGGGAAAAAACAGGTTTGAGTTGAATGTGTTAACACATTAAAATGTTATCTAGGGTTTTATTTACATATAATATTTATTAATGCTAATCCTATTAATGGTCAGGTAATAAGTTTTCAGATCCTAAGAATTCTGTAGTGACATTACTGATGGCTTTACTTCCTCCTTTTGCCTTTTCACACTTACCTACTATCTATGTCATTTATTTTTTTTTTGACTTATGCAATATCCTAGAATTTCATAGCCTAGCCATCAACTGCAGCCCTTGAAGAAGAGATTATGCCTTTCTTTACAAAAGAATATTTAAGTAATACTTTTTGTATATTTTTGTATTTTTCTTGGCTTTTATTCTTAGAGAAAAAACTTATAAATATCTTAAGCACACAAACAGGATGAAACCTGGTTATAAGAAACCAGAGAGGCTGGGCGTGGTTTTCACGGGTCATGCCTGTAATCCCAGAACTTTGGGAGGCTGAGGCGGGCACATCACTTGAGCTCAGGAGTTCAATACCAGCTTGGCCAACATTGTGAAACCCCATCTCTACTAAAAATACAAAAATTAGCTGGGCATGGTAGCGCATGGCTGTAATCCCAGCTACTTGGGAGGCTGAGACAGGAGAACTGCTTGAATCCGGGAGGTGAAAATTGTAGTGAGCAGAGATTATACCACTGCACTCTATCCTAAGCAACAGAGTGAGTGAGACCCTGTCCAAAAAAAAAAAAAAAAAAAAATAGAATACTGTTTCTCCATTTCATCATGTAGACACCTGGAAATCTGACTGTTGAAGAAGGCAGTGCATGTGATTCTATTTAAGGAATAGTACATGGAGACACTAAATGTCCCCCTTGCCTACAGCAGTGCCTGAAATTCCCACATTAGTTGTGTCTTTGAGTTGGGGCTTATCTTCAAAATACTGTTAAAATGTACATTGAAGGTCAATAACCATGCAAGTTTTAATGGTGTCAAAAGAATTGCTAAAAGCTTTGAAAAAAAATGAACACAACACAGAGGGTCCCTGAGCTGCTGGGAAATTATAAAATATGTCAGAATTTGAATGTGGAGGGTACTGATCGCTTCTCCTCGGAGCTTCTCTGTTTATATAGTTAGAAATCTGAGCATTTCCACTTGCAACTTGTCTGCTGCATCTGAAATGTACATGTTCACTTTATATTTGGGGTGGCTTTAATGCCTTATCAAAGGTGACAGAGTAGAGCTTAAGTGTGGTCAGCCTGCCTCTATCACGCAAAGTGGCAATTCTTCTCAATTCAGTGCTGTCATCGTTTTCGGGGGTGTTATAGCTGTTTCTTTCTACTTTTAATCCTCACAAATGTGTGCACATATACCCAGAACTCTCTCACACACAAAAATAGCTAAGAAGTGTACAGTACTTCCAGTTCCCCAAAAGATGCCTCAGTTCCTCTGGTGGGTCTAGACTGATCTCAAGTAAATTTCATACTCACAGGATACACAGCTTGTTATAAGCAGAATTAGGAAATCTGCCCCATTTGAAGGATGTAATTTCATGATCTGTCTTCTTAAATTGCTAGCACCATAAGGAGTCCTGAGCCATTTTGAAGGAGAACATGACATCTTTGTGGCTGAAGTGAAAAAATATCTGCTTAGCTGATGATGATATGTTGTATAGCGATTTAAACAGATAATCAGAACTTTCTCAGTTGCAGCATGAGTTATGAACTTGAGGAATTCACTCTCTTAAGCCAAATCATGGAGAGGGAAATATATTTGCTTTCTATGGAAAACGTTTATCTCCTTTCAGTTACATTGAATAGGTGAAAACTCCCCCAGAATATTCTCCTAAGCAAACTGTTTGATTCTTTCCTATTTTTCTGTAGGAAAACTTTCTTTTTAAAAATTCTGGCCGGGTGCAGTGGCTCACACCTGTAATCCCAGCATTTTGGGAGGCCAAGGCAGCCGGATTGCCTGAGGTCAGGAGTTCGAGACCAGCCTGGCCAACATGGTGAAACCCCATCTCTACTAAAAATACAAAAATTAGCTGGGCGTGGTGGCACACGCCTGTAATCACAGCTACTTGGGAGGCTGAGACAGAAGAATTGCTTGAGCCCAGGAGGCGGAGGTTGCAGTGAGCTGAGATCATGCCCCTGCACTCCAGCCTAGCCAACAGAGTGAGATTCTGTTTCAAAACAAAACAAAACAAAACAAAATTATTTGTTTTCTTTTCTTTTCCTACACTAGGATTTCAGTGTTTAGGTTTACAGAGAAGAAGATACTTGAGGAGGCAAAAAGGAGTAAAATTGCAGTTCCTTTTTTTTCTAATAGTTACTTTTTTAATTAAAGAAGAAAATAGTTCTATAGTCATTGTTCCATTTGGGAAATCAATGTTTGATAATAAAAGTTCTGTTGGTGGCTCATTTTTTAAATCTGGGTTGAACCCTGTTTCTCTCCTAGTTGATAATTTGATCCTCCCATCTCAGAGTTTAGTGGTTGATCCGTAAAATGAAAAAGATGTATTGATCCAATTACCTAATCATTCATTTTGTCATTCTACAAGTTTCTATTTGAAATAAGCCATAATCTCAGCCTCACGTATCTGATAAAGGAGGCAGAAATGTTAATAGTGAAGGGACAGGGGGACCTGTGCAGTATGTATCGGAGGTCTGAAAAGAGTCCTGTAGGAGTAATGAACAACAAAACAACCCCCCATCCCCCAAAGTTTGGGAATTTTTCCTTTATTTTGTTAATAGGTAAAACAAGCATAGCTATATCAACCCAAGGGTAATACTCCCTGTTCCCTACCCTCTTCTCATCTTCCTTCCCCAATTCCATTTCCTGTTCCTCTGAGGTAACCATTGCTAACAGCCTAGAATGTTTCTTCTACATATTTCTTATAAAAATATACAAACGTAGCCTGGCGCGGTGGCTCACGCCCGTAATCCCAGCACTTTGGGAGGCTGAGGTGGGCAGATCACGAGGTCAAGAGATCGAGACCATCCTGGCCAACATGGTGAAACCCCATCTCTACTAAAAGTACGAAAATTAGCTGGGCATGGTGGCGCATGCCTGTAGTCCCAGCTACTCGGGAGGCTGAGGCAGGAGGGGTGCTTGAACCCGGGAGGCAGAGCTTGCAGTGAGTGGAGATTGTGCCACTGCACTCCAGCCTAGCGATAGAGCGAGACTCCGTCTCAAAAAAAAAAAAACAAAAATGTGCAGATTACATTTTCCCCTATAAAGGATGATCCTGTGCACATTGCTGTGCATCTTGCTCAGGTGTACAGCAATTTCCGCAGGTTATACAGGGCAGTCGCTCTTTGTCTGGCTCCCTCCTATCCTCCCTCCAGTCTACCCTCTAGTGTCACATCTCAAATCATCCTGTTCAAACGAGAAACTCTCCTCCCACCCCCACCCTCCCTGGTCACATTCTAGTCCCTCACTTTGATTTATTTTTTCTTCATATTTGTTTAGTGATGTATCTACCCCCTTTATCCCCTATTAGAATAAAATTTCCATGTGAGAGTGACTTTAATTTCCTTTCTACCCTATCCCCAGTGACTAGATCAGTGCTCTACATGGTGGTCCCTCAGTAAAAACTTGGTAAATGAATGAATTGGAATCATTCTGTTTACTAACTGCAGGAATGTCTAGGATATGGGTAAACTGTTACTTATGTAACCATTCCCTTATTCATAGAGATGCAAGTTCTTTCAAGCTTTAGTCTTTATAAGCAATGCTGCCGGGTGCTGTGGCTCATGCCTGTAATCCCAACACTTTGGGGGTCCAAGGTTGGGGGGATCACCTGAGGTCAGGAGTTTGAGACCAGGCTGGCCAACATGGTGAAACCCTGTCTCTACTAAAAATACAAAAATTAGCTGGGCGTGGTGGCGTGTGCCTGTAATCCCAGCTATTCAGGAGGCCAAAGCAGGAGAATCACTAGAACTGGGAAGGCAGAGGTTGCAGTGAGCCGAGATCGTGCCATTGCACTCGTGGGCGACACGGCGAGATCTGTCTCAAAAAAAAAAAGATGTCAGTAAATGGTATTGCTGCGTCCAGGGTAGGTGCATTTTCAATTTGAATAGATGATGCCCAGTTACACTGTTAAAAAATTATTGCCATTCACACCCACTTGCAGTAATGAAAGCACTTATTTCCCTTAATTTTTCTCTGATAACAAGATGTGATTAGTGTTTAATTTTAGCTAATCCAAGAAGTGGGTGTGGAGGGAGATAGTATCTCATTCTAATTGGCATTTCCATGTAAATTATCCAGTTTGAACATTGTAATATGTTTTATTGACCATTTTTCAGCTTCTGTGAATTGCCTGTTTATAATATTTTGCTATCATCTATTGACTTATCTGCCATCCTATTATTAATACGTTTGGTATTGAGCATATTAATCTTTTACTTGTCAGGTGTGGCTATTTTTCCAGTCTACTTTTTGCTTTTCAAGTTTACTCTTTTTGTCATGGAAATCTTTACATTTTTATGTAGTCAAATATATTACCTTTTATATTATGCTTTTAGGCTTCTGGGTTTCCAGTTTTGTATAGGAAAGTTTCCCCTAACTAAAGCGAAACCATATTTTCCTGAATTTTTTGGTAAGATTTTAATTTTTTTTTTGGAAATGGAGTCTCACTCTGTTGCCCAGGATGGAGTGAGTGGCGTGATCTCGGCTCACTGCAACCTTCGCCTCCCAGGTTCAAGTAATTCTCCTGTCTCAGCACCCCAAGTAGCTAGGATTACAGGCGCATGCCACCACACCCAGCTAAATTTTGTACTTTTTAGTAGAGATGGGATTTCACCATGTTGGCCCGGCTGGTCTTGAACTCCTGACCTCGTAATCTGCCTCGGCCTCCCAAAGTGCTGGGATTACAGGTGTGAGCCACCACGCCTGGCCAGATTTTAATTTTTAAAAATAGTTGTCTCCTAAGCAAATGTAATTTTTTATTTATATACAATAAGATGTGATTTAGCTTTGTTTTTCCAAATAGATTTCCTATTATGTAAATACCATCTTTTAAATAAATCATCTTTCTCTCACTTATTTGAAATTTAAATATATTACCTTGATTTAAATATAACTTAAATACATAATACATATATAAAAGTATATGTGGATTTATATATATTCAGTATACATATTTAAACTTGAATCTATTTCTTGATTCTCTATTATTGTCCCCCAACCTATTTGTCTATTCCTATGTATAATTCTTATATTTCTATATGTGTGTGTTTAACTGTTTAATTATTGTACTTCTGAGTAAATCTTAATATCATATAAGATAAATTCTCCGTCACAAACCTACTTTTCCAAAATACTCTTGCTAATCTCAAACACTTATTATGCCATAAAAATTTTTAATCATTTATTCCAATGAAGCCCACCAGAATTATGCATAAAATTTGGCTTTGAAACACACATACATACACACACACACACACACACACACACACACACACACACACACACACACAACCTGGATGGACTGGAGTGAGAGAGGTGAGTTGGTTGGGAGGTGGTCTTAGCAATTAGGCAAACTAAAACAGGGCCTGAACACCCGGGTGACAGGAGGGTGAGCCACGTCCAAAAGAGAATCAACTGGACTTGGACTTTGACCATTTGTTAAGGAAGTTGAGTCATAACTATTAGAGTGAAGGAATGAGCAGATTGTAAACCCTTCCTAGAGTTAGGACTATGGAGGAAAGTACTTTTGGAGGTAGACAGCAGGGAAGAAGATGTATCCATTTGTGGACAGGTTGAGTTCCACGCATGAGAGCCATCAGTGGGCACAAAGAAATTGGTGATGATGATGCTAAACATTTGGATAACTTTAAAATATTTGAAAGAGGTTTTTAAATGAAGTTCTGGAACTTTCAGGCATACTTAAGTTCTTATTCACTTTCTTATGAGGCCTCACTTTTTTTTCTTTTTCCTAACTCATTTCTACTTTTGGCAGCTTGGGGGCAAATTATTGTAAATTCCCATTCTTGTTCTTGAAAACTGGGAATTTATCCACAGGTGGCAAAATGTCAGTTCTTGAAAATGTTTGTTCCCACTCTGTAAAAATATTTTCTACAAATACTTATATTAATAGTTTTATAATATTTTTGCAAAACCCAATATTTTATGGTCACTACCATTTTCTCTTTATCATAAAAACTGTTTAGGCTATGGAGTATAAATGATTTTGACTATTAAAATGATGTATTGCCTGGGCCCAGTGGCTCATGCCTGTAATCCCAGCACCTTGGGAGGTCGAGGCGGGCAGATCACCGGAGGTCGCGAGTTCGAGACCATCCTGGCCAACATGGAGAAACCCTGTCTCTACTGAGAATACAAAATTAGCTGGGCATGGAGGTGCATGCCCGTAATCCCAGCTACTTGGGAGGCTGAGGCAGGAGAATCACTTGAACCCAGAAGGCTGAGGTTGTGGTGAGCCAAGATCACGCCATTGCACTTCAGCCTGGGTAACAAGAGTGAAACTCCATCTCAAAAAAAAAGATATATCATTTTGACTTAAGGTATGTTGTAGATATGCTTATTCTCATGGCATTTTCTTTCATTTGTCTTTTCAGAACTTGATAGCCCAGAAGAGTTAGGGAAAAAGCGTATCTGCAGGATTATCACGAAAGATTTCCCCCAGTATTTTGCAGTGGTTTCCCGGATTAAGCAGGAAAGCAACCAGATTGGTCCTGAAGGTGGAATTCTGAGCAGCACCACAGTGCCCCTTGTTCAAGCATCTTTCCCAGAGGGTGCCCTAACTAAAAGAATTCGAGTGGGCCTCCAGGTAATGTTCACAAAAAGTTGTTTCCCTCAGTATGCGCAGAGAGCATGTGAGTGCATGTTTTGCTCTGGAAAGAGTTATTCTAACATCCTAATGATACTGCTAATTAGGCCGTTTGGGGAATCATTTACCTATTTCAGATAAAAAGCATCAAGTATAAAGTTAGCTTACTGGCTTGTTAAATAAGGTACATATTTTAGGGTTGTTCTGTTTAAAAGTCTCAGTTGGTTTCTGATGAAAAATAATTTTTTAAATCATAGGTTATTGGTCTCAGTATGTGGAACAACATACCAAGCCATGGTTTATGATATGCCACATCATAAAAATCAGTTATAGTGAAGCCTGCAGACTTTAGTGTTTTCATTTGATTGAAGTAAATCATAAATACTGGGTTTTATCCAAACCAGTTGGAACTTGATTTGGTTTGGAAAGCTGGCTGGAAATCTTGGATCAAAAGATTTTTCTTGTGTTTATTTCAGCTAGACTTTAGTTCTTTTTTTCTTTATTGAATAAGGAAAATGAACTAAAGTAACTTAATAGATGTTATTAATATTGTAATTAATAGTTTAACTGAAGGTTCATGTTCTTCTTGTGAGGCTGGACTCTCCTGCCCAATGGAGTTAACTGGGTTTTGTTTGTTTGTTTTGAGCCAAGCATACTTAAGTCCTGAGATGACCTTTAATAAGTAGTTAGCACTAACGAGACCACCTTACATTTCAGGGGTATGAAGCTCCCTTCACCTGCCTCCCATACCAAGTTATTTTACCAAACAGAAAAGAAACCAAGTGGTAGAAGAGAGGCTTAGTAGACTAGAATTGAAATCTTTTGAAATTTTGAATGCATTTTGTTATTAACTCTGAAAGCCTCGGTTTTTATGTGGGTATGAGTTGCCTTTAGGAGGTTTTACTGAATGTCCTGCATAGGTTTAAAATATATTGGACTCAGCATTTATTGTCCTTTAATCTGGACTAGACTAAGAAACTTCTATGCCGTGAGACTGGATCCCCTCTCTTTCCTGCAAGCCAGTGCTATTTGTGTTCTACTGGGGAAATACTCAGACTGACCAATTCCTGTCATAGTGTTTGGTTTCGTTTATTCATGCTTTCCTAAAATAGTAAGAAAGGTTAAAAAAGACCTGGGTTTTTTTTTTTTTTTTTTGGTTGTCTGTTTTTGTTTTTTTCCTTCTCACTTAAAAAGTAAACTTCATGATTGGGAAAAAAAAAAAAAAAAGTCACTTTCATTTAAAGTCCTTTCTCTGTCTCTAGGCCCAGCCTGTTCCAGATGAAATTGTGAAAAAGATCCTTGGAAACAAAGCAACTTTTAGCCCAATTGTCACTGTGGAACCAAGAAGACGGAAATTCCATAAACCAATCACAATGACCATTCCGGTGCCCCCGCCCTCAGGAGAAGGTGTATCCAATGGATACAAAGGGGACACTACACCCAATCTGCGTCTTCTCTGTAGCATTACAGGTTTGGTTAAGTCACTGCTGTACTTCCTATTGATTCACAAAGATTGTGTACAAAGATATATTTGTGTACAAAGATATAAAACCTTTGAAATATCCATGCCAACATTATAAGAGAAAATAAAAGAACAAAACATTTTACTTGTCCATCACCTCATCTCTGGTTTCCCAAGGATCATTTCTTGGGAAGATCCTGGTCAAGATCCTGGTCTCATGACTCATTTAAAATTTAGTGATAGCATCTTTCCTGCTATTAAGGTTAGCATTAGTAGAAGTATCATTGAATCTACTGGAGCATCTAGGTAATTTCTAGATTCAATCTAGGTAATTTCTTGGTGACCTAGACAGAGGTAATGGACTTAGCAACATACTTTAAACTACAAGGAAATTGGGTGGACTTTGGGAAAAATACATGTCCCACAGAGCACTAGTAATAGGAAATTGTTCAGTACATGGTTATTCTCACCTACTGTACTCGCCAGTGTAATCCGAGAGTTTAAACATTCAGGGCTCAGAAGAACACATTTTGTGATAAGCACCTGGAATCTAGAGCTCAATTCATCCTTTGATTATCCTAGTCCGATTTTTAACTGCAATTCCAAGATTATTAAAGATAGATTTTGTTTTTGATCTTCTTTTGTTCTCTGAGGAGTAATTTTAATGGCTGATGCCCCTTTTTACCCTCGGTAATTAATTGTACAGAATGCCATGTACAGAATGAGCTGTTTCTTAACTTTGGTAGTTCTTACCTTTTTAAAGAGTAAGAGGCTGGGCGCGGTGGCTCACGCCTGTAATCCCAGCACTTTGGGAAGCCAAGGCGGTGGATCACCTGAGGTCAGGAGTTCGAGACCAGCCTGGCCAACATGATGAAACCCCGTCTCTACTAAAAATACAAAACTTAGCTGGGCGTGGTCGCAGGCACCTGTAATCCCAGCTACTGGGGAGGCTGAGGCAGGAGAATCGCTTGAACCCAGGAGGCGGAGGTTGCAGTGAGCCGAGATCGCACCATTGCACTCCAGTCTTGGCAACAAGAGCGAGACTCCGTCTCAAAAAAAAAAAAAAAAAAAAAAGAGTAAGAGACTTAATTATCCATCTGAAACAACCAATCTTTGCACTTACAAATTGCATTTATAAAATATACTTATAAATTGTGGCTGCCCCAAGTTTAAGCCATTCATTAGTACCCAGACAAAAAACAAGGAATTTTTTTTTAATTTAATATCATCTTACAAGGAAATCACAATAAGCCTGGTAAAAGTATAAAAGGAGAGTAGAGAGGAAAACTACCTTTAGTACACACTATTAAACTGAAGGTGTTGAAGTTTTGCCAGTTTGTGGCTATGCAGAAAGAAGAACAGGATCTGATGAAAATTTTACAAGGAGCATCTCCCATGATAAAGTCAACATATCTGCTGTTGTTCTCTCAGGGGGCACTTCGCCTGCTCAGTGGGAAGACATCACAGGAACAACTCCTTTGACGTTTATAAAAGATTGTGTCTCCTTTACAACCAATGTTTCAGCCAGGTATGGAAATAAAGGATTCCAAAAAGCAGTAAGGAATTAGTTTTTATTACCTTTTGGAAAGTAAAAATTGTTGTGTTCAATACTAAAAAAAATTGTTGTGAGAAAAAAAATCCGTAGTATTTGCTTATCAAAATTATCCTCAAATAACAAACAGAGGGTTTCTGTGTTTGATACATCGAAAAAGCATCTTTGCTGTTTAAATGAACAAGTTAATAACGTTTTGGGTTAGTTCCTTTACATATTCTGATTTTTTTAATTGTGAGTCTTTTTAAGATTTGGCTTTTAAATAGCCACATTTTCATACTTCTGTTTTTTGTTTTGCTCAGATTTTGGCTTGCAGACTGCCATCAAGTTTTAGAAACTGTGGGGTTAGCCACGCAACTGTACAGAGAATTGATATGTGTTCCATATATGGCCAAGTTTGTTGTTTTTGCCAAAATGAATGATCCCGTAGAATCTTCCTTGCGATGTTTCTGCATGACAGATGACAAAGTGGACAAAACTTTAGAGCAACAAGAGAATTTTGAGGAAGTCGCAAGAAGCAAAGATATTGAGGTACCTTGTTCACAAAAACAAGTTCATTTCATTACGTACTCCAGATATGAGGTTTTATTTTGTGGTCTTAATAGCACTCACTATAAAATACCAAGTGCATTATTGATTTTACTTTTACTTTAAAAAATTTGATATAGATTAATACTCAAATTTTTTTATCTTTTTTAATTTAATTTAATTTAATTTTTTTTTTTTTGAGACGGAGCCTTGCTCTGTTGCCGAGGCTGGAGTGCAGTGGCGCGGTCTCAGCTTACTGCAACCTCCGCCTCCTGGGTTCAAACAATTCTCCTGCCTCAGCCTCCCAAGTAGCTCGGATTACAGGCGCCTGCCACCATGCCCAGCTAATTTTCTGTATTTTCAGTAGAGATGGGGTTTCACCATGTTAGCCAGGCTGGTCTCAAACTCCTGACCTCGTGATCCACCCACCTTGGCCTCCCAAAGCGCTGGCATTACATGAGTCACCACGCCCGGCCAATACTCAAATTATTTTAAGTGTCTCTGGGGCTGTCTTAGCTGGTTAAAACATAGCACTAATGAATTTAAGTTATGGTCTCCATTTTCCTGTGGCCACTTGAGTTACCTACTTTTCAGAATCACTGTTTATACACATTACTATGATTTTCCTTTTTCAAACCCAGTGAGCATGTAAGTATCTAACAGTGCAAAAAAAAAAAAAAAGCTTTCAAAATCTATACGAATAAGTGATTGATGTCAGGCACATTCTTAAATATTTTTAAAGTTGCCAGAATAAAAATAAATGTGTAATTCTGTTCTGTATATGTCCATGATATGGATTCCAATTACAGTTGGTGAGTTGTAAGCACACAACATTATTTTTGTTGCAAATAGCACCACAGAAGTAACTGCCTAATAGAGACACGTGTAACATAGTAACGTCAGTCTTTTAACGTTACGTGACATAAAATCTCAAAATATTTTAAACTCAGATTAACATTAAATTGTTTATTTCTTTTACTCTAAAAGGTTCTGGAAGGAAAACCTATTTATGTTGATTGTTATGGAAATTTGGCCCCACTTACCAAAGGAGGACAGCAACTTGTTTTTAACTTTTATTCTTTCAAAGAAAATAGACTGCCATTTTCCATCAAGGTAAATCATCTTTAACAGAGAATCTGTGAATTATGGGGAAAAAATACTCTTAGAGAATAAAAATAAAAGGTTTTAATGATTTATTTAATTTGAAATACCCCGTCAAATCTGAACTCATAAGGTCAGATTTTGTTCTGGTTCTACCAGAGTATACTTTCAAGCCAGTAAAGCTTTACAATTGGTAAAAAGGATCATTATTTTTCAAAGAGTTTAATAACATTTATGTTTAAGCAAACATTTGTAAAACCAAACAATTTAGAGTAATACAATGTGTTATTTCTGGTTAATGTTCAGTAATCAAATAATGGATGAAATGCAAATACAGTATTCAAGTTTCATTTTCATTTCTGGTGGAGCCCAGGGACGTTCTAGAGGGATCACCTTCTCTCTCCAAGAACAGAAGGAGAGAGGAAAATTGTTTTGTCATTATTATTTGCTGTTACTGTTGCAAAAGCTGGAGCTTTCAGAAAAAAAAACTGTTAGAAGGAAAATGCACATAACTCAGACTGTACTATGAATTGTCAGGATTAGATCATCAGACACAACAATCCTGCGTTTAGGAATCGGGCATCTAACTCTTGCTGAGTTCAGATGTGACCACCCCGGTTGCTGCATAATCGTAATCATCATCTTTTCCCTTTACCTTTCCTGCCTCTCATAGGGCTTGATAAAACAACCATGCTTAACTCTTATACAGTTAAAAATCCTCAGATAAGTCTCATTCTATAACCATCAACTACCAAAATTCTTCTAGATTAGAGACACCAGCCAAGAGCCCTGTGGTCGTCTGTCTTTTCTGAAAGAACCAAAGACAACAAAAGGACTGCCTCAAACAGCGGTTTGCAACTTAAATATCACTCTGCCAGCACATAAAAAGGTATCTTTTAATACTGCTTTAAATTGTCTTTCCCTGGTCTTGAAGAAGTGGGCCTTTGGTATGCAATTAAGGAATGCTTTGTAACATGAATAAAGCTCTTGAAACTGAAGTTGTATTAGTCTCCTCGTGTAGATTGCCTAAGTCTTGTTAATGTGGTGTCAAATTCTTATAGTTTGTATGATGGAGTCTTCTCTGTTTATCGCTTTTGCTTCTGCTGGTAGCGCATAGATTTTTATGCTTTTAAATAACGTCATATGTTAATTTGCCATGGATGTACAGTTCTTGATATTTTTTGTTGGCTTTTTTTAAAATTTGCTTTGCTTTCTAAATCAGCTTGCATTTGTGCTCCCTACTCAGTCCTTTTCATATCCTGATATTCTTTTCCCTGCTGTCCATTATAATATTCCTTGTCTCTGCAATGCATCTTGGAACCAAAAGGAGACAGAGTCAGATCAAGATGATGAGGTAATATAAACACTTCTGCTTTTATTCTATCAGAAGTAGAATAGAAATTGAATCTGTATGACAGAAGTTGCAGAGGGCTAAAGTGTGGGAAACATATAAATTATATTTTTCAGGTCTTAAGTAGGTAAAAGGGTATATATTTTTCTTAAATGGTTCACTCTTCTTCCACACGTACTTAAGAGTACTTAAATATATTCAACGAAATTATAATTCAGCTGATGATTCAGAAACTGAAGGTCTTTAAACATTTTTAAATATGGTAGATTGGCATGTATAAATAAACGTTAAAAATTTTTTTAGACAAGTCAAGTGCAATAGTGAGAAAGGGGGAAAAGAGTAGGACCAGGAAGTTCTATCTATGACTGACGAGAACAGTCAACTGAGATAACGCACTACCTTCGAACCCGCCAAATAGACATTTTGTGAAAGTTTCATGTGCCTATTTTACTATCAACTATATCCTACTATCCAGCATGTTATAACATTTAAATCAAGATCACGTTTAATATGTGCAATTTTATTGTACAAATAAACTTATGTTGTATGTGATACAAAATATTTGCTTACTAGCTATTGATAAATCTTTGATACTCTCACTAAAGAAATTTATCTTGACCATTTTTTTAAGAATATAGTTCAATTAAGTTGTCTCCTAATGTTTCTCTAAGTTATATGATAATTAGGTTTTTGAATCCCACACATCAATAGTAATAAATAGAATCAAGTAGCCTTAGGATGCAGTAATAGTACCTCTGGCCAGGCGTGGTGGCTCACGCCTGTAATCCTAGCACTTTGGGAGGCCGAGGCGGGGATGGGGTGGGGGAATCACCTGAGGTCAGGAGTTCGACACCAGCCTAGCCAACATGGCAAAACCCTGTCTCTACTAAAAATACAAAAATTAGCTGGACGTGGTGCTGCATGCCTGTAATCCCATCTACTCAGGAGGCTGAGGCAGAATTGCTTGATCCCAGGAGGCAGAGGTTGCAGTGAGGCGGGATCTCACCACTGTACTCCAGCCTGGGCTACAAGAGCAAGACTCCGTCCCTACCCTCCTCTGCCCGCCCCACCAAAAAAAAAGTACTTCTAACAAAACCATTCATCTGTTTTCAATCTCCTCATCTACACTTTATGCCTGTTAACATACAGAATCCCCAGCAGTAATTGGAATAATAAACTTTGTGTGCCTTTCTCCCTTGAATGTACTCACATAGAGTGAGTGTACTTTGTGATATATGTGCTTTCAATATGAACAGTTCCAGGAAAATTTAATGCTCAGCATCAGAAGTCTCTGTAATGCTTGTCTTTTACTTGTACTTCCCTGTAGTCTGCTGTGTTGGTGCTCTTAAATTTGCCAAATGATGATTTTGGTTAAGACATGGGGGGTGGGGTTACAAAATCCCAGTGGGAAATTAACATTTCCTAAGAAGGAAAATAAACAAGTTATCAACATGCCATCCTACAAAATGTCTTAAAACTGAAGATGTCACAGGGAAGTTGGAAATAGAGTTGTCTTTTTTTTTTTCCTTTTCAGATTGAGAAAACAGATAGACGACAGAGCTTCGCATCCTTAGCTTTACGTAAGCGCTACAGCTACTTGACTGAGCCTGGAATGAGTGAGTTTCCTAACACATTTACTAATCTACGTGGATTTTCATAAGAAGAGACATTTTTTCTATACAAACCAAATTTTATCATTTGGAAACTCAATGGCAAAAGAAAAATTGCCTGCAGGAAAACCCTGTCATACAACCTAAGTAATATTTTGTGCCTAGTTGAAGATGTGAGGTAAAAACGCCCCTAGCTCATACTTCAAAACAGTTTTTAAAGCCATTAACTATTTTTAAATTAGAAACATGTATTACTTTTCTTTTAAAACCTTGATTTTTACTTTGATTAACTATGCTAGGAGATAAATATGAATGTTGCTTTAGATCTATGCTCAGATGAAAAAAATTACTCAAATATTTGGAATGGTAGAAAAATGATAAAGTTACTTTGTCATCTCATTTTTCTCAGTATAGATAGGTTGTCATATCCTAGTCCCGATTCTTTTTCTTCCCACTTTGCAAGAATCACGTTTCCTTACCTTCTTGAGGTAGCACTTGTTTACAGAGTTCTTCTTTCCTCCCTCCCTCCCTCTCACTTCCTCTCCTCCTGTCCTTTATTAAAATATCAGTTCTAAGGCTGGTCTTCACTAGACCAGTTAGACCCTTTTCTTTTCTCAATGATCGTTTTGGTTCATTGTTAGCTGGCATGCACTTATTAAGATACAGATTCATTCAGTCCTATCTGTTTATATATTCTCCCTCTCTCTCTCTCTTTCTGTCTGCCTCCTCCTCCCTTTCCTTCCATCATCCTTGTAATCATCACCTCTGGTGATCTCTACAGCCCTCAAGATAACCCCCTCCACCAGCAGGAACTAAGGGTATTGAGCTCAGCATTGTATTTGACTGACATATTGGTGCCACTTTAACCATTCTCCTCATTTTAAATGAGGGGAAATTATACAAAAATTATTTTTTAATTAGTGAATCATTCCTAGCTGTTTCCCACTGACACAGTTTCTTAAGTTCAAGGAGGTCTGGAAATTTGCCAGTAAGAGTCACATCTTTGGCTTTTCCCACCTTTTCTGAAGTCTTGTTTTTATGGGCCAACAGCATAGCATATAAGATCTGCGGCAGGACACTACTGCACCACTTAGTTGAGATGGTCTTAGCGTCATCTTCTGGAGCCTAGCTCCTTGACTATTAGAGAAGTTTCAATATTTAAATACAAAATGGAGAATATAAGAGAAATGAAAGAAACCTACCACATTCAAGAATGTTTCCTCAGATCTCTGTTCTCCTCTAGCAGAAATGTCGAAATCCTCCCAGAAACATAAGGGCTGAAATTAACTCATATTATGCTACAGAGCAGAAGAGGGGTGTGTGTGTGTGTGTGTGTGTGTGTGTGTGTGTGTGTGTGTGTGTGTGTGTAGCTAGGTAGCTAGGTGGTTTCCAGTAGAATTAAATACACTGGGGAAGTTTTCTTTGGAATACTATTTTGCCCTAGAGATCCTCAGTGGGTAGTTGGTTGAGACCCTGTAGGCAACATCGTTAAGCTTTGGACAGGCTCAATGGACCAGCCGCTTTAGGTCGGAGGCCCCTTCAGGCAGGTGAGTTTCCATCTGATTCTGGTTGCTAAGGCAAAGTCAATTGAATGTTTCCCACTTATAATAGTGTTACTGGTTAGATCCAGCTAAGGTGTATGCAGCTTGTGTTCCTGGACTTTTGGTAGAAGAGGAGCGAAGTTTTCTGTTTTATGAAAGGGTACATAAGGGTGGTAAACAAGGGAATGAATAGGAATAGGAAGTGACTAAAAGAAAAGTAAGTCTCAAAACTGGTGTTATGGGAACTCCAAGTGAATGCCACTTTTCCTTCACCACGCTGCCTTTCCAACCCCTTCCCCCCAGGAAAAAGATTCTGGATTAGTTCGGTGCCTGACATCCAGAAATTCCCTCTTATAAAGGGATCCCAAAATATATGTCATTAAAGCATAAAATGTGTAACTGATTGGTAGGTTGGTTGTTCCTTGCGAAGTATAAAACCATAGACGTGGTTCAAAAGATTTCTTTGCCTGATAGAGCCAGCCTTCAGTGGTAAAGGATAGATGCTTTGTCAGTGTCTGATAGTTACAAAAATAAATGCTTGTGAGACACAGACTAAGCTCAAATCATTGAATTTGAAGGAATCTGCAAACCTTCCATTTGCAGCGTGGCATTTCCAAAAGAGTTCAGCAATATAATATTGAGAATTATGGCAAGAAGGGGTAATGAATAGGCGAGTTTTTCCTTAGTTCTTCCACTTTCTTTAGAATAATATGTAAGCCTAGGAAAGGATATGTTTGGAATGTTTGAATTTAAATGTACACTAGAAATGACCATCTTCACCCTTGTGAGAGTAGCTGCTAATCCAAAGACTGGACTGTAGCAATGGCACGGGCACAGCATGAAGAAGAACATAAAAGCTGAAGCAGATTCTCATTTTCTCTTTGAGTTTCACTATTCTGAACCAGGGCTTTCTTGGAGCAAAACTGTATTCACCTTTGATGTAGAACATTAGCCGTTGGCAGGCCTTGCAAATCTCTGACCAGTTTGGTTTGTTTGAGTTGTAGAAGCAGAGAGGACCAAGTATGTGTTTGTGCTCCCCAGCAAGTGTGCTTACTTCATTTGTGTGTTTCTTGCTCCATTGCCAGAAGAAATGCTGGTATTACTATATCCATTCTTCCTAGTGGTAGGTCTCCCTCGTGACTGCTTCAGTGTTTGTGATATCCATAAGTCCCATGAATATTATGGGAAGGCACCAGAATTGGTACCTTTGAAATTGATAAACATATATACACACACCCCACATATCCTACTGTAGGTACTTAAATATGGGGTGTTAAAAATATGAATGTAGTTTTTAGATGTCCCCCATGATAGCTTTTGAAAATTAAATGTAGATTAGGTTATGAAAAAATATCTGAGATAAACTATATGCTTTTATCCATATTGAAGAGTTGCAGACATGGACGTATGTAGTTGCAGGTCATTTTATAACTTGCAGTAGAAAATATTTTCCTAAAATCTCAAAAGGTACCAAGACTTCATATCTCATGGAAAAAGTGTACTCTTCTTTCTAAATGCCCTTGTGAAAGTATCTTTAAAGTTTATATATTGTGCATAATATGGCATACGAATTGTATTACTTCATTGGCTTGTTTGCCATGATATATTGTGCATGATAAAATGTTTTCAGTTGCTTTGCTTGCTTATGGTAACCATGAACCATATTTTCTGTTTTTTTCTTTGTGTGTGTATATGTACACATGCATTTTAAAGTCATTTCATATTATGTTTTCTTTTCCTCTCATCAAAAGGAATATACTGCATGGAAAAGATAAATGCAAACATTCCTTTTCTTTGTTTTTTTTGTTTAAAATTCTGACTCAGAAAACTTCTTGCTCTTATTGGCTTTTTATGGGTGTAAAGCATAACCGAACTGTGCATGGGAGATACAGATTTAAAATCCAGTGGCTTCACAGTTTGCACATCAGTTGCCTGTCACTTAAAAGTTATTTTGGATTCTGCATGAAATAGGCTTGAGTGGTTTTGGAAAAAAGTTTTAGATATTTAATGTATAGCTACATATATTGAAATGGTTCTAAGTAGGTGCAATCTGTATCATGGAAAGGCTAAAGGAGAGAGAGGACATTAGAAATTACTAAAATGAAAGTTGTATGGTTGCACGAAACAAACATGTACCTATACAGGCAAAATAGAATGGCTACTGATATTTCAAAACCAACACATAAGAAAGTCAATAGGAAGTAGGGAACAGTTTTCCATTATGGTTATTTTTCTCATCATTAATTCTTTCCTCATGTTTTCTATTTTTCATTGTTTGCCTCTTTGGTTGCAATGTGCTTTTTCTTTCATTTCACATTACTCTGTTTTTTATTTAGTTGTTTTTTTTTAACTTCAGATTAGTTATGTCTGTAGAAATTTGTTTTTCCTCTTAATTGTTCCTTTTGCCTCTTCCATTCTAAATCATGCAAACAATTGTACTTGCTTTTGTAATATTTCAAAGTTTACTGACCAATTTTTTTCTCTGGTCTCTCTGTTTCTCAACCATTTTTGTTGATTTTTGTGTTTGATTTCATTTTAAAATTTAAGAAACAGTTGAACGGAGTACAGGAGCAACAAGATCCCTCCCCACCACTTACTCATACAAGCCATTCTTTTCTACAAGACCATACCAGTCCTGGACAACAGCTCCGATTACAGTGCCTGGGCCAGCCAAGTCAGGCTTCACTTCCTTATCAAGTTCTTCCTCTAATACGCCATCAGCTTCTCCGTTAAAATCAATATGGTCTGTTTCGACACCTTCTCCAATCAAATCCACATTAGGCGCGTCAACTACATCTTCAGTTAAATCCATTAGTGACGTGGCATCTCCAATTAGATCCTTTCGGACAATGTCTTCGCCGATAAAAACTGTGGTGTCACAATCTCCATACAATATCCAAGTTTCCTCTGGTACCCTGGCTAGAGCTCCAGCAGTCACGGAAGCTACGCCCTTAAAAGGGCTGGCATCCAATTCTACGTTTTCCTCTCGAACCTCTCCAGTGACTACAGCAGGGTCTCTTTTGGAGAGGTCATCAATTACTATGACACCCCCTGCCTCCCCCAAATCAAACATTAATATGTATTCCTCAAGTTTGCCATTTAAGTCAATTATTACATCAGCAGCACCGCTAATATCTTCACCTTTAAAGTCAGTGGTGTCTCCAGTTAAATCAGCAGTTGATGTCATTTCATCAGCCAAAATTACAATGGCATCTTCTCTCTCATCACCTGTGAAGCAGATGCCTGGACATGCAGAGGTAGCATTAGTCAATGGATCTATTTCCCCTCTAAAATATCCATCATCCTCAACTTTAATTAATGGATGCAAAGCCACTGCCACGTTACAGGAAAAAATTTCTTCTGCTACAAACTCTGTGAGCTCTGTGGTCAGTGCAGCCACTGACACAGTTGAGAAAGTGTTTTCTACCACGACTGCAATGCCATTTTCCCCACTCAGGTCATATGTTTCTGCAGCACCATCAGCTTTTCAGTCTCTAAGAACTCCTTCCGCAAGTGCACTCTATACATCCCTTGGGTCGTCAATATCTGCAACTACCTCATCTGTAACTTCATCAATTATAACAGTGCCAGTATACTCTGTAGTCAATGTTTTGCCAGAACCAGCATTAAAGAAACTTCCAGACTCTAATTCATTTACAAAATCAGCAGCAGCCTTGCTGTCACCCATTAAAACATTGACTACGGAGACACATCCTCAGCCTCACTTCAGTCGAACTTCATCTCCAGTTAAGTCATCTTTGTTCCTTGCACCCTCTGCCCTTAAGTTGTCTACACCATCTTCTTTATCTTCCAGTCAGGAGATACTAAAAGATGTAGCTGAAATGAAAGAGGACCTAATGCGGATGACCGCAATACTACAGACAGATGTGCCTGAGGAGAAGCCATTCCAACCTGAACTCCCAAAGGAAGGGAGAATAGATGATGAAGAACCTTTCAAAATTGTAGAGAAAGTAAAGGAAGACTTAGTGAAAGTTAGTGAAATCCTTAAAAAGGATGTATGTGTAGATAATAAAGGATCACCCAAATCACCAAAGAGTGACAAAGGACACTCTCCTGAAGATGACTGGATAGAATTTAGTTCGGAAGAAATCCGGGAAGCCAGACAACAAGCTGCTGCGAGCCAGTCTCCATCTCTGCCAGAGAGAGTGCAAGTAAAAGCAAAAGCCGCCTCCGAAAAGGATTATAACTTGACCAAAGTTATTGATTACCTAACAAATGATATTGGGAGTAGTTCACTGACAAACTTAAAATACAAGTTTGAGGATGCAAAGAAGGATGGTGAGGAGAGACAGAAAAGAGTTTTAAAACCAGCAATTGCTTTGCAGGAACACAAACTCAAAATGCCTCCAGCCTCCATGAGGACTTCCACCTCTGAGAAAGAATTGTGTAAAATGGCTGATTCCTTTTTTGGAACAGATACTATTTTAGAGTCTCCTGATGACTTTTCTCAACACGACCAAGATAAAAGTCCCTTGTCTGACAGTGGCTTTGAAACAAGAAGTGAAAAGACACCTTCAGCCCCACAAAGCGCTGAAAGCACTGGTCCTAAACCACTTTTTCATGAAGTTCCCATCCCTCCTGTCATTACAGAAACAAGAACTGAAGTGGTTCATGTTATCAGGAGCTATGATCCCTCAGCTGGGGATGTTCCCCAGACCCAACCAGAGGAGCCTGTGTCACCTAAACCTTCACCTACTTTTATGGAATTGGAACCAAAGCCCACCACCTCTAGTATTAAAGAAAAGGTTAAAGCATTTCAAATGAAAGCCAGTAGTGAAGAAGATGACCACAATCGGGTTTTAAGCAAAGGCATGCGTGTTAAAGAAGAGACTCACATAACCACAACCACCAGAATGGTTTATCATTCTCCACCAGGCGGTGAAGGTGCATCTGAAAGAATTGAAGAAACCATGTCAGTCCATGACATCATGAAGGCCTTTCAGTCCGGGCGGGATCCTTCCAAAGAACTGGCAGGTCTGTTTGAACATAAGTCGGCAGTGTCTCCAGATGTTCACAAGTCTGCTGCTGAAACCTCAGCCCAGCATGCAGAGAAGGACAACCAAATGAAACCCAAACTGGAGCGTATAATAGAAGTCCACATCGAAAAAGGTAACCAAGCTGAGCCCACTGAAGTCATTATTAGAGAAACCAAAAAGCATCCAGAAAAAGAAATGTATGTATATCAGAAAGACTTATCCCGGGGAGATATTAACCTAAAAGATTTTCTGCCAGAAAAACACGATGCTTTTCCTTGTTCAGAGGAACAGGGTCAGCAAGAAGAAGAAGAACTTACTGCTGAAGAGTCATTGCCTTCTTATCTGGAGTCTTCCAGAGTAAACACTCCTGTGTCCCAAGAAGAAGATAGCCGCCCTAGTTCTGCTCAACTCATATCTGATGACTCTTATAAAACATTGAAGCTTTTGAGTCAACACTCAATAGAATACCATGACGATGAGTTGTCAGAACTAAGAGGGGAGTCTTACAGGTTTGCTGAGAAAATGCTTCTGTCAGAAAAGCTAGATGTGTCTCATTCTGATACTGAGGAATCGGTTACAGACCATGCAGGACCCCCTAGCTCAGAGTTACAGGGGTCTGATAAGCGGTCCAGAGAAAAAATAGCCACTGCCCCCAAAAAAGAAATTCTCTCCAAAATCTATAAAGATGTTTCTGAAAATGGTGTAGGTAAAGTGTCTAAAGATGAGCATTTTGATAAAGTGACAGTGTTGCACTATTCTGGCAATGTTAGTAGTCCAAAACATGCCATGTGGATGCGCTTTACTGAGGACAGATTAGACAGAGGTAGAGAGAAGTTGATATATGAAGATAGGGTGGACAGGACTGTGAAGGAGGCTGAAGAAAAACTGACTGAAGTGTCACAGTTTTTTCGTGACAAAACTGAAAAGCTAAATGATGAACTGCAGTCCCCAGAGAAAAAGGCACGCCCTAAAAATGGCAAAGAATATTCTTCTCAAAGCCCTACCAGTAGCAGCCCTGAGAAAGTGCTACTGACAGAACTGCTGGCATCCAATGATGAGTGGGTTAAGGCAAGACAGCATGGCCCTGATGGACAAGGCTTCCCCAAGGCCGAGGAGAAGGCACCCAGTCTGCCCAGCAGCCCAGAGAAGATGGTTCTCTCCCAACAGACTGAGGACAGCAAGTCCACAGTGGAAGCCAAAGGAAGTATTTCACAGAGCAAAGCACCAGATGGGCCCCAGTCTGGATTCCAGCTCAAACAATCTAAACTCAGTTCCATTAGATTAAAATTTGAACAAGGCACACACGCAAAAAGTAAGGACATGTCTCAAGAAGACAGAAAGTCAGATGGCCAGTCCAGAATCCCAGTTAAAAAAATACAGGAGAGCAAGCTACCCGTCTACCAAGTTTTTGCTAGAGAAAAACAGCAGAAGGCCATAGACCTCCCAGATGAAAGTGTATCTGTGCAAAAAGATTTTATGGTATTAAAAACCAAAGATGAGCATGCCCAAAGCAACGAAATTGTTGTAAATGATTCTGGCTCTGATAATGTGAAAAAACAGAGAACTGAAATGTCAAGTAAAGCAATGCCTGACTCTTTTTCTGAGCAGCAGGCTAAAGACTTGGCATGTCATATAACCTCAGATTTAGCAACTAGGGGACCATGGGACAAAAAGGTCTTTAGAACATGGGAGAGTTCGGGAGCCACTAACAATAAGTCTCAGAAAGAAAAACTTTCGCATGTACTTGTTCATGATGTAAGAGAGAATCACATTGGTCACCCTGAGAGTAAAAGTGTTGATCAAAAGAATGAATTTATGTCTGTGACTGAGAGAGAACGCAAATTGTTAACAAACGGCTCTCTCTCAGAAATTAAAGAAATGACTGTAAAATCTCCCTCCAAAAAAGTCTTATATAGGGAATATGTTGTGAAAGAAGGGGACCATCCAGGCGGATTGCTTGATCAGCCTTCCAGGAGGAGCGAGAGCTCAGCAGTGTCACACATTCCCGTCAGAGTTGCTGATGAGAGGAGAATGCTGTCTTCTAATATTCCCGATGGTTTTTGTGAACAGTCGGCATTTCCAAAACATGAACTATCACAAAAATTGTCCCAGTCAAGCATGAGTAAAGAGACAGTTGAGACACAGCACTTTAATTCTATAGAAGATGAAAAAGTTACCTATTCAGAAATCAGCAAAGTTTCCAAACACCAGAGTTATGTAGGTTTATGCCCACCTCTCGAGGAAACCGAAACCTCCCCCACCAAATCTCCTGATTCTTTAGAGTTTAGCCCAGGAAAGGAATCTCCCTCTAGTGATGTATTCGACCACAGTCCCATTGATGGATTGGAAAAACTCGCACCACTAGCCCAGACAGAGGGAGGGAAAGAGATAAAAACTTTACCCGTTTATGTCAGTTTTGTACAAGTGGGGAAGCAATATGAAAAGGAGATACAACAAGGAGGTGTAAAAAAAATCATAAGTCAGGAATGTAAGACAGTACAAGAAACCAGGGGGACCTTTTATACAACTAGACAGCAAAAGCAACCTCCTTCTCCCCAAGGTAGTCCAGAAGATGATACTCTAGAGCAAGTATCCTTTCTAGACAGCTCTGGGAAAAGCCCTTTAACCCCAGAAACACCCAGTTCAGAGGAAGTGAGTTATGAATTTACATCTAAGACACCTGACTCGCTCATAGCTTATATACCAGGCAAACCCAGCCCAATTCCCGAGGTTTCTGAGGAGTCAGAGGAGGAGGAACAGGCCAAGTCAACCTCCCTTAAGCAGACTACAGTGGAGGAAACAGCAGTTGAGCGTGAAATGCCTAATGACGTGAGCAAAGACTCTAACCAAAGACCCAAAAATAACAGAGTTGCCTATATTGAATTTCCCCCTCCTCCACCACTGGATGCGGACCAGATTGAGTCAGATAAGAAGCATCATTATCTCCCAGAAAAAGAGGTTGACATGATTGAAGTCAATCTGCAAGATGAGCATGACAAGTACCAGCTGGCTGAACCTGTCATTAGAGTGCAGCCACCTTCACCAGTTCCTCCCGGGGCAGACGTCAGTGATTCAAGCGATGACGAATCTATTTATCAGCCAGTCCCAGTTAAAAAATATACCTTCAAATTAAAGGAAGTGGACGATGAACAAAAAGAAAAACCCAAAGCTTCTGCTGAAAAGGCTTCCAACCAGAAAGAACTGGAAAGTAATGGATCTGGAAAAGATAATGAATTTGGCCTTGGCCTTGATTCACCTCAGAATGAAATTGCCCAGAATGGGAACAACGACCAGTCCATCACAGAGTGTTCCATTGCCACCACAGCAGAGTTTTCTCATGACACGGATGCCACAGAGATCGACTCTCTGGATGGCTATGACCTGCAAGATGAAGATGATGGCTTGACAGAGAGTGATTCTAAACTCCCAATTCAAGCCATGGAAATTAAGAAAGATATCTGGAACACAGAGGGCATTCTGAAGCCAGCTGACCGCTCTTTTAGCCAAAGTAAACTTGAAGTTATCGAGGAGGAGGGAAAGGTGGGACCAGATGAGGACAAGCCACCTTCTAAAAGTTCTTCATCTGAAAAGACTCCTGATAAGACTGATCAGAAGTCAGGGGCCCAGTTCTTCACACTGGAAGGCAGACATCCTGACAGATCAGTGTTTCCTGATACTTACTTCAGTTACAAAGTAGATGAAGAATTTGCCACTCCTTTTAAAACAGTAGCTACCAAAGGTCTAGATTTTGACCCTTGGTCTAATAACCGAGGGGATGATGAAGTTTTTGACAGTAAATCACGGGAAGATGAAACTAAGCCATTTGGGCTGGCGGTAGAAGACCGCTCTCCAGCAACAACCCCTGATACAACGCCAGCCAGAACGCCAACTGATGAAAGTACCCCAACTAGTGAGCCTAACCCCTTCCCATTTCATGAAGGAAAAATGTTTGAGATGACTCGCAGTGGTGCAATTGACATGAGCAAGAGGGATTTTGTTGAAGAGAGGCTCCAATTTTTCCAGATTGGTGAGCATACTTCTGAAGGGAAGTCAGGGGACCAGGGGGAAGGGGATAAAAGTATGGTCACTGCCACACCACAGCCACAGTCAGGGGACACCACTGTAGAAACCAATCTAGAGAGAAATGTAGAGACACCTACAGTGGAACCTAACCCCAGCATCCCGACCAGCGGAGAGTGTCAGGAAGGCACATCCAGTAGTGGCTCCCTGGAGAAATCAGCAGCAGCCACTAACACCTCTAAAGTTGACCCCAAGTTGCGCACGCCTATAAAAATGGGAATTTCTGCATCCACCATGACCATGAAGAAAGAAGGCCCTGGAGAAATAACAGATAAGATAGAAGCGGTGATGACCAGTTGTCAGGGATTAGAAAATGAAACTATAACAATGATTTCAAATACAGCCAATAGCCAGATGGGCGTTAGGCCCCATGAAAAACATGATTTTCAAAAAGATAACTTTAATAACAACAACAATTTGGATTCTTCCACTATACAGACAGATAACATTATGAGTAATATAGTTCTGACAGAACATTCTGCACCCACTTGTACCACAGAGAAAGATAACCCAGTGAAAGTCTCATCAGGAAAAAAGACAGGGGTACTACAAGGACACTGTGTAAGAGATAAGCAGAAAGTTCTTGGAGAACAGCAAAAAACAAAGGAATTGATAGGGATTAGGCAAAAATCCAAACTTCCCATAAAGGCCACTTCACCAAAAGATACCTTCCCACCGAACCATATGTCAAACACTAAAGCAAGTAAAATGAAGCAGGTTAGTCAATCCGAGAAAACCAAAGCCCTTACTACTTCTTCATGTGTAGATGTAAAGTCCAGAATTCCAGTGAAAAACACACACAGGGATAACATAATTGCAGTTAGAAAAGCATGTGCCACACAAAAGCAAGGGCAGCCAGAGAAAGGCAAGGCCAAACAGCTTCCATCCAAGTTGCCAGTAAAGGTAAGATCCACCTGTGTCACTACCACCACCACCACTGCCACCACCACCACCACTACCACCACTACCACCACCACCAGCTGCACAGTTAAAGTTAGGAAAAGTCAGCTCAAGGAAGTATGTAAACATTCCATTGAATATTTTAAGGGAATTAGTGGTGAGACCTTAAAGCTTGTGGACCGCCTCTCTGAAGAAGAAAAAAAGATGCAGTCCGAGTTGTCCGATGAGGAAGAAAGTACCTCAAGAAACACGTCGTTGTCCGAGACTTCCCGGGGTGGCCAGCCTTCGGTTACAACGAAGTCTGCTAGAGATAAGAAAACAGAGGCAGCACCTTTAAAATCAAAGAGTGAAAAGGCCGGCAGTGAGAAAAGGAGCAGTAGAAGGACTGGTGAGAATGAAGGCAGTCAGGTCTCTCGAGCACTCTGCTCACATCCTGGAGAACGAGCATAGTTTGTAAACACTTTCCAACTCGTAGACCCTAGTGCATGAACTGTTGTGATTGCCTGTGGAGTGACTTAACCGTAGTTTCTCATTATGTCATTGTCATCTGTATGTGCTGTCGTATATACTCTTCTTTCTGCCTTTTGATCAAACTACACGGTAGACAGCTAGGGAAGCATGCTGAAGATATTGGTGTCATTCAAGATGAACAACCTTCTTTTTTCTTTTTTAATGTGCTAATGGATATGATTCTGTCAAAGTAAAAGCACAGATGTTGAAATCCCATCATGGTGTTTTCACCAACACGACACTTCTGTAACTGTTTAAACTAGCTAGCTCGTCAGCATGTTCAATCCCATTACATTGAGCATCCATGTAGTCTGACATTTGGCCTGATGCAGGTGAAAAACAAGTGAGCCATGTGCAAAGAAGTGTTCATGTAGGTGACTAGGACACATTTCAGTGTACAGTGTTAGCATTAGTCTCTCTGTAAAATCTGCGTACTGCTAAAAGCAATTTTCCAGTATCGTATCTTTCTTGATGATTATTTTAATTAAGAAATTGTAAATCGTAGGTCCACAGAGTCCATGTGAACGGACAGATATCAGGATGGCAATAGTAGCCGATCACCTGGGACTTAGTTGGACAGGTAAGTGCATACACTCCTGAATGGAACAAATTAGTTTCTTCATTTCTTTGTCTTACTCACAAGCAGTTCAATATATATATTTTAAAAATAGAAACAAGCAGCTAGTAAAAAACATTTTTATCACCAATAATTTTATCTACCCAGAGATAAATACTGATTGTACCTTGTATACTGTGTTTTTCCAAAGCCTTTTCTATGCATATGCACTAAGAAATAGAAATTTAAATTTATTTTACCTTAAATTTAAGCATTTTCTTCACAATGTCACTTCTGTAATATAGGTTAACCTTCTACTGAATAGCAAATTTATCTTGTAGCACAAAAGAAAACACAGCTAAGGCCTATGACTTAATTAATCAAAATTCTTTCACATGGTTTATGTCCTTAGGGCAGTTTTCTAGGCAACAGTTCAATTAACCCACGCCTAGGCTGCACAAATTTTAGTCATTCACTGTGAACTTCTCTTCACATTTTGTACGATATACACATAAAACTCTATGTTTATTTATCTGATACTCTTCTTTAAGTAAACTCACTTTTCTGCCCAAATATTTATTTAAAAGAAAAATCTTATATCACTTCGATAATGGGAAAGGATTATTTGCATTATCTATGTAAACAAGAAAACAATGACAGTAAGTTTAAATTTTGAATTAAAAATTTTTAAATGTGATTTTTAAAATATGATAAACATGTAAATAAATATATTTAATTCACAAAAGTTGAATTCTATAAAATTCATGCCTGTAATCCCAGTACTGTGGGGAGGCCAAGGCAGGTAGATCACTTAATGTCAGGACTAGCCTACCCAACATGGTGAAACCCTGTCTCTACTAAAAATACAAAAATTAGCCAGGTGTGGTGGTGCATGCCTGTCGTCCTGGCTACTTGGGAGGCTGAGACAGGAGAATCGCTTGAACCCGGGAGGCAGAGGCTGCAGTGAGCTGAGATTGCACCACTGCACTCCAGTCTGGGTAATAGCGTGAGACTCCATCTCAATAAAACAAAATAAAATAAAAGATGATGAGATTTCATATCAATTGGACAAATTGGACAATTCTGCATTGTAATTTTGAGCTTAACAGGACCCTTAAAATCCTACCTCACATGAATCTGAGAAATTTTAAGTTTTATAGGTTAAGTGTATTTTTTAATGCATGGCCAAATAATAAATATTCATTATCATCACATCTAAATTCATCCTGCATACCATTAGCAACATACATTCCATACAGTTATCTCTATTTAATGGGAGAATATGAAACTAGATAATAGGAAGCAGTTTCATCTAATTTTTTTTTTCCTTTGAATGCCCTCAGTCCCCGTCCACCCCCACCACCACTACCCCATTTCAAACCCTCCTCTCTTCATCAACCTAGTCTCTGCTCTCAGGTATACTGCTAATGGTTGGGAGCTGAGTGGAGTTCTGAAAAGATAGATAGGTGGTCTGAATAATGTTTTGTAGGCAGTTGAGAGTTAACAGTAATTTATTATGTATACATATTTACTAATATCAACTTTATATTTTAACATTGGACATTGTAATCTGAAAATATACTGGAGCAAATGTTTGTTTTGCATTATTATATGCCTAGAACTGTTAGATTATTTTCCTTAAGCAAATACAGTCAGAGTAAATTTTTGGAGATGTGGCTTAATAGCCAGACGAAAAGCCATAAACCTAAAATTCCTAGTGTCAGTGTCTTTGCTCTTTATTAAGTCTCTAGACAATGGATACAGTTTTGTCATGAAGGCTTATTGGGCAGTAGGAGTATTGTCTCTTAAGACACAGAGATGAAGAACTTAAAATAATTAACTTCTCTAACTAGAATTACTGTATGCTCAATGATAATTATTAAGAATATTAAGCATTTAAGAGAACAAAATTTATATCTGTCCCTCGAAACCACTATTAACATCTTATGTGCTTTTTTTAAAACAAGAACGTTTTATAATGTTATACATACAATGTAATCTGCTTATTTGTAACTGTGTCATTCTACAAAATTAAATATTTTCTGATCTTGGTTTTAATGCATAAAAAAATATCCAATAGATGTACCTTATGATGGTGGTTTTCTAACTGTGGTTCACAATGCTTCAATGAGATGTGAAATCAGTTCATACTTTGTTTTTGTTTTTAAATGGAATATTATATAAAAGAAAATGACTGTGTTTAAGTGTATTAAGGCTAAATTCTGTTCCGGGGAGATCTGATTTTATTTATGTAAACACCATGATATATAATGTATTTCTAACTGTAGGCCATGATCACAACAGTTGTTTGCAAGCCACTGCCTTAAATTAACTCTTATCCTTTTGTTCAACATGCAGATTGTTTTCAATGAACATTCATGTATATAAATCATTGTATATAACTCATATATTGTCAGGGTAAATTTCTAAATGTGAATCACTTGGTCAAAAGATAATGGACTTTTTTGAGCCTCTGAATGCATTTTGCAAAATTGCTGGAAGTATTTTGTAAGGGGGATAGAGTCTTGACCAATTCCTTTTCCATGGGATCATTTTTGCCCATTTCTTACTTTTTGTTATCATTTAAGGTAATACACACTTGATAAATTGTTTTAATATAAAAAAATACAGTGGGAACTAAGTCTCCTTCCCTTCTCTGACTCCTAAGTTTCCCTCTTCCAAGGCAGCCACTAATAGTGAGATCATATGTATCTTTCCAAAGACACTCTGCAATTTACAAGATTGAATATGAGTATATCTGAGTGTATACGAGTAGATGGACAGAAAGCTGTCTCCCTTTTATTTTTTACTCAAGTAGCTTCATATCATATAAGATGATCTGGCCTGGAGTCATCATATAACCTCCTGTGTGGAGTTTATGAAACTTGAAGGCATAGAGGGTGGCATATTATGTGAGTAAAAGATACCTTCATGAAGATTGCTTAGCACAAACCCTATCAGCATCTCTTGTGCCATATACATGAATTGTATACCTCTACGTATCTTGTAATTTGCTCAAATTATAGAGAATTTGGCTGAATTAAAACAATCATCCAACATCCTCTTTGCAAACTCCAAAAATCTTGTTTTATTTTTTGAGATAGGGTCTCGCTCTATTGCCCAGGCTGAAGTGCAGTGGCACAATCTCAGCTCACTGCACCCCCTGCCTCCTGGGCTCAAGTGATCCAACTCAGCCTCCTGAGTAGCTGGGACCACAGGCATGTGCCACCACACCTGGATAATTTTTGTGTTGTTGTTGTTGTTGTTGTTGTTGTTGTTGTTGTTGCTGTGTGTATGGAGACCGGGGTTTTGCCATGTTGCCCAGGCTGGTCTCAAATCCTGGGTGCAAGCAATCCACCTGCCTCAGCCTCCTGAAGTGCTGGGATTATAGGTATGGGCCACTGTGCCCAGCCTAAGTCTAAAAATCTTTATAAGATGGTCTCTAAAAAAAATCTGATTGTAAGTCATTACCTAAGGAGAGTTAAGTCACAGCCTGTGTATGGTCACTACTTTGCTATGAAGCCAAGTATATAAAAATTAATTCCTGAGGCTGTACTTGAGCTTGACTATAAAATTCCCTTTTCTTTTTGTGGCAATTGAGCATTACTTTTATGAAACGTGTGATAAAAGTAGAATATGCAATCTTAGTAACTCTCTTTCTTTTCTACAGAACTGGCAAGGGAACTGAATTTTTCAGTGGATGAAATCAATCAAATACGTGTGGAAAATCCAAATTCTTTAATTTCTCAGAGCTTCATGTTATTAAAAAAATGGGTTACCAGAGACGGAAAAAATGCCACAAGTATGCCGAAATTATATTATTTTAACTTTCAAAACTGCATAAATGTAATATTTTAGATAAGCCAACTGTTAGGTTCATCCAAGTAGTGTTGTAATTTTCTGTAATCTTTAATATAGAAAACTAAGTGATCATGAGGTAATAGCAAGTCTTTTGAAGTTATACTTGTTTAATTTAGTGTTAACAGTCTAAACTTCTATTCTTCAGAAGCTTTTTGGAAAGCAAGTAGCAGGGAATTTTTCGCATCTGGCCTGACATTCTCTCTGTGACCATAAAAACTGAAAACATAATTTTAGTTGTTAAATCATGGGACACAGTCATCAGAAACACTCCGAAGTTACCACTATGGCTGGAGGTGGATGTGCAGAGAGGGAAGACAGGATCATATTAGGGGAGCAAATAGTTTTATTCAGCTTGGTTGGCTCTACTGTTGTTGGGTTTGGTTTTGTTGGCTGGTGGGATTGGGTGGTAGTCCTATATTTTGGCAAGTGCCAACCCACAACAATGTGGAATAAATTATTATGGGTTTGCCTGTGTCAACTTGACCCTAGAAAGTCATTAAAATGCTAAGTACCAAATATGAGGGTGACCTATTTTGACATTCTAAGAGGAAAGGAAACTTTAGTTTTATTAGATCCCCTTATAGCCAACAGGAATCTAGTTATTTTAAGGCCCATCCGCACTGTTCCAGTGGAACACAGCTTTACAAAGTGATGATTAAGACTCTGACACCTTCCCTGTAGCAGCGAGCATTCTGAGTCCTCTGGATAGGGAGATTGCAGAGATGGAGTAAGAAGGAGCTAAAATGTCAGCAGGGCTGCAAAAGCCATGCCTTTGTGTAGATATTGTGCTGACTGAAAGAACATAATTTAATTGGGTTTTCAACCTTTTTTTCTCCTTTTCAGCTGATGCCTTAACTTCGGTCTTGACAAAAATTAATCGAATAGATATAGTGACACTGCTAGAAGGACCAATATTTGATTATGGAAATATTTCAGGCACCAGAAGTTTTGCAGATGAGAACAATGTTTTCCATGACCCTGTTGATGGTAATCGAATTTAGTGTTCATATTTATTTAATCATTTGATAAAATTTGAAAGTGCAGTCAGACAAGGCAGTCACTTAAAAGCAACTAAACTGTGATTTGCTTGACTTAGTTTCTCATTTTCTCTGCCAGAGTCTGCAAATAAACACTCTGATATCAGAGCAAACTTGGTAAATACCTCTGTTTATATACAATATAAATATACAATATAAATCATGACGTATGAACGCCTAAGGTATCTGAAAGAGTTGGTATTTCTAATATTTCATAAAAGTTAAATATCTAGAGAATGCATTGCTTTTGTCACTTTTAATTTTTATATTAACCCTCCTAAACTAGTTACCTCTTTTATTCGTATATAGGTAAAACAAACGATGAGCCATTTTTATCAAATAAGCAAGGTATTGAGTAAAGTGTAAGCATATAGTATACAAATTGTAAGGTAAAATGGCAATTTACTGTGTGGCACCAGGTATTTAAATGTGCACTGAAAAAATTTAATGTATCATTCAAGTATGTGCTTTAGTTATTTAGCGTTCGTTGTTATTTTAACTTCATGAATATGCTGCCATTTATTCTTTGGAAAAACTGCTTGATCTATTGTATATCAAAGGCAGCATAATTTCTAATTCAGTCGGCATACATGTTACTAACAACAATTCCTCTTTCACATTAGCTTAATTTATATAATGATCTTGTCATTTTTTCCTCATTATGTAAATTGTGCTTTCTTCACTGAAATATTAAGAAAAACATAATAAATATCTTCCTATGTTTTTCAAAATAGTCCTGTCTTAGGCTCACAAATGAAAATTTATTCCTACAATGAATTTTTGTTCTGTTTTTGAGACGAAGTCTCGCTCTGTCGCCTAAGCTGGAGTGCAATGGCACGATCTCGGCTCACTGCAACCTCTGCCTCCTGGGTTCAAGCCATTCTCCTGTCTCAGCCTCCTGAGTAGCTGGGATTACAGGCATGCACCACCGTGCCCAGCAAATTTTTTGTATTTTTAGTAAAGATGGGGGTTTCACCACGTTGGCCAGGCTGGTCTCGAACTCTTGACCTCAAGTGATCCACCCACCTCTGCCTCCCAAAGTGCTGGAATTACAGGCATGAGCCACCCCACCCAGCCTCTATAATGAATTTTGAGTAGAAAATTTGATGATGGTGTGGAGGCAGGAATAAGAACTAAGGATATTTTTCTAGTATTCCATTTTTAAACTGGCAAAGTTAGATTAACAAGAGTCACAAACTTCTAATTAACTTCTAATTCTGCATATATTTTGTGGAAAAAATCTTAAAATTCTTAGAAAGTTCCTGCTTATTAAAAAGTTTAAGTCTGGCCAAGCACTGTCTGTCTCTTAAAAAAAAAAAAAGTTTAAGTCAACAAAAGATTTAAAGCATACTTGTTATACATGTAACAAACACAATGGGTAATGAAGTAAAAAGCGGTTCTTTTTAAGTTTATAAAGACCATAGAACCTTGGAAAAACGCTCCCTTTGAGGCCTTGTCTTATATGCAAGGCCATATATTAGTAACCACATGCTTTTTGCACTAGATAAATATAGATCATCTTATCAAATTTTAAATTATTGATAAGTTATAGTTTATACATTCTTCTAATATTCTTTATTGGAAAAAATAGTTGTTAAGTAACTCTAATAAAAAAGATCACCAGAACACAACAGAAGTAGTTGTGTTGAAAGCTTCATTTAATTTGAACATTTTAAAATTGGAATATCCTTAAAATACAGTCAAAAATGAAATGGCTTTTTGTTGCTGTATCTTAATATTTTTAAATTCCTTTTTCAAAATTTCTTAGGGAAATTTAGAAACATGTATATGAAGTAATTTCACTTAGGCAGATTATAAACCTCAGCTAATCTTAGCCAGCTTTTCAACAAGAGTCTGGTTTATAGATGACCATAACTGAAAAATGTTCACTTACCTATAGCAATTTGAGTTTACAACAGCAGCTAAGTTGGTATTTACCTGGGACTGATGGAAAAATTAGACTTTTATTTTGTAGACCAACAATTCAGAAACTGTGGTTTGTTGCTTTTTTCCTGTCTCTCCTCTTCGTTGAACTTTTATGAAACTTCCTTTCCTCACCATGACCAGACCATTGTTGACTTTTCTCTCTGCTGAGGCAGAAAAATGCTTCCATAGTCCATGCAGCAATGTTTAAAACAAGGGATTCGTTCCCCCCTCCCCTTTTGTGTAGGCTGGTTAATAAACTCTATGTTTCATAGCATTGTCGTGAATATTCAGAGTGCTCCCTGCGAATGGTTTTCCTACTATCTCTGTTGTGTATCATTTCTGTTTATTTGATTCGTGGTTCTGAGTGGACCCTACCACTGACTTCACCAAGACCTTCATGTACTCCACAACCCTTTCATCTTGGTCATATCTGTTTTTGTACAACACCCTAAAACTACATGGAGTCTTTTAAACTTGGTCTGTTTTTTCAATCCTTTTCTTAACATCGTTTAAAATTTTTTTCCCAGTGCCACTGCTCTAAAATCTAACAAACAATCATTTCTTTCCAAAGATTAAATCCGTTTTTCTGTGCTATAATTTCATGTGAAAGAAGAACTAGGTTGCTTTGCTCATATGTACAGTTCTTAAAATAAGTTGTAGGTAATTAATATAAAAGTTGTAGGTAATTAATGATAAAAATTGGTTTCTTGTGGCTTGCTGTATTCAGTCCACCACAGTATGAACTTCGCATGCTAAATATAGAAAGATAATAAGTATCTCATGTAATGACAACTAACTTTATATTGGTCTTTATATAAACTTAAATATATAAACTTTATATATTTAGTCTGCATACTTTGGATTAGTGTGCATATTTACTTATTGTATCATAATTTCCAAAACAGAAACAATTGATATCTTAATTAGTATTCTATTTTATTGGAGTTTGCACTAGGCTTTTTATTTCATTGTGTTACATTTAATTGAACTAAACCGATAAATTTATTGACATTAATCTGTAATTCATCATACATTTTTCATGCCTGATATAATTTTAGTCATTCCATGTGTTTTTGTTTGATGTATTCTAATTCATTCCAGTCAGTCCAAATGTACTGTCTTCCATAGGTTATCCTTCCCTTCAAGTGGAACTGGAAACCCCCACAGGGTTGCACTACACACCACCTACCCCTTTCCAGCAAGATGATTATTTTAGTGATATCTCTAGCATAGAATCTCCCCTTAGAACCCCTAGTAGACTGAGTGATGGGCTAGTGCCTTCCCAGGGGAACATAGAGCATTCCGCAGATGGACCTCCAGTCGTAACTGCAGAAGACGCTTCCTTAGAAGACAGCAAACTGGAAGACTCAGTGCCTTTAACAGAAATGCCTGAAGCAGTGGATGTAGATGAGAGCCAGTTGGAGAATGTATGTCTGAGTGAGTATCCTCAATACCTTGGAAATTTGGCTGGGTCCCCAAAAGATGTTAAACCAGCAGAGCCTAGAAAACTAGGAGTAAGCTCTGAGCAGCAGGAGAAAGGAAAATCTGGTCCTGATGAGGAGATGATGGAAGAGAAACTCAAATCTCTATTTGAGGACATTCAACTTGAAGAAGGAGTAGAGTCTGAGGAGATGACAGAAGAAAAAGTACAGGCTATTCTTAAGCGTGTTCAGCAAGCAGAACTGGAAATGTCTTCAATTACAGGTTGGCAGAATGAGACATCAAGTGGAAACCTAGAGTCCTGCGCTCAAGCTCGAAGAGTAACTGGTGGGTTACTAGATCGACTGGATGACAGGTATGGCTGTTTCAAAAAAAGGAAAGTGAACACAGGTTACTTGTTAATAGTTTATCTTAAATACATGCTTTTTAGTGGTGACTTCTTCTAAATTACCATTCTAGTTCTGGGATAAAACCTGCTTTAAAGACCAGTTCATTATGCTAATCTGGAAAGGAAAGTGAATTTAAATTTAAATTTAATTCTCAAAACTGTTGAAATAAAATACAAGAAAATTTACATACATGCCCAAGATTTATACGTTGTCTTTACTTTAGAATACTATTCTTTTCTACTTTATTACTTGTATGATTCTTTTCATATAGCCAGTAATTATTGTTCCTTTAAAATAATGAGGTGGGTGGATCACCTGAGGTCAGGAGTTCAAGACCAGCCTGGCCAACATGGTGAAACCTCATCTTTACTAAAAATACAAAAATCAGCTGGGTGTGGTGTCACGCACCTGTAATCCCAGCTACTCAGGAGGCTGAGGCAGGAGAACTGCTTGAACACATGAGGGTGGAGGTTGCAGTGAGCTGAGATCACACCACTGCACTCCAGCCTGGGTGACAGAGTGAGACTCTGTCTCAAAAACATAAGAAGAATAATGAATGAAAGTCCATGTTATTTAGAAATATAAACATTACTGTTTTTTTCCTAACTGCAAACATAAATATGCTCATTATTAAAACTTAAAATGCAGATTAAACAAATCAATACACCCCATCATCTACCAATAACATTTTGGTGGATTTTCTTCTACGCATGATTTTTTAAATGTCTTAATGTAAAAAGTGCAGAGTAGCAAAAAGAAAAGCCATCCATTCTCCTACCATACTAGGAAAAACTGATTTTACATATCCTTCTATTTTTCCACGAGTCTTATTTTTCATAATTTGAAAGATACACAGTTTTTTACACCAAATAATATTGCCATGATGAACATTTGTCTTTACCCAAAATAATTTCCTGGTCACATTTGTCTTTACCCAAAATAATTTCCTGGTCATGAATTTGGTTAATTCTTATACTGGCCTTGCTCTAGAAAGGTGAAAGTCTAGAATCTGAGACATAGTTTCAAATCCCACCACCATTAGGAATGTAGTTTGTGATTTGGGATGAATCTCTAAGCTCTAAGAATGTCACTCTAATTATCTTTAAATATAAGAATACTACTACCTTCCTTAAACAGATTTATAGATAGAAAAAGAGAGGATGTATCATGTCTACCAAATGACTGACACAAATAGTAATTTCTCAGTAGCACTAGGCATTATTTTTATTTACATACACATTAGACTAAAATATATTTTACTTCAGTGCCAGCTAGTGATTAAATTGGACACAAGAGAACTTATTTCATAACCATATTTTATATTTTTATGTCATTAATAAGCTTCTTGCTCAATAAAAATTCCCAAAGAGGGAGTTTACAAAACTACTTTTGAAAAATTGCAGGCATGAATGAACTTTATCTACAGCCTACAAAAGAGACAGTTGCAAAGAAGACAAACAGTACTAATTTTGATGTCTATGTTCAGATATAGTCACACAATTTATAGTTACATATCAGGGAATAGATATAGGAAAGGTGTTCATCATTATTAAACCGCTGAAATTCCTTGTTTTATATAGGCTCTGCCAGTGAATTATATAGAAAAAACACTAGTGAATCCCCTGGTTCCATAGAAGGAGGAAAATGCCAGTCACTTTGCTCCTGTTATCAGAATATGCAGGGTAGGAGAACGCCGGCAAGCAATGTGGACTGGGGAATAGAAAATTAAACCAAAGTCATAAAGCTATATGTTACAGGATCTTCACAGTATGCTTGGATTGTTTATCCTTACACATAAAGAATAGAGTGTGCTATGGATGTCTTTTAAAAATAAGTATGTTCAGATAATCAGAATCTGATTTAAAGGAATACACACACATATATAAGTATATATTATACATATAAAGCATTGTACTAGTTATTGCCTTCTAGCGGTAATAAACAAAGATGCTCAAAATAATACGCAAGCTACAAAAAAAGTGAAAAATAGTCTATACTGAAACTTGTAAAAAACTTAGAAGTCAATTTAAAAGAAAGCATTGGAAAGGAAAGAGTTTTAATAGTTAAGGGAAAAACAGTTCTCTCAGTAGGTAGAAAAGGGTGTGCAACCCTCAAATCACTAGTGAGATTAGCAGAGGTCAAGAGTAGAGAAAAATGAGATTCAAGTAAAGGTATTAGAGTTGGAAAAGTAACGGCAGGATTCATGACTGAAAACATATACAAAGAATTGGAATTTGGGGTACTTGGGGGAATACCACAGTCTTGACCACAGGAATTTGTTTTGTTCTTTTTTGGAGACAGGGCGCAATTTTTTGTACAGTAGCTCAATCCTTGCTCACTGCAACCTCTGCCTCCCAGGCTCAAGCGATCCTCCCACCTCAGCCTCCCAAGTAGCTGGGACTACAGGCATGCACCACTGTGCCCACTAATTTTTGTAGTTTTTTGGTAGAGACATGGTTTTACCACATCACCCAGGCCGAACTCAAATTCCTGGGCTCAAGGGATCCTTCTGCCTCAGCCTCCCAAAATGCTGGGAATATAGGCAAGAACCACTGAGTCCGGCCAGCAGTTTATTTTTTACTGGTGATAGAGAAGCGTTCTGAAATCTCTTCTCCTTTAAGATTGGTGGGCTTGGAACTCTAGGTATGTCCATGAGCCTTTCAGGATCACTCATCAAGATGATAGAATTCAAGTAGCTGTAGAACTGCAGTTTGTTTATTTAGACGAGAGCATAGCTAGGCAATTTGGCAACTGAGATATGGGGGATGTCTAGAAGCTGTGTAGCACCTCCTGACACCGCACCCATGAGAGCCCTTTACATTTTATTTATTTATTTTGAGACAGAGTCTCACTCTGTCACCCAGGCTGAAATACAGTGGCACAATCTCAGCTCACTGCAACCTCCACCTCCCGGGTTCAAGCAATCCTCCTGCCTCAGGTTCCTGAGTAGCTGGGATTACAGGCACGTGCCATCACGCCTGGCTAATTTTAGTATTTTTAGTAGAGATGGGGTTTTGCCACGTTGGCCAGGCTGGTCTCGAACTCCTGACCTCAGGTGATCTCCCGCCTCAGCCTCCCAAGGTGCTGGGATTACAGGCATGAGCCACTGCGCCCAGCTACATTTTAAATCCAGTGGCCACACTTTTCACACTTTTCTATTTTATGCCTTCAGAAGTAGGCAAAAGACACAGTTCTTAAAACTTTAGAGTTTCTGCAACCTATATTCAGTCATAGTTTGCCATTGTGAATTTGCAAATTTTCTGTTGCAGCCCTGACCAGTGTAGAGATTCCATTACCTCATATCTCAAAGGAGAAGCTGGCAAATTTGAAGCAAATGGAAGCCATACAGAAATCACTCCAGAAGCAAAGACAAAATCTTACTTTCCAGAATCCCAAAATGATGTAGGAAAACAGAGTACCAAGGAAACTCTGAAACCAAAAATACATGGATCTGGTCATGTTGAAGAACCAGCATCACCACTAGCAGCATATCAGAAATCTCTAGAAGAAACCAGCAAGCTTATAATAGAAGAGACTAAACCCTGTGTGCCTGTCAGTATGAAAAAGATGAGTAGGACTTCTCCAGCAGATGGCAAGCCAAGGCTTAGCCTCCATGAAGAAGAGGGGTCCAGTGGGTCTGAGCAAAAGGTACGTCATCTGGTCATCCGGTAGCAGTCATTGAAATGGAAAGTATCGGTGCTTTACTTCTTTGGATTGATCTTGCAGCCGGGGGCCCAAGGTTTTTTACGATTTCTAAATTATAAATGTGTGAAATTGTAGCACTAATGGTGGAGGTAAAGAAAGTACTGAGTTAAACACATAGGTAAAAAAAAAAGTTCCAAGTAAAATGTATGCCATTTCGTTATACCTTCATTCATGGTGCAGGAAAAGGGAATAAGTATCTGTTTAGCCATTTTTAGGAGGGACAAGAACCAGAGAGACGTTAAGTAACTAGTTTAAGACCCAGTATTTTATCTGGGATTTAGGTTTCCTAACTCCCACTCCGTGTTCTTCCTTATGGGAGGAGGATAATCATTCTGATCCTTTCTGGCTCCTTGGCATAAACAGTCTATAGCATCTGACCCATCTAAGTTCTGTTCTGTATGGTCTGTTGTCTGAAAGCGTGTTTTAAAAATTAAAGAGATGAAATTCCAAGCCTAAAATGAGGTGAGTTGACAGCAGTTAGTTAGAAATTTAAAATTAGAAGTATAATTTTTATAATTTATATAAGTTGATGATGATTGTCTTAACATGTATTTCTAATCACTTTAAAACCTCACTGTGATAGATTTGCTTGTTCTTTGTACTTTTGTGGTACAATCTAATAGATTTTTTTCTTTGAGGTTTACTCTATTTTTAGATATTAAAAGTATTTTAAACTGAAATGATGACTCATACGTGGATATAAGAAAATAAAAAGCAGCTCTGTTTCCTACATTTTTTACTGCTTTTTACTCTCCCAATTTTTATGTCTTTTCATCAATTCTGCAATAGACAGAGATTAATAGTAGCACTTGCAGTTTTCGCTGAGACATATCCAGTTCACTGAAGACCCACTTTAGTGTTTTGGGAGGAAAAAACAAGTCTTTTCTGAAATAATGAGTTCAAGATTGATTTGAGGTTTAGGAAGACTTTTAGCAAACTCAATCGCTCAGGAGCTGATTCTCAGCTTATCAGTAATCACATCCTTTCCTATTCCCTTCTGCAGACAATATCTGACTATTTTCAGGCTTGTTAGAAGGGAGAGTAAGAGGAAGTTTAGTTCTAGATCATCTATTTTTTTTTCCCTGTAAGTAAGTTGCTTTGATATAAGATTTGGTGGTGGTAATCAGTTGCTTAAATGATATCCTAAAATAATCTCCAGCTCATTTAATAACTGCCTTCACTAAATTTTTATTAATGGTTTTGTTTTAGTTTTAAGCTCTTTTAAGTCTTTTTCAGGCCTTCTTTAACTCCGTCCTGACAAGTGTGGTTTTGAATACTGATTTCTGTCTTTGACTTGACTTTTAGTATATTTAAGTGGTGTGAGTTTTGGATAAGTTTCCTTTTAAAATGATCCCACAAAATATAGAGAGAAGCAATAACATAGTGGTATTTTTCCTGTGAATATTTATTCTGCAAAAGCCTGTTAAAGTTCTAAAGGCAAATTTCTATACAAACACATATAAACACCGCTGTGTGTGTACATGTGCATATGTATGGGCCACTGGAAAATCATATTGGCCATTGGCATAAAGACGGTTGAAAATTTAGTTTTAAACCTTGAGTGGAAACTTAGCTGAGTTTGTCAGTAATGGAAAATAATTTACCATTAGAAAACATTTTCAGGATTTCTTGTAAATGAGTTTGTGCCTCTGATATTGGTTTCGAGTCCTATTATAATGCAGAAAGACTTCATGACCTAAAAAATCCATAATGGAGTTAAAGCTTCTAGGAGACATGAACCTGACCTCACAAGAAAACCAAAGATGTTTAGGATGTATCGTTTGTGGCTATACCATAGTATAATAGCAACCAACTAGGTCATCTGATGTATGATCTCAGAAAACAGCCCCCTTTTTATCCCCTAAAAAATCAGGTCAAAAGTCCGGGTGCGGCTCCTACACGGATGACTGCCTGCTGTTATAAGGTAAAATTCTGCTATTTTCCACCTGTTTCCATGCAGCAACCCATGGCAAAGAGTACTGAGAAAATTCCATTTGGTTTCCTTGTTTTCCCCTTTACCAATTCCTAGATAATTCACTAAAAGGAATCCTGAGCCTGAGATTCTTCCTCCATTTTCACTTTAAGGTTAGCAGAGATTCCAGGGAAAAAGTGGAAACTGAAACAATGACCAAATGGCCACTTTTTCTTTATGTAAGGGGTTGGCCTCACATGATTTTTTTGTAGGATTATGCTATAATCACCTCTAGGTTTGTTGTTTGTGTTTGCTTTAACATAGATGCTCTTCTACTTTTGAATTCACCCAAGTGAAAACCTTTCCTCAACTTATGATTCCATGTACAGATAATTCAGATTCAGTTTTCCCTTTTGCCTCATCCAACCCATTAATCCTGGAATGCTAATAATTCTTTTCTTTCGTCAACACAGATTCCTTTTACCTCTTTCTGACTTCTTGAGCCTTTGCAAAGCTTCCTTCCACAATACTTAAATCATTCTAAGTCTCCTAAATTTACTGTCCTTTACTGAAAAATTTAAAATAATAATAGCAAACTTAGTTCAAGTTCTTACTCCTTGTAAGGATAGTGGCTATGATTTTCTTTTAAAACCATATTATTCAGTGGGGTGGTTTGTTGAGGTGAAATTTCCTGTAAAGTCAAGGCTGATAGTACTGTTTAACATTTTAAAATACTTGTCAAGTTTACTGTTGATGAAAAAGATGGCCTAGTTTATTATCTATACAACTAACATTTCATAAAGCATTTTATCTAACACCTGTACCTCCTATAGCAGTTTTATTTTTTTTTTTAAACAAATACTGGAATTCATTTTTCCAGCGGATGTTAACTAAATTCTGTCTCTGGGACTATTAGATTTGAGGTAATGAATTAACTTCAAAGATAAAGTACCAGAATTATTTTCATAGTTCCACCATTAAAATTTAGAAATTTAACCACTCAGTAAATACTCTTCCCCATGGCATCTAAGTGAAAGCTAAAGATATTTTCCCCTTCAAATTATGAACTATTTGCCCCTTGGTAGTTTTTCCAGATTCCCACCTTTATTGCCTAAAAATTAATATTTTGTGCAGCAACTATATTCTTGTCTGTGAAAGGTATTCTATTTTATATTCTAATTTCATTATCAGTTCTTTAAAAAAAGATTTCAAGCTTTCATACATTTATTCCTTCATTAAATTCTTTCTCAGTACCAGTTATGTGTTAGGTACAAATTATGCTGATATTAATCTCTTGAATATAAATATATGTGCCAAAATATGCTAATATAAATTCTTTACTTGTTGTTGTTGTTGTTGTTGAGACGGAGTCTTGCCCTATTGCCCAGGCTGGAGTGCAGTGGCGCGATTTCAGCTCACTGCAACCTCTGCCTCCCAGGTTCAAGCAATTCTCCTGCCTCAGCCTCCTAAGGAGCTATTTTTTGTATTTTAGTAGAGACAGGGTTTCACCGTGTTGGTCAGGCTGGTCTCGAACTCCTGACCTCAAGTGATCCACCCGCCTTGGCCTCCCAAAGTGCTGGGATTACAGGTGTGAGCCACCGTGCCCAGCTAGATTCTTTACTTTTTAATAAAGTTCAAAATAGCTTTTAATAAGGTTGTCAAATTTGACCAAAATTTCATAGAAGTCCAAAATATTATGCCTCTTTCTGTAGATCAAATGAAATATGGCCCAATTTACAAGGGTATACACCTTCATGGTAGATGAATATAGATTTTAAACTAGTTTTAAAAGGAATATGAATGATTTAATTGTAGTTTCTGCTGCCAAAAAGTCTCCATAATTATTTTTTAATAACTTATAACTACCTTGATCTTTACCTGTACACACACACACACACACACATGCACAGAGTAATTTCACTTAGAATCCTGGTCAAAAATTTTCTTCCACTTAAATTTTTTTTAAGACTCTCACAAATATACATCATGGTTTTCTTTAGTCGGCAAAAAAAAAAAAAAAAAAAGAAGAAAACATCAAGTAAGTGTAATTCTTTCTTGATTTCCCTTCTCAGAATGTCTTTTATTTTAAGTGTGATGGTAAAATTATACTAAAAATGCATTTGTCAGGACTTGAAAGACAGTGAGAGTGATTCAAGCTCAGAGGAAGAGCGGAGAGTCACTACCCGAGTTATTCGCCGGCGTTTGATTATAAAGGTATCCTGTAGCTGGATCATTATGTGGCATTGCTCTACTATTAGAAACTCCTTCCTTGTGGTTGTAGAAACTCCTTCCTTGTGGTTGTGAAATTTCAGCATGCTTGATAATGAAATGGCTTTGTGTAATTTTTTTGCACCCTTGAAAGCTTGTAAAAACAACAACCAAAAAGAAAAGAAGCCATGTTGCATGGTATTCTGTATAGGCCTATTTGATATGTGGCGGTTGTAGTTTTATTTGAGAATTCTTGGCATTTGTATCCTGCTTTCCTTGAAGAAGTGTTATGTGAATGAGCAAAGATTCTGTCTTGGTGACACAGTAGTTCATATCAAATGAAATGTTTAATTGAAACCTTAGAAACTGTAACAAGGTATGAGGCACGATAAAGAAGAAAGAGAATGAAAGAATTAAAAGGCTTCCTTCTCAGTCTCAAATTCCTACTGCCTTAAGAATTTTTAAATTAAAACCAGTTCTTCATAAGCAATCAGTGGCTGAGAATTTGAGGTTATAACCTGGCATGGATATATGTGACACAATGCAAGTCAAGTAAAAAAAAAAAAAAATCTGAAATAGGTGTTTGTTTAACTTTACTAACACACAAGAAAAAAATCAAGCTGCATTTTTAAGTATAGGAGTCAATTTAAAAAAAAAAGGAAAATAGAATTCTTCCCTATTACGGCACAATTGAAAACACTATTAATAAATATTCTGTCTTTCCTTCACAAAGGTCTGTTGAAGCACTTACCTTTTGCGTAGTAAGGTTCCACAGAATGCTTCTTGTAGTCTCCCCCTTGTCTTCATTACTTCGTCATCAGATCTTTCTAAGGGTTAGAATAATTGAGTTCAGAGAACTAGAAAGCCATTTTCAATGCGCAGACTTTTGAATATGATCCAAATAACTTGAGGCTTCTTGGTTACTGCCCTAGAGAGAAAGAGGAAGAGAATATCTATTGAAAACCATTTATCAAACTTAACCAATCCCAAAGTGTCAAGAGACCCAACAGAAAGCACAGAAGTTGGCACAGGTGTCCAAAATTTCTTAATCCTGGTGCTTTTCACTTTTCATGAAGAAACTCCACCAAATCTGCCCTAATACAGTTTTTCTAAGACTCTGGAAACATTAGGGAAGAAAATAAATCGTTGTCTAAATTTTGAGTTATCCTGCAAATCAATTGTAAGCTCAATAGGGTTCCTTTAAAAACCATGAATCACTTCTTTGAAAATTCCATGTATATAAGCAAGCCAAATTACTTATTGCTGTCTAGCACATTTGCAAGTATTTAACCTGCTATCAATAAAATCCTCATAATCAGTCACCTCACACATGTTCTCTGGGTTGGGGTGGGGGAATGCTTGATTCTGTTTTTCTGAGTTTTTGCTATTCTCATAATCAGTGTCTTCAAGATATGATATTTTAAAGTGAAAGGTCTAGAAAAAGCACATAGTGCTTCGAACTTGTCTTTTATGCTTAACATATCACATACTAATGTTACATCTAAATCCACCACATTCCTTTATAATAGCTGCCCATGATAGAAGTTGACTTTCTTCTATCCAGGACAAAAGAAAACAAATATAGCCATGCAAAAAAAGTGGAAGGCGGGGATAAAGAAGTTTTTCTCTGAGAAAACAAAAACAATAACTTCAAAACCTCTCAAATCAATAAGGGCTATTTCCTTTGGTCTCCTAGAATTCTAGATATGCACCAGCAAGTTAGCTATTAAGTAATTTTCTTAGAGTAAGTTATCTTTGTTTTTCAGCTTAAAATATGATTATAACATATTAACATATTTATTAAGAACTTAGGTTTAAAAGACAAAAATCCACTATAATGTTGTAGGTTTCATAAAAACAGGGGAGTCCGTATTCTCCCCAAATACTTTTTTTTTGAGACAGAGTCTTGCTCTGTGGCCAGGCTGGAGTGCAGTGGTGTAATCTCGGCTCACTGCAACCTCCACCTCCCCAGTTCAAGCAATTCTCCTGCCCCAGCCTCCCAAGTAGCTGAGACTACAGGCGTGCGACACCACACCCGGCTAATTTTTGTATTTTTAATAGAGATGGGGTTTCACCATGTTGGCCATGATGGTCTCGATCTCTTGACCTTGTGATCTGCCCACCTTGGCCTCCCACAGTGCTGGGATTACAGGCGTGAGCCACTGCGCCCAGACCCATTACTTCTTGAAGTTAATGTAATTTTAGAGAGATTGAGTGAAGTCATCAGAGAATAGGTTTTATAACTGAGGAAGGCATTGTATAAACAATAGGATCATTCACAAACAAGCTTTGAGAGATATCTTTCATATGAGATGGAAAAACCAAAGGCTAAAAAATAGTTATAATCATCATTGGAAGCTATAGGTATAACAAAAACACTTTATAAATTATTTTTCTGTTCAGATTTTTGGGGCAATTGCAAAGAGTCACACTTCTGTTGCTTTTCTCTTTACTCCATATGTTGCTATCTATCTTTCTAATGGAAAAGAGCTTGAGGACTATAATAGTATATGGTGAATATGACATGGGAACCATCTCTTGTCAAAAACATAAAATGGGAATGTAGTACCTAAATGGGTCATTGAGACTAAAATTACTGTGTTTCCAAGATCTCAGAACTGAAGATTGGAGATAAATTTATTTACTCAAAATCACACAGCCAGACAGCAGCAGCTCTGGGACTAGAACCTAATCCCTAGCCCTCTAGTGAAGTGCTTTTTCCTCAATACTATACAATTGGACCTCCATATCTGGGCATTCCACATGCACAAACTCAACCAACCTTGAGAAAATAAAACAATAAACAGTAGAAGTAAGAAGCAATATAGTATAACAATTACTTACATAGCATTTACATTATATTAGGTATTATAAGTTATCTAGAGGTGATTTAAAGTATATGGGAGAATATGTGTAGCTTATATGCAAATACTGCACCATTTTATATCTGGGACTTGAGCATCTGCAGATTTTGCTATCTGCAGGGGTCCTGGAACCAATCCCTGTGGATACTAAGGAACAAGTGTATTCTCTTCCAGAACAAATGAAAAAGTATTCCTTTTTGCTAGGCTAAATCAGGTATTTGACCATTCAGATCTTTTCAGCAGCACAGAAGAGGGCAGCATTGGGCTGTCATTCCTGGGAACCATTTGATGGGGCTGGAATGCTGGGAATTTGACTTACCTCATGGATGCTGTCCAAACCTGGACTGAACCAGCATAGTTAACACTGTTTGCCATAGTAAGCCCCCTAGCACTTAGTATCCCAGTTCTGAAAACTAGTCTGGGGTGGTTCCATCCCTCCCAGAGCTAGCTCTGGCTGGGAAGTATCTCCCAGAGGAAGCAGTATGTATGCTAAGCATTGGATTGCCAAAAGTCTGGGCAAATCTGTCTTCTTAGAATTCCATTTGTATAATAAATGAGGTGACGGCGATTTTTCTCTTTACTTTCAAAGTGGATCCATTCTTTTTCTATGAAGTTTTAACCTTTTTTTTACATTTAATGTTTTCAAACTCCTATAGAATGAGTCAAGTCAACAAAATCTCCCATTTGTCATGGGACTTAAATGAATGTGCTGATAAAATTCTGATCTCTATACAATTTGATAATATACAGTGGTTTCAAATGCTTAGAAGCAATTTATGTTACTAACCAGTCGTGAGTTTACCTTATTAGCTTAGCAAATCCAGTAACTGCAAAGGTAAAAAACTGTAAACCAACACACAACCAAACTATTGTGAAATTTCATAAAATTCAAATAACTGAATTTTTACTATATAGTACAACTGTATTTTTATTTCAATTTTTCAACATTTTTACTGGTTTTCTAAATAAGAGCTTACATGTATGTTTCTGCTAACTCAGGCAGTTCAAACGTATGGTAAGTTCTATCCGTTCATTCCATTTCCCAGAGGTAACCACTCTTCACAAGCTTCAGATTGTTTTTACATACATATACAAATATGTGTGTAAAATATGTAGGTTTCGTACTATTCATATTGCTTAGTATTTGCTTTTTGTAAAATATATCGCATCAATCCTATTTTTGGACAATTCAAGTTTTAACGTATCCATCAAAGCAAATTGGTACATTTCATATTGTCACTCTTCCATTTTATTCAAAAATTCTAAGAGAAATAAAAGTTATAAAATGCAGTGCTTCTAGCAGGAGTCCAGAGGGAAGTACAGTTAATTTTCATTAATACCGTCACCAGAGGTGAAAATGTAACACCACATGTGCTATAATTTTCCTTTATAATGGTTGGGGGGAAGGGAAGGGAGGTTGCCAGAAATGATGTTGTCAACAAGACCACGGGGACAATTTTGTTTACTTAAAAATACTAAGTGTTTTCAAGAACTTTAAAAACCTCATTGAGGCCGGGCGCGGTGGCTCAGGCCTGTAATCCCAGCACTTTGGGAGCCCGAGGCGGGTGGATCACGAGGTCAGGAGATCAAAACCATCCTGGCTAACACGGTGAAACCCCGTCTCTCCTAAAAAATACAAAAAATTAGCCAGGCATGGTGGCGGGCGCCTGTAGTCCCAGCTACTCAGGAGGCTGAGGCAGGAGAATGGCATGAACCCGGGAGGCGGAGCTTGCAGTGAGCCAAGATCGCGCCACTGCACTCCAGCTGGGGCAACAGAGCGAGACTCCATCTCAAAAAAAAAAAAAAAATTGAGATTACTTTCTCCCATTGAAGAGAGGCCTTAGAGCTCTCTCTTAGGTAACATTTGGTCTCTAATATAGTTGACAGAATTAAAGATGGATAAATTTTTTAAAAATGTATTTTATGACTCCCTGCTGTCTTTCCTATCTATTTAATCAACTCCTATCTAATCTATTCCTCCTATTCATTTTGGCTTATTATTTATAAATAGGTTTTGCTTTTTGTAAGGCTATTAATCTAAGTCAATGAATCTAAGTCAATGAATACATACTTGTATGTATTCACTATGCTTATACATATGCTTACTTCATAGTCCTTTCAGAGATTGTCCAAACAATTCAAAAATTAACTGACATCTTTTCCCACAAAAAGATTCATTCAGTACCTGCCCAATAGGATACCATTTTAGGGATTTTCCTGGGTTCTTTAATTGTCTATCACTCAAAGATGTGTACATTTCCAAAAGTTAGCTCAAAAATATTTGTCATTCGTGTTTAAGCTATAAGGAAAACTTTCATTACTTTTTATTGGCTTTTTTTGCTGTCCTTATGACTTTACTTTTAAAATAAAATTTTGGGTTTTCTCCAAACATTTGAAACCACCAACCATAGAAAATACAAATAACACTGCCATTAAAAACGTGTTGCAAATTTTAGTGTATTTACACAAGACCTCTACATTTTTCCAGTTTTTCTCCCCTCTCTTCACTGCGCTGATTCAAACTTGTCATAAGCAAGATTGGAGATGCACTAAACAAGATCAAGCAACACCTTGTTTTATTTTCATTCCACCTATACCACAGTGAGGAAAAACAAGTTAAATGTCCCGCCCATTGTCATGAACTATGCACCCACAAACTGTAAGAACACAAAGTCACTTTGTAATAAGAAAAAAAAAAAATGAGAACAAAACTTTGCTAGCAAAACAATAGTGTTCTAGTCTTTATTCTGTTATTTTGAACCAGAACTGCCTTTCTACTGATTGTGACATATGGTCACATGACATATGGCAATCATAGAATGTTCTCACCATTGGCTGGCACTGACCAAATTATCAGAGCCACTATCTTTTCCATGCCAGTAACACAAAGAGTTAGAATCTCACTTTTCCAGGAAGGCAGCTGTTTTTGTGATTGGCCATTTTCCCTAAAACAAAACAAAACCACATCTGTACACTGCCAAGCAGCATTATCCATTTCACCTTTTCAGTAAGAAGTTTGACTGACAGATCAATAGGACCCTGGAATACTAGTCCATCCTTAAGATCTTTATCCTTGTTCTCCCGAACTATAAGTGGCACAAATCTTAAGTTAAACACAAATGAAGGTAATGTATTGCAGATATGGTCCTACTTCTGCTGAGTAGTTTGTCGTGTTATACAATCATAGAGCTAGTGGAGAGATACTATGGAGCCATCTAAATCCACCAAGCTGTCTATGACAGGAAAATAGGCGCCCACCCTGGAGAGTTAAGAATGTATTCTATTTTTAAAACTCATAGTGAGACCTTTCAGAGTTTCCCCTCCAAAATTAGATAACAAATCAGAAAGCCAGATTCTAACTCTGTATTACTGGAATGTAAAAGATAGTGACTCTGATAATTTTGTCAATGCCAGCCAATGGTGAGCACATTCTATGACTGCCATATGTTACAGCCAATAGAGATGCAGCAGTTCTGGTTTAAAAATGACAGAATAAAGACTAAAACACTATTGTTTTGTTCTCATTTTTTTTTATTACGAAACAACTTTGTGTTCTTATAGATTGTGGGTGCATAGATCAGAAGATATCATCTTAAATTCCCTTGGTATTGATTTTATCTATTTTTTTGCCTATGGCAATGAAGATACTTCAGTGTATAAACTATGTACTATATCCGACACAATTATTCTCACTTAAGAGCTATGAAAGATTCAGTCTTCAAGATTCTCTCTGTACCCTCAACTTTTCTCATAATCTTTCAAAAAATGTGTGTATTATCTTTAGTGAATGAATTTTTAAATAAACCAGAGTGATAAATATCATGCCCAAACTAAGGTACTATCTTAGTTCAAGTTAGATAAAACTCAATCCACAAAAATCTCTAGAGATTCGGTAGAACTAATGAAGAAACAGTGCTTAAAGTGAGACGATCTAATCAGAGCTCTAATCCTTGGCTAAAATTTGTCTCAACATATGAAGCCTTTCGGTTTACAGTGTGTAACTGCATCCTATAATTATGTATTTTCAAATTCTTCCTTCTGGAATCTGTTGCTAACCATCACGCTTATACATACTTGAGGTTTAATGCTTGAATGTTGTTGACTGCTAAATAACTGTCAGTGAAGTCAGCCTTTTTCCCTTGCACTGGAGTAGCAAGTAGAATTTACAACTTATTTCTCTAAAATTCCAGAGCATGTGTGTGGTGTTTGGAGTAGTGTGGAGATTTCTCCATCTAGTATGTTGCTAATCTTTATGCCACATCCTTTAGGGAGAGGAAGCAAAAAACATTCCTGGTGAATCTGTCACAGAAGAACAATTTACTGATGAAGAAGGCAACCTCATCACCAGAAAAGTAATCATCATTCAGATTTCATGCTTCTCTTGGAATTTAGATTTTCTGCATTAAAAACTCTGCTACTTTTGTGCTGTAGTGTCATCTCCTAAAACAGAAAAATCTCTACTTTTCACCATTACTTCCTACAGATCACTCGGAAAGTATTAAGACGAATTGTTATCCCACAAGAGAGAAAACGTGATGATGTGGTAATGGAGAGGGATTGCCAAAGAGAATGTAGAGGACAAAAGCTTTGTGCACTCCCTAGAAATTGCTGCTAACAGGCTGGCATCTGCAGTGTGGCAGCTTGAAGTGTTTGCTGCTTTTGACATCTTATGCATTTGATCAGGGTCAAAGAAAAATACTTTTCTTCCTAACATTCTTTGTTACATACTTTTTTTTTTTAACTGTCTTCAGAGTTTTCACAAAGATAAGGTCATTTATAGGGGACAGAATGTGCCAGTTTGAGGGAGAAAGAAGATAAAACCTTCACCATTCACCACCAAACCTCAGAGCAGTGCTTCAGCCCCACCCAGGGCTTGGCCTTCAGCAGAGTGTCTGTTGGGACAGGGGCGGAGAGCACTCCAAAAGCACAGGCTTTAAAAGTTAGAATGGCAAAAGGCTCAGTTCAAGATCTGCACATCGGATCCATACATTTTCTCTTTCCAGTATGTTCTGCAGGGAAATCTGAATTCCTCCATCTTCGTCTGAGGAGGGGGTTCCCCTCTTTGGGTTTATAACAGCCCATTTCCAATGTGCCAGTTAAAGAATCCCTCCAGTCAACCCCTTTCTCTCAGAGAAAACATCTCTGGTTATTTTTCACTTGTTTCTCAGATCTCTACCCTTTTCAATTTAAAAATAGAAACTTCAATAGACAATGTTTACATTAGAAAAAGTAAACTGAAAATTTATCAGAAGTACAAATCACAAAATTGAAAAGGCTTCATTTGTTTTCTGTTAAAAATTGGGTAAAAACTGAGTATTTGTGCCACAACCTTGCTCTCGGGGAACTGTATTCCTGATGCTCAGTGAAGAGAGGATTTGTTTATGCAAAATAGATGCCTTCTTGGTCTGACAGTAAGAGGAAGTCATTGGCAATTCCACTAACTTAAAAAAGTCCCTCAGATCAACAGCATTTCCATGGATTAGTACTTAACTAAGAAGTCTGAATCTCATTGCAACAGATTGTTTACAATTCTGCTGCCTTGTGAGCTGTGGTGCTGATTTCTTTTAGCTTACTATAGGAAATGGATAGGCTGCTCGTTATTTTGATTTATCACTAACTTACTGAATTATTGTCAAGTACAATTATGTTGTATTCATTTTGACAGTGCTCTCTAGCTTGCTTGATGATGCTAAACTGTGTGGTTAAGCTAAAGATTGTACGTATTTTTGGACATGAAGTGACAAAATGCTTTAAACTGTTTCGCTTGTCCTAATCCAGCCTCCAAGGATCAGAATGGACTGCTTTATAACTAACACTGTTTCACTGTGAAATCTTAATATGTACACTCCTTTCAAAGCAGGGAGAAGGTTTTAAGGTGAAAACGAAGAAAGAAATCCGGCATGTGGAAAAGAAGAGCCACTCGTAACAGCGAACGGTCAGTCAAGGTGAGGTGTGTTCATATCAACAACAGTAGGACTTAAATTCCTGTGAAACTTATATTTTTCACTAAATAAGTGATTCTGATTTTCCCCGTCCTTTCCTTTTCACTGAATTTCAGCTTTGAAAATCAAATACGAAGTTGTTCAAGTTCTGTTGATGTTTGCATATATACACACAATGAAACTTGACTTCGGTTTCACAGTCCATTAACTTTCTCCTCACAAATTAGGCAGCAATTTAATTGTAAATTATGTTTGCAGAAGCAAGTATAAATAGTGATAAGAGTAAAGGCTCACTATGAAATACAATAGCCTTATACAATCTAACAGGAAGACTATTTGGCAACGAATACTTCTTACAGTTATACTCAGAGTTTTATTGATCCAGACTTTCACCATTTTAGCAGAACGGCATCTGAGGATATCATTTTGGTTGAAATAAGTGACTTTCCAAGTCTAAATTAAATGACTGACATATCTATCTGGTGTTTTATAGAAACAAAAGGAAAAAATAGGAGGTTAATGGCACTGTTGTTTGTTTTTTAAGTTAAATGTTTAGTAAGTGAGCTTTGTTTACATTTGCCTGGACTTTTCTTTACAGATCACGTTATTTTCCTTTTACATTGTCCTATTTATTTCTACTTAGCTACAATTAGGCCATATGGGGTGAAAAAGAAAGTCCTCTATAGTCTGTAAAGTAAAGCAAAATCACTTCCTTTAGTTCACCACCAGTCTTCTTAGCCCCACAGGTTAAAGTAGTAAGAAAGAGCAAACAGATTCTAGTTTTCATTTTCATGCATCTGCTGTTCCCTGCTTGCCAGAATACTGGTATGCAGAGTGCTGAGGGAAGGAACTGGGAAGTAATCTAGTTTCACTGCCTGTAATTTTATGTGTGAGCTAACTAAGGCCCAGGTAAGTTCTCAATTCTCCCTCCCCGCAAGCCTTATCATTTGTTTATTCAGTATAACATTTACTTCATTTCTTTCTGTGAGACTTTCTCACATGACCATTTAATGGCATTGAGAAGACCACTCAGAACTGCAGAGCATTCTGGAAAGAATGTTTACTACACATCCTCTTCCCAGTGTTTCATGCGTGCTCTTCAGGCAATCCTCACAGCCAACCCTCTTGGATAAGGCCTTCATCATCCCCATTTGATAGATGAGGAAACAGGCCCAAAGTGGTTAAATAAATTGCCCACGCTCACATAAGTAAAAAGTGGCAGAACTAGGATACAAACCCGAACAAGCTGCCTCCAGTGTCCACTTGTTTGCCAGAGACTTAACCTGGGTCGGAGGTGACGGGGAAGGTTTCCTTGAGAATATGATGTTTGAGCTGAATTTTAAAGAATGAGTAGCAGTCAGTCATCCCTGTAAGGATTCTGGGCTGTACCCGAAAAGCAGTGGGAAACCACTAAGGGATTTTAGGCAAGAGTGTGGTATGATCCAGTTTATATGTTCTGCATCACTCGCTCTAAATGCAGGGTAGTTGTTAATGAATTGGAAGGGGCACTGGTGGATGAACAGAAAACCTGTTGAGAGACTATTGCAGAAGCTAGCTTGGCAGTGAGGATGGCTAAATAAAAAAATTTCAACACAACTTGGTTTTTATTGGATGAGAAGGATCCAAGATGAGAAAATGAAGGATGACATCAATGTAGCAGTAGCTAGAATGAACCCACTCCTATGCATGTCCTACTGCTGAACCTGGTGAAAGACTTCTCCCTATAGCAGATCCACAAAATACTAAGCATGAGTTTGTTATCTTGAATTCGTCTATTTATGCAATTCTAAGTGAAAAATGAAACGAAAGTAGAAAAGAGGTCAGTCATCTGTAGTATGCCCCTAAAGTTTAGCAGCTTGTTCAATCATATTCTCAGGCTCCTAGTGGAAAAGAACCAAAAGGGTTACCTACACCAGCTGAGCCATTTTCTACAATGACATATTCCTAATACCTGTGAATAAATGACACCAAAAAATATGACAGTGCTATGCTTCCAGGGTCCTTTAGACTGTGTTGATTTAAAAACAGCTTGCTCACTAAATATAAAGAAAGTTTTAAAATTTTAAATAATCATCCTATAAAGAAGTTGTCAGACTCACTTGCTGCACCACTCAAAGGAGAGAGAACGTTGGGTAGATTCATATGAATGTGAAAATAACTTCAGCTAAAGCAAACAATGTGTCAGATTGAAAGAACAGTGACTTGACAAGCCTAATTTTACTTTCCAGGTAGTGTTTACCTTCCGTAAGTGAACTTAGGGAATGAGTCCAAGAATACTGCCTGGAATTCCAGGAGACTGAATGTATGTGCTCCGGAAAAATCAATTTGCAAATATATTGAGAGTTTTTATAGTCATGCTGGCTGCCTCTTTAAAAAAAAAAAAAGAAAACTAAGCAAGTAGAATGCTGCCAAATATGACTGAGTCTTAGATGGTAACATCAAAATTTGTATTTCCCATTTTAGAAGCAGTTGAATTTTGAGCTATCTGAACTCTGCCCCTGCTTTTCTTTAATATTGAGTCATAGCCATCCTATTTTTAAAGAGAAAAGCCAATGACTTTCAAGATTTGTACATAGTATATAGTGATTTATAGTTTACAAAGTACTTTTACATTTTTGTCTTATTTAATCCTTCCAACAAGCCTTAAGGCAAGTCAGGCAATTTTGCTTGTGACCTTTTACAGATGAGGATATTAAGGCTCGGACAGCTCAAATGATGTTTCTGCCTTCACACAGTTTATGACTGGTATAGCTAAGACTTGAAGTCAAGATTATTGATTCTCAGCCTAATGTTCTGTTACACTAAGCTATCTCTCTAAAATTATTTACAAAGAATAATAACAATCATCTTCTGTGAAATGATTGCTATGTGGCAGGCACTAGGTAAATAATTATATATATAACCTTAGGAAATCCCCAAAACAATGCTATAAGGTAAATACAACTATCCCCCAACCCCTTTTTTAAAAAAATAGGGAAACTGAGGTTCAGAAAACTTAAATGATTTACTCAAGGTACTACAGCTAGGGAGCAAAAGAATAAAATTTGAACTTATCTAGAACATAGATCTTAACTACTACTTATATTAATAAATAGTATTTGATCATTAAAGACCCAAAAGCAAATTCTGAATCAAATACAAGCACAAAAGCAACCTGTCGTAAATTTCTTCTTACTCTACACAGTGAAAGGACTCATAGTTTTTTATTCTTTTTTCTTAAACAAAGCAAGACTTCATTTCTAAATCTCTAGATTTTTACTTCAAATACCAAAAAAGGGGGCTGATTTGTGAGGTCATGGCAAGGGAAGATCCCCAGATAAAAGGTCATTTAAGCCATGGCAAAGACTTGCATGACACATACTGTATTCTAAACCTCCTCTAGGAAAATGCTCAGGTTCTCACAGCCATGTGTAAGCCAAGAGTGGCAAGAGTGCCCATGCTTGTCAAGGCAGCCCTTTACCTGAGGCCAAAAAGTTAACCCATTTCATTTATTTCTTCAAAGAATATTTGGCCATCTGCCTGGCTTAAAGTGGAAGGACTAGATATACAATAGTGAATAAATGCTTCATGGTCCCTGTCTTTCTGGATCTCCCAGTCTGCAATGGGAAAAAGAAATGGGACAAATGTTTAAACACTGAAAATACAAAGTCCAGGATCCAATGAAAGAATGTAAGAATGTACTTAGACTTTGGGGCTAGGGAAGGTCTCTCTGAAATCATGACATTTAAGCTAAGACCTCATCAGTGGCACCAATTATGAAAATAATGGAGAAGAAGAGGACCCCAAGCAAAGGGTACAACATGTGCAAGCACCCTGAGGTGGGAAAAGGCCTAACATAGTTGAAGAAATGATAGATCAGTGCATGATCTTTCATTTCTTCAAATATGTAAGATTGGTGTGTGATCTTTCATTTCTTCAAATATGTTAGGTGAGCTGGTGGTAGGTAAGATAGGCACAAGATAACATTAAAACACACACACACACACCATCATTCAGAGCCCTGTAGGCCAGAGGAAAGGATTTAGATTTCATTCTAAAGGGAATTTAAATTCCTTATAGATGCTCGATGTTAGACTTTTGTCAGATACATAGTTTGCAAATATTTTCTCCCATTATGTAGGTTATCTCTTTATTCTGTTGATAGTTTCTTTTGCTGTGTAGAAGCTCCTTAATTAGGTCCAGTTTGTCAATTTTTGCTTTTTACAAGCAAAAAACCACCCACCCCATTAACAAGTGGGCAAAGAACATGAACAGACACTTTTTGTTTCTTCTTTTATTTTTGAGACAGTCTCACCTGTTGCCCAGGCTGGAGTGCAGTAGCACAATATCGGCTCATTGCAACCTCTGCCTCCTGGGTTCAAGCAATTCTCATGCCCCAACCTTCTGAGTAACTGGGATTACAGGCACATGCTACCATGCCCCGCTAATTTTTGTATTTTTAGTAGAGACGGGGTTTCACCATGTTGGCCAGGGTGGTCTCAAACTCCTGACCTCAAGTGATCCACTCACCTTGGCCTCCCAAAGTGCTTGAATTACGGGCGTGAGCCACTGTGCCCAGCCACGCACAGACACTTTTCAAAAGAAGACAGGCATGTGGCCAACAAGCATATGAATAAAAGTTCAGCATCACTGTTCATTAGAGAATTGCACATTAAAACCACAATGAGATACCATGTCACACCAGTCAGAATGGCTATTATTAAAAACTCAAAAAATAACAGGTGCTGGCAAGGTTGTGGAGAAAAGGAAACATTTATACACTATTGGTGGGAGTGCAAATTAGTTCAACCATTATGGAAAGTGGTGTGGCAATTCCTCAAAGAGCTAAAAACAGAACGACCGTTCAACCCAGCAATCCCATTATTGGGTGTATAAACCAAAGGAATATAAATTGTTCTATCACAAAGGCACTTGCACATGTATGTTCACTGCAGCACTATTCACAATAGCAAAGAATGGAATCAACCTAAATGCCCATCAATGGTAGACTGGATAAAGAAAATGTACACACACATACACCATGGAATACTATGCAGGTATAAAAAAAAGAGTGAGAGCATGTCCTTTGCAGGAACGGAACATAGATAGAGACCATTATCCTTAGCAAACTAACATAGGAACAGAAAACCAAATACCATATGTTCTCATTTAGTGGAAGCTAAATGATGAGAACACATGGACACAAAAAGGGAAAAAACAGACACTGGGATCTACTTGAGGGTGAGAGGGGAGAGGAGAGGAAAAAGTAACTATTGGGTACTAGGCTTAGTACCTGGGTGGCAAAATAATGTGTAACAAACCTGCACATGTACCCTTGAACTTAATAAAATAATTGTTTGTGTGCATGTTTAGAGGAATTCGAAGCCTCTGAAGGATTTTAAGCAAGGACCTAACTTGGTCTTTTTTCCCTCTTTAAAAAAAACACAAGAGCACGGACTATCTAGAGAATGGATAGGGGGACAAGAATAAAATGAAGGTAACCAGTTAGGAACTTATTGCTTCAGTTCAACTAAGCCATAATGGTGGCTTCAGCTGGGAAGATTGACAGCACTTGATAGATTAGCATGGTGGGTAGAGTGGAGAAGAATCATTGAGTCAAAAATGACTCCTAGATTTCTGGCATAAGCAACTGGATGATAGAGAAAGAAGCAGAAGTGGAAGAGGAATGAGTTTTAAGAAGAATGACAGGCATTCAGGCTTGGACTTGGGTTTGAAATGCTATGAGACATCCAAGTATTTATGTTACATATGCAAGTCCGAAGCTCTGAGGAAAAGTTGGGGCTGTGCATATAAAAATGTGGGAATCATCACAAAAGAAATGGGTATTGAATACCAGTGAACAGATGTGATTACCTAGGGAGAAAACTGAAGTAAGCCAAGAAGGGGCTCAAAAGTTGAGTCCTCAAAAGCAACATTTCAGAGTTTAAAAAAATTTCCTCAGCCAGATGCAGTGGCTCACGCCTGTATTCCCAGCACTTTAGGAGGCCGAGGCAGGCAGATCACGAAGTCAGGAGATGTAGACCATCCTGGCTAACACGGTGAAACCCTGTCTCTAGTAAAAATACAAAAAGACTAGCCAGGTGTGGTGGCGGGCACCTGTAGTCCCAGGTACTTGGGAGGCTGAGGCAGGAGAATGGCGTGAACCTGGGAGGTGGAGCTTTCAGTGAGCCTAGATCTTGCCACTGCACTCCAGCCTGGGCGACAGAGCAAGACTCCGTCTCAAAAAAAAAAAAAAAAAAAAAAAAAAAAAAATTGCCTCTGACCTCTCTCTTCCGCAGAGCTCCAACCATGACCCTCCTTAGTAAGCACTCAATAAGCGTCAGCTATTGCTACTAGTATTAAAAAAACCAAGAATAGAACCTTGAAGAGCTTTGGATTACAGAGGCTGGTGGACTAAGCAGCAGCAGCCAGTGATGGCTAGAATATAACAGTGGGAGAAGTGAGAACAGCAGTGTCTGAAATCCTCTGCATGTGATGGTGGTTTACACTTCAGAAAAGTTTCCACTATTTCACATCACTTGTTTTTCACAGTAGCCCTAGGAAGTTAGTACAACAGGTATCCTTATTCCTCTTTACTAAGCAATGAACAGTGACAAAGAGAGAGCAAAATCTCTAAGGCTGAGTGCAGTTAATGACAGGTCTGGATTTCCTGATTCTGATTCTCAGAAGTCAGAGCTATGGGCTGAATTGCTTCACTACAAATTCAGGACCCTGCCCTCCAGAATATTTTACCGGAATTCATATAGAGTAAATATGTTTTTATATTATGTATTTTTTATTTTTCTTAAAAATATATAATATTTTTTATTTTAAGAAATAAAATTAGCCCAGCTAATTTTGTATTTTTAGTAGCGATGGGGTTTCTCCATGTTGGTCAGGCTGGTCTCAAACTCCCGACCTCAGGTAATCTGCCTGCCTCAGCATCCCAAAGTGCTGGGATTATAGGTGTGAGCCACCGCACCCCGCCTTTTTTTTCTTACCCTTAAAAAATTCCTGTTAACAAAAGCCTTGGCTTCAAGATAAGAGCTAGAGGCAGGTGGCTTGATTTCCAGTTCTGGCTCCACTATATATTAGCTGTGTAACCTTGAGCTCACTATTTAAAAGCTTTGTGGCTCTCTTTTTGGCCGGGCGCAGTGGCTCACACCTGTAATCCCAGCACTTCGGGAGGCCAAGGCAGGTGGATCACCTGAGGTCAGAAGTTAGAGACCAGCCTGGCCAACATGGTGAAACCCCACCCATTTCTACTAAAAAGATAAAAATTAGCCAGGCATGGTGGCACATGCCTGTGGTCCCAGCTACTCAGGAGGCTGAGGCAGGAGAATCGCTTGAACCTAGGAGGCAGAGGTTGCAGCAAGCCAAGATCGTACCACTGTACTCCAGCCTGGGCGACAGAGCAAGACTCCATCTGGAAAGAACTAAATTAATTAAAAAATAAATAAGAAAATAGAGCCACAAAGCTTTTATTTATCTACAAAATGGAAAAAATAATAGTACCTCAGGGTTATTCGGATTAAATTAGCTAATCCACTTTAGAACAGTTTAGAATAAATATCTTTACCTAATAAAAATAATAACAGTAATAAAATTTTATTACTGTTAGGTTTTTCTTTCACTGCTAAAACACGAATGAACAGTTTTCCAGTATTTTTTTCCAGCCCTTTGACTTAAGATACTTTTTAATCACAAGTGAACAGAAAAGAACAATCAAAAAAGCCCTACTTATTGGTATTAGTGAAGAAACAAAGCTACCTGAATTGGGAATTACTTTAAAACTGCACTGTAGTGTATTTTAGTTACATAAAGTAATTAAAATTAATGTTTAGAAAAAAGTCTTAGTCCATGATTTCTGTAACTACAGAGAAGGAAAAAGAGAAAAGAAGGGAAAGAGAGAGGTGGGTAGGGAGAGAAACAAAGAACTAGAGTAAAGACCTCTTTGTCCTCAGTGGGCTCAGGCTTTCCTTAAGCCATGACACAGCTAAGTCTTAAAGATGAGTAAGAGTTGAACTACAAAGGTGGATTTCATTAGGGAAAGAAATCTGAACTTTCAAGGAGGTGGCATTTGAAACAAATTTGAAGGGTAGAAGAGGAATTAGCCACAGATGATAATCAGAGAAGGCAAGTATAGGTGGATACAAAATCATGAGCAAAGACAATGAAGTTGGAAAACAATTTGTAGTTGATACCTGGCATGTAATCTAGATCCTCAAAGTGAAGTCTGTGGACCACAGTATCAGCATGCCTAAAAGTCTGTTAGAAACACAGAATTTCAGGCTGGGCATGGTGACACGCCTGTAATCCCAGCACTTTGGGAGGTTGAGGCGGGCAGATCACCTGCGGTCAGGAGTTCAAGACCACCCTGGCCAGCGTGGTGAAACCCCATCTGTACCAAAAATGCAAAAAATTAGCCAGGCATGGTGGTGGGCGCCTTTAATCCCAGCTACTCAGGAAGCTGAGGCAGGGGAATCACTGGAGCCCGGGAGGTGGAGGTTGCAGTGAGCCAAGATCATGCCTTTGCATTCCAGCATGGGCGACAGAGCAAGACTCTGTCTCAAAAAAAAAAAAAAAAAACCAAAAAACAAAACAAAAAAAAAAACAAAAACAGAATTTCAGACACACTGACCTACTGAATCAGAATCTATACTCAAAGACTCCTGTGTAATGCAGATTAAACTTTGAGAAGCACTGTTCCAGAACATTTGACTGGCTCTCAAATTATCGAGTTTTAAAAAATTTTTGATGCTGGCCCCATCCCGAAAACTTCTATATAAACTGGTATGGGATGTGGCCTGGATATTGTTGTTGTTTTAATCTTCCCAGGTAAGTCTAATGTGCAACCAAGTTTGAGAACCACTGGAGATTGCAAAACAGCTTTTCAGTGAGGGACAGTGGGAATTAAGCCTAAAAAAGGTTCATTGGGCTGGACCAGAGAGCTTCAGATGCCAAACTAAAGATAGGAGACCCTTTTTAAAGCTAGGCATTAGGGTCTAAAATCCACAGGTATGTCCATTTGCCTATAAAAAACAAGTCAGTTCTGTACCAGAGCATGCTGCTGACTTGAAGATGTGATGTATGCAGTACATATTTAACTGTAAAGTATCAGCTGCCATGAAAATCCAATGAATTGCTGTTTCCAAGTTTTTTTTTTTTTTTTTTTTTTTTTGAGACTGAGTCTCGCTATGTTGTCCAGGCTGGAGTGTGATGGCCCGATTTCAGCTCACTGCAACCTCCGCCTCCTGGGTTCAAGCAATTCTCCTGCCTCAGCCTCCTGAGTAGTTGGGATTATAGGTGCCTGCCACCTCACCCGGCCAATTTTTGTATTTTTAGTAGAGGCTGGGTTTCACCATGTTGTCCAGGCTGGTCTTGAACTCCTGATCTCAGGTGATCCGCCCCCCTCCCCTGCCCCCGGCTTGGCCTCCCAAAGTGCTGGGATTACAGACGTGAGCCACCGTGCGTGGCCCTGTTTTCGTATATTTTAAAATGTTTCTTAAAAATACAGTGAAATGGCTAAAAGGAATGATTGGTTTTCTGATTTAGTTTCTCCCACCTTTAGGTTTGAAAGGCATACAAAACCCAAAGCAAGACAGATTCCTAAGTGCAACTGCATCTATCTCATATCCATTATCTAAACCAGAAAAGGGAGATGAGTCAAAATTCTATTTCTGAAATGTCATCTTGATGGCTTCTGCCCTCACACCTTCCCATCAGATGGCGCTGTCATCACAGTTTATACCAAGTGTCAATATTTTTATAGCAAGTACACAGTCACTTAGCCAAGGTTCTCATGCTTTTTATGCAACATTGTACTTGGTGTAAAGTCTTTTGTCCAATGAATGACCTTCCTGTACCCAGTGTGGTTGGGGCCAACAGGCTCTGATTGCATAACCAAGAAAAGAAAAAGTTATAAGAGGAACTAACTCCCACTTAAAAAAAATCACCCAAAACATCCTCACTGGAATATAAGTGGGCATAATTCACAGCATTTTTTTAAATGATAGAAACATATCCAATATATCCAGAAAGATAACATTTGCTTGGATTGAGGTGAGAAGAGAAAGGCCTTGCTACTCATTACGAAATTAACCTGGGAAGTTGGATTGGTTTTTAGGAGACATGGAGAAAAGTAGTGATGATCACACATCTACATAAATATTAAAAATTATCAAGCCAGGCCAGGCGCAGTGGCTCATGTCTATAATCCCAGCACTTTGGGAGGCCGAGGCAGGTGGATCACTTGAGGTCAGGAGTACAAGACTAGCCTGGCCAACATGGTGAAACTCCATCTCTACTAAAAATACAAAAAATTAGCCAGACTTGGTGGCACACACCTATAATCCCAGCTACTCGGGAGACTGAGACAGGAGAATTGCTTGAACCCGGGAGGCGGAGGTTGCAGTTAGCCGTGATCATGCCATTCCATTCCATTCCAGCCTGGGCGACAGAGTGAGACTTCGTCTCAAAAAAAAAAAAAAAAAAAAAAAAAGAAGCTGTGTATTTATAATAGCTGAAGTATGATATACAAATTATATATCAAGCTTCAAAAAGTCAGGGGGAGGGGTTTAGAGAAAGCAGGGAGTGAGACTGTAGTAACATTATCATAGGACCATCTAAGAAGCCTGGTGCCTACAAGATTAGGATTAAATGATAAAAACAGGTGAGAAAATCCTGATCATCATCTTCTGATTTGCCCACCCTCTGCAAGATGATCTACCCAAGTGAGTCACTTTCCTTCTTTGGAACCTCAGCAGAGTCACAGGGGAGGGGTGTTGAAATCACATAGGAGGAATTGATACTTTCATGTTCTTGGCTCCAAGCATTAGTGACCTGGGGCATGGAGGTCAGTAGCACTTTTAATACTAAAAAGGAAGCCAGGTCCTGTAGGGGGGCAGAGAGAGGAAGTGCTCTACCAACATGTTTCCATAAGCCAGGCTGTCCTAGGTGACCCATCTAAAGAGGAAGATACTTGTCTGAGGTAAGTAAACATCTTCAAGGTCACTGGAACTCCTGGGCCCCAAGAGAAGTCGAATTCTAAAGGTTGTCCTAGATCTGCAAATATAGTCTGTTGTTTATATGGGAGTGAGCAGGGTTATTCTTAAAATTGTTCTTGCCTTACTCAGGATTTCTATAGGAGCTGTATCTTGTTCTCAGGCAGGTAGGCATGCAAGTTTGTCAGCTTTTCACACTAAACAAGGAGGAGAGACAATATATGGGAAGAACTTTGTTTTATGGAAAAGGCAAATTCATACCACAATAGCACACAAAAGTATGAAAACCTCTGCCAAAGAATGATTTATTTTGACACAGTAAGACTGGTTATAAAACACAGATGCTTTATGCAGGAATCTTCCAGCAAGACAAGACATTCTCAGTGGAGCCTCCACTAAAAAGCTCAAATACAATTAATTCATCCCATTATGACTGACATGGACAGGAAAAGCGAAAGTTCTTTGCAGTGGTAGAAGTTTGTCTCTAATTTTAATTTGGTTATGGAAAAGAAATTTCATTGTAATGAAGTAATGACGCTTTTCTTCCTTTTGAAAGATTAGTTGAATTTTTGGAGAAGTGAGAGACTTACTTACAAAGCATTCAGAAATAGCTGAGATGCTCTATCCTGACTCCTTATCTCTGGCCCTTTCTGCTCATGGAAGTCCCAAACTTCTTACATTTTGATATTTAGGGAAGTCTCAGAGATTACCTCTCTCAGCCACCTCATTTCACAGATAAGACTAAGGCCCAAAGGGCTACAAATGGCTTCCCCAAGCAGCTGAATAACCTGAGCTTCAGACAGAACTAGAAGAGGGTCTTCCCAACACAGTCTAAAACTGTCACCAAACCAAACTGGGTGTTTGCCCGTGCACAATGGACAGTCGAACACCAAACACCAAAGCACCAGGTTTTTGCAGGAGAAAGGTGTATTGCCACTTGACTGACAAGGAGACAGGAGGAACCACTCAAATCTGTCTCTCCAAGCTGGGGGCTGGGTCATGTTTCAGAAGCATAGGGTAATGAGGCATGATCTGACTGGATCCTGCAATGGGGTGACGCCAAGGCTCTATCTGACTGGATCCTGCCATGAGACATAAGCTTCTTAATTAGCTCCCCAGCCTGAGAACTTAGGTTCCTCCTATGGTTGCATATTTAGTTCATCTGGGCATGCTCACATTATGTGACCTTCATCCTGGGGGTGTCCATGGCAACTCAAAAACAACTCACAACTTTGTTACATAAAAGTTGAGGGCCGGGCGTGGTGGCTCATGCCTGTAATCCCAGCACTTTGGGAGGCCAAGGTGGGCGGCTCACGAGGTCAGGAGATCGAGACCATCCTGACTAACATAGTGAAACCCCGTCTCTACTAAAAATACAAAAAATTAGCCAGGCGTGGTGGTGGGCACCTGTAGTCCCAGCTACTCGGGAGGCTGAGGCAGGAGAATGGTGTGAACCCAGGAGGCAGAGCTTGCAGTGAGCCAATTTCGGGCCACTGCACTCCAGCCTGGGCAACAGAGCAAGACTCCGTCTCAAAAAAGAAAAAAAGTTGAACCAGGTGGTCTGGTGCAATTACAAAACACAGATACAATAATAAGCAAGGCTCTCTGGAGGTCACCTAGAAAAGCTCACTGCCTTCTAAGAGCTTTCCAGTACACCTTAGGGCCTTGTCCTCTAAGGCATCTAGCAGGTAGCAGCATCATGTTAAACCACCCCATAGGGAATGGAGGGCCTCTATTCCCTAAGACTTTTCTATTGAATGGCAAGTAAGGCTTACACTAGTTGTCTTAAAAAAAAAAAAAAAAAAAAAAAAAAAAAAGAAAAAGAAAAAGAAAGCTAAACTCACTATCTACTGTCTCTTTCCACAGGATCATAAGTTTTTACTGCCAGTATTGAGAAATTCGTGGAAGAAATGTCAGCAGGAAGTAAAAATTCACCGAGAAGTGTGTGTGTGTTCGCTGCTTCCACACATTAATGGCATGATTTTTTTTATGCAAAAAGAAAAGAAAAGAAAACCACCCACATTTTAATTTAGCATGAGCCAATTTACAGAGCATGGAAATCACTTTCATTTCCGGATTGGCGCGTGTGCAATTAGCAATGCAGTGTATATACAAGAAGCCATGCTGTTAACAGTTTATCTCAAGTAATTTGGTGTCATTTACAAAAGGAAGAAATTCCTGCCATCAGAAGGGACAGAAGGAGATGGAATGATCAAATCACAGAGAAACACTAAAATTACTAAATCTACAACAGCTCGCCTTATTTTTCTTGGACCCAAACTGTCAGGGTATAAACACTATTTGTTTCTTTTTTAAAACATCGATAGTTTTGCTGTAAATAATAACACTGTATAAATTCTAACAGAAAAATAGAATAAAATGTTGATAAGGCACTGCCTCTTAGAACACAAACAGAATATTGCAAATGCATTTAACAAATAGGGGTCTCAAGTGACTTCACCCTAGAAGAGGAGGGAGGGATTCTGGGTGGGGGTGACTCTTCACTGATTCTTGTATATTAGCAATTATAATGTTTGTATATGCAAAACTGCTAGCTTGATTTTAAAAAAAAACAAATCTTTAAAATCTGCTGCAAATTTAAATAATTCCCAAAATGAGGAATTCTGTAGTTCTGTGAAAAATTTTTTTCTTCAGAATACTAATATTTTGATGCATGTGTATCACCTTATTTTGATTAAATCTTTTCCAATTTTGCAAACACTACAGTATACTGCAACACAAAAGATTTTATCTGTAAACACAAAGCCCTTCATCTAATATTTGTTGCTATTGCCAATTTTTCAATGAAATGACCTAAAAACAACAAAAAAAAATAACCTATACGGTAGTTGCTTTAGGGGGTGGGGGGATGCTATCTGTTAGTGCTTAAAAGGGGGTAAATGCTTGCCGCTTTAGAGGTGGATGGTGCTCATAAAAGGCCCCAGTCGGGGGTATTTAAAAAGGACTGAACAGAAATCCTTAGCTAGTAGAATGGCAGCACGCTGTAAAATTATTACTGTATTGTGTACTGGCTATAAGATGTAGACACCTTTCAGTAAGCCAATCATTTGTAACCATTCTAGCAGTGTCATATTAGGTTAATAAGGCTGCTGTGTTTTAAAGGGCATTTTTATTTGGGTTTTGGTGAAATTCTTTAATTTGTTGATTATATTCACATAAAATCAGCATTCATTGACACATAGCTCTAATGACATATGTATGAAAAACCATACACTGGATGACCTAGTCGATTATTTAAGCATAAAATAAATTGTGTTAAACTCTTCACCTATCTGTGCTCTACAGTCTCCTTGTGTTTTCTGGCAAAAGGTAGTTGTCTAATCCCTTGTCATATGAGTCCTGGCCAATCCACCCCATTGGTCCTCTTTGTGCCTCTGTGGTCACTGAAGAGATAATCTCTAACATTCATATGTGCCCTGCAAGCTCCCAGCTTATAAATTCTGTGCATTTCATGGGGGAGCCAAGAATTAAAGATTAATTGACAAGTAAGCTTTGCCCACATCTGTTCAGGCCTTCTTGAAAAGTGAAGAATTGGAGATACTATAGCCAGCATGTCAAAAAGTTGACTGGCACTTCTAGGAACCATCAACATGCAGTTGCTTTTAGCCCACAGAGCTTGTTTTTGTTTTGTTTTATTAATTTACATTTATTGTCCATTCTTACAAGTTGGGACATTTCACATAATTAAGTTGCTAACATCTCTTAAAAAGCAAGATTTGGCAACAATGGACCTCATTCCCAGAAGGTAACAACCTGCTAGAGCCAAGTTGTCCCTGCCCTCTCCAGCCAGGTGTGGGGTCTACAGGTATCACTGCCACAGCCTCATTTCTTATATTTGTACAACCTGACTGTGAATTTGCAACCCATACACTGCGTGAATCTAAATTCTACTGAGGCAGAGACCATGGCTGTTTTAACTTTTATTCTAGTTACCAGCTTAGCATATGGTAGTAGTGATAGTAGTAACTGTGATCATCATCACTAAAACTGGAGTGCTCACTACATGCTATTCTCTGTTCTAAGCACATTCCATTTACTTACTTAGTCCTCATATCTACTTTATGAATTAGGTACTGTCTTTCTTTGATGGTAATGATCCTTTTATAAAATTAAATTAGTGCTAAGAGACTTTCAGCAATGTTATATATTGCCTGTCCATTAAAGATTGTTGCCAAATGGAGTGAGTTGTCCCCAGTAAGGATTCACTATCAATGCAGAAGAAATGCACGGATAATCTACTTTGCATAAAGAATGGGGCTAGGTTGCATCTGCATGGTATCCCAAATAAATAAAATGTGCCACTACCCTTGCACCAAAATTATTTTATGATGGGTAAAGTTAGACCCTTGAGAGGTTTTTTTTTTAAAAAAAAAAAAAAAAAAAAACTTTCCCAAAATGCCTCTCTGTAAAGCCAGGATCAGAATATAGGTGTCCTAACTTCCTATCTAAGAGTTACGAATTTCTGACTCAGTCTTTGAGAGAAGGTGTTTATCCTGAACCAGAAACTCAATGATGTATACCTGTTTAGGTATTAAATAGTTGTGTTTATATGCCCAAAAATTTGACTTTAGGTATATGTGATATGCTTTGGTTCCGATCAAGCAGGAGGTCATAAGTTTACTCAGAAGTATCCAAAATATGACATTCAAGATTTAACTTGCATATGTGTGTATATGCATATATTTATACATGTATATGTAGATTGAATGTGACATTATGTATTTCTAACATAATATTTGGCCTGCCAGCTTATAAATATGTATTTAAGCTTTTCATTGATTGACATTACTGTAAAAAATGAATTATGATTGAGAAGTTCTGGATATTTGCTGTTTTTTTCATTTTATATTCTTACTAAATTATTGAATTTGTTAAATTAAAATGTGCTATCACTGTATTGCCAAATTATGGCAATACACTATGCAGTATTATTTCAATACTTTAAGAGGCATCTATTACTTCATTGAACACATAAGCAGCTAGCCTCCTTTCCTCTGTAAATAAGGACTTTTTGGCATCCTGATGTTCCTCGCTGTTCATTTGGTATCATCCTGGAGTTCCATCAAGACTGAGGATTTTCTCCATGGCCAATAAACTATTGTCAGCATCAGCTCACGTTTGGCTGTATGACAGGGATATGTGAGAAGCCCAGAAATAAATCACAAAAATAATAAGGCATCTTCTGAGTCTCTCTGAAGAAGCCAGTGATCCAAAAACTAACTTCATATCTGAGTGAGTCTTGGTATTCTTGATTTGCTTGAAGAGGCTGTGACATATTACAAGGTGTGTAATTTCCCAGGCATATCACACTGCTTCTGTTTCATGAATTGATCAAATTGTCCAGAAGTAAACATTTACAAGATTGAGATTTGAACCAAACTTTTCAAGAGTTCTTTTAATAAGAGGTGGAAGGCAGTGGTGTAATTTCTTTACACGGTTACCTGGCTAAACATGTACCAATACAAAAATTAAATAATAGAGCGGATTCTGATAAGTATCCTTAGTAACAAGCCCAACAGCTTTCATTTCTTTAATAGAATGAAATGCAGATAGTTCAAAAATAGAGCAAAATGAAATTTACCATTATATCTGCTGCACTTATTCATTGTTAGCTACATATGATATGTACAAGTAGGTGAACATGAAGTGAAGAATTTTTACTCTTCAGCCCCTAGTGCTTCCTGAGTTAGGGAGTAAAACGCCCTGAGGGTTGCATTTCCAACTGGACATCCTGAGACTCCTCACCAATTCCAAAAGCTTTCCATAGCAAAGTTGAGATGAACATGCTCAGAGGATTCTAAGGCAGTGAGAAGAACCACCTTAGAATGCCACAGGAAGCACACCAGAGGCAATACCTATGAGGACTTTTTTTCTAGGACCACCATGGAACTCTGATGTCCCAAAAAACGTGATCTCCCTGCCTGATTTCCCCCAACATCCTCAATTACCGCTTCTCCTTTGTCATCTAATTCAACCATTGGCATAATTCTGAGAGCTGGGATAGAATGATGGCTTGCCAGCTTTTCAAAAATGTTCTGTCACATGACGTATGTCACCAGGTCTTCATACTAGACTGTACACTCCCTGGGGACAGGGACTTTGTTTTGTTCTATGCTATATCTATAGTACCTAGGATGGTGCTTGCCACCTTATGAGTGCTCAAGAAATAGTTGTTGAGTGCAAGAATGAATGAGTCAGCAAACATCAGAGGGCAAGGAGCAGTAAATAGGGAATGTTACTCTATACCATTTTCTTTACAGGCTCAACCAACTTGGAAATTGAAGGAAAGCACAGCTTTTGATTCTAATGACTTCATTCACCAAGGACTAACTTGTGTCACCAACCTCCACTGGTCCATTCCAGTTGCACAACCTCCTTCTTAGCCAAAGAGTCCTTAGTAATTGGGGTATGGATGTTCCAATACCTCATGAGCAAAGAGCACACAGTCATGCTGCTGAAGTGGCCATCCTTCCTGTGGCCACGGGCTATGGTGCTCATCCTAATCACTGACTGGCCACTGAGAAACCAGGCAAGAGTGTGGAGAACCCATCATGAACCTTCCTGTCTATAACAAAGTTAGTTTGGTTGCCTCCACCTTGGTGTTGCTGAGTAAATGTGTTTCACCATTCACCACAGCTCCTCTTCCTTTCCCTGTTTCCTCTAAAATCCAACTTACTTTATTCATTTCTATCCCACATCTCTGTTTAATATCATTAGAGGAAGGAAAAGAAGGCAAACGAATGCTATTCTGTTTAAAATCCTTCTTTCTGGCAAGCCAGATATCTACCTCATTTTCATCCCGTCTCTCTCAATGCCAGTAAGAGGAGGATGGAATAAAGGAGCATGTAACTGAGAAGACAAAGATGGATCATGTGGTTCTCCAAACCTATGCATCCCTCCAATCATTCTTCTCATTTCACAACATGTACTCAGTGCCTACCACCTTCCAGGTGCTCTCCCAGGCACAGGATACATCAGTTCCCTACCCACTCCCGTCAAAGTGAGGAGAATACCACCAGCCTCTGTGTGAAATCTAAATTAGGGCTCCTCAGGACAGGAAACTGTAGAATTACTTGTGGAAATAAAACTACCGCAGCACATCATAGGGAGTGCATGCTGAAGAACGTGAGAAGACATGTAGAATGGGGAGGAACAGCCCTGTGGCTGCTGAGTGTAACCAATGCACTTTCTCTTTTTTTGAGATGGAGTTTCACTCTTGTCACCCAGGCTGGAGTGCAATGGTGTGATCTCGGCTCACTGCAACCTCCGCCTCCTGGGTTCAAGCGATTTTCCTGCCTCAGCCTCCCAAGCAGATGAGATTACAGGCACTCGCCACCATGCCCGGCTAATTTTTTTTGTATTTTTAGTAGACACGGGGTTTCACCATGTAGGCCAGGCTGGTCTCGAACTCCTGACCTCGGGTGATCTGCCCGCCTCGGCCTCCCAAAGCATTGGGATTACAGGTGTGAGCCGCCCAGCCCCACTGCACTTCCATATTCTGCCTGCTAGTCAGAATTAAGTGGGACTCAAGGCCTGACAAAAATATTTCAATAGAAAACTTTAAAAACATTTTAAAGGTAGCTAACCAACTCTATAATACTGTATAAGCTCATTTGACTTCCAGAGATTCTGAATTTAGGTGAAACCAGTTGTAACTTTGAACTCATGCACGATGTTCTCCTTCCATATGTCAACTCCTACATAAATCAGACCACTTCACAGAGTCTGTCCCTGCCGATGCCAGTCCACACTGGCAACTGGTAAACTAAAGGAATACCTCACAATGTGGCACTCAACTCTACATCCTCTGGTAGTCCCCTTGCTCTCCAACAAGCCTTGTGCTTTCCACATTTCCATGAGCAGAGCTGGGTATACAGACGGTTTGTAATGTTGAGCTTCACATGCCTAATCATTTAACTGTTCTTTATGGTAAAGCCTTAGACTTCAGCTATGCTGCAATACACATCTGATAGCTCAGTCTGGGCGCACACCCCACCCACTGGAAGCCAGTGCTTAAGTGCAGTGAAGAGTGGAGCTAGAGCTATCACACAGCCTGGCTTTCTGACACTGCTATCATAGTGTGCCTTGCCCAGGTGGAGCCTGAAATAAGTAAAGAATATCTAGGGAAAAGCCTATGAAATATTAGCCTATTTAAGAACATGTGGCTCTAAAGAATAATAAAATAAAACAGATGTAGTGGTGACAGCTGTAGCATTGTAAGCTTTAGAGTAGCCCTCATGCTTCTGGCCATGATAACACTAGATTCTCAAGTTCCTTAGGCCAGAGTGGTCACACTGAAGTGTCTGTGGAGACTAGGCAGGTCATCTAAGCAAAGGGGTTGTTGTAGACTATTGTACATAAATAATAGCTGCCTCTCCCTGAGGGTGGATTACACTTCCCAGCCCCAATGCCTTCACCCTTGCCATGGAACTTGCTTTGGGCAATGAAATAACAGCAGATACTTCAGGAGATAGTGTATTTTTGTTAATGTACCCTTTCCTCACTCCAGTGATGCTCCAGAGAGACTGCTCCCTGCTCTGCTGCTGGGGTGAAGATGATGTGGAGCAGAACCACAGTCAACCCACCATAGATAAGCAATGTGAGCAAGAAATAAACCTTTCTAGTAAGCCAGAGATGTTTTAGTCATTTGTTACTGTGGCATAACCACTGCCCCAATTAATATACAAGTCAGGTATAAGACATTAAGGGCTGATGGGTATTGGGTAAGCAAATTCCTCTTCTAATGAGGCTGCCTTGTGGGAATATAAGCCCAGCTCTGCCAGATTTTGAAGTTTTCTAAATATTGGCAACTAATTTTTTTTCCCTAAGAATATTGTATGGGCCAAATGAAACATGCCTGTGGGTCACCGTTTTCAAGCTCTGCCACTAGCTCTTGGCATTTGCAAAATGGACACGTTCTTAGATCATGCTACACAAATTTATTAATGTATGATTTTTGATCACACCCTGTGAGACTAGTGTGCATAAGCAAATAACTCCTGAGTCGGATTCACAGACTACCCCTTATCCCCACCTCAATACAGCTTGGTTTTTCTCTATGCGCCATTTCAAACCCTGGAACTCTAAGGATCTCAAGGAGTCACTTAAGCTTTTTTACTCACATTTTATTGCCTTCTTAGTGAAGACTTCACCAGTCCATTTGGGCTTTGTATGGTTCCCTGCCTACCTGTATAACCACATCTCATGCCACCTTATCTCTTTCTCTCATTACACTTTAGACCAGTGATAAAGTGTAGCCCATGGACTGGGCTTAGTCTGAGAAGCCCTTGTTACCTGTCTGCAATGAGACAAGAAACCTGAGCCAGAATGTAAATTGACTGCATTACTAAGCATATTCCTTAGTTCAGCTGATCTAAAAAATACAGTATGTTAACTTATGTAATACATAGTGCTCCCCATATAGTCTTACGTTGTATTTATTTCAGAACATATCTTGGTTTTATGACTAGAATAAAGCTTTTTTGAGTCCATGGGTCTCAGCTCTTATTCCTTTTTATTCCTGATACATACATATGTCTAGAGCGGTGACTTGGACACAGTATAAACTAAATAAATACCACTTGAGCTGAATTTGATTTACAGCCATACCCACCATACATCCATGTCCCACTTTCATCCCCTCATGCAGATTCCAAGCTTCTCTTGAAAAATCAGAAGAGCTGACAAATCTAGGCCTGAATTCCTGCATTGCAGTATTTTGTTAGAGCTAACTAAGCACTGTTTTTGGTTGGAGCATGTGCTCTCAAGTTTTCTACAGTCTCTACTATTCTATCATGCCTTGCACAAGGCCCTGTGGCACTTGATTTTTGACCATTGTAAAGCCAAAAGAGTTTAGATTGCAGCTACCATTTTGCCCCACTAGGGTTAGAAGAGTTGCAGCCATTATAGAACGTAGCCACTCAGGCTGCCTGAACAGTTCTTTTCTGTTATTGTTTAACCAGGAAGATTTTCATTTCAGCCAGAAAGATGGCTCATTTTTCTAACACCAATTTAGCAGAGGCTGTGCGTACTTGGGTGATTCAAAGAGTCATCTAAAGATCTGATGCCATGACACATACCAGATGACTTTAACAACCTTCCCATCACATGTCCTTGGCACAAAATGGAAAAACACTATGATGACACCTGACAGTAACAGAAGTCTCATGAAATACTGTGGTGGGGGAGTTGTTATAAAGCTCTTCTCAGCAAGACTTCACTGGGGGTGGAAGCACAGCAACCCTCAAAGGCAAACTGAAGTTTTGATACCTTACAGTGAGTCACTGAAGATGTGAGTGGTTTTCCTTGACATTCACAGCATTCACAAGATACTGATCCAAAGCTATACTTATTTGTGCTTCCCTTCATCCCTCATTTATTTATTCAATAAATGTTTGCATGACTACTAGTGCCAGGCCTTGTGCTAAATGCTATGGATACAGCAATGAATAAGAAGGACAATAAACAAGTGTACAAATAAACAAGGTAATTATAGTGGCAGATGCTATGAAGGTAATAAAAATGGTGATGTGACGGAATAATTGGGGGGAATCAAGATACTCTAGAGAGGGTATGCAAAGAAGGCATAGAGAGCGTGACATTTGGAAGCTGAGATGGAGCTTCCCTGGCAGCCCTCTGCCAATAAGTACAAATGAGACAGGATGAGAAAAGAAGGCCCTTGACATTTTTTGAGAAACAGAAAGAAGAAGCTGGTGTGGCTAGAGCCGTGCTATGCAGAGCATCAACCAGTAACAAGATCAAGAACTTGTACCAGCCTGTAATTCTGTACCATTTTCTTCTCAAGAAAATATTACAACATATATTAGTATAAAGCACAAAACAGTAAGTGCCACATGTGTTGGCTGTTATGATTGTTAATAGTATTATTCCATTTTCATAATGATCTCAGGATTGGTTGACGAAGTGAACTGGAAATGGCCTAGCAGAGAGCCTTGCACATATTAGACACACAGTAAATACTAGTTTAATGAATGAATGCTTAGTGGAAGAGCAGCATTTGAGTTGGAACTTGAGAAGCAAGTATGACTTTAATATGTGAAGAAAGGAGGTCTAGGCAAAAGGAATAAGAGGCTAGAAGGCATAAAGCCATCCAAAGAAGTGTGAGCAAAATTTGTTTTGATCATAATTTGAGGAGAAAGGAGGAACAAAGATGGAAAAGAGTGACTTACCGTTAAGAGACATCACAAGAATTGTAGGCACGGCTTTCAGCAGCCATCTTCATCAATCATATCTTGTGTGCATTTGCTCGCATCAGCATGTTTGCAAAAAGTAGCTGCTCAATGACTGCAAGGCTCTATTACACACTGGGCTCGCCATGCAAGACTCTAAGGCTTGGGAACCTGAGTCCATATTTGAAAAGTGTTTCTGAGTTAAGTGGGAGATATACCTGGGCTTGAAAACCTATCTTTCTGGACATGTACCATAGGAATCCATCTTCACGTAACCTTAACAAAGCAATTTCTCATCCCTCTCCCAAGTAAGTGAAGCATAGTTTTCACCAAATGCATTTTCTAAAGCCAGTTGAATAAGAATAAAGAAGCCATTGGATGAGTGTGTCATTTGCATGATTTAAAAGCTAATCAAGATCAACTGCAGAACAAGAAACAACTACTTATGAAATCCTAATTGTTGACTGACTGACATGAGGCAACATGAGCAAACTAAGGCCCAGAGAAGTTAAATGACTCTTTCAAGGTCTCACAGACAGCTTGTGGTAGAATCAAGACTAGAATTCACATATTGCACCACACCCTACTGCCTCCCACTTGGTTTATGGATGAACCTAAAGAGTCATGTATAGGGGATGGTGCAAAAAGGTATCTCGCTCCAGCTGGATTCACCTGAGGTCTTTGTGACTGCAAATCAAAATGTTATGAGGACTCGTTGGCCCTTATCTTTTATTTAAGAGGAATTTTTAAAGTGTATTTTAACTGACAAATAATTGTACGCATTCATAGGGTACAGAGCAATGTTTTCATACATATAATGTAGTGATCGATTAGTGTCGTTATCATATACATCATCTCAAATATTTGTCATTTTTTGGTGTTGTGAAAGTTTAATATCCTCCTATTTGAAACTATATATTATTGTTAACTATAGTCACCCTACGGTGGTATAGAACACTAGAACTTATTTCTCATTTCTCCTCTAGCTGCAATTTTGTATCCTTTAAACATTCAGCCTGTTGAGCATCTTCTCTCTTCCTTTGTCTTCCCTCAGAGTCCTCTTGCTGGGTCTCCTGCTACTTCTCTAGGTGCTCCTGATTAGTTGGTCCCAACGAGATCCTCTTCTCCTACCCATCCTTTTACCATTGGGATAGACCAAAACTCTGAGTGATCTTATCCATTCCCAAAACTTTAGTAAATATTAATGTGCTGACAATTCCTAGTCTTTATCTCCCCCCACCATATCTCTGCCCTAAGCTCCAGAACTCATGTATCAGCAGCCTTCAAGGTCTCTCCACTCAGATACCCCACAGGCTCTTCAAACTCCTCATATCCAGAAATGAATACATGCCCATCCCCTCAAAAGAAGTCAGCTCAGATACTCTTCTCTGTGAATGGCATCACCATCCATCTCTTGCCCAGGTCAGACACTTGAGAAACACTCAGGTAATCCCCCTGCTACTCCATCCAGTTCAAAAACATGTCCATCATATCTCCTAGTCTCTTCAATTGTCGCCATTCATACAGCCCTACCTTAGGTCCTAAGTTCTCATCTGAGTAACTGCAATAACCTCCTAACTGGTATTTCTACCTCTGACAATTGAATATAGCTTTTTTTTTTTTTTTTTTTTTTGAGACGGAGTCTCGCTCTGTCACCCAGGCTGGAGTGCAGTGGCACAATCTCGGCTTGCTGCAACCTCTGCCTCCCAGGTTCATGCAATTCTCCCTGCCTTAGCCTCCTGAGTAGCTAGGATTATAGGCGCCCACCACAATGCCCAGCTAATTTTTGTATTTTTTTAGGAGAGATGGGGTTTCACCATGTTGCCCAGGCTGGTCTTGAACTCCTGATCTCAAGTGATCCACCTGCCTTGGCCTCCCAAAGTGCTGGGATTGGCTGGGTGTGGTGGCTCACGCCTGTAATCCCAGCACTTTGGGAGGCTGAGGTGGGTGGATCACAAGGTCAGGAGTTCAAGACTAGCCTGGCCAATATGGTGAAACTCCATAATTTCGTATTTGTAAAAATACAAACATTGGCCAGGCGTGGTGATGCATGCCTATAGTCCCAGCTACTGGGGAGGCTGAGGCAGAAGAATCACTTGAACCCAGGAGGCAGAGGTTGCAGTGAGCCAAGATCATGCCACTGCACTCCAGCCTAGGCGACAGAGCGAGACTCTGTCTCAAAAAAAAAAAAAAAAAAAAAGTGCTGGGATTGCAGGTGTGAGCCACCGTGCTTGGTCATGAGCATATATTTCTTTTAAAACCTCTAATCATATTACTTCTGAAGAATGAACTCCTTTGAATATCATATAAAACTTAGCGGTAAGACCTTTGACATGTCACTTAATTTCTCTGAGCCTCAGTTTCCTCATCCATGTAATAGGTCAATAATCCATACTTCACTGGATTATACAGAGAATTAGACTGAATGATGCAGGTTAAATGATTGGCAAAGTTCCTGACACAAAGGAAGCATTCAGTAGATTGCAGCTACTGGGGTTTATTACTAACTGTAGGCCCTCAATTATCTTTCATTCTTTATGTGGCTCACACTGGTCCTTTAAAATATTTTGTTAAAACCCTCTCAGAAAATGTGATTCTGGAATGATCTCAGGAACTGAGATGGAACTCAGTTCCAAAATCTGCTCCCTCACAAGAGTACTTTTGGCAGTACTTAGATTCTCCCCTCTCTAGATTCCCTCTCCTTGCCCTGTGGCTTAACAGCATTGTTTATTCTCCTATCTCTTCCTTCTCTCTGCCCTCTCTATTAATTGTGAGCTCTTCAAGATAAGTGATCATGCCTTATTTGTTCTGCTGTACTAAATACTCTATGAAATGTGAGGACTACCCATCCTACCCCATGACAGCTCACTCCCAGTGTTTCAACTGTCTGATTATCATCCTACTGTATGCTCAACCAATTCTTTGAACATAGCATACTTTGTTGCAAAATACACTTCCTTTTATTAATACAGTCATCCCTCAGAATCCATAGGGGATTTGTTCCAGGACCCCCAGGAGATAACAAAATCCACAGATGCTCAAGTCCCTGATATAAAATGGCATAGTATTTGCATATAACCTATGCACACCCTCCTATATACTTTAAATCATTTCTAGATTACTTATAATACCTAATACAATGTACATGTCATGTAAATAGTTATACTGTACTAGTTAGTGAATGACAAGAAAAAAGCCTACACATGTTCAGGACAGATGCAACCATCCAGTTTTTTTTTTCCCAAAAAAATATTTCTGATCTACAGTTGGTTGGATTCGTGGATGTGCAGCCCACGGATATGGTGGGAAGACTGTATATGGCCAAAGAAAATTCTACGAACAGTAATAATACACTTCCTTTCTTCTGTCTCCTCTTTATCAGCCATTTTTTTGTTTGATTTCACCATCCTAGGAGGTAGACAGGGCAGAAACCAAAGAGTGTCAGGAGTCACATAGCAAGTCAGTGGCAGAGTTGGGCGGATCCAGTGCTATTAGTACAGTCATACATAACTAGATGCATACCCATAATTAGATTTTTTTAAATAACTACTTTCCCAATACATGCAAAGGCTCAGGAAAGCAAGGGCTGGTTTTCCATTCTCTAGTAACTCTTAAGACCTTTTTAAGTGGGAAATTTTTGTACCATTGGTTTGGACATGGGATACATTTATTAGGATGAAACCATTAAAGTTTCTGAGAACTAGAAATTATTCAGAAACCACCAATCTGAAGGCCACTCTGAAAAAAGTCAAGGAAGGATAAAGAAGAGTAGGTTGGGCATAAATTGGAGTTAAAATATCAGCATTATGAGGGACTTCCCTACCTTATAAACAATTGCCCTAACTTTTACTACAATAACAAAATAAATGCTTCTGTGTAAGAAGAGTTGAAACTGTCATGTCAATTTTAAATGCAAAAAAAATTTATAATTTCAAATCAAGAGGATTGTTATAAGGCTTAAATGAAATAATTCTTGTAAAATACTTATCATACCTAGAACAAAATAGTACCAAGTAAATAGTAGCTATTTTTGTCACATTAGTATTTACTAATGTTCCCTGACGTAAGAATCACCTGGAGTGTACCTGTCAAAAATATCATTTCTGGGGCCTATACAAGGCCCATTAAGACAGAATCTCCAAGCAAGGAGACCCATAAGCCCTATGTTTACAGTTGTATTTTACATGATGAGTAAGGGAAAAATTCTATACTAAGAAATTGTGGCCATCTTAGTGATTTTCCATTAATCCCAGGATGTGTTTGGCACAGGGTGGTAGGGTCTGGCATTCAGGCCACTCTTCTTCCCTCTCCACATTCAAGTCTTCTAGTATCTAATTTATAAATATAGGAAATATTTTAATATTCTTTCAGTAAAAGCAGAGAAAATCTTTTCTGGTTACTGTGTTCATACTGAGTAGAAGAACCTGTTACTGAAAAACCAGGGGTTCGGTCTTGGTCCTGCTGCTCGCTGCACAGAAAGCCAATCACTATGATGCCGAGTATTGCCAAGGAAGAAGGCTTTAATCAGGTGCTGCAGCCAAGGAGATGGGAGCTCAGTCTCAAATCCATCTCCCTGACTAAAACCAGGTGTTCATTTGGCAGGCAAGAGAGATAAAAATGTGTAAGAAAACAGGAACCTGGGAGAGGCAAGGAAGCAATCTTGGGGAATTAGGGGTCGGCATCTGGTGTGGTGATCTGATTTCAGTTCTTTCATACTTTTCTGAGAGGCCTAAAGGTCATTTCCTGAGGAATGAACTCAGATAAAACAAATGTAAGTTTCAGGCTTTTTAAGACCAGAAGGGTCAATTTCTATGATTATCAAATAGAACAGTCCATGGGGCAATTGGGTTGGTTTCAAAATGACTTTAAATGGAAATATGTATTTTTTAAATCCCCAATTCATCTTTACTGCATTTGAAAGTCATTGATACTTAACAAAATCAACCTAGTTTTCCATTTGCACAGACATCTGGGAAAATCCTGGGACAGAAGGGACTTGAAAAGAAGAAATGGATAAAATAGAATATATTAAAGCTGGCCAGTATGAATCAAATAAACGTGTATAGATTTAATATACTTAATATTTTACCAGTGAAATAATATAACAATATCAAGGATATTTTGAAAGAAGAAAAAAGCCACCTAAAATCCTACTAGCATCATGACTACACCAGGCCCTCCAGTCCACGTGTTCTGCATCTGTGGATTCAACCAAGCATGGATCAAAAATGTCTTTAACAAAATGGGTGGTTGCGGCCAGGCACAGTGGCTCACGCCTGTAATCCCAGCACTTTAGGAGGCCAAGGCGGGTGGATCACCTGCGGTTAGGAGTTCGAGACCAGCCTGGCCAACATGGTGAAACTCCATCTCTACTAAAAATACAAAAATCAGCTGGGTATGGTGGTACACACCTGTAATCCCAGCTACTCAGGAGGCTGAGGCAGGAGAATCGCTTGAACCTGGGAAGCGGAGGTTGCAGTGAGCGGAGATCATGCCACTACACTCCAGCCTGGGCGACAGAGGAAGACTCCGTCTCAAAAAAAAAAAGATGGCTGCGCCTGTATTGAACAATTATAGACTTTTTTTGTGTCAATTATTCTCTAAACAATACAGAACAACAACTATTTACATAGCATTTACATTGTATTAGGTATTATATCTAACCTAGAGATTTTTTTTGAGATGGAGTCTCACTCTGTTGCCCAGGCTAGAGTGTAGTGGAGTGATCTTGGCTCACTGCAACCTCCACCTCCCTCGTTCAAGCAATTCCCCTGCTTCAGCCTCCCGAGTAGCTGGGATTACAGGTGCACGCCACCACGCCCAGCTAATTTTTTTTGTACTTTTAGTAGAAACGGGGTTTCACCATGTTGGCCAGACTGGTCTTAAACTCCTGACCTCAGGCAATCTGCCCATCTCGGTCTCCCAAAGTGCTGGGATTACAGGCCCTAGCGATTATTTAAAGCACAAGTGTGATGGTTAATACTGAGTGTCAACTTGATTGGATGGAAGGATGCAAAGTATTGATCCTGGGTGTGTCTGTGAGGGTGTTGCCAAAAGAGATTAACATTTGAGTCACTGGGCTGGGAAAGGTAGACCCACCCTTAATCTGGGTGGGCACCGTCTAATCAGCTGCCACCAAGGCTAGAATATAAAGCAGGCAGAAAATAAACGTGAAAAGGCTAGACTGGCTTAGCCTCCCAGCCTATATCTTTCTCCTGTGCTGGCTGCATCCTGCCCTCAAACATTGGACTTCAAGTTCTTCAGCTTTGGGACTGGGACTGGCTTTCCTGCTCCTCAGCTTGCAGATGGTCTATTGTAGGACCTTGTGATTGTGAGAGTTAATACTACTTAATAAACTCCCCTTTATATATATATATATATATATATATATATATATATATATATCCTACTAATTCTGTCCCTCTAAAGAATCTTGACTAATACAGCAAGCATACTTCATATTATTGTGCTTTGCATACACTCCTCTTCAGAAAAAAAAAATTGAAGGTTTGTGGCAACCCTGCATTTAGCAAGCTTATCAGCACCATTTGTCCAACAGTACACACTCACTTCATGTCTTGGTGTCACATTTTGGTAGTTCTTGCAATATTTCAAACTTTTTCATTATTATTATATCTGTTACTGTGATCTGTATTAAATGATCTTTGATGTTACTATTTTAATTGTTTTGGGGTGCCATGAACCACTCTTATGTAAGACAGTAAACTTAATTGATAAATGTTTTGTGTTCTGACTGTTCCACTGATCAGCTGTTCCCCATATCTCTCCCTCTCCTTGGGCCTCCCTGTTCCCTGAGACACAATGATATTGAAATTAGGCTAATTAATAACCCTTCAATGGCTTCTGAATGTTCAAGTAAAAGGAAGAGCTGTATGTCTCTCACTGGAAATCAAAAGCTAGAAATAATTATGCTTAGTAAGTAAGGCATGTCCAAAGCCAGTATAATCTGAAAGCTAGGACTCTTGCACCAAGCAATTAGCCAAGTTGTGAATATAAAGGAAAAGTCCTTGAAGAAATTAAAAGTGCTCCTCCAGTGAACAGAAAAATGATAAGAAAGTGAAACAGCGTTATTGCTGATATGGATAAAATTTTAGTGGTCTAGATAGAAGATCAAAGAAGCCACGATATTCCTTTAAGCCAAAGCCTATTCCAGAGCAAGGCCCTAACTCTCTTCAATTCTATGAAGGTTGAGAGAGGTGAGAAATCCACAAAAGAAAAGTTGGTAGTTAGCAGAGGTGGAATCCTGAGGTTTAAGGAAAAAAGCTGTCTCCATAACAAAAATGCAAAGCGAAGCAGCAAGTGCTGATGTGGAAGCTGCAGCAAGTTATCTAGAAGATCCAGTTAAAATCATTGATGAAGATGGCTACACTAAACAACAAACTTTCAGTGTAGACAGAACAGCCTTATATTGGGAGAATAGGCATTTAGGATTTTCATAGTTAAAGAGGAGAAGTCAATGCCTGGCTTCAAAGCTTCGAAAGACAGGATGGCTCTCTTGTTGGGGGCTAATGCAACTTGGGACTTTAAGTTGAAGCCAATGCTGATTTTCCATTCCAAAAATCCTAGGGCCCTTAAGAATCATGCTAAATAGTCTGAGTGTGGTCGCTCACGCCTGTAATCCCAGCACTTTGGGAGGCTGAGGCAGGCAGGTCACTTGAGATCGGGAGTTCAAGATCAGCCTGGTCAACATGGAGAAAACCCGTTTATGCTAAAAATACAAAAATTAGCCAGGCGTGGTGGCAAGTGCCTGTAATCTCAGCTACTCGGGAGGCTGAAGCATGAGAATCACTTGAACCTGGGAGGTGGAGGTTGCAGTGAGCCAGGATCATACCACAGCACTCCAGCCTAGGTGACAGAGTGAGACTCCATCTCAAAAAAAATAAAATAAAAAAGAATCATGCTAAATCTACTCTTCCTGGTGCTCTATACATGGAACAACAAAGCCTGGATGAAGCATATCTTTTTACAGCATAATTTACTGAACATTTTAAGCTCACTGTTTAGACCCACAGCTCAGAATATTTTTTTCAAAATATTACTGCTCATTGACAATGCACCTCATCACACATGAGCTCTGATGGAGATGTACAAGGAGATTAATGTTGTTTTCATGCCTAACACAATATCCATTCTGCAGCCCAAGGATCAAAGAGTAACTTAAACTTTCAAGTCCTGTTATTTAAGAAATATACTTCATAAGGCTGCAGCTGCCATAGATAATGATTCCTCTGATGGATGTGGGCAAAGTAAATTGAATGCCTTCTGGAAAGGATTCACCATTCTAGATGCCATTAAGAACATTCATGATTCATGGGAGGTCAAAATAGCAGCATTAACAGAAGTTTGGAAGAAGGTGACTCCAGTCCTCATGGATGACTATGAGGATTCAAGACTTCAGTGGAGGAAGTAACTGCAGATGTGGTGGAATTAGCAAGAGGACTAGAGTTAGAAGTAGAGCATAAAGATGTGACTGAATTTCTGCAATCTCATGATAAAACTTGAGCAGATGAGAAGTTACTTTTCATGGATGAGCAAAAAAAACTTTTTAATGGTTTTCCTGGGATGGATTCTACTGGTAAAATGCTGTGAACATTGTTGAACTGACAAAGGATCTAGAATATTACATAAACTTTAGGTGATAATGCAGTGGCAGCATTAGAGAGGACTGACTCCAATTTTGAAAGAAGTTCTGTGGGAAAAATCTATCAAATAGCATCATATGCTGCAGAGAAACTTTCCTTTTTTTTTTTTTTTTGAGATGGAGTTTCGCTCTTGTTGCCCAGGCTGGAGTGCAATGGCACGATCTCGGCTCATCACAACCTCCACCTCTAAGGTTCAAGCAATTCTCCTGCCTCAGCCTCCCAAGTAGCTGGGATTACAGGCATGTGCCACCACGCCCAGCTAATTTTGTATTTTTAGTAGAGTTGGGGTTTCTCCATGTTTATCAGGCTGGTCTTGAACTCCTGACCTCAGGTGATCCGCCCGCCTCGGCCTCCCAAAGTGCTGGGATTACAGGAGTGAGCCACCATGCCTGGCCGAGAAACTTTCATGAAAGGAAGAGTGAATCAATACAGCAATCTTCATTACTGTCTTATTTTAAGAAATTGCCACAGCCACCCCAATCTTCAGCAGCCACACTCTGATCAGTCAGCAGCCATCAACACTGAGGCAAAAAGATTATGACTCACTGAAGGCTCAGATGATTGTTAGTATTTTTAGCAGTATTTTTTAATTAAGGTATGCACTCTTTTAGACATTATGCTATTGCACAGTTAATAGACTACAGTATAGCATAAAAGTAACTTTTATATGCACTGGGAAACCAAAAAAATTTGTGCGACTCACTTACTGTGATATTTGTATTACAGTGGTCTAGAACCAACCCTGCAATATCTCTGAGGGATGCCTCTATATAAGAGGATATGCATAGATTATATGTATATACTACATCACTTTATATAAGGGACTTGAACATCTGTGGATTTTGGTATCCACAAAGGGTCCTGGAACCAATCCCACACCGATACCAAGACAACTACATTTCGTTTCTGTAATTTCCCTCTCAGTTATTTGTATGATTCTGTGTGTGTGTGTGTGTGTGTGTGTGTGTGTGTGTGTGTGTGTGTGTGTTGGGAGAATTGCTCAATGTCTTCTTGGTCTGTGCCCTTTTAAACTAGTTGTACTAAAGAGAACATTTGTCATGTGACTACAAGCAAAGAAAGGGCCAGAAACCTTTTTGTCATAATACTGCAAAGCTGGTTACTTTTGACAGTGCAAAAAAGGCTAAATGTTAACAGGTGCTGGACCTTGAAGAAAAAGGAGTGGGTGTGTAGCAGAGATGGAGGAATCGGGATGGAAAGAAATGAAGGAGTCCATAGAGGGCAGAAGCTCCTCAGCAACAGTGAGAGCAATGGCATGGGCAGCCCCAAGAGTTCAAAAGGAAAATCTATCATATGTGAGGGACTAAATAGAATGAGCTGAACAGAGTAGAGAAGCCATCACTATTCCTGTTTTTCTTGGGTGGGGTGGGGAATGATTCCATGTGGATCACAGTAAGCACTTGAGTGCAATGTAAGGCCTATTCTCTATAACCTTCCAGATTGCATTTATGACCATTCAGCTGGAGTAAGACTAATATTCAAAACAGTCCCAATTTTTAGATTTCAAGGACAAGGAAAACAGAGCTTCATGTGCATACATGATTTTATGTAGTTTATATCCTGCTGTACTAGTTATATGACCTAGGGCAATTTACATAACCGTTATGTTTCTTCATCTGGCAAATGGGGGTGATAGTTTTACCAACCACAGATGGTGAAGATGAGATCATCCATATAAAGCACTTCAAAAATATCTGGCACAGAGTAAGTGTGCTCCATAAATGTTACCTGCTTTTTATTACTGGTAGTGGTGGTGGATTATGCTTAGAGGTAAAGCAGAGGAAAATGCCTTGCTTGGGTCTCTCTGGCTTATGGGTAGTGGTGCATGCAGGTGGGAGGCTCATGACAACCTTTCACGCTCTAGGATGCTACAGGCTGCTGCAGAGGCCTGGGGACACCCACTCTGGCTTCCCTCCACTTCAGTCCTGCCTCCAGTCTGCTTCTAAGACCTCAGGGCTCCAGCAGTCTTCTCTCTCCCACCCACACTCCAAGGCAAATGGGCTCCATTCCTAGCCCAGGATCCTAAGAAACTTTACCCTTAGGACCCCTTAGGCAGGATCCTAAGAAACTTTATCCCTTCTCTACCATGCAGCTCCCCCTCTCTAAAGTCAATCACTGACTCCCTTCTCTAAAGTAGAAAGGTCCCTCTTAGAATAATAGTTTCCAATTTCATTTGTATTTCTCTAAATCCACTTCTGCTCCAAGGAAAAAGGGAAAATTTTGTTGTTGTTGTTCAGAGTCATAAAATATGTGTCTACCTTGGGTGGGGAGTAGCAGTTGAGTCATGGGAAACTTCTATCCAGAACTTATTTTTATGAGTTGAGCCCACATCAGTTAACTATGCCAACTGATTAAGATAAGAAGCTTTTGGTTCTTGGATGATTTATCTAATTCGATTTGGGATGATGAAGAGGTAATGTTCAAAGCTTACCAAGTCATAAATGAGTGAATTCCCTAGAAAATAGGATATCGGAAGGGAGAACTCCCTCTTCTGGGTGCAAGCTGGGCAGTGACCCAAACCAGAAAGCATGCTGAGTTACAGGTATGGATGAGAGACCATGCCACACTAAAGATCTGTAATCGCAGGCAGCAAAGTCAAGGCGGGCTTTGGGTGTTCTCATGAGGATACTGGAAAGCTTCTGACAGCACTAACCTAGAGGCAACGCTGAGTTTGGCAACCAAGCAGTTGGGATAGGAGGTGAGTCAGGAAAGAATTCAGGATTGTTGTTAAATGCTTTCCCTGTTGCTTGGGTCTGCCACCTTCAAATGTGGCGCTGTTCACTCTGGGAGCATCTTAAAGGTACCACTTTTAGACTTCCGAAGTCTTCTGCAAAGTACAAAGTGCCTCAAAAACACAGGTTGTTTTTAATGCTATTGTTATCAACAGTGTATAGTGGCACTGATTCATCAGAAATCATTCAAAGTCTGTTTGCTTTTCACAACTATTTTCTTGGCCAAGGGACTAGGTGTTCTTTTTTTTTTTTCTTTTGAGATAGTCTTGCTTTGTCACCCAGGCTGGAGTGCAGTGGTGCAATCTCAGCTCACCGCAGCCTCTGCCTCCTGGGTTCCAGCGATTCTCCTGCCTCAGCCTCCTAGGTAGCTGGGATTACAGGCTCCCACCACCACGCCCGGCTAATTTTTGTATTTTTAGTAGAGACGGGGTTTCTCCATGTTGGCCAGGCTGGTCTGGAACTCCTGACCTCAGGTGATCCACCCACCTCAGCCTCCCAAAGTGCTGGGATTACAGGCGTGAGCCACCGCGCCTGGCCTAGACATTCTTAATTCCAGTGCTTTGCTGCTTTTATTTCTTTGCTACTTTGTACCCAATAGGGGAAAGTAGGAATATTAGACTCCAAAGAGTTATTTTCTTCTGATTTCTCTAGTTTTCTGGGTGCTATAAGTTTTCTTTTTTTTTTCTTTTTTCTTTTTAAGTCTGTTTTAAAACAACAAAATGATTAATTTAAGTACTAGTTAAAAGGAACTTGTTCTGTTGTCACAAAGTCTCCTGAAGACATCAAGCAAGTAGGTAGAAGTATGGAGAAGTGAACAGGCACAGGCTTCTCAGTGTGACAGATATGGGTTCAAATCCTAACTCGGATTGTAGGCAAATTTTATTTCCATATATAGCTAGGACACTAACCCTACCTTGCATGGGTATTTGAGGATTCAAGAGAATATATCCTTGTCCAGTCTACCATATAATTGATCCTCAAAATAAATGGTAGCTGTTATTTTAGTCAGACACAGAATTTTGATTAGAAATTAAATTACCATGGCCCTAATAGAGTCAGGTTGAACACTATGCAGACATAGCAAATAAGTCATTTTAAAGGTTCCTTGCACTGTGGCAGGAATGCAGCCTGGTGGGGTAGGAATAAAAGATAGAAAAATGGCAGGGAGCAAATGGATTGTGAGTCAAAAACATTCTTTATCTTTAAATGTGCCCCATTATAACTACTCTGAAAACTATTAGTACTAAGACACATTTCACATTGTTTATAGAGAAATTAAACTGTAACAAAACGTATACCAAAAAAGGCCTTTCTATTCTTGACACATGGAACTGAAAATGTCCATCTTTACCACCTACTCCAAAGAGGGGGAAAATGGGTAAAACTTGTTTATATCTTAGAAAACACATAATGCTTAAGATACCTCATTATTAAGTACATTTTATTGACTTCTAAAACTGAGTTATGTGGATTGCTATTAGATCTGAAGTCTGCTTATTGTCTGTACTGCACGGAAAAAATGGTTTTAAGTATATTTATATTTACATCCCCTCATTTGTCTAAAGTCTCAAGCTGTTGTCATGCAACTACATTCCCTGAGGATCGTATTAGGTATGTTTGCATTCTGTGCAAAGTGATTACCAGTATTTGTCACACTTGCCAATCCCATGTGGAGGAAAGCTGATTATTCATGATTCAGATATAAGTATCTAGTGTAATCCACTAGCTTGAACTGAAATGGAGCTGAAGTGGTATTGATGGCTACAGAATGACGAGGAGGAGGAGGAAAAGAGTAAGAAAAAAATCACCTAGTGCAGTGGCTCACACCTATAATCCTAACACTTTGGGAGGCTGAGACTGGTGGATCACTTGAGCCCAGGAGTTCAAGACCAGCCTGGGCAACATGGCAAAACCGCATCTCTACAAAAAATACAAAAAATTAGCTAGGCATGGTGGCACATTCCTGTGGTCTCAGTTATTCGGGAAGCTGAAGTCCCAGCTATTTGGGAGGAAGCCCAGGGAGGTCGAGGCTGCAGTTAGCCTGGTTAGGGAGACCTTGCAACTGTGAAGGACACTCAATGCTACCACTGCTGGCACTGGTGTGAACCCGAAACTGTCCCTGCTTCTTTGTGACATTCACTCCAGACACAAAGTTCTGGCGGGGATGGTCTGACAGACTAAGCTCAGGAACTTAGGTTGTGTCCTAGTGGTCAGCGGTCTAAAGGATTTGGCCTTTTTCAACTTCCACAGTTTAAGGTGGAACCCTCACCTCCTACCAGACTCACCAAACAGAAGGTGGCTTAGATGTTTGGCAGCCTCCCCAAAATGCCAAGATTCCCTCACAGAAGGTTTCCTTTGTGTTTCTGATTTATATACTCTATCTTCAGAGAACACTTAACGAAGGCTAACAATAAAAAACACTGATTCGATGTCTGTGTTAAAACAAAAGAATAAAACCTAGAAGCCATGGGACAAGGCCAGAAAGGTCTTAGGAAATTAGAGCAAAAGGATGCTAGAGGGAGAAAGAGAACATTTTTTCTTATTTTTTCTTTAATTCTTTTCCCTCTCACATTCTTCTCAGTAGTGTGAAAAGTTATTTTACAGAGGCACTCCCGGCCCACAGGGTTTCTAGAACTTGCTCTTCAGTCTTCTTGGATCAGTTTTCTTGAGGTTTATATATAAAGGGCTACTAATATACAATGCTGAGAATCTATACATGTTACTGGCCAAGGTATTAAAAGCAAAATCTTCCAGTCCGTGATTGAGGCCAAGTGTTGTGAAAGAAGGAGCTTTAGCCTGACTCATTCAAAAACCCATATCTAGTTCAAGGCTTTACCTCTTAGAAATGAGATGACCACAGGAATCCCATCTAACCTCCATCATGGTGCTCAAAGTGGCTAAATTGACAAAAGACTATAATGAAAGGTAAGGCGTTTCTGAGCAATCCAATGGACTTTTTTACCCACTCATTCATCTACTTATTCATTGAGTAACTACTATTTGATAAGCATAGCAAATAAGACAAAGGTTACTACCCTCAAGAAGCTTACATACTAATAGTTTAATCAGAGTTTGGATGAAAACTCAAATGCCATTGGTAGCTAAGAAGGTAAGAGAAACTGTGTGAGGCAGCTTTTTTTTTAATGTATCAGTATTGAGTGGTGGAGCCTATGGCAAGTCCTACCCAAAAGTATTCAATCTCATGTTTTTTAAAAAAGTCATATATGTAAAGAAGGAATTAAAACATAGGACATTATATGCAATAACATATGTATAAATTGATTCAGAGACTAGAAAGCTATTCGTTCTGCTCAGAGTGGAATGGTAAAGGTGTTAGAAAATCTTTCAAGAGGACATGATGCCTGAAAATGGTTTTGAAAGACCAAAGGAGATCCCCAGGTAGATAAGTGGGAGAAAAGCGAAGTACACATCATGTGCAAAGACATGTAGGATTGAAGCAATATGTATAATGGGCTCTATAAGATGTTTAATGTGACAGATCCAGAGGAAAGCAAGGAAGAAATGAAACTAGAGAGGAGATCTAGAGTCAATTAATAGAGGACCTGGTATTACTATCTTTAGAAAAGTAGGGAACAGAACAGAGGAAACTGAGAGGATCTGAAGTAGTTGGGAGGAAAGATTTAAGGAAGCATAAAAATAAAAGCAAAGAGAGCCATTAGAAGGGATAGCAACATCAAAGATGAAAGATAATGGGGCTTCAATGAAGTGTCTGTAGAGATGGAGAAATGCTAGATCTAAAGACTATCATGGGGATAAGACTGGAAAAAAGTTTAGTGGTTTAATAAATTTGTAGATTAACCTAGTGTGCTGCCATTGAAAGAGATCTATGAAAATCAGGGAAAGAGATCTATGGAAATCAGGGAAAATAAGAGAACAAGGATACCAGTGTCATAAAAGTCAACAAAGGAGACAACTTTAATTGGAGATGGATGTCAACAGTATGTAATGGGAAGATCAAGTAAGTTAAGAGCAGAGACATGTTTATTGATATTTAACAAGGCCTTTAGACTTTTGGTAAAAGCAGTATAAACAGTCTTAATGAATGGCAGTGGTTACCCCTAAACAGGGAAATATATCTGAGGAAGGGCATATATAAGTAGAGTCCACAGTGAAAAGCCCAATCCACTGACCCTGTATGATAGATTCAGGAAAAAAAGATGAAAAGGACCTGAACCTTATGACTCTGGTTTTGTTGTCAATATATACATTCCTCCTTCTTCTGGTGACAGCATCTTGATTTTTCTTTAGCAACTAACCCTCCATCCCTCAGAGTCTATTTGGTTTAGGATAGACATTCCCTAACCACCACATGGACACATGACTCAGACCTGGCCAATCATAGGATTCCATTCCCTTGGCCATAGCAATTGATTCAGTGATGAACCACAACCCAAGCCAGACCATGAGACACAATCCTTTGGTGTTGGCATATATTTTTGTTGTACTTTTTGTTTGGTGTGAATTAGGATGTCTTTTTTAGAGCTTTTGAGCTCCTTTCCTCTGGGATTACCAAGAGAAATTATCTTTCCTCTAGTATTATTGAAATTGCAGGACATAAGCCTGGAGGTGCTGGAAACCACCAGATGCAGAAGGCTTGCCTGGGAATAAGGCCAGCGCATAGGAAAGTAGAACTGAGAGATGGAAAAGAGGGCAGAGGAGGAGAAGAGAGAAAGTGGCTAGGTTCTAATGACATCATTTGAGCACTTGAAGCCAACAAATACTTTTCAGTAATGTGAGCCAATAAATCCTCTTTATTTAAGCCACTTAGAGTTGGGATTTCGGTCTCTTCTAGCCAAAAGAACCCTAATTTGAAACAGCGGATGGAGAGGTGTGGGAAGCAAACCAGTTTCAGTTCAGCCTTGCCTGGAGCCAGCTCTGATCATGGATCTCAAAGTTTGCCTTATCCCCCACCCTACTCAGCCAAAAAAAATAGTTTAGGTGTCTTATCATCTTAGTCCTCCAAAGGATTGATTCATTGAGAGGGGGCTGTGAGGAACCTTGCAGAATCTCAGCAGCTTGGCCCTGAGCCAGGACCAAATTGTTGCTGATGGATCAAGGTTTCTGGGAACCAGCTGTGAAGGAGAGATACCATATAATCCTTAGAATTCTTAGAGCAAGGACCCCTGACTGCTCCCGTTCTGCAAAAACTAAAAAATGGGAACCACCATTTTCTGCCAGAAAAAGGCAACATCTGGAGTGCAATTACCATAAGAAATGGAGTTGCAAACCCCTGCTACTCTGCATTTAAAGCAGACACAATGGCTTCTAGGCACAGTTGTGCTCAACTCCAGGGGCACCAAACACATTGTAGTTATGTGAATAGCATCCCTTGGAGTTATGCCATGCTCAACCTACACAGCCATATGTAATGATCCTGGCAGCTACTCGCTAATTAGTGAGAAAATTAGCATCCATCGACCCTCAAGTACAGAGAGACTTTGTATCTGTGTCAACTACAGAGAGGATAAGAGAGAAAAGAAACCATTTGCAACAGTTCAGATAGCAAAAATCTTTAGCATTTCAGTTATTCAGAAAGGAGCCAGCTGAGTTTTCTGTGTGAACCTACTTTGTCCCAGAGCCCTTGTCCCAAAGTGCAAATGTGAGGCAGGGTTCATGGCCAAGGATAACTCAACAGTCCATCCTGGTCTGAGTCCCCACATGCTCTCTTTCCTAAAAAGACTAATTTGGGCAAACACTGAGTAAAACAACTGGTACTCCAGAAAGCACCTGGATTTTTGGGCAAAAATAGTACTGAGCCAACTTAAACAAAAAACAAGTGGACTTAATTTAAATATGGACAGAGTCAGTTTGGGGTCACAATTAAACCCTCAGGATTCCACTGTGCCCCCTTCTCTTCCAGATGTGGGACACAGTAAAAATAGCTAAGATAGCCTGCTCATATGCACGTTCAGAAAAGATTTGCCCCAAATCTTTCCAAGGACTGATATTGAGTCTACTTTTCATGATGTGAACAGTGTGTCCAAATGAGGCCTAAATTCAGGTCTTTGCCCCTTATCAATTCCATGTGAGAAATACGAAGAGATTGCCTTTAATTTCCCAGAGTAGGGCCTCAAAGACCAAGCAATCCAGCCTAAAACTAATAAAAGCAGCATCCTGAAAAGAGTACTAAGCTTTCCCCCCCACACACTCAGAAAAAAATAAATAAATAAAAATAGGCCGGGCACGGTGGCTCATGCCTGTAATCTCAACACTTTGGGAGGCCGAGACAGGTGGATCACCTGCCTGAGGTTGGGAGTTCAAGACCAGCCTGGCCAACATGGTGAAACCCCATCTCTACTAAAAATACAAAATTAGCTAGACGTGGTGGCATATACCTGTAATCCCAGCTACTCAGGAGGCTGGGGCAGGAGAATTGCTTGAACCCGGGAGGCAGAGGTTACAGTGAGCCGAGATTGTGCCATTGCACTCCAGCCTGGGCAACAAGAGCAAAACTCCATCTCAAAAAAAAAAAAAAAAAAAAGGAAGGAAGAAAGAAAGAAAGACAAACCCAAAATCAATTCTCCTTTTTCTTTTTTAATAATTTCAACTTTTATTTTACAGTACATGTGCAGGTTTGTTACATGGGTATATTGCACGATGGTTGTGGCATACAATTGACCCCATCATCCAGCAGTGAGTGAGTCTAGTACCCACTATTAATTTTTCAATCCTTGCTCTCCTCCCTCCCCTCCTCTTAGTAGTCCCTGGTGTCTACTGTTGCCTTCTTTATGTCCCTGAATACCCAGTGTTTAGCTCCCACTTATAAGTGAGAACATGCAGTATTTGGTTTTCTGTTCCTGCATTAATTTGCTTAAGATAATGGCCTCCAGCTGTATCCATGTTGCTGCAAAGACCGTGATTTTGTGTTTTTATAGCTGCAAAAATCAATTTTTCTTATGTCTCCTGTGAAGCTGCAAAATACAAAGAAGCCATTTTCTCCATAACTGTAACCATCACAGGCAATCTATTTGCACTCACGGGTAAAGTCTGATCTGGAGTATTTTTTCTAAACTGGTGAGAACTTCCACTTGTAGCTAATGATCCCCTCACCTCACTTGCATTTTTTTCTGAGTAACAGTAACTTTCACCTTGGATGATCTAGTCCTTAAACGACTGTAATGTGTTTCCAAAGGGGCACTGTTTCAACATGAGAACTGCATTAACAATTGGCAGAAACCCTTGTTTTTTCTCTGTCCCACTTACCATACCATGATGGCTGTCCCAGGCCAATATTAAATATTCTGCTAGTTTACATTTGAGCAAATCAAACAAACACCTGTTGGTTCCCTTTAGTATTTCAGAGATAGGGAATACGGCTAGAAAGTCATAGTAGGAACAGCTACCACTTATTGAGTACCTCAGAGTGTTTTACATACATTATCTTTAATTCTTAGAATAACCCAGCAAAAGTGGTAGCACTTTTATTAGGGTTTTTTTTCCTCTTTTTTTTTTTTTTTTTTTGAGACGGAGTCTTGCTGTGTCACCCCAGGCTGGAGTACAGTGGCCCGATCTCAGCTCACTGCAACCTCCACCACCCTGGTTCAAGCAATTCCCCTGCCTCAGCCTCTGGAGTAGCTGGGATTACAGGCGCATGCCACCATGCCCAGCTAATTTTTTTGTATTTTTAGTAGAGACGGGGTTTCACTATGTTGGCCAGACTGGTCTCAAACTCCTGACCTCAGGCAATCCGCCCGCCTTGGCCTCGCAAAGTGCTGGGATTATAGATGTAAGCCACATGCCTGGCCAGAATTATTAGGTATTATTCCGTGGTGGACAGCTCTGTGCAAACTTAGCCCCAAAGTCCAAGAAAGTGGAGAAGTTGAAGAAAGAGACTGACATCGCCACTTTCTCAGAAAGAAACACCTAATAGGGACTTAAGAACTGAAGCCATGCTTGCGTCTCAGGTGGTGGCAAGATGAGATGGTGGATCCCCATGCCATTACCCTCCAGACGTAGGGCTTACATACCATAGGGGAGTAATGTGTAGGATAGTTATAGCGAAAGGCAAGAATGCTGTGTTAATCTGCATAAGGGCAGGATTTTTGGTTAAGGATGTTTAGACCTAAGAGTCAATACATCCTTTTACACAGGAAATGATATAATAGAAATCTTAGAGGCATTCCTGGAACTAGGGTTAATCAGAAGTCAACATGGTGGATTAGCATACAAGATGGAGTTGCTTTAGCTTCCGCAGGTGTTGAAACTGAAATTTAAACTCACATCTACCTAAGATGAAAGACCAGGATCTTAGGCCATGAACTTTCTCACTAAGTCAGCTTAACAGCAGAGAAGACAGGCATCCTTAACTCACAAAAAACTGGAGTTTTATCAACTTGACATCACACAAAGCACAATTCCTGTGATGACTGGTAGGGGATCCCAAATGTGCCAGAGGAGTGGTGACCAGTAGATTTTCTTTTTAATAACAAGCAGAGTTATTTAGTTCACAATTCTAGATGCTGTAAAGTTCAAGAGCATAGTGCTGGCACCTGGCAAGGACCTTCATGCTGTGTCATCCCATGGCATAAGGCAGAAGGGCAAGAAAGACCAAGATCAAGACAGCAAGAGGCCTAACTCACTTGTATAAGAAAAATGCTCCCAAAATACCGAGCCCACTCCCTCGATAACAACATTAATCCAACCATAAGGGCAGAGCCTCCATGACTTAATCTCTCCTCATTAGGCATCACTTCCCAACACTGTTGCATTGGGGATTAGGTTTCCAACACATGAACTTTGTGGGAAACCTTCAAACCATAGCATCCACCAAGGGAGACAGGAGTAAAAATTAGAGATATTGACAAGAAACAATGTCCCCAGTTAGTTTTTCAGGTTATAAATAGGCACATTTGCTCACATACTCATTTCTGCCCTCCCTTCACATCCTTATTTTGAGCATTATCTCTATGCCAAGATTTGTGATGATTATGTACTAAAAGATGAGGTCTCACTGGTTGGTCAACTAGCCCTGGTGTCACCATTCACAGCAGGAACAGGGAGGCAAGTGATGGCCTATAACATATCAATGCAGCAGTAGTAAAAAGCAGATGCCAATCTTCATGATGGAATCCAGACCCTGAAGGCACCCAAGTATACAATACCTAGACATAAAACATTAAGTCCAGGCACAGTCGACTCACGCCTGTAATCCTAGCACTTTGCAAAGTGGAAGAAGGAGGGTTTCTTCAGCCCAGAAGTTTGAGACTAGCCTGAGCAACATAGCAAGATCCCATCTCTACAAAAAAACTTTAAAACTTAGGCTAGTATGGTGGCATGCACCTATAGTCCTTGCTACTCAGGAGACTGAATTAAAAAGCAAGAGGATCACTTGAGCCCAGGAGTTTGAGGCTGTAGTGAGTCATAATTGTGCCACTGTACTCCAGCCTGGGTGACAGAGCAAGACCCCATCTCAAAAAAAAAAAAAACCACACAAACAACCTGAAGCACCTAAATGGAACACTTAAGAGGTTAAATATTTTCAGTGTGATAGTGAGAAGGAAGATTTAGATACCCATAACTGCCTGCCAATGACAAACTACCTTCTAAAACCCAAAGTGATGATTCTGTTAACATCACTGAACATGAGTAGGAGATAATGGAAAGTAAGGAATCCTTCACACCTCCAGCTCAAACAAGTGAGCAGGAGTTCACCAAAAATATCTGATCAATATGGTTCTCATAAAACTTTTAATATAATACTAGAGGTTACTTAAATGGACAAAATAAATGCCATTCTATTATATTGCAGGCATATTAGTTTACATATATTAAAATTTAAGTTGGGGGAAAACTAAACTAATGATTATATCACTGAAACACCAGGGGTTTGGTCTAGGTCCTGCTGATCACCACACAGAAAGCCAATGACTGAAACGACAAGTATTGCCATGGAAGAAAATTTTAATTGGGTGTTGCAGCCAATGACAAGGCAGCTCAGTCTCAAATCCAACTCCCTGACCCACAAAAACTAGGGGTTTATATAGCAGGGAAGAAATGTTAACAATGTGTAAGGAAATACGAACTAGGGAGGGGCAAAGAAGCAATCATGATGAGGATCCCATATCTCATTGTCTGGATGTGGTTGCTTTAGCCTGAAATTCTGATAAGTCTCAGTATTTTGATACTTTTTTTTTTTTTCTTGAGAGGTCTGAAAGTCATTTCCTGAGGAAGGAACTCAGATATAACAAATGTAAACTTCAAGCTTTAAGACCAGAAGGGTTAATTTCTATATTTATCCAAATACTATCTATGGGACTATTAGGTCAGTTTCAATTAATTTCCTGGATTTTAGTTATAAAATGTTATAGATTTTAGAATATGAAGTAACTTTCTCTGCTTCTAAATTTGAGATTTAAAATATTAAGAATTTTAAAAGGTAGGTGTCCTAAAATTAAAATTAAATCTTATTTCTTAAAAAAACCCTCAGTTGATTTTATCTTCACATAAAAGGTCATGGTAAAATAACTAATCTTCTATTTTTGAAAAATAAAAAATATATCAATGTTTTCAAACATATGCTTTTTAAAAATCACAGGGAAAAATATAATCTAATAAGAGATTCATGGATCTGTAAAGAGTTGAGTAGTTGAGTGGTCAGAGGGTCCACTAATACTCTGAAGCCTTTTGTGTGTTTGTGTGTAAGTGCCGTCAGTGGAAAAAGAGGGGAGGGAGTTAGTAATTTTTTCAGATTCTCAAAGGTGTATGTGACCCACATGAGGGTTGATATTGACTGTAGGAAAGTATGAGAAAATGTTAAAACCTTGTCAGTTACTGGAAGCTATGACTATCTCTGATTAAAGTCCAAAACAAAAACTAGCTAAAATATAGGTACAAAATCTGAACTCCAACATTCAGATGAATTAAAGTTCCTTGGGGGCAATAAAAGAACAGACTCTCTCTGTGGCCCTCAGTAGCACCCATTGAGCCAATAGTCCATCAGGTCATTGTTGTTTCTATCCCTCCACAAAGAACCAAGCCCACAATGTGTAAGAGATTTGCTTTGCTTTTTCAACTCCAGGGCCCTAGCAGTTCACAGCAGCTGGAACCAGTCCAAGCAGGCTGCTGGATAAGGATGAGCTGTGTATTTCACTTTTATAGATCAAACGGCTTCTCGTTTATTTATCATCTGTGTGATAGAGAAAAGTACCAATAAAATGTGATTGTAAATCCCTACCTTCTTCCAGGATCAAGGAAAGAACTAAAAAAAAGCTAAAAGGGAAATGACAACACAGTTTTGTACCTAAAAACGTGTGGCCGGGCGTGGTGGCTCACGCCTGTCATCCCAGCACTTTGGGAGGCTGAGGTGGGCAGATCACCTGAGGTCAGGAGTTCAAGACCAGCCTGGCCAACATGGTGAAATCCCATCTCTATTAAAAATACAAAAATTAGCCAGAAATGGTGGCAGGCACCTGTACTCCTAGCTACTCGGGAGGCTGAGGCAGGAGAATCGCTTGAACCCAGGAGGTGGAGGTTGCAGTGAGCCGAGATCACGCCACTGCACTCCTGCCTGGTGACAGAACGAGACTCTGTCTCAGAAAAAAAAAAAAAAAAAAAAAAAAAGTATGTTTTTCTAAATCAGATGCTGTTCTTGTTTCTTGAATTAAACATCCCTGAAGATGTTGAATCTCAAAAGTAGAAAGTTTGGGGATTGGGGATGTTGAAGAATTGACTGTTTCTGGGCAGCCTATTGAGTGAAATCTTGAGATAGGGTCTTTGATAACCGTACCCTAGGAAACATTTTATCTGCTGTTTCCTGTTAACATGAGAACTGCATCACTTTAACAGGTTTGGGCCCCTCATCCCAGGAAACATTCATCACCCGAGGAAAATAAATCATGCACATGAGGAGGATGGGGCTTGTGTTACCAAGGACTATAAGAAATAAAACCAAAAAAAAAAAATAATTAAAAGTTTAAAAAGAAATAAAACTTATCACTGAATGGGTTTCACTGGAATCTATTTCTAGGATTGCTCCCACTTACACATCTGTGGCATTTGTTTTACCCCAAGAAAATATTTTCATTCTAAGAATTTTCTTTTACTTTTTCAGCAAAAATTCATGGTTTTACATTCTCTCAGATGCATCCGCAGCAGATCCTTACAAGAACAGTGTAACTCACCTCTGAGTAACCTTCATATTGTCTTCTGCAAATGCAGAAGCCGATAAGAATTCTGGCCTGCACAGAAGAACTAGGCTGGAGACTGACTCTCTTCTCTACCTTGTCAATGTCCCAATCAAGGCCTGTGCACACTGGTGGCTACTACGTATTCATGGAATAGTAACCATAGCTAACATTTATATAGAGTTCACCATTGTAAGCACTTTACTTCACACAAACACTGTACGATAGGAGTATTACACCATTTCATAGATGAGGAAATGGAAGCACAGAAAGCTTAAGTTGACCAAAGTCACATAGCTAGTAAGTAGTATAACTGTTATTTAATTCTAATAACCCATGGGAGTATGAATAATTTTTCCTACTTTTTGCACAAGAATCATGAGCCTCGAAGAGGTCAAGTGACTAACCTAAATTCACACAATTAGTAAGTGGCAGTTAGAATCCACCCTAAGCCAATCAGTATTCTTTCTCCATGCCTCTCTGCAGGCCAACGACAGCAATAGCAGCACTTAAATCCTTTAAAAAATGTCTTACTTTGGTCTTTGTTTCCTTTATATCAAAAATAATCATTCATCCAGACAGAAAATAAGGGATCTAGAAATAAAACTTCCAGGAAATAAAAATGTTCTGTATGTTTCTTGTTCTCTCCATATGTGAACAATTACTACAGAAGACTAATGTGCATGCTCACTTGCTTCAAGCTTCACTGGCAAGAACAAACAAGTTTGAAGAGTCATACACACACAAAAATACCAATAGCACAGAAAAGCAGTTGAAAATACCTATCAATGTCCTGGCAAGAACAAAGGAATTCCAACTTACTTCATTTCAGTTAAGGGTGAAATATATTGGAAATTCATTTCTAATAAATGAACTATTTAACTTGGCAAACACTGGAGTTGAAGAACTTGCTTCTGAAGCACAATGTCATTTGTAAAAAATGCACTCACCCCTGCATAATAAGGACATTTTCACTGACCTCAAGTGTTTGTAATCTTAGAGGAAATAAAATGTTTTTGGCAGAATGACTTATTAGGCTTAGAGTTAGAATTAAACCAGGGCTTAGACAAAGATCTTGCTCTTGGCAGTTCTTTGTGAAACAGCCAAATTTTGCTGTCAGCACCTCTCCAGTTTACCTACCACCCCAACTCCAGGTGTGTTCCTAGGACTTACATATTGTCCCAGGGATGTTCACAATCGGCCCCATCCCACAACTATAAAAATTGCCTCCCTGAAAAGTTCAGTGTGTTTGTACAACAAAGTCTCCTTCTCTCTTTGTACAACCAAGACTTCTTCTCCCCCTTAAATAGAGAAAATACTAGAGTATGCTTTCCAGAGGAGAGAGATATGAAATGGAAGAGTGGAAAGATTGCTAAATATCCCCCCAGTATCCATTTATCCTTTCTATATTTTTGTAATATAACTCCTCTGCCCAGCTAGAGATATACAACCTAGCATGTCTCCACCTAGCCATCGCCACGTAGCTAAATATTTGCCAATAAAATATGAACAGGGGCCGGGGATGGTGGCTCATGCCTGTAATCCCAGCACTTTGGGAGGCCGAGGCGGGCGGATCACGAGGTCAGCAGATCGAGACCATCCTGGTCAACATAGGGAAACCCCATCTCTACTAAAAACACAAAAATTAGCTGGGCGTGGTGGTGCGTGCCTGTAATCCCAGCCACTCGGGAGGCTGAGGCAGGAGAATCTCTTGAACCAGGGATTTGGAGGTTGCAGTGAGCCGAGATGGCACCACTACACTCCTGCCTGGTGACAGAGCAAGACTTCATCTCAATAAATAAATAAATAAATAAAATATGAACAGGAACAATGGTGCAACTTCTGAAAACTTCTTTACTTCAAAGCTAACCACTTGGCATCCACTCCCTTTGCCTGCTTCAGTGGGTGCTGGTAAACCAATTTCAAACATGTGGATTAGGGTAAAACTCCAGGAAAGGTGGAACAGCAAAACAGAAGATCCCCGGATCATTTGCCTATCATTATGAAGGAAATAAACTTTAATCCTGATTAAGCCTCTGTTATTTTCATTATTCTGTAAAATGGTCACATCAATATCTTAACTCTATGTGTGAGAAAGGAAGGGAGAGCAGCAAGAAAACCCCCCAGAAATGAGTGAGACACACACACAGAGACCCCTCCTTTGAGCCTCAATTTCTTCATCTTTAAATGGGAATAATCCCTCTCTTTCACTGTTAAATTAAATAATATATGTAATACATTAAGCAGACTACATAAGTTTTCAAGCAATGATGACTTGAAAACAAAATTATAATCTTCTCATTTGAAACATCAAATATTCTTTCCCCTTCCCTATCCAAGTAGTCACCAAGTCCAAATATGATAGGTCAGATTATTACACCATTTCATAGATGGGGAAATGGAGGCACAGAAAGCTTAAGTAAGTTGACCAAGGTCACATAGCTAGTAGGTAGTGTAACTGTAATTTAATTCTAATAACCTACTGGAGTATGAATAATTTTTCCTACTTTTTGGACAAGAAACATGAGCCTTCTTTATTATCCATCCTTTTCTCTTAAATTCTCACTGCTACTATCATAACTCTGGCCAGAGGTCACCAACAGACTACCCATAAGCTGAATCCCATCAGAGACATTATTTTCCTGTAATTAGTCATCAATATAAAAGCCAGGAGTTTCCAATTACCATTTTGCAGTTAAGAGAACAAGGGATCTCTGGAGAAATGGACAATTCCTAGTCGGTGCAAGAAATTTTAAAAGCTAATCTGGAACATCTTGCCATATGAGATAAAAGAAATTATCATACTACTTAGGGTGTGTCAAATGACTCAGGGAATGAACCTAAGAGGCTATGACAGATCAAAGTGAGATGAGTTAGTCATCAACAAGAATAAATGCAATGGATTGAAAAATATCAAGTGTATTTAAATCTGTGAATTCATAATCATAATAAAAAAACAGTTAATTGATAACCATGGAAGATGATTAAGAACTATTTCATTATTTTGAAAATTTATAAGGGGAAGAATCAAGCATTCATCCGTCCTTTCCTAAAGAAAGCGTACTGCTAGGTAATCAAATAATAGATAAGGGGAAAGTTTCTCTTTATAAAAGTATTCTAGTGAATAAATGGTTTGTGGCCGGGTACTGTGGCTCATGCCTGTAATCCAGCACTTTGAGAGGCCAAGGCAGGCAGATTGCTTGAGTCTAGGCGTTCGAGACCAGCCTGGGAAACATGGCGAAACCCTGTCTCTACAAATAAAAAAGAAAAAATTAGCCAGGCATGTTGGTGCACACTTGTTGTCTCAGCTACTCAGGAGGCTGAGGTGGGAGGATCCCTTGAACTCAGGAGGTGGAGGCTGCAGTGAGTTGAGATCGCCCCACTGTACTTCAGCCTGGGTGACAGAGTGAGACCCTGTCTAAATAAATAAATAAAATTTAAAAAGAGGTTTACACACACACACACAATACATATATGATCAATAGAGTAGAAAATCACTATTCTACAACCTCCAAAAATGTAGCTGAACCAGTATTTCAATATGAATAGTTGCTAATATTAAAAGAGAGACAATCAGACATCATGTCTCTCAGCAAATGGAAAAACACAGTATCACTTATGGAGATTTGCCCCAGAAAAACCCAAACTAGAATCTGATCAAGCTTCTATAATGCTACTACCAATTTACAGAAAATACAGAGGAAAAGTAAACACATTAAATGATACTTCAAGGACGCAATCAACAAAACCCAAACTCTAGGAAACTTCACAGAACATCTCAGTTAACAAATAAATTACAAGAAAAAGATGCAAGATAACAATGAAAAATTGTCTCCCAACACTCAACAGCAACGGGACCTAAAGCACAGACTTTACACAATAGAAAGACTCACTCAAGTTCTGCCTCTGCCATTTATGAGCCATTTGCATGGGGAAATTAATTTAACCTCTTTAAGCTTACTTTTCTTCACCTGTAAAATGGTAATACTAACAGTACCTACCATAGGGTTGCTTTGAGGCTTGAAATAATGCACACACAATTGCCCAGCTTATAGTACATGTACTATAAAAGTTATCTATATTTATTATTTTTATTTTTTGAGATGGAGCCTTGCTCGTCACCCAGGCTGGAGTGCAGTGGCACTATCTGGAATGCAGTGGCACAATCTCAACTCACTGCAACCTCCGCCTCCTGGGTTCAAGCAATTCTCCTGCCTCAGCCTCCTGAGTAGCTGGGATTACAGGCATGCGCCACAATACCTGGCTAATTTTTTGTATTTTTAGTAGAGACGGGGTTTCACCATGTTAGCCAGGATGGTCTCCATCTCCTCACCTCGTGATCCGCCCACCTCGACCTCCCAAAGTGCTGGGATTACAGGTGTGAGCCACCACACCCTGCCAAAAGTTATCTTTATTATCTTCATCATTAGGAAACATGTGCTGAATGAATGATTAAATAACTAGAATTAATCTGCTAAAAATACAGAATGTAAACTATTCTTAGTGATAATATTGGCCAGGTCATTTACTCAGTATTTATAGGGCACTGGAGCTGGCACAGGAGGCATAAAAATAAATGTAAATGTGACCTCCACCCTCACACTTTTGCCTTTTCAAAAACAGTCAGTGTCTTAACCTCAAGGAATACCAGCTAATGAAGATGTCAAGGCCCATTAACAGCCTGCTGGGAAGAACTTTTAGGAAGGACAGCCACCAAATATTTGTACTTTCAAGCAAAATCTGACTGAGGGTGGATAGTGCTCACTTGTGATAGTTTACTCTATATGATTGAATCATTGTGGAATTACCACCATTCTCACAGAGATTGAAAACTCTTTCCTGTTTTCTATTCTTGCCATTCCCATCTGTTCCTCTTTTTCATCCACAAAGTTTCCTTTCACTCCATATACCTCCTGGGGATCAAAATCCTGTGACACATTTGTCTCTATGACTTGTATGAGGAAGAGAATGCATAAGCTTGCCAGAATATTAAAAGAACAGATACTTCCTCATTAGAAGAGAGCCAACCTACTTTAATGTTGAGATACAAATGACTAATGCAGTACAGACAGTTCCTACCTCATAAACACTCAACTTACAAATGACCCAGACACACACTACTGCTCCACCCCACCAGACTGCTGTTGCCATGGGAACCACTCAAGGTAGGGAGGGGAGGAAAACGGAAGGTTTTACAGGAGCTGGGCGTTCAGAATAAAAGAAAGGGAAGAAATCGAAACAAGTAAAATAGCTTGTCTTCCCCAGCTTATCTCGAGTTTGTTCACTGAGCTCTGTTCCATTGTCTGAAATTCTATAATCATAGAGGACACTGGTTAGCAAAACCCTCTTTTTTTTTTTTTTTTTTTTTTTTAAGACAACTACTTCTAGTGGGAGTTTTTACAATAATACACAATGACTTCTGGGCTAACTTTTCACTAAGGGGAGATTCTTAGTATCAGTATTTTTATCAGAGACAGAAAGATGGCTCTGATATTATTAACCACAACTGGCAGTCAGCATCCAAGGCACAGCATCCTTAGCAAGAAACATTCACTTGTAAATACAATTCACAGGCACCAGGTACACAAACTCCAGCTATCATTTGCATATGTGATATAACAGGTGAGGCACACCTGGTAGTTATACAACACAGTAGCCCTGAGTATCAACAGCCCCTTCAGTGCTGGCAGCATAAGGAGGTTTTGTAATGAAAACCTAGTGCAACAGAGAGGGGAAATAATGGATTTGGAATTTTATCAAATAGACAAAATAACCACTTTGGGGGCTACATCTAAACCAGTCATACAAAGCTACTTAGGGGAAACTATGAGAACTAAAAGCTTGAAAGAAAAATCTGCCCAAGCCAGTGGCTTTTTTTTTTTTTTTTTTTTTTTTTTTACCTCTGAGTGGGTATGAACTGTAAAAGAGGTATTTTTTTCTAATTTCAAGTCAGGCACTGTATCTATACATAAAATGATTTTTTTAAAGAATAAATCTTTCCGAAGAATGTTTAAGCAGTTATTATCACTTCTGAAATTTGACTGAACACAATTTTTAAAACCCTTTTATATTATTAAAATAATGCATGATCATTAAAAAATTAAAACAATACAGGAACATACTAGGAAAAAACACCTCTCATTCCCACCCCAGCCAAATATCACTCCCCTAAAGGCAGCTATGCATACTTTCAGGCATTATCCACAAAAGGCATATATACTCATACCCACAATCCTACACGCAAACACCTATAACTTTCACATACACACAAAGGATATACTATACCTAGTGCCCTGTTATTTTCTATTTAATTTATATTGGAACCCTTTCCACATTAATATATATATGGTTACTTCACCTTTTTCAAGGCTGTCTAGTAGTTTATTGTACAAATGAATCAGTTTTCTATTGGCAAACTCTTAGTGCCATTAATTTTTCAATCTTACAACAATGAAGCAATAAACATACTTGTGCATGTCTTTACACATTTGTACAAAACGTTTTGGTTAGGTAAATTCTCAGAAGTAAAACTGTTACATCAATGAGTAAGCCTATTAAAATGTTTATCATGACTGCCAAACTGAACTCCATAAGTTTGTGTTTTCCAAAAATTATCTTCAAACATATGAGTGCAATGACATTATACAAACCTCAATCCATAGATAGAGTGGACAAAACCCACGATAAGATTTTCAACTAGGACCATACCACTGGAACTTTCCACTTGAAAGTCTTTCTCTTGACCAAAATATGGTTATGAAAAAAAAGAAATCAAGCCTTCCTCCACGTTTCCCAGGGGGAAGACAACTGATATTTAAAAGGGTCCAGATGCTGCAACAGGTGATTGCCAAGTGCTTGCCTGGATCCCCGCTCTCTGTTCTACCTGATATTCCATCTTGGTGTATTCCCTTTCCTTCTCTTATTTGGCTTATTTGCTTTAGCTTTTTCTGGCTTAGATACTTAATACACATCCCTTCCCCTCTCTGCTGGTAAGAACACCTTCTTCCTTTAGGAAGCTGCCAGTCCACCATGTCAGATGGTTGTACTGGGGCTGACAAGGATAGCAACTCATCTCCAGGAAAAGTGGAATGGGCCTGTGACCCAGACCTGGCTAATCATGATGTTTCATGCCCCTTGTCAATAAGTGACACACTTAAGGAAAGGCATATCTCAAATCTAGCCAGAGTTCTCCTCTGATGTATTACATATGGACAATGAGAAAGGGCAGCCTTTATTCTTTGGGGTCTCTAAGATGGATGACAAAGCTGGAGTACTCCATAGCAAAGCCTTCCCCTCCCCGGAGGAAAGCCAATTAAAACAGGAGACAAAACATTCAAAAAAAATTCAATTTCAGGTATCTTCTCTGACCACAATGAAATAAAACTAGAAATCAATAACAAGAAGAATTTTGGAAACTTTACAAACACATGATAATTAGACAATATGCTCTTGAATGACCAGTGGGTGAATGAAGAGATTAAGAAGGAAATAGAAACATTTCTTGAAGGAAAAGATAATGGAAATACAGCATACCAAAACCTATGGGACACAACAAAACTGTACTAAGAGGAAAGTTTACAGCTATAAGGGACTACATCAAAAAAGAAAAACTTCAAATGCACAACCTAATGAGACATCTTAGAGAACTGGAAAAGCAACCCCAAAGCTAGTAGAAGAAAAAATATAATAAAGATCAGAACAGAAATAAATGAAGCTGAAATGAAGAAAACAATATAAAAGATAAATGAAATGAAAAGTTGGTTTTTTGAAAAGATAAACAAAATGGACAAACCTTTAGCCAGACTAAGATAAAAAGAGAAGATCCAAATATATAAAATCAGAGATGAAATGATAACCAATACTGCAGAAATTCAAAGAATCATTAGAGGCTTCTATGAGCAACTATGTGCCAATAAATTAGAAAATCTAGATGAAATGGATAAATTCCAAGACATGCACAACCTACAAAGATTGAACCATGAAGAAATCTAAACCCTGAACAGACCACTACAAGTAACGATCATTACAACTAAACTCATAATAAAATGTCTCCCAGCAAAGAAAAGCCTGGGGCCTGATGGCTTCACTGCTTAATTTTATCATACATTTAAAGAACCAATACCAATTCTACTCAAATTATTTCAAAAAATAGTTTCAGAATTATTCTATGAGGCCAGTATTACCCTAGTACCAAAAGCAGACAAAGACGCATCAAGAAAACTATAGGCAAATATATCTGATGAACATTGATAAAAAAAAAAGTCTTCCACAAAATACTAGCAAACAGAATTCAGCAACACATTAAAAAGATCATTCATCATGACCGAGTGGGATTTATCCCAGTGATACATGGATGATTCAACATACACAAATCAGTCAATATCATACACCATATAAACAGAATAAAGGACAAAAACCGTAAGATCATTTCAATTAATGCCAAAAAAGCATTTCATAAAATTCAACATCCCTCATGATAAAAACCCTCAAAAAACTGGGTAAGGAAGGAAAATGCCTCAACATAATAGAAGCCATGTATGACAGACCTACGGCAAATATTATACTGAATAGGGAAAAAAACTAAAAGCCTTCCTTCTCAGATCTGAAACACAACAAAAATGCCCACTTTCACCACCATTACTCAACATAGTACTAGAAATCCTAGCTAGAGCAAACAGATAAGACAAAGAAATAAAGGGCATCCAAATTAGAAAAGCAGAAGTCAAATTATCCTTGTTTGCAGATGACATGATTTTATATTTGGAAAAATGTAAAGACTCCACCAAAAAACTATTAGAACTGATAAATTCAGTAAAGTTGCAGGACACGAAAGTCAAATGCAAAAATCTGTAGCATTTCTATATGCCAACAGTAAACAATCTGAAAAAAAATCAAGAACGTAATCCCATTTACCATAGCTACAAATAAAATTAAATACCTAGGATTTAACCAAAGAAGTGAAACATCTCTACAACGAAAATTATAAAACACTGGTGAAAGAAATGGAAGAGGACACAAAAAATGGAAAGATATTCCATGTTCATGGACTGGAGGAATCAATATTATTAAAATGTCCATACTACCCATGCAATCTACAGATTCAATGTAATCCCTATCAAAATATCAAAGGCATTCTTCACAGAAATAGAAAAACAACCCAAAATTTGTAAATTTTAGGATGGTCTTTTGTAAAACCACAATAGACCTGGAATAGCCAAAGTTATCCTTAGCAAAAAGAACAAAAATGGAGGCATCACATTACCCGACTTCAAATTATACTACAGAGCTATAGTAAGCAAAACAGCATGGTACTGGCATATAAACAGACACATAGACCAATGAAACAAAATAGGAAACCCAGAAACAAATCCATACATCTACATTTAACTTATTTTTTACAAAGATTCCAAGAACATACATTGGGGAAAGGACAGTCTTCAGTAAATGGTGCTGGGAAAACTGGATATTCATATATAGAAGAATGAAACTAGTCCCCTATCTCTCACCATATACAAAAATCAAATCCAGATGAATTAAAGACTTAAATCTAAGATCTCAAACTATGAAGCCACTAAAGGAAAACATTAGGGGAACTCTCCAGGACATTGGACTGGGCAAAGATTTCTTGAGTAATACCCTTAAGCACAGGCAATCAAAGCAAAAATGAACTAATGGAATCACATCAAGTTAAAAAGCTTCTGCACAGCAAAGGAAATCATCAACAAAGTGAAGAGACAACACACAGAATGGAAGAACATATTTGCAAACTATCCATCTGACAAAGGATTAATAACCAGAATATAAGGTGCTCAAACAACTCTATAGGAACAAAATCTAATAATCTGATTAAAAATGGGCAAAATATCTGAACAGACATTTCTCAGAAGAAGACATACAAATGCCAAACAGGTATACGAAAAGGTGCTCATCATCACTGATCATCAGAGAAATGCAAATCGAAACTACAATGAGATATCATCTCACCCCAGGTAAAATGACATTTATCCAAAAGACAGACAACAGCAAATGCTGGTGAGGATGCAGAGAAAAAGGAACCCTTGTACACTGTTGATGGGAATGTAAATTAGTACAACCACTATGGAGAACAGTTTAAAAGTTCTTCACAAAACTAAAAATAGAGCTACCATATGATCCAAGAATCCCACTGCTAGGTACATACCCAAAAGTAAGGAAATCAATACATCAAAGATATCTTCATTCACATATTTATTGCAGCACTATTCACAATAGCCACGATTTGGAAGTGACCTAAGTGTCCATGAACAGGAAAATGGATAAAGAAAATGGAGTACATATACACAATACAGTACTATTCAGTCATAAAAAAGAATGAGATCCTGTCATTTGCAACAACATGGATGGAACTGGAGGTCATTATGTTAAGTGAAAAAAGCCAGGCACAGAAAGACAAACTTCACATGTTTACACTTATTTGTGGGAACTAAAAATTAAAACAATTTAGCTTATGGAGACAGGGAGTAGAAGGATGGTTACCAAAGTCTGGAAGGGTGGGGGCTGGGGGAGTGGGGATGCCTGTGGGTACAAAAAAATAGTTAGAAAGAATGAATAAGATCTAGTATTTGATAGCACAACAGAGTACAGCCAATAATTTAATTGTACATTTTATAATAACTAAAAGAGTAAAACTAGGTTATTTGTAACACAAAAGATAAATGCTTGAGGAAACAAATACCACATTTACCCTAATGTTATCATCATACATTGTATGCCTGTATCAAAATACCCCATATACTCTATAAATATATATACCTAGTTTGTACCCACAAAATTTAAGCACAGAAATATCTTAAAATAAAAATAAATAAAACAGGAGAGAGGCCAACCAAAATGCACAAATAAGCAGATCTGAAAGGTAGATGGAGACAGAGAGAAAAGAAAATTCTGAAGTAATTTGAGTTCTTAGAAGTTAGGTACTTCCTACTTACATAAGTCAGTACAGTCTCTTTATACTTAATATGGTCCAAATTGTGTTTTTTGTTCCCTAAAAACTAAGGATTATGACTAATATGGCATCAATCTCAGATCCACTAGTTTGTGTCCTGACTTGTCTCCTTCCTAGTTACCCAGTAGTCCTTTGTCTGGTTTCCCTGAGTTTTCACCTTTCTGTCTTAGGCCCTGTCTCCCAAGGGTACCCCTAGTAGTAATATCAGCTGGTGTTCCTCAAACTTCTCTCCCTTAAGTTGGCCAATAAGGGGTACATATTATACTCCTGGATGAAGTATCCCTCACTAGTTGTGTGACCTGGGCCCTCATTTTCCTCACAGTGTTGTTGGATATACCTTGAACAGTACTACATATAATTCTGAATATTTCTGAATAGCTTTCAAAAATAGTGGATGTACACTATGAGGGTCACAAAAGCTGAGTTGCAAACATTTGCAGTGCTGGAATAAATGAAGTTGAAAAATGGAATATTTTGTGTAACCAAGAGGCATTTGTTATTTCAGTTTTCTAGTAAAGGCTTATGCCAGTTTTGCAATATCAATGTAGTTTGTGTAGACAGTTGCTAAAAAATCACATGATCTTCTAGGATAAGCATTTTTAATTTTTTTCCATTTCAAAAACAAAAACATTAAAAAATAAAACCATGCTTAATTCTAACACCCTAAAACAAGTATTTCCTTCTAGTTTGCATCAAATGTATTTATTTTTTTCCACAGGTGAATAAGAGTGGTGTAACTTTATATTTCCTTTATTCACTTACATTTAAAAATAGGCTTTGCCAGGGCCGGGCGCAGTGGCTCACTCCTGTAATCCCAGCATTTTGGGAGGCTGAGGCAGGCGGATCACCTGAGGTCGGGAGTTTGAGTTCAGACTTACCAACATGGAAAAACCTTGTCTCTACTAAAAATACAAAATTAGCCAGGTGTGGTGGCACATGCCTATAACCCTAGCTACTCAGGAGGCTGAGGCAGGAGAATCACTTGAACCCGGGAGGTGGAGGTTGCAGTGAGCCGGGATTGCGCCATTGCACTACAGCCTGGGCAACAAAAGCAAAACTCAATCTCAAAAAAAAAAAAAAAAAAAAAAAAAAGGGCTTTGCCCCATGCAGGATCTTTACAATTCAATAGCTAGATATTATTATTTCCAATAGAGATATAATTTATACGACTACATAATTTACACTTTCTGATATTTGGATATTTCAATTTTTTCCAAATATTATAAATGCTCCAATAAAAAGTGGAATTATCAGGTCAAAAATCTGTGAACAGCTCTTGCTATTATGTAAAATTGATTCTCAAATGAGTTTTCCTGAGTCATCCCTACCAGCAGCCAAGTGTGAGTATACATATGTGGATGTTTCACTTTTAATTCAGCAGACCCTGCCTCTGGTATTATCTTTTTTTTTTCTTCCTCTAATGTAACAGGTATAACATGTTACCTTCTCAGTGTGCAACAAATAAATTAGACTCTGAGTTTTGCAAAGAATAATTAAAATCTAAGAAAGACAAAAATAAAAGCTTGCAAGTATAAAAACTTTCTATTTCTAAATCAAGCAATTTAGAACCTTTTCTAAATCAAGAAATTTAGAAATAGAATGATAGATTTAAAAATAGATGAACATTAGTAGTGTATAACTATTTATAATTCTTTTAATTCTTTTCCCTTTTTCAGATCTGTAACGTACAGAGGAGAATGTAATCTTGCATGCACATGTTAACCTACTGTTAACAATTCTGGTTTCAGAGTACTAAAACAAGACTGCAAATGTGTCCTTTTATAATTTTTTAAAAGGGGACATACTTTACAAAAGACAAAACTAAGCAGAGGATAAGAGTCAAAGAGTGCAAAACCTAGAGATTTCCTTTGAGAGATTTAACAGAGAAGAGGGATTAAAATTTATGAACCAATTGTCATCCAAAAATATCCTATCAGTTTCTCTACTCTGAATGCATCTACTTTCCCTGTTCCAAGTTTTAACCTTTCTTTAAAAGAAGTATTGAAGCTCTAAAGCTCCAGGGTGCTGTATTTAGAAGGCAGTAACAGACTAAGCTGGGCTGTTAGGAGCCCACATGAGGAGGCCTTGATATGGGTTCTGGAACACTCTTCATTTTGACTTTGGGATTCTGCTGACAGTGAGTAGCAGCTCTGGGCTAGACTTAAGACAATGAAGACTGACAATGACAGACAAATTTAAAGAGTTGTGGTCAGACTGTGGAGACTAACAGTCCTAAAATAGGTTGCATACTAACTTAATAGACTGTTTTCAACTCCTAGCTCATGTATCAGAGAAATGTATGGACTCCATAAAAATAATGGAATGGTGGCACATACCTAGTGATATAGTGATCATATTCCAAATGCCATACATACCCTAAACTCCTGAATTCAAACTAGTCACCCAAAAGTTTTTGTCTTTAAATACATATAACAACAATAACAAGGGGGAGAAAGTCCTGTTTCTAGTCCAAAACATTGTAAAGCTCAGATTATTAAGAGGTCATGTAAGCGATGTGCTTAGTGTATTCAAATCTTCATTCATTCAACAAGCTGAGCACCTACTAGGTGCTACAAATTCAGTGTTGAATAAAGACAAATCTTTGTCCTCTGAAAACACATTTTCAGAAGTGGAATAAGGGAACAGCAGGGCTCAGTGATGCATGCCTGTAATCCCAACACTTTGGGAAGCCGAGGCAGGATGATCTCTGGAGCCCAGGAGTTTAACACCAGCCTGGGTAACATAGTGAGACCCCATCTATACCAAAAAAATTAAAAATTAGCCTGGCGTAGTGGTGCATGCCTATAACTCCAACTGCTGGGGAGGCCGAGGTGGGAGGATCACTTGAGCCTCGGAGATGGTGGCTGCAGTGAGCCATGATCCCACCATTGCACTCCAACCTAGGCAAGAGAGCGTGACCCTGTCTCAAGAAAAAAAAAAAAATAGTAAGAGGAGAATGAATAATAGAATAAATGAGTATAATAAATTAAACTCATTAGAATATTACATTATGTCTCTGACAGAAGCACACAGGAACCTGAAATGGAGAATAACAAAGTTAAAGATGCAGGGAGGTCCTAAACAAAATATGGTTCTTTGCACTTTATAGCATCTATTGGTTTTAATAGTTCTCTGTTTTTTCCCTTTCTCTACTCCCCACTCTCTTCTTCCTCTGGATTCTACCAGTCTAGAGCTGCTTCAACATCTCCACTCTGCGTGTATACACAACAGGCACATATATGCACACCTCTTTTTTGATGACCCAAAACTTCACTTAATATTAAGAGATAAAAATCTCCTACTTCATGCTGGGTGCAGTGGCTCACACCTGTCACCCCAGCACTTTGGGAGGCCAAGGTGGGCAGATCACCTGAGGTCAGGAGTTCAACACCAGCCTGGCCAACATGGTGAAACACTGTGTCTACCAAAAATACAAAAATTAGCCGGGTGTGGTGGCGGGCAACTGTAATCCCAGCTACTCGGGAGGCTGAGGCAGGAGAATTGCTTGAACCCAGAAGGCGGAGGCTGCAGTGAGCCCAGATCACGCCACTGCACTCCAGCCTGGGCAACAGAACGAGACTCCATCTCAAAAAAAAAGAAAAGAAAAGAAAAGAAAATCTCCTACTTTAATGCCATAGGTATTCCTAGCAAAGTACAATGAGACTTGGGTACTGAAACTTCAGCTTGACTCCCCCACCCCTGCCCTCCCCTCCACCCCCGCCCCAGGCACCATTTTAATCCCTCATATTGCTTGACTAGAAAACTACTCAGGAAACAGCGCTAGAAATAATAGCAGACTTTTATAGAGGGCAAAACTGAATAACAAAGGAGCAGTAGTTATCAACATGTTTTGAAACCAAGGCACTTTTCTACGTTACTGCCATTTAAACATTTATTTTCCTCCTTTGAAATTGTTATCAGTGTTTGCTATCAGCTGGAACAGTATGGAAGTGACTCTCCTGAGGTTAGAAACAGTCTAACCCTAGTTCCCAATACAATCTTCACCAATTCAAAAGAAATTAGATAAATCCTACCTTAGAACATGCATCACAGGCCACTTTCTGAAATTATCTGGGGAAAGGTTCAGGCATGCCAGCAATGGGGATCATACCAGGAAAATACATCTCACCTGGGATAGTAGTATGAGGAGGAGGGGCAAGTTCCAGGCTTTGACCCCTATCCACTCCCAGCTGTGTGCTTAATTAAAGTTTGATTTCCAGAATGGCCTCCCTGTCTTAAATGAAAACCAAGCGTCATGACGTAGCTCTACAGCTCTGCCCCAAGGCACAGGTCTTGATTTTTCATTTTGGCAAAACTTCAAATACAATCAAGTCAGGGAGAAAAGTTCCAAAATGCCATAGAACCTTCTTAGATCTTCCTGGTCACAGCTTAAAGAGATACACATGAGGATTGCTTAATTGGAATCACTTGGAATAATTTAACCTGAAAGAAGAAACAAATAGCAGGGTTTGGTTTTGTTTTTAAATAATATGCAGTCATCAGGAAAAAAGCTGAAGTTGAGGTTGATCATATTAATTACCTGGAGTTCTTGTTAAAAGTAAAGAATCATCCAGACCTTAGGCTCTTATTTAATTATACAGAAATGTGAGATTGCATATTGACTTGGTTTGGTTTTTTGGTGGGTTTTTTGGGTTTTTGGTTTTTAGCATTGACTTTTGGGGAAAAAAAAGTGCAAAGTTAAGAACCGTAGCAAATAGCATGGTTGCATCTTTATCATGAACACATAATAGTTATACATTTTTATGGGGCACATGTGATATTATGATACAAGCAAACAATGTGTAATGATCAAATCAGGGTAATTGAGATATCCATCACCTCAAGCATCTATCATTTCTTTGTTTTATTTCAAGTGTGTCTCTGATTTGTAAATATGCATACAAAAAAGTGGAATATATACAGAAATATCAGTAGTGATTATTTCTATGTGGCAAGATTCCATCTGAATTTAGTGTTTTTCTTTTCTCTGTTTTTAAATGTTTCCAGACAATACAGGCACCATATTTTTAAAAGTTATTTACCATTTAAACTTTTCAAAAGACATCAGTTATCTGCTAATCTTCTGAAGAAAGCATAACTGGAAAACACATTTTTCTAATGGTAGCAAGACTTAGCTTAGGGGTTAAAAGAGATGGTTTCCCAACTCAACTCAGAAGCATCCATTTTCAAAATTCTCTTAATAGAAAATGAGTGAAAGATGTATCATATCCATACCACATGTGTCCTAACCTATCCCTGAATATAAATTTGTAGAGCCAATTGCCTACTCAACATCTCCAACTGGATGTCTCAAAAATTTCCCAAAGTTAATATATCCCAAACTGAAATCTTTATTCACTTCCTCTATCTCAATTCCCCTCCACAACCTCCTTTTCCTCATTTGGCCAGCCAATAATTTAAGAAGTACTTTTGACGCTTCCCTTTTTCTCAAAGCTCATATCCAAATTGTCAACAAGTCTACTTTTTTCTATCTTAAAATAAATCCTCAGAGTTTCAGTCAGCCCTAAAATACAGCTTCTATCTACACAGCTTAGTGCACTTTGTGCTACTGTAACAGAATATCTAAGACTGGGTAACATATAACGAAAAGAATTATTCTTTAGAATAATAAAAAATAGAATTTATTTTTTCACAGTTATGAAGGCTGAGAAGTCCAAGATCAAGGCACTAGCCTCTAGGGAGGGTCTTCTTGCTGCATACTCACATAACAGAAGATGGAAGGGCAAAAGAGAAGGAACTCCCTTAACATCAAGTCCTTTTATAAAATGGCACAAAATTGCATTTAGGAGGGAGGGGCCCTCATGGCCTAATCACCTCTTAAAGGCCTCACTTCTTTTTTTTTTTTTTAATGGGGTCTTGCTCTGTTGCCCAGACTGGAGTGCAGTGGTGCGATCTCAGCTCACTGCAACCTCTGCCTCCCTGGTTCAAGGGATTCTCTGCCTCAGCCTCCCGAGTAGCTGGGATTACAGGCACCCACCACCATGCCCGGCTAATTTTTTGTATTTTCAGTACAGATGGGGTTTCACCATCTTGGCCAGGCTGGGCTTGAACTCCTTACCTCGTGATCCACCTGCCTCGGCCTCCCAAAGTGCTGGGATTACAGATGTGAGCCACCGTGCCCGGCCAGGCCCCACCTCTTAATATTACCACATTGGCAGCACCTGAACTTTGGCGGGGGGACACACTCAAACTATAATAAACCTAACAGGTGGAAGAAGTGTAAATAAAGTCTCACATGACCCATGCCTTCAACTGTAACAACTTCAAATTACTTGTAAGATATAAACATAAAATTACAATAGCATTTCCATTGCTGCTACAACCCTATGAATACAGAAAGTTAGGGGAGTTAAAATTCTATGTGGAAAAGAGAAGAGAAAAGGAAAGAAGTGAGATTACTACTTAGAACACAGAGAAAATCACCCTCAGACAGAGACACTCTGAAACTGAGTGCTAAAATACTGAAAACAAATCTGGGACTTAGTAGTACACAGCACTACCTACAGGAAAGGGCTTGAAAGTGAGATATCAAGCTGGGTGCAGTGGCTCATGCCTGTAAATCCCAGCAATTTGGGAGGCTGAGGTGGGCGGATAACCTGAAATCAGGAGTTTGAGACCAACCTGGCTAACACGGTGAAGCCCCGTCTCTACTAAAAATACAAAAAATTAGCTGGGCATGGTGGCAGCCGCCTGTAATCCTAGCTACTTGGGAGCCTGAAGCAGGAGAATTGCTGGAACCTGGGAGGTAGAGGTTGCAGTGAGCCAAGATCACGCCACTGCACTCCAGACTGGGAGACAAGAGCGAAACTCCCTCTGAAAAAATAAATAAATAAAGTGAGATATCAGACATGTCAGCCTAGAGGAATTACTGCTTCTAGGGGAAAGGAAGATTAATATATAGAAGTAGTGATGCCCCTCAGATGTCTGCCACAGAGAGAAAAAAGAAAGTAAGAAGAAAAATTAAGGATCCTATGAAAACAGAAGAGAATTACAAGACATGCCAACTCTTCTCCCCTCCTCCATGACATCACCACTAAGACATTTTATTAAAGAAATTACATTTCACTATGCTGTCTGAACTAAGCACTCATAAATTAGAAACCCTATCAACAAATGCCTAGACTTAAAAAATAATCAGACCAATGCTATATGAAGCTACCATAAGAAGATGAAAGAAACTGAGAAGCTGAACATTTCAGCTAATGAAATGTACTTACCCAAACCTAACCCTGAAGCAAAATCAAAGTGTAACACAACATTGCAAATTGAATATATCCTCAAACAAGTATTTGAAGATAAAGAAACCAATTAAAATCGGCCAGGCATGGTGGCTCATGCCTGTAATCCCAGCACTTTGGGAGGCCGAGGGAGGGGGATCACGAGGTCAGGAATTCGAGACTGGCCTGACCAACATGGTGAAACCCTGTCTCTACTAAAAATACAAAAATCAGCTGGGCGTGGTGGTGTGTGTATGTAATCCTAACTACTCAGGAGGCTGAGGCAGGAGAATCGCTTGAACCCGGGAGGCGGAGGTTGCAGTGAGCCAAGATTCTGCCACGGCACTCCAGCCAGGGCAACAGAGCAAGACTCTGCCTCAAAAAAAGAAGAAAGAAAGAAAAAGAAAAAAGAAACCAACTAAAATCAAAAAGAAAAAAATAGTCAAAAATAAATAAATGGGCCAGGCACAGTGGCTCACGCCTGTAATCCCAGCACTTTGGGAGGCCAAGGCAGGTGGATCACAAGGTCAGGAGATCAAGACCATCCTGGCTAACATGGTGAAACCTGTCTCTACTAAAAAAAATACAAAACATTCGCCAGGCATGGTGGCAGGTGCCTGTAGTCCTAGCTACTCGGGAGGCTGAGGCAGGAAAATGGCGTGAACCTGGGAGGCAGAGCTTACAGTGAGCCAAGATTGCGCCACTGCACTCCAGCCAGGGCGACAGAGCGAGACTTCGTCTCCAAAAAAATAAAAAAAATAGGAATAAGTGAAATGAAACAAGTGAACACAACGAAGAGTTTTTTAATGACAGATATCTCAGAATAATGAATGCATTATAATGTATCTGAGAATAGAGTCCAATGAAAATGTAATAAGGGACACAGGAAAAAGAAAAAAACAACAACAAAACCAACCAAACATAAAACACCTATAGGATAATGAAAATAAGATGAAGAAAGAAGTAAAAAGGGTCAGAAAAAAAGTGGCTGGATGGGAAGACAAAGATAATCCAACATACATATAATTGCAGACCCTGAAGACAATAACCCAAACAATGGAAGAGGACTATATATTTAAAACTGTAATCAAAACTTTCCAGAACTATTTTTAATCCAAAATTTATAAAATGAAATGTCCTACTATGTATATAGGAAACCTGACACAAAATGTCAAGAGTGTGTCAAAAATATGAATATGAGAACAGTAGAACAGCATTTTTTAAAAAAAGCCAATGAAAGAAAGTACATATCAAGGACTTTTGTATCCACACAAGTTATGCTTCAAGCATTAAGATGTAGAAAAACAATTTTAAACATATAAGTACTCCAGAATAATTTATTCATGGATCTTTCCTAGAAAATATATTTGGCCAGGGTTAATAAACCACAGCACATAGGTCAAACCTGACCAGCTACCATTGTGTGTGTGTGTGTGTGTGTGTGTGTGTGTGTGTAAACTAAGAATGGCACTTACATTTTTAAGCAATTATATTGTAAACTGTTATATAAGTAGTTTCCTAATAGCCTCTGTTTTGCTTCTTAACCCATAGAACCTAAATATTTACTATCTAGCTCTTTCAGACAATGTTTGCTGACTCCTGTACAACAGGAAAAGCTTTACCCAATCAAGAAATGACTAAGCACTATCTAAATTATAAATACAAAGCTAACCATTAGAACAAAAATGCAAACCTTCCTAAATATCAAACAAAATGTTTAAAGAAGGAGCCACAAAGTTACACCATTTAGAAAAAGAAAGTATATCTAATAAACACAATAACTATAATATAAAGTAATGTGGGAGTCAAAGCCAAACATATCAGTTACATTAATAAATGTGGCTGGGTGGGGTGACTCATGCCTGTAATCCAAGCACTTTGGAAGGCTGAGGCAGGTGGGTCACAAGGTCATGAGTTTGAGACCAGCCTGACCAATATGGTGAAACCCCATCTCTACTGAAAATACAAAAATTAGCTGGGCGTGGTGGCGCACACCTGTAGTCCCAGCCACTTGGGAGGCTGAGGCAGAAGAATTGCTTGAACCAGGGAGGCGGAGGTTGCAGTGAGCTGAGATTGTACCACTGCTCTCCATCCTGGGTAACAGAGTGAGACTCTATCTCAAAAAAAAAAAAAAAAAAAAAAAAAAAAGAAAGAAAGAAAGAAAAGAAAGAAAAAGAAATAAATGCATTACAATGAAGAAAATATAGTATTTTCAACAAATGGTGCTGGAACAGATGGATGTCCATATGCAAAAAAATAAAAAATCTAGACACAGACCTTATACTCTTCACAAAAATTAACTTAAACTGGAAAATAAACCAATATGTAAATGCAATACTATAAAACTCCTGGAAAATAGCTGATATGGTTTGGCTGTGTCCCCACCCAAATCTCACCTTGAATTGTAATCCCATAATTCCCATGTGTTGTAGGAGGTACTCAGTGGCAGATAATTGAATCATGGGGGCAGTTTCTTCCATACTCTTCTTGTGGTAGTAAATAAGTCTCATGAAATCTTATGGTTTTATATGGAGAAACACCTTTTGCTTGGCTCTCCTTCTCTCTCTTTGCTTGTTGCCATCCATGTAAGATGTGACTTGCTCCTCATTGCCTTCCGCCATGATTGTGAGGCCTCCCCAGCCATGTGGAATTGTAAATCCATTAAACCTCTTTCTTTTGTAAATTGCCCAGTCTTGGGTAGATCTTTATAAGCAGCATGAATATGGACTAATACAATAGCACAGGAGAAAATCTAGATGACCTAGAGTTTAGTAATGGCTTTTTAGATATAACACCAAAAGGAGAAAACATTTGCAAAAGACATATCTGATAAAGAACTATTATCCAAAATATACAAAGGACTATTAAAACTCAATAAAAAGAAAACAAGCATTAAAAAATGGGCAAAGATCTTAGCAGACACCTCACCAAGGAAGCTATAGAGATGGCAAATAAACATACAAAAAGATATCATACATCATCAGGGAAATGCAACTTAAAACAACGAGGCCGGGCATGGTGGCTCACTCCTGTAATCCCAGCACTTTGGGAGGTCGAGGCAGGCGAATCACTTGAGGTCAGAAGTTTAAGACCAGCCTGGCCAACATGGTGAAATCTCGTCTCTACTAAAAATACAAAAATTAGCTGGGCATGGTGGCGGGTGCCTGTAGTCCCAGCTACTCAGGAGGCTGAGACAGGAGAATCATTTGAACCTGAGAGGCAGAGTTGCAGTGAGCCGAGATCACCCCACTGCACTCCAGCCTGGGTGACAGAGCAAGATTCTGTCTCAACAAAAACCAAAACAGAACAAAAAAAACCCCACACAACAATGAGATAACACTACATACCTGCTAGAATGGCCCAAATCCAGAACACTGACAACACCAAATGCTAGCAAGAATAGGGAGCAACAGCAACCCTCATGGTTGGTGGGAATGCAAAAAGATACCACCACTTTGGAACACCGTTTGGCGATTTCTTATAAAGCTAATCATACTCTTACTTTAAAATCCAGCAGTTGTGCTCCTTGGTTCTTACCCAAATTAACCGAAAACTGATGTCCATACAAAAACCTGCGTATGACTATATATAATTGCCAAAACGTGTAAGCAACCAAGATGCCCTTTGGTAGGTGTATGGATACCTAAACTGCCGTACATCCAGACAATGGAATATTATTTGGCACTTTAAAAAATTAGCTATCAAGCCATGAAAGCACATGCAGGAACCTTAAATGCATATTACTAAATAAAAGGAGCCAATCTGAAAAGGCTGAATGCCATAACATTCCAACTGTATGACATTCTGAGAAAGGCAGAACTATGGAGAGGACAAAAAGATCCATGGTTTCAAGGGGTTGGAGGTAGGAGGTAAGGATGAATAAGTGGAGTACAGAGGATTCTTAGGGCAGTGAAACTATTCTGTATGACACTATAATGGTAGATATATGTCATTAAACATTTATCTAAACCCACAGAATGTACACTATCAAGAGTGAACCCCAATGTAAACTACAGACTTTGGGAGATTATAATATCTCAATGTAGGTCCATCAGTTGTAGGAAATGTACCACTCTGGTGGGGAGATGCTGACAAAGGTTGGGACTTATGCATTTGTAGGCATAGGGGATATATGGGAAATGTCTAAATCTTCCACTCAATTCTGCTATGAGCCTAAAATTGCTCTAAAAATTGAAGTGTGTTTGTGTGTAAGTTTTTTAAAGGCAGGGTTGCAATTCTTATCTCAAACAAAATAAAATTCAGCCCCCAAAAGTATTAAATGAGACCAAAAAAAGGACACAGAAGAAACTAAGGCGATACAATTAGAAACAGAAACAGTAATAGGCAAGGCACTGTGGCTCACGCCTGTAATCCCAGCACTTTAGGAGGCCAAGGTAGGCAGATCACGAGTTCAGGAGATCGAGACCATCCTGGCCAACCCCATCTACTAAAAATACAAAAAATTAGTTGGGTGTGGTGGTGCATGCCTGTAATCTCAGCTACTCAGGAGGCTGAGGCAGGAGAATCACTTGAACCAGGGAGTTGGAGGTTGTAGTGAGCCGAGATCGCACCACTGCTCTCCAGCCTGGCAACAGAGGGAGACTCCATCTCAAAAAAAAAAAAGAAACAGAAACAGTAATAATAGAAGCCTTTAACATATCACCCTCAGCACAAAGTGAGACCATTAGACAAAGAGTGAGAAAATAAGCCATATTTTATGGAAATATGGATATATATATAGCAATACACTCTGAAATCATGATTTAATAAAACTAGAAGTTAAAAAGCAAAATCTACTAAATAGCTCGTGTAAAATAGAATATAAGCAAAAATTAAAGAATTTCTGAAAAATGATAATTATATGAGGAAAAACACTTCATATAAAAATCAATAGTATAGATTTAAAGCAATAATCAAAAGAAAATTCATAGCCTTAAACATCTATATCAAGGAAAATAAAAAGCAAAAAATAAATGAATTAAATCTCCAAGTCTACAACTCAAAAAACTAGGAAAAAAACAAAAACTTAAGATGGGGAAAAAAAAATCAGAAGTTACTACGCTGAAGAATAGAAAGATAGATCAAAGTAATAAATTTGTAAAAATCAACAAAATAGACAAGTCTTGGACTGTATTCTACTTATTATAAAGGACGTTATTGGGACAACTGATGAAATTGGAACATGCACTGCAGCTTGGATACAAGTATCGTATTGGTTTTACATTTCCTGAATTGATAACTGTACTGTGGAGAATTGTCTTGTTCTTGGAAAATACACACTAAAGAATTTTGAGGTAAAGAGGTATAATGTATGTAACTTATAACCAAATGGTTCAGAAAACAATTTATATAAATATTGACATGGATAAGGATCTATAAATGTGTGTGTTTGAGTCTGTGTGTGAATAAAGAGAAAACGGGGAGTGTGGCAAGAGAGAATGCCAATGTGACAAAACTTTAAGAGTTAGTGGTGAGACCCTCTAAAGTGTATACAGTTTGAAGTTCCTTTCACTATTATTACAAGTATTCTGTAAGATCAAAATTGTTTCAAAATGAAAAGGTAAAATAAATAAATAACCCCTGGGTCCTGAATCTAACCACTTCTCATCAAATCTACCACCATCACCCTAGTCCAAGCTGCTGTCTTCCCTTGCTTACTTACACTGCTGCAATAGCCTCCTAACTGGTTTTTGCCTCTACTATCAATTTCCACACAGCAGCCAGAGTGATCTCTTAAAATAAAAAATACAGGCCAGGGCAGGGTGCAGTGGCTCATGCCTGTAATCCCAGCACTGTGGAAGGCCGAGGTGGGCGGATCACTTGAGGTCAGGAGTTCGAGACCAGCCTGGCCAGCGTGGTAAAACCCCATCTCTACTAAAAATACAAAAATTAGCCAGGCATGGTGGTGTGCACCTGTAATGCCAGCTACTTGGGAGGCTGAGGCAGAAATCGCTTGAACCCAGAAAGGGAGGTTGCAGTGAGCTGAGATTGTGCCACTGCACTCCAGCCTGAGTGACAGAGGGAGACACCATCTCAACAAACCAACAAACCAACCAACAAACAAAAAGCAAGCCGAATGTGGTGGCCAAGGCCTGTAATCTCAGCACATTGGGAGGCCAAGGCGGGTGGATGGCTTCAGCCCAGGAGTTCGAGACCAGCTTGGGCAACACAGCGAAACCCCATCTCTACAAAAAATACAAAAAATATCTGGGAGTGATGTCACACCCCTGTTGTCCCAGCTACTCAGGAGGCTGAGGTGGGAGGATCACTTGAGCCTGGGAGGTAGAGGTTGCAATGAGCTGAGATCCCACCACTGAACTCAAGCCTAAGTGACAGAGTGAGACCCCGTCTCAAAAAATAAAAAAATCATAAATATGACCATATTATTATCCTGCTCAAAATACTCTTATGACTTCCTATCACACTTAAAATCTAACTCCTTATCAAAGCCCCTACACCACCTGACCTCTGGCTGCATTTTGAAACCCTTCTGCTGCCACTCTCCAGCATGTTTACTCTGGTCTGACCACATTGTCTTTCTTACAGCTACTCAAAAACATCAAGTTTGTTCCAGCTGCTTGGACTTTGCACTCATTGTTCACTCTGCCTGGAATGTTCTGCCCGCAGCCCTTTAGAGGGTTGTCCCTCCCTTCATTCCAGCCTCTGATAAATGGCCTTCCCTGATTACACTAACTAAAAAAGCAGTCCTATCATTCTCTAAGCCCTCTCTCCCTGCTTTATTTTTCTTCATGGCACTTTTGGATATGTTTCATTATATTATCATAATGGAACAAGAAATGATCAGATAACATCAGGAAATAATCCATTAGCAAAGTTTTAACACTGTAATATTTCAGAGACAGTCATTAGGTTAACCTTGTAACCAGGTCCTCTGCCTTTGTTCTAAACAATAAACAGTTTTTATCACACTGACAACTTCAGGTTTTAGAAAGCCAAGTAACATGTGAATTCATTCATTAATTTATTCATCGATTCAACAAAAATTTATTGAGTTTTTACTATAGGTTGGGTACTGTTCTGTGTACTGTAGCTACAACAGGGAACAAAACTGAAAAAAATCCCTGCCCTCAAGAACCTTACATTCCAGTGAGGGTGTCAGACAATAAACAGAATGGACAGTAATAAGTGCTATAGAGGAAAGGGATAGGATATAACAGAGTTAGTTTGGAGGTGGGAGCTGATGGTAAATAGTGTGATCAAAGAAGGTCCCACTATGAAACTGGCATTTAAACTGAGACCTAACAGGTGTGAGAGAGTGCCATGAAGATATCTGAGCATTGCAGGCAGGCAGTACATCAAAAGCAAAATTTCTGAGGCAGGAATTGTCTGGTGTGTTCAAGGCAGAACAGGTAAGCCAGAGTAGCTCGAGAGAATTGAGCAAAGGAGAAAATGGTAAAACGTGAGTTCAGAGAGGAAGGAGGAGGCGGCAGATGGGGCAGGGTCTGGTAGGCCATTAGGGGGCAGGCCTTGCAGGCCATTGTGAGACCTCTGAACTTCACTTTAAGTGAGATTGAGAGTCACGAGAGAATTTTGAAGATATGTTATTATTAGACTTCTGTTTTAACAGCATTGTGCCCACTGCTATTTACAGAAGGGACTGCAGAGGAGCAAGAGAGGAAGAAGTGAGACCAGACAGAAGAATTTTAAGTAATCCAGGCACAAAAAGACTGTGGACTAGGGTTGTAGCACAGAGGAGGTGGTAAGAAGTGTTGGACCATATAGAGCTAACAGGATTTACTAATGGAATGAAAGGATGCTAAGTGAGAGAGAGAGAGGCATCAAAGATGATCCCAAGATTTCTGCCCTGAGCAATTAGAAAGGTGGAGTAGTCATTCTCTGAGATGGTGATGCTTGTAGGAGGGACAGATCAAGGTTATAAGTATTTTACAAAAATAGACTTTTCTGTGATTAAATAAAACAGAACTTTCTAGTTAATGAGCCAAATGGATTAGAGATGTACTGAAATACTTCTCCCTTTGAGCCTGAGGGTGGAACCTCCAGGGCTATTCCCTCTCTTCCCTCTACCCCAGTGAGCCAGACAAATACTATCATCTTCAGTGTGTGCATGATGTGGAAAAGAGTAGTAAGCACTGAAATAATAAAAAGAGGAACTTGTCTTGCTGCAGGCTCACTAAGTTAACATAGGCAAATAATCTTTACAGACCGCTTGATTTGTAAGTGGTATGTATGTTTGTGTACTACTTCCACAGAGTCCATTCAGCTGGACTTTTTGGATGTGGAAATAAATTAATCTAAAATGTAGATATTTTTCTCTTCTTTCCAGCAAAAGAAGTCTGTAACTAGCCTCCTGCAATTTATTTTTATTTTATTTTTTATTTTTAGACAGAGTTTCACTCTTGTTGCCCAGGCTGAATTGAAATGGTGCGATCTCAGCTCACTGCAACGTCCATCTCCCGGGTTCAAGCGAATCTCCTGCCTCAGCCTCCCAAGTAGCTGGGATTACAGGCACCTGCCACCACACCCGGCTAATTTTTGTATTTTTAGTAGAGACAGGGTTTTGCCATGTTGGTCAGGCTGGTCTCAAACTCCTGACCTCAGGTGATCTGCCCACCTCGGCCTCCCAAAGTGCTGGGATTACAGGTGTGAGCCACCGCATCTGGCCAGTTGTCTATTGTTTATGTCTGCCTCTGCCATTAAGACTGTAAGCTGCACTGCATGAGGGCAGAGACGCTGTCTGTTTCACTCATTGCTTATTCTCAACACCCAGATTTGTTGAATGAATGAATTCCAAGAGGCCTAAGACATGATGCCAGCACTTTTTTTTTTTTTTTCTTGAAAGGGAGTCCCACTCTTATCACCCAGGCTGGAGTGCAATGGCGCAGTCTTGGCTCACTGAAACCTGCAACTCCGGGGTTCAAGCAATTCTCCTGCCTCAGCCTTCCGAGTAGCTAGGATTACAGGCGCCCACCACCACGCCCAGCTAATTTTTTGTATTTGTAGTAGAGGCAGGGTTACACCATGTTGGCCAGGCTTGTCTTGAACTCCTGACCTCAGGTGATCTCCCCCGTTCGACCTCCCAAAGTGCTGGGATTACAGGCTTGAGCCACCATGCCCGGCCATGATGCCAGCTCTTGAAGAACTCATGGTCCACTGAGGGATTCATGCCTACTGATTACCTTTATCAAATAGCTTCTTCAGTAGTTCTGAGATTGTCTTGATAAGATCATTCTGTTTTCTCCATTTGGGTGCTCTCATCTCTTTTATTCTCACCTCAAAATCTGGTTTATGTTCCAAGGGCCTAGGTCCCAAATCCCAAATTCTCCCCAGAGCTTTCTCACTCCAGTTTGAGTTAGTGCCTCCATTCTCTGAATTTCCTGGCATTTTTACTCACAAGGAATTTTTCTCTCATTTACAAATTTTATTGTATACTTGTTCACACTGGCCTCTTTGGGAATATTTTCAGCTTCTCAAGAGCAGTAACCATGCCTTACAGTTTGTTTTTGAGACAGGGTCTCACTCTGTCACCTAGGCTGGAGTGCAGTGGTGCAATCATGGCTCAGTTCACTGTAGCCTCAACCTCCCAGTCTCGGGTGATCCTCCCACCTCAGCCTCCTAAGTAGCTAGGACTATAGGCACATGCCACCATGCTCAGCTAATTTTTTTGTATATTTTGTAGAGACAGGGGTTCATCGTGTTGCCCAGGGTGGTCTGGAACTCCTGGACTCAAGCAATCCTCCCACCTCTGCCTCCCAAAGTGCTGGAGTTACAGGCCTAAGCCACCGCACCTGACCAAGCCAGTTTGTTTTCCCACATGGCCCAGTGCCAAGTACAAAATAGGTGCCCTATAAATGTCTATTGGACTAAGTTTAATTTAAACCTGAAGAGCTGAGCTCCTCTGTGAAGATGCAATTTGTATGTAACTGAAACCCAGGTCAGCAGTGTAATCTATTCTTGTGTTATATAGGCTTTTTTTCCCTTTTTGCCCTCCTGTTTGGTTAATAATTCTGTCTCCTTGTTTCTCTGGAAGGAGGGACTAGCAGTGATCAGTTCTGGCAAATCATCAGGGTGAGGGACAGACACATTAGATTCAGGTATGGGAGACATAATCAGCACCTGGCGAGGGTTCTTAGGAGGCATTTAGGGGAGAATAATTTGTTACACAGACTAAGTACTACAGCTTAACTATACTCTGGAATCATTTAATGAACACGAACTAATTAGAAAAATGCCAAAGAGTACACTCCACCAATTTAAGCTTCCTGTGACTATCAGTCACTCCTTCTGCGGGACTTTGGCCATGACTAAGTTTCTAAATGCATGTCTCCCTGGTCCTGCAGAATATCACCCTTGTATACAAGATTCCAACAATGGTGACATCCCTCTTCCCAGCAACTGGCTGCTTTCTCCCTCCTGCAGGGTTGACACCCCCATTTCTGTTTCATAGGTATGCACTGTGTTTTGCTGGGTTTTTCCTTTCTGCTCCCTTTATGCTGCTACTCTCTCCCTTCTACACTCTCTTACCTATATATTTTCTCTTTCTTTCCCTGAGGTTGCTTATTTTCCCTGAGGAAACTCCATCATAAAAGACAGAAAGGACTGGTTTCCAGATAGTACCGTAAAGGAGATACTACCAGTGCCATACAAGAAACAGGCTTTCCATATCTAGCACTTTAGAACCAGTGTATATTCGTATATACAGCATAGACCAATGTGTTTATGGAAACACACACATACATACTTTTTTTCTAATTTCAAAGGGTTCCACTATGGAAAAGTCTCCATGAAACATTCAGGTCCCTCTTCATAAAATTCTCCCAGCTGTGAGAATTCACTCCATAATTGTTCAATACCTGTGTTGCCTGTTCTAGGCCTATTCCAATTCTCCAGGTCTGATGCTGTCCAGCTTCTTTCTGACTCCTGGTTCCACTCAATTGATAGCTCTCTCTTACCTTGATCTTTTCTGCTGTTCACTCTTTTTTTTTTTTTTTTTTTTTTTTTGAGACGGAGTCTCGCTCTGTCGCCCAGGCCGGACTGCGGACTGCAGTGGCGCAATCTCGGCTCACTGCAAGCTCCGCTTCCCGGGTTCACGCCATTCTCCTGCCTCAGCCTCCCGAGTAGCTGGGACTACAGGCGCCCGCCACCGCGCCCGGCTAATTTTTTGTATTTTTAGTAGCTCCTCCTTAAGATATCTTCCCCGTTTGACTCTTTTTATTGAGAATACCTGTGTATATCTGAGAGACATGGGGAGGAGATATACTACTATAGATAACTATGAAGATAGATATGAAGATAGTGTCCAAGTCCAGCTGATAATTGTTGCACTGACAGGACCCACCTGGCCTCTGCAGGGAGTTCATTCAGACATATTCCTGCAGCTAGCTACATGCTGGGTATTAAGGGATCATGTTTCAAAGAATGAGAGCCTGCAGCCATGAAGAGAAGTCAAGAGATACCATCTCAACTTTACTAGGTAGGTTTACCCAAGCATGCAGATGCTGGCCCTCTGCTTCCACCACCTCTCAATTGTTGTGGGGCAATACCGGTCCACATCAGCTGAAAAAGCACCTGGTGAAGCACCCTAACTGACCTGTACAACTGGGATCACTTTGCGGCCTGTTACAGAGCTATGGCAATGCAGTAGGCCTCTCTTCCAGATAGCACTCCTCCTAAGCACCTGCTTCTGATAAACTGTAAAGTTTGTGTTGCTTCCCCACACTTCCTTTTCTATACCTGTCTCTCCTTTGGTATATAAATCTTCATTCTCCCAGAGATATAGGAGCCTAAGTTTCCTTCCCTTGACAAAAATTAACTTTTAAATTGTTTGGCAAACCCATTTACATTAAGGTATAAAAAACTGTGTCTTGATTTAAAGAAATAAATGACAAAGTGTGGTAGTTGAGGCAGGAGTACACATTTAGGAAAGGTCTCAGTGGCAGCCCCTTGCCTCACATTCAGAGTTTTTTATTTAATCTATGTACGGTCAGCACTGCTAGGTGAGAGTGATAATTATGCAGTTGCCAATGATATAAACATTTACTATTCATTTTTAGGCTTATATGTACAATGGACAATCAGAGAGACCCTCGGTCAGTTTGTAGTCAATAGAAAGACCAAAAATTAATTTTGTTTCAGTGCGATACAAATTTAATTAAGAAGATTTTTTAAAATATGTCATTCCTAAGTAAAGCAGCCACCCCAGTTGTGCCTGGCCCACAGTTGCCAGAGGATCTGATGCTTGTGTCTGGGGCCATGTGGGTGGATGTTAAACAGCCCATATGGTATGATGTTCATTTCCTGTATTCCAAGCAAACAGCAGGTGGACTGCCTTCCTACTGCCTTTTAACAGGCAAATCAGCTAGAAAATCTAGAATGTGGTGGGCAATGCAAGATCACAGGAAAAGTCGAAGGGCACTGAGAAAGAAATAAGCATGTCCTACATGCTGATGATAATGATAATATTATAATGGGGCAATATTAGAGAGTATTAAATATATTTGTATTTATAATTAACTCTAGTTCTTAAGTGACCCGTAGTTCTCATATCAAGAGTCATGCAGTTTCTTATCATGTAGGGATTCAACCTTTCTGTCATCAAAGTTGAGCAGTGGAGCTTAATGGTGTAAGGGAAGTTCCTGCAAACAAGAAGATAAAGGAGAAGGCCTATCCCAATCAGCACCTAAAAAGCATGGACAAGAGAGTAAGGAAACGTAAAGGAAGCAGGCTATCTGACATGTGAACTGAATTTGGCCGGAATGGCAGAGGGTTGTTACTTAGGTTGAATAAAAAGCCAAAACAGAGGGAGTTTTGATCTACTCCCACTTTGAAACACTGGAATGAGACCTCCATGCAAGGCACTCTGCCAGCCTCTGGCAGAGGGTTAGAGTGGATGGGTTGAAGAGAAATAGGACAGGCAGGTAGTGCTCTTTGTTCCCTATGGTCTGTACATGGTATGCAGTGAATCTAGAAAGTTCCTGTGTGTGCCAGTGAGGAAATAGGGAGAGTCTGGGAAGACTGTTGGAATTGCAGAGGCCTAGAGTTGGGAAAAGAAGGCCTGCAAGCTCAGGACCTTCAGTGACTGGAGGCAATGTCAAGTCAGGCATGTCAAGGCAGCAACGGATACCATTGTTTACCAAAAGACCCAAAGGAACCAGTTTTCCTGCAATAGATGCCAGTGCAGTGACTAATCATCCATTCCATGGCCAGACAGATTAAGAAAGATAACAGGTAAATTTCCTCTGTCACCAGGAAACCTCATAAGCTTTTACCCTATACAAAGAAATCTTTAAAAGAAAATTACATAGTGTGGGGGCAACAGTCTCATTATAAAGATGGACTTTAGACTGATTAAATATTTCCTTGAAAGGATTTTAAAACCAAAATGTAACATGGTTTCTTCCACCACCATGAGCCACACCCTGCTATCCAGCAAAGGGTTAGGAGAAAAATCTATTAAAAGAAGTAGGCCAGGTGCAGTGGCTCATGCCTGTAATCCCAGCACTTTGGGAGGCTGAGGCAGGTGGATAATTTGAGGTCAGGAGTTCAAGACCAGCCTGACCAACATGGTGAAACCCCATCTCTACTAAAAATACAAAAATTAGCCAGGTGTGGGGGCACATGCCTATAATCCCAGCAACTTGGGAGGCTGAGGCGGAAGAATTGCTTGAACCTGGGAGACAGAGGTTGCAGTGAGTCAAGATCGCGCCATTGTACTACAGCCTGGGCAACAGAACAAGACCGTTTGAAAAAAAAAAGAAAAAAAAAAAGGAAGAAGCTATATTTTCTTTGCACATTTCAATAGAATGTGTAAATTTGCTACCCTGTTATCAAATGAACATTTATTGAATGTCAACAACATGCCAGGTATTGTACAAAATGTTAAATAAAACCTAATTTTATTTACTCCTGACTGTGGAGTAGGTACTATTCTTACTATTCTTATCCTCCTTTTACAGTTGAAGAACTTGAAGCACAGTATGATGAGGTAACTTTCTCTAAATCAATGATGGGATGAGGATTTGATCTCAAGTACTCTGATGCAGAACCTGTACTCTTACATACATTCTCAAAAGCCTTCTTATTGTGTGTTATATAATTAAGAGTTTCCTACATACGCCTCTCTTATTTGACTAAGAAGAATTTTGAAATAATACTGTTTGATGATAAAAGGAGACTACCTAACAATATGGGAAGCATGAAATTATTTATACAAATTGTGTATTTTTATACACAGAGAGTTATCTGAAGTGACATTCGCCAAGAGATTGAGAATTGTTGACCCTGAGGAGTAGGATTTAGAATGACTTTTAAATTTTTCTTTATTCTTTTTTGTTTAACTACAATTTATTTACTTATTTTTGAGATGGAGTCTCACTCTGTCGCCCAGGCTGGAGTGCAGTGGCGTGATCTTGGCTCACTGCAACCTCCACTTCCCGGGTTCAAGTGATTCTCCTGTCTCAGCCTCCTGAGTAGCTGGGACTACAGGCGTGCGCCACCACACCTGGCTAATTTTTTTGTATTTTCAGTAGAGATGGGGTTTCACTGTATTGGCCAGGATGGTCTCGATCTCCTGACCTCATAATCCACCCGCCTTGGCCTCCCAAAATGCTGGGATTACAGGCATAAGCCACTGTGCCCAGCCTTTAACTACAATTTTTATATAATTACAGATTCACTTTATAAGCACAATAATACAATGAGGCTTGTATTAGAAAAGAACTGGCTTCACTAAAATAATAAATCAGAAAATCTGCTGCTTAACACGTGCAATTTTATTTCTTTTCTGCTGCAGGTCAGGCAGCTTCCTTTCCAATAGGAACTTGGCAATCCAGTCTACTTCTATCTTATAATTCCACCATTTTAACCAGCGGTTTCTAGGGACACAGAGGCAGAGGATGAAAGAGAATGAAGAATTTACACCTGCTGTTAAATGCCTTCATTGGCCCAGAACAAGTTACATGGCCACAATTAAATTCTAAAGGATGGGAAGTGTGGTTTCCATGTGCCCCAGAAGGCAAAAACTGGATATAGATAAACACGAGTAATCTCTACCACAATGTGATTTCCATTTTGAAGACCATTAAAATAGAGGATGGCCTCTAGAGTCAGGCTGCCTGGGTTCATCTCCCAGCTTAGACACTTATTGACTAAGTGACTTTCAACAAGTCATTGTGCCTCAGTTTCCTCACTTGTCCAATGAGAATAATAGGGTTGCTATTCAGATTAAGTGAGATTGTATGTTGACAAGTACAATAGATTGTGCACAAAGATGGCTATGATAGATCCTCCTGTTCCTATACACCTATCCATTTGCAATGTGACTTTTCTACTCCTCCCATCAAAAGGTGATGTTTTATTCCCCCATGGATCTAGGTTATACCTAGATCCTGTGATTTGCTTTGACCAACAGAATATGGTAGAAATGATATGTATTCCAGGCCTAGAATACAAGCAGCTTGCAGCTTCTCTCACCTCTTGGAATTCTGCTCTGAAACTCCCATGTGAAGAAGCCTGATCTAACCTACAGAAGGATGAAAGATCACATGGAAGAGAGACAAACTCCCCGTTGAAGCCCCCTCGGCTAACCAGTTGTAGCCATTTCCAATCACCACACATACAAGAGAAGACTAGTTAGGCCATCAGAGCTGGCAGATAATTTGCAGTCACATCCATGATCCCAGGCAAGAAAAGCAGAAATACCATGCAGCGGAGTCCAGCCCAAATTGCTGATTCACAGAATTGTGAGCAAATACAATGGTTGTTGTTTTAAGCCACTAAATTTAGCACGGTGTCTGGCTTAACACAATGCCTGGCACACAGTAAGTACTTACTAAATGTCAAATGTAATGGCGTTATCATTATTATCTTCATTTAATTTAAAGCTCATAAGATTTCTATAAGGCAGACAGAGCAGGAATTTCTAATCTCATTTCATAGGTGGGGAAATAAAAGGCCAGAGATGGTAAATGCTTTGCCTGACATCACATAGTCTTTAAGAAATCAAGTAAGCATTTACAATTTGCTTTTATAAATTCCTCTCCTGGGCAGCCCTATTCTACAAAAATAAATCCCTTCATGAACAGAAACAATGAGCCACAGTGCAATATTTGCTTATAGTTTCCAAATTACTAATTTCCCATCAAAGTGCTTAATCAGCCTCCCCGTACCTAAGTCTTTCCTGATAATGACCTTCATTCAGTACCTACAATGTAGAGTTAAACTTGTCAACTTGAGAAAAGTAAGTAAAGCAATTATTATTATTATTTTGAGACAAGTTCTCACTCTGTTGCCTAAGCTGGAGTATAAATGACACAATCTCAACTCACTGCAGCCTTGAATTCCTGGGCTCAAGCAATCCTCCCACTTCAGCCTCCCAAGTACCTAGGACTGTAGATACATGCCACCACATCCAGCCAATTTATGTATTTTTTGTAGAGATGGAGTCTCATTTTTCTGCCCAGGCTGGTCTCAAGCTTCTGGCCTCAAGCAATCCTCCCACCTCAGCCTCCCAAAGTGCTAGGATTATAGATGTGATCCACAGTGCCCTGCCTGCAATTTTTGTTTTAATTGTCAAGGAAAATAATTTACTTGGTAGAGACTTGGAAAAGAGATCTTCTCTTTGTAATCAGAAGTGAGATTTACAGGGTATCCATGTACCTGACTCAGTAGTGATCAAAATTTCCTAAGAATGATTCCTACCACTTTGGCAATGGATCCCACTGACCTGTCAATCACAAGTATTAACAAGTTCCAAAATCCACCATTTCCGAACCCATTCCTGCAGGTATTTTTTTTAGTCATATATGTATCTCAGTGAGTTTTAAAGGTTCTTGCTCTCTTACAGTTCAAAGATGAGTTCTATCCCATTGAGCCAAAAGAGATCCATTTTTTTTTTTTTTGGCAAACATTTCTAATCTTTCTCTCTACACCAAAGTAGGCCTTCAAACATAATTAATTTATCTCTTTCCTTCATTTCCCCATATCCAATTCATAAGCAAATGTCTTGCTTTATCTGAAAACCTACCCTGAGTACAAGCACTTCTCACCAACTCTACTGTCAAAGCACCTAGTCTAAGTTATCAATATGTTGTTTTTTTCTATGACAGCATTTACAGAGGACAGGCAATGTGTTCTAAAAAAGAATCCAGAACATATAAGGAATTCAAACAACTCAATAGTTAAAAAAACAATTTTAAAATAGGCAAAAGACCTTAATAGACATTTCTCAAAAGACATACAAATAGTCAACAGTCTTATGAAAAAATGCTAAATATCATTAATCATTAGGGAAATGCAAATCAAAAGCATAATGAGATATCACCTTACTCCAGTTAGAATGGCTACTATGAAAAAGACAAAAGATAACAAATATTGGAAAATGTAGAGAGAGAATTGGTGAGAGTGTAAATTACTACAGCCATTATGGAAAGCAGTATGGAGGATCCTTAAAAAAATTAAAAATAGAACTACCGTATAATTTAGCAATTCCACTACTTGGTATATATCCAAAAGAAATGAAATAAGTATGTGCAAGAGATATCTGTGCTTCTATGTGTATCACAATAGCCAAGATACAAAATCAGCCTAATTGTCCACCAACAGATCAACAGATAAAGAAAATGTGATGTAGATACACAACTGAATACTATTTAGCCTTAAAAAAGAATGGAATCCTGTCATTTGCAACAACAGGGTTGGAACTGGAAGACATCATGGTAAGTGAAATAAGCCAGACACAGAAAGACAAATACCACATGATCTCACTCATATGTGGAATCTAAGCAGCTGATGTCATAGAAGTAGAGAATAGAACAGTGATTACCAAAGACTGGGGAGAGGAAGGCAGATGGGAGAATGGAGAAAGATTGGTCAACAGGTACAAATTTATAATTAGCTATGAGGAATAGGTTCTGGTGTGCTATTGCACAGTAGTGTGATATATATTTCAAAAAACCTAGAAGAATTTTGAATGTTAACACTACAAAGAAATGATAAATGTTTGAAGTGACAAATGTGCTCATTACCCTGATTTGATCATTACACAATGTATATATCTATAGAAACATCACATTGTACCCCATGACTATGTGTAATTATTATGTGTCAGTTAAAATTCCTAAAAAAGAAAAATAGGGATGCTTAAATGCAAAGATTACTTGCAGTTTTCAACTGAATGATCCATACAATATAAACAAACTCTTCATGGTTACATGCTTCTCAAACCAGAAGAGTTTAAAAAGAACAGCTTTTAAAAATAACAAATATGATTCTGTCCTTTTGCTACTGTGGACATAATGACTGCTTTGCTTCTTATGACATTAAGGAACATTATAATGGCTACAGCAACTAAGCTGTATCAATAACGTTGTTCCTTTAAATAAATCTATGAAGACAATACAGACATTCATTAAGAGCAAAATAAAACAGTGAGGTGAAAGGTCTGAAATAAAGTTGAGTGAAAAACTTAATTGGTATTTTCATCTTCATACTGAAATGCATACAAATGAGAGGTATCAAAATAAATCAAAACATGAAAACCTTTTTAAAGGAAATGAGGCTGTGGGTTGATTTTTCACTATTTTCCCTTACTATTGTACAGTACATGAGAACTAAATAAAACCAAGAGGGGGAAACAAACAAACAAACAAACAAACAAACAAAGAATGTACCAGGCCCTGGCTGGTGCGGTTAAGAGTTATTCTGGGAAGGTGTGAGAGCTGCAGAAATCATTTACCCTGTCTTTCTCTTTTTCTCTAAGACGCTGACTGTGATTTTTCTCACTAATGACAAAAGGAATAACCTCTAGTGAGAATGAAATGATGAAGGGTCTTTGAAATTCTCTACTCTCTGAACACAGTGAATGTGAATGAAAGATCTCAGGAAGAGTTTTCAAAAAGCTTATTGCTCAATCACCAGCCTTTGCGAGGAGTTGTGGATTGACTGCTGTCTGCAATAAAGTCACCAGAAACTGCCATAGCTCTCAAGGCAAGCACATGCTGATAATGACAAGCTGCTGAGACTCAAAGCTATGTTTTAGCCCCAACCCCAGCACAGACTCACCACGAAGCTCTTTGATTTCCAGACGGAACTTTCATGAGGACACACCACACTTAACTAAACCCTTGACCTAACAGACCTATAGTGAAGATGAAACCCCAAAGGTAGCCAAGGGATTTGGTATTTTAGTCATGTTCTTTCATGCCTTAGTACCTTTAAGGTAAGCTCACACAGAGGTGGCCATGAAATGGTTAATAGCAAAATCCCTGACTTCTGTAGTCAGTGAGAAACATCCGAGAGTGTGTCATATGGTCAAAAGCCTCTTTGCGAAAAGGAAAACATTTCAAGTCATAGATTCATTCTTTTATTTCTACTCATTCATTCATTTTCTTCAATAAACATTTAGGAAGCTCCTACTGTTTGCCAATAACTCAACAGAGCTCTGGAGAAACAGATGAATTCAATGTGGCCTTTTGACTAGGGACGATCGCCCACCACACTTCTGATAACAGACAAGCCCTTCTTCAGCACTACAGGGTTAGCCAACCACAGTATTCCATCCCCCTGGCCTCAGTCAGAACCTTTGCTCCAGAAATTTTCCTCTGGAACTATCAGGAAGGACTTCCAGTTACCCCTGGGGACGCCATTTTGGAAACCTAGTACTGTCATGGCCAAATTATCTATCTCGGAGGAACAGCACCTACAGGAGTGAAGCCACCACACAGATGGAAACAAAGGAGGAAGGAAGGGAAAGGGAGAGGAAAAAAGGAGGAGGAAGAAGAAAGAGAGAAGGGGGAAGGGAAAGGAAGATAAGAAGGATACCACTCGGCATTGTTTGCCTGGATCCAGTCCTGCCACAAGCCAATACCACCACCACCCTTTTTTTAAAATCAATTTTATGACCCTGAGGCAATAATTCTTGCCCTCCTCCCATGCATACTTTTCACTACACTGATCTTAACTACCTGAAACTGAGAACATTTAGATAAAAATCAGAGAATTTGAGGTCAATTTAGTAGCACAGCAACCACATACATAAATAATTGCAAAAAAAAGTGATGAAGCATAAATACAACACACTGTCATGGTACAAAAAAGAAAGATCAACTCAGCTTAGACGGTTTATAGTTCATCAGCCAGAGGTTGGCTTATTCTTTTTTTTAAGGGACGTAGTCTATAACTACATCACAGAAAAAACAACATGTAGGTGTCCCCTTACTCAAGAAAGGCCTTGTGACACTGGAGGTAAGTTTGGAAGAATATGGATCTGTCAACCTGAGGAATTGGGAAAGATGCAAATATGGATCTGTCAACCTGAGGAATTGGGAAAGATGCAAATAGATAAAAACAGAACTATGGTCCAACAGATGTGGTATATTTGGTATGGTGGATTAGATACATCCACAAATTCTTTGCTGCCCATCCTAGTAAGAGGCATGGCCTAATTCCTCTCCCCTTGAAAATACACTGACATTTAGTGACATTTTATTAAATCTGTACCCTTTTGTACCCATCTTTTTCATGTGGTGAAATGAAAAAATACAGCACTTCTGCTGTCTCAGCACATTTTCAAGATATTCTAAGAAATGTCTTGAAAAAGTAAATATATAAAGACAGAAAGTAAATGAGTGGTTGTCTAGGGCTAGGGGTTGGGAATGGGAGTGATTGCAAATGGATATGAGATTTCTGTTTGGGGTGATGGAAATGTTCTAAAATTAGGTTGTGGGAATGGTTGCACAACTCTGAGAATATACTAAAAAAACACTGAATTGTATACTTTAAATAGGTGAATTTTATGACATGTGAATTACATCTCAATAAAGCTGTTAAAAAATAGATGAAATGGACAAATTCCTTAAAAAACAAAATTTAACAAAACTAATACAGGAGGAAATAGAAAATCTGAATGAAATTAAATATCAATGAAATTGATTCCTTCATTTAAAAATCCTTCCCGCAAAGTAAACTTCAAATCAAAATAGCTTCAATGATGAATTCTGAACATTTAAGCAAAAAATAATACCAATCTTATAGAAAACTCAGAGACTTGAAAAGAGGAGGGTATCATTTCCAACTAATTTTATAAGATCAGCATAACCTCGAAGCTTCCTTCTATTCCGAGATTACTAAGAGTTCATAAAGAAGTATTAAATTTTATGTACAAATTTTTCTGGGCCAGGTGCTGTGGCTCACGCCTGTAATCCTAGCACTTTGGGAGGCCGAGGTGGCGGATCATGAGTTCAGGAGATCAAGACCATCCTGGCTAACACAGTGAAACCCCGTCTCTACTAAAAATATAAAAAAAAGTTAGCCGGGCGTGGTGGTGGGTGCCTGTAGTCCCAGCTACTCGGGAGGCTGAGGCAGTAGAATGGCGTGAACACAGGAGGCGGAGCTTGCAGTAAGCCGAGATCGCGCCACTGCACTCCAGCCTGGGTGACAGAGTGAGACTTGTCTCAAAAAACAAACAAACAAACAAAAAATCTGTATCTATTGAGATGATTATATATACATATTTTCTCCTTTATATAAAAGGGATAATATGACCAAGTGGGATTTATGCCAGGAATGCAATCTTGGGATCAGCATAAAAAGGACAATTGTAAAAGATTGTCAAATTATACTTCACTAAAATTAAGAATTTCTGTTCATCAAAAGATACCGTTCAGAGAAGGAAAAGACAAACCACTAACTGAGAGAAGATATTTGCCATCATCCAGTGGTGTACCAAGGGCAAGGTAATGGGAAAGTCTGCCTTGTATGCAGACAGTAAAAGGGTTCATTGTCTGAAAATGTAAAAGCAATACTAAAACTCACTGAAAATCACTCTGCACTTTATTATTATCATGCACTGGAATTCTAAACATTATCATAATAAAATATTCATCTAGAAAAAATATCTTTTATTAGTTTAAGTTCTAAATGAAAGTATGATCCACAGATCTGGAGTAATCCAAGATCTTTTCAGAGAGTCCATGGAGTCAGAATATTTTCATAACTAAAACATTGTTTTCCTTTTTCATTGTGTTGACTGTGTGCGCTGATGGTTCAAGACAATGGTGACTAAATCTACTTATTCCTTAGTAGGAATCAAGGCAGTGGCACAGATTATACTAGTATACATTGTATTCTTCACCACTACACACGAACAGTTAACAACAATAAGAAAAACCTAGTTTTACTTAAGAAATATATCTAATGAGGCAGTAAACATTTTATTATCATTTAACTTTTTTATGGACGGGCATGGTGGCTCACGCCTGTAATCCCAGCACTTTGGGAGGCTGAGGCGGGCAGATCACCTGAAGTTGGGAGTTCGAGACCAGCCTGACCAACCTCTTTAGTAGAGAAACCCCATCTCTACTAAAAATACAAAATTAGCCGGGTGTGGTGGCACATGCCTGTAATCCCAGCTACTAGAGAGTCTGAGGCAGGACAATTGCTTGAACCTGGGAGGCAGAGGTTGCAGTGAGCAGAGATCACACCATTGCACTCTAGCCTGGGCAATAAGAGTGAAACTCCATCACACACAAAAAAAAAAAAATTATTGTCATTTAACTTTTTAATTAAAATTTCAATTACAATTTAAAAATTTACTAAAACATTTAACTTTATTAAATCCTAAATGTTCTTACCACCAAAAAATTATGCCTGTGTGAGGTGATGAAAACATTAATTAGGTTGACTGTGGTAATCCTTTCACAAAGTACACACATATACATATATATATAACCTTTTAATCAACTATACCTCAAGCTAGGAAAAAATGAATTAATTAACTTTAAAATAAAACATTTTATTAAATATGGACCTTAGCATACCCATCTTTTTTATGTGATGACATGGAAAATAAAGCAGTTCTGTTGTCTCAAGGAAAAGCACTTTGTGATTATTTGACTGTGAGCTAATCCAGCCACTTTTTTTTTTTTATGGAACACCAGTTTGACTTTTAAAAAAACAACTGATAGGCTGTAGTTATTCAGACTTAGTTATTCAGCAGAAATTTTCTTTAAAATGACCAAAGTAAGCCTGGCACTTCAAGGAAAAGAACTAAAATATCTGTTATCTAAAAGTTGAGCTTTTAAACCTAAATTGCATGTTGGAAACTTGTATCTGCTACTGTGAGCTTGAAAGCTGCTGTGAGCTTGAAAACTCTTCTGATGAGATTGGTGATGATATTAATAAATATAGTGTTTTTGCTACTATAAAATGAAATGTGTCTATCAATAGCATTTTAGAGAATCTCTCAATTCTATCCAAAATGATGTTATTCTGATAATAAAGCCCAGATCTGCAACTTTAATGTTATACATTTTTCACTTCAATAAAATTAATGGCTGGTTTTTCCTGACTATAGGAACAGTATCTTTCATCATACCGCCCACATTATCCTCCACTACCTGTAATACTTTTCTTTAGTAACTGTATTTCTGATAAGATTATGATTTCATGGGAAACAAATGAAAATATATCCGATGTAATCAAATTGAGTCAGCTTGCTATTGCTCTCAGGTGTTGCTTATCTTCACGAATGATTAATATCTATTGACTTTGTTCTTAGGTGATTTTAAATCTTTTCAGTTCTCTTCAGCATGAACTGTAACTTCTCATCATGGATGCACATAGTAACTGCATTCTCAGAAGATTTATGCAATTAACCAATTGATACAAGGTTTATTTTTCTTGAAACTTTTTAGAAGATGACAATATTTCTCTGGATTCAGCTCTAGCTGAGTCAGAGAACCCTGAACTCATACAAACTCATACCCCATACAAACATAAACTTTGCTTTATATTTATCCCAAAAAACAAATACCTAGCCGGGTGCGATGGCTCATGCCTGTAATCCCAGCACTTTGGGAGGCCAAGGTGGGCAGATCACGAGGTCAGGTGATCGAGACCAGCCTAGCCAACATGGGGAAACACCATCTCTACTAAAAATAAAAAAAATTAGCTGGGTGTGGTGGCGTGCACCTGTAATCCTAGCTACTCTGGAGGCTGAGGCAGGAGAATCACTTAAAACTGGAAGGCAGAGGTTGCAGTGAGCCGAGATCACACCATTGCACTCTAGCCTGGGCAACAAGAGTAAAAGTCCATCTCAAAAAAATAAAAATTAAACACAAACAAACAACAACAAAAAAAACCTTATGGTCTGAGTAGGAGTATCTGTAGGAAATTATTGAAGTTATTGCGTAAAAATTCTGCTTTAGTCATCCTTGAGGATTGTTTTAACTCCTTGATCTGTAAAATTATCTTAAGCATTCTTAACATGTTAAATCACAGGGTTTTAGCTCAGATTTTCAAAGAAACATATTTTTTGGTCCATAGTGAGTATAAATTTACGGTTGTATTTTGCATTCTGATTCTCTGATATTTGAACTCAGCCATCTGTGAGTGCTACTCTTGTAAGACTAAAAGACACCCACTAAATAGTAACAAGGATAACCAGTTCTACCAAAAACATTACCAACCAAATTTCCCCACTTCTTTTTTCGGACTTTCTTTTTGCTTTCAGTCTATTAAACTGTAAAGCAGAGCTTTAACATTTCCCTATTATTCTGCTTTGGCTCACATACTGAAATGACTACACAGCACTCTATTGGATCTTTTCAGTTGTTCATGAATTAAAATAATGTCCACGTTTTACAGTTTTTGGAATAGTCTCAGCAATGGATCTGTAGTTCCAGGACCTGTATTTACAAGATCAAGATAGTTTTAGGTGTTTCAAAATTAGCTGGCTTTTTTATTTTTGGTTTGTTTTTTGTGGGTTTGGGGGTTTGTTTGTTTGTTTGTTTGCTTTGCATGGAATACTATGCAGCCATAAAAAGGATGAGTTCATGTCCTTTGCAGGGACATGGATGAAGCTGGAAACCATCATTCTCAGCAAACTAACACAGGAACAGAAAACCAAACACCACATGTTCTCACTCATAACTGGGAATTGAACAATGAGAACATATGGACACAGGGAGGGGAACATCACACACCAGGGCCTGTCGGGGGCTTGGGGCCCAAGGGAGGGATAACATTAGGAGAAATACCTATTGTAGATGACTGGTTGATGGGTACAGCAAACCACCATGGCACGTGTATACCTATGTAACAAATCTGCACATTGTGCACATGTATCCAAGAACTTAAAGTATAGTTAAAAAAAAAAAAAGTCACAATGTTTTGAGCCTGGTGTAAATGCCAGGAATATTATATGGACTTGGTATCTGCATCTCGTTAATTGTACCACACAACACTCTGCCATTCAAATAATGAATACTATCTGGTCAGGATAAGAACTTATATCCTCTGTGATTTTTTAAAGATATGTGATTTCTAAAATAAACTTTTTGTATATATTGATAAAAAAAAAAGAAATATGTCAACATGTGGAAAAGTTGAATTAAACCAGGGAAGTAATATTTTCCAAATTGTCAATGCTTGATGCTACAAAGTCAGGCATGAGTAAAAAGATTGATTCAGAATATAAGATAAGTCAACAGATTTTAATGTGAGATAGTATGAAAAGTACACTTATATGGTTTCAGAACACATTATAACTAACCTGTAAGAAACTAACTTCTGTCAAGTTTTGATATAGTGTCAAAGAAGAATACCTACAATTATTTAAAGAGCCTACTAAAATACCCTCCCCCCTTGAACTACATATTCATGTAAGGCCAGATTTGTTTCATCTGCTTTAGAACAATATATGGCAACAGATTGGATGCAGAAGGATATTTGAGACTCTAATTCCATCAATGTAAAACAAGACCACTCTTCTCACTAAATTTTGTTTTGTTTCAGAAAATTAATTATTCTTCATAAATATATATTATGTATGTTAATATGAGTTTATGTATTTTTATGGTGTAAACTTAATTTTAAAATTAATACTTTTGCTGAGTTTTAGTTTCTAATAGGGTAAATATCAATAGATTTAACCAACGTAAACAAAAGCAAAGAGTTCAGTAATTTACAAGAGTACAATGATGTTCTAAGACCAAAAAGTTTAATCACTGCTGTTTTAAACAACTGCTATTATTGTTGAGTTTTAGTAATACATGTAATTATCAAATTAGTACATTATTAACACTTACTGTGTAATTAAGCATTTTATTATTTGCATATGTTAATTTGGAGAACTCTACTTCTACAGTTAGCTCATTACACATAGTCTCAGCTACATGCCTTCATTTGAAAAAGTTCATAATGATCCACAGTTGAGCTTGCTTGACACATAGTTCTTGTCTCCACTTCCATGGTACAACACACTCCAGCATTTAAACAGTGAATTCAAAATAAAACAATGAGAAAAGTGATTGTAAAAACAAACAGAACACAGGTTACTTCAATTCTGTCATTCAATGTGACTATTTGGAGCTTTTATTTCTGTTTAAATTTTAAAATAATTAAACAATGTTAACTGTGAAGTGTAATTGTTTTAGTAAGAGTAAATTTAGTTCCTACATGAAATATTTTGCTAAATTGTAATAGAATCTGTAAAACTGAATATATTTTTAAATTGTTCATTGTTTTTTAAGCTAAAATAGCAAGAAAACAATTTTTACTGATTATGACATTATTATTAAACAATAATTTTTATAGAGGGGGGCATGTTAACAAAAGATCCTCTTGGGGCATCATATACACCAGGTATATCACTGCTAACACCATAATGAATGGTCACATGTGGGATGCTTTCTCCCTGAGTTCAGTATCAAGAACTTATTGTTGTTGTTGTATTTCATTGAGACAGAGTCTCACTCTGTCACCCAGGCTGGAGTGCAGTGGCATGATCTTCGCTCACTGCAGCCTCAGCCTCCCAGACTCAAGCGATCCTTCCACTTCAGCCTCCCAAGTAGCTGGGAATATAGGTGATACCACCATGCCAGAATAATTTTTGTATTTTTAGTAGAAAGGAGGTTTCACCATGTTGTCCAGGCTGGTCCCAAACTCCTGGGATCAAGTGATCCGCTCACCCCGGCCTCCCAAAGTGCTAGGAAGGATTTGTTTTTCAAGGATGGCTATAGCACCTTTATTCATCTATCCTCTTTTGTGTCTGACTTTTTTCACTCAAAATTATGACTGTGAAATTCATCCATGTTGTTACATGTACCAAGTAATTATTTTATTTAATCTTGTCAATCTGGTGTCATTTTTCACAACCCTGCTTATGTCATCTCTTCAGTGAAGTCCCCTCAACTCCTTAGGCAATTATAACATTTTGTTAAGCACTTACCACATTGGAGCTAGCCTATCATCTCTTTTAAGCTAGACAGCTGGGGAACCCATCTCCTCATCTAAGGCTTGACACATAACAGTATCTCATTTATTGTATTAGCATTTTCTGGCAAAACAGAATATGAGCTATATATGTATATATGTATACACACGTATATGCACACACACAAACACACACACACACACACGTGTTTCAGGTCAAGGTAGGAAAAAACCAAGGTCCTAGCTCAAAAGCAGTCAGGCAGGAGAAATTCCCTCTTATTCAGCCTTTTTGTTCTATTTAGGCCTTCAACTAATTGGATGAGGCCTACCAACATTAGAGAAGGTAACCTGTTGTACTCAGTCTATTGATTCAAATGTTAAACTGATCCAAAAACACCCTCACAGAAAGACACAGAGTAATATCTGACCAAATATCTGGGTGCCTAATGGGCCACTCAAAGTAATACATTAAAATTAACCATCACAGCCCGGCGCAGTGGCTCATGCCTATAAACCCAACACTTTGGGAGGCCAAGGCAGGCAGATTGCCTGAGCTCAGGAGTTTGCAACCAGCCTGGGCAACACGGTAAAATGCTGTCTCTACTAAAATACAAAACATTAGCCAGGCGTGGCAGCGTGCACCTGTAGTCCCCAGCTACTCGAGAGACTGAGGCAGGAGAATTGCTTGAACCTGTGAGGCGGAGGTTGCAGTGAGCCGAGATCATGCCACTGCACTCCAGCCTTGGTGACAGAGCGAGACTTTGTCTCAAAAAATATAAATAAATAAATAAATAAAACCATCACATTTGTTAATATTTGTTAAATAAGTTGGTCTTTCCATCAGTATCTCAGGAAATAAATAGACATGTAAGAGTCATATTTACAAAGCAGAATAAAATAAGGGCTAATGAGGGGTATACAGAATTCAAGTTTCACTCCATCTAAAAATTAACTTCTTTTCTGAGGAGCAAAACATAAGTAAAATTTTGATAGGAGAGGACTTGTGTAGTGGGGACACTATTGTATTGAGGCAGCTTCAGCATAGCAGGTTCTTCCCCAGTTTAGATTCAGATCACAGTTGGAAAGCAGCCTTTGACTAAAGAAGGTTTTTTGAGATGGATGCTCAGATAACTAAATGCCCAGGGTGTTCCCCAACCCGGGGGAAATTTTAAAAATTTTCCAGTGCTGGAATATTTTCTGTTGTTATCCTCAGGGATCAGTCTTGGCTGTGAGTTAGTTACCATGGAGACCAACTAAGTCTTATGCTTTTCCCTTAGCATTGTTTAAGAAGATCCAGACAGGTACCTATTGAGAAAATATTCTAATATGTGGCTTTACACCAAAACAGATGACTAGGTCCTTTGTGGAAAAAAAAAAAAAAAGCGATGGTGTTTGTACAAGAATGTGGAGGTTACCATGCTCCAAAAATGCAAAACTTGATAAGTAATTATACTCTATTTATACTGTATTTCACTTTCCTAATTTCCAAGCAAAAAGTGTTTATTTTAGAAAATTTGAAAAATAAGTTATAACCCAAAAAGGAAATTTAAAATCACATATAATCATTTCTCTCCTTTTATGGTAGAAAAGAATATAAAGTAAAACATGTGTAAGCGTTTTCCTCTCTTCCCCTCCAATCTCACCACCCCCATCCCTGAGATAGCCACCTTTATCAGTTTGGTCCTTATCAGTCTTGCCAATTTCTCTCCTGTTTATTCATTTATTGATTCAGCAAATACTTAACTGAGTGAGCACCTTGAGCCAAACATGATTCTAGACACTGGTATTTCATTGAATCCAATAAGATCCCTGTTCTCATGTTTTATAAATTCTAGTGAGAGAATACAAAAAGTAAATCAGTAAACAAGTTAATAAACAGAAAGATACTAGCTAATAATAAGTGTTATGCAGAAAATAAAAAGGTGCTATCATACCTAAGACTAAACTATGACAGGAAAATCAGCCCTGTGAAGATTGAGGGAAGATATTGCAGGTACAGAAAACAGTAGTAAAAAGGCCTTAAAGTAGATAAAGAAGGCCAGTGTGTGTAGCTCTATAGTATGATAGGAGTGGAGGGAGAAAGTAAGAGAGAGTTATGAGATGAGAAGTGAGCATGGGACAACTCGTGGAGGGATTTGGGGAAGGTAAGTATTGAAAAAGTCTGGTTTCGGCCGGGCACGGTGGTTCACACCTGTAATCCCAGCACTTTGGGAGGCCGAGGTGGGTGGATTATCTGAGGTCAGAAGTTCAAGACCAGCCCAGTCAACATTGTGAAACCCCATCTCTACTAAATATACAAAAATTAGCCAGGCGTAGTGGCAGGTGCCTGTAATCCCAGCTACTCGGGAGGCTGAGGCAGGAGAATTGCTTGAACCTGGGAGGCGGCGGTTGCAGTGAGCCGAGATCATGCCATTGCACTCCAGCCTGGGCAACAAGAGTGAAACTTCATCTCAAAAAAAAAAAAAGAGGAAAAAAGGAAAAAGAAAGTCTGGTTTCTAAGTGCAAGAGAAAGCTACTGAAGAGTATTAACAGGGGAGTGATATGCTCTGATTTATATTTTTCACATTTTCACTCTGGCTTGACTGTGGAAAATAGATTTTGGGCAGAGATTCCCAGTATGAGATCCATAGACACTCCTAAGATATTCATAGATAGAATTCAGAAACTTCATTATCTCGAATGGGAGAAAATTACCTGGTGAGCCCCTCAAAGAAGAAAAAAACCTCAAAATTATTCTATTTGTCAACCCTACAATTCACCTTCCCAAAATATCTAAATAATTGTCTCTGGCTTCAGGAGGGTAGCGGGATCCTCAATTATGATAGCAAGATTCTTTCTTTTTCTGTTTCTTCTCTATAATTGTGTTTAAAACAAAATCCTATTGGAGGCCTACTTGCATAAAGGACTTATACAAAGAGAAACCTAGGCTTATGGAAGGTGACCAGATTGAGAGTAACTTGGCGGGTTAGAAGAGTCCCCACAACTTGAACCTAGCACCTCCATAGCCCACCCCATCTTATCTGTGATTTTGGCTCCCTGCTGCCAACAGCAAAAGAAAAGCAGAAGTAAAAAATATTTTGGAATAGGGCAGGAGAATGAGGCTTAGGAAGCACATCTCGAGAGAAAGAATGAAAAGCTTCTTGAAACTGTTTAGCAGTATTTCCCAAACATGAGCACTTGTGAAAAACAAATTCCTCTGCTCCACCCTAGACACATTAACTTGGAGTTTCTAAAGGTGGGAACCAAGAATCATTGCTAGCAATTATAATAATCAGCCAGTTTGGAAAACACAGAATATCTGTGGGGAAAAAATCTAGAAGAACCCATGGAGCACAATACTCAACAGGTTCAGACTCGAGAAAGTACAATTTGACTCTCATAGCTCTCACATGTGGTTTTCGCTTTAAATAATTATGGGCATCTTCACTGGCAGGTTATTAGAAGGGTGACTAGCATATTCATACACTACATAATTAATATTAAATGAAACTGCTGAGATTACTGATATTGAAAAAGAGAATGACTTATTTATCTCCGATTGTACCCTTCAAGATGTAAAATTATTTCCTTTCATGCTGCCAGAACAAGTGGACTCCATTTGGTGTTGCCTAAGACCACACAATTTATTAAATGACACTTGGAAACCCTAACAAAAGTGATTAATATGTGTGCACTCCAAGCTCTGAGTACATTTTTCAGATAATCTATTGTTTCTACATTCAGAGAACTGACTTTGTGTTTGTGTGTGTGTGTCTGTGTGTGTGTATATGTGTGGCTGGCTGTGGGGGCCCATGCCTGTAATCCCAGCACTGTGGGAGGCCAAGGTGGATCACCTGAGATCAGGAGTTCGAGACCAGCCTGGCCAACATGGCGAAACCCCATCTCTACTAAATATACAAAAATTATCCAGGCGTGGTGGCGGGTGCCTGTAATCCCAGCTACTCAGGAGGCTGAGACAGCAGAATTGCTTAAACCCGGGAGGTGGAGGTTGCAGTGAGCCAAAATGGCGCCACTGCGTTCCAGCCTGGGCAACAGAGCGAGACTCCATCTCAAACAACAAAAACAACAAAACAAATGTGCACATATGTGCATGCAACCTTTTTGTAGAAAGAGGGTTCTTTGTTTGCAATATAATTACAGAATATTAGAGAATTAGAATTGGCGGTATCATCTAGTCACATGGCTTTAAATACTATCTATATACTTTCAGCTCCAAATTCATATCTCTAGCTCTGACCTTCCCCTGATCCTCAGATTCTTATACCTAACGGTTTACTTGACGTCAACACTTACTTTAATATACATATAAAAGTTTACAAGACTAAAACTAAACTTTGGATTCTCAACTAATGATAGCAAAGCTCTTCCTTTTTCATTTTTTTCTCTAAGACCATGTTTAAACGTGGCTTCCTATTGGAAGCCAACTTATTTAAAGGGCTTATACAAAGAAAAACCTAACCTTATGAAAAAAGACTAGGCTTATGGCAAATAAGGCATCCCCCTTTTTTTCCCATCTCATTTTATAGTACTCCTTTTTTCCAGGTACTCAGTCATCCTTAATTCTTGTTTCTCTCCCATTCCTCATCCAAATCCTTTAAGCAGCCCTTTCTTTCGTTTTCTTCTTTTGTTTGTTTGTTTTTGAGACAGAGTCTCACTCTGTCATCTAGGCTGCAGTGCGTTGGTGGCGTGATCACCGCTCACTGCAACCTTGACCTCCTGGGCTCAGGTAATTCTTTCACCTCAGCCTCCTGGGTAGCTGGGAACACCCAGGATGCCCACAGCAACACAACCAGCTAATTAACCAATCCTTTCTGCTTCCTCCCTTTAAGAATATATCCAGAATCCACTCACTTCTCAACACTTTCACTGTTAACATCCCAAGCCTTCCCTGGATAAGTATAGGAGCCTTCTAACTGGTCCCCTTTACTTCTACACTTGCCCCTCTTCCACGTACTTTTAACACAGCAGCGAAGGGTTCTTGATTGCTTTATTTTTATTATGAAAAATTTCAAACAAATACAAAAGAAAGGATAATGTAATAAAACTCCCATACCTTCTCATCATCGGCATCAACAATTGTGGCCATTTATGTTTGATCTACATCGCTGTCCACTTTCTCCTTACCCCAAAGGAGAGTGGGGTGGGGAAAAACCATTAAATGACTTTCTGGCTCATTCAAAACAAAATCCAAAATCTTTTCCGTGGCATGCAAGTGCTCTCATGCTCCCTCTTGCTTACTCCCTCCCCATAAAATTAACCTCCTGGCTCTTTCTCAAACACATTAGGATGTTTCTGTCTCAGGGAACTTGCACTTGTTTCCTGGAATTCACATTCCCCTAACCCCTAGATATTCCCCTGCCATGCATGTTGCTTCTCTTCCTTTAGGTCTTTATCTTGTTAATTTTAGACTAAAGCTGCCTTCTTATTTAAGTTTGGCCTAAACGTCTCTCCATACATAGTGAGAATAATCTAACTGGATGTATAATTGGTACTCTTGTACCAATTACAGGGTTTTGGCCAATCATAGGCTGCCAACTGTTAAAATCATGTTGACATAAGGCAAACACCAAGCAATAACCAATTCAGCTATTTCTCACTTCCATCTTCTGCACATAAATGTTGTCTTATCACGTGGCAGCCCCGGAGTCACTCTGAACCTGTTCTGGTTCTGTAGGCTGCACAGTTCATGAATCATTCTTTACCCAAAGTTTGCTCAATTTAATTTGTCTAAAGTTTCGTCATAACAATCGCAGCATCTCCTACCGCCTGGTTTTGCTGACACATGACAAACTTCAAATATTCCTCTGCCCTTTGAGATTCCTGCAAATTGGCTGCTAAGAGCCATAGTTTAAAAGTCTGCACTGTTCACTTTTTGGCTACTCATCCTTTTACACATAATGTAAATTTCCATGCAATACCTTATTCCTAACAAGATGCAACTACCCTTTGTAAAAGGCATTCTCACCCTTTCTCTGGGCTGAGTGATATGCTCTCTGCTGCACCTAGACCAACTGGTGACCAACAAGCCCCCAAAAACAAAGACAACAAAAACAAAAATGAATAAATGGGACCAAATTAAACAAAAAAGCTTCTGGACAGCAAAAGAATTAACAGAGAAAATAAGTAACCTACAGAATAGGAAAAAATATTTGCAAACTATACTCCAATAAAGGACCAATATCCAAAATCTACTGGGCACTCAAAAAAAGTCAGCAAGGAAAAACCAATCCCATTAAAAAGTGGGCAAATGAGGTGAACAGACATTTCTCAAAAGAAGATAAACAAATGGCCAACAAACGTGAAAAAATGCTCAACATCACTAATCACCAGGGAAATGAAATGCAAATTAAACTGAACAGATACTATTTTGAAGAAGGAGTACTTTCCAATCCTGCAGGAAGGTCAAAGTAACTCATTGTAAGCCAGGATAAGGACTCTGAATTTTATTCATAATGTTGCACCATAACACAGTAAGACATCAATAAATGTTTTTTATTGTTGAAATTTATTTCAACAATAAAATAAAATAAAATAAAAATTTTATTTTAAAGTGTATCCTTTAAAATGGATAGAATGCTGTTTTACGTCATATGGGTTTATCATATAACAAAATAAAATAAAAATTGGTCTTTTCAGCAGATCACCTTCTTCAGCCTCTGAGGCTTTCTCTATTCCACCTGCACCTCAGGGATCCAGGTGGACAAGCCTGAGGCCAGCCAGGTGCCTTTTTGCACCTGTGCCTCTGAAGATGCCATCAGACTATCAGCCCTGTGTGTTTATTTACTCGTAGATGCAGTCATCTATTGACTCACCACTGTCTGATCCCAATACCCAGGAGAAGGCAGTTGCAGCGGGCAATGAAGCACTAGCATCTGCAGAAAGCATCTAGTCGTCTTTCCCAGCGTCCTCTGGGCCCGCGGTGTCTTCTGGAAGCAGTCGTCCTGGCACACCTGAAGAGTACACGCTGCGCCTGCGCGGCTGTCAGCTCTGCTTTCTCGCACTGTGCCACTGCTAGAGGTGCGGGGTCAGCGGGAGACTGAGGCTCAGCTCTTGGTCTTACATCTCTCTAATCTTGCCTCTCTATGGAGCTCTGATTGCCTATATCGCTCAGGTCTTCCTTCTCTTAGGCTCTAGAACTCCAAGGCCAGCCCCATCTTTTTACAACATCCAAGCTCCATCCCTTGACAGTGGCCCTTCCCCTGCATCACCTAAGCCCCTCCTTGGACTCCCTTGGCCACTTTTCTAAGGATTCTCAACCCAAATACTTCTCTCAAGTAGGAAACTCAGGCTGATGCACTTGCGGTTTAAAATATTTTGAACACCTCTTCAAAAGAAGAGTCTTGCTATCCTGCATATTCATGACTGAGAAATCCAGTGTAACCAAATAAGATCTTTAAAAAAAATAAATGGCCGGGCGCGGTGGCTCACGCCTGTAACCCCAGCACTTTGGGAGGCCAAGGTGGGCGGATCACAAGGTCAGGAGATCGAGACCATCCTGACTAAAACGGTGAAAACCCGTTTCTACTAAAAATACAAAAAATTAGCCGGGCGTGGTGGCAGGCGCCTGTAGTCCCAGCTACTTGGGAGCCTGAGGCAGGAGAATGGCGTGAACCCGGGAGGCAGAGCTTGCAGTGAGCCGAGATCGCGCCACTGCACTCCAGCCTGGGTTACACAGCAAGACTCCGTCTCAAAAAAAAAAAAAAAAAAAAAGAGTAGTGATACTTTTAATAACAATGAGTTGACATTTTTGAATGCATTGGATGTGGCAATTTCAGTGATAAGTGGTTTACGTGCATTGTCTCATTAAATTTGTAACACATATTTTTCAACTCATAAATCAGAAAGCACCTACAGTCATTTCAAAGAGAACATTTAAGGTAGTAAAAGCTCAGGCTTCTGGAGTTCTGACAGTTGTCTTTTCAAAACACAGAAAGGGCCGGACGGGGTGGCTCATGCCTGTAATCCCAGCACTTTGGGAGGCTGAGGTGGGTGGATCACGAGGTCAGGAGTTCAAGACCAGCCTGGCCAATATGGTGAAACACCGTCTCCACTAAAAAAAAAATACAAAAATTAGCTGGGTGTGGTGGTGCACACCTGTAGTCTCATCTGCTTGGCTGAGGCAGAAGAATCACTTGAACCCGGGAGACAGAGGTTGCAGTGAGCTGAGATCGCACCACTGGACTCTAGCCTGAGTGACAGAGTGAGACTCCATCTCAAAAAACAAATAAACAAAAACCACAGAAAGAAGGAAGGAAAGAAAAGAAGTCATTAGAGAATATTTTTAGTAAAATGTGTATTATGAGAGGATTTCAAGGCATATGACAAATAGTATCATCATGTTATTGATTGAGCTACAGAGCAGGGAATATACAACTCCTTAAACAAGTACAACTAATGAATACTCAGCCAGGCACAGTGGCTCACACCTGTTATCCCAACACTTTGTGAAGCCAAGGTGGGAGGATTGCTTGAGGCCAGGAGTTTGAGACCAGCCTGGGCAACATAGCGGGACCCCCATCTCTACAAAAAATTTAAAAAATTAGCTGGGTGTGTATGGTGGTGCACACCTGTACGTCTAGCTACTCAGGGGGCTGAGGTGGAAGGATCACTTGAGCCCAGGAGTTTGAGGCCGCAATAAGCCATGATCGTACCACTGCCCTGCACTCTAGCCTGAGCAACAGAGCAAGACTCTGTCTCTAACAACAGCAACATTAACAACAAAGAATATTCGATGATTGGTTAACACTGAACACTTCCTATGGGTTAGTCATCAGACTAAATGCTTTACATGCTTTACTTCCATTTAACACTCACTACAACTCTATGGGAGTATTATTACTCTTTCTCTATCTTACAGGTAGGGAAGCTGAGGCACACATTCATTAAATAACTTTTCCATGGTCACACAGTAGTTAATAATCAATAGACATGGGAATTAAACTCCAGCAGATTCATATCAGTGCACTCCTGCTCAATGGCCATGTATACTGCCTCCACTGCAACCTGACTTGAGGACTTTGTCCTTATACACTATTTCTGTTAATACTTTGGATGAAGATGTGGATGGCATGCTGGGCAAATTTAAGCATAATCCAAAGCAGGGAGGAGGAGATAATGTATTGAAGGACAGAATCGGGATTCAAAATTAGTTCATCAGGCTTGTTTGGTGCTGGAGTAGATAAAAACTAACATTTTCAATTTAATGCAGGTTTCTCAACTTCGATGTTATTAACACTTGGGGCTGGATAATTTTTTCTTGTGAGGAGCTGTCCAGTACATTGTAAGATGGTTAACAGCATCCCTGGCCTACCCACTAGATACTAGGGGCAGCTCCCAATTGCGACAAACCAAAATGTCTCCAAACATTGCCAAATGTCACCAGGGAGGTAAAATTACTCCCAGATGAGAACAACTGACTTGGTCTTTACCACATATTATTTATAATTAATTCTCACAATTGTGGTAAGAGGTAGGTAGATTGAAATTGAAGCCAAAGTTATCTGATTTCCAGGTGGCATACTCTCATCAAGATGAAATTAAGAGATGAATATAAATTTCTGCACTTAGAGCCAAAACAAACAAACCCCAAAACTAAAACAAAACACAGCATAAACCCATGATATAGTCTGAATATGTGTCCCCACCTAAATCTCATGTTGGATTGTAATCCCCAATGTCGGAGGTGGGAAATTGTGGGAGGTTCTTTGGATTATGGGGGTGGATCCCCCGTGAATGGCTTGGGCCAGCGCCTTGGTGATAAGTGAGCTCTCACTCTGAGCTCACAGGAGATCTGGTTGTTTAAAAATGTGTGGCACTGGCCAGGCCTGGTGACTCACACCTGTAATCCCAGCACTTTTGGAGGCCAAGGTGGGTGGATCACCTGAGGTCAGGAGTTCGAGATCAGCCTGGCCAACATGGTGAAACCCTGTCTCTACTAAAAGTACAAAACTTGGCTGGGCATGGTGGCTCACGCCTGTAATCCCAGCACTTTGGGAGGCTGGGGCGGGCAGATCACCTGAGGTCAGGAGTTCAAGACCAGCCTGGCCAACATGGCAAAACCCTGTCTCTACTAAAAAATACAAAAAAAAAAAAATTAGCCAGGCATAGCGGCAGGCACCTGTAATCCCAGCTGCTTGGGAGGCTGAGGTGGGAGAATTGCTTGAACTCAGGAAGCAGAGGTTGTAGTGAGCCAAGATCATGCCACTGCGCTCCAGCCTGAGCGACAGAGTGAGACTCCGTTAAAAAAAAAAAAAAGGAAAAGAAAAAGTTAGCCAGCTGTGGTGGCATCCACCTGTAATCTCAGCTACTCGAGAGGCTGAGGCGGGAGAATTGCTTGAAATGGAAGTGGAGGTTGCAGTGAGTTGAGATCATGCCACTGCACTCCAGCCTGTGCAACAAGAGTGAAATTCCATCAAAAAAAAAAAATGTGGCACCTCCCACCACGCACTCTTTCTCTTGCTTCTGCTTTCACCAGGTGAGATGCCTGCTCCTGCTTCCCCTTCTGCCATGATTGTAAGTTTCCTGAGGCCTCCCCATAAGCAGATGTCAGCACTATGTTTCCTGTACAGCCTGCAGAAACATGAGCCAATTAAACCTCTTTTTTAATAAGTTACCCAGTCTCAGGTTTTCTTTATAGCAATGCAAGAATGGCCTAATACAACCCAGGATGATAGAAGTATTATAGTTAGCACATGTGGAAGAAAACACAAGTTTTTAGATAAGTACAGACTAAATAATAGTAGCCAACATTTATGGAGGGCTTATGCTTTTTCAGATTCTACTATGTGCTGTGTACACTAATTCATTTAATCCGCAGAAGTATCCCCATGAGATTTATTGTCCTTATTTTAAAGATGAGGAAAGTGAAGCTTAAAGAAGTAGCATTGCATAGTAGCAGAGATAAGTGATGATGCCATAGTTGAATTCAAGCAGTCTAACTTCAGAGTCAGTTCTTTTGACTATTAAATAATACTTCTCACAAAAGATACATATATTAATAGAAGGAATCATCACTGTAATGTGGCTGGGAGAAAAACACTAGTTCATATAAAGAGAAATCTAAATAAGAGAGGTTATAGTTCTCCCCTGCTTTGATGGTTAGGATGTACATAATACAGGGATATCAGGTGGGATTACACAGGCTCTTAAGAACCTGATCACAGGCTGGGCACGGTGCCTCACACCTGTAATCCCAGCACTTTGAGAGGTGGTGGTGGGCGGATCACTAGATCAGGAGCTTGAGACCAGCCCGGCCAACATAGTGAAACCCCATCTCTACTAAAAATACAAAAATTAGCAGGGTGCAGTGGTGGTGGGTGCCTATAATCCCAGCTACTCGAGAGGCTGAGGCCGGAGAATTGCTTGAATCTGAGAGGCAGAGGTTGCCGTGAGCTAAGATGGCACCACTGCACTCCAGCCTGGGTGACAAAGCAAGACTCTGTCTAGGCGGCGGGGAGAGGTGAAAGAAAAACCAAAAGAACCTGATCAGATTGGTTTGAATCTACAGTCCATATCTCACAAAAGGCCAAAGTCCTCCATGAGAATTCTGTAGATTCCACTGTCTCTGGGCTCCTGTTGCACACAATTTGTTTGTATTTTCACTACATCAGCCCAGACCAGGAACTGAGCCTCCCTCTTTGGTTCACAAAACATACAACCTGACCCAAAGATTTCCAAAATATAGTAAACTTGATTATAATTTGTTACAGAATAAACACAGCAGCAAATTCTGAAAATCTCGTGATAGACATTTGTGTACTGAAATCCCTTTAGGCAGAAAAACAGGACTTTCTTCTGAGTATGCTCCCTCTTCCGCCTCTCACCCTCACCACATCTTCTTAAACTATAAATTTTCTTTCCTCTGTTATAAAGAGCAATCAACTCTTCCCAAACTGCAAGAGTCCCTTGCTTTTCCAATGGAAAATTTAAATATTTGTTACATTTGGAATAATAACTATGTTATTTTCTGGTGGCTAGACCGGCAATTCTCAACTAAGGGCAATTTGTCCCACAGGCAACATTTGTAGATATTTTTGGTGTCAAATCAGGGGAAAAGGGAGTGGTACTACTGGCATCCAGCCTTAAAGGCCAAGGATGCTACTAAGCAACATACAATGCACAGGGCAGCCGCCCCACAACAAGGAGTTATTCAGTCCACAATAATAGATCTGGTCTAGAACAATAGATCCAACATGAGGAACACCAGGTCATCGATGAACAGAAGCTTCTCCAGGAGAAATTCAAAGATGATAATGAAAGAACTTAAGATTGTATTAGATAGAGGAATGGCTGAAGGAGCCATAAATGTTTAATATAGAGAAGGGGAAACTTCGCAGAGCATGAGAACTGCTTTGAAAAATTTGAAGAGTCAGGCCGGGCGCGGTGGCTCACGCCCTAATCCCAGCACTTTGGGAGGCCGAGAAGGGTGGATTACGAGGTCAGGAGATCGAGACCATCCTGGCTAACACAGTGAAATCCCGTCTCTACTAAATGCAAAAAAAACTAGCCAGGTGTGGTGGCGGGCACCTGTCGTCCCAGCTACTCAGGAGGCTGAGGCAGGAGAATGGCATGAACCAGGGAGGCGGAGGCTGCAGTGAGAGGAGATCACGCCACTGCACTCCAGCCTGGGCAACAGAGTGAGACTCCCTCTAAAAAAAAAAATTTTTTTTGAAGAGTCAGCTGGGCGCCGTGGCTCACGCCTGTAATCCCAGCACTTTGGGAGTCCGAGGCGGGCGGCTCACTTGTGGTAAGGAGTTTGAGAACAGCCTGGCCAACATAGAGAAACCCCGTCTCTACTAAAAATACAAACATTAGCCGGGCGTGGAGGCGGGCGCCTGTAATCCCAGCTACTCGGGAGGCTGAGGCAGGAGAATTGCTTGAACCGGGGAGGCGGAGCTTGCAGTGACGGAGGCAGAGGTTGCAGTGAGCCGAGATAGTGCCATTGCACTCCAGCCTAGGCAACAAGAGCGAAACTCCGTCTCAAAAAAAAAAAAAAAAAAAAAATTGAAGAGTCAAGGAGCAAGCTGGCCAATGGAGAGAGGCTGGTATTTACAGAGTGGTAAATGTCATCTGGATGTAAGGAAGACTATCCTAACAAGTCTGTCTGAAAACGAAATGAACTTCTCGAAACTTTCTCTTGTGTATGAAGAGACTGGGTGACCCTTTGTCAAGAATGTTGTAGAGGAGAGTGAAGTACTGAGTAGAACCACATGAAATTTCTGTTTTTGTTTGTCAACAATGGTCACATATCTGCAATTTCTTAGGACTCAAACTAATGTTATTTAAGATCATTTCACTCCGGAATTCAGTAAGCTGCAATGATATCTATGGGGTACTTTCAACTCAAAACTGGCCAAGATTCCTAGTATTTATCAAGCTGAGCAATGATCCAGAGCAACAGAATCACTTGAAGGTGACACCTCAGAGTCCTGAGCCTGTCTTTTCTTCCTGTCTATTTATATTTATATTCATAGATAATTTTAGCATCTGAGAGAATTATTTTCTCCCATGGACTTATGCCAAGAGCTACCTCCGTTCAGAGAAAGCTTCTAGGTCTATGCAAGGAACTGGGTCCATAGATGCATGCAATGCTAACAGACTAAATCCCTTACCTCCCTGCCAATTTTCCTCTGGGCTACAGAGTTCCTACTTATTCTTAAGTCTCTGATATGGTAATACAGGCTGTAGGAAATAAAGCCTAGTTCATTAAAATAAAAATTGAAGCTTGCCCCTCCACCCATGTTTTTATTATGAAAAATTTTAAATATGAAAGGTTGGAAGAATAGTACAATAGTCATTTATATGTCTACTATTATATTCAGCAATTTTTTTACATTTTGCCATTTAAAAATATTTTTATATGTATGTTTGTATACATATTTATATTTTTGTTTGAGAAATCGTTTCAAAAGAAGTTATAGGCAACACATTGGTTTACCTCTTCAGCATGCATCTGCTAAAAGTAAGAAAATTATCCTACATAACTACAATACCATTATCACATGTAAAAAATTCATACTAATTCCTCTATATCATCCAATACACAGTCAACCTTCCAATTTCTCCAACAATCTCAAAAAGTCTTCTATAGCTGTTTTTTTTCTTCTAAAGTAGGAAGCAATCAAGTTTCTCTACTGCATTTGGTTGGTATGTCTCTTAAGTATCTTTTCATCTAGTACTTGCCCCACCTCTTCTTTGATGATGAGTATTTTATGAGACCAGGTAGTTGTGTTGTAGAATATCTTACCTTCTGGATTTGATTTACTGTTTATGATGTGTTCAACTCTATCACCTTTATTTACCATAAACTGGAAATTACATCTAAAGACCTATTACATCTAAAGACCTGGTTCAATTTGAGTTAAACATTTTTGTCATACATATTTCATAGATGACACTGTGTAGTTCATATTGCATCCCATTAATAGTCACACAATATTTCCCTATCCCATTACTTGTATTGCTAAATTAGGTGAGTTGTTTAAGATGATAACTGTTAGGTTGTTTCCTAGTAAAGATACTGTTTTCTGTTTATCTTAGGGAAATGCTTTGGCAACGTGGTAGTATCCCGTTTCCCAACAACCTTTCACTGAGTTATTTAGCATGTACTGATGTCCCTTGCCTGTGTCTATTATTTCATGGGGCAGAAGGGTGTGCAGAATGCTGACTTTGTAATTACATCACCTCTTCTACATTTATTAGTTGGCAGTCTTTTGTAAAAGAGCATTTATTCTCATTAACTGGAACAAAACTATATTTCCTTCTTATACAGGCAAAGTAAATGCTTATTTCTTTCCCTTTAATTAAAAAAAGAATGAGGCCAGGTGCAGTGACTCACACCTATAATCCCAGCACCTTGGGAGGCCTAGGCGGGAGTATTGCTTGAGCCCAGGAGTTCAAGACCAGTCTGGGCAACATAGAGAGGCTGTGTCTCTACGAATAATTAAAAAAAAAATAAGCTGGGTGTGTGGTGCATAACTGTGGTCCCAGCTACTAGGGAGGCTGAGGTGAGAGGATTGCATGAGCTTGGATGGTAGAGATTGCAATGAGCCGTGATCGTGCCACTGCACTCCAACCTGGGCAACAGAGTGAGACCCTGTCTCAAAAGAAGAAGCAATTTTTATGGTTTTTCTTAAGGAGACAGTTTCTATTCTTTCAAACAGAGTAAATATTTCCAAACCAAAAGCAAGAAATTCTTTCTAATCTTCTCGATAAAAGAAGAGGAAAACAACATTTTAATTACAATCTACAAAATGCAATTTATTTCTCTAATTATTATGTCATTACATAAGAATAAAACTGAAAACTCACCCTCTTCAAGAACAAAGTTTCAAAAAGCAGCACTTAAGTGGCTAGTAATTCATTTCCATAAATTACTGCTGCAAACATTTTTTTTTCCAAACATTATTTAAGGAATCAAATATTGCTTTATTAAAGGAATGAATAACCAATTGGAACTAGTGGAAGTTTTTTTGCAAAGATGAAAAATTATTACCTATAAAATTATATTATGTTTGGTGCTTTTACCATCCAATAAAGTTATCTTAAGAAGCCAAATCATAAAAAGTTATTGACAGAAATAATAATAAAAATATATGAAATAATAATAAATATATGAAGGTTAAAAAGTGAACCAGTATTTCTTTAACAATTAATTGATTGTTTCCCATAGTTGAAACAAATCAAAACTTCAGTAGAGATGAATATACTGATGGGTTTCAGGATACACTACCCCAAAATATGGCAGCTTGGCATTTGAGAAAAAACTGCAGAAGCAGGAAGATCTCTCTGATCTTCTCCTGCCCTTCCCCCTGAAGCAGGCCATAAAAGAATTCCCTGACCTCCTGAAGTAGGTCATAAGACCCTCATGTAAGTGGTGCCTATCCTATATGTGGAGGCAAGGAATGTTCTTATCTCTAAAGAAAGGAACACAGAGAATAATTTGACAAATGAGGCTGCTACATTACCCCCAGTTTATTACCATAACATCATACACCCTTTGTCCAGTCATCTTTCTCCATGACTGTTCCCTCTTCATCAAACTTAAGCATAATAATACTGAGCTTTCCCTCTTTGGGAGAGTCTTCATTTTTGAAGGCTCCTATGTCAAGTAAAACTTATATTAAATAAATGCATTTGCTTTTCTCTTGTTATTTTGTCTTTTGTTATAAGGGCCTTAGTCATAAACCTGGCAATGGATGAGAAAAAATATTTCATTTTCCTTACAATATAGTCTCTAAAATTTATTTTGTCATAGACTCCAATAAATATTTACTCCAGGCAATGTTATGGGGCCTGAAATTATAACTATATCACAATAAACTGAAAACAAAACCTGCGTAACTCAATTGCCTATGTTCATTTGGTACCTTTTCCTGACTACCCCATTCCTTCCTGAATTACAGAAATGTTAAGAAACTTTCTTCAAAAATGTGTTACTCTCTAAGGAAATACTGTGTCGATACTGCCAACATTACATATGACTTATAGTATTTTTTCCTTTGGGGAATAAGGAACTCAAAGCCTTTTAAAATTGTGATTAAAAGTTTTCTGAACAACAAAAAAATCATTTCCTAATGGTTAGCCATTTCTGAGAACTTTAGTAAAATTTCTTTTGAAATTGATGACTTTTGGAAGAAAGAGGAAGAAGAGAAAAATGTGCCCACAGTGAACAACTTGGGAAACCAATGAATCGAAAAAGAGAATTCTCCAGATGATACAAACTGCTCTAGAAAATTCCCTTTCAGTTTGGACCACAGAAGCTTAATATCAAAGACATGTTTGATTCTACCTCATCCTTTCTAACAAAGAAGTAGATAAAGGCATACACTTCAAGAAAATGAGATGGAACTCTAGCCCAGGAAGATCCATGGCACATAATCTTTCCTGGGACACAGGGAGTGACTTGAGCGACCCATCAGACTCCCACAGTTTTTCAATGTATTTTCTCAGAGCTACTTTGAAGAGGTGGAGGTATCTTTGTTATTCTGTCAGTTTTGCTATGACACTTATTTTGAAAATGAGAATTTATTCCTATGCAACTGATGTATTAGAGAATAATTTGAGTGTAAGGCAATTTTTTGCTTGTTTATGTGTGATTTTTATCTGTGTAAAACACTAGGTGTAACTAGAAAACTGTACCCAACTGAACACAGTCAAATAAGAATGCACAAAAGATACTGCACACACATCAAACATCTACCAGTTACTTCAGATCACTATGTGTGCTACAAACCGGCCCATCCACATCTCATGTTAAAACTTTCTAACTTCAGAAAACCCTCCTTAGATCACCACACAGGAATTCACAAGAGGCAATTCTACTGAGCCCATTTCTGCATCCAAACTTCAAGTCTTTCTCAAGGTAAAATACCGTATTTAGTGTATACATTTCTTACTCTTTAACGTGCATAAATCTGTGCTGTCATTTTCATCAGGTTTCTATAATTTTTAACATGTCACTGAACTTCCCTCCAAGAAAATATAAATGCTTACTTATTTTACTTTAGTAATTTTATTGTTTTTTCTCTGTTGACAAAGTTTTAATCCACCTGGAATTTATTTCCATATAAGGATATAAGGTAGTTCTAGCTATTTATTTTTAAAATTCCAAATGAGGCTGGGTACAGTGGCTCATGACTATTGTCCCAGCACTTTGGGAGGCTGAGGTGGGAGGATTACTTGAGCCCAGGAGTTTGAGACAAGCCTGGGCAACATAGCAAGACCCCATCTCTACAAAAAAATACAAAAATTAGCCAAGAATGGTGGCATGCACTTATAGTCCCAGCTACTTGAAAGGCTGAGGTGGGAGGATCACTTGAGCCTGGGAAATAAAGTCTGCAGTGAGCTGAGATCATGCCACTGCACTCCAGCCTGGGCAACAGAGTGAGACCCTGTCTCAAAAATAAATATATAAAATAAAAAATAAAATCCCAAGTAGCTAGCAAAATATCCTAACACAGTTTCTAGTGTAGTCTATCATTTTCTAAGTGCTTTGAAATCCTTTTTTGTTATGCACAAGGTATAACTTGTGTTCGTTTCTGTACTTTTTCCTCTTTTCTGGTAACCCGTATTGCTATTTCTGCACCAGTACTATCCCTGCATTATACTGTAGGTTTATTTGTTTATTGCCTGTCTCACCCCAGTATAGTGTAAGTTATCTCACGAGTTATCTTACAAATAAGTTCTATATCTCCCACTATTATTGTATTTTTACTTTGAACTGCCAATGTGGTAAATTTTATTGATAAATTTCCTTGCATCCCTGAGATGAATCCTATTTTATAATTTTTTTTACTACTAAATTCTATTTGCTAACATTTTATTGAAAGTTTTTATATAAGTAAAATGAAATTAATCTGTAGGTTTGCTTTTATTTCCCATCTCCCACTCCCAAGATACTTTTGCTAAATTTTGGTATAGGCTGATTTCACTAAAAAGAACTGTGAAGATGAGATTGTATAATGCTAAGGGTTTGCTTCATAATTACTTGGGTGAGAGAAGCGTGATGGTGGTCATGAAAATATGTCTCTCAGATCTTCCACTGCCAAGAGCACAATTGACTAGCTCCAGCCGCTGTGCTCTGAAATCAATTCATCACCAGTTTACACAGAGGTCATGTTTCTCATGGACTATTCCCAGTCAATGACTTCTTGCAGCAGAGATCTTCGGCAGGCCTATTCTTAGGGAGTGGGGTACTTTTCTCACATGCCACCTGGGCTTAAGAATTTCCCATTGGCTTTCCTGAAACTTTTTGAAAACTCCACTGAGGTCTAAGACATTTCCTACCCAACTTTCCTTCCTCTCTTCTCTTCTCTACAGGAGTTAAACCTGCATTTCATTCTGACAGTTCTGTTAGCTCCCTCTAGTTCCCTTCCTTTTTTTCCCCAATAAATCTCTTGTGCATCTTATCCTATCTTCACGTTTGTCTCTCAGAGTTCTGAAACTAACACAGAGATCAACGGAGATACTGAGTTTTTAAAATTGGCCATCTGGCCGGGCACAGTGGCTCACGCCTGTAATCCCAGCACTTTGGGAGGCCAACGCGGGCAGATCACGAGGTCAGAAGATCGCGACCATCCTGGCTAACACGGTGAAACCCCGTCTCTACTAAAAATACAAAAAAAAAATTAGCTGGGAGTGATGGCACGCGCCTGTAGTCCCAGCTACTCGGGAGACTGAGACAGAACAATCACTTGAACCCAGGAGGCGGAGGTTGCAGTGAGCCAAGATGCACCACTGCACTCCAGCCTGGGCAACAGGGCAAGATTCCATCTCACACACACACACACACAAAATTGGCCATCTGTTGATGATAATCGTCAAAGGTAAATGATGGGTATATTTTATCATCCACTGTACGGTCTAAAAAATAGGAAGTCAAATGAACAAACATTTTTCAAAAGAAAACATAACGTGCAGCCGGGCCGGGCGCGGTGGCTCACGCCTGTAATCCCAGCACTTTGGGAGGCCGAGGCGGGCAGATCACAAGATCAGGAGATTGAGACCATCCTGGCTAACACGGTGAAACCCTGTCTCTACTAAAAATACAAAAAAAAAGTTAGCCGGGTGTGGTGGCGGGTGCCTGTAGTCCTAGCTACTCGGGAGTCTGAGGCAGGAGAATGGCGTGAACCCTGGAGGCGGAGCGTGAAGTGAGCCGAGATCGCTGCCACTGCACTCCAGCCTGGGTGACAGAGCGAGACTCCGTCTCAAAAAAAAAAAAAAAAAAAAAAAAAGAAAGAAAACTTAACATACAGCCAATAAGCATATGAAAAAATGCTCAACATCACTAATCATTAGAGAAACGCAAATCTAAACCACAATAAGATACCATCTCACACCAGTCAAAATAGCTATTACTAAAAGGTAAAAAATAACAGATATTGGCGAGGCTGCAAAGAAAAGGGAAGGCTTATACATTGCTGGTGACAGTGTAAATTAGTTCAGCCACTGTGAATAGCAGTTTGGTAATACCTCAAAAAACTTAAAACAGATTACCATTCAACCCAGCAATCCCATTATTGGGTATATACCCAAAGGAATATAGATTGTTCTATCATAAAGACACATGCACACATATGGTCACTGCAGTACCATTCACAATAGTGAAGACGTGGAATAAAGCTAAATGCCCATCAACAGTACACTGGATAAAGAAAATGTGGTATACCATGGAATACTATGCAGCCATAAAAAAGACAAGGTCATGTCATTTGCAGCAACATGGATGGAGCCAGAGGCCATTATCCTAAGTAAACTAACACAGGAACAGAAAACCAAATACCACGTGTTCTCATTTATAAGTGGGAGCTAAACACTGAGTATGCATAAACACAAAAAATGGAACAACAGACACTAGGGCCTACTTGAGGGTGGACAGTGAGGATCGAAATACTACCTATTGGGTACTATGCTCATTACATGGGTGATGAAATAAACTGTACACCAAACCCCACAACACATAATTTACTTATTTAACAAACCTGCCTGTGTACCCCCAGAAACCAAAATAAAAGTTAAAAATTTTTGCTGACTGGGCACAGTGGCTCACACCTGTAATCCCAGCACTTTGGGAAGCTGAGGTGGGAGAATCACCTAAGGTCAGGAGTTCGAGACCAGCCTGGCCAACACAGTGAAACCTCGTCTCTATTAAAAATACAAAAATTAGCTGGGTGTGGTTGTACATGCCTGCAATCCCAGCTACACAGGAGGCTGAGGCAGGAGGATTGCTTGAACCTGGGAGGTGGAGGTTGCAGTGAGCTGAGATTGCGCCACTGCACTCCAGCCTGGGCGACAGAGTGAGACTCCATCTAAAAAAAAAAAAAAAAAAAAAAAGGAATAAAATGCCTAATAAAAATAAATAAAATTTGGCCGGACGCGGTGGCTCACGCCTGTAATCCCAGCACTTTGGGAGGCCGAGGCGGGCGGATCACGAGGTCAGGAGATCGAGACCATCCTGGCTAACAAAGTGAAACCCCGTCTCTACTAAAAAAAAATACAAAAAGTTAGCCGGGCGTAATGGCGGGCGTCTGTAGTCCCACCTACTCGGGAGGCTGAGGCAGGAGAATGGCGTGAACCCCGGGGGGTGGAGCCTGCAGTGAGCCGAGATAGCGCCACTGCACTCCAGCTTGGGCGACAGCGAGACTCCGTCTCAAAAAGAAAAAAATAAATAAATAAATAAATAAATAAATAAAATTTATCAAAAAAATAGGAAGTCCATTGTCATCTCTATTGTATTAAAATATCTATAGTGAAAAGTTCACATTAAAAGAAAAGAAGAAAGAGAAAAATGAAGGCAAGAAGAAAGGAAAGAAAGAAGGAAGGAAAAGATAGAGTGACAAACATACATAAAATAATCACTCAGGCTTAACATACCCTGCTTTGTTCATCATATGAGAACATGCATATAAAAACAAATACAACTCTGAAGCCTACCTTTGTGTGTGTGTGTGTGTGTGTGTGTGTGTGTGTGTGTGACTTTGAACAATATCTACTAGTATTTGTCTCTCATTCCTCCCTTTCCCAAGTCCCTGAAAACTATTAGTCTGCTTTCTACCCCTGTGATCTCCCTAACTGAACATTTCATATAAATGGAATCATACAATGTGTGTATTTTATGTCTTCTTTCTTTTAGCATAATGTTTCCAAGGTTCATTCATGTCGTAGTATATACCAGCACTTAATTTCTTGTAGTGGCTATATCCATTGTATGGATATACAGCATTTTATTTATCCATTCATCAGTACATTGACATTTAGGTTGCTTCTACTTTTTGACTATTCTGAAAATGCTACTATGAACGTTTGTTTCCAAGTTTTTGTATGGATATATGTTTTCAATTCTCTCTGTTAAATACCTAGAAATGGAATTACTGGGTACTATAGTAACCCTAGGTTTAACATTTTGAGAGACAGCCAACCTGTTTTCCAGTGTTTGCCAATTTATAACCCAACTATCAATGTATGAAGATTCCAATTTATCCACCTCCTAACCAACACTTGATAATGTCTGTTTTTGTTTGTTTGCAGTGTTATGAAGTAGTATCTTATGGTTTTGATTTTTAATTCCCTACTGACTAATGATATTGAGCATTTTTTCATGTGTTGTTAGCTATTTGTATGTCTTCTTTTAGAAAGATGCCTAGGTAAATCTTTTATTCTTTTTTCTTTGCTCATTTTTTAAATTGAGAAATTTTCTTTTATTGTTAAGTAATAAGAGTCCTTTAGATATTCTAGATACATTCCATTGTTAGCTATATAAATTGCAAATATTTTCTCTCATTATGCAATTATTTTACATTTTCTCGATGGTGTTCTTTGAAATGCAAAAGTATTTAAATTCTAATGAATTCTAGTTTATCTATTTTTGTTTTACTTGTGCTTTTGTTATCATGTCTAAGAAACCAATCTTAATACAAATTTTTTTTTTTGAGGTGGAGTTCCACTCTTATTGCCCAGGCTAGAGTGCAATGGCACCATCTTGGCTCACTGCAACCTCTATCTCCTGGGTTCAAGCAATTCTCCTGCCTCAGCCTCCCAAATAGCTGGGATTACAGGCACCCACCACTATGCCCAGCCAATTTTATGTATTTTTAGTAGAGACAGGGTTTCACCATGTCGGCCAGGCTGGTCTCGAACTCCTGACCTCAGGTGATCTGCCCACCTTGGCCTCCCAAAGTGCTGGAATTACAGGCGGGAGCCACTGCACCTGGCCTTAATGCTTAATACAATTTTATGAAGATATTTTCTTTTAGGAGAATCCTTAAAAGAAAGTTTTGGCTGGGTGTGGTGGCTCACACCTGTAATCCCAGTACTTTGGGAGGCTGAGGTGGGCGGATCACAAGGTCAGGAGTTTGAGACCAGCCTGGCCAACGTGATGAAAACCCATCTCTACTAAAAATACAAAATTAGCCTGGCATGGTGGCAGGCACCTGTAATCCCAGCCACTTGGGAGGCTGAGGCAGGAGAATCACTTGAACCCGGGAGGCAGAGCTTGCGGTGAGCCAAGACTGCACCACTGCACTCCAGCCTGGGCAACAGAGTGAGACTCCGCCTCAAAAAAAAAAAAAAAAAAGAAAGAAAGTTTTATTCCTTTTCATTTGGGTCTAAAATCTATTTTGAGTTCTTTTTTTTTGTATATGGGGTGAGGTAGGAGTTCAGCTTCATCCATTTGAACATGAATATTCAGTTGCCCAGCATCATTTGTAGAAAAGAATTCTTTCCATACTGAATTGTCTTGGCATTTTTTTTTAAAAACCAAATGAATATAAATGTAAGGGTTTATTTCTGGACTCTCAATTTTATTCTATTAATCTATAGGTCTATCTTTATGCTAGTACCACATTGTCTATGACATGACTGTAACTTTGCAGTAAGTTTTGAAATCGGGAAGTGTGAGTCCACCAAATTTATTCTTTTCAAGATCATTTTGGATATTCTGGATCTCTTGAATTTCCATATGAAATTTGTGATCACCTTGACACTTTCTGTGAAAAGAGGCAGCTAGGATTTTGTTAGCCAATTTGGGAGGTATTGCCATCCTAACAATATTAAGTCTCCCAATCCACGAACATAGGACATCTTTCTATTTATTTAGATCTTCTTAAAAATGTATTACAGTTCTTTTTTTTTTTCTTTTTTGAGATGGAGTCTTGCTCTGTCACCTAGGCTGGAGTGCAATGTTGCGAGGCTCACTGCAACCTCTGCCTCCCGGGTTCAAGCGATTCTCCTGCTTCAGCCTCCCGAGTAGCTGGGATTACAGGCACGTGCCACCACACCCAGCTAATTTTTGTATTTTCAGTAGAGATGGGGTTTCACCATTTTGGCTAGGCTGGTCTTGAACTCCTGACCTCCCAAAGTGAACTCGGCCTCCCAAAGTGCTGGTATTACAGGCATGAGTCACTGCGCCCGGCCATGTATTACAGTTTTTAGTGTAAAATCTTGCACTTCTTTTGTTAAATTTATTACTAAGTGCTTATTCTTTTTGATGTCATTGTAAACAAAGTTGCTTTATTAATTTTTTTTTAAATTTGTATTGCTAGTGTATGGAAATATGACTGATTTTTACATACTGATATAGAATTCTGCAAACTTTTTAAATTTATTTATTAATAATTTCTAGTGGATACCTTATTTAAGTGGATACCTTAAACTTTTTTTAAGGAAAGACCATGTTATCTGTTAAAAGAGTTTTTTTTATTTCTTCCTTTCCAATCTGGATGCCTTTTGTTGCTTGTTCTTGCTAAATTGCTATGGCTAGAGCCACCAGCTCAATGTTTCTGGATCAATGTGTGAGTCTATAAGTTGGCCAGTTTTGTTGTGCTTGTCTGGGCATAGCTGGGTTCAACTGCATATGACCGTCTATAGCTCTAGATTGAGGCACTAGACTCCAGAATGGAAGTTGGGTTTAAGTCTTCTCTACAGTCTTTTTGAACCTGTAGCTACCAATATTTGTTGGATCACTGGAGTGCAAGAGGCTAAGTCCAAGCCATGAAAACACCTCTATAGTTTCTGCTTATGTCAATGGGACAGGAAATATACTCTGCTCAGAGACAGGGTATTGCAAAGGTAAGCGAAAGAGGGGTAAATGTGTATTTTTATTAGAGAGAAATGAGTAACTGGGACAAACTACCTCAATTGAAAAAAGTCTGGGGGTAAAGATGGTGTGAGTGACAAGTTAGAGAAAGTATTTTCGCATTAGATCCATAGTGCTTTCTTTGTTTATACGTTATGGATGGGTAGTTTGATCAGATCTGCTATTTAACAAAATTAGTTCATTCACTCATTCAACAAACATTTACCTCTCTGCTACCACTCTGTCAGGTAGCAGAGTTTGCACAGTTCTCTCCTTACAGGTCCTTTGCTCCTTCAGGTATATTCCTACATCACTCTTTGTGTGCTTCCCTACATTCTACCCATATACCTGTAGTATTTTTTATTAAATTCTCCTCAAATTTTCCTAATTTAGGTTTGTTGTTTCTTGCTAGAACCATGACTGATATATATTTATTGATAAAAGTTTCAAAACAATGCCACTGTAATTATTAAAATAAGACTACTCAGTATAACATTTCGCCATTTTTTGTACTTCTTTTTATCCTTACAAAATATCCCTCCAGGAAAACATAGCCAAAATGTGTTCTAAAGCGTATTGCTTTTTTATTGCTACCATAATATACTACCACAAACTTAGCAATGTAAAACAACACAAATGTGTCATCTCACAGTTCTATAGGTCAGAAGTCCAGGTTGGCTTGGCTGGTTTCTCTGCTTCAGGTTTTGCAAGGCTAAATCAAGAGTTGGCCAGCCTGGGCACTTATCTGGATGCTCTGGGGAATAATCCACTTCCAGTCTCACTTGGGTTGTTGACACAAATCAGTTTCTTATGGTTGTAGGACTGAGGTCCCCATTTCTCTGCTGACTGTCAGCTTGGGACCACTGTAAGCTCCTAGAGGCTACCCTCTAGTTTTGGGGAATGGGTCTCTCCATCTCAGTGTCAGCCACAGCACACTGAGTCCTTTTTATGCTTGGAATCTCTCTGATTTCCACTTCTGCAACGTTTCTTCTGCTTTCAGTCAACGTTCTCTGCTTTAAAGGGTTTATGTGATTAGATCAGACCCACCTAAATATTTCAGGCTAATTTTCCGATATAAAATCTATAACCTTAATTGCATCTGCAAAGTCTTTTTTGCCACTTTAATGTAACCTATTTAGAGGGTCCAGGGATTAAAGTGAGGATGTCTTTGAAGACCATTATTCTGCCTACCACATATAGACATTTAAAAAATTATTTTCTCATCCAGGCACACTGGCTCACTCCTGTAATCCCAGCACTTTAGGAGGCCGAGGCAGGCGGATCATGAGGTCAGGAGACTGAGATCATCCTGGCCAACACAGTGAAACCCTGTCTCTACTAAAAAAAAATACAAAAAAAAAATTAGCCAGGCATGGTGGTGGGCACCTGTAGTCCCAGCTACTTGGGAGACTGAGGCAGGAGAATGGTGTGAACCCAGGAGGTGGAGGTTGCAGTGAGCCGAGATCATGCCACTGCACTCCAGCCTGGGCAACAGAGCGAGACTGTCTCAAAAAAAAATTATTTTCTCTGTGATTATGTCACTAACGTAAAACATAGTTAAGATTATTTGTTTAGGTAATTTTTTAAACATTTTCTTTCAGAATAATTTTAGACTTACAGAAGAGTTGCAAAGATAGAACATACAATAATTCCCATATTCGTTTGTTTGGGTTAGTTTTGACTTTTAGAAATTTGTTGTTTTTTTAAATTATGTAAAATATTTTATTTTGTTTGTTTCAGTTCTGTAAAACATTCACATGGTTCCAAAATCAAAATTGTAAAACCAGATACATTCCAAGATTTGGCTTCATACCATCTTACCTTCCTCTTCTTTCTCTTCTCTTTGAAAAACCACTCTTTTACTCCCACTAATCTGCAGATACCCCCAAACGCTGATATATTCCTCAGCCTTTCCTACCTGAAATAGTGATTCTTCAGAGATTGTTTCCTCTTTCCTCCTGTGTTTTTAATCAGGAAAGGGGAAAATACTGTGATGAAGCTTAATGATATATTCTGCCCAAGCAGAGCAGAGGCTAGCAAGGGCTTCAGGTGGAACATTCCCGTGTCTACTCAATCAGAGACCACACTCCCACCACTCCATGGAATCACTGGATATCAAGCAATACAGCTTATCAGAGTTACTTCAACTGACCATATTGCCTATATTCCAGACACCTGCAATAGTACAACCATCATCAGTTTGATCACATTTTAAGGGGAATAAAAAAAACCTGTCCACATTAAATGAGCCCATAGATTGTGTGGGATGCATTCCAGTTTCGAAGGTGCCAAAAGCATAAAATAAAAATACATCTTGGCTGGGCGCAGTGGCTCACGCCTGTAATCCCAGCACTTTGGGAGGCTGAGGCGGGAGGATCACGAGGTCAGGAGTTCGAGACCAGCCTGACCAACATGGTGAAACCCCGTCTCTACTAAAAATACAAAAATTAGCCGGGCATGGTGGCACATGCCTCTAATCCCATCTACTTGGGAGGCTGAGGCAGGAGAATTGCTTGACCCTGGGAGGCAGAAGTTGCAGTGAGCCAAGATTGTGCCACTGCACTGCAGCCTGGGTGACAGAACGAGATTCTGTCTCAAAATAAATAAATAAATAAAAAATAATAAAATAATAAAAATACATCTTAGAATGAGGAAATATGGTCCAATCCAACTCATTCTGTAGTTAGATTAGACTCAACCTGAATATTGTCTTCTTTCTTTTTTTTTAAAACAATTTGTAATTGTGGTAAAGTATACATAACAAAATTTATGACCTTAACCACAGTTCAGTGATATTCAATACATTCATAATGTTGTGCTACCATCACCACCATCTATCTCCATAACTCCTTTCATTTTGTAAAATTGAAATGCTGTATTATTCCCTGGCAACCATCACTCTTCTTTTTGTCGCTATGGTGTTGACTATTCTAAACACATCGTATTAGTGGAATCGTATAGTATTTGTCCCTCTGTGACTGACTTATTTCATGTAGCATAATGTCTTCAGTGTTCATTCATGTTATAGCATATGTTGAAATTTCCTTCCTTTTTAAGGTTGAATAATATTTCATTGTATGTATATACTGCATTTTGCTTATCCATTCATCCATCAATGGACGCTTGGATTGTTTCCATGTTTTAGCTATTAAAAATAATGCTGCTAAAGTCTTGAGTGTACAAATATCTCTTATTTGTGGTTCCCATGGAGATTACATTTAATACCTTATAGTTATAATGCTCTAATTTGAATTTATAGTAGCTTAACTTTAATAACATACAAAAACTTTGCTCCTTTACAGCTTGTTTTTCATCACTTTCAATTGTCAATATCACAAAATTACATTTATACATTATGTACCCCAAAACATAAACTAATGATTTTTAAAATGCGTTAGTCTCTTAAATTATGTAGAGAACAAATTATGAAGTTACAAACCAATTTATAATAATACTAGATTTTAATCTAATAATGTTTTAATGTATTAGTCTCAAGTCATATAGAAAACAAAAATGTAGTTACAAACCATTATAATAATACTAACTTTTATAATTGTCCACGTAATTACCTTTATTGAGATCTCTGTTTCTTCATACAGCTTTTAGTTACTAATATCCTTTTATTTTATCCTGCAGAACTCCCTTAAGCACTTCTTGCAGAGAAGGTCTCATGGTCACAAACTCCCTCATCTGCGAATGTCTTATTTTCTCCCTCACTTTTGAAAGACAGTTTTGTCAGATATAGAATTACTGGTTGGCAGTTATTTCCATTTAGTACTTTGAATATGTTGGCCCACTGCCTACCGACCTCTGAAGATTCTGATGAGAAATATGCTGATAATGTTATTAAGGATCCCTTGTATGTGACATGTTGTTTCTCTCTCGCCACTTTCTCACTTTTTCTTTCAAAAGTTTAATTATAAGGTGTCTTATTGTGGGTCTCTTTCAGTTCATCCTACTTGGGGTTTATTGAGGTTCTTGGATGTTTATATGCATATGTTTCATCAAATTTGGGAAGTTTTCAGCCATTATTATTTTTGCATATTCTCTCTGCCCCTCTTTCTATCTCTTCTCCTTATGAGATTCTCATGTTAGTTATGTTGGTTTGTTTGATGATGTCCCACAAGTCCCTTCAGCTCTCTTCCTTTAATTTTATTTCTTTCTGTTTCTCAGACTCTATAATTTTCATTGTCATATTTTCAAGATTCCTGATTATTTATTCTGCCTACTCAAATCTGCCTTTGGGTCCCTGTAGTGAGTTTTTAATTTCAGTTATTAAACATTTTAGCTCCAGTATTTCTTTTTGGTTTCTTGTTAGGCTTTCTATCTCTTAATTGATATTTTCATTTCTTCATACATTGTTTTCTTGGCTTTCTTTGCATCTTCTTTAGTTCACTGAGCATCTTTAAGGCAGTTGTTTTTAAATATTTGTCTAGTAGATCCTCCATCAGATCTTTCCAGGAACAGTTTCTGTTTATTTTTTTCTATATCAAGCAATGCATTTTTAATTTATCTGTGTGCCTTGTGATTTTTGTTTTATGTTTTTTGGTTTTTTTTAGTTTTGCCTTGTGATTTTTTTTGTTGAAAACTGGACATTTGAATCTAATAATGTTGTAATTCTGGAAATCAGATTTTTCTCCTTCCCAGGGTTTGCTGCTTTTTGTTATTGTGTTTTTTTAGATTGTTTTGGGGGTTTTTTGATTGTTGGAGGGTGTCTCTTTGCCAAGGATAGGCCTGAGGTATAAATTTAAGATCTTCTTAGGTCTTTTCTGGGCCCGCATCTTCTCCTTGGTATCCATGGTCACTTTCTAATTTTCCCAGATTTTATGGTTGTCTTATAAGTGTTCTAATCTTTAATGCCTGGCTCTCAAAAGGGGGAAAAACAAAGAATGAAAATGAGGGGGGAAAGAAAAGGCCACTGGCCTTTAAGTTCTTTGGAGGTCACTTCCACTGGAGGAAAAGAGTCCTGAAACAATGAGAGAAGTGCAAAAACGATGGCTGCCTGCTTCTTGTCTGTACCACAGTGATCAAGAGCAGCAATCATCAATCAGAACACAAATCCTCAATATGTGGAAAACAGAATGCTTTTTGTTCATCCTGGCTCCTACAAGCTGAGAGCAAGCTGCTGCAGGAACACATGCACACTTGCCTGGGTGTGGGCATGAGTGGCTGCTACTGTGCTAAAAGCTAAAATTGACTAAAATTAGCTACAATTTACCATCTAAGCCTTCCTCTGGTAGTTGCAAACTTTCAATAGACTACAGAGTTCCACAGTAGTTATATCAGACAGATTCTGCTAGTGCAATTTTTGTCAATATGCAGAGAGAGATTCCTGGGGCTTCCTACTCTGCATCTTCCTAGAATATGTTTTGTATTCTTTCTTATATATTTTCAAATTTTTCAGGGAGAAAAAAATTTGAAAGGCTGCCCCTTCCTTGGAAGCATATGTTATCTTATTTTAAATTAAATGCAGTTGATCCTTGTTATTCATGGTAGTTATGTTCTATACTGTTGCTGCAAACACAGAATTAGTAAATACTGAGTCATTGCTCCTAGAGGAAATATAGGGTTAGGCTCCAATAAGCTTCTGGTCACATTATTTTCATCAACCAATCAATCCATAAGCTTGTTTTATGTGTGTTTCTATCTAAACACACCTACTTAACATGTTGTTGATTCATTAACATTGAACTCACGGCCAAGAAAACTGTAATTCATGCCTAAATGTAACTTACCTAACAATCATATTTTCTCCCTAAGGCATATCACAGCCATTTTGTACTTAGAATCACTAGCTATCACTTCAGCACTATGCTTGGGAGCTATTTAAAGAGTGAAATTACCAAAAAAAGCACAAAATTGTGAAATGCATATGTTTTAGTCCATTTAGTGTGGTTACAAAGGAATACCTGAGGCTGAGTAATTTATAAAGAAAAGAAGTTTATTTGGCTCATGGTTCTGCAGGTTGTACAAGAAGCAAGGCACTAGCATCTGCTTCTGGTGCGAGCCACAGGCTGCTTCTCCTTATGGCAGAAGGTGACAAGGGACCAACATGTGCAGAGATCACATTGTGAGAGAGGAAGCAAAGAGAGAAGGGAGAGAGGTGCCAGGCTCATTAACTATCAACTCTCATGGATGGAACCAAGCCATTCATAAGGAATCTATCCCCATGGCCCAAACTCCTCCCATTATGCCCCACCTCCAATATTGGAGATCAAATTTCAACATGAGGTTTGAGGGAACTGAGGTAGGAGGCAGGACTTGACTCCAGAGGCAGGGCTCAGGCTGCAGACCTGACTGAAGACTGGCTGAAACAGGGAGGAGGTGAAAGCACCCTCCACAAGGCATACTCACCAGTACCATGTCAGCTTACATTGCAATGGCAACACTTGGAAATTACCACCCTTTTCCATGGCAACAAACCAACCCAGATGTTACCACACATTTTCTAGAAATTTCTGCAAAATCCTCCCCTTAATTTGCATATAATTAAAAGTGGGCATAAACATGGCTGCAGAACTGCCTCTGAGCTGCTACTCTGGGCACACTGTTTATGGGGTAGCCCTGCTCTGCAAGTAGCAGTATTTCTGCTGCTGCTGTGCACTGCTGCTCCAATATAAGTTGCTGTCTAACACCAATCAATTCTTTCCTGGGTGAAGCCAGGAACCCTCCCAGGATAAGCTCCAATCTGGGGACTCACCTGCCCTGCATCAGAACAAACATCCAAACTATAGCAATGTAGTGCTAAACAAACTGTGAAAAGGACATTTTTCACAGCATGAGAGCTAAAGTAAGAAGGCAGAGTGTCATCTCATTCTGATTCAGGTAAGAATGTACATATTGGGTGGTAATTTTTTCACCACGTTCATATCTGCAAATGTTGCAAAAGTGCAATGGGTATTGACTTGGGAATTACAAATAAATCTTAGCAGGTAAGCAAATTAATGAATGTGGCATCCATAAATAATGGGATCAACTGCATTTTAAACATGCAAAAAAATTATTGAACACCTTAAAATACACGATCTAGCCTTGTCAAATCTTAACATTTTGTTATATTTATATCAGGTCCTTCATACACTTATTTTTTAAAGAAATAAAACATTGGCCAGGCACGGTGGCTCACGCCTGTAATCCCAGCACTTTGGGAGGCTGAGGCAAGCAGATCATGAAGTCAGGGGTTTGAGACCAGCCTGGCCAACATGGTGAAACCCCATCTCTACTAAAAATACACAAAATTAGCCAGGCATGGTGGCGCATGCCTGTAATTCCAGCTACTCAGGAGGCTGAGGCAGGAGAATCGCTTGAACCCGGGAGACAGAGGTTGCAGTGAGCTGAGATCTCGCCATTGCACTCCAACCTGGGCAACACAGCGAGATTCCACCTCAAAAAAAAAGAAAAATAATAAATAAATAAAACATTACAGACTCAGTCGAAGTTCCCTGTTTTCATCTTTCTTCATTCCTGCAATACAAGTACTAACCATTTCCAATCCTGATTACCTTCTGCTCTCAAACAAGATCACACATTCAGGGTGATATGGCCATACAACTTTTTTCCCTTTCTAAAGGCAACCACTATCCTGAATTTGGTGTTTATCATTATGTATGCCTTTACATACTGATTACATATATAAGTACTCACAATGATTGGTTTGCCTGCTTTTGAACTTTGTGTAAGGCATATCCTCTGTACTATGCTTCTGCTACTTGTCCTGTGTTACCTTTAACATAATGTTTTTGAGAATTATCCAGGTTCATACATATTGCTTTAGAGAATTTGGTTTTCTTGCTATATAGTATATCTGCATTTAGCCATTCTCTTGCTGGTGTTTGTTTGTTTTTATGCTTTTCTCTGTATGCAAAGATAAAATTCTGCAAAGATTCTTGTTAATGTTTCTTGTGCACATGTGTGATTGTTTTCTAGAATGTATACCAAAGAATGGACTTGCTGGATTATAAGAAATAATTTATTTTTAACTTTATTAGATTTTACTAAATTGTTCTCCAATTTATACCTCTATTATCAATGAATGAAAGAAAAGAGTTTTTGGCCAGGCATGGTGGCTCATGCCTGTAATCCCAGCACTTTGGGAGGCTAAGGTGGGTGGATCATGAGGTCAGGAGTTCAAGACCAGCCTGGCCAAGATGGTGAAACTTCATCTCTACCAAAAATACAAAAATTAGCTGGGAGTGGTAGCATGCGCCAGTAATCCCAGCTACTCAGGAGGCTGAGGCAAGGAATTGCTTGAACCCGGGAGGCAGAGGTTGCACTGAGCCGAGATTGCACCACTGCACTCCAGCCTGGGTGACAGAGCTAGACTCCGTCTCAAAAAAAAAAAAGAAAAGAATTCTTGTTGCTTCCTAGTCTCACCAACACTTGCTATTGTTAGATATAAATTTTGTTGCTAAACAAAATTTAGCAAGGGCTGTAGTATTGCATTAGAGTTCAGTGGTTACTAGTGAGATTGAGCACTTTGGCATTTCTTTATTGGCCATCTGGTTTTTGTTTGTTTGTTTGTTTGTTTACTTTTACTGAATTATCTGATCAATATCCTTTGTCTTCTCAATGGGTTGTTTTGTTTTGTTTTGTTTTTTACTCACTTATAAGAGTTGTTTATATACTCTGGATCCTAATCCTTTGTCAGTTATATGAAATGTAAATATCTTATCTGCTGCATGTAGTTTCTCAGGGACACAGGCTGGGGCTCTGCCATCTTGAATTTGTGTCTTCTATGGTGGCCTTGGGGGTCACCATTACAGTCAGTCGTAAAGGAGAAGAGCATGGAGGACTGTGGCTGGAGTTTTTTATGCTCTATATTTGTCAGTGGGATACATCACTTCCACTTTATTCCACAATAGAGAACATTGTCACATGCCCACATCTGACTATAAAGAAGATTAAGAAATATTGTTTTGTTGCATGCCCCCAAAAAGAGAGAACAATTCTGGTGAACAGTTAGCAGTTTAATAGCCTTTAATTTTTTTTCACACTGCTCTTGTCAGTTTTTAGTATTAGATTTATATTATTTTCATAAAATAGTTGTGGGTTATTGCCTTGTTTTCTATTCTCTGGAACAGTTTGCATAAGGCAAGTATTATTTGTTCTTTGATTGTTCAGTAGCACTCTGTCATAAATCTTTCTGACCTCAGTGGACAGTGTTTTTAGTGGAGGAACATTTTAAACTTCTGATTAAATTAATTCAATGGTTATATTCAAGTGTTTTACTTGTTCTTGGTAAATTATTTTTTCTTAAAAAGTTGTACATTGTGTCTACATTTTTTAATTTCTTGGTGTAAAATTCCTTATAGTTATTTTCTCTTTTTTTTTTCTGAATCTCATTGTCTGGTATTTTGTTACTTTGTTACTTTAAGATTATTATTTTTATAAATATCGGTCAATTTTCATGTTCAATTTGCTTCTGACCCACAATTTATTTAGAACCTATTTTTAAATCTAAATATAAATATTATTTCAGGTATTTTTATTAATGATTTCTCATTCAATTGCATTATGATCAGAAAGCTTCATACTGGTTCTTTGCAGAGGCAAAATAGCCTGGTTGTTAAGAGTATATGTCCTATAAATTAAGTATTTATAACTAAGTATGTATTTAGTAAGATTTATATATCAGGGCAACTAAATAATCTCAGCTAATAAGAAAAGGCTCTACTTTACAAAGGAATGACAGCAAATACATCTAGAAGAAATAACGAAACTAGAAAATTACCATTTTATAACCCCTAAAGAAATTACTGATTGAGGCCGGGCATGGTGGCTCACGCCTGTAATCCCAACACTTTGGGAGGCCAAGGCAGGTGGATCACCTGAGGTCAGGAGTTCAAGACCAGCCTGACCAACACGGAGAAACCCTGTTTCTACTAAAAATACAACATTAGCTGGGTGTGGTGGTGCATGCCTGTAATCCTGACTACTTGGGAGACTGAGGCAAGAGAATTGCTTGAACCTGGGAGGCGGAGGTTGCCGTGAGCCGAGATCGCGCTATTGCACTTCAGCTTGGGCAACGAGAGCAAAACTCCATCTCAAAAAAAAAAAAAAAAAAAAAAAGAAAGAAAGAAAGGAAGAAAAAAAGAAAGAAAGAAAGAAAGAAGTTACTGATTGAAACTAGGATCACCAATGTATGTTAAAGCCATTGGTCAAGTGATAAGGAGAGACAGGATGACAATGTATCCAATGCCAAGTCATCACCCCAAAAATTAGTTGCTGGGAGAAAAACGTAAACTACCACAGTGCAATGGTGAGACTTGCAATGTTTAACTCAGTGATTAATCTTAGCATCCATTTTTAGTCAATAAACAGATATCATATACCTTCTGATGTATTACAATGTGGAGAACACACCATCACCTATGAAGTATTCTTGCTAAAAATGTTTAACCTGAATCAAAACAAGCTTTAGACCTAAATTCTGTTTTGTAGGAAATACAAAGGGCAGAGGAAAAAGTTAAAACAATATCAAAAGGAAAAGTTGGGGAAAATCTAGAAGGGAGATGTTCTGTAAGTGTCTTCAGCATTTTAATGACATGAAAAGAGTGATAGGAGGGCTTTATTAAAACAAAAGAGATTGAAGAGATGAACCAATTGCAATGCAATGTTGTATTTGATTAGAATGTGATTTGAATAAACCAGTTTCAGGAGACATGCTGGAGATAATTGGGGAAATTTTGATACCAATAGGATATTTTATTATATTAAGGAAATTACTATTAATTGTATTATGGATAATTGTGTTATGGTTGTATAGGAACATTATTTGAGATAAGACATTATGATGTCTTTATTTTACTTAAAAGTATCTGAATATACCACTTTCTTGCTTAGAAAGAAAAAATAACTGTTCTTATTCCTACAAGATAAAATCCAGTCTTGTTACTGTGCGGTATTTAAAAAAAATGCTTTATTATCTGGTCACAATTTATGTCTCTAGACACTTGCTTTCATACAGCTTACGTTCCAGCCTCACTAAATTTCTCACTGTTTTTGGTTTATATCATAAGCTGTTTTTTCCTACTCAAAATGCCCACCCTATCTTCTCCATGTAACTATTAAAATTGATACCATACATATATGCACATTTACATGTGCATACTCATCAAAGCAATATTGTATGGTTTTAATGGTGGCAATGGTTATTAAAAATATATAAAATGTAAACTTGAAGGATATATACCCATGGAGAAGAGGAGTTGGGAGTCAAACTGTGAGTGGTTGTCAAAGGGGACTTGACTATAAGTGTGCTATATCTTTTAGAAAAAAGGAAAAGATTCTAGGAAATACAACCAAACAGCTGAACTTATTAATTCAGGGTGTTGAGACTATGTGCTTGTGTGTATCTTTAAAATTTTTTTCTAAAAAGTGCACATCTATAGATTGTGCTAGTTCAAACCCCATCTTCCAATTTATTGGTTGATAAACTTCGGCGATTTCTTCTAGCTTGAGTTTTCTCATCTTTAAAATGGGGATAACAATAGTGCCCACCCAGGTAGGGTTGTTGTGAGGATTAGATTTTATATATAATGTTATATTGTTTCATATTATATATACAAAGCACTAAAGCATTTAGTTTGGCACAGGGTACATGCCTAATACATATGAGGTATACTTTGCTGGGACCTCCTTTGTGGCCTAAGTTTGTTGTCAGTTTTTGTATATTGTGTGCCTGAATAAAATGCTTTTTCTATAAGTGTTGAGTGCAATTCTATATATGTATATTAGATCAAGCTTGTTAATAGTGTTCAAATCATCCACATGCTTATAAATTTTTCTTTGGCTTAATTTTTCAACAGAAAACTGCTATGATCACCTACAGTAATTGTGGATTTGTCAACTTATTCCTATGATACTGTTAATTTTATATATTTATATATATTATATATTTGAGGCTATATTACCAGGTGTATAAAAACTTAGAACTGTTATATTTTCCCTGGTTATTTTTTGAATTATTAGATGTCTACCCTTTCTTATATCACAGTGGGTTTTTTTATTTCTTTAAGGAACTTATTTTAATAGGGCTTCTCCAGGTTTTTTTGGTAGGTGTTTACATAATATATATTTCTCATTCTTTTACTTTCAAATTTTCCAAGGTTTTGGTTTTAGTGTCTTCTAAGTCTTGTAAAACACATGGCTGAATATTTTTTTTCCAATTTGATCATCTCTGTGTTTTAATAGGTAGGTTCAATTACAGTTTGTCTTTCCTGATAAATTTGTAGTAATTTCTATAAACTTACTTTTTTTGTTGTTTTTTGAGATGGGGTCTCTCTCTGTCACTGAGGCTAGAGTAGAGTGGCTCAATCTTGGCTCACTGTAATCTCCACCTCCTGAGTTGAAGTGATTCGCCTGCCTCAGCCTCCTGAGTAGCTGAGATTACAGGCACCCGCCACCATGCCCAGCTAATTTTTGAATTTTTAGTAGAGACGATGTTTCACCATGTTGGTCAGGCTGGTCTGGAACTCCTGACCTCAAGTGATCCACCCACCTTGGCCTACCAGAATGCTGGGATTACAGGTGTGAGCCACCTTGCCTGGCCAGCAATTTTTTTTAACTGTTATTTTGGTTTCAGGGGGTACATGTGCAGGTTTACTAAATAGGTAAATTGTGTGTTGTGGGGGTTTGGTGTACAGATTTTACCAGTGTATGCTTAAATACTGTCAATGCAGTTTTATTTGTATTTGTTCTATTGCATTCTCATTGTATCTCCTGAATATGAACATTTATATCTTCTATCAATTCTGGAAAGTTCTCAGATGTCATCACTTTAAATATTGCAGCTCCTTTCTTTCTCTATGTTATGTTCTTCCTGAATATCTATTATATGTATGTTGGACCTCATTGCTCTATCCTCTGAATCTCTCATCTGCTCTTATATTTTCCATCTCTGTAAGTCTTTTTGCTACATTCTAATTTCTTCAGACCTAACTTCTATTTTGCTAACTCTTTCTTCAGTTGTGTTTAATTTGCTGATTAATTTACCCCTCAAGGGGTTAAGATTTTAATCATTTGATAAAATTAAAAACTTCCTAACTAGCAGCTGCTAGCTAGATCATGATATTCCTAACTCAAATAAAACAATGCTAACAGAATAGAAAATGTCTATATAAGGATACTTCATGTCAATGGTTAAAGCAGAACAGAAAAGACACTTTGCAACTACAAAAATGACTAAGTTTCTTACTCTTGACTAATATAAGTGACTACTGCTTTTTTGCCAGTGATAACTCTAGCCCTCCTTTAATACTCCTGATACTTATCAATTATTAAATCACCAAATTTCTTCCATTTCTTGACAATATCTGATCCAGAACTGACCCCTGCTTTTTCTTTTTTTTTTTTGAGATGGAGTTTTGCTCTTGTCACCCAGGCTAGAGTGCAATGGCATGAACTCAGCTCACTGCAACCTCTGCCTCCCAGGTTCAAGCAGTTCTCCTGCCTCAGCCTCCTGAGTAGCTGTGATTACAGGCGCCACCACCATGCCTGGCTAATTTTTGTATTTGTAGTAGAGATGGGGTTTCACCATGTTTGTCAGGCTGGTCTCAAACTCCTGACCTCATGATCTGCCTGCCTCAGTCTCCCAAAGTGCTGGGATTACAGGCATGAGCCACTGTGCCTGGCTGACCCTTGCTTTTTTAACTCCTGCTTACAAATAGCCAGTTCAAGTGCAAATCCCCCTCCCACAATTCCTCCAGTGTGTTTTCTTTTTTGCTGCAGGAAACAAAATAAAGCTAGCTTTTTCAAATAGCTTCAAAGTGGGTTTTAATATACTATATTTTTAACTTCTAGGTGTTCTATTTGGTTTGTTTGTAATCTGACTGTTTTGTTTTTAATTTTGACTGTGTTTTTCTTTTCTATATTTTCCACTCTTTCTTTTATAGCTCCACTTATTTTAAACATACTTAATTTTCCCAATCCAGGTCTATCCAACACTTGTATTGATTGAAGTTGTGGGACATCATTCTACTATTGACTATTTGCTAATTTTTGTTCAAAAATGGATTATTTCTGTGTGTTTTACACTTTTCCACTGTAATCCCATTTCATTTTGAGACTATGTCCTTCCATGGTGGATTTGTGTTTGCCTCTGCTAGGTGCAGCAGATATAGTACTATTCCGGCACCAACTATTTTTAAAGTCTGTTTATTTTTTCAGGAATATTTTACATAGAATGCAATTCACTCTTTATGTATGAGGAGATTTGACAAATACATACATTTGTGTAACCATCCCCACAGTCAAGATATTGAACATTTGTGGCCAGGTGCGGTGGCTCACACTTGTAATCCCAGCACTTTGGGAGACCAAGGTGGGCAGATCATGAGGTCAAGAGATCAAGACCATCCTGGCAAACATGGTGAAACCCTGTCTCTACTAAAAATACAAAAATTAGCTGGGTGTGGTGGCGCGCACCTGTAGTCCCAGACACTCGGGAGGCCGAGGCAGGAGAATCGCTTGAACCCAGGAGGCGGAGGTTGCAATGAGCCGAGATTGCACCACTGCACTCCAGCCTGGCGAAAGAGCAAGACTCCGTCTCAAAAAAAAAAAAAAAAAAAAAGATACTGAACATTTCTGTCACTCAGAGTTTCCATTTCAGGTCAACCTTCAAAATAAGATGCCATCTTGGAGAATTCTGGACCACGTAGGTAGTATCAAGTACATATGTGAACCCTCTAACTTCATCAGGCTTAGGTCTGGGTTATAACTTTTCTAAAGAGACGTTTTTTAAAAAAGAAACAAAACTCTGAATTCTGTTTAAGGCAAACAAGCTTCCTTGTTTTCTACCTGATTGTTGGTATGGAGATTTTTCCCTTTAGTTCAGCCTTTTGGTGTGGGTGTAGCTTTTAGCTTTTTGATGGTTCCAGCATTCCGTGTATGTCTTAGTTAAATCTTCTTGTCTTGTATGTCCCCAAGGCCTCAAGTTCTGCTCTTGATGGATATTAAACTAAAACTCCTTGTTTAATAAGACCCACAATGCTGTTGCCCAAGTTTTTGAGATGGAGTGTCGCTCTGTCGTCCAGGCTGGAGTGCAGTGGTGCGATCTTGGCTCACTGCAGCTTTCGTCTCCTGGTTTCAAGCAATTCTGCCTCAGCCTCCCGAGTAACTAAGACTACAGGCGCGTGACACCATGCCCAGCTAATTTTTGTATTTTTAGTAGAGATGGGGTTTCACCATATTGGTCAGGTTGGTCTCGAACTCCTGACCTCAGGCGATCCACCCGCCTCGGCCTCCCAAAGTGCTGAGATTACAGATGTGAGCCACCGCACCCGTCCCTGTTGCCCAAGTTTAAGCTACCAGGTTTACATCTTTGGTTTTTGGTTATCTCTTCCCCTTTTTTCATACATACATTTTAATGATGTATAATGTATATACAGAAAGGTACACCAATCATAAGTATATAGCTCAACACCTCTTCATGAGTGAACATTCCTATGTGACAAGCACTCACATAAAGAAAAAGAACATTACTAGAAAGCTGTTAGGATTCTTCCAATCACTCCCTTCTTCCAACAAGAATCATTATTCAGACATCTGACACCATAGATGAATTTTGCCTATTTTTGAACTGCATGTAAATGCAATCATACAGCATATACTCTTTTGTGTCTGGCTTCCTTTGCTTATAATTATGTTTGTAAGGCTCACTGATGTTGTTTCATGTAGCCACAGTTTGTTCATTCTCATTACTGTTATTATTCCACTGCACAAACGCAACAGGATTTGTATTATAGTCAGACATTTGGGTTGTTTCATTTTCCTCTTTGCTACTGGAGCCTGGGATTTCTCTTTACTTTCTTTGAGTTCTGCTGTGTATTGAATAGGATTAAAGCAGCATTTCCTGGTCAGCAATTCTAGATGTTCTGTGTCAGGCAAAGTTTTAGATGTTACTGGCTGCCAAAGCTCCAGACACATAAATCATATGTGTTTTGTTTTTTTTTTTTTCGAGACTGAATTTCACATTTGTTGCCCAGGCTGGAGTGCAGTGACGTGTTCTCGGCTCACTGCAACCTCCACCTCCTGGGTTCAAGCAATTGTCCTGCCTCAGCCTCCCGAGTAGCTGGGATTACAGGCATGTGCCACCATGCCCAGCTAATTTTGTATTTTTAGTAGAGATGGGGTTTCACCATGTTGGTCAGGCTGGTCTCAAACTCCTGACCTCAGGTGATCCGCCTGCTTCAGCCTCCCAAATTGCTGGGATTACAGGCATGAGCCACTGCCCCCAGCCTGATATTCTTACTTCTCAAATGATTTACTTTAGCTGATGACTTATTTCTTTAGACTGTCATCTGTATTAATGGCTTTGGTTCCTGTGAAGCAATAATGAGTGAATAAAAACAGGAGCATAGGGATGAGATATGTAATTAATCTTGTAGTCATGATCTCTTGACAAGTTGAGATGTTGCATGTGCAAGGCTAGTTTAATGTTAAAAAGTGTAAAATATTGAAAAAACATGTTGTAGAAATAGAGTGGCTGGGCCGGGCATGGTGGCTCATGCCTGTAATCCCCCTACTTTGGGAGGCTGAGGTGGGTGGATCACCTGAGGTCAGGAGTTTCAGACAAGCCTGGCCAACATGGTGAAACCTGGTCTCTACTGAAAATACAAAAAACTAGCTGGGTGTGGTGGCTGGTGCCTGTAGTCCCAGCTACTCGGGAGGCTGAGGCAGGAGAATCGCTTGAACCCAGGAGGTGGAGGTTGCAGTGAGCAGAGATTGTGCCATTGCACTCCAGCCTGGGTGATAGAGCGAAATTTGGTCTTCAAAAAGAAAAAAGAAAAAAAAAAAAAAGAAATAGAGTGGCTAAAGACAGCAATAGTATAAAGTGTGGATATGGTTGTTTGGGCCCAGGATCTCTTGTCTAATTGACACTGAGAAGATAAAATGAGAAGGAAATTCTGTTGGTGACTCAGTGGTATCTAATCAGTGTGTAACCACTCCAAAATGGGGCTGTCTTTTGTTTTACTAGTTCAGTGGTTCCAAACTGGAGGTAATTTTGCTGCCCAGGGGATATTTGGCAATGTCTGAAGACATTTTTTGGCTGGCATACTACTGGAATCTACTAGGTAAAGGCTAGGGAGGCTGCTAAACATCCTACAATGCACAGGACAGCTCCCTACAACAAAAAATTACCCAGTCTCAAATGTCAGTGTTCAGAAATGCCTTGCTAGACCTAGACAAAGCTTCTAAATTAAAGGTGTAATTAGATAAAGAAACTATCAACTACTTTTCAAGAAATGATAGCCCTAGGCTGGGCACAGTGGCTCTCGCCGGTCATCCCAACACTTTGGGAATCCAAGGCAGGAGGATCACTTGAGGCCAGGAGTTCAAAGCCAGGAATTCAAGACGAGACTGGTCAACATAGAGAGACCTAGCCTCTTAAAAAAAAAAAAGAAGGAGGAGAAATGATAGGGCTACATGGACACATTCTTCTATATTTCTATCCAACTTCTGACACTGTGACATCCCGCTCATACTTGGCTCACCCTAATTTTTTTCAAAACTGTAATGGTGGGTCCTGCAACAACTAAATCCATTTAGAATTTGAATAAAATTACTCAGATCTGACATTAATGTAACTGGATATGTACAGCAATTTGTTTATATATATTAAAAATTAACAAAATTGCTCTATGATTTATGCCATTATTATTTTATTTTATTGTTGTAAACACTAAAGTTCCAAGGCCATAGAGTAAGTGATTTGCAAAAATGGCACTAGACAAATAAAAATCTTGATGTTGCGCCTTGCAGTTAGACTACAAGGTATTCTTTTCCTTTGTTCATGTGTTTTTGCAGCTTAAATTGAGGGCAAAGCTAAATTTCATTATTTCTCCAAAGGAGGTGATTACCTAAATCTGTCCCTTCTTCCTCCAGGCAGCACATACTACCATTTGTTCTTGTGATTCATTTCCCCTAGAAAGCTGAGAAGGAATTTTATAATGATATTATTGGTTTTGTAACTGGTGTTTCCATTGTAATGCTATTACGGAACCAGTGTTGTGATAAATGATCTGTTTATAAGGGAAATCACTTTTACAAGAAGTAGAAAATTAGACACGCTTCTGCTTTGCAATAACAATAAAAACCGCGGTGAAAAAATATTCTCCAGTTTATTCCCATCTGTATCAGCAGGGAAGCTTTAGAAGATGGCTTTCTCCCTAAAGTCTTCTAACCACGATTACTACCTACAAGTCCCATGTCAAAATGCAAATTTCCTCCAAATTCCACTGAAGGCCACTACATTCTTAAGCTTAACCATGACTTGGGCCCTTTAAGAAAACCAGGCGCTTCAAACTCCACCCCTCTGCTGACTTGAAGCAGTGTGAGTCCGCCTTTCCAAGGCGGTTAGTTTTGTGGTGACGCTAAGAGAGAGTTAATTTGCCCCCTGCTCTGCCTGGAAGGAATGTTCCTGTTGCAATAAGCTCTAAAAGTGGAAGCTTTAAGATAATATGGAATAGGGAGCAATAGAAACTTGTGAGGTATGGCAGCCAGACCTACTCTTAAGATTCGATCACAGTGCTGAATAAAGGGGAAAGAATGTTGTTAAATCTGTTTCCCCCTGTGGTGCTTCTCCCTGCTAGCTTTACTCTTCCATTTCAACCCTCAAGTGAGCTTTCCAGAATCCGTTTCCAATTTAACTCATTGTCTCATGTACTAGATCCCAAAAAAGTGAGAGAACTAAGTTTCAGTGCAAATTAAACTGGATCACTTGTAACAGAATGATTTAGATTGCCTATATGTTTCTCAAGAGCAAAGCCAAGCATTTCCTCCCTCCTGCTATACAAACAGTGACAGAGTTCAGAAGCCCTCCAGCACTAAGCTAAAAAATACCTGGGAGAAACTGGGGTTTAGTTGCTGTTGGCATTTAAGCTGTTTGCTAAAAGCAGCCATCTTGGTGAAAGATGATGTCATTTGGAACACTTGGTGTTTTCGAGTTTATTCTGAGGTGCCAGTTTCCAAGAGCCATTGAATCACCGTTTAATCATGAGATCAAATTTAGGTTTAAAGATAATGAGGGAGTGGGAATAAGAATCATTCTTCTTTCTTCCTAACACTTTAGAAATCTTTCAGAAAGTTCAACCCAACAGAAAAAAAAATTACACTTTTTTTTCTATTTTCTATTACCATGTGTTTGTTGTAATGTTAACTAAGCGTGGGTAATAAAACTAGTCTGGTCAGTTTCACTTTCCAATTTTTATACATAAGTGAAAGCTGTTTTGTGTCAACAGGGCAAAGTGTTTAGAATCATCTCACCTGCTGGGCCAATTTCCTGCAAGCCTTTCTTTGGGAAGAGGAAGGGGGAATAAAAGTTTTTGATTTTTAATTTCTTAAACTGCAAAGCTAGAACCATGAATTAGACCGCATTACAGTAATTACTGTTTTATTTTTACATGCTAAAGTTTTCTAGGAGTGAGCAAGAGGATAGCAAAGACGGGTGATGTTGCACTCCCACTCAATCATTACTATTTGTATAGCATAATGTTATGTCCGCAGTTACTTTGGAAAATTGGCACTTAAAGAGGTGTTTCAATCTTCTACTAAAAGTGTTTCGCCTTCCTTTTTTTTTTTCTTCATTAGGTAAATGTTACTGTCTTAATCCTACTACGAGACATGTGCTGGAAATGTTTGCAAAATGCAAAGAGAAAAAGAAAAAAACAGTTGCACCTTGTTTAAACAATTGAGCGCAGTGTGGTTTATGAGGTTATTAAAGGAGATGTGTGTCTCTCCTGCAAATTCTTACTTAACAAGGTTAACCTGTGGCTGCTGTTGTTTCATCCTCCTCGGCCTCTTGTAGAGGAACTTTGTTCTCTTAGGTTTATCCAAGCCTTCCTAGTCAAAAACACCTTGCTTTTGAGAATATAAAACTGCGTGTATGTGTGAAACAGATAGAGGGAGACACGCGCACACACAGTCGGCGGAAGATGGGGCCACAACACGGTAGAGGATGGGTGCCGGAGCCCGGCTGACCTTTCCACGTGTCCCCGGCACCTGCGAGGCTGGTGGGGCATCAGGTTTCCTTTTTCTCGGGGCGGGCGCGAGCCCGGAAGAGGCTGGGCGGCCGTGGGCTTAGATCAGGGGGCTCGGAGGCCCTCCCTTGGAACACGTGTGGCTGGCGAGCTGGTGGTGCGGGGGCAGTCCTTGGCTTTCCCGCACCCGCAGTGCCTGCGCGTTCCCAGCCCGCCCGTGGTCACCAGACGGCGGCGGGCGGGTCCCGGAGCTTTCAGCCAGCTTTGCTGGGCGGCCTAGGGAGCGCGCCCAGCCCGGCTGGAGCGAGCCCCAGTGCAATACTGCCCAAGCCCGGGCGGGGTCTCTGTTCTCTGGCAGAGGAGGTCCCTTGGCAGCGGGAAGCGCCCTCTCTTTCTCTCGCCGCCGCTCCGAGTCTGCGCCCTGGTGCCAGGCGCTCAGCTCGGCGCTCCCCTGTGCTCGCCCGGCGCCCACTCATTCGCAGCCCGGCCTTCGTCGCCGCCGCCTCCCTGCTGCTCCTCCTCCTTTCCCCAGCCCGCCGCGGCCATGGCGGACAGCGCCAGCGAGAGCGACACGGACGGGGCGGGGGGCAACAGCAGCAGCTCGGCCGCCATGCAGTCGTCCTGCTCGTCGACCTCGGGCGGCGGCGGTGGCGGCGGGGGAGGCGGCGGCGGTGGGAAGTCGGGGGGCATTGTCATCTCGCCGTTCCGCCTGGAGGAGCTCACCAACCGCCTGGCCTCGCTGCAGCAAGAGAACAAGGTGCTGAAGATAGAGCTGGAGACCTACAAACTGAAGTGCAAGGCACTGCAGGAGGAGAACCGCGACCTGCGCAAAGCCAGCGTGACCATCGTGAGTGCCCCCCGGGGACGCGCCGCAGCGCCGACCTCCGCCCGCCCCGGGAGGGGCTGCACCCGAATCCAGCCACCCCCCAAGTCTTCCCCAGATTCCCGGGGACCCTCTGAGAGCACACTCCCTGCGGGGACCTGCTGGCTTCCGGGAGGAGAGGGAGGTATCCCTTCGGGGCCACGCGGGTCTGTCCTCCTCGGGGGTCTGAGGACCCTTGCGCGGTGCGGGGGAAGGCTACTGTGGCAACCATTCATGGTCCCTTTTAGCCTCTGGAGAGGAGGCCCCTCCGGGGCTGGGCTGGAGGCTGGCGGCGTGGCTGGGGGGCGGGGTAGGACTTTTTTCAGCCCTAGCATGTTTGAGGGGTGCGTCCAGAATCTGGGGAACCCCAGTCCTGGAAGAGGGAGGAAGCTGGGATCTCTTACTGGGTCCTGGCTCGGAGTGTGGGGGTTCGCAGCTGGACTGGGCACTAAGCTGGCATCTGGACTGCGCTAGCTGGATCGCCCGGGGAGGGGGCGGGAGAGAGTGGCCGGGAATCCGGGAAGTGGAGTTTTCTGGCCGGGATCGAGAGGGAAGGGCGGGTACGGCGCTAATGCTCCCACCTCTGTTGGAAGCTCTTTGCTTTGGGTTGGGAGGGTGGACGGTTTACAGCGAGGAGAGTGCAGCATCCACGCCTGGACAGGGCTGGGGCCGAAACCAGGGGAAGGGTAGTGACTGTGACTCCCTGGCTGAGCCAGAGGTACGTGTGTTTGCTTCATTCGTGGAGTGGTTAGAAGTATCTTGCTTCTGAGTCTAGATACTGGAGAACAGGCCATCTGTTCTGTTTCTACCTGTCCCCTGGAGGCTGCCCAGAAACGGGTAAGCTTGGGTCTGTAGGTCTCTCTCCTGGTGTGGCAGGCGTTTAGAAAGGCCCCTATAGCAGTGATGAGGCGAAACGTAACTAGAAAAAGTACACTGTGTACTCTCACCTATCATCCCTGCCAGCTCACCACATCATTAACATGAAGGATCCCCACACAGACAACTGTATTCAAATCAAAAGTTCCCCAGCCAGAAGCAGAGAAGATGATGTCAAGAAATCAAGGGGGATAAATGGCCATAGCTGCTGCAAAATAGCGGATTAGGCTGAACTTTGAAATGAAGAAAAAGGGATGAATTTGGGGATAGAGGGTCACACCTTGGAAATGGAGCAAGTTTAGGATGCCCCTTGTGCCAGGAAATGCCTTCGGTGGAGGAGGCTGTGTATATGTGTGCGCACGCGTGTGTACACCCCCAGTGCTGGCTCATACATGAGAACTAGATGGCATTCTTAATTTGTGTAGAAAGCAAGTTGCAAGTTAAGTGTGATCAGTAGCCTAAATAGCAGTTGATTGTAAAAAGAAACTTTTCATGCTCAAATCCAATTTTGGAGAATGGAATTGGAGCAACTTTCATGTGAGATGGTAAAGTTCTTGAAGTGCCCTTTTGGTAGGAAGGTGGGGGGCGGGGAATTTGCAGAGGCAGCCACTTCCAAGCCTCCTATGCAGCTTTCTTCGCTGACAGAGATGTCTTTGCTGAGTGGGGGTTAAGAAGAGAGGGAAGTTGTTGGAGGCAGTTTAAGGTTTGAGTTAGTAAATGAGAGGGTTAGTCTCTTGGAGACTGTGAGCCATGGAAAGTAGTAAGACTTGCATGAAGCAAAATAGCCTTTTGCATGCAGTGGGCAATTCAGGCTGGTTTTGTTTGGGAGGGAGGAATGAGGGATGCAGAGACTATGAAAGGGTTATCTGTTTGACACTTAGACCGTATTATAACTAGGTTTGTAAATTGTGCTTAAACATGTTGGCTTTGCAGGAACAAATGTGTTCATTCCCGGTGTTTAAGATCAGAGGCCTTCTGAGTACTTGGCTAGAAGAGCGTATAAGGTGGTGGCTTGCTTTCTTAGCACTTACCCTTAACTACACTGACATCCAACCGAATATACTTTGTGAAATGTCGTGTGGTGTTAATGAGTAAAGTTAACATTGTTTTAGATGACACTGCACAAGTACCAGAAGCCTCTCAGTTCTTCTTTAATTTCTGACTAATATATTCAGGGAGACACATAAAAAAGTGCTTGTGGTTCGCCTGGTTTCCTAATACTTGGCAGTTGTTACTAAGGAGCTGAATGATAAATGCAGAAAACAGATTCCTTCAAGATTTTGCAGGTTTTGTTAACTGACCTAGGATCCAGATTCTGTGGTGGTACGTTTGACCTCTCAGGTATGTAATGCGGGAGGAGAAATTTATGTGACTCCATGAAATGGGCCTGTGAATGTAGAGTCCATTGAACAACACTTAAGTAGTTTATGTCAAGGTTAAGCTGTACAATCCCTGACATCGCTGACTTAAGCATTACCCTTGCTAGTGGCAGGCTAGGAAGTTTCTGATAATTAAGTGAAGGCCTTGTTAGATTTTTCACTATTTTAGTTAATTTGAAGGGAAGATGGTACCATAATTCTGGTAATTGCCTTCCTGGCTCTTTTTAGTTCTAATTATGATATTAACGTTCATGTCCTTGGGCACTAAAGGTGATTGTGGCCTTCTTTTTCCTTGAGCAAGTTCAGGAAGACACATTGCCTTTTTGCCACACCCTGGGGAAGAGCCGGGCTCTTTTTTTCCCCCGACTTGTTTTGTTTTTTAATAGACTTTATTTTTTTAGAGCACTTTTATCTTCACGTAACACTGAACATAAAGTACAGAGATTTCCCACGTAACCCCTGCCTTCACACGGGCACAGCCTCCTCCACCATCAACATCTTTCATCATAGTGGTCCATTTGTTATAGTCAGTGAACCTACGTTGATACATCATTATCACCCAAAGTCTAGAGTTTACTTGGTCTTGTATATTCTATGAGTTTAGACAAATGTATAATGACATGTGTCCACCATTATAGTATTACGCAGAGTTTTTCTGCCCTGGAAGTCTTCCACGCTCTGTTCATCTTTCCCTCCCTGCAAACTCCTGGCAACCACTGATTTTTTTTACTCTCTCCTTAGTTTTGCCTTTTCCAGAATGTCATATAGTTGGAATCATACAGTATGCAGACTTTTCACTTAGTAAATGCATTTAAGTTTCTTCCATGTTCCCCAACTCCTATATCTTGTTTTCTGTTCAGAGTTAAATAGTATTTCATTGTTTGGATGTATCATAATTTATCTCTTCACCTCCTGTAGGGCATCTTGGTTGTTTCCACCTTTTGGCAATTATGAATAAAGCTGCTGGAAATATTCATATGAAGGGTTTTGTCTGGAAAGATATCAGTTCATTTGGGTAAATTCCAAAGAGCATGATTGCTGAATTATATGGTAAGAGTATGTTTAGTTTTATAAGAAATTGCCAAACTGTCTTCCAAAGTGGCTGCATCGTTTTTCATTCCCACCAACAGTGAATAAGAGTTGCTTTGGCGGGGCCGGGCGCGGTGGCTCATGCCTGTAATCCCAGCACTTTGGGGAGGCCAAGGCAGGCGGATCACCTCAGGTCAAGAGTTCGAGACCAGCCTGGCCAACATGGTGAAACCCCATCTCTACTGAAAAAAATACAGAAAAATTAGCTGGGGATGGTGTTGCATGCCTGTAATCCCAGCCTCTTTGGAGGCTGAGGCAGGAGAATGGCGTGAACCCAGGAGGTGGAGGTTGCAGTGAGCCAATGTCGCACCACTGCACTCCAGTCTGGGTGACAGAGCCAGACTTCATCTCAAAAAAAAAAAAAAAAAAAAAAAGAGTTACTGTTGCTCACCAACATTTGCTGTAGTCAGTGTTCTAGATTTTGACCATTCCAATAGGTGTATAGTAATATCTCTGTTATGCCCTTTTTAAAGCCAAGTCCAAAGGCTAATAGAAGCTCTTAACCAATGGTCTCTTCTGGTATGTAAGCGGCTATTCTGGTCAAACTACCCATTTAATGAACGACTAGTTTCATGGGCCTGTGTTCTCAGTATCTGTATAATAGTGGTAAACATCATCTGTGGGAGACAATCAACAGTAAGCAGTCTTTCAGTCGTGTCCACAAGCGCCCAGTGCACCTGTGAGTTATAGCCTGCCCTAGGCCATTTTATTTGGGGCTTAAAAGTGGAATAGAATATTTTGAGTGATTATTCAATTTTCCCCATGAAGTCAGCAGGGGAATCAGGCTACTGATTACAGATCATAATTTCTTTTTTTTGGAGTAGGGGAAATAAACAAATGCATAGTCACCTTTTTGAGTAGCTTTTGTATGTTAGGCCAGATCTGTTGGTTTGTCCTATGAGTGAGAATGTGATTGTGGATTATATGATTCAGTGTAGTGAGGGTTATTGTGGGGTGGTGGTCTTAGAGAAGGTGAGGAAATGCAATTGTGGGCAGTAATTGGATGGCTTCAAAGTTCTCAGCTAGTTGCTGGCATTCTCCGTGTATAAGCAGGGCCTCAGGTGGTTCTCTAGGGTGTGTACCTCTTCCAGGCAGTTTCAGACCTTTGGTATGTGTTTGGTTTGGAAATCAAGGCCTATAATAAATCACTGATATTTAAGTGTCTCTCTGACTGTAAAATTAATCCTTTATTGTAGAAGTTAAGGGAAATACAGAAGTACAAGGTGTTTTGAAGTTATAATAGAAAAATATGTTGGTCTGGCATGATTAGAAAACCTGGCTATTTTAAACATCAACAGTGTAATGGTTTCATTAACCAATAAAATCTGCCATATAGTTGATGTTGTATATTTTGGATTATTTACTCTGGAAGTCTAATATGTTATTTTCAATTTTTAAGACTTTTGTCAGACTCTGAAGCTACAAATCGATATTGCCTTTATAAATGTGACGATGAGAGTGTGATGTCTTTTTTCCCCCCGTTTAGAAAAGTATTTCTTAGATTCTTATGGAAACACACAACTTTAGACACAACTTTGAGGAAAATATGACCTCACAGTTAGGTCTAACTGTACACAAGTCTTCTTAAAGAGGCCATTCTCCTATTTCTTCAGCATTTACGAGTTTTTTCACATTTGTAAGTATCTTCTATGTGTTTCATATACTCTATTTGTACTTAATTTTTAAAAACCGTTTGTTTTTTTTGTGTGTGTGTGACAGCTTTATTACCCAGACTGGAGTGCAGTGGTGCGATCTCAGTTCACTGCAACCTCTGCCCCCCAGGTTCAAGTGATTCTCATGCCTCAGCCTCCCTACTAGCTGGGACTACAGGCATGCGCCACCATGCCCACCTAGTTTTGTATTTTTAGTGGAGGTGGTGTTTACCATGTTGTCCAGGCTGGTCTCAGAACTCCTGGCCTAAAGTGATCCACCCACCTCTGCCTCCCAAAGTGCTAGGATTACAGGTGTGAGCTACCATGCCCAGCCAAAAGCTGAAATTTTAAAGGTCATGACAGTCTTTTACAGTGCTTCCTATTTGCTAGAGATGGGGAATCATTAGAGAATTCACAGTATCTGGTTTGTGGTGACTCTTGTTCAGGACCAGAGAGGCTGGTCTACAGCAAAAATTGAAGGTAGCCATTGCTTGCTTAAACATATTGAATGACTCCCCATTGTCCTTGGATCCAGGTGAACCTTCTGGTGGTTTACCAGGCTCTGCATGATTGGAATGCCCTGCTTGCTTCACAGCCACACCTCTTACATGCGTTTAGCCCAGTGTGCATTCTCTAAGCTCTCACATCACTCCTTTACTACTAGCACCCAGAACTTCAGTAGATTTCCTCTGGCTCCTCAATGGTGCCGCTCGTCCCCTTAAATGTTCTTCTGTATTCCTCCCCTCTTTTCTACCTTGTCAGTTGAAATAGACTGTACTGCCTTCTCCACCTGAACCCCTTCCTGGTATGCCCTGATACTTCCTCTTTGTCAGCCACACACCGGGGTATGCACCTGCTACTGGGGTATGCACCTACTTCCGTGGTTCCATAGACACCACCCCCCCCACCCCACGTCACTGACACTCGACTATCGAGATCTTTCCCGGTTCATGTGTAAATTTCTTTGGGGGCAGAATTTGCCTTGTTCATCACATTCCTCAGTGCTTGGCATGTGAGAAACACCCAGAAATTTGTTGAGCTGGCTCCAGAGGCACGGGTATGTATGTACTTGTTTCTTTCTGTGATGAAGGTGCCAACACTCTCTCTGGGACCTTGTCTTCATAGAGCCACTCCCCTGCCACAACAGCAAACACTTTCTTTACCATAGTTGATGAAACAGACCAGATATGTGAATGGATGCATTGTATACTTTGGGGGACCATTGCAATCAGTGTGCCCTTGCCTTCTAGCTTTGGGTGATGTGGGCTACCTTGCAGCATACACCTGGGTGTTCCTGATAACATTTTATCTGAAAGGGGACAAAGTATTTTCAGGTTCTCCTTTCTAAGTGTTTCTGAGCAGGGCTTGGAGGAAAAAGTAGCCCCATTGGAAGTGTTCAGATTTGCTGCCTTGGTTTTGGTGATGGTGGCAGATCATTCCAGGTGTTTCCTATGACTCTTTAATGTTGAAATGCACCACTGGGAAACAACTCTGGCCCATTGCAGGGGGATGCAGTAATGCAAATAAATACTGGTGACCTGTAGCAGTGATGGGGGAAGCATCTGAAAACAGGGTAGGGGGATTGTTGAATTCTTACGTCTGCTGTGTCTTGCAGAGACACAAGTGTCACCACAGTGTATTTGTGTGTGTGTGTTTTCCTTAAATCATGCCTTGCCGAAATAATTGTGTTTACACTTCAAAATGCTAATCCAAACTACTGAACTGCAGTCAGGCTGAGTAAGGAATAATGGTAATCTTTTCTGTCCTCTCTGCATACTTTTTTTCCTTAGTGGGTAGGTGTTGCTTTTTGTTTTCAATCACATTGTGGTTGTTTTCAGGTATATTGAATTGTCAAAGTTGGCAGAGTAAATGTTCACAGGTTCAATATGTTCCTGCTTGGTGATGGTTGCAATTTTCTTGACAGAGGAACTAATCCTCTGGAAAATATTTTTAATTGTGAGGATCTTGGGGTGGTGTTAACTTGCAGATTCTTCCTACTTCTCCAAGGCTGTCAAATTTTCTTATCTTTTATGGCTGTGAAATGCACAGCTGTGAAGTCTATTCCAACCCTGATACCAGTAAATTGCAAAGGTCACTTTGTGTAGGTTCTCTCTTTAGGGATAAGTATTCTTTTAAAAAAGGCTTAACAATATGATTGATGGTCATTTAGAATTAACCCTCCCCTTTACTTATTGGTTCCTGGATCAGACATATGGAGTGCAATTTAATGATTATAGTTCATTACAATACTCATTTGTTTTTTGCTGGGAGATTTTTCTGGTCTCCCCTCTCTGCCCCCGCCTTTGTTTCTTCAGTAAGGTACAAAATGGCATGTAATAAATAAAATAAATATAGCCTCAAAGAGGCAGGATTCAGCTGTCAAGTGCTTATAATACTGTGTGCTGGATACAAATATCCAAAAGGAATGTTAGGGCTCTCCCGGTAGCATAGCGAGGATTGCACTTGACTTTCATTCAGCCTGGCCCTGGCCTGGTGCTGTAGGGAATACAGAGCAGAGGGAAACAGCCTTTCTCTCCAGCCTTGGGGATTGTGCAGTGCAGAAGGAACCAACACACACATGGATGCAGGAAGGGAAGCTTAGGCCGACTCCTGTAGGGGTTCCCAGGGAGGGGAATTTTACCTTCCAGCTTCCAAAATGAAGTTCATCTATCTCTGTGAATATCTTTAAGGGTAACAAGTTATCACATTCATTCACAGTTTAATTAGCTTGTAGTTTATTATGTAAGGCAGAGATGGGGAGAGCTGTTGCTCAATTTATGCTGAGGTGGCACTGGGAGGCTTTTGGTTTGTTTTTAATTTTTGTTTTTATGTGATGATGATTGAAAAGAAATGTCATTGATATTTTAATTTCATAATCTGCATCTGTCAGTACATGGAAATTATCTAGGTGGTTTTTTTCCCTCTATTCCTGTTTCTTTCATGGAATAATGGTGGATGGACGGAATTTCTCAAGTTTTTAATCCGAAACTATCTGAAAGCAAAGACTTCTTGCAGTAAAATTAGAGGTACTATTTTATAGGAAATTTTGAATTCTAGTTTTTTACAAAAGCAGTGCTGATTGATGGGCTAATCTTCCATGCATCTGTTCCAGATCAATCCAGCCTTGTGGTGCCAGGTGTGTGTCCAAAGTGATCTGGGTAATACCCACCAGGGCATCTCAGGGCACTGAGGATCAAATGAGGCCACTTGGTACTGCAGAGCAGAGTTGGGATGTTCAGCCAGGCATAAGTCATCATTCAAAAAGTTTTCCATAGGAGGAAGGACGAGAGTAAAAGAATGAAAGCAGCAGGGATTATGGGTGACCTAAAGAAAATTCTTAGAAATCTAGTTACCTGTGTTAAACACTTCACCTGTTGCTTCTATAAGTGAACAGTTTGAGTCTTTTGTGCTGTCTGCTTGTTGAGATTGAATTAGAGAGGCTAAAAGGGACAGATCTGAGAGAAAAATAATTATACCTGGAGTTTCATATAGATAACTTTTCAACTCATGAAATTACTTGTATGCAAGCTTGACTTTTTAAAAATTATCCTAATAGGCCAGGTGTGATGGCTCACGCCTGTAATCCCAGCACTTTGGGGAGGCCGAGGCAGGCGGATCACCTGAGGTCGGGAGTTTGAGACCAGCCTGACTAACATGGAGAAACCCCTTCTCTACTAAAAATACAAAAAATTAGCTGGGCATGGTGGTGCATGCCTGTAATCCCAGCTACTCGGGAGGCTGAGGCAGGAGAATCGCTTGAACCCGGGAGGTGGAGGTTGCGGTGAGCCGAGATTGCACCATTTTACTCCAGCCTGGGCAACAGGAGTGAAACTCCATCTCAAAAAAAAAAAAAATTATCCTAATATACCAACTCAAATGATAACTTTTATTCTACTGAGAGATGTTTTTTGTGGGGTGGAGTTCTTCACTAGACCAGAGTTTATCTAAACAAAGACATCCGTTGAGTCAAAACATCGTGTCTTCACTTCATTTAGTAGCCCTACTAATCTTTGAGGAAAAAATTGACTAGGTGATTTTATTGTTTTTATTAACCAAAGAGTACTGTTTTAAGTGTATTCTCCATAAAGTAGAGTTAGACTTCTTCAGGTTCAAATCACTACCTGGTAAGGGTTTATGTCCCTTGGAAAGTATATTAACTGTTTTATGCCATTTTGAGCCTTGCATGCATGGGGTTTATATTGTGAAATACCTTAGGTACCCAGAGAAGAGTACCAGTGACTTTTTTTGCATTTTTTTTTGTGATAAAAACATACACAACATATAATTCACCATTTTAACCATTTGTAAGTGTACAATTCAGTGGCTTTAAGTACATTCACAGTGTTTTGCAACCATCACCATTATCCATATCCAGAACTTTTCATCATCCCAAAAGGAAACTCTGTACCCATTAAACAATAACACCCATTTTTTTTTCCTCCCTGGTAAACCTCTATTCCTAGTGACTTAATTTTTTTTGTTTGTTTGTTTTTGTTCTTGTTTTTGTTTGTTTTTTTTTTTAAAGAAAGACTTACTCTGGTCTACAAAAGCTGCTAGCTGCTTTTTACTGTCCTGGTCTTGAAGTTATAAATTTGGACCTTAAGTGTTGATGTCTTATTTTAACTTAAGTTTGTACTGCCTGTTAGCTGTCCCATATATGGTTCTTTTCTGTCACTCAGCAAATGTGCAGTGCCCTAGCCCTACGCCCAGCTCTGGGCTTGGTGCCAGTAAGCACCCAGATGTGGAGATGCTGGATGAGGGAATAACCCATGGCAAGAGCTTGTCCTCCAGGAGGGAAGGGTCATCCCCCCATATCTTACCCCCAACACTTCACAGATCATGGTTGCTTTTTATTTTTTATTTTTAATGAAATGTATGCATTTAATTTCCTTGATAGCATTTGGAATAAACTGTAATTTTATTTTTTAAATTACTTATTTTTATACTCACAGGTACAGTTTATTACAGGGAAAGGATGCAGGTTAAAATCAGTCAAGGGAAAAAGCATATAGGGCAGAGTCCAGGAACGTTTTTCATTGTGGAGCTTCTAGTTATCCTCTCCCCGTGGAGTGTGCACAACATTACTTTCCTGGCAACAACGTGTGACAATACACATGGAGTATTGCCAACCAGCGAAGTTTGGCCAAGCCTTGGGCTGCAGAATTTTTACTGGGGCTCATCACATAGACATGGTCGCCTATCCACAGGGCAGATCTCAGTTTCCAGGCCCTGAGTAGGCTGTGCTGATACCACATGGCCTAAAGCGCTCAGGCTGAATCACACTGTTAGGCTTTCCAGTGTGATCCAACGCCCTCAGGTAAACAAAGACACTCTTATCAGGCATGACCTTCGAAAGGGTTAGAAATTGCCTCCAGAACGTCAAGGACTAAAGCCAGACCTCTTTTGAGGCAAGGTAAACCGGAGTTTTAAAAGGTTTGAAGGAAAAAGAAAGCTTACAGAATTTTTATTCACCACCATTGTCCCACTTCCAAATCTTTTTGTGTTGCTGTGATAACAGTGGATGTTTATCCAGTGCTTACTATGGGTTAGGCACTATTGGAAGGGGTTTGCGTATATCCTCTCATTTAATCCTCACCACAGTCCTATACGATCAGTACTACTGTTTATCCATAGCCATAAGCCTACAAATTTAGGCCCAGAAAGCTTGTATCACTTGCCTGAGGTCCCATGACTATCAGATGGGACTGGGATTTGAGCCCAGGTCTGACCTCAGAGCTTCTACAGTCTGTGGGAAGATGGCATATAAATTAATTTAGGGACAGGCCTTTTTGTTTGGTCGGTTTTCTTTGAGACAGGGTCTCGCTCTGTCACACAGGCTGCAGTGCAGTGGTGCCATCATTGTTGACTGCAGCCTCGACCTCTTAAGCTCAGGTGATCCTCCCACCTCAGCTTCCAGAGTAGCTGGGACTGCAGATGTGTGCCACCACTCCTGGGTCACTATTATTATTATTTTTTATAGAGGGTCTTACTATGTTGCCCAGGCTAGTCTTGAACTCCTGGGCTCAAGCCGTCCTTTCACCTTGGCCTCCCAAAGTCCTGGGATTACAGGCATAAGATACCATGCACAGCCCAGGGACAGTTTTATCTTCATCTCATGGGCATTTTCCTATTAGAAGTTCCTATACAGTTCTGTTCAGTTAGGATAGTCAGGGCTGCTCCTTTGCCACAGCAAATTCCCAGGATGCTGGGCCTAAGGGAGTGTTGCCAGGGTAGCAAACTCCCTGTCTTGGAAAAGAAATAACACTAGAGAAGGGTTCCTTCATCGCATGGGGGACAGTCTGTGCTCCCCTTCCTGGCTCAGTTGCCCTCCAGTTGGGCCTTGGTCTACTCCACTCCTGCACCCTGTTCAGCTACCCCAGGATATTGCCACCTCTTCACATGGCATAGCCTTATGGATTCCCCCCCACCCCTCCCCATCCCAGTCTGGAATCAGTTTCTTCCTTTGCATTTATGTTACAATCTCTACTTAAAAATAGCCTGACTAGCACAGTACAAGTGGGTTTTTTTATTTTTTTCAACAAACATGAGTGTCTGCTGTATGCCAGGCAGTGTGCCTGTATATAACAACTGGGATGATTTTGTGCTGGTGGCATTGGTGGTGGGCCCCTGATTCAATCCAGGAGTGGAGGCAGAGTTAGAGAGCGCAGGCTCTGGAATGAGGAGATTTCTTAGTCACGATCTAAAGGATAAATTGAAGTTAATTTGAAAGAAGTAGGGGCTGAGTAATGATTGGACAAGGCACTCCTCCCACACCCAGGCAGAACCTGAATGCCGAGAAAAATGAGGATGGGAGGAGAGCAGTGACCAGCTGGGCAACTCTGGGCTGTGTGCCTGGATTCCCTTCAGGAGCTCACTACAGAAGGGCGGGGGAAGAGTAAGAGCATTTCTGCCTCTTGGAAATCCACTCTGGCTACTCAGTGCAGACATTTATTTGTGTCTTTTTAATGAAATATTTGAAGGCAGGTATCTTGTTATTTATCATTAGTAGGATGACCTGTCTTATTCCATGATAACAGTTGCCACATATTGCAGTCTTGTGGTGTTTCTGGGTATGGTTCTCAACCCTTTACCGTTAGGGACTCATTGACTCCTCAGGACAACCCTTTGTGATCTCAGTGTCACAGATGAAAGACATGAGGCACAGGGAGTCCCAGCAACCCCTTGAAGATCGCAGTAAGCAGCAGAGCAGGGGATTGAACACAGCAGTTGGACGGTACCTTGCATGGTGACTGCCATGTAAAGACCCTACCATTTGAAGGGTCATTTGTGTTTTCCATAACCTTAACACAGCTGTTCAATAAAGTTTGTGGAATAGATTTTGGGAACTGCTCACTTTTCTTTGTAAAGCCTTCGGTGGAGAACCATAACTTACTTTAAAGTATACAGACTTTGAATGCACAAATTTATCAAACAGTGCTCATTGTATGTATGTATGTATGTATGTATGTATGTATGTATGTATGTATGTATGTATTTGTTTGTTTGAGACAAAGTCTCACTCTTTCACCCGGGCTGGAGTGCAGTGGGGTGATCTTGGCCCACTGCAGGCTCTGCCTCCTGGGCTCAAAGCGATCTTCCCACCTCAGCCTCCTGAATTGCTGAGACCACAGGCGTGCACCACCATGCCCAGCTATTTGTTTCTTGGATTTTTTTTGTAGAGACATGGTTTCACATGGTTGCCCAGGCTGATCTCCAGCTCCCAGGCTCAAGCGATACTCCCACCTCAGCTTCCCAAAGTGCTGGGATTATAGGCATAAGCCACCATACCCGGCTGCTCAGTGAATTTAAAAATGAAGTCACTGGTGTAACCACCACCCTGCTTAGGATACATGCAATTGTCAACACCCCTGAAACTGTCATGTGCTCTGTTCCAGTCAGTATCCCTCCCCCCGCAAAAAGTAACCCTGTTCTGATTTATCTCAATATATTTAATAGATTTGTTTTGCTAGTGTTTGAACTTCATATAAATGGAATTATACAGAATGTATTTTGTGTGTCTGGATTCTTTGATTATCCTAGTTCCTTCACTAATATTAAACAGTATCCATGCAGTGCATATAGTGAGTTATTTTTTATTGCTGTGCAATGGTCTGCATAAGTATCTGTGAAATTATTTTCAGTTTTAGAGTCAGCTTCCTGGGCGGCCCCACCCCCTTCCCTCAGTATTGGTGCTGGGCAGCGGGATGACGTGAAAGGAGTGTGACACAGCAGAGGACATTCAGGCCCTACAGGACTTATGTGCTTATTAATTAGGTTCTGGCTACCCTACTAGCTAAGTTGTATTGCATTTAGGGCCTTTGAGCCTTGGTTACTTACCTTATGAGAGACTGTAGAGTTAACACAAATCTTGCTCCCATCCCACAGTTAATGAAGATCAAATGAGATTGATACACACAGGAAAGTTTTGGGGTAATGTGTGAGTTATTCCTGTAGAAAATGATATTAACTATTATTAGTACTTCCCCACCCCCTTCTATTGTCCTCCAAAATACATTTCAAAATCAGTCCTGCTCTAGATAATCCTATAAGATTATGATAGAAAAATAACCTCTTGAAAGCTGAGCGGGGGTGGTTGAGGCCGCACCAAGCTCCCTGTGCACCGCAGGTTGGGGAGCCTCGCAACCTGGCTTCTAACGACCCATGTTTCTCTGGTGCTTGGGGATGCCTGGGAACTGAGTGGGTTTCCAAGGGTTTGGTGAGCCAGGATTATACCAGTCTGTGTGGCTGTGTAAAAGTAACAGGACTGCAGGAGGTAAACACACTTCCTAAAAGATCTGGTTTTTTTCCCTATAGGTCAGTTACAGAGCTCTTTCCATTGTGTTTTTTAAAAAAGTACACGTTTTCTGACTTTAGTACTATCGGCAGACAGAAGACTGTCAAAACTGGCCTCTCTGATAGAGACTTTTGACCCTCTTTCATGGGGGTATGGGTTCTAGAAGGTGGACTTTGATGGGCAACGCCCTAGTGCCACTTCTCCTTAGCTGCTGGTTTAAAGAACAGAAACCAAAACATGAATCTTTGAAATGGACTGACTTTGCAGGATTGCAGTAGCCGAATGATGGAAGGACAACCCCTGGTGATGGGCCAGGGTGGTCTGTGGGAGGCAGTAGTTTTCTCTGCCAAGGACTCCTCAAGTGACCTCTTTTCTTTGTTGCCTCTGGGTTGCTTTCTAGCCTGAGGACTTCATTTGAAGATTGAGGAGCATGCTTTTCTCCAAACTACTATTAATATTTTGGTTGTATTGACTTTTGGGATGGTAAGAGAGGGCAAGGAGGCTATTTTATCTGATGAACTCTGCTTGCATTGTAAATAAACAAGTTAAAGTAAGCTCAAGACTGCCCTTCCCTCTTTTGCTGTTGTCTATCCATCAGAGTTGTGGGGCCTCTAGCCAAAACTATTGGAGCCTTTTGGTTTCTCTGCCTCCCTCTCTGCTACTTGTCTGAACACCTTCTTGTTGAACTCTTTTTCAGGTAAGGAAGATTAGTGCTAATGACAGTCATCCCTTCCGTGGTTGGTTCTTACTTGGCCCAGAGCCTTGTAGCTCTGGGTGATTGCTGCCTGACAGTGATGTGTAAAGGGAACTGGGATTCGCTTGTTAGGCCACAAATGAAAACCGGTAGGCTTTACTGCTTTCCATAAGTACAGTGTATTCTTTCCCCAGTTCTCAAAGTCTTCTATAGCTTCTATTGCTTTTGTTTTTATGCTTCTTTATTTTATGTGTTGCAGATTAGCATTCTCTATTAGGCTGTGTGAATTTTTCCCTCCTTTCAATTTTATTCATTAACTGCTTTCTGATTTTCCCACCCTAGGGTGCTTTGGCTTGACTTGGAATAACGGAAGCACTTGGAAACCAAGTAGGATTACCAGTTAGCAAGTAAAAATGCAGGATGCACAACTGTATTTCAATTGGAAATAAACAATGAATTATTTTTTAGTATACATATGTCCCACATGTTGCATGGCACCTATATATACTAGAAAATTATTTGTTGTTGATCTGAAATTCGAATTTAACTGGGCCTCCTGTGTTTTATTTGATAGTCCTAAAACCTAGAGGACCTGTGTTTAAAAATCTGTCTGCCCTATCGCAAGGACAGAAAACCAAACACCACATGTTCTCACTCATAGGTGGGAATTGAACAATGAGAGAACACTTGGACACAGGGTAGGGAACACCACACACCGGGGCCTGTCGTGGGGTTGGGGGAGGAGGGAGGGATAGCATTAGGAGATATACCTAATGTAAATGACGAGTTAACGGGTGCAGCACACCAACATGGCACATGTATACATATGCAACAAACCTGCACGTTGTGCACATGTACCCTAGAACTTAAAGTATAATAATAAAAAGAAAATAAAAATAAATAAATAAAAAAGAAAAAAAACAAAAATCTGTTTGCCCCTTCCTTGCTGTGTGAACCTGGGGCAATTTAGCTAACCTCTAAGCCATCTTGCCCTCTTCTCTAAAAAGCGATCATAGTATCTTAGCTCTCCAGTTTTGGGGATAAATGATGTGACTTAGGAAAGCTCTCAGGGTGCATTCAGCACAGTTCTTCCTTTTCCTTCTCAATTCAATGATTATAGATTTGCTTCTTGCCCATTTCTTCCCTTTTCTGTTTTCTTCCCCCACAAACCTGAGATCAGGTTGCTGTCTGAGAAGAAGCCGACGCAGCATCCCCTCCTTGGCAGCATCCCCTCCTTTTGCGGGGCTCTTTGGAGTCTTCTCAGGATGGTGCCTCCACTTCTTCCTCAGCGGCTCTCAGTTTGCTTTCACAGTTCCTGTTCTTCCACACCAGCTTCCTGGTCTCCTCCTCTCTGAAAGCCATCGTTGACTGGATGTCTCAGGTATCTGCCGTTACTTGGCCACATGTTACGAAACCCCTTGTTTTATGTCTCCTTTCCTCGCCAGCCTGCAGTGGTACTGGGAGAACTGGGCCTATCTATGCCTTGCCTTCTCTGTGGGACGAGACATCAGTCATGTCTTTCTTGACGAGCCTCAGCTTCCTGAGAGAAGTGTGTTTAGAATTTAGGGTTTGCAGAAGGGCAGCTTGCATTTGGCCCCCAGGTGAGGGGTTTGGCTCTAGAGTTGTGAAAACAAACCATGTGGAGTTGAGAGAGAAGAATGTAATTCAGAGATTGGTCATCCCAGTGGTAGAGTTGCTGAGAAGCTGAAGTGGGGTGGGTGATGAGACAACCCAGGGATAAGCAGGAGCAGAACGCTGCTCCCACAACCCCTCTGGAGGATAAAGGGAGGAGGTAGTGCCATCAGAGCCCAGGGGCTGCGGTCACCAAGAAGTTGGAACTCCCCTGGGCCTTGAGATGTGGGTGCTGCCCAAGTTGGAGAAAGGGGAGAAATACTCTGAGTTCTCCCTTCCATCCTCCCATCTCTTGCTAGTGCCTCTTATTGGCTGAATCTCATTGGCGTACTTTGGAAACTGGGAGATGGAGCCTGCAGAGGTCACCTGTACCTTGCAGAGCAGGAGAGAAGGGCAGTGAGGCATCTTGGGCCAGACAGACCCAGGGCTGGCCCAGGAAGAAATGAATGAATATGGAACTGACTGTGTTTGGCCTGGGCAGCTGTTGAGTACTTTGTGGACAGCAGAAGGTTGGAAGACTCAAAGGTTTTTATTCCCTCAGGAAAACATGAATAAAGGGCATTCTAGGGAGAAGGATCAGCATGGATGAAGGCATGGCAGCTTGAAACAGCAGGCTGACTTGTAGCATCCCATGCAGCCCAGAATGGCTGGATTGATGTTTGAGGTCTTTCCTATCCATCTTCCTCCTGCCTCAGAAGCCCCTCCCATAGAATGCTTTCTCACGTGTCCCTGTTGTCATTTGTCATTTATGGCTGATGCACATTTTCCTGCAGGGAATGCCAGATGGGAAGCTCTGCACCTGAATATCTTCCAGGCCAGCTGCTTCTGACACAGAGCATGTACCATGTAGCCAGTGGGGAGCATCTTGGGATGCCTCAATAGCCCTAAAAAGGAATTCATGGGCAGTGCCAGTTAGTTTTGATGGGTGAAGCGTGCGTGGGTCCCCTGATATTCAAGGGCCCCAGCTCTGATGAGGATGTTGATACCCTGGGAGGAGAAATGGCTGCCCATGTTAGTGACTTAGAGGCCTTATCTCGTGGCCCTGCTTGTCTGGCATGCAATCAGACTGTGAGAATACTTTTCTCACATTTCCCTGCTGTGAAATTTATTTTTATGATGATAGTGGATTTTGTTTAAGCTTATTTTATTATGGAAATTTTCAAGCATATACTAAAGTAGAGTGAATCCACAAACCACCAGCTTCACTGATTATTGACACATAGTCTTAAAATGCTTTCACCATAAATGGTTCAGTTTGCCTCTCTGATAAGGACTTTATAACCACCATACCATTATCATACCAGACAAAATTAGCAATTTTTCCCCTGGCAAATTAGTGTTTGAAAGGTAAACATCACAGGCTTTTCTGTGATCAAAGGTATTATCCTTGTCTCCCCTCTGCTATTAAGCCCTGTGCCCTTAGGCTGCTGGCCCCAGCTCTAACCTTCCTCCCTAAAGCTGTTGACAGCAGGCTTGGAGACCTTTTACCTGCTGCCCTGTTTCCTGGTCCCCAGCTTCCGAGCATCCCAGTTTTGCTGGTTCTGCCCTCAGTAGGTATGCAGACTGGCTTCCCAGCCCCCATGACGAAGCAGCAGAAAGTTTAGGTCACCACTTCACCTGTGTGAAGCAGACCTGGCTTATGTGGTTCTACTATAAGGAAATCTGAAGTGAGGCATCCTGTGCAGCCAGCCTTCCCTGGAAGCTTCTAGCTGAGAAATGTCTGAGCATCTGTGGGGAGTCATGCCCTCGGAAGATGGACTGGCATCTATGGCTTCCAGAAAGTCTGGTGCGGTGCTATGTGTGAAGCCACTCAGGGCTGGAGAGCACCAGACAGGAAGCTGTGAGCAGTATGTGCAGACACGTTTTCTGGACAGGTAGAATAACAAGCAGTCTTTGCCCAGAATCTCCAGCTCTGAAATCTGCAGCTTGAGCAGCATCTATGGAGTGGTTTCAGCTAAATTATTTCATTTGAGTCTCACGGCAAGTCTGTGGGAGTAGGTAGTGTGTACCTCCTTAGAAAATAAAGGATCTGGGGCTCAGGTGAAATGCTGTTAAATTATTGGCCAGGGAACAGTGCTGGTAAATGGGACAGTTGGCATTTCCAGGGAGGTGGCCTCACATCCAGGCTAGGGTTCTTTCTCCTCTGTTAGCTCCTTGGCAGAGGAGGAGGTTAAAAAAAGGGTCTGATAGTTCAGCACTTACAAGCAAAGGGCATTCAATTCCAAAATTTCTAGGAAATTCCAATGTCGCATTTGACCCAGCAACAAAAATTGGGAACCACTAGTCTATACATTTGTGAGTACATATGATATTTCTTCTGAGATTTGAAATAATGCCCCATTTAAAAAATATTTTTAATTGAATTTTTTTGACTAGGAAGGACATCACTTGGTATTTGGTCCCCTTCCCTTTAACACAAAAGGTGGCGTATATGATATTATATTCTGTTCTGCCCCTCCCCCTGCCATTTAATTATATTTTGGATACTTCTCTTTTTTTTTTTTTTTTTAACAGTTGCATGGTAAGCCATTGTGTGGGTATCTCTTACCATTGTGCATTTAATTTGTTTTCAGTCTTTTGTCTCAAAATGTCACCGTCACCTTGAACGTAGGTCATTTTGTATGTGGGTGAGTGTATCAGAGGGGATAATTCCTAGCCACTCTCTTCAACCATTTCCTTATGTTGACTCAATCATTACATCAGTCTTGTGAAGTAGCCAGTAGCATATTATCCTTGTTTACAGACAGGAAACTGAGGCTCAGAGAGGGTTGGGTGACTTGCTTAAAGTCATACCGCAGAGAGTAGGAGAGCCAGAATTGACACCTAGCTAAGCAAGCTGATTCTAGGGAATTCCCTCACTTTTTGATGCTGCCTTTCTTGGTAAATTCACAGAAGTGACATTGTTGTGTCGATTGCCCTATATATGTGTAATTCGAATAGATGTTGCTTCTACAATTTACACTTCCATTAGTAGGATATGAGAGATATGTGGCCCCATACTACACTGTCAGAGGGTTTTCTCAAACTGGATTTTGGTAGTCTGGTAAATGGACAGTGACATATTAGTACAGTCTTTGCATTTCTCTCAAGGGGGTGGATAAGCATCATTTCTTGTGTTTATAAGAGCCATTTGTATTCTTTTTCTGTACCTGCCTAGTTGATATCCTTTCTTGTTTGTCTTTGGGGACCTTGGTCTTTCTCTTACCCATTTTTCTTAGAACTCTATATGTTACAATGACTTGCTCTTGTTTTTCAATTTTGAGTTGCAAAAAAATTTCCCACCTGTCAATTGTCTTTTGACTTGGCTTTTGGTGTTTTTTGGCCACAGTGAAAATTTTTATTTTTATGGTTTCTTGATGTCATTTATAATCTACAGGAAATATTGCTAACATTTTATGGTAAAACCTTTCTGTATATTTACTTCTTTGGAAAAAAGTAGGACAGACTGCTTTTGTGTTTTTGTTTAAATGATAGTGCATTTAAGACAGATTCAGAAGAGTGTGTAGAAGTAGCGATGCCAGATATTCTTTTAAATTGCATAAACAATTGAACTCACAACTGCACATTAGATACATCTCCTGGTGTCTTTTTTCCTCATTCTTGTCTGTATAACACTTTATATTTCATATGAGATCTTGAATTAGGATAATTTCCTCTGACTAGTTGATCAATTACTGAATTGTTTATTTTGGATACTATTATTGTAGCCTCCTTCTTCCTCCAGAAGCTGCTGCTTAAATGGATTCAAGTGTAATTGGCATTATTTTTCTATCCTGGTCCGTTTCGGGCTCTGTTTATCTGGTGGTTTTATTTTACTCTGCAGTATTTTCCATTTCCCCTGCTTAAAGATAGATTTAAAGCTGCAGACCTTAAATGTAATCTTCTTTCATATTGGCCGGTCTTCTTTGTTCATCTCACAGATATTACAAATAACGTATATATTACAAAACTTTGTTCATTCTGCTAATATTTCTGAGGTTATTCTGTATATAAGGCTGTTCTATGCATTGTGCTAAGAGGTTTTGAGACAGTTCCTGCCTCTGGCAGCTGATATTCTAGTTGGGGGGGCGGGGGGCGGGGTTGGAAATAGACATCAGACAACTGATTTCACAGTTATAGAATTGAAGCTGTGATAAATCCTTCAAAAGATGTGTTTCTTGGAGGATATGATGGGGGGAACCAGACCAGTTTAAGGCAGCCAACGGAGCTTCCCTGAAGTGACATGTAGGCTGCAATCCCCTGTATATCTTTTTTGGAGTTAACCATGAAGAGAATTGGTAAAAAAATGTTCTGGGCCCAGGGAAGAGGCTATGCAAAAAATCCTGAAAGCGACAGAACTGCAGGGCAGGTTTGAGGAACTGAAAGACGAGTTGTGGTCAGAGTGAGATCGGGATGTGGCCTGAAGCTGGAAGTAGGTGGGGCCAGGTCTGATAGGGCTCTCAGTCCTGAATCTTGAATTGGACCTGCATTAGACCACTCTTGAATTAGACTTGAATTATTCCTTGAATTTAATTCAAGGGGTAATGTTGGCATATGTGCTTTTAAATTAGGAGTAGGTTTTTAAATTCGGGGGACCATGCCAGTCTAGAACTTTCTTTAGTTGAATAAATTTGACCTGCAAAAATGGTACTTTAATCCATTCTCTTACAGTTTTTCATTAGGATGTGTTTTTGCCAACAGCCTTGGTGTTTTAAAATCTAGATGTGGCAAAATAATTTACTGCTTGTTAAGCAAACCTCCTGACATGGCTGGGGTATTGAAAAAAGAATGAAGATGGAAGTATTGTAGATATAACAAATGTATCCAAACTAGATTTCGCTCTTCCTTTCCCTGATTCACACGTATTCTCTGTCCTTTCTTTCCTTTTCTCCTTTTCTTTTCTTCCTTCCTTCCTTCCTTTCTTTCCTTTCTTTCTGTTGTTGTTGTTGTTACGGAGTCTCGCTCTGTCACCCAGGCTGGAGTGCGGTGGCACGATCTCAACTCACTGCAACCTCTGTCTCCCGGGTTCAAGCAGTTCTCCTTCCTCAGCCTCCCAAGCAGCTGGGACTACAGGCGTGTGTCACCATGCCTGGCTAATTTTTGTATTTTTAGTAGAGATGGGGTTTCACCATGTTGGCCAGGCTGGTCTCAAATTCCTGACTTCAAGTGATCTGCCCGCCTCGGCCTCCCAAAGTGCTGGGATTATAGGCATGACCCACTGCACCGGGCCACCTTATGCCCTAAGTGTTTTTCTGGATACATATTATGCAAATACAAGTGTGTGCCTATATTGTCCTCTTAAAAGGATACCCAGCGATGGGAGCACATTGTACATGCTGTTCTATATCTTGATTTTTTTTTTCTACTTTACACATCTCATGAGTTTTATCCCCAGCACTGGGTATAGAATTGCCCCATTCTTTTCAAGGGCTTGCTGTAAAGTATTCTGGGAACTGGGCGCACTCTCTTTAACTCTTCCTCTGTTGATTGTTTTCAGTCTCCTTCTTTCTATAAAGCAAGTTAAAGGAAACATTCTTTTAACAATGTTTTTAACAAGTCTTAGCAATGGTTTTTATTATCTGTAGGATAATCTAGGAGTAGAGTTGCCAGTTTTTAGAGTATGTGCTTTTGAAATTTTGTTTGTATTCACTTGGGCAGCAGTAAGTCATCTTTTGCTTATTGTCGTCGCTGTCTCGACCTGAAATCCTTTCTTTTTATATTCTTGCCTTCTTTTTTTGGTCCTGTAGCAGGGAACATCTTATTTTTTTGTTTGTTTTGAAGGGGTTGCTTTTACTTAGAACAAATTGCCATGTTACTTACCTTTATTTTTTTCCTGAAACTTAGTCAACTTTCTTAACATTAAACTCCTCTTTTGCTTAATTGGCTTAGAAGTAAGTGAGAGAACAGAGATAATATGGCTTTTAGTACCAAATGCTTCTCTTAGTAAGAATCTACAGATTGGTTGATGTTAGGAGTTTAAAACTGTTTTTGGAGCCCATTAAAGACATGTCTCCTGTTTGTATGGGTCACTCTCTCAAGTCACATAAGAAGGTGGTGGTCTTTGTAAAAATGCTAGAAAATGTTGGGAAATTTGTTCAAAGTTTGAGGCTTTCTGTCAAACTTGAGGGTTTTGAACTCTGACAACAATACATTAAACTTTATCCAGTTTATACTGCATACAGAGTTTCTTAAAGCAGGCTCTACCCTGATCACCATCAGTATATGTGATAGGGATCTTAGCCCTCTGTTCTCAAATATAGTTTAGGGAGTTTTAGAGGAAAGTGTGTTTCCTCATTAAATAATCAGTTGAGTTGACTCCAATTTGTGTACGTGAAACCAACAAAAAGAATATAAACTTTTAATATTATGGTCCAGTTGGATAGGATTTATAATTTTGAGTAACCTTCCAGTAAAACTTTGTGATTCATTAAGTTTTTCCCTGTCATCAGCCTGTGCTGACATAAGTTCAGCTGATAGAATTGAAAAGAGCAAAGAGAAGAAAAAGTCTAGACTTCTAAATACAGTGCGAGAGGGAGATGATGGCTGCCATGAATGGTATTAGCATTGCTTCTTGTATCAAGTGTGACAGTTGGCTCATCAGGGACATCGGAGTACGTCTTAGTTTTTGATTCTGCAATACCTTTGCAAGGTATTGATACCATCATTTCACTTGGAGGTCATAAAAGGGAGAGTTTATTTCCTTTCCTTGTTCCCTGTCCCATAGCTTCCAGTATCACATTTCACTCATTGCTATACTTTAGTCCTTTTCGTAACTGACAGTGTTGTCTGCTTATTGCAAAGACACATGGTATTTAACTCAAAGACTAAGACTCAGAGTCCATTGATGGAACAGAGACTGGAGAGACCACAGTGGGCAATGGACCCAGTTGATAGGACCCTTCCAAGTCCCTGGGACTCACTGTGTTTCGGGGGTACGAATATATCATTTTTTTCTTTTTCCTACTGAATTAAACCTTTTTTTTTCAGTTAAAGTCGATCAATACGGTAAACACCCTTACACCCCTCACCTAATTTTACTAATTTTTTTTTTTGAGGCAGAGTCTTGCTCTGTCGCCCAGGCTGGAGTGCAGTGGCGCGATCTCTGCTCACTGCAACCTCCGCCTCCCGGGTTCAAGCGATTCTCCTGCCTCAGCCTGCTGAGTAGCTGGGATTACAGGTGCGCGCCACCACGCCCGGCTAATTTTTTGTGTTTTTACTAGAGGCGGGGTTTCACTGTGTTACCCAGAATGGTCTCGATCTCCTAACCTCATAATCCGCCTGCCTCGGCCTCCCAAACTGTTGGGATTACAGGCGTGAGCCACTGCTCCTGGCCAGTTTCACTAATGTTTAAGGTTACCACTTCCATGTCACCACTTCTCCCTGGCTTTCCTTCTCCCGCCGGCTTTCCTTTCCTTCTCCCCGCGGCTTTCCTTTCCTTCTCCCCGCGGCTTTCCTTTCCTTCTCCCCGCGGCTTTCCTTTCCTTCTCCCCCTGGCTTTCCTTTCCTTCTCCCCCCGGCTTTCCTTTCCTTCTCCCCCTGGCTTTCCTTTCCTTCTCCCGCCGGCTTTCCTTTCCTTCTCCCCCTGGCTTTCCTTTCCTTCTCCCCCTGGCTTTCCTTTCCTTCTCCCCGCGGCTTTCCTTTCCTTCTCCCCGCGGCTTTCCTTTCCTTCTCCCGCCGGCTTTCCTTTCCTTCTCCCCCCGGCTTTCCTTTCCATTCTCCCGCCGAGCATTACCTTTCCATTCATCCCCCCGGCTTTACCTTTCCTTACTACCCCGGACTTTCCTTTCCTTACTCCCCGCGGCTTTACCTTTCCTTCTCCCCCCGGCATTTCATATTCCTTCATCCCGCCGGCTTTCCTTTCCTTCTCCCCGCGGCTTTCCTTTCCTTCTCCCCCCGGCTTTCCTTTCCTTCTCCCCCCGGCTTTCCTTTCCTTCTCCCCGCGGCTTTCCTTTCCTTCTCCCCCTGGCTTTCCTTTCCTTCTCCCCGCGGCTTTCCTTTCCTTCTCCCCAGCTTTCCTTCTCCCTCCCTCTCCTTCCCTCTCTGTTTCTGTTCCCTTTTGCCCAACCATCTGAAAGCAGGTTTTGGATACAAGAGCACTTCATTCCTAAGTATTCGTAAGTATTCAGTGTGCCCCTCCCAGGGACAGGAACGTGGAGTGAGGATATTTTTGAGGTTACGTCTACCCTATCACACATTGTCCCCTTCATGGGGACTCTCACAAGAAAATTGTTTTCTTTGGTCTTAATACCAAGTAGAGCTCCTCAGTTTTGGGGCAACAAAAACTGCTTAGGCAGCCAGGATGTTCAGCGAAGTTTTCAAAATGCATACTACCTGTTGATCAGCATGTGTGTAATTTCAACTTTTGGCTTCATTTGAATATTGGACTTTTTTTCTCCTCTGGCCATCCATGCCTCCTCTCCCTTTAAAATCTTACACATTTATGCAAGAACCCCCCAGTGAATTTTAGAATGAATTCATGTATTAAAAATTAGCCCAAAATGAATCTGAAATTTTAGTAGGCCCTCAGCTGATCCCTAAGAGAGGAAAGGGGCATAATTGTCTCACCTCGTTATGCCCCTTCTGGGACACCAAGATAAAGAAGGTGGAATTTCCCCCATGTGAAGCCCCAACAGTTTCTTTTTTTCTTATGAATGTGCTGCCGGGATGTTCATCTTAAAACCATTCTGAAGTCTTACAGGACACATCACACTCTGGCTCACACCCACTTCTCGGGGATTGCCCTGGACCTCTCATTCTCTGGGCTGGGGTGACTGTCAGTATCAGGGGCCCAGGAACAGTGGTGAGTGGTAGGAAGTGGTGACATCTGTGATAATACAGTGAAAACAGTAGACAAGATATTGGTTGAAGATGGCTATTATGGTGGAAGATGTGGATTTAGTCAGAAGGCACATGGCTGAGGAGACTGTTGGGACCTGCTGGGCGGGGCTGAAGGGCTTTGGTTGGGGAAGGAGGAGATAAAGGGAGTGCAGCAGGGGGTCGGGCAGACAACGCTCTGCTCTGCCAGATTATAGAAAGGTAGTCATCTCTGATCATGTCAGAACTGATCGTTCCTTCCTGAGTTGCACAGAGGTGGCACTGGGCAGAGACTGGATAGCAGGACATCAGTGGTTTGAACCACCATCCTCTGTGCACCAGGCTAAATACAAGCAGTAACTCACATAACTCTCAAAAGGAGCCTGTGAGTATAAGAGTTATCCTCATTTACAGATGGAAGATGTGTCTCAGAGAGGTTAAGGAACTGGCCTAAATAGTGGACATATGCCACTTTCAGAGCCTCAGTTAAGTGGAGGCTGCTCTGTGACATGCTACCACTTTATCTTTTCCTTTTAAAAACTTTTTTTGGAGTATAACTTATACACATATGGTAAGTGTACATTTTGATTCATTTTCACAGATTGAAGGCACATGTGTAACTTGCACCCAGATCACGAAACAGAATATTACTAATACCTGGACTCCACTGTGCCCCCTTCCGGCCATTATCCCTCCAAGGGTAGCCACTATGTGGAGTTTGAACTCTGCTTAACTGGAATTAGACAGTGTGTACTTTTTAAGTGTTTAATGTCTTTCTCCCAGCATTATGTCTGTGGGATTTATCTATATTGTTGGTCTCTTCCCGTCTGAGATTGGGTCTTAGAACCTAGAGTGTCCAGAAAAACCATTTGTTACTATAGGGCAAAACCATTTGTTACTATAGGGCTGTAAAGTCCCCTGAGTGTACAGTTGGTATTTTCAGAACTTGTAAAATTGGAAAATGTGGTCCTCTCGGTGTCATCGTGGTCTGCCATGCTTTGAGCATTAGAAGAAAAAGCTACCTGGTTTTCAGAGTTCTTGGTATAGAGGATTCTCTGTATATTAAGAAGGAAATGTCTTCGGTATTTTTTAAAGAATGGATTAAAAATATTGATGCACTCAGAGCCTCTGCCAGAGACATTTTCTCTTATAGATGTAGCATGCTTCTATGCAATAGCTAGGATCCTGAAAAGTTTATTTGCAGATGAAGTTAAATTCGGTTTTATCAAAATGTAAATGTATGAGGGAGCCTGATGGTGAAAGAAAAGGGAAATTGGTAAAATGATGAATCATTTGTGCCCTCAAAGACCTCTAGGCACATATTGAACAAGCTTGGGTTTATCGTTCATTGCATTGAGGGGAAAACACATTAAAGAGCAGAAAGGGGTGTTAGAAAGAACCTATTGGAAACTTGGGGCTTTGGTTGAGTAATATTGGGAAGGGTTGATGGAAGCAGGGAAGCAAAGGTTCTTTTTAGATTGGGTGTTTTCAGAAAGTGGGAGCGATTCTGTGATTGGGTATCTCAGTACCTTTAGGGAAGGCAGATTAGAGCCAGGCTACAGCTGTAATTAGTAAAGAAGTAGTGGTTACTCAATTTTGCCGAGATGGGATATGTTTGTATTTTGTGGGTTTCACAGTGATCTTGTTTTGTCTCACTTTGTCATCGTCTCAGAGTGACCTTGTTTGGTGTAGATGTTTAATGAGATTGCTTGTGTCCTTCCTACAGTAGAATGATGTGAGTTAGCTGTGTCAGATTAGTTTGTAATAATGAGGTCTGGCTGTGAGCATCTGATTAACTCCTGGATACTTATTTGTTTCTCAAGAAAAATTTCTAGACTCTTATTTTTCATAAATCTATAGTTTATAATATGGGTGTTCTTAAAATGGGATTGAACTTCAGTAACTTCTTATTCTTTAAGATACTAAGTAAGTGTTCTGAACAGGAAGTATATTTAGAACATTACCCTTTAGATCCTTGTTTTCAGGTTTCTTAAGTGACTGGGGTTGCCTTGTGTGGACTGCTTTTGAAGGTTTTAGGTAATCCTTGTCAAGTCATGTGGACCTTTGGCAATTGCGTAATCACACTTGACCCTTCACTCCTTACCTGTTGAATGAGGATGATCATAATAGTGACCCAAATTTCTTAATGGTCCCTTGTGAAATAATTGTTGGATCTCTCAGTGAGATGATAACTGCTAATTTATACGGTACCTGCTTCTCAAATGGATTTGAGGTGGCCAAGAAGATATCCCTTCCCTCCAAGCACACAAACTGCATCTTTTCCTTTCCTTTCCCTTATGGCTTGGCCTAAATGAATAGTCATAATTGTTAAATAATTCCTTGCCTATGAAAAAAAATTTTCTGAAAGGGGGCTCTTCATCCAAAAAAACTTCATTGGGATGCCCCATGGAGGCACTGAAATCTCTCATTATGACTCTTTTTAAGGCAGGGTGTGAGTAGAAGACTTGATACTTTGGCAAGCTGAATGTTATGATTGGTTGTGAAGGGGTAGGGGTTTGTGTGTCACATTCTGGGTCACCTTAGACTCCTGAATCTTTTCACATGGATTGGGATGTGACTTGACCAGAACATACTTTTCTAATTTTCTTGTCTAACAGGGCATTGAACCTTCTGATTTCTGGCACCCCTGTTTTGCTACATAGCCTTATCCGTAAACTGCAGCTGTGAATTCCTTCTCATTTGGTTTCATGGGATAGATTGTGAAACTGGCTGATATAAATGGCGAGTTTTCCCTTGCAGTATCCAGCCTGACAGTATTCAAGAAAGGAAAGGGAAGGAAGGTGAAGAGGAGTGCTTGGATAAATGGAATCAAAACTCAGACCAATTCAAGTAGATGAAATAAACAAGGGGGGAGCTGGAAATGCAGACATTTTGCTGTCAAGTGTAGGGCTTCTTGTGCATATTTGTAATAATGAGGTCTGGCTATGAGCATCCAATTAACTCCTGGATACTTATTTGTTTCTCAAGAAAAATTTCTAAACTCTTGTTTTTCATAAATCTATAGTTTATAATATGGGTGTTCTTAAAATAGGATTGAACTTTAGTAACTTCTTATTCCTTAAGATACTAAGGAACTGAGGTACTGTCTAATTTTGTCTAAACACAGTATATGGCCATTTATTCCATTGAAATGCTTTGAAATGGCATCTAAATTCCATAGATACCCGAACTTAGTTGTGTACCCTCTTAACACTTTCAAGTATTTTTGAAAACACTTTTACAGGATTTACAGGTTTTTAGTATTTTCTCTGGTGCTTTGCTCTTGCCATTGTGAAGATTTTTAAAATTTTACTTTCTCATTGTATTTGGAAGTGATTTTGTTTTGTGTTTTTGTTGTTGTTGCTTGGCTCTGGTTACCCTGATGAACAATTATTGGTTGGTTTTCTTGCACATTGTAGGTGGATGTCTGGAGTGACAGTTTTGTGTCTTTTCCTTTCTGGCATCTCTTAATCTCTTACCACAGAATGGGGTCATACTCACATTTAACTTAACATATTCTGTTGTGTATGCCTACTAAACAGAAGAGAGGGATAATTTAGACAGTGCTGGCTCCTCCACTGTCTCTCTTGCTCCACAAACATTTGTAGGCCCTGAGTCAGTCTCCTTCCCTCAGATGGCCACATCAGTTTCCATGACCTGGTGCGGGTTTCCACTGGTGCAGATTTTTTTTATAGAAATGTTTTCCCTGACCCTACCCCAGCTGTATCGTAATCAAAGAGAACCTGACTTTCTGCCATTTCGCATTTACATCCTAACCTTGGAACCTAGCCCTAACAGAAGAACCACCTCCATTTATTTTCTTTCTATTTCCTGCATTAGCTAGGATGTTCTGTACTACGTTGAGTCATATTGATGATCGCAGACATCCTACTCTTGTTTCAAACTTTACAGGAGTGATTCTGGTGCTTTATTAAATACGTTATCTGAGGAAAGCTCTTAGTAGATGCCTAGATGGAGGATGTTTGTTTTGCCATCGTGAATGAGCAGAATTTTGTCAAATGTTTTGCATCTGCTGAGATGATTATGCACTGCGTAATGGCATTTAAGTCTGCGATGGACTGTGTGTAAGACAGTCGTCCCTTAAGATTAAAATATTATATTTTTACTGTACCTTTTCTATGTTTAGATACATAAATACTAATCTTATGTTACAATTGCCTGCAGTATTCAGTATAATAACGTGCTGTACAGGCCTCGGAGCAATAGGCCATACCACATAGCCTAGGTGTGTAGTAGGCTATACCATCTGGGTTTATGTAAGTATACTTTGATGTTCACACAATGATGAAATCACCTAACAATGCATGTCTCATAACATAACCTGTCATTAACCAACACATGACTGTATTCAAAAAATCTCAATGTAATGAAATACAATTGTCTAATGTTGAATTATCCACTTACTGCTGAGATAAACTCTGCCAGCTTGTAATTTTTTTTAATTTTAATACATTGCTGTGCTCATGCTGCTAATATTTTATTCAAGAGTTCTGTATATGTGCTGTGTAAAAGTGGCCTTTGGGTTTTTTGCTAGGACAGTTTGGAAGCAGGGCTACTTTTGGATAGCTTTTTTTTTTTTTTTTTTTTCCCCCTTAACAGGTGTAGTTTATATAACACGGCAGCTATCTTTATCTTAAAAGTTTGGTGGACCTTGCCTAGTTAAGGGAAAAAAAAGTCACACCTGGGCCTGGTATCCTTTCTGGGTAAGGGAGCCTTTTCAAAAATGTTAGAAACTTTTACGGTGACAGAATGGTGACGGCAAATAATCTATTTAGTGAGGCAGCTGGGCATGTAATGCATCAGTGATTTTTAAAAAAATGATATGTGAGGCTGGGTGCGGTGGCTCACACCTGTGATCCCAGCACTGTGGGAGGCCAAGGCGGGTGGATCGCCTGAGGTCAGGAGTTCGAGACTAGCCTGGCCAACATGGAGAAACCCCGTCTCTACTAAAAATACAAAAACTAGCCGGGCATGGTAGTGCATGCCTTTAATACCAGCTACTAGGGAAGCTGAGGCAGGAGAATCACTTGAACCTGGGAGGCAGAGGTTGCAGTGAGCCTGGATGATAGAACGAGACTCGATCTGAAAAAAAAAAAAAAAAAAGACATCTGTGCATGCACTCGTGTATGTGTGTAGGCTTGTTGGCCATGTGCTTGGCATTGCGAATTTATTAAGATTTTTTTAACAACCGTTATTTTTTTTGGGATTGCAGAATTTAGTATTTTGATAGGAGTATATAGTCTCAGGTTAATGTCCAAATAGCAATTTCCTTTGCATAATATCATGAAACACATTCAGAATGTCATGTGGCAGGCTTGGGCTGGGCAGAGCTTTTGTCTTCGTTAGTTTACCTAGTTAACTTGCTTTGTAGGTCTTAAACATCAAATTGCATACAGAGGTCTCTGTCTTAATGTGATGCATGTGTTCCTGAAAACCTTTGCATTCTCCAGAATCACACACTAAAAATATTAGGGTTGATGGAAGAATAGCATCGGCGCAGACCACTAACTCAAACTTTGCCATGTTGTAACTAGAGAATTAAACAGTTTTTGGTTCCTTAGGAGGTACAACTTGGACTTGTGATGTAGTTTTCAACAGATCAGCAACTTTAAGATGAACTGCTAGTGCTTGAGGTGCCAACTGTATGCAGGACTCAGCATTCACAGATAGAAACATAAAAAAGGTCTTTGTCCTTGAAGCTCACCTGGACAAGAACCTTTGAACTTCTGTGTCCTTCAAACCTTCTTTTTCCTCTGGTGTTCAGAAAGACTTCACCTCTCCCAAATCTTTCCTGGTTCAGTCACTGAGTACCCTGTAACAGCCACCCTAGATGAGCAGATCTCTACCAGACTTTAAATATATTTTAGTGATGATAAATAACTATTTTTTGGACAAAATTTGGAAAACAGGTTCATTATATAGATAATAGGTCATCAGTGCCATCCCTCACAACCACCTCTATTCTGGTTTATGTGCTTCTAGTCATTTCTAACATATCTGAGGGTTGGTGTGAACCTTTAAAGCAAAATTTGGGTCATGTTGTGGTTCCCACCATGTTTTTTCCCAACTGAACACGTATCATGACAATTTTCACTTGTTCTTAATCATGGCAACATATTATTTCATTGTCAGGATACACCGTCATTTATTAGTGCCTATATTGGTTTCCTGTTGCTGCTGTAACAAATTATTACAAATGTAGTGGCCTGAAGTAACATAGATTTATCATCTCATAGTTGTATAGGTTAGAAGTCCAATATGGGTCTCACTGGGCTAAAATCAGAGTGTGACAGGGCTGCAGTTTTTCTGGAAGTCCCAGAGGAGAGTCCATTTTCTTGCCTCTCCAACTTCTAGAGGCTACCTGCATCTCATGGCCCCTTCCTCATCCTCAAACCCAGCAATGGCAAGTCAAGTCATCATTAGGCATCACTCTGATCTCTTCTCTGCCTCCATTTTCCATTTTAAAGGACCTCTGTGATTATACGGGTCCCATTCAGAGAACCCAAGATAATTTCCTTATTTTAAAGTCAGTTGATGGGCAACCTTAATTCTATCTGTTCCCTTAATTCCCCTTTGCATGTAAGTAACATTTTCATAGGTTCTGGGGATTCAAATGTAGACAGCTTGAGGCAAAGTTTGCAGGAGGGAGCATTCTGCCTTCACTGGCAGAATAGGAGTATTGTTAGTGAATTGGTTGTTTGCATTGGTATGGATGGCATTTCTGTGAATATCTTTGTATATTGATCTCTGTATATCTTTGGTTAATCCATGAACCACCTTTCTGTAAACGGAGGATTTCAATGTGATAATTTTAATATGTTTGATAAAAATGATAAAATTACAGAAACTCTAGTCTTGGTTGGATAGGAGAACAAAAGGCAAGTTTAGTGCCAAAGAAAACATTTTAGAACTGGGAGAAGATCAATTTGTGCCTTTGTTACATTCCTGTTAGAGTGTAAGGTCCTGTCTCATTATAGTTTTATTATATTCCCTGTGCCTTCTGGCATATGGAATCTATGTAGGGGTGTGTGCGTGTGTGTGTGTGTGTGTGTGTGTGTTTGCTAGGTAAATGTGTAAGGAAATGAATGTCTACGCTTCGGACATGCTTCACCATTCTTTCACTTCGTTTTCTTTCAGTATTAGATGTCATAGATCTTCACTGACCATGGTTGATTTTGCAGCATTTGGGATTTTGACAGCTGTATTGTGTCTAAATGTGCTACTGCCTCAACATCATAGGAATGGGGAACATTCATTCTCATATAGAAGATTTAAGATGTACTTGGATTGTTTTAACTATTCTGTTTTGATAATTTTAAAAGCTACATATGTGTTCTCTGTCCTTCTTTTTTTTTAAAAATTAGCAGTCTATTACAAAATCATCACAAATTTAGGTAAATACCATTGTCAGAAACCAAGATTGAAAAACCTGCATTTACTTTGAAATATTCAGAATAAAGTGGCATATTAAAATACTAAATATTAAAATATAGCTCCACAGTCTCTTATCCCATGAGGCCAGATATGTTTTAGAATTTAGGTTTTTTTGGTGGTGGGAGTTGGGTCTGTTTGTTTCCCAAGGCTGTTGTAACAATGTTTCACAGACTGAGTGGCATAAAACAATAGAAATTAATTTTCTCACAGTTCTGGAGGGGCCAGAAGTCCAAAATCAAGGTGTTGGTAAGGGTTGTTCTCCCTTGGAAACCTCTGGCCGGGGAAGATCCTTCTGTGATTCTTCTAGTTTCTAGTATCTCCAGGCGTTCCTTGGCTTGCAGCTGCAGCACTTCAGTTCCTGCCTCTGAAGTCATGTGGTCATCTTCTCCTTGTATGTTTCTGTCTGTATTTTCCCTTCTTATAAGGACAGCAGTCGTATTGGATTGGGGCCCACTCCAGTGATCTCATCTTAGCTTGATTACATCTGCAAAGAACCTATTTCCAAATAAGGTCACATTCACAAGTATGTGGGGTTAGGAATTGAACATATCTTTTTCAAGGACACAGTCCATCCCATAAAAGGGAGTGGAGCTATGGAAAGGTACTGAGCACCTACCACGTATACTGTAGCACCGCCAGAGGATTGAAACAGCAGACACATCAAACCACCTCAGCAAAACATGTGAACAGGCATGCTAAGTTTGATGATAAAGCTGCAAAGAGCCTCATGTCAATTCAGATCAGGCTTGCCACCAAGTGAACGCAGTTGTTTGGTTGCTTGCCAAATGTAGCTTTCGGTTTTCAGTCTTCTGGGTTTTGGAATTGTGTTTAAAGGATCGAGGACCTGTGCTAGATTTTCACCTTAATTCCTAATGACAGCTTAGCAATATTTCTTAGAAGTTCTAGCAGGGAAGAGTTACTGCTTATGCACTTTCTAATGTTGTTACCTTCCCCCACCCCCCCATCTGGAAAGTTATCCTCTTTGACTGGATGCAGCCCCAGGTATCAAGGTGGTGAGATGTAGTTTGACCATGAAATCCTTGTGTCCAACTAGAATAGAAACTTGATGCTGAAAGTTAACCCCTTGCTAGAGGTTAAACCTTCCGTCCCTCTTTACTCACTGAAAACTAGAAAATGTTCATACATCAATAACCTCCAACTCACAAAGCCAGCCTTATAGTTAAAGCAGTGTGTCTTTTACTTCTTCGGAGGAATTGGCTTCCATAGAAAGTCAGTTCAGAAGCCCAACCCCTGGACACCTTCGCACGAGCAAGGAGACAAGGAACAGGATGTAAATTGGCTACCATTTTCTTACCTGCAACAGCACAGGAAACAGACACAGCTTTGTAGCTGCAAATGTAGGCAGCTGTTTGCTTAAGTCTCCGTATCTTAACTGAATACTGATACCCAAGGTTGGGGAATCTGCTGGAAGAAACATCCAGCTAGCACAGCCTCAGACTGTTCAAGCATGTTCATTGTAACGATTCTTCAAAGGGCAGAAGCATTGGAAACAACTGGAAGGAATGTCAGGCAGTAGAGAGATGGTTTTGGCACATCAGTGAGATAGGTTGTTTACAACATCAAAAATTATTGGAGGAACATTTAATCATAGAGATAGTTAAAATCTAGTAAGTGGAGTGAGGATACAGTGTGCGTGTAATGTGAACCAATTTTGTAAAATGTGTAAGCACAGAGGTTACAAGGGATGGATAACATTAGCAGTGCTTTTAATAATTGGCTCCTTATTTTCTTTATACTTGAGAATTTTCTAGTTTCCTGTAATCCATTTCCCTTCTTCCTCCCTTTAAGTCCCTTGTTTGAGGAGCCTTTTACTTTTGGAGGAGAACTTGTATCCTTATATTTAATCAGAGTGCTATTTTTTTTTCTTTTGCCAATTAGCAACTGAATTTGGGGAATACTTAGTGGGAATTTTTGTTCAAAGCAGCGTGGATCCCCTGCCCCCTCACAAGGCAGGATGTGTGCTGTGCCATAAAGGACTTCATATTATCTCCCATTTTACAGATGGGGAAATGTAGGCAGGCTGAAGAAAGAAAGTAGCTTGCCAAGGTTAATTAAGAGTTAACAGCAAAACCAGGACGAGGGCTAAGGTCTCCTGATTAGCTAGCGCTGTATCTTTTTATCTGCTCCAGGCTCTCCAACCAAACTGTTCAATGGAACCTTGGGGCCCCATCCCTCAGAGCTGACCCAGTTTGTCAGGGCAAGGGTCTGGGCATCAGTAGTGCATCAACTTTTTTTTTTTTTTTTTTTTTTTTTAATGAGTATTAGGTGATGCCAGTGAAATCTTGATGTTGAGCTTTGGGAATCCATTGCCTACAAAGCAGTCCCTCCGAGATTTGTGTGTACGTGTATACACATGTAAACACAAGGTGAATGTTTATTTTTACGTACTTGAGTGCTTCGTATATACAAGGCGGTGTTCTTAGCTCTGCGAATGTGGTGTGACAGATTAGCCTCTTTAACAACTCCAGAGGCACTGTTAACATTTCTTAGACACAGTTCTATTAATTTTTAAAATATTTACAATTATATACATAATACTTATACATGTTTATATAATATAAACTCTCCTCATGTATAATACATGAAAGCATTTTATTTATATATTCTTGTTAAATAAAACTTCACTCATGGGATCATAATGTGCATAGTCTTTAGCATTTTGCCTCTCCAATTTACTGTATCTCAGGCGAGCTTTTCATTTCTAAACATAGATCTGACTGACTCTCCTCTCATACTGATGAGTTTTCATTTCAGGAATTGTGTATGGCAGAGGCTAAACTGCTGATGGGGAGACCCCCAAATACAGCTGCTCAGTTCATGGTGCTCTCATTTAATAGTCCCGGGCTGGTGGTTGACTCCTCCATGAGGTTGTTCACTGGGGTCTTCCTATTTCATAGCTGTACCATCTTGCGGGATGTTAGCCTTGCCATTGTGGTGGGACCTGCCTTATAACTTCTAGTTCGATTCCAGCCTGTGAAAAGTGGGAAGCAGCATGGATAACTGCTTCTTTTTAAAAGCTATGACTCCAAAGTTGCATACCACTTCCATCCATCTCCTGTTTGTCAGAAATTAGCCCCATAGCCCCACCTACCTGTCCAGGAGTCTGGGATATGTAATCTAGCTGGGTGGTCCTCTAGATTGTAGGAGAGTCCTCTTTTCAAAAAGAGGATGAAGAAAGTTAATGCTGGGGGTCACTCACGTACCATCCACTGCAGCTCTATTCATGATCCAACAGTGGTGACAGGATGGAAGAGTTAGAGCTACCAAGTATAGTGCTGTGTTTTGGTATCAGTGGCATCTGTGCAAGTGGATGTGGGGGTGTGAAAAGTGGTGATGGATCTGGAACTACTAGACTCTGAGCTCCTCCAAGAGCAGTGATAGTACCTTATTTTTTCTGTCATGAGAACTTGACTCAGTGCTTTGAACTTCAGTTAACCAGCAGAGGCGGGTGGGGAGAAAAGGTTGAGTTTAAGAGAAGCCTTTTTCCACGTCTCAATGAGTTGCCCATATGTTAACCAGTATCGGAGTACTTGCCATATGCCAGGCACAATTGTAGGTTCTGAAGTCACCAGTGGCCCTGATTGTGCTCATAAGCCTACATTCTGGTGGGGGTGACAAACAGTAAAAAGATATCTCTGTGGCAGTAGGCAAGATACATCCTCGATGGAAAGAAGGTAGTGTAATGGGGTGGTGAATGGTGGTGAGGGCTCTTTAGGTTTGATGGCTGAGACAGCCTCTTCAGGGGGATCTGAGATGACAGGTAGCCAGCCTGCTATGGGGCAGAGAATCTAGCTAGTACCTGGATACCACAACAGGGATCATGAGTGTGGCATGTGTGGGAACAGATATGCTGGAGTGGCTGGAGTGTCGTGGGTGTCGGGGCAAGAGGCAGGCAGAGGCTGGACCACGGGAGGGCCGGTAGATGATCCAGGGCAAGGAATCACTATTTCTTAGTGTGATGGGAAGCCTTTGGAGGGTTTGAGCAGGGTAACAAAGTGGTCAGTTTTCCATCTCTAAAACTGTGGGTGTGCAGAATGAGCACGGGTTGTATGAGCACAAGAGTGGAAGGATCAGCAGGGCCAGGTAGGCGGCTGTTGTAAGCCTGATGAGGAATGATAGTGGCTGGAGCAAAGGCAATGAGAAGGCCAGAAAGACATTCAAGATTTATTTCCATTAGAAACAGGACTTTCTGATGGGCTAAATAGGCACAAGGGTAGTGAGGGAAAGAAAACCAAGGCTTACTTCTTGCTGGTTTTTTTGTTTGTTTGTTTTTGTTTCTGTTTTTTTTTTTTCTTTTTTCTGTTTTTTTTTTTTTTTTTTTTTTTTTTTTTTGCCTGAGCAAGTCCATGTCTCACTGCTTAGGACAGAGGGGAAGGAATCCAGAGAGGTGTTTGGGGTCGATTATGTTGGAGGTGCCTATATGCTGTCCAGGTGGTGACGACAGGTTGGCAGTTGGTTAAGTCTGGAGATCTGAGGGAGGCTTTTCTGGCTAAGTGCTCTCATGTCCCTCTTAGTAAAGTTGCACTTAACTGGAAGACTTTGGGCTATAGTTTATAGCACTACACTGAGATCATTAGGGCGTGGTAGGGATGAAGTGTGCTCTTTCCTATGGCTCCCATTGGCTTTTGAAAGACAGGTTAAAGGCATTCTTTTTAGATATAGGGTGTGTCAGGAGTCCCCAGGACCACCCTCAGGTTTGGTGATTTGCTAGAAAGACTCAGGACTCAGTATCTAGTAATACTCATGGCTAAGATGTATTAGAACAAAAGGCCGCAAAGCAAAATTGGCATAAGAAAGAGGTGCATGGGACAAAGTCCAGAGGAAACCAAGCATAGCTTCCAAGAGTCCTCTCCCAGTAGAGTCACACAGGATGTGCTTAATTCCCCCAATGTGGCATTGTAACCACACGTGTGAAGTGTCATCTACCAGGGAAGCTCATTGGAGCCGAGGGTTTTTACTGGGGGCTGGCTCTGCTTAGCATGTACCAAAGTTCCAGAATCTCAAAGGAAAGCAGGTGTTCATCATAAACCATATTGTTTGTAACGCTTAGGCACAGTGAGCCATGAAAGAGAAGGGGAGGAAAGCGTGAAGAATAAAGTTAAATTAGAGTTGTCATGCCAAACCCCTATCAACCTCAGTAGGGAGGGCACCAGGTTCAAAAGGCCAAATAAGAGACCTGGAGCCAGCAAATGAGATGTGGGGTTTTATTAGAGGCTTTCATCCAGGGAAGAGTGTCCAGTGGCAGTGAGCTGAATAGAAGAACCACCTTAATCACAGGAACGGTCTAGTGGCGGCGGGCTGGACAACGTATCTGCATGGCCCAGTGGTGGTGGGCTGGGCAGGAAAATCACACGGTCCAGTGGTGGTGGGCTTGGCAGGAAAACAGCAACCCTTGCAAACAGCATGCAGTTTGTATAGAATTTTCACTTAGCACCTTCCCCTTAATAACTTCTACCTGGCAACCTTCATTTACCCCAAAACTCAGGGCCTTAATCCTCTGTACAGTGCATGTTCCACAGGATGGGATGAGCTCAGATTGTGAGCTCAAAAGTATCTGAAGCAGGTCTCAATCAATTTAGAAAGTTTATTTTGCCAAGGTTAAGGACACGCCTGTGAAGCAGGTCTCAATCAATTTAGAAAGTTTATTTTGCCAAGGTTAAGGACACGCCTGTAACAAAGCTTCAGGAGGTCCTGATGACATGTGCTCAAGGTGGTACAGCTTGTTTGTGGTACACTTTAGGGAAACATAATACATCAATCAATTCATGTATGATTTACATTGTTTTGATCTGGAAGGGCAGGACAACTCAAAGTGGGGGCTTCCAGGTCATAGGTAGATTTAAAATTTTTCTTGGCCGGGGACAGTGGCTCACACCTGTAATCCCAGCACTGTGGTAGGCTGAGATGAGCAGAATTGCTTGAGCCCGGGAGTTCGAGACCAGCCTGGGCAACATGGCGAAACCCCATCTCTACCAAAATAGTGATAATAATAATACAAAAGCTAACTGGGCATTGTATCATGCACCTGTAGTCCCAGCTACTCCGGAGGCGGAGGTGGGAAAATTACTCAAGCCCGGGAAGTCAAGGTTGCAGTGAGCCATGATAGTGCCACTGCACTTCAGCCTGGGTGACAGAGTGAGACCTTGTCTCAGAAACAAACAAATGATTGGCAATTGGTTGAAAAAGTTATCAATAGAAAGGAATGTCTGCGTTATGTTAAGGAGTTGTGGAGACTGCGGTTTTATCATACATATGAAGCCTCCAAAGTAGCAGGCTTCAGAGAGAATAGATTATAAATGTTTCTTATCAGACTTAAGGTCTATGTTGATGTTAATGCTGGTTGGCTTTTCCTGAATTCAAAAAGGGAGGGAGGGTATGATGAGGCATGTGTGACCCTCTCTTCCATCATGGCCTGAATCAGTTTTTCAGGCTAACTTTGGAATGCCCTTGGCTGAGAGAAGGGGTCCATCAGGTGGTTGGGGGAGGCTTAGAATTTTATTTTTGGTCTACAAGATGTGAACCTCCAGGTTGGCCACTCCCAAATTCCCTATCTCAGAACACACATTCAGGTGCCTCTGCCATATGGGTCATTCTGGGGATATGCTTAAGTTGTTGCTCTCTGGTGCATTTACCCTACAAAAGCTTGCTGTCAACACACAGGAACACTATGTATGGCGTGTATGCCATCAGGGAATATGTATTCTACTACTTGAAGTGATGGCAGCGATAGCAGAAAGTGGCTTTTTTGCAAGTCTGAAAGAGTACCTCTTGGTCACCCAACATTTAGTTACCCTCAGTTTGAGAAAGCAAATTACAGGGCTTGTCATTCTGAAGATGAGCTGCTTTGTGATGTTCAGGCACTGACAGCAGCGTAAATAATGTTGACTTTTGTGGGAAGTTAGTGACTTTTGGAGAATGATGCTGCAGCCTTTGGATCAGAGGAAGGTATTGTTACTGGATTGTTGAGTTTAGACCATAGAAGGACTAGGAGCCTTGGAGCCATTCCAGGGTTTGCTTGAATCATAGCCCTCATAACTTTGTAGCTGAGATCCTCAGGCAGGTTGCTTGACCTCTCTGAGCTAGTTTCCCTATATACGACGTGAGGCCGAAATGTGTGGAGTCAGTGTATGGATGTGATACTGTATGGAAGAGCCTGCCATGTTGCCAGGAATACAATCAATACTTAAACATTCTCCTCCATTATCAAGGATGATTGTCCAGTGTTATACGAGTATATGCATATATACAGCTGGTATATTTCTGTATGTTTATGCTCCTCCCTATTCAGCAGGTGTTTGGATGCTTATGTGCCAGACCTTAGGCCTTGAGTAGTCTCTTGTATTTCTTCTGTTACTGTAGTAGATAAAAATGCTTAGCTTTTTCCTCTGTGCAGCTTAATCCCATTTTAAATCTCTTTATTCTTGAGGCTATTTATGTAGCCAAGACAAGATCATTCCAAGGCCAATTGCTAAATGTATGGATTAATGATGTTGCTTTTCTTTAATTGCTAGGAGGATTATATACCCCTTCAGGGTGGGGACAGTGTCTGTCGTATGCAGTGTCACATTCCACACGGTGCTTCCCATGCAGGAGATTCTCCATCACAGATGTTAACTTTTAGAAATCGAATGATTGTAGCTTATTTTTCTACTTGGCAGCAGTTCTGGTTGGGAACTTATTATGGGGCGTGGGGAGAGGAGGCAGATGGAAGATAAACTTCTGGGGCTAGTGTTGAGGTTCACCCTGCCCATGTCAGAAGTCATAGGAACTTATTTAGAAATTTAGGGTTCCTGGTGTAGGTACACAGTGAATGATGCATGGCCAGTATTTAATCTGGAATGGTATTCTTTTTTTTTTTTTTTTTTTTTTGTGGAGATGGAGTCTCTCTCTGTCACCAGGCTGGAGTGCAGTGACCCTGTCTCGATCACTGCAACCTCTATCTCCTGGGTTCAAGCGATTCTCCTGCTTTAGCCTCCTAAGTAGCTGGGGCTGCAGGCACGGGCCACCACACCCAGCTAATTTTTGTATTTTTAGTAGAGACAGAGTTTCACCATGTTGGCCAGGATGGTCTCTATCTCTTGACCTCGTGATCTGCCCGCCTCGGCCTCCCAAAGTGCTGGGATTACAGGCGTGAGCCACCGTGCCCAGCTAGAATCATATTCTTTTGCAATCAATTTACAATCATTCAACCTCCAAATGGAGATCAACTGCCAGTGGGTTTTATTCTTTGTTTGGATTTTTATTTTGTTTTGTTGTTTTTAATTTCCTTTAAGATTTCTCTGTCTTGGGGAATGCACCTTGCCGGGAAAGGGTGGGAGGAGCCTTGGATTTGGCAGTCATCTCTGTCTGTAATTGGCCCTACTTTCTGTTGCAGAGGTCACTTTATCACAGAGCTCCCCCTGTTGATTCTTTGAAGTTAGGAGGTGCTTGATTACTTCCTTTTCTCTGCACAGGTGCAACTGAGAAACACCGCAGGTTTTCCAAGCATGTATAGCTGTTGGAATGTTATATCCCGGTCTTCAGGTGTTAGTCATTGCCCCTGGGCCAGGGTTGGAAACCTCGGGTGTCAGGTATAGGTAGAGATGTAGAGGGTGGGACATTGATAGGTTTCTCGTAAATAGCTGGTTAGAGGCCTCCATAATTAACAACACATCTTCCAAGGGCAGTGAAGAACTTCCCCAGTAGCTTCTGAGCTAAAACGTTTTGGAGGTAGTAATTTGATCAACTTGAAGATCGCGTATTAAGTTAATCGTTGATGTGAATCACAAACACAGAACACCGATATACTCATTGCTCCCTTGTAGTTTGTGACTCTTGTTCTTACAAATGTGTGTGGTTTGAGACTTGTTAGGCACAGCCCTTTTTTGTCTGATCTCTTTTTTATATATCATGCATACATCTGAGGAGGTCTATACTGTTTCTGTCATTAAGAGGTGGGAGTCTGTTTCCTATCCCTTGATCTTGGCTTTGATCTTGGGTCTCAGCTGAACCTCCCCCTGAATGCGGCCATGTGAGTGAGCCCAGTGAAACCAGCCAAGAAACCACCCATTAACCCATAGAGTAATGACAGTACATTGTTGTTGTTTATAGCCTTAAGTTTTGGCATGGTTTGTTACATAACAATAGGTAACTGATTGAGTAAGCTTGTTCTGGCAGAAAATACTCTGGCAGGGATCCTATCTTGCCCTCCTACACCCCGCAGAACAATCATCAGGGTTAAGAAAGCCTTTCACATCTTAGTATATTAATAATTTGGATCAGTCTGCTTTCTTCTCAGTTGCCCACTGAAAGGGTTGTTAGGTGCTAACTTTGTTTTGTAAGGAAAAGAAGGTTGCTGATTTGCGGGCATGATTTATTTTCGAGAAAGGATTGTTTGGTTGTTATGCTTTACTGGAGTTAGGGACTTAGCAGTTTGAGTGGACTCTGCATCTGATAAGTGTAGCAGTAGGTGATAAAGAATTCTGAGAGGAAGAATAAGAAACTACCAAGGTAGCTTTTGAAAATTATGCCTTAAACTGGTTCCATACTTAAAGGTGGGGGGAACTTTCTTCTACTTTGAATCTTTGCTTTTAGGACCCAGATTCAGACTACATTTCATAGCAGAATTCAGTTACATCATGGCATGAATGAGTTTTTTAAAGCTGGCCATGGGAACTAACTGTAGTTTATGTTGTTGCAATAGAAAATGTTATCCCAACAACCAACTTATAAATTAGAACATTTGTGACTTTTAGAGCATTTATAAGTTGGAATGTGCCTGTAACTATATTAGAGATGATATTTGAACGATGGGCTAGCTATTTTTCTAGATATATCAAAGTGATAAGTATTAGATATGCCCCATTTTTTACAGTGAATTGTTATAGTGATGTAAAGTTAGGGCTTTTTCATGTTTTATTGAATTATGTCATATATTTAAGTCTGTATCTCCTTGCTTTCTAAGGTCATTTAACATTTTTATATTTCATTGATATTTCTGATATATGAAAAGCGTGCATGTTATAGAGAATGCTTTTTTAAAAAACAGCTTTATTGAGATAGAATTTTATATACCATAAAATTTACACGTGTAAAATGTACAGTTCAGTGGTTTTTATTATATTTACAGAGTTGAACTATAATCTAGTTTTAGCACTCACTATCCCTCTCCCCACCACCCACCCTTCCCTGCCCCAACCCTACACAACCACAAATCTTTCTGTCTTTATAAATATGCCCATTCTGGGCATTTTCTATAAGTGGGGTCATATAATATGTGGTCTTTGGCATTAAGCTTCTATCACGTAGCATAATATTTTTGAGCTTTGTATTGTAACATCTATGAATTCTAAGAGGGAAAATGATTTATCCACCAAGTTATATTTATAACGTTGTTTAACATTTTCATTATGTAATATTTTATTCAAACAAAAGTGGACCATATAACACGTGTAAGTTATAAAGCATGACAAAATGAGCACCTGGATTCCTACCACTCAAGAATGGTACTGATACCATTGCATCTACCTGTGAATTTCATTCCTATTCTGTTCCTCCCACCTCCTCATCTCATAAGTTATCTCTAAGCAATATATCATTTCTTCTGTTTTTTTAGTTTATTAAAAAATGTATTTTTTTTGCAGCTTCTTTCACACCATACTGTGTTTCTTAGCTTTATTCATATTGTATTTAATGTATTTCTTTTGATTTCATTGCTTTTTAATTTTCTGTGTGAATATACTGTTTTTCTTCTGAGTAGGTATTCGGGGTGTTTCCAGTATTTTATTTAAGGATCAACAACACAATGAATATGTTACAACTGCTTTCTTCTATACATGGAAGAGTTTTATGTAGGGCATATACCTCGTAGTAGAATTGCTACATAGTAGAGTACAAAAATATTTAGTTTTTCAAAATATTTGTACCAATGTACACTGCCATATACGTTATATAAGAATTCCCACTGATCTTGATACTTGTCAACACTTGATATTATCAAACTTGTTAATTTTTGTCAATCTGGGATGTCAGATACTGTGATCTTAAACCTTTTTAACTACTTCTGAGGGTGATTATGAACTTCTAATAATTTATCATTCTAATCTTCATTTTTAAAAATGCCTGCTTGTGTCATTTTCCCATCAGAGGTTTTATATATGTGTGTGTGTGTGTATGTGTATATATATGTGTGTGTGTGTGTGTGTGTGTGTGTGTGTGTGTGTGTGTATATATATATATATACTTTTTTTTTTCTTGAGACAGAACCTGGCTCTGTCACCCATACTGGAGTGCAGGGGCATGATCTCAGCTCACTGCAACCTCTGCCTCCTGGGTTCAAGCGATTCTTATGCCTCAACCTCCTGAGTAGCTGAGACTACAGGCGTTCACCACCGTGCCTGGTTAATTTTTTGTGTTTTTAGCAGAGACACGGTTTCACTATGTTGGGCAGGCTGGTCTTGAACTCCTGTCCTCAGGTGATCCACCTGCCTCGGGGTCACACAGTGCTGGGTTTATAGGGGTGAGCCACCATGCTGGGCCAGAGGTTATATTTCTTTATCAAGTTGTTCTTTATGTAGGATACCAGTCACTTGTTTGTTACAATGTATTATAAGTATCCTTCAGTTTCAGGGCTGCCTTTTCACTATTTTTATACTGTCCTTTTTCTCTGGCTGCCTTGAAGATTTTCCTTTTGTCTTCGATTTTCTCTAGTTTGGTTATAATTATTTGGGGAGATGGGTCTGTTTTCTGTTCTTTTGAATTTATCCTGACTGGGACTTTCTGAGCTTCTTGGATCTGTGGTTCATTCTGTTTCATTAATTTTGGAAGAAACTTTCGCCATATCTTCTCAAGTCTTCTGTCTTACCAGTGTAACTGGAGTATTAGAAGAAAAGAATTGTTGGACCATTTGATAACCCATGGATAATCTGTTTGTTCTTCACCTCCATCACTCTTTGTTTCAATTTATTTGTTAAAATAATTTCTGTTGACTTATCTTTCAGTTTACTGAGTAAAGGTTCTTAAGCCATGCCAAATCTACTAATGAGCCCATTGAAGGAATTCTTCATCTCTAATTAGTTTTTTAATTCCTGTCATTTCCATTTAACTCTTCTGGTTTCTATCTCAGTGAAATTTCCCATATGTTTATGTATGTTGTTTACCTTTTCCATTAGATCTTTAAACATCTTAAGCATGGTTATTTAAGATCACTGTATGATAATTCCTACATTTAGGTCATCTCTGAGACTTTTCTGTTGTCTTGTATCTTGATTTTGTTTTTACATTCTTGTGATTTTTTTTTTTTTTTTTTTTTGGTAATTTTTGATTGAATGCCAGACATTGTGTGTAGAAGACCAGTAGAGACCAAGGTAAATTATTTTGTTTTCTGAGATGAAGTCTTACTCCGTTGCCCAGGCTAGAGTGCAGTGGCACGATCAAGGCTCTCTGCAGCCTCAACCTTTCTGGGTTTAAGTGATCCTTCCATCTCAGCCTGCTGAGTAAGTGGACTACAAGCACACACCACCGCACCCGGATTATTATTTTTTTTAAATTTATTTTTATTATTTTTTGAGATAGTCTAACTCCATCACCCAGGGTGGAATGCAATGGTGAGATCTTGGCTCACTACAACCTCTACTTCCCGAGTTCAAGCAGTTCTTGTGCCTGCAATTACAGGTGCTCGCTACCACGGCCAGGTAAGTTTTTGCATTTTTAGTAGAGACGGGGTTTCACCATGTTGGCCAGGCTGGTCTCAAACTCCTGACCTCAAGTGATCCACCCAACTTGCCCTCCCAAAGTGCTGAGATTACAGACATGAGTCACCGTGCCCAGCCATACCCAGCTTACTTTTTAAATTTTTCATAGACATGGGACTTCACCATGTTGCCCAGTCTCGTCTTGAACTCCTGAACCTCAAGTGATCCACCCGCCTTGGCCTCCTAAAGTGCTGGGATTACAGACGTAAGCCATCGCGCCCAGTAGTTTTTATGCCTGGAAATGAGCACGCCTCTTTTTCTATTAGGTCATGTATATGGGATTGTGAGTTAATTTGATCAGTAATTGAGTTGGGTTTGGGTCTTTGTGTTATTTCCTTCATTCTACCACAGGTTTTTAATTCTTCCAGCTGTGAACTGCTGTTACCTTATACTTAAAATAGTGCCTGGAGTGCCCCACTTTCCTCGGTGTTCTTGCTTTATTTTCTCAGCTTTTTTAGTAGTTCTCAAATGCCTGAGCTGTAGTATAATCTAGCCCTGGCCCCTTCTTCAGCATTAGATTACCATTGGTGGTTTAGATCTCATATCTGGGCTCATTGTAGAGTCAGGGGAATGGTTCTCAGTTCTTCTGATCCAGTTTAAGGTAGGCCCTGGTACCTGGGTCATGGAGATAGGGTCTCCACAGCATTCCTCTTCCTTTCTTCGTCTGGTAGTCAAACTGCCTTGAATCTGATGTGTATATGGGCAGAAGAGTTTCCAGCCTTTCCTCGGGGGCATTGGATCTGTGTCTGAGTCCTGGGGATGGGAGGGTTTCCTACCTTTGCATCACACACAGACCAGTTTTGCTTATGCCTGTCATGCTGAAGCAGTGCCTTTTTGCCTGGACTCTGGGATTGGAGGGTTTACTGTTCCACCCAGAGTGGCTTGAGGTATTTTATTTTACTTTATTTCAAGACAGAATCTCGCTCTGTTGCCTAGACTGGAGTACAGTGGCACAAAACTGGCTCACTGCAACCTCTGCCTCCCAGGTTCAAGCAATTCTTATGCCTCAGCTTTCCGAGTAGCTGGGATTATAGGCGTGCGCCACCACACCCAGCTAATTTTTGTATTTTTAGTAGTAATGGGTTTTCGCCACATTGGGCACCTGGTCTTGAACTCTTGGCCTCAAGTGATATGCCGGCCTCAAATGATATGCCCGCCTCAGCCTCCCAAAGAGGTGGTTTCTGTATCTCTAGATTTATGTCTTTCATTAGTTCTGGGAAATTCCCAGCCATCGTCTTCAGTTACTCTTTCCCTCTTTTTCTCTGTACTTGTCTTCTTAGTCTTTACTTACATGTGTATTAAATCTTTTCATTTTCCTTCCTATGTGCTTTGATAATCTTTCTCATTTTCCATCATCTTGCTTCTTTGTGCCACATTTTGGATTGTTAGGTTTGTCTTTGGTTATTTGCTTTGCTATTCAGTGGTGTCAGATTTGCTATTGAAATGGAAAACCCAAGATGAATCTAAACATTTATTTTAAGAAGTTCTGTTTTCTTTTCAAACCTGCCTGATCTTTTGTGTTAGTCTCTTGCTGCTCATTCATCATATTTTGTTTTCTAAATGTTTTATAAAGTTATTTTATAGTTTCTGAGAATTTGAATATCTGAAGGCTAGTGAATGATGAGGATTTAGGGGAGTTAGTGCATATATATGGGATCCAAAATAGATTGTTTCTGCTATAACTTATTTATAGTGGTTTGTGTCTTTTGTATGATTTGTTTTAGAACACAACATGAGATTCTTTTACCTTCATACACACACACACACACACACACACACACACACACACACGCACACACATGTATTTTTTTTTCCAGAAACCTTCCTTGTATTCTCATTAATCCTTGTGTTCATGTTCCCTCCCTAACCCTTTTTGTATCTTTTTAGTGCTAACACATGCAAGGCACTAGGATAAGCTCTTTATGTGAATTATTTAGTTTATCTTCACAACTAACCCAGAGGGAGTTGCCCTTATTTTCACTTTAGAGGAGAAAGCAGCACCCTGAAGAGGTTCTATGACTCTGCTAGGGTCATATAGCTGGACAAAGGCACAGCGACCTTGTAAACCAGGCAGTGTGAGTCAAGTCTGACAGTGTCTATAAACCTCCTCTAAAGGGTGGTCTGCAGGCTAGTACTTCAACTATGTGTCCCTTGCCCATAAGAAAATAAGTTAATAAATCCAGCGTAAACATTTAGCTACTTTTCTAGCAATTTTTCATTGCTCTGTATCCAAGTAAGTGACCAGTGAACCCATCTTCTTGAACCAGGTATGGACCAGGTTGAGTGTTTTTGAACTGACATGATGAGGTGTGTATGCAAAGCTGTGTTCTAGTCATGTGCATTAGGACATGCCCAGAAGGACATGTGTCTGTCCACTGCAGATGGGGGTGGGCAGTGACGACTACCTGGTCTTTCATGAAAGCTGGTTTGAGAGAAACCACAGTTGGTAAAATTTAGTAACTTAAGAATTCTTATCCAGAAAGTCACTCTTTGGTGCTATTTTCTCTCTTGCTCTGCAGTCCTGTAACAATGACCTAGGCTTAGTATCTGAGGCAGAATTAGTGCATTTGCCAGGGCTAATAATGATTCTGCTCCAATCCCTGTATATATTAGTGACTTGCTGGCAATACTGGAATGGAGTAAATAATATGAATGCTTCAGTTATCAACTATTAGTTGCTTTTATTGTGAGCTAGTGTGCAGTATGCGGAGGAAGCGTGTACTAGTCTAGGGCTTCCAAAGACTAAATGGAGAATTGTAATTCTCAGGCATGTGACTGAAATCCTCTTCTTGCTTCTTCTAATAGAAAAAATAAAGGCACATGCAGGCTTGTCCTCTGTGTCATCTGTTACCTACCCCTGCTGCACCGGCACTTAAATATTAAACAGATGTCTGCAGGACAGTGGTTGGTGTTGATAAACCCATTGCTGTGACCAACAGTCAAGCTAATCCTATAAGAATTGCCAGCCATTGGTCATGAGGGATTCTGCTAAATTCTGACCATCTCCCACAACAATCATTATGTACAGTAGTATACCTAGGAAAGGACAGTTTAAACAGAACAAGTTTTTATTCAGTTGCCTGTGTGTTGGGTGGTCCCTGCTATCCTAATAATGTGGTTTCAGATGCTATTTTAAACTGAGATGTTAAGATCATTAATTTGTGACTAGACAACAAACTAGTAAACTTAAATAATGAGAATAATAAATAGAGCCTGCCTGGACTCTTAAAGCTTCAGGATGTCTTAGTTTCATGATTCTTTGTTATTAAAACAAGTCATCAACTAACTTAAAAGTAATTCTTTAAAAAAAAAAAATCTGTGCAAATGTGTTATCTTGGTAGGCACTTGAACTTTCTCCTGACCATATCCATAGGGCTGCTATCAAATAGATGTTTGTAATTTCTTGCTTTGGAGAACCGTTCTCTTTCTTATGCTTAATAGATTATGAATTGCACCACCCTACGTGATTTTGGTTTTGGCACTTGGATTTTCTCTTCAGTGGTTGAGTGCTATTGTGAAGGGTTTTAAAATTCTTTCTGTACTAACCCTTGATCTCCAAAACGCCATTGATAAAAGAACAGAAACACTATAAACAATCACATTAGAATCTCCTATCAAATTTGTGCTCAGTTCATGGTAGCAGTGGGTCAGAACAAACTGTGTTTTCCTTATCTGCAGAAAATTATGCTAATTTAATTTAGAGTGTGGTTGCCTAAATATGTGGTGACTCAGGATAAAATATTTTCTGTAATTTTTTTGGTGTTTATTTTTCCCACAGGACTTGGTAAATTTCTCCTGATCCTACTCTCCCTTTAATTTCCCTTTTTATTAGATTTTAGTAGGATGGGAAAAGAATGATGAAGAGACGCTTTGTGGTCTAGTCCTCACATTAACAGACAGTGATTACTGCTCGGTGAGGGGCAATGTTTTAAATTACACAAATAATTGATTATGATTATACCAAATTTCTAAATATAGCAACTAGAACCTGAATATGGAACAGGAAAATATCATAAATTTTTCTGTTTCCTCCAGATTTTCCCAGTCTACCGTACAAAAGGGAAAACAGTAGGAAAATGTTTCTTCCTTCAAAGAGTTCCTAATTTTTTTGTTCACATTTTCATTTGAGAATTTACAGAGCTATAGGTAAATGTTGCTTCACTTATTTTGCTTTGGAAATGGATTTTTAATTTTGAATTGGGATGTGTTTAGATATGCTGAGACTTGCAAGCATTTTAGGTAAAAAGGAAATATATTGATAAACCTGATAATGAGATTTCATGAGGTAGCCTGTTTTTTCTTCCCTCTGTGCACCTTCATGCCTTGTGAATGGTACCTGGGGCTTGCTTCTTTGCTTGTAGGCCACTGTCTACCTGGCTCCTTGCTGGCTGATTTTGGGGAAATACCTTGGAAAGGTAATTTGTTTTACAGCTTAAATAAAAAGTCTTGCCTTGGGATTAAGGGGGAATAAACAGGACTAAGACAGAGACTGAGATGATACTGCGTGTAATATGGGGAGAAATCTGCAGGGAGAAGTCAAATGGACACTTAATACTTTTTTTATGATGCATGGTTCATTCTCTGGTAATTAACTCTATGCATATTGTCAGGACACTGTATCCATTTAATTTTTTTTTTTTTTTTTACCTAAGGCTGTATTGGATATAGCATTTTGCCCTTTGTACTCGTTTATATGCTCATTCCTTAGATGATCTGCACCAACTGGAAAAAGAGGGAGCTGGGGTTTTACGTTTGGAGGACCTGGAAATCTTGTACTGATGTTTTCTCTGGGTGTTTAGATGCCATAAGAGGCAGAATAACACCCCCCAATTAGATCTAAGAACTGGCAAAATCTTTGCTAAAGGAGCCCTGTGATTAAAGCTGTGTTAGGCCATGTTAACCCTTTGTTAAGTTAGCCAGATTTTAACAGGCTGCACCAGAACAGTTTCTCATGTTCATTCAGAGGTCCTGAGAGTGGCATTTTCTATTAATGAGCTTCGCTTAGAAATAAGTAGCTATTCTAAACCAGTGAATAATTTTGTTTGCCAAAGCCTCGGCCTCCCAGGACCTGTAACACATCTTTGGAAGGCACATTTAGAGCAGGCCTAGCTCTCTTCATTTTTACATTTTGCTGCTGTCCTTGGGAAGAAATGCAAAGGAAACTGGTCCTCTGTGAATACAGTGTGTTGATTATGAGTCCTTTTTTAAAAATCAAGATATAATTCAATTCACATGCTGTAACATTCACCCTTTTAAAGTATATAGTTCTGTGGTTTTTAGTATATTGGGAAGGTTGTACAAAGTATTAGCCCTAATTCCAGAACATTTTCATCACCCCAAAAAGAATCCGTGTAGCCATGAGCAGTCATTCCCATCCCCTCCGCTTCAGCAACTAATCTACTTTCTTTTTGGGGTTTGTTTTTTTGAGACAGAGTCTCACTCTGTCACACAGCCTGGAGTGCAGTGGCACGATCTTGGCTCACTGCAATCTCCGCCTCCTGGGTTCAAGCAATTCTCTGGCTCAGCCTCCCGAGTAGCTGGGATTACAGGCGCTCACCACCATGCTCAGCTAATTTTTTTTATTTTAAGTAGAAATGGAGTTTCACCATCTTTGCCAGTCTAGTCTTGAACTCCTGACCTCGTGATCCACCCACCTTGGCCTCCCAAAGTGGTGGGATTACGGGCATGAGCCACTGCGCCTGGCCTAGAGCCACAATGTACTTTCTACCGAAAGTTCTTTTTTATGTTACGGTGAAATCTCCTGTCCCTATGACTTAGTAGCTAGATGAATTGGGGAGGGGTGGCTTCACAAATAAACTCTTAAGGTTGATTTTCAACTTCTCACAAGAATAATCTCTTAGTTTCTTATTTTCTATTTATCACTTCTAGGCCCCTGTGTAAAGGGAAAGGTGATCTGCCTAGTCTCTGAGTCCACTTCACTTTTACTGCTTATAATAAAATTTACCAGTTATCTAAAATACTAAATGTGTGTTAATGTGCAAGAAGTTGAGTCTGATCTGATAATGAAATGAGTTTATGGCAAACACCCTTTTGAATGCCAAGTCTAGAATCACCTGCAAGAGCACTACAGTTCCTCTCAGCCTTTCTGTTCTTTAACTTTTAGAATAGTCAGAATTCAAATCATATAGGACTTTGTCGGTCAAAACCAGAAAAACAAGTAGCTTGGATAGATGGCAGGCTTAGATATGTATGTGTCAAATATGTCTTAAATAAATACTTTGGATTCCTGCCCATGGCACTAGCGTGAAATCCTGAAGTTTGAGAGTTCGGAAGGCAAGTGGGGATTGATTTAAAGGGGGAGGAGAAGTATGAGTTCTCAGCAGTTTTCCTTGACTATAGTGGAAAGAGTAAGACATTGAGAAGCGTTAATGAAATAGGAGGTATGTAAGGGAACCACTGGGGGAACCTATGGACTGCTCACTGGGTGCCTTGGCTGGTAATACAGATTTATTAGCTGAAGGATTTTGTCTTTGTTGCTTAGCTCTCTTGGACTACCCCAGAATGGCTTTAAAAATGTGAGTACTGGACCTTCTCCCAAAGCCTCCACTGTTTGTGTTTGTGTAGCTCTGTTTTTCAGTCTGTGTACTATGTGTGGCTCTCTTTGTAGAATTGCTCAGCAAGCAGTATCAGAAGCTGGCATACCTCCTCTAGGGCCACAGTGATGGGGAGCAGGGAGGGTGGACTCCACAGAAACCGTGGATATTAGAGTGTGTGGATGTTGGGGAAGCTGGTGAGTATATACAGAAATCGAAACTGCCAGAGTTGGGATTGATTGTCGGAGCCTTTTACAGTAAGAGGTGGTAATTGTTTAATGTGGGTGCCCTTTCGTCTTCTGCCTGTCTGGTTCTCTTGGAATATTATAAATAACAGGTTCTGGAGGCCTGGAATTCATGTGGCTCTTCCTCCCTTGATTTGACAGATAAAACAAATGCATTATTTGGTATAAATCAAAGTGTTGTGGTTTAAAAAGTTATTTAAATAGAGTTGAGTTTGTTTGAAACATGGATGCCCTTTCCCAAAAGATTAATTTCCTTCAAAGATGGTTAGGCTTTTCCGTTTAGACAGAATAATAATAAGCCTAATCTATTAAAACATTTTTTTCAGGGAGAGAGGAGGGTATCTACAGAAGAATATTTTCATCTCCATTGAATAATGCCTTCAAAAAAGACTCCCTTCTCTTCTGTTTTTAAAATTCAATTCACTAATCTCTCTCGTTGACTTCATCTCCAAAAAATTCCCAATAGGGAAATAAAGTAAAAAATGAAGCCCCTCTCACCCACCTTTACCCTTCACCCCTAGATTTCCACTACCTCTTAATAACTAGTTTCCAGCCATTTGGTGCAATTTTTTTTTTCTAGTAATTATTCAGCTATTCAGTGAACACGTGTCCATGTACATTTGTAATGCCTTTTATTTTTTATTTTATTTATTATTTTGAGACAACATCTTACTCTGTCACCCAGGCTGGTGTGCAGTGGCATGATCTCGGCTCACTGCAACCTCTGTCTTCCGGGTTCAAGTGATCCTCTTGCCTTAGCCTCCCGAATAGCTGGAACCACAGGCATGTGCCACCATGCCTGACTAATTTTTTGTATTTTTTATAGAGACAGGGTTTTGCCATGCTGCCCAGGCTGGTCTCAACTCTTGAGATCAAAGTGATCCACCCACCTCTGCCTCCCAGAGTGCTAGGATTACATGTGTAAGTCACTGCACCTGGCCCATAATGCCTTTTTAATGGCATATCCAAACCTATCCAAACCTTTTAAGTGACATCATAAGGAGGTGATATAATTCTACTTTTAAGTGAGTTGAGCTCTGCTCCAGTAAAAAATGTTGCCCAGATATTTAATTGTAAACCATGGAGATGTAGCAACCTGTGAGAGTTATCATGAATTGATGTACCATAGCACAGGACTGGACCCGTCTGCTACATTAGAAGGATCTTTCTGTATTCTGGTTATTGATTTGGGACAGTTTCATAAAAACTGCAATGTGATCTTGGCTAATTTCTTTGAAATATCACTTTAAGAATAAGGACCACACATAGTAAAGGGGGGCTCTTTGGCATAATAGTGATATTCATTTCTGTAGACTCTGCTGAATTCCTCTGTTTTGCATTTCTTGGGTGTGTTGGTTCACAGCTAAAAATAGAGCTCTATTTAAAATGGGTACCCTTTCTGGAAATAAGAACTATATTTCAATTAGTAAATTTCCTGTTTCCTTAACATGTGTTTTGTTTTGTTCTTTCCTTTTTTTTTTTTAAACAGCAAGCCAGGGCTGAGCAGGAAGAAGAATTCATTAGTAACACTTTATTCAAGAAAATTCAGGCTTTGCAGAAGGAGAAAGAAACCCTTGCTGTAAATTATGAGAAAGAAGAAGAATTCCTCACTAATGAGCTCTCCAGAAAATTGATGCAGGTAAATTATCTTTTCTACTCCCTCATCTTCCCTGCCTATTTTCCTTTCTAGGAGAAAATGACTTTGATATAGCACTTTGCTTGTAACATTTGCTGATGAGGTTGTAGCTTAAGTTCTTTGGAGATTCAAAATACCAGGTAAGGGTGGCAGCGGTGTAATAGTCAAGACTGTGGTTTTCTAGCTTATCTGCATATGTTAGGTAAGCTATTTTGTACCCCGAGCATTTCCAAAAAATTGCTGATGAGCACAAGATCTTGGCATGAGATGTTGAATGTAGCATTTTGGAAGTATGGGGACTAATGCCAAATGTGAAATTTTTCTCCTTTTATGTTGAGCCTGTAATAAGTACGTAAACTTTTTGGCAGTCATAGGTGGGTCTTTTGCACTAAAATATGAGGATATGAAGTGAAACATCTTTAGGAAGTAGAAAGGTATCCATGATAGTTAAAACTACCCACAATCAACCGTGTTCAAATGGGTGAGTAATATGTTACTGAACAAATATCAGACTGCTATTAAAACTCAACGTTGATCACGAGTAATATATAGAAGATGCCACACAAAACATATAGGAAGGTTTGATTTCTCTACTTCAGAGGCTCATTCTCTCCCCCTCCTTTTTTTTCCCCCTTTCAAAGCTTACTGGTAAAGTACAAGGTAAAATTTGCTTAGGGGCAATAGTTTGTGGGTTAGTATGAACTTAAAAATAAGTGGGATATTGAGTTTTCATTATTTAACATAGCTTGTCCAAAATAGTGAGCAGGTATAAAATTATCAACATTATTACCATTTTGTCTTTAGATGTCTGTGAAACACCCCCATATGTTTTAACATCATCAATAACAATTTCATTAATTTGCTTGAAGTATATATATTAGTGAGGTTGTAATAAGAAGTTATTCGAGGCTTTTTAAAAAATCTTCCTAAGTTCTTTTCTTACCTCCCCACATAGATGATCCTGTAAGAGGATACTGGAAACTCTGATGTAGCAACTTTAATGTTAAGACCATAACATGTTCCAGGCAGCTTTTACCCCTGTCTTTCTATTAGTCTCATTTTTCTACCTAATTACTGAATAAAGACACTGTTAATCTTGCACAAAATTTGATTTATATGGTAGTTACTGAAATGTGAAGAATAGGTACCCAGGCATTACTGTCTAGCAGAGATTTATAGCAAAATTTTTGTACTGAAACTTTTTGTTTATTCATTTGCATTGTGATTTAGAGAAAAATGGATGGAGAAGATTAGTTTGACCTTTTAGTATGTCTCACTGGGGCAGCATTAAATGACTTATTTTACCTAGTGCTTCTAGAATCATGGGGATGTAATTATGGTTTGTTTTTCCTAGGTGTATGTGTAATCAGGTGCCATAATTTTTGGCACTGCAAGAAACCTTTTTTTTTTTTTTTTTTTTTTTTCAATTTACATGGTTGTTTTTTGGAGTCTTTAACCAAAGTACATTATAGGACAGTCAAGACCTCGCCAGATCATGTTCCTTTTCTCTATGTATCTCCAGTATGAGTGATTGTATAGTCTGTAATTGGCCTCTCGTTCACTTATGTAACCTACCTACCTTTTAAGGATATTGATGTTCCTTAAAATAAGATACTAAAAAAGAATGAAAACATAAGAACATAAGAATGAAAACATAAAAAAGAATGAAAACATAAGCACATAATGCAACAGCAAAGGAAGTTATTTATAGTTGTGTATACTTGGTGTAAGAAGGCTTGAACTTAAAATTGAAGCTCCAAGCATCCTCTAAATAATGCTATGACATAGAAATGTAGGGATTGTGTTTTCATAATTCTTATATCTAAAACAGTAGTTCTTGGTCAAGAGAAAAAAAAATCATAGACTAAAAACTTGGAAAAATTTTTCAGTGGATAGTGGATCTTTCTAAAGGGATTGAATAGTATATAAACTGAACAAAATAAACTGTTATTTCCAAAAGTGGTATACAATGTGTAGCCCTAGCCTTCACGCGGGCATGTCTTATGTTTGCCCTCAGCCAAAAGAAAGGGCGTAGTATGAAGGTGTGATTCTGTGAAAACATTGGGGTTCTCTAGATGGGTCTGTAGCTTGTTGGTGATTCAACTTGTAGAATCTGGACAGATGGATGGTTAGCATGTCCCTGAGACAATCTGTCATGCATCCCAGCTTGGTTTTTAGGCTTTTTATTTTAATGTGGTAAATTTTACGTAACATAAAATTTACCATTTTAGCCATTTTTGAGTGTACAATTTGGTGGCGTTAAGCATTTTCAGCTTGTTGTGCAGCCGTCAGCACTGTCCATCTCCAGAACCTTTTCAAACTGAAACTCTGTGCCCATTAAACAATAATGCCCATTCTCTTCCCCTCGTCTTTAGGTGTTTGAAAGGGATGGATAGCAGGTAGTTTTAGGTTCAGGTCTCTGGCAAGTTCTGAAGCTGTTGCCATTCTGAGGCATAACAGGAGATCTGTTGCTTTAGACACCAGGTGTCACAACATGTCTATTTTTTGATAGTGCCTAAGAACCTGACCTCTATTGTTGTCCAGTTCAGGGATATCATAGCTGCAGCAGGGGAAGGGCTGTTCAGCCTATGATACTCATCCCTCAGGCTCCCAATATGTATTTCCTTAATAGGTTCAACCAGTCTTTTGTTGAATGCCCACATTTTGTGCCACCCAGCATGGAAATACTGTTTTCCATCTGGAAGATTCTTGGAGTAATTGATACCAATAGACTTTTTCAACTATGTAATTATTTTAATATGGCTTTCTAGGATGTTTGCTTCTGCACAGGACCTTGCTAAAAAAAAGCCTGCTAAGAGAAATCATGCTACAAGTGTCACTCACAGACAAATGGGTGCATTGACCTGTTCACTGTGAAAGTGTTCAGCATTTTTCACCCAAAGGCCACTGAGAGGCTATATACAGATCAATTTTTGTTTTGTCAGAGTGCTTTGGCTGTTATTTCTGATAGTGATTGGACAATGCTTTTATGTGCATTTCAAAGGGATTTTTTGATCCTGAGAACAAAATGAGACTTGCTATAGAAGAGACGTGTCCCTTCCTGTCTGCTATGGCCAAGTTGGGTATCCAATACCTTTAAAAAATAGAATCAAGTTTGCTTAAGATACATGAGAGTAAATCCCTTTGCCCTTTAAAAGATCCAGTTTGGGAGATGGCTTAAACACCTCCATATGTGTTCATCCTCACCAACAGGAAAACACACACAAAAGGGAGCATGCAGCTCTTCTCCCTTGCTTTTGTGTCTATCCAGTACAGACACAAAATTGTATCTTTATCTCGTGAGAACTCTTGACTGAGAAGTCTACATCTTTCTGAGCCCAGGCCATGGGATTCACTACCTGATTGGTGAGACATTGTTCCAAAAAGAACTCTCTTACTTTTGGTAAGTTCAACATGAACCTACATTAGAGCTAAATTCTACTCTTGAATGCCTTGAAGAGAGGTTGTGCTTTAATCGTTATTTGTAATTAAAACCTATAAGAAGTGTTTGTGAGCAAAATTATCAGAATTTTATATACAGGCTGAGCGTGGTGGCTCACGCCTGTAATCTCAGCACTTTGGGAGGCCGAGGCAGGTGGATCACTTTGATGCCAGGAGTTCAAGACCAGCCTGGCCAACATGGCGAGACCCCATTTCTACTAAAAATACAAAAAATGAGTTGGGTGTGGTGGCACACGCCTGTAATCTCAGCTACTCAGGAGGCTGAGGCAGGATAATTGCTTGAACCTGGGAGGCAGAGGTTGCAGTGAGCCGAGATCACGCTGCTGCTCTCCAGCCTGGGGGATAGAGTGAGACTCTGTCTCAAAGAAAGAATTTATTATACAGTAAGTTCTCACTTAATGTTGCCGATAAGTTCTTAGAAACTGTGTCTTTAAGTGAAATGACATATAATGAATCTTATTTGTTTATTTTTGAGACTGTCACCTAGGCTGGAGTGCAATGGTGCGATCTCAGTTCACCTTCCAGGTAGCTGGGATTACAGGCACCCACCACCATGCCCAGCTAATTTTTGTATTTTTGTAGAGACAGGGTTTCACCACATTGGCCAGGCTGGTCTTGAACTCCTGACCTCAAGTGATCTGCATGCCTTGGCATCCCAAAGTGCTGGGATTATAGGTGTGAGCTACTGCACCTGGCCAATGAATCTAATTTTACCAGAGACTAATTGATACAAACAAGAGTTAAGTTCCTACTGCATATTTCTGGTCACGAAAACATCACCAAACTTCCAAATAAAGACCCCAAACACTTTAAATGTTACACATTAAAATAAACTGAGCTATGTATACTTTAAAAGAGATTAGTTAAGAACAAGTAAGAAAATTACTTACCCAGTGATTCCAGTTTAGGGTCATAGGTGGCCAGAACCTGTCTTGGCAGTTCTGGGTAGCTTAGGTTACAAGGCGGAAATCTGCCCTGGGCAGGATCTATTCTATCGCAGGGCACACGGGCACACTCACTCACACTGGCTGAGACTGGAACCATTTAAACAATGCTAGTTAACATGTTGTGCACATCTTTGGGATGTGGGAGGGCGCTGGAGTACCTGGAGAAAACCCGCATAGACGTGGGGAGAACACAGGAAATCCACACAGACAGTGGCCCCAGTGGGGGAATCAACTCCACTCCCTATTAACGTTTTAGTGAAATGACATTATTTGAGGACCTGCTGTATAACATGTACATTAGGGGTAAAAAAAAAAAAAAAAAAAAAAAAGTCTAAAAGGCTATTCTCCAGAATGTTATAGAGTAATTATACTTGGGTGCTGAACTTATAGGTTATGTTATTTTCTTTGTGCCCTAGTCCTTCTAATTCTGAAACAGCAACATGATACTTTTGTAACTAGAAAACATCTTATTTCTTGAAAAGGAAATTTAAAAATTGTGATGCCTGGTTTGTCCTTACCTTTTGAAACCACCTCCTTCTGTTTCTTTGACTTAGAGAGCTCAGAGTCCTGCTATGCTAGTAGCATCTCTTTGTCATGGGCAGCAGTGCACTGAACCCCCCTGCAGAGTCAGGCTCATTTGCAAGTGACAGGAGATTCTTGACTGCCCACATCATTAAGAACTAGTATAATCAGAATGCTCTAATGATTAGCCTAACTGTCTTGTCAGTCTTTGTATGATTCACTCCACTAGTCCTCTATTGTAAAACTTCTTTTCATTTAAAAAAAAATTTCTAGGCCTGGCGCGGTGGCTCCTGCCTGTAATCCCAACACTTTGGGAGGCCGAGGCGGGCGGATCACGAGGTCAGGAGATCAAGACCATCCTGGCTAACATAGTGAAACCCTGTCTCTACTAAAAATACAAAAAAATCAGCCCGGCGTGGTGGCAGGCACCTGTAGTCCCAGCTACTTGGGAGCCTGAGGCAGGAGAATGGCGTGAACCCAGGAGGCGGACCTTGTGGTGAGCCGAGATAGCGCCACTGCACTCCATCCTGGGAGACAGAGCGAGACTCCGTCTCAAAAAAAAAAAAATTTTCTAATTCCCCTGGCAAACTCTTAACCACCAATCACAAATGCCTACTGGAAGACTTATCAATTATCTCAGACACTGAGATTGATCATGGTTTTAGCAATTGTGGATTTTCCCACCTGCTTTTATGCAGGGCCAAAGCATCAACTTGGCTTTCTGCTCTTTGGGAGCACACTCAGCTTGTTCTGGATTGTCTACACTTTTCTCAACAAATACCACTACCAAAAGTTAATAAACTGTTTTTTTAACCATAGATTACAACTGGGGTAGGAAGAGTACTGCATATTACATATATCTTAATCTTTTCAATCTAATCCAGCTTGCAAATTTCAGACCTTAAAATAATCAATAGATTTGTAGTACGGTACTTTCAATTCACATTTGAAATAGGATCTGATTCTGAGAAAATAATGCTGCTCTAACTATAATAAAAATTATTGTAGCCATATCCTAATAGGGGGCACATTGATGGTTTGAAATACTTAAGAAGAAAAGTCCTGGATCTCTTATTAAGATGATACGGCTTATTTTTATTATTATTGACTTGGCTCCTGAGGTAAGAATGCTTCCTGGAACTAAAATAGTTGGAGTTTTCCTAGCATCTATGGAAAGATGAGAGAGGACAGGAAGGAAGTTGTGGGCAAAACTGCTGAAACTACCTCTGCCAAATGATTTATAGCTGAGCAGTTCAGAAGGATATCATGCAACAGAATTATTCTTCTATCTCATTTACACAGAAATAAAACTGGGAAGAAGAATTTCTAGGTCTCCAGATCTGCCTGTTCATCTGGACAAAGGGCTTAGCACTTCATTTGCCTTCTTTCACTTGTCCTGTCAATTCTGGAGAAGTGGTTTCTCCTAATACCATTTTACTGGATTCTTTTTTTTCTAGAGTGTATGCTTACTTAACCCCTGAAAGACTCTTTTTCTGAGTAGCATGACATTTCTGCAGGCAAAGGAAGTGAGTATAGACTCCCAATTCTCTTCTTTTCCAGGATGTACACTAGAATCTGAAGCATCCTCTTCACCCTCGCTCCCCTTCAAGTTTCCGAAGCCACTAAGTTGGCAATGAAATTATTTTGTTTATGCAAGGAGCAAAATCACATGTCAAGCTGATAAATAATGTATGAAATATCATTTAGTTAATTTCAAAGGCGCCAAGACTATGACACCATTGCATCCATTCAGATGAAACCTTGGTTCTCCCTGTGTTAGGGGAGAGATCTAAATGAAGTATGTCCTTTATATTTAGATGACTAGATCTGTGGCCCTCCTGGCTTGTTTTTCAGGGCCCTTAATACTGATCAGAGAAATTTGCTATCACAAAATAGCTTTCAAAACAGAACAGAGCTTTTTCTTATTGTTTTCATTCCAAATTACCTGAACCTCAGCTTTGTCTGATCTTTTCAGGAGCAAGAGGTTCACACATTGCATTCACAGTATGCCTACAAAGAGCTACTGAGTTGTTTTTAATGCATTTTATGCTACAGCCACCAGTGGCCAAATTATAAGCCAGAATTCTGTTAGTAGCATGGCAAAAATCTCTCATTGCAATGTAATTTGTTATGAGTAGATAATACAATAAAACTGAAGTAGTTCTTCAGTGTTGAAATTACTGAGTTTCTTTTAAAGTGTGTGTGCACATGTGCATGTACTAAGGTTATGGCTAGATGTGATGTGCTAACATCCCAAAAAAAAAAAAAAAAAAAAAAACCCATAGGGGCAAAAGTAAGGGCTCAGAAGCTTCCTATCCTGACTTTTTTGACATAAAATGTGAGAAAAAGTAGATAGAGGGGAAAAACAAAGGTAGAAGAAAAGAAAGATAAAAATAATTAGGTGAAGCTGGAGTTAAACTTGCTTTATTTACCAAAGTAGATGGGAGAAATATTGTTATTTCTAGTTGGAAAGGTAAATCTTGTCTATTGAAGGATACTAGGCCCCACTATCGATGGACCCTAGCTATCACTAGGAACAGTTTTAAAATAACTTTAAAACTTTGTAGTTCTAAATGTTACAATGTTTTGCATTTCATTTTTAAACAATTTACAGTCAGCCCAGTCAGTAATTACTTTAAAATACGGAGTTATATCCTGCTGCTGTCCTCACCTTCCTATTTCCTCCACTCATAAACTTGGTAAGAAAGATGAGACCTTTCATTGTAATTTTCAATAATGCCTCAGCTTAGAATGAATTCTTTGGGCTAAACACTCTTTCTTCCTCAGGAGAAAATGCCAGTTTTTACAAAATGGATTTTTCAATATGCCAGAGCCTAAAGGATTTTCTCTCTCTCTCTCTCTTTTTTTTTTTTTTTTTGGAGATAGTCTCTGTTGCCCAGGCTGGCATGATCTTGGCTCACTGCAACCTCCGTCTCTTGGGCTCAAGTGATTCAAGTGATTCTCATGCCTCAGCCTCCTGAGTAACTGGGCTAATTTTAACTAGCCCAGCTAATTTTTGTATTTTTTTTTTTTTTTAAGTAGAGACAGGGTTTTACCATGTTGGCCAGGCCGGTCTTGGATTCCTGACCACAAGTGATCTGCCTGCCTAAGCCTCCCAAAGTGCTGGATTACAGGCATGAGCCACCGTGCCCTGCAAGGACTTTAAAAATCTTTTCCATGGAGCTTTTTTTTTTTTTTAATATTCCTCCTAACCAGATTTTTTTTAAAGATGTTAATGCTTTTAGTGGCATCATGCTCCTGGAAATCCAGGAAACTCAAACTTAACCCTTTAGATATATACCCAAGTAGATAGGAAGTCTGATATTATCCTGAAGCCATCTGCTCAGAAGTGAGGGCCTGACTCTGGTCCTCAGTGTTGCTAACAAGGAATCAAAATAACAAATAACTAATTTCTGGAAGAACGTAGCTATTTTTTCTCTTTATAAAAGTTATATTGTGGCTTTTCCTGTAGAAAATAGCAGATTAGATCACTCAGACATACCTCACTGAAGATAAACAAAAGCTTAACAAAATCCTTCTTTGTTAAATAATTAACATGATGGTGAAGAACTGTTGGGCAGAGATCTGAAGGAAGGTGGGAACGAAGCACCCAAGGCTGCTTTTATTCAGAGGGCACTTGGAATTCATCCAGAAAAACACCTGAGATAGTAAATTGTGGTTTTGGTCGTTGTATGGAGCTGGGGCTGCAGAAGTCAGTTGATTGCTTTTGGTCAAAGTTTAGAGAGAGTGATCAGTCAACCCTACCTCAAGCTGGAATCATGAAGGGCTGCATGCTTAGACTAAGAGTGAACTAGTTTTGCATCAGCTGGGTAAATGAGAGACACAAGGCTTTGATTTTGGATTAAGGTAAACCCAGACTTATGGTGCTTAGCCAAAGGAGATGGAATTTTCTGGAGCAAGTTACTATCATCCTAGGCTACAAGCTTCTCCTGCTGATAAATTTTCAAATACAATATTCAGCCCACAGTTAAAGATCCATGCACATGAAGATATGAGATTCCATGAATGTAAGTGACTAGAAATAAAAGAAATGGACTTCGCAGATTCTTCAAATATTGGAATTACCGGGCGTATACTATAAAGCAACCATGCTTACTATACTCAGAGAAGTAAAAGCCAACCTTGAAATCTTTGGCAGGAAACTGGAAACATATCACTTTTCTTGTAGACATTCAAATGTTAAGTGAAAAACTAATGAATAACTATAGGGCAATACGTTTGAAATTTATATGATGTGGACAAATTCTTAGAAAAACGTAACTTTCTCCAGCTGACTGAGGAAGAAAAAGAAAACTGTCTTCTGTCCCGTAAAGAAATTGAATTAGAGATCAACAGCCTTCATAAACAATGAATTCCAGGTCCAAATGGTTTCATTGAGAGTTGTACCAAACATTCAAGGATAAAGTAATTTGTCTTCTGGCCGGGCGCGTTGGCTCACGCCTGTAATCCCAACACTTTCGGAGGCTGAGGCGGGCAGATCACGAGGTCAGGAGATCGAGACCATCCTGGCTAACACGGTGAAACCCCATCTCTACTAAAAATACAAAAAAAGGCCGGGTGTGGTGGCTCACGCTTGTAATTCCAGCACTTTGGGAGGCCGAGGCAGGTGGATCACGAAGTCGGGAGATCGAGACCATCCTGGCTAACACGGTGAAACCCCGTCTCTACTAAAAATACAAGCAATTAGCCGGGGGCGGTGGCAGGTGCCTGTAGTCCCAGCTACTCGGGAGGTTGAGGCAGGAGAATAGCGTGAACCTGGGAGGCGGAGCTTGCTGTGAGCTGAGATTGCGCCACTGCACTCCAGCCTGGGTGACAGAGCAAAACTCTGTCTCAAAAAAAAAAAAAAAAAAAAATTGTCTTCCATAAATTCTAAAGGGAAAAAAATGGGTCCCCAACATATTTTAAGGGTAACATAACCTTCAAAGCTCAAACTTAAGTGTAGTTCAGAAAAGGCAAATTATACTACAGCCTCAATCATGAGCAAAAATCCTACACAAAATATAAGTAAATGAAGTCAGCAATATATTAAAAGGACAATGCACCATGACCATGCTGGGTTTATACAAGAAATGCAAGTTTAGTTTACCAGTAGAAAATCAGTAAGTGTAATTTGCCACATTCACAGAATAAAAAGAAAAAGTCATGATCATGTTAATAGATGGAGAGAAAGGATTTGATAAAGTGTAACAATTCATGATAAAAATTAGTGAACTAAGAATAGAACTGAAACCTGACTTTTTAAAAAAGTGTTTACATAGGCCAGGCACGGTGGCTCACACCTGTAATCCTAGCACTTTGGGAGGCCGAGATGGGCAGATCATTTGAGGTCAGGAGTTCAAGACTAGCCTGACCAGCATGGTAAAACCCCATCTCTACTAAAAGTACCAAAAATAAGTTAGTGGGGTGTGATGGTGCACGCCTGTAGTCCCAGCTACTCGGGATGCTGAGGCAGGAGAATCAGTTGAACCAGGAGGCAGAGGTTGCATTGAGCCAAGATCGTACCACTGCACTCTAGCCTGGGCAACAGAGGGAGACTCCATCTCAAACATAAATAAAGTGTTTACAAAAAGGCTGCCCAAACCATTGTGTTTGATTGTGAAAAGTTAACTTTCCCTTTAAAATCAAGAACAAGACATGGGGTCGGGCGCGGTGGCTCACACCTGTAATCCTGCACTTTGGGAGGCTGAGGCTGGCGGATCATGAGGTCAGGAGATCGAGACCGTCCTGGCTAACGTGGTGAAACCCCATCTCTACTAAAATTACAAAAAATTAGCCGGGCGTGGTTGTAGGCGCCCGTAGTCCCAGCTACTCGGGAGGCTGAGGCAGGAGAATGGCCTGAACCCAGGAGGCAGAGCTTGCAGTGAGCCGAGATCACGCCAACGCACTCCAGCCTGGGCGACAGAGTGACTCCGTCTCAAAAAAAAAAAACAAACAAAAAAAACAAGACACGGATGCCTGCTGCATTTACCTATATTGATTGTTGTCGTGGATTTCTAGCCAGTGCAGAAAGGCAAGAAAAAGATGTAAGGATTGAAAGGAGGAACTAATACTGCCATTTACTTATTATTGTGTAAGTGGAAAACTTTTAAATCTTAAGAATCTACAGGTAAGTGATTAGAATTCTGTTTTCTCATATGAAAAATTGTATTTCTGTGTACCAGCAATAAGAAGTTAAATGTGAAAATATGAAAGCATCAAAAACCAAGAGAAGGAATTAAGTGCCATGGAAAGATATAGAACACTGTAAAGGGCATAGGGACAGTTGAAGTTCTAAGTAAGTTCAAGTCATTGAGGTAATACTTAAGCAAAATCTGGGAGAAGAAGCTAGCCAAATAGATTTTTGTGGGAAGAGTATTGTAGGCAGAAGGAATAGGAAAGTGCTAAGGCCTTGAAGTAAGATTGTGCCTGCCATGTTGGAGAAGCAGCAGACAGACTGGTGTGGTTAGATTGACGTCATGGGGAGAGAAGAGTGATAGATGAAATTGGGAGGTAATGGGTCTGGAGGCTTGATATGATAGAGGTTTGGGAGCCACTGTCTGCACTTTGGCTTTTATTCTGCATGGGAGGAGCCACCACAGGGTTTTGAGCAGAGTAGCAAAATGATCCTACATAGCTCTTAAAATGATTGCTTTGGTTGCTGTGTCATGAAGAGATTATGGATTGGGGGCCAAGGTGGGAGCAATGCATATTAGAAGGATATTCTGTAATACATGCCAAGAGATGGAGTGGATTATTCAGGAAGTAGTACTGAAGATGGTAAACTTTGGATTCTGGGTACATTTTGAAGAAATAACCTCATAGGATTTGTGGATGGATTAGAAGTGGTGTAGAAAAAAAGGATCAAGAAAGACTTAGGGGTTTGAGTCTTAATGACTGGAAGAATAGTTACCATCATTTAAGATGGAAAAGACAGCAAGTGGAGTATGTTTGGAGTAAGAAGGTCAGAAGTTCAATTGCAATGTCTGGGCTTCCATATGGAGAGAACAGACAAGGCAGTGGGACAGAGGTTCTGACTCTCAACAGAGAAGTCTGGGCTAGAGATATAAATTTGGGAGTGTTTTCTTTAGAAATTATTTATTCCCATGGAAATTAATGCTGTTACTCAGGAGGTGTGCCCAGAGGAGAGGACCAGAGACATATCATAAGGAAAACGCAAGGATGAACCACAGAATGGGAGAAGAGATATGCACCATATGTAATGACAAAGAACTATAAATCAGTAAGAAAGCAAACAACCCAGAGGAAAAATGGCAAATGATTTAAACAGACTACTAATAAATTCTTATGTACTGCAGATAGAAAATTGAAATCATTACACGCATTTGAAAACAATTTGGTAGTACCTAATTAAGTTGGAAATACTTATTCTCTATGACCCAGTGGTTTCTCTCCTGGGTATATATCATATTACATGTACCTGTGTACCAGATATGTAGAAGAATGTTCTTTGTGCCATTGATCATGATAAAAAACTAGAAATGGCCAGGCATGGTGGCTCATGCCTGTAATCCCAGCACTTTGGGAGGCCGAGGTGGGGGGATCACGAGGTCAGGAGATTGAGACCAGCCTGGCCAACATGGTGAAACCCCGTGTCTACTAAAAATAGAAAAATTAGCTGGGTGTGGTGGCACATGCCTGTAATTCCAGCTACTCGGGAGGCTGAGGCAGGAGAATCAGTTGAACCAGGGAGTCGGAGGTTGTAGTGAGCCAAGATCACGCCACTATACTACAGCCTGGCGACAGAGTGAGACTCTGTCTCAAAATAAATAAATGAAAAGAAATGACCCAAATGCCTGTCATCCGTCGAGAGGATAGACTGTGGTATAAATAGCTGGATACTGTGAAGCAATGAAAATACAAACCACAATGAGTAACAAGTTCATTTAGCAGAAGAAGCTGGATATGAAAGAATGCAAAACCTAGCAAGACCAATGTTTGGAAGTAAATGAATACATAGGTTGTTTAAAAAAACAACTTTAGGAAAAATGTAAGGAAGTAAATACCATAAGAATTAGGATATTGATTATGTCTAGGAGTTGGAGAGGGGCTATAAACAGGAAGAGAAACAGGGGCTTTGGGGCAGACCATGATATATGGGTAATGTCCTAGATCTTGATTAATCCACCCCACCCCCAACCGTTGTTTTGCTTATCCTCAGGCTTAATCTAGAGCAAACAGTCCATATGAAGTGAGGACGTTATCATTTATTCAATCAGTATTTGCATTCACAATGTATTTTCTATGTTTTGGAGTAGGATCAAGGAAATCCTAGTCACTGCCCTTCTTAGAGCTTTCAATCCTGTAAAGAGTGATTGAGAATGTACCCAGGTGTTCTAGGATGGCAGCACACATCAGAGATGAGGGCAAAGGCTTTGAAGCCAAGGACCTCAGTTTGAACCCTGGATTTACCCTTTACGTGTGAAATTTCAGGCAGATCACCTAATTCCTTTAAGCTGTGATTTCACTCTTTGCAAAATGCAGATAACAGTTTCTACTGTAGAGTTATGAAGATTCAACCATCAAGTGTGTTCGTGTATATAAAGTGCTTGAGACGTAGTAATCGCCCTGAAGCATTAGCTGCCTTTAGAAGTAGCTGATGGAAAAGATACAGAAACACATCATGAAATGGACATCAAAATGCACTTGAATGACAATGTGCTTCTCACCCCTTAAAGGAGGGTGAGTGCACATTATGCTGAGGGCCTGTGGGAAAGCATTGGGGAAGTCTTTTATGCTATCCCCTAGTCTTGGTAAATTGAGGGGAGGGATTCAGACCCTATAGGCAGAGGCACAGCATGAGTGGGGCATGTGGGCAGAGTGAGTGGCATGGTTTCTGTAAGAGTGATCTGGCATGACTAGCAAGTATTGTGATCTAGAAGCCCCGGACCAGTATGGTCACCAAAAGTGTTTGGTTGGCATGATGGGATTTTCTTTTCAAGAGTCAGAAAAGGACATGAGCTTTTCCTTTAACCACAATAGCTACCACTCCCTGGCTTACACCCATCCATTCTTTGTTTGCTGCATGCATGAACCCTGAAGGCATTTATGCTTGCAAACCTTGGACTGTCACATCAACTGAGTAGTGTGAAAATAGTATGAGGAAGGCGTGGGAAGCTTGCATAGGGATTGGATCATGGAAGGACTTGAATGTTATGCCAGTGAGTTTGGACTTAGTCCACAGGTAGTAGGGAGCCATTGAAGAGTTTTGAGCAGGACATTGAAGTAATAGGACTTGTGCTAGGATGATCTACAGTGGACCTGGGGAGATCCAGTAGGAGGTTTTGGCAGTAGCCCAAAGGAAAAGGAATAAAAGGCCTGAACCAGACTGGGGCCATGAGCACATGGCACACACAAAGGAGAGTGTGTGTGTGTGTGACAGCTGTTATGGAGGCTGACTTCATGGGCCTTGGTAACTCATGAGATGTGAGGCATTGACCCAGAATACTGGTACCAGTAACAGAAGGGGAGGAGGTGGGAATAAGTGTGGGCCCAAGAAGCCCTTAGTGATGAAGTACTGAGTTTGAAGTGGGAGTCTGAATTTCTGCTCAGTAGCACAGCTGACAAGTCGGTTCTTGAGAGACTTTCTATGTTCTGAGAGAGATTTTTGAGCTTTTTTCCAAAGCTCATATTAATAACATTATGATTGCTTTTGACAGTCTAATGGCTTAATGCAGTTATTGTCCTGGGGTGGCCTTTACTTGGTCCAATGCAGGTAGCTCCATTCCTTGGTAATTTTCAATAAACCAGGGATGTTAGTTGTGGTACTGTGGGTAACAGATATTAGTTGACTAGTGAAAACAAAGCTGGGGGCCTCTCAAGCTTCTTCTTCTTTCTTTTTTTTTTTTTTTTTTTTTTTTGAGACAGAGTCTCACTCTTGTTGCCCAGGCTAGAGTGCAGTGGTGCGATCTCGGCTAACTGCAACCTCCACTTCCCAGGTTCAAGTGATTCTCCTGCCTCAGCCTCCTGAGTAGCTGGGACTACAGGCACATGCCACCACGCCTGGCTAATTTTTTTGTATTTTTGGTAGAGACAGGGTTTCACCATGTTAGCCAGGCTGGACTCAAACTCCTGACATCAGGTCATCTGCCCACCTCGGCCTCCCAAGTGCTGGGATTACAGGCTTGAGCCACTGCGCCTGGCCTGGTTTATTCTTAAGTTGTCTTGAAAAAGCTGGGTCCTAGAGGTAGTGGCTAGAAGCCTTGCTTCGGTTGGCAAGGACTGACTTGACAACAAGCCCAGACCTGCACATTGACATTTTACAAAACCTAGGATCCAGCAAACCTGCTGCATGTTGGGTGGGAAGGTGCTCTCAGCATCCAGCGTGCACATGCACCTGTGGTACCTATTGGAGGAGGTTCTCCCAGGTAAATGATTTTCAATGCCTCTACCTGCTAGAAAGAATTTATTGAGAAAAAAGTCATTTGGTGCAGAGTTCTTGAATCTATTATGTAAAAGGCCTGGTTCATTGAAGTGGTTCCAGAAATCCTTTGTAAATTATAAGCACAACAATTATTGGTAATTGGATGATGCTTAAGGCTAGCCTGCTTAAGATCAAATTAATGCTACACTTGTGTATTTCATTGGGCTGGAAGTTTGCTTTGAGACTATATATCTAATCAGTGGATGATACAAGAAAATGCTTGCTTTAGGACTTAGAATTTAAAATTATACTGATTTATAGTTGAGCATATAGTTGCATTTTCATTTATGCCCTTTTCAGTTCTGTTAATATATTTTTCTTTTTGTATCCCAAGGAACAAACTTTTATTTATATAACCCTAATTCCGTTGAAAATGTGATCTGCTGAGGGATCATTGTTATGTGATTCTGATTCCACAGGGATATTTTTATTAGTGTTAACATATAGCACAAATAAGGGTTATAAAACTGTTCCATAATCTTTGAGATTGACTTTATATAAAAAATGTATTTGTTGAAAATTGATTTTTGAAAAAAGCCATTTAATCTGCCTAGGCATTTAGCTTTATATATATTTAAGGCAGACACATAAGTATCATTTCAAAATATTAATTAATATGCTTGATTATTATTAGATGGAATAATTCTTGTTCTAGTTCAGGATCTTTGACTTTATTGGAAGATTTAAAATTGTTCATGTAACAGTACATTAAGACCTATGATTATAAATTTAAAGTCGTGCCTAGAAAAGTTTGCCCATATTGAAGATGGGCATCAGAGGTGAAACTGACAGCTAGTCTTGAGTCACCCTGCACCAGGCTTCCCAGGGTTTTTACGTCTGTGGTGCCATGAGCTATAGCTTTAAAATAGGCAGGTCAATTCAGGGTGTTGGTTCAAACCCTATTGGAGCCACGTTGCTTGAATTTACATGGTATCTGTTTAAAAGAGAATATCTGAATTTTTCTTAGACAAACTATATGAGGCAAGTTCTGTAGTTATTAGTCCTTCAAGGTCCCTATGCACACATTTGCCTCCTACCTCTTGCTCATCTTAACCCTTGTCTCATGATTTTAGGGGACTGAGGTGCTTCTGTGCTTCTCTCAAGCAAGCTTTTTTTTTTTTTTTTTTTTTTAGACAGGGTCGCAGTCTGTCACCCAGGCTGGATTGCAGGGGTGCACTCATGCTCACTGCAGCCTTGACCTTCTGGGCTCCAGCAGTCCTCTCACCTCAGTCTCCTGAGTAGCTGGGACTACAGGTGCGCGCACCACCGTGTCCAGCTAATCTTTTTTTGTAGAGACAGAGCCTCACTCTGTTGCCTAGGCTGGTCGCAAACTCTGGGGCTCAAGCGATCCTCTTGCTTCGGCCTCTAAAAGTGCTGGGATTATAGGCATGAGCCACTGTGCCTGGCCGTGTTTCTCTTTTTATTGGCAGTTTCTTTGTTCCAGGAAGAACTATATTTTCTGTTTCTAGTCTTTGTTCAGGAACTCCATGCTCTGCTTCTGTTGCATGTCACCTGAGGTGGCAGAACAAAGCAGGCAGCAGAACTGTTTGTTTTAGCACTGTCTTTGGGGGATGATAAAAACTGTGAATCTTTAGCAAACAGAGTTAGATCTCAGAATGGCTTGATATTTTCCAAATGGGTTAGTGTAACCCAGTGACCTTACTTGAGTTCTGGTAATGACAGCTTTACCATCAAATTTTCCTTAGGGTACAGCTCTTGAGAGGAAAATGCCTCCTAAAATTGAGAGCTCTGTTAGGCTTTGTTACTAGTTCAATCTATAGTCTTAAAGGAAGTACCTAAAGCTACTGACAGTGTTAGACCATCTGTCTAAATATGGATATTTTCCTGCAAGCCAGTGAGAGCCTTGCCTTTCCTCAGATGTTACAACATTCTATGACAAACGCTGCTTGGTGGGCAAGAGATTTTTCAATGTTAGATTACATCCTTTATTGTTTTAGTTTACCTCAGGGCAGAGGCATAATGTTGAGAAAAAAGAAGGGTTCTTTCAAATAAAAATGGCAGCAGTTGAAAACATATTGGAGGAAAACATAGCTACTATATTAAAAAAGCTATGCAAATAGTTTAAAGGTTTTAAGACTTAAGCTTATCATCTCTCAATAACTAGTAGATACTGTTAAAGCTTAGTGTTCATAACTATTTTTAGAGCAAGGATGATATGTTAACTATAGATCTCGCCTACCATTCTCATAGTACCTGCAGATAGAAGACAGCACAGCACGCTTACTGAATGAAAGCCTTAGGCGCAGATGAACATGCTTTGCTATATTTTTCCTCCTAAGCGATGCTTGTTTCATTGGGTTCTTTTTGTCGAAAGTGCTGGGAACTCTTCTTGTTCTCTATTCATTCGTCTTAGTTCTTTTAATTGCTGCTTGGTCTTGCAGAACCTGAGTTTTAAAGAGCTAGCTAAATATAGACTTGTCACTGTAAGCACCTCCTTACACCTGCTTTTCTCTTGGGTCCCTGCAAGATTGACGAGGTTATTTTTGGCCTTGAACATCAAAAACAGTTGGAAGGAAAACAGCATCTATTTAGTCAATATTTCCAGTGTTGGAAGACTACGTCAGATTAAAATTTTTTTTTCTTTTTTTTTTTTCTTTTTTGAGACAGAGTCTCGCTCTGTTGCCCAGGCTGGAGTGCAATGGTGTGATCTTGGCTCACTGCAACCTCCGCCTCCCTGCAACCCCTGCCTCCTGGGTTCAAGGGATTCTCCTGCCTCAGCCTCCTGAGTAGCTGGTGCATGCCACCACACCGGGCTTATTTATTTATTTGTTTGTTTGTTTGTTTGTATTTTTAGTAGAGACAGGGTTTCACCATGTTGGTCAGGCTGGTCTTGAACTCCTGGTCTCATGTGATCCACCTGCCTTGACCTCCCAAAGTGCTGGGATTACAGGCGTGAGCCCCTGCGCCTAGCCAAAACAATTTTTTTTTTCCTTAAACTGAGTATGTGTTTTCAGGGCAGTGGACACTGTCAAATGTGGAGAGTGTTACTTGTAGCCATTTTGAGGATGATCAGGCTTGCCTCAGCTCTCAGTTGTCCACTCCACCCTAAGGAGGGTTTACAAAGAAACGTTGCATCCCCTGGGCAAGCATACGTGGCTTTTTTTCTATGTTTAATCATTTGGCTTTCCAGGTGCACAGGGTGTGGTAGGTGCTCATGGGTGGAGCAGTCTGAAGGCGACCTCTCTTGGCTTTGCTCAGTGATACAGCGGGAGAGAGCACTGGTTTGGGGTTCTGGGTCCCAAGCTCTGCCACTTTCCAGCTGTATTGCTTCAGTCTAATAATGTGATTTGTCACATATAAAATGGAAGTGACCATGCCTGTCTAAATGCATGTGAAGAACCTGGTGTATAGTGTCTGCCAAAAGAAATGGCTTTGAACATAAAATTAGGGAGCAGTGTCCTATTCAGCCAAAAACTAAAACTTTTGTGTGCTTCATTGTTTTTAGTAGCTTTTACTTTTTTCCCTTAATTCTGAAACATCAGGCCAACCCCTGCTGTGGATCAACAAACCCCCCCCCCCCCCAGTTGAGAGTGTTATAAAAATAACGCGCGATTATTAATGAGAACCTCCCCAAGTCCCTATGGGTCCACTGGATTTCTTTTATTTTCCTTTGGTTTTGTAGGTTGGAGTTTGGTTTGTTTTTGTTTTTAAATTTTCTCTGGTAATGACACCTTAGCCTTATCTTTTAATTGCATGAATAAGATTCTTTTTTTGAGACAGAGTTTTGCTCTCGTTGTCCAAGCTGGAGTGCAATGGCACTATCTCAGCTCACTGCAGCCTCCACCTCCTGGGTTCAAGCGATTCTCTTGTCTCAGCCTCCCAAGTAGCCGGGATTACAGGTGCCTGTCACCACGCCCAGCTGACTTTCATATTTTTAGTAAAGACAGAGTTTCACTGTGTTGGCCAGGCTGGTCTTGAACTCCTGACTTCAGGTGGTCCACCCGCCTTGGCCTCCCAAAGTGCTAGGATTACAGGTGTGAGCCACCATGACCAGCCAACATTTTCCCTCTTGGTTTTTAGGGAATATATAGTAACTGTGGCATACAGTCTCTGTATGGAAAAATAATTGTGCTGATTTTTATGAAGGCATGCTTACTTGTACACTGGAAATAGCATTCTGAATAATTTACCTAAGTATGTTCTGTGATTTTGACATCTCTGTCTACATACATGATGCAAATCTGAATAAACTGCAATTCATTTAATAAAAATTGGTATGAAATTTCTATTTTTTAAAAATTTATTTGTATGCCTATAGTATAAAACCTGAAAGGTAGCAAAAAGTATATTGCAAAACACAAATTGCATTTCCATTCCCTATGACTTTTGGTTTTAAGTTAGAGGAACCAGTTAGGCACAGATTACTAGGTATATACTTGCACATTTGAGCAAAAATGGGTAATGTAACTTTTGTGGTATAGCTTCTTTGTATAGTCACCTTTTGGAGCCAGTGTTTCCATGGCATTTGAGTTGCCTGATTTCCACATCTCGGTGTTTTTCATTTTCCAGTTGCAGCATGAGAAAGCCGAACTAGAACAGCATCTTGAACAAGAGCAGGAATTTCAGGTCAACAAACTGATGAAGAAAATTAAAAAACTGGAGAATGACACCATTTCTAAGCAACTTACATTAGAACAGGTAAGCACCTGTAGCTCTTCCTTTACATTGTATTTTCTCGTTCTCAGCTTGTTCTTTTAAGCTTTAAGATGCCTGGAGGAATTTAAGTGAAAAGTAGTTTTCAGCTTTCTCTCCCCACTGTGGAGACTTCATTTCTAAAGTGAGCATTGACAGGTTTACATAGTTCCTATCATTCTCTCACACATTTTCTCTTTTTTAACCACAATTAATAAAGTTTCAGGAGATAAGTTGTGATGTACTGATTTATAGCAGGAAATGTCAGCTTCCTTTTTGCAAAGCAAAGGGAGAAGAATGTTTTTGACCACAGGATAGTTTCTGTGAAAGTTCCTAAGACAATGTTGCTATGGAACTAAAACTGGTCTTTCAAAGCTTCTTCAGAATAAACAATTAACATTTTCCTCTTTGATTGATTGGCAACCTTACATGAGCCTTCTCTTCTCCCAGTCCAGACTTGTTGGTACAAATATGGAGTCATAGACTTGGTAACTCACCTTGAGTCAACCACTGACTGATTGTATGACCTTATATTAACTTCATTAATTTCTCTGGGCTCAGGTTCTCCATTTGTAAACAGAGCAGGACAGACTAAAACCAGAAATGGCAAACTTAACAAGGGACAAAGGTGGGAAGTAGTAATAGCACGCAATCCCTTTGTCCTCTGCCCTCAGCAGGCATTGGTGTTGGAACATTGGCCTTGGGAGTCCAGACTTGGTCTGTATGCCCCATTATCACAGAGAACTCTGGGCAGCTGTTGTCACTCCATTCAGGGTGTGTCAAACTATATTATTGCTAGCCTCGGTGTTCCCCGATGCCTTCACCCATGCTAGCGTCCTGAAATTTTAGTTCCCTTAAGTTATAAGAGGCTGATGCTAGTGTACTGCTACCTGGGTTTCCATGTAAAATGCAGTAGATGAAGATCTTCCAGCTGTTTGTATTTTAGATCCTGATTGCCCTGATTAGGCTAAGCCTCATTAAAGTTGTCTGATTTATCTCACATTCAGGCTTCTCCCTGTGCACCTTACTCCATGTTAACTCATTCCATCAGTCACTCTCAGGACCGCTCTCGTTTGAATATTTTACCTGAGAATGAAACAGTGATCGTGCTGCAAGGTTTGAAGGGAAGTTAGAGTTTGTCTTAAAGTAAGACTGACTTTAGTTATTCTGTTATTCTTGTTTTTACCTGTAGCAAAGCAGGGAATGGTACTAGGTTTTCTAACACTGAATGATGACCCTAAAAGTGTTGTCATCCTTTCTGTGATGAAAGTTCAGTTTTCAAGTGCTGGCTATTTTATACATCTCGAGTAATTTCTTCTTACCATTCATCTTCCAAATTTAAATTCAGTGTCTAAGTTAACCAGACACCATGCCCCGTGCCCTACCAGTTTAAAAACATTTTGTTCTGAGTTTCACCCGTTTAATTCCCAGGATAGGCAGTAGCTCCAGTTCTGTTCAAGTTAAGGTAAGCTTCGAAGATTTGTGTTTAAGTCCCTGACACACCAAGTATTTACTTGTTAATCAAGAGTTAACCAAGTGACCAAGTGAAGTCCTCACAGAAGCTAGTATTAGGAGAGCTTTGCCTGGCCATGCCCTTCACAATGATGGTTGTCAATATTTTAAATATAATAGCTTCTCTCTGGTATTTGTTCACAGGCTCCTAAAGGAGACTTTGAAACTAGGACCGTGACCCAGAGGGTTTAGCTATGGCCACAAGGGGGAGGTAGTGGCCTAGTGTCAGAAAGAAGGGCAGTCTCATCCTATTGTTCCTGGGAAAAAGTCCTGCCTCCCTGTCTTAAGACCCTTTGCAGACTTTAGTAGCTGAACCTCTTTAAAATGAAGTCTGAAGCGTATATTCTCTATACCAAGTTAATAACTTAGTGACCTTTTAGGCTTATTTCAGTCCTCGATGGTAAAGAAATAGATTTCCACAATAAAATATGTTTAATGCAAAGCCCATTCTAGAAGTAAGCCTCAGATCCAGCATATGAAGCCTATGTTTTAATTAAAGTGGAAAAATTTAACATTGTCATAAAAATTTCCCCCACTTTGCTTTGGGTGTGACTGGGATAATTAAATGTGTTTTCTTTGACTATAAATAATTTTAATCAGCATTTAGGGGGCATGTTTGGTTTTTCCCTCTAATAGAAATAAATCCCTTAGTTTCCATGGATATGATCTGACCAGCCCTTGAGCCCATCTCTTGGAATTATCTGTATTGTATGATACGATGTAGTATATGTTATAGTCTATATTATATTATAAAGGATATCCTGTACTCTATATTATTGTCAGAAGAGCAAAGGCATGCACTACACTATGCCTTATCATGATTTACATGTAGTTTTTGTCTTTGCTTTACTGACAGTCAATGCTTTTAAACTATAAGCCACTTGAAGGCAGTTATCACATATGCTCCCACATGTCCCACTGCTTTGTTAGATCAGTAGTAAGTGTAGGTTTGGGCATGTGAATGGTGAGTGGTCCTCTGTATTTCAGAAGGCAGCGCAGGCTAGTGTTCAGGGCCTGGGCTCTGACTTCAAAGCAACCAGTTGTGAACCCGTTCCCTCTACTTAATAATCCTTTCACCAGTTCACTTTCTTTTTAACAGCCCTAGTGAGATGTAATTTACATATCCTACAATTCACCCACTTAAAAGGTACAACCCAGTGGTTTTCAGTGTATTCGGAGTTGTGCAACCATCACCAAATCAATTTTAGGACATTGTTGTGAACTCAAAATGAAACCCCGTACCATTCATCTGTCACCTCTAATCCCCTATAACCTCTAAGCAACTGCTGTTCTACTTTCTGTCTGTGTATTTGCCTATTCTGGACATTTCATGTAAATAGAATCATAATATGTGGTCTTTTGTGATTGGCTTCTTTCATTTACCATAATGTTTTCATCCCTGTTGTATCTGTACTCTTCTTTTTTTCTGGCTAAATAATCATCTATGGTATGGATATACCACACTCATCAATTATCCATTTATCGTTTGATGGACATTTAGGTTGTTTCCATCTTTTAGTTATTATGAAGAATGCTGCTATGAACATTCACGTATAATTTTTTTGTGTGGACATATGTTTTCATTTTTCTTAGTCATATGCCAAGGAGTGAAATTGCTGGGTCACATGGTAACTCTCCTTAAAATTGTGGAAACAAAATGTAATTTTAAAATAATCCATACTTTGCATGTAGTGGGTGAACCTGCAGAAGGGATATTGGAAGGCATTCTGCCAGAGATTTGAGTTGGTCACGATGTGTTTGTTTTGAAAGTAGAGCTTGGGTTATCATGGTTTCTGAGTTGGCTCCTTTCTGTTCTCTGTAAAGCAGAACTTAACTGGGCTGAGTTTCTTCCTAGGAAGGCCCCAGTTAACTCACATGTCAGCAGGGCCTCACTGTAAGTTTATCTCACTGAAAGTTAGTCCTTTGGTATGGACACTTCAATTAGTCAGATATCATTCATTCTTTTCATAGGCCTTGAATCTGGAATCCACTTATTCTTCAAACAGGGAATGTTCACAGCTAGATCATGAAGGTCTATGGGCTATAAATGGTTCTGTTGGTGTTTTGCAGTATTATAATTCACAGAATTGTAGAGCTAGAAGTCCAAGATGTTGGGAAGACTACCTTTTTCCCCAGACGCTAGTGGGGACATGAGACAGTGGGAAAATCACAAATAAATCCAGGGGTAGGGGCATCAGCTCTGCTCTTAGAAATTGGGACAACAGCCTCTTATTCTCATGTCCTCTCCCTCCAGAGTTTGCTGCAGAGTTGGGCTTGGTGGGAATCACTGCTTAGTGATAGATCAGTTTGGCCTGTGAGTGGCCCAGCTTGCTCATGCTCCCTTTTCAGAAATGGAAATCCGGAGAGAGATTGGGAGGGTTTCTTAAGTCACACAGCTAATGAGTGGCAAACGTGGTCCCCTGGTTCTCATCTTAGTGGTCTTTTAGACCCTGGAAAGACTTTAGCCTTTGCAAAAGTAAAGGCAATGTCATCTTTCTTTTATACTTCAAAGAACTCTACTGCTTTCCTGTTCAAACAGCCTGCATTAGTTCTTAATCATTTATTTTAGTTACCTTTTTGGCATTTATTTAGCATCTTAAATGCTTGATGCCAAAAGTCAATTTATAAGCAGATGTAAAAAAGCATATTCAGGATAATGTAAAATTGTGTGGTCTTTGTAGCACACAGTATTAGTCTAGTAAATTGGATTAATCTAGTCAACATGGCTTTAATGATATTGGGGCTTTCTAAACAAACACTGGTGGCCAGTGCCTATAAACCCTGACTTGCAGATTTTTCTTCAAACGTGGTCACTATACATCTCTTATTTGCTATTCACATTTTCTTAGGTAATGGTAAGAACATTTGGAACTTGGAATTTTCTGTTCATGTCAAGAAATCTTATTCTGAATAATATGTTCTGCCACTTAGGGAAAATTTTCCTTACTTGTCTAGCATTAAAAGGCACACATTAGTTTATATAATAAGTGAAGTTTAGCTCATCAGATATGAGGGCCTTTGTGTACTCTGCTCTGAAAATTATCTGATGGGGAAGAAGACAACAGTGGCATACGGTACGTGGGTTTTAGACACTCCATGGTTATTAAGTAGTACTGTAGAAAAATAGGGCACTATATCCGTGGAGGGTTAGTCATCTAATTCAGCTAACACTTACATGGTGTAACAGGATTGCCTACCATGTACCAGACCCCTTACTTTTTCCTTCCTGTAGTTGGCCCTGTGTCTTTTTTTCAGTTATTCCTGGAATTTAGGGACATATTTTCTTATCTGAGATGTCCCCCTTCTTCCATAGCACTAAAACCCATATATAAAGGTTGGATTTAGGATTGGTATATTAATTTTAGCTTATTAGCATCCATTTATAATGATATCTTAGCCCGTGTAGTTTAGGGAAACTTCCCTGGGTTCAAATCTCCCTTTCATCTGTAATAAACAGTGTGGCCTCATGCATGCAATTTGACCTCTTCTGTGAAGCAGTTGCAATTCTTATTTGTATATTTTGGGGAGGCTTAGTTGTCCTTCCTGCCTGTCCTCACACTCCATGTGTACTAAAGTTCTTTCTGATGCAGGATTATTCAAATGTGGACTACACAGCAAGAAATACATTTATATGGTAACCTAGTCACTGATGATATATAATTGTATGTGTCACTGTGATGACTTTCATAAAACGGTACTTACATGCTTTGCACTGATTTTCTATTTAATCATATTTCATTGTTATTAAAATGTAGGTCATAAAAGACTAGACTAATTTCAAAATCCAGTAATGGGTCTTGACCTTCAGTTTGAAAAAAGTGCTCTGCCTTGCCCAATGCTTTGGTGCCTCCAGATCTTCATGGATCTGTTTCCTCTGCCTGGAACACTTTCTCCCTCCTCTATCCTATCCCTGCTCAAGCCTTACTAGCGTCCCTCCTCCAGTCAGTTAGGTGTCTGTGCTATGAGGTATTTCTATAATATTCAGAACTACTCTTGTAACATTCAGTACTCTGTTTAATTGTTTCTTTCTAATAGCTTCCCTATAAGATGAAGGAGGGCCGAGACAAGGTTGACCTTAACACTGTATCCCTGGTGACTCTAATCTGTTAGCTCTCCAAAAATTGTAGCTGCTGCCATTTATACTGAAAAATGTCATCTAATTCCTATGGTACTTTGCCCTTTGCCCTACCCATTTTCCAGGAAAATAAGTGTGTATATCATTTAAGCCTCAAATGTTTCACTACCTTCCTTGAACTGGTTATCTGTCTCTTCAGGTATGGACATATTTATGCTCATATGTCATTTGTGATCTGGCCTCTTTAACTTTCTTCTTTGCCCATGCTGCTGTTGATGCCCTTGTATGGCATGCATCCTGCATTAATCCAGTACACCTGTATTGCATGTCTGCTGTGTGTCACAAACTCTTCTAAGAAAGATGATGGGAGGTCCCTGGCCTTGAGAAGCCTGGTCCAGGGAGGCCAGTGCTGAGGGATGCACTGGGCAGAGTACTGTAGTGGAGGAGAGTAGTGGTGCTCCCACCATAGCACAGCAGCCCCCTAGCCAGCAGAGAATGCCTGCAGCTGCTCTGAGATTGATGCAGGAGAAAAGACCCACTGGTTAAGTGGGTCTATGTTCAGCCATGTTGCAGGGAAGCAGAGATGGGAGAGGAGGCAGAAATGAGGAGAGAAAATAGGTAGTAAAAAGTATTTGCAGGTACTATATAGAGTAAAGATGCCAAGAACAGAAAAAGAGCTGTGAAGGAGATTTGAAGTTGACTCCCTGCCTCTACTTTGGGGGTCATGGAGTAAGAGGAGGTTTTGGTATCTGCTGTGTGGTGTACTTGAGGGTTTAGGCTTGTCTTTACAGTGAATGCCAGATGGAAGGAAGCCACATAGCTCTACCAGGGCTTGTGCAAGCCTCAGTGCTAACCATGTTCAGTGATTATCTTCAGCCACTAGATGACACTGGATGACTTAAAGGGGCTTGATGGGACCCCAGCTTCCAGGGGCAGTACAGGGAGTGACCCTCACTCATCTCAGTGCCCCTCATCATCTACAGCTGCAGCAAATCACAGAGGCCAGGGTTTAGAATAATGAATTTGAATCCTCAGGACAAAATTTTTTAAATTCATTGTCTTAAGCAGGAAAATATTTAGTATATTTTAAAGTCTTATCAGGAAGGAAAGAAAATTTTCACATTTCCAGTTCTTAGAATAGTGGCTCTTAAGATGTTAAAAACAGTTAAGGATAGTGCTAAGGATACAAGATGGCCTTTCTGCCTTGGTTGTCTAGAAGGCAATTCATTCAAAAATATAACCAAACTGACATCATAGCCAGTTCCCATACAATTCTGATGCCACTTGTTTTAGTAGCTACAGCAACTAACTCTAGTGAATTATACAGATAATCTTTGTGTCCTTGTGATTTATGAGTGAACTCAGTGGCTAGTGGCTCATATTCAAGTTTGCATCCTTGGGTGATGTGGTTTTACTAACTCCTGTAAAACATGGTTGTATTAGTCCTTTTTCACGCTGCTGATGAAGACATACCCTAGACTGGGCAATTTACAAAAGAAAGAGGTTTAATTGGATTAGTTCCTTGGAGCTGGGGAAGGCCCACAATCATGGCAGAAGGCAAGGAGGAGCATGTCCCGTCTTACATGGACAGCAGTAGGCAAAGAGAGAATGAAGAATACGCAAAAGCAGAAACCCCTGATAAAGCCATCAGATCTCGTGAGACTTATTCACTACCACAAGAACGCTATGGGGGAAACTGCCCCTATGATTCAATTATCTCCCACCAGTTCCCTCCCACAACATGTGGGAATTATGGGAGTACAATTCAAGATGAGATTTGCATTGGGACACAGAGCTAAACCATATCAATGGTGTTTCTCTTAAATTCACAGGTAGTGTGACCATACTGGGTCTTGTTTAGAATTCCATTCATGCTAAAAGCTTCCCTTGCAGATTCTGACAGCTAGAGGAATCCAATGAAATTGTGCTGAGTAGAGCACCTACCGATTTTTGTGTGCCATTTTGAAAACACAAAGAACAACCATGTTCCTTGAGGAGTCACTTGCATTAAGGAAATGAAATTTAGTGACTACCATGCATACTTTGTAGTTTAGTTATAAATACAAATTTCAGATTATGGAAGTCTTGGAATTTTTTTTCAAATCAAACGTTTGCATTGTACAAATAATCCATTGTTCTTTCAAGACAGTTTGGAAAACAAGTACAAAAAGAAGTACAAAAATGAGAAAACATGACCTAGATTGCCGTTCCCCTAGAAAAACAGCTATTGATGTTTTTCTTCATCTTCTCCTCCTCCTCCTCCTCTTTTCTCTTCCTCTCTTTTTTAAGTGGATTTGTAATTGGCTGCCCTGCTTTTTAAAAAATAAAACATCATAACTTATGTCTGCACATTTAGATAAGCTCTATTGGAGACATAATCATAGTAAACCCTGAAGTCGGCTTGGTGGGAATTTGATTATAGCGAATCCACAGTGATGTTTCAGTTGCCTGAGAAGCTTGGGTGCATTCATCCCACCCACTGCTTGTCCAAGAGAGGTGGGGAAGAAACCTCAGATAATAGCTGATAAATAAATGGAATTTTGTGCCTTGGAAGTGAGAAAACTAGGGTCAATACACCATACTCAAAAGAAGCTTCAGGAGGCTGTCTGTTGAGTTGATTTGTTTTGGAATCCATTTTTTGGGATGTGATGAAGCCAACTTAGGGGTGCCAACTCCAGACCTGTGAAAATAGACTCTGAGCTGTGTCAAGGGACACAGATAAGTCTCTCTGTAGGATATGAAAAAGGAAAAAAATCCCCCAGAATTCCTTTCCTAGACTCAATTTCAATTAAATAGAAAAACTCACTGTGTTCCATCTTGTAAGTCTTGTAAGACTTTATTTTGAAGCATCAGATGCCACATATAGGTCAACTTGTACAGATGATGTTACATGATGGAAGGGGAAAAACTCAATGTATTTCCTGTGTCAAAGGAGAGGCAGCTCATCATGATCCAATGATGTGCATCTTCTGGTTACCCACTGGGGACAAAGACCTTGCATGTTAAATTGAAGGGCAGTGGTTTGCTGCAGTAGAGCAGTGAAACCCAGGGATACTGTACTGAGACTTTCTAGTTGTAATTGTGAAATGCACAGGTCTGTTTCTTTATGATCAAAACAAGAATTTGCTTGATGACTTAGGTGTTCTCTCTAGCTGAACACACAGCAAATGAATGAATGGCTAAATAAACTCATCATCCCTATGTAAGGAAGTGGGATGAATGTGGTAATGACAAGAAAGAAATGATTTATCAAGGAAACTTCCATTTTGGATAAAGAACATCAAGTTTGTCCAAAACTTCCATTTTGGATAAATCACATTAGGGCAAGAGAAGTTGCCCTGTTGTTTTTAAAGAAGCTTGTTTTAACTTTAATAATATTTTGGGTTGGGAGACAACAAAGTCTTGCCATTGAAGCAGGATATTTCCCTGACCCCTTCACAGTAGTTGTGAGAGGGGTGTCTCATTTACTCAGCCCACCACTCTCAACTCCAGTGTGGGAACTGGAGTGAACAAGTGCTGGCACCGGCTGGCTGCTTAGGTACTGGCAGGAACGAACTCTGTGCTGGCCCCGTAGCAGCATCTAGGCGGGGGTGCCTGTAACTCCTGAAGCCCCAGAGGGTGTGTTACTGTACTCTTTTAGCTCTGCTGTCCATGGACGGCTTAAGTGTTAAGAGTTCAGTGGGCCCTTTGCCTTTTTGCATGAGTCGGCTGCCCTCCACCAGCAAGGGCAAAGGGCCAGTGTGACAGCCTTTTGTATCTGCACTCATAGCTCCTGAGCTCTTGTCTGGCATCCAGGAAAAATGAGGTTGCACAAATGAATTGAAGGATGGTAAATGTGGGGGATTTTATTGCCGATGAAAGTGGCTCTTAGCTGGAAGGGGAGCTGAAAAGGGGATGGGGCAGGTAGGTAATCTTCCCCTGAAGTCTGCCTGTAGTCTTCTCCAAAGTTACGCCAGCAAGCTGTCCCTCCGAAGTCAAACCGCTTCTCTCCAACCTCCAGCTGTAGTCCTGTCTACCGGCTGAGTCTGGGGTTGTTTTTTTTTTATAAGCATAGGGTGGGGTGGGACAGGGCCATGGGTGGTTTAGGAAAAGGCAACATTCGAGTGGAAAAACAGGGATATGAGTTCTCACTTTGGACTGTGGTTTCAGGCTTTTTGGCTTGAGGATGGGGTTTTGCCAGGGACCTACCCTTTTCTGCCTAGAATTTCTCTGCCCCCCTGTCCCTGTCACTGTGTTGCCCAGGGTGGTCTCAAATTCCTCGGTTCAAGCAGTCCTCCTGCATGAGCCTCCCAAGTAGCTGGGATTACAGACATGCACCACCACACCCAGCAAGATGCTTATTTTAGGTAATAGTCTGATGGTAGCCACTGATCTGATAGTATATTTGCAACAGTTACAGATGTCATTTCTTTCCTGAGGACTTCTCCACTGAACTCTTGATGTAGTAAAAGAATGTATACACAATACTGTGAAACTTGCTTTCCCTAAACGGCAATTATCGGTTAAAAGAATCCCCTCGAGTAATGAACCCAGTATGCAAATTTCTGTAATATTATGTTGATGTTAAAGTGATGAAAATGTTAAGACTAGAAACTGTGTTAATCTGAGTAATTAAATGTGTGTCTATTTCAAAAGTTATTTCTCATTGAAAGCAAAATTTATTGAACTGATAAGTTATGAAATAGTGTCATTTTCATGTTAATAATGGCATATTAATGTTGTCCTGAAATTATGTCAGTTTCAAAGAACAAATCTAATTCTTACAGGAACATAATTTTTTAGAAGAAAAAAGATGTAAGCTGTATTAAAGAAAGTAAACTCTGAGCTATCTGGAAAATTCTATCTTCCAAATAACTGAGCTTTCACTGTCATTTATTCTTCTGAAGGTTGATTAGCTCATTCTGTATTTTAAATATGCCAGATAATACCATATTAATGGATTGCTGTTTTTGGATGTACTATTCAATTATACTAGGAAACTCAGTTTTTTTAAGATTAGATATCTGGGTTTTTTTCTATAATAAAAATAGCAGATGTTGATTAAGAAATTGGGCAGGCCAGGAAAAAATAGGAAGATAAATTATCAACGGCATAACTTTCAGCCAAGGGACAACCATATTTATCTTGCTGTATAGTTCTTTCTGATTTTTTTTGCGTATTTCTCCTTTTTCCTGTATTTTAGATATATGTAGGTAAGTTTCTTTTCAATTATAACTTTGATCTTCTAGTCTAGGAAGTGACCACTCTTCCTCCCCCTTTTCCTTGCTCCTCACTGGCAGACTTCCCTCAACTCTTTCTGTTCTCAGCATTGCATGAGCTGTGTGATGACCTAGAACTTGTTCTTAAAATTCTGAAAGCAATCACAGCTTGATTAATCAAATAGACACCTGGGGATACTCTGTGGTCTATGAACACCTGTCTTAGTTTATCTGTAACACAGACTGACTACTTGTTTTGTCTTTTTTTTAAAAGACAGTTTTCCAGAATGCAAGGGTCAGATGTCTTCCACCTTAGGAGAATTGCCAGGACTGAGCAAAATTCCACTGATCACCTGAACAGACAGCTGACACAGACATTGCTTGTTTTACCTGACTTGTCTCCATTGCTTTACTTTGTGAAGGCTTTGTCAAGGACCATTGTGGATTGCTCTTAGCTATTTTCATGTCAGATGCACGTGATGTATTTTAATAGCCCCCTCATGAATTCTGTTAGTCACTTCTTTCCAATATATAGGTACAATCTGGATTAACTCAGGTGTATGGGAAAATAGGATGGAATGAGATTGTCTCTGCTCTTGTAGTAGAAGCAAAACTGTGACCATTTTTCTGACTGATTTATTTTTTGAATATTGTACTTATATTTTCTCAGGTGATGTTGATGTACCCCCAGGTCAGCACTTTGAACACTTGAACATCTATGAAATCACATAGTAAAGTGATAGGAGATGGGGCTAAGCTTTTAATGGCCTTTAGACATAGCATTAGACATAACCTAAGCTGAAAGGCTTTGGGAAGTTGTTGTGTTAAATCCCCAACACACTCTCGTGTTTTCTTAGGACTTGCCTCTTATTTAAAAAAAAAAAAAAAAATCTAGCCAACTTTAGAGTTTGGTTAATGTGGCTGTTAAAGTATTCTGCTATCTTTTTCTTTTTTTTCTTTCTTTCTTTCATTCGTTCATTCATTCGTTCTTTTTTTTTGAGACAGAGTCTTGCTCTGACACCCAGGCTGGAGTACAGTGGCACAGTCATAGCTCACTGCAGCCTCAAGCTTCTGGGCTCAAGAGATCCGCCTGCCTTAGCCTCTTGAGTAGCTGGGACTGGAAGCACATGGCACTGCATCTGAATAATTTTTTATTTTTTTTGTAGAGACGGGATCTCACTCTGTTTCCCAGGCTTAAGTGCCTGGCAAACTGTGTTCTATTTATATGATAGCCTTTACTTCATAGGCTTTACCTTTTCTTTATTACGCCTGGATTAGTACATGTCGTAGTTATAATGGACTGCTTTCCAAAATTTGTGTTATAAATCAAATATTTGGGTTTCAAAACAGATTTTCCCATAGTAATGATGATAATATGGTCCTTAAACTAAAACCTTTCAAAGCAGATTGAAAAGGTTCACTAAAACCTTTCAAAATCCTATAACTGAGCTAGATTTAGCTAGAGTTCTCATCCGGCTTTTTTTGCCAAACGTTCCTTACTCCCACCCCAGCATCGTAGTCCTCTTTAAATGGAAAAATGCAATAGTAAGAAAGAACTGTGGTAGCATTGGGAGCCACCTCTGGGCTGGCCCACTCCCTTTCTGCTTCTTTGGTCAGGATCTGTCTACTGAGAAGACACAAGTGGGACCGGCTGTGAATTCAAATAAGCCAGATGCATTTTTATATATTAAGTTTATTCATTGAAGAAGTTCTAAATTTATTTTGGGAACATAATAAGAACTCCTGGTCTGATGTTAATTAACCTGTAATGGAAAGTAGAGCTACTCAAGAGGAGTAAAGAATTTGGCAGTTCATTGAACTGACTTAATTACAAAGCAGTCTTTCCAATGAATATTCAGCTCCAATGAATAAATTAGCTCTATCCCTTGGTGCTGGATGCTTGCAGAATAATCACAGTACGGGGCTTGGGTTAGCCTGAAAATTAGATGTTTGGTAAGGGATGAGTGGGGTACGTATTGCATGAACACCAATTTTTTTAAAAAAGTGATCAGATGATACTAGGAAGGATGTGGAAGAGAGATTATTACAGATAGAGACCAGCATATTGACAGCACTGTATCACTTGGCTTTTTACACCTGAAGCAAGAATTTCCAACTTACTACCCTGGAAACTTAACATATATTATGAGCTTGTGCAATGACCAGGACAGTGTAAGCATTGAAAATCTGTTTTAATTGGCGGAACTGTTATGTTCACTTTGGCTCTAAGTATATAGGATTTGGAATTAGGTGGGCAGGAAGTGGTGGGGAAACTGATAAAGAACTTCAGGGGAAATTAACCAAGGGACTCAATATGATTTCCTCTAACTTCTCTGCTCTTTAATGTCAGCCAGAGCTCCTCAACAATGCTGAAAAGTTGAGATTTTTAAAACTGAAAAAACAAGAGGCCCTGCTCTTTTCAGGGTTAAAGATAATATAGAGTCCTGTAGCACTGCCAGCCTATGTAATGAAATACAGTAAGTCCTCACTTAACATTGTCAGTATAGTTCTTGGAAACTGACTTTAAGTGAAACAACATATATGAAAATCAATTTTACCAGAAGCTGATTGATATAAACAAGAGTTAAGTTCCTATGACATATTTCTGGTCACAAAAACATTATCACACTTCTAAATAAAGACCCAACATACTTCTGATATTAAATATTGAAACAAATATGAGTTATGCATATATTAAAGATTAATGAAAACCGTATAATTACCCCATTTTTAGTGAATCAGTGAGTGATGGTCATAGTAGTGATGTGTTAAATCAAGGGATAAATGTTTGCAAAGTAAAAATTGTAAGGAGCACCTCCTCCCAACTCACAGTTCAAAAGCAAATAGTAACAATTACAGCGGCTTGCTGAATACTTGCATACTGCATCATTGATTTTCATGTGTTTGTATGATTAGCATATACTTTATGAATTTGTATTTTACAATAATTTGTACTCATTCATTTTCTAACGTGCTTATTCCAGTTCAGATCAAGGGTGGCTGGAGCCTGTCCTGGCAGCTCAGGGCACAAAGCAGGACCCAATCCTGGATGGGGCACCAACTCATTGTAGGACACACTCATACACACACTCTTACTCACTCCAGAGGGACTATGTAGACATGCCGATTGCACATCTTTGGGACATGGAAGTAAACTCGAGTATCTGGAGAAAACCCACACAGACATAAGGAGAACATGTGAACCCTACATAGACAGAGGCCCCACTGAGAATCTGCTTCCCCCCCCCCCGTCAACATTATAATAAAAGGACGTTGAACATTCAAGGACCTACTGTACTTGAGAATCCACACGGCTGAGCTGGGGCTTCCTGTGTTGCCTGCATCATGGAAATAAATTAGTAGAGCAAATTGGGACAGCAAACCCAAGTTTCACACTCAGGGTGCCCACGTTTGCTGAGGTGGGCAGTAGATTGATAGCTGGTAACTCTACCAACAGATGCCAGGAAGGAGCCGAGATTCACGTAGAGCTCCAACCCATGTTTCCTGATCTCGTCTGTTTCCAAAATCGCTCATAGACTCCCTAAACTGTCCTTATTTCCCTGGCATCAGCTACCCCCAACTCTGCTACTCCCAAGTATTGTTGGCAAAGGAGATAGGCCCACAAACCACAGCTTGATTTGCCCTAAATCCATGTTTCCCTCAAGTTCCTCTGTACTTGCTGGTTGGACAGGACCCAGCAATTTTGGCTGCCATGGTGACCGATATCCGTTCCTATCTTGGTGGCATGACTGCCTGAGTCATGTCATCTTGCAGGCTAGTGGTTTCCTCAGCTTTAAAATGATGATTTGCCATGCTGCTTCTGGCTCTAAATGCGTGTGACGGAACTAGCCCCGACTGAAGACAGCTACTGTCTTGACATTGGGCAGGGAATGACAGAATGGATAGGCCAGAAAGGGACCACAGGCATCATCCAGGCCAAACTTCTCATTTCATAGATGAGGGCATCGGAGCTACAGCAGCTGAGTGACCTGCTCAGAGTCACATGCCTCATTAGTTACATATGGGTAAAGACAGCTTTGTCTTGATTTTGCTTCTCAGAGTTATTGATTAGTATTATGAGTATTTACTCTAAAAGTAATTGAGTATGCATTTCTCCACTAGACATCATACCGCAAAATGATGCCTGCTTGAATTTTTTTCTTGCTTATCAACTACCTCTACCTCCTATGATGCTTTTAAACACTGGAATTGGGATCCTTAAAGGTAAATGCCTCATAGTTATTTGTTTAAATAAACATAATTCTGAGGCTGGGGGCAGTGGCTCACACCTGTAATCTCAACACTTTGGGAGGCCTAGACAGAGGATTGCTTGAGGCCAGGAATTCAAGACCAGCCTGGGCAACGTAGCAAGAACTCATCTCTACAAAAAATAAAAAATTAACCAGGTGTGGTGGTGTGTGCCTGTAGTCCCAGCCACTTGGGAGGCTGAAGCAGGAGGAATGCCTGAGCCCAGTGGGTTAAGGCTACAGTGATCCATGATCGTGCCACTGCACTCCAGCCTGGGCAACAGAGCGAGACCTTGTCTCAAGAAAAGAAAAGAAATGACTGTGGATTGTACTTCAAAGCTTGGCCAAAGTGTATGATGAATGCAGAGAATCACAAGGTTTAATAGGAGTCATATAAGGGTCCCACAATTTCTCATTGTTGCTGCAGGTAGGAATTGTTTAACATTCTGAGGAGCATTTGCACGTTAGTGGGGTCCCAACTTTGCGGCACAATATATTTGACTTATTTTGACACCCTGCACCTCCTCCTTTTTGCCCTTGAACTGTTCTTCAGAATCAAATTCTGCCATGCAAAAACAACATATTTTGAAGCTCTGTTTCCAGTTTGCTACATAATCATGGCTTATTCACTTGTCAAATAAGCCCTCTAATATATATTGATGGCCTATAAGGTGCCAGATGTTATTCTAGATACTGAGGATGTACTAAGGAATGAAACAGACAAGACAAGTCCCTTGTAGGACTTACATTGTGGAGGGCTGGAACAGAAATAGAACGGATATCCAGATATAGTGATTATCATAGCCAAAAAGTGTTGAGTGCTTTCTAAGTGCCCATTAGTTATCAATGGTTTACCTAGATTTACAAATGTAATGCTCACTGTAATCCAATGAGCCAGACATTATTTTTGTCCCTTACTTTGCAAATGGTAAAATTATATCTAGTAATTTTCTCAACATTTTCTAACTAGTGATTGATGGAGCTGGGATTTGAACCTAGGCATTTGGCTCAAAGTCTATGATCATAAGACAGAAGTGTAATTACAGGAGTCTCCCCCCAATGCATTGGCTGCTGTTTTGTGACTGTACCTGTTTGTAGGAAATATTTTAAATATTCAAATGGCCAGTTGTTTCTACAGCTATTTTTATGGCTTTGAGAGGAGAAAAGAAAAGCCTAGAGCTGTGTCGTCACAGGAGAGTTTTTCCCATCTGTTTGAGACCTCCTTTTTTTCTCTAAACTTAGAACATAATGATATCATTATCCTTATATCATTTCCTCTCAGGTCTTGATTGTTCAGGTTCTGAGGCAGCTGATTTTATGCATATTCATTCTGGCTCAGATGTGGAACAAGTAGCTGCTCACCTTCATTGGCTGTCCTGTGCTCCTGTGTGAATATGGGCAAGTCTTTTGCTCTCTGTGAGCTCCTTAAGGACCTTGGGTGGTGTTGGTAGTACTAACCATCTCGGGAGGTTGAGATTGTTGCTTCTTAAGACTAAGCTACGAAGAGTTTCAGAAAGGGGAATGTCATTTGGCTGTAAAAGTAAAACCGCACTTTGGATATTATTTTCTGATGTTTGATTGCTTTAAAAGACTACATTTTATTCATGTTTTTGGTTCTGCCTTATGTATACACACGGGATCTTTGGATGAGGAGCTTGCCTCTGTGACCCACTAAGGAAATGTGGAATCTATTAACATCTTTGTGCAATCAAGAATAATTTGTTGACTCAACCATTGAAAGGTGAATTGCCACTGGTTGAAGAAATAACATGGAAGCAGTAGCATAGGCTCTTTGCATTAAGAAAAAATTTTTAATTATTTAATATGTCAAGTACGGAGAATGATAGAATACATGTCCTCTACTCATTGCTATGAAACCTCTTGCACTTTCAGTCTCTCTTACCAGCCCTCTTTTTCTACATATCTGTTTCATACTGTTTCACAAGTATATAATTGTTTCATTTACTGTCTTGACCCCCACTAAAAGGAAGATCCATGAGGGCAGAAATTCCTGACTCCTTGATTCACTGCTATGCCCCCATTATCCAGTCATTGTTCTCAGTATTTATTACATATTGCTCAATATTGATTAATTGAATTTTCCCATGTTTGCTTCATTGAAATAGAACACTGTTGGGGTTCCCTCCGCAACTGCAAAGCCTCCCCCAAATCAAATTTTCTTCCTTCCCTAAATCCTTAGAGTAACCTAGAGTAACCAGTATTGTGGATTTGGTGTTTATCATATTTTGTGCGTGTTTTTATATCTTAGTACATGTTTATTTATCTCCATTAGCCAGTATGTAGAGTGTTTGGGAGCTTTTAAGAGTTATTTATATGAATAGTAATATAACCTTTCTGACTTACTGTAAGGGACAAGCCCGGAAGAATAACTGTAAGCCCAGAACTGTAAGGGACAAGCCCAGAAAAGTCCTGATATGACTAGTACACCGAACTCCCCTAAAGACCTCTCTAAGGAGGACTTTCCACTTGCCTTGAATAAATGCTGAAACAAGCAATGCATTTCATGTACCAGACAACAATTAAGCATTAACATCCAAGAATGAACCTATCTAGTTTTTTTCAAAGTTTAAGAACTAGATGCACTTAATATGTTTGTGCCAGAAAATTGGCCACATGTTTGCAGTATTCTCCAAGAAAAGGGGTCCTAATTGTTCAATCAAAAAATGTATTAACAAAGTATAAGTGGCCTGACACTTTGGTAACACTTTTTTCCTTCCTTTAGTTGAGACGGGAGAAGATTGACCTTGAAAATACATTGGAACAAGAACAAGAAGCACTAGTTAATCGCCTCTGGAAAAGGATGGATAAGCTTGAAGCTGAAAAGCGGTTTGTTTAGTCTTGCTGTTCAGTATGGGTGTGTGTGTGTGTGTGTGTGTGTTGCTGCTCTGGGTGTGACTGAGGAATAGCAGTAGGACACCTTAATTCTTTGGTGATGCACATCATTTTAATTGGCCAAAGGAAAAAAAATGTTGAAAGCCTTCTGAACTATTCCCATGTTGGGCACCTCTTTATTCTTTGCTATCATACTGTCCCAGTAGAATTTCTTTTCATTTGGTGTTACAAGGCTATGAGAGAATTAGTCATGCTGCTATTGTTCACCTTTAAAGTATTTTCAAGAATGGTTGCAATTTCAACTTTCCACCTTATTGAACTGGCTTCCTCAGTTGTTTTGTAAAGTACATAGGGTATACTGCGTACTATTATTTATACATCTCTGGAATTTACTTCTTTAGGAAGCCTGAGATTTTAATAATAAAATTGTTTTAAAACCTACTGTAAAGAAATACCTTTACATACTTAAGGCTAGGATTCTTTATATAAAATGTATGTACTTGGAAGTGGAATGTCACTCAACAGCAAACATTTCTTAAACCTCTTTGTGCAAGATAGTTAAGCCCTTATTTTCAAGCACTGAGTACTTTGGAGTGTGTGAGGCAGGGCTTGTAAGAATGGGAAGAAGATTCTGTATGTGGAATGTGTGTACGGGTGTAAAAAGTGAGTTTCTTAAAAATGGTCATTAATCTACTTCACCAAGATCTTTTGTTTGCTACCCAGAGCCCTTCCTCCTTAAGTATTTGGTTTGGATGCATATTTGTAATTGTTTTGAGTTCATGTCTACATTTGCAAAATACAGGCATACCACATAGCTTTAAGAAAAGTGAAAATTAGAGCTATATCTATAAGAAATACTTGTTATAATCATATCCACTATGCTTTACTGATAGGTATTATTGTAGCAGTACTAATAAGTTGAATTACGAAAAGTCATTTTATGTAATAAATGCAGGGACCATTATAATATTTAACACACTAGTTTTCTCAAGGGTAGACCTGGATGGAGGTAACTCAGTTTGCTCCTGGACAAACTCAAAGGTACAAAGCAAAAACAAAACAAAAACCCCAGCAGCTATGGAAAGGGATTTAGAGATCTGCTGCCAAAGGAAGACTTTGTAAAAGGCAGTTGGAGGTTTTACATGTATTAGTGCCAAATTATTGGGTTGAACAGTATGGAAGTTTGCATTTTGTAGGTCAGAGCTATTGAATATCAGTATTTTATATCCTTCAACATAAAAATAATTGGTAAAGAAGGTGGCACTACTAATTATTAACCTAACAATTTTGGTTTTGTTTTTAACTTTTTACCTTTGCTGTGGCCAAAAGCAAAGGGCCGCTAGTCCAGTTTGCCATGCCCTTGCAATTAGTTTTGCAGGAGGGAATTTTAGAAGTTGAGTCTCTGTGTTACTTTACCCTCCAAGGAGATTCATAGTAGCTTAGAAGCTTCAATCAAAAGCCGTAAGAAAATGGAATTTCCTCAGCATCTTCATGCACTAAACCCAAGAAGTTGAACATTGAGTCAGCAGGTATTTCTAAGTGCATACTGTATTCCAGGCATAATTATCAGATCCTGTTGTTAAATAAAGACTTTTCAGTATTGTTTAATTTAAAACATTTAATAGTCATTTAAAAGGAAAAAGGGAGATTAGAATCAGCTCTGCCCTTTGAAGTGAGACACCACGTAAGGGCAGAAGTTTGATGTAAAATGGGCAGAGGAATTAAGCAACCCTGTGAATTCTGGCAGTAAACAGGAGTTTGCTTTTAAAACAAACCTGCCAGCTAGTATGTTGTTTTGTCTTTTCAAGGAAAACTGTTAGTCATTGTTGGAATTTTTCTTTTCAATGAAGAATCCTGCAGGAAAAATTAGACCAGCCCGTCTCTGCTCCACCATCGCCTAGAGATATCTCCATGGAGATTGATTCTCCAGAAAATATGATGCGTCACATCAGGTTTTTAAAGAATGAAGTGGAACGGCTGAAGAAGCAACTGAGAGCTGCTCAGTTACAGCGTACGTAGCCTCTGGTTTCACTAGTTTCATGCCTGTAGAATTAATAACTTTACCAAATATAGGGTATTACCAACATTTAATTACTGTTGAATTTGCAGTAATTAAATTCATATATTACTGATGCATGTTTACTTAAGTTCATCATCCTGGAATGGAATTTTTTTTTTTTTTGAGTGTTATAGTAGGGGAGAACAAAACCATTTAGAATACTTCCAGAAAATAATTAAAGTAATTTCAGGAACATCCAGGATCACAAGTAACATTTTTAATCTTCTCTGCCATGTTTATCTCTAGGATTGTGCTAACAAAAATATTGCAGCAGACCTCAAAGCACTTTCAAAATATTAAGGCAGAGAGTAGTGTTTACCTTCCTTACTACTACATTCAACCTTAGCTGACATTTGTTCATGCTATTTGAAGAGTAAATGCTTTTGAAATTTATACTTAATATTTTGGAAGAGGCCAAGATGTTGAGTTGAAAAATCAAAGGACTAGATTTCTGAATATTTGATTATGTCCCTGTGTAGTTTCTTGGGTCTCTCCTATTTGTGGTTTTTTTTTTTTTTTTTTTTGGCTATTCAAATTTATTTTTTTGAACAGATAATTCAGTGAAAGGTATGCAGTGAAAAAATGGGTCTTTCTCTCATTCCTATTCTCTAGCTACCCTGTTCCCACAATTATACATTTGTACTATATTCTTCCAGATATATTTGTATATAAACTTATTTATACACATACAGTTGACCCTTGAACAACACGGGTTTGAACTGTGCTAGTTTACTTATATTGTGGATTTTTTTTTCAATAAATACAGTTGTCCCTTCGTATCTGGAGGTTCTGCATCCACAACCAAAGATGGATGGAAAATACAGTATTCATGGGATGTCAAACCTGTACATGTGGAAGGCTGACTTTTCCTATCTGTGGGTTCCTCAGGGCTGACTACAGGACCTGAGTATGCACACATATTGGTATACTTGGGATTCACAGGTTCTGAGGGACAGCTGTAGTAACACAATGAGCACACTCATTTACACCTTTCTCTTTTCGCTTACTATGCATTGTAGTTTTCTCCCCTGCTGATACATACAAAGCTGCCTTCATCCCTTATTTAAAGGCTGCATAGTATTTGATTGTATGAATATGCCATAATTCAACTAGTCCCATACCAGTGGACCCTTTTTGGTTGCTATGCTACAACCGCAATGAACATCTCTATACACGTGTTTGATACCTGTGCAGGAACACCTTCAGGATAGATTCCAGGAAGTGGATTTGTTGGGCCACATGGAATGTGCATTTTAAAAAGTTCAGTGGTTCCTACCTTTGTTTTCGTCTCTGAAGTTCCTTACAAATTCTTGTGCCGTGGAGCATCTGGGATGGTGTATCAGTATCATCCTTGGAGCCTTTGAGAAATATGGTGTAGTACTTTCCTATTTCTGCTATTACAAATTACCACAAACCTAGAGGCTCAAAACAATACAAACTTAACCATCTTACAGTTCTAAGATGGGACTCACTAGGCTAAAATCAGGGTGTCATCAGGGCAGCCATCCTTCTGGAGGTTGTTGGGGAGCCTCTGTTTCCTCGCCTTTTCCAGCTCTAGAGGCTGCCTGGATTCCCTGGCTTGTGGCCCCTTCCTTGCAGTCGTACCACCCCACCTCTGCCTCTGTTGTTACATCTTCTTTTCACTCTGATTCCCCTGCCTCCCTTTATTAGGATCCTTGTGATTATGTTGGGCCCACTGTGATAATCTAGGATAATCTACCCATCTCAAGCCCCTTAACTTAATCACTTCTGCAAAGGCCCTTCTGTCAAGTGAGGTTAGTAGCATTTATAGGTTTTGGGGATTAGCATGTGGACATCTTTAGGGAATCACTATTCTAGCACCATACAGGTTTCTGGGCTTACTCCATGGAGTAAAAAAGGAGCATATTAAAAAAATATATATATAAGTAATCCTGATGTGGACCTCAGGTTGTTAATTACTATGTGTGTTTGGTGGAAATCAAATGAGATATATCAAATAGTTCTCAAATATTAGTTATTTTAAGATTTTTGAGTTTTTACCATGTGAGTACACAAACATCTTTCAGCACCTTCCTGAACTTTTTCCCGTGCTGTCAGTTTGCATTTTTCCTCCTCCTTTATACTGCTCCATCGTGCCCCTAGCAAAAATTTCAGAAGGAATTTGGGGAGAATGTATGCTTACTACTATCTCCATACTGCACTGTTTAGTCTGAAGAGACTGCAGATACTAACAGAGGCATTTGTAAGTGCTATTTCTGATTTTGTGAGGACAGAGAAAGCTGAACTAAAGAAGCAGCAGTGGCACTTAGCTGCTTGCAGTGATTGGATTGGGCCTAAAGGATGTGTTAGTGACTTTTCATCATCCATTCCTTGCATTCTCCTTAGGTTAGATGACCTGGGCCTCTTTTGGATGCAGCTATGGCAGGTGGCTCCTCACCCTCCAAGCTTGACTGCATCTGAACTTGAACCTCTCTCTCAACAGTTCTCAGCAATGTTTGAACGTTGGCATCGCCTGGCCAGCTTTTAATAGACCAGTGGCTAGGACTCATCCTTGGAATTCTGACTGAATTGGCTTGGGGTATAGTCTGGGCACTGGTATTTTCTAACTGTGAACTTGGAAGGGAATGCAAGCCATGCAGATCTTTGGATCATTTGGGAGCCACCTCTTTGGAATCTGTGTGGAAGTCATCCGCAGTTCACACCATCTTTGACTAAAATACAGTAAGTCCTTACTTCACATCATCCTTGGGTTCTTGGAAACTGAGACTTTAAGTGAAACAACTTTCTGTATAACCAAACCAATTTTACCGTAGGCTAACTGATACAAACAAGAGTTAAGTTCCTATGGCATACATATGTTGTTTCACTTAAAGTCACAGTTTCCAAGGATCTGTGGATGATGTTAAGTGAGGGCCTACTATATTGGGAGATGGCTGTAGACCTGGGGAAATATAAGCTGTGGCCCCTAAGTACTAGGGAGTTCTGTGTGCAAGAGGAAGGAGGAGGACTCATAGGAACAAATCTGGTCAGGTGAGGCTGTGTGCCAGCAGGGGGCAGCCAAGGAATGCTCTGGTGACAGCCTTCTGTGTGTGAGTCAGTGACACCCAGAGGTGTTGGACCTGGTGCCTTCTCTGTGCCTCTGTCTTCTAGGTCAATTGCTGAACTGCCAGGAAGTCTTCCCAGCCGATCACTGCAGGGGACATTCTTATCTATAGATATATTGTTTAAGGATCCCCCTGCTGAGTTCCCCGATGCTAAAGGATTGCCATTTTTTCTTTGAAAGACAATGTTCTCTGAAGTTATTGTTCTTGGAGCCTCACTAATGTTAATTCTGCAAAGGATTTCATGGTAGTCTCCAGCACCCTTCCTGTAAAAGGCATTATAAGAGTCCTATTATGGAAAAGAAAGTCAGCTTGCTCTGACAGTCACCCTTCTAGTTCTAGAAACAGCAAATACTCCAAGGGGTCAATCTTTTGTTTCCTGTAGAGCCAAGTGAAAAATTCTGCATGCTTGCATATTTGGGATCAAATAATTTAAATCGTTTATATTAAAAGTGTACTTTGTAAATATTTTCCCAGCATGCCTTCAATTAAAGAGATTTTTGTGTCTGGATTAGACAGCGGGGTTTCTGGCTATGTTGAAACAGCCAAGGGATTTAGTGTTTAGTGCACGTAATAGTGTTTAATAATTTTGGTATTTTTATTTGAATTTCTAAAATAAGGATATTCAAGAGCTTTTGTATATCTGTAATGATGCTGTCTTGGAAATCATTGAATACTTATCAGAAGTCTTTATTGGCTAAAATGCCAGACCTTTGTAGAGTTGCTTAAAACTGAAACTAATTTGATGGGCATTGAGAGTTGAAATAGGGTCAGTCTGTGGGAGAAAAATGCTCATTGTGGCATTCAGCTCCCTCCTTCTTCCCTAAATTTGGACCGAACTGACAATATGGAACAGCAGCCTACAGGAAACTCTCTTAGACGTGCTCATGGCCACTGAATTTGTAGCTGCTTTTCAGAAAAGAGAAGTATATGGAGATTTTACTTTTCCCAAGTTCATTGACAAAGACAAGGAAAAGAAATGAAGCAAGAAGATGGGTAGACACCACATTTTGTATTAGATAATTCTGGTTACTTGGTAGCAGATTCTGTGTGAGATAAACCAGAAAGGAATGGGGGCGGTGGGGAGGTTGTCAAAAGAGGAAGGAAGACGTGTTTTTCTTTTTTTGGAAGGTTGTGGAGTATGCCACAGAATCCTGTGAAGAATAACCTTGGAAGGACAAGAGTTTTGATGGCTCCGGGGAACTTAGCTGAAGCAGACCCTGGATCCCCATAAAGATGTCAGTTCCCCATTTCAGATTCCTGGGAGAGGTAGTCTAAGTGGCTCAGCCTGGGTCCAACAGCTAGTGCCAGGGCTAGTCAGCTCTGTCCTGGGAGATGGGTGCTGTAGCAGAGACCTGGATTTGTGGGGGAGCTCCTGAGGAAGGGGTATTTGTCATAAGCAAGATGCCATCCCTAGAGGTGCCAGCTATATACAGGACTTCACCTGCCCTCTGCCGCTACGTGTGTGTGAGTCAGGGTAACAGACAGCCACACACACACCACAAATTAGACTTGGAAATATTAATCTGAAGTTTTCTAGTTTACTATGTCAATGTCTATTCTCGTGAAAAGAATGTTAACTGTTATCACATGTTCTAGTACAGTGGTTCTTGGTGTGCCGCCACCACTGTGCACAGCGGGAATGCCAACAAGTGTCACAGGCTCCCCTAGATGGCTTGCTGTGTCTGGAGTTGAGAGGCAGCCAAACTGGTGTCTAGAGCAGAGCCCATGGGCAGAATCTGGGCCTCCCTCCTTTCCCAGCTCTGGCAATGTAGAGAAGAGCTCTTGTAGTGGCTACTTGTAGACTCCAATTCCACCATTTCCTCTTCTACTTAAAGCACTTTAGAATGCAAATGAGTGGGAGTGACGATGCCTAACCTGCCAACACTGCCTTTTATATTTTTTTCTAAATGCAAATAATTGGTAAACTTTTATACTTGAGATAAACTTTAAATCCATATCTCATCTATGTGTGGGAGAATGAGAAAGACCAGATATCTTTTTTGTTTCTTTGTTTTTTGAGACAGAGTCTTGCTGTGTTGCCCAGGCTGAAGTGCAGTAGCTCAGTCTCGCTCACTACAACCTCCACCTCCTGAGTTCAAGCAGTTCTCCTGCCTCAGCCTCCCGAATAGCTGGGATTACAGGTGCCTGCCACCACGCCCAGCTAATGTTTGTATTTTTAGTAGAGACTGAGTTTCACCATGTTAGCCAGGCTGGTCTCGAACTCCTGACATCAGGTGATCCGCCTTCCTCAGCCTCCCCAAGTGCCAGGATTACAAGTGTGAGCCACCATACCCGACCAGAAAGACCATCTTGTAACAATTCCCTCTGTCTATGGCATAGGGGCTGAACTGAAGTCTCCTTTTTTTTAGATTTGGATATGATTGCATGAAACATGGTTTAATTGAAAACTCTGACTTTTCAGATTCAGAGAAAATGGCACAGTATCTGGAGGAGGAACGTCACATGAGAGAAGAGAACTTGAGGCTCCAGAGGAAGCTGCAGAGGGAGATGGAGAGAAGAGAAGCCCTCTGTCGACAGCTCTCCGAGAGTGAGTCCAGCTTAGAAATGGACGACGAAAGGTGTGTGCATGTCTTATGAGCCTTGTTTTTGTTTAAAAAATAAAACCCAGGTTCTACAGAGGTTTTCTTTGGTATCCTGTTAGGTGTATAAGGGGATGGCTTAAATATGTATTTATTGTGCTAATGAATGCCACTGCGTTATAGTAGATGCCAAGAATGGGATAAAGATTGAACATTTTCCTTAAACACAAAAAGATGAAAAAAATCACCTCTCTAAAATCATTTGGTGGGGAGAGAAATGGAGACAGGGTTATATTAGAGAAGCAGCAGAGTTTGCATTTGTTGTTGAATTAGTTTAATCCAGTGTCATATCTGTTTAAAGCATGGGAACATATTAATTCCTGTACTGTATAAGGATAAGCAAGCTATAGTGCAGCTCGAGGAAAACAGTGCATGCGTAGGTTGAAAAGAATCAGTAGGGACACAGGTGGGGGTTGTTGAAATCCCAAGGACTTGCCTTAACACACTTGATAACTTTTGAGCCTTTTTGTAGCCACTTAAAAAAAAATAAAACTAATGGATTGCATTCATCTGTTCAAACCTAAGCAATGAATCCCCTCATTGCCCCACTGTGAGTGATCTGGAATAACAGACCCATCCTTTGGTTAACTAGCAGAAATGGTCTCAAGTATTTGTGCCTCATCCAGTTCTCTTCCCTCTTCCTCCTCTCTAAATTCGGGATAAGGTAGTGGTAAGATAACAAACAAGTATAAATGGAAAAAGATGTTCAATCTGCAGAGAAACCCAGAAGTTAGAGAATTAACCTTTCTCTGAACCAGATCATTTCTGCAAGGAAATTCTCCATTCTGGATCAGCGATGCCCTGGCGTTACATGGGCGGTATCTTAGTGTGAGAGGTGAGACTGAGTATTCTTGGGGGTCCCTCCAGCAGGACTGGGCATTCAGTGTCTGAAACCAGGCCTACTCATGGCTGTGACGAGTAGTACTGCCTGTTGATGCCAATACGTGCTGTCCAAAACATGTAGGCAATGTTAGCACATCTGTACTCTGTTTCTATTATGGAATGGATCTAGAGGACTAACAACGCTGTTGATCAGTTTGCTGTGGACAGTGACTTTATTGTTAAAAATTTAAGATTATCTATAATGAAAGTCTATATTTTTATAATGAGAAAAAAAGGAAAACAGTAACAGGTTATTCTATTTTAAATACCTATGTGTATGCCTCTTCATTTGGAAATAATAAAGATTATTCTTTCTCAAAACTTTGCCTTATAAAACTACAGTTCCCCATTCTTCCTAAAATCTATATCCCTTAAGAACCATTTGACTAAAACTGCCAGCTAGAATACTAAATAGCTTATTAACTATCTTCAGATACAGATCATATATAGCATCTGGGACCCAGTTTGGGGTAAGATACACTCTAAGGAAATATGTCTTTTGACTGCAGTGTCAATAGTGAAGCAATTTCAGCCTTCCAGATAAATATTTTTTTCCAGAACCGGTATTCATTTCAGAAAGTTTGCCCTACCTTTTGTAGGTCAGATTATCCACAGCTGCCCAATAAATACTTTCCCTACTAGGAACAATGATACTACATTTGGGAGAAAGAAAATTGTCCGGCACTTAAGAGACCACAAGATGCCTCTTAGTCTACTAGTGGATGTGTGGAGTACAAGAAGTTCCACCTGGTGCCACTAGGGTGGGTCGCTCGTGCAGGATGGTTTATCAGGAAGTCTCTCAAGCAGCAATTTCTCCTCGTCAGCGCACCATGCTCATTTCACAGAGTGTAAGCTGATGTTCCTGATGATCACACTTCAGCATTTTCAGGTCTGATGTGACTTCTGAATCCAGGAAAAAGGCAGACTCAGCATGGTGTGACTAAGCGTGACCTGCTGTAGGTGTTCAGTACTCAAGGCTTATTAAATCCTAGTGTGTGACTGTCTGTTAAGCAGGGCTTGCTTGTAAACAGTTGATACTCAGTTCATAGGAATAAGTATCTGTAGGCTTTAATTTGATGACATAAATCTCAGAGGGCTTGCTTGGTTTTGAGTTTCAAATAACAATTTAAATGTCACCACTAACATGTGAGTGTCTTTGTAACTCTTGGGACAGTGGAGGTGAATTTCAACATAGCTGTTGTGTGATGGAGGAAAAACTGGTCCTCTCTGTGGTGTGGTGCACCTCTTTCACCTGGCTTCCATCCTGAGCTAAAACATCCTAGGTCTCCCAACTGGTGACCCTTGGAGTGAGGTTTGTCAAACAGCAGAGCGGTGTGACTCAGGAGTCCATTTTATAAATGCCTTTTAACTATAACATCACTCTAAACATTCAGGATTTTGACCTCAAGGTGTGAACCCCAAACATTTTCTCTTAAAAACTCTCCTAAGGCCTATTTAAATGCAGGTGGTTTTATCGTTTCCTCCTCTCTCCTCTTAGGTATTTTAATGAGATGTCTGCACAAGGATTAAGACCTCGCACTGTGTCCAGCCCGATCCCTTACACACCTTCTCCGAGTTCAAGCAGGCCTATATCACCTGGTGAGCATATGTCTTTGGCTATTTCAGTGACTGATTCCTGGCACATTGAATAGGCAACCCTGACTGTGTTCCCTTCTAGTGTATAAAAATCTTGGAAACAGGGATAATAATCATGTCTTTTTCAAAAACATCAAAAACTCATCACTCTCAAGGCTAAGAGTTTGAAAATTTTAAGCATAAATGCTAGAGTGTCAGCTGGTGTTTCTCTTCTTCTTCTTTTTTTTTTTTTAATCTAAAAGGAATTTGACTGTAAAACACCTTTTAAAAAGAAGAATGTCTTTGACTATGATTTTAAGTGCTAATGGGTAGACAAAAAAGCCTTAGGTAGATTTCCAAGATGCATCATAGCACACCTTTTATGGGTTCTTTTACCATATTCCACATACATTAATCTCATTTTTGTCCTCAGAATAATTAATGTAGTCATCATTTTCCCCATGTTAAAATGAGGAAGCAGCAATTCAGAGGGTCACTACTGGTTACACAGCCAGGAAGTGGCAAGGCAGGGCCTATCTGTTTAAAGAGCCTGTGTGTTCTTTCTAGCATGAGCTGCCTCCTGATATTTCCAGTGATTGGTGAGTGGGACCTGGCCCTAGCAGGCAGGCTGCAGAAGAGGGAACGAACTTCTGTCAGGCAGCCTGCTTCTGGCTTTGCCCTCACAACCTTTCCCTCAAAGGATTGCTTGTCTCCATCTGACCCCAAAAACTGTTTCCTGAGCTCTGTGGCTCAATACCAGCATGGCATGGGGCTCTCAGGCCAGGGAGGCAAGTAGCTGATCCAGTGAGAGAGAAAGAGGAGCAGAGGGTGGAGTGGGTGGCCAGTGGAGTAGGGGGAGGAAAGAAAAGGTGATGGGCCAAAGAATCACATCTTGTGACCAAAATGATGAGACTGATTTTCTTGTGCTTGCTGGTAAGCAGATTTTCAGCAGAGTTGGGAGAAAAGTATGGAGGGGACTGTGACAGAGGCAGAGTTTTGCAGTAGAATAGAGTGAGGTGACTGCTTTGAAGGAAGGCAGCATAAAGTTTTTATAAAGTAAAACAGCGTTGCATCAGGATAACAAAAGTTCACAGCACTGTGCTGCCATTAACTTTTTTTTTTTTTAAGAGGAGGCAATCAAAAGTTAAAGTCTAGCACAAAGGGTGGCCGCCTTTGTACCGATGGGCCAGTGTGCTCTCTGGTGTCAGGCAGGGGTAAAGATGCTGATTCCAAAGCAGAAGGACTTCCTATCAGAGATCAGTGGCACAATCATCACAACTTGTTCTTGCCAAAAAGATGTTCCCCAACCTGTTTCTTCCATCTTCCAGTGCCATTAAATCTCTCTTCAGAAGCTTCTCTTCTAGCTGCCTCTCAATTTTCCCAAAATAGCACTTGGGTTTCATTACCATGATAAAGGTCTTTTTTGCCTTCTGATTTATTGATGTAAAAGGAAGTCATGAGTCAAGAAGAAGTAAAATGGAGGATTGTTTCATTATTTTGTGATGGTGATGCTGATTCATATTAAAGATAATTTAATACCCTGTTTGATTTATTTAAACGTAAAGCCTTAGAGGCATGTAATTTCCGATTGATTAAAGAGATTGTTGCAATCATTGAGAAAAGAAAAAGAACAAATGTCAGACCTTGGTTAGGAATATTCCTTCTATTTTAACAAAGATTCTTCAGGAAAATCTTACTGTATTTACATAATTTTTACTTTCACTGTACCTGTTCCCATAGTGGGACCTACATCAAGTGTGGGGCTTGCTTGGATAGATAAGCTATTTGACTTTTCTTAAACTATGTCATAAGTAACACCTAGATTTTTTTTCCTTACAGCTAGCCTAAATGAGAATATTTTTATCCTGTTTTAAATTCTATAACATCACCAAAGGAGATTTTGTCTATTTGGCAGCAGAATTACTCTATTCTGATCTAGTACATTGTAGTGCTATACATAGTAGATCACCAAAACCTGAATATTCCAGTTTTCTTTTCACATTAGTTTTTATTGGAAAAAATTTGTGGCTGTAAGCATTAAGAATATCTAATCACTTCCTTAGTGGAAATATGCTGTTTGAATAGCATTCATTTCCATTTTAAACATATTGGCTCTGAATTTTCCTCCTTTTCTGGTTGACATTGGAAATCTTGTGTTTTCACTAACTTCACTAACTTGTTGAAATATTGGCAATTACATATTGAAAATGTACTTGAAAAATACATAGCCTAAAACTAAGAAAGAGCATCATCTTTATTATATTTGGACTGCTTTTATGAATTATATATAGGAAGAGTGTTATCTTTCAGTTTGTCCATCATTTTATGCAGTATAATGAAGGATATTCCCAGTTAGCCTGTTTTGATGTGTCTGAATTAGGGATAGGCAATAATGAGGTCTAAAAAATAGGTCTGCACCCTCATAGCAATGAACGTACCCCACAGACATTGGTTTCGATCCAGTTAAAAGAACTAGAGCTACTTGGAGAAATGAATGTTTCTAGAGCTGGGGCACTGAATGTACGAGATGAGCTGGGTGAGATAACTTGTAGTGCAAAAGAGTAAACAAGTGCCCAGAAAACAAAGTGATGAGGGTATGTCAGAGGGATACAGGAGCTCCCAAACACCAAAACTGGGACAATTTGAGCAGTATTAATTACTATATTATAACATTATTTAATATAATAAAATATAATTCAAACATCAAACAAATATCCAAAGTCCATACTGATATGAATAAATGACTAAATAAATAAACAAGGGAGAAGACACAGATCCTCACGGAGAGAATTCCAGATAATATACGTAGATATTCCATCCTCAAGGAGATGGAAATAACTCTACTCCTTAAATGTGGGATATGCGACTGTAAGGTCAAGTATAAGATGAAAACCTGGCAAAGGAGATGAGGAAGTTGCTACCAGAAAAGTGGAAAGAAAATTGATGTATGATGTCACTGAGGTCAAGGCAAAGAATTTCACCAAGAAGGGAGTGGTTAGCTGCCAGGTCAAGTACAATTAGGAGTGGAGATCAGTGATGGCGACCGGCAGCACAGAACTTACCACTGACCTTAGCTAGAGCAGTTTTTGATGGAGTGGTAGGGAAAGAAGCCAGATCAGATAGAGTTAAAGAGGATATTGTTTCCAAATTGTTTGAATTTTAACAAGGAAGATGTTTTCATATATAACTTGTGTGTGTCAAATAGGAAGGAAAAGTGCCTGCCTTTAATTTGTTTCCACAATTTTTTTTTTCTTTAGCCAAAGATATATTAAAACTTGGGGCAGTGAGAAGGGTATAAAAAGCAGAAATAAAGTCATCCAGAATTCTTTCATCCAAAGGCGGTGTTAATGTTTTAGTGTTTTCAAGTGTCTCCTATCCCACCCCTTGCAGTTTTCTTTTAAGTAGTTGGTTTCATACATATTATGAAATGCTTTTGTATCTTGTTTTATATTGCTTAGTGTGTTTTCTCAGTCATGAGTCGCTTTTAATTAATCATTTTTTAAGTTTGCAGTTTTGACAGTGAAATAAATCTTAGAATTTTGGCTTTTGTTAATACATTTCCATATCAAAGCAAGGGAAGTTTATTCCAGCAAAGACTTGATGTAAAACCATAGTATTATATTTAGTAAGCTGGTGTTTGTGGTTTGGCAATTTCAACTTAGGTTCTGGTGGGGAGGGGTTATCCTTTATTGTATTCCTGGGTCAGAGGGTGAAGATGCATGATAATTAGAACTTAAGGAAAAAAAAAATCAATAGTACATGATTTCCAACCTCTAAGAGCTTATAATCAACAGCAGGGCTTACAGAAGCAGGTTTAAAAAAAAAAAAAAACTTTAATACAAGGCTAAATGTAATAAATTTCATAAATTGTGTATATTGTATACCCTTTAAAAAGTTATGTAGTTAAACAAATGGCAGTATGTCTATTCAATGGAATACTGTTCAGCAATAAACAGATTAACTATTGACACTTAGAACAATTTGGATGGATTGCAAGGGCATTGAACTGAATGAAAAGACCTAATCTCAAAGGGTTACCTACTATATGATACCATTTCTACAACATTCACAAAGTGACAAAATTATAGAGAACAGATCAGTCATTGCTAGGATGCGTTAAGAGTAGTAGAAGGATAAGGATGGTTGAGCTGTACACATGCATAGGCACACAGAGAGCACACATGGAAGCTGATGAAATCCACACAAAGTCTGTGCCTTAGTTACTAATATTATACCAATGTCAATTTCCTGGTTTTGACAATGTGTTATTGTTATGTAGGGTGTAATCAGGGGAAGCTGAGTGAAAGATACATGGGAACCCTGTAATATTCTTGCAATTTCTTGTGAATTGTAAACTATTTCAAAATAAAAAGTTATAATTTTTATAAACCCAAGGTAAAATAGTTTAAAAAGAGGTTCAAAGAGGAGAGAGCGACCAGCTTAGAGAGCTTTTGAGATGGGCTTTGAGAGGAGTTAATGAGCTAAAGTGCATCAAACCCTTACTTTTTCCAGGCACTCTCAAAGCACTTTGTGATATTATCTCCTTTCATCCTCATGACAACCTTGCAAGGTAGCTACAGTATTCCCATTGAACAGCTCAGGAATCTAAAGCACAATGAGATTAAGGAACTTGTCTACTTAGTGCCAAGTGTCAGAGCTAGGATCCAACATAGTCTGACTCTAGACTCTGTGGTCTTTGCCTTCTGCAAAGGATGAGTGAGGTGCTGATTGGCACTGGGAGCAGGAAGAAGCTGTGGTAAAGAGAAGACATTCTCAGGCTAGGGCACACCATTAACAGAGGCATGGAGGTCTGAATCAAGAGCAATAAAATCACTGCAGTTCTCTTCACAGCTGCCCTGGGGTTCAGCTCCCTGGAGATTCTGATTCATTGGTTTGGGATAAGGCAAGCAGAACTTTGATATTCACTGTTGAGAACCACTGACCTGCAGCATCAGAATATAGTTTGAAGCCAAATGCAGAAGTCTTGGTAACAGCTAGAGAAGGAGATTTCTTTTTTCGAGATAGAGTCTTGCTCTGTTGCCCAGGCTGGAGTGCAGTGGCATGATCTTGGCTCAGTGCAACCTCCGCCTCCTGGGTTTAAGCTGGGATTACAGCTCCCAAGTAGCTGGGATTACAGGCACCCGCCACCATGCCTGGCTAATTTTTTGTATTTTTAGTAGAGACAAGGTTTCACCGTGTTGACCAGGCTGGTCTTGAATTCCCGACCTCAAGTGATCCACCCGCTTCAGCCTCCCAAAGTGCTGGAATTACAGGCATGAACCACCATGACCGGCCAGGATTTTTTTTTTTTTAAGTAAGTAGGCAGTACTCATAATTACCCTTCAGAAAAGTTAACTCAGTAATACTAGAACATTGACTATATTTTTAAAAATGAACTGAATCCCCTATTTGAAGACAAGGATCCACTTTTTTTTTTTTTTTTTTTTTTTTTGAAACAGTCTTGCTCTGTCGCGCAGGCTGGAGTGCAGTGGCATGATCTCAGCTCACTATAAACTCCACCTCCCAGATTCAAGCGATTCTCCTGCCTCAGCCTCCTGAGTAGCTGGGATTTATCAGCACAAACCACCACGCCCACCTAGTTTTTGTATTTTTAGTAGAGATGGGGTTTCACCATGTTGGTCAGGCTGGTCTCGAACTCCTGACCTCGTGATCCATCCACCTCAGCCTCCCAAAGTGGTGGGATTACAGGCGTGAGCCACCACGTCCAGCCCACTTTTATATTTTATAGCCTTTCTCTTAAATGTAATCACTTTCATAAGAAATAAAATTAGGATTTTATTCTCCAATGTTTTTTTAAAGAAAACAACTTCTTTCTTTTCCCAGATGAGTAAAGTTCTTGTGATTCCAGTAAATATCACATTAAAAAACCACTTAGTTCCCAAAGACTTGTCCTTTATCCCAGACCTCCATTTTGTAAATGTGAATAAAAACTCCACAATTGGAAATGGAAATATGTCAAATAGAAAGCATCACTAATTCATAGTCAAATCACAAAATAAACTTTTAGTATTAGATGCTGAGGGCACAGAAAAGTCCTGCGATAATAGCACAACTAAAGGAAGGCTTGGCTGAATATCTCTGTCATGGAAACAAAAAAGACAGATGGAAGAGCATACTTAACAGCTTCTTGTTTTTACGTAATTCAGAAAAGCAGTAAGTGGAGTTCACATTGCTTGGCCTCTAATAGCTGATAGTATGTTCAGAGTAATTGTCAATAGGTGATTCCTATCCACATTTCCCCAGACAGCTCCTCTGTTTTCCCTTTTCACTTTGCCAGTATGGAACCTACCCTGTGCAAGGTATTGTGGTAGATGTTGGGAACTCAAAGGTGTAAAGAAAGCTAGCCACATTTGTGCAGTGATAAAACAAGTAATTCCCCAGACCGGCTGGTGACTTCTGCACTGACTCTTGACGAGCAGGGCTTCACATGCCACATGTAGGTGAGGATCGCTTTTAGATGTTCTCAAAATATGGACCCCAATCCAAACCTGTCTAACAGTAAGGAGAGTCTGGACATACAGATGTTAAAACACAGTGGAGATGATCCTGGACTCCTACATGAAGACTACACAGAACATTATATTGGACTGGGGATTGTTTCTTCCTTAAATACCAGGTTCTTTTAGGGAACATTGGCAGGGCTTTCATTCCTTGTATTGAATATTCTCAAGTCGTGATATTCCCAGTGGTTTTGTTTGCTGTTATGGCTGAGACACACACACACACACACACACACACAACACTCTCACTCTCTCTCTCTCTCACTCACTCATGCCCACACTCTCCCTGTCTTCTTCTTGTTGATTTTTTTTTTTTTTTTTTTTTTTTTTTTTTGCTAGGAGGTTCAGTTCATTGGCTACTTAATATCTATCTCCAGTTTGGTCAATTGTTGATACATCTTTTGACATTTCTGGTTTTCTTGCATTTGATATTTACTCCTTTGCTCGATTTTCTCCACTTTATTCTTGTTCTTTCTCATGTCTTTTGCTTTCCTGAATCTCAGTTGAATTCCTGACAGGGTTTGACTTAAAAAAATCATTATTGTGGTGAGACCTCTCAATATAAGATCTATCCTCTTATTTTTAAGAATACAATACAGTACTGTTAACTGTAGTATAATGTTGTGCAGCAACTCTCTGTAGTTTATTCGTTTTGCTTAACTGAAACTTGATGGCTGTTGAGCAGCAGTTCACCGCCATTCTACTCTGTGTCTATGAGATTGGCTATTTAAACTCCTCATATAAGTGGAACCAGGCAGGATTTGTCCTTCTGTGACTGGCTTATTTCACTTAGCATAATATTCTCGAGGTTAATATATGTTGTTGCATATGGCAGGATTTTCTCCTTTTAGACTGAATATTCCTTTATATGTCTATATATATCACATTTTCTTTATCTGCTCATCCGTTGATGGACAGTGAGGTTGTTTCCACATTTTTTTTTTTTTTTTTTGAGATGGAATCTGGCTCTGTCGCCCAGGCTGGAGTGCAGTGGCACGATCTCAGCTCACTGCAAGCTCCGCCTCCCGAGTTCATGCCATTCTCCTGCCTCAGACTCCCGAATAGCTAGGACTACAGGCACCCGCCACCATGCCCAGCTAATTTTTTTGTATTTTTTTTAGTAGAGACGGGGTTTCACCATGTTAGCCAAGATGGTCTCGATCTCCTGACCTTGTGACCTGCCTGCCTCAGCCTCCCAAAGTGCTGGGATTACAGGCGTGAGCCACCGCTCCAGGCCTCCACATTTTTGCTATTGTGAATAACACTGTAGTGAATATGGGAGTGCTAATATCTCTTTGAGATCCTGATTTCAATTATTTTGTATAAATACCCAGAAGTGGGATTGCTAGATCATGTGGTACTTCTAGTTTTAATCTTTTGAGGCATTTTCATACTGATTTCCATAGTGGATGCACCATTTTACATTCCTACCAACAGTGTATAAGGATTTTTTCTCCGTATCCTCACCACCACTTGTTACCTTTTTTTTTCTTTTATACAACCTACAAATTGGGAGAAAATTTTTGCAACCTACTCATCTGACAAAGGGCTAATATCCAGAATCTACAATGAACTCAAACAAATTTACAAGAAAAAAACAACCCCATCAAAAAGTGGGCGAAGGACATGAACAGACACTTCTCAAAAGAAGACATTTATGCAGCCAAAAAACACATGAAAAAATGCTCACCATCACTGGCCATCAGAGAAATGCAAATCAAAACCACAGTGAGATACCATCTTACACCAGTTAGAATGGCAATCATTAAAAAGTCAGGAAACAACAGGTGCTGGAGAGGATGTGGAGAAAGAGGAACACTTTTACACTGTTGGTGGGACTGTAAACTATTTCAACCATTGTGAAAGTCAGTGTGGTGATTCCTCAGGGATCTAGAACTAGAAATACCATTTGACCCAGCCATCCCATTACTGGGTATATACCCAAAGGACTACAAATCATGCTGCTATAAAGACACATGCACAGGTATGTTTATTGTGGCACTATTCACAATAGCAAAGACTTGGAACCAACCCAAATGTCCAACAACGATAGACTGGATTAAGAAAATGTGGCACATATACACCATGGAATACTATGCAGCCATAAGAAATGATGAGTTCATGTCCTTTGTAGAGACATGGATGAAATTGGAAATCATCATTCTCAGTAAACTATCGCAAGGACAAAAAACGAAACACCACATGTTCTGACTCATAGGTGGGAATTGAACAATGAGAACACATGGACACAGGAAGGGGAATAACATCACACTCTAGGGACTGTTGTGGGGTGGGGGGAGGGGAGAGGCATAACATTAGGAGATATACCTAATGCTAAATAACGAGTTAATGGGTGCAGCACACCAGCATGGCACATGTATACATATGTAACTAACCTGCACATTGTGCACATGTACCCTAAAACTTAAAGTATAATAATAATAATAATAAAAATGAATAAGAAAAAAAATAATAATGGCCAACTTAACAGTTATGAGGTGATATCTCACTGTGGTTTTGATTTGCATTTCCCTGATGGTTAGTGGTGATAATCGTCTTTTCATATATCTATTAGCACATTTGTGTATCTTTTTTAGAGAAATGTGTATTCAAGTTCTCTGTGCATTTTTTCATTGGACTATTTGAGTGTGTTTGTTTGCTTTGAGTCATAGGAGTTACTTATGTATTTCGCATATTCACCCCATACCAGGTATATGGTTTGCAAATATCTCCTCCCATTCTATAGGTTGCCTTTTCAGTCTGTTGACTGAAAGTTTCCTTAGCGCAGACACTTTTTAGTTGAATGTAGTCCCACGTATTTGTTTTTGCTTTTTTTTTTTGTTGCCTATGTCATATCCAAGAAATCATTGCTAAGATCAATGTCAGGGAGCTTTTCCCCTATTTTCCTTCTAAGAGTTTTATAGTTTAAGGTCTTATAGTTAAGTCTTTAATCCATTTTGAGTTGACTTTTGTATATAGTGTAAGAGATAAGGTCCAGTGTCACTCCTCTGCATGTGAATATCCAGTTTTCCCAACACCATCTGTTGAAGAGACTGTTCTCTTTCCCCGTTGTGTATTCTTGGTGCCCTTTTTGAAGATCAGTTGACCATATACGTGTGAGTTTATTTCTGGGCTCTCTGTTCTATCCTAGGAATTAACATTTATTTCCCTTGTTATCCACACCATTTAGTGAGCCCATCATTCTTTTCATCTGTTTGTATTTTTGTGGGTGATAGAGAACTACTGCGATTTAAAACCTCCTAGATAGTTGAAGACACCAGATAGTTGAGCTTAAAATGATACTTAATTTGTTGTTATATTTTAGGTCTATCATATGCAAGTCACACGGTTGGTTTCACGCCACCAACTTCACTGACTAGAGCTGGAATGTCTTATTACAATTCCCCGGGTCTTCACGTGCAGCACATGGGAACATCCCATGGTATCACAGTAAGTGTCCGTGGGGTAGGAAGCAGCACTTTACTCCTGAAAGTGGTACCGACTGGTGTTCTGGAGAACAGGATCGGTGCCCTTAGACATTTGCCCTTCTTCCTGCCTCCTCCATCCGTTCACCTTGAAACTGTAGAGACTTAAACAGTTTGATACCAAATTCTGGTATTGAAACTAAAATCCTTCCCAGGAGACAAAACTTTAACTTCACTTCCTATGAAAAATTACCCTTTGTGAAATATAATTTGAACTCTGGCCAGTGCTTTGATTGAACTCTGGCCAGCTCCTTGCATTATTGTTGGTTGCCATAATGTCTAAAGATATTTATTGTCTGCACCTTCACAGTTCACTGACCTTCAGTATTCTTCCTGAAGTTAGCCTTGTTTGTAATGTTACTCAGAATTTTCTCTCCTCGAATTACAAGGAAGCTTAAGTGCATCTGGTTCCAACTCTACCCAAGGGAGTTTTTTCTTTAGAGTCGGCAATATAGTTGACTAATAGAGCCATTAGAAATGTAGCTAGTAGAGTGAGAGTATTATTAAGGGTATTTCCAATAACAGAAATACCAATATTTCAAAGAATAAATTATAATATTTTAAAGAAGAACCCTATTCTAAGAATGCACTTAAGGTATTTCTGAAGCTGTTTGGCCAGTTTGATGGACTTTATGTAAAAGTAGGAACTTTTTTTTTTTTTTTCCTCACTCTGTCATCCAGGCTGGAGTTCAGCAGCATGATGTCTGCTCACTGCAACATCCGCCTCCGGAGCTCAAGGGATTCTCTTGCCTCAGCCTCCCGAGTAGCTGGTATTACAGGCACACGGCACCACACCTGGCTGCTTTTTGTATTTTTAATAGAGACGGGGTTTTGCCCTGTTGGCCAGGCTGGTCTCGAACTCCTGGCCTCAGGTTATCCACCCACCTCTACCTCCTAAAGTGCTAGGATTACAGGTGTGAGCCACTGCACCCGGCCTCAAACATAGAAACATTTCTGTTGAGCTGTATCTTTCAGGATGTGGACAACTTATTGGAGATAAGCAATAGAGGGAATTGGTGACACACACGGAAAGAAAGATTTAAGGGGATATTTTACAGCTCTCGTTGAAGGACCCAAGTCCAGCAGTTTGTTCAACACAAGTTGTGCAGTAATTTTATGTAGCTTTTTCATAGGTGGAAGTGTAAACACTGCCTTATTTAAATTTTATTACTAGTTCAGAAACCAGTAGGGATGAAGAAAGAAATCCCTGGTTTCTTGTCTTTGTTGGTTAGTGTTTGATTAGCCCCAGTGCCAAGTCAGGCTGTGTTAGGTAGAATGAGATCCACCTGTACCTAGACTGACTTGCTGTTCCTGTCCCCTCTGCAGAGGCCTTCACCACGGAGAAGCAACAGTCCTGACAAATTCAAACGGCCCACGCCGCCTCCATCTCCCAACACACAGACCCCAGTCCAGCCACCTCCGCCTCCACCTCCGCCACCCATGCAGCCCACGGTCCCCTCAGCAGCCACCTCGCAGCCTACTCCTTCGCAACATTCGGCGCACCCCTCCTCCCAGCCTTAATGCATGAGCTTAGTCTGAATTTCAAGTTGGGACTCATCCAATGGAGCCGTCTACTCAACGCCAAAGGCTTCCTTCTCTGGCATATTTGGATATGACTTATTTGCACTGAGGTTATCTAGGCTTCACTATCCATTGTGTTGTAAATGTTTGTCAGAAATGCAGCCAGTGTTGTGGGTCTACAACACTAACCAGACGACTTTTTCCATCAGTGTTTTACTTGAATCTTCATGTACGTCCATTCCCTGGCTGGAACCTTCGCTGTTTGGTATTTGGTATTTCAGCAGCAGTGTGCAATTTTTGCTTGGCCCAGAGCTTCATTCTCCTGGCTTTTAGGTTTGTAAAAGAAAAAGGGATATCTTTTTTATATTTTTTTCCATGAATCTGCAGAAAATTACTGAGCTGTTGTTACCCTCCTCTCATTATAATAGTGTTTACCAAACATACCAATAATTCAGCACTACAATTCAGACCTTTGAAAATCTGGCTTTCAGTGTAGAACAGAAAGTTAGATGAATCAGTGCCCAAGACATATTTTCTGTTTAACAGAACTTTCTACAGATACATTTTTTACAGGTTATTTTCATTGTGTTATTGACATCCATGTCTCTCGTAAAACAGATGGCCCAAAGTAATGAATCATGTGGCTGTACCTTCTCCACATAAATGGGATGGATAATTATCGTATATTAAGATGTGATTCTCTTTTTTATCCTTAATGTTAATCTACTTAACCTGGCCCCCTCTAACATGAGTCGATAAATGTTGTCCTACTCACCGGTGGTTTCAATGGCTAATTAGAATGTGTTATTTGATTTCTGCTGCAGAAGGCAGTGTGATTGTAACAAAAACAATGCGGCTTCCCCCTTTCGTACTTCATTTGTGTTCTCTTAAAATAGAGTTTGAACAAATATTTTAAAGGTGCAAAATACCATTAGAAAATACTATTTGAAATGGACATTATCGCATTATCTTGGCATAATGGCCAGAAAATATTGTATTGCTTGGCAGAAAAGAAAATAAGGTCTAAAGGAAAGTAGCACATTAGCATTGATGGCTGTTCATTTCACCCAGTATAAGCAAGTGCAGTGTACAAAGAAGTATATTCTGAATACATTATTTCCATTCATTTAGCACAAATAAATCATTTGGTTTCACTTTGCAGTGGAACACTGAGTCACTCTTTTCTTAACACGTGCAACATCTTAATTTTTGTTTTTCAGCAGTTGCTGTTTTGTACTTTGGTAGTAAAGTGATTTTTACCACCTGTGTTTGCATATTTATATATGCTGTGGATGAAAATAACTTACTAGAGAATGTATATTTTATGACAAGAATGTGTATCTGTTGGATATAATCAGAGAACTGAAAAGTAATTTATCAGTAATTTTTAAGAGTCCATGTTTTGTGACAACCATCTCTAATAGCCAACTCTTTATTAAACACACTCCTAAAAATAAGGAACCATGACATTGTAGATATTTAATATTGTACAGTATAGAAACCTCCATTTTTGCCTTCGAATGCATATTTAAGAGTTAACAGAATGAAAAAAAAAAGTCTTGTTGGATAATAGTGTTTGACTAGCGTTTTAAGAACTTGAGAGTAAAAGCAACAATAAGATTTTTTCACCTCTTCCTGCTTCCACCCCCAAACTGAGAACATCACTCAATTGTTTGGAAGAAACTGTAGGTCTATATAAATTTTATTTATAATGTATGTGTAATATACATAATCATAATACAGTTCTCAGATGCAGGGAAGAAGTTTGGCATTTAATCATTGAGGCTTTAGGTTTTTGATGTGATCAGACTGGGCCATGTCAAACCCGGAATTTTCACCAACAGTTCACTCACCCTCCTGGTACATTGCCATTCCAAGGAATTCTGAGAGTAGGCAAACAAATTTTGCCTTCATGGTACAGTTCTCAGTTTTTCTTATAGGAGAAATATGGTATATGTTTATAAGAATCTTTTATGAGATTATAGATTTCAATGCTGTGGATAGTGTCTTGCACCCAAACAAGAAAGTCCATAATGGAATGATCTTCCCTCAGCTTCCTATCGATTTAGTTACCTCTTGAAAGCACAAAAATTAAAACATTGCCATATGTTGAATTTTTAAAAAGCACTTGGAGTGAGCGAACATTTCCTGATAAATGCCTTTTAGAGATAGGTTCTTGATATTCAGACATCTGCAGAAATGTTCTGGTTCCCAAAGTCATTTCACTTCGAAATAAAACACAGCTCCTTCAAACAGCACTTTTTCCACATAAATCTAGTTGCCTCTCCCTGTGGACATTCAGAACTGATAGAACAAACACTACTCTTTTGAATTTGATGGTTCGTGTCCTTTAAAGTGTTTGAGGACCTATGCAGAGCCTGTAACACTTGGGTAGTACCTGCTAGGACAATTTCTTGGCAATTGTCTTACTACTAGGGATCAGTAAGATTTAGATTCTGAGCCCATAATGGCAACAGCCCCCTCACCTATGGGAAGCTGACTTCCCTCAGTCGGGCACTTCTCATGGGGGCTGAACATGGTTCCTGCCATTCTGTTACCCACTCTCCCAGGTGAGCCCTGGATTGGCTCCCAGAAGGCCTTTGTAAAATCAGTAGCCGTCCTGCAGGCAGGTGGGAGCAACAGGGGCTTCAGTAGCTTCATTTTCCTGTCTTGCAGACAGAGACCCTTGGCTACCACTGTGCTGCTAATAGGATAAGTACTCTGTTGCCAGATTACCATGCCTTTTATACAAAACCAAATTAACTTACCTAATACCTGACACCTCTTTGGGCTCTGAACTGCTTTCTCTCATCAAGCATGCTAGCACTCTAGACAGAATTCTAGAAATTTGGCAGATAGTGGAAGCCTTTAATTGAACTTACTCCTTCGTTGACTGAAAGGAGTTTTAAATTCTGAGCTCCTGAGATACTGACTAGCAACCATGGAATGAATGTGTGACCAGAAAGTGGCTTTGACACCAAGTGCTACTGTCCCTTTGTAATTGGCTTCTAACAGAATTCAACCAGAAATAATTGATAATGTGAATTTTTGTTAATTGTTCACTTGTAGGAAAATAGAACATGTATCACCCTTTGTTAGGTAGACATGAACTTTTCCTGCACAAAGCCTTGCTTTTAGAGAATGCCCAATAAGGCAAGAAAAAGCATAGTAACTTGTGCTTTGAGAGCTCAATATTTGTATCTTATCAGTACAGAAGAAATATTTCTGTGTAACTTGATCTTCTGTCTAGTACTTGTCTTATAGGTAACCAACACTGAAAACTTTGTAGTGATGACTACCAAAGAAATACATAGTAAAACAACCTTTTATTTCCAAATTGTTAAAGAGCCAGCCATTGATGCTGCTACATGAGTTCCATGCTCAAGAGCCATTGTAAGAGATTAAGGGGTTTCTAGGTTTTTGGTGATTTTTTGTTTGTTTTTTTCTTTGTTTTTTAGGGTTTTTTTTTCTTCTTTAATTTTTTGATTAAAACATACACACAGCTGTTAGCATAAAGTCGTGGGGGGCATTTTCTGGAATGCTCAGCAGTTCTGATTAACTGCCAAGCCCAGGTTGCCTCTCATGAGGCAACTGAAAAAATCCTGTGTCTTGATAGCATGGGTGCTGTGTGTGTGCATGTGTGTGTCTGCATTCATGCCTTAACTCGGGTTACTGCACAACTTTAGTTCTTGACTTAGTCTGCACCGTCATCTAGATTGTATTGTACATCTCGGTCTGAACTTCATCCTGGCAAAAACAAAGTTGCAGGCACAACAGTTTAAGAATGCATTCCTCCAGAAGAGTATCTGGTCAGGTTGACCCCTGAGCCTTCTTTGGACTTGATTTGGAACTTAGCCTGGAAAGCGAAAGTGGACTGTCCAACAGAAAGATGTCAACAAGGAAAAGAGGAGAGCCAAGCGCTAGCATGCCTTTTGCCTCTGCATATCTGTGCACACTGTATGTTGTTCATGATAGCTTGTCTACAACTTGACTAGGTTGGAGTTCTGGTAATAGTGGCAATCTTGACATTCTTGGTCAGAGTTTAGAGAGATGTAAGACTTTCAATTAATGTCTTATTTACTCCTTTATGTTGATTAGTCTTTGATACATGTGCTGAATCAGAAACCTAAATAAAGATAATTTTTTAAAATGTACCTCTTGAGCCTTAAACCCTATCTTTTTTCATTTCGGTTTTTGGGAATAAAACATTGTTTCTCTGTTGCTTCTGACAGACATCTAACTTAAATTGTAAACTCTAAAGGCTGCCTTAGAAAGTAAATTTAAACAACTGGGTGCAGTGACACAAGCCTGTAGTCCCAGCTACTCAGGAGTCTGGGGTGGGAGGATCACTTGAGCCTTGAGAGTTCGAGGCTGTAGTGAGCTAGGATTGCGCCATTGCACTCCAGCCTGGGTGTCAAAGGAAGATCCCATCTCCAAAAAAAAATAAGGAATGATGGCACGAAAAGGGCTGGTATAGTTTTGCTTATTTGTTTTTGACGGAGTCTCACTCTGCCACCCAGGCTGGAGTGCAGTGGTGCAATCTTGGCTCACTGCAACCTCCACCTCCTGGGTTCAAGCAATTATCCTGCTTCAGCCTCCCAAGTAGCTGGGACTACAGGTATGTGCCAACACGCCAATACAAGTTAATTTTTGTATTTTTAGTAGAGACGGGGTTTTGCCACATTGACCAGGCCGGTCTCAAACTCCTGACCTCAGGTGATCCACCTGCCTCAGCCTCTTAAAGTGCTGGGATTACAGGCGTGAGCCACCATGCCTGGCTAGTTTTGTTTCTTAATCAGAGTGCTGGCTGCTTGGATGTGTTGAGGTTTTGAAAATTCATGAAACCGTACACTTAACGATTTGTGCACTGCTCTGTATTTGTGTTGTATTTCAGTTTAAAGCAGTAAACCTGAGGTTATGAAAAGGAAAACCATGCCCATTTCCAAAATGTTACATACAAATATTTATGTACAGGATTTGGATGTCACATTTGGGATGTTTCGTGAGCTTTAAAGTTTCAATCCACCTGTTTGGTGTTTTTTTTCTCTACTTTGTTGGAAGCATGGCTTTGGGATCAATTCTAGGTTTGAGTACCAATTATTTTCCTGGGATAGTTACTTAACTTTTCTGGGACTCAAGTTCCTTACCTGTAAAATAAAAATGTTATTTATGTGCCTGGCTAAAATAAGAAAATTGATGGATGGTACAGTATAGTCCTTCACACACAAAATCAGACGTGGACTAGTCTCTTCCACATCCATCCAATGAATGAGTATTTGGGGTAATGTTTTACACATGCTTGGGGGTATATGGTTTGTCAGTTGCATTTTCGTAAGCCCATAGTAGTTAGAGTCCACATTCTGTGGAAGAAATGCACAGTACTCAGTGGGATCCTCTTGGGAGTATAGTTTTCAAGAACCCATTTGTGATGCCGTCGTTTTTTTTTTTTTTTCTTTTTTTTGAGACAGAGTCTTTCTCTGTCACCCAGGCTGGAGTTCGGCTCACTGCAACCTCCCCACCTCCTGCGTTCAAACAATTCTCCTGCCTCAGCCTTCCCAGTAGCTGGGATTACAGGTGCCTGCCACCACGCCCAGCTAATTTTTTGCATTTTTAGTAGAGACGGGGTTTTGCCATCTTGGCCAGGCTGGTCTCGGACTCCTGACCTCTGGTGGTGACCCACCCACCTCGGCCTTCCAAAGTATTGGGATTACAGGCATGATGTGATGCCATCTTATGAGTGCAGACTGTTTAAATCTAGGCTGTTTTCTATATAAAAGTAAATAAACCTTCAGTGAATCTTGACTGACTCTGGCTTAAGCAGGATTCCATTTTAACTTCGTGAAAGCAATGAGTTTTTAATTTGGTTGAAATGACCAAATGACAAAACTCCTCTCTACCCGTGGCAGCTGGATTTTAGTTGTAACTTGGTGAAAATATTAGCCAAGGAATTTCCCAGGACCTCTGGATTCAAGTCTTAACCTTCGTCCTGCCTTAGCCTCAGTTTTCTACTGGTGGAGATAGCTGTTCTTATTTCAGGTCAAATTTGAAGAAAATTATTTAAACAAAGTGCTCTGAAAACAAGTAAGTAAAGATTAAGCTGCATGTGTATTTTATAAAATTTTAATATCTTTTAAAGGCTATGTGTCCACATGGTGCCTCTAAAATTGAAACGGTTGGTCTAGAACATTTTTTGTGTTTATGTAGAACTCTTAAGTAAATCTGAGAGGTCCTTGTTTTAACATGTAGGCTATTTAAATTAAAAACTTGTGGAAATGCAATTCTGTCACTAATATATAATTCAGCTCAAACTTTTAAACATTGTCTTTAGAAAAACAAGAAGTCAGTGCATGGTAAATTATGGTTTGTGTCTGATGCATATGTTGACATGAGGGATTGAATTCCTGTTCCTTAAAGTTTTCTGTCCAGTATCATCCCTGGTTTCATATTGCATTGAGTGCTATTGAGCTGAATATATTTAGATCTTTTTCCAAAGGTCTTATTTTCTGATACTCTACTGATAACTTAGTGCAACTTTCAAGATTACTAATTACCCCAAGAGGAGATCTTAGTAATTAATCTTAAATTTTTCATCTTAAAAACAAAAAAGGGAAAGTCAGACTCAGAAAAACAGATGTTTTTCTCTCAGGGAAACAATGATAGAATTAACAGACAAGGATGTGAAAACAGAGACTTATAAACGTTCTCCATGTGTTCAAGAAGACAGCGAAGTATAAGCATGGTCAGAAAAATTGAAAATAAAACCTAAGTTGATCTTTAAAGATAAAAAATACAATTTCTGAAATTTAAAACAATAAAAACTTGTTTTAAGTCTTTTGTGGATTTATGTTTGTGCTCTTTGAATGTACCTGAGAAACATTAAAAGGCACCCCTGCTGGTCGGGCACTGGCACAGTGGCTCACACCTGTAATCCCAACAATCCTTCCAGCCAAGGCAGGAGGATTGCTTGAAGCCAGGAGTTTGAGACCAGCCTGATCAACATAGTGAGACCCCCATCTCTACCAAAAATTAAAAATTAGCCAGGCATGGTGGTGCATGCCTGTTTTTCTAGCTACTCAGGAGGCTGAGGTGGGAGGATTGCCTGAGCCCAGGAGTTTTAGGCTGCAGTGAACTATGATCATGCCACTGCATTCCAGCCTGGGGAACAGAGTGAGACCCTGTCTCTAAAGAAAAGTTGGGCAATGATAGACTGGATTAAGAAAGTGTGTCACATATACACCATGGAATACTATGCAGCCATAAAAAATGATGAGTTCATGTCCTTTGTAGGAACATGCATGAAGCTGGAAACCATCATTCTCAGCAAACTATCGCAAGGACAAAAAACCAAACACCGCATGTTCTCACTCATAGGTGGGAATTGAACAATGAGAACACATGGACACAGGAAGGGGAACATCACACACCGGGGCCTGTTGTGGGGTGGGGGGAAGGGGGAGGGATAGCATTAGGAGATATACCTAATGTTAAATGATGAGTTAATGGGTGCAGCACACCAACATGGCACATGTATACACACGTAACTAGCCTGCACATTGTGCACATGTACCCTAAAACTTAAAGTATAATAAAAAAATTGGGGTTGTGGTGGGGCAGAGAACTGTTTAAATTCGAGTTAAGCCTGTGATCTACTTTTCTTTCACCAGGGGAGCTTTGCCTGTGTTCTGGTAGACCACTATTGGGAAATTATTAATCCTGGGGACTTACTACCCAAATTCATCACATTAGTGTTGGGCATGAAGCCTCAAGGCTTAAGGTAGCCAGGTGCTGTAGAAAGAGTCCTGTGAGTTCAAGTCTGGTCTAAGTGCAATTTTTAAGCTTCTATTTCCTCATCTATAAAAGAGGAATGAAAATGGTGTCTTTAGGATCAAATGAACATATTAGTGTTAAAACTTTAGAGACTATAAGGTTCTTTTTTTGTATTGTAACTTCACTATTTCCAATATCATTTCATTCATTCTACAAATACTCTTTTTTTTTTTATTATACTTTAAGTTTTAGGGTACATGTGCACAGTGTGCAGGTTAGTTACATATGTATACATGTGCCATGCTGGTGCGCTGCACCCACTAACTCGTCATCTAGCATTAGGTATATCTCCGAATGCTATCCCTCCCCCCTCCCCCCACCCCACTACAGTCCCCAGAGTGTGATATTCCCCTTCCTGTGTCCATGTGATCTCATTGTTCAATTCCTACCTGTGAGTGAGAATATGCGGTGTTTGGTTTTTTGTTCTTGCGATTGTTTACTGAGAATGATGATTTCCAATTTCATCCATGTCCCTACAAAGGACATGAACTCATCATTTTTTATGGCTGCATAGTATTCCATGGTGTATATGTGCCACATTTTCTTAATCCAGTCTATCATTGTTGGACATTTGGGTTGGTTCCAAGTCTTTGCTATTGTGAATAATGCCGCAATAAATATACGTGTGCATGTGTCTTTATAGCAGCGTGATTTATAGTCCTTTGGGTATATACCCAGTAATGGGATGGCTGGGTCAAATGGTATCAAGTGGCCTTCATCCCTGGGAGGCAAGGCGGGTTCAATATATGCAAATCAATAAATGTAATCCAGCATATAAACAGAGCCAAAGACAAAAACCACATGATTATCTCAATAGATGCAGAAGAGGCCTTTGACAAAATTCAACAACTCTTCATCGTAAAAACTCTCAATAAATTAGGTATTGATGGGACGTGTTTCAAAATAATAAGAGCTAGCTATGACAAACCCACAGCCAATATCATACTGAATGGGCAAAAACTGGAAGCATTCCCTTTGAAAACTGGCACAAGACAGGGATGCCCTCTCTCACCACTCCTATTCAACATAGTGTTGGAAGTTCTGGCCAGGGCAATTAGGCAGGAGAAGGAAATAAAGGGTATTCAATTAGGAAAAGAGGAAGTCAAATTGTCCCTGTTTGCAGACGACATGATTGTATATCTAGAAAACCCTATTGTCTCAGCCCAAAATCTCCTTAAGCTGATAAGCAACTTCAGCAAAGTCTCAGGATACAAAATCAATGTACAAAAATCACAAGCATTATTATACACCAACAACAGACAAACAGAGAGCCAAATCATGAGTGAACTCCCATTCACAATTGCTTCAAAGAGAATAAAATACCTAGGAATCCAACTTACAAGGGATGTGAAGGACCTCTTCAAGGACAACTACAAACCACTGCTCAAGGAAATAAAAGAGGATACAAACAAATGGAAGAACATTCCATGCTCATGGGTAGGAAGAATCAATATCGTGAAAATGGCCATACTGCCCAAGATAATTTACAGATTCAATGCCATCCCCATCAAGCTACCAATGACTTTCTTCACAGAATTGGAAAAAACTACTTTAAAGTTCATATGGAACCAAAAAAGAGCCTGCATCACCAAGGCAATCCTAAGCCAAAAGAACAAAGCTGGAGGCATCACACTACCTGACTTCAAACTATACTACAAGGCTACAGTAACCAAAACAGCATGGTACTGGTACCAAAATAGAGATATAGATCAATGGAACAGAACAGAGCCCTCAGAAATAACGCCGCATGTCTACAACTATCTGATCTTTGACAAACCTGAGAAAAACAAGCAATGGGGAAAGGATTCCCTATTTAATAAATGGTGCTGGGAAAACTGGCTAGCCATATGTAGAAAGCTGAAACTGGATCCCTTCCTTACACCTTATACAAAAATCAATTCAAGATGGATTAAAGACTTAAACGTTAGACCTAAAACCATAAAAACCCTAGAAGAAAACCTAGGCATTACCATTCAGGACATAGGCATGGGCAAGGACTTCATATCCAAAACACCAAAATCAATGGCAACAAAAGCCAAAATTGACAAATGGGATCTAATTAAACTAAAGAGCTTCTGCACAGCAAAAGAAACTACCATCAGAGTGAACAGGCAACCTACAAAATGGGAGAAAATTTTCGCAACCTACTCATCTGACAAATACTCTTAAAACACCAATTATATCAGCCATTGTGTGTGGCACTGAGAGTGCAGTGGGGAGCAAGGAGGCTGCAGTTTCTTCTCAAGCGCGGTGAGTATTGGGATCGGGACTCCTCAGCACCAGAAGAAAGAAAGGGTCAGAGAAGGCTTCGGAAGCGATTGATCTTTAAGCAGTTTATTGAAGAACAGGTGAGATTTAGGTGAGGGGTCTAAGACAGAAGGATCAGCCTATGTGGAGACTGGGGGCATAAGACCCTTGGTTCAGGTGGTGACTGTTTGGGGTCCGTGAGACAGACTTGGGTGCAGAAAACTTACTTGCAAGGTGATTCCAGGAAGTAGAAGGAGAGTAGAGAAAGTGAGGCCAGTGAAAGATAAGTTAAGAGCTGGTTAGTGAGTGGGCAATTGGAACTCAAGGCCGCTAGGGTATCCCCAAGGAATAACTCAGAACATGCTTCAGCATTGTCCCACTAGAGGACCGAGCTGCTGGAACTGGGGTCCACTGGCTCCTTTCACCCACTGGTTGAAGGTGCCCCTGGAGAGAATGACCCCCCAGCCCAATTTGGGTTTTCTGGATTGTGTTTAAGAGGATTCCTCAAAGCCCTGAGGCAGCAAAGCCTCCAGTGGCTGCCTCATGCTTAATGAAGGATGCTGGCAAGGTGCATGAGTGTCCACAGTGGAATCAGGTGGGACACAGGGCATGATGCCTTGCACTAGGTCTGTTACAGGTGGACTGGACTGGGGGTGCTAAAAAGCTCTCACCGTCATTTGGTTTAGCTTGAACACATGAAAATTTGAAATACTTTTTTTTTTTTTTTTTTTTGAGATGGAGTTTTGCTCTTGTTGCCCGGGCTGGAGTGCAATGGCACAATCTTAGCTCACTGCAACCTCTGCCTCCCAGGTTCAATTGATTCTCCTGCCTCAGCCTCCCGATTAGCTGAGATTACAGGCACGTACCACCATGCCCGGCTAATTTTGTATTTTTAGTAGAGACGGGGTTTCTTCATGTTGGTCAGGCTGGTCTCGAACTCCTGACCTCAGGTGATCTGCCCGCGTCGGCCTCCCAAAGTGCTGGGATTAGAGGCATGAGCCACCGTGCCCAGCCTGAAATAGTTTTTAATTTAAAGATGAAGTAGACTTGCATTGTAAAAACCCAGATTCCTAATTTCTCTTGAAAGATAAGGTAGCAGCAGGGCCTCATCCGTCCATTGCACAATCAGCTAGGGCTGAACAATACCTACAATACCTATCCTCTGGCATAGAGTATTTCAGGGGTGAAAGAAGTTTGACACAGCCAGAGCTTGCGTGCATGCTTGGGAAAAAGAGGTGAAAATGAAACCCAGTTTGGAGAGAGGTCTGCACCAGAAGTTCCTAGCACATGTTCAGCTAACAATAAGATGGTTCGTAGACACAAGGGACTGTGATAAATCAGTATTATGAGACTCAAGGTTGGTCACGATATGAGATAAGATCAAAGTGTTAGTGGGTTCTCAGCTGTGATACTATCTAATTTGCCCCTTACTCTTCCCAAATTCCATATATAGCATGATTTCAGCAAGCTGAGATGAGGCTGTGCTCATAGGTCTAGAGTTACAGAGGTGAGTCAGACAGGTATATGTTGATAAATGTTTAACAGTTCTGCTTTCTGAGAGAATAGCTCTGATTTATTTATTTATTTATTTATTTATTTATTTATTTATTTATTTATAGATTATTTTTGAGACTGAGTCTCACACTCTGTCGCCCAGGCTGGAGTGCAGTGGCACAATCTCTGCTCACTGCAACCTCTGCCACCTGGGTTCAAGCGATTCTCCTGCCTCAGCTTCCAGAGTAGCTGGGATTACAGGCACCTGCCACCGCGCCTGGCTAATTTTTGTATTTTTAGTAGAGACGGGGTTTAACCATCTTGCTCAGGCTGGTCTCAAACTCCTGACTTCGTGATCCACCCACCTCAGCCTCCCAAATGCTGGGATTATTGGCGTGAGCCACCACACCTGGCAGAATAGCTCTGATTTTTATTGCTTGCTGGTTTTTGTAGTGTAAATACCCCCCACCATGGCTGATTTTGATCCACCGATGTGAATTCACTGAACTTGGAGAGACATGTGCCATAGTACACCATTGCATAGTTTTTCTACCATACAAATATATTAAATATAAATAACCTTAAGAGCATGATAAAAGTACAATGTAAAATAATTAGGAAGGTGGGGTGTTTTGACTATGTACCACCTTTGTTCTTAATACAAACTTTTGAAACAACATAAACTTTTATAATTAATAACTTAATATAATAACAATATAATAACCTAATATAAACTTTTGAAATGTCATTCTATATAATTTAATTTTTAATATTGTCTGCTTAACAGCCAGCTCACAAAATTCATGGAAGTTTAACATTTGGTTCTTGTGAGCTTTTTGAGCTGGTTCTAGCATGTCTCTGCACCCGGAGGTAGGTAGAAACTCCTTCATCAGAAGGCCTCTGGGGTTTGGAGCTCTCATGGCAAGTGCAGTGGTGACAGTAGGGAAAGTAATTTATTTTGGGAAGCTCAAATCCCCTTCACAGCTGCAGGGTCAGAACAAGCTTGGTCTGGATTTGGCAGAGACAGGAGGTTGGGTGAGACTCCCTCAGGAATCTCAAGACAGCAGAGGCAGCTGCTTTTGGAGGAAGGATCCCATGTGCCGAGTGCAAGGCTGTTCGTTACACTGGGGTATGCTCATCTCAGGAGCTTGAGTATGCAAGTTTCTTAGGCAGCATGGCTTTTGTATTCATAGTTTTTCCACCCTAGCCTGCCTTTATCTTCCCTCACCATTATCCTAATTTTCAGCCAGGACAGGAGGCCAAAAGCTCATTCTGCAGAAGCAGGGACTTTACAAGGGGGCCTGAGGAGCTCCGCTGGGCGATCACTTCTCTTGCAGCTGTGCTGTTGTCAGGCAGTCTAGACTAGGCTGGCTGCCCTTCATCCTTTTCCTCTTTGTCTGGGTCTGACTATAAACTGAGACACATAAAGTTTAACTAACTTGCCAATAATCATGCATGCAGTGAATGACAAGGCCAGACAGTCTGGCTCCAGAACGTGTGATCTTAACCACTTGATGGGAAAAAATTGGTAAGAAGGTGGGTGTATGCATTGTGAGGCAGGCCTGTCAGACTTAAGGAATTTCAGAGTAGGGACCCCGTCATGAAACCCTTGGGAAGCTATTGGAGGTGTCAGAGCGAAGAGGCGGGGGGCTGATTTGGTTCATATTGGAGAGAAAGGAAGACTGTGAACTCTGAAGAGGTACTCGTCTTACACGTGTGTATATGTGTGTGTTGGCTAGGCATGCTCTCAGAAACAAAGAAGCCTGCCTCTCCATGCACCGGTCAGCAGCTGTGTGACCAGGGATGCCTGTACCAAAGGGGAAATGGATTGAACACTCTCTGGACAGTTGATGTGAAAAAATGATGGTTAATTTCTAGATATGATAATGGTATTGGACTTATTTCCTTATTGTTGTTTTAAGGGGTTTGTTTGTTTGTTTCAGACAGGGTCTCACCCTGTTACCCAGGCTGGAGTGCAGTGGCGTGATTTCGGCTCACTGCAGCGTCAGCCTCCTGGGCTCAAGGTGTCCTCTTACCTCAGCCTCCTGCCTAACTAGGACTACAGGTGCATGCCACCACACCTGGCTGGTTTTCATATTTTTTGTAGAGATGGGGTTTTGCCACATTGCCCAGCTGGTTTTGAACGCCTGGACTCAAGCAATCCATTTGCCTTGACCTTCCAAAGTGCTGGAATTACAGTCATGAGCCACCACACCGGGCCTATTTTTAAAGTTTTTATTCTTGGTTATAGCTATTTACCTGAGAATCTGGGCCTTAGATCCATGGGAAATACCAGGACCCTAGAATGAAGGTGCTGGGGAAGTTCACATCTCACATTCAGGAAAGATTCTAGGTTTACTATGGGATCATGAATTTGGAGGAGGTTTCCCCATAATTATGAGTTCAAAGGCTTACTCAGCAGAGCCAACATGGAGTCAACAGGGTTGCCTGAGAGATACCAGAGTATGGCTGGTGATATGGTTTGGCTGTGTCCCCACCCAAACCTCAACTTGAATTGTATCTCCCAGAATTCCCACATGTCATGGGAGGGACCCAGGGGGAGGTAATTGAATCATGGAAGCCAGTCTTTCCCATGCTATCCTCATGATACTGAATACATCTCACGAGATCTGATGGGTTTATCACGGGTTTCTACTTTTGCTTCTTCCTCATTCTCTCTTGGCATCACCATGTAAGAAGTGCCTTTTGCCTCCCTCCATGACTGTGAGACCTCCCCAGCCATGTGGAACTGTAAGTCCAATTAAACCTCTTTTTGTTCCCAGTTTCGGGTATGTCTTTATCAGCAATGTGAAAATGAACTAATACAATTAATTGGTACCAGTAGAGTGGGGCATAGCTGAAAAGATACCCAAAAATTTGGAAGTGACTTTGGAACTGGGTAACAGGCAGAGGTTGGAACAGTTTGGAGGACTCAGAAGAAGACAGGAAAATGTGGAAAAGTTTGGAACCTCCTAGAGATTTGTTGAATGGCTTTGACAAAATTGCTGATAGTGATATGAAAAATGAGGTCCAGGCTGAGGTGGTCTCAGGTGGAGATTAGGAACTTGTTGGGAACTGGAGCAAAGGTGACTCTTGTTATGTTTTAGCAAAGAGACTGGTGGCATTTTGTCCCTGCCCTAGAGATTTGTGGAACTTTGAACTTGAGAGAGATGATTTAGGGTATCTGGCAGAATAAATTTATAAGCAGCAAAGCCTTCAAAAGGTGACTTGGGTGCTGTTAAAAGCATTCCATTTTAAAAGGGAAACAAAGCATAAACGTTTCAGAAAATTTGCAACCTGATGATGCAGTAGGAAAGAAAAACCCATTTTTTGAGGAGAAATTCAAGTCGGCTGCAGAAATTTGCATAAGCAGCAAGGAGCCTAATGTTAATCCCCAAGACCATGAGGAAAATGTCTCCAGGCCTTGTCAGAGACCTTCACAGCAGCCCCTCCCATCACAGGCCCAGAGGCAGGAGGCCCAGGAGGAAAAAGTGGTTTTGTGGGCCAGGCCTAGGGTCCCCGTGCTGTTTGCAGCCTAGGGACTTGGTGTCCTGTGTCCCAGATGCTCCAGCTATGGCTGAAAGGGGCCAACGTAGAGCTCAGACTGTGGCTTCAGAGGGTGGACACCCCAAGCTTTGGCAGCTTCCAAGTGCTGTTGAGCCCGCAGGTACACAGAAGTCAAGAACTGAAGTTTGGGAACCTCTGTCTGGATTTCAGAAAATGTATGGAAACACCTGGATGCCCAGGCAAAAGTTTGCTGCAGGGGCGGAGCCCTCATGGAGAACCTCTGCTGGGGCAGTCTGGAGGGAAATGTGGGGTTGGAGCCCCCACACAGAGTCCCTCCTGGGGCACTGCCCAGTGGAGATGTGAGAAGAGGGCCACTGTCCTCTAGATTCCAGAATGGTAGATCCACTGGCAGCTTGCACTGTGAGCCTGGAAAAGCCACAGACACTCAATGCCAGCCCATGAAAGCAGCCAGGAAGGAGGCTGTACCCTGCAAAGCCACAGGGGAGGAACTGCCCAAGACCATGGGAACCCACTTTTTGTATCAGCATGACCTGGACCTGAGACCTGGAGTCAAGGGAGATCATTTTGGAGCTTTAAAATTTGACTGCCCCACTGGATTTCGGACTTGCATGTGCCCTGTAACCCCTTTGTTTTGGCCAATTTCTCCCATTTGGAATGGCTGTATTTACCCAATACCTGTACCCCTATTGTATCTTGGTAGTAACTAGCTTGCGTTTGATTTTATATGCTCATAGGTGGAAGGGACTTGCCTTGTCTCAGATGAGACTTTGGACTGTGGACTTCTGGGTTAATGCTGAAATGAGTTAAGACTTTGGGGGACTGTTGAGAAGGGATGATTGGTTTTGAAATGTTAGGACATGAGATTTGGAGGGTCCAGGGGTAGAATGATATGGTTTGGCTGTGTCTCCACCCAAATCCCAACTTGAATTGTATCTCCCAGAGTTCCCACATGTTGTGGGAGGGACCCATGGGGGCCGGTCTTTCTGATGTTATTTTCATGATAGTGAGTAAGTCTCATGAGATCTGATGGGTTTATCAGGGGTTTCCACTTTTGCTTCTTCCACATTCTGTCTTGCCACCACCATGTAAGAAGTGTCTTTTGCCTCTCGCCATGATTCTGAGGCCTCCCCAGCCATGGAGAACCTCTTTTTGTTCCCAGTTCCAATTAAACCTCTTTTTGTTCCCAGGGTATGTCTTTATCAGCATCATGAAAACAAACTAATACAGCTGGAAAAGGGCAGACCGCCAAGCAGCAGATGATGCAGGTTTAAGGTAGACTCTTCCTTAATTTATGGTAACTCCTACATTGTCTTTAATGTTACTGGATTTTTTTCCCTACTTTTTATTAATGCATAAGATGCATTCAGCCTGTTTCTTATCTCTATAATAAAAATACCTTAAAAATATATGTATATTTTAGAGGTTTGTAAATGAAGTATTTGCAGAGACAATGACATGATATCGTGGATTTGCCTTAAAATAATTCGTAGAGGATGGAGAAGTGGGTGTGGGTATAGAGGAAGCACGATGGGCAGTATGCCAATGGCCTAACCTAGGTGATGGATACCAGAGCATTCATTATACTTTCTCTACTTCAGTATGTGTTTAAGATGTTTATAGTAAAGTTTTCAGAAATTGAGAGAATGGTAATCAACAGAGTTTTTTTAAACTTTTAAGTTCAGGGGTACATGTACTGGTTTGTTATATAGGTAAACTCATGTCATAGGGGTTTGTTACACGCATTATTTCATCACCCAGGTATTAAGCCTAGTAAACATTAGTTATTTTTTCTGATTCTCTCCCTCCCCCAACCCTCTACCCTCTGGTAGGCCCCAGTGTCTGTTGTTCCCCTCTATGAGTGCATGTGTTCTCATCACTTAGCTCCCATTTATCAGTGAGAACATGTGGTATTTAATTTTCTGTTCCTGCATTAGTTCACTGAGGATAATGGCCTCCAGTTCTATCCATGTTCCTGCAAAGGACATGATCTCGTTCTTTTTTATGGCTGCATAGTAGTCTGTGGTGTATATGCAGCACATTTTCTTTATCTAGTCTATCATTGATGGGCATTTAGGTTGGGAATCAATAGATTTTTAAAGATGGAAAGGAAGAAGAGAGTGTTGGAAAAGACAGTGCTAGTGATACTACCATAGAAATTATGGTTTTTGCCAGCAGGCAATGGTATTTTATACACCACCTTCCAAAATGAGAAACATAGAAAGGAATTGAAGGAATTGTTCATAACTGAGCTTAAGTTTGTGGGCTCTGGGCAACTAGTTTGGAGTGATTGACATGCTGGTTAATTTGAAACCAAGAAAATGTTCTCTCTTTTATTCCTTTTTATAGACATACTTTTCCATGGATAACAGGGCTGGCATGGTAGGGGGTGGTTTCCTTTTGTTTTGGAAAGACCACTGCCTGCAGTTGTCCTGTGGGGTTCTAACCTTTTAGTTGGAGTGTGATGTTGCTGTCATTATGTTTTGAGTTAACCTCATGGCACTCAATTGGGTTGAATTCACATAGCTTGTGCGTCCTGATGAAGTTACATCAGTACTGAGGCTTCTGAAGAAATAATCTACATTTAACCAAGTATCAGAGTGAGATATCTATAAGTATGCAGGAGTGAAGACCTAGATTAGGAAGAGGAAGTCCATTAGGCTTTATTTTACTGCAGTTTTTCATTTTTCTTTTTCTTGTGTGTGTGTGTGTGTGTGTGTGTGTGTGTGTGTGTGTGTGTGAGAGAGAGAGAGAGAGAGAGAGAGAGAAAATGTAAGGTTCAGCTTTTTTTTTTTTTTTTTTTTGAGACAGAGTCTTGCTCTGTTGCCCAGGCTGGAGTGCAGTGGCAGTGGCACCATCTCAGCTCACTGCTATCTCCACCTCCCAGGTTGAGCAATTCTCCTGCCTCAGCCTCCCGAGAAGCTGGGACTACAGGCACCCACCACCATGCCTGGCTAATTTGTGTACTCTTAGTAGAGACGGGTTTCACATTAGCCAGGCTGGTCTCAAACTCCTGACCTCAGGTAATCCGCCCACCTCGGCCTCCCGAAGTGCTGGGATTACAGGCGTGAGCTACCATACCCAGCCTTGGGTGCTTTTAAAAATGCTGGCCTTTCTCCATTCTGGACATTTGTGATTCACTGCAGAAGGTATTCAGCTTATGCAATGTATGACCCCAGGTTGAGTAGTATGGCTGCACAAAAATCAAGGTGGTATATAGAATAAGTGGTCAGTCCTCTGATGGTGTGGCTCTAAGGTATGTTTAACGTCCTGCTTGAGCAATTTCAGACATTTGTAGTAGCTTCTAACTTCCTTGTCTCACTGGCCCTAGGTCAGTACTTAAGAATAGTAATTTAAACATTTTTGTAAATGGCTACATGGATGTGGGCAACACATTTCTGATGCTCTGAGCTCCTCCTCTAAGGGGGTCATCATGCCTTTAGTCTTGGCTGTAAAACAAAATGGTTTAATAGAACCAAAAGTAGAGAAATATAGAGTGAAGGAAGCCTCCAGTCTTCTCTACTCTTCTCCTAACTCTCTACAAGGGCCAAGTTTGTCGATCTGATTGGATTAGAGTCTATGTTAGAGCCAGGGAACCAGCAAAAGTTTCATCAGACTCTCCTGGTACCCAGATTTCCAGCCATGTTCTTAAATCTGATGAATCCTGCCTTCCTGTTCTATTTCCCATTCTGGAAATAGGTACTTGATTTCCTTGTTCCTAAAGAAACGGAGATTAGTTTGACTCAGCTATCTAAGGTGATTTACTGAAATGGGAGTTATAACAACTTGGAAAGAAAAAGGAGTGATTTTTTTCTGTTAAAGCAATTAAAAACCAAGTACTGTTTTATGTTACTTTCTGTGAAATTTAGGAAAACAGGTGCTTTACATTGGCATTAAGATCCTCAATTGTTAAATTTATTTAATTGCCATTCAGACAAAGTGAAGCTTCTTTAAGTTATTATCATTCTTTATGCTATGAGAGTTCCTTCAAAGGCTAGGGAGAAATTACTCACAGTTTGAATTCTGAGCCAGGTTTGATCTGAAGCGTCTATAAGCCCAAACCCTGAAATGAATTTTTGTTTTTGCATGATAAATGAGTTATCTATAATAGTCATCCCCAACCTTTTTGGCAACAGGGACTGGTTTCATGGAAGACTATTTTTCAACATGGGCAAAGGGTGGGGATGGCGAGATGGTTTCGAGTTGAAACTGTCCCACCTCAGATCATCAGGCATTAGATTCTCATAAGGAGCGTGCAACCTAGATCCCTCACATGCACGGTTCACAATAGGGTTTGTGCTCCTATGAGAGTCTAATGCTGCTGTTGATCTGATAGGAGGCGGAGCTCAGGCAGTAATTCTCACTCTCCCCCCCTTCACTTCCTGCTGTGTGGCCTGGTTCCTAACAGGCCACAGATGGGACCAGTACTGGTCTGCAGCCCGGGGATTGGGGACCTCTGATCTATAAGGCTGGATCAGCCCATCAGTGGCTCTGAAGGAGAGCCAGCCTATAAAGAGGGGTTGCACTCATCCACTTTGATCTCTCTGGGTTAATAAATTACCAAGAATTTTATTGCTCCAGGATTTACCCTCTTGTCAAATCTAGCTACAAAGAGACCAAACAGCTCAGTTGATACTAGGTGTGACTCCTTTCTTTCTTTTTTTTTAAAAAAAAAAATTAGCATAGAAATATATGCTTTTGTTGTAGCTATTCTGTATATTTTAAGACATGGTACCAGGGAATCTGAATTCCAATAGTGGCTCTATCACCCATATCCTTAGATAAATTGCATAACCACTCTGAGTGGTTTTCTTCTTTTTTCTCATAGACTTGTATGAGAACGAATGTGTTACTCTTGTGTTACTCTGTGTGAAGCTCTTAGAATGGGGACTAGAGAAAGTTAAGCCCTCAATATATGAGAATTGTTATTAAATAGTCCTATATTCAATGGTTTCACCACACTAAGATTGTCACAATATTGAATTCTGATGATAGAAGTCAACTTAACTTGTCATAGCTCTGTTTTTCTATTTCAGTGCTCATTGTCTGAAAGTGTAATTTAAAAAGACCATTGCATTCTTCAAAACCAGCTTAGTTTTCTTGGCAGTAGTGGTGTGTAAATGCTGTAGCTAAAATATGGAATATTATCTTTCAGAATTTTTCCGAGTTGTATATATTCTCCTTTGGAGCACTGTGTGGTTTATCAAGAATTACTCCTGTGCTTTATTCTTACCAAGTTCCTGCTTTGACCATGTGATGATATACTGTCAGTCCCCAGAACGGAGCAGAACTCTCCACCTCAGAGGTACTCACCTGGGTTGGCAGCACCACTTCCTCCCATTTGCCCAGAATTGCAACTAGGCCAAAATTGAATCTGACAGGACAGAGACATTGGCAATACCTTTAGATTACTGTTATCTGTCACTTCCTCCCCACTACCCCCCACCATCCCAAAGACAGTCTCACCTCTTTAAAAACTATTAGGCTAATTAAGGACAGGAAGTTAGTTTCCTGACAAATATTATTGTTGAAGTATAGTCCTTTAGTTACATATTTCCAATTGTCTCACTTTGGATAAATCTTTCTGAAATATGCCATTCTCCCTTCCTAAAACAAAGTTCCCTCACGTGGGATCCTGCTAAGGATCATTCTGCTAAGGATAAACAAAAAGATTCTTGCTGACTCTAACATCACCAAAGGATGTGCAGAGCCTGGAGTTTGACGAATGCTTCCTTCTGCCGCTCTGATGAATGTGATGGGGTGTTGGGCTCATGAGGAGGGAATGTGTGGGTTCTTGAATTTTGTTGTTTGAGGATTCATGTATTTTTCTTGCTAGGTTCATGGACCCTTTCATTCAATTCACATTTATCAGGCCAGGTTCTGCTTAATGGCCAAAACCAAAATTAGCTTCTTAAAATTTTGGGGAAAGTGCTGGCAAAACTGCCTTAATCCATAATTCCATGGATTTTTTTTTATTTCTGATGTTCAATGGCAGTTTTTAATTACATTTTTTGAAATTTAAGAAATAGTGAGAGGTCTGTCTCCAGCAACAAAAATGAGTGTTAGAGGCAAAGTATTGAAGTTTGCATAATGCATATTACATCAAAACTAAGGGAATAAAAAGAACTTATTACCATTCTCAGATTGCAGTGGGGTGTGTTAGAAAGTACAGGAACTGGGTATCAAGAGGCAGAGTTTCAAGTGTCTCTGGCCACCTGCCTGCTGTGGTCCTGGATCAGTTCCTCCACACCTCTTGTGAAGTGTCTTGCTCTGTGCCTGACACATAGGAGATGCTCACAAACTTCTTGTTTTTCTGTATCTTATCCACCCAAATTAAGGGAGGAGACCACCCCTCATATTGTCTTATGCCCAATTTCTGCCTCCAAAGAAAGAAGAAGTAAAAACTAAAAGGCAGAAATGGAATCCACAGGCAGACAGCCCAGCGCCACGCCCTGGACCTGATAGTTAAAGATCAACCCCTGACCTAACTGGTTATGTTATCTATAGATTCCAGACATTGTATGGAAAAGCATTGTAAAAATTCCTGTCGTGTTCTATTGCGTTCTGATTACCGATGCATGCAGCCCCCAGTCACGTACCCCCTGCTTGCTCATTCGATCATGACCCTCTCATGTGGACCCCCTTAGAGTTGTCAGCCCTTAAAAGGGACAGGAATTGCTCACTCAGGGAGCTTGGCTCTTGAGACAGGAGTCTCGCCAATGCTCCCGGCCGAATAAACCCCTTCCTTCTTTAACTCTGAGGAGTTTTGTCTGTGGCTCATCCTGCTACATTTCTTGGTTCCCTGACTGGGAAGCGAGGTGATTGGTGGATGGTCGAGGCAGCTCCTTAGGCGACTTAAGCCTGCCCTGTGGAACATCCCTGCAGCAGACTCCTACCAGCCCAAGTGACGCGGATCCTGAGAGCGCTCCTTGGTAGGCATTTGCCCCAGTGGGACACATCGCCAGAGCAGTGTGTGGCAGGCCTCCATGGAGGATCAACACAGAGGCTAAACACTGGGAAGGAACTGGTACTTGGAGTCCGGACATTTGAAACTTGGTAAGACTAGTCTTGGGAACTTGCTCACTCCATTTGAGTGGAAGCGTGGCCTGATCACCCACGGTGTGCCTTTATCGGCACTTTGGTTTTGGTTTTGACTTGGTTTGAATTGCTTGACAGGACTGGTCTTGGGAACTTGCCTACTCCATTTGAGTGGAAGCGTGGCCTGATCACCCACAGTGTGCCTGTACTGGCACTTTGGTTTTTGTTTTTGACTTGACTTGGATTGCTTGATACTTTGGTTTTGGTTTTGACCTGGCTTGGATTTCTGGATACTCTGAATTTGGTTTTGATTTTGGTTTGGTGTAAACTGCAAAGTGTGTGTGTGCCCTTTTTACTCATTCTTTGTTTTGTGGTGTGCGTGTGGTGTGAGCGTGGTGTTTTGTATTGAAGAAGCATGGGTCAGGCACAAATAAGCCCAATCTACTAGGAACTATGTTGAAAAATTTCAAGAAAGTATTTAAGGGAGACTATGGAGTACTATGACACCAGGAAAATTTAAAACTTTGTGTAAAATAGACTGGTCAGCATTAGAGGTGGGTTGGCCATCAGAAGGAAGCCTGGACAGGTCCCTTGTTTCAAAGGTATGGCACAAGGTAACCTGTAAAGCCAGGGCACCCAGACCAGTTCCCGTACACAGACGCTTGGTTACAGCTGGTGTGAGATCTCTCCACAGTGGTTGAGAGAACTGCAGCATAAGCGAGGCAGAGAGAGAGAGAGAGAGAGAGAGACAGAGAAGAGAGAGAGGAAGAGACAGAGGCAAAAGGAAAATCAAAGAGAGAAAGAGAGATATATACAAGCAGTTAAGAAAAAAAACAGTGTACCCTATTCCTTTAAAAGCCAAGGTAAATTTAAAACCTGTAACTGATAATTGAGGGTATTCTCTGTTACCCTATAACACTCCAATACCACTTTGTTGTCAGTGTAAACAAGGGCATATCCTGAAAGCACTGAGGCCTTCCTATCAAAAATCCTTAACCCAGTAACCCGCGGCTGGCCCAAATGCATTCAATCTGTAGCAGCAACTGCTTTGCTAACAGAAAAAAAGCAAAAAAATAAGTTTTAGAGGAAACCTCATTGTGAGCACACCTCACTAGTTCAGTTCAGAACTATCCTAAATCAAAAAAGCAAAAAAGTAGCTTACTAACTCAAAAATCTTAAAGTATGGGGCTATTCTGTTAGAAAAAAAAAAGAAAGAAAAAAAGGGGGGTGGAATTTATGTAAAAAGAGTATTATATGGTAAATTCTTGTCCTGAAATAAATTAACTCATTGTTTAAAGAAAGAAATATTTGTAATAAGTCAGAAAGTTAAAGCATGTCAAAAAATTGTCTACAAAAGTCATGAAAGAGAAAAATGTTATAAAAAAATTTACACAAGAAATGTTGTATAATTTAAAAGTAACTAGGCCTCCTGAATGTAAAACTAAACAAACAAGCAAACAAACAAACAAAAAAAACAGTTTATGTGCAAGATGTATAAGGAAAGTAAAATATACCTTTGGTAAAAGAATTATAAGGAGGCATAAGAATATAAATTTTTACGTGCATTAAAAGGTTAAAAATATGTATATTTTGTTTTAAAGGTTTAATCAAGTTTTAAAATGTTAAATGGAAAGAAAATTCTGTGTGTAAACATTGGCTAAAGTTAAAGAGGTGTCATCCAGTTTTTCTGTAAACTGGACATTAAAATAAAAGCATAGCAGGTTTTTCTTAAAGCACCAACCTGCTCTTTAGCGAAAATTTTAAAAGGTTAAAAAGTGTCTGTAAAATCTTACCTTATGGTCAAACATTAAAAATTGGATAAATATGTCTACAAGGTTTTATTAAAATTAGGTTTAACATTAATAACACACTAAAATAAAGGTAAAATTTAGCTTATCTGGTATAAAAATCATATAAAAAGCATTGTTAATTGTAAAATGATATTTGGCTTTCTTTGGTTTAAAAACTAATAAAAATAGGTGCTAAAGGAGATTTCTCAGTAAAAAGGCACTGAGGACATAAAGTCCACTGCCAAGGACCCCACATTTAAAACAAAAGGTCAATTTCTTAAACATTATATACTTGGTTTATCTTCCACTTTCCTTTCCTTCAAAAACTAAAAGTCTTTTAGTACATGTACCACCCCTAGAATTTCCGGTAAACCAGCACCAGCCTGAAGATCACGTTCTCATCAAAGGGTGGAAAGAAGAAAAACTCGAACCAGACTGGGAAGGACCCTACCTTGTGCTACTAACCACCAAGACTGCTGTTCGTACAGTGTAAAAGGATGGACTCATCACACCCAAGTCAAGAAAGCACCACCCCCTCCAGAGTCGTGGGCCGTAGTCCCAGGGGAAAACTCTACCAAACTAAAGCTAAGAAAGATTTAACTCTTTTCATCTATTCTATTACTTTGTCTTCTTTCCTCGTTATTAACATAACCAAGTCAATTTCACCTCAAACTATTGCATTTAATGCTGGCCTTGTTATACCCTGTGGAGACTTGCTAATTCAAAGACAGCTTTCTACTTCAGAAAAGTACTTCTGTCCCTCCTGACTCTCCTCAGACTGGGCATTAGTAAACTAGGATCATTTAATCCAGAGAGATTTTGATAAAGACCCTAGTGCCAACCAGGAGTCTTGTCCCCCAATGCAGAGAGCAAGCTTTGGTAACTAGTTAGTCTAGCATTCGTTAGCTAATGATGTCCTTTGGTATTTATTAAAGTCACCACAGCATGGGAGGACTATGTTTATGCCATAGTTGGTCCAACATTCTGTGGACCACTAAAGAGCAAGGATGGACTGCTCCAACTGGTTTTTGTAATTTCCTAAAATCATACATTCATTTTACTAGAGGATCATAGAAGTTAAAGACTTAAAACCAACTTCAGCAATTAAGACAGGATACCAAGATGCAAATGTCTAGTTAAAATGGATCAAATATTCCATCTGCACGTTAAACAAAAGCAATTGTTATGCTTGTGCACATGGCAGGCCAGAGGCCCAGATTGTCCCCTTTCCACTAAGGTGGTCCTCCAGTCAACCAGGCATAGGCTGCATGGTAGCTCTTTTCCAGGATTCTACTGCCTGGCGTAATAAGTCATGCCAAGCTCTCTCTGCTATATCCAGAAGTCCAGCACCCTGCGGGTCAGCCCCCAAGGGCCATCCAGCTTCTGTCTCCCAACACTAAGTTCACTTCCTGCCTCTCATGACAGGGAGGAAACTTAGCATTCCTTGGAGACCTGAAGGGATGTGATGAACTTAAGAATTTTCAAGAGCTTATCAATCAGTCAGCCCTTGTTCATCCCCGAGCGGATGTGTGGTGGTATTTTGGTGGACCTTTACTGGGCGCTCTGCTAAATAACTGGAGTGGCACTTGTACTTTAGTCCATTTGGCTATCCCTTTCACCCTGACATTTCATCAACCAGAGGGAGAAAAAATAAGACATCATAAAGTGAAAGAAGCCCCTTATGGGTCTTTCAACTCTCACATCTATTTAGATGGAATTGGAGTCCTGCAAGGAATACCAGATCAATTTAAAGCTTGAAATCAAATAGCTACAGGACTTAAGTCAATATTTTAGTGGGGGACAGTCAATAAAAATGTAAATTAGATAAACTACATCTATTACAACCAATAGCAACAAGCTTTTCATGAGTTAAAAGAAAAACTCATGTCACCCCCAGCCCTGGGGCTACCTGACCTGACAAAACCCTTTACACCCTATGTGTCAGAAAAAGAAAAAATGGCAGTTGGAATTTTAACCCAGACTGTGGGGTTCTGGCCAGGGCCAGTGGCCTATCTCTCAAAACAACTAGATGGGGTTTCCAAAGGCTGGCTCCCATGTCTAAGGGCCCTGGCAGCAATGGCCCTGTTAGCACAAGAAGCAGATAAGCTAACTCTTGGGCAAAACCTAAACATAAAGTCCCCCCATGCTGTGGTGACTTTAATAAATACCAAAGGACATCATTAGCTAATGAATGCTAGACTAACTAGATACCAAAGCTTGCTCTGTGAAAATCCCCGCATAACCATTGTAGTTTACAACACCCTAAACCCCACCACCTTGCTCCCGGTATCAGAGAGCCCAGTTGAACATAACTTCGTAGAGGTATTGGACTCAGTTTATTCCAGTGGGCCCAACCTCTGAGACCATCCTTAAACATCAGTAGACTGTGAGCGGTATGTAGATGGGAGCAGCTTCGCCAGCCCCTGCAAAGTGACTCTGAAGAAGACGACAAGCCCTGCTCCAGTCACACCCGGAAGCTGACTCGTCCACGCACAGCTGAAGCATGAGAAAACTCATCACAGGACTCATTTTCCTTAAAATTTGGACTTGTACAGTAAGGACTTCAACTGACCTTCCTCAGACTAAGGACTGTTCTCAGTGTATACATCAAGTCACTGAGGTAGGATAAAAGGTTGCTATGGTCCTATTATTTTATGGTGATTATAAGTGTACTGGAACTCTAAAAAGAAATTGTTTGTATAATGTTATTCTATAGAAGGTATGTAGCCCAGGAAATGACCAACCTGATGTGTATTATGACCCATCTGAGCATCCCATGACCACAGTTTTTAAAATAAGATTAAGAACTGAAGACTGGTGGGGGCTCATAAACGATACAAGTAAAGTGTTAGCCAAAACAGAAGAAAAAGGTGCACAAACAAGTCACCTTAAAATTTGATGCCTGTGCAGTCATTAATAATAATAAGTTAAAAGTAGGATGTGGTTCTCTTAATTAGGAAAGAGGCTATATGGCAGAAAATAAGTACATTTATCATGAATTAGGACTGTGTGAAAATAAATGTAGATACTGGTCTTGTGTCATTTAGGCTACTTGAATAAAAAGTGAAAAAAATCCTGTCCACCTTCAGCAAGGGAAAAGTGGCCCTTCCTGTACCAGTGGTCAGTGTAACTCCTTAGAACTAGTAATAACCAACCTCCTTAATCCTCGCTAGAAAAAAGAGGAACTTGTAGCTCTAGAAATTGATGGAGCTGGACTGGATCTTCAAATAAATATCGTGGTTTGAGAAAAAGTTTATAAACGCTCTCCTGAGCCAGTATTTCAAACCTTCTCTGATAAACAAAATGTGCCAGTACCAGAAATTCCAGGAAAAACAAGAAATTTGTTTTTGCAATTAGCCAAGCATGTAGCCCAGTCTCTCAATGTCACTTCACGTTATGTATGTGGAGGAACTGTAATAGGAGATCAATGGCCATGGGAAGCCTGAGAATTAGTACCTCCAGACCCAGTTCCTGATGAATTCCCAGCCCAAAAGAATCACCCTGATCACTTCTAGGTCCTAAAAGCCTCAATCATTAGACAATACTGTATAGCAAGAGTGGGGAAGAACTTCACCCTTCCTGTAGGAAGACTCAGCTGCCTTGGGCAAAAACTGTATAATAGCACTACAAAAACAGTTACGTGGTAGAGTTCAAACCACACGAAGAAGAATCCATTCAGTAAATGTTGGGAACAAGCCCCCCAAAATCTGGCCATAAACTGGCCCCAAATCTGGCCATAAACAAAATCTCTGCAGCACTGTGACATGTTCATGATGGCCATAACGCCTACGCTGGAAGGTTGTGGGTTTACCGGAATGAGGGCAAGGAACACCTGGACCGCCCAGGGTGGAAAATCGCATAAAGGCATTCTTAAGCCACATAGCGTAGCATGAGCGATCTGTGCCTTAAGGACATGTTCCTGCTGCAGTTAACTAGCCCAACCTATTCCTTTAATTCGACGTGAGCCACTGCACCTGGCCCACAAATCTTTCTAAACTAAAGCTGACTGCATCTTGGCTGGGGCGCAGTGGCTCAGGCCTGTAATCCCAGCACTTTGGGAGGCCGAGGTGGGCAGATCACGAGATCAGGAGATCGAGACAATCCTGGCTAACATGGTGAAACCCCATCTCTACTAAAAATACAAAAAATTAGCCAGGCGTGATGGCGGGCGCCTGTAGTCCCAGCTACTTGGGAGGCTGAGGCAGGAGAATGGCGTGAACCTGGGAGGCTGAGCTTGCAGTGAGCCAAGATGGCGTCACTGCACTTCTGGGCGGCAGAGCAAGACTCCGTCTCAAAACAACAACAACAACAACAACAACAAAGCTGACTGCATCTTCCATCTGCATAAAAATAGCAAGAACTTTCATAATTCTTACTCTGTATACTTCTCAATGTTTCACACATGTTAACTCACTTAATCCCTGCAACAACTTTATGTGAGGATTACTATTATAATCTCCTCTTTACAGGTGAGAACTGAGGCATAGAGAGGTTAAATAACTTGCTTGGAGTTAAACTGCTAGTAAGTGATGAAGCAGGATATTAACAATTTGATATATCCCTGCTTATTCTGACAGTCTTGTCTCTGGCCACTTGTGCCTTATACTCTATCCTCCAGCAATGGCAAGCTACATTTCAGTCTCACCCCACCCGTATTCACTGTGCCCCCTTGCCATAGTTTTGCTCCTGCTGGGAGCCTGGCCTGGAATGCCTTCCCCAGTTGACTCCTTTGCAAATTCTTACTCCTCCTTTCAGAACTTGGCCCCAGCATCACCTCCTCCTTCTGTCAGTCTTCCCACCTGGCTCTCTGTGTTGCCCTTGCATTCTGGGTGCACCTCCAACTATTGGAGGGGCTGCTTTGTATTAGGTATTAGATGGAGAATTGAAACCAAGATCTAGAGGTGGTCCTCAGGATTCTATGGTCATTTAGGAAAAAGAAGCAAAAAGAAAAATCCCTGGAGTAGAACAGTATGAGTAGTCCAGGAAGGACAAGAATAGGGCACTTAGGGAAAATGTAATGCTGGAGTGTGGGGAAAACCTTCCTAGAGGGAGTGATGTTGAAACTGGAACTCATGGATGGAAAGGAATTCACAGGGCAGAATTGGGGAAAGGAAAGGATTTTAGACAGAAGGAACAGTGCTTGCAGGCTCAGAGCTAAGACCACTTATGGTAGGACTGGGGAAATTGCTGAGTGTGTTTATCCATTTCCTTATCTCTCCTACTTGACTGAGCTCCTAGGATGTCACATCTGCTGCACTGGGCTCAAGGAGGTCTCAATGGAATTAGACTGGAACCCAAACACTGGACTCTCTCAGCCTCTGCCTTGCCATCTGGTAAATGTTCAGGCAGTGTGAAGAGGCTGCTAAAGTCCTTTGGATTTCCTGAGATTCCATGACCTGCATAAATGAAAGAAGGCAATTTGGGAGGCTGAGGTGGGAGGATCGCTTGAGCCCAGGAGTTAGAGACCCAGCCTGGGCAACATAGTGAAACCTCATCTCTACAAATAATAAAAAAATAGCCAGGCATGGTGGTATGCATCTGCAGTCCCAGCCACTCAGAGGGCTGAGATGGGAGGATTGCTTGAGCCTGGGTGGTTGAGGCTGCGGTGAGCCGTGACCATGCCACTGCACTCCAGCCTGGGGACACAGCAAGAACCTGCCTCAAAAAAAAAAAAAAAAAAAAAAAAGGCATTGAGGGGAGGGCAAGCAGGAGTGCATCAGTCTGAGAGTCTTGGGAACCTGGAGATAATACTGAAGGCCTTGATTTTCACCTGTTTGTGAAAAAAAGAGTGTGATGGGGGGCAGGGAATGTAGTTGAGGCAAACCCAGACACTGCATACAGGAAGTGGAAAGCCTCTCACCACCAGTCCTGGGGCTGAGTATGAAGTCTGAAAGGCATTTCTAAATGCAGGATCCCTGTAAAGAGTCAAGAGACTGAATATACAAACAGACAGTGGCCACACTATAAATAAAAGTAGAACTCGAACTGAGAACCTGCTCCAAACCTGCTGCAAGCAGCCCTTGAAGCCAACCTACTGGCAATAGTAACCAATCCTGGAAGTCAACTAATGTAGGAGGCCAAATAATAACTCCTGTAGTAATCTGCACAAAACAGCCATAACTTGATTAATAACTGACAGCTTTCCTAATTTTTGCATTGACCTCCAGTTTAGGACCAACAAGATAAAGCAAATATGCAACCCTAAGCCACTACATAGGATGCTGCTTAGCTGCCCACAGCTTCCCCACACCAATAGCCTGAAGTCTTTTTATTCCCACCTACTATAAAGCATTCCCATTCCTCTACCTGCCTTTGTGTCTCTACCAGATGCAAATGATGATGGCTGACTCCCTCGCTAGGGCAGATTCTGAATAAACAGACTTTGTTTGTTCTCATTTGGGTGGTCCTTGTTCATTTCCACAGGCTGGAAAAGGCTCTCTGAAGCTCGGGATATTCCATTTACTTTCTTTCATTCTTGGATCCATTTCCTTTTCCTAGAACATTGGAGAATGTTTTTTCACCATCCACAAACATTTAGCAGGGCTGGGCATGTTTCTGCTGCAAAGAACACTTTTTACAAGATCAGAGATAGCACCTAGATTCCCAGCACTGCCACTGGTGCTGGTGATAGCCAGCAAGTCCTTTAGCCTTCTTATATCTTCATCCTCTTACCTGTAAAATGGGACTAAAGAAATTATTTTCTGGCTGGGCACAGTGGCTCATACCTGTAATCCCAGCACTCTGGGAGGCTGAGGCAGATGGATCACCTGAGGTCAGGAGTTCGAGACCAGCCTGGCCAACATGGTGAAACCCTGTCTCTACTAAAAATACAAAAATTAGCTGGGTGTGGTGGCACACGCCTGTAGTTCCAGCTACTCGGGAGGCTGAGGCAGGAGAATTGCTTGAACCCAAGAGGTGGAGGTTGCAGTGAGCCGAGATTGTGCCACTGCACTCCAGCCTGGGTGACAGAGTGAGTGAGATTCCATCTCAAAAAAAAAAAATTCTGCTTACCTGCTGGAACCAGACCCCATTGTCCTCCAGGTTCACATCTAGTGCACCTCTCAGCACTTTCTCACCGATCCCAGTCAAATAAAAACATTAAGACCTAGAAACACAGATTTTATTTGACAAGACTATTGCAGTAGGAGGGGGGGACTATTGTAAGAGGACAACACACAGACCACAAGATCTGCAAGAGTCTCAAGAGAGACCTCGGATGTGTGATCATGAAGGGCGGCTGCTCCATATGCCAATGCTGGCTCAGGTTAAAGGTGAGTCAAAGTTCAGGAGCTTGTGGGGAGGGAAGAAGCCTAGCTAAAGTTTGGTCAAGTCTTATTAGCGGGTATTTTGTCCACATTGGTGAGTGGGGACAAACAATTTGGGTAATCATTTATGAGACAAAACTTGGAGGGTTTGTGTCTGGCCTTGTCCTAAGTAAACAAGGGGGCATTCACGAGTCTTGTCTAAGTCGTGTGGGGAAGAGTGGTTCTTTGCTGTAAGCTGTTTGGAAGGACAAAGGGAAGAAGGATTTCCTGAGTGCGGTCTTCTAGGAGCACAGGGCTCAGGCAGAGTTCGACATTGTCATCCATTTATGGATGAATGCATAAACAAATGTGGTAGACGTGTTCAATGAAATATTATTCAGCCTTAAAAAGGAAGGAATTTGTACACATGCTACATCATGGATGAATCTTGAGGACATTATGCTAAGTGAAATATACCAGTCACAAAGTGACAAATATTATATGATTCCACTTATATGAGGTAGCTGAAGTAGCCACATTCATAGAAACAGATGTAGAAAGGTGGTTGCCCAGCCTGGTGGGGAGAATGGGGAGTTGTTTAATGAATACAAAGTTTCAGTTTTGCAAAATGAAAAGCTTTATGGAGACTTTGCACAACAATGTACACAAAAATGTGAATGTATTTAACACTACTAAACTGTATACTTAAAAATGGGTTAGATAGGCCAAGCATGGTGGCTTACGCCTATAATCCCAGCACTTTGAAAGACTGAGGCAGGTGGATCACTTGAGGTCAGGAGTTCAAGATCAGCCTGGCCAACATAGTGAAACCCCATCTCTACTGAAAATACAAAAAAAAAAAAAAAAAATTAGCTGGTGTGGTGGCACGCTCCCATAATCCCACCTACTCAGGAGGCTGAGGCAGAAATATTGCTTGAACCCAGGAGGCGGAGGTTGCAGTGAGTCGAGATCATGCTACTGCACTCCAGCCTGGGGACAGAGCGAGTCTCTGTCTCAAAAAAAAAAAAAAAAAAAAAGTTTTGATAGTAAATTTAATGTTATGTGTCTTTTACTACAATTAAAAACTTAAAAAAACTCAACATTATAATTATCCCCTTTGATTCAAGATTAATAAATATTATTTATCAATGAACAACTCAAAAGTGATAGTGAATCTCCTGAGTGGGGGAGAAACAGGGTCTAAGAAATAATTCCCTGAAGACTCTTGTTTGCATTATTCCTGCAAAAGCAGCTGAAGCATCTGTTGAGAGGTGGTAGCAAAGGTGAGTTGTTTTACGCCAAGACCAGCTCGGTCGGGGAGACCCTAACCCAGCAGTGCTAGAGGAATTAAAGACACACACACAGAAATATAGAGGTGTGAAGTGGGAAATCAGGGATCTTACAGCCTTCAGAGCTGAGAGCCTCAAACAGAGATTTACCCACATATTTATTAACAGCAAACCAGTCATTAGCATTGTTTCTATAGATATTAAATTAACTAAAAGCCTCCCTTAAGGGAAAGGAAGGGATGGGCCGAATTAATTGGATAGGTTGGGCTAGTTAACTGCAGCAGGAACACGCCCTTAAGACACAGATCCCTCAGGCTTTTGTTTGTAGCTTAAGAATGCCTTTAAGCGGTTTTCCACCCTGGGCGGGCCAGGTGTTCCTTGCCCTCATTCCCGTAAACCCACAACCTTCCAGCTTGGGCGTTATGGCCATTATGGACCTGACATTGCTGCAGAGATTTTATTTATAGCCAGTTTTGGGGCCAGTTTATGGCCAGACTTTGGGGAGCTTGCTCCCAACAGTTTTAGCATCTTGCTGATCATCTTCTAGGGGGGATGACTGAAATGAAAAAGAGAAATATTAATATAAAAGGTTATAATAAAGTTAGGAGCCAGGAGTCGGATCTTGAGAGTATCTGGTCCAGCAGATTCCAAGAGGTCGTTGGATGAAAAGCTTTTGGTCATACAGCACTGCTCATTGAGTTTGCCGAAGCTAAGATGTCAATGTTCTTGGCAATGTTGTCCACGGTCTTGGTTTCCTCTCATATAAAGGCATTTGTGACTTGAACATTTTATTACACTTCCTTTGAGGCTCAAAGAGTGCCTTTTCCAGGGAGAAACTGGCCCCTGCATGGTCTGCCTCAGTGATGAGTATTTCAAGGTACATATCAAGTCATCTGGGCTTTAAGGTGCAGTGCTTCCTCAGGTGCTGAGGGAAGTGGCAGCTACAAGGCAACCTAGAGTTCCAGTAAAGATCTGGGTTTACAAATTTTAATCTGGATTGTCAGAATTCAGTTCTTCGTGATGCCAAGACAGAAGGGAGAGATAAAAATTGGAAATGTTAATTTGAAGGCTGTAGGCAGATATTAGAGAAAAACAAGAGTTAAAATTTGATAAGGTTTGGCAATGCGTGTAAGATGACAAGATCTGGTACAATTTACAGGCAGTAACGAAACTGTTTTTTCATATTTGTCAGTTACCTGCAGTTTACAAGAGGTTCAAACACAAAGAGTTCGAAGACAATGAACAGGACCAGAATCTGATAACCCACCAGGGTGTGCTATAGTTTTCCACTGAAACACAAAAATTCTCTCCACAGATACTTCCCTTTTGAGCAAGATAATCTCAAAGGACCAGACACAGTCGCTCACGTCTGTAATCCCAGTACTTTAGGAGGCCGAGGTAGGAGAATTGCTTGGGGCCAGGAATTCAAAACCAGCCTGGGGCCGGGTGCTGTGGCTCACACCTGTAATCCCAGCACTTTGGGAGGCCGAGGCAGGCAGATCACGAGGTCAGGAGATCGAGACCATTCTGGCTAACATGGTGAAACCCCGTCTGTACTAAAAATACAAAAAAATTAGCCAGGCGTGGTGGCAGATGCCTGTAGTCCCTGCTACTCGGGAGGCTGAGGCAGGAGAATGGCGTGAACCCAGGAGGCAGAGCTTGCAGTGAGCTGAGATTGCGCCACTGCACTCCAGCGTCTCAAAAACAAACAAACAAACAAACAAAAAACAAAAAACCAGCCTGGGCAACATAACAACACCTTCTTTTTCCAAAAAACAAAAATAAAAACAATACAAAAATTAGCTGACCATAGTGGCATGCGCCTGTAGTCCTAGCTACTTGGAGGCTGAGGCAGGAGGATTGCTTGAGCCCAGGAGTTCAAGACTGCAGTGAGCTATGATTATACCACTGCACTCCAGCCTAGGCCACAGAGCCAGACCCTATCTCTTAAAAAAATTAAATAGATAAATAAATAAATAAATAAATAATCTCGAAGGATTATTCTTGGTCAGAAAATAAAGTTGATGTCATTAAATTCAACCTAATTATTTTAACATAGGCAGCAAGAATGGCGATTTAACATATTGGCTCTTCAAAGTTTGCTTTGTGGAAGATTTCATAAGGATGTTCAAAATGGACCTTTAAAAACCTCTTGAGGCTTGATTCTTCAGAGAGAGTATTTAAAAAATAAACAAACACAAACCTCTTGAAGTTAAGAAGCCAAGCCAAGAATTCACCATGAGATTTCACCTATATTAATCATAGATTTGAGTAAATTCCTCTCTTCTTGAGGTCACGCAAATAGTCTCGGTTTCCTTGGCCCACTAGCAAGAGAACTTCCTTATTCATCGGTAAGGCTGAGAACCCCATAAGACAACCCTGTAAAGTCAGCTTCAGTTCCTTAAGACTTACTGGCCATATCTTGATTCATTCTCAGATATGACATTCTGAACAAAGCCTTATTCAGAATAAGCTTTGTTGTATAACCAATGTTTCCAATTACATCGTCTTAATAAGGAGAACAGATTCTTACTGAACCTATGTGAATAACTATATTGCCATGGAAATAAAAGTATTCAATAAAAGTTTCCGAATTCTGGAGGAAACAGGAAGAAAAAGATAAATGTTTTGTTTTTATTAATCTACATTTTTTTAGATAATAGCTTAAAAGAGAAAGTAGCCCTCATGTCCAGAAAATAGAATGTTAAAGTACTAGCAGCATTCCAAACAAAACCCAAATCATTCCTCATAATTTTGCTCAGGCTTATTCTTGTTCTGTTCCATCTTGGGTTAGTAGCCTCATGAACCCGTTAGCTTCTTAATGAGAATGCAGGAAATCCTGGATGGTCCAATGGCATGGGCCCCAAGTTATTTAAGCAATACCATCATAAGCCTGTGCCCATGAGTACTCAGCATAGTCCTTTCCCGTGGGGCTCTGAGACCATCGTTTTTAATGTCAAAGCACTCTGGTTTGTAGCTGATTTGCAAGTGCTTTCCAGGAAGAATCAAAGTAAAACAACAACAACAAAAACTTTCTCTAGAGGCCAAGAGACCAAAAATGACCATGGTTAACTTGTTAATGATAATTTTTCAAAAATGAAATATCTGATGAGTTCGTTACAAAAATAATGCAATTGACAAGGAAATTTGGTTGTTTCTGTGGCATTTAAAACAAAGCAGTGAATTTAAAATCAAAGTGACAGAAAATTTTTAAAGAAAACATAGGAGGTAACAGGATTGTAAAGAACCTTAATTCTTTCAAGAGTGAGAAGACTTTGTTCCTGTAAGTAATCAACGACCTGAAAAACTGAACGTAAAGCACAGAAAATTATTCTGATAAAATAGAATCATTGCCTTTTAGGCAGATTTCTCAGAAGGTAAAGAAAAATCTTAACAACCTCTTAAAAAGTACATAAATGATTCAAGAAAATTTTGTCATTTAACAGAAAGAAAAGCAGTTTTAATTTTGTATCAGCATAATGTTTGATATCAAGACTCTTTTAAGAAAATCTTGTAAATAAAGCCACTAAACCTTAGCCAGTTTCGACTATGGCAAATAAAATTCCCTTTCTGTGCACCTTCTACAGGTTTCTACATCCATTTAGGTTTTGTGCTACCTATTCTTCTTCCTCACTCTGGAACAGCCAGTCATTTTACTTTAGGACAAAACTATGCTCCTTTACCTTAACAAAAACACATCCTGAGTACAAAGTTACTCTTCTCTGCAATATTTTTCCTAGAGAATCTCACTCAGAATATTAATCATAACTTTTTAACTTCTATTTCACAGAGATAGCTATGAGGTAAATACCTGTGAGCAGTCAGACACTACAATTTTGTAGCAAAGCTTATGAATATACACCTTACAATGTTTTATAGCTTAGATGTCCTTATAGTACAATTTCTCAATGTGGCAAAATACATACAGCCTTAAAATTATGCTTAGTGATTAATATTTTAATACTTTATCTTATTAGAAATGATCTAGATATTTAATGACTATCCATTAATTAACTTAAACTAGCATAAGTTTTAAGTTACTAAAAGATCTTAGAGACTGTCTTCAAGCTGACATACCACAAAACATAATTATTGTTGAAATGAAGTTTGTCAGAATAATTAATTTAGTTAAACACACATCTCCCGTTTTCATCATCTTAAACATCTAGGAAACATAATGCTTGAATAATAGGAAACATAATAATTGAATAAACATTATTCAATCAGTAGAGCTGTCTAAATTCAGGAAGAATAAGCCCAAATAGAATACAAATGTATGCTTGCATTATGCTGAACTTGGATAACTCAGAAGACAGCTCTTTCTATCAAAAACAAATATTAAAGTAGTCTTTTTTTTAAAAAAAAGAGTTAACTAAATTTTTTGAATTTGAATTCTTAAAACATTTGCTTTCATTTTTTATAAAAATACTTTTTAAAGTATTAGAACCTCAATTCTACCACCAACAGGGTGGCTTAAAACAACAGAAATTTATTGTGTCATTTATGGAGACCAGAAGACCAAGATTAAGGTATCGGCAGGACCATGGCCCCTCTGAAGGCTCTGGGGGAGGGTCTTTCTTTGCCTCTTCCTTGCTTCTCTGGTGGTTGCCCACAGTCCTTGGTATTCCTTGGCTTGTGGACACGTCACTCCAATATCTATTTCCTTTGTCACATGATGTCTCCCTATGTGCCTGACTATGTCCCCATTTCCCACTTCTCACAAGGACTCAGGTCATTGGATTAGGGCCCACCCTAATCCAGCATGATCTCATTTTGATTATATCAGCAAGGCCCTATTTCCAAATAGGGTCACATTCACAGGTACTGAGGACTTGGGCTTGAAAATGTCTCTAGGGGATGCAGTTCAACCCACAACAGCTAATAAGTGGTGGGCCTGGTGTTCTGAACACTCATCAGTCAGCTGCAGAGTGGAGTGTCCATGCCCCAGGGACCAGTAAAGATGACCCATTGGAAGTGTGGTAAGAAAATATTAGAATGTCTATTTATTTTTACATTTCTTCTTTTAAAAATTGTGTTTATATTTTATGATTTAAATGATATATTTACAATAGTATATGCATATGTTCTATAAATAAAAATACATATATTCAGTGGGTACTCAAAATTTTTTAATTGACCAGAGAATGGAAAAAAAAGAAAGGCCATATACCTATTCCACTCCTTCTCTCCCATCTATTAAACTGAGCGTCACTAGCATATCAGTTTCTCTTTTTCACAGTTGCCTCAGTAGAATAACATTCCACTGGGTGAGGTTTGTAGTGAGGTATCCACCCCACCGACCACAGCGTTTAGCTGAAAAAGGTTTAGTTTGACAAAAGAGCAGTTACTAGATCTGAGCCAGGGTGAGAAGTAGCTGGAACCTTAAGAATGAAGCAGTTGGCTGGGTGCAGTGGCTCACGGCTGTAATTCCATCACATTGGGAGACAGAGGCAAAGGGTCACTTGAGTCCAGGATTCAAGACCAGGCAAGACCTCATCTCTACAAAAAAAAAAAAAGAAAATTTAGCTGAGTGCAGTGGCGCGTGCCTATGGTCCCAGCTACTCAAGAGGCCAAGGTGGGAGGATTGCTTAAACTCAGGAGTTCAAAGCTGCAGTGGGCTATGATCATGATACTGCACTTCAGCCTGGGTGACAGAGTGAGTCCCTATCTCTATTGAAAAAGAAAAAAAGAAGCAATTTAACAATCTTTATGTATTTCAGTAACTTTTCTCTAATTGTCAGTTTTCTTTTTTATTTTTTGAGACAGAGTCTTGCTCTGTTACCTAGGCTGTAGTGCCATGGCATGATCTTGGCTCACTGCAACCTCTGTCTCCAGGGTTCAAGTGATCCTTCTACCTCAGCCTCCTGAGTAGCTGGGACTGCAGGCATGTGCCACCATACCTGGCTACTTTTCTGTATTTTTTTTGTAGATACTGGGTTTCACCATGCTGCCCAGGCTGGTCTCGAACTTCGGAGCTCAAGCCATCTGCCTGCTTTGGCCTTCCAAAGTGCTGGTATTACAGGCATGAGCCACCACTCCCAGCCACATAATTGTCAGTTTCTTTTAATACTTCAGACAGAACCAGTGTTTAATGTAATTAGGTATAAAGACATACTGTTAATATTATAAACAATTTGATGCCATTTATGGGGGAGGAGGGAAGGCACAGAATTTGGAATGTTTTGAAATATAAGTTTCCAAAAGAGGAGAGCCACTGCCAACCAGAAGTAAAGTGATGATTACACCTCCATTCTTACCACATGAATTTATGTATGATACAATCCCAAGATCCAGCCTCCAACCCCCACATGTACCTATATGTTTCCAGGAATTGTTTTGGGATCTCTAAGGGAAGCCAGCTGATATGCTCACAGGTAAACAAACTTTAAAAAGTTGATAACATGCATTTCAAAATCCATTTGTTGATAGATTTTTAAAATTGAGGAGTCAATATAAACAAGGTAAAATGTATAAATTTAAGAAGATATTCAGATGTCCATGGAAAATAATTGTTCAGAAGAGCAAAGGATAGTATAACATTAAATGAGTCATGGTGTCTTTTTGACATTCCTGATTTTTTGTATTATTATTATACTTCAAGTTCTAGGGTACATGTGCACAACATGCAGGTTTGTTACATAGGTATACATATGCCATGTTGGTTTGCTGCACCCATCAACTTCTGACTTACATTAGGTATTTCTCCTAATGCTATCCCTCCCCCCGGCTCCCACCCCCTCCCCGACAGGCCCTGGTGTGTGATGTTCCCTGCCGACATTCAGGATATTTTGTTGGTTGTTTAACTCTTCAAAAACTTGACATAAGGGTCTATTGATTGTGGAGGAACTGATCTCCTTCTCATGGGTTCTTTGAGCTCCTGTGTGGGCATAAGTATATCTTTGTTATAATTTGTTCCACCTGTGCCTGTCAATTTCTTTCCACTTGCCTCCTCCCGTGACATTCTGGCTCATGTTTCTTCATAAAGCTCTAAGCCAGTTATTAATAACAGACCAGTGAGCCTCCTGATCCACCAAGACCATATGGTGTTTTTCATAAAAGAGAGAGATCATTCCCTTGACTTTGGACTTCGCTTATTGAACCCCTGGACAGTAAGTGTTTTTTTTTTGTTTGTTTTGTTTTGTTTTTTAATGTAGCATTTTAAGACGTTGATTTTGGAGGAAAGTTTAGTGTGACTCTAAAGTTTATGTGCTTCTGATAGAGGGAGAACATAGTAGGCTAAAATTCACTTAGACTCATAAAGCCTATTTCCTATTCCCTGCAGCATCTCTCTGCTTTTTATAAGGCTGATTATAAAGAGAGACCAATGAATTAGATTTCTACTCCTCTCATTTTCTTTTGGTTAAATAAAGGCAGGAGGAGAAGCAAAGGATTAACGATATTTAAACTACTTGACCAAGACCTGTGGCTGCAGCTTGACCTGTCTCCTTGTATTTTCTCTCCAAATAGAATTCCAGTGATTTCAAAGAGAATTTTCACATATGAAAAGTATATGTAGGGGATTGGGGGGAGGAGTAGTTGGACAAGAGACCTGGGCACTTTTGTTTTTTTCCCCCTTGTTATAGGTTTGGATCAGAGAGGGCACCTGTCTTGTTCCATGGATTCATTCCTTCCTTGTTTTTTAGCCAGAGGCTTTCTTTGTCTTTGCAGCCTTCTTTATGCTGGGTGCTTCTGAGAGTCCTTCAAAGTAGGTCACTATGTTTTCTGTCTAGAAAAGGGGGACCCTGAAGCCCAGAAAGGCCAATGCCCCGCTTGGTTCTCTTGAGCAGGGTTAAAACCTGACACTCCAATCCTTCTTCAAGACCACAGACTAATATAGCTTTCTGCTTTGGTTATGTATGTTCAATTCTTGAACATGTGCACCAGGCTTCTAAATAAAATGTGTAAGGGAAGCATGACAGGGAACTGGAAGGAGGCAGATGTGGTCTTGTTGTTGAGCCCTGGCTTGGACCACATACAAGCTGTGTGATCCTAAGAAAGTACTCAACCACTCTGAGCCTCAGTTTGCTCATTTGTAAAATGAGAATCATAGTCTCTTTTACAACGTGGTGGGGTTTACTCAGTGTATATAAGAAGCCAAGTATAGTGACAGTGACTGTTATTTTAACAAATTTATAAATTCCTTCTTTGAATTTTTCCTGAATCTTCCTAATTATCTCTCATTTGTTTCCAATTTAAATCCAGAGCCTCCAAATATGGTTTTTGATGGGAAACATGAATTTAAACTGTAGAGGCGATATCTGACTTCTACTACTTTTAGTAACTTCATTTTTAGAATAGTGTAAACCATGCAAATGCTGAGGACAGGTGGATTGGAGGATGGTATATTGTTAGCAATCAAGACATTAAGTCTACAGCTAAGATCAGCGATGATGAGAAACCTCCCCAAACAACTTCAAAATATAAACTATTATTTCCATAAACGTATGTGCTCTATTATAATCAGCATTCTAACATTTTTCTTTTTGCTCTGTCTTTCTATGTTTCCAAAAGACTGGTTTCCACCCTTGCCACATTAGATTCTGTGTGTCTGGATAAGACAGAAAGAAGGATTGTCTCAATACCTGCTTTCCAAAGTGTTGCTCTGTAACTCAGGAAATATGATTGGATTTTTGTTTTCCTCTGTAAACTTTAATTGTGCAAATATGTATTTAATTCCTACCATGTGCAAGACACCATGTGCTAACCTAAAACGGGGTCTATAAAAGTCAGAATGGGCTTACTCATGGTTCAGTACTCCTCCTTGGGTATCACTTTTTTTTTTTTTTTTTTTTTGAGACAGAGTCTTACTCTGTCACCCAGGCTGGAGTGCAGTGGCTTGATATCACCTCACTGCAATCTCCACCTCCCAGGCTCAAGTGATTCTTCCACCTCAGCCTCCCGAGTACCTGGGACTACAGGTGTGCACCAACATGCCCAGCTAATTTTTTGTTATTATTTTTTTTTAGTAGAGACAGGGTTTTGCCATGTTGCCCAGCCTGGTCTCAAACTCCTGGGCTCAAGTGAACCACCGCCTTGGTCTCCCAAAGTGCTGGAATTATAGGTGTGAGCCACCGCACCTGGCCAAGTATCACCTTCTAAGTAATGACTTTGTGAAGAATAGAAGAGCAACACCTTAAAGTCATACCTCATCTGCCCTATGGAAAAAAATTGTCATTAAGCACTTACTTTGTTCCAAGCTCTGTGGAAAATGCTAGAGATATCATTTCTGCTCTAAAGGTGGTCATAGTCTGTCATTTAAACTTGAAATTCTATTCTCCAGCCTAACCATCTATTTTCAGCTAAACTTGACTCCAAAGAACAATCAGCTTGTTTCAGAAATCAGATCTGCACCTAAAAACATAAAGACATTGCCACCAGTGAATTTATACCAAGGAGTGTGTGTTGCAGGCCAAGTAGGCAGTTTAAAAGGTTTTGCCAAATGCCTTTGAATACTCAAAAAAGTCCAGAGATTTCCCCACTCCCCTCCATTCACCAACTCCAAATGGGAATGACACTCATTTGGATATCTGAGTTCTGCAGGTCAAAAAACACAAACAAGCCCCCCTAGTCCCATTTCTGCATCCTGCACCCGTTTCTGCATCCTGCACCCATTTCTGCATCCTCGCACCACTCAAAGGACAAGTGTCTGCTGGCACCGCTGCGTTGGGGCTCTCTGAGGAAGCCTCGCACAGCTGATCCCCAGCCAGGGCTCCGGGCATTTCATCCGGCTTTGTAAAAGTGCATCACAACTGTGATTCATGGAGAGGGCTGGAAGACTTGGCAGGGAGAAGGTTGATAACATTTTGATTATTTCAATTCCAGAATATTTCGTAATGTTCAGTGCCCATAACTGAATAAATTCATGTCATCTCAGGGGCAATGTATGATCTGTTTAGGGCAAGAATATGGCAGCTAGAAACTTTAACCTTCAAGAGTCCTGATAGTGGAGGATTAAGAAGTCATGTTTGTTCATATGTAGAAAAATTGTTCTTTTTAGGGCCAGAACATTTACTTCAAACATTTGAGGCATGGCCATCAATGGCTTGGGAAAGCCAAAACTGAACAGATGTTGACCTAAAAAGAAAGCAAGTGGGCTGGGCGTGATGGCTCATGCCTGTAATCCCAGCATTTTGGGAGGCCAAGGAGGATGGATCACCTGAGGTCAGGAGTTCAACACCAGCCTGTCCAACATGGTGAAACCCTGTCTCTACTAAAAATACAAAAATTAACCGGTGTGGTGGTGGGAGCCTGTAATCCCAGCTACTCGGGGGCTGAGGCAGGAGAATTACTTAAACCCAGGAGGCGGAGGTTGCAGTGAGCCAAGATTGTGCCATTGCACTCCAGCCTAGGCAACAAGAGCGAAACTCCGTCTCAAAAAAAAAAAAAAAAAAAAAAAAAAAGAGAGAGAGAGAGAGAGCAAGGGAGGTTCCATTGAAGAGAAGAGAAACACAGTGGCTCCTGACAGGTCTGAAACCTGCTTTCTGACCTGGGGCGGGTGGGTGATCAGATGGACCCTCAGGAGTGCTGCCAGGCGAGCCAACACCCTGCTGCTCATGTGTCTGTGTGTCTGCCTCAGCTTCTCTGGGCTTTCCATCTCTTAAGGGCTATTTGTTTCCTCTCATCTAACTGAGCTACTCCATCCCTCTTCATGGCTGGGCTGCAAGGAAGTGGCCATCTTTCTGAATCTGCTGCTTCACTGAACTAGGCACTATTTATTGAGTGTCAGGCAGCATGCTGGGCTCTTGGCTTACTTTTTTTGTTTGCTTGTTTTGTTTTGTTTTTTTTTTGAGACCCAGGCTGGAGTTTAGTGGCACGATCTCGGTTCACTGCAACCTCTGCCTGCCAGGTTCAAGCGACTCTTGTGCTTCAGCCTCCTGAGTAGCTGAGACTACAGGTGCGAACCACCACGCCCAGCTAATTTTTGCATTTTTAGTAGAGGCAGGGTTTTGCCATGTTGGCCAAGCTGATCTCCAACTCCTGACCTCAGGTGATCTGCCTGCCTTGGCCTCCCAAAGTGCTGGGATTACGGGTGTGAGCCACCATGCCTGGCCTCTTGGCTTACATTTTTACCAGTCCTGCAATATTGCAGTGGCTAAGGCCGTGGGCATTGGAGCCAAACAAATCTCCATAAAAATCCTTGGTCACCTCTTAGTACGTGTGTAACGTTGGACAGCTATCTTAACCTCTCTGGGTTTCTGTATTTTTGAATAAGAAAATAGTGGTATGAATATTCCACCTCATAAAGTTTTATGAGATTAAAAATAAGTGTGTATAGAAGGCACTGAACTTTAGCTATGAATAAAGTCCTTTCAACCCCCCACAAGACAGATATTACTCTCTCTGTTCTCCAGATGAGGTGGCATCTGAGGTCAGGTGCTTTGTCCAAGGCTGCAGAGTTAATAGTGGTAAGAGCCAGGATCTCAAACTGGTTCCATCTGGTTCAGATCCTGTACTCTCTCCTCACTCCACCTTGCTGACTGATCATCTGTGACTAACATGTTTCTGTGTTCAGTCGAAGTCCACTTGTCAAATTCTCTGCCTTGTGGCCCTGACCTGCCACATTTTCTACTTTTCACTTGTGATTTGCTTTGATCTGGACTCTCTGGTTATACATGGGCTGGAATCAAAGATGTTGGAGGGTGATGAAGGTAGACTCTCCTCACGTAGCTGACTGGTGAAATGCAGAATCCAGTCTATCATAAATGTCAGAAAATTGCTGAGGCAATTGTAGCACTAGCTTTGGAAAAAGTCACTGTGTGACCTCAGACAAGTCTCTGCACTTCTCTGGGCCTTGTTTGTCAAATGAGAAGTTTACAAAAGCTCCAATATCTTTTCTATACCAACATTTCGTTAGTATTTCCAGTCTTTCCCCCTTATTGTTTTTCTTAGCTGGAAAGAGAATAATTGACCTGAGATCATGTCTTAATCAGGAAACAAGGTGCAAGAATAATGCCTGCCATCATTTAAACATACAGCCATATGCATTATTTAATTCCCATACAAGCTTTCTATGATATAATGTTCATGTCATTGATAAGTTAATTTCTCAGATTTGTGTTAAATTTCCTTTCTCATATAATTCAACTTCGGGCAGAATTGAAGGGGACCTTAATGAGCTCAGAAAATGCAGCTTGAACTCAAATTTTAGAAGCTTACAGAACACAAAAAATCCATTTACCATTGCATATGCCCAAATTTTCCCAAATTACTCGAATTTGAGTTTAGTGAGGGCAAACCTCCAGTATGCTGTAGAAACGGTGGCCATCCCAACAGATCATCCCATTCTAAAACCCTGCACGTCCTGTGCCAAGTTTTTCTTGCCTTCCAACAACTTGACTTGCTTCCCTAATTATAAGCAAAAAAAAAAAAAACAAAAGAAAAAGCATTAATAAGACATAGTTCTCATATGATTTCTCAAGTTTCTAAAAGACAGTTGTCTTGAACATAAACTTTCTGGGAAAGGGAGATGTTCTCCATAGGGAGACAAGTTGCAAGCACCCAACTTTGGGATTTTATTTTTAAAATTATTTGCCGGGAGAAGTAGACTTATTATGTATGTTTTTCTTGTTGTAATTGTCATTTGGACAAAGTGAACTTTCATTCTTCCCAGAAAGCTTCTGCTTTAAGTATAGTCAAGTCAGTATTTTTTGAGAACTAATTAGTGTCGGAGAGTGTGAGGCACTGGAATCCAGGATGAATAAGGCCGTCCCCTACCTTCTAGGAAAGCATCACTGACTATAGCGTATTGCATGTAAACAACCATGATACAGTGTGGTCACTGGCAACATGTTACGGACAAGTCGGAAATACATTCTGTCTAAGGAAGTCAGATTGGATAACAGAGGAGGTGAGATTGAATCTCAAAGGATGAATAGGAGTTTAACAGTTTTGCCTGTTTAGGTACTTAAAGAGAACTTGAGAAGAATGATTCATTCAAGGGCTACTGTCTAACAGTAATATGCTAAACTGTAATTAATAATAGACACTATCACTTACTAAATGTTTACTTTCTAGGCACAAGCATTATCTCATTGAATTATCAGGCTACCCTAAGAAGCAGGTACCATTATCCCCACTTTATGGAAGTGCCAACTGAGGCACAGAGTTAACGTAGCTTGCTTAAGATCTCATGCACAGTGGCAGACCTGAGATTCAAACTCTGTCAGTCTGATTCTAGACCCATCTCTCAAACACCATGTCTTGGCAGCATTCTTATTATTTCTCAGCTTAGTTAATGTTAAGGAGGTCAAGGGGAGAAACTTGTTAGCCATAAGGTAACAAGTGGTTAAAAACAAATAACAATAAATATGAATAAAATAGGTAGTAAAAGATAATAAAAATAAATAATAAAAACTGTACTTTTAGCTGGGAGCAGTGGCTCACGCCTGTAATCCCAGCACTTTGGGAGGATGAGGCGGACGGATCACCTGAGGTTGGGAGTTCAAGACCAGCCTGACCAACATGGAGAAACCCCATCTCTACTAAAAATACAAAAATTAGCCAGACGTGGTGGTGCATGCCTGTAATCCCAGCTACTCAGGAGGCTGAGGCAGGAGAATCACTTGAATCCGGGAGGTGGAGGCTGCAGTGTGCAGTGAGCCGACATCGTGCCATTGGACTCCAGCCTGGGCAACAAGAGCAAAAACAAAAAAACTGTACTTTCAGCTAAATTTGTTGTTAAATAGTGAGCTCACAGTTGTGATCTGGGCAATGTCCCATTTACAAAGGGCAGATTGTTTTGATGTGAATAAATTAGCAACTAACTGTTATAAAGTGAATTCCGGCAAATTTGGGGTTATCAGGGCCAGAGGGGTAACTGTCAGCCCTTCCATCCCATCCACAACCAGCTCACTTATATAGAAAGGATCCAGGACTGAAGAAGGAGCATGGCCATTAATAATTATGTGATGTTTCCATGCCAGTATAGTCCATTTCCATTATAATGTAGATCTTTTCAAAAGTAACTTTTCATTTTAAAACATGAATAAATCAGTATAGTTGAAAGAGCATGGCATCTGGAAGCTGAAGTACTGGATTAGTTTCTAAACTATGGCACAGAATACTCAAAGTCCTTCATCTCCCAGTTGTGCATAAGCAGCGCCTGGCACATAATAGACCCTCAATAAATGGTGGTTATTATAATATTATTTACTTAAGTAGCTTATTAAGCAAAAGTGGACAGATTTCAACTGTGTCTCATTTTTCAACATATGCCTCTAGGGAACTTCTATCAATATTATCTTAACTGTTAGACATTGATTGAAACAAGGAGAAGGGTTAGAAAATTTTTATTAAAAAAGAAAATATTTTTGAAGTGTGACTGATGTGTTTAAGATTATAAACTTGAATCCAATGAAAAGTGTTTTTATTTTGAGTGAAAAAGGGACTTTGCAAAGTATATTCATTTTGTACTTTGTCCTAACCAAAAATCCACACTTAATAAAGAGAAATGTTAGAGGTTAGGAGAAATTGAGAAAAGTGTGAAGTCTCAGAACTCGTAATACTTTTATATAATAGAGGGATTTTTTTGTTGTTGTTTGTTTTTTTGTTGTTGTGGTTTTTTTTGCCAGGGGACCAAGCCATTTAGAAAATACATTGTTCTTATGGTCCCTGGAGTCAGAGTTGACTTCAAAGGCAAGGGCTTACAAACTGGTGGCAGAGTGAAGAACAGAGGATACAATGAAGTCCAGCTCCTAGAAACCAGGGGTTCCTGCTACTCTCATTTGTCTAACTCTGTGGGATACCACTCCTCAACTATCTAATAAGCAATGAACAGGTCAATTTAAATTAGATTATTTGGACCTGAATCTTGATACAATCAAAGGAAGAAATAAAAACTTATAAACTAGATGAGAGTATCCATTCTACTTTCAGTACAACAGTCTATAAAATAATAAAGTGACTCCCAATGGCCTCTAGAAATGAGGAAAAGAAAGGCAGAGGTGTTCACATGGTGGGGGGTGGGGGGTGGGGGGGGGAATTATTTGCCGTCATCTGAAGTTTCAACATAAAAAAAATCTGACCCAAAATAACCTCAGCTGTCATATCAGAAATGGAAGGTCATGTCATTTTAACTATGATGTTAAAACATTACGTTGGAGATAAGACCAAGGTCCTGAGATAAACACATTCAGTAAGTTGTAGCATAGTTTTTAAGGTGTCCTAACTTGTTTAAAATTTGTGTATATTTTTTGGTACATGTTTCTATCAGATAAAAACTAGGAAATATTTCATCCTGAAAATTACTGCTGTTAAATAGCTATTCTCTTCAACAAATGCCCCTTCAATCCTAAAGAAGAAACACTACCATGATTCATTTTCTTTTTTTTATTTTATTTTATTTTTTTTTTAGTATTTATTGATCATTCTTGGGTGTTTCTCAGAGAGGGGGATTTGGCAGGGTCATAGGACAATAGTGGAGGGAAGGTCAGCAGATAAACATGTGAACAAAGGTCTCCGGTTTTCCTAGGCAGAGGGCCCTGCTGCCTTCGGCCGTGTTTGTGTCCCTGGGTATTTGAGATTAGGGAGTGGTGATGACTCTTAACGAGTATGCTGCCTTCAAGCATCTGTGTAACAAAGCACATCTTGCACCGCCCTTAATCCATTTAACCCTTAGTGGACACAGAACATGTTTCAGAGAGCACGGAGTTGGGGGTAAGGTTATAGATTAACAGCATCCCAAGGCAGAAGAATTTTTCTTAGTACAGAACACAATGGAGTCTCCTATGTCTACTTCTTTCTACACAGACACAGTAACAATCTGATCTCTCTTTCTTTTCCCCACATTTCCCCCTTTTCTATTCGACAAAACCGCCATCTTCATCATGGCCCGTTTTCAATGAGCTGTTGGGTACACCTCCCAGACCGGGTGGCGGCTGGGCAGAGGGGCTCCTCACTTCCCAGTAGGGGCGGCTGGGCAGAGGCGCGCTCCCCCACCTCCCAGACGGGGTGGCAGCCGGGCGGGGGCTGCCCCCCACCTCCCGGACGGGGCGGCTGGCCGGGCGCGGCTGCTCCCCGCCTCCCGGAAGGGGCAGCTGCCGGGCGGAGGGGGTCCTCACTTCTCAGACGGAGCAGCTGGTCAGAGACACTCCTCACCTCCCAGACGGGTGGCGGCGGGGCAGAGACACTCCTCAGTTCCCAGACGGGGTCGCGGCCGGGCAGAGGCACTCTTCACATCTCAGACGGGACGGTGGGGCAGAGGCGCTCCCCACATCCTAGACAATGGGTGGCCGGGCAGAGACGCTCCTCACTTCCTAGACAGGATGACGGCCGGGAAGAGGTGCTCCTCACTTCCCAGACTGGGCGGCCAGGCAGAGGGGCTCCTCACATCCCAGATGATGGGCAGCCAGGCAGAGGCACTCCTCACTTCCTAGACGGGGTGGCGGCCGGGCAGAGGCTGCAATCTCGGCACTTTGGGAGGCCAAGGCAGGCGGCTGGGAGGTGGCGGTTGTAGCGAGCCGAGATCACGCCACTGCACTCCAGCCTGGGCAACATTGAGCACTGAGTGAGCCAGACTCCGTCTACAATCCCGGCACCTGAGAGGCGGAGGCTGGCAGATCACTCATGGTCAGGAGCTGGAGACCAGCCCGGCCAACATGGCGAAACCCCGTCTCCACCAAAAAATACGAAAACCAGTCAGGCGTGGCGGCGCGCACCTGCAATCCCAGGCACTCGGCAGGCTGAGGCAGGAGAATCAGGCAGGGAGGTTGCAGTGAGTCGAGATGGCAGCAGTACAGTCCAGCCTCGGCTGGGCATCAGAGGGAGACCATGCAAAGAGGGAGGGGGAGGCGGAGGGGGAACGACCCATGATTCATTTTCAATGTAAATCCAAGCACCATGTGACTCATAATTTTAATCCACAGTAAAACCTGGGTGTGTTAGGAAACTTGTGATGAGACAAATTTGTGTCCTTCCAATTATTTAGATCTAGAAACAGACCTAACATCAAGGGCAAAAACCAAACAGGAACCCCTGGTTCCTGTTCCTCATGGTGGAAGAGATTTGCCTTATCATAGAAGTTACATACTTTCATTAAAATGTTTCGTTGATAAATGTAATTTTCCTTTCATTCATATTTGTTATAATGATTGGTTTGACAAAAATAAAATCAGTATAAATTACTTTGAAATATATCAGAGGGAGGAAGACTAACAGTAATGAGACTACTTTCCTTAGTGTTCTGAAGTTATATAGGCAATATCCTTTTAAATGAATGAATGTGAGAAATGGAAACAGCAAGGTGTGGTGGGGGGCGGGGGCGGGTGGCAGTGAGAAATGGAAACAGCAGAGGGAAAAGAAAATCACCCAAATTCCTTCCACCCAAACTTCACAACTATGGCCACTATTGACATTTGGATTTATTTCTCTCTGGTCTTTTATTTTGTTTAGTATTTTAATTATGAAGTCTAACATATATACAGAAAAGCACATGAAGGCCAGGTACAGTGGCTCATGTCTGTAATCCCACCACTTTGGGAGGCTGAGGCAGGAGGATCACTGGAGGCCAGGAGTTCAAGACCAGCCTGGGGAATATAGTGAGACCCTGTCTCTACAAAAATAAAAATAAACTACCTGGGTGTGGTTGCATGTGCCTGTGGCCCCAGCTACTCATGAGGCTGAGGTGGGAGGATTGCTTGAGTCCAGGAGTTCAAGGCTGCAATGGAATAGGATTGTACCACTACACTCCAAGCTAGGATACAGAGTGAGACTCTCGAAAGAAAGCAAGCAAGAAGGAAGGAAGGAAGGAAAAGAAAGGGAAGGAAGGAAAAGAAAGGGAAGGAAGGGAAGGAAGGAAGGGAAGGAAGGAAGGAAGGAAATAAATCACATGAAGCTTCTATGTACAGTTTAATAAACAGTTAAAAAGTGATTGCTAGTATAACCACCACCCAGGACAAGAGATGAAACACTGTTGGAATCTCTTGCCTGTTTCCTTCCCCTATACTCCCTAAAGTCAGGACTACTCTGATTTTGTGGTAGCAAATCTCTTTCTTTTCTTGATAAATTTACCACTTGCATTACTGCCAACCATATATATACCCCTAAACCATGCACTTTAACTCTATTTTTCTAGTTTATATAAATGTACTTACGCTGTTGTCTTTTGTGTCTTGCTTTTTAAAATTCAATGCTATCTTTATTAGATTCACCTGTTTTTGTATTTTAAAATTCAATGGTATATTTGTAAGATTCATCTTTGTTTTTGTCTATAGCTGTAGTTTAATTTTTACTATTATATAATATTCCATTATATGACTATGCCACAATTTATCCGTGTACTAATGGCATTTAAGTTGTTTCCATATTGAAGCTATTACAATGTTTGGATATGTGTCTTGGTAGGCAGATAGCCATGCATTCTGGTGGGGGATACACTTAGGAGTGTAATGGGTGGTTATAAGTAGGAGTTATAATCATATTTAAACATTTTAATATCATCAAGGTGCAGTGGCTCCCCAGTGCTTTGGGAAACTGAGGAGGGGAGGACCACCTGAGGCCAGCAGTTTGAGGCTGCAGTGAGCTAGAATCGCACTCCTGTTCTCCCAGGATTGCTTGAGGTCAGGAGTTTGAGACTAGCCTGGGCAACATAGCAGGACTCCGTCTCTACAAAAAATTAAAAATTAGCCAGGCAAGGCGGTGCACACCTGTAGCCGTAGCTACTCAGGAGCTGAGGAGGGAGGATTGAATGAGCCCAGGAGTTCAAGGTTACAGTGAGCTATGATCACACCACTACATTCCAGCCTGGGTAACAGAGCAAGCTCCTGTTTCAAAATAAGGAAATAGGCTGGGTGTGGTGGCTCACCTCTGTAATCCTAGCATTTTGGGAGGCTAAGGCAGGTGGACTGCTTGAGCTCAGGGCTTCAGTATCAGCCTGGGCAACGTGGCAAAATCCCATCTCCACAAAAAATACAAAAAATTAGCTAGGCATGGTGGCACACACCTGTAGTCCCAGCTACGCAGGAGGCTGAGGTGGGAGCATCGCTTGAGCCTGGGAGGTCGAGCCTGTAGTGAGCCATATTTGTGCCACTGCACTCCAGCCTAGGTGACAGAGTGAGATACTATCTCAAAAAAATTAAAAATAAAATAAGAAAGTAAATAAAAAATTAAAATAAAAAATGTACAGTAAAAATGTGGTATAAAAGATAAACAGTGGTACACCTGTATAGGGCACTTCCCATGAATGGAGCTTGCAGGACTGGAAGTTGCACTGGGTGAGTCACTGAGTGAATGGTGAGTGAATTTGAAGGCCTAGGACATTCCTGTACACTACTCTAGACTTTGTGAACACTGTACACTTAGGCTACACTAAATTTATTTATCATTTTTTTCTTTCATCAGTAATAAATTAAGTTTCAGAATAAAGAAATAGGCTGGGACTGGTGGCTCACCTCTGTAATCTCAGCACTTTGGGAGGCTGAAGCAGACGGATCACCTCAGGGGAGGAGCTCAAGACCAGCCTGGCCAACATGGTGAAATACCGTCTTTACTAAAAATACAAAAATCAGCCAGATGTGGTGGTGCATTCCTGTAATCTCAGCTACTCGGGAGGCTGAGGCAGGAGAATTGCATGAATCCAGGAGGAAGAGGTTGCAGTGTGCTGAGATCGCGCCATTGCACTCCAGCCTGGGCGATAAGAGAGAGACTCTGTCTCAAAAAAAAAAGAAAGAAAGAAAGAAAGAAAGAAAGAAAACAAAGAAAAAGAAAAAAATTAAATTTCATATACTGCAATTTTTTACTTTATAAACTTTTTAATTTTCTTAATGTTTTGACTCTTTCATAATAATAATAATACTTAGCTTAAAGCACAAACACATTGTATGGCTGTACACAAACATTTTCTTTCTTTATATCCTAATTCTATAAGCTTTTTTCTATCAAAATTTTTAATTTTTTTTCTTATAAGACACAAACACACACATTAGCCTAGGTCTGCACAGGGCCAGGATCATTAATATCACTGTCGTCCACGTCGGCATCTTGTCCCACTGGAAGGTCTTCAGGGACAATAGCATGCATGGAGCTGTCATCTCCTGTGATAATGATGCCTTCTTCTGGAATACCTCAAGGACCTACCTGGGGCTGTTTTACAGTTAACTTTTAAAAAGATAAGGACAAGGAGTGCACTCTAAAATAATAAAAAGTATAGTATAGTCAATACAACTATTAACAGTCATTTTTTATCATTATCAAGTATTATGTACCATACATCATTGTACATGCTGTGGTTTCACAGGACTGGCAGTGCTGTAGGTTTGTTTATAGCAGCATCACCACAAACACATGAGTAATGCATTGTGCTATGACATTATAACAACTATGACTTCACTAAGACATAGGAATTTTACAACTCTGTTATAATCTTTTTTTTTTTTTTTAAGATGGAGTCTCACTCCATCTCCCAGGCTGGAGTGCAGTGGCGCGATCTCAGCTCACTGCAGCCTCCACCTCCTAGGTTCAAGCAATTCTCTGCCTCAGCCTCCCAAGTAGCTGGGATTACAGGCGCCTGCCACCATGCCCGGCTAATTTTTGTATTTTTAGTATAGACAGGGTGTCACCATCTTGGCCAGGCTGGTCTTGAACTCCCGACCTTGTGATCCACCCGCCTTGGCCTCCCAAAGTGCTGGGATTACAGGCGTGAGCCACTGTGCCCGGCCAACTCTGTTATAATCTCATGGGACTACTGCCAGTCCTTCATTGACTCAAGTCATTATGCAGTGTGTGACTGCACATGGTTAAAGGAGACAGCAATCAGATTTTATAGCCTTGTCTTTTGTAATAAATTCACTCCATTTTCTAATTTGTTTGTAAAAATGATACAAAATACTAAAACATAATACAGTTGGCCCTCCAGATCCATGGGTTCCATATCCATGGATTCAACCAACCACAGATTGAAAATATTTTGAAAAAACTATGTATCTCTATTGCATATGTACAGACTTTTTTTCTTGTCATTGTTTTGTATACAATACAGCATAACAGCTATTTACATAGCACTTATATTGTATTAGGTATTATAAGTAACGTATGGAGATGATTTACAGCATATGGGAGGATATGTGTAGTTTATATGTAAATACTATGCCATTTATATCAGGGACTTGAGCATTTATGGATTTTGGTATCCATGGTTACTGTATCTGTGGGGTATTCTAGAACTAATCCCTCATGGGTACTGAGGGATGACTGTACTTAAAAAATAGGCACACAATCTCATGAGTTATGGTCACTTACATACGAAGGCTTTTCTGGTTGTAATTGTTGTTTTGTCATGAAGATATTAAAGCCTTGGTTTCAGACAATTTTTAGGGAATTATTTCTTTTCTTTTCTTTTTTTTTTTTTGAGACGGAATCTCCCTCTGTCGCCCAGGCTGGAGTGCAGTGGCACCATCTCGGCTTACCGCAACCTCCGCCTCCTGGGTTCAAACAATACTCCTACCTTGGCCTCCTGAGTAGCTGGGATTACAGGTGAGCACCACCATGCCCGGCTAATTTTTTTTGTACTTTTAGTAGAGACGGGGTTTCACCATATTGGTCAGGCTGGTCTCGAACTCCTGACCTTGTGATCTGCCCGCTTTGGCCTTCCAAAGTGCTGGGATTACAGGCGTGAGCCACCGTGCCCGGTCGGGAATTACTTCTTTAAAAAGTGTGGTGAATGTTTGCCCCACCAGGAAAATCCTAGAATTTAGCTTAATCTTTCTGTCCAATGTTCAGTTTTAAGCTCTACAATTCTGGGATAAACAGAAATTAAAGTGTCATATTTTCAAAAGTTCACTCTTAGACATCTCCTTCCAATCTAGTTTTGAAAACAATTTTAGAAGTTTTTCTGTGTAGGCTCCCTGCCCCTCCACTTCCTACACTACCTCACTGTCCAGTAAAACTTTTTGCTATGATTTGACACAGGAATCAAGGTTGCTAAGAGACCACCTGTGCTGAATACACTTTGTTCTGGCAAGAGCAGAAAACTGAGAAGCCGTGTTACCTACCACTACCTGGGATTAATTCAGGTGAGAAATGGGTCTCTACTCACTCCTCATTCCTCACTAATTGTCTATTCCCCTCCTCACTTCTTATTTCAGTCTCTCTCTTACTCTATTTGGAGAGAGTTGAAGGTACCCCTGGGAGCCACAGACTGAAGAAACACAAGCTGGAGTTTGAGGTTTCTGGAGAGAAGGAAAATCACTTTGCAAACCCGTGTATTATTTTTGCTCCTTGTTGCTGAAACACAGGCAAAAGGAATTGTTGCATGCAGGGAAAATTCTAGGTGTTTCTTTTGCTAATGATTATTGTATAATTTGGGGCAAGTAATTCCCTTCTCTAGGAATGGAGCAATTTATTACAGAAATTATCAAGATAGCTCAAAATGGGAGTAGACAACACTGGCAGAGTACTCATTTCTTTCCCCTTCTCTTTTTCTTATTCTCTCTTAAAAGTCTACCTGCCTTTTTTATTTTGGGGTGAAAATAGTAGATGAAATATTTTACTACCCAAATCTTGCCACGTTTTTGATACTGACGTTCATTTTAAGTTGAGTATATATGGGGAACTTTGGTGTAAGGCTTTGAAAACCACTTATTTGCCTTTACATCCCCTGTAAAAGGGATTAAGAATGCTTCTAAATGTCCTGCCTAACAGACGTTTGGTAAACTGTTCCAACAATGTGGAATGCAGACCACAAATTCCAGGTAGTTTTTAAAACCTGTTTTATTAATACAGAAATGTGGAGGAAATTAAATGTTTGATGTCTTAGTAAGTAACCAAAACATGACAGACAGGATCTTGAGGAAAGAAAAATACCTTTTTTTTTTTTTTTTTTTGATCAGTACCTGCCTTTTTTCATGTCTTCAAATTCTCACTTCCTGGTAACACCAATAGTACAAGTTAGAGGAATAGCAGCTTCACCAATGCCAATAAAAATGATTGAAATGACTGCAGATACTTGATAAATAAACTTACTACAGATAACATGAAAAGGGAATGGCCACTATGAAAGTTCCTTGAGCTGTTTGTTTTAGAAAGAAAGGCAAGTTTGGCATAGAGAAAAGCCTGTGATTTTGACAGAAAGTGGTCAAAATAAATGGGAGAAAAATATTTTATTTCATTGATTGGTTACAAATAGGTGTGGAATATTCCCTGGAAGACTTACCTTGTTCACAATCTTTTTATAGTGGAAATATTAGATTGAGTTGAAAGAATCAGTATTATAAATGTGTTCATTTGAGGATACTTTTCTCTTTTTTCCTAGGGAGCGGGATAATTCTGGATATGACTGGTAAAAACTGGATATTAATTTCTACTACTACTCCCAAAAGTCTAGAAGATGAAATTGTGGGAAGACTTCTAAAAATTTTGTTTGTTATCTTTGTTGACTTAATTTCTATTATATATGTTGTGATAACTTCTTAGAAAGCTGACTTCCTTTCCATGTACATTTCAAACTGAATTACAGTGAATAAAAATTTGTATTTTAACTTGTTGAGTGACTCACATTTTATGACATTGCCAATTTATTCTAGAAGCCAACAGGACACTGCAATACAAACAACATTGTGTATTGTTTAGTTCTTTATGGTTTATGAAACATTCACATATACTGAAGTGAATTTTTTTCCCCAAAAACATCTATCCTACTGAGTCATGAAACTTCTAGATTTTTAGCCAGGTGTGGTGGCTCACACCTGTAATCCCAGCACTTTGAGAGGCCCAGGTAGGCGGATCCCTTGAGTGCAGGAGTTCGATACGGGCCTGAGCAACCTGAAGAAATCCCATCTCTACTAAAAATAAAAATTAAAAAAATTTGACAGGCATGGTGGTGCATGCCTGTATAGTCCCAGATACTCATACTCGGGATGCTGAGGTGGGAGAATCGCCTGAGTCCAGGAAATCAAGTTTGCAGTGAGCTGTGATCACACCACTGCACTCCAGCCTGGGTGAAAGAGAGAGACCCAGTCTCAAAACAAAAACAAACAAACAAACAAACAACTTCTGGATTTTTTTAACATAGTCGTTATTTGGTGTATTGACTAAAATTTATACGTGAGATTGTGAGTGAAGTTGATTTTTTAGGATGTGTACCTATGTGACATTTTATATAATTCTATTTTTAACATACCAAGTTTAACATTCCAGTAGCATAATCTTTACATATGCTGTACCAATTTTCTTATACACATATTTCATCTGTTTGTAGGTGGATTATTTTTCTTAACCCTGGGCAATTGGATAAGTGAGAAATATTTCTATCAACAAAGACTTACGAATGAAAATACTTAGAAGAGATTCTTTTAGGAAAACAACTTATAAGAAAGGAGAGAAGGCAGAGTATAACCTATGTTGAGTTCCTATTTGGGACTAAATGCTCACTCTATGTCATTTAATCTAAGGCTTACAATAACCCTAGGTGGCAGGCACTTCTTGCCTCCATTTTACAGATGAAGAAACTGAATCTTGGAAGAATTGTGCCAGTTTGAGGCCAACACTAGGAAGTGTCTGGAACCGGATCCGGAGGCTTCACAATCTATATGTTGCCTCCAAAGGTAAATAATAACTTTATAAGACAAGTGTAGTTAAAAACCAATCTGTAGAGCTAAACTCTTTTTCTTACAGTAATTCTTTATTCAAGTTCCTCTTGCTGTATTTAATATTGCCTCTGTTTTCTTATTCCATATTTAAACATTTTTTTTTATCAAGAAGAAAGATCAAGTTTACTTTTTTCTTATGTCCCACTCGAAAATGTGTTCTCTTCCCCTGTTTTCTCCATTTCCGCTTTATCTCACAGGGTTAAAATATAACTGTTGAACTTCTACTTTTTAAGCTTTTGAAAAACAAATGACTCTCTGTCCTTTAGACTTTTTGAGTTCTTACTTTGGACACACATACTCAACAAAATTCTGAGTTCTTCTATGTGATAATTGTTTTCTTTGATTTGGTCCAATCATTAATGCAAGGTTTCATAAGAGATCTAATTAAGTGTGAAAGGAATCTGGACCTTTGAGACATATCCTTTAACCAGCTCTTACTTAACCTGTCAGCAGTGTTGTATATTTAACCACAAACCAAATAGAGTCAAACTGAGTGTTAATTGAAAACAGTAGCAGAACGTCCTATTCTTCCTCTACACTGTATTATTAGACCATACCTTTGGGGTATAAGGACCACCTCCTGTTGATGTGATGTGCTTCTCCTCAAACCCCTATATTTGAGATTTGTTGGAACCCATTATCAGGTCACTCCTGTTTTCAGGCAGTTGTTTCTTTTCTCTGGGAACTTCCAGGCAGTAGACAAGGTGGTCCGAATCATCTATTCTGAAGCCAGACTGCTTGGGTCACTTCCTATAGTTCGACAGCCCTATGTCTCTCAGCTTCCTTACTTATAAAATGAGAGCCTAGCTCATAGGGTTGTAGAGAAAACGAAATGAAGTAACTGATGCAAAGTGCTTAGTACAGTCCCTGGCATATGGGAAACCTTTAATCTATGATAGATTGCTGTCATTATTATCCTCAGGTGGGAGCAAAAGTGATGTGGCTTCCTTCAAACTTACACTCCCCCTTACACTTAGAATGACCTCATATTAACCCATCACATTGGCCCAAGGAGGTGATTATGTTCCACAGGAACCTAGGCATAGTTCTGCTGGAGGTATAGATCTAAACTGGCTGACCTCGCAGGGCGTCTTTTGGTTATGTTATTTTGGGAGCTGGAAGTTACAACTAGGTACCATAATGTGACTTGAGACAAGAAAAGATACATGATAAACATCCTTTTTCAACAAGTAATAAGAGTCTTAATATGCAAGTGTTGTGGCTTTATAATTGGCAATAGGTCATTTTTTTCTTCAGTCTTCAAAAATATTCATTCAGTTCCTTTTTGCCAGATTGGGCTGGGCAGCCAGGCCAAGTTGTAAACAAAACACAGCTACTGTTCTCATGGAGTTCAAAGCTTGGTGGGGAACATGAATGAATACCGAAATGGTGCAATTACAATTGGGGGAAGTATTGGGAAGGATATGCTCACGGTGTTATGAAGGATATAGTGAGAGATGATTCAAGAACTATTAGCAGTAGCAACTTCTGGGAGCTTGTTGGCATCCATAATCCTAGTCCCCCTGAGACCTACTGAATTCAGAATCCACATTGTAACAAGATCCCCAGTGTTCCATACACATCTTATGGTTTGAGAAGCCTTGCGAAGCTCATGTGACTAAGTGTTCCTGCCATCTTATTGCTCTGGCTATTGAGCTATGTGACATTTGGACAAGTTGCTTAATCTCTCTGGGTCTCATACTCCTCCTGCATTAAAATAAAGAGAGACACAAACAAAAATGGCACAAATACCACATGCTTTGCGTATCACATATAAATATGTGAATGTCAAATGAATTGGGCAGAAACTGACACAAAAATGCATACCAGAAAGTAAGGGCTCCACCCCTCATATTGCCTTATGCCCAATTTCTGCCTCCAAAGAAAGAAAAAGTAAAAACTAAAAGGCAGAAATGAAATCCACAGGCAGACAGCCCAGCACCACACCCTAGGCCTGGTAGTGAAAGATCGACCCCCGACCTCATCGGTTATATTATCTATAGATTACAGACATTCTATAGAAAAGCACTGTGGAAATCCCTATCCTGTTTTGTTCCTATCTAATTACCAGTGCATGCAGCCCCCAGTCACGTACCACCTGCTTGCTCAATCGATCACGACCCTCTCACGTGCACCCCCTTAGAGTTGTGAGCCCTTAAAAGGGACAGGAATTGCTTACTCAGGGAGCTTGGTTCTTGAGACAGGAGTCCTGCCAATGCTCCCGGCTGAATAAACCCCCTCCTTCTTTAAGTCGGTGTCTGAGGAGTTTTGTCTGTGGCTCGTCCTGCTACATTTCTTGGTTCACTGACTGGAAGTGAGGTGATTGGCAGATGGTTGAGGCAGCTCCTTAGGTGGCTTAAGCCTGCCCTGTAGAACATCCCTGTGGGGGACTCCTACCAGCCCGAGTGACGCAGATCCTGAGAGCGCTCCCGGGTAGGCATTTGCCCCAGTGGGACGCCTCACCAGAGCAGTGTGTGGCAGGCCCCTGTGGAGGATCAACGCAGTGGCTGAACTCCAGGAAGGAATGGGCACTTGGAGTCTGGACATCTAAAACTTGATAAGACTAGTCTTTGAAACTTGCCCACTCCGTTTGAGTGCAAGCGTGGCCTGATCACCCATGGAGTGCCTTTATTGGCACTTGATTTTGGTTTAGACTTGGTTTGAATTGCTTGACAGGACTGGTCTTAGGAACTTGCCTACTCCATTTGAGTGGAAGCGTGGCCTGATCACCCATGGTGTGCCTGTACCGGCACTTTGGTTTTTGTTTTTGACTTGACTTGGATTGCTTGATACTTTAGTTTTGGTTTTGACCTGGCTTGGATTTCTGGATACTCTGATTTTGGTTTTGATTTTGGTTTGGTGCAAACTGTGTGTATGTGTGTGTGTGTGTGTGTGTGTGTGTGTGTGCCCTTTTTACCTGTTCTTTTGTGGTGTGCGTGTGGTGTGAGCGTGGTGTTTTGTCTCAAAGAAGAGTAGGTCAGGCACAGATAAGCCCACCCTACTAGGAACTATGTTGAAAAATTTCAAAAAAGAATTTAAAGGAGACTGTGGAGTACTATGACACCAGGAAAACTTAAAACTTTGTGTAAGAGAGACTGGCCAGCATTAGAGGTAGGTTGGCCATTAGAAGGAAGCCTGGACAGGTCCCTTGTTTCAAAGGTATGGCACAAGGTAACCTTTAAGCCAGGGAACGCAGACCAGTTCCCGTATGTAGACACTTGGTTACAGCTGGTTTTAGACCCCCCTCCCCCAACACACAGTGGTTGAGAACAGCAGCATAAGCGGCTGGCAGAGGCAAGGAAAGATCAGCAGAGAGAGAGAAAGGAAAGAGACAGAGAGGAAAAGAGGCAAAGAGAGAAAGGAAGAGACAGAGAGGAAGAGACAGACAAAGAGGAAGTCAAGGAGAAAGACAGCGAGAGAGAAAGAAAGAGAGAGGCAGAGAGAGAGAGAGGAAGAGACAGAGGCAAAAGGAAAGTAAAAGAGAGAGAGGGAAAGACAAAGAGAGAAAGAAAGAGAGAAAGAGAGAGATATACAAGCAGTTAAGAAAAAAAAAAGTGTACCCATTCCTTTAAAAGCCAAGGTAAATTTAAAACCTATAATTGATAATTGAAGGTATTCTCTGTAACCCTATAACACTTCAATACCACTTTGTAGTCAGCGTAAACAAGGGAGTATCCTGAAAGCACTGAGGCCTTCCTATCAAAAATCCTTAACCCAGTAACCCGCAGATGGCCCAAATGCATTCAATCTGTAGCAGCAATTGCTTTGCTAACAACAACAACAAAAAAGTAAAAAAAAAACTTTTAGAGGAAACGTCATTGTGAGCACACCTCACCAGTTCAGAAGTATCCTAAGGTTAAAGAAAAAAAAAAAAGGAAAAAAAGGGGGGGCGGAATTTATATAAAAAGAGTATTGTATGGTAAATTCTTGTCCTGAAATAAATTAACTGGTTGTTTAAAGAAAGAAATATTTGTCATAAGTCAGAAAGTTGAAGCAGCATGTCGAAGAATTGTCTGCAAAAGTCATGAAAGAGAAAAATGTTATAAAAAAGAATTTATGCAAAAAATGTTGTATAATTTAAAAGTAACTAGGCCTCCTGAATGTAAAACTACTGAAAAAAAAACCAAAACAGTTTATGTGCACGTTGTATAAGAAAAGTAAAATATACCTTTGGTAAAAGGATTATAAGGAGGCATAAGAATGTACATTTTTACCTACATTAAAAAGTTAAAAAAAATTATTGTTTTGAAGATTTAAGCAAGTTTTAAAATATTAATTATAAAGAAAATTCTGTGTGTAAACATCTTAACTAAAGTTAAAGAAGTATCATCCAGTTTTGCTGTGAACTGGACATTAAAGTAAAAGCATAACAGGTTTTTCTTAAAGCACCAACCTGCTCTTTAGCAAAAATTATAAAAGGTTAAAAAGAGTTTATAAAATCTTACCTTATGGTCTGACATTAAAAATTAGATAAATATATCTACAAGGTTTTATTAAAATTAGGTTTAACATTAATAACATACTAATATAAAGATAAAATTTAGCTTATCTGATATAAAAATCATACGAGAAGCATTGTTAAATGTAAAATGGTATTTGGGTTTCTTTGGTTTAAAAAACTAATAAAAATAGGTGCTAAAGGAAATTTCTCAGTAAAAAGGCACTAAGGACTATAAAGTCCACTGCTAAGGTCCCCACATTTAAAACAAAAGGTCAATTCTTAAAAGTTATATACTTGGTTTATCTTCCACTTTCCTTTCTCTCAAAAACTAAAAGTCTTTTAGCATATGTACCACCCCTAGAATTTCCAGTAAACGAGCGTTAGCCTGAAGATCACGTTCTCATCAAAGGGTGAAAAGAAGAAAAACTCGAGCCAGCCTGGGAAGGACCCTACCTTGTGCTGCTAACCACCAAGACTTCTGTTCGTATAGCAGAAAAAAGATGGACTCATCACACCCGAGTCAAGAAAGCGCCACCCCCTCCAGAGTCGTGGGCCATAGTCCCAGGGGAAAACCCTACCAAACTAAAGCTAAGAAAAATTTAACTCTTTTCATCTATTCTATTTCTCTTTCATCGTTCTATTGCTAAGCATCTAGTTAGTAACATAATCAAGTCAATTTCACCTCAAACTATTGCATTTAATGCTTGCCTTATTATACCCTGTGGGGACTTGCCAAGTCAAAGCAGCTTTCTACTTCAGAAAAGTACTTCTGTCCCTCATGACTCTCCTCAGACTGGGCATTAGTAAACTAGGACCATTTAATCTGGGGAGATTTTGATAAAATCCTGGTGCCAACCAGGAGTCTTGCCCCCCGATGTAGAACTTTCATGCCATAGTTGGTCCAACGTTCTGTGGACCACTACAGAGCAAGGATGGACTGCTCCAACCGGTTTTTGTAATTTCCTAAAACCATACATTCATTTTACTAGAGGATCATAGAAGTTAAAGACTTAAAACAAACTTAAGCAATTAAAACAGGATACCAAGATGCAAATGCCTGGTTAAAATGGATCAAATATTCCATCTGCATGTTAAACAAAAACAATTGTTATGCTTGTGCACATGGCAGGCCAGAGGCCCAGATTGTCCCCTTTCCACTAAGGTGGTCCTCCAGTCAACCAGGCATAGGCTGCATGGTAGCTCTTTTCCAGGATTCTACAGCCTGGAGTAATAAGTCGTGCCAAGATCTCTCTGCTATATCCCAAAGTCCAGCACCCTGTGGATAAGCCCCCGAGGGCCATCCAGCCTCCATCTCCCAACACTAAGTTCACTTCGTGTCTCTCATGACAGGGAGGAAACTTAACATTCCTTGGAGACCTGAAAGGATGCAGTGAGCTTAAGAATTTTCAAGAGCTTATCAATCAGTCAGCCCTTGTTCATCCCCGAGCGGATGTGTGGTGGTATTGTGGTGGACCTTTACTGGGCACTCTGTCGAATAACTGGAGTGGCAATTGTACTTTAGTCTAATTGTCTATCCCTTTTGCCCTGGCATTTCATCAACCAGAAGGAAAAAAAATAAGACATTGTAAAGCAAGAGAAGCCCCTTATGGGTCTTTCGACTCTCATGTCTATTTAGACACAACTGGAGTCCCACGAGCAATACCAGATCAATTTAAAGCTTTAAATCAAATAGCTGCAGGATTTGAGTCAATATTTTGGTAGGTGACAGTTAATAGAAATGTAGATTAGATAAACTACATCTATTACAACCAACAGCAACGAGCTTTTCATGAGTTAAAAGAAAAACTCATGTCGGCCCCAGCCCTGAGGCTACCTGACCTGACAAAACTCTTCACACTCTATGTGTCAGAAAGGGAAAAAATGGCAGTTGGAGTTTTAACCCAGACTGTGGGGCCCTGGCCAAGGCCAGTGGCCTATCTCTCAAAACAACTAGACAGGGTTTCCAAAGGCTGGCCCCCAGGTCTAAAGGCCCTAGCAGCAACGGCCCTGTTAGTGCAAGAAGCAGATAAACTAACCCTTAGGCAGAACCTGACTATAAAGGCCCCGCATGCTGTGGTAACTTTAATGACATCATTGGTTAACAAATCCTAGATCAACCAAGTACCAAAGCTTGCTTATGTGAAAATCCCCACATAACCATTGAAGTTTGCAACACACTAAACCCCACCACCTTGCTTCTGGTATCAGAGAGCCCAGCTGAACGTAACTGTATAAAGGTGTTGGACTCAGTTTATTCCAGCAGGCCCAACCTCCGAGACCATCCTTAAACATCAGTAGACTGTGAGCGGTATGTGGATGGGAGCAGCTTCGCCAACCCCTGCAAAGTGACTCTGAAGAAGATGACAAGCCCTGCTCCAGTCACACCTGGAAGCTGACTGGTCCACGCATGGCCGAAGAATGAGAAAACTCATCGCGGGACTCATTTTCCTTAAAATTTGGACTTGTACAGTAAGGACTTCAACTGACTTTCCTCAGATTGAGGACTGTTCCCAGTGTATACATCAAGTCACTGAGGTAGGGCAAAAGGTTGCTACAGTCCTATTATATTATGGTTATTATATGTGTACTGGAACTCTAAAAAGAAATTGTTTGTATAATGTTATTCTATACAAGGTGTGTAGCCCAGGAAATGATCAACCTGACGTGTGTTACGACCCATCTGAGCCTCCCATGACCACAGTTTTTAAAATGAGATTAAGGACTGAGGACTGGTGGCGGCTCATAAACGATACAAGTAAAGTGTTAGCCAAAACAGAAGAAAAAGGGGTGCCCAAACAAGTCACCTTAAAATTTGATGCCTGTGCTCTCATTAATAGTAATAAGTTAGGAATAAGGTGTGGTTCTCTTAATTAGGAAAGAGGCTATATGGCAGAAAATAAGTACATCTGTCATAAATTAGGACTGTGTGGAAATAAATGTAAATACATTTATTTACATTTGTAGTCTTGTGTCGTTTAGGCCACTTGGATAAAAAAAAAATGAAAAGGATCCAGCCCACCTTCAGAAAGGAAAAAATGTCCCTTCCTGTACTAAAAGACAATGTAACTCCTTAGAGCTAGTAACAACCAATCGCCTTGATCCTCGCTGGAAAAAAGGGGAGCGTGTGACCTTAGGAATCGACGGGCTGGACTGGATCCTCGAGTAAATATCTTGGTTCAAGGAGAAGTTTACAAATGCTCTCCTGAGCCAGTGTTTCAAACTTTCTATGATGAACTAAATGTGCCAGTACCAGAAATTCCAGGAAAAACAAGAAGTTTGTTTTTGCAATTAGCTGAGCACGTAGCCCAGTCTCTCAATGTCACTTCATGTTATGTATGTGGAGGAACTGTAATGGGAGATCAATGGCCATGGGAAGCCCGAGAATTAGTACCTCCAGACCCAGTTCCTGATGCATTCCCGGCTCAAAAGACTCACCCTGTTAATTTCTGGGTCCTATAAGCCTCAATTATTGGACAATATTGCATAGCTAGAGGAGGAAAAGAATTCACTCACCCCGCAGGACGACTTAGTTGTCTGAGACAGAAACTGTATAATGGTACCACAAAAACAGTCACTTAGTGGAGTTCACATCACACAGAGAGAAATCCATTTAGTAAATTCCCAAATTTGCAAACCGTGTGGACCCACCCAGAGTCCCACCAGGACTGGACAGCCCCCACTGGATTATATTGGATATGTGGGCATAGAGCTATACCAAATTACCTGACCAGTGGGCAGGTAGTTGTGTTATTGGCACTATTAAACCATCTTTCTTCCTACTGCCCATAAAAACAGGTGAACTCCTGGGCTTCCCTGTCTATGCTTCCTGCAAAAAGAGAATATGGCTATAGGAAATTAAAAAAATGATAAATGGCCCCCTGAGATAATCATACAATATTATGGGCCTGCTACTTGGGCACAAGATGGCCCGTGGGGATACCGGACCCCCATTTACATGATCAACCAAATCATACGGTTACAAGCTGTCTTAAAAATAATCACTAATAAAACCAGCAGAGCCTTGACTCTTCTGGCCTGGCAAGAAACTCAGATGGGAAATGCTATCTATCAAAGTAAATCAGCTCTCGACTGCTTGCTAGCAGCTGAAGGAGAGGTCTGTAAGGAATTTAACCTTACTAATTCCTGCCTATACATAGAAAATCAAAGGCAAGTAGTTGAAGACATAGTTAGAGATATGACAAAACTGGCACATGTGCCCATGCAAGTGTGGCATAGATTTGATCCTAGGGCCATGTTTGGAAAATGAATCCCAGTGCTAGGAGGATTTAAAACTCTCATAATAAGAGTTATAATAGTAATAGGAACCTGCTTACTGCTCCCTTGTTTGCTACCTGTACTTCTTCAAATGATAAAATCTTCATTACTACCTTAGTTCACCAAAATGCTTCAGCACAAGTGTACTATATGAATCACTATTGATCTGTCTTGCAAGAAGACATGGGTAGTAAAAATGAAAGTGAGAACTTCCACTATTGAGTGAGAGTCTCAAAGGGGGGGAATAAGGGAGGAGACCACCCCTCATATTATCTTATGCCCAATTTCTGACTCCAAAGAAAGAAAAAGTAAAAACTAAAAGGCAGAAATGAAATCCACGGGGCAGACAGCCCGGTGCCACACCCTGGGCCTGGTAGTGAAAGATCGACCCCTGACCTAATTGGTTATGTTATCTACAGATTACAGACATTATATAGAAAAGCACTGTGGAAATCCTATCCTGTTTTGTTCTGATCTAATTACCAGTGCATGCAGCCCCCAGCCCTTGAAAGGGACAGGAATTGCTCACTCAGGGAGCTCGGCTCTTGAGACAGGAGTCTTGCCAATGCCCCCAGCCAAATAAACCCCTTCCTTCTTTTAACTGGGTGTCTGAGGAGTTTTGTCTGTGGCTTGTCCTGCTACAAAAGGAGTTATGTAAATCCAAGTCATTATTATAAACATTAGGAAGACAAGAGCAGCTCTTCGAGGTAAGGAATCTGTGACTGCCTTTAGTAGAATTGGAAAAGGGTTGTAACAATATCCATGGCAAATATGTATGTATACAGTATGGATTGGGTAACATATAATTTCCTCTGGTAGAATTCTGTGATGTTTCATAGAACTTAATGTCCATCAGTGCTGTTATAATTAACCCTCCAACTGAAGTGGATGGTGTTTCTTAACTTGCCACTAATAAGCTTGGCATACCTGAACACAGATAGCTCTGTGCTATTAATTTCATAATCTCTTGGTATTAATTCAAGTGGACTTGCATTCTTCCCAGTGCTATAGTCCCTTGAAGAAATTATTCTGAGTTGAGAAGAGAGGTCAGAAAATGCCTTCCAGAAAGAACCCTTTTTATTTATATGTCAGTATCTAGAATTAGAGTGTACTGTGCTGTGTTTTGCATACGTCATGAAACAATCTGTACTAACAAGTATATGAGGTATTTCCATTTCATAGATAAGGAAATGCAGGTTAAGAGAAATGAAGTAAAACGCCCAGGTTCATATAGGACATCCTAACTGTGGTGATGCAGCTAGAAGGCGAGAGAACCAAGACCTCCCAGCTCAAAACCATCTGCCTCTAGAATCCTGTTGTTAAATGATTAAAACCATTCAGTTATTCTGCCTCATAACAAGCCAGAGAAGTTAATTACCTCACTGCTTCCTCATTTGGTAGACAAGAGGTTTGAACTGTAATGAGGCACCCCAATCCTAAACTCAAGGATTCAGTGAGTGAAAATGCAACCTGTTGCATCTGTCCTAAATGTGTCAGGAGACCATTTGCAAGGTCTCACTTTACAGATAACTGTTTCCTCTTCTCTAAGGCTTCCGTCTGTAATAAAATGGCATATGTATTCGCCAGTCATTAAGCTCTGTTGGGAACAGGCCCCCCCATATCTGGCCATAAACTGGCCCTAAAACTGGCCATAAACAAAATCTCTGCAGCACTGTGACATGTTCATGATGGCCATGATGCCCATGCTGGAAGGTTGTGGGTTTACTGGAATGAGGGCAAGGAACACCTGGCCCACCAAGGGCGGTAAACCACTTAAGGCGTTCTTAAACCACAAACAGTGGCATGAGCGATCTATGCCTTAAAGACATGCATGCTCCCGCTGCAGATAACTAGCCAGAGCCCATCACTTTATTTCGGCCCATCCCTTTGTTTCCCAAGGAATACTTTTAGTTAATCTATAATCTATAGAAACAATGCTTATCACTGGCTTGCTGTCAATAAATATGTGGGTAAATCTCTGTTCGAGGCTCTCAGCTCTGAAGGCTATGAGACCCCTGATTTCCCACTCCACACCTCTATATTTCTGTGTGTGTGTCTTTAATTCCTCTAATGCCGCTAGGTTAGGGTCTCCACAACTGAGTTGGTCTCGGCAAAGCTCCATTGTTTTTTGTTATTAAATATGAAGTCAGGCCTTATAAATGTGAGTCTCAGATCACTGTTCTGTGTTCAGTACCCAAATAAATTAAAGCTGTACCCATAAAACTCATTTTAATGTAATTTTTTAAATAATTTAAAAATCTCAAATACTATTTTAAGCAATTTGTTTTCAAAGAACTCACAAGTATTGGTATAATTTGGAAACAATTTCCAATTGTTTGGCCTTTATAATAATACCTCTTGTGTGACCAGCACTCTTCAGTTTATGAAGCATTGAGTGACTCATTAAGAGTTGTAGATGGGGTAACATTTGAGTGTCCACTTGAATAAAATGACTTTCAAGAACAGTAAGCCAGAGAGCCATTCCAGTAAGAATGAAAAATTCCTAAGTCTATCGCATAATTGGGATGAACTGCCTCTGTAGTGATGGGGGGCAAGGTTTGAGAGAGGATCTTAAATGTGTGGAGTTTGTATGACCACTTAGACCCAGGGTGTTGTTCTGGGCTGTTCTCTGCATGACTGTTTACTGATCTTACTGGGAGTTGTCCCACTCACTGAGCAAACTCAGGGCAAGATGCTATGTAGGCCAGTCTAAGATCAACAATGATCCCAGACTTATTTATAAACCCACAGGAAAGGCCCCTGAGAGTGCTCTGCCATCTGACCTGAGACTAGGGTGAGGAAGGATTAGTGCTAAGGCACGGGAAGTCCTTGGTGGCCAACTAGGTTTCCAGTGTGAGCCAGGAGACTCATTTGGCCTTTCAGCCAGTAGGCAGCTGCAGACTGTTCTCTGGACTCTTGTACAAGGTGCAATATCAACTACAGGGCTTGCCATTTTGGGTGTTGTATATGGAAGTTGATTATGACTCATACCATGGAGATCATTCACTCAATAAATATTTATCGAGTACCCTTAGCCTACCTGGCAGTGTTGTAGGTACAGGGATATATTAAGAGTACCAGGTAGGTGGGGCCCCTATCCTTATGGAGCTTGCTTTCAGTGAGGAAGGCAGGCAAGAAGTTGATAAACACATGAGAATTTCATGTGCTGTGGAGAAAATAAAACAGAGGAAAGAGAGAGAGAGCTTAGGTAGAGGAAGAATATTTTCGCTAGCAGGAGCTAAGAAAGTTTTCCTGAGAAAGCAACATTGGAGCAGAGACTTGATTGGTGAGGAGCCTGCTAGGTGGAGGCCTAGAGGAAGAGTGAGGACTCAGATGCCAAGGAAAGCAGATACAAAGGCCCTGGGGTAGGTAGAACTCATTAAAGCATTAGGAAGCTGATATGGTTTGGCTGTGTCCCCACCCAGATCTCACCTAGAATTGTAATAATCCCCATGTGTCAAGGGCAGGGCCAGGTGGAGATAATTGAATCATGGGGGCGGTTTCCCCTATACTGTTCTTGTGATAGTGAATAAGTCGCATGAGATCTGATGGTTTTATGAAGCACACACTCTTTTGCCTGCCATCATGTAAGAAATGACTTTGCTGCTCTTTTGCCTTCCATCATGCTTGTGAGGGCTTCTCAGCCATGTGGAACTGTGAGTCAATTAAACCTCTTTTCTTTATAAATTACCCAGTCTCAGGTATGTCTTTAATAGCATCATGAGAACAGAGTCTCACACTGCTAATAAAGATACTACAGAAGCTCACTGTGACTACAGCTTAGTGAGTAAGTGGAGAGCTAATTTTTCAAGATTGATAAAAATCAGCTTCTACATAATTTCTCTGACATTTATCCTGCAACCTGGATGGTTAGGGAAACCTTCCAATGGCAGAAGATACAGATTCTCTATGTATTGTTGTTTTTTTTTTTTTTTTTGGTTGGGGGGATGGAGTCTCACCCTGTCATCCAGGCTGGAGTGCAGTGATGCAATCTCAGCTCACTGCAACCTCTGCCTCCCAGGTTCAAGTGATTCTCCCTGTCTCAGCCACCCGAGTAGCTGGGATAACAGGCACACGCCACCATGTCCAGCTAATTTTTGTGTTTTTAGTAGAGACGGGGNTTTCACCAATGGCCAGGCTGGTCTCAAACTTCTGACCTCAGGTGATCCTCCCGCCTTGGCCTTACAAAGTGCTGGGATTACAGGCGTGAACCACTGTACCTGGCCCTATGTATTGTTCTGTGTCCTTTGTGCCAGCATATGTCACAACTTACATTAAACAGTGAATCCTGTCTCTGAAGGTTGCAATTTTTCATGGTTATTCCAGCCTGATCTTGTCTGACCCCTAACTTGGCACAATATTAAGCAGCTCTGTTACTCTACTAGATGAATTTAAAGGCTGTGTTTTGCTGACATATTTTTAAAAACTACAAGCGGAGCTAAAATTACATCTGCTGTATTTTTTTAGTAACAGCTTTATTGAGATATAATTCATATATCATACAATACAATTGACATACCTGGATGGGTAGAATCTATCTTGTAAAAATGATAATACTGCCAAAAGCAATCTACAAATTCAATGTAATTTCCATCAGAATACCACCATCATTCTTCACAGAACTAGAATAAACAACACTAAAATTCATATGGAACCAAAAAAAGTGCCCCCATAGCCAAAGAAAGACTAAGCAAAAAGAAGAAATCTGGAGGCATCACATTACCTGACTTCAAATATACTATAATGTCATAGTCACCAAAACAGCATGGTACTGGTACAAAATAGGCACACAGACCAATGGAACAGAATAGAGAACCCAGAAATAAAGCCAAGCACTTTCATCCAACTGATCTTCGACAAAGCAAAGAAAAGCATAAAGTGGGAAAAGGACACCCTATTCAACAAATGGTGCTTGACAAGCCACATGTAGAAGAATGAAACTGGATCATCTCTTACCTTATACAAAAATCAACTCAAGATGGATCAAAGACTTAAATATAAGGCCTGAAACCATAAAAGTTCTAGAAGATAAGCTAGACCTTGGCTTAGGCAAAGACTTCATGACCTGGAACCCAAAAGCAAATGTAACAAAAACAAAGATAAATAGATGGGACTTAATTAAACTAACAAGATTCTACACAGCAAAAGAAACAATCAGCAGAGCAAACAGCCCACAGAGTGGGAGAAAATCTTTGCAATCTACACATGTGACGAAGGACCAATATCCAGAATCTATAAGGAACTCAAATAAATTAGCAAGAAAAAAACAAACAATCCCATCAAAAATTGGGCTAAGGACATGATTAGACAATTATCAAAAGAAGATATACAAATGGCCAACAAACATATAAAAAAATGCTCAACATCACTAATGATCAGAGAAATGCAAATCAAAACCACAATGTGATACCACCTTGCTCCTGAAAGAATGGCCATGATAAAAAAAAATCAAATCAAATAATAATAGATGTTGGCATGGATGTGGTGAAAAGAGAACACTTTTACACTATAGGTGGGAATGTAAACTAGTACAATCACTATGGAAAACAGTGTGAAGATTCCTTAAAAAACTAAAAGCAGAACTACCGTTTGACCCAGCAATTCCACTACTGGCTATCTACCCAGAGGAAAAGAAGTCATTATACGAAAAACATACTTTCACATGCATGTATATAGCAGCACAATTCACAATTGCAAAAATATGGAACCAGCCCAAATGACCATCAGTCATTGAGTGGATAAAGAAATTGTTTTATACACACACACACACACACACACACACACACACACACACCACGGAATACTACTCAGCTATAAAAAGGAATGAAATAATGGCATTTGCAGCAACCTGGAAGGAAATGGAGACCATTATTCTAAGTGAAGTAACTCAGGAATGGAAAACCAAACATCATATGTTCTCACTCATAAGTGGGAACTAAGCTATGAGCATGCCAAGGCATAAGACTTTGGGGACTTGGGGGAAAGAGTAGGGGATGGTGAGGGATAAAAGACTACACATTGGGTACAGCGTCCACTGCTCCAGTGATGGGTGCACTGAAATCTCAGAAATCACCACTAAAGAACTTATTCATGTAAAAATAAAATAAAATAAAATAGAAAAAAAAATCAGAAAAAAATGAAAGCAAAAAAAAAAACACAAGCAGAGCTAAAGTTACATCTGCTGTATTTTTTTAAATAACAGCTTTATTGAGAGGTAATTCATATACCATACAATTCACTTGACATACAATTGACATGCAATTCAAAGTGTAAAATTTAATGCTTTTTAGCATATTTACAGAGTTCTGCAATCAACATCACAGTCAATTTTAGAAATTTTCATCATTCCAAAAAGAAACCCCATGCCCATTAGTACATGTTAGGAGCTTCTCCCCATTTTCCCTCAGCAGGTCCCCTTCTTCAGCCCTAGGCAACCAGTAATCTTCTTTCTGTCTCTAAATTCACCTAATTCTGTGATGTTCATATAAATGGAATATATAACATGTAGCCTTTCCTATCTGTCTTCTTTCCACTTAGAATTTATAAGTACTTTTTACAGCAGAATAATATTCCATTGTATGGATATACCACATTTTCTTTATTTGTTCATCAGTTGATGGGCATTTGGGTTGTTTCCACTTTTTGGCTAATGTGAATAATGCTGCTATGAACATTCATGTACAAGTCTTTGTGAGGGCATGTTTTCATTTTTCTTGGTTATGTACCCAGGAATGGAAACCATTGGCTCATCTGGTGACTCTATCTTTAACCTTTTGAGGAAGTGCCAGGCTATTTTACAAAGTGGCTGCCCCACTTTTATAGTTTTTGAAAAGATTTTCTCCTAATCTCTAGAAGGGGGAGCACATTTTTGACACCTGATAATTCTCAGCATTTGAAATGTGAAATACAGATTATGAAATAAAGAAATTTAAAGAAAATAAATGAGTTTTAAAACTCAAACCAAAGTAAGAGGTTTGAGTTTTAAAACTTTCATTTATTTTCTTTGAATTTATTTTTTATGCCATCTAATAATAATTTACCTTATTATTGGGGTTCCTTATTACCCATTACATATTAAATAGTTAATTACATAAGAAATTCCTCACATTTTCTTCAAGTGCCTTAGGTCAAGTAATGAGGAGCCAAGTTAACCTGAGATACTTTTTAATTGACAGTCATTAAATTTATTTACCTACTAAATCATTGGGTACCTACTCTATGCCAGGCATGTGTGCAGTGCTGAATATTTTCTTTGCTATTTTATACTTTGAGAGGTTACTTTATTATTTCAGGGTTGGAGGAACACTGTGTACTTCAAATAATTATCATAGCTAATGTTCCACAAGCAAGCTCTTTGCATATTGAGTTTTTTGCTTTGGGTATTTATTAGTTACATACTTCTTTTTATAAAATATGCCATTTGGGCCACACTTGACAAGTCAAACTTTTTGCAAATTACAGTTGTCAGCACCACAGGAGTTCCATTAGGTATTTATTTTTCCACCTCACAGTAATGTTCATTTCTTAATTTATTTGGTGTATATTATAACATTACTGGCTGGAGAACCTGCTGAAAAATAATCTTGACCAGCCAAAGAAAAGTTGAACTAGTGGCCTTTCCAAGAATTACATCGAAGGCAGAATCCAATCCTTTACTTCATTAAGACCACAGTTGACAGAAGATGTACCCGAGTTATAGAAATATTGATGTGATGTGGAAGGAGGGTGATGCCTGAGGAGTGATTTAATTCTATTTAAATTCACATTAAAAGGCCAAGTTTCAGACTATTTTGGTTGCTGGACTTTGATTCTCTGAACTGGTTACCATACCTGCGTGTCACTACAGAAACTTCTTGGATGAATTTGAATAACTCAGATGCCAGTTGTGTAATGGAGAGAAAAGGATAGTGCATATGACATCCGTTCATTAGTCATTGTAAATTTGTCAATGGATAGAATTTTCTTCCTTTAACTTTAGTACAGATAGGTTCAGAACCTTACTTGCCATGGGATTCTTTGGTATACTCATGAAAACAAGTACTCATATAGAACTTACGTACTATGTGTTAGGCTGTTCTGAACACTTTTTCTGGTTTAATTCATGAACCTTCACAACTACCATTTGAGGTAGGTATTATTTTCCCTGTTTTATAGATGATGAAACAGGCACAAAGAAGATAAGGACCCTCATCAAGATTAAGAAGCTAATAGGTTGTTTGGGCTTCAGGGTCTGTGCTTTTGTCCTATATGCCCTCTGCTTCTTTTAACCTCTTGGGATTTCTGTTTCTTCATCTGAAAAATTAGAAGATTAAATCCTACATTGAATATGAGGTTGCACCTGCTAATCTCCAGGGCCCTTTTCCTAAGACTCAGGTTCAGATTCAGCAGTCTCAAAAAGAGCATTCATGACCACATGTGACTAAGAAATAATCAAGACAAAAAATACCCTAGGAATTAAAACACCCAGAAGCAGCTTCTTTGTGCCTCCAAAGATGTCTGAAGAACCAGATTCAATAAAAGGAAATGCCCATAATTATCATTGTACATGATGTTGACAATCAATTCAGCCTTAGATTGGTGGGTACCAGAGTCTTTGTGATGGATCCAAGTATTTGTACCATGGGCCATACCTCTCTGTAGACTTGGAAACATAATGACTTTTAATCTAAATCCACAGTGACAGATTTGGTTGAGGATAAAGGAGCTATTGCCATGCTTCTATCTGAGCCAGCTGTACCCCTGGGGTTTGACAGACGTTAGCTTCTTACTGCCAAAAGATATTGTCTTTTTTTCCCTAAGACCTCTTTAGCCTAATCATCAATTTCTCATTCTTCTTGGTTAGGACAGTTCTATTTCCAGTGAAACTTTAGCCCTTGCTTTACCAGACACCGTTCCTTAATATACTGGTATCTCATAGGTTTTCTATTTTTTGTTTCTGTTGCATCTCTTCAGTGATCTATGATTATATTTTCCAAGCCACAAATCAAGAAACTGAATTTGACAAAATAATTTTGTACTATTTCCAGTTGCAAAAGAAATCTTGAAGATGTATTTTAGATTCAATAATGCTGGAGTTTCATGAAATTTTGATGTGTTATTGGAATGATGAGATATCATATTTGAAATTGGAACTATTCTAGAGGATCCTGCAATGTGAGGCACACTTCCCTCACTTTCTAGCAATTCTTTGTTCTTGTTATTCTAAGTTCTAACCGGAAATCCAGAAACTGTCTTAGACCTTTATCTACTAATCACAGCCACTACCAGTTATGTGGTAATTCTCTATCTTTCAAATTGGTCCCTATATCATTTTATAATTTTATAGATTTTAAGTTTTCCTATCTTTTGCCTCAGCTATTAAATCAGCCTTCTAACTAGTCTCCTTCCCAGTCAGTGTACCCTCTGACATGGTTTCTAAGAGTGATCACCTTGAAACACAAATTCAACCATGTCATTCCTCTGTTTAGAATGTTGCAATGGTTCTCCTTTGCTGGATAGTCTTCACATGGAGATGAGAACTTCCATGGTCTAAACCATTGTAGAGAACATTTGTTGTTTTTTGGCTAGTCAGCATCCCAGTTTGTTTTTGGAGAAGTATCTCTCCCCTAATGAGTACTCTCAAAGTGCCCTGTTTTCCCCTAGCTTAGAGATGGCTACATGGCCCAAACCAGGCCAGTCACACTTTCTTCTGGGACTTTGAATCTTGAATAAAACTCTGCAAGGATGGAGCTCATTAATGTCCTCATGAGAATACATAGTCCCTACCAATGAGATCTCTAAATGAACGTGGGTCCTTCCAAGTTCTCCAATTTATGCTATCCTGCCAAGAGATGGGAACTGTTAACTGCATTCAAAAGCCCTATGATTGTTTACCTTCCCCTTCCCACAAATACTCTGACTTTTAATCATTTGTAACAATCCATTGTAATTCCCTAGCATACCATGGGAGTCTTTCATGCCATGAAGACTTTGCAGATGCTCTCCTCTCTGTCTTGGAATGCCTCCCTCTCAAGCCAAGCAGTGCCTCAGACTCTGTGTTTCTTTAACATGGCACAAGTTCCCTGATTGGGGTGGTTAGCCCATTCTAGTATTACTGTCAGTCTTCTTTCCTAGATTGCAACCTCCTTTGTTTTATATGATGCCTGGCATAAAATAAACAAGATATATCATTTATTTTTAATTTTTATTTTTTGAGACAGGGTCTCACTCTGTGGCCCAGGCTGGAGTGCAGTAACACGATCTCTGCCCACTTCAACCTCTGCCTCCCAGGTTCAAGCGATTCTCATGCCTCGGCCTCTTGAGTAGCTGGGATTACACGTGTGAGCCACCATGCCCAGGCTACAAGAATTATTAGATGAATGAATAAATAAAATGACAGTATATTTTGTAGTTCATACATGGGAATTTATGTTATAGATAACAAATAAGGCACATCTCCAGAACTGAAGAAAAGGATAGAAGGTTTAAGATAATAGGATCAACATAAAATTCATGAGACTGACTATAGGAGAATTGCTGATGAAATCAGGGCAAATTTATTAAAATAGGAGTGATGATGATGATAAAGTTACGTGACAAACACAGAGCATGTATGTCACTAGCTAAGTAGTTTCTAATTAGGTAAGTAGTTTTAAAATATCATTTAAATTTATTTATTTATTTATTTTTAGAGTTGGGGGGTCTTACTATGTTGCCCAGGCTGGACTCAAACTTCTGAGCTTCAGCAATTTTCCTCCCTCAGCTTCCCAAGTAGCTGGGACTACAGGCATGTGCCACCACACTCAGTTCAAAATGCTATTTTTAATACAGCTTGGTTAAATAGTAGTGGTTGAGAGCACAGAATCCAGAGTCAGACAGCCTGGGTTTAATCTCCATACCTGTATTTTTTCATTTTTTGGATGGAATAAATTGTACCTACCTCATAAGGTTGTCATTATGAAAATAAAATAATATAGGTAAAGTACTTAGCACAGTGCCTGGTGGTTCTAGTCATTCTTCATTTGCCAGCCCACCCCATCCCAATCCAATTTCTGCCCCTCTTTGACTCTCTGTTCCTGGGAGGCTGAACCCTTATGGGCAGTATTCCATTCTCCCTCAATGCCTGCCTTCTGCGTGGGCTTGGTCAAGGGTAGGCACCACCAAGAGATCTGAGAGCAGAGAGAGAGGTGAGAGTATTGGCTGTACACCCATTTTGATGCCTTGTCTCTGGGAACAAACTACCTTCCTTCCCAATTTCAGCCCCCTTCAGGGGCTGCTAGCCCAGGCCCTGGGCACACTAGGTCTTCCCTTTGTCACTGAAGCCCCAGGAGCAGTAAAGGCTTCCCACTGTCCCTCAGCTTTGAGTGCCTCCTATTTATTCTTTTGACTCTGCCCACATTGCTATAAAGTATTTTTCCCTTAAGATTTCTTTGACTATCTGGGATGAATCCTGTTTCCTGCCCAGACCCTAATACACTGTACATAGTAATTTCTTTAAAATGTGAGCTTTGGTTATTATATTAAATTATTAATATTAAATATTTAAATTGTTAAATTATCAGTGATTTGATAATTGTTAAATTATCAAATAATAAATATTTAAATTGTTAAACTATCAACGAAATTTTCATATAGTTTGATTAACTATATAAAAACAAACATTGATATTGAGAAGGCAGGATTCAGAAGCATCTTCAAAATAAAGCAGGCCAGGCATGGTGGCTCACGCCAATAATCCCAGCACTTTGGAAGGCAGAGGCAGGAGGATCACTTGAGCCCTGGAGTTTGAGATCAGCCTGGGCAATATAGTGAGACCCTGTCTACACATCCCTCAACATACACACGATTAGCTGAGTGTGATGCTGCCTGCCTGTAGTTCCAGCTACTTGGAGGCAGAAGTAGGAGAATCGCTTGAGACCAAAAGGTTCGGGTTGCAGTGAACCAAAATCATCCCATTGCACTCCTGCCTGGGCAACAGAGACCCTGCCAAAAAAAAAAAAAAAAAAAATCCGAACTAACCAACCAAACAAACAAAAAACATAAACCAGAGGACACATTTCATATCTACAGCAAGTTGCTTGCCTATGGTTTGGAATAACTCCCAAGTACTTTGATGGAAAAGTGTAAGTAGCTCTGCAATGTGGTAGGTGGTAGGGACAGAGATGAGTAAACCATTCTATGTGAGCCCAGCCTGGGGGTAGGGTAAGTAGAGGATAATTCATGTATCCTTTTAGATTGCTTCTGTCTGCATTGATTTCAGTCTATGTTCAAACTGTTAGGAAACTGCTTGACTATATTTTTTTTCCTCAAGGGTATGTTTTTTCCTGTATAACTTTTACTTTCATGGATTAGTTACCATCTTCTAAATTACTCCCAAGAAATCAAAATTGCAGCCTGTTGAATAGATAGATCTAAGGTGACCATATTTGCCAAGTAAACATTTTTTACTTAGTGAACCAGTGGGCAAAGTCTTTGGACTACCTACACATTTTAGGCAGGATGGACCCTGTACATAGAGTAAAAGTCATGCTCTTTCTCTTACATCATGTAATGAAGAGAAGAAGGCTAAAATGTAACACTTTGAACTGAAAAACTGGTGCCGTCTGAAACTTTATGTAATACATCTAAATCAAATACTTAGGCAAAAGCACATTAAAAAAAACTGGCACTGTTTCATAAAAAGATTTGATGCACTCATCTTGTGTTTATTTTTATATAGTATGCATCTACTCCACCTGTATTTTCACAAGAAGAAATTGGATCCGTTGGTATATTTGAACTCCACACCCTGCCTTTGGTAGTAAGCCCTTCTTCCTTAATAATGACACTGTAGATCATGTAAACTGAATTTGTAGCACATAAGATTCTATGGGTGGATTTAAAATGTGGGAAATGGCTTTAAAGTGCCCTGGACAGATGCAGAAATTTTCTCTTCCTCTCCTTCAGTGAACTTTTGAGAACCTGCTATGTGCCAAGCACTCTGCTGGAGCCTGGTATAAAGCTTGGTAAGCACAGCTGGAGGTCCTACGTTATGTGTGGACCCTGGACTCACTTTGCCTGTGTCTGCCTCTGTCTCAGCCATTTTGGTGCCCTCCAACTTCGGGCACCTCTTTAACCTCATGAGGCCTTAATTTTCCTTATACATAAGAATATGCACATTCTGTATAATTTTATGTTTCTGATTTCCACTTTCATGAGAATTTAGAGTGACAATTCAGAGCAGGGTTCTCTGTAGCCTGGTCACCAAGATTCAAACCTCAGCTTCACCTCTCACTATGTGATTGAGGGCAAATTATTCAGCTTCTCTCTAGTTCATTTTCATTATTGGCAAAAGGCAGGTGATAATAGTAGAACCTACTTCTTGGGTTTCTTGTGAAGCTTTAAATTAGTGTAAGAAGTCAGTCCTCATTGTTAGCTCTCCCCAATCTTGAATCATTCTTCCAAAGTAGATTGGGAAGAGCACAGGCTTAACAATCAGCCAGATCAGGCTCGGAATCTCACTCCATCACTGACCCAGCAAGTGACTCAGCAAGTAACTTAACCATTCTGAACCCCAGTGTCCTCATCTGTAAAGTGAAGATAACAATACTTAGCCAGGCTGGGCACGGTGGCTCATGCCTATAATCCCAACACTTTGGGAGGCCGAGAAGGGAGGATCTCTTGAGCCCAGGTGTTGGAGATCAGCCTGGGCAAGATGGCAAGACCAAGTCCCTACAAATAAATTTTTCGAATTAGCTGGGTGTTGTGGTGCATGCCTGTAGTCCCAGCTACTCAGGTGGCTAAGGTGAAGGATCCCTTGAGCCCCGGAATTCGAGGGTGAAGTGAACCGTGATCATGCCACTGCACTCCAGCCTGGATGAGAGAGTAAGACCATGTCTCTAAAAAACAAAACAAAACAATACCATTGATTTATATTCCCCATTTCCCCTAAAGTAAAAATCACTTGAGCCAGATAATATGATGAAAGATAAAGGCAGGAAAATATGAAATGATATTCTGGAGAATTGCAAGTAAAAATACAATATAGTGTATCTTTAAGGTCACTTTTAACATTTGAAAATTTGTCCTTTTAAACAAAAGCTCTATAAGCATAAGAGAATGATTTATCCACTTTTATTATTTTCTGACTGTTTGTCTGTTAGAGTGTGAGAGAATAAATTGGAATTAATAGAATGGTTTATAGATAGATCTCCAAGCCAACTGCTATAAAAACCACAAAATCAGTTTTCTTTAATTGTTTTTAACACAAAGTGTAGTGTCTTTGTAGCTATGCTGTCATTCATAACAGGAGAAGAACATCATGTCAAAAGAAAAGAAACCTGAATGGTGTGGTAAGTCAGGGAGGAAAGTCTGGTCAGCCAGGCAAGCACTGGACCAGTGACTCAGGTGCTGGTCAAGTGTACCACCTTCCCCTGACCTGATGACACCTTGCTCTGCCCTCTGTGTTTCATGTTTCTGCTTCCATGCTGGGATAAGGACCAAAGAACAATTTTAGGTTAATTTCTCCATCTCATTCTCTAAAGGACTAAGGTGGCAAATAGCTTAAGAAAGGGAAGTCTTAGAACATTTCACAAATTATGAAGTTCTTAATAAATACCTAATAATAACAATGAAAAGCAAAAAATGAACTCTTTTATTTAGTTGACACCTCTATATCAACTTTTCTTTAAAAGCATTTCTCAGGTTCCTTTTCTTCCAAAGCCGGGTTCATTTAAATCTGGCTTATGTAATAGCCTGCCTTTTTCCATCTTGTTGAAACTATTTCTGAGCCTGGAGAGTGACCCAAAGGGCAGATGCTGGCCAGAGCTGTAAAGCCAGCAATATCTAACTTATCTGATTCTCGCTTGGCAAGCACAGCTTGCATTTTTTTTTTGTCACTGGATGGAAAAAAGTGGGGGCATAGAGGGGTGGTTTTAGCTTTGTCTCTGCTGACTTATCTGCCTCCCTCACCCCCAGGGTGATCTGGAGCACATCTTGAGCTTCTCCCGGTCAAATTCCATTTGGAAGTAAAGTGTCAGGACTCAACTAGATTTCTGAGTTCTTTTACATGTCTTAATGCTCCCCTGCAGATGATGGGGGCAATTTTCACATTCCAGCCTGGCAGCAGTCCCCTTAGCCAAGTGTCTACTGCCCCAGGGCAAGATTCTAGCTCTCTGATTCCTCCAAGCTCCCTTCTAGCCACTTCATTCATTACATTAGAAGCCTGGCCCTGCAGCCATCTGAGTTTATGACCCCTGAGAACCAGTCTTTCTCTCTAAAGCTGGGAGCATGCCTGTGTGTGAGCACAAGCTCATTTTTGGTTCTTAGTTGATAGGCAAGGGCTGGCCTGAGTAGAAATGGAAGTGCTGGCTATATACTCTTCTAAAAGAAATCTGGGAAAACTTGGTGCAAGTGATAACAGGCATGTGTCAATTTCAGAAACCAGTTGGTGGATGTAGAATATTTTCCAGGCACAATTTCCTTGTCCCCAAAACATAAGTTCATATACATTGATTGGTTTGAGCAACAATCAAGATAACATGTGCTCTGGTGCTTAGGAAGTATTTGAATCAAAGACAGACTTTCTAAAATTACCTTTCATTGGCTGGGTGCGGTGGCTCACACCTGTAATCTCAGCACTTTGGAGGCCAAGGCGGTGGATCACTTGAGGTTAGGCGTTCAAGACCAGGCCAACGTGGTGAAACCCCATATCCACTAAAAATACAAAAATTAGCCAGGTATAGTGCTGCGTGCCTGTAATCCCAGCTACTCAGGAGGCTGAGGCAGGAGAATTGCTTGAACCCTGGGAGATGGAGGTTGCAATGAGCTGAGATCACGCCGCTGCACTCCAGCCTGGGCAACAGAGCAAGACTCCATCTCAAAAAAACTATTTTATTGAAACATAGAGAAAAGAACACAAATTATCAGTGTATAGGTCAACGCATTACCACAAAGTGAACGCACTTGAGTAACCATAAACCAGGTAAAAAAATACAGCCTAAGAATCCCCTATTGTGTTCCCTTGCCTCTTTAGAAGTAAGTTTTTTATGGTGTTGACAGTACAGTTTCTCCATTTTTCCTTCCAGAACTTATTCTTGGGACCATGTTGCTCTCATTCTCACTGTTACTTTTCCCCTCTTCTCTTTTTCCTTCTTAGAACAAAACAAAATACTATTGACTAGCAGTGGTCATTCTCTTCACTCTAACCTGAAAGTCAATAAATTGAGTAGAAAGGACTGATGGGGGCCAAAAGGGCTGAACCTCCACCACATTTGTGCTGTAAGAAAACATGACATGGTTGCCTAGGCTCCACAGGTTTTTTAAACTCTCATCTCACACAAACTCCATGATACAGGCAAGATTCTTGTAATTTCATAGACAAGGAAACAGAGGCTCAGCAGCTTGATCAGCACTTCTGAAACCAACCCTTTGCCAGGTGTAGAGTCTTCGTCTAGGCCAGGACCTGTCACTTCAGTGTATAAAGGAAGTTCTCATCAAGGTGGTTGATGGCCGCAGTCCCCTTTAAGAAGTAGAAAGTGTGGTGCGGCTTCCCAGAAAAAACACAGAGGAACACAAAAAGTGCATATCACTTTGGAGGTTTCCCACGGCCGGCGAACCACTGGTACCTATGGACAGCCCCCAGCTGCTGCAGTGACTGAGGGATAAAACAGCCATCCATCTCTGCGCGCAAGCCCATTACCAAAGATAGTATTGCCAATGGTAGTATTGTTAGTGCAGTTCAACTGCAGGACAGACTGAACGTCCTTAGAAGCAGCCTGTGTGTGTGTGTGTGTGTGTGTGTGTGTGTGTGTGTGTGTGTGTGTGTGCACCGCAGGACGCCCTCCTTTCCCGCGGAGCTGTCACAAAGGACTGTACTTGGCATCCTCACTCCTCACTTCCCAGGATCACGGACTCCACAAAGTTCTGGTGCCCGTTTCTCCGGGACCACTGCCAGCTGAGCATACAGCTCCGGCCAGGAGGGCGCCAGCGGCCCCGGGAGCCAGGGAGACCAAGGAACACTCGCATTCATTTGTACACCCCGGCTCCCCCCAAACGCGCACGGCCCTTGGCGGGCTTGGCCAGGGCACGTGGTGGGCGGCGGGGGCACAGCGGCGCCTGGGGACGCGCGTGTGTGCGCACCGAGAGGGCGCCTGGCCGACGGCGCCCACCTCTCTCGTGGCTTTGGTGGCTCCAGGCCTGGTAGGGCCGGGGCCGCGGCTCGGGCAGTGCCCTCCCTACTCCTGGCCGGGCCGGGAGCAGCGGGAGCAGGCGCAGCGCCCCTACCGCCCGCTTTTCCGCCTCCATCTCCTCCGCCTCCTCCTCCTCCTTCCCCCAACCACCCGCGCAGTCACAACCGGTTCAGACTGGCCGGGGTGCCCCGCAAAGAGAGACAAGGGAGAAAAAGACAGCAGGGAAAACCCCGGGGAGGAGAAGGCGAAAGAGAAGGTGGAGCTCAGAGAAGGGGGCCGGCTCCCCAGCTCCATGTGGCCGCCGCCGCTGCGGGTCTGTGGGGGCAGAGGGCGGCGGCTCCCGGGGCAGCGCGTAGCGGGACCGATTGCCTAATACTCCGGCAGGGGCCGGGGCCGCAGCTGGCTCGGATAAATAGCCGCCCGGCTGGCCCGGAGCTGCAGGGGAGAGCGGCGGCCGCGATCCCCACCACACCACCAGCCCGGCCGCACGGGGCACTGAGCCGGGTGCTGAGCACCGGAGGCCCCGCCGAGGCCGGGACTCAGGTAAAGGGCTGGAGCTTGCGGGGAGGGTTCCAAAGGTGGGCAGCAGCCCCTGCTGCCCAGCGTCCTAGAGGCAAGAAGTAACTCCGACTCGGAGCAGTAGGAGGGGGCGGTGGAGCAGCATGGAACCGGGCTTTTGTCTGGGGTGTGTGCCGGGGGCTTCGAGTGTCCACGGTGCGCCCGCCCCTCGCCGCCCCCTTTTTGATGGGGTGCTTCTACAAAGTGGGCAAGTTTTCCCGGGAATCCGAAGGCGGCATTTTGTACGGAGTTGAAAGAGAGGGAGGGGGTCCTGGGGGTGGTACGGTGGCCCCCCAGAGAGCTGCCTCTGGACTCCAGAGAGCTTCCAGGGTTGCTGGTGGAAGAGCAGGGAGAGGTGCATGTGATGCAGGTGGGCCTCCATTTCCCAGAGGACCGAAAGGCCTCCAACTGCCTTGGTCCGGAGCGCGAGCAACCAGGTGCCCCCGGAGGGTTGGGAATGGGGCGCCGCGGGTACTCCTGACCTACGTGGAGCGCAGCGCGCAGGGCCGGCGGATTCTGCACGTTGGCGCCAGGTTCAGCACCACCCGGCAGCCCTGGGCGAGCGCGGGAGCCCAGCCTTCGCCACCGCCGCAGGAGGCACCGGCACCGCGCCCACCTGGACCCTCAGCCAGCACTTGGGAGGACTTGGTGCTTAATGCCCCATCTTTGGTTCGCCCTAGGTAACCTGCTCTGGCTTCAGCAGCGCCCAGAGGCTTTCCAGAGAGCTGATAACCACGAACAAACTTGGCTGTCAAAAGCAAATCAATGCTTTACCTTGTTTTCTGGGTGCCTAGTCTATCCAACACAAACTATCCCCGAAGTTTAGTCAGGATTTACGCTAAATATATTACTTATATAGTAAGTTATTCGATATAACATTTTTGGTCAATTTTCTAGGCTACAGTTTTGATGTGTTTTTTAAAAATCTTGAATTAACTGAATAACAGTTCATATTGAAGGTGGATTCTCCCATTCCCTGCACCCAGGATTTTCCGTTGTTCCATCAAATTCTGTAAATCGGTATGCCCTAACAGTTTCTTATATTTGAGTTGGCTTCAGCTTCGAGAAATTCTTCAGGCAGGTTTAGGCAGAGGGCTGAGGAAGCTAGAGAAGATTCCGAAGAGAAAGGATGATTATTTGTTGCATGATTATAGCTTCTTTTAAAACTTCTAATAGGAAAACCCTTCCACTTTCCTGGACCAAATGCAGAGTAAAGTCATTTTCTATTATCTGTTGCAATAATTAATAATAAATATGTAAATGCAGAAAACATGGTTAGTACCCATATCATTGCCAGAAACCAGTCCCGCTCTCCCTCCACCATCAAAAAAAAGTCCTCGCAAGTAGGAATTAGATAAAATAATTTAACCTGCAATTTTGCAACAACTCAGACTTTCAGCACCACCGACCCCCTAATAACATCCCTACTGGTTTCTTCCATTTTTTGTGTAGGCAAGTGGAATAACAGGTATCCTTCATATCCATAGGAAGAGCATTGGGAGGAGCCAAAGATATGGGGAGGTAGATCAAGACATTAGGAAATCTTTTCTGGCTTCTGACTTTGAGTCTGAAAAGGTGGTGTGAATTGGTTGGTGTCTGAATCTTTATCAGGACACATTATGGTGGTCTGGGGTGGATCTGGCCATGCAACTCAAGCTAGAGGATGACAACTACAGAGATGTGGTCACATTTTCAAGTTTTACTTCCTTACCTCAATCTTTCAAACCCCTAATTAATTAGGTAATAAAAATTGTATATATTTATGATGCACACAACACAGTATTTTGAAACAGTAATACATTGTAGAATGGCCCAACCAACATAATTAACCTATATGTATTACGTCACATTTTTATCTTTTGTTTTTTTTTTTTTTTTGGTGTGGTGAGAACACTTCAAATCTACCATCTTAACAATTTTCAAAATTGTGACTATAGTGACTATAGTCACTATGTTGCACAATAGATCTCTTAAACTTATTGCTCCTATCTAACTGAAATTTTGTATCCTTTGACAAACATCTCTTCACCCCAACCCTACCTACTGGTAACCAGGGTTCTACTCTATTCTCTGAGTTCAACAATTTTAGATTCAAGTCTCCCTTCCCTTCCCTTCCCCTCCCTTCCCCTCCCTTCCCTTCCCTTCCCTTCCCTTCCCTTCCCTTCCCTTCCCTTCCCTTCCCTTCCCTCCTCTCCCCTCCCCTCCTCTGCCCTCCCCTCTTTTCCTTCCCTCTTTTCTTCTCTCTCTTCTCTCTCTCTCTTTCTTCTCACTGCAGCCTCGACTTCACCAGGCTCAGGTGATCCTCGCACCTCAGCCTCCCGAGTAGCTGGGACTACAAGCGTGTGCCACCACACCCAGGTAATTTCTGTGTTTTTGTAGAGATGGGGTTTCGCCATGGTTCCCAAGCTGGATTACAGGCATGAGCCACTGTGCCCAGCTGACTTCCCTTTTTTTTTTTTTTTTTGAGATGGAGTTTCACTCTTTTTTTTGAGATGGAGTTTTGCTGTTGTCACCCAGGCTGGAGTGCAGTGGCTCAATCTTGGCTTACTGCAACCTCTGCCTCCCGGGTTCAAGCAGTTCTTCTGCCTCAGCCTCCCGAGTAGCTGGCATTACAGGTGCGTGCCACCATGCCTGGCTAATTTTTTGTATCTTTAGTAGAGATGGGGTTTCACCATGTTGGCCAGGCTGGTCTCGAACTTCTGACCTCAGGTGATCAACCCGCCTCAGCCTCCCAAAGTGCTGGGATTACAGGCGTGAGCCACCACGCCTGACTGATTTCCTTCTTTTTCAAGTCTGAATTAGTCTCCTATTGTGTGTGTGTGTGTGTGTGTGTATCACATTTCTTCATCCATTCATCCACTTATAGACATTTAGGTTGATTCCATATCTTGGCTATGGTGAATAATGCTGCAAGGAACATGGAAGTGCAGCTATCTCTTCAATATAATGCTTTCCTTTGGGTATATAGTGAGATTGCTGGATCATATGGTAGTTCCATTTTTAATTTTTCTGAGGAACCACTGTATTGTTTTCCATCATGGCTTTCCAAGATAGTATCACTTAATGACTTCAATTTTAATTAATGATTGCAAAAATGTATGTATTTTGAGCTACTTAGCCTTTTCTTCTGGAGGTTCTTGGCAGACACCAAAGTAACCCTTATGGATGATGAGACTGAACTATAACAAAACACCAAGTTCAAAAAAAAGAACACATGGTCCCTGCCTCCAAATGTTTAGTGAGAAAAATAGATTTACAAATATCTGCATTACAAGATAGTATAAATGGAGTCATAGGGTAGAACATCAATAGTGTGCTACTGAATGACAAAGGAAAGGAGAGGTTCATTCAAGGCTAAGTGTGAAGAAAAGTTGTGGGGTGGGTGTAGCAATTTAGGAAGAGGATTTCCTTGATGGAAAAGAGGCCTGCTGGAACAAGAGAATAGCACAGAGATAAGGAAGTCTAGTGTGTTTATAGGAAGCAAAGCAGTTTGGAGTAGCTGAAACCTGGAATTTAAGACAGATAAGGCTGGGAGGTGGGATGGGGCTAGATTATAGAGACTATGACATGTCATGCTAAGAAATTAAAATATGATTGAACATTATTGGTATATTTACATAAACAGTATCAACATCCTTAACTGTACTTTTTGCCTTTAATTTCAGTTTTATGAGTTTCCTTCTAAAATAAGTAGTTGATTAAAATCTCAATATTCACTTCCTATCAGTTTCTTTCAATCAGTAAAAGAATAATGTATTCCTAATATCCTTCAATGCTTTATCTAAATCCAACAGTGTTTTACCCCCAAACCTGCATTCCTATGATATTAATAGCTCTTAGCTTGATTAAAACTTCCGATAGAAAAACACTTCCACTTTCCTGGGGCAATATGCAGTGTATAGTCATTTTCTATTCTCTGTTGCAATCATTAATAATAATAATTAATGTTTATTAAACATGTTATGTCAAGGGAGCCACATAGCCTTATGTTATCTAGGGAGGCATTATTTTGATCTTAGACTGAGAATTTTTACAAGGTCACACAACTAAGTAAAGGGACCAAGGAGTCTACCCCCAGAGTCTGTGCTTTGAACTATTGTACTATCATGTAACGGGGCATAGTGTATGATAATTATTGTTAATATTAGATAGAAACTGGGCCTGATTCCTGTAGCAGGACTGTTTCTCTGTTTTTTTTTTCTTTGCATCTTAATTTTCATCATTTGGATTAATTTTATCTTACACTTTCAGTGACGGGACATATTTTAATGTTTTAATACACTTTTAAACTACTCATGGGATCTCGTATTTTTATGACCCACCCAAAAGAAACTCTTAAACTCTGAGAAGAGACAGGATGTGGGACGAAAAAAAATGTTAGCAACAGTGATGGCACAAGATGTGAAGACCAGGCCTCTGGAAGAATGTTGATTACCAATATTCTCATGATTCCCAATAAACTCCCCAAATCACCAGATCTTTTTGCATTTCAGCATCCCATATATTTTTCTGTGTGTCTTGATTTTTTTATTATGAAGGTAATACAGTAAACATACTACTTTGTACATGACATACTAAAGTATGTATTTAGACAACAGATCAAACATCACATGATCATGTATAAATTGTGCAAAACGTTTGCTAACTGAAAGAACACGTCAGTGTTATTATCATAGATTTCTTCACCAGAACACTATTCTCAGGCCAAGCTCTGGAGGAGAGGGTTGTGTGGAGTAGAGAGAAGCTGAAATGAGAGCCTGGCAGTCCAGTGACCCTGGTAACAGTGTGGGACACAGGGAGATGATGATACCAATGTATCTCAGTGTCTGGCCCTCACTCTGCCTAAATTTAACTGTTACATCTTTATTTTTGTATTTACTTTGTTAAATATTTGGACCTTTCCATCTTTTCTCAGGCTCTGAGTGGTTTACAGATTCTGCTATTTTCACTTTTGAGTTTGAGAGTAGGACTTAGAAATAGATGACTCTTCAATGGATTGGTGAGTAAAGGATCCTGAAACTGTTCTCTCCTTTAGCATGACGTCTCTCAACTTCAGTTTCCTCATGGGTAGATTGAGGGATTGAATAAGATAAGTGGTGGCAATCACAAATCTTCACAAGGTTTACCCGGATGAGACAGGCATCATAAATGAGCAAAGAAGACTGGGGGCAGTGGTTGGGTAGTAGGTGTGTGGAGGTATGGGGGATAGCACAGGTGAAACTAAATGCAAGGCAACGTTAGTCCTGCGTCAGGGAGATATTAGGGAGTAGAAGGACCTGGAGAGAAAATGCCTCATCCAATGAGAGCCAGACTTACTCAGTTCCAGTTAATTGTTATGTAAGAATGAGGGCCCAGTGTTATCAGAACTTTCAATGTTTTGAGAGAATCCTAAAGTTCAGATTTTTATGTGAAATCTATTCTAGTGTTAAAACATCAGCAATTTGGCCGGGCGCAGTGGCTCACGCCTGTCATCCCAGCACTTTGGAGGCAGAGGCGGGCGGATCACGAGGTCAGGATATTGAGACCATCCTGGCTAACAGGGCGAAACCCCGTCTCTACTAAAAAAATACCAAAAGAATTAGCCAGGCATGGTGGCGGGCACCTGTAGTCCCAGCTACCTGGGAGGCTGAGGCAGGAGAATGGCGTGAACCCGGGAGGTGGAGCTTGCAGTGAGCCGAGATCTCGCCACTGCACTCCGGCCTGGGCGACACAGCAAGACTTCGTCTCAAAAAAAAAACGAAAAAAAAAAATCAGCAATTCATTCAAATTTACTAAAAACAAAACCAAAAACATTGAGTCCGCCAAACGAAACACATTAAGAGACCAGACTTGGCCAGATTTGGCCTGAGTGGTGCCAAAGTTTCCAAAATTCCTTCTGACTTCAGACTTTTGTGATCCTATATAGCCAATTTCTTCCCCTTTTGCTAAAACATATGGTAGTACTCCCTGTATCCAAATTATGACAGCTTTGGAGGAGCTCTTTGGCAAATGCTAGACTATAAAAAATCTACAAGGCCTCGAAGATTAAAAAATATCCTTTTTTCATAGCCGCACTATTGATAAAATTCAGAGGCCTCATACCACGGGAGGCCATGATAGGAGAATTGCTTCAGCCCAGCAGTTTGAGACCAGCTTGGGTATCATAGTGAGACTTCGTCTCTACAAAAAATGAAAAATTAGCGGTCATAGTGGCACCTGCCTGTAGTCCTAGCTATTTGGGAAGCTGAGGTAGCAGGATCATTTGAGCTTGGGAGGTCAAGGCTGCAGTGATGAGCTGTGATTGCACCACTGCACCCCAGCCTGGCAACACAGCAAGGACCTGTCTCAAAAAATCAGAGGCTCCAGAAGTTAATTACCTGTATTTATTGTCCCTTTCAGGAACGATTAGTGTGATTTAGTTCCAAGATTCAGAACTGCTCCTCTAAATATTTTACTTCCTGTTCTGCCTTTCCATCTTAATGTGAAAGAATCAATTTTGGTTTCCACTTGGATGAGGGGTATTTATAGGCTTGGCTGATGGTGTTCAGACAAAGCAATCTTCATTGTCTTTAACCTGGCAATATTTCACCACGTATTCTGTCCCTCTTCCTTAACAGAGCTATCTGGGGATGTTCTTGAATTTCAACTAGATGGATAAATTAAGTGTTTGACTTGTAGAAGTTAATATGGCAATTTCGATTTTTTTAAAAAGCTATTTATATGGATCCAAAAAATAAAAAGGTAAACATAATGAATGGATTTGCAGTGAAATTCTTTAATACAAGTGTGTTTTTAAAGCTGAGTTTCTTGGATTTGACTGGCTGGGATGTGTTATTTGCTTTATGTCAATGAGCTATTCTACAAACAAGTGGGCCTGACTTAAAGTTCAGAGCAGATGTTGACAATGAGAAGGAAGCATTTGAGTACATAAAACAAGAATGACATGTTGAGAGAAACCACATACCTTACTGTGACTGAGCTGACTACAGAGGACAAACAAGAGGCTCTGAATGACAGTTTTGAGCCACGATTTGCCCTTGTCCTAGCCCCAGTAATGAGTCAGCCCCCACCCTTTCACATCAGCGAGTATGTTAACCATCACTGAATGTTTAACATTTAAAACCGAATCGGAAAGAATCAGGTAATTATTTGATCATTACAGCCATGTCATCCGATGTTATATTGGTAAAAGATTTGGATTTTAATTTTTTTACTCATGTATTTGGCTAGCTTTTCAGATTCAATGGTGGAGACAGACTCTAAGCTCCAGAGAGGAAGGGGCCACATCTCCTTCACCCCACAATGCCTTCTAAATGCACTCAGTTCATTTTGTTGAATGAAAGATCTTTGATTAATCATTTGAATATATAGGAGATTTTAGGTAAGTAGGCTTTCAATGCATTCATTCATTCATTCCATACAGATTTGTTGAGCTTTCCCTATGTGCCAATCATAATTCTTAGTGCTAGGCATATGTGATAGACTTGTGGGCTAGTCCCTTAACAAATAACAATCTATTGTAATAAATATTATGGCAGAGATGCTTAAATCGGTGTGAGACCTTGGAGGAGGAATGACTGATGTAGAGTTTCACAGATGGCATCAAGATGAGAGAAACAGTTTGGGCTCAGTCTTGAAGGAAGAGTAGAATTGGAGAAAGGCATTCCAGCTGCCTCCAGCTACTAACAGGAACTGAAGAGTCAAAGCTTGGACGAGGGAGGGAGCATAGCTAAAATGCTGAGTCGTGAGCTGTGGGTTGGGGGGCACAGATTTGTTGGACATCCTAGCATTACAGACTTTTAGAAGAAAGAATCAGGTAACTGGCTAGTTATTTAAAGATCTGGATATCTGATGTCATATGAACACAACATGGTTTTATAAAACCAATGCTTTCATTTTTGTTTATAATTTTTGAATAACATTATAGTTTTAGTGATGGACAACTGTAAGCTTCATGAGGGAAAGAATGATTGTCATTGATATCTTAGTGTCCTTTTGTAATTAATGAAATAAAACCTTGTGCTCTGCTAATGGGTAAACTGTGGGTAATGAGGAACCATGGAAGGATCTGAAAAATTGGAAGCAGAATTGAGATGACCAGAGAGCCACGGTTTAGGAAGATGGATCTGGGAGCAGCTCGGCAGATGCCCTGCAGCAGGGAGACAGTGTAAGCTGAGGGATCCACCTGTAGGCAGTTGTGATGGTCCAGGCATTCGCAGAAAAGATGGAGAGGAAGAGTCTGATTGCAGAACTCTTTGGGGGACCCTAGGATGCTGGAGACGGGTAGCTGGGATTCAAGGAAGAGCTGGAATGCAATGAAGTGGAGGCTTTGTGCTTGGGCAAATGGAAGTACGGTCATGACAGTTTTCCAGGTAAAATTCAGGAGGAGAAATTAAGAATTGAGTTTGAGGGGCCTGGGCACATCCAGTTGAGATCTTGACATGGAAAATGGTGAAAAATTCGTTAGAAATGTGGATCTGGAGTTCTGAAGAGAGGTCAGAGCTGGGGATGGAGACTTCAGACTTCTTGCTTGAGTATCTGTGATCACTTGGTGGCGTTAGAGAGAGCCTGGGAGAGTCTTGCAGTGGGCTCACGAAAGCCAAGGGGGCAGTGGTTCATAAAAACAGAGACGTAAACAGTGTCAAGAATGAGGAGGCTGTGCTGACAAACTGTGAGGATGCAGGGAATGCCATAGTGAAACACTTTTTATTGTCTAGGTGCATCAGAAGCCAGAAATCACTGAGTAGAGGAATGATGAGAAGGTGAGGAAGCAGAGGTAGGGAGAGTACCCTTTCATGCTTTTCTAAGAAAACCTTTGAAAGATGCAACTACAGTAACAAGATTGAACACTTACTAAATAGTTACTTTATGCGAAGCTCCGTGCCTGTGCTTCATGGCCAGGCTTGAAATCCCCTGTAGGTTTTAGCATATGCTTGGATGGTTACTAGAAACATGCTCATGTGAAATACAAACTTAAAATGGAGTTCTTCATTTGCTTTTTGATGCACATTGAATTACCACCTTTTTTTGCAAACTGGTTTTGAAAGGGAGATCCTAGGAGTCTTTGGGATAAGGAAGGGGTCTCTGAACTGGGGAAACCGCAGCAAACTGGGGTATGAAGAATGCAAAGATGAACTTGACTGTGCAGTGCTTATGAGACAAAGTCAGCATTTGTCAGCTTTCATTCTACCAACAGGTACCCTAATAACTGTACTGCAACATCTGGAAAGGGGGTGGTAGCCAGCTATGTGGTTTCCTGATTTGAGGAGAAAAGGAAAGAAGGAAAGAAAGGAAACAAAAGCAAACCTTGTTTGGACTTCAGTGCTTCTTGATTTTGTCTTTTTTTGGCTGTCACTAACCTGGGGGCTTTTCAATGATCTAAGAGCAGCCTATGATTGTCATTCTGGTCTTTCCTCACTGAGACTTTCTTCTTATTTGCTGACTTTTCTTTCCATCAGGAAATTATTCTAAGAGATGTTGAAAAATGCCATTACCATATCCTGTTATTATTTTTGGGTGGGGGGAGAGATGTGGTACTAATGTGTGTATGTGTGTGTGTGTGTGTGTGTGTGTGTGTGTGTGTTTTCAGTGCAGTTGAATCTGAAATAATGAAAACCTAGAACCAAGTATCTAACAGAAGATGTCCTATTATGGCAGGGAAGGAGGAGAGTCGAGGATGTTCTGGCCAGAGGTCTTTATAGGGAAAGTACCTTAAAGATTTTGGGGGAGCTATATGAGGATAAAATAACTTTTTCTGACTACCAGTTATGTCTAAAGGGATTTAAAAAAAAAAAGAGTGATACTTCATATTGAGATTACTATGTGCCAGGCACTGGGCTAAGTGCTTTACAGAAATTAACTCATATAATTATTACCACAATCTGATGAGGTAAATACTGTCATTCCCCTCACTTTTCAGATGAAGAAAAAGAGGCAGAGAGCTATTTAAGTAACTTGCTGAAGGTCACACTCTTGGCTGGTACCAGAGCTGCGATGTACACTCGGGTTATCCAAGACACCAGCCAGTGTGCTTATTCCTTATGCGAAATTTTCTAGAATAGACGTTCTCATGTACTCACAGATGTAAGTATCTGTGTGTGTACTCGTATGAGACTGTAGTTATTGAAAACACAGAGAAGTGGAAATTCAACCTGCCATTCTTTTGAACTACATAATACCTTTACCAAATGATCACAGCCTCTCTCCTGCTACCTTTCCCACACTGAGAGGTTGTTTGGTTAATTTGAGCAAATTAATAGGTGACAGTCATTATCCTGACAGCCTTATAATTATCATCATTCACACCATTATCTTTGTTAGAATCTTCTCAGGGGTTTTCCTGCCAGGCCCATGCCTGTTCTGTTGGGGACTGCGGATAAAGCAGAATTGGGGAAAGAGCAGAACACTAGGGTATGAAAAATGCAAAGATAAACTCGACTGTGCAGTGCTTAAGAGACAAAGTGTTGTAATCCCAGCACTTCGGGAGGCTGAGGCAGACAGATCAACTGAGGTCAGGAGTTCGAGACAAGCCTGGCTAACATGGTGAAACCCCATCTCTACTAAAAATACAAGAAAAAACATTAGCTGGGCATGGTGGCGGATGCCTGTAATCCCAGCTACTCGAGAGGCTGAGACAGGAGAATTGCTTGAACCCGGGAGGTGGAGGTTGCAATGAGCCAAGATCCTGCCATTGCACTCCAGCCTGGGTGACAAGAGTGAAACTCTGCTCAAAAAAAAAGAAAAAAAAAAAAAGAGAGACAAAGTGTTGGCTTTTGTCAGCTGAGTGTGGCTTGGACACAAAGAATTGGGGCAAGTATCTGGGCACTGACTGCCCAGAGGTTCTTGGAGCTGCTCCTCCTGGGTCTTTTCCTTGGCTGCTGCACAGCAGAAGGGTGGCATTTGGGGTGGTTGAACCTGTGCTTGGCTATTTGGGACAATGGGAAAGAGACAGAACAAGACTTTTCTCTCTTCTGGCTGGCAGTGGTGTGTTCTTGCTCTTTCTGGAGCCATAAGGGTGAAACTGTGCTCATTCTCTAGCCAGAGACCAGCCAACAGATTCTGGGGATTTGCCACGTTAAAGTGTGGGGTTAATAGCATTGCCACCACCAGTGGGGACAGAGTCAAATACAGCAAGTCAGGAAGGAGCAGGCAACTGTACATTCCTTTGGTCTTCCTCTATGGTCCAGTGTGCTTAGGAAAAAAAAGTCATATTCTCCTGAAAGGATCTAATTATTCTGCTCTTTTGTTTTGTAAAGTTTTGTTTAAGTGTTCTAAGTATTAAGAAATAACTAAAGATTTAAAAGTTTCCAAAGCCCTAGATTTCTAAATAATCCAGTAACCAGTTGTTGTTCTAGAATTCTGGGGTAACCAGTAACTACTCCTTAGACAATGGCTATGAAATTACCAGAAATCCCTTAAGTTCCAGATTCTTCAATACCAGAAAAAAACCCTAAGGTTGTGAAAGTAATAGCTAACATTTATTGAGGGTTTTTTGTTTTGTTTTGTTTTTTGTTTTTTTTTTTACTGTGTGCCCAGCAGTGAGCTTTGAATTTGCAACCCACTCTTATCCTATTTTACAAATGAGAAAACTGAGGCTCAAAGCCAACAAACAATTGGCTTAAAATCCCATGCTAAGTAGCACAGACTGGACCAGAACTTAGATACAAACTTGATTTAAGAAGCCTCTGATCTTTTTTTTATTTTTTTATTTTTTTAATTATTTATTTATTTATTTATTTTTTATTTTATTTTTTTTATTGATCATTCTTGGGTGTTTCTCGCAGAGGGGGATTTGGCAGGGTCACAGGACAATAGTGGAGGGAAGGTCAGCAGATAAACAAGTGAACAAAGGTCTCTGGTTTTCCTAGGCAGAGGACCCTGCGGCCTTCCGCAGTGTTTGTGTCCCTGGGTACTTGAGATTAGGGAGTGGCGATGACTCTTAACGAGCATGCTGCCTTCAAGCATCTGTTTAACAAAGCACATCTTGCACCACCCTTAATCCATTCAACCCTGAGTAGACACAGCACATGTTTCAGAGAGCACAGGGTTGGGGGTAAGGTCACAGATCAACAGGATCCCAAGGCAGAAGAATTTTTCTTAGTACAGAACAAAATGAAAAGTCTCCCATGTCTACCTCTTTCTACACAGACACGGCAGCCATCCGATTTCTCAATCTTTTCCCCACCTTTCCCCCCTTTCTATTCCACAAAACCGCCATTGTCATCATGGCCTGTTCTCAATGAGCTGTTGAGTACACCTCCCAGACGGGGTGGTGGCCGGGCAGAGGGGCTCCTCACTTCCCAGTAGGGGCGGCCGGGCAGAGGCGCCCCTCACCTCCCGGACGGGGTGGCTGGCTGGGCGGGGGGCTGAACCCCCCCACCTCCCTCCCGGACAGGGCGGCTGGCGGGGCAGAGGGGCTCCTCACTTCCCAGTAGGGGCGGCCAGGCAGAGGCGCCCCTCACCTCCCGGACGGGGCGGCTGGCCGGGCGGGGGGCTGACCCCCCCACCTCCCTTCTGGACGGGGCGGCTGGCCGGGCGGGGGGCTGACCCCCCACCTCCCTCCCGGACGGGGTGGCTGTCGGGCGGAGACGCTCCTCACTTCCCACACGGGGTGGCTGCTGGGCGGAGGGGCTCCTCGCTTCTCAGACGGTGTGGCTGCCGGGCGGAGGGGCTTCTCACTTCTCAGACGGGGCGGTTGCCAGGCAGAGGGTCTCCTCACTTCTCAGACGGGGCGGCCGGGCAGAGACACTCCTCACATCCCAGACGGGGCGGCAGGGCAGAGGTGCTCCCCACATCTCAGATGATGGGCGGCCGGGCAGAGACACTCCTCACTTCCTAGATGGGATGGCGGCCGGGCAGAGACGCTCCTCACTTTCCAGACTGGGCAGCCAGGCAGAGAGGCTCCTCACATCCCAGACGATGGGCGGCCAGGCAGAGACGCTCCTCACTTCCTAGACGGGGTGGCGGCCGGGCAGAGGCTGCAATCTCGGCACTTTGGGGGGCCAAGGCAGGCAGCTGGGAGGTGGAGGTTGTAGCGAGCAGAGATCACGCCACTGCACTCCAGCCTGGGCACCATTGAGCACTGAGTGAACGCAACTCCGTCTGCCATCCCGGCAACTCGGGAGGCCGAGGCTGGCGGATCACTCGCGGTTAGGAGCTGGAAACCAGCCCAGCCAACACAGCGAAACCCCCTCTCCACCAAAAAAATACGAAAACCAGTCAGGCGTGGGGGCCCGCGCCTACAATCGCAGGCACTCGGCAGGCTGAGGCAGGAGAATCAGGCAGGGAGGTTGCAGTGAGCCAAGATGGCAGCAGCACAGTCCAGCTTCGGCTGGGCATCAGAGGGAGACCGTGGCAAGAGAGGGAGAGGGAGACCGTGGGGAGACGGAGAGGGAGAGGGGAGAGGGGAGAGGGGAGAGGGCTTTAAAAATCTTTTGTAGAGACAGGGTCACACCGCCTCTGATCTTAACATTACTCAGTTCCTATCGTTCTGGAACCAGATGCTAGAGAAATGTGCCTTCTTCCTGTCTACCCCATCTTCATGGTAAAATTAAGAATAAAGAATAAAGGAAAGCTAGGAAGTAATTGAAAAAATTGTTAACTTGCTTAAAATAGTTTTCTGTTATCTCCTTCCTCCATATGTACCTAAAGCAGCCCAAGGACACTGATGTTGACCTCGGAAACCCTGAATTTATGTTTTTTTCTCATTGTTCAGATTCCTCTTTCAGGCTATTTAGGCATTCCTGCACCTGAGGAGAAGCTTTGCTCTGTTGCTCCTTTGTTTGAGGAGCCATAATAACCAATGAAATAAGCAATACATAATTTCCTGATTGTATTTTCCTCATACAAACCTGTTACTAGGTTAGAAATTTGGGTGTAGGTATAGGTGGGGAGAGTGGATGTGGGTGGCAAGGAGGGCCATTGACGAGGTGGGGGGGCTCGTATTTATGAAAAGTCTCATGCAGCTGCTGTTAATTTTCTAAGTCAGGCCATATATTTGGTCATTGTAACTGTGTGTTTATAGCATACATCTTTTAAAAAGTAAATTTGTTGTGTTATAACCTACATCCAGTAAAATTCAACAATTATAAGCATACAGTATGATGAGTTTTGACAAATTCACATAGGGTTTACATTAATTTTTTTGGTAACAGATTTATTAAATTATAAATTACATATAATTCACTTATTTAAAGTGTATAATTCCTTGATGGCTTTAGTATATTCAGAGTAGTACAACCATCACTACCATCAATTTTAGAGCATTTTCATCACCCCCGAAGAAACCTCATATGCATTAGCAGTCACTCCCCATTTCTCCCTACCCCAAAACCTCCCAGCCCTAGGCAGCCACTAATCTACTTTCTGTTTCTACAGATGTGCCTGTTCTGGACATTTCACATAAGTGGAATCATACAATGTGTGGTCTCTTTCAATTACATTTTCTCACTTAGCTTAAGGTTTTTAAGGTTATTCATGTTGTTGCATGTATAAGCATTCCATCCCTTTTTATTGCTGAATAATAGTCCATTGTGTAGATATATATCATACTTTATCCATTCATCAGTTGATGGGCATTTGGATCCATTATCTATATATGTTTATCAGTTTTTATCACATATAATATATAAAAATATTTAGTGTATATATATGTGTGTGTGTGTGTGTATATATATATATATATTTGAGATGGAGTCTCGCTCTGTTACCCAGGTTGGAGCGCAGTAGCACGATCTCAGGTCACTGCAACCTCCACCTCCTGGGTTTAAGCGATTCTCCTGTCTCAGCCCCCAAGTAGCTGGGATTACAGGCACCCACCATCACAGCTGGCTAATTTTTGTATTTTTAGTAGAGATGGGGTTTCACTATGTTGGCCAGGCTGGTCTTAAACTCCTGGCCTCAAGTGATCCACCCACCTTGGCCTCCCAAAGTGCTGGAATACAGGCATGAGCCACTGCACCTGGCTGAATATTTAGTATACTTAATGTATTCTATCTATAGTCTATCTTAATATATAGACTATTTTCTATATATATTAATCACTGGCTAATAGCATTCATTTTTAAGATGTAGATATTTAATCGAAACCTTGATTTTCATATCCTCTTTTTTCTTTTCTTACTTTCAATATTTAGTATGCTAGTAGTCAGAAACATGAAAGTAGCTTAATCCCATCTTGATTTCTGAGACAATCTGATCAAGGCCACCACAACTGGATTTACAGTTGTACGAAAATTATTATTTGGAGGCCAGGCGTGGTGGCTCACGCCTATAATCCCAGCACTTTGGGAGGCCGAGGCAGGTGGATCACAAGGTCAGGAGATCAAGACCATCCTGATTTACACGGTGAAACCCCGTCTCTACTAAAAATACAAAAAAAAGTTACCGGGCGTGGTGGCGGGCGCCTGTAGTCCCAGCTACTCCGGAGGCTGAGGCAGGAGAATGGCCTGAACCCGGGAGGCGGAGCTTGTGGTGAGCCGAGATAGCGCCACTGCACTCCAGCCTGGGCGACAGAGCGAGACTCCATCTCAAAATAAATAAATAAATAAATAAATAAGTAAAATTAAAAGGCCGGGTGCAGTGGCTCACGCCTGTAATCCCAGCACTTTGGGAGGCAGAGGCAGGCGGATCACGAGGTCAGGAGATCAAGACCATCCTGGCTAACAGTGAAACTCCGTCTTACTAAAAATACAAAAAAATTAGCCGGGTGTGGTGGCGGGCGCCTGTAGCCCCAGCTACTTGGGAGGCTGCGGCAGGAGAATGACGTGAACCTGGGAGGCGGAGCTTACGGTGAGCCGAGATCACGCCACTGCACTCCAGCCTGGGCGAAAGAGTGAGACTCCATCTCAAAATAAATAAATAAATAAATAAATAATACATAAAATTATTATTTGGAGTTCACCCCCTTGAATAGCTATTTCAAACCGTAGAAAATTCTTATAGAATTGTGTGTGTGTGTATATATAGACATACAGAATGAAGATGACTCAATATGATTTTACAAAGAGTTTTAATACTTTAGAAGCACAACAGGGTGGATTCTTTTTCTTTTCCTTAAAAACTGATGTTGATATATAAGTATATTTTTTTGACTTTAGAAGAGAAATGATACACTGACATCTTGAAACGTCATTGGAAAGTGACAAAATTGATCTAGTGACTATAACTTTTAAAGGACTTACGTTAGTGTTAACATGATGACATTTGCTAATACATCAATCAACAAAGAGAGTAGATTTACTTGACAGTTTAGGTCTTTGACCCAGAGGAGACTTACTTTAAAGTTCTGTCCTACTTAAAAATTGTTATAAAAATCAGTTATAAGTGTGTTGACACTGTTGCAGCTGATGACCGCAGATGCACTTTTTACCCCTTGAACAGTATAAAATGAAATTGCTTAAGAAATGGGAAGGCAAAAGTAGAAGTAGAATATTACATGTGGTATGGAGAAGGCGGACTCAAGAACTAGAGATAAGATCACTTGTGTTATGTGTCTCATGAAATGAAATGTAATTAATTTGTATTTGAATTGGGAGCTTCAGTTTGTTTTAAATATATTTGTGTACCTATTGTTTTAGAATTCCCAAAAAGTTATCTACATTTTTGCTTACATTTCATGAAAACACCCAAAGAATGACTTGTTTACCTACATTTTTTTGTTTGTTTTTAGGTATTGGTTAATTATTTCTCAATTCCCAGGATTCCTTCACCCAAACTGAGGTGGTATAGAATAAATGATACATGTTTGGAGGGACAAAAGTCATTGTTTGAGGGAAAGAGTGATATCAGTATTACAACTGCTTCTGGCTGAACAGGTTTGCTTTTTAGTTTATAAAACTTGTTACCTACATTGGAGTCAGAGCTAAAACATAATTTTCAGTAGCTTTTGAAGTGTTTTATTTTAACAGCTTTATTGAGGTATATAACTCATACATGATAAAACTGATCCATTTAATATGTGCAGCTCAGTGATTTTTAGCATGTTCATAGAGTTGTGCTACCTGCACCACAATCTAATTTTAAAATGTTTTCATCATCCCACAAAGAAGCCCTGCACCCTTTAACAGTCATTCCCCATTTCCACCCCTCAAACTTTTTTCCAAAGTGGCTTCAGCCTTTTCATCTGCCACAGCAGCATGTGAGGGTTTCAGTCCACCTCCTCGCCCATGGTTTATAGCCTTAAAGTGTCATAAATGTAACTGTAGGAAGGTCATGGAACCCAGCATGATTTAGATTTTTGATTCACCTCACAGATAACTAGATCAAGGCAAAATCAACCTGGAATCAACCATTTTTTTCCCAAGATAAAGTCACAGGATTCTAGGCTCTTAAAGTGCTTCAGCACCAGACAATCCGGTAGTGATTGAGATTCAAATAAAAATGTGCTACTGTTGACCTCCTTTTATATTTCAAGTGAAAAGTCTATCTATGAATCTTTAAGGAGATGTTTATAGACAATGCTCAAATGGGGGTTATTAGGGAAAGATAATTTTGGGGAAGGGAGCAAAGGCAACAGGAAACTGTCAGCTGAAAATAAGATTAAATACTTGTAAATCACTTTGTATTTGGCAAAAATTAGTATAGTGCATATGTATACATTTCAGGGATAGAAATACTCAGTGTTCTTAAATGTCACACCTGCAGTTCTGACAGCCTATATCCAGAGCAGAAATTTTCAGCCAATGTAAAGAGTTGAAGAAACAAAGGATTGGCATTATTTGAGCAGAACTAAACATAATCGAAGGTGCTGGAACTTAAAGCTTTATTGTGAATGAAATGTAGTCTTTCATCAATAGTCTTTTTCGTTTCCCGAAGGAAGGGATTAGAACTTGCCAACTCTCCTTTCCCCTTAAACAAAACAGGTTCTGGCTTTAGGAGATATACTATCCTTTCTACTAATGATAATCTAATTTTGTTGAATAGTGATATCTTCTTATGGTTAATATTATTTCATGCTCTTCTCTCTCCTCCAAGGGAGGCTCATAATACATGTACTGTATTTAATTTTTTTAAGTTAAAGTTAAGAAAGATGCTTACAAGTTCAAGTTCAAATTCAAATTAATTCTGTGAAACTTCTTTAAACCCTGTAGTATAAAAAAACTGCCCCTAAATTAGTGTTCTTCAAATGATCTCTCAAAATGGTTTCTAATTTTGAGTTTTATAAGGTGTCTGGTCACTCAGAGTCCTGGTTTGTTAACACTCTGGTTGAAGGAGATTCCAAATTCTCAAATAGTTTACTAGAATGTAGTACAATATCTATTTCTTAGAAACACATTTTCATACATTTGAATAAGACTCCAAAACGTTGAATGTATGCATGGATCATAAATCTAAATAACATAGTGCCTTCTGATACTTACAGATCTTGTTTCATTCATTTATTTACTTACTTATTTATTTAGAGATGGAGTCTTGCTCTGTCACCTAGGCTGGAGTGCAGTGGCGTGATCTCAGCTCACTGCAACCTCTGCCTCCCGGGTTCAAGCGATTCTCCAGCCTCAGCCTCCTGAGTAGCTGGGATTACAGGCGCGTGCCACCATGCCCAGATAATTTTTGTATTTTTTAGTAGAGACGGGGTTTTGCCATGTTGGCCAGGCTGGTCTGGAACTCCTGACCTCAGGTGATCCACCCACTTCGGCCTCCCAGAGTGCTGAGATTATAGGTGTGAGCCACCCTGCCTGGCCTTTTTTTTTTGGAAAAAAAATTCCACCACTTAGATAATATAAATGATTAATTCTACAATATGTAGAAACAATTATTTCTTGTGGTTATAAACACAGACTTCTTGAAACACATTTTTCTTGAATTTACATGGAGAGTACCATTTTTCTAATCTTGTTTTGCTCTGTGAGCCCTGTAAGAACTGCCCTCTCCAACTCCACCAAACCTATCGGGCCTATCCTGATTACACATGTATGTTCATGTTATTCCTCTTGCCTTGGCCGCCCTTCTATGAATCCCTTCATTGTTCTTCACAACTAACCTACTTTATGAGGCCCTTCCACTCCTGCTCCCATCTTGAGTGCTTTCATTTCCTTCGACTCCTAAACATTTAATATCCATCCACTTGTATGGCACCCAATCGTGTACGTACTCTTTTGCACATACCTTTCCACGTGGACACACCTTCCCATGTACACATATCTTACCTTCCTAAGTGAGTTAAAAGAGTTCCTGAGGTCAGGGACCATACCTTATATGCCTTCTGGTCTCCCTTAGTAGCTAGTGCAATATAACTTAAATGTAAGTGATCAAGAACATTTTGAATAAAGACCACTTTCTTCTTTTTTTTCTTTTTGAGACAGCATCTTGATCTGTTGCCCAGGGTGGAGAACAGTGGCATAATCATGGCTCACTGTTATGGCTCACCTCCTCAGCTCAAGCTATCTTCCTGCCTCAGCCTCCCAAGTAGCTGGGACCACAGGTGCATGCCACCACACCCAGCTAATTTTTAAGACCACTTTTATCTTGCTGCATTTCTATAAACATTAGGATAAATGGGCTTAGTGGAAGTTTTAGTTAATTTGGAATTTTTATGAAAAAGAGTGCCAAATAAGGGAATGTATCATATTAGATCATAAGATATGAAGAAGGGAGGATAATAAGAAATTTTCATAAAAATAGATATGGCACATCTATATTTCTTATATTCTATGGTCATCAACAATATTCCTCAGCTTTACCTTTGTCCCAAATGGAACCAAGTGGGGTATGGATGGTTAAAATAATCAACTTGAAATTACTGCATACTCACAATATATTTATTCAGCTGCAGGTAAAGAAATGAGTACCGATAACTTAACAAAATAATTTACTGGGTTAGCTCACAAACGTGGAAGGTTGGAGAAACCAGGCTTCGGTATCTCTAGGAGGTCAACGTAGTAGGACTGACAGAGGTCTCTTCAGTGCACTTTCATGGGGATCCATAAACTCCGCAGATTTTCCTTTCCTTATATAGCATTTCACTCAAGATTCAGGCATTTCAATCAAGATTCAGAGTCCTGAAAGCCTACTGGCTTCTCTTGGGTTAGATGCCCTTTATTGCTCAAGGTCAAGGAAACTTAATTAACAGTCCCACAAGCCCTCTAGCCATAGGACTGATCTACATCCTCAAAAAGGAAGTTGAGCACCATTACAAAAAAGGAGAAATGAAGGCTAGCCTATTCATAAAATCACCTTACGCAGTACAGAATATCAGAAAAACAGCTGGTGAGAGGCACCTAGGGAATAGAGGAAGCCACGGGAGGAGGGTACTAGAGTGACAGAATACAGGAAATCACTCAATGGTAGTTTTAACTGTGTTCTATTGACACTACATGTATCTTAAACTCTGAGATGATGACAGATCAGAAGCTGTTAGTCATCGCTATAAAAACTTGCCTTTCTAGTCAGAGTTGATGTGCATGGGAACTTTGTATTTCCAAGGTTTGCTCTCTTAAATATTTACTGTGAGAATTTCTTTGGCTCTTGTCCTACATCCTGAAATGTCACCGAAGGCAGGGCATGGCAATGCAAGGGAGGGCGGAGGTGTGTGGTGTAGAAAGGCATTTTTGTCTACTTAGGTTTGAAAACTGGTAAGGGAGATAATTCTCTTCATCCTCCCCCATTGCCCGCAACCTCCCAGGAATACTGGCTTTATTCATGATTCTGGTGCTTTGTCTCTATAAATGTGTACTTTTCCTGAAGTGCTGTGATTGGAGCATTTGAATGAAGGACAATCTCGTATGCATTTGTCTTCACACAACCTCTTAGTCTCTTTAGATGTTTGGCTATTTCTATCATATCCTATCTAGTTTGAGGAGTTCAGACAATATTTTCTTTAAAGAGGATTCTGGACAGAAATTGTAAAGTACTAAATTGTCATTAGAAAGATCAGAATTGCATTGTTTACTTTTACAATAGAGTAGGTACCAGAGAGAGCAAATTTCCAATGGAGGGACATATTTGATTACTACAAAAGTTTCTGATTTGGAAGTTTGGATAATTCTGTTAACACAATCATATGGTTTGAGTGTCTAGATTTTATACCTACAGTTTTGTTCACTAATTGTAACATCTCTCTGTTTTTGATCATTAAATGTTGAAAGTTAATTTGTGTAAAGACTTATGCACGTGGTGACATGAGTTCTGCCCAGTGCTCTGAAATCAAAGTGAAGAAATAAATCCATGGAAGCCCAGGCAAATGATGGGTGTAGCTATGACTCTCTGAAGGTAGCCAAATGCCTTGTCATCTAATTAGGCTGTGTGTGAATGGATAATTGATATTCCTACTGTCTTCAGAGATTATCTGTTGAAACCACAGCCAAGTGCATGGTTTGGCAGAATCCGTGGGCAAAGACTCTGTTGCACCTGACAGTAAACCTGGCATAGTGAAGAGACATGGAAGGTACAGGTTAAGTGGGAGGCCCTGCTGGGGACCTGAAGGTTAAGCCTTGGATCTCCAAATCCATTGCCATGTAAGCTGTTTAGGAAAAGAAGGAAAATTTTTCTTTTCTTTTCTTTCCTTTTTTTTTTTTTGTTGTTGTTGAGACAGGGTCTCACTGTGTCACCCACACTGGAGTGCAGTGGTGCAATTACTGCTCACTGTAACCTCAAACTCCTGGACTCAAGCCATCCTCCCACCTCAGCCTTTTGAGCAGCTGAGACTACAGCTGCACCACCACACCAGTCTAATTTTTGTATTTTTTTGTAGAGATAGAGTTTCACTATGTTGCCCAGGCTGGCCTCGAACTCCTGGGCTCAAGCCATTCCTTGGCCTCCTGAAGTTCTGGCATTACAGGCATGAGCCACTGTGCCCAGCCCAAAGCTTTAAATAAAGTAAACACCATTTGGTTACCAACACTAGTAGAAATCAAAAACAAAAATAGACAAATTTTGCCTATGAAGTAAAAAATTCCTCCGCCAAAATAGACTAACATAGTCAAAACAATGCATGAACCAAGGAAATTTAATCCAATAATTCATGGATGCTTCAGTAGTAGAAAACATATATTTTATCATATTAAGAGTTATAAAGGGAAAATTGTATGACCATCTTCCTATACACTGGAAATACATTGATAAAATGTAATAACAATTATTTATAATAACACTCAAAAATATAAAAATGCAAATTACTTTCTTAACTTCGTAAAAGAAATCCAACAAAGCACCAGAGGCAACATCATGGTATTTGAGGGCATTCCCACTAAAGTTAAGAACAAGACAAAAATGTATACTTTTGTTAATTGGTATTATTCTGTATGTACTGTTCAATGCAAAGACAAAAGAAGGAAATTAGGGGCCAGGCACGGTGGCTCATGCCTGTAATCCTGGCACTTTGGGAGGCTGAGATGGGTGAAACACCTGAGGTCAGGGGTTCAAGACCAGCCTGGCCAACATGGTGAAACCCCGTCTCTACTAAAAATACAAAAAATTAGCTGGGCATGGTGGTGCCTGTAATCCCAGCTATTCAGGAGGCTGAGGCAGGAGAATCGCTTGAACCTAGGAGGCGGAGGTTGCTGTGGGCCGAGATTGTGCCATTGCACTCCAGCCTGGGCAGCAAGAGCGAAACTTTGATTAATCAGCCTATGTGCCTGACACTGGTCTTGCAGTACAACTGGAAACCAAAGCAAGGTGGAGGATGTCCTGAATTAAGATGTTTTCATCTCATTGTGTAACAGAGACAGCCAATAAATCTACCATTTGATTTTATAAAAAAGGAAATTGGAAGTATAAAAATTTAAGACATATAAGGAGATAAAAAATTGTAACTGTAGGTGACTATATGACTGTATTGCATTGTGCATTGTATATACCCAAGAAAATCATCTGAAAATCCACCACAAATAGGAGAATTTTGTAAGGAAGTGGGATGTAAAATTAACATACAGACATCAATAGCTTTTAAGCATACAAACAGAAGACAAATAAATGACCCCAATTACAATATTAGCAGCGAGGATAAAATCTATAAAAATACAATACAATGAAATATTGAGGAACATTTTAAACACTAAGAACATAGATGGAGACTTGAACAAATGCAAAACATATTATGTTCTTAGAATGAGTTGACATCATAAAAGGTCAATTCTCCTTACATCAATTTTTAAATTTAACTCAGTCCTAATGAAAGCATCATCTGATTTCTTTTTGAACCAGACAGGCTGATTCTGAAGTTCATATAGAACAGAAAACATGAATAGCTACAAAATATTTCAAAAGGAGTGTAATTATAAAGACAGAAAAAGCCCCATTAGAGATTAAAATATGGTAAAAGGACTTTTATAAAAAAGATTCTGTGATGAAACAAATGTGGTAATGATGTGTGAATAGACAGACCAATGGAACAGAATAGAATATCCATATACACCTAAGAATTAGGAATTTCAGCTGGCTTTTCATCTCCAAAACGGTACACGACATTTATACTGTAAGAAATGCAAGTTGAGTGAGCCGAGATTGCGCCACTGCACTCCAGCCTGGGCGACAGAGCAAAACTCCATCTCAAAAAAAAAAAAAAAAAAGAAAGAAATGCAAGTTGAAACTATGATGAAATGCTATTTTAAAACCAAGAAATTTGCAAAAATCCAAAAGTTTCACAACACATTCAAAATCCTGGAGACAATATGAATTAGCTCAATGCTCTTGAACTTAATTTGGTAATACCTGGCCTCAATGATCCTCCCAACTCAGCTTTTTCAATATTTTCTGAAATTACAATTACAAATGTATATTCCTTTTGACTCAGCAATTCCTCTTTTGGATTTTACCTAACAAATATGCCTATAAGCAAAAAGATATATGAATATGTAAGGTTTTTCACTGCACATTGTTTTCCATTAAAGCCACAGGGACTGGTCGAACAAACTAAGATAAAGTCCCATACTGGAATACAGTGCAGAAGTAAGAAATGAATAAGGAAGGTCAGTATGCATTGATGTGGAAGATCTTCCAGATATTTGTCAAGTGAAAGAGAACAAGGCACATACCAATGTATATAATATGCTATTTTTTTGTGTGTAAAAAATAAGGGAAATCTATACTTGAGTTTGCCAGTGTATGCATAAAGAAACTTTAGAAGGCTATACAAGAAACAAGATGCATTGGTTACCTGTGGAGGAGATAAGGCTTAGATGGGAAATAGGTAGACAGGGGACTGTTTATCTTTTGTCTTTTTTTCATTATGAACCATGCAAGTGTTTTTGCCTATTCAGTGAGTAAATAAATAAGCAAGCATACAGCCATATGTATACATCCTATGTACTTATAAAAATGACTAAGGATGCTGTCTATGTATTGATAGGGAAAAATCTCTCAGGATGTTATGTGGACAAAGGAAGGTGGGGAATGTAATGTATAATATACTACTTTTTTATGAAAAAGAGAGACATTGAAAATATTTGCTTGGTTTTGCTTATAAATGCATAAAGAAACTGGAAAAATACTCCAGTTGGTGAACATTGTGATGTGCTGCCAGTTCCATTCCAGGCCTCCTTCAGGAATGACAGAGTTCTTGCCCCAGCTGTTGAGAATGCTGCCAGCCCTTATGGGGATAGATTGCCTCCTTTGAAGGGAGCCGCCTCACCTCAGATCACCACCCATTCCTGGGTAGCCACATCCAGTGCATGATCAACATGGAAGTGTGGATGGGCAGCTCCCAGCACCCAGCTCAGCACATCTCTGAAGGGTCATCCCAACTTTAGAAATCCCCTTCTTTATAACTGCAAGGTTATCTGCAGCTGATCTTCTCCCTCTGCCATCTGTGCCCTTCCATAGGCATCAACTCGAAAGCATTCCTAATCAGTCTACTTCTTGCTAGGAATCTGCTTCCTAGGGAACCCAAGAAACTAAAAACTAAGAAACTAAAATTAGTGGTTCTCTGTGGTTGAGCAGGGTGGGAATCTGGTGAAGGTGGACAAGGTTGAGAAGGCTATATTTCACTTTATGCCTTTTTATAATTAAAAAAAATTGTACCATGTGTCTACATCATTTATTCAAATTATAAATGCAAATGTATTTGTTAACTTGCTATGTCAGTGATATTTTATGCTTTTCCATGTATGTCTTTGGAGAACCTTTTTTTTTTTTCACTTTAGGAGGAGATATTTTTACCCCAAGCGCTGTGCCCTACCACACTCTAAATAAGATTCTCTTTTCTGTTTGTTTTTGTTTAGGACCTGCAGAGAAACGCCTCCTGATTTTGTCTTACAATGGAACTTAAAAAGTCGCCTGACGGTGGATGGGGCTGGGTGATTGTGTTTGTCTCCTTCCTTACTCAGTTTTTGTGTTACGGATCCCCACTAGCTGTTGGAGTCCTGTACATAGAATGGCTGGATGCCTTTGGTGAAGGAAAAGGAAAAACAGCCTGGGTTGGATCCCTGGCAAGTGGAGTTGGCTTGCTTGCAAGTAAGTGGATAAATTAATGCCTCTCTTTACTCTTTAATCATTTAATTACATTTACTACATCATGAACATTGTGCAAGGCAGAGAGGGCTTTCTTTTCAAAGTATAACATATCTTTTCCTGCCTTCATTGCAATGATTGTACTTTCACTGTAATAAATCAGTGTGAAAATGCAGGCACTCCCTAAGATGTTAAATCAACCATCAATTCATTCATTTCTTTATTCATTTATTTTCTACGATGTGCCGGGCATTGAACTAGATGCTGGAAATGAAAAGATAAACAGCAAACACATGGTTCCTGCCCTTAAGAGGCTCATAGTCTTGTAAGATACACACATATATGAGTAAGAATGAGTCAGGGAGATGAAGGTAGTGATCCAGGTATGCTCAAGGTACATTGGTAAGGACCAAAGGACAAAATGGCTCTCAGCAGCCTTCTAGGCAGCTTCTACATGGCTTGTGATTACTCTTCTCTGTTTCAGATACACTGTGGTCAAATCACATGTCCTGTGGTCATGAGAACTTCCCAAGAAAAAGCTGACATAGCAAAGAGTCTCACAAAATCCAATCCAATCCAATCACAAAATTAAAATCCTCATTAAGGATTTTAATATAGTGTTATGTATAAGACATATGTGATATATTTTGTGTGTCTCCAAAAGTGATATTCTTGATGAACAGTTACATATGATGTAATAGTGATTCCTGTCATCTTTAGAGAGAATAGTAGAGACTTTTTATTTTCCTTTTCACCATTAAAATCATATGCCACTTGAACTTCTAGAGTCATAGTTTGAACTCTGCAGTAATATTTAGTGACCATTATTCCAACATATTTGGAACTATTTAAGCACAACAGATGGTGATCTAGATAGGGTCAGTAGCCCTGGGCTCTCTTCCTGTGTGCTATGAACTCACCATTATTCATTGAGCAAATCACAATCTCTATTCTTATGGGGAAAATAAGGACATTAAATATGATTTGTAAGGTATTTTTCAGCTCTAAAATGGTTTCATGAAAAATGCATTAGTCATTCCTTCTTTTAAATATGCTTCTCTCCTGAATTGTAAAGGGGATGTCTTTCAAAAAAAGCAATGCCTCCAATTGTTGTATTACCTTGTTAAATTATAAACAAGAAAAAAAGGCTTAAAAAACAATGCAGGATCATCTTGCTATGTCAGATAAGATGATTAAATATAAGTAAACAAAAAAAAATAATATAGCCATTATGAGCTCAAGGGAAACAGGGAACGTTTGCCCTAGATTTGTTTCATAGTTTCTCAAAATAAGGATTGTTTGTAAAGCCACCAAAGTACAAGTGGATGATAACTGATATGTTAATAATGTGATTTGAATGTATTGATTTCTAAAATAAGACCTGTAGTGGGGAGGAAATAATTTTTTTAATGTTCTCTAATTAGTCACCATTTCTATTAGCAAATACTAAGTTAAACAGAAATGTAATTACTTTGGCTTCCAGCAAGGGTCAAAGGATAATTAAAATGCTGACTCAATTAGCACATACTTGAAGAATGAAGCTTCTTTTCACAAGTCTGTCCAGGTTGGAGTAGAGGGCTGAGGAAAGCGGAGATCTCCTTAAGGATGGGCATTGGTGGTCAGAGCTGAAGCTGACTGTTTTTGACAATTCAACTGCAGCTCTACACGTTTTCCAAGTTTCTAGGTGGATGATAACTCATCTCAAGAGCCAGGAGCAGCCCTCTTTACTCTTAGGCAGAACTGGCTACATAATTTGCAGGCCCCAGTGCAAATTTAGTGACAGCAGAGCAAATTTAGTGACAGAATTTAGTGACAGCAGAGCACTAAACCAAGTGTGGGATCCTTCTAAACACTGGGCCCTGTGCAACTTGCATAGTCACAAATCCAACAAGCCAGCCCTGCTTGTAGGGACCAGAGAGTTAGGGCATCTTATCAAAATTCTGGGAGACAACAAGTACTTGAAGGAGCTTGAGGGTGGAGTCAGAAGCTAATTCAAGTCCTGGCTCTACCACCATTGAGCTGAGTGACCTTATGCAAGTCACTTAACCTCTCTAGGTCCACTGCCTTTAGCTAGATGAGGAAGCAGTTGCACCTGGTGAGCAAAGCTTTTAAAGATGAGCATAGAAAAATGAGGGCAAATAATTCAAGAATGAAAAGTGGTGGGGAAAAAAAAAGGATGGCTAAATAGCTACAACTTACGCCTGCGTGTGTGTATATATACATATACATATACATATACATATACATATACATATACATCATATACATATACATATACATCATATATACATATACATATACATATACATATACATCATATACATATACATATACATCATATACATATACATATACATCATATACATATACATATACATCATATACATATACATATACATATATATATACATATACATATACATATACATATACATCATATACATATACATACACATACACATATACATATACATCATATACATATACATATACATATACATATACATATACATACACATACACATATACATATACATCATATACATATACATATACATACACATACACATACACATATACATATACATCATATACATATACATATACATATACATATACATATACATATACATACACATACACATACACATATACATATACATCATATACATATACATATACATATACATATATATATACTTTAGATATTGTGTACAAGTTTCAGCATAGCTGGCTCCATTGAACATATTGTATTTGATGTTATCCTCTTTGGGTTCCTCATAGCATAAATTAAGATGCAAACCCTGAAACAGTGTTTATATAGTATTAGCAAGCAGTGTCTGGCAGTGTGCAAGTCACACTGACCATCAGCTTTATGACAACTTTGCTCTACAGAGAAACAAGTGGATCATTAGTACCTTGGAAGTGGAATAAGTATTTTCATGTTGGTGACTCAAATGGTTATCAGTGGTTCTTAGCCAGGGAGATAATTAGGATCATCTATGGGACCATTTCAGCATATAATTGCGTGGATTTGACACGCAGACAGTCTAATTCATTTGGTCCATGATGGGGCCTAGATTCATGAATTATTATTGTTATTATTATTATTATTTGAGATTGGGTCTTGCTCTGTCACCCATGCTGGAGTGCAGTGGTGCTATATTGGCTCACTGCAACCTCGACCTCCCGGGTTCAAGTGATCCTCCCAACTCAGCCTCTTGAGTAGCTGGGACTACAGGTGCATGCCACCATGCCCAACTATTTTTTTCTTATTTTTTGTAGAAACAAGGTCTCACCATGTGGCCCAGGCTGGTCTCAAACTCCTGGGCTCAAGGGATTCTCCTGCCTCAGCCTCCCAAAGTGTTGGGATTACAGGCATAAGCTACTGTGCCTGGCCTCATGAATTTTTTAAAGTCCCCAAAGTGATTTTTAGTTAGGAACTACCACTGGCTTAAGCCCTCTATATTTAAATTTTAATCTTTCACTTTTTGATAACTCTCTGATATATGATTTGCTTTGACATTTTTAAAATAAAGAGAACTATTGTAGATTTCTTCTTGTGTGTGGCACTACTCATGCCGTGTAAATTATGAAAAGTAAATTGTCTGTAAAACCTGCAAAAGAAAGGGACCATTCAGGATGAAAGATGAAGACAGTTCTTGGAAGGATGGGTGGCAGAGGGAGCTGGAACCTTGCCAAGATTGTGCCTAAGCATGTGAAACATAAAGTCCTACTCCTGGGCTTTGGCAAACCTAGATTTGGACAGTAGCTCATAATAGCATATTACAACTGTGAAAAGACATGAAATTCTGGACTTTATACTCTTTATAATCTTAATTCCTAATTCCTTTTCCTTGAGACTTAAATAATTGAGAAGAAAATACTTCTTCCCCTTGCTTGAATTCTTTGTTTGTCCAGATAATCCCTGGGATGAATAAAGCTGGGTAGGAAGGATCCTACCCTCCTGGGTTATACATTGTGAATGAGCTCATCCTCATTACATATATTCCTAGGGTCTCTGAGCTAGGGATGCCAATATAGAAAACACCATCCATGTTTCTAAAAGGTTTGTAGTCTCAGGGAAGAGACAGAAAAAAAAGGTAACTAATAATTTGAGAATTCACAAATATCAAGGAGAATAGCAATGGCAAAACAATCTCTGAGGTTTTAGAGGGATAGCCTTTGAGGAAGCTATTGAGATGGGCCAGATAGGAAGATGGACTTTCATAGGCAGATAGACAGGGAGAGGGAAGTCCATGCAAATTACCTTTATGCAGAGGCCTGGATTTGGTACTGCAGAGGCTGTGTTCTCATGGAGTAAATTTGGCTGGAAAGGAGGGATTGTGTTGGGAGGTGTGACGGTCAGTTTTATGTTTCAACTTGGCTAGGTTACATTCTCCAGTTGTTCAAACACCAATCTAGGTGTTGCTGGGAAGTTATTTTGTAGATGTGAATAAAGTGCATAGTCACTTAACTTTAAATAAGGTAGCTTATCCTAGAAAATCTAGATGGATTTGGCTCAATTGTTGAAAGGCTTTAAGAGCAGAAATGAGCTTTCCCAAAAGAAGAAATTCTGCTTGTAATTGTAGCTGCAGCCTATCCCTGAGAGTTCCAACATGCCCTTCCTAATGGCCTCCTCTGCAAATTTTTGACTTGGTTAGCTAGGCAGGTATTGTCTGGCTGCCTAGTATGGTTGTTTCAAACGTGTAAGCCAATTCCTTGCAACAAATGTCTTAATATATGCTTCCTACTGGTTTTGTTTTTCTGGTTGAAACTTGACTGATATGGGAAGAATGGAAGGTAACTGAACTAGAGAGCTATCATGGCCTTGCATTGTTTTAAGATGAGCTAACACACCCTTTGGCTAGATATTGTTCTCCAAATTCAAGGAAACGGTGGTTCTGTTTCTCACACTACCCAAGTGCTGAAACAGCAGGAAATAGCACGGAGATCTAGTCTGCAGTTTTGTACTCAAAGCAGATTTGAGAGTCCTTGCCCTCTCCCTTTTGTCTTCACTTCCTCCAAAGGTGTTCAAACTCATAATACGAGTCAGTAAACGCATCACCATGTTAATATAATGAGTCAGTATGGCCAGGCCCACTTGCTGAATGAGTTATGAGTGCTGGCAGAGCTGGGTTTGGGCATTACCCCTAAGCACTGTTAACTCCTTCAAGGAGTACTGAATTCCTGCTTCTCTCAAGGATTCTGTTGCATTGGCAGGTTCCCAGTGTGCTAGGCAGTTTTAAGATTGGTGGCCGGGCGCGGTGGCTCACGCCTGTAATCCCAGCACTTTGGGAGGCCGAGGCGGGTGGATCATGAGGTCAGGAGATCGAGACCATCCTGGCTAACAAGGTGAAAACCCGTCTCTACTAAAAATACAAAAAATTAGCCGGGCGCGGTGGCGGGCGCCTGTAGTCCCAGCTACTCGGGAGGCTGAGGCAGGAGAATGGCGTGAACCCGGGAAGCGGAGCTTGCAGTGAGCCGAGATTGCGCCACTGCAGTCCGCAGTCCGGCCTGGGCGACAGAGCGAGACTCCGTCTCAAAAAAAAGAAAAAGAAAAAGAAAAAAAAAAGATTGGTAGGAATAAAGACCAGGTTTTGGTTAAGCTTTCTGCCATCTCTAAATACCACCAAACCCACTAAAATGAAAGGCAGTCAGGGTATATGAGATCAACAATTTGAGTGGGTGTGGCTCCTTAGTGCCTTTTTCTTTCTCAAGGAGATGAACTTGAGATTTACAGTCTTTGCTGGAGCAAGGATTGAGGAACCTGCAATTTGGAGGAGCTCACACCTTGGGCTCCCTGAATTTTAGATGGAAAGGTAGGACCTTCACAGGCCCAACTGATCCACTCTGTTAGGAAATCCTTGCTGCATGGCAGGTCCATAACCTGGTTACTACTATATTCTGTTTCTCACTGTAGCATCAGCCAACTTATGTATTCACTGCAGCAGACCTGGCCATCCTTCTACTCCTGGGACTCTCTGAAACTTTTTAGGAAAAAGAAGTGTGACACAGGAAGGGGAACATCACACTCTGGGGACTGTTGTGGGGTGGGGGGAGGGGGGAGGGATAGCATTGGGAGATATACCTAATGCTAGAGGGCGAGTTAGTGGGTGCAGCGCACCAGCATGGCACATGTATACATATGTAACTAACCTGCACATTGTGCACATGTACCCTAAAACTTAAAGTATAATAATAATAAATTAAAAAAATAATAATAAAAGTAGCTAAACTTAAAAAAAAAAGTGCGTGGAGGTTGAGTTTATTTCCTAAAGGGAATAATTTCATTCCCAAAACTATCCTATAATAAATTAAAAACTGAAAAATCACGTTATGTTTCTGTTCCCTCCATTTAGAATAGATGTTCATCCCTTTTGTTGACATAACCATACTTCGCAGCCTAGTTCAAGGCTTAGTTCTGTGGCCTTGGTTTTTCTTCCTCTTATGAAATCCCCAAACAAGCCGTCTGAACCTTTCTTTTGGTGCTTTTGGCCTTGGGTTTTATTTTAAACCTTGATGCGAGTTTGTTTTGCCTCTTGTCTGAGTCCTGGATTGTGTTTGATTTCTCTGTGTCCTTTTCTAACATGATATGAGATTCTAGTACTGTGCTGTCCAGTAGGGTGGGCACATGTGGCTACTGGGCACCTGAAATGTGGCTTATTCCAGTTTAGATGAGCTATAGGTATAATAAATACACACTGCGCTGGGTGTAGTGGCTCATGCCTATAATACTTAGAGCTTTGGGAGGCTGAGGCAGGAGGATCACTTGAGACCAGGAGTTTAAGACCAGTCTGGGCAACATAATGAGACCCTGTCTCTATAATTTTTTTTTTTTTAATTAGCCAGGAGTGGTGGTAACTTGGGAGGCTGAGGCAATAGTGGCTTCTAAACACCAATACTGACAACAATAATATTGGCTCTTGAACACTAATATGCAGGCAGTGGTAAGTTCGGGAAAAACTTTCACCAAAGGCAAAATGAATATAAAGGCAATGATAGAGGAAATGTATGAGTGTGTGTGTGTGTGTGAAGTTCCTATTATCTTCTTACTGTCTTGCATTTTATTCCAAAATTACATCCTTCTCACTATTAGCTTATTTAAACATTTCTTCTTCTCTAATTAAGCAGTAGTAATAATAGATGGTTATTACTTTTTTTTTTTTTTTTTTTGAGACAAGAGTTTTGCTCATTGCCCAGGCTGGAGCACAGTGGCGTGATCCCAGCTCACTGCAACCTCCACCTTCCCGGTTCATGCAATTCTCCTGCCTCAGCCTACCGAGTAGCTGGGATTACAGGCATGTGTCATCACACCTGGCTAATTTTTGTATTTTTAGTAGAGGCAGGGTTTCGCCATGTTGGCCAACCTGGTCTTGAACTCCTGACCTCAGGTGTTCCACCTGCCTTGGCCTCACAAAGTGCTGGGATTACAGGCTTGAGCCACCATGCCTGGCCAGTTATTATATTTTTAAAGTATCTTGTGAAAATAAAACATTAGGAACCCTTGCCCCTTTTTCCCCCCCTTTTTTCCCTAAAATTGTTCAGGTTCAAAGGTGTGGAATCACTGGTTCATGTCACAGGTAAACTAACTTTTGTTCCAAAGTTCCCTTCTGCAGAGTTTTCACTTTGCATTGTAAGAAATCTCCTGAAAGTAGCCCTTTGATTTAATCTGTCTCTTGAAACTCATCCAGTGCTGAGGAATAATAGATGGTTTATCATCTTGAGGCCTTGCACAGTTACTACAAAGAGCTAAATACATAAATATATCACATTTTGCAGATGTGACTTGATGGTCACTTTGATACATTTTGTCTTGTTATTGCTGAAATATGAGGCTATTGTGTTTTAAATCTATGTGAATAGAATCTATAAATAAACCCAGGTTCTAAGGATAAGGGTAAAATAATTTTGCTCTAAACTATTGAACACCAAGTGATTATAAATTTTATGTTTTCATCTAACATAAGTTCATAAAGCTATGTTATCTATAAGACATTAACAAAAGTACCATTACCAGTGGTGAATCCATACAGGTCTGCATCAGACTTGATCCTTGCTTCCTTGGAGGAAAGAATTCCGCCAGGGGGCAGAAGTGGGTTTAAAGCAGAGAAAGAGACCAAGGCAAGTTTTAGAGCCGGAGTGAGAGTTTATTAAAAAATTTTAGAGCAGGAGTGAAAGGAAGTATTTACACTTGGAAGAGGGCCATGTGGGCAACTTGAGAGATTCAGGTGCCCCATTCAGTCCTTGACTTGGGGTTTTACAAGTTGGCATGGTTCTGGGGTTTTTCCTTCTCTCTTGATTCTTTCCTTATGGTTGGCTGTTGCTCAACTGCTGCATAGGCAGTGTTGGTCATTTGGGAGGGTGACCACGTGCATAGTGTGTTTACTGAGGCTGTGCTCATGCTCCGTAGGGGCAGTTTTCCTTTACCAGTCAAATGCCCCCAGAGGAAGGTCGTACATCCACCATTTTGCCTCTTAGTGAGCATGCCAGAGTCCACTTGTCCAACTCCTGAGATCTTATTGGGAAGCTGCTGATCACCAGCTCCAGGTGTTTTCTGTCTACTGGGAGACTCTCTTCCCCTGGTGTTGGCTGTGGCCAATTATCATTTCAGAAAAACAGTTTAATAAACATCTGACCATCACCTGATGGTTACTGGAAATTCCTGGGTGAGGCGAGGGCTCTCCTGCCCTGCTCATGTCTGCCTAACTACCTACTCTAACAGTACCTTGATGTTCTTTACTAGTAATTTGATTTCTAGGAAAAAATTAAGATCCCAATTGAACTATTTCTCAATCAGGGAGAATGCTGGTCTGACTTTGGCCTTAGACCTGTCATTGGCTAGCTATGGACTCTTGGTCAAATCACATGATCTTTCTGAGTTCCAGTTTCACCATTTTTAAATTGAGGTGTTTAGACCGTTTTCAACTTCCAAAATTTCAGCTCTAAAATTTTTTGTCTTTAATCTCTGACCTAATGATATATTTCTCTAAATCAGCAGCAGATGGCAATGTGAAAGTAGAGAATTTTAAACCCTGTTTCCATTTGCTGTTTCCACTGTAAGAGAATTTCTGTTCATTTTTTCCTAATGCTTAAATTGTTCTTCAAAAAAAATCATTTGTTAGGCAAAAAAAGTGACTTAAGAATTTATCACATAGTTGATAACAATGCTGTATATTTCATACAGCAGTGGCTTTGGTTGTACATGTTATGAAAATTATTACTCCTCCATCTTGCCCCCACACTCCCAGGCTCTGAGGCTTCCTCATGGAATTAGCATGCATTAAAGAGCATAAAGTCCTATTTTGAGGATGAAACTTGAAACTTTTCAAGTATGCCAGGAATAATCTCTGTGTGTTTCAATTCCAATGTGTTGTAAAATTTGTGAACACTGAAACTCAATGTCAATGTAGTTTGGTAACAACAGAGAAGGGTCATGCCTTATGCTGTCAGACATTCATTTGTAAAATTAGACTCTTAAAACTGTTTCTATTTTTGAAGTATCTAAGTATTTCTCATTGGGTGTACAGACAGCCCAACTATTGGATGATAAATTTGGTCTTTCAAATGGATTTTCCTTTTAAAATACTGGCACAGAATATTTCCCTCTATTTGTCATGCAAATGTATCAGTCTCCTCTTCTGCGCTGACTCACACAAGAGGGCCTGAAAATGGGAGGGTCCAATTTATGGCCAGGAAGGAATGTGGGAGAGCCTTAAGCACCAGGAGCTATGATCTCAGTGTATCTCAGGGGCCATAAACTGGTCTTAAATATGTGTATAAGAAGTTCTCTGGTATTGGGAAGAATGTAAGAGCATAGTGCATGGGTTATTGGAACCTACCTCTGTCATTTACAAACAGTGAGACCATGATGGATTCCATTGTTTCTCTGAGGTTGCTTCAAAAAGTGGTAAAAGACACATACATACAGAAAAGTGTATGTATCATGACAGTATAGCTTGATGAATGCTCATGAACTGAATACACTCATATAATCATTACATTCATGCCAAGAACAAGAACATGAGCAATACCCCGCAAGTTTGGCTTTGCGCTCTTCTGATTATAACTCCCCAGCCCCTACTAAAGATAGCCAGTATCCTGACTTCTAACACAGATTAGTTTTGCTTGTTTCTGTAGTTTTTATAATTGAAAGTATATGGGTTGTACTTTTTATGTTGGGTGTCTTTCATTTACATTGTGTCTTTCATTTACATTGTGTTTGTGTGATACACCCTTAATGTGTGTAGTTGTAGATCATTTTCACTGCCATATAATTATGTATATAACTCTAGGTGTTTATGTGGAATTGAATTCCACATAGAATTGAAACTTCTGGGTTTTACAGCGTGCTGTGTTCGGCTTTAGTAAACACTGCCAGCAGTGTGTGAGAATTCTGTTCCTACCGCTTTCTTGCTAACAGTATTGTCTGTCTTTAGCCATTCTGGTAGGTGTGGTTTTTGAAAATTGGAGATCAACTTGAAAGGTTGTCAACTCAATTCAGATATACTTCTCTTTGCTTTCAAATCCTTGGTCTTTCTTCTACCATTGACTTGAACAGCTTATTTGAGCTTCAGTTTCCTTCCATGTTAAATGAGACTGTTGGGCTAAATAACCCTTAACGTCCTTTTATTTCTAGTACATTAAGTTCTGTACTTCTGAGTACAGTCCTAGTAGGAAAGAATTTCACTATCACTTAAATTCTGTTACATGAGCTGTTGCCCACTTACATGTAGAACAATTCCAGGTGATGGTCACTTTTGCCTCTCAGTCAACAGGGCACAGTAACACGGTCAGGTGGGTACTATTATAATTCCCATTTTCAGATGAGGAAACTAAGGCACAGAATGATCAAATAAGTTGCCCAAGACCGAATAGCTACCAAGTAGTAGGGCTAGAATTTGAATAAAATCTGACTCCAGAACCTCCATTTTACCTATGTGATAATATCATCCTTTAATTTCATTATCAAAAAGAATGGGACTAACAATAGTATACACCTCCCAGGGCTGCAGTAAGATTAAAATGAGATGAGATTGTTCATGTGAACTGCCTCATATAGTGTCTGCATATCATAAATACTCAGTGCATTTTATTTTTGTTGTTTTATGGTGGAAAGAATCATTTTGAACTTATGATGGATGGATCATATGATAATAAGTGAAGGTTTCATTTCTTTTTTTAGGTCCTGTCTGCAGTCTCTGTGTCTCATCTTTTGGAGCAAGACCTGTCACAATCTTCAGTGGCTTCATGGTGGCTGGAGGCCTGATGTTGAGCAGTTTTGCTCCCAATATCTACTTTCTGTTTTTTTCCTATGGCATTGTTGTAGGTAAGGAACCTCGTCACTATGACTTTCCTAACCTTCAAGAGATACACATCATTTCACCAGTGCCAGGTTTATGATCCAGTTAATGTAAAGGAGTGAAAATGCTCACTAATAATTTACTTTCAATAACCACTTCTCCAAAAACTGTTGCTTTAGTGAAAAAAACCTGCCCAGTGAATCAAAATGTTTGAAAGAACAAACAATCCATACTCTGTCTCCTTGCAAGGCACAGGGAAGTTTTTCATCTCAGCCCTTGTCTCTCTATAGCACATATGGGAAAAGTGAGAGGGGAACATAAAACTTGGATGTTATTGACATCTGTCACTTCTCACTAAATTATGAAGTGGCCCTTTTCCTATTGGGCAGTCAAGCATGATTCTTTGAAGCTGTTTGTGTTCACAAACAGCTGTTTGCATTCCATAGCATCTGTTGCTGTGAACCCAAGTGAAAAGCCACAGCACAAGTAAAAAGTAGATTTGAAAGCATGTATTACTATTTTTTTTAGAGATAAGACATGAGTGAAGAAAGCTGAGTGGTGGGATGATGCTGGTTACAGGGGAGGAAAGCATAGGAGGCGCAGGGCCTTAGAGTACTGAAAATTTGGGAAGATATCCTTGTCATGTCATTACACTAATTGGGTTCAGTGTTAAAAATCACCAAACTTGGTATTTCTAGGGACTGTTGGTAGGGACTTAGAAAAAGATGGCCTCCAGCTTTCAAGTTTCTTCTTAATGCCTGAAAGGAGCTAATTTTATTGACTACCAATATTCCTTTTTTCTGCCTGGAAATATTTCTCCAATAATAAATAATAGAAAATGTAGCAACTAATATTCACTGTGTACTTATCATATGCTAGGGACTGTGCTAAATGCTTTATATGATCTCATTTCCTCTTCACAAGAACCCATTTTACAGAGAGGGAAAGTGAAGCTCAGAGAAGTAAAAATATTACTAACTAAATTAGCAAAGCTAGGAGACTTCGTTTGATACTTAGAGATGCTCAGTCTGACACTCAGTAGTCCATTTATATGGGATTTGATATTGGCTTAGGCTTACACTTATGGCTATTGTCGCTGATGGTGGAGTTACAGGGCTTTCACTTGGTTTTCCTCACTATGATGGCGTTGTAGGGAATGATACCTCTTATTGCTTTGTCCAAGGGACCAAAGAACAATGTAGGGAGTTCTATCAGCTGTTGTGTATATGTGCTATAATTAAATATCAGGGACTGGGGAAAGGACCATTGGCTGGGCAGTTGGGGCATAATCCCATATATTACGTGCCCATGTAAGCCCACTCTAAGGGGAAGCCATGCAAACTCTTCGTGTCTCTAACAACAATGTTCAAAATGTATTTCACTTTCCTCAGTGTACAGTTACTTAAATAGATGGCATAGTTCTCTCTGGGGAAAGACTCACGTTATCATTCCATATATACCAACTTGTCATCATGTTTGTTGCAGTGTCCTTCCTCCTAGAGTCCTGGCCTTTCCTTCATTTAGTGGATTCTGGGTCAGAAAACAGGCTCAGGTCTGAGGATGTACATAGCTCTGATTTGGCAATAGGTTCTGATTCTCAGTGACTGAGAGGAAACTGTCAGCTCATGGAGAGAGCACTGGACTTCAGGTCAGCAGACACAGGTTCTGTGAGTTTGAGCAAGCTCCTTCATCTCCACAAATGACTGTACCCTCCCTCATCTGTGAAGGCAGGCTAAGAAACCTACCTCGTATGGGTCTTGTGAGGACTAAATGATGTCAAGCAAGATAACAATAAAATAAAGAGTTGAGTTAGATTTCAATTAATAAAAATATCTCTCACCACCGTAATTATTGGGGACCTGTGAGTTACTGCTTGCTGGCAAATTATTAATATTTACCACCATGGTTGATTTCTTCACAGTTTTATTTCATCAGTAGGCTCATAGTATAGGGCTCATGGAATGTTTGTGGGATAAATAAATGGGATAATAATGAACACTGGCACTTTCATTCTGTTACCATTTGAAGTAGAGTATCAAATTGAAAAAAAAAGTGACAGGAAATTATTACACAGTCTAAAATCTCATTCCTGTATCATGAGCTCTTTAGAAAAATAAGAACGGTTCAGTCTAATGGTAACATTTGTAAGATGCAATTCTGTGCAGAATCATATCCTAAGGACTTTCATTTGTCTGGAATGAGCTAGATGGCCTCTTTAGCTAGACAGTGTGACCAAGGGAAAGATCAGACACTGACTAGCAGGCAGGCTCTGGGGTTAGACCATGTGGGTTAACCTTCTTTTATCCACTTGCCAGCTGTGTGACTGTAAACATGTTTTGTAACTTCTGTGTTCTCATTTGTAAACTGAGCATCATAATAGCACCCGTCTTATAGGAGTTTGTGAAGATGGGTGACATAGTGCAATGAATGCTAGCTAGCATAAACCATTATCATTTGTTTTATGACCTGAAAAATTATTCAGCCTCTCTGAGCTTCCTTTTTTATTTTTTATAAAATGGCACTGATATGAGTTCATGGAGGTATTGTGACTATTCATGAGATAATGTTTATAAAGAGGCATACAGAGATGTTTAATACATATTTGTTCCTTTCTCCTTAAATTCCTTTCTGACCCATACAGCAGTAGTTTTTGGCTACTGAAGAAGCTCTATTGAATCAGAAATATTTGTGTAAGAGGTTTAAAAATACAAGAAAAGAAATTAAAGTTATATGGGATATTACAAGCTAAAATGTCAAAAGAATACTAAAGTGTGTTAAATGATATAATTCTGTTTTACCATTTAATTGATTTTTTTCCAAAACTAACAATTTGAAAACATGATGTTGTTTTGTTAGGTTTTTGTAGCTCAAATGAAAACCTGTACCAACTTGTCAGATTGCAGGATTAATTGCAATGAGGAACTTGATACCATATCAGTATAGATTTGTACTCTGTTACGGTAAATCCATTTGTTTATTCTGTACTTTTTTTTTTTTCTTTCGAGACGGAGTCTCACTGCAACCTCCGCCTCATGGGTTCAAGCGATTCTCCTGCCTCAGCCTCCCGAGTAAGCTGGGACTACAGGAGCAAGCCACCACGCTTGACTCATTTTTGTATTTTTAGTGGAGATAGGGTTTTGCCATGTTGGCCAGGCTGGTCTTGAGCTCCTGACCTCAGGTGATCCGTGGTCTTGGGCTCCCAAAGTGCTGGGATTATAGGCGTGAGCCACTGTACCTGGCCTCTGTTTATTCTGTACTTTAAATAGATCTTCATTCAAACCTGATTTTGTAGCATCATGCATTCTCTATTTGAAAAATATTGGTTTGCTGAGTTATGCAAGAACTTAAAAATGTTAACACATTTCATTGTAAAACATCACTTTGGTTAATACTGCCAACAAGCTCATTAGAAATCTTTATGTATTGGCAAGTGATTGTAAGCCACACAGCCAAATCTGGGAATTGAGTCTCCTGTTTTCTCAATAAATTTTCTAAATCAGGCAAAAGGCAATACAGTGAGAGATGAAAATTAGGTGGGTAGGAGGTGGTGGTGCAGGGAATGTGCCTGTAATGATTTGCTCAAGCCTCTTTCTAATAATTTCTCTTTGCTTTTCTGAAAAGCACAACTCAAAACCAATTCCTTGTATTCTCTTTTCTTTAGAATATATTGTTATTTAGCTAGCTGATTATGGTTTTCTTATTATTCCCTTCCTGATTTTTGGAAGAATTCCATTTTCTTCCCCTCACCTCCCACCACTGCCCTTTCTTTGGTAATACCTGCGTAGTCCACTGAGAGTGGGGAGGGAAAAGAACATGTTTGTAGACAGTCTGATTCTCTTACTGTAATTCTGCCAAATGAGATAAAGAGCATTTCCTGTATATTTGCTTTAGTAGAAATAGAGATTTATAAGCCCCCCCTTTCAAAATTGTTATATAATTGAAGATAATTTTTAACTGTCATGGATATGCAGGTGTAATAAGGTACTATGATTTTTTAATGTAGTCTGAGGCAGTATCTACATAATGCCATAATACTCAGGTGAAAAATGAAAAAAGTATACCAATATAATGGATTTTTTTTGTACTCATGATAGCATAGGGACAGAAACTACATATTTACATTTTTTATGTCTCTTAATTTTTACAACTATCTTACAAGATTGTTTTACAGATAAATAAACTAGGAATTAGAGAGTTTAAATGACTTTGCCAAAGTCGCACAACCAATTGTCTAGTTGGAGGAATAGACTTGAAAATATATAACTTGTAGCACAGCACAATAAGTGCAATGATGAAAGGAAGCCAATGTATGTGTGTGTGCTGGGGAGAGAGGGTGGAGGCTTCATGCTTAATTTATGCTTGCGCTAAGTCTTGAAAAACAGGCAGGAAGTGGTTCAAGTGGATACGGTTGGAAGGGGAGTGGGGATGGTGTGAGGAGGACATTTCAGTAGCCTAAGTACTCAGAGGCGCAAGATAGAATGGATAAACAGCAGTCTTTTTATACGTGTTTGTTAAGGAATGCACAGATGGTGTGAGGAGTTGCAAATATGTCAAAGCATGGTATGTAACAGAGGCCAGATGCTAACAGTTTAATGAGGTCTTTATTGCAGTAGTATGACATGATGAGAACTATATGACAACAGTTTAGAAGACAGATTGGTGGGAAAAGTACTGAAGGCTGAGACAGCTATTAGGAGGCTTTAGATGAGATTAAAAAAAAAAGATGAGGAGGTGAACTGAGGCAGTGTTAGTGCAGAGAGAGAGTGAGGTTGATAATTTAGGCCGTGGGTGTGATAAAGAGCTTGATGTCTGGTTTGATGAGAGGAGGTGAGGGGAAAGAGGCCTCTGAAGTTGTGTCTCCAGTGTGTGAAATGGAAGGTAAAGTGTGGAAAAGAAATGTTACAACATGTAAATATATTTAGTTTTTACCATTTAAAGAAAGGGAAACAACTATGCCTTACTAATACTGATGCTGTGAATGGTCAGTAGTACAAGTATTTAATTTTAAAATTGTTATTCTTTTACTGGAGGTTGGTACACAGAATTTTTTCACTGGTAGGGGTCTGATCCAAACTGGTTGGAGGCCAAGGAATGCTTTAAGGCAGTGGTTTCCAAACTGTTTAATCTTGGAACCCTTTACATTCTTCTATTTAGAACACCTGGAAACTTTTGATTATGAGGATTATACTTAGATTTAGTCTATTAAAATGTGCTGTATTAAGAGATAAGACACTTAAAAATATTTGTTTAGCTATTCATTTCAAGATAACGAATCCAGTAGATGTTAACGTAAATATCATATCTATTATGAAAAATAACTCTGTTTTCCAAAGCAAAACAAAATTTGGTGAGAAGAGTGCCATTGTCTTACATGTTTGCAAATCTCTTTAATGTCTGGTTTCATAGAAGGCAGCTATATTCTCCTATCTACTTCCGTACTCAATATGTTACAATATGCTTCTTGATTGAAGTATATGAAGAAAATCTGGTCTCATACAAAGATGTAATTAGAAAAGGGAAGAGTGTTTAAGAGTCTTTTCAGGTAATTATAGATATTCCTCTACCGAAATTTGTTAAGTGATAGTTTCCTAAGGATTAATTGCAATGAGGAACCTGATACCATATCAGTATACTTTTCATACTCTGTTATAGTAAATCCATGTGTTTATTTTGTGCTTTGAGTAGATCTTTATTCAAACTTAATTTTGTAGCTTCATGCATTGGCTATCAAAAAATATCAAAAAATATCAATTTGCTGAGTTATGCAAGAACTTAAAAATATTAACACATTTCATTGTAAAACATCACTTTGGTTAATATTACCAAAAAGCTCATTAGAAATCTTTATGAATTGGGAAGCTGTCAAATGCATGGTGACAGATACAAGTTTTCCAAAATTCTGTGTGTTTTTTTTTTTTTTTTTTGCTGGAAAATATGAATTTTATCATTGGTAACAATTACTGTCAGTTGTTTCCCAGCGTTGGTTCATTTACAAGAAAATATCAGCCAGACACCCAAGGTTAAATAACTGTAGTTTGTCTGTCAGACACTGTTTCAAATAAAACGATGTTATATTTTAAAAGTGGTTATTTCAGCTAGCTATAAAACAATCACTTAAGTGCTTATACTTGCAGCAATTATTGTAATTCAGGTGAAGCATTGAAAACAAATGTGTTTGTTTTTACTGTGAGGGTGTGGTTGTGAAGCCTATGAAGTGTCTAGTTCCTTAGGAATACCTTAGTTTGTGGTAGGCTTTTTGCAGTTTTACTCAGCATCTCTTTTGCACCATCAGCATAAATGTGAACATAGTGAAAAAAGCAGAGAACATCTTAGTATTATTATAAAAATAGGTTTGACTTGACTAACTTCATGAAAGATCTTAGGGACCATAGGTACACAGACTTCTCTTTAACAACTGCTGATTTAAGGTTGTCCTGATGCAGATGAAGAGAGGAATCATGCCACCTTTTGCTTTCTTTTCTTTTTTTTTTTTTTTTGAGACAGAGTCTCGCTCTGTTGCCTAGGCTGGAGTGCAATGGCGCGATCTCAGCTTGCTGCAACCTCCACCTCCAGGGTTCAAGTGATTCTCTTGCCTCAGCCTCCTGAGTAGCTGAGACCACAGGTGCACACCATTGTGTGCCTGGCTAATTTTTTGTATTCTTAGTAGAGATGAGGTTTCGCCATGTTGGCCAGGCTCATCTCAAACTCCTGACCTCAAGTGATCCTCCCACCTCGGCCTCCCAAACTGCTGGGATTACAGGCATGAGCCACCGTGCCTGGCCTCACCTTTTGCTTTCTGACAAATTTAAAGTAAATGTGTTTCAGATTTCTGCTACATTAAAAAAAAGTGAGGTAATCTTATCTGAACCCTAAGGCCTTTAAATCATTTTAAAAAATTCATTTTAGTATAAGATTTAAAGTTTAAAAGTTGCTGTTTCAACTTTTTTGGCATTGACATTTAGTAACCTGAAATGTCTTTTTTTCATGTCTTGAATGCTTAACCTTTGACACAGCTCTGACAACGAAATCACGGAAAGCATGTAACTTTGCATTATTTACAATAAAACCGCCTCCAAAGGCTTTCAGAAATAGTCTTAGTTAAGGGTGACACTTTTTGGCTTCACAAAATTGATTGGTTAGAAACAGTTCTTATTTCATGTTTTGAAGTGTCCTCTGTGTAGTAATGACAACTATATAAATTAATCCAACTCATGTCTTAGATTTTGAGAGTATTTTTTTCCCCATAAATGACATAAAAGGGCACTCTATTTTTAAAGGGTTAAAGTCTAGTTGTTTTAATCTCTCTCATTTCATTAATAAGACTCTGTGTGCAATTATGGATAATCATCTGAGTCATGGGTTAAGTGCTGATTTCCTAAAATGTTTATGCAGTGTATTTGTTAAACTCATGTATTCTTTTAAATCATAGTCCAGGTAGCTATTTTAAGTAAGGAAAATGGCCTTAATAATTCACATAATAGGCCATAGTTAAAATTCAGTTATTAGACTATGGCTTATTTGTTGTTTTAGAGTGATCCTCAAGAACAGATAATGTTGTGGAAGAAAAGCATAAAGTAAATGACTGAGGGCCAACGGAGAATTATATGAAAAACAAACTGGGGTTGTCAGATTCTTAAAAGGGAAGAAAATATTAAGCTAACAAACGAGAGCCTTGGAGATGATCTGGAGATAAATATTACCCTTAGGATTCAGGAAGAGAAATTTAGTTGTAACTTTTTTTTGTTGTTAATTATAAAATAATTTCAAATTTACAGAAAAGTGGAGAATAGTATAGCAAACAACCATATGCTCACCAATAGTTGTCAGTATTTTGTTGTATGTGCTTCCTTTTTTTGGTGAAAGTATTTTAAAGTAAAGACATTACTACATTTTACTTCTAAATAAGGTAATATGCACCTCTAAAAGATGAAGACTTACAGATACAAATTTCACTGTGTGAGATGATATGAGAACCCCACAGGGCCTTCATATTGCAGACTGGCTTGTGCAGGCTAAACTCTGACAAAATAGCTTTGAGTGATCAAGTGTATTTTAAAAAGTTGTTTAGAGGACTTAGAAGAGGAAGAACACTGAGCTGGGGGCAAGGACTTGGAAGAGGCATAGATCTCTAAGGGGCAAACTTGATCAAATTTGCTATTTGGTATGTGAATTTAGCCATTTTCCTTCTTTCTCCATAATCTCTTAATTTACATTGGCGTTATTCATTCATGCTTTAGAAATTGGATACTTTTTTACTTGACCCTGATCTTAAGGTGGGTGTGGGGTGAAAAATGAGGCTGCCCAATGGTGTCTATTGGGGCTACACACATGGAAGGAATCTAGGAGTCTGTACTTGTAACAGTTTTAGCCAGTGAGTAATGGAATGTCTTATCGGACATACTTGTTTTTCCTTTTTTCTCTTGCATTGAAGTAATGCAGCGTCTTAATTTATGCAATGTCTTCTCATGCTTAGGTCTTGGATGTGGTTTATTATACACTGCAACAGTGACCATTACGTGCCAGTATTTTGACGATCGCCGAGGCCTAGCGCTTGGCCTGATTTCAACAGGTATATTTTCAAAATGAGTACAGTATTGTCACCATTCAGTCTTCTAAACAAAGTAAAAAGTTACCAAGCACAGACATGTTTAACCAACCATTACCCAGCTACCAATCAGGTAGCAAAATAATTTCTTTACTTCTGGAAGGAAAGTTTATTTTACACCATAAATATGGCAGTAGCTTTCTTTTTTTTTTTTTTTTTACATTTTACATTATAAATTTTTATGTCTTGTATGGGATGTTTTCTAAAATATATAGCTCTTCTAAAATTGTAAACTGATATTTAGTATAACATTAATACATTTTTACATGGACACCTATCATTGTCAAAGCACTTTTAGAAACTTAAATTTAAATGATCATAAAACTTGAAAAGTTGTCTTTATGATATTTCTAAAAAAGCTATTTTTTCCTGCCATTGTGTTTGCTTCCTGAAAGTCCAAAGTAAACCATCTCGTTATTTATTATTTATTATTATTATATTTTAAGTTCTGGGTTACATGTGCAGAACATGCAGTTTTGTTACATAGGTATACATGTGCCACGGTGGTTTGCTGCACCCATCAACCCATGATCTACATTAGGTATTTCTCCTAATGCTATCCCTCCCGTAGCCCCCCACCCCCCAACAGGCCCTGGTGTGTGATGTTCCCCTCCCTGTGCCTATATGTTCTCATTGTTCAACTCCCACTTATCAGTGAGAACATGTGGTGTTTGGTTTTCCGTTCCTGTGTTAGTTTGCTGAGAATGATGGTTTCCAGCTTCACTCATATCCCGGCAAAGGACACAAACTCATTCTTTTTTATGGCTGCATAGTATTCCGTGGAGTGTACGTGCCACATTTTCTTTCTTTCTTTCTTTTTTCTTTTTTTGAGACAGAGTTGCGCTCTTGTTGCCCAGGCTGGAGTGTAACAGCACAATCTTGGCTCACCACAACCTCTGCCTCCCGGGTTCAAGTGATTCTCCTGTCTCAGCCTCCCGAGTAGCTGGAATTATAGGCATGTGCCACCAAGCCCAGCTAATTTTTTGTATTTTTAGTAGAGACGGGGTTTCTTCATGTTGGTCAGGCTAATCTCAAACTCCCAACCTCAGATGATCTGCCCCTCTCGGCCTCCCAAAGTGCTGGGATTACAGGCGTGAGCCACCATGCCTGGCCTATACATGCCACATTTTCTTTATCCAGTCTAACATTGATGGACGTTTGGGTTGGTTCCAAGTCTTTGCTATTGTGAATAGTGCTTCAATAAACATACATGTGCATGTGTCTTTATAGTAGAATGATTTATAATCCTTGGGGTATATACCCAGTAATGGGATTGCTGGGTCAAATGGTATTTCTAGTTCTAGATCCTTGAGAATTGCCACACTGTCTTCCACAATGATTGAAGTGTAAAAGCATTCCTATTTCTCTACATCCTCTCCAGCATCTGTTGTTTCCTGACTTTTTAATGATTGCCATTCTAACTGGCATGAGATTGTATCTCATTGTGGTTTTGATTTGCATTTCTCTAATGACCAGTGATGATGAGTTTTTTTTCATATGTTTGTTGGCTGCATAAATGTCTTCTTTTTTTCTTTTCTTTTTTTTTTTTTTTTTTTTGAGATGGAGTTTTGCTCTTTTGCCTAGGCTAGAGTGCAGTGGCGCAATCTCAGCTCACTGCAACCTCCACCTTCCAGTTTCAAGTGATCTCCTGCCTCAGCTTCCTGAGTAGCTGGGATTACAGGTGCCTGCCACCACGCCCAGCTAATTTTTGTATTTTTAGTAGAGACAGTGTTTCCCTACATTGGCCATGGAGGTCTTGAACTCCTGACCTTGTGATCTGCCTGCCTCAGCCTCCTAAAATGTTGGGATTAAAGGTGTGAGCCACTGTGCCTGGCCAGATGTCTTCTTTTGAAAAGTGTCTGTTCATATCCTTCACCACTTTTTGATGGGTTTTTTTTTTTCTTGTAAATTTGTTTATGTTCCTTGTAGATTCTGGATACTAGCCCTTTATCAGATGGATAGATTGCAAATATTTTCTCCCATTCTGTAGGTTGCCTGTTCACTCTGATGATAGTTTCTTTTGCTTTGCAGAAGCTCTTTAGTTTAATTAGATCCCATTTGTCTATTTTGGCTTTTGTTGCCATTGCTTTCGGTGTTTTAGTCATGAAGTCTTTGCCCGTGCCTATGTCCTGCATGGTATTGCCTTGGTTTTCTTCTAGGGTTTTTATGGTTTTAGGTCTTATATTTAAATCTTTAATCCATCTTGCGTTAATTTTTATATAAGGTGTAAGGAAGGGGTCCAGTTTCAGTTTTCTGCATATGGCTAGCCTGTTTTCCCAACACCATTTATTAAATAGGGAATCCTTTCCCCATTGCTTGTTTTTGTCAGGTTTGTCAAAGATCAGATGGTTGTATATGTGTGGTGTTATTTCTGAGGCCTCTGTTCTGTTCTATTGGTCTATATCTCTGTTTTGGTACCAGTACTACTGTAGCCTTGTAGTATAGTTTGAAGTCAGGTAGTGTGAAGCCTTCAGCTTTGTTCCTTTTGCTTAGAATTGTCTTGGCTATATGGGCTCTTTTTTGCTTCCATATGAAATTTAAAGTAGTTTTTTTCCAATTCTGTGAAGAAAGTCAATGGTAGCTTGATGGGAATAGCATTGAATCTATAAATTACCTTTGGCAGTATGGCCATTTTCACGATATTGATTCTTCCTATGCATCAGCATGGAAGGTTTTTTCATTTGTTTGTGTACTCTCTTATTTCCTTGAGCAGTGGTTTGTAGTTCTCCTTGAAGAGGTCCTTCACATGCCTTGTAAGTTGTATTTCTAGGTATTTTATTCTCTATGTAGCATGTGAATGGGAGTTCACTCATGATTTGACTATCTGTCTATTATTGGTGTATAGGAATGCTTGTGATTTTTGCCATTGATTTTGTGTCCTGAGACTTTGCTGAAGTTTCTTATCAGCTTCAGGAGATTTCGGGCTGAGATGATGGGGTTTTCTAAATATACAATCATGTCATCTGCAAACAGAGATAATTTGATTTCCTCTCTTCCTATTTGAATACACTTTATTTCTGTCTCTTGCCTGATTGCCCTGGCAAGAACTTCCAATACTATGATGAATAGGAGTGGTGAGAGAGGGCATCCTTGTCTTGTGTTGGTTTTCAAAGGGAATGCTTCCAGCTTTTGCCCATTCAATATAATATTGGCTGTCGGTTTGTCAGAAATAGATCTTATTATTTTGAGATATGTTCCATCAATACCTAGGTTATTGAGAGTTTTTAGCATGAAGGGGTGTTGAATTTTATCGAAGGCCTTTTCTGCATCTACTGAGATAATCATTTGGTTTTTGTCATTGGTTTTGTTTATGTGATGGATTACATTTATTGATTTGCATATGTTGAACCAGCCTTGCATCCCAGGGATGAAGCCAACTTGATCGTGGTGGATAAGCTTTTTAACGTGCTGCTGGATTTGGTTTGCCAGTATTTTATTGAGGAAATTCGTATCAATGTTTATCAGGGATATTAGCCTGAAATTTTCTCTTTTTGTTTTGTTTCTGCCAGGTTTTGGTATCAGGATGATGCTGGCCTCATACAATGAGTTAGGGAGGAGTCCCTGTTTTTCTATTGTTTGGAATAGTTTTAGAAGGAATGCTGCCAGCTCCTCTTTGTACCTCTGTTAGAATTTGGCTGTGAATCCGCCTGGTCATGGGCATTTTTTTGGGTTGGTAGGCTATTAATCACTGCCTCAATTTCAGAGCTTGTTATTGATCTATTCAGAAATTCGACTTCTTCCTGGTTTAGTCTTGGGAGGGTGTGTGTGTCCAGGAATTTATCCATTTATTCTAGATTTTCCAGTTTACTTGTGTAGAGGTGTTTATAGTATTCTCTGATGGGATTTGTATTTCTGTGTGATCAGTGGTGATCTCCCCTTTATCATTTTTTATTGTGTCTATTTGATTCTTCTCTCTTTTCTTACTTATTAGTCTGGCTAGCGGTCTATGTATTTTGTTAATTTTTTCAAAAAACCAGCTCCTGGATTCATTCATTTTTTTGAAGGATTTTTCATGTCTCTATCTCCTTCAGTTCTGCTCTGATCTTAGTTATTTCTTGTCTCATGCTAGCGTTTGAATTTGTTTGCTCTTGCTTCTCCAGTTCTTTAAATTGAGATGTTAGGATGTTGATTTTAGATATTTCCCACTTTCTCCTGTGGGCATTTAGTGCTATAAATTTTCCTGTAAACACTGCTTTAGCTGTGTCCCAGAGATTCTGGTACATTGTGTCTTTGTTCTCTTTGGTTTCAAAGAACTTATTTATTTCTGCCTTAATTTTGTTATTTACTCAGTAGTCATTCAGAAGCAGGTTGTTCAGTTTCTATGTAGTTGTGTGGTTTTCAGTGACTTTCTTAATTCTGAGCTCTAATTTGATTGCACTGTGGTCTGAGAGACTGTTTGTTATGATTTCCGTTCTTTTCCATTTGCTGAGGAGTGTTTTACTTCCAATTATGTGGTCTATTTCAGAATAAGTGCTGTGTGATGCTGAGAAGAATGTATATTCTGTTGATTTGGGGTGTAGAGTTCTGTTGATGTCTATTAGGTGTGCTTGGTCCAGAGCTGAGTTCAAGTCCTGAATATCCTTGTTAATTTTCTGTCTCATTGATCTGTCCAGTATTGACAGAGGGATGTTAAAACCTCCCACTATTATTGTGTGGGAGTCTAAGTCTCCTTATAGGTCTCTAAGAACTTGCTTTATGAATATGGGTGCTCCTGTATTGGGTGCATATATATTTAGGATTGTTAGCATTGATCCCTTTACCATTATATAATGCCCTTCTTTGTCTTTTTTGATCTTTGTTTCTTTAAAGATAGGAGAAAAGGAACGAAAATTAACATCCCTAAGGCCACTGTCAGAAAGACTGATGCTGATCATGTCTCCACCTCCTTGTAGTGTGGAACTTACAATTTTTCTAAAGTACTGGTTTCTCAATACCTCTCACTGACCTACGTGCATATCCAAATGACAAGCTGTTTACTCTTGTTATTCCTTTAGTAATCAAGAGATGATCACTGAGGGGGAAAATATAAAATATAATTTTTAAATATAAAAGCATTCTGGACATATAAAAGTGGTTTTTCAGTTTTCAGATGAATTTTTTAAAGTTATGTACAGTTCTTATCAAAATTTATGTGGCCAACATTTCCTGAGTTTTTTAGGACATACAGTTGCCAAGTTATCAAAAGTTGTAAATTTACATATGCTTCTTGCTGGTAGGTGGGTAACCCTGGAAGGTCAGGCTTTTAGATAGCCTGAAGAACGTCAGTAGTTATTCTGGCAACAGGATCCAAACTAATATTTTATTCCTGAGGCCAACCCAGTGGCAACAAAGTGATTCATGGTTGAATTGAATCCAGCTGTATATTTCCCCAACATATTTTAAAAAGCACTGCCCGGTGAGAAGTGTGAATTGTGGTCTAGGTGGAGACAAGGCCAGAGTCAGAGGACATGGCTAAGGCAGTGATGGGAGAAGGGATGCAAAAACAGAAGATGGGGAATCCAGAGTAGTTGGAATGCAGTTTGCAGAACCTGTGAGGATCTTCCACAAGTGTGGGAAGGACTGTAAGAGTAGGCATGGCAGCTTCAAGGACAGTGGGTCTCACCTGTACTATATTTGCTGTAGAGGCAGTATGACATCGAGTTAGAAGCACAAGCCTGGATCCACACTGTCTAGTTTTGAATCCTCTTCTGTCACTCACTAGCTATCTGGTGTTAGACAAGTTACTTAACTGTCCTGTGCCTCCGTTTTGGAACTGTAAACTGGGGATAATAGTACGTTGATGAAAAGAGTCAAATTCTTTAAAATATTTGAATTTTTATGAGTAACAAATGGCCTGTGACAGAGTCCCATGAGAGTCTGTCTCAGGTGGTCAGGCTAAACTTGATTTTATACATTTTAGGGAGACATAAGACATCAATCAATATATGTAAGTTGTACATTGGCTTGGTCTGGAAAGGCAGGACAACTGGAAACAGGGGCTTCCAGGTTGTAGGTGGATTCAAGAATTTTTTAAGTGGCAGTAAATTGAAAGGGTTAAGTTATTGTCTGAAGATCTAGAATCAATACAAGGGAATGTCTGGGTTAAGACAAGGGGTTGTGGAGACCAAGGTTCCCATTATGCAGATAGAATCAATAGAAGGGAATATTTCTTATCAGACTTAAAGAGTCTGTTCTATCAGTCTTAAGGTGCCTGTTTTAATGTTAATACTGGTCAGCTGTGTTTGAATTCCAAAGAGGGGAGAGTATAATGAGGCATATCCAGCCCCCATCCCCCTGACCTTATCACGGCCTGAACTAGTTTTTCAGGTTTACTTCAGAATACCCTTGGCCAAGGGGAGGGTCCATCAGCTGGCTGGGTGGCTTAGAATTTTATTTTTGATTTACAAATAGTACCCATCACATTGGGTTATTGGACATATGAAAGGGATGTATGTGTAAGGCACATGACAGGGGCTCTCAAGTGTTAGCAGTTATAATTCTGACCTAGGTTTCCCTAATGTCCAAATGTATTTGTGTTGAAGGTGTTGGGAGTTGCATGCTGTGACAGATGATCTTGCTTTTCACTCAGTCTTGAGAGGAGGGCATAGGGGCCTGGTCCATAGCACACTAAATAAAAAATGAAGCAACTATGGGCAGTCAAGATTTAAAGGAGTTTTCAGTTTCAACTCACAGGGAGCTAGGTGAAGGGAAATTAGGGAGAAGTATGAACCCACCTTCAGTCAAAGATATGATAAGCTAAACAAAAGTCACAGCAGAGTTTTTTAAAAATTAAAAAGAAACCCCGCATCAAAACACTTGAAATATTGTGACCTAGTTGAAAGAAAGGAATGTGGGCATGAAATGAAGGTTTGGGGGAAGCGATCTTCCTCTGTAGTGAACAGGGGTTGGTCCACAAATGCCTATGGGCCAAATCTGGCCTACTGCTGGTTTGTGTATGATTAACAAGCTACAATTGGTTTTTACATTTTTAAATGAATGAAAAAAATCAAAAGAAGAATATTCATAATACGTGAAAATTATGTGCAATTTACATTTCAGCGTGCATAAATAAAATTTTATTATAACACAGCCATGCTCATTTTTTTATGGATTATCTCTAGCTGGTTTCATGCTTCAAGGGCAGAGTTGAGTATTTGGGACAGAGATTGTACACCCTCTATGCCTTAAATATTTACTCTCTGATCCTTTCGGGAAGTTATTGACCCCTAGTATTAATGAGTTAAAGCATGGCTGTATTTCTCACTGCTTCGTGTTCCCTGAACGCCATTTAATATTTTCTCTCTTTGTAATAATGTATAACATGCATGGAAGCATAATTAGTGCTTTATTTCACTTAACCCTTTACAATGATTATTTTAAAATTAGGATGCTCTTTTTGAAGATTAAAAATTACAGTTTTAGCTATTGCACGCAGGGCTTAATTCCTAGGTAATGGGTTGATAGGTGCAGCAAACCACCATGGCTATATTTACCTATGTAACAAAACTGCACGTCCTGCACATGTATCCTGGAACTTAAAATTTTTAACAATCACAGTTTTGCAGTTTACAAAATTCCACCAGGAAACTCTAAATTACTTTTCAATACCCTGGGGGAAAAAAATCCTGTATCTTTCTAAACCACAGACATGTTCTTGTGGGATGAAGGCTGAGGAAACTAGCCTCCAATGTGTAATTTGATATTCCCCATTCTCTGCTATCTTATGTGTTCAATAAATATCTGTTGAATTGATTTTCATCATGTTGACAGATAAACTTGGTTGGCAAGAATAGGAAAGTTGTTTATTTATTTGTTCTGTGTGAAAATATAGAACTTTCAAAACACCAAGAGCATTTTTAAGTATCTAATGATGTGACACTTTGTTAGAATCTGTACAAAGAAATAGGCAAAAATCACAAATTTATAGTTAATGGGTACTAATGCAGTACATGAGGTCACCCTGCTGTTTTTAATTCTGTCAGTGTGTTTTCTGTAGCGTTTTTAACTTTTACAGTATATGCCACGTTTAATGAGAGAAGGAAAGGGTTACATTTGTCTACTGTTATTACTTCTCAGTAGTTAGCAAAGAGATACTCTCTTAGCAGTCCCAAAAGATACTATTTTAGTTGCCATTACATTAACATGAAACATTAATATTTGCATGCAAAGTTTTTTTTCCTTTTGGGAATGAAGGGGTTAACTTTAAAAAATGTTAAGAAGGGACAACTGAGGTCCCAAAGAAAATATTTTCTTACAACTCTAAGGCAGAGCCATTTGGCTATTTGGAAGAATTGTTTTATTAGATGGGTTTTTATAGCAATCATATCCATGCAATCAGTGATGCCTCTGAGCTTGGTCCTATTGGCATCCTGATGAGATTATAATGTAATTTAATACTGACCATTTTAAACATATGATCAACCTTTTCAGACTATTTTTTTCCTGATTTTTCACATGACATTTCCCAATGACATTTACATTTAAAAATGCTCAGTTTATTAAAGATTGAAATCAGAACCAGATGAGAACAGTACCAATTGATTAGGCTACCATAACTTGGCAACCCTCTGTGTTTAGTGTGATCAGTGCTAAAAAGGTGAATTATTCACAGTGTTACATAGATGTATAAACCAGCATACTTTGTAATTTAAATACCCTAAAAAAATTCTACTTTTCTCATAATTGTATTAATGCATGAAAAGGATGACTCACTCATTCCGGTGATTCAGCAATGGATTTGAACTATCAAGCCATTATAAATATCCTTAAACTGCAATATACTATTTTTAAAAAGTAAAATATGAAAATTTACTTTTCTGGAATAAATATGTAGCATGGAGCCTGGCACATAATAAGTGCAAAGAAAATAGTTTCATGATGATACTTGGTTTTTGGGTTTTTTTGTTTGTTTGTTTGCTTGTTTGAGACGGAGTCTCACTCTGTCACCAGGCTGGAGTGCAGTGGTGCAATCTTGGCTCACTGCAACCTCTACCTCCTGGGTTCAAGCGACTCTTCTGCCTCAGCCTCCCAAGTAGCTGGGACTACAGGCGTGTGTCACCATGCCCAGCTAATTTTTGTATTTTTAGTAGAGACGGGGTTTCACCATGTTGGCCAGGATGGTCTCGAACTCCTGACCTCGTGATCCACCCACCTCAGCCTCCCAAAGTGCTGGGATTACAGGCCTGAGCCACCACACCCAGCCGATGATACTTGTTAAGAATATGGGCTATTGGGTTCAAACTGACTGAGTGTGAATCCTATTTATGTTCTTTACAGATTTTTGATCTATGGCAAATTTCTCAACCATTCCAGCCCTAGGTCACTTCATCTCTAGATTGGGAATAATAATAGGACCTACTCAATGGGATCAGTAAAAGCATTAAACATGATCGTGCAATGTAAAGTGCTTAACAGTGTCTGAGCTGCAAATTCTAATTCTTAAATGTTCTATCAGTATTACTATATTATTGTTATTATTGTTATCTTCTATCTTCTTAATATGATTTTAATATGAAGTTACATATAAATGCCAGTATAAAAAATAAATTGAATTGTGATATTACAAATTCTAATCCTGAGAGCCTCAGATTACGAGGTTGAACAGTTCCCATTCCCTTTTTAGGTTCAAGCGTTGGCCTTTTCATATATGCTGCTCTGCAGAGGATGCTGGTTGAGTTCTATGGACTGGATGGATGCTTGCTGATTGTGGGTGCTTTAGCTTTAAATATATTAGCCTGTGGCAGTCTGATGAGACCCCTCCAATCTTCTGATTGTCCTTTGCCTAAAAAAATAGCTCCAGAAGATCTACCAGATAAATACTCCATTTACAATGAAAAAGGAAAGAATCTGGAAGAAAACATAAACATTCTTGACAAGAGCTACAGTAGTGAGGAAAAATGCAGGATCACGTTAGCCAATGGTGACTGGAAACAAGACAGCCTACTTCATAAAAACCCCACAGTGACACACACAAAAGAGCCTGAAACGTACAAAAAGAAAGTTGCAGAACAGACATATTTTTGCAAACAGCTTGCCAAGAGGAAGTGGCAGTTATATAAAAACTACTGTGGTGAAACTGTGGCTCTTTTTAAAAACAAAGTATTTTCAGCCCTTTTCATTGCTATCTTACTCTTTGACATCGGAGGGTTTCCACCTTCATTACTTATGGAAGATGTAGCAAGAAGTTCAAACGTGAAAGAAGAAGAGTTTATTATGCCACTTATTTCCATTATAGGCATTATGACAGCAGTTGGTAAACTGCTTTTAGGGATACTGGCTGACTTCAAGTGGATTAATACCTTGTATCTTTATGTTGCTACCTTAATCATCATGGGCCTAGCCTTGTGTGCAATTCCATTTGCCAAAAGCTATGTCACATTGGCGTTGCTTTCTGGGATCCTAGGGTTTCTTACTGGTAATTGGTCCATCTTTCCATATGTGACCACGAAGACTGTGGGAATTGAAAAATTAGCCCATGCCTATGGGATATTAATGTTCTTTGCTGGACTTGGAAATAGCCTAGGACCACCCATCGTTGGTAAGATATTTATCTTAAAATCATCCCATTTTACTGTTCTTCCTTGTCATATCTCCAGATATAGAGGTCCAGATTGTAATAGTAGCACAGATTTGTACAAAAGAAATCTGCATGGAACATCTCATGGTAATGATTTATTCAAGACTGCTTTGATATAATTGAGAAAGCGAATATGCATGCTCTGGGATTTGTGTTCGCTCTTTATTTGGGAGAAACTCAAAATGCCTGCTTTTTTTTTTTTTTTTTTTTGAGACGGAGTTTTGCACTGTCGCCCAGGCTGGAGTGCAATTGCGTGATCTCGGCTCACCGCAAGCTCCGCCTTCTGGGTTCATGCCATTCTCCTGCCTCAGCCTCCTGAGTAGCTGGGACTAAAGGCACCTGCCACCACGCCCGGCTAATGTTTTTTGTTGTTGTTGTTTAGTAGAGACGGGGTTTCACCGTGTTAGCCAGGATGGTCTCCATCTCCTGACCTCGTGATCCGCCCGCCTCGGCCTCCCAAAGTGCTGGGTTTACAGGCGTGAGCCACCGCACCCAGCCTGCCTGCTTATTCTTATCCAAATATTTGAGAGATTCTCTTCTTCTAACTCCCAGTAAACCACGCTGGAAGTAGTGGAGTAATATATATACTAATTATAACTATATATAAAACTGATATAATTAGGGTATGGGATGGATGTTCATACTATTTCCATGAAACTTACTTTTTTTCTTACTGCCTTTTCAGGTTGGTTTTATGACTGGACCCAGACCTATGATATTGCATTTTATTTTAGTGGCTTCTGCGTCCTGCTGGGAGGTTTTATTCTGCTGCTGGCAGCCTTGCCCTCTTGGGATACATGCAACAAGCAACTCCCCAAGCCAGCTCCAACAACTTTCTTGTACAAAGTTGCCTCTAATGTTTAGAAGAATATTGGAAGACACTATTTTTGCTATTTTATACCATATAGCAACGATATTTTAACAGATTCTCAAGCAAATTTTCTAGAGTCAAGACTATTTTCTCATAGCAAAATTTCACAATGACTGACTCTGAATGAATTATTTTTTTTTATATATCCTATTTTTTATGTAGTGTATGCGTAGCCTCTATCTCGTATTTTTTTCTATTTCTCCTCCCCACACCATCAATGGGACTATTCTGTTTTGCTGTTATTCACTAGTTCTTAACATTGTAAAAAGTTTGACCAGCCTCAGAAGGCTTTCTCTGTGTAAAGAAGTATAATTTCTCTGCCGACTCCATTTAATCCACTGCAAGGCACCTAGAGAGACTGCTCCTATTTTAAAAGTGATGCAAGCATCATGATAAGATATGTGTGAAGCCCACTAGGAAATAAATCATTCTCTTCTCTATGTTTGACTTGCTAGTAAACAGAAGACTTCAAGCCAGCCAGGAAATTAAAGTGGCGACTAAAACAGCCTTAAGAATTGCAGTGGAGCAAATTGGTCATTTTTTAAAAAAATATATTTTAACCTACAGTCACCAGTTTTCATTATTCTATTTACCTCACTGAAGTACTCGCATGTTGTTTGGTACCCACTGAGCAACTGTTTCAGTTCCTAAGGTATTTGCTGAGATGTGGGTGAACTCCAAATGGAGAAGTAGTCACTGTAGACTTTCTTCATGGTTGACCACTCCAACCTTGCTCACTTTTGCTTCTTGGCCATCCACTCAGCTGATGTTTCCTGGGAAGTGCTAATTTTACCTGTTTCCAAATTGGAAACACATTTCTCAATCATTCCGTTCTGGCAAATGGGAAACATCCATTTGCTTTGGGCACAGTGGGGATGGGCTGCAAGTTCTTGCATATCCTCCCAGTGAAGCATTTATTTGCTACTATCAGATTTTACCACTATCAAATATAATTCAAGGGCAGAATTAAACGTGAGTGTGTGTGTGTGTGTGTGTGTGTGCTATGCATGCTCTAAGTCTGCATGGGATATGGGAATGGAAAAGGGCAATAAGAAATTAATACCCTTATGCAGTTGCATTTAACCTTAAGAAAAATGTCCTTGGGATAAACTCCAATGTTTAATACATTGATTTTTTTTCTAAAGAAATGGGTTTTAAACTTTGGTATGCATCAGAATTCCCTATAGATCTTTTTGAAAATATAGGTACCTGGGTATCACACATAGAACTTTTAATTCTGCTGGTGTAGGCTGTTGCCCAAACATCTATAATTTTACTGAGCTCTTCAAGTGATTCTGATAACACAGCCTGGATTGAGAATTTTTATAAGATTGGCAATGGAAAAACATTTATTCTTTTAAATAATAATTTTTTTAAAACCCAAGAGGTCAGGGGATTTTATAAACCAATAGCCAAGTGTTCTTTAAATAGGAGGCACCCTTCCCATTGTGCCAAAATCATCTTTTCATTTATTTTGAAATTTGTATGATTATTTTATACTTGTATGTTGCCTTTCTTCGAAGGCGCCTGAAGCACTTTATAAACACAAATCCTCACAATACCTCTGTGAGGTAGGTAAATAGTACTTTTCTATGTAGTAAACCTGGAATATGGAGAATTTCATAACAGTTCATTCTACTTAATAATGCAATAATGGAGCTCCAAGTTGTCTTGGACTTCTACACCACACTCAGACTTCTGGAAAGTTTTCTGTACCTCATTCTTTAGTCCCTGTCAAGGTTAGTAAATAAAATAAGTGACATAAAAAAAAAAAAAACTAAACTACTTGTTGTGTTGAAAGTTCCTTTTTGCCAGTTATGTTCAGGAAACCCAATAACCTGAAAAAGTTTGACTTTGATGTGACATCTTCATATTCATCAATGCTGATAATTGTCCAAAGGCATCTTCACTATGTCTGCTAAATAACATCCAATGTGGGCGTTATCTGTTGTCTAGGGGATGAATTTTAAGTTACAATAAAATATTTTTCTTTGTTTTGCATCAGTTTGGTTGCTTTTTCTCCTCTTAGTTCTCCACCCAATTATAGTGACATGTCACTTGAATGTAAAACTATAAATTACCTGGCATAATTCAGACTCTGGAACATGGTTATTGGACAAAAGCATATTCAAAATGCTTAGCTACTTTTACCATTGCCTTCCAAAAAGCTAGTTTATCAGCTTTACCTCTTGTGGTAAAGAGTACTCTGCAGGTCTTAGTTCTTAATAATAATTTATAGAATTCTTAATATGTTTCAAGCTTATGTTGTTTAACCCTCATAATAACCTTGTGAGATGGAGATTATGACCCTCATTTTATGATCTAAAACATAATTGTCATAATACTATGGACAACATATTATAAAAGCATAAGTAATTTCCAAAATCAAAATGCAAAATTTTTCTCTTTGTAGAAATTAAAGTAAACCCTTTAATTTCTAACATGGTTCAGAAATTAGCCCTGGCCAGGAGGGTTGCTCTAAAGCCAATCCTTTAGTGAACAGAGAAAATTTTCTGTAGGGTAATCATGTCAGCAGGGAAGAAGGTTCAGCCACCGACCTTTAAAGGGCTCATGAGGAACAGTTCCCAAGAACCAGGAGTTCCAGTACTGGGAGGTCATGACCAAACATTTACGCCAGCCAACCAGTCCAGTGACCTTAGGTAGCCTCGGTGCTTAGCAGTTGGTATAGAATTATCCTAACTCAGGATGTTCCAGGACATAAAGGGGAGCTCCATTTTGAAACAAAGGACATCTCATTTTCTCTTTTACTTAGAAGGAATATTATATTGAACACATAAAATACATGATTTACATTAGCAGTGCCATGCACTTTCTCCTTCATTAGTAACAATCTTGGGCGGGGTACAGTGGCTTATATCTGTAATTCCAGCAATTTGAGAGACTGAGTGGGTGGATCACTCGAGGCCAGAATTTGGAGACCAGCCCGGTCAACATGGTGAAACCCCATCTCAACTAAAAATACAAAAATTAGCCAGGTGTGGTAGCACATGCCTGTAATCCCGGCTACTCAGGTGACTGAGGCAGGAGAGTCACTTGAACCCAGGAGTTGGAGGCTGCAGTGAGCCAAGATTGCACCACTACACTTCAGTCTTGGTGACAGAATGAGACCCCATCTCAAAAAGAAAAAAATATCTTGGGACCGTCTGCTATATAGTCAATTGTATATGAAGGATGTCAGTAAAATCCCTCTTTGAGGAAGGAGTTTAATCGCACTCAGTTAAAATGATCAGAGCTCTATGAATACATGGATAATACTTGGGACTGCAGTGTACATACTTGTTAAGGTTGTGATTCCACAACCAGATTGCCTATCTCAGTCCCTGTGGCCAGGTGACTGTGAGCGAATTATTTAGCCTCTCAGAGCCTCAGTTTCCTCATTTATAAAACACATCATAGGGCTATTGTGGGAATTAAATAAGATTCCCAATATATATACCTGATATGTAGTAGATGTCCAATAAAATATTAGCTATTATTTTTGTCGTTGTCATTCTTAAATGTATTGCTTCTCTGTACCTGAGGGAGGCATCAAGTGTTCCGGGAACAGGTGTAGGGTTAATGTTTGCATTAAAGGGCTTCATTTGGAAGAATAATGAGCCTCTGTTATTCCTAATCACATAATTGTCGCAGCTTTTGCCTGTTCTTGTCAAAATCTTCTTTCCCTAGGGATTCATGACTCAGCACATTTTTTTGGAATTGCCATTCAGAAGCTTTCACACAAAACAAAACACAGGCCGTTCCTCCACAAATCAAATAGAAGCCACTTTGTAAATTGAATTGCTATGGGAATTTGAACTTTTTCTTCTCTTAAGAACTCTCATCTGAGCTGCTCCGAAGGTGGGCCTGAAATTAGGCAGAAAGCAAAATGATCCGATTTGTTTACCGAGTACTAATTGGCTTCGGCTCAGGGCCCTTACCTCACTGCTTTCCAGCCTTTGAGACTTACTCTTGAGGGAGTGCAATTTCTTGCCAGGTCTCCTGGGATTCTATTCCTAGTGGAGCTCAGCCGCATTAGTTGTTTTTTTGCTGCATGCATTCCTTGTCCTAATGAGTCATTTACTTTTATTCTTTCTCCTTGCAAAAAGAAAAAATAAATTTAAATTTAATCAGTTTTTAATAAAAAAAGATATTCTAAAATCTTTGGTAAGCAACATGTTTTCAATACATAATAATTAACCGTGGTCAAGTGCTTTCCTGTGATAGGTCACCCTAAAACTACATAGCCACAAAGATATAATTATTTTTTCTTCCTGGAAAAGTTCCTGATGTGATAAAGCAAGTTGTGATTCCTCCAGCTTAAATCTGAAAACTGCTGAATATCTACAGCTATAATAGGGCATTGCCAAGGGCAGCCCAAATGACTTTAGAACCCTAGCAACAACGGAGCAGCCATTTTTCTGGAAAGCACTCCCTAATAAACTTCCTGCATGCAAACTCTGTTTCATAGTCTCTTTCCCACCAGGAAACTGAGGACAACCGAAATCCCAACATGGTGAGATAATGCCAAGTACACAGGGTCATCAGAGCAGAGAGGGAGGGAGACACCTTTCTTGAAGGCCTTTTATGTGCCCAGTATTGTTACAGGTACTTCACAAACCATGTCTCGTCCTGTTTAAGTTCTAAAGGTGTTGGCAAGACTGGCTGCTCGACTGTCAAGATACCACAAAGATGCCTTCTTATCTTAGGACATTTGGGGTCTGGCTCTTTCCTGACAGGTTGAGGTACTTCATTTCTTATTCATCCAACACTTCTTAAGTGAGCCCCTAGTATGTGTTAGGTACTCTCCCAGGTACCAAGGATATAATGAGCAAGATAGACAAGGTTCCTGTACTCTTTGAGCTCATTGGTGCCCCAGAGCTGATCAGAATAAGTTAGATGGCAGTGCAGTTGTAACAGAAGCTTCAGCTCCTGTGGGAAATTCTGGAGCTGGGATGGTCCTTCAGCATTGGCCCAGTGGAGTTCAGTCATGTCTGACTCACATTAAGATTCCCAAAAGAATGGATTTAGGGGAGCAAGATGGCTAACTGGAGAAGCCTGGCACTCTTTCACCCCACATGAAAGAACCAAGGAAAGAAATACACAGCTAAAATTTGACTGCAGTGTTGAAGGGAGAGTGCTGGAGTACAGAGGGACAGTGGAGATACACCTGTGGTGATTGGAAGTCTAGGAGGGCAGTGTGGAGGTACCTGGTGTCTGCAGCCCTGTCTCCTCCACCTAGATCAGATTGGCCCAGAGATAGGAGGGACTTCCTGTTGCATGGGAAAGGAAGTAGAAGATCCTCACCAGCCCTCATTGATACTGCAGACAGCTACAGTCCTTACAACAGGAAAATTCTGCAGTCCTCACAAGTCCTGAGCCCAGTTTGGAGAGCTGCTGGGGATTCACTCAGCTGCATTGCCCCAGATTAGGAGCACAAGGTGTGTACTCCCTATCTACCCTCGAGCCTCTGTGAACCAAGCTGCTCAGCACAGTGCCATCTTGAGATCAAAGTCACCCCTTGAATGTACCCTGCTCTAGGGGCGAGCAGCCACTGCACCTCTCCAGCACTGGCGCTCCAGCTTCATTCCACAAGTCCGCACAGATGACTGAATGCCACAACACCAGCAGTGTGGAGCCAGAGCCCATAATCAGCTGTGACTCTGGTCCTGCACAGCCAATAAACCAACCTCTACTGCTGCACCTCCAGCCAAAAAATGGTCTGGCAGTCCCACCCAGGGTGACTCCCTCCCTTGAGCTGGCCAAACTGCTGCATACCCTATCCTAAGCAGAAGTGGTCCCTAAGCCTCCAAGCAGCTGATATGCCTCTGGGCCAGTGGAGTGGAAATGCGTCCAGGATCTGGAAACAGCCCTGTAGCAACCTTGCCCTCCACAGACAAGCCTCTGGACTGTCCAATGGCCCTGCATCCCCAACAAGGGCCTGAGAAACAGTCCTGCAGGTCACTCCTGGTGGGCATGCCTCCAGGCTAGCCAAGCAACTGTTCATCCATGTACTGGGCTTGAGAAACAGCTCCATGGGCCGCTTCTGGTGGGCACAGCCTCATGCCTGTGCTTGCATCCTGGACCTACACAACAGTGCTGGTGGGCTATTCCCTGCAGAAATACCACCAGGTTAGCCAAGCAGTCATGCAGCAACCTGCATGAGTCTGAGAATCAGCCTCGTGGCTCCCCTGACAAACAAGTCCCCAGGCCAGGTTGGCAGCCACGTGCTCATTTTTGGACCTGAAAAATAGCCTTGTGGGCCACCCACAGCAGATATGCTTCTAGGCTGACCAAGCAGCTTTATGTCTGTGTTCTAAGACAGAGAAATAGCCCCCTGGGTCACCTCCAGCAGTCATGCACTCAGGTCAGCTGAGAAGCTGTGTTACCACATCCTAGACCTGAGAAATAGCCCTAAGGGCTGCCCCTAACACATATGTCCCCAGACTGACCAAGCAGCTGTCTGCCTGCATTCTGGACCTGAGAAACAACTCTACAAGCTTCTCCGGGTAGGCACACCCCCAGCCTGGCCAAGCAACCATGTGCCTATGCTCCTGGCAAGAGTAGCAGCACTGTGGCCTCAATCCTAGTGAGCCAGTCCCCAAGTTGGCCAACCCACTGTGAATACGCATAAGCCCTTGGCCTGTGAAACAGCCTGGTGAGCCCAACACCAATAACACTGCTGCCACAACCTCTCTCAGCCTTGGCCACTGAGAAATTTTTAAATGCCACTAGTGTGGATTGTAGCTGAAGAAACTACACAAAGACTACACTGTTAAATCTACCTAGAACAAAGGCCAACATATCCCACCAAAATGATATCCCAAGACCCATTCATACAAATAAATTTTTCCTGACAAAACCTAATTCTTAAAATTGGAAGAGGTGACTTTTCCACTAGATGCATAGAAATTAACACAAGAACACATCAACCATGAAAAAGCAAGGAAACATGTCATCTCCAAATAAAAACAAGAATTCCCCAGTTACAGACTCCAATCAAGAGGAAATATATAAAAATGTCAGAAAAGAATTCAAAATAATAATCTTAAGGAAACACAGTGAGATACAAAAGAATACAGATAGACAATTCGATGAAATCAGGAAAGCAATTCATGATTTGAATAAGAAATTCCACAAAGAGATATTATAAAAAAGAACCAGACAGAAATCTTAGAGCTGAAGAATTCAAAAAAGAAATAAAAGGTACAACTGACAGCTTCAACAGCAGACTAGACCAAGCAAAAGAAATAATTTTTAAACTTGAAGACAGATTATTTGAAATAACACAGGCAGACAGAAATAAAAGAAGAAAAAAGAAAAAAGAATGAAGAAAGGCTGCAGGATTTATGAGACACCATTAAGTGAACAAATATTTGTATAATGGGCATTCCAGAAGGAGAAGAGCATGGAAAAGTTGAGAAAAATATATTTAATGAAATAATAGCAGAGAACTTCCCAAGTCTTGGGAGAGATATGGACATCCAGGTCCAGGAAGTTCAAAGAAGAAAGATTCAACCCAAAAGGTTCTCTCTGAGGCACACTAGAGTCAGATTGTCTAAAGTCAAAGACAGAGAAAGAATTTTAAAAGTAGCAAGAGAAAAGCATCAAGTCACATATAAAGAAATGCCTATTAGACTAATAGCAGATTCCTCAACAGAAACCTTACAGGCCAGGAGAGAATGGGATGATATATTTGAAATGCTAGAAGAAAAAAAGTGCCAGCCAGGAATATCACACCCAGCAAAACTATCCTTCAGAAATGAAGAAGAAATAAAATCTTTTGCAGATAAGCAAAAACTAAGGGAATTCATCACCACTAGATCAATTAGTCTTACAAGAAATGCTCAAGGGAGTCTGACATCTGGAAGTAAAACCACTATCATGAAAACTATAAAACTCACTGGCAGAGCCAATACACAAAGGAGAAAGAAAAAGGAATCAAACCTTATCACTACAGAAAGCCACCCACCTACAAAAATAAGCAATGAGAAAGAAAGTAAGGAACAATGAATATACAAAAGAACCAAAAAACAATAAAATGGCAAGAGCTAGATTCTTGCCTATCAATAATAATCTTGAATGTAAATGGATTAAATTCCCTATTTAAAAGATATAGACGGCTAAATGGATTTCAGAAACAAGACTCAACTATATGTTGCCTATAAGAATTTCACCTCACCTGTAAATGCACACATAGACGGAAAGTGAAGGGATGGAAAATGGTATTCCATGCAAATGGAAACCAAAAGTGAACAGGAATAGCTATACTGGTATTAGACAAAACAGATTTCAAGTTAAAAGCTGCAAAAAAAGACAAAGACATTAGATAATAGTAAAGGGACCAATTAGCAAGAGAATATAACAATTGTAAATATTTACCCAACCCTGGAGCACCTAGATATATAAAGCTAATATTATTAGATCTAAAGTAAAACAGAGATCCATATACAGTAATAGTTGGTGACTTCAACATCTCACTCTCATCATTGTGAGAGATAATCTAGACAGAAAATCAACAAAGAAACACTGAAGTTAAGCTGCACCATAGACCAAATGAACCTAACAGATATTTACAAAGCATTTTACCTGACACCTGCAGGATACACATTCTTTTCATAAGCACATGGGACATTCTCCAGTATTGACTATGTGTTAGTACACAAAACAAGTCTGAATTAAAAAAAACAAATCATATCTAGTATCTTATGTGACCACAATAGAATAAAACTAGACATCAATAAGAAAAGAAACATTTGAAACTATACAAATACATGAAAATTAAACAACATGCTCCTGAATGACCAATGGGTGAAGAAAAAAATTAAGAATGAAATATAAAAAAATTTCTTAAAACTATGAAAATAAAAAACACAACACACCCAAACCTATGGGACACAGCAAAAGCAGTATTAAGAGGCAAGTTTACTGCAATCAATACCTATTTAAAAAACTAGAAAGATTCAAATAAACAACCTAAAGATGCACCTCAAGGAACTAGAAAAGCAAGAACAATCCAAACCCTGAATTAGTAGAAGGAAAGAAATAATAAAGATCAGAGCAGAAATAAATGAAATCGAGAAAAAACATCCCCACAAAACATCAACAAAACAAAAAGCTGTTGTTTTTGAAAAGATAAACAAAACCAACAAGTCATTAGTTAGACTAAGAAAAAAAAAAAAGAACACAAATAAATAAAATCAGATAAAGAAAAGGAGACATCAAAATGGATGCCACAGAAATATACAGGATCATTAGAAAATATCTTGAACAACTATATGCCACTAAATCTAAAAATCTAGAGGAAATGGATAAATTCCTGTACACATACAACCTACCAAGATTGAACAAAAAGAAATAGAAAACCTGAGTAGAACAATAACAATTAATAAGATTGAATCAGTAATAAAATGTCTTCCAACAGCCTGGGCATGGTGGCTCATTCCAGTAGTCCTAGCACTTTGGGAGGCCGAGGTGGGTGGATCGTCTGAGGTAAGGAGTTCAAGACCAGCCTGGCCAACAACCTGTCTTTACTATAAATACAAAAATCAGCTGGGCATGGTGGCATGTACTTGTAGTCCCAGCTACTTGGGAGGCTGAGGCAGGAGAATCACTGCAACCTCATTGCAGAGGTTGCAATGAGCCAAGATCGGGCCACTGCACTCCAGCCTGGGTGACAGAGTAAGACTCTGTCTCAAAAAAAAAAAAAAAAAAAAAAAAAAAAGTCTTCCAAAAGAGAAGAGTCTAAGACAGATGGCTTCACCCCTGAATTATCTCGAATCTTTAAACAAGAATTAATACCAATTCTTCTCAAACTATCTCAAAGAACTGAAGCAAAGGGAATTTTTTCTAACTCATTCTATGAGGCCAGCATTACCCTGATACCCAAACCAGGTAAGAACAGAACAGCAACAAAAAAAGAAAACTGCAGGCCAATATCTTTAATAAATATGGATGCAAAAATCTTCAACAAAATACTTGGAAACCTAATCCAACAACACATTAAAAAGATAATATGTCAAAATCAAGTGAGATTTATCCCAGGAATATAAGGATGGTTTAATATATGCAAGTCAATAAACATCATACATCACATCAATGAATAAAGGATAAAAATGATAGGATCATCTCAATAGATGCAGAAAAAGCATTTGATCAAATGGTCAAACAAAAATCCCAAAGTGATAAAAACTCTCAATGAATTAGGCATAGAAGGAAAGGTCATATATGACAAACCCACATCTAACATCTTACTGAACAGGGGAAAGCTGAAAGGTTTTCCTCTAAGAACTGGAACAAAACAAGGATGTCCACTCTCACCACTCTTATTCAACATAGTACTGTAAGTCCTAGACAGAACAATTAAGCAAGAAAGAAATAAAACACATCCAAATTGGAAAGAAAGAAGTAAACTTTTCCCTGTTTGCAGATGACATGCTCTTGTATGTAGAAAAAGCCAAAGACTACCAAAAAGCTCTTAGAACTGACAAATGAATTCAGTAAATTTGCAGGATACAAAATTAACATACAAAAATCAGTAGTATTTCTATACATGAACAACAAACTAGTCAAAAAAGAAATCAAGAAGGCAAATCCTGTCTATAATAGCTAATATAATATAATATAATAACCAGAATTTGTCAGGAAATATTTATTTGTATGAATGGGTCGTGGGGTATCAGTTTGGTGGGATATGTTGGCCTTTGTTCTAGGTAGATTTAGCAGTGTAGTCTTTGTGTAGTTTCTTCAGCTACAATCCACACTAGTGGCATTTAAAAATTTCTCAGTGGCCAAGGCTGAGAGAGGTTGTGGCAGCAGTGTTGTTGGTGTTGGGCTCACCAGGCTGTTTTACAGGCCAAGGGCTTATGTGTATACACAGTGGGTTGGCTGACCTGGAGACTAGCTCACTAGGATTGAGGCCACAGTGCTGCTACTCTTGCCAGGAGCATAGGCACATGGTTGCTTGGGCAGGAGTTCAAGGCTGCAATGATCTATAATCATACCACTGAACTCCAGTCTGGGCAACAAAGTGAGACCCCATCTCTTAAAAAAATAAAAATTAAATTAAAAAAACAAGACATACAAGTGGCCAATAAATATGAAAAAATGCTCAACATCACTAATCTCAGGAAAATGCAAGTCAAAACGGCAGTAAGGTATCATCTTCCCCAATTAGGATGGCTATTATCAAAAAGACAAAGCATAACAAATGCTGGCAAGTATGCAGAGAAAAGGGAACTCTTATACACTGTTTGTGGGAATGTAAACTAGTACAGCCACTATGGAGAACAGTATGGAGGTTCCTCAAAAAACTGCAAATAGAACTGCCATATGTTTCAGTAATCCCACTACTGAGAATTTATCCAGAGGAAAGGAATTCATTATATCAGAGACATCTGCACCTTCATGTTTATTGCAACGTTATCTACAATAGCCAAGATATGAAATCAACCTAGTTGATTCTGAGTTGACCAATGAATGAGTCTTTCCCTCCCTTGAGGGCAAATATTATTATGAACTCATGGATTTTAAATTTTGGAGGAGGGAGAATTTCAGCAATGGCAGTTTTGTTGTTGTTGTTGTCTGATGCTCAAATTTTCTACCAAATTGACTCCTGAGTCCGAAGTCCGCAGAAGGTCAGTAGTCCTTGATAGTTTCTTTACTTCCCAATAGGATAAGATATTTTAGGATCATCCTGGATATTTTTTTGCCCCAGATCTGGAATTAGCTATTCCTCCAAGGAGGCTTTGGGGATAGTTTTTAGACTATTAGTAATGTGGGTACTAGAGATACTCATTGCTACTGGGTTGGAGATTGCTTCTGCAAAATTGGTATTTTTGTTTTGTAAGCCAAAAATGCATCATGAGTTAATACTGACAACTCTAATTTAAATCAATGATCACATATTTTTTATCTAACTTCATTGATTTTGTATTTAAATTCTTCTCTGTTGCTAAAAATCTTGATTTTCGAATGACAGTAATGTAAGTATTTGCTTTATCCTACTATTTGTATAACATTTTCAAAATAACAGTAAATTATAATTATTACTAATAATATGATAACTGAAAACTGTTTTCTAGTTCTTTTTGTCTCTAGAATAACCTATTCTAGATGTGTGAGCCAACTATGTTATAGTCCCTTGAAATGGTTTCTCTCCGTGTGACTAAGTCACCAATTCGATACTTGTGTTTATTTGTGCACTTTTAATTTGTGTTTCTCCTATTATGAGTGAGACTGAATATCTTTTTACGCATTTAAGGGATACTTGTATTCCTTTATTTGCAAATTCTCTTTTTCTACAGGACAGTTTGCCTGTTTTTTCCCTATTTTCAGAAACCCTTTCTATTCTATATTAGGGATATTTACCCCTTGTTTGTCTGTACTATAAGTTGAAATTGGTTTTTCCCATTTTTTCATTTGTCTTTTTATTTATCACATCTTTTGCCATGTTAAAGCTTTTTTTTATTTTTATGTTTAACTCATTTTTATCATGTTTTCTCAAATTGATTTAAAATATAAATTTGTATAACTTAGTAGCTTAGATAGTAACTTAGTAGCTATGAGTTATTTGTGTAATTTAGATAGTAGCTTAGATAATAGCTAATATTTTTACTTATTTGCTTATTTTTGTAATTATAATACAAAGTTTACATAGTATGGAGTGAATTTTATAAATACTTCCCATTTATGCCTTATGAGTTTTGTTCCATGCTTAGGAAGGCCTTCTCAACTTCAAATTATTTTTTAAATGTATCAGGATATTTTTGGTTACAGACTAGAGAATACTAACATTAAAAATTATAAGGATGTATATTAAGAATATTTATTATCTTGCATAGCAAAAAGTCTGGAGCTAGGAAAATTCCAGCATAGTTAATTTTGTGACAAAACATTGTCATCAAGGACTTAAGTTGTTTTCATCTTTTTGTTTTATAATCATAAGTATAGTAGTTTATCCTCTTAGGCTGGCTGTCCTCATGGCCTCCAAGGGCTGCCACTGTTCTAAGTGTCATATGCGGACAACCATAAAAATAGAAAATGAAGGCTTCTCCTCAGACTTCATCTTTGGACAAAGTGGAAAAGCATTCTCAGAAGGCCCATGGCTGGACTTGGGTCCAAATCATGCTGCATGACCATTTCCAGTTTAGTCACTGCATTGGAGATGAAATTGGCAAGAATGACTAATAAAGATTTAACTGGCTGAGCGTGGTAGCTCATGCCTGTAATTCTAGCACATTGGGAGGCTGAGATGGGAGGCTCTCTTGAGCTTAGGAGTTTGAAGCCAGCCAGGGCAACATAGTGAGACCCCATCTCTACTTAAAAAATTAAAAATTAGCTGGGTGTGGTTGCATGCACTATAGTTTCAGCTATGCAAGAGGCTGAGGTGGCAGGATCGCTTGAACTCAGGAGTTGGAGGTTGCAGTGAACTATAACTGCAACATTGCACTCCAGCCTGGGCAACAGAGTGAGACCCAGTCTCAAAAAAATTTTTAAAAAAGATTTAATCCTGAGACTTGGGCGGGGCCTAAAGCAAATGATTACCACGCATGTGAGCATAATCTGGGTTTTGAGAGAAAGAAAGAAATCACCATTGTGTCGTCTTGCAGATTCATTTCTTACACATAAAACTTCCATCCACCTAAAATTTGTGTTAGTGTAAGCAGTGAGCTAGGGATCAAGCTTATTGTTTTTTCCTAAACAACTAGCTAGATGTCCTATGTATTAAATAACTTAGCTTTTAAATCAGCTCCCTTATGATAGTTTCTAAAAGGAAACAGGAAAATCTGCTGAGAGCATGGGAATTTTTGGTCAAGTCTTTTAAATTCACTATTTCACAGAAATCCCTTGTAAGATGTCTCCTTCAAATCACATTGCTCACATCACAACCAGACCCGCAATGTCAGAAACTGTTAGGCGATGTTCTCTCTGCATCTAAAACCTAGACAAATAGTGCAAAACATAATTTAAAATTTATGAATTCTAGGCCGAAAGTCATGTGATATGCCAGCTATTTTTATTTTGAAAATTTGATACTTAAGTGTACCTGCATGTTATTTATATTGAAATAACTGAACACCCACCATGTGCCAGCCACATAGTGGCCTTAAGACACTTAGATTTTATATAAGGCAGAGAGATAAAAAACAAATAGATCTGTGTGTGTGTGTGCATACATATATACATACAATGGACAGAAAGAGTAAGAGGGATGAGCAGGCTAGGATATGGGGATGTTTTTAAAGATATAATTGACAGGGAGGTTTTTCACTGAGGAGTTGACATTTGAGTAGAGTCATGATGCAAATGAGAAAGCAAGCTACATGGCTAGCTAAGGAAATAGAATTCTAGGTTGTTGCAGGAAGTCAAGGACCCCGAAAGGAGGGACCGGCTGAAGCCATGGCAGAAGACATGGATTGTGAAGATCTCATGGACATTTATTAGTTCCCCAAATTAATACTTTTATAATTTTTTATGCCTGTCTTTACTGCAATCTCTGAACATAAATTGTGAAGATTTCATGGACACTTATCACTTCCCCAATCAATACCCTTGTGATTTCCTATGCCTGTCTTTACTTTAATCCCTTAATCCTGTCATCTCGTAAGCTGAGGAGGATGTATGTCGCCTCAGGACCCTGTGATGATTGTGCTAACTGCACAAATTATTTGTAGAGCATGTGTGTTTGAACAATATGAAATCTGGGCACCTTGAAAAAAGAACAGGATAACAGCAATGTTCAGGGAACAAGAGAGATAACCTTAAATTCTGAGCACCGGTGAGCCAGGTGGAACAGAGCCATATTTCTCTTCTTTCAAAAGCAAATGGGAGAAATATTGCTGAATTCTTTTTCTCAGCAAGGAACATCCCTGAGAAAGAGAATGCGTCCCTGAGGGTGGGCCTCGAAAATGGCCCCCTTGGGTGTGGCCGTCTTTTATGGTCGAGCTGTAGGGATGAAATAAGCCCCAGACTCCCATAGCGCTCCCAGGCTTATTAGGATGAGGAAATTCCCACCTAATAAATTTTTGGTCACACCGGTTGTCTGCTCTCAAACCCTGTCTCCTGATAAGATGTTATCAATGACAATGCATGCCCGAAACTTCATTAGCAATTTTAATTTTGCCCCGTCCTGTGGTCCTGTGATCTCGCCCTGCCTCCATTTGCCTTGTGATATTCTATTACCTTGTGAAGCACGTGATCTCTGTGGCCCACACCCTATTTGTACACTCCCTTCCCTTTGAAAATCACTAATAAAAACTTGCTGGTTTTGTGGCTTGTGGGGCATCATGGAACCTACTGACATGTGATGTCTCCCCTGGACGCCCAGCTTTAAAATTTCTCTCTTTTGTACTCTGTCCCTTTATTTCTCAACCCAGCCAATGATTAGGGAAAATAGAAAAGAACCTACATGACTATCGGGGGCAGGTTCCCTGATACTAGGTAGAGCAACAGAGTTCCAAGGCACTGAGGCAGGAATATGCTTAGCTGTGATGGGTGGAGTAAAGTGAATGAGAAAGAGAGGAGATCAGAGAATGAAGGAACTTACAGGCATCATACAGAGCCTTATAGGCCACTATAAGGATGTTGGCTTTTGCATTAAATGAGGTTGAGACCAATCCAGTGATGAGAGACAGGGAGCGGAGAGACTGGATGGGAGAGAGGGAGGAATAAAGGAAAGAAGAAAGGAAGGCAGGCAGGAAGGAAAGAAGGAAGAAAAGTGATAGATCGGATTTTTTTTTTCAGACAGGGTCTCACTCTGTCGCCCAGGCTTTAGTGCAGTAGTGCAATCGCAGCTCACTGCAACCTTTACCTCGTGGGCTCAAGTGATCCTCTCACCTCAGCCTGGAGTAGCTGGAATTACAGATGGGCACCGCCATGCCTGGCTTTTCATTTTATTTTATTTTTTGTACAGATTAGGTCTCACTATGTTGCCCAGGCTAGTCTTGAACTACTTATCTCAAGCGATCCTCCTGCCCCAGCATCCCAAAGTGCTGGGATTATAGGCATGAGCAACCATGGCTGACCCTGATTAATGTTTTAAGAGAATCCTTCTGGTTGTTTTGTTGAGAATGAACTATAGGAACACAAGGGGGAAAAGCAGAGAGATAAGGTAGGAAGCCATTACAGTGATTCATTTGGGAGATAAAGGTAACTTGGAATAGATTAGTGATGGTGATATGTAACCAGATTCTGGATATACTTCAAGGTAGAGTCAACAAGACTTATTAAGTTTGGTATGGGGTATGAAGGAGAAAGGCAAAAATTATCCCAAGGCTTTTGGCTTCAGCAACCAAAAGAATGGAGTTGCCATTTGCTGAGATGGGAAAAGTTATACAGATTGTGAAATAAGAGCCCTGGGGTGTCTATGTTAAGTTTGAGATAGCTACTATACATCCAAGTGGAGATGTTAAGCAAGATGTACGAGCATGGAGTTCAGGGTTGCTGTCTGTCTACTTGGGAATCATCAGGCATATAGAAGGTATTTAAAACTACAAGTCTGGATGAGGTACCTAGGGAGTGAGTGAAGAGAGGCAAGGACCAAGTGTCAGAATTCCATGAAATCAACAAAAGAGACTGAAAGGGACCAAGTCAGTAAGATAGGAGGAAAAGGAGAGAATAATGTCTCTACAGCCAAGTGAAGAAAGTGATTCAAGAAAGAGGAAGTGATGAGCTGTGTTAAATGATGCTGATGGATCAAGTAAGGTAAGGGCTGCACACTGATCACTGGCTTCAACAGCGTGGAGATCATTTGGTGATCTTGATAAGTAGTTTGCAGGAGTAGCCAGCACACAAATGTCTCATTAGAATGGGTTCAACAGAGAATTGGGGGAAAGTGATTGGAAATCATCTATACAAATAATTCTTAAGTAGTTTATTCTTGTGTATGATGAAAACATAAACTCTGTTGAAAACATAAAGATGATTGAGCATGATGCTCATTTGCCCAAAATTTCTGTTTCCATCCCTATGTGAGATTTATTTGTTTTGGTTTGTCTCATGGCCAAAAATGAATTCCTGGCTTTGATCATTCTTGATACTCTCCTATGGCAATTACCTTGAGAGAAAGTGGATGAGTCACATGCACAGTTCTGGAAAAATAACTTGAAACATCTGTCTGACTAAAGGGTGATCCCTAGCCATCTTCCTTATGAAAGTCCTCTCCACCTGTGCAGTAAGTTGGGGCAAGGCATTCTGGTTGGACCTACTGGGTGGCAGTTGCTGTGGATGAGGTTATAAAGTATCACCTCCTTTGATTTTACAGCACTGCCTGGTTTATAAAGTGCTTTATTATTCATCATCTCATCTGATCCTCATAACAACAGTGTGATGTAGGCCAGGCAGATGATGAAATCACTATTTTATGAAGGAGAAAACTGAAGATTCCAGTGGCTGAGGAATTGTCTTAGGGCATGGAGCTGGGATGCACACCCAGGACTTCTGACCACCTGTCTCCTGTTGTTCCCACTGAGTCCAGTTCTACTGGCTAGCTCAGTCCTATTGTTCTTGGCTAGAGCTGCTTTTCTGTGTGATGTCTTCCTTATAACAGGAAGGGAAGAAAGGATGGTATTTAGTCTTCAGTGTGATATATCAACAACCTGGGGCTGCTTGATCTGCCTTGGTGTCTGGAAGCCATGGAGTCCAGCCTGAGCTCTCTCCTCTTTTGACCCTTGCAGATGCTCTGTTTTTCTCAGGTTATGGCTCAAAGTTTTAAGGGAGGTGACAAGCCTATCAGATTTTACTGGATGACATTTACTTCTATTAAAATCCAGTGTAGCTCTTTTTAAAATTAAGAGATTAAAGGATTAGATAAAGTTACAATGTAACCCAATAGGTGGCCTTTCATTTTGTGTTTCTGAAATTATCTAACTTCTCTTCCATTTCCAAGAACATTCCAGAACTTAATTTTAGAGAGTGTAATTCACAAGCTAATATTCCTAGTCAAAGCAAATGAAACATGTCTCTGTGTTATGCATAAATGGGAGGGTATTAAGGGGAAATTTGGAACTGAGCTGACAGAATTAATAAACCTAATTTTTTTTCTGAAAGCTCATGTTTTTCCCTTAAGATGTTACAATGGCTTCAAAAAGGTTATCAAGGAGTATTTGCTAGTATTCTCAAGCAGCACACACACATTCAGTGTCAGCAGAGTCTGCTGAATGTGAGGCACTGGCCTGATTACTGATTACACAGTAAGGTGCATTGCATTTATATATGACAGATTTCATTATTCCAGGTTAACTTCTGGTTTGCTATTTGTAGACATTTCATGGAATTATAAAGCCATCTTGAACTCAGACAGAAGAGAGGACAGATAGAAATTACTCCATTAATTACCTCTGAGGGCCAAGTATCATGTAATAGTCTACATGAAGGAAAGGCAAAATGACTGTGGGGAAAATGGGTGGTGAGGTCACACATCATCTATGAGTGGTCTTCCTCCAATCCGGCAATAAGTGTATTTCCAAAGGAGGCATGTGGAGTGGTAGAAGTGTGTGCTTGGGAGCTCTTAAATCAAACAGGTTGCTCTAAGTGGTGAACACACTTTTGGGAAATATGTGGTGATACAGTCACTCTCACATGCCATGATGACAGGTGTCAGAGTAAATTATTCATAGACAATTTGGCAATATCTACCGAAATCTGAATGTATATACCCTTTGATGCAGTAGTCGCAATATGAAGAATTTTTACTTCCCAGCACTTTGGGAGGCTGAGGCAGGTGGATGGCTTCAGCCCATGTGTTCAAGACCAGCCTGGCCAACATGGTAAAACCCCATCTCTACAAAAAATTTAAAAATTAGCCAGGCCTGGTGGCACATGCCTATAGTCCCAGCTACCAAAGAGGCTGAGGTAAAAGGATCACTTGAGCTGGGGAAGTGGATGTTGTGGTGAGCTGAGATCATGTCACTGCATTCCAGCCTGGGTGACTGAGTGAGACTCTGTCTCAAACAAACAAACAATAACAACAAAAAACCCACAAAAAATAAATTTATACCAATTTTTTAGATGTGTGCAAAGATGAACACAAATGCTTATCACAGCATTGTTTATAAGACTGAAGCTGGGAACAACCTCAATGTCTAAGACTAGAAGGCTTAATAAAGATATATTATATTGATACTGAACTGCCATGCAGCCAATAGACAGAATAAGAGACACTGAGATGCGCTATTATAGAGTGTGCTTCAGGATCTATTAAGTGAAACAGTGTGTGTGTGTGCGTATGTGTGTGTGTGTGTGTGTGTGTGTGTGTATCAGTCAGGATCCCATCAGGAAACAGAATTTGCCCCAGATGGTTCAAATGTTGAGCTTTCATCAATGGACAATGAACGGAAGTGTGGGCAGGGCACGTTAAGACACTCAGACACTAGCACCAGTGGGAAGCCATTATCACAGTGGACACTGTGCTGCTCCACCTGATCTCCTTTTCAGGGCTGACACAGCATCCACAAGGGCTGAGAATATCAGCTGTTGTTTGCTCACAGCTGACCCCTCTCTAGAATTCCCTCAGCCACCACAGGGGACAGTCTTGCCCAGGTTGCACTTTTGCTTGGGGTGGCCATGGCCAATGACTGTCCAATTCAGGGATATGAAAGCCCACCCCCTTGTCTCAATTTGGGACAATTCTGAAGGGCCATCCAGAAGTTCCCTGTAGCATCAGCTGAGGCCTCATTGAACTGCATTTCAGGTTAGCTTCTCCTCCCAGCCAATCCTGCTTTCCTCCTTTCCTTACTAAAATAAAGCACCCTTCAATAAGCTATCTGCACACACCTCTCCATCTCAGTTTGTTTCCAGGGAACCTAATCTAAGGCACATCCCTGGGGCCAAAGGTGCTGAAGGTGCTAGAGACTGAAGTAGATCCCGCACACAAGCTGAAGTTGTGAAGGGATGCAGCTACTACCAGGAGCATGCAGCTAAAGTGGGGAAGAGGAGATACCCAAGTTTCTCTCTCCTCTCACTCTCCAACCCCCTTTCATTCTCTCACTGGACAACCTCAAATGGAAACTAGCCAGCAAGGAGTATAAGGTATGTAGGGGTCATTTCTGGGGACAAAGAATAGGACCTAAAATAGACCGGGAATGGAGAGTGGAAAATAGAAAAGAAGTAGCACAGTATCTCCTCTTTATGTAAATAGGAGAAATATATAAATATGTACATATATGCACACACAAAAGATGCTAGCTGTGCATAGAAATTTTCTGGAATGGTATAGAAGAAAATTTAAATAGTGGTTGCTTCTGGTAAAGGTAACTGTGCGAATAAGGTATACAGAAGATTTGTCCTTCATTCTCTTCTGACCATTCTACTTTTTAAATATAAGTGCATATGTACTTAATATTGTATTTGAAATAAAAATTAAATGAACATTTGGAGCTTCTAGGTAGGGTATTAAGCAGAGAAGTTGGAGTGAGTGATTGTTTTGTTCATTCATGGATGGTTGCTAGGTGCCTTGCATTGTACTGCATTAACACAAAGAAGAAAGGTCCCTGCCTTAATGAGGAACTTACAGTTTAGTGTAGCACAAACAATGACAATAATGCAATGGGATAGTGCTGTCATGGAGGTGGGTTGCAAGGTACCAGGGACCGGAGAAGAGAGGGAGGTCTAAACCTCTCTAGCAAGTCTTCAGCTTACAGAAGGTAGAGCCAGGGGTAGGCTGAAGTGATGAGTAAGGGTTTCATCATACTTGGTCAGAAGGACTCACTAAGGATAATGGGAGGAGAGGAAGACCTATGCATAAGAATGGCAAGATAAGGAAGAAACAGTGTACTATATTCAAAAGTTCAGGGGTTGAGAATCCATTGAGGATAGTGTGGGGTTATTTTACGAGTTTTAAACATTGAGGCAAAATAAAGAGTACAAGTTGACAAGTTTTATTAAATGTATATACCTGTGTATACACCCTCCCCACCAACATTTTCATTACCCTAGAAATGCCCCTTAGTCTCCCTCCACTCAATCCTCACTTCCCAGAGGCATCCACTGCTCTAATTTCTATCAGTAAGTATGACTTTTTCCTGCCCATGAACTTCATACAAAAGGAATCATTTAGGATCTACTCTTCTGTGTCTGACTTCATTTGCTTAGCATAATATTTTGAAGATTTATCCATGTTAAGTTTTCCAGATAAAATATAGGATTCCCAGTTAAATTTGAATTTCAGATAAACTCCAAATAATTTTTTAGCAAAAGTAGGTTTCATGCAAAATTTTTATTTTATTTGCTAAATCTGGTACCCATAATCCATACTGTTATGTTTTCAGCTTTTCTAAAATGTTGAGTCATATGCTATGCTATAAATATACCACAATTTGGTAAAAATACTTAGACCTACTGGGTTATGAGGTAGATATACATTTTTTTTGTTTTAAGAAACTTTCAGTTTTCACTTCATTCTTCATGAAATAATTTTGAGCAAAGGAGTGACATGACCCAATTTGCATTTTAGAAATAGCCTTCTGGCTGTAACCTTGAGAAGCTGGTAAATGGCAGGGGGCAAGACTAGAGGCAGGGAGGACATAGATGGCCAAAGTCTAGATGATGCATGCTTGAATTATGATAGAGGAGAGGATGTTTGGGAAGAGATTTAGAAGGAAGACTCAATAAGGCTTCTATATAAATTGTTGGTGAGAGATTAAGGCGGAAGAAATCTGAGTGTCTGGCTTCTTCCAGATCACTAGCTAGAATAGGTGGGGTTGATGTCTGCTTTAGTCACTAACCTGTATTTCATACAATGTTTGATCATAGTAGGGTCCAAATCAACTTCCGTTGCCTCTTTTGCTTCATGACTCTAAGGAAAAAGAATCTCAGAACCCTTTCACTGATTGTATTTCCGTCAGTATTTTTAACTAGTACAAATACAATCAGTATTATATACAAAAAGGCTATCCTAACAGAGAGGGAAGGGAATATGACATTTAATTAATGAGGAGTACCTACCTTTTCCTAGGCACTGTAATTTCAAATTCTTTTTAGCATCTGAATTTCTCCTGAAGTTGCATGATCATATGGTTCAGAAGAACCTTGAAAAGGTATCTCATCCACTCTGGGTGTTACTGAATCTAACTAGGTTCCATTAGCCCAGTACAGTAAAGCCAAACATTCACACTGAGGTTTTACAGCAAGATAAGGGAGGACATTTATTTGCAGGGCTCCAAGCAAGGACAATTGGGTAGCTCATGCCCAAGATCTGACCTCCCCGATAGCTTACAAGCAAGGTTTTTTTTTTGTAATTTTTTGAGACAGAGTCTTGCTCTGTTGCCCAGGCTGGAGTGCAGTGGCATGATCTCTGTTCACTGCAAACTCTGCCTCCTGGATTCAAGCAATTCTCATGCCTCAGCCTCTCAAGTAGCTAAGATTACAGTCGTGTGCCACCACACTTGGCTAATTTTTGCATTTTTAGTAGAGATGGAGCTTTGCCACATTGCTCAGCCTGGTTTTGAACTCCTGGGCTCAAGTGAACCACCCACCTCAGCCTTCCAAAGTGCTGGGATTACAGGCATGAGCCACCGTGCCTGGCCACAAGTAAGAATTTTTGAAGGCAGAGGTAAGTTTCAGAAAAGCAGAAGTTACAGGCAAAAATAATAAATTAATACATGGAGGTTATCCATTGAAGTGGGTGCTTACAGATAATAGGTGGATTCAAAAATCCTCCGATTTGCGATTGGTGAAGGAAGTGAAGTTTCATCTAAAAACTTGGGGTTAACAGAAAGGAATGCTAAGTTCTGGCTTGTTGGCATGACTTTCTCCAGGCTGCCTAGGAAGAAATTTAGAACAAGAAGCAGTGGTCAGAATTCAGTCCTCAGTTTCCCCTTATCTGAAGTCTGTGTGACAGCAGTTGGCGTTTTCCATCTGGTAGGGGTTCAGGTGTGAAAAACAAGTCGGAGACTTAGGTGAAGATATTATCTTTAGTTTCCATAGGGAACCAAACATCTCATGGCTCTAACTTATTTGGATGGTCATTGTTTTAAGCTACAGTCACCTTCTTGCTTATCAAATTGCTCACTTACTTCTTAAGGCTAGTGAGGTACCTAGAATTTCCCTCGAAGAAACTCAAGATTTTCTTTTATTTCCATGTTGGAGAGGCTCAGTTGGCCCCTTAGGGGGGCCCCTACTCTGTCTCATGGGGAGAAGCAGTCTCTTACTTTGGAGATTGATAATCCTAGGTTAAATCCTTTCTTTACTTTTTACTAGCTAGCTATGTGACAATTTCAAGTCATTTACCTTACTGAGCCTCCGGCCCCTCCTTTCTATGTTATGAAGGTTATATAAGGTATATATGTGCACCTCAACAAACTTTCTCTCTCCCCCTCCCTTCTGTACCTATCAACAGTAGGTGATCACAGCGGTGTCCTTCTTGCACATAATTGATTGACAGCTATTATTCTCAGCAAAGCAGCCCCCAAGGCAGCCACTTGAGTCTAAAGAAGAGTCAAGTGTTAGCTGTGCCCATACCAGTGCCAGGCAGAACCTCAGTGCCTCCCCCGAAGTTGTATATATGGAGAGGGGCTGGTGAGCCCAACCTTTCTGCTGAGCTAATGTTGTGAAGTCTTTTCTTGAGTAATCAACATTTCTCATGTATGAGGAGTGGCATTTTGTAGTGATTAAATTCCTGGACTTTGAATTCGGACAGATCGGGGAAGCTCTTAGAACCTGTTTGCTGTATAACATTAAGCAAGTTGATTCCTCTCTCTGAGTGTCAGTTTTCTCATCTACAAATTAGCGATCAATAATAGTACTTATCTTTTCATTTGGAATGATGATTGAGGTAAGGTTTGGAAACTCCTTAGCACAGAGCTTGGCACTTTGTGAACCTTCAATCAAGGATAGCTGGGAGACTGGCTGTGGTCTGGGTCTTTACTCTTAGGAAGGCACTTTATAAAGTCATCTACTTTTCCTACAGTGAGTTGGTGTCTGCTGTCCCCGCCTCCTTGATTAGTGGAAACACCTGGGAACCCAGGAAATTTCACCAAGTGCTACACATTTGGATGGGCAAGCCATTTCCCTCCATGCTCTCTGTTAGCAACACAGGAGTCAGGCTTAGAGAGCTGAGCTCAATCTTTAATCTTCTGTCAATGAAATCCTTACCTGTGGTTTGCTGACACATTAGGTCTCCCCCAGGGCACAGAGTAATCCAGTGCCTTCTCCTTTCAAACGGACAAGGGGCGGTCCTCGCTGGTGAACAGCTCTTCTTCCACTGGCCTCCTTCCCGAGGCCTGTTGTAAGGGTTATGTGAGACCTTCAATCCTAGAGCGGAGAAAATGTACCTACCTTGTATCTTACAACTTTTGATTCAAGTGAGAGCTTGGAGAGAAATAAACATATTCAAATAAGAAACAGAATAAATGAGGATTTGAAAAGCCAGATCAAATTGAGACCTCGAAGCACAGGATGAATGCAACTTGGGTCATTTGATGCCAAATGTCAGATTCCTGACAAAATAAATTCTAGGTTTTTTTTTTTTTTTGGAGACAGAGTCTCACTCTGTTGCCAGGCTGGAGTGCAGTGGTGTGATCTTGGCTCAGTGCAACTTCTGCCTCCCGGGTTCAGGTGATTCTTCTGCCTCAGCCTCCCAAGTAGCTGGGACTACAGGTGTGTGCCATCACACCCAGCTAATTTTTGTATTTTTAGTAGACATGGAGTTTCATTATGTTGGCCAGGGTGGTCTTGTTCTCTTGACCTCATGATTCGCCCGCCTCAGCCTCCCAGTGTTAGGATTACAGGCGTGAGCAACCGCACCCTGTCAGATTCTATCTTTCTTCACTGTGTAAACCCTTCATAGATTTCCTGCTCTCTGTTCTTCCCAAATAGCCTAACCCCAAGGGAAAAATTGATCTCAGTATCTTTTTGGAGAAGTCAGTCTCCTTGTTGAATGTGAGAGGCAACATGGTCTGTAGAGCCCCAGGATCAAAGGATGCTGTGTGGCCTCTTGACCCTGCATTGGTGTCTTTCTATTACTCATCTTCAACCAACAAATACACAAAGTACATATGCACAGTACACACATGTATAAGTGCTTAACAGGACTGGAAGCAGGGGGAATAAGGCTGGTCAAGGTTTGTCCTGCCACCCATGAGCTCATATGCTTCCTGAGGAGACCAATATACAATTAGGATACAAGTTGAGAAATGTCATGGCAGAGATAAGTGCAAACTTCATAGGTGTGAGTGATATTTGAAATAGTTGACAACTGGCCAGGTGCGGTGGCTCATGCCTGTAATCCCACAGCACAGGGAGGCTGACGTGGGAGGATTGCTAGAGCCCAGGAGTTTGAGATCAGCCTGGGCAACATGGTGAAACCTCGTCTCTACAAAAATTACAAAAATTAGCTGGGCGTGGTGGCTCATGCCTGTAGTCCCAGATACTCAGGAGGCTGAGGTGGGAGGATTGCTTGAGCCTGGGGGGTGGAAATAGCACCACTGCACTCGCTCCAGCCTGGGTGACAGAGTGAGTTAGACCCTGTCTCAAAAAAAGCAACAACAACAAATACCAAATATTTAACAATTGTTAGAGTCACTGCAAAGGCTGTTTCTTACCCACAGCCAGGGCAGTGTGACTAAGACATGCCAGATGGGAATAGGGCATTCTCTTTTGGGTCCAGGCCCATCCTGGGAGTGGTGGGATGGATGTGAGGGAATGAGGGGCCTCCGTCAAGCTGGCTGGGTGGCAGGCGCTGCACGGCTCTGAGGGATTGAGCAGCCGAGGCAGTGGGACATAGTAAGGGGCTGAGGCCCAGGGCAGTGTAAGCATCCCATTGGTGTGGAAGTATTTCCATATTTTACCAATGATATGCTCTTTGAGAAGCAATATCCCATGGAAATATAATGAGAGCAATATCTATGTAATGAAACATACTTAGGAGACAAAGAATAAAAGTAAAAAGAAACAAGGGAAATTAAATTTGGCATTTGTCTTACTCAGTAGGTCCAAAATGTTATCTCAACATGTAACTAATATCCAACTGATTAATGAGCGATTTCACTCTTTTTGTTGTTGCTGAAATCCAGTGTGTATTTTCAGTTTAGAGCCTGCCACCTGTGGTTACCGTATTGCACAACACAGGTCTAGTAGGAAGGATTGTGAGAAAAGCAGCCCTCTGTGCTCCCTGGATTTTGGGGGAGGTGACCTTCCAGTTGCCTGGAATTTTCTGCAGGATCTGTCTGTGGTTTTCTTCTTTGATTAGCCCACCTGTAAACCCACGCAGCCCTTAACAGGTGCAGAATTTACAATGAGACACAGTAGCTCTTTCAGCACTGAGCTCCATTACACTAATTATCTGGCCTATGGCTTAGTGCTGCCTTCATTACCAAACCAAAGGCTTAATTGCTCTTTTAAGCTCCTTTGAATTTTTAGACTCAATTTACCTGCAGCCTCCTGAAACTCAGGCACCCGAATTTACTAAGGATAAGTGGGGATTTGCTGTGTGCTGAGGCCTTGTTAGGCCCTCCTAGACTTGCATTTTCTTTTTTATTCAGCGAAGTGAGATAATGGTCTTTTCTTTCCTTTTGCCTTCCTCACAGTTGGTGACACCTGCAGGCTGAAGCAGCATTTTCTGTACTTTGGCACCACCTTGTGGTTCAGCTGAAAAAAGTCTAGAAATGGGCCGCATCCATCTTGGGCTCATTGAGCATCATGAACAGTCTTGAAGGGCCATCTGGCTTTTGTTATCTCCTTCAGCCTGAGAAGAAATGAGATTTGTTACTGGATAGGGAATGTCTCCTATAGGCTAAACCGCCTGCTGAGAAATCCAACGAGGTAATGGCTCCAATTTGAACTAAGCAGAGAGTCATGCAGAAACATCAATCCAGGCTGCCGCTGTTCTCTATTATTTAGATTGAATTGTGTCTACTTTCCACAGATGACTCGGCTCAGCCAGAGAACTTGGCATCTCTGTGTGCTGTTACTGTAAAATGGGGAGTGATTGTTTTCAGCTGCTCCAAGTTAGGAATTAGCTCCTGGCCATTGATAATACCTCCTGGAAACCGTGCTCACTTCATTGGATCCACAACCCCATCTGCAGCTGAATTTTATCAACAGACATGTTGCTTTGGCCAGCATTGGTTGAATATAGTGTTAGAAAACGGACAGATTGTACAGAGGTTTTGCCAAGATCCGTGTCCCAGTAATTTTTACTGTGAGTAACTTTATGCACTTCCCTGTTATTCTACACCTGTACTCCTTAATTCCCTTATCATTTGTTCCTGCGCCAAAGGTGTGTGAGTTTGCAATTTGCTTACTGGTATGGAGAGGCTGTTTGATTTGCTTGTGGTCACTGGCAGATTCTTTTTTTTTTTTTAATTTTTATTTTAGGTATGGGGTACCTGCGAAAGTTTGTTACGTAGATAAACACGTGTGTCACGGTGGTTTGTTGTACATATTAATACATCACCCTGGTACTAAGCTCAGTACCCAATAGTTCCCTTTTCTGCTCCTCTCCCTCCCTCCCCACTCAATAACACCCCAGTGTCTGTTGTTTCCTTCTTTGTGTTCATGAGTTCTTCTTATTTACCTCCCACCCATATGTGAGAACACACGGTATTTGGTTTTCTATTCCTGCTTGCTAAGGATGATAGCCTCCAGCTCTATCCTGTTCCCACAAAAGACATGATCTCATTTTTCATGGCTGCATAATATTCCACAGTGTATATGAACCACGTTTTCTTGTCTGTCACTGATGAACATTTAGGTTGATTCCATGTCTTTGTTATTGTGAATAGTGCTGCGGCGAACATTCGCGTGCATGTGTCTTTATGGCAGAATGCTTTATATTCCTCTGGGTATATACCCGGTAATGGGATTGCTGGGTCGAGTGGCAGTTCTGCTTTTAGCTCTTTGAGGAATCACCATACTGCTTTCCACAGTGGTTGAACTAATTTACACTCCCACCAACAGTTGACTAACTTACCACCGTTAACAATTGACTACTTTATCTTGCAATTTCCTACTTAAAATATGTCATCAGATTTTTGCCAAGAGGTGCTTGTACTCAGAGTGATGAATAAAATCAATATCTTGAGTCCCTGAGTCTCCAAGTGTCAGAAACTTAAGAGACCTGTGTAAGACCTGTGTAACTATTGTTAAACCAGTTAAAATCCAAGGTTTACCCTTCTTTCACTGTGTAACTTGGGCAGAATGTCTATTGGTGAGATTTCTGTGGCTGTTTCCTCTTCTCATTAAATGAATTAATAATATATAACAGCCTTATAACAGGGCCTGGGAGCTACTAACTCTTCATTGATGATGACAGTCAGTGCTGGAAAGAGGGTAAGGCAGGTGGGGATGAAAATTGACTCTGAAAGTGAGCGCCTCACATGCCTGACTCTATCCCTGGCCCTGATGATGACGGTGATGGTGATGATGATAATAGCTAACACTTCTATGGCATTATTTGGAGTGTTAATATCAGAGGCATTTGAACCTGAGTGACTCCGTTTGGAATAAGGGTTGGGTAAAATGAGGCTGGGACCTGCTGGGCTGCATTCTCAGGAAGTTAGGCATTCTTAGTCACAGGATGAGCTAGGTGGTCAGCAGGATGGGTATCACAAGATACAGGTCACAAAGACCTTACTGATAAAATAGGATGCAGTAAAGAAGCCAGGCAAACCCCACTTTTGGGTAATGAAAGTGACTTCTGTTCATCCTCACTGCTCATTATATGCTAACTTTAATACATTAGCATGCTAAAAGCCACTCCCACCAGCACCATGACAGTTTACAAATGCCATGGCAACATCCGGAAGCTACCCAATAGGGCGTAAAACGGGGAGGAACCCACAGTTCCAGGAAGTACCTGCTTTTTTTTCTGGAAAACTCATGAATAATCCACCCCTTGTTTAGCATGTGATCACGAAATAACCATAAAAGCAGCCAACCAACATCCCTTGGGGCTGCTCTGGCTATGGAGAAGCCATTCTTTTATTCCTTTACTTTCTTAATAAACTTGCTTTCACTTTATGGACTCAACCCAAATTCTTTCTTGCATGAGATCCAAGAACCCTCTCTTGGGGTCTGGATCGGGCTCCTTTTCTGGTAACATTAATGTTTTCGCTGCGTTCAGTATAGGCCAAACAAACATTCTGAGGAACAGCTGGATAGCCATGATCCAATCATCCTTCTCTCTCCTCCCGTTTTGAGATTTCACGATGCAGTCTTCATTTCTGGGATAAGGCATTGTGCTCTGGGCCCATGAGAAGACTTCGGAAGAATAACACACGAAGCTCTCATCCCATCGTTGTGGACATTTCCCCAAGGTTTAGCTGAGGGGATGTTTGAATAGTGACTACTGGGGAGAAAATGGTCAGTGTGCAAGAGACTTGCCTGGGTAGATAGCAAAGAACGATTTGTGAATTGGGTTGTCCCTGAACAAGAACAAGTTCAGAAAGTCTCCATGCTGCTGCATGGTCGAGATGATTTACAGACAGAAAGAGGAAACGTATGTACAGAAAATGGAAATGAGGTACAGAAACAGCCAGATTGATTACAGCTTGGCGTTTGCCTTATTTGAACACAGTTTGAACAGCTGGCCTGTGAGTGGCTGAAACTTGGTGATTGGTATTAGAGTAGGTTTCAATCTGTTTACACACCCAGTTGGGTTACAGTTTACTATTTATGGGGAAAGCTTTAGGCCAAACTTAAAATATGTAAGGAGGCAGCTTTAGGCTAACCTTAATTTAACAGTAGGCTTAGAACTGAGAGGAGAAAGGAGAGCCAAAAGCGGTAGACTGCAGGGTTCTGGGGACAAGTTTCTCTGATTTCATGACTTTTGGCTGAGCTCAGCCTTACTCACCGTTCCTCATCTGACAAGTGAGCTGGGGGTCCCCTGACGCAGAATGGAGATCCAAGATGTCAAGAAATGCACATTTACCTACAGGATTATATTTACTTATTCCAATAAAGGCAAAGAACAATGATTATAACTAGCAGGGTCAAACAACTTACGTCCCCTCCTTCAGTCCCCAAAGTTAATGGTTTTCTGTATTGTAGCTTCCCCCTTCCTCCCAGAGTCAGAGTGTACCGGCAATTTCAGATATTAAGTAAAAACAGACACAGCTTCTGCCTATGCAGCCTCCTGGATCAGAGGCAACACAGTGAAGTCCTGTCTGCTCTTGGCCCCAACATTCACCTTTTTGATAAGGCTCGTGGGCTGCCATCACACCTGGTGACTGTGTGTGTGTGTGCGCGCGCGCGGGCCTGTGTGCACAAGGGATGTAAGTGGCATAGAAAAACCCTCCGAAATAAAAATTTCTTCCCACTAGGTGGCGTAAGCACCTGTAGTTCTGTGTGAATCTCTCCTTCCAGTTAAGGCAATGGCAGGCCTTAAAAGTATAATTCCGCTAAGGAAGCAATTTAAGCTTTTATTTGTGACTTTATTTTTATTATAAAAGTACATATTGGCTGGGCGCGGTGGCTCATGCCTGTAATCCAAGCACTTTGGGAGGCCAAGGTGCATCACGACGTCAAGAGATGGAGACCATCCTGACCAATATGGTGAAACCCTGTCTCTACTAAAAATACAAAAATTAGCTGGGCGTGGTGGTGCATACCTGTAGTCCCAGCTACTCGGGAGGCTGAGGCAGGAGAATCGCTTGAACCCAGAAGGCGGAGGTTGTGCCACTTCACTCCAGTCTGGCAACAGAGTGAGACTCTGTCTCAAAAGAAAAAAAAAAGTACATATTACATTAGTTCTATGCAAGGTAAATTTTAATGAGGTGAGTGATATGAAATTCAGGTATTTCCCTGAAGGAAAATATCAACATGCAATACTGCAGGGGAAAGGAACATTCCTTCTCATCTGCAATGCACAGTATATCAAGATGGACAGATGGCTGATGGCTGGAGTCTATTAGCAGAAATGTTGCCACACAGGCAGCATGCTCTGAAGACAGAGTATTTGCCTAGCATTTACTTTTTATTTAACTTGGACTACCAGGCAGCAATTAGGTCCAGGCTCTTACATTGACCCTTGCAGGCAGAAGAGGAGGTTTAGTGCTTGAGATGCCTTTCCCAGAGCTGGATCTTAAGGACATGTTCAAGTCTTGATGGAGGGGTGGACTTGGGGCCAACATCAGCCAGTAAGTCACAGACCAAACCATTGTAAAATAAGACCTAGTTCAATGATAAGTGAAGAGCTAAGCATCAGGCCACATATTTGGGGGCAGCTGGGTAGAACGTGGCAGGGGCATCAGTCTCTTTGAATCTCCTTTGAATATTCTACAATCTAGAAACAAACAAGGAGAACTAGGAAATTGAAACTCCTGTTTTCATAGGAAACACAGTGGGACTCACACCCTTACTCCTTGATTTCCTAGGTGTGTTAGTTAGGATGTTTGGATGATATTTACTATCTCATGTAAAAGCAAGGTGGAACTCAGGGCAATTCTGAGGCTAGTAGTTGATGCCATCAGATACTCAAGTTCTGTTTCAATTGATGCCAGCAAGTATTCAAGTTCTATCTTTCTGCTCTGCCATCGTCGGTATGCTGGCTTTTGTCATCAAACATATTGTCCTATGGTAACAAGATGGCTGCCATAGCACCAAGCATCACTGTCTCACACAATCACAATGAAAAGCAAAAGGAAAAAAAGTGAGGAGAGGTAGTTTCTTATACACTCCTTTTTATGAGGAAGAGAAGCATATCTCAGAAGCCCCTTGAAGATTTGTTCTTGCATACTATGGCCTGAATGAGTCACATGCTTATGCCCTAGCTGTGACGTATTTAGTCTCTAGAGTGAGAGGTGAACTTTGCCGGCAGGGGAGGAGTGGGGTAATGTAGCCAATAGACAACTAAATGTCTGAAGCATGGGGCAAGAATCTTAATATCTCTGTCCTCAGTTTTCTTTACCCATAAATTGGTGTTTCAGAATTATGTTCTTAACAGAATGCCTGATACACAAGACAAAGTCAATCAAAGCATGTTCTTTCATTTCCAGCATCCATAGTTCAAGAATTTCAGGAAGCTGTTGCTCCAATAGTCATGTGTTCTTTGGTTATGAAGGCCAAACAGAACAAATGATAGGAGCAAGTGATCTTGACTTAGATAGGGTCAGCCCCTTCCTACTAGATCTCATGGCAACATGAAGGTGAAGCAGTGATGGGGAACAGAGAGTGGGGAACAATAAAACATACAAGGAAAAAAAAGACCAGTTTTTGAATGCTTTCTATTAATATGTGCAAAACACTACAAAAGCATGTGTATTTCCAAAATCCAAATCATGATCCCACTTAGGAAGTTAATGCCCCTATCTCAGTTGCCCTTACATATGAATGACATTTCAAGTAGCGTCTTTACAAAACAGGGAGGCACTGGGGTGATAGTTCATGAAGATGTGAGCAGAGTTAACTCCCTCATGCTAACAATGTGGAAGCTTATACATTCATATGTGTCCATCCTAGCTGGAAGGCTCAAGAGACCATTGATATGGTAACTTGAGAATCCACAAGTGGCTGGAAACAGTTGGGATGCTCAAAGGGAGATAGATAATTTTAATATGCAAAAAAGGGAAGAAAAAGGAAAATATGGTTTTGGAAATCATAGTGAGAGTATTCCTCTGGGCATGCATGATCAATTTGTGTTAAAAATCATTAGGTGGGCCAGGTGCGGTGGCTCATTGCAATCCCAGCACTTTGGGAGGCCGAGGTGGGTGGGTCATCTGAGGTCAGGAGTTCGAGACCAGCCATGGCCGACATGGTAAGACCTGTCTTTACTAAAAATACAAAAATTAGCTGGGCATGGTGGCCTGCACCTGTAATCCTCAGGAGGCTGAGGCAGGAGAAACGCTTGAATCTGGGAGGCAGAGGTTGCAGTGAGCCGAGATCGGGCCACTGCAAACCAGCCAGGGCAACAGAGTGAAGACTCCATCTCAAAAAAAAGAAAAAAAAATCATTAGGTGGCTAGCTGAAGGAGAATGGAACATTTCTATAGTGGCAAAGTTATACCACACAGATACATGCTCAGATGCAGGGGGAAAACTTGCACAAAGTAAAAGTACAACATGATATTAGACCATCATCACATTGATCCAGGGGCCAGGCTCCGCATCATCAACTTGTGCTAAGATATGATGTGTCTTCTGATGTGATGTTGCTTAAGCCCATTGAGCCTTTAGACTGAACAGGAATGGCTAAACAACACTGTAAGACAGCAGCAAGGACAAATCCAAACCCCGAAGAAGGAACGTTCTCCAGGATCATTGAAACTATCTATTTCACAAGTCTGGGTGAATGAACTAGATTAAAACAGACTAAAAAGGAAAAATGAAAAAGTGCAATGCCCTCATTGTCCTAAGTGGGATATTGGTTTGAAAAAAACCAGCTAAAAGGCATTTGGGGGTCAATTAGAAAATCTGAATATTGTCTGGATATTAGTTAAAATAATAGAGATCAATGACTGAAAAAAATAGGCAATAAAATAGTATATGACCTCATTTCAGTTAAACACAAATAATATGTACACGTATACATAGAAAACAACACAGAATGACAGGCAGTAAGCTGTTAACAATGGTGTTCTCTGCAAGGCAGAAATGTGATGTTTTTATTTTTAAAGCTATACTTACTTCTACTTCATTATTTTCTACACTACATGTGTTTTGTTCCTGTAATAAGAGTTTATTTTAAAAGGTAAAAATTACATAAAAAGCGGGGAGAAAATAGAAAAACACAAATTGTTTAATTCTTAATCTTGCTGAAATCTGGCTTGGTCTAGAAAAATGGCTATGAGGAACAGCTTTATTCTTTATTGTCACTGCCCCTTTTCATCTCAGGAGCAATTGTGGAAGTTTCTAGCAATGGTGGTGTAACTATTTTCCGTGACTGTCACACAATTATAATCAATCTGGCTACTTTCACCCAGCAGTGACATTTTCTCAGTCGGTTTCCTGGAACGTATTTTGAAGCCTAAGAATTTCCAGTACAAAGTATGTGCAGTGTTTTTGCTTTTTGATAGTTGGAATGAACAGCCTCTCCTACCCCTGCTAAAAAAAATCTGAGCCACAGAATCACAAAGTGATTCCAGCACAGACAGCCAGGTCATGGACAGGTACGTGGGCCTCCTGATGCAGGAGCCTGGGTTCTTCCAATTAGTTAATTAACTCACATGTATTTATTTATCATCTATTGTACGTGGGTACTGAAGGAATACAGAAAAACAGTGCTATTCCTGCCCACGATGCTTGACCTTCTCTTAGAGGAGTGCTTTGTTGGGAATGCCTCCCTTGGGTTCAAAAGACCTTTGTTTTTTTAAACAATAAACTAAAAATCTAAATATGCTTTGATATGAATTTTATTATGTCATGTGAGAGATTCTTAGTTCAACATTGACGTTCAATTACAGGCACAAAAATGTGCCTCCCTCCTTTTTCCTGGGAAAGTCAATTTTCCAATTGTTGTGTGTGAAGAAATAAAAGAGAAAGAGCTCTATGCAAAATCAGGGCTTCTGTCTGAACCACAGTACATCCTAGGGAAAATGTTCTTTACTGCCTTATTGGACAGCAAATAGCACTTTTAAGAGATTTAGGGACTCACTGTTTCATGGACTGATCATTTTGCAAGTATTTCTTAAATGAGTATTGCAGACAGAAGCCACAAGTCAGGTATGGCTGGAATGAGAAAGACTGGGCTCAGCATTTAACTTTTAATCTTTTTTATTTTTCATAGCAGGAGAACTATCCCCAGAGGGACAGAGCTGGACATGGAAACAGATTGTCCCAATAAATGACATCGATTATTTCAGCAGCACAGGCAGGGCTTGGATCATAGCTCTTGTGGTTTTTCTGGAACACTGTATTTTAATATTTTATATCTTTGTAAAAGTACATCCTATTATAACCCAAAGTGTAAGAAAAATATCCACAAGCCCATATTGATTAGAGTGAATGATTGAATAAGTTAATAAATGGGGAAGAAGAGACAAATCTCCTATGTGGAAGAATTCAAAAAAATTTATGTAGGCAAATGTATGTAGGTAAAATTGCCTTAGGAGAGGTGGCACATAACTCCCACTCCTTAAATGTGGACTGTGCATAGTGACTTCCTTCTGAAGAGCACAGTATTGAAAGGGAGAGGGGAAAAGAAGAGTAGCTTTACAGTGGAGAAATCTGACAAATATTACTTTAGCCAATTGACCAAGGTAAACATTAACAGTCATATCAATAGTATGTGCCTTTAATGTGATGTGATGAAAGTTTCACTTATCTATGTGATCTTCCTCCCCTAAAACCTGTAACTCTAGTCTAATCATGAGAAAAACATCAGACAAATCCCAATAGTGAGGGCATCCTACAATATATCTGATCAAGATTCCCCAAAACTGTCCAGATCATTAACAATAAGGAAAGACTAAAAAACTGTCACAGCCAAGAAGACCCTAAGGGGACATGACCACTAAAGGTAATGTGAGATTCTAGATGAGATCCTGGAAGAGAAATAGGGCATCAGGAAGTCTTGAATGTATTGTACTATTGATTCTTTTTTTTTTTTTTTTTTTTTTTTTGAGACAGGGTCTCACTTTGGGAGTTCAGTGGCACAATCTTGGCTCATTGCACCCTCGAACTCCTGGGCTCAAGTGATTCTCCCACCTCAGCCTCCCAAGTAGCTGGGACTCCAGGAGTGCACCACCATGCCTAGCTAAGTTTTGTATTTTTTGTAGAGACAGAATTTTGCCATGTTGCTCAGGCTGGTCTCAAACTCCTGAGCTCAAGCAATCCGCCTGCCTTGGCCTCTCAGAGTGCTAGGATTACAGGTGTGAGCCACCATGCCAGCCTTACTGCACTTTTGACTTTAATAATTTATCGACATTAGCTCATTAATTGTAACAGATAGGCTATAATGTAAGATGTTAATTGAAACTGTGTGGGATGGGCATAGAGGAACTCTTTGTATTATCTTCTCATTTTTTTGGGTAAATCTAGAAGTAAAATCTATTCTAAAAGTGTATGTTTTTGATTTTCATTTATTTAATTTTTGTTTATTTATTTATTTATTTTAGACAGAGTCTCACTCTGTCACCCAGGCTGGAGTGCAGTGGTGCGATTTAGGCTCACTGCAACTTCCGCCTCCTGGGTTCAAGTGATTCTCCTGCCTCAGCCTCCCAAGTAGCTGGGATTATAGGTGCATGCCACCACGCCCAGCTAGTTTTTGTATTTTCAGTAGAGACGGGGTTTCACTATGTTGGCCAGGCTGGTCTTGAACTCCTGATCTCAAGTGATCTGCCTGCCTCGGCCTCCCAAAATGTTGGGATTACAGATATGAGCCACAGCGCCCAGCCTTAAAAATAAGGTGTATGTTTTTAAAAGTGCATTCTCTGCCAAGAGAAGGCTGGGGAGCTCATGTATTAGATTTTACAGCTGAGCCCTGGGGACGACTATCCCGCGATATACATGAAATATTTAGGTGGCCATGGAATACCGCAGCAGTCCCCAACCTTTCTGGCACCAGGGGCCAGTTTTAGTGGAAGACAATTTTCCTCAGACCGGGGGAGGAGGGATGGTTTCCAGATGATTCAAGCACATTACATTCATTGTGTACTTTATTTCTATCATTTTTACATTGCAATATAGAATGAAGTAATTATACGACTCTCCATGTAGAATCAGTGGGAGTCCTGAGCTTGTTTTCCTACAACTAGATGGTCCCATCTCGGAGGCACAGGGGAAACAATGACAGATTATCAGGCATTAGATTCTCATGAGGAGTGTGCAGCCTAGCTCCCTCACATGTGCAGTTCACAACAGGGTTCAGGCTTCTATGAGGATCCAATGCCACTGATCTGATAGGAGGTAGAGTTCAGGTAGTAATGCAAGTGATGGGGAGCAACCATAAATGAGGATGAAGCTTTGCTCACTTGCCTGCCGCTCATCTCCTGTTGTACAGCCTGATTCCTAACAGGCCACCAACTGATACCTCTAGAATAGTGTATATGGCAACACAGTCACTTTAAAAAAAATTTTTTTTTTGAGACGGAGTCTCGTTCTGTCACCCAGGCTGGAGTGCAGTGGCATGATCTCAGCTCACTGCAACCTCTGCCTCCCGGGTTCAAGCGATTATCCTGCCTCAGCCTCCTGAGTAGCTGAGACTACAGGCACCTGCCACCACACCTGGCTGAATTTTTGTATTTTTAGTAGAGACAGGGTTTCACAGTGTTAGCCAGGATGGTCTCGATCTCTTGACCTCATGATCCACCCGCCTCAGCCTCCCAAAGTGCTGGGATTACAGGCGTGAGCCACCGCACCCGGCCACTTTTTAAAATTTTTGTGGGTACATAGTAGGTGTACATATTCATAGGTTATATGAGATGTTTTGATACAGGCACACAATGTGAAATAAGCACATCATGGAGAATGGGGTATCCATCCCCTGAAGCATTTATCCTCTGAGTTACAAACAATCCAATTACATTCTTTAAATTATTTTTAAATATATAATTAAGTTATTATTGACTCTAGTCACCCTGTTGTGCTATCAAATGATAGGTCTAATTCATCTTTTCTTTTGTGCCCATTTACAATCCCCACCTTCTCCCCAGCACCTCGCTACCCTTCCCAGCCTTTGGTAGCCATCCTTCTACTTTCTATGTCCATGGACACAGTCACGGGTTTTTTTTTTTTTTTTTTTTTTTGAGACGGAGTCTTGCTCTGTTGCCAAGGCTGGAACGCAGTGGCATGATCTCGGCTCATTGCCACCTCCACCTCCGCCTCCCAGGTTCAAGAGATTCTCCTGCCTCAGACTCCTGAGTATCTGGGACTACAGGCATGCACCACCATCCCGGCTAATTTTTGTATTTTTAGTAGAGGTGGGGGTTTCACCATGTTGGTCAGGCTGGTCTCAAACTCCTGACCTTGTGATCTGCCCACCTCGATCTCCCAAAGTGCTGGGATTACAGGTGTGAGCCACCGTGCCTGGCCCACAGTTACTTTTTAATGGCTGTGTGTTTTTTTTTTTTTTTTTTCCAGAAGATTAGCTTTGTGGGATGTTATGTAGATAATCTAAATGGTGTATGTGAAATTAATGGGCCTTTTGTATAGTTTATTTTTAAATAGCAAATTTTTTCTGATTACAGAGATAATATGTTTACCTTAAAAAATTTAAAAGTATCAAAAAACTCAAGGAAGAAAAATTTAAAACCATCTACTATGGTCCAAATGTTTATGTTTTCCCCCAAATGCATATGTTGAAATCCTAACCCCCAAGGTGATGGTATTAGGAGGTGGAGCATTTGGGAAGTGATTAGTCCAAGAGAATGGAGCCCTCATGAATGGGATTAGTGTCATTATAAAAGAGGCCTGAGTGAGCTGGTTTACCCCTTTCACCTTGTGGGGATGCAGGAGATGCAGGGAGAGGGTGCCATTGATGAAAGGGAAAGCGGGCTCTCACCAGACACTGAAATCTGCTGGCACCTTGATTTTGGGCTTCCCAGCCTCCATAATTGTGAGCGATAAATTTCTGTTATTTATAAGCCGTGCAATCTAAGACATGTTGTTAGCCCAAATGGACTAAAAAGCCCAAACCATCTCAAAATAAAAAGATTTCAATGCACAAGACATTGAAGACATGTGATAGGAAATGAGTGATTTTCATCTATAGTGGCTCTCACATAGGGCTTTTCTCAAAGGCCTGAAGCCAGCAGCATAAGAAGACTCCAGTTCCCTGTGCCCTCCTGCTCTTGTGGCCATGTCCCTAGCATGAGGGGGAGAATTGCTAGTTAAATTATCTATGATTAATTTTACTCCAGACCTCAGTAGGCCAACAATTGTTAATAACGTGATTACCATTTGCCCTTTCTAGCAAGTAGAATATGTGAAAACTGACAGTAAATGGATTATTATCATTTACTGTGCTAAAGCCATGTGCTTATTTCAATATTAAAAAAATAATTACTTTTTCTTACTCAAGACTATTGTAGGAAAACCAAAGAAAGTGTGTTGAGATTTTCCAATAGGGTTATGTATATGAAAGGAGCTTTAAATAGCTAAGTACACAATGTGTGTGTGTGTGTGTGTGTGTGTGTGTGTGTGTGTGTGTGCGTGTTTCATTTTCTTACTTTTACTATTGCTATGGTCTGGATGCTAATGTCCTCCTTCCCCCAAATTCATATGTCAAAATCCTTATCCCCAACGTGATAGTATGAGGAAGTGGGAAGTGGGGCCTTTGGGGATAATTGGGTAATGAGGGGGAGACCTCATGCATCGGATTAATCTCCTTATAAAAGAGACTCAAGAGAGACCCCTCACCCCTTCCCATGTGAGGACACCAAGAAGGCACCATCTATAAAGCAGGCCCTTGGCCAGGCATGGTGGCTCACACCTGTAATCCCAGCATTTTGGGATCTGAGGTGGGCGGATCACCTGAGGTTGGGAGTTCGAGACCAGCCTGACCAACATAGAGAAACCCCATCTCTACTAAAAATACAAAAAAATTAGCTGAGCATGGTGGCACATGCCTGTAATCCCAGCTACTAGGGAGGCTGAGGCAGGAGAATGGCTTGAACCCGGGAGGCGGAGGTTGTGGTGAGCCGAGATCGCGCCACTGCACTCCAGCCTGGGCTACAGAGCGAGACTCTGTCTCAAATAAATAAATAAATAAAAATGAAATAAAAACAAAAATAAAAAAAAAGGCAGACCCTCAGCAGACATTGAATCTGCTGATGGCTTGATGTTGGACTTTCCTGCTTCTAGAATTATGAGAAATAAATTTTTATATTTCTGTTGTTTCTAAGCCACTTAGTTTGTGATATTTTGTTATAGCAGCCCAAACAAAGATGACTATCTATACCAGGGGATAGCAAATGTTTTCTATAAATATCAGATAGTAAATATTTTAAGCTTTATGGGCCATGTGGTCTTTGTTACAACTACTCATCTCTGCCTTTGTAGCATGAAGTCAAGCAGATATAATACAAATGGACATGGCAGTATTCCAATAAAACTTTACTGATAAAAATATATGGTAGGCCAGATTTGGCAAGAGGGCCATAGTTTGCTTGGCCCTGATCTATGTATTCAGGACCTGGTCTACATTCAGGTTAGTATGCTATTCTGGACAAATTGGCATTAGTAGCTTTAATGGATGAAATGAAGTCAAAGGCAGTGAATGGGCTCAGAGGTGGTATCAGAGGTAAGAGAGGGAAGGTGGGGAACCTTCCTCACTGGAAGGTTATTATCGTCAAGGTGTTCCTAAGGAGACGGTATGGTACTTAAAACCCAGAGACTTCATGATTGCCCTGTAAAGAGGAACTCTTGGGGTGTGCTGCAGGAGCTCATGACACAAACTCTTACCAAAGGCTTCCTTTCCTCTTGGGATCTCTGTCTTGCAACTAATGTAGCTGAGTTCACATTCTAATACATAACTGACTGATACAATTTTTTTGTCTCTTGGACAGTGAGGTAATATGTTGGAATGTTGGGGGTACACATTCTATTGTGGAGACCCCATCCTCCATATGCTTAGTTTATTACTTTAAATCAGGCAAGCCCTAAGGAGCTTGACTGGGAAATAAGTCTGGAGTGGTGGCTCATGCCTGTAATCCTTGCACTTTGGGGACTGAGGCAGGAGGATTGCTTGAGCCCAGGAGTTCAAGACCAGCCTGGGCAATGGAGCAAAACCTCATCTCTTCAAAACAAAACAAAAAACAAAACAAAACAAAATTAAATTAGCTGGGCATGGTGGCATGCTCCTGTGGTCCCAGCTAGCTCCAGGGGCTGAAGCTATGGTTGTGCCATTGCACTCCAGCCTGGATGGTGACAAAGTGAGACCCTGTGCTCAAACAAGCAACAAGAACAATATAATACAAAACAACAACAACCACAATAACAAAACCCAAAAGGGAAACTGACTCCACAGAGTGCTTTGAATCTGGTCCTGAGGCAAGAGGGATAGTGCTGACATGGGATGAGGGAGCGGGGTGGTGCCGCACCACTTCCAACTGTGGAGGCCCCAGAAAAAGACATGATGCCAGGAAACTTTTCTTTTCCTTTTCCACTTGATTCCTCACCTGTTTTTAAATGTTTCTGAGCTGTTATTCTGATGTGGTAGTGGGGGAGTGGTGGCTGCAGTGATGAGAGGAGGATTAGGCAAGAATCACTAGAAATGTCTATTTGCATAGGCACCTTCCCCATAGCACTGCCTACCTCTGCTCTTCGCCTCATAAAGCATTGAGAACCTAAGGAAGGCTGTGCCAAGGAAATATTCATCCCAAAGGGTCCTTGACTTACGTAGTGGATTCAGTATCATGGAAACACCTGTGTATTTATTTACTCATTTATTTTTAGAGGTAAATAACTTCATATGGTGATAAATATTTCTACTTATTGTCTGACAAGGACCCATTAGTCTCTGAAGTGAGTTCTTTTTCTTTGTACAGGCTGCTTCAAATTTTGAGCTAATGTGACTTTAAACCCTAAGAGGTGACTCAGTAGTCCAATTCCCTTTATGAAGATAGCTCTAAAATCTTGCCCATTTATATGGTCCAGCATAGTCTTGCTCTTAGTCAGCTTGGGCTCCCACAACCAAACACACAGGCTGGGTGGCTTATGCAACATGTATTTATTTTTCAGTTCCAGTGACAGGAAAAGTCCCAGATCAGGGTGCCAGCATGGGCAAGCTCTCTTCCTGGCCTGCAGATGGCTGCCTTCTTGCTGTGTCCTCAGATGGCAGGGGGAGAGAGAGAGAGAGAGAGAGAGAGAGAGAGAGAGTGAGAGCTCTTGAGCAAGCTGGGGTCTCTTTCTCGTCTTATAAGGACACTAAACCCATCATGGGTGCCCCACTGTCATGACTTTATCCAAATCTACTTACATTCCAAAGGCTCCACCCCCAAATACCATCACATTGAGGGTTAGGGCTTCAGCATATGAAGTTTGGGGGACAGAAACACTCAGTCTGTAACACTTAACTTCATTCTGTTTGACCTGTAGAATTTCTTTTAAAGATCACCTTGTACCAATGACTTCCTATTTTATAAGTTTCAAATGGTATTTGGCCAAATCCAAAGCTTTTCTTATCTTACAGAATATTTGCTATAAACTATTTTTGTCAAAACCTTCTCTTGGAACAATAATCTAAAGAGATTCCTACTTGATCCTCTTTCTATTACCTGTGTCTGCTAGGGATGACCATCCCATCTTCCAAAGCTCCTTAGGGCTTGCCTGATTTAAAGTAATAAACTAAACATATGGAGGATGGGGTCTCCACACTAGAATATGTACCCCCAACATTCCATCATATTACCTCACTGTCCCAAGAGACAAAAAATGTATCAGTCAGTTATGTATTAGAATGTGAACTCAGCTACATTAGTTGCAAGACAAAGACAAAGTCTGACATTTCTAAAGCCTCATAACTTTTTGGTCAAGATAGAAACCAAAGAAAAAGAGAAATTCTGAGACCATGCTGGCATGCATTTCCTTGGCTAAGTCAATCATTGTATGATCTTGTTGAAAGGTAGAGTTAGGTCAAATGCACATAGCTAGTAAATATTCCTCTAATGACACGTCACAGTCATTTGGAATAAATCTAAGTTTTAATTTGGCTGAAGAGGGAGTGAGTTATTGGGAGAAGTTTGTTCTACCAAAACATCAGCAGTACAGATAAGAACTGAGGTTTCCTAGGAGATCTGAGAGGTACTGGTTTGGGAATATTTTGCTACTTGAACAGATATCTAAAGTTCTATGAATTTAGATTAAGGTCCTCCATATATTTATAAACAAAGAGAAAGTTCAATCATGGCACATGAATTCAGGAGGAGAAATGTAAGAAAAAGCTGTCCTTGCCTTCTATAAGTTAAATTAAGATACTGTAAGAATGTTCAGTAAGGATGGACATTTCAAATACCGATGTTCTAAAGGAAATGATGTTTGTGTTGTATTATTACTAAAGGTCAAACCTGGCCTAGGCTAGAAAGAGGCAAAAACAGAATCAGAACCTAGGGCTCCTGATTACTAGGACTGGACTCTTTCCCCTATACCCTGTTGACATGTAAGACATGAAAAACTAAAAGTTCTTGTGGAAGATCCAAATATGCTTTAATTTACTGCTGTATCTCCTTGCTCTATTTACCAAAAAAAAAAAAAAAGATAAACCTTGGCACCAAAAATGTAAATAAGTTACCTATACATCATTTTGTAAAGGTAAAACTATAATTTAATCTATATGAGCAAACATAAACATTCCTATATTCCAATTTCACTTTTAAATTTTACTAAATACAATTTAAAATTTTAAAACTTTTAATTTTAGATTTACATATACTTGTAAGAAATACTACAAAGAGAGTTCATATGTTGCTTCCCAGCTTCTCCCACTGGTAATATATTTTTCTTTTTTTTTTTTTTTTGAGACAGAGTCTTGCTCTGTCACCCAGGCTGAAGTGCAGTGGCACAATCTTGGCTCACTGCAACCTCTACCTCCCAGGTTGAAGCAATTCTCCTGCCTCAGTCTCCCAAGTAGCTGGGATTACAGGTGTGTGCCACCACGCCTGGCTGATTTTTGTATTTTTAGTAGATAAAGGGTTTCACCATGTTGGCCAGGCTGGTCTTGAACTCCTGACCTCAGGTGATCCGCCTGCCTCGGCCTCCCAAAGTGCTGGGATTACAGGCATGAGCCACCACGCCCAGCCAACATCTTGCATAATTATAGCATAACATCACAAACAGGAAATTAACATTGTTACAACTCACTGGCCTTGTTCAGATTTCAGTAGTTTTACATGCACTCGTGTGTGTGTGTGTGTGTGTGTGTGTATTTTGTTCTACGCAATTTTACCACATGTTTGGAATGGTAGGACTACCGCGATCAAGATAAAGAACAGTTCTGTCCCAAGGAACCCTGGGACTACTTTTTATTGCCACAGCCATTTCCCTCCCAGCCACTCCTTAACTCGTGATAACCATAAATAAAGCTTCTGTGAACATCTATGCATAGGTTTTAGTACTAACGTAAGTTTTCATTACTCTGGGATAAATGCCCAAGATTGTAAAATTGCTAGGTCACACGGTAATTGCATAATTAGTTTTGTAAGAAACTGCTATACTCTTTTTTTAAGAGTGGCTGTACAATTTTATATTCCCATCAGCAACATATGAGTGATTTGTTTCCTCCACATTCTCACCAGCATTTGGAGTTATCGCTATTTTTTGTTTTATCCCCTTTGATAGGTATGTGGTGATATTGCATTTTAATTTGCATTTCCCTAGTGGTCAAAGATGTTAAACATCTTTTCATGTGCTTATTTGCTGCCTGTATAACCTCCTCAGTGAACTAGCTTTTCATGTCTTTTGCTCCTTTTCTAATTATTTATTTCTAATTGTTCGCTTTTTTCACTGTTGAGTTTTGAAAGATACAACTTCTTTACTGGATGTGTGGTTTGCAAATATTTTCTTCTAGTCTGTAGCTTGTCTTTTCATCCTCTTTACAGGATATTTCACAGAGAAAAAGTTTTGCTTTTTGTTTTATGTTACCTTTGATTAAGTCCAGTTTACCAATTTTTTCTTTGATGGATCATGCTTTCGGTGGCTCACTTTATTTTTATCCCTATCTATTTTCTTGAGGTATGCATATTTGCAGCCAAAAGGAAGACTTTGTGTCGAACACTGTTGTGATTTCCCTGTGTTTTTTGCACTTTCAGCAATTTACTCATGTTGGGTAAACTTGGATTGTTTGCTTTACAGCCAGCGGTGCAGCACAGGTGATGTCTGGAGGTCTGGTAATTACGAGCTGCATTTATTAAGATATTTTCCTGCTGCTGTCACAATTTTAGTTCTTTCTCAGGCTTTGTAATGGTTCTGATTTTGGGGCTTGCACCAGTTGGTATATGCTACAAACTAGAAGCCGAGGCTACTAGATGTACAAAAGCTGCTTTATTTTATTGCAGGGAGTCTATGTAGCATGGGGAAAATGCACGCATGGAATCACAACGCAGTCATGCCCAAACCCTGACTCTTCCAAACTGTATGACCCCTTCATGGTTCTGTTGTCTCATCAGTAAAATGGAGATAACAATCCTATTTCATAAAGTTGCCATGAGAATAAAATAAAATGATGTATCTAAAGCACTTTACAGAGGATCTGGTTTACAGATATGCTGAATAAATATTACCTATTATGATCATAACCTTGCTTTTCTGTATGCATTCACTTTTAGATTATTTCCACCTAAAGGAATGATTTTTTTCAGTTCCATAGCTGCTCCCTACCTCCTTATAAAGGTCTTTAAGGAGAACATGGAGGTCTAGAGATAAAAGCACTAACTGTCTTTGGTCCCCTAAGGACTGGGGAGTGCGTGCGTGAGAAGACAGTGTATAAGCAAGGAAGTGGTAAGAACTGAGGGGTTGGGGGGGCACCAACTGTGTTGTTCACAGACTCACTAGCTTGGAACAATTTGGGCATAGTCTTACCCAATGGTATCAGGGAGTTCAATGAATTTGTGCATCAGCTACCTGCAGGATTTATTTTTCCCTATAACCCCTGTTTATAAACTGATCACGGCTAGGACTTGTTTTTTCCTTCCAAATTAAAACACAAAGCTCATTAATAAGAATCATTATAAAAGCAACACATACAATCATTGAGAAAACACTATAATACAAGGCATGAGCTCAGAACCATAGAAACATGGAAGAGAAATTTATTATCATGATGAGCGATTTGACAGATGGAAAGGGGCAGAAACCTTCATCGTCTGCTGTTTCCCTTTTCTCTGGTCTCATCCACAGCACTGGAACATCCCCATGAGATAGATAAGATGTGAATATCATTCTCGTTTTATCAGAAAGGAATAAGAATAGTAAAAAATTAACATGTTCAAGGTTACATCATGAATTTTAGGAATACATCTCTGCCTCTTGATTCCCATTTAGTATTCTGATACACACTAAACTACTCTTTATCTCACTTCAATTGCTATCTCAAATTATATTGGTAAGCCCATACTCCACGTTCTACTTTCTCTGGGGGAATGGAGAATGACAGGCTATCTATCATCCATCTTTGCTTTACAATGAAATGTGACTTTTATGTAACTATAGTAACATATGTATGCCATAAAAATGCCTTGCAGTCTCAAAATGCTACATAAATTGGGAAATGAAGACTAATGTGCTACTGAAAGGTTATAATTTTCAGCTCTCAGCATGAGTCAGACTCCATGTGCCAATGCTCCCTTGAAATCAGGTTGGCAGTTCTCCAGCATTAAGCAGAAACACCATGGAATTCATCTCATACATTATCAAAGTTGTGCACCCACCCCTACAAATGCCACATGGAACTTTAAGCTCCTTGCTGGAGGAGCAACCCCAAAAGCCTGGTAGCCTGACAGTAATGTTTTCCTGTTAATTTTATATACATCCGATTTGTTGTTACTAAATTTTTCCTTTAATTTTACATCAAATGACTTTGTAGCATACTTTCAGTTACATTCTCATATAGAATGTCAGAGATTTGCGTACTGAAAGTGTCGAATCTTTATCCTCAATATCCAAAGTAGTTTTAGCAAAAGCTTTACACACACACACACACACACACACATGCACAGCAGAAAGAAATATTTATGTGAAACTAAGACAGGAACAGAAAACCAAACACTGCATATTGTCACTCATAAGTGGAAGTTGAACAATGAGAACACATGGACACAGGGAGGGGAACATCACACACTGGGGTCTGTTGGGGGGTGTGGGGCAAGGGGAGGGAGAGCATTAGGACGATACCTAATGCATGTGGGGCTTAAAACTTGGATGAGGCCGGGCGCGGTGGCTCACGCCTGTAATCCCAGCACTTTGGGAGGCCGAGGCGGGCGGATCACGAGGTCAGGAGATCGAGACCATCCTGGCTAACACGGTGAAACCCCGTCTCTACTAAAAATACAAAAAATTAGCCGGGCGTGGTAGCGGGCGCCTGTAGTCCCAGCTACTCGGGAGGCTGAGGCAGGAGAATGGCGTGAACCCGGGAGGCGGAGCTTGCAGTGAGCCGAGATCGCGCCACTGCACTCCAGCCTGGGCGACAGAGCGAGACTCCGTCTCAAAAAAAAAAAAAAAAAAAAAAAAAAAAACTTGGATGACAGGTTGATCGGTGCAGCAAACCACTATGGCACATGTATACCTATGTAACAAACCTGCACGTTCTGCCCATGTATCCCAGGGCTTAAAGTAAAATAACAAAATACATATGTATGTGAATAAAAACCTGCTTTTTCAAGTGCTTCATCTGTACTTTACTTAGAGTTGAAAGATTGGGAGTGAATGATTGTATATAGCAGCCCTTCTAAAGGGAGTCACATTTTTCACCACATTTTAGATTGCAGACCCTCAGAATTATGAAATTTAGCTTTCTTTTCAGAGTAGTGGATGGAAAGACTATAAGACTGAGGGCTTAATTTCAAATTCCAATGTTAACACTTATTAGCTGTGTGTTCTTGAATGAATTACATATTCTCCTTGCCACTCAATTTTCTCATTTGCAGAATGAGGACAGGAACACCTACCTGACAGGATTCGAAAATTAAATGAAGTAACATAGAAAGTGATTATGATTGTGCTTAAACAACTCATTCCAGTTTGGGGAACTTGAGCTTTTAGAAAATTCTTCCTTATGGTAAATCTAAATACACTTCCCAGACTTTAAACTGTTGTCCTCAATTGGCCTTCAGGACACGTATGGACAGTCTAATCTTTCTTTTAAATTAAGGCCCTATACCTATGAGAATTTTGCTCTGATGTCACTTTGTGTTTCCTTCTTATAAGCTATTAATGTAAGATTCCTCACCACTCTGCTTCCTGCCACAGGCCGCTTTCTGTGTTCACTCTACACTCCTTTCCTGGACCTTCTCATCTATTCCTATGGCTTCAAACTCTCCATTCTCTTCCCTTCTAAGCCTGTATTTTGGTCAGTGTTTGGGGGCTCAATAAATGATAGCAGCCATGCATGCATGTCTTAGTCTGTCAGGTCTGCTATAACAAAATACTATAGACTAGGTGGCTTATAAACAAAAGAAATTTAGTTCTAACAGTTCTGGAGGCTGAGAAGTCCAACATCAAGGAAGTGGCAGGTTTGGTGTCTGGTGAGGACCCACTTGCTGGTTCATAAATGGCATCTTCTTGCTGGTCCTCACAGCAAAAGGGCAAACCAGCTCCCTCAGGCGGCCTCTTTTATAAGAACACTAATCCCATATAAGAGAGTTCCACCCTCATGACCTAATCACCTTCACTTCCTAATACCATTACCTTGGAGGTCAGAATTTCAACATATGAGTTTTGGAGGAACACAAACCTTCAGACCATAGCAACCCAGGCACTTGAAATATGAGGTTTATCCTTGCCCCTCCTCTTTCCTTCACCCCTATCCCCATGCAGTCTTTTACTTGGTTTTGTTGTCTCTATATCTTCAGTATCTCTTGAATCTACCAGCTACTCTCCTTACTCAGGGCTACCATGGCTACCACTGTAGTCCAAGCTGCCATCGTCTCTGGTCTAGGCTAACACAATAGTCCCTGCATCATCATTCCCTATCTCTCGATGCCACATTCTGGTCAATTCTCCACCCTGAAGCCAGAGAGCGATACTTTAAAGCTACGAATTTGATTCTGTCACTCTGTGGTGGAAAATAAATTAATGGCATCCTGTTGTTCTAGAACAAAATGTAAACCCTATCCCATAGCTATATGGCTCTCTGTTGACTTCTCAGCCTTGTATTTTATCTCTATTCTCATTTCTTTCCTGATCTCAATCATGACAGACTTCTTTCAGTTCCTTGAACAGGGTGTTCTCTCCTTTGCTTTTGGGCCTTCAGACATGTGTCCCCCCCTGACTGAAACAGTCTTTTCTTTCCAATTCCCTCTGCATTCATTTGGCCAATGTTACTTTTACTCAGGCCCCAGCTGTATGACACTGATGTGGTTTGGATCTGTGTCCCCACCCAAATCTCATGTTGAATTAGAATCCCCAGTGTTGGAAGTGGTGACTGGTGGGAGGTGATTGGATGATGGGGCAGATTTTCTCAGGAGTTGTTTAGTACTGTCCCCTTGGTACTGTTGTTGTGATAGTGAGTGAATTCTTGTGAGATCTGGTCATTTAAGTGTGTAGCACCTCCCCCCTCACTCTCTTGCTCCTGGTTTCCCCATGTGACTTGCTAGCTCCCCTTTCACCTTCTGCCATGATTGTAAGTTTCCTGAGGCCTGCCCAGAAGCCAAGCAGATGCCAGCATCACGATTCCTGTACAACCTGCAGAACTGTGAGCCAATTAAACCTCTTTTCTTTATAAATCCCCCAGTCTTGAGTATTTCTTTATAGCAATGTAAGAATGGCCTAATACAGCCACCTTTTCAGGGAAGTGTTTTCTGACTGTCCCTCAATACAGTTGGGTCTCCCTGTTATGAATTTCAGAGCACCTGTATTTTTTACTTCTTAATGCTCTCCATTGTTGGGACTATGTTTTTGTTTGTTTGTTTGTTTTGTTTTGTTTTTGAGAAGGAATCTCGCTCTGTTGCCCAGGCTGGAGTGCAGTGGCACTATCTCTGCTCACTGCAAACTCCGCCTCCTAGGTTCAAGTGATTCTCCTGCCTCAGACTCCTGAGTAGCTGGGATTACAGGCACACACCACCACGCCTGGCTAATTTTTGTATTTTTAGTAGAGATGGGGTTTCACCATATTGGCCAGGATGGTCTCAATCTCCTGACTCCATGATCCACCCGCCTTGGCCTCCCAAAGTCTTGGGATTACAGGCGTGAGCCACCGCAGCCAGCCCGACTATGCCTTTGTTTATTTTTCCCCCTTTATACTATATACTCTATTAGAGTAGTAAGCATTTTTTTAATAAAAAATTACAAACAATATACAAAAAAGGCCAAATAGTATAAAGAATCCTCATGTAACCCTGCCACATATTCAACTTATCAACTCATGACCAACATTGCTTTGGCTATCCCCTCACCACTCCCTCCATTTCCTCAGATTATTTTGAGGCAAATTTCAGACATCATATCATCTTATTAAAAGGTTCAGTATGCATTTCTAAAAGATAACTACTCATTTTAAAAACAGTATTACAGTAAGTTAGCAAGTGACTATTTCTTTCCTATTCACTGCACTCTTAGTAGGAATTCATTCCAATTTATCCTAATACTGATCAAAACATAGGAGGTACTCAATAAATGTTTCTTGAATGGATGAATGAAGTGCACTATGGACATACTTCCATTTGGGAGTATTACTCCTAACCTTTGGCACTGAGGATGACACACAGTACTTCAGCTATATGCTGAAGAAAGAATTGGAAATGTCATTTTCTTTTTTTAGATATTATCATTTCTACTATTAGGGCTTAAGAATTTACTAATTTGTTTGTGGCTACATCTCTGAACTGTCTTAAATTGCCTAAAAGTTCATCAAAAGCTATTAATTCTTTTTCACATACCACTATTTTACTTATACATTTAATTCTTTAGGCCAAAGGCTGGGACTTTCCAAGAATTAGGTTTAAATTTCCTGTGACAAGAATTCTCGGAATTGTGATTCACTGATCCAAAGCACTTGCCTCTGGGTTCCTAGCCACATGAAAATTTCATTACCCAGGATTCTATTGATTTTTAGTTAGGTCACTGTCTTAGTCAGTTTGAGTTACATGACAAAAATATCATAGACTAGGTGACTTAAACAACAGAAGTTTCTTTGTCCCAGACCTGGAGGCTGGAAATCTGACATCAGGATGCAGTGTGATCAGGTTCCCACGAGGGCCTCTTCCTCAGATGGCATCTCTCAGTGCGTGCACTCAGAGAGAGAGCCTGGTCTCCTCTCCTTTTTATAAGGGAATTAATACCATAATGAGGGCCCCCATCTCATGACCCAACCTATCCAAGCATGGGTCAAAGGTTGGGGAGAGATGTCTGGTGCATCCAAATCTCTCTTTCTTCAAATGTAGAGGGGATAGTATCCACTTTGGGGCCAGGTAGACTATGGTTCAGATCCTCACGGGCATTAACTAGTTGTGTTATGTGGACCAAGTTGGTTGGCTTTCTAAAGATCAGTTTTCTTATTTGTAAAATGAAAGAATAATGGAGTTTGTATAACAGGATCACTATGAGCACTGGACGCAGTACCTGACACATAGTAGGTAGTACTTATTTTGCTCCACATTCAGGTCATGGGGATGACCTCAGTATTAGGTAGTTGTTATTTTGCTCCACATTCAGATCATGGGGATGGAGCCCTGGTCATTCCTAATGTGTGTAGAGGCTAGCATGAACCTGCTGAGGCTTCAAGGAGAAACCACGTGCCACTGGACAACTAATCTTCCCCCAGAGATGTCCCACCTGTGCTGTCACTGCTGTTAGTTGCCTTCCAGCTAAGTCTCTGCAGCCTGGTACCTAGGACTTGGGGGAAGGGGATGGAGGAAGCCATCTTTTCTTTGGGGGCCAGAACTGGAACCCCTCACTTCCTTTATTCTGTTCTGAGCATAGGCTATGTCTTCCTCCTCCTTTTTGCTTAGCCTGACTGCATACAATGCTACTTCCCAGAGAGTCTCAGATGCTCCACCCAGACCATTTTTTGGATCTTTGCTCCAAATCCCTGCTGTTTTTTCAAACAGCAGGTGAACATACAGTCCTCTTCCTTTTTACCTTTGTGAAGCATGAAGGTGAAGTTAATCGGAGGAAAAGGAACTGGTTTGACTTTTTGTCACCTCCCAGGCAGCCATTAGTGCTGTTGGTAGATTGCATTAGGCCTTTTATTTCTCTTTGGACATTTCAACTACATGGTTTTTGTAGAATGCACTTTCTTCTTCTATTTTATCAGAATGAGGATTATGCTTTCTTTTTCTCTGTTTCTTCAAATATTGCCAATATCAGTTCTCACTGTATCCCCTGTACTTGTTTTTTGTCCAGCTTGAAACTCATTTAGAGCAGCTAGGTCCTCATTTAAAAGCTCCTTACCTTTCTGTGGCTTCAATTCCCACTTAACAATATTAGTTTTACCTTTCCCAGTGTGACAACAATACTTTTAGACAGAGCAGATGGAAGTAAAATAGAAGTTGAATGAACACATTTGTTCTTGTGCTTTGCTAGTATTAAATCTTTATCTGTGAGGTAGATGCAATACAGCTTTTATCAAAACAAGCAAAAACATTAAAAAAAACAAAAATAAAGCCACTATTACCACCAACATTGTCTCTCCCCACACCCCCAATATCTCCATTTAAAAAGTCTTATTAACTTAAATATTCACTTCATTTTGAGTCTTAGCTTTTCTGATTTGTTAGTTATAGCTTTTAATAAACCACCTACAAATTATATATTTTTTAGTCTTCCTATTTAGTTGAAGAATATTAGATGATCTTTATTTTGAAATATTTTCAAGGCCTGCCAGTGACCCAATTATTTTGAATTATGATTGGTGAATTGAAATTGCAGAATGATTAGGACTTAATTATTTCAAATGTGGGCTTTGGAATTGAAAAGACTTTATTTCCTAGCATTTAAACACTTGGATGACCTTCAGCAAGCAGATCTTTGAACCACAGTTTATCCTCTATAAATGGGCTCTTGCATTAATAAAATACTATGTGTGCAAAGCTTTGCATAGGGTGCCTGAGACAGGACAGGAAATCCATACCAATTCACTTTCCTTTCCTTTTTTGAATGAATTATGATGGGACTGAAGTAAGTAATTTTGAAGCAATATGAGAAGTTAATTTGTATAGATCTTTATCTGTAAAATTAAGGCAACAAAAGTAAGGTAAAAGGCAATTCATTAATCAGGGTTGTGTGTGTGTGTGTGTGTGTGTGTGTATCAGGATGTCAGGCTCTCAAAATGTATTTCACAATCTGTTTCTAACAAGATTCATTTTTCAACATTTATAATTTATGACGACTGATATAAATACCATGCAATTTATTGAGAGCCTTTCAATCAATGTTTATTCTTTCTCATAACCAATTCATACATCAAAGATCCAGATAATTAAGGAAATAGTCACCCCATTGTGCTATCGAGTACTAGATCTTATTCATTCTTTCTATTTTTTTTTTGTATCCATTAACCATTTCCACTTCTCCTCCAACCCCTCCACCCCACCCCCATCCCTCTGCCCAACTGCCCTTCCCAACTTCTGGTAACCATAATTCTACTCTCTCTCTCCATGTTTCTTAACTACTGAGTTATTAACCATTATTTCACATTGGTTAAAAGAATAAACTGCATAGATCTTCCAGACCTGAAAGTTTATACGACACCCATTTTTCAGGAAGCAAGGAAATCTTCCACATACATTGGCCTGTGGGTTCTTTGGCAATTGAATAGTTGATAAATTCGTATTTTTCCTTGCAGTGAATGAAATGTAAAAAATAAAAATTGCAACCATATTTCAACCATGAGGGAGAGAAAGAAAAGTTAACTGATCATTTGCTAAAGTGGATTCAGTGGAATAAATGGGTATAAATTATGTAGAGTATAAAATCTGCAAAATTTGATAATTATTTTTATTCTCTAGCTTTATCATTGGCATAAGTAAAATTTCCAAGATCAGTGAATGATCAGTTATTTAATGACTTTTAATTTAGAAACAATCCCATAATTACCAAAGTTTTTTTTTACTTGCTCTATTCTTAGAGTTTATGCTTATGTATCAAGCTTGCAGGTGACACATCAGATATTTTTTCAATTATACATTTGGTTTATTTTGATGGCAAATTTATTTAGGTAGCTTCTCTAGAGGGTAACTTTCTTATATTTTCCTCCCTGCTGTCTGTATTACAAGATTCAAAACACATGTTTGACAAGTGAAAATTTAGTCCATCATTCAGATCATCTGTTCTTTTTGGTGCTGCATAAATTCAGTTCAAGAATAAAATAGACTGATGATCCTGTCATTCAGAGTGGCATGCCCTTACATAAATATGAAGGCTAATGATGGGCTTGTGAAACTGACTTCCCTTTATGCATTAATATTTTTAGCTGTGATCATTTCCTAATCTTGTAATTATAAAACACAGGGTTGGACTTTTGAGTGACTAGAGATTACAATACTTTTTTTCCCATGGTATAAAGAGTAAATGCATGTATCAAGGTACATTCACATGATGGAATATCATACAGCAGAGAAAATGACTGGATGACATAGTACATGGTTGAATTTCAGAAACATACATCTCAGAAGGTTCATATACGATACCATTTTATAAAGCTCAAAAATAAAACTAAATTGTATGTTGTTTATAGACAGAAGCATGTGTCTGATAATAAAAACTTAAAAAAATAGCTTCATAAATAATTTTTTAAAACATCAGGCAGTGGCTGCTTCAGTGATAAAGGGAGGACAAGAGGATGGGGAAAAGCGCAGAAATAAATATAAGTTGTTGTCAACAGTCTAGTTTTAGGCTTAGAAGTGCCGTCATAATGTTTGATGTCATTTGTTTTATATTTTAAGTGTATATTATGTATGTTACCTTTATGTATCAAATACCGTTCTGGAAAATATCATGCAGCGGGAAAGAACCCTTGTATAAAAACAAATTCTATGCATCATCTAGTTTGTCATAAAGGAAAATTTATAAATGAGAACCCCAAATCTTATAGTATTTCTCTAGATATTATTAATTTCTTTTAGAGAAGATGAAGAGAAAAAGACTAACAGAGGCCATTAAAAAGCCCTATGGATTCAGAAAACTCAAGTTTTTGGCTAAATATAAGAGTTAGCAGCCAATCGCCATATATCCTTGCAAGACTAAGGGCCCTGGAACACAAATCCTGAGTCCCAGAAATTGCTTGGAGGATCCTGATGGGGCTTCATTTCATTGATTTCTTTATATTTATTTGATGCGTTGCATCTACATTTAGCACAGAATTGACAGAAGTCCTGCTTCATGAAATCCAGTTGATTAAGTGTGCTTCCCTTCTACTTCTCCACCTATCTGAATACTAACATCCTGCAAAGTCCACTCAAGTCTCAGTTATTTAGAATGACAATTCCTGAAGAAACTGCAATAAACACATCAGCCTCTTTGATTAATCAGAGTATGTGTTGACATCAATGCTCAAGCATGTGAGAAAGTCCTGTTCATATGCTGAATATCTTTGTTCTTGCCTGCTTCATCTATGAGTTAATAATCTTCAAGAGAAAAAGATTTGTCCCTTCTATTCCTTGTACGCTATGTTTAACAATGCCCCTTACCAGTATTTTAGCGCCGAGTGGATACTTGATAATAGTGAGTAACCAACACTTTTCTCTTTGGGGTGTAGCTATCTTTGGAGAAGTGACGTGGAAGTTTCAATGTCATGCTCTAAATGCAATGCTAAACCATATGCCTCCAGAAGCTCTTGGTGGCTTAGGATAGATTCCATGTGCTTTGGCAGTAATTACCTTCACTTCTCCTTTTCTTTCACTTCCCACAATCAATCCATTAGCAAGTCTGGTTAGCTCTGCCCTTAAAACATATCCTAGCTCTTTCTGTCTCTACTGTTACTGATCCAGACCAAGCCATTTTTTTAGGTTTATGTGCTAGCCTTTTAAACTTTCGTGCTTCTACTTTTGCCTCTGAAAAATGGGAAAGAGTTAAACGTTGATAAAGATACCATTCCTTTGATTATTCAAAGAAGTACTTAAAAATAGATAAACAAAGATTTTGAAATTTGATCTAAACATTGCACTTAGTTTTTATAGTGTGTGTTTTATTGTAATGGCAAGTAGCATTTGTTTAAGAAGATGGTCTGTAGGGCCATTCCAGATTAGCTAATTCTGAATGGTTTTCCACCAGATTTCTCTATACTAATAGTGCTACCCTTCTCTATGGACAGAGCTGGCCTGGTTGTGCTGCCCCAGAAGCCTGTCCTTGATTTCTCATCCCTCCTCGCCCCCTCTCTGCTCTTCTGGCCAAGTGGCTGTGCTCTCAGGCTGACCATCCCTCTGCTCATTCCTGGTCCAGTTTTGGCTCTCCATCTCAGTTGAGCAGCCAGGCAGAGGGTCAATGGCAGGAGGCCAGCTGCAGATGGGAGTGGTACAAAAACCACCCTGGGCCGACCAAATCCTAATTTCTTGGGTTGGGGCAAGAACTGCAGGCGATTCTGGAACTCATGTTTGAGGACCACTGATGAGTTTAAGATGGGTATGTTGAATGGCCCAGGCTGACCAAGCCCTGTGGTGTGAGAGGAGGTTAGGGAAGCTTCACTGCAGACTTAAAAGGCTGACTGGGGCTGGCCTACCAAATTGGTTTGTGTTTATTTGTGTGTTTTTGCAGCCGCTTGCAATTCTGCACCCAGGCAAGTGCTTCAGCCTGCCTCACCCTATGCATGGCCCTACTTAGAAACTTCCTACTCCCCAGAGAAGGCAGGATCAAACACTGGTTAAGAGCATGGGTTGGGTGTGGTGGCTAATACCTGTAATCCCAGCACTTTGGGAGGTCAAGGTAGGATTGCTTCAGGCCAGGAGTTTGAGACCAGACTGGGCAACATAGCAAGACTCTGTCTGTAGTTTCTACAAAAAAAAAAAAAATTAGCGGGGTGTGGTGGCATGCGCCTGTGGTCTCAGCTACTTGGGAGACAAATGGGAGGATTGCTTGAGTCCAGGAGGTCAAAGCTACAGTGAACTAGGATCATGCCACTGCACTCCAGCCTGGTTGACATAAGGAGACCCCATCTCACAAACAAACAAGAGCACGGGTCCATTGGTGCTGACATTTCTTACTTGTATAATCTGAGGGAAGATATTTACACTCTGCATCCCAGTTTCCCCCTCACAAAAACAGCAATAATAATCATGCCAACTTTATAAAATTTGTGGTGAAGAATAAATGGAATAATCCACATGAAAGGTTTAGAAGTGCCTGTTGCAGAGCCATTACACTGCTTGTTCTATGGATCATTTTTTTCCTCTGTGGGAAAGTTTGGCCTGACTCTCAAATGACAAATTCATGTTCTAGAACACAACCCATTCATAACTTGGGGATGTCCAAACTAAATGGATTTGGCTTTGCCATTGTTTGGAGGAGGTAATTGGCCTTCAGAGACGAGAGTTATTCCAGTGCTAGTTAAAAGAATAAAGCCCCAGGCAGCAAACCAACCTCAATTGCCTGTAGTTGCTTTTGCATTAATCATCATCTTTGTTTAGAGAACTGCACATTTGGTTGATAATATCAACTTAATAAACAGCCTTCCTAAAGTCTCCTTTAGGAAGATATCTTATTAAAATGGGATTGTTTAAAACAAGGCCTCTTTTCAAATATGGTAAAACATAAAAATTTGAAAAATTACACTAAGGGAAAGCAAAATCAAAGGAAAGTTGTTTGAAAGTATAGGATCAGTGAGAGAAAAATGAAGGGTTTCAACCTGGTCTTTCTGTTGTCTTATTGTCACTGGTAGAAAGATAAGTAGGAAGTTACAGATAATTTTAGAGGCACATAGAAAGGAATTGTGGACATCTTATTTTTGTTGGTATCTATAGTGGGCCTTTATTTCACATTCCCATGGGCCACCCTCAAGTCTGTATCTGGGATAGGTATCTGCCTTACCTATCCCAGGGACCATTTCCAAATGAGTACCTCTTACACTAAGTTCTCCTGGTCTCATGCTGCACAAGCCCACTGCAGATCTTCCTAAGTGCACTCTGCATAAATCACTCTCCTACTCTAGAACCTTCAGTGATTCCCTAGTGCCAAAGGATGAAGTATCATAGTCTCTTAACATCTTCCAGGCCTCTGTATACCAACCCTGGCACGAACGCTGTGCTACAGACAGATGATCCTTCTTACCTTAGCAGCATCCTCTTTGAATTCTGATCTTCATGCTTTTGCTCATGCTGTCTCTTCTTCCTGGCTTTCCTTCTCTGTCCCAGCCTATCTCCCATAATACCTTTAAAAAAAAAACTGATACAAATATTTGTACACATTTACAGGGTACATGTGATATTTTGTTACAAGCATAAACTGTGTAGTGATCCACTCAGGGTGTTTGGGGTATCCATCACTTTGAGTACTTATCATTTCTGGGTTGGGAACATTTCAAATCCTCTCTTCTTGATATTTTGAAATATATAATATACAATACACTGTTGTTAACTATAGCCATTGTTCATTCTTTTTTCTCTATTTTTGTCTGAATGGATTATTTAAAAATATCTCGACCAGGCAGTGGCTCACTTTTATAATCCCAACACTTTGGGAAGCTGAGGTGGGTGGATCGCTTGAGCCCAGAGAGTTTGAGACAAGCCTGGGCAACATGGTGAAACCCCATCTCTACAAAACATACAAAAATTAGCTGGGCGTGGTGGCATATGCCTGTAGTCTCAGCTACTTAGGAGGCTGAGGTGGGAGAAACAACTGAGCCTGGGGAGGTTGAGCCTGCTGTGAACCATGATCATACCACTGTACTCCAGGCTTGGTGACAGAGCGAGACCCTGTCTCAAAAAAAAAAAAAAAAAAGGAAAGAAAATAAAATTTCTTTTTGATTAAGATTTATGGCAGTATCATTATTGTGTTCCTTTGGAGGTACCATTTTTCCTTCCTTTTTCATGTTTCTTGTGTCCTTATGTTGATATTCTGTGCATCTGGTCTAACAGTCATTTCTTTCTATTTTTGAATTTACCTTCGTAGAGAAGAAATTTTTCCTGCAGACATGTCTATAGTGTTGGTTGGGTAGGGCGCTTTGGCTTTGATTCTGGGTGTGTGCAGTAGTACAGTCTTTATATGATTTCTTTGGCTGTAAACAATGTTAGTGGTGTCTGTAATTTCCTTGGTGGGTTAGGGTGTGGTTATTTATGGAGGCTGTGATGAAGTTGTGCTGGGGACTGGGATGCCAGGTGGGCCAGTCTCCAGGCCCCATTGCTGGCAGCAGTGGGTTGAATGTTCCTATCTTTGTGTCCCAGGGTGGGGTGTGCTGGCACCTGTATTGGCAGTCACCAGCGGGCTGATTCTCAAGCCTCCAAGTGCTTGCTCAGATGCCAGTAGTGGCAGCAGTGCCCCAGGCAGGTGTGTGAGTTCTCAGGCCCCTGGGCAGCTGGTGTGGTATGGGCAATGGCAGTAGCAGTGGTGGGATGTTCTCTGGGTCTCCAGCAGCATGCATTGATGTTGGCGGTGTCTGTGATGAGGTGGGTAGGCCAGTCCCCAGTACCACAGGCGGTGCTTGCAGGTAGGTGTCAGCTGATGTGGTAGCAGCCAGGAGTTCAGGCTCAACCTCAGGCTTCCAGGGTGAGTGCTAAGGTGCCCAAAGTGGTAGACTGGTTGGGCAATCCCTAGGACCCCCAGCTATATGCTGTTTTAGATGGCATGGCTAAGCTGTGCTGGGATGGCATGTGCTCAGGCTTCCCAAAGGTGAAAGCAGGTACCAGCCATGGTTGGCAGGGGCAAGTCTCTTAGTATCCTGGTGAAGTGCTTGGGCGAAGGGTGATAGCAGCTGCACTGAGACCCTGCCACGGGAGAGTGCTGGACAACCCTTGGTGGCCACAGCTTGGGCTAGTGGGTGGGGAGTGTGCATCCCTCTCATGTCCCAGTCCTGGTGAGGCTCACGCCCCAGCCCTGGTGGCAGTACCTTCCCCCTAGCTCTCACCTCAGCTCTGGTGATAGGAGTCCCTGCCCAGCTTGCAACTAGGTCCAAGTGGCGACTCATGCCCACTGCGTACTAATCTCAGTGTTGGTGGTGTTCACTTTTCAGCACTGGCAGCCACAGCCCATGCCTCACTCATTTCTCAACCCTGGCTATGAAAGCACTCTCCCAGCTCATGTCCCAGTCTCAGCAACAACAGCCCAAGTTTTCCTAATGCTTCTGTTCCAGTGCTGCCGGGATCCAGGAGAGCATGCAGTCTTCCAAAGGCTAGGTTAGAAACAGGCATCTTGCTGTAGCTGCTTAGGTCTAGGAAAGTGTGTGGGTCTCAGCAGAAGCTGCCTCCTTGGAGTGGTTCCATCCCACCGTCTTCAGGCAGCTCCCTGTGTTAGTTTCAGGGCTTGGGGTGGCAGGTTGAGGGGATCTCCTGTGGCCAGGATTGCATGGTTCAATAGTGAGGATGTGGGCCGCTAGAAGTCTCTCATTTCCACCTTCCCAGCATTGAGAAGTCACTCGCAGCTGATCCCGCCCAATAAGGCTGCCACTCTTTCTTATGCTTCTTTACTTTTGGTATTTCCTGTCACTTTTCTGTTGAATTCTGGTGTTCTCTCTTGAATAAAGTGTGCTTGTCTATACATTATTTTGGCTCTTTTCAAAGTAGAGAAGGTGAGCATGAAATGCTTCTAGTCAGCGTTCTTGAAGCCCCTTCTTTTGAATGTGTTTTATATCACTTAATAAATTCTTCAGTTCTAGAATTTCTGTTTGGTTATTTTTTTATAATATCTATCTCTTTGATAGATTTCTCATTCACAATATGAATTGTTTTTCTGATTCCTTTGTATTATTTTTCTGTTATTCTCTTGTATCTCACTGAGTTTCTTTAATATCATCATTTTGAATTATTTATCTGGGATTTATCTGGGATTGAAATCTGTTGCTGGGAAATCATTATGTTTCTTCGGAGGCATCATATTTCCTTGCTTTTTCATGTTTCTTCTTTCCTTACATTGATATCTGCATATCTGGTGTTACAGTCACTTCTTTCAATTATTTGAATTTGTTTTTGTAGAGGAGGGCTTTTTCCTGTGGTGTTGGTTGGGGGTAGGGCACTTGGCTCTGATTCTGGATGTGTGCAGCAGTGGAGTCTTCTTATGATTTCTTTGGCTATAAAGAACATCAGTGGTGTTTGTGACTTCTTTAGTAGCTTAGTGTACAGTTGTTCATGCAGACTGCAGTAAAGTTTTGCCTGGGACCAGGACACCAGGTGGGAAAGTCCTTGGGCCCCAGTGTTGGCAGCAGTAGGCTCAGAGTGCCTGTCCTTTGGACCCAGGGCAGCGTATGCTAGCACAGGTGTTAGCGGGTCCAGGTGGGTTGATTCATAGGTCTCCAAGTGGCTTGCTTGGGTGCCAGTAGTGGCAGTGGTGGGTTCAGTGGGTGGGTGGGTCCTTAGGCCCTGGGCAGCCAGTGTGACATGGGCAATGGCAGTAACAGTGGTGGGAGTAACCTCTGGGTCCCAAGCGGTTCATGCTAGTTTTGGCAGTGGCTGCAATGGGCTGAGTGGGCTTGTCCCCAGGTCTGCAGGTAGCATGTGCTTGTGGGTGCCCACTGTGGTGGTCGTGGCAGTTTGAGTGGACCTGACCTCAGGCCCCTGGGAGGGGTGTTCAGGTGCCAACAGTATTGAATTGGGCTGGGTCATCACCAGGCCCATGGACAGAGTGCTTGATCACTGAGAAGACATTGTTGGGCCAGGGAAAACTGTCTTAAGGGCCCCTGATGGTGTGTACAAACTGTGGTAGGCAGGGACAGTGTGATCCTCAGGCCCAAGGTAGAATTCTCTGGTGGGGGAGTCAGTGGCTTCACTGCAGCCCTGCTACTGGGGAGGCGGGGGGTTGCTTTCAGCAGCAGCAGCAGCCATATGGAGACGGCTGGGGAGCATGCACTTTGCTAGTGCCCTGGTTGTGGCAGTCCTACAGGCAGGTGAATTGTCCTTGGAGTACATGGAGATATGCTGTGGCTTCACTGCTGGGTGTAGTAGAGTCTTTGCTTATGGCTTCAGCTCTGGAAGCAGAAGCCAGCTGTGAAGGGGGCTCTGGGTAGGTTTCAGGGATTTCAAGATGCAGGGGCTGTTGGGTCCAAGGGCAAGGTGCAATCTGGTTGAGATTGGGCTCTCGATATGGCACCTTGCTGTGGCTGCTTAAGGCTCACAGTGTGTGTGGGACCCAGAGTGAGTTCCCTCTCTGGGGCAATGCTGTCTCATGGTTTCCAGGCAGCTCCCTATGTTAGTCTTGGTCCATGAGAGTCAAGGGACTGTCCGTGGCTTGCAGAGTCTATGGTGGGACAGTGGACCTTTGGGGTCACTCACTCACCTTTCTCCATGTTGGGGAGCCTCTCCTCGCTCCCAGCTCATCCAGCCGAGCAGGCTGCCTTGCCTCCCTCTCCTCCCTTGCTTTAGGTGTTTCCTGTCATTCCCCTGTTGAATTCCAGTGTTCTCAGATGATCTATTTGGTGTATGATTATCTACTTGCTGTTTTGATTCTTATTTGTGGAGAAGGCAAGTTCCAGATGCCTCTAGTCAGCCATCTTTTATAATACCTTTTGAGTGAATTCTAATATGCGTTGTTCCTTTTCTCTCTGTTGAATCCCCCTCAGAGCAGAAAGAGGAGTTCTGGCTTCTTTGTATTCCCAGCATCTAGTGTCCTAGATGCTCAAGAAACATTTGTTGATGGTGATGATAATGATGTTGACTAAAATTGGATTGATTCTCAAGGCTTTTGTTGTGATTAGATGCTGAATTAATTTCGGGTCTATTATAGCAGTACATAAAACCTAAATTGCTTCCCACCTTGGAAAGCAGGGCTGTGATCAGGAAATGTAGCTCCAGAGATTTCCTAAGTAACGTTCTTTTTACCCTGTTGTTAGTTGTGCCTTTGTCAGGATTTTGAGTAAAGGTATGTGCAGTACCTCCCAAAGTGCTGGGATTACAGGCGTGAGCCACTGCACCCCACCACAAGTTACTTCTTATTACCATATGCTTCCAGCAGATGATTAAGCACTAGTTATATTTTTTAAGTTGTCCCATGAACTCAAAGTTCCTTTCTTTCTCTCAGCTGTAGAATGACATTAGGTTTAATTTGCCATTTTCCCCACTGCTCCCTGATCCACAAGGATAAATGGAAGAAGGAGCTGGCAGAAACCGATTTCTACGAGTCATCAAAGGCGTGTTATTAAAAGTTAATGTATTTTCCATTGCCAGGTTTGGGACTAATGTAGCAATAAATTGAATGAAGATGGCTCAGACAGTCTACATAATGGGAAATCAGCTAATGTGAAACTAGAGAACCTTCTGTTTTTCTAGCGGGGGAAGGGCAGAAGTTAAGCAGTGTTCAACATCTGTTTCTGAAGCATCCGCAGCCGCACAGGAATCCAAGAGAAGATAGAATGTTGCCTTTTTGGCCAAGCTATCCCTAACTAAAGCTCTTCCATTTACAATCTCACTGCTATTTCTGGGTTTCAGGGCCAGTAAGGTCATGTTAAAGCTGATATTCCTAGGTACCTATGGAAGTTTGTAGTGAAGGGAGAGAAAATTCCTGGTGCCTGTAGTGTCAGGTTGAAGAGGGTAGGCTTTTGTCTAGGGTTTAGATATGTCCTATCACATACTAACTTTAGTTAATTGTTCAACCACTAGGTTGAATCACTTTCCTCTTTTTGGGGCTGATAACTGTACCTGATCCATGGAATTGTAAGAATTCGATAAAGTCATAGCTGGAGAATGTTTAGGAGTGCCTAATGCCTAGTATATTTACAATCAATGGTAGTTATTTTTACTACTACTATGGAAGAATTTTAATTGATGTCACCCTTTCTGAGCTGATGAAAACAAATGCACAATTCTACCTGTATTTTCTCCTTTCTTCCTTTCATTTTTCTTCTGTCTATTTCTCTATCTTCTATTTTGTCTGCTCTTTAAGCCCTTATAATTTTACTGGGCTTACTAGAGAAATAGGACACATCAAAATTTTTTGTTGCTGTTGTTGTATGTAAATAACGAATCAACAACTAATGATAACACTTCAGGATATAAGAGGATGAGCTAAAATTTCATTTCAAGATGAGGCTGGGGACTGGAATGACTTATTTCCTGGTCCTGATGAGATGAAATGAAGAAACCGGCAGGAACCAATAGATGGTGACAAAAGCCATTCCTGGCTGTTCTCATTGTTCATTCACATAAGACACTCCCACAAGTGCCATGACAGTTTACAAATGCCATGGCAACGACCTGGAAGTTACCACCCCTTTCCATGGCCATGACCCAGAAGTTATCACCCGTTTCCTAGAAAGTTCTAAGTAACCTGGCTGGGCGTGGTGGCTCACGCCTGTAATCCTAGCACTTTGGGAGGCCTAGGCAGGCGGCTCACTTGAGGCCAGGAGTTCAAGAGCAGTGTAATCAACATGGTGAACAAAAATTAGCCATGCGTGGTGGCAGACACCTGTAATCTCAGCTACTCAGGAGGCTGAGGCAGGAGAATCGCTTGAGCCCAGGAGGCGGAGGTTGCAGTGAGCTAAGATTGTGCCATTGCACTCCAGCCTGAGTGACAAGAGCAAAACACCATTCCCTCTCTCTTCCCCCCAAAAAAGAAAGTTCTGAATAGCCCATCCTTCAGTTTGCATTAACCTGCCCCTTAATTTGTGTGTAATTGAAAGTGGGTATAAGTGAGCATAAATACAGTTGCCAAGAGCCCATACCCTGCTGACTCTGTGCATGGTCTATGAGTTAGTCCTGCTCCACAAGGAGCAAATTTTACCATTTGATAAAATATTGCTGTCTAACACCACCTGCTCATGCTCAACTTCTTCCCTGGGCAAAGCTAAGAACCCTCCTGGACTAAGCACCAATTCTGGGGCTCACCTGCCCTGCATCAAAGAGACTTAGGGCAACCATTACAAAGCTCTTCCGACCAAGAGAAGAAAGAAAATGGACTTCTGCCTTTTGGATCTCGAACTGTCCCACTGTAAAATGAAAGGTTGGTCAGGATGATGCACGATGGAGCTTCAGATGTTAGTGTCTCCCTCACTAAAATGAATCAGGTGTAGTGATAAATTGTACTGGGCTAGCTCTGACAGTCTATTAATATATTAATGAGAGACTACTCTATGACTACTCTGGGCTCTAAAAGGGGAAAAGAAAAGGGAGGTCCATTCCTAGTGAGTTTTGAAGTGAGGCTGGGTCTTGACCTAAAGAAGAACAGATGTTATTGGGAATCAGTGGGGACCAATGATCCATGGTGAGCTAGTCATCATGAGCTAGTCATGGTGAAGCACTTGGGAAAGCACGCAGCAGGTCTGGTAATGAGCAGGCTGCTGATCTGAGGTCTGAAGAGCCCAAGCCCTCTTGGGGCTGGACAAATGAGATGTGCTGAGAGAGGAGGGAGCTGAGCAAGAACAAGGGACTGTTTGGAGCTGACTGGAGAGAGGTTAGGGAACATCGCTGGTTAATATGTCCATTGACTAAGCCATTGGGTCAACCCAGATGTTGGCCAAGAGCTGAGTGATCTCAAGGATCATCTGAGAGAGGTGGCATGGTGGAGAGGAAAAGGCATTATCTTTTAGACATGCAGAGAAGGCTGCTGCTTTCTAACTCTGCAAGGGGAAGCTGTTTGACTGCTTGTGGCCTTGGTTTTGGTTTGCAACATGGGAATCTGCCAGCATTTCAGGGCTGTTGTGAGGATGAGTGGCAATGTGTGTGCGCATGGCAGTGTGCTCAGCAAGTGGAAGTGATTATTGGTAACTCCATTTTTTTTCAGGTAAGAAAACCAGTGCTTACCTGAAGATTAAGGAAGGTAGTAAGGAAGGAAGATGATTCAGCTATTCATTTGTGAACTGAGTCAGTGCTTCTCCAACTGAATATGCACAAACATTAACTGGAGTGCCTGTTAAAAATGCTGAATCTGGTTTCGTAGGTTTGGGTGGGGCCCATGACTGCAGCTCTGGCAAGCTCCCAATGAGGCCTATGCTTCTAGTCCTGGACCAGATTTTGAGTGGCAAGAACCTATATAAAACAACCTCCTAAAGTTGTGGTGAAAGTAAATGAGTTAGTATAGATAAGTGCTTAGCAAATAGTCTGACACATAGTATAGGCCTTCAATAAATTGTAACTGCTGCCATTATTGTTTTATTCCAACTTTGAGGCTGGTGGGTTCTCTATTTTATCTCCTGAAGCAGCCCTAAAAGGGGGCCAGATTGTCAGCTTCTCAGGAAAAGCAAGAGCCTTTGACAGAGTGTTTATGGAGCTGTGCCCCTTTAAGCTTTAGCAAGACTGGGAGGAAGCTTTTCTAAGGTAGAAGGAAATGTTTGGAGACCCTCACAGGCAGGGACCTCATGCTGTTTCTAGCTTTTAGTTATGTGGGGAGTGGTTATTTAGTGGGTCTGTTTTTAGCAGTTCCAGTTGCCTGGGGACAAGCCAGATATGGACATCCAAATGTCTCCTGAAGGTGGCCTCAGAGAAGCCAAGGAAGAAGGAGTCCAGCCAAAAAAAAAAAAAAAAGGCAGACCCTTCTTACTAGCTCTCCCTGTAGGCCAAGTTTATAGCCCAGAAAAGTGCAGACTGTTCTCTGTGGACTCAGAAAGCACAGATCTTCAAGTTTTATGAGGACATTTCAGCACTTACAATGATATTGAACATTTAATTGCCTGTGCTTTGTTCAGCTAAAAGTATTCTTCTAGAAATGTAACTAGGTAACAGCCCAAGCTTCTCAGGCATCTGCCCGCTGGGTGTCCTGTTTGAGCCCTCCTTGTACTGAGCTGTCCCTGGCTGCTTGGAGCAGACACTCTTTTGATACCTCTTTGTCCTATAACTCGATATTGCCTTTACTCTCTGGACATGTGTCAGAGCTTGTCAGAGTTCTTTTCAATGAAGCTACTGGAGTAATTTCCTATCACCAATCTTCCAACCTAATGTCTTGAGGGAATTCTTGTACGACTGTTGTAGCTTCTTGTTAGATTCATAGCAGAGTTAAGGAAAGATTCAACGTGTACTTCATATTAATAAGATCTGGTGCCAAGGGAATCTATGACATAGTAGGAGTGGCTCATTGTGTTTCAAAGCACCTAACGGGCTTTTAGGCAATGACACCGATTATACCAAAATAGATTAATCCCTGTCTCAAATCCAAGGCAAAACTGTGAAGTCAGTGTTGAAACTCAGGTTCTATGTCTTGATACCTGTTATTTTGTTCTTCTATCTTCAATGAAACCAGCTTGGATAATTAAATTTTTTCACATTTAATGGAATATCCTTATATCCATGTTTCTCAAAGAGTGGTCTGAGGACTCCCTGGGTCAGAATCCCCTGGGAGCTTGTAAACAATATACATCACTTGACACTGTTCCAGGCCATCTGAACCTGGGCTCATGGAAGTAGGGATCTCCAGATCTACATTTTTCTTTTCTTTCTTTGAGACACGGTCTTGCTTTGTTTGTCACCCAGGCTGAAGTGCAGTGGCATGATCACGGCTCATTACAGCCTCAGCTTCTCAGGCTCAATTGATCCTCCTATCTCAACCTCCTGAGTAGCTGAGACTGCAGGCGTGGATCACCATGCCTGGCTAGTTTTTGTATTCTTTTTTTTGTAGAGATGGGATTTCACCATGTTGCCCAGGCTGTTCTTGAACTCCTGGGCTCAAGCAATCCAACTGTTTTGGCCTCCCAAAGTGCTGGGATTACAGGCGTGAGTCACCATGCCTAGCCCAGATCTGCATTTGTATCAAACCCGTATGGTTTGAAAACCACAGACTTATTCAAGGAAAGTAGTTGTGATGGTTAAGAGAAGTCTGTGTTAAGTGGCTCTAATTTATACCCTGGGTTCTTCATAAAGTTTCATTGTAAAAAAAGTTTTTACCAAAAGAAGAACTAGAAAATCTCTGGTGTAGTGGATAGATTGATTCTCTTGAGTTCAAATCCTAACTGCCAATTGTTTGTATGATTTTAGCCAGGGGTTGACAAATGATGGCTGCTTGCCAAGGGCCAGCCAGCCTGCTTTTATAAATACAATTTTATTGAATCAGAGCTCTGTCCATTCATTTACTATTGTCTGTGGCTATTTTCAGCTATAATGGCAGAATTGAGTACTTACGTCAGAGACTATACAGACTGCCAAGCCCAAAATGTTTACTGTCTGGCCCTTTATGAGAAAAGCTGATCAACCTTTTACCTAGGTGAATTAAAATATCTCTCCCAGCCTCAGTTTTTCTCATGGATAATATGAAATTAATAAAAACAGTATCTTGTGTGGTTAATTACCTCATTTAAATATTTAAGTATATTTATCTTTTAAATACTTAAATATTTAAATGAGGTAATGAATAGAAGTTTCCTGGGGTGACTTCTAATGATAATATTGTTTAATATTTAATTGAGTGCCTGCTGTGTGCTAGGCACTGATTTAAATACTTTACATGGACTGTCTTATTTGTCTTTATAACAACACTGTGAAGTCTTTTCATTATTCCCATTTACAGATGAAAAAATGGAGGCAGAGAGACTGAATAATTTGTTCAAGGTTATGCCAGCTACAATTGGTTGAGTCAGGATTGGATCCTAGAGCCTATGTACTTCATTGCTGTGCTGAATTTATCCAAATAAAGTTGCATTTCTGCCTTTCCTCCTCCTTCCTGAAGCTGGCACGGCCTGTACCTTTGCTCACAAATCTTAAAATAATCCCCCATAAACACAAGAGGAATCTGAAGTGGCAAAGGGATTGCAGCGTCTGTCCAATACAAGCTCATCACTTGTAAGTTGTGGAAGCTAAAAACCTTGCGTCCAAAGCCCCATAGCTGGATATATGCAACACCTGGTCTCCTACCCAGGGGAGCCCTCACTCACTGGTCAGATGACACTGAATTGATTCAGTCCCCTTAGTGTAGGAGAACATGAATAGTTCTATGAGGGAGTTTAATGAAAACTAAAACCTTAAGTTCTTACTGTCCTCAAGGTTCATAACTTTTTCAAATATACCCATAGGTATTGGACAGGTTGAGTCTCAAATGCCTGTTAAAACCAGACCACTGTCTATGGTGGTCATATTGTGTATTTCATGGCCCTGTGCCTCCCTACCCTCAGTGATTCAGAGTTTTCAATGGTCCATACCAGTACGGCCATATTGGTAATTAAAATAATGGAGTATTTCTCTATTGAAAATGATGGCTACCCTAAGCCTTCCTGGTACCCTCCCACTGAACTGGCTGTCTAAGCCCATCTCTCTTCTCAACTTTCCAGGAATTAAAGAGTTAACCCCTGTGAGACTAAGGGGTTTAGAGGACCCTGGTGCAGGCCTCAGGCAGCTTTGATTCTGATTTTTCTGTGTAAGTGCAGAGCTAATTGCTAACTATAATAATTTGAATACCACCTTGTGTGGGCATTCACTACTTCAGTACACTGGGATAAGCTGAGCCAATCACATACTTTCTTAAGAATTTGTATCTGGAAGAAAGACGTTGGGTCCTTCAACAGTGGGAGTTGGAATTTAAGAGGATTCTAAAGAGGGTTGTGGCCAGGATGGGCTCTGAGCAAGACTGAGATGCAAGAAGATTTAGTGAGCAGCAAAGGCTGGAGGGGAGAGAGTGAAGGGAGAGCATATCTACAGAGAGAAGCAGAGACACCCTGAGAGAACAAGCGGCCCTGGAGAGGACCAGAGCGGGGGCTGGTCCTAAGATCCACCTCAGTCATTGGTTATTTTTTAAGTTTCTTTAGACTGTATCTTAGCCCACTTGTGCTATGACATAATACCACAGACTGGGTAATTTATAATGACCAGAAGTTTACTTCTCAGAGTTCTGGAGGGTGAGAAGTTCAAAATTAAGGCAGTGGCATCTGGTGAGGGTCTTTTTGCTGCATCCTCACATGGCGGAAAGTGGAAGGGCAAAAAAAGAGAAGAACTGCCTCCATCAATCCCTTTTATAAGGCACTAATCCATTAATGAGGGCAGAGCCTTCACCCAAACACTTGCCCCAAGGGCCCTACCTTCCAACATGGCTGCACTGGAGATTACAGTTCCAATTTGTGTCCTTTACACACATTTTAAAGGACACATTCAGACCACAGAAAATTCCCTATGGGTACCTAAACCAAATCCCATTTCCTGAGTGAAGCTGTTTTTGATATAAAAGAGCCAGAAGAATCAGTATGGCTTCAAGCCAGTAGTCATTCATTCCATTTAAATTAAACTACAACAAGAGACACATTGAAATCATAAAATATATTGTAAGCGGCACCATGCCATGGATATCTTTGACTGCATCTGCATGACCATTCCAGGCACTATGAGATGACAGACCCTCACTGTGGCGAGGGTAGATGAGGTTAGCAGCTGAGGCCTAGCAGCCTGAAGAATGCTCTCCTCTCTCATTATTGGCCTTCATTCAGGGCTGCTGCCCATCAGCATGAATTATCACTTTTAATAACCAAACGGACATTGAAATGGTAATGAGAATATTATGGTTTTCCAAATGAAAAGCCTCAATCTAATATATTTTCCTTTGAGAACACTAATTTGAAAATAAAATCATAGTTAATTTAAGCTAAGTTAAATACAAAGAATAATGGAAAATAACCAGTAAAAGCTTTGTACTACTGCTTTTATTTGGGTGCACAGAGACCTACATAGCCTATCTGTAATTCCTTATTTCCTGGGAAACTTAAGATGGTTGGAGAGAGGTGTGTCATAGCTGAGTATTTTCAAATGATTATAAAATGGAAGTATTAAAGACTGAAAGGATGAGAAGATTTTAAGTAGGAATATTGATAATAGGTGAAACTATTCCAAGGGTTAGACTAGAAATGGAATTTCAAAACAATGCAGGGCTCAGGAGAAGAAAAAATAGGAAAGAAAAACAAAAATCCTAAGCTTGTCACTCAAGTCTCTCTGGGATCTGCCCCCATAGGTCACCATTCTCTCTGCCGTCTTCCCTGCACTGCCCTGTACTGCTGCCAGCTCACAGACAGTCCTGCTATTCCCTTGTCATCTCTGCCTATTCTCAGCCTTCTACTCGGAAAGTCTACATCTCTGAGGACAGAAATTCTCTGAGTCCTTCTACAGTCCCACCCCCGCACTTTCCCAATCACAATTCTGACTCCAGATTTTTATTGCATTTTGTATTTTTTCCTACCCCATGGCACTTAAAATATATGACCCTGTTTCCCAGTGTTTGGAGTACATGTTCTACTTCTGCTATTAGACTCTAAGCTCCCAGAGCCTGCTCACACTTTTTCCTGTATCCTTGAAATATACATTTACCTTCTCCCCTTGCCCTCACCATACCTAATTAACTCTTACTCATCTTTACATCAGCATTCAAAAGGGGCTTTTCCTGAGAAGTCTTCTGGATTCCTCAGCCTAAGTTAGGTGCTCACATAGCTCCTTATTCACTTTTTGTCACAGCACCATATATTTATATAATTATTTTGTAAAGGTCTACCTCCCGCTCTGGACCAGCTGGGCAATGTGAAATGTACAGACTCCCAAGCCCTGGAGATTCAACACTGGGTCTGAGATATGGCCTGGGGGACTGGGAGTTTCTAGATGTAGCAAGGACCCAGGCAATTCTCATCATCAAGAACACTTGGGAGACATTGTCCCAGCTCCCCAGAGATTCATATGTCACTGGTCTGGGGCAGAGACTTGGCAGAGTGTTGGAAGAGACAATATTTTCCAATCTAGTTTCTGGTTTTGTTTCATGTATTTTGTAGAAAACTTTGTCCTTTTAAAAATAATATGTTACATTTTTGATCAAGACTGATGAAGATATTTAACTTCTGGATGAGGAGAGTGCATAGCAACAATCTATTCTCATTGAGGGCCTTAGTCACACCTATTTTAACCTGTATGCCTTTTGTATTTCTGCAAATAATACTGGTTGACATCCTCTTCATTGATAGTCTATTATGGCTGAGGTTCTCCACCCCTGCCCCCCATATTGTGGACTCAAGAGGCCTTAAGGTAACAAATAAAGACAGCATCTTTCACCAGAAGGATTTTTGGGGAGTTCATTGGCCATAGAGTGTTTCCCAAGAGATGGGCACAAAGCCATAGGCTGAGCTAAACCTGATGCAGAGAACAAGAGAGAGCCTTCTAGAGTGATGTTACAAGTTTATTTAATTACTTTCTAAGTCTCCTCCACAATTTCCATCCCCCTCTTAACACACTCAGGTAAGTGAACACATTTGGGTAACCAAAGAAGGAGATGGAAAAGCCCCCGAGTTGGGCTTGCAGCCTTCAATATTTGTCTTAGTAACCCCTAATCCCATCTTCTCTTTCAGAGCACTTGCCTTTCTCTGCTCTTCAATATCTACTCATAAACACTGAACCCAGAGATGAGTTTCAAAGCTTTGAGAAGCCAAATTACTATATATATATAGAGTATATATTATATATATATTATATATATATTTAATTTCCACTTAGGTAAGATTATTGAGAGTTTTCTCAGAATTTGCTTTTTTTTTTTTCAGAAAAAGCTTCAGATTATATTTACCTTAAGATTATTAACCTTATCTGCATACCCATAAACACTGATAATTAGAAATTTATGTATACAATTAACTTGTGGGACATTCACCTGAAAGTAAATAGTCCCTCATGAATCACCACTATCTTCACTATCTTCTATATCAAAACTTATTACCGATAAAGAAATCAACACATTTGTTTCTTCCAAGCATCTTTAAAACTCAACAGCTTTGTCCAGCTGATGGTGTTTTTCTTCCATCAGAACCTGTAGCTCCCACCTCTGCAGGGACTTGAAGTACTGTTTAGATTTTATTCCACTTGGGGTCAGTATTGTGCTCCTGATTGCTGCTGTCTTCTTGTTTTTATAACTTACAAATATTAATTTGGGAATCTCAGTGGAAATATCCATCCAGTGAAAACATGGGAAGATGCAAAGGTGATCCAGCTCTGGCTGCTGTCACTCCCACCCCTGTCTTGATGGCTAGCTACATTCACTTTGTAGCAAACTAGGGAGCCAATTCATTATCACTCCCTTGTTTCCGTGTCTTCTTTTAATGCCATCTGAATGTTTTCATCCTCTTAAATGCTGTTGAGACATGACTTGCCATGACAGCTTAGCATCTACACAATTGTGACAAAGGCTTAGCCAAAAGGGGGCCTGGACGCAATATTTTAGCTCCAGCTGTTTCTCCTTATTGCTATTAGCAAAAAATTAGTGTTTTTCTTTAAAGGAGAAAGGTTACAATTAATTACTTGAGGAAGAAAAAAAAACACAAACAGTGGTCTCATTCTTGGCTGCACACTGAAATTATCTAGGGATAATAAGTAAAATACTGATGCTCCGGCCATAACCTAGACCCGAGATGGGAATTTCCGAGAAGGAGAGGGTGAGGGGTGGGGTGGTCTCAGGTATAAGCATTTTTTAAAGATCCCTAGTAATGTGGTTAGGTTGAGAACCAATGTCCTAACAAAATTTGGAGGGCTGAAGCTGACTATAAACACAGAAGAATTCCAGAGCTAAGGCAGGCCAAAAACAAAAAGCCAGAAATCAAATTGGATTCTGTTTTCTTCTGTTGATTATCAGTGTGACTTTGGAGAAGTCATATCACTACCTTGGGTTCTTCTGTAAATGGCATAAGGGCCAAAGAGAATGGAATGTGACAATCATTTGAAAACAGATTCTTATTATTATGGTCATTTTTATAACCATATTATTCAGTTTATTGTATTTATGGAGCTTAACCAGTGTCCTCTTCCTTTTTTCTGTGCTTGACTTCTTCAGTGTTTCCTGGGCTTCATGCTGATGTAATGGAAACAGAATTTCCTAGATGGGTTGTGGGCAGGAATTTACATTTTAGCAGACAAACTGTAGGACTTCCAGTTCTAGACAAATGAACTTAATGCATTTCTCCCTAGCCTTCCTATAAAATGCAGGTAAAAACCCAGACATTATACATAAAACAAACATAAAAAGTCTCTGAAAGGTGGAGAGAAGAAGGTAGATTGGTTAGGGACTAATCACTAACTATAGCTAAACTCCTGGACATCATGTATGCAATATTCTTTTTAAAATTTTGACAACAAATAATCTACTCCAACAAAATACCAGGGAAGAATCCATGTCATACCTTTACCTTGTAGAAAAGGCTGAGAAGCATAGGTTGAAAACCTAGACTTCCATCCTCACCTGGAGGTGATGAGGTGCTCTTTTCCATCCATGCTGAGGTGGTCTCCCAGGAAGTCAAGTAGGCAGCCTGGATTTCTACCTCCGCCCTGTGGCGATGAGCTGCCCTTCCTTGAATGCCTTCCTTCAGTTTAGTGGAGACTATCCAGGGAGCATGAACTTCTAACCCTCATCTGCTGGTAATGAATAGCTCCCCGCTCCCTGCCATGGTGGTACCAATGGAGGCTGCTGGGGAGTCTGGACTTCCACTTCCTTCCAGTGATAAAGAGTTAGTGCCCGGCTTCCACCACCAGTCCAGTTTCAGCACAGGCCAGCTAAAACAAAAAATTTACATAAGATCTAGAGCCTCATAATGTAACACCCCAAATGTTCAGAATAGGATAAAAAACCACCCATCATACCAAGAGCCAGGAAACTCTCAACTGGAATGAGAGAAGGAAATCAACAGATGACACTACTGAGACAACACAGATGTTGGAATAATCTGATAAGTATTTTAAAGAAGATGTCTTAAAAATGTTTTAATGAGCATTTGTAAACATCTCTGAAACAAATGGAAACAAACTGTTCAGGCGATGTTTGTGCCCATCATGGAACATGTGAAGATCACCATTTCGGGAAGTTCAGGTATTTTTTTAAGAGAGGAGGCAGCTGGTCAACTAGGTTTTTGTTTTTTAAACTCTAATCATTTCTTTGAGGGCCTAAGTTGGCTTAGTGTTAAATACCTCCTGAATGTTTCCAACTTACTTCTTGGCAATCTTATATTAAAATAGAATGAATAGGGACACAGTCAACCTCATTGGCCATTATGGCTAAAGATTTAAGGAACTGAGAAGTGACATCACTTCGTATATAGAATCCAATTATAGCTGTCTCTGACCAGCTCATATCTTACTTAAGCTACAACTCTTAATAGGAACCACGACTTCCCTCCTCTTCCTTACTGACTGCAGCTCCCATACCCCCTCTACCATCTGCTTACTACTCCACCCAGAGTCAGTTTAGGGGGATTTTGTGGATGATTCAGTGACAGCCATTTTTATGGCACTTGGAGGAAAATGGGGGAAGGAGGAAGGGGAGACTGGGTGCCCCTACTTCTCCTTTTCCTGCTACCACTTTTACTGGAAACTCAACACAACACCCTTTAGAAGCTTTCCTAGCCTTACTTCTGTCAAAATCCAACACTCACACCCACCCCAGATCTCACCCAGTTACTTCTTTCATAGGCTTCACATTCCTACAATAAAACACCCAAGAATGCTTCTTGCTAAGTTTTCTTTTAAAATAAAGTAATATTGATATGGACAGGAGACAGGGAAATACTGGGTAGAAGAGGACAGTTCCTTGGCAAAGGCCCTACCCTCAAGCCTGGATATCCTAGCCCTAAATGAGGACAGGAATTCCTGTTTTTTTGCGCAAAAGTTGCCTTTGGCCCACCACGCCCCCATCCTGTAACCCCATCCATATAAGCCCCAAACCCCAGGCTCCAGAAGCAGATGAGGATATGAGGAGATGAGGAGACAAGCAGACAAATGGCAGAATGGTGTGGCAGAGAAAGAGAGAAGAGAAGGAGAGTCTGTATGCTGAGAGGAGTTTGGCTGGGGGTGGTCAGAGAGGAGTTCGGCTGCTAAGATGGCCCAACTCCAGGGGAAGATCATCTTCCCACTCCATCTCCATTCCAGTTCCCTATCCATCCTGTTGAGAGTCACCTCCACCACTCAATAAAACTCTGCATTCATCCTTCAAGTCCATGTGTGACCTGATTCTTTTGGGACCCTGGACAAGAGCTTGGGTTACAGAAAGCTGTCACACCTGGCCCTCTGCCCTTGAAAAAAGGCAGAGGGTCCATTGAGCTGGTTAACACTTAAGCCATCTGTGGACAGCAAGGCTAAAGGTGCACACTGTAACATGCACCCGCTTGGGTGTTGGGAGTCACAGACACCCACCCTCAGACACTGCCATGGGGCTGGAGCCTAAAAGCACTTGCCCCAGTTCCTGCACCTGCTCCATAAGGGGTTTGAGCCTGAGGTGGCCTAACAGAAAGCCACACCCACATTGCATGTCCTGCAAGGAGGCCAGGGAGCTCTCCCATTTCAATATTATTAACCCATTTAAGCATAAGTCCTATTAATAGAAAACAACTGTCATCTGGCCTCCTTCCTCTTTAGGACACGTAGGAAAAGTGAATTAGTTCGACTTAGTTTCCCACAATTGATAGTATTAAAATTGAGGTTTAGAAAAACCTGAAAAGGCTCTATGCTTGGGAACAAAGCAAAAATTCTATCATAATGTTGCATAATCTGCCCCTTTCCAACTAAGGCCAACCAAAGTCAATGTTCTATTGTCTTCTCAGAAACCCATCGTACTTGAGAATGAAAAGATTTTTTCCTGCCTGACCTGACCTTTAAGTGAAGAAAGGGGAGCCACCAAGAGACATAGATATTTGCTGATGTACCCAGGCCAGGCTGCTACCTAGACACCTCATATTCTCAGCCTTCTAAATTTCCTGACTGATCAGATTCACCCCTTTTCGAGGTGAGGGGGGTGCATTTCTTCATACCACATGTTCAGTATCAGCTGTAAATTTTGCTCAAACAAAAGAAAAATTGTTCTTAGTCTTGTCAAGCCCCACGATGATTTCTAAGATTGTTCTATTGTCCAAAATTCTCTGGACAACCAGCTGTTCTTTAAAGGATTAGGTGATCTCTCAGAGCAGAAGTTGGGGATCTGGCCAGTGCCACATTGGACAGTATTCCTATACTAGACTCTACTTGGTAAGTACAGCTAGTTGATTGCTGACCTTGTTTATTCGTATAGATATCATTTTTGGTAAAAGCCTGCTTTGTCTGCTAACAGGCATATGTAAGGTTTAGGAAGGAAAAGAGCAGTAAGTGATGGAATTGAGGCTTTTTGGTTTGTTTTCTCCAAGGTTTCTATTTACTTACATAGGGATGAGTGACTACGCCGATTCTTCTCCTTTCATAACAGTGGACTCCAAGTCTTTTGACCCACTGGTGGTAGTAATTATGGATTCCTAAATCAATGCTTCTCTGACATCATCATGAGAATCTTCAAAAATTAAAGTAACTGAAACAGTTTTGTGGTGGGATTTTAAAATAGCAGCTGCAGCTTCAAAGATGGGGTAGCAATCAATTAGGAAATGTAATGATCCAGGACTTAACAGGAAATGCAATAACCACTGAGAGAAGTGAGGATATGTCCTCACCTAGCTAATGTTATCACACAGATGATGAGGGCATGGATGATAAGCCACGTGAATAAAGCATACATTTTATGCAGTGGTGGATTGTTTAAGGAAAGAAAAACTTAGGGCCTCTGTAGTAGATGGTTTTGAGGCACATTTTAGGGAAGTGACCAGAGATGCAGAGTGACATGTCATTTTATTTTATAGGATGCAACAGGGATCCCTAGAAAGTGTGGCTGAAATCTCCAGAGTCCCCAAGTCCTCCACTCCACCCCATTGACCAGTGAGAAAGCAGCATCAGTCATAGCCATCTAATCCCCTTCACCTGCCCACTCCTCCCCCAGCTCAGGAAATTGTTCTAGGTCTCCTGTGATGAGAGCAATCAGCAAGTGGATTGGGGATTGCCTGAGTGATTTGCCAGGGGAGCATTCTCCAGAGGTTGAGTCATCTGCCTTGCCAAAAATAAAAAGCCAATGTACTCAGATTGGGTTTCTTGGTTGATAATGAAAAAATGTGGGAAAGCTATACACCTGCAGTGCATGACTATAAAGACACAAGAAGTAAGATCTGGAAGGCTAAAGGAAGCCTGAGTCAGATTGTTCATCCCTCTTTTCTCCATGAGTACCAGGTGTTTCATCTGTGTACAAATAAATTGCTCTCATGAGCACCCATTCCACCATTCAAAGCCATCACTTTCATGCAACTTTTTTCTTTACATTTCACTTTTGTGAAGATTGCTTTCTTGTCCTTTGAGGGGATAGAGACAAAGCAACCATTCCCCTCTGACTAAATAATGCTTCATACACAACATTCTTAGCCAAATAGTGCCAAGATTCTGCTTCGCCCATCTAAGTAATCCCCTTCACACTTCTTTGTTTTTATTTTAATTATATCTGTTGCTGTTATTTGATTTCTCTTAAGATTAAGAAATAAGACTGAACATAGAAATGGAATAAGATGAGAAATGTGCCAAAAGGAAAAATAACCTTGTGGTTTTTACCTCCTCTAGTTATAAGCAACATGTTGACTCAATTTTTAGTAGTACTATATGGAATTTAACCAATTTCTAAACATAATCATTTTGAGTTAGTGGTATACTCTGAACTGATCTTTTAAAAAGGTTTTATTGTAGTATAATTTATATACAAAGAGGTGTCTATATGTAAAGTATAAGTGTTAACAAATATTTGCACCTGAGAAACTATTATATACTCAAGATAATAAACATAAACGTTATCTCAAACTATTTCCTTTAGCCCCTTTGTAATTTCTCTCCCACTTCTTTTGATCCCTCTCCCACACTGACCTGCTTTCTGTCACTATAGATTAGTGTATCTCTCAATTTATTTAGGTTGCTTTCATTTTGGCAATAATTTTTAAGTTTTCAGGATAAGATCTTGCACATTCTTTGTCCGATTTATTCCTAAGGATTACATTTTTTGATGCTATTTTAAATGATAATTTTTAAATTTCAATTTTAGATTGTTAGCATATACAGTTGATACTTGTACACTGACCTTGTAGCCTTCAAAATTGTTAAATTTACTTATTAGTCCTAGCAAGGTTTTTGCAGAGTGCACCAGATTTTTTCTCCGTAGAAAATGATATATTAGTGAGTAAAGAGAATTTCATCTTTTCATTTTCAATGTTGATGCCTTGTATTGCCTTTTCTCACCTTATTGTGTTGGCTGGAATCTCTAACATGGTATTGAATAGAAGCAGTGAGAGTGGACATTCTTGTCTTCTCTTAAATTTTAGAGGGAAAACATCTGGTCTTTCACCATTAAGTATGATATTAGCTGTAGGGTTTTCATAAATGTTCTTTACCAGGTTGAGGGCTTTCTTTCTTTCTTTCTCTCTCTCTCTCTCTTTCTCTCTTTCTCTCTCTCTCTCTTTCTTTCTCCTTCCTTCTTTCCTCCCTTCCTTCCTTCCTTCCTTTCTTCCTTCCTTCCTTCCTTCTTTTTTATCTTTCTTTTTTCTTTTTTGGTTTTTGATAAGAACATTCAATATAAGATTTACATCTTAGCAATTTTAAGTATACAAGACCACACTGTGAACTATAGGCACTATACTATATAGTAGGTCTCCAGAACTTATTTATCTTGTATAAGTTCTGGATGAACTTATACATGATGAAATTTGTACCCTTTAGCCATCACCTCCTCATTTTCTCCTCCTCACAACCTTTGTCAACTGCCATTCTACCTTCTGCTTTCATGAGTTTTGACTATTTTAGATTCCACATATAAGTGAGATCATACAGTATTTGTCTTTCTGTGTCTGACTTGCTTCACTTAGCATAATGTCTCCCAGGTTCATACATGTTGTTACAAATGGCAGGATTGAGGAAGTTCCTTTCTTTTTCCAGTTTGCTAAAAGTTTTAGTGAAGAATGGATGTTGGATTTTGTTAAATGCTTTTGTGCTGCTATTGAAGTGCTCGTATGGTTTTTCATTTTTCAGACTTATGTGACGATTTACACTGATTAATTTCCATGCTAACTACACTAAAGTATGATCTGCTGACATTTTGTTAAGAATGTTTGCAATCTATGTTCAAGAGAGATTCTGGATTGTAGTTTTCTTTCTTGTAATGTCTTTGTCTGGTTTGGTATTAGAATAATGGTATCCTTATAGAATGAATTGAGACATGTTCCCTCCTCTGCAATTTTCTGGAAGAGTTTGTGTAAAATTAGTATTATCTCTCCCTTAAATGTTTGATGGAATTTACCAGTGGAGACATCTGGGGCCTATAGTTTTCTTAATTAAATGTTTTTTTAACTGCAAATTCAATTTCCTTAATGGTTATAGAGCAATTCACTAATCTAATTCTTGGGTCACCTTAGGTAATTTTTCTTTCAAAAAGCCTATAGATTTCATTTACATTGTCAAATTTAATGACATACAACTATTTATAATATTCCTTTATTATTCTCTTAATATCTGCAGAGTCTGAAGTGATGTCACCTCTCCTGTTTCTGTTGTAATTTGTCTTTTCTGTTTTTTCCTGATCACTTTGACTAGACATTTAACAGTTTTATTGATCCCAGAGAACAAAATTTTGATTTCATTCTTTTTCTATTGTGATTGTTTACTATTTTGTTGATTTCTGTTCTGATATCTGTTATTTTCTTTCTTCTGTTTATTTGCTTTTACTAGTTTTTAAGGTGAAAACCGATTCATTGACCTGAGACCTTTTGTCTTTTCTAATATTGGTCTTTAGTCTATAAATTGTGAATCTGTTGTATTTCCACTTTCATTCTGTTCAAAATACTTCATAATTTCTTTTTTAGTTTTCATCTCACCTACAGGTTAGTTAGAAGTGTGGTTGTTAGTGTCTAAAGGGTTCTGGTTTTCAGCAGTTTGACTATAATGTGCCTTGGTATAATTTCCTGCAGGTTTCTTTTGCTTGTGCTTCATTCAGCTTTTTCAATCTGTGGGTTTGGAGTTTTAAATCAAATTTGGAAGAAATTTCAGTTCATTATTTCAAATATATCTATGTTTTTGTTTCCTCTCCTCCTTTGGGGACTCCAATTAGATGTATATTAGGTGGCTTTTAGCTTTCCCATAGCTCATTAATCCTCTGTTCATTTTTTTCCCAGTATTTGTGTGTATGTGTGTTTGTGTTTCATTTTGAGTAGGTTATATTGCTACATCTTTCAGTTTTTTTCCTGCAATTTCTAGTTTGCCCTTAAACATCCAGTGTATTTATCTCAGACATCATAGTTTTCATCTCTAGATGTTTGATTTGGACCTTTTGTTATATCTTCTATATCTCTATTTCAGTTTTTCAGTCTTTTCTTTAGCTTCTTGAATATATGAAATAGCATTCTAATAGGAGTTTTAATGTTCCTGTCTGTTATTTCTATAATTTGTGTCATTTCTGGGTGACTTCTGATTAATTTTTTCATCATTTTGGGTCATATTTTTCTTCTTCTTTGCATGCATGGTAATTTCTTATCGGCTGCAGACTTTGTGAATTTGTAAGTTCTAGGATATAGTTAAGTTAGTCGAAAATAGTTTGATCTGTTCATGTATTGCTTTTTAAGACTTTTAGGTAGAACCAGACCAGCATTTATTTTAGAGTTCATAACTGAGGAAGCATACTTTTGAGCACAATGCCCAGTGCTCCATGGACTATGAGATTTTCTACCCTGGATATTAGAAATAGCCACCATTCCCGGCCTTATGTAAGTGCCAGTGATTATTTCCTCCAGTCCCGTTGGGTGGTTCTTTCTCTGATCCCACATATATGTGCTGATCAGTACTCAACTGAATACTTGAGAGAAATCTCTTCAAATATTCAGAGTTCTTTGTGTCTCTCTCTTTTGTCTTGCCTAAGGCTTGCAAACTCTAGCTGCCTTTATCTTCTCAGACCTAGTTCATTCTTCCCAACTCATGGACATTGTCTGGCTCTGCCTGAATCTCCCTTGCTGTTCAATGGCCTGAAAACTTTTCCCAGGCAGTAAGCTGGGGGAATCGTAAGCTCATCTCTTGTTTACCATCTCTCAGGGATCACTATCTTTTGTTGCCTGATATTGAATGTCATGAGAACCACGGTTTCTTATTTTTTGTCTAGTTTCTTTGTTGTTTCATATGAGAGGGTAAATCTTATCCCTGTTACACTGTAAGTCCACAAAATGCTGATCCCTTTCAAAAGTTCCAAGCATATAAAATTAAAGTGAATTTTTCATATACTTCAAAACTCGTTCTTTATTAAAGGTAATTTATTCTTTTTTTTTTTTTTTTTTGAGACAGGGTCTCACTGTGTCACCCAGTCTAGACAGCAATGGTGCAATCAGCTCACTGCAACCTCTGTCTCCTGGGTTCAAGCAATTCTCATTGCTTGAATAGACCCAAGTAGACCCAAGTAGCTGGGTCTATAGGCATGTGCCAACACACCTGGCTAATTTTTGTATTTTTAGTGGAGATGGGGTTTCGCCATGTTTCTGAGGCTGGTCTCAAATTCCTGGCCTCAAGTGATCCGCCTGCCTCGGCCTCCCAAAGTCCTGGGATTACAGGTGTTAGCCACCTCGTCTGGCCTGACTTAATATGTAAATTGTTCAAAATAGGGAGTAGAAGTCCCTCTATCATGACTTAAAACAAAGCAAAGCAAACCAAAGGAATCACAGTATCATGCTGCACAATCCGATGAAGCCAAACTCCACATTCTTCAGGTCTGAGTCTTAGTTCCAGGACCCTCAGATAAGCTAGGATGGGATCATCTACTCATCCGGAGAGTTTGCTGATTTGAGACAGTCTAAACACATACTACTGATCTTAAGGTAGGTGGGAAGTTGAGAAATGATAGAGGAGTTCCTCTCTAATAAAGCATTTCCTAGTGTGTGTTCCATAAAACCCCAGTGTTTCACAAGATGTCAATAACTATTTAGGAAAAATCTCAATCACAAAATACCATTTCAAGGTCAAATGAAATTTATGAATAATATTGTCCTTATTAGGGATTCACAATGCACTTGAACTCTCAAAATTTCTGCAGTTAGCTTTGATTATACCAGATATCCAAAGACTTTTAGATAATTTCTCCTTTTTCCCTGAAAGAGTTATAGATTTTTTTTTACTTGCAAACAACATAACTGACTACTCTAATCAGATCCAAATCCACATATGTACTAAAGTTATGAAAATAAAATTTACTTATATCCACAAAGTCATTGAACTGATATTGCTTTTGGTTCAAGTACTCAATGAGAAAATTGTAACCTTTAACAAGAAGAAAATCTTGCTTACAATGTGACTAAAATATCAAAAAGTATTACATGTAGGAAATGGAAGATTTAAAAATGTTCAGGGATCATGAATACATTACCCATTATTATGTCTAGTGCATCCCGAGTACATAGGCATTCAATAAATTCATTCTATCAATAAATATTCATGAACACTTATCATGTGTTATGGCATGTACTGAACACTGAATGCATGAAATTAAATAAAACATAGTCTCTGAACTGCAAGCAGCTTGACATTCATGGGGAATGGCAAGTAAATAAATTATTATTGTTCATTAATCCAGAAGGACCTTTTCATTCTCTCATTCACAGAAGTTATTTGAGGACCTACCATGTGCCAAGCACTGCTCTAGGGTCTGAGGATATGGAGGAAACAAAAAAGATGGAGTCTCTCTTCTTTTTGATTTTCTTTTAAAAAAATTAATTTATTTTTTAAGAGACAGGATCTTGCTTTATTATCCAGGCTGGGGTGCAGTGATGCAATTACAGCTCACTGCAGCCTTGACCACCTAGGCTCAAGTGATCCTCCTTCCTCAGCCTTCCTGGTAGCTAGGACTCACAGGCATGCACCACCACATCCAGCTAAGAGTCTCTATTCTAAGAGCTCATGATTTGATGGTGAAGGAAATTTAGAAAGTGATTGCGTACTTTAATAAGCAGAACAGTAAGTGGAGGTTAGCCAAGTGGAAGAAGACAGGTACCAAAGATGAATATGTATCTCTGCAAAGAGACTTGGCACAGATCAATCCAGAAGGTGAGAAGGAACATGGCTGCTCATGCATCAAAGGACTGTCAGTCTGGCTGGAACAAACAGCAGAGGGCAAGTGGCCAAAGCTGGAGGAAGAGTGTTAAAAATTGAATATTGTTCCGTTAGAAAATAACTTAGACCTTTTCTTCACACCACACTAAAACGTATTCAAAGTAGCTCATAGATGAAAATGTAAAACCTAAAACTATAAAACATATACAGAAAAACTATAGAAGAAAATCTTTGTGATCTTGGTTTAAGTAAAGACTTCTTAAAACACCAAAAGCACAACCCTTATAAGAAAAAAGTAATAAATTGAATTTATCAAAATTAAACTTTCATTATTTAAAAAAATCATTATGAAAATGAAGAGACAAAGCACAAACTGGGCAAAAATATTTGCAAATTGTATATCCAATAAAGGACTTGAGTTTAGGATATATAAAGAACCTTTGCAACTCAGTAATGAGAAGGCTGAAAACCCAACTAAAAAATAGACAAAGGCTAGGCATGGTGGCTCCCACTTGTAATCCCAGAAGAAGGATTGCTTGAAGCCAGGAGTTCAAGACCAGCCTGGGCAATGTAGCTAGACACCATCTCTACAAAATGAAAATAAAATAAAAAACTAGCCAGAGATGGTGGTGTGTACCTGTAGTACTAGCTACTTGGGAGGCTGAGGTGGGAACTTTGCTTGAGTGCAGGAGTTTGAGGACATGGTGAGCTGCACTCTCTGTATTCCAGCCTGGGCAGCAGAACAACATCTTCTTAAAAAAAAAAAAAAAAAGATTTCCACAGATATTTCACCAAGAAAAAAAAAAAAGGAAAAAAGAATAGTAAGTTAGCACATGTAAGCACATGGAAAGATCCTCATTATCATTAGTGATTACAGAAATATAGATTAAACCCACAATGAGATCCACTTCATGCCCTCTAAAATGATTGCAATAAAAAAGACAATACCAAGTAGTAGTGAGGAAGATACCGGCAGCCTCACATATTGCCTAGTGAATTGTAAAATGGTACACCTGGTACTTTCTTAAAATGTTAAACATACAAGCACCATGTGCCTCAGTAATAACACTCCCCCAGATAGCTACCCAAGAGAAACAAAAATACATGCTTATATATGCTTACATAAAGACCCATGGTAGGACTATTTATAATAGCTCCAAGCTGAAAAAAACTAACAAATATCCATTAACTAATGAAATAAACATATGTAGTTATGTCCATACAATGGAAGATTATTCAGCAATGAAAATAAATACATAAAACAGTATGGATGAACCTCAAAAACATTATACTAACTGAAAAATAGCCAAGTACCAAAGGATACATAGTGTATGATTCCATTTATATGAAATTTCTGGGGAAGGCAAAAACTGTAGAGGCAAAAAGATCAGTAGTTGGCTAGGGCAAGGAGAGGGAGCAGAGACTAATTGTGGTGATGGTTGCACAATTGTATAGTTTTTGTAAAACTAATCAGGTACACTTAGGATGGGTAAATTTTATGATGTATAAATTCTATCTTCAAAAAGTGGGTAAAAATAAAACAAATTAGTAGATACATATGTGAATGAAACAAAAGTAGCCAATGCTTGGCAATTGTAGAATCTAAGTGTTAGGTATATTAATGTCCACCATACAATTTTGTTTGTTTGTTTTTTGTTTCTTGTTTTTCAAGATGGAGTCTTGCTCTGTCACCCAGGCTGGAGTGCAGTGGCGTGATCTCGGCTCACTGCAAACTCCACCTCCCAGGTTTGCGCCATTCTCCTGCCTCAGCCTCCTGAGTAGCTGGGACTACAGGCGCCTGCCACCACGCCTGGCTAATTTTTGTATTTTTAGTAGAGACGAGGTTTCACCGTGTTAGCCAGGATGGTCTTGATCTCCTGACCTTGTGATTCGCCCGCCTCAGCCTCCCAAAGTGCTGGGATTACAGGCATGAGCCACCGCACCCGGCCAACAAATTTTAAAACTTTTCTGTCTGTTAAAGGCCTTCGACAAAATTGAACAGCCCTTCATGCTAAAAACTCTCAATAAACTAGGTATTGATGGGATGTATCTCAAAATAATAAGAGCTATTTATGACAAACCCACAGCCAATATCATACTGAGTGGGCAAAAACTAGAAGCATTCCCTTTGAAAACTGGCGCAAGACAGGGTTGCCCTCTCTCACCACTCCTATTCAACATACTGTTGGAAGTTCTGGCCAGGGCAATCAGGCAGGAGAAAGAAATAAAAGGTATTCAATTAGGAAAAGAGGAAGTCAAATTGTCCCTGTTTGCAGATGACATGATTGTATATTTAGAAAACCCCATCATCTCAGCCCAAAATCTCCTGAAGCTGAGAAGCAACTTCAGCAAAGTCTCAGAATACAAAATCAGTGTGCAAAAATTACAGGCATTCCTATACACCAATAACAGACAAACAGAGAGCCAAGTCATGAGTGAACTCCCATTCACAATTGCTTCAAAGAGAATAAAATACCTAGGAATCCAACTTACAAGGGATGTGAAGGACCTCTTCAAGGAGAACTACAAACCACTGCTCAACAAAATAAAAGAGGACACAAACAAATGGAAGAACATTCTATGCTCATGGATAGGAAGAATCAATATCGTGAAAATGGCCCTACTGCCCAAGGTAATTTATAGATTTAATGCCATCCCCATCAAGCTACCAATGACTTTCTTCACAGAATTGGAAAAAACTACTTTAAAGTTCATATGGAACCAAAAAAGAGCCCCCAGTGTCAAGACAATCCTAAGCAAAAAGAACAAAGCTGGAGGAATCACGCTACCTGACTTCCAGCTATACTACAAGGCTACAGTAACCAAAACAGCATGGTACTGGTACCAAAACAGAGACGAATGGAACAGAACAGAGCCCTCAGAAATAATACCACACATCTACAACCATCTGATCTTTGACAAACCTGACAAAAACAAGCAATGTGGAAAGGATTCCCTATTTAATAAACGGTGCTGGAAAAGCTGGCTAGACATATGTAGAAAGCTGAAACTGGATCCCTTCCTTACACCTTGTATAAAAATTAATTCAAGATGGATTAAAGACTTAAATGTTAGACCTAAAACTATAAAAACCCTAGAAGAAAACCTAGGCAATACCATTCAGGACATAGGCACGGGCAAGGACTTCATGTCTAAAACACCAAAAGCAATGGCAACAAAAGCCAAAATTGACAAATGGGATCTAATTAAACTAAAGAGCTTCTGCACAGCAAAAGAAACCACCATCAGAGTGAACAGGCAACCAACAGAATCAGAGAAACTTTTTGCAATCTACCCATCAGACAAAGGGCTAATATCCAGAATCTACAAAGAACTGAAACGATTTACAAGAAAAAACCAAACAACCCCATAAAAAGTGGGCAAAGAATATAAACAGACACTTCTCAAAAGAAGACATTTATGCAGCCAACAGACACATGAAAAAATGCTCATCATCACTGGCCATCAGAGAAATGCAAATCAAAACCACAATGAGATACCATCTCACACCAGTTAGAATGACGATCATTAAAAAGTCAGGAAACAATAGGTACTGGAGAGGATGTGGAGAAATAGGAACACTTTTACACTGTTGGTGGGACTGTAAACTAGTTCAACCATTGTGGAAGACAGTGTGGGAATTCCCCAAGGATGTAGAACTAGAAATACCATTTGACCCAGCCATCCCATTACTGGGCATATACCCAAAGGATTATAAATCATGCTCCTGTAAAGACACATGCACATGTATGTTTATTGCAGCACTATTCACAGTAGCAAAGACTTGGAACCAACCCTAATGTCCATCAATGATAGACCAGATTAAGAAAATGTGGCACATATACACCATGGAATACTATGCAGCCATAAAAAAGGATGAGTTAATGTCCTTTGTAGGGACATGGATGAAGCTGGAAACCATCATTCTCAGCAAACTATCGCAAGGAAAGAAAACCAAACACCGCATGTTCTCACTCATAGGTGGGAACTGAACAAGGAGAACACTTGGACACAGGAAGGGGAACATCACACACCAGGGCCTGTCATGGGGTAGGGGGAGGCAGGAGGGATAGCATTAGGAGAAATACCTAATGTAAATGACGAGTTAGTGGGTGCAGCACACAAACATGACACATGTTTACATATGTAACAAACCTGCACATTGTGCACATGTACCCTAGAACTTAAAGTATAATTAAAAAAGAAAGATAATAAATAAAAAATAAATTCCCAAGAAAAGAAAATAATTTTGATTCAGGTAAACAAAGTATAGGTCTCAACCCAATTTCAAAGCCTGATGGATTCAAGAGCTCAAACAATAACTGTCAGGACCCTATTTTGGCCTTCTGTTTTTCCCTGGCCCTTCTCTTCTCTTCCTGTCTTCATTCTGTGTGCAGGCATTCTGTAGTTGGCAAGCAAAACAATCACCAAAAGCTTCAGGTTCATACCTCCCAACTCAGCAACCCCCCAAAAAGAAACTTTTCTGTTTTACAATTTTCGTAATAAAATACTGGAGGAAAAACTGCCGAATTAAATTCAATGACAACTTTTTACATAAACAACTGTCACAATATACAAAGGGTAGATTCCCCATTCCATTGCATCAAATAGTTCATTTTGACCTTTTACTTATATATTACCTCAAATGCAAAATTCTCCTTTAGAGTTTAAGCATAGTCTTGACCAAAGGTTAATTGATTTTGTAATGTGAATTTCAGTAGAAAGTCATCTACAGTCACCAGGACCCCTGTGGAAAGTGATGCTGTGGCCCACACCTGCTTCTTCTTTCCATTCCCTCTGGCTGTGCCTGGACCACCTGGCCGGGCTTTTTCGGTTAGTTAGGTGTTCTGTTCCTGGTTCACCAGCTCCTTAAATGTTGCTGTTGCGTAGGGGACAGCTCTCAGGCCTGCCCTCTTCTCCTTCCTTGGACAGTCTCTGAGTAGTCGCATTTGTGCCTGAGCCTTTGTCAGTGGAGACATAAGCTTCTAGACTACAGCTTCCCTCTTATTTCTCTGGGGAGCAGGAAAAGGGAGGACAAGTGGTGAGATGACGTCTATAAAGACAGTAGAAAGAAACCTTCCTGGGATTCCTTTTCTCTTTCCCTGTGCCCTCCAACTCTTGCACCATTGGAAAGGTGCTGGGGTCACCTCTGACTGTTTCCCCCTTCCCTGCACACAGCCTCACATGGCCCACAGGTCTCAATCCAATCTGGGTTTGTTTGTCACCCCAGATGGTTTCTAGATCTTTATTTCAGGAGGCCTGTAGTTACATCCATGTCTAAAAGAATGTGCTGCTGTTCAGGAGTGATTCCTAGGAAAGACATTGCCAAAGGTGTTGGCTAAACTTCATAGTCTATGTTTACCATAGAAGCTTAAAGGCATCTGCCCAACACAGGCCCTCAAAATATGTTCAGCACTTACCATTTATGGCTATGTCACTTCTTCAAGGGTTTTGGGGAGTCAAGTTCTCCTTGTTGTATTTCATACAAGAATAAAGTAAATGTATCACACAACCCTGCCCCTGATTCAGAAATGGGGATGGGAAGTGGGGATATGGAAGCAGAGAGAAATGTAGGATGCAGTCCAGTGATTCCAAGATTTTCTCACAGAGATGTAATGAAGACCATGTGTATATGAATCTTTCAGCTTCTGTTGCCACATATGGTAACAGCATGAAAATCCACAACCACAGCATTTCATAAGATATTCCAGGGGCACTTTTTCAATGATCTAATAGTTTCAGAGACTAGAAAACTGACATAGGGTTAACATCGATCTGTTGGCTTGGGATGGAGATAACCTTGGTAAGATGAAAATCCTGGAACTGTGTGACCTGCTCTTTATAAGGAGATAGCTCCAGGATTCCTGGGAACTTAGATAAGGGTTAGCAGTGATTTGGTTGGGGGCTTATCCTTCAGCCAGTTTTGCAACCTGCTGCCCAGCTGTATGCTTGAACTTCATTCAGTGTGTATTTTCTTCTTCTTTTATTGGGACTCATGGCTGCAATCAGTTGTTCAGGGCCATTGGGAAGATGCAGTGAGCTGATGGCAGTGAGCATCAGTAGCGTTTAGCACGGAGGTTCAGCTGGTCTTGTGCTCACTGAAGGTGCCCACAGACTCCTAGTGGGCATCACGTTCAAAGGCATCAGACATCTGCTGCTTCAGATCACTGGTTACCACCCCCCTCTAATAATAGTCTTCTTTTCCCCAGGATTTCATGCTGTTTTCATCCTCCACCTCCTCTTCCTTCCAAATTGAGTTATAGTACTCTTTATTCCTGTCATATCCCTGGCTATTCTTATTGCTGGACAACTTAACAACCAGCCAAGTTATAGATGAGGGAAACGATTGTTTCCCCTGCCTCCAAATTTTACTGATTTCTCAAATGCATTTGTTGTTCTGTCTTCTGCAATCCTTGAGTATCTATCAGGAAGGTATCACCCTATGTCGCTCTGTGTCATATGATTTCCACTTGCAGCTACAACCCCATGGCTACTGATTACACATCAGCGGGACCAGAGGGTCAAGTTGGGATGCAGTCACAGAGGTACAGCTACCCCAGTCTGGGCCACTGCTGCTTCCCCATGATGCCGTTTTGAGTGAACACATTGTGTTTGATGATTTCCACCCCATCCCTCCTCTCTCTTAGGCTGGGGCAAAGCAGAGGGCAGTGATCATGTCCTATTTAGCCCTTTTTCTCTCATAGATTCTTTTCTGGTATTCTGCCCTAGGGTTCACAATAAACACTTATTGAATTGAATAATGACTTTTATGCACTATGTGATTCTAAAGTTCTTCCTTCATCTCATCATGATAGAATTACAGAGCTAGAAGGAACTTCAGAGAACTTTGAAATTCCCCACTATTTAGAAAAAATAACAAAATCAAGACTCAGAAAAGTTAAATATCTTGTCCCATGAGGTTTGGTGCTCCTCAGAACGACTGAACATTTTGGTTTCATTCCATCAAGCATCAACTGCCACAGAAATAGACTGCAGTGAAGCATACCCAGCATTGCATTTATGGAATGCAATGCAGTTAACATTGCAATATTGGCATGCTTTCTGAATAGTTAGTGCATAACTTTGCAAAGGCAACTGAAGTTTTCCGGGAGACCTGAAAGATATTACTGAATAATATTAAAGACTGATATAGTTTGGATATTTGTCCCCACCCAAATTTCATGTTGAAATGTAATCCCCAGTGTTAGAGACGGAACCTGGTGGGAGGTGTTTGGATCATTGGGGCAGATTCCTCATGAATGACAGACTATCTCCTCGGTGGTAAGTGAGCTCTTGTTCTGAGTTCATATGAGATCTGGTTGTTCAAAACTGTGTGGCTCCTCCCGCCCCACTCTCTTCCTCTTGCTCCTGCTCTGGCCAAGAGATGTGCCAGCTCCTGATTCACATTCTGCCATGAGTAAGAACTTCCTGAGGCCTCCCCAGAAGCAGATGCCAGTGCTATGCTTCCTGTGCAGCCTGCAGAACTGTGAGCCAATTAAACCTCTTTTCTTATAAGTTACCCAGTCTCGGGTATTTCTTTATAGCAATGCAAGAATGGCCTAATACAAGGACTCATTCAGAACTCATCAGGAGAATTGCCTTGGAAATTTTGCAATTTATTACTCATGATTGTCATTATGATGCTGTTATAACTGAAAGTCTGAAGGATTATACCTTAAAATCTTTTTGGAGAGAAGCTTGGAACAATGAAAATTGTTCAATAGTTAACAGTATGAATCACACAGCCATCTGGAAAGTATCCTGAAATACTCAGAAAACTTTTTTAGGGACCCAATTACTGGATAAACCTGAGAATGCAGAGCCAAGTGAGAACATCTCTTTGTATATTGTGTGAGTGACATAGAGAAGGCAAGAAAATGGAGCAGCCGTAGGAAAGAGTCACCATCCTGTGAGTATTACAAGGAGAAAGAATGAAAGCAAAGAGAGAATGAAAGCAGAGAAAAAATTCCAAGAGCCATCAATTATCAGCAGAGGCTGAGTGGGAGATTCAAATCAGAAAATCAGAAAGTTCATGGTCATTAGCTGCTTTTCTCTCAAACTAAAAATAAGGTATGGTAGAGGCAGCTCCACTGAAGCTAGAAAAGTAGAAACTGGAAAAGAAGTTCCGCAGTTTGCTTCGTTGACCTTTATCTATGTGTAAACATAAGTCAATCCCTGCAAATCACCCTGGATTGTGTCCCTGGTTGTGAAAGGTCAGGCTGGGAAATGTGGCATTACAGAACCTGTGTGAGTCTTGATAAGTCCCTCTCAAGCAACAAGCTTCTACTTTTAGAATGCCACTGTCCTCAGGTAGGTGAGATATGCAGAGATATTTCAGGAAGTCTTATTTCCAAAATGTTGGCCTTCAAGATCTTGATAAAACTTTGTCAGTGGCTGAATGAGATAGCACTGGGGAGGGTCTCAGCCAGGAAAGCAGGTTCTGCTCTTGAGTTCTCTCTGATCTCTGCTCATAAGGCTTTTTATTATGATGATGTGTATTGGATAAGTCATGGGACCTGCCTGCCGTGCCCATTTTCTTACCCTTAGATGGATGGAATGGGTGATCTCAGAGGTCTCTTCTGGTTCTAACATTCTACAATGCTTTTTTCTGTGCCTTTTCTGTGGATTGTGGTAATATCTGATCCACAGGTAAAAACCAAGTTCCTGCTCTCTTGGGACCTTTATTTGGCCATTGGCAATTCACCTGGTTTCTACAGTCCCTTTAACCTCACTGAGTCATTCCTGCATCCCTAAGTTACTATTTCATGTACGGTTTTTGTGTTAACAGACAGGAAAAGGTCTGATCATATAAACAAATACCTTTAATGGGTTAGCTAACTAATGTGTTACCTTCCCAAATGGGGAAAATAAGATGCCGTGTCCAGGATAAGACATACTAATGCCAGAAACTCGAAGAAATTGTATAGGGGTATGTGTGGGTATGGGCAGGGGCAGGGAAGAGGGCTGTACTTGCAAGGGAGAACATCTGTGATCAATCAGGCTCCACTCACCAAGTTGCTGCCTGTTTGGCTATACACAAACTTATCAGGTCTAGGCACTCAGATAAACTGTTACTATAACACTTGAACAAAGCCATTTTTATAAGCCAAGAGTGAGTGTCAGTTAACCAGCAACCATTTTTCAGACTCTTTGGTTGCAGAGACCTACTCAAATTAGCTCTTGTGAAGTGAGTTTAAGAATTTATGTTGAATAATGGGAGGATATTAATTAATTAATTAATTTTAAAATAATGGACCCAGGTGACAGTGGAAGAACTGGAGAGAACTATCCAGAATGTGGGATAAGCAAGATTTGGTGCCTGCTGTTTCCAGGAGGCCTCTCGGAACCCTGGTGGCAGCAGCTTCTGGGTCTCCAGTTCTGCGCTTTGCTCTCGGTGGGCTTGGCTCCCCTCCTCACGTCTCTTTTCTGTCCTGCTACCAGCTGACTCCTCCTTCCTCATGCTTTCTGTTTCTCTTAACGTGAGCTTGCTCAGTCTGTTCGGATTTTTTTAGCTACAGTTCCCACCGGTCACACACAAATTGTTTTCCATGTGTTTTGGTTCAAATTTCTGGGAAATTTAGTCTGATTGACTCAGTTTATTGTTTTGAGCAAGGCCACAAAGATCTTTGGCCAAATGTTAGAGTAGCAGCCTTTTGTGTCATCTGGGACTGAGTGGGCATGTGAAAATTGATATGGTCACATGAAAAACCATGGCCGTCTATTCAGTAGAGGCTGTGGGTAGAGAAGTGTCCTTCATAAGTGTTGGCTGGGCATGGTGGCTCACTCATGTAATCCCAGCACTTTGGGAGGCCAAGGCAGGTGGGCAGATTGCTTGAGCTCAGGAGTTCGAGACCAGCCTGGCCAACATGGTGAAACCCCGTCTCTACTAAAAATACAAAAATTAGCTGGGTATGGTGGTGGGCACCTGTGATCCCAGCTACTTGGGAGGCTGAGGCCGGAGAATCGCTTAAACCCAGGAGCTGGACATTGCAGTGAGCCGAGATTGAGCCACTACATTCCAGCCTGGGTGACAGAGTGAGACTCCATCTCAAAATAAATAAATAAATAATAAAACACAAGTGTCCCTATTAGAGGGAGGGCAAACAGTATCTCTACACCCAGGGTGCCTGTCACAATTAAAAAAAAATCTCCAATCACAATTTTATTTTACCTACATAATAACATTGTGATGTAGGCTTGGCAGGGATAGTTCCCATTTTATGAATGAGAAGAAAGAAGTTGTGGCTTATAGAGATTGGTAAGGTCAACATCTGATCTGAACTTTTGATATCCTTTCTCAGTCTTTGAGATTGAGATTTGGATTCTAGTCCAGCTGTCTGTCTCCTCACTTGTACCAAACACCCTTTTTACACATGGGCAGAGACCCAGAGAAGTCACCATAAGTTTTCCACTACAGAATTTATCTATTTTATTTATTTGAAACAAAGAAACAACAGATTTTGTTAAACCCTGGGAAGGTAGCAGGCACTCACTGTTTTAACAATGCTGGCTGAATTACACACTATTCTATTTTTCCTTATCACATTTTTTTCTTCCCCTAATAACTTGAGGTCACAGAATAAAAATTTGAGACTATACAACAGGATTTTCTTAAGAGTCTTTGGCTGTCTTGTGTTCTTGACTCTCAATTTCACCAGAGCAAGGGTTGGTTCATTCCAACCAGCTTCCCATAGTAATCTCAAATATTCCATGACCTTGGTGCTGAGGAAAGGTGCACAGAGCAGAAACTTTTCAAGCCAGCCCAGCTTTACCAGAGCTGATCAATCACTGGACGGTTGGGAGAGATTCCTGACAAGAGATTCAGCCAAGTGAGCCTGAGGTTTTCACTCCAACCACTGTCATCACAGTTGGTTCTTTCTTTTGGCAATTTGATCTTCCTTACTATGTCAAAATCTTGGGGTCCTCATAACTCCACAACAAATACAGCCCAAACACAGTTTTAAAGCTTGGAGGATGACTTCCACTTGCTAGTTTTCCTCTTAGAGACTTGGATTTGGAAGAGCTGTCATGTCTATTTTTTGTCAATATCTTGTGTCTCTTATGGGAATTCCCCCAAACGCTTCTCTTTTTCAGTCTGTCCTTATAAAGACTGCATGGGGCACGTACAGGTGCATGTTGCTGCCCATGAACACGCAGCTGCTGGCTTGACAGCATAAAACAGACGAACAATTGTAGAACTTCCATAAACCAATGTTCATGGCAAAGTGGAAGTTACTTGCCAAATGTGAACCAAGTTAAGAGCTTAGGTGGAGTATACCAAAATAAGATTCATCTGGTTTTAAAAAACAAATCAGATCATACGCAGTAATCTGGATATCAGGAAATTCAACAGTTGGAAACTACTTGTGATGGAAAATGGTTAACAACGTTGCTGAATTCTACATACAAGAAAGAAGTGAAAGAGAATAAAGTGGAGTATGGAACACAAAGCAAGCTGCAGTCAGGAGTCTGAGATTCCTGAATTCCAGCCATAGTTGTGCTTAGTTAACTACTTAAGCTAAGTGTTTTTGGTGATAAAATCAAATCTTTTGACTAGGTGATCGCTAAAGTCTCCTTCAATTCAGTGATGTTATAAAATTCGTGACAGGAAAACCAATTTTGTTTGTGGCCACATTTTCTCCCTTTGGTCTGATTGCAACTCTGAGATCCTAAGTACAGCCTCATTAGCTGGTGTTGAGAAGGTTATTCACAGTATCCCCTAATCCTCTTCAACATCTTGTCCTGCTCTTTTTATCTCCTCTCCTTTTTTCCCCCAAGGAATTTGAGACTACACCTGACACACTTATAAACTGGATATCCAGAGAAGTGATACATTTTAAAAAACTGAAATCACCTTTAAACATTTGGGAAAATGTATTTAATTCTAGGAAATGAAAAACCAATCTGACTTACACTTGAGTATGCATAATAATTTAAAGGCAGAAAGGATTGTTTATTAGAGTGCAGAAGAAAAAGTAGGCAAGAGCTATATTTATGTGCTTATCTTGCCTTTAAATTAATTCCCCCTCCCCCACTTCTTGCCTGAGCCCTTTGGTTGCCATAGAAACTGGCATGGCCTCCCGCTGAGATTCCTGTGAGACTTAATTGCATTCCAAATTTCATAAACTCTCTATTAACCTTTGCCTGACAGATATGTGTATAATGCAAAATGAGTTACATTAATAGTTTAAAGTGATTTATACATTCAGATTTCATGTGCCTAATGCTCTTTCAGTCAATTAAACATACTTATAAATAATTGTGATGGTATTATTGTTGATGTGTTTCTTTCTTTATAGAAATAAAATGTCTGTGTATATTAATATACATATACATAATATATTAAATAGCAGATTTAATATATACATATCTAGAAGCTAAGGGCATTTTTAAGGGAGGGTTTAGAACAGAAGCTGAATATGTTTGTATATATTTGAATATAAATAGATATAGTATGTCTTTATATATCTTTCTCTATACTATGAATGCTTGCATGTGTCAGGCATTGTACTTAGTATTTAACATATGTTAATGTATTTAATTCTCATAACAACTCTATGTTGCAGGCACAATGATTGCCACCATTTTATAGTTGAGGGAACTCTAGAGAGACTTAAAGAGTTAGAAGTCCCACAACTCCTAAGTGGCAGAACTGGTATTAGAATCCAGACATTTTGACTCCAGAGCCCTTAAGGCCTCTGTGTTAGTTCGTTTTGCATTGCTAGAAAGGAATACCTGAGGCTGGGTAATTTATAAAGAGAAGAGGTTATTTTGGCTCATGCTTCTACAAACTGTACAAGGAGCGTGGTACCACCATCTGCTTCTGCTGAGGCCTCAGGAAGCCTACAATCATGGTGGAAGGTGAAGGGGAGCAGGGGTGTCACATGGTGAGAACCAGGCTCGTTAAACAACCAGCTCTCACATGAACTAACAGAGTGAAAACTCACTCATTACCACAAGGATGATACCAAGCCATTCATGAGGAATCCACCCCCATGACCCGAACACCTCCCACTAGGGGGTTACCTTTCAACATGAGATTTGGAAAGGACAAGCATCCTAACAATATTACCTTCCCCTGTGTATACATTTGGTGAGTTCCCAGGCAATTCCTCTAGAACCCATTGTGGACTGTATGTAGAGTTCCAGAAAAAGTCTCATTTTCTAGGGGAATCGTTCAGTCACTGCTGTCATCAAATTCTAGTCTTGGGGAAGGAGAAATGAATAAATAAGACAAAGTGCTTGCTCTCAAGGAGAGTGTGGAGCGGGAATGGAGGGTTAAAAGAAGGGAACAGACATGAAAGTAAAAAGTTCAAGTTGCTAAGACTTACGAGACAGATGTCACCAGAATAAAGCCCCAACCTCACTACATCATCATGTTCAAAGGCACAATAGTTTAAGTGTATAATGACTGAAAAGCAATTTCAACTCTATGGAAGGTTCTTTTTTTTTTTTTTTGAGATGGAGTCTCACTCTGTCGCCCAGGCTGGAGTGCAGTGGCGCCATCTCAGCTCACTGCAATCTCCACCTCCCGGGTTCATGCCATTCTCCTGCCTCAGCCTCCTGAGTAGCAGGAACAACAGGTGCCCGCCACCATGCCTGGCTAATTTTTTGTATTTTTAGTAGAGACGGGGTTTCACGTGTTAGCCAGGTGGTCTTGATCTCCTGACCTCGTGGATCCGCCTGCCTCGGCCTCCCAAAGTGCTGGGATTACAGGCGTGAGCCACTGCTCCCAGCCGGAAGGTTCTTTAAGAATGCCAAAGCACAACAGGGTGATTGTAGTAAAAAATAATGTAATTGTACATTTAAAAATAACTAAGTGTATAATTGGATTGTTTGTAACACAAAGATAAATGCTTGAGGTGATGGATACTGCATTTACTCTGATGTGATTATTATGCATTGTATGCCTGTATCAAAAGATTTCCAGTGCAACCCGTAAATATATACACTTACTATGTACCCACAAAAATTAAAAAAAAAACAATGCCAAAAGCAATCTCATTTATACAATGTAACAAAACATCTTCTTCCTCTCCTACTTGCATGCCTCACATCTGCAAAGCTGCTATGGTACAGAGGTACCATTTTGGCATAGGAATATCTAACCATTCCAGCACCATTTGTTGAAAGCTCTTTCCTCTTTCACTGAAAACTCCCCCAAATTCTACCTCAAAGTTGGCTCATGCAGGATTCTTTGATGCTCTCCAGTTCCCTCTCAGGTTATCTCTCTACTATAATAGATCAGCATAGCCTCTCTGATCACTTTCACTATTTTTGTTTTTCCATCACCTAAAGTTTATATCGTGGAGAATTGCTTGTAAACTGGTTGGAAGCTGGGTTTTCTACAGAAAGGAGGGATGGATTAAAGAGAAGACAGCAGATATGACTCAATATCTTAAAAAAAACTCTTTACATGGAGGAATAAACTGAGTGCTGTGAGAATCAGAGGAGGGCAGCAGACATTCTCACATGGGGAGGGGGTGAGAAAGATTCACAGAAGCTGAGCTTGAAGGATGAGGGAGTGTTTTCCAGGTGGTGAGTGGGAAAGAAGCAAGGGAGAAACGTGCTGAAGTTCATAGGCATGCATAGGCATGGTGTATTTGAGGAATGGATGATTCTTTCTGAGATAAATCCCAAACATGTAAAAGCAGGAGGAAAATATTAATTGGCCATTTTATAAAAGCAAAGAAAGTGGAGCTAAGATGATCAGAGAGAATACACTGCAATCTTTTTCACTTTACTGCTAAGGGGATAGAGGTCCAACAAATGCATTTTACCTAAATCTTCTCATTCTGTAAGACTACTTGCTTTTAGAGCTTGCAGCTGCTTCCTCCAGCCCTGTTCAATGGGTCCCAGGGCATGGGGTCTGTATTAGTCTGTTTTCATGCTGCTGATGAAGATATACCTGAGACTGGGCAATTTACAAAAGAAAGAGGCTTACTGGACTTAACAGTTCCACATGGCTGGGGAGGCCTCACAATTATGATAAAAGGTGAAAGGCACATCTCTCACATGGTGGCAGACAAAAGAGAGCTTGTGCAGGCACACTCCCATTTTTAAAACCATTAGATCTCCTGAGACTCATTCACTATCATGAGAACAGCTCAGGGAAGACCCGCCCGCATAATTCAATCACCTTCCACCGGGTTCCTCCCATGACATGTGGGAATTGTGGGAGTTACAATTTCAGATGAGATTTGGGTGGGGTCACAGCCAAACCATATCAGGGTCCGCCACTTTGGCAAAGGTTGTTCTAGCATCAAGCAGGAAGGTCTTTTTAATGAGTTTTGTCCAGATAAATTCATTATTTATACTGAGTCAACTAATTTAATAGAGATACATATTTAAGTCAGATACATCTGGATTATTAACCTTTTAACTGGTTGGAGTACAACATTGAATTGTTATTTTTCAATTGTCACAGCCCCCCATTGACCCATGTTGACCTATGTTGAACCTCCCTTTCATGCTGGATAGCAGATCCCTTAATGACAACTTAGGAAAATTTTACAATTTCCTGGTCACTTTGATTATTGGAAATCTGATCTTTTTGAAATTCTAATCTCCTAACTGACTTAAAAATTTCTCTCTATCATTGGAAAGGCTTGTGGCTCCAGGGACTGCTGTGTATATGTGTGTGTCAGGGTAGACGTTGCATGATGTAATCTTTTATTCTACATTTGTCTCCCTTACCGCGGGGGTGGGTGGGGAAATGAACTCAGTTAACCCTTCCTACTCCCCTCTGCTGGGCTCAAACCCTTCATTGTGTTGGAACAGAGAGGAGGGAGGAAGAGGACAAGAGTCCCTTATTTAACTAACTGGTTTTGTTGTTCTGTTGGTTGTTGATACTTCCCTGTCCAACACTGACTGCCTGATCACTGATGCCCACTGGATGGCGAGTGTCTAAATTTTCGATTTCATGGGGGTAGAGGCTCCAAGGCGGAAGCCTCCTCAGGGCTGGTTCCTTGGCATTGGAGGTCTGGCTTTAGTTCAATCACCCTCAATTTCCCTGCTCCCAGCTCCTGTGCCAGGCCATCCACTTCATATCCTGCTGCTGCCATGGTTTCCTTCTGTACTTGAGACTCTGGGTGGCTTCCAGTAAAATGATTTAAGTCTAACTACTTCGAGCAATGTCTGTTTGACCCATGAAACCTCACACACATTTTTATCAATTCAGACAGTGAGAGCAAAGCTGCTTGGAAATTAAAGAAATTGAAAGCAAACACACAGGAAAAGAAGAAGTAAAATTGCCTTATACTTGGAGACAACATGATTATCTATTTAGAAAATTCTACAGGATCTACAAAAGAGCTGCTATAATAAATGAGTTCATTAAGGTTGTTGGATACAAGGTCAATATACAAAAACTAGTTATAGTTCTGTGTACTAAGAATTAGCAATTGAAAATCAAAATATCATTTATAGTAATATCGAGACACAGGAAATACTTAGAAATAAATTTGACAATAGATATGCAAGACCTGTACACTAAAAACTATAAAGTATTGCTGAGATCAATTAAAGAAGATCTTAGTTGAGTGGGGAATATATATCATGTTCATGAGTCAAAACATAATATTGTTAAAACAACATTCTCTTAAGTAATCTATAGGTTCAACACACTCAAATTGCAATTCCAGAAGGCTTTTCTTTGTAGACATTGACAGACTGATTTAAAATATATATGGAAGTTCGAGGGGCTTTGAATAGTCAAATCAAAATTTTAAAAATAGGAACAAAGTTGAATGGCTAACACTACCTGATTTCAAGGCTTACTATTATAGGTAGTTATAGTAATCAAAACAATGTGTTACTGGTGTCAAGATAAACCAAAGATCAATGAAGCAAAACAGAGAATCCAGAAATGATCAGTACATAGAAACCTATTTTTGGTAATGATGCTATGACAAGCAAATTAGGAAATGATGATCTTTTCAAGAAATGGCTCTGCAATAATTAGATATTCATATGCAAAAACTACAAAAAACCCCCCCAAAAAACAGAATGTTGATCTCTACCTCATATCGTACATAAAAATCAACTCAAAATAGATTATAGACCCATTGTCAAATCTAAAACTGCAAAACTTCTGGAGAAAAACACAGGTGAGAAAATCTTAGTGACGATAGATTTGCAAAATTTTAAATATTCTACAAAAGCATGAACTCTAATTATAACACTGTTAAAAAAATGAAAAGATGAGCCACAAATTGGGAAAAAATGTTTGTAAAACATGTATCTAACAAAGGACCTGCACCTAGAATATATGAAGCTATCTTACAACTCAATAATAAAAAGAGGGACAACCCAATTAAAAATGGTCAAGATTTAAACAGACTCTTCACCAAAGAAGATAGAAAGATGGCAAATAAGCACATGCAAAGAGGCTTACTAACTTTAGACTTTAGGGAAATGCAAATTAAATCCACAGTGAGATACCCCTACACTCTCATTAGAATGGCTGAAATGGATCTCATTGAAGATGGTGGTGCAATCTGTGTCCAGCATTATCAGAAGAGTCTTTATGTGGACAGTCTCAGGGGCACCTGAAGAGAATTTTGGTCTCAATCCAGAAAAGAGAAAGAGCCAGTGGTTGCTGAGACAGTAAAAGAGGTGAAAAAAGAACCTATCCCAGTGCGTCCACCCTTACGAAGCCAAACATATACACCACCTGAAGGTCTCCAGAGTCGTTTGGAATCTTTATGTTAAATAAGTTTTTGGCTCATGTTTTCCTAGTAATTGGCAAGACATTTCCCTGGAAGATGGTTGTCTACAGTTCAATCTTTTGGCACATTTAGCTTATGACTTGGGTCATGTAGTCCCTAATTCCAGACTCCACCAGTTGTGCAGGATTAGAGATGTTCTTGGTTTCTATAATGTCCCTATTCAAGATAGATCTAAATTTTATGAACTCAATGCCAGTAATCTGCCCCCCAATTTGAAAATCACTTGGAGTTACTAAGCAATTCAGAAGAGAAATACATTGAAATCATTTTATCCCCCTGAGCAAGGGGGCTGCTTTTTAGGCTTTTTGATACTTTGCCATGTGAAATATTATCAGAACTGTTCTCTAAACCCACTTTTTCTATAGAGGAATGTATCATCTCTTTTTTTCTCATATTATGAATGGATAAAGAATAATAGGATTTTCTATTTTCATATTTGCTGAAATCATTTTTTAAATGAAATTAGGTCATTAATAATTTATGAAAAACTTTGAGAGGACACTGTCATTAACTTGGGTGTGAGACAGGAGGATATTACAAGCTCAGACCCTTCATAGGCATAAAGTAGTAGTAGTAGTTGCAAGAAAATATGTTCATCCTTTTAGGGCTCATATCTAAGATAGGTTATTATATATTACAAATATACAAATAAACTTGTATTACATAGATACCTATGAAAGAAACATAAAACGATGTTGTATATTACTGACCATTCTAGATTAATTTCTTTTGAAATTAAAGGTTGGTTAAAGTGTTAAAAAATGGCTGAAATGAAAGCAACTGACTATACCAATTGTGTCTGAGTCTGTGAAGTAACTGGAAGTCTCATACACTGATGGTGGGGATGTGAAGTGTTGTTATTGCTTTAGAAAACAGCTTGGCAGTTTAAAAGTTAAGCATACGCTTACCGTATGACCCAGTCATTCCACTCTTAGGTACTTATCTAAGGGAAAAAAAAGCATATGTCCAAACAAAAACTGTACATAAATATTCATAGTGATTCACTACATAATAGTCCCAAACTGAAAACAACCCGAGTGGTCCATCAACAGGTGAGTGGATAGGCAACTTGTGCTATAGCTACAAAATGGAATATTGCTCAACTGTAACAAAGGATGAACTCTTGATACACATAAGAATATGATGAATATCAAAATAATTATGCCAAGAGAAAAAATGAAACTATCTTTGCAGATTATGACAGTGAGAGAAGTCTAGCATGGCTGACTCCGTCTTGCTTCTAGCTTCACAGGCTGGCTGTCTTTGCTCATCCCGGAGCATAGACCAAACTAAACATTGGAGGAATTTAGTTTACAGTTCAACTTTGAAGCAAGGATAATAATAGGTCCTTCCCTAAAATGAACCTCCTTCTTGCTCAGAGACTGAAACCACCTTTCTTACGACTAATGAAAGGTCACAAGATTAGAATTATGGGAGGGACCTAAATTCTTCTGAAATGCCGATGTAGTTAAATGATAACCAGCTATTGTCTCCTAGCTTGCTTTTCTATAATTCCTTGCTGCTCAAGTCATGTCATCAGAGGTCACAAGATTTGTTACTTCCCTTATGGCTCCTATAGATAACATCACTATTGTAGAACTTAAGATTGGTCTTTTGAGACGTTTTTTAGACTTTTGCATTCTGGCAACTGACCGACTCCATCTGGGCCTGGGACTCATGACTCAACTGTTACTGTGGACCTCACTGAGAGATGGATTCAGTGCACAAGGGCTGTTTTCTACACTCCTATATTTCACCCTCAACCAACCAGAAGCACCCATTCCCTAGGCCCCTGCCCATCAGATCATTCATAAAAACCCTAATCTCTGAGTTCTTGGGGAGACCAATTTGAATAATAACTCCAGTCCTTTTGCATGGGTAGCTCTGCATTAATTAAACTATTTCTTTACTGCAATACCATGGTCTCAGTGAATTGGTTTTGTCTGTGCAGCAGGCAAGAATAACCCATTAGGGGATTACAGAAAGCCAAACAAAACAAGTAGATAATTTATAATTCCATTTATGTAAAATTTTGGAAAATGCAGATGAATCGAAAGCAGATCAGTGGTTGCTTAAGAAAAAAGTGGAGAGGAAAAAGAGACATTGAGGGGTGTAGAAAAGGATTACAAAGAGATGTAAGAAAACTTTTTGGGGTGATGAAAATCATTACACTGATTGTGGTTTCGCTGGTGTGTATATATGTCAAGAATCATCAAAACATGTAGTAAATATGTATAGTTTATTATATGCCAATTATATCTCAGTAAAGCTGGGGAAAAGTTTTAAGAAGCAAGAAAAATATTGTGTATTCTATGATACTATTTTTATGATACTATTTTCATAAAAGTCATATCACACATATGGGCATACATTAATAAAGGATTGGAAGAATATATTCTAACATATTAGCTGTGATTTGATTTCCTGAATATTCCAAATTTTCTATAATAATCATTTATTTCTTTGTAATGAGAATCAATTAAAATTATTTGCCTGGTGAGTAGAGCATAGGCAATATTCTCATACTCTAAGACAATGAACAAGACTCTTTGAATTAATTGTAGAATCTTAAAGACTATCTTGTCTCTTCCCCTTATTTTACAAAAGAGGAAACTGAGGCCCAGGGGAGGGAATAGATTTGCCAAAAGGCACAGAATAAAGTAATGATACTACTGAGACTAGAATGCAAATATGGGGACATCCTTGTAGAATTTGTTATACTGTATTATATTTTCTTTTATTTTAAATTGCACTTTTCCTATTTTGACTTAATTTTAGACTTATAGAAAATGTATAAATTCAGCATATTTCTTATATGCCTTTCACCCGGCCTTCTCTATTGTTAACATATTGTATAACCACATAACAATTATGAAAACTAAGAAATTAACATTGATATAATCCTATTAATATAATTTTAGACTTTATTTAGATCATATATATATATATATATATATATATATATATATATGTATTTTTTTTTTTTTTTTTACTGATGTCCTTATTTTCCTGTTCCAGAAACTTGTCCAGGATCCCACATTGCTTTTAATTGTCTCTTCTCCAATCTGTGACAGTTTCTCAGTTTTTCCTGGTCTTTCATGATCTTGACAGCTGTAAAGAATTCAGGTCAGACGTTTTGTAGAACATTTCTCAATCTGGGCTTGTCTAATATGTTTCAAGGTTAGACTGAGGTTTTGCATTTTGGGAAGGATACCAAAAAGGCAATGTTCCCTTTTTAGTGCATCGCATCCTAAAAGGGTATATGACTTCGTCAATAAGTTTTGTTAATAGTGATGCCCACCTTGATTGCTTGGTTAGGTGGTGTTTGCCCCTTTCTCCACTGTGCAGTTATTGTTTTTTCCTTGCACTTAATAAGTATTTATTTTGGAGAAGATACATTGGGACCATGCAAATACTCTATTTCTTTTTAAATCTTTGCCCATGAATTTTAGTAGTTGTCAGTGGATTGAGCCAGCCGCCATTATTATTGTTGTGGTAGTCTAATGATGATATACTATTTCTTCATACTTTCTACATTTATTAATTGGAATTTTTCTGAAAGAAACAGTGGTTCTTCCTTTTCCCATTTATTTCTTTATTCATTAAAAAATTAATATCAGGATGGACTCATGAATATTTATTTTATTCTTTTTATTCTAATCCCAAACTATCATTCTTTATTTTGTTCAAATTATTCAAACTTTGGCTGTTGGGAGCACTTTTGGGTTGGCCCCTGTGCCTTTCATCATGTCTTCATCATCATCTTTTTTTGTTTGTTTTTTTTAAGTCAGAGTCTTGCTCTGTCGCCCAGGCTGGAATGTGGTGGCACGATCTCGGCTCACTGCAATCTCCGCCTCCCGGGTTCAAGCGATTCTTCTGCCTCAGCCTCCTGAGTAGCTGGGACTACACGCGCGCACCACTACCCCCGGCTAATTTTTGTATTTTTAGTAGAGATGGGGTTCCACCATGTTGACCAGATGGTCTCGATCTATTGACCTTGCGATTTGCCCCCCTTGGTCTCCCAAAGTGCTGGGATTACAGGCATGAGCCACCGTGCCCAGCCATCTTCATCATTTTTTCGAGCACTTCTTTACTTTCTGATATCACAAAATGAAGCAGGCTTATTTTTATGTTTTCCCTGATACAGCCCTGAAATTAACTATTAAATACTTCTCCAAGGATCTCTAGTTCTTTGTACTGGAGAATGATATTTAGAAACCAAGATCTGGGCACTTATGAGTTCATTACTATTGGAATGTTGCTGTTTCTAGGCTCTCCCAGTGGGCAAAACTAGAAAATACATTTGCTATTTGTGTATGTATGTATGTATATCTACAACTCATGTGGCATTTATTTGAGTTGTGTGAGCCTATTTTTATTGGTTAAATTTAATAATTTAAAACATTTAACAGGTAAAGTAAAATTTAGTCATGACTGAACAGATATTCATTATCTGGTGGTTTGTGCTCTTTCTTCAAATTATTTACCATTAAGAGGTTACTGATATTTTTCACTGCAGTCCCTTCTTTATTTATCAAATAGCTATCTTATGTTTGTTTAGAGTGATTTTAGCTAGTGCTTGAGTATGAGAAAGGAATTCTTTTCATTTAGAAAACATATCCTTAAACCCTGATTCATATATTAGGAACTGTCTTTTTCAAGTTACAAATGAAGCAGAACACTGCAAATAAAAAGAAGTCCAAATAGCAAAACCCAAGTGTTTCCGGAATTTTCCTTGAGAACGAAGTAGAAATTTTAAGTTGAATTCTATGAAGGTTAGAAGCAGTCAAATATTGTCAATTTCATTTGGTTCAAAAGGCTGGAAGTGGAGATAGAAGCCTGTTGGGATACTGATCAGTCTCTGCTACCTCTAGGCCTTTACCATCCTGTAGGAACCCTCAGCTGGAAGATATAACCTTCCTTGTGAATACCAGGATGAACCAAACCTACCCATAGAAGAAAGAGCTGGATAGGAAGACATCAAAACTGCTTCCAGAGTAAAAAGCACACTAGAAGAACATGGACTGGCATAGGTGTCCTCACTTCTGTGTGTTCACAGCACAGTTTTCAATATTGGCATTTATGCCAGAAGTTTTATTGAGATCAAGTAGCACAGAAATCAATAATAATTTTACTTATATAGTTTATAATATATTTATTATATAATTTATATTTATTATATAATTAAATATATCACACATACAATCAAATATATTACATATAATTACTTAGAATAATAATTATAATTGTAATTGTTTTATTTGTATAAGTATGTATAATATTTTAATTGCAATAATTATAATACAGTGTAGCCTCACACTGACACAAAAAGCATCCAACTTTATTGTGATATTTAAATACTCTTGTAGTGCTGTTGTTATTAGAGTAGAACCAGTTCTGCCCTGACCACCCTCTCTTACACAGTCACATTGCAAAGTTCTTGCTTGTTGTACCAAATACTTAATTTTTTACTGGCGTAAACTTAACCCTGTAACTCTTATCCTTGACTTTCAATATGTTATACTCGATATTAAATAGCATTACATGACCTGCTAAGCTTGCGGTTGAGTCTGACTGATACTGCTATAACAGTATAAATGTGTTAGTACAAATTTTAGGGTGATCAAAGTTGAACACAAATGTGAAGGGTTTGAGATGATCAATAAATGGTTTGTGAAAATTCTCTCTTGAATTAGTGGCAACGGTGACACCCAAGCCCAGTCTTCCCAACAATCAATCTAGTGCTCTTTCTTCTGGATTAGAATCCTCAAAATAATTTTCTGTAGCACATTGGAGTATCAAATACGTGAATTTTTCTCAAGGTGCTGGGAATGTCTTCCAGTTGAATGAGATGAAGTCCATGTCTTCAAGAAGCTTATAGTAGAGTGTATAATTTTGCAAACTAAACTACCTTTGGCTGATTACTTAACTCCAATGAACTTCAGTTTGGTTGTCTGTAAATAACAATAGCTAACCCTTACCGCTCTTACTCTTTGCCAGAAATTGCACTAGGAGAAACTCATGCTAACCTTATGCAATCAGTATTCTTCTTCTTCTCTTTTTAAAGACTCAAGTCATTAATGCTTGAGGGTATTGCTGTACTGGTAAATGTCTAATAACCAGTTTTCCCAAAATATTCATATATACATACACAAATTATTACAATTTTATTGTTCAGAATTTGTAGCCACATTTAAAAACTATCATAAAAATACTCTTCATTGTGAATTCCACATAGCTAACTGATTCTGCCAGAATTTTTTGTTGATTTTTGTCTAATTCTTGTATCCTTAGCCAAATGTTGTAATTCAACAATGATTTGACAAATGAAGTTGCATCCAATGCTTTAATTCTTTTCACAATAAATTTATTGTCATTAAGTATTATATTCGGCCCACTGTTAGCCTATTTCTCATATGCATACAAATTCATTAAACTAAATATAATGTCATGTATTGGAACTTTACTTATTCCATCTGTCAATGACATGAGTGACTTCTTTGTTGAATGAGAGAATAATATTCGAACATTGAGAGAATATTTTCTTAATGTTTTGTGTCATGCATAATGTAATGGCTATAGATGTGACACAGCAGAAAGAGGTAAATCCATAAAGTTAGCAGATTGCTGGTTGCCTAGGGCTGAGGGGAGGCGGAAATGGGGAGCACCGGCTTTATGGGTATGAGGTTTTATTTTGGAATGATGAAAATGTTTTGGAACTAGATAGAGGAAGTAATTTCACTACATTGTGAATGTACTAAATGCCACTGATATGTACACTTTTAAGTCCTTAATTTTATGTTATGTGAATTTAACATCAATTTTTAAAAAACCTCTCTATTGGATTCTTATAAAGATATTACGAAAAAAATAAGGAGATACTCTGTGAACCATAAGGAGTATTGCAAATGTAGTTCTCCTACTTGTAAAAATGTATTTGCACAAGGTCTCATTCTCTCAGGTCCTTACCAAGGCATCATCTGATATTATAAATTTACCTAGACATGTAAATGTCTAGGTATTTATTTATTTATTTATTTGTTATCTCTCTCAGCAAGAGTTTGAATTTTAATCTAACTCTTTGAGGCTTAAATCAAACTAGATTATAATTGACAAAATTTAGTAAAAGTGGAAGAGCATGCATGGATCATATTTGACATGCGAGGAGCTCCTTTGTTTTTTTGCTCCATACCTTCACTATGTAAGCAGGTGGCCTTTTTTGCTTAACTATATAGTTGGCTTTGCTGTTTTTTTTCTCTTATGACGTGTGGGAATTGGTTTGGATAGTTAGGCAAACTTTCAAGCAATTATTTTAGTGGGGTGAAGAGAAACTACTTTAGAACTGTTGTGAGTTCAGAAAAATATAAATGCTTTTAGGTTTATTTTGCTTACTTTCAAAATAAAAGCATTTTTATTGAGTCCTTTAGGAAAAATGTATATTCCTATAACCAGGTTGCAGAACAACATAGAAGACTACCAATGAGAAAATGGTCATTTTGTGGGGTATTTTTTTTTTTTTTTTTTTTTTTTTTGCTACTAGAAATGTTTCATAATCTTTGAGATATAACACTACTGGGGAGGTTTTATATCTTTTTATTCTAGAAAGTGATTGAAGACCATAAGAAGAACCAGGTAGGCTTCATATATCCTTTATATGTCTATAATTGGATATTATTGATAATAAGACTGAAACTTTGTCTAATTTATATCTAATTGTAATTCTAACACTTGGCATACCCTACTCCTATGGAATTTGGCCATCAGGGCAAAGTTACGTAAACAACAGAGAAGGTACAAAATAAATCAGGATATATGTGGTCCCTATTAATATCTACCCTTGTGTAAACAGGGAATTTGAACTTTATTTTTTTTTCCGTTCTTACCTGAAGAACTGGGAAGGGAATGATTTTGTGGTGCAGTGTTTATATACTTCAGCAACCTCTGCTCCTAGAGGGAATTCACCAGGTCTAGGAGAATGTCAGAGCACTGTTTTATCTGAGAACAAATGTTAAAGAAATGTCTTACTATAGCTGAAATAAAATCTGAAAATCACTTTCAATCTTTTTCTAACTTTATTTTTTTATTAAGTCTCCTAGGTGGAACAACATGAATCTCTGATTAGCTACATGAAAATGCTAACTTCTTGTGGAAGTATATTAGTTTCTTGACTCCAAAACTTCCCAAAAAATATACAATGAAATCTACAGAAACTGAGGCTAAAATTCTATGCTTTATTCTGCTGTTTGATCTTTTCTTCTTACCAATCCTCAAAGTAGAGCTTAAATCCATCATCATTATCCATTTCTGCTTCACTTAAACATTTATTGACCACTGAGGGACGCACAGGAATATGATATAAAACACAATCCTTTAAGTAAATTATTTTACAATTTAGTTGGGGAGTAGTTGTACCGGGTTGGATAATGTTCTCAAATTCATGCTTTTCCTGGAATATTAGAATGTGAATTTTATTTGGAAATAGGGTAATTGTAGATGTAATTAGGTACAATGTGGTCATACTGGAGTAGGGTGGACCTGTATTCCAGTATGACTGGTGTCATTATGACACAAAGAGAAGAGACACAGAGACAAAAAACATTGGAAGGATGCATGTGAAGATGGAGGTGGAGACTGGAATGATGTGCCTGCAAGCCAAATAACCGCAGGGTTTACTGTCAACACCAGAAGCTCAGAGAAACACATGGAACAAATTTTCCTCTAGAGCCTATAAAGACAGTGTGAGTCTGCCTACACCTTGATTTTGGGTTTTTAGACCCCAGAACTGTGAGAGAATACATTGCTGTTATTTTAAGCTATCAAGTTTGTGGTTCTTGCTTATAGCAGCCATAGGAAACTAATATAATAGTCATAAAAATAAAGCTGTTATTATTAAATACTGCGATGTTCCAGGTTCTGGTTCTTTGAGTTCCTTCCCACTCTAAGGTATTACTAGGTGTTATCACTATTGTCCCCAGAAGAGCAAATGGAGAGTCAGAGAAGCCTAACAACTTGTTAATGTCACTCTGCAAGTAGCTCCAACCCTTGTCAGTTTGTCTCCATGGACCAGTCTCTTCAATACGGGAGGACGGCCCATATAAGCAGGCAGAAGGCAAAATGAGAGGCAAGAAGGGAGTAGGCCCCCAAGCTGGGAATAGTCCAGATGTTCACGAATAGCAGTGGTACATTGTGAATTGTGGTACATCCATGTGATGGAATACTACTCAGCAATACTAGAGCAAACATCTATAGCATGCAACAGTATGGATGAATCTTAAATGCAATATTCTGAGTGAAACAAGCCATACACAAGAGAGTGCATACTATATGATTCCAATTATATGAACTCGTAGAATACGCAGAACTAACCTATGGTGAAAAAACTTGAAAAGGTGATTGCCTATTGTGTGGAAGATGGTTTGCTGGAAACTGGGCACTGAGGTCCCCATTCGGTGGTTCAGGGTGGCAGTAGCCTGCTCCCTGCTCTGGGTACCCATATATGTCCACACAACTGGGAGTGGAAGAGCCTGTAAATGTCACAGGATCAGGTATGAAACAGTCCCATGTGCCAGTTTTGCTGGCCATTGCTTCTTTTCTTTTTTTTTTTTTTTATACTTTAAGTTTTAGGGTACATGTCCACAATGTGCAGGTTAGTTACATATGTATACATGTACCATGCTGGTGTGCTGCACCCATTAACTCATCATTTAGCATTAGGTATATCTTCTAATGCTAACCCTCCTCCCTCCCCCCACCCCACAACAGTCCCCAGAGTGTGATGTTCCCCTTCCTGTGTTCATGTGTTCTCATTGTTCAGTTCCTATCTATGAGTGAGAACATGCGGTGTTTGGTTTTTTGTCCTTGCGATAGTTTACTGAGAATGATGATTTCCAATTTCATCCATGTCCCTACAAAGGACATGAACTCATCATTTTTTATGGCTGCATAGTATTCCATGGTGTATATATGCCACATTTTCTTAATCCAGTCTATCACTGTTGGACATTTGGGTTGGTTCCAAGTCTTTGCTATTGTGAATAGTGCCGCAATAAACATACGTGTGCATGTGTCTTTATAGCAGCATGATTTATAGTCCTTTGGGTATATACCCAGTAATGGGATGGCTGTGTCAAATGGTATTTCTAGTTCTAGATCCCTGAGGAATCGCCACACTGACTTCCACAAGGGTTGAACTAGTTTACAGTCCCACCAACAGTGTAAAAGTGTTCCTATTTCTCCACATCCTCTCCAGCACCTGTTGTTTCCTGACTGTTTAATGATTGCCATTCTAACTGGTGTGAGATGGTATCTCATTGTGGTTTTGATTTGCATTTCTCTGATGGCCAGTGATGATGAGCATTTTTTCATGTGTCTGTTGGCTGCATAAATGTCTTCTTTTGAGAAGTGTCTGTTCATATCCTTTGCCCACTTTTTGATGGGGTTGTTTGTTTTTTTCTTGTAAATTTGTTTGAGTTCATTGTAGATTCTGGATATTAGCCCTTTATCAGATGAGTAGGTTGCGAAAATTTTCTCCCATTTTGTAGGTTGCCTGTTCACTCTGATGGTAGTTTCTTTTGCTGTGCAGAAGCTCTTTAGTTTAATCAGATCCCATTTGTCAATTTTGGCTTTTGTTGCCATTGCTTTTGGTGTTTTAGACATGAAGTCCTTGCCCATGCCTATGTCCTGAATGGTAATGCCTAGGTTTTCTTCTAGGGTTTTTATGGTTTTAGGTTTAACATTTAAGTCTTTAATCCATCTTGAATTAATTTTTGTATAAGTTGTAAGGAAGGGATCCAGTTTCAGCTTTCTCCATATGGCTAGCCAGTTTTCCCAGCATCATTTGTTAAATAGGGAATCCTTTCCCCATTGTTTGTTTTTCTCAGGTTTGTCAAAAATCAGATAGTTGTAGATATGCGGCGTTATTTCTGAGGGCTCTGTTCTGTTCCATTGATCTATATCTCTGTTTTGGTACCAGTACCATGCTGTTTTGGTTACTGTAGCCTTGTAGTATAGTTTGAAGTCAGGTAGCGTGATGCCTCCAGCTTTGTTCTTTTGGCTTAGGATTGACTTGGCGATGCAGGCTCTTTTTTGGTTCCATATGAACTTTAAAGTAGTTTTTTCCAATTCTGTGAAGAAAGTCATTGGTAGCTTGATGGGGATGGCATTGAATCTATAAATTACCTTGGGCAGTATGGCCATTTTCACGATATTGATTCTTCCTACCAATGAACATGGAATGTTCTTCCATTTGTTTGTATCCTCTTTTATTTCATTGAGCAGTGGTTTGTAGTTCTCCTTGAAGAGGTCCTTCACGTCCCTTGTAAGTTGGATTCCTAGGTATTTTATTCTCTTTGAAGCAATTGTGAATGGGAGTTCACTCATGATTTGGCTCTCTGTTTGTCTGTTACTGGTATATAAGAATGCTTGTGATTTTTGTACATTGATTTTGTATCCTGAGACTTTGCTGAAGTTGCTCATCAGCTTAAGGAGATTTTGGGCTGAGACGGTGGGGTTTTCTAGATATACAATCATGTCATCTGCAAACAGGGACAATTTGACTTCCTCTTTTCCTAATTGAATATCCTTTATTTCCTTCTCCTGCCTAATTGCCCCGGCCAGAACTTCCAACACTATGTTGAATAGGAGTGGTGAGAGAGGGCATCCCTGTCTTGTGCCAGTTTTCAAAGGGAATGCTTCCAGTTTTTGCCCATTCAGTATGATATTGGCTGTGGGTTTGTCATAGACAGCTCTTATTATTTTGAGATAATTGTTTCTAGTGCCTAGCACTGTCTTGGCGCATAACAGTCCCTCAATAAATATTTGTGAAACAAGAGAACCCACTCACAAACTGGGTATGCCTACATACCGATGTTCGTTATCCCTGAATTCCTGCAATGTGTGCCACGTAATTAGGCACTTGATTATATACCATATGTCAATGTTCTCTAATGTGTGGCATTTTATCACCCCAATCATCTGTACTAATGCAGTGAGAGAAAGAGTGAGAGAGAGCGAGAGAGAGAAAGGATATGTGATTTGAAAGGTTCTGAGATGATTACTGAGATTGCGTAGCAAACCAATAGAATGGTCGTGCAGACTCTGTGCCAGTGATTCTAGAATTGCTGAAAGTTTGCAATGACAATTCAAAACAAGTAAATAAATGTTTCTAGCACTGTGCTGGGCGCTGGGGGAGAGTACAAGAGAGGCAGAATACATGGCCTTAGAGCTGAAGGACTTCATCTCCCCACTGGGAACTAAGGTAAGTGAGAATGTCATCGGCACACTGCCAGGAAATGTGGCTGGAATATCACTGCTCTGCTTCCTGTCCGCTCATGGTGGACATCCCTACTCAGCCATGGCGTCATGGGACTCTTTCCTACGAGGCCCCAAACTAGCTCAGGATGTTTTCCCTCAAAGTCCTTGAGTGAGCCACACTAAACAACTGGCATCAGTAGGCGAGATGAACACTGAAAGCGCTGAAAGTTGAAGGGAGGCAGTCATGATGAGATCGACGTGGGTTTCAGGGGTCTGGGGAGGCTTCATGGAGATGGTGAGTTGATGAGAACACAAATTATGTCTTCACGCACGGGCTCTGTACCAGCGATAGATCTGAGGGTCTCATACTAGAAGCCTACAGCATCCTAGGTAGCTTCAGCTCAGCATCCCTCAAGGGCCTGGCTGTCGATCGGCTCCATTTCTGTAGTTTCTGTTACTGACTCTCCTCCGAACCAAAGCTGCCCCTTGCTGAGGCGAACGATGACGTTGCAGGGGTTGGGCCTGGGTTACAGTGGCTGGATACAACCCAGCCAAGGTTTTCTGTCTGTCTGGTTAGCGTGCTTGAGCACTGACTTCCGCGAGTGAAGCGTCTCTGAAAGGGGAGAAAACCAGTGCTGCTGCCACTCCTCCTCACTCTGCAGAATCAGGGTAAGTGGAGCTTCTCTGTGCCCAGAACAGCCCCGAGCTGTGTGGTGTGCCTGTAATACAGCACAATCAAAGGACTGAGCCTCCTACTACTCTGCTTATCGTCTAAGTTTTTTAAAGGCAGAATCTGGAAAGATGGTACCACCACTCAAGAAGAGGGGTTGTTGTTTTGGTTTGTTTAGAGGCACATCTGCTAGGAAAACAAAACAAAACAAAACACAGAATTTGTCTCTTCAAAGTTTGGGCCTCAAAAGGCTTTTACAACTACAGAATCTTTTCAAATAAGAAAGGGCAAAGGCTTTTCCTTTCAACTTTAAGAAAGAGCAGCCATCTTTTTGCTTCAGCCAGCACCCAGCCCTAGTTAATAGTTCAATTTCATACTTTGCCTTTCTCCTACAAGTATATGAGATGGTTTGGAATGAAAAACAAATATCAAGATTATTGAGGAAGAAATGAAACCCAAAATGTGAGGAGATTTGTCTCAGGAGATATTTTCTTTTTTGCTGTTTGATGTTCTTGGGGGATTTTTCCAAAAGCCCAGCACTGCAATCTCACCACTCCCGGCAGTGCCCTGAACTCCTCACCTGCGTGCTCATCTTCCTCTCTGACACCTCACCAGAAAATGTATATTTTAAAATGGGATGTTTGCTGATCTAAAGGAGATATTTCCTATTGTATTCTGAGGTTTTGAGTGAAAGTCAGGGAGGAAAAAAGTTTATTGTCGTAGTCTTCACTAGACCAACACATGACAGGGCCACAGTTAACTCTGCTCATGGTTAAGACTGATCTTGACTTTGATTTCTGAAACTCCTACATGCGCACTTTTCCTCTTGGGTCAGTGTTTTGTATTGGAAAAAAAAAAAACACCTCATTCTCTGCAGTAAAACTTTCCCCAACTTCTTTTTACCGACTTAATGGCTTTTTCTAGAACAGATGATTAGATGAAGCCAGAAAACAGTTTGGCCATAAAGGACATATTGATTCCATCAGATTTGCCAGAACACAACTGCAGAGAAAGGTCTAAAAAAATGAGTTGAGAAATCAAGATGCTGCCGAAGCAATTTCTTGGCCAGGAATCTTTTAGCTGTTGCTTGTTTTAAATTCTTTCATTTTGCATTTCGGGAAGGGAGTCTCAAATTAAAGCCAAAATCCTAAATGCAATAAGATAAGTGCCATTTGCTATGAATTCTGATTATTTCTCTTGAATGAGTAACCAAGAGCCAATTTCTCACATAATAATAATTTTGCATATTAATGAGAAACAGAGTTGATTGGGTTCTACAGAGGCCATTTCTAGCTGAGTTAAAGGAAAAATACCTTAGAGGCAGCAAGGACCTTAGAAAGCATGTAATTTAATCCCTTCATTTTATAGGAACAGAGAGGATGAAAGCCTTGCCCTTGAGCATACAGCTGACTGAGTGCTCAGGGAGGACTTTGATCTGTGTCAAAATGTATCTCAACCAGGTGTATCAATCCTGACTTTCCATTACTAATAAGGCTCTCTGCTATTATTTGCATGGGATTGTGGCAAGGACAAGATTTTATTCCTTAGAACTAATAGTAGAAAATAAAGAAATAATGCCAAATGTGCAGCATTGCCACCCGAGAGGACTTCTTTGTTGACATTCAAAAGCCCATTTTGAATGTAAACAAAGAGTGCCATTTGAACCAGTTTACCTAGTGTTGTAGCCAGCCTTAGTTTTAGAAAAGAGAGTTTTGTGATCTCTGCATACCATGGAAGTGTCTAAATCAACAGACACAGACACTGAACCCAGGGCAAGGCCCTGTCAGAATAAAACATGGAAATGGTGTTGAGATCATATCAACAAAACTATAAAGTAAACATTACAAGGGTTTGCTGCAATGGGATAGTGTATGTGGTGAGGGCACACAGCGTTCCTCAGGCTGACCTGCCCCTGGGTATGAAACACCATCCCTCCCAGCAGGCTGAAAAGCTGCAGCCACACCAGGCACTGAAATGAGACCCCTTGAGGCCACAGGCCACAGCTTCTTCCTCTCCCATCATCTAGGAAGGGCAGATTGCCTGTGGTCGGGACACAAATAAATGGCCAATTCCCTTCCGAGCTAGTCTAACCTTCAGTGTCATAACTCAGCTAATGGACTAACTTTAGAATGCTGCAAATGATAAAACCCATGTTTTCATTGGCATTTTTGTTGTAGAAACAAATATGCTCCCAACACACTATTCTGTAATATACATATTGCATTATCCACTACAGATTTTTAAATTACTATTTTACTTTAAGGTTTATACTGAAATATTGCTAACATTACTTCTGTTGTCATCTATTATTTAATGAGTGTATTCCAGCTGGACAGAAAGACAGGGCTAGCTGTTTCCTGTCTGACTCATTGTTGCTAACAGTTGTCAGGGAAGCAAAAACGTTCAGTCTATTGATGTACTCCAGCTGTGCAACTTTGGATATTGTATTTCTACTGAAAAAAGAGCTGGTGACTTTTTCTAATGCCTCTGCCATTAAAAAAAAAAGACAGTTTATTGTCATGGGATGCCAATTATCAGTTTTTTAAAAACGTTAAAAATCTATGATGAATTGAATTACTCTCTTGCTAACACCATTGAGTTGTGTTGAAAGGAGCTTTAGATTCTCAAAATCATTGTCAAACTTCATGTAGAAGGTTTCCTGCTAACTCCAAACACCCAACCTTCAAACCAAAGACTAATATTTTATTCATTGAACAAGTTTTTCTATTATTAAAACAGCTTTATTGAGATATATTTGCAGATAATATAATTCATACAATTAAATGTTTTTTAGTATATTTACAGACTTGTGTAATCATCATCACCATAATCAATTTTAGAACATTTTCATTACCCTAGAAAGAAGTCCCATTCTCCTTAGCTATCACCACCCCCTATTTCCCCAACTTATCCCAAGGCTTAGGCGATCACTAATTTCCTTTCTGTTTCAATTGCTTTGCCTATTCTGGGAGTTTCATATAAATGAAATTATACAATATGTGGTCCTGTGTGACTAACTTCTTTTCATTAGCATAATATTTTTACAGTTTATTCATATTGTAGCATGTATCACTACTTCATTCATTTTTGTGGTTGTGTAATATTCCATTGTACAGGTATACCACATTTTATTTATCCATTCACCTATGAATGGAGATTTTGGTTGTTTTCATTTTTGGCTATTAGGACTAATTCTGCTATGAACATTCATGTATAAGTTTTTCTGTGAACATATGTTTTCATTTTCCTTGGGTATACATCTAGGAGTAGAATTGCTGTGCCATTGGTAATTCTATCTTTAACCTTTTGAAAAATTGCTAGACTATTTTCCAAAATGGCTGTACCACTGGACATTCCCACCAGCGATGTATGGGGGTTCCAATTTTTCCACATATTCCCCGCTTGTTATCATCTATCTTTTTTTCTTATAGCCATCCTAGTGAGTATGTAGTGGACAGTTTCTTAAATCTATTTTTGAAGTGTTGTAATTATGTCCTGAAGCCCAGTTGGATTCTGTGTCAGGGAGGGAGGAAACAGGTAGCACCAACCTGACACATGCTTCCACTGGTCATGCACTGCATGAGGGCGGTGACTGCTCACAGTCCTGCACCCGGGGCTTAGAAGAAGGCCAGGCACATTGTAGGCATGTTCAACTTTTGTAGAATAAATTACTAAATAAGTCAATGGAGAGCCTGCTATGTGCTAGCACCAGTATGGATGCAGAGTTGCAAATGACATGACCCTGCTCCTAAGGAGCTTATATTCTAGAAGGAAGTAGAGTGCCATCATTCCTGAAAGAAAGCGACTGATGACAGGGAGAGGTACATGATAGGTGAAAGCGTACTCATTTCTAAGCCACTAAAGTATAAAGGGTGAAAGCTTGAGTTCCTTTGATCTTAGCCTTATTTGTGAAGTCTGGCTTCCAGGAAATGGTGGGGAAGAACCACCAGTCACCCAAACTGCATGAGTGAGGAAGCCTTCCATCGACAGTTGAAACCTCTCAGACATGAGAGCATCTTTTGTGTTTGTGCGTGTGTGTGTGTGTATTTGTGTGTGTGTGTATGTGTGTGTGTGTGTGTCTGTGGGCTCAGAGTATAACATGATTCTTCTCCTTAAGCTCAGGTTTTTAGTGATTTGCCCATTTTCTTTCTTCCTTTCTGCTTTTTTTCCTCTCTCTTTCTCGCCCTCTCTGTTGTATCCCCTGGCCCCTTCTCTCTCAATCATCTGTGTACCCATCTGTCCTCACCACCTCTCCAACTACACTCTCACCAGCTCCAGGGTATATTTTATATAAATTTCTTCAGCTTTAATACATAATGACCAATCTAAGTGAATAAACCATGATTTCCTTTTTTTATTATTATACTTTAAGTTCTAGGGTACATGTGCACAACGTGCAGGTTTGTTACATAGGTATACATGTGCCATGTTGGTTTGCTGCACCCATCAACTTGTCATTTACATTATTAGTTATTTCTCCTAATGCTATCCCTCCCCCACTCCCCACCCCCCAACAGGTCCCGGTGTGTGATGTTCCCCTCCCTGTGTCCGTGTGTTCTCATTGTTCAACTCCAACTTATGCATGAGAATATGCGGTGTTTGGTTTTCTGTCCTTGTGATAGTTTGCAGAGAATGATGGTTTCCAGCTTCATCTATGTCCCCGCAAAGGACATGAACTCATCCTCTTATATGGCTGCAGAGTATTCCACGGTGTATATGTGCCACATTTTCTTTATACAGTCTATTACTGATGGACATTTGGGGTGGTTCCAAGTCTTTGCTATTGTGAACAGTGCTGGGATAAACATACATGTGCATGTGTCTTTATAGTAGCTTGATTTATAATCCTTTGGGTATATACCCAGTAATGGGATTGCTGGGTCAGATGGTATTTCTAGTTCTAGATCATTGAGGAATCACCACACTGTCTTCTACAATGGTTGAACTAATTTACACTCCCACCAACAGTGTAAAAGCTTTCCTATCTCTCCACATTCTCTCCAGCAACTCTTGCTTCCTGACTTTTTAATGGTTGACATTCTAACTGGTGTGAGATGGTATCTCATTGTGGTTTTGATTTGCATTTCTCTAATGACCAATGATGATGAGCACTTTTTCATATGTTTGTTGGCTGCATAAATGTCTTCTTTTGAGAAGTGTCTGTTCGTATCCTTTGCCCACTTTTTGATGTGTTGTTTAGTTTTTTCTTGTAAATTTATTTAAGTTGTTTGTAGATTCTGGATATTAGCCCTTTGTCAGATGGATAGGTAGCAAAAATTTTCTCCCATTCTGTAGGTTGCCTGTTCACTCTGATGATAATTTCTTTTGCTGTGCAGAAGCTCTTTAGTTTAATTAGATCCCATTTGTCTATTTTGGCTTTTGTTGCCATTGCTTTTGGTGTTTTAGTCATGAAGTCCTTGCCCATGCCTTTGTCCTGAATGGTATTGCCTAGGTTTTCTTCTGGGGTTTTTATGGTTTTAGGACTTACATTTAAGTCTTTAATCCATCTTGAGTTAATTTTTGTATAAGGTGTAAGGAAGGGATCCAGTTTCAGTTTTCTACATATGGCTAGCCAGCTTTTCCAGCACCATTTATTAAATAGGGAATCATTTCCCCATTGCTTGTTTTTGTCAGGTTTGTCAAAGATCAGATGGTTGTAGATGTGTGATGTTATTTCTGAGGCCTCTGTTCTGTTCCATTGGTCTATATCTCTGTTTTGGTACCAGTACCATGCTGTTTTGGTTACTGTGGACTTGTAGTATAATTTGAAGTCAGGTAGTGTGATGCCTCCAGCTTTGTTCTTTTTGCTTAGGATTGTCTTGACACTGGGGGCTCTTTTTTGGTTCCATATGAACTTTAAAGTAGTTTTTTCCAATTCTGTGAAGAAAGTCATTGGTAGCTTGATGGGGATAGCATTGAGTCTATAAATTACCTTGGGCAGTAGGGCCATTTTTGCGATATTGATTCTTCCTATCCATGAGCATGGAATGTTCTTCCATTTGTTTGTGTCCTCTTTTATTTCATTGAGCAGTGGTTTATAGGTCTCCTTGAAGAAGTCCTTCACATCCCTCATAAGTTGGATTCCTAGGTATTTTATTCTCTTTGTAATAATTGTGAATGGGAGTTCACTCATGATTTGGCTCTCTGTTTGTCTGTTCTTGGTGTATAGGAATGCTTGTAATTTTTGCACATTGATTTTGTATCCTGAGACTTTGCTGAAGTTGTTTATCAGCTTAAGGAGATTTTGAGCTGAGATGATGGGGTTTTCTAAATATACAATCATGTCATCTGCAAACAGAGGCAATTTGACTTCCTCCTTTCCTAATTTAATACCCTTTATTTCTTTGTCTTGACTGATTGCCCTGGCCAGAACCTCCAATACTATGTTGAATAGGAGTGGTGAGAGAGGGCATCCCTGTCTTGTGCCAGTTTTCAAAGGGAATGCTTCTAGCTTTTGCCCATTCAGTATGATATTGGCTGTGGGTTTGTCATAAATAGCTCTTATTATTTTGAGATATGTTCCATCAATACCTAGTTTATTGAGAGTTTTTAGCATGTAAGGCTGTTTAATTATGTTGAAGGCCTTTTCTGCATCTATTGAGATAATCATGTGGTTTTTGTCTTTGGTTCTGTTTATTTGATGGATTATGTTTATTGATTTGTGTATGTGGAACGAGCCTCACATCACAGGGATAAAGCTGACTTAATCGTGGTGGATAAGCTTTTTGATGTGCTGCTGGATTCGGTTTGCCAGTATTTTATGAAGGATTTTTGAATTGATGTTCATCAGGGATATTGGTCTAAAATTCTCTTTTTTTGTTGTGTCTCTGCCAGGCTTTCCTATCAATCAGTATGATGCTGGCCTCATAAAATGAGTTAGGGAGGATTCCCTCTTTTTCTATTGATTGGAATAGTTTCAGAAGGAATGGTTCCAGCTCCTCTTTGTACCTCTGGTAGAATTTGGTTGTAAATCCATTTGGTCCTGGACCTTTTTTGGTTGGTAAGCTATTAACTATTGCCTCAATTTCAGAATCTGTTATTGGTCTATTCAGAGATTCAACTTCTTTCTGGTTTAGTCTTGGGAGGGTGTATGTGTCTAGAAATTTATCCATTTCTTCTAAATTTTCTAGTTTATTTGCATAGAGATGTTTATAGTATTCTCCGATGGTAGTTTGTATTGCTGTGGAATTGGTGGTGATATCTCCTTTATCATTTTTTATTGCTTCTATTTGATTCTTCTCTCTTTTCTTCTTTATTAGTCTTGCTAGCGGTCTCTATTTTGTTGATCTTTTCAAATAACCAGCTCCTGGATTCATTGATTTTTTGAAGAGTTTTTTGTATCTCTACCTCCTTCAGTTCTGCTCTGATCTTAGTTATTTCTTGTCTTCTGCTAGCTTTTGAATGTGTTTGCTTTTGCTTCTCTAGTTCTTTTAATTGTGATGTTAGGGTGTCAATTTTAGATCTTTCCTGCTTTCTCTTGTGGGCATTTAGTGCTATAAATTTCCCTCTACACACTGCTTTAAATGTGTCCCAGAGATTCTGGTGCGTTGTGTCTTTGTTCTCATTGGTTTCAAAGAACATCTTTATTTCTGCCTTAATTTCGTTATGTACCCAGTAGTCATTCAGGAGCAGGTTGTTCATTTTCCATGTAGTTGAGTGGTTTTGAGTGAGTTTCTTCATCCTGAGTTCTAATTTGATTGCACTGTGGTCTGAGAGACAGCTTGTTGTGATTTCTGTTCTTTTACGTTTGCTGAGGAGTGTTTTACTTCCAATTATGTGGCCAATTTTAGATTTAGTGCGATGTGCTGCTAAGAAGAGTGTATATTCTGTTGATAGGGTTGGAGAGTTCTGTAGATGTCTATTAGATTTGCTTGGTCCAGAGCTGAGTTCAAGTCCTGGATATCCTTGTTAATTTTCTGTCTCCTTGATCTGCCTAATATTGACAGTGGGGTGTTAAAGTTTCTCATTATTATTGTATGGGAGTCTAATCTCTTTTTAGGTCTGTAAGAATTTGCTTAATGAATCTGGGTGCTCCTGTATTGGTTGCATATATATTTAGGATAGTTAGCTCTTCTTGTTGAATTGATCCTTTTACCATTATATAATGGCCTTCTTTGTGTCTTTTGATCATTGTTGGTTTAAAGTCTGTTTTATCAGAGACCAGGATTGCAACCCCTGCTTCTTTTTGCTTTCCATTTGCTTGGTAGATCTTCCTCCATCCCTTTATTTTGAGCCTATGTGTGTCTTTGCATGTGAGATTGGTCTCCTGAATTCAGCACACTGATTGGTCTTGACTCTTTATCCAATTTGCCAGTCTTTGTCTTTTAATTGGGGCATTTAGCCCATTTACATTTAAGTTTAATATTGTTACGTATGAATTTTATCCTGTGATTATGATGCTAGCTGGTTATTTCACCTGTTAATTGATGCAGTTTCTTCCTACCCTCGATGGTCTTTACAATTTGGCATGTTTTTGCAGTGGCTGGTACCGGTTGTTCCTTTCCATGTTTAGTGCTTCCTTCAGGAGCTCTTGTAAGGCAGGCCTGGTGGTGACAAAATCTCTCAGCATTTGCTTGTCTGTAAAGAATTTTATTTCTCCTTCACTTACAAAGCTTAGTTTGGCTAGATATGAAATTCTGTGTTGAAAATTCTTTTCTTTAAGAATGTTGAATATTGGCCCCCACTCCCTTCTGGCTTGTAGAGTTTCTGCTGAGAGATCCACAGTTAGTGTGATCGGCTTCCCTTTTTGGGTAACCTGACCTTTCTCTCTGGCTGTCCTTAATATTTTTTCCTTCATTTCAACCTTGGTGAATCTGACAATTATGTGTCTTGGGGCTTCTCTTCCAAGGAATATCTTCGTGGTGTTCTCTGTATTTCCTGAATTTGAATGTTGGCCTGCCCTGGTAGGTTGGGGAAGTTCTCCTGGATAATATTTGGAAGAGTGTTTTCTAACTTGGTTCCATTCTCCCAGTCACTTTCAGGTACACCAATCAAACGTAGATTTGGTCTTTTCACATAGTCTCATATTTCTTGGAGGCTTTGTTTGTTTCTTTTCACTCTTTTTTCTCTAATCTTGTCTTCTCACTTTATTTCATTAATTTGATCTTTAGTCACTGATATCCTTTCTTCCACTTGATCGAATCAGCTATTGAAGCTTGTGTATGCTTTACGAAGTTCTCTTACTGTGCTTTTCAGCTCCATCAGGTCATTTAAGCTCTTCTCTACACTGTTTATCTAGTTAGCCGTTCGTCTAACTTTTTTCAAGGTTTTTAGCTCCTTTGCAAAGGGTTAGAATATGCTCCTTTAGCTCAGAGAATTTGGTTATTACCGACCTTCTGAAGCCTCCTTCTGTCAACTCGTCAAACTCCTTCTCTGTCCAGTTTTGTTCCCTTGCTGGTGAGGAGTTGTGTTCCTTTGGAAGAGAAGAGATGTTCTGGTTTTTGGAATTTTCAGCCTTTCTGCTCTGGTCTCTACCCATCTTTGTGGTTTTGTCTACCTTTGGTCTTTGATGTTAGTGACCTACAGATGGGGTTTTGGTGTGGATGTCCTTTTTGTTGATGTTGATGCTATTCCTTTCTGTTTGTTAGTTTTCCTTCTAACAGACAGGCCCCTCAGCTGCAGGTCTGTTGGAGTTTGCTGTAGGTATACTCCAGACCCTGTTTTCCTGGGTATCACCAGTGGAGGCTGCAGAATAGCAAATATTTCTGTCTGAATCCTCCTCTGGAAGCTTCATCCCAGAGGGGCACCCACCTGTGTGAGTTGTCTGTTGGCGCTTACTGGAAGGTGTCCCCCAGTCAGGTTACACGGGGGTCAGGGACCCCCTTGAGGAGGCAGGCTGTTCATTATCAGAGCTCAAACGCTGTGCTGGGAGAACTCCTGCTCTCTTCATAGTTGTCAGGCAGGGATGTTTAAATCTGCAGAAGCTGTCTGCTGCCTTTCATTCAGATATACCCTGCCCCCAGAGGTGGGATCTAGAGAAACAGTAGGCCTTGCTGAGCTGTGGTTGGCTCCACCCAGTTTGAGCTTCCCTGACACTTTGTTCACACTGTAAGCATAGAACTGCCTATGCAAGCCTCAGCAATGGTGGACGCCCCTCTGCCCACCAAGCTCCAGTGTCCCAGGTCAATCTCAACTGCTGTGCTGGCAGCAAGCAAGTCTCTGTGGGCTTGGGACCCACTGAGCCAGGCACAGGAGGGAATCTCCTGGTCTGCTGGTTGTGAAGACCATGGGAAAAGCACAGTATTTGGGCAGAAGTGTACCATTCCTCCAGGTACAGTCACTCACGGCTTCCCTTGGCTAGGAAAGGGAAATCCCCTGACCCCTTGTACTTCCTGGGTGAGGTGATGCCCCACCCTGCTTTGGCTCACCCTCCATGGGCTGCACCCACTGTCCAACCAGTCCCAATGAGATGAACCAGGTACCTCAGTTGGAAATGCAGAAATTACCTGTCTTCTGTGTCGATCTTGCTGGGAGCTGTACACCAGAGCTGTTCCTATTTGGCCATATTGGAAGCAACTCCATGATTTTCTCAATGAATCTCTTGCTATAAAGGTTTATTTCCATTTTTGTTATAAATAATGCTATGAATGAATATGTTCATGGCTTTTCTTTTCCAAATTTGAATATTTTAAAAGATAACAGTCCATTTGAGTTTTCAGACTTTGAGCTTTCCCTTCATGGAGATCCACAGACCCAGGCCCCTTCCATCCTTGGGTGCCCATCCCCTAGGTCCTCCAAGTCTGCTTCCAGCTAGCAGAAGAGGAAGGATTAGGGGAAGGTACTTGTTTCTTAATCACATTGCCAAGAAGTGGCCCCCATTCTGTTGGATGCCATCCTTTCTGTTTACATTCCACTGATGAGACCTTGTCACATGGTTCCACCTGGTTACAAGAGGGTCTGGTTGGACAGGCACTTTCTAGTAACAGCTGTGCATTCTCAAAGGAAGACCATGAATTTTGGGTGAACAGCTTGTCTTCTCTGTAATTATAGACTGTTTGTGGTATGACCATTGTACATTTTCATGACTTGGTGCCTTTTGCCCTATAGCTCCTCCATCCTCATTGAAATATTTTCATTTTATGTATTTCTCATTATGAAGAAAACAAACATTTGGTCTTACCCAGTCAATTCCAATAATCTATCCATGGGCCTTGTCCATTATATGCAGAACCAATGTGGCTGCTATCACAATTTTATTTTCTCTGTACTAATTCTACCTATAACTTTTTGGTTTAATATTCATACCACTCTGGTTAATTATTTTGATATCTGTTACTATATGGAGGAATTGGTTGAGACTTTATCAATGATGGCATTTGAAATACTAAGGAGAGATTGGCTCAATTGATTTAGAAAAGATTAAAAAGGAGACAATAACCAAAAAAATTGGTTTTCCTCCAAGGAGACTGCAGAGCTGCAAAAATACCTCAGCTTAACTATAGGGTCTTATTCAAAATAAAAAATAACTTAGTATTATCTGGAAATATATGCATTTATCATTTCTCCTTCTTTCTGAGCTATTTTATATATATATCTGCTATTGCTTTCATAAATGATTATAATTAAGGTGCTACTCTTTCTAGATAAATAATTTTGGGGTTTCTTTAACAAAGTCTCTAAGACTTAAGCATTGGTTTGAAAACAATTGTCCCCACCTCTTTCCCTCAAACCCCATCACTGACTCAAATCTGGACAAAACACCCAAGTGTTTTAAATGTTAATATTACTGTTGTAATGCTGTTAGAGAAATAGCAAAACTTTTTCTCTGACAAAATGAGTCTCAATTTTACTTGATCCAATACTTATTATTTTTCCTTTGGGAAATTAAAGGGTATAAAGTTTAATGAAGAACAAAGATTTTTATATCAGCTATAGATACTTAATGGGAATACCTCCTAAGTGACAGAAGAGTTAAATTTTACAATGTTAAGGAGAAAAATTGGTGAGGCAGAAAAAGAAAATTGTACAAGCTTCATTCATTCACTGAATTCATTTTAACAAATATTGAGTCACTTATCACATACCCAACTTTGTTCTGCTCTGGGTCTAACTAGTCATATTTAGGGTTCTAGATACCTCTACCTTGGGATTCACTAGGGAATAGTGACAAAGTTTCCTGTATTTGTGAGGCTTACATTTTAGCAGAGTGTAACAATAAGAGTAATCAGTAAGTAAATTAGGTAGTAAATTAAAATGCAATAAATATTGTAGTCTGCTTCATTAATAGGATGTTGTTAATTAATGTATCATTTCATAGCAAAAATTAATATGGGGTAAGGAGCTAAAATTTTATATGAGGTGACTGAGGTAGGCTTGAGAAGGTACCCTGAAGACCTAAAGGACAGGAAGGAGTAAGCCCAGCACAGATTCGAAGGACAAGATTTCTAAGCAAAAGGAATGAGTGCAGAGGCCCTGAGGCTGGGGTGTACCTATGATTGAAAGAAAAGCAAGAAGGCAAATGTGGTTGGATTGAAGTTGTTGGGGGCAGATATCAGGGGATGAAGTTAGGAAGGACATGGGGAATGTTGGACAGATAATGTAAAGTCTTGTAGACCAGGGGTCCCCAACCCTCGGGCCATAGACCCCTACTGGTCTGTGGCCTGTTAGGAATCAGGCTGAACAGCAGGAGGTGAAAGGCAGAAGAGAGAGCATTACTGCCTGAGCTCTGCCTCCTGTCAGATCACTGGAGGCATTAGATTCTCATAGGAGCACAAATTCTATCATGAACTGTGCATGCAAGGGATCCAGGTTGTGCACTCCTTATGAGACTCTAAGCCTGATGATGTGAGGTGGGACAGTTATATCCAGAAACCATTCAGTCATCCCCCAACCATCAGTAGAGAAATTGTCTCCCACAAAACCACTACCTGGTGTCAAAAAGTTGGGGGCTGCTGTTGTAGATCATTGCCCATTGTAAAGACTGATTTTTATTTTAAGAGAAATGGAGATACATAGGAAGGTTTTAAGCAGAAGGTTGACATGATCTGGATTATATTTCCACAGCATCATCCAGACTGCTGAGTTAAGAACAGGCAGTATGGAAGCCAAGGCAGAAACACAGTTGGGGGCTAATGTAATAAATACTCTAGGCACTAAATGGTGCTATGTTGAACCAGGGAAGGGTATTAAAGGTGATGAAAAATGGTTGCATTCTGGATCTATTTTGAAGATAGAAACTACAGGGGCCATGTGTGGAGGTTCACATCTGTAATCCCAGCACTTTGGGAGGCTAAGGTGGGAGGATTGCTTGAGCCTGGGAGGTCAAGGCTACGGTGAGCTGTGATGGCACCACTGCACTCTAGTCTAAGTGACAGAGTGAGACCCTGTCTGAAAAAAAAATAAATAAAAAAAGAGAGAACCTACTGGATTTCCTCATGGATTGGATATGAGATCTGACAGAATCAGAGGAGTCAAAGATTCTGTGGTGGCTTGTATTATTGCCAAAATATTTGCGGGTCCTTCCTACAGAGCACATCACTCTGGGAGAATTATCCTTGCACCCCACTGTCACCAGGATTGGACATGTGACTTGCTCCATGCAGTGAATTGGGAAGTGATATGCCCCTGTCCAGCAGAATATTTAAGCACCATCATGTGGGACCTCTTCAGTCCTCTGTCATGAGAAAGGCAATGTCCCAGATAGGGGTATCCCTTCAGCCTAGATTCTGAAGTGGAGAAGGCATGAAACAGTCACAGTCCACATTCTGCTGATATGTAACATGAGCAAGCAGAAATTGTTGCTCTAAGCTTCTTAGATTTTTGTTGTTGTTGTTATTGTGACATAACTCAGTGAAAGTTCATGGATACAGATTGCCTTCAAGGACTTTGTTTTCGACATCTGAAAGGATGGAGTTTCCATTGACTGAGATGGGAAGATTATGGAATTAGGGTGAATAGGTTTCAAAGGGAAGATTAAGAGTTCAGCTTTGGACATGTTAAGTTTGAGATATTTGTCATATGTTAAGGTAGGGATGTTGAGTAGGCAATTGGATGTAAGAATCTGAAGTTCAAAGGAGATGCTCAGGAAGGAGATAATAATTTTGGGGCTGTCAGTATAGAATTGGTGGTTTCTAAGGCCAAAGGATTGCTTAACGTCATCAAGAGAGTAGTAATAACAGCAGAGGAGGAGGACTCCATGAGAGCTCATTACTGACCTCATCAAGAGCATTTTCTCTTGGCAGGGAAGCCTAATTGAGATGAGTTTGAGAAGGAAAGTGAGGAAAGAAATTGGCAGCAGCAAGGATAGTTAATTCTTTGGAGATTTGCTCTAAGGCAGAGTCAAGAAATGGGTAAGAAACTGGATCAGATGTTGGATCAAGTGGGGGTTTTTCTAATAGGATGAACACAACAGAGCAGATGCTTTTCTTGAACAGTTGAGTAGAATCCTTTTACGTCTCTTGGCCTTTTTCTCAGTTTCAAAGAGTGGAAATAAACTAGCATTTATTGCACATTAAAATATGCTGTATATTATATTAAGCACATTCATATATTCATTTATACTTAACAACCACATTGCGAAGTAACTGTGATTCCTTTCAGGGTCTCTGAAAGATGAAGTAACTTAATTAATGTCACACAACTAGTGCACGGAAGAGCTGAGATTCAATTATTCATCTCACTTTTGGCAAAGCCCATGCTCTTTTCTCTTTAGTAACTGCCTTCCAAACAAGATAAAATGTTCTCTCTGAAGCAAATCTCATGAACATTTCCTGTTTTGCTTTTCAACTAGCAGAGCGTGGTATGAGATAAAATTGTACTAGCAGGTGACTTTGTGTTCCCTATACCATTGTCCAATGTTTAGCATTGAGCCACGCTCTGCTACCGTTGGCTCTAAATTAAGAGTTCGGCTGCCCAATCAGAAATCTGAATTTAAGCTCACCACTGATGCTGTCTAGAAAGCTCCAAACCCATTAAAATGTCCAGTGAAAATTTCAGTCTTTTCTTTCTTCAGGGGCAAGCAACCAGTTACCAAACTAACATGTTGCTTTAGAGTTTGGTAGAAATTAAGATAATTCATAATGATGATTGAATATGTGTGATATAAAACTTAAAAGTGGTTTCCTAGTGAAAAGCCACTTCTGCTTCTGTTGGTTTGTTTAATTTCTACCACCCAAAATAAGCAGATGGATCAGGTGGCAGTGACTGTGCTCTCATAATGTTAGTTTCTGTAATAAAAATCTCTTTAAAAAATGTCTCTCAATTAATTATGTCCCTGAGGGCCCAAATACTCATCATGCATTATCTTATTAAAAAAAAGCAACACCCACTTTTTGTTGAAACGTAAAGGAATATATAAGGTGTTTTAGTCTATTCAGGCTGCTATAACAAAAATACCATAAACTGGCTGCCTTATATACAACAGAAATTTGTTTTTTGCAGTTCTGGAGGCTAGGAAGTCAAAGATGAAGACATCAGCAGATTCAGTGTCTGGTGAGGACCATTCCTCAATGATGGTGCCTTCTCACAGTGGAAGAGACAAACAACCTCCCTTAGGCCTTTTTTATAAGCGCATTAATCTATCTCATTGAGGACTAGATATCAACACATGGATTTTGCAGAGACACAAACATTCAGACCACAGCATAAGGATATAAATTAGTACTTTATTTTTAAAGGTCACAGTAAGTTCTGCTATTTCAATATAAACAACGGTTTCTAGTGGCCTGTGGCAGTGCCTAGAAAGGCTGTCCAGGGTCTGATAAAGTGGTGTGGCTTACTGCAGAGCTTGAATTGGTGATGGGGAGACTTGTATAAGGCTAGTGAGTTATCAGGAAAATGTGGGGGTTTAGCTCAGGTTTCTCACATCCTAATATGTTGTACTATACTTAGCTGCCATGGAGGGAGCAAAACAAATTTGCATTTCATGTGGACTGTGTAGCTAATTTGATCCATGCATCAAATCTTCCAATCCCCCTCCTGGAAAGGATCCTGGCCATAGGGATATCCATATCACTCAAGTGGGCCAATCAGAAGCCTTCTCTGGGATTATGTTGATTTTTGATGGCTGGAAAAAACTATGTGCTTTTTTTCTGGTAGGGTTGCAGAATTACCAGTGGCCCTGTTCCTGCCACCTAGGGAAGGCCTATCTGCAGAAAGAGGTCATGAGGCTGGTTGACATGTAAAAATGAGCTGAGCTGAGGTAAGAGAGATATACTGAGTTCAGTCCCCAGTTCTAAGTCCTCAGGCTCAGGTTTCTGAAGCTCATCCTTAAATTCTATAAACATTAGCATTTCAAAAATTGCTCTGCTATAGAAAACTCATTAATTTTCTTACTTCAGCTATGATCCAGTGAAAATATCAACTGCTTAAATTATTATTACACATAAAGAAGTGTATTAGCTCGGTATCTTAGGCAGCTTTGGCTGCTATAATGAAATACCACAGACTACATGGCTTAAACAACAGACATTTATTTCTCCTGGTTCTAGAGGTTGTGAAGTTTAAGATCAAGTTTCCAGCATGGTCATTGTCTGGTGAGGACTCTCTCCTTGGTTGGCAGATGACTATCTTGTCACTGTGTCCTTACATGACAGAGAGAGAGAGAGAGAGAGAGAGAGAGAGAGAAAGAGAGAGAGAAAGAGAGACGGGGGAGAGGGAGTGGAAACAAGTGAGCTCCGGTCTGTTTCTCTTTCTATAAGGACACTGATCTCATCATGGGGCCCCTACCCTCATCTAAACCTAATGATCTCCCAAAGATCTCACCTCCAAATACTATCACTTTGGGGGATAGGGCTTCAACATATGAATTTTGGGGTGTGGGGGCACAGACATGTATTCCCTAACACTTGGGAAGAGATTTGAGTAAAATAGAGGAAGGCAGGAGAACAGGAGGAAGGAAGAAGTTAATGAACAAAGAGAAGAAGGTAAAGAAAAAAGATGAAATTTCTATTCCCCTCAGAAACTTTTCCTTTCAATTCCATTGGTCAATAAATTCTCTCTCTCTCTTGTTTAACCTATTTTAAGTTGGGTTTCTGTCACTTTCAGCTGAAAGAACCCTGGTTAATTCACTACCCTTTGAAGGTGTTACAAAGATTATTCTATTGCATGAAATCATATAATTAAAGAATTAGGAATATCTTTTTGTTGGAAATTTCCCCAACTTAATTGTTCAAATTGTGTCCTTATACAGTGAGTCTCTCTCATCAAGTACAATAAATCCTGACTGTAATCTGCTTCTTTCCTCCAATAAATGTGAGTAAGATATCATATTGAGAGCTTCCAGAGGAGAACTGATAAAAATTCAAAAGGGAATATTAAAACATAATCACTAAATAAAAACATGAGTTTACAGGTTCTAAAAAATGCCAATTAGAGATGAAAATAATATAAATGTGGAAAGATGTAACCCTCTAGGGAACATCCTTCATTTTCTAACAAAGTTAATTGTACATTCTATTTCGGTAGAACTGAACTCTTTCTCCTATATTTTGCTCCTCAATTTTTTTTCATGTTAATGTCCTACTCTGCTTCATGAAGAGGATGTTATTAATAATTTGTCATTACATTATAAATGTATCATCTCAAAGTTTGGGGTTTGATTAATGTTCCCTCTCATGGTTAAGATCCTGCCAGCTGGTTTCTTGCTTAGGCAATAGAAAAGCGAACTAAGAGATTGATGAATGAAGCTATGTAATTTTAAAAACGACTAAATCTTTCTGGCCTTAATTTGAGATTAAAAAGAGAAAGAAAATTGGAAGCATTAGACTGTTTTGAAAAAAAAAAAGAAACAAGTAGCAGATGAAATCAAATTCTAAACAAAATTAAAATGTATAAAGTAAGTTGACGAATGCAATTACAAAAAAATTAAAGATTGTTCCTAGTTTGGAGAACACTTAGGAGAGTATATGCTTCTCCCTCAGCGCATTACGTTTTCCCGATCCTGAAAAATGACACATGTCCAGCTTGCTTATCATCCCCCTTCTTATAGAAATAAAGTAAACTGTCTTTTGACTCAAATTAGTCCAAATTTGCCCTCTTTTAAGCATGGACACATCAGACAACCCATTGTACTGCAAAGAGGAGAAAGAGACGCGCAGGCCAGAGGAACTGCTGCTCAACAGGAAGTTTTTTTTCCCTTGCCCTTTTTTCTCCTCTCCTTTTTTTTTTTTTCCCAATTACCTTCAGTCTCAAACTGTAGATTGCATGCCCTAGAATCCTATGGTTGAGATGAGGATGGTGTGGTGGGAACAGAAAGGGTTTGTTTTTCACCCCACCAGGCTGTGAATTCCAGCCCTTACACTTGCTAGTTAGTTGCAAATTTCTTAGCCTCTCTGAACCTGTGTTGTATAAACACAGGGACATACAGAGTGGAATAACAAACATTGGAGACTCCAAAAGGTGAGAGGGTGAGAAGGGGGTAAGGGATGAAATACTACCTAATCGGTACAAGGTACACTATATGAGTGACGGGTATTATAAAAGCCCAGACTTCACCACTGCATAATAGATGTATGTAACACAACTGCACTTGTATCCCTAAATCCATAAAGTACATTTAAAAAAATCTGAGGATGACAATATGTATTCCCTATGCTATGCAGATGTAAACAGTTGTGAAGTGCTTTATAATGCTACAGGTGAAAGATGACTTCTTTATTTTAAAAATTGTATCCAGCCCTGAGCTCACTTTTCAAGTTCTCTGAAAGCCCAGTGTTAAGACAACGGGGTAGAGGCCATGGATTTCAACCTATTATTGTCACTGCTGGAATTTCTGCAGGTGGGTGACTCCAGTCATAGTAGAGACCACTGCCTGTGCTAGGTTGGCCAGAAGGACCCTCACTAATGTTCCACAGGGGACCTTGCAGCTTCTCCACCCCAGAGGCTCTGACTCTCTGTAGAGCTTGTAGCCTCCCATTCCTGCCCCCTCCAAAGTCCCATGGGAGCCACTTTCAGGGTTAGATTCCTTTCCCTTCAGCCTTTGAAGATCACATCCCGCATTTTAGAAATGTTCCATAAACAAAGGAAAATAACATCCTAAAAGTCAATGAAGCTGGTGAGGACATGGAGGAATAGGAGCCCTTATTTGTTGCTGGTGGGAATGTAAAATGGTGCAACTGCTGTGGAAAAACATTTGGCGGTTCCTCAGAAAGGTAAACATGGAATTACTCTATAGCCCAGTAATTTCACTCTTAGGAAAATATGCCCAAGGAAAATGGAAACACACATCCACACAAAACTTGTACATGAATATTCTTGATGACATTATTTGTAATAGGTGAAAAGTGGAAATCACCCAAATGTCCATCAACTGATGAATGAATAAACAAAATGTAGTATGTTCGTACAATGGAATATTATTCAGTCATGAAAAGGATGGATACTGATACATGCTACAACATAGATGAACCTTGAAAACATTATGCTAAATGGAAGAAACCAAAGGCTACAGGTTAGGTGATTCCATTTATATGAAATGTCCAGAGTGAACAAATCCATAGAGATCAAAATTGCCTAAGGCTGAGAAGATGGAGGGAATGTGAGTGACTGCTAATGGGTATGAAGTTTCTTTTTGGATGCGTTGGAATGAAATAGTGGTAATGGTTGCACAACCTTGCGAATATATTAAAAACCACTGAATTGGCCACTTTAAAATGGTGAAATGTATGGTACATGTTACAGCCTAATTTAAATAAGTGAATTATTTAGAACAGAGTGAGCATCACTTCTTGAGCACCTGCTAACTTGCAGAAGGTACTTTTAGTGGGGACCTTACCCAGTAACAATGATCAATTACTAAATTTATTTTCCTATTCTGATTTTCATAATAAAAAAGCAAGACTATATTTTATTATCTCTTATTATCTCTGTTTTATACATGAAAAATGGAAGAGGCATAGAGAAGTTAAGTGACTTGACTGAGATTTCTCAGCCAGTGGACTAACTATGGACCTGAGACTGATGCTCTATCTTTGGGATGACAGGTCTTGTGAATTCTACTCCAGGGCTTCTACACTACCTGTTGCCCTGGCCTGAGCTCAGTATGATCTCAGTTACCATCTCAGGAGTTTGCCTTCTTGGTGAATCTAACTGCTGAAAATCAAGGTCACTCAGCATAAGAGGGGACAGGATTATGGGAAGTAAGAGTGGCAGCTCCCACACTGACCTACACTGAACCCACGCCTGGGCTGTCCCATTGGGGTAGAGGATAATAAATGGGTTTGGGGAAATACATTGGAAGGGCATGAAAGAACACATTTTTTAGGCACCCCTTCTGACCTTGGGTGAAGAATTGGGGAATGAAAGCTGCCAAATAGAGAGCTAGAGACCTGCTCATGCATCCCTTCCCAAACGCTTGTATTGGAGCCACCTGCCTTTTAGGCTTCCCCTTCTGCAAACCCCTAAGCCTAACTGTCAGGATTTCAGGAAATGTCAGTTTTCAGGAAATGATCTGTAGGAAAATTCTCAAATTGTGTTTCTATTTGCCATTTGGAAAGTGAAATGCTGAGCGAACTAATTGTCATGATGGATTTGCTAGCCAGGGAGAAATTAGCATCAAGGTTTTGTTTAAGAGGATGTTGTGCCAACAGAATGCCTGCCAACATTGCCTTTCTCTAATGAAAAGCAGTGTGTGCTTCTGGGTAGCTCTGAAGACTGCAAATTATTTCTTTCCCTTTGAAGTGCCTCACAAGTTAAAATATTCTTCTCCTTGGTTTGTTGCATGTTAATAAAGTGCATTAGTTGAGCGATGGGTCTCTAAGTACTGACGGGTAATTTGAACTATGAAAAAAGCCACAGAGATGAAAACAAACTTGTCTCAGTGGTACACTAATGAGATGGAGAAAGCTAAAGCCTTGCTTTTCCAATAGCTTTTCCTGTCCTGTCAGATACCTGGTCCCGGTATTGAACTTTGCATTTCTATAACAATTAGATTCTAAGTATTACTTGTCATTTGTCTGGAAAATGCTAAAATTCCTGCGACTTCTTCCAGGAGAGAAGTGGGAAGGAGGAGGGGGGGTCAAGCAGAGCATTCACGATGATGCCTTAGAGAAAAGGAAGTACAAATATGGCCTTTTCATAACTCCTAAAGGATTGAACAGGGTATTGTAAAATCAACAGAATAAAGCCCAGGTTTTCGTTTATTTGTCAGCCTGAAACAATGAGAGTCAGAAAATACGATTGAGTTTATTCCAGCACAAAGTTTAGAAATGACCACCAAGAAAGAGATTCCAAAAGAATAGGATCAGTGTTCCCAAGTGGGGAAGTTAAGGTTTCACTTATGTAGGCAGAAACCGAGAATTTTCACAGGGTTCAACATTTTCCATTCAAAGCCAGTGTATATGTTACAGCGATTTGATTGGTTGTAGCTTGCTACATTTTAAGGAAGATTGCTTTAACATTCTTTGAGGAGGGGTAATGATCAGAGGGGCTCTTAATCTCTGACGCCATTCGGCTATTTCTAATCATTTACAGGAAAAAACAGAAGTTGCAGCTGCATGCTGCTTGACTTAGGCCACATAGTTATATTCCTCTCAAGGCTCAAAATAATTTAGAGTTCCAACAGCTTTAAGTTTGAATTATGTAATCTCACATTTTCATGCCACAAACATTATTGAACATCTATTGTGCATCAGACGCTGTTCTAGGCACTGGAGAGACAACTAACGAGACAGAACACTCTCCTGCCTTCAAGATCTCATGGTCTCTAAGTCACATTTTTAGAACTGATTCACTTTCAGAATTGTTATAAAATTGGGGCCGTATTTGAGTCTTCAATTCAATGGACTTTTAGAAAATGATAATTTGGCTTTTGTCAGGAAAATCTGGACAGAGACAGAAGTAGCTATAAAGTGCTCTGGGAGAATGAAGGAGGGAAGGATTGTGTAGACAGAGGGAACAAATTGAATATTCTGCACAAAGATACAGGGGACTGTCAGTAGGATATGATAAGCAGCTCCCTTGGGGCTGAAGACCAAGGGTGGTGGGGAGTCACTGGTGACACAGTTGCAAAGGTAAGAAGACTTCTGGTTAAATTAAAATAAAAAAAAAGAAATAAACTCTCCTTTGGTGGAAAGGACAAGAGCAATGACTTTGCCTCCTGTGGGAGGAAAATTTTCTGTTAAAAGCACATCTTAAGACATTACTAAAATTTACTTCCAAATTCACATTTATCCACCCACTTTTGGTTTTTGGTGCCTGCAAGCTGGCTGTGAAATAGGTTTTGGCAGGAGTAAAATAGCTATGATTATAGAAATCTATCATCATGATAGAGCAAAGGAATTGTTAATAGTCACAAGGAGATATATATATATATATAAATATATATAAAATATATATAAATATATATAAAATATATATAAATATATATAAAATATGTATATAAAAATATATAAATATATAAAATATATATATAAAATATATATAAATATATAAATATATATAAATATATATAATATATATATAAAATATATATAAAAATATATATATAAATATATAAAATATATATAAATATATAAATATATATCAAATATATATACTATATAAATATATAAAATATATATAAATATATAAATATATAAATATATATCAAATATATATATACTATATATAAATATATATAGTATATATATAAATATATATAAATATATATACAATATATATAAATATATATACTATATATATAAGTAAATATACATATATTCATTAAAACATGTAGTTTCTATACTATAGTCTTTTACTTAAACAAAAAAGAAAAGCCTGCAGTGGAGCTCAGGATAAAATACAAACTACAAAGAGAAATAGAAGTGAAGGACACACTCAGGTGGCCCAGAGGTCTTGTCTTTGAGCATCTATTGATTACTGGAGCTGCTGTGCCTGATATTCACCTGAACCTCTGCTTTAGTACCAAAGAGTGGGGGCCATTCTGAACTTGTCTGAATTATTAGGTTGCTGCAAGAGTAATTGCTCTTTTTGCCATTAAGAATAATTGCAAAAACTGATATTACATTTGCACCAATCTAATACTTGCTTTCCTTCTGTTCTTGCCTACCTCCAACAGGGAGGGCTTGGGGCACTGCTCTTCTGAGTCCTAATCACACATATATTTATTTTATTAGTCTCCTGTAGTCATTCCTGTCTCTTGTGAGTATGAATCTCAGTCCAAAAACTCAGCTTGGAATGCAACTTTAGGCTAACATGATAGTAATTCTGAGCCTCTAGCCCTGTAGTCAAGGGAGAAATTAAATTTCTGTCCCTACTGGGGTTCTCTCCTTAAGGAATTGCCCACTGACCCAGGGCCCTCTCCCTCTGATTGCTGGACACATTGGGGGAATGATGACCATTCCCTGCTGATAGTCCCAGGGCACTGCCAGGGGCTGCCCGCTGCTCCCCAGGCCTAGTGGTCTCTCTTCCCACTTGGCCCTCTGTGTCCCTAGAAATAGGAAGAATTACCTTCTTCTCTCTGGTGCCTTTTTTAGGGATGTTTGTTTCTCTCCCTCTAGGATACATCACATAGGCTTATACATGAGTTTAGGCTTCGGAAAATAACAGCCAGGAAGGGAAGGATCTTAGAGGCCATTTCTCTTCTTTCACCTAAAATTCCTTCTGGGTGGAAAGCACAGAGACTTCTTGTCTGTGGCTACTCCCCTTATCCTAATCTGATTTCTCAAGGCAAGAGTGACAGCAAATGGTGGTGGGGGAGCAACATGGAGACACCGACACTTGCTCCATTTCCAAAAGGCAGACACAACCTGTAAACCAAAAAGTGAGGAGATCTCAATACATTTAGAGATTTATTTTGCTAAGGTTGAGGACACACCTGGGAAAAAGAAACACAAATTACAGTAGAATCTGTAGCCTGTGCTTTTTCCAAAGAAGGTTTTGACAGCTTCAATATTTAAAGGGGAAAGAATGGGCAGAAAGGGAGGGAGGAAAGAGGGAAAAAAAGGGGGTTAGATAGTGAGACAAGCAGTTACATTCTTTGAGGCTTTGATTAGCAACCACTGAATCCACATTTTACACAAGAAAAGAGAGGATTGGGATAAAAAGTCAATTAGTCATTCATTTGTCTTGTGTTCTTTGCAGATCTACATTTTACATATGATAATGTAAACATGTGAAATTACAGCTGTCTCTTCGTTCAAAAGGAGGGTTTGTTTGCTTTTGTTTTTGTTGACTCAGTTTTGAAGCTTAACTTTTCCCTTTGGCATAGTGAGTTTGGGGTCCTGAGATTTTATTTTCCTTTTACAAACCCACATATCCATCGATGGATGGGTGGATAAATGCAACAGACGTATCCATACAATATAAATGGTATATTCATCCATAGAAAGGAATGAAGTACTGATATATGCTGCAACATGTATGAACCTTGAAAACATTATGCTAAGTGAAAGCAGCCAATTACAGAATATCTTATATCGTGTGATTACATTGAAATGAAATGTCCCGAATGGGCAAATCTATAGAGGCAGATAGGAGACTAGTGCTTGCCTCGGTTGAGGAGGTTGAGGGATGACTGATGAAAGATAAGGAGGTTATTCCTGTAGTGATGAAGATATTCTGAAACTGATTGTGGTCCTCATTGCACAGTCTTTGAATATACTGAAAAAGAAAGCTATTGAATTGTATAATATGTGAATTATACCCCAATAAAGCTATTATCAAGAAAAAAAAGGAGTAGGGCTGTAATTTGCTGATCCCAGATCTATGCACTAACTCAAAGAAATGAATGTTATCTTTTGGCCATATATTTTGTTAATGTTAATGCTTCTTCATCAGGTATTGCTGATAACTGGCTGTTCTTTCAAATTAATCACTTTCCTAGGATGCAAAACAATCATTTTCCAAGTATCTCTCACAATACTTGGGCCTTTGGCTTTCTCTACAGGTTCTTGAAAGAAAGGAGGGGTAATAATTTCAACTTATACCCATAGAGGTTACTCTGAATGCTGGAGCGCCTACTCTAATTTGCTACATTTGTGTGATTTTGATAATATCTAGACCATGAAGCATGAATCATGCAGCTGGAAGAGATCCTAGAAACAATCTAGCCCAGTGGATTTCAAACGTATTTAGTAGAATCTGGAGCTAGAGGGCAGGGGCCTCAGGCAACAGCAGGAGGGAACTGGGATGGGTGATAAATTGGTCAGGGTGGGCTCCTACCGTTTTTTCAGTCAGAGCAGCCCTGGTTTTATCTGATGTGTATGTTTGGCTTCAGCAAGATTTTATTTGAAGAATCCAGCAGCTAACAAATGTTTAAGACTCTTCTGATTTTTAGTTTTATAGAAAAAGGAAATGAGGCTCAGGGAAAAGACTTTTCAAAGTCTGTACATCCATTTGATGGCAGTGCAGGGTCTGGAATCATAGACTTCTAAGGATGGGCAGGGTGGTCGGGGTCGTTTAATCCAACTGAAACTGAAGCTGGATTCCTCATGGGTATACCACTCCTCCCTAATGAAGGGAAGAGAGCGTAACAGGTGAGCATTAGCTCAAGAGCCATGTGGCTTGTGCTAAAACCCTATCTCACCACACATCAGCTATGTGATCTTGAGCAAGAAAATCAACCCTGCTTAACCTTGGTTTCTTTATCTGTAAAATGGGGGCAAATGGCAATGTCAGCCTCAGAAGATGAAATGGAATGATGCCAAGTATCTGGCATATAATAGAGATCTGATAAGTATTAACCATTATTGTCAGAAGTAACACAGAGTCTCCATGTACTTCGGTCTCCACAAGCTCCCCAGGGCTAAGAGGCGGCACTCCTGTGAAGTTTTCACCTCCCAAACCAAATCAACCCAAGTTGATTTCACACAGCCTGCTGTTAAGACACACCACTCCCATTGTACATTTCTGCAGTTGGAATAGCCAACCTCACTGTAAGATTTTTCATTTGTTTCTGTTCAATTTCCCTTACTTTTTGAGTCACTTATCTGAAATTGTGTGTTATTTTCCAATATCAAGTAGAAAGGCCTTGGCTAAGTCTGTCTGACAGCTTGGTCCCATTAGGAATCCACACTCAGTCTTGGAGTTTCTGCTGGACCATGTTTAAGGATACTGTTAGGTGGATGGTTCTAAACAACCCCTTTGTGTGGTCCATGATTTAGATTGTGATTTGTTGCTTACTCATCTTTTTTTCATCTCTCTCCTGCTTTGCTCTTTTCATCTGAGGCCCAGTATCAAGTACTTTCCTGTTATTTTTGTTGTATATTTTTCTAATGAGGTCTGGGATGTTCCTCCACTCCCCCACCCATACTCCACAGCATCTCTACAGACCCCCTCTAGGCTTAACACCTGTGAACTTCCAAGTAAGGCATAGCAACACCACCTGATCCTGCTTGCTGGCCACAGAATCTGTCCAGTTAACTCTAAGTTTATTTAACTCTCTATGCAGGACTATCTGTTTAATATCCAATGTTAAGCCTTTGGCCAACTAAATTGTGTTCATCATTTCTCACCTTTCATCACTCTTTAGTTCTAATATAAAAAAAGCTTAATTTATAAGATGCTCTCTATGGTCATGTACCACATAAAAAATGTTGGGTCAATGATGGACTGCACATATGATGGTAGTCTCATAAGATTAAAATACCGTATTTTTATTATGCTTTTTATATATTTAGATATACAAATGTTCATCATTGTGTTACAATTTCCTACAGTATTCGGTATAGCAGTATGCTGAAGAGGTTTGTAGCCTAAGGGCAATAGGCTATAACATTTAGCCTAGGTGTGTAGTAGGCTATACCACTATACCATCTAGGTTTGTGTAAGTACATTCTATGTCATTCACATGACAAAATTGCCTAACGACACGTTTCTCAGAACAGATCTTTGTTGTTAAGTGACACATGACTGTACACATTTCAGAAAATAGAAAAATCATCCATTCCAACAAGATGAATGTATGCCAAAATTGTAATGCAAATTCCATTATTCATTGGATTTACATTGTATTTTATGTACACACACACACACACACACGAGTTTTTAAAATAAGCATGCAGATGAATCTTTACCCTCTCTGCTAACAATTTCTTTTTAGTTAGTTCCTTGTGCCACTGAAAATGTGCTCATTAAACAACTTAATGTATTGCTTTTTTTTTTTAAAGGCACTAATTGATTTCCTTAGCATTTTAATTATTGGCTTTGTTAGCTTTACAGAAAGTTAGATTTGGAGGGATCATTAAGGACAGGACTTTAATTTTTATTATTTTATAGTTGGGAAAAATGAGGTCCAGAAATTGTAAATCTGAGCCAGGGTCATACAACATTGAGGATCACAGCTGGGACCAAGTCCTCTGCATCTCAGTTAATTCTCAGCAGATTCCATATCTGTCCATATTCTGTATCTGGACTGGCTACATTACATTACATACATATACATTACATACATAACGTATTACATTACATACATAATGTATTATATTACATACAGCTGGGTAGCTGTTTTAAAAGCAGCAATAGGATAGGTGTGGTGGCTCTTACCTGTAATCCCAGCACTTTGGGAGGCCAAGGCAGGCAGATCACTTGAGGCCAGGAGTTCAAGACCAGCCTGGCCAAAATGGTGAAACCCCATCTCTACTAAAAATTCAAAACTTAGATGGGTGTGGTGGCACACACCTGTAATTCTAGCTACTAGGGAGACTGAGGCAGGAGAATCACTTGAACTTGTGAGGTGGAGGTTGCAGTGAGCTGAGATGGCACCACTGCACTCCAGCCTGGGCAACAGAGTGAGACTCTGTCTCAGTAACAAACCAACAAAACCCCAGCAACACACAAACATATTCCCTGGGAAACTTGACATATTCTGAGTTAGACCTGGTCTGGAGTGGAGTTATGGAATATGTATTTTAAAATGGTTATCAAATGACTGTGATGCAGTTAGTTTAGGAACAAGTAACTATTCAGGAACGCTATCTAGAGCAGAACCCAGTCCAATTATTGGCCAAAAAGTTATAAAGGATCATAAATCATATAAAACTTCATCACCACAATTTTTATGAAGGAAGTAAAAGCATAGCCTAGGTGGCTTTACCCAGATTCTGCCCAACTGCCCAAATTGGAAGACCAAGAAAAATGCTGATTAGTATGAATGCAAAATGATATGAAGGTACAGACTACAAGAAATTTGGCTGGACATAGCCAAAGAACTCAGTATAGAAAATTGCACAGGGGGCCTGCAAAAATGTGTGTAGTGAGCACTCACTCCCCAGTGCCTATGGTCTAGTAACAAAGTTGAGGTCTTAGCAGTTTGCCCTTCTTCAAATGCGAGGAGTTGTAGTTGCTGATTTGCCTACCTCTGCCCCAATCCTTAACTTTTCCTTTGTCTTGCTAGTTCTTTCAAGTAAAGTGCACCCCAAGGCTGAATGAGTGCTCTGTTAATGTCATCTTAAGTCTTGATTGCAGGCCTTGTTCAGACCAAACTTAGAAACTATAAATCATGTTACAAGTGTTGGATAGCATTATGTTTCACTGTCATCTATCTAATTTCTGACCAGGGTCAAATATTGTCAGTTGCTACCATTGCAAATTATCACCATCAATCCTGCAGGGCATAACATTCCAAAACATCTGGGAAAATTGGAAGGTGTTTATTGATATGAGTGATCCCTAAAACATTGAAAAGATGATTGTAGAATTATCATTCCATCATCTTTATCAGAGTTATTTAAAAGAGAAATGAAGGAGCACATGAGGGGAATTTGAGAGTGCTTAGTTGTTTTTTTTTTATTTGCTTTATTAAACTCAAAATAGGGGATCAGTAGGAAAATTCTAATGTCTTTACATTTTTGCTTCTTATATGTAATTACTAATAATACATGAATGTCCCTGCAATGGAAGGTGAATGCATGTCATTAGGAAATTCCATACATATTGGTAATAAAATAAATTTTTCCCAATGGTTGATAATTGAATTTTTGTCCCTTTACTATGAAAGCTGGCAGTAACTTAGAAAAAACTAACCACTCTCTAATTTTACAATTCAATAAAGAAAACTGAGCCACTGAGAAGTTAAGTGTCTCATTCAAGGAACAATTTCTGGTTTACTGACTCATAATTCAGCATTTGTTTCCTCTTCCTACTGAAGTCTCTGTAGGAAAAGGTGAAGAACTTAAAATTTTGAAATTCTGTCAAACGTTTGTTTACAAGACAATAAGAAATGTTTTCGACAGCACTAGCAAGTTATTTATTTTTCTTATTTTACTTTTAAAGTAATGTATTATATTTCCACACTTTGCAACTGGGTCAGCTAATGTTTAGAATGAGCAGACGTTCAGCAGTCTTTGAATATTGTAATATGGTCCCTCATCAGCTTTGAAGGTGAGACACTTTTGGCTTCACTATTTTCTCCTTGTGAAAGTATTAACTCAACAGATTATAAGTAATTAAAACTGATGTTGAGTCAGCAATGCTAATGGAGCATAAAATTCACAGTGACTACCAATTTTTCCCTCTGGAGAAAATTACACCTGCACCAAGTGAACTTCAAGGTCATTTGAACTTTGATACATACTTATACATAAAGGATTAGTGTGTTCAAGAGGAGGCCTGGTCTATCCAAAAGTATTCAGGTATCAGTTTCTTTCCATCTCAAGTAACTCTCTGTGGGGAGAGAGTGTGGTTTTTCATGACCACATTTATCTGAAGGTTCTACAGAGTTCAAATTATGTATTGTGCAGCTTTGGCTGGGTATGAAATAAGATGTGGTCTGATTATTGGTTCATGCTATCAAACGTTTTTAGTTACTTTTCCTTCCTTAACTTTGCCTAATACAATAATGGGTGTTTGTTGGCTTCTTAAGGCCCCTGGGGAAAAAATAATGTATTTTTTTTTCTTCTTGTAAGTGGTTCTATGGTTTGATCATCCCTCTTCAGAAAATTGTTTTTGGACGTCTTACCTAAGTCTCTTTCTGTGGTATAAGTCTCTTTCTTCTCATTTCTGGATAAATATGATGAATAGTTACTGAGCAACCTATAAATGATATTTAACAAGCTTACTTCATTGTCTTATTTTAAGGGGAAAAGGGCTTATTTATTCCAGGAAAGCAAATTTTATGTGATTTGTTGTATAAAAATTTTGAATTGAACTTTGGCAGGTGATAGGTTAAGTCATGGTTAAGACATGGTTAACCTGCTGCCAGTCCCACCACTGAACACTTGTTGGTTATGAGAGTCACCGGCTGAGGCTGTGTCCCGCAGGCTTGGCATCTGACACCCAGAGATATTCCCAGCTGGGAGAAACCATAAGCTATGGGTGTGCCTGCCCCACCCCACCTGTGGCTGCAACCCAGAGGGAAAGCGGGCCTCCCACTTTTTAGATGCTTCCAATGACTCACTAGTTCAATAAACTTGTGAACTCACAAGTTCAATAAACAAGTTAAGTGTGATGATACAGCCCAGGCATTTGGTGATGCTTTCAGCTTCTTGGCCACACTTGTAGAATCTTTGGCAACCTAGGCAGGTAGCAAGCACTATTGCCCACCAACCTCATGCTTTCACAGTTCCTAGTGAAAAAGGAATTTGATGATAAGAATCAAAAGGGTGCATATATGAGGTGCTTTAATAAAAAAGAAAAATTTAACCTTTTACTCAATATTTTATATTTAAGAATATTGTCTCTTAATTGTGCATTGCCTTCTATAAGTTAAAATGTGCACACTTTATGTCTTGGACATTCTACTTCTCATTCATACTCAGACACCAGGAGGGACCTTCAAAGATGCACACTGCAACATTGTTCATAGCAGTCAAAAATGGCAAACAATTGAAAAGTGTCCATCGATAGAGGGAAAATTATATAAATTATGGTATAGCAGTAAACAATATAAACTAAACAATGTAAATTTTTTAAACGGACACAGAAAATATCCTCAATGTATACTGTTGAGTGCAAATAGCAAACTATAAAACTATATAATAACTATAGAACAGTTTGAGAATTTTCTTTAAAAGACTACATCTCATATTTTACATATATGGAGATGTATACAAATCCATAGTAAAATTTAGAAGGATAAATGCCAAACTGATAAAGTGGATCTCTCTGGTAGCTGTGGCTGGTGGTCAAGTAGAACTCTAGTCCTTTCTGTGACGCTTTGACTTTACAATTAAAATGTTGTGGTTGCGGTGGTTGTGGCAGAATTTGAAGGTAGCCCCCAAGGAGCTCTTCCCCCTAGTGTACACATCTTGCATAGTCCCCGGGATGGTGAATTTGATGGATTTTATTCCCATGATTAGATTATGTTTGGTGGCACAGAGACTTTAGGAAAAGGAGAGACTTCTCCCAGGTGGCTCTAACCTAATCACACGAGCCCTTACCATCTGAGTCTAGAGGTCAGAGGTGGAAGAAGTCAGAGATTCAAAGTAAGAAGTGTATTCTCTTTGAGGAGTTCTCATTGTTGGAGGGGGACACATGTCAATGAATACAGACAGTCTTTAAGATCTGGGAAAAGCCCCTGCCAACAGCCAGCAAACAGGGACCTCAGTCTTATGACAGCAAGGAACTGAATTCTGCACCAAATATGTGACCTGAGCTCTAGATGAGATAAGCAGCCTGGCTGACACCTTGACTTTAGCCTTATGATACTCTGAGCATTGAAATGTGCATAATTTATTACTGGGGCAATTCTACTTCTCATTAATGCTCAGACACCAGGAGAGTGCAGCCACACCATGCCCAGACACCTGACCTACAGAAACCGTAAGATAATAAATGGATGTTAGTTTAAGCCGTTAAGTTGGTAGTAATTTGCTATGCAGCAATACAAAATGAATACAAATATATTTGAGTATTAGTTGTTTAATGAAAAATAATGTGATGTTATCATAATAATTAAAGTTTAGCTATCCTTAATAATTCTTAGTAGGTTATGAGTATTAATTGCACTTACAAAACAGATCTTGGGAGCTGTGCGTCATTTGTCATAGAAGAGAGCAGAGGACTTGTGTGTGGATTGGTTTTAGGCTCTCAGAAACTATCCTAGGCAACCAGTGTACTGTGGGCCCATCCTTTGAGAATCAGCACCTTAGAGATCTTCTAATCCAAGCCCCCGGAGGTTGGTACTAATTTGTAAGTGGTCATCCAGTTGGATTGAGAATCCTCAGTGCTGACAGGCTGCTCATGGCTGCACAAGATACTTCATCCCATTTCAGACAGCTCTAATTGTTGTAAATTTATCTCTCACAATTTGTCTTCTTGCCACATTTACTTTGGACCTCAGCTTAGCCCTGGGGACTGCATGAGCTCTCTTATAAATACTCTAAAACCTCATTCATGTGTCCCATAACCTCAAAGTTGAACATTTTATATGATCTCCTTATTAATCCTCAAAATAAAAAACAAAATATCAGAAATCTTGTCTCTACAGGACTCTCATTCTCATTGGATAAGTGACTCTACTACATAAACTGAGTATTAATTTCTCAGGATCAACCCTCAGTGGAGATCCACATTGCCCAGGTGTTTGGAGAAGCTCAGTGTCAAAGCAACCATGTGACTAAAAGTTTTATGAATAATTGAAAAATGCACTTTCAGTCTCATCAGAATAGGAGAAAGCAAAGGTTTGTCCAAAATAACTAAGAACAAATCATTTCCACTCTAGTTAGCAAATGTTTTATATTTGACTGCTTACACAGTGCTGTTGTGGCCACAGCCATGTCATACAGTAGAACCAAAGTATCTCAGAAATGAAAGGAATTAGAAGCTTTTACAATTTAATTATCTTCCCAATACTTTAATTCTTTTTAAAACAACTTTGGCTTTTGCTTGAATATATCTGCTGACAACGAATTCATGACTCAATGAGGCATCCAGGTCTATTTTATTTTATTTTTAAATTGACAAATTAAAAATTGTATGTATTTATGGTGTACAACATAATGTTTTGAAACATGTATACATTGTGCAATGACTAAATCAAGATAATGAACACATACTATTTTTTGCAGTAAGAATACTTAAAATCTACTAATTTTCAAGTAATAATTCATTCTTATTAATGATAGTCATCATGTTGTACAATAAATCTATTGAACATATTCTCTGTCTCACTGAAATTTTTTATCCTTTGAGCAACATTTCCCCAGAACCCCTATTACAGCCCCCTCCCACCAACCTTTGGTAACTATCATTCTACTCTCTGCTTCTGTGAGTTTGACTTTTTTAGATTCTACATATAAGTGAGATACAGTAATTATTTTTCTGTGTCTTGGCTTATTTAACATAGTGTTCTGCAGGTTCATCCATGTTGTTACAAATGACAGGATGACCTTCATTTTTAATGTTGAATAGTATTCCTTTGTGTATATATACCACATTTTCTTTATCCATTCATCCATTGATGAACACTCCAGGTTGATTCCATAAAAAAATTGAAATCTGTTTTCTTTTAACTCCTTTAAATTTATGATCCCTGTTCTGTCTTGAGTTCAAACATAGATTTGTCTAATTCGTTTTCCTTTCAGGCAGTTAAAGCCAACTGTCACATTCCCTTAGTTTCCTGTTCTCCAAGGAAATAGTTATAATTCTTTTACATTTAATTAAAGGAGCCTAAGATGATAGAAAGTGTGTGTGTGTGTGTGTGTGTGTGTGTGTGTGTATTTGTGTGCCTGTTTCATTCCAGACCCTCTTCCTGTTGGATAGACCCACCATGGTGAGTGGGCAGCATGTTACTGTTCAAGAGCATGGCAGGCTTCTGGTCTGACCCTCATAAAGCAGAATGAAGTCCTCCTGGCACACTCCTGAGAAACGACAACCCCTAAGGAAGGAAATTCTGTCATTTGCAACAACATAGATGGAACTGGAAGACATTATGCTAAGTGAAATAAGCCAGGCACAGAAATACAAATACTGTATGATCTCACTTACATGTGGAATCTAAAAAAGTTAATCTCATAGAAATAGAGAGTAGAATGGTGGTTACCAGGGGTGTGGGGGGAGGGATGGGAAAAGGAAGACATTGATTAAAGGGTATGAAGTTTCAGTTCGACTGGAGCAATAAGTTTCAGTGATCTACTGTACTGCATAGTGACCACAGTTAATAATAATAATGTAATACATATTTCAAAGTTGCCCAAATAGCTTTTTAACATTCTTACCACATATACACACATGATAAGTTGGTGTGGCGATGGATATGTTAATCAGCTTGATTGTATCTTTCTATAATGGACACATAGATCAAATCATCACATTATACCCCACAAATATACATAATTGTTATTTGTCAATTAAAAAAAAGAAAGGCTAACTGTTGACGTCTCCAGAGTACTCAGGGCAGATGGTTCCAGCAGAAAGTTGGCTGAAGTTTAGGGGTGAAGGTAGCTGCTATTATTATTAAATATATACATTTTTCTTTTTCTCAGAGAGGATTTTTTTTCTTGTCTAGAAGCCAGCTAGCAGATTTCCTCTTCTCTCTTTGGCCAGAACTGGGTAGCCCTGATCCTCCAGCCCCTAAGCCATATTACTTGTTGAATAACTGAATGGATTCTGCATTAGTTCATTCTCACATTGCTGTGAAGAAATACCCGAGACTGAGTAATTTATTTAAAGAAAAGAGGTTTAATTGGCTCACAGCTCTGCATGACTGGGAAGGCCTCAAAAAACTTACAATTATGGTGGAAGGGAAGCAAACACGTCCTGTTTCACAAGGTGGCTGGAGAGAGAAAGTACAAGCAGGGCCAATGCCAGACACATACAAAACTATCAGATCTCTTGAGATTCACTAACTATCAAGAGAACAGCATGGGAGAGATTCCTCCCATGATCCAATTACCTCCACCTGGTCCTGCCCTTGACATATGGGAATTATGGGGATTACAATTCAAGATGAGATTTTGGGGGGGAAACAGCCAAACCATATCAGATTCCATATATCAGTTCTCAAACATTATATTTTATGTGCTACAATTCCTCTTTTTAATGAACCCAATGTATTTTAATGATACATGCTAAATACAGGCCTCACATGTCACATCAGTAGCCAGTGACCACAACTGCCTCGCTGAACGGGATAAAGTCCTAATTCTCTGAAGATGGATGCCCACCTATAAACATGGATTGACAAATGGGTGTAGCATGCACAACCTGTCAAACAGTCTCAAGTTGCCAGGCTGTTCAAGCCGTCAGCTGATGTCTTTTCTTCAAGGAGATAAAATTTGGCTTTTGGTCCCTGAGAAAGTATTTATTTGAAATCACATCACTGTGCCCATGCTCAACCCAACTTTACAGATATATTCATTAGTTAAAATCACAACATTAGAAAAATACGTAACTTCGAACGTAAAAGTGTCCTGTAATTCCAACTGCAGAAATAACACAGTGTTGACAGCATGGTATAGTTTTTTTTTTTGTTTTGTTTTTTGTTTTTTGTTTTTTTTTTGAGATGGAGTTTCACTCTTGTTGCCCAGGCTGGAGTGCAATGGCGTGATCTCGGCTCACCACAACCTCTGCCTCCCGGGTTCAAGTGATGCTCCTGCCTCAGCCTCCCGAGTAGCTGGGATTACAGGGATGTGCCACCACACCCAGCTAATTGTGAATTTTTAGTAGTGACAGGGTTTCTCCATGTTGCTCAGGCTGGTCTTGAACTCCTGACCTCAGGTGATCCACCCGCCTCAGCCTCCCAAAGTGCTGGGATTATAGGCATGAGCCATCATGCCCGACCTTTTTTTTTTTTTTAACTTTAAGTTCTAGGGTACATGTGCAGAATGTGCAGGTTTGTTACATAGGTATACATGTGCCATGGTGGTTTGCTGCACCTATCAAGCCGTCATCTAAGTTTTAAGCCCTGCATGCATTAGGTATTGGTCCTAATGCTCTCCCTCCCCTTGTTTCCCATCCCCCAACAGGCCCTGGTTTGTGATGTTCCCCTCCCTGTGTCCATGTGTTCTCATTGTTCAACTCCCACTTATGAATTATAACATGCAGTGTTTGGTTTTCTGTTCCTGTGTTAGTTTGCTGAGAATGATGGTTTCCACCTTCATCCATGTCCCTGCAAAGGACATGAACTCATTCTTTTTTATGGCTGCCTAGTATTCTATGGTGTTTATGTGCCACATTTTCTTTATCCAGTCTATCATTGATGGGCATCTGGGTTGGTTCCAAGTCTTTGCTATTGTAAATAGTGCTGCAATAAACATACATGTGCATGTGTCTTTAGAGTAGTGTGATTTATAATCCTTTGGGTATATACCCATTAATGGGACTGCTGGGTCAAATGGCACTTCTGGTTCTAGATCCTTGAGGAATCACCACACTATCTTCCACAATGATTGAAGTTTAAAAGCGTTCTTATTTCTCCACACCCTCGTGAGCATCTGTTGTTTCCTGACTTTTTAATGATTTCCATTCTAACTGGCGTGAGATAGTATCTCTTTGTGGTTTTGATTTGCATTTCTCTAATAACCAGTGATGATGAGCTTTTTTTTCATTTGTTTGTTGGCTGCATAAATGTCTTCTTTTGAGAAGTGTCTGTTCATATCCTTCATCCACTTTTTGATGGGATTGTTTTTTTCTTGTAAATTTGTTTAAGTTCCTTGTAGATTCTGGATATTAGACCTTTGTCAGATGGATAGATAGCAAAAATTTTCTCCCATTCTGTAGATTGTCTGTTAGCTCTGATGATAGTTTCTTTTGCTGTGTAGAAGCTCTTTAGTTTAAGTAAATATTATTTGTCAATTTTGATCCTTCTAGATATTATTTGTATACACTAACATATATATGATACAATACGTGATACAATATGATACAATACTTTTTTGGGTCAGTATTGGTCCTTGGAAGCTCTATTATATTTCAAACGTGATAGCTACTCTCCAAAGGTATCCCCTAGTGAACCACACCTCCTGGTATTGATGTCACATCACATTGAATCGGCACTGGTGTTGTGACTCACATTAGCCAAGAGAATGCAGGAGAAGGGTCACTGTGGCAGTCTTCAGAAGACCTGGTGACTTCTGCTTCTGTGCACTTTGGAGTCCTGAGCCATCATGTAAGAAGCCCAATGACTCTACTGGAAAGACCACAAGGAGAGACCATGTGGAAAGGCGGTAGAGAAGGAGAAGTCCTGAGACCACATGGAGAGAGAAGCCCAGTGTCCCATTGTCCCTGCTGAAACCCGCCTTCCATTCTTCCTTGTTGAGGCCACAAACATGTGAGCGAAGCCATTTTGAATGTTCCATTCCCAGCTGTGACTGGACCCCAAGGGTGAGCATCAGAAGAATGCTGATGTCCAGCTGTCTCAGTCAAGCCAGAGAACTGTAAGAAATGTTATAAGATAAACATTGGCACATTAAAATTCTAGAGTTTCACTTATAAGTGGAAGATGAACAGTGAGAACACATGGATACTAGGAGGGGAACCAACACACACTGGGGCCTATTAGGTGGCAGTGGGGGGATGTGGGTAGTGGGGAGGCAGAGCATCAGGATAAATAGCTAATGCATGCAGGGCTTAATACCTAGGTGATGGGTTGATAGGTGCAGCAAATCATCATGGCACATGTTTACCTATGTGACAAACCTGCATGTCCTGCACATATATCCTGGAATGTAAAATTAAATTAAATGTAAAAACCCCTCAAATTTAGAGTTTAGTTGAGCAGACAGAAAATCATGATTTGGGCAGCTTCAGACCACAAGTGGTTCAGGGATTTGCCAAAGGGGCAGGTGAGGAAAGCTTTTAGAAGGTGAATAAAAAAGCAGGGCAAATAAAATATTTGATTGGTTAAAGTAGCCTTATTTGGATCATTCCAGTGGAAAGTCCCTAGTGAAAGGCTAGTTGGCAGTTTCTGATTGGTTAAGACTGGTTACACTGAATCTAATGGCTTCCCAATTAGTGATGTTAATAGAAATAGTAAAATAGAGATAACTAAAATAATAATACAATGGATACCCATAAGACTACCAACCAAATCAAGAACTGAGACACTAACAATGACTTGCATCTACCTACATGCTTCTGCTCATCCCATTGCCTAGCCTTCTGCATACAGGGAAGCTGGGTGAAAGGTACACAGGACTCTTTGTATTATTTTTGCAACTTCCTGTGAGTGTACTATTATGTCAAAATATAAAGTTCTTTTAAAGGAGAGCACAGTAGTATGATACTTAGACAATACTAATCACTGATAAATGTTAGTTTCCTTCCCTTTATTTGTCCTCATCTCAGTCTCCCAGTGCTCAGGTTAAATGTAAAGTATGTTTGTCAGGTAACTCCAGTTATTAATGAATGAGGACTTCAAAAGAAGCTTACCTCTTTCTTGCTGCCTGGTGAGAAATGAGCAGGAGACAGAATAATCAGAAGCACAAGGCATAGGCCCTTGTCAAGTCTAAAGGCTTATCCTTCAGGGCTCCTGGCCTGGAGTATGTAGTGTCAGCTAGGATACTGCTGCATGCAAGCTCCTGAAGGCTGTCATTAGTTCTTTAATTATCTCCCTTTCTGCAAATAAAGAGCACAAAAATGCACTGGGCAGCTCTATTTATCCTGCCGAGGTGGCTTCCTGCATAGTCAACAAAATTAGACACCTGTAAATACTTTTACAATGCAGATCTGCACTGTAGGGAAAAACAGTTTAATTGCTGTAAAGCATTTTATCTCAGTGCTCTCCTTAATTTTCCATTACCCTGCGTGTCACGAGGTCCCACAACACATTTCTTCCTCCCCTGCTCTCTAACCTGGGTCTTGGATGCTTAAGTCAGGGTTCTCCAGAGGTACAGAACCAATAGGATATATGTACATATATAAAAGGGAGTTTGTTAGGGAGAATTGGCTTACATGATTACAAGGTGAAGTCCCACGATAGGCCATCTATAAGCTGGGGAAGAGAGAAACTGCTAGTGGCTCAGCCCGAGTCTGAAAGCCTCAAAACCAGGGAAGCCGACAGTGCAGCCTTCAGTCTGTGGCCAAAGGCCCTAAGAGCCCCTGGCAAACCACTGGTACAAGACCAAGAATCCAAAGACCAAAGAACCTGGAGTCTGATGTTCAAGGGCAGGAGGAATGGAAAGAATCATCCACCACAGTAAAAAAGGAAACCAGAAGACTCAGCAAGCAACCTTATCCCACCTTCTTCTGCCTGCTTTGTTGTAGCCACACTGGCAGCCAATTGAATGGTGCCCACAGCCTTGAGGGCGGGCCTTCCTCTCCCAGTCCACTGACTCAAATGTCAGTCTCCTCTGGCAATACTGTTGCAGACACACCAAAAATCAATACTTTACCAGACATCCAGGCATCCTTCAATCCAATCAAGTTGACAGCTAATATTAACCATCACAGATGCAGTGGAACAATCAGTTAAATACCTGTTGTGTCCTGAGCACACAGTAGCCCACAGAATAGCTATGTGCTATTACCTTCATTTTATAGATGAGAAAGCTGAGGCTGGGAATGGGAAGCAAATAAGCAGCATTGCCAAAATTTGATCCCACATCCGTTAAATGATTGAGCCTATAACCTCCTGTCTGCTTTGCCCCGTCTCCTCTCACATAGTAGTGGCAAAGGTCAAAGGGATTGGGTTGATCTGGGTGGGTTAAATGTAGCATTTGTGATTGATGATTTGCAATGTTCTTATTGTGACTCTCTGAGTCAGGACTGTATCATTGAGTCTTGTCATAGTGACTAGCATCCCGCCCTCAGAAAGAACAGAATTTCAGGTAATGAAGGACCCTCTATTTTAATGCTTATACTTCTGTTTCCTAAAGGGAGGGAATCAAGGAAGATGGGAAAGCCAGAGGGAATAATAGACTCAGGCCATCTCTCAGCACAGAGGGAGCTTCGCTTTTGGCTCAAATCCCAGCTCTACCATTTATTTATTTTGAGATCTTGGGCCTTTGAAGCTGTATGGCACCTGTTTTCTGTAAAATGGTTACCAAAACAGAAGGCAGTGTCCACTAATGCAGGTTTCCCCAAGTAGCCTGATAAAAATCATTTCAAATTCAGATTTCCAGGTCCTTCCTCTAGAAAATTTCAGTCAGAAGATCAGAGGTTGAGCCCAAATGAGGCTGGCCAAGATGTATCATGTAGACCCCCTCATTGAGCCAGAAGTATCCCATTGATCTCAGTGTTATAGAATCCAATGACAGGGTAGGCCTGGTCCATTGCCCCCCTTACTCAGGCACAAATATAGTTATTGTTAAAGACCTCCAATGTGCTTCCACCCTAAATCTCAGGTAGACTAATATTTGGCCAAAGCCAAGTATTTTCCTGAATTTATTGCTGCAGAACCCAAATGTTCTTCCACCCCCAAATCCCAGGTAGATTAATGCTTGGCCAAAGCCAAGTATTTTCCTGAATTTATTGCTGCAGAACCCAAATGTCTTGGAGAAATACATGGATAGGTCTTTAGACCAGAAATAGGACCCATTCAGCTGGCACATACTTGGATATTTGAGACATATTGATCTGGAACTGGAGTGGAGGCCTGAATAGGAAAAAGTGCTAACAAACACTAAAGATAAACTTAGAAAGAAAATAAAAATTTCTTACTATTTGTAAGAAATTAAAATAATAAAAGTAATTTCTAATATTTATTTAGTACTTAGCCATTGCTGAAACTGCTTTCCATGAAAGGGAGGAATTTTTCTAATGTTAAAAATTAACTCTGTCTCTCATTTTCACTGACAATGCCTCCAACAGCAAATGAATGCAGCCTGAAGTAGCCTGCACCAATAGAAAAAACTGACCTTGATATTGCCCTTTCAGAATTAGACAAGACTTTAACTTTTCAGCACACAGCTTGCTATACTCTCTGGTTTGATGGCAAAGTCTTCAAAAAGGAATATTTTACACACTTGTCCTGTACATCATCTTCTCATCCTCAAAAAGCAAACATAACAACAACAACAACAACAACAAAACTCAAATGCCATAATTCCGTTGTGTAACAGATACAAAGTGAACGCAATTTACAGTAGATCATGGTCTGAAGAAAGAGTAATTACATTAAGATATAATGTATCTTGCTGTCATCTCAGGAATGGAAATGGGAACAGATCACAATAATCCTAATGCCCTTGGGGTAATAATTTTTATCTCATGCATACTTCACATTGGCACTGCTTTTGAATATGCTACCTGGAGGTGGGAGGAAGCTCCATTTAGATGCAGATTACAGCCTCAGGCTGAATATTTACTTGAAAATCTGTACTTGGGTATTAAGCATAAGAAATGTACTTTATGATAAAATTTGAATTATTAATTATAAATGAAGTGGAAGAGGATTTTAAATATTAAAAAATAGAAGAGAATAAACAAATTCTTATAAATACCACGGAAGTGGATGGCCTGTACTCTCAAGGAGGACTGGGAAGAATGGTCCTGAGAAGATGGTATTTCTCAGACTACTATCCTGTGGGTGGTTGTGGCTGAATAAGAATCTTATGCTTTTTCATAGCATAATGCTATGTTTCTTAATGCTATGTAAAAGCACTTGAGATAATCAAAATTAAAAGAGCTCCAAGTAGTTGTAAATATGACCTGAGTGGTCTGAAGATGAAGAACTATACAAGTTCTACCTGACTCCAGTGTCATACTCATGCAGGGGTGGAGCACTAGTCTGCCTGGGGTGCACTGCTGCCCCACTGGCAATTCCACTCCCTCCAGCAGTGGGGCCAACACACATACCATCTAGGTGCCTGAGGACTAGCTTACCCAGCATCAATATCACCAGAAAAGCCATGCCACAGCCTCCACAAACAACTGTAGCCTAGGCCACTAAGTACTTATAGACACTGCTGATGTTGATTGCAGTTGAAGAAATCATACAGAAATTACACTAGTGTTCTCACCAGGAACCAAAGGCAAAGCAGCCTACCCAACTGACACTGCAGGACATATCTACAGAAAAAAGTTTTTCGCTATGAAAACTGCTCCATAAAATTGGAAGAAGTGAGAGTTCCACCACATGCACCGATATTGACATGGGGACTCAAGGAACATGAAAAAGCAAAGACACATAACACCTCCAAAAAATCACAGTAATTCGCTAGTAACAGACCCTTCAAAAAGGAAATCTGTGAAATGCCTGAAAAGGAATTCAAAATAATAATCTTAAGGAAGCTCAGTGAAATACAAGAGAACATAATAGACAACTGAAATACTAGAGAACATAAATAGACAATTCAACAAAATCAAGAAAACAAGTCATGATAAGTGAGAAATTCAACAAAGAGATAGACATAAAAGAACAAAACAGAAATCTTTGAACTGAAGAATTCAGTGAATGAAATAAAAAATACAATTGAAAGCTCAATAATAGACAAGATCAAGCAGGAGAATAAATTTCTGAACATGAGGGCAGGTTTTAAATAACCCATTAGTGGGGTGTTGGGGGGATGTCTCCTGGGTAATCACCAAACTTCACACTTATACAATGGGCCCCAGTAAAACAGTGGGCCTTAATAAGCACATTCTTTCCCCTTTAGGCACACTAAGATAGGGAAGCTAAAAGCAGACTGGAGTGGAGGGATTCCTGCAGCTGCCAGAAGGTGTATGGGCACAGACCCAGAAACTCTCCCTCCCAGATAAGCAAAGCAAAGAAACACAGACTAAAAGTCTGATAAAAACTCTTTTCTATACAGATTGCACACCTAGTCCCAACTAAATCTTCAGGCCCTAGGAGGACAGGACATCCTCTCCTCACTAGCCCCCTCCTCATTAGCCCATTTATAAAAACCTTGACATTTTTACTACAACTTGGCAACCCACTTGGGACTCCTCTCTGTAACAGAGAGCTGTTCTTTCCTTTTGCCTATTAAACTCTTGCTTCAAACTTAAAAAAAAAAGAAAGAAAAAACCCATTAGTTAAATAAATAAATAAATAAATAAATGAAAAAATTTAAAAATGAAAAAAATCTCTGAAATATGGGGCACCATTAACTGAATAAACATCTACATTATGGTAATTACAAAAGGAAACAAGATGGGAAAAGGCATATAAAACCTACCTGATGACATAGTAGTTGAGGCTGGGCATGGTGGCTCATGCCTGAAACCCCAGCACTTTGGGAGGTCAGGGCGGGTGGATCACCTGAGGTATGTAGTTCAAGACCAGCCTGGTCAGCATGGTGAAACCTCATCTGTACAAAAAACATAAAAATTAGCCAGGCATGGTGGCAAGCACCTGTAATCCCAGCTACTTGGGATGCTGAGGCAGGAAAATTAGTTGAACCTGGGAGGCAGAGTTTGCAGTGAGCCAAGATTGCACCACTGCACACTAGCCTGGGCAACAGAGCAAGACTCTGTCTAAAAAAAAAAAAAAAAAAAGGAATAATAGTCGAAAACTCCTCAAGTCTTGGGAGAGATATAGGCATCCAGATACAGGAAGCTTAAAAATTCCTCTCCAAGGCACATTATAGTCACATTGTCAAAAGACAAAGAATTTTTAAAACAGCAAGAAAAAAGCATCAAGTCACATCAAGGGACTCTCCATCAGGCTAACATATTTTTTAGCAGAAAACTTCTAGACCAAGAGAGAATGGGGTAATATATTCAAAGCATTGAAAGGAAAAAAAATTGTCAGCCAAGAATACTATACCCAACAAAGCTATCCTTCAGAAATGAAAGAGAACTAGTCTTTCCAAGACAAGCAAAAATTGAGGGAATTCAACACCACTAGACTGGCCCTGTGCTAAGGGAGTCCTTCATCTGGAAGAAAAATGATAATATCTACCATCATGAAAACACATGAAAATATGAAACTCACATCAGAAATAGAAAGAAATCAAATGTTGTCACTACAGAATACAAACAAAACACAAAGCTAAACAATAAGAGAGGAATAAAGGAATAAAAGATACATAAAACAACGAGAAAACAATGAACAAAATGACAAAGTAAGTCCTCACCTGTTAATAACAACATTGAATATAAATGGTTTACATTTTGCAATTGAAAGAGATAGATTGTTTGAATGGATTAAAATAAAACAAGATCCAACTATATGCTCATTTCACATGTAATGACACACATAGCCTGAAAGTGAAGGGATGGAAAAAAGATATTCTGTGCATATGGAAACCTTATTTCAGACAAAATAGACTAAGTCGAAAACATCAAAGGTCACAAAGAAGGTTGTTAATTAGTGATAAAGGGATCAATTCAGTAAGGGGCTTCAACAATTATAAATATATATGTACTCAATACTACAGCACCCAAATACATTAACCAATCAAATATTATTAGAGCTAAAAAGAGAGAGACCCCAATGAAATAGTAGCTGAAGACCTCAACACCCTACTCTCAGCATTGCACAGATCATCTAGAAAGAAGATTAACAAAGAAACATTGGACTTAAACTATACAGAAGACCAAATGAATCTAAGATACATTTGTAAAACACATTATCCAACAGCTGCCATATGTACATTTTTTATCTGCACATGGAATATTTTCCAGGCTCAACCATATGTTAGAACGCAATTCTCAACAATTAAAAAAGTTGAAATCATATCAAATATCTTCTCAGATCACAATGGAATAAAACTAGAAATCAATAACAAGAGGAACTTTGGAAACTACAAATTCATGAAAATCATACAACATGTTCCTGAATGACCAATGGGTCTATGATGAAATTCAGAATAAAATTTTATGAAAATATTGAAACAAATGAAAATGGAAAACAATGTACCCAAACCTATGGGATATGGCAAAAGCAGTAATAAGAGGGAAGTTAATAGCAAATAAATGCCTACATTAAAAAAAGTAGAAATATTTCAAATAAACAACCTAACACACATCTCAGGGAACTAGAAAAGCAAGAACAAACCAAATCCCAAATTAGTAGATGAAAAGAAATAAAAAAGATCAGAGTAGAACTACACAAAATAGAGAAAAATAACTCAGAATATACTGTATCAATGCAACAAAAATTGGTATGTAAAAAGATAAACAAAATGGATAAATCATTAGCTAGAGTAAGAAATAGAGTATATTCAAATCAATGAAATTAGAAACAAAAAAGATATTACAATTGATATCACAGAAATACAAAGGATTATTAGAGACTACTTTGAAGAGCTGAAAATGTATCTACAGAGTTGGTGGGGTAGGACACTTTGGCTTTCATTCTGGGTGCATGCAATGGTGTAGTCTGTATAATTTATTTGGCTCTAAATGGTGTCAGTGGGGTCTGATTTCCCTAGTGATTTAGGGTGTGGTTGTTAGTAGGAGCTGTGGTGAAGTTTTGGTAGTGATGGAGATGTCAGGTGTGCCAGTCCTTGGGCCCCAGTGATGGCATTGACGAGCTGGATGTGTCTGTGTTATGGCACCTGTGTTATTGGGCCCATGTGGGCCAGTTCTTGAGATTACAGTTGGTTTGTTTAGGTGCAGGCAGTGGCACTGATGAGCAAGGTGAGTGGGCAGGTCCTTGGGTGGATGAGCAAATGATGAGCAAGTGATGAGCAAGTGAGTGGGACAGTGGGCATAGCATGGGCAGTGGCAGTAGTTGTGGTGGGACAGCCTTCTGATTCTCGAGTGGCCCATGCTGGTGTTAGCAGTGGCTGCAATGGGCTGGGTGTGTCAGTCTCCAGGCCAGCAGGTGGTGCATGCAGGTGGGTGCCCACTGTGGTGGTAGCAGCAGGCAAGGTGGGCCCATCGTCAGGCCTCTGAGAGGAGTGTTCTGCTGCCAATTGTGGTGGATGAGGTGGGGTGATCTCTAGGCCTGAAAATGGCATGTTCAGGCACTGGTTGAGGATAGTGGAGCCAGGTCTGGCAGGCATGTTCATAGGACTCCTGATGGTGCATATGAACACTGACTTCGGTATGCAGAGGTGGGTTAATTCCCAGGCCTCTGGTGAAGTTCTTCGGTGAGGCAGGCAGTGGAAGTGGTGAGTGGGGGTGCCTGCCCGCAGGACATATGCAATTGCTCTGTATCCCTGCAGCTGGGGCAGGTGGGGCTGTTGTTAGAGGCAGCAGCCTCTAACACCTGGGTAGGCACCTGGGGAGAGCCTAATTTGGCACCAGGCAGTGGTTGTGGGTGAGGGAGCTGTCCTCAAGGCACATGTAAATGTGCGGAGGCCTCACTGCTACAGGTGGGTGGGGTTATTGCACATGGCTCATGCTACCATCCTGATGGCAGCAACCAGTGGTGGTGGTGGACATGGGTAGGGAAGTCTGTCTTCAATGCACACACAAATGTGCGGCAGTCACACAGCTAGGGGCAGTGGGATTGCTGCTAGTAGCTTGCACTTTGGCCCCAGTAGCAACTGCCAGCAGCAGCAGCTTAGGTAGAGGAGCCTGTACTCAGGGCATGTGCAAATTCATGTGGCCAGTCCCACTGCTGAGGGAGGAAGAGTGGCTGCCAGAGAGGTGGGTGCACTTTGACCATGGTGGCAGCCAACAGTTGCAGTAACTACTGATGGGGATGACGATAGGGCTCCAGGGATGTGGAGATGCAAGGGGTATCGGGCTCTAGGGCACGATGCAGTCTGGCGATGGCTGATCTCTCAAAATGATACCATGCTGTAGCTGCTTAGGTCTTGGGGGAGGTGTATAGAACTCCAAATGAGCCCATCCCTGGAATGATACCGTTAAGCAGTCTCCAGGCAGCTCCTTATGTTAGTCTCAGGCTCCATCAGGGTCGAGGGGCTCTCCTGTGGCTAGGATTGCAGGAGTTCTTGTTGGGAATAGACTGCTGGGAATTTCTCACTTACTCTTTCTCTGAACTGAGGAGGCTCTCAGGGCTCCCAGCCAATCCTTGCTGGGCAGGCTGCTTCTCTTCCCTCTCCTTTCTGGCCTTAGGAGTTTTCTGTCACTTTCTGTTGAATTCCAGTGTTCTCTTAGGTGATCTATTCAAAGGGTAATTATCTACTTTCTATTTTGGTTCTCTTTTGTGGAGGAGGCTAGTGCCCGATGCCTCTAGTCAGCCATCCTGAAGCCCCCAGAAATTTTGTTTTCTTTTTTTTTCCTACAAGGAAGAAGTATATGCCAAGAAATGAGAAAACCTAGAGGAATGGATAAATTCCTGAACACATATTATCTACCAAGATTGAACTAGTAATAAACAAAAAAACACAACAAAACAAAACCAAAGGAGTGTTTTTAAAAGAATTCTTTCAGTGGAGAATAAGTACTGATGTAGGAACTGAGCTTCAATTCTCACATTGAAAATACATTAAGATAATTACAAAAATTTAAAAAAGATTGAATCAGGAAGAATTAAAAAACCCGAACAGATCAATAATGATTATTAATGAGTAATGAGATTCAATCAATAATAAAAAGTCCCCCAACAAATAAAAGCCTAAGACCAGATGATTTCATTGCTAAATTCTACCAAACATTTAAAGAAGAACCATACCAATTATTCTCAAGATATTCCAAAAAATTGAAGAATAGGCAATTCTTCCTAACTTATTCTGCAATTACCCTCAAACCAAAACCAGATAAGGACACAGAAACATTAGCAACAACAAACTATATGCCAATATCCCTGATGAACACAGACTCAGAAATATTCAACAAAACACTAGCAAACTAAATCCAACAACACATTAAAAAGGTAAATCACTATAATCAAGCGAGATTCATCCCAGTGATACAAGGGTGGTTCAATATACCCAAATCAATGAATGTCATATCAACAAAATGAAGGACAACAACCATATAATCCTCTCAATAAACACAGAAAAGTCATTTGAAAAAATTCAACATCCCTTCATGACAAAAACTCTCAATGAATTAGGCATAGAAGGAACATACTTCAACACAATCAAGGCCATATATGACAAAACTATATATAACATTATACTGAGTGGAACTAAAACAAAACAAGATGCCCACTTTTACCACTTTTACTGAACATAGTATTGGAAGTCCTAGCCAGAGAATTTAAGCAAGAGAAAGACATAAAAGGCATCCAAATTGAAAAGAAGTAAGTCAAATTATCTCTCCTGGCAGATGACAAGATCTCACATGCAGAAAAAAAAGATTTCAGCATCAGCAACATCTCTTAGAACTGATAAGCAAATTCAGAGAAGTTACAGGATACAAAATCAACATAGGAAAATCAGTAGCATTTCTATACACTAATAACAAAATTGCTGAAAAAGAAATGGAAAAAAGCAATTCAATTTATAATACTTGTAAAAATACTTAGAAATAAATTTAATCTAAAGGGTGAAAGAACCTACAGTAAAAGCTACAATAGAAATTGAAGAGGATACAAAATAATGGAAAGACATCCCATGTTCACAGAATGGAAGAATTAATACTGTTGAATGACCATAGTGCCCAAAGCAACATGCAGATTCAATGTAATCCCTTTCAAAATACTAATTACATTCATCACAGAAATAGAAAAAAAATTCCTAAAACTTGTATGGAACCACAAAAGACCCTGAATAGCCAAAGCCATACTAAGCAAGAAGAACAAAGCTGGACCATCACACTGTGTGAATTCAAAATTTACTACAAAGCTACAGTAACCATAACAGCATGGTGCTGACATAATAGACATAGACACAGACCAATGGAAGAGAATACAAAACCCAGAGATACAGCTACATATTTCCAGCCAATGGAGTTTTGACAAAGGCACCAAGAACATACATTGGAGAAAGGACAGCCATTTCAATAAATGCTACTGGGAAAACTGGATATCCATATGTAAAAGAAGAAAACTAAACCCCCATTTCTCACCATGTATAAAAATCTACTAAAAATGAATTGAAGACTTAACTAGAATAAACGTAGGGGAAATTGTTCAGGACATTGGCTTAGGCAAGGATTTTATGGGTAAGAGTTCAGAAGTACAGCAACAAAAGCAAAAGCAGACAGATGGGAATATATCAAACTAAAAAGCTTCTTCACAGAAAAGCAAACAATCAATAGAGTGAAGAGACAACCTGTAGAATGGGAGAAAATATTTTCAAACTATTCATTTGACAAGGAATGACTAATATCAGACTGTATAAGGAACTCAAATAATTTATCAGGAAAAACCCAAATAATCTTATTGAAAAATAGGTAAAGGATTCGAATGGTCATATCTCAAAAGAAGACATACAAATGGCCAACAGGTATATGAAAAAATGTTCAACACCACAAATCGTCAGGAAAATGCAGTCAAAACCACAATATTATCTCTCTCTAGTTAGAATGGCTATTACCAAAAATATAGAAAATAACAAATGCTAATGAGGACGTGGAGAAAATGGAACATTTATACACAGTTGGTGGGGTTGTAAATTACTATAGCCATAATAAAAAAAACTATGGAGATTATTAAAAAAATTAAAAATAGAACTACCATATAATCCAACAATCCCATTACTGGGTTTTTATATGTAGGAAAGGAAATCAGTATACTGAAGAGAAATCTGCAGTTCCATGTTTATTGTAGTACTGTTCACAATAGCCAACACATGGACTCCACCTAAGTGTTCAACATCAGATGAATGGATAAAGAAAATGTGATATATATACAATGGAATACTATTCAGCCATAGAAAGAACGAAATCCTCATTTGCGGCAACAAGGATGAGCCTGGAGAACAGACACAGAAACATAAATATTGCATGTTCTCACGTATGGGAGCTAAAAAAAGTTGACTGCATAGAAGCAGAGAAGAGAATTGCAGTTTTTAGAGACTGAAAAGGGTAGGGAGAGGGGAGGATAGGAAGAGGTTGGTTAATAATTACAAAATTACAATTTCATAGGAGGATTAAATTTCATTGTTCTATAGCACTGTGGTGTGCATATAGTTAATAGTTAATAATTTATTGTATATTTTCAAATGGCTAGAAGAATGTTGAATGTTTCCAATACAAAGAAATGATAAATGTTTGAGTAGATGGATATGCTGATTAACCTGATTTGATCAATACACATTGTATACATGCGTTGCAACATCACTTTGTATTCCATAAATATGTACAATTATTATGTGTTAACTAAAATAAAAAATAACTTTACAGATACTTAAGCTTGTTAATGTGATGTAAAAGCACTTGAGAGAATCAAAATTTAAAAAGCTCCAAGTAGTTGTAAATGCAACATCCGTGACTTAAAGATGAGGCAGAACTACACAAGTTTTACTGAACTTCCATTGTATAAAATGACACAAAGGCCAGGGCCAGTTCAATGAAAGAGAATTGATGATCTAGACAGGAATGATTTCTGTTGAACATTTTTCACTCTAAGTAAATTCAAGTCTTCTGATCTGAAGAGATAAAACCCTGTGAGGCACAAAGATAGCTTGCAGGTAAGAGGCATTTTCTGTACCCTTTATGGAACTCTATGGACTGGAAGACATATGAAAAAACTGCAAAGGAAAAAATAGATGAACTTTTTTTTTTTTTTTACAAGAAAGAAGGTATTTTTTTTTTCTTTCGTGAGCTAGAGATTCCTCCAAAGCAAAATTCTGGAATAAAATAACAAACAGATGATTCAAGAAACAAGATGATCATTTAGAGTTGATATGGATTCACTAAAAGTGAAATATATGTCACTAAACCAAATTTCTTTCTTAATTGGTTTATTTATTAGAGCAATAGATTCAGAGAGTGCTTTTATGTAGTATGACTGGATCTTATTAAGGTGACTAACGATATCTTTCTTGCTTCTCTCTGTAGATGAGATAAATAAATAGGGACTATGCTATAGTTACATTAAATTTGTTATTGATTGATCAAGATTGATCAACTTGGAAGTAAATCTCTGGTAATTTGTCATAGGACTTTGTCCTCATATCTGCCTGCCTGACTAATCATTTTATTAATGACTAGCAAAAAATATTAGTGGAAGGCCAGTGAAGTTTCAATGGGGTAAGAAACTGGAAGGTTGGTGAAAAGAGATAATGATAAATGGTCATCCCAAAATTATTGACTGGCTTAAACGATAAACTGAACTCTAATGAGATAAAATTGAAGAGAAATAAATAGAAAAGCCCATGCTTCGTTTTAAAAATCTAGCAGTGGAAATGCAGCTAAAAGAGTGAGTAGAGCACAGACTCGAGGACTGTGTCTGGTCCAACTCCAGGGACTACGACTTACCAGCTGTGTGATCTTGGACAAGCAAATTAAGTGCTTGTTCTTGAGTTCTCTGCATCTCAATTTCCACAGCTGTAAATTGGTAATCATAAAAGTAATTGTCTCTTAGGTATGTTGGGAGGATTGGATGAGTTAATATCTATATAGCATCTACACTCACCTGGCTTACAATAAACAGTGTGTATGCTAGTTATATTATTGTTGTTGTTAATGTTGTTGCAACAAAGAAACAGATTTCAGAGTTTTAGATAAAATTTCAATATAAATTAGTGGCATAATAGGACTAACAGGAAAGCATGTGAGACTTGGCTTGCATTAATATAATTATTTTTGCTTTAGCTTTGGTACCCCAGAAAGCAGAGACTGATGCAAACACTTATGTACTACTGTTATATCAGGGGAGTGGGAATGAAAGGAAAGAGAAGTGAGGCTGGAAAGAAAAGAGAATCAGCATGAGAGTCCCTTAAAAACTTGGCCACTGCTTGATATCAAGAAGAACTGATGGCTTGATTTCATGGGGTGTTTTCTCATAGGCTTATGAACCATAGCATCTCAGGCTGGTCTATATGGGGGAAGAAAATAGAAGAATTTAACTGTGAGCTCCAGTCTTACAGTGATCAAATGCCTGTCCTGGGGGTGTTATGCAGGTGAGAACTGAGCAGGTCTGCTACAAAAATAAACTATAGTATTTCCAGAACAATGATTACGAGGCTCAAAATTGTGCACCTAAGTAATGGGGTTAACCTGGAAAATAATTCATTATGATTATTTTATATTTATATATTCCGTGTTTGTTTAAATGTATCCACTACTTTCCAAGTTTCTTTGCTCGTGGTTGTTTCTTGTGTCTTGCTTATTTTTTCTGGAAAAACATCTAGAAATTCATTTAGCTGGACTCCCTTAGTGATGAAGTATGAGGGGGGTCTTCAAAAAGTCCTTGGAAAATGCATATTATGAAGAAACTATAAATGAATTTCAAATTTTTTTGCATCAAAATAAACTACAACTAACTTGTTATAGTGTGTGTGAACAGAACTTAGTTTGAGGCACTAAGAAGGATAAGACACTAGTTTGAAAACAGCCCCTATCAGAGCAACATAAATTCTGCTAAACTTGAAGCAAGGACAAACATCAAATTTATAATGAAGCTTGGGTGGAAGAATGGAGACATCACTGATGCTTTACAAAAAGTTATGAGAAAACTATCCCAAACCAGCAGTTTACAAATGGATAACTAATTTTAAGAAGGAACAAGATGGGGTTGAAGATGAAGCTCACAGAGGCAGACTATCAACATCAATTTAGAAGGAAAAGAAATCAATCTTGTTTGTGCCCTAATTGAAGAAGACCAATGATTAACAGCAGAAACAACAGCCAACACCATAGACACCTCAATTGATTCTGCCTGCACAACTCTGACTGAAAAATTAAAGCTGAACAAACTCTCCACTTAATGAGTGCCATAACCATTAAGCCCAGATCAGCTGCAGACAAGAGCAGTTTTCAATGGAAATTTTAAATAAGTAAGATCAAGATTCTGAAGCATTTCATCAAAGAATTGCAACATGGGATGGAATATGACTTTACCACTATGATGCTGAAGACAAAACAATGGCTACGAAGAGGTGGAAGTGGTCCAGTCAAAGCAAAAGAGAACAAGTCAAGAACAAAGGTCATGGCAGCAGTTTTTTGGAAAGCTCAAGGCATTTTGCTTGATGATTTTCTGGAGGGCCAAAGAATGGTAACATCTGCTTACTATGAGAGTGTTTTGAGAAAGTTAGTCAAAGCTTTAGCAGAAAAATGCCCAGGAAAGCTTCACCAGAGAGTTCTTTCCCAGCATGACAATGCTCCTGCACATTCCTCATACTAAACAAGGGCAATTTTGCAAATGTTTCAATGGAAAATCATTAGCATCCACCTTACAGTCCTGATTTGGCTCTTTCTGACTTCTTTCTGTTTTTTAATCTTTAGAACTAGAAATACCTTTTGACCCAGTAATCCCATTACTGGGTATATACCCAAAGGATTATAAATCATTCTACTGTAAGGACACATGCACATGTATGTTTACTGCAGCACTGTTCACAATAGCAAAGACTTGGAACAAACTGTAATGCCCATCAATGATAGACTGGATAAAGAAAATGTGGCACATATATACCATGGAATACTAGGCAGTCATAAAAAAGGATGAGTTCATGTCCTTTACAGGGACATGGATGAAGCTGGAAACCATCATTCTAAGCAAACTAACACAAGAACAGAAAACCACACACTGCATGTTCTCACTCATAAGTGGGAGTTGAACAATGAGAACACATAGACACAGGGAGGGGAACATCACACACTGGGGTCTGTCGGCAGAGGGGAGCAGGGGGAGGGATAGCATTAGGAGAAACACCTAATGTTGGTGACTGGTTGATGGGTGCAGCAAACCACCATGGCACATGTATACCTATGTAACAAACCTGCATGTTCTGCACCTGTACCCCATAACTTAAAGTATAATAAACAAATATGTGTATATATATATTTTTTAATTTTTCTTTTTGAGATGGAGTTTTGCTGTTGTCACCCAGGTTGGAGTGCAATGGCATGATCCCAGCTCACTGCAACCTCCGCCTCCTGGGTTCAAGTGATTCTCCTGCCTCAGCCTCCCGAGTAGCAGAGATTACAGGTGAATGCCACCATGCCCAGCTAATTTTTGTTTTTTTTAGTAGAGACACGGCTTCACCATGTTGGCCAGGCTGGTCTTGAACTCCTGACCTCAGGTAGTCCACCCGCCTCAGCCTCCCAAAGTGCTGGGATTACAGGTGTGAGCCACCACACCTGGCTTGTTTTTTAATCTTAAAAAAATCCGTAAAGGGTGCCCAATTTTCTTAAGTTAATAATGTAAAACAGATTGAATTGACATGATTAAATTCCCAGGATTCTCAGTTCTTTAGGGATGGGCTAAATGGCTGGTATCATCACTTCCAAAAGTGCCTTGAACTTCAAAGAGCTTATGTTGAGAAATAAAATTCATTTTTTAAAAATTTTATCTTTCAATTCCAGTTTCCCATGAACTATTTGAAGTCCCGTCATATGGTTGAAGAATCTCTAAGTCAGAAGGAATTTGACAATTCCAAAATTCATCTCATATACTAATCTCCCTTAGCAAAATCATCCCCAGGTGGTTCTCATGCTTCTGCTTAAACAACTCCAGCAATGGGGATCTCTATCTCACAAGTCAGGAATTCTATTCTGAGACAGCTCATTTCAGAAAGTTACAATGGTAAAGTGTATCCACAGATGTAAAATGTAATGAGAGAAAAAAAATTTAAAACAAAGGATTTGTCACTTTATTAAAAAAAAAAAAAAGGGATGACCAAAAGTCCCCCTTGGAAAGATGTGTTTACTATAGGACTTGTATTGCCACATGGGTAAGGTTTATGTTTTTTTGAACCATTGGATGCTATATGGAATAAAAGAGAGCAGTATTTCTCAAAGTATCTGTGGTGAAGTATCAATTTTTAAAAATCCCAATTCATCACAGACTAACACATGGTCTTTCTACTGCACAATGCCTAGTATGCAGCTTGCAGCATGCTGGCTCATTGCATAAATCCAACAACACCCAAAATAGTCTATATCTCATTCAATTAGACAGATTCACTGATCCATGCTTTGTTGTCCCAGAAATGCTAAATTTTTATAAAAGTTACTTTAATTAACTTTAAATTTCTGTATTTATTTTTTTCAAAGACTAGAAGCAAATTGTTTGCAGATCAATTTATTCTGAAGACTTACTTTGGCACTGAAGTATACAGTAGAGGATCCTAATGGTCCTAGTGTTTATTCTCGGAGATCCAGACATTAGTTAGCTCTATGGGAAAGCAATAGCCATTTGAAAAACACCTGTATTAAATTAGTCAATTCAATTATTTCTTACTACTTATCACTGTTATGTTAGCTGGTCCAACAGGTCAATGTCTTTTTTGATCTAACATTATTCCTGCTTAATAACGGGTAATATAATGTGAATGCATAGAATTCAATAATAAAGTGAAACTTCTAATCTCATAAAAGATGCAGGATTTCCTGAAGATAATAAGTTAATGTTGAAGAGCTGGGTAGATCCCTCTAAAGCCATTGACAAAGAAAATCTGGTAATATTTGAGCAGAAAATGCTGGAGGAAAGAATCAGCAAGGGCAATGATATGATACCTTCAGAAGAAGGTACAGTCTTTGCCTACCAAAGTATTGAGAGAAATTATTTGGAAAATTGATGACACTCTTAAATACTTTTGCAAAAGTAATTTTTTTCATAATCATACTGTGTAAGTTAAATGTATGATGAATGATGTTGTGTTATGTAATCAGTTTTGTCAGAAAACTTAGCTATCTCTGTTTGGTTCACTCTGTCTTTGCTAATAAATAGAGTATATTTACAATCTTGTCTAATGTGATTAAATCTAAAATAAAATAAACTTACTTTCACGAATTTAAAAAGTATTTTTTTTTTTAAATCATGACATTAACAATGAAAATGTGGCCCCCACTATAAGCTTACTCTCGGTAGACTTTTTTCGTGCCAGTTGGTCTCAGCGAATGTGGCTCTTCAAACTCTGTTTAAAAACAGTATCACGCAAATGAGTGCCGAGTCAGTGGGACAGTTTTCATGTGACATTGTCTCAGTTCCTGGTTCCACATGGCTCAGCAGGCAGGAGTCGTCTTTCCTTCCAAGAGGGATGCTAGTGTGGAAAAGGGAAACCTCCTTTGATTTTCAGAAATTGCTTCCTGTTCCTTAAAAGTTGAAGCAGAAGATGTTTCTTTAAAAAAACAGAATCTACTAGAACCTGAATTCCACAGACACATTTAGTCAAAGAGGAATTTCACATATAGAACACCTTTTCCCTTTGATTGACACTAAGAAATGTTATCCATTGAAGGTAGAGAGGCAGAAGAATTTCAGTATTAAAAGTATTTTTGTGATGCTGGGTCTGTTGTGTTCTGACTTTGCTAGAGTGTGCAATCTGTAAGAGAAGAGAAAGGTTTACACATGCGGTAATCAACACTGCAAGGCAATGAGTAATTAAGAATGTAAATAAATGTGGAAACAGTTTATTTGCTTCATTCATTCATTTGTTCATTCACTCTCCAACTTCTTTCAGAAAGAGAATAATTCAGGTCTAGTTTAACCAGATTTCAAAGAATGGGGGAGATCAGTTGAGGCTTGGGGTGGTTATGGAAAACTTCTGGGAAGAGATGGAATGTGAAGTGAGTCCTGATAGTCGAATAGGATTTCCGTGTAGATGTGTGGGAAGAATGAAAAGGGTAATACAGGCAGGGGCAGAAGTGTGGTCAAGCAGTGCCATCAACTCTCTGGACTTGCAGGACGTAAGCATGTGGTGGGAGAAGAGGTTCACATTAGGGACTGAAGGGATATCCCATTGTATTTGGAAAAATGGAGGCATATTATCAAACGCCTCCAGTGTCTGCCACTTTAGTGTTTGCCCCTCAGTCGCAGGTCATGTAGAGCTACTGAAGTTTTCTCAGCAATTGAGTGACAGAGAATGGATTTTACCCCCTGGATTAGTGATATCTTGCCATGGCATTTATCCTGCACAGATGCAAGTACTCACCATATATTCGCTTCCTGACTTACAGGCAGATACTTTATGCCTTCTGTGATTTTAAGTTTATCCCACAAAACACATACCTTTTTTTCCTCAGTCTTATTCCTCCTCCTTCTTACTATTTCCTTTCATCCCCATAACCCTTGTTTTCTCCCTCTTTCTCTCAGTCTGGTCCTTCTATTATGCTTACTTTTCTCTCCTCTGTCATCATTCCTTTTCTTCAGAGACCACAATGATCTTGCTCCAGCAAGGGCTGGATAAGCTTCTCCAGCTGACAGTATATTTTATTTTTCTGTTACAGTGGGTATCTTTGTTGTTTTCTTTATTTTTCCAAAAAGGGAGGGTGCAGGGACTTTGCAAACACATTCCATATTTAAGGAGAAGAAAATCAATAAGAGCATCAGTAAGGTAGTGGGGAGAGCTGGCTTCAGGACACCTGAGGGGATTTCTGTACTGACCCCATACTTGTTACCTTCTGAGAAATACAAATTTCAATTGCTGCTCTGCTTATTTTTATCCCAGAAAACTTAGGACATGAATTCTTCAGGTTACAGAATTTTTTTCATTCAGATTTAGTACCATAAATTGTTAGTTGTAGGAAATCCATGAAAAAAGATATAAATTTGAAAAAATTAAATATTAACTTGGTATGTGTGAACTAGATAAATTCTAAGTGTTTTTTTTTTTTTTTTTTTTTTTTTTTCTAATTCCCTTCTTCCGCCAGTGTTCCCTTTAGGACTCTGGATGGCATAGAGGAAAGCATCCCAGACTGAGGAGAGGTTCCAGCAGCTGCAAAATGTTGGGGTAGCAAAAAGGCCCAGCTCAGTAGTGGAGGGAAGATGCATTACCTCAGAGGGAGTCCAAGAGGATGCATTGCTGCTACTTAAGACAGATGTCATATGCCAACACAGTATTCAGCAAACATTAAAACTGACAACCAGAAATGGTAGGCAATACATCTCAGAATTCCCCTGTCATATTTTTTACTTTTCCTGAAGTATATAAAGGACAAATGATATGGTTTCAATTATTTGGTAAGAGAAAGAGGTAGAAAAAAGTGCCTTCAGTTGGTATTGTTTCTACATAATTGATTATATTTTGAGATTTGAGGGTGCATAGTACTGTATAGTAGGATTATTTGGGATCCTTTATTTAACTCATTTATCCATGTCAAAAGGTAGAGGTTCCAACCTCTCATCACTCCTCTCACTTGGTTCTAACTGGTAGGGAACAGACTCAGGGAATCAATAGTGATTAATAAGTTGGCTTTACAAATGGTGCCCTAATGGTTCCCGATATGGTTTGGCTGTGTCCCCACCCAAATCTGACCTTAAATTATAATAATCCCCACATGTCGAGGGCAGGGTCAGGTGGAGATAATTGAATCTTGTGGGCAGTTTCCCCCACACTGTTCCCACAGTGGTGAATAAGTCTCACAACATCTGATGGTTTTATAGAGTTCCCCTGCACACACTCTCTTGCCTGCTGCCATGTAAGATGTGTCTTTCTCCCCTTTCACCTTCCACCATGATTCTGAGGACTCCCCAGCCATGTGGAACTGTGAAGCAATTAAACATCTTTCCTCTATAAATTACCCAGTCTTGAGTATGTCTTTATTAGTGGGGAGAAAACAGACTAACACAGTTCTCCAAATACAGGGCTCCTTGGGAAAGCTGGATGGGAGAAAATAGCCTAGCCTGAAGTCAAAATGGAAGCATTCTGTTAACATCTGCTCATGCTCAGACCTTGTGATTTGCTGGTGGGGAGAATTGGAGCAAAAATAGACCCTGAATTCATTTGCCTAAAAGTGGAGGATAATAAACCCCTTTATATACAGAGTTGCCAATAGATTTTGAATACCAGGGAGATATGAACCTTCAGCCTTGTGTCTAGAAGGCAGAACTCACCCTCACAGGGAGCAAGAAAGAGAAGAGGGCCACTGTGAGGTGGACAGCACAGAGAAGGTGGAAAAAAGTCCATGTTGCTTCTTCAATTTGCCCACCCTGATACAAACAATAGAAGCAGCAGCAGAAAAATAATTAAACAGAAAACAGAGGGCTGGAAACATACCTCCATAGATGCTAAACTCTCAGTTCAGAGACTGTCCCCTTCCCTTGGCAAGGAACTAGTTAAGATACTAAGAGAGATGGTGATGGAGACTTTCCCCCCTGCCTCAGTAGAGAGTGGAGCAAAAGCCCTGCCTAGGCAACTGGAGGATGGAGGAGTATGAGGAGGAAGAGTCATAGAAATCCCCTCCAATGGATACATGAATCCAGGGTCTAAGGGAGCATCCTGATAAACTGAATTTCAGTTTCCTAGTCATGCTAGGATTCTATAATAACAATTTATATTCACTATTGTACTAGGATAATGCTACATGCTTCTGTCTCATACAAAAGTCCCCAACCAGCAGATCAGAATCCACAATTAAAGCTTCAGTGAGCAAAATGAGGGTGACCACTGTTCTTAATCAAAGGTGACCGCTGTTCTAAATCCCTCTCTCAGCTCTTTGCTAGAACTCCCAGGGGCAAGATGGCAATGCTGACAGAAATGATACTTCCGCCCCGTTGCCTCCCGCTGCCTACTCGAGCACACATTCTGTCATCTTCCTGCTTCCTGGAAATTGAAATCATTTGAGGTAAATAAAAAGCAGATCATCTTTAATACAAAAAATGTGGTGACTCTAATCTGCTTACGTAGGCACAGTGATTGGGGGGCACAGCCTCATGCTTTGGAGTAATTGGGCTCTAGGCAATGGAGTGTGATGTTGCACATTAGGTGAAATCTAATCCTGAGCCTGGGAACTCACACTGTTAGAAAATGGGCTACTCTGTTGTATGCAATGGGTCTAAACCCTTATTTTTGGCACCCGGTGGCAGAAAGCCAAGTTGTTGTCTATGGTCTTCTGTTCTAGTCAGTACCCACTTTTATGGATCCTAGCAAAATGCTTTCACACTTTTTCTCCAGGTTCTTTTTAGCTCTTTAAATTAACTCTCAGAAGGTGTGAGTTAGCAGAGATGGAAAGGATTTGGTTAGGTGTTAATTCTTTCTGTCTTGTTTGGTTAGAGAGTCTCACATGTATCAGAATGAGTCAGATTCATCTTAGGTCTTAGAATCTCCAGCAGGGTTGCAGAGATGGCTAGCCATCCATCAGAGATGCATATTCTGCCTCTACAGTGTAGACTCGTGGCTGGAAGGTGCTGCCCCAGTGAGGGCTAAATTGTCCAGCTGCCCATGCCTGCCCCCCCACCAAGCCCTTGTATCTACCTGTGACCATGTGACTAGTTCTCACTAATGGAATGTGAGCAGATGTGATTTATCACTTCGAGGTTGATGTGATTATGAAGCAGATGTGCCTTACTCATCCTCTCCTTCACATCTGGACCCTGGAAGTGAAGGATTTTGAGGCCCTAAAGGAAGGTGGAGCCACAAGATCAAAAAAGCCTGGTTCGTAAATAGCTTCCAGCCCAGCACCTGCACTGAACTGTCTCATGAGTGAGAAATATGTTCCTATTATGTGAGGCCACTAGATTTTGGAGTTTATTTGCCGCAGCATACAGCATTACTTTAACAAATATAGCCATCCAAGTTTATTCCTGGAATAAAATAGTAGGTACCCAATCAATATTTTTGAATAAATGAATGATTGAACTTGCTTCCTTTTGGAAGCTTGTGTAATGAATCTACAGTAAAGGGAGCAAAAAATGGTTAGTGAGTAAAACCACAGAGGTTGCAGAGAAGAGGCTTTGTTGGAAAAGCGACACAGGAATTAAGCACAGAATAAATTACTTCTGAATATTATGATATGGTGTTTCTAGATGGTACCCAGATCAGAAGTGGTCATTTATCTGACAACACACATGGGACTCAAAACTTCTCTCATTCCACAGAGAAGAAAACATGCGTATTAGTTGCAGCAGTCATTCTACAGCACTGGAAGGGAGTTGCCTTTGTATAGCTCTGGAAAGCACACACACAGACATACTGCAAAACCAATGTAGGCAAAAATAGCCAGAGTTCTAGAGAAAGCACTTATGTCTACTGCAGAAGCTTAGAACTCTCTGCAGTTGATCACAATGGTAAGAGTGAGAAAATAGCCTTATACACATCAGGGTAGCGTGGACTACAAACCCCTTCATGAGATGACCACTTTTTCTCCCCCACCACATTGCAAGTTTCCCAAAGAGATTGTGCTCCCACAGGCATCAGGGCCTTTGCCCACATTGTTTCTTGTGCCACAGCAACTAGAAGGTAAAGAGCCTTCAGTCCCATCTATGAGGGCTCTGGGATTTTTCATTCAGCCTTGCAGACTCAGTTGAAATGTCACCTCCTCTGTGAAGTCTTTTCTGGTCTTCTTTGGTCTCTTTCTCTTCTGTGTTTCCATAACAAAATTTCATCATATAATTAGAGGTCTGATCATACTGTTGTAGTGTTCTATTTATAGGGAATTTCCCTATAAGACCGAGCTCCTTGAAGTTATTTGCTGAATTTGATTTATCATTGTAGCTGAGGCATGGCGCAGTGTCAGATTCATAGATGTTACGTCCTGTTTCCAAATCAACTGGTGGATAAGTAATTAAGAGTTTTGACTGCAATTTTGAGAGTATATCTGAGAATATCTGTTGACCTTAATACACAATAGAACTTGTTTCCTTAATCTAAATGTTAAACAATTTGGAAAGTTTTAGTAAAGACTTCAGTTTTTGTTTTGTTCTGTTTTTCTGTTTCTTTAATAAAGTAATAGTTTTTCTTCAAATTGGAACATGTTTTCCCCTCATAATTACAAATTAAGGAGTATCTGGAAAAATAACGTAAGCACATTCATTTTTCCTATTGTTCTCAATATGTTAACATTTGCTTTCTTTAATAAAATAGAATTATTTTTAGAACACTTTAGATTTATGGAAAAATTGCGAAGATAGAAGTACAGTGAGTTCCCTTACACTCCCTTACCCAGTTTTGCCTGCTATTGCCATCTTGCATTATAATTGTATATTTGTTAGAGTTAATGGACCAATATTGATATATTATTATTAACTAGAGACCATAGTTTATTCAGATTTCCTTAGTTTTATCTAACATGCCTTCTGTGTTCTAGAATCCCATTCACGTTTACATGTCATTGTCATGTCTTCTTTAGGTTGTGACTGTTATTCAGACTTTCCTTATTTTTCATGACTTTGATAGTTCTGAGGAGTTCTGGCCAAGCATTTTATTTATTTATTTATTTATTTATTTTTGAGATGGAGTCTTGCTTTGTTGCCCAGGCTGGAGTGCAGTGGCGCGATCTCGGCTCACTACACCTCCGCCTCCGGGGTTCAAGCGATTCTCTAGCCTCAGCCCCCTAAATAGCTGGAATTACAGGCACCTGCCATCATGCCCGGCTAATTTTTGTATTTTCGTAGAGGCTGCTCTTGTTGCTTCAGACCATGTTGGCCAGGCTGGTCTTGAACTCCTGACCTCAGGTGATCCACCCACTTTGGCCTCCCAAAGTGCTGGGATTACAGGTGTGAGACACCATGCCTGGCTGGGCCAAGCATTTTATAGGGCAAATTTCTATTGTAATTTGTCTAATATTTGCTTCATGAATAGATAGGCATTATGGGTTTTTGGGCGGAAGGTGACAGAGATAAAGTGCCATTTCATCACGTCATATCAAGAGTTCCTACTATCAAGATGACTTATCACTGCTGATGTAGACCTTAGTCACCTGGCTGAAGTAGTGTTTGTCAGGTTTCTCCACTATAAAGTTATAGTTTTCCTCCTTTCTACACTATACTCTTTGGAAGGAAGTCATTATGCACAGCCCACACTTAAGGAGTAGAGGGTTATGCTTTCCTTTTTTGAAGGTAGAGTATCTACATAAATGATCTGGAATTTTTCTGCCTAGGAGGCATCTATTCTTCCCCACCTATGTTTGTTTGTATGTTTATTTATTTATTATTATACTTTAAGTTCTGGGTTACATGGGCAGAACGTGCAGTTTTGTTGCATAGGTATGCACGTGCCCTGGTGGTTTGCTGTGCTGCACCCATCAACCCGTCCCCTATGTTAGGTATTTCTCCTAATGTTATCACTCCCCTAGGTCCCCCACCCCCGACAGGCCCTGGTGTGTGATGTTCCCCTCCCTGTGTCCATGTGTTTTCATTGTTCAACTCCCACTTATGAGTGAGAACATGTGATGTTTGGTTTTCTGATCTTGTGACAGTTTGCTGAGAATGATGGTTTCCAGCTTCATCCATGTCCCTGCAAAGGACATGAACTCATCCTTTTTTATAGCTGCATCGTATTCCATGGTATATATGTGCCACATTTTCTTTATCCAGTCTATCATTGATGGACATTTGGGTTGGTTCAAAGTCTTTGCTATTGTGAATAGTGCAACAATAAACATCCCAGTGATGATGAGCATTTTTTCATATGTCTGTTGGCTGCATAAATGTCTTCTTTTGAATAGTGTCTGTTCATATCCTTTTCCCATTTTTTGATGGGGTTGTTTTTCTCTTGTAAATTTGTTTAAGTTCTTTGTAGATTCTGGATATTAGCCCTTTGTCAGATGGATAGATTACAAAAATTTTCTCCCATTCTGTAGGTTGCCGGTTCACTCCGATGATAGTTTCTTTTGCTGTGCAGAAGCTCTTTAGTTTAATTAGATCCCATTGGTCAATTTTGGTTTTTGTTGCCCTTGCTTTTGGTGTTTTGAACATGAAGTCTTTGCCCGTATGTATGTCCTGAATGGTATTGCCCAGATTTTCTTCTAGGATTTTTATGGTCCTAGGTCTTACATTTAAGTCTTCGATCCATCTTGAGTTGATTTTTTTTAAAAGGTGTAAGGAAGGGGTCCAGTTTCAGTTTTCTGCATATGACTAACCAGTTTTCCCAACACTATTTATTAAATAGGGAATTTTTTCCCCATTGCTTGTGTGTGTCAGGTTTGTCAAGATCGGATGGTTGTAGATGTGTGGTGTTATTTCTGAGGCCTCTGTTCTGTTCCATTGGTCTATATATCTGTTTTGGTACCAGTAGCATGCTGTTTTGGTTACTGTAGACTTGTAGTATAGTTTGAAGTCAGTAGCGTGATCCCTCCAGCTTTGTTCTTCTTGCCCAGGGTTGTCTTGGATTGTGGGCTCTTTTTTGGTTCCACATGAAGTTTAAAGTAGTTTTTTCCAATTCTGTGAAGAAAGTCAAGCTAGCTTCATGGGGATAGCATTGAATCTATAAATTGATTTGAGCAGTATGGCCATTTTCACGATATTGATTCTTCCTATTCATAAGCATGGGATTTTTTTCCATTTGTTTGTGTCCTCTCTTATTTCCTTGATCTCTTATTTCCTTGTAGTTCTCCTTGAAGAGGTCCTTCACATCGCTTGTAAGTTGGATTCCTAGGTATTTTATCCTCTTAGTAGCAATTGTGAATGGGAGATCACTCATCATTTGGCTCTCTGTTTGTCTGTTCTTGGTGTATAGGAATGCTTGTGATTTTTGCACATTGATTTTGTATCCTGAGATTTGCTGAAGTTGTTTATCAGCTTATGGAAATTTTGGGCTGAGACGATGGAGTTTTCTAAATATACAATCATGTCATCTGCAGACAGAGACAATTTGACTTTCTCTCTTCCTATTTGAATACCCTTTATTTCTTTCTCTTGCCTGATTGCCCTAGCCAGAACTTCCTATATTATGTTGAATAAGTGTGGTGAGAGAGGGCATCCTTGTTTTGTGCCAGTTTTCAAAGGGAATGCTTCCAGTTTTTGACTATTCAGTATGATATTGACTGTGGGTTTGTCATAAATAGCTCTTATTATTTTGAGTTTTGTTCTATTGATACCTAGTTTATTGAGAGTTTTTAGCATGAAGGGGTGTTGAACTTTATCGAAGGCCTTTTCTGCATCTATTGAGATAATCATGTGTTTTTTGTCTTTGGTTCTGTTTATGTGATGGATTACGTTTACTGATTTGAATATGTTGAACCAGCCTTGCATCTCAGGGATGAAGCCAACTTGATCGTGATGGATAAGCTTTTTGATGTGCTGCTGGATTCGGTTTGCCAGTATTTTATTGACGATTTTCCCATCGATGTTCGTTAGGGATATTGGCCTGAAATTTTCTTTCTTTCTTTTTTTTTTGTTTCTTTTTTTTGTGTGTCTCTGCCAGGTTTTGGTATTAGGATGATGCTGGCCTCATAAAATGTTAGGGAGGATTCCCTGTTTTTCTATTGTTTGGAATAGTTTCAGAAGGAATGGTACTAGCTCCTCTTTTTACCTCTGGTAGATTTCCACTGTGAATTGTCTGGCCCGGGACTTTTTTTGGTTGGTAGGCTATTAATTACTGCCTCAATTTCAGAACTTGTTATTGATCTATTCAGGGATTTGACTTCTTCCTGGCTTAGACTTGGGAGGTTGTATGTGTCCAGGAATTTATCCATTTCTTCTAGATTTTCTAGTTTATTTGCATAGAGGTGTTTATAGTATTCTCTGATGGTAGTTTGTATTTCTGTGCGATCAGTGGTGATATCCTGTGTATCATTTTTTATTGCATCTATTTGATTCTTCTTTCTTCTTTATTAGTCTTGCTAGCAGTCTATTTTGTTGATCTTTTTCAAAAAAACAGCTCCTGGATTCATTGATTTTTTTGAAGGGTTTTTGTGTCTTTATGTCCTTCAGTTCTGCTCTGATATTAATTATTTCATGTTTCTGCTAGGTTTTTAATTTGTTTGCTCTTGCTTCCCTAGTTCTTTTAATTTTGATGTTAGGATGTAGATTTTAGATCTTTCCTGCTTTCTCTTGTGGGTATTTAGTGCTATAAATTTCCCTCTAAACTCTGCTTTAGCTGTGTTCCAGAGATTCTGGTACGTTGTGTCTTCATTCTCATTGGTTTCAAAGAACATCTTTATTTCAGCCTTCATTTCGTTATTTACCCAGTAGTCATTCAGGAGCAGGTTGTTCAGTTTCCATGTATTTGGGTGGTTTTGAGTGAGTTTCTTCATCCTGAGTTCTAATTTGATTGCACTGTGGTCTGAGAGTCTGTTATGATTTCTGTTCTTTTGCATTTGCTGAGGAGGGTTTTATTTCCAATTATGTGGTCAATTTTAGAATAAGTGCAATGGGGTGCTGAGAAGAATGTATATTCTGTTGATAGGGGTGGAGAGTTCTGTAGATGTCTATTAGGTCTGCTTGATCCAGAGCTGAGTTCAAGTCCTGAATATCCTTGTTAATTTTCTGTCTTGTTGATCCATCTAATATTGACAGTGAGGAGTTAAAGTCTCCTACTATTATTGTGTGGGAGTCTAAGTCTCTTTGTAGGTCTCTAAGAACTTGTTTTATGAATCTGGATGCTCCTGTATTGGTTGCATATATATTTAGGATAGTTAGTTCTTCTTGCTGCATTGTTCCCTTTACCATTATGTAATGGCCTTCTTTGTCTCTTTTGATGTTTGTTGGTTTCAAGTCTGTTTTATCAGAGAGCAGGATTGCAACTCCTGCTTTTTTTTTCTTTGCTTTCGATTTGCTTGGTAGATCTTCCTCCATCCCTTCATTATGAGCCTGTGTGTTTCTTTGCACATGAGATGGGTCTCCTGAATACAGCACACTGATTGGTCTTGACTCTTTATCCAATTTGCCAGTCTGTGTCTTTTAATTGGGGCATTTAGCCCATTTACATTTAAGGTTAGTATTGTTATGTGTGAATTTTATCCTGTCATTATGATGATTATGATGTTAGCTGTTGTTTTGCCCATTAGTTAATGCAGTTTCTTCATAGTGTCAATGTTCTTTAAAATTTGGTATGTTTTTGCAGTGGTTGGTACCGGTTGTTCCTTTCCATGTTTAGTGCTTCTTTCAGGAGCTCTTGTAAGGCAAGTGTAGTGGTGACAAAATCCCTTAGCATTTACTTGTCTGTAAATGATTTTATTTCTCCTTTGCTTATGAAGCTTAGTTTGGATGGATATAAAATTCTGGGTTGAAAATTCTTCTCTTTAAGAATGTTGAATATTGGCCCCCACTCTCTTCTGGCTTGTAGGGTTTCTGCTGAGAGATCCACTGTTCGTGTGATGGGCTTCCCTTTGTGGGTAACCCGACCTCCCGACCTTTCTCTCTGGCTGCCCTGAACATTTTTTCCTTCATTTCAACCTTGGTGAATCTGACAATTACGTGTCTTGGAGTTGCTCTCTTGAGGAGTATCTTTGTGGTGTTCTCTGTATTTCCTGAATTTGAATGTTGGCCTGTCTTGCTAGGTTGGGGAAATTCTCCTGGATAATATCCTGAAGAGTATTTTCCAACTTGGTTCCATTCTCCCCATCACTTTCAGGTACACCAATCAAACGTAGATTTGGTCTTTTCACATAGTCCCATATTTCTTGGAGGCTTTGTTTGTTCCTTTTTATTCTTTGTTCTCTAATCTTGTCTTGGCTCTTTATTTCATTAAGTTGATTGTCTTCAATCACTGATATCCTTTCTTTTGCTTGATCTATTCAGCTATTGATACTTGTGTATTCTTCATGAAGTTTTTGTCCTGTATTTTTCAGTTCCATCAGGTCATTTATGTTCTTTTCTACATTGGTTATTCTAGTTAGCAATTCGACTAACCTTTTATCAAGGCTCTTAGCTTCCTTGCATGGGGTTAGAACATGCTCCTTTAGCTTGGAGTTGTTTATTATCCATCTTCTGAAGCCTACTTCTGTTAGTTCGTCAAACTCATTCTCCATCCAGTTTTGTTCCCTTGCTGGTGAGGAGTTGTGATCATTTGGAGGAAGAGAGGCATTCTCGTTTTTGGAATTTTCAGACTTTTTGCGCTGATTTTTCTCCACCTTTGTGGATTTATCTACCTTTGGTCTTTGATGTTGGTGACCTTCGGATGGGGTCTTTGAGTGGACGTGCTAATCCTTTCTGTTTGTTTCGTTTCCTTCTAACAGTCAGGCCCCCCGTTTGCCAGTCTGCTAGAGATTGCTGGAGGTCCGCTCCCCACCCTGTTTCCCTGGGTATCACCAGCAGAGGCTGCAAAGCAGCAAAGATTGCTGCCTGTTCTTTTGTCTGGAAGCTTCGACCCAGTGGGGCACCTGCCAGATGCCAGCCAGAGCTCTCCTGTATGAGGTGTCTGTCGCCCCAACTGGGAGGTGTCTCCCAGTCAGTACACACAGGGGTCAGGGACCCACTTGAAGAGGCACACTGATGCTTAGCAGAGCTTGAACGCTGTGCTGGGAGGTCTGCTGCTCTCTTCAGAGACATCAGGCAGGGACTTTTAAGTCTGTTATAAGTCCCTAATTGGGGCTGCTGCCTTTTTTACAGAGATGCCCTGTCCAGGGAGGAGCAATCTGGCAGTCCGGCCACAGCAGCCTCGCTGAGCTGCAGTGGGCTCCGCTTAATTTGAACTTCCCAGCAGCTTTGTTTACCCTGTGGCCTTAAAACTGCCTACTCAAGCCTCAGCAATGGCGGATGCCCCTCCCCCCACCAAGCTTGACTGTCCCAGGTGTATCTCAAATTGCTGCTGTGCTGGCAGAGAGAATTTCAAGCCAGTGGATCTTAGTTTCCTGGGCTCAGTGGGGGTGAGTCCCGCCAAGCCAGACCACTTAGCTCCCTGGCTTCAGCCCTGCTTTCCAGGGGAGTGAATGTTTTTGTCTCGCTGGAGGTCCAGGCGCCACTGGGGTATGAAAAAAAAAAAAAGACTCTTGCAGCTAGTTCCGTGTCTGCCCAATTGGCCGCCCAGTTTTGTACTTGAAACCCAGGGCCCTGGTGGGGTAGTCACCAGAGGAATCTCTCGGTTTGCAGGTTGTGTAGACTGTGGGACAAGCTCAGGATCTGTGTCGGCGTTCCCCAGACTCAGACCCTCTTGTCTTCCCTTGGGTTGGGGGGAAAATTCCCCGACCCCTTGCACTTCCCTGGTGAGGCGATGCCCCACCCTGCTTCGGCTCGCCCTCTGTGGGCTGCACCCACTGTCTAATCAGTCCCAATGAGGTAAACCGGGTACTTCAGTTGGAAATGCAGAAATCACCTGCCTTCTGTGTCAATCTCGCTGGGTGCTGCAGATCCATGCTGTTCCTATTCGGCCATCTTGAATCTCCAATCCCTATGTTTATTTAATCATTTATTTATATCAGTATGGATTCATGGATATTCATTTTGTACTTTGGGTTATATTACAGTGGCATTTTATTTTGTAACTTAATCATTCCAGCTTTTGTCATTGGGATATCTTTCAGTTGACTTCTGTGTCTCTTTGACATACAGCTGTCAATGTGGGTTTTTCAGGGGTGTGCTTTTGTTCTTTGTTTTTTCAGCACTTCCTTACTTTATGGCACTACGTGATACTCCACTCTCCTCATTTATATTACCTGTTTCAGTCTCAGATGTGTCCCAGAATCCCACATTTCTCCAAGGATCCCTTATTCTTTTAATTGGAGAGTAGTATTAGAAACCAAGATTTGGGTGCTAGGTGTGCTTATTGCTACTGGGGTGTCATTGCTTTCAGGCTCTCTCAGCTGACTGAGCAAGGAAAAATATGTGTGAATACTTACAAATATACATGTTTCTATGTGCAATCGTGCATGTCTATATTAAGTTAAACATGAATTCTAAATGCTATCTCCAGCATTAATTCATTGCCACATGGATCATCATTCTTACCTCCTTCCCTTGCTTATCTTTAAGTTCCTACTGCAACAGTGGGAAAGCTGGCTCTCACCATTCACCATCTATTTACTTAATTGTTCCAGTATACATGTATAGCAATATAAGCACTCATACTCTGATAGAAAATAACTTTATTGACTAGAGTGCAGAGCTTATGTGTAGTTCCTTCTGCTTTTAGTCTTACAGACTCTACTCATTTCCAGAAATACTTAGGTTGGCACATTATCCCCTCATCGCCTCCAGTGAAATTGTTTCATACTTTTTAATGCAGTTGGTATATCACTTTGTGCTATAAAGTTCCATGGGTTATGACAAATGTGCAATACCATGTATCTCCTATTGAAGAATCATACAGAATAGTTTCACTGCCCTTAATATTGCTGGTGCTTCACCTATTTAAACCTTCCTCCTACTCCCACCCAATCCCCTAATAACCACTGATCTTTTCACTGTATCTATAGTGTTGCTTTTTCCAGAATGTCATACAATTGGAATTATACATGTTATAGAGTATTCAGATGGTCTTCTTTCATTTAGCAATATGCATTTTAGATTAATCCGTGACTTCTGTGGCTTATTAGCTCATTTGAATTTTTTTCCCTCTTTCAACAAATGTTTACTGTACATTTACTATGCATGCATATTGGGGAAAGTATACATAAAAATTGCCATTTCAACCACCATTTAAAAAGGTACACATCAGTGGCATTAAGCATATTCACGTTGTTGAATGCGAACTTTCACCACTACCTATTTCTAGAACTTTTAATTATTTCCAGTTGAAATTCTGTGCCCATTAAATAATAACTCCCCATTCTTCCTTCACCTAGCCCTTGGTAAACTCTATTTTTCTGTCCATAATTTTGCCTGTCCTAGAAACTGTATATAAATGGAACGATACTATATTTGTCCTTTAATATCTGTCTTGTTTCACATAGCATAATGTTTTCAAGGATCATCTATGTTGTAGCATGTGCCAAAATATCATTCTTTTTTTAAGGCTGAATAATATTTCATTGCATATGTATGCCATATTTTATCCATTTATCTGTTGATGGATACTTGGATTGTTTCTACTGCTTGGCAATTATGGATAATGCTGCTATCAATATTGGTGCTCATTTTATTTTATAACTGAATAATATTCCATTGTGTAGATGATCACAGTTTATCCATTCACCTATTGAAGGGAATATTGGTTGCTTCCAGTTTTTCTTACAATTATGAATAAAGCTTCCAGTTTTTCACAATTATAAATAAAGCAACATTTGCATGTTGGTTTTTTTGTAGACGTAAATTTTAAAATCAGTTAAGTAACTACCTAAGAATGCAATTTCTGGATCACATGACAAAACAACGTTTAGCTTTGTAAAATGCCAAACTGTCCTACCATTTCACATTCCTTTCAAAAATTATTTTAGTATTTTTCCTTAAATTTGCAATATACATTTACAACTAATCCAAGTCTACTTTCAAATAATACTATACCACTTTTCAGCACAGATATCTTATAACAGAGTATTCCCAACTTCTTTCTCCTGTCCCTTAGAAAATTGCTGCATTTTTATTTATTTCAGTTATACATATGATATAATCACACAATTACTACTATTACTTTGAAAAAATCTATTTGCTCAATTAACAATAAAGAAGAAATAAGGTTTAATTTTACCTTCACTTATTCCTTCTTTGATGCTTTACTTTTTAAAATGTAGATTTGAGTTTCTGACCTATATCACTTTGCTTTTCTCTGAAGACCTTTTTTTCTTAAAAAAAAGTTATGATTTTCAGGGCAGGTATGTTGGAGATAAATTCTTTCAGTTTTTGTTTGTTTGAGAAAGTATTTCTCCTTATCTTTTCAAGGCTAATTTTGCTGGATATAAAATTCTAGGGCTTTTTTTTTTTCTAACACTAAATATTTCACTCTGCTCACTTCTTGCTTGCATGATTTCTAAAGAAAAGTCTCCTATAAATCTTTATCTTTTTATTCTCTAGGTAAGGCTTTTATTCTCCTCTGGCTTCTCTCAAGTTTTCCCATTTGTCTTTGGTTTTCTGTAGTTTGAGTATGATATTTCTAGGTATAGAGTTTTAAATTTTTATTTTGTTGGTGTTCTCTGAATTTCTGGATCTGCATTTGGCATCTTTCATTAACTTTAGAAATAATATTACTTTAAATATTTTTTTTACTCTGTTGTCTCTTCTTTTTTTGGTATTCCAATTATGCTACATTACATCCTATGAAATTGCCTTACAGTTTTTGCATATTCTGGGGGTTTTTTTTTCCATTTCACTTCAAAAAGTTTACATTGACATATCTTCAAGTTCACTGAATTTTTTCCTCAGCTGTGTCCACTCTACTCATAAGTGCATCAAAGCCATTATTCATTTATCTTACAGTGTTTTTTATTTCTAGCATTTCCTTTTGATTCTTTCTTAGAGTTTCCATTTCTCTCTTTACATTACACATCTGTTCTTGCAGGTTGCCCACCTTTTCCATTAGAGCCCTTAATATAATAATCAAAGTTACTTTAGATTCCAGGTCTTATAATTCCAAAATCTGTATCATATCTGAATCTGGTTCTGATACTTGCTTTGTCACTTCAGAATTCATTTTTACATTCCTGGTAATTTTTGTTGAAAGCCAAACACGATATAACTTGTAGTAACAAGTGAGAGAAATAGACTTTTAGTGTGAGGTTTTATGCTGCTGTAGCTATGAGTTATGTTGCTTATAATGTCTGTTGTAGCTGTAGGTGCTATGAATTTCAAAATCCTTTAGTGTTCTTCTTTTTGTCCCCATTGCTGTCTTTGGGCTTTCCAAGAATTCCTTCTTAAAACAGTCTAAGTGGTAATCCATGTTTATACTGAGGCCCTATTGAAGTGATGCTAAGGAGTGAGTAAGGGGTCGTATTCAGTAATCTTAAGATTAGCTGAGTTTTTGTGGGCCTGTGTCTTGTGGGCTGTAAGTTTCACTACAACTTCTTTTTTTCCCCTCTTCTTGCTCCTCGAGTGAGATAGAAGGCTAAAGAGATCTGGAATTGGGTATTGCTCCTCTGCCTATATGAGATAAGGTTCTGCTGAAGTCTTTTTCACTTGAGCAGAGCAAATTGTTGTGAAGAACACACTGAAAACATTTCAAAATGATCATTTTCCCCCTTCCCTTGCTAAAGATATGAGGTGATTTTTTCTTGGCTCTTTATTGTGGGAACCTGGTGAGGTTCCTGGAGGTAAAATCTATCTATGAAAGTTGGGTAGGCCTCCCTAAGACTTGAGTCCCCAGGTTTTCTCATTCTCATGCTAGCCTACATTCAGCCTAGAGCAATTTATCCAAATAACTATTTAGGTAGTTCTACTAATGTATGACTCCAGTAACTTCTGCTCTGGGCTAGCTAATCTTGGCTGTGTTTCTTCATATTCTCATCTCTCCAGATTTCAGAGTGGCTGTTTATCCTGCGACTTCAATTTTCTGATGGTCCAAGAAAAGTTATTGATTTTCAGTTTGTTCAGCGTTTTTTTTTCTTGTTCTAAAGTTCGGAGCGACAATTTCTAAGCTCTTACTTGTCAGAACTGAACATGAAAGTCTCTTAACATTCATTTTTTTTGTGTTTGAAAACTTCTTCAAACAAGAGGCAATGACAAATGGTCCTCTAGAAATTTAAGCTACAGTTATTGTTAAAATTTTGTGAATTTGATAGATTGTTATCATCTTGGAAAGGATGGAAGGAATTTCAGCATTTTGAAGTGTAAAAGTAGAGACTGCTTCTGCTGTCTGATGGGCTAGCTAAAGATGTGTTTCCTTCTGATCTGAGGTGAAGCTAATTGGTGAGATATAATGTGTTTATCATAATTAAATTTTCAGTGTAGCAACATGAGTTATTTATCCCCCTCTGGACACTTGCAGAGATAGACCATTAAAAATCTTCTACCTTTTGCAAAATGTACAGGAAATAAAATAGCATTTCACCTGGTACTTTCCTGATCTGCAGGTATCAAACAAAGGGATGTGAAAATGGGAAATAGCAGCATATTTGAACTGTCAGGAGATACACTCAAGCTTAGTGGCTGGAAAATTACCACAAGTGTGCACATGCAGTCTTACAGAGGACATTAACAGGTGGTAGGGTCAAGGCAATTTATTTCAAAGTGTCTGCAGTCCTCAGAAAGAAATAAAATCACAACTTGATGTGATTAGTGAGTATCTAACTAGGCTGTGATACAATCATGAAATCCCAAACTGAGAAAGACCTATAGGGAACAAGGTGGTGGTTTTTGTTCTGTTAGATTTTATCAGAAGCAGCCAGAGGGCAGCACAGCAGTTTCATTTCAAATGGCAAAAAAGCTCTCCAAATGGACTCTTATGCCAAGGAAGTGAACCACAGATGGTGTTTCTTATTCAAGGTTCACAGACACCTCCCACAAACACCAGACAAAGATACAGTCAGGCATTCAAATGAGAATAAGAAGAAATATCTAGAATTCAGAGAAGCTGACTAAAAAAATGGCAGCAAAACCTTCATCTACCAATAATAGCAGGTAGGAAAAAGATGGGCAATGAGAAAATAGGCAGATTTATTAAATAGCACCCTTCAATCTTAAACAGAACTGGGAGAAAAGTTTTAAAAACAAAATAATTTATGGCATATATCTAATTTTTTAACTCACTCACCTAAATACCTTTTGGAATCTGTTTTAAAGCCAAGCCAGCATTAGCCCAATGGCTTGCACTGTCTGCCCATCTACTTTCAGAAATGACCCCTGAAAAATTAAAGTAGAGAATAATGACCCTGAGCCCATAAAAACAGATTTAATTTCATTCACCAGATTTGTACTCTTAAGGATGACTCATACATTTTAGAAAGTTTATTTTTGCAAAAGTTGATTTGCCTAATCCTTAGGTAATCAGAAAATCTGATTAAGAAGAGAATTCCATTATCATTTACTATTTTTGTTAGTGTATTCCTTTTATCTATTGTTCTTTGGCCTGGACCATTGTCAGTTATATTCAAAGACATTTGGGATGTAACATTTGGTCCATGAAGCAGAGTGGGTTAAATCGAGATTAATTTTTCTTAGTTTATAACAACATAACAAATTTAAACTAAGCTAACAATTCTATTGCATCATTTCTATAATCACAAGCTACTGTCCAGTAAGAGACTTGATCCATAAATTTATGGGCCATTTTTTTCTGAACCCTAAGTCAGAGTTCATGTTATGTGTGAGAATACTTTTGTGGATAATGATAGATTTGTCAAAATGTTAGATTTTCCTAGAAATTCAAGATGTATATTCACTGTATCCACCATTACTCTTCCATTGGCTTGGAAAAGTTTGGAGACCTCACTAAGAGACGGCCCAATCCATTCATTCACGCATTTAAGGTTCAGCCTTTCCAGCTGTCCAGGAAATCAAATAGAGCAGAAGGTCATCTGGTTGGAGTTGCTTCATTTCTGCATAACACATGTGCAAAGCACTTCCTAACTAGAAGATGAGCCTATCTTAAATGTCACTGTGATGGAGAAGCATGTTCTCCCTTTTTTGACAGATGATTCACTTAAGTCTGGGTCGCGGACTTTCCACCACCTGGCCTTGCCTCAAATGAAGTTTTTGACCAGTTCAAAACCTGTAATTAACAAAAGCAAAAGGTTTTGGTTGCTTCTGATTCATGTTAAGGTCAACCAGTGGAAATAATAGTTCCAGGCCAATTTATAAAGGCTGAGAATGTCAGTAGTTACTTGTTTTGGAAAAGTGAGCAGACAAAAATAACAAAGACAGAGGCAAGGGTTCAAGACTTGGTATTTTGGTTTGTTTGTTAGACATTTTTCCCCCTTGGGAAGTGCTGGTGTGTTTTGTACTTTTTCAAAATATCAATGTGGAGACAAGAGTGTGCTTAATTTGATGACATATGGAAAGCTACTTATCAGTCTTTCACCTCTTGCATTTTAATGTGGTTATTACTGTAATATTACCATTATCATGCTTGCCATCATTTTTACTCATTTAATTATTTCATTCAATAAATATTCCTAAAGTATCTATAAGTGAAAAGCACAGACAGCATGACTGCTCTCCTTTTCCTCTGCTCCTCCATGTCCCCCTTTCAAATATATCTTAATAACTACTAGTCATTTTTGGCATTTTTTATGATTTAGTAAACAACAAGTGTTAACCGGTAATCTATAAGGTCATAAGCAGTATAGACCTTTTCATGGCACGAGCCACTCCTGGACACAGTCCTGTATGTGTGTGTATATGAATGTATGTATTCATATCAGGTCAACTCTGATCTCAGCACCCTTGTAAACATCCTTTCCTGCTAATTATTTCTTCTTCCTTTCCTCCCTGAATATCTGCATCACAGGCCTGAAGGGCTTTATGTCTTTATGTGTCAAGTGGATATAAAGCAACTCAAGCCAGATGACCTTCTGCTTTATTTGAATGTCTGGACAGCTGGAAAGATTGAACCTTAAAGGAGTGAAGGAAAGAAAGGAAGGAAGGAAGGAAGGAAGGAAGGAAGGAAGGAAGGAAGGAAGGAAGGAAGGAAAGAAGGAAAGAAGGAAGGAAAGAAGGGATTGGGCAGTTTCTCAGTGAGGTCTCCAAACTTTTCTAAGCCAATAGAAAAGGGTAATGGTAGATATAGTGACTATACATCCTGAATTTCTAGGCAAATTCATCACTTTGAAAAATATATTACTATTTACAAAAGTATTCTCAAACTTACCATGTACCCTGATTTATGGTTCTGAAAAAATAGCACATAAATTTATATCTTTTCAAGATGGGAGCTAACAGTTGCTTAGTTGTTGTCACTCAAAGGATGTTTTCCTATTCATGGGGAATATTTGAAGGGTAAAAAGTCTTCAAGATTCAAAGCAATATATCTCTAATACAAGAATTTCAGGTTACTTGAGGTCTTGGTGGAGATAGATTAGTTTTTGGCCAGAGGATGGCCTGGCACACCTCATTTCATTTCACAGCAAGCAACCCATCACCCATTCTGCCTATAACTAAGGTCCAACTGACCCTCTTCATGTACTTGACAGCTGATAATTCCTTCAGACTCTGCCATGCACATCTTCTGGGTGTAGTGTATTCAACTGAGGCAGAGGGGAATGGAAGAATGCACTAAAGCTGTACTTAAGAGGCCAAGTGTTAATCCTTTGGGAGTAAATTCTTTCGGGTTGGATTCAGCACCAGTTTCATGTTTGGCATCTGGAAGTTATAGATTCTATAGTACTTTGAGAGTGGAGGCTGTGTCTTATAAAACTAAATATCCTTTCAAGCACCTTATACAAAAAGGTGCTCAATAATTCCTTAGTGTTACAGAGTTATAAATACAGTGGTTGCTCTGTTAATCAGAGAGAAATATATCTGTCCTGATTTTTGTCTGTGTGAATTCAAACATCAGGAACCAATAAATCAAAGATGATTACTTCCTTTGCTTTTTTTTGTTTTCAATTTATCAGAGACACTGAAAGTTATTTTTGGATAAGGATATGAGTATTAAAAATAGAGTATACCAAGAGAGATGAAAATCAATGCATTAAAAGAAAACAATTTGGATTTTTTTAACTATTTGGTAAAATACAAAAACAGGAGAAAAATCTAGTCAATGATAGTTTTATATAATAAGACCTTTTATCCTTCTAATGAGAATAATTTTATTATTTTTCTTTCTGATTATGGAAATAATACACTCACTGGGGAAAAATGCAAAAAAAAAGAAAAAGGTTAAAAAATTTACCATCTGGAAATAACAACCATTGACATTTTGCTAGATAGTCTTCCATTTTTTTTCAATGGCTGTTACATGTAAACACTTTTCTGTTTTTTCACAAAGATGGAATCACTTTAAAACATACAGTTTTGTAACTGCCCTTTTTGCCCTACCTGTAATTGGGTTTACATAATGATAGTGAGGCAATTATATGCCACTAATTCACCAGGACCAATGGACATTTATGGTGGCACCACAGTGTTGCTACTGCACCTTATTGCTAACAATTCCTTATTGAAATTGCTTGCTCTTGATAGGCTTTCCACAAGGTGCTTTCAGGCCTCTGAACTGAGGATGCCCAGTGGATTTTAGAAATTCCTGAGTGATTGTCATATATGTTGGGCCTGGGCTGCTACTTATCCTGGTTATTAAGAAATATCTAAATTCTCAGGCTCCCCTTCTTTAGGAAGGAACAGGCTGCCCCTTGGAAATGGGGCAGTATTTTTTGAGAAACTGAAATTAGTTTTTTAGGCAAATTGAAAAAGTGCATATCTTGCTTCCCACCATTTTGCTTCATATCCTGCTTAGCCCAAAGGATTTAGAAATCCTTTTACATTTATCCACATAGCTCAGTTACTTTTCAGAAACATCCCACTTCCCAGAAATACCAGATAAATATTTATTGAAACCCATGTCACGATGAATTTTCTTTCTGCTAATAATAATATTATCTTATGTGCCGTAGGAGTGGGGCACTTTAAATTTAGAAACAAGGATTTTTCTGCAGGAAGACTTGCCATGTGGGTTCAGCTTGTGGGTTGTTCGTCAATTATCTTTTTTTTTTTTTTGGAAATAAATCCATTTGCTGACTTAACGCCAACTTGCATTACTTTGATTTTGCTGCTGAAGCAGGGAGAAAAACTAGTTTCTCTAAATATTTTTACAATATTTCACTGAATTTTGTTTTGACATCACAGAAATTTTGGAGCTAGAAGGAATTTAGAAACCGCAGAGCTGTGGGTCCTTGGTATTCTTGAAGGAACTTAAGAAGTCCATAAACCCTCAGAAATAATATACGAATGTGTGTGCATGTGTGTGTGTGTATCCATTTTTCTTGAGTACCAAAGGTCAAGTGTTAGATTAGATTCCCAAAGGAATCCATGATGGAAAACATGGTTAAAAATTACTCAAAGTCTTCATTTTGAAAAGGAACAAATTGAAATTCAGAAATCTTGCCCAAGGTCAGATTTTGAGTCAGCTTCTATGACTGTTTAAATTACTTATAGTAACCAAATTAAATATAAATGCAATGTTTCTATGCATATCAATGTAATTTTTCAATCACTTTAGGTGTTTCAGAAAGATAACAGGTTGGTATGAGAAGTTCTACATTTGCATTCTGGTTCTGCCATGTAACTTGCCAAATCTCTGAATTTCTGTTTCCTGATCTATGAAATGGAAATGAAAAATACTCCCTATAGAGTTCTTTCACGTTTTAAGGAGTTTGTGAGTATAAGTGTGCCTAGCATAGGCATAGAGAAGACCTAAGTATTACAGAGTAAAACCTTGCTATGGAACATTAAGGACATAATTTAGAGGGTTTTATTCTAACAAGTGGTTAGGCAGTACTTGGAGCTTAGTTTCCATTTCTTCAGCTGTAAAGTAGACCTAAGAACAGAACCTTCCTTCTAGGGTTGTTCTGAGAATTACATTAGATAATTACTCACAGTGCTGAGGACAGACTGTTTAATGTATTAGTGCTTAATAAATCTTAGCTATACCAATTAATATTTTCTCAGCATTTTGTAGTGTATCATTTGATTCCTTTAGATCATAATAATAACCTTATGAGTTGGTATATATCTATACAAACACATATACACACAATATATACTGTTAAATAAATATGCATTTATAATAAAAATATTAGGTTCCATTATTTTCTACTTTTGCATTTTCCAACCCTCCACATGGCACATGTATTAGTTTCATAATAAAAAAACTCATATTAAATTTTATTTAAAAAAAATCACAACATACCCATATATTTATGGCCAGTGAATTTTTGACAAGGGTGCCAAGACAATTCAACGAAGGAAAGAATAGCCTTTTTCAATAAATAGTCCTGGGACAATTGAGTATCCACATGTAAGGGAACAAAGTGGGCTCTCCTATACGAATATGTAAAATTAGTGGAAAATGGATCAAAAACCTAAATATAAGGGCTAAACTATAAAACTCTTAGAAGACACTGTAGGTGTAAATTTTTGTAGCTTTGGATTATGTAGTTATTTATTAGATATGACACCAAAAGCATAAAGCAACCAAAAAATAAATAAATTTGGCTTAAAATTAGAAACTATTGTACATTAAAGACACTATCAAGAAAGGGAAAGATCAGAAAATGGGAAAAATATTTTAAAATCCTATATATCTGATAAAAGATTTATATCCAGAATATATTAAAAAGGCTTACAACCAAATAACACAAAGACAAATTTAATTAAAATGAGCAAAGAATTTGAATAAACATTTCTTCAAAGAAGACATGCAATTGGCCAGTAAATGGATGAAAATAATCTCAATATTATTATTCATTAGGGAAAATGCAAATCAAAACCACAATGAGTACTTTACACTTCCTAGTAGACTATAATTAAAAAGGCAGTCAATAACAGTGCTGGTGAAGATGTGGAGAAAATGGAACCTTCACACATGGCCGGTGGGGATGTAAACTGGTGAAATTGGTGCAGCCCCTTTGGAAAACAGTTTGTCAGTTCCTCAAAGAGTTAACTGTAGGTTACTATACGATCCAACAATTCCACCTAGGAGAAACAAAAACAGGTTCACAGAAAAACTTGTACATTTGTACATGAATGAGTGTTAATAGCTGCATAATTCTTAATATCAAAAGCTGCAAACCACCAAATGTCCCTCAACTGAGTGGTTCACAAACAAAATGTATATCTATATACATATCCCATATATTTCATACAATGGAATATTACTTGTTCATAAAAAGAAATGAAGGACTAATATATACTACAACATGGATGAAACTTGAAAACATTGTGCCAAGTTAAAAAAAAAAGCCAGTAACAAAGGACCATATACTGTGTAATTCCATTTATATGAAATCTACAGAATAAGCAAATATGTAGGGATAGAAAGTAGACATGTGGTTGCCCCAGGTTGGGGGGTAGAGTTTGGGGGGGAAATAGAAAGTGATTTCTAATTGTTTTGGTGTTCTTTTGGGGTGATGAAATATTCTAGAATCGATTGTGAGGATGACTGTACAATTCTGTGAATATACTAAATACCATCCAATCTTATACTTCAAATGGTTGAATTGTATGATATGTGAATGATATCTCAATAAAGTCTTATAAAATTATTATTAGGAGTAGTATGGGGGTATTTACTCACCTAAACAGATATTTTTACCTCTTCCTTTTTAGTTAATACAATTTCTCAATAGAGTCTCATATGTGGAAGCCACCTGGTCTAGTTTGTTTGATCTTTCCACTTTCTGACCCCACCGATATCCTTGTGATAGTTCAGGAGCTAAGCTCTTATGTTTTCAGTAATTAGACATATAGAGGAAGAGAGGACAACCACCACCGCCTGCATAAGCTTCTTTAAAGATTTTTTTTTTGTTTTCTCTTAATCATCTGTCTTCCTTGTCCCAACCAGATTATAGGAGCCACTTTTTCCATCATAGGCTCTCATTGAAAAGAAGAAAAAATTGAAAGTCCAGAATCTAATGAATTATCCCCACTTCCATTGTTACCATCATCTCTTACTTGGATTATTGCCACAGCCTCCCAGCTGGTCCCCTGACTAGGGTTCCTGCTTTGTGGCAGACTACTCTCCACACAGCATCCAGTGTTCCTTTTAAATGTAAGATCCTGTCATTTCTCACCTCCAAACTATCAAAGGCTTTCCATCTTGGAATAAATGTTCAGGGCCATGCCGCTTAAAAAATCTACACCACACCAACCCCATCTTTCTGATCCCCTCTCCCACCACTGTCTCCTTTGCTTTCTCTAGTCCTACTTACTGCCTGAGCAAGCTCCTGCTTTATGACTTCTGTACTTGTTGCTACTTCTTCTAGAAACATTTTCTCCGCAGGTATCTCTAGAGATCACCTCCTTACATCATTTGTGTCTCTTTATTAGAGACATCACAAACATACCTTGCCACCTTGACCCTCTATTCCCTTTTTATGCTTTTTTTTTCAAGGCACTTAATCTAAATTACCACATATTTATTCCTTTATTGCCTAGCTCTTTTCAAATGAATGGAAGAACAAGATTACAGACTATTTATTTAAGTTAATGGGTGTATTCCCAACGCCTAAAAGTATGCCAGCCACATAATAGGTGTTAAATAAGTGAAGAGGGCAGGGATTACAGTAAGTAGCCCTATAAGGCTATAAACATCCCACTTCTTAAATTTCTATTCCTTCATAGCAGGAATTTAGGAGGTATGACAGCAGGAAAAAGCATAGCTCTTTCATTTTTTCCTACACAAAAAGAAAAAATCCAATTTTTTATCAAAGAGAAGCCAAGGATAAATAAATGGTCTAAAAATCATTTATAAAAAGTGTTCTGGCTGGGCGCAGTGGCTCACGCCTATAATTCCAACACTTTGGGAGGCCAAGGCAGGCGGATCACTTGAGGTTCAGGGTTCGAGACAGCCTGGGACAGAACAAAACATGGCAAAACCCTGTCTCTACTAAAAAAATCCAAAAAAAAAAAAAAAAAAGTAGGGCATGGTGGCTGGTGCCTGTAGTCCCAGCTACTCAGGAGACTGAGGCAGGAGAATCCCTTGAACCCAGGAGGCGGAGGTTTCAGTGCAGTGAGCCGAGGTCACGCCACTGCACTCTAGTCTGGGTGACAGAGGGAGACTCTTTCAAAACACATCAACACACACACACACACACACACACACACACACGCAACTAACCAAATAAACAAAAAAGAATATTATATACAAGATCCAGAAGAGGCATGTTTGTCAAGGGAAAACAGCCTCAACAGCATTTTACAAAAAAGAATGTTGCTTGCAAAGAGGTGCAAGGGAGTCAGGCATCAGAAGTACTGTCTCACCAATTAAAAACACAGTACACATTTAAAGAAAAAATTCCAAGATCTCAAAGATTACTAATTTATAACTACCTGAACATGTTGAAAAAAAAACCAGAAAGTTTTCAAAATTATTATAGCCACAAAGACCAGGGCATTTCTTCAGACATTATCATTGTAAAAGCCAAGAATGAAATTGCTTCCTTGAACAGGAAATGTTCAATGTTTCATTCATTTCAGGGACCAGAACTTGACAAGCTGACCTGTTATTTTTGGTTTATTTCAGTGCAGAGCGTTTTTTTTTTTTCCTTTCTGAAGAAGGTGTGTCATGATGCACATATTTATAATGACAGCAGGGCAATGTGTCAGTATTGCTTCCACACAGCTAAAGTGATTCAGAAAGATTGATTGCAAAAGAATAGCAAAAATATATCTGTCAACTGCAAACCAAAGCAAAACACATGTCACGTTATTCATATCTGAAAAAATTTGATTCAAACCTGTGGTAGTACTGACAGCAATGATCAAACAAATTGGCAGAATAAATTAAAACTCCAAGACACTTTTCTGATGAAAATCATTGGCCAGAAAAAGAACCAGATTTTATTAGTAATCAATTCTTACTTTAAATCAATCTATTGACACCTTTTATAAAGTTCAAGTTTCAGTAGTGGATGGAGATAAGAGAGTTGTTAGACTTGTGCATGATTAATAATGTCTGTGTGAGATTTTTTGGCAAAATAATCTGTTATTTAAAGCAGTCCTCTCAAGCCTGTAGTCCCAGGACTTCGGGAGGCTGAGGCAAGTGGATCACTTGAGCCCAGGAGTTTCAGACCAGCCTGAGCAACATGGCAAAGCCCGGTCTCTACAAGAAATACAAAAATTGGCCACATGTGGTGGCATGTGCCTGTAGTCCCAGCTACTCGGGAGGCTGAGGAGGGAGTATCACTGAGCCCAAGGAAGTTGAGGCTGCAGTGAGCTGAGATTGTGCCACCGTACTCCAGCCACGAACAGACTGAGAACCTGTCTCAACAAGTAAATAAATAAGCAAATAAAGCAGTCCAAAATCTCACTGGATGATACAAATGATTAAATGTAAAAGCAGAGGGCGTTTGTCATTCTGCTTTTTGTGGTTTATAAACGGTGGGGAAAGATGCAGAAAGAAAAATGATGGAGCAGTTTTTAATTTCAAAAGCTTGACCAAGGGTCAGGGGTTCGACTACGTCAGTACTGGCTTAATCTCACCTGTGCTCATTTCTGGAGATGCCTAAAACCATGGTGCTAACCCTTGGCTAACACAAGTGAAATGTACTATTTTCCTGTGCTAGTAGCCAAGACATATAGGGGCAACCTATCCCAGCTTGTTAGCATTGCTTTTAGAAAAAGCAATGCTAAGGTAGAGGCAGGGCGCGGTGGCTCATGCCTGTACTCCCAGCACTTTGGGAGGCCGAGGCGGGTGGATCACGAGGTCAGGAGATCGAGACCATCCTGGCTAACACGGTGAAACCCCGTCTCTACTAAAAATACAAAAAACTAGCCGGGCATGGTGGTGGGTGCCTGTAGTCCCAGCTACTCGGAAGGCTGAGGCAGGAGAATGGCGTGAACCCGAGAGGCGGAGCTTGCAGTGAGTCGAGATTGCGCCACTGCAGTCCAGCCTGGGCGACAGAGCGAGACTCCGTCTCAGAAAAAAGAAAATCTACATAGAGATATTTGCACGTGGTTTATATTTCTAATAGCCTGGTTTTGACTATGTAACCAAGAAGTGTGAAGAACTCCTCTTTGAAAAGTGGTTCTTCGGAGACCAAGTATCTTGCATGTAACTTTGTGGTAAGGACCTAAGGAAAAAGCATATCCTATGAAATAGAAAGGACACAGGAATTTGTGCCTAGAAATCTCATTTCTCCCTGATATTTACCTGGCTTTATTTCTGCTGCTGTATTGTTACCTTTTACCTTCATCAAAGCCTTTTATCAGTAGAACCTGAGGAATCCATCTATCCTTCTGTCTGACAGCAATGTGTCAGTTTTCCTTCCATACACGTAAATAAACCGACTCAGAAAGACTGATTGTTAAAGAATAGTCAAAGAAGCATCTGACAACTGTACAAACAAAGGAAAGCAGGCATACCATGATTAACATGAGGATAAAAGCATTTAATGGCATAGAGAAGATGAGTTTATAAAGATAAACAGCACAGTTCACAATGACAATATAACTGTGACTGTTTTGGAACAAATAACGTCTTTATGGAAACGTTAATACAAAACTCAAAATCTGAGAGGATGGTGAGATATGATCACTGGACAAGCAGTTCTAGTTGTGTCCTCTTGATCCTCACACAACTGTGATACTGGAATTATGTGCTCAGGCTCCGGAGGCAGAAAGCCAAGGTTCACATCTTGGCTCTTCCATTCTCAGTTATGTGATGCCATTCAAGTTATTTAATCTCTCTACTTTTGTTTCCATATAGCCAAAAGGGGGGATAATAACAATATTATGTACTTCATCAGTTATTGTTTGGGTTTAATGAGGTGATACATATAAAAGTGCTTGAAATGTTATAAAAGCCAAATAAAAGTTAAATATTATTGTTTCAAAAGTTGTCATAATGGCCTCGTTCAAAGGTTAGTATTTTTTCCTCCATAATCTTCTTTGAAGCTATTTTAGCCATTAGGATTAAGGAAGTGAAAATTCACTCGTTTAACCTCTCATAATCCAAAATTTAAGAATTCCATCTCCTAAAAGTTGTTCAAAGAAGAACAATTTGTTTTTGGCTGCATGATTAAAAACAAGCAAACAAAGGAACAAACAAAAAACTTTGTATCTGAGAACTATAGTACCCCAAAGTAGCCTCTTTTAGTCTATTTTCATTTTCCTAGTTAGGTGGACTAATAATAGTTTTAAAAATCAAAATGTCCAAGCAACTCAGTAACTGGATTCCTTTGCCCATGTTCACTTTATGCCACCTAGTTAACAGAATCAGATAAAAATCAATTAAGATAACAACAAAATCAACAAAATCAGATAAAAAAAATTTGACCTTTGGAGTTGAACTCCAGACTGAATACCAAAGGCCATAATTTAGTACCTAAGTATTTCTATAATCTTATTTGTACCAGTTTTATTGATCAAAAATATTCTGCTGTGAGAATGATATGCTACCTCTGAATGCTTCATTGGGGTAGAATTTAAAAGACTAATAACAACTATCCTCTTCTACTTTGCACTAGTATTTTGAAGTTCCACCTGCAAATCATTACTAGATGAGTCCATTCTCTTTGAAGAATCACACTTGTGAATTAAAATGTCATTCCATTTTGCTACATGGAAACTTGCTACTTCTTCTGAGACCTATTAAGCAAAGATTTTGAGGGAAATTTTAATTTAAGACAAAGCTTATATTTCCATTTACAAAAATTAATTCCATGCTGTGTCCTGGAAGAAATAGAATCAGTTAAATATTATTATTAAAAGAAAATGAGTTTCAGATTTTTTTATTGCTTTATTTTTATTTTTTATTTTATTTATTTATTTACTTATTTATTTTTTTGAGAGGGAGTCTCTCTGTTGCCCAGGCTGGAGTGCAGTGGTGTGATCTCGGCTCACTGCAACATCTGCCTCCTGGGTTCAAGCGATTCTCCTGCCTCAGCCTCCTGAGTAGCTGGGATTACAGGCGCTCACCACCACGCCTGGCTAATTTTTGTATTTTAGTAGAGACGAGGTTTCACTATGTAGGTCAATCTGGTCTTGAACTCCTGACATCAAATGAGCTGCCTGCCTCAGCCTCCCAAAGTGCTGGGATTACAGGCGTGAGCCACCGTGCCTAGCCAGGAGTTTCAGCTTTTTATGAACTTGATTTTTCAGGCCAAAAAAAGGTAAGAACTCTGGGGAACTAATACTGGGTATTATTTACAAATCTTCCAAATTAAAGTACCAGAGTCATATAAATTGAGATGCTTGTGAGTTGACATTGATCTATTGTTCCCTCTTTTCATTCTTGAAAGTGCAAGAGTGAAATAAGAAAACTTAATTTTACTGTAACATAAATTATAATTTTAGGGTAAGTGATTATTTACAGAGCTTCAAACAGGTAGTCTTCAATAAATTTAATAGTTTCTGAAGAAAATACCTAAACAGAGCATTCTAGTATGCTGGAAGTGGGGAGGGGAGAAGCAGCTGTGGAGGGAAGAAAGATACAAGATTTAAGGAAGCTTCTAGTATAGCTAAGGAGATTGGGCAGCTAAAATAATCAAGGCCTTGTATTACAAGGGTCAAATGCGTGGTAAAGACAATAAATGTGGTCACATTGTATATTAATTTGGAATTGAGCAATTCAAAAAAATTTTTTTTTATTATACTTTAAGTTTTAGGGTACATGTGCACAACGTGCAGGTTAGTTACATATGTATACATGTGCCATGTTGGTGTGCTGCACCCATTAACTCGTCATTTAACATTAGGTATATCTCCTAATGCTATACCTCTCCCCTCCTCCCACCCCACATAACACTTATATTTTTCCCTCCAAATTAAAAAAATGTTTACAAATTTCACAATTGGCTCTCTGGGCAAACTGTAAATTGTGTTTCTGTCGAGAGGAAATGTTGGTATCACTTTAGCTGGTTATGTAGAAATAACCAATGTTCTTTCTTAGAATTGCTTACTACTGTTTATGTACATATGATTTTGATGACTCTCGAGCTATTATTTTAACACTCTCTATTAAAATAATCTAAAATGTTTTTCTGTAACAAAGCTAAGTGTTCATTGCATGGTAGTGCTGGTGTAAGTATTAATGCTCATGTTTAAAAAAATGCTTGGAAACCAAGAACTTGGGAATAGAAAATAAAAAGATTTAATAAAACACATGAAAGATTGTAAAACAATCCTTATTACTCAAGGGTTTTTGCTAAAAATTAGGGATAATGTTGAAAAAACAGATTCCTAGCTGCATTACTCTAATTTCTGCTTCCATTGCCACATCATCGCCTTCTCCCACATTGACCCTTCTGCCTCCCTTTTATAAAGAACCTCGTGCTGGCCGGGCATGGTAGCTCACGCCTGTAATCCCAGCACTTTGGGAGGCCGAGGCGAGCAGATCACGAGGTCAGGAGATGGAGATCATCCTGGCTAACACGGTGAAACCCTGTCTCTACTAAAAATACAAAGAAGTTAGCTGGGCGTGGTGGCGGGCGCCTGTAGTCCCAGCTACTCGGGAGGCTGACACGGGAGAATCGCTTGAACCTGGGAGGCGGAGGTTGCAGTGAGGCGAGATCGTGCTACTGCACTCCAGCCTGGCAACAGAGCCAGACTCCGTCTGAAAAAAAGAACATTGAATTTATGTAAATGTAGTTATTTGGGCCCACTCAAATAATCCCAATCTCCCCAAATCAAGATCCTTAACTTCACATCTGCAATTTCCCTTCTGCCATATAAAGTAACACATTCATAATTCTGGGGATTCGGACATAGACATCTTTGGGGGCCGTTATTGAGCCTACAGATGGCTATAGAGGAAGAGGCAGGAACTTTGATCTATTCATCTTTGTCCTCTCCATACCTAGAACTATATCTAGCCCCTGGTCAATTCATGTCTTCTAAATTGGTGAGAGAGTATGAGGAAATGTACAAAGGTGGAAATGAGCAATATGTGTCCTGGAAACCCTGACTAAATTGTTAGGTGTGGGCTGAAGGACTACACCAGTAAGGATGGGAGAAAATGGAGTGGAAAGGCATTTAGGGAACGCTGCTAAGTGCCCTAAATAGGCTGTATTTTTAGACTTGAACTAGTGAGGAGCTAATAAAGACTTTTGATTATGGGAAAGAAATGATTACAGCGGGGTTTGATAAAAGATTAATCTGGTGAATACCCTTGGCAGCTACATCAGCAAACAAGTCATGAAGTGATTGAGCTTGAGCTTTAGTTGTGGCGGCCATTAAAAAAACAGAGGGCAGTCCGGGCGCGGTGGCTCACGCCTGTAATCCCAGCACTTTGGGAGGCCGAGGCGGGCGGATCACGAGGTCAGGAGATCGAGACCATCCTGACTAACATGGTGAAACCTCGTCTCTACTAAAAATACAAAAAATTAGCCGGGTGTGGTGGTGGGCGCCTGTAGTTCCAGCTACTTGGAAGGCTGAGGCAGGAGAATGGTGTGAACTTGGGAGGCGGAGCTTGCAGTGAGCCGAGATCGTGCCACTGCACTCCAGTCTGGGCAACAGAGCAAGACTCCGCCTCAAAAAAAAAAAAAAAAAAAAAAAGAGGGCAGAAGCCTGAAACAGCAGGAAAAAAGAATTGCCAGCACTTAATCACTGAGTCACTATAAGAGGGTGTATACCTGGAGGTTGATTTGTGTTTGTGTTACAAGGAATAGAAATTCCAATACGATTGAATGAAAGCTGTTTATTCTCTCCCATAACATGGAGACTGAAGGTAGGTGGCTGTGAATTCACATAAAGAAACTCTTCCTATGATCTTCAGCAAAATCCAGATGGGAGTATCAGGCTGCTGGGAGTCAGATTAATCTTTTTGAAATAAAAAAGCAGCAGGTATGAATACAAAATAAGCAATGTTTCCCTCACAAAAAGGAAGGGGCTGGCAGAATACTTTTTTAAAGGAAGTTTCAGGGGTTTCTCAACAGTAAGTAATACTTGGCTAGGTGTTCATCATCCTTTGTATGACATTGAGAGAGGGCATATCAGGCAAGGACCAACATAACCCTCTCAGCCTCAGACCACTTTAAATTCCTTGTTGTCTATTGATTGTTTCTGCCACTGGAGTTGGAAAGTGTGAGGAATAGGAAATGTATTTTGTAATGGCTATTTGGTATTTATTAATATGATGATTTTGGGCAATTACCATATCTCCTTTCTCTCTAATATCTTAAGAAAAAAGAAAGAAAAAAGAGAGCCTGTTAGGTCATCTGTAGTGGTCAGAAATGGGCAGGAAGCAAAGTAAAAAGCCCTTGTATACAAATGTTCTTCCTTTATAATTACACACAGCTGTCTGAAAAATTTTTAAAGTTCTTATTACAGCAGAAATGACATTGCAGATAATAAGTTCATGGATAAGGAGAGATTGTTTGAATACTGGCAACTACTAAAGAAGGGGGACATAAACCAATAATCCTAAAATTAGCCAAGTCATTTACAGTTTGAAAAATTAGATGAAATGACCTTCGGGGTATTCCAAGATTATCAGGAGGGTTACACTAAACATTAATTCCACTCTTCACCATAACTTTAAAAAGGGAACTTCCTAGAGTGGAAACTTCAGCTGTCTGTGCATGGCATGCACCCCTGCTGAATGTCCCAGCCAGTCCCTTCCACCATGATGATTTTTATAATTTCATGAAGGAGAAAGACATGAACATGTCCACCAGTACCATGGTTTAAAGAAAACTTTAAAAAATGTTCATTGTTGAAATATCAGTGGGGTAGCAAAATTAACTACGGTCACATAGAAGCCCTGTCTTGTCTAGTTTTCCAATATTCTTCCCAACACCTCATGTGCTAGCTGTCCTTCAGGGAGGAGCAGTTTCTTCTCTTCTGATCATCTGTTGGGCAGCATACGCCAGAGGTGGCTCCCATGCATGCTCCCTTGCATGCTGTCTCTTACTCTTCCATCTTCTACATGTGAGTATAGGGTAGGTAAGTTGAGAGGTTTTGTTTTCAAGGCTTGGACTTCTCTTCCAGGCCCTGTGGGTTCAGGCGCCATCCTGCAAACTAGCTCTCTCTACAATGTGTCTGAGAGAATTCAGGATTGAGACTCAGGAGTCAGTAGAAGACCTACACCTTTGCTCCAATTGTGTTTCTGCTCCTCTGCCTCAGATGTCATCAGATGCTTACGCCAAGGGTAAGTTTTAAGTATAAATCTTACTCTTGTCCCTACAAGTTCCTACAACAGAAACTTCTACAAGTAGAAACTTGTAGAAGGAGGGAAGTGGTGGTCAGCAGAACATTGTTGTTCAGTTGGTATGATCAATTCAGAGAGCCATGTGGCAATATCAAACCAAGATGAACATGCACATACCCTCTAGCCAGTGATTTCACTCTAGATAAAGGGCTAGGGAAGCATTCTCATGTATCACAAGAAGATATTTATGAGAAAGTTTGTTGCAGCTTGGTAATAGCAAAAAATGGAAATAATCTAAATGTCCATCAACAGGAGGACAAATTGTGCATATTTATAAAATAAAATATTATTCAGCAATACAAACTGAAGGAGCTAGAGGCCCCACACACTTCATTTATGGAAACGCTATGTATTTCATGAAAACAATGCTATCTGTTTGAATGAATGTATACATATGAATGGAGCTGAATAAAAATGAGAGACACCAAATTTAGGAAAATGATTAATTCTGGGTAGAGACACCAAGAAATAAAATTGTAGAAAGGTACAAAAGGGCTTTAATTATAACGTTTTTCATTTTTAGGCCACATGTGGGATATACACATATATATACTCATTACATAATTCTACATACATTTTCATGTGCCTGAACCATTTTGTTTCTACATCTTCCAAAACCCCTAAGAGATGCAAGTAGTATCACCTATTGGCCATTTACAAAAAGAGAGATATCTTTTAGAACAAAATGTAAGGACTCATTTCTTTCTCCTGAGGAACTTTTGTATTACCTCTTCATTAATAAGATAAATCAGTCACTAATAATGTTTCTTTTTTCTTTTGCTTGCTTGGAAGCTCAGAACCAAATTTGAGCTCTTATTAACCAAAACGGATTTTTTAGAGCTCTACTCTTTCTACCTGAAATTGATTTTCTTTCAAAATGTGCATTCTTCCTGGTCATGCATTTGTTTATTCTACTCTATCATGTTGTAAGCCTCTTCATATTCATTGTGGAATAAAAATAGCTATAAATAAGAGTATAAAAATTATTGTTTATGTTCATGTTTTCCTAATTTACATGGACATACAACATTTACACAGGACAGGCTTATGTGTTGACCTTGTTTACCTTTGTAAACCTCTGTGTCTATCATAGTGTCTGGCACATGGTAGGTATTTCATTATTTGTTCATCAAATGAATTAACAAACCCACAAATTCATGCTTAGACAGATCTTGATTTTTGCACATTTTGGAGGTGTCCAATTTGTCTTGTTATAAATATAGCTTTAGTAAACATCTTGATGAATACTGTTTTGGATTATTTCCTAAGGTTATTTTTTCCAGGAGTAAAATTACATGAGTCAAAGGATGTGAACATTTAATGGCTATTGAAATGTTTTTCCAAATTGCTCTCCAAAAAGCTTTTAGCATTTTCTACAGCTACGAGCAATGTATGAGGGCATCATTTCACCATAACACTGTCTGTGCTTGTGCAGTATTTTGTTCTGTTTTGCAATTTAGTAGATGTAAAATTATAGCTTGAAGCAGAGTTAATAATTTTTTAAATGCAATTTACCTATCATTTGTATCATCTATTTTAAATCACTATCATTTTTATGTAACTTCATGGGCTCTTGTGAATTAACACATTGGCCTTTCCAGAAGACTTCATCATAGATTTTCAATATTTAATGTAATCCAGCAGAGAAAAATAATCCATGGAAATTATTGGGACTTCTTAATTCCCAATAATTGCCTTTATGACTTACATGGTCGCTAAACTTCTCTGGGCTTTGAATTCCTCACCTATAAACTGGAGGTAAGAATATGTACATTGGATGCCTGTTATAAAGATTACAAATCATGTATATAGAATACCTACCAACATGTGACGCATAGGAGGTGCCCAGTAAATGATAGCTATTATTGTTATTTTAATTATTACTTATAAAATTAGTTTTTGTTTATTTGTTTGTTTGTTTGTTTTGAGACGGAGTTTCGCTCTGTTGCCCAGGCTGGAGTGCAGTGGCTGCACCTCGGCTCACTGCAAGCTCTGCCTCCCGGGTTCACGCCATTCTCCTGCCTCAGCCTTCCGAGTAGCTGGGACTACAGGCGCCCGCCACCACGCCCGGCTAATTTTTTGTATTTTTAGTAGAGACGGGGTTTCACCGTGTTAGCCAGGATGGTCTCGATCTCCTGACCTCGTGATCCGCCCGCCTCGGCCTCCCAAAGTGCTGGGATTACAGGCGTGAGCCACCGCGCCCAGCCCACTTATAAAATTAGTTTTATAATGTAGATAAACATTGAGTTCCTTTCTTGGTCTGGGTGCATAAGAAACAAATGTATATTAATTATGGATTGTTTTGGTAACCGATCTTGAACTACCTTAAGCAAAAAGTAGAATTTACCAATAGAAGGGTCGAATAATCAGGAAGAGGAAAGAGCAGGCATTCAGCTGGGCTCCAGAGCAAAAGACCCCTCAACCTTGATGTTGCCAGAAGATGCTGTTAGCAACTCTACTTGCTGGTTCTCTCTGCACTGCACCTGAGCTCCATTTCCTTTATCCAAAAGCAGATTTTCTCGAAACAACTGCCCAAAACCCCCCAGTTTATTGCTAACATGGTACCAAACCCTACAAATACTGCTTTTTCCTATACATACATACCTATGATAAAGTTTAATTTATAAATTAGGCACTGTAAAAGATTAATAACAACAATAATGAAATAGGACAATTATAACAATATACTGAAATAAAAGTTATGTGAATACACACACACACACACTCCCTTTGTCTGTCTCAAAATATCTTATTGTACTGTATGCACATATTTTGGGGCCACAGTTGACTATGGGTGACTGACACTGTGAAAGCAAAACTAAGGATAAGGGGTGGGGGGTACTGTATATATATCCATTCCTCACCCCAATCTTGAGTTTCAACTATTACTTCACCTGTATAATCCAATCTAGATTTCTAATTTCTTATCTAGGGCATGTAGTCAAACAACAAATCACTCATTCATTAATTCATCCAACAAATTCTATTGATAGTCTATGCTATACCAGACACTTTTCTTAGTATTTGGAGTATAGAAATGAATAAAATCAAGTTCTTGGCCTCAAGTGTTTGTAGTTTACTGTTTGCTCTCCCCCTTGATAGCCATTGTGTTATTCAAGTCCATGGTACCAGTTGGCTCCCCTAGATTCCTAATTAGCCTCCCTGCCCCTAACATTGGTTTCTTCCAACCCCTTTTGCATACAGCAGTTGAAGTGATTATCCATAACTCTAAACCTTTACAAACCAATATCCTACTTAAAATCCTTCACAAATTCCTCAAACTTGCAGGATTAAGTCTAAACTCTTTGGAAAGACTTTGATTCCTTTCCCATCTGCTTTTTTAGCTTAATCTCTTTTTAGGCTCACCTACAACCTGGACACTCCAGCAGTGTCCCTAATCCTTTCTGGTTCCCTAAATGTTTTATGCTTTTCATGCATCTTTGTGTATCTGCACAGACTTTGGTCCCGTGTTCCTGACAAAGTTCTGTTAACTTATTCCATATCTTGCTTTCCCTGCCTGTGATAAAACTAATCATTGATTTCTTTGTAAATAGTTTTGTGTCTTGTAAAACTCTACAATTGTACATTGCCTCTGATACTGTAATAATGTATCTATCTATCTGTCTTATATTAAACAGAAAGTCTTTTAGGGCAGATATGGAGTCTTATTCTTCACCCATCACAGTGCCTATGTATAACATGAACACAAACTTTATTAAAATTTAATAATAGTACATGTAACAGAATGTTCAAATGAGGTTTGTTTTTAAAATTGTGAGCTGGCAATTTATAATCGTTTACATTTATGGGAAACAAAGTACTGTTATGATTTATGAATACAATATGGAATAATAAAGTCAAGCTAGTTACCATATCCATCACCTAAAATACTCAACATTGTTTTTTTGTGATGAGAACATTGAAATTTACTCTCTTAGCAATTTTAAATGTGCAATACTCTATTGTTAACTATATTCACCACACTGTGCAATAGATCTAAAAAAATCATACTCCTTCTGAGGTTTTGTACCAGATCATCATCTCCCCATTCCCCTACACCCTTAACCTCTGTACCCACTGTTCTACTCTCCACTTCTATGAGCTTGATTGTTTTGGATTCCACATATAAGCGAGGACATGAGGTATTTGTCTTTTGGTGCCTGGCTTATATTACTTAGTGTAATGTTCTCCATTTCCATCTTCATTGTCAAAAATGACAGGATTTTCCTATTTTTAAAGGATGAGTGATATTCCACTATGTATGTATACAATGTTTTCTTTATTTATCCATCTGTTAATGTACACTTAGGTTGATTCCATAACTTAGCTATTGTGAATAGTGCTGCAATGAACATGGGAGTGCAGACATCTCTCTGACCAACTGTTTTCAAATCTTTTGGGGGAAATACCTATGAATGGGGGCCAGGCATGGTGGCTCATTCCTGTAATTCCAGCACTTTGGGAGGCTGAGTTCTGAGGATTGCTTGAGCCCTGGAATTTGACATCAGCCTGGGGAACATAATGGGACCCCATCTCTGCAATTTTTTTTTATTAGCTAGACATGGTGGCATGCATCTATAGTTCCAGCTACTTGGGGCTGAGGTGAGATGATTGCTTGAGCCCAGGAGGTCAAGGCTGCAGTGAGCCATGAATGAGCTGTTGTACTCCAGCCTGGGTGTCAGAGTGAGACTTTGTCTCAAAATAAAAATGCCAAAACCAATAAATGGGATTGCTGGGTGACACGGCAAATTCTATTTTTAGTTTTATGGGGAACCTCCAAACAGTCTTCTATAATGGCCGTACATTTCTACCAACAGTGTACAAATGTTCCCTTTTCCCCACATTCCCACTATCGCTTGTTTTCTGTCTTTTTTTATAGTAGTCATTCTGACAAATGTGATATAATATCTTGTACTTTTAATTTACATTTCTCCAATGATTGGTGAAGTTGAACATTATTTCATATTTAAGTTGACCATTTGTATATCTTCTTTTGAGAAGCATCTATATGAGTCCTTTGCCAATTTTTAATTGGGTTTTTATTTTCTTGCTATTGAGCTGTTTGATCTCTTTACATAGTTTGGATATTAACACTTTATCAATATATAGCTTGAAAATACTTTCTCCCAATCTCTGCACACAGTTAACTGCTTCCTTTGTTGTGAAGAAAGTTTTTGGTTTCATGTAATTTCGTTTGTCTATTTTTGCTTTTGATGCACATACTTTTTAGTTCAAATCCAAAAAGTTATTGCCCAGATCAATGTTGTGCAGTTTTCCCCCCATTTTATCCTAGTACTTTTTATAGGTTTTGGCCTTACCTGTAAGTCTTTAATTCATTTTGAGTTAGTTTTAATATGGTGTGAGATAAGGAGGATCCAGTTTCATTCTCCTGCATGCATATATCCAGTTTTCCTTAAAATGTTGATTATAAGGAGTATGTTTTTCCCATTTTGTATTCTTGGCCCCTTTGTTGAAAATCAATTGACCATACATGAGTGAGTTCATTTTTGGGTTCTTTATTCTGCTCTATTTTTTTTTTGATGTGTCTATTTTCTTTTTTCCCCCAAACCATGCTGTTTTAATTACCAAAGTTTTGTAGTATAATTTGTAAACAGTGTAATACCTCTCGCTTTTTGCTCATGATTGCTCTGGCTATTTGTTGGCTCTTTTTCATGGTTCCATGTGAATACTAGGATCATGTTTTCTGTTTTATATAAAATGACATTGGAATTTTGATAGGTATTGCATTGAATCTGTAGATAGCTTAGGAAAGTATGGCCATTTTAATACTATTAATTCTTTCAATCCATGAACATGGGATATCTTTCCGTTCATTTGTCTTCTTCAATTTCTTTCATCAACGTTTTGTAGTTTTCAATGTATAGATTTTTACCTGCTTGTTTAAACTTATTTCTATGTAGTTTTGGTAGCTATTGTAAAGGAGATTGTTCTCTTAATTGAGCTTTTGGGTAACTTGTTGTTTATGTATGGAAGAGCTACAGATATTTATTTGTTGACTTTGTTTCTTGCAATTTTACTGTATTTGTTTATTAGTTGTAACAGATTTTTGGTGAAGTCTGTAGGATTTCTATATAAGATCATGTTGTCAGCAAACAGGGACAATTTGACTTCTTTCTTTCATATTTAGATTTAAGCTATGTAGACTCTTTCCTTACTTTTTAATGGGATTGTTTGTATATTTTTTTCTGTAGAGGGGTTTGAATTCTCCCTATATTTTCTTTGTCAGTCCCTTGTTGAATGAATAGTTTGCAAATACTTCCTCCCATTCTACAGGTTGACTTTTCAGTCTGTTGATTGTTTCATTTTCTGTGAAGAACGTTTTTAGTTTAATATAGTCTCACTTGTCTATTTTTTTTGTTGCCTATGCTTTCAGAGTCTAAGCCATAAAATATTTGCCTAATGTCTTGAAGTATTTCCCCTGTTTTCTTCTAGTAGTTTTATAGCTTCTAGTCTTACATTTAAGTCTTTAATCCACTTTGAGTTGATTTTTTGTATGGTGAGAGATAGAGGTTTAGTTTTGTTCTTCTGCAAATGGATATCCAGTTTTCCCAGCAACATACATTGAAGAGGTTGTCTTTTTCCCCGAGGTATATTCTTGGCAAGTTGGTTGAAAATCAGTTTGGCTGTAAATATGTATATTTATTTTTGTATTATCTATTCTGTTCCATAGGTCTATGTGTCTGTTTTTGTGCCAATACCATGCCATTCTGATTACTACAGTTTTGTAGTGTATATTAAAGTCAAGCAGAGTGATGCCTTTAGCTTTGTTCCTTTTCCTCAGGATTACTTTTGCTATTCAAGATCTTTTATGGCTGAATATAAATTTTAGGATTATTTTTCTCTATTTCTGTGAAGAATAGCATTGATATTTTTAAAGGACTTTCATTGAATCTGTTGATAGATTTTGATAGTATGGTCATTATAATAATATTTATTTTTTCAATCCATGAGCATGAAGTGTCTTTTTATTTGGGTTCTCTTCAATTTCTTTCATCAGCTTTATGTAGTTTTTATTGTAGAGGTCTTTCCCCTCCTTGGTTAAATTTATTTCTAGGGAATTTTTTTGTAGCTCTTATAAATGAAATTGCTTGATTTATTTCTTTTTCAGCTAGTTTGTTACTGGCCTACTTCAAGAGATACAGCCTACTTCAAGAGATACTAGTAGTATATAAATGCTACTAATTTTTATATGTTTAGTTTGTATCCTCCAACTGTACTTACTGAATTTGTTGATTAGCTCTAAATTTTTGGTGGAGTCTTTAGTGTGTGTGTGTATATATATATATATATGTTATATGCCTTTTATTTCATATATATATGCATTATAGATATATATAATATGTGCATTTTATTTCTTTCTTTTGCCTGATTGCTCTGGCTAGGACTTCCAGTACTATTTTGAATAAAGGTGGTGAAAATGAGCATCTTTGGCTTGTTCCAGATCTCAGAGAAAAAGCTTTCAGCTTTTCTCCATTCAATAAGATGTTAGCTGTGGGTTTGTCATATACAGCCTTTATTATGTTGAGGTATGTTTCTTTTATGCCTAATTTGTTGAGAGATATTTTTTAATCTTGAAATAATGTTAAATTTTATCAATTTTTTTTTGTGGATCTGTTGAGATGACCACATGGTTTTTGTCTTTCATTCTGTGATGTGATGCATCACATTTATTGACTTGTGTATGTTGCACCATCCTTGCATTTTTGAAATTAATTCCACTTGATTATGGTGTAGTATATTTTTGATGTGTTGTCATATTTTGTTTGCTAGCATTTTGTTGGGGATTTCTGCATCTATGTTTATCAGAAATATTGGCCTGTAGTTTTGGTTGTTGTTGTTGTTTCCTTTCTGGTTTTGGTATCAGAGCAATGTTGGCATCATGGAAAGAGTTAGAAAGAGTTTTCTTCTCTTCATTTTTTCAGAATGGCTTGAGTAGAATTTGTGTCAATTCTTCTTTATAGATTTTGTAGAATTCAGCAGTAAAACCATCCAGCTTTTCTTTCGGGGACTTTTTCTTACTCATTCAACCTCATTACTCATTATTGGTCTGTTCAGGTTTTGCATTTTTTCCTGGCTCAATCTTGGCAGGTTGTGTGTTTCCAGGAATTTATTAATTTCCTCTAGTTTTTCCAATTCATTAGTGTATAATTATTCACGATAGTCTCTAATGATTTTGTATTCCAATGTTATCAGTTGCAATGTCTCCCTTCTTATTTCTGATTTTATTTTATTTTTGCATCTTTACCCTTCTTTTCTTAGTTAGTATAGCTTTGGTTTATCAATTTTGTCTCTTTTTAAAAAGTCAACTTTTCATTTTGTGGACCCTTAGCATTTTTTAAAAAGTTTCTATTTTGTTTTGTTTAGTTCTACTCAGACTTTTATTAGTTTTTCCTTCTACTAATTTTGGGCTTGGTTTGTTCTTGCCTTTTAAGTTTCTTGTGTTACATTGTTAGGCTTTTTATTTAAAATATTTCTACTTTTTGATGTAGGTATTTATTGCTATATACTTTCCTCTTAGAACTGCTTTTGCTTTATAAGTTTTGGCATATTGTGTTTCTATTTTCATTCATCTCAAGGTATTTTTGAATTTCCAGTTTAATTTCTTCCTTGACCCATTGATTTTTCAGGACCATGTTGTTTAATTTCCATATATTTTTACATTTTTTGAAATTTCTCCTGGTATTGATTTCTAGTTTCATACCATTTTGGTTGGACAAAATACTGGATATAATTTTAATCTTCTTAAATTCACCAAAGTTTTTTTTGGTGCCCTAACATGTAATCTATCCTGTAGCATCTTCATGTGCCCTTGAGAAGAATATATATTCTGTTGCTGTTGGATGGAATGTTCTATACCTGTCTTTAAGTTCCATTTGGTCTAAAGTGTTGTTCAATTCTGGTGTTTCCTTATTAATGTTCTCTCTGTAGTATCTGTCCATGGTTGGAAGTTGGGTATTGAAGTCCCCTAGTGCTATTGTATTGCAATCTCTCTCTCTCTTTTTGGGTTCTTAAATATTTGTTTTATATATTTAGGTGCTCCAATGTTGGGTGCATATATACTTACAATTGTTATATTCTGTTGATGAATTGACACCTTTATTATTATATAATGTCTTTCTTTTTTTCTTTTTTACAATTTTTGACTTAAAGTCTATTGTGTCTGATATAAATACAGCTACCTCTGCTACATTGTTTCTATTTGTGTGGAATATTTTTCTCCATCTTTCACTTTTAGTCTGTGTGTGTGTCCTTCAAAGTGAGGTGAGTGACTTGTAGGCCAGTACATATAGTTGGGTCTTGTTTTTGTTTTATTTATTCAGTCAGTCTATGTCTTTTTATTGGAGATTTTAATCAATTTATGTTTAAAGTAATTATTGATAAAGAAGTACTTACTACTACCATTTCACTAGTTTTGTTCTTGTTTTGTACATATTTTGTTTCTTCCTCTGTTGCCGTTACTTTGTGGTTTTATGGTTTACTATACCAGTACACTTTAAATCCATTCTATTTTTGTTTTGTAATTCTACTAAAGAATTTTCCTTTGTGGTTACCAAGATCCTCACATAAAACATATTATGCTTATACCAGCCTATTTCAAGAGATACTAGTTTCTCTGCCTGATTGGGGTTGTTGGGAGGCTTTTTCATTTCTTTTCTTTTCTTTTTTTGGTGAGGAGAGCTGCTGCTTGACTTCCTGGGTCAAACCAGTCTAGTCCCTGTGCTTCTCTGAGATGCACCTAGGTGGATGTCTCCCTGCCTGGTAGGATCATCGGGAGTGTTTTTTGGTTCCAGAAATGGAGATCCTGAAGAATCTGTATATATGCCTCAAGGAAGAGAATTCTTTTAAGAATTCAGCAAGATCACAGAAAGTTAACTGTCTGCTGTAGCCACAGGAAACTAATACTATGTATTTATTTTACAAATAAGATATTGGCTTCCCTTTTCTTCTTCTTTTAGTTTAGGTGTTTCCACAGGAGCAGGTACTAAAACAGATACGAGTACAAATAGTTTATTTGGGAGGTGATCCCAAGAAGCATAGACAGGGGAATGTTAGTGAGACAGGGAAGAGAAGGAATCCGGTAACACATAAGAAATTGAGTAAGTTACAGCTATAGGAAGTGGAGCTCAATCCTCAGCTCTGGGACACAGTAAAGAATGTACTTTGGGGTTACTCCAACTGAGGGAACTGGGTCTTCATCAATTCTTGTCAGCCGTCTGTTGAGGGCTGCTCCAAGGAGCATTATTTGCTCAGCAGTTTTGGCCTGCTGTGAATGTAGAAGGAATGGGCTCTATAAGCCAAAGAAAGCTCTCAGGTGAAGTGTCATGGCACTTGCAGATGGAAACTATGGGTACCCTATACTGAGTGTTAGGGGTTATAAACAGGGTAATGGCATCAGTTGCTGGACTTCTCCTCCTTCCTCCTGCTTGAGTCCCAGAATTGTCAAAAGCAGTCTTGCAGGAGTGGAGGGAGGAGTAGAAACACCATGCTGGAAAATAGAGAAGAAACTCACTCTCTCCTTTCCATTGAAGGCTTCGTGTCTGCAACAGCCCCAAGCTGTGGGAGGGGAAGAGCTCTACATTTGAATGGAGTTTTGAGTTTTTACTTTTACTACAACCGGCATTTTAATGGCTGAAGTGAGTAGTATTAGGCCAAAGAGTGATTTGTTCTCTGATACTCACCAGGAAAGTCATGGGAACTACCCTAGATTTCACTGAATGAATAGGAAGAGAAAGGTTGAACAGACAGTGGATAGCAGGCAATTTTTTGGTTTTCTCATTGCTTGAGTCCTACTTATGTACTACTCAGCTGAAGAATTAAAAGTTCAGTTAACCAGTTCTTTTATCTATAGAATAACAAATATTCCTACTAACCAAAAAGCATTTACTGAAAAATTTATCTGACTAGCTTTGCACTAAGAATATGATAGATTTTACAATATCAATCCTAGTCCCCTAAGTGGTACTTACTGCAGTTTACTTGGGAATATAGATTGTTCAGAGAATTTTTCATGTCTGAGAAATTATATCATCAAAGAATTGATTTTTCCGACCACTACTCACCTATTGTATCTTTTGTAATTATTAGTAATCTTCAAAAGAGCCTTTACACCCTGCTAATTCACCTAAGCGTTTATTATTATACTCATTGACTATTGTTGACTTCTTAATACTTCTAAAGGGGAAAGAGGTTTTAGGTAAAAATAAATTACAAATCCGTATGTAAAGTTATGCCAACTAACTTATTATTATTTTTATTTAACTAATTTGAGTTTATGGGTTACTAGATGATTATGTAACTCGGAATCTGAAAAGAAACATGTTTGTTAGCACTAGAAGTATTATGAGATCACCACAAGCAAAGGTTATGGAGCATCTTAAGTAATTTCATAAAATTAATATCAACACAATTTTAATTAAAAACAAATATGAAGTCATTAAAGTTAATATAATAAAGAAGGCAAAATGAGACAATATACTATTCTTTCAATTTATTAGACCAATTGGTATGAAAATGTTCAGTGAAAAAGCAATTTTGATCACACAAGGTGAAGGAAAGGTGTGTTGTGTAATGTATCTCTTTTCCTTGGCCTGCTTCAGAGTGGTCTGGCATTTTTCTTTGATGGTCTTGAGACATGCTTGGTAATCCATGGTTGGTGAAGAGAGAGGATGAGGGGTGAGGATAAAAATCCCCCATTGAACTGGGCACAGTGATTGTGGACTTGTCAACCATGTTAGAAAGATAAAATGCCATGAGTGGAGGAGGAGGAGTCTTCTGTGGCATAGTGAAAGAGCAGGGGTTTGGCACTAGACGACCTGGGTTTGAGTCCACCGTTATCCCTTGCTCTTTATCTGATCTTAGGCAATTCACTTAACATCTCTGAGTCTCCATTTCCACACCTGCACAATAGAGATAATAATAAAACCAAAGCAATGCCCTAGATTGTTTCATAAACTCAGCATGCCTGTCTGATTGAGTGATAATAAGAGAGTAAATGGATATTTGACCTGAAGAGAAGTAAGTCCTGAAGTAATCATGAACTAAAAGAGCATGATTACACACAATAGTCCCACTTTGATAGATTCTGATTCTGTTGGTTGGGGAGGAGATACAGGGAATTCAAATTCATGGTAATTTTTGGTATGCAGCCATTTTGAAAACCAAAGAATTAAGGGGATGGGGCTACCAAGAAAGGTTCTTCAAACAAATGTCACAATTCGGCTATGAAAACAGGATGGAAATTTAGTCATGAGATCAGGGAGGCAGAGGGTGTACTTTTATTGACATGTGGAGTTGCACTCAAAACATTTAGTAACTATGACCATAGGACCTAACTGATAAATCTGACTGGGAGATCCACGTAGGAAAAGACATGCTCCCTCAAACTAGGCAGTGCTCCTGAAAAGCCCTCAATATTTCTGGAATGTAAATATACTAAGCAACCAAGGTACAGTCTCCCCACCTGCTCCTACCCGAAATGAAAATGGCTCCAGAACATTTAATAAATAGCAAAGTGTTAAATCATTGCAGGATAGCAGGATCAACCTATTGTGGGGCATAACGGACTGGACTTCTGCATTTGTCAACCAGTCATTGTTATAATATAACATATTTTTACTATACTGAACATCTCCAACTTTTCTATAAGGCAAATAGCATTGTTATCCCCATTTTCTATGTGAGAAAACTACAGTTCAATGAGCAAAATGCCTTGCTTGATGTCACAAAGCCAACAGGGAGCAGAGTACAAGCCAAGATAAAAGTCTAGCACATGGACACAAATCCTGTGCTCTTCCCATTATAAGAGCATTTGCTCAGCAAAGGAATTTGGGCATGTCCAAAAGCAAAGTTGAGAAGCCACAGATGAGAGCAAGAGCAAGAAAGACCACCAGGGAGGTAAAGAATGCCAAAGAGAAGGAATTCACATGATGGACAAAGAAAGCATAGGGGAGGAGGCTGGCTACAGCATCTGAGACATCAAGATTAACAGAAGATAAGGGGTATGCAAAACTTGTCTATCATTCAATAAAGTCAGCAGGAGGCTGAAAAGCCCTGGGGTTGTGATTCCATGCCTGAGCAGATATTGAGGTTGATATTGAGGAGGATCACCCTCACCAGAGAAAAATCTCTTTAATATTGTTATTACAGTTAAATTCACTGCATTGCGGGAAATTTTAAATCACTTCATTGAAGGGGAATTGTTTAGAAAACAACTGGATTAACAGTTTTTTTTTCATTTTTAAATAAGATGCTTAGTGTTACGGAGACATAGTCTGGCTTTCACAGATATGTTACTGTCTTGTCTATCCAGCTCTTCAAAAAGTAGTACTTAAATACCATTACCTTAACCACAAAATCAGGTAAGCCATATTCATTAGCTATATCATTTTGTCATGGACACAATCAAAGTGCAAAGTACAATTTGGTCCTGCATCACATTCACAGAGGAAATACATCCAGAGACATTCATCAATTTATTCAGAGCCAGAAGATAAACCTGTGTCTTTAGATTCTCATTATTAACTAGCCTTTTATTCTTCCAAGCTGATAAAATAAATCCTCCAGAGTATTAGATAGGTTATGTTAGAGTTTTGAATTGTTCTGAGAAAATATTTTTAATATAAAAAATGCAACTAAAGATAACCTTATTATAAATGTGTTCTGTGTTGGGGATAGTGATTCATAATCTCATTTGTTCGTGACTCATAGCTCTTGGAAAAGAACCAGATTCCAAGGAAATGTTGGCTTTTGTTCAAAACCGGTCAATTATTTTATCCATTTTCATCTTTTTCCTTTTCAAAATAATAATGATAACAACAGAAATACTATATCCAGGTAGAAGGCTTAAGAATACATCAATATGTAAGTCTTCATTACCTACATTGTGTGATAACAGAACTTCTTTGCTGTGTTCATACATATGAGGAAATTTGTAATAGTTATTTCTGTAAGAATAGTTATGAGTGAGAGGCTTTAAAAAATAAGAACTAGAGGCATACTGTAACAGTGATTAGAGGTGTACTGTAACAGTGATTATTCATAAGCTTTTCTATAGCTATGAATCAGTTTTAACTCAGGTGTCGTTCAGAACTTACAGTATATTTTGAAGATTAGATTGTCATAACATAAATTGGAGTGGGCATCTTAAAGTATCAGAATTCAAACCGAGAATGCACTAGATGATGGGATGAGTAATAAAGTGTGCAAGGGAAAATTCTCTTGAGATGATAATCCTCCCCCAATAGCTTCAAGGGAGAGAAAAACATCTTGCTATAAAAAATATCTATTCTTTTGGTTTCCCAAACAGGAGATTATTTCAAGGGTATCTGGTACTTGACACAAAATATAAATATAGATTCTTTCCTTATCTTTTTCATATTTCTTTTTTCTTTGTACACTTTCTATTGTAACCTATGATGAAAATGAAAATAGAGAACTTGTGTAAGTCAGGTCACTTGCAAGTATTAGAAAAATCAACAAAAACTCAGCTCAGACTAGATTAAAATGTAAGAAGATTTATTGGCTTATATAACTGGATGGTCAAGGAAAACCAGGCATTGTTTGGTTCAGAAATGCAAAGAATGCTAGTATCTTTGAATGCGTGTGGATGCCTGTCACTCAAGTCTAGCTTTCCCATATTAGTCTCCTTCTGAGGTAGGCTCTTTCATGAAAATGAGAAAGTTTATTGCACCCAACTTCCAACCTACCAGCAATCTGAGGGAAAATAGGAAAAACTCTATTGGATCTTTCCCAAGATCTTTTTCAATAAATCCAAAGAAGCACTAGAGCTCCCATTGGAATGACTTGGGTTGACACCTTTCCCTGATGATTCACTGAAGCTAAGGGAATAGATTATGTTAATGGTCTGGAGGGCCATATGACTACTATGATTGATGAGGAGTGACACAATGAGGTGAGGTCAACTCTATGTAATCCACATGGACAGAGAGAAGAGGAGGAGGGCATGTTTTCTGCTAATGGAAGAAGAGATAAGCAGGCAAGGACAATTGATCCTTATTGCGCACACATATTTTGAATCCCCAAATGCTCCTCAGTACCCAGTGCAAACTCTTCTTTCTTATGACATTGCTCCTGAATGGCAAAATGAATCCTGGAGGCCCTCTTTCTCCTCCTCTCAGCAGCCTCTGCTCAGCCTCCATCTTAATTAAGTCTTGAGCTCACATTCCCTCTTATTTTGCCAACCCCTTGCTGGTTTCATCACAGCTGACAATTGACAAAGAAATCATTTTCTTTAACCTGCCTGGGGGTGCACCACTATTAAGTTTGAGAGGAAATAACACGCAAAGAGTAAAGAGAAAAAAACACATCATTTTCCCCCCAACATATTACAGTAATCTATGTTGATTACATTTCCTTTTCTCAAAGAGTCTAATTCCTCCATCAATCTGGAGCTACTAACACAAGAGGCTGCGAATGGCTAAAGAATTTGATATAGAACTGTAGCATGATTTACCTCTGTTTACAATTTTAATGTGCCAGACTTACCTTTGTCTAATAGATCCTGAAGGTTTTTCTCAGATTTAAAAGAATTATATTCTTTCAAGAAATGTCAAAGTTCAAATACACAAGAACTAAATTAATATTAATAGAAGCTCTGATTATGGTTATACTTTTACTCCTAAGGAATTTATGGGAAGTTGAAATTCTGGAGTCTGGAAATGGAAAACACTGATAAATATTGATAAATATTGGCATTTATTTAACATTTAGTTCGTGTTGTCTGTGCAAAGCATAATTGAGCTCACTGTTTAGCTAAATGTCTGCTTTATTATATCTCTGCTGTTTTAAATGTTTGGGAATTGGATTGAAATCACAGTGAAGGCTCTAAGGCATTTTGCTTATCTAGAAACTGAATATAAAACCACAGAGATGACAATTTTTTATTTCTTTTGGCGTTAGCTCCCAAGATTGTCGTGTTCTATGCATATAGATGACAAGTACCTTCTCCCAAGGTAAAGGATAAACTTGGCAAGTGGCCAGTGGGTTGAACCAACAATTCTTCCTGAGTTGAGCTGAGATGAGGCCCCAAACACTGGCATAACCTGAAATTTGATTTGAGTGATGACTTATAAAGAGACAGCATTAAACAACCAACTCACCAAGTGAGTCATCTTTGCTGAGCTGTGCACTTTCATTATCCTCAGAAATCTATTAAGAAATCATCTTATTGTTTGCCTAATGCAAATGGAAATGCCTAGCATATTGATTCTACTCCCAGTTTATACTCTGGATAAAGACCAGTCTACACCCGGGAAGTGTTCCAGGATCCTGATGGGGCAAAATTGTGAAATAGGCAGAAATTGTCTTCCAGCAGCTCTTCTCAAGCCCCCTTCTAGTGTACATTTACCCCTACCTCTCAAAAGCCAAGCATCTCCTCTCCTCCTCTCCTCTTCCTTCCTTCCTTCCTTCCTTCCTTCCTTCCTTCCTTCCTTCCTTCCTCCCTTTCTCTCTCTCTCTTTCCCCCTCTGTCTCTCTGTCTCTCTCATACACACACACACACACACACGGGTCCTATGGACATGGTGGCTCTCTCACTGGGTGACACTTTCTGCTCAAAAACTTTGCTCCACTTCCTTGCTCCCTTCCTCTGCACAAAACTAATCTATTATCTAAGTTTCTCTTCCTTGGGCCTTGGTAAATGTCTGAAGTTATTTTGACAAAGACGGATTTGAGTATTGGGCAGTGTAGTTAACAAGAGTATTTACACGACATCAGAGAAAGCTAATTTGTGGAACATTCAGAAACAGTCCATCAGGCTGATAAATATACACTTGGGGACCTCAATAACTACTGTTTAGAAAGTCATCATGGTGTGGTAGAATTACACAGCTTGTGTTCTCCATCTAGGTAATTTTAAATAAATCATTTAACTTTTTCATATTAGGTATTCTTACCTATTGAAAGCGAAGAACTAATACCTTGTTTTCTTACTAGAGTGGCCATCTGCTGGATTTGCCAGCTTGACAGTCATTTCTCCTTCTTCCTAATTTTCCTTTGCACAAACATCCCCCACAACATGCAGTCCAGGTATTATGCTTGGTGGTAACTGGAACCTCACTCAATCTAGAAAAGTAAGGGTTAGCCTTGAGACATTTAATGCAACAACTTGAAAAGAGGTGGGCTCTTTCCACTGGTAACTTAAAGTGGCCAGAGGCCATCTTTGCCACCACTTGGGGTAACTCCAGGACTGAGACATGCTGGATTAACATCACCAACACAAGGGTCTAGTCAGCGTCTTTCTCTTAGGATTTGCCTATCAGATAGGGAAAAGATCACTTTGGTTCTGATTGGGTCAAGAGCCTATCCTTGAATCTGATCATGCTTGCTACCAGATTTACTTTTAAGCTACACGAACCAATAAATCGTCTTTTGTTTAAGCTATATTTATATATATTTGAGTTGAGTTTCTGTCACTTACAGACAAGAGAGTTCCAACTAATACTGTTTAAAACAGCAGTAAAAATAATTCCACGAACGATGGCTCTTATTATAACAGAGGATTGGCAAATTTTTTCTATGAAGGGCCAATATTAAATATTTCAAGATTTATGAGCTATAGGGTCTGTCACAACTACCCACCTTGACCACTGTAGTAAGAAAGCAGTCATAGGCAATATATAAAGTGTAGCTGCTCTCAAATAAAACTTTATTTATGGACACTGAAATTTGGTTTTCATATAATTTTCTATGCCTTCAAATATTATTCTTCTGTTGAGTTTTTCAACTATTTAAAAATGTAAAAACCACTCTACAAAAATAAGAGTTTTATAATGGTTTGCTCACTCTTACTCTAAAGGGATAGTGGAATGCAAGAATCCTAGCAACTGCCTTTCTGGAGATTAACAGTTTACCTAATAAATAACACTTAGAGTTATGTGTACAATCATGAAATCAATCATTTTTCAGTAACTCTCTTTTTTTTCTTGGCTGTCCTTACAGACAATGTGTGCCCAGTTAATAGGACTTGTCACATAGTAAACTTGATTTGAATATTAAATGGCTCAACCATTAAGTTTTTAAATATATTTATTTAGTCATATTTTTTCCTAAGGAGACTTTAAATTATATAATCTACTCACATGGTGAAATGAAGAAATCCACAAGTTAGAGAACTGATCAATATGATAAATAAAAAATAAATGCTTCACCTATTAGAGAATACATTAAAGATAACTTATCCATAAGGAGAAATGACTGCAATGATTTATGACTAAGATCTGAATGGTAAAGACAGTGGCAAAAAGAGACAAGTCAAATATAGTAGAGGAAACTCCAGATACTTAAGTCTTAGATGTACCAATGTAAAGTGTTCATTATCATTAATATTAACACTCTCTTATTGCATGCTTGGCTAGTAAAGAGGTAGGCACTCTTTTTACTTATATCTAGGCACGTTATTTACTTATATCTGTCTATCATTGTCTACTTACATTTGTAGATATAAATATAAATATGAATAACAATAGATAGACAGATGATAGATACATAAATAGATATAGACAGATGTCCTAGCTATGTGCTAGGTACTTAGGTAAATAGCTCCTAGCATATAGCTAAGACATCTGTCTATCTAAATATAGATATCTATCTATCTATCTATCTGTGTGGAAATTTATATTGAAGGTAGATAGAAATAAGAAATTATATGGATGCCTTTATGAGTTAGTAATTAAGTAACTCTAATAGAAGGTTGCTCAGGGACTTAGTACAGGGAGAAATAAATATATTAAGACATCTAGAAAATATTCAGACATGGGAGGGTATGAATTTTATCATAAATTAAGTAACTCTACATTCCATTAACTCTCTTTTTAAATAGTTCAAATGGGGGGGACAGTAATTTTTTTTAATACTTATGAAGTGTTACCTCAAAATAATATTGCCCATGGATATCAAATCAGTCTGAATGAACATAACTGAAAAATATTCAGAATGCTTGAAATGACTTAGAAGTAATCTTTAAGAGCTAACCCTAGGGGCCCAGTCCTCCTTTCATAGAGGTGAGCTCCTTAGCTGAAATACATCTCTAAAAGACCTTCTGTGAAAAGTGAGAGGTGCAAAAGTTCCTGAATGACCAAATACCCTGCTGCCAAAACGAAAAGCAATTTCATTTAAAAGTATATTCCGTTTATCTTCTGCGCAGCACTTGAATTTTATTGAGATAGAGATATTCTGTACACCAAACCCAATTTAATTCCCATAAATAAAGCAGAGTGGGTGAACATGATCCTCTATTTTCTTTTGTTGCAGAGAAACGCTGATTCCTGATAACTGGTGGTGTTTCATTTGTTTTTGTTTGATTTTTCACGTTAGAGGAGCAGAGTTTTCAGACACTTAGGCCTACAAGACTTAACCCCTGTTGGGCAAGGGGATTTAGGGGAGGAAGCACATCAGTAATATCAGCACTCAACTATAATGTGTCCAAGTGAAAATGGCTCAAAGTAAAAGAGATCCTTAGATGCATAATAAAAAAGTCATGCCCTTTCTTAGCAAGCAGGATAAAAACAGACTGATAAAATAATTTCCAGTACCAACATCTTTTCCATCTGTTTTTCTATCATTTCTAGAACTAAGTGCCAAAAACGCTTTTTTTAAGAAAAAAGTTTTGCTCAAAGTTGCCTTCTCTCTCTTTTCTATTTATTTCTCTGCTTTTTAAAATTACATTTTATGTTCTAAAATCACTGATCTGAGCTTATTACTTTCTTATTGAAAAACTCTCAGAGGTTTCCAAAAGCTAAAGAGCACTTAAAAGTTCAAACTCCTAGCACAATATTCGAGACTCTCCATGTGAGACTTAAACTTGCATTCCCAATACACATTCCCAACAGCGTCATTCAGACATTATTAGGAAAGCCAATCAGAAACTTTTACAATTTCTGTTCCATGCTCTTTCTTTTCCTTATTCCAAACCTTTTGTCAAATTGTTTCCTCCCATAACATCTGTTTAATTTCTATTCATCCTTCAAACTTAGTCACTTTCTCTAAGATGCCTACCTAGCTAGATCCCCATATAAGGTTTTGATATCACTCTTCTCACAGCACTTTCCTATGGCACTCATAATCTAAGTTGGATTATATTTTTGTGTGTATTTCTTACACATCAGGGCAAATATGTTTGGGGATAAAGGTGTTTAGAAAGAATAACCCAACTATTTTCACCATTGCAGCCCTAGAATTTTGCCTTAAAATACAAAGTCAGGGCACAGTATGTTTGCTGTGTTAGAGAATTAAAATAATACTTGCCTCTTTTCTTTTTCTTCCTTTCCTTTTTACAAAAATATCCTCATTTCTTCTCTTGTCTTTTTGTCTTTTTTTCTCCACAATTCTACAAACTTTCTTCTTTTCCATTTTCCTCTTTTACTGTCTTCTTATTTCTTCTTCATTTTTTATTCCTTCACTTCTTTGTCTGCCCCTTATTTTCTTCTTCAATATCATAGGTTTTGCACAAATTTTTTCAACATCTATTCACCTATTCTTTTATATTGCTAGTGTAAAATTTTTAATATGTTCTGAAGCAAATTTCATCTGTGCATAATTATTCAATAATTTACTCATTCATTTCATTTAATTTTATTAAATATTTGTTGTTTATTCATGAGTACCAAGCACTCTTCTGAGCACTAGAGATCTGAATTGAGTAAGACTGACAGAATCACTTCTCATGGAAGTTAAGTTATTGTAGAGACAGAGAAAAATCCCACAAAGAATCAAAAAATACTGTAGAATGGTAGGTGGTGAATATAAAAAAGAGAAACTTAAAATGACAAATTCTTCATCTGAATAATGACAGGGTTATAACTATTAGATTTACCCTTCAGCCATAAACAAATATAACACTCAAAAAATACATAAGCAGCAACTCTTTTTAGACATCTAACAACAGACTCCACAACACTGCTATCCTGGAAAAGAAAGAACTACTGGAGGTAAGCAACACATTTACCCTGGCTTTTTGATTAGGAACGCAGTGAAATAGAACCCAAAGAGAAATTGATGGTGTCTAAGGTAGACATTATTAGCATTGTGGCTGGGATTTATGAAGCAGGTTAGTAGAGAGGAGGTAGCTGTTTAGAGATGAAGCTTCAGAAATCTTTTCTAAGGTCACCTTAAGCCACTGGCTTAATATTAGGCATTTATAGGGCAAGATTTGCTGAAACCCTGAAGAGAACTACTTGAGGGTTGTGAGCCAAATAGAGATATTAGAGGCTGCATTTCCATCTGAGCTTTGAAGAGAGCAGTGATTCTCCCAGCACGCAGCTGGAGATCTGAGAAAGGGCAGACTGCCTCCTCAAGTGGGTCCCTGACCCCTGACCCCCGAGCAGCCTAACTGGGAGGCACCCCCCAGTAGGGGCAGACTGACACCTCACACGGCCGGGTACTCCTCTGAGACAAAAATTCCAGAGGAACGATCAGACAGCAGCATTTGCGGTTCACAAAAATCCACTGTTCTGCAGCCACCGCTGCTGGTACCCAGGCAAACAAGGTCTGGAGTGGACCTCTAGCAAACTCCAACAGACCTGCAGCTGAGGGTCCTGTCTGTTAGAAGGAAAACTAACAAACAGAAAGGACATCCACCCCAAAAACCCATCTGTACATCACCATCATCAAAGACCAAAAGTAGATAAAACCGCAAAGATGGGGAAAAAACACAGCAGAAAAACTGGAAACTCTAAAAAGCAGAGCACCTCTCCTCCTCCAAAGGAACGCAGCTCCTCACCAGCAACGGAACACAGCTGGACAGAGAATGACTTTGACGAGTTGAGAGAAGAAGGCTTCAGACGATCAAACTACTCTGAGCTACAGGAGGAAATTCAAACCAAAGGCAAAGAAGTTGAAAACTTTGAAAATGATTTTGACGAATGTATAACTAGAATAACTAATACAGAGAAGTACGTAAAGGAGCTGATGGAGCTGAAAGCCAAGGCTCGAGAACTACGTGAAGAATGCAGAAGCCTCAGGAGCTGATGCGATCAACTGGAAGAAAGGGTATCAGTGATGGAAGATGAAGTGAATGAAATGAAGCGAGAAGGGAAGTTTAGAGAAAACAGAATAAAAAGAAACGAACAAAGCCTCCAAGAAATATGAGACTATGTGAAAAGACCAAATCTACGTCTGATTGGTGTACCTGAAAGTGATGGGGAGAATGGAACCAAGTTGGAAAACACTCTGCAGGATATTATCCAGGAGAACTTCCCCAATCTAGCAAGGCAGGCCAACGTTCAGATGCAGGAAATACAGAACGCCACAAAGATACTCCTCAAAAAGAGCAACTCAAGACACATAATTGTCAGATTCACAAAAGTTGAAATGAAGGAAAAAATGTTAAGGGAGGCCAGAGATGAAGGTCGGGTTACCCACAAAGGGAAGCCCATCAGACTAACAGCGGATCTCTCGGCAGAAACTCTACAAGCCAGAAGAGAGTGGGGGCCAATATTCAACATTCTTAAAGAAAGGAATTTTCAAACCAGAATTTCATATCCAGCCAAACTAAGCTTCATAAGTGAAGGAGAAATAAAATACTTTACAGACAAGCAAATGCTGAGAGATTTTGTCACCACCAGGCCTGCCCTAAAAGAGCTCCCGAAGGAAGCACTAAACATGGAAAGGAACAACCGGTGGCAGCCACTGCAAAATCATGCCAAATTGTAAAGACCATCGAGGCTAGGAAGAAACGGCATCAACTAACGAGCAAAATAGCCAGCTAACATCATAATGACAGGATCAAATTCACACATAACAATATTAACTTTAAATGTAAATGGACTAAATGCTCCAATTAAAAGACACAGACTGGCAAATTGGATAAAGAGTCAAGACCCATCAGTGTGCTGTATTCAGGAAACCCATCTCACGTGCAGAGACACACATAGGCTCAAAATAAAAGGATGGAGGAAAATCTACCAAGCAAATGGAAAACAAAAAAAGGCAGGGGTTGCAATCCCAGTCTCTGATAAAACAGACTTTAAACCAACAAACATCAAAAGAGACAAAGAAGGCCATTACATAATGGTAAAGGGATCAATTCAACAAGAAGAGCTAACTATCCTAAGTATATATGCACCCAATACAGGAGCACCCAGATTCATAAAGCAAGTCCTGAGTGACCTAGAAAGAGACTTAGACTGCCACACAATAATAATGGGAGACTTTAACACCCCACTGTCAACATTAGACAGATCAACGAGACAGAAAGTTAACAAGGATACCCAGGAATTGAACCCAGCTCTGCACCAAGCGGACCTAATAGATATCTACAGAACTCTCCAACCCAAATCAACAGAATATACATTTTTTTCAGCACCACACCACACCTATTCCAAAATTGACCACATAGTTGGAAGTAAAGCTCTCTTCAGCAAATGTAAAAGATCAGAAATTATAACAAACTGTCTCTCAGACCACAGTGCAATCAAACTAGAACTCAGGATTAAGAAACTCACTCAAAACCACTCAACTACGTGGAAAATGAACAACCTGCTCCTGAATGACTACTGGGTACATAATGAAATGAAGGCAGAAATAAAGATGTTCTTTGAAACCAACGAAAACAAAGACACAACACACCAGAATCTCTGGGACACATTCAAAGCAGTGTGTAGAGGGAAATTTATAGCACTAAATGCCCACAAGAGAAAGCAGGAAAGATTTAAAATTGACACCCTAACATCACAATTAAAAGACACAGAAAAGCAAGAGCAAACACATTCAAAAGCTAGCAGAAGGCAAGAAATAACTAAGATCAGAGCAGAACTGAAGGAAATAGAGACACAAAAAACCCTTCAAAAAATTAATGAATCCAGGAGCTGGTTTTATGAAAGGATCAACAAAATTGATAGACCACTAGCAAGACTAATAAAGAAGAAAAGAGAGAAGAATCAAATAGATGCAATAAAAAATGATAAAGGGGATATCACCACCAATCCCACAGAAATACAAACTACCATCAGAGAATACTACAAACACCTCTACACAAATAAACTAGAAAATCTAGAAGAAATGGATAAATTCCTGGACACATACACCCTCCCAAGACTAAACCAGGAAGAAGTTGACTCTCTGAATACACAGGATCTGAATCACAGGATCTGAATCACAGGATCTGAAATTGTGGCAATAATCAATAACTTACCAACCAAAAAGAGTCCAGGACCAGATGGATTCACAGCCGAATTCTACCAGAGGTACAAGGAGGAGCTGGTACCATTCCTTCTGAAACTATTCCAATCAATAGAAAAAGAGGGAATCCTCCCTAACTCATTTTATGAGGCCAGCATCATCCTGATACCAAAGCTAGGCAGAGACAAAACCAAAAAAGAGAATTTTAGACCAATATCCTTGATGAACACTGATGCAAAAATACTCAGTAAAATACTGGCAAACCAAATCCAGCAGCACATCAAAAGGCTTATCCACCATGATCAAGTGGGCTTCATCCCTGTGATGCAAGGCTGGTTCAATATACACAAATCAATAAATGTAATCCAGCATATAAACAGAACAAAAGACAAAAACCACATGATTATCTCAATAGACGCAGAAAAGGCCTTTGACAAAATTCAACAATGCTTCATGCTAAAAACTCTCAATAAATTAGGTATTGATGGAACGTATCTCAGAATAATAAGAGCTATGTATGACAAACCCACAGCCAATATCATACTGAATGGGCAAAAACTGGAAGCATTCCCTTTGAAAACTGGCACAAGACAGGGATGCCCTCTCTCACCACTCCTATTCAACATAGTGTTGGAAGTTCTGGCCAGGGCAATTAGGCAGGAGAAGGAAATAAAGGGTATTCAATTAGGAAAAGAGGAAGTCAAATTGTCCCTGTTTGCAGACGACATGATTGTATATCTAGAAAGCCCCAATGTCTCAGCCCAAAATCTCCTTAAGCTGATAAGCAACTTCAGCAAAGTCTCAGGATACAAAATCAATGTACAAAAATCACAAGCATTCTTATACACCAATAACAGACAAACAGAGAGCCAAATCATGAGTGAACTCCCATTCACAATTGCTTCAAAGAGAATAAAATACCTAGGAATCCAACTTACAAGGGATGTGAAGGACCTCTTCAAGGAGAACTACAAACCACTGCTCAATGAAATAAAAGAGGATACAAAGAAATGGAAGAACATTCCATGCTCATGGGTAGGAAGAATCAATATTGTGAAAATGGCCATACTGCCCAAGGTAATTTATAGATTCAATGCCATCCCCATCAAGCTACCAATGACTTTCTACACAGAATTGGAAAAAACTACTTTAAAGTTCATATGGAACCAAAAAAGAGCCCACACCACCAAGTCAATCCTAAGCCAAAAGAACAAAGCTGGAGGCATCATGCTACCTGATTTCAAACTATACTACAAGGCTACAGTAACCAAAACAGCATGGTACTGGTACCAAAACAGATATATAGATCAATGGAACAGAACAGAGCCCTCAGAAATAACACCGCATATCTACAACTATCTGATCTTTGACAAACCTGAGAGAAACAAGCAATGGGGAAAGGATTCCCTAGTTAATAAATGGTGCTGGGAAAACTGGCTTGCCATAGGTAGAAAGCTGAAACTGGATCCCTTCCTTACACCTTATAGAAAAATTAATTCAAGATGGATTAAAGACTTAAACGTTCGACCTAAAACCATAAAAACCCTAGAAGAAAACCTAGGCATTACCATTCAGGACATAGGCATGGGCAAGGACTTCATGTCTAAAACACCAAAAGCAATGGCAACAAAAGCCAAAATTGACAAATGGGATCTAATTAAACTAAAGAGCTTCTGCACAGTAAAAGAAACTACCATCAGAGTGAACAGGCAACCTACAAAATGGGAGAAAATTTTCGCAACCTACTCATCTGACAAAGGGCTAATATCCAGAATCTACAATGAACTCAAACAAATTTACAAGAAAAAAACAAACAACCGCATCAAAAAGTGGGCGAAGGATATGAACAGACACTTCTCAAAAGAAGACATTTATGCAGCCAAAAAAGACACGAAAAAATGCTCACCATCACTGGCCATCAGAGAAATGCAAATCAAAACCACAATGAGATACCATCTCACACCAGTTAGAATGGCAATCATTAAAAAGTCAGGAAACAACAGGTGCTGGAGAGGATGTGGAGAAACAGGAACACTTTTACAGTGTTGGTGGGACTGTAAACTAGTTCAACCCTTGTGGAAGTCAGTGTGGTGATTCCTCAGGGATCTAGAAATAGAAATACCATTTGACCCAGCCATCCCATTACTGGGTATATACCCAAAGGACTATAAATCATGCTGCTATAAAGACACATGCACAGGTATGTTTATTGTGGCACTATTCACAATAGCAAAGACTTGGAACCAACCCAAATGTCCAACAATGATAGACTGGATTAAGAAAATGTGGCACATATACACCATGGAATACTATGCAGCCATAAAAAATGATGAGTTCACGTCCTTTGTAGGGACATGGATGAAACTGGAAATCATCATTCTCAGTAAACTATCGCAAGAACAAAAACCAAACACCGCATATTCTCACTCATAGGTGGGAACTGAACAATGAGAACACATGGACACAGGAAGGGGAACATCACACTCTGGGGACTGTTGCAGGGTGGGGCCAGGGGGAGGGATAGCTTTAGGAGATATACCTAATGCTAAATGACGAGTTAATGGGTGCAGCACACCAGCATGGCACATGTATACATATGAAACTAACCTGCACATTGTGCACATGTACCCTAAAACTTAAAGTATAATAATAATAAAATAAAATAAAAAATAAAAATAAAAAAAGAGATATTAGAGGTTGAATAGTGCTGAGAGATAGTAGAGGTCCAATAAGTCAGAGTAGAGGGACCTTGCTGAATACATCGAACACTGGGTATTTAGTTGAGATGTCAAAAACCATTATCTAAGGAGTAAGCCTATTCTTGCCCTAGAGCAAATGTTGCTCTAGACATATTCTTAAAGGACTAAAACCAAGCTTCAATAGGATCAATTAGAGCCACTAGTAAGTTAACTGCCTGCCAGAAAAGACAAAACAAAACAAAACAAAACTCAACACTCTGTACAAAAAGGTAACATCATAGAGACCTTTTAAAAATTGTGCTAAAAACCCAGAACAAAATTTATCATCTGAATCGTGTTTAAGTGTGCAGTTCAATTGCATTAACTATATACATGTTTTACAAAATCTCTAGAACTTTTTCATCTTGCAAGTCTGAAACTCTATACACATTGGATAACATCTTCCCATTTCTCCCTCTCTCCAATCCCTGGAAAACACCATTTTACTTTCTGTTTCTATGAGATCGACCAGTTTAGACAATTTATTAAAGTGAAATCATACAGTATTTGTCTTTTGGTGACTGCCTCATTTCACTTAGTATAATGTCCTCAAGTTTCATTCATATAGCACATGTATAGTATGTAACAGGATTTTTAAGGCTGAATAATATTCTAATGTATGTATATACCACATTTTGTTTAATCATTAATCCATATATGAACATCTTGGTTGCTTCTGCCTCATGGCTATTGTGAATAATGCTACAGTGAACATCGGTGTGCAAATAGCTCTTACTGATCCTGCTGTCAACTCTTTTGGATATATACCTAGAAGTGCAATTGCTGGATCATATGGTAATTCAATTTATAATTTTTTGAGGGTCTTACATACTGTTTTCCATAATGGTTGTACCATTTTACATTCCCAGTAATGCTACATGAGACTTCCAATTTCTTTCATCATTGACTATGATGTTAGTTGCAGACTTTTCATATATGGCCTTTATTATGTGAGGTAGTTTTCTTCTATTTATAGTTTGTTGAGTGTTTTTATCATGAAAGAGTGTTGGATTTTTGTCAGATGATTTTTCTGCATCAGTTGAGATGATAATGTGGTTTTTGTCCTTCATTCTGATACTGTGATGTATAATATTGTTCAAATTTTATATGTTGAGTTATCCTTTTATTGGAAGTAAATGCCATTTGGTCATAGTGTATAATTCATTTATTGTCCTCTTGAATTTAATTTGTTAGAAATTTTGGCATCAATATTCATCAGAGACATTGCTCTGTAGTTTTCTTTTCTTTAGTGTCTTTTCCTGACTTCAGTATCTGAGTAACGTTTGACTCATAAAACGGGTTTAGAAGTGTTCTCTCTTCTCCTATTTTTTGGAAGAGTTTGAGAAAGATTGGAATTAATTCTTCTTTAAATGTTTGGTAGATCTTTCCAGTGAAGTTATCTGGTTGTGAGTATTTTTTTTGGTAGGTTTTTTGTTACTGATTCATAACTCCTTACTAGTCATAGGAGTTAACTATTCCTGTTCTGATGTTTTGATTTCGTCATGACTTAGTCTTGCTATATTGTATGTTAGCATATGATTGTTCATAGTAGTCTCTTACAATCATTTTTATTTCTGTGGTATCAGTCGTAATGTCTCTCCTTTTATTTCTGATTTTATTTATTTGAATCTTCTCTGTTTTTTCTTAGTTTAGCTGTTTGTCCAATTATTTTCAAAGAACTAACTCTTTTAGTCACACTCATTAACAATCCCCACCTCCCTACCAGGCTACAATACCCTTCCAAGCCTCTGGTAACCATTCTTCTACTCTATCTTCATTAGTTTAATTGTTTTGATGTCTAGATCCCACAAATAAATGAGAACATGCAATGTTTGTCTTTCTGTGCCTGGCTTGTTTCATTTAACATAATGACCCCCAGTTCCATCCATGTTATTGCAGATGACAAGATATTATTCTTTTCATGGCTGAATAGTTCTCCATTATGTATAAGTACATTTTCTTTATCCATCCATCTGTTGATGGACACTTAGGTTGCTTCCAAATTTTGGCTATTGTGAACAGTGCTGAAACAAACATAGGAGTGCAGATATCTCTTCAACATACTGATTTCCTTTCTTTTGGGTATATTCAATACCCCAAAAAAGGATCATATGTTAGAGCAATTTTTCATTTTTTTGAGGAATCTCTAAACTCTTCTCCATAGTGGTTGTACAAATTTACATTACCATCAACAGTGTGTAAGGATTGTCTTTTCTTCGCATCCTCACCAGCATTTGTTATTGCCTCTCTTTTGGACATAAGCCATTTTAACTGGGGTGAGATAATATCTCATTGTAGCTTTGATTTGCAATTCTCTGATGATCAATGATGTTGTGCACCTTTTCATTTGTATGTTCACCATTTGTACATCTTCTTTTGAGAAACATCTATTCAAATCTTTTGCCCATTTTTTCATTGAATTATTAGATGTTTCCTATAGAGTTATTTGCACTCCTTATGTATTCTGATTATTAATCCCTTGTCAGATGGGTAGTTAGCAAATATTTTCTCCCATTCTGTGAGTTGTCTCTTCACTTTGTCAATTGTATCCATGGCTGTGAAGAAGCCTCTTAACTTGATGTGATACCATTTGTACATGTTTGCTTTGGTTGCCTGTGCTTGTGGAGTATTACTCTCAGATATTTTTGCACAGACCAATGTTCCAAAGAATTTCTCCAATGTTTCCATGTAGTCATTTCATAGCTTGAGTTTATAGATTTAATTTTTAATCCATTTTGTTTCCTTTTTGTATATGATGAGAGATTGGGGTCTAGTTTCATTCTTCCGTATATGGATATCAAGTTTTTGCAGCACCATTTATTGAATAATGCCTTTTCCTCATTGTATGATCTTAGCTCCTTTATAAAAAATGAGTCGCTGTAGTTATGTGGGTTATGTTATGTTTCTGGGTTCTCTATTCTGTTCTGTTGGTCTACATGTCTATTTCTATGGCAGTACTCTGCAGTTTTGATTACTATAGCTCTGTAATATAATTTAAGTCAGGTAATGTGATTCCTCCAGTTTTGTTCTTTTTCCTTAGAATAGCTTTGGCTATTCTGGGTCTTTTGTGGTTTCATATAAATTTTAGGATTGTTTTTTCTATTTCTGAGAAGAATGTCATTGGTATTTTGATAGGTATTGCATTGGATCTGTAGATTGCTTTTGGTAGTATGGACAGTTTAACAATATTGATTCTTCTGATCCTGAACATAGAATATTTTTCATTTTTTGATGTCCCCTTCCATTTCTTTCATCGGTGCTTTATAGTTTTCATTATAGAGCTCTTTTGCTTCTTTGGTTAAATTAATTCCTAGGCATTTAATTTTTGGTGAAGTCTTTAGGTTTTTCCAAATATGAGATAATATTGTCTGCAAAAAGGATAATTTTGCTTTTTCCTTTCCAATTTGGATGGACTTTATTTCTTTCTCTTGTCTGATTGCTCTAGCTAGGACTTCCAGCATTATGTTAAATAATAGTGGTAAAAGTAAGCATCCTTGTTGTGTTTCAGATCTTAGATAAAAGGCTTTCAATTTTTTCCCATTCCATATGATATTAGTTGTGGGTCTGTCATACATGGCTTTTATTATGTTGATGTATTTTCCTTCTATACCCAGTTTTTTCAGTGTTTTTATCAAGAAGGGATGTTGAATTTTATCAAATGCTTTTTCAGCATCATTTGAAATGATCATATGGTTTTTTTCTCCATTCTATTGATATGATATATTACATTGATTAATTTGCATATGTTGAATCCTCCTTGCATTCCAGGGAGATATCCCACTTGGTCATGATGAATGATCTTTTTGATGTATTGTTGAATTCTATTTGCTAGCATTTTGTTGAGGATTTTTAAATCAATATTCATCAGAGATATTGGCTGTAGTTTGCTTTGTTGATGTGTCTTTGTCCAGTTTTGGTATCAGAGTAACACTGACCTGGTAGGATGAGTTTGGACATACTCCCTCCTCCACTATTTTCCAGAATAATTTGAGTACAACTGGTATTCCTTCTTCTTTAAATGTTTGTTAGGATTCAGCAGTGAAGTCATTGAGTCCTGGGTTCTTCTTATGGGGAGACATTTTATTACAACTTAAATCATGTTACTTGTTATTAATCTGTTCAGATTTTGGATTTCTTCCTGGTTCAATCATGCTAGGTTGTATGTGTCTAGGTATTTATCAATTTCTTCTAGATTTTCTAATTTATTGGTATATAGTTGCTCATATAAGCCACTAATGATCCTTTGAATTTCTGCAGCACCTCAGTTGTAATGTCTCTTTTTCATTTCTCATTGTATTTACTTGGAGCTTCTCTCGTTTTCTCTTAGGTAGTCTGGCTAAAGATTTGTTAATTTTGTTTAACTTTTCAAAAACCCAACTCTTTGTTTCACTGAAATTTTATATTGTTTTCTTCATTTCAATTTCATTTATTTCTGCTCTGGTATTTATTACTTCTTTTCTTCTACCAATTTTGGGTTTGGTTTGCTCTTGCTTTTCTAGTTCCTTGAAATGCATCATTAGGTTGTTTATTTGAAGTTTTTCTTGTTTTTTGATATAGACACTTAGAGCTATAAACGTCCCTCTTAGTACTGTTTTTGCTGAATCCCGTAGATTTTGGCATGTTGTATTTTCTTAATCATTTGTTTCAAGAAAATTTTCAATTTCCTTCCTAATTTCTTTATTGACCCACTGGTCATTCAGGAGCATCTTGTTTAATTTCCATGTGTTTTTATAGTTTCCAAAGTTTCTCTCATTATTGATTTCTAGTTTTATTCCATTGTGGTAAGAGAAGATGCTTGATATAATTTCAATTTTTTGAATGTTTTAAGACCTGTTTTGTGACCTAACATATAGTCTTTCCTTGAAAATGATCCATGTGCAGAGGAAAAGTATGTGTATTCTTCAGCTGTTGGATTAAATGTTCTGTAGATAACTATTAGGTCTATTTGGTGTATAGTGTAGTTGAAGTCTGATGTGTCTTTGTTGATTTTCTGTCTGGAAGATCTGTTCAGTGTTGAAAGCAGGGTGTTGAAGTCTCCAGTTATTATTATATTGGGGTTTATCTCTCACTTTAACTCTAATAATATTTGTATTATATTTCTAGGTGCTCCAGTGCTCAGTGCAAATATATTTAAAATTATTTTATCCTCTTACTGAATTGACCCCTTTACCATTATATAGTGACCTTCTTTGTCTCTTAGTTTTTGTCTTGAAATCCATTTTGTCTGACAAAAGTATAGCTGTTCCTGCTCTTTTTTGGTTTCCATTGGCATGGGATATATTCTTCCATCCCCTTATTTTTAGTCTATATCTGTCTTTATAGCTTACCTGTGTTTCTTGTAGGCAACAGATTACTGGGTCTTTTTTTTTTTTTATCCATTCAGCCATTCTATGTCTTTTGATTGAAGAGTTTAGTCCATTGACATTCAATGTTGTTGGTAAGTAAGGACTTACTCTTGCCATTTTGTTATTTGTTGTCTGGTTGTTTTGTGGTTTTCTCTTCTTTCTTTCCTTTCTGTCTTCCTTTTAGTGAAGGTAATTTTGTCTGGTGATACAACTTAGTTTCTTGCTTTGTGTGTGTGTGTCTGCATATCAGTTCTATGTTATTTGGTTTGAGGTTACCATGAGGCTTGCAAATACTATCTTATAACAATTATTTTAAGCTGATAATAACTTAACACTGTTTACATAAACAACAAACAAAAAGAAAACTAATAAAAACTTCACACCTTAACATTGTTTCCACACCCCTCCATTTTAAAACTTTTTGTTGTTTCTAGTTATATCTTATTGTACTACCTATGTATTGAAAAGTTGTAGTTATTTCTTTGGTTCATCATTTAGTGCTTCTGCAAATATGGGAGTAGTTTACATACCACAGTTACAGTGTTATAATATTCTGTGTTTTTCTGTGTACTTACTATTGCCACTGAGTTTTGTACCTTCAGATTATTTCTTATTGTTCATTAATATCCTTTTCATTCTAATTGAAGTACTCCCTTTAGCATTTTTTGTAGGACATATCTGGGGTTGATGAAATTCATCAGCTTTTGTTTGTTAGGGAAAGTCTTTATTCCTCCTTTATATTTGAAAGACATTTTTGTCAGATATACTATTCTAGTGTAAAAGTTTTTTTTCCTGCAGCCCTTTAAACATAGCATGCAAACTTCTCTTGGCCTGTAAGGGTTCCACTGAAGAGTCTGCTGCCAGATGTATGTGAATGGTGCTCCATTGTATGTGATTTGTTTCTTTCCTCTTGCTGCCTTCAGGATCCTTTGTTTATCCTTGATCTTTGGGGGTTTGATTATTAAACACCTTGAGGTAGTCTTCTGTGGGTTAAATCTGCTTGGTGTTCTATAACCTTCTTGTACTTGGATATTGACATTTTTGTCTAGATTTGGGATATTCTCTATTATTATCCCTTTGAATAAACTTTCTGCCCCCATCTCTTACTCTACCTTTTCTTTAAGGCCAAGAAGGCTTAGATTTGCCCCTTTGAAGCTATTTTCTAGATCCTGTAGGTGTGCTTCATTGTTTTTTATTCTTTTTCCTTTTGTCTCCTCTGTGTATTTTCAAATAGCCCGTCTTTATGCTCACTAGTGCTTTCTTCTGCTTAATCAATCTTGCTGTTAAAAGGCTCTGATGCATTCTTTAATATACCGGTTGCATTTTGCAACTCCAGAATTTCTGCTTGAATCTCTTTAATTATTTGAATCTCTGTGTTAAATTAATCTGATAGAATTTTGAATTTATTCTCTGTGTTATCTTCAATTTCTTTGAGTTTTCTCAAAATAGCTATTTTGAATTCTATATCTGAAAGGTCACATAGCTCTGTTTCTCCAGGCTTTGTCCCTGGTGCCCTATTTAGTTCATTTGGTAAGGTCATGTTTTTCCTGGATTGTCTTGATACTTGCAGATGTTCATCCGTATCTGGGCATTGAAGAGTTATGTATTTATTATAGTCTTCACATTCTGGGCTTGTTTGTACCTGTCTTTCTTGGGAAGGCTTTCCAGGTATTTGAAAGGACTTGGGCATTGTGCTGTAAGGTGTATCTGCTTTAGGGGGGCACACAAAGCCCACTAACACTAGTTCTTGCAGACTCATAGTGGTGTTACCTTCATGGCCTTAGACAAGATCCAGAATAATTATCTGGATTACCAGGCAGAGACTCTTGTTCTCTTTCCTTGAGCAAAAGACCTGAATAGACATTCCTCAAAAGGAAATATGTGAGTGGCTAACAGGTTTCTGAAAATAATGCTCAGCATCACTAACCATCAGGGAAATGCAAATAAAAACCACAATGAAATATCATTTCACCTCAATTAGAATGGCTACTATCAAAAAGACAAAAAGTAATGAATGCTGACATAGATGTGGAGCAAGGAAAACTCTTATACACTACTGGTGAGAATGAAAATTACTACAGTCATTATAAAAAACAGAATGGAAGTTCCTCAAAAAATTAAAAATAGAACTACTGGTGGAGGTTCCAAGATGGCCAAATAGGAAGAGCTCCAGTCTGCAGCTCCCAGCCTGAGTGACACAGAAGATGGGTGATTTCTGCATTTCCAACTGAGGTATCTGCATTTCCAACTGAGGTACTGGGTTCATCTCACTGGGGCTTGTCTGACAGTGGGCACAGCTCATGGAGCAGGGTGGGGCATTGCCTCACCCAGGAAGCACAAAGCGTCGGGGAATTCCCTTTCCTAGCAAAGGGAAGCCGTGACAGACAGTACCTGGAAAATCGGGACACTCCCACCCTAATACTGCACTTTTCCAACGGCCTTAGCAAATGGCACACAGGAGATTATATTCTGTGCCTGGCTTGGAGGGTCCCACACCCATGGAGCCTCGCTCACTGCTAGCACAGCAGTCTGAGATTGAACTGCAAGGCAGTAGCGAGGCTGAGGGAGGGGCATCTGCCATTGCTGAGGCTTGAGTAGGTAAACAAAGCCACCAGGAAGCTCGAACTGGGTAGAGCCCATGGCAGCTCAAGGAGGCCTACATGCCTCTGCAGACTCCACCTCTGGGGGCAGGGCATAGCAGAACAAAAGGCAGCAGAAACTTCTGCAGACTTAAACGTCCCTGTCTGACAGCTTTGAAGAGAGTAGTGGTTCTCCCAGCATGGAGTTTGAAATCTGAGAGTGGACAGACTGCCTCCTCAAGTGGGTCCCTGACCCCTGAGTAGCCTAACTGGGAGACACCTTCCAGTAGGGGCTGACTGACACCTCATACAGCTGGGTGCCCCTCTGAGATGAAGCTTCCAGAGGAAGGATCAGACAGCAACATTTGCTGTTCTGCAGCCTCTGCTGGTGATACCCAGGCAAACAGGGTCTGGAGTGGACCTCCAGCAAACTCCAACAGACCAGCAGCTGAGGGTCCTGATTGTTAGAAGGAAAACTAATAAACAGAAATGACATCCACATCAAAACCCCATCTGTACATCACCATCATCAAAGACCAGAGGTAGATAAAACCACAAAGATGGGGAGAAACCAGAGCAGAGAAGCTGAAAATTCTAAATATCAGAGTGCCTATTCCCCTCCGAAGGAATGCAGCTCCTCGCCAGCAATGGAAAAAGGCTGGATGGAGAATGACTTTGACGAGTTGAGAGAAGAAGGCTTCAGACAATCGGTAATAACAACTTCTCTGAGCTAAAGGAGGATGTTTGAACCCATCACAAAGAAGCAAAAATCCTTGAAAAAAGATTAGATGAATGGCTAACTAGAATAAAGAGTGTAGAGAAGTCCTTAAATGACCTGATGGAGCTGCAAACCATCCACGAGAACTACGTGATACGTGCACAAGCTACAGTAGCCGATTTGATCAAGTGGAAGAAAGGGTATCAGTGATTGAATATCAAATGAATGAAATGAAGCGAGAAGAGAAGTTTAGAGAAAAAAGAGTAAAAAGAAATGAACAAAGCCTCCAAGAAATATGGGACTATGTGAAAAGACCAAATCTACATCTTATTGGTGTACCTGAAAGTGACAGGGAGAATGGAACCAAGCCAGAAAACACTCTTCAGGATATTATCCAGAAAAACTTCCCCAACCTAGCATGGCAGGCCAACATTCAAATTCAGGAAATACAGAGAACACCACAAAGATACTCCTCGAAAAGAGCAACTCCAAGACACATAATAGTTAGATTCACCAAAGTTGAAATTAAGGAAAAAATGTTAAGGGCAGGCAGAGAGAAAGGTTGGGTTACCTGCAAAGGGAAGCCCATCAGACAAACAGCAGATCTCTTGGCAGAAACTCTACAAGCCAGAAGAGAGTGGAGGCCAATATTCAACATACTTAAAGACAAGAATTTTCAACCCAGAATTTCATATCCAGCCAAACTAAGCTTCATAAGTGAAGGAGAAGTGAAATCCTTTACAGACAAACAAATGCTGAGAGATTTTGTCAGCACCAGGCCTGCCTTACAAGAGCTCCTGAAGAAGCACTAAACATGGAAAGGAACAACCAGTACCAGCAACTGCAAAAACATGTCCAATTGTAAAGACCATCGACGCTATGCAGAAACTGCATCAACTACTGAGCAAAATAACCAGCTAACATCATAATGACAGGATCAAATTCACACATAACAATATTAACCTTAAATGTAAATGGACTAAATGCTCCAATTAAAAGACACAGACTGGCAAATGGGATAAAGAGTCAAGAACCATCAGTGTGCTGTATTCAGGAGACCCATCTCACATGCAGAGACACACATAGGCTCAAAATAAAGGGATGGAGGAAGATCTACCAAGCAAATGGAAAACAAAAAAAAGGAGGTGTTGCAATCCTAGTCTCTGATAAAACAGACTTTAAACCAACAAAGATCAAAAGAGACAAAGAAGGCCATTACATAATGGTAAAGGGATCAGTTCAACAAGAAGAGGTAACTATCCTAAATATATATGCACCCAATATAGGAGCACCCAGATTCATAAAGCAAGTCCTTAGAGACCTAAAAAGAGATTTAGACTCCCACACAATAATAATGGGAAACTTTAACACCCCACTGTCAACATTAGACAGATCAACGAGACAGGAAGTTAACAAGGATATCCAGGAATTGAACTCAGCTCTGGACCAAGCAGACCCAATAGACATCCACAGAACTCTCCACCCCAAATCAACAGAATATGCATTCTTCTCAGCACCACATCACACTTATTCCAAAATTGACCACATAGTTGGAAGTAAAGCCCTCTTCAGCAAATGTAAAAGAACAGAAATTATAATAAACTGTCTCTCAGACCACAGTGCAATCAAACTAGAACTCAGGATTAAGAAACTCACTCAATACCATTCAACTACATGGAAAATGAACAACCTGCTCCTGAATGACTACTGGGTACATAACGAAATGAAGGCAGAAATAAAGATGTTCTTTGAAACCAATGAGAACAAAGAAACAACATACCAGAATCTCTGGGACACATTTAAAGCAGTGTGTAGAGGGAAATTTATAGCACTAAATGCCCACAAGAGAAAGCAGGAAAGATTTAAAATTGACACCCTAACATCACAATTAAAAGTACTAGAGAAGCAAGAGCAAACACATTCAAAAGCTAGCAGAAGGCAAGAAATAACTAAGATCAGAGCAGAACTGAAGGAGATAGAGACACAAAAAAACCCTTCAAAAAATAAATGAATCCAAGAGCTGGGTTTTTGAAAAGATCAACAAAATTGATAGACCACTAGCAAGACTAATAAAGAAGAAAAGAGAGAAGAATCAAACAGATGCAATAAAAAATGAAAAAGAGGATAACACCACCGATCCCACAGAAATACAAACTACCATCAGAGAATACTATAAACACCTCTATGCAGATAAACTAGAAAATCTAGAAGAAATGGATAAATTCCTGGACACATACACCCTCCCAAGACTAAACTGGAAAGAAGTTGAATCCCTGAATAGATCAATAACAGGTTCTGAAATTGAGGCAATAATTAATAGCCTACGAACCAAAAAAAGTCCAGGACTAGACAAATTCACAGCCAAATTCTACCAGAGGTACAAAGAGGAGCTGGTACCATTTCTTCTGAAACAATCCCAATCAATAGAAAAAGAGGGAATCCTCCCTAATTCATTTTATGAGGCCAACATCATCCTGATACCAAAGACTGGCAGAGACACAACAAAAAAAGGAGAATTTTAGACCAATATCCCTGTTGAATATTGATGCAAAAATCCTCAATAAAATACTGGCAAACCAAATCCAGCAGCACATCAAAAAGCTTATCCACCACGATCAAGTTGGCTTCATCCCTGGGATGCAAGGCTGGTTCAATATACACAAATCAATAAACATAATCCATCATATAAACAGAACCAAAGACAAAAACCACATGATTATCTCAATAGATGCAGAAAAGGCCTTCGACAAAATTCAACAGCCCTTCATGCTAAAAACTCTCAATAAACTAGGTATTGATGGGACATATGTCAAAATAATAAGAGCTATTTATGACAAACCCACAGCCAATATCATACTGAATGGGCAAAAACTGGAAGCATTCCCTTTGAAAACTGGCACAAGACAGGAATGCCCTCTCTCACCACTCCTATTCAACATAGTGTTGGAAGTTCTGGCCAGGGCAATCAGGCAAGAGAAAGAAATAAAGTGTATTCGATTAGGAAAAGAGGAAGTCAAATTTTCCCTGTTTGCAGATGACATGATTGTACATTTAGAAAACCCCGTCGTCTCAGCCCAAAATCTCCTTAAGCTGAGAAGCAACTTCAGCAAAGTCTCAGGATACAAAATCAATGTGCAAAAATCACAAGCAGTCCTATACACCAATAACAGACAAACAGAGAGCCAAATTATGAGTGATCTCCCATTCACAATTGCTTCAAAGAGAATAAAATACCTAGGAATCCAGTTTACAAGGGATGTGAAGGAACTCTTCAAGGAAAACTACAAACCACTGCTCAACAAAATAAAAGAGGACACAAACAAATGGAAGAACATTCCATGCTCATGGATAGGAAGAATCAATATCGCAAAAATGGCCATATTGCCCAAGGTAATTTATAGATTCAGTGCCATCCCCATCAAGCTACCAGTGACTTTCTACACAGAATTGGGAAAAACTACTTTAAAATTCATATGGAACCAAAAAAGAGCCTGCATTGCCAAGACAACACTAAGCCAAAAGAACAAAGCTGGAGGCATCATGCTACCTGACTTCAAACTATACTACAAGGCTACAGTAACCAAAACAGCATGGTACTGGTACCAAAACAGAGATGTAGATCAATGGAACAGAACAGAGGCCTCAGAAATAACACCACACATTTACATCCATCTGATCTTTGACAAACCTGACAAAAACAAGAAATGGGGAAAGGATTCCCTATTTAATAAATGGTGCTGGGAAAACTGGCTAGCCATATGTAGAAAGGTGAAACTGAATCCCTTCCTTACACTTTATAGAAAAATTAATTCAAGATGGATTAAAGACTTAAATGTTATATGTAAAACCATAAAAACCCTAGAAGAAAACCTAGGCAGTACCATTCAGGACATAGACATGGGCAAGGACTTCATGATTAAAACACCAAAAGCAATGGCAACAAAAGCCAAAATTGACAAAATGGGATCTAATTAAACTAAGGGCCTCTGCAGAGCAAAAGAAAGTACCATCAGAGTGAACAGGCAACCTACAGAATGGGAGAAAATTTTTGCAATCTACCCATCTGACAAAGGGCTAATTACCAGAATCTACAAAGAACTTAAACAAATTTACAAGAAAAAATCAAACAACCCCGTCAAAAAGTGGGCAAAGGATATGAACAGACACTTCTCAAAAGAAGACATTTATGCAGCCAACAGACCCATGAAAAAATGCTCAGCATCACTGTCCATCTGAGAAATGCAAATCAAAACCACAATGAGATACCATCTCACACCAGTTAGAATGGCAATCATTAAAAAGTCAGGAAACAACAGGTGCTGGAGAGGATGTGGAGAAATAGGAACACTTTTACACTGTTGGTGGGACTGTAAACTAGTTCAACCATTGTGGATGACAGTGTAGCAATTCCTCAAGGATCTAGAGCTAGAAATACCATTTGACCCAGCCATCCGATTACTGGGTATATAACCAAAGGATTATAAATCATGCTGCCATAAAGACACATGCACATGTATGTTTATTGTGGCACTATTCACAATAGCAAAGACTTGGAACCAACCCAAATGTCCATCAATGATAGACTGGATTAAGAAAATGTGGCACATATACACCATGGAATACTATGCAGCCATAAAAAAGGATGAGTTCATGTCCTTTGTAGGGACATGGGTGAAGCTGGAAACCATCATTCTGATCAAACTATCCCAAGGACAGAAAACCAAACACCACATGTTCTCACTGATAGGTGAGTATTGAACAATGAGAACACTTGGACACAGGGTGGGGAACATCACATAAAGGTGCCTGTCATGGGGTGGGGGGAGGGAGGAGGGATAGCATTAGGAGATATACCTAATGTAAATAATGGGTCAACAGGTGCAGCACACCAGCATGGCACATGTATACATATGTAACAAACCTGCACGTTGTGCACATTTACCCTAGAACTTAAAGTATAATGATAAAATAAATAAAATAAAATTCACCTGTTTGTGAAAAAAAAAAAAAAAAAAAAAAGAACCACCATGTGATCTAGCAATCCCACTACTGGCTATATATCCGAAGGAAATAATATCACTATATCAAATACATACCTGCCCTCTCATGTTTATTGCAGTATTAATCACAATACCCAGGATATGAAATCAGCCTAAGTGTCCATCAATGGATGAATGGATAAAGAAAATGTTGTATATATATACATATACATATATGTATATATATACACAAAGAAAATGGTGTATATATATATACATATATATGTATATATATACACAAAGAAAATGTGTGTATATATGTATATACATATATACGTATGTATGTGTATATATACGTATATATATGTATACATATATATACACACATATATATGTATATATATACACACAACATATTCCACCATAAAAAAGGAAGAAATCTTGTCATTTATAGCAACATGGATGAACCTAGAGGACATTATGTTAAGTAAAATAAGCCAGGAATAGAAAGATAAATGCCACATGATCTCACTCATAAGTTGATCTCCTAGAAGTAGAGAGTAGAATAGTGGTTACCAGAGGCTGACGGGTAGTGGGGAGATAGGGAGATTAGAAGATTGGTCAATGCGTGCAAAGTTACAGTTATATAGGAAAAATTATCTCTGGTGTTCCATTGTACAGTAGGGTGACTATGGTTAACCATATTGTATTGCTTCTAGCAATTCAAAATTGCTAGAAGAGAGGATTTTGAATGTTCTCCCCACAAAGAAGTAATAAATATATGAGGCTGTGAATAAACAAAATACTTTGATTTGATTTTTATACAATGTACACATATATCAAACATCACACTGCACCACATAAATATGCACAATTATGTGTCAGTTAAAAACAAAAAGTTTAACAGAAGTCAGTAAAAAATGTGTAGTCAATGATTTCAATTATATAAAATTCTAGAAAATGCAAAACATACTACATTGACAAAAAGCAGATCTGTTATTTCTTGGGTATGAGGGAAGAGCAGGGAGTGTGGAGAGACAGACATGGATTTCATAGAGGCCCATGGAAACTCTTGGGTTTGGTGGATATTTTTATTGTCTTGATTGTAATAATGGATTTTGGATATGCACATACATAATAATGAATTATAGATTTTAAATATGTGCAGAGTATTGTAAGCCAGTTATACTTTAATAAGGCTGTTAAACATAAATAAAATTTTTTTTAAAAAGTGTTTTGCTTTCATCTCTAACAGATATTTTCACTCAGTTCAGAATGCTAGCTTTACAATTATTTTCATTCAGTTTTTTGGTAAGTTTTAATTTTGAATGGATGTACATTTTTTCACATATTTTTTTCTGAATTGATTGAAAACATCATACGATTTTTCCCTTTATTCTGTTAATATGATGTATTACAATAATTTATTTTTGTATGATAAATCAATCTCACATTCCTAGTGTAAATCCTTCTTGGTCATGATACATATTATGCTTTCTCTGTATTAACGGATTTGAATTGTTAATAGTTCATTTCTTTTCGTAGTCTTTTAAAGGTTACATTTATATTTGATATGGCTTAATATTCCTTTTATCATTATAAAATTGTTTATTTTTTTATTTTTTACTGTGAACTGTGTTTTATATGATTACTCGAATGACAATTTTGTTTACATAAATTTTTCGTTTGTACATTTTGTTACCCATTTACTTTTCTTTTTTTTTTTTTTTTTTTTTTGAGATGGGTTTCACTCTATCTCCCAGGCTGAAGTGCAGTGGTGCAATTTCGGCTCACTGCAACCTCCACCTCCCGGGTTCAAGCAATTCTCCTGCTTTAGCCTCCTGAGTAGCTGGGATTAAGGCACCTGCCACAATGCCCGACTAATTTTTCTTGTACTTTTAGTAGGAATGGGGTTTCACCATGTTGGCCAGGCTGGTCTCGAACTTCTGACATCAGGTGATCTGCCTGTCTCGGCTTTCCAAAGTGCTGGGATTACAGGTGTGAGCCACCATGCCTGGCCCACCCATTTACTTTTACCTTATCTGTGGCTTTATATTAAAAAAATGCATCTTGATGGCAGTGTAAAGTAAGGTCTTGCTTGTCTGTCTGGAATAACATTTAATTAATTATTGATAGTATTGTAAGAGACATAGGTCTACCATTTTTTTTCTGTTTTTCTCTTCAGTATTTGGTTTCTCTCTGTATTCTTTTCTGCCTTCTTTTGAATGATTTGAATATTTTAAATATTCCATTTTATCTATTGGCTTCTCAGCTATTATCATTTGTATTTTACTAGTGGTTTCCATTGGGATTATAGTACTTATATCCATATTACAGTTAATGTAGTAGTTAATAGAGGTAACATACTAGCAAGGAGTTAATATAGTAGTTAATAGTAGTAATTAACAGAGTTAATATAGTAGCTAATACCTGCTTAGAGTTGTTATCATACCACTTAAGTAAAATGTAGAAACTTAGGAAGTATATAGGTCCCACTAACTCCCCTCCTCCACTAACCTTTATGCTATTGTGTTACATATTACAACCTCTTGCACTGTAAGCTCTTTCACACATAGTTAAAATTTTTATTTTCAAAAGCTTCATGTATATTTAAAAACTTGAAAGAGAAAAAATAGTCTTTTATATTTAACTATATATTTATCATTTCCATTCTTCTCCATCATCCCAGTAGGTTCAAATTTCCCCTGATATTTTTCTCTTTAGCCAGAAGAACCCGCTTTGGCATTTCTTTAGAGCCTGTGACCTGAGTTGTTAGTATTCCCTCCTGTGAGAAAGCTTTTATTTTGCCTTCATCCCTGAAGAAAATTTTGCTGAATGTAGGATTCTCTGTTGGCAGTTTTTTTTTTCTCTCTACTTTTAAAACGTTGTTCCACTGTCTTCTGGCCTCCATAGTTTATGATGAGAAATCCATGATCATTGAAATAATTGTTTCTCACTATGTAATGTGTATTATTTTGTATATATTTTTGGATTTTTTCCTTTATCTTTGGTTTCCATTATCTTCCTGTAATGTATGTAGGCATAGTTTTTGTTTAGTTTATTGCGTTTGGGGTTCATAGACTTTGTTGGATTTGTAAATTATGTCTTTAAACAAATTTGCAAAGTTATTAGCTATTATTTTTTGAATTTTTTCTGCCCCAATTTATGTCTTTCTGGTTTTCTCTTTTTAGGGAAGGTTATTCTTCAGATTGTATAGCTTGTACTGATTTCTATTGATTCATCCTTACCACATTCACTGACTCATTCTTGTGTGGATCATTCTGTTACTGAGTTCATCTAGTGAATTTTTAAAATTTCAGATATTTTATTTGTTTAGTTCTAAAATTTTCATTAGTTATTTTAAAACACCTTTTATTTCTTGCTTAGTAATCCTATCTTTTCATTTATTTGAGCATATGTTCCTTTATTATATAGAGTATATTTATACTAGCTTCTGTAAAGTATTTATATGATCATTCTAGCAAGTGCTTCATCCCAAAGCCAGCTTCTGTTTATGGTATTTTCCCCGGAGAATTGGTTACATTTCTCGAGTTCTTTGAATTTTCATTAATTTGGATTTAAAACTGAGCATCATTAATATTATACTATATAGCCCTTGGGTCCTGTAATCCTTTGGAGAATAGCGATGTTTTCACTTATCAGGCAGTCATCATGCTTAAGTTCAGACCATAAGTTCTGTCTTGCCTTCTGTGAACAGTGGCTCAAATTTTAGCTCAGCTCTCAAAGACATTGATAAACTGGTTCAAGTCTGTTCAACACGTTCCAAAACTCAAGAAAGAACTTAAGATTTGTATAAGTCCATGAATAGTATTAGGAGATCCCCTTCTCTGATTCTTTCCCCATTTGAATTCTCCATCCACCTACCCTGAGGAGGTTCTTTTCCTAATTTATCTAACCACAAAGACTGGGTTTCTGACAGAATACATCACTTGTGCTACTTTGCCACTCAGGTATCTGGTCCCACCCTTAAGGTAAATGTCATGAAAGAGAGAGAGAATGAAAAAAGAAACTTCAATCCTGTGCTGTCACTTTTTCAAGTTGTGAATTGCCTCTCTGTAATTAATCTACTTTTGTTCAATTTTCAGAGATGTTTTGATAAATGCTTTTGTATTTAGTTCAGGTTTTGTGTAATTAGTGAGAAGTAGGATCAGGCTACCATGCTGGAACTAGCACTTCTATATTAATAATTTTTATTAAACTCAGAATTGATTTCATGTCCTTTTTTCATAACTCCAGTAATTTTTGATAGTTTTCTTTTATTCTGATATACCAAGATGTGTCAAGCTTATCTTATAATTTTCCCTCTCCTGATTTGGATTCAAGAAACCCTGGTTTCTTTAAAGAAGTATATTATTAGAAAAACACTATATATGTATTAGGGGTATTTGTACAGACTACATAAGCTATTGTTTTCAGGTATTTTCAGTGATTAGAGCTAGGAAACTGTTTCTGAGTGACTATAAACTGTGAGTTTATAGTTTCAACTTTAAGTTTGGATTACAAAATTTTAACTGAACTTCATTTTTATATCTTTTTGTCTTACACCAAAATATGGATTTGTAATTAGATTTATTTATTTATTTATTATTATTATTTGAGACAGAGTCTCATTCTGTTTCCCAAGCTGGAATGCAATGGCGCGATCTTGGCTTACTGCAGCCTCCACCTCCTGGGTTGAAGCGATTCTCCTGCCTCAGCCTCCTGAATAGCTGGGATGCAGGCATGTGCCACCACGCCAAGCTAACGTGCATACTTTCAGTAGAAATGGGGTTTCACCATGTTGGCTAGGCTAGTCTCGAACTCTGGACCTCAGGCGATCCACCTGCCTCAGCCTCCCAAATTGCTGAGATTACAGGTGTGAGCCACTACACCCAGCCTGTAATTAGATTTAATATTTACTTATTTAGTTTAGTTTACAATGTGCATAAATTATTATTAGTTAAAATATATTACTGAGTGATTTAACATTTCTTTGCAGTTTTAAAAAGACTTTTAATGTATTCAACTAAGAATGAAAAATCAAAATATGTTTGAAATCACTTGAAAACAAATGAATGAGTCCAAAAAGATTGCAGGAAATGATTAATATACAAAATCAACTGTATATCTATGTATTAATAGTGAACTATCTAAAAAAAAAACCAAAACAATTTTCTTTATCAATGACATCTAAATGAATAAAATGCTGGGGAATAAATTTAACAAAAGAAGTGCAAGATTTTTACACTGAAAACTACAAAATATCATTGAAAAATTAAAGAAGACATAAATAAATAGACATTCCATGTTCATGGATTGGAAGGTTTACAATTGTTAAGATGTCAACACTTCCATATTGATATGCAGATTCAGCGTAATCCATACCAAAATTCCTGCTGGCTTTTTTGCATAAATTGACATGTTGATCTTAAAATTCGTGTGGAAAGGCCAAGAACACAGAATAACCAAAAAATCTCGAAAAAAGGATAACAGCGTCGGAGGACTCATACTTCTTGATTTCAAAACTTAGTGCAAAGCCACATTAATTAAGATTCTCTCCTCATTTGAATTATTCATCCACTTACCCTGAGGGGCTTCTTTTCCTGATTTCTCTGACCACAAAGACTGAGTTTCTATAAGAATTCATCACTTGTGCCACTTTGCCACTCAAGTATCAGGCCCCACCCTTAAGGTAAATGTTATGAAAGAGAGAGAGAATGAAAAAAGGAACTTCAACCCTTTGTTGTCACTTCTTCAAGTTGTGAATTCCTTCTGTAATCAATCTATGTTTCTTAAATTTTCAGAGATTTTTGATAAATGCTTTTGTATTTGGTTTTGTATTTATGCGTTAGTATAAAAATAGACATATAGGTCAGTGAAATAAAATTGAGAGTTCAAAAAATAAATCTTCACCTTTAAGTTAACTGCTATTCAATAAGGGAAAAAAATTGCCTTTCCAACAATCATACTGGGGTATCTGTATATCCAGATGAAAAAAAATAGTTGGACTTGTACTTTCTCCACATTTTATAAAAAAAACCTCAAAATGGATTCAAGACCTAAATGTTAAAACAAAAACTGTAAAACTCTTGGAAGAAAACACAGTTGTAAATCTTTGTGAGTTTGTATTAAGTAGTAGTTTATTAGCTATGACACTAAAAGTACAAGCAATAAAAATAAATAATTAAAAATTCAAATTACACACTTACTTCTGTGCTTCAAAGGACATCATCCAGAATGTAAAAAGAGAAACCACAGAATGGGAAAAATATTTGCAAATCATGCACCTGATAAATGTATAGTATTCAGAAAATCCAAAAAACTTTTATAACTTAGCAATTAAAAGACAAATTAAAGTGGCAAAAGGATTTGAATATATATTTATCCAAATACAATTAAATGTTCAAAAAGCACATAAGAAGATATTTAATATCATGTTTCCAATATCAAATAGAAACATACGTTTTCACACAAAAATTGTATGTGAATTTCATAGCAACATTATTAATAATAGCAAAAAAGTAGGCATAATCTAAAAATCTATTAGTAGATGAGTGAAAAAATAAAATGTGATATATCCATATAGTGAAATATTATTGAACCATAAAAATGAATAAAGTGCTGATACATGCTACAACATGGATGAACCTTGGAAAATGTTAGGATAAGTGAAATAAGTCAGACAAAGGGCCACATTTAGTAAGGTTCCATTTATATGAAATGTCCAGAATAGGCAAATACCTAGAGACAGAATTAGCGATTTCCAGAGTAGGGCCAGAAAATGACAGAGATTGACTACTAATAGGTACAGGGTTTCTTTTTGGAACAATGAGAATGTTCCTGAATATTTAGTGTGAAACCATTGTGTGATGGTTTCACACAATAAAAATTTAGTTATAAATAAAAGCAACAAAAACAAACAAAAGAAAAAGTCAGTTATAGTCACAATTTATAGATGATACAAATAGAAAAGCACCCCATGCTCATAAATCAGAATTAATATTGTTAAAATAACCATACTGCCCAAAGCAATCTATAGATTCGAAGTAATACCAATTGAAATACCAATGTCATTTTTCACAGGTTTAGAAAAAACAATCCTAAAATTCATACAGAACCAAAGAAAGAGCCTGAATAGCCAAAGCAATGCTAGGCAAGAAGAACAAAGCTGGAGGCATCACATTACCTGACTTCAAATTATATTACAAGGCTATAGTAACCAAAACAGCATGGTGCTAGTATGAAAATAGGCACATAGATCAATGGAACAAAATAGAGAACCTAGAAATAAACCCATATATTTATAGCCAACTGATCTTTAACAAAGCCAACAAGAACACACAGTGGGGAAAAGAATACCTATTTAAACAAATGGTGCTGGGAAAATTGAATTGCCATATGCTGAAGAATAAAACTGGACCTCTTTCTCTCACTGCATACTAAAATAAACCCAAAATGATTCAAGACTTAAATGTAAGACCCAAAACTATAAAAATACTAGATGAAATCATAGGGAAAACTCTTCTGAACATTAATCTAGAAAAAGAACCTATGACTAAGACCTTAAAAGCACAAGCAAGAGACAAAAATAGACAAATAGGACTTGGTTAATCTAAAAAGCTTATGCATAGCAAAAGAAATAACAGAGTGAAGAGACACCTGCAGAATGAGAGAAAATGTTTGCAAACTATTCATCTAATATCTAGAATTTACAAGTAGCTCTAACATATCAACAACAACAAAAACCATATAATCCCATTAAAAAGTGGGCAAAGTGACTTCAAAGTACACTACAAGGCTACAGTTACTAAAACAGCATGCTACTGGTACAAAAATACACACACAGACCGATGGAACAAGTTAGAGAACCCAGAAATAAAGCTGCACACCTACAACTCTGATTTTTGACACAGTCAGCATTAACAAGCAATGGGGAAAGGACTTATTATTCAATAAATGGTGCAGGGATAACTGGCTAGCCATATGCAGAAGATTAAAACAGAGCCCCTACCTTTCACCATATACAAAAATCAACTAGAGATGTATCAAAGACTTAAATGTAAAATCTAAAACTATAAAAACCTTAGAAGAAAACCTAAGAAATAACATTCTGGACATTGACCCTAGCAAATACTTCATCACAAAAATGCCAAAAACAATTGCAACAATAAAAAATTGACAAATGGGACCTAACTGAACTATAGAGCTTCCATCCACCAAAAGAAATTATCAACAGAGTATACAGACAACCTACAGAATGGGAGAAAATATTTGCAAGTTATATCTCTGACAAAGATCTAATATCCAGAATCTACAAGGAACTTAAGCAAATCAACAAGCAAAAACTAAACAACCTCATTAAAAAATTGACAAAAGACATAAACAGACACTTCTCAAAAGAAGACACAAAATGGCCAACAAGCATATGAAAAAAATGCTCAATATCACCAATCATTAGGGGAAATGCAAATCAAAACCACAATGAGACACTATCTCACACCAATCAGAATGGCTATAATTGAAGTAATGGCAACAAAAGCCAAAATGACAAATGGGATCTAATTAAACTAAAGAGCTTCTGCACAGCAAAAGAAACTACCATCAGAGTGAACAGGCAACCTACAGAACGGGAGAAAATTTTCGCAATATACTCATCTGACAAAGGGCTGATATCCAGAATCTACAAAGAACTCAAACAAATTTACAAGAAAAAAACAAACAACCCCATCAACAAGTGGGCGAAGGATATGAACAGACACTTCTCAAAAGAAGAAATTTATGCAGCCAATATACACATGAAAAAAATGCTCAGCATCGCTGGCCATCAGAGAAATGGAAATCAAAACTACAATGAGATATCATCTCACACCAGTTAGAATAGCAATCATTAAAATGTCAGGAAACAACAGGTGCTGGAGAGGATGTGGAGAAATAGGAGTGCTTTTACACTGTTGCTGGGACTGTAAACTAGTTCAACCATTGTGGAAAACAGTGTGGCGATTCCTCAGGGATCTAGAACTAGAAATACCATTTGACCCAGCCATCCCATTACTGGGTATATACCCAAAGGATTATAAATCATACTGCTATAAAGACACATGCACACGTATGTTTATTGCGGCACTACTCACAATAGCAAAGACTTGGAACCAACCCAAATGTCCAACAATGATAGACTGGATTAAGAAAATGTGGCACATATACACCACGGAATACTATGCAACCATAAAAAAGGGTGAGTTCATGTCCTTTGCAGGGACATGGATGAAGCTGGAAACCATCATTCTCAGCAAACTATCGCAAGGACAAAAAACCAAACACCGCATGTTCTCACTCATAGGTGGGAATTGAACAATGAGAACACATGGACACGGGTGGGGAACATCACACACCGGGGCTTGTTGTGGGGTCGGGGGAAGGGGGAGGGATAGCATTAGGAGATATACCTAATGTAAATGATGAGTTAATGGGTGCAGCACACCAACATGGCACATGTATACATATGTAACAAACCTGCACGTTGTGCACACGTACCCTAGAACTTAAAGTATAATAAAAAATATATATAAATAAATAAATAAAAATAATAAATAATAAAAAAAGAAAATGTGACACATATACACTATGGAATACTATGCAGCCATAAAAAAGATGAGTTCATGTCCTTTGCAGGGACATGGATGAAGCTGGAAACCATCATTCTCAGCAAACTATCACAAGGACAGAAAACCAAACACCACATGTTCTCACTCATAAGCGGGAGTTGAACAATGAGAACACATGGACGTAGTAAGGGGTACATCACACACCAGGGCCTGTCAGGAGGTGGGGGCTAGGGGAGGGATAGCATTAGGAGAAATACCTAATGTAGGTGATGGGTTGATGGGTGCAGTAAACCACCATGGCACATGTATCCCTATGTAACAAAACTGCACATTCTGTACTTGTACCCCAGAACTTAAAGTATAATAATAAAAAAAAAAGAATTGTAAAAAAAAGAAGTAAAAATATAATGGATGCTGGCAAGATTGCAGAGAAGAAGGAATGCTTATGCATTGATGGTTGGAATGTAAACTAGTTCAGCTGCTGTGGAAAGCAGTCTGGAGATTTCTCAAAGAACTTAAAATAGAACTACCATTCGATCTGGCAATCCCTATTGTGTATATAACCAAAAGAATGTAAATCATCCTACCATAGGGACATATGCATGCGTATGTTCATTGCAGCACGACTCATAATAGCAAAGACATGGAGTCAACCTAGATGCCCATCAATAGTGGACTGGATAAATAAAATGTGGTACATATACACCACAGAATACTACACAGCCATAAAAAAGAACAAAATCATATCCTTTGTAGTAACATGGATGGCATTGGAGTCCATTATCCTAAGTGAGTTAATGCGGGAAAAGAAAACCAAACGCTGCATGTTTTCACCTACAAGTGGGAGCTAAACATTGAGTACACATGGACTCAAAGAATGAAACAACAGACATCAGTACCTACTTGAGGGTGGAGAGTGGGAGGAGGATGAAGATTGAAAAACTGCCCATTGGGATATTATGCTGATTATTTGGGTGAAAAAATTCTCTGTGCATCAAACCCCCATGACACACAACTTATTCATGTAACAAACATGCACCTGAAATAAAAGTTGGAAAGAAAAAAACTAAATAAAAAAATTAAAATTGGGCAGAAGACATGAACAGACATTTTTCAAAAGAAAGCATACAAATGGCCAAGAGATATATGAAATAATACTCAACATCACTAATTATCAGAGATGCAAATTAAAACCACAATGAGATATCATCTTACGTTAATCAGAATTACTATTATTTAAAAAGTCAAAAACGAACCGATGGTAAGGATGCAGAGAAAAGGGAACTCTTATACACACTGTTGGTGTAAATGTAAATTAGCACAGCTTCTGTGGAATACAGTGTGGAAATTTCTCAAAGTAGTAAAAATAGAATTATCATCTGATACAGCAATTCCACTACTTGGTGTCTATCCAAAGGAAAACAAATCAATATATCAAAAAGATACCTGCACTCTTATATTTATTACAGCACTATTCACAATAGCAAAGATATGGAATCATTCTAAGTGTCCTTGAACAGAAGACTGAATAAAGAAAACGTGACATATATACACAATGAAATACTATTCAGCCATAAAAAAAGAATAAAGGTATATCTTTCACAGCAACATGGATGGAACTGGAGGTCATTATAAATGAAACAAGCCAGACAGAGAAAGACAACTATCACATGCTCTCACTCATAAGTGAGCACTAAAAAATGTTTATGTATGTATGTAGAAAGTGGAATGATAGAAAATGGAGACTCAGAAGGGTGAGGGAGTGAGAGGGTGTGGAGGATAAGAAATTACTCAATGGGTACAATGTATGTTATTCAGGTAATAGAGTCCTTAAAAGCCAGGATGTGACCATTATGCAATCTATACATGTAACAAAATTGCACTTGTACCCCATAAGTTTATATAAATAAAAAATTATGGGACATTGAGTATAGTACTCAAAAGGATATTGCCTCAGTAGTAAGGAACAATTAGTTGTGAAATAAATACTTCTCTGATCCCTGCCTAACAAATTTTAAAAGCAAGACCCAAAATTTGCAATGGTTTCTAAGTAAATTAACTGCACCTCAGAACAGAGCGCATTTATTTTTATTGGAGTAAAAGAAATCAAGCACACAAAAAGGTAAAATTTACAATGTCTGGCATATAATAAAAACATGCATGAAAATAAGCAGAAAATAAGCAATAAAATATAATGCATAATGAAGGAAAAAAATCAATGGAAACTGACACAGATGTTAGAATTCATAGACAAGGACAGTAAAATATTTACTATAAGTATATTTCATATGTTCAAAAAAGTAGGTAGAAGCATGGAAGATTTTTAAACATTTGAAATTCTAGGGATAAAACTCCAATAATGGAGATGAAAAATACACTGATGGGGTTTAGGGCAGATTAAAAGGTTTACTGAGTCTAGGAAAGACACATGTTTGAAAAAAGAACACAGTTACTCTCATCTCCCCTGCCTCTCCAGCAATGTGATGTGGCTTTGGACACATTGGGATTGTGTCACAACTGAAGACCTCTGAACTTAGGGACCTTGAATGTTCTATAAAAGGTAGTAAACCTTCCTGATGTTTACCCAAAAAGAAGAAATTGTCTGTATTATTTTGGACAGATAACAAATCTGCCCTTTGCTATGAAGAGAGACACTGTCTCTGTTTCCCAAGGCTATTGGCTATACAAACATCCTTGAAAATATAGATGCCTTTCTGAACAAAGATGCCTTTTCTGATAAGATATCCAGAAATGTGAGAGTCATGTAGAACTGTTTTCCCGCAGATAGCTATATGCAAAAAAAAAGAAAAAAAAAGAAAAAACTTCAATCCATACCTTATACTATATGCAGATGCTAACTCAAAATGGATAATAGACCTAGACATTAAATCTAAAACTATAAAGAGTATAGAAGAAAACATTTAAGTAAAAATTTCTTAACTGTAAAACCAGAACCCCTATTAATAAAAGTTGATAAGTTGGACTTCATCAAAATTTAAACCTTCTGCTCTTTGCTGCTCTTTGCAAAACGCTGATAAGATAATGAAGTGGCAAGCCACAAACTAGGAGAAAATATTTATGTAACATATACTTGATAAAGGATTTCATTCAGAACTTTTAAAAATAGGCAAAAGATTTGAATTTACACTTCACCTTTGAAGATATAAAGACAACATGGGCAAAATAAGGCATGTCTAACATCATCAGGCATTAGGGAAATACAAATTAAATTCCTAATAAGGTACTACAATATTGTTACTAGAATGGCTGAAATTAGAAAGACTGACTATAACAACAAGTGTTGTTGAGGATGTAAGGAAACTGGAACTTTCATACATTGCTGGTAGGAATGAAAACTGTTATAATCACTTTGGAAAACAGTTTGACAATTTCTTAAAAAGTTAAATATAGATCTATCTTATAATGCATATGATGTAAGTATTTACCTAAGCATAATACTGAATTTTTTTAAACTATAGCTTTCCCCTACTCTAACATTAAATATCTCTTCAGAAGTGTGGCCTCTGCCTTTACTGTCTTCTCCTTTCAGAATTCTCTTGGAGAATTATTATATGTAATACTTGGTTAGCCATATCACATACAGTTCAGTGTCTGAGAGGCATCCTGTTTTAAGAAGCACTGCCCCCAAATGAATTTCAACATTTATACATCTCTCCTAAACAATTAAGTGGAAAAAAGCACAGACCTCACAGCCTAATTTCTTAAAATACCTTGTCTTTTCACTCCTATTCTTTATCATGTTGAATGTTCTGGGAATGTCTCACTTTCCTAGACTCAAATAACCCCTTTAACCACATCACTCTATCAATGCCATCTTGGTCTTCTCATCGTTTCACCCCTCCGCAGTTCTATATAATGTGTCCCATCACATCAATTACCTCTTCCTCCATTAAAACTGTCTTTATTACTTAAAATAATCCTCATTTGACTTTTGAGTCTTTTAGTTCTCAGAAGAGTAAGCAAGGGAAAGGTGGTAATTTGCCAGGAGTCAGGGAATGGGAAACACTGTGAGCTTATTGAACATAAATAATTTTTATATAATCTCAAGCAAAAGTTGAGGAAAGGGTAGAGGAAGATGCCTAAAGCTAGTGATTGCATATTGTTCAAAATAGACTTTAAGACAAAAATTGTTACTAGAGACAAAGAAGAACATTTTAAAATGGTAAATGGGCCAAACCGTCAAGATGACGTAACAATTATAAATATAAAAGTACCTAACAACAGAGCTCCCAAATATTTAAAGCAAAAACTGACAGAGTTGAAAAGAGCAATAGATAATTAAACAATAATAGTTGGAGATGTTGATACCTTTACTTTCAACAACAAATGAAACAACCAGGCAGAAGACCAATAAGGAAACAGAAGACTTGAAAACACTATAAACCAACTACACCTAACAATAGCAGGATATACATTATCCTCAATGCATATATAACTTTCTTCATGATAGATGATATGTTAGACTATAAAACAAATCTAAAATAAATTTTTAAGGATTGAAATCTTACAAATTATGTGTTATATTCATGATGGAAAGAAATTAGAAATGTATAACAGAGAGAAATTTAGAAAATTCAAAAATATGTGAAAAGTAAATAACACACTCCTAAATAACTAATGGGTCAAAAAATATCACAAGAGAAGTGAGAAAATACACCTAGATGAATGGAAATGAAAACACAGCACGTAAAACTTGTAGATACAATTAAAACTGTTCTTAGAGGGATATTTATAGCTATAAATGCCTATATTATGAAAAAAGAAAGATTTCAAATCAATAACCTAACCTTGTATCTTAAAAAAAAAAACTAGAAAAAGAAGAACAAGCAGGTAGAAAATAAAGATGCACATAAATGAGTAAAATAAAGAGGAGAAAAACAATAGAAAGAATACATGAAATCAAAATTTGGTTCTTTGAAAAGATCAACAAAATTGACAAACTTTTAGCTTGATTGAACAAGAAAAAAGGAGAATATGCAAATCACTGTAAAAAGAAATGAGAGAGAAAACATTACTTCTGACCTTACAGGAATAAATCTAGTGACTGGAGAAATAAAGTTTCCATAAATTCACTTCTGCCTTGGGCCAGCAGTGCTTAGGTAAAGACCTGATCTGAACTTTTGAGGCAGATGTAAGGATTGGGGCATTACAGATCAGTGAGTTTGTAGACAGTGACCCACAGTCCAAACTGAGCTGGCAGATGTTTTTCAGCTGACTCACCTACTGATTTTTCAATTTTTAAAATAAGTTAGTGATATTAACAATCAGGAGATATCACATCGTAAAAGATTTCTGGCTTCTTTACAAAAAAAATCTAAAGAATTGGCTGCCTACATTTCTACATAACAATATCAGGCATAGCTGAGAAGCACCATGCCGTTTAGAGGAGACATGTATTTCCAGTTGTTTACAACCCCATCAACCCTTGTTGTCTTATATCTGGTCATTTCTCTCATATACTCAACCTTCTGGCCCTTCTAAGAATTATATTTCAATTCCTATTTACAGACCCAGATCTATGACCCATTCATCCCAATATTCAGCATATGAGAAAGCTCATTTCTCTTAATATCAACTTCAAATGTTAGTTTTAGAGAATATCAAACCAAACTTTTTATCTTACAGATGCACAAGTAATGTAAGATGCAAGAACATAAAATGCTTTACCTAAGGTCACACAGTCAGCTAGTGGCAGAGATGGGATTAGATTCCAGTCATGTCTTCCAGTTCTTTTCCTCTGCATTCTGGTAAATTTACATGTATACCAAATCCTTTTGACAACTATTTAAGTATTATCTATACTAATTCTTTGAGCTATGAGTTCCATGTGTGTTAACCTTCATGTAACAATGCCTTCTTCTCAATTATCTTAAATTTGACTCTTTCTCATGGATGGTATAAAAAGATTTGGATTTAAAAATAAATCCATATTCATCCCTTCTCTACAGCTTCTGATTTTATAGGATTTAATCACTTCTCCCTCTGCCTTTGACTTTTGGAAAAAAGAATCCTAACTTTTCTATGGGGCTTGCCTTGTAAGTGTTGAGAGGCCAGTCAACTTCAGGATTTTCTGTTTTATTCTTTAGGGAGACTGAAGGGACTTAAGTTTATAAGATTGTTCTCCATATCCTTGGTGCCTCACCTGTAAAGACCACCCACTTGAAAGGAAGCCCCTTATGAAGGGCAAGACGCTCAGCCCAAGAGCTATTGACTATGCCATATCACCCTCCATTGGGGTCCACCCTCATGCTGTGACATTTCTGTTCAATGATTTCTCTAAAGTTTTCATATTTAGGCCTTTAAACATAATTTTCCTTAATACTCCTTTTTCATATACTATATTTTCTACTTTTACCTTTGTATGTCCTAATTCCTGCTCTTAATCCTTAATCTCTCACATTTATATGGATTTTTGTCTAAAATTTTGTTTCATGGGCTTTTCATCCTTTATCTCTTTTGCTTTCAGGATTTTATTTTTTAATCTCATTGACCACTGGCCTTTTATACTTTATTCTAAACATCATGTGTTTTCTTTTATTATTTTCAACTGTTAATCTCTTGTCTTCACTGGGATTTTTATTCTCCCATTTCAATTTGTACTTTACTCTTTCCTTCCCCCTTATTCTCAGTGTTTTAATGTTACTTTATTTCTAATCTCCTATTCTTCTTTAATTAGTAAAAATCAATCACATATTTTTCCTTAATTAATTTTATGTCATGACTGACAAGAAGTGTGATTATAGATGCGGTAGCCACAGGGGGGACCTGTGCTAGAAATAATAAGAGGAAGCTTTCCTCTCCTCTTGGTCAATCCTGTCTTCGCAGAGCCCCTCTTAGAAATATCATTGCCTATCTTTCTACTATGCTATTTCTTTCTTATGATTTCATAAGAGTATTTAACATTTATTGATTATGCATTTATTACAGTGGAGTTATTCAGGTCTCTGGGGACCTGAATTTGGGGCATAGCAGTGGTCTGATAGGCCCCACCCAGAATCAAAGGGAAGAAGAAAATTGATTAGCTATAAAACATTCTTTAAGTAAAAAATTTCTCACAAAAGGCACCTATGAACTGAGATGATGGTGGTGTATATAGTGGCTTAGGAAAATATTTCAGATTATTTCACTCACTCACTGGGTGACTACATTGTAGAAGCTTCCAGGCTCTCTCCTAATCACCATCCTCAGTATGATTTTTTACCCCATGGAAAAATAAACACATTTTAATATGTAGCCATGCTGGCCCACAGTCCGTTACCCATACCCAGACCATGAGCTTAGGGAGCTGAGAGAAGTGGGGTTAACCAAACCTTTAAAACTCTCTTGTGACCTATTGCTAGCAAAAGCCTGTTTAAAACTTAGCTCCTGATGCCTCGATGGAAAGCTTATCCCTTCCTTTTCTGTCAATGATTTGAGCTTAAAATAGGTCCTTCTTCATTGTGTCATGCAAATGTGGTACTCATCCAAGTGCCTGCTTCAAAATAAACCTTGGCCAGTTTAGAGGGGAAAATGAGAACATGAAAAGACTATCCAAACCTTTTGCTTAAGTCAAATTTAAATATTATTATAAATTCCTTATCACCTTATAAAAACCCTCAGGTTTAATAAATTGATGTAGGAATAACTGAGTTTGGATAAAATGCTTGGCCATAAGGGCAGCCTATGAGAAGCAGGTACCAGATGTATGAAGCTAAGATCTTGATGGCTTCTTGGCAGGAGGGGTTCAGACTGTTTAGTTTTAGAAATCAAACTCAACAGTCCAAACACTGAGTATCTAAAGATGCTAATCAGCTATTTAGTTGCACAGCTGACCAAACGAGCAAACAAACAGAAAATCTTACAGTCCAGATGAAACATCTTAGGAAGATTTCTTTCCAATGAGTTCACCTTTATCAAAGTAATGGCAGAATCCCATTTGGCTAGACCCAGAATGTGGTTATTTCAGTGTTTTTCAAACTATGTCCAGAAACATAATCTATAAAGTCCATATATTTTCTGTGAGAATTTTGAGTACTTTGTACTGATTTCAATTAAAATTTTTTAAAAATAAAATTAAACAAACCTCCAATATAAGCACTGTCTGGATTATCTGAATGGCATCCTGAAAACCGAGCATTTCCAAGACAGCTCAGCTCGTATATTGGCAATTGTGTTAATGTCCTTGTGGCGGGATATTAAATTGGAAATTTATACTGAAATATCAAGAAATAGTAGAGTCAGATAAAAACAGGATGGGGAACCAACCTCCAGGATGTAGGTTTTCAAAGAAAATATTTGAGAATTGGTTATGACTTTTGGATTCTTCAACCATATGGGGGATAGTAAAGAATAGAAACACTGGAGATTCAGTGGGAATATTTTGAGGATTTATTTGGAGTAAGCTGTGCTATGTAATATTCACATGCACACATGTGCACATGAGCATGCACACACAGAGATACACACACAAACACACAAGATAGAAGTGCTTCTTCCATCACTATGAACATTTTGAGGGATTAAGTCCAGGAAGGCTGTAATAGCCTACACAGCTTAGTATTAAAATGTGGATGCAGAGTGAGCTTGTGTATAACTCACACCCAAGAGAACCCTGCATTTTTTTTCTTTATAAAGAACATATATATTACTCAAGCTTTAAAGTAAAAATGTTTCATTGCTTGAAAGGACATCCTTTATTCTTTAAAAAGTAATATCTATTACCTTATTATTACACATTTATTTTACCTTATTCATGTAAAATATGTGCTTCTTTCCTGATTGCAACTCTGGGTTTTGGGGGCTGGGAGCCAAATTAAAGAGCAAATAAATGCTGTTTTACTCATCATCACCTGGAGGAGAATGCTTTCAGGACTAACTGAAGCAAGCTCAGTGCTTTTATCCACTTTTCCTCAGCCTTTGATTCTAGGCACAGATATCAGTTGTGGGCTCAGTTGATGAGCTTAAAATAAACTCTTTGTTTCTGATACATGTACAGACTTAAAATGATTGCAAGTGTGAGAGTTGATCATTATGTTATTTTGATTAATCACATAGCAATTTTCATCTCAGGAGTGTGTTCTGTCCATTTTCCTTTTAATTCAAAGCTCCCTGATTTGAAGCTATTTTGGTTGAGATAGAGATGCACCTCCTTTCAATAGCATGTAGAAGAATAAACATTTTTTATATGGAGATGTCATGATTTTATTATCATGAATCAGCAGTGCCCTCGATGGATAACCAAACCAGGCCTGTAATTACTGCCAAAAAAGAAGAGATTCAGATCAAATATTTCAATATCAAGGCTGGGCACAGTGGCTCATACTATAATGCCAGTGCTTTGGGAGGCTGAGGTGGGAGGATTGCTTGAGGCCAGGAGTTTGAGACCAGCCTGGGCAATAGAGTGGGACCCAGTCTCCACAAAAAAATTAAAAATTAGCTGGGTGTGGTGGCCCATGCCTGTAGGCCTCGCTACTTGGGAGCTGGGGCAGGAAGATCTCTTATACCCAGGAGTTTGAGGTTACAGTGAGCTATGATTGTGCCACTGCCCTCCAGCCTTGGAGACAGAGCAAGACCCTGCCACACACATGCAAACAACATTTTAATATCGAAGATACTATTCCGGAAGAATGAGATTTGCCCTAACATTTAATTGTGTTGTAACCAATACTTGTATACGGCAAGTTTTAACTTAACCAATTACGTCGTATCATATTTTGCAATGGATCGATTTTGGAGGGTAGATCAGAGTGCACAGTTTAAATATTATCTGGCTTTCCTGACAGTTATAATTTTAATGGCACTGGTGGACATCTGATGCTTTACAGGTTTTCCAGTATAAAACTATTTTCGCTATTAATTGGTGGTATGGAGCAGAGGCTCAACTTACTTTTTCATGTGTGTACTAAATAAGAACCCAAACAACCTGTTGAGGGGCCACCTGCTGGTGCAAAGGTCTTCTTTCAGCTCAGAGGCAAGAGTGATGCATTCTTGTCAGTCTCCATGTCTTTCATAAGAGAATATTAGCCCCACTGCATCTCTGTCAGTTGTTAACATCTACATTTCCACATCTAACAAGAAATTTTGAGTGACTATAGTCCAGGGCTTGACAGCAAGTACTTAGGCCATTTATTGCTTCGTCATTCAAGCCCTGCTTCCCTTTTCTGGTAGCAGCAGTTGTCTTCCTTAGAAAATCACTGACCCACCCTGTTATGTACTGACTGTTGATGTCCCCAGCCACCAAATTCATATGTTGAAGCCTTAATCTCCAATGTAGCTGTATTCAGCGATGAGGGCTGTAAGGAAGTAATTAAGGTTAGCTGAGGTCATAAAGGTCACTCCTGATCTAATAGGATTAGTGTCCTTCTAATAAGAGGTACAAGAGAGCTTGCTCACTCTCTCTTTCTCTCTCTCTCTCTCTCTCTCTCTCTCTCTCCACAAAGGCAACAAGGAAAGGCTACGTGAGGACACAGCAAGGAAGTGACCATCTGCAGGCCAGGAGGAGAACCCTCCCCAGACACTGAACTGGGGACTGCTAGCCTTCAAAACATGAGAAATTTCTGTTCAAACCACCCAGTCTGTGGTATTTTATGTCAGCCTGAGCTGACTAATACACATTCCTTACTCCAGCCAAGTTTTTCTTGTGGGCATTTCATTGTATAATGCCCTCTTCCCCTGACCACAGTGTGGCCCTGACTCAAACTGAGCCAATCAGAGTCCCTCTTGAAGATTTTTCAAATTGAGACAAAAAGGAAGAGGGCACAGGGGAAGTTGAAGACGTCATTTTAGAGTTGCCAGTGGTGAGGACTCGAGCAAGGCACAAGAAGCCAGTCTGGGAGAATGAAGCTAAAATTCCAAGAGAAGCAGAAATAACACAGAGAGAGAAGGAGAGATTCCTGGCTGTGGTCAGGGCCTTGGTTCTAGTTGTTTTTGTGGCCCAACTGCATGTCTCTCCTTCAGTAATTTGATAATAAGCCTATTAATTCCTTTTAGCCCAGGCTAGCTTAAATTGGGTCTCTGTCATTCACAACTTAAAGTGTTCCTTAAGGCAGGAAGCATGACTCCTGAGCTTAATGTAACTCAAGACTCAGAGACATTCGGTAAGAAGAAAATTGCCTAATGGATATGCAGCCCATTCACTCTCCTATACATCTGCTTTCCCAAAATTGTGCTTCATCATAGTATCAACATTCTACATTGGTGCTCAGTATTAGAAGCAAACCCATAACACTGTTATAATTTTTTAAGACTCCTGGAGATGTTGTACATGATACAGTGTCTTTTTTAAAGATGAATAAGATAAATATATTTCTAGTTGGAGGCTCTAAGTCTGTTTTTGAGGAGTAACTTTAGTGAAAGGTGAATGGGATTGGATTCAGACACTAGATTTCAAGTCAGGCCCTGCCACTTAGAAGCGGTGTGAGTGCTCAGAAAAACTAAGGGCATTTGTGAAGTAAAAGTAAATACTGTGTGTCCTACATATCTCACATTGTTGTTGTCAGCCAATGTAGGTACAAAGTGCTTGGTAAAGTAGGAACCATAAATAATTGTGATTCATCGGTTCCAATCCTCCTTTTACCATGAATTTCAAGATAAATTTTTCACTGTCTTTTTTTTTTCTTTCTGTACAGGAGCTCCAAATATTGCTGTTTGGAGAAATCTGCACCTTAATAAGAGCAGTTATTTGTGAGAAAAAAAAAAGACAAGAATATATATGAGATGGGTAAGCAATTCTATTGGCCTGGGGTGATGACGATTTTTATCTGCCATCTAGCCCCAAGCTCTGGGCTCTGACTCCTTTGTGCAGGTAAATACCAAGGTTAGGTTTTGAATGTTTATAGCAGAATAATTTAATTTGACTCACTCTAGGGTTGATTGATTATCAGCATGTTGTTCATTCCTATTTTAAGTCTATTTTGATTCAAACCTTGTATTTCTCTCTTCAGGACTGTATGTTTACATGTGGGGTTGGGGGTGACAGAGAAAAGGAGAAAGAAAGATTTTTATTTTTCCTTCTAATAAATACTCATTGAAAAAATCATAGAATGTAAAGGAAATAGTGATATAAATTAAAATTTACTCCATAACTCTCCTATACAGAAATCCTGTTAGCTGTGAGTTTCTTTTCTATATACATTTATATAGTTGAGGTTCTGCATATATATATAATTCTGCATCCTAGCTTTTCAAAATGATGTGAGAGCGAGATAATTTCCCAAAGTCATTAGAATTCATTGAAAATATAATTGATGGCTATAAAATAATTCATAATAGATGGAGTATACATAATATTGATTTCTATTTCATTATTACCTTATTTTTTAGGTGAATTACAAATTTTTGCTATTAGGTTGGAGCAACAGTAATTTCGGTTTTTGCCATTACTTTTAATGCTGTGATTAATATTTTTGTTCATAAAAATCAGTACTCTTTAAAAAGAACTTCCCATATATTTGCAGCACTTCTTTTACTATGTGTGGAGACTCCTCTACTTACAAATAGATTCGTCCTGAAGATAGTGTGTAAGTCCATTTGTTCTCAAGTCCGAAGGGACCAGTAAAGGTATTACCATCTGTTGGTGGTAGGCAAAGATAAGAGTTCTTTTTCTTTATCTAGATTTCTAAATAGAAAGTCCATAAGCAGGCGAGCTTGAGTGCTAAATTCTTAGACACTGAGTTTGCTTCTAAACTATTACATAGAGCTAACCATTTATCTAATTTTCTATCTTATTTTTTATTCAAATAACATACTATACTGAGTATATAGACATATTTATTGCAAAAACATAGCAAATATATAAAATTGTAAGAAGAAAGTTAAAACTAACATTATCTATTGCTGTACTATATTTAACCTTTTGGTATATTTTAATCTCAGTGTGTATTTGTGTGTATTTGTATTTTCCTCCACATAATTAAATTTATACTATTTATGCATTTTGTTTGTTTATGGAAGTCATCCTATAAAAATCAAGCCTGGTGGTATGCATTTAACATCTGAGTATATGAGTTACTATGGTCCAGCTCTTACACTGTGTCCTCTCACCTTACACAGTCCTATGATCTTAAGGCAATAATAATGAAGGAGTTGGTGCATGGAGTATGTGTTGTGGTCTGTGGAGACAGCAGATGTGAGGTCAGACTCCATACTACATCTACTAACTCTGTGACTTTGTGCAAAGTTTAACTTCTGTGAGCCTTAGTTTCTAGACCTAGAAAGTGAAATCAATAACAATACCTACTTTGCAGGGTTGGTGTGAGTATCAAATGGAATAATGTACATGAAAAGCAAAATATGACCTATTACCATTGTTGACTAAGAAGAAAAAGATTTTGTTAAGTGGAAAAAATGGTGGGTAGAGCATGGAAAACAAATATCAGTACAGTCTTAAACGACAGAAGCATCAAATCCAATATCTGTTTGATTTCAGGGAAGATATTTACATGTTGCGGTACTTTGCTCATCTTTTACACCTTGCCAAATCCATGCTGGCTTAGAATCTTGTGAAAAATTTATCTTTGTGAGTAATAGCACTAGATTTACATAGTTATACTTTCACTCATTCATTAATTTACTCATTAAGTAAAATATTAGTGAGTATCCTATTGTGTGTTAGGTACTGTGCAAAGCCCTAGGAATAGAATGTAAGTAAGACGTAGAAATTGATCTCAAGGAGCACACTGTCTGGTATGGGAAACAGATGTGTAAGCACAATCTCATGACCACAGTACAAACAACTTACAGAGGGAGCAAAGATAAGGAAGAAGTTAATTCTGACTGGTGGTCGTGGTGGATGTGGGAGTCATGGGAGATCACACACACACACACACACACACACACACACACATACACAGTGGCACTTGAATAACTTGTGTATGCAATGAATGAGGAACGTTTCTTCTCAACTAGGAGGAAAACATATGCAAAGGCCAGAGAAAGCATGCTTGGAGAAGAAAGAAGGAATAATGGGTAAAGCCAGAGCAGGGCAAAAAAAAAAAGATTTTGTAAGAAATGAGGAAATTTAGTCTGGGATTTGTCGTGGATGTGTATATGTCAGCCCAGCAACTTGGAAAATTCCCCTTCTCCCATTCTTAGTCCACATCATTTAAATAGAGCTGACTTTTTCTCCTGCCTTGAGTGCCAATAGATGTGTCTTTCATTAATTAAAAATTTTAAAAGTAGATTATTTAATAAAGATATCTTGTTGGATTGACAAAGTCTTGCAAAATGAAAACGTCATGGAGAAAATTAATTAAAGGAACTCCTGACTTTGACAAAGTTTGAGAAGCACTAATCTATACGATGATGAACATGCCTCCAACTCTAATATTCAATTCACTGTCATATAAATTAGGAAATATATGTAATCCTGGCAGCCAAAGTGAGATATTTAATTTGTGGAAGAGGAAGCATAAAGTCACACTGACTAGAAAATTAGAACGTTTGCTCTTGCATGAAGGAATCATAAAAAAATAGGCCAACCCATGTCAACTGCGTGGTCCTCAAAGATCACATGTTTATTTTTGGTGTTAACTATTTAAATAAATCAGGTTAGAATAATTCTTTTTCCCGTGATATCTCTGGGGTCAAAGTGTATTTCTCTACCTTTTGCCCAATTTTTGGTAGAGCAGGTTAATAATTAGTTAACAGTGTAATATGAAGTGAGAGAATATATTTCTAGCAAATACCCTGGATTCCCTTAGAGCAGAGTTGGATATTCCTATAAACCTTGGTTCTAATAATTTTGAAATAGGGAAATTGTCAAATTGTGTCAGCTTTCTAGTGTTTTAATGCCATCTTGGAAAAAAACAACAGTATTGAGTAATAATTTACTGCTACTTTCTTAGCCTTGTCATCCAATTTAAAATGTAAAGCTGGCTTCCCATCTCACAACAAGGACAGAACAATGGTGAGAACAATGGCCAAAACAGTACCAACAGCTCCAGTTGTTAATGGAAGGAAGGATTTTGAGGCACAGAGTTCAGGCTACATGGGAATTCCCAATGAGCTACAATTAAGAGGAAAGAAAATCTGGCCCAGAATGCTTACTTTTCCATTAATAATAAAAGTATTTATGTCATCATTGTTACTGCTCTTGCCATACTTGTTAATCTTAAGGTTTCTCAACCATCTGTTGGGAGTGAGAAAATAAACGGAGTGGTTCTTTTTAGGTGGGATTGAATATAGGACTTAGTTCAGAGAAACTATTCCTAATGCCATCAATTTGAAGTTAAGATAAAAGATTTTCTAGGCATCTCACCAGCAGTGACATGGTAATGGAAGCATTCTTTTTTTTATCCAAGAAAGGTATGAGACTAGAAATAAATGTATAGGTACAAAAAACATTTTGTTAGAGGTTCGGGTGGGAGAAAGAGGTTCTCTGGGTGTCTGAGTCACACTGTTTTGCTGATTTCTTTTAAACAGGAAAAAAAGGAGACATTTTAGCTTGACACAACTCAGTGAAATCAGCTTGATCCAGCTGTCTAAAGCAGCAGAAATGATTGCAGCTGGCTAATCTCTAATTATAGAATCTCTATTGCTGGTGATGTAAGTGGCTGAATCTGTGGTTTGACTTCTATGATCCCTGGCTTTATGAAAAGCTGGGATTTTTCGATAATGTTTGTTCCCTCTGCATAATAAACTAAACAAATTTAAATTAACTCTTGGGGCAAATATAATTAAGAAACTGCAGATGATATTTTTGTTCCTTTTGCTGACCAGAGTATGCCCTGTGACTTTGGATGAAGCTGTTAAGTGCTGTTTCCATGGGATTCAGTCCAGAGCCTTCAGCTCTGACGTCCTAAGGTATTTGGAGAGGCCAAGGTCAACATCGGCAATTATGAGTTTTAAAGAAAGTTTATTTCTTTAGTGGTTTGTATTTAGAGAAGATTTCAGACAGAATTATTGCATTTCAACTTTACTCTTAACTCTTCATCAATCATCTGCCTTTCTCATTCCCACTCTGTCCACTGACTGTTTTGCAAAGACTGGTTTAATGAGAAACAAGCATCAAGGTTCAATCTAGGTAAGTTATGAATATTAATATACTAGCCTGTGAGGTTTGCTATAACAAATATCATACACTGGGTGACTTAAACTCAGACATTTATTTCTCACAGTTCTGGAGGCTGGGAAGTCCAAGATAAAGATACTGGTTGATTCATTTCTGGTAAAAGCCCTTTTCCCAGCTTGCAAGTAACTGATTTCTTGCTGTGTCCTCAGATGGTGGAAAGAGAGAGCTAGCATTCTGGTCTCTTCTTATAGGACCACTACCTTTATCATGAGGACACACCCTCAAGACTTCATCTAAACCTAATTACTTACAAAGGATCTGCCTCCAAATGCCATCACATTGGTGATTAGGGATTTAACATATACATTTTGGAGGAACATAAACATTCATTCACTCCGTAACAGGAAAACTTTAGTTAGCTTGGGCTTATCAGACTATAATCCTCAACTTGTCACTTTGAGAGAGGAAGCAGAGCAGAGATTTGTTTGGTTAAAGGAATCTCAAGCACTCCCACAATGATCACCACTCAATGTCCCATAACATCTTTGTGTTTGGTATTACACTATCATAATTCATATTGGAAATGTTGCTCAAAACACTGAAAAATTTTTAGATACTAAAGAGTTAATATGCAGTGTGTTCTCCGTATAAATTCATAAACCTGGACTCATAAATTAAAAAGGTTTTCAATTTGTTTTGGAGTAAAAAATTTCAATTACAGGCAAGTCAGGAATTTTATATAATTAGTATGCTCTATTCCCTTAGTATCTTAGCAATAAAATACTAAATGATGTCAATAAAATACCAGATGATGTCATCTGGCTATCATAAAATATACAATTTCTCTTTTGATTTTTAAAATAGCCAATTGTTAGATAAATTTAGCCATTCCTTGCCTCCCAAACCAATCTGTTATTGAACAATCATCAATCCTAACTTAGGAAAAGTATCTTTTTCTTGATCCATTAGAAAGCAGAGACTAAGGCAAGGATTAAAGTGCTGAAACTTTATTTAGGAGGTATAAGCCTGGGGTAGCTAGGGTAAGGAAGAAGGAAGTAAGTCATAGAAAGATGTGAAGCTATGTGATATGATGTTTCCATGCTGGCTACTGTGTCCCAATGAACCATGAAAAGAAATGGCTTGTCGTTCAGCAGGCATGTTCACTTAGCATGAAGGATTTCTCCAGTAGGGCTTGGAGGACATGCACCTAAATGTAGCCCATGGAAATGGGAAAGGAGGGCAGAGGTGTCCATGGCTTGCTCCTGTTCCCTACTTTCTACTGCTCAAGCTTCACTCTGCAGGTATCGAACTCCCCCACACTTTGCATTGTACCATCAGACCCCTTGACAGCTTAGGAAGCCACTTAGGCATTTGCATCCTGAGGCACAGGGGTCATCTGGCATGAGGAACATAAGGGCCATGGAGGCCCAAGAATTTAACTCACACCTTCCATCTCAAAGACCTTAGTGATAGCAGCAGTAATTGTGTGGTCCGGAAGGCAGATGTTGCCCTGAAAGCAGGGGGAGTCAAGTCGATCCAAGTTAGCATACAAGGTTCAGTCTGACACAAGATACTTCTGCCTAATTTGAAACTTTGTAATATGAGAAATTTAGAAAATGTAAAAAGATAAAAGAGGCATGAAGTTGAGTATTGTGTAGGGAAATTAATCCATTCTGAAACATTTGGGGGAAGAGGATTAGATTAGTCAGGATTCTCCAGAAAAACAACACACATGCACACACACACATAATGAGATTAATGATAAGGTATTGCTGTACACAATTATGAAGGCTGTTATGTTCAACATCTGCAGAGTGGGCCATTGGTATGGGACACACACAGAGAACTGATATTCCAATTTGAAGGCCATCAGGCAAAAAGAGCTGATGTTTGCAGTTGTCTGAGGGCAGTCTGTGGGGAAAACCTTTCTTACTTGGGGGAGGATCTGAGTTTTTGTTGTATTCAGGCCTTCAACTGGATGAGGCCAACCACATTATATAATAGTAATCTGCTTACTCTACTGATTAAAATGTTAATCTAAATTAATGTTAAAATCTACCAATATAAACGTTAATCTCATCCAAAAACACCTTCGTAAAATCATCCAGAACAATTTGTGACCAAATATCTGGGCATCCAGTGGCCCAGTCAAGTTGACACATAAAGTTAAGCATCACAGGGGTTTATTCACCTTGCTAAAAAAATTAGTACGAAATAGTAGGAAGGTATTAAAGCTAATGAGGTCTGAATCTAAGCCCAGTCTCCACCAGTTACTAGCTTTTTGATCCTAGGTAAGTCAATTGATACGTTTGGACCTTAGGCTCCTCATCTATAAAATGTGGAGGATTTGCTGTCTAAGGACTTTACAGCTCTAAAATTCACTGAGTATTTAATTCATAGCATTCACCTACCAAAAATGTGTTGTAGAATGATGATAAGCCATATTCTACCTACAATTAAAGCTGAATAAAATAAATGATGTAAATTTATAGCAAGATAGATTTATGCCAGACAGATATGTGGTAGAATCTCCTGATTTACTGAAGGGGATGAGGGAGACTGTAAAATGGTTAACTGGAAAAGATGAGGGAGACAATGATACCTCTACTTTCTGATTCCATATACTTTTTGCTTAAAGCAGGACCAGTCATTCCGGGATTGTGATTCAAGACACTGTAATTCCTGATGTCATTCTACAGATTGTATATTTTATGTTTAAATGTTTGCTGTTTTAAATATTATTTGACATTTTAAATATCTGATCTATGAAAAGCTGCTTAGGGGAGAGAAATGAAGCTACTACAAACAGTGGAAATGAAGATTTCAGAGAAAGAATTGGGGAGATAGATTTGAAAAAGTCAATTGTTGGAACATCAAGCAAAATGCAATTTGCCTATCCTATTTAGTCTTTTGTGGCTAGACTGTAGGACCAGTGGTATTTAGTTTACTAATTCTCTTGCTAGGTTTTGTGTGATGATTTTCTTAGCACCTTTTTCTTCTTGCCCCAGTTGCTTTCTATTCCTTTGCCTTTGTGTGGGAGTAGCTGCGTTAATACACAGAATCTAGCTCTAAATGTACTCAGCTCTGCCAGGCATAAACACACAGAATAAATCTTCTCTGTCTGGGTGCAGTTGCTCACACTTGCAATCCCAACACTTTGGGAGGCCTAGGTGGGAGGATGGAAGCCAGACTGAGACCAGCAAGATACTACCTCTACAAAAAAAAAAAAAAATTAAATAGCTGGACATGGTGGCATGTAATCATAGTGCTAGCTACTCACGAGGTTGAAACAAGGGGATCACTTGCCCAGGCTTGAGCCTAGGAGGCTGCAGTGAGCTATGACAGTGCCACTCCACTGCATTCCAGCCTGGGTGATAGAGCAAGACCCTGTCTCAAAAAATAAAAATAAAATAAGTCTTCTCAGATATGTAACATAAGCTCTGAGAGTATGCAACAATTATATTACATGCTGTGTAGTACATACACATATAAATAAAAATAATTGTTAATATCCCAAGTTGGCTTTTGTTATTCCAATATGAGCATGTGGAGGTTGAGAAGTTTGGCAACTTTGTGTAAAAAATAGTAAACTTGAGAAATAGAATATATTTGGTCATTTGGGTACAAAAAGTTACTTTGATTTTTTTTTTCCAAATATGCCTCCTTAAGGCAATTTAATCTTAGATCAGTCAATTTGCCACCATCCTGTGGGGGAAACCTTTGATGCTCAAACCACGTTATCTAGGAACTCCTCTTCCTTTTCACACGCATGGTGCATGGAGACTTCTCTCTCCTTAGCTAGTTACTTTCTAATTGGGACTGAAATGACAATGTATGTGGCTGCCATATTTCACAATGAACAGAGAAAGCCAAATTGGGGAAGGAGAGAGAAGAGGAGAAGAGAGGAAGAAACAGAGTCAGAGAAGGGCAGAGGATGAGGGGAAGGAGGAAGGAGAAAGGGAAGAGCAGAACACAATAACAAATACTCAGTGAGAACAAATGAGAAATGGAAAAAGAGTACAAGGCAAGTGTTAGTTCATATTCTTGTTACCTTAATCCATAGTAGAGATGGCAAAGTGTTAGTTTATTGGCTAAATCTAGCCTACAGACACATTTAGTTCATTCTACATAGTTTTACATTTTTATTTCAAACTGAGAGATTTTATACAAAAATATCCATATTTCTAGATTTTTTTGTTTTTAAAGCATAAGCTTTGGCAAGACTTGCCCCACATTCCCGTGTGGCAACAATGGTCTGAGCCTGAGCAATAGGTGTCCCTATTTGATGCAACACAAACTCTGCCCTGTTCATCATAGTCACCACCACTCCCTAATATCTTCCTCCTCACTGGCTCCACTTGTTTATGACACCTGCCTGGCCTCTTTGGCTTTTTGAGTTAAAGACTATTACAGAAGCCTCTTCTATGGCCTAATCACCTTTAAATATTTATTAGTTCCAATTTACTTGTCATGTCATGGGTGCCAATGAGTAATTGCTGTTAATGAATGAAGATATTGCTGGAAACAGGCCTGCACCTAGCATCTGAGGGCCCTGGAGTGAAAGTACAGATATTTAAATGTTATAAAGCGAGTTAACAAACTGTTAAGTAAAAATCTGTTCTATCCTCCTACTGTGGCAAATATATCTTCATTATGACAAATCTAGACTACCTTTTAAATTATAGTTTTAATAGAATGAAATATGGCAAAATATCAAAGATGACTGAATTTACTTTTGCATTTATAAGGTTGTTCTTTGAATGGGCTAGTGGTGTTTGTACTAGTAGCAAAATATAAATTATTTTATATTTATCTCATAAGATTTTCATCTCTTGCTTTTACTTTAACCAAATAAATAATTGTATTGTTACAATCAAGATTTTTAAATGATTTGTAGTCTATTCCCAGCAATGCCAATTTTTTGAATCATTATAGTTTTTAGATAGCTTTTTATTAATTTCATTTTAGAGAAACCTCATTCTCCTAAAACAATAGCAACTGGGATTGTCAAAAAAATTCTTAAAGCAATATTTTGATTTGGAAGTAATAATGAATTTTATGTACCATATCAAAGTCATGAATTTACATATCATGTTCAAATATTGTAATAGGATTGTATATGGTAAAACATGATTGCAGAAAATATTACAAAATACTTTAACTTAATTATATATATCCCTAACACATAATCCTCAATTTTACTATCTCTTAAAGCAATTTTGGACCTATACAGGAATATAAAGGATTGTTATCAGGATTCATGCATGTTATGTCTTTTGATAAAAGATTGTGTGTATGTGTGTGTGTTTGAACCATGCAGGTTGATGTACAAAAAACTGGATACTTTTAAATGGTTCAATCTAATACACATTTTAGAGTTGTATGAATTGTTTCATATTGTAAAATATTCCTCAGCTGCAAATACATTACTAATTTTTGAATACTTCTAGAACTATGAATAGGAAAGAAGAGAGGCAAAATGGATATTCAGCCCTCCTGGGAAATACTTCGTTATGCAAGAGTTTAGTGCATTCATGCTCTCTGAGAGGAAGGATTGACAGGTTAACTAATTTATCTTTTCTCTTACCTAAGCTGTTCTGTCATTCAAATTCTCCTAGCTCTCTGGAGCAATGCCACACAAACCACGAGGGCATTTGGACACAGTCACCTTTCTTTTCAAGTATATAAGGCAACAATGAGGATAAATGTCTCTCTGAGACAGAGGCGGTGTTAGACACAACAGTTGTGAGTCACACTCAACCAGTGCTGAGACCAGGTCCTGAAAGACAGCCACCATGTGTTTGCTAATGGTCCTTTAAAGCCTGGGGCCCAGCACAGAACCCCTTTTGGGAGCCCATAAGTGACACTGGCAGTCAAAGTCATACTCCTGGAGCATGGTTCTTATCATTCTAGAATCCCACTCAGAAATATTCACCAATGCACAAAATACATCAGACATAGCATTGTGGACCCTAGATGATTGGACTCCAATACAACCTGCTGTTCTGCCCTTCTATTTTTGACACTTTGCAAAGTCTCCTCAAGGGCAGAGATTGCAGTTGGAACAATAATGCATTCTAGATGCCAGGCTCCATATGTGCATTTCTTCTTCCTGTCTTTAAAGGCCTGCGAGTTTGTGTATAGTAAATTTCGAAATTTAAAGACATTAAGAAATTAGATGCTAAGTAATTTCTTCAAGATTCTCATGCAGGTATCATTTCAAAAGTGGTGATTTTTCCACCAAGACAGGATTTTCTCAGAAACATTGACCTTTCCCTCTTTGCCCTGCATTTAGAGCATGCTTAATTAATGTTTGTGGCCTGAATACATTTATATTTTTACTAACCCCAAAGGAATGGATGTCAAAAGCCACGATATATATTCTTTAAGGCATTTTTTTTTCCTTCAGAAGAATGGCTTAATTTACTAAAGAGGAGCTGACTTTACTCAGCATGCTCCCCACAAAGCCCACATTGAACTTGAACTTGCTGACTCTCTGCTCCTGTTATCATGGCTTAGACTGGCTGTTTGCCTAATAAGGCAATGATTTCTGTTTAGAGCTCTTTGAGATTCTGAATAGTCCTCAGCATTTTTTTTTTTTTTATTCCAGAGCGTCCGACAGTGAATTTTTAGCATGAGAGTTATTTCCTTGGCTTTCCTGATAAAGCAAAGAACAGAACAACTGAAAATATAAGACAAAATAGAATGTATATGAGGTTTCTGGTTATTAGAGATTTTACCTAGTTACAGAGTGTGTTTATAACCTGGATACCATTGGCAACTTTTAAAAATAAACAATAAATTAAACTATTTTAGGGAATAACAAGAACAATAAATGTGAGTGGGGGGCTAGATGACACTGAGAACCCAAACCACATACACCCAAAAAACTTAATGCATACATTAACATAACTTTACTATTTAGCTGCTACACTAATATGACTTTACCATTCCACTGCCTTCATCAATCTGATTTTACTATTCCAGAGTACTCTTGCCCAGGAAGATATGTGTAAATAAGCATATTGTTTGTTTCAGGAACTTCCCATAAAACCCTTTTAACTGAACACTGAACTCTCCAACAAATAGCACCAAGCCAGTATTTATACCCCAAGACTTTTCGAATCACTTACCTCAAAATCCTCACCTTGAAAATCTTCATCTTGTTGTGTTCACAGGTCATAAATTATTTTATCTTTATCCTTACTTAATCCTAATCATGTTCCCCTTTCATTGAAAGATCCACCTTGAATCAGACTCCAAAACCACATATATATGCCAAGTTTGCCACCCTCACTTCAAGAGGGTATTAAAACTCTGGCAAGACAGTATCATCCTTTATCAGATCGTAATAAACTCAGCTTTGTCTTATCAGTTGGCTTTGATGATATTTTGGGGCAGCCAGCAGTTGGCAAAAGAATGGCTAAATGCTGATAATTGTTGAAGCTAGGTGTTAGGCATATGGGGATTTATCATATTATTCTCTAGATTTGTGTATGTTGGAAAAGTTTTTTTAAAAAACCTAAAAACTTTGATTTAAAACTTAGCTGGGCTGGAGGCCAAGGAAAGGAGCTGCTGAGTGAGTGATGAGAGCTCAGACAATGTGATAAACAGACTGGAAAATGTAGCCCTGGCATCAGCTTCCTAAGGCCCATGACATGGTCTCCTTCAATTTAAGGAATATGAACATGAAACTCCCAACCCAATTTTTGACAAAATACAGCACAACAAAGTCTCCCTGGCTGCTCATGAATGGTGCAAGGCAGACCCCAGTCTACACCACCATTCTTACGAGCACATGCTGTCAGTCAGTGGACAGTGTTCATTCCAAAGCCCGGACCATGTGAAGTGAATCCTTTTCCACAGTGTTACTTCTTATGATGGTAGGAAGAAGGTGGATAACAAATAGGTAAGACCAGGGGATTCTTACTACATGAAACAACATAGGAGCCAGGCAGTTTGGAGAATCCCAGGGTCTGATTGGAAATCCAGATATCCAGATACCTCCATTGCCTCTTTATTTTATTTTATTACATATTATTTTTATACAATGATTCCATTGAACCCCCATTGCTTTTTAACCTCCACACATAATTTGCCTATCACTTCTTTCCTCATAGTCTTTGATACCTCTCAGTTTAGTTTCTTCTTCTGAGCCTTTTCCCTAATCTCGGTAGGCTCCAAACTCTTCTGCCCCTCCACTTCTACTTACAGACCTTCAGTGATTATAATGGAAGAGAGATGCCATGTTAGTCCCTTCAGCTCCCTCCCATAAAAATAACTTGTGGATATGGAGTCACACGTAGTCAGGCACCCACAGAAACCAATTTATCCATAATGTTGCAGAAATTCAAGTCCCTCAGTGGAAAACTGAAGCAAATAGTACTGAAATAGTCCCATGTTATTTGCAAAAATAGAATACGATTTTTGATTGAATTATTGATGCTTCCTAGAAGTTCATAGGTAGAACTCACAGGCCAACATTCTGTATAATGAGCCAATGAATGTTTAGTAGTACTGTAAGGCCATCAATTGAATGGCCAGTTCTTTACCACTTTCATTGAGTCATTTATTATGTTGATGTAGTCATTATCTAGACAGAGTTTTAACTTCAAAGGTTTTTCCCCATATACATAAGCAGTTTTTCTTAGTCTCCTCTCTTTTCCTTTCTTTTCCTTTCCTTTCCTTTCCTTCCCTTCCTCCACCTCTTCCTTCCTTTTTTTCTTCCTTTTTTCCTTTTCAACATGGGCCATGTGACTTTGTTTTTATATCCCCTCACCCCTGCCACCAATAACAGAATTTTAAAGCTGGCCAAGTCATTAAAGATCCCGTTTAGCTGTCTCATATTTTAGGACACTGAGGTGCAGAGAAGTTTAGCCTCTCACCATGTAAGGTCAAGTGTGTTAATGGTACAGCTGAGGCAGCTTCTAGGCCCAGAACTCTCTGTCTTGAGTATTTCTCCTTATATTATGCTTCTTTCTAGGCTTTTACGATTTCAGCATTTTATTTATTAGATGAAAACTATCTCTAACAGGTTTTGCACATATTAAAATAATTTATATTTCTTTATAGGTTGATTCTGAATATTCTATTTTTGCCTAGGAGACTGACCATTTCTGACCAATTTTGTTGCAGTCATTTATGTCCTACTGCTTCTAGAACCTGATATTTACTATTTGATTGAAAGTCACAACATCACACATGGATTTTTAATGATTTCTTGAGGATTATTAAGACATTAGTTGGTTTCTGTACAAAGTCAAGCCCAGTGACGGCAGGCCCAGCAGTGACCTGAGTTGAATCCTGCACTGAGGACTGATGCCAAATATAGAAATGCAGCAGCCCCTACTGCTTCAGGGCCCAAGGGAATGATGCTTTCTCTATATGTGTGTAAACCACCTACAAGTGAAAAGCAGCTCACAAGGTCCATGAGAGACAGAGCCCACTCATCGTCTCAAGAAGGTGATAAGGGCAAATTTTATTTTACAGTAATATATGCTTAGTCATTAGAAATAGTTGTGGAGTTAGACATTATGCTTCTGGAAATATAAATACATCTTCTGTTTTCAGTATTAGGAAACAGTATTCCGGACCCAACCTTAGCAAAGTATGACTTTGAGTTATTTTTCCAGTATGATTGGTAGCTGGTATATTTCACTAAGTTTTGTTAACCCAAATTTGTGGACTCACTAGGGAAAGATCTGGGGGAAAGTGAGAAAGGCAGAAGACAGAAGGTAGGACAAGCCTATAAGATTTTTTTTTCTATTGCTACTGAGCAAAACAAACTTCAAGATTGCTTCATATTTAGATTTTATCCAGCTTTTATCTAGCTAACTCATACTGGCTCCTTTGGTAATATTCTCTAAGCTATGAGCTTTTAATCTTTTCTTTTTTTCTTCTCCAAGTCATACAAGACGGATGATGGCTGGGTGTGAAAGTTTTCCATCAGTACACCAGAGTTATGAGCAGTTCTCAGTGGAAGAGCTGCAACAACTCCACCCCTTAATATCCACTGAAGAATGCAGTTAGGAATGCATGTGAAGGAGAGTGATGCTCTTGTAGAGAAAAACATGGATCTGCTCTACTTTATTATTTAGCTATAGAATTATTCACCAATGCTAATATTTGACAAATGACTTGTAAGTTGTAATACACCTTTGAGCTAATCATGGCATGCCAGGGTACTGAAATAACACTGTTGAATACTGTTGCTTGAATTAGCCAAATTAAGTAGTCAGACTTAAATTCTTGGGGATACCAGAAATTTGCCTCTTTTCTTAATAACTATTTCTTTTATCCACTCATTCATCTGTACATACTTCCATACATGTACAGTCATGGGCCACATAATGATATTTTGGTCAATGTCAGACCATGTAAATAATGGTGGTTCCATAAGATTATAATGGAGCTGAAAAATTCCTATTGCCTGGTGACAGCATTTTGCAACACATTACTCATGTGTTTGTGGTGATGTTGGTGTAAACAAGCCTACTGTGTTGCTAGTCATATAAAAGTATAGCACATATGGTTATGTACAGTGCATAATACTTGATAATGATAGCAAATAACTATGTTATTGGTTTATGTATTTACTATACTTTGGATCATTATTTTAGAGCGTACTCCTTCTACTTATTAAAAAAAAGGTAACCATAAAAAAAGCTTCAGGCAATTCCTTCATGAGGCATTCCAGATGAAGAAATTGTTATCATAAGAGATGACAGCTCCATGCATGTTCTTGCACCTGAAAAATTTCCAGTAGTAGAAGATGTGGAGGTGGAAGACAGTGATATTGATGATCCAGACACAGCATAGGCCTAGGCTACTGCTTTGTCTGTGCCTTAGCTTTTAACAAAACTGTTTAAAAACAAAAAACTCCATAATTTTAAATAGAAAAAAGCTTATGGAATAACTATATAAAAAGGAAAATGTGTACAGTTGTATAATATATTTGTGTTTTAAGGTAAGTACTATTACAGTAGAGTCAAAAGGTTAAAAAATTTAAAGTTAAAAAGTTACAGTATGCTAAGGTTAGTTTTTTATGAAAGAAAGAAAACTATTTTTAATAAATTTAGTGTAGCCTAAGTGTGCAGTGTTTAGAAAGTCTACAGTAGTGTACAGGAATGTCCTAGGCATTCACATTCACTCACCATTCACTCATGACTAACTCAGAAACTTCTACCTCTGCAAGCTCCATTCATGGTTAGTGCCCTATACAGGTATGCCATTTTTAAAAGTCTTTATTCTGTATTTTGACTGTATTTTTTCTGTGTTTAGATACACAAACACTCATCACTGTGTTCCAGTTGCTTACAGTGTTTGGAACAGTTTCATGCAGCACAGGTTTGTAGCCTAGGAGAAACAGGTTACATCACATAGCCTAGTATGTAGTAGACTACATCATCTAGGTTTGTATGAAAACCCTCTATGATATTAATTCACACAATGACAAAATTGCCTAACAATGTATTTCTCAGACTATATGCCCATTGTTAAGCAATGCATGTTGGTATATATAGGTGACCACAATGTATAGATTAATTGTCCATTGAAATGAAAAGTGTAACTATGACTTTGCTATCATGACCCTTTGCTATCATGACCCTAAGGATAAGGAAACCAACGATAACAATTCCTAGATGCATCATTGTAGACTTCTGTAGCAGATTAAAAATAGTCACAAATTCTTTGACATTCTTCTCATCAGGAAGTTGGGTCTATTATTTTGCCATTGAATATGAGCTGACTTTTATCTGCTTTGGCCAGTGGAGTATGGCAGAAGTAATGTTACACCAGTTCTAGGTCAAGCCTTTAAGTAAAATGGCAGCTTCTGCCTTGGTCTCTTGTGCATCAGCTGCTATTTAAAAAGGTAGATTGCCTTAAAATCACTATGCTGTGAGAAGTTCAAGGCACATGGAGAGGCCCTGAAGGATAAGATTCCATGTGGAGAGACAGGCCCTGCAGGGAGCATTGAGTGATTGGCTCTTTCAGTGAAGAAACCCTTTTGGAAGGTGGTCCTCTGGTTGCACCTGTCCCAGATGTCACCACATGGATCAGAGATGAGGTGTCCAGCTGAACTCTCTGGGAATTCCTGACCCTCACAATCATGAACAAAATAAAATGGCTGTTAATGGTAATAAAATGGTAATTAATGACTTAAGGTCATTAATACAATATATAACAGGAATAATGTTCAGAGGTTGAGCATTTTAAAGAGATGTAGATTATCATATTGTAAGCAGACAAAGGCATTTATGTAAGGAGATTACCAGTGAAAACATAGGCACATTTACTTAGGCCAAAGCTCAAATAGAATGTGTAAAGAAAGAGGATGCTATCAAGATTTAAAAACAGAGTAATTAAATGCAATCATGGAATGAGAAAGAAAAATTTAGAAACTTCTCTTTGAAGGTACAGGAGAAATTTGGGGGATAAATTAAACTTTCTCCTTCTAAGATTAAGGAATATTTGGCTGAATGGGGCCCAGACACCTAGGATGTGTCCTGACTTACACCCACACAGGTGTGAGACTGTCTTTCAACTGCATGACTTGTTAAATTGCTATCTGTGTTAGACTAGAGCTTCAACTATTACCACTTTGCTGGGAGAAAGAGTATGATAAAGAGGATGGAAATGCCACTCCCACCTTGAGGCATTTTGTGCCTTCATGATGTCACATGTAACCCTGCAGCCTCAATTTTACTCTCATCCTAGCAGCACCTCAGATATTGGGTTTAAGCCCCTTTTTCATTGCTTCTTTTCCCACCTACCACCCCTAAAGTAAAATAATTTTAAACTTTCTAAATTTTAATATAGTGAATAATTATGTGATATTTTCTGATTGATATAAGCAAAAAAAATTATGAATTGAATAAAAGTGTATTTATTGGCTGGGCGCAGTGGCTCACGCCTGTATTTCCAGCGCTTTGGGAGGCCGAGGTGGGCAGATCACGAGGTCAGGAGATCGAAACCATCCTGGCTAACACAGTGAAACCCTGTATCTACTAAAAATACAAAAAATTAGCTGGGAGTGGTGGCGGGCACCTGTAGTCCCAGCTACTCGGGTGGCTGAGGCAGGAGAATGGCGTGAACCTGGGAGGTGGAGCTTGCAGTGAGCCGAGATCTGGCCACTGCACTCCAGCCCGGGCGACAGAGCGAGACTCCGTCTAAAAAAAAAAAAAAAAAAAAAAAAAGTGTATTTATTATATACCTGAACTTTTTGAAGGACTATTTTCATATAACATTGATTCTATGAAACTGTAAGGGCTAGCCGACATAATTTTGGCTAAAATGTGTATTCTAAAAGATCTGAAAAGTTGTATTTAATAGTATAAAATGTCAGATCAAACAATATAGAATTTCAAAGGAATATACATAAAGCTGGCACTTAGGCTCAACAAACCAATTGCTTGCCTTCTGGAAAGCACAGGTATGGCTCTGGGGTGTCGGCGGACTCTGATAATCTGGGTCTGCCTTATGACATAACTGCCCAAACCATTCACAATGATCTTGGGCCACATGGAAAAGTATAATGTTAAGAAGACGGAGACACAAATTCTGTTTTACTCTTCACTGAACAGACCACAACCTGGAGTAATATGTTCAGTGTAGGGCTGCCCTTTAAGAGGACATTATCACACTTTACCCGGGGCTACACATGATGCTGAAGGTCTTCTAAGTGATGTCATATGAGATTCTACTGAAGGAATTGGATCTCTTCGGCTGGGATATGAGGGACATTCAAGCCACAGGTGAAAGTAACAAGAGATAGGGGAAGGTTTATGTGGATTTTTTTTTTCAAGATTTGAAGGATCCAATAAAAGAGCTTCCAAAGTGTGAATTTTTGGCCTCTGAAGGTCTCAAGCAACAGTTGGAGATTGTCCTGGAAGTTTAGGTATTAAAAAAATAAGTAGGCCGGGTGTGGTGGCTCACGCCTGTAATCCTAACACTTTGGGAGGCTGAGGCGGGAGGATCACAAGTTCAGGAGATCGAGACTATCCTGGCCAACATGGTGAAACCCCATCTCTACTAAAAATACAAAAATTAGCTGAGCACGTTGGCATGTGCCTGTAATTCCAGATACTCGGTGGGCTGAGGCAGGAGAATCGCTTGAACCAGGGAGTTGGAGGTTGCAATGAGCCGAGATCTTGCCACTGGACTCCAGCCTGGCGACAGAGCAAGACTCTGTCTCAAAAATAAAAATAAAAAATAATAATTAAACTAGATAACTCCCAAGGTTCTAAAGAATCACATCAGTAGCAAGGATGTATTTGATTATCTGAAAATTAATTCAAACCAAGGTGTTGACAACCAACTGTGCTTTTCCCAAGAAAATTTTTTCTTTTAATAGGGTGTTCTAGGTTGGCAATTCCACCAACATGCCCACATTCTGCTTCCACTGCAAACATTGCTGAACAGTCAATCCCAGTACCCTTTCTGGCTGGACTGGGACCACACCTCAGAAATAGACAACATTCTGTGCAGCCAGTATCATCAATCAGGTTGGCACAACAGCAGGAGATCTATCTGTTATCCCTGCAAAGGAAAGGAAGGAATGTCTGATATAGGAGTGCATTACCTGAAGGTAAAGTGTCTTGGAAAAACCTCACTTACAATGAGTCCCTTAATCAGGAGCTAACATTTCCTAGATAATAGAAACAAAAAAAGGGGGTGAATGAAGTATTATCTTGAAAGTGAAACTAAATATTCACTCATTAATTTTATTCTGCAAATATTTATTGCATAGCTACCTTGGTAGACACTATTGTTGACCATGGGGATATACTAGTGAATGAGGCCCAAAAGTCTTTTTACTCAAAGAGCTTAACCAGGGGTGTCCAATCTTTTGGCTTCCCTGGGTCACATTGGAAGAAGAATTGTGTTGGGCCACAAATAAAATACACGAACACTAATGATAGCAAATGAGCTAAAAAAAATCACAAAAAATCTCAATGTTTTAAGAAAGTCTACCAATTTGTGTTGGGCTGGATTCAGAGCAGTCCCGGGCCCCAGGTTGCACAAGCGTGGCTTACATTTTAGTGGAGGGGGGAAAGTATACAACAAATAGACAAATAGCTATTAAATATATGGTAGGGACAGATCCTATGAAGAAGATAAAGCAGAATAGAATGATAGGAGAAACTAACTTAGGGAGTTAGTTTTCCCCAGGGGAGGACGTTTGTGCATATTACAGGTGGTGTTCCCAGGTGCAAACGTCCTAGGGCAGGATCAGGTGCACCTGTTATAATAACAGGAGAGAGGCCAGTGTTTTGGAGATAAGTTCAGTTGTCTCCAGGGCCAGAGCACATAGGGCCTGAGAGGCCATGGTAAATGGTAAAGAAATTATAGAAATATTACTATTTTATATTCTGGGTATAATTCAAATAGTGAACCAATTCTTAAAAATCATAGAGACTAAATTTTACCTATTGGAGGGGTTATACATATTTTTCTCAAAAACATTAATAGCTCAAAGTGATAATCTTCACATCACATTTGATACTCATTACATTATTATAAAAAGGGAAATTACAAAATTAATTAAGGGCTCCATAAATTTTTCCAAGGGCCACTCTTAATCCTTTGATAATTGATTAATTCCTTTTGGAATTGGCATCTCAGCATTCTTGTCAATTTTTATTCTTTGGTTGTTACTGCCAATACCTCACTTGTCACTGGTTTTTAATGTGATTCAAGCTGTTCTGCAATATCACTTCCACTGGCTTCAAGAAATCCTGACTCTTTTGTAAAAAATTGAAATTTCACTTATCAATCAATTTACATTGCATCTGCATTTTATTGTCAGATAAATCAGAGAGAGATTGCCAAAGATGGACTTGATGTACACTAGCATTAATTGGGGAGGGTTGTTTGGATGAAGACCAATATCACAAACAGTCTGTCGCTAGTACATGTTTTTGGTATCACAGCTTTGCTTCCCTGGGCACCTTTGAATCTTCAGGAGCTCAGTTACTGACCACTCAGATAATAAGGACTCTTGATATGCTGTCCTCATTGGAGCTGGTGAAGAAATAGATTAGGGGACAGGGATGGGAAGAAGTTTTTTTTTTTTTCTTTTTTTGTGGAAAAAAAATTATCTCTTCAGGCAAGAGTCCTCTCTTTCACAAGGAAGCCTGGTCATTCCCAAGGGTACTGACAGGAAGCTACAAGTCACTCTGTCCAGGCCAATAGAGCAGGCCTCTGTTGATTTCCTGGCATTGTAAAGATTCTGGCTTCTTGCCCCAGCATCTTGCAGAAAGTGATTTCTCAGAATTGTCTGTTCCTCCAGGGATGCGCAAGTATTTTAAATTGAAGAGTTGTAAACTGAGCACAAAGCCAATCTGGATGAAACCCATTTCATCCGGAGCAGCCCATCCGCATTTAGTAAAGTTTTAAATTTTATTGTTCTTAAAAAAAAAAAAAGCTGTGTAAACACTGCGCCATCATAGGAAGTAGAAAGAAAATATCATCTGTAAGCCTCCTCTTCAAGCACAGTGGCATTGTTCATCTTGTCTCAAGCTTTGTTTATATATTCTTATTTATTATAATAATACTAATGAAAATAAGGATAATTAGCAGCATTTATTTACTATTTTTTAAATTTGTCAGGCATGTCATTTAATTTAATCTTCATAAGAACCCATAAAATAGGTCATTATTATCTTTATTTTACAGATGAGAAAATTGAGGCAAAAGAGGTTGTTCATGTTTAAACTATTAGTAAGCGGTGGGTCTTGAGTCTTGGCAAATCTGGAAATTTCTTTCTTGACCTCTACACTGTTGCTTTATATTTTGCATATAGTCAAGTCAATACATTAGAATTAACAATTTTACAATTAAACTAAACTATTGGTATTAGATCTGATATTCAGATATTGGTTTTAGAGCACTGATAGAAAAATGAGCATTTAAAATTGAGCACTTTTAACATGTTAAGTGAATTAACCATATTCAAATCTAGCATCTTCATTTTTCCTTTATTTTACTTATATTGTATACAATAGAATTGTACATATAATATACATTATGTATTTTACATATATAAATATGCAATATATTTATATTAAAAATGTTATGATGTCAGGGACTGTGTCTGTCTTATTCATAACTATGGGATAGTGATAAGCATGTAGAATCATTTGTTCATTCATTCGTTTAATAAATATACCACTTAATTCCCTTTGCATTTTTTTCCTGATATATTCAGGAGTTATTTTCTCAAAATTCCTAGTTATACATGATGCTAATTGATGATATATTTAACAAAAAATTATTTTGGTCTTCAATGAATTTGAGGAACACTGTTAAAAACAGATGAAAAACTTCTCTTTGCTACCTAATGTGCATTGTGAATTTATAATATGCATCTTTTCCAAAACTTATTTTTGACCATGTAACTTTTAAAACATTTTCCTGGATTTTCTGGAGACTAGAATTTCACTGCCACTTGGGAAATACTGGCCTAGAACTTACTTCTTCATAAACTCAATATTAATTTTTCTGCTCCCCTTTTCAAACCCTCCTGGAATTGTTCTTTAGTAAAGCTGAGGGTCTCCAAAATAATCATATGTTGTACGATATTCATCAGTATTGTCCTATTCCAAGTTGAACAGTACAAAACATCATAAAAGCCAATTAAAAAGCCACTTACAAAGACAATTTCTAAACCTGATTTAAGATGAAAACAAATGTCATAAGAATTAATTGAGAAGTAAAAATTAAAATGGTTGATTTTGTTATATACTGCCAAATAATGTTTTTTCAGGGATGTTTTGGTTTTTATCCATAATCAACTGTATCAACCAGTTGTTTTCATTGTATGTGGGTACTGCCTAAAACCTAATTTTGGTCCTTCCTATTCACGAGTTGCTGAGAATTTTTATTTCTTTTCCTTGGACATTATTGAATACTTGCATTTATTGGGTACATTTGTTATTTCATTTTATTTTCAAAGGGCCCAATTCATTTCATAGAATGAAAAAAAAACAGTATTTGGCAGTATATAAGAAAATCAACCATTTAATTAAGGTTGTTCTTAATTAAATGTCCAAGTCCTATTTCAAATTAAAAGCATTGAACATTTCCATTACAAGTGGATCACTGGGAGTATTTATAGGAGAAAAGTGTGATCTTTCTCCACACTGGAACACTTGGAATAAACACCATAGTCAATGAGTACAAGGGGTTTCTGGAAATTAACAACCATATGGGAAATTAACAACCATGTAATCTATGAAACCATAAGTCAGTCAGAAGGCTGAATATAGACTTACCTTCATCAGTCTGAATAAACAAAGAACAGATCTCACTTTGAAATGGCTAAATAATGAATACAGTGAAGCAGCGATGTCTCTTACTCCTGAACCTAGCTCAAATGAAATAGTAGGTGGCTTCGGAACAAATATGTACTGTATAGTTATACATACAAAGGATTAATATTCCTGAACTTATTTTAGTCCATAGAATTCAGTCTAAGACCATATTAGGTTTTTATTTAGCTGATTTTAAAAATATTTGGAGAGAGGAAAGCAAAATTGCAAAGAACCTTAATGAAACCTGTTTTTCTTTGAAAACTCAATTTTTATTTTTCAAGGTATAAATTTAAAAAGTTAAAATACAACTCTCATACAAACATAGGCAGGCAGCAGAGATCTATTCACTTATTAATGGGGAAAACTGTAAGATGATGAAGCTGGTTCCAAAAGCATTTTGAGGATCTGTGGATTTACAGGTATTTAGAAAGAAAGTTTGGTTAGATGCAAAATGATTATTTGGTTAGATGCAAAATTGGTTATCTTCCTATATTGCAATAAAATCATAAACGCTGCGATTATCTTTTTCTCTGAACAGGCTGAATAAAATGTGCAAGTGACCACAGAACTTCACTGTGGCTGGAATCTAATCAATAGTGAAGAGCAAAGCCAAACACAACTGGAGAATTAACTGGCCCCTGGGTGGACTTGTTAACCGATGTCTCAGTTTGACATTGAAAGGTCATGCTCTTCCCCATTATTTCCAAGTTTTGGTAAAGTTTTTAATTGCCCAATTAGAAAAATTATGAGTTTTTTGTTGTTATGTTAACTCATTAACTTACATAGGTTTGGACTAAAAACCACTATCCTAGCTGCTTCTGGGAGTAGAAAGATTAAAAAGGGGGATGGGAATCTTATTTCAAAATTCAAATAAAATAATTCAAATTCAAATAAGAATCTTTAATAGATGCTACATCCCATATCCAGGTCAACATGGCAGGAGAAATGAACAATACAAAGAGGGCAGAACAAATATCCCCAAGGGAAAGAAGCCAGTGGGGGGACTGACAGTCTTTCCTTTCCCTAACAAGGCTGCCTTTATTCAAAGGGATAGCGTTTGCGGATTCCGTCTCTCCATCCTTTGTAAAGGTGCTAGCTAGGGAGCTGAGCTCAAGCGGGCTGCTCTAGGCATAGCAAGCCCCACCCCTTGCACGGTGTCCTAATCACCAGCTAACCCCTGGAATAAATTCTCCACTCGCCCTGCGTGGGTTCATTCACAGCTCTGTAGTCCGGGGCTGGGCGCTTCCTCTCTGGGACTGAAATAAGAGCGCTCTAGACAGATCAGGTGTGATGCAGCCAGCCCTGCTTTAGAGCCTATTCTTTTTCCTAGGCAACAAAAAACACACACACAAAATAAAACACCAAACAGCAGCAATATCCCCCTCCCCCTTCTTGTTCTCTCCTGACTTTTTCTGAACGATGGATGAATCTCTGCGAGCCTCCATCCCTGGGGGTGGGGTGGGAGTGTGGGGGGTTGGGGTGAGCTCTGTAAAATTGGTAGGAGACATGTGGAAGAAAGCAAGTCTCCCGGGTATTTCAGCACTTCGGCAGAAACACTGGGGCATTCTCATTGCCAGCCTCGGGGGGTGGCTGGCACAAAGAGCCCAAGATTAAACGCGGCGCCTGGGCTGGCGAGGTCGGGGTCGTGTGGTAACTCTCCAGGTGCTCCTCGCTGGATCCCGGGGTCCCAGCCCCGCCGCCGCGCCCCGCCCAGCTCTGTCCCCGCAGCCTCGCGGGCTGCCGGGCTTTGTGGTTCGCCCGTGCCGCTGGGCCCCTGCTGGGGGTGTCGTTACGAGCATGTGCAGACAGCAGCCCAAGGTAGAGCGAGCGTGCCGGGCGAGCCCGGAGACTTGCCTTGCAATGCCATGTTTGTGTATGTGCTCTAACTCCCGGAGAGCAATCAGGGAGACGGCTCCCCGGCCAGACTTGGCTGATGTTTTCTTGTTTCTGTTTCAGCCTTCAGGATAATTCCTTCAGCAGCACCACTGTAACAGAGTAAGTGATTCTTACCATTAAAATTAGACTTGCATGCCTTTCTCTGGAAGCAACTATCGTGAAGGTATCCTCCACCGTTCCCAGCCGCTGTTCGTTTTAGATGCATTGTCTCCCGGAATCTGGGGCTGTGAAGACCGTGAGACGTGCTGACTGGTGGGGCCCAGAAATCTTTACAGGTTGAAACCAGCATTTTAGCAGCTGCGGGAGAGAAATTAAAACCAGCTGATTGCTTGCAGGAGCTCAGTGCTCCAAGATATGTGTTCTTGGAGCTCAGATTTTTAAAAATCCATTTGATGTGTTAGGAAGCTTTGTTGTATTTTGCCAACATTGGTGTCAGTTTTCATGGAGTGCACACTATATACATTTACAGCAATAGAAGATAGATGTGAAATGAGCTGAATTCCAGCATGTGGTAAACAGGCTAAACTTATCTTGGCCCTCTCTTGTCTACAGATTTTTAAGGCATATCAGAGTAAACTTTTTGTGCATGCCCTTTGTCATGTTTGTCTTCTGACTACAGAGATGTGACTATGGGACGAATGAGTCACCTAGTCCTATGGTTAAAGCTGTTGATTAGGGCAACTAACACCCTTCAAACATGGAATGAAGGAGTGTGAATGAAGGAGCGTACCAGCAAGCACAGTATTTTTTTAAAGATATTTATATGCTATAGTTTTAATTTTTGACATCCCTTCCTTAATGTTTTCCTAATATTATACTATATTTGTTAAAAATTAACAGGTAGTGTATTTTGCTAATACTGTATGTAATTTATATATACATATATATATATGAATATGTACTTCATCTAGCATTCTTTCTCTAGGCTAATTCATGATGTTTACTTCTGGGACCTTTGTAGAAGCCACTCTAAACATCTTTTCAGGAAAAAGGCATGTGTAAAGTTGTATCCTCAACTACATTTAAAAAATGTTATGAGTTTGATGTAGAAGGCTTAACTAACTGGGGAGCTGTTTGCTAAAATTCCCTAAAAAGCAAATAAATGTTTTGCTTTTGGCTTCCAAGTCCTGCCACTATCACAATGACTTGGTGAGGGAGGGATAAGGTTTACAGTGCTTCCTAGGCCCTCTTGTTTTCCACATTCTTTTGTTTCTCTCTTTTGCTGTGCTGCTCCTTTAGTGTCCAGTTTTGAGCAGACTTAAGTGGAGTCACTTAAAAAAAAAAACAGGATTGACTTTAGAAGAAGCAATGTAAAATACTCATTTGGACCCACATTCTGTTTATAAGATTGCTTGGTAACCTGTGCTGCAATGTTGCTTTTCTAAAGGCCTGAGAGAAGGGGAGAGAGGTGTGCCAAAGTGTGCATCTGCAGGCCGAAGATGAGGCCTGGACTTCCTGCTCCAGGTGCACAGGTACTGCTCTCCTCCCTTTGCTGTGCTTAAAGTACTAAGTGCTTTCTGGCCCCGATTCTCAGGAGCCTGGTGTGGCCAAATCCTCGGTCAGTCACAGGCACGGCAGGTTCAAAATGGAGACACTTAGCTCCAGATTTCACGTGGACTTTTTTTTTTTTTTTTTTTTTTTTTTCTGTAGAGGTTTCGTGGTTAAATGCTGGGGAGAGCCTGGTGCCTTGTCTTTGGACACTCCCCAAGGAGTTCTGATTGCATAAGATCATGTTTTTACTTTCAGAGGAGTGACAGTGATTTATTTTAAAAGGCACTGAGAGATAATTGGTATGCCATTTGGCTAATATAAAAATCTAAGGAGCCTATTGAGAACATACCAAAAGCTTCATAGGTATAACACATCATTGACTAGGACTGTTTAAAACTAGTCATTGCCACAATAACATTTTCCCCTCACCTCAGTAATATGACCCATATCCCGTGCTTCTCTGGGCATGACCCCATAGCCCTCAGGACCAAGGTGCTATATCCTGAGACACAGACATAGCAGGTTCTCAGGAAATGTTTGGGTGTGGTCTTGGCCTACACGGAGGAGGGACTTTTCTCCCCTCTATGTTCTGGATACAAGAAGAGCTCCTCTGCCTCCTGTCCCCACCCCATTCCTACATCCTTCTACTCACACCCACTTATTTTCTTCGATGCCTGAAATTTCACCTAGAGATGATTTCTTTGGATGAAGGCCTCTGGTAGTGACCCTTATTAAATTGGAAATTAAAAAGTTTGTGCCCTTGGGAAGTGGATTCAAATTGTCATGAATACTTTAATATGAATTATTTTACCTAACCTATTTTCTAACCTGTTATGGTTATGGTTATGCTTGGCCAGCTGGGAGTCCTAGAAGAGTCAAGGGGAAAGGGAAATTGGGAGGGACTCAAGGACAGATTTTATTTTCTTCTTGGTTTTTCCCAGCCCTGGCACTATCTATGCAGCTCTAGACAAATTCAATTTCTTTTTCCACCCCAATGTTTTCATCACAATGGCCTTGGCCTTTTCTTCCCTATCTGTGGCACCTTTTCATCTAATATTTTTCCATGGTCAATCGTGACATTGCCCCAGCTAACTTGCTATTTTAAATGAAGCCTGCAATAATTCTGATTAGTTATCATTCAAACCAGTGGTTCTCAAAGCTAACTGATCATCAATATCAACTGGGGAAGGGGACTGGAGCTTGTGAAAATTGCAGTCTCCCAGGTTTTATCTCAAAGTGGGAACCCAGAATGGGTGATTGTATTGGTGTCAGGACAGTGCTGTTTTGGGGTTTGGAAACCTTTAGGTCAGTGTTAAATGTTTAGAAACATAGTAGTTCTATAGGTAGGCAGTCTGTTTTAAAAATCCACATTCCTGGGCTCTGCCCTCAGAGAGTTGATGTAGTGGGGCTGGAGACTTCTGTTTTGACCAGGTACTTCAGGTAGTGCTAATGCAAGGGGCCACATTTTGAGAAAGCCCACAGGAGGCTGTACCTCTGCAACTTTGCCTTCAGGGAACATGGTACTACAGGGCAAGTGTAAATATCTTTATAGCACAACTACATTTTATCTAACAGTCAGTCTGAGGCCTCTCTTCTGTTTTAGGCAGCAAAAAGAACTTCTTGTGGGTATTTCTTTCACCACCATTATTCTAAGAAATGGCATGCCCTGTCTCTTGTGATCCTCTGGCATATAGACTGAAGAGATTATTTGTTTCTTGCTTTTTGGGCTTAATGTGGTGGAGCAGAAACAATCCAGGCTTCACCGATTGAGGCCTTGGGATCTTGACTTACAACTTAGCCCAGGTGCAAAGATAATTCCTACCTTGGAGCATTCTCAGGCTGGATTGAGATTATGTGAAAGAGCAGGTGAGCTGTGAAGTACCACACAACTTTTTCTTGTTTGTGGCTGATTGAGGGAGCAAAAGTTCAAATAGGAAGCAAAGTAGCAACCCTGAGCATTTCACAAAGAAATAAGGGGTTTCAGGGAAAGGACAGAAATGATTTATTAATTGAATAGAAGTTGATGGTCTTTACCAAGGTAAATGAGAACTCAAATGAACTAAAAGAGGTTGTAAACATGTGCCATGTAAGCCAGGAGGTAGCTCTATTTCAGTTGCTCTATCTGTGAGCTTGGAATTGTGTTCTTTGAGTGGCAACTGGAGTTGCTTAGTAGACATGAATATTGGATCAACTAATCAGCTCCAGCTTCATACTTCAGAATCTTCTCCAACTTTGTATGTTTTGGTGCCAAGTTTCCATTTTTAACTGATTGTACTTTGAGGAGAAAGATTAATAAATCAAATGAGGGGGAAAAATAAGTTCTTGCCAAATCCCCAAACAATAGGTATTGTTGAGCTCCAGAATTGAAGCTCCAAAGCTCTGCTTAAGCCCTAGATCTTTGAAAGCAACAATTCTAGATTTTTGTTCTTCATTGATGTTGCTACTTTGCTATTGAAAAACATTTTTATCCACATTACAAAGCTCAGGTGATCTATTAGCTGAATGCTGCTAATGAAGGGGAACAAAGCGGTACTTGGGGATTTGTTTTCCATGAGATGGACAGAGTGGACTATTGGCAAGAAAGTAAAGAAGGTTGGTTTATTCTAGTCAAAGCAGCATTTTTTTTTATGAGACAGAGTCTCACTCTGTTGCCCAGGCTAGAGTGCAGTGGTGTGATCCCGGCTCACTACAGCCTCCACCTCCCAAGTTCAAGTGGTTCTCGTGCCTCAGCCTCCTGAGTAGCTGAAACTACAGGTGTGTGCCACCACACCCAGCTAATTTTTGTATTTTTAGTAGAGACGGGGTTTTACCATGTTGGCCAGGCTGGTCTTGAACTTCCAACTCAGGCCCACCTTGGCCTCCCAGAGTTCTGGGATTACAAATGTGAGACACTGCACCAGGGCAACCAATTTTTTTAATTGCCAGAGGTAACAAAATATTTCAGTAAGTAGAAAGGGTTAGAGTCTGTGGGTGGCCTTTGTTTAACTCACTACAAAACTATAAATTAAAGATTTTAAGGGAAGAGGACTGGATTCATTCTGTGGGTTAATTATACACCATTGCCAGTAAAGAATACTTTAAAATGTTAAATTATTTCATATAGTATAAACAGTATATTATGGTTATATTTATGTATGCAGGCATTTATTTGCTTTATTTTTGTCTGCTGATTACATTGTGAATTTCTTAGGGCAGGATTCAGATCTTTTTCAAATTTTGTGTCCTTTAGAAGCAGTGCTACATAAAATGTGAGTCTCCAAATTGTTTAAAACGTGTCTGAGACAAGAATAAAAAACAGAAATAGGGAGTAAGTATCTCATAACTTTAATAGGAATTTGACATTGCTGTGACATTTTTACCAAAGTGTTTGTCCACAGTGGTGTGAAAATAAAAAACAAACTGGTCTGTCCTAAGCCCTGAGAGTTTGCGAAGCACAGTTCCAATGTCTAATGCAGTGCCTGGATTCAGTAAATACTCAATAAATGCTGGTTAAATTATTTCAGAGACCAGACCTCTTAGGGAACAAAGTTAATATTTCAATTCAAGTATTTTTGACTGTCTCTGGGGTACTCTGGCACTGTGGCAATATATCTAGGAAAATAAATTACAGTTATTTCTACTCATGGAATTAATAACTAATCAAAAAGATCTCAGTGGTACAAAGGTTTACAAGTGATGTGTGGTGAGATATAGTTGTTTACCAAAACCTCAGAATGAAGAGTAAATGTTTATGAATTAAGGTTAAAGTAGGAACTTGGCATGTGTATTAGTCAGGGTTCTCTAAAGAGACAGAATTAATAGGATATATGTATGTTCGAAGGGGAGTTTAGTAGGAGAGTGGACTCACATGATCACAAGGTGAAGTCCCACAATAGTCCGTCTGCAAGCTGAGGATCAAGGAAGCTAGTTTGAGTCCCAAAACCTCAAAAGTAGGGAAGCCAACAGTGCAGCCTTCAGTCTGTGGCCAAAGGCACAAGAGCCCCTGGCAAATCACTGGTGTAAGTCCGAGAGTCCAAAAGCTGAAGAACTTAGAGTCTGATGTTCAAAGGCTGGAAGCATCCAGCACAAGAGGAAGATGAAGGCCAGATGGCTCAGCAAGTCTGTTCTTTCCAGCTTCTTCTGCCTGCTTTATTCTAGCCGCATTGGTAGCTGATTAGATGGTGCCTACTCAGATTGAGAGTGTGTCTGCCTCTCCCAGTCCACTGACTCAAATGTTAATCTCCTTTGGCAACACCCTCACAGACACACCCAGGAATGACACTTGGCATCTTTCAATCAAATTAATACTCAATATTAACCATCATAGCACATGACTGAGAACATGGCACATGGGCGACCTTGGCTGGGAAGGTACAGAGCTGGGGAAACCTGACTTGGGCAGTGAAGGATGAGTAGGAGTTGAAGATGGAAAAAGTATTCCAGGCTTGAATGGGGCTGAGTGGGAATGGTTGGGAACAGGAACAAAGGCTTCATCCTATATACTAGAGCGAAAGGATGGTCCTACTCCTGGTTCCCCTAGGCAGGATGGAGAACTGGAGATTTTTCAATATGGAAGAGACAAGAATTTTTCATAAAGTTAATCCGGAAGTTTTATGAAAAGGAACCCCTTCCTTTTCACAAGATCAAGAAAATCTGAGACCAATAGAGTAAACTAAATGGAGGCTGGTTTGGTTTGGGACTGCCTGAAGCAGAAAAAATGCAAAGAGGCATGTAATGGAATCTCTTTTGAGCCAACCAGTATTGGTCTTGAGGATACCAGTATTGGTGTCCAATGTCCCCTCAAGTGCTGTGAACACTTAGGTCCTTGTTAGTTTAGGTGACACAGGACAGTGGAGGCAAAAAGGAGAGTCACATCTGGCTCTGAGCTTTTAAGCTCACATGATATGACAACATTTGCATCATAAACTGGGAGACATAGGAATCAGAACTTATTTGGGAGAGAATGATAGGGAGTGTTTCATCTTTTAGTTTTCCATGGTAATCTTGAGACAATTCTAGATTATTGCTACTACTGCTATAGCAGACAATTGGATCTGATGTGATTTTTCTTCCCACTCTTCCAGGTGTGACGAAGATCCAGTCTCTCTACATGAAGACCAGACTGATTGCTCCAGTCTCAGGTAAAAGCCACCATTGCTTGGTTCATATTTGTGAGAGACAGAAGCCATCTAGGTCTGGTGGCTTTCCTTTGAATTCTAGTCTCTTCTTTGAATTCCAATTATTTGTTCTCATGTCTCATCTCTTCTACTAGATTTTTACCTCTTGACAAAATTTTTGTCTTTTCCGCTTTTGGATACCACCCTCTTAGCAATCAGGACAGTACCTTACCTGTGGGAACACTTGATAAATGCCTGTTGAACTGAGTATTGATTAGCCTATCTCAATATTCTCATCACACACCCTAAAGGAAGAGGCTGTAGATTATTCACCAAACATATTATTGAGTGTCTGTAGTATGGTCTTGGTCATCAAGGGCTTATAGTATCGTGGAAAAACCTTCACTGCTAATCATTTCTTCTACATTTACTTTGTTCCAAGCCCTTTCATCTACATTTTATTATTTAATCTAAACTGAAAGGAAGTTGATGTTTCCTTTCTCATCCTGTAGATGGAGAAACTGACACTTAGGAATGATAGCTCATCCAAGATAACGTAGCACTATGAGGCAGAATTTAGACCCAGGCCTCTCTGACTTTAAAGTCCACTTACTGGATAACAAATATTTGTTGAAGGCCAATTTTGTGGGCAAGGAGCCAGCCAGTTAAGATTTGGGATGAAGAAAGACAAACCAATGCTGCTCCTAAGAATTCAGTTTGCTAGAGGAGATAGGCTAGAATATAGATGTGGATGCTACAGTGCATTGAGTGCTACTATACTAGAGGTAAATAGTGGATTTACTTAGAAGAATCAAACAGCCCAGAGAGCTTTCTTGGATTGATTCCTGAAGAACATTATACAAGGCATATGGATTTTTATTTATTTTTTAAATTATTATTATTATTATTATTATTGGTGAGGTCCAAGGCTAAGAAAAAGAGAATGCCACCAAGCAGAGGGAGCAGCTTCCTGGAAAGCCAATAGAGGGTAGAGAGAATTGTTTGAGTTGCAGGAACAGCAAGTGGTTCAGGATGGTAGGAACCCTGGGAACCTGGTGGAGTGAGGAAGTAAGAGGTAAGATAAGATGTGAAGCTCTAGAGGTAAACAAAGAACAGATTTTCCTAGGGTTTGTGTTCCTTGCTAAGGAGTTCAGAATTATCTTGGAGGCATCAGAGAAACCAAAAAGAACTCTCTCTCTCTCCTTTTTTTTTCCTTTGCAAATAACCACATGGCTAAGGCCCTGCCTGAGAGTAACAATAGCTTTCATTTATTGGGTTGCAGCCTTGGGTCAGCTTTCTATGGTAGGCATTTCAGAGAGACTGTATTATCTCTGTTAAGCAGATATTACATCTATTTTATGAATGAGGATCATAGAGGTGAAGTGATGTTGCCCAGGCCACACAACTAATAAGTGGGAGGATCTTTTAGACTCTGGCTTTTTTCAGGACACCATGCTTTTTCTCAGTCATGATTTATTCCGATAAGTAGTGGCATAAATTACATAACCTGTGCTTTTCTGTTTCGGAGATCCTGAGGAACCAATAATATGTGAGAAAATATGTTTCTAAATATGACTTTTGTAACCAGGTTTTACGTTTGTGTAATGCAAGAAAGATGCTTTTGGCCCCCTCTCCCCTTTCCTGGCTTTCCAAGTCAAGGAAGTAAACAAAATTACACTTCTAAATTTTGATTGACTTGAAAACATGATATAAAAACAAAGTTCAGGTATTATTTTGGGAATGAGTCTATCAAAAGAGTCATTTTAGATTTGAAAAGCTATTTTTTAAAATTCTTGAGTGTTCTATAATCCTACTCGAATGAGGGCATTTAGGTAACTGTAAAGGCAGCTGTTCTTTCTTTTGTTTCTCATGCAGGATCATGGAGTGGATGGGTTTCTAGTGAGAAAAATGTACTTCAAATGAACTAGTATAGTTTCCAATTCATGGTTTGATATTAATTTCCAAATCTATGAGTGACTTAGAATTTTTTTAATTGTAAATGATCTCACAGCTAGAATATTGACCAGTGTCATTGGCATTGATTTGTTTTTCAGTTACTAACATTAAATAATTATTGTAATTGTTGGATTCTCCTTTACCAGATAGCACTACGTTTGTTCTGGATTCAAGTTTAACTATGTCACGTAGTTTTATTTTTATATCTTGTCCAACTGCACCCTGGTCATGTTCCAGACCACCTATCTTGATATTTGCTTTGCTCTTTTCCCAAAGACTACCTGGAACTCATCCTTCCTGATGCCAGCTCAGTGAATTTAATCTGCCTTTTATTTGTAAAAAGTTGTCTTGAATGGTGGGCATTCCTTCTTTGCTGGTCTTGCTTCTTGGCTTTAGGTGTCCTTGAGCAGCTAGGAATTGCTTTCCAGGTGACTTTGCAAATGCTGTTTTATGGGTGCTTTTGGTAAGGAAGCATGAGGGAAAAACAACACCTGAAGGAAGCGGCCACTTCTCATGCATTTCATGTTCTAGTGACAGTGATTGTGGTAGATTAAGGTTAATGATATTGATTATATAGAGAAGGCCCCTTCTGGTTATGTCTGTGGTGTTTGCTTGATACTTAGCAGAATGAAAAATAAAATGCATCTAGATTTAAGTGGGAAGAATGGCTTCAAATAAGAGTGTTATCATGTCAGTATTTTTGAGAAAATTGTAACTGGAGGGGGGTAGGGATATTGTACAGAATTTGATTGTTGAACGAAGAACACAAGTGCCATCCCAGCCCTGAATATATGAAGATAACACCGCCCTCTTCCATCTTCTTCAGAACCAGAACTTGGACATTTGGATGTTTGACTTTGCATTCAGGGCATTGTTCAGAGGGCCTGGTTGAGTAAAATTTGGCCCATGCCTATCAAAATAGATCCTGTTAAATTTCTAAGTACCTCTGAAAGTTGTAGGGGGATGATTATAAACTGACATTGCCAATGAAGAGGAAGCATGGTGCCTTGAACCAAGAACACAGGTGTGAGTCTGGAGACCCACATGAGGCCTCTGGGTCTGTGTGGATTAGTCCTTCCATTAGGCGTGTGATTTAATCTCTTAGAGTCTTCATCTATAAAGTAGAGATGATGATATCTCACCTGAATATGTCACATTACTGTTGTGAGAGGGAAATATGATATATGTGAAAGTTTCTTAAAGTGAAAATTAGAAAAATAATAATAATGATATGTGTATAGTTACACCTACACAAAGTATGTATTCATTAACAAAGATCAGAAGGGAAGGTGAAGTGATATAGAGTGAAATTCACATTTAAGTTTTTGTTCATGCAAAATTGTCTAAGTGTAGGCTAAAAATTTTGCGAGGTGTCTATCCTATAAATATAGCAGCAATGAATATCTCCAGCCCTCTTTCCTGCAGCAGTTTATTCATCTTTTTTTAAGGTACTTTCTAAATTGGGTCTTTCCTGTTTTAGAGATGAAAACAATAAAGAGAACTACCCCGACGCAGGGGCTCTGGTAGAAGAGCACGCGCCGCCCTCTTGGGAGCCGCAGCAGCAGAATGTAGAGGCGACCGTGCTGGTGGACAGCGTATTGCGACCCAGCATGGGCAACTTCAAGTCCAGGAAGCCCAAGTCCATCTTCAAAGCGGAGAGCGGGAGGAGCCACGGAGAAAGTCAGGTAGCAGCTCTCTCTTCTCAGGCTTTTGCCAAGACGGGTGATTCTTAGGCTAGGCCACACGGTTCTGGCAGACGATTTGAGCGCACTGTTTTGCGGGAGGGGATTGGCACGACTTGTCATTGCGTGCTCTGCCGACCTGAGACACGTGGAAGCTCTTGCAGGTTAAAAGTTGGGTGCTCTGAGCCGGCTAATAATTTGGTGCCCCTTAAAACGTGTTCTTAAATATTGGACTTTGATTTATTTTTTAATTTTTATTTATTTATTTTTATTTTTGGAGACAGAGTTTCGTTCTATCCCCCAGGCTGGAGCACAGTGGCGCCATCTCGGCTCCCTGCAACCTCCGCCTCCTGAGTTCAAACGATTCTCCTGCCTTAGCCTCCTGAGTAGCTGGGATTACAGGCGCCTGCCACCATGCCTGGCTAATTTTTTTGTATTTTTAGTAGAGACAGGGTTTCGCCATGTTGGCCAGGCTGGTCTCCAACACCTGACCTCAGGTGATCCACCCGCCTCGGCCTCCCAAAGTGCTGCGAACAGGCGTGAGCCACCACGCCTGGAGATTGGACTTTGATTTAAAGGAGCAGCTGCATTCTTTTGCGGGGAAGATGGAGGAGGATCTCTCTGTTGTCATTCATCCAGGATGTTTTCGTGCCTCAGACGTGGGGATTCTGCTCAGCAAAATCAGAAGTCTCAGTTTCATCCAGAGCTATTCTTTTAGGCTGAAGTTTAGCGGACTGGAATAAACATACTAGTATGTATGTGTGTGTAGTATCTGGTTTTCTGACGTCAATTAGTATTTAAATGAATAAAGGAAACATCTTTCCAATACATTTTGATAGTAAATGGATATTTTATTAATTAAAACTTTTTTTGTATAAGAATGTAGCAAAGACTATTAAAATCCCTGATACATATGATTCATGATGCTTTTTTTTTTTTTTGAGACAGGGTCTCACTCTGTCAACCAGGCTGGAGTGCAGTGGCACAATCTCAGGTCACTACAACCTCCACCGCCGGGTTCAAGTGATCCTCCCACCTCAGCCTCCCCTATTAGCTGGGACTACAGGTGTGAGCCACCGTGCCCAGCTAATTTTTGTATTTTCTTTGTAGAGACGGGGTTTCACCATGTTGACCAGGCAAGTGCTGACCTCAAGTGATCCACCTGCCTCAGCCTCCCAAAGTGCTCGGGTTGTGAAAGTGAGCCACCACGCCTGGCCTTTCTGATGCTTTTAAAAAAGATTGAATTATCTACTCTAACTCGTAATTACAAAGTGGTAATATTTCTATAGTTGAGATTTTACGTGTAATGCACCTAACATATTTTTGGGGACATGGAAGTTCCATAAGCGTTAACTTTGCTTTTTTGTTAACATTTAGATGTTAACTTTAAAAATAATGTGGGAGGCTTTAAGTGTAATAGGTTAATTTTGTAATAACTTTTAAGCCCAGTCCTGTTTAGCAAACATGCATCAGGAGATCTTCCTGTTATAACAACTTTGGCTGGGCAGGTTTTTTAACCATGCAATTTTGTTATTTGCTTTGTGATTTTTATCTTCCTTCTTCCTTGGCATTGCAACCTCTTATTTAGTCAGTTAATTTCATAGTGAGATGAAAATGCCCTCTGCATTAATGAAGGTGTGTTGTGATGATCTTAAACAGAGTGTAACTCTTGTTGCAGCGAAGTGAGTGTGAAATACCATTTGAGTTATGATAAGCTTGAGATTATTACTGAATGCACTCCAGCACCTAACTAATTAGGAGAGTCATGCTGGGGAGGGCACAGGTTCCCCAAAGGCTGCCCCCAGGTCTGACTGATCCCAGGGATGTGCTGACCTTGAATCTCCTACCAGGAGTCACGTATGACATAGTAAGTTTCAGGGTGACCAGCCATCTCTCCTCAGACTACCCTCTTTCTTTTCATCCTGTAGTCTGGCCTCACAGAAATTACACAGTTGTCACTTGTAATAAGGTGCTAATGGGGCATGTAATTCCCAGCCTGTTGCTCATACACAGGTAGATTTCAGGGGAGAAATGTGCTTGTATAGTCTTTGCTCATAATACAGCATTGGAATCCTGGACTGCAGGTAAAATTCCCACTGGAATTTAAGTGGCCTGTTCTATCTGATACAATGAGCTTCATTCTCAAATGCTTTCCATTCCAAGCAAGACATTTGTTGAATAATGGAATTTTCCAATTATATTGGGGATAAAAGAAGACAGATTATTATTGAATGTATACAAATTATCCTATTGCCGTAAGAATGTAAGGACACTTGGTATGAGTTTCTGAACTCTGGGGATCAGTGAGACTCGGATGCCATTTTTAAATGTTTTATTTCAGTTTATATTAGCAGCATCTACTAAATTGTTGTGAATTACAGATAGTTGAAGTATAGAGAGGACTTCTTATATATTCAAAAATAGAACAATAAAAATAATATACTAAATAAATAACCAACATAAAATTTTCCTTGGTAGTCCATTCAATCTTATTATTATTTTTATTATTTGAGACAAAATTTCCCTCTGTCACCCAGGCTGGAGTACAGTGGTGTGATCATGGCTCACTGCAACCTCCGCCTCCCAGGCTCAAGGGATCCTCCTGCCTCAACCTCCCAAGTAATGGAGACTACGGGCATGTGCCACCACGCCCTGCTAATTTTTTTTTTTGTATTTTTAGTAGAGATGGGGTTTCACCATGTTGGCCAGGCTGGTCTCAAATAATCTGCCCTCTTCAGCCTCCCAAAGTGCTGGGAATATAGGCATGAGCCACTACACCCAGCCTCAGTCAGTCTTGTGTAATTAATTCTTGTTCCTCTTGATCTTGGGCTAGTGGTATCATGAAGCTGTCTGCTTCTCCACTAAAGTTCTACAAATCCTGACTCAGCCCACTGGTGTCATCAGATGCCTGTATCCAAGAGTCTGTCATTTGAAGTGTCAATTGTTTAAAGTGTCTGGTCCTTTACTATGAGGCTCTTGAGATTTATCTTTGCCAAAGACACAAACTGTAGCCTAAAGCTGAATAAAACCTCAGGCAACCATTGAAGGAAAATGTAACCATCTATAGATGACAGAAATAGGAATCACTGTGGTTAGTTTACTACTGATAATTTTAAAATGTGAAAGGTCTGATGAGAGTTTATAATAAGCATAGCACGTAATGTGACATGCAAAAAAAGACAGTAAAATCGTTCCACCAAAATTAGAATGTCTTGAAGGATAATGAGTAAGCCGATTTTTAAAGAAGTCAAGGAATGTTATTTCTGATTTTATAAAAATGAATGAATATAGTTTTTACAGAGAAAAAAAACCTCAAGATATAATACTCTTAAAAGATTCAGCTGGGCATTGTGGCTCACGCCTGTAATCCCAGCACTTTGTAAGACCGAGGCGGGTGGATCACAAGGTCAGGAGTTCGAGACCAGCCTGGCCAACATAGTGAAGCCCCATCTCTATTAAAAATACAAAAATCAGCCAGGCATGGTAGTGCACGCCTATAGTCCCAGCTACTCGGGAGGCTGAGGCAGAATTCCTTGAACCCGGGAGGCAGAGGTTGCAGTGAATCAAGATCATGCCACTGCACTTCAGCCTGGGCAACAGAGCAAGACTCCATCTCAAAGGAAAAAAAAAGATTCATGAAGTCTGGAGTAGGTCATTAAACTCAATAGGCAAGTCTCATATACATCCCTGAGTAAAAGCCATTGGCCTAGATGTAGCTAGATTCAAATGAGAGAAATAACTGTGGATAAGTCAACATTCTAAATAATAACTACAGTTATCACTGCTCAGTGTCATTCTCTAATATCAGGCAAAGCTCCACCAGGACTTGGACAAATATGGGAGAATTTGATAGAACTATTTCATAAGAGTTTTGATCGCAGGGTAAATGTCACATTAATTAGGTTTACCATGCAGTATGGTTGAGAGAGTGGTTCTGTTTGTAAAGGTGGATTTATTTGGGGCAACTTGGGCTTATGTTGCAGCTACAAATCTTACCTGATGCTTGCTGCCATCATCAAAACACTGAGTTCTAATGAGTGTGCTATGGGATCATCATTCCCCAAAATCACTTATAAAGGCCCTATGGGCATAACCTTTATAAATTTAAAGACAACCCTCTTTGAAACTGAAAAGCACCATCATAGATATTGCGCTACTGCCATATTGGGGTTCTTTTTTTTCACAAAGTTTGGATGTAGGACCTCAGAGTGGCTCTTCAGTCTGATCCTAACCAGGTTAAAAACAAAGGTGTAAATAATCCTACTGTAAAGACACATGCACACGTATGTTTATTGCAGCACTATTCACAATAGCAAAGACTTGGAACCAACTGAAATGTTCCATCAATGATAGACTGGATAAAGAAAATGTGGCACATATACACCATGGAATACTATGCAGCCATATAAAAGGATGAGTTCATGTCCTTTGCAGGGACATGGATGAAGCTGGAAACCATCATTCTCAGCAAACTATCACACAACAGAAAACCAAACACTGCATGTTCTCACTCATAAGTGGGAGTTGAACAATGAGAACACATGGACATAGGGAGGGGAACATCACACACTGGGGCCTGTTGCGGGGTGGGGGGCTAGGGGAGGGATAACATTAGGAGAAATACCTAATGTAGGTGACAGGTTGATGGGTGCAGCAAGACACCAAGGCACGTGTATATCTATGTAACAAAATTGCACATTCTGCACGTGTACCCCAGAACTTAAAGTATAATAGTAAAAAATTAAAAAAAAAAATAGGTGTGGGGCAGATAAAAGGAGCCAGATGGTAACTGTCTAAAGTTTGGCCTAATGCTCCACTTTTCTTACCTTTATTCTGATCGCCAAAGTCAGAATCAGAAGTTCTACTTCTGGAGGATCAGATTCAAATTTTAGTTTGAGCAACTTTCCTTTAATGTTGGCAATGACCACTTATATAAGAATGAACCATGGGTGGGGTGGAGGAATCTGAGATTTTGTGTGTATTCGTGAATGAAAGATTCCAGTTTTGCACCAACTTTGAGTGAAAAAATGGAAAGGGGAGAGATTTAGTTATATTTACTGATAGAACAGAATACCAGGAACTGGAAGGCAATGCAAGAATGCCCCCAAATAAGTTAAGGTATTTAGAAGGAGAACGCTTATTTGAATTGGAATCAGTTTTCCTTTCTGCTTGTTTATCTCTTTTTTCCTTAGACAATAGGCTTTGCAAAAGAATGCCTTAAATAAGGACCATTTAATGACCTGTCTCCTGGAAAGATAGGTTTTAGGGATGCTATTGCCAGAGTTCATTGAGATAATGAATCCTGAAGTTAGGAGATGTTGAGTTGGTTGGTGCTAAGGATAAACTCCTGATCAAAGTGGAATCCAGTGACAGTTTGCCCTTATGTGATATCTAATTAGATAGAAAACACCCTTTCCAAAAAGGAGAACTGATTTAAGGCACAGATTATATGTTGTAATAGTTTGTGAAAAATTAACAATGATCCTGTATTGATCACCATGTAAATCATAAAATTAATCCCTGACAACCAAATTTGGGGAGGATGAGACTTAACTAATGGAACCAACTTCCTGTAATGGACCTCATAACTGTCCAGAAGGCACTCATTTTTAGCAATGGTAGAGGCAGTCTTGTCATCCCCACTCCGTGCCATCTGGCATCATGCTATGCACTGTCCTGCTGCCCTCCCCTCTGGTGGCTATTTTAGCAGAAGACAAAAAGTAGGAGGCTATATAGAGCTTTTCTGCAGTGAGCTGTACACTGTGATCATACTGCTAATCCACTTCCTTGGGGAGACCAGCTGTTTGGTCTGGTGTATATCAGCATCAGGTTTCTTCCACTTGGCCCTGTAGATGTGTTAAGAGGCTGAAGAGAAATCTAAGTCTGATTGTGAAATCTTCATTTTTATCTTTCTACAGACACAAAGCTCCCTAGATGCTTTCAGGCAAAATAACCTAACTATAAAATATTTACTATATTTCTGGTATTGTAGAGCATAGTTCTTATTCTTACTGTATTACACTCTGAATTAAAATAAGGACAATAGTTAATTCTGGGCCATTTCTACCCTCCCCTACAAAAGAACTAAGATTATGTTTTCAATTATGGACGTACTTTATATGCATTTTTTTCTTGATGTATTACTGATCCAGTGAGCAACTTCAAACAGTAAAAGCAAGAAAACCAGTACAGCTTATTGACTTTGAAAGCACTGGAAAGCTAAAATAAACCTTGAATAGAATTCCACTCCCTTTTCAGTGAGAGGAAGACTTAGGTTCTGATTATGGCTTTGAGGGCTCTATTCTTGCAGTGTGTCTAAAGCATGAATTCACTGAGATCCTAAAAATTGGTCTTAGTTAGACAATTGTTTTGACACCTTAGTTCATGTTGTATTATTTCTCATGCATGATTTAGTAGCTCCAGTTTACATGTTTTACTTCAGTTTTTGATTAGGTGTGGGTTTGCTGGAAGATTTGTTCCTGGTCAGGAAGAAAAGTGGTCCTCTGGGTTTATCTTCCAAGTTCTCCTTCACTCTTCCAAGATAAAATGGTGAAGATTCGGGGGACAGGGCTCTGAGAAATGCAGGGTCCTTGAAAGTGAGATTAGCTGAGTCAAATGTTTGGGTTTACTGGTTTCCTGTGGTCTATCAGATTCTGATCCTCCTCTTTGAATTAACAAGTCTATTGTTAAGGCTTAATGATTAAGCCGATGAAAAATGGTATTTTTAGGAGGGAACCTGGGATGTCTGTAAAATCACTTTATCACTTTGTTTTTGGAAATATACAAATATATTCAGCTTAAATACTGACATGAAGGAATCTTAAAATGAAGTGATGTACTTAGTTTGCCTGGGCAATACATCTCAGAAATGGAAAATCCTAGTACTCAGACAGAATTTGCATTCAAAACAATGTAATTTATTTGAGTCTTTTAAGTTAACCAATGGAGAATTTGATAATTTGGTATTGTAGCACTCAGGGCCGCATTGCATAACTGATATTCCATCTGTGATGGAAGTTACAGAAGAATCCTCCTTGAAATAATAAACACAAGCGTATCGATGGTGTTGGTTGAGTATAGCAATGGAGGATGGCAAGGACTGATCTCTGCTTACATGCTGCTTGGAATATTAAACAGAGGTGCAGGTGGCTGCCATACAGGATGACTGTTAAAATTGTCCATTTGCCACTTCCTATGCATCTTTTACATACTTAAATAAATTCTAATTTAAAGAATTTACGGTTTTTCCTATATAGTTCCAAAGAGAGTTTCTAACATTATATGGCCATATAAATTCAGGCCAGTCAAGATCTACCGACACATAGAGAGAAGAAGAGCGTCCATGGGGCACCTTTGTCCTATTGGTACCTGTTGTGCCTCCATTGGGTTCCGAGACCTGCTGCCTCTACTGTGGAGAAGTTTCCTTTAATAAACTCCAGAGATAAATAGTTGAGTATCAGTTTAGTGATGTGGTAAAATGCATGGTCTATAGCTGCAGTTGGATATGAGTTCAAATTCCTTCTGCTACTTTCTTTCTGTGTGACTTTAAGCATCACTTACTAGCTCTGTGTCATTTTTCCTATCTTTAAACTGGAGATGGCAATTGTATCTATCTTAAGAGGTTGTTGAGGATTAAAGTTAATGATATAAACGTAAACATTCAAATTTTAGGGGATTAGAAGTAGTTTACAGGCCGGGCGTGATGGCTCAAGCCTGTAATCCCAGCACTTTGGGAGGCTGAGACGGGCGGATCACGAGGTCAGGAGATCGAGACCATTCTGGCTAACATGGTGAAACCCCGTCTCTACTAAAAATAAAAAAAAAAAATCAGCCGTGCGTGGTGGCGGGCGCCTGTAGTCCCAGCTACTTGGGAGGCCGAGGCAGGAGAATGGCGTGAACCTGGGGGGCGGAACTTGCAGTGAGCCGAGATCGCGCTGCTGCACTCCAGCCTGGGCGACAGAGCGAGACTCTGTCTCAAAAAAAAAAAAGAAAAAAAGAAGTAGTTTATAGAGGCCGGGCGCGGCGGCTCATGCCTGTAATCCCAGCACTTTCGGAGGCCAAGGTGGGCGGATCGCGAGGTCAGGAAATCGAGACCATCCTGGCTAAAACGGTGAAACCCCATCTCTACTAAAAACACAAAAAAATTAGCTGGGCGTGGTGGCGGGTGCCTGTAGTCCCAGCTACTCGGGAAGCTGAGGCAGAAGAATGGCGGGAACCCGGGAGGCAGAGCTTGCAGTGAGCCGAGATCGTGCCACTGCACTCCAGCCTGGGCGACAGAGCGAGACTCCATCTCAAAAAAAAAAAGAAAAAAGAAAAAAAAAAAGAAATAGTTTATAGAGTATTTTATAGACTCATTTGGCTGGCAAAAACACGAAAACCTCCTTAATTGCATATTTCATGTGGTGGGCTAGGCTGAACTCTGCTGCAATAACAAATAACCCAAATACGTAGTGATTTAAACCAACAAAAGTGCATTTCTCACACATGGTACATAACCATCATTGGTCACCAGTAGGTGTCTGTTCACCTCAGTCAACTAAAGACTCAAGTAAATGAAACAGTTGTAGTCTTGAATGTTGCTAGTTTCCAAGTTAGAGAGCAAGATTTTTTGAGGGTCCTGCACCAACTATTACAAGCTCCAGGCCTGAAGTAACACACAGCATTTCCATTCTCTACTAATTGTCCAGAGCTGGTCAATGCTTTGCCGTAACCATAACCCCATAACTCAATGGACCAAGAAGTACAATTCTATAGTATGTCCTAAGGGGGAGAATGAAATACTGGACAATAGCACTAATGACTTCCACATCCTCTACTCAAAGTAGCACATAATCCAAAGCAAGATGAAGTTAATTGGTCTTTTTTCTTTTCTAGCCCTTCACACTACTGAAGTAATGTTATTAATGTGAAGGACTAAGAGAAGAAAAAGAATATTAATTAGGTTAATTAAGTATCACCAAAGGATATACGTGCTATTATATTATTGTTTTGAACAGGAACTGAAGTTTTGTAGAAGCATCCCTTCAGTGAAACACCTGCTTCATTATGATAGGGAACAAAGAAGTAGGTCTAGCATTGATTTCTTCTTTTCTTCCAAATGAAACTTCAAGCTCATTAATTTTGCTATTTTATTTAGGAATAATCGTGGTCTTGCTCTCGCTATAAGATTGGAGTGATTTTGGGTTATGCCAGCTGAACCTGTGGTGCCATGATTTAGAGACATTTTAAAATTTGATTCAAAAATACTTTCTGAAGAAAGGGGATTTAACAATCTGGATATTGTCAGATATGGGAGCTGGGTTTCTGCACACACATACATATGCAAATGCACATCCTTGTGTTCTTTGTGATATTTATCCAAGAGCAGGGTGTTCTTTAGGCAAAGAAAACAGCTTATCAAGGACTTAGCCTGTTTTGGAGCTTAGAAGTAAAGCTGTTTGGAAAGTCTGGATAGCAGAAACAAAATGAACTGACATTTTGGGTAACTAAGAAGTGCCCATCTTAACTTTATTAAACATGGTTAAATAACACTCAGGAACTGAGGCATAACATATTAACCTCAAGTCTGCAATTTCGGACCCCATAGTTTTCAAGAGATGTAGTTGCCAGATAAAATATGGGATGCCCAGTTAAATTTGAATTTCAGATAAACAACAAAGAATAGTTTTAGATTAAGTATGTCCCAAATATTGCATGGGGTATACTTACGTAAATTACTTACTAAACATAAATTCATTATCTATCTGAAATTCAAATTTAACTGGGCATCCTGTGTTTTTATCTGCTAACTCTGGGTGACCCTATCAAAAATGAATGGCATGAATGTTTAATCAAACGCACCTTCTCCTCCCAAGGTAGAAATAACCAGTTGTACTCATGTGGTCTGAGAGCTGCCAGGATTTTTTTTTTTTTAGTTCAAACTTTAAAGGGTAAAGTTTGAGTGGAAAGGAAGTTAGCAGACTAAGTCTAGGAGGTTTGTTTCTCTATTTATTTTATTTTTAGTGTTCAAACAGCATGAAACATCCTGGAAAAAGCTGCTCACTCTCTTGGGATAATAAAGCCTTGAAAATTTGATAGATGTTCTCAAAAAGTTTGAAAATCTGCCCTCAAAGTCTGCACACCACCTTCCCATAGGATACTGCTTGCCATGAGCAGAGGCTGTCATCAAGTCAATAGGAAGGCTGACTTTCATGAGCCAGCTTCTGTGTTAAAATGATCAAAAGTGACATCGCTCCTGGCACAAATATACAGAACAATGGTGCCATGTTTTGAGTATTAATCCTGTTGGAGATAAGCAGTCAGCCAGAACACTGTGGCTTTGAAAACTGCTGCTCTAGACTGAGGCTAGTGTCACAGGTGAGGATAAATTAACTATTTTAAGCATCATTTTATTATGTAGATACCTCTAGGCACAGGTAACTGATGTGCTTGAATTATGAAGGAACTTTGCCTTCCCACCCAACAAAGCTCATCGTGTTTTGTTATTAATCATTTTTATTTTTGCTGAACCCTCTATACCTCTACTGCTTATCAGTTGTGGCCACAATTAGGGGATTTCTTTCTTTCTTTTTCCTTTTTTCGAGAAGGAGGAGTTTTGCTCTTGTTGCCGAGGCTGAAGTGCAATGGTGCGATCTCAGCTCACCGCAACCTCCACCTTCCGGGTTCAAGCGATTCTCCTGCCTCAGCCTCCTGAGTAGCTGGGATTACAGGCATGCACCACCATGCCCAGCTAATTTTTTGTATTTTCAGTAGAGACGGGGTTTCTCCATGTTGGTCAGGCTGGTCTTGAGCTCCCGACCTCAGGTGACCCGCCCGCCTCGGCCTCTCAAAGTGCTGGGATTACAGGCGTGAGCCACTGCGCCTGGCCAGGGATTTCTTTCAGGAACAAAGATGTTCAGCACTGCCTCTTTTGTTCTTTAACATGCTGAGCTACAATATTATGATTGCTTGGCTTGGTAATGTTGCTGTGTGCCAGGGAAATTTCTAATAGGAAAGGTCATTCTGGTGTCAGATTTTTAGGCTTTTCAGCTGTAGGTAACATGAAATAACCAAAGGGAGACCGTGAAGGTTTAAAGGTAAGTCGATTTGCCAGCGTGGTAGGGGTAGCAATTGGCGTTTAGAGTGTTTAAATCCAGGAAACACTGACCCTACTAAAGGTGCGACCTACCAGATTTAAAAATCACCAGGAGAAAATCAGTGAATGTGGTGCTTGTGGATCCACAGGAGGGCATTACGCCTCCCACCTCTTCCCTCTGTCAGGTTTTTCCTCCCTGTTGCTTACTGTCTTCTCAGCTGTACTGAAACTGACATTTGATTTAGGAACCCAGAGAGCGTGGTCCTCTGAAGACCCAGATATTGCTCTCTCTGAAACTCAAAAGGATGAAACAAAAGCCTGAACTAGTTTAACGCTAAATATTACATTGGTGCAAAAGTAATTGTGGTTTTTGCCAAGTAATGGCAAAAACCGCAGTTACTTTTGCACCAATCTAATATAAAATAAGCAAATACTAATGGTTTAAGGCTATTTCCTTTTATATTTTATTTATTTTTTTTCACTGGTTACCTATAAAGACTTTGACAGCTGTGACCTTTTCTACTTTATGTGAAGCATCAAGATGGAAATAGAGAAAAAAAGTACCAAACCCTATTATATATCTCTGAGTACCCCACTCCCACTTCATGCTAAAAAGCAGAATAGGGACTCAGCAGTTGGTTCTTGATGTAATGGAGAGTCCGAAGGAACAAGGGTCTGGGTGTTAGAGTCATTCTTGGGCCAAGTGCCAGGCAGGAATCTGGTGAGCTACACTCTAGCCCATGCAGCCTTGCTGTCTCCAGGATTTGGGGGTGAGTGAGGAGCCCAGGCAAACAGTCCACCAAGAGGTACTCAACTCTGTGCTGAGATAGGGATGGGCTCAAGGTAGACATCAGAATGAGGGAGAAGCAGGGAACTGGCACTAGAGGAGACAGGATTATAATCTCTGGGCAATGGAGATAATATTCTAACTCAGAAAATAATAAAACTCTTAGCAGACTCTTTTTAAAAAAAATTTTTTTTTAATCAGAAAATTCAGTAACTGCAACAATTCTTGAGCATTATTTTCCTGTAATTGAAATGTTCATTATTTGGTTAAAATTTCAGAAATGACACACCTAGGGTTTATTACAGCATCTGATTGCAAGGCCATAACTGTGAACACATTTTGTTGTTGACTAAGATACTTTCGAAGTTGGTTTATTTTGGCTTTCTCTTACTTACTTGTGAACTAATTGCTAAATGTGATTTGTCTCAGAGCCTTTTAGTGTTGTGTTCTTTAGAAGGAAATGTTTCCATTGCAAACAAGACTAAAAAGCCTATCTTCAACACACACACACATAAAATAATCCTCTACCTCCTTATTTTGGAATGGATGATTTTAATCAGTCATCTTTTTTAATGCTATGCTGGGACCTCTGTTATATTTTGAAAACAACCTGCCCTATGCACACTGAGCTGGCCTTTCCTTTCACTTCTCAAACTATCAGTTTCACTAGCAATCCCTTTTGGGGCAAAACTATCAGTGAGTTTTGCTCAATTTTCCAAATTAGGTTTGGTAACGTGGTGTTTCATCAGTGATGCTGGGTTGACTGTGCCTAAGGGAGCCTTTGTTTTCCCTCTTGTAAGTTGAGGGGAGTAAAGACATGAGTGATAGTGGAATTCAAGAGCTGCCACCTAATTTATCATCCATGTACTGTTGGATGTGGAAAGGATGGGAGAATGGAAGCTAGACAGGAGGTTTGTAGGGGCTGGATTGTAAGGGCCTTGGATTCCATCCTAATGAGTTTTCTTATTCTGATACTTCACAAACATTTTTCTATTTCTACTTCTAACAGCTGAGGAGACTGAACTTTTACCATAAGAGGGAATTTCTTTGAAATCTCCCTATAGGGAATATTTTCCCTCTTGTATGTTGAAGGGAGAAGTAGGTTGAGTAGTGTCCCCCTTCAAATTCGTGTCCACTTGGAACCTCAGAATGTGACCTTTAATAGCAATAGGGTCTTTGCAGATATAATTAACATAAGAATTCAGATGAGATCATCTTGAATATTTAGGGTGAGTCCTAAAGCCAACGCCTGGTGTCCTTACAAGTAGAGGAGCAGACACAGAGAGACATGCAGGGAATAAGGCCATGTAAGGATGGGGGCGGAGGCTGGAGTGATGATGCCAGAAGCCAAGGAGTGCCAGCAGTCACCTGGAGCTGGAAAGGCAAGGAAGGATTTTCCCCCAGAGCCTTTGGAGAGAGCATGGCCCTGCTGAAACCTTGATTTTGGACTTCTGGCCTCCACAACTGTGAGAGAATAAAGTTCTGCTGTTTTTAAGCCAACAAATTATGGTAATCTGTCACTGTAACCCTAGGAAACTAATACAAGAAGGGGCTTCCTGAAGTTAGAGTGGGCTGGCTCCTTGCTGCTCCAGGGGAACTGGCAGGAACTGATGGGATTCTGTTCCAGGAGGATGTGAGGCACTAAGTAGACTGGCAAGGCAGAGACATATGGGCATAGGGCAATATGACTGGGATCCAGTGACTACACAATGGTATGGAGTGGGGACTTCTACCTTGGGGAAGCTGAGGCAGGTTGATGACTAGTCATTTAGATTTAGTAGTTGTATCGAAGATGGAGAATTAGCTACAACATGGCTGGTAACCAGGTAGAACATATGATCTTACGGCCTGACTTTCTCAAAATCATAAATGTAGTTGACGCTTTGTGCAGGATGTTAGTTTTATTATCAATTTTGGCACAGTTAGATGGCAAGATGCAGAGTTTATTGACCATCAGTCCAGGTTTTGAACTAATAGAATGATTCAGGACCCTCTTTCTTCATTCCTTTAACAACCGACATTGGAGGGTGACTCTGCTTGAGAGGCCATGGACTTCTGTAGTTGTGGATGCAAAAAGAGATGAGCCCTGGTGTTTGGGCTTGGGACAGGCATGTTATCTGTCCTGGGGAAACAGTGAGAGGAACAGGCAGTGGAGTCCTTAGCATGCACTGGCAAGAGCACTGCCTCTGTTGTCATTTTTTTCATTCCTGCATCCCAGTGAAGCATCTAAGGTTAACAATCTGAAAAATGAGGGATAATATGACCCACCTATTAGGTTATTTGAAAGATTAAATGAGATAATCCTTTTAAAATATCTACTGTAATACATAGTACATAGTAAAAGCTCAATAAATGTTAGAATGTTAGCTGTTAGTATGGTTATTGTATCCTAATACATTATGACAACAGTGAGAATGAAAATGAAAAGTTCAGGCTGGGCATGGTGTCTCACGCCTGTAATCCCAGCATTTTGGGAGGCTGAGGTGGGTGGATTACCTGAGGTCAGGAATTCGAGACCAGGCGGGCCAACATGGTGAAACTCTGTCTCCACTAAAAATACAAAAATTAGACAGGCATGGTGGCAGGTGCCTGTAATCCCAGCTACTCGGGAGGCCGAGGCAGGAGAATTGCTTGAACCCGGGAGGTGGAGGTTGCAATGAGCAGAGATCATACCATTGCACTCTAGCCTGGGTGACAAGAATGAAACTCTATCTCAAAAAAAAAAAAAAAAAAAAAAAAAAAAAGAAAAAGAAAAAAAAGAAAATGGAAAGTTCCTATCCTGTCTGGAAAAGACTGATTGTTCTGTGGCCACAGTGACAAGTGACCAGTAACCATCAGAATGTATTGTTTTGTACCTGTTTAACTGGGTCAATAACAACTTGCTCTGGCAATCATTTGTGCTTTTGTAAGCTAGCCAGTCAGTTGCTTCTGAAAGCTAGCCAACACCACACACAGTTGTAAAGCCAGACAATTGGCAACAGCTAAACTCTAGTGCACATGCCCAGGCAAGTCAGCCAGTCAGCAACATTCTCACTCCAGCTTTACTTCTGCAGCTAAAGGTCAACTAATGCCTAAACATTCCAGCTTCTGGAAGTCTGCCAGTGCCTGCACTCTAAGGGTCTCCAAGCCCTATAGAAGATCAGCTCTCTCTGCTTTGCTCAGGGAGAATGCCTCTGAAAATACAGTTCTTCCTTGCTAATTTAGCAAGCAGTGAATTCAGTTTTTTGTTCAGATATTGGGTAGAGACCTCTTTCTTCAATGATAGAATTACAAATAAAGTGCTAAAAGATCACAAAAAAGAGGGCTATATGGAAAAGTTCACACAAGAGATGATTTTTGGCTCAAGTAGTAAAATGGGAGTTATTTAAGTAGAGAAAATTCCAGGAGGAGGGAGGTTTTCTAAGCTGAGGGAACACACTGTGAGTGAAGACATGAGTGATAGTGGAACTCAAGAGCTGCCACCTAATTTGTCATCCGTGAACTGTAGGATGTGGAAAGGATGGGGTGATGGAAGATAGACAGGAAGTTTGTAGAGGCTGGATTGTAAGGGCCTTGGATTCCATCCTAATGAGTTTTCTTATTCTGGTGCTTTGCAAACGTTTTTCTATTTCTAAGTTCTAACAGCTGAGGAGACTGAACTTTTACCATAAGAGGGAGTTTCTTTGAAATCTCCCTATAGAAGATATTTGTCATTCTATTTTGGCTGCCAAGCATCTGAACTCTGTTCTTGCACTTGGAGAATTTCCCATTGGAGGGAGAAAAGCAGAATGCTTTGTTCACTATAAAAGCTGAAAAGGCCACTATTTGTTTTTCCAGCCTCCCTTTCAGCTAGGACATGGGCACAACTGGGGTGATACCAGTCAGAAGTACACACCCTAATCTTGGCTTGAGAGAAGAAGCCAAGAAGTCAGCTCTAGGAGTGGAAGTGAATGCAGCAAGAAATGAGATCTGAGCCGTGAGCAGTGGTCATAGTGGTGGTGCCCATTGTTGAGTGCATGGTGTGAACATTACACACTGCAGAATTGACCTCTTTTCATCCATCCTAAGATTCACATATTTCCAACACTTTAATATCACTGAAGTCAGGATGCTCCTTATAAACAATGCTGTATAGAAGCTGATAAGCAGCATTATGTTTTTCTTAAAAAATAAAAAACAATAATATTAGGGTCAGTGTCATTGAAGATTTAGAATGCAGAAGAGTCTGCATTAGGGTGGCAGAAGAGTCCATGTTGGATTATTTTTGAGCACAATTTTACTGTGCTCTTTGCCTAGTAGTCCCTTGTCTGGTTTTCCAACCATTTAAGTTATTCTGTAAGCTTCTTAATAAATTCATCCTTTGGTTAAGTTACTTAGAGTTTGTTTCTATTGTTTGAAGCTAAGAACCCTGACTGGTATATGCTTGTCATCTGAAGAAGTCATGAGCATGCTGTAGTTTATTAAAATATCTGCTTTGATTCAAAAAAGCTTTTCTCTCTAAATCATCACTTAAATTTGATGTCCCAGGATACTATGTCATGTTAATGATTTATGCTAATAACTCATTCAAAAATATTTATTGAGTCTCTGTATGTGAGATTACGGAGAATGAGTCCTATGAGAGAGTGGCCTTCATGGAGCTTTTATTGCATTGGGCTTACCTTCCCCTGCAGAGCATTCCTGCTATTCCTATCCCCTGTGGACTTGACCCCAGGTAAACAAACACAATGTAGGCCATAGAAAGCTGATAGACACTTGAACTTAGGGAAGTGATGTTACTGCATCTGTTGTTAGGGACTGGTCCTTTCTTCAGTTATTCTCAACATCATTCACCTGGTGAAATTTTGTCTGCCTCCAGGGATTTCCTGTATCTTGAAGCTGTATGGAAATTAGTTTGAGGAGTGGCGCTGGTAGGGGGTGGGGTAGCCTTTGGGTTAGAGACATGGGGTATCTATTGGCCAAGCTGCAAATGCCTTTGGGTTCAATGTTCTAGGTATTAAGCTTTTCCTTTATTCCAGATAATTGCTATGTATCAAATTAAAGACTTCCTCAAAGTGAATGGTGCTAAAATTAATATTTGGGTCTCGTAGGTCCTTAGGCTTTTCCCAAGTCCACATAAAAACTTGCCATGTGTTACCTTTACGTAGAATATTCAATTCAGTCTGAATGTATTGTCTGATCTTATTGCATAGAAGGAAGCATGCTTTCTAAAGGGAGATCACCTCTGGGGGAATATATTCTACTTGTGGCTGAAGAGTCTGATTAAAGACTTAGCAATAAACAGCCCTAATGACTGTTAGTTGGGAAATTAGACATAGAGGCTATTTGAGCAGCCTTTGATAAAATGAAAGTTGGCCACTGTAGAGTTTGTCCTGCTTTATGCTAACATTGTAGCTAGAGACCTTTTAAGAGGAGCTAATATTTTGCACCTTTGTGGAACCTCATTCCCCAAATCTAGCACCTTGGGTATTACTGAAGGTATACTGGAGTATTACTGTTTATCTAACATTAAAGTCTTTTTTAAATTATTATTATACTTTAAGTTTTAGGGTACATGTGCCCAACGTGCAGGTTAGTTACATATATATACATGTGCCATGTTGGTGTGCTGCACCTGTTAACTCGTCATTTAACATTAGGTATATCTCCTAATGCTATCCCTCCCCCCACCCCACAACAGGCCCCGGTGTGTGATGTTCCCCTTCCTGTGTCCATGTGTTCTCATTGTTCAATTCCCACCTATGAGTAAGAACATGCAGTGTTTGGTTTTTTTGTCCTTGCGATAGTTTGCTGAGAATGATGGTTTCCAGCTTCATCCATGTCCCTACAAAGGACATGAACTCATCCTTTTTTATGGCTGCACAGTATTCCATGGTGTATATGTGGCACGTTTTCTTAATCCAGTCTATCATTGTTGGACATTTGGCTTGGTTCCAAGTCTTTGCTATTATGAATAGTGCTGCAATAAACATACGTGTGCATGTGTCTTTATAGCAGCATGATTTATAATCCTTTGGGTATATACCCAGTAAGTTTTGACATATTTGAATTACCATTAACATGCAAGTGAGTCCTAGGCATTCACAAGATATCACTATTTTCAAAATGTCTATTCTCTTTAGATATCTTAGAATAATTTTCTTGTCAGGATTTGCTTTATTATAGTTGTTAATTTGTTTTTAGTTTGAGATAGCACCATACATAATATTCCATTTCCTCCTTATTTTTATCCCAGTTTTTAAAAGTTTCTTAAATTGGTTTGCATGAAGGTGAAATCCATGTCAGCATTTCTGGTTTCTGATACAATACTATTTTCCTTTCTCATTTCCCCTGCCATCTCTTGTCTCTCTCAAAAGAAAAAAAACAAAACAAAATACAGAACCATGCATTCATTGTAAGATGGGAGAGCTCTGATGCTTCCACAATGTCTTTAAAAGGGGAATGCTGGAATGACATGATTCTCCTTTGTTAACTGTTCCACATTTTGTCAGAACAGTTGGACTTGCTCTAAAATCCTCAATGACTAGTTCAGCAGAAGGAAAGGCAGAGACGTCCCTTGTTGATACAAGAATATAAGGAGAGCCTAGTGTTGAAAGCTGTGGCATTAGTGCAGCAGCTTTAGTAGCTGAAGTAATATTTGTGATGGTAAATTTGGATTTTTCTCATGACTGCTTTGGAAATAGAAAAATAATTTGATTCTTGCTAAACTAAATAAAACAAACAAGGGAGCTTGAGAAATGAAACACTGAGGGATATTTGAAAGCAAAGAATAACAGACATACTTTAATAATTTCAGAAAATAACATGGTAGAGATTCCGTATCAACAGGCTGTTTGCCTTCTCAGCCCCCAAAAAAGGAATAAAAGGTGGGCTTTTCCCAGGAAGGTAGTGCTGGCTTTTAAGTAAAAGGATTTTAAAACTTATTTTTATTTATTTAATTTTTTTGAGATGGAATCTTGCTCTGTCACCCAGGCTGGAGTGCAGTGGAGTGATTTTGGCTCACTGCAAACTCCCTCTCACAGGTTCAAGCAACTCTCCTGCCTCAGCCTCCTGAGTAGCTGGGACTACTGGCATGTGCCACCGTGCCCGGCTAATTTTTTGTATTTTTAGTAGAGACGGGGTTTCACCATGTTGGCCAGGCTGGTCTCAAACTCCTGAACTCAGGTGATCTGCATGCCTCGGCCTCTCAAAGTGCAAGTAAGAGGTATTTAAGGGATCTTAAACCTCAGCTCAGAGGGAGATGATTTAAAATATACATATTTTCTTAATTCATATTAAAATCACAGAAATTAAGCCTGGCATGGTAACGTATGCCTGTAGTCCCGGCTGTTTTGGAGGCTGAAGGAGGAGGATCACTTGTGCCCAGAAGTTGGAGAGTCCAGCCTAGGCAACATAGCAAGACCTTGTCTCTTACCAATAAATGAATAAATAAATAAATAAATAAATAAGTGACAACAATAACAAAATACTCCCCAGAAATTAGCATTTCCTATTTTTAATATCATAGTAACCCTTTGAAGCCAAAATAATTCACTTGCTTCTATACTAGACCTAACAGGCCATGTGGCTGAGAAGTGAGGACAGACTTGACAAAGGGGCTTTCTTGTCATACCTCTGCTCTGTGCATAGGAATAAGTTCTAGCAGAAAGGCTTAAGCTTGTGGTGCCATATTCATAGGTGCTGACTCACTGCTCCAGTTGTTCCATTTAACCATGATTTTTGATTGCTTGCTTTTGAAAATTGTATTCCCTTATTAAAGTTTAACACAAGTAGAACATAAGGAACAGAGGCACCTATTTTAAAGAACAAGACAGAAGTCATACTATTGAGTGTACTTTTACTAATATTTAATGTTTCTTTTATTGTCTTGCCCTGATTTTCCTTATGGAGTTAAAATTCTTTAGCATTTCATTGCATTATGAAACAAGTGGGTCAGGCAATGAGCTTCCTTCTTGAAGATTCCATGACAACCCACTCTGCATTTTCTTCCTATTTCTCTTTCTTGGTCTTCTCTGCAGTATCCTTTCCATCTGCCTGTCCCTTAAATGTTTTAAAATGAAATATTCTTATTTTAGATTATAAAAGCAACACATACTCATTAAACAATTCAAGCAATTAAGTAATGTATAAATTAACATATCCCACATAAAAAAACCATAACTGCACAGTAATAATACACACACACACACACATATATATACAAACATATTGATCTACCCCTCCACCTCTCTCTGTGGGTTCTTACTATATATACATTATTTTGCAGCTTGAGTTTTGATTTAACAATATACCATCAGTGCTGTAAATATTGGCATTCCTCAGGGTTTTCTCCCAAGTTTTCTCTTCCCTCTCTGCCTACTCTGAATTGTGTTACCTCACTTGTGGTTTTGGTCACCCTCCTGATCATTCTCAAATATGTATTGCCAGCCCTAGTCTGTCTCTAAGATTCCAGCTCCTCTATTTATCATTGCCTACTTAGATGCTGCATGGGTCCTTCATACCCAACTCTCCATGAACACTGTTTCTCTTCCTGTGTCCATCTCATGGAACAGCAATAGCTTTCACCACATTTTCCCACTTAGAGATTTGGCATCACCATCTGTCCTTCTTTTTCATTCAACCACATCCTGTCAATCACCAGGTCTATTTTTTCTATCTCTTTAATATCTTTTTAGCTAATTTGTTATTCTCCATACTGCCTACCACCTCTGTCATCCAAGTGACAGTCATCTCTTGCTTGGGATGCTCTACCTTTCTAACTATCCTTCCTTCTTTGATTCCTCCTCTTCACCTTCTAATCCATTTGCCACACAAGCCCAAGAAGATTTATTCCAGTGCAAATCTGAACATGCCTTACTTATAATATTCAGTGGCTTGCCATTGCCAATGGAATAAAGCCCAAACTCTTCAAGACTAGTAGGTCTTCATACTTAGAGGTTTCACATGATCTGGCTTCTGCCTGTCCCTCACCTACCTGGTTGTTCACCATCCCCACCTTTGACTCTCACTCTAAAAATAGTCACCCATCCGGAGTTCCTTGAACATTCCATGCTCTCACTTACACATGTTTGCCTTGATACATTCTGCCTCCGCCTCATGCTGTTTCCTCCAGTTGATGTTCATTTATCCTTTAGGCCACTTCAGTGATACTTCTCTCAAGAACTAGGCTTGGTGTCATTCCTATATGTTCTCAAAGCATCACACACTTTGTCCTTATCCTATTGTAGCATTGATCATACTATACTTCAATTGCCTGTTTATAGTTTGTGTCTTGCCACCTCTTCCATCCCCCACCACCATTGCCACTGCTAACTTGACTGTGAGCTCCCTGAGGGCAGGAACTAGGAAGAGCACAGAATGTAGCCCCTGATAGGGACCAAATATTTGAATGATGAATGTATGTCATCAGAAAACCAAGAATCCCATAAAGCTGCAGAGATGACCAGTTTGTGAATCCTAGGAGTTACAGTGGTCAAGTCTAGGACATCTCATTAGCTGTGAGGGATCAGGCTGGTTCTAAGGTCAGGGTAGGTGTATTTCGGGGCTCAGGCATGGTAGTTACAGATACTAGTGCTATGAGGGAGTGAAGCAATGTGATCATAATCAGAAACTATTTGCCTTTTGCTTTCCTTCATGCTTTTTGCTGTTTGGAGCCTTCTGTAGTCTTAGCAATGTGTTGCAATTGGAGAGTTGGAGACCTGTGCAAGGCCTAACTCCTCAGTGGGGCAGGAGAAATGCAAGGATTCCTAGAGAGGGGTAGCTAGATTTTGGTTAGCTGATTGTCAAAATACTCAAGGCAGCTATCTTACATCTCACAACTGGTAAATCCTGCCTCCCTGCCTCCAATCTCTAGCTCATTAGAGAGAAGACTAGGTTTTTATGAATCTCCCTCACTTCAGAGTCCCTGAGTCCTTTAACCCACATGCTAGAGAGGAGAAAAAACAAATACTAGTGAAAACTCGCATGCCTCATGACTCTCTTTTTTACTCTTGTGTATACTCCATTGATTTTACATTTGAATACCACCCACCCCAGCTGTTACATTTTAACTGTGACTGTATTCACATTGACTTGCATGGGATATTTCTCAGTTCTATAGTAAATGTGGGTGGTTAGAATATATAATGGAAAGAACTCTGGGTTTGGGTTTAGGAGACTGGAGTTAGGAACTGGGTGCTCTAGCTCAGTCATGTGATCTGGTGTGGTCCTATTTTATACAATTTTTAATTAAGTATTGAATATAAAGTATTAAATCACTTTTAAGGCAAACAACTCGAATTAATGCAATTCCTCCCAAATCGATCAAGAACTGTATATCAAAGCTGTTTGGGCCTATTGAATTATAAGCTGTATTGATTTTATTCAAATATTTCCACACTAGCTGGTGAATGGAAATACTCAATATCCGCTGTCATGAGAATAGTCTTAAAATACACAAATGTCAGTCAGACTCTGCAAGGTCTTCAGAAAGGCACCTCATGTATAAAAGGCAATCTTTCTGGCCTCAGTAAGTCATCTGCCTTTTCTTCACTTCATTTTTCTCACTGGGGAAAACTGGGGGACTAAAACCTACCTCCTAGTAAATGAGAAAATGTACATAGAAGGTGCCTAGTTTAGTACCTGCTACAGAGCAAGCGCTCAGTGAATGTTATTAGATTTGGAAAATATATATGATATGATAGACAGCATAATTGAATGTCTGTTTTCTACTAGAAAGTCTTACAACAAAGCAGTAAACTGGGTAATACATATTACAGCTTAAAAAAATAGAATCAGTCCAGGCGCAGTTGCTTACGACTGTAATCTCAGCATTTTGGGGGCCAAGGCAGGTGGATCACCTGAGGTCAGGAGTTCCAGACCAGACTGGCCAACCTGGTGAAAATTCATCTCTACTAAAAATACAAAAATTAGCTGGGCATGGTGGTGGGACCTGTAATCCCAGCTATTCAGGAGGCTGAGGCAGGAGAATCGCTTGAACCTGGGACGCAGAATTTGCAGTGAGTCGAGATCGTATCATTGCGCTCCAGCCTGAGTGACAGAGCAAGATTCTGTCTCAAAAAAAAAAAAAAAAAAAAAAAAAAAAAAAAAAACCAGAAAGAAAGAAAAAAAGAAAAAAAAATGGAATCAGAGGACATCCTACTTCATGGATATATGTGGATTTTGAGCCTATGCCTGCGTTTTCCCATGATTTATTTTATTTCTTTGTTGAAATAATGAGTAAGATGGCCAGAAATGTTTTAAAAATAGATCTGAAGAAACTGCTCTCTTGGTTCCCTATTTCTTAAAGGGCCAGAAAATTTTAAATAATAGACACACATTTTTGAAAGGAAATTTAAATCAACTCGTACAGGACGCTCTTTACCCTAGTTACGACATGAATGTAATAGTCCAATAGCTTCTTTTATCCGGGTATAAACATCTTTAAAGTTCCCCAATTATTCAGAAGGACATCAAGTCACTTTCACAGATATGTGAAGGTTAAGAAAAAAGGGACTCTTGGGTGATGTAGGATAGGGTAGATTTACAACACTTTCTCTTGTTCACCTTAAGAACTGAAAATATAAGATTTTCCAAATTATAGTGCTATCAGATATATTAATCATGTCTTAATTAGAGATTTTGGGAAATACTCTCATAAATGCAAGGCATTAACAATAGAGTGATTAAGCTACAGAACCATTTAATTTAAAATTTAATCCAGTAGTTGAAGAAAATAAAGTTTTATCAATTTGGGGAGAGTGGACACAGAGAAAACCTCAAGTATGAGAAGATGAACATTTGATGTTTTGATTGACCACATCCTGGAGGGAAGATATACAGGATGTGTACATCCTTGAGGCCCAAAGATACATTTCTGACTTTCAGACAGAGAAGATGGGCAAGATCTGGGATTAGAATGGTGGGATTAGAATGGAATATTGTTTTGTTTTGTTTTGTTTTGTTTTTCTTGATGGCCATGGATTTGTACAAATAAAGGAACTTGGAAGGGCCTGAAGCAATGGCCATGCCATTTGATCAAAACTAGATGATCTCAAGTGCTACAAGAGTCAGCTGAACTCACTAAAATTGCAATGAGAACAAAATATCATATTTCACCATTCTGGTTTAGGGGCAGCTAATTTTTCCTTAACTAAGTTTGAGTTTTGAGCCTCTTGAGTTAATAGCTTTCCTTTTGTTATCATGCACACTCTCCTAGCCTCTGTACCTGGATGAGATAAATAGCCTAAATTATGTTTGCTTCATGGACAGCTTTCTTATGAACTATCTCAGAATGTAGTAAATTTGATGGTCCCTGCATTTGGCAGAGAACCAACAAATCACCCCACTGAGGTGGACTTGGGACATACTAGGGGTGAGGTGGAGGGTAGATGAAGATGGCTGGGAACAGGAAAAGATGTGGGATGCCTTTTCTTCCAGGTGCCCATCTGGGCTACGCTTGGCCAGGTGGCAGAAAGACCAAGCATGGAGCAGAGGATTTTGGCTTCTTCCCTCAGTCCCCTTGGTCAGTTTGGATCTGACCATTTGACAGACACATTAACACAGAAGTAAAAAGTTAGAATCTGCTCTCTTACCCTTCAGTCTGTGTCAAACAGTAGATTTTAAAGTTCTTTGGGGGCAAGAATGTCTTATTCACTTCTCTATAACCCTCTCAACTATAAAAGTGCTTGGTATATAATAGTGGGGTTTTTTTAGGTAAAAATATATCTTATTTATTTCAGAATACATACCCTACTTTAATGTTCTACAATTTTTGAGCCGAATGTTACAGCCGATTCTAAACAGAGTGATGAAGCTTAAATGGGCAAAGGTAATCAAATGTGTTATTTATTTCCTTTCTTGATGTTGTCACCTTTTTTGGTGGGGGGGTGGGGACAAAATGTTAACTCTCAATCTTTCACAAATATGTTATTTACTCTAAGGACTTTCTTTGGCAGCCCTAGTTAACCTTCACCAGGTGGTGGAGTCCAACTGGAGCAGAGAAATGGGCTTACCAAGGAAGTAAGCCTTGGCTTCTCATGCATCTGGCTAAATCTCTTATAGAGGCAAATACATTTGATTGAGTACTACTATTCTTGTTTTGTACTCTTTCCTTTATAACTTTATGAATAAATGACAGCTGGCAGCACAAGACCTTTGAAAGCTACTGTTCTATTAATTCAATAAGATGATATCCCCATTTCTTCTGTCTTCTTTCTTTAAGAGAAAACATGAAATTATTTTTTAAAGCTGGTCAACTAAGGCTTGGGTTTTCCTCCCCTATTCCCTGTAAGGTACTTGGGTCGGGACGTCTTGTGTTGTTACATGCCAGGCTGTCCTGGGCATGCTCTGTCGTTCCTTAATGCCAATGCACACATCTGTTCAAAATTTCACCTTTCTCATTTTTGAACGTTTCTTAAAATTGATGGATGCATTTAATGTGGCATTATTTTTTTCCTAAAAGACTTATGTAATCAAACCAATGATGGTTTATAATTGATGATATCTTAGAATACAGGAAAGGTAATGTGTTTTAGTTATCTATTGTTGCATAACAAATAACCACAAAACTTAAAATTGCAATAATCATATATTATCTTTCATGGTTTCTGAGGGTCAGGAACTCACCTAGGGCAGACTAGAGAGGTCTGTGTCTGCTTCAGGCTGTCTGGGGTATCAGCTAGAAGACTTAAAGCCTAGAAATTAGAAGCATCTGAAGGCTCATTGATTCCCATGTGAGCTTTGCTGGGGCTATTTGCCCATAGGTGATCCTTCCATAAGGAGATAATGGAGTGGAAGGAACTAAACTAAAAATCTTTATTCCTTTTCTTATGAGTGAAATATTTTCCAAGATCATAAGGATCTCTGGAAGGAAGAATAAACTCGGTGTTTTCTAAGAAAGGCTGTACTTGGGTTTCTGATCTGAGGGGGGCTTATAGATCAGAACTTTCATGATCTAACTTTTGGCATTGGGAAGGGCAGCCTGTCATGACAATCACACATACCTATCACATCAGAGCCTGTTCCATTCATCAGTATTCAGGATGATTTGTACCAGACTCCTTACTTAGTCTTCCCCAATTCTCCATACCATCTTGAGGTTTGAAATTCTTGGTGGGGAAAAGAAACATAGGTGACAGTGCCACTCTTTTCCCCATTTGAATCAGGGACTTGATAGTCAGCTGTGTCCAAATACTCCTTATCTTCCCATTTTAGAGAAGAGTTCTTCTCTTGCAGTCCTTTGAGATCTCTGATCTAAGCATATTAAGGAGGCACTTTCTCTAAAGTTCTTGTTATTCATATCTAAGATACATCCTAGGGCCAAGGGAATCCAACAGTGTTTGGCCTCTCTAACCCTTCTCAACTTTTGAAGATTCAAAGAGTTAGATAAAATACTATTTTCAAAAAAAAAATCAAACAGTACTCTTTCCTAAAAGGATAAGGTTTTAATAAAATGGGCATTTTTGATTTAAACCTTTTAGAGTTCAGAGGGGCCATTTCTTAATGCCTACATATATTGAGGCTTCTAAATATAATATTTAAAATAATATTGCTATTAGTATAGAAATGTGAAATAAGCATTCCACCACAAAAATAAGTTTTCTTTTGCTGAACTCATTTGGGTTAATTCTGCAAGGATTAACTGAGCACTAGGTTCAGAATATTGAGCTTTAAGAAAATTTTTATAAAAGCAATATTGTTATCAGTAGTAGTTCATATCTGCTGTGTGCCTCCAATTGGCAGGCACTTGTGGAATTGATGGTATTATTCTCATTTTACAGAAAAGGAAACTGAGCCCAGATAACTTATGTAATTTGGCCAAGGTCATACACTGAGCAAGTAGCAAGCAGAATTCTGTCTCACGTGAAAACCATTGTGTGAGAGAGTTTGACCAGTATTTTGGTAGCTGTAGAATTTTTCTCAAGCAACTACGAAGTCTAGGGGACTAGTGCATACTAATGGAAACTTTTCATGTGGAGTGTCTTCTTATCTGAAGCTGGAGGCTTCAAAGAATTAAAGAGAGGATCTTGATAGGGCTAATTATTTTCTTTCCCACAGCTCTGCCCAGCTGTTCCCATTTTACCCCTTTTGTATGAAGGCATTCATATGATTTTGTTGTAGAGGCTTGTGATGATGACTTCTTGGCAAAAAGCCTCACCATGTTTTTCTAGTGTGCTGGAAACATGATTTCTAAGACACCTGACACATTGACACTTGTACTGACTTCAACCCACACCCTTAATAGAGGAGCTGGGTCTCTATTGTGACCATAATATATTGCAGCAGAAGACCCAAATTCACTGCATTGCTTGAATAATTTGCCTGTATGATGGTAGCCACCTGGAGCTACTGAATTTCTCGCAGATTTTTGTTTTAGTATCTCATTTATTAGGTTAAAGAAGGGCTATTTTATTCTAAAGAAAGTTTTTCAATTAGAGGTTTGACATGGCTCAAAGATGATAGTAGTGGAACTGTTGGATATATATAAATCTTTTATTTTTGCTATGTATGCATGTCTTTGTGTTGAATCCAGATTAGTTTTAGTTTTGGTGTGTTTATTGTGTTTATTCTGTAGAGTGTTTAGCACTCTGGAGTTTTTCTAAGTTAATGAGCAATTGCATCATGGATAACCCACATTGTGGTTTCTTTAGATGCAATGTGGCCAATGGCAATAGTGTGTGTGTATGAGGGGGTGGTGGCAGGATGAGGGGAGAGATATCAAGGACTCTTGAGATCTGGAATTCATAAAAATGATTTGTTCTTTAGTTTTTAGATGAACTTAAATTTTTCTTTTATTATAGAAATAATGTTTATTGTAGAAAACTTAGAAAATATATATGGGCTCCCAAAAATAAATAAACATGATGTCTCAGAATTAGTCACAGTTAAGATTTTGGTTCAACTTATTCCAATCTCATGTGTGTGGGGTGTGTGTGTGTGTGTGTGAGTATGTGTGAACATTCATACATATGTTTATTCTTGCATAAATAAGCCTATAGTATAAATATTCTTCTATGAATTATCTTTTCAGATGTATCTATTCATCCAATATTCTTCCATGACATCATTTTTAATGTCTGTAAAATTCTTGTTATATGGCTATACCATATCTTTTGGACATAAGATTTATTATTATGATTTTTGTCTTTATTCTGTAATCTTGCAGCAACTGACTGATAGAAGCTTTTAAAATTTTGGACCAGTGAATTGGCTCCCTTCCCACACTACAATCAGCAGAATGTGTTATGCATTGCTGCTTCCCTGCCCCGAGACCCACTTCCAGCATAATAATGCTATGGAACTGATTGCTGTTGACAGCTCATCTACTTTTGCTCTTTCTTCTTGCAGGAGACAGAGCATGTGGTATCCAGCCAGTCAGAGTGTCAGGTGAGAGCAGGAACACCAGCTCATGAGAGTCCACAAAACAATGCCTTCAAGTGCCAAGAAACAGTGCGACTTCAACCAAGGTGGGCCCTTTGTTATCAGAAGCTATTCTGTGCTTGTGGTTCCTTTCTCAGAAATGCTGTGTGCTTGCCACTCCCACACAAGAGGCAAGGCTTTCTGACTTTTGCTGGCATTCCTTATAGTCAGAAAAGCTGCTTAAAGGGGCCTAGAAGAGGAATCGCTGAGTGAGTTTAAGATAAATGTAAATGACCTACTTTCTCTGTCTTCCATTTGAAAATAATCTACCTTAAGGCTCAGGGGGAAGTGGAGACAGGTCCTGCCCTTGGAGAGGAATGCTGATTTCATCTATTCTTATTCTTTATTCTATGCTAGAGGGAATTAGATTTTCCTTTGTGATAGTGATAAATTTGTGATGACCATGTAGGCACCATAGCAACTGATTTTTACGTAGTCTCTCATTTAGCCTTCTCTACTTTCTCGTAAAGCTGTGTACTCATAGTCTGAAACATATTAAGGCACTTGCCTGATGTTGCACAAGTGAAAAGGACTGAGCCAGAATTTGAACCCACAAATGTCTGATTGCAGCATGGCAGGTGCAGATTCTGTGCTGACCCGAGTGTCTTCCAGTGACCTTAGCCCTGACATAGCCCCAGGATGGCCTCTCTAGCCTGCTAGACCTGCTGGAGACAGCCCTGGATCCAGGGCAAGGATGTGGGTGGAAAGCAGCCTGCAGAAAGGTTGGCATGACATTCTGATGGGAGCCTGGCATTGCAGCTGTCTATGGAAAGTCTCTTCTGGAAATAAACAGAAGAAAGAATTCAACCGCTAGTTGTGTCAGCTGTCTTTGTAGGATCTTGTGTACAGTGTAATCATAGCCCTCACTCAGTGGAAAGGGAGGGCTGTGCTTCTGAGCCTGACCTTTAGAATTGTTTTTCTAAGGCAGCACAGTCTAAATCAACAACTACAGAGAAGATTGGCTGTGCTATGCAGTTGTACTTTTAAATATCCAATGTACTAAATTTAGAATAATAGAACCTCAAAAGGTTGGAGGGGACCTCAAAGGTAAGGTGCTTCCCTATCCAGGCAGATTCATGGGCACCTTTTATAACCCTCTTCACAAGCTGACTTCTTTTATGTGTTTACTCTTACCTGACCTCAGGTAATACCTGTTGGATTCAGCCTTGTAATTTCTCCAGTAATCAGGACATTCTCCCTCCTCTTTGAGGTATTATTGTAAGAAAGCTATTTTTTGGCTACTGGAATCAATTTAGTCAGTGGCCCACCAGCCTGATGACTGTCTCTCTCAGAAAGAAGAAAGTCAACTATTATTCCCATGCATATTTCAAAATAATATAAAAGCAAAACAAAACAAATAAAAACCAAAAAAAAGTCATTCATGCTTGTGTATGGAATGTATGGTGGTCCTGTAGGGGTAGATATTTAACAGAGACCAACAGGGGAAAATGGCGTTAGCAATTAACCTTCTCAAAGATGCTTGATGTTCAGTAAACTTAAAACCATTGTGTATCCCATTTTGTATTTCTCTTCCTCTGCCTCTTAGCAAACCTTCATAGGATCCTAAATACCTTGTTGTCTTTTTCGCCTCCCCATCTCCCATCTTTCATGTCCCACTTTCACAGAATTGAGCTTTCTGACCTAGCAACATTCCAGACTGTTCTGTGCACCGCTGTCAGCAATCGCAGGATCTGGTGATAAGTCACATATCAGGAGTGCTGTGAGGGCAGTTATGTCTAGTACTCTTAGTTAAGTAACCTTTAAACTACAGTTATTTATCACAACCATGGTGACATCACCAAGGGACATTCTAATGGAACTTTAAAAAAATCCATCTCAAAATATTACAGGGATTGTGAAATTTGATGAACTAGTGAAATGAGATCCGAGGCTAAAAACAACTTTGAATCAGGTAGCTCACATTCCTGATAACCTTCCTCTTCTGTTTTAAGCAGGCGTCTGGCCAGGTTTGGACATATCATGCCAAATAGAATCTTGATAGAGACATGATACTGTAATGGGACACTCCAGACCTAGGTCTGGTTCAGAGTGAAAGAATAAGCCAGGCTAAGTCTCAGCAGTTGTAAAATACCACCTTCTTTGGGGCAGTGGGCTGGGGAGAATGCTATTAATATAATGAACACTGTAAGAAAAGGAAGAAAGATCTCTCTGTAGCAAGAGGCCACCTTACTCCTTGGGGTCACACATCATTTTGGTGAGACTCGAAGGAGTAGTCAGTCTTCAGAAAATGAATCCATGTTTGTAGAGGTGAGATTTTGGAGCGGATTGAGGTCATGAGATGGGCATTGATCTTTTCACGAATGCCAAATAATTTCATACCTACAGCTCTCAGAGTCCTCATGTTGTATATTGGGCTCTTTTGAGCACAAGGAGCCTTTATGTATTTATGAGGATGAGACTCAGGAAGGTCTATGAATGTGTTTGCCCAAGTTTCTGTGTATATATACTCTATTATTGCTACTGTAATAACTGACCACAAACTTGTGGCTTTAAACACAAATTTATTATCTCATAGTTCTGTAGGATAGAAGTCCTACATATGTCTCCCTGGGCCAAAAAAAAAAAAAAAAAAAAAAAAAAAGGTGTTGGCAGGGCTCCATTCCTTTCTAGAGGCTCTAGGGAAGAATCTATCCATTTCCATACCTTTTCCAGTTTCCAGAGGCTGCCCACATTCCATGGCTTATGGTCCCTTCCTCCATTTTCAAGCCACCAACATTGCATCTCTCTGATCATTCTTCCGTAGTCACATCTCCCTCTGATCATGGCTGGGAAACATTTTTTGATTTTAAGGATTCATGTGAATAGATTGGGCTCACTCAGATAATTTCCCTATCTCGAGGTCCTTAATTACATTTTCACAGTCCTTTTTGTCACATAAGGTAAGGTGGCAGAGGAGCGACAATGATGAAGACATGGACATCTTTGGGGAGCTATTATTCTGTCCACTACATGTATGTTTATTTTTTTCTAGTGAAAATCTCTAAAACATGTATCAGACTCTCATATGGCACATATAACCCCAGAAAATATTTAGAAACCCTGTCCTAATGTCTTTCTACCTCCAAGTTCGAAAACACATGACTCCAGAGAAGATTCAGAACTGTTAAATCAAGGTTGGCCTAAAGCTGCCTCATTACATATTTTAAGTTCAGCCTAAAGGTTTCTCTGTACATTGTGAACTATAACCTAAATGGAGTTGTATACAAACTGTAGCCTACTTTTGTGCCAATTACCAAGTTGTGGCCAAAGGTGGCCAGCTGTTCAAACCATGTTCAAATAAGGCAAACGCCGAGCTGTAACGAATCCGGCTGTTTCTGCACCTCACTTCTATTTTCTGTATGTCATTTTCCTTTTTCTGTCCATAACTCTTCTTCCACCATGTGGCTGTGCTGGAGTCTCTGAGCCTACTCTGTCTGGGAAGGCTGCCTGATTCACGAATTGTTCTTTGCTCAATTAAACCCTTTTAAATTTAATTCAGCTAAAGATTTTCTTTTAACAGAACCCTTGTCCTAATGTCTTTCTACTTCCAAGCTGGCTTGCTCTTCTGATTTCCCTTAACAGAGCCAACCTCAGATACAGTTAAAGCCACTTCCATCTTCTTTCACTGCACCCTTCCTCCCATTTGCCATGCCCCACCCTTCCCTATATTATATTCCTTGGCCTTACAGTGCCACACATTAGAGGCCTCAAATTTGGTGTCCTACAGGTGTATCTGGTGTGGAGACATATTTGGCTTGTACAAAGTTAAACTATTTTGAATCAACATTTTAAAATCAAGAGTTTTTACAGATTTTTGGCTTTCTTTGGAAGAGTCTAAAGGAGGGATAACCCAGGGCCTACATTCCTCCAAGGCAACAACTAGCTGGAGCTGAGGAGTAGATTTCAATTTTTTTCACAATTCCTACCCAGCTCTCCTCATTTATTTATGCTCTTTGCCAAGCTTCTATAGGCATTTGATTTATAATGCCTGCTTCAATCCTTTTCTTCCTGGCAACTGCTGCTCCTGGGGACTCTGTAGCTCCCTGGAGCTAAGTCCTCCTGGATGAAAATGTCTTATCATATGGTGATGGCTGATATTGTCTTAATGCCATCTTTTCCCCAGATGACATGTTTTCATTTTAATATGGACTTCCATTGCATGAGTGGAAGGGTTGGGTTATTATACTACTCTGCATACTCCTCAATACCTGGTATTTTCAAAACATGTAAAATTAAAGAACTGCAGTTAGTTAGAGCTGGAAGAAACTTTAGTAATCATTTAATACAACTATCTTTTTCTTCTTTGACACCCAGTGAGGCTGTGATTTGCTCAAGTTCTCTCTTCCCTTACTAATAGAACCAAGATTAGTACCATCAATCTGTATGGAGTTGCCACTTAATGAATATGCATTAGTTTGACTGATTTTTAAAGCTAAAGCCGCTGCCAATCCTGTAAACCCTCAGATATGACAAAGGGAAATTTATGAATGTAAGAGAATATTAATGCAGTTGGGGAATTCTTACTAAGCTAAGTAAATTTACTTTTGAGAATGATTAACTCACTTATATTTAAAATATTGTATTAAAATTTATGACGACATTAAACCTTTAATGTTGTTAAAGACCTTGTCTGTGTAAACAGGAGTTATTCTATAGCATTGTCTTACTGTTAATTAGGTTGGTGGTTACATTGTAAGTTCCAGTTCATTGGCCTCTTCATCCAGATTCCCATGTTGCAGGAGGTTGAAGATCCTTAGCAAGGATAATGGCCTTGGATGGCCTCCACTATTTTTTGACATTCCAGATGAAAGAGAAAGCTGTGGGCTTTGTTGCTTTATAGAAAGAGGAAGTTTTGTTGGCAGCAACTTTTCTATGGGGGATAAATCCTTTCATCTTTTGTTTTTGAGATAGACAATGTGTGTGTGTGTGTGTGTGTGTGTGTGTGTGTGTGTGTGTGTGTGTTTGAATAGCTAATTGTTTCTTACTTAAATGTTTTTCATAGACGTAAGCAGAGTCTTAATGAGTTCTGCTAAACAGAGACAGAATGAATAAGAGAATGAGCACTGAGATTTTTAGTATTAATAATACAAAAGACATATCTCCCTTCTTGGACTGTACCTGATCTCTGCATATTTCTAGGATCTTCTTCTCCTTCCTCATTAGTGTGCTCCTAGGGTTTTGTTTTGTTTCTTTTAAAAGGGGAGCAGGGATGAGGTAGAGATAAAAAACAGCTTGCCTTCACAGTGCTTTGAGACTCCCTGGTATACGGTTGGATAATGAGTGGGTATTGACCTAGTTCATGTTGAGTATCCCACATAGAAAGGGAGCTGGAAAGGAGGGCTCTCCTTCACTGCCCACACCCACTGCCTCCCTCCGTGGATGCAGAAACAACCTGGTGGAAGGAAAGAACATTCAAATGAAGAGATCCAGGGTCTTATCTCACATCTCTCAGGTGACCATGGTCATTTCACTCAAATTTCTGGGCCCCCTCCTCTAACATAAGGAATTTGGGTCAAATGATTTCTGGAGCTTCTTCTGGCTCTAACATTGAAAATGCTCAACACTCTAGATATTTAAAACATTAGACATGGGAAGGCTATAGCTAAAGAATACGAGCTCCTGAAGATACAGATAAAAATAATTCCCCCTCCCCTGCTGTAGAGCACAAAAATCCCACACCCAGTCCGTGAACTGCTGATTGAAAAAAGAGCTCACACTTGATTATTTTGGAAATGAAATTTTCCTTTTTTGTTGTTTTTTTAAAGGAGATTACCCTTGGTCATTTGATAAATTGTTAGCACTTTCACTGATAATTTGGCATAAGGATAAAAGGGAAACTTAGAAACATTCTCTCATTCAAAATGCTACTACTACCACTACTACTAATAATCAAATAAGTGAAACACTGGAAAATATAGAGAATCCCAAGGATGTAAAAATGACTTGTTATCTTACCTCCGAGATATAACCACTATTACCATGGTAAGGCACTTTCTTATATTGTTGCTATTGTTTTAACGTTATAAAGAGAAATTGTGTATGAAAGGGGCTTCTGGATGCATTGGGCTTTAAATCTGCTAGAACACATGGACACAGGAAGGGGAACATCACACTCTGGGGACTGTTGTGGGGTGGGGGAAGGGGGGAGGGATAGCATTAGGAGATATACCTAACGCTAAATGACGAGTTAATGGGTGCAGCACACCAGCATGGCACATGTATACATATGTAACTAACCTGCACATTGTGCACATGTACCCTAAAACTTAAAGTATAATAATAATAAAAGAAAAAAAAAGAAGCACTATTTACATCAAGCAGATCATAGAATAGAAAGCTAGACAAGAATGCATTATGATTATACAATAATCATGTATAGCAGTGTGCTTTTCTACATAAGACCAGTAAGATGAGTAATAAGCAGTAGGTTAATTATCACAAGGTTGGTGAGTTCATTTATGGCTAAATTGAACAAATTTAATTTTCCATAGCAAATATTCTAACATACAATTTCTATAAGAAACATGTTTTGCAAGCTTTGGTATCATTATAGCCCTTTGTTAGAAATGATATTTCTAGGAGACCAAACAGGAAACTTTGTCCTTAACATCTGAACATCTTGGAAAGTTTCTTGGCTTAACATAAAATAGGTTTAAGAGAAATTTCAATAATGATTATAGGAGACAGAGAATGTATAAATTTAAACCTAATTTAGAACTTTGACCAGCTGGTTAAGTGTTCAGTGTGCCTGAGGCGACTAGAATGGGGCTAATCTTTAACTTACTCTTCAGCTTCCCAATGAAGTCGTGGCTACTCCCATATTTCTGTTATAGTTATTTGTCAATGAGGTATTCCTTTTCAAGATTTACATTAAATACTACACACACACACACACACACACACACACATTATGTATAGTGACATACACATACACACAGAGCTCCTACTCAACCCTCCATATGTATTTTTTCTTATATTATTAATGCTAGGTTAAAACATTTTTGGGATTAGATAGATAGATGTATACATACATACACATATTTATAAATTTGTCTCTAAGAATATATTATACATAATTACATTGCTTTATGTTACATTATATTATACATTGCTGTATATTACATTGTGTTATACATAATTATATTACATTGCTATGTAACTTGTTTGTCCTGCTTAATATTCTCTTTTCCATATCATAAAATACACTATAACATACGTAATGGCTGTAAAATACAGTCATGTACCACATAATAACATTTCAGTTAACAACGGACATGTATGATGGTGGTCCTATAAGATTAAAATACCATATTTTTGCTGTACCTTTGTATGTTTAGATATGCAAATACCACTGTATTACAGTTGTCTACAGTATTCAGTACAGTAACATGCTGTAGAGGTTTGCAGCCTAGAAACATTAGACTATACCATATAGCCTAGGTGTGTAGTGGGCTATACCATCTAGGTTTCTGTAAGTACACTCTGTGGTGTTTGCACAACAACGAAATAGCCTAAGGATGCATTTCTCAAAATACATCCCCGTCACTAAGGGATACATGACTCTATTTCCTTTTGTGGATATACCATCATTTATGTAATGAAATCTAAAGTATTTGATATTGCAGTTACTTATAGGATTTATATTTGTATTTATTGCTGTAGTAAACATCTTAAAAACAATATCTTTATGTGCATCCATTATAGTTTTCTTGGTTTGTGCTTAAAAGTCAAAGTTGTCTAGGCATAGGATTTGGAGTAGCTAACTGTAATGAAACTTAAGATATAAATTTTTAGCCAGGCACACTGAGATTACAGTTCATGCCTGTAATCTCAGCACTTTGGGAGCCTGAGGCGGGCAGATCACTTGAGGCCAGGAGTTTGAGACCAGCCTGGCCAACATGGTGAAACCCCATCTGTACTAAAAATAAAATACAAAAATTAGCTGGGCACGGTGGCACACACCTGTAATCCCAGCTGCTTGGGAGGCTGAGACATGAGAATCTCTTGAACCTGGGAGGCAGAGGTTGCAGTGAGCTGAGATCATGCCACTGCACTGCAGCCTGGATGACTGAGTGAGACCTTGTTAAAAGAAAAAAAGAGATATACAATTTTCAGTTGTCCGATCATGGAAGAAGATAGGAATATAATACACAACTAGTAACTTTGAGAGAACTAGATAAAAGTCATGTGGCTGGATTTCTGTATGTGTTGGAATCATAGGATGGTGGCTCTGGGTGGAATGTTGGAGACAATCCAGTTTAATCTCTTCCCCTTCCTTGTGTATTTACTAGATATTTCTGTTTCATCCACTAGCCTTCATGGTGTTCTAGTTCACATTGTGCTAAGGGCAAAGTGCTTCTGGCTCTAGCATTCCCAGAGGACATTTGGAAGTCATGTGGGGGATGGAAAAATTCTTTGTTGTGTGGGATGCCTCATTCATGTCAGGGACTCTGACACCTTTGGCTCTAGCCCACAGAATGCCAGTAGACAACTCCAGCTTCTGTAATAATCACAAATAGCCCCCAGATTTTCTACATGGCCCCTAGGGGACATACCATCACCCTGTAAAAACACAAAAACAAAAAAAACCCCACTAAATTTCATGATAGATACCTTATCTAAAACCATGTTTTATGTGAGTCTTTATTAACATGGGGACATGATCTAAGTGGAAAAAAGCAGTTACATAACAGTATCACAAGATGTTCTTATTTTTGCTTAATATATAATTATTTACAGAAACATATACTAGCAAGACAGAAATCCATATTTTAGTGGTGGTAATTTTGGGGGGAGATGAATTACAGGTGATTAAAAAAATATTTTTTGTGCTTTTACTTTCCAAGTTTCCCTGCTAGCGATCCCCTATTAAGCTTGTAATTGGCAGAAAGTGATAAGTTTATATTATTTGCAAGACAAATAATAGTACCTACTGTTTCTCTGGCTTTATTTATTTAGTAACAATTGAATCTTACTTTGGGACAGACATGACTATTAGCAGAATATTAGGAGAGAACAGATTTATTTTTTATTTTTGTTAACTGGGAAAACTTAAAATGAATTTTCAGTGACACTTACAGCCTTTGTGGTTTAGGTCACTTGGGATCAGAAACCAAATACTACAGATGATTTTATAGGTTTAAATAATGTTTAAAGCCATAATTTGTATCATAGATGCCTCTTTTCTTCAGCATTTGCCTCAGTAGAAAGTCTCTTCTTATACTCTTGAGCAGCATGCCAAGCCTCTCAGGGGTCCAGTAGCACAGAATTCTTATCAAGAGCACTCTGATGATCCTGCAGATGCAGGGACAAGGGAAATATCAAGACCCATTTAAGTGGGGGTGGGGTCCAAGGGGAGAAAGATTGAGAAGGGGTAGATGCAGGAATAAGACAGCTGTTGAAGTCTTCTTAGTGCCTTAAGTTTAGCACCAACACAAGAAAACAGTTTTGGCCAAACCCAGCCTATTGAATAAATCTAAAAACACATTAATAGAGCCCCTGGGAAGGGCCTAGGAAATATCCAAGATACTGTAGTGTAAAGAGGAAAGGCCTTGGCAGTATGCAGACCTGGATGCTAGTTCCAGCTTTGTTGCTTCCTTGGACAGATTCCCTAACCTCTCTGGGCTTTGATTTCTTCAGATGTGTGATGGAAATGAAAATATCTACTTCCCAGAGCTACTGTCGCAAGGATTAAATGAACTGCATGTTCAGCTTCATTCAGGGTCTGGCCCACAGCAGGGGCTCGGAAGATTAATGTTGCTATTCCATAAGAGAGGAGATCCTTCCTCCATGAAGGTTTTTGCTTAGCTCCACAGTATTGATCTATGGCTTGCCAATACATCTATCTTGCTGCTAGTGTTCTCTCTTCTCTCCACCATTTATCTAAATTTTAATCTCATCTCAGAGCCCAGCTCTCTCCCAGCTTTTCATGCACCTTCTCCTTTCTCAATAGCCCATGTTGATCTCTGTAGTTAGAACATGTTCAATGTAACTAGACACATGGTACTAGTATTAAAAGAGTTTGGTTTATCTCTTCAAATAGGATATATGCCTATTTTCTGTAATTCTTTTGACTGTGCAGTTTTCAGCACAGTGCTGAACTCATAGGTTCAGTAGTTTAGTAAAGTTTCTGCTTATTGATTCTTAGATAAGCAATCCCATGGAATTCTGGTTTGCCCTCTATAATCTCACGCCTCTCTTGGCCATATTTCATTATGGTCCTTTATGTACCTGGTCCTTTACAAGCTCTAGTTTGCTTTTGTGTACACTGGCTAAATTCTTGTGCTTCCATATCCATCCTGCACAGAGCCCAGGTTACCTTCATAGATCTGTTTTTCTGCACATCTTTAAGCTAGACCTTAGCTTCCCTCTAGTTGAACCAAAAACTATGCATACCTTGGACAAGTTGGTTTCCCAACTCAATCTCAACTGAATTGCCAGTTGAGATTCCAGTGATTTGGACTCGCTTGCTCAACTTGGACATGTGATTCAGACAATTTCAAAAAGGTTTTTAAAGGGGTTGTACATGACAAAGTGGCCCTAGTTGGCCATGAATAGTCATGGTTGGAAAAGTGGGGATCAAGAAAGTGGTCATTTTCAATGTGTAATTACTGCCAGTCTTGCTGATCTTGCTCGTGTGCAACAAAGGAGACCCAGGCTATTGCATGACAAGTGGTTGTTTCTTGGTAATGTAGTTGGTATTCTCTGCAAACAATGGAAACTAACTGTGTTTGATTCAGGCAAGGAAAGGAATCTAAATGAAGGCTATTGCTTAGCTTAAAAAATTGAACTAAGGGCAAATATGCTTTGGGAAGGATAAGAACCAGGCCTAGTCCATGGATTTCTGGAATCACAATGACAGGGACATGTTTCTCTGAGGTGTTATCACTGGATGATCCCACGCTAATACAACAGCTTTTCATTCCCCCTCAAGTTTTGACTTCAGGGAGAAAGGAACTAACTGGCCTAGTTCAGGCCACATGTTTACCCTTTCATGTAGAATTGTGGAAAGCTAGTTTCCCAAGGGAAAGGGAGGTTGATGTCAGAAGAAGTGGATTGGAGATGAAAAATGCTGAACAGATGAAATCAGTATAGTGTTGGGTGACATGGGGGCATGGGAAGAACCTGGAGCTGATGGAGCAAGAGGACTAAGAACCAATTTTAAGGGTCAGAAAGGCTTGGTGTGGCTTGCCAAACTTAACTGAGTCAAAGACATGGAAAGACCAGGGCTCCTCCAACTTGCCTCCCTGATCATTAACTCACCCTTGCTCCTCAGACCGACACTGATCCAGGTTCTGTTCATCTTGTGTCAAGTCGCATCAGCAAAGACAAGTAAAGCTGGAGTGTGCTGAACTGCAGAGAGAATGTACCAGATGATGTCAGAAAAGTTGGTGGTGGACACGCTGCATGGGGCCTGGTAGCCTGGGTGTTGATCCTTGGATTTTGTCTAAGTCTAGAAGAAAACCACTGGAGGTTATAAACAGGAGTGACAGACTCAGATTGACATTAAACGATCACTCTGGGTACTGTGTGTTGTACACTATACTGTAGTGTGTTGTACTCAGGGGTACATCTTGGAAGCTAATATATCATCCCTGTGGGAGGTGCTGGTGACAATGAAGATGGAGGGAAGATGACAGGTGAAGGATAGAGACTCATGACTCTTTCCTTTTGGGAGAGAAAGAAAATCTTGAATAGGGAACAGGCAGCATTTAGGCTTGATTAATATTAATGCCTACTCAAATCCCCTGTGCCTTGAAAAATATTCTTGTGTTCCAAGAGCTAACCTGATTGATACTTTAAAAGTTAAAGTGTTGCAAGTCTGAGTATCAGTTGTAATATCACAGAAGCCAGTGTGATACGTAGTTACAAATATTCATCAGCTATTCACCTGTCGTTTAAATTCCGCACCCCCACCCCCCAGCCCATCACTTGTGACACTCTGTGCCCTTCACTGCATCTGTCCCTGATCTAAATCTTCATTTGTGTGATGAGGTTTTTCTCTTTCCCCCAACTGTAAGCTCCAAAAGACAGAGATTGTGTCGACTTTGTCACCGCTTTCTTACTTGAGGTTCCTCTTGAAGGTGGATTCTGATAGATAGGAGGAGCTGGGTACAGGAAGGTGGTCCCAGGAAGCAGGATCTAGGGAAGGAGGAAGAGCCCACAACAGGTGTGTTACTTGGTAGGTTGCCACTCTGAGCAACTGGGGTCTCTCTGAGGAACTGTGTAGGCAGTATCTCAGACTTATCCCTCTGAAAGTTGAGGAAAGGGCTGCAGCATTTATTCACACACACACACCCCACCTTCTCTTCCGGCTGCGGGCTGCTCCCAGGGGAGTTAAATCTGCCACACATGCAGGCTGAGGGAATGAGCCCTGTCTGGCAAAAAACTTTGAGGCAGAAGAATGAAGAAACTTGGCAGAGGCTTGAGGTGGGCAGAAGTGTCCTTGGAGCTGAAGTATTGGTTACAACCACTCGTCTCCTGGGCTGAGCACTGCCTGGCACATGGAGCAGGTGTCTGATCATTGTTTACTAAGTGTATGGAATGTATTTACTAAGTGTATGGAATGAATGAGGTGATGAAAGCAAAGTGCCTTGTAGCCTGCTCAGCAAACCAGGTGCTGCTATAATTATTACTCCTAATAATGTCTTATTGGGGCCTCTGCTCTCACTCATTCACCTGCTGGATCCTGTGTCCTCAATATTCCATCCAAAATGTGTTCTTTATGGTTCACAGTGTCTTTTAAACCACACCCATGTCTACTTTACCTCCACTCTGCCAATTCTGAAGCTGGCCCTGTGCACCTGACTCACTGCTCACCCATTCTCTGGGCATTGCTGTGGTCTTGGCTGCTTCTGGTGTCTGTTCCAGCTCACCAAAGTGAGAAGTGGTACCTTTTCCAGGACAGCTGGGCTGCCCTGTATTTGAAGTTTTTCATGGTGTTTTGAGGGGCACAGCCTTTCTCTCTTTGGGAATGTGTTCCCTGGGGGACCAGGCCAGAAACACCATGTCACTCCTATACTCAAAGAAGTTCCTCCCTTGCACGTTTTAGCCACTGGTGTCCTCCCAGGCTGTTGCACTTGGACCTTTAGGATAGCGTTCCCCAATTAGGAATCCCCTAGAGTGCTTCTTAACTATATGTCATCATCCTACTTTTCTGGAAATTCTGATTAAGTAGGTTTGGGTTGTGGCCCAGGAATCTCTGTTTTAATAATACTGGCTGATTCTAATCTTCAGAGAAGTACAAGGTGGGAGGTGGTGGTTGGGGAAGTTGGCTTCTGGGAGGGTATACCATTGGGGATCAGTGTTCTGTTTCTAGCTGAAGCATCCTTGGGAGTTCATTGGCCTGGACAAGTGGATACATGGGTTGGGAAGTCAGTTTCTGAACATCCATGGACTTCGAGTTTTGTTTTCTTTCAGTAGTCTCTCGGGGAATAATTTTGAACACTGTGGCTTGGTTTTTTTTTAGTCTTTGAAGTTGGCTGCTTAATATTTGACCTCAGTCCTTTAGCAGACATTTGGTAAGAACCAATAAGAGAATGTCTTCAATGTGGCTTCGACTCTCTAGAGAAAGGAACTTTCTATTTACTGGTATTAAGGGCTGTTATTGTTTCTAATAATATTACTGGAATTTATTGGCATCTTGTCTGTGTCTGCATATAGAGCTATTGTTTGTATATAAAACATGTTTTGCTCAGAGGGTTGTCCTCTTGGGATATACCTTTTGTTTTCAAAAGAGTTTCAGGAAACACCAGTCATACAGCCAGCCAGCAGTCATCCGGGTATACATTAGTGTATCCCAAGTATTGCCTTCTCATAGAGAGGCTCAATTTTTTATGCAGTGGAATATCCTGAATTCTGAAGATGTGATGGGAGTCAGCACTGCTCAGTTCTAAGGCTCTGATTCTATGTGAAGTATTCTGAAAAGTGTGTTGGATGCTCTCTTTTTACTCTTTCTGCCCAGGTTTTCTAGGTCATGGGTTCAAAAGCTACTAATTAATCTTTCATAGATCTCTTCAGGGAAGAAATGCATTTGTTATGGGAATGAGAGTCATTCCATCCTCTAGGCTCTGCTAGCATGCTATAGGTGGAAGAGGGAGCATCAGTTATCATTACTTTACACACTCAGAAATATATAAGAATTGGCAGCTGCCCATAACCCTAGGATGAATACGTTATTTACAAACATATGAGTGCCTACTGTGTGTCATATGCCAGACTTGGCCCTAGAGATAAAATGCTAAGCAAGGCTGCTATGGTCCTTGCTCCACAGTGCTCACCATCGTGAGAAAGAAACAATCAAATAATTACACAAATACATGATTAAGAACTGAGACCTGCTGCATAGCAGAAAGTAGAAGATCAGAATACAGTGAGAACATATATAAGAAAGGGAGACCTGACTGGGAGCTATCTAGCATCTAAAGTATGAATGAGTTACTTAGGAGAGAAAGTGGAGAGGGAACAGCATTACAGGCACATGTGAAGGCCTGCGCTGGAAAGGAGCATGGTGCATCCACAAAACGGAAAGAATGCCAGTGTAGCTGGAGTTCAGAGAGGGAGAATGATGCAAGCTAAGGTTGAGGAGTGGGCACATACTAAATCCTTCAGGGTGTCATACAGTACTCTCGGAATTTTGAGTTTTATTTTAAGTATAGTGTGCAGAAGGGTAGTGAAAGATCTTGTGTGAACGGTGGCCTGAGGAGGGTAGAGGGGAAGTAGGGAGACCAGGGAGAAACTACTGTCATTCAGGTAGTTCAGATGAGAGGTGCTGGTGGCTTGGCCCCAGATGGCAGTGGTAGAGATAGAGGGGAGGGGACAGACACAAACATGATTTGGGATAAGAAATTGAGAGGCTTGTTAATAACTTGGTTATTGGGCTTAAGGGAAAGAAAAGCGTTAGATAGCTGTCCGTTGTCTTCCATGAGCCATTGGCAAGATGGGGAAGCTTTTCACTGAAATAGGAAACACTTTCCTCTGCTAATTTAATTATAGATAGTTCAAACATTGGTGTAAATATACAACTGTGAGCTAAAATGTGGCGTTTTCACAAATTATCACATCCTGCAGTTTGACACTGTCCTTAGGCCAAGAAAAATATCTTAATGCTTAGTTGGGTTTATTGTTTTGAACTCCAGTACACCTCCTGCGAGGAGGCCACTAGAAGATGACCCTACAGGCTGACTCAGCACGAGCTTTAGGGTTCCAGCAAAGTGGGAACATCAAACATTTTTAGAAAAGTTGTATTTCAGTGGGCTATCCACAAGTTTGTAGTCATAGGCTATCCACAAGTTTGCAGTTTGAATCCAGGGAAAAGCTCTTTTCATATCAGCACAAAATTAAGTTTTGCATTTCTCTGTTGAGAAGTATTTTTTACTTTGAATTATACAGTGGTGGCAGCAGTGGCAATGGTGGTGCTGGTGGTGGTGATGGTGATGCTGGTTGGTGGTGCTGGTGGTGGTGATGGTGGTTGGTGGTGCTGGTGGTGGTGGTGGGGGTGATGATGGGGGTGATGCTGGTGGGTGGTGGCAGTGGTGGTGGCAATGGTAGTGGCAGTGGTGGTAGTGATGGTGGCAATGGTGATGGTGATGGTGATGATGGTGATTGTGGAGGTGATGGCAGTGGTTGTGGTGGTTGTGGTGATGGTGGTGGTAATGGTGGTGGTGGTAGTGGTGGTGGTGGGTGATGATGTTGGTGAATGGTGGTGATAGTCATGGTGGTAGTAGTGGTGGTGATGGTTGGAGATATCACATGCTCATCACTACTGAGGGCCATAATTGGGCTCTGAGGAGTGCAGGCTGCATTTCTCATTGCCAGGACCTGGGCTAGAGGACAAGCTTACACTGGAGTTAGCACAGTACTATGACTGGCTGACTCATTTTGGTCCCCTTTAAAAGCATGCATTTGATATATATTTGCTTAGTTACTTTCCTATTATTGTTTTGGACACAGGCGGCAAGAGAATTGGAGGGAGTGTTCAGTGTGACCGAGTTTTTGTGTGTAGGCCAGCTTCCAGGAAAGATTGTAAATGGTTCAAGCAGTATCGTTAAGGATCTTAAAAAGAAGGGAGTTTGAGATGGCTAGCTACTGTTCCAGTTCTCCATCATTCATTGCTAAACTCCAGTGAAAAGCTTCATTTATTTTTCCTCTTCTACTATGACCTTTATCTTTTTCAGTCCAGTGGCCTTTTCTTTTCTCGCCTTCTGTTTCTCATGATCTCTAGGAGACTTTGACACTTTGTAGCAGTGTGAGCTTGGGCCATTCTCCTGCATGTCCTGTTCTTCTTGCCTTGCTTTCTTTTTCTCCATAATACTTAGCATCTGGTGCACCATAGATAATCACTGGTTTATTTCTTTTTGTTATCCTTCCGTGAGAATATAAGTTCCACAAGGGCAGACTTTATTTTATCCACTGCTTTGTTCCCAACACCTGCAACAGTACCTAGCACATCTTTGGTGTTTAAAAAATATTTGTTGACTGAATGGATGAAGTATTTAACTACCCTTTCTCCTATTAGGTGAAATAGATATAATAATGCTAGTCTCATATGATGACCTTGATGATTAAATAAAATAATGTAAGTAAACTGCCTGGAAGACCCACTCTGGGGTAGTAAGGGCTGGTGAATTGAAGTCATTCTTGGGTCTAGTGCTTTCTCTCATTTATCCATCTCTTGAAAACATACATACTGAGAAGCTTCTAGGTACGTTGCCTAGCACATAACGAAGCAAAAAGTGATGCAGAATCTGCCCACATGACCTTATCTGTGGCCACTGTACACCATCATAATTATCTCACCCCCCTTCTCTGCTGAACACACTTAGAGTGCCCCATTCCAGGGTGAACCCTGGCCAGACATTTTTACTTCTCTATTTCAGTCTCACCTCAAGCTTCAAATATCTAAATCTGAACTCATGAATTGCCTCTCTTCATGAAAGACATTACATGTTTTTCTGGCTTCATTAAAAAAAAAGAAACCTGCCATTTTCCTTGTCACACAGACTCAAGTTTGTAATAATTTTGATTACCGCATCTCTTTCACTCCATACTTTGAATCCACACCCAAGACTTCTTGATTGCTTTTATCCTTGAAAAATGTCTTTTATCTGTCTCTAACTCTCCAGTTTCTCACCACCATTATTCTTTTTTGTTTGTTTGTTTTAGAGATGGAGTTTTGCCTGTCACCCAGGCTAGAGTGCAGTGGCACGATCTCAGCTCACTGCAAACTCCGCCTCCCGGTTCAAGCAATTCTCCTGCCTCAGCCTCCTGAGTAGCTGGGATTACAGGTGCACACCGCCATACCTGGCTATCTTTTGTATTTTAGTAGAGATGGGGTTTCACTGTGTTGCCCAGGCTGGTCTCGAACTCCTGAGCTCAGGCAATCCACCTGCCTTGGCCTCCCTAAATGCTAGGATTGCAGGCATGAGACACAACGCCCGGCCTCTCACCTCCATTCTAACGTCAACCCTTTTGCCCTGATGCTTGATTTGCTGAAGTGGCTTCAAGACTCAGTGTTCATTAGCTTTATCATCATTTAAGTTTCACTAGATTCTAAGTCTCCTTAAGGCACTGCCTCTGATTGTCTATTATTGTTTCCACAACACTGGACCAGGCACACAGTAGACATTCAGATGGTTAGTAAATTAAAGTACCTTTGATGCTCTAGACTACAGTTCTCAAACTTGTTCTGGAGGTTTATCTAATGGTTAAGAGTAGTTTCCTTGGAAGATCATGTGAGTATATTCTACGTAGGCTCTTCTCTATATCTCACTAATATATACCATATATTTTTAACAAAGTATATTTCTGCTTCCTTCCATGAAAGTTTGCTACTTGGTTATTTGTTTTACCATCTGCTGTCACTCATCAACAGGGAGCTTGCACCAAAGCCCTAGAAAAACTTGTATTTGAAGAGTGTAAACCAGTAAATATTTTTTCTATTAGAGAATACCACTCTTCCATTTTGCTGGTGCTACTCTATAGAAACATAGTTTGAGAACTACTGAGGGTTACAAAGAAACTATGAGCCATTCAAAGTGTTAGATGTTACTGAGTAGGGTGGATTAACCCCTGTCTCCAAGACTGCTTTTGCCTGTTTTGTGGGAAAGAGCTATTTTGTATTTTCTGATGCACTGAAATCACTGTTTGTGGTTCAGGGGATTGATGGATATTAGATGTGTGAGCCAGCAGTCTTCCTCCTCACCCTCTTTTTCCCCTTGAGCTATCTAAGCCTGAGCTTGTGGTTGGGAGCCTTAGGCTCTCTCCCACCCAGGAGGGAAATGCTGGTTTGTTCAGGCATGGAGGACATTAGTCTGACCTTCACAATTTTCTTCTATTACCATCTCCTTAACTTTTCTCATTAGAAATTGTTTGCACAGTAAGCAAAGCTTGTAGAGTAAAAAAAAAATTGTATTCTTAAGAATATTTTAAAGAAGTTAGGCTCCTGGCATTTCTAAATGTGCATTATGACATTTAGATATTGACCTTGTTGCCCATTTAGAGGACATATATGCTTTCTTCAGGATGCAAATTGGAGCAGAATAGTAACTGTAAATAATTAGGTCCCCAAAGAAATCTTTTTATAAATGTTAACACTGACAAATCTCTTATTCATTAAGATAACTGGCCTTTTTATAAGGATAATAACTATAAGTTAATATGTTTATTATATAATAGCATTCAGACTGTCTCAGAAAAACTTGAATTCTATTTAACAGATGACATTGGACCATAGAATTTGACAAATTATGATTTGGACCTAAGGATCTTTCAACAGTGGAGTTTTGTGTATTTTGTTTTTGTTTGTAAGCTACAGAAAATGACTTTGAGTAGATATGCTTTAAATTCATTTTCTTCTGTTGTCAGTCATGTAGTGGCAAAACCCAGCTTCGCCATGTGTCTTAGTCCATTTAGTGTTGCTATTGCAGAATACCTGAGGCTTCATAATTTGTAAGGAAAAGAAATTTATTTGGCTCACAATAATGGTCACTGAAAAGGCTAAGATTGGGTGGCTGCACCTGGTGTGGCCCTCAGGCTGCTTCTCCCATGGCAAAAAGCAAAGGGGAGTTGGCTTGAACAGAGATCACATGGTGAGAGAGGAAGCAAGAGAGTGAAACCAAGGAAGCCAGACTCTTTTCAACAAGCTGTTCTCTAGGGAACAAATGCCCTCCCTTTCCCTTCCCCTCCCCCTCCCCCTCCCCCGCCCCCTCCCCTTCCCCTTTCCTTCCCTTCCCTTCCCTTCCCTTCCCTTCCCTTCCCTTCCCTTCCCTTCCCTCTTTTTATTTATTTTAAGTTCAGGGTACAAGTGCAGGCTTGTTTCACAGGTAAACTTGTGTCATGCGGGTTTGTTGTACAGATTATTTAATCACCCAGGTATTAAGCCTAGTACCCATTAGTTATTTTTTCCTGATCCTCTCCCTCCTCCCACCTGCCACCCTCTGAAAGGCCCCAGTGTGTGTTGTCCCCCTCTATGTGTCTCATAGATTGATGTGTTCTCATCATTTAGCTCCCACTTATAAGTGAAAATATGCGGTATTTGGTTTTCACTCAAAATTATAAAAACCCTGGAAGACAAACTAGGCAATATGATTTAGGACACAGGCCTAGACAAAGATTTCATGACAGTGATGCCAAAAGCAGTTGCAACAATAGCAAAAATTGACAGATGGGATCTAATTAAATGAAAGAGCATATGCATAGCAAAAGAACTTATTGACAGAGTAAACAGGCAATCTACAGAATGGGAAAAAATTTTTGCAAACTACCCATCCCTCAAAGGTCTGATATCCAGCATCTATAAGGAACTTAAACAAATCTACAAGAAAAAAACCAAGCAACCTCATAAAAGAAGTAGGCAAAGGACATGAACAGACACTTTTCTGTTTTTTTGAGACTGAGTCTCACTCCGTCGCTCAGGCTGGAGTGCAGTGACGCAATCTCAGCTTATTGCAACCTCCGCCTCCCAGGTTCAAGCAATTCTCGTGCCTCAGCCTCCCAAGTAGCTGGGACTACAGGTGCCTGCCACCACGCCCCACTAATTTTTGTACTTTTAGTAGAGACAGGGTTTCACCATATTGCCCAGGCTGGTCTCAAACTCCTGACCTAGTGACCTGCATGCCTCAGCCTCCCAAAGTGCTGGGATTACAGGCATGAGCCACCGCGCCTGGCCGAACAGACACTTTAAAAGAAGACATACATGGAGCCAACAAACAAATGAAAAAAAGCTCACATCACTGATCATTAGAGAAATGCAAATCAAAACCACAATGGGAACAAATTTATTTCTGAGTAAGAGCTCACTTCCTTATCCCTCCCCTGTCACAGATCCCATGACCCAAACCCCTCCCACTAGGCCCCACCTCCCAACACTGCCACACTGGGGATCAAATTTCAACATGAGTTTTGGTGGGAACAAACCACATCCAAACCATTGCACCATGGTACCCAGCATATATTATAACATTTATTGTGTAAGTTAAGAGATAGGATGAAATTTCCATAAGCTGTCTTCAGCAGACAAATGGTATCTTTCTGCAACTGTATCAGATCACATTCATTCAATCAAAACAATTATTGAATTTTTAATAGGTGAGGTTTTAGCAGTATAGAAAATAAACATAATCAATACCTCCTTGGAGCTTACACTTTACTGTGGACATGCAAATAAATGTATAATTTCAATAGGAGGAAGTGCTAAGAAGAAAATGTACAGGACTGTATGCTAGAGAGTGAGGGTGAGGGCATGTCTTGTCTAGTTAGGGAGGCCTCCTTGGGGAGGTGCCCTGTGAGCTGAGCCGATGCATACATGGTGATAAGAGTGAATTGTATGCAGATCCCAGGGGAGAGCAGTCTGGGCTCAGGCACAGCAAGTGTGAAGGTTTGAACAGGGAGCAAGCACTACCTGTTCAAGGAACAGAGAGAAGGCCAGGGTGGCTGGAGTGTGGTGAACAAGGGTGAGAGTGGTAGGAGAGGGGACCAGGGAGGCTGTCAGGGTTCAAGTGCTATAATGTGCTGCAGGCCATTGTAAGGAGTCTGTATTTTATTCTACAGGCAGTGGGACACAACCAAGGGTTTTTATCAGGGGTACAGCCAGATTTGTAGCCACCAGCTTCACATGTACATCACTGAAACGTTTCTTTTAAATGGAAATAATTTTTCTTTGTATTTTATAGAATAGACCAGAGGACTGCCATTTCGCCAAAGGATGCTTTTGAAACTCGGCAGGACTTAAATGAGGTACGTGCAATCATTACTGGTTATAAGAACATGAATTAGCCAATCATGAGATTTACTATTCTTTTTCACAGTACTAGGAATTCATTCTCATGAAAACTTAGTATTTTTGCTTTTAAGTGAACTTGTAATACTTATAGTTCTTTGTTCAATTGGTAATGTTTTTCCTTTTTCCGGAGCAAACATTTAAAATACTGTTTGTGAGGTGGCTTGCGATGTCTTGGCCCTAACCCAAGTCCAGCAGTCATTTTGTTACACTCTTTTCAGCTTTGCTTCAGGATTGTATAACCGTGGCGATGACAGTTAACATTTGCAAAATTTTCTCTTAATTTTATTTTGTCTACATCTCTGTTTTTCCTAACAGCTTCTGCAATTTCAAACATAATCATACTTACTGTTTATCCACTAAGAATGATATAGTTTAGTGTTTGCAATGTGATTTTCTTAGTAGACTTCAAGACGTGAAGCCGTATTTTCCAATCCAAATCATTTCCCACCAAACTGGACATCATGATGTTAATTAGCTTGTTCTGGATTTTCTTTGGAATATGTAATTGAATTCTCCTGTATGAAATTAATGTAATATAATTATGATATCTATTATAATGAATGCCATTGTTTAAGACATTGGTTTGGAATACTCTCTCTGGCTCTTCTTGTCCTCATTGTAAATTAAGTAGTAGTAGGTGGTATTTAGTACGTCTGATTAAGGTCATAGCAAAGAGAATGAAAAGACCTGATGATCAGATGCCAAAAAGAGAAATGATGGGGCTTTACCGCAAATTGTTTATTTGACGTTTTGAAGATGCATCCCTTCCTCCTCTTCCTCTCCCACCCCACAAAAAGGGTATTTCACTTAATTTAGGTGATTTTATTTTTCTTTTCTTTCTTTTTGGTAGAACTTGGTAGAAATAAATAGCTAAAGGTAAACCAGCTGCTTGGTTAAGCCAAGTTAAATAGCTAAAGTGGTAAAAAGTGTCCTAAAGATAAGAACACAGAATTGTTATTTTTGTGTGTGTGCATACAGACAGGCTCCAAATTCTACAATCTTCCTCATAGTAGTGAGTGAAAAAGAGTTTAAGAGAAAAGAGGCAAGAGCCTGAATCAGTGAACGCAGCTGTCTGCCCCACTGTGAACAAGCAAAATGCTAGTTGTAAAGGAGCAAAGCTTTGTTTTGACATAAGTGACTAGAAAAATGAGGTGATTGTAAGAGTCAACTCATGATAACTTTCAAGTATTTGGGAGAAACTGTTTTTTGAGCTGCAAATCCATGGGAATGCTGAGATCACTTGAACATTCCCAAATCTCAGTTGTGAAAAGCTATATTTGAAAACCTGCTTTTCTGTATTCCTTCACTACATTGTGTTTGCAAATGACATGAAGTGTGCCAGCTCACTGCGCTGATTGCCTGAGCATAAGAGCACTGGATGGAGAAGTCCATCTGAAACAGCAGGCATCGCCATATTTTAAACGTGTGCATTTCCATACAGAGGTGACGCTGCTGATCCAGACTGGTTGAATACAGTATGTGCTGACAGTGTTTTTTTTTCCATCAGGGGGTGAACTATATAGATTGACCCACATTCTTTCACACAGTTTCTGTTATGGCCAAAATTTGGGAGACCAGAAAAGACCTTGGGGAAACTTGAAGGACGTGCAATATGAATGGGACAGAGATCATCAAAGAGGGTGGATGTGTTCACACTCATGGATTGAAATGTCCTGTATCATTCCCAGCATTTCTCAACTTATTGAACACCAAACTCTTTTATGGAAGAACCACCTAATAACATTTCTTTAGGCGACAGAGTCTCTATGGAACACAAATGGGAAACATTGCTATATTTTTAATGGGGATAGAAAATACATACAGAAAAGTGCACAGGTCATAGGTATACAGCTGAATGAATTCTTACAAAGTGTGCAACCAGCACATAAATCAAGAAACAAAATATTACCAGCATCCCAGATGCCTCTTTGTAATTCCTTCCAGTCGCTACTCTCCTATGAAGATAACTAGTATTTTTTAGTGTTTTATTCATGGATTACATATGCTCTTTTGTGTCTGGCTTCGTTTGCTCCATATTATATTCATGAGGGTCATTCATGTTTGGTATATAGTCATAGTTTTCATTTGCCTTGCTGTAACTCATTGTATACTTGTTTCTGGTTGTTGACCAGAGCTGCTGTTATCTTTCATATATATCTTTATTACTATGAGCTGTTTTCTAGCCTCTTTGTACAGCTGACTTTTTACAGGAGTATGCCTCCCATCTCTAAATAAACATGTAAGGTAGAACTTTTTGTTATGTTAGCTCTCTTCATTGGTTTTTGTTCCTTTATTTTATTTATTCACCACCTCCCCACACATCCTTATAAAGAACCTACCAGTTCCATAACTGCACTCTCTTCCATACCAACTTGCGAGTCTAAAACCAAAAAAGAGTTTCTTGAGCCTCATGAGAATCATGGTCCAAAAGTGTTTTCCAGATGTTTCCATATGTTGTACGTAGTAATAATTACAAGATGCTACCTACGTACCTTATACATTCCCCAAATTTTACATCTGGTATTTCACTTCTACTATTTGTACTTCTTTGTCCACTTGCTCTGTGACTGACAGATGGGGCTCAGCTTGATTCCAGAGCTGGCACTTGACCCGAGGTCTTCTCTGCCTGGCACAGTGATACATGGTGTAGCGTATCCATGTATGTTGTCTCTGTGTGTGTTTCTCATACTTTCCTAGTGGGCCGAAGAGCTCACTAACTTCTTGTTTCCACTTGGCATGAGTATAGATTTGACACCTGCCAGTCTCATTTTTCTTCTGCCAGCCTAGAGCTCCCAGTTTTTGACTTTGAGTCTCTTGATAGGAATTGCATTTTTTATTCCACATTTTTTGTTGTCTCTGGGACTAGAGTATAGGAGTTTTTTCCAGAAAAAAACTGATTAAATCTCCCTACTGACATTCACCTGAGCTGTATGACTCTGTCTCGGTAAGACATCAGATTTTGGGGGTTAGGATCTTTTGAATCCTGACTGGAAAATATTCTAGACTTGAGATCTGTCAGTGTCTCATCCACCTTAATCCTTGGTCTTAGTCAGTCTGCCAGTCCATGTAATCATAAGCATTCAATAGATCAGAAAGGTACTTGAAAGATAAAATGAAGAACAATGATTGTTTTTACTCTCTGTATGCTTGTAGATCACATTCCTTGCTTCAGTCCCAATTAAGAAAAATAACATATTTATAAAGAAAACGAATAAATCTCTCCTTCCCTGAAAAAAAAAAAAAGCCATATTGGGTCCTCAAACTACTGTTTCCAACTCCCAGACTATATATGAAAGAGCACCACATCAACTTCTTTTAGTTTCCTTTGTAAACTAAAACTACTGAGAAAAAAATTGGTAGACTCAACAGTGAGGGTCAAAAGGGGATGATAATCTTTTCTTCCCACCTTGCTTCCGCATTTCTAACTCTGTAGGAAGTTTTGAATTGGGCTAACTCTAGGTGTCCTTTCAGAGATTTTTTTTAAGTTTAATTAGATTTTTAAATGACAAATAATAATTGTACATTTGTATATATTTATGGGATACAATGTGATGTTTTGATATATTATGGAATGAACAAATCAGGCAAATTTGCATATTCAACACTTTGAATATGTATCAGTTCTTTGTGATGAGAACATTTAAAATCCTCTATTTCAGCTAATATACAATATATTATTATTAATTATAGTCACTGTGTGGTGCAATAAACCACCAGAACTGATTTATCCTTTCTAACTGAAACTTTATACCCATTCACTAATGTCTCCCCTTTCCCTGTCCACCTCCTTCCTCCCCACCAGCCTCTGGTAACCCTATTTTACTCTCTACTAAAAGTTTGGCTTTTTTAGATTCCACTTATAAGTGAGATCTTACAGTATTGAGGCCTTTCAATTTTAACATTCATTGATTCTACCCTTCTTCCATTTTCCCAGTGCTTGCAGAGTGTAGCCATAGCTTCCCATCAGGGATGGAATAAGGAAAACCAAGTAACTCATGGTTAAGGCCTCCTCCTGGCCAACCCACCATCTGAAGCCTAGTTTGGGGAGTGAATAGTAAGTAGTGCAATAGCAGTGACATATATGCTTAGCATAGTTATTTATCAGTCTCACATGAGAGACAGGCCACATTATTGTACGTGAAGAATTGTGATCAACTGGGGATCTGGAGTGGTATGGCTGGAGCAGACTGAAGCTCTGGGTCACCATGGGCCTTCTTTTCTTCTTTATTATACTCACCCAACCCAACTCTTATGTCATCATCATACAGAAGGAAGTTATCACCTCAAAAACTGTTCACGGCCTCTGTGCTCAGGAAAAACACTTTATTTTCTTATCTGATAGATACTTTGAAGGTATTCTGCATTTACCTTTTGGATAAAACAATGTCAGTTGAGTGAATATGAGTTTGTTTACATTTTACTTCTTACCTGGAATTTCAAGGCCATATAGGTAAGGTCAGCCACAAGCCAATTGACCTTGAAGGAGAAGCTTTGGTGGCCTTACATGGATTCCTTATTTCCCTTGTCTTTGAGGCTTATTGGCCATGAAACTCTCTTGTGCTGGCATTGACCATCACTATCGTTTATCCTCTCCAGGCCTAAGATGCCAGCTTATAAATCTGAAAAAAATAAAACAATCTTCTCATGGGTTAATGGGTTTACCCAAGAGAGATGTGTTGAGCACAAAGAAGCAGATGCTAAATAATCCTGGAATGCAAAAATGGATAAATGTTGCATGAGTCTTTTGCACACCAGTAAACTCTATACCTCCAATGGCGGGGATTTCAAGGTAGCTAAGACTTAAGGCATCAATGGGAGAAATACTTCTAGGTGGATATACTGACTTTTTTTTTTGTCCCCAGAGTAAAACCATAGAGACAGGTGTCTGTCTCCCCCAGGTATGTTTCCCACATGGTAAGGAGTCTAAGTGGGATGACTCACTGTAGGAACATAGAAAAATCTAAAACCTTAATAAAATTAGGAGGACAGAATAAGTTCAGTTGCAGGGAGTGAATGAGATAGAGGGGATGGGGACTGTGTTTAGAAGGTTTGAGATCCTTGAAGTTTATTGCAACTTGCTGAGGCAGCCAGCCATAGTGAAGTGGAAGGAACCCTGGAACTGAGGGGGTTGAGGAATTATGAAGCCAGACAATAGCATGATTGTCAGCCTGGACCTTGAAGTAACTGAATGTCAGGGGCCACTGATGGAGAGGAAGAAACCAACCCAGATGGAAGTCGCTGAGTCCTATAATATTCAGGTCATGGAATAGGAAAGGATGGTGTTGTCTTTTGTAGGGGAGAAGAAATTGGTAGACTCAACAGTGAGGGTCAAAAGGGGATGATAATCTATTCATCCCACCTTGCTTCCCCATTTCTAACTGTGAGGTAGAGAGTAGGAAAGAGAAATGATTTTTGAAGGTGGAGAAATTTCAGTCACATTGTTACTTCATAAGGAATGTTAACACCGTCACACTGGCTAAGCCATTTCACCTGGTAACTAGCAGAACCTAAAACATCTGAAAAAGGCAAGCACAAGTTCTCTGATACTGCATTGTGCTCCCTTTATGAGTGCTTTGTCCATTTATGCCCAAGGTTGCAATGTTTTGAATTTTTGCAATCAGACCTTGGCAATGACTTTGAGCAGTAGGATATAAATAACTCCCACATGCTTCGCGTTCCAATAATGGAACACTAGGCATAAATGGGTTAGAGTGAGAGGATAATAGCATCTCTTTAATGGAAAGAATATTACTGTAACTCTATTCTGAAGACTCCATTTTGAGTGCTCTTTGTGTTTATAGAATAAGGTAGAAATATTTTTGCTGTTAATTGACCCTACAGGGCATTCTAAAGGTATGTTCTGCCTCTGTTGTTGCTTTGAAATTTAGTATTGACTTTATCAAAAATAGCCAGGAGATTTCCAGATTTGTGTGTGTCCTCATCACTCTCATTGGTTACTGGGGAACCAGAGGAAGAGAAGATGCTCACAATGAGCATGGATTCAGACTTGTGTTATATTCTGACTGTGGTTCTACCAAAAGAGGATAAATTCCTTAGGAATACCATTAGAATCTAGAGGAAGAGGCTATCTTATAAGAAACAAATGTAATAAATTACTAGCATGCAACAGATGTTCAATAATGACCTAATATCAATATTAAGAAGTTTAACCTTGGATCTATAATTGCAGTCTTATTCTACAAAGGAGATACCTATTTTTATTTAGCTTGGTATAAAAGAGATGATTTATTTACCTGAAATCAATATGAAAAATTAATTTTTCTTCCCATACTACTGTTAACTCTTATCTGTTCAATTATGCTGGTCATAATAACTAAACTTTAGCCTCAATGTCAAAGATATCGATGAAGAATCCTTTAATATGTTAATTTTGTTAAAAGTAGGACAATTTGCACACATGCAGTGTCCCTCTTTGAGTCGGTATGCATGTGTCTATGCCTCTGTGTATCTCCATGTGAAGGACTAGATTGTGTTTTTATTGCATCCACAGTTTATCATATAGGTATTTTGGCATCAAACCATGTCAAGCCTCAAGATGGTACTTATTGTTTTGTTCAGGATGTGTTTCTTCCTCAAAATTGTGTTAATTTTGTGAAAATGGTCTAGGAAGAGGCTTCCTAGGCCTTTAACATTCTTGAGCTGACTGAATGGTATTATTTCTGTAAGAATAGGCAGCTCTATTTTTCTATTCAAATGCAAACCCAGTCTATAGGGTTAGGCCTTAGTTTGGGATTGAGTGAGGGTGTTTTAAAAAGTATCTGTGATTCTTTCGGTGTGACTGAAAGTCAATTCAACTTGGTTTTAATAAGAACAGGATGTTATTGACATATAGCAGAAAACTTAGGATCAGGATAGGCTCTATGCATGGCTAGGTCCAGGGATTGAAAACTCATCACTGGAGATGCCATCTATTTCTATCTCTGGGTTCTTCTTTTTCTATATTGGCTTCATCTTTATTTAGGTCAGCCCCTTTTTAGGGACAAATTATTTAGTAATTCCAGTGTATATTAGTTTTCTATTAATGGGTAATAAATTACCAAGAGCTTAGTGGCTTTAAACATTTATTTATTAGCTTACAGTTATGTAGGTCAGAAATGTGGGTGGACTCAACTGGGTTTTCTGCTTAGGGTTTCATGAAATTGAAATCTAGGCACTGGCTGGGGTAGTTTCTTATCTGGAGGTTCTGGAGAAAAGCCCCCGTCCCAGCTTCTTCAGGTCATTGCCTGAATTTAGTTCCTTGTAGTTGTGCAACTGTGTGTCCTGCTTCCTTGCTGGGTGTCACCTGAGGGCAGCTCTCAGCTTCTAGAGGCTGTCACACTCCCCCTCCTCACCCTTTATCTTGGAGCCAGCAACAGCGTGGCAAATCCTTCTTGTGCTTTGAATTTCTATAATGTTGTCTTTTGCTACCAACTGGAAGAAACTCTGTGCATTTTAAAGGCCTCCCCGATTGGTCCAGGCTCAGCCAAGTAATCTGTATCTTTGGTCAGCTAAGTTAAAGCTTTAATTACATTTGCAAATCTCTTCATAGAAGTACCTAGATTAGTGTTTGATTATGTTATCAGGATATTAGGATTCTGCCTACCACACAGTGAAATAAGAGTCTCTCCTTCCCAGTTCTAAAAAGTCCCATACTTCAGTCTGATTTATCTGGCTTGGGGCATGTGCCCATTTCTGAACCAGTTCCTGTGATGTTGGTGTTTGGAATAAGCTGATTTGTTAGACTTGGGCCATATTTCCCACTTAGGATCTAGGAGTGCTATTCTCAGAAGATAAGTAATTAGATGCTGCATAATGTTGGTCTCTGGAAGCATGATCTCCAAGGTAATTTTCCTCTCTGCTGGACCCCTGCAGGATGCCACTTAGCATTTTTCTGGTATGGCTTTCTGAGTTGAGGTAGAGTCACCTTGCTCCCCTACCAAGGTTTGTTCCTCAGCTGGAGCAGTATCCTATGATTCATTTAATTTTAGACAACTTTTGTTATCAGTGTCAATGAGGACATCCCGTAGCCAACATGTTCACGGTGTGAATACTAGTTCTCATTCCCAGCTGAATGAACTGCATGGCAAAAAAGTTCTGAATGGCTTCCAGGCCTGCTTTATTCTGCCCCATTGTTCAGATGCAGGTATCTAGCCTGCTTTCTTATTTCCAGGGAAACCAGGTCTGTGAGCCTCACCCTCAGGGGAATCCTTAGTGTGGTGTTGGCAGAAAAAGTGGAAGCCATGCCAGCAGCTGCCTCTATTTTTCCTTGTCTGGGAACTGCCTTGGAGAAGCATCAGAGGTGTTGGGCTGAGCAGAGGCATTGAGGCAGGACTTGCCTAGTTGACCCACCTGTGCTGCCTTTTGCCTGGCAGCCTACCCATCTCCCCAGCTCCTCTGTCCCTTTGTCCCATTGGCTCCTCCTGTTTTCTCTGGCATGACATCTTGATCCTTTTTCTTGTTGCTCATTCTTTCATGTATATCTCTTCATACTACTAATTTCCTACTCTCTCATGTAAGGCTGGAAGGAACTGTGTCCAGTTCAGTGGCTCCCGGGGCCAGCCTGTGCTGTAGTTTTTATTGCTTTTTGGCAAAAGTATAAACGTAAGAGCAATGAATATAGTGAGTTTTTTTATAAAGTCCATGAACAACCTTTCACTTAGAAATTGTTCTTAAAATTTTCATTTTGTGAGGAAATGATGGGGAGGGGATTTGTTTGTTTTCTTTCTTACATGCTCTCACTTGGTGAAATACAAAGTTGACAGCTTTCATAAATATATTCTGTTCCCCCTACCCCTGCTAACTTTTAGAAAATATTACTGCTGAACTGAAGACCAAATTTTTCCTGAGAGCTGTGACCTTTGAAATGTTTTCTTCTAAGGGTAATTCTTTCTTTCAACAGGATTTATTGAGAAGCAAATGTGTATCCAGCTTTGGGTCTGGTACAGGGGTGAGGTGAAACAGCTGCAGTACAAGAGTGGACTTTGCTGTCCTCACTTCCCAGAGGTTTACAGGGACACATATCAAGTCGGGACATCTGGCCTTCCTAGCCTTGGCACCTATTGTCTTTTTTAGGACATTTTTGGCCTTCTGAAGGTTATAAAACTCAAGTTTATAGAGAGACAAGAGCTGAATTTTCTTATTTTCTTACAAAATATTAGTATTTGACAACCTAAGTGTCTATCAACAGACAAATGGATAAAGAAAATATGGTACTTATATACAATGGAATATTATCCAGTCATAAAAAAGAGTGAAATATTGTCATTTACAGCAACATGGGTGATCCTGGAGAAAATTATATTAAATGAAATAAGCCAGTCACAGAAAGATAAACACTGCATGTTCTTGCTCATGTGTGAATGCTAAGAAAGTTGTTCTTGGCCGGGCGCAGTGGCTCACGCCTGTAATCCCAGCACTTTGGGAGGCCGAGGCGGGTGGATCACGAGGTCAGGAGATCGAGACCATCCAGGCTAACACGGTGAAACCCCGTCTCTACTAAAAATACAAAAAAAAATTAGCTGGGCATGGTGGTGGGCGCCTGTAGTCCCAGCTACTCAGGAGGCTGAGGCAGGAGAATGGCGTGAACCCAGGAGGTGGAGTTTGCATTGAGCTGAGATTGCACCACTGCACTCCATCCTGGGCAACAGAATGAGACTCCGTCTCAAAAAAAAAAAAAAAAAAAAAAGAAAAAGAAAAAATGTTGATCTCAGAAGTAGAGAGTAGAATAGTGGTTACTAGATGCTGGGAAGGGTAAGGGGGAGAGAGAGACAGGGAGGGATTGGTTAAAGGATATAAAATCATTGCTAGATAAGAGGAATAAGTTCTAGTATTCTACAGCACTGTAGTGTGACTCTCGTCAATAATGATTTACTACGGATTTTCAAATAGCTAGGAGAGAAGATTTTGAATGTTCCCAACACAAGCAAATGGTAAATATTTGAGGTAGTGAATAATCTCATTATTGTGATTTGATCACTATGTATGTATCAAAACTCACCGTGTACCCTGTAAATATGTATAATTATTATGTGTCAATTCAAAATTTAAAAATATATAACTTAAAAATTAGTATTTGAGGAAATGGCCATGCTTTCCAATGTGACCTGCCATCTTTAAAGGCATAGATATATGTTATTTCATATGGCATGTGATTTTATAATTTTCAGTGAATACTTACTGATTTCTAATAAATATTCATTGAATTTTAGAAAACGAAGGAGTTAAGGTAGTGTTATCAGAAAAAGTAGATGGCCTATGAGCCAGCATCATTTGGTGGTTTGCCCTGTGACACAGAATGAGCCAGATTAAGGGCCCAGTGGGCCATCTCCTGTGCTACCATCTTACTAAGTTTAGTTTTGAAGGTGAATATTTTTCAGGTCTAAAATAAATGGAAACAAAGCCACAAAGAAACAACCATATGGGCTACAACCCAGACTAGCTTTGGAGTTCAGCCCTTGGGATTTAATTAATGTTCTGGGAAAAATGACTGGTTAGGGGCTTATCCAACTTAAGACCTGTGCTTTTGGATAATTTAAGTACTAGTAACTCCATTGAGAAACTATTGAAGTTCATTCCATGAGTTGTAAGTGAGACACATTGTATTTTCAGAAAAATCAGTCTTATTATCTAGAAAAGCTCAGAGTTCTACTTTAAATTGGGAGTTTATAGGTCAGGCGCAGTGGCTCACACGTGTAATCCCAGCACTTTGGGAGGCCAAGGTGGGCGGACCACGAGGTCAGGAGATAGAGACCATCCTGGCTAATATGGTGAAACCCTGCCTCTACTAAAAATATAAAAAATTCGCCAGGCGTGATGGTGGGCGCCTGTAGTCCCAGCTACTCAGGAGGCTGAGGCAGGAGAATGGCGTGAACCCAGGAGGTGGAGCTTGCAGTGAGCCGAGATCACACCACTGCACTCCAGCCTGGGCGACAGAGCAAGACTCCATCTCAAAAAAAAAAAAAAAAAAAAAGGGAGTTTATAAAATGGTATTATTCTCTCCCAAACATCTTGTTCTTATTGTTCATTTAATAAAGTGAACATAACAAGGATATCATAATGAGGTGAAATCAAGTATAGGATTCCCCTTTCCAGGTTGAAGTCATTTAGCTTAAAGGAAATGTGGGTTTTATTATTGTATATTGTGGCTAGGTTGTCCTTGTTTAAAAAGAATTGCTGATAGGATCCAAATAAGACCTGGATTTTCTTGTCAACAGAAGGCTCCTTAAAGTGAATAGCTTGCTCTCCTACATTGAATTTCTCCTTTGGGAGGTGGCGGAGAGTGAGGGCTGAGCTCCTGAACAGAGGGAAGCTGGGGCGGGCTGAGCTGAGGTGTGCTGTGCTGCAAACCATGCTCAGACACAAGTGACGCTGTCCTCAGAGGGATTCGCCAAAAGTCCAATGTCTTTACTTTAGGGGAGGGATAAATTTGGCTTTTTCTTGTAATGGTCGACATTGGGAGAAGTCCCACTGTGTTGGCAAGAACATCCAGAAGTTCAGGAAGCAATACCTTCTTGCTTCTGAGCACTTCACACTTTATACCTCCTGGTAGGGGTGGGGGCAGCTTTCAAGGGAACCAACCGAAGGATAAAAAGGCAATGAGGGAGTCAGAGGGCTGGGGCTCAGAGAAAAGCTTCTGGCCCTGGGGCAAGTAGAGCTAAGTGGGCAACTGAGATATTTATAGTGTGTCAAGGCCCCAGGGAATAGGGCCCTTGGACTTCTTGTGTTGAAAGACCCTGCCTCAGACCTACTGAACCAGAATCTCTGGAATGGGCACGTCCTGGGAGTGCACGTCTTTTATAAACTCCCCTGTGATTTTTAAGCACTTTAAGGTTTCTAAACCAGGGCAGCAGGAGGGGTCAATATTGGATACTCAGAGACCCCTGCCCCCCCTGCAAATACTGGCTAAAGGACCCAGAAAGACAAAACTCAGATACAATGGCAGCCTTTTTATTGGTTGGCTCTTTTCTACACATTGCGCTAGGATGCAGCAGTAAACAATGGAGGTACGGTGCTAGCTCTCATGGAGCTGATAAACAATACACAAAATTACATAATGTGGCGAGCCTTGTGAAGGAAATAAACAAGATGCTAAAAGAGACACTAGGGGGCCCCCTGCTGAGATAAGATAATCAGAACTGGCTCAATAATTTGATGGGATCTTGGCCGAGAAACAACTAGAGCTGAGTAGGGTCTGAGGAGGAGGGGGCAGAGAGCAGGTGAATCAGCAGATGGAAAGGAAGGGTGTTGTATGTATGTGGGTGGGCATATATTCAAGAAACATTGAAATTCAGGGAAGAAGAGTGGTAAGTAGAAATGGAGACATTTGGAGACCCAGTCATGTCCCCAGTTTTGAGCAGATTTCCAACTTGATTTGCTTCATATCATCATAGGGAATCATATGCAATTCTTGGACAGATAAAAGGATGGGAGAGGAGGACTAAAGCCTTTCATACGAACTAAATGTAAGCTGTGCCTGCTCTGGGACTGGTGAATTGCAGACAAAGGCACCTTAAAATAGTATTTAACCATCCAGCCTGTGTGGGTGTTCTCTATTTCAACCCAACTAAAGTGGGACCTGAGTAATTGTAGAGGAGAGAAAATGAGTAGAGTATTTTCTAAAACAAGTAGCATATTCTCCATTATGTAAATGGGAAAAATTAGCTTTTTAAAGAAAACCACACCTACGTTTCACAGACTTCTCTCTGGCTTCTTTCTTAACCAGATGGGATAGTTGGAGCAGCAGGGGTGGTCATTGTTCTTTACAGGGTCTGTTAGCCCTTACTCAATTTTCCTGCAGATTCTAGACATTCGTTTGAGGAGACTTTGGATATAAACCAGGAAAAGCACTAGCAGTCTGGCCCTGAGTGACGGGCTTGGGGAGGCAGGGAGAGTGGAAGTCCTATCAGAGAGGGCTGGGTTGAGGTGGCACTAGGACTGTAGGGGTTTACTAGGACCTGGAATGAAGGGTCCCTCATCTTTCTGTAGAGGGAAAAGCATGTTCCTGCATTGAAGGTCACTAAGTCGGGCATGATGGAAGTGAAATGGGTGGTTAGTCACTCACTCCCTGGGCTTGCTGTTTCTTTCCTCCATAGCCCTATGACAATAATAACTGTCATGATTTTTTGATTTGTTTACTTGCTTATTAGTGATCTCCCACTAGACTGGAAGCCCCACGAGGAAGGGGCTGCTAATAGCCTCATACTGCAGAGCCTAGTGCAGCTCTTGCATGGAAAGCTGCCTGGCTTTCCATGTGGAGCTGGATGTGTGGCATCATGCCTGCAAGGTGGACACGAACTCTGCACATTCACTGCAAGCTGTCCTGAAGCCTTCTTGGGGTGGCTCTGCAGGGCACAGACCTGGTAGGACAGATCACCCATCCACTGGAAGGACATGTATGTGGCAGTGGTGTAGATCAGGGGTCTCCAACCCCAGAGCCATGGACCAGTACCGGCCTGTAGCCTGTTAGGACCTGGGCTGCACGGCCCGAGAAGATGAGCAGTGGGCAGCGAGCTTTACTGCCTGAGCTCCGCCTCCTGTCAGATCAGTGGTGGCATTAGATTCTCAGGAGCATGCACCCTATTGTGAACTGCGCATGCGAGGAATCTATGTTGCGTGCTCCTTTTGAGGATCTAATGCCTCATGATCTGAGGTGGAACAGTTTCATCCCAAAACAATCCCCGTGCCCCAGTCCATGGAAAAATTGTCTTCTGCAAAGCCGGTCCCTGGTGCCAAAAAGGTTGGGACTGCTAGTGTAGATTACTCATAGACAAATCTCCCCGTCCCCTTGTCATGGGTTCCTTGATCCTCAGAACAAGTATCTCTTCATGGACCCCATCCCACACAGTGTGTCCAAGTCCCCACTCTCTGTTCAGGAGGACTTACAAGTGGCCCATGGTGCCAAAAGGCAGACTGTCCTCAGGTAATGGGTCAGTGAGGGGTGGGAAGGAATATTACTGAGGACAGCTGGTCTGCAGAGTTTCTTCCTCTTTGCCTTCTTGTCCTCCATTTATAACAGTTTGTTTTCCCTTCTACTTGGGGATCTTCTTGTTTCTCCAGACCTTCATCTTTTGTCTCCTATTCCATTTGCCACTTAATTTCTTCCCTATTACTCTAAGTTTAGTCCTATCTAATAGCTGAAGAAGGAATAAACCAGCCACACAACTAGATCTCCTTTGACACTCAGAGTCTTGCTTAGTGTGAGTACAGTGAGGGAGAAAGTGGCAGAGGAAGATGGATGAGAACAACCGATGGATGCTTCTTCTTCTTCTTCTTTTTCCCCCTGTTGCCCAGTCTGGAGTGCAATGGCATGATCTTGGCTCACTGCACCCTCCACCTCCTGGGTTCAAGCAATTCTCATGCCTCTGCCACCCAAGTAGCTGGGATTACAGGAGTGTGCCACCATGCCTGGCTAAAGTTTTATATTTTTAGTAGAGAAGGGGTTTCACCATGTTGGCTAGGCTGGTCTTGAACTCCTGACCTCAAATGATCCACCCACCTCGGCCTCCCAAAGTGCTGGGATTATAGGCATAAGCCACTGCGCCCAGCCACCAATGGATAGTTCTAGCCATAACTGGGTCATGGCATTATACCTCTGTTCCTATGGGAGACCAGGGATCTCTGAATGTGAACTCCTGTGCAGTGAAATTCTTTGAAACCTATTTGTGTTGTCTGGACATTTGGTTCCGTTCCAAACACAGTGTCTAAGCACCCACTCCATGCCAGATTCTGTGCATCCATCTCCAGTCCATGTGCCTGTTTGCTTTTCTCTCCTTTAAAGTTGTAAGGGGACTTAGAAGTCATGTAGCCTAAGGGCCTTGCTAGGCAGGTGCAGAAATAAGACCCTGGGGGGTAAAGTGATGAGTCAAGGCCTCAGTGTCAGTGTAGTGTACAGCCTTGCCACATGGCCAGAGCTCTATCCGGCAGCCTTTGGGGTTTGGAGATAGTCATACTAAACACAGAATCCAGTCCTTGTGTGTTTGCAACATGCTGGTGCTCTGCAAAGTGCTTTCCAGCTTTCCATGATTTCCCTTGTTTAATTCTGAGAGCATCCCTTAGAGCAAGTACCATTGTTGTTGTTAACACTGCCCCTTTATACAGAGGACATTAAGGCCCAGAATAACTAGGATGCTTGGCCAAAGTCAGACACATGGTATGTAGCAAAGCTGACATTCCCTCTCGTTCTGTGGGAACCTGAAAGCTATGCCCTCTTCTGCTTTGCAGAATATACAAGAGCACTTACAAATTTGAGACAGGCAGCTGGTTCTACAATTAAAAAAAAAAGAATGAAAGGTAAAGTTAAAGAAAGAATGCTAGCCTTTCTTTTTACTTTACCTTTCATTCATTTTTAAAAATTCTTAAAATATATCTAACCTAAAATTTACCATTTAACTTTTTTTTTTTTTTTTTTTTTTTTTTTTTTGAGACAGAGTCTCACTCTGTCACCCAGGCTAGAGTGCAGTGGCATGATCTCCACTCACTGCAACCTCCACCTCCTGGGTACAAGCAATTGTCCTGTCTCAGACTCCCGAGTAGCTGGGACTACTGGCGCCCCCAACCATGCCCGGCTAATTTTTGTATTTTCAGTAGAGACAGGATTTCACCATATTGGTCAGGCTGGTCTCGAAGTCCTGACCTCAAGTGATCCTCCCACCTCTGCCTCCCAAAGTGCTGGGATTACAGGCGTGAGCCACCACACCTGGCCTTTTTTTTTTTTTTTTTTTTTGAGATGGAGTCTCGCTCTATTGCCCAGGCTGGAGTGCAATGGTGCGATCTTGGCTCACTGCATCCTCCACCTCCTGGGTTCAAGCGATTCTCCTGTCTCAGCCTCCTAAGTAGCTGGGATTACAGGTGCGTGCCACCACACCCGGTTAATTTTGGTATTTTTTCGTAGAAATAGGGTTTCACCATGTCAGTCAGGCTGGTCTCAAACTCCTGACCTCAGGTGATCCACCGCCTTGACCTCCCAAAGTGCTGGGATTACAGGTATGAGCCACTGCACCCTGCCACCATTTAAACATTTTTAAGTGTGTAGTTCAGTGACATTAAGTACAGTCACACTGTTGGGCAACCATCACTACCATCCATCTCCAGAACTTTTTTCATCTTCCCAATATAAAACTCTGTACCCATTAAACAATAGCTCCCATCTCCTCCCTATGTCCCACCCCCCAGCACCAGCTCTTGATAACCACCATTCTACTTTCTGTATGATGAATATATATATATATATATATATATATTTGAGATGGAGTCTTGCTCTGTTGCCCAGGCTGAAGTGCAGTGGTACAATCTCAGCTCACTGCAACCCCAAACTCCCGGGTTCAAGCAATTATCGTGCCTCAGTGTCCTGAGCAGCTGAAATTACAGGTGTGTGCCACCATGCCCAGCTAATTTTTATATTTTTAGTATAGACGAGGTTTCCCCATGTTAGCCAGCCTGGTCTCAACCTCCTGGCCTCAAGTGATCCGCCTGTCTCAGCCTCCCAAAGTGCTGGGATTTACAGGCTTAGGCCACCGCTTCCAGCTTCGATGAATTTTACTACTCTAAATATCTTATGCAAGTGGGAGTATACAGTAGTTATCCTTTTGTGATTGGTTTATTTCACTTAGCATAATGTCCTCAAAGTTTATACATGTTGTGGCATGTTGCTGTGTCAGAATTCCTTCCTTTTGAATGCTGAACAATGTTCCATTGTATGTGCATAACCACGTTTGGTTTATCCATTCATCCGCTCATGGACACTTGGGCTGTGTCCACCTTGTGTTAGTCTGTTAGTTCTTCCATAACAAATATCAGACTTGGAAACTTAAACAACAGAAATGTATTTTTTCACAGTCCTGAAGACTGGAAGTCTCAGATCAAGGTGCCAGCAGGGTCAATTTCTCCTGAGCCTCTCTCCTTGTCTTGCAGACAGCTGCCTTCTCACATGGCCTTCTTTCTGTCTGTCTCCCTGGTATTGCTTCCTCATCTAACCCTAACTGCCTCTTTAAAGGGGCTGTCTCCAAATACAGTATCATTGGGGCTTAGGGCTTCAATGTATAAATTTTGTAGAGACACTATTTTATCCAAAACATAACTCTTGGTTATTGTGAGTAATGCAGCCATGAGTGTGAGTGTATGAATATCTGTTCAAGTCCCTGCTTCCAATTGTTTTGGCTAGATATGCAGCAATGAAATTGCTGGATTATATGGTAATTCTATTTTTAATATTTTGGGAGCCCATCATTCTGTTTTGCATAGTGGCAGCACCATTTTGCATTCCCATGGCATTATTTGTTAATCTTCAGGGTAGTTTTGCTCTTTTTGAGAGGTCACTGATTTCCAATGTCCTTCAGTAGGAAACTTGCCTAGAATCTTTGTTTGCCTCCCAGCTGCTTGTTTACTAAATAGTAAATCCTCCCAGAAACTTGGTGTGCCTGTTCCTTCAGCAGCTCCTGTCAACAACCTCAGTTCTTGCTTCCACACTCAGCTGCTGGGAAAACTTCCCAGAATGGAGGAGGAAGCCAAAAAAATGGCCCAGTCCCACACAGGTGCTTCACGTGAGCTATGGGCTCCCAGACAGCAGCCGCTGAGCTCTTAGGAGGTTTGCGCCGGGTCCCACCCCATCTCCAGGCATGGCAGAGGTGTGATCCTGAGCCTGCCTAGGCACCTGCTCCTTTCAGAATGGTGAAGAGACAACAGATTTTAGACATCCCTTGGTGGGCAGCTTGTAAAACACTACTGTAGGTTCATACTCACATCAACAGAATGGATCAAGTGGTGTGTGTGGGACTCGATCTTGCATGGAAGGGAGGAGTTGGGGTGTGAGAGATGTTGGATAGATGTCTATGTGAGGAGAGGTGTGAAGGTGTGTATGGAGCAGGTGTGTGTGTGTGGACAGTATGTGAAGGCATGGGAATTGGATGTGGGTGTGTGTGAGGTGGGTGTGCATGGGTATGTGTGGAGTAGGCTGGGAGGTTTCGGGGGCTGGATGTGAGGGTATGAGGTATGTGTGGGGTAAGGGTGTGTGTGTGTGGAAGGTGGGGTGTTTTTAGGTGTGGGGAGTAGGGATGAGAGTATGGGGGTTTGGTATGAGCGTCTGTGTGGAGTAGGAGGTGAGGGTAGGTATGAGAGTGCATGTAGGATGGAGGTGATCACTAGGGGCTGAGGGTGTACATACGTGTGTGTGTGTGGAGTAGGGGGTGAGGGTGTGTATGTGGCAGGGGTGGGGCTGTGGAGTGGGAGTGACACTGTGTGGGGGAAAGGATATGCAGAGGGTAGGGTGTGAGTAGGTGTGTGTGTGCCTGTGTGTGTTGGAGGGTCCTAGCAGGGAAAGGACCAGTGGCTCTGCTCCCGGTGCCCACCCCTGCTGGAGCTGGGAGGACAGAAGAGCAGCTGAGACCTGCAGAACCTTCTCGTGGAGAGGGAGAGAGCCTGGCCAGGGACTCAGGCTGACTCACTTTCACCTGGTCGGAGGAATTAATTTGCTGGCATCTGCATCATGGCAGGATGCATGCGTCAATCTGTATGACTTTGTTCTTATTAAGAATCATGGGAGAAATTTTAAATGAGAAATGAAGAGAGTGGGTGGGAGGTTATGCTGAGGGCTATGAAAGATAAATTGCTTCTTCCTCAGTGGCTAGGTTATGCTAAATGACCAAGGTCATCTCCCTCCACCCTTTTCTTTCACCCTGTTCTCATGTAAGAGAAGTAACTTTAGAAGACACACACACACACACACACACATACCCCAGCATACCAATGTGGACTAGGGAGCCTCAAAGCCCCTCCCAGATGCCAGGCAGCCTCTGCAGCAGTAACTCTTTGTGCACTGCAGTTTGCTGCAGTCTTTGCTTTGGAGGGATGATGGCTTTTATGAACGGTAGCCAGGGAGGGACCTAATGTCTTCTGCTTCCTGATGTCAGCACAATGAATGAAACACTCAAAGCGTAAAGCCTCAAGCACCCGGGAAGCAGATATCTTCTCAGATTGGTTCTCCAGATGCAGCGTCTCTTGCTGATGAAATCACCAGTCCCATGTGTCACAGATAATCCATATACGTTAGGATTTAAATGAGGCAGAAACTCAGCCTGCATGTGGAATGATGCGTATATGATTCTGGCACAACCAGTTCTTTCCCTGAAGCAGCTGTTGCCACCACCCTCTTCCTGCCAGGCAGTGGAGGAAGGTGCTTGCGGGAGCTGCGGACACACTGTTGTGTGTTAGGCATCTACTTAGCTGGCCTCATGTTCTGCTTTTGCTGGCAGAATTCCTTGCTGAAGCTGCAAGCCCTCGAATCTGATCTGTGCTCTGCATTTTTAACAAACCAGGAAGAAGCTGCTCAGGTGCATGGAGTCAAGGACCCGGCGCCAGCATCAACCCAGAGCGTGCTTGCCGATGGGACAGATTCTGCAGGTAAGATACAGGGCTGGGGGTTGTCCCAAATTGTACTCTCAAGGTAGTTCAGTCTCTTGCTGGTTCACACTCAGCCTGAGCCCCTGAGGGAAAACAGTGCCTGGGGCAACATGAAAGCCCAAGAGGTGCTTCTGAGTTGCCCAGGAGTTGCTGAGGGGGAGCAGGAAGGATTGGGATTTGCTATAACATAGACCTGTCTAGATGCGGCCAAGAGTCACACTTACACAAATGGGTGTCATTTGTGTAAGGTGAAAGTACCCATCACAACATCTAGTCTTCATTTTCCCATTTGGTCTCCTGGGACAAATGAGTGCTATGCTTATTTTATATTACTGGACCTAGATAACCTGTGCTGTCTTGAAATTCTTCTTTTTGATGTGTTGAGGATGGGGAAGTTTCCATACTGCTACTTCCTTTCCTGTTAACTGCTTGTAAGATGATCCATGCATGCAGGGAAAGTGGGGGTGAGTGGTCCACTGACAGCTCATTCTGATCCTGTATTGTCTTGTTTGGTTTCCATTTTTTTTTTTCATTAATTTCCTTGTCAAAAAGTCCCAAATTGAGTCTCAATTTTCTGTTAGTCTCTGGCTTTAATTCCGGGGATGGTAGATTGGCTAGCCAACAGCAGGCAAATTAATGTTCCCAGGAATATTTGGAGAGGAAAGAAACACTGATTTATATAAGTGAGAGCACAGCTTATGTTTTCTAACATAACAAAGAGGTCACAAGTTTGCAGACTGGTTTCCAGATAAATGGTAGAAATAGGCTTAGGGAGCATTCTTCATGAAAGGTCCTTAATCTCTAGGAGTTGAAGGCAAAGATTTACACAGGTAATCTGTTTCAGTACCATTAGCAATTGTACATTTTAGATACTCCTGTTGAAAGCAGACCCCATAAATATATACACCTACTATATGCCCAAATTAAAAGTAAAAATAAATGAACAATTTAAACAAATTTTAAAGAAAAAAGAAAGAAAACAGACCCACATAGTCTAAGCAGGTAAATCAGTACTCTCCAGTGCTGGAATGTGTACTAATAATGGTGGCATATAATAGCTACTAGTAGTAGCTACTATCATTATTTAAAACATTCTATGATCCTGGCACTGTTCTAAGCACTTTTTGTGTATTATATTAAATACTTAAACTGACCTGTGAAGTACTACCATTCTTCATAAGACACTGAAGCCTAGTATAGCATTGCTGGTGAGTGGTACATTGTTTCCCTATGGATGCAGGTGGCCAGTTGGCTGTCTTTGTTGCCCAGTGAGCTCTCCTGCTCTGTTGGCCATTATGTTTGGATGAGTGGCAAATAAAATTGAACAGGAGCCAACGTCAAGCCAATTAGCAATTTCAGTCAGATTATTTAGACAACATCCCTTTTCTTCCCTCAACACCAGATTCCACTCCCTGCAAACAGACAACATATTTAATACAAAACACATAAAGAAGTCTCAAGCCAAGTACAAGTTAACTGTTGAGTTATTTGATGATTTGGATTAACTATACAAGTTTCTGACAAAGTGTTCAGTAAAATATTTGTTGCATGTTGGATGTGGATATATTTTTTCTTCTTTTCATCATGACTTTTATGTGTCTTCCCAACAATTAAGAATAGTTTTGGATTTTCTAATTCGGCATGGGCAAGATTTTGTACAAGCTTATTATCACTTGTTATAAAATGAAAATAAATACAGGGTTTATGTAGGGATTGCTCACACGGAGGAACTAGCAATGCATTCCATGTTAAATATCAAATGGCAGAGATGTGCAGAAGTCTCTTTAGAGAGGAGGCTTGTGGGTTGCATGCTGGATTTTCCAAAATGTAGATGAATCTGAAATGTCTCAGATCTCCCAAGAGAGTCTAGAAAACTAGATTGTAGAGACATCTAGAAAACTGATGTTTCCAGGGACCTAAGGAGTCTCTTCATTTGGCAGGGATATTGCCAAAGTGACAGGCAGTTGTAAGGTGCCTTTGTGACTTAAATTATGGGATGGTTTGGTCTCACTGGGTTCTTAGATGCACTCTTACAGGAAGACCATGCATTTTTCTAATCAATGAGTCACTCAGGGAAGAAATTTATGCTCAGATCCATGGTTCTTAACTCAGGGATGGATTTCTAGAATGATCTTTGGACACCTTAAAACTTTAAGTTTTTTCATGTTAGTCCTGGTGAGAGGATGGTTGTGTAAGATGAACACAGATGGCCATAGTCCATAAAAGATTATAGTAACTTATAAACAGTTTTCTCTTTCTTAACATCTAGCATTATCTCTGAGCCTTACATGTATACAAATATTCAAATCATAATTGTTATAAAAATTCAATTAGTAATTTTTGATGTCAATAACATGGACAAAATCCGTGATTTTGAACACGGATTTGAACATGTGATATGAACAAGTGATTTTCATAAGAATACCTGGATATAATATGCTGTCACTTAACCATAAATAGCAAACATTCAAAGGATAAATTCATGTGACCTAGTGGGTTTCAAATTCACTATAGACTTGATTGGCTTTAACTTGGGTTTATGGGTTGCCAAGATCAGTTCCACCTAGTAAGAGACTTGACATGCTCCCCTGTCCTAGACAACCAGTTGTAAACTGCATATGCAGCAAGAACGCATTTCATGGTACCCCTGGGGACACTGTATTCTAGATACTGTTCCAGAACCTTCTTACAGATCATAATTACCAGGAAGCTTTTCCAATGTGGAGATTCTCTGGCATCCTCTCTAGACAGTCTAGGATGAAAGTCCTGGAATCTGTGTGTTTCATAAACCCTCCTGAATAATAGAACCACACTATTCAAGTGGACAGTGTCTTGAATTGGGAGATAATGTCAAGTTCTGTCTGACTCTGCTGTACCTCAATTTTGCCAACGGGAAGAGGCTCACAGATCACATGGGACTTGTAACTCAGGGTCTGTGGCCAGTTGGCTCCATCTGCTTACTTATTTCAGGAGGAGAAAGTCCAAGGGTTGGGAGTGAGTGGGATGGGGATATAGGCAGATTTGAGGAATAGAGGGCCCTTAGGGAAAAATTGATGGAGAGGAAATTGGCTGCAAGGCAGCTTGGGGCCATACAAAGGGTAACCAACTGGATTGGTTTGCACAGGATTGTCCTATTTTTAGCACTAAATATCCCACATGCTAGGAAATCTTCACTCCCAGATATTCCAGGACAGTTGGTCACCCTACTTGTAGGTTGCAAACCACAACCTGTGAGACAGAAGCTGTTATAGACTGAGTCTTTGTGTTTCCCCAACAACTTATTAAAATATATGTTGAAGTTTGGAGGTGGGACCTTGGGAAGGTGATTAAGCCATGGGATTAGTGCCCTTATAAGAGTACAGAAAGCTAGCTTGCCCTCTTCCCTCCATGTGAGGCTGTAAGAAGTCAGCCCTCTGCAAGCTGGAAGAGAGCCCTTATCAGAAGTTGACCAGGCTGGCACCTGATCTTGAACTTCTAGCCTCCAGAACTGTGAGAGATAAATTTCTGTTGTTAATAAGCCACTCAGTCTATGGTAATTTGTTATAGCAGCCAGAACTGACTAAGGCAGAAACCCACATAATAGGCTCAAAATACCTCTAACTCTATCAATATCTTCTTACAGCTGAAGCAAATATTTCCAGCATGGAATTAGTAAGCACCTATTCTGATGTGATTGAACGGAAAATGGAATGAGGATTGTCTTTTCCACTGCTTATGATTTTAGAGTGTGGAGAAGGACTGTTCATGTTCCACATGACTCAGCATAGTAGCCTTTGTTCTGTCTGACCAAGGATGATTGATGGTTTGGAGTTTTAGCAAAAACTGTCACCAGAATAACTGCACACCTATTACTAAAAATAATAATTCCATAGCAGTACTTTATTATATTTTTCTAAAATCTTGATCTTCAAATTGAACTTTCAATTTGGGTAAGACACTAATGTAGTATGTCTATTTAGAGTCTACAATTATTCTCATGCAGAATTCTGCATAATCTATAGGTCTCTTCCAAAGTTGAAGTTGACATAGGTCAGAGTCAACCAGAACCTGACCTTTTCGCTCATATTTCCAGACACTGTCCACTTGACCAGAAGTTTTCAATTAATTGGAAATGCTTATCAAATTTACAGCTGTCTGAGATCCCTACCTTAAAATTAAAAATTAAAATATAAAGATGAGGCCTAAGAATCCCTACATTTGAAAAACTCCCTTGATGATTCTGAAGTGCAAGAAGGTTCAGTAATACTTTATAGAACACGGTGCCACTCCAGGGGTGACATGAAATATGTTCCTGCTGCAGGTGCGATTTAGAAATAGATTTCTAGAATAGGAAAGCATTTCAGGTATCCTACTAGGAGCATCTGGTTATCCATAAAACTTGATATTTCAGCCTATGTGGGGGCAACCCCAGATAGTCTTTGAAAGTCAGTAAGAAGAGATCTTCATTCAACCTCAGAAGTGCACAGAATTTCCAAATATCTTTTAGAAACTTAATTCATTATGGTGTGTGTGTGTGTGTGTGTGTGTGTATGTGTATGTGACATCGAGACTTCTAAAGCCTTCTAGAGCCTTTATATATATTCAGGATGTACCATCTAATGCTTTAACTGAAAAATGGCTACTATTATGGAAAGTAGTACTTCATTTATTTGTCTTAAGTTGGTTCCTTTAAAATAGAGGTTTTCAATTGGGGTCTATTTTTTGCCGCCCTCGAGGACATTTGGCAGTATCTAGAGACACAACTGGTTACAATGAGGGGGTGGACATTCCTGGCATCTGGTGAGTAGAAGCCAGGAATTCTGTTAAACATCCTGAAATAAACAGGACCACCCTTCTCCCTCATCAAAGAATTATCTGGTTCAATAGTGCTGAATGGTCAATAGTGCTGAGGTTCAGAAACCTTTGCTGTAAAAGCTCTTAAGTGAATAACATCAACATTAGCTAACAATGACCTCTTTATTTGCATCAGGCATTAGTGAATGGATTGGGCATTAGTGGATGGATTTTCTTATTCTGCACAAGAACTCTATGATATAGTTTTCATTATCACCCCCAGATGAAAGATGAGGAAATAAACTTGGAGATGTAACTGGTGATATGGTTTGGCTTTGTCCCCACCCAGATCTCATCTTGAATTCCCATGTGTTGTGGGAGGGACCTGGTGGGAGGTAATTGAATCATGGGGGCAGGTCTTTCCCATGCTGCTCTCGTGATAGTGAATAAGTCACATGAGGTCTGATGGTTTTCAAAAGGGGAGTTTCCCTGCACAAGCTCTCTTCTCTTGTCTGCCACCATGTGAGACAAGCCTTTCCCTTCTGCCATGAATGTTAGGCTTCCACAGCCACGTGGAGCTGTGAGTCCAATAAACCTCTTTCTTTTACGAATTGCCCAGTCTTGGGTATGTCTTTATCAGCAACATGAAAACGAACTAATACACTGGCTGAAGGGCCCAAAGCTGCTGAGTAGAGGGTGGCTGGGTGGAAAGTGGGGAAGTGTTAGTGGGGCTTTCCCCACTCTGACTCCATAGCCTAAACTCTTCATCAGTATGCTATTTACCATCCAGCTTAAATGGTAAGTCCCCAAAGTTCTAATATTCTAGAATTTGGAATGAAATATATAGCTGGTCTATATACTCTCTATATAATTAACGTATTTTGTAAGTCATTTTAAAATCCATCCCTGACTTTGTCTTGTCAGACTGAAGAGATCTAGATTTGTGGTTGATTTATTTGCTACAGCCCCTCTGTTTCTGTAATTTTGCCTCCTCTGATCGAATCCATCTCTAGGTCCCTGTGCCTCTTTTGATGTATATTTACCTGAACTGCATAGCGTATTTCACATGGAGTCAAATACTACAATTTTATTTGTAAATATCAGCAGAGGTACTATAGTTTTACAGAATGTCACCACTGGAAGAAACTGGGCAAAGTATACAAGGGATCTCTATTATTTCTTACAGCAGCATGTGAATCTACAATGATCTCAATTTAAAAAAATGAATTAATATGTGAAAATGGGAACAAGGGCATTTTATAAAATAAATATGAAATAATTATGCCTGTGGGATTGTTTTCCAAACCCTTCCTAGAGATGCACATTATTTTCTTGGCTTTTTTGTCATATCAGTATATTCTATCAGAGCTCCCCAAATCCCACACCTGATTAAACTAATAGCTTAGTGCTTGTTATTTGTTAGGAGTAGCTGGCTTTGTTTTCTTTAATGGCATCATTACTGGCCTGCAGTGCAAGTCATCTGCCACTATTGAACCTCTGCTTCATGGTTTATGAGCTTGTTCTGTGGTTGCTTAGCATTTCACTCTGAAAAATGTTAACATCATCTGCAAATTCAGATTTATCATTCTGCACTTCCTTTTCCATGCCATTTCTGAAATGCAGAATAAGATTAATTCAGGACCCATTTGCAAGTATTGGTACTGACATGTCCATCATAAAGACAGACATTAATCTCTTCCCTTAGCTGCATATTGTTAAGTGAACTTTGCATCCATTGCAAAACATGGCCCAATCATCATTCAGTTTTGTTTTAAAACAATCTTTGGCGTGAAAATCTTGCATAGACTTCTTGAAAACCCAGATATATTTTCATATCAATGGTTGTTTAAAAATTTCTTCTTCCATGTCATTTCTGAAATGTAAAACAAGATTAATCCAGGATGCACTTACAAGGATTGGAACTGAATTATTTTCTTAAAATATTAATTCAACTCTGCCCTTTGCAAAAGGTTCTGCCTAGCTCAGAAAGATAGTTCCTTGCAGAACTTTACATGCTACTTGGGTGATTTGGGACAGGTTATTTACTCTCTCATCCTCCTCAGTTTCCTTTTGTTTAAAATGGGAAAAAGCATACTATCTAATTCCTAGGATTGTTGTTAGAATGGCATGCTATAACATATATATGAAGGTCTTAGCTCATCTCCTGTGGTAAATGCTCCATAAATGTCAGCTGTCATTATGTTAAAAGCTGGGAATTCTTTCTGTACTCAGAACTCATATCTCCTTTCCTCCAGTTGATAATGCTTACATTTGTCTTTGAATATGTATTCTATCATAATTTCTAACTACTTCCAGGGATTGGAAATGACATTTCATATTGTTCATTCCCTAGGTCCCCTCTAGAATCTTGCATATGATTGACATTACACTTATTCTCCTAAGCAAAAGGTATTTATAACAGCAATAATCTATAGAGCTGATGGCTGAATAAATACTACCTATTAAATTTGGAATTACATTTGTAACAATAAAATCTGTACTGTGCTAAACCTATGACATAACTTGGCCAGAAAAGTTATCTACTATTAATAATTTTTATGTGATTTTGTAACCATCTTCATAATCTATGAAGAAAGGAGCTTTGCATTAACCCCTTGTTTTCTAAGGAAAGATTTCAAAATGTATAGATGACTGTAATTCTCTGAGGCCACTTCTCCAACTGCTTTATAGGAAGGAAATATCAGTCCTACAGCCCAAACTGCCAGGTAGTTATTTAATTTTTTTAATTTACTTTTTACATTAGACCAAGTACTGTGTTGTTATACCTGATTGTATTTGTCTTAAACTGATTACAAATGAGAATTCTGAATTTGAAGAGACTTGCCTGGCCAAGGATATAACAACTGCCAATAAGTGGTATCACAGACAAAGCCCAAGCCTCTGACTCCAGAGCCCGGGCTTTTAACCAGTAGCCTATAGTCATTACAAAAAATATTAATAGACTTTATTTTTCAGAACAGTTTTAGGTTTACAAAAAAACTGAACATACAGAGAGTTGTCAATTACCACTTTTCCCCTGCACACAGGTTTCCTATATATTTTAGTCACTTTAAAAATACCTTTCTTTGGGTTCTTTTAGTATTAGCTTTTCATGCATAGAAAGAGTGCCTGGAAGTGACCAGATGGCATGCCCAGAAGCTTGGTGTCTGACACTGCTCTTGATGCCTCCCAGGCCCAGGGCTTGGTAGACAACCTGTCCTGTCTCTTCGAGTTCCTTGAGAATCATACGTTCCTCTGGCTCTATCTGGAGCTGCTGGTCCAACTTCCCTGAGTGAATTGGCTAATTCAGCCTAACTCATGCCACTTGAGATGAATCATTCTTGACTATACTTTCTAATTGACTTGGGATGAGACTAGTAAAGGTACCGCCCACATCGAAGGTTGGAATTTCCTTCAGTGGTCTTTCTGTTTGCTTTGTATATTCAATGTTCCCCAAATATTCTCCCCATAGTGCTTCTGCTCATAAATGAAAACTCCCATTTGAAAATAGCTTTTGTCATCTTAATAGCAGATTTTTATCAGCTGTACCACTAAGGTGATCAACTATTCAAGAATCGACTAGAAGACCTGGAGAGTCAAGTAGGCTGAAAAATGATAAGCATCCAGCACCCAGCTTTCTCTGTATCCCTAGAGGGCACTTCTGAATATTCCACACTATGATGGATAATTTCTCTTTCCCTAGCTCCACAGCTCAGGGAGAACCCTGGACCTGGGCAGGACATTGTTCAGCCTTGTTGTTATCTGAGCAGTTGGCTCCATTTTGGTGACATAGGGAGAGTAAAAGATGTTCTCAGAGATCAGAAGCTGTCCATTGGACATTTCCCTTGGTTATTGCTCAAATTCAATGAGATTGAGAGACATTAAATAATGCATCCCAGGTCACACCAGTGACAAAACTGGGACGAGAATCTGGGTCTTCCTGAGCCTGTGGCTCGTGTTTTTATCCATTATGGCAAACTGCCTCTTGGGTTTGCAGGGTGACTGTCATGAAGCCCAGCCCTGTTTTCAGGGTGACAAATTTCCCACCCCTCCAGCTCCCTAACACGTCTAGTGGCCATCTATAGAAACTGGCACATAAGACTGCTTGGAGTGCTGACCTCCTCACTGCTCAGTCAGTCTCCCCAATGCAGAGTCCCTTTTCATCTGCCCTCATTCCCACCTGACATGACGATACTGCATCTCCTTTCTCAGTGCTGTCTACCCAAGGAAGCTCATCTGTTTTCTCGCCTTGGTTATTGGGATGACTTCAGGTTTACCCATGTTCTCTCTCCCCTAACCATATAGCTAACCCTTTAGTGCCTCAGGAACTCAAATGTGACATACCTAAAACTGAACCCATCATGTATCCATGTTTTCTTGGTTGTTTTTCATCTTTGTTTTTCTGGCCCTCTGTGTGTGGGTGATGCTATTATCCTCCCTGCTGTCTGTCCTGAGAGAGGCTGGTTGAGAATGCTAAGGCCTGAACCTCATTAGAATCACAGACATGCTTTTGGCTTATTTATCATTTGAAACCAACAAAGGCTGAAGTTTGGCATTTTGGAATGTCCCTGAATGCTATTTATGAGCCCACCATGATGGGCAATCCCAAGAGTGCAATTTTACGAATCTACACATCTCAGCACCCCATCTCAAGTTTTTGCAGATAGAGATTTACTTAGGTTTGGAATAGCTTTAAATTCACATTAGAAAGATAGATTTTTAAATCTGACTAACTCATTTAACCACTATAATGTAGCATTTGCTTCTGCTTGGGGTTACAGCCTGAGCAGAAGTGGTCTCTTGGCCTTCACACACTGATAGTAACTTCTTCTCTATGTTCCCTTCTGCTCAGTGACTGTGCTGCCAGAAACACTCTGGCTTCCAAGTCAGAGATGTGGCATCCTCTATGTCAAGCACTGGTCAAACTCTCCCTGAATGGAGATAGCCTAGTTACGCAACATTTCCTAGTGAATTTAAAATGAAGAGCATATTACTACCAGCCTCATGTAGTTGTTATGAAGATTAAATACATGCAAAAAATCTCAGAATAAGATTGAGGACACAGTGAGTCACTTCATAAATATTAGATATGATGATTATTATGTTTTTATAAATAGGGACTCAGAGTAGTGACAACATGTTGAGGGATATATTGGTTCTTATTTTCCACATTAACCCTGTAGGGTTTCCAAATGAGGTTGGTGTTCAGTAAGAGAAGACAATATTCAACTTTCTTATATTAATAATAATATTTGTTAAAAATAATGGGTCTCATAGATGCTGTGTTCAGTAGTTTCTATGCTTTATCTTAAGATTTCACCAAATACCCTATACAAAGGATGCATGGGTGAATATTGTTACTTTTAAGAGGAATTTGTTTTAATGTGTATTAGTTTTAAAAAATGTAACTAGTACATCAAATTCATGAATTCTTGGTCATTGCTTAGGATGAAGCGTAAGCATAAGTAACAGCATTGTTACTACAGTAGTCTCCCCATATCCTGGGCTTCCCTTTCGGCAGTTTCAGGTGCCCACAGTGCAGTACAATAAATAGTTTCAGAGAGATCATATTTACACAACTTTTATTACAGTATCTTGTTATAATTGTCCTATTTTATTGTTAGTTGTTGTTGTTAATCTCTTACTGTGCCTAATTTATGAATTAAACTTTATCAAAGCTCTCTCTATATATAGGAAAAAACGTAGTATATATAGGGTTTGATGCGCTCTGTGGTTTCAGGTGTCCACTGGGAGTCTTGGAACTTATCCCCTGCCGATAAGTGGTGACTACTGTATTGACACAATGTTGTAGAGAGTGTCTCCTTTTATTTTTCTTATCACAGTCCTGTGAGGAAGACAGGCCAAACAATGAAAAAGAGAGGTGGGGAAACTGGCTGGAGCCCCACAGAAAGTATAGGCACACCAAACTCCCGGCTCCCAGACCCTTTCCTCTAAAACATACTGCATCGCAGGATGAGTCCTGGCAAGCTGCCCCTTCCTTGGGGATAGAAAGTAATGTGCCCCTAGGGAACAAAGGTTCCACCTTAGTTTAATATTGCCATCAGCTTCTCCCTACTGGGAAGCAGGGTCTGGAAGCAGTGGCCTGGACTCTTCCCAGGACAGCAGCAGCATTGGCTCTGAATCTACACTAGCCTCTTCTGAGCAAAGAGCTCAATAATTCTGTCTACACAAATACACACACATATGCATGTGTCAGCTGATTTAATTAAGCCCCTTCTCAACTCAAATGGGGAGTTTGGACAAAGAACTGAGGGGTTACAAAATTACCAGTTTTTGACTGGTGTTGCTTTTCAATTGGTTGCTTTGGGATCTTTCTGGCTCACAGCTTCCTTCAATAGTGAATTGGAGGCAAGGAGGTTAGGATGTTAATTGGGCCACATGGTAAATTATGCAAATGCCCAAGGGAAAACAGATGCCATATAAATGGAGGTTTACAATTACTGTTGCAATGCAGTTTTTTAAAAAGCCATTTGTAGTGATGTGTGATTCTACAAAGTTATATTTTAGGACTCTATGGGTTCCAGAAACTGAGATCTTTCCCTGGCACTGCTTCACAGTCATGTTACTAGGATCCCAAGTATTTCCATTTTGGCATTATAAAACAGCAACCAGTAAGAGACCTTGTTAGTTTTGACCCTGGGGCCACAAATGAGCTGAAGGGTTGAAGGTCTCAGACCTTTTCCATTTCAGTAAAAATATGGTGGTCCCAGGTGCCTGCTAAAGATTATTTTCTTCCCCATTATTTCCAGAAGATATTTCCAAGAAACTGGTAGCATGAATAAAACACATTTCTTCTTAGAGCCTAGTGGTTTAAGAAAAGGATTTGATGAGGAACCCATACACCTACTGGTGTATTTTGAAGGTGATATTATATGCTATGAGTTATTGGTTAGTAACTCTTATTCCTGTTACTCCTGAGGGCTCTTTCCAAACTGCAGAGTTTTCTGGGTAAATTATTCATGGCAAGGGTGTTGCCTGTGGTGATGTGTGTCAGTCACACCATTACACCTTGTCTTGGGCTGGAGGCACTGCCATTTGCCTCCCTCCAACTCTTTTGTCATCACATCCATTTCTGACTAGCCTCAGCCACCGACAGTGCTGTCAGTGAGCTGCAAAGGCAAAATAGGAGGCGTTATCCATTCTCCAGTCTACAATCCACCAGGGGAGAAGCCAGCTGAAAACACAGGAGGACCTAATCAGGCCTTTGATGTTACGCAAAGCAGATTGCATTTCAAGCTCTAGAGAACAAGGAGCCACTCTAAATCTGATTAAGATTCATCTGGTACCAAATTGTGATAAGTGTTTATTTTGGACAAGCAGAGCATCAGTGTTTTCTGATTCTGCTTATTCATCCAGAAAATCTTTTGTTTTCCCCTTTCGTTGGAGAAGAAGTAGTAAGAGAAAGCCTTGGCTGGTCCTGACTTGTCTGTTGAGCAAACTTGAGAAGGAGACTGGGCTGCTTCTTGAATAACTCTGTACAGAGCCTAGGGTGCAGAGCTCCTTCTTCTGGCCCCCTGACTCAGTTTCCTAATGATCTGATCCCCTGCTGCTGTGCCTCAGTCGCCTGCCCTTACTTCCATAGCAGATGGGTACTTACCTTCTGGAGGACCGTGAGGTGGGGAACTAACTTAAAAGGGGATTGGTTCTAGTGAGAATTCAGGGACAGAGATGGCTAGCCGGGGAGAGGGTTCAGAGAAGGTTTTGTGTATGTTTTTTGTTTTGCCTGAAATAAAATCGTACATAAAGTTTTGGAGAAAAAAATAGAATAATTCCTGATTCTACCATGCTTTGTAGTTGCTATGTAACCTCTTTGATCTTTTAGTGCATCTATTTGTACATATAAACGTATGTGTTTATGTAAAACAGAATGTTTTGTTTTGAAATTTGTGGTTTCCATTTAGCATATTCTGAACATCATTCCTTGTAGATAAGCAGAGTTCTCCATCATTTTTGATGATTGCTGAATAATTTTCTTTCTGGGGACTCCTCTCCCCTCTCTTCCTCTTGTTTTTCTTTTCTCTCTTTTCCTCCTACTCCCTTCTCTCCCTTCCTTCACTGGTTGTTATACCTTTTCTTCCTGATAATCTATAGTCTTTTGCTCCAGCTCCATTTTATTGTTTTCTTTTTATTGCTCTAACATTTTGTAATATACCCTCTGACTTATGCAAATAATGTGAAATGAAAAGAAGATTGTTTTGTAGTTTGGGGTTGTGTTGATTGTATAACTCATACCAAACTTATTTGTTTCCTTTGTTTTGTTAACAGCTTTGTAATATTTTCTGTCCAGGTTCTGTGAGAATAAACATGACAATATTTTGAAAGCTTTTCATATCCCCAGAAGGAAGAAATGACAAAGAGGCAAGCCATTATAATGAATGCTTATGATCTTTATTTAGGAACATGACAGTCTCAAGCCCTCTGTCACTTCTAAGTCTTGATGATTTGTCTCATTTGCCCAGACCCCTCACCAGTCCACAAAGATGGGCAGAATGAGGCCGACAGTGCACCAGAAGACCTCCACTCTGTGGGGACCAGCAGGCTGCTCTATCACATCACTGATGGTGATAACCCACTGCTGTCGCCACGATGCTCCATCTTCAGCCAAAGCCAGAGATTCAACTTAGACCCCGAGTCAGCCCCATCTCCACCCAGCACTCAGCAGTTTATGATGTGAGAAAACTGTTTTGTTATTGTCTTCATTTCATACAGTTTTTCAAATACCACATTTATAAGCTACAATGAAGTGTGACTGAAGTAGCACAAATGTGCCTGCCTAACGCAACTGCGAGACTGGAACAATAAATGACAAAAATTAGTGTACTTGCTAGTTGGGGATGCCATTGCAGGCCTTGATACCTCAAGAGGAAATGGTCATGAGAGACAGGATAGCCCAGCGGCTCACATGTTTGAACATTTTTGGTGAAATGACCAGAATCTTAAGTAAGTATATGTACATGCACATATCAGACATATCATTCTTGATGAACTCAATATTCTTTCCATGTCCAGTGGTAGCATCAATGGATGAGTTCTGGGAACACTTGGGAGCTGTCCATCTACATTTCTTGTTAGATTCTAGAAAAGTGGTAGCTTACAATAGCTACCCTCATCCAAATAATGTGTGTGTGTGTGTGTGTGTGTGTGTGTGTGTAATCGGATGCCTGCCCCCTACACATTCCACTTGGAATTTGCATTTGGGATTGAGGAACTATGTGTTGTTTATGTTTAAGTTCCACAAATAATTTTGATGTATAATTAAGATTAAGAATCCCTTGGCTAAAAATATTCCCAGGGAATCCCTGGTTTCTCCGTCAGAACTCCTGCCATTTTTTCTTGAATATATCTAACCCTGGGTCCATGAACTATCTATCGATGGACCTGAAAGAGTTAGTGAATTATTGGCATTGCATGTAAAGTGTGTGTTATGTGAGGGGGTGTATGCAATTTCTGGAAAAGAGGCCCATCCTTTCATCATATTAAAAAAAAGTCCTGTTATGTCAAGAAAAGTTAACCACTCATCTAAATCTTCCTTGAAAATGTTGGTAGGTATGGCTTGGGCAACCTACTGAGGACAGAACCTCAACAGTACTGTCTCTTTCGAGTCTTAAATTGGCCTCCTCTAAGCTTTACAAAACACATTTCCTGGACTAATATCTTGACATTTTACACTAAAGTCCAAGACAACATCCACCCATAACAGAGTTTTGTGATAGGGAGTCTCCATTAATGAGCAGATGCTACCATGGTGGCCTCATCAAATAATGAACTTCCCTCTGGACTTCTCTGACAATCCAGGAATTTTGGTTTGTAGATCAACAGAACTGTTTACTGGAAGCCCACTGTTTTTGATACTCCTTCCTCCTTGTAATCACTGCAGGCCGCGGAGTTCTTCACGCTGCAGCTGTGGAGATGGCAAGGAGCCACAGACCATCACCCAGCTCACCAAGCACATCCAGAGCCTCAAGCGGAAAATTCGGAAATTTGAAGAAAAATTTGAACAAGAAAAGAAATACCGGGTAAGAACCCTGGGGTTTGACATAGGAGCGGATTGGTCAGAGGTGTCTGGATTCTCCTCAGCCTCTGTCCTTCCTTTCTGGGTGCCCTTCTTTGCCAGGGGACAGCTCTGTTCCCATGGGCCAACCTGGACCTATCATAGAGTCTTCATCTTCTATCTGTCTTGTTCTCACCTGCTGTCAGTTGATCTCTGCTAGGATATTTTCTAGTAATGGATTACAACTATTATTTCCAAACTTATTTGATTATTGATCTCACCTTTTTTTTTCTGAGGAACAAAATTTGGAAAGCTTTGAATTATGGTCTTCTTCTTCTTCTTCTTCTTCTTTTTCTTTTTTCTTTTTTTTTCACTTTTTCTCAATTGCATTTTGATAAGAACTTATTAAAGATCCAAGGGAGGGGTCTCCAATTGTGGAACAGAATGAGGGAGAGATGGTTTCTTTGACATTAAAGTATTTCCTTGTTGGTGAATGAGGACCTCTCAAGTGACATCTGTTCAGGCCACTCATAAGAACCAACCCTAAGCCTTCCTTTCCCCATCAGAGAGACACTAGTTTTCATGCTAGTACTGCACTGCAGCAAACATGAGCCTCCTTTCTTCTTATGTAAGAAACAATAGGGTCATAGGTAAGTGTCTTGATGGTCAGTGTTGCTTTTATTTTCTCCAGTAGTGACCATGGCATACAGAAAAAGCATATCCACAGAGAACTGGACAAAGACATTGGGTCTTCGGCAGAGAGCTCAGAATAGCTTGTTATTAGAATAAAAGAGAACAGGGAATAATCTCTCATACATCTTGAAATATTTAAAGGTTCACTAAACACTTGGTACAGAGGCAATTGGAAAGTTCTTGTGAGTATGAGAGTAAGTACTGGGGAGGGAGGTGAGAATGGATAATATTCCACTCTTCCATTCTTCCTGTCCTGCTTCCCACAGTGGCCTGAAATTCACTGAAGGAGGAGTTTTAAGGAGCAGATTTTAGCTTTGCAAAAATGGGGGAAAAATCAGTTTGGCTTTCAAGGCAACTTTAGTCAGGATGTTGAAGATTGTCTTCCCCAAAGTCAGGCAGTCACAGCTATTTATTGTCTTTTACAGAGCAGAAGGGAGCTCAACACATTATTAGTCCAGGATTTTATTTTACAGATAATGAAACTGACACCTGATGGAAATGACTTGCCTAAGATAGTTGTGTTCTATCAGGTCGCAACTTGGGTCAGTGGATTACAGATGAGTAGGTTCTGCAATAGAATAGAAGTAAAATTTTTAAGTGTCTGCTTTTTAAAAGATCCAGATATCCTGGGAGAAGTTTATTTCACCTGTTTGCTGCTGGCGTGTTACTGGATCTATGATGTCCTCGTATTGGAAAATACAGAGTAACAACCAGGGGCTCCATTCCCAGCACCTGTTAACACTTCTTATCTGGCAGTTCTTGAGTCAGACTATTTTGGATTTGAATCCAGCACGGCTACTTAAGAACTCTGTGATTTTGGACTTGTTATCTTTCTGAGTCTCAGTTTGGTCATGTGTAAAATGGAGTATTAGGTAGCGACTTCTTAAGTTTGTAAGTAGTAAATAAGGAAGTACATACATAATGCTTATTACAGTGTTTGGTACAAAGGAAGTAAATGGTCCTAGATAACACAAACTTTTTAATCTATGAGTTATATATTTAAATAGGCTACTCCATGGCAGTCTCTGCCTTGTCAGAAAATAAAGGAAAATTGTACATGTTAATTCTCCACTGGAGTTTTCTACCCACAGCCACAGATCTTGGATGCTTATTTTGGAAGAGAATTCCTCCTGGAAACATCTTCTGCCTTTGTCTAGAGTTTTCTGAAGCTAGAGCTCACATGCACATGCACACACATGTACACACACACAAACATAGACTTAAATACACATATGGAAGGACAGATCAGGGAGCAGTAGGGGAAGGAAGCTCCTTGGTCACCGCTGCTTCAGTGTCTATAGAAGTCTTTGTTATTATCAGAACCTCACAGGTCTCAGGAAACGCTTTTCCTTCCTGTCAGCATGCCAGGCTGTGCTTAGAGGTTTGACATGTCAGTGGGCTTTAACTGGTTGCTGTGTGTAAGGCTCCCCTTCCTGACAGCCTGACTGTGGAATTCATACCACCCATTGCTAATTTTTGAATCTGGGCTCCTGCTGGGCCTCTGTGCTATTTTGATACCCATGTATCACGTATATCTTTCCATCTCTGTTTACTGTAACCATTTTATATACCTACCCCAAATTCTCTACATCTCTACATCTGATTTTGCATTTGATTATTGGACTCTTGGGCTAAGAAAAGGCTGCGTCAGCCACACGTCTACCTTCAGTGGAATCAGGGAATGTTAGAATTGGAAAGAATCAGTCTTTTGTCTTATCTGACAACTGAAGATGCTGAGGCCCAGAAAGGGGAAGTGAGTTTCCCAGAATCACACAGCAAAGAATAGTTCTAGCCAGAACAGCAACTGAGGTCTTTTTATAACCCTCCCAGTAATTTTTCTAATGTGTCTTTTTGAACCATCTTTGGCAGATCACAAATCTCATACAATGGCACTTAGGAGGTCAATTTTAATTGCATTGAACAAAATCTAAACCTATGTAATTTCCGTGTGTATGACGTTTGGGGTCTTTTGAATCAGAATATTTCACTTAAGAAGTTAAAAGTCTTGAAGATCTACAGCTTGTATATGAGAACTTTCCATGTGATTTGAGAGCTGCCATCCATGTGAGTTTGATTTAACCCTTTTAACAGCTTCTTCAAGGGTAGGGAAATAAATTCATTTCAGAAACTGATTTCAGGCTTTAAATTATTTTGTCAGAAATTTAGCCTTAAATTTCTTCTAAGTTCTATGCACCGTAGTAAAAACTTATTTCTTTTGCAGTCACTGGCTTAAGGCCTTAGGATTTTGTGTGTGTGTGTGTTTGTTTTTACCATATTTCAAAAGATGGAAATAACTGTGTGGAACAGATCCAGTGAAGCATTGTTCAACAAGGTGTGTTCTCAGATCGGAGTGGAGAATTCTCTAAGGATTTTGGGAAACCAAATGTAAAACATTGACTTTCCGTGTAACCAGACTGCTACCCAAACCAAAGTACTAGACGATACAGTGCATCATTCTAGCAAACCATAGATAGGACTAGGCTAAGCTGTTTTAGAGAGCTGGGGATTGATGGCCACGTGTCACTGTCCATGGTCCTGAAACCAGGATTCCCCCCCCCCCCCGCCAAAACCCCTTCCCTATCCCTCTGCCATCCCTCAGGGAAACCAGTCTGCTATTCAAGCTCTTCTAGGAAAGAAACATTGTCAATCTTCTTTTCTATTTTAATTTTAAAATGTATGGTTTTTAAATCACTTTAGAACTGACAGAATCATGCCTTGTGTTTTACAATGAGCATACCTAAACTCATGTACACGTGATGATCCTGTCACACAGTAGTTTTTTCCTTTGAGTTTTAAAAATCTGCCATCTTCCTGTGCCTCCCTCTCACCAACAACCTGCCATTGTTACATGGATTTAGTGGATCCTTAAAGAAAAAAAATGACAGAACCCCTAGATTTGGTCATTAACAATGCACATATTTCAGGCTATTATGTTTATGATCATGTCACCTTGAGCATATTTTATACTTCCTTGTACATCCTTAATTTAAAGTAACCATTAATTTTCTTCAGCCTGCATGTAAGTTCCTATGGTAGCCTTGACTTGTTTAAGATCAGTTTTTACTGATCTGTGGGGGTAGAGGGACAGTATGTTTGACTACCACTAGTGAAGATATTAGAAATCCGTGTATCCCCCTAACAAACTGACTTCTCGGGAATATTGTCAGGTTTTAGAGATTCCGGAGTCTCCTTTCTTTAGCTTAGAGGATATAACTGATAAGAGCTAAATCTTCCAGTTTTTCAGTATTCTCCCACGGGTTATGGTCATAAGCATGTGTGTGAGCCACAAGCAAGGTAGTAACCACTGGTTTGTATCAGTGCAGTCATCTGCAGTGCTACAGAAAATGGCCTGGCAATGGGGTATATATGGGCTGTGGGTGACCTGCAAGGTGATTGACAGTTTGACTGCAGGGGCACTGGCATGGCCAGGACTATGTGAAAAATGTTAGGTGACCAGGCACATTTAGAAATAGTGCCCATAGCAAGGATTAAAGAGTAGAGGAGGTCAAGAATATTTACTGTTTCCTAGAGGTAACTTCATCAGAAGCAACTCCATCAGAAATTTCACACCCGAATTTCTCTCCCAGCTTTATATATTCCTAAACTATCTTTGTGTAGCTCATCTGTTTAAAAATTTTGTTTTTCCTTTTCTCTTTTTCTCCCCCACCCTCTCCCTCCTTCCCTCCCTTCCACCCCCATTTTTTCCTTCCCTTGGTAGCCTTCACATGGTGACAAGACTTCTAATCCTGAAGTCCTGAAATGGATGAATGATTTGGCTAAAGGTCGTAAACAGCTCAAAGGTAAATCCCAGCCAAAGATCTTTTTTCCTCACAAAGGAAGCAGTTAAACTAGTGATAATGTGCTCCAGAGCATTTTAGATTCATTTCCACCTGTGCCCTCTTGCACCTTGTTTTCTGCTTAGACTGTAACTCCCTTTTGAAATAAAGCACCCTGTATCTCTGTCATTGTTTGGCCCCATGTAATAAACCTCCTTACAAAGAAACTGAGGACCTCCAGACTCCCAAGTGGAATGATTCACTTCAATGCCAGGAACATTTCAACATGTGGAGCACTAACCTCCCTAGGTTATTGGATTGTTGGATGTTAGAAACAGAAGAGGCCTGAGAAATCATTTACTCCACACACTTCAGTGCATGGATGAGGACATTTATGCTCATAGAGAGGGGAGGGTTACATAGCTGGAAGGTGGTGGGCCAGGTGTAGAATGTGGTTCTCCTGCCGTGTGGGCTAGTGTCCTTCTTTTTCTGTCTTTCTCTGGAGATGGTGGTGAGAGTATTAACTCTAAAATCCATTTAAAATAGACTATTATAATTTACCAATAAAAAATTATTTTCTTCCTCTCTCCACACTCTAACTTTAATACTTAGAGACATGGGAGTTTTTCCAAATTTCTGCAAGGAAAGTGACTAAAAAGAACTGGAAGGGAATACTAATTCAGTGGTATTAAACTGTAATGATGTGGCAGGTTTATAAAATATGCAATGTTTAAACATCAAGACAAAGTCTAACTAGGAAACAAACATCAAACAAAGAAAATGAGCTATGTAATTGAGAAATCAATATAAATGCCTCATTCAAACAACCAGTACCCTTGCATACTCTAAAATGTAATTCCTTGATAAGTCTCAGGGGGCTTTTTTATTTTTAATTATCTAGGTTTATATAAAGCCACCTTGTAATAATTCCTGGATCTTAAAAGCTATCATAAGACAAAATAGCAAAATCTGTCATGTTGAGGCTGACACTCCCATCTACCCTTTCCCATCCTCTCCTGTATTTCCTTGGGTGTCTACATGCATAATGTCTTCCAGAATTATTTGCGTTTCCACAGGAGCTCTTGATGAACCCACAACTCCATAATCTAAGTAAATAAATCTTTGTGTGTGGAATTTCGGGTGCTACAGTACATGGCAGGTGGGGCCAGGCACCACTGGTTTTCCTGCAAACTCTTCCTCCTCTGAAATCTAAACCACTGAGCTACTCCCACACATACCCTCCACCTCCATGAGATCCTAGCCTCTAGAGCCCTGTTTTCACACCCGATTGGGAGCTTATGCTAATGGCTCTGGTTATAAGGGTTGCCGTTGCCCTGTGGAAAGCCATCATTAGTGTTCATTTCTACAGATTTGGCATCAGGGGAAGGAATTCCTGAAAGTCTCTCCATTCTTAGAACTAGTGGGTTCTCTTTGCTTATGATAACTCATAGCATTTCTCTTAGAACTAAAGCTAAAGCTGTCAGAAGAACAAGGGAGTGCTCCCAAAGGTCCACCTAGAAACCTGTTGTGTGAGCAACCCACAGTCCCCAGAGAAAATGGGAAACCGGAAGCTGCGGGCCCGGAGCCAAGCTCCTCTGGAGAAGAGACTCCAGATGCTGCCTTGACATGCCTGAAGGAGAGAAGAGAGCAACTTCCTCCCCAGGAGGATTCTAAGGTACATCACCATGTCTTGTTATATAGAGGGCCCCTGTAGTCCACACAGTGCTAATGAGATCATCCAATTTGTCAGAGCACTTTGCCATTACATCAATATTTTTATTAGCCTGGCTCCAAAATTTCAGATGAGTTCCTGACAGGTTACTGGCCACGAGCAGTAGTGCCACATGATGCCAGGCTATGCCACCATTCTGGAGGTTATAGTGTTGTGTGTTGATAGGAAGTAAATGGCAAAGACACCAGGGTATATCATATCCCTTTCTCCCCAACTCTCTCCACCTGCAAATTAGCAAATGAACCCAAGACTAGGAAATAGGCATAGTGCCTAAAAGGAAAGGACTCCAATTACAGCCCCTTTCCTTATGTCTTATTAAAAATAATAAAGCAGGGATGATCTATAAACAGTAAGGAAATTTGTTTGGTGTTTATATAATAAGAATAGAGAGGTAGAGTTTTTTGGGAGAGTTAAGTTGAAATACAAGTCTTCAGCTTTGGATATCTTAGTTTTGAAGTCTCTGTGAGGCATCTAGATAGAGTTGTCAGGCATTTGAATATATGAGCCTGGAGCTCAAAGAAAAGATTTATTATATTTTACAAAGAAGAAAAGACTGATTAGTATTTACCTGGTTAATCTCTCCTTGTCATGCATATCTATGCTTCCATTTCAATTATGCCAAGGAAGCTTTCTTGTAGTCCCCTGTCTCAACCCTAAGACTGGCGTGATTGACTTTCAGTGCTCGAATAACAGATGCAACTACCCTATCACAGCTCTAACTATCTTGTAGGCCACTTTCTGTTTCTTGTACTACATCTTGAACTTCTTACATGGAAGCACTATTTATAGGTCATGACCTCCCCTTTTCTGCACATAGTAGGTATTGAATAAATGTTTGCTGAGTGAATGGAAAAATGAGCAGATGAATGAACAAACTAGCATATTTAATTTTCAAATGAAGTCTTCTTGAGGAGAATGCCTCCTTTCCCTGTTCTATTGTACATTACCTGGTATTAATCATAAAGTGACAACATATTCCAAATCTCAAAAGGCTCAACATATGCCCCTGGATTAGTCATTTACATAAGGACTTGTGATCTACAAGTAGAAATGGGCCTGTGACCACATCTTTCTTTATGAAATACCTTTAGCCTTAAAACAACAACAAATACATGTTGTGAGGAGTGAAGAGAAGGTTTCATCCACTCAGCCATCCTATCCCTAAGCCTACCAAGATTCTATACTTCTGTGACAGTCAGTGGGTAACTTCTGCATATATATACAGAAACTCTTAGGTATCTCTGTGGTTTTCCATCCTTCAATGCTTCTGAAGTTCTTTCCAGTATTTTAAAGTCACTTTGGCCACATCTATTAAAGCATCTTGGTCAACGTCTAAATCTCTGTTCTACTCAATTAACAAGGGTAGTAAGAAGAGCTGGGATTGATATAGTAGAGTTAGAACAGGATTCAGCACTTGAACCAGCCACTTTCTAACCATGGGCACTTGGCAAGTGAACTGATTCTCTGAGATTCAACTTCCTCATCTGTAAAATACAGGTAATACCTACTTATATAATTATCATGACAATAAGAGAGAAGCCTACTGACTGGTGGATAATAGTTCATTTGCAAAAAGATTTAAATGCCAACTATGTGTTGTGAAGTAGAATAGATGCTAGATATAAAAAATTAAAAGATATCGAAGCCATTGGGGGGTGGTCAATGCCCTCATGTAGTTCATGTTGTCCTGGGAGTGGGGATACAACAAGAAATAAACAACTCAATAAAAAGAAATCATTAAAAATGTTGATAAGTACTATGCAGGATATTTGACAGGTGATATGATAGAAAATATGGGTATAGTTTCTACTTTAGATAAAGGGATTAGGAAGGCCAAGAGGTGACATTTAAAGAAGAATCAGCAGGCCAAAGAGAGCAGCAGAAAACATTCTCAACAGATGGAATTGCAGGTATGAAGGCCGTGATGAAAGGAAGAGCTTGTTGTGCACTTTGAATTCTCAGGTTTGAGGGTTGGAGAACAGGATGGCATGAGATCAAGTCAGAAAGACAGATTAGAACCCATCACACAGAACCTTTAAAGCTGTGGGAAGTATTGGGAAGTTGTTGAACAGTTGAGAGCAGAAAAGTGACATGACGTGATTACATTTAACAGATCCGTCTGATTGCTAAGTGGAGGATACATCACAGGGGAAAAGAATGAAAAGGGGAGATGGAATGGGTGGCTTGGATTAGCACGGTGGCCTTGGAGAGGGAAAGAAGTGGATATATTCAAAGTATATTTTGAAGGTAGAATCAAAAGGACATGTTGAAGCATTAGATGGGAGGAAATGAAGGCAAAAAAAAAAATCCGGGATGGTGATGGGTCCATTTACTGATACAGAGAAAACTAGAGGAGCACACTGGGGTTGTAGATAAAAACATAAACGGTCAGTTTGGGATATATTACATTTAGTATCTTTCAGGAATAGGGTGACCAATCGTCCCAGTTTGCCCAAGACTTTTTTGCTTTTAGCACTGAAAATCCCATGTCCTGGGAAATGCCTCAGTCCTGGGCAAACTGGGATGGTTGGTCATCCTACTGAGGCATGTAAGTCAAATAGACACATGCAAATGAGAGTCGGAAGATCAGAGAAAAATCTCCTCATGCGTGGAAGTCACCCTGTATAAATGCCAATCATTTCTATTATTTTTAATGAAGTATCTATTATTTTGTTTAATAAGTGTCAGAAGCCCCCTCAAATATACCTATAATGTAGCTCTTCAGTAGGCTAAAGTTAGGCCCTTTAAACAGAGAGCATCTGTAATAGAAAATGTAAATACATAAAGCTGAGTATTGGTCTTGAGAAAGCTTAATATAGTAAACCATGTAGTAGCTAGTCAGCCACTACACTCAGTGTGAGTCCAGAGGCTACAACGTAACCAAAGAGAAAACTTTGTATTCCCATAGCAGCTAGTGTTATTTCTAACTCCTCAATGAGCTCAATAGCATTTCAGATCATCTCATTAGGTCCCGTTTCTTTAAACTCGAAGAGACATATGGCTTTCATCTGGGGTCCTTGCCTTACTGCTGAAAATGCATTAAATATTAAAATTTCAAGATAAAGAATGACGTCTTTTCTAGAGAGACTTTATTATGACTCTTTCTGTAATTTCCGCATTTGGTATTTAGTCACAGCCCATACTAAGGCTGATAAATCCTATAGCATTGCCTTGTTGCTTCAGATACTGTCAATGAGTAATTTTCTTCCTGTTTTATCTATGGATGATTTTTGGAGATAATCACTTCTGGGTTACAGGGCATGGCTGTACACTGGAAATTAATTAATCATCCCCTGAGCTGAACTGTAGTGCCTATTTATGTCTTTTATGTCCTTTTCTTTTGGAAATACTGAATTGGTGCTGGCACATATATCAATATTGACCTTTCTAAGGACTGTAAGTGGGGTCAGGTGCACAGCTCAAATTACCAAGGGGATGAGTAATGGCAGTTACTTCTTCTGGCCTCTCATCAACTGTAGCATCTTTGAGGATGAAATCAGATTTTTAGAAAGTATACATTTTATCTGGAAAAAATCAATAAAAAATTAATAACTTATAAGCAGGTTGTTGTTGGTTGGAAAGACAGTAGACTTAGAGATAAAGGGCATGAAAAGGAAGATCCCATCAAACTTTCTGCTTTCCTATTTATCCTTCTTTTTTTTAAAGAAATTATTGAATAGATAATACTTTCTCACATAGTTCAAAAAGAAAATATATAACAGAAAATGGTAAAAAGACTCCTTCCCAAACCAACTGCCATCTCCAGCTCTGAGGTCTCCCACCCCAAGCAGGTAACTATTGTTATTAATGTCTTATGTGTCTTTTTTGGAGTTTCTATGTAGAGCATATACAAGAAATTATCAATATACATTCCTTTTTATTTTAAATTTTTTAGAGACAGGGTGTCACTTTATCATTCAGGCTAGAGTGCAGTGGCACAATCATAGCTCACTGCAGCCATGAACTCCTGGGCTCAAGCAATCTCCCCACCTCGGCCTCTCAAGTAGCTGGGACTACAGGTGTGCACCACCATGCCTGGTTGAGTATTTTAATTTTTTGTAGAGGTGAGCTCTCACTTTTGCCCAGGCTGGTCTAGAATTCTTGGCCTTAAGGCATGCTCCCACCTCAGCCTCCCAAAGTGCTGGGATTACAGGAGTGAGCCACCATACCTGGCCCCAGTATATATTCTTAACTTGCCTCTGTTAGAGAAAAGGGAGCAGTCTATACAATTATGCATCCTTTTTACTTTGTATATTCTGGATATCTTTTTATATCAAGACATAGAGAGCTTATCATTCTCTTTTATTTTTAAAAAATTATTATTCAATAGCACTGTGGCATTCTTTTTTATTAATGGATAGCATTGACATTAACATCAAGTCAACTAGTTTGAAAGCTCAAATAACATTTGATGTGTGTGTTATTAATCCAGAAACATTTACTTATAAAATGTAATAAAAGTGATCCTCATTCTGCATATTAGGAAACTGAGGTTCAAATATTACATATTTGTAATGTTAAAAACAGTTTATAAGTTTTGAAGCTGGTTATCTGAACTCATGTCTTCTGGTTTCAAGACAAATATTAATCTTCAATTCCCGGCTTGAACATCTAAATTGACCAAAACATTCTCTTTAGCAATTGCTTTCTATGATAATATCCAGTACTGACTTTCCATCTTGTTTGATTGTTTAATTTAAATGGTCAGACTTGCCTGCATATAGTGTCTCCCTCAATAAGGGGATGGGGATACTTAGACAGGAAAATCTTGGCAGGACTTCAGTCCCTAAAGCTAAGAAGCATGTTTTCCATTGCTCACTGTCCAGAGAAGAGAATGTCAGTTTTACTTCTCTCCTTAAGAGACATCTCATTTATGGGGATAATTGGAATGATTTCATTTATAAATTTCTGTGGCTTACTGTGGAAGAATACATGGCACCACTCCCATGCGGGAAAGGAAAACAAGGTGGTAGAAGTGCTGAAGCTATGGCAGCTTTTTCCTAAACAACTTTCTGACCAGGACCCAGAAAGAAACTAATTTGGGCTGACCCCTCAGTAGCAGTTATGTCTCTTGGAAAGCCAGTTTATTTCCAGACCTTGATGATTCAAATCACCTACTTGATAGGGGGCCAGGAATTTTCATGTGGCAAAGTTGCCAAGCTATAAACAAATCATATCAAATTGTGTCCTATATATGGTCCTCTCTTGCTCAACCTCCTCTTAGTTATACCCCTGATACTATAAAAATGGAGAAACTGGAAGAATAATCATCTTTTAAAGTTTATCTCCTTTTATTTATCTTTATGACAATCCATTCATAGCTCTCTTTGGCTGTTTTAGGTTATTCAACGTGTAACCGAAAACATAAAGGAAACCTTGTTTCCTTCATTCATAAAACAAAAATGAAAAAATAGGTATATCTTGCATACTACAGCCAGCAGCAACTATAGAATTAGGGAGGAAGGAGGATGTACTTCAGAAAGAGAGAGCCATTGAATTCAGAAGAGAAAATTATCTGATTCTTAGCAGACAGTAGCTGAAGAATAACAGGAAAGTCTAATGTATTTCTGCCCCCTTAGATTTGGGGTATCCTGCAGAGCTTACCTTGATTCAGTTTTCTTTATGAAGATCACTTTGCAGGCCTATAGCTTTTCTGTGAGTAGAAAACAGCTCCTGGCACATAATCCCACTACTAACCTTCCTCAGGCAATCTGCTTTCCTGTCCTCTATCTGAGGATGAGCACTTGTAGACTTAGAGGTTTCACAGTGTTTTGTACTTACTATGCATGAGGGTATGGAACCCTCACGTTTCCTCAGGGATTGCTTTAATAATAATCTTAAGAGGAAGACAACGGAATCAAAGTGAAAAAGGAGTGCATACATTGTACTTGTTCCCGAATTTTTGTCTGGCATCTGTGGAAGATAGTTTTCTATAATGGCATTCATCATTCTAATGTGTGTTTTGGTCACTTTTTCCTTTTAGAATTAAATTTAGCTTTTCTAGAATCTGGGGAATACATTCAAATCACAAAAATCAAATTGCAATGGAGAGATACCAATAATAGTTAAATGCATCATTATCTGAAATACTTTCTATGAATTGTAAGTCCCAGTAAGATACTACATTTAAAAAACACTATTTCAATGTTTTCTGAACTTAGACTGAGATTTTTTTCTGCTGTCATCTATTAAAATCCCATGGAATAGATTTTGATAGGAACTTGTTGGGTTTTTTTTCATGGAAAGATGTAATAAGAAAGTGTTTAAAGAATGATTGGGTTAGAAAATGAAAAGATCTTGAGGTTATTTAAACAATACTTAACAGGCTTCTACAGAGGGAGGTGAGACTTAGGTCACAGCGTATGGAACTTAAAAGAAGATTGCTAAAAATTAGAGTCCTTTTTGCATATAAACCTGTGTTGATAGCTTAGTAGTAGGGATGGGGATGTATTGGGTACTGTGAGAATTTAAAGAAGTATGTGATATGATCTCTCTCCTCAAGAATCCTTTATTTGGGCAGACAATACTGAAACAAAGAAAACAGTTAAGGCCCAGATAATGAGATAAGTTGAGAGGAAAGGTAGATCAATATGGGCCAGAATGGTTTGCAATTGGGATGGGAGTTGGGAGCATGAGGATAACTGGGAAGTGTAACACATGTTTGAGACATTTTCTTTTCTTTCAAGGGAGACAGATCTGGATGGCAGATGTATCTGGCATGCTTGGGTGTGTGTACTTTGATAAAAGATGCCTGGGTGATTATTCCATGAGTTATTTCTACTATTCCCTTCCCACTACTTGCCAAGTGTATATCACTGGACTAGAGTAAAAGGGAGGTTATGTGTACTAGACATGCAGAAAATTAATGCAGAATACAAAGCAGGAAAAAACCAATGCAAGCAGAGGAGTTCGGTCACTTTGGATAAATAGGCAGATACATAGACAGACAAATAGATGGATAGATAGGAAGCTATTTAAACTTTTATGCACAGTGTGATCCATTGAAAATAGTGCTTAGGGATGGGTCTTACAGCAGAGGGGTATAGAATATATTAGTGGATCAAGAGGTTACACATTTTTTTCAGGGAAGGATATTGGTAACTCCAACCTCCTTCTTGTATAGGTAGGAAATTGAGGATTCAGAGAAGTTAAATGTTTTGTCCAAAATAATTTAGTTGATATCACAGCCTGTCAGTAACCTAGTATATAATACAAGCATGTAGTGATGAAGACCTGTATAAGGTTGGTATTTGTGACTACATATAATCAGGAAAGTCTAGATAAAATACATGTTTCAGAAGAAAAATCAATGTCTGGATTGGTTTTTTAAGAATGAAGAAGTAATTAAGGAAGAGGTTCCTTAACACTTACGCATTTCAGACTCCTCCAAAAATCACATTGCTAAACTTGGACGTATCCTTTAAGAAACTTCCAAGAAAAAAACTGGCATGTGCTACATACAGTATCTTATAAATGACTTTCTGGCCAGGCACGGTGGCTCACACCTGTAACTGGGGGCCGAGGCAGGCTGATCACTTGAGGTCAGGAGTTTGAAACCAACCTGGCCAACATGGTGAAACCCTGTATCTACTAAAAATACAAAATAATTAGCCAGGCATGGTGGTGCGTGCCTGTAGTCCCAGCTACTCAGGAGGCTGAGGCAAGAGAATCGCTTGAACCCAGGAGGTGGAGGTTGCAGTGAGCCAAGATCATGCCATTGCACTCCGCCTGGGTGACAGAGTGAGACTCTGTCTCTAAATAAATAAATAAATAAATAAATAAATAAATAAATAAATAAATGACTTTCCTTTTCATGATAACTGCTGCATTATAGTATTATAATCCTTTACTTTGAGGCTTTTTGTCTGCTAAAAATGTTGACGTTTTCATTCTTGTCTGAGAGAGGAATAATAATTAATTTCATGTTTTTCAGGTAACTAAGCAAGACAAGAACCTCATAAAGCCGCTTTATGACCGATACAGAATTATCAAGCAAATCTTGTCAACACCTTCCCTTATTCCAACAATTGTAAGTCAGGATACTTGCATGCTGTTACTTTGTACTGATGTGTAGTTAACAGGATGTCACATAGTAGTACAAGAGTTATAAAAGACCCTTCATGGCAGTATATACTGCAAACAAGGCTAGTTGTCATTTCAAAAAGTGAAAATTTGGTCTTCTCTAACCCCATTACTATATTTAACAGTGGCTGATATTAGAACTATTGTAAAATAGGAACATATAGCACTTGTATGTCTAGAGCCAATTTTAACATTTGCTTTCATTATCTTGGGTGAAAAGAAATGATAGATTTCAGTTTGGCATTTTCTAATTTGTAACACAGCTAGACAAAACAGAGCCTTTCTGTTCTGTGTGTTGGTTAATTTTTTCCTTTAATCAGAAAATTAACAATATATTCTTGATATAATGCAACATTTGTTTTTGGTACCATTTGACCATACTGTACAAGATATGAGAAGATTTATTTCAATAGAAAATATAAGTACTGAAATTGAATTAGGCTACTTTTAATAAAGAATGATTTATGGGAATACAGAACTAGAAAAGCATCACAAATCCTACTCCATCAATATCAAAACAGTTACTTGTTCAAGATATCAATATAAAAAGGAATAAATATTAACAAATATAAATTTAAGTATGCTTGGGTACATTTATACTTCCACTTTTTTTGAGACAAATTATACTTCCACATTTTTAAAGACATTAAGTGAATAATAATTCATAGTCTTTGGAATTTTCCCTTTATGGAAGCATAATTTAAAATGTAGTAAGGTTCTTATATTTCTTGCAAGAGAATCTTCTAGTTGTGATAAGAATTATCAGAACAGTTGAGGAGTAACCCCACTTTGCTTTGGCCTTCAAATAGCTCTCCCCTGAACTTGTCAATTTACTGAGTATCCTCTGTATCTGAATGTTGGTCCCCACTGGGACCTGACTTGGGGTATTTCTGGAGGATAAAAGTTGTCCGTAGTCCACCTTATCTTAACTCATATCACAAGTATTAAGCTGGAGCCCAGAAGGTCTGAGTGAAAGGGAGGAACCACTTGGTAGTATAGTCCAGACTGGACCATATCCTAATGGTCTGTGCCTTCATTGGCCCAGAAGACACAGATGAACTTGGTGAGTGTTTTAGCCCAGCATGACTGCTGCCTTTTTGCTCATTAACTTCTGTAGGTTTTTAATGAAACTGCGGAAGAGCTCCTCTTGGTTTCTTCCATCCCAGTTCTCAGTAGGCACATGGGTCACCTACTGGTTTTCATGGCATTGATTTATAGTTCCCCTTCCTGTTTTTGTTTCCTCAAGAGGCACTGAGCATTACATGACTTTCTTTCTTTAACTCTGCCTGTGATAAGCAGGAGGAAGAGGACTCTGATGAAGACCGTCCACAGGGAAGCCAACAACCTTCTTTGGCAGATCCAGCATCTCACCTTCCTGTTGGTGACCACCTCACCTACTCTAATGAGACTGAGCCTGTTAGGGCCCTTTTACCAGATGAAAAGAAAGAAGTAAAACCACCAGCTCTCTCCATGTCTAATTTACATGAGGCTACCATGTGAGTATGAATCCTAAGTGTGGAGTCTCCTCTTAACTCCTTCTGGTCTGATACCAGTATATGAAGTAGAGCTGGCCTTTGAAAATGCTGGACTCAAAGGGGTGGGTCAACAGTTCTCAGGGCCTTTATCCTAGTCTCTTACATTTAGATGAGATAGTTTTTCCACTAGAAATCCACTTGGTAGTAAGCAAATGACTTGCCCTTTGTCTCTTAAATAGCCCTTCAGATATAAGCCATTTGGATTTTCATTAATATTATCATTATCATTATTATTATCATTATTCAGTAGCTGGCATTCCTCATGATAATTTGGCCTTCTTTGGTTTGTATCTTACAGCCCAGATTATGAGATTTAATTTAATTTAATTTAAGTTGACAGAAGTGTCTGTCAGAGAAAGCAAGTAGAAAATCATTTTTTTGGTGGTGGTTCTAAAGCAGTTATTCCTAACTTTTCAAGGGGTGTTGGGACTTCTTTGAAACCAATAGAATCATTTTAAGAAAATGCCCATGTATAATTTCAAGTTCACAGAATCTCTGAAACCATACATGAGTTTGGGTATGCTTGTGTATATACCAGATTCCTGCTCTAGAGTATATGACTTTTCTCTCATCTTGGTAGAATGAAGTGAGTAGAATTTGCAATGTAACTATCGCTTTCTTCTGGGTCTTATTTTCATTCACAAGGGTTTTGCTATTCTCCCAATATTCCCACACTTATTTCTCTAGATTAAGAATAGAATTTTCTTTAAAAGCTGCTCCTCTGTATCTCTTATGTTCAGTCTATGACCAAATGCTGATGAGTATTCCTTCAAAATATCCCTTCCCTCATCCACCTATATTGCTGTTACCCTTTCCAGTTCCTTCAGTGGATTCAATCAATCTCCTTGCCTCTTGTCTGTCCTTTCCCCTATCCTGTGATATTTTTTCCATCAGGTAATTTTCCCTGCTTATGTGCTTGCCTATGGTCAGGCTCTATGTGTGTCATATTTACTCAAAAGATACTCTTATGATGGGAACACTTTTCAATCATAGATGCTTTTTTGGCTGAACAGATAAATCTGCTCATGATGATCTCTCAATTATGCCAGTGCCCAGTAATGACAAGTATTTTACCTTATATAGGCCTGTACTTCTTGACCATCTCCGAGAAACTAGGGCTGACAAGAAGAGACTGCGGAAAGCCTTAAGAGAATTTGAAGAACAGTTTTTTAAACAAACAGGAAGGTATGTGTCGGCAGAGAGATTTTTAAAGCTAATACTTCCTAGAGAATTGCTGTTAAAAATGAGCTGCAATTTTTTGCAGGAACGGTGACTTTTTACAAAATGTATATAATTTCCACACTGGCTTAGACTCAGGATTTGTCCAATGCAACATTCTAATAGTGCCAGTATTAGGGATGTTTCATGGGACATGGTAGCTGTCAGGTATGACATCAATCTGTAAAAAATAAAGGATAAACTCCAAAAATCTCTAACTTTGCACAATAAATCTCATCATAAATAAATGAATTTATTTAAACCTTTAAAAAAATCTGTTGATTTTTTTAGCCCACATAACTGCTTTGTTGTTGGTTTCTTAGTTCCACAAGTTACTCCCTAATTTATTAAATAATAATTCCTTATTTGCTTTAAATGTCTTCCTTAAAAGTCAGGATCTGTCCCTAATTATTTTATTTCAAGAGTCGATCAAAAATTCATAGTCATTCTTTCTACTTCTTAAATAAATGGTTAGCTGTATCATCTGTCCTCTATTTTTCTGTGTCAACCCAAGTCTCATTATACACTCTATTAGTTTCCTCCAATTTTTGGTGTATCATCAACAAAATTACATATATAATCAAGAGATAAGGTTATTGATCTAATTTGGAAGAGAGATAAATTGCTTAGCTATCTTGAACCTCAGTTCCCATTTTATGAGCTGAAATGGTTGGACTCCTGGGATACTTTGGGAAGCTACAGCTGTCATGTGGGATATCAATCTTTACAAAAATAAATAAATGAAGAGTGTAACTTTCCCAAAGCCACAAGTTATTAAGTAGATGAAATGAGATTAAACTCATTATTCAACTCATAAACTCATCATTAAACTCATCAGTGCTACATGGGCTCCTCTGTATTCCTCTCCATTTAGGTATTGTATTTGACTTTTCAGTTCAGCAGGTTGAGGGTTGTCCTGATGGAAAGGGACTATTTTCCAAAAGCACCTTGAAACTCTCATGCGTGGTCTACTTACCTCTTAGTCCCTGGCAGGTTTTCCATTTTAGCCTACCAGGGATATTCTTTAGGACTGGACCTATTGAGTGAAAAGCTTTTTGCATTCAGCCAATACAGATGTAACAACTTATTTTCTACTTACAATCTTCCTTTCCAGTTGATTGCTACAAGTCCAACTTACCTTTTTGGTGATGTTAAGTAATCTAGTGAGAAATGTTATGTGGCTCATAAATTTAGAATATAAAGCATTTGTTATTTTTTTCCTTTTCCATACTTTTTTCTTTTATAAAATGTTCATGTAACTTTCCTTGTAAAATATTCCTTGGAGTAGTAACTTTGTCTGTCTGGACTGTCTGCTCCTATTATACTTTGGGTAAATATGTGACTTGCACTATAAAGTTCCTGATCTCTGCCTCTTTTGGATTAAAGGTATTCTATGGGAATTTTTCATTCAGGGAAATATTTGTGGAGATGTTATCACATATTCTAAATCTAAACAGTCATTACATATGAGAAATGACACTTTAAGATGTGCGTACACTCTTTTCATAAATTTGAGTTCCCTGAATAAATTTATATTTTTTAGCAATTTGAACTCAGGAATCTATCGTAAGGGGTTTGAGAACTTCCCAGTGTGCTACTAGTCCTGCCTACTGGATCTGCAGTGTCACTTGGTGTGCTTTTTGTCATACATACAGGGAAGTTAGTTATGTTCTATGTATAGTGTTCCACTGCACCTATGAGTCTTAAACCCACTTCAGATAAGTCTGTATTTGTCTATGAAGTTTTATGCCCCCTTGTGATGATATATTTCAACTAAATGCACAAGTGATGATCTTTTACAACTAAAATCAAACAGTTGAATGGCTAGGAAATATGGACCTTAATTTTGTTTATCTAAGACATTTTATTGGGAAGGCCTAAGCATCCATAAGTTAAAATAACCATGCAAATGGATTACTAAAATGTTTAAGGCACTATAAATGTTCTTGGTAATATTTGCCATACAAGAGGCATGAGAATCATGCAGATATTACATTATTATTAATAATTATTAGCCTGGAAGTGTGCTAAGCACTTTAGTATGTTTTATATAATGGAGAAACTCCTTCAGGAAAGACTTGGCAAAACTTTTCATTCTTGTCAAAGCACTCTTTTTTTTTTTTTTTTTTTTTTCTTTTGAGACGGAGTCTCACTCTGTCACCTGGGCTGGAGTGCAGTGACGCGATCTCGGCTCACTGCAAGCTCCGCCTCCTGGGTTCACGCCATTCTCCTGCCTCAGCCTCCCAAGTAGCTGGGACTACAGGCGTACGCCACCACGCGTGGCTAAGTTTTTATATTTTTAGTAGAGACAGGGTTTCACCATGTTAGCCAGGATGGTCTCAATCTCCTGACCTTGTGATCCGCCCGCCTCGGCCTCTCAAAGTGCTGGGATTACAGGCGTGAGCCACTGTGCCCGGCCTCAAAGCACTCTTATTAGCCAAAATGGAATATGCAAAACTACGGAAAATTACATAATTGATTATTAATGTTTCTCTGTAATAATTAGACAATTTCTTTACTTAGATCTATTTATACAAATTAAGGTGGTATTCAGACATCCAGCCATGATAAGTTTGACTCATAACACAGAATGGAGGCAAAGATATATGTTATATAATTTAGACAACAGTTAAGAAGAATGCTGTCTATGGATTTGTATACTGTTCTGAGTTCTGTACTAGAAATTGCAGGGCAATAAATAGTGTTGAAATACAAGTAGATACTATATTCTTAATTTGTATAGATTAGCTTGTTTTTTATTTGGTAAGAGATAGAAATATCTCTTTATCACTACTGGGAAAAATAGAAGGGAGCTAAAGATAAAACATTAAATATATGCTATTTACCTGGTTTCAGCCATACTAACATTAGAGAATACTTGTGGTTATATTCAGTTGTAATTGTGGTGACTATATCTGTGTCCTCTACCCCTTGAATTTCAAAGTCGTGGGTGGAAATGTTTTCAAAACGATTGGCTATCTTATTAACCAAGAAAACAAGAGCCTTCTGAGACCCTGTCGCAATTTTTCCCTTTAGAAAACGTTTCCTGACAACATATTTTTGTGGGAAGGCAAATGGTTTTAACTCCTGATATTACCAAGTTATTCTTCCAAGTAAACAGCAAGAGTATGCTGCATATGTATAAAAATCTATGCATTGTTACATGTCTAGCCTTAGTAGAATTAGTGTACAGAAGAGAACCACCACAATTTAGACTCTTGTCAATTACTTCAATCAAGGAACAGCTCAGTGGTTCTACTATATATTAGCAGAGATAGGTATTATAATTACAAGAAAATCTGGAAACGTTTCAAGTTTGTAAGACAGACCCTAAATGCTTTTCTTGTTACCATAGGTTTATGTTATTTTTATAATGAAATTCCTGTAGTATTTTCAGGTTAATATTTTTAACAACTGTATTAGGGCTGATCATTTTGTACAGCTGTAGGGGTGTGGCAAATAATGGAAGAATGACTGGACAAAGAATGCCTTGAAAGTTCTGTTTCTTGTTTGTTTGCTTCTCCTTAGATCTTTTCACTGACCCCTTTGTTGTAAGTCTAAGCACTAGACCACATATTTGCAAAACACTTATGACATTCAAGTTTTCAAAGGTTACTATTATTTAGAAACTTAGTAACACATGGAAGAAGGAGTGAATGAAGGTGAAAGGGAAGGAAAAGAAGACATGATGCAAAAACCAAGTGGAGGCCGTTACAGTATACTTTCTCATGTATGAATTATAAAAGAATGTTTAAATAATGACTTGATTCATTGTGAACTAACAAATGTATTTTTGTTTTGCAGAAGTCCACAAAAGGAAGATAGGATACCAATGGCAGATGAGTATTATGAATATAAGCACATAAAAGCCAAACTGAGACTATTAGAGGTCCTCATCAGCAAGCAAGATGTGGCCAAAACTATTTGAGGTTCAGGAAATGTTATGATCACTTTCACCCATGATATAAAGTAAAGTTTATTTTCCTCTGCCATCCTTGCTAAGTAGTTTTGACACAATGAAAATGGAAGCACTTTAGTGGTAGTATTAGCTGTTTTTAAGAAGGAATAGCAAGTTTAATTATATACAAGGAGAAGGGATTTAAACGGGGGGAAGAATACAACAGGTAGCCATATAATTGGGAAAAAATTCAGTGTCCTCCATGCCAAGCAGAAAACTCATAGTCAATACAAGTATTTTTAAAAATGTCTAATATTTTATCAAATCTAAATAACATAGCTAGGACACTTGTTAGGGAAAGTTTATTTAGTATCCAAAGACTGTTTATGTTGATGTATGGAAAAGAGCATGATTTTAAAAAATCAATCATAGGAGGAAAAGAAATTCGCTTTTCAAGTAGGAAGGAATACAGCTAGCAAGAAAGCAATTTATTTGAAACTTCTAATGGATTTTTGAGTGATAAAACATTTACTACCTTGTCCTTTAAGTCTGCTAGGCTCTCAGTACCCTAAAATAAACTAGATTGTGTTGCTATTTTTTTCTTTCTCTATAAAAATAACACATTATTTTATCCGTTATTTGAAATTTTACATTTCTGGTTACCAAAGTTCATTCTGATAGCATGTACTTTGTGAATTATTATCTTTGTCTATAACTGACAGATGTTTATATTAAAATAAAATATTGTATTAAAAATTTAAAATAGGTATTTTGGATAGATATGTGTCTGTAGTATATAATCTAATGTGTCCATAGTATTATTGCTAATCTTTTGGTTTACTATAAGATGATATAACTATTTTTTCATTGGGAATATACATTTTTCTTAATGTTCCAACATCTATACTTTGTAAAGTCAAAACATTTCCCATGAGCTGTAGTTATTCATCCTTCTGTACAAAATGAAAAGTTTGGAAATTGTTTGCCCTGATACCTTGAAAAAGAAGCCAGAATATTTATTTGCTTCATCAACTTCAGTGTATATCATTTTGTGTTATTTTATACGAAAACATGTTTATTATTTTCATTTTTGTAAAAGGAAGTAAAAGGTCAACATTTTCTCTCATGTACCAACCTTGTTTGTATTTCTATTTTCTGTAATGTTTAAGTATGATGTTGAAGAAATTCACATTCTCTTATAGTTTGGATGGGAAGACTATTGACTATTTCAGAAACAGACTTATTTCAGAGGCTTATTGTTTTCTCTGTATTTACCTAATATTTTATAACTTTTATGAATCAGAATAATGTCCTTCATAAATTTGTTTAATTGAAGTCATCTACTTCTAACAGGACAGATACACAACTATTTGAGGTTTACAAATTACATCTTTGATAAGGGAAATGGTTTCGTGACATGTACACAGTTGCTATTAAAATGTAACTCTATATATTCTATATGATTGTAAATATTTTATACAACAATACAAATAAAATATTTTTCTATTATATTTATTATGTTGAAACACAGTAGTTGTTTCCTGTTAGCTAATATAAATAACATAAATAACACTGTCAAACAAGAAGTTGGAAGTGCTGACAATTCTAGGCTTCAAGATTTAACTCATGCTGCAATTACACCCTTTCATGCGGTTTGGAGTTATCCCAATATTTGTTCAGTAGATTAAAATGAATGCATATTTAAACACCATTTATAAGCCATTATTGTGTACTTTGCTAAAGCAGTCTATATAACTGTTTTGTTATGTTTGGCATAAAGGAAACATAAAAACATTGCAGCATCTAGGCAATAAAGTGTCAAAAGGAGAACTTAACTTAGGGTATTTCATCATTGAAAGTAGTGGGAGGGGTAGGGAATAGGAAAACACTAAAATGGTTCTGAATGAAATTTGGAAAGTGGTAGTTGTTTGTTTTGGTGACAGTGGCATGTGCATGCTTCAGTGGAAAACATCTGGTGATAAAAATGGACAACAGAGGACCAATGCTCCTAAGGGAGGAAAAGGGGCTGAGTAAGAATAAGAAAAGTGGGCATTAACGTCCAACACTGATATTACAGGTTTTGCAGCTGGGATCTTTCTTTGCATTTGCAGTAGACAAACTCATGAGCTGATGACCAGTGATTTCTGCCACGGTGCCCACAGAAAGATCCACAGGGTCAGTGTAAATGACTTCTAAAATGACATCCTGGGCATGGTGGTAAACCAGCACCCCATCTTCTTCTGTACAGGTCAAAAATTTATTATCCTTAGAATTTAGTTGAGGAAGGCGCTGCTTACAAAATTCATCTCCTGGTGATCCCACAGGAGCAATAACAAGAATCACATAATGATAAGCAGTGTACATACAGTAGAAGTCCCCAAAGTATAAGTTAGTATTGGGGTTAAAAAGTTTTTCTGCGGCAATCTCAAACCTGTATCTTCCATAAGGTGAATCCTGGGGTGGCTTTCCAGTATTGAATTCAGTGCTGCAGCTGAAGAAGATGCCTTCTAATTTTCCACTGATAGGAGAGCCATGGCTACCACTGTTATCCTTGACAGATGGCTGCATAGCATTCCCATGATGTTCTCTGCAAGAGAAAACAAGTGGTCACTGCTTAATACAATAGTGGTAAACCCACTGATTTATATATTTGAATGGCCTAAAAGTCAAACATCTACTGTTAAAGGCCTGAATACCTCTCTTACTATCAGAATAAGGGGACAACATCTTTTGACATATTACCTATAGATGGCTGTATTCTAGCTTTGACCTTAAGGTAAGGATGAGCTGCTACAAGCCTTGGAGACTTTGTATTAAATTAACATAATAATGTAAATTTCCTGGCCAGAAAAATCAAACTGGAATTAGAAACCTTACAGGTAAAATCACACATACATTAAGTGCCAACTGGGTTTCAGAAGTGGCTTTCTGAAGAGAAAACTGAACTAAAGGTATTGGTTAAATATATTGAATGTTTCTTTAAAGCATGATAGATTTAGTCATAAAATGAGTGCTGTCCATTTATACTGGCACAAAAGCGTTGTGTTTTGTTTTGGCTTTTTTTTTTTTTTTTTTTTTTTTGAGACAGAGTCTCACTCTGTTGCCAGGCTGGAGAGCAGTGGCACGATCTTGGCTCACTGCAACCTCTGCCTCCCAGGTTCAAGCAATTCTCCTGCCTCAGCCTTCAGAGTGGCTGGGACTACAGGCATATGCCACCATGCCCAGCTAATTTTTGTACTTTTACTACAGACGGGGTTTCACCACGTTGGCCAGGATGGTTTGATCTCTTGACCTTGTGATCCGCCCACCTCGGCCTCCCAAAGTGCTGGGATTACAGGCATGAGCCACCACGCTCAGCCCTTGTTTTGGCTTTTTAACCCAAGGACAGTAATCAGGTTATTTCTCTGGCATTTTGCTTAAAACAGTGCTAGTTATTCCCACTTTACCTCACCCCCAAATCCATTCATTCTCCACCACAGTCCTCCACTGTGACCTGGGACTCTAGCATTCAGTTCCTTATCCCTTGGCCACTTCCATTTCAGTTCTACCAATGTGAGGCACCAGCATATATAGAGTAGGAGGAGGTAAAGCTTTGGGTATGTCTTCCTGTATTTCCTCCACGCTTTAGGGCATTGTGGTTCTGGCAGGGCTGCATTCTTCATAACTATGTATCTCTGACTACTGCTGCTGCTGGATGAATTCCTATTCCCTTTCATTCCCATGAAGAGTAAAACTTTTCAAGTCTTGCTAGTGCTAGTTCTTGGTTCCTTTAGCATCCCCTATTTGTTACCGTAACCCTGACTACACCTCTATGAAGGGGTAGTTTTGTTAAATTCTCTCCAGAATTCCCCAAGTGTGCTGCCTTCTTTTTTTTGTTGTTTGTTTTTTTTTGCTGGGTCCCTGACCAGCATGACTTGGGAAGCAAAGTTCAAGCTACTACTCAAGTAAGGGAAAGTTCCCCCAGTCAACATGCTTCTTAAAGAGTTTATGGGTCAGTGAAATGCCTGGATCTGCCTCTGAATTTAGCAGCAATGGGTCTCGAATTCTACCACCTGAAAACCACCTAGGGAGCTTATTAAAAATGCAAATTCAAGGAAAGACCAAAAAATTGTCACAGTTAAGAGAATGAGGAAACACAATAAATAAATGTGTGATATCCTGGATGTGACCCTATACTTTTACTTGTACTGTGCTTTTTTCTTTCTGATGTTCCAGGTTTCCTTCTTTTATTATTTCCTTCCTTCCTGTTTCAGAAACTTCCTTTAGGATAGATATGCTGTTGACAAATCCCCTTAGTTTTCCTTCATCTGAGCATATCTTAATTCCCTTTTATTATTGAAGGATATTTTCACCGGATATAGGATTCTCAGTTGACAGTGCTCGTTCAGCATTTGAAAATATTGTGTCACTTTCTTTTGCTAGGTAATTTCTGATGATGATGTCATTCAAATTGTTTTATTTTTCCTTATACATAAGGTGTCTTGTATCTCACCACTTTCAATGTTTTTTTTTTTTCCTTTGGCCTGCAGTTTTCAGTTTGTAATATATCTTGGCATGGATTTCTTTGGGTTTATCCCATTTAGGGTTTTCTCAGCTTGAATCTGTATGTTTATGTTGTTTGGCAAATTTGGGAACATTTCGGCTATTAATTCTATGAATACTTTTTCAGCCCCACCCTCTTTGTCTTTTCCTTCTTGACTTTAACAACATGAATATTAGATCTGCTATAGTCTCACATGTCCATAAGACTGATATATATTTTTCGGTGAGTTTTATCTCTGTTGTTCAATTTGCGTAATTTCTATTCTATCTTCAAGTTTACTGATTTTTTTCTCTTTGTCCTCTTGAATCTGCTGTGGAATCCATGGAGTCTATCCAGCTTTTGACTTTACTTACTGTGTTTTTATGTTCCAAAATTTTCATTTAATTCTTTGTATCTTCTATTTCTTTGCTGCTTCCGTTTTTATGTGTTTCAAGTGTGTTAGTATGTGCTTCTTGAACCATTTTTATGGTGGCTGCTTAAATATCTTTGTCAGATAATTCCAAGATCTGCATTATTTTGGTTTTTGTATCTTTGATTATCTTTTCTCATTCAGGTTAAGATTTTCCTGGTTCTTGGTGTGATACCTGAGTTCCATTTGTATCCTGGACATTTTAAGTTTTATGTTATTATATTCTGGATCATATTTAAATCTAGCATTTTTAGCAGGCCTCCTCCTGACTATCTACCAGTGGGTGAAGAGTATGGGGTAGTCACTTCATTGATGTCAGATGGGGCTAAAAGTCCAGGTTTCCTACTCAGTCTCCGGTGACACAGGGTAGGAGGGTCAGTTACTACTTGGAGGAGGTAGGAGTTTAGGCTCCCACTAAGCCTGTGCTAACATACTCTAGATCAGAGAGAGAAGGGGTGTCTCATTAGTACTTGACATGTGGCTTCACACACTATGAGGGCAAGCCTCATTTTCTTTGGGCAGTGGTGGAAAATCCAGGCTCCCTATTCAGGCTTCTCTGATACCACCCTAGCAGAGGATGGAAGGAGAAGGGTGTCCCCTTACAGATGTGAGAGGATAGAGGTCTAGGTTCCTCACTTAGCCTTGGCTGGTACATGAGGGACTACGGTTTGTTTGTTTTTTTCCTATACTGTTTGCCTGGGGTATGGTGGTTATTGTCTAAAAGGTTTCTGTATTCAAAGTCATCTCAGTCTCTTTCCCAATCCTGTGGGTAAAGGGAACATACTTTCTGGTGTTCTTTATTTCTTTTTTGTCTGTGCTCATTGGCACAGACAAAAGAGATATCTTTGTATCCCATTAACATATTGAAGTGCTCAATAATGACTGTTTCTTGAGTGAAGAGTAAACAATAGATAGATGTGGGCGAAATAAGGAAAAGAGAATCTACCCATCTTGTCCCTGTTCAAAATTTCTCGCCCTTGTTACATTCTCATTAACAAAATCCAAATATCTATGATATGTGTCCTACATGGATCTATAAGTGCAATTACATGAAATAATAACAGCAACATATATATAAACAGAAAATATGTACTAGAACCTACACTTTGAGGATATACAATTTGACACCAGAGGTAGAGGAATTCCTACACATGTCTACCAATCTCAGTGAATTCCTGAAACCCTTCAGATATAAAAGGAGTTTTAAGGACAATTAGACTACCTAGTGAATATGAACAAGAGGTAAGAAAGAAAGTGGTGTTTTCATTTGGAGTATGGGAAAGTAATGTTCATTTAGGAATTCATTTCTAGAGGAAGAGGTCAAAATGAGTTGATTTCTTATGGACTGAGTAAGTATTTATCCAGTTTTTCATAATTCAAAATGGATTATAAACTTTGGAAAGTGTATCCAGTAATTAAAAGTTTCCTTTCTATTCAAGCATTCTGAATAACAAGATGATATTTAAAATGGATTTTAATCAAGGAAATGTGTCTTAATTAGAGTTAATGACAAAAAGAAAATCAACATCCATGGAATTTATGTCTACTACTTTTTAATAAGGCTTCTTAAAAAAGCAATGTTGAAAAATTATACCACTCTGTGGAAAGTATATTTATTTATACGTACTGCACCAAGACATATTTTACATGGATTTTATAACTATCATTATGGAAAACTTAACAAAGGTAAATTTTCTTGTTAGTAAACACAGCTTTCATACTGGTAGCTGGGAGTAAAATCATGCAATATACACAATAATTATCCATTTTCTAGGCACTCTGTCTTTATTTATTTATTCTTGGAAGCATTTTTGAAAACAGATGAAGCAAACTTTAGATTACTAAAGGACCTAAAAACAAAGGCCAGTTCCCATCTAAGGGACAGAGAAAAATCACAGAGAGATACTGCCCTCCAGTGGCCACCTAAAATAGATATTGGCAATGTTCCAGGAATATAAACCTAAAATCAAAGATGTAATTATTTATTCTTTTGATGTATTTCTTACCAAAGACAACAGAAATATGGAGGGGTTTTTTTTGTTTTCAAATTTTATGCGTAACAAATACAGACAGTCCCTGACTTATGATGGTTTGGCTTACAATTGTTTGACTTTATGATGGTGTGAAAATGATGCACATTCAGTAGAAACTGTACTTTGAATGTTGATCTTTTCAACACTTTTTTTTTTTATAAAATAGACTTTCTGTTAGATAATTTTGCCCAACTGTAGGCTAACGTAAGTTATCTGAAAATGTTTAAGGAGGCTAGGCTAAGCTATGATGTTTTGTAAGTTAGGTGTATTAAATGAATTTTCAACTTGATATTTTCAACTTACAATGGGTTTAACAGGACATAACCCCATTGCAAGTCAAGGAGCATCTGTATAAAGAAACACCTTCCTTGCTAAGTCTATATGGTCATTGCCAATCCACAACTGACAAGCACAATAATTTATGTTATATCTATCAGTCTGTACTCTCTAAATTAGGTGAATGGTATCTACCAGGAAATATATGGACTCTAGGGTATATACCAATTGAGAAAATGAAGGACTAAACTCTGTATTTATAAGATATTCAAACAAATGGCAGGAATATTTTTTCACCATCAAAATATATAAAAATACATTCTATTGCTAAGTACTTAATTTGAAGAACACAGATGCCTACGTGTGTTCTTCTCTCTCTGATTCCTGTTGCATTTTCCACAGCTTGAAGCTGATTTAAATCTGGAACCATGGTCTTCAAACAAACAAATACAAAGAACACAACAAAGTTTCCTAAATATTTTTCATACATAGTCCTGTCAACTTAAGATGCTTTAGAGTCTGAAGTGAAGCTTTTAAAATGATAAATTATAGGGAATGCTGTGTAAGAAGTTTTACAACCTATATAGCATTTGCCATTTTAAAAGCCTTAGTGAGACTAAGGCTTTTAAAACACAAAACAGACATCTGGCTATTTATTCTCTTCAAATTTTCTTCTACAAATATGAAAGTGCTGTAAATATAAAAACTACCTGCAGGATAGAGTTCTTTTAACTTCTCAGGAACTGCTTCCAGGGATAAACATAGGCTATCTTAGAAATTCTAGTAAAATCACTAGAATTTAAAAGTAAACAAAGGAGATTATCCTCATGATAATTAATTCAAGATAACAGCTGATATGTTTTGGCTGTGTCCCCACCCAAATCTCATCTTGAATTGTAACTCCCACAATTCCCACATGTCATGGGAGGAACCCAGTGGGAGTTGATTGAATTATGGGGAGGGGGAAATCTTTCCTGTGCTGTTCTCATGATAGTGAATGAGTCTCATGAGATCTGATGGTTTTAAAAGGGGAGTTTCCGTGCACAAGCTCTCTTTTTGCCTGTTGCTATCCATGTAAGATGTGACTTGCTTCTCCTTGCCTTCCACCATGATTGTGAGGCCTCTCCAGCCATGTGGAACTGTAAGTCCAACAAACTTCTTTCTTTTTTAAATTGCCCAATCTCGGGTACATTTTATCAGCAGCCTGAAAAACACACTAATACAACAGCTAAAAGACTTCTACTTAGGTAGAAGTCTGCAAATCCCACCTGATTCACCATAATATTTCATTAAACAGTCACTCTTTTATACTCTCATTTTCAATGTCTTAAAAAGACCCATGAAAAGAGGAAAAAATTAGTAGTCAGTATGATGCAGACAGCAGGACGAGTGTGTACCTGAAATGCTCATCGATCTAAATACCACAGGTTTAAGATCCTCTAGTCAAATGGGCAGGAACTGGTATCACAAATGATTATGGAAAGGAATCTAAGTGAAATAGAAAAAAATCCCATGATCTTTTTCTACTTAATTTTTCTGGAAAATAAAATTCCATATCGTTATTTTGAAAAGAAATCTAGAATTGCTATTCGACAAAACTAGAGTCAAGGGAAACCTGAGCCTAGAATTTGAAACTATATTTAGTAAAACAAATCACTATATATTTTTGAATCTTACCGAACATAGTCAAAATATTCTTTGTGCTGATTACGATAAAAAACAGAAAACTTAAGCATGCGTCCTGCAATCACTTCAGCCTTCTCCAACAATTGTGTTAGATGAACTTTTGAATAGTCTGGAAAAAACCCAAAAAGTCTGTTATTAAAAATATTGCACCAAAAGTACCAACCATATACTTAATAAATTGAAGATTATTAAAATTCACCTCTAGGGAATTCAACTTAATAAATAGGAAATTCCATTTAAAAAAGAAAATATTCATTGTCTGTGTGGCACATTTTTCTTCCTACAAAAATATTTTTGTTATGGTTTATGGTTGTTTCTTAGAATACCTTTGCTTGCATTTTTCCATTTTTTGAAATTAGAGATACTGAAACAAAAATTAAGTTAAATAAATTTTCATAACCCAAGTAATATCCATTAGCACCATACTAGCTTTTCTTCAACCAGTTGATAAACTGAATAAAAGAAGCTTATAATCTGCAATCAATAGAAAAGTTGGACAGCAAAAATAATAATGAGTACATAAGACTTGGGTACACAAGATGCTTGAAACTCTAAAGCACCTGTCAAAGTAAATCTGATTTTTTTTAACCCACTTTTTGTTTTGAAAGTTGTTTAAGAATTGCTGTTTAACTCCTACACCAGAAACTAGGGAAACATTTTGGCCTATAAAGATTAGTAAGAATTTCTAAACAGAAGAAACCTAGTTAAATTGCTCATGGCAACATAGTTTGTTTACTCACTGCTTCATTGGCTCAATAAACAGGTACTGAGATTAGAACATATGATGTAAAAGGTACTATGCAAAATTAGATGATCAAGTTAAAAGATAAAAAATATATTATTATTCCTTGCAAAGAACTGACAATCTAAGAGAAGAGATAAATATATGTACAATAATGATTTATTATGGTAAGTATTAGCATTTTAAGATTGGGATAAGCACAGGGTTTTAAACCCTGTCATAGGCTAGAAAAGAAGTAGATTAGCCTGTGGCATTCTATTTTATTTTATTTCCAATACATTGTACAGTGCCTAGCTCACAGTATGGGCTTAATTAGTTTTGAATGAATTCGATGTTCAGATTAAAAGTCAACTTACACAAAATAGCTTTATCAAAACTTAGAGTCAAGGTTATTGACAAAGCTTATGTGAAAAGTCTAAATTATTCTGATAAACAAGAGCTTTGAACAGCTTAAGTTTCTTGTAGATTCAGCCTCTGTCTATAGTTTTTTATAGGAAACAGTCATCTTGATGAACAGGAGGAAACAAAGTTTCTTTCTAAAAGACAAAAGGAAAGGATGACAGGAGTACTCAGGTAGAGATATGGTATCCCATTAACACTGAAGTGCTCAATAAATGACTGTTTCTTGAATGAACAAGTAAACAATAAATATATGAGTGAGATGAATGGTAATGTTTCCAATCTAATGGAATATTAAGGTTCAGTTCCACATCAAACCTCCCAAAACAATGGCTTTGAGGTACTTTCGAGTGAAGCAAAGACACACATATGTATACAGGACACTAGTTTAGATGCAGATTTTCTTAAGGTCTTCTAGTACTCCAGTGAAAAATCTAGTAACATTTCTGCTAGGGACAGTCACTGAGATCTGCCTCCATTCACCTGAAATAGAGAAGGATTTTCCTAGTTTCTGTCTTTCAGTACTGGTGAAAATGAAAAAGGAAAAAAAAAAAAAAGGAGAAAAAAGCTCTGTCTCTCAAAATGAAGCTAAAAAATTATGCTGAGTATATTTTCAAACTGCATACCTTTTTATTTGCATAGCTTTCATCTTGAAGAAATCAAACTATGGATATAGAAAAAAATGATTTGAAGCCATTACTCAGATTTTTCTACTGAGAACTTCAGCTTCCTCCAATCAATACAACATTGTTTATTCTGTTACACAATGCTACTGACAACGCAAAAAATGACCAATGTCACATATATCACTTTATAATTACAAAAAAGAAATATTTTTCTATAATTAGCTTTCCCAGAACAACTAAAGCTTTTCTATATTTGTACCTAGTTCTCTTACCTGCGGTGCAGAATTCTATAATTTCACTCCATTCAGACACAACATAATCACCATCAACTTGTTTTGAGGCAGTCTGCACTGCTACTGTATATTCAGTTCTTGGGCTTAAAAACCAGTGTCCACGGACAGTCATAGGCAAGGGAACAGCTTTTGCCACCAATTTTGTGGGAACATCCTAGGAATGAAAGAAGGAAGAGAGAGAGAAAAATGAGGGGAGACAGAGAGGGACGAAGGAAGTGAAGAAAGAAGAAAAGGGAGAAGGGAGGAAGGAGGGAAGGGAGAAGGAGGGAAGGAAGAAGGGAAGGAGGGAGGGAAGGAAGGAGGGAAAAGGAGGAAGTTAATTTAGTAGTATAACTTTAATCAACTGTAAACAATGGAGAATAACTTATTAAGTTCCTGACTGACAATAGAATTTTTCTGCTTAAAGATACTTAACAATTATTATATTTAAATCTCTTATTTGCTATATGCAAAAACTAAGGCCCAACTTTATCAAGAGACAAGTTCGAGGTCATACAGCTTGTTAATAACATAAATGTACTTGGATTCCAGTTTTCTTGATTTCTAATATGGTGTTCTTTTCTGTATACTATATGCTCCTCAAAATGCAACATTCTCATACTAAATGACAAAACTTTAAAAAACAGAGACATAAAAGATAAAGTTCAATAGTATTAAAAATATTATATTTGGTTAACTTATACTACCCAATAATTTCACTAAAGCTGCCCATTACTTGATATTTTACAGGTTAAAGGAGAAAACACTAAAAATATGAATTTTTGCTTCACTTTCATTCAAATATAGAGTCTATGTGTCACAGAAAAGTTTACGTATTTCTAAAAAATGCTTAGTAAAGTGATTAATTAAATCTGCTAGTTGAATATTCACTACATTTCAAGGATATGGTATTCCAAGTGGAGAGTGAAGAAAAAGGGTCAAATCTCAAACAATTCATCATTTAATGTTTGAAATTTAAGATTTCAAAGCTATATCAACAAGGCAAATGTCAGCAAAGAGAATATCCATCACTGAAAGCATAATCAGAACTGGAACTCAGAAAAAATAATGACTGCTCAATCTTGCTCCCTCTTTCACACTTATCTGTAGTATGTATGATCCTCACTTATCTTTAGTATGTATAATCGCACATCTAATAAAAGCAATATTTCTAGGTAAGGTAAGAAAGTTCCAAAGTATCTACCAAGTTAAAACTTAATATCAATATTAAAAAATAGACCAGATTTTCATCATCAGTGAAAACACTGCAACATAAGAAAGAATGCTTAAAGCAGATAACTGTTAATTTCTCTATAGATACTTCTGGAAAGAGAGATATATCAGAAAAGATATATGATATGTGAATAAATATCAGAGAAGTGTTATATATCTAAAAACATTTAAAAGTTAATAATTTTCATTCTCAAAACTAAAAAGCAAAAGACAAAAAAATTTCATTATCAAAACAAAAAACAAAAGGCAAAAGACAGCAGACTACTTAAAGCAATTTTTAGCCCTAAAGTGTTTTTAAAATACCTTGAAGTTTATAAACTGCATCAGATTCCTTGTTTGGCAGTTATAGAAAAAAAAGTGTGCTTCAGTGGAAAACTATGCATTGCACATAGCACCCTCTTCTGGCCATCTGTCTGTGTTATGGAAGCCATTTTACAATTCTGTAATTTGTAGAAACTAGTAACAATTCAGTTCTTCTTGTCTAAATACATACAAATAAATTATGTTCAGTGGAGGACAACCCTCCTCTTCACCCCTCCCATCAGGACTTCCATACCAGTTTACACCTGTATCTACAAATGAGTCTTTTCTTTGGATTTCCCTTTGAACTGGTTATAACACCTCATCGGTTTCCTCGTTAATAAGTTAAATAAAATCTTTAAGGTAAACTAATTTTTACATCTAGATGATAGTCATGATTTTACCTTTTTTTGAAAATTATCTTCTAACAAAAAGCATGGCATTTCATTTTCTTACAAAACTTATTAGAATGATAGGGTTTTAGAGTTACATATAATCTTTATTTTTTCCCAAGTCAAATACATCACATAAGCCATTAATAGAATATTATTCGTTCTTTTAAAATGTCCTCATACTTAGAAAGTTTTAAGATGCAAATTAGCATGAGTATTTGTTAGATTTTACCTTGTGTTTAAATTTATTGGAGTTCTTGTTCTCTTTCTTGTTGAGGTCAATAAAATAGTGTGTAATGCGATCCTTTGATTTTGAATCCATTTCCCATGAAATCTTGAATGAGTCACACGTTATATTGCTTATTTTGATGTTATGTGGTACAGGAAGTTCTTCCATCTCTGCTATGCCACTGTCTTGTGATTTGTTCCCTGCAAGAAAACAATGCACAGGAAGTTAATTTCCAATTAATGGATTTTCCAATTTATTTCCAATTAATGGATTTATTACCAATAAAAAGTAGAGATGACTTACTCCTTATCATCTTTACTTTTTCCATTTATGTTTCCAATTTGTTTTCACAGAGTGAACACAAAAACACTGACACTCTATCTTTCTAATCTATGACATGTTAGTTTTATATGGTTAGGTTCCCTCTAAAAAACCTCAAGAGCCTATTTTTCTACATGACCAATCAATTTTGCTCTAAAGTAGTATCAGGTGTTTTAAGCCAGATAATTTCATAGACATGTTGATAATGAAAGGGCCCATCCAAATGAAGGAAACATTTCTTTAAAAGTCCATGACCTAGCAGTGACAGTCTATAAAAATTCCCCCTCCTCTTTCATTTTGGAAGCATTATATAGAGAAACAGCATGTAATGGTTTTACTACATATACAAATAATACTGAAGACCGTTCACTTACAAGTTACTATGTTAAGGATAACTCTAGAAATGTTTTATCTGTGGAACCTTGATGAATTTAATTTTGAGAGCTGAAATAACAAATAAGGCTAAAAGAAAAAAGATGACTGCCATAGTGACTGATATTAAAATCTTGAAGAATTTATATGACAACTAGTTACTTTAAAGATTACACTTCCACTTAGGGAAAATGCTAACAATTTGGCTAACAGTATAGAGCAGGATTTGATGGATCATAGGACAAAAAGAAAATACAAACATGTCAAGTTTGTTTTACATATAGGAAAGACATATTAGAATCAAATTTTACCCCATTTTTTTCTACATTCCCTTTCCCCAGGCCAACATAATGTTCAATGCCTCAAGAGAGAAAAAAAAAATGTTATTCAAATAAGAAAAAATGTTAGGCCATAAATCAATTACTTAACTCGTTCCTTAACATAATAAAATGTTATTCAACAAAAAAACAACAGTGAATGTTCACCTTGTGGTAATACCTTCCATTTCCAGATTAGATTGTTTTCTCCTCCCCTACATTTCCATGACAGTCATTGATACAAACTTTTTGACAGTTCCCAACTTCATTAAATCTTTGACCCATGTTGTCTCATCTGAAGCTGCGTTGTAGCCAGAGGAACTCAAAGGCAATCAAAAACTAATTTTAAAATAAGTTATTTGATTTTATTTCTTGAACAATACTTTTAAAAATCCTTTTTTCTTCTCCTATGTACTTTCTTCACAGTCCCATTTCTCCACATTTCCTCTCCACAAAACTCCTGGAAAAACTACTTCACCTTTACTTTCCTCCCCATCAGGTCGCATAGAATCCCCAAATTACTTCTAGCTTAAAGCTTTTCAAAAGTTAAGAACAGGGAAGAAATCAAGTGAAATCCTTATAATGGCCTTGGGAAAAGGAAAGGCAAAAAACACTCAAACAATAGCAATTAGTAATTTTGTACTATTTTGAAAAGCTCACATTTCAACCCATTAATCTGTCCCACTTGTCTTTAAACATCAGTAATAGTAACGAAAAACTTTCTGAACTCTGATAGTAGAATTTTTGTAGAAATCATCTGCATTATAACTATGTCCACATAATTTCACAACTGAGTGAAAAAAAATAGTTACAATTGTTATTTAGGATCATGTAGATAAAAATAAAGCTATTTTGCATTTGATTCAATTTAATGGAAACACAACTTCAATATAGTAACACTATCTAAGATACTATTAATATTTTTTGCATTTAAACTTCCACTATCGTTATCTTCTTCAACCTTAAAGTCACAAATGATTATTTCACAGAACATAATACTTTGTTTTTTGGATTTTTTCATTCTGATTGTTAAAATTCGAGAGAAAAAATGTTACTGTTATTATAAGCGAAAACCTTTGCTCAAATTATATTTTTCCCATTGGGAACAATATAAAGCTCAAGCCTAGAAAGAATTTGTTATATTAAAAATCTTCATTTTCAAGCTACTCATCACAAAACCACTAGATTAACTAGTTCTTAACAAAACCACTAGATTAACTTTTATGCAACTTTCTTACTTAGGTAGTCGTAATTTTCTGATTTTGATCATTATACTTTGGTTGTGTAAGAGAATATTTTTCTAATGAAATATACAATTTAGTGTTTAGGAATAAAGTGCCATCCTGTTCAATTCCCACCTATGAGTGAGAACATGCGGTGTTTTTGCCCCCCATTGGTAATAAATGTTTCAACCTATCCTCTTTCTCTCACAGTACTTTAGGCATATCTTAGATTGTAACACATAGGGTTTTCATAATTTTTAAAAAAGAAATTCTGTAATTTCAGTTTTGTTTCCTCTTACACTCAAGACTTTATTAATAGAACTTTTCCCCCCAAGGTGGAGGTACATTTTAATTTTTTTATTTTGCTATCAATTTCCAGCTTTACTTACTGCATACGATCGAAGTGTTGTCTGTAATTGTTCTACTTTATGAAATTTAGTGATGCTTTGTGAATTAATATTTGATTTATTTTTGTGAATGTTCCATATGTGGTACATTCTCTACTATCAGGGATTAAAGGTATAGGTATAAATGTAGATAGAGATAGATTTGTAAGATCTATCAATTAAATTCTTTAGTATGTTTTCCTCATTTTTGTCCATTTTAGCTGTCTCGGACTGAAAGTACTGTGTTAAATCTTTTATCACCATGATACTTCAATATCATGTGTCCTTCCATCTCCTATAGCTTCTGCTTTTAAATGTGAGTGCTTTATAACTTGGTTCATAAATATTAAGTGCTGTACTTTCACTGTGAATTATGGCTTTTATCATCTAAAAGTGTCTTTCTTTGTGTTTTTGGCTGGAATTCTTGTCTGGTTATCAGGATGGCAACTCCTGCTTTCTTACTTCTATTTGCTTTGCATAGCTTCTCTCCTTGACTTTTTTTAGCCTTCTGAATCACCACGTTTTAGGTATCTCTCTTTTATAGAGCAAACAGTTGGATTTTTTTCCTTGAGGGGCAAATTTAAAAATGATTTTTCTACTTATAATAGGTGAATTAGGCCTGTCTACATTTACTAATATTACTGATGTTTTTCTCAAATGTATCATATTTATGTTTCAATTACTGTGTGCATTATGTTGTGCTTGTGTGTCTTCCTCTACCTGGGTTTTCTTTGGTTTACTTTTCCTCTCATTTCTTTAAGTATTTAGGAAAAAAAATTGTTTTTTTCTTCTAATGTTTACCATGTATTTATATTTTTTAAAAATGTGCTTTATCTCCTGCTTTCTTATTTAACCCTTTACTGCCTGTGACCTCAAGTCTGATAAGAAACATTTATAATCTATTCTCTCTGAAGCCTGTTACTTGGTGGTTTCATCTGCATGATAAAACTTTGGTCTCCACAACCCCTTAGTAATCCAGATATTTCTTTCTACAGATAACTCTTTCAACAAATTGCCAATAAGAAAAATTTTAAATCTACCTATGATCTGGAAGCCCCCCCGCCATGGTTTTAACTGCCCTTCTAGATAAAACCAATGTAAATATTACATGTATTGCTTGAAGAATTATGTCTCCATAAAATGTATAAAAGCAAGCTGTACCCTGACCACCTTGGGCACATGTCGTCAGGACCTCCTGAGGTCACCAGGGCATCATTAACTTTGGCAAAATAAACTTTTTAAATTGATTAACACCTGTCTCAGATACTTTTGGGTTCACAGGTACAAAGCTTAAGATACAATTTCATTAAAATGTATCCCCTCACTCTCAGTTCAAATGTGACTTTTAAACATTTCAAGAAAGCAATTTTTGGCCAGCTCAGTGCCTCGTGCCTGTAATCCCAGCACTTTGGGAAACTGAGGCGGGCTGATTGCTTGAGCCCAAGAGTTAGAGACCAGCCTAGGCAACATGGCGAAACACTGTTTCTACAAGAAGTGCAAAAAATTAGCCAGATGTGGTGGCACATGCCTGTAGTCCCAGCTACCTGGGAGGCTGAGGTGGGAGAATCACCTGAGTCTAGGAGGTCAAGGATACAGTGAGCTGTGATTGTGCCACTGCACTCCAGCCTGGGGGACAGAGTAAGACCTTGTCTCAAAAAAAAAAAAAAAAAAAGAAAGCAATTTTAAAATATTTCATGTATTTAGGAAGATGCATAAGCACATATCATAAGCTCTGTATCAAGAGAAACTTGAAAGGATTTAGACTCACTAAAACATTTTAAGTGTACAAAAGGATAATAAGCCCATTTTACACCTACCTTCAAAGTCACATACCTCAATCTATGCATAAAAAAACCAGTGTTGTTGTGGTGAATTTATGAATTTCTATGTATCAGTAAATTATTGTCAATATTGTTAAAGCAAACTAAATATGGCCTGAGAAAGACTCCATAATTCTATATTTGAGTCCTTGTGGATGAACTGAAACCTAACTTAATAGGTAAACAAGACTGAAAACCTAACTAAGAGTATGCGCCTGTAACAATGGCTGAGTCTTGGCCAGTCCCAGCAGCCATACTTCAACCACTCACACACTGCTGAGTGTTCAAACTGTTCAAGTAACGCAAATGCTGAGCAGTAACCAATCCAGTTGTTTCTGTACCTCACTTCTGATTTCTGTATGTCACTTCCTTTTATTTATTTATTTTTTTTGTCTATGAATTTGTTCTGACCACATGGCATCCCTGGAGACTCTCTGAATCTGCTGTGATTCTGGAGGCTGCCCGATTCACGAATCATCCATTGCTCATTTAAACTTTAAATTTAATTTGGCTGAGGTTTTTCTTTTAAAAATATATTCTATAAATTATCTATTCCGTAGTAGAGATTACTCACACTTCCATATTTTTTCTTTTCTTCCCCTTCTCTCTCAAGAATTAAAAAGTCGATTTTAAACAAACACTACTAATTACAATTATTATTCTAATTTAGGGCCATATTACACAATAGAAATCATTCACCATAATAATTCTCTTCTCGTTATAGATGTATACATGTGTATTTACCTGATGAATATACAATATACACATATAACCACATAATATTTCTCTTTTAATAGCTTCATACTGAGACAAACTAACTATCAAAGTTCTTATTTTAACTAAATTCCTTAGAATCTGAGATTTGTAAAGTATTTACCTCTATGAAAGATAAATCAGTAAAAAAAGTTACTTGGCTTTCAAGATTACTGCATGAAGTGGATACCCCAATTTGATTAATCCAAAAAAGCAGTTTTATCTGAAATAAGAATTAAAATAGTCTCTTAATAAACCAGATGTGCTCTGGCAAATACTGTAATAGAACATATCTAACTTATTGAAGTCTTCCTTGTTTTGATCATATTCTGGGCACCATTGCTCCTTAGTCCCACCAGTTTTGCCTTGAAAACAATGAATAATTTTTCTTCTACATAATATCTTTCCTTGAGTGCTACAATAAAAGCCAAACTAAAATCTTAGTTACAGTAGCTAAGAGGGCCTAAATGACTCCATCGAAATAAAGAGTGTTTGCAAAGGTAATGATGGTAGTTAGTTTAAATAATAAGCCTTAAGCCATTTTTCTAAGAAACAAATTGTAGGTTTTAGGTTCACCTCCCTTAAAAGTAGCAGTCAAGAGCAACTTTCTCATGTTTTATTTCCTTCCTAAAGTTTTAGTGATTAAAAAGCCTCTAACAAAGAATAGATACAACTATTTTATAATTGTAATTACGTGTATGTGTGTTTAAACAAATGTATGTTTTAATAACTTCCATTACAAAGTCAGAGATGCAGTATGCTGAGGGAAAACTGCTTTCCTCTTCATTAAAAACAACTTTGAAATATTGTAATACTTTAAAATTCAGTGAAAGGAAAACTAATTAAGATAGTAATAAAACTCAAAATAGTAACCACAACAAAACACCAAAACTATTCTCTGCTTTACAATAAACTCTCAAAATAAAAATACTCTTAGTGGTAACATTGAACATTGTTGGAACTTTTAGGAAAAAACAAATATCACTTTATTAATAACATTTACATATTGTTTTGTAACCTATTTTTTATTTAATAATTTATCATGCACATTTTCACATGGCTACATATAATTGCAATCTTTTTGTATTCTATTCTATTAATCAGTCATCCATTTAGATTGTTTCCAGTGTTTTCCTGCAATAAGACTTTAATCAACACTATTCTAAGTACATTTGGGGGCATATCTATTTTTTTATCTTTGAAGAAATCCCAAGAAGTGCAAATGTTGAATCATATTGGTTTTTACCAATCTGTATTCCCAATTACAGTTTTAGGGTGCGCATTTTTTGCACCCTTACCAATTCTATATACTGTTATTTAAAACATATATATATATCTCAATAGGCAAAAATTAAAATCTTATTTTATCTTAGAAGAGCAAAAAGTGAATCTTGACCTAAACCTCCCATTTTACACAAAAGTTAGCTCAAAACAGATCAAAACCTGTAAAACATGAAGCAATAAATGTTTTAGGGAAATAAAAGGAGAAAATCATTGGGAACTAGGATTAAGCAAAGAGTTCTGACTTAAAAGCATGATTCACAAAAGGAAAACTATTCAGATACTCCCCTTATTTTGTTTTTGCCTTCTTGAGGTTTTCTTCTACCATTGTGTTTCAGCTAATTTCTCCTTATGTGTCTCAAATGTTTGCTTTACATATCTTGATGCCATAGTGTGAGGTATATGTACTTGAGAGTTATGTCTTCATTAGGGATTACAGCTTTTTAAATTAAAAATGACCAGTTTATCTTACTTAATAAGTATAATATATTGCTATGGTTTGTCCCCATCAAAACTCATGTTGAGGCTTGGTCCCCAAGGTGGCAGCATTGGGAAGTGAGGCCTTAGTGGGAAGTGTTTGAATCATGGGGACTCTGCTCTCATCAATAGATTAATGCCATCTCATGGGAGTGAGTTCTCACCCTAGCAGAAAGCGGACTAGTTTCAGAGAAAGAGTGTCGTTATAAAGTTAGCCCAGCCTCTAGTGCATGTTTCTTTGGATGTTTGCTTGCCTTGCTTCTCTACCACACTGTGACACAGCACACGACCCTCACCAGAAGCTAGCTAGGTAGAGGCCCTCCACCTTGGACTTCTCAGCTTCCTGAACTACAAGAAGTAAATTTCTTTTTTTAATGAATTACCCAGTCTTGGGTATTCAGTTATACCAACAGAAAATAGACTGAGACCTATATTAATTACATCTTGAAATACTTTTGCATCCTGCTTTATTTTAATTTGTATGCATGTGGAATAATTGTTAGTTCTCCATCTTATTTCACTTTTTGCTTTAAATCTTTTTAAAGTAACTTTTTAGGTGCATCTTTTATATTGGCTAAATTTGAGTATTTTTGCCTTTTATTAGGAGTATTTAACTTACATTGCTTCTTCTTTTCTATGAGATATTATTTTTTACATTCCTTGTTTTTCCTTAGTTTCTGTCTTTCACTATATGGACGGTATTTTCTTTGAAATCTCTTTTCTACCGTAATTTGGAAGTTATAAATCCCATCTTTTACTAGAAGTTATTTTTCTCCAATATCAAGAGTGAAAAAATACTTATCAAACCTTCCATATGTAAAATGAAGAAACTGAAATACTTTTACTTTTAATTTCTCATGGCATACTTTAAGATTTTAGAGCAATTTTTAAATTTTTATTAAAAAATGAACTGCATTCCCTAGCCCAGGTACCTCTTCCCTATAGGACACCTCTGCCAACACTTTCTTAAAGCGGGGTAGGGTGGATTGGCTGAGGCATTTTTCTCCACTCTAACTCCTCCTTAGCAATGATTCCACCACCACCACCACCACCACAACCATTTTCATTACATCCACCTGACTCCTGCCTGGTGCAGTTCTGTGGGAAGAAATTAAACACTGGGGCCTTCTTTTTGTCTCTTGCTTGTATTGTTCCGATACATGAATAAAGGCTTGATTATTCAGTTTGGTTCTTTGGGAACCACCAGTATCTGTATATTGGATCTGTTTCTGTCCTCCATGTATATCATCATTTATTTTCATCTGTATCTTTTCCTTTACATTCTGAAAGAAAAATTCTAAGTGTTTCTCCCATCTCTCTGATTTTCTTCCAGTGTGGCTTCCACTCTTTGCTACTAATGGAATTTTAAAATTAGTATAACATTATTAATTTTCTAATGTTCTCTCCTGTTCTCAATTACGTCTCTTTATATATTAGTTTATTATCTTAACTAATCTTTCATCTTTGTTTCATTAAACCCAATCTTGAATTTTATTGAGAACACAAATCAGAATCTATAAAATTTAGTTTTACTGTTAAAAAAACACAGAATTGTCATTTTTCTGACTCTTATTGGTAAATTTTCCTCCACCTATTTCTCTGTAGAATTGTTTCATAGATAGGTCTCATTTTGTTTTTTCTTAGGTAGGTCTCATTTTGTTTTTTCATCATATGGAAGACCTAGAAACTTCTTGTTTTTAGGTCTAGCATAGGATTGATGGATCCTACTTAAATCTCCTCTTTTCCTACAAGAGGATGCTATTAAAATTTTCCTCTTAGATTTTAATCTGAAGGGGTAGTTACATAAGTTTCATTTTTCTAGTTAAGAGACTTTAAAGTCTGTGAAGAGAAAAAAGAACTAGAGATATGGAGAATCACAGCAAAGAAACTTCATATTAGTTTATTCTCTTGGTTTGGTTAATCTACTAATCAGGGGCTGGCTTTCTACTACCAGTATTCTGCCTGGTCTGACTTTTTCTTCCAGTTACAATTTGTAACTAAGTTTGAATTCTTCCCTTGAATTGCTGATTCCCATGGAGAAGTGTCTTACCACTTTAGAGGTAAGCCTCATTACCATCAGGAGATAAAGCTTCACTTTCTGTGGCCCCTAGCATATCTGCTTTCAATAATTATTAATCCATGGCAACAAGGAAAATTCCAAGTGAAGTTGCTAGCTGTCCATCCTTCACTCTATCCAATCACAGGGTGACAGCACAGATCTTCCAAGAGCTTCTTTACTATTTTTCCTGCAATACTGTGTGATTTTCTGAGGAGGAGGAGGAATACAAACTTTTACAATGGGATTCCATGGATAAATTATATGACACATATTACTCAGGGAGTATAATGTTGATGGAATCCTTACATAAGTTTTATTGTTAAGAAGAGTTTTCCTCTATTTTCATTTCTTACTCATTTTGGCCCAGGTCTTATGGAGGGGATAGTTTGATGCTCATGCCCAAAAGTACCATCTTACTTGGAAATTCTTTAATATATATTAAGAACAGTAAGTTTTTTATCAGACTTTTAAACTTTTCATCCTTTTTGGTTTTTTAACTTGACATTTCTGGCAGCATTCACCAGATTATTCTTATGCAGTTTATTATAATATTAGTAGATAAGAGTAAATAGCAGAGTTACTATTTTTATGTTATAGATTTATATACTCCTCTTTCTGAGTATGGCTTTAGAGGTCTAGTCAATATTTCTCAATCTTTTCATTCAACAGACTACCAAAATTTCAACAAAAATAAGAGAATTGTTTTGATTTTGTGAAGAGCAAAAAGAAAACCATATTCTAATTACAACGTAATTTGAAAAATTATATTTTAACATCAAATGTAGAAATATTTAATTTCAGAATAATACAATGTGTTAAAGTGAATAAATTCAACTTTATGAAGAACTCACTAAATTTTCTGGATTTGTCTAATTTAACAGAAGGCCAATGAAAACTTCTCTATGACTTGGCACTAGTTCCAAGAACTGATATTTTAAACCCTTTTGATATATAGTTCAATTGCTCTTCTGTTTTGTTTTGTTTTTTGTTTTGTTTTTTGTTTTGTTTTGTTTTGTTTTGTTTTGTTTTGTTTTGTTTCCTTGAGACAGGGTCTCACTCTTGCCCAGGCTGGAGTGCAGAGGCACAATCATGACTCACTGCAGCCTCAACCTCCAGGCTCAAGTGATTCTCCTACCTCAGCCTCCCTTGTGGCTAGGTAAGACTCTTCTCCATGGGCATCAAAATCAGCAAAGGTGTAGGTTAACATACATTTTTCTTAGAAGCTCATTCAATTTAACTTTAGACTTTAGGAATTAATGAATTAATTAAACAAGTCTAAGACCCAGTACCATGTGAAATTATACATTGAGTATTTATTATCCATATAACATAACATTCACCCGTATAACACAATATTCAAACTAGAAGCCCAACAAGAAACTAAACTGGGAGAGAGCATGATATATAGTAACGGAAAAGTCCATGGACTTGGAAGAAAAATATAGATTTGCATGTTTCTTTAATTACCTACTTTTTATTCACATCATTTAGTCTCTCTGAGCCTTAGCTTATTTATCTATAAAAAAGGGCAATTGGGCTGGGTGCAGTGGATCATGCCTGTAATCCCAACACTTTGGGAGGCTGATATGGGAGGATCACCTGAACCTAGGAGTTCAAGACCAGCCTGGGCAACACAGTGAGACCCTGTCTCTACAAAAAATCCAAAAATTAGCTGGGTGTGGTGGCATGCACCCCTAGTCTCAGCTACTTGGGAGGCTGAGGTGGGAGGATCACCTGACCCGGGGGAGGTCAAGGCTGCAGTGAGCCATGATCATGCCACTGAACTCTAGCCTTGGTGACAGAGACCCTGTCTCAAAAAAAAAATAGTTAAACTGACTTATGTTTTTAATATCATTGAACTCAGTTATTTTTATTATTTTTATTTTATCATCGTTATTCATATTTATTTACATTATTCAGTGGTTTCCCATCCATATGTGTTTTACAGATTTAAGACCACTACAATTATGGATATCCAACTTTCAGAACTAAAGTATGCTAGGAACTGAGGATAAGTATCTTAGGTATTGAAATAAACAGACAACAAGGTGTGGGACTGAGGTATAATGGAAAGTAAAAATTATGCTACCCTGCACAAGAAAGGTAGAAATAGGCTGGCATATTAAGATAGCACTCAAAAGAGGGCAAAACATAGATGTTATTCAGGAAAAGACAAGAATGAATTGCAAGACTGATCCAAGAAGGATCGAACAAAGTTAAAGAGCAAAGTAATAGAACCCCATGGGCAGATCTCTGAATTAAGCCAAAGGCCCGTACAAATTTTTAAGTTTAATTTACAGTAAGGTAAACTGCATTTGTTTGGAAACCTCTGAACATTTATCACAAATTACATACCTCCATTATGCTAATATCCCAATGAATTTCCTATGTTGATAGCTATATCCCACATACATAAGTACACAATGATTAGTTACAGAGTGGCTAAGAGCACCTACTAGTCAGACAGACATGGGTTGGAATTCTAGCTATGCTACATGGAGTTGTTTGACCTTGAGTAAATGTTAACAATCCTGTAAGCCTGTTTCCTCATAGGGTAAATGAGTATGAAATGAGGTTATGCAGCCACATAAAACATCTAATACATCTGGCATGTAGTAGACAATAAATGTTATATGATTTAACAATGCACTAATATAAAATGCAATTATTAATTCACTCTATCCTTGGTCTAATTAATGCATAACTTTTCTAACTCACTCCAGAACATCAGTGCCTCTAGTAATCTTTAATGAATTTTTTTCTTTTGAAACCCCCCCCACTTTTCTGACATTCATTAGTGTCCAGATATATTCAAGTATTTTTGAGTAAATCCATACATACTGAAAAAGGTAATAATGTCCTAATTTTTATGTGATGATATTTTAGTATAAATAATCTCTAAATTACCTCATGCTTCTCTCTCAAATATGCTCTCCTCCTTTTTGTTTTGTTGTTTCTTTTAACTAAATCACTTTGCAGATCACATCTAATTTCCTGCCTTTAGGGTCTCCTTTAACCTTATAGCTTGCCACCCTGCTTGGTGTATTATTTCTTTCCACAGGTCTCTCATTTTTATTTTTAAAGAATATTTCGCTTTTATTACCTCTTTTCTATGCATCTAATCCTTAAGCCCCGCTTTCTGAATTATTTCTCTTACAGTTATACTTACAGCACCTCCTAGTTACCTGCATTTTTTACAGTTTTTTAATCTCATTAATAAAGATGGTTAAAAAAGCAAAGTTCCCCAATAACCATAGTATCCAAATGGCATTTCACCCCGATTTTGGATCTTAAAATCTCTAATTATTCTGTGATTATAATTCCTGGGCTTGTTTGAAATCCATATACAGTACTTCTTTATTAAGGGCATTCCAATTCATTTTTCAAGAAAGTTTTATGAGGTACTATTTTATTCTTCACCAATGATGAAACTACATTTATTGAACCAGCTACAAGGGTACTGAAACCTCCTGATACTAACACTTTCTCACAGCTTCTCATTACTCCAAGGGTTAGGAGTTAGAAATAGAGGACATGGAAATTTAACTGTCATAATATTAGCAAAATAGTTCTATATGGAATAATCTGACACCTAAATATTAACGAAAAGTTTTCCTCTCTGGCAAACTATGTGGTCAATAGCAAGGAATATTACCATCCTGGAACTTCAGACTCTGAAGCCCAAGACACTAATATCTGAAAGAATCTAAATGCAGTTAATTCACAATCCTCAGGGATTTTAGAGATTTGAGCTTTTATGAGAAGCCAGGAAAACTTGTTTATCTCTGTGGTGCTAATCCTTCACAATACAGCTCTAGATTTCCACAGTTCATAGAAGAAACACAAAATTCTGATTCCACTGACATGAGAAGCAGCACAAAATTAAGGCTTCACACTCCTATTTAAAAACTTATCTCTCTTAGCCATATCCAGTGTTAAATTCAAAGTTAAACTGTCTAATCAATTTTAAATGGATGTGATCATTGATGCTAAAGGTGAACCGAAGCACTAGTAAACAAGTAGCAAATGAAAAAGTGAAACTCACTGAGTACCTATTATGCAGTTAAATCATTCAAAATATATGTACATGGGCTAAAAAACAGTAAATAAAATGTTATTTTTAGTCATTGCTCTTAATAAAAGCCAAAACAGCAATGGCAATGATAAAATACAGCCACCTTGTTAAACATGTTTTAAAGATGAGGTAAATTTGTTTTTCACTTGCCTCACTAGTCAAAGAATATTAAAACTATCCAGCAAATCAAGTTGAAAAGGCCTTTAGCAGATGGTGACACAAAAAACATACTTTTTCTAAAGTTAAACAGAAATATGGAACAAATCAAACAATTATATGATTAAAAAAAGAAAGACTAGATGGTAATTTTAGACATTAGAGTCTAGTCCAGGCAAGTTTAGTCTAGTCTAGTCTGGGCAAATCAAGGCATAAAAGGTTTCTTAGTTAACCAAAATAGATAGCATTTATTTAAATACAGCATTGGATCAAAGCTGTTTAGTAATAGGAACATTTATTAAGCACTTATTTATGCCAGCTAGACAGTAATTTGAGTGTTTTACAATAATTTTTAATTTTTTAGTTATCATATTTATCAATTACTAATTACTACCATCCCCATTTTAACAGATAAGAAAATGAGGTACAAAGAGGTTATATGACTTGCCCAATGTCAAATAACTGATGTAAAAGAGAAGATTTTATTCTAAGAGGCCTGGCATTCAAGTACAGGTTCCTAACCACTGTACTACACCTGCCTTACCATAGTTGCTCTAGAACTATTTGTATTGTTTGGGGGCAAATCACTTAACTAATCTTCATTGTTCTGTATTTGTAAAATAATAGAACTGCTCTGCATTAGATTTTCCCTAAAGTCACTTCCAATTCCAAATGTAGGAAAACTTAAGGCTAGCACCTTTTTTCTCAAGTGCAATTTTCTTAAGCTTCTTGAATTTATTATTATTAGTTAGCAGTATTTTCCATTACCTCATGATTAAATTAAATATATATTTACATTCAAGAATTATTTTCTGGTAATATTTCCCTGCAAGAAGACAAAATGAGACACCAAGGTTTAGTGGAGTAGGAATAGAGAAGCTTGGTTTCTGGTCCAATATGTCTCACCGACATGTAACACAGGCTTACCTGTGTCACTCAGCTTCTCTTTAACTCAACTGCCAACTTTTTAAATTGAGGGAACTTGTCAATACCTCCCATTCTTTTTCATGGTGTTTTGTTTTTCTTGATTTGAAAAAACTTAAAGGATAAAAAACAGAATGGATCAACTTTAATTTATTTAATAGTTGACTATGCCTATCTTTTTATCATTTTATAGTATTAAATCCTCAACAAAGACACCCAGGAGTAAATAAAAATAAAACAGGAAAAGGGGCATACCTATTCACTTTGTTATTAGCAATTCAGCACAATAAATGGTGTGAAAGGAGACAGAAGCTACATTGAACTTAGGGTCTGAACTGGTTTTGCTGCTCCTTTACTATTATAGAACAAATACAAGTTGTTTGCATAATTCTATTTGTCTGCTTTTTCATGTACCTGTCCCTTTGTTATTTTTACATGACTTCAGTAGGGACCTGTATTTTGTGTTTAATACCATGTAGTTAACTAGAAACTCTGAGGAAACTATACATTTGAAGTGAAATTACTACATGATTCTAAACCTGCCTTAGGGAAAATTATATCTGTCCTTACTGATGTCAACTCAAAGTTGTTCCCTTTTTCTCTCTCTAATAATGATCCTTGTTCACCTAATGTACTGAGTAATCTTGAAAATTTTTCCATCTACAAGCAAATTCATGTAATTGACATATATAAAGGTACTTGCATAAAATAAAATAACATCAATTATCAAGTCTAAAACTTCTTTCTGCAAAAAGTGATCACTATTCATATCAAAATAAAAATAAATTCTTACTTTATCAACAAATATATCCAATTAGCATAATGTTGTGACTTACAAAAGCTATTATTGATACAACAATTTTGGGTATGAAATAAAGCAGCTTCATGAACTCTGCAAATAGAGACTAGTCAGTGAACCTCATTTTAATTTATTTATTCCTACCTGAGTAACTACAGACACTTTTATTATAGGAAACTTATTGATGGGTACTTCATTTTTATATACCATATCACAGAATATAAATATCAAACTACGTAAAGAATATCTTCCATGTGCAGAAACACTACAGCAATTTATTCCTAACTCTACTTCTTTGGCTTCCTACTTAATCACTTAAATAGCACTTTCTTATTTTTATGAATATATGCAGGACAATCCAAATATGATTATGAGGCATCAAAAAGTCTCTCAAAATACCTAGAATATTATTTTTCTGTGTGTGGCCAACATCAGCTAATTTCAAAGCAAACATATAATATGCTGAGGACAGATTCCACATCTCTCCAAAAAGAATAAATTGTGTACGCTTAAACCCAGGAGGCAGAGGTTGCAGTGAGCCGAGATTGTGCCACTGCTCTCCAGCCTGGGTAACAGAGTGGGACTCAGTCTCGAAAAAAATAAATAAAATAAAATAAAAATAAAAAAGAATAAATTGTGCACATAAAATCCATACTGCTACATTGTAATATGAGGTGGGTTATCATGAGATTAATGAAGCTTAATATTCAGGGCCCAACACATAATTTTTTATTTATAATTATGTATTCTTTTTTCTAAAGAGAGTCCCTCAAACTATATCAGACCAAGATCACTCAATATTTATAATTATGTATTCTTTTTTCTAAAGAGAGTCCCTCAAACTATATCAGACCAAGATCACTCAAAAATGTTTTTTAAATGAATATATGAATCCAGCCCTATTTTAACCTATTCTTTGAAGGTAATCTCAAGCCCAACCTCCCAAATGCCTTTCCTGATGACTATGGGGTCTACAGATAGCTCTTCTCTCAGAACTCTTATGGCACTCTATCAGTACATGTAAAGGCCACAGATTCTTCTATTCTACCCTATCATTCTACATTGTACAGACTTTAGAATCTGACAGGGTTTTGGGATCAAATATCTCTCCCACTTTTGGAGCTCTATGATCTAAAGAGATTACTTAAATTAGTAAAATTTATTTGTTCTCAAGTAATTCACCTTATAAATGAGGAGAATGATATCTTTTACAACAGGACGAGTGAATTGATCAGGAAGATAATGAAGCTTAAGCTTCGAGGACCCATCACTTGCACTTGTTCCTAGTACTTCATTTTGTATCCATAAGTTTGTATTGTTTTTCCCAAATATAGCATCCAAAGTTGTATAAACTTCAGGTACTATACAACCTGGATCCAGCCCTGTCTATAAGAAGAAAATATAATTATCCAGGCCCAAAATGTTCAAAACCAAAAACAGCTAGTTAGAACCCCCAAATCCTTAGCTCAGGGACTTGGATGACTCCGAGCAATGCCACTGGCAACTTTGGGTCTGATGTCAAGTATACGTATATTATTAACGTTAGAAATTTTTCTTTGGACGGTCAACTGGAAAGTAGCAATGAATGAATAGAGTATAAAAGTCTGATCTTAGTCCAAGGTGTATGCTGGCAGCATACCTGAATCCCTGGATATGAAAGACAAAGTGTTTTTTTCTGGTAAGCATCCTTAAAAAGAACTGTTTCTCAAAAAAGAAGGTAAGATTGAGAGAAGGCTATTACATCTACTTAGTAGGAAGTAATCTGCATTCAGTTTTCCTTATATTTGGTTATGAATCATCATAAATACATTAAAGTTATCCAAATTTGAGTTTTAGAATTGAGCAATAATTTATAAAATATAATTTATTATGGAATATATTTTATATATTTTCTTCACACTTGCCCTTTCATTGTGAAACACAATAAATTTATGCAAAAATATAAAAATGCAATATACAGTGGTAATATATGAATATTAGAGATATCAGAATACAGAGAAGCAGCTAAAACATTTCAAGTACAAATCTTTATTTGAAATACAATACTATAATTGTATATTATAGAGAAAAATGAGCAAGAGGTATATTTTTTCTGCACTAGAAATTCAAAAATTTGCATCTTAAAAATATATACATAATAGTTATTGACAAATTAGTCATTTTATTTTATTCCCATTTTTATCAAATATGCTTTTAAACACTAGAGGATCTATTGCATAGTAATGTTTTCTCTAAAATTGAGGCTCTATTTGTATTCATATCACTGCTTAAAAAATTGATCAGCACATTGAAGTCTATCTTCTTAAATATAAAGATCAGACCATTTTTCTCCACTTCAAATTCCCTTTACACTTGAAGACTAAAAAGTGTCTCTACTGCAAAATAAATACAGGACATAACATGTTTTTGTAAAAGGTAGTCTAGTATACTATCACTTAACACCTCAAGGTTATCAAAAGGCAAATCAGTGATCTCCATATGTGAAAATATAAGTTTGGGGGATTAGTATCTCACTCCAAGAATAGTAAAGTAAAGTATTACAAACTATTTTCTCAGATAGTTAGAAGTATGACTGACTTGTTCAACAGACATGCATTATTGTTGAATGTCTAAGTGCCAGAAGATTCAAAGATGAATCAATGAGACTATAGTTTGCGCTTTCAAGCTTACAATTTAGCAACATATATAAGCATGCATACATATGTAAATTTATAAAGCCCTTACTTCTATATCCCTTCAGAAAATCCATTTCTTTGCTTCCCTTCATAACCAAGCTTCTCCAAAGACCTGCCAAAGGCTATCTCCATTTCTTCACTTACTACACACTCTTAAACCCAGTCAAATCTAGTTTCTACCTCTACCACTCCATCACCAATAAAGTGCATAGTGGCAAATCCAATGGATACTTTCCAGCTCTCCTCTGCCTTTACCCCCGATGAGGTTTAGAACATGCTACCTAAAGTATGGCACCTTGACACTGGAAGAAATAGCAGAAGTAAGAAGGTCACATTGATCTTCTCCCACCTTACTCCGCTGAAGCAGTCCATGAAAAAATGCTCTAATTTTCCTCTGAAGTAGGTCATAAGACTCTTATTCCAGAGGATCCTCCCGATATCCAAAAGAAAGGAATGTTCTTATCTTTGAAGCCAAGAGTTACAAAGAAACTGAACAGGATCTAGATCAATAACCTCTTTCCTGACCAGTGCTGTCTTTCTAAACAAGCACTGAACTTTGTACAATAATGTTTCTCACAAGTGCTGAAATTCAGTGTGAGTGCCACTAGCCACATGAATCTACTGAGCACTTGAAAATAGGTAGCGTGACTAAGAACTAAATTTTAAACTTTATGTAATTTTAATTAAATAGCCATATGATCCTTGTGGCTAATGTACTGTAAATTCCTCTCTCTTCCCTATAAGTAATCTATGATCTTTTTTGCTGACAACTTCCAATTTTATATTTCATAATTTGAAATGTGTTCAACACCCCTACTTGGATGTCTCACAGATATTTCAAATTTAAAATATCTAAAATAGAACTCTTGATTTTCCTTTCCAATCTTTTCCTCTAACCTAGTATTTCTGTACTTCAGTAAATGGCATCAACGTAATGCCCAGATGCTGCAACCATAAATTTTGGACTTCACCAACTAATACAGATTAACTGATCTTTTAAAAATCCTTCAAAAATCTGTTTTTTTTTTTTCTATGAAGGCTGGTTGTCTGTCTTATAATGCTTTACCTCTAGTTTTTAAAAAGCTACTCCTTCCACCCTTTAGCCTCAGCTTAACTATTACTACTTAGAGAAGCCTTCTAGAATATTCACATATTTTAGTAAATTTGTCCCATTACTACTGACATTCTCCATAAATTCCTTATTTATTTCATTTACAGCAGTTCCATAATTTCTAGGTGTTTTTATCTATTTATTTATATCGTTATCTGTTTTTCCCACCAGAGTGTAAGATACATATGAATACAGGGGTCATGGCCGTCTTGTCGCAATTATTTCCATTGTGTCAAAAATAGCAAATATTTACTGAATAAATGAATGCTTAAGTAAAGGAACCAGTCTACTCCCTGACTTCAGAAATAGGACATTACTTCTATGTTTCTAAAAATACCACTTGAAGATCTGGTAAAATAAATTTTAGTTATTATTCATTTGATTCATAAAGTCTCATAATGAATTATCCAAATGTTTCAGTTGACTCTGAACTACCAAACTGCATGTTTTTCTTTTACTACTCAGGTGATAACCCATTAGAAGGCAATGATCTTTTCTGTAGATTCAATGTAGAAGTTAATAACTATCATTTAAAAAATACATATGACAGTACAATGTTTTGCCATCACATTATATGGGTAAATCCTGTCAACTCCATCCCCAAGTAATATGCTCTTTCAGGCACAGACTATAACAATGAGCAAGAATTTAACTTTCCACATAATTTTTAATGATTTTGTTTTATCATTCTGAAGACAATGCATAATATTTAAAAAGGCAAAGGAGTGTAATGTGAAAAGTATACTACTTACTTCAACACCCAGCCCTCAATTCTCCTCTCTACAAACATTCATCATCACTGTCAGTTTATCTGTATCCATCTAGAATGTTCTATGTATATATCCTTGTTATCTGCCCTGTCTAGACCTGGAATCAACCATTTCTTCAAAAATTCCTGGTTGTTTTTGGCAGAAAATAGCATTTCAATACCATCATCTGGGCAATAAGGATGCTAATTCCTATTGGGTTGATCTTTGTCTCTAAGCTTTTTCATTTGATAGAAGTAGGCATTTCATTGTTTTATTTTTAAGTAGAAAACTCATCATGAGTTCCACCAATACTTCTAATTCAAATTCAGTACTATAGGATTTTAATTTAACACCATCTTGTATTTATATTTCCTTTCTCCCATGACTGGTTCTCAAACGGAGCAGGAATGACAGAATTAGGATACTACTTATTTGCTTGTTTTATAAAATCCCACAATACACACATAACAGACTCAAAATAACACCATCAACATAACCGCCAATAATTATTACTGGAAACAGTTTTTAAAGTTTCTTTTTTCAGATCTTTTTCTGTAGGGTACATGTCACTAGGGATGTACAGTATAATTGCTGTGTTTTCAAATCACTTGGAATACTTCTTTTTTGTGTGATGATGTCACCAAACAGATACATTGTTTCATTTTACTTTAAATTTTAGGGATCTTTTTTTTGTGCTTTAATTATTTTACTGCAATCAAATTTATCAATCTTTCTTGTTATGGCTTTAGAGTTTTGTGTCATAACTAAGCATCTTCTGCATTCTAAGCATATATATTTTTAGATGTATATTCATGTTTTCCTTGTGCTTGTATGGTTTCACTAAATGTCTGAAACTATCTGTATGGAATTTATAGTATGGAATAGAAATTCATTTATCAATTTCAATTAAATTTTTTTTCTCTAGATGGCTATCCAGTAATCCCAACATCATTTATTGAATAATCCATCTTTCCCCCCATGGATCAGAAATATCACCCCACCATTTTAATTATTAAGATTCCAGAGGCATAGAAGGAGTTTCTAGTGGCAGAAGGGTCAATGAGAAAGGCTGAGTATCCACTGACAATGCCACTAGTGGTCGTACCCATAGTAACTAGTCCTGTGCAGAATTATAGCTATGCTTCATCCTTTGTTTTCTTCCCAATCTAGCTCCTCAAACTTTAACACTGATTGAGTCACTTAAAATCTTTCTGATATGTTGTAGTGGGTGTTTTTTGTTTTTTGTTTAAAATCAAGCTAGTCTTGGCTATTTTCAGCCAAGAACTCTAACTTACACAACATTATTTTTCTTCTACAATTCAATAGTGGGCATTCCCAAAATCTCAGCCCTTGGCTCTTTGCTGTACATTCTGTGGCTGGAGCTCATGTTCCTGATTATAATCACCAAAGTTTTGACTACTATCCCTAGTAACTGACTCCCATTACAAATCACTAGACATGAGTTGAGATCACCTTATTATTTTTACATTTTTCATTTCAGAGAGTAAATATACCCGTAGCTGGTTATCCTAACATATAAAGCTATCTTTTAAATATTATTTTTTTATAAATATTCTCAAGCTTTCAAAGACAATGGAGTGTTAAAGGCAATGCAGCAGAATGATTTGGTTAGGAAAAGGTAGGAAAAATGGTAGGAAATAAGGCTAGAGTATAAGATGGGGCAAAAATCAAAGAAATTTTTGTTTATATTAGAGTAAATACTTAACACAGACAAAAGGTAACCATTGAATGACATAATTGGATTTCTACATTAGAGGATCACTCTGGCAGCACTGAAGAAAGTGCATTGGAGAAAATGAGATTAGATTTTTTTTTTTAAGAAAGCCCTTTTATCCAAATATATTTACCAGCTCCTTATACATTCTAAATAGTCTTCTACAAATTATTAAGCAAAAGCCATATTTTGGAACCATATACAGAGTATGTCTGCCAATTAATTTATAAAATTTATAGTTATGAGCTGACAGACAATATGAATGTGACTTAACCAACTGTCACCTCGAAAATGAATTGGCAAATAAATATGGTTTCTAGTGAAGTCAAATAGAATCATTACATGAATTATACTTTATCATTAATTTATTATCTATGTTGTACAAATTGATAAGCCGATAAAATCCTGGGGTGACTGGGGTGACTATCATTAGTTATAAGAGGTCCCATAGCTTTCTGGGGATACACTTCAATTACAGTTTGGTTTTACCTGTATGGAAATGATAAATGAAAAACTTTAGACAAATTACATTTAACAGAGTTTAATTGAGCAATGATTCACAAATTGGGCAGACTCCCACCACTCTCTTCCCCAAACCAGAATAGGTTCAGAGCAGCGCTGGTGCTGCTGAGTGGTTGAAGAGGATTTATGGACAGAAAAAGGAAAGTGACATGCAGAAAATAAAAATGAGTTACAGAAACAGCTGGATTGGTTAACGGTTGACCATTTGCCTTATTTGAACACAGTTTGAATGGCTGTCCACCTAGGAGTGGTTGAAGTATGCCTGCTGGGATTGCCTGAGACTGGGCTACTTGTTACACAAGTGGGTTACAGTCTGTTTATACATGCAATGAGATTACAGTTCATTATGAATGGAGAAACCTTTAGGCCAAACTTAAAAATATGTAAGAAAGCAGCTTTAGGCTAAACTTAATTTAACAGAAACAAAATAAATAAGCTCTTCATCTGTTTTCTGTTGCTTATAACAGAATACCTGACACTGGGTAACTTATACAGAAAGAGAGGCTATTTCTTACAGATACGGAGGCTAAGAAGTACAAGGTTGAGGACAGCATCTCATGAGGACCTTGTTGCTGGTAGGGACTTTCTGCAGAGTCCTGCACCAGTGCAGGGCATCACATGGTGAGGGGGCTGAGCTTGCTAGTTCAAGTCTTCTCTTCTTCTTCTTATAAAGCTAACAGTCCCACTCCCAAAATAACCCATTAATCCATTAATCCATAAATGGATTAATCCATTCATGAGCGCAAAGCCCGCATGACCTAATCACCTCTTAAAAGTCCCTCCTCTCAATACTGCAACATTGGGGATTAAGTTCCAACATCAGTTTTAGAGGGGATAAACATTCAAACCATTGCATTCCTTCTCTGAGAAAGGAAATGTAAAAATCAGAAATATGAGTTTCACTTTAAGAAATGAATTCCTTTCATTAGCTTTTACTAAAGCCAAATTATAAACAAAATCACTTGACCTAAAAAGTACTTCAGTTTATTCAGATGCTGTGCTGTAAGGCAGCTAAATTTATGCTTAATGAACTTAAAAAAGGAACTATTTGTAATACCTTTTTTTTTTTTTTTTTTTTTTTTTTAGAGAGTCCGCCTATAATCCCAGGACTTTGGGACGCTGAGGCGGGTGGACCACCTCAGGTCAGGAATTCTAGACCAGCCTGACCAACATGGATAAACCCCATCTCTACTAAAAGCACAAAATTAGCTGGCTGTGGTGGCATGCACCTGTAATCTTAGCTACTCGGGAGGCTGAGGCAGGAGCATCACTTGAAACTGGGAGGCAGAGGATGCAGTGAGCCGAGATCATGCCATTGTACTCCAGCCTGGGCAACAAGAGTGAAACTCCATCTCAAACAAAACAAAACAAAAACAAAGACCCTTGTTCTGTCACTCAGGCTGAAGTGCAATGGCCTGATCACAGCTCACTATTGCCTCAAAGTCCTGGGCTCAAGTGATCCTCCTGCCTCATCTCCTGAGTGGCTAGGACTACAGGTACACAGCAACATGCTCAGCTAATTCAAAATAATTTTTTTTTTAGACATGGGGGTCTCACTATGTTCCCCAGGCTGGTCTCAAATTCTTGGCCTCAAGTGATGCTCCCACCTCGGCCTCCCAAAGCACAGGGATTACAGGCAGGCATGAGCCACCATATCAGGCCTTATTTGTGATATTTACTTTTTTTTAATTATACTTTAAGTTCTGAGATACATGTGCAGAATGTGCAGGTTTGTTACATAGGTATACACTGGCCACACCCATCAACCCATCATTACATTAGGAATTTCTCCTAATGCTATCCCTCTCCTAGCACCCCCATCCCCAAACAGGCCCTGGTGTGTGATGTTCCCCTCCCTGTGTCTATGTGTTCTCACTGTTCAACTCCCACTTACAAGTGAGAACATGTGGTGTTTGGTTTTCTGTTCCTGTGTTAGTTTGCTGAGAATGATGGTTTCCAGTTTCACTCAAGTCCCTGCAAAGGACGTGAACTGTTCCTTTTTTATGGCCACATAGTATTCCATGGTGTATGTGCCACATTTTCTTTATCCAGTCTATCATTGATGAGCATTTGGGTCGGTTCCAACTCTTTGCTATTGTGAACAGTGCTACAATAAGCATATGTGTGCACATGTATTTATAGTAGAATGATTTATAATCCTTTGAGTATACACCCAATAATGGGATTGCTGGGTTAAATGGTATTTCTGGTTCTAGATCCTTGAGGAATCACCACACTGTCTTCCACAATGGTTGAACTAATTTACACTCCCACCAACAGTGTAAAAGCGTTCCTATTTCTGCACATCCTCTCCAGCATCTGATGTTTCCTGACTTTTTAATGATCGCCATTCTAACTGGCTTGAGATGGTATCTCATTGTGGTTTTGATTTGCATTTCTCTAATGACCAGTGATGATGAGCTTTTTTTCATCTGTTTGTTGGCTGCATAAATGTCTTTTTTTGAAAAGTGTCTGTTTACATCCTTTGCCCACTTTTTGATGGAGTTGTTTTTTTCTTGTAAATTTGTTTGAGTTCTTTGTAGATTCTGGATATTAGCCCTTTGTCAGATGGATAGAGCGCAAAATTTTTCTCTCATTCTGTAGGTTGCCTGTTCACTCTGATGATAGTTTCTTTTGCTGTGCAGAAGCTCTTTAGTTTAATTAGATCCCATTTGTCAATTTTGGCTTTTGTTGCCATTGCTTTTGGTGTTTTAGACATGAAGTCCTTGCCCATGCCTGTGTCCTGAATGGTATTGCCTAGGTTTCTTTCTAGAGTTTTCATGGTTTTAGGTCTTACATTTAAGTCTTTAATCCATCTTGAGTTAATTTTTGTATATTTTTGTATAAGGTGTAAGGAAGGGGTCCAGTTTCAGTTTTCTGTATATGGCTAGCCAGTTTTACCAACACCATTTATTAAATAGGGAATCCTTTCCCCATTGCTTGTTTTTGTCAGGTTTGTCAAAGATTAGATGGTTGCAGATGTGTGGTGTTATTTCTGAGGCATCTGTTCTGTTCCACTGGTCTACATATCTGTTTTGGTACCAGTACCATGCTGTTTTGGTTACTGTAGCCTTGTAGTATAGTTTGAAGTCAGGTAGTGTGATGCCTCCAATTTGCCAGTCTGTGTCTTTTAATTGGAGCATTTAGCCCATTTACATTTAAGGTTAATATTGTTATGTGTGAATTTGATCCTGTCTTTGTGATGTTAGCTGGTTATTTTGCCTGTTAGTTGATGCAGTTTCTTCATAGCATCGATGGTCTTTACAATTTGGCATGTTTTTGCAGTGGCTGGTACCGGTTGCTCCCTTCCATGTTTAGTGCTTCCTTCAGAAGCTTTTGTAAGGCAGGCCTAGTGGTGACAAAATCTCTCAGCATTTGCTTCTCTGTAAAGAATTTTATTTCTCCTTCACTTATGAAGCTTAATTTGGCTGGATATGAAATTCTGGATTGAAAATTCTTTTCTTTAAGAATGTTGAATATTGGCCTCCACTCTCTTCTGGTTTGTAGAGTTTCTGCTGAGAGATCAGCTGTTAGTCTGATGGGCTTCCCTTTGTGGGTAACCCAACCTTTCTCTCTGGCTGCCCTTAACATTTTTTCCTTCATTTCAACTTTGGTGAATCTGACAATTATGTGTCTTGGAGTTGCTCTTCTCGAGGAGTATCTCTGTGGCGTTCTCTGTATTTCCTGAATTTGAATATTGGCCTGCCTTGCTAGATTGGGGAAGTTCTCCATGGATAATATCCTGAAGAGTGTTTTCCAACTTGGTTCCATTCTCCCTGTCACTTTCAGGTACACCAATCAAATGTAGGTTTGGTCTTTTCACATAGTCCCATATTTCTTGGAGGGTTTGTTTGTTCCTTTTCGTTCTTTTTTCTCTAATCTTGTCTTCATGCTTTATTTCATTAAGTTGATCTTCAATCTCTGATATCTTTTCTTCTGCTTGATCAATTCGGCTATTGATACTTGTGTATGCTTCACAAAGTTCTTGTGCTGTGTTTTTCAGATCCATCAGGTCATTTCTGTTCTTCTCTAAACTGGTTATTCTAGTTAGCAATTCCTCTAACCTTTTTTCAAGGTTCTTAGCTTCCTTGCATTGGATTAGAACACGCTCCTTTAGCTCAAAGGAGTTTGTTATTACCCACCTTCTGAAGCCTACTTCTGTCAATTTGTCAAACTCATGCTCTGTCCAGTTTTGTTCCCTTGCTGGCAAGGAGTTGTGATCCTTTGGAGGAGAAGAGGTGTTCTGGTTTTTGGAACTTTCAGCCTTTTTGCGCTGGTTTTTCCTCATCTTCATGGATTTATCTACCTTTGGTCCTTGATATTGGTGACCTTCAGATGAGGTTTCTGTGTGGACGTCCTTTTTGTTGAAGTTGACGCTATTCCTTTCTGTTTGTTAGTTTTCCTTCTAACGTTCAGTCTCCGCAGCTGCAGGTCTGCTCGAGTTTGCTGGAGGTCCACTCCAGATCCTGTTTGCCTGGGTATTACCAGCAGAGGCTGCAGAACAGCAAAGATTGCTGCCTGTTCCTTCCTCTAGAAGCTTCCTCCCAGAAGGGCATCCGCCAGATGCCAGCCGGAGCTCTCCTATATGAAATGTCTGTTGACCCCTGCTGGGAGGTGTCTCCCAGTCAGGAGGCATGGGGGTCAGGGACCCACTTGAGGAGGCAGTCTGTCCCTTAGCAGAGCTCGAGTGCTGTGCTGGGAGATCCACTTCTCTCTTCAGAGTTGGCAGGCAGGAACATTTAAGTCTATCAAAGCTGCGCCGACAGCCGTCCCTTCCCCCAGGTGCTCTGCCCCAGGCAGATGGGAGTTTTACCTATAAGCCCCTGACTGGGGCTGCTGCCCTTTTTTTTTTTTTTTTGAGACAGAGTCTTGCTCTCTCACCCAGGCTGGAGTGCAGTGGTGCATCTCGGCTCACTGCAAGCTCCGCCTCCCAGATGTCACACCATTCTCCTGCCTCAGCCTCCCAAGTAGCTGGGACTACAGGCGCCCACCACCACGCCCAGCTAATTTTTTGTATTTTTAGTAGAGACAGGGTTTCACTGTGTTAGCCAGGATGGTCTCGATCTGCTGACCTCATGATCCGCTGGCCTTGGCCTCCCAAAGTGCTGGGATTACAGGTGTGAGCCACCGTGCCTGGCCGCTGCTGCCTTTCTTTCAGAGATTCCCTGCCTAGAGAGGAGGAATCTAGAGAGGTAGTCTGGCTACAGCGACTTTGCTGAGCTGCGGTGGGCTCTGCCCAGTTTGAACTTCCTGGTGGCTTTGTTTACACTGTGAGGGCCCTGGTGGCAGAGACACCTGAGGGAATCTCCTGGTTTGCGGGTTGCGAAGACTGTGGGAAAAGTGTAGTATGGGGGCCGGAGTGCACTGGTCCTCATGGCACAGTCCCTCATGGCTTCCTTTGGCTAGGGGAGGGAGTTGCCTGACCCCTTGCGCTTCCCAGGTGAGGCAACGCCCCACCCTGCTTTGGCTGGCCCTCTGTTGGCTGCACCCACTGTCTAACCAGTCCCAATGAGATGAGCTGGGTATCTCAGTTGGAAATGCAGAAATCACCCACCTTCTGTGTTGATCTCACTGGGAGCTGCAGACTGGAGCTGTTCCTATGCTGCCATCTTGCCAGCCACCTCTGTGATATTCTTAAGTAATGTATACAGCTAAGGTACCTTACTTAAAATGTACCTTACATTAGCTATGTACCTTACTTAAGATTCTGCTTTAACTGAAAGATCTCTGTTGTGTTAGCCTATCATTCATTGAGAAAAGGGCCCTCTTACTGTATTGTTTTGCTAAAGAAGCCCATCTTTTCCTATTTGTAATGTTAAGTATTATGTTAATGAAGCATGTCACACTTTCCATAATTTGGGGAAGTCAAAAACATGACTAGTGCAGGAGATGAAGTGCACTTACAGTTAATCACTTAAAATGTAATAACTTGCCATGAACCAATGGTGCTTTTATCCTTTTCTTGTCTGTTTGGATGTAAGTTCTTCAAAAACAACTAAAAAATAAAAAAGAAATGCATAACAGCTTTTAGTTATGTACTTTTACAATTTTCTGTCTCCCTTATGTACCAATATACAAATTTGAATTAAATAAATGTGCTTCTAAATGTTTCTGCGTCTAAACACAACATGAGTTGTATTCACTGAGTTTGCTTGGTTTGTTGGACTTCCAGAACTAGGCAATTTCCAGAATTTCCAGAATTTCTAGAATTTCCAGAATTTCTAGCTGGCTACTGTAAAAACAGACTCAGTTAGACTACGTTGGGTTACACCATTAAGAGTCAGTTTGCAGAGATCCAGAGATTAGAAAGACCTTTGAAGCAGCGATGCCAATCACGAGAACTCCAAATAATAGGAAGGGAGAGATAATCAAGACAGATAGAGACCTCACAGCCTACAAATGGCAGAAGTCCCATTCAGTAGACAAAGTATGACACGCAGTATAAGTAGTCTAACAAAAGGCAATGGGAAGGAGATCAGGCTATTAGGTTATTGTTTGTATCAAGGAGGCTTACCAGCAAGTTGTACAGTTCTACCCATGAGAAACCATGAAAGGCAAAATCCTGGTATTCAAAATAGAACCTTAGGCTGGAGGGACTAGGATTTGGGCAAGAAAATAAGGGATAGATTCATTTATAGATGAAAACACCAGGATTCAATTGCTAGAGATAGATATAAGAAGGCGCTTGATCAAAGAAGTTAAAATAAGAGTTTAATTACTAGAATTAATGTACTAGGACAAAGTAATGCCAAGAATTACTCAGTGCTAAGGCCATGAAATCCTGACCTTAAGTTCCTTACAGTATCTGTTCTCAGATGCAGAATTATTCCCAGTGACCGAAGACAGGCTAAACTTACAAGTAGTATTAAGGAATTTATATTACGAAAGCCAGAAAAATTATCAGGCTAAGACTTATGGCTTAATACTAATTCAAACCCTATTGTTGTTGCTGCCACCCCAGAAGTCAAGCTTTTTCTGCCTTTTTCTGCCTGAAAAATATTAGCTGAAGTAGCCATGAGGGACTGTGCCATGAGGACCAGTGTACTCCGGCCCACATACTACTGAAAAGCTTTTTCTGCTTTTTCTGCCTGAAAAATATTAGCTGAAGTAGGATGATGAACATAGGTTACACATAAAACTCTGTAATACTCTAGCATATTGGTAACTAGCATGTTATATCATTCTTTTACCAGGGCACATGAAATAAATACAAGAGAAAAATACTCACAAATATGCTTTACATGATGAGTTCACAAAATAGGTGACTACATTAAGAACTTTAAAGAATAAAAACAATTATTAATAATGTGAACAATTAGGAAATCTCATGGTTGGTGAAAGAAAAACATGGTTGTAATTTTCTTTTAAAGAGAAAATGCTGTGGAAAACAGATGAATCAACTACTTCCCTTTTGGTCCCATGGCCAACCCACACATAATCAATCTCACGTTCATGATCTAGAATGTCACATGAGAAAAAGCTGTTACATCAGGATAACATGAATACAGTGTCCACAAGGAACTGGGATAATTTTATCTTATTTTAGTGAAACTTTTAAGTATATTCCCTTGATGTTCTTTTAAAAACTTTATGAGGCCAGGAGCAGTGGCTCATGCCTGTAATCCCAGCACTTTGGGAGGCCAAGGCAGGCAGATCACCTGAGGTCAGGAGTTCGAGGCCAACCTGGCCAACATGGCAAAACCCTGTTTCTACTAAAAATACAAAATTAGGTGATAGGTGCCTGTAATCCCAGCCACTTGGGAGGCTGGGGCAGGAGAATCGCTTGAATCCAGGAGGTGGAGGTTGCAGTGAGCCAAGATCACACCACTGCACTCCAGCCAGAGCAATAAGAGCGAAAATTGTCTCAAAAAAAAAAAAAAAAAAACTTTATGAGACTCCTTTCTACTGATCCTGTCTAAATGAGCACCTGGTCCTAATAAATATTTGTTGAGTGAATGATAAACACATGAATAAACTGACATATGGAAGCATAAAAATATAAAGATATGACTAAAAGCATAGTGGAGATGGCACTCCCTACCAATGTTGGCAATAAGTAATATGTTAAGAAAAAAAAATCTCAGATTACAGCCAATGTTAAAAGGTCACACTTAAAATAAAAAGGACATACACACAAAAGGGAACAAAATCAACATAAACTGAGAATCTGGTCCTTGAGTTATCCTAGTTGACATGGGAATGAAACCAAACTAAATTTGCACTAATCCAGGACTCTGAAATTCTCCTCCTCTTTCTTTTTAAAATAATTCTAGTTCGACTGACAGGAGAAATTTAAAGCTCCCACAAAAAAGGGTTCTGTTAAAAGTCATCATACACAGACTCATTACATGATAAAATATAACTTTATTTAACTTGTAATCACTTAGACTGTTTAGAATGGTTATGAACTGTCACCTCAATACCATCTACCCTAATAGTAACACAGAATTTAAATGGCAGCAGTCATCAATTTTCATAATATTTTAGTGTTAACTTAAGGTCTAGTCTCCTAGCAGGATAGAAGATTTTAAATTTAATATTTCTACATGCTGAAAACATACTTTATACTTTGTTTGTTTTACTTATAATAGTTCTTTATATAAAGTTTTCAGAAACTTGGTTTATTGGCCTAAACCCTACATACATTCTATAAATCCTTTATATTCTAAATCTACATAAAGACTTCCCATGGAATTTGATCTTGATGTAAATTCCCGTAACAACATGTAATCCTTTAGGCTTCTTTTACTCCCTTTCTAGTAAACGGAAAATAACCCTTATACATGCATCTAAATGAGCAATTTACCATTATCTATGGCCTTTTTTAAAAAAATTACATGTTAAGTTCTAGGGTACATGTGCACAACGTGCTGGTTTCCTACATATGTATGCATGTGCCATGTTGGTGTGCTGCACCCATTAACTCACCATTTACATGAGGTATTTCTCCCAATGCTATCCCTCCTCCCTCCCCCCACCCCACGACAGGCCCTGGTGTGTGATGTTCCCCACCCTGTGTCCAAGTGTTCTCATTGTTCAATTCCCACTTATGAGTGAGAACATGTGGTGTTTGGCTTTCTGTCCTTGCGATAGTTTGCTCAGAATGATGGTTTCCAGCTTCATCCATGTCCCTACAAAGGACATGAACTCATCATTTTTTATGGCTGCATAGTATTCCATGGTGTATATGTGCCACATTTTCTTAATCCAGTCTATCATTGATGGACATTTGGGTTGGTTCCAAGTCTTTGCTATTGTGAATACTGCCACAATAAACATACGTGTGCGTGTGTCTTTAAAGTAGCATGATTTATAATCCTTTGGGTATATACCCAGTAATGGGATGGCTGGGTCAAATGGTATTTCTAGTTCTAGATCCTTGAGGAATCGCCACACTGTCTCCCACAATGGTTGAACTAGTTTACAGTCCCAGCAACAGTGTAAAAGTGTTCCTATTTCTCCACATCCTCTCCAGCACCTGTTGTTTCCTGGCTTTTTAATGATCACCATTCTAACTGGTGTGAGATGGTATCTCATTGTGGTTTTGATTTGCATTTCTCTGATGGCCAGTGATGATGAGCATTTTTTCATGTGTCTGTTGGCTGCATAAATGCCTTCTTTTGAGAAGTGTCTGTTCATATCCATTGCCCACCTTCTGATGGGGTTGTTTGATTTTTTTCTTGTAAATTTGTTTAGTTCTTTGTAGATTCTGGGTATTAGCCCTTGTCAGATGGGTAGATTGCAATCTATGGCCTTTTTAGTAATCACTATATTCTGCAGAAGTTATGGGTGCTGCAGTTTACGACCTTCTAAATTATTATGTCTACATAGTAGGTTTTAAACCCTAAGTAAAAAATATATTAATAAAACAGTTTGAAAAATCATGTCTAAGGTACTTATTGATTTTATTTTGTAGAATGATATTAGTTAAGAGCATGAGCTTCAGAAATGGACAAACTGGTTCAAATCCTGACTCTGCTGTTTAATAGCTATATGAAATTAGACAGGTAATTTAACCTCAATAATCCCACATATTCACAACTGGAAAACAGAAAGTTTGAATTAAATAGTTTTGAAGGCACTTCCTAGGCCTAACATTCTGTTTCCTTAATTCTGGTTATAAAATGTAATACTATTTAAGCACTCAAAGCTGTATAAGCACACCAAAATGGTATAAAAGTGGTATCATTCAGAATAAGGAAGCACAGACACACATATCTAAATTACCCAAGTCATTCAGCAAAAGTTATTTGAGGTTTAATTATCTGAACAATAATTGTTGAAATTCTCCTCCCAACCATTCATGTGAAGACAATGTTACTCTAATGCTTCAAATTTTTCCTTGGCTAATCATGTAAAAAAGTTGACATGGAATAACTTTTTATATTTTTAAATTTTATTAAAACATTTTTATTTTAGATTCTGGGGTACATGTGTTTGTTACATGGATAATATATGCATAACGGTGGGGGATGGGCTTCTAGTGTACCCTATTACTGAAATATTAGACATTGTACCCGGTGGGTAATTTTTCAACCCCCACTCCTTTGGGATAATATTTTAAACTAGTCCTTCAAGACCTGGCATATTTTCATCTCTAACATAATCTCATCTAACTCTCAATCTTACCCTAACCCCAGTCACTACTAAGCCTTCGTTGGAGTGATTCCTTATACCTGGTCTATTACTGCCTATGTAATCTTTCACTCACTGTTTACTACTATCTCCCAATAGCTCATATATTTTCTCAACTTTTCCTTCCTAACTTCTATTTATCCTTCAAATTCTTTTGCTTTACTCTTATGACCCCTAACTCTACCACAAGTCAGTTAGGAGAACTTCCTATATATTTCTCTGATAGATTATTTAAAAATAAATGATAAACCTCTAATCTTCAAGTAAGGTTTCAAATATATTTATAACTTTAAAAATATCAAGGCCCAGATTCACCTGTAATATTTTAATTCATAATTATGATAAATCATTAGTAAGCATTTTATTTTAATTCCAAATTTCATTATTCAATGGCTGAAACTAGAATTAGGAAGGATTCATTACACTCTGATTACTCAAAATCATCATACCACATTAGGATTGGCCCAAGAACTGACAGCCTCTAACAAAATGAGAAAGCAAATATTGAAGAGATCTTGAACTCAGCTCTGCACCAAGCGGACCTAACAGACATCTACAGAACTCTCCACCCCAAATCAACAGAATATACATTCTTCTCAGCACCACATCACACCTATTCCAAAATTGACCACATAGTTGGAAGTAAAGCTCTCTTCAGCAAATGTAAAATAACAGAAATTATAACAAATTGTCTCTCAGACCACAGTGCAATCAAACTAGAACTCAGGATTAAGAAACTCACTCAAAACCACTCAACTACATGGAAAACGAACAACCTGTTCCTGAATGACTACCGGGTACATAACAAAATGAAGGCAGAAATAAAGATGTTCTTTGAAACCAATGAGAACAAAGACACAACATACCAGAATCTCTGGGACACATTCAAAGCATTGTGTAGAGGGAAATTTATAGCACTAAATGCCCACAAGAGAAAGCAGGAAAGATCTAAAATTGACATCCTAACATCACAATTAAAAGAACTAGAGAAGCAAGAGCAAACACATTCAAAAGCTAGCAGAAGCCAAGAAATAACTGAGATCAGAGCAGAACTGAAGGAGATAGAGACACAAAAAACCCTTCGAAATATCAATGAATCCAGGAGCTGGTTTTTTGAAAAGATCAACAAAATGGATAGACCGCTAGCAAGACTAATAAAGAAGAAAAGAGAGAAGAATCAAATAGACACAATAAAAAATGATAAAGGGGATATCACTGCCGATCCCACAGAAATACAAACTACCATCAGAGAATACTATGAACATCTCTATGCAAATAAACTCGAAAATCTAGGAGAAATGGATAAATTCTTCGACACATACACCCTCCGAAGACTAAACCAGGAAGAAGTTGAATGGCTAAATAGACCAATAACAGGCTCTGAAATTGAGGCAGTAAATAATAGCTTACCAACCAAAAAAAGTCCAGGACCAGATGGATTCACAGCCGAATTCTACCAGAGGTACAAGGAGGAGCTGGTACCATTCCTTCTGAAACTATTCCGATCAGTAGAAAAAGGGGGAATCCTCCCTAACTCATTTTATGAGGCCAGCACCATCCTGATACCAAAGCCTGGCAGAGACAAAATCAAAAAAGAGAATTTCAGACCAATATCCCTGATGAACGTCGATGCAAAAATCCAAAATAAAATCCTGGCAAACCAAATCCAGCAGCACATCAAAAAGCTTATCCACCACAATGAAGTTGGCTTCATCCCTGGGATGCAAGGCTGGTTTAACATACGCAAATCAATAAAAGTAATCCAGCATATAAACAGGACCAAAGATAAAAACCACATGATTATCTCAATAGATGCAGAAAAGGCCTTTGACAAAATTCAACAGCGCTTCATGCTAAAAACTCTCAATATATTAGATATTGATGGGATGTATCTCAAAATGATAAGAGTTGTTTATGACAAACTCACAGCCAATATCATACTGAATGGACAAAAACTGGAAGCATTCCCTTTGAAAACTGGCACAAGACAGGGATGCCCTCTCTCACCACTCCTATTCAACATAATGTTGGAAGTTCTGGCCAGGGCAATCAGGCAAGAGAAAGAAATAAAGGGTATTCAATTAGGAAAAGAGGAAGTCAAATTGACCCTGTTTGCAGATGACATGATTGTACATCTAGAAAACCCCATCGTCTCAGCCCAAAATCTTCTTATGCTGATAAGCAACTTCAGCAAAGCCTCAGGATACAAAATCAAGGTGCAAAAATCACAAGCATTCTTATACACCAATAACAGACAAACAGAGAGCCAAATCATGAGTGAAATTCCATTCACAATTGCTTCAAAGAGAAGAAAATACCTAGGAATCCAACTTACAAGGGATGTGAAGGACCTCTTCAAGGAGAACTACAAACCACTGCTCAAAGAAATAAAAGAGGATACAAACAAACGGAAGAACATTCCATGCTCATGGATAGGAAGAATCAATATCGTGAAAATGGCCATACTGCCCAAGGTAATTTATAGATTCAATGCCATTTCCATCAAGCTACCAACGACTTTCTTCACAGAATTGGAAAAAACTACTTTAAAGTTCATATGGAACCAAAAAAGAGCCCTCATTGCCAAGACAATCCTAAGCCAAAGAACAAAGCTGGAGGCATCACGCTACCTGACTTCAAACTATACTACAAGGCTACGGTAACAAAAACAGCAAGGTACTGGCACCAAAACAGAGATAGAGACCAATGGAACAGAACAGAGGCCTCAGAAATAATACCACACATCTACAACCATCTGATCTTTGACAAACCTGACAAAAACAAGAAATGGGGAAAGGATTCCCTATTTAATAAATGGTGCTGGGAAAACTGGCTAGCCATATGTAGAAAGCTGAAACTGGATCCCTTCCTTATATCTTATATAAAAATTAGTTCAAGATGGATTAAAGACTTAAATGTTAGACCTAAAACCATAAAAACCCTAGAAGAAAACCTAGGCAATACCATTCAGGACATAGGCATGGGCAAGGACTTCATGTCTAAAACACCAAAAGCAATGGCAATAAAAGCCAAAATTGACAAATGGGATCTAATTAAACTAAAGAGCTTCTGCACAGCAAAAGAAACTACCATCAGAGTGAACAGGCAACGTACAGAATGGGAGAAAATTTTCGCAATCTACTCATCTGACAAAGGGCTAATATCTAGAATCTACAAAGAACTCAAACAAATTTACAAGAAAAAAATCAAACAAACCCATCAAAAAGTGGGCAAAGGATATGAACAGACACTTCTCAAAAGAAGGCATTTATGCAGCCAACAGACACATGAAAAAACTCTCATCATCACTGGTCATCAGAGAAATGCAAATCAAAACCACAATGAGATACCATCTCACACCAGTTAGAATGGCGATCATTAAAAAGTCAGGAAACAATAGGTGCTGGAGAGGATGTGGAGAAATAGGAACACTTTTACACTGTTAGTGGGACTGTAAACTAGTTCAACCATTGTGGGAGACAGTGTGGCGATTCCTCAAGGATCTAGAACTAGAAATACCATTTGACCCAGCCATCCCATTACTGGGTATATACCCAAAGGATTATAAATCATGCTACTATAAAGACACATGCACATGTATGTTCAGTGCGGCACTATTCACAATAGCAAAGACTTGGAACCAACCCAAATGTCCATCAATGATAGAGTGGATTAAAAAAAATGTGGCACATATACACCATGGAATACTATGCAGCCATAAAAAATGATGAGTTCATGTCCTTTGTAGGGACATGGATGAAGCTGGAAACCATCATTCTCAGAAAACTATCGCAAGGACAAAAAAACCAAACACCGCATGTTCTCACTCATAGGTGGGAATTGAACAATGAGAACACTTGGACACAGGAAGGGGAACATCACTCACTGGGCCTGTCATGGGGTGGGGGTAGGGGGGAGGGATAGCATTAGGAGATATACGTAATGTAAATGATGAGTTAACGGGTGCAGCACACCAACATGGCACATGTATACATATGTAAGAAACCAGCACGTTGTGCACGTGTACCCTAGAACTTAAAGTATAATAATAATAAAAAAAGATTACTGCTTTAGAAATACTTAAAAAAAATAAAGAGATCTAAGTTCATCTTCCTGTGCCCATTCTATCTCTGTGCTCCATACCACAAGAGGACATAAATGCAAATCAAGCCTCAAGCACAACCCTGAGTAGCTGGCAATAAAAACACACAAATGAAACTTCATTATTTGACCTAGGTTAAAATAAAAAGTAATGAATATAAATAATATGTAAGAGGAGCACAAAATAGTTTGGAGATAAGGTAGATGTCAATGAAAACAGGTAGCAACATTTTAAGACCAAATGTAAAGGAAAGTAGGCCCTGGAATTGTTGGTAATTGTAACCAACATACACAATCCTAAATAAGTAAAAGTAAAGTGTTGACTCAAAGACAATAAATATGGTAGCACAGCCAGAATAGAAGAAGATGGTTATAAATGTTAAAGAAGAGTAAAAGCAGGGAATGCTGGCCCTGGCACAAAGGTACAGACATGCATTATACATGGAAAAGCAGTTCACTTTGAACTTAGTGAAATTTTGGAAAGAAAACTCACAAAATGTAGGAAAAAAAAAGTAGAGCTTACTAGTCAGCCAGGTGAAGTTTTGCACAACAGGGTAACAGATGCCAAAACCAAATGACCCTAAAAAGAGGTTCATGAAAGTCCATATATATGTTGCATTTGAATTAAGGTTTAAGGTTTCTTAACAGGGAAGACAGGTACTGAAAACTTATTCTCAAAAGATTATTTTCAGAGAAAGAATAAGATGGGACTGGAGGAACAGAAGATTGGTGATGGCCAGATCATAAAGGAAATTTTGTTACTCAGTTATAAAGTTATAAGATGTAAAATAAGATCAGACCACTGAGGAGATAGAATTCAAGGGATTTTTATCTTAATATTTTATGTGAAGAATGCCCCTGAAGGTCAATGCCTGAGAAACTGGGGAGGATAATGAGAACATCTTTTGGAAAACAGGACTATCATAGGTAGCAGTGAATAGCAACATGCTTCTAAATTTGTGGTGTTGTTTTAGCTCCTTGATGAGCACCTAGATTGAGATTTCATATACATAACTAAAAATTATCTTGAACTGTTTACCTCCAGAGCCCAGGGAATTCATCTAAATTGCTATATACAACATCACGTTAAAATACGCATTTAAGAAATCTTTTTGACAATAAAGAGTATATAATTGTGTAATGAAATCCATCTTTGAATACATTGGGTGGATTTATTTATTACAGATATACCTTGCTGTGTAAAGCAAGACGTACAAAAATAGAATATAATACAAATCTATTCTTAAAACTTTTTTCATCTCATACCCCTGCATAAAAAATGTTGACAGTGTACTTGGCCGGGCGCGGTGGCTCACACGTGTAATACCACACTTTGGGAGGCCAAGTCGGACGGATCACAAGGTCAGGAGATCAAGACCATCCTGCCTAACACGGTGAAACCCCATCTCTACTAAAAATACAAAAAATTAGCCTGGCGTGGTGGTGGGTGCCTGTAGTCCCAGCTACTCAGGAGGCTGAGGTGTGAGGAGAATGGCGTGAACCCGGGAGGTGGAGCTTGCAGTGAGCCGAGATTCACACCACTGCACTCCAGCCTGGGCAACAGAGCAAGACTCTATCTCAAAAAAAAAAAAAAAAATGTTGACAGTGTACTCATAAGTGCAGTCATTTCTTTATAAATTATACATATATATATATACTAATATATTATGTACATTATAGACTGGGCAAAATAGCAATTTAAAATTATAAAATACAAAATAATTTTAAATATTTTATTTTTATCTACTTCAGAATAAAAACATTTTACTAAAAATATATGAATATGTGTTATTTTGATAAACTTGGTTTAACATTTTGTGACACAGCAATTCAATGACCAATTCTAAATTCAGTTTATTTAGATACTTTGTTTTAAGGGCTATCACAGTTGGAAAAGGTATCACACAAGAATGGGTACATCAGGCTGGGAAAGTACATCACTATCTGTATGTACAAAACACTAAGCATATACCAATTATACACATGTACCTCATGCACATAGAGTATATGTGACAGTTTGATATATCAAGTATTAAGCTCTATAGCTAACATTAATAAAACTTTTTCTTATTCTAGATAATATAAAAATAAACATTAACAAAAGTTCTATTACTTTATTCCATGGTCCAATTGATTATCTATTATGCCTTCTGGAGTTCATAAACATCACTTGAAGACCATTACAATATAACCATGGCATTTACAAAGGATACTTTTCAAAGTCTTTACATATGTAAAAACAATTAAAGCATATAATTTACCAAGTAGTAGAATACAACAGAAAAATGTTAGTAAGCAATGGGTTTCGAGACATGGTACCCTAAAATACTTTCAGCTGAAAGAATTTGAGAAAACAACAGAAGCAGGAAGGTCACTCCTTCTCCTACCCTTCTCCCCTGAGGCAGGTCATAAGACCTTCACTGGAGAGATGGCCTCCCTATACCTGGAGGAAAAGAATATCCTTATCTCTGAAGACATAGGACACAGAGGTGAATCTGAAGAAACAAGTCTTGTGAAGTTCCCACCAGCTTATTACCATGAAATCATACGCGTTTGTCTTCCAATTATACTTCTCCATGACTGTCCACTCTTCATCAAACCTAACATTAAAAAATACATAGGTTTTACCCATTTCTTTGGGTTTTCATTTCCTTATGAAGGCTCCCACGTCATGCACAGCTTATATTACATAAATTTGTATGCTTTTCTCTTGTTAGTCTTTTGTTATGTGGCCTCAGCCATGAACCTAAGATGAGAAGGAAAGACATTTTCATCCCCTACACAATGCATTCACAGACTCTTAATGATAATGTGAGAATAAAAGTCATTTTAAAAGCAATTAAATTCTAGCACCAAAATAAATTAAACAATACCTTAAATTACATAATTAATATAATAACATTAGTCAGTGCAAATATTTTGTAAAACACTTTTAACAAATCCTTTCCCCCTTTCTGTTTTCTTATATTCCACACTTTTCTTTCTCAGGGGTCATTTTTTACTTAAAAATAATGTTTTTGACATTTCACAAGAATTCTGTATGCTCAAATAAAATATAAAGAAACATTGACAGAAATGCTGGGCAACAAGCTTTCTACACTCACAGGTAAATGCCAGAAATTCAGCTGTCTAGCATGCTATTAAAATTGTCAATAAATTATCCGATTTAGCTACCTTTGACATGGCCTATAAATAGGTGAAGTTAAAAATGCTGGATCTTTGAATTTCCAATGTCTAGCATATACTTCCTCTCATAAAAATTTCAGAGATAACTTAAGAAACCGTTGTTTTAAGACAAATTAGTTGGTATCACATTTCACTGCCATTTTGCCTTTTTGTCAAATCCTTCTGAAAGAAACAACGAAGAACACTGCAGAACTGACAGAGAACACTATTGCAGGGAAAATAACTATTCCCTGATTAATGTGTTTTCTAAGTTTAGATATTTCAGATTTCCTTAAAATATGGCACATCAGCATTTCACAGTGCAATGAAAATAAATACACACACATTATCTGCACTAAATAGCACTATGCATGCATTCAGGGAAATATATTTAAAATTCTCATTAAAATATTATCATATTAGAGTGAAACTAGGTGGTGTTTCTATGTCAGAAAATTAAAATAGAAAAGTATTAACACTATAGGAAAAGAAATTGGAAAACATTCTTGAAACTATTATGAGGGTAGCAAAGGAAAACATTCAATGGTGGATCCATATGAAGCTCTTAGAAAAATAAATATCTTAGAAATACAAAAAAATTAGCTGGGTGTGGTGGTGCACACCTGTAATCCCAGCTACTCAGGAGGCTGAGGCAGGAGAATTGCTTGAACTTGGGAAGCAAAGATTGCAGTGAGCCAAGATCACACCACTGCACTCCAGCCTGGGCAACAGGGCAAGACTGCCTCAAAAAAAAAAAAAAAAAAAAACATATAGGTAAAGAAATACTTCTACAATACATAGTGCAAAACAAAAGTTCTAGAAGAAGTAGCTAAATTGTATTTGGAATTTGGAACGTTTATCATTATTTTAAGCTTAATTTCAATTCTGTAAATTTGATCATTAGAATGTAAATATGTAAAGCTTTTAGCAAAACAAGTAGTATAAACAGCAAATTCCAGAACCACTGCTTTTTTAGTCATTAGGGCTTCCTTTTTTAATCACCAAAAATAACAGCCAAAAAAGTTGTATCAAGCTAACAAGCACCACATAAATTAACATTGGATATACTGAATTACACCAGAAGAAAATATATAGAAATAGGCTCAAATATTCAGCCTTAGCACAGCTTGAAAATGTTATACAAAAACTAAAAAACCATATTTATTAAAATGGAAGGTTTATCTAAGCTTAAACAAAAAGAGTCTGCAAGAAAAATAAGTTTAAAAAAAGAGACTATGTCTTATTGTAGCCTAGCACTCAACAAATACCCTAGTAAACATGAAAATTAGTAGGTTCAAGGTCAAAAAGAAAATCTTGGACATATGTGTTCAATTTGAAAGCCTTAGACACAGATTTGCTGAAGATTTTAATTTTTCTTTAGGCTTCACTGTCACTGTTTTTCTGCTAATTTGAGTTCCACCAGTTCATTTATTTTATGCACTGTATTTATTTTATGCAACACAGATTATGTTGCTTAAGGGGAAAAAATTAATCCAGTGTATTTCTACAGTAAGCACAGATAATCATACACTTAGTTCTCTTGTCAGTCAAAATAAGGGGGAGAAATCTATCAAGCACAGAGCTTAGGTTAATTGTATTTCTTCCATGTTAACTGCCCCAAATAACCACAACCTACCAAATATAATTATATCTAAAGTAATTAATTTCCAAATGATCCTTTCAGACACCACACATGTACACAAAAGGCATAAGCATTCTAATGTACTCACTCTAATGAGCAGTTGAAAAACCTCATATGGGTCTCAAAGACTGACTGGAAGATGAAGGAAGAACACTTGATGAAGAAGAAATATAACAAGAGAAAATAACTCAGAGAGTACTACCAAATTTTCATCTTTATTCTCAAACTCTCTCCCTATGAGACACAGATGAAAATTTCTAACAGCCTTCTGAAAATTTCCATCTAGATATTCCACAGATATTGAAATCTAACTGGTCCAGAAAGAACTGTAATCGCTTGTCTTCAAGCCTACTCTTTAATATTCCCCCCAGTTAAAAATTCCTATTTTATTTGCTGGTATCAAAATGTACCCCATCTCCAAATCTAGCAAATTTAGTCATCCTCAACAACTCCTTTTTCATATGCCACACTTCCAGTTTGATCACAAAGTTAACAGATTTTTGTCTCAGAAATGTTGTTTAATTCCACCCCTAATTTTTATCTATCTTGTCTTAAAAATCCTACTTATTATCTATAATTGCCATTTAGGTAGTTACACTCTCTTGAGTTCAATATCCCAGTTCATTCATCCAATGGATGTCAGAACACTGTATCTAAACAACAAATATCCAATATCTCTTCCCCACCTAAGAAATTCTTTGGTCATGCTACCAAAAGCATTGCTTCTGTAAGTCTGGACCCTGGATCACCAACACCAACATCCCCTAGAAATTTGTTAGAAATGCAAATTCTTGGGCTCCATCCAGATCTAAGGAATCAGAAACTCAGGGGATGGGTCCCAGCAATCTATTTTAGTAAGCCGTCTAGGTGATAAATTTTGAGAACCACTGACCAATGACTTAAATATTTTTTAATAAAGAGGTGACTGAGAAGTGTATCAAACATTATCATTTAACTTCCTTTTTAATTATTTTAAAACTATTTTTAAACTGTAATACAAATAGCAAATATTAAATTGTCCTCTGTTATTTTGGGTAAACATCAAAAGAAGACTTTGCCTGCTACCTCAGTGCACAAAATGGCACCATGTGCTAATAAAAGGTGTAACTCTGTTTCATGTGTGTTTGTTTAAATTCAAGCCAGCAAGTATACGCTCAAGTAAAGTTTTACAAAGACATTATGTATTTGAATGCAGAGTTCAATTAGTTGTAGGTAAGGCTCTGGTTCAACTGTTTGGCCCTTCCTCTCTTAAACAGATTAAGAGTTTACTATGAAATTTGCATATTTCTTCTCTAATTGTATTCTGATAAAGTTATTCTTGTTTGGGATAAAGTTATACTTTTTCCAGTATAGGAAATGAAATAATTATCTCTAAAACTAGAAATGAAACTGGCTGAAAACAGGAAATAACAGACAAATTTAAAATGGATATGTTGTTACTTATTTGACTCAAGATATATTAAGTCTTACTATTAATTAGTACCTGTTGAGTTTTCAGCATATATTGACCACAGTGGCAACTATGTTCAAAATGAAATAAATATGCTGGAAGCTCTCAGGAATAGTCACTCAAGGCTAAAATATAATGATAGTCATCTATCATTAAGACTTACATTGTAGTGATAAAAACTGACAACTTTTCATTGGGTTTTTTATAACAAAGTTTGGCAAAATAGTGATATGGTTGCTGACAATTCCATAAATTTTCAGTAAAACATACAGTGACTGAAGTTACTGCAAATCTAATGACTAAAATGTAATCAGAATAAAGTTATCACCTATGAACAAAAGCATACACAATTAGAGAAAACCTTATCAAATGTTGCATTATTGATACTGCAACAAATGTTAAATGAGTGAGCTGCTGTCAAAAAACTGAAACAAAATATTGGTACATACCTGAAAATGTAATACAAAAAATATTCATCGCATATACCTAGTTAATTCAAATGCTGAGATTATGTAAGATCTTTCCAATTTAACTCAATGAGAATATATATGGGTCAGATCTCTACATTTGCTTTTGCACAAGTTTTTTAACTAGGTAAATTCAGAAATCGTAAAACAATACACAATGGAGAAGAAAATGTTAATGTCTAAACCAATTTTTAACACACCACTAACTAAACTGTCAGAAATATTGAGACAACTATATTGAGGAAAATAGATAACATAAAAAATCACAGGAATGGTAGCTCCTGTAAAAGTTGTTGCCAGATTTCATCAAGTAGTAATTATACACTAATAAGGATTAGATATTTAGATATTTAAAAAATAGTTTTGGATAATCACATTTAAACTATCCTTTACACTGAAGTCGGGGATTTTTTTCTGAGCTAATTGTAAGGTTAAGAACAGAAAATTTCAAAGCTCATTTTTCATACCAAACTTAGCTGGGTGTCCTGAATCAAGGTATAAATATTCTTCGAAAAACAAGAAACACTTTCTAAATGTAATTTTTAAAAACTCTGATAAGTATCTTTCAAATATAAGTAACTAGGGAAAACCAATTTGATTATCCAGCTCTTTAATAAGCTGAAGAAATTCAATTTGACAATATAGTCACAATATTACCAAGCTTATAATGCAAATAAATTTTCAGAAATGAAATTGATTCTTACAGTTAAGATTCATCATGCAAGGAAAATAAATCAACTGTTCTGAAATTTTAACAGAATCAGCAGAAAAGTATGAGTTTTAAAAATGTTATCAATAAATATCTCAGAATGATACAAGATACAGAATTTTATCATCAAACAATGAAAAATGAAATGACTGATGAATCGATTCTGTCACTTACCCTCAAATGAAACATTTATTCTTTCATTATTCTACTTTGACAAAAATCTGAATATTTCTCTTTTTGGTCTTGATCAGTTTATTTGAAGAATATCCTGAAAAGGCCAGATGACTTAAAAACATTACAATTTGCCACCACTTATTTGTATGAACCAGAATTTTCAAAATATAATGCAATAAAAATAAGATACAGAAATATAGTGGATGCTGAAGCTGATATAAAATAGCAACTTTCAAGCATAGCTGCTAATTTAAATTCCCACTATACCACTGATTGACTATTTGAAAAATGCTGTACGTATAAAATTATAGTACAATTACACAATAAAATGCTACTTTTACTTATTACACAATGTTATATAATAAAACAAACGTTCTCCACAAATTAGAAAGTTTGAAATCTAAGATAATAAATCCAAAATCCTAATCATGGCATAACCTAGCTAGCTGCAACTAGCTTTCAGCTTAATTTTCCACCAGGCACACTTCTTTCCTCCAGCAATACCAAATGCTATGCATTCCCAGAATACATGATTTTAAGCCTTTGTTTATTCTCTTATCTCAGCCAGAAATACCCCTCTCCTACTTTTTCTTCTGGCAAATTTTTATTTTACTTTTAACCCTCAATAAAATGTTGCTCCTTAGACTCAAGATAGAAATAACCACTTTCTCTTCTATACTCCATTATAGTATTTATCAAATATTATTATAATTATCTACTTAAATATATTGATTCTCAAAATAAATTGTCTTCCTAAATCCTTTGAACCCAGAATCCAAGTTATATCCATTTTTGTGTCCTTTTTTCCTGTTCTTAATTCAGAACCTAAAGTTGGAATGCATGTAAAAATAAATAATAAAAATAGTAAGTAGAAGAACAAAAGAAAACAAAGTAGACTCTTAACTGGCTAAGGGAAGTTCCTATAAATTAATCATTGAACAAGAATAGAATGGCATGGTCCTCTAGCTGGTGCTACTTAAAAATGTGGTCTACCCACAAGCAATAGTCTACAAACTATCAATCTGTGATGAAATTAAATATAAAAATTAGGATTAAGCATTTAGAAACTTTTAAAGCAATTTAACAGTGAATTTTACTTCTGTTGGATTCATTTGTATCATTTTAATTTCATTTTTCTAGAAATTCTTTTTCAATGTTCTTAATAAGTTTCAGACTGTAACAGATTGGAAATTAAAAAAGAAAAATAAGAGGGTCATTTACAGACAGCTTGAGATAGACTATGGAAGACAGAAAGATGAATATGATCTTGACTCTTTTTTAAGGAGAGTTTGGTTTCAAAGGAATAATATGATATTTACATAAATTTTTGTAATATGCATCAATATAATTATACATATTTCTCAAAGTTCACACTACATTTGACACTTTTTAAAACATATCTATTGATAGAATTATAAGTGTACCTGGAAACGCATGTGCATATATAGCATTTCTTTCTAAACTTATTTATATGAAGGCTAGATTTCAAGTTAAAACTAGGGCCTGTCAGTGTGCTGTATTCAGGAAACCCATCTCACGTGCAGAGACACACATAGGCTCAAAATAAAGGGATGGAGGAAGATCTACCAAGCAAATGGAAAACAAAAAAAGGCAGGGGTTGCAATCTTAGTCTCGGATAAAATAGACTTTAAACCAACAAAGATCAAAAGAGACAAAGAAGGCCATTACATAATGGTAAAGGGATCAATTCAACAAGAAGAACTAACTATCCTAAATTTATATGCACCCAATACAGGAGCATCCAGATTCATAAAGCAAGTCCTTAGTGACCTACAAAGAGACTTAGACTCCCACACAATAATAATGGGAGACTTTAACACCCCACTGTCAACATTAGACAGATCAATGAGACAGAAAGTTAACAAGGATATCCAGAAATTGAACTCAGCTCTGCACCAAGCGGACCTAATAGACATCTACAGAACTCTCCACCCCAAATCAACAGAATATACATTCTTTTCAGCACCACACCGCACCTATTCCAAAATTAACCACATAGTTGGAAGTAAAGCCCTCCCCAGCAAATGTAAAAGAACAGAAATTATAACAAATTATCTCTCAGACCACAGTGCAATCAAACTAGAACTCAGGATTAAGAAACTCACTCAAAACCGCTCAACTACATGAAAAACGAACAACCTGTTCCTGAATGACTACCGGGTACATAACAAAATGAAGGCAGAAATAAAGATGTTCTTTGAAACCAATGAGAACAAAGACACAACATACCAGAATCTCTGGGACACATTCAAAGCATTGTGTAGAGGGAAATTTATAGCACTAAATGCCCACAAGAGAAAGCAGGAAAGATCTAAAATTGACACCTTAACATCACAATTAAAAGAACTAGAGAAGCAAGAGCAAACACATTCAAAAGCTAGCAGAAGCCAAGAAATAACTAAGATCAGAGCAGAACTGAAGGAGATAGAGACACAAAAAACCCTTCAAAATATCAATGAATCCAGGAGGTGGTTTTTTGAAAAGATCAACAAAATGGATAGACCGCTAGCAAGACTAATAAAGAAGAAAAGAGAGAAGAATCAAATAGACACAATAAAAAATGATAAAGGGGATATCACTGCCGATCCCACAGAAATACAAACTACCATCAGTGAATACTATGAACCTCTCTACTCAAATAAACTTGAAAATCTAGAAGAAACGGATAAATTCCTCGACACATACACCCTCCCAAGACTAAACCAGGAAGAAGTTGAATCTCTGAATAGACCAATAACAGGCTCTGAAATTGAGGCAATAATTAATAGCTTACCAACCAAAAAAGGTCCAGGACCAGATGGATTCGCAGCCAAATTCTACCAGAGGTACAAGCAGGAGCTGGTACCATTTCCTCTGAAACTATTTCCATCAACAGAAAAAGAGGGAATCCTCCCTAACTCATTTTATGAGGCCAGCATCATCCTGATACCAAAGCCTGGCAGAGACACAACAAAAAAAGAGAATTTTAGACCAATATCCTTGATGAACATTGATGCAAAAAATACTCAATAAAATACTGGCAAACCGAATCCAGCAACACATCAAAAAGCTCATCCACCATAATCAAGTCGGCTTCATCCCTGGGATGCAAGGCTGGTTCAACATACGCAAATCAATAAACGTAATCCAGCCTATAAACAGAACCAAAGATAAAAACCACATGATTATCTCAATAGATGCAGAAAAGGCCTTTGACAAAATTCAACAACACTTCATGCTAAAAACTCTCAATAAATTAGGTATTGAAGGGACGTATCTCAAAATAATAAGAGCTATCTATGACAAACCCACAGCCAATATCATACTGAATGGACAAAAACTGGAAGCATTCCCTTTGAAAACTGGTACAAGACAGGGATGCCCTCTCTCACCACTCCTATTCAACATAGTGTTGGAAGTTCTGGCCAGGGCAATCAGGCAGGAGAAGGAAATAAACTGCATTCAATTAGGAAAAGAGGAAGTCAAATTGTCCCTGTTTGCAGATGACATGATTGTATATCTAGAAAACCCCATTGTCTCAGCCCAAAATCTCCTTAAGCTGATGAGCAACTTCAGCAAAGTCTCAGGATAAAAAATCAATGTACAAAAATCACAAGCATTCTTATACACCAATAACAGACAAACAGAGAGCCAAATCATGAGTGAACTCCCATTCACAACTGCTACTAAGAGAATAAAATACCTAGGAATCCAACTTACAAGGGATGTGAAGGACCTCTTCAAGAACTACAAACCACTGCTCAGGGAAATAAGAGAGGACACAAACAAATGGAAAAACATTCCATGCTTATGGATAGGAAGAATCAATATCGTGAAAATGGCCATACTGCCCAAGGTAATTTATAGATTCAATGCCATCCCCATCAAGCTACCAATGACTTTCTTCACAGAATTGGAAAAAACTACTTTAAAGTTCATATGGAACCAAAAAAGAGCCCACATTGCCGAGACAATCCTAAGCAAAAAGAACAAAGCTGGAGGCATCATGCTACCTGACTTCAAACTATACTACAAGGCTACGGTAACCAAAACAGCATGGTACTGGTACCAAAACAGAGATAGAGACCAATGGAACAGAACAGAGGCCTCAGAAATAATGCCACATATCTACAACTATCTGATCTTTGACAAACCTGACAAAAATAAGCCATGGGGAAAGGATTCCCTATTTAATAAATGGTGCTGGGAAAACTGGCTAGCCATATGGAGAAAGCTGAAACTGGATCCCTTCCTTACACCTTATACAAAAATTAATTCAAGATGGATTAAAGACTTAAATGTTAGACCTAAAACCATAAAAACCCTAGAAGAAAACCCAGGCAATACCATTCAGGACATAGGCATGGACAAGGACTTCATGTCTAAAACACCAAAAGCAATGGCAACAAAAGCCAAAATTGACAAATAGTATCTAATTAAACTAAAGAGCTTCTGCACAGCAAAAGAAACTACCAACAGAGTGAACAGGCAACATACAGAATGGGAGAAAATTTTCGCAATCTACTCATCTGACAAAGGGCTAATATCCAGAATCTACAATGAACTCAAACAAATTTACAAGAAAAAAACAAACAACCCCATCAAAAAGTGGGCAAAGGATATGAACAGACACTTCTCAAAAGAAGACATTTACGCAGCCAACAGACACATGAAAAAATGCTCATCATTACTGGCCATCAGAGAAATGCAAATCAAAACCACAATGAGATACCATCTCACACCAGTTAGAATGGCGATCATTAAAAGGTCAGGAAACAACAGGTGCTGGAGAGGATGTGGAGAAATATGAACACTTTTACACTGTTGCTGGGACTGTAAACTAGTTCAACCATTGTGGAAGTCAGTGTGGCGATTCCTCAGGGATCTAGAATTAGAAATACCATTTGACCCAGCCATCCCATTACTGGGTATATACCCAAAGGATTATAAATCATGCTGCTATAAAGACACATGCACACGTATGTTTATTGCGCCACTATTCACAATAGCAAAGACTTGGAACCAACCCAAATGTCCAACAATGATAGACTGGATTAAGAAAATGTGGCACATATACACCATGGAATACTATGCAGCCATAAAAAATGATGAGTTCGGCCGGGCGCGGTGGCTCATGCCTGTAATCCCAGCACTTTGGGAGGCCGAGGCGGGCGGATCACGAGGTCAGGAGATCGAGACCATCCCGGCTAAAACGGTGAAACCCCGTCTCTACTAAAAATACAAAAAATTAGCCGGGCGTAGTGGCGGGCGCCTGTAGTCCCAGCTACTTGGGAGGCTGAGGCAGGAGAATGGCGTGAACCTGGGAGGCGGAGCTTGCAGTGAGCCGAGATCCCGCCACTGCACTCCAGTCTGGGTGGCAGAGCGAGACTCCGTCTCAAAAAAAAAAAAAAAAAAAAAAAATGATGAGTTCATGTCCTTTGTAGGCACATGGATGAAGCTTGAAACCATCATTCTCAGCAAACTATCGCAAGGACAAAAAACTAAACACTGCACATTCTCACTCATAGGTGGCAATTAAACCATGAGAACACATGGACACAGAAAGGGGAACATCACACACCTGGGTCTGTTGTGGGGTTGGGGGAGGGGGGGAGGGATAGCATTAAGAAATATACCTAATGCTAAATGACGAGTTAATGGGTGCAGCACACCAACATGGCACATGTATACATATGTAACAAACCTGCACGTTGTGCACATGTACCCTAAAACTTAAAGTATAATAATAATACAATAAAAAAAATTAAAAAAAAAAAACTAGGGCCTGTTTCCGTCACTGCCTATCAGATGCAATGGTATAGGGGACCACCCATCTCTGACTGACTCCATACAGAACTAACTTACTGCCTGATAACATTATTCAAGTCTCTACATCTCTCTGCCTGACTCGCCTAATCGCAAAACCCTGGAAATATATAAAAGTAAGATGAGTACACAGTTTTTTCCCAAAAACTCTCTTTGCAATATTTTTACTCCTATCAAGAGAGATTAACTCATGTCTCAATCTTCTGCACTAGGTGTTGGCAAACTTTTCCTATAAAGGTCTAGACAATAAGTATTTTAAGGTTTGTGGGCTATGTGGTCTGTTGCAGCTACTCAGCCCTGTTGTTGTAGCAAGAAAGTAGCCATAGACAGTATGTAAACAAATGAGTATGGCTGTATTCCAATAAAATTATACTTACCAAAACAGGTAGCAGGCTTATGGATTTTGCCCAGGGAACATAACATGCACGCCCCTGTTCTGCATCACAGATATAACTCTAAAATGCAGCCATTAAGGACCTATTGGACCTATTGCACAGTAGATGATCAAAAGTTACATAATTCTTGTTGGCATTTATCAACAGCTTTTAAAATGTTAAAGACTGAGAGATTCACCAATATTCAAATTCATGGAAGATGAGACACTATTTCTCAAAAAAATCAGAGTATACTGAAAAATCTTTTATGCCTTGTTTTTATTGGCATATGTCTAAGGAAACTATAAGCTTTTCATACTATTATTAGAGAGCAACATTCCCACAGGCTATAGAAAACAAAAATACAGATCTATTTACACTAGTTGCCACAACCACTACAACAAATGGTGTATATGCACAATCCCCACGGAGCAGCCCCTTTTAAATGAGCCACTACATGGCTCAAATAGTCATAACATAACAAACAAAACTAACGACAATTCCAAGTATGACGTTCTTGGTTCAACTCACATCTGTTGAGCATCTTCAAAATACAGAGCTCTTAGTTACATTTGTAACAAACCTGGTTGTAGATTTATTTCATCTTTGTTGTTTAAAGTTGGATGTGACCACCCCTTTCCCTCAAAGGGTGAGATACAAAGCACATTAAAAGTCACTGTAAAACTGAAGTTACATCCTAACCTTTCCCTTTTCACTTAATTTCCAGTCTCCCTAGTGGAATATATGTTTCTATGAGCAATTCTCCCCATTCTAGAACTCTTTTCCCCAGAACACAAGAATTGCTGACTTTTTAAGTTTCTAAGGGTTCTCTTAATGTTAGATTTGAAACATCTTCATATAACTCAAAAATTCTTTTTGCTTTATACTAATCTCTCAAAAATGTCTCCTTAGATTCAACAATCTCTTTACGGAGATAGCTCAAAAATCACTATTTCACAATCCTCTCTAAACTATTAAGTGGTTAGTTTTATATTGTACTGATTCTCACAGTATTATCATCAGACCTTGTATAGCCTTTGAGGAGTGAGAATGAAGAAAAAAAAAAGCCTCAAAAGAATATCAGTGGGTAATCTCATGGGGAAACACACTGAAACAATAATGACAAAGCAGTATATATAATATCATCCTGGTAAAACAATATCTATGAGAGAGATATGCCTCTAGAAAAGTGCTTAGGACATATTTGGATATTCACCAGCTCCTAAAATCTGAGATGTAAAAAATTAATGTCATCAGGATGTTTAAAAATTATTTTATTTCTCTTTTTCTCCTTTCCTGTCAATGATTCTTCAGATTTCCCAGACTTAAAATCCTGAAGTTACTCCTGATCACTTTCCATGTTGCCTGAAATTTCAATCATCATGAATTCCTCATGATTCTTTTTTGGTTTCTTATATACCATTTCCAGTCCCTACCCTTAACATATACAGAATATGCTGAAGCTTTCTACCTATTTTTTTCTGCTCAGACTGTCCTATTCTTCTATACATTTAAGTTGTCTCCAAACACTGATTTTACTCTCAAATGTATGTATATAAAATATAGTCTGCTCAAAGGACGGTTTAACTACTGTCCCAGCACTTTGGAAGGCCGAGGCGGGCAGATCACGAGGTCGGGAGTTCAAGACCAGCCTGGCCAACATGGTGAAACCCCATCTCTACTAAAAACACAAAAATTAGCTGGGTGTGGTGGCGGGTGCCTGTAATCCTAGCTACTTGGGAGGCTGAGGCAGGAGAGTCACGTGAAACCAGAAGGCGGAGGTTGCAGTGAGCCAAGACTGCGCCACTGCATTCCAGCCTGGGTGAAAGAGCGAAACTCCGTCTCAATAATAATAATGCTAATAATGAAATATTTTAAAGTTTAAAAAGGAGGTATAGGTTTTATAGTAAAAATAGAATTTAATTAATAAAGGATAAAAAGATTCACATACAGCAATATAACAGAAATGGAAAATAAATCCAAGAAGGAGGCACATTCTACAAGGCAAAACTTATATTATGCATTTACTAAAGAAAAGCAGAGAAGGAAAACCAGAAAGTAGAAGGATTTATGCTTGCTGCAATGAGTGACATAGCTGCTGTTATTATCGAGGCCCAGGATGAAATATAAAAGTAATCAGGAAAGTATACTCACATAAGTTAGAGGAAAAAGCAACATTGGGCCTAATTTAGGAAGAAATATCAGTAGAGATAAAACCAAGTAATTTGAATGTTGTCTAAATAGCATTCTATAGAGAGTGAATTTCTGACCGGGCCTACCTAGGCAACAAAGTAAGTTGCCAGCGTTAAACATACAACACATCAGTCATTCTACCACTGGAGGGAGTCTGGTCACATATCCTTTGATGTAACTTGCTCTAGTAACTTCCTGGTCTTCCCTGGGAATGAATTAGAACCCTACCAAGAATATGAATTGGTTTAATACAATCTGATGGTTTCCAAATTTTTTGTTTCTTTTAGTTTTTATTTTATTTTTGTTTTGTTTCATACTCACTAATATCTCTATAGTCATATTTGGGCCAAAGAAATTAATCTACATGCTACGTGTCCTAGTACATGTCTATCCTTGGAAAAAGTTAATAAAGAAAAACATTGTAAATTAAGAACAGAGAAGGGCTCTAAGGCAAATACCTAAACAAAGCAACCATCAAGGTTACAAGCCACATGAAAAATAGCAAATGACAGATTTGAACTAGAAACTGAAAACAATTTTTAGGGCTAAGGTGATAAAGATATTACTGATAGGATGGTAAAAGAGAAGTAAAAGATAAGAGTACTATAATTGTGATTTCAAAATTTACTATTCTTTAAAATTCAGAATTTACAGATTATAGTAATTACTCATGAAGTTGAAGTGATTTCCTATAACATGTAACTGAAATTAAGAAAAACGACAAGGACCTAGACACTGGCAAAAAAGAAATTTTAAAAAGCAGTGGTTCAATTCAAGAAGTTACGTGGACAATATTCCATTCAGAATAATAATTATTACTGTCTATTTTGTATTAATATCAACACTGGTAAATTCTATGAAAGTAATGCTTTACTTATTTAAACAATCCTACAGGATTGGTATTATACCCACTTTACATAAGAAAGCTTGAGGCTAAAACAAGTTAAGTAATTTAAGGTTACACGGCTTTCAAGAGCCAATATTCTAACAGGGGTGGTCTGATCTAAAATGGTATTATCACTATGCTACACTGCATGTCACTGAGACTGAGTAATGACTACCTTACATTCTTGTAATAAAGACTATTAAAGTTAACAGTTATGGGTACTCCTCTTAGATGTCTGCTTCAGAAAATGCCATTACGGATTATCTAACATCACTGTGCTATTAAGCATTTGTTACTTTTTATTTCCAAAGTTAAAATTTGTTTAATCCACATGCCAATAACATAAGTGAGGTCTTAATTGACTTATAATTTAAATAAATTTGATAAACTCAACATTCAAAGAAATTTATCTTTTTAAATATGTAAAAGAGATAAAATCTTTTTTTCCTCCATTTTTTCCACGTAAGTATTGTTAGAGACAAAGACAAGGAAATCTGTTAGCTTCTGTGTAATTTCTTTCCAATGTGTTTCCTTGCTGACTACATCATAAACCCTATGGTTTATACCGTATCTGGACAGTCATAAAGTGCCGGACTCATGAAAATAATATTTGTTAAAGCCACGAAGCCTTGAGGGTAGATTTAAATGTTTTAAAACAAATTAATTATGTATTTTCTTCCTTACTATAACAAAGCTGGAGGCAGCTTAGATACATGTAAGGCAACATGTAGATAAATCTTTCCTGTTCAACGAGGAAGAAAAAGTATATATATATATATATATATATATATATATATATATATATATATATACTTTTTCTATATATATATATTATATATGTGTGTGTATGTGTGTGTGTGTGTGTGTGTATATATATGATTAAAAGACGAAAAGCACAAGTAATATAAAATTCTGTGTGTGGGGTGGGAGCTGTTTTGTCTTGTCACAGGTCAGTGAAGGTCTGAAGTATCTATCAAACTGTAAATGGGCTCCCATATTATTGTTTCCAAACAAGAAATTTTCTCTTTCATTTTATTTGAAAAGTCATAATAAAAGTACATCATGTATGCAATTTGAGTATACTTCAGCACAGCAGAGATGGAGAAACAAAAATACTCTTCTACTTGCAATAGGAATAGAAACCTCTGGATTTACAGTATATTTTCAGAGTAATACCTGGGCAAGGACCAGGTCCTGGCAAACAAAGTACACATGCCTAGGGAAGACAATCCATGAGGTAGTGTGTGTGTGTGTGTGTGTGTGTGTGTGTGTGTGTGTGTGTGTAACTGTCTTGCTTAATTGAAAAGCCAATTATATGACCATGTGGACTCTAACCCATATTCTTCAGAAACTATTAAATATTTTTAGAAACTATGAAAAAAATTGAATTATTGTTTATAATGTAATCATCAATTCATAGGAAAATAGGCAAGTGACAGACAAAAACAAAAACAAAAAAATCCAATGAAACATAAGAGAGATATACAGTTATGTTCACCAGCAGGCATAACTCTTGGTTGATACAGTATGAAAACATTATAAAATTAAAAATATCTCTGATTGGAGAACATAACTATACTTTCCCCTATTCTATTTTATTCCACTTCCAGGGAATTAATGTTTCTCTCATTTTTTTTCATCACCAAATTAACAGTAGATTAAAAGAAAGTGAGAAAAGAGCAAACAAAATAAATGTATTCTATCATAAATTATGAAATATAGCTCTTATTAGGTACTTAAACACAAAATAGATCTTCTGTCCCATATTCTGCCACATCCTTTTCTATGTTACATAGTTACAGAAGTAAAATAACGAGACTTGAGTGGAAAGAAAGTGAAAGGAGGGAAGCAAAGGGAGTAAAAAGCAACTAGCTGAAAATCTCTCAATACAAAATGATGCTAAGTAAGGTCTGTTTGACAAATTTAATGCAACATTTCATATGCTGTTCTATTAAAAACAAACGACATTATTCCCCCTAAATTATCCCTTTGAAGCCAACCAAGTTAATATTTTTGGAATTGACATGTAAGATAGGATAACAAAATAAGTTAAGCATTTAACAACATCTCTAAACAAAGTATTTCCAAATTTTATACATCTTCTAGTAGAAGAGTTAGCTCTTTGTATTTGTTGGTGTATACTATTTTATAAAATAAAACCCTATTTAATTAGTCTATGTAAATTACTTGGAAGTCTGCAAATAGTAATTTTCATAGATGTTACTTAGTGCCAGCACCCTCCCCAAAATTAAATGTTACATAATTTGTTCATTTTGTGGGATTCCTAATTTGAAAAGAAACAACTAAAAAATAATACCAGAATAAAATAGCTACTCCTCTAGGGGATCACAGTAAATACAGCATTATTTTTTGCACTCTCTTAACTCTGTGAACTTCATTAAAAAGTTTAAATTTTCCCTAATATCTTTGAAACACGTGGTAAATGCGGTTTTAAGTATTGAGATTACTGGGTTCTGAAGAGCAACAATGAATGCCTAATTCCATTGAGTACAAGAATGAGCTTTTGCTTTATCATTGCAATAAATAAAAATGAAGTCTACTTTTATTAGTCTTGTGTTTCTCTCAACCCTAAGAAAATAAAAATATTTACAACTTGCAATGGTTACATTACAAAAAGTCATTTCATAAAAGTCTAAACTAAAATCCAAATGACTTCCTATGCGTTATTAAAAATAATCTTTACAGTCTATAATCATGCAAGCTTACATATGGAATACCAAAATGATAAATGTTTTTAGATACCATAAATATGTGCACTTACTACCATGGTGACTAAAACAGTCTAAGAATAAAGGAAATACAAGCTGTCTTTGCAAACGTATTTATTTATTCATATACTACACCTGTATCAGAAATTAAAGTGGTTTTGGTTTCAAAAAGTTTGAATTCTGGTTTCAAAATTATTAAATATAAATTTATATTAATAAATATAAAATTTAGTAATAAACAAATTCGGTGCTTGCTTGATATAAACGTGCTGAATAGCAATGCGTAACCAAGTGATTACCATTTAAATGACTTTGGAAACAAGACCTCTGCTCCCTATTTGGATTAGGCTGATAAATTTTATGACCTTACTGTGAGCGTATTAGTATCTGTACATAACTTTGGTTAAAGACATGTTTTACAATCATTACCTCTATATACAGTTAAACATTAATTTCATTTACAGTCAAAAGTATTTGGGGCCCTCTTAACAACATGTGAACTGTGTTTCCTTTGTCAGATGTAGAATTTTACAATTATTCGGCCAACCAATTACTAATCAAATGATTTCTTTACAAATGAAGTTTTGTACCACATTACTAAAGTAGCAGACTCTAACTAGTCCAGCTAACCCAGAAGCACTGTAACTAACCACACCGCACACAGCACTAGCTTATGTCTTCAACGCTCAGACCTGTATTCAATCAATTTCCTTCCACAGGAGCCTGCCAACTTCAACAACAGAATAAACGATATAATATCAACACGCAATGGTACGTACTCGCCACAAAGTCTGAATCACAGCACATATATTAGGCCAATATTTTCGACAGTCTGACTCAGAGCCCAGGAACCATGAAGATTGTGTCTGTCCTTGGTGCTGAAATGCACTGTTTTTCTGCGCCCTCACTGAAAAACTGTCATCCTAATCCCAATCCAAGAGGCTAAAAAGACTTGTTAATTTGGGGAGTCTGAGGATGGGAGGTTTAAAAAAGAAAATGATAAGTTTCTGGAAGAGAATGCCAACTAGTGTGTGTGTGTTGGGGGAAGGGGGTTGCTAGAAACATCCCGAGGGCATTTCCCCTTCAGTGCCCAGAGACCCAGGAAATCCGGACTGCGGCAAAGATCGGAAACGCCTCGTCGGGGCAGGAGCCGCGAGCGGGAACGTCGCCCTCGTCCGGGCCAGGCGGGCGAAGGCGGCGAAGGGCGCCACGGTTGTGGACGGCTACTTTCCGCGCCAAGGCGCGAGCCCCGGGGTCCTTTTGTTTCTGGGGTGAGGGGAGGGCGGTGGGCGGAGGGTAACCCACATCTGCATTTATTTGCACAGAGGGGACAACAAAAGACCCTGCCGCCCTGGCGAGCGGCGTCGGCGGAGCCAGAGTGGCCCCGGCGCCTCGGCGCGAACTCTGTCCCTTTCCTCGCGGTCCCGGCCGCTCTTACCGTCCCGGTCGCACAGCTGAATGGCCTCCAGGCTGAGGTTTTTGATCACCTCCTCACAGGGGCTGGTGGGGCTGTTGAGGGCATGATCCAGGCGCGGCACCTCCATTTTTCCAACCCACTCTGAAGCCCGCCTGCTTCGTATCCAGGCTCTCTCTGCCGGCCGGGTGGGCAAGAAGAGCGGGAAAGGGAGGGGGAGTGGCAGAGGGAGGGAAGGAGGCCTGGGACGCGGTGATGCGGCGCCGAGGCTGAGGCGCGGGGCTGGAGAGCCGCCGCGAAGGCGACGGCTGTGGCAGGAGCTCCGCGGAGTGTGCGGCTCTGAGAGACCGAGCAGGACCCGGCGCGAGGATGGGAGGCGCGCGCTCCCGGCGGGGAGGGGACGCTGCTCTCGGGGAACGTGATGTATAGGGCTTCGACGCGCGCACGCGCGCGGGAGAACGCGCCCACCTGCTGGCGCGCGGTGGTCCCTCCCCCGCCCTTCTGCGCGCACGCGCCCCCACCTGCCCTCCAGCCACTGCCAAGGCAACCTCGCGCGTGAGGCGTCGGGCGACCGAGCGCGCGGGAAGGGCGAGCGCTATACGCCGCGCGGCTGCCTCGCCCTCTCTCCTGGTGATAGCCATTTGGCGTCTTCTGTCTGCTCTCGGTGCCTGGCGAAGCCCGAGTTGGCCCTGAGGCGTCTGCACGGGGAGGCGAGGGCGAGCATGTTTGTTGTTTACCAAGAATTGGAAAAATAAGGGCCCGGACTCTTCGGACTCTCTGTACGGTATTGGGGTGTGGGAGCCACCTCCTCCCCTGAAGGTCCCAGGATACTCGCTGCCCGCACCCTGCGGGCTCGGCCGGACATTCCTCGGAAACAGCTGCGTCTGTGTGAGAAATGAGCGGATTACCTGAGGCGTGGAGGGGTTTAGAGACAGCATTTTGCCAGTCCACGACACTGAAGCGGGGCAAACGTGGGAACTCCTTACTGCCAGAAAGGTGAGGGAATGAGGAGATGCAGCAAGCCTGCTGAAAAGGCGGCAGACATGCTGCGGGGCCAGCAGCCACGGGACCAGCAGCCACGCAGTCTGCCTTCGCAGCGTAGCTTCATTCATTCATGCGCGTAGCAAATAAGTATTCAATGCTCACCCTATGCCATTGTTCTGGGCGTCAATGAAGGGAGTATAAACAGCACCTGCTCCCATGGATTTGGAAGGAATCTTTGCTACAATAGCTAATGAAGATTGACTTGTGCTTCCTCAAGCTACTCTATAACTTGTATGCCCATTGATTTTAATTGCATTTAAGATTCTGCAGTGCACTTAGTGGATGTGCAAACGTTTTAAACATAAAATAGAGGTCACAGCCTATTGACCTCTGTTCCCGTTTGCTTCTTTGGAAAAGTTTTTAGTTTTGTTGCTATCTTGGGATCAAAAATAGTGTCCCCTCTTTTCTTAATGTGCTTATAAATTAATATAAGTTCCCTTTTATTGATTTTCCATTTCAAACATAAATGTTAACCAACAAGTAACAGTTTACACATAGATGTCTGTATGCTGCTCTTTCTAGTCACATCCATTTAGCTATAACATGATGAAGTCTAATTAATTGAAGCTTCAATAAATGGAAGGACCAGCTTAAAGTAAAATAAGCCTGTGAAAAATCTTGGCACAATTGAAATTTCATAAATATCTGTGAAAGATAATTAGGCATCTTAAAGTGAAAAGTCTTCATTATGAACTTATTAATGAAGATGGATGTTTTTGAAGTTTGAAAGAATTCTTGTCTTAAGGTAGGGGTGTCCCCAAGGAGAGGGTAAATTATTACCTGTCAAAGGATATGACAAGAAAGTACTTACTGGTGAATTTTCTGTGTTCGAAAGCCTGGCTCTGTAGAACTAGAAATTGGTATTGTAAGCCCAACAGTGGGTTCATTTTTTAGAGTAGTCTCAAATTTATAAATCTCAAAAAAAAGGAACTGTGTAAACTAGAATAACAATTTACTGATTTTCAAGTAAGAAATACGACATGCATTTAATTCAAACTCATGCAAATATTTATGAAGCACCTATGTCCAGGACACTGTGCTATGTGTTGAAAATTTGGAGTTCAAATTTATCAAGAAAGATATATATTGAAAAAGTAAAAGTAGGATGGGTGTTAAGAAAGAGGAAGTATGGGAGCTTGTAGAAGCACGCACGAGGTTTATAACCTAGGTTAGATGGTCAGGAAGATCTCCAAAATGATTTTATCTTAAGGGAATGAGAAATTATTAAAAAGGCTTTAAATAGGAAATTAGCATGATCAGATTTGTCGGCTAGAATATTTGTGTAATCGGAAAGGGTAATGTTTCAAGAAGTGTATTAATGTCACTTTCTGGGTATACAACTTAATCAATCCAAGGCACCTTTCTGCTGAGGATTTGGATTCTTGTATAAAAAATACAAAAGAAATATTTACTTTTTAACTTTCGATATTAAATATAGGATTTTTTAAATCGAGTTTTTAGGCTTCAAATCGAGGCATTGTCAAGACATAAAATGTAAATTTGTTTATGGTTCAACATATCAAGGCTAGGCCTGGTGGACCAAATGATAGGGTTTCTCCCATAGTAAAGACAAGGTATCTTAGTCCAGTATGAAGGATTTAGTCAGAGATTGATATAAGGAAGGTGGTGGCTATGAAGTAGGTAAAGTAGAAGAAAATCCTATTCTCTTTGGCTTGGAGAATTACGGGAAAGGGGTAGAAGAGCTCAAGAAAGACACCAGAAACATTTTTACTGTTCCCACCCTGAAGATGTAGGGTGAGGGGTTGTGGCTTTAGAAATATCCAGATTGGTGTGGGAAAACTCAAGGACAGAGAAATTACTTTCCCAATTCTCAGATATCTGGGAAGATATCAGGCTGAGCAGGAACCACATTCCAGTAACCTTGAACAGGGCGGAGACAGGGTAGGCATTGACTTTCCAGAGTGCTGTAAGTTTCTATGTACTGTTGAGACTCAGAAAACAATACTCCCCTCCTCCCCAAAAAAAAAAAAAAAAAAAAAAAAAAAAAAAAAAAAAAACCTCAGAAGTAAAAGTTTTTCCTCTCATCTTCTGACCTTCAGCCTCTCAGTCTCATTTTCCCCTGAGGCTAGCTATAAGAAACTAGAATCCCTGTTCCCCAACGTGGGTTATAGAAACCACAATTCCTTTTCCCCAAAGCCAGCCATAAAATCTGAAAATATTACTCTAATTTTTCTTCTGCTTTTCTGTGTAAAAACTGGCCATAAAGAAATTATCTTACCTACCTTGTTTAACTGAAGGTCATAAGATCCTCATTCCAGAGAGGGCCCTGCCACATAGCCAAAAGGAAGAAGTGCATGCTCAGACAGGTCAAGAAGAATCTAGACAGACAGGCCTTTCTGGGTTTCCCTACTCAATCTATTAGTATTAGGTCATATCCCTTTTGTCCAGTCATATTTCTTCATGACTGTTCATACCTTGTTGAACCTAAGGATTAAAATGGTCAATTTTCCCTGTGTCTTTGGTCTTCATTCTGAAGGCTTATGTTGGAAATGTGGTGTTCAAATTTCATGTAAAGCTATGATCAAATAAATTTGTATGCCTTTTCTCCTCTTCATCTGCCTCTTGTCAGTAATTTTCACCTAACCTTCAGAGGGCTAAGCGGAAGTGTTCTCTTGGCTCCAACAGTACTCAGAACGTGGTTGAGTTGAGAGCTATCCAATCTTCCCTGAAGTTTTTTGTTAAAAGAGCAAGGTGACACTTTAGCAAAGGCTATGGAGTGGACCTTCTAGACCAGGGATGTCTAAAGTACCAAAGAGTTGAGACCCGTCCGTCAGAGATGGCCGCAAGGCCCTGAAGCACAGACCATGAGTTTCTCTAGCTACCAACTTCAAGTGAAAGACCAGAAGCAACTAGACATATGAGGAATGTCACCTCAGAGACCAGAGGAGGCAGAAGAACCTGTTCAAACCAAATGACCCTTTGTCCCAATGCCTCAGGTAATGGTATCTAGGGATATCTGATATTTCCAGATACTATCTAAAATAGGATGTAGGGGAAAGGTGGAAATCTTAGAGACTGAGGGTCTTAACGTAATAAACTTGAACTTTAAGGAACTGCTTAAAATACTGAATGAACCCAGGTTTCTGGGTTAGAATAAAAACACATTATTTCCCCTCCCGTTTGTCAGTGACTGAGATTTCATGAAGATGATCGAATCAGTTTAGACAAAATGAAAATTCTACCTTTTTGTACCTAAATTGCAGTGTAGTTGCAATCCCCATACACTCAACATCACTTAATCATTAGCTTGAGATGTCTGCTATTACAATCAAAATCCTACCAATCATCCGAGCCCCAACTCGTATGCTACATTCTTTTGAAATGATTCCCTCTGTCAAAAACCTTTATGTTGTATTTCTGTGGGGCTTTATAGTTCTGTTACAGACATCATGTTATGATTTATAAGTTATTAATGTACATGAAGAATCAGAATCAAATTTTAGGGACTTAAATATATCTAATTCAATACCTTATCCAATGTCAAAGCCCTTGACAAGAAGTTATTTATCTCCTAATAAATATTAAATTAAAATCCTCATGAAGTTATCCAAAGTCTTTCGCATTCTGAGCCCAAACATATCTCCTATAAGAGCACTACAAAGGCCTTAATTTTCCGATTTGTTCGTGATACAGAATAATAATCCTTCCTATTATACATATATATTCAAATATCTGCCTAAATACTCACGGTTTTTGCAAATGTTTGTGATATCCCATTGTTTTGAGTCCCTCTGTCACTCTACACACTCTCTTCTAGATAACTCCAATTTTTCTGAGTCCATAGGTAAACACACCAGGTGTGGAAATATAATAAGAATATAAAAGAAAGCACAGTAGAGTAACACCATCTTTGTTGTGTGTGCCAGACATCTTGTAATGCAGCCCAGGAGCCCATTAGTTTTTTTGACAATAATATCGCTCTGCTCACATATTCTGAGCTTGCAAAGACATAAAAATCCTGTATCACTTCTGTGAACATTTCTTATTTCTCCTGTGATACTGTAGATTTTAAGCACATATTATAGTATTTGCAAAGAGAAGATACTTAGGACAATTTGCTGAATTATTTTAGTGAACTCCGATACTTCGAATGTATTTAGTTATATTGCTCCAGCTAGCCTAGGATTTTATCAAAGTAGGCTACACAGTCCTTTTGGTAGGCTAGTCCATAGGTCTATCTTATTCATAATAAAATGACCCACAACCCCTGGCACAACTAAGGATTTTATGACTCGCAGAGGGTGCCAAGAACCAAAACCAAACAGAAACAAACTCCACAAAATGCATAATAAATGAGTGCATCTTATTTCCTCTCATAACACTATGGAAACTTTTCCTAAGCCCTATTGTAAATGGAAGGGCAAAGGAAAACTCATAATCAATAGAAACACAGTTGAAAGCAATCCAAATATTCTAAATTGTTTGTCCTGACTCAAGAAGTATTGGGACTTGTGAAGATCAAGTAACATAATGCATATAAAAGTATTATTACGAACTATAAAGCACCCCCAAAAGTTAGGATATTATTACTGTAGGACACCAAAACGACATTAAGAAAGCATATTTGGTTAATTTTACAGTACAAATTTATGGAAATAGTTTCATAACTTCTTAAAAACTGAGAACTTTCATATTTAGACTATCTTTATGGTTTAATGTATTGAGGATTTTAAAACACAAGGATGATTTAACATACAAATAAATAAATATGATATACCATATTAACAGACTATAGGACAAAAACCATATGATCATATCAGTAAATGCAGAAAAGGAAGTCAACAATGTTTAACATCTTTTCAAGATAAAAACCGTTAACAAATTAGGCATTGAAGGAATGCATCTCAACACAGTAAAGACTATGTATGGCAAGCCCATAGCTAATATCATGCTTAATCGTGAAAAATTGAAAGCTTTTGGTGGTTCATGCCTGTAATCCCAGCACTTTGGGAGGCTGAGGTGGGTGGATCACAAGGCCAGGAGATCGAGACCATCCTGGCTAACACGGTGAAACCCCGTCTCTACTAAAAATACAAAAAATTAGCTGGACGTGGTGGTGGACGCCTGTAGTCCCAGCTACTCAGGAGGCTGAGGCAGGAGAATGGCTCCTGAACCCAGAAGGCGAAGCTTGCAGTGAGCTGAGATCACGCCACTGCACTCTAGCCTGGGCAACAGAACGAGACTCCGTCGCAAAAAAAAAAAAAAATATTGAAAGCTTTTCTTCTAAGATCAAGAATAAAATAAGAATGCCCATTCCCACCACTTCTATTCAACATATTACTGGAAATCCTAGCCAGAACAATTAGGCAAGAAAATGAAAAAAGGCATGCAAATAGGAAAGGAAGAAAAATTATCTCTGTTTGCAGATGACATGATCTTATATATGGAAAATCATAAAGACTCCACCAAAAAACTCTTAGAACTTAAAAATTCAGTAAAGGTGCAGGATACAAAGTTGGCATACAAAAATCAGTGGTGTTTTTATACAACAGCAACAAAACAGCAAACTTTTTGAAAATCAAGAAAACAATTCCATTTACAATAGCATCAAAAAGAATAAAATACCTAAAGTAAGTTAAACCGATGATATGAAAGATCTGTACAATGAAAACTGTAAAATATTGATGAAACAAATTGTAAAATACACAAGTAAATGGAAAGATATCCCACCTTGATAGATTGGAAAGATTAATAGTGTTAAAATATCCACACTGTCCAAAGCAACCTACAGACTCAATGCAATCTCTATCAAAATTCCAAAGGCGTTTCACAGAAATAGAAAAAACAATCCTAAAATGTACATGAAACCACACACACACACACACACAAACTGAAGAGCTAAAGTAGTCTTGAGCAACAGCGAAGCCAGAGGCATCACAGTTCCTGATTTCAAACTATATTACAAAGTTAGAGTAATTAAAGCAGCATGTTACTGGCATTAAATGGACACATAGACCAGTGGAACAGAATAGAGACCCAAAATAAATCCATGTATTTAGTCAACTGATTTTTGACAAAGGTGCCAAGAACACACAATAAGGAAAGGACAGTCTCCTCAATAAATGGTTTTGGGGTAACTGGATATCCACATGTGGAAAAATGAAATTAGACCTTTATTTCACACCATAGAAAAATCAACTAAAAATGAGTTAAATACTTAAATACCTGAAACTATAAAACTAATAGGAGGAAACGGGAAAAGCTTCATGACATTGGTAATTGCGGGGGGGGGTGGGGCATAAACCCAAAGACACAAACAGCAAAAGCAAAAATAGACAAATGAAATTACATTAAACTAAAAGGCTTCTGCAGAGCCAAGAAAACAATAAACAGAATGAAGAGACAACCTATGGAATGGGGAAAAATTGTTTGCAGACCATACGTCCTAAAAGGGGCTACTAACCAAAATATATAACAAACGCAAACAACTCAATTGGAAACAGTCCCGATTTATGAAAACAGCCCGATTTAAATAGACATTTGTCAAAAGAAGACGTACCAATGTTCAACAGGTATATGAAAAATGCTCAAAATCACTAAATGTCAGAAAAATCTAAATTAAAACCATAATATATTACCTCACACCTGTTAAAAGAGCTATTAATTGACAAGACAAAAGATAACGAGTGTTGGAGAGGCTGTGGAGCAAAGAAAACCCTGCACATTGTTGGTGAGAATGTGAATTAGTACAGCCATTGTAGAAAACAGTATGAGGGTTCCTCCAAAAATTAAAAATATAATACATGATCCAACAATCCCTCTGTTGGGTATATACCCAAAGGTATATCCTAAATACATGTAATTTTTATCAGTCAAAATATTTTTTAAAATTTAAAATGATCCCACCCTCTCTTTCCTGGGGGGAAAAATGAAGGCAGAATGAAGTTGCTCATTTGCTCTTATCTTTAGCTCAGTAGGTTCCGGTAACTTGTCACTTCTCCTTCCCTCATCTGTGCTCTTCATTCAGTGCCTGTGTACTGCAGGATAGACATAGCTTCCTATTTTTCTCCCCTCTAGCTTCTTCAGTCTTTCTCTTTCTCCGGACTCTCTTTTCTTTCTCTTTTTACATTGCCAAATCTCCTTGATTTTAAAAACTATCTTACTTGAACCAGTTATTGTCCAATTTTAATATTCTAATGTATGGAAGGGGCCCATTATAAAATGTGAAGTGCTATAAACGTGGTATTCATTGCTTCCATTTACTTTTTATCCTCATACAATGTATCAGCAATCTTCAGCACCCTGCTTACTCTTCAAATGTCATTTGGATTTGGTAAGATTTTCATATCACCAAATGTAAAGGCCTTTTATCATCTGCATCCTCTTTGATATTTCAGCAGTTTATTTCTGCTGAACTTCTGTAGTGCTAAACTCTACTGGATCTCTTCTGATATGTGTGCTTCCTGTTTATCAACTCTAGCTTCTATGCTACCCCCTTGAGTGTAGGTGTACTTTAAAGTTCAACCTTTGACATTATGTTCTTTTCTGTTTAAAACTGTTTCCTCTGAGAATTCATGAATTCTCATGAATTTTAATTTCCTCTTAATGTTTAAATTCTCACCTTTATTGTCAGATTCCTGTCTCAACTCCCTATCTCTAAACAAAAGCCATTGCCCTATTTCTGACTGTCTAATGAAAATTTTTATTTGCATTCCTATAATCATTTCTAATTAATCAATTACTTCCCCAAACTAATTTCTTTTTCTAATTTCACGCATTATAGTTACTGGGAGCAGTATCTTCTTAGCTTATATTACCCAACTTTCTGATTTTCTCTTTTTCTCTTTAAATCAAACAATCATCAAAATCATTACAATTTTTCACTGTTTCTTGGATATGTGCCTTTTTCTGAATTAGTAACACTACTGCCATATTCTCACGATTTTAACATTATTGAAATTACCATGTATATAGTCTTCCTACCTCTCTTTATGCTGCTTCTAAGACCAACCCACTAAAACACTTTGTTAATCAGAACTTGCTCAATAAGGTACAATGGCTATTTGTGTACCGTAGTTAATACTGAGCTACCGAAGCTTTTAAGGCAGGTATGTGACAATTACAAAGCAGTAATATGAAGATTAATCTGCCTATGTCTCATAGAGTGAGTAGAATTGAAAGAAGGCTAGAGTTTAGAAGAGATTATTATCATTCCAGCAAGAAACTGTAAGATTATAAACCAGGATAGTTTAACTGGGTATGGAAAGAAAATGGACTTGAGAGAGTGATGTTATGCTACTGTGTTTCTGAGATTGTAAAAAAAAAAATCACAAACATTAGTGGTCCTTTCTTTTTTTTGATATTTTAAAAGATTAAATTGTCATAATACTGACATGTATATACTATAAATATTAATAGTATAGTACAGTATCATATGGCACATGAAGAAAAATATATTGTGTAGACTTTCCCAGTGTTTAAAACACAATTGTTAGTTTCCAGTTTTACACAGATTATCCTTAAGAAAGAAAGCAACAACTTTAGTTGTTGCTGTTTTATGTTTGTGAATAAACAAAGCTAAATTAAAATGGCTCTCAGAGTAACCTGTCTTGGAATATCCTCTGCTGACAGTAGTCAAAATTTGAAAGGAGTTAGTGTTGAAGGGGCTGGGGTAAGAAATCTTGGGAAGGATAGAGAAGAAAGAACCTCTCTACAGACAACCACTCTGGGAGTTTTTCTCTTCTTCTCCTCTCTGGTCCTGCCCCTCCTATTCACTATCTATTAGAGTGAAGCATTCTCAAACTGTGTTCAAGTACACAGCCCTCCCTAAGTACCTTGTCAGGTAATCTTGGAAATAAACTATACAGTGAGCAGAGCTATAAGGATATAGACACAATTAGTTTGCCCCATATTCCAGGTTGTTCTTGCCTTCACAGATATATCTTTCTAGTTTTGAGTTTTCCACCAGGCTAAAATTAATCCTCTTAGCTCTTTACATTACTGAAAAACAGGACCTCTAGTCTATTTCTCTGGCATGCAGTTCAAAACTGCTCTTTTGAAACCCTAATTTAGTTAGTATCTCCTTAAATATAACCACAGAAATTTCCTGATGGGTTTTTCTCAAGGATTTTTATCTCAGCAGAATTAAAGCTGTGACTTTTATAATGATGAACACATTTTAGTTTCCCAGAGTTCTTTCTAAGCTAAAACAAATGTCTATAGGATTTTGAAAAGCCTTTTCATTTTTCTGTACATTCCCCAACCCACTCTTAATTTGTACTGTAACAGTGGTGATGTTATGTATCTCACATCTGCCATACACTCATTAGTTTGATAAGAAAGGCTAATTTAACAGCCACATCTTGCCTGGAGACTTTCCTCTGTATTATTTGTGTAAACAAAACTACCACACTGCATTCAATTGGAGTTAAACTTTCCAGATTCCATTCAAAGTAGGCCTGCTTCAAGATTCATGATGAGAGAAACTTCAGAGTGAGTAGAAGCTTATTAAAGAGATTAGTCTGCCAATAACATCTACTGAATGATGATTCAATACTATGTATGCATGGATGTATATGTGTATATATGTGTGAAGTTGATGTACCTTATTGAGTAGCCATTAGGTTTCTTGTTACGATACAATGAGAAACACTGTCCTTGCCATCATCTTACTCTTCTCCAAATGACTGCTGTTTTCTTAGACTGCATATAAATGGAGTTGTTTCTGGTTAACTATTCTTAGCAAGGGAGACCACATTATATAGCTCACTAGCTAATCATGGGAGGGATTTCAATTAAAATGTAGCAATAGTGAGGGCCATGGAGACAGAAGACTACAGTTGGCCCTCTGTAACTGTGGGTTCTACATTGGTGGATTCAAGCAACCATAGATGAAAATATTTTTTTCAAATAGATGGTTTCACCTGTACTGAATATGTACAAACAGACTTTTTTCTATCATGGTAGGTATTATAAGTAATCTAGAGATGATTTAAAATACATGGGAGTCTGTGCAATAGGTTTTACACAAGTACTACCCCATGTTATATCAGAGACTTGATCATTTGTGGATTTTGATATCCTCAGGGGGTCCTGAAACCAATTTCCTATGGATACCAAGAGACAATGGGATGACCTTCTGCTATTCTTAATAAAGGTTCCCATTATTAGGACACACAAATGAGACTTTATTGTTCCAATTTGTGTTATAGTCACATATAATTTTCGTAAAGCTGTCAAATGCTCTCAAGAGTGGAAGATTTCTTTTACCACTGCCATTCATATGTATGAAACTTCTCCACAATAGCTAAGTCAAGTTGTATGTATGTCAATATGTATAGCAACTAGAAAAGTATTTCCTCTTGAGGTAGCCTATTCTATCTACAGTGAACTCTAGTAGTCTCATTATATGGAACCAAAAACTTCTTCCCACTGTCAATGTTTCCTTGTCTCAAAAACACAGAGAACAGTTAATTCTTTGTCACGTGACAGCCATGTACATATATATATATATGTATATGTATATATCTCTATATATAGATATATATGTATTTGCCTCTTAAAATATAATGTCCAGAACTAAAAACATTATAACTGGGGTGGTCTGATCACAATAGAGCTGTTCTATCGCCATCTGAACTGTTTGATTGCAAGTAAGTACTTATAAATAAATTACCAGTTTATTCACATGCAAAAATGATCTTTGATTACATTTGAGTGTATAGCTATTCATATTCATAAATTTCTTCATAATAACTTTTATTTATTATTCCTTACAACAGCCTTCTTGAAGTTTTGTACTTCTAAGCTGAAAAAAATGCCTACAGGTCTCATTTTTACAGATCATGAATGATATTAAAGCTAATTATGCATAACACTGCAAATGAAATAACTGCTGCATTGTAGTTACATTTTATATAGTCTCTTGGTTACTCTATGATTACTTACACATTTAAATCAGGAATTGTCATGAAGCTTGATAATAAGATTTTCTATTTATGATACGTGTCATATATCCACACAGTATCTATGGATTCACACATTTTGTGAGACAGATCATGGGGTAATCTTTCATGGTGTAGAAGATGTTGACAGTCCATGAAATGCAACAAATAAGCCTTAGTTCAGATGTTCACAGAGCAAAACTTAGAACTTTGCATGGATTTAGTTGATGCTTGCAGTAGTGATAAAGGAGATTATTTCTTTGGTCCCACATTTGATAGTTCTCTTATTACAGAACATTTCTATATTGCATTTAATTTTTCCTTCACAAAAATGTTGTGCAGCTAAAAATAGTGATTTGATTAAGATATAAAACTGAAGAATAAAGGGGCCTTAATTATACATAGACAAACAAGCTAAGTCTACCGAGACACTACATGGACACTAAGCCTACAGAAAAGGTCCTAATACTCCAAGGAACCAGACTAATTCAAAATTAAATTCTAAGCCATTGCCTGGCAAAATTGAGCTTTAGAGATAGACCATGCACATTTAGTTCATTCTTGCTACATATTACATTCCATTGCCCTGGTTTTTGTTTCATATTATTTTACTGTCTTACATTCATGGATAAATCACTCTTTCTAGTTCTTTTTCTTTTTTATTTCTTGTCCCATAATAGCCAAATGCCCTTGTGGGTGGATGGAGGCAGGAAAAGAGAACAATACAAAATAAATATGATACTCAATAGAACCATTATAGGCCCTCATTAGTCACCTTATATATTCTGTCTCTTAAGGGTGTCTTTATATATAGAACCCCAAACACATGTTTATTTTAGAAAATATATCAGTATGTATTCAGTCAAACCAGTTTGTCTGATGTCACATATACAAATCAAGCATTTAATTTGTTTTACACTTCTAAAATATTTTTACGTGTCTTGTTGAAGTCACACTAGTTTCCTAATATACCACTCATTATGACTTTGCCCCATGTCATCATAAGAGGCTGTGAATCTACCATAGTAGATAGTATAACTGACACTGATCTTACCTTCTTATAGATGAGCAGCAAAATCCATATAAGCCAAAATCTATCATTGATTGTTTTTGCTGCCACCTCTTAGATAGATTTATATGTTTCTATTTCAAGGCTCTTTTCTTTCTTACTGCTAAAGCCTCAGTGCCTTTGTCAAAATAATGGCTCCCACCACATACCTACAGCAAACTGATCTTCAATAAAACTGACGAAAGTAAACAATGGAGAAAAGACATCGTATTCCATAAATGGTACTGGGAAAACTGGCTAGCCATAGGCAGAAAAATGAAACTGAACCCCTATCTTTCACCATATACAAAAATTAACTCAACATGGATTAAAGACCTAAGTGTAAGACCTGGAACTATAAAAATGCCAGAAGAAAACTTGGGAAAACTCTTTTGGACATCAGCCTAGGAAAAGTATTTATGACAAAGACCCCAAAAACAAATGCAGAAAAATTAAAAACAGACAAATAGGACTTAATTGAACTAAAAAGTTTCTCCACAGTAAAGGAAACAACGGAATAAACAGACAACCTACAGGATGGGAGAAAATGTTTACAAATTATGCCCCCAACAAAATATTAATATCCAAAATCTACAAGGAATTCAAACAACTCAACAAGAAAAAAATAACTCCATTGAAAACTAGGCCAAGTACATGAACAGACATTTCTCAAAAGAAGAAATACAAGCAGCCAACACATGAAAAAATGCTCAACATCACTAATTATCAGAAAAATGCAAATTAAAACCACACTGAACTATCATCTCAAATTAGTCAAAATGGTATTTATTAAAAAGTAAAAAAAAAAGACAACAACAACAGATGTTGACATGGATAAAGAGAATGCTCATGTATTGTTTGTGGGAATTTAAATTAGCTCAATCTCTATGAGAAACAGTATGGAGATATCTCAAAGAACTACAAAGAGAACCACCAATCAACCCAGCAATCCCACTACTAGATAACCATGCAAAGGAAAAGAAATCATGTAAAAAGTATACCTGCACTCACATATTCATTGCAGCACTATTTACATTAGCAAAGTCATGGAGCCAACTTAAAGGTTAACCAATAGTTGTTTGGATAAAGAAAATGTGGTATATACACACCATAGAATACTAAATAGTCATAAAAAAGAATGAAATAATGTCCTCTGCAGCAACATGGATGGAGCCGGAGGCCATTATCCTAAATGAACTAACACAGAGGCAAAAAATAAAATATCACATGGTCTCACTTATAAGTGGGAGCTAAACAATGGACAAAAAGATGGAGAAAACAGACTCTGGGGACTCCAAAGGGCGTGGAATGAGGGTTGAAAAATTACCTACTGGGTACAATGTCCAATATTTGGGTGATGGGTGCACTGGAAGCCCAACCCCCACTGTTATACATGTAATACCCACGTAACAAACAAGCTCATGTACCTCCAAATCTAAAATAAATTTTAAAAGATAATGGCTCCCAAATGATTTGAAAGGGTAAACTTGTGGAATTGTTTTTATGTCTGAATTATAAGGTAATTTAGAGTTTTCAGTTTCACCCTAGGCCCCTTGACAAAATATATCTGCCCTCCTTGTACTCCACAGGCTACAAAGAAGACAGCTAAAGCTAAATCAACTGAAAAATTTTTCTTTACTTGGATAGTTGTGGCCCACAGATAGTCTGCAGTTTGCTATGCAGCATTATTGACTTAAAGACTAGAATTAACAAATTTAAACTCTATTGGTTTGATTAATGCACTCTAACAAAGATTAATGCTTTTTACGTGTAAGGCATTAAGTACTAGGGCACAGAAAAAATATAAGACTTTCTTCTGAGAATGAATTTACCCATGGAAGGATAACAGTCTACTGCCATTGAGGGGCTATTAGCCTCTGCTTTTTATGATATGGTACACACTCCAAACCTTTTTTGGTCAGAAAGAAAGACGTTGACAGTTTTCTTGCCTACTAGTATCTAGACAAAATATATATATAATATGACATTCTTCCTTTATTCTACGTCACTCTTCTATTTTCCATATTGTTTGTTTGTTTTTTAATGGTACCAATTGAGCTAAACTTGGCATTCTATGTAGTAAACATGTGCTTTACAGTATTGATTTAGAGGAGAAGAGTAAATGGGAAGGGGGGGGAAATAAATAGAAAAACATAAGCATTTTTATCAAGATATTCGTAAATATTGATGCTTCACCTTTTTTGCACAAAAAGCTTAGAATAAGGAAAATGTAACAAATGCTGTAGGAGAGGAAGAAAGCCATGTGCTGTGCAAGCACTAAGAAAGGCGAGATTAATTTCAGCTAAAGGAAATGTATGTGAATAAAACACTTGTTCTGAGCGCTGCAAGTCTAATAAACTAAAGTGCCATCAGGTTACCTTTCTAGGCTCTACATTGTACTGAACGTGCTGCTGAGTAAACCATTTTAATCTGTAGATGGATCCTCAACAGCATTCATCTTACCCCTAAAAATACTTTTTTTTCCTTTTTATGTAGATATATCAGACAAAGATTGGGTTTTTTCAGTGGGCAAGGAGAATGAGTATTCTATATGCAATGGCCATTTAGCAATAATGAATATGATACCAGATAACTTTAATTTCATTTAATTTAATGAAAGTACATATGTGTACTATAAATACCTCCATAGTATTTTAAAGACTGAAATTCAGAGTCTTTCTTATTTTATGTAAATATAAGAATCATTCAGGTTGGTCTAGCAGTATTGTTTGAAAATCTAGGCTTCTGGATGTTGATTCAGCTCTTTTGATTTTGAATGGTTATCTATCATACCACCAATTTCAATTTTTAACTAATTAAAATTAGTTATTTAATAAAACTTCCTTACAGTATATTCTGTGACTATCATATCAAAAGTGTATGAGACTTAGTTTCCTATAATTACAATAATTATATTTTTAATAATTAAAACCAAGCAATGTTCATGGTATAACCTCAATAATTGTCTTCTCTGCCCATGTCTTCAAATAAAGCCTGGAGAAACAAACTGGACCTGTTTTACAGAAGCTGCCCAACATTGACACAACACAGGTCCCAAACAGATTTGCAAGTAGCATCATTACTCCATACCTATTTTGCTCTGCATACAAGCACTGTATAACGAAATGACTTTATATAACTTTTCAATTGCCAGTTTTTACCTTAGTGGGTTTTCATTATTGAGCTATGCATGTATTTGTATGTGCAGCTTAAATTTCCAATTGTTCAGTATAATTAAGCTCCATGTGTACAAAATATAAAACAATCTTTGTATCTTGGTACATTATAAAATTGTAAAGTCCTCTTCCATTTTTTTTTTTTTTTTTTTTTTTTTAGAAATGAGTTCTCGCTATATTGTGCAAGCTGGAGTGCAGTTTGCAGGCATGATCATAATGCACTACAACCTTGAACTCCTGGGCTCAAGTGATCCTTCTGCCTTAGCCTCCTGAGTAGCTGGGACTACAGGTGTGCTCTACTATACCCAGCTAAAATTGTAAAATCATCTTTTATAGTAATTAATATATTATCATCAGAACCATTCACTCTTCTCTTTTTCCATTATGACTTCTGGACTTTTGCTAGATATATAACATTGAGACATAATTCATACTTTTTCTTTGATTTTAGTGTGAAGTTATAATTATTAAAAGATAAAAATACAAATAAATATTTCTAACACTTCTAACACATTAATGACTTTTTCTAGTTAAAAAATACCTGAACAAAGGTAATTATTAAGTACACTTAGGTCTATTCTATCATATGCTGATTATAACATAATATGTATTATAATCACAACATATATATTTTAATCATAACATACATGTTATGACAGATGTAGGTGACACAAATATGTATTTTCCTTAGATCCTTTTAACCTATGATTCTGTATAGATTAAAATACATGGCTTTCAAAATTGAATGAAATGACTTTTTTTTAACCTTGAGCCTGGACAGTGCTTGGAGGTAGACCAAAATAGGTATGGACTAATGATGCTACTTGCAAATCTGTTTGGAAAATCATGTGTTACGTCAGTGTCAGACAGAATCTATAAAACTGGTCCAGACCCTCCTCAGACTTTGTCTACACACTCCTTAACTGTACCAATAAGACACACAAATTGTTGAGAAAGTAGTATCTTAAAAAAATGACAATTACTATGATTAAACTTTCTGAATAAACTGATTAATTTTTTAAAACTGACTTGAATGGAAATGGCTTGGGTATCATGAAATGACAGGCAACATTTATTGAGAATGAACAGGCATTTGTTCTAGATACTTTACATGTGTTAACTCTCTTAACAATCCTATGAAGTAGACGCTATTTTAATCCACATTTTACAGATGAGGAAAATGAGCATACAGAGTTTCAATACTTGCTCAAAGTGACAGAGCTTGGATTTGAATGGAAACAGTGTGGCTTTGGGGATAGTCTTTCCCTTTACATTTTACAAAATAACCGAAATAATTTCTACATATGCGAAGGAGAAAGAATGTGTATGTATATATTCAAATTCAGTGTCTTCATTTAATAAGAAAGAAATATAATTTCACAGCTTACTACTATAGTTAAAATTTTCACAAAAAAGAATCACTTTATACTTTCCTTACCCACTGAGGAAAGATAAACACCAGTACATAGTCATTTTCAACTCTTTCCAGTGCTACATAGTTTCTAGAATCATGACCTATTGGTAATTTTGTTTTATGGTGACAGTGATGTGAGACTAGAGACTTGGGGAATTGGCTGAAAGGTTATAAAGAGTCACATATTTTGCATCTCCAGCTTCATCAGACTCCGGGTTATGTGAAATACATTTACTTCGATTTGAAATATAATAAATTTATATCTTCTTTTTCACAAAGCAAAGATACACTTATGCTCAAATCTTTTGAGTGATAGAAGGAACTCCCCATATGAGCTATTATTATAGGTCAGTCTAACTTAACAGCTTCAACTGTCTACTGAAAAAAATTCAAGTACACTGTACCCTACTGTTGCCCTTGGGATTATCTACAGCAGATTTACTGAAAACACGGAATGAATGAGAATTAAAACACCCTTAAAAATAGCAAACTGGAATCTTTAGACTCATAAGTAATTTCCTTGATGATGTTTACTCAGTTACTGTTCTTACTGAACCTGCTCATGAAATGATCTATGTTTAGAACAATTAATTTTGGTCTATTTGAATATATAGAAGGTAACTAAGGAAAAGAAAGCAAAACAGCAACCTGATCATTATGCCTATATTATTTTCTTTGATGAAAAGTGGAAATGTAATTTGATCACACAGTCACTTGGAATTTTCTATACATAGGAGAAGCATTAGACTGAAAGTTTTGAAATGCATATGGTGTTGTACCAGTAAATTGACTCTAAAAAACCCCTGATTTGTAGTGTTTGCCAGTTTTTATTGTTTAAATATTCCCACGATGAGCTGATTTTAAGCTACCAATGGTTTAACGACTGGCTCAAAAAAATCTCTGAGAATTTAGTAACCAGTTCTGATATACTGCTGAATTTATAATTCTGTGACTTTGTTACTTTGTCCCAATGATGATGGATGCAATACATTGATTGCATTAGTGACACCAATTCTTTACACCTCATATATCCACATTCTGTGGCATTTAAGTTTGTAGTATACTCCCACTGATTTCCTGGACCCGGCTAAGTGATTTGCTTTGACCAGTGGGATGTTAGCAGACATAACACAAGTGGAAGGTTGAAAGAGACCTTCCATATTTTTACTCTTTCTTTTGACTTTTGCCGTTACTATGAAAACACACCTGGGCAAGCAGAGCCAAGTTGCCCCTATCGTTGCAACTAATACCAGCTTAAATCAGTTGACAGCAAACAAATTCTAAGACACGTGAGTGAGCACAGTCAGGATCAGTAGTTCTATCTATCTGACCTACTGCTGAGTGCAGATGCATGACCAAGCCCAGGTAAAGTCATCCAAGCCCAGCCTATATAGAGTGTGCTACACATGTGAGGTAAATGCATTTTTAAAATTATATTCATTGAAGTTTTGTGGTTGTTTGTTATGTAAGATTATTTTGTCAATAGATAACTGATACAATGATGGTATTATTTGGGAAAATTTAATTAGGGTGAAGAGAATTTATACAATAGGCAATGAGGTTTGTGAAAAGTTAAGAAACTTTAGAGTCAGTCAAGCCTGGGTTTGAACACAAGATCTACCACTTATGGGTGATGACCTTGAGAAATTTATTTAACTTCTCTCTTCCTAACTTTTGTAATTTTTAAATTGTAGATAACTCGCTTGCAGAGTTATTATACAAATTAAGTATGTATGTATATAAAATAAATATATACAAATTGGTATGTATGGGTATATACATAATTTCTACAATATATACAAATTATTATGTATATATATAATGTGTGTATATATTTAATATATATTTATATATAATCAGATTATATGTATATATACACACTCTCTCTCTGTCTCTCTCTCTCTCTATATATATATATATATATATAATCAGATTAAGAACACAGATCTGGAATCAGACTGCTTGGGGTTGATTCCCAGCTATACCATTTTAATATTTCAAAGAACTTAGAATTGTATATTTTCTACTTATAGCATATATTTAAGAGCTACCTATACTAGAATTTGATAAATAAATTAAAGCTGCTGGCACACAGTAAGTATTCATTAAATAGTAAGTATCATGTGATATAGCTATTTCTTTACTTAGAAAAAAATGAACTTGATATTCTGGTAAAATTAGCTAAACCACTTAATTATTTTTTAATGCTAACAGATTCTTTGGGAGCGAAGCAGAGTGACCAGACAATGTTAAGGCTATGTTTTGTAAGGAGTATCTTTAACCTCCAGAAAACAAGCCCATCAAATCATTCCTCTAATAACTTCCAGGAAGAACCTGAATTTCAGCTTGAAACTCATAGGTATAAATTTGAGGAATCTGTTTTAATTGTTAGCAGGGATATTACGTTTTTGCTTTCCTATTCAAAATATTTATGCCAGCTAGCTTTATTGCTAGGGGATAAACTGAAGGAATTGAGAAATGTCTGTCAACACTCTGGTTAATGTGTCAGGATAAAGGCTTCTTGGATAATACCCCCAAAATCAGACACAAGTCAGAAAAAAGGAGATAAAAGGCAATCAAAACCAGCACTAAGAGGTTAACATGAAGTAGGACCTGTCCTAGAGTAGAAAGAGGAGGAAAAATTCTATATTAAATTGTGAATCTGTCCATTCTGAAGATGACTCAATATTTCTTCAGAGACTAAGACAAGGAGACGATGGTATCCTTGGTGTTTGCCATGAAGTTACCACTTTATGTAGGAAGAGAAAAATAGGGTACTATGTGGCTCCTTAATGAGAAGTGGAGTGTGGTCTTAGACACGTATAGCCTGAAATCGAATTGCCATTTGGAATGTGTGCTTCCTTCCTGGAGTGAGCACCTAAGATACATCAGCAAGGTTGCCCAGGTACATTAAAAGTACCAACTCCTCCATGGAGACAGATTTACATAGGAGGAATGAGAGAGCCAGAAGAGACCTCAAACATAGTTTTAATGACTCGGAGTTTTGGGAGAGAAACTGGAAGACTAAGGGGGAACACAGATGGATTTAGATTTCAACTTGAAGGTTGTGACTTTGGCACAAAAACAGGATACAAAAGTGAAAACTGCCTACGCAGATAGTATTAGAAAACAGGTGTTTATTTCTTCATGGTGGTTTATTATGCTAGCATGATTGATTCTTGGTAAAGCATGAAATAGTAAGCAATGAAAGACCAAGAAGAATATGCATTTTTTAAAAAGATCTAATTTAATTAGATCAAATTTACGGACGAAATGAATGAAGAAAAAACTACAAACTCAGACACTTTAGAAGATATCAAGGAAAAACTATCATATTGCATCTCTAGTAATTCTTGAGAGAAAATAGGAGAGATGAAAATCAAAACCAAAGCTAGGTTAGCATGTAACATGTTGTCTCACATAATAGGTACTCGGTAAGTGTAGACTGGATAAATGTACACACAGGGGTAAAGAGAACCTTTAAAATACTGCTCTTTTAAAAAGCCTATAAAAAACTAAACAAAATATTAAACCAAAGAAGGAAAAAACAGTCTTATAAATACCAAGATTTGGAGAGCTGAGCTTTTGACTGAAAAATGGAAATAGTTGGGAGAGCAATCTCCTCTGGGTCATGAGGGTTCCTGCATTTTCTTGCTTGATGATACACCAAGAATGTAAGACTCTGACCTCATTTTACCTAGGCCATATCTCAGTATTATGGTTGCAGTGAGCAACCCTGAAGGATGAGGTGATATCTTTTCCCAAAGAGCAGAAGATTTACTTCTCCCTACTATAAAAGTAGGAAATTGGCTGGGCGCGGTGGCTCACACCTGTAATCCCAGCACTTTGGGAGACCAAGGTGGGCAGATCACGAGGTCAGGAGTTCAAGACCAGCCTGGCCAACATGGTGAAACCCCGTCTCTACTAAAAATACAAAAATTAGCATGGCATGGTGGCGCGCGCCTGTGATCCCAGCTACTCGGCAGTCTGAGGCAGAGGAATCGCTTGACCCCAGGAGACGGAGGTTGCAGTGAGCCAAGATCACACCACTGCACTCCAGTCGGGGTGACAGAGCAAGACTCCATCTCAAAAAACAAACAAACAAACAAACAAAAAACAAAAAAAGGAAATTCCTCAAGCTCAGTGTTCCTTTTTTCAATGCAGCCCACTGCTTAAAGGCATCCATTTAGGCCCATTTGAATTACCCCTGTGGGTCTTAGAAGAGGATGGGGAACCAAAGTAAACCAACAGGAGGCTCTGGCTACAGCTTTGCCATAAGTAGCAAAGTCCTTTGTTTCTGATCCAGGAATCTTGAACCTTCTGCCAGCATCCATGAAATAGTAACAGATTATTAGCTTGTAAGTAGGGTGATATCTCAGACCTTTTATACTTTTTTACAATAATAGTAGGCAATACCTTGTTCATAAGAAACAGTTCTAATAGTAAAATGGAATAATTAAAGTGAAAAAGGAATTATTGAACATAATACCTGAGTAACTATGGTCAACATAGTCCTGAAAGCTATTGTCAAATTAAATAGAGTGAGAGTCTTTCAAATTTTATTGGTGCCCTTTTGCTGTATGAGATTCTATTGAAACTCTGTCTTTGGTGATTTATATTTTTCAGTGCAGTCTTGCTAAATTATAACCAACTTTGCCTATTCTGTTTGGGTAAAAGTGAGTTTTAACATCTAGTTCCTGATTTTATAGTCTTTTAGTCAAACCTAAAAAAGATCACAATGCCCTTAACTACTCATTTGTAATAAAATTTAAATCACATGAGTTAAATAAATTATGATATTTATAAACTATGGAATGATGGGATAATGTTCACAATATAACAAATGAAAAAGGCAGCCTACAAAATTGTATGTAATATTAACTTCCAAATTTAAAAAAATCAGTTTATCTATTGATATAACACAGCCGATTGATACAGTTATAACATAGATGATACATGCCATACTATTAATGCCTTCTTTGTATTTTTCAAATTTTTGCAATAAACATATGTCACTTTTATAATCATGAAAGTTCTTAAAACTATTAAATTATTTTAACCCATATTTGCAACTCACATGTAGTTACTATGCAGTATACTTGGCATGTATAATAAACAGAAGTTTCTAGATTTATATTTATATACTTATTTTATCATCACATTTATTATTTTATATATCTTGTTTGTCCTTTGTGCTGCATATTTTGTAAATAACTGCAAATTCCCTTTGGAAGAATTAGAATGTAAATAATAATTGGAAGTTTTACTTTTTGGAAAATCTATGGATTTTTACCATGAAAGCCCAGAAAAAAAAATACTGGTTGGAGGAAAGATAATATGACTCAGAAACTGTTCATTCTTCAAGTAGATTGAGAAATAAATCTACTAGGTAGAACACAAAAAACAAAACAGAAATTTCTCATTGTGAGAAAGTAAGTGTAGGAGTTAAGAGGTGAATTGTGTCTCCTACAAATTCACATGAAGTAATAACCCCAGGTATCTTAAAAGGATGGCCTCATTTGGCAATAAGGTCTTTGCAGATATAGTCAAGTTAAGATGAGGTCATTAGAATGGGCCCTAGTCCAGTATGATCGGTATCTTTATAAAAAGGGAAAATTTGGACACAGATACAGACACCCACACAGAGAGAATGCCCAAAGAATATGGTTTATAATGTGCGGCTAGGACTCAATGAGATAGGGTTGATAGTGGAGGAATAAATCAGAAGAAATTAAGTGTCACAGAAACTGTAAAAAGAATGTTTCAATAAATAGATTGTGATGAAGATCATCAAATGATGGACAATCATGGAGAAGCAGTGTTAAATATTAAAAAGGTACATTTAAGCTTTGGAGGCAGAGAGAATTGGGTTTAAATGTTATCTGTACTAACTAGCTGTGTCAGCTATGAAATTCATGTTACCTCACTAAACCTTATTTTTCTCACCTGTAAAGAAGGGGCAATATGTGTCTTTTTAAAGTTTGGTTGTAATTAAGAGCAGCCACACTCTCTCTCTCTCACACACACACAAACACACACACACACAAATGCTTAGCAAACAGGTGCTCAATAAATGGCCACTGTTGTTACTGCTGTAAGACAATAGAGAAAGGTGTGGGACTAGACTACTAGTAAAAAAAAAAAGAAGTAGAAAAAAATACTAAAAGAATATATTTTCTATTCTTAACAGTAGGCAATTACTTAATGAGCACTTACTATGTGAAGGAACTATTCTCAGCACCTATATGTATTACCTTATTTCATCCTGACAATAATCCTTTAAGTAGATACTATTTTGATTCCCATTTTACCAATGAGAAAAAAAGGCATAAAGCTCTTACTTGCTCAAGTCCACACAGATGATAAGTGCAAGAGCCAGTATTCAAAACCATGTTGTTTAAATCTAATGTTGATAGTTTCCAATACTGTGCTACATTTCTTCTCTTTTAGAATCAATGGTGTGTTATCAGCTAGATATTTAGTCTGTGATAATGAATCTTTAGTTCTTTCTTTAGTGGCCGTAGAATTTCTTAATGCTGAGTTATTTCAATACAGGCAAGTCTGGAAAATAGTTTTCTACCAAACAGCCTCTTCTATGTTCTTAGTGATTTATTAGAATATGGAATTTACTTTTGGGATTCAGGGTAAGACAACTGGGAGATGTGTCCTACCTCCACAGTAATTAGCTACTTAATGTCAGGTCTGAGAAATTTTGTGGACTTTAATTTTTTTGACATTATGTCTGCAAATTCATTTAAACATTTTTGGGTAGAAGTGGAATGTTCAGGTTTGCTCATTTCAGTTTGCAAGACCCAATTGTTAAATTTTCAGTAATTTTGCAAGCTGGTTACTAAACATAGCCATTATTAAAAATTAAACTATATAAACACAGAGATAAATACTATATAAACAAAGGCTATAAATACTCAAAACGCATTATTTTCTAATTATTTTTACTATATTTTATTATTATCTGTGCTTTTAAGGTTATTCATATTAATCTTATCTGTATGGAGAAAATACCGTATTTTGTGTGCTGTTACACATCTCTTCCAAACTCTGTGTTCAGCAACATCAAGTTGGTAGCTTGAAACTGGCCATAGTGGGAGTATTTATTCCACAGAAATTGGTTAGCTAATGCTAAAATTAGGGATCTCCCAAACCCTGGCCAGTTGTTAAATCTTTATCAGCACACCACTGCAAAGCTGATAGACTGTAGTTGTACCCCACTGAAAATCCTCTATCCTGGCACTATCATTTAAACTGCCATTTGTAGAATTTCAGAAATATATTTAAAGCATTATTTATCAGTACTTGGTATAATTAGAAATTCATATTGCTTACTGGGCCATCTCAGTGATCTCAAATAGATGACTAAATTGTCCATTTTATTTTCTTTCAAATCCAAAGAGCTAGTGTTTTCCCTTTGGAGAAACTAATAATCAAACTTCTATTTTTGACTTCCCTACACTTTCACCATTTCAACTCTTTGAAATCTCTCTTTTTATTAGCTTTTTAATTTATAAAAATCATCTTTGATCACTGAGCTCATTTCTTCTCAACTCAAATATTTTCTGGTCCATCCTCACTCCATCCTGTGTGCAAAAGGCCACTTTAAGAAAGGGATAGCAGTGGTTAAAAGGCTCTTTGGAAACCAGAGTGATGCTTGAATTTAGCAAGAGGAAGAGTACAAGCAGGAGGCAAAAGTAAGAAGAGGCAATACAGCCTAGGGGGTGAGAAGGGCATGGGCTCTGAAGTCACTGTCTGGATCCAAATTCCAGCTCTGCCAATTACTGCTATGTGACTTCAAGCAAGTTACTTAACCTCTCTGAGCCTTAGTTTTCACTTCTATAGTATGGGGATAATAATTGGATCCATCGCATATAGTTGTGCATATGGTCAGTATATTTGTTGTTACTCCCTCTACATGTCAAAAGATAGGGTTTTCTCCCCCAAAACAGAAAGTCGGGTTGGTCATTTGTTATACACTTTTAGTCAAGACTTTGTTTAGCTGAGAATATCTAAAGTAGCTCATGTATTTATTCTATTGAAAAATGTAAACTTTTGGAAAAAAGTGTTCCAAACTACTATTCCTCAATTTTTAATTATGTACACATTGTATGAGCTATTGCAGTTGGAAAATGGACAAGCATAATGGGACTGGCAAATTGATTCAGTCTATCTAAATGTGCTGCATACAAATCAATTGTGCAGTGACCTACTTGGATTACTGAGAGTTAACTAAATGACATCCTGTGTGAGAAGGTAGCCATTTGGCCATATGTAGGTGAAGTCTTTCAGATGATCTACTTGGGATCAAAATCAAAAGGGCACAGTTGACTTGTGCTAAAGTGTATAGTACTATTGTTCTGAAATATGATTAAAGAATTTTGAATCTTTACTTAATAGTTATTGCAGAATTAAATATATATAATCCCCATGGAGACGTCCCTATTTTTAAAAACATTTCTCTATTATCTAGTGATTCAGAAGTAATTATGGGTGAGAATAATTTGATTTGAGGTTTTAGATGTAACCAAAGTTCAAAAACATGAAAAACTGTATAAAACCAAGATTTAGACAATTATTCATAGACTTCAATGGAGAAATAATAGTCTTCAACAAATGGAGCTGGAATAATTTAAAATTTATATGCAGAAAAAGGGTGAACTTGAATCCACATATCACATTATATACCAAAATTAAGTCAAAATGAATCATAAATTTAAATGTAAAATTGAAAACTATAAACCTTCTTGAAGGAAACATAGGAGACAACTGTTGTGATTCCAAGTTAGGCAAATATTTCTTCAAGATAACACCAAAAGCACAATTCATAAAAACTGAACTTCATCAAAATTAAAAACTTTTGCTCTTCAAAAGGCACTATTAGACAAATGAAAAGGAAAGCCACAGACTGGTGTAAAATATTTAAAATGCATATATCTGATAAAGTATTTATATATATAGAATATATAAGTAACTTTCAAAATGTAATAGGAAGCAAACAACCCAGTAAAGATATACAGATAATAACTGTGCACTTAAAAAGATGCTCAACATCATTGTTGTTAGGAAAATACCAACTCAAAGCACAATGAATTACCACTACACTTCTATTAGGATGATTAAACTGAAAAAGAATGATTATACCAAGTATTGACAAGCATGTGGATGTAATGTAACTCTCATACACTGCTGATGAGATTGTAAAATGGTACAACCACTTTGAGAAAGAGTTGGGCACTTTCTTGAACAATTCACCACCCATGAACCATATGATCCAGCCACTCTACTCCTCCTATTTACACAAGCGGAAAAAAAGCATATGACCATATTAAGACTTGTAACAAATGTTCACAGCATTTTTTAATAGCCCAAACTAAAAACAACCCAAATATTCATCAACAGGTGACTGGATAAACTGTGAAGTATCTGTAAAATGGGCTCAACAATACAAGCAATGAACTATTGCTATACATAACAACATGTATAGCATAATCCCAAAATAATTATGCTGAGTGAAAGAAAACAGGCAAAAAGAGTACCTACTGATTTAGTTTATATAATTCAAATTACACATTTATAGTGACAGAAAGCAAATAAGTGGTCCTCTGGGGATGAGATAGCAGTGGGAAGGTGAGGAGAAGAGTAGGAGGGATGCATGACAAAGGATAATGAGGAAACTACTGTGACTGATGGATATGTTCACCATTTTGATTGTGTTGATGGTTTAATGGGATATATATACATATGTCAAAGTGCATCAAATTGTATACCTAAAGTATGCGCATTTATTGTATGTCAATTATACTTCAAAAAAGTTAAAATTTGTGCATTTTGGTCTTGTCACAAATTTTTTACAACAGATTTTATTTGTAGGTGATAAACATTGGTTAGATAGTTCAATGGACTCCAGTTATAGAGCATTACAGATTTGTTTACATTTATAATTTTGAAAAAATAGAGATAACAATGTCTCTGAAAAGTTTATTGCCATAGAATAATTTTTACTTCAGAAAAATTTATGTTATCTCCCATTAGCGAACAAAGAAATGTCAGCTAGAGAGCAATTTGGTAAAACACAATGATTTAGTTAGAATTATGAAAGATAGATTTGCCTTATTGCCAGCTCTGCAGTGCACAATGTTAAATAGAATAAATGAAAATATAATCTAAAATGATGCTAAGCTTAAATTTGCATTCCAATTCTTAACAAGTTTACGAGCATAATGTAGTCCTTTGGACACCTGGGAAGATTTATGAATAAACTTAACCTGGCAAACATAATTATAATCTGAAACAAATGGGGCTGGGTCGTGACCAACTGACTTAGATTTAATGATTGAACACAGGGGCCTATTATGATATTACTAGGAACTCAACCTAGAGAAATTTATTTTACTTTATTACAAGAAGAGGTTAAAGTCCCAGTGGAGAAAGCTGAATGGGCGTATTTATATTTAACTAATGAGGAAACTCTGGGCAGGGGCCAATTTGTCTGAATCTTATCTGTGGCTAATTTTAAGGACATTTCCTTCTTATCTGTTCCCTTGAACAACCTCTGTTGGGTTGGCAATGATAAATTATGTAGCCTGGAGAATGATAATCCAATGGAGTTACTAAACTCTTTTCAGTAAATCTTACTATCACTTACTCTTCAACTGAAATTTTGCAATAAAAAATAATGATGACCAGCATTTGTCAGGTACATAGAACATGTGAGGCATCCTTATACATACTTTATGTCATTCAAATTTAATCTTCACAGGATCAAAGAGGTCTGTATTGTCGATTTGACTTACTTTATAGAGAAGGAACCTGGGCACAGAGAAGATAAGTAATTTGTTCTGGGACACAGAATCATAATTTGAACCCAGATCTCTGTCTTTCAACCACATGCTTTTTCCATTACATTATTCTCCATTTCCTGTATTTTAGTTACTGCCCTTTGATAGTTTGGGTCAATCAGGAAGAAATATACAAATAAATATCCATCAAAGGCATTTCTGAGCTGTGGGTAGAAAGCTAAAATCATGTCCACAACCTGAGTTGAGGCAGGTGTGAAACACCAGGAGGAAACTACAGGAGACATTAATGATATGGCTGAACTGTGTTCCTTTTTGGGGCAATTCCTTTCATTTGCACATTGAGGACAATTTCCCTAAGATTTTTTTTCATGAGATGACATATATTAAGTTATTAGTACTAGACTGGTGTATTATGTCATGGCAAAAAATAAGATCACTACTATTTTTATTAATAAGAAAGAAATGTACCTCAAAAAAGTGTACATATATATTCCACTCCTAGGCACATACACAAGAGAAATGAAAACATATGTCGATACAAACACCTGTATGCCAAAAAACTGAAACAACCAAAATGTCCATCAACTGACAAATGAATAAATAAAATGCACTATATCCATACGATGAAATAGTATTCATCAATAAAAAGGAATGAAGTACTGATACACACTACAACATGGATAAAAGTTGAAAACATTATGCTAAGTGAAAGAAGCTAGTTACGAATGGCTACGTATTGTATGACTTTCTTTATACGAAATGTCCATAATGGCAAACCTAGAAAGATGGAAAGTAAATTGGTGATTGACTAGGGCTTGGGGGCAGTGTAGTGATGGGGAACAGGAGTGGACTGCTAATGAGTACAGACTTTCTTTTTGAAGGAAAAAAGTCATCTAAGCTTAGATTGTGGTGATGATTGGACAATCATGTGAAAGTACTAAAAATAATTTTACTCTACACTTTAAATATATGAAATGTATGTTATGTGAATTGTATCTCAATAAGTCTATTTTTAAAAGACAATCATATAAAGAAGGTATGTATAATCAATTTAGGTCAAAGTAATCTATAAAACAAAGAAATTCCTTTAAAATTAAAAAAGCAAAAAAAAGAAATTATATGTCAAGTTGGTGACTTAGTCACACAGAGAATAAATTTTTCAAGTAACTTGAAAGCTCAGTAATTTGAATGTATATTCCCAGAAGATATATCTTTAAGGCAGAAAAGCAAAAGTGAGAATGTAAAGAAAACTTAATAATCATATTGGCACTGCCATTTTATAATTAATATATATCTGTATTGGGTTTTCATGTCATTCATTCACTTAATTACTTATTTACTTTATCCATAAATAATTATGTTAATATCTTTAGGGATTTTTATTTCAGAGTAAGTGAAAAGAAATACAAATATTAATATCAAACGAGTTCAAGAAGAATCTTCTACTCTTAACTTTGAATTGTTAAGACCAGTATAAATTAATGGTGTATTTTTTATTTAAAAAATAAATATTTGGGTCCTACCTCTATCCACTGAAAAATTCCTGGAAGCAATATCCATACAGTAGCAATTATCACTGAGCCCAGACCAAGCTCTCTAAATCCCCTTTCTTACTAAAAGGAAACAAGGATTCTTGGAGAGATGGCTGATGCCACAACCTGGCAAGAAATATTCAAGATTAGCTTGTAATGTCTTATCTGGATGGAAAGCAAATGAGTAATCAAAGACTACTGTTGTTGTGTCAAGATGATGCAGGAGACAATTTTGAAAGGGCTCTTAATGGCCAAAGATGGGCATGTGTGCATCAAAAGAATAATGACTTCAATGGGTTGAAGGAAGCTCATGAAAAATTCATGAGTTCAAAGCAAAACAAAATTATTGGTCATCTTTAAAGATTGAATAATTTCAAAATTATTATTCTGAAAACTGGAAAATAAAAGGAAAAAATCAAGTATTTCTTTTTCCCTTGCTCTATAAACTATATAATCAAATAGTTGAGAAAATGTTTTTAGAAGAATTTTAGCTAATAAATGCAGAAGGACAGAATCAGGAAATACTCAGCTTGTAACACCTAATGAAATAACGCATTTTGACTGCTAAAACAATTGAGAGAAAGATTCATGGAAACTTTATACTGGGAAATTAGGCTGACAGTATCTGTACCCACTGATGCATTTTAAATCGCCAAAATAGAGACAACTATGCATTATGTGCCTCTTGTCACAATGTGATCAATAGTATAGGGTACCACCTATGATGTATTCATGCCAAGAAAAATGAATTTCCGTTCAATCAGGCATCAATGATCATTCTACAGGAAATACAGAGGATAGAGGAATATGCTAACCAACATCTCCAGGAGTCAACAAGCCAAATCCAGTCTGGGGAAAATTCTATGAGATAAATGAGCCAGTTTCTTTAGCAAATAAATGGCAAGTGATGGAGAGAGGCAAAAAACAACGACAACAAAAAAAGGTTTTTTGTTGTTGATTAAAAGGTAACTGAGACATTTTTTGACCAAATGCAATTTGTAGATCTTGCTTGGATCTTAATTAAGAAAATCACAAGAAATTAGAGTGGTCCAAAAATGAATTGTTCCTTGAAGTGCTATGTTCCCCGTCACAGTAAGTTTTTGGACATAGAGCAGTTATATGCCACGGATGTTACATATAAGATTATTGATTGGTTGAGATGTTAGCTAGGCAGATTCTAAGATTCCTGCTTCCTGAAGAAGACGATTCCAAATTCACTCAAAGAAAACTACCCAATAGGAAATATACCCAAGTATGGTAGATTTGGTTTCTAAAGATTAGCACAACTGTATCTTCCATTTCACATGCTCTTTTGGAAGGAGACCTTGACATTTGCCCATCAAGAAGTGAAATCTTTCTCTGCTGCTTGAACCTGGGTTGTCTCTGTGACTGGCTTTGACAAACAGAATGTGGGAAAAATGAGGCTGTGTGGCTTGATGCTAGGCTTTAAGAGAATTTCTGCTTCCTCCTTCTTAGAGGCCTTGAACCATCATGTAAAGAGATCCAGCCACCTTACTGGAGAAACCATGCAAGAGAGAGTGAGATGCCCATCCAGCTCCTAATTGTTCTAGTTATGCAGCTGAGCCACCTTATATGTCAGTGAAGCCATCTTGAACATTCAAGCCCCAGCTTTGTCAGTGCTACAATTGAGCTCAGGATCCAGCAGACCCATTAGCTAAATGCAACCATAGGAATGACTCCATGATGCCACATGGAGATGAAAAACCACTCAACTCTATCTTGTACAAATTTCTGAGCAAATAAAATAGTTGTTGCTTTAAGTCACTAACCTGTAGACAGTTTACTATGCACTGTTAATATGGTGAACACAGGACAAAAAATCAGATATTGTCTTGGCTTTACAAGTCTTTATACTTAAACTTAATTTTTAAAAACCACAAAAATGATGATGAAAACAATGGACACAGTTTATGTGCTAGACCAAAAATGGTTTGTTTCACCCTTCACTAGCTGCAGATATGTGAAAGAGCTATAATGCTGAACCCAAAGACATTATGCAAGGACTTACTGTTTGGGTTTCAATGGTGAAATGATTCCTAACTGGATGAAACTCAAGTCTTACACGATAGTACATAGTTGAAAGGAAGAGAGAGATTATTATAAAATAACTTCTTTTTCTGACATGCAGAAATAGTGGAACAACAGTGTTTTTTTCTTTTATTCTTTTCAAAGATAGAAAAATGTAGGTATTAAATATGATAGAATGTGGAGAAACTGACAAAAAATGCAGTTCTACAGATTTTGGGAACCATGACTATGTGTACTTTCATTTCCAGTACATACACCCTTATTATCCTGATGAAATACTACGCAATTCTGTATCCTCAGCTGTGGTGGTGTTATCTCATCATCATCGTCATCACTGTTTCAGGAAGGAGGATCAAGTGGGAGGTAACGAACAAAAAGGTAGCAGATAAAGATACAGAGAAAGGGACAGAGCAAAGGAAAAAAAGAGGAGAGGAAAGGAATGAAATGAGAACTCTTGGCAAAGATTGAGATACATAATGGGGTTAGAGATTATAAAAATAATATGATAGCATATGATCTGCAAAGGAATTTGTTGTTTATAAAGAACTTTAGTGTATGTTATCTAATTTAAATTTTATGAAAGTTGTTAATGATGTTTTATTATCCAAATAATAAAACATTATGGATCCATTATGGATGAGGAAATATGAATAGGGCTGAAAGAATACAAGTTGATCATTATTTTTCCTTTTAATATATTTACTGAATGGCTACTTTGTTGCTAGTCAGTATGCTAAGTGCTGGAAATAGAAATGTTTGCAAAGTGAGCATGATGTCTGCCCTTATAACCTACAGTCTAGTATAGGAGAAAAGTGTATTCAAAATTATAGAAACAACTGTAAAATTGCAACAATTTAAGGAACATGGTACTATGAAAACATAGGATAAAAGGATTTGATATAGTCAGATCCTTTTTTGACAAACACATTGCACAGTTATCTTGCTTGAATCTGTTTTATGAATATGCTTCACTGAAATGTGATTCTACACTGAGGAATCAATAAACATTTTCAAGCCACTCTTGCGTTTTTTAAATTAAATAAGTTTCCCAAGGTATAAATAAAAACCTTACTTTATTTTTACACACAGAACTCCCTGCCTTTACAGTGCGACCATTTATTGGATCAAAATTCTATACTTTGTAGTCTTTAGTCAAGAAATGGCCAACAAGGTCACTTAAGGTCTATTCTAGACATATTTTAACTACCACTTACTTCCCCAGCTTTGAAAGTATCACTCATAGCCTGTCAGCCAGATGATTAAAGTCTATGCCTCTAGTCCCTAGGGTTTTCCTTTTTTAGACCTCTCAGAGTAAATGCTAGCTTTATGCAACACCAGATATAAGAGACTGATCAGACAAGATTTGTACTCATAAACTTCTGCTCTAGAAGAAAAGCACACAATATAACTACTGAACATCCAATAGTACTTTTACTCTAAGGACTTAAAACCTAAGTGAACACCATCTTCTCAAATAACCCCTAATAGTTAGTTCATTAATCCTTCTAAGAGCTCATGGCCAAGGTTGATAAGAATAAACAGGACACTAAAATACAAGGAGTTTAACTGCTATATTCTGGGTTCCCCAAATTTAATAAGACCTGGAGTCATGAGGCTCCTTTTTCTCAATATAGACACTCTACAAGGACTTTTGAATGAAATGACCAGTATTTACCTTTCCTAGAAATGTGGATATTACCTAAAGTGTTAATCTATTTGGTAGTTTCTTCCTCCACATTTCATATTTTACTTAAGAATCTTCACACTAAGGTAAACTTTGTAAGCTCTGATTATTACCCAAAATTTGGAGTTTGAATATTTTGTAATAATGCTTTTTAAAATATTATTTTGATAAATATTTTCCATGTAATAATATCTGGACTAAATTTCAACAGTACTATCTTTCAGTCCACCTTACAGTAAGTTTATCTTTTCATATCCCTCTAATTTGCCTCCAGTAAATTATTAGATATCTTATAGCTACTGATTTCTTACTTAATTCCATTGTGGTCAGAAAACATACTTTGTATGGTTTGTTTCCTTTTTTGGTGAACATAGCATGTACACTTGAAAATCATGTGTATTCTATAGTTGTGGGTATTATTTTGGTTCAGGTGGTTGATAGTGTTGTTCAGATCACTTATGTCTTTTTTGAATTTTGCCTAGCTCTTCTATCAAATGCTGAGGGAAGAGTGTTGGTATCTCTATAATAATGAAATAATCTATAGCTGCCTTTAATTCTGTTCTTTTTTGCTTCATACATTTTGATGCTCTATTATTAAGTATACCTGTATTCATGATTTTTATGTCTTTCCTATGGATGGAACTTTTATCATTATAAAGTGTTCCTTTTTGTATATGGTTTTATTTTGTCTTGAAGTCTTATTTTATCTGATACTGATATTGAGTCCCTTCTCATCACTTTCTTATGCTTATTGTTTGCATAATATATCTTTCCCATCCCTTTACTTTTAATGTATTTATGTTTAAAGTGCATTCTCATTGTCTATGAGCCTTTCTTGTTAATCCTTCATCAAAATCCTAATTTTTAATTTGAGTGTTTAGCTCATTAACATTTATTGCAATTATTGATATGATTAGATTTAGATATCATGTTTTATTATTTGATTTTTGCTTGTACTATTCTTTTAACCTTTGTTCCTCCTTCTTTTGGATTATTTGTATTTTTTTAGGATTCCATTTTGATATATCCATTGACTTTTTAGCTATATCTGTCAACATACACAATAAACTTTTTACAGTCTGCTGAGGGTTAATATTACTTAATATAAATTATAGAAACTTTGTATATGTATAGGGTCATTTACTGCAACTCTCCATCCTTTGTCATATGAATTACATCTATATACTTAAATCCCACAACACGATGGTATAATTTTAAAAACAATTATATGTATTTTAATAAGAGGAGATAATGTCTTTTATATTTACCAATATATTTGCCACTTCATATTCTCTCTATTTCTTCCTCAAATTCTGAGCTTCCAGCTAATACTATTTCTCATCACCCTGAGAACTTCCTTGAACATTTCTTGTAGTGCAGGTCAGCTAATAGTAAATTTTCGTCACTTATTTGAAAATGTCTTTATTTTATCTTCACTTTTGAAGGATATTTTTACTTGATGTAGAATTCTCGGTTGATGGATTTTTTCTTTAGCACTTAAATGATTTTATTCCACGGTCTTCTGGCCTCCATTGTTTCTGAAGAGAATCGAGCAGTCATTTGAATTATTGTTTCCTTGTGTTTATAGGTCATTTTCCTCTGGCTGCCTTCAGTGTTTGCTGGATTTCTCTTTTGTTAAATAATGCCCCCTCCTTTCTCTCAAAAACACACTTAAATTTCAGTGGCTGTGGTTGTACTATACATTGACCTCTGTTTCTTCATGTGAGAGAGACTGTGGGTTTTCTATTGGAGTTTTAGTCGCTCCATGCAGTGCCTACTGTAGCTCAACCTCAGTCTAAAAGCCTTTCTTCACCTCGTTAATTCTCACTCATCGATCAAGACTCAGCTGATTAATCTGAGTCTCTAGATTCAACTAGATGTGTCCAAGTGTTGGGAATGCATTTGGTTGCATTTAACAGAAAATACTACTACAGTGATTTGAGCAAAACTGGGTTTGTTTTTCTCACCTAATATAAAATTCAGGGGTAGACAATTCAAAACTGATATAGCTGCTCAGACAGGTCATTAAGAACGTATTTTTTTCTATCTGCTCTGCTATTTGAATAAACCTTTTATTTTTATAGTTTCAAGTTGAAACATATATTCTTGGGCATTACATTCACTTCCCAGGTAGGCAGAATAGGCAAGGAAAATTAGTAGGATGATCAAGTCATCCTAGTTTGCCTGAGACTTCTTCATTTTTAAACTTAAAATCCCAAGTTCCATTAGTTGAACTAAAAAAAAAAAAATCACATGGCCTGTCACCCATGATTTGTGTTTTTCATGCCTATAAAATATTCTGTACGATTGCAAAATAAAAATTCAAGTGTATTCGTCCTTTTGAAGAGATGGGATATGACCAAGCTGCAGTCACAGCTCACATTAACAATGTTGAATTATTATTAACTACGGCTAGATTCCTTGAATCATGGCATTTAGTCTCGTTGATTATCTCCAGAGAATGCTATTTCAAAATTTACTTAGATAACTTTATCTTAGGATCTTTCCAGACAAATAGCTTACTTAAATATTGATATCACTCTTGGTTATTTTATCTAGTTTTTAAAGTAATAGTTCAATATTTATGTTATAAAACAAAATGCATATAATAAAAAGGCAAAATCAAAATACATATTGCTGTAATGTTTTCAAATGTAAGTGCAAACAGTAAAATAAGGCCAAATAAGCTCAAAGAGATCTCAATGTTCTAATGAGAGATCTCAATTAATAAAACAATAAGTTAAAACATGGATATACTGAAGTTAAAACAGAATCATTTATATCTATGTTAAACACACTAGAATAAAATTTAAATATTGATGTTATAGAGAGTAAATATATGTCTTTTTGGTTGGTAGAGTTGCCTTAAACTGTTTCTGTTGTCAAAGGAGTTTAGGATATGCAACAAATCATCAATATTAGTAACAAATTCCAAGGAAATTGAAATTTATTTCTAGCCTGTCCATTAATTGCTTCCTTCAAGGCATAAAATAGCATTTCATAGCCTTAGGAGCAGAATATAGATATTTCCATGGTAAACATAAGACCGTATAATCTGACTAATAATTATGTAAGGTGTTTCTTATATAACCTGATATTATGTAAGCACAGTTAGGGATGTGTAGCATCTGTCTAGTGTTGTAAAAACACAAAACAAACATAACAGCCACTAGCATTTTCTTTTCCCTTGCTTCATTTTTCCCTTCTAATTTTTCCATAAACCAGTGACCACAAAGAGTGAATACTAATAAAGGATCCCTTACCTTTTAATGAAAGCACTTTCATACATCTTCTCTTATGCCTAAGAATTATTTGACAAAAATGCCTCTCAGCTGTGTTTCAGCAGTGTAAAATGTGTTTTTTTTCCTACAAATGAAACTGAGCAATTCGTTTTAATACAAATGGTCCTGTAGGCAAAAAATGAATTATATTTTTAGAAGTATTCCCTGACCCCAAGACTCTGAAGGAGCTACTCTTCTGACTTCAGTTGCCAAATTAAACTAAGTAGAAAGGTAATTGTCTTCCCTGAAGGGCTTGGCAATAAAAACTGCTAGAAAGCTTTGTTTATGGATATGGAGATATTCGAGTAGAATGTGGTTCTTCTCCATACATTTTAATAAATTATTAATAGAAGAGGAATGAGAGTTCCCAGTTATATAGCCTCATTGGTGACCCATATATCAAGTCCAGGCCATCCCTTTATCTTAACCCTATAGTCACAGCCTAGTCCAGGACCTAGAGAACATTCTTTTTCCTTAGCTTGTTTATTTTGTTTGGAATTTAGTCCTTCATTGCCAAATACGTCTCCCTTCTTAGCCCATTATTTTTAATATAATGTATCTTCCCAGTTAGTGCTCTTAACCACCAAGCTATACTCTTCCCTCAAACTCCCAGTATTTTCAATTGTCTATCAATAATAAAGATAAATATTATTTAGGATGTGTTTTTCTAAATCTTTCTCATCTCCTAGTGTTTCAAAGAGCAGAAATACTGTGTAGCAATTATACTGGTACACTGCATGGTCAACTCTCAGCGGTCTAGCATGCAAAGAGGAGGTGATCGTTCTATCACATGGAGACAGTATAATGTTATGAAATCTCCTTTAGTGAATTATTCTTATTTGTTCAATTGTTATGTTTCATCAGAACTTCTATTATGTCCACTATCGTTAGAACTTATTTGAGTAGCTGCTCATGCAAACAAGACTTTATGTTCCATCCTTTTATATGTAAATTAAAAAATTATTCTTCAGCCAACCATATTATTCTATAATTAGCTTAGCAACACAAAGCAACCAGTTCTCATGTATCTGGACCAAGAAGCCACACACAGAAGTAATCATATCATATACTACACCTTCCCCTTGCAGGTTTACCTCTTGCCATGACTTCAAGTCAGTGCATAATTGTAAGTAAACTCTAGGTAATATCAAAGAAGGCATCTTCTGTCTGATAGTATATGAAAAGTGTAGAAATTAAAGAGGAGTAGAAATGAGTAAGGTGGGTAAATGGAAAATACTACAAAGTGCTGGAAACTTCAGTTTTACAAACATGTCTATAGATTCATATTTTCTTTCTAGAGAGGGATCCCGCAGGGACTTTGATTTAATTAATATAATGCCAAAGCTCAGCGAAGGAGTATAAATATTCAATAAATTCTTATGTAATACTATAATTGACTGAAGAATAATTTTTCATTTCCCATTAAAAAATGGTATTCGTGTGGACTGAAGAGTAGAATATACTATCAGACAGGTAGAGAAACAATACTGGATTTAGAGTCAAACAGGGCGATCAGAGTCTTATCCACTGGCTAGTGGTACAAGCTCAACTAAATCACTTCACCTGTCTTTTCTTCAGTTTTCTCATTTGCAGAGTGGAGACTGGAATCTTTCTCACAGGGTGTAATGCGAAAAAATGTTTTAGAGAAGGCGGAAGCAGTGGTGTCCGCAGCTGGGGCTTGGCCTGCGGGCGGCCCGCGGAGGTGGCGACGGCGCCCTTTGGTTGCAGAGTTTGACGTCCAAGCAGCCTCTGTGTCCGTCCTCTACCAGCGCCTTGGCTGAGCAGAGTCGTGCGCCTGCCCGCCTGGTTCGGCCGCCCGCCCCGTGCACTTGAGCGAGCAAGTGATAATCAAGTTACTATAAGTCTGCTAAACTGTGAAAACAGGTGTGGATCCAGCCAGTCTCAAAGTGACTACTGTGTGGCCATGGCCAGCTCCTGTAGCGCAGCAACAAAAAATGATAGTGTGGGCAGAACTGCCAGCACGGGGAACCTCTTCAGCTCCTTTATGGAGGAGATCCAGGGATATGATGTAGAGTTTGGCCCACCCCTGGAAAGCAAGTATGAATGCCCCATCTGCTTGATGGCATTACGAGAAGCAGTGCAAACGCCATGCAGCCATAGGTTCTGCAAAGCCTGCATCATAAAATCAATAAGGGATGCAGGTCACAAATATCCAGTTGACAATGAAATACTGCTGGAAAATTAACTATTTCCAGACAATTTTGCAAAACGTGAGATTATTTCTCTGATAGTGAAGTGTCCAAATGAAGGTTGTTTGCACAAGATGGAACTGAGACATCTTGAGGATCATCAAACACATTGTGAGTTTGCTCTTATGGATTGTCCCCAATGCCAGCCTCCCTTCCAAAAATTCCATATTAATATTTACATTATGAAGGGTTGTCCAAGGAGGCAGGTATCTTGTGACAACTGTGCTGCATCAATGGCATTTGAAGATAAAAAGATCCATGACCAGAACTGCCCTTTGGCAAATGTCATCTGTGAGTACTGCAATACTATACTCATCAGAGAACAGATGCCTAACTTTATGACCTAGACCGCCCTACAGCCCCAATTCCATGCACATTCCGTACTTTTCGTAGCCATGAAAAGATGCGGAGGAATCACTTGGCACGCCACCTACAAGAGAACACCCAATCAAACATGAGAATGTTGGCCCAGGCTGTTCATAGTTTGAGCCTTATACCCGACTCTGGGTATATCTCAGAGGTCCGGAATTTCCAGGAAAGTATTCACCAGTTAGAGGGTCGCCTTGTAAGACAATGTCATCAAATCCGGGAGCTGACTGATAAAATGGAAACTCAGAGTATGTATGTAAGTGAGCTCAAACGAACCATTCGAACCCTTGAGGACAAAGTTGCTGAAATTGAAGCACAGCAGTGCAATGGAATTTACATTTGGAAGATTGGGAATGAATTTGAAATGTTAAGAAGAGCAGAAACCTGTTGTGATTCATAGCCCTGGATTCTACACGGGTAAACACAGGTACAAACTGTGCATGCGCTTGCACCTTCCGTTACCGACTGCTCAGCGCTGTGCAAACTATATATCCCTTTTTGTCCACACAATGCAAGGAGAGTATGACAGCCACCTCCCTTGGCCCTTCCAGGATACAATATGCCTTACAATTCTTGATCAGTCTCAAGCACCTGTAAGGCAAAAACCACGAAGAGATAATGGATGCCAAACCAGAGCTGCTTGCTTTCCAGCGACCCACAATCCCACGGAACCCAAAAGGTTTTGGCTATGTAACTTTTATGCATCTGGAAGCCCTAAGACAAAGAACTTTCATTAAGGATGACACATTATTAGTGCACTGTGAGGTCTCCACCCGCTTTGACATGGATAGCCTTCAGAGGGAGGGTTTTCAGCCACAAAGTACTGATGCAGGGGTATAGCTTGCCCTCACTTGTTCAAAAACAACTACCTGGAGAAAACAGTGCCTTTCCTTGCCCTGTTCTCAATAACACGCAAACAAACAAAAATGCCACGGGAAAGATGTAGTATCTACTAGCCAGTTTTGGTTAGAGAGGTCACTTACTATTTCTTCCTCTTACAAATGATCTGAGGCAGTTTTTTCCCGGGAATCCACATGTTCCATGCTTTTTCAGAAATGTTAGGCCTGAAGTGCCTGTGGCATGTTGCAGCAGCTATTTTGTCAATTAGTATACCTCTTTGTTGTACTTCCTTGGGCTTTTGCTCTGGTGTATTTTATTGTCAGAAAGCCCAGACTCAGAGTACTAAACTTTTAATAATAATGAACTTTCCTTAAAACTTCAATCTATTTTTATAGCATTATATACAACATATTAAATGTGAAAATCACAAAAATGGGAGAAATTATGAAATGTAAATGGTACAAAAAGTAAAATGGTATTTTTAAGGTAGAATGTTTTTTAAAATGCTTAACATTTTATCTAATCAAAGAGTCTCTGCAGTCTTTATACTTAGAAGTTCAGTCATATAAAAAAGACATGTAGTCTCAAAATTCAAAGGAATCTTAAGATATCAGATTTTAATGTCCTCATTTTACGTTTGAGGAATTTTATGACTAGTGAAGCTAAGTACATTGTCCAAATTTATGAGCTATATTTGTGTTTGTGCTAGAGTTCCTTTTATCACATTAAAAAATCATTCTTTGTTAAAGTATTATATATTTTACTTCATTTCACTTTAATAAGTTATGGAAAAATATTTGTCAATACATTCTGCTACTCACACAATGGGGGGGTTTGGTCACTTGGTGAGTATAAGCCTAATGACACTGACCAAGGAGCATTTAGCAGGGAGATTTTATTACTTATAACAAGTAAGGAGAACATTGGGATAGTCCCTAAACCAGTGCCTCCCTGAACCAGGGGCTGGGTCAAGTCGTATAAGCATAGGGTAATGAGATGTGATCTGATTGAATTTTCAATGCAGTGATGCCAAGAGGCATGATCTGATTGGATCCTGCCATGGGGTGATGACACGACTGTATCTGATTGGCCCCTGGATCCTGCCATATGGTGTCTGCTTCTTAATTCAGTCCTCACTCCTGGTCAGAGCACTTAGGCTCCACCCAGGTTTGCACACTTGGTTCATCCGGACATGCTCAGGTTACCTGACCTTCAACCTGGAGTCCATGGAAACTGAAAAACAACTCACAACTTTGTTACATAAAAGTTGAACCAGATTAGTTTGATGCAGTTACAATTCTACATAATAAATATGGATGCCTAGATTAGGGAGGTTAAAATGTGCCATCTTAAGGCACTCCAGACATTCAGGATAGAACTGGGGAAATACACACACACACACACACACACACACACACACACACACACACACGTCCTGATAATATGCCTTTAAACATTCTTCCAAAGCTACCTTCAGAAAATCAGTACATTATTTTAATTTGAATGTAAGTTTAGAAAGTTACTATTTCTCATATTTTTAAATACTATTCATCTACTAGCACCGTCTTTGCGTCTGCTGCCTTTTGCCTAGTCCTAATCCTACTACTACATTATTTCCTATCATGTGTGATAGGCTGGTTCCCTAGGATACTCTATTTGTTTTAATAATCAGGAAGGTAAGCCTAAGGTACTGACACCTCTAGACATGCTGCAATTAGTTGATTGCTTTTAGAAGATGTGTATCCAGAAGCTATTTTTTAACCTGTGGTTTTATATTGTTTTCTACCCGTTATTTGCATCAGAACTGTGGGAAATAAAAACTTCTAAAGTCAATGGTATTTTGTTATGACAATCCAAGCTGACTGATACATGAGTAGCTCTAGATATTAAAATATTTTCCTTGGTTGAATTACTGGTAATGGTAAAACAAGTTACTGTGTATGGACAGGAATTTGTACTGTGTGTATAATCTTATTATTGCTTCTTTGCTAGCCTCTTGATTGTGACTGTGTCCTGTTGGATCACCTGAATACAGCTGAATAGTTTTTTTTTTTTTTTAAATTAAAACTTGGCTGGCTTTTTATTTTTTCTCAGTGCTTCCAACTAGTTGGCAGAGTTCATGCTATTTACTTGCTGAGAAACACAGATGCTGTTTCCTGGTATTCAGAATCAACTGAGTCTCTGTGCTGTTTTTATTTGTTCCTTTCCTCCCCTGCTAAATCGATGATGCATGGTTGCCTTTTCATTGTTTTGCTGAGGTTTATTTCCTTGCCTTGCACTTTTTGTTCATTAGACAAACATAGAGCAGTTGATAAATAGTCATTGGGAAAATAACATGTTAGACAAAAATGCAACAATGTGTTTCACAGAAAATGGCATGTCACAGATGCTTTGTGTCTAGAGTAGAACAATTTAAAGATCCTTTGTGTATAGGGAAAAAGCATCTGTTAAAAAAGCCATGGGAAAGCACTATTTCAGTGTGTTTCATAAGTGTTTAAAACTTGGTAAAAGAATGATTGAATGTGCATTTGGCCATAGTCCCAATGCCTTTCTTATACAATCCCATCAGACCCTATACTATACTTCTCTAATAGCAATTAACACACTGAAATTGCCTCTCTGCTAGGCTGTGTTGTGTCTTCCATAGAATGGACTCTCTTGGAAGTTAGGGATTTCATTTATCTTTGTTTTTCCATCATGTGGCTTGTAAAAGGCTTTCAATACATATTTGTTGTATTGGAGTATGTAAAAATGTTCAATGAATCTGTTTTTATTCAGCCAGCCAATATCATTCCTTAAACATTGGAAAAGCAGTATTTTCTTCCCCTACTGCTCATATACACCAAGACATCCATTTAATAGTCCACATTAGATATTTTTCCACCCAATTAAACTGAACGTGCATGGATAGGATCTTAGGAGGAACTGAAATTTTGAAGCAAGCTTGAAAAGAACAGAAATGATTAATTGCTGGATTAATTTCATTGATGGGAAAGGTTAAAGAGGAACCTTTTTGCTTCAGGAAATAGAATTGCTAAATCAAGAATATGAAAGGCTAAGTAAGGCATGGTCACCCAGGCATTTTTCTTTCCTTGTGGATGAAATGAAGCCTGGTAAAAGGGACCAGATTAGATACAAAGTGGGACTATGACAACAGGAAGACAAAATGCCAGGGCAGGCTGAGGAACCAGGTGAAATCTTTCTTTCAAAGCGGGATGGATTAGCACTTAGTTTTCTGAAACCACATTTGATTATTTAATAATGTATTCAAGATCTATTTTAATTTCTCTATTCAGGATTCATTTTTAAAAATGTTAACCTTTTGCTTTAAAATTATTTTAATGTATAGAAATGTTACAAAGATAGTACAGAGAGTTGCAGTAAACCCTTACCCAACTTCTCCTATGTCAGCATCTTACATAATCATGACACATTTATAAAAATTAAAAACTAACACTGGGACAATACTATTCACTGAATTATAAACTTTATTCAGATTTCCCCAGTGTTTCCACTGATGAACCATTTCTATCCCAAGATTCAATCTAGGATCCTACATTGCATTTAGCAATTCGTAATTCCTTAAATTTAGTTTTTGGGTCTTAAGATTTACTCTGTACAGAGTCCTTATATCAAATTGATTGTGTGTTTTGGCTATTTCCTGATTTTAATTGTCTGCACTTCCTATGTTCACCATTTATTCACCATGTACAGGAGGTTTCTAAATTTCTCTCTAATTCCTAGTCCCTCTCTGGCCCTTTTTCTCTCCGCCCTGCCTCCTCCAGCCTCTACCCTCTGTGCCCTGTTCTCCCTGAAGACACCTTGCCTCTGACTAGACAAGCAATCTACGTAAAGTAGAACAGCTGAAATGCACAATTTTTATTTTCTCTTATGTAATTCGGGCCCTTAGAGAAAACACATAAGCAGAGGTTGTGAAGTCGATCTGACAGCCCTGCTAATGTTATATTTAATTTGTAGTATAACATAAACAACGTGAAGATTTTAATTTTTTTTAGAGTTTGAGATTAAGTAGAAATTTGCTGTTCTTCCCAAGGCTTACCATTTGAAGATATCACTATTCTTTTCGGAAAATAGTGATGTCTTTCAGATAAGCTATCAGTCAAATGAAAGTAAAAGATTTTATTTCAGTCTCTTTAACAGAGAATATTGGAGTCCTTGAATACACTAGTGTGTCCATGTCCATAAACCACTAAAATTATCCAAGTAATATTTTGTTTATAAGTGCATTTTTTTCTAGGGGGAAGGGTTTACAACTCCTCATTAGATTATTAAGAGTGTCTTATGGTTCCAAAAAGCTGAAGAACTATTTCTCTGGGGCTGGAGGTATGGGGACTCTAAATCATCAGACAGGTTTAACATCCAAATTTTAGAAAATAAATTTTTGAGCATTAAAATAGCCCCAAATGTCTTAAGTTTACAAATTAAATGTCCTTTCTTCTCCACATAATAATTTAGGAACTGAAAACAAAATTCACTGCAATCTATCTTTGAATTTGTTACTTTTTCTACCCCATGTTCTTTTTTTTTTTTTAGCAAATGCTTTCTTTTCTCCCTTTATTCCAGAGTCTTTTCAACATGTTATTATTCCTCCTGCCTTTGCCAGTCTCTGTTTCACAAGTCATTCTTTCATAAATCATTCTGAACCCCATTACTTTTCCTGACAAGACTGCTTGCTGGCCATTTTTCTGCTGCCTCCTCCATTCTGTTTCCTATAGCTCTGCTTGCTTGAAGGAAGTGCTCTGGCTAACAGAATGTGTAACCATAGGGACTGTCGGTGCCAATAGCATACCAAAAACACAGTCTGGAAAAACATTAGCCTGACCCTTTTGTGGGATCTTCTTAACAGAAACAGCCCATGTCCCTGGGTAGAGTTAGAAATTTATAGCATGGGACTAAATTTAAACATAAAACACTCTCCCTTCTTATTTGAGGAGACATACTTTACTTAGTCATTGTAAGGGGAAGGATGGAACGTTAGGAGGATGAAGAGTGGAATATTGCCTCTCCCCCATTCAAATTCAGTCAAATGCTCCCATATTGGTTCCCATAGAGTGAGATAATTCCTCTACCCATTCGTACCCCTACTAAAAGCCACATGATATATAAACAGCTTTGTTTCATTGTCTATGATTTCTAGCAGCTATAATCATCTCAAATCTTGTTTTCAAATGTAAAATGTAGACTGTGACTTAATAATGATGATATACTATGGTGTGATTATCATTATCATAGTTTTGTTTATTGATCTATATATACCTCTGTACCAGACAGTTATGTCATTATCTCTAAATCTCACAAGAGTACTATGAAGTAAATATTATTATTATTATTCTCATTTTTCTTATAAGGAAACTGAGGCTTAATAAATTGCCCTGGGTTACTCTGCTGGCAAGTGGTAGAATTGGCCTTGCACAAAAGCGTGCTTGTGGTTGAAGCTCAAGCTTGCAAACCGAAAACTATAGTGCACTCGATTGATCGGTCGAAATGACCTGCACTTGTCAGGAATTGGAGACAAGAATGAGGATGACAAGAGGCAAGAGAAGAGAAAGCAGAAATAAAAGGTATTGATAGAAGACTCTTGATTAAAATTGTATCAAGATGTCTGTGCTTAACTAGATTTCCTTTTCCTTCAGGTCAGTAATTTCCCTTTAAATGTCTTATACATAATAGGTGCTTTAAAAAAACTCTAAAAATTGGAAGGCAAAGGAGGAAGGAGAAAGGACAGATGGGCTTAATAGGAAATGGGGAGAGAATGAGGGATAGCCATGAAGAATGAAGAAAGGAGATAGCAGTAAATAGTAAAGGGTAAATAAGAGAAAATAGAAGACGCAGACAAAAATTGAGGCAGAGGAAGACAAAAAGAGAAAACCCCAGCTCGTTCTCACTTTCTGGCCTTGAAAACTCATCGCCTTCTTAAACTCTGGACTTAAGTGACAATCATTATGGAACTTAGCCCTGTGAAATATTAGCTAGCTGATTAATCTCTGAGCATAGCTTTTCAATGATTATTTCATCCTTCATGTCATTTACAATCAACAAATATCCTGAGGGCCCCTATGACTGTCAAAGCATTGAAGGAGAAACAAAGATGACCAAAAGTTTAAAACATATACATGGGTAACAACACCCCGAAGGGAAAGGTGTTGTAAGTGCTATAAGAGGATTGATGAGGAGAAATGACCTCTGGTTTGAATGGAGAAGAAAATGAAAAACTTGCTGAGTGAGGTGATTCATTACTTGCTAAATGGGTAAAATTATAAGGACAGATTGGGAGGAATGGAATTGAGCAGAAGATACTTAATGAAGAGAGAACATAATTAACAGTGGTACAAAGGTGGAAAATTTGGGGGAATCATTCATCTTGCTGGAATGTAGCACACCTATCTCTCCACTTGCTAGTCACTCCTCATTTTCAGTCACTCCCTTGCCTCCATCTTTCTAGCAGTTATTTCTTACCCATGTTTAGTCTCCTTTACCACTTCTCTTCCTCTGCCCATCCCATAAGTATTAGTGTTTGTCAGTACTAATACTAATATTATTACTAATACTAATAATATTAGTATTAGACATCTGATCTAGAGAATGCACTTACTTTTTATCAACCAACTTGGGCCTTCTTGGCTTTACCTATCTCTGAAGTCCTTTCCCCTTTGTTTCACTCCTGCCACTACCATGGTGACCAGCTTTGGGTGGGCTTTGCTAGTGACTGCCTGACTAAATTCACATGGGTCTGACCAGCAGCGCCATCATGCCCACTGTAAGCCTCTTGCCTTCCAACTTGTGGCTTTCCTGTGGCCAGTGATTCATAAGATGCTACAGATCCTACTTGTCACCCATGCAAGGAGCAACTCAAAAGCAGAGATGTGTGTATTGAAGGGTGGGAAAAGTGAAAAAGTTAATGACACTAGGGCAAGTATTTGACCAATGGAGGATTTGGGGGTGATATAGTCTTCCTTTCTGACTCCTTCCCCACCCAGTTATGAGCTCACGTCTCTTGAAGAATGGTCCCACTTAATATTAAGCAGCATCCAACTGGGTAAAACAAGCTTCTGTTAGCTCATTTTTCTTCCTTATCTAATTCCCCCTTTTCATCCCTGCTTCCATGTGATTGCACTCTCTCTAAAAAAAAAAAAAATAATAAAATAAAATAAAAAAAATTGTAGGACAGCAGCTTCAACCCAAGGGTCTGCTTTCTAGAGAGCTAAGTCTGAGTCATAAACACTCTTATTTTCTCATTTTGTTTGTTCCCTTAGCCATCTTATCTAATTCTTTTGTTTCAACTACCATCTATGTACATACGTGTTCCCCAATCTGTATCTCTAACTCAAACCTTTCTTCTGTGTTCCAGATACAACTATTTAAATGTCTTATGTGTATTTCTATTTGGATTTCTGACAGCTGCCTCAAACTTCTCTAAAATTGAACTAAACACTGTCTTCCATCATCCAGTTGCCTAAACCACTTATCTGGGAATCATTTCTAGCAAGTCCCTCTCCCTCACCCTTTGATTCTATTTATCACCAATGCTTACCAATTCTCTTTCCTGAAATTCTCCCCAGTTCATCCATTTCTCCTCGTTCTTACTGCCACACTCAAGCTCAGGTCACCAATATGTCTTCATCAGATTCTTGCAACATCTTCCTACAGGGCTCCTGGCCACATGCCTTATCTTGTTCAAATCCCTACTCCATTCTAGAGCCAGATTATGTTTCCAAAAATCACAAATTTTATCTTCTTACAACCCTGCTGAAAGGCCTTCAATAGCTTTAAGATAAAGTCCAAACTTCTTAGTGTGACTTCCGAAACTCCTAATGCCCTCTACTGCTTATCTCCTGACTCTGAACTCTTGATTCTACTCTATCACCTTTTACCTTGCCATGTTGAATGGCTTTTGCACTCTCTTTTACTCGCTGTTGTTTGTTAAGACATGCTTATGTCTCTTAATATTCAAAAGGATCATTTTTCCTTTTTAAATTTTACTCCTCTCTAATTTTACTCATTATTTTCATCTCAACCTGAATTACATTTACTCATGAATTAGAGCTTGAGATTCAGGATACAATGCAATTTTGAGTAGTTTCAATCTCTAAATTGGGGGTTACAATATAGATGGTTCAGGCTGCAGAGTTGGAAGAGTTATCGAAACGTATTATGAAGATGAAAGGGATGATGGCTGGCAGAGGGGAAAACTGAGCTACTTGCTGAAGGCATTTAAGCACAGTCCTTGGGATGAGTACACAACAAAGTGAGGATCCTGCTTTGATAAGGGATTGTCATTACGGATTACCATGGAAGAGGTTACTCCCTGGGCTGCCAAGTCAGTGACTACTATAGCAACTACATTTAAATAAGCCTGACTGTGATCCTTGGTATAATGGTCTACCTCCAACAGAACTTCAGCTACATCCAGAGGGAGCTCAACAGCTATAGTTGGAATCCCAGGCAGTTCCAGTGGCACAAAACATTAGAATTATGAAGGTAGACAGAGACTACTGTTATTTCATACTCTAGAAAAAATAGATACTTCCATATACAGGACTGATTATAGGACCAATATTTAATAGAGGTTAAGTTGGTAGAAATGAGTCTATTTTGTTGATTAATAAATTCTGTGGACCTATCATAATTCAGACTTCTAATTTAATTTGCCTATGTAGATAGAGTCTTTTACATTTTTATACCTCAGGCCCAACATTTGTAGGCCAGTAAATAAATTCTACTTAGAAGACTCAAACAACAAAGCAAAAAACCAAAAAAATGATCTTTCCATTTATTAAAAATAAGAACCCCTTGAAAGATCTCTATCTGCCTGCACACACCAAATGGTAGTTTTCAGCTGTGCCAGCAACACATGACAAGTGGAATTGATTGTTTGATTCCTAAGTATCTCAAAATACCTGGCACAACAAAGTCCTGACATTGGTTTCATATTTAAATTATATTTTGGCTGTTTAACCAAAAAGTCATCTATTTGCTTATTTATTCATTAAACAAGTATATATTAAACACAGGGTACCATCTCTGCTCTGATGGAGCTTATAATCTATAAACAACTGATGGGTATTAAAATATTGGTTCATTAATTACAGTGTCTCTTAGTGGTAAAATGAGAAATATCCATAAGTTCTTTTGACCCTGTGGGTTCAAGGCTAGAATTATTCAAAAATAATACTAAACTGGGGTAAAGCTTTTTTCCCTTAAGTTTTCATGTGTAAGTTCATTGCCCTAATAGACTCATCTGTGAGTTAGTTAAAGATATTTATCTAAGTTCCATGCATGAGTTCTTTTGGACAGAAGAATTGACTCACCTACGAAGGATGTGTGACAATATCCAGAGAGCTGTTTTCCTACTTCTTGGCTCAGGTACCTGACAATGGATGAGCTACAAAGCACAATGTGTTAGGTAACTGATTTAGCAACTTCTTCCACATCTGAAACCTGAGAGGCAGTTTGTCCTCACCTGACAGACAAGCACACTTCTAAATGGCTTTTCTGACGTCCTATCATGAGTCAACAACAGCATAAAGACTAGAATCTGTGTGTGACCAAAGTGCCACGCTTTTATCTTAACTTCTCTCAGGCCATCCTTCCTCTTGAAGAATATTATCTCTTATGTCCAGAAAGAATAGATAAAAATAATTGATTCCAAAGTGCTGTTCTGATACTACATCCCCAGAAACAGACCTATAATGAAGCAAATGGAAAATGTATTCTTATTGTGGTGATTATTCATTGATCAATGGGGCCATCAATTTAGAGTTGGACTTAAATGGCTTTAAATAAATAATTTACAGTGCGTATTGGGACAGAGGTGGTCAAAGAAAACAGATGGTATGAAATTAGTTAGAACAAGACAAATTGAAAACTCACTGGTATCTGGGGGAAAAGAAAGGTAACTCAAGCGAGACGTCAGTGTGAACTGGGGAGTTCAGTTAACAGTGCTGCCAAAGCTCAAAGTAAAGAAACGTGCTGTCAAGGCTGACAAATGGAGAAAAGAATTCTCAGAGTAGGAAGGGATAATTAGAGAACCTCTTTGGGAGCCTTCAGAGGCCACAGAGAGAAAAATGGCCCCTTCAATCCTGAGAAGCCTGTCTAGCTGAACGAAGGGGAAGTGCTCCTGGCTAGAAGCCTGAGGTTGAGATTAGGGGAGAGTCAGAGGGAGGAAGAGACACAAAGAGAGACCAGGGACTGGGAGGCCTGTGCTTGGGAGTCTTTCAAGGCTCACTAAGAAGTAAGTGGGAGGGAAAGGTTCACAGTTGCAAAGAGCTGAGGAGAAACTAGAGAAGGCCAAAGGAACAGAGGCTTTTGGAACTCGTGGGGGAGGATAACTTGTAGGGGACAATTTCTTTCAGTAGGGTCTTAAGTCTATGGCTATAATTTCACCTCAAGTTTCTGGCACTTGCATAAACCACTGAAGTGTCTCAGCTTTATAGAAACATTTGGTGGGACTGATGCCCCATAACTCAGTTTCCCCTAATTTATCTGTATGTAACACATGTTTCTTTAGTGAAGGGACTGTTGAATTTTCAGACAGCACAGAAAAATAACACTTTTCACTACAAAAATAATACTTTTTAAACAGCTGTCAAAAATCCATTATTAGAAAATCAATTCTAGACCTGATTTCCAACAACAGATTAGAGATACTCAGCAAGTGACTTTCAGAACACTGTGGAGTATGTTTTCTTATTTTTAGACCAGGCATTCTTCCAAAATCTTTGTTGGAGCTGCTTTTTCCTATCCATAGGCAATATCTAGTTGAGAGTCTTCCAACATTACTGCACTCCCAGAAGAAAATATTTCTTATGTCCTTAGTATAAAACCTAATACCCTTTTTCTAAGAGTTTTAAGTGGTTGATTTGCATTTTCCAAGTGATTAATGATGTTCAGCATCTTTTTGTGTGCTTACTTGCCAGCCATACCACTACACAGTCATTACAGAATGCTAAGTTAAAAAAAAAATCAAAGAATCCAAAACTGGCACTACCAAGTTCTGGCAAAGATGGGGAACCCTGAGGGCTTTCAAAGATTGCTGTGGGGAGGTATAATGGCAAAACTCTGGAAAATAGTTTGTCAGTTTTTTATGACATTAAACCTACACTTACTATATGACCCAGAAATCCCACTCCTAATTATTTACCCAGAAAAATGAACACTTACATTAACATAAAGATCCGTACAAAAACATTTAAGCAGCATTTATTCACAAGTGCCCCAAACTGAAAACAACTGAAAGTTTCTTCAACAGGTGAATGGCTAAACAAATTACAGCAAACTCAAATAATAGAATATTATTCAGCATTAAACAGAAACAAACTATTGATCCATGTAAAAATATGGATTAATTCCAAATACAGTCTAGTAAATGAAATAAGCCAGTCTTTAAAAAATTACATACTAAATCATTGATTTACATGTCATTCTGGAAAAGGCAAAAACTATAGTGACAGAAAACAGATCAGTGGCTGTGTGGATGGGGGTAGTGAGTTACAGATGAGGGAAGGGTATGACTCCCAGAAGCAGCACAAAGGAATTTTGGGCATTATGGAACTGTCTTTTTCCTGACTGTGATATTAGTTACATGAATCTATGCATGTGTTAAAACTCATAGAGCTGTATATTCCTCAAAAATAGGTGAATTTTAATGGATGAAAATAATAAATATATATTTCTATATGATATATATAGATTATATATACATATATACATTATATATACTATATATATATAAATATATGTGTGTGTGTATATATATATTTGTTGAAGGAGTTTGTCTTTGCCAAGTGAATAGAAGTGGCCTTCACTCAGATTAGCTTTTTAATTGTGGATAGTCACACTATATCTAGACTTTAACTTTCTGTCTTGAAATTCTGATTTAATGCCTTGGAAAGGTAGGACCCAGATTCAGGTCTTACGTAGTCATTTTACTTATCTTTTATGAACAGAGAACTGATGGGAAATCTCTTTACTGCAGAGAAAACAGCTCCATTTGAAACAAAAGTGTTAATTTATTCTTATTTTTTAAAAGTTCACTTCACAGATTTTACTTGCTTTGCTTTCAGTATACAGAAAAGGGTCTCGATGGGCCAGAGCTGAAACTGGGTAAGTCTGTAATGCACAGGGAGGTGACATTCCTCTCCACTCACCCCATCCCTGAACAAGTATCAATTTGCATCTACAGAGTCTTCTGGGGGTGGCGGAGGTGGGGAGGCTCACTAGAGGGAAGGATGGGTGGCAGCAGAGGCCGGATAATGGAAAGAGATTGCAGGGCTACTGATATCCAGTGAGTTATTAGACACATAAAATCTGGTTCCATGAGGGGTAGATTCAGCAACAGGGCCTGAGAGTAGGAGGGAGGCAGTGGGTTGGAGTACAGAGCAATGCCTGAAAATCTATTCCAATGGAAAATGCCATCTTTAGGCACAGGTAACATGGCTTTTTCCTTCCTTTGGTACCTAAGTGTCACACAGAGGGAACCTTGTTCTTCTGCATTACAGATGGCTGCAAATCTGTGCATTATTAAGAAAATTTGAAGTGTTTGAGCCAGTTTAACAGAATGACTAGAGGCAGAAGCCAGGGAAATGCTAAGAAGAGCTTAGAGGTAGAAGTTCCAGCAATATTGGAATGGAAATGACACTGAGGAACCCTCCCTTGCCTCCCACCTCCATGGCTCCAAACACATAGAAATGTTGAATAATAATATAGCAAAAAATTATGATGAAATGCAATGAAGAGAAACGTTAGATGATAAAACAGCAAAGAAGAAACATGAAAACAGGATAGTAAGCATGTGAGCTATTGTCCTAATGACTGCCTAGTGGAGGTATTTTTTCCAAACATAACTCTAATGTCCAGGAAGCTGGGTTTTAGTGCCCATGCAAGGGGCTGAAATATAGCTTGGCCTTTGCCAAAAGCTGAAAGATAGAACTGAGATTTTTGCACAGATCTCAAAGCTGGGATGATAAAACGATTGCCTCTTCTGTAAAGTTGGGTCTGGAATTGGCAAGGTATCATTAGTCTGGGACTCTGGGTAAAAAAGGAAATTTGGGGACAAAGTTAAACTAAGTTAAAAATTAAGTACTAGTACTAGTAAATAATGTTGAGGAAGTTGGATGCGCTTGCTGGAGAGCTTGAGAGAAAGTATCTCAGTTGATATGTGCTCTGAAGACACTACCTATGTCCAAATCCTAACTACAATTTACTAGCTGTGTGTTCTTAGATAAGTTACTTCCCTTAATTTTCTTATCTGTAAAATGTAGATAATAATAGTGCTTACACTCAACAAGTGTTGACTTCATCAATAATAACTCATTAATATTGTATCTCTAAAATGTTTAGAACATTGATTTAAAATATCCTTTTAGAAAAAAATAGAATTTGAAGGGAACTTTCTTAACCTGATTAAGGTTATTTAGAATTCTCTTTAAAGTCAGGAACGGAATAAGAATACCAACTATTACTGCTTCTATTCAACGTTGCACTTTAGTGTCCTATCTCACTAAGAAAAAGAAATAAATAGCATGGGCTATATTTTTCTCTACATGAAAATTCCAAGTGGATTTACAGACAAACTGAAATAATAAGAGTTCATCAAAGTTGCCATGTATGAGATGAAGAGAGAAGAATCAGTGAATTCCTATATACAATTTGAAACAATTTTGAAAATTTAATAATAGTAAAAACTTTCACAATTGAAACAATGAGATAAACTGTCATACACCCAGGAATAAATCTAACAAATGATGTGCTAGAACATTATGGAAAATATAAAATATTATTGCAGGCCATAAAAAAAGAATTAAATAAATAGAAAGACCATGGTCAGCAAATAAGTAACTCATTATCTTACATGTCATTTTTCTGCAAGTAATTTATGCATTTGAGTAAATTCCAATCATAATCCCAACAGGTGTTTTGTTTTGTAGAATTTTATAAGATAATTACAAAATTCATATGGACAATAAAGTGCCAAGAATCGTTGAGGTAATTTTAAATAAGAAAAACAAAAGTGGATGTGATGTGTCATGCAGTTCTCTTTTTACGTTATTGCCCCAAATATTGCCCCCAATATTGAACTTATTGCCCCAAATATTGATAGTGCTGCCAAGAGACACTCCTTAGTTGTCAGCTGCCTTAAGATATTGCCTTCAATCCCGGCTAAAACGGTGAAACCCCGTCTCTACTAAAAATACAAAAAATTAGCCGGGCGTAGTGGCGGGCGCCTGTAGTCCCAGCTACTTGGGAGGCTGAGGCAGGAGAATGGCGTGAACCCGGGAGGCGGAGCTTGCAGTGAGCCGAGATCCCGCCACTGCACTCCAGCCTGGGCGACAGAGCGAGACTCCGTCTCAAAAAAAAAAAAAAAAAAAAAAAAAAAAAAAAAGATATTGCCTTCAACAGTGGGCATGACCTTGAGCTAGATGGCTCTTTTCAACTTCAGATATTTAATATATTAAATGCAATTCAACTTAAGATATATGAAATATCTTAAGTTTAAAAGAGCCATCTAGTTCAAGGTCATGCTGGCTGTCCAGGGCAGTTTCCTGATCCATGCTTGGGACAACCCTGAAAAGCTGTCCCAGCTCCAGAGCTTCCTGTGAGGTTGGCTGAGGCCTTCGCTGGGAATGCATCACACCTCAACTTCTCTGTCTTCCCAGTTCATCTTGTTTTCTTTCCCTCCCACAGGTTTTGATTCAAAGGAGAATCCCTAATAAACCTCCTTCATGCTAAGTTCTATCTCAGGATTTTCCTCCCCCTGGAACCCAACCTGTGATTGAAGACTTATTACACAGCTATAGTACTTAAAATAGTGTGATATTGATATCAGGATAAATGAATAGATACATGAAACAGAAAATAGAGTGCAGAAACAAAACGTGGTATGTGAGAGGTGACAAAATATTAAGTTGGAAAATAATGGACTCTTTAGTTAACAGTTACTGGAACAAATTTCTATTCATATGGCAAAAGAGTTAGGTCTATTGCCAAAAAATTTCCATGAGGAACAAATACCTAAATGTAAAAAAACAAAAAGGTAAAATTACTAATAAAATATAGAATAGTTTTTGTGATAAGGCAGGAAAAATTTTCTTAAACAAAATGCAAAGGTTGAAACCATAGAGAAGAGATTGATAGATCTGATTACATTTTTTGGGTATGTTAACATACAAGGCTCAAACTTGGAGATATATAACCAAGAGAGGAATAGTATTCAGGATATATAAAGAACTTCCACCAATTAGTAAGAGAAAAACTAACAACAGATAGAAAGCTGGAAAAAGACATGAAGTGAAAATTTGCAGAGGAAGCTGGCCAAAAATCTTAAGAAAAAGCAGTCAGACCTATTAATTACCAACGAAACATTTAAAAGATAATATTTCTCATCCATGAGGAAAGCAAAAATTAAAAAGTATGAGTATAACACATGTAGGGGAAATGTGACAAAACAGCAACCTCTTTGGAGAAGAATTTGGCAATGCCTTATAAATTTAATTCCTTACAGGTACCCTTGAGAAACATAAAAATGTATACATGGTAACATACATAAGGATAATCAGTGCCACTTTGTAATAGCAAATATTTGGAAACAACCTACATGCCCATCAACAGGGGGATGGAAAAACATGTATGTATGTATGATGGACTAGTATACAGCAGTCAAAGTGAATTAAACACATTTACATATTTCAACAAAAATCTGAAACATAATGTGAAATAAAAATTTGTACACAGTAAGATACCTTTTTAAAAGTTAAACTCATAAAATAATGTACACAATTGATGAAAAATATATGAGTGATAATTATTTTAAAATGTACTACAAAAAGGAAGCATAACAACCTTAGAAGAGTTGTGTCTTTGAGGAGAGAGGAGAAATGAAATGGGAAAAGCCTTCAACTATATGTTCCATTTTTTTTCCTATGATAATCACCTGAAGTGAAAATAATCTAAATATGGCAAAATGTTAATATTAGTTGATTCCAGGTGGTAGGTATAATTTTTAATGGTGGATAGTCTGTGAACTTTTCTGCATGTTTGAAACATTTTATTATATAGATTTTCAAATTAAAAAGTGATGGGTTCAAGCGATTCTCCTGCCTCAGCCTCCTGAGTAGCTGGGATTACAGGTGCCTGCTACCATGCCCAGCTAATTTTTCTATTTTTAGTAAAGACGGGATTGCACCATGTTGGCCAGGCTGGTCTTGAACTCCTAACTTTGTGCTCCACCCACCTCAGCCTCCCAAAGTGCTGGGATTACAGGCATGGGCCACATCGCCCGGCCTATGTTACATCTTTTAAGGGCAAGTGTCTGATCTGTTGTATGCATACCTAGCAAGCAAAAGCTTTTTTTTTTTTTTTTTTGGCTTTTATTTAGACTTTTGGCAAGAAATTAAAACAAGTAGCTAAAACTTTACAATAATATGCAGGGATGTCATTGGGTCTCATGTTCTCTAAGATAAATGAATCCTCTAGTGTGAATTTACTAAGGATAATTTTAATCTTAGCAGTTTTTTAATTTTTTCCCAAAACAGAATGTTCTGGGTGAGGCCTGCACACGTTTATTAAAAGCTATCCTTTAGCGATATTTTCTCAGTTTGTAAGTAATTGGCCATTGCTTCAGACAAACGAAAATAATACTTCTTGAGCAAAAAGAATAAAACTGGAAGGATCACACTACCTGACTTCAAAATATACTATACAGATATGTAACCAAAACAGTATGGCATATAAACAGACAAGTAGATCAATGGAACAGAATAGAGAGCCCAGAAATTTACAGTCAATTGATTTTCGACAAAGGTCCCAAGAACACGATGGGGGAAAGGATAGTCTCTGGAGTAGATGGTGTGTGGGCAATTAGATATCCACATGCAGAAAAATGAAATTACACCTGTATCTTACACCATGTAAAAAATTAACTCAAAATGGATTAAAGACTTATGTAAAATCTGAAACTGTAAAACTACTAGAATAAAACATAGGAGAAACATTTCATGACATTGGTCTAGACAATGATTCTTTGAATATGAACCCAAAAGCATAGGCAACAAAAGCAAAAATAGGCAAATGGGATTACATCAAATTAAAAAGCTTCTGCACAGCCAAGAAAACAACCAACAGAGTAAAGAGATTATCTATGAAATGGGAGAAAATGTTTGTAAACCATACAGCTGACAAGGGGTTAAAATTCAAAATATATAAGGAACACAAACAATAGTAAGAAAACAAATAACCTAATTAATAAATGGACAAAGAATTTGAACAGATATTTTTTAAAAGATATACAAACGATTAACAGGTAGGTCAAAAAATCATCAAAATCACTAATCATCAGTGAAATCTAAACGAAAACCACAATGAGATATCACTCATTGTTTTTCTGTGCCTGGCTTATTTCACTTAACATAATGCCCTCCATTTTCATCCATGTTATCAGAAAGGACAGAATTTCCTTCATTTTTAAGGCTGAATTGTATTCAGCCTTTCAAAATGTACTACAAAAAAGAATCATAACAACTTTAGAAGAGTTCTTTAGAACAGAATAGAGAGCCCAGAAATTTACAGTCAAGGTTGATTTTTTACAGATATGTAATCAAAACAGTATGGCATATATGTTTTGGAATGTTATTCCAATTACAGGTGTAATTTCATTTTTCTGCATGTGGATATCTAATTGCCCACACACCATCTACTCAAGAGACTATCATTTCCCCCATTGTGTTCTTGGCACTTTTGTCAAAAATCTGATCTGTTGTATGCACAGCTAGCAAGCATCAATTAAAATGGCTGCTATCAATTAGACAAAGATAAGGGGTGTTGGAGAGGATGTGGAGAAAAGGGAACCTTGTGCACTACTGGTGGGAATGTAAATTAGCACCGTCATTATGTAATACAGTATGAAGCTTCCTCAAAAATTAAAAATAGAACTCCCATATGATCCAGCAATCCCACTACGGGGTATATAGCCAAAAGAAATGAAATTGATATGTTGAAGAGATATCTGCACTCCTATGTTTGTTGCAGCATTATTCACAATAGCCAAGATTTGGAATCAACCTAAATGTCCATCCACAAATGAATTGATTTAAAAACATGGTATATACACAATAGAATACAATTCAGCCTTAAAAATGAAGGAAATTCTGTCCTTTCTGACAACATGGATGAAAATGGTGGATACTATGTTAAGTGAAATAAGCCAGGTACAGAAAAACAAGTTCTTCATGATTTCACTTACATGTAGAATCTAACAAAGTTGAACTCATGGAAGCAGAGTAGAATGGTTGCTACCAGTGGCTGGATGGGGTGGAACTTATTCCTCTGTAAGGAGGAATAAGTTCAAGAGATCTATTGTACAACATGATGTCTATATTTAATAACAATGCATTCTTGAAAATTGCTAAGAGAGATATTAAGTGTTCTCATCACACACACAAAAAAGTATGTAAGATAATGCAAATATTAATTAGCTCAGGCTGGACACAGTGGCTCACACTTGTAAACCCAGCACTTTGGGAAGCTGAGGCAGGTGGATCATTGAGGTCATGAGTTCAAGACCAGCCTGGCCAACATGGTGAAACCCCGTCTCTACTAAAAATACAAAAATTAGCTGGGCATGGTGGCAGGTGTCTGTAATCCCAGCTACTTGGGACACTGAGGCAGGAGAATCACTTGAACCTGGAAGGCAGAGGTTGCAGAGAGCTGAGATCATGCCACTGCACTCCAGCCTGGACAACAGAGTGAGAGACTCTGTCTCAAAAAAAAAAAAAAGGTAATTAGCTCAATTTAGCCATTCCACAATGTATAAATATGTCAAAACAACATATTGTATATAATAAATACATAAATTTTTATCTGAAAATTTAAAAAATTTTTATTTATTTATTTAAAATATTTATTTATTTAAAACATCAGTTAGGCCACATATTTAAAAAATACTAATTTTACTAACAGTAGCTCCCTAGGTTCAAGCTCTTTCTTTCCACACCCTGATCTTCTTTGCATCTTCACTTCTCCCACTTCCTCTGATTTCTAACAACTGATCTATTCAGAGCTTCCTTTCAGAAAAAACTGCCACCATTACTCCATAGACTTTAGCCTTCAATGAAACAAATGTTTAGATGCATTTTGTCCTCAGCCTTTAAAAAGTTCCCAGACTTAACTATGCCTCTTCAACTAGCCAAAAAGAGGCTCACATTCAATTCTGTGGGGATCCATTTGGGCTGTGATCATTATATATTTTTGGAATTGTCCTTGTGTGTAAATATGAGAATGAGGTTTGTGACAAATTATAATATTTAACATAAAAAATTTAAAAAATTTATATCCAACTATATCATTGAGCAGAGTTTTTTTTTAAGCATAGGTCATGATTTGGGCTTTGGTTTGGTGGTTTTTAGTTACTTGTTCCTCATAATCTTACATTTACATATCCTTTCACTTTTTTATTGATTTTTAGCAAAAGTAGAGAAAGAATATGAATTGTTTATAATTCTTACATTATTTCATAATTGTATTATTAATACTTAGGGACATACAAAACAAGACTAAGTTTCTTTTACTTGATTCTGAAAACATTGTTATAGTGATTGAAAGTTTGTCTTGGAATTAGATGAATTATTATTCAAATCTGCTCTGTCACTTTCTAGCAAGGAGTCCTTAGGCAAATTACTTCTCTAAGATTCATTTTATTATCTATAAAGTGGCTATAATAAAAGAATGAAGTTTATAAGTTTTCTATGCATACTAAGTGAGGTAGTGCATGTGAAAAGCAGTAAGCATATATATCCTAGCACTCAGTAAAAGCGTTCACTTAATAGTGATTGTTATTTTGAACTTCAGTCAGTAATTTTTGGTAATGGAGAGGATCTCTGAGGAGTGGCCAGGGCTGGGTGTAAAGTGGTAGAATGTAACATGAACCAGGTCAAGGGATTTGGGGTTCAAAACTCAATTTCACTTGAAAAACCTTGGGCAACTTACTTAATCCTCACTTATCTTCAATATTCCTTTTTAAAAAAAGTACCCTGTGGTGCCCCAACCTTCATTTGCACTCCCTTGCTATGTACTTCTCTTTTGTTCCATTTATCAAAAACTGCCCTAGAAAATAATCTTTTGAGACTTGTGACATTGTACTCAATGGGTTCCTTCTCTCCACTGGAATTTAATTTTCAGAATTACCATTCAGTACGTACTAATAAGCTGTATATCTACTAAAGAAACTACAGGTATCAAGAACTGGAACAAGGGAGTTTTGAAGTATCAGAGACTTTCAATGTAATACTTTTTTATGGATACTTTTCCTCTCTGGTTCTGTGTAAAGTTGGATGGCAAAAAACCAACAAACAAAAAATGATGAAAAAAAAATCTTCATAGTATCCTTTAACAACAGGATTTGTTTTCTAAATCAGTTAAAAATCTTTTTTCTTTTTTTGGTAAAATTTTCCATTTCATACTTGGGCTCAGTCTGGAAATAAGCAGAACAGGATGAATGACCCTTAATCTTCTTTCCATGCCAGTTCTGTCATCCTGTGTCACACAAAAGTGGTTTGCCCCTCTAGGATTATGGCGACATTCTGAAATTACTGTGATCAGAGTTAGGAACCTAGTACCAATTTCAGTGCTGCAGCTGATTGAAAGCCTCAGTTCTCATATTTATGAAATTAAGAGAATAGACTAGATTCTCAATGGCTAATAGGATTTATTTTGCAGTCCTACTTTTAGTGATTAGTAGTGGTTGCCTAGGGTACTGACTGGAGACAGCTGAGATGAATCTCAATGCAATAGGAAAGTGTTTTCTGATAAATTCGCCATAAGCACAGGACAGAGGAATGAGGACCCACATGCCAGATGTGTGCCATGCCTGACCTAGGCAATTTCTAAGGTCTTTCTAGCTGTAGCATTATATCAGGCTATAATTGCTTCTCTGCTTGTTGAAGATGTGAAGTGTCTGCCCTCCAAGCAGGTCAGCCACCTGCTATAACTGACTGGATTGTTATTTACATTTAGTGGATGTATTATTGCTCCTTCTTTTGCAAAAGAATTTGAGGCACTATAAATAATTTTTAAAAGATATTGAAATTTAGGAGAGAGAAAATAAAAAAACCAACTATGAAATTCAAAGTTTTATTTTAATCTTTCTAATATTCTCTATTATTCAATATTCCATTTCCATTTAATGCACATAGACCATGGTAAACAAAAGAGGGGTCATATTGACCTCGTAACACTATGTGAAACATTGGACATTTTTCAAATTTTTCATGAAAATATCTGGTAGAATCCTGAGATTTGTTCAAAATTCTGCATGATGGGAAAAATGCTTTTGCTGTCTTACTGAGTCAGACCTCAGCAGAGTAATCAAAATGATTGTTCTATTTAAAATTCATCAACAGTAATGATCATTTGCATCATCCACAAAAGATGTGACTTGGGTCTTACGGAAAGGCATTCAGTCTCATTGCCATCAACAGTCCCCTTCGATGCAAGCAACCTGATGCAAGTAATCCAATGCATAGTAAGTGGATTAGCTCAGCCAAATTGGGGCAGAGGAAATAGTTACATGTTCTAAAACTACACAGAGTTTTATGCCCAGAAGGATATTTTCACTCTTATATTTTGCATTGAGAATATATAAAAGTAATGATACTGGGAAGAAAGTTACAAAGCATGCTTGTAAGTGATACATTTCTTGAAGCTACTCTTGAGTCTTTCTGTGAGAATGATTTTAAAAGCCTATAATAACTTATTTCATTTATACATTCAAAAATTTGTTCATTCAGACTCATTACGGTTACTCCTTTTCCAAAAATGCTGTAGAAGTTTTCCTTGTTGTTTTTCTTTTCTGATGATTTCTATTCTCTCACCCTCTCTTTTACTTAGTGTTGTTATTTAAAAAAAAAAAAGTAGAAAAGACTTCTGGTTCTAAGAAGTAGTAACAGGAATTGAGTTTATCCTCTTACCTGTAACAACTAAAAAATTGAACAAGTAAATGAAGAAATAATTTTCAAGATATTGCATATCAGGTAATGAATAACAGTGATCACTAAGAGATGGCAAACAAATGAGGGGAGCCCTGTGATTGCCAAAACTCATTGCCTCAAGTTTCCAGGCCATGGTGCAGTAAGGGGAAACACAGGTAGAACCAGAGAAACCCTTGAGCTGATGAGATGAAACTGAGAGTATGGAGAGACCACCAAGAGACTTAAATTTTACAGCAGAGTACTGAAGAAGAGAGAGCTGCAAAGAAACAAAATCCTGGACATCAGCAGAGGATCTTTCTTGAGTATTAAGCTGAATAATGATCAGGACAATCATGTGCAGAAACTATCTGAGGCTGGGGAAAGAAATCCTCAGAAGTATAGAAGCAACTGTGAAAGCTGATGACAGGAATTGGGTCATTTTTGTTAAACCAAACTAAACAGAGTCAAGAAGCCAAGGGGGAGGAGCACTTAGGGAACATAACATAGCTCGAAGAATGAAATTATCTGCTGAGACTGGCTACTAAAACTGCTTGCTGTAACCTGAAACTAGTTTTACCTATTAATGCTGAGATAATTTGCTGCAACTCTAGGACTAATTTTGCCTACAGCCATTGGCCACCAATCGGAGCTTGCCAGCTTCCCAGGCTTTTACTCCTATAAGTGAACTTTCTCTCAAGACCACAGGTAACATCCCTCTTGTTTATAAAACTCCCAACCTTCCCTGTTTTTCAGACTATTGAAGACCACTCGGTCTGCATGTATGCTCTGAATTGCAATTCTTTCTTCAGAAATAAAACATTAAATTTAGAGATTTGTCTCTAAGTTTTTATTTTGACTTTGACACAACAGTAATCAGATCCAACTCAGGGTCAGGAATAGTGCCCAATCCTTTACCAGAGAGGAAAACTTCATAATTCATGAGCCATTGGATAGAGCACTCAGAAGAGGCTTGCCTTAGTAGTGGGGAATAATTAGAGTTAGAAAAAACACCTCTCAGGTCTTGCCTAAAAAACCTTATGGCAGAAAGGATCAAACTATTTTCAAATTATTTAACTGTATCTGAAAACAAAACTCAAGAATAATTATTAGAATACAAAAATATACCAAACCCCAAAAGGTAAAACACACAATATCTTGTACTCGATCAAAAATTACCAGGCATGCAAAGAAGCAGAAAAATACTACCTACAATGGAGAGAAAAGTCAATCAAACAAAACTAACCTTGAACTGAAAGAGATGTTAGAATTATCTGACAAGGGCATTAGAAAATTGTTAAAAGTTTAGTTCATGTGTTCAAAAAGCTAGAGGAAATATTGAGCATGCTAAATAGAAAGATTAAAAATATATTTTTTAAAAGACTCATTATCAACTTGTAGAGGCAAAAAAAAACAGAAAATAAATCCTGGAGATAAAACCTAGATTAAAAAAATTGATGGGATTAATGGCAGATTAAACATTGCAGAAGTTTAGTGAACTTGAAGGCATAGTAATAGGTACTATCCAAAATGAAACACAAAGAGAAAATGAGTCAAAAACAAAAAAGAACAGAGAATCAGTAAACTGAGGGGGCAACTTCAAATGGCTTTATGTATGTGTAATTGATGTTCCCAAGGGAAGGTGGGAATTCAAAAAAGGTAATTAAAGAAATGATGGTCAAAAAATTTCAAATTTAGGAAAATTATAAATCTTTAGGAAGTTCAAAACCCCCCAAGAACGAGAAATGTGAAGGATACTACACCAAGGCACATCATGATCAAATTGCCACAAACCAATTATAATGAGAAAATTTTATAAGCAACCAGGGAAAAATATTGCAAAATATACAGAGGAACAAAGATAAATGAGAGCAGACTTTTTTTGTCAAACACAATGCAAAGCAACATTTTTAAAGTACTGAAAGAAGAAGAAAGAAAAAACTCTAGAATTTTATACCCAGTGAAAATACCTTACAAAAAAGTGTGACATAAAAGCTTTTTCCAACATAAAAAGATGGAAGGAATTTATCACCAGTAGTTCTGTACTACAAGAGATGTTGCAGCAGTCCTTCCCACAAAAGGAAAATGATACCATCTGAAAATTGGATCTACACAAAGTTAAAATGATTAGATTGTTATTATTCAAATATTTTTAAAAGAGAATTCGCTGCATAAACAAACATAATAAAAGTGTAAGGTTTATGAGATATGTGGAAGTAAATGTATGATAGTAATAACCCAAAGCCCAAGAGGGGAGAAATAGAAATAAACTATCATAAGGTCCTTATACTACATGTGAAATGTATAATAGCACTTGAAGGCAGATTGTAATAAGTTAAAGGTATGTACTATAAACCCTTAGGTATTGTCTACGGAAACAAAACAGAGTTTCAGATAATGAGCTTAACAAATCAGATAAAATGGAATCATAAAAAATACTCAGCTTATCCAAAAAGAAGGCAGACAAAGAGGAAAGGGGGAACAAAGAACATACAGAACAATGAGAAAACAGAAGGCTGATTTACAGCTTGCCATATTAATAATCACATAATGTGTAAATGGTCTAAATACCCCCAATTAAAAGCCAAAGATTTTGAATGAAAAATTAAGACCCAAGTATTGGACACCTATGAAAGACGCACTTCAAATATAAAGACAAAAATTAGTTAATAGTATGGAAAAAGATATTCCATGATAACACTAACAAAAGAAAGCTGCAATAGCTATGTTAATATCAGACTAAGTAGATTTCAGAGCAAAGGATATTATCAGCAACAAAGAATTTTTTGTATAATGATGAAAGGGCCACACATTTTTGGTGAAAATATAAAATGGAACAACCTCTTTGGGAGACAGTTTGGAAGTTCTTAATAAAATTAAACATATATCTGTCATATGAACAAACCATTCCACTCCCTGTTATCTATCCCAGAGAAATGCAAGCATATGTCCATACAAAGACTTATGTACCAAGGTTCATAACAGCTGTATTTGTAGTAGCCCCAAAATGAAATCAACCCCAATGTCCATCAATGGGTAAATGAATAAACAAAGTATGTTACATTCACGGAATGAAATATTATTTAGCAGTGAAAGGAATTAACTCTTAATGCATGAAACAATATAGACAGTCTCAAAGTAATTGTGTGGTTTGAAACAACCAAGAAGAAAATCAAGAGTACATACTGTGTAATTTTATTTACATAAAATTCTAAGAAATGCAAACTAATGTATAGTGACAGAAAGCAGATCAATGGTTGCCTGGAAGCAGCCAGATGGGCAGGTGAGAAGGGTATTGTGGGCAGGAGAAGCAAAAAGGAAGGACAAGGCATAAAGATTTTTTTAGAGTGCTGCATATGTTTAATATCTTTATTGTGGCGATGGACTCATAGATCGTATTGGATGTGTGAACATACGTCATATGTCGAGGCTTATAAAGTTGTGTACTTTAAATATGTATAGTTTATTGTATGTCAATTAAAACTCAATGAAGCTTAAAAACTAAGTGGAATACAATAGTATGCATAGAAGATATCACCTCAGCGTGATCAGGATGCAAATATTTTACCATTTTCTCCTCTCCACTTTGCACCTTCAGCATTAGCATTTTTTTTTTTAATCAGCCAAACAACAAACTTTAATAATTGGTCTCAGAAATAGGCAGATGCCAAGTAGGGACCTTGATTGGACTCATATTAACTGAAAATATTATCCAAAAATAATGACTATAATGTTGGCTTTAAGAATCTGTGCAATTGTGATCCTTCAGTAATTTAGACAAACTTATGACAACCTCCCTCAAAATCTCCTAAGCCACCAATGAAAAATTTCACCTTCCTTGTGGCATGATTGTAAATGCAGACACAGACTCACTGGGCTTGAAAGGAAGGACTTAAAAAAATATCGGGCTTGATGCTTCCTTTCACAAAGAGATTGAACATCAGAAAAAATAAGTGACCAGCTTAAAGTAACACAACTAAACGGAGCAAGAACTCATGCCTTCTCACTTCTCTGAGAGTTCAGTATTTCAAAATTAAAAGGCTTCAATATAGAGGCCATTCAATAAATATTTGTTAAACTCAGAATAAATATCCTAGATTGAACTCCTAACCGTGGACTCTCTTATTTTAGGATGCACTGAGTTATTATCAAAGAAAAAGCAAACTCTGATGCAAAAATCCATACCTCATACCTCTCCACATAAACATGTTTCTGTTGTTGGTAAGGGACACTGTAGGAAGAGCATAAACTGACCTCATCTCTTTTATCCTGTCATTTCTGCTCTGTTGTATTACGGCATGACCCATTTATTTGGGTTTATGGAAAAAATGAGCCATTACAAATTCTCCATTCATATCTTCCCCTTTCTCATGTTTTCTTAATGTAGTTTTGTACTTGATTTTCGTTTATCTCTATTTATCTTTAATTAAATCTCTGGCAATAACCTTCCCAGGATTCTGGGAACATTAATTCAGTTTTCTCAAAGCCGTTCAAGGGATAAACTATGCCTAAGGGCTGCCAAGAAAGGTGCAGGCTTTGGGAGGATTAGAACACAACTATCAATCCCTCAGAATGAGTGCGAGGAAAAATCTACATGTTTCAGTTAAACTAGTATCAACCATTAAGAAACCACAGTAAACAGATGCAGAACAGTTGTGGTTTTGCCATAAATGCACACACATAGAACATTTCTTAGCTCTTGTTTTTCCTACTCTGCCACTGTTTTGTATCATGACCCCATAAACTTAGTCTAAAGAAAAAATGCTAGTTTTTTTGTGGCCCAACTTAAATATAAAATTTAATCATCTGATATATTTTTTATACAGAGTTTTCAGAAACCGAAACTTTTCAGAAACTTTTATACAGAGTTTTCAGAAACTGTGACCAAATCCCTAGGGATTGAGAAGTAATAGGTTATAAAATAAGGCTGAGCTTCAAGAAGGTTTAATCACAGGATAATGTAATGCATTCTGCAAAATAATTAGAGCATAATTTGCAATTATACTGTGGTCATGGCTCTCAAATTTTGGGGTACATAAGATACACAGGATATTCCCTGGCACTTCTTCCAGAAATTCTGATTTAGTATATCTGGGTGGAGCCCCACAATTTCCACTTTTTAACGGGTTTCACAAATGATTTTGCTGTAGGTGGGTTTTTGTTAATAAAAATTGCTGAAATTCTCTCCAATTTTGTCGCAGCAAAACACTAAAATTTAAATTTCACTACTTACTAGCTAAGAGTCCTTAGAAAAGTCAAATGACTTCTCTATATCTCATCTTTAAAATAAGAAAGATAATGTAAGGTTTTGTGGGAATTAATAGAATAATGTATGTAAAGTGCCTGGTACAGAATAGGCACTTAAGTAATGTTAGTTTCTTTTCCCAAACGTATATCATGTTCCTTCTTAATCTGACCCTGAGCTGGAATGTGTTTCTCCCTTAATTATTAACCTGAGTATAAACAATTCCACATCTTTAATATTGTAAAAAGTTACATACTTCAACTCAAATGACCAATTGTGTTAGTTGCCAGTCCCAGAAATATTTTTGCTTTTTGAATGACTGAGGCATGACCAGAACATGGATGCCTGATATAATTAGCCATGATGTAAGAGCTAGCAAATGAATATTTAGGCAACACACACACATATACACACACACACACACACACACACATGAAATTCCTAACCCATACTTACCATGCTGCTTTGGGTTCTGTTGTGCAAACTGAGAGAAAAATTGCCATAAGAATAAATTAAAAAGCACAGAGCATTTCTGCTCATAGACAAGGGTTCAGGGTAAATACTAGTTCATTTTTTGGATATATGTTCTGATTTCTCAGCCTCTTGTTTTACTATTCATCCAAAGGTTTTAGATCCAGTGAGATGCTCTGACACATGTAGGATTTAAACACAAGCCCAATGCACACCCCGGCAGCCCAGAGGAACATTTTTCAAAATGAGAAATATGTTTGGGCCAATAGCCAACAATGGTAAGGAGAAGCTCAGCATCCCAAATGAGCACACAGAACTCAACTCTCTGAGTTTTATGAAAGTCTCTTTCCTTATTTATCAGGGCAGGATGAAAGGGATGAAAGCTAAAAGGGGTTGTAAACAAAATTTGACCAGGGCCTGTCCAGACAGAACCCTGTCCAAAGGCTCTTCCTTCATCCTGCCAAACACATCAAAGCCTTTCTAATTCATATATGCCTAAAAAGCCATCCCCCCATTCAGCACTGCTCCACAAAACACTGGGGAAAGCATGCCAAGCTTTTACTTACACTAAAAAGGCTAAAAATGTAAACATTTTTAAATGACTAATTTTTATTTTTATCAAAACCATACAGGTATGGTATTTGAAAAGTACTAAGTAGCTTACACTAAAAAAGAACAGTTGCCCCCATATCCCCAGCAACATTAAATCTACTCTTTCAAGCAACTACTTTCAAATATCTGTTTCTTCTAGTATCTATCTCCATGTTTCTATATAACTTTATATTTAATGTTATTTAACTATGTCAATATGATTCACCGCTGGGCTAAGTCATGGTCTATAATTTTACTTTCTTTCTTGAATGTGTATTTTTTTTTTTGTTTTTCCTAAAGTTATTACGTCTTTTTAAAGAACTGGTTTTCTCTGTATTTACACCTACGTCTTTCTACATTCTATAGCTGCCAGCATTTCAATAGAATTGTCCACAAATATAACCTGTCAGATAATTTCTCATTTCCATTCTTTTTTCTTGAGACTTTCCTCCTAGAGTCAATTTAGGCCTCCTATTTTAAATTTTAAATGGATTCCTAAAAGTCACATTGATCCACTATCTAGGACCCATGGTTTTTTCTTTTTTTAATGGCCTGATTTCAAGATCAATTCCAAAGGATCCCTGAAAAAAACAATTATTCCATTTATGGTTTAGAGGTAGCCTAAAATAGAATATTGAACCAATTTACATATTACTCTTAATGGTGGCAACTGATATGTTCTCACAAATGGCAAAATCAAAACAACCTAATAGAACAACCTAAAAATGGTGATGAGCTCTCCTAATAAGAAAGCCAAAGGCCGAGATGTGAAAATGGAGAAGGCTTAAAAATTTGTGTTTTCCCCTCAAGTTCCATTGAGTTATCTGACAGTTGATTGTCATCTGATTTTGTCAATTCACTATAATTGAACAACATGTACAAGCAACAAGGAAAAATCAATTCGGTGACCATGAGAAAAAGAGAAATGAGTTGTAGACTCACTGGGAAAGTTTATAAAGCCTTCTCTGTAGGGTTTAGTTATTGCTTTTTGTTCTGAAACAGCAGCACTGAAGCACAAAAATGCAAGTAATTGGGGTCAATGTTCAGTCAGATCCCTCAAAAAAGGATCTCAAGCCAACCAGCATATGGTATGCAGTGTCCTCTGTTAGAATAAAACTTTGACTTCAAATAAACATGTGATGCCTCTAACTTTTCCACTGGGGAAAGTTAATGAGTTTTTTTTGACAAGTGTAGCAAAGATGTGATTTTCAGAAGTGAAAGTCTAAATACCTAAAACTCCTTGGGTAAAAAAAAAAAAATTATACTCTTGAAAGGAGACAAAATGCACATTAATTCAAATGCCTTTTTGTTTTTTTGTGTAAATCTCTTAGGGCCAATAGGGAAGAAACTGTGTCAAAATGGGCAGAAATGAGATTCCAGGATCTCACCAAGAGGAACACATAAATATTCAAGAATTGATTTCAATGTTTTGTGCAAAGGAGGTTGTAGGCTGCTGGACTGGGGATTAGGCTATTAGAACTTTGTCCAGATACTTATGGAGAAGTTCATCCTTTCTCACTGACCTAGGAAGAGACAAAAAATGGCAAAAGGGAGCACTGACTTTTCTGAGAAATGTTGACAACTGGCCTGAATGTCTGTTCCTCAGAGGTTGCCTGCTTGTTTTCTCAAGTCCAGTGTGCACTTGCAGACATAGCATGTTTAAAGGTATCACTTAACTTTCTAAGTGTCAGTTTCTTAAATGGAAAATAATAGCAGTACCTGTAAGAGCTGTTCTGAGAATTGAAACTTTACGTAAACAACAAATTGCATTCAGAAAGCTTTTGTAGAGTCTTGAAAATTCAGGCCACAAGCATATGAGTGTCTCCTATACTCCTGAAAGCAGCCCTCTATACTCCTGAAAACATGTCCCCAAGTTGATGTGAAAAAGTAAAAGCAGCCTTTATTGACTTCTGATCCTTCTAAATCTTCAGTTACCTCCCTCTTCTGCCATGGAACCCTTGGGCATTCCAGCCTTCATTGACTTCTCCCCCTTTAAATTTCTGCAGCTTTTAGTTTTACTCACTCAGGTACCCACACCTTACAGACTTTCGGCTATTTATATTTTTCTGGGTGGAAGTCTCTCCAATACGAAGTTGAAAATTCCTTAAGAACAAAGACAAGTTGTGGTTGTTTTTGTATCCTCTATGGTACTTAGCTAAATGTCATGCTCAGAGTATTTGTTCACCGCCTGTTGATTCTTGTTCAGTGGAACATCTCCTTCTATGTTGGTGTTTGTCAAACCTCACTGCACATTACATTCACCTGAGGTTATTTTGTAAGATACTGATGTCCAACCTCATCTCTCAAGATTCTAATTAAGTGGAACATGAATAAAACCTGGGCATTTATTTGTATGCCCAAAATGTTCCTTGGGTGATTCTAATAGACCACTGCCCCATGCCCTCTTTTAAGACAAGTTCTTCTGTAAAGCTGGGCAGAGAAATAAACATGGTGGGAAAGTTGAATAGGCTTCTCTTAGGTGCTAATTATTTGGAAATCTTAAAAGTTCCCTAACACCCCATCCCGGCACTGGGATGTCTCAGGTAATGCAGACCTTTGGTGATACCTATTTTGTATACCTGAAACAGAAGTCTTAGTTAGAAATATTCTTTAGTGGGCCAATAGTCCTCTTGGTATAGGGATTTAGAGGTCAGCATGAGCCTCTGTCCTGAGTTCATGACAGTTATAAAGCTAAAATAACTCTTTTTCACATACTAGAAGTTCTACCAATTTAGGGGTGTGAGAGTTAGAAGAGAAGTCCAATCCAAATACGTTCCCTGCCAAAGAGTCATCTTTAATAGCCAAGTTATGTTTCAAAAACTAATTATGCCAACATATAATATTAAGATTATGCTTTCAATTAGCTTATAATCCATGAAGAAACACTAAGATATGAACCTATGAAAACTAGCGAACAGGATAAAAAATCACAAGTATCAAAAGAGAAAAATAATAATGGCTACTAATAATTAGATGTTTACTGTGTACCACACATGGTGCCAAATGCTTTACATACATTATTCTATTTAAGCCTTGCAATTCTAAAAGGAAGAAATATTTTATATTATCCTAATTTTGCAGATGAAGGAACCAAAGTGTGAAAATGTTGAGTTACTTGCATAGGGTTAGACAGCTAGAAATGGTACAGGGAGGATTTAAAACCAGACAGTCTCACTGTAGAGTCTATACCATGGGTGTTCAGAACCACTGCTTTGTTTTGAGGAGCATGTAAGAGCAGTGGTTGTTCAGAGGAGCTACAGAGTACTGTATTGTGAGATGTGATGAACAAAGAAAAGCATTTACAGTGGTGGTATGATTTCAGCTGGCCCTGAAAAGAAGTTTGAATATAGACAGAAGACAAACTTGGGGAGTTCATCACGTGTATCTCAGTTCTTCAGAAGCCCTTAAGAAACAACTAGATCAACTGTGGCTCCAGAAAATACTCAAGGTCAGCTGTGATAAGAGCCCTTGGCCCCAGAGTACCACCAGGATCATCCTTTGTCCCAGACTCTGAGCTAACATCTAATTAGTTTAGTCTAAAACTAATGCAGCAGGAAGAAGTCCAAAAAAGGTTAAGCTCTTCATGAAAAGCTAAATTTGGACCATCTGTCTTCACCTACTATCTATCTAATCTATCTATCTATCTATCTATCTATCATCTATCATCTATCTATCATCTATCTATCTATCTATCATCTATCTATTATCTATCTATCTATCTATATCTCTCAAGCCATATGGTTGCTTGGCAAATGTTTCCCTAAAGCAGTGTTTCCCAAGGAATACTGTTTGATATTTATTTATTCACTCTTCCTTTTATTTGACAAATGTTTTTTATTGAGTACTTACTATATGAATAGTAGTGGTGAGCAAAACCAAGCCCTGCCTTCACCAAGCTTAGAGCCCAGGACAATGTTCTTAACAATGGCTGAGCATGAGTCACCTGGGGCACTTTAACAGAATCCCATTCACAATAGAATGGGATTCTATTGTGCGGCATAGCTAAGATCCGCTTTGAATCTAAGTGGGAAAACAGCATTTATGTGAGCCCTGTGGTAGCACATACAAGGGAATGAAAAAGAAGGCAAACGTGGCTGGATAAAGATGGCAAAGAGGAGCACCGTGTGAAATGAGGCCTGGGATTTGGTATACACTGGATTAAATAAAGTTAAACAGGCTTTTAAAAAAAAATTATAAGTCTTCTCAGAATCATCAGTAATAGAATATGTTGTTAATTCTCAAGAAGGATATTATATACATATCCTGAAGTTATTTTTACACAGGGCATATAGAGACTCTCAAGTTTCCCTTTTAAGAAATATTACTTGCCTGTATGTAAATGTAGATTGCACTAGATGAGTGGGATGTTTGAAGTGGGGCCAGTGTAATAATTTTGTTCTAGAAGTTAAGAAGATTAGTATTAAAGCTCCTAAAATTCAGAGCTTCCTAATCTTTGAAGGATTTTGAAAGGGACTTCAAATTGGAATGAGTGGCTGTTTACATAAATAACATGTAATACTACACAGAAATATGGTCAGTTTTGTCAGCTGATTATTCTTCACTTAAAAAAAGTATTTAATGATTTATTCCAGTTTCCATAAAAGGGGGCTTATTTCAATATTTCTAAATATAAAAGGAAAAATATAAATGCAGGAGGAATTAATTATATTAATGATTCGAGCTGGAATTAAAGCTAAGAATTACTAATCTTTGAGGGACAGCCTGGGTTCTTAATCTGCTAGAAAAAAACATAGTTAATATGCACTAGATGAGAATCACATTTTAGAGGAAGAACTTCACAAAAACTTAATTCGAGAGGAAATGCATAAAATTGACTATTATGGGTGTCTTCCTGTATACATATGATTGCAAAGATTACTCATTGATTAACTTTTGCATATTAAATATGCCTAACTAGAATTTGAAAGTCATAAGCCTATTTCGTTTATATGGCTTTGGGAAACATTTTGACCTATTTAGGTAGTTGAGTTAAAGTCTTAAGGCAACAACTTTAGAGGTATTAAAAAAAAGAAGTCACATTTCATTTGTGAGATGTTGATTGAATGGGTTCACTTTATTGCTGTGACACATTAACTGCTCCATACATTAACTCTGATGATTATTTATTATTTATTTATTTATTTTGGTACGGAGTCTCGCTCTGTCACCCAGGCTGGAGTGCAGTGGCGCCATCTCGGCTCACTGCAAGCTCCGCCTCCTGGGTTCACGCCATTCTCCTGCCTCAGCCTCCCGAGTAGCTGGGACTACAGGCGCCTGCGACCACGCCCGGCTAATTTTTTGTATTTTTAGTATAGACGGGGTTTCACCGTGTTAGCCAGAATGGTCTGGGTCTCCTGACCTCGTGATCCTCCCGCCTCGGCCTTCCAAAGTGCTGGGATTACAGGCGTGAACCACCGCACCCGGCAACTCTGATGTTTCTTAAAAAAAAAAAAGAAACAAAGAATACCACCCTAATATTTATTGAGTGTTTCTGTATTTCAGGATAAAAGTAAAGTGTGACATAATTCCCACAGCAATCCAATGATGCGAGTATTATTAATAGAGAATTTAAGTATTTTGCTTAATGTCACACAGCTGGTACATAGCCAAATTAGGACTGAGATCCACGCCTGGTTGACTATAGAGTCTAAGCTCACGTTAAAGGATCATTTTTTTGAAAATGTAAAATAATGGCTCACACATAAATATAAAATAAACACGTCAGAGTTCTGATTTAACTCCTTAAATAAATGAGGGAACCAGTAAGATGTTACAACCAGTTCAAAAGAGAATCTAAAGAAAAGACATGGTCTAAATTAGAAATTGAATTTTCAAATTGACACAAAAGTGGCTGCTTATGTTTAGGTTTGATGAAGAATGAAAGGGCATCTTTGCACTTCTACTGGACAGAATACTTACATATCTATAGACAAGATATCTTTTGTTATCAGTTCTTATGCTATCAGTTATGTATAATTAACATAGTTGTAAAATAGACTCAGAGCCACCAGAGAATGGGGTAACTTGGAAGGGGGTGCTTTAAACAATGCATATATCCTGGCCAGTAACCCTGTGCATGAAGAAAATAAATGAACTTTATTATGGAAATGTTCTATACTCTTCAAAAATAGAGACTTTATCTTTCTAACATCTGTTTTGTCGCACTCAAAGAAGGCCTTAATGTATACCTGTTGATGTTGTCTTCATCAATTGCTGGCCTTTAGGGTTTTGCTTTTGTTTTTCAAGGATAACTGGTACCAAGATTTCAAAAATTTGTTTACATCACACAGTTTTTAACTTCCAAACCAGGATCTCAAACTTAGTAGTAGCATTTCTAGAGTTCCACTTAGCATTAAGGCATAAGTCAGTGTTTTAATTAAGTCTTGAGCTACATCAATAATGCAGTAATGGGATGCAGGAAATGCTTCCCCAAAATATGGTACTTGGTGTACTGAGTAGTTTAAGCTAAAGGAAAGTGAGAAAACTGTAGAAAGTCTCTGACCTTCTCCTACTTCCTCTTTTTTGAAGACCCTCATGTGGCAGGTGTCCTATGCCCAGAAAGAAGGAATACTTCATAGAGAGGCCAAGAAGAATCTGAATAAGCAGGCCTTGATACATATTCCCAGTTGGTTATCAATAGGTCGCACCCCCTTTTTGTCCAATTGTACTTTATGACTGTTCATTCTTCATCAAACCTAATTATAAAAATACAATTTTCCCTCAATTTTGGGATCTTATTTCCAAAGGCTTCTGTGTCACAAAAAACTTTTTTTTTTTTTTGAGACAGAGTCTTGCAGTGTTGCCCAGGCTGGAGTGCAGTGGCACCATCTCGGCTCACTGCAAGCTCCACAAAAAACTTTTTAAAAATAAGTTTGTTATGCTTTTCTCTTACTAATCTGCCTTTTGTTATAAGGGTGTCAGCAATGAACCTTGTGATGGGTGAGGAAAATATATTACTTTTTCTCCTTTGCAACAGCTAGCTGTGCTAATCGAAGACAGAGTTATAAAAATCTGTCTGAGGGTTAAGTCCTTCCTAGTTGATGGAAAATGTTTAATGAACTCACGTTCTGTTCTCCTTGAGGTAACATACAACACATTTTTCTTACAAATTCTTTGAGTGGTAGTTGTCTGGAATATTAAGGAAGTTTAACAAATGCTTTATTCTTAGATATTATCTTCTCTTTTCTTTCTTAAAAAAAATCAGAAAGAATTAGAAGACCATGGATATACCTATGTATAATCACCAAGGTTTGTCCCTGAGTTTTAAGTTTGTAATTGATGTGTGTGTTTCTCAATAAAATTTTATTTGCAAAAATCAATGGTAAGACCTGATTTGGCATATAAGCTATAATTTGCTGACTACTGGTTTAGAATATAGGTTCTGGAGTTGGACTACTGGGTTTGAATCCAGGCTCTACCCCTTACTGTGAGACCCTAGGTGAGTTACTAAACATCTCTGTGCCTTACATTTGTTACCTCTGTAATAGGGATGAGAGAACCTACTAGGGATTGTTGGGAATAAACTTATACAGTGATCGGAACATTGTTTGGCATACAGTAAGATCTTACTTGGGATTAGCTTTTACTAGTCAGTTTTCAACAAGCACCTTTTGAAGGATTGTCACATCATTTATCTGATTGCTTTTTTTTTTTTTTTTTTTAAGACAGAGTCTCGCTCTGTCACTCAGGCTAGAGTGCAGTGGTACAATCTTGGCTCACTGCAACCTCTGCTTCCTGGGTTCAAGCTATTCTCCTGCCTCAGCCTCCCAAGTAGCTGGGATTACAGGTTCGTGCCACTGCACCTGGCGAATTTTTATATTTTTACTAGAGAAGGAGTTTGCCATGTTGGCCAGGCTGGTCTCAAACTCCTGACCTCAGGTGATCCACCCACCTAAGCCTCCCAAAATGCTGAGATTACAGGCGTGAGGCACCACGCCCGGCCTGATTACTTCTTCATTGAGCTAATGAAGTAAGTTCAACAAAGATGATGATTAACCTCAGATGTTGTTCATGTTAATTAATACTTTTCATTTTATTTCATTTTTGTTTGTTAATAGGTATAAAATTTTTCTACAGAGATCACGTTATCTGTATAATGACATTTTAAAATATCTTGAAAAGAAATTTAAAAAGTACAAAAACGAAGTTTGATGCTAGGAAAGAAAACGAACGAAAATCTGTTTTCCAGATCCTCAATCAGACTAAGACTCCTGGAGCCGTGAGTTTGGCAAAATGACTAAAAAGAAACCTAAAAATAAAATAAAATAAAATAAAATTCTTGATGGTTCTAGGTTTTCAGTGCTCATGTGCTGGGTTTTTCTATTGTTGTCTTTCGTTTTTTTATTTTTGTTTTTTGTCTATCTTTCTGACTTTCCAAAGGAGCAAAACTGGTTCTGAGAGTCTGATATAAGTGAATATATAGCATATTTTTGCTCTTCTGACTATAAGCTGCCTAATAAACAGTTGATATTTTTCTCAGGAACATGCTTCATGTCCCAAATTTCCAAATCTTTGGCCATAAAATGAGGATGGCCACAAATATCTTTCAATGAGTAAACTCTGTGCGGAGTCACTCCACTTACAAGCTGGGGCCAGAATGGGAATTGCACACAGCTATTGTTTAATCCAGCTGATGTTTCCCGTAATAGAATCTGGTTCCCCTCAGCCACAGCTGGCTAATTACAAGCTCTATAAATTATTTTTCTCTCATTTGAATGGTTTTGGAATCCATAGCCCAATGTGGAATCAATAATACTTCTTTAACTTCCTGCAAAGCCTGAAGAATCATGCCTAAATATTTCAACTTTTGAAACCTGAGGGAAATAAGAGGAGAGGAGGTTTGAAAATAAAAGCAAACCTTAATTTTATGATAGGGAGCTCATGGCTGAGCAAAGAGATACAGAGACTGGACCTCAAAATTAGAGCTCCAAAATGCCATACTCCTCATCTTTGGTTCGATCAAGTTGTCACAAATGAGAAAGAGGGTTAATTATCATATAATTGTAGAAGTTGTTAAAAACAAACAAAGCACGGCTTAAATTCTGCAGTACTGTGGTAATAGTAAACGAATCTTTTGCATTCTGCAGTGGTGTGTGCTTTTTGAATCATTTCCAAATGATTTATTATTTGATCTCCAAAGTAAAACCCAGTGAGGGAGCAGAGAAGACATTCTTTTGATAAAATAAAAACATTAAGTGAGAGGTTAGTTAGTGGCAGAGGCCAGTGAGAAACCAGAATTACTGATTCCAAATCTAAGGTTCTCTCCATTAAAGCTAATTCCCCAGAGCAACACTGCTACCAGCATATTCACATAGTACACTGCCTAATTAAATCCAGATGGCTCGTGAATCTCTTCTGGCTCCATCTGGGTTAATGTAGAAAATGAAGGAGAAGCAGTTCCTCTGCTTGTGTATTTTAAAGAGAAGTGGTAAGTTTTGATTATCAAAGGGAATCAGAATCATCTCTTTCTTTATCATAAAATGTCAGTATCTTCACATAAGTACATTAGTGGTCCTAACACATTAATAGCACACCACAGCTGCCCAAATCAAATTATTAAAAAAATGGAAGCACAAAACTCCAGAGTACAAATAAACCTATTAAACAACCATTGAGAGCTAATTTCCTTATGGACCTTCATGACCAAAAATGAGGTTTCCTCACTTATGTTTATGTAATAGGCATTCCAAGAAACTTAATCAGCTGGAGGGCAAATTGCAGAACTTAGAAGGCAAATATATCCAAGATGCTTCCAGGATTCTCTGAGTTTAGACATGGGAGTGTAGTGTTCTGGCTCAGAGCCAATCTGGCTGAGTTCAAACCTCAACTCTGCTGCTTAGTAGCTGGGTGATGTTAGACAAGTTGCTTACCCTCTCCAAACCTCAGTGCTTTCATACTTTTCTAAGCACTAGAAGTGAGGTTAACAACATAACCTTCTGCATGGAGCTGTGGTAGGACCAAATGAGATAAAACTCATATTCTCATGCTGTATATAAAACCATTTAATGCTTAGCATTCAGGTAATAATTTGAACATCTATTTTTGATTATATGGCATATATAAAATGTCCCCATTTTTACAATCAAAAGACAAATCTTGAAGCTTAACATTTTATGTAGGTCAAAGACATTCTATCGACTGAAGAGGAATTCGGGCATCGTTTGATCTGTAAGTGTATTAGTCCATTTTCACGCTGCTGATAAAGACCATACCTGAGACTGGGCAATTTACAAAAGAAGTCCAGCCATCTGGACTTACAGTTCCACATGGCTGGGGAGGCCTCACAATCATGGCGGAAGGCAAGGAGGAGCAAGGCACATCTTACGTGGATGACAGCAGGCAAAAACAGAGCTTGTGCAGAGAAACTCTTGTTTTTAAACCATCAGATCTTGTGAGACCAATTCACTATCATGAGAACAGCACAGGAAAGACCTGCTTCCATGATTCAGTCATCTCAAACTAGGTCCCCCCCACAACACGTGGGAATTATGGGAGCTACAAGATGAGATTTGGGTGGGGATACAGAGCCAAGGCCATATCACTAAGTATTGGATAAGTGCCTACTATCCGTCAGGAAATAAGAAACAAACCCTCACTAACCATAAAAGAGTTTCTAAATCTAATGAATAGAACACAAAACAAGACTTATTATCAGATCATATAGGTTTATTTTCAAATTAGCAGGATTTACTAGTGTTTCTCAAAACTGGAATCTATGTACCCCTGTCCACAGATATATTTTTACACAGGGTCTCTTTGTGAATTTTTTACATTTTTCTGAAAACCTTTAAAAATTAATTAATATAAACATATTATTGATTATTTTGGTGGTAACGTACATCTGAGTACCACCACAAGATTTCAGTGCCAAAGTTTACATATTTGTACTTGCGATTATGATTGTGTGAAGTCCAAGTTATGTCACTTTTATTTGTGCTTACTAATTAAGATTAACAAATAAGTGAAGCATTGAAGCCAACTAAATGCAAATTGACGTCAGAAGGCTGTATGAATAGTTGAAATAAAAAGCAGTGGAAGAAGAATTTGAATTATCACATGGAACAAGGTAATAATAGGCATGCTTATCTCAAACAATGTAGGATGTTATGGGGGTCTCATATTCATACTAAAGCAAAGGAAAAAGAAATGCACCAAAATGATGCTGTTTATTTGTCAATTTTATTATTTTTTGTATTTAATTTGTAAATGTATCTTGTTCCCATTGTTATATAAATGACATAAGGTAAGAGTTTATATTACACATTCTATGGCCTTTCTAAAGTCACTTATTGGTTCTGACTTATTGGTTTTTGTAGATTCTTTTGAACCTTCTGCATAAGCATTTCATCTGCAAATAGTTTATTTCTTCCATTCCAATCCAAATGGCCTTCTTCTTTCTTTCTTTTTTTGACATATTGGATTGGCTAGTACAATGTTGAATGCAAGTGATGACTTCATATTGATGACAATCAACTTTTATTCTTGGTACAAGTCTGTCTTTCTTTGCCTATAGGCCCTCATCCAGCATCACTCTCTGCGGGCTTACAGAATGTTTGATCCACTGATCACATAACACTGCACAGACCAAAGGACCCATTTTAAAGCAAAGGAGGTACAGCAGTGGGCATATGACGATGAGATCTACTGGTTGTGTCTCATACTATAACATGCAGGAGCTGCAGGACTGAAAGAGTGGTGGAACTGTTTGTTAAAATGCCAGCTTATAAATGGTACCCAATGAAGATGAGATGCTGTCCCTGAGAATACAGTATACACTCTAAATCAAAGACAATTATACAGTGCTGTGTCCACAACTGGTAAAATCCATGGGCCAAGGAACCAAGGAATGAGAAAGGAATAGCCCTGCTTCCCATCACTGCTAGTGATCTACTCAGGGGAATTTTGCTTACCGTTCCCACAACTCTGAGTACTGCAGACAAATAGGCAAGAGGGACAGGCAAGCGTCCCATTGACCTCCTTCTTCCAAGGCTCCTTCTAGTAAGGGACCAGCTGGCAAGAAAAGAAGTTAATTAACCCTAATTATTAGGTGATAGGGTTGTTGTTACACTTGGAGGAAACACTATGAATAAAACAAAAAGACTGGTAGTCTAGAGTACAAGCTCTCAATGTGAGTTCAATTGCTTTTTTTTTAAAAAAAATCATCGTTTTCAACAGGGGCAGAGGCTCACTCTGTATATATCCAGACCTATTGAGAGAACACAGCTATAATACATCAAACATTTGTCTGCACATTTAAGGGAATGGAGGAGAGAGGAAGAGCAGCAGAAAGGTTACCAAAGCAGGGTGTATTCATCCATTCTCAAGCTGCTATAAAGACTGGGTAATTTATAAAGGAAAGAGCTTTAAATTGACTCAAGTTCCATATGGCTGGAGAGGCCTCAGGAAACTTAACGATCATGGCGGAAGGCACCTCTTCAGAGGATGGCAGGAGAGAGAATGAGTGCAAGCAGGGAAAAAGCCAGACACTTATAAAACCATCAGATTCATTCATTATCATGAGAACAGCATGGAGGAAACTGCCCCCAGGATTCAATTACCTCTACCTGGTCCTGCCCTTGACATGTGGGGATTATAGAGATTACAATTCAAGGTGAGAATTGGGTGGGGACACAGAGCCAAACTATATCACAGGGTAAGAATGACTGGGATATTCAAGTTCATATAAAAATTTTAATTATTCTATCACTTATTAAGCAGCACATTGATAAGTGCATAGAGGGAAACACGGATCCATAGGACAATAGCTTGTCTTCAGCACCAGTTACTTCACTAAAATGAAGACTTTTGTGCTCTCATCTGTCTTGATCCACCTCTCCTGGTCATGAAGACCTGTCTTACTAGAGGGTGTCAGGCTATTTCCTCTCTCTCTCTTACCTTGTTTATGTGCTTTGTTAGTCTCTGCACCTTCATGAGGATAGTTTCTTGCCCCTCTGTCTTCTTTACCGTTTTATCCATAGCACCTAGCACAGGGCTTAACACATTGAGTTTAACTATATTAAATGAATGGGTGACTTACCAATGGTAAAGCCATAGAATGGAATGTCTTTATATTTAAAATCATGCTATAAGTGGATAATTACTAGTCATATAGTATTAATTTGTAAATAACCAGGTTCCTGATTAGTACATACAATATAATCTCATTTTTAAGAGTATGATAAAAAATACATAAATAATCATGCTGATTATCTGTGGAACATGGCAATGGGGTGATTAAATATTCCTTTCTGATAGTTTTATCTGTATTTTATATTTTTCTGCGCAATGGATATATATTGCTATTTTAAACAAGGATAAATTTATTTCTAATAATAAAATGATAAACCACTCTATTGAGACTTATTCTTATTGCCTACATGGAAAATCAAAATCATTTTATCTATGACCGAAAGTGGAGTAACTAATATTTACCTCTGGGACTATAGTTCTCAGTTGGAGACAATTTTGCCTCCTCAGCAGGCATTTGGCAATGTCTGGAGATCATTTTGATTGTCATAATTTGGGATGCGACAGTTGTCAATTTAAAAGTATAGTGGGTAAAGGCCAAAGATGATGCTTGACATCTACTTTGCACAGGACAGCCTCCCACAACAAAGAATTATCTGGTCCAAATAGTGTTGAGGTTGAGAAACCCTGTGCTAATATAATTAGTATTTTTATGCTGAAGGAGTTTCAGATAATATAATTCAGGTCTTCACCTTCAGCTTCTTTAGTGGAAGAAATGTTTTTAGTCACCAAACATGTAACTGCTCACTCTGGCTAAAGATTAGTCTTGCATTTATTCAAAAAGGAGTTCATAAAAATATATTTTAAAGATATTCCTTTATATTACAGCTATATGTAGGTATAATTCATTGAGAAAGGAAAGGTATTATGAAACAGCTATTAATAGATAAAGCAAAATGATATTGGCTATTTTCATTTGGTAGCTTCTTAATAAGAGTAAATTATTGATATAATAGTGAACCATTCAAGGCCAACTTAATGTTCACTAAGAAACAACTTCGTTTTATTGTCAGTTATCCAAAGGAGGCTCTGGCAGCCAGGATTGCTGAACATTTCACAAGGAAAGTTTCTCAATCTCTCTTTGTAAATGTCTTTAAAAATAGAGACTAGATGAGAATTTGGGCATCATCTCTGAACCCAAGTGCACTTAATTTATTTATAAATCACATTTATCAAAGAGAAATTGTATGATATAGAAGAGTCATAGAAACATGTTTGTACATATAGTTGCTTTTTAACTTAATTAATTGATTTCTGTAATGTGCCATTTTGGGCAAAAACAATAACATTGTAGAATCTTTCCAAGAGATTCACTTTCTGTTCTCACAGACTGACAATGTCTCTCAAGTGGATTACTGCAAAGCATCCTAACTAGTCTTCCCACCTCTAGTTTATAATGCAGACATTGCTCATAAATCCAAGTAAATATCTCTGAGTGTTAGTTTCCTCAAATGCACAATGAGGATAATACCTACTTCATGGAATAATGCCGAGGGTTAAATAAAATGGCACGTATAAAGCACCTAAAGTAGTGATAAGCACATAGTAGGTGCTCAATAATGAGAATTTAAAACAAAATAAAAATGCCCATGCTGATGGAGTAATGCATTTCACCCCCCACTCAGACATTTATGTTTTCATAATGCTATATTTATATAAGCCTGTGTCTGAAATCCTGGGAATTTGCCAGACTGCAAGCACAATAAGGCTCCAGCTCATGGGAGCATGAAAATTATTTGCTACAACCTCTTTCCTACCTGTTCTATTTTCTGAGAAGTAATATACCTTGGACTAGTGTAAACTACCATCTTAGGTAGAGATACCTTTTTTATAAGTTGTTTGGTTTCTGTGCAGTAAAATAACTAAATGAATCAGAAAATAGCTTCCTTTCATTTACTTCCAGAGAAAATGGAAATATACTAACAGTATTGAGTCTTATGCAATAATGTGTTCATCAGAAATTAAGAACTACTATTTGTTGAAGTTTATCTCTTTTCACTTACCCCTCACACCAACGCTAAAAATTGCCATTATTTACCCTATTTTACAGATGAGAAAGTTAGATTCTAGACAGATTGTGATTTACTCAGTGTCACATGGCTATAAGCTACATGGTTTAGATTTAATTTCAGGTTTCTCTGACTTGTATGCAGACTGCCTCTCAGCAGAAATGTATTAGGAGGAAACTAGATAAGCTAAAATTTGTTTAGTCTGCTCAGGAGTAATTAAAGGTTGAGAAGAAGTTAAAGTTTTCGTCTGGACCAAAGAAAGTTCTTTTCTTTTTTTAAGAACTCAAAATAGTTGGCTGACTCATGAGCTCTCCCAAGTCATGCTAAATTTTCAGGGTGTTGTTTTTGCCTAAATTTTCTCTCCTCAAAGCTAATGATTTCCTCCTCAGTGCTGATGTAGTTTTGTGCTAACCTAAAGGAAGGAAAGAATTACCCAAAGAGATATGAACTGTAGCTTAAATTTAGACCGTATGTATGTTTGACTGAATTCACATTCCCTGGCCCAGCCATAAGTCTTCTCTTCCCTTTTTCTCAGTGGTAGACCATATCCCTTGAAGTCAGTTATAATAAAATCACAGTTCATTGCTGGAATAAGCTACATGCAACTAAGGAATACTAAAACTCATAGCTACCCCCAAACTCTTAAAATACCTAATAAATGGTATGTGAACATTTTGAAAAGAAATTACTGTTTCCTTAATTTCCCCTCCAATCATGAGAGTCATTTCCCCCATCTTTGCTTATCCTGGCAGCTATTCAAGACCAGCTTTCGTTGCTATTCACTCTCTTTATTATATCTGCAACATGTTTGAATAGTCATAGTTCTGTGCTCAGCTTTGTAATTAGATGGAGTGATGAAAATAACTTTTACTTGAGTCCAATTTTCTCTGTATAAAAATAACTCTTTGAATCTTCTGATGTAATAAATTATAGAAAACTTTAGGTAGGATTGGGTCTAAAATTGGAGTCTGATTAGGGCCAGATGCTTCTAAGCGGTATCAGAACCATCTTTCACATTGTATTCTTTCATTGTAGACTCAGATGCTACGCCATAATTAACCTCATTCGTTCTGCAAATTTGAAGATTTATGGTGGATGACCAGTAGGACATAGTTATCACCTTACATACGAATTTATGTCCAATAATTGCTCTGCATACCAAATAGCTAATTTATAAAATTGAGGATTGGGGGATGAAATTCTCAAACTTCTTTCAGGCCTGCTGTTTATTTACCTCAGTTTCCATATGCAGATATATAACACAATGTATTACAATCAAATTTTGAATTTGGGTTCTTAGCTTTTAAAAATACCACATTTTCTAAAATTGTGTCAGGAGAGAAGATTCTTGTCTCATCACTCAGCTTACTAAAGGCATTACATGGCATTAGAATTAATACCTTGCTCCAACAATAACAGCACTGGTAAATAATTTACATCTTCATAGTACTATAAATTACAAACTAAATTTGGGATAGCAAACTGAAATCACTACAAGGCTAGTCAGGTGACCTAAATGGGTGAAGCTGGGTGAGGATGTGAAAAATGAGACAAGGTATGCATCAGAGTTTATACACTGGAATATCTGATGCAATTCAGCAATACACTAGATAGTTCTTTTTTAAAAAAATTCTCATCCAAATACAAAGCTATGAGATCTGAATGAGTACCAAACCTCTCAATGGCTGGAAGATTATCCATAAAAGTCCCTGGGAAGAGAGGAATGACCCCAAAGAGTCAAGTTGCCTTTATTCCCTACAACTCCCTCTGTGTTCCAGGGACACCAGGGCTCCTGGGCCAGCCTTCATTAGGAAAGTGCAAAAGAACTGGAACATTTCCTTGCTGAAGCACAAAGGCCCTTTGCCTCTTTTGTTGGCTCAGAAGCTTCAATCAGTTTCAGAGTTTCAAAGGTTCAAACAGTGTAGTTCCAACTGGGCTAGGATTGAGTAGTGTCCAGGGCACTGAGTAGGAAAGTGAATGTCTCTGCCCACTCAGTAACCCCCAGTTGGTGAAATCTTCCTATGAACGTCAAAACATGATGTTTTATGATTTGAGCCATCACAAGAACAGCAGAGAACAGGGTGGTGAAATACCAATTTACCCTTCACTTTCAAACAACTATTTATTACTTGGCAACCTTTGAAATAACATAAACAACTGTTCTTAAGGACTTACCAAGACCCATTCTCTAGCATCATACATTCAGAGCAGGCAGCTTCCTTTGAAAGTTATAAAAGAGTCAGGCTAGCCTAGCTGATAGTTAGAGAGCCAGTGATGGACAGACATATAAAAGCCAAGTTAAGTGAAAGGGAAAGAGAAATGAACCATTAGAAAGGGACATAGCAACTCGAAAAAAAAGTCATAGAGGAAGAACTGGGGAAAGCAAGCTCCATTGTTCGTTACCCTCAGCTCTTAGCCAAGTCAGGGGGAAGATGGAAAATGATCAGCATACAGAAAACCCACTTATTGTCAGCTTTTGTTACACTCCATTATGGCTAAGAGACCAGATAAACTTTTATTCTCTCTTTAATATGAAGAGGAGGGCAATTATTTATAAAGGACAGTCACAAAGAGGTGTCTTAGTGCCAGATATGATCCATTAACATCCCCTGGCAGACTCCAATTATCCAATCCCCACTTATATAAATTAAAATTCTGAATCATTCAGTTATTTTTGTTAATCAATTCCACAAATATCTATCATCTACTCTATCTACTATGGGTTAGCCACTGCACAAGGCACGAGTGATATAAAGATAAATGAAATGTTAACCTTGTACTCAAGTAGACTATAGTCTAGTGGATGAGAAAAAACACCACACCAGTAATGGCAGTATGGGAAAGTGGCAAGAGCTCAGCCTTCAGACCCAGATATAAATGGATTTGAATCTGTACTATGCCACCTGTTAGCTAGCCTTGCTAGCCAAACCTCAGTTTTCTCACTTGTAAAATGGACATAACTTTATATATAATGTAGGGCACTTTTATGAACCAGGAATACCATTTGTCAAATAAAATAGGTATTCAATAAATGGGCATCAGTTTGTGCTGGATACCTTGTGTTTGTCCTTCTAGATTCACACTCTACTTTTCTCAGTCCTATTCTATGACCTAGGAACTAGGAGGCTGAACTTTATAGATCAGATATATTATGAATTATATCAGTCTCCATTTACCCTTTGGCTTCTGGTTGGATTCAGTTCATTGAAGTCATTGGCAGTAGACTGGAGGACATGAGGAATGTGAGGCTGAGTATGTATTTCCCAGGATCCCTCATTGCGGAGTTGCTGTGGATCTTTCTACAAAGGGCCACAGCCTTTATAAGGCTCAGGCATTCTCTTTGGCTTGTATTAACTACTTCTCTTTTCTTCATCAAGCTTAGGGTGGAAATACTTTCTGATGCTACTAGTACCAGGTGGTACTGAACTATCTATTATTGGTTCCCCTAAATCCCGACTATTCCTTTGCTTTATTAAACTCTTCTCAAATTGTCCAGTTGGAGTATGTTGTCTGTTTCCTGCTGAGACCCTGATACATACAAGTGTCATTATTAGTATAGATAACAATGTACTATGAGAATAGAGGATAAACAAATAAAACCATCCTGGAGGATATCAGGAACAGTTCTAGGAGGACGTAGAATCTAACAACCTCCTGACGATGAACAGGAATAAGCAACGTGAAAAAAAGCAGGAAAAGAACATTCTGGGCAGAGGAATACCATATGCAAATGTTCAGAGGTAAAAAAAAAAACCCTACTACATTGTGGGGGAATTTCAAGTTTAGCTACAGCATAGAATAAGAGATGGAAGGCTGACAGATGAAGCTGAAGAAGTAAATTGAACCAAGGTCACGAAAGACCATGCGTGACTTTTTCCTCCAGGCAGTGAGATATTACTAAAGGATTTTAACCTAGGTTATAACATGCTGACATCGCATTTTAGAAAGTGATACAGAGACAAGGTTAGAAAGGGGAAAGACTGGAGATAGAAATATCAATAAGCAATTTTGGTGAAAAAATAAGGTAGCCAAATGGGGGCTTTTCTTCCCCTTTCCCCTAAACAACTAGTTGTTAAACATTGGTTAAGACCACATTAAAACGGGAAGAGTCCCTTCCCTCAGCTGCTGCCAAGGTGCTCGGTCCTTCTGAAAAAGCTAAGGCCACATTGCAGTGAGGCCCCCCACCCACAATGTGGTGAATGTGAGTCTCGAGCTGCCGGGTATGGTGCTACTTCTCACAAGTAGTACTGTGGGCCGGCAGCTCCGGTCCCACTTTCACCCAAGATTGTCTGCATCTACTGGGCCCTCATTCTGCAAAGCAATGAGGTGACCATCACGGAGGATAAATTCAATAACCTCATTAAAGCAGCTGCTGTAACTGTCGAGCCCTTTTGGCCTAGCTTCTTTGCAAAAGCCCTGGCCAGTGTCAATATCGGCAGCCTCCTTTGCAATGCAGGGGTTGGTAGATGGCTCCAGCAGCCTGCACCGCACAAGCAGGAGGTCCTGCCACTTCCACCACTGCTGCCTCAGCTGAGGAGAGGGAAGTGGAAGCAAAAAAAGAAGAATCTGAGGAGCCTGACTAGGACATGGGCTTTGGTCTTTTTGACTAAACTTGTTTTATAACATGTTCAATAAATAGCTGAACCCTTAATAAATAAACAAAAATAGATAAATACATAAAAAGAGAAGAATACCTCTGATAATGATAGCAAAATTTGAAGTCTGACTTGTGTAAACAACAACAACAACAACAAGAAAAACCTAGCCAAGAACTAACAGGCAAACTAGAACTGCAGGGCACATTCCAGGACCTGAATGGAAAGAAAGTTAGAAGGATCAGTGGGATGTCCATGAGGAGCCATGTGAAGATGGACAAGGACATTGGCACTGAGAGGAGAATCTAAAACATCTGAAGTCTCAGGTAATTGAGGTTGCAAATCAGTAATGAAAAATCAGGGTAATCTCTAGATCAGGAATCAGAAACCAGGAGCTTCACAACAACAGAAGATTATTCAAACATTAAGATGAGGGTGGGGGATGTTGTATCAAAGCAAAGCCAGAGCCAGAGCCAGAAAACTCTCAAAATGGTGGCATGGCTTCTTGCTAGTTTTTATAAAAGAAAGCTTCCGTTTCCTTGCTGGGGAATTACACTGGAATACGTTGCTACCCTCACCTCAAGGTATCTTCCAAAGAGTAAGGAAGGTCAGAGTTTAGAGAAACATCCATAGTTCAGGGCAGATGTGAGATGAAGTTGTGGCATGGGCAACTACTGATCATGTGTAGTCTTTGAGCTCATACTCCCATAGTTCAAAAAGTCTTGCAGCCAGTTGCCCAGGGGGTAGAAGTCAAAGACAGGCCAATGGGCAACTGTTTGTTTCCTTTAATTATGGTGGGCAGGACTGGCTGCATTGTTTGTGGAGCCCAGTGCAAAATGAAATGGTAAGAAAGTATTAAGTATTTGAAGATGGCAACAGCAGAACCATAAACTAAGCATACAGCCTGTGAAGTTGGCCCTCATGACTGGGTCACTTTGGTAATGATGAAAATTGGCCTAACATATTACCTTCTTCTCTTCAGTGTAGATTCTTTCTTGTATTATTCACCACTTTGAAGAAACAGAGATCTTGACTCTTTGGCTAGTGACCATAGATCTGGTAAGTGCAGACTCTCTGGAACCAGGAAACTTAAGACTGAGAGAAATATGATTTCAATGACATCTGGCTAATGCAACATCATGGCAAATGGCAAAAACTGTGAGAACATGACTGTTTCCAAGCATAACTAGTTGAATGGGCTACATGATGTAATAAACAATGCAAAATTTTCATGGACGCAGAACATAGAAGCTTCTTTCTTGCCCACATATAATCCAGTGAAGGCCAGGGGGCTTTAGTTCCACATAGTCAGAGACTGAAGGCTCTATAGTCTTGTCGATCCACTTTCCTCTAGGGCCTTAGTCAACTCCATTTAATTGGTGGATGGGGAAATAGAACAAGAATCCAGTTTAGGAGGTCTTCATGGTCCAAGACATGAAGTGGTACCTTTCAATTCTACTCACTTTTCTTTGGTTTGAACTCAGTTGCGTGACCAACCACACCTACCACAAAGGAGACTGGAAAGTGTGGTTTTGTGCCCACAAGAAAATTAATGCAGTTTATTGATGGCACCAGTTACTGATGAACACCAACAGTCTCGGCTGCATAAAGGCTATTAGTGGTAGCTCAGGTCCACATGAATTTTGTTTAAGAAAATTATTTCCTTCCTTCTTTCCTATATTAAACAGATTTTTGTCATAAGCTTGTAATATGCAGACATGTGCTAAATGCATGGGATTATAATGATGATAATACACAGAACCTATTCTTATAGAGAACTAGTCACAAACAGAAAAACGGCAACAAAAGGGCAATGTATCTGTTGCTTGCTTTAGATGGTGTTGCCTCTGGACTGATATGGCTCTGGCTCCTCAGATTGGAGCTCCTTAAAACAATGCTAGATTCTCAGTATCTATTTGTTGGGAGCATTGGTCCCTTCGAGCTCTGGCATTTTAAGATTTTTGTGTTCCTGAAACTAGCAAGAGCCAGGAAACGAGGTAAGAAGGCTAGGCAGGCATCAGGAATAACGTGAATGAGAGTTAGCAACTGGAATTTAGGGGTAAAATGTGGTAGAATAGAGACCCCACTGGGATAGTAACTTGGGGGGTATTTTATGACTTAAATAAATATAACTTTATTATGGTTAAGCAGTTCAGTGGATCTTCACAGTAGCTGGAGCACAGTGCCTGTACTGTCAAATATGCAAAAGTCCTCAAACTTTGGAGTACTTAAGAATCATACCAGGAACTTTTAAAAATTCATGTTTCCTGGCCCCAAATTCCATATATGAAGGGCAGGAATCTAGAATATGTATTTTTAGCAAGCACTTCTAGATGATTCTGTTTCAGAAAGCTTGAGATTGAGATTACGTGTCCCAAACAGCTACTGACTGTGGTAAAGCTCAGTGGAGTCAGACTTCCCCGTTTTCTTCTCTCCTGTAAGGTGTCATGTGGTAGATCAGAGGTGATCAGCATCCTTCCGTCTCAGTTTTTAAAAGTATCTTAGTGCTATGGTTTGCCACTCCTACACCCATTCCTATCACCTTTTTAGTGGTGCCAGCATTCACAGAGAAGTTATGAGAAGAAGGGAGATTGCAATAAAACTTTCCGCTGGATCCTGCTGTTGGCACACATTTGGACAAAAATTAAAGAAGACAAATGAGTCTATGAGACAGCTGGTTCTCAACATCTGGCTGTCTAACACTGTGGACAACACATCTGGATTCAAGGCTCCTCATTCCCCTGTCTGAGTTGGAAAGTTTAGGGTCAGAGAAGCTGCGTTTTTCTCCGTTTACATAGTTTACCAAAGTATTCTCATGATTAGGTTGACTCAGAGCCACCCCAGGGGTTGGAAAATTAGGTCCATTCCCACAGACCACAGACTCAGGCCACCCAGAACTTCAGAAGCTGCTGAGAAGACCCTGCCCATCACCACCAAAACATGGTATGGGACTGTCCTTCCTCCTTCTACACTTCTCAAACTACATTTAAAATTTTTTAAAAAATATTTTGCCTTACAGGGACTGCCCTAGACACTTACTCTAACCCAATTTAATCTGGAAACAGATGCTAAAGGTGGGAGCCAGGATATTCCTACAAAACCGTCAGATCCACAATATAGTCAAGAACAACATTTAGGACCCCAGACCCCACCCGGTAATCCTATCACACCACATCTGCTTGTTTTTGAAATTCCTTTTGCTTCAATTTCAAAATGTGAAGCAGCTGCTGTGGTAGAACCCTAAGTGCATGAGTCTGTATACACAAGGAAATGATACTTTATAAGCAGTGGATTCTGAAACTATAACTGGAATACCCTTGTCACACCTGTATCTCTGCAAGAGAAAATGTTTAAGTGAAGTTTTGGCTTTAACTAAGATTGCCAACTTTCCTTTTGATTGTGGCAGAATCTACAGTTAATTGAGGTCTCTGATGACTAACAGGGAAGACTATCCTATTAACTTGTGGTGTCTCTGGGTTTTGAAAAGTGAAAGTGGATCTGGCTGTAATCCAATTGCAAGAAAGATAAAATTAGCCAGAAAGAGTATCTCAAATGAGGGACAAACCTTGGCATGTTATTTTATTCCTTTACTGAGAAATTCATTGTACCCCACTCACAACTCACATTAATCTATATGGAATTTCTGCCAAGTAGGATGGGTGCCCAACTACCTAAGGACCACTCCAGAGGCAAGCAAGTTGAATCTTGAAGCTCTCATATTATCCTGTTTATGGGGGACACGGAGAGAGACAGTCTGGAATTTGTGGGAGGTTCCTCCTATTTGTGAGCCTTTTCTGACTTCCATACACAGCTCAGGAAATAATACTACATAAATTCTAGTAATTCACAAAGCAGCAGAGCCAGGAGCAGCTCCATGTGTTGTAACTGCAATGGCAATCAGAAGACAGTCATGGCTGAAGGAATATCCTTGCAAGCCTTTTGGCTTTCTTAATGAGAGATAGGGTCCTACCTGCTACTGAAGCTTGGCAAGGGTTCAGATACTGAGCATCTAGTTACTGAGTGCATACTCAGTATATATATAATTATATATTTACATATATATATATATAGTTACAGATATAGTAACTGAGTATGAGTATGCATTCAGTAACTAGAAATTATAGAGCAAAGGGAGGATGGACAAAATTGAGGAATGGGATACACTGATGTTTAGTATACTAAATCACAATCTTGTGAAAGGAGAGCTCTGAGTCTATTAGTTCATTCATTCAGTCATTATTTATTTAGTGTGTACTATGTACTAAATACTGTGCCAGTAATAAATAATGTAATAGTAAGCAAGACTTCCTTTTGGAGCATCGTGGATATCATCATGTAGTGTTAGTTGCTATTATTGGTGCTAGAGGAGCCCATAGCATGGGAAGCCACTGGAGATTTCAGAGATCAGGAAGGTCTTTCAGGAGGAAAAGACTTTGAGCAGGCACTTTTTCAGGCCTTTGTTCCTTAATGTTTAAAATGAAAACAATAAAACAACCTCATAAGTCTGGGATAAAAATTAAATGAGATGATGTATGAAAAGTTATTAGCATAGTCGCTGGACACAGTAAGCTCTGCAAAGATATAGTCAATACTATTATTCTTGTCTCAGTGTTACTCAAACTATCATTACTAGTATACTATAACTAGTATTATTATTGCTTTTATAATTATTTGGGACTTGAAGGGCTGGTAGATAAAAGCCAGGGGAAGGATAGAGACCCTGACAGACAGAGTAACAACATGTTTGAGGGGCTACAGGCAAGAGACATAATAGTCTGGGGTGACTGGACATTTAGTATGTATAGAGTATAAAACAAGAGACTGGCTGGAGACATAGACCAGATTGTAATCATGAAGAATTTTATAAGACAAGTCTAAAGAGCTGAGATTCTACCTCAAAAGCCACAAAAGGATATTACATGCAGTAATATGATCACACACAAACATATCCCACACACAGACTTACACACTCACACCACACTTATAGCCATAATTTTCAAATCGTCATGTCATATTACAGCTAGGCTTTGTAGAAGAGATAATTCATGCTTTTTATATTTAATATTCAGAGAACTGAGTCTAAAGGGAGTAATAGGACATAAGCAGGATAGCAGAAGTAATTACTGCATATCTTTTGAATGCAAATACCTTGCTTTTTCCCATCACACCACACTGCTCTCCTTACCACCCTTTCCATTATTAATACCCTGCTGTTGGTCAAACTGGAAAACTTAGTTTCCCAACCAAACTCTTTACCCTTGAAAGTATGTGGGTATCTGTAAAAAATTCTGATACTGTTGAATTGTCTCTAAAAACCAGACTCAAACTTCACACAGTATATTACAGTGGGTTCTTGGGAATCCAGTGGTTTCAGCTTTTAAGCACTGTAGAATTCTCCACAAGTAGATTTTACTGCAAACTGCCCTCCAACCCCCACCATGATTCTTCTATAGATAAAATTAAATACCAAATTAACACAAAGAGCACAGAGAAAATGGTCCCAGAGGAGCACCCTACAGATTTCAGGAGAAAAAATCATGTTGGAGAATGGATTTGCCTTGATGTTGATTCTAGGTGGTTTTGGGGCTTGATTGTTTACAAGTTTTGCTAGGCCACAGAGACAAATTCCTTGCCGCTCTCAGATGCCTTCCTCAATCACTGACTATAAATTTGATGTAAATCACCAGACTGTAAATTTGATGCATTCTGCACCCAACAACCTACCGCTTCCTCACAAACTGTTTCAAGGGTTACAATCCTGATTTTCCATATGTTAACAACTTTGAACATACCGCCAAAACGCATCTGTATTAGGTATCTCTCTGTAGAAATGCCTCTATTGAACTACCATGTAATATTATATATTTTTAAATTGTGTGTTCATAAGATGTCTAACCTGGAATTCCCCAAAAGGCCAGACGCATGGACTTGCCTGCCAATTAGTAGTTTATTTTGGGAGGTGGCCCTAATGACTAGTAATGGGGGACTGAGAAGAGTGAAAGAGGGAAGCAGGGAAAGCCAGTCCAATGTGTGTAACTGACATGGTCACTGAGTGGGCAAAGAGTCTCAATACTCCTGAGATGTTCTGAGGAGCTGAAGACAACAAGCCACAAAATTGTCCTTAAGAAACAGAAGAGACTAATTAATGACTCCCATCTCCATTGGTTAAAGGTTTGTCCCACAAGTAGTTAATTTCCCTGCATTTTCAGGCTTGTGCATGCATCAGAGTGTTGAACAGGTTTCTACAGGTGTCCCACGTGGTGATGACAAAGCACAAAGCAAGAGACGAGTGCGGCTGAGGCAAAGTATGACTGGGATAAGTATCCCAGCAATGGCAGGAGAAAAATGCAGACCAAGAGGATGTGAGATGGAGCACCAGAGGTGTCAGGAAACACACAAGGTGTAGAAGTAGAACTAGCATTTGAATCCAAGTAGTCTGTTTTGGAAGCCCAAGCTCTTACAGCAGTGGTTCTTAAACTTTAGTGTGCTTCACACTCAGCTGGAGGGCTTGTGGAAACATAGCTTACAGAGCTCCACTTCTAAAGTTTTTGATTCCGTGTGTCAGAGGTAGGGGGCAGATAATTTGTACTTTTCTCATTTCCCAAGTGGTGCTGCTGATGCTGGTCAAGGAACCACATTTTGAGAACTGCTGCATCACACATAAACACTGCTATCTTGCTAAGGGTCACTGAGAATAGCAAAGGAAACATTCATCGCTATGGGGGAAAGTTGTGCCCAATTCACTGACTTTCAAATTTTTAAGAAACTGCTTAGATGCCTCTCAAAAGGAAAATGTTCTCCTCCACAGGAAATACATGGTCTAGATCACAAATATTTGTGTCAGAAATGATAAGCTTGGCTCATGAGGCACTAGACAATCAAAGAAATGGTATTGTGATCAACTGCCACACTTCAGGCAGGAATCCTAAAGAAATAATTGTGAAACTTAGAAAGTCGTGAAAATCCAAGAGGCTTGGAGTATGATGAAGCTGAACTTCAAAATGAGAGTGTGAAAGTGAAAATGGAGCAGCCGTCTTAACTAAATATTTATATCTGGGGTGCTCTGTAATGGGCTTTCAATTTTTGCTACATATCATGAATAGCTATTACACACAAAACTGAAAAAATAAATAAGACATAGTTTCTATTTTTAAAAGTTTACAGTTGAGTAAAGATGAAAAATAAGAAAGCAATTAAAATAAAAAGATATTGGGTAAACTTTTGGAGAAAGAAACAGAACTCTGTGAGAACATAAAGTAGCAAAATTTTGTCTCACAAAACTTAAAAAGATTTTAATAAGGAGGTGATAATTAACTGGGTGTAAAGGAGGAATAGGGCTTGCTATGCAAAGAAGGAAGGAAAGACCATTCTGGGCAGAGGGAACACCACACAAGGCATCATGAAAGGCCCGAAATGTGTTGAAAACGATGTTGTGATCAGCTTGATTAGAGTATCAAGGTATATACTGGAACAAGACTGTGAAGTTTTCATGTGCCAGCTAAAGGCTTGAACTTCTTCTAATAAGCAGCAGAGAGATAGCAGAGGTGTTAAAACAAAATTTGGCACAAGCAGATGTATTCTTTAACATTCAATTTTTTAGAAAGATTTCTCGATGAAGTGTGGAAGATGAAATTGATTGGAGAAATGAGGTGTGGAAGATTAAATGTGGAAATGAAGATTCTGAAAACAGGCACTGGCAGCAGGGATATTCTATCTCTGCTGAAGCGGGCAGGTTTGAAAGATAAAGAAAGCTCAGAATCAAGAATCTAAATGGATGCAGGATATGGGAGAGAAGGCGGCATAAGGAATTTCAGGAGTTAGTTATCAGCTTGGAGTTAGTTCTTCACAAATATGTGAGCTCTTTATCTGGCTCAGTGGGTTTTCCCATAATGCTTAAGGGTTTTTGTTTGGTTTGTCTTGCTATTAAGCACGTAGGCATAGGTATAAAAAGAGACTAAAGCTTCCCATATTGTTTTCAAAAATACTAAATATAGGTAAAACAAATGTGTCAAGGTCAAGTAAATTCTCAAGGCTGTCTTAAATGTGCATTGAGATCCTCTGAGTATTCCCTATTCCCTAATTTACCCAGTTCTTAAAATTCCTTTTATTACAGAAGACCTCTTAGGACCTGTGTTCCATTGAGCACATTTTGGAAAATGCTGTCTTAGGAGGCCCAGGAGTTCATCTCTTTGACAGTGGGGTAACTCCTAACAGAGAGCAAAATGGAAGGAGATCCCTCCAAGGAGGCCTTGTGGTGGAGTGGACAGGTACTGACTTCAGAGGCAGTCAAACCTGGGACAATACCCAGATTCTACCCTTAATAAGTCTGTGATTTGGGGCGAGTTAGGTAAACTCTGGATCTCAGTATACTTGTCTGCAAAGAGCAAATAAGGATGCCTACCTTGCAGAGTTGTTGGGGAATTAGGAAATATGTATATAAAGTGTCTGGTACGTAAGCAACAAATTATAGCTGCTAATTTTACGTTGGATAGGCTTAGAATTTTAGCTCTGCTAAAATTATGTTATTACCACTTCTCCTGTTCCAGCTTTTGACTGCATTCAGAATGTCCTTATCCTCCTGTGTCTCCCAGTGCTTTATATCTTTACCTTTTGTTTTGTATTGTTCTCAAGTGCTATTGCTGCCTGTAACCTTCTACTGGTGTGTGTTCTTGCATGATTTGGCTTTTGTTTTCTGAACTGGGTAATCAGTTCATTGGAAGAAGGTCAACGTGTCTGTGGTGTGGAACTACACTTGATGATTCTAGGGTCAGAAATCATAGAGTTAGGAGAGTGCTTTTCAAAAAAAAAAAAAAAAAAGGCAAAAGCAGAGTGAGAAATCTGGGAAGCTGGAACATGAGCTATTTCTGTACAATTCCATGGCTCCAGATCCAATTTCTGTTTTGCTAAGAAGGATGACTCATAAGGCTAAATCACAAGCATATCAGAAAAAATAACTATTATGACCTCTTCAGGTTGTGGTTGAAAATGATTAAATATTATCGCAAGGATACTTCCTCTGGCTGGAGGGTAAATGTTGGCTTAACTGGAACAGAAAACGAGGTATTCCGTTCTCAATTATAACATTCTAAGCCAGTGAATTTTTTTAAAATGGTGCATCACATTTGCTCTAATATCAATATCTGATATCAGCTTCTACTCAACTTCTGTCACAAGCCAAAGTAATTTAGAAACATTACTGCAATAAGATTGTCATTAGTCATCAAGATTAACAAATTTTAGGCATGTGTTTTTTCATTTTTCTGCTCAAAATTTTCCATGGCTCCCTATTGTTTACTGAATTAACCACAAACTGCTTGATATGCAATTTAAGGTTCTCCACAGAAATCATGAAGCAAAAGGGAACTAAATTATACGTCTTAGGCCATGCTTCTCTAACTTTATTATACATACAGATGGCTTGGAAATCTTCATAAAATGTGATTCTGATTCAGTAGGCCTAGTGTGGTGTAGCTCAGAGGAAGGCTATAGCAAGATCTTAGCTGATGAGGGATTAAGGAAGCAAGAAAGAACCTTAAGCACTAAATCCCAGCCATGGCAGGAAACAAGACAGTGAAGGGCTTCAATGGAAAATAGGAGTAAGAGATGAAGAAGCCTGGAAAAATTCCCAAGAGGATTTTCCTCCAAATGCTACACTCTTTGAGACAAATGCAGGGTGCTCAGGCATTTGCCTTTCTTTCTAGGGTTTATATTTTTCTCTATCCAGGTACTTCATACCAAGTTTCCAAGAGGCTTGGAAGTAATAATGTAAAACCACTTGATTTTTTTTTTAATCTATACTATACTAGAGCTGTGTTCTAAGTTGGAGAATATGTTCCTTGACTCTTCCATACTTTAGAAAATATCCATCTTTTTAGGGTAGACTAGGGCAGCCTTCACTTCTCTTTGGTCTGAGAACTTTAATCATGATATGTAGGGGCCAGACCATCAGTCACAAAACCCATTCCAAAATCACATGGACGGTTTCATGCACATCAGACTTGCCACAAAATTCCAGATTTTTAAGGTGTTAGGATGATAACTTACTAAACACTTACTATGCAATGGGTAGCATTATAAGGGCTCTATATACATTATTTCACTTGAATCATAATACATCAGCTCTGAATGACTGTCAGTTCAATGGAATTGAATGTCTCATAAAATACTTCTAAAACCTTTTTTGGGGTTTGGTTTAAGTTGGTCCTTTATATGATTGGTACATAGTGGTTTGTGTTTTTGTGATTGGATACTGAGTATTTGGCTTCTCTTCCTAATTTTGAGATTATTAGACTCAACGGTAATTACTGAAAATTCATTATCTATAACTGGAGGTGATTTTGAGCATTAATAATGCATTTGAAGTGTTCTCATTTGGTGTTTGAAAAACATAGTGTTCTAAAAAGTTTGAGTTCTTGGCACCATTGTTCCTTCTGGGAGTTTGCTCAGCTCCTTAACTGAGCCATTTTCATTAATCAAACTGTTGCTTGGAGCTAGGATAATACCATAGGAAGTTCTCGTATGAATCTCACTTTGGCCTTTACTTGGTTAATATTCCATTTTGAAATTCAGTTCATGGGTTATGTCTCCCTTCACTGACTTCTGTGAAAGTAAAACATTTATGTGTTAAATTGTTACCTGCTTACTTGCTTTTTAAAGAGAAGTCCAAAGGTTAACAAAATAGAAATATTTTCTCAGCAAAGCTCGGTTGTAATATTAAACTTCCAGTTTGTTTCTGGAACCAGATCCACAGGAAAGCATTCTCTACTATGTGGAACTGTTTAAACACAGATGCTTTTGGTCCTGGTCTCTGCTGCAGTGGTTCTGATCATGGCTGTGTGTAGAATAACCTTGGGAGATGTTTGAAAGTATAGATCTTTAGATCCCCATCACAGCTCTAGTGAATAACAGTCTCTCAAGTATGGCCTGGAACATCTGTATTTTATTTATTTTATTTTATTTTATTTTATTTTATTTTATTTTATTTTATTTTAGAGACAGAGTCTCGCTCTGTCACCCAGGCTGGAGTGCAGTGGCGCGATCTCGGCTCATTGCAACCTTTGCCTCCCAGGTTCAAGTGATCCTTATGCCTAAGCCTCCTGAGTAGCTGGGGTTACAGATGCATGCCACCCCACCCGGCTAATTTTTGTACTTTTAGTAGAGACGGGGTTTCGCCATATTGGCCAGGCTGGTCTTGAACTCCCAGCTTCATGATCCGCCCACTTCGGCCTCCCAAAGTTCTGGGATTACAGGCATGAGCCACTGCACCCAGCCGGAACATCTGTATTTTAAAACCACTACCATCAGCACCACTGACCACCAGCTCACTGCATGATTCTTGTGCCCAGCCAGGTTCAGACCCACTGCCCTGAAAGGGTCTGATCAAAAATGGAAGACGGCCATGTCTCTACTTGGCCAACAGCTTAGACAATCAGAAGTGTGCTCTGGGGAATACATCAGAATCTCCTGTGAAGCCTACTTAAAAGGCCAGTTCCAGGACCCTAACCTGGACTCTGAATCATAATTTCAGGGTCTCAGAAATCTCTGCTTCTGTCAGGGTCCCCAAGGGATTTCCACGCACACTGAAGTTTTAGAATTCCTTTTTATATGAGTGAGCAATCAACCACCTAGGAATACTGTATTGAGTTCTGTGCTGTTATTTTATTTTACTTCTTATTTGTGGGCACAATCAGAATCATTCTAAGGAATTGTTCTCAAAATTTTTTTAAAGAATTAGTGCCCCTTAGTGAAATCTATGAATCTTCTCCCTAGAAAATTTCACACAGGCACATACACATATTTCACACTTTTCATTTCAGAAGGTTCACAGACTTGAGACCAATTTATATATTCCAGATTAAGAACTGGTGTCCTGGAGAACTGAGTTGATTGACTTCAGTAAACATTTTGTCTTGATGAGTCCACTGCAGAACACAGCAGGTCTACAGAAATAGAGGAGATGTCTGGCTCAGAGAGGTAGAGTGGAAGTGAGAACAGGGAAGAGGACACCCAGTTAAGGCCCTGGTCAACATGAAGTCCAAGCTGAATGGAGGCCTTCTTTTATAAGACCCCCGAGACCAAGGATGTGCGCAAACACTCTCTTTTTCCCTCTGACCCAAGAACACTGTGATAGGTAATAGCTGTTTCTCAATGAAATAAACATTTTTTAATACCTACTATATGGCAGCCATTGCCACAAGCTGGAGGTACAGAGATGGATCAGACACATGTGCTGGTTTCAAACGGCTCACAGCTAGTGGTATATTCCATATTGCTGGCTCTCTCACAAACCTCACTATCATGATCATGAAATATCCAGCCAAAGACATTAACCGCAGTTGCAGAGATTTGCCTGACTGCTTTCCTATTTGGTCTTTCAGCCCACTGCTCAGTGCATTCCTCTGTGGGCTCTGCTCCTGGCCTCCATCCCTAGCCCTCCAGATTTGCTTCTCCTCCTTTGGGTTTGGTGACCCATTTGGACTTCCTTCTCTGGCATATGAACCTCATATTTCCTGGACATTTGGCTCTACATACTCTAATGGCTTTGGTGCCCCTGGAGCTCTGGCCTCCAACATCAACATCCCTGGCCCTCAAAATCCTCATTAGCACTGCAGTTCCCAACCTGGAGAGAAAGAAACTTTCATTCATTTATTCGACAACATTGAATGTGCCAGATACTATTCTAGGCACTGGGAGCACATCAGTGAGATAAAGAGACAAAAATCCCCAGGCTCATAAAGTTTACATTTTAGCAGGAAGAAATTCACAATAAATGCAAAATAGTTTCATATATAGGCACATAAATAATATATGTAATAAACACAGTCAATTTTTATTACTCATGGACTCCATATTTGTGAATTCATCTAAGTGTTAAAATTTATTTGTAACCCCAGATTAAAATACAGCATTTTTGTGGTCATGTGGTCATTTTAAAACATGCCAGAGCAGTGAAAAACTTGAGTTACCTTACACACATGTCTCTAGCTGGTGTCAAACAAGGCAAAGTTCCGCCTTCCTGTTTCTATCCTCATACTGTAAGTATCATTTTCTTGGTCCATTTAGTCCCACATTTCTTTCATTTTTGTGTTAATGATTTTTCTGTGGAAAATGTTCCCACCCAAGCATCATGCTAAAGTACTGTTTAGTGTTCCTTAGTACAGGAAGGCAGTAACGTCACTTACGGAGAAAATACATGTGTTAGATAAGCTTCCTTCAGGCATGAGTGGTAGTGCTATTGGCCATGAGTTCAATATTAATGAATCAACAATATATATTAAGTAAGGTTCCTTTAAATAGAAACATACATAAAACAAGGTTATGTATTGTTTGGTTGACAAAAACATTGTGACCAGAGACCTGTATAAAGCGTGATGGTTCAGTATTCACTGATTCATTGTTTGCAGTGACATAACCACAGTGAATAGTGAGAATTGACTGTATATATTAATATTAGATTGGATTTTAGTTAATGTTATGGATGAAAAAATAGGTTCCAAGGTATACAGGGAATGTCCAGGGTGGGGGTGAACCTCCACTTTACAATTTGATGTTCAAGTGACATTTGAGCAAAGATGTAAAAAAGGTGAGGGAAGAATCCATGAGTCTCTCTTGGGGGGAAAGTATAGTAAACAGAGAAAAGAGCAAGTACAAGGCCGTAAGGCAGGAACATGTTTGGGGATGAGAACGGAAGGAGATTAGAGGAGTTGGCATGGGGCAAGCAAAGGGGAAAGTAGTAAAAGCTGATATCAAAGCCTGAACAAGGAGCAAAAGATTCTGTAAAGACTGTGACTTTTCTTTGAATGTAGTGGAAAGCTACTGAAGAGTTTCAAGTAGGGAAAGTGACATAAACTAACTTAACGTTTTAACAGTATTTTCTGTGTTGAGCATAGACTAAAACGGAACCAGAGTAGTAGAAGGTAACCCATTTAGGAGGCTTAACAATAATCCAGGGGAGAGATGATGGTGGCTTAGTCCTGGGTGGTCACTTCGATAGCAGCGGAGGTGGTGAGGAATGATTAAATTCAGGATATAATTTGAAGGTAGAGCCAACAGGATTTGCTGCTGAGGAAATGTGAAATATAAAAGATACAGAAGAAGCAAAAATGATGCCAAGGATTTTGGCCTATGCAACTGAAAAAATGGAATTGTTATTTGATAAGTCAGGCAAGCTTGGAAAAGTACAGGTTTATGGGTGGTATAATCAGGAGTTCTGTGTTGCACATTTGAGATATCCAAGAGATGCTCAAGAAGAGACACAGACTAGACAAATTCAGTAGTAGTTCAAATTTCAGAGGACAGGTCTGGACTGAAGCATCATCGTTCCATTGATGGCTTTATAGCCATAATCCTGGATATCCAAGGATATAATATATTCAGGATATAATCCTAAGTATATATCCTGGAGACAGATATCCATATATTGATATGGCAGCCAGAAGAAAGAAGAGGCTCTAGTTCTGACCTTGGAAGTGCTACAACATGATGGAAGATGAAGAAAAAACAGCTAAGAAAACTGAGAAGGAGCAGTAGATGAAGTAGAAGACAAAAACAGGAAAGTAAGATTGCCCTAGAAGCTCAGGGAAGAAAGTGTTTCAAGGAGGAGGAAGTGATCAACTGTATCAAATTCTGCAGTGGAGTCAAGAAATATGAAAAGAGAACTGAGCTTTGGATTTAGCAACACAAAGATTAGTGGTGATCTTGACAAAGCAGCCTAAGGATGAAAACTTAATTGTAGTGTATTCAAGAGAGAACAAGAGGAGATAAATTTGAGGGTCAGGAAAGAGGTTTTCATTAATGCTGGGAAAAATTACAGCATACTTGTTGTCACAAGGCAATTTTCCATGAGTCTCTTGCATTTCTGCATGTCTTATGATAAAAGACATTGATTTTGCTTTGGTCCTAGAATTCCTTTTCAAGGATATTTGTACAGTGAACAACTTTGAAGACAGAGAGGGCCTCTCTCTCCAGATCAAAAGGCCGTCATGTTTACTGACCAGGTTAATAAATAATTCAGGTTCCCCAAGTTCAGGGTTCCTCTCTCACAATGCAGCTCACTATGTGTGTAAGTACCACCTGGCCCTTTTTGCATCACCCTGTGGGAATTGGGGCTCAGGTAACCAGCACAATAAAATGCTGATCCTCTGGCTACTCTTGTTGCTGTCAGCAATTAAGTCCTTTGTCAATGACCCAAGAGGCTTATGGCTTTTCCCAGCAACCATGAAACTGTGGCAGGCTAACTTGTGGCCTGCAAGTAGGGTGAAACCTCAGACCCTTCGCAGTTCTTGACACTTGTACATTAGTAAGAACAATCCAGCAGAGAAGAAACAAACTATTGATGTAGGAGACAGGGGGAAGGATTCCTGGGACAATGCCTTGAGTGGTAAGAGGGGCTGGAATCTATTGCTCAGGTATAGGATCTCAGACATTTCTTCAATAGTAATAGAAAAGAAGGTAGAGTAAATGGGAACAGATGCTGACAGGTGGATAAGTATGGTATTGGGAGCGTGGGAACATTCTCCTGCCATTGCCTTTGTTTCTTCAGTGAAATAAGAAGCATTGTCATTAGCTGAGCAAGAGGTTGGGAAGGAAGTGCTGGAGGTTAGAAAGAGAGGAAAAGGTACAGAATTGTCATCTATGCATGTGGAGAGAATGAACTAGACAGAAGCAGCTGGACTGATGAACATTATTACTGTCCTAATTCTCACTAAGAGTGAGAACTCTTAGCAGTATGTACTCACACTTGCCCATTATGACAATCATTATAAACAAATGATGGTGACTTTTTCCTTCTTGGCATTAATAAACCGCTGTGGTCAACAAGTCTGTATTATCACAGGTACATGGGATGCACAGTCAAGTCATGTGGATCCAATTCACCAATTACACACCAGCACTTTTGCCCAGATGTTCTGGGGGCTTATGTCTCTGTGCAAATAAAGCTTTAGATTCACATTTTTGTAACAAGTGGCTATTCTGTTTGCATTATGAAATTTTAATTGCATTATTAGAGAATGGCTGTTCAATTTGTGTCTTTTATTGGTGATGCTCTGTTTTCTAGCTTACTAGACATTTACTTTATTTCCAGCTAATTACTCTAGCTTAGATTTTAATGTCCTAATTAACTATCCTGATTAACTTTATGACAAGAGCTGCAGCATAACAATCAATTTGTACAAAAATGTAATATAAATAGTATAGCCCTTTCACCTGCAGAGAGACGAGGAAGGCAAAGCTGGTGGCATTCATTTAGGCGTGGTCCCACTGAACAAATTTCCTTTAAAGCCCAGGCACATGGACAAGTCCTCAGTGTCTTGGTGAGACATCCTCACCAAGGCAGCTGTCTTGGCTGGGCAACTTCTTCTCAATCAAAACATTCAAGCCCCAGACACTTTTTGAAAACTAGCCAAGCATGCCAAGAGGAAACATAGTGAGGCCTGTATTTCTCAAATAGTCTTTATTCAGTCAGGACTCTCTGATATCCTATTTGTTATGATGATTTAATTAGTCAACCAACAAGCACTTCTCCGCACCTCCCATGTGTTCACATTGTTTTGTATATTAGTCAAGATAGGTTAGGCTCTGCCATGGTCATAAGTAACCCCCTAAAGCATAGTTGCTAAGACAGTAAAGGTTTACTTTTCAGTCATGTGAGTCCTATGCAGGTCAGGACACTGTCCCTCATCTTGTGCTATTCAGTCTGGGATATGGGGACCCCAAGGTTACCATGGCATGGGGAAAAAAAACCCAGAGTGTTAACAGGATGGATTTGGCTAATATCACTTTTATACATAGCATATTGAGCAGATTCCAATACATGACCCTAACCCTAAGTGCCAGGAAAGCTGAAGAATGTGAAGGAGCATATGCATGGTTGGGGAACCCCTATGGTTTCTATTACATTGTGCCAGGCACTGAGAATGGACACGAGGGAGAAGAAGGCTGAGTCCTTGCCCCTGAGAAGATTTTAACCTATTAGGGTGCAGAAGGGAAAGCAACTGACATTCGCCAAGTACTTCTCTTTGTCAGGTACCTTACTAGAGATATTATAATATTTTAGTTCATTTTATAACACTGTGTTTATCATTCATCCACTAGTTATTGAACAACTACTATTTCCTAGGGACTGAGAAGTGCACTAGATTTCAAAGTTGTCTAAGACTCAATACAACCTTTCAAGAGAAAAAAAGAAGATAAGCAAAACTGTCAAGCCAATACAATATAGTGTGATAAGTACCACAGTAGGAATATATGGGTTTCCTAGAGCTGCTCTAAAAAAGTATCACAAATGAGGTGATTTAAAACAACAGAGATATTTATTATCTCACAGTTTTGAAAGTTAGCAGTCAGAAATCAAGGTGTCGGCAGGGCCATGTTTCCCTCTGAGACTCTGGGTGGAATCTTTCTGTGCCTCTTCCTAGCTTCTAGTGGTGTCTGTCAATCCTTGAGATTCCTGGTCTTGAGCTACATCACTCCAATATCTACCTCTGTCATCACATAGAATTCACCCTGTGTGTCTTAACCTTCACATGGCATCTTTCTCTTATAAGGACACCAGTCTTATTGGATTAGGGCCCACCCTAATGACTGCATCTTAACTTACTATATCTGCAAATACCTGTTTCCAAATAAGGTCATATTCATAAGTATTAGGGGTTAGAACTTCAACATATCATTTAGGGGGACACAATTTAATGCATAAAAAGAGATAAGCTCAGGATACTATGAAAACACACAGGAGTAACACTTGAGTCAAAGAAATTTCCTAAAGAAGATAATGTCTAAGCTAAGTCCTCAAAAACTAAAAGTGAACAGTCATTGGAAGAAAGGCACTTCAGGCAGAGGAACCAGCATGTGCAAAGCTCTAACAGCAATAGAAAGTCTGGTGCACTGTGCAAGCAGTTCAATCTGGCTGGAGATGAAGTTCAAGTTAGGGGTAATGGGGAATTTTATGTGTCATCTTGACTGGGCTAAGGGATGCCCAGATAGCTGGGTAAAAACAAAACACACACACACACACACACACACACACACACACACACACACACACACACACTTTACTTCTGGGTGTGTCTGTGAGGCTATTTTTAGAAAAGATTGGCATTTGAATCTGAGTAAAGAAGATCTACCCTCATCAATGCCAGTGAGCATCATTCAATCCATTGAAGTTTCAAATACAACAAAAAAGTTGGAGGAAGCATGAATTCTCTCTCTCTTTTCTTGATCTAAGACATCCATCTGCTCCCATTCTCAGACATCAGAGCCCCTGGTTCTTGAGCCTTCAGACTCTGGGTCTTGCAACAGCATCAACATTCCCCCAACCAGTTCTCAGGAACTTTGCCCCAGTTCTCAAGTCTTCAACCTCAAACTAGGAGTTAGACCATCAGTTCCTCTGGTGCTCAGGTGTTGGAACTTGGACTGAAAGCCATCACTGGTTTTCCTGGCTCTCCAGTTTGCAAAGGGTAGATTGTGGAACTTCTTGGACTTCATAATTGCATGAGCTAATTTCCATAATGTCTACTTAAATCTCTCTCTCTCTACGTATATCCTATTGGTTCTGCTTCTCTGGAAAACCCTGACTAGTATAGCGGGAAAGTAGGAAGAGATGGGACTAAAGGGCTGGAGAAAGTCTTGATTGTGAAAGGGATTTGAATGAGCTGAAACTTTATCCTGAGAGCCAAAAGGTTTAAGCAGGAAAGTAAGAGTATCAAGGGAAGTATACTTTTTGACAGTATGAGAATTTTCAAAACATTATTCTGATTGCAGAATGGGGCAAAGATTGAAGAGGGCAAGGTTGGAGTTTGGAAATTATTATAATAATCTAGGGAAGAAGGAGTGACAGCCCTGAGAATGGTAGTAAGAGTAGTGGTAAACAGAACTGGGAAGATGCTGGGGATATTTAGAAAGGAAAATTATACTTTATGGTTATTAAGATGTAAGGGAGAAATAATGGTAAAAGATGACCACCAGTTTCTGGCTAGATGGTGGCACATAATTTAGTGAGATAAGGAACAATGGAAGAGGAATAGCTTTGACAGGGGGTGGGGAGTTGGGGTTGGGTGGATTGAGGATGGGAAAGTTGCTGATGGTGAGAAAGTTGCTGAGCTAGAAATACCTGTAAGACATGTCATGGGGAACCCAGGCAGTTTTATAGCCATGCAGGCTAAAATCCCTATGCTCTTTCAGCCAATAGGTGGACACATCCTATTGTCCACCAAACCTGCACTAGCAAAATTCTAATGGAAAACAAAAATATGCTTACACTATTCAGTACCGAGTATAACTGGAATTCATCAAAAGGAAAGTCCTTGTGACCCAAGAAGAGAGATAAGTCTTGAAGAACAAGGCAAAGACTCTTGAGCTACGTCTTTGAATGATAGAATTTGGAGAGCCAAAGAGAAGTAGGAAGGCATACCAGGTAAGAGCACGGCAGGAGGAATGGTGAAAAGGGAGACTGAGCCTGGCCTCCTGGGGTGAACAGTTCAATTTGAGAAAATGAAAGAGATTAGATGGGGCAAGTGAAGACAAGTGAGGGAGGTCATGGCAGCCAAACAGCAAGCTCTTTTCAGTGTCATCTCACTAAAATGGCACTGCCTATCTCCCAAGAGCATCTCATGCTCTCTCTGGATATGAGGAGAAAGCTCATTCCACAGTGCTTTCAGAATGAATGAACGCATGCATGAACATTTACTGGGATCACCAAATTATTAAGGTTTCTTTTCGATCCATGAGTCAGCATCTTTGTTTACACACTTTATTTTAGTGACTTTTTCTTGTCCTTCAACGAGAAGATGAGGACATTTTTTTAAGAGAAAAGAAAAGAACAAGATGATTTTGCTTTTTTAGTAATGGGGATTTATTTTAGTCTCAGGGGAGGCATCATAGAAAAAAACCCTCAGCCAGAAGTTAGGACATTGTGATTCTCAGCCACTAACGAGCTGTATGACCTTGGTCACTAGGCCTCTGCAGGCTCTGGTTGTTTCATTTGCAAAATAAAACCCAGACCGGGTCATCTTTCAGTTCCCTTCCAGCTCTATTATTTTATGATTTGCTCTTAGTCTTTATGAGCCATGTATGATTTATCAGTCTCCCTGATGCACTCAACTCCAATGATGCAAAAGCATTGTAAAGAGCTGAATTTTGACTATGTTTTCACAATGTCAGAATAACTCAATGGTTCTTTTAATTCAATTAACCAAATATTCTGATACTTTCATGCTGGCCTGCATGCAACTGTACCTGGTTATGTGCCAATTCTGTTTGATGTCCATACCAGTTCCTACCCAATCTGATTGGTACCAACGAGGGAGCCTGGTTTAGTTATCTTACTTTGACAGTACCTGAAGATGATTGTTTAACCAGGGACTTTACAGTAGAAGTTCTTTGATTTTAATGTGGGAGAGTGGGGTTGGGTGGATTGAGGATGGGAAGGTTGATGAGGGTGGGAAAGTTGCTGAGCTAGAGATACCTGAGAGCTAGAGATACCTGACACCTGAGAGACATGTCACAGGGAACCCAGGCAGTTAGATAGCAATGCAGACCAAAATCCCTATGTTATTCCAGCCACTTCCTATTGCCAATCAAAGTTCCACTAGCAAAATTCTAATGGAAAACAAAAATACTCTTACACTATTCAGTACTGAGTGTAACAGGAGTTCCCTGAAGGGAAAGTCCTTGTGAGAGAGAATGCTCTGAGGGAGTGTGTGAAAATGCAGATTCCTGGGCCCTAACCTCAGAGAGTTGTGAAAGGTACCCAAGTCTCTTCATTTTAACAATCTCAAGGTAGGGGTCCCTTGACCATTATATGAGAAATGTTACCTTAGATAGGGAAAAAACTTTGCTGAAAAACATTAAGTCAACACCCTAGATAAATTGTGGTTTATGGTTTATAAACCAGTAACTTAATTGTGGATGTTGGTATGTGAAATTATTGGGATGGTTGGTAGTAGGACTACTACTTGGCTCTGAAATTAGCAACAGTTCACTCTGAGGACAGGTTGGGAAAGCGCATAGCTCTGAGTGGCTACCAATATTTTGCCTCCTTCTGGCTTTATGTGCTGCTCTGACTACTGTTGTCTGTTTCTTAACTGGAATCATCAATTTGTACTGATGTTGATATTCCCATTGAGGAGAGGTCCATCTCTCTCTAGAGCATCCAGTTCTTCTGGTCTGAGCTTCATGTTTCAGACAAGGAGCTCATCAAATTCCAAGTTCACCAACTTCCCGGCTTGCTCTCTGCCCTGTCTTGTTTGCAGTGTCTCTGCTTTCATGTAGGCCTGTGTAGAGATACAACCAAGCTTGAGGATGGAAGGACTGCTGTGAGATACTCTGAGATGACTCTCTTTGGAGACTCCTTGAGACAGTTTTGTGCTGCTGAGCAGTGGGAGATTTTAATCATGATACTCAGCATTACAAAGAGGATTCTCCTTGTAGCTGGAGTCTGGAAAACATTTCACCATTTTTAAACGGTCTCAGTTGCATCTTGCCTTTTGGTTCTTTCAGTGTATGAGAAGTAGGCTTCTGTTTACAGAAGTTTTATAATTTGTAATTACAGTTTACAATACTGGGTTCTGTTTAACACTGAACATATTTGGAACAAAATTGACCAGTCTGTCTGATAGTGTATAGGCACATAACCACAGCACAACCGAGTAACAGGGTTATTGTGTGTCCTTCCCTACATCTCCACCCTGCCTAGAACAGCCTAAACCAGATGGTCCTCAACCTTTATTCATCACAATCACTCTATGAAGAATTTGGAGGGGAAAGGGTTGCTTCTAAAATACAGATTCCTCTTCCCACCTTCATTGGGCTTGTGCTAGGGTTTAGGAAGCTAAAAAATTAAACAAACACCCCAAATATTGGTGATTCTGATGACCACAGTTGGTGAAATATTATCTAGCTCTCAAAGCTTTCAGGTTTACATGGTTCTTGGGCATGACATGCACTTCCAGGTCTCGAGGGCTTTATTCAGTTTGCTTCTGCTGAAATGCCTTTCCTAGCTTTGTCTAAGGATGGGAATTGAAATGTCAGCTCATCCTTTGAAGCCCAGCATAAATGTCTTTTCTCCTGTACCTTTCTCACAAACTCTCTCTTCTTTACCACTGTACTTTGCTCTTCATCTGTGCCCTTATTGCATTTTCTAAATAACACAAATGTTATACATAAGTAGTTATTAATACACTTGCTTTTCTAAAGTGTGAGCTTCTGGAAGTCAGGGGCTGTGCCATCCTTGTTTCTTCAGTGCTCAGCATTGTATCTCACATGCTGTATTACTCTGTTTTCATGCTGCTGATAAAGACATACCCGAGACTGGACAATTTACAAAAGAAAGAGGTTTATTGAACTTACAGTTCCACAGGACTGGGGAGGCCTCAAAATCATGGTGGAAGGTAAAGAGGAGCAAGTCACATCTTACGTGGATGGCAGCAGGCAACAAAAGAGAGCTTGTGCAGGGAAACTCCCATTTTTAAAACCATCAGATCTCATGAAACTCATTCACTATCATAAGAACAGCGCAGGAAAGACCTCTCCCCATAATTCAATTCAATATGAGATTTGGGTGGGGACAAGGCCAAACCATATCACAAGTTTTAGGTACTTTTTTTTTTTTTTTTTTTTTTTTTGAGACTGGATCTCACTCTGTCACCCAGGCTGGAGTACAGTGTTGCTATCTCCACTCACTGCAACCTCTCCTTCTGAGTTCAAACGATTGATTCTCATACCTCAGCCTCTTGAGTCACTGGGATTACAGGCATGTGACACCATGCCTGGCTAATTTTTGTATTTTTAGTAGAGATGGGGTTTCACCATGTTGGCCAGGCTGGTCTTGAATTCCTGATCTCAAGTGATCCACTTGCCTCAGCCTCCCAAAGTGCTGGGATTACAGGTGTGAGCCACTGTGCCTGGCCTTAGGTACTTTAAAAATACTTTGATTCTAATAAACTGGTACAGACACAGCTAAGCTGTGTAACACATCTGCACAAACTAATACACAGGTAGCAGTTGTTTTCTTCAAAATGTTGTAAAGTAGCACTTTGATCTTTAGTGTCCTCTTTAGTATCTCAACAGTATAAAGGCACAGCGTGAGATGAAATCTTAGTGTTTTAATCAGGAGGCCCTATACTTGTGTGGATCACTCTTTCCACTGTGGTCGCCTTTTCCAGAATCAGACTGTAGAATCACTGTTCACTCTATTGCGTGTGTTGCCTTGTGAGAGAGCGATTGCTTCTGGGGGTGAACAATAAAGAAAACCAGAGGCAGAAGAGAAGAATCTTAGCGGCAAAAGCTGGGATCCAATTTCCTCACCAGGACAGCTTCTTTTCATCTCTAGTGAGGAGGTCATTTCTACCTTATTCTTTGTCTGTTTCAAGCTTTCTCAGAAGCAGCAGCTCCATGGGAACAGGCATTTGCTGTCACACGTCAGGTATTTAGGCGTCTATTAAGGAAAGATGAAAAGAATATTAGATGTGGCAGGGAAGAGGAGAGGCAGTGGAGAAGAGTGCAGAGGACAGGATTTGGACTGTGGATGGGTATCTTGCTAGTGGGAGTAATGTGTGGCTGGAGGGGGATGTAGTGGCATCTATTGTCAATCCCCTTAAGATTCAATTACCAAAGGACCTACAGCTGTCCTTCCTGTACTCCAATCAGCTGCAAAGAATCCAGAGGGAGGAGCACCAAGCAGAGAGCTTCAAGAGCCTGAAAGTAATGCAGCTTTGAAAAATTTCAGTTAAGTCTAGTCTGCTTTCCTCCAGTATCTCCCAAAGTGTCTGAAACTCAGCTTGATTTCAGCCCAGAATCAAAATGTCCCAGAATCTCTCCTCCAGGAAATATTTTAAAAAGATGTTTGTATCTATTACATTTCCTCTTCACGACCATGCTGTGAAGGAGACAGGCACAATAAGAAGTCTCAGTTTTGGAGATGAAAAACCTACAGTCCAGTAATTTCCTTAGGTACTTCAATTAATGACAGAGCTATGGCTGAGTGAGGAGTAATCGCTCATTTTCCAGCCATGCTGAGGTACAGGTTGGGGTGTAGGGAGGTGAAGGACTATTTTTTCCCTCCCAGACAGAAAGCATGAAAGAATAATAAAACTAAGAAACAAAATATCCAGCTCAGTCATTTCTAAGAGCAGAGTCCAATACTCAATGGACTGTTGATGGCAGATGTGTGAACACTAAAATCAGAAAAGGGGACTTTAATCTGGAGGTAATGACAAACTCAGTGTGGGAAGAATCAATTATTATGTGAGTCACTGAGCGTTGTTATGAGCAGCAGCCTTTCACAGAAAGCACCTTATTGCCATAATACGGCAAGATAAAGAGGGCTTCTTTTTCTTCAGATCATGGGAATTAAAGCTATTACAATTTGGGCAGAAATTACTTTTAAAAGCATTTGTTTATCACCTATCTCCCAGCTACTGAGTGCTGAAAACAAAGGCAAGCATTCTCTTCCAAGCCTCTGAGTGCAGGCTATCCAGTACCAGTTATTATTTCTTCAAGCCTCTGAGTGCAGGCTATCCAGTACCAGTTATTATTTCTTCAAACCTCTGATGAGAATCACTATTAGACCACCAGTTTCTGGATGATTTAGGGGTTGGAGGATTTAAAGTCCTAACCTCCAAACACATTGATCATTTTCTATTTTTAATCAGTACATATGTCTGAGAGCCTGAACTACATTAGATCATATTATCTCTTTTGATGGAACTAAATGGGTGTGTTGGGGCTAATGGGCAAGTTTTTCTTCCCCTTCTGAAGGTTCACTGAAAAATCAACTCATGAAAGGTAGATTAATTGGAGAAAAGGCATACAACTTTTTCTAATGTGTACATGGTAGACTTCAGAATAAACACCCAAATATACAAGGGAAATTGTCCATTTTTATGCTTAAGGTTCACCAAAGTAAGTACAGCCATGTAGAAATATGGTGGAACAAAAAGGGTATGATCTAATGCTAATAGACTGAGTGGGGAGACACAGCAAGGCCTGTCTGTCTAGATTCTTCTCGTTCTCTCTGAGCAGCATTCCTTCCTTCTGGGTGTGTGGCAAATCCTCATCTGGAATAGGGGTCATATGACCTACAGTCAAAGAAGGTAGATCAGATAATTTGTTTATGGCCAGTTTTCATACAGAAAGGTGGAGGAAAAGTTAGAGTGATATGTTTAGGTTTTATGGTTGGCTTTGGGGAAAAGGGGTTGCAATTTCCATAACATACCTTGGGGAACAGGGATTCTAGTTTCTATATCTAGCCTCATGGAAGAATGAGAATGAGAGGCTGGAGGACAGGAGAAGGTCAGAGAGAAATTTAGACTGCTTCTGAGGCCTTTTTTTTTTTTTTGGTATTGTTTTCTGAGTCCCGACAGGGACATAGGAGTACCAGAGTGATGATATTCTCTTTAGACTTCTGAGACACTCTTCAACATTATTTTATGACAAAAGTCCATGAAAATGACATAGATATGTGAATAATGTAGCTGAAAGTGACATAATAACTAATTGGCATCTAAAAAGGCCTAGATTAATAACAGTGCTATTGCCTATTATCTTTCTCCTTTTAAAAGATGACTTCATTGAGGTATATTTTACTTACCATATAATTCACTCACATCAAGTGTACAATTCAATGATTTCTTAGTACATTTTTGAAGTGGGGGCAACCATCACCACAACTTAGTTTTAGAACATTTCCATCACCCCAATAGGACGCCTCATGTCCATTTTATGGGTTAATTCCCACCCCTACTCCACACCAGGCAACAACTAATCTACTTTCTCTCTCTATAGATTTGCCTTTTTTGGACATTTTATATAATTGAATCAAACAACAAGAGGTTTCTTGTGTCTAGCATCTTTTGCCTAGCGTGTTTTTGAATTTTACCAATGCTGTAGGATGTGTCAGTAGTTTGTTCCTTTTTGTTGTTAAATATCATTCCACTGTATGGATATACACATTTTGTCCATCCATTTACCAGCTGGTGGTTCTTTAGGTTGTTTCCAAGTTTTGACTGTTATGAATAATGCTGCTAAAAACAGTGGTGTGCAAGTCTCCATGGATATGCTTCCATTCCTCTTGGGTATATACTAGGAGTGGATTTTTTTTTCTTGGGTTACTCTCACTTCCCTTACCATGGAATTTCTTTAAAATGATGACGCAAGTCAATCTATGTATCATCTGACTCTTCCATTGGAAAGTCAAAGTGAAAAGGGACGATAAATCAGGCAGTCAAGGGATATTTGGAGGCTGAAATCTCCCAAGTTGGTAGAAAACAATTTTCCCTGAGAAAACCCGTAGCAGGAAATGGGTAAAAGCACATGACATCAACCAATGCAGAGAAAGAGAAGTTGAAATACTCTAGTTTACATTTTCTCCTATCCTTCAATCTCCTGCCACTGTATGCTTTTGGCCAAATATGGCTAGAAGCCAGTTGGCAAAGGCATCTGGAAAAGAGAGCAGGGCAGAAGAAGGGCAGAGAGAAAGATAATAGAGCAAACAGGTAAAGGGCCAGCTGTGCCTGCTTACTCACCTAATTCACAGTCGTCAGTGTGTGTGTGTGTGTGTGTGTGTGTGTGTGTGTGTGTGTGTGTACACCATGGGCCTTCTGTCCTCCCAAATAGGGCCAATACAAATTCGTGTAAGTTTTCTGTGCCTCGAATAAGATGCTAGTGCCAGAAGGGATGTTATCAACCATCCAGGCCTATGGTTTTTGAAGTCCCATAGGAGAACTGCTGAGCAGTAATTAAAACAGCGCTGCTTTTTTCTGCTTTACATGTTAAAGCTTCTAAGTAAAATTCACATTGGGTAAAGTCCATGGATTTAAAAAGGTAGATGTTCACTGGTTAGCCCATCTCTGCCTTTGACAAGTGGAGAAAATGAAGAATGAAGAATTTAGCGACATTTTCGAGATCCTGCTGAGCTTCCTCCCACAGCTAAAAAATATTTGCTGAGAACAGAGCCAAGACTCGGGTTGCCAGGGGTCTGTGCACTCACCACCAATCTCTACACTAAAACCCTCAATCTCTAGTGTTATCTAAGAATTATCAGAAGAATTTTAAATACAGTTGTAGGTGCCTTCCCTCCCCATATCAGAATATCCAGGGTCAGGGCCCAGATATACATTATGTTTTTTAAAGTTACACAGGCTTTTAGGTACAACCCCTAGAACAACTGCTCTAGGGAATCACCAAGACTCCTCCATCAAGAGTAAATTCAATTACAATCATCCCAACTTACATTTGTATAGTACTCTCCCATTTATTATTTAACTTAAGCATTGCAGAACCCTAGGAGGTAGATGGCAAAAAGAACTAACACTTACTCAAAGTCAAACAGCAGGAAATGAGCCCCAGTATTAGAATACTGGGCTTCTGACATACAGTCTTGTGCTCATTCTTATCACTGCATGTTAACTTTCTCTACTCCAGTTATTATGATAGGAACATGGCATTTTAGAACAATTTCTAATAAGGGAAACATATACAATCCCTGTTTCCGTAAGCATTATGAATACCATGAAAGCAGTAGGAAAGAAGTATTTCTTCAGTTGCATGCACATCTGTAATTTACAAGAAAACCACCCACTCCAAAAATCAAGTGATTTCAGGAAGTCCACAGCATTTGCATCTCATGTACTAGGAAAAAAGTATCTTTTCAGTGTCACACATAGCTCACTATGTTCTTCCCCTCATGCTCTAGCCACAGTGGACTTTCTTCTGGCCTTCTTCCTGTGCATATATGTGGTTCCCCTCCCACTTCATCTCAGTGAAGTCTGTGGGTAGAAGCCACCATTCTCTTTGTGTTATAGTGTGCACTTCACCAGCCACTTCAACATTGGAAATTACCCATCACCCCCTTCATGCTTGGTCTGTGATATAAAGCAGGAGCCTGGGTATTCTGAAAATGTTACTAATTTCATTTCTGGTGGATAAACTTCTTATTTTTACTACCTCCCTCTCCTTGGCTGGCCTCCCTTCTGGCATCAGCCCATTACCTTTGGGCCAAATGGGGACTCTTCATATTCTCTTCTCTGAGGGTAGTACTTCCCTAGAGGCTCATGGGTCCTGTGCACAAATGGAACCATGGTGAGTTTATAACATCAGCTTCCTAGAAATGTCAGAATTTATGATTAGTTTCCAAAAGATGACAGCTCTCCTAGTTCAGTTCAGAATTAATTTGACACAAAATTAAACTAACTAGAATTCCCAATTTTCTGAGCATCCTACTTAATCAAGATATTATTATGTATATTATAAGGTAGATGCTTATAGTCATCAATATTTATTTATTTTAAATTAGAAACCAATTACTTGCGGATCTCAAATACTGATGTGCATGAGAATCATCTGGGGAACATATGTAAAGTACAGATTCTTGACTTTTCCATCTAGAGGCTCTAATTCAATAGGCCCTCACCACAGCCTGAGAATTAGCTTTTTCTTAAGCACCCAGGTGACTTTGATTGGGTTAGAACAAGTCCATATCCTGAGAAACACTAGTTTACAAGCTCAGTCTTCTAAATGTTAACTTTTTTTCGTCTTAAAAACCTTTCACATAGGTTCTACCTCAGAGCTATTTAGAACTAGAATCTAGCAAGAGAATAGGAGGTAGGAGGACAGTAGAGTATCTCTGCAGTAGATTCAGAAGATCATCTAGAATTGGGAACCACTGTCTTAAGTTTTATTTTTCCCTAAAATTAAAAATCATTATCAACACATGAGAATTATTTGATTTCAGAACCATGTTTCTCTTAAGTCTGACAAAAAGACTGAAAGGAAAACTGTAGGCTTTTCCTCGTGTAAATGAACATTTTTAAAAGATATCAGGTACCCAAATACAATGTGATATTTTAACATTTTATCCTTAAGTGATAACATTGTATGTTTCATTTAAATTTTTCATATATTGGCTTCTCTCTGACTTGTACTGTCAGACTATTCTACTAGGTTGAAAGTTCCAATTAGGATAAATTCTTATCATTCTATTCAGTCTCTTTGTACCTTCCTTTTCCTGACTCTCTTTTCAATTAGCAAATCAACAGATTAATTTTACCTAATGATACCGTATTTCTCTTGCCCAGGTATCACAACAACAATCTAACAGAAGCTTAAGTATGCTTAAGAAGACAATGAGACCAAATGTTTAAAATCAGAACTTCCCTGGAAGATGCAAAACACACCTTTTCCTCTTTTTGAAATGCTGAGATTTTCTTATCCTCACATAGATCTCTTAGCTGTTCTAAGCACCTCCTCCTACCCTCCCACAGCATATCAGCTGCTAGGTGTATCTTAACTAATTTAAATACCATGTTGAGGCTTGCTGTGCAAGAACTACTCTCTGATTCACAAACATGGTTCCAATACAAACTGTTTTGAAGATGTAGGCTTTGGAATTATAGAATGCTCTGTAAACTCTTCTAAAGTGCATGTAAACCTAATCAGATTTAAATGGTTTTCCTTTCTCTCCCATTAATTTATTCACTTCACTCTACAAACATCTATGGGGTGCCAGGGGCTATGATGGGCTCTGAGTACAAAGATGAAGAGAGCCCAATATACCCACCAGTCTGGAGGAGCAGAGACAGTAAAACACATTAAACAAATGATTATGGCCATGTTAATTATAACTCAGTGATAAGAAGTACAGTAATAGTTTAGTAATAACTAAATACTAATTACTATTGGTAATAGTAATAACTGAACAAGAAGTTATGGCGAGGCACAGGAAGGAGAAATTGCCTGGAGAAGGATGGTGTTGCGAGAACGTCTCTCCAAGGAGTTACCATTGGAATGGAATCTTGAAAATTAAGTAGTTTGCTAAGTTCATGAGACAGGGGAGTGCAGAAGGAAACAAACGGCTTAACTGAGGAACTGAAATGCATTCAGAACTGCAGAGTGAGGTGTGAAATTATAAAGATAGATCCAGATCATAAACGTGCTTGTAAGGAACATCCCACAAAGCAGTCTCCTGAAGGAGAGATGCAAAGGACTTTTGGAGTCGGCCCTGGGTAGACTATGAGAGAAAGAGAGAGAGAGAGAGAGAGAGAGAGAGAGAGAGAGAGAGAGAGAGACAGAATTGTGACAGCTTTCAACGCCTTCCTTCTAGACCAGGTCTCCAAGGCTGCTCTGCTTTCCCCGTCCTAAAACTGATTCTTCAGTGATTTCTTTTATCGTGTGTCCCCTCCTCTCCATTAGCCTTCTAATGGCTTGAGCTACTTTGAATCAGGTTTTTGGCACTGACACTCTGGTGCACTGACTAATGATGAGGTCCCCATTGACCCCTCTTCTTCCAGAAATGCCCACAGTCCCCTACCCTGGATGGAAAGAGAGGCTCTTCCCGAAGTTCCCATATGTCATAGTAAACCCCTGTCCAAAAATTCCATGCCCAAACAAACATAAAAAAAAAACACATACACACACACACGCAAAGCAAACACCTTTTACTTAAGAAAAAGCAGCGGCTGTTCTTAGAAGTAGACCACTAACAACAAAAAGTAACAGCTGTGGCATGGATAACCCTGATTATTTGCTTAAACTACTATGCCAGTTGCACAATAGAGCAAATGGAACTACAAATGGAACTCCAAACATCAAGCAGACAGGATATAGAGTCACTGCTATTTGTGAGTCTTTTTCATTTCGTCTACGTGTTTGAGGATGGGAGAGACTCAACTTAGAAGGTTAAATTTGTGGTCTTTATTTCCACCACACTAGTAGCATGATCAAATGTGCATTTAAATCAGATTTTTCTGGTTTGCCGCTTGGGAAATCCCTGCGCTATAATTCTTCAAAGTGGGTGTAAAGTGAGTTTATCCAGTGTGTGGTTAGAAGAATTAGAAACCATGCTGATTTCCTAAAACACACACACACACGAATATATATAAAAACATCAGATTAAGGGCAAGTGCATCAGTTATCTAGGGCCAAGACCGACTGCTTAAAAAAGTGCCCCAGAAAAGAATTCAGTTTCTATTCACTTAGAAAGAAATAGGTGGTCTCTGTCAACATGAGGGGCCAGATTGGAAAGCCTTTTGCAAGCCAAGTGCTGAGTTGCTGGACTGAGCTGACTGGAGCCTGGCTGTCTCCAGCCCTGGGCAGATAACACTGGCTTCAGGTTCTAGAGGCATTTCCAGGGCAAACCCCAAAGAGGCTGCATTCCTGTAATCTGGCCTGAGTGTTCTCACAGCACAGAGGGAAATGAGACTATCTCTGACTTGCCAATCTCCATCTGAAAAAGCATACCCCATTGGCAGCAGCCTCTTCTCCCAAGGATTCTGGGAGAAGATCCAGACAGAAGCACTTTATGTGGGGCAAAGGAGGCACCACTTCAGCATCCTATTTCCTCTCCTGGCAGACAGACATTTTTCTATTTGTCTGTTGCAGAAACTAGAACTGGATTGTGTGCCTAGGACATCTAAAAGATGGAAATCAGTGACTGAGGGAAAAACTGCAAAGGTTATGAGGGGGCCAGGAAGAGAGGAGGGAGAGCAGAGAAAACTCAAATTTAGGTACCAATGCAAATCCCATGGGTCTGGCTAATACTGACAAAGAGCCTCTAGTGGGAGGCTGAGATGGGGCCAGCTTGCTCAAGGGACTTCCATTAGCAGAGGAAAGTTTCTGGTTTTGGAATTGTTGGCGTCATCTGCCATATTTGGGGTGAAAATCTTCTGTTTTTACCTAAGGATGAAATGGTTACCATTTAGATGGCAAGAGAACACTAAAACTACAATAGCAACAAAAACCCATTCTTGCTGGTTGGCCATATGAAAGCTCTTTCTCCTCAGTCTCAGACTACTCTTGGATCTCTCACATATCCCCAAACCTGGCCAATATATACCAGCTACGAAGCTTTTATTTGTTAAAAATGACATTGTTACTATTTTCTAACTATATATGCTCCTTGGAGAGAAAAAAAATCAAAGAAACATAGAAAAGCACAATATTAAAAGTGAAAACAATCCAAAAGTTCATCAACTGCTATAAACATTTTTGCAAATCATCTTTCCATTCCCCTTCCTTTCCTTTGCTGAATCCTTCCTGCTCCCAAACATTTATTGAACATTTACTTGGTCAGTGTTCCCCAACCTTTTTGCACCAGGGACTGGTTTCATGGAAGACAAATTTTCCATGGACGGGGGGTGGGGGCGGGAGTTGGGGGATGGTTATCAGGATGATTCAAGCACATTACATTTATTGGGCACTTTATTTCTATTATTATTACATTGTAATATATGATGACATAATAATACAACTCACCATAATGTAGAATCAGTGGGACCCCTGAGCTGGTTTTCCTGCAACTAGATGGTCCCATCTGGGAGTGATGGGAAACAGTGACAGGTCATCAGGCATTAGATTCTCATAAGGAGTGCACAACCTAGATCCCTTGCATGTGTGGTTCACAATAGATTCCTACGATGATCTAATGTCACGGCTGATCTGACAGGAAGTGGAGCTCAGGAGGTAATGTGAGCAATGGGGAATAGCTGTAAATATGGATGAAGCTTTGCTCACTCGCCTGCCACTCTCCTCCTCCTGTGGGGTCTGGTTCCTAATGGGCCATGCACCAGTACTGGTCCATTGCCCTGGAGTTGGGGACTCCTGTACTAGTTGACAGGCACTGCAAATTCAAATGTGTATGCAAGAGAGAAAAGTGTCTATCCTCATACCTTAAAGCCTGTGTCCTCCACCTCTCTGTGCATAAACACTCACATGCATTATATGCATATATATATGCATATAATTTTTTAAAATGTGTTGGATCAACATATAATTTTACACAGAATTGCTTTAAAATCAGCATGTAGCCTATTTATTTCTCCTTTCAAGAATAGATAATGACCATTTTGAAAATATATATCACCATGTTAATGGCTCCAAAATGAGATCATTCATTGAATGAACATTTTATTAATTCATTTGGCACAAGCACTACACTTTTGTCCAAAAAGGCCATGCCACTTCAAGCAAGCAATAATGGCATATAGAAAATCTTGTATACCACATCGAGTTTACTATTGTCTTTCAACCAAATTTACACTTATTTTGTTTCACATTCATGTTATGTGTGTTTTCTTATGGAATCAAATGTATCCATCTTTTCTTTCATAGTTTCTTTTTTATGATATTTGGAAAGGCTTTTCCTGTCATAAAATTATTTTAAATGATACTTTCTTCTAACACTCTTAAGTTATTTATATGTATATTCAAACCTTTGATCCATCTGGAATTTAATTTAGTGTATGGATTTACATAAGGATACAGATTTATTCTTTTCTAAATATACTCAAAATTATTATTTCAAAGGACTGTTTTTATGTGTAGGCTGCATGCTTCATGGTGTAATTTTGTATTTCTTCCACATGCACACTGATGCTAGAAATTCCACTGCTAGAGACTGGTTTTTCATCCTCCATTGAAATATAAACATCCTATGGAGAGGAAATACCTCAAGGTTTGGCAGTCATTCCTTTGACTCAGTGTAAACTGAGACTTTTCAAGAGAAGTGCAGGACATATGGAATGGTTTTGGAGTGAGGACATGGAAGATACAGTATTTCCGGAGGGGAAAAAAGAACACTAAAAAGAGAATTTGGCATAGATAGAATATGGGAGCAGTGGCAGAAAATGATGGGCGATGGGGCCAAATGAGAAGGCAAAAGCCAGACTCTTGGTAGATCTTATATCTATTTTAAGAGGCCTAGACTTTCTGTAATCTGGGTGGGGGTAAGGAGCCATGGAAATGCTTAAACATGACAAAAACATGGCAGATTTAGGTTAAGGGTAGATCATTCTGATGGCTTTGTAGATCATCTATTTGGAAGCAAAAAAGACGAAACCACTTAGGAGGGTGTGGAAGTTGACAAATTAAGAAATAACAATGAGGCACTGAATAAAGGTTTTGGCAATAATAGATGGCAGTGAGCCAAGAGATTTGAGAAATATTTATGTGGAAAAATTAGTGTGTGAGTGTAAAGAAAGGGGAGGGACAAGGATGATGCCCAGATTTCTAGCTTGTGACCAGGTGGACAGTGGCACCAACTTAATGAAACAGAGCATGAAAAAATGATTAATGAGTGGTTCCCAAGCAAACGCAAATTAAATTTGCACACACACCTGAATGGCTAAAATGCAAAAAGACTTCCTTTAGCAATACCAAGTGTTAGTAAGGATGGAGAAATGGGAACTCATATATGCTGTTGATAGTGTTGATAGCGTGTAAGTTGGCATACACTTTAGAAAAGCATTTGGGAATATCTACTAAGGTCAACTTATGTGTAACCTTGAACCAGCAATTCCATTTTGGCCATATAGCTCACAGAAATCTGTACATATCTTTGCTAAAAAACATGTACAATAAATGTATAGCTTCATTATGCTTAATAGCCCTATACTTAACCAAAAAGCCTATCAGTAGTTGACTAAAAATAAATAAATTGTGGTTTGTTAATACAGTAGAATATCATATATTTATGAGATGAACATGCTACAGCTATATACAACAACATGGATGAATCTCATAATATTGTGCTAACGAAGCCAGACACAGAGGGAACATACTATATGATTCCATTTACAGAACATTCAAAATCAAGCAAAACTAATCTATGTTATTAGAAATCAAGATAGTGTCACTTTTAGAATGGGGAAGATAAAAACTAAAAGGGGCATGGGGGTGCTACTAGCTACTGGTTATGTCTTAGCTTGATGTGGGGTCTGCTTATACAAGTGTGTGCACTTTCTGGAGATTCATCAAGTCATGCCCTTAAGATTTGTGCTGTCTCTAGCATGTATGTTATATTTGAATAAAAAATGTAATCAATTCTGATATGGTTTTGCTGTATCCCCACTTAAATCTTGAATTGTAGCTCCCATAATTCCCACATGTCATATGAGGGACCTGGTGGGAGGTAATTGAATCATGGGAGTGGGTCTTTCCCATGCTGTTCTCGTGATAGTGAATAAGTCTCATGAGATCTGATGGTTTCATAATGGGGAGTTTCCCTGCACATGCTCTCTCTTGCCTGCCACCATGTAAGACATAACTTTGCTCCTCCTTTGCCTTCCACCATGATTGTAAGGCCTTTCCAGCCACATGGAGCTGTGAATCCATTAAACCTCTTCTTCTTTATAAACTACCCAATTTCGGGTATGTCTTTATTAGCAGCATGAGAACAGACTAATACAATTCCTTATGAAATACAGTGTATGAATGATTAGTTCAGTTTGGGATATGTTGGACATTGAGGTGAACCATCAGACAAATAGATCACTGGGTGCACGTGTCTGATTCTCAGGGCAGGAGTAAAAGGCAGCAGATAAGGAATCTTAGTCACCCTGTGGGAGGAGATTGTGAATGAAAGCAGAGGGCCTTGGATATAACTCTGGAGAATATCAGCACTTAAAGTATGGGCAGAAGAAGAATTCTGAATTTCCGTTTACTCATTTTATTGAAATAAAGCCATCAATACCTGTTTAATAGAATTAAATGTGCGAAAATAAAACAAGTGAATGTGTCTGCCTGTTACTGTGTGTTTTTCCCTTACTCTCCTTCTATATGCATATAAGCTCATGACACTCTCTTTCCTGAAGGCAGATGCAAAAATAAAAATGACAGTGTATACAAAGCAAGAAAATGATATCTAATGGGAATCTGGACTGAAGATGGTTCTTGATTTTGAACAATTTACAATTGTTAATGTCAGTAATTCTTGAACTCATATTTACTATATTATGCAAAAGTATCCAATAAATGGACTCACAGATAACCCAGAATCAAACACTCTTCATGAGAGAAAATGGAAAGCCTGATTAGAATAAAGAAAGAAAGAATTGAACTACGCATTGAGAAACTAGATGGATTATCAGTAGGATCTTCCAGGCATCAAGGTGGCACTAGGGTCACACTACTGCTTAACAGGCCTTGGAAGACTGAATGAATTCCTGGGCACTACAAAAGGTGATATTATGCCTTGGGATAGATTCATCTATTAAGGACCACTTAGGTGGGAAATTCTGTGTTTGGAAGTGGAATTGTTAAACCATCTCTCTGAACAGTATACTGTCTGTACTTCATTGAGTTGAGGGGGATGGGAGGGAAGAAATTACAAAAGGTATTTGCTAGTGCATGCTAGAAAATTTAAGCTTATCCACTGATTAGTTAAAATAGACTTTAAACCAAAAACAGTAAAAAAAAAAAAATGACAAAGAAGAACACTACATAATGATAAAGGGTTAAATTCAGCAAAAATATTTAATTATCCTAAATATGCATGCACCGAACATTGGAACACCCAGATTCATAAAACAAGTACTAGACCCACAAAAAAGACACAGATGTCCACACAATAGTAGTAGGGGAATTCAACACTTTACTAGACAGATTATCCAAGCAGAAAACTAACAAATTCTGGACTTAAATTCAAGATTTGACCAGTTGGACCTAACAGACATCTATAGAACATTCCACTCAACAACCAAAGAAGATATAGTCTTACCAACTGCACATAGAACATACTCTGAGGTTGATGACATGCTTGGCTGTAAAGCAAGTCTCCATACGTTCAAAAACATTGAAATTATACCAACCATACTCTCAGACCACAGTAAAAGAAAAATGGAAATCAACACCAAGAGAATCTCCTAAAATCACAAAAATTACATAGAAATTAAACAACTTGCTTCTGAATGACTTTTGCAAATACAATGAAATTAAGGCAGAAATCAAAAAATTCTTTGAGATAAATTAAAACACAGACACAACATATCAAAATCTCTAGGATGCAGCAAAACCAGTGTCAAGGGGAAAGTGCTAAACACTCACATTAAGAAGTTAAAAAGATCTCAAATTAACAATCTAATATCACCCCAGAGGAACTAGAAAAACAATAACAAACTAACCTCAAAGCTAGCAGAAAAGAAATAACTAAAATTAGAGAACTAAATGAAATTGAGACCCAAAAATCTACACAAAGCAGCAACAAAACAAAAAATTTGTTCTTTAAAAAGATAAACCACAATGAGATACCATCTCACACCAATTAGAATGGCGATCATTAAAAAGTCAGGAAACAACAGGTGCTGGAGAGGATGTGGAGACATAGGAACAATTTTACACTGTTGGTGGGACTGTAAACTACTTCAACCATTGTAGAAGACAGTGTGGTGATTCCTCAAGGATCTAGAACTAGAAATACCATTTGACCCAGCCATCCCATTACTGGGTATATACCCAAAGGATTATAAATCATGCTGCTATAAAGACACATGCATAAGTATGCTTATTGAGGCAATATTCACAATAGCAAAGACTTGGAACCAACCCAAATGTCCATCAATGATAGACTGGATTAAGAAAATGTTGCACATATACACCACGGAATACTATGCAGCCACAGAAAAGGATGAGTTCATGTCCTTTGTAGGGACATGAATGAAGCTGGAAACCATCATTCTCAGCAAACTATCGCAAGGACAGAAAACCAAACACCACATGTTCTCACTCATAGGTGGGAATTGAACAATGAGAACACTTGGACACAGGAAGGGGAACATCACACACCAGGGCCTGTCATGGAGTAGGGGGAGGTGGGAGGGATAGCATTAGGAGATATACCTAATGTAAATGATGAGTTAATGGGTGCAGCACACCAACATGTCACATGTATACATATGTAACAAACCTGCACGTTGTGCACATGTACCCTAGAACTTAAAGTATCATAAAAAAATTCATTAAATTTGAAAAAAAGAAAAGATAAACAAAGTTGATTAATCAATAGCTAGATTAATAAAGAAAAAGAGAGAAGATTCAAATAAGCACAATCAGAAACAACAAAGGTGACATTATAACTGATCCCACAGAAATACAAAAGATCCTCAAAGATAATTATGAACACCTCTATGCACACAAACTAGAAAGTCTAGAGGAAATAGATAAAGTCCTGGAAACATACAACCTCCCAAGATTGAATCAGGAAGAAACTGAAACCCTGAACGGACCAATATCAAGTTCCAATATTGAATCAGTAATAAAAAACCCACCGAACAAAAAAGTCCCTGGACCAGATGAACTGACGGCCAAATTCTACCAGGCATACAAAGAAGAGCTGGTATCATCCTGATACCAATATGACAAAGATACAATGAAAAAAGAAAACTACAAGCTGATATTCTGGATGAATATAGACCCAAAAATCCTCAACAAAATACTTGCAAACCAAATCTAGCAGCACATCAAAAAGTTAATTTACCACAATCAAATAGGCTTTATTCCTGAAATACAAAGTTATTTTAACATACACAGATCAATAAATATGATTCACCAAAGAATCAAAAACAAAAACCATAACATCATCAAAATAGACACAGAAAAAGCTTTTGATAAAATCCAACATCCTTTCATAATAAAAACCCTTAAAAAACTAGCCATCATTGAACCATACCTCAAAATAGTAAGAGCTATCTATGACAAACCCATTGCCAAAATCATAATGACCAGGCAAAAGATTAAAACATTCTCCTTAAGAGTAGGAACAAGATAAGAATGCCCACTCTCACCACTTCTATTCTAGTACTAGAAGTCCTAGCCAGAGCAATTGGGCAGGAAAAAAATAAAAGGCATCCAAATAGAAAAAGAAGACCTCAAACTATCTCTCTTCACTGACAATATGATTCTAGATCTAGAAAACTCTGAAGACTCCACCAAAAGGCTCCTAGAGGTGATAAATGACTTCAGTAAAGTTTCAGGATACAAAATTCAATGTAGAAAATGAGTTGCATTTCTATACACCAATAACTCAAGCTGAGAGCCAAATCAAGAATGCAAGCCAATTTACAGTAGCCACTAAATAAATAAATAAATTCCTAGGAATACATCTAACCAAAGAGGTGAAAGATTTCTACAAGGAAAACTACAAAACACTGGTGAAAGAAATCACAATGGCAAAAAGAAATGGAAAAACAATCCATGTTCATGGATTGGAAGAATCAATATCATTAAAATGGCCATATTGCCCAAAGCAATCTACTGATTCAATGCTATTCCTATCAAACTACCAAAGTCATTTTCACAGAACAAGAAAAAACTATTCTAAAATTCATATGGAACCGAAAAAGAACCAGCATAGCCAAAGCAATCCTAAGCAAAATGAATAAAGCCAGAGATATCCCATTACCTGATTTGAAACTACACTATAAGGCTACAGCAGCCAAAAACAATTTGGTACTGGTACAAAAATAGACACATAGACCAATGGAAAAGAATAGAGAACCCAGAAATAAAGCTGTGCACCTTTAGCCATCTGATCTTTGACAAAGTTGACAAAAATAAACAGTGGGAAATGGACATTCTATTCAACAAATGGTGCTAGGATAACTGGCTATCCATAGGCAGAAGAATGAAATTGAACACTTACCTTTCACCATATACAAAAATTAACTCGAGATGGATTAAAGACTTAAATGTATGACATCAAACTATAAAAATCCTAGAAGTAAACCTAGGAAATATCATTCTGGACAGAGGCCTTGGAGTAGAATTTATTACTAAGTCTCCAAAAGTAATGCAAAAAAAACCAAAAATGGACAAGAAGGACCTAATTAAACTAAAGAGATTCTGCACAGCAAAATAAACTATCAACAAAGTAAACAGACAACATACAGAATGGGAGAAAATATCCACAAACTATGCATCTGACAAAGGTCTACTATCCAGAATCTATAGGGAACTTAAAACAATTCTATAAGCAAAAGACAAATAACCCCATTAAAAAGTGGGCAAAGAGGGCTGGGCACAGTGGCTTATATCTGTAATCCCAGCACTCTGGGAGGCCAAGGCAGGTGGATCATGAGGTCAAGAGGTCGAGACCGTCCTGGCCAACATGGTGAAACCCCGTCTCTACTAAAAATACAAAAATCAGCTAGGCATGGTGGCACGTGCCTGTAGTTCCAGCTACTCAGGAGGCTGAGGCAGAAGAATCACTTCAATCCAGGAGGCAGAGGCTGCAGTGAATCGAGATCATGCCACCGCACTCCAGCCTGGCAACAGAGTGAGACTCCATCTCAGAAAAAAAAAAAAAAAATGTGGGCAAAGGATACGAATGACACATCTCAAAATAAGACAGACAAGTGGCCAAGAAACATTTGAAAAGAGCTCAACATCACTAATCATCTGAGAATTGCAAATCAAAACCACACCGACATACCATCTCACACCAGTCAGAATGTCTGTTATTAAGGAGTCAAAAAGTAATTTGTTGATGGGGCTATGAAGAAAAGGGGATGCTTATACACTGTTGGTGGGAATGTAAATTAGTTCAGAGATGATGGAAAGCAGTTCGCAGATTTCTCAAAGAACTAAAAACAAAACTATCATTTGACTAAGCAATCCCATTAGTGGGTATATATCCAAAGAAAAATAAATCATTCTACCCAAAAGACACATGCACTCGTATATTCATTGCAGTACTATTCACAGCAGCAAAGACATGGAATCAACGTAGGTGCCCATCAACAGCTGGCTGGATTAAGAAAATGTGGTACAAATACACTATGGAGTGCTATTCAGCCATGAAACAGAATGAAAGTATGTCCTTTGTAGCAATATGGGTGCAACTGGAGGTCATTATTCTAAAACAGGAACCGAAAACCAAATATTGCATGTTCTCATTTATAAGTGGGAGCTAAACATTGGGTTCACATGGAGATAAAAACAGAAACAATAGACACTGGGGACTACTAGGTGGGGGGTCAGGAGGGGAGGGCTGAAAAATTACCCATTAGGCACTATGCTTACTATCTGGATGATATTAATTGTACCTCAAACTTCAGCATCATGCAATATACCCATGTAACAAACTTGCACATGTACCCACTGAATCTAAAATAAAAGAGGAAAAAAGAAAAGATCAGTTAATTCAGCTCCCATATAGGAAAGTTACTATAAAAACAAACAAAAAACTATAATGAATCCAATACTGGTTCATAACACATTCCATTATGAAACCATAAGAAATAATTACTTTCTATGCAGCGGAAATGGTACTCGGTGCTTCTGCCTAAATTTTAAAGATGAGGAAATTGAAGCTCATAGAGTTTAAGTGAGTTACTCACAGTCATACCTGAGTCTATTTGATCTATTGCCTCTGCAAAAGCTTTGATAAAGCTTTGGGGTCTACGCAATTCTCACACTAAGGGAATATGGTATAGACTAGGTTCTGACTTTCTTATACCAGGTACTATCCTTGCTTAATGTGCCAAACAAATGGTATGGAAGAATCACTTCTGTGGCATAGACTGACCAGGTGTTCACCTAATCTATTTCCTCTTACTCCTGGGAAGGCAGCCAGATTGTATTTACCAAGCTCTTTGCAGCGAGTTGTGGTCCTATGATTTTCTGGGCAATAGAAGATCAGTGGATGTGACGTGTTCTACCTCCAAGCCTAGCCCAAGAGCAACAGGATAGAAGAAAATTAGATCTCTCAATCACTTCTCAGAGGAGAGACATACTGGTGTTACGAATACCCATTTAGTTTTGACTTGCATGAAAAAAAAATAACTTCCATTTTTTCAAACTACTGAGATTAGGGTATTTATCTGTTATGGCAATCAGAATAATCTTGGAGGCCTTTTCCTTGGTTTCACACTAAGTGGTCCTGTGATTGATATCAACAGCTATTAATTAAGGTGGCAGCTGAATCAAGTTGGTGAGGGCTGCCAATGCCTTCCTCAAGACAGGAATCAAATTTTGTAAATTGTTTGTGTGAAAGTCCTTCAAAACTGAAATAGAAATTCAATAATTATAAAGAATACAATTAGGAGCAAGCATGAACATACTCAAATATATGATGAGAAAAATTGACTAACCACGGTTCTTCCCGCAAAAAAAAAATCTCATGGTCAAAATATAACACAAATTGGACATAAATAAGCAACAATGTTGCTAGTTTAGATGCAATTATTGGTAAATAGACACGCATAAACATATACCCAAGATATGTGAAGAAGAGTCACATTAATACAGGAATTTGGGGTAGAGGGGTCCTTTTAAAATATGAGAACCTATTATCCACAGCTAAAATCAGACATAGGTGTCACCAAAAAAGCAATGTGAAATTAGATTGGATAGCATTAGGTTTTTAGTATAATTGACCCTTCCTTTGCCTGTGACTCCGTGTGAGGAATTGGTGATGGGCAGTGTGACCATGTGTCCCACTTTGCCCAGGTTAGTCCAAGTTTGTGACTACTGTGCCCCCTTTCTTTCTCCAGAGTGCCCCAGTTTGAATGATAAATTATACAAAAATTATATGATTCCCTTGTTTGGTGGCAAACTGTGGGAGCTCAGTACAAACTTTGCTCTCCACTCCCAACTGCTGATGGTCATGTAAGGCTACCAGTATCACAAATACTACCACGAAAGTTTGGTTGATGAAGCAGAAAGCATTTTCCCTCCCTGTCAACTTTATAAGATGGCTATTTGATTACAGTTTGGGATGAGATCGATGCACTGTCACTCCTTCCCCTATGCTCCACTCCCATAAGAGAATAGAAGGGTAACCTTCTCTTAAATGCAGGAGATAAGTTACATTGTTACAAACCCAAAATGGACATAGCAAATAAGTATCCTGTATTATATTTAATCATTACCAGAACGAAAAACAACAGATCAATGATATTAAAATGAAAAAATCATCATTTTAGTTGGATTTCCCCCAAATTTTACCTGGATCTAAATAACTCTATACCATATGGCATTGAGTTATAGCAACAGACATTTCACAAATGGTGTATATTACAGGGCACACTGGGATGTAATTCTGAGTGATGCTTTGTCTCTTATTTGGGGGAGGATTCTGTGAAGGAGGAGGCAAGTGGTGGAAACTCCTCTGAAATATCTTGCATGCTAAAGGTATCATAGTCATTGCTATGGCTCTGATTCTCAATCTGAGCTTTCCATAGCCCTGGAGAACTCCAGGTAACAATAAACATGATGTATCTTTTTAGGAGATTCAATTTCACTTGGTGTTTATAATTTCAACTTTTTAGTACTTGAATAAACTTGAATATATTGTTAAATGGAATGCAAAACATACATGGATTTTTAAGATTAAAAAGATGAGCTCCTAAATAATCTCTCCCATTTCTGGTGGACCATGTTGTGATTCTCCCCATGTATTCTGAATACCAGGTGGAAAAATTAGAAAAGTGCTGCTCTAAGATAAAGCACATTGGGGCCTTGATCATCCAATCATCTGTTTGTTACCATGGTCCCAAGCTTAATGGGCTATAATATAGCCTGGGGGTTAAGACCACAGGCTCTGATATTGAGCAGACTTGAGTTTTGTCCAGGCTGTGCCATGTACTATCTCTAAAACCTATCATGAATGTGAAATAGGGGTAATGATTGCCATAGTATTTTAACTATTAAAGAATGTATGTAAGTTGCTCAGCACAATATCTAGCACATAGTAAGCACTCCATAATTGTTCATGATTATTGCTTCTTCAGAGGTCTCCTGGACCTATTCATTGGACCTCTGTGATCACCTACTCTGTACAATTTTGTTCCAGAAAGTGTAAAAAGAGACATAGAAAAGCTGCAAGTGATCCTGAGGAAAAAAAGCAACAACGAAGGCATTTTAAAAAACATAAAAAAGCATAGGGGAAGCTGTAAATAAAGATGAAAGGAGCTGGAGTGTTTTTAGCTCAGAGAAGAGGAAGCCAAAAAGCGACAATAGCATTCAAGTGTAAGAATCATTAAGAGGATGAGACTGACAGGTTGTTTTCCATTTCAACAGGGGTTAGCACACATAAATATTACAGCAAAATAACTTGATTTGACACAACTAAGAACGTCTTTTCAGGGAGAGTGACAATACTAACACAGCATCCTAGAGAGGATATGGACATGTCAACCTTGGTTCCATCTAAAAATATCCTGGCTAATTTAGGTGAAGATCTGGTTGTGGCTGCCCTGACTGACCTTTTGAATATGAGTCTCAGAGATAAGTTTTCAAGCAGCTCAGGGACACAGTTTTTGGTAGATGTTCATATCAGACTCTGTAACATAGGGCAGAGTGATATATCCAGTCTTTTTGAGAGACATTTATAAAAATTAATGTGATATATAATCAGATGAATAGTCTTAATTTTAAAACAATAATGATGGTAATGTTAATAACAATGCTAACATTTTCTAAATACTTAATTACATGAAAGATTCTATTCTAAATATGTTATATATCTTATCTCTTGCTGTTTCAATAATTAGCATTTTCACTTAATTACATGAACTCTTCCAACCCAGGTGTGCCTTGGACCTTTTAGTTTAAATCTACCCAGAGGTGAATACATGATGAAGGACACCCCATCTAACCAAATTCTACCCATCCTTCTTTGCCAGGCTTAAATTATTCCTTCTCTGTGAGAGCAGTCTGACTTTCTCTAGTCATTTTATTTTTCTCTGAACTCACAACACTTATCCTCAGTACCATTCAGAGTGACTTAATCACATCATTACTTTGAGGTATTTGTGCTGTTGTTTTGCTTGGCTATTCAACTCTTATCCCTTAGGTTAACTCTTCATGGAAGCATGTCACATCTTCCAAATCTTATTATGAACTCTCCAGGAGAACTAACTGTAGTAATGATATATGTTGGTTTCTTTGGCTGTACAGTATTCATTTTCCTACTTTGGTAACAGCAACATTTTTTTCTTTAGAAAAATATTCTCTCTGTTCCAAGATGGCTGAATAGGAACAGCTCCAGTGTACAGCTCCTAGCGTGATCGATGCAGAAGGTGGGTGATTTCTGCACTTCCAACTGAGGTAACTGGTTCATCTCATTGGGACTGGTTTGACAGTGGGTGCAGCCCATGGAGGGCATGCCGAAGCAGAGTGGGGTGTCGCCTCACCCGGGAAGTGCAAGGGGTCAGGGGATTTCCCTTTCCTAGCCAAGGGAAGCCGCGACAGAGAGTAACTGGAAAAACGGGACACTCCTGCCCAAATACTGTGCTTTTCCAACGGTCTTAGCAAATTCACACCAGGAGATTATACTGTGGATGTGGTACCCACACCCACAGAGCCTTGCTCACTGCTAGCGCAGCAGTCTGAGATCGACCTGTGAGGCAGCAGCCTGGCAGGGGGAGGGGCGTTCGCCATTGCTGAGGCTTGAGTAGGTAAAAGAAGCACCCCGGGAAGCTGGAACTGGGCAGAGCACACTGCAGCTCAGCAAGGCTGGCTGCCTCTGTAGACTCCACCTCTGGGGGCAGAGCATAGCTGAACAAAAGGCAGCAGAACCTTCTGCAGACTTAAATGTCCCTGTCTGACAGCTCTGAAGAGAGCAGTGGTTCTCCCAGCACGGTGTTTGAGCTCGGAGAACAGACAGAATGCCTCCTCAAGTGGGTCCATGACCATCATGTAGCCTAACTGGGAGACACCTCCCAGTAGGGGCCGACAGACACCTCATACAGGTGGGTGCCCCTCTGGGACCAAGCTTCCAGAAGAAGGAGCAGGCAGCAATATTTGCTGTTCTGCAATATTTGCTGTTCTGCATCCTCCACTGGTGATACCCAGAAAAACAAGTTCTGGAGTGGACCTCCAGCAAACTCCAACAGACCCACAGCTGAGAGACCTGACTGTTGGAAGGAAAACTAACAAACAGAAAGGAATAGCATCAACATCAACAAAAAGGACATCCACACCAAAACCCCAACAAAGACCAAAGGTAGATAAAATCACAAAGATGGGGAGAAACCAGGGCAGAAAAGCTGAAAATTCTAAAAAACCAGAGTGCCTCCTCTCCTCCAAAAGATTGCAGCTCCTCACCAGCAACAGAACAAAGCTGGATGGAGAATAACTTTGATGAGCTGACAGAAGTAGGTTTCAGAAGGTCGGTAATAACAAACCTCTCCAAGCTAAAGGAGGATGTTCAAACCCATCACAACGAAGCTAAAAACCTTGAAAAAAAAAAGATTAGATGAATGGCTAACTAGAATAAACCATGTAGAGAAGACCTTAAATGACCTGATGGAGCTGAAATCCATGGCATGAGAACTATGTGACACATGCACAAGCTTCAATAGCTGATTTGATCAAGTGGAAGAAAGCGTGTCAGTGATTGAAGACCAAATGAATGAAATGAAGCGAGAAGAGAAGTTTAGAGAAAAAAGAATAAAAAGAAACAAACAAAGCCTTCAAGAAATATGGGACTATGTGAAAAGACCAAATCTACGTCTGATTGGTGCACCTGAAAGTGACGGGGAGAATGGAACCAAGTTGGAAAACACTCTTCAGGATATTATCCATGGAGAACTTCCCCAATCTAGCAAGGCAGGCCAATATTCAAATTCAGGAAATACAGAGAACGCCACAGAGATACTCCTCGAGAAGAGCAACTCCAAGACACATAATTGTCAGATTCACCAAAGTTGAAATGAAGGAAAAAATGTTAAGGGCAGCCAGAGAGAAAGGTTGGGTTACCCACAAAGGGGAGCCCATCAGACTAACAGCTGATCTCTCGGCAGAAACTCTACAAACCAGAAGAGAGTGGAGGCCAATATTCAACATTCTTAAAGAAAAGAATTTTCAATCCAGAATTTCATATCCAGCCAAATTAAGCTTCATAAGTGAAGGAGAAATAAAATTCTTTACAGAGAAGCAAATGCTGAGAGATTTTGTCACCACTAGGCCTGCCTTACAAGAGCTTCTGAAGGAAGCACTAAACATGGAAGGGAACAACCGGTACCAGCCACTGCAAAAACATGCCAAATTGTAAAGACCATCGATGCTACGAAGAAACCGCATCAACTAACAGGCAAAATAACCAGCTAACATCACAAAGACAGGATCAAATTCACACATAACAATATTAACCTTAAATGTAAATGGGCTAAATGCTCCAATTAAAAGACACAGACTGGCAAATTGGATCAAGAGTCAAGACCCATCAGTGTGCTGTATTCAGGAGACCCATCTCACGTGCAGAGAAACACATAGGCTCAAAGTAAAGGGATGAGATCTACAAAGCAAATGGAAATCAAAAAAAGCAGACGTTGCAATCTTAGTCTATGATAAAACAGACTTTAAACCAGCAAAGATCAAAAGAGACAAAGAAGGCCATTATATAATGGTAAAGGGATCAATTCAACAAGAAGAGCTAACTATCCTAAATATATATACACCCAATACAGGAGCACCCAGACTCATAAAGCAAGTCCTTGGAGACTTACAAAGAGACTTATACTCCCACACAGTAATAATGGGAGACTTTAACACCCCACTGTCAATAAAAGACAGATCAACGAGACAGAAGGTTAACAAGGATAGCCAGGATTTGAATTCAGCTCTGCACCAAGCAGACCTAATAGACATCTACAGAATTCTCCACCCCAAACCAACAGAATATATATTCTTCTCAGCACCACATCACACTTATTCCAAAATTGACTACATAGTTGGAAGTAAAGCACTCCTCAGCAAATGTAAAAGTACAGAAATCACAATAAACTGACTCTCAGATCACAGTGCAATCAAATTAGAACTCAGGATTAAGAAACTCACTCAAAACAGCACAACTGCATGAAAACTGAACAACCTGCTCCTGAATGATTTCTGAGTAAATAACAAAATAAAGGCAGAAATAAAGATGTTCTTTGAAACCAGTGAGAACAAAGACACAATGTACCAGAGACTCTGGGACACATTTAAAGCAGTGTGTAGAGGGAAATTTATAGCACTAAATGCCCACAAGAGAAAGCAGGAAAGATCTAAAATCAACACCCTAACATCACAAGTAAAAAAACTAGAGAAGCAAGAGCAAACAAACTCAAAGGCTAGCAGAAGGCAAGAAATAACTAAGATCACAGCAGAACTGAAGGAGATAGAGACAGAAAAAACCCTTCAAAAAAATCAATGAATCCAGGAGCTGGTTTTTTTTAAAAGATCAACAAAATTGATAGACCACTAGCAAGACCAATAAAGAAGAAAAGAGAGAAGACTCAAATAGATGCAATAAAAAATGATAAAGGGGATATCACCACCAATCCCACAGAAATACAAACAACCATCAGAGAGTACTATAAACACCTCTACGCAAACAAACTAGAAAATCTAGAAGAAATGGATAAATTCCTGGACATATACACCCTCCCAAGACTAAACCAGGAAGAGATTGAATCTCTGAATACACAAATAACAGGCTCTTAAATTGATGCAATAATTAATAGCCTACGAACAAAAAAATTCCAAGACCAGACGGATTCACAGCCAAATTCTACCAGAGGTACAAAAAGGAGCTGGTACCATTCCTCCTGAAACTATTCCAATCAATAGAAAAAAAGGGAATCCTCCCTAACTCATTTTATGAGGCCAGCATCATCCTGATACCAACGCCTAGCAGAGACACAACAAAAAAAAGAGAATTTAAGACCAATATCCCTAATGAACATCGACGTGAAAATCTTCAATAAAATACTGGCAAACCAAATCCAGCAGCATATCAAAAAGCTTATCCACCACGATCAAGTTGGCTTCATCCCTGGGATGCAAGGCTGGTTCAACATACACGAATCAATAAACATAATCCATCATATAAATAGAACCAATGACAAAAACCCCATGATTATCTCAATAGATGCAGAAAAGGCCTTCAACAAAATTCAACAGGACTTCAAGCTAAAAACTCTCAATAAACTAGGTATTGATGGAATGTATCTCAAAATAATAAGAGCTATTTATGGCAAACCCACAGCCAATATCATACTGAATGGGCAAAAACTGGAAGCATTCCCTTTGAAAACTGGCACAAGACAGGGATGCCCTCTCTCACCACTCCTATTCAACATAGTGTGGGAAATTCTGGCCAGGGTAATCAGAAAAGAGAAAGAAATAAAGGGTATTCAATTAGGAAAAGAGGAAGCCAAAAAGTGTCCCTGTTTGCAGATGACATGATTGTATATTTAGAAAACCCCATCATCTCAGCCCCAAATCTCCTTAAGCTGAAAAGCAACTTCAGCAAAGTTTCAAGATACAAAATCAATGTGCAAAAATCACAAGCATTCCTATACACCAATAACAGACAAACAGAGCCAAATCATGAGTGAACTCCCATTCACAATAGCTACAAAGAGAATAAAATACCTAGGAATCCACCTTACAAGGAATATGAAGGATCTCTTCAAGGAGAACTACAAACCACTGCTCAATGAAATAAAAGAGGATAGAAACAAATGGAAGAACATTCCATGCTCATGGATAGGAAGAATCAATACCATGAAAATGGCCATACTGCCCAAGGTAATTTATAGATTCAATGCCATCCCCATCAAGCTACCAATGACTTTCTTCACAGAATTGGAAAAAACTACTTTAAAGTTCATATGGAACCAAAAAAGAGCCCACATTGCCAAGACAATTCTAAGCAAAAAGAACAGAGTTGGAGGCATCATGCTACCTGACTTCAAACTATACTACAAGGCTACAGTAACCAAAAGAGCATGGTACTGGTACCAAAACAAAGATATAGACCAATGGAACAGAAGAGAGTCGTCAGAAATAGCACCACACATCTACAACCATCTAATCTTTGACAAACCTGACAAAAACAAGCAATGGGGAAAGGATTCCCTATTTAATAAATAGTGCTGGGAAAACTGGCTAGCCATATGTAGGAAGCTGAAACTGGATCCCTTCCTTACACCTTAAACAAAAATTAATTCAAGATGGATTAAAGACTTAAATGTTAGACCTAAAACCATAAAAACCCTAGAAGAAAACCTAAGCAATACCATTCAGGACATAGGCATGGGCAAGGACTTCATGACTAAACCACCAAAAGCAATGGCAACAGAAGCCAAAATAGAAAAATGGGATCTAATTAAACTAAAGAGCTTCTGCACAGCCAAAGAAACTACCATCAGAGTGAACAGGCCACCTACAGAATGGGAGAAAATTTTTGCAATCTACCCATCTGACAAAGGGCTAATTACCAGAATCTACAAAGAACTTAAACAAATTTACAAGAAAAAATCAAACAACCCCATCAAAAAGTGGGCAAAGGATATGAACAGACACTTCTCAAAAGAAGACATTTATGCAGCCAACAGAGCCATGGAAAAATGCTCATCATCACTGGTCATCAGAGAAATGCAAATCAAAACCACAATGAGATAACACCTCACACCAGTTAGAATGGCAATCATTAAAAAGGCAGGAAACAATAGGTGCTGGAGAGGATGTGGAGAAATAGGAACACTTTTACACTGTTGGTGGGACTGTAAACTAGTTCAACCATTGTGGAAGATAGTGTGGCGATTCCTCAAGGATCTAGAGCTAGAAATACCATTTGACCCAGCGTTCCCATTACTGGGTATATACCCACAGGATTATAAATCGTGCTACTATAAAGACACATGCACACGTATGTTTATTGTGGTACTATTCACAATAGCAAAGACTTGGAACCAACCCAAATGTCCATCAATGATAGACTGGATTAAGAAAATGTGGCACATATACACCATGGAATACTATGCAGCTATAAAAAAGGATGAGTTCATTTCCTTTGCAGGGACATGGATGCAGCTGGAAACCATCATTCTGAGCAAACCATCACAAGGACCGAAAACCAAACACCACATGTTCTCACTCATAGTTCGGAACTGAACAATGAGAACATTTGGACATAAGGCAGGAAACATCACACCCCGGTGCCTGTTGTGGGGTGGGAGACAGGGGGAGGGATAGCATTAGGAGAAATACCTAATGTAAATGATGAGTTAATGGGTGCAGCACACCAACATGGTACATGTATACCTATGTAACAAACCTGCACGTTGTGCACATGTACCCTAGAACTTGAAGTATAATAAAAAAAGAAAAACATCAACAAAATCAAAAAAGTCAGTAAACAAATACAAGAAATGAAACACTAAAAAAAAAACAAAGAAAAGTATTCTCTCTTCTATTGTGTAAAGTCTTGACTGGACAATCAGTCAAGCCTCTCTGCCCTTCTTTTCCTAAGGTTAAATAAATAACTAAATTAGGCCAGTAGGAGTTTCTCTCCAGGACTTTGAAACTTCAACAAAGTATCATAAACATAGGGAAAACAGTTGACTGATTTCAGTGGTAGTGACCTAAGGAAGCTGCCTATCTTCCTTTACCTTGGGTTCTAGATCTACTAGATGCTTCCCTGGCCCAAGACTGCTATTCCAGCCTTTCTTTGAACTACCTGAAAGCCTTGCAATCAGTTAGCCCGACTTTCTGCTGCTGGCAACCTAAGCATGCTAACTGTTAAAGGGGCAAATCCTCTACTTCTTTGTATGGCCCACCACACAAAGCACAGTACTTCGCACAAAGTAGGTGTTCATGAGTGATATTTTGAAGAATTTAATGGAAAATTGAATGCTGACAAAAATAAAGACCAACTATGAAAGCATTTTGTAAATACATAACAGGTATAAAAAATTCTAGTGTAGAGGCCCAGGAATGTGACATTAGTGATAAAATGATTCAACAGTGACTCTACACAATCCTAACGTCCACCCTAGCTACCTTTGCTTTGCTTATTAAATCTTTGAGACAGGAAAGCAGCACACTCTACAAAATCCCACTAAAATGCCCCAAACATGCTAGTTTTTTTAATTCTTACATGTAGAACTTATAGCATATACTGGCCCAGAAGGCCCTCCTTTACCTCCTTTAAGGAATGATAAAGAAATTGATCTGAGCCAGGAAGAATGACACTCACTGGATCATACCACAGAGGTGTCCTATTTTGCATTTTGAAATGGATTTAGCACAATCATGCAAATGTGTACTACCCAGGGCTGGAAGAAATGAGGACAGAGCTCAGAGAAGTCAGGCAAAGGTCAAACATGAAACCAAAATAGAAAGCAATCCCCACAGCAGTTGTACTGCTACACACATCAGGTAGGCAGCTGGACCGAATGACCTCTAAAACCTCCTCCAGTTCAGGCATTCTTTGATTCTACTTCTTTTAGTTGTTCATGCTTATAACTGTCAGGATCAGTCCCACTAACAAACACTGGTAAGTGTAAAAAGACTGTTGAAAATGATGTTTCAACAGTTTCCTTTTAAAAAGAAAAGAAACTTCATTAGTCTACGAGCTGAATTTTTCATTCATTAAACATTTACTAGTGACTTGTTATGCACAAATAACTGTACTAGGAGGAAGGTGGGCAAAGACACAAAGAAATAATGACAGGTGCTGCCTTTAAGTAGCTAATAATTTACTGAAAATAATGCTGGGCCACTTTGTGCTTTCTGACTAAGACTAGTCATAGTAAACAGCAGCAATTTACAAATTAATCAGTGAAAAATGAAGAAGACTTCCTGCTTTCAAGGAGCTTTTAGTTCTTTGTTCATTCACTAATTGATTCCGCAGTCCTCACTAAGCTCTATACCCTATGCTAGGTGTCATGGAGATCAATGACCAATATTAACAAGGTGTCTGCCTTCAAAGAGCTCAAAAGGAAACTGGGGGGTGACCTATGCCGTCTATTTAGTTTTATTATGCCAGTTCTTAGTCTTCTCCAAGTCTATTCCTCCTGTAGCCACAGTGCCATTCTGAAAAATCAAATCTGATCAGGTCACAAACACCCCCACCGTACACCCCCCTTATCCTTCCCCTGCTTAACACACTCCATTGGCTTCTCTTGCTATATAATTCAAATATGAATGGTCTCTAAATGGCAGGATGGCAACCCCTCATAATCTAATGCAGCGTAGTCTAGACAGATTGCAGCTGATGTAATAAGCAGGCTGAAGTATTATCACCAAGCTTAGCACAAATACCCTGTGAGTATTCAGTCATCATCTCTACCCACACAATCCCCAAATCTGGCCAGAATGTAGTGAAGATCCAGAATTGAAGCCCGTGAATAAATAGATCACGGGCAGAAATTGAGACCAAATGATTTATCTTTTATTGCTCCAAGGCAAGCACTCTAGCCTCAGTCCAATAGATATGTGGATAGGTGCAGACTTAAGAAAGGAGAAAACATGATATCCTAAAAAGATCGTTGTGGCAAGGATTTTTATCATGTTTCTAGACCTTTGAAGCACTCTCTGGATAGTTATTTGAGATGTTCCTAGGTCTTCCTAGGCTGCAATTGAAGACTGTGGAGAGATTTTGATCCTTTACAGGAGAGATGTTCTAAACCAAAAATATACTTTAAAGGGTCAGTAACTTCTGCTGCCATCCACACAATATTTATCAAATTCCTTAAGAAACTTATAATTCAGTAAAGATTAAGAAGCACAATAGACAAACCAACTCTATGGGCATAATTCCAATATTGAATTCCAGTTTTCTTTGATAATAAGAAAGGCAAACCAGATTCCCAGGTGAGTATACAAGGCCAGTGGTCAATGAAATGCTAGCTTACTGAATGATGGAAAACTTTCTCTAAACCGTGGTTTCCTTAGCTATAGTTGGGGACATAAATACTTATTTCACAGGGTTATTGTAAGGATTAAATAAAATAATGTGTGAAAAGCAATTAGCACAGTGCTTGAAACTTGGTAGACATCCAAACTGCTGTTCTTGCTGCTATTTCTCTGTTTATCATATGGAGTTAATGCCCATAACTTTACATTTTCCCATTGGGGTGTTACCATATGCTATTTCTATGCAACTCTTTTCCCTCATGAAGAACATTATTCTACATCCTCAGATCTTTTGTAAAAATGTAGAATATTAGTGCTGGAAAGAATTTTGGGGAAACTCCTGATTTAAGAAGTAGTATACCAAGGCCAAAGACTTATTCAAGGTCTCCCAGCTAATTCGTGGCGTAACTATGTCTTGACCTAAGTCTTCTGTTTCTTAGTCTGGTGGCTTTTCAGCTGCATTACTATTATCCAAGTTACAAGGGGCACCTCAAATCAATACATTAATATACACTTATTGAGCAACTACCTGAAAGACATAGAGCTGTACTGAAAACTTTGGACAATATAAAAGAATTATGAGACACATTCTTGCTCCTCTCCTTGCAGACTTCTTTCCTCATTAATTTTATATTAATTTTGAATGCTCCTTTTAATGCTCCTACCTTCAACTATGAGAATAAGAGAATGCAACTGTATACATGAATTCTAAGCTAAGCAGTTTATGGCTGATTATTGCTATGTGGAATTTCCATGGTTAGGGTCAGGCATGCATTCATTTACTTTACATACATTGTCCAGTTAAATTTCCCAACAATCCTATTTTATAGATGAAATGAAAAAAGAATGGGGACGTGAAGTTACTTGCCCAAGTCTCTCTCAGATGCCAAACAAAGCCCCTGTTCCTGCCAAACAGACTCCTTTGAACTTTTTAACTTCAATATTAATCCTTTGAAGCAAAATAAATAAAAAAGGGCAATACCCAAGTGGGATGCATATAAATCGCTTAATTAGTAGACATTTATTCCACAAATATTTGTTAGGTGCCAATTATTTGCCAGACTACATCACAAGAGGGTAAAATCAGTGTCACAGCAGACAGCTACAAATGGTGCTTTTTGCACTTTGCCCATACCCTTGCCACAGGAACCCTCACGCCTGGGTCTTGCTGTGTTTGTGAGCTAGTCCTTCCAGCTGCCAAGGGCTCAGAGATGTTGCTTCTTTTGCTGTTTCATCTTCTGGGTTATCAAGCTTGCTGCTCAGGCCACTGTGCCCTTGACCTTTTTAGGCTCTAGAAGTTACCTCAAGGGGGAATGTTTAGTTCACCCAAAATTTAAGCCGTTTAGAAAGCCATGTGGACGTGTGCTCTGAATGCCCAACCAAAGTGTGAGTGAAGGGCATTTCTCCTTCTTTTAATCTCATTTCCGGCCTTCCCCTAAGCCTGAGGCATGAGTCCTATAGTCTAGACCGTGGGAAAGTTGAGTAGCAGATAAAGTGTGGTATTCAAGCTCCTTCCTGAGCTTGGCCCGTGGCCAGTAGTTGCTTGAACCTGGACGAGTTCTTGCCTAGGAGCCTCCTCAGGCCTTCTAATAAGTTAGGGGTGGCCCAGCTACAGAGACCTCTGGGTGTGTCCAATCCTGAGAGTGAAGAATGTTTAGGTTCTCAGAGATTAATCCTGTTGCACTCTCCTATGGGATGTGGAAGTCCTGTATATGCCAAAAAGAGTGGGACCCCCATTCCCTCCAGCAAGTCTTTCACTATTTTCACCTGCTAACTGAGGCTCCCAGACCTCCCTTGGGTTTATCCACACATTAAACTCTTCCTCTATCTCCACATCTGAAACAGTGATTCTGCCTATGGTATGGCTGAGGAATCACCCTCTCTCTATCAAAACAACCTTCATTTGAAATAACATTAATTAGCCTATGATGAACTGCAACTTAAAGCAAAACAACATATAATGAAACCAATTTTACCACAGGCTAATTGAAATAAACAAGAGTTAAATTCATACAGCATATTTCTGGTCACAAAAACATCAGCAAACTTCTAAATAAAAACCAAAACACTTCTAGTCTAACATTGAAATAAATGTGAGCTATATATACATTCTTAAAAGATTAATAAAAACAAATAAGATAATTACCCAATTTTTGGTGAGTCAGTGAGTGATGGTGCGGTCATCGCGGTGGTGGGTTAAATCAAAGCATAAATGTTTGCAAAGTAAAAACCGTAAGAAGCAGTTCCTTCCATCATGAAGTTCAAAAACAATGACAAATCTAGAGGACTTGCTGAGCACTTTTGCGTCACATCGTTTATTGTCATGCACTTGTATGATTATCATTGAATCTACAAATTTTTACTTGATAATAATTGTTATTTATTTATTTATTCATTCATTCATTTTCTATTCTGCTTTTTCTAGTTCAAGGTCACTGGTGGCCAGACCCTATCCTTGCAGCTCAGGCTTCAAGGCAGAAACCAGCTCTTGCCAGCACATTGTCCCATTGCAGGGTGTGCATGCACGTGTGCTCTCACACCCACACCCACACACAACACCCCCCCCCCCACACACACACACACACACTCAGATTGGGACCATTTAGACATGCCAATGATATCAGGGGTCACATCATTGGGATGTGGGAGGAAACCGGAGTACCTGTAGAAAACCCAGGCAGACATGGGGAGATCCTGTGAACTCCACACTGACGGTGGTCCCAGCAGGAATTGATTAAAACAATGTTATTTGAAGACTTGCTGTATATATATCATTTAAACCTCAAAGGAGCATAATTGCTTAGGTATGAAAATGGAGGCTTCAAAAGGTTAAATAGTTTCCCTGAGGTCACCTAGGTCTTAGGTAAGAGAGCTGGGAGCATGATGAAAGTCTGACCACAAAGACACTTTCCTGACAACTAAGCTACTTTGCCTCCTTAAACTGCTTCTGTTTAATACTAACTGCTGAAATGCAAAATAGATAAAAGGACAACATAAGTAAGAGGAATACAAATGCATAATTAGCATGAATAAAGTGTACATTATCATTTTTAGGTCAAGCCCATTTCTGCGAATGTTCCATTATAAGAGCATCTCAGTTGATAAAAATTCAAAGATGCACATTTGGTAGTTGAAGCAAGAAAATGTCAATAATCCCACTTTATTTTATTAATTTAGATATGGCTCAGGCAAGTACAGCTGGTACTGCTATTCTTAGAGCTAGAAGGAATGAGGGGGAAAATATTTCTGTTAACAGACAGACTCAATCAGATTCAGGAACTGACTCTACTCCCCCAAATCCCTAGTCATCCCGCATCCTGCTCTGCCCCTAACAAATCTTCCACTGCAAATTGCCAGAGAGATGAATGTGAGAATGAAATTGATCAAAATAAGATGAAGGACGAGCAGTCTATCCCAAGTGGCAGTTTGATTAATGAAAGCCAGAAAGCAACTAGTACAATTTGGGAAATCAATGAGACCCAGGTGAAAGCAAAAACAACTGGAAAGCTCTAGTTTTCCCTAGGGGGAAAAAATGCTTTGTATTTGTTTAGATCCTTTGACCTGAGGATGTCAAGGCATTTCACGAGCAATTTATTTTATTCTAGTTTCTGTTATGTGGAGAAATAAACACTAACATTCACACAAGTTTTCCTCTGGGCTGACAGAGGAAACAGGAACAGAGAGAATAGAAAAGGAATCACTGTACTAACAACTTTCCTTGTAATTGATGTCTCCATGAAAGATCAACCAGGCCTTTATGCAGTCATTTTGATTAATCTTGTAGTAGATATCTTTGGGGGCATCTGCCCAATTCAGAGTGGTCATTCTCTGAGACTATTCCCTTCACTCATAGAAGAAAATCCTAGCTGCCATATTTGTTCTGAGTCCTTCCCTATCCCTACCCTGGCCATAGTGGATTGGATCAAGGGTGGACACCTAACCCAACTAGGGCCAATCATATTCTTTCTACAATAACTGGAATTGGGATTCAGAGAACCATTTAATATGGAAGTCAGCCACTGTGAGTTGGGCAAGAGCAGAGGCAGTCTTCAGAGAGAAGAACGAAGCAGTTTAGAGAACTGAGCAGGTGTCTCCGTTGGTTCCTGATAGCTGTCCAGTTTCTGGTCCCAGCCCCCTGTGAGGCCCAGTCACTTGGTCTGACTTTAGGTTGGGTAAAACACTCTTGAACACTATTATTAGTTTCTTCTCATCTACCTAAGTTAGTTCAAGTGAGTTTCTGCTACTTGCAACTAGAAGTATCATCGTAAGTATTTCATTGCTGGGTCTGTCAGGTTCACCTTTGCCTCTAAATATCTGCCTTGCAATCTCTTTCAGTTAGTCTCCTTCCTCTCTATCAATTTCCATTCATTGTGCCTTTTGTTTTTGCTTGCCCATTAAATATAGGTATTCTCTAATGCTCTGTGCTCAATCTATTTCTTCATTGCCTTCCCAGAGAATCTCATCTCCTCCATGGTTTCAGTTAATACCTATAAGCACCTAAATCCCAAATCTATATCTTGAGCCCATGCCTCTTGACTAATATTGCCAAACCACTCTGGATAGACTTATGGGCTCCCCAAACTAAAAAAAAAATGTGAAATTACTCAATCATTTTCCCTCAAAAAAATCTCCTTCTCTCATGATTTATATTAGAATATGGCACTGCACTCTTACCAGTCACTCAAGCTAGATGCCACAGAGATGTTTTCAAGTGTCTCTCTTATATTCCTTTTCATAGTTCTGTCTTCATCATCTCTCAATTGGACAATTTCCTGTAGTTTCCTAAGAATTTTCCTCCTGATACATAACTACCTCCAACCATTGCCAATCCATCCTCTATACTGTCAGAATTATTATTCTAAAACACAAACCAGCCAATGCCATTCATATGCTCAAAAAGAGTCAATAGATCTATATTTTTAATAAAATAAAGGCCAGGATACTTTTTATGATACATAGGTCCTTTCAGAGCTTGGCTTCAAACTGTCTTTTTAACTGCATTGCCTACTTGACTTTGTGCAACAATCACACTATTCTAACTGCTATTTCTCAAACACTTTATGACATTCATTAACTTTTCCGTCATTCATCAATCCATCCATCTGTTCATTAATTCAGTAAGAATTTACTGAGTACACCATAAATACTTTGCAAGGCACTAGGATTATAGGCATGACTTAGGCCTAGTATATGCTCTGAAGGAGCTGCCAGCCTAGGAAGAGACAGGTCATTTCAATTTAGTGAGCCTCCATACTATTATCCTATTGTACTCTTTGTCTAGAGATACTTCCTTAACTCCTAAACCCAAGAAAAGTCTACTCATCCTTCAAAACCCTAACTCAAATACCTTCTCAATCTCCTCGAGCCTGAATTACTCATTCACTATGTCCTCAGCACCTCTTCTCAACGGCACTTTGTTGTAGTGTGGTCTGCATTAAAATTAGTTTAGTGCTGGCCATCAGAGAACTGCAAATCAAAACCACAGCGAGATACCATCTCACACCAGTTACAATGGCGATCATTAAAAAGTCAGGAAACAACAGGTGCTGGAGAGGATGTGGAGAAATAGGAACACTTTTACACTGTTGGTGGGACTGTAAACTAGTTCAACCATTGTGGAAGACAGCGTGGCGATTCCTCAAGGATCTAGAGCTAGAAATAACATTTGACCCAGCCATCCCATTACTGGGTATATACCCAAAGGATTATAAATCATACTGCTATAAAGACACATGGACACAATGTTTATTGCAGCACTATTCACAGTAACAAAGACCTGTAACCAACCCAAATGTCCATCAATGATAGACTGGATTAAGAAAATGTTGCACATATACACCATGGAATACTATGCAGCCATAAAAAAGGATGAGTTCATGTCCTTTGCAGGGACATGGATGAAGCTGGAAACCATCATTCTCAGCAAACTATCACAAGGACAAAAAACCAAACACTGCATGTTCTCACTCATAGGTAGGAATTGAACAATGAGAACATTTGGACACAGCAAGGGGAACATCACACACTGGGGCCTATCATGGGGTGGGGGGAGGGGGGAGGAATAGCATTAGGAGATATACCTAATGTAAATGACTAGTTACTGGGTGCAACACACCAACATGGCGCATGTATACATATGTAACAAACCCGCACTTTGTGCACATGCACCTTAGAACTTAAAGTATAATAAAAAAAATAAATAAATAAAGTAAAATTAGGTTAGTGTTATGTCTATTTCTGTCTTGTGAGTTCATTGAGGACAGTTTGTTGAAGAAACGTTTGTTGAATTAATTTTTGTTAAGTTTAGGACTAACTTATGACAAAAATTCCTCTTTGGATGTATCATGTTTGCTGAAAATTTCATTTTGGAGCCAATAATTTGCACTTTACCTATAGTCAAACTGGGAATCATAAGAGCAGGACCTGTGTCATAGTTTCCTGTGAGGATCAAATGAGTTAACAAATATAAAGCTGTTAGAAAACATAGCAGATACATAACATAATTAGCTATCATTATTGTTATTTCAGTGGTCAATATAACTAGGGAATTGCTAATTTCACATTCCTATGTTTTGAAACATGAAAAATATAGAAAATCATGTGAGAATCTTCTTTTAAATAACAGCCTTATAGAGATATAAGCCACGTACCACACAATTTACTCATTTAAAGTATACAATTCAATGTTTTTAATATATTCACAGAATTGTGCAACCATAACCACAATCAATTTTAGAATATTTTCATCACCACAAAATGGAATTCTGTGTGCATTTGAAGTCAGTCTCTATTTCCCTCAACTCTTCCAGCCCTAAGCAACCACCCAACTTCCTGTTGCTATGGACTTACCTATTCTGGACATTTCATATAAACGGAATCATACAATGTGTCGTCCTTTGTGTCTGGCTTCCTTCACTTTATATAATGTTTTTGAGGTTCATCATGTTGTACTATGTAACTATTTCTTCTTATTGCCTAATCACATTCCATTGTATGGACATAAGACATTTTATTCATCTGTTGATAGACATTTGAATTGTTATCACGTTTTGGCTATTATAAAAATAATGACACAAACATCTGTGTGTGGACATCTGTTTTCTTCATTCTTGGGTATATACCTAGAAGTGTAATTGCTGAGTCATAGAATTCTATATGCAAGCTTTTAAGGAACCAGTCGGTTGTTTTCCAAAGTGCCTGCACCATTTTATATTCTCAGTAGCAGTATAAAAGGGTTCCAACATTTCCACATTCTCATCAACACTTTTCGTTATCTTTTTTAGTATAGCCATCCTAGTGTGTGTGAAGTCATGTTTCATTATGGTTTTGATTTGCATTACCCTGATGGCTGATGATATTGATCAACACTTATTTCTGTGCTTATGGCCATTTGTATATCTTCTTCGGAGAAATTTATTTTCAGATTATTTGCTCATTTTTAAATTGGATTATTTGTCTTCTTCATTATTAAGGTATAGCAGTTCTTTATATATTCTACATATAAGTCCCTTGTCAGATATATAATATGCAAATTTTTTCTCCTCTTCTATGGGTTGTCTTTTTACTTTCTTGATGGTATCATTAGAAAAAACACATTTTTACTTTTGTTGAGGTCCAATTTATCTACGTTTTGTTTTGTTGCTTGTGCTTTTGGCATGATATCTAAGGAACTATTGCCTAATTCAAGGTCATGAAGATTTACATCTATGTTTTCTTTTAGGAATTTTGTAGTTTTAGTTCTTAGATTAAGGCTTTGATCAATTTTTCAGTTACTTTTGTGCAGAGTATGTGATATAGGTTCAACTTCACTCTTTTGCATGTGGATATCCAGTTGTCCTAGCACCACTTGTTGAGAAGATTATTCTTTCCCCATTGAGTTATCTTGGTATCCTTGCCAAAAATCAATTGATCTTAAATGTGAGAGTTTGTTTCTATACTTAAACTTCCATTTCATTAATCTATATGTTTGTTCTTACAATAGCACCATACTATCTTGATTGCTATAGCTTTGTAGTAAGTTTTGAAATTGGTTGGAATTTGTGGGGACTTCCTTTAAGATGTAGATTCCCAGACCCCTTCTCTAGAAATTCTGATTTAATCAGTCTGGGGCAGACTGTGGGAGCATGTATTGCAGGATTTAAAGAATGCCATAGAGTAATGGTCAAGAATGCAAGTTTTGGCCAGGCATGGTGGCTCATGCCTGTAATCCCAACACTTTGGGAGGTCGAACTGGGTGGATTGCTTAAGGCCAGAAGTTCAAGCCCAGCCAGGGCAACATGATGAAACCCTGTCTCTACAAACAACAACAACAACAACAACAACAACAACAACAACAACAAAAGCAGGGTTGATGGTGCACACTTGTAGTCCCAGCATTCAGGAGACTGAGGTAGGAGGACTGCTTGAGCCTGGGAGGTGGAAGTTGCAGAAAGCCAAGATAACTCCACTGCACTCAAGCCTGTGTGACACAGCTAGACCCCATTAAAAAAAAAAAAAAAAAAAAAAAAAAAAGTAAATATTGGAGCCTGACTTACCAGACTTACCAAGACGGAATCTGACCTTACTTACAGGATGACGTGGGAATGACATTTACTGCTTCTTCTGTAAAATAAGAATAATGATGAAACAGGAAATGTTCCCTTGTCCCCCTCACAGGGCATGTGATGGGGGTGTGGCTCGCTTCTTCCGTGCTCTGCTGCTCAAACCTCTAAGGGAGCATACAGCTGGGCAGGCTGTGGGACTCCGGCCCCACAACACTGTCTAGGGGTGAAAGTTTAAAGCTGACGCCTCAATGGGCGTGTGTTACAGGGTGCTCTTTTAGTTTAGCCGTCTGTAGGCGGCTTGTGTTAGTTAGCTCGGCTTGTGTCAGTCAACTCAATTAGACCCCCTTCCTTATCTCAAGGACAGAGGGCTTTTTGTATCCTGGGATTTCTTGCCTTGATGTACCGGAAGAATTGGATCACATGTGGGCTTGGGGAATGAGAGCAAGATTTTATTGAGTTGAAGTAGCTCTCAGCAGATGGGGGAGCCAGAAGGTAGATGGTTTTCCTGTGGAGTCTGGCCGCTCAGCGGCCCAGGCTCTCCTCCAATCTCTCCGGCCAAACTCGCCTCCTTCTGCTGGCCACTGGTCGATGGCCTGCCGGCGTCTGTCCTGTGTCCTTCCACTGGCATGCTCCCCTTGACGTCCCCTCAACGTCCAGCCGCTTGTGTATTCCTTTTGACATCCAGCTGCTTGTGTCTCTGCCTGCCAGGGTGTTGGGGTTTTTATAGGCACAGGATGGAGGCGTGGCGGGCCAGGACAGTCTTAGGAAATGCAACTTTTGGGCGGGAAGGCAGGAGTGCCTGTCCTCACCTAGGTACGTGGGCACAGGTCTGGGGGTGGAGCCCTCCCCAGGGACCACGCCCTCCTCTTCCCAGCAATCCCCTGCCCTCCTTCCATAGCAATAACAGTAATACTTTTCACATAGAGGTTATGAGAACTAAATTAATCGATTCATGTAGGACAGAAGAGTGCCTGGAACTCAGTAAATGTTAAGTAATTGGACTTCCTAACAGTTGGTCATAGGAGCAGACAATGGGGAAATGCAGAAAGGGAGAAAAAAGTATGTGCCAATCTAATGATACGAAATAATTTTTCAGTGACTTTGCAAAATCTAGAAAAAAAAAGTTTTGAATAACAAGGAAAAAAACACATGCCCTGATGAGTAACTGATCTTTTCTTAAATTGTGGTAAAATAGATATAGCATAAAATCGCCATTTTAACCATTTTGAATAATTCAGTGGCATTAAGTACACTCATAATGTCCTGCAACTATCACCTGTATCTATTTCCAAAAATTTTGATCATCCCAAATGGAGACTTTAACAATTACATAATAACTTGCCGTTTTTCTCTCCTACCAGGCCTTGGCAACCTCTAATCCACTTTCTGGCTATATGAATATGCCTATTCTCAATATTTCATATAAGTGAAACCATGCAATATTTGCCTTTTTGTGTCTGGAATATTTCACTTAGCGTAATGTTTTTAAAGCTCCTCCATATTGTAGCATATATAAAATTTCATTCTTTTTTATTGTTGAATAATATTCATTATACACATATACCACATTTTTAATACATGAATTTGTTGATGGACGCTTGGGTTGTTTCTATTTTTTAACTATTGTGAATAAAGCTGCAGTGAACATTAATATACCAATATTTGTGTGAGCCTCTGTTTTCATTACTTTGGGGTATATATCTAGGTGCTGAATTTGAGTAACTGAACTTTTACTAGAAATAAAATGGTGCTTTGGAGTAAAGAAAACCCTTTGTTATCTCTCTCATAGCTTGTCCTTATATGAGGCTACTCTTGTCAATTCTTCCTTGACCTGCATGCCTGCAGCTCATTATAATTGCTGTCTGAGGCATAGAGATATGAATGCCTCTGGAGCCAGGGCAGTCTAGGTAGGAAGAAAGTTAAGAAAAATCCCAGATGATGGAAATTAGTGGCAAGGCTCAAGGTAACCAGAGAGTCTGACCTGTAACCCTTCTTTGCCTCCTTCTCTGATACCTCTTGCTTTTGACAGGATGTTCTGCTCATCCCGAGAGACTAGGAGGTTATGTAAGAACTCAGACAGGGGTGAAGAAGGACTGTATAATTGTGCACATCTCTTGACCCTGTCATCTGCCAAGGCTACCATTACAGCCAGCAGGAGCCATTTAGGGAAAAGAACAGGAGTAGGTGGGATGGGGTCGGTGGGGCAAGGCAGCTATAGGTTGCTAAGGACATTCCCAAATAGAAAGGAAGTCCCTGTCACAGTTGTCTCTTCTCATTACAGAAAGCCCACCTCAGGAATTGTCCCAATGCTCCTAGTTTTATCCCAGGCCTTGCACTGTGCCCCCTGGTGTTTCTCTGATTTCCCTGGCTCATAGTGACCTTTCCCCTTAGTTTGGGATCAGTGAATGGAGAGGGTAATGGTGTTATTGATTGTATCCTTGTAGAGAAAGAGTGTTATTGTAGGCAATATGAATGAGAAATGTATCTTCTATTAGGTTCTACACGTAAAAGGCATAATTCATGTGGTTATCTATGCTTAGAATACTTTATGACTTTTTTGGAAGGATTAAATATATTAAGATGGTAGAATTAGGCAAAAATGAGCTAGTGAGTAAGAACAGCATGCCTCCACTACCCTATACTGGGTACACAGGCTTGATAAAGGAGAAAGAATTATACAGAAGTCTTGAAGGGCTGTAGTAGGTTTCAGGGGAGTTGGTCCCTGTTACCAAAAACGTTTGCACTATGAATAAAAGATGATGCCTGAGTAACACATTTGAGACCTTCTTGGGCATCATCCTTGCCTGTTTTCCATTAGCTTAAGGAGAGGCATGAGTATAGTGATGTCTGTAATTGCCTGTCCTACCTGACACGGTCACTGAATGGCAGAAACCCTGGAGTGGAGATGGGTAGCTGATTCTCCTGGTGGCTTGGGTCACTGGCCTTCTTAGTAGCTTACTTACTTGAGTACTTGCCCTGCTCTTTGGTGGTGGCAGAAAGTCAAGCCCAGCTAGAAAGAGTTGGTCAAGATACAAAAGGGAAAAATACAAACCAAGCAAATAAAATGTTTAAAAATGTTTTAAGAAATCATGATTTAATATTAACAGCACCCAGAACTTCATTGCCAAGTTTATTAAATGTTATCAAAGACATTTAGCTAATATAGATTAAAAGACCCCTAGGCCTCTCTTATTGTCTTCAATCCTATATTGTTAGAAGTGATCTACTTTTTAAAAGTGATGCAGGATATACAAAAATTCTCAATCTCTGCCAGTATTTAGTTCATGTAGAGATGAGCGGGCTCCATTTCTCCTAGACTGAGCTACCATTATCTCCACACCCACTCTATCCTTTTTCATTTCTCCCTGATTCCCGACCTAAGGAAAGAGAGACTGCCCTACTTGTCCTCAAGATTCCCCTTTTAAGCTTCAGGGAATTAAACATGAAGCATAAGAACATTGCATTATCTCCCTGATTCCGAGTAACCAAATGTCCTATTCCACTCATAAAATTTAAATTTTTTCTTCATGTAGTTGTATAAAGCATTTTATCTGACTTGATTTTAAGATGTCGTTTACCTCTCAGAGAAGCAGAATGGTGAAATAGAAAGAACTAAGGTCTAGACTAGGGCAGTTCTGGTCCCAAATCCAAGATCTATATATAAGGTATCTTCATCTCTCTAAGTCACAGTTTCCTCCTATGTAAAATGAGATAATAACAGTTTCTAAGTTTTGGGGAAGCACTAAGTAGGATAATAAATGTAAAGCACAAAAATAGGACAATGTTAAGTTTCCACTCTTTTTCTTGTTTCCCTAGGGAAAGCTCAGCTTCCTCATATACTGTGTACGTGATACAGTCCATGTGGCCTCCTAAGACGAGGGTCATCTTACATATCCCAGAGTCCAGATCATGTCTGCGCTGTTTTTCTGACATCAAAAGTTTATGCTCTTGTTGGGAGTCCACTGGAAATGACGTTTTCTTGAAGTGTATTTAATGATATAAGGAAATGAACAGGCACCATTCATGAAAATATAAGATAGAAATTATGCAGTATAAATACAGTTTTCAGAAAAGAATATATGTCCATACGTTTATATATAGGACATTTGGTGGCATCACAATTTATCTCACCTGTATAATACCAGGTAGTTGTTCAGGAAGATACCAGACACTTTTTTTTTCTTGCTGAGTTGCGGCATTTAAAACTGAAAAGAAAAGCAAAATTGCCTACATGTGGGAAATATTCAGAGGGAGAGAGGATTTAGCTAAAAGCTAAATACAGAGCAGGAATTTTTAAAGCAAAATGCTGTGTGTTCTCTGAGGCTGTTTCTACCCTTTTCTCTCATCTGCTTGAAATTATCGGTAAAGTAGGGATTGCTCATCGGGTACGAAATGATACAAGATGAGTGAGGGGAAAGCCACAGGCTGCTGATGGGCCCTGACTAAATCGAGAGGATTATAATCACACACTCACGCATGCGCGTACACATGCATTGAAAAAAGAGAAGGAAAAGACAAAAAAAGTTATCAACTTTGTGTAATGATATTCCCTATTGAATTGCATTTTCCAAGCTTAAAAATGCCTCTTGGGCTTTATTTGACAAGCTGAAATAGTAAACTGATCATGAGCCCCAAGAAAAACTAAAGCTGTCCTGGATTAGGGTTTTATTCTCTCCACTTCCCAGATCTTTGGTGCTCATAGTGGATCTTCAATAGAAGAATAGCGTTATCAAATTTTGAGTTAACTTTTCAACATCCAATCTTTTAAATCATATAACAATGTACTACACTAAGACATCACTTTTCAGAGAGACTTACCAAAGGCCACACATAATTAGTGAGAAAACAACCTTGGAAGCCTTGACTCCATGTTACCTCTACGCCTCTCTTTCTTCATTGCTTTTATATGCATGAGCATTAAGAAAAAACAATGTGTGTTAATGTGCATGTGATTGTATGTGTGTGTATGTGTGGAGAGAAAGAGAAAGATAAGAGAGCGAGAGAAATTACATATATATGCATAGATACATACATGTATCTATATATTATATACATTTCTATGTTTGTGTGTATTTTTTTTCTTGAGGGTGCAATAGTCTTAATTTACACTTTACATTAAAGTGTAAATTAATTGTACTTTAATGCCAGAAATATCTCAAAACATCTGGACCTCTGTCAGGGTTATGGCGTGAGGGAACTGTGACTTGGGAAGCCAACCAGGAAGGTATGCTCAAGAAGCAATTCTTAGGACTTAATGTTTCAAATAAAGGGCTTAATCATCATGTGAAACCCTCAGGGCCCAGGCCCAGAAAGAGCAAATTTCCTCTAAAGGACTTCTAGCATCAAGTCTCTGCTTGGTTTGGTTAGTCCATCAGGCACAGTTCCTAGTGTAGTCTCAGGCAGGCATTCTCTCTCATTTATAGCCATGGATCTAGCCCCATTCTATGAGTAGACCAAGCTAGTTCCTTACATGACAAGCTAGTTCCTTACATGACAAGCTAGTTCCTTCCATTCAGTCCAAGGGGTGACTGAATGGGTTGGGGAAGGTCAATTTCTTAGTCTAACCCTCTTTCACTCCTGGGCCAATAGCTAAATCCAGTGCTCATTTCTCCTATTTTGCTTCACCACCCCAAAATTTCACCTTAGATTATAAGGTGATCATCACTGGACACACCTCCAAGAGAAGGGTAGGCCCCTAGAAGCCAAACTAACAGGAGTAACAGATCTTCCCTTCTAAAAATAGTGACTATCCTGTATTAATAATTAAAGATCAGCAAAGGACAGATGCAAGTTTAACACTGGAATGGTCCTTAATTAAAGATCCTCTAGACAGGAATTTCAAAACTGCTTTGTGGTGCTCCATGCCTCCTTGGACTTGCTACAGATTTGTGAGTTGTTTTGTGAAAAGTCTTGGGCTCTCAGTGCTTTTGTGCAATTAGAGATCTTTCACATACTAAAGGGCTTTAGTTCTATGTGCAGCCTCATGCTCCTTTACAATTCCCAGATTATGTATGCTCTTGCCTTCCCTCTGGTTAAGGACACATTTCCGGTGCTGGAGCCGTATGGCATAATGGCAGGAGCATGGGCTTTGAAACTAAACAAGCTAAGCTCCATTCTCAGGACTGCCACTCATTAACCTGTTGCTGGTAGCTCTGGGCATCACTTTCCTCATCCATAAAAAAGTATGTTTTGGTGGAAGGTGGGGGGATGTACGGTAAGGATTAAGCGAGATTGGACAGTGCCTGCCATATGGTAGGAAATGTCTGCTACTACTGCTATTATTATTATTTCTGTTACTATTGACCCAAGTGTCTGAGTAAGATTGTTTTACATTGCCACCAGGAGGTAGAAAATTAATAATTAATTTGACAGGCCTCAAAAAAGGAGTAACATGAAAAGGAATGAGAAAGATACTATAAATATCCACCCATAATCTTATTTTTAGTACTTCATTAACATTGTTATTATTATTTTTGGAGTCTCCCAACCATTTCTGCAGAAATTTTTTAATTCATGGATCATAGGTTTCAAGCTGGCATAATTCTTCCTTCATTATAATTTGCCATATGTGGACATGTTCTCTATATTTAGACTTGAATATAAAAACTTTACCATCTTGCCGAAATGCCAGGGTTTTTGAAAATTTGAATATAGTCAAACTGTCTGGTTTGTAGAGGAAATAACAGGCCTACAAATTTTAACATACTTGCCAAAAAGGATCACAGAACAGAATTTGGATTTTCTCATTTCTTAACAACTAGTTCATGGGAAACTAACATAAGACCCATAGAGCCTCAATTTTAGTGAGATACACAAGAAGCACATTTAATTGTGCTGTGAATTTGAAGCAGATACAACTTGAAAAGAAATGAAACTGTTCTTCACTTTGGCTGTATCAGCCCAGTCCCACATTCTCCTTTGAAGGACAACAAAAGAAGAAATAGCCTGAACAAGAATCCAGTACTGCTTTCCAAACTCCAGGCCAGGTTTTTCTTTTCGAATTGTGGGTTTTAAAACAGAAAGAAAAAAAGGAAAACGAAGGGAAAAATCTCCTTTTTGTTTTCTGATTTCCTCACAGTATTTTTCTAAGAATATCCCGTGGTTAGTCACTATATATGGTGCTGTACTGATTTTCTCATATGCCAAAAGGTTAGGAAGATCTTTTACATTTTAAAGATCTTTATATTTTTAGGAAGATCATTTATATTTTACAGATAATGTCTCAGTAACTACTTGGTTAAAAACCTAGTTTCTGTTTTTAAAAGCGCTTACTTTTATTGTGATGATGGACTTGAGAGAGAGTTTTTAAAAATTTATTTTTTTAGTATTGTTTTATTGTTGTTGGTTGTTTGCTTGCTTGCAAGAAACAAGCTTATTTTTCCATAGAATCATCTTGATAATGTAGCTGTAGAAATGTTTTAGGGATCTACAGGAGCCCTATGAAGAACGCTTTCTAAAAACAGTTCCATATACTCTAGAAGACTGACACCACGGACATGTATGCACACACGCACACACACGATTACTAAGACAGCAAGTTACTGTTGTCAATAAACATGGCTAGGACCACTTGCCTAATGCCTGGCCTCACCCTCCTTTTGTCACTCCTCTTCTCTGGGCTCCTGATACCCTTCTGCAGCCCAGTTATCTCCCAGGCTGACTCCATGCTGCCAGAGCTCTCCAGGTGACACAGAATCACAGCATGTATCCTGCTAGTGTGTTTCTAACCATGAGCCACCAATTTAGTTGCTGAGTTCATTTCTAACTCCGGACATAGGTCCAGGACCTGGGCCCTATTTTGGTCCCCTGTGCCACAGTCTTTGCTTATAATCTATACTGCACAGCAGGTTTACCAGGATAGAGGCTCATTTTTATTCCTGTCAAACTCACCTAAGAACTAGACTATTACCCCACATCTGGGATTTTGTTTCAAACCTTCCCAGTAATAACTCCTAGCCTGTTGGCCTGGATCACTACACATTACTTGCTACTAGGCTTATTGCTGTTAATCTTGCCCTGCAATGTACTGAGCATCAATTATGTACCAGATATCATAATTGGAATTTACCTTACTATGGGTAGTGTGCAGTATTGTGGTTAAGAATACTGACTCTGAATGCCAGGTAAATTTTAGCTCCACCGTTTACTATGATTTAGAACAAGATGCTTAATGTTTCTATGCCCCAGTCCCTTACCTATAAACAGCATAAAAACATCACCCACCATTTAGGGTTTTGGTGAGAATCAAGTGAAGTAATAAATACAAATCAAGTCAGCATGCTTAGCACTCAGTGAATGTTAGAAATTTCAGAACTTTATTCCATAGACATTTTTTACCCATTTCATGTATAATTTTACTTAGAGCTAAGTAACTTGCTCAAGGCCAAGTAATAGAGCTAGGATTTGAAACCAGGTCTGTCTGACTCCGAATTCATTCATTCAGCAAATGTTTGTTGACTATTCTTTGCTGGCTTTGACAAAAGATGGCCTCTAATAAGCCAAGGAATCATTGATCATCAGAGAAATGCAAATTAAAGCTACAGTGAGATATTATCTCATCCCAGTTAAAATGGCTTTTATCCAAAAGACAGGCAATAACAAATGTTGGTGAGGATGTGGAGAAAAGGGAACCCTGTACACTGTTGGTAGGAACGTAAATTAGTACATCCACTATGGAGAACAGTTTGGAGGTTCATCAAAAAACTAAAAATTAAGCTACCATATGATCCAGCAATCCCACTGCCGGGTATATACCCAAAAGAATCAGTATATGGAAGAGATATCTACACTCCTATGTTTGTTACAACAGTGTTTACAATTGCTAAGATTTGGAAGCAAGCTAAGCGTCCATCAACAGATGAATGGATACAGAAAATGTGGCACATATACACAATGGAGTACCATTCAGCCATAAAAAAGAATAAGATTCTGTCACTTGCAACAACATGGATGGAACAGAAGATTATTATGTTAAGTGAAATAAGCCAGGCACAGAAAGACAAACATTACATGTTCTCACTTATTTGTGGGACCTAAAAATCAAATCAATTGAAGTCATGGACATAGAGAATAGAAGGATGGTTACCAGAGGCTGGGAAGGGTAGTGGGGATTGTGGAGGAGTTGGGGATGCTTAATGGGTACAAAAAAAAAATAGAAGGAATGAATAAGACCTACTATTTGGTAGCATAATAAAGTGATTATATTCAATAATAACTTAATTGTATATTTTAAAATAACATAACTTAAAGAGTATATTGGATTGTTTGTAATTGAAAGGATAAATGCTTGAGGGAATGGATACCCCATTCTCCATGATGTGCTTATTTCACATTATGTGCCTGTATCAAAACAACTCACATAACCCATAAGTATATATACCTGCTAGGTACCCACAAAAATAATTTAAAAACAATTTAAAAAATAAAGTCAAGGAATGTGGGTAGCCTCTAGAAGCTGGAAAAGGCAAGAAAATGGATTATTCCTCAGAGGCTCCAGAAGGGAATCCATCCCTGCTGACACCTTGATTTTAACCCAGTGAGACTCATTTTAGTCTTCTGACTTCCAGAACTGTAAGAAAATTAATTCGTGGCATTTTAAGCCACTATGTCTGTGGTAATTTGTTACAACAGCAATAGGAAATCAATACAGGTGCCCACATTATGTGTCAAACAACTTGTATTTCCATAATCATAGCATATTTCTGCGCCCTTACTTAATAGCTTATATAGCAGGTGCTTAATAAATATGGGTTGAGTTATTCCAGCTTGCTCCATTTCTATCTAACCATGAATATATCATGTTGGACATTGATAAAATGATCTCCAAAATCAGTTCCATCTCTAGTTATCTCTGGCTCACAGTCACATAGAATTTTAATACCATCTTTTTTAGGACCACTTCTGGGAACACAGTGGCTGCTTGGTATATAGTTGCAGAAGGGAAGAATGGGATGAATGATTCACTGTCACAAAGCAGTCTTTATTTATTTGTTTGCTTCCTTGTTTGTTTATTGTGACCAAAAAAAAGAAAAAAGAAAAAAAAACCCAAACACCCAACTACGGTTACTTCCAGTGAATTAGAGGAGGTAGCTAGAAAATCCAAAATAGAAGACTATGTCTCCAAAAGTATTATTTTAGTTTCAGAATATCTTTCTGTTGTCAGCAGATGCACAATTATTTTAAAATGACTATTGGGGTTCTTCCCTTATGGTACAAGCTTTACATTATATATCTGATTTACTTCTCTAAATTAAATTTAGAATAAGTTGGTTTTTATAAAGATATTTACAAACCCTGATCACTGATACTTGCTTAGTCCACTGTGTTGGCTGGCAGAAAAGGAAAGAATAAAGGGAAAAGGTAAAAATAAGTCAGAGGTCATTGGCTGACAGCCCAGGGAAGCCTCAGGGACCACTGTGACTTTGGGTGGTGTCAGCGATAGCTTTTTGTTTCAGCTTTCTGCCTAGTCTCCATTCTTCCTTGATCTGATATCAGTACTGCTGCTATCTAGTCGGGAACTACCCCACCCCCATTCTTCATCCTTATGGGCTAGGAGGGGCCATCCCACTCTCCAGCTGCAGTGTAGTCCTAGGATCCAAGTCTCTGCCCAATCATCACATTCTATTTCCCTGATCCCGGTGATTAGTTCGGGCTTAGCCACTTGACCCAAGTCAAGGCAATTAGATATTGGTCCAGGATTTTGATGAAACTGTTGAAAATAGAGATTTTTCTCTTTTCTCATTGGAATGTCTAAGACTAATTTAGATCTATTGACAAACATTTTGTCATGACAAAGGAAAACCTGAAAAAAACGGGGCTAATGGAGGATAAAGCAGAGACTAGCAATAGAGAACACAGCATCTGCAATGGAATTATTCAAACTCCTGGATCCTGCTTGCCTAAAGATAATACCACCTTGAACTTTTAAGTTAAGTGAGCTAATAAGTTTCTGCTTCTGCTTAAGCAAGTTTAAGTTGTATTTCTGTCGTGTGAAAACCGATTTTTTTTGGCTAATACAAGGAGTCGTCACAGTCTTGCAGACCCATAAACTTAAAATTGAGGTGTTTAGAAATGATCAGACCCAGAGGAAATGACTTACAGTAACCGGATTTAAAAGAGACTGATGTGTAATACAGAATAACTACTTTAATAGATATTTGCAGGTATCTACAGCATTAACATCTTCTCCCTAGGACATCTACTTTCCAAAACCATTTGGCTTGAGAAGCCAAATCGGCAAACAAAAGATAGCCTCACGATTCAGAATGAAAGAAGGTTGGCTAAATTGGACCTATTTTATCTGGACCAAGATGAAGACTTATGATCCACAATGCTGCCTACAAGAACACCTTTATTAGAATCTACTAGATTTGGCACATTCTTTCTCTGGACACTATTACATAATTCTCAGACTGCCTTTTTATGCTTCAGATTGACTATCCCTCTTCTGCTCACAGAACTTAATCAATTGTATTGACTCTCTTTTTTCTCCAAATATTCAATTAAATTCCATTTCCCAAGTTGCAATCACATTCTCTTTCTGCTTTCATGATCTATGTCCTGACCACCTTTGGTGACAGTATAGCTGTTTTAATGCTTTCCAGACACATGCATAGGAAATTTCTTAGTTTGCACTAACAGGTAGCCAATTTTACCCACTGGTAATTTTCAGTAGTTTAGCTCACAGAGGGCAATGGGAGAAGAGCACCTCACTATTGTCCCAAATACTGTCTAGAAGGGAAAGTCTAACTAGGACTGGAGAAGTTGCTGTATATTTGGGCTGTCAACATTCCAAGTACCTAAGGCCTTTTTTTTTTAATTGAGGTAAAATTTCTAGCAGCATAGTAACATATCAGGTCTTAGGTGCATAATTCAATACATTTTAACAAGTATATAGCCATGCAGCCAATACTCAAATGAAGATATTCATAACTGCAGGAAGTTCACAGGAGCTTTTATTTATTTATTTATTTATTTGTTTATTTATTTATTTTGAGATGGAGTCTCACTCTGTCACCCAGGCTGGAGTGCAGTGGCGCGATCTTGGCTCACTGCAACCTCTGCCTCCGGGGTTCAAGCGATTCTCCTGCTGCAGCCTCCCAAGCAGCTGGGACTATAGGCGCATGCCACCACACCTGGCTAGTTTTTGTATTTTTAGTAGAGACGGGGTTTCACCATGTTGGCCAGGCTGGTCTCGAACTCCTGACCTCGGGTGATCCACCCACCTCAACCTCCCAAAGTGCTGGGATTATAGGAATGAGCTTATTTGATACTCAATGTTTCACAGACACCAAGCAATATTAGTCTATTGAGAAAATACATACAGTACTGACAGAAAGATAATACTAATTCAGTAATGTTGTTATATAATTATTTGTTTTAATAGCCACAATTGTATTGAAATATTTGAAAAATAGAACTGTTTAGAATAGAATGTTTGAGATGTTACTTATTTTGTGAACAGATAATGCTTAGTGTCCATAAGGATTCAAATGCCTTTAGAAATAAGCTTTCAACCACTTCCGTAGGGGTCTGTGTCTCACAGATTAATAGGGTCTGCTTTAGCTAATCCAAAACGTATATGGCCATGAGCATTTGGGTATGTAGCAAAGTACAAAACACTTTCTAATATCATCATGACTGTTGACATAAACAGTTCACAGATGGGTAAAAGTAAAAAGCATAGGGCGTATGTATTCAGGGCAACCTGAATCTATGTCTCCCAGGCTGCAGTCCTCAATCTTGGCCCAAATTAATTCTCTACTTATATTTTTCTTTCAAAAAAAGCATGATCCATCTCTGCCATTTATGAATTAGGTAAACATGGGGAAAAGGCTAATTCTTTTTAACGCTTAGTTTTTTCCTTCTATTACATTAGAATGATGACTACCTTTTAGGGTTTTTGTAAGGATAAAGTGAGATAAAGTGGGAGAACCTTGAAAACTCTAGCTTTCATTATTATTGCTACTCATTAATAAATATAATATTTGAAGAGATACTTACTGAAGTACTCCATTCATTGCTCTTTTATCTAGCAAGTAACATGCTGACTTATGTGGGTAGAATCCCCCAGCACAGTGCAAAATGTTTCTCCTGTTAGAAAGAAATGTTAATGGAATTTAATTCCAGTCAAAAAGTCTCAACTTAATCGCATTAAACTTTCAGAATCTCAATTAGATAATCTTAGAACTGGAGTATATTCTTAGCACTGGACTATATATTCTATGGAGATATGTCTGAATTTTTCCAGTGAGGGGAAAAGACCAAAACAGGTAAATGAAAACCATTGCAATAGAGTGAGGACCCAAATTCAGTTCTCCTGACTCTTACTTAGTGCTTTTTTGCTGCTACTGATTAGTGAATAAATGATTTGAAAGGATACGTTTTACTAAAACATTTTTCACTGGATAACTGAACACAACAAAAACTAAAACTTCTCAAATCTTTCCTTGATATGTGGAAGCATATCCCTACTTAAGGAAATATATCTGTGTAAAATTGCCTTTCTGACAGTTTCCATTCTTCTGGTATTTCTGTCTGAGGAATATTTTAATTTCCCAAGAGACTAAAACATTTATTTTCTCTGCATCTCTGTAATTCATTTGAGAGACAGAGTCTGCCCAAGGTTAGTTGAGCAGCTAACGACCTTAAAAGGGCATCTCAACTTCACAAGCTCTGCCATTGCCACTCCCCACCTGTGAGTGAACCCGTTAAAATCACAGCTGTGCTTCACCTCTGAAGTCCAGGGTTTTAGTAACCACCTAACATACCATGGAGTTCCCAGGGGAAATATTAAACTGAATGATTTCAGAGTAACTAGAGCTGAACTGCGGTTGAAGCAACATGCCTAGTTAAGTCATCAAACACACCTTCAGTGGTACCATAAGGAACAAGAAATTTGGCTTTCTCTGTCTTCAAATCCACAGTGGTAGAAATGAGAGGGAGTATAAACAGGAGCCAATTTTATATTTCCAGTATTCAATTCATTTCTAGCCCCAAGGCTTGATGTGAAGGCAGCAGGGTTAGTAATTAAGCTGAGATAGAAATGAACAATGCTGCCAAGCTGGCCCCAGTGTCGTTTGATATTCTATTATATCTGTAAAGGGCAGACGGACAGTTCTGATGGCTCCTAGGTGAGGCAAATGTACTTTTCATTAACGCAGGAAAGCCAAACAATTTTCTAGTAACTTGGAAGAGATTATGTTGGACAAACTCGACTACTAGAAATGCAATCAGTAGCTGCAAGCTCAGTGCCACTCATGATCATTCTATTTGGAGCTGCTCAAGACGATTAATAATAAAACTTACCAGATCCATTTGTACAGTATATTTCTACCCATGCTCTCAATATGACTGCAAATTGCATCTATTAAAACCTACAAATTACAAATTTAATTAAGCCCTGTTTAAGAGATTAAGTTCTGACTCACATTCTTATAAGTAAATTCTATCTAATAAAAATAGCTTCTATTTTTTGAGCACTCGTTTGTCAGACAACAAAAAAATGAAAAAATGTATTCTGTATAGCTTATTATTCTTCACGGAACTCTGTAGTGTTGGTATTATCAACAGCATACAGCTGAGCAAACTGAGCCTCAAGAAGGCTAAATAAAATTGCACACAATTTCTAAGCTGGTAAGCGGTGGAGCCAAGGATAGAACCCAGGTGTAGCTGATCCTAAACCCGGCCTTCTTTCAACCACCTATAATAGTATTTGGCTATATGGGTCTATACCAGTCACTTATCTTTCAAAGGCTACCTCTAGTCCAGCCATTTCCATGAAAGTTTCTTTGAATATCCCCCCCTATTTCCTATAAAAATCATAGGTTTTGGGCTGGCCAAGTTGGCTCATGCTTGTAATCCTAGCACTTTGGGAGGCCAAGGCGGGTGGATCACCTGAGGTCAGAAGTTTGAGACCAGCCTGACCAATATGGTGAAACCCCGTCTCTACTAAAATTACAAAATTAGCCATGTGTGGTGGTGTGTGCCTGTAGTCCCAGCTACTGGCAAGGCTGAGGCAGGAGAATCACTTGAACCCGGGAGGTGGAGGTTGCAGTGAGCAGAGATCGTGCCACTGCACTCCAGCCTGGGTAATAGAGCAAGACTCTGTCTCAAAAAAACAAAAACAAAAACAAAAAACCATAGGTTTCAGAGTCAATCAGGCCTGATTTGAGGACCCCAGCTCTACTATTTATTTACCATTTGACCTTGGATGATTCATTTTAATCTCTCTGAACCTCACTTTCCTCACCATAAAATGAGAATAATAATACTACGTCATGGAACTTTTCAGAGGATACAGGGAGATGCCAAAGAAGCATTCATATAGAGTTTGGCAATTGCTAGTAGCTAGTTTTTGTTGAGGACTTTGTACCAGGCATTGTGCTAAGTGCTTCCCACTCCTTATCTCATTTAATCCTCACAACAACTCTATGATGTAGTTACCAACACATTTCCGTTTTGTAGATGGGACAATGCAGCTTCACAATGTTAGATGCAACCACCAGCAAGTGTCAGAGCCAGCCCTCTGACTCCAAAACCCATTCTCCTCTTCATGATAGGGCGATCTTTAGGCCCATTAGAAAGTCATAAGATCAAATTAGTTGTTCATTATCAGAATTATTTAATGAAATAGAAGAAAAAGTATAAAATAGATTAGAAAAGAAATTATCAGTAGGCTTCATACAGTAAAGATAAATATGAAAATTTACTTTATATAATATAAAAACATGTTTTAGGTATGTGTATATGTGTGTACTGGGTCATGATATAGTGTATTTCTTATTTTAACTTATGAAAATTCATATACGCTACATTATACTCTCTCTAAATTATAGGTTATCCAAAATAGTTATCTTCCTTTTCCAAGCAGTATGTCACAGTTTTATCCTTAAAGCCAAGCATAATGTCACTGTTGTCATTTTTAGTTTCACCAGGTCACATTTACTTTGATAACTGGTTATTATTCCATTCTAATATTCAGCGACAGTGACTTTAATTTGAGCTATTTCATTCATTTATTTATTGGCTTATTTAATAATTATTAAGTGCATACTATGTCCCAGATATTAAATTAGGCACAGGAAATTAAATGGCAAACAAAAAACACAGTTCTTGCCTCAAAGAACTTCCAACCCAGGGAGGAAACCAGACATTAAACATGCAATATAAATAATGCTGTAAGTTCTCCACCAGAGTATGCAATGGGTTCTGTAGGATCTTAGAACTTAGTACATAGGGTAAAAGCAAAACAATACCATAGATGAATGTACCAAAAAAAAAGTCGAATTAGTTCAAGGGTAGCATAAGAGCTTCAAGGAGAAAAAAATCTTTTAAACTTGGATTTGAAGGCTGAGCAAGATTTATCCTGGGGAAGGGGAAAAGGAGATGAGTAAATATGCTGAGTAGAAGGAAAGAATGTCTAAAGGCCTATAAGTGAAAGAAAGAAGACTAAGCCCCAGGTACTGAAAATCCATCATGGTTGGAGTATAGGGTATGAGGGAGCTGGAGAGAGTCCAGGATGTCTTTGGCTCCAGGTATTGTCAAGCCATCAGTAAGGATGCCACTGCTAACCACAAATTGCTGCAAAGGTGCTCACCTTAGGGCATCCAAGCCCCAAGACCCAGTCTTTGTTTATTTATTTTCTCCTGGCCCATTGCCCCTGAATGGCCTGAAACCAGCAAATAGGAAGTGGCCTTGCCTTGTTCTCTCTCTCACCAACTCTTCACTTTAGGGGTTCTTTAAAAATCCATAAAATAATAAGAGAATGTGGAATTTTTTCCTTCCCTCTTCCCCATATCTCTGTAACTTTTAGAAGCTTGGTCTCTGGATTGAGACAGACCTTGCTCTTGGCTCTGAATAGGTTGTTTGGTCTCTGTGGCCCTCAGTTTTTTCACTTATAAAATGAGTAAAGCTGGGTGAGACGGCATGTGACTATCGTCCCAACTATTCAGGAGGCTGAAGTGGGAGGAGCTTGAAGCCAGAAGTTCGAGGCTGCAGTATGCTATGATCATGCCTGTGAATAGCCACTGCACTCCAGCCTGGGCAACAAAGCAAGCTTCCATCACTAAAAATAAATAAAATAAAACGAAAAAGAAGAAGAAGAAAGAAAGGAAAAAAAAAAAAGGAAAACTGAGGGGACTCATTGTTCCTGTCTCAGGTACTGAGACCAAATGAGGTAACACATGTATAATAAAATGCTTGGCACATAGGATGTGCTCAATATACTTGAAGTGTTATTTTAAAAAACTTACTGAAAGTTTCTGCCTATACTTCGGGGGGGATTTCATTTTGTTATAAAGACTTTAATTTCAGGCTTTTTTTTTAACTCTTATGCAAAGTTCACTGAGGAACAGCTACCTCATTCAGTTATATATATTTGGTTATATATTAAGCAGCACAAAGAAACACAAAAATCAAGGATGAGTCAAGTCCAATTAAGCTAAGGAAGTCAGTTTCATCTTTATCAATGGGTTGCAATACTGTATTGCTGTTCCCCTATTTCCCTTATATACAAATCTTCCCACGTGCTTCTTTTTCTGGGATGTTGGAATGATGTACGATGAAGGTTTCTCAAGTACTAGTGAGACTGAAGTAATTTTCTACATAATGTACCACAAACAGATTTAGAAATGTCGATTTTAGATGCTATGATGCATACTCAAATTTTCCATGCAGCAGGTTAGATAGTAGCATGACTAAGTTGAAGGGCCAGTGATCTCAAATGTCTCATTGGTGTTTCATATACTGAAATATTAACAAAGTAGAAAATCAAAATGAGAGCAATTTAGGGATTCTCATGTCCCCTGATTACAGGCTAATTTCTATGGGTCCAATTTCAGACAAAGAAAAGAGTGATAATGGAAAGGAACACAGCCGGGAAAACAAGAATGACAAAAAGCACAGAAAAAAGGGAATTGAAGCGAAATCACAGGGTCATCATCAAAAGACCCCATCTCCACAAAACAACACTATTACAATCCTCCCTCTTCTCAGAATCCTCAGCTGGGCTACTGGGCTGCTCTATCAAAAAATTGGCAACCCCTGTATACTGCAGTGCATCAAGCACTGTTTATTGCCAGTTGAAAAGAAAGCTTGTTTGCATTTTAGAACACTCTGGTCTGAGATGACTTTTCAGTGCTGCCTGGGAGCCAAGTTCCCCAGGAGAATCACAGGGTCTCTTCTGATCCCCACCTTTTCTTGGACATGCTCGGCAGCTGAGACTGCCTTGTGCCTAAAAGTCAGCTGGTTTGCAAGAGAAAATGTCCAGAAAATGTCCTGCTACACACTGGGAGGGTCCATAAGAAAGTAAGGCTGGGGCAGTTCTGCTGTGAGAGGGCGGAATGTGGAAAGAAACAATGCAAAGATGTTGGTAAATTCCACTGAAGGCTGAGGGACAAAAGAACAACTTTGTATTAATTAGGTTTTTGTTTGTTTTTGTTTTTTGAGACACGGTCTCACTCTGTCACCCAGGCTGGAGTGCAGTGGCGCAATCTCAGCTCACTGCAACCTCTGCCTCTCAGGCTCAAGCAATTCTCCTGCCTCGGCCTCCCAAGTAACTGAGACCATAGGCACATGCCACCACACCTGGCTAATTTTTGTATTTTTAGTAGAGACGGGTTTCGCCATGTTGCCTAGGCTGGTCTCGAACTCCTGACCACAGGATCCACCTGCCTCCGCCTCCCAAAGTGCTGGGATTAAAAGTGTGAGCCACCGCGCATGGCCAGTTAGGCTTTTTTAATGGTGCCAGTAACAACACCCCAACTCAAACCTGTAAGCAACAAACGAAATTTGATTGACTCACATAACTCAAAAGTTAGACTCAGGAATATTTAGATCAGATGTTCAATGGTTTCTTTGGACTCTCTCTATTTGCTGGGCAGCTGTCCCCTGTGCTGACTTATTCTTAGGCAGGCTCTCCCCAGTGATGGCGAAAGTGATCACAAGCCAAACTTACTTTTAACCAGTTTCAAAACCTCATCTGGAGGAGTTCACTTCCTTCCCAATAATTCAAGCAGCAATTTGGGGACTAGCTCTGGGCCATGTGCCTAGTATGGGTATGGACAATTCTCTAAAGGAAAATTGAGGTCCTGTTACCAGAAGAAGGAGAGATGGACTTGGGACTGTTGAAAACCAACTAAACAACTTACCCACTGGGCTTTTTGGATACTCCATTTTAATTATTAACTAGAAGCAGAAGTTGCACAATTGAAGATAGCCCTTTATTTATCTCTTTACACATTGACTCATAATCATCTATGATTTCTCCTCAGGAAAATATCAAAGACTATGATACACTAGGGCACCTGAGTGTCATGCCATTTTGAAGCTTAGACAGAATACCAATAGAAATGACAAGTTCTTCCTGTGAGTTTGCTGACACAGGGTTCTTTAACACCCATGCTAAATTAAGCAGCTAAATCAAGAGCTACCTCCCATAGCTCCAAGGTAAAGCAAGGATGCGTCAGCCAATTTTCTGACAGAAATTGATAGCTTTTGTGTGCGTGTGTGTGTGTGTGTGTAAGTGCCTTCATATTTCCGACCCCTTCCATGTTTCTTTCCATTTTGCTGACCACAAGGAACCATCATTATTTACATTAGCAATTCCCAATTGTTTTTAAAAAGTGAGAATTCCTTTCTAAGAATTCATAAATGTCTCATGATAGTAGTAAAATCTCTTGCCTATATTTACATATTGAATAAGAAAATACATACTGTCAAATAAATTTAATGTTATTAAAACCATTTGTGTCATATTGATTACAACACCTACTTACATGTGAAAAATGAATAGTATATGTATGTATAAGATGTATTATTGTTTTCCATCTATGTAGGGATATGTAGATGTCTTGCAATAATTACATAAACCTTTTCTGTAACAAGGTCAAGGAATTGGGGTCAGGTGACAGAATGATTCTTTTGTAGCTCCAGTGTTTGTTTTAACCCAGAAGGCCAAGGTCTCCAGATGTTAGGTCACAGCCCTGCATTCTGCCTCTTTTTTTTGCTCTGTTTCCATGTCCTTCAAATAACTAACTCAAGCTCAAATTTTAACAGAAATTGAACTGACCAGCAGCCAAGGGAGTTGACACGTGATTTATGAGTCAGGAGACTTGAAGATGGTGACTTAACACAGCTTCCAGATGCTGAAAACGAAAGTGACTCAAGACATACACTCCAGGTTGAAGGCATATGCCAAAAAGAGAAAAGTGGGAAGTGTGATTTAGGGCCTATCTTCCAAAGGGTAATGATGAATCTCCTCAGAGGCATAGCATTTCACTTTCAATCAGGATACAAAGATAGCAGGAAACATTTATACCAAAAGGGAAATTTGTTCAAAAAGTAGAAATTTATGCAAAGATAATTTTTTGAGGTGATATTTTTGACAGTAGAGCTGGCAACTGTGTTTAGAGGTCATTCCCACACTCTGGGTACCACTCATGACTGTCATGCTCTGACGAGCTCCTAATCTCTCTCCTAAATCCTTCCTCCCTCCAGCTTCACAGATGAGACAGAGTGGAGATGAAGAAACAGTCTCAAAATTATAACTGTGAACCATAGAATTTCCTCTGATCTTTTGTGTGCAAAACAGTAAATAATAAAAAAAAAAGAGAGAGAAATTTAAAAATTGAATTTCCCCTCCAAATCACAAGCATTTATAGTTGGAAAATTTCAGTACTAATTTGTAGACAAGTGTCTAACATTTGGTAATCCGTATGTCATTACAGATATGGGTCAAAAATGGTACATTTAGCTGAAAAATTATGTAAAAAGAAAGTATTATGAAAGGATAGAGACAATTATATTTCTTATATCTGAACAGTATTAGTGTGTTTCAATGATCACTTTATTCTCAGTGTAACCTCAGCCACTGGAGAATGCTGATACCTAAAAGTTATGATGATTAAGAATGTGGTCTTTGAGGTCGGGCACAGTGGCTCACACCTGTAATCCCAGCACTTCGGGAGGTGGGGGCGGGAGGATTGCTTGAGGCCAGGAGTTTGAGACCAGCCTGGCCAACATGCTGAAGCCCCGTCTCTACTAAAAATACAAAAATTAACCAGGTGTGGTGGTGCAAACCTGTAATCCCAGCTACTCAGGTGGCTGAGGCAGGAGAATTTCTTAAACCAGGGGGGCAGAGGTTGCAGTAAGCCAAGATCGTGCCATTGCACTCCAGCCTGGGTGACAGAGGAAGACTGTCTCAAAAAAAATAAAATAAAATAAAATAAAAGTGGGCTTTGGAAGGAGACTGAGGCTGGGAAGTCCTACTTCTGCCATTATCCAGCCCTGTAACCTTGGGCAAATCACTCAACTTCTGTAAACTACACTTTCCTTATTCATATGGTGATATTACAAATTTGCGAGATAAAATTAGTTATGACATAATTTATGTAAAAACACTTAGAAAAATGAATGCAACATATTAACTACTAATAAATGTTGACTTTTACTATTAATTGTGACAGTATTAAGGGACAAAACATCTTAACATGGCAGTAATTTGAGACTCCTGACCCAACTCCCCCTAATAAGAGGACTTTGTCTTTATCTACTCAGATTCTTCATTTGTCCCTGCCTTGCCCTCTAAGAGAATTTTGCCAAACTAATTCCTAAGCTTTTTGTAAGAATAGGCAGACCACGTTAAAGAAAACAAACAAAAGGACAGAAAAAACAAAGCAAAACCAAACAAAAACAGCCAGGTAGAGTAGACCTGCAAACTGAAGAAGTTGGGTGAAGAACAAAAGCCCACATGGGCCACATGTTCTGTGAGAAAGTGTTTTAGGATTTGGCATGTGAGAGTCTCTGGAGCAGCTTTGGAGTCTGAGAAACAAGAAAGGAAGCAAAGGCAGTTTGGGAGCCAGGGCATGGTGGCACATGCCTGTAATCTCAGCACTTTCAGAGGCTGAGGTGGGAGGATTGCTTGAAGCCAAGAGTTTGCAGTTGCAGTGAGCTATGATCATGCCACTGCACTCCAGCCTGGGCAACAGAGTGAGACCCTGTCTCTAAAAAAAAAAAAAAAAAAGTTTTGAAAGGTGTTTTACCATGGATTATAAATGGATCTACTATCACAATCTTTAAGAGATCAAAGTAAAGAGCAGGTTTCAGTTGTAATGACTGGTTTCTTGACTGTGCTTTTTCATGGAGCATTATGTAGAGGCTAGGTCATGTGGGGCCTCGGTTTATACATAGTTTATGCAACCACAGTTCCTGACTTACCAAGTGGCACTTCTCTAACAGTGCTGTGTCAGATTTGCCTGCTATGATCACTCCTTTTTCTGGCTTCTGTATTTATTGGGTGAAGTACACTTTAAACTTAAAGAAGTGAGTCTTTATTTTTCTACCTTCATCACCAGGCTCTTCTCCACTAGCAACTCTTTAGAAAATAGCAGTGGCCTCAGCAAAGGAACATATAGTAATCAGTAGTGCAGTTGCAGACACTTAATCTTTATTGCCACCACCCCAGACCCTAAGTCAATCCTTAGCCAGGTTGGGGGAAGCAAACAGAGAAGGCAGATTATTACAACTGTTCCTCAGACATCAGATTTCTTCTATGACAATGAAGTGTTCGAGTAATTCCTGGCACCATTGTTTTAGGGTTCACTTTCCAAAAAATACAGTCAGGATTTCTCTTTGGAAACATGCATTACAACTCTTCTTTATGGATCTGTTCCAGGTAATTACACTGTTTTACTCAGGACAAAGCCTCACCCGTTAAAGAGCTTTGGTACTATTGAACACCTTAAATTTATGTTGTGACCAACAACAGCATCAGGGATTACAGGGGGAACAGATCCCTTTCACATATTCTAAATACACAACTGAACAATCAACACAATTCAAATGTTGCAAACATTTAATTTATTCCTGCCCTGACCCGTCTTTCAAATAGCAGACTCAAAACAGGTGGTTATTACATCAGCCTCTAAATCACTTTTGTATAATCAATTAACCTCATTACGTTGAGGTATTCAAACAGTTTCCACCAACGGACAATTTTATTATGACCAACACAATTTGTTTTCTCTTACCAGCCTCACAAATGGCCTCCTGAAACTAATGCTTAGAGAAGTATTGGAAAATTTCCTGTGCTGTCTCAGGGCTGTATACATTTGCCACACAGCAGCACAATGAGTCCATGTTATTACATATGAAGGCTTGGGATTATGCCTTTCCATATGAAATGCATAAGCAAAACAACCCAAACCACCCCAGCCTACACAGAGAAATTCAAGTACCTAAGTACCCACCCTATTTTCCAAACAAGTAATATCTATACAGGCTCCTAATACCAAGGACTTCATTGGGTTTGTTGTAAATAAGTCAGTGGATGATCATAAAACACTTCTTGGCAGTAACTAAATCAAGAAGATCAGCGATGGTTGGCCTAAGTCAGCTATAAATTTTATGGCAATTTTTTAATGAGGCAAAGGAAGGGAGCTTATCAGCATTTTGGCTTTCAGGGTCAAATGAAAGAAAGCAGGAGAGAGCAAGAGAAAGGAATCTGGGGTACCTGGTGCCAAGAGAAGGAAATGGAAAAAGAGTGAATAAAAAAGGAAGAGAAAAATCCCCAGCTGAACAGAAGGCAAGAAGCTAGAGGCTTATACAGCCTTTAGCTTAAGGGCAGAAAGTTGTAGTTTGGTGTTTTCCTCAAGGGATGCCTGCAGAAAGATTTCTGTGCCAATGTGACCTTGGAAACTAAAAATGGATCACAGCTTTGGTGTTTGGGCTGAAATATACAAGAGAAACGCGGGAAACAGATATGAAATAGATTGGGTAGAAACACCAAGTAGCAAAAGACAAACCATACCCAAAAGATAAAAACCAGGACAGGACGTCATGATTATTATGACCCATGTTTATTTGACCAGTCCTGACCAATACAGGACCTTCTCTGGAAACAGGGGTTTTTTTTGGGGGGGTGGGGTGGGGTGGTGGTTTGAGACAGAGTCTCGTTCTGTCGCCAGGCTGGAGTGCAGTGCTGTAATCTTGGCTAACTGCAACCTCTGCCTCCCTGGTTCAAGCGATTCTCCTGCCTCGGCCTCCCTAGTAGCTGGGATTACAGGCACGTGCCACCATGCCTAGCTAATTTTTTGTATTTTTAGTAGAGATGGGGTTTCACCGTGTTGGCCAGGATGGTCTTGATATCCTGACCTTGTGATCTGCCCGCCTTGGCCTTCCAAAGTGCTGGGATTACAGGCGTGAGCCACCATGCCTGGCCGGAAACAGGTTTTAATACTTCTTTGGAAATGGAAATGTTTTGCCAACTTAATGGAGAAGGCTGGCATTTCCATGGGGACTATGAAAATTTATTCTGATTTAATAAAAACCTGAACAAGCCAAAGTGAAACAGAAGCTCAATGTTCCAAACTAAATTAGACATTTTATTAATCCAGTTAGAGGTCATTGGCCAACTGTAAATTCAGAATAGTGATTTTTAAAAGAGAAGAAGTGGGGATGGGTAAAATACCCTGAGAATCTGGCCTTCACCTGCAGCTGGGCCAGGTAGGTGGGAACCTTGACAAAGGAATGATGCAGGTAGCTGGGCTGGGTGTGTTTGGTGAGTTAACAAGTAATCTTCAAAGCAAGAATCCGTGTCCATTCAGAAAGCAACCAGACTCTACACAGCAAGACTCTGGCTGCCATCAAGCCTTGGTGTTCAGTTGGCCTGAACTTTGATGCAAAACTGAGCTCTGTTCCTCGAGATATCCCCACTAGCTTTTACGTGTGTTCTCACAGATGTTTCACATCTTTGACTTTTGCCTTTACTGATGGCTTTAACTTTATTATTTAAGATCTTGTCTTGTCACTTTCATTGTCTCACAAAAAGGAGGTCACAGAAACCTTGTCTTTTCTAAAGGAATTTTTTTTTAAATCTACAAACTTGTCTCTGTTACCTGAGAGGCCCTTTTTGAATTTTCCATTATAAGCCAGTGGGAAAAACCTTAGAAAACCTGAAGGAAGCCCAGAGTTTAATTTTTTAAATTAATCATCCATAAAATAAAGTAGACTGGTTTACTATAGAAACAAGGATTCCAATCATATTTAACTGCAGTGTCGGGTGAGAGAAGAGTATTCAAAGTAGTGACGAAGGTGGTTAGGGATGGGGTAATGTGCATATTGAGCTGTCATTTTTCAAGCATTCTACAGAAAAGAAATCAGAGATTTTAGAAAATTATTAATGTCATAAACAAGACAAAACTTAGGAGAAACAAAGCAAAAAATTACACCCTGTTATTTAGTCTGAAAATTTTTTACTTACAAAAAAAAATATCGCAAAGACAAGAAAAGAAATAGCTAAATGAATAGACAGACAATTCAAGCAATTTATTGTAAGGAAGAACAATCAACTTCCACAAAGAAAATATCATGGAGATATAACTGGACATTGCAAACACTTTATGTATGGATTCTGATTTAGAATTTACTTGCTTGAACCCAAATTCTCATGCTTCTATGTGACCTGTGAAGAATTATAAGTTCTTCCCTCTGTGAGTCAGATCCCAATTCTGCCATACTGTTTCTGGTTCAGATTTTCTTCCTATAGGTCTGTCAAAAACAAAAAAAAAGAAGAATCACTGGAGTGGGAACTAGAGGCCTTAGGTTCCTGCCCTGCTTCTTGAACTAGCAGTTAACAAATATACCAAGTTACATTTTTGGGTAAAGAATAGCCTGATGGATGAATCTTCCGAAGTGATGTCCTTGGACAAATTGCCTAAATCTGGGTCAGCTTCATGGGCATAAGATCTGTGCGGTCTCACAGAGTCCCATACTTAAAAGGGCTTTGTGCTTAGTTTAAGGCCCTGCTGTCACCATCTTAGTAATTTTTTAACAAGGGACTCCACAGTTTTGTTTTGTGTTGGGCCCATTAACTTAAGCAGCTAGTCTTGCCTTAACACTGCGCAGCCTCTGCTTCCTTTTCTATAAAATCAGAATTGGAAGAGCCCTAGGATCATTTCTAATTTAGGAAGTGATGATACAAACCCTTCAGGATTGTCTGGCATTTAGACAGCACAATGCCACAATCACAGTGAGGAGATTTTTCTGGGATCTGTTTCCAGGACAGTTTCTTTCTTAAATTGGCCACCATACTCCATGATGGAAACTGCAAGACCTACCATGCCAGGGATTATCCTGCTCCCTCTTTCTCCTCTCAGTGACCAACCTCTCATTATAGCACCACTGACTAGCCAAGTGTTGCCACAAGAATGTTGCAAACAACCACCTCCAAAACTTAAGAGGCTTAAAACAGCAGCCATTCTTACTGTTCTCACATTCACAGTTAGCTGGTGGGTTCTGTTGATCTTGGTCAGGCCTGGCTGAGCATTTCTTTGACCATAGCCATCTCTCTCTCCCATGTTTCAGATGGCCTCAGCTGGCACACCTCAGCTCTGTGCCTGTGGTCTCTGTCCCTTCAGCAGGCTAGTCAGGGCTAATAGAGGCAAAGGTCAAGAGAAGGAGCAGAAGCAAGCACAGCTTTTGAGGCGTAGGCCTGGGACTGCATAGCATCACATCTGCTGCATTCTACTAACCAAAGCAAGTCTCAAAGCCAACCCAGGTTTGGAGGTACAGGAAGTAGACCTCAATGAGACCTCTTGAGTAGACTTCTTGATGGGAGGAGCTACAAAGTTACATCCCATGGTGCTTGGATAGAGAGAAGAAAAGAATTGGAGCCCCTGTTGCAATAAATCTGCCGCACTCACATTAATCAAAAGTTCTACTAGCTGTATATATTCATCACAACAAGGTATCACCGTGTGACCCTAAGAAAATCACCTGGGGTCTCCTTCCATTGCCACATCTATATAAATGAGGGTATCCAGATTCACTCTAAAGCCCTTTCTGCTCTGACATTCTCATAGTCCACAGGCTCAGTTCTTACTCCAACCAGTTTCCAATCTTCCCTTCCTCTTCTGAACCAGACACCTGTCTCTACATCCTATATAGGGCATTTAATCATAGACTGGTCAAAGTAGTCAATTTAACTTACTTTAATCTTCATAGCTTTGTCAGGTCCTGTAATTCCTGTAATTCTCAGAGGAAGTTTAAGTTTTGCTTAGCCATGCAAGAAACCTCCTTGCTAAAACTGAACGAGTAGCAAAAGGTGTATTTCCCAGATCCATGTCTATGTCTCTGTGTTTCCTTTGTCTCTACAGAGCAGAATCCTTTCTGATTTCAATGTTCTCTGCGCCACCCCCATCCTCCTATCAGACTGCATCAAGCACTCACAGTCCAGCCAAACCACATTGGCATGGCTCACTGCAGGCCTTTGAGCAGGGGCAGCATTCTTTTAAATAAATGAGAGGGACAGTGTGTTCTTGCTGAAGCCTGCAAGGTCCTGTCAGCTTTACGCTTGCTGATTTACATGGCTTTTAAAAGACATAACCATAAAATTTCACTCCAAAATTCACTCTGGCCAGTCAGATCTTTGCCTAGGCCTGGCAATTTTAATTTACCAAAGTAACGAGATAATAGTTTAATTTTTCCCCTTGTTGGATGCCCCTTTAATCTTCATAATTCACGATACAGCTCTTTCTCCCAGTAAGCTCTCTGATGGGAGTCTATGATCTAGATCTTGTTTTATTTTTTCTTAAGAAATCATTAAAGCGCAGAAGCTATTCCTACAAGGATCTGTAATCCTAACGTGTAGAACCAGTAAAGCACCACAGAGCTGGATAGTGGGATAAACATGCTGCATGTGGCTTCCTGGGCACGTGCACTAGCTGCTTTTGCCACTGGTTCAGGGAACAGGAGCTAAATTTGGTCTGTATTATTGTGTTTTAAGCTGAAAACTGATTCTTGGCTGGCAGATATGCTTTTTTCTTTTCTTTTTTTTTTTTTTTTTTTTTTTTTTTTTTTTTTTTTGAGACGGAGTCTCGTTCTGTCGCCAGGCTGGAGTACAGTGGTGCAATCTCGGCTCATTGCATGCAACCTCCGCCTCCCGGGTTCAAGTGATTCTCCTGCCTCAGCCTCATGAGTAGCTGGGACTACAGGCATGCGCCACCACGCCCAGCTAATTTTTGTATTTTTAGTAAAGATGGGGTTTCACCATGTTGGCCAGGATGGTCTTGATCTCTTGAGCTCATAATCCGCCCACCTCAGCCTCCCAAAGTGCTGGAATTATAGGCGTGAGCCACCGTGCCTAGCCAGATATGCCTTTTCTTTGCACATTCATTTGTGTTTCATTGTCTCAAAAATAAACTTGTCTTTTCAAATCAGGAAATCTTCCACTAAGCCAACAAAAAAAAGAGGGGTGATAATAGAGGACTCGCCAGTCTGTCTCTTACTTGCTGACATGCCTGTTTCCTCTGCGGTGGTTTTTGTCATTCTGCTGCATGTGTCCATGTTGGCATCAGGTTGGAGCAACACAGCGGGTTCTTTGGCTCTCAAGGTGGTCTTTAAAAGTCACTGATATTTGGTACTTGGTCACCTTGCCTACCCTTCAATTGCTTTTCTCTATGAAATCTAGTGCTCTGTGCATTGTAGTGCTTTCTCCAATAATTAGAAAAGAAAAACAGAATCTCCAAAATTCCTAGATCAGGGACTGTTAGGTAGGTAGGGAGGGAGAAAAGGGGCAGAGACGGTTACAGCCAGCCTCACATTTACAAAAGTCTTCACCTTTTCACTTTTCTTGCTTTCAAATTAGGTTATATATATAAAACCACGAAGATACAGAATTAAAAGCAGGCATTAATCTTATGCCCCATTCTGGTTCTAATGTACTTTAATGTTTATAAAATGATAATTATCTTTAAAATAACACTCTCTTGCAACATACTTACTGTGACAAAAGTTTTCATTTATTTAATGAAAATATTTAAAATATTCTGTAAATGTCATCACTTTATTCTGGCCTGTTTTATTTTTTAAATAAACCAGGAGACTCGAATACTCAAGGTTGCTGGAACTTCTCTTAACTTCTGAAGGGCTCTGCTTTGGACAAATTAGTTTTGTTTCATTGTGCATTACTAACCTCTTCTAAAGAAAACCATAGAGTAGAAGAAATGTGGCTCACATGTTTGGGGTAGAAGAAAGAGGTGGACACTCAATCAGGTAAAACATTGTCAAGAGCTTAGGTCCTAGACAGGAGCTGGTATAGTCACTTATAGAAAGATCAAGGCTGAGAACACACCATCTTGAGATGGGACCCTCTGAGCTCCCTCTGGATTTCCTTGCACAGGTCACTTTAGCTTTCAGAATGTTGTGTCAACACCTTGGCTTGGCACACAAGAATCTTTACAACTTGGCCGCTGACCACTGTCCAGCTCTTTCTCTCTCTCCACTCTTCTTCCCAGACCCTTTGCTTTGGTCCTATCACGACAATCTTAAAAATGCTATTGAACACTCCCATCCTATTGAAGGGCATGCTATTGAACTGCCCTTAAACTCCTATCCAGTCGTCATGAAGCATTCAATCTGTATCTCATGCCTCTGGGCTCCGATAGAACCCTGGGAATATTTCTACCACTTACCATTCTGTATTTTAATCTTTACTTTACCTGTCTGTTATCTTTTTTGAAAGAAAGGCTATATTTTCATCATTGTTTTATTCCTCCTTTATAGTAAAATACATGGCACATGACAGAGTCAATAGTGAATTCATAAATGCATGAATAAACAAAGTAGACCAGAAACCTATTAGAAATACAGAATCTCGGGCCCCACCCCCAGATCTACGAAATCAGAATCTGCATTCTAACAAGCTCCCCAGGGAATTTGATTGCACTTTCAAGTTTGAAAAGCACTGATCCAGCTTACTCTGCTCTCTCACTTCTGTAAACATCTGGAGTACTGATTGTCTAAGGTTCTGGGTTTAGTAATTGTTAATGTACCTGTCTTGCACTCTGCTTAATTGATTTGTGTGAGTGTGTGATTGTGTGTGTATGTTACTGTATGCTCACACACTTCCTTTCTTGTCTCCTCACCCAGAAGCCTACATGGGGGCACTCTTGACATTCCGTCACTACTCCTCTCAGCACCCAGAACTAGGTACTACCCAGAGTATTTTTAATCTTCCTGGAAAAATATCCCATAAGAAGATAAAATCTGCTACCTAAGCAATGGGCAAAGTGTTGGGGAAGAGTGATAGGGAAAAGAGCACTAGCTTTTATTGAGATTCTACTAGTAGGAAGTACTGTTGACACTGTATGTACTACATCTCATTTAACCTTATGTAATGAGTTAGGAATCATAACCCCGATTTTACCAGTGAGGAAAACTAGGCTCCTAAGTATCCTCAGTCTCACACAGATAGTCATGAAACTGGCATTTGAACACTTCTTAGTCTTCTTTTTTGAAATTGTGGTAAAGAACACACAACATAAAATTTACCATCTTAACCATTTTTAAGTGTACAGTTCAGTATTGTTAAATAGCAATATATTAGCATTGTCGTGCAACAGATCTCTAGAACGTTTCATCTTGCAAAACTGAAACTCTATACCATTGAATACCAGCTCCAATTTTCCCCTCTCCCCACCACTTCTTTTTATAAACTAGTCAAAGGTGTTATTTTGCTCATCCTTCCTTATCTTTCTTTCACTTTCTCCCCCTTCTCATAGTACCATATTTTACACAGCTATGGCTTATCCCAACAGCAATGAAGGCAACCTGAAGATCCTAAGGTCTCAGGATGTTGTCTTCCCTATGGAGTCTGTGGAGCAAGCAACAAGGTTTGCCAATGGAAGAAAATCAGAGGAAGCTGATTTGATTCTTGTAATGTTGGAAATTAATCTGTATACTTTCTCTATGTTAAGGGAAGCTTTGAATACAGACCATTATTTCATTGAAAAAATCAGTCATGCCTGTCTAAAATGATCACTTTGCCACCAAGCCACATTCCTGAGGCCAGGATTCTAGTACTGTAGCCTCAGTGACAGCATCCTTCTGAAGCACCATGAGGGTAATACACATGACCAGTCCAGAAAAACTCTGCCTGCTTGCCTTGCCTGCTGAATGGGATTGTTGCTGGCACCAAACATACACTCCCTGAAGGTGAGGCAGAATGAGATGGAAATGGTATCTTATTCTGTCTGATATAATGTTTGTAACTCTGGCTTGTGTGATTTTTGCATAATTCTATTTAAATACATTCTTTATTAGAGATTCAAAAGCAGGAAAATATTTACATTGCATATTAGAAAGCAATAATGGCCTAGAGAGAGCAGGTATAAATGCCAAGAGGGGCAACAGACTTCCCCCCAGAGCCTCCTGTCTCCAGAGTCCTGTGTCATTGAGGGTACATCATGCAGTGATGGGCTTGTACTAGGCAGCTAACATCCCCACGCTCCAACCTGTGGGAACACAAGGGTCATGTTTCCCCATTTTTCTGGATTTCATGTCATCAAAGATGACGGAATGACTAACTATAACAAGGGTCCACCCACCCAAAGTCACTTATTTTAGATCCTGCAGCTCTGTTGTCCGATTTTGGTGACAGCAGGAGTTTCCTGTCATAATTCTAAGGCCTCGAGGGAATGCCTAAGTCAGCAGACCTGGGCTTAAATCTAACTTTACAAGCAATAGCTCAATGACCTTGAGTGACATAACTATTCTGTGATTCGGTTTATTAAATGAGATAAGTTGGAGGAAGCAAATATATTTCCTGAATCGCTTAATAAGTGTTAGCTATTGGTATTTTTATTATCTTATTATTGCCATTTTTAATAATATAGCCTGGACTAGAACTTATATTAAGGACTGAAAACTACAGCCAGTGTGCCAAATCAGGCCCACCTGTGGTATAAATCAAGTTTCACTGGAATACATACGTGCCCATTTGTTTATATGCACTCTGTGGCTATTTTCAAGCTACAATGGCAGAATCCAGGAGCTGTGTGACAGAAATCAGATTTAGAAGTCTGGACTTTGGAGTGAAAAGATAAAGGTTAATGATTCTCCTTTGCTCTTCCCTAGCTGGATAACATTGCGTAATCATTGCAACCTGAACTTAAATTTCTTTATTTGTAAAATGACGATAATAAGAATATCCACATTACATATTAGTAGTGAGGATTAAATTAAACAACTCATATTTAAGCTGTATATAAGTATTTAAGTCCTATAAGAATTCATTCATTCATTCATGTGACAGACACTGGACCAGACACAGAAAATTCAAAATGAAAAAAAATCAGAGATAGTCTGTGACCGTCAGGAGCTTATCTTCTGGGAGGGAAGATAGGCTGGTTGATGCAAGGTGTGTTTCCTAATTCATCAATCTCATTATCATTAATTTGTAAAATGGTCAGTTTGAATTGTGAAAGCACACTCTATAGGGAAATGCTTATACTTTATAATTCTGCCTTTGGCTCAGCCCAGGTCAGAGATATTAACTCATACATTTTTCAGTATTTAAGTTGTTTATTTGCTTTTCTTCAAACAATGAATCAGCCAAGTCCTTCAAAAGAAACATATTCACAGAGTTAGACAAGTTGCCTGGTGAATGTGACACATGCAGAGATGCCCACAGGATGATTTAAGCCTTTGTACACTTATAAAACAAAGTTCAACCAAGCAAAATGGTGCTCTGCAAGAAAAATGCACAGACCAAATATAAATACACATGAATCCAGCACAGACTCAAAAAAACAGCTAAGAAAAGAATATGCCATCGGATTTTTTTTTCTGTTGTTTTTCATTTAGAGAACATTAGTTTCTGGAAAATTACAAAGAATAAGCAGGCAAAAATAACTTTGACTGAAAATGTTCACCTCTAAATAATGTTTCAGTTGAATGACAAAGAACTGCTTATTTGTTCTAATTGTAGGCCAATCTCCCATGACACTTTTAGATGCCAATTTACTTAGTGTAAATATGCATTAAGAACACACCACTCCTCACTAATTTTATTAATAAGTTTCTTCTCCTTAAATTTTCACTACACTGGAGAAAGACTAATAGCGTGTTAAATATTTATAATCTAATAAGCAATCTACCAATTTTTCTATTAAAAGAGTATCACTCTCTTAAAAGAAAAAAAAAAAGGCTCTCAGATGCTGATCAGTGTGCAGGCGTGTCTCCCAAGTCAGTCATCTGACCATGGTTTTTACGCCCTGTGCACAAAAGGGACATTTAGTATGAAAGCGTAAACGAAAACTAGGGGCTGTTGTCAAAATGTCAACCATTGTGCTCATATTAATAACCACTGCAGCTGTCTGAGGCTCAAATTAGAATCTTTGAAACAAGTTAAACACTTCCAGCACTATTTAGAGCCATTTAAAGAGAACAACAAAATTTTACGTTGAGATCTTTTACTAGGTGGTCTTTAAAATAAAAATCTCTTTAGAAACCAAAACTAAACTTTTTTTGAGATGCCATTATGCCATTATCTGAGAAATCCTCATTTCCAATTAACTAAATATCCCAAAAGCTGGATTCAAAGGCATATTAATTTATGCACATGTGCTCACATGAACTCAACGTAAATTCTTAGAATCCAAAAATAGAAGAGCACTTTCCCTGGGACGAGTATGCTTCTCCCATATAAGACATCACAAACAGAGTAGCATTATTCCCGGCTACCTCTTCTGGCATTGGAAGAGAACAACCATTTTTAGCAAGGACAACCATTCATATTGGAGCCAGGCAACTGTATATCTCTGAACCTCCTGGACTGAGGAAGAGGACCAGCATCCTTTCAAAGGAACTGTTCCAAATGCACATCAACTACAAAAAAATGCATCCATCTTGGGATTGAAGAAAACCTGTGAACTAATCCAGATGACCTGGCAATGTGTAAGTCACTTACTGTGTCAGCTGCTTCAGAGGGACAGCATGAACTTCAAATCATACTGCTTAGGTTCTTCAGATGGCCTCTAGGGACTTGTAAGGGGAAAACTTTCTGTGTTAAGGTTCCGAAATAAACTTTTTGAATTGCAATAAGACACAGCACAATACCTGGGAGCAAATAAACTGATTTCCCAAACAGGGAGAGACAGCTGAGTGTTTTATTCAAATGACAAGTCCATTCACCACCCTCTGACAGTTTCAATCTAACTCATTGAAGTCCAAACGAAGTAGATGAATGTGCTATTCCATTGTTCCCTTTAAATTTACACTATTGGGAAGCACCAGAGCTACTACTGGGAGTCAGAAATTCTTGGTTCTACTCCTGGTTCTGCCCTAATTACCCTTGTCTACCTTACTGGGGTATTAGAAGAACAAATGGATAATATATATAAAAGCATTTTGAAAAGTATAAAGTAATGATCTATTTAGTAGATAAACATAGATTAACTCCCTACTAAGTACCAAGCATAACTGCAGATGTCATTCCATCCTTAGAGCAATGCTGCAAGATAAATATTATGACTCTACTTTTACAGATGAAGAAAATGAGCCTCAAACAAGCTATGTAACTTGCCACACATCATACAGCTATGACACGAAAAGCTGAGATTCAAATTCAGGCCTTTTCAGTCCAAATCTAGGTCTACTTGCTCCTATGTCAAGTCCCTTCTAAATTTACACTAATATGTGAAAGAATGCTAAGATTTAGCTGTCTTGTACCAAACTCCAAGTTAGCAGGTGACCTACATACTTGAACTCAGGGTACCCTAACCTTCTAGTGTGGGAGAAGCTTCTTTTCATTTCATTGAAACCTGAAGGAATGGTGCTCACAGGGAGCTGGTCAATATAAGTGAAAGAGAGGGCAATGCTGTTCCTGCATGACCTGCCCCTGTCATTTTCAACCAGGAGATATGGTGCAGCAATGAAGATATTGCTGGTAATCAGCTTGGAGAGCTGCCATGTAAGCTACAAAGTACACACTGGTAAACTTGCATCTCTTAATCAAGGATCTCTGCCCTTCTGCAAGGAAGTGCAGGATGTAAGAATTTTATGGAGCCCTGGTGGAGAAGTTTGGGGAAGGAGCTTTTCTTGGGACCCCTTAAATCTCAAGATATACAAAATGCCCAGTAATGCCAACATGGTTGCAACTTAAAACTTTTGAGTATACTCATCCCATAAGCTATATAGGTATACTTAAGTAAAGTATACTTAGTTTTATATTTTCCCCTGTTCCCGCATAGCTTAACAACTCTCCTTCTTATTTTGAGCAGATAATGACATTCTAGAGTTATATGCACAACCCTAAGGCCATAGAATGTATTAGTTTGTTCTCACATTGCCATAGAGAACTACCTGAGACTGGCCGGGCGCAGTGGCTCACGCCTGTAATCCCAGCACTTTGGGAGGCCGAGGCAGGCGGATCATGAGGTCAGGAGATCGAGACCATCCTGGCTAACACGGTGAACCCCATCTCTACTAAAAATGCAAAAAATTAGCCTGTGTGGTGGCGGGCACCTGTAGTCCCAGCTACTCCAGAAGCTGAGGCAGGAGAATGGCATGAACCCAGGAGGCGGAGCTTGCAGTGAGCGGAGATCGTGCCACTGCACTCCAGCCTGGGCTACAGAGCGAGACTCTGCCTCAAAAAAAAAAAAAAAAGCACTACGTGAGACTGAGTAATCTATGAAGAAAAGAGGTTTAATTGACTCAAAGTTCTGCAGGCTTAACAGGAAGCATGACAGGGAGGCCTCGGTAAACTTACAATCATGGGAGAAGGTGAAAGGGAAGCAAGGAGCTCCTTCACAGGGTAGCAGGAGAAAGAGAGTAAAGGGGGAACTGTCACACACTTTCAAACCATCAGATATCATGAGAACTTACTTACTATCATGAAAACAGCAAGGGGAAATCCTCCCCTATAATCCAATCACCTCCCACCAGGCCACTCCTCCAATTTGAGATTTGGGCAGGAGCACAAATCCAAACCATATCATTCCACCCCAGCTTCTCCCAAATCTCATGTCATTCTCACATTGCAAAATACAATTAACCCTTCTCAACAATCCCCCAGTCTTAATTCATTTCAGCGTTAACTGAAAAGTCCACAGTCCAAAGTATCATCTGAGATAAGTAAGTTCCTTTGGCCTATGAGCCTGTAAAATCAAAAACAAATTAGTTACTTCCAAAACACAATGGGGGTACAGGCATTGGGTAAATGCTTTCATTCCAAATAGGAGAAATTGGCTAAAACAAAGGGGCGACAGGCCCCATGCAGGTCCAAACCCCAAGAGGGCAGTCATCAAATTTTAAAGCTCCAAAATAATCTTCTTTGATTCCATGTCTTAAATTTAGGGCATGCTGATCCAAGAGGTGGGCTCCCAAGGCCTTGGGCAGCTTTGCCCCTGTGGCTCTGCAGGGTACGACCCCTGCAGCTGCTTTCACGGGCTAGAGTTGAGTGCCTGTGGCTTTTCCAGGTGTATAGTGCAAGTTGTTGGTGGATCTACCATTCTGGGATCTGGAGGATGGTGGCCCTCTACTCACAGCTCCACTAGACAGTGCCTCAGTGGGGGCTCCAACCCTACATTGCCCGTCCATGCTGCCCTAGTAGAGGTTCTCCATGAGGGCTCTGCCCCTGCTGTAGACTTCTGCCTGAATATCCAGATATTAGCATACATCCTCTGAAATGTAGGTGGAGGTTCCCAAACCTCATTTCTTGCATTCTGAATATTTGCAGGCCCAACACCACGTGTAAACTCTCAAGGCCTGGGGCTTGCATCCTCTGAAGCCATGGCCAAGCTGTACCTTGGCCCATTTTAGCCATGGCCAGAGCTGGAGTAGGTGGGAAACAGGGCACAATGTCCCAAGGCTGCACAGAGCAGCTGGGCCCTGGGTCTCACCCACTAAACCATTTTTCCCTGCTGGGCCTCTAGGCCTGTGATGGGAGGGGCTGCTGCAAAGGTCTCTGAAATGCCCTGGGGACATTTTCCCCATTGCCTTGGCTATTCACATTCAGGTCCTCGTTACTTATGCAAATTTCTGCAGCAGACTTGAATTTCTTTTCTTCCACATGGTTGAGCTGCACATTTTCCAAGCTTTTACACTCTGCTTCCCTTTTAAATATAAGTTTCAATTTCAGATCATCTCTTTGTGGATGCATATGACTGTATGCTGTTAGGAGCAGTCAGGTCATATCTTGAACACTTCAATGCATTAGAAATTTCTTCTATCAGATGCCATAAATCATCTCTCTCAAGTTCCATGTTCCACAGATCTCAGGAGCAGGAGCACAATGCTGCCAGTCTGTTTGCTAAAGCACAGCAAGCGTGACCTTTGCTCCAGTTCCCAATAAGTTCCTCATCTCCATCTGAGACCACCTCAGCCTAGATTTCATTGTCTATATCACTACCAGCATTTTGATCAAAACCATTCAACAAGTCTCTAGGAAGTTCCAGACTTTCCCACATCATCCTGTCTTCTTCTGAGCCCTCCAAACTGTTCCAAACTCTGCTTCTTACCCAGTTGCAAAGTCGATTCCACAATTTTAGGTATTTTTATAGCAGTGCCTCACTCTTCTGGTACGTTTTCTGCTTTCTCTTCTGGTTCTAGTCTGCTTTTATCCTGCCATAAAGAACTACCTGAGACTAGGTAATTTATGAAGAAAATAGGTTTAATTGACTCACAGTTCCATAGGCTTAACAAGAAGCATGACTGGGAGGCCTCAGGAAACTTACAATCATGGTGGAAGGTGAAGGAGAAGCAAGGACCTTCCTCACATAGTAGCAGGAGAGAGAGACAGCAAAGGGAGAAGTGTCACACTTTTAAACCATCAGATCTCATGAAAACTCATTCACTGTCACAAGAACAGCAAGGGGGAAATCCACCCTCACGATTCAATCACCTCCCACTGGGCACCTCCTCCAATTTGACATGAGATTTGGGCAGGTACACAGGACACAAATCCAAACCACATCATAGATGAATATGGGTCAAGCAATTCTGTCTAGTAGCATGGGTCGGCCTCAGAAACCAGCTTACACATACACACACACACACACACACATCCCTGTATATCCACTGCACAACCTACCCTGTAGCCTCTCAAAGCTATAATTGAGGACTGCGAAATCACCTGACATAGGCTCAGGATAAATTGCAGAAGCAAGTGTGTTGGGGGCTTCCAAGTCTATTCCAAGTTGCAGCTTCTTCTCAGGCAGCTGCTATAGCTCCCAAGCCAATATCAGAGGGCCCCACTACCACCATCAGCACAGAGGCCCTGATCCAGGCAATGGCCCTGAAGACTTCTTAGCGGTTGATATGCCCTGTCACTGGGAGGGAAAAAGCTGCCTTGTAAAATGGCTCCTTTCATTTATAACATTGGCTCCATAGCCAGAATCAGAATCTGTTTGGATTTCCTTCACTCTTCAGCAAGTCAGTGAAATGCTTTTCATTTTCTCCCATCTCTAGGGAACCTCCTTTACAACATTTATCAATGAGAAAACAAAATAACTCTGGACTCACACCTGTGGGATGGAGCTGGAAGGTGATAAAATAGCATCCATTCATTCTGAAACAGAAGAATTTTACACTTTGTATGGAGCTAATGTGCTTAGACTGCAAAAAGCAAAGGAACTAAAGTCCTGAAGCCTTTTTTCCCCTCTCCTTGCCCCTTCCCTTAAATATGGAAACAAAATCCACAGTGTGCATGTGAGAGTTCCCTTCAATGAACTGCTTCAGTAAAACTTTGACGCTGCGGGAACCACCTTCGAGCAGATATTGCCAGGACCAAGCAGGTCTGGGAGATGCTAGGAATTCTCAGTGACGATTATCTGCCTTGATCCAATTTAGAGCCTTCAGCATCCCCAACCCTTCTGATTTTGATATCTGTTGCTCCTGACATCATTCCTCCTTATTACCTGCTTATTATCTCTACTTCTTCTTTCCTCTCTATGTCCTTATCCCTGTGATCCTGATCCTGGACTCTGCCAACCTGATTCTAAAGATTGTCTTCATTAACAACCAGGAATTAGAGCTGTCTACTTAAAATGCATTATGCCTGCAATTTCCAATGGAAATAAAAACTCATCGAGTAAGAACTCAGTCTATTCCTCGTCACTGACCAAACGGCAAAGATGTTTCTTTGTTTTGAGCATTTACAAGGACTTAAAAGCAATTAGCTTGAAACTTGATTTGGGGAGTTCTCTTACAACAATTTAACAGGAAAAAAAAAAAACAGATCAAAGTGTTCATAAGAGGCCACTTTGTCTGTCTCTCTGGAATTCTGTGCTTTCTTACATTGATGTTCAGGTACTTTGGACAAAACAAACTGATGTGAAGACAAATAACTTCTTATGGTCAAATAAGTATTCCAATATATGGGCAGGAAAAAGCTCTAAAATGAGGAACTGTCTTCACCTGTACTTTGATTGCTACTTTTGTTTTTCTCTCTCTCTACACACTGGTCCTTTGCTCCCAGGGCATCTGTCTTGTCAGTGTAATTTAATGCATATCAGTCTAGTGATAGAGAAAGCGATGCTGTGTCACCATCCCTTCTGTCTTAGCTATACTTTTGCCAAAGTGGAAGTACAGCTCTAGAATCATTTATAGGTCTGTAAATGAAGAAGTAGGAAAAAATGGGTCTTGATGGTGTGGCTGCTGCTGGTCTTCTGGGCAAAAACAGCTTTAAGCAAAACGAAGGTAGCTTTGAACAAAGTGTCAGTAAAGGTTGAATTGTGTCCCCCACACAGATATGTTGAAGTTGTTGGAGCTCAGAACAAGAAGACCCGAAGTATAGCACTTCAGCATGCTGAGTACTTCAAACTTTAGGACACTGGAAGGGCCTCAGAAGCAAGGTCTCTCTGACCTTCTCCTGCCCTCCTGTTTACAGCCTCTCTTTCACCTCTGAAGCAAGTCATAGAAACTAGAATTTCTCTTCTCCAAGGTGGGTCATAAAAACTGGAACCCTTTTCTCCTAAAGCAAGCCATAAAACCTAAAAAGGTCTCTCTCTTCTCCTTTCTTCCTTGAAGACTTTCATTCTAGAGGGGTTCTGCCCCATACCTGGGTAGAAAGAGAATGCTATTCAGAGAGGCTGAGAAGAATCTGGACGGGCCTTGCTAGGTTCTCCACCTCAGTTTATTACCATTAGATCATACCCTTTTGCCCAATCACATTTCTACATGGCTGTCCATTCTTCATCAAAACTAAGCATAAAAACAGTTTTCCCTGGGTCTTTTGGTCATAATTTCAGAAGTCTCTTTTGTTGTGTAAAACTTTGATTAAATGAATTTGTTATGCATTTTTTTTGTTGTTAATCTGCCTTTTGTTAAAGGAATGTCAGCTATGACCCTTATAATGGGTGAGGAAAGTTATCACATTTTCCTGCCCCTACAAAATCTTAAGTTTGGTACCTGTGAATTCAACCTTTGGAAATAGGATCTTTGAAAATTTCATGAAATTAGGATGAAATCATACCAGATTATGGTGGACTCTAAATCCAATGATTGGTGTCACTGATAAATTTCATTCTAAATGCCCAACTCAGGTACATTTGCCATTGAAAAGTGGATGCAGTTAGGTTTTGATTTTCACATAAAGCCCCCAATTTCATAGGTTGTTTGTGCAAAATCCAAGCAGCCTATTCTTCTGCATAGTCTGAATCTCCTTGACAATGATCCCTCTGTCCCATCACCCTTCACCAGTTGGCACCAATCCCTTTTTTTCTGTCATTAATTGTATTGTTAATGTATCTCCCAATAGATCAGAACTTTCCAACTTCAAGTGTGCATAAAACTCAGCTGAGAAGTGTGTAAACTGCAAACTTTTAGATCCTATGCTCAAAGATTCTGGAGTGAGTTTGAAGTGAAGAATTCAGCATTTCCCTTTCAATTTATCTCCCCATTTATTTTTCATTCTGTTTCAGACTTTTCCTCCAATGATTCTCTCTCCCTCTCTTTGCCTCTTTCTCCATCTTAAGCCTTGTGAGAGACCGAAATGAGCTTGAGGAATAGCAGAACTAAAACTCACAAACACCAAACATTTCTACTCACAAACATTATTGAGTATTAAAAACAAGTAAATAAAAAGATATCAGAAGAGCACAGTCCCATGCTTCTCAGACCTGGCTGCACAGTAGAATCACTTGGGGAAACATTTAACAAACATCGATGCCTGGTCCCACCCTCGACCATTTAGATTAGAACCACTTGGTGGAGGAGGCTAAACACTGGCAAATCTTATCACTAACCCAAGTGATTCCCCATGGGCAGACAGGGTTGAGAATCCTTAGTGTAGTCAACAGATATAGCTGCACAAATATGGATCCACAGTGTCCCCTCTCTGTTCCTCACAGGGATGCTTCCAGGGTGGTGACAGTAGTGAGGGGTGAGGAATCGGCCAAAGCTAAGAAGCTCCTGAAAAGAGCTCCCAGACTTTTACTTCTGCCCCTCCTCCCACTCTTATCAGCACCCAGAAGTATCTTAGGCCAGCAGGTGAGGCAAGTGTTACTCAGTAAGCCATGGCCCCTAGACCTACTTCCTGGGGTCCTGGATCTGATGTTTTGCTACAGCATACCAAGGCAGTCCCTCTCATTCTACATCTGGGTCACAGTCACGTAGCATCTTGCACAAATTGAATCTAGGGACTTTCCATTTGTGTCCCCTTAGAGATTTTCCAGAAACATGCCTATCCGTAACATACTTTTCTGAAAAACTATCTTTTATGTCCTCCCTTTTTCACTTTCAGTGATGTACATTAAAGGGCAGCCACAATCTATTCACTCTGCCTGTCTAAAATTTAGTGAATTATCCTTCTATTGAATTATTCTTTATTATAATGAATTTAACTGGAGAGAGAAGTCACCACTCATAGTCCCTTCCATCCTCCTGACAACTTTTTGAGATTTTGCCTAGAAGAAAGGAGACCTTGCTTTCAAAACAAAGCTAATGTTTAAAACTCATTACATTTAAATTTTAATAGCTACACAGTATTTTATTATATGCACATACCAAGTTTAATTAACCAGTACTATACTGATGAACATTTAGGTTGCTTAAATATTTTACTACTATAAACAATCATGAAATGAATGTTTCTACATATTTTGTATCCATATGCACTAGTATATGTGTAGGACAAACTCTTAGAAGTAGAATCTTTGAGATAAAGGGAATATGCATTTATAATTTTGAAAAATATTGCAAATTATCTTCCAAAGAATTTTATTGTTCACTATCTCATCCCTGATGTCTAAAATGGACTACTCCTCATATCCTCACTAATGCAATGCAATATGAAACTATTTTATCTTGTCATTCTGATATGTGGATATGAACTATCACTAGAGTTTTAATTTCCATTTCTATTGTAATGAGACTGGACTTTTTCATATGTTTAAAAATTCTGTATCTTCCTATGAATTATTTCTTCATTATTTTCCAATTTTTCTACTGAACTTTTAGTTTTTCTTATATTTTCTTATATCTAATAAATTAGGAAAATGAGTCTGTTCTCTTTTATATATAATGTGAATACTTTTCCTTAGATGCCCATTTTAACATTATTTGTTATTTTTTTCCTGAAGATTAAAACATTATTTAAATAAATGTATTGATAGCTTTTATAATCACTGGATTTTATGTCATAGTTAGCAAGGCTTTCCACTCTCTACAGTGTATATAAGCTGGGCACAGTGGCTTGTGCCTATAGTCCCAGCTACATGGGAGGACTGCTTGAAGCCAGCAGTTCAAGACCAGCCCGGGAAACATAGCAAAATCCCATCTGTAAAAAAAAAAAAAAAAATTAGCCAGACATGGTGGTATGGTGCCTGCAGTTCCAGATACTCAGGAGGCTGAGGCGGGAGGATGGCTTGAGCCCAAGTGTTTGAGACCAGCCTGGGCGTTACAGGAAAACTCTCTCTCTCTCTCTCTCTCCATAAACACACACACACACACACACACACCACACCACACACACACACACACACGTTTTCTTCTAGCACTTCTCTGATTTCTTTCCTTTTCTTTCTCTACTTTTTAAAAAATGTTTACTGAACAATCCATTTTATGCCACTGATCAGCAATGCCACTTTTATTGTAGACTAAATATGTATATATTTGGATGTATTTCTGGACTGAATTGTAGCCCATTAATTTGTCTGTCTATTGATATGCCAGTACCACACTATTTTAACTTCTATCTTTTCATAGTTTATTATCCAATACAATTATATCTCATTCAATACTTTTCTATTTCACAGTTTTCCCTGGCCATTATTTCTTCCTAGTTCTTACATATGAGCTTTCTATCAGTTTATCTAGCTCTAATAAAAAATTCTTGAGGCATTGTGGCTCATGCCTGTAATCCCAGCACTTTGGGAGGCTGAGGTGGATGGACCATCCTGAGGTCAGAAGTTCAAGACTAGCCTGGCCAACATGGTGAAACTCCATCTCTACTAATAAATACAAAGACTAGCCAGGTGTGGTGGTGCATGCCTGTAGTCTCAGCCACTCAGGAGGCTGAGGCAGGAGAATCACTTGAACCTAAGAGGCAGAGGTTGCAGTGAGCTAAGAGAGTGCCACAGCACTCCAGCCTGAGCCACATAGCAAGACTCTGTCTCAAAAAAATAAAAAAAAAAATCCTGGTACTCTTTTAATTATAATTATATTAACTGCCTACATTAAATGAAGGAAAACTGATATATTTATGAGTCTTTCTAAAAATAAAGTATGTTTTCATTTGGTCAATTCATATTTTGAATCTCTCATTAACATTTAAAAACGTTCTTTACACAAATCTTGCACATTTGTTGTTTAAGCCTAGTTTTTAGTTATTTCATGTTTTTTCTTTGATGGTTGCAAAAATATGTTTTCTTCCATTATAAAATTTAACTTGCTGAGATTCATATGTATGAGCCTTATTGATTTTTGTGTGTTAAATATGTATTCAGTATTCTCTTTTCTAGGAAAGATCAATGGATGGCCCCAAGATAAAGCAGTATAGAAAGTCACAAGGGGAGTAGGAGGAAAGGATACAGACATATTTGCCAATTTAAGAATATCAGGTTTCTCTTTCAGACCCTGAATCTTAAAAGGTATTTTTTTAGGACTAAGGCAAAAAAAATTTAGACAGTAACCTTATTTGACAAACTAAATTGTTGGAGCTCAGAACAAGAAGGGTTTAGACAAAGGGTTTAGACAAAATCACAGATTATAGCTCAATAAAGAAAAAAGTGATGTAATGTGTTTTGCCTGGCATTTGAAGTGTTCCCTTGGAGGGCCCAGCTTCCTGGCCTGCTCATTTCCTAATACACTCCAGCTTCCCTGCATCACCTCCCATGCCAGTCATAGTGGTCTCTTTCCTATGCCTGATTCCTGCTACCACTGTTTGGTGTGCCCTCAAAGCTGCACTTGTGTACAATTGCTGGTAGTATCTCGCCTAGGACAGGGTCCTGCTAAGTCTCCTCTATGATGCATTTGTGTACGCTCACTATTCATAGTCTTCTCCCTGAGACTACTCAGTAATTGTAGCAAATTACTGAGTAATCCAAATAATTACCAGATTTTGGAGATGAACATTCCAATCTTCAAGTTCCATCTATGCAAATTACAGGATAAGTTCAGCTTAGATTAAGTTCTTTAGCTCCTCAGAGCTTTGGTTTTTCTCCTATGTAGAGTGAGGGTAATATGTGACCTACCTCTCACCCATGGTCATTGTCAGGATTAAGTATTCCTTAAAATATATCTAAACTATAAAGTGGTATCCAAATATCAAGTGTAAGGAATAACCCACAGACTGAAAATCACTCTACAAAGAGAAAGGAACAGAGCTCTTTTCTCTCTTACTCTAGGATGGATTCAGAAAGGTGACAGACGAGGGAGTAATTGTTCTCCTTTTGTTATTCAACTGATAGGGTCAGGCAGGCCATGGGCTGCATTCTTCTGTCAAGAATAGTAAATAGGCATTGTCACGAGTGCCAATGCTAAACCGATTATGAATGCCTGCCTGAACGCTGTGTTAGGGGTCTGAGGACCCATCTGAGTAGAGAGGGCAGACGTCTGTGATCAGTTAGTAATGGTGCATGAGCATGACAAGGAGAGATGGCAGAACTAATGCCACATGTCTGTTTTTCTGTCCTCTGTTTTGGGTTCGCTTCATGGGAAAGCAGTAGTTGAGCTGCTACTGCTATTGACCTTGTGATGTTTTTCCAGTTTTCTCCATTGCCATAGCCTGACTGTGTCTTAATACAGATTTCAGTTTCATTTGTTCCTTCAGTCTTTGACTAGAAATATAGGCCACCCCTTTGGGGAATTCATCTCAATGGGCACATTTCAGTCACATCAGCAATGATCTATTGTTCTTACAATGTTCAGGATACTCTGTGCTGGGGGCATGGGAAAACCAATGGCATTTGATACCTCCTATGTGCCAGGCACTGTGTCAGATACTCCATGAGTTGTTCCCCCCCGCCACCCCCGACCATCCTCAAAAACTTCTACAAAGCAAGTCTTATTTTGGCCATTTTACAAATAAGGAAACTAAAATTATTGAGGTCAAATATGTTATACTTCAAATGCAGAACTCTTTTCACTACAGTGAAAAGTGAAATGTCTCAACCTCAAGGGGCCTCTGACTGTGCTATACCCATTCCTCCACTGCAAACCTAGAGGAGCTTATTGAGTACTGAGTCAGCTGACATACAAGTCCTCTCCCTGCAAATACTGGAGTAATCGCAAAACCTGCACCAGGCCTTCCAGTTAGGAGACTCAGTAATCTTTCTGTTGTCTTCACATAGCAGAGAGAGGCCGCTAACCCACAACAAGCCTTGGGGCCTTTGCAAGATTTCCTGATGATCTAAATTTACACTGCAGGAGCCCCAAGCAGCTTTTTTATTTACAGCACTCTGGATCTCAATCTCTTAGTTACGTTACTCCCAATTAAGCTGATGTATGCTCACAAAGCGTCATTATGTGATTTAATCACAGAGCATTTTGAATTAATTATACACGGGCATTTTATAACATTCTAGGTGCCTCATTAAAATTGGTGCTGCTTTTAATAGATACATAAATGAGTGTGGCTGTGGTATTGAAGTTCCAATCCTGAGAAATATCCCCTACTGAAGGTAAGATATGCATGTTTCCACATGTATGTTTTTAAAATTCCGTGATTTAACACTTACTTACTTGCTCTCAGTAAACATTTAACTGAACAGATAAGCTCTCATGTCTCTATCTCATGAAGCTGAGTAGCCTGAATAAATTAAAGCATATTCATACATTTATTAATTACTTTGCCTTTGCTGGTAATTGGTGATGGATAGGGTTAAAGGTAGGTCATCATTTCACAATAGCCACAACTCCATTTGAATAAGGGAGGTGATTAAAGTTTTCAAAAAAAACCAGAGGGGTTTATATTTTAGCTGGAGTTAATTCCATGGTGAATCGAGTGAGAAAAATATTCAGCTCTCCCTGAGGCAAACGAGGTTACTATGACCTCTTCCAAGTCACTAAGTGGTTCCTGGAAGTATAATTTTATGTAACATTTTATTATATTTTACTCCCAGAGTGCTTGTCTTTCCTAAGACTATTAAGCAGGCTTCCTATGCCTATTCTCTCCCCTTCTGCACCATTTCAGAGTCTAATCCTGTATCTCAGGTTTCTATTGCTGCCACACTGCCCACTTCCACTCCCCAATCTTCTCAACCTCTGCCCCACCCCCAGCCTCTCTATTCTTCACCCTCACACCCCAGCCCCCAGGACCCCCATTCTCCCTCCCACAAGTAGTCCCTTAAATCTTGACCTTCCTGCATCCTAACCCCACCAACAAAACTCATCTGTCCTGTATCCTATTCTTTCCAGATTCTCCTCACTAACAGAAAAATCTGCCCAATAAGTTAATGCTAGTATAGGTCATTGGTGATAGATCACTGTGTTACATTTCAACAAATAATTTTACATTAAAAACAACCCCACTGATTGACTGTGTAAAACAAAATATTTGTGGCTACAGGAAAGCAGGATGAATGAGAGGTCGTTCTGACTTTCTCTCTCATTTTTTTTTCTAGTCAAAGTAACAAAATGACATCATGCAATGTGATCATCCACTCGGTCTTGACTTCAAATGAACTTGACTCTCCAATATTAAATCTACCTTGGATGATCAGCTGCTACCAGTGGAGTTACTTGAATGAACATGCTGCCAATTCTGAAAGTAAATTCTAACGGAGATAATCACTTTAGTTGAAATAACACAGGCTTTGGCACATCTGGACAGATGGGCTGAAATCTAAGTTTGCTAGATGGCTAATGTTAAGTGACTTAAAATACTTCTAAGTCTCGGATTTCTCATCTGTGTACAGGGAATAAAATTACCCACCTCATAGATTAAATATAAAAGGTTTAACAGCACATAGAAGTGTCTCAAGTAATGCCCTTTCTTAACAAAATATTTCAGCATCTTAAATAAGTATAGTTTCCTTAGTTGACCCTCCCTCTTTTTTACAATTATGTCCTTGTAAGTTTGTTTAAACAATAATTTTTCTATATTGCCCAGGCTGAGCTCAAACTCTTGGAATCAAGGAATCCTCCCACCTTGGCCTCCTGAGCAGCCAGGACTGCAAGCACATGCCACTGCACCTGGATTAAGAACAGCTTTTAAAAGGTGATATTTCTTTGTAGTTATGCCTCCTACAAGTGGCCAAAAACCCATATGTTGTCAATCTGCCATTAAACTACACATTCAAAAAATCACTAACTGATCTGAAAGCTCCCCACAAAGCAGAAGAGCTGAAATTCTTTGAGCCCCTGAATACTGGAACTGAAATGTTGGTAAAATATCAAGCCTGCATCCCAGATCTCCCCTGGGTGAATCTAGGTATGGGCAGTTCTCTGCTTATAAGTTAAGGTCAAGTTCAGGTTGGTGAAATCCACGCTTGTTGTAGGTGAAGAATTTAGGTTTCGAGCTTTTGGATACATCCTCAGTGACCACACGAGGGCTAATACCTTTTAAAGATTTAATGAAGGGCAAGGGAACTGCTTTTTCAGGACATAGTCCTGTTGTGTTTTGGCACTATCTGGAGAGCTTACCAGAGATAGGTGGAAAATTTCATTTCAGCCTCTAACTATCTTGGGGTAAGTTGCTGAAAATTCTCAAGGCTCAGTTTTCCCATTGGGAGAGTAATAACTTCATTGGGCTGTTATGAGAAATGACAGCGTGATTGGTTGGTTCATCAAAGCAGGGGTCCCCAAATCCCGGGCCATGAACTGGTACCTGTCCGTGGCCCATTAGGATCCAGGTCGCACAGCAGGAAGTGAGCGGCAGGCCTGCGGAATTACCGCCTGAGCTCCACCTCCCGTCAGATCAGTGGCAGCATTGGATTCTCACAGGAGTGCGTCCCCCCCCCCACCCCCCCACCCCCCCGCATTGTGAACTGCGCATGCGAGGGATCGAGGTTGCCCGCTCCTTATGCGACTCTAACTAATAATGCCTGATCATCTGAGATGAAACAGTTTCATCCTGAAACCATCCCCGCCTCCCAGTCTGTGGAAAAATCGTCTTCCACAAAACCAGTCTCTGGTGCCAGAAAGGTTGGGGACTGCTGCATTAGAGGACATAACAAACCTGTTTAAAGCAGGGAGTATAGCCCCGGCACATAGTAAGTGCTCAGCAAACCCTGGTTTCCTTTTTCCTCTAGCCCTAATCTCACATTCAAGATCAACTTTACTTCTAGCCAAATAAATTTGCATCCACTGATATAATTTTATAGGTAATGGAAAATTCCCAGAAAAACAAAACAATCTACCAAATCATGGCTGATTTGCTAATTCTTTCCATCGGTCACTCACCTGACTCACTCCTTTATTTCATTTAAAATTCTGTGATTATGGCCTCCTCCTCAGAGACATCTTCCCTGCTCACCCTGTGTAAGATAATTCCACTCCATATCACTCTTTATCTCCTTAACCTGCTTATTTTGTTCACAGCATTTATTGCTACCTGAAATTAATATACATGTATTTGTTTATTTCCTACCTTCCTCCACTAATATGTAGGCTCAGCAATGGCAAAAATTTTGTCCGTCTTGTTCATGGCTGTTCTCCTAGCACAATATTCAAAACAGTCTAGAGGCCAGGCATGGTGGCTTATACCTATAATCCTAACCCTTTGGGAGGCCAAGGTGGGAGGATCACTTGAGCCCAGGAGCTTGAGACCAGCCCCAGCAACATGACAACAGCTATCTCTACCAAAAAAAAAAAAAAAAAAAAAAAAAAAAAAAAAAAAAAGCTATGCACATGATACATGCCTTTAGTCCCAGCTACTCAGGAAGAGGATTGCTTGAGCCCAGGAAGTCAAGGCTGCAGTGAGCAGCGAGTGCACCATTACACTCCATCCTTGGCAACAGAGCGAGACCCTCCCTCAAAAAAATTAATAAATAATAAAATAAAGCAGCGCCTGAACACATATGATAGGTGCTTAATAAGTATTTGTTGAATAAACAAGTTATTTTTTTAAAAAATTTTTATTAAAATTGTATTTTTAAGGTGTAAATTGTGATGTTTTGATATATTAATACATATACATAGGAAATTACTGCAGTCAAGCTAATTAACATTTTATGTGTGTAGTAAGAACACTTAAAATCTACTTTCTTTGCAAATTTCTAGAATACAATACTAACTATACTCCCTATGCAATACATTAGCTCTCTAGAACTTATGCATCCTACATACTAACTTTGTACTTTTTGACTAATATCTTCCCATTTCCCCTCATCTTTCACCTCTGGTAAGCACCATTCTACTCTTTGCTTCTATGAAATTGAATTTTTTAGATTTCACCTATAAGTGAAAGCATGCACTATTTTTCTTTCTGGGTAGGGCTTATTTCACTTAGCATAATGTCCCCCAGCTTGATTCATGTTGTTGCAAGAGGCAAGATTTCCTTTTTTTTTTTAAGGCTAAATAATATCCCAGTGTGTATGTATGTGTCTCTGTGTGTGTCTGTGTGTGTGTATGTGTGTGAGAGTGTGCATGTCAATTTCTTTATCCACTCATCTATCAGCACTTTGTTGTTTCCATGTCTTGGTTATTGTGAATAGTGCTACAACCAACATGGGAATGCAGATATTAGTATCTCTTTGACTTACTGATTTCATTTCCTTTGGATATATACCCAGAAGTGAGATTGCTGGATCATATGATGAAAATAGTTTTCTTTTTAATTTTTTGAGGTACTGCTATAATGTTTTCCATAATGACTGTATACCTGTTATCTTATGACTTTTTGATAACAGCCATCCTAACAAGTGTGAGGTGATATCTCATTGTGGTTTTGATTTGCATTTGATGATTAGTGATGTTAAGTACCTTCTCATATATCTATTTAGCCAAGACCTAGAACCATAAAACTCCTAAAAGAAGCAAAAAGAACAAGATCTCTCTCTCTTTTTCTTTCTTTCTTTTTTTTTTTGGCAGAGTCTCATTCGATCACCAAGGCTGGAGTGCAGTTGTGTAATCATGGCTTGCTGCAGCCCTGACTTCTCTGGCTGGAGTTCATGCAATGGCATGAAATGGCTTGCTGAAGCCTTGACCTCCTGGGCTCAAGCCATCTCCCACCTCAGCCTCTGTGTAGCTGGGACTATGGTGGGTGCCACCACACCCAGCTAATTTTTTGCTATTTTTGTAGAGATGGGGCCTTGCCATGTTTCCCAGGCTGGTCTTGAGCTCCTGGGCTCAAGTAACCCCCCCAACCTCAGCTTCCCAAAGTGCTGGGATTACAAGCATGAGCTACCATGCCCAGCCAAGAACAAGCTCCTTGACATTGGTCTTGGCAATGCATTTTTTGGATATGACACCAAAAGTACAAGCAACAACAGCAAAAATAAACAAGTGGGACTATATCAAACTAAAAAGCTCTGCACAGCAAAGGAAACAATCCTATGAGAGAAGGCAACCTATGGAATGGGATAAAATATTTGTAAACTGTATATCTGATAAGGGGTTAAGATCCAAAATATATAAGGAACTCAGTCAACTCAACAGCAAAAAATAAATAACCTGATTTAAAAAATAGGCAAATGACTTGAATAAACATTTTTACAAACAAGTGATGTTTTAAATTCTACAACCAGCCTTAATTTCCTTCTCTTAATGCTTTATTTTTAACAGGAACTGTAATATATCCATTGCTTACTTGATCCCTTAACACTTTATGTGGATAATTTAATCTTCTGAACACCTTGACAAAGAGTCTCTCTTTGACCTAACTCTAGGCTCCTCTAAGCCCTGTAGGCCTCAACCTTCAGTATTCATCTTTGCATTGCCCAATTTTAAAACTGCTAGGTCAGTTTAGTGAGAATCCTCCACCCTTAATATCTGATCATCCTTGATATCTGATCAAATTCCTTATCTCCCACTATCCCCAAGTGATATCTGATCACCTTGATCTGCGTTCAGTAAGAATGCTCTTAGGTCATTTAGCCATAATCCTCCCTTACTCCTGGTGTTAAAAAAGAATAGTCAAACTCTGTGAAATATTTTAAGGGATTTATTCTGAGCCAAATACAAGTGACCAGGGCCCAAGGCATAGTCTCAACAGGTCTCAAGAACATCTGCCCATGGTGGCTGGGTTACAGCTTGATTTTTTACATTTCAGGGGGACAGAAACTACAAGCAGAGTTGTAAACCGATAATGTAAGGTGTACATTGATCCGGCCTGAAAAGGTGAGACATCTCAAAGCAGGGGCTTCCACGTCATAGGTGGAGTTAAAAGTTTCTCTGGTGGCGATTGGTTAAAAAAGTACTGCCTGAGGAATTGAGGCCTGCAGAAAGAAATGTTTGTTGCTGATATAGGGGGATTGTGGAAGCCAAGGTTCTTGTCATGTTGATGAAGCCTCCAGGTTAGCAGGCTTCAGGGAGTAGATGGTAAATATCTCTTGCCAGACCCTTAAAGGTGCTACACTCTTAGTTAACTCTCTCCTGGATCAGGAAAAGACATGGAAAGGGAAGGGGATTCTCTACAGAATGTAGATTTTCCCCACAAGAGATAGCTTTGCAGGGCCATTTCAAAATATGTCAAATAAATATATTTGGGGGCCAGGCACAGTGGCTCATGCCTGTAACCCCAGCTCTTTGGGAGGCCAATGCAGGCAGATCACCTGAAGTCAGAAGCTTGAGACCAGCCTGGTTAACATGGTGAAACCCTGTCTCTACTAGAAATACAAAAATTAGCCGAGCATGGGGCAGGTGCCTGTAATCCCAGCTTCTTGGGAGGCTGAGGCAGGGAGAATTACTTGAACCCAGGAGGTGGGGGTTGCAGTGAGCTGAGGTCACACCACTGCACTCCAGCCTGGGTGACAGAGCAAGACTCCATCTCAAAAAAAAAAAAAAAAAAAAAAGAACTATATTTTGAATGTTTCTATTTCTTTCAGGGCTTGCTACCTATCATGTGATGCTATACTAGATTCAGGTTAGAATTTGGTATCTTATAGCTACAAAGAGTCTGTTTTGTCAGTCTTAAGATCTGTGTTTTAATGTTAATGCTGGTAAATTGTGTCTGAATTACAAAGCAGGGAGGGTATAAAAATGAGGTATGTCTGATCCTCCCTTCCTATCATGGCCTGAACTCATTTTTCAGGTTTACTTTGGAATGCCTTTGGTCAAGAGGGGGTTCCATTCAGTTGGTTGAGGGGCTTACAATTTTATTTTTGGCTTACACCCCCGATGTTTCCTCTTAGAAATTTTTTATCCACTGACTCCCACCCTGCTCTTTGGCTATAAATCTTCACCTGTGCTTGCTGTATTCAGAATTGAGCCTAGTGCTATACTAGGCTAGACACATTTTCCCCTATTGCAATAGTTCCTAATCAAAATCTGCTTTTACCACTTTAATTACTATGCAGCTCTAGTTTTTCTTTGGCAGTCCTTTATGAGATAGGAACAATTATGATCCCATAATATAGGTGAGAAAACTAAGGTTTAGAGAGGTTAAGGTTCTGCCAAAGGCAGAAGTGCAGAGGCAATTAATCCTAGGTTACTGGACTATATAATCATCTGGACCTCTAATTTCCCACCACCCCTTCCTGATTCTATACTTAAATTCTACTGTAGTTTAAATTACATCTGTATTTCATGTCAAAATGTCTCTGAGAATGAGTAACAATGTAAACTGTTGTTATTCATTTATTCTTTTTGGTACATGTCAACTTGTAAATAGGGTTGGGGAGAAGGAGACAGAGTTTAGAGGTCTGAATACCTGAGATGGAAAATCTTAGAATCAGGATAATAGCATATAAGCCCAAGGAGATATTGCAGCATTTTGCCCAAGGATGCTCCACCCTCTAATCATTCCACAGCCAGAGCTCTCTTCCTCCTTAATGCTGAGATGTTTTCTCTTTGTAATTTAGCATCTCCAAGACAGTGCAGCTCTGGGGGATTGGTGGTTTGACAATACTTTCCTTGGGTGTAAAAGAGGTCAGTCAGAAACAGGATAAGGAATTGGCAGAGGTTGTTTTGTTGGTGGTGGTGTTGTTGTTGCTGTTGTTGAATCCAGTGTTATTTCTTCCTGCATTAGTGAAAGTCGATGAAAAGTGCTAGATGATTGAATTTGGATATCACCTGTGCAGTCACAGCACTCATCAGGACAGACCACAGCCTGCATGTCACTATGATCACAGCGAATAGGACATGATGTTTAGCAAAGGAAAGAATAAGAATAACAAGGCATCAGGTTGGCTCTATATGTAAGTAGGAAGGAAGATGATTTCCATGTTTTAATTTGAGGGGTACTACAGATTGCTTGTTTCAAACAATCAGTCTTAAAAATTAGTTTGAGATTTCCCCATTAATGTCATTTCACTTCCAGGAAGAGGTTGTCTCCTAAAGTCTCCCTTGCTTGAGACGGTAGGAAGGGCACATTAAGCGGATTAGCTCACTGTTGCCATAGCAACTAGAAGCAAGGCCCTGGGGGGATGAAACATTGTGCAGGTAAATTTTCATGAAGAGGAAAATGGACAGAGTGAGAAGTTAGACAAGGTGGCACCATAATTGGTAGCCCTGGGCAGCCACAGGGCAGGCATCTAAAAAACAAAAAGGTTCTTTTCATTTTAGTCAGGTACAATCTTAAATTTCTCCATCACCAAGTTAGGCATTGCAACCTTGAAATGGCTGGCTGTTGTTCTCTTTAACAATGCATGGGTTTTAAAAAATCTCAGGCTTTTCATCCTCTAGTCCATTTCCAAGACAAATGTAATTTAAGTTTCCTGAGCAACAACAAAAAAAATTGAAATCAGCCTCCAGCCTTGTATATGGAATACAAAGACAATTGACCAGATACCAGGATCTTTCTTATTATGTACCCAGATACTCATCTAGTACAATAGATTGTAGAAGGGAATAGATTGTGGTTCTAAATAAATAAATACATGAAATTTTAAGAAAGTCATTATCTTTCAAATGATGGTTTCCAATTCAAAAATAAATCTTATACACATAACATCATAGAGCAGGGAGGAACCTTTAAGATCTTATAATTCTATCCCCTCCTTTTACAGAAAAGAGGACTGAGAACCAGAGAGGTTAATTATGTCCTCTAGCCACCTAATCACTCTGTCATTTCTAATTATTGCTAGGAAAAAATCCAGAGATTCCCAGTGCCCTCCATTTGTGTGCACTGAAAAAAATCAGTTTGCCTATCAGCAGGAAATGTCAGCATCAAGGCCAAGAATGTTCAATTTGTTAATAATAAAAATAATAAGAGCTGACATGTATTGAACACTTACCATGTGCCAGGCATGGGGCTGCTTTACAACTTGTGTCTCACTTAACTCCCAAATAGTCCTGTGTGGTTGTTTACCCCATTTTACAGATAAAGCATCAGAGCTGAGAGAAGCTAAGTAACTTGTCTATAGTCAAACAAATACTAAGGACAGACTGAGGATTTGACTCACGGTTATTGCTTCTTACCATAACTCTAAACCCTATTTGCTGGCTATTTCCATGTAGCTCTTTCCTGTAAGAAAACCAGGGATCAATAATTAACTGCATTCATGAGTTTAATACCTCCCTCTAACAGCTAAAGCTACATCCAAGGAAAGTCATGTAACTCTAGCCATCTCATCATACTCCCTAAGAACATTTTGAGAAATTACTTTTTTTCTGATTACAAATGTAAATCGTATTCAGTACACAAAATTTTAAAACACAGACAAGCATAAAGAAGAAAATTAAAATTTCCTGTAATTACACCAAGAATCACATGCAAGAAAATCTGTATTTCATACTTCTATCTCAAAGACCACTACATTCCTTGCAAAATTTGGCAATAGCCTTTAGTATTTTCTACATGGGTTACTTTCCTTGGGGATACTCATTTAGTGAACCACCATTATCAAACATTATTTACTTTAGTTCATTCATTTATTCAATGAAGATCTATTGCTTGAATGTCTACTCTGTTCCAGACACTCTGCTGGTTACTATAACTCATTGATGGTGACAGATACACCCTGGTCCTGGCCTCATGGAACCTACAGACTACTTCTCTGAAATAAATTTTCAGTGAATTTCACCTTAATTAGCCTCAAAAGATACAGATGCTTTTAGTCATATGTCCAGCTAAAGTAATTTTTTCCTTCAATGTGATAGATGAAGGCTGATATGAAGAGAAGTCTTATGGTATCTTAACTGACACAGAGCAATTAGAAATTATTTTAAATTGGGCTGGGTACAGTGGCTCATGCCTGTAATCTCAGTGCTTTGGGAGGCCAAAGTGGGACTTGCTTGAGGCAGGAGTTTGAAACCAGCCTGAAAAACATAGTGAGACCCTGTTTCTACAAAAAAATTAAAAACCAGCCAGGCCTGATGGCACACATCTGTAGTCCCAGCTACTGAGGAGGCTGAGGTGAGAGGATCGCTTGAGCTCAGGAACTGGAAGTTGCAGAGAACTGTCATCACAACACTGTACTCCAGCCTAAGTGATAGAGGGAGATGAAAGAAAAAGTAAATAAAAAAGAAAATGAAGGAAGAAAAAAAGAACTTAAAATTGCAGGTCTTATGATTTCTTATCAAGGGAGAAAAAAGCAAGGTTGAGATTTTAGGAATTCCCTACCTTAAAAATTCTTCCTGTCTAGGACATTAAACCTTCCCTTGATGCTAAATTGGCAGCCTTATGTGTAGAGGGATTAGGAAGGGGTCTTTGTGCTTGGAATTCCTGTAGCATGGACAAAATTTGCCATTAGTCAAGCTGCTGAGGTGATTGAAATGTGTGACTAAAATTCATTCTAAACCACACAGGACAGGGCCTCCTTTCCTACGAACAGCTGTTTATGGGGGTATGGTTACCAGGAGCCTAAAGTCTGTGGGGATAGAGGAGAGGCTTTGTAAGTCAGAGAGGGGCTCTGTCTTCATTTCCTATGGCTGCTATAATTGCCACAAACTTAGTAGCTTAAAGCAACACAAATTTATTTTCTTATGGTTCTAGAGGTCAGAAGCCTAAAATGGGTTTGTAGGACTGTGTACCTTCTGGAGGCTCTAGAGAAGGATCTGGCCTTGTGTTTCCCAGCTTCTACAGCAGGAGTCCCCACCCCTGGGCCATGGACCAGTACCAGTCCATGGCCTGTGAGGAACTGGGCTGCACAGCAGGAAGTGAGCACCAGGCAAGTGAGCACTTCCGCCTGAGCTCCACCTCCTGTCAGATCAGCAGCAGCATTAGATTCTTATGGGAGCATGAGCCCTATTGTGAACTGCACATGCAAGGGATCTAGGTTGTGTGGTCCTTATGAGAGCCTAATGCCTGATGATCTGAGGTGGAACAGTTTCATCCCAAACCACCATCTCCCTGCCAAGTCCATGAAAAAATTGTCTCCCACAAAACCAGTCCCTGGTGCCAAAAACACTGGGGACCGCTGCTCTAGAGGCTGCCTGCATTCCTTGTCTCATGGCCCCATGTCACTGACCTCTGCTTTCATTATCACATCTCCTTTGCTGGCTGTGACCTTCCTGCTTCCTTCTTATGAGAACCACTGTGATTGCATTGGACCCATTTAGATAATCCAGGATGTTTTCACCATCTTGAAAGTCTTAATCACGTCCAAAAAGTCTCTTTTATGGTGTACAAGGACCAGAGATTAGGACTTGAACATATTTGGTTGGAGACATGATTCAGCCTACCACACTCTCTAAAGACAAATGAGTAATTCATGTTTTTGGTGAGCTGGGGCTGTCTGCAACAGGGACTTGAATCCTTCCCACATTCTCTCCTCTCTCCACAATCCCTCTCCTGTCCCTCTTCTCAGCTCCTTATCAGGATTCAAAACCTGAGTCATCCTTTCTGGGCTTATCCTTCCTCCCATAGGCAACAAGACATTGGTGTCAGAGTTCTGCTCCCAGATACTCTTCCAGTTTCATTACACCATAACTATTGTCACCACTTAAGATGCTCCAACATCTATTTGGAAATTGGATTTAGACTCAAAGCTACTTATATCAGGGCCTTGAAAAGAGACTTAGTCACTGAACATTTATTTTCACCATACAATTGCAAATTTCTGATTGTAAATTTGGGGAGGATAAACCTAAAAATTAAGGTCTGTTCTCTCCGGCATAACTTCTGTAGGCATTTTGGTAAGTGAGGCAAGCCAGTGGAAAAGTATTCCAATGCCCCTTGAATTGTAAACTTAGCCGATTCCAAAGGACCTAGAAAAAAATATGATTGATGAACTGTTTTGCCATCCCTTTTAGGCTGAAATCTCCTTAGCAGAAGAGCTAAAAGACTTGGAGTCTAATGCATAGATTGTTAAATGGATGTCAGTGGTGGTGATACACCTACAGAAGGAAAAGCATCCCAAAGCAAAAATTCCAAATAGGAGGCACACATGCTGCCTTTACCATTACACACCCAAGACAGACATCACTAATCAATCAAGCATTGTTCCACCAGAGCCTGGCTCTGGCCTTAAGGCCCCTCCTGAGTGCTCCAGGTAGCCACTACCACTCAAGCAGAGTTGGCAAGCAAATTGAGCTCTATTAGGTGTCCCTGCATTAGAAACAGAGTCAATGCCCTCCTGTTTCCAGACATTAAGGAAAATTCCTCCTACTGCAACCTAGCAATAAAATGATCTCATGTCTAGAACACCACTTAAGCTCAATTTCTGGAGCTGGCAAAACCCTTGGAGAGACTTATTCAACAGTGAAGCAGATTCCTCAGTTTTCCTATTTTCTATATGAAGAACTTGTGTGGTGATCCCATCTGGTCTGTGCCTCCAGCTCCTCCTCTGGAGGTACTGGATAGTGGGGGGTTCTCCCCCTTTCTCTTCAACAGGACTTCTATGCTTTGAATTCTTGCATTAAATGTGCAGCCCTACCCCCAATTTCTGCTTCTTCTTCCTTAATTATGTAGCTCTCCTCTGCTTTCCTCGAACCAGAATCCTCCTAGGTCCCCAAGAGCACCCTCCCCAGGGAGCACTTGATGACAGTATTGTCAAATTCTTCAAAGGCAAGGAGGGGTAAGAAACACAAGCTCATCCATCCCTGTTTCTTTTTTTCACCCTGTGATTTCCACTCACAATAAGCAGCCTTACAGGTTATCAAACACCCCACTGTACTTTGACAGTTATTCATCCATTAAAGCCTCTGATTGCCTGGCATAATTAGGGACTGTCCTCAGACTCCATAAACATGGCTCCTCCACTTCTCTCAGGAACCGGCTTGCTTTACACCTAAGCTTGCCAGGAAGGAGGAAAACCCAGCTCATTCAAACAGCTCAGCTACAGGTGAGCCAGCCACATCAGAACATGGGAGGGGGAGAAAACAGCACGCTTTTTATCAAAAGAAAAATGATTTACGCAGCTGATTCCCCCAAATTTTAGATAGGATCTTAGGGAGATTTTTCACTTTGGACCAAAGCTATCTGGAGCTTGCAAAATCCTGGAAGAGACCGAATCAAAAGAGCAGATCTCTTCAGTCTCCCTATTTCATTTCAACGCCTCTCTCAGTCCCAGTCAATAACCCAGCTGTACGCTCTGCAGCGAAGCACATTCATCCCGCTTTGTGTCTGGATCGCAGGCTTCAGAGGGGGCTTTTCAGCTTGAATACAAACCGACTGATTGCCTTCCTGCAAGGTTCCCGCACCGGAACGCCCACCTGAGCCCTTGCTCTTCAGCGACAAGTGCAGGAGCTTGCCTGGGTCAAGCCAACTACACAGGGGCCTGAGCCTGCCTGCAGGAATGCACCGTGCTGTGTCACCACCCACTAGGCCAGCGGGCAGGGACAGAGAGAGCAGCCTGCAGCCGCAGAGGGAGGAGCCGAGAGCCTCTGAGTAGGGGAGCTGTGAACCTGGGGACAGAGGAGGTTACAGGGATGCTGAGAAGGCACACGACTCTCCAGGCAGGGCATCTGTGACTCAGCAGAGTTTAATTGCAGTTCCCTGAGGTGTGTGAGTCCAGAGCCATTGACAGAGTTATTATGGCATTTATGCATTCAGGCTTTATCATTAGACAACCCGAGGTGCTAGATCTTTATTCTTAAAATTATTTTTGTTTTAAGATTTTTTTTAAAAAGAGGAAAGCACAAAAATATAAATCTGTGCATACCCTCCAGTCAGAAGACACTACTAACATTGTGCAATGTTTGTTTCAAGTCTTGTTTTGAAACCATAAATGAAGGAAAGCACAACACAAGAAGGTGGACCCCACTTTGCTCCCTTTATCCTCCCTCCCTAGTCCCTTCCCCTGGGCCCAGAAGACACCACTTGTAAGACCTGAACTCACTTCCTTCTAATCCACTTTTAGACTTCTACCCATATAATCAATATAGCAATATAAAGAATATGTAATTTGGGGGCATGTATTTAATAATTTGTATCATTCTGAGCTTCTTCTCTGCAGACTTGTTTTTTTCCATTCCATATTGTGATGTTTTGCTGATTCCACGTTATTGTTTCTATAGAGATCTAGTCCACTCATTTTATCCATTATATGGCATTGGGTCCCATGATTCCTAAGTCCCCACCTGGCCTTAACACTATGCCAGTGGTCCTTAAGCTGCATATTAGAATCACCTGGGGTGCCCAGGTGATGTTAAAAATGCAGGCACCCGGGCTCTGCTCTCGGAGAGTCTGATGGCACTGGTGTAGGGTTGGGCTGGGCATTGCTTTTGTTAGAAATCTCCTTAGGTTGTCTTAATATGCAACTAGGATTAAGAACCCTACCCCCTCCGGATTCTGTGATCCCTGGAAGGAGAATTTCCAATGCCCACCATGCCTTTCCTGGGTATAAGCAGTTTTACATCTTCCAACAGATTTATATAAACCAATATGAATTTGCTAGGGGTACTCCGTGAAATCTGCTGATAGCTGTGTCCGAGGGGTGGCAAAAATCTCTCTCCCTTTATCTTACTGCCAAACAAAAGGTGCTTATGGGCCCTAGTAAGTGGCATACCTTCACCTCTGTTCCCTGGAAGAAATGGAGATGTTCCTATTGATGAGACTATTAGGGAGACTATCAGGTAAGAAAGAAAAGCTGGGAGAGTAGAATGTGAAGGGAATCTGAATTACTCTTTTTTCACTGTGTTGCAGCATGAGAAGAAACTACTGCCAGGTAATTCTGCAGAAAACTGTTTCTGCGTTCCTCCTTCCCTCTCCCTCATTTTATTTGTGCTAGGCTTAGCCTCTCCACAGAAAGACATTTATTAAACTCTCATTTTTAGCTTTGCTAGAGAGAAGAATCATCAAAACCTGGACCTTCTCACTGTGAGGGACAGAGTTCAGGCACCAGGTGGCCTTGATGGTATTTTATATCCTTGTTCTTTCTTCTTTTTTCTTTATGCTAGCCACAGAGGAAATAACCTGGAAAGAATCACATAACAAGGTGTAGCTTAACTCCCTGTCCTTCTTTAATGCATTCAACAAATATTTACTGAGTGCTTAGTAGATGCTAGCCACTGTCCTAGGTCATTGGGATCCCATGGGCCCAACAATCACAGACTTTGCCCTCCAGTTTGGGATATAGGCTAGTACGCAGACAGTGAAACTGCTGCAGCAGAGGGAAACACAAGATACTCTGGAAAAGCAGAAGAGACTAGAAAGAGGAAAATAAAGTTAGTTTTGGGGTCTCAGGAACACTTCCTGCAGGGGCAGTTCTCAAACATGAGTTCTCAAACGTTAGGATCACCTGGAGGACTTTTAAAACACATCCTGCTGGCCCTCACCCTAGAGTTTCTGATTCAATAGGTATGGTTTGAGACCTGAGAGTTTGCATTTCTAGCAAGTTCCCAGGCCATACTAATGCTGCAGGTCTGGAGACCATGCTTTGAGAACCACTGTCTTAGAGGAACTGAAGTCTCAGCCTTTGCTACCCAAAGTATGGTCTGCAGACGAACAATATGAGCCTGCAGCATGAGCCTCACCTAGGAGCTTATTAGAAATGCAGAATTTCAAGTCTTATCCTAGATGTACTCAGTCAGAATCTGCATCAAGATTACCAGGTAATACTTATACACAGTAAAACACTGGTTCTCAAACTTGCTTGCACATTGAAATCACCTGGGGAGTTTAATCAAATCCCCATCCCTGGATTCCATTCCCAGAGATTCTGATTTAATTGGTACAGGGGATGAAAAGCTCTCTGAGACGTTTCTAATGTGTGGTATACTTTAAGAACCACTGACCTAAGCTAAATGCATCCTGGGTAAGAGCGCCACAAAGAAAGGCAGGAAGAGTGTTACAGGCCAACAGAATGTGCAAAGGCTCAGTGGCAAGACAGAACAAAGTGGTTTAGTGAAAGGAGGGTGGGGGTGCACTGAGCTCAGAGTGTAGTTAGAGAGAGGGAAAGTGATGGGTTTTGAGGCTAGAGGTTTTTCCCTGATGATCGAACACACTCAGATTCGCATTTTAAAAATGAACAGTTTGTTGGCCATGTGGAAATAAGCCTAGGGGTGTGGAAACAATGTGCCTGGTGTTAAGGTTGAAATTTTGACTGTATAGAAACATTTATTGTTGCTCTTACTGAGAATTATTCATTTCCAGGAACAGTGCTCTTTAAACTAAAGATAAGGGCTAAAGGATAGGGGTGGAGGCAAAGAAAAGCAGTGCTGAAGGGTAGCAGAGTATGCCACCCCAAAATATGCCACTTTAACATAAGGATTATTTTGAGCTGAAGCTTCATTGAGAAGAAGCAGATACAAGAAAAGCTCTCTGCCTAAAAGCAGGACATAAGTTTGTAAAGGTGTTCCCCCTCCCCTCTCTACCTGAAAGGACAGAAATTAATCACTGAAGACAACTCTAGACCTTTATCAGCCCAGAGGCAGACCTTGCTAAAAACAACCCTTATTTTCCATTAGTTCCCCCAATATATTTACCTTTCCACAATTTACCAGTGCCTAGAAGCTCTAAGTCCTTTTCCCTTGTCTTGTCCCTTCTCTCCTAATTCATTGTTCTCAAGATGCTATAGAAGCTGAAATTTTAACTACCCCTTTAAGTCACTCGCTACTGAGTACCCCCATGGCCATGGGCATTGAATATACTAACAAACTTCTGTTTTGTTTTGTTTTGTTTTCTAGTTAACCTGACTTTTGTCAGTCTCATTTACAGGCCTGCAGAAGGAGAACCAAACAGGGTAGAGGAAGAAGATGTTGTTTCCTCTCCTGTGCTACCAACCAATCTATAAGGCTTCATTTTGGCACTTTGGCTTTCACTGTTTGATTTAACCAATATTTACTGAGCATTATGTACCAAGCCCACTGCTGTGGAAGCTGAATCCAGATCTCTGATGCCCTCCCTTAGCAAAGAGTTGAAAGTTGGGGGAACTCAGACAACAAGTGATTTTTCTAAAGAGCATTAGTTTGAGTCTGGTTGAAAATTTGACAGTGCCGTTTAATGGGAGGATTCTGTGCCATCCAACTCCACTTAAGCCCTTAGCTAAGCCATCAAATGGCCCCATTCATGCTGCAGCTGCAGAATTCCTGAGGCCATGCCAGTGGGCCCCAGGAATGCAAACGAGGGCTCGGTCTTGGCTTCTGACACCCTGTGAGCTTTGAGGAAGAACAAGTAGGCATTTGTTAGGGGAAGGCCCACAAAGGCACCACAGGAGAGGGGATTGAATGCCCCATGGGATTCCAGGCCAAATGCAAAAGGCTGGTGTAATCTCTGCCACCACAGCTTGTGTGACCTCACTTGCTCGCTGGCTGTGGGGGCAGCTGATAGCCCAGCCTGCTGAGGCAGGGTCCCTAAACAGAGCAGGGGTGGCAGCTCTTCAGGAATACAGTCTGTACTCTATTACCCACCAGGTAAGGATTATGTGAAGCCAAGCCATGTAAAGGAAGCAAAGACTTTGAAAGGCAAGAGGAGGATAAAAGCATTTTTTTTCCTGCAATCTCTGGGACATTCCTCCCATCTGTACCCAAGAGGGAGGTAGTGAAAAAAGAACATGGGTTGCAGGTAGAATAACCTTAAAAGGCTTACAGAAAGCAGCAGAAAATCAAACCATTTCTAGAACATTCTTTGTGAAATTCAGTTCTCCCCATAACTCAGATATTGTCAATTTGCTCTTGAAGTTCGATTTTGCTGTAGTTGCCAGTGATATGGTTGCTTATATTACCCAAAGGCTATGTTCTGACATCATGGAGCAGCACCCCCAATGGCACTCTGGGTATTAGCACCTTTACATATTATATGGTGACTTAGACTATGCATACAGAACAGAATTACTCAGCCTCAGCACTGTTGACACTTTGCACAACGTAATTCTTTGTTGTAGGGGCTGTTCTGTGCATTTTATGTGTTTAGTAGCATCTTTGGCCTCTATTCAGTAGATGCCAATAGCGCCCCTCCTGGTCATGCTGTTGAAAATATCTCCAGGAATTGCCACCTGTTCTCTGGGGACAAAATTGCCCTCAGTTAGGAACCATTGGTATAGAGGAAAGGTGGAAGAAGATTTTGTTTTAAAATCCTTCAAGAGAACAAAAGAGGAATTGTTAGTCTTTGTTGCTTACAATTAGTAGTTTCCCTACAGGAATGAAGTCTTCAATACCCGTAGAGTTGCATAGGATTTTTACCTTCAACATAAAATAGAAGTCCTACATAATAAGAAAACAGCAAGCCACAGTTACCATTGGTTGATTCAGTCAAATCAGCCCAACAGTTTGTTGATGTTCACTGGACATTGTCTTCGCTTCAACTATATGCTCACTATTGTTCTAGGTGCTCGTGCAGTCCACACACTGTCGGAATAATTTGATTAAACAATAATGCCCAAAAGATTGCCTTTGGGAGGGCTTTAATGGTGTTACGCAGGAAAATAATGGAGCTGTAGAATACAGAAGTTATTTTCAGCTGGACCCTGAGGTGGAAATGACTTTTTCCATGCCCCAAAGTTTCAAAATACTTCTCTCATTGTCATAATGCACAAAATATGGCTGATCACACAGAGAAAGCATAACTGTGAAAGTGAACCCAGATATAAGAATTTAGGAGCCGGGAGAGACAGAAAAACAGAAAGACAGGCAGATCTACAATAACAAGCAGCCAACTTAATTAAGAAGAATATCAAGCAGTCTGCATTTTAGAAAGCAGAAAACAAAATCCTACAGAAGCAAGAGATGAAGCCTTGGTCTTTTGAACAACTTGAAAAATTATATCAGCAAAAATGTAAGAATATTCTCTGAAATGTAAACTACAAGGGCAGAGATTCTTTCTTCTCTTTTGTTCATATCTTTACCTAGGCCTTTCTCCCTAGTGTCTAGAACAATGTCTGGTGCTGGTAGGTACTCAATAAATATTTGTTAAATGAATTCTGCAATTATTAATAACGGACCTGAAATAAGAAACCTAAGTGTTGTCTATACTCTATGGGATCCACAGAGAAGAACTAGACTATGTTAGCACTAAGATTATTACCTCAAAATGCTCAAAGACCAGTAAGCATATGTCTACATAACTCATGAGATAACTTGAAGGGGATTCTAATGACCAATTTTAAACAAATGGAGGGGGCAAATGAAAATATTGGATATGTACATTGAATAAAAACTAATCCATAAGTTCACAGTGATAAGGAGAAAAAAGAGAGATGGAACAAAATATAGAGAAAGCTCTTTTTTTCTTTATAAAAGAATGCCAGATAGTAAATAGAATGATAGAATTAGGAAAATCTCCACTTTCAAATATCAGTGTAATCATTGATTCAGACATGGATTATCAATGTTTCTAATGCTATTGGGCAAAAGTTATTGGGGATCAGCATATTTAGATAGTCTCAAACATCACCCCATGTATTTATTATAAAGGGGAAAGGTAAACTTATGGTGGAGAGACCTGGTAGATTCTAACCTAACCAAATGATCAAACTTAGCATTACCAATAGTGGAATATGATGCCTGTTGTCATTCAGTGGGAAGTATATGATGTCACTATATTAGTTATCTGATGTTGCATAATAAATACCCCAAGAACTTGGTGGCTTAAAACAATAGTAATCATTTATTATTAAGGTTTTGGCTAGGAAGTTCTAGCTTGAGGTCTCTCATGAGATTGTAATCAGAGGTCAGTGAGGACTACAGTAATCTGAAGGCCTGACTGGGGATGGCTTACTGACTTTCAAAATGCCACATGGCTGGACATTTGGTCTGAGAAAGTTGGTTCTTCTCCACCTGGGCCTTTCCCCAGGGCTGCCTGAGTGCCTTTACAGCATCACAGCTGGCTTCTCCTAGATCTAGTGAACCAAGAGCTCAGAGCAAAGGCCACAATGTCTTTATATCTAGATTTGGAAATTACAAATCATCACATCCACAGTATTCTATTGGTCATACAGGCCAGACCTGTTTTAATGTGGCATTGAAGTGACATCATTGTCTGGGGTAAATACCCGGGATTCATCATCTCACACCAAGAAAATTAAAAACACAGAAACTTGGGTGGGTTAAGGAGCAGAAAGTTTAATAGGCAGAAGAAAGGAGAGAGGAGAGCAGCTCTCTCTCTTTTGTGAGAGAGAGGCAACCAAAAGGGAAAAGCTGGCCTGTGGCTGACCACAGCAGATTTTATAGGCAGGCTTGAGGAGGTGGGGTCTGATTTACTAGGGCCCACAGATTGGTTCAACCAGGTGTGATGTTTACATAGCAGGCAGGGAAGGCTGGTTGCCCTACCCTAATCTTATTACATAAATGGGCTTTCCACTTGGCCAGTGCCATCTTGTCTGCTCCTTATTGTACATGTGGCTGGCAAAGAGAAGGGAAGATGGAGACACCATTTTGAACATGCCTAATTCCAGGTAGCCTTTTCCTATTGGTGTAACTGCCAGCATTCACCTGTGCAAGCTTCCAGCTTGCTTATCTATGTCTGCAGCTCGATTTTACAGGTTGCTCTTTGTTAGAAAAGAAAATAATTTGGGGGCTGCTTTTCATTAAAAGGAAAACCTTACCAAGGACTTCCTTACCCTCACTATCTGCCTAAATAATTTCTTTTTAACTCCTATATCAGCATGGCCATGTTACCACAAAAGCATGGCCACTAGGATGTGAAGATCATTGGGAACCATTTAGAGGCTGCTTTTGAAATCAATCATCTTGGTTTTTTTGACAAAAACGTTCAAACTCAATCTAATCACAAAGAAATAACGGACAAACCCAGGATGAAGAACATTCCACAAGACAATCTTCTCAAACTTTAAAAGAAAAAGTCATGAGAGATATTTTTTAAAAGCAGGATTGTTGTTAATTAAAGGACACCAAAGAGAAAGGACAGCCAAATATAATGCATGACACTTAATTTGATCCTGGAATGAAAAAAAAAAGAAAAGCTGGGGACAATCGGCATAATTTAAATATGAACTATGTATTAGGCAATATTACTGTGTTAATATGTCCACAAACCTTTGTTCAGGAATGTTCATAAGGGCCAAAAACTCAACACAGCCAGAGGAGATGAATAACAAACTGAGCTATATTTAGATAATATAATAATAATCAGCAATAAAAAGGAATGAATTAATACACCCTACAACATGGATGAATCTCAGAAATATTATGACAGGAAGAAAGTTTAACTATAATATACAAAATGTATGACTCCATTTATATGAAGTTCTAGAAGAGGCAAAATGAATTGGTGGTGATAGAAATCAGATCAGTGGTTGCTTCTGGGAGTAAAGAGGAGTTGACTGGAAAGGTGTATGAGGGAATCTTCTGGGATGATGGAGATGCCCTTTGGCTTGATAGGGGCATGGATTATACAAGTATATTCATTGGTTAAAACTGATTGAACCATACACTCATAATTGGTATATTTCACTGTATGTGAATATCTAAAAATCTGTTTAAAAATTGTATCAATGTTAAATTCTTTGGATATAATAACAATATTGTAGTTAGGAGATATGCCCTAAAATATTGATGGGTGAAGCATTATAATGCCTGAAATTTATTTTAAATGGCTCTGGAGGAAAGAAGCAGATATAAAGAGAGAAAAAGCATGTGAGGCAACATTTAATAATTGGTATATCTAGGGGAAGGATAGTAGCTTTTATAAGCTTTTCTGTAGATCTGAAAATTTTCAAAGTAAGAGAAGGGAAAAAATCATCAAAACAGTACAAACAAAAACAAAAACAAAACTATTCTCTTAGCTATCATTTCCTCAATAAGAGGAATGGGAAATTTAAATCAATACTACATTCTACTTACTCTGTCACATGTAAGAATGTCCAGTTCCGCCATAGATTCCTTATTATAAAATGTGTTTAGCTGTTCATTTCATTCTTTTGAAAGGGCAAAAAAAAATTAAAAATTATCTCAGAAGAACACTGGTCAAAGGTAGCAACTTGCTGGGCTACTGCTTTGACTTAACCAGGTCCCATCTAACATTTACTGGAAATACATAAACTTCCACTTACCTAAAATTTGCACTACTTTTAAAATCTTTTCAACTGCCTGGAAATACCTATTTCCCAAGGCTTCTGCACAAGCTAATTGGTAGCTCAAATGATTTGCCAAATGATCAACATTTGATCTGATTTGCATTCCAGGATGATCAAGCATAAACTGGGTCTGGAAGCTTCATTGATAGAGTGCCTGCCATAAATGTCACAGGTGAGAAAGGGCAAGTGCCTGGCCTGTTCTTGGATAACTTCCCATGGAGGCAAAAGGCAGAGCAGCTTTAACTCACTGTGTAGATTATACTGTCTCTCAGGATGTCAGAGGGGTGAGAAAGCAAAGATGTGAATTTATAACGTAAATGTGTGAAAAGAAAAGGGTATGCCAGGTTCAAGAGAGATTTACTACGAAGATTTGTTTTAGAGGAAGTGCATTCAGAAATTGCGGGCACCAAATTTTGGTACTCTTGGCTCAAAAGGCAATAGGGAAACAACATTTTTCGGTTACATGGTGTACATGGCAGATAAAAAGTAGGGGTACCAGATGAAGTTTCTGTCAAGGAATTAGCAAGATAGTTAAGGAGGCTGCAGGAAAGTTTTGGGATATCAGGCAAACATCTTCTGGAAAAACACTATAAGAACAACCCTGAATGGTTGGCTAATAATGAGAAAAAGTTAGTTATTTCCTGAACTACCTTCTGCTTCTGGGTAACAGTAGTGGAAAGAGGATGTCTGACACCTTAAGGATGGTGTAAAAATTGTGTTTTTCCATGAAGATGGTGATTCTCTTAGAAAACCTAGAGGCACAGCTGATTTCATGCACAGGTTGAACAGGTAACCACCAGGGCATGGATTTTTAAGAATGCTTAAGAATTCTCCATCCTTGGCTTTAGATTTCCACTACAGCATCACTCCTATGGATTACTAACAATGCATTGAATTTATAAAGTGCTTTAAGTTTATCAAGCACTTTCACATACCCTTCCACATCTGGACCTCACTACTCTGTAAGGTATAAACAGTGGGGATTTAAACCTGTTTTATAATGAGGATCTTAAAGCTTAAAGCCCAAGGTCACATAGCCAAGACTCAAGTTCTATCTTCCAATTCCTCTTTCCATTATGCTGCTTGATAGACAGGCAGGTACAATGGCTAGGTAGGGAAGGTTGGCTCTGGTGTGCCTTGTAGACTCCCCTCAGCATGGTAACTTGGACAGGTTTAGCAGATTAGATAGCTAGAGACTTACTGGCAAAAAAAAAAAAAAAAAAATCTGTTCTTAAAGGACAAAGGGAAAAAGGATGTATATTTTCTATGGAAGTATCTATTTATTTTGGCCAGAAGAGGAAGATCAGGCATGGGTAGGGAATTCTGATCGGCACATGAGGTCTAGAATTGTGTGTGTATGAAGCACATGGACCAAAAAAAAGTAACCTGAGACTATGACCAATCTTGGAGAAAGGACTGTATCCAGCAGGTGACACCAAAGGCTAAGTGTCCATTATATCTTTCAGCCAAGGGTAATCTGAGGATAGCATTTTACTGTTTCTTCTCAAGGGAATTGACTTTCCTAAAAGAATACATTTCAGCAGGCTAAGAAATTCCTGGGCATTCAAGTAGATAGTTATTTCTTTATTCACCTTGCTTCTCCTGCTTGCTTTAATATGCAGTGTAGAGGAAATTAGATCTCACTGGTAATTAGAGGTGGGTTCAACTCACTGCCCTGGTAGGTCTGTGCCACAGCTCCCACGTGACCTTCAGCTGTTCTGAGTTTGCTTCAGTTATCTGGGAACTGAGGGAGACTTCTTAAAATAAGTGTCTCCTAGCACTAACATTTTCTGCTTCAGTGGAACGAGATGTAGAAAATGGTTCTCCTTGGTCCCTTCTGTAGCCGGCCTTTTGAAGTCATCTAGCAGATACACATGCTCCCATTTTGTCTATCTAGAAGCTCCTGGGCATGTGCAGAGGAAATTCCATTGTCCTGATGATCACAGTTCCACTGGGAAAGTGTTGTGATCTTCATTGATCTTCATTTCTACTGCTTCTTTCCCTTCCCCTCAGCATTCCAGTGACAATAGTCACTGCTCTGAAATTCATTATTCTTCAGATAGCCAAAGAACCCTTTAGGCTCCTTTCTGGAATCTTTCCTTGGACCTCTTGGAAGCTGTGATCTGGCCTTAGTAACATGAGATATACCAGAGATTTTTTTCACTACTACTACTTTGTGTGTTAGTTGGCTAATCATTCACTTTCTATACAGAATGGAAACAATTTTATTTTTTGAGTGGAGAAGAGGGTAGAGTTTAATTAATGCACTGAGAGTTGTCCTGGGAGCTAGTGGTTATGTGTAATGTGTAGGAAAGTCATCTCTCCTGTTTCTTCCAGAGGAAAAATTTCATGACTGATAGCATCATCCATGATTGTCTCCAATGGTGGGCGTTGCAGGCCAGGAAAGTGTGAAGTGTGGTGTGGGGGAGCATTTTGACCTACTGATGGGTTGGGCTGGCTCTAAGCACTCTGATTCTAGTTGAAATGGGTTCTAGTTGAAGGAATCTGGCCAACCCACTGTTGAGTCCTTATTTTTATCATCTCTAATTTATTTTGCTGCCTAGGGATGGGGGCATGGCCGAGTTATTAAAATAAATAATCTCGTGAATTTTATGTGTGAGTATGTATGAAACTGTAACAATATGATTACATCTGGAGCATAAATATTTATGAACACTAGTAAAACTGTCTACAACTCTGGCCTCACATCTCCAAACAGATCCTCATTATATTTATCACAACCTACAGTTAGACATATGGTTAGATCAAGCAAGGAGATGGCTAAAAAATATTATAAATACCTGGCCTCTGTATTCTGCTAAACTGCAGCCAGGCCCCTGAAGATAAACAGTTCGTGATTTTTTTTTCCTTCTTTTTTTTTTTTGACTGGGTGCTATATATGTCACTACAAGCTAAATGAAAAATTCCCAGTAGCCCCAAAGTATCTCTAATTTCTCACACACAGAAATGCATTATGTAAATGTGCTTAGCTTTACCTAAAGGCAGTAAAAAAAAGAGTCATTAATTCTGCATTTTGCATGCTTTGAGCAAATATCTAGGCACATAATACTCACTATTCTGGGCATTTAAAATAAAACTGGGCAGGGGGACAGTGTATGAACTAGTCATGTGAGTTCACAGATATAACTTTGTCTACCTTCAACTTCATGGCCACTGTAAGATATTCAGTAGATTACAGACCTAACCTCGCTTTTAAAATTATGTGATTGCTTGTCTTCAGACTGTAATTCTTTGAAACCTAATACCTGTCTTGGTTTTACAGCCAGAAAATCCATAATGGCATGTTATTTGTTCCCTCTACTAAGTGGAAACACTCTGGGAGCTAATTCATAGTGTCATTTGCTAAGCAGCCATGTTATTGAAGAGCCCAGATATTCAGAGAAAAATGATTGCTTAATTGATAGGGAACCATGATGAGTGAGGGTTTGGTAGACAAAGTAAGGGGTGGCACAGGCCTCTTCAGCCAGCTCCATGTTTCTTTTGGTTCATAGTGTTGCCAATTCTTGCACTAAAAAGTGGCAATCCCAGTGTGTGACACACAGCTAGCTAGCTCTGATTACTGTTAAGGAGAATAAATCAAATGGTACACTGACGTGAGAGACGCTGTTGTGTCACTGACAGGCTACTTGCCACCATATTAAGTGTTGGCTAGTGAAGGATGGATAATTAATCCCCAAAATGCAGTGAATATTCTTTTGATCTAAACTAATCAAAGCTAATATTGATGATCATTTTCTGCTCATCCACTTTTTTGGGGCTCAGAACACAGTACTCCGAAGTATGGCACCTTGGCACACTGTACTCCAGTCCTTTGAACTAAATGAAGGACATTGGAAGGGTCTCAGAAGCAAGTTCTCTCTGATCTCCTCCTGCCGTCCTTTCTCCTATCCCTTTTGCTCCCCAAAAGAAAGATGTAGAAACCAGAATTCCTCTTCCCTAAGGCGAGTTATAGGAACTGGAATCCTTCTCTCCCCAAAGCAAGCCATAAAACCTAGAAAAGTTATTCTTTCCCTTCTCCCTTTGTTACTGGTGTCAAATCCATATCCATACAGGTCTACAGCAATCTCAATTCTTGCCTCCTCAGAAGAAAGAATTCAAGCAAGGGGCATAAGGCAGGAGAAGAGACCGAGGCAAGTTTTAGAGCAGGAGTGAACGTTAATTAAAAAGCTTTAGATCAGAAATAAAAGGAAATAAACTATACTTAGAAGAGGGCCAAGCAGGTGACTTGAGAGATCAAGTGTGCAGTTTGACCTTTTGACTTGGGGTTTTATGCATTGGCATACTTCTGGTGTCTTGCATTACTTCTCCCCTGATTCTTCCTTTGGAGCAGGCTGCCAAGGTGTGCAGTAGCCTGCTAGCACCTGGGAGGGGAACATGCGCAGTGTGTTTACTGGAGTTGTACGCATGTTCACTTGAGGTATTCTTCCCTTACCAGTCTAGCATTCCTAGAGGAAAGTCATATACCAGTTAAACTCTGCCATTTTACCTCTTAATGTGCATGTTTGAGCCCACTCACCAAACTCCTGAAATCTTATTGAGAAGCTGCCGCTCACCAGTTTCAGATTTTTTCTATCTGTTGGGAAACTGCCCTTACCTGGTGCCGGTTCTGACAAATTATTTTATAGAGAGAGCTAACAGTTGCCTCACCATCACCTGATGGTCACCTGACATTCCATTCCTCATGTGTGTATGTGGGGAAGGCTGAACCCTCTCCTGCCCTGCTTATGCCTGACTAGCTACCTACTGAAACATCTTAAAGACCCTCATTCCAGAGGGTCCTGCCCCATACCTGGGAAGAAGGAATGCTGCACAGAGAGGCCAAGAAGAATCTGAACAGACAGGCCTTGCTGGGTTCTCCACCTGAGTCTATTACCATTAGATCATACCCTTTTGTTTAATCACATTTCTACATGGCTGTCTATTCTTCAATAAACCTAAGCATAGAAACAGTTTTCTCTGGGTCTTTGAGTCTTCATTTCTGAAGCCTCCTATAATGTAAAACTTTGATTAAATACATTTATTATTATTTTCTCTTGTTAATCTGACTTTTGTTATAGGAGTGTCAGCCGTGACCTTTATGATGGGTGAGGAAAGGCATCACACCTTTTTTCTCCTACAACTTCCCAGTCAAAATGAGCCTATTCTCTCTTTTACTGTCATACCAGGCTTCTTTTTTTTTTTTTTTTAACTCTGTCACCAGGCTGGAGTGCAATGGCGAGATCTTGGTTCACTGCAACCTCTGTCTCCTGAGCTCAAGGGATTCTCCTGCCTCAGCCTCCTGAGTAGCTGGGACTACAGGTGTGCACCACCATGCCCAGCTAATTTTTGTATTTTTAGTAGAGATGGGGTTTCACCATGTTGGCCAGCATAACAGGCTTCTTTACTCACCAAGATGCCTGCTAACAAATCTGATAAAAATCACCCTTATCAACAACATCATGGAGAAATCAAGAATTCTATGAAATCAGCGTTCTCCTTTGCATGGTCGATAGCCCCCATGAGATCTGGTTTCCTCATCTCATACTACTCCCTGCCTGGTTCAATGCCATAGTCATTCCAGCTTCTTTTAGCTCCTGCACTGATCTTTTCCCTCTCTCTCCCTATGCAGCTTCACACCTACTGTTTCTTCTGCCTGAACTTCTCTCCTCAACTAATTTCCTGTCTGCTAAGCCAGCCCTCACTCATTCTCATACATCCAGTACTTCACAGGGAAGTTATCCCTGTCACTCCTCCTCTAGCATCCATGTTACATTGTCTAGTATGTACTTCTCAGTAGACTTGCACCACAGTGACAACTACTTGTTCAGTGGCTGTCTCATTCCTCTGGGGGATGAGATTCCTGAGTGCAGGGACTGTCTCTTTTGTTTATCTCTGTATCCCCAGCACTGAGCCCAAGACCTGGAACACACTGAACATCAGACAAATCGTTGTTGAATGAATTAATCAGAGTTAGTGAGAGAGGAAATGCATGGTTTGCCCCAATGGAGATATATTGCCTTTCCAAGCACAGTTTAAAAGATGGTCATTGGGCAAGTATGGAGTCCTCATTAAGGTTAATAGAAACAGAGAACTTTGCCTAGGATTACATGAGCCTGCTGGTTAAGAACAACACTTTTTTTTTTCATTCTTTTGGTTTTTTTAATGATCATTAAATTGTACCTACCTTCACAATGTGACCAGTATCATACTGTGGTATCAATTTCAGACTATAATGCGAGTCTGCCATCTACTGGTGCTACGGGGTAGTACTATGAAACCTCTGACAAGCATTTTCATTTTCTCTGGAATCTTCTGGGTTCCAGAAGCTAGGAGGGGCATAGATTCCAACATGCCCAACCATTTCATTTTACCCAAAGGGAAACCATTTCCCACAGAGTATAAATGACCACCCTGGGCCATACAGCTAATCGGTGGAAGGTCTGAACTCTAACCTAGGCCTCCTGACAAAATCAGCCTCTTGGTTCTTATTCTTCATCGTAATTCTGGATACTAACTGAAGTACATCTGGTCAACAGTGTTGACCTTGACTTTTTCCAAAAGGAAATGGAACAATTGAGACTTGTTCAAGTTTACACGCCAGGAATCTCTTACCCCCTTGTATAAAGCTCATCACATCCCAGAAAGCATATCTGCTTTCTGTCCAAGGATTTCCTGGATCTGAAAACAGCTGTACAGGATTGTGTGGGAAAGACTAGATTTACAAAACTTGGAATTTCGCACCAGAAACTTAGGCAAAGATGTGGTGCAAGACGTGCACTGCCTGCCATTAAATTGTATGCCATCAGCAAGATCCTGAGGGATTCGAAACACACCAGATGTTTGTGTTCCGAAAAGCCATGATCTTTAATGGAAAAACTGACAAACCATAATGGAAAGAGCTAGGAACTGCCATCCTAATAAGAATTGACAGGATCAGTGTAGAGCCTTCCAGAAAGGCCTCCTCTGTTAATCTGGCAGAATTGGCTACAGAAGCACTAGGTTTTCCAATAGGTACATTTTTAAAAAAATTTTTTTTAGCTACCCCAAGGGACTAGATTTAACCATAGTCATCTTTTTATTGTGTGGTTTGCATGGAAACACGCCTGTTAACATTCCTGAGATCAACGCAGAGTCAAAACAAACCAAACATCCCAGTACCTGCCAGAAGAGTTTCATCTTTCCCTAACAATTCTTGGAACAGAGCACTTTAGGGACTGAACTTCTAAAACAAAGGAAAGAAAGAAGATGTGGCTGCCGGGAAGTTCTCACTGGGTACTTCAAAAAAATTTCCCTGGAACTCTTTGGCTCGGAGTGTATCTTTAAAATTTTTCTTTACTCAAAACAGTACCGCCAGCTAATGAACAGGTCCAGGCTGGTCATTTGCTTCCATAATTTGGAAAAGTAACACCTTTACTTCATATCTCTGGGACCATTGTTGTCCAGCGATCTGACAAAGGAAAATACTGTCGGGTCCCAGGGGGTTTCCGATCAATCGGGGTACTATTTTAGTACCTTCAGGGTTGTAATAAAAACATGTTTCCTCTTGAACAAAAATAAGAACTAGCTAATAGAAATATTAATATTTATTCAATTAAACCCTTCTCATGATCATCTCCCTTCAAGTCTCAACCTCTAGGAGACTGATGCTCACCATTGCCCACAGACATGATCTGGAATGTCATTGGTTTACACCTGAATCCCTGTGTACCCTTTCCATCTCAACACAGTCCCCATGGACAATGGCACCATCTGGACGTCAAAATTACAGAGGACTGCATCAAGGTACCAGAGACCTTTGCTCCTCAGTGACAGAAAAAATGAGAATGTTCATGTTTACTCAGAATGTTAGTGTGTGGTTTAAATGAGGACTGGGAGGTCCAAATGAAACATCCAAGGCCAGACCAAGGTTCTTGTGATTTGGACATTACTACTGCCCTCTTTTCTCTCTTAGGGAAGAACTCAGAGTTCTTGGAAAATCTGGACTCTAATTTGTGCTCTATCTGTCCCCTGATGGCTCAGAGACACTGCTCAATGCAAGTGACAATTCTCTCATTGCAAAACCCATGAGAGATGTAACAGTCCCCTCCACCATCCCTTCTCAATTTCACATCAAGGAGATGCAGGTGACTGGAGCCCATGGTTTCCCCTCACTACGCCCCTCATCACTCCACATCTGCCAATATATTTCCTTTTATTTCCACCTACTTCTACTATTAGCTGCTGCACTTACTCTGAATTCATTTTCATCTCTTCCCTGACTCATCCTGTTATTTCTTAGTCATCAGTCAAGATCAAACAGTCCAAAATAGCCTGGTAGATTTGACTTGAGACACAGCTCAATAGTTATTGACTGGCCTTTATCCCCTTGCCTGGCCCTACAAGTAGGGTATGATGGTAGTGGGATTTTCATGCTGAAAATAGCATAAACACTACAGTTTAGGGAATTTTCACATTTACCCCAAAATTCTGTCTTGCTTAGAGCCTGACTTAATTTAGGTTTAGTTTACATTATTTCAAAATAAATTCATATCTTGAGTTTGTTCATATGGGCAATCTGATACAGTTGTTTCAAACCAGGCAAACTAAACAAACAAAAAAAACATAGGAAGCATGTAATAGTGTTTAAGTGTGGGCTCTGGCCCCAGACTGCTTGAGTTCACATTCGCCACTTCTGAGCTGAATGGCCTGTTCAAGTTAACCCTTCCAAAACCCAGCTTCTTCACTTATAAATGCAGATAATAATAGTACCTGCCCCATCAGACCATTAGGATTAAATGAGATAATACACAAAATACACTTAGCATAGTGTCTTGTGCATTGTTGATTGTATTGTTTTTAAATATACAAAACTACCATTATATATATATATATATAAGATATTTCAAAATACATGCTCTCATTTAACCCTGACAACCCTAAGGTATAGGTATTATCATCCCCATTTCGTAGGATGTTGGCTTGCCTGTAGACATAACTTTCTGTCCAGGTTTTTCAAGGAGCATTTGCTCAATCACATATCGTAGAGTCTGGAGGCAGTGTTCTCATTGAGACTCATGCTTTTGGCTCTAACATCCTCAATCCCTCTTTGTCACTATTGTCTACAAAATCTTGGGCTCCTATCCAGATCCTAATATCAATATGCTGTGTGACTTTATTATCTATGGTAATACCCAACATCCTGGCTGCTCACTTCCTTGAACTCTTCATCTCTAGTGATATTCTCCTTTGGTCATGTGTTTTCATTGCCCTTCTTTTGGCCTTGACAGCACCCAGAACCACTGTCCTACCTTCAAAATCAAGAACTCAGACATTTCCCAATTCTTATCATTTTAGATGGCTCTTTGAGTTATTTCAATTAAACCAGCTCTTTGAATTCATTTGACTACCTTTACAATTTCTCACTTATCTCACTGACTCAGAATATCAGTGTCCTCCTTCCTTTGCTTCCTTCCCTATCCTATTTATATTCAATATCCTGTTACTTCAACCATTCTTTTATCAGTTTCTTCAATTCCTTTGCCCACTATCCTTTCATCCCATTTACCTGGCCTCTCTCAGGAACCCAACTATTGACCAAAGTTGCTGAGCATCACTGCAGAAAATGCAGCAGGGCAGAGTGTTGCCATGGTGTGTTCATGTCAACATCCTCAATAGGACATAAAACACTGCCAAGAAATTTACTGAGTTTTCATCAGCTCTCCTATTCTCCATGGTGAGGATTCCATACTTTTTCACTATCTTCAATCCTCCAACTTCCTCACACCACCCAATACTCAAGGCAGATGGCATCAACTCCTACTTCATAGAGAAAATAGAGACATTCTGAGAGGAGATCCTCCAACTTTCCACCACCACATTTACAAACCCATGCACTTACACAGCCACTCTTCCATCTTGCCTCCTGCCACTGCGGAAGAGGGGCCCTTCTTTCTAATCAAGACTTATGCCTCCACCAGTCCCCTGCCCTGCTTCATCGGGAAGAGATCTTGGTTTACAAATTATCCCTTCTCTCCTGTCTTAAATCTCTTGCTTTATATTGGATCTTTCTCATCAGCTTTCTAATATACTAAAACCTTTTTCCTCTCTTAAACCTGAAAATCATATTTGTCTATTTCTGCTTCACAGATGAGAAAATAGAGGCTCTTAGAGATTTAGGAGGAAAGAGGAGAATAGGGTTTGAGCCCAGGACATTGTGGTCATACACAGTGCCTTTCATTAAAGTGCCACACTATGTTCTGCAGCAGCTTGCCCTGCCTAAATATTAAGATGCTTTCATCTGTGGGCTGTGAATATACTCTATTTTAGGTATCTTCACTAGAGGATTGGGTTGATTTCTTGGCAAGCCAATCTGCTGATCAATGCTCCAATATTATGACCTCCCCTAAGGCCCCAAATGATAAAGGGAAATAGCTGGATAGACCTAATCTCTACTTTGGTTGCTCCATCTGCAAAGTGTAACTGATAATATATCTTCTTCCCACCTTCTAAGATCATTCTCCTCCTACTCCCCACCTCCATTTCTCATCAGCAATGTAATAAAGATGGCAAATCTCTCCCCTATGGAAGGTTTTTCAATTGTTGAGGGGGAAGGTGCTACATAAATGCTCAATATAGCCATCTTTTTTGGGAAGCTCATTCTCTGCGTGTGCTGACAGATAACTGTGATGTGGATGAAGCTGAGCACATTTTCTTCAGAAACGAAAAAATAGATCGAGAAGGAGGAAAATTCATTAAGCATCTGGGGGAAAGACTCAGAGAAGACCCAAGCAAAAACGTGGCCAAGCATCTAAATCAACATCCACTGCTACAGCTATTTGTGTCTGCCCTTTGTTAGTATTAGACCCAGGAGGCATGTTGAGTGTGAGATGTTATGAAAAGAAAGAGAACTAGAAGCAGAGGGGAAGTAAGGGGACGGTGAGCTTTATGAGAAAGAGAACAAGAACAAGATTTGCAAAAAGAACATAGGTCAACAAAGCTAATCTCTCTGTCAAAAGGAGGTGATGTGGGGCATAGAAAGAGACTGCGTGTCCATGTTTTGTCCTTAGACATTATTTTTCCAGCAAAGATAGTAAAACTACTAAAATGTGGGGCTAAGCCAAAAACACCAACAATCTGAAAAGCAAAAATGATTTTGCTTTTAACAAAGGAATCTTTGAAAAGCCTGAGATAAATTTGAAACCAAATTGATATAAAATCTAAAGCTTAAAAGTATAGACAGAAGTGATATCAGGGTCAAATCCTAGATTTTTGGCTAAGTAGCTATGTGATGTTGGGCAAGTCATGCTTCACCTATCTGGGTGTCAGTTACCTAGTTCTTAACGTTATGGAAATTGACTAGATCAATTATTGTGAAACTATAGGTTATGTTCCATTAAGAATCACTTAATTTAATGAGAGATATTACTAAGAAAGATTAACTGAGCATAACAGTATGGAAAGAGGATAAAAGCTTGAGCAATACTGGATTTTCTCAAATTATTTTTTTCTATAAGGTATCAAATGGCTGGGTGCGGTGGCTCACGCCTACAATCCCAGCACTTTGGGAGGCTGAGGTAGGTGGATCATGAGGTCTGGAGTTTGAGACCATCCTGGCCAAGATGGTGAAACCCCATCTCTACTAAAAATACAAAAAATGAGCCAGGTGTGGTGGCATGCACCTGTAGTCCCAGCTACTCGGGAGGCTGAGGCAGGAGAACCTCTTGAACCCAGGAGGCGGAGGTTGCAGTGAGCCCAGATCATGCCGCTGCACTCCAGCCTGGCAACAGAGCGAGACTCTGTCTCAAAAAAAAAAAAAAAAAGATATCAAATAATATAATTTAAAGAACTGTCTCAGGATTAATTTTATTTTTATAAATTCATATAATTAGGTCAATTGAAGGGAATATATGTAGAATCTGTCATATATTGTTTAATGTGCACTTAACTGAAAATCAAATATAAAGGGAAGGATGGTAATAGCTGGCAGAAACAGAGGCTTGGTAGAATCCATAAGAAGTTAAAGTCCCTTTTATCTTAGTGTGTATCTTCAGATAAGTAGAAAAAGGAGACAAATAGCTTTTTAATTACTGTTGTGCAGGGGTTAACTTTCCTGGGGTCAGGGGCAGCATTCAGAGTAATGAAAAGTAATTACTCCTCAATCACTCTTTTTATCAATGAGCCATAGAGACCAGAAACTGGCTCCAGTCCCAAAATAGCAGAGCACTGGCAAGGGAGTCGATCCAAACTGGAAGAGAGAAGTCAGAACCTAGCTCCTGAGAGCAGCAGGCACTCAGGGCCTTCCATCCATGCTGTGGTCCTTGCCTGCCAAAGCCATCCCTGCCTGCAGTAGGTTTCAGAATAGTCATCCTCCAAAGATACTCATACCCTAATCCCCAGAACCTGTGAATATGTTATCTGGCATGGCAAAAGAGATTTTGCAGATGTGATTAAGGGTACAGACATTGACATAGAGAGATTATCTTGGATTATCCAGGTAAGCCCAATTTAATCACATGAATCATCAAAAGTGGAGAGACTTTCCCAGTTCTGGTCAAAGAAAGAGTAGGGTCACAGAGATGCTATATGGGTGGCTTTGAAGATGAAAGGAGGGGGCCACTAGCCAAGAAATGTGGGCAGTCTCTAGGAGCTGGAAAACACAAGGGAACAGATTCTCCCGCCGAGCCTCCAGAACAAAATGCCACCTCACCACACCTTCTTTTAGCCCAGGGAGACCCCTGTCAACTTCTGAGCCCCAGAACTATACAATATAAACTTTGTGTTGTTTTAAGCTACTAAGTGTGGGTATTTTGTTGTGCAAAGACTAGAAAACAAATGCACTGTCTACCCTTTGTTCTACTTACATTCTATGCAGACACCTTATAGAGCAGCTAGGTTTCCTGCTTTTGTGACTTGGTCCACATTGCTTCCTCTACATGTAATGTCTTTCCTAGTCTCTTTTCTCCCATCTTATCCCTCATGCAACCTGAAGCTAACTATTATTTGATAAGGACTTAGTTCAAGCATCCCTTCCTCTAGAGAGCCTTTTCTAAATACCCAAATTAATCTCCCTCTTCCCCAAACCTAGGGTAGACTCCATTGCTCCCATCTCTATGCTCCCATCACACCGTGTGCAGATGCCCATTTCAGCACTGTATTGAAAGTGTCTGTCTACAGACTGTCACCCCTTCTTGGTATGGATACCCCTTAAGGTCTGGACTCCTACTGAAGTGCCCATCAGTGGGTCTTTGATGAAAATACGGATGTGAACAAAGGCTTGGGGCAACACACATCTTTAATTATGTTCCCAAACCAAATGGGATAACAAATATGAAATACTCCCAATTTACTAGCAATATTACATTTTATTAATGGAGCATTTTTATTTGTATTTTTTTACTTTTCAAAACACTTGTTCCATACAGCCCTACAGTAGTTTTAGCTTAACAGTGGGGGATATGTTCCAAGACTCTCAGTGGATGCCTGAAACCATGGACAGTACAAAACCCTACAAATATGTTTTTTCTTAAACATGCATACCTATGATAAAATTTAATACATCAATTAGATATATTAAGAGATTAACAATAGTATATAATAAAAAAGACAGTTATAACAATATATTGTTAATAAAAGTTATCGGAATATGATCTCTCTCTCTCTCTCCCTCTACATATCTTCTTGTACTGAACTCTTTTTGTGATGATGTGAGACGATGAAATGCTTGCGTGACGAGATAAAGTGAGATTATGATGCATCATTTAAAACTTATAATTTTTCTAAATTATTTCTGGAATTCTCCATTTAATGTTTTCAGAACTGCAGTTGACTATGGGTAACTGAAACCATAAAAAGGTGAAACTGCAGATAAATGGAAACTATGGTATTTGGCTTTGAACTCCATTAGGAGACAAGATACCACCACCCTCTACATCTGGAGGCATCTGAAAACACAGAACATTCTTATGACCAGATGTTTTCCTACTGTTTATTTTGAAATTCAAAGTTGGAGAAGAATTAAACTTAGCTACTTTGTTTCCCAGAGGAATTTCTTCATTCTGTCCCAATTCTGATGGCTACCAGTGCTCGTCTTTTCAATGCAGACTCTCTTCTCCATTCAATGTTTCAGACTCCCAGGGTATATTCAGCAGACTATTTGACCCACACTGCCTAGGATTTACTAATCCTATTGACTCTTACAAATGACTGACTTGACCCTGTACTTGGGGAAATTCTCTGGCTATCTGCCTACACTCAGGACACTTAGGATTTACAACGGATTCCTGGCTGTGCATCCACCAACCACATTGAGAATCTATCTCCAGACTTATCTCCTTCACATGTGTTAGTCAGCTTTTGACTTGATGATGCTTGATCGTACATACTGAATGAGAATGTAAAGCCAAACCTCTTCTTAACACAGGTTGTATGAGCAGCAACAAAAAAAGAAAAAGAAAAAACTGGCAGAAACAGAAGGAAGAGTATGGCTTACAAAAAGAGAGTTCAAGGAAAAGGAACTACTGCTTCTCTGTGCCTGAGGCTCAAGAAAGGTAACAGAGATCAGGACTAGGAACAAAGAGGGAGTAAAGGAGAGAGAAAAGTACTTTGGCAAAATGTTTACATGGGTCTTTTTCTGCCATTGACACGCTATATTACCAGATTCCTTACAACATGCACATTCTGTTCAGCACTTGTCTAATACATGATATGATGTGAAGGTTCTTTCATTTCCACTCCTCAAAAGATACAGGGAGGGCAGAGAGAGCTGAACACCCTGCTATCTCAAGAGATATAATGAATGTTCTAGAATAAGGGGTTCCATGGTCAGAAAAAAATTAAGAAAAGGAAACACTGGATTAAGCAAAACAAAATTAATCAGGCTTCTTTGCTGCAAGACTTAGGAACTTTATCATCCTAACATGTGCTAAGATTCAAAGAAAGAGTTTATGTTGCAAACTCACTTGGCCAGAAACAATTTTGTCAAAGGAACATCTATTAATATCTTGGTGTTCAGTTTGAAAAACACTCCCCTAAACATTCCTCCAAAGCATATAATACCTGAAATGTAGTAGGCTTTCAATAAATGTTTGACCAGTGAATGAGAGCCAAAATTTTCAAAATGACCCAACAAAACCCTTTACCACAGTGTTTCTCTATCAGAAAATGCAAATAGATTTCATGAACGTATTTTTCTCAGGTCAACAAAATGTTTACAGGCAGTAAATACACTACTTTGTTCCAAAATCTACTGCCAACTAGTCAAAGAAAGTATAATATCAATTATACCCAACCCAACACTCTTTACATTTTCAGTTGGCTTGTTTTCATCTCAGGGAGGAGGATAAAATGATGTCAAATAGAAGGCATTTGAGGAGGTACTTGTAAGAACCCAGCAGCAGCCCCCTAGCAAGTCTCAACATGTGACAAGAGGAATGTCATCCAAAATAACTCTAGACAAAAATGCAACAAAAGTCTGGCAGAGGCCAATTAATCAAGAGAAAAATCACAGAGAGCACTCAAGATCTTTGGCCCTACTTCTAGTCTTACTTTTGGGACTTTCAAATTATTTGTTTGAAACTAATCCCTGTGAATGACTATTGAACCTTCCCCAATTTTCTGAAGACAAGAGATTCTTTCCCACTTTGTCAAACTTTGTCAAAAAACAAAATTGTGATTAAGCAACAAGCTTGAAGCATTCTTCTACCATTGTATCATCTGGTTGTCTAACCGCATTGGTTGGTTGGTTTGGTTTCCTATCAATATAGCTTGAGTAACATGAACAGTCAATATTTTCCCCTCTGAGTATTTTCCCAAGGTTTTTCTAACTGTGTTACTACATTTCTTTATAGTTCAAAATTTTTTCTGCTCTGTTCTTTCCTAGATGGCCATAATAAAAAACAATACCCATTTAATGTCTTCCCCTACTTCAGAAAATTTTATTGTTTTCCTCTGTGATTTTGCTCCACCTACTTGGACGTTTATACCAACAATATAATATCATAATTATATGCTACCTTGTTTTGTGTTCTAACAGTTATTATTCAGGTCTCCCCAGCATGTCTGATTGTCCTGCAGTGCCTTCAGGATGAAGTGCAGATGGCTTTGTTCCAATATGGGAGCCTGGATGTTGTCATCTTAATACTCCATCTGATAACAGGTCAGTTTTATCCCTGACACTGGTAGATTGTACCCTAGTACTCAGGAGACTTGGCATGAAAGGAGAGTCAGTAGGAAGAACAAAACCAGAAGCCAGGTTGCAGAAACTGGGACACATAGGAGTTGGGATAGCTAGGACTCTGGATCAATATGAGAGTACATTTGTCATCACTGGGCAGCAGGCTCACATATCTGGGAAAGTAGCAAAGCTGTCTTTCCTCTCCCTACTTCCTAGAATCTCTCCACCCTCATCCCATACTCTTCCCTCAGTTGTTCCCTGCACCCATGCCTTGCCTCACTGCAATCTCTGCTTCCCAGATTCAAGCAATTCTCCTGCCTCAGCCTCCTGAATAGCTGGGACTACATACATGCACCACCACACCCAGCTAATTTTTGTATTTTTAGTAGAGACAGGGCTTCATTATCTTGGCCATGCCGGTCTCGAACTCCTGACCTCAAGAGATCCACCCGCTTTGGCCTCCCAAAGTTCTGGCATTACAGGTGTGAGCCACTGCACCCAGCCCAGGCGAGGTTATTTTGAACTGGCATAGAAAAAAGCACAATTAACTTAACTTAGTAATCTAGAGATCACAAGTGAAGGAAATAAGACAGAGGGCAGCTCAGAGATTACCTTTCCTTACTAACCCCGTCTCATGCACCTATGCCTGCTACACCAACCAGGCTGCTCACCCTGACCTTAATATACCATACTCACTTAAGATGAGCCTTTTGCACTTATTTTCCCTTCCTAGAACGTCAGTGCCTCTTCCTTTTCTCTGTCTGGCAGGTTCTCCTACCTAATATTAGAGACTCAACTCAAATGTACCTTCTCTACAAAGCTGCCCAGAGTTCTTCTGAACAAATTAATTATATGCAACCAAAACCAAATCCTTATGCCCCTACAGTGGTGCCCTGCCTATTTTATTGTAATTTGTCTTTGCTTGCAAGTCTGTCACCCCCATTCAAGTTTTGAGGATGAGGACCTTGTCTTACTCTTCTTTGTATACTTAGCATTTAACAGACTAGTGGGCTAAAAAAGAAGACTTTGGTAGAAGAACTTGGGTAAGAATGATGCCGATTTTCTTTTCCGTTTGTGAAATCATCTGACTCTGAAATTTTCTTTTTTTTGGTGTCAGGAGTGTCCAGATTTTCTATTTCTTTTTATCAAGGAACATTTCATAAAAATTTGTATATTTTATCCATGTTGTGAAATTTCGCAGCACAAAGTTGTCATTGTATTCTTTATTTTTAAATGTCTGTAGGTTCTGTATTGATATCCCCCTTTGTATTTCTCATATTAATCATTTGTGTTTTCTCTTGATCAGTCTTGCTAAAGTCATATTAATTTTATTAATCTTTCCACAGAACCCATTTTTAAATTTGTTAATTTTTTCATATTATATATTTATTATTAATTGATTAATTGATCATCCTTCCTATTTACTTCTTCTCACTTTTCTTAAAGGGTTTTTTTTTTTTAATTTTGGTTTTGTTTCTTCCTGAGATATTTGCTTAGATGATTTGAGTTTCAGCATGTCTTCTTTTCTGAGACAGGCATTTAAGATTGTTTTTTGTTTGTTTGTTTTGCCTTGGCTATATCTTCACATCTTGATATATCATATTTTCATTGTTATTTGGTTAAAATATTTTATATCTGTGACTTCTTTGACCCATGGGTTTTTAGAAGTGTATTACTTAATTTCCTAAGTCTAATCATTTTTTTGCTAGTTATTTTTCTGTTTTTAGTTTCGAGCTTAATTTCACTCCTGTTTGAATACATAGTATCAAATATTTGCCTTTTTGAAATTTATTAAGACTTTCTTTACAACTTCACATATGTCTATTTTGGCAAATATCTCATGTGTGCTTGAAAAATAATTTTTTTCTTTTTTTCTAGTTTTGTGGTGGACTATTGTATATAGGCCAATTAGTTCATATTTGTTAACATGTTGTTCATATTGTCTATATCCTTATTTATTTTTGTTTTGTGTTTTGCTGTATGTTTATTTTTTATCTGCTTATCCTATTTATTACTGAGACTATTGAGTTAAAATCTCCAGCTGCGTGACTTTTTTGTTTTCTGTTTTTTGTTTTTGTTTTTGTTTTTGTTTTTTGAGACAGAATCTTGCTCTGTCACCCAGGGTGGAGTGCAGTGGTGTAATCTCGGGTCACTGCAACCTCTGCTTCCCAGGTACAAGCAATTCTTATGCCTCAGCCCCCAGGTAGAGTAGTTGGAACTACAGGCACGTGCCACCATGCCCAGCTAATTTTTTTGTATTTTTAGTGGAGATCGCCATGTTGTCCAGGCTGGTCTCAAACTCCTGGCCTCAAGTGATCTGCCCACTTCAGCCTCCCAAAGTGCTGGGATTATAGGCCTGAGCCACCTCGCCTGCCCTCCAAATGTGATTTTGAATTTGTCAATTTCTTCTTTTATTTGTTGTGCTTTACTTTAAATAACATATGTCCATCTTCTTACAAAATATCTATTTCTAGCAATGCTGTTGCCTTAAGGTTTACTTTGCCTTACATTAGAATAGTTATATCAGCTTTCTCGTGGTTAGTGTTGCAGGAGACAGTCTTTTCTATATTTTCACTCTGGCCCTCTGTGCTTTACATTTAAAGCTTAAACTTTGTAAGGAGTATATTGTTGGATATGTTTTTTCTGTATATGCTCTCACAATATTTGCTTTTTAATTGAAGTCTCTAGTTCCTTTATATTTAATGTACTTACAGATACATTTGGGCTTAAACCTATCATCTGATTATTTATTTTCTGTTTTTCATATCTATTTTTAAATTTTTATTTATCTTGCCTTTTGAATTAATCAAGTTTTTTTTTTTTTGACAGAGTCTTGCTCTTTCGCCCAGGCTGGAGTGCAGTGGTGCAATCTCGGCTCACTGCAAGCTCCGCCTCCCGGGTTCACGCCATTCTCCTGCCTCAGCCTCCCAAGTCGCTGGGACTACAGGCACCCGCCACCATGCCCGGCTCATTTTTTTGTATTTTTAATAGGGACAGGGTTTCACTGTGTTGGCCAGGATGGTCTCGATCTCCTGACCTTGTGATCCACCTGTCTCGGCCTCCCAAAGTGCTGGGATCACAGGCATGAGCCACCGCGCCCAGCCTAATCAAGTATTTTTAAAATTATTTTTCTATTTTCTCCCTTAATAGTGGTTTTAGTGGTTATCTTAGGCATTTCAATATGCATTCGTAATGTATGAATCTTCCTAACATTATTTTTTTTCACTGCTTCCCAGGCAATTTGCAGCATTTCAACTCTTTTTACCATTCCCTATTGCCTTCTATGTTATTTTTCTGTTGTATTATAACTCTCTTTATATTTTTAAACCACAAAAGATGTTGTAATTGTTATTCTCAATCATCAAAGTTTATTTAGATTTCCTCGCTCTCCCTCCTCCACAGTGATCTTCAGTCCTTCCTGCATTATTTTGTTTCCATTTAAGGTCTTTTCTCTCTTTTTCTGCATAAAATGTTCCTTTTAATATTTTTTTTAGTGTAAGTCTCCTGGAAACAAATTCTCTCATTTTTTGTTTGTCTAAATCTGTCTTTATGTTGCTGTATTTTATGAGGATATTGTCACTATATATAGAATAATAAATTGGCAGTTATCTCCTTCCAACTCTTTAAAGATATTAATCGTCTTGTTGAATTCTGGCATTCAGTGCATTTCTGTTGAAAAGTCAACTGTCAATCTCATTGCTTTGAATGAGGGTATCCTTTTTCTGGCTACTTTAAAGATTTTTCTCTCTGTAGTTTGATTTTGTTAGTTCGAATACATTGTATTTAGATGTGGTCCTCTTTGTGTTAATCCTGCTTGGGGTTTATAGCACTTCTTGACTCTGTAAGCTTGATATCTCCCAACCTTTGAAAAATTCCTGGCCAATATTCCTTCAGAAGTATTGTTTCTGTTTCCTCCTGTCTCTTCTTTTGCTGGAACTCCAGTTACATATACTAATACTTTTCACCATCTACTATATATTACTTACACTCATTCTATATTTCCAATCCTTTTGTTCTCTGTATCATTAGAAATGAATATTTTCTACTAACCTATATTTCAGTTTAGTGATCCATTCTTATTCCATTTTTAATCTGCTGAATTAATATCTGATGTTGTATTTTTAAGTTTTAGGATTTCTATTTGATTCTACTCTTCTATATAGATACCAGTTTTCTGGCAAAGCTCTCCATCTTTTAAAAAATTTTTCTTGATTATACTAATGATGATTTTAAATTCCCGAAATAATAAATCTAACATTTGGTCCTGCTTTTATTGTTTACTTTTTCTTGGCTTTTGGACATTTGGTCCTATTTTTAAGCATTTCTAATAACTTTTCATTGAATGTAAAACATTGTACATGAACAACTTGTAGGGTCTTGATAAATAATAATGTTTTGTGATCCTAAGTTTCTCATAATGGAGTCACTTATGATAAGTGACTCAGCCTACAGTGAAATTGTTGACCCTTCAAAGTGATAAACATATATATGGTGGACTGAAGTGATAGGATACCACCTGCTGTGATCAGGCAACCCCAAGACCTAACAAGAAAGTGAAGCCAAAAGTCAGCTGAGATCATGGCTATGGATCCTCCTGTAGAGGGTCATAAAAACTGCAAAGAAACTGGCCATGGCCAAGATGCTTGCAGAAGCTCTGCCCACGATAACTCTGAGACCTCTTTTTCATAGGCAGCAGCTGCTGGAAGCACTGCTGGGGGAAAAGTGGCAACACCCTCTGCCACCTTGGGAAAGCCAGACCTGCCCAGTTGGTCAGCCAGCGTGCTGGTCTCCTGAGCTACTCACTGTGGTTAAGGTCTCCCTCTCTCTTAATACTGCCTGTGGGTATTAAATATATTTGCACGACTGTTGTTGGGTGAAAACCTCATAATAAACCATGTATTTGAAGGCATTTAATAGGTCAAAAAGTCGTTGTGAAACATCCTGCCCCTCAGTCGGAGATAGCACAACGAAGCTAATTTGCCCCTGACAGGAGAGGTCTCTGGATGAAGTAACATTTCTTCCTGGAAGATTAAATTGTTTTTCTGACAGGCAAATAGACCATGTGAAGATCTGCTTCATCCAGTTGAAGCTGGACTTAAAGCTTTGGGAGAGCTAGTTTGGGGCATAATAAAGATAACCTCAAATTCTTTGACATTCCTTTCGTTGAGTTGCTCCTCCTCTTACAACTGAGTGGGCTCTGGGACTGCTTTGACCAATCTAATATGGCAGAAGCGTTACTGCACCAGGAACTCCGAGTTCTTTGGCTCTCGGCTAAGCAGAAATTAACACCAGGCCAAAGATAAATTTTCTCAGGCTAGGTTTGCTGCTTGAGCTTCCCAAGGGAGCAGCATACTGGAAAGGGCTCCTGGTGCTAGCTCCTGCAGGAGCCAGGCTCTTCTCATTTTAAGGAAGCTGACATGGGAAAAGTAGTCACCCGCTGGCCTGATTAGACTGGGCTTTCCCTGTGCCTGCGCAGGGGGGCGTCATCCCCTGACAGGCCCATGTACAGAAAATGGCGGATAAGCCCCGCCTTGGGCAGAGATGTTAGTATTACAATGAGATTACAGTGAGAAGAAAGTCATGAAAGGTCAGTGGCGGATTTCATCTTGTCTTCAGCCCGCTGGATCTGGTCCAGTTACTCTAAGGAATACCAGAGTCCTGCTTCACCAACCTTGGAAGATATTACTCAAGGAGTTAAATGGTTAGGTTCTTTCTTTTATGGTTTGGATTTCAGCCTAATCAGCTAAGTTAGGAGAGACTATGTGTTTGGGTAGCAGGAAGGCTGGGGGAGGGAATATATCCAAGACATGTGAGGCCCATTGAGATCTTGGTTACCAAGTTTCTTGTCTGCCAGGATAGAGTCTCTTCTCCATACTGTCTCAGAAGTGATGCTGTGCCAATTTGTGGTCCAGGTCTTAAGAGAATGGCCTTGTCTTTTGAAATGCCCCCTCTGGAGGAAACTAGTCACCATATGAGAAGTGCAACTACACTGAGACTTCCATGCTGTGAGGACCCAAACCAGTCATGTGTAAAAGACTCCTATAGAGATAAATGCTTGACCACTCCCCAGCTATTTTAAACCTCCTAGCCCAGGCTCTAGGGACTTGAGCAAAAAAACTTTCAAACAACTGCAGTCTCAATATCTGGCTGCACGTGAAGATCACTGAACCACCCAGCTGAGTCTGTCAACCCCCAAAATTATGAAAGATAGTAAGTTTTCCTCTTAAATCTCTAAATTTTGAGATGGTTTGCAAAACAGTAACAGATAATGGGAACACGGTCTACTAGAGAGCGGCTTTTAATGCAGTGGCTTAGCCCTTAGTTAATTCCCCATCTGGAGTCTCAGCTGAAAGCATGAGGATATTTCACACAGCTTCTCCACTGTGTTGGACCATGAACTCCAACTTCTGCCTACCCAGTGCTAGATGACTGCCAAAAATCCCTGCTCAGCTACTCAGCACCCCAGTTGCTACAATCTGCGATTTTCTTTAGAGATTTGCCTGATTTTGCCTCATGTAAGCCCAGCTAGGAGTTAGTGGATGCCTCAAAGAGAAGTTTCATGCTGAATTTTGGGCTCAGTTTTCCAAGGTTCCCTCCTTTCCGGGTATGTTTTAATCGTTCCCATCATTGAAAGATAGGAAGGGCAGTAGCAAAAAAGAAATCAGAAGGGCAAATGAAGAAGGAGAAAAGATTGACAATTATAGAGATAAAAGGGAAAGAAGTTGGCAGGTTTAGAAACGAGCACGTGTTCAAATTTTTATCTCAAAGCTTTCTATATTTCCTGCATATCAGTTTCTCACTACTAATTACATATGTTTTTGCTTAGTTGATCAACATTTATTTGCCTAGATTCTATAAATTGCTTCCCTATTTCCATGTCTATCTTCACCTAATGGCCATGCCTTTCTGGCATGCCCTGTATTTGATCTTTTACTGCTTTGAGAGGCTAGCAATAAGAACAAATTTTATGCAAACTTTGCATTTCACAAACTGGTTAGTTCTTTTTTTTTTTAGTTTATCATCTGCTTTCTGTACCTTGTCATATTCATCAGGCAGCAGCTAATTGACACTTTCATTCTTGTGCCTAGCAATCTTCTTAGCCAAATTGAAATATTCATTAGGGACATGTTCCGTCCTCCAAGTTGCCACAAATAACACTTTGCTAGTCACTTCATTACTTTAAACATGGATTGCCAGTTTTCCAGCCTCCCCTTAAAATTTTCTCACCATTTTTCTGGGCTTAGCTTTTAAAGTCTGTAGTCACTACTCCTACACAAAGCTAATGCCACATATTTTAGGATTTTGTTTTAGGTATCAATTTCTGTATCAGTTAGTAATTGCTGTGCAATACACCATCCCAAAAGTTAGCAGCTTAGAACAACAGTGTTTTTTGTTGTTCCTCATGGGTCCACAGGTTGACTAAGCAGTTTTGCTGATCTGGGCCAGATTTGACCTTTCTTCTTTGGGATCCCTCATGCATCTGTGACCAGGCAGGGGCCAGCAAAGGGCTCTATTTCTAAGGGTTGGCTCACCTCTCCTCTATATGCTTCCTTACCATGCTATCAGGTCAACCCAGCCTTGTTCTCATGGGAGAGGAAAGGCTCCAAAAGACCAGAAGTCATGAGATCTCTGGAGGTCCAGCCTGAAACCTGGGACAGCATCACTCCTCCCATGCTCTGTTGGCCAGAGAAAATCACAGGCAGCCCATACTCAAGAATGTGGTGGGATGGGGCAGCGGGGAGGAATACATACAGCCTCTTGATGGGGCTGCAAAGTAATATAGCAAAGTGTGTGGATATAGAAATTGATGAACAGTTGGGGGCAACTTTTTATTTTTTACAGTCTACCACAAGCTATGACAGAAATCAGCACAGAGTGAGTGGAGACCAATAAGCCAAAAGCATTGCATGTAAGGAAGCCTTCAATACAAGGTGGTATCTGAGCTAGGTTTTTTTAGGATGAACAGGAGCTAGTCAAAAGAATAAAAGGCAGAAAGCATACCAGGTAGAGAAACCAGCACGTGTAAAGACATGAAGATGTGAGAAATCACATTTGGTTCTGGAAACTGGGATCCACAACACTTTCCTGACATTGAGTGCCCCTCTCATCCTGTCCTCAGACTTATATTCTTCTTTGCTTAGAGAAATTTCAAACCTTCTTTAGGAAATCCTTAATTCATGTGTTCCCTTTTCTCATCTACCAGTGTAACCTCATGTGGCTTTGACACTGGAGCCAAAATGGCTGGGTTTCAATTCTATTTTTTTCCACCTTCCATCTGAATAACCTCTCTGTGACTTAGTTTCCCCATCTGAAAATAGTGATAACAACTTATAGGGACATTGCAATAATTAATCCCAGACACTGAAACAGGGTGGGGGTTATAGGACTGTGGGACAGGGGTAAGAGTGGAACAGAGCTTGCTAGTGGCTGCAGAATGTGGGCCAAAAGCAGATCAAGGAGCCCTCATGTGAAATGAATCAGGACTGGGATCAAAGTGTTATTATCAAGAGGCCTACTTGAGATGTGTCAGAGTAGGAACTGCTGTCTCTAGGGTACAGCAAATGGATTTGGAAGAAAAGACAGCAGGCCAGGCCTGAAGATACCTCCTCTATATCTATAAGACAGGCTCAAGGACTCAATAAAAATAAAATCTCTTTGAAGAGATGGCCCATGGTCCCTAAGTCGTGTATATGGTCCCTAAGTTTATAGGGCAAACTATACAGCGGTTGCCTAGTCATTGAGGTTGATTTATTAAAGGTATCACCAATATTGTCTCTTTTTTTTTTTTTTTTTTTTTTTTTTTTTTTTTTACTTTCACACTGAACATATCACATGGTGTTGAGTGCCTGGAACACTCAACATCATACCTTTTTTACTCTCTCCCGGTTACTGCATACCCATGCCAGATCTTTCTTCTTAAATGCCAGTTTTATCATTTTTAACTTCCAAACCATCAGTCACTTTCAGTGACTAATGGACAAATGGTCCACACTTAGTCTGTCAGTCATAGACCTCTGCAAACTGGTCTCAAACTGTTTCCAGCCCCTGCTCCTTGCACATGCCAATCAATCCCATGAAGTAGATTTCTAATAGCCAATCCCAGAGCATGACATACACAGCCTCTGAAACCATCCCTGGACAATTGCACATTCTCCACTTTTTCCCATCATTCAGCCATCTAGCATCCTACCCCAAGGTTTGTTTTTTTTTTAAAGTGCTTACTGCATACCTACTATGTACTGGTCCTCCACTAGGCATTACAACAATGAAGGAGAGGAACAAGATCCCTGCGCTTCGAGGAATTGTATACCTGTAGTTGTTTTCCTCCCCACTTCTCTACCTATCGAGATCCTATATATCCTTCTGCAGCTTTTACAACAATTTCCGTCTCCTGTGAGGCTAAATGAACTATACAACAAATATTAGAAACCACTTTTATGCATTGCTATATTCTCACAGTGTCTTGTGTATTGCTTTACACATAGGAGGTGCTCAGTAACTGGTATTCATTAATTCATCCAACCATTCATTCATTCATTCTGTGGTAAGGTTAAAAATATATATATTTGGTTCCTGGCACAGAGTTCCAAAATCCCTTGGAGTCTCCTAAGTGATTAGTGTCCTTTGTATGCTAATGAGATGATTTTTGGCAGAAGGGGCCTAGACAGCTTCAAATGGGGGCTGGCCACCAGAAAGACCAAGCCATGATTGGAAGTTTGGAACTTTCAGCCCCATCCCCCTACCTCAAAGAGAGAATGGAGATTGAGTTCATTCACCAAGTAACGATTTCTGTAGTCATTCCTAAGTAATGAGACCTCCCTAAGAACTCTTAAACAATGGAGTTTGGAGAGCTTCCAAATTTGTGAGCCCACTGAGGTGCCAGGACGGTGATGCATTCCAACTTCACAGGGACAGAGGCTCCCGCACTAGGGACCCTTTCAAATCTCATTCTATGTACCTCTTCAACTGTTTTTTTTTACTGGTATCATTTATGATAAATTGTAATAGTAAATATAGCATTTTTCTGTGAATTACTGAACACAAAGAAAGAGGAGTCATGGGGACTCCCACATTTGTAGCCAAGTTAGACAGAAGAATAAGCGTGCACACTCAATTGTGGCTGGCTTCTGAAGGGGGAGCAGTCTTGCGGGACTGAGCCTTCAATTGAATTGAATTGAATTGGTAGACACCCAGTTTGTGTCAGAGAATGGAGAATCAGAGACATTCATTTACTTATTCATTTATTCATGATGCTCAACACTTCACTCAGACTTTCAGTTTTAAACTCTAGGTGAATCCTCCTCCTACCCCCAAATTAGTCTCTGACTTGGCCAGACAAAATTTGAGTCAGAAGATGTCAAACTTTTATCTGGTTAAAAAGCTGACTTTATCATTTCTCTTCCCAAATAATCTATTTCAAGCAACTAGTCACTTCATAGCCTTCCATGTTTCTCACCATAGGCGATTGCTTTCTTTCCCTCCCCAGTCAGAGAAGTTAGTGAGCGTAGAGTTCCTAACACCCAACTCAGACACTTCATAATGAATTGCCACAATCTGGCAGATTTGGAGTTATAAGCCTAGTCCCTTTCTTGAACAAAAGACTGAGACTCTTGCTCTAATCTACTGACCACAAACATTCCTAAGTAGCTTCTGCTACTTAGGAAACAATTAATCAACCCCCAATATAACCAAAACACATTTCCCAGATAACCAGTTTTAAGGCCTGTGATTCTATTCAACATTTTTTGTTTTTCTCAAGAAGTAAATTAGTTACTACAAATAGAGAGATCCAGAATCCAACATTGCCATTTAATTTACTCGTGGAAATATGGAGTTTTTGACAAATATTTTAGGCCTCCAATCATGGGTCAAGATTATTATAAATAAACTTAATGTCCAATTATTAAAGAATGGTTAATTAAATTATAGTGCATAAAGGTTGCATTTTAAAAATATTCAATTTATGTTTGTGAAAAAAATTTAATAGCAATGGGAAATGCTTACAATCTAAGGAGCAGGCGAAAAAAAGACGGTATTCAGAGAAGTTGATAAAATACAATGCCACAAACATGTACGTGTACACAAAGAAAATAGGCTGGAAGCACAAGCATCAAAATTTTAACAATTATATTAATTTTCCTTTGCAAGTTTGTGTATTTTTGAAAGTTTTCTATGTCAACATCTGCTCACCTCCTAAAGTTGATTAAATTTTTTTTCTTTAGGAACCACCAAACAAAATGCAAAGCCCAAGAAGTTGGCTATGACACTTCAAAATTTGCTCATCAAATTGTCCCCTATCAGAATAATAACAAGCTGTCCATTCTCTTCATAATGAGTTATTTCATTTTTCCCTAAGATGGGCACAATCTTAAATATACCTTAATCAATTTTCTCAAATTAAGATACCGCAAAACCTACTTTCCCCTGGCTCGTTGCAAGTGTTATCAGCTAGTCTCCGATGAGAAATACAATTTAACAAATTGTGAAGGATAGGATGCCTGAGCAGTAAGGACTGTTTGGCTCGCATGAGCTCCCAAAACCCACAATAGGATTTTCTAGAATCACACTCCTATGTCGTCCATTAGAAGTTAACCAATAGGCTCATGCATGACAATGAGGCCTCACCTCCCTAGAAAAAGTACCAGACAGCTTTTTAACACATTTAATTTTTCTTCTGTTATCTGAGACCATAATGCTACTGCCAGTTGTACTTAGCAAAAGCTAAATGGCAAATGAAGTAAAAAAGAAAATTCATTTGACAGGAAAAGCATTTCTTGGGTGGATATGATGAACAATATAGCCCAAGATTCAACATTTAAGAAAAGGTTAAAGTCTGAGGGAAAAGCAAAAGGCAATATAATACTGTGATGATAACCAAACTGCCTTCACATTCCCCCTTGAGCTGGTTTCATAACAATTGCTGCATAAGTGTTAGAGTAAAATTGTTTTTTTTTTTCTTTTTTACGCCAACCTTCAAAGCAGCTCAGAGTATTTTCACATTCAGCCAGGACCACAAGATGAAAAAAAATTCTTTCCTCTTTGATTCTAAATACAACTAAGTAGTTTTTTAGAAATGAGGCAGAAGGACAGATGGAAGCTGAAAGTACCCTGCATCAGGGCCACACATAGAGGTTTCGATACAATATTTGAAAGGAGAGATCCACATAGCCATGCAGGGGTCTACTGCCACGTACTAGCTGCTGGATGCAATTACATTAGGAACTTCACGATTCAAAGAGCAAAGCATTTGCTAAATTAATTGCATGTGTGGCCGGAATATTAATGACTACTATCATACTCAGCCTGTAATAATACCCAAGTGAGTCATTTCACAAAAATTGTCATTTATAAAAAAATCAACTAATCAGAGAGGTTGATTAGTTGATTTTTTTGAGAGGTAGGCTCATTTTCAAATGACTAATGAGAGGTAGGCTCATTTTCAAAACTAGATTTTTTCCCCTTTATACTTTAGCACATTCTATTTTTCCTTACAATGTCTGCATTGATGAAGTTCAATGCCTGTACTAGTTTTCAGCTACAGAGTAACCATAAACACATAAAATTCTCAGAGATTATCTTACTTGGGATTTTTTAAGGAGTATTCTAGTGACCCCTTTTCATGATCTGCATGAGAATCATGAAAAGATACTTATTTAAAAACATAGGTTTTGGGGACTCACCTCAAAGTTAATTATATGCAATCTCAAGGTAGGTAGTCAAGAATTTCCACTTTTAAAAATTTCTTCTCTGGTTGATTTTTATGACCACTAAAATCTGAATGAATATTAGTGTTCTAAATTTTCAAAAAAAGAAATTCCATAAAAACAAAATGATGATAAGCAAATTATAAAATTCAATACTAGAAGAGTTAACTTGCCCCAACTCATCCACTGTCAGTGGATTTGTCAGAGAAGGTCTATCTTAAATGAAAAGAGGCATATCCAAGGTGTTCCTGGAGAGGTGCTCAAGGATATATTTGGCCCCATTAACTTAGAAGTGACAAGGACACATTGAAGTTTCATTTACGGATCTCTTAAATTAAATATCAGATTTTTACATTCATTCTATATTTGTCCTTTCAATAAATATGCCTGCCTAAAATCTAAAGCCATATCTAAATTTGTAGGTGCTGGTAAAGAATAGCATAGACAGAAGGACCATAAGTGAAATACCTGCGCAGCTGCCTGTAGGCTGCCAATGCACACACCAGAAAGCTACTCAGATGAATTCACAGAAATGTGAGTGAGCCTGGGGTTTAGATTCAGGTTTCATAGCCAACTTGAATCTAAGACAGAGGGCAAATCATATTTCTCTGATAAATAAGAGAGGATGACATAGAAGAGTGGTATCCAAACTTGGTTGTATAATGTTTGAATCACCTAGAGAATTTTCAAAAAACAAAAACAAAAGCAAAAAAGAAACCCCTCGTTTTCAAGCCTCAACTCAATATTATTGAAACAGTGCACAGAGCTGCAGTTTAGAAACGTTTAGGTGATTCTCAAATGCCTACTTTGAAATACTTTGAAAATAAAGGCTTAGCACAACCTGATCATAATTACTAGAAAAATAATTCAAAATTTATCTTATTACTGTTGACTTTGAAGCATTGTCTTTACAAGTAGAAAGTATACAAATCTTTTATTATAATTTGATATTTACTTTTTAATTTTCAGATTTTTTTCTTGATCCTAAATGCCATAGATGTCATCTCTGAGTATGTGGTGTATCTTCGCTCTATTAGCCATGGAACAGGACAGGATTGGAGAATATGTACATATATATATATGAATATATACACACACATGCTACACTATATATATACACATATATACATATATATACACATATATACACACACACACATATACACATATATACGTACATATGTGTGTGTGTGTGTATATATATACGTATATCTGCATGTACCAAATAATCCAACTTTAAGACTATATATATATTTGGGAGGCCGAGGCAGGTGGATCACGAGGTCAGTAGATCAAGACCATCCTGGCCAACATGGTGAAAGCCCATCTCTACTAAAAATAGAAAAAATTAGCCGGGCATGGTGGTGGGCTCCTGTAGTCCCAGCTACTCAGGAGGCTGAGGCAGGAGAATTGCTTGAACCTGGGAGGCGGAGGTTGCAGTGAGCTGAGATCAAGCCACTGCACTCCAGCCTGGGCAACACAGCAAGAGAGTGAGACTCTGTCTCAAAAAAAAAAAAAAAAAAAAAAGAATATATATATACACACACACACACACACACATTATACTACATATATACGTATGCATATATCCTTATAGATATACATATATACATATACGTATATGCGTGTATATACATATATATGTATATATACATATATAATATATGCGTATATATACGTGTATACATGTATAGATATAGTGTAGAGAGTGTGTGTGTGTGTGTGTGTGTGTGTGTATATATATATATATTCTTTTTTTTTGTTTTTTGTTTGAGACGGAGTCTCGCTCTCTTGCTCTGTCACCCAGGCTGGAGTGCAGTGGCTTGATCTCAGCTCACTGCAACCTCCGCCTCCCAGGTTCAAGCAATTCTCCTTCCTCAGCCTCCCCAGTAGCTGGGACTACAGATGCCCGCCACCATGCCCAGCTAATTTTTTCTATTTTTAGTAGAGACGGGCTTTCACCATGTTGGCCAGGATGCTCTCGATCTCCTGACCTCGTGATCCACCTTCCTTGGCCTCCCAAATATATATATACTCTTAAAGCTATATTATTTGGTACATGTAGGTTTACAATTGTGATATCTTCCCTTGATTCCTTTGACTTACAAAGTGTCCCTCTTTATCTCTAATAATCCTCTTTAGGGTGTAGTTTTTGCATGGTATACTTTTCTTTTTTTGTTTCTTCCTTTTTCTCAAATTTCACAGATATTTCTTGTTAGCAGTAATACTGGTCATGCAATTTTTAAACTTATCTTGCAATAATTTTAGACTTACAGAAAAGTTACAAGAATAGTACAGAGTCCCTGTATACCCATCTCACAGCTTCTCTTCATCTTAACATCTTGCATAGCCATAATACAATTATCAAAACTAACAAATTAGTATTAGTAGATTGCTATTATTTAAACTCCAGGCTTTTCAGATTTCACCAGATTTTCCACTAATGTCCTTCTCCTATTCCAGGATTCAGTCCAAGAGCCCACATTTCAATTAGTTGTCACATTTCCTTAATCTCCTCTGGGATGTGTCAATTCCTCAGTCTTTTCTTGTCTTTTATACCCTTGACACTTTTTGATGTGATTTGGCTGTGTCCCCACCCAAATTTTATCTTGAATTGTAGCTCCCATAATTCCCACGTGTTGTGGGAGGGACCCGGTGGGAGATAATTAAATAATCATGGGAGTGGTTCCCCCATACTGTTCTCATGGCAGTAAATAAGTCTCATGAGATCTGATGGTTTTATAAGGGGAAACCCCATTCTCTTGGCTCTCATTCTCTCTCTTGTCTGCTGCCATGTTAAGACATGCCTTTTGCCTCTACTGTGATTGTGAGGCCTCCCCAGCTATGTGGAACTGTGAGCCCATTAAACCTCTTTTTCTCTGTAAAGTACCCAGTCTCAGGTATGTCTTTATTAGCAGCGTGAGAATGAACTGATATACTTTTGAAAAACACCGAGCAACTATTTCATAGAATTTCCCTCAATTTTGGTTTGCCTGATGTCTTCTCATGATTAGATTGACGCTAGGCACTTTTGGTGAGAAAATAAACAGATGATATTCCCTTCTTGGTATATTATATCAGGCAGTATGTAATGTTTTTGTGTTTTATTCCTAGTGACGTTACCCTTGATCACATGATTATGATGGTATGTTCTGGGTTTTTCTATTATGAAGTCATTATCTCTCCCTTTGTAATTAATAAATATTGTGGAGGAGATACTTTGAGTGTATGAAAATATCCTGTGTCTCCTCAGACTTTTGCCCACTAAATCTACCATCCATGGGGGGATCTTGCCTAAAACAATTATTACAATGTCATTATCATGGTGATTTCCTATTTCCCTCATTTCTTCTACATTTATTCATTGGAATTCTATGAGATAGAACTTCCCTTTCCCTCTTTTATTTATTCAGTTAATTATATCAGTATGCTTTGGGTTATTATATAATATTATCATTATCAATTTCATTGTACAAATTTTTCCAGTTTGGGCCATTGAGAGCTTTGTCAGGTTGGCGCTTGTGGTCTTTGACAAGCCCTCAATTTTTTTTTTTTTTCTGAACACATCTTTACTTTTTGGCACCATAATCATAATCTTCTCCATCTTTTCCCAGCTCTGCAATCAACCACTTTTCTCCAAGGAATTCTGATTGTAAAGTAGCATTTAGAAAGTAAGATCTGGATACTAGGTGTGCTCATTGCCATTGATTTGCCATTATCCTCTCAGAAGTCAGAACCAGAAAATACACGTATGTATGCTATGCCATGATTACATATACATCTTTGTTTATTTCTGTATTTATCTGTGTGTGTATGTGTGTGCATTCAGATTGATACCTGTGATTCCAGTAACAACGTGGGTTTATTCTAGATGTTCCACTTTCCTTATTTATAACTTTTTTCTCCACAGTGAAAAACTTGATCCCATTATCTGCAATATTTTTACTTATTTGTTCAAGTCTAGTATATACCAATAAAGTTTCATAATTGTTAATGGGTGCTCATGTGAAAAACAATTTGCCAACTAGACTCAGTGTTTACATATAGTTCTTTTTGTCCTCAGTCTTATAGAATACAGTCCAAAAATGCTGTTTTCTGAAGTAATTTGACTTATTTTCTTCTTCATTCCTTTCAGGGTGGTTATGTTATTCATTTGTAACACAGGCTCACTTGTAATATTTATATTCCATTTTAGTTTCCCATCAAATCCTGGTTGATTTTAAAAATATTTACCTACAGTAAAACTCACTCTTTAAGGTAATATACAGGTTTTGACAGATGCTTAGCATTGTATATCCACAACCACAGCCGTAACAGAGAACACTTCCATCACTGCACTTCCTTTGAACTGCCCCTATGTATCAACCCTTCCAACTGCCCCTTACCGAAGTAAACCACTGATTTGTTTGACATTTCTATAGTTTTGCCTTTTCCAGAATGTCATATAAATAGAATCACCTAACATACAGCCCTTTAGATTTGGCTTCTTTTACTTAGCTAAGTACATTTAAGATTCATACATGTTGTTACATGAATCAATAATTTATTGATTTTTATTACTGAATAGTATTTCATTGTATGGATGTACAGTTAAGTGGTTTATTCGTTCACTGATTAAAGGGGACTGGGCTGTTTCCCAAGTGGGGCAAGTATGAACAAATCTGCTTGAAGTATTCTTGTACAGGTTTTTGCGTGAAAGTAAGTATTCATTTCTCTTGGGCAAATATATTAGTCAGGGTTATACAGAGAAACAGAATGTGTATATATAGAAAGAGATATCCAGTAGGATGTGTATATTAAGAGAGATATAGCTCTGGAGGTTGTCAAGTCCAAACTCTACAGGATAGGCTGGCAGGATGGAGTTGATGTTGCAGCTCAAATCCATCAAGCCATCTGCTTCAGGTTGGTGGGAAACATGGAAAGATTAGTGAATTTCAACAGCATGCATCTATTACTGCACTTTATTTGTTATGAAGTGAGTCCCTTGATCAGAAGCAGTGCTGTGTGGAATACTATGATGGTAGTATCTCACTTCTGGTACCAAAATCTTATTAGTCATGCTTCTCTGGAGAAATAGAATGAATAGGAATGGGACAGGAACAGATTTATTTATTTCTTTATTTATTTTTTGAGACGGAGTCTCACACACTCGCCCAGGCTGGAGTGCAGTGGGCCATCTCAGCTCACTGCAAGCTCCACCTCCTGGGTTCTCGCCATTCTCCTGCCTCTGCCTCCCGAGTAGCTGGGACTACAGGTGCCCGCCACCACGGCCGTCTAATTTTTTGTATTTTTAGTGGAGACGGGGTTTCACCGTGTTAGTCAGGATGGTCTCAATCTCCTGACCTTGTGATCTGCCCACCTCAGCCTCCCAAAGTGCTGGGATTACAGGCGTGAGCCACTGCGCCCGGCCAGGAACAGATTTATTTTAAGGAATTGGCTCATGTGATTTTGGAGGCTGCCATGTACAAAATCTACATGTAGGGTAGTCCAGCAGGACAGAGGCCCATGGAAGAGTTGATACTGCAGCTTGAATCCAAAGGCTGTCTAAAGGCAGAATTCCCTCCTCCTCCAGGGATTTCAATTTTTCTCTTAAGACCTTCAACTGATTGGATGGGGCCCATCTACATTAGAGAGGGCAATCTGCTTTACTCCAAGTCTGCTGACATAAATGTTAATCTCATCTTTAAAAAGCACCTTTGCGGGCCGGGTGCAGTGGCTCACACCTGTAATCCCAGCACTTTGGGAGGCTGAGGTGGGTGGATCACGAGGTCAGGAGATTGAGACCAGCCTGGCTAACACAGTGAAACCCCGTCTCTACTAAAACTACAAAAAATTACCCGGGCGTGGTGGCACATGCCTGTAGTCCCAGATACTCAGGAGGCTGAGGCGGGAGAATCGCTTGAACCCGGGAGGCGGAGGTTGCATTGAGCCAGGAGGTTGAGATCAGGCTGCTGCACTCCAGCCTGGGCCACAGAGTGAGACTCTGTCTCAAAAAAAAAAAAAAAAAAAAAAAAAAAAAAAAAAAAAAAGTATTTTAGCAACAACATCTAGGCTGGTATTTGACCAAATATCTGAGTACCATGGCTTAGCCAAGTTGACATATAAAATTATCCATCATAGTAAGTTTCTAGGAGTGGGATTGCAGAGTCAAATGAGAAACATATATTTAATTTTATTAGAAACTGCCAAAATATTTTCCATAGTGGCTGTGCCATTTTTCATTCCCATCAGCAATGTATAAGAGTTCCAGTGGCATGGTCACTTTTTTTTGATTGTTTGTTTTTGGCCATTCTAATGTGCATGTAAGGTGTCTCATTATGGTATTAAAATGTATTTTTCTGAAGACTAATGACGTTGAGCACCATTCTATATAGTTATTTTCATCCATATATCTTGTTTGATGAAATGCCTGTTCAGATTTTTGGCATTTTTTAAAAAAATTGATTGTTGCTTATCTTATTTTTGAGTTTCGTGAATTCTTTATGTATTCTGGATATAAGACCTTTGTCTGAAATGTTATTTGTAGATATTTTTTCCAAACTGGACCTTGTCCTTTTGTTCATTTAACAGTGCATCTTGCAGACCAAAGTTTTCCAAATTGAATAATATCCGACTTAGAAATATTTCTTTTGTGAATGTTTTTGGTGTGGTATCTAAAAATCTTTTGTCTAACTTGAGATAACAAAGGTTTTCTCCTCAATTTTCCTTTAGAGGTTTTATGTTTTCATTTATGTGTTTAGTACATTTTGAGTTAACAGTTGTGTAAGATACAAGACATGGGTTTGAGGTGGATCTTTTTGTTTGGAATTTTGCTTGTTTAGTTGGTTGGTTGGTGCCTTCCACCATGATAGGAAGCTTCCTGAGGCCTCCCCAGAAGCAGTTGCCACAAGAAAACCACAATAATTAATTTAGAAATGATGATATTGACACTGACAGGTGAAGATAGGTGGTGGTCATTCATAAGAATTGATTCTTGAACATTTCTTTGCCCAATTTTTGTATTAATTTGTCTTATTATTGAGTTATAAAAATTTATTATATATTCTGGGTAAGTCCTTTATTTGCTTTGTATTTTTAATACCCAATTCAAGTATGTGACTTGTCTTTTCATTGTCCTAATAATGTTTTTTGAAAAGCAGACATTTTAAATTTTGATGAAGTACAACTTACCACTTTTTGTTTATGGATTATAATTTTGGTGTGTATCTGTGACACTTTTGCCTAACCCAAGACCACACAGTTTTTATCCAATGTTTTCTTCTGGAAGTTTTATAGTTTAAGTTCTTATATTTAGGACTATGATTCATTTTCAGCTGATTTTTTATGTTTGGTGCAAGGTATAAATCAAAGTTGACATAATTTTTAAATGTGAATATTCAATTGTTCCTGCACCATTTGTTGAAAAGACTTCTTTCTCTGCTGCTTTGTCTTGGCACCTTTTTCGAATATCACATTGATTGGTTTCTGGACTCTATTCTATTCTGTCAATCTATATTTCTATCCTTATGCCAATACTACACTGTATTAATGCTTAATATTTTTAAATGAAGGTTAAAATGGCTATAAATTAACTTTAAATACTTTTCACATCCATGCTTTGAAATTAATCATTTATTGGTTTATAAACTCTTAAGATTTAAAGATTTAAATGAGTAAAAAATTTTTTTAAGTTGCTAAATGTAAAACTCTGAGAACCCATAAGCAAATGCTAACAACACAGGGAAGAAAGACCTTCAAGATGAAAATAAAACTCCATGATGATACAGAACTGCAGAGAACTCTGGAGAAAGCTAGTGAAATTGAGAAAAAGGGAGAAATTATAGAACATTTACCAGAGTTTGCCATATGAGGTGCACAGGAGATCACTGGATAAATTTTTTAGGGTATCAATGCCTGATCCCCACCCCCAAATATATGGACTGTTTTGGAACAAGGCTATGTTTGAGGATCAAATATATATTCCAGATATAAGTAATCAACAAGCTTAATCATTGTGAAGAGAACAAAACAAGTATGTAATACAGAGATGAGGACTGCACTGCTGTAAGATATTAAGGAATGAGCTAAATATCACAGAAATACACCTTTATTTTTAATAATTATTAAGAAGTATACAATTACATACATTTATTCAGATACAGAAAATTGATATGAAAATATCTGACCTTCACTTTGAGAGCTAGAAAAAGTTATTATATACTAATAACTACCACTCTTTAAACATCTCCACTTGGGATCCCCCAGAAGCAGATCCTGACAGAGATTCAATGCAATTATTTTACTGGGAAACCCCTGAAACAAGGCACCCAATAAAGGAGATGTCGTAGCTAGCTACCACTGTGATCAGCTGGACCTTAATCCTACGAAGTTCTGGGAAGGGTGCAAAACATATCTCAGAGTTATCCTGAGAGGCAAGAGCACTGGGATATTTATGCACCAACACTTAAGAGTCAGAGTTTGAGGATTTCTGGGAAGGGAGTGTTATCTCTCGGGTACTTCTGTCCTTCCAAGTCTTCAGAAATAGCCCTCAGGAACAAAGTGGCATACACTGAAAGCTGGAAGTCCACCAGAGTACACACAATTGATAAAGAATGAGGCACAGATGGATTATGCCTCGATGCACTAGGGGATTTTGAGATCCATTTAATGCATTATTTATAAGCTTCACAAATACTACAAAGAGGTTTTTTTTTCTTAGAAAGAAACCAAGACACATCCAATAAATAATTATTGTGTGCCTTTTATGGCCCAGGCACTGCTCCAGACACTAGGGATAGAGTGGTGAACAAAAACAGATTATGCCCATATGGAGTTTACACTCTGGTAGGGAGAGACTGGCAGACATGTAAGCCAATATAGCATCAGATGTAGATAAGAACTGAGAAGAAAAATAAAGCAAAATAAGGGAATCAAGAATGACGAGGGGTGCTTTTTCAGACCATTCATTTAGGGAAGCCTGCTCTTAAAAGATGAATTTGAGAAGAGAACTGAATGCAGGGAAGAAGCAAGCCCAGTGAAGACTTCAGGCGAAGGAAACAACAAGTCTACGGCCCCGAGGTGTATCCATGTTTGGTATATGTAAAGAACAACAAGGAAGCTAGTGTGGCTGGAAGAGAATGAAGAAGGGAGATTAATCAGGAATAACGCGAGAGACAGACCCTCATAGTCCATAGTGAGGAATTTGTAATTCATGTTAGATGTAATTGTAAGTGTGGCAGGTAACAGTGGATGAAGAAAAACAAGCTAGGAATCTAGTGTACTAATTCAGGAAAAATAAAGGTATTAAATGATTCTCCTAATAAGATAAAATTAACTGCTCAATCTGCACTTCAAACTTAAATCTGTCTTCCTCCCAAGCTGATGATCTTTGCTCTATGACATTTGCTTCTCCCTTACAGCTTGACATTTTCATTTCTCTGGAGCTCTTTATGAATATGAGTAATCAGTGATGTCTCTTTGCCAAATCAAAACAGGAAAAACAAGGAAAATCCCCCCAAACTGACAAAAGAAAAAGAAATTCCACTGAATTTAATAAGCTTGTGGCTGTCCTATTTTTTCAAACCCTGGGAAGGAAGAACAATTTAAACTTGCAGCACTGATACTTCACTAGTATCTTTGACTGCTGACTCTGAGCATTATCTTGTGAGACTCCCAGACTCACTGAAATCTCAAATTGCTGCTTTTCTGCCTGCTGAGTGCTGTGAGTTGAAAAGAACCGAGTCATTTGTTTCCTCCACAAGCCTGAGGTATTTCGTGAAACCACATTTATTTCAAGGATGCTTTCTTTCTCATGGGAGACTTTTAAGTCCCAAAGGTCAACAGAAAGCCTTGGCATATGATGCCTTTTTCATCTTGCTAACAGCAGGGAAAGAATAGAATGAAAGAGCCTAACAGTAAGAGAACATAAGGAATAAAAGAAGCAACAAGGTAATTTCATTTACCTTTTGCAGTTAAAGAAAGGAAACAAGAATAGCCCTAGCACAGAAATAATTACCTGGTTAGCATTCTGCAACCTTGCTGGATTTGTGATGCTGCAGGAATATTGATGAGTCTGACTAGTAACTTTGGTCAACCAATGACAGGTTCATGACTCCTCTCAAACAGCAGGCTGGCTTTTATAGACTTTCTGAGTCACTTCTCACTAATGCTAGCCCTCCTGAAGCTCCACTCAGGTATGAGTAATAGGGAGGTGGCCATTTCTCCCTCTGTTCCGTCTTCTTTCAGAGAAGCAATTATCTTCTTTTGTTGTCTAAATCAATAATAAATCTCTCCACCATTATCAGAACACTTGAAGAACACTGGTGGGTTGGTCCTGGATAATAATCCCTAACAAGGCAAATGCATGATTTGCCCATGGGTGTCAAAGATGAGAGAGACATCCAAGTGGAGCCAGACTGCCCGAGTTCAAATCCTAGCTCCTCCACTTATGAACTATGTGGGCATAGCTCAATTTCCAAAACTTCAGTTCTCTGATCTAAAAATGCAGATGAAAATAGTAGTATTTACCCTAGATTTACCTTGTAGTGCATTAATATAGAAAACAATATCTGGAATAACTTTCCCCCATGATAATGCATATTCACATACAACCTGATTAATTCCCACCCTCTACCCAGCACACATCCCAGAATTCTACTGACTCTGTATCCCAGGACTATGCGAGAGAAAGGCGTGCCACCTAATTAACAGATCCCTGGAATCATTCATGCTGACCTGGAAGTCTGGGCTAGGCTTTCAGGATTCACAATGGCTCTTCCCAGATGGCATCAATCCATAGCCAGAACAAGAATGGATTAGAATTGTCCCAGGGAATTCCTAGCTGGCTAACAATAACTTTTCAATAATGATTCACCAGAATTTTAAATTATTTGTACCCCATAATTGCATTAGATAGGGCTTTTGAAGTATAAATCAAACATTTAGAACACTGCCTGGGCAGAGGAGTGCTGCATATAAAACTATTGGGTATTTATTTGTTTGTTTATAGTTTTAGTGTCTCAAAAATCAGTAAAACTTAATTCACTTCCATTCTTTCGCCATTAACAGAAAACTGGAAAAAGCAAAAATGTTTTGCATTTACAAAGATAAATGGCCTCTTTACCCAGGGACCGAAACCTCAAACAAGTGTGAAAATGAAAATGCCCTCCCCCACATCCCCTGAGCTGAGCCTTGTCATCACAGACATAGCCTTCAGTCCACTGGCCAGGGACCCTGTATATGAGCAATTCAAGATGAGGGCCAAAAAATCAGACCCATCTGTTCCCATGATATAAAGTTGAACAGAAGCTACACCAAGGGTCTAATGTCTGTTTTCTACAGGACTCTGGTGGCTACTTATTAAAAAACAAAAAACAAAAACATCAAGATTCATGTCAGGCAAACTTTTTAATTTTTTTGTTGTTTTGTTTTTAAATCAGTAAAAGAAATTGGGCCCTAGAAGCTGCAGTGATCTAAGCAGTGGCATTTGTGTATTCGTATTTTCACTGTTGGGATTATTGCTATTAGTCCTCTGGCATGAAGGGGGACATTGCTGAGTCTAATACTCACAACTTGTACATGTTTATCTCATTGCAACAATAGAAGAAAAACAAATAACTATTTTGTAATATTAATACTGAAAAATAACTCCTTTATCTATAAAATAAGAGCAAAAGATGACTATGTAAATTGTCACAGTTGAACTAGTTGTGTGGTGTGAAGAATTGAAAAGTAATTGGAGTTTGGAAGATAACTTGTAAAAGTTTACATCTTAACTGAAATTTATATCCCATAGAAAATGCATTTTTAAAATGATATTCCTTCCATCTTTTTTTTTTTTTTGAGACGGAGTCTTGCTCTGTCGGCCAGGCTGGAGTGCAGCGGCGCGATCTCTGCTCACTGCAAGCTCTGCCTCCCGGGTTCACGCCATTCTCCTGGCTCAGCCTCCCGGGTGGCTGGGACTACAGGCGCCTGCCACCACGCCCGGCTAACTTTTTTTGTATTTTTTTAGTAAGGACGGGGTTTCACCATGTTAGCCAGGATGGTCTCGATCTCCTGACCTTGTGATCCACCCACCTCCGCCTCCCGAAGTGTTGGGATTACAGGCGTGAGCCACTGCGCAGGGTCCGTCCTTCCATCTTACCTCCTCTGGGCCAATAAGATACTAGGATATCTCCAATGGTATCAGTAGAGGAATTAACTTTTTTGTTTGTTTGCTTGCTTTGCTATGATTATTCTTACCACATTTTTGTGTCTGAGCTTTTTAGCATTAAATATTTAAGAAGTTAGCAGGAAAAGGGCTGACAAAAAAGAGTCTCAGAGAGAGAGAGAGTGCCTGACAGTCTCCCAAGTGATATTTTTGCTCCTTGAATACAGGAACCTCATTTTCCCAGTCTGTGTGTCTTCATATGAAAGTGAGGATGCTATGACTTGCCCATGGAGTTACTGTAGGCTAAATATCCTACTGTTTGGTGCTCAAAAGATATCATAGGCTTCCTTCCTCAGATCTGTAAATCAAACTTTAAAAATGATAACATCACTGGCACAGATACTTCACAGTGAATTGTAATCCCAGCAAGGTGAGGCAAGAGGTGGGATCAAAGCCTCCTAAATCCAAAGAAAAGATTGATTTCCATGAGTGTGGAAAGCACATAATGCACTTAGTGAGGCTTGAATGATATGAACAGCTTCATCGCATCAAAGATAAGCAGGGCTTTGCCCATTGGAACTCAGGTATCTTACTTTGTACTGGTTTAGGACAAATAATTAGTATTTCCTGGCATTTGTTGGATGATTGGCCTTCTAACTCAAAACCATGATTTTCATGTTTTTAATCCTCATTACCATAAGCCAATATCATGTAATTTTTCATCCTGACGTTTCCTGTCATTCAGGGCAGCAGCTTTTTCATTACTTATGTATCACAAGCAACTCACATGCATTAGCCTATGCATTTAAATATGTTTTAAACATCAACTTGTTTAATATATTCACATCCAACCTTGTACCTCTGGGTATGCTGTCCAAATCTTAAGAAATAGCAGTGCAGCTTGAAAATTCAGGAGTTTAGGAAAAGAGAAAACTAGCTTATTAGTGGGCAGAAGGGAAGTCAGTGAAAAAAACAAAGAGCTTATTATTCCAAGGGAACTTCAGCATTTAGCCTAAGCTATTATATCTAAATTTAAAGAAGTTTAAATCTGTATTTCTGAAACTTTTGGTATTCAACCCCAAATATAGACCACCAATTCTAGCTACACATATACCTTTTTATTTTTTCTCTTTTTTTGAGACAGATTCTCACTCTGTTGCCCAGGCTGGTGTGCAATGGCACGATCTCAGCTCACTGCAACCTCCGCCTGCTGGGTTCAAGTGATTCTCCTGCCTCAGCCTCCTGAGTAGCTGGGATTACAGGTGCCTGCAACCATACCTACCTAATATTTTTGTGCGTATTTGTAGTAGAGATGCGTTTCACCAGGTTTGCCAGGCTGGTCTCAAACTCCTGACCTCAGGTGATCCACCCGCCTGGGCCTCCCAAAGTGTTGGGATTACAGGCGTGAGCCACTGCACCCAGCCCACATATACTTTTATATTTTTTTCAGACAGAGTCTCACTTTGTTGCCCAGGCTGGAGTACAGTGGTGCAATCTCAGCTGACTGCAACATCCACCTTATGGGTTGAAGTGATTCTCCTGCCTCAGCCTCCTGAGTAGGTGGGACTAAGGCAGGCGCTACCATGCCTAGCTAATTTTTGTATTTTTAGTAGAGACAGGGTTTCATCATATTGGCCAGGCAGGTCTCAAACTCCTGACCTCAGATCCTCAGATCTGCCTGCCTCTGCCTCCCAAAGTGCTGGGATTGCAGGAATGAGCCACCATGCCTGGCCCACGTACACATTTTTAAATCAGGATTTTAAGTAAAATAGTTTAAGATATTCTGAAAACAGTTTTTCCAGAAGAAACCTATCTTGTTAGTTTTATTTTAATAGTAATATTCATTAATAGTTTATATAGTATAGAGGAAGATACTATAAACAGTCTTCCCTCAACATGTCTTAGGTATGTGCACAGAGAAAACAGCAGAATAACACAGAGCTGAAGAGCATATTTTAGAGGCAGTATCTAAGTTCAGATCTTAGCTCTGCCACTTACTTAGTAAGTTACTTACCTTCTTTATTCCTGTCTTCTCATTGACAAAATTTATTTAAAAAGTATTACCTACTGCACAGTGTTATTATAAAGACTAAATTCAGTACATGTGGAAAAATGCTTGGTATAAAACAAGTACTTGATACACATCACTCCTTATTATAAGAGGCTCAGAAGGCACAGCAGTAAAATGATCTTCTAATTTCAGCAAATTTGATGTTCTCAAAGACTGCATTTACTGCCTTTCTTATTTCAGTTAAGTAAAATCAATTTTAGACCCAATTTATACTTAAGTTGTGCTTTGCTTTCTAGTTAGACTTAACCCAAAACAACATGAAAACATGTTCAGCCTTACCAATATTTAAGCAAATTGAAAAAGTAAAATTCCTCCTTCATCTCTCAAATTAGCAAATGTAAAAGGAATGCTAAAATCTCATTAATGTGTGGTGTACTGTGGGAAGAGGGTCCTCATCAACTATTGGCAGGAGTCTAAACTGGCACAAACTTTCCAAAAGACAATTTGGCAGTATACATGCAAACAAACTGTTAAAATGTATATTCCCTTTGATTCAGAAATTTAACATGCAAAATTAATTCTAAGGCAGCATTAGACAAATGGGTAAAGATGGTAAACAAGGATGGTTACCACGGTATTATTTGTAAGAGCCTCAAATTGGAAGTTACTTAGAAATGAGTACAAAGTGATGATACTGGGCCATGTCCATAATCAATGGAATCATTCAGGAGGATGATAATTTCGATATAGAAGGATGCACGAGTGAAAATAGCATTATTACAGTATAATTCAATATTTTATAACATGCATATATATGTGTAGGTTTATAGAAAAAGTCTGAAACACTGTACACCAAAATATTAGAAATACAAGTGATTTATTTTATACTTTTTAGTAAATTATATGTATTTCAAAAAGAAAACATCTTGCTTTAGTAATAATAGAAATACCGGTGAAACTAATTAGTAAAACTTTAACTCAGAGAAACCTCTAACTCTACAGAAAGACATCATGGTGTTAAACTATTAGACAACAGGGAGGCATTTGAAAATATGACTTTATATGTTCTTTAGCTTTTTAATTCCCCTAACCAAATGGTCTTCAATATGGGTGAAACAACCTGATGGAATTTCAGTCACAGAGGTTCTTTGGACCTAAACCTGGAATAGAGTTGTGGCTTTTTGTTTTGTCTCCCCTATACTACCCATATTCTTGGGGCAGTTTATTTCAGTTAATGCTTTTTCAATCTGACTGCTAGCTATAATTTGGAATTCATTGAATGGTTGACATGGTTGACCTGGGCCAGTGTGATTCAAGGTTAACAGGACTAAAAGTCAAAATGAAAAAGAAGTTCTCTGGCACACCAGAAAGGCAACCACAAAGGAGCTATTCCAGAAGAGTGGAGTTAATGAAAAGCTATCTGTCTTTTGTCAGTAGCACCAAAATTCCAAAGATTCATATATTTAACCAGTCCTAAATGATGGTTAAAGTTGAGATGGGAGGAAGTTTTAGAAAAAGATACAAACAGACAAAAACCAATGATTCAAAGTTTATGATTGGTAGGGAAGGATGGTCAGGGGTAGGCAGTTGTTTAAATAAAGGAACATTTTAGTTTTGATAACTTGAAAGATATGAAACTTCTGATATTAGTTAATATAGAACCCCAAATTTAAAAAGTCATCTAAAGTTTCCAGAATCAAAAACTACATTTAGAGTTATCTGTGAGGAGTAGACGATTGTAAAAAAAAAAAAAAAAAGCCATATGTAGCCCCTTATAAATTATTTGGTGTGTGATTACATTATGGTAGCACTTTTCAGAAAATATCTTAATAAAAATTTATTTGGATCACTGATATTTGGTGGGACCAAGTTAGAATGTGTGAAGATTAACGTTTGACAGAATCATCCCGGTGGTGTTGTCTATGTGTGAGGGCAGAAGCTACTGACTGTGAGTTGAAAAGAAAGGAGAAACATTTAGTGTGTAGAGGAGAAGGTAAAGACAGAAAAGATAAAGTAACCCAAGAGTTAAGGACTCTAAGTCCTTCTCCCATCTCTGTGATGATCTCCAGACCTCTTAGTCTCTCATTTGTCATCATAAATAAAAGATGTGAACTCTGTGACGTCTAAACGTCTTTTTTTATTCTCTGCTTCTGTGAGCTGCCATCTCATTAGGGGTGGCAAGCTTTCAAAATGGAAAATTTTAGTCCAAGTTTGCAGAAATAGGCCACTCACAAAAACTCATTTCTCTTTAGTAGACAATGAGACTATCCACACTAATGTGACACAGAGAAATAAGAGTCTCAACAAGGAGATTTAAGTAAATAAGTGAGATGCAACAACCAAGCGGGCAGAAAGACTTCTGCCACCTCCCCATTGAGAAAAACCTATCTCAAAGTGTAATAATCATAAAGATGTTATAGCAGTTTACAGGTTAGAAACCAGATACTACCATTTTCAGATGATCAAAAATTTTAAGTGGTTGAGATTAAAGAATATTCCAATTTGTGCCTCCTCATGGCATTTCTTTAAGTCATGTTCCATCTTTTCTCAGTTCAATAAGTATTAAAAGAATAAAGGGCAACATTCCAATTTTTTTAAAAGTATACTCAGGCACAGACATGCACATTTTGGTGTCTGTTGGTACATTTCACACCTGAAATAATTTGAAATGGAAAATATATTCTACACTAAAAAAACAGAACCTTGTGCCAGATGTCTCTTAACCAAACCCCATGAATATTTCCTAAGCAGAACTAACCACTAAAGGATATATCTTCTACATGTAAAATATCACATTATGACCAACACACGGTCACACATAAGAAAAGTTAACAGGAGCTTGACTGAGCTCATGTTGTGCCTTTTCTTTGCCTCCTTCCTTCCCTCCCTCCCTCTGTCCCTCCCTCCCTTCCTTTCTTCCTTCCTTCCTTCTTCTTCCTTCCTTCCTCTTTCCATCCTTGCATCTTTCCATCCTTCCTTTACTTTTTTTCCTTTAAGCAAAATCTGCTGTTAGGTTTCTGGGCATTTTAAAAGGAATATAAATTACATATTCTATAGAACATGCAAGCCTGGAGAGTTGATTTAATAAGGTGCATATTTTAACATATAATAAGGAACCAATTTGGCTGATAAAATGTCTAAAAATTGTTTTAGACATCGACCATTCTAAATTTCAGTAAGCCCTTTTATGCTTGACCTCAGAAAAGTTTAGTGAAAATGCTTAGAAAGAAATAATGACTACATCAAAAAAGAGCTCACTGGCATTGCAGAGGGATGATAATTATAAATAGAAAGGTACCCAGCCAGTGAGAATCATCTGAAGTGGGACAAAGATGGATACTGTGAACCATTTCCTGTCACATCTTTATAGATGAGCTGTGAGATACAGAAGAAATAAAGAAAACACATTAATTTTATCCTCAAATTATATAGGACTAAACACCATCATAAAGGCTACGCACATAAAGGAAAAATACAGAGAAATATTAAAACACACTGAAAGATTTATCATGGTGACTGGAAATCCCTGAGAATCATGGTATAGGGACAGAAGTAAATGTTTGTTTAAGCTGGGAACCACACATGACTACCTCCAGTACTTAGAAATTTTCAATGGCTGCTTGTTTCTTACCATAGCAAACCCTCCACTATTATTTAACATACTCTGCCAGGTTCTGGTTGAATCTATTTCCTCTCTGTCCACAAGCTCACCAGGCCTCCAATCTGGTTGACGTCTCACACCCTATGTCTTCCCCACCACTTCTGCAGTGCCATCCATTCTGCTCAGTATTCTCCTCTCTGCTCATCTAAACTCAACCCTAACCCCACTTCTTCCTGGAAGCCTTCATGGTCATTTCAACATATCTCCATAGTATATAGACTAAAGAACACTTGATGTGATCACTTGTCTTTTCTTTTATTGTTTCTGCTGTGAGTCTAGTCTCCTTAATTATAGACTCCACTAGACAGCTGGTCTTTAAAGAAAGGGATTAAAAATTTCATGTTTATTTTTTATTATTCCACAGTGATAAGCATGTGAATTTATTGTTGCTAGTTAACTTTACAGTAAAATGTAAGTATTTTACTTTCATGTCATGTACATATCTGAGATTTTTGTCATACTGAAGGTCAATTTTCACAATCATTTAATCAACAAACATTTATTAAGCACCTTCTACATTCTAGGAACTTTGCAATTTGACTGAGAAGCAGAGTTAATATGACTCAGTCTCAGAACTTAATAGATAAGTGGCATCCAGGACATTTATATAAATAACATTTTATGAATTGCTTACAAAACAATTTGAAATGTTTAATTTAATACTTGCAGTAATTCTTTATCACTGACATTGAGTGGAAGTTAGTAATATACTAACCACTCTCCAGAAGTCACTATGCTATCAATACCATCACCCCGTCAGTGAATCCAGTTCTATAACAGCATCTCCTACCATCAGCCACAGCCTACAGAGAGAGTTGTTACTAAGTGTTTAATCAATGCTGGTCCCCTCTCAATGATGCCTTTCGTATCTCATTGATAAGTAAAGTGTCTTCTGGGCTTTCCAACAGAACATGGTGGGCTGGTGGGTTTTCCTAAATGACGTGGTATAGCTACTCTCACAGGTCCAGTTCACATAGTTTCTCTGCTGTTATCTGCCATGGCAGGTATGGCATCTTTAGTGTTGTCTTCCTCCAAACTTCTAAGAGCCATCATCAAGACAGCAATCACAGGCAGCATCACAGACAGCAGCAATACTGTATCATAGAGTACTTTCCATGGTGCTAAATAATTTATTATTCCAAAGTGCTCCTATATAAACTCTCCTTATCTACGTTTATGTTCTTCCCTGCTTGAACCAGCAGCCTCAGGATCCAGTCCCATACATGTTCTCCCAACTCCTGCTGGTCCACATTGGCTAGGTAGGACCTGCAGCTTTCCAATGTGTAATATTTTCCTTTCTTATCAGTCCCCCCAACTCCATACTTAGAATGAATTGTGACCTAAGCCTAGTTACTGGCCTGGTAACCAAGAAAGGAATTGAAGGTAGTGGGAAACCACATTATCTTGCAAGGCAGAGGACTCTACATAATCTTCAAGCAAATGGAGACAACTAAAACTTAACAGAGATAATTGGGCCACCTTTTTGGGCCCAGGAGGTTAAAGAGCATCTGAGGATTCAATATTTTTGAGATCATCAACCCAGATTTCTACAGATGCCAGGAACTCTAAGGCCCTACTTCTCCAAATATAGCCCTTGCCTTGGCCAAATTTGAGAATTAAACCTCTTCTATAGCTATGCCACTTTTATAATGAAGTTCTGAGACCCGATCCTCAGCATTCAGGAGACGAGAGTCTCTTTATATGCTGCCAAGAAGAGCCTATGGCTTTCACATTCTCTTTTTAACTTGTGATTAAGCATCCTCAGTTTGTATTATTTTCTCTAAACACGTTGATTGTATCTAGTAATAGTCATCATTGTTATGAGATTTTCTTCCATGCTGTGCTATCTAGTACTGCATTAAAAAAAAAAAAACCAAAATTACTAGTATAAAACAACAAATTTAAGGACATATTTATAGATTTTTTTTTTTTTGAGACTAAGTCTCACTCTGTCGCCCAGGCTGGAGTGCAGTGACACGGTCTTGGCTCACTGCAACTTCCACCAGGGTTCAAGCAATTCTTGTGCCTCAGCCTCCTGAGTAGCTGGGATTACAGGAGCATGCCACCATGCCTGGATAATTTTTGCATTTTTAGTAGAGACGGGATTTCGCCACGTTGGCCAGACTGGTCTCGAACTCCTGACCTCAAGTGATCCATCTGCCTTGGCCTTCCAAACTACTGAGATTACAGGCATGTGCCATCGTACCTGCCATAGTTATAGATTTTACAGAACACAGATTTGGACATAGCACAGGAGGGAGAAATTGCTTTCTCTGGTTCATGATGATCTGGGATATAAGCTGGGATGACTCAGATGTCTTTAGGGTTACTCACAGGACCGAAAACTGAATTTATCCTAAGAAATAGTTCCTAAAAGGAGTTATTTTGTCTCCAAGGGACACTTGGTAATCTCTGAGACATTTTTGTTTCTCATAAGTTGAGGAAGGGAGTGCTACTGGATCTAGTGGACAGAGGCCAGAGATGCTGCAAAACATTCTACAATGCACAAAACAGCTCCCCACAATGAAGAATCATCTGGCCCAAAATGTGGATAGTACTAAGGTTGAGAAACCCTGATCTGGAGGTTTCTTCTACCAACTATAGAGTGCTTGGAGTAGGATGGCACAAAAGCTGGCTTAGCTGGGACCTCTCTATATGACTTGGGCTTCCTCATAGAATGGCAGTCTCAGGGTAGTAGACTTTTACATGATTTTTTAAAGGTGATTTTTTACAATGCTTTAATAGCAAACAAGGCTGTGTCTGAACAGTACATGTGGAAATGGTTAAAATGGTAGAAATAATAATAATCTATTATTTGGGAGAAAAAGGGTAAAAAAACTCTAGAAAAAGCTGCATCGCCTTTTATGACATATCCTCAGAAGTCCCATAGGGTCACTTCCACCATAATCTGTTTGTCAAAGTAGTTACAAGCTGTAAATTCATGGACAGTGGACATAGTTCTTTCCTATTAATGGAAGGAATATTTTAAAAAATTGCAGCCATCTATTATAGACACCACACCCCATATCTTTTACACACCTGAGATAATGCACCTCTCAGAGCATTTTTTTCTACCAGCATCACATCCCAGTTCCCCACATATGAAAATGCTGGTAGTTGCATTCCTATAGAATGCCAGGAGGTATCCATCCTCCACCAAATACTAGTGATGATGTTCTCATTTCCTTCCACGGGTGGGTTATCCAACTTCAAAATCTTATTTTAGGATTTGCTCCTAGGATCACTTCTGGCTCCAAATGTTGCAGATTAGAGTTCCCAGGAAATACTGAAATTCTGAAAATTGCATGTGAGACGTTTTTTGAGGAATGCTTTCAGGAACAATGCCTGTGAAGGTGTTAGGTAAGAAGGATGGGGCAGAGGAAAAAGGTCAAACTGTGATGCAATTGTGACACTCTCAGTGGATCCAGCAGGGAACTCTGAAGATGGGCTGCCTTTAGAGATGCCTATAATAGAAGCAAGAGGTTCAGTCTGGCTTTTGTATCCCTGCATTGGCCAGTTATTGAATACAGGTCATTTGCTCCCTTGGAATGGATGTAACTTTGGGCAAGGCAGTAATGGTAGACAGATGGCAATTCCCAAAACAGGGACATAGTTATGAGCCTTCAGCAGCTAACACTTCTGCCAGCTGGAGGAACAAGTGTGATAAGGGGATCTGGTTGGTGTACCATAAAACTACAAGTCTTGGTGTATTTTACTAAATAAAGATTTTTATGATCCGCATTTAATTTACTAGGAAAAAAAATTGCCATTTACCCTTAGTGTTTGCCCTACAGTTGCCATTTGTTGTACTTTCAAGTTCATTGTATTTGAGGTGTGCCATTTAGGTTATCATAAATGGCTCATCTCTTTTGGGAATACAATAGATATTGCAAATAGCTTATAGCATGAATGTAAATAATTCTACTCACAGACCACATGATTCAAATATTTTAAGCAATTCATTGGGTAAAACATTTATCCTTGTTTTTCTGTTCTGGAAAAACAGTTGACCCTCCACCCACAAGATATTTTATTCTTCACCTTTGAATGAGAGTTCAAATTTGTGCAGTTTACTGGAGCTCAGCTCGGAAAATAACTCCATGGGCTACTAATATTTATTTCAATATAAGAGGAAACAAAATTAATGGCAAATGCCTGAATTGTCTATTATTGTTAACTAACCCTTCCTAAGGTGAAATAAAACCTGTGATAGATCCTTACTATTATTAATTTTAGGGTTCCTTTAGGAAAACTATGTATTATACCTTCATAATAAATGCAATAGTGGACAGGTTTTTAGAACTCTTGTGGACTTTCATACTGGAAATAGCAATATTAGTGGTAGACATAGCATTAAAATTCAAGTAATAGAAGGTGAAAGGAAGTCAAAACAAAGGAAATCGCCTCCCAGGAGCAGAACCAGACCTAGAGTGAGAGAAATGAGGGGCCTACGATGTAAAATTTAACGAGGCATTCACTCCAGTGCCCACCCTTCCCTGGCACAACCTTGAAGATGAGTCCTTCCTAATATTCTGCACCCAAGCCTCTCTCACCTAGTCCCAGCCTCACTCAGGAGTACATTTGAACGGGAATCAGATATGAATTAGAAAAGGCTTGTGCCTACATGGAGTGTTATTTAATAGTTCATTCTAAGCACCTGTTACTTTTAAAATACTCTTTTCAGTGGTTCTTTACCCAAAAGTCACCCAATTTTTACCATAGGTCCCAGCTAACTTGGTCATAACCAATTTGACAAGGGATTGATGTCTGAACTAGAGGCAATTCTCTATGGTATACTACATTTTTTTCCTTTTTTTTTTTTTTTTCCAGACAGGATCTCACTCTGTCACCCAGGCTGGAGTGCAGTGGTGCAATCATAGCTCACTGTAACACTGAATTCCTGGGTTCAAGGTATCCTCCCGTCTCAGCCTCCCAATAGCTAGAACTATAGATGTGCATCACCTCCCAAATAGCTAGGACTATAGATGCACACCACCATGCTAATGTTTTTGTTTGTTTGTTTGTTTTTGTTTTGTTTTGTTTTTTCTCACTCTCTGGCACAGGCTGGTCTTGAACATCTGGCCTCAGGTGATACTTTTGCCTCAGCCTGCTAAAGTGCTCTTAGTACAGGTATAAGCCACTACTCTCAGTCTGGTCTGTGACCTTGGTGTGGTTTACCTTGAGACCTCTCCCAAGCAGGAACATTTCATACCAGATGACTGCAGTTCAACCCAATCTAATCATCTTTTGGAAATTTTAATGAGATTTACAGCAAAAGTAAGCAGAGAGGAAAGTAGCGTCAAATAGGAAATCTCAGAGAGGGAAAGTAGCAAGTAGAGAGTAGAGAGGAAAATAATTAGGAGAGTTAGTTGGTAACAGGGTAGTAAGTAGAAAGAAACCCATGGAGACTGGCAGAAGAGGGAAGAGTTAACTCTAGAGCTTCAAAGGCCATTTGGGTCTTAGATCACGTCACTGGCATCAGACTCTTGGGGCTACTCCTGCATCTGAATTGTGAAGAGTAATGTTTCTGCTTTTGTTGACTCCTGAATGTGCAATACTGAAATGCTGCCAACTTTCTTTTTTATTCTACCAAACCACAATTAATAGAAATAAACTGTGCATTTTCTTCTATATTTCAGGTGTATGATTCCAGAGGCTCTAGATAATAGTGTTTTGTCCTAAAATATCTTCACCAGCTGCTGACCATAGTTTCTAAAATTTCATGACAGGTGATTCATTTGTTTGGGTCCTGAAGGTATTTCAAGCTTGGTGAATCCCCTATTCAAATGCCACTACACCTGGAAAGGGAAATTTTGAACTGCTGCCCAACAACCTCTTATTTTGTTTTAGTTATCAGAGAAATCCATGAGAATGTGGTGGAGAAGAGGTCCTAGTAGAAGGATTGTTTGATGGGAAGAGGAAGAATTCTCCTAGATCAGCTCCATCATGTGAACTTTTGCCTCACCAAACGCCATGTCTGGGTCCACTCGTATGTCAGATTTTCATCTAGCTTGCACAATTTGGCTTGAAATGCATTTCACTCTTCTAAGAGTTAACAACTAAGATTACAAAATAAGGTATGGGAGTGAATGTTAACCAAACCAGGACTGAGTTGTCACGCTGGTGTCCTGACATACGCAGAGCACAGGGGCTAGAGCCAGCCAGCCTGGGTTTACATCCTGTTTCTGTTCTTTATATGCCAGAGAACCTTTGGATGATAAATTATTATTTATTTATTTTTTATTTTTTTGGAGACGGAATCTCACTCTGTCGCCCAGGCTGGAGTGCAGTGGCGTAATCTCAGCTCACTGCAACCTCCACCTCCAGGGTTCAAGCAATTCTCCTGCCTCAGCCTCCCGAGTAGCTGGGGCTACAGACACACGCCACGATGCCCGGTTAATTTTTGTATTTTTAGTAGAGATACAGTTTCACTATGTCGGCCAGGCTGGTCTCGAACTCCTGACCTCAGGTGATCCACCCACCTCGGCCTCCCAAAGTGTTGGGATTGCAGGCATGAGCCCTCACGCCCGGCCTTGATCCACCCTTTGTATGATGGCTGTGGCATGCTGTAAGCTCAGGTGTAGCCCTCAGGCTATTTGTTTCTTCCCCAGACCTAGGGCAGCAGGGATAGAACTATTGCTGTGGCAGTGGCAGAGGGGCTGCCAGATGCCTCTGGGAGCCTCTCCCTAGGGAAATTCTGTGGGTATACTCAGCTGTAGGTACACAAATGTTCTGCGTTCATGAGACAGGAGCCCTGTTTGGTGAAAAATGGAGGGTGGAGGTTCGCAGGGAAAAGGGGTTGGACTCCTCTCCATATGTTGGTTATGGTGTGCTGGAAGTGCCAGTGTAACGAATAGGCCCTTTGTTCTTTCCCCAGCCCAAGGGCTCTTAGGATGGTGCCACTGCAACTGTAGTGGCAGAGGAGTTGTGAGTTGACTCTGGGATTTCTTCCTTGGAGAAATGCTAGGCTGCACCTGATTGTGGTGATCAGGTAGAGGCAGGGTGGTTATGCTGGAGTCCCAGGTCAAGTGACCCTGCCCAGTGAGAAGTAAGGACTGCGATCTGTATGGAGAACAGTCTGGCCACTTTTCTGTGAGGTGATTGCTCTGTGCTGTGGGTCCGGGCCAGCCCCTGGTCCGTGCAGACTCTCCAGAGCCTGGAGACAGCAAAGGCAAGGGCTGCAAGGCAACTGAGATAGCAACTCCCCCTCCCATGGGGAGCTCTGTCCCAGGGAGTTGCAGAGCTGCTACTGGCTCGATAGCCCCAGCAGAGGGTGGCAGGAGACCCAGGCCTGGAGGACCCACTCAGTGAGGATATATTGGAATGGGCACCCACAAAGCATACAATCTGACCACTTTTCCTAATGGCTGCTGCAATATGGTGGGGGTCCTTCCCAGTCCCTAGTCACCTTAGATTTTCCAATACTGGACAATATTAACAATGAAGTCTGTGAAACAGAAAGATGGCAACCTGCCCCTCCCTCTGGGAGCTTCATTTTAGGAAGGTAAGGACTTGCTGCCAGCCTGAATGCACCTGCAGGAGGTGGATGGAGACCCTGGTTGGGAGATCCTGCCCAGTGAAAAGGAATGGGATTGGAGACCCATGTAAAAAAGCGGTCTGGCCACTTTTTTGTAGAGCAGCTGTGCTGCGCTTGTGGTCTGCTCCAGTCCCCAGTCACCTCAGATTCTCCAAAGCCCGAAAGCAAGAAGGGAAAAGGTGGTCAAACAGTAAAAACGGTGGCCTGCCCCTTCCTCTAGGGAGCTCCTTCCCAGGGAGGATTGAAACTGCTGTTGGCAAGAAAACACTGGCAGGGGCGACTGGAAACCCCAGTCAGGAGATTCTGCCCAGTGAAGAGAAATGGGATTTGGGGTCTGTGTGAATAAGCAGTTTGCCTGCTTCTCTATAGAGCTGCTAGGCTGTGCTGGGGGACGAATCCAGTCCCTAGTCACCTTCAACTCCCTAGAGCCCTAAGGCAACAAATGGCTAAAGCTGTGAAACAGCAGAGATGGTGGCCTGCCCTTAACCCTGGGAGTTCCATCTCCGGGAGGTGTAACGCTGCTTCTGGTGTCTGGCTGGAGTTCAAGACAGTGTGTCTTATCTTGCGAGGTGCTGTGAAAGCAGGACCTGCAGACAGTCACTGCTCAGCCCCCTGGATTCAGTCTATTTCTTAGGAGTATGTAATAGAGGTCTCACCTCCTGCTTTTCCGGAGTTGCTGCTGCTTCTTCCAGGAAGCCTGAGTATCTAAGGCTCCCTGGGCTTCATGTGTGGCTGAGGGGCTGCTCTGCTGAGACTCCATGTAGCTCTGCATGTCAGACTTAAGGCCCTGGTGGAGTGGGTTCATGATGGGATCTCCTGACCTGAGGGTTGCAAAGATCCGTGAAAGAAGTGTGGATTCTCAGGATTGCTCACTCATTCACCACTTGCCTGGGCAGTGGAGGTTCCCCTGGCTCCATGTTGCTCCCAGGTTGCAGTCACCCTACCTTGCTTTTCTCTATTCTCCATGGGTTGAGTTGTTTCCTTGATTAGTGTGAAAATGCGTACCTGGATGTTTCAGTTGAAGGTTCTGTATTTACTTGTCCCTTCCATTCCTCTCCATGAGAGCTGTGCACACTAACTGCTTCCAGTCGGCCATCTTGGCCAACTCCCCTTTTCTTTATTATAACATTTGGTGGTATTAAATGTCTTTCTTTTATGAAATAATGGTGATGGTTGTTTAACTAATGTCCTCATTTAGAAACATAAAAATTTGACAACCTTTTAATGTATACTAAATTAGTTTTGGAAAAATTACTTGCCTGTAAAATCCAAAATTTCTAGAAGTCACTCATCTTTCCCAATTTCATTTTACAGATGAAAAAAATGGAGGCCCAGAGAGAAGAATAATCAACCCAGGTTCTACCTAGTGTAATGCCTCAATGCTTTGAAATTTATGACAAATTAAAGTTTAATTGTGTCTTTTAATCTACATTTGACTGTTATCAATAATGTAGGAGATTGAAAAAAAAGTGGAAGGATAAAAAAACTAACTCACAGGCTCTGGAATAGTGACACAGCAGATAACAAATAGAAATTCTGGAACTGTAAAATACAATAACCTAAATTAACAATTCAGTGAATAGTCACAATTGCAGATTAGTCACTGATGAAAAGAAAATTAGACAACTGGAAAATAGATCAGAAGAAAATACTCAAATAACGTAAGGGTTGGCAAAAAGCTATAAAATATAGAAGAGTGAAAGACATAAAGTGTAGAGAGAAACAGTCCCAGAAAGAGATAATATAATGAAGAAGAGGCAGCATTAGCAGAGAGTTTTCACAGAATTTTCCAGAATTATTGGAAGATACTATGCCACAGCTTCAGGAAGCTAAGCAAATAAATAAGAAGAAAATGTATCTGAGCCCATTATGCTGAAAAACAAAGAAATCTTTAAAAGTTAGAAGAGATTATCTTCAAAGGAGTGACAGATTAGCAGTGACTTTTTCACAACAATGATGAAGGCCGAAAGACAATGGATACACATATTCAATATGCTGAAAAGAAAATAAGAAGCAACCTATAGCAAAATGAAAGCAAAAAGAACATATTTTTCAGACAAACAAATACTGCAAAACAGACTGTTAGAGTTCTTAACCTTTTCTTGCACCATGGCCCCTTTGGCACTTTAATGAGACCTATGAACACTTTCTCAGAATAAGGTTATTAAATATACAAAATAAAATATGTAAAATGACAAAGGAAGCTAATTTTATTCAAATACAAATTATTTTAAAAACCAAATTCATTATATAGTGATATGTTTATTACATGCTAAGTAACAAGATCTACATAATTTTACATAATTTCTAAGTATTAAAAGTTTGTAAAAGTTTATCTTTTTCAGTTAGTCAGAAAGCTAAGTAGGCTAAGAGTACTGTCAGGCAGCAAGAAGGTGAAAGAAGACAACCAGCATGAAAGCTTATGCCTCACTAAGGTGCTATTAGCTTGGTTACACACATCCAAGAGTCAGGGACTGGGTCAACCATATTGTAAAGTAGATGGTGCAGACCCTTAATAAAAGAATAATAAACAGTCAATCAAGGCTTGCTGCATTAAAAAATGTGGGTTATACATGAGTGTGCCATCTCTATTTTTAAAATGTCTAGACAAAGGAATGGCATCTTTCAACATTTTCTCCTTGAAAATACATATGCAACAAAGCCAATCTTTACATAAATACCCCATGCTTCCTTTCATCTCATTTAAAGAGAAAAAGACCCCACCTTTCATTTCCTAATGCTGTGGTTTGCTTTGTGTAAGAGTGAGTCTTCCAAAAGTAGTTAGTTTCTGCTTATAAGGATTTCCCTTTTAAGTTATTAATGCTGTTTGTGAGACAGCATGTTGTTGGTATTGTTGTTCAGATTGGATGGGAGAAAAATATATATTGTATCATGATGTGTTAGTTCATTCTTGCATTGCTTTAAAGGAATATCTGAGACTGGGTAATTTATAAAGAAAAGATGTTTAATTGGCCCACTGTTCCACAGGCTATACAGGAAGCATGGTGCTGGCATCTGCTCAGCTTCCAGTGAGTCCTCAGTAAGCTTTCAGTCATGGTGAAAGGCAAAGGGGGAGTCAGTGTGTCACATGGTAAGATTGGGGGCAACATTGGAGGAGAGCCATTCACCTTTAAACAACCAGTCTCCTTTTAACTAAACTAGAGCTTTAGTTAGCTCTCATGTGAACTAACAGAGCAAGAACTCACTTATTACCATGGGGAGGCCACCAAGACACTCATGAGGGACCTGCTCCCATGACCCTCCCACCAGGCCCCACCTCCAACATTGGGGATCGCATTTCAACATGAAATTTGAAGGGGACAGACATCCAAACCATATCACATAGCAAAGGGACACCAGTTATTTAAAGTACTCCATTAAACAGAGCTTTCCTAATGTGCTATAGTAATTGCCTATCTGTGGGTTATATTTAGCTCCTGGTACTTCTTCCCATCAGCACAAACATTAACAAGAAAAATTGATGTTTGGATGAGTACTTGGGGATGCTGAATAATTTGAAAAGCTTTTAAATCTTTGAAACATTGAGTTTATTATCTTGCCAGTAATAGAAATTGAAATCCCATCTATTTATGCTTATAGCTGGAGCTTGAGCCCTTGTTCAAACAATGGGGCCAATGTGATCATCACTCATGGACACATCTTTCAGGACTGGCATTCTCTCCTGGTGCTCCATGCCTAGCTGATCTTTCTCCCTGAATGAAATTAAACCACATGGAACAAAATAATAGATTTCTCAATTTTGCTGGTCCAAATATACACTATGTGTTCCTCCCCACCCGCTTCCAGGTGTTACATCCAGGTGGCAGAAGATCAACATTAGAAACAGAAAAACAGTCCTTTGTTTCCTTGGCTCCTTTATTTCTTCAATCCAACCCTCAAAACATTTTAAGAGTCCCATAAATCCAATATTAAAATGTCCAAATTATAACTTCCAAAGTACCTTTGTGCCAGGAGGCAGAGTAAAAATCAGATGGGCTTTGATTGCTTCAAGAAGAAGCCCCTAGGCCAGGCACAGTGGTTCACACCTATAATCCCAGTACTTTGGGAGACTGAGGTGGGAGGATTATCTGAGGCCAGGAGTTCAAGACCAGCCTGGGCAACATAGTGAGACCTCATCTCTACAAAAAATAAAAAAAATATAAAATATCTGGGCAGGGTGGCATATAACTGTAGACCCAGCTACTCAGGAGGCTGAGGTGGGAGGATCCCTTGAGCCCAGGAGTTTGAGGTTGCAGTGAGCTATAAGTGCACTGTACTTTAGGCTGAGCAACAGAGTGAGACCCTATTTCTAAAAAATAAAAATAAAAAAGAAGTAGTCGCAGCTATAATACTATTATTTATTGTGGCTTGTGATGACTCCAACTTGGAAGGCTGTGCTACTTCCTCTCACAGTAAGTGTGCAGGTTTCTTCTGTGGCTTCATCAACCCAATGGAGCCTGACAGATGGGAAGAGGGGGTCGATTTCATGCCCAGACTGCCAAAGAAATTCCAAATTGTTTCAGATCAACCTATCAAACCCTAAAAATGGGAGTACCGTTCTCATTTCTTAATTTTTACCTTATATGACCTGTGAGATTTGGATTTATTTTGAAGCTTTGAACAAACAGAACAATGTAAATAGATTCAATTAAGTAATTTTTTTACATTTTAGTTTATCTCGGAATAATGTGTCGCTAATGTTAGAGGTACATACCCACAGAGATTTATGCAGAAATTAATGCTGAAATGCTCAGGTGCATTTCAAAATGTACTCTTCCCATTTGTGAGAAAAAGGATTTATAACAATTATTTTGTTCATCCACTCGCCTTGTTGTCCCCAGGGTGTCCTTCTATTCAGCAATGACATCAGACAGGACCATGGTGGCAACGCTATGGGTTATTTGCATTGAGACTGACTGTTTCATCCTTTCTCACACTGCTGTAAAGAAATACCCAAGACTGGGTAATTTATAAAGAAAAGAAGTTTAATTGGTTCACAGTTTTGCAGACTGTACAGAAAGCATGATACTGGCAACTACTTGGCTTCTGGGGAGGCTTCAGGAACTTACAATCATGGCAGAAGGCAAAGGGGAAGCAGGCTCCTCTTACATGGCCAGAGCAGGAAGAAGGGGTGCAGCGTGCCACACACTTTTAAACAACCAGATCTTATGAGAACTCACTATCACCACGACAACACCAAGTGGGAGAGTGTTAAACCATGAGAAATCACCCACATGATCCAATCACCTCCCACCAGGCCCCACCTCCAACATTGGGGGTTACAATTTGACATGATATTTGGATGGGGCCACAGAAATGAACTGTATCACTGGCCAGAGCTAATGGAAGATATAAAAAGGTCTGCCTCAGTGAGAGGTTCCTGAACAGGCAACGCCAGTGTCACGCTTGTTATTCACAATGAGTTCCTTGTCTCCTGTCTCATTGTTTCCAGACACACAATCTTCCCCCAAGGTAGCACTAAGCTAGGTCACCTGTTGCTCCACTGCTAATTACCATTTACTTCATTTGCATGTGTTATGAGGTTCCTGTAACCAAGGCAACCAGAAGTGGTACTTGTACCGTCAATGGAACAATCTTTTCTCCATCTGGTCAGGCTGCAATGGCATTCTTGCTCACTGCCCCTCACTCTCATGGCAGCAAAAAAATACACGTTCAGCAGAATCCTTCTGTGTCATCAGTTTCTCTACAAGGACTCAGGAACTGTACACTTCACTCTAGATTTATCAGGTAACTTAATTGATTTCTTTTTAACAAATCTTGATATGTTTTTCTCCTCCAAGCAAGCTGCTACACTTGACATATTTCAAAATCAGCAGAAAAGAATGCACACATAGACTCGCACATAAGCACACACCTGTTTTGGATCCCTGCCAGTGAATGTGTGGGGAGGAAACAAACAAACAAAAAATCTTTGAATGATGTTCATTTTTTGAGCATTTTCCCTTGAAAAGGGACAGACTGTCATGCCAGTGAGACATTTTCATCATAATGGGACAGAATCCACAAAAACACCTGGATACATAGGGCTACTGTTCACATCCTCCTTTTCTTTTTATCCATACTCTTATTCTTTTGGTGATTTCATTCATGCACCCATCTTGAAACAACTTACGTAATGAGGATTCTCATATTTGTATATGCAGACTAGAACACTCCCCTGCATTTCAGATTTATAAACTCACCTGTCTTCCTGGCAATTATATCTGAATATTAGAAATCCCAACATGAATATGTTCAAAGAAACTGAGCTCATGATCTCACTCCCAAACTTGTTGTACCCTCAGCCATTAACTGAAATGCTAACATTTCATTGATGCCAACAGCATTCTTCCAGTTTCTCATGCAAAATTCTTTCTTTTCCATTTTTTTCTTTTCACTGTGTCCTAGATGTTTATCATGCAACATTCTTGAATTCATCCTCAATGTCTCTCTTTCTCTCATCCCCATACATCCAATCAGTCATTAAATCTTGCAACCTCTATTTTCAAAATATATCCAGAGAATCCAAACACTCCTTTAATCTCAACTGCCACTAACCTGATCTGAGTCACCATCATCTCTTGCCTGGATTATTACAATTGGCTCCCACTCTGTACCTCTCTTAGTTGCTCATAGTATATTCTCAAGATATCTGCTACTGTGGGCTTCTTAAAACTGGAGGATAAATCTGTTTAATGTCCTCCAATGGCTTCCCATCTCACTCAGAGTGAAAACCAAACCCTTTCCATAGCTTACAAGGGTCTAGCTGATGGGGTTCATGCTCTAACTTCATCTTTTCTATCCTCTTGCCTTCACTCCATTCATCCCAGACATGCCATGCTCCTCTATAAGGCTCTAAATTTGCTATGTCCCCTTTTGGAAAGTCTTTTCACCACATACCCATATGGCTGGCTCCCTTGCCCCATCTGGGCCTTTACTAGAAAAAGAAGAAAGAAATAAACAAGAAAGAGGAAGGGGGAGTGAGCAAAACATTGTGTAATGTTACAAAAACATTGTGTAATTGTTTATCTAGTACAATAAAGTCAGGCAGTTATATCATTGCATAGGAGAATATTGGTAATAGACAAAACCCAGAGAAACAGAAAAGACTCAAAGGAAAAAAAATGGAAGTAAAGTGAAATTTAGGAGAAAGAATTGGAAATAGGATGCAGGCAGTTTTCTCTTCTGAGATTTTATTACCAAGTCCCTGGTGTTGTACAGGTGGCATAACCTCCGAAGTTTCTTTCCTGTCCAGATAAGCATGAAGTTGAACTCTTCCAAGGTAGCCTCTCTATAGTTTAAATTAAGTTCAGCCTGGGTAAATCTTTTATTAGGTTGGAACTGTGGACAGTCAAACAGAAAAATGTGATCCCAAAGAAAAGCCAGAAAGTAGTGATTCAAAAGGTTAAGCTAAGAATTAGAATATTTAAAGCACTCAGGAGGGTTTGAAATATTTTTTCCAAAGAAACATTTAAAAAACAAGAAGAAAGCTCTTTTCTGATGTAAAAGTAGTGGCTGTAGAAATATTTATTAGTTCACAGAGTTCTGCTGGCTTGTAAGAAAGTTATTCCAAAATGAAATCCAAGTAATTATCCTCTTCCTTCTCATAGATCCTAACTCAGAATATTCTGGAAATGAGGCCACAAGAACACCACTTTTATCCAAATATTTATCTTAGTAGAGTGTCCTTAACTGAAATAATTCAAATATGCTTTAACATTGTTTGACAAAATCATAAACATATATACTCTCAAGGTCTTATTCAATTGTATTATTATTTTTGTTAAAAGGGGCCTGTGGTGAATGAACATTTAAATTATCAAAGCTAGAAGCTACTCCCTTGAATACTGTCTGCAAAATTTTTATTGTGCAGTAAAAGCTAGTATTAGTCTTTGGGAAAGGCCATTTGGGCAGGTACTTTTAGTTACACAGATAAAACACAAGTACACACCCATTTCTCTTGGAGAACCTTGCTTCCAACTAGATATTAAAGGTTCAGTTTAGTAATACAAACTAGGTATGTGATTGTATCTTTACAGATTGAGATTTTTTTTCACTAGACATCTCTGTTTACAAAAAAATATTGTAGTGTTCTTATGAGGGATGTGTGTGCATGTGTGGATGTGGGTGTATGCACACACATATTATGTCCAAGAACAACACACAAAAAATTGGAAGCTGACACTGGTTGATGGCAGAAAAGATGAGGTAGCAAATCTGGCATGTCTTCACCTTGTGCTAGAGGCTGCGTCATAAAACAGACAAGATAGGATTTGCCAAAGCCCACTCTCTGCTGATCTTCTTCCTTTCTCCCTTCCTGGAAAAAGGGGCATAATTCTGATTGAAGTAACTCTGGTCAAATATTTCATTTGCCTTATCCCATGCCTTGGGGTCCAGAGGTCACATCCTGTAAACAAAAGTGGGACTTTCCCACCTAGAAAATCTGTACCTTTTCTGTCAATCATCTGAAGAGAGAAAAATGGGGTGGGCCATAGCCTGGAGGAGGAAATGACATCATAGGGCTGTGAGCAGGTGAGTCTGAATACTGGGAACTTCTGCTGAAAGGCATCGTCAGGGAGAGGAGGTAGGCTTAGCTCTGGGACATGGTGGCAGGTCAACTGCAAGGAAAGAATCCTGTGGAGGGGCATTTCCAAGGGCTCTAGAGGGAGTAACATCTATATCCAGTTCCAAGCTTTCTTTTCCACATTGTAGTTCTCTTCTCAGGTGACAAACAACCAGAGCCAAATTTTATAATATTTAAGTGTTCCTTGGAAATTCCCATGAAACACTTAGAAAAAGGAACCCACTTGAAAAAAAAAAAAAATAGACTTCCCAGGGTTCAACAGATGGGAATTTGGAATAGTGGCATGTGGGAAAGGTTCCTTCTGAAGACTAGAGAACCTATGGAAATCTGGGGCACTCTTAAGTGTGTGAAGTTGGCCAAGATTAGAACCCTGAAGTTCCACAGCATCCATCTATGAGAAGAGGGGCAGTACCAGCAATGAGTCTTATCGCTGATGCAGAGCACCATCCTAGGGATGGTCAATGGATGGATACAGTCTCTCGCCTAAGTGATTACAGGCAAAGTCAGGAGTCACTCTGCATCAAGTTTAAGTGTATAACTCAAATTCTATGTATCACAATAGCATCATTATGTAGTAACAACACAGTATTTCTCGCTTCTGCCCTTCCTGATACTGGCGTGAAACCAGCCTGCCCTGGCCACCTCTGTCTCTCCAGACTTCCTTAGGGAAGGCACTGCATGCTCCTTAGCATACAATTTAAGTTCTGTCATCTCTCTCTGCTCCTGTTCAAGCTGTCGGGGGGGGGGGGGGGCGGGGGGGGGCGGAGCATAAATATAAATTCTGTTTTTTATTGTTTGTTTGTTTTTGTTTGTTTTTTTGTTTGTTTTCTGCCAAAGCTTCTTGTGCATGGGCTGCTCTGATTCTCAGCTCCCTAGCTTCTCATCTCCAGCCCAAATTAAGCCTGTCTGTTCTGTGATCCAAAGGCCTCCTCAAGTCAAGAAGTTTCCTTTCATCTCCATGTGTGCTATATTCTGCTACATAGCCTTACCTCTGCTCTCCTAGTTTTACTGAGACTTTATTATAAAGTTGTTAAGCTTTTTTTTTCTTTTTTAACTTCCTCTTAACTGAAGTTGCCTCTTTCCGGAAACAATCTATGACTCTGAAAAGGATGTTCCAGAGGACATATTGAGAGACAGACACTGTGCTGTACTCAAAATTACCTTTGCCCTCTGACTCTGACATATTTTTCTTGGCTTGAACTTGTGAACCCAGCTCCCTCTTCTGGATGGAGAAGTCTCTCCTCTTTAGTGCTTTGGGGATAAGCCTTCCAGCCCTCCAGACATTCCCGGACTATCAGCAAAGCTGGGTTCCTGGGAGTGAGAGCACTTTTGATGAGGAGAAAACACAGGAAACAGCCACCATCCTTTGACTACATGTCTCACTGTCTGACCATTAATGTTTTATTGCATATTTCACATAGGTTTCTCTAGAGTTTATTTGATTATAGTTTTAAAAATTATTAAAATATTTTGCTTTGGGAGAGAGATTTTCAGAAATGCAGTCACCATCCTCCTCCCTCTTTTACTCTTTTCCTCCAAGGCAACACTTCTGACCCAAATTCATCTGTATTCTTGGGTAAAATGGCTTGGCTCAAGCTAGAAACTCTGTCATAGAAAATGTGAAAACTTTTTTTCTGATTAAGCTTTTCTCTAGCACTGGGCTATACAATGAAAGGTGGTAGAGGGCACAGGTAGCCTTTAACCGTCTGATCTCAGCCTTCCAGTAGAGTGCATCAGAATAGATGGAGGCTGGAGTTAAACCCTCAGGTTACACGTCAGAATCTTCAAACCTTGAATCCACTGGACAATCAGATGAACTTAGGAAAGCATGAGAGATAGAGAAGCCTGAGGCACACTGATGGACTTTAGCATTTTACTGGCCATTGAAAATAAATTGTGCACTGCATAGTTTAGAAATTGTCCCAATATTACATTTTGTAAATGGATATGCCTACATTTATAGATGCACAAATAATTTATGCTAAGTAAAGTTATGTTTGTTTCATTGGCAGGGAGACTCAATAGGTCCTGGGAAATCCAGACAACAAGCTGTTAGAATAATTTTGAACTCTCTTGTGCTGGACCTTGGAAGAGAGTTATCTGATGGTGGTAGCAGTTGTAGGATTTGGTCAATGAGACCAGAAGTTACCAGAAGCAAAGAGCTTCATTCCCTGTGAATTTCCAACAAAAAAAAATACATCTAAACCATGTTTTTGGTTCTAATTACAAAAGTAACTCATGATCATAGTAAAACACTATGACAATTCATAAAAGTTTAAAAAAAACCAACAATAACTTGCAATTCCCGAATCTTCTCCTCATTTTATTGTATTTTATTAATATTATGCATGTTATTTTATCACTATACTTTTTTATATTTTAACATCTCTGAAACAGATTTATCTCATAATTGAAAACTTGTTAAAATAATAATTTAAAGTGTTTTTGTTAAAAGTAGGTATATGAAATAGCAATGTTTCTTAAAATCAATAATTATAGTTAGATGTGTATCTCAAATTAGAGAAAATACAGAATATATATGCATGCATTTGTGAAGCCCTAATTTTATTTGGGGGGATTTGTTATGGCTCTCTCATCACTACTTTGTATTCAAAGAAAAACACCCTATTAATCAAAACTAATCAAAATTTTCATTCCATTTTCTCAAAGGATGTCAATTTATAACCTCAATTTACTTCTTAAATCCTTTCTCCATTCTATACTTCTCAACTTTTTTCTCAACTCCTCCCTATTCCTTTTTAAAACTCTTCCTCACTTATTTCTTTAGCTCCCATCATTCCTCTTGAAATTACTACCCTTGAGAGTAAAACTGGGCATGTTTTACATTTCTGCTGCATTACTTTTAGCATTAGAAAGATCCAGAAACTCAGCACTCAAAAACATAATTTTCAATAAAGATCTGATTAGAGAGAGAAGTGAGACAGTTGGATATCAAAATGTGTTCAGCAGGTGAGGGGAAAGGGAAATACACTAATTATTATCCCCGAAAAAACATAAACAAAGATACAGAGGTACATATAAAATCATAGCCTTCTTTTAGGTAGAAAGAAATATTTAGCCTTATGGAGCTCATCTCTTTGAAGTAGCAAAAACAAAACAAACAAATAGAAGTAAAACCCTAGTCTGGACATAAAAGTTTAAATTTCCTTTAATTTTTGCTCTTGCACTTGGCTTGTGATCAGGAAATATAAGTTAATAAAAATGTATTTTTTCTTAATATGCAATGATTTTATATAAAAAAACATGACAGTATGTTATGGCCTCACTTTTCTCACTTATCCACACCTGAATAGGGCTTACCCCTTGCTTCCTTGGTACCTTTGCAAGATGCCACTTTAGCAAATACAGGGTCTTGGAAGTCTCATCAGATTTGACTTATACCCTTATTTTTCCCAAATGCTTTCCAGAGGACCATCCATCTTTTGATACAAAATGAGAGGTGAGATTCAAAATGTCCACAAATGCTAACACCGAAACTTCCATTTACATTAACATAAAAATGCCTGATGCCAACTCCTTCCAAGGGACAGGTTTTGATGAAAGCAGAAGCACCTTGAGGAAGGAAAGACAGGAGAGAAAAAAAAAAAAAAGAAGAAGAAGAAGAAAAAGAAGCAAACAGTGAAACCTACTACTTTATAATTTGGACTCTGGCCAACCCTAGGCATAGCTTATGAAGAGTTCACCAGAAAATGTGGCTGGTTACCACACCAGGACTTTGTTATTTAAAAATGTAAATTGCATAGGTTCTAAACTGTTTATACACAAGCCTGAATTTTAAACTCAACAGAAAACAGGAGCATCTTCCCCCACATCTGTTCCTCACATTAGAGTAATACAGAAAACTCTCCAGACACGTTCCTCACATTCCTATCCTCACTTCTGTTTTCTTCAAGTATTTTATTTAGGAAAGAAACAAGAGCAAAATTAAGAGAGAGGGGGGAGAGAGAAAGAGAGAGAGAGAGAGACAAAGAGAGAGAGAGAGAGAGACTGACTTAATAAAGATAAACACCAGCCAAATCAGAGCCCAGACACAATCCAAGCAAAAAAGGAGTCAGCAGGGTGTAGCGTAAATGCTCGGTACACAATAGCACATTCAATAATAATAAACTTTCTGTAATGGCAAGCAACATTCTCCTCAGGCCTCTTTATCCTGCAGAGCACCAAAAGGTTGGCACCAAGCCCTGAGTGACACCCTCTCTAGGGCTAAAGGCAGAAAAGCAAGACAAAGAAGGAAGAAAATACAAATTCAAGGTTGTGCTAAATACATTCCACTAGCAAAACCAATGGTATTCCCCAGTCATCTGGGCTGGGAAGCAGGAATTCTTATAATATTGCCGTAAGTATCTGTAATAGCTATTGAAATTAATGGGCTTTTAGTATCCATGGGGTTGTATATAAGAACATGGGCATTGTCTGTTCAAAGGGATAGTATAAATCTCCCTTTTCTGACTGATATCCGAGAGAGCCAAGAAAAGCACCCGCAACAAAGACTGTGAAGAAGTGACAGAAAGATTCATTAAGGAAAGGCACATTCGTCGATGGCTGGCTGATATGGACATGCAGGTGGAGTTAAGCAAGCCTTAGATAAGTTAAGAAAAGCTCTCCTCATTAAGCTTCAACTGACCTATGGATTTTCATCAGTTTACCATCAGGGAAAATGACAAAGGCATTTTCAGAGTTCATTGCAAGATGTGACAGATCTAAGCATAATGTTTAATAAACTCTGAGAAATCTGAATAACAAAATGAAATAACAAAATTATAAAAAGGAGGAAATAAAACAGCCCATTATCCCCACTTCACAGTTATAAACATTATACACATTTTAGGCATAGATCCATCCATTCATCAATCCACTCACCTATTTTACTATGGAATTTTGTGTCACATGTTATAGTAAATCTCTCATTTATAACTGGCCACCCGACCTGAAGAGTCACTTTCTTCTCTGCTTACCATCTAAACATGTCCCTTTTTTGCTGCCAGTGCTGGTAAGTCCATTCTCCTTGTCTTCATTCACATCCCTCCCTTCCTCAGCTACTCCTATTCATTGAACCTGCAAGTATTTATAGAGCACACATTGCTGGTATGAACCAGACAGACTCTCTTGCCTCCAGAGTACCAGATCATCACCCCTATTGATGATCTGAACTCCTAAGATTGAAAACACAGAAGGTTCCTACAGAAGATCTGCCTACCCTTCTACTGCCAAGACTCTGCCTGTGTACCAGCAACAGCTCCTCAGAGGTTACCTGCCTTCCAGACTGATTTGACTTCTAGGATGCCATCTAACCAGAACCTCAAGGGCTCTACCAGGTTTACCTTGTCCCTCAAATTTACAAATTCCAGTTTCGTCACTTAAGTTGGAATAACCCAATCAAAAATTGTCATGTAGCTCCTTAACATATAAGGTTATGAAGTGAACCCTTAGGCCCTGATTTCTAGGACAGAGATTTCAGAAAAGGTGCTCTATTACACTTCATTATGGAAGAAGCCAGGGGTGTTTAAATGGTTTTAGCTTCTGAATTTGGTGGGACAGAGCCAGGGTAAAAAGAGGTCACAGAAAGAGAAGTCTGGTGAGTCAGGTGTGTTTACTTTTTGTGGCTCTTCTAACAGCGGGGACTTCCTATGTCTGGAAGGTATGTGTGTTCCATTAGCCTGGTTTTTATTTAGGAAGACAAAAAAGAGGCTTATTTCAGCAGCAAGGCTGACTTTCTAAAAGAATGAACATGAGAGACAACATAGAATGACACTGAGAGCATCAGGGTTCAAGGCCCACAGTGTGACCTTGAGCAAGTTATGGAACCTCTCTAAGCCTCCAAGTTTTTGGTTATAAAGCAGAAGATGATGATAACAGTACTTATGCCATACATTCAGAGTGAGCATTAAACATCAAAGTAAGCATTCACACATACTACTCAGTGTTAGGTAATCTTGTTATTAATGTTAGTGGAGGCTGGGCATGGTGGCTCATGCCTATAATTCTAACACATTGGGAGGCTGAAGCAGGAGGATCACTTGAGACCAGGAATTTATTCGAGACCTTGGGCAACAGGGACAGATCCTGTCTCTCTCTATAAAAAAAAATGAAAATAGAAATAAAACATAATGCTAATGGAAAATGACAATTTGAAGCAAAGGTTGGACAATCCCTTACGTGAAATGCTTCATGCTTCTCAAAGACAGTAGGATTAGAAAACCTCAAGGTTGCTTTCAGTTCTATGGCTCTCTGATTCTCTACAATATTCTTTGTGTAGGAACAACAACCACCACCAAATTAATGACCCTTCATTGATTCTTAGTGAGCCCGTGGTGGACTAGGTCCTTTACCTGTATTATTTTTCACCTGAGCCACAATACTACTGGGTTGCATTATCATCCTCATTTTACGCATGAGAAAACTAAGCAAGTGCTAGAGGCTATACTTACAGGAAGAGGCAGAGGTTGAATCTTGACCTGAGTCCTTCTAAATTCAAAGCCAATGCTCTTTCCTATGTGCTGTCCTTCTATATAGAAACAGGAGACAAGTTCCTCATTCTCAGATAGTTTTCCAGGAGTGGGAGGTCTTTCCTTGTGTTAGTCTGTAATCACATATTGAGTTCCTCTTGTGACCAACAGCAATATAGAAATGGCACCCATCTGCAAATGGGTTGACTGGGCTTGAGCTACCAGCCACGGTCGAGGATCACATCTCTCTGGACACTCATCTCATGTGCTTAGTAGTCCCAGAGGATCTTACAACAGACAATTGGATGGTGAAAAATGTAAACAACCACTTTAATGTAGTGAGTGGGCTTGACATGAATCAACAGGTTTTTTTTAGTTCCTATAAAAATGAAGGATCAAGAGTCTTATGTGTTTTTACCTTTGAATAGGGAAAGAGTGATGTCTGAAATCATATTTAATGCTGGTTATATGGACTGTAAAGCCACTGCTTCCTATGCCTTAGAAGCTGAGGGAGACAAAGCCAGAAGTAACAATGACAGTGGTAAATATCTTTGAATAAGTCTGTACCAATTATAATTACTAGAAACTAGAGTCTCCTTCCTTCCTTTAGCAACGTCGCAAATGTCTTGGTGTGTTCCTTGAGAGCCCATTACATTTGTTTGCTGTCAACTTCAAAGTCACATTTCATCAAACTGCCTGCCTGCCTGATGGGTGAGTCGCCAGTTCTGCCAATAATGGTCCTTCAATGTCACAACTGTGGCTCTTACTGCTGTATGGCTGCCACTCCCTCAGAGTCTGGGAAAGCATCTCTGAAGACTGGGGCTTATGCATGTTTATTGGGCTCTCCAAAGGGTGGCTGTCTGTTTTCTTTTAGTTAACTTTTGAGGAAAATGGGACAAATTTACTCAGGACTAGGTTGGATTATATTTGAGTATCATAACCAAGACTGTATCCCCAAGCTGATGATGATAGAGTGTCCCAGGAGACAGCATGTGCCTGATTCAATCAGAATATTCTTTCTGGAGCCTGCTTCTCAAACTGTGTCTGGCTTTCTCCTGGTGAACTGAGCCAAGTTCTTCTGAGGGGCCCACAACCGATCCTCTGGCATTTCTTACAGGTGAATGATGAAAAATTCAATGGACTTATCTTTATGTAAAACTAATTGCTTCTTAGCAGTAAAACTACTGAATGATGCTAAAAGTTTCATATAGAAATTATTCTGTGGTTTTTTTTTTCCTCTAGAACAAAATCATTAGCAAAATAATAAAAAGGTAATTTTCTCTCCTCATCCCCCCTAACAGAATTGGGCTTTGTGCTTCCTGTTCCTGGATTCCTGATTCCAGGAGGAACAGCCTTTTTGAGTACGGTGATGTATATAGAGTTGTGCCAACATGACATGGTCCCCATCCCAGTCTTGGTTTGGAAGGTCTAGGCCAGGGGTTCCAGACTCAAATGCCTTCTTAGCATTATGAGTAATGTAGATGAATGTAGTGTTTAAGACATAGTAAGAGAAGTGGTGAGGTCTGTGGTAACCTGGATCATATATCCTTCTTAAAAGGGCTGTGCAGCTGCCGCCCTGCTCTAGCTAATGATTGCCACCTAGGGAGGTAGATCCAGGTCATCACATTGAAATAGAAATCTGGAAGTAAAAATACTGCTATGGCCTAAATGTTTGTATGCCCCCCATTTATATATTGAAACCTAATTCCAAATGCGGTGGTATTAAAAGGTGGGATCTTTTGGGGGTAATTAGGTCATGAGAGCCCCACCCTTATGAATGGGATTAGTGCCTTTATAAAAGAGGCTCAAGGGAGCTCATCCACCCCTTCTGCCATGTGAGGAAGGGAAGCCCAATTCTAGTAGGGACAGAGAACAGGGAATAAGAAGGTAGTAAGTAAAATGTAATAGGTTGGCTTGGGATAAGTGCCAAGGAGAAAAAATAAAGCAAGGAGGGAGAAGAGTAATTGTGTGTGGAGGGAGTATTGAGAGAAGAGAGATGCAATTGTAGACAAGATTTTCTGGAAAAGCTTAATTGCCCTTAGCAGAGACCTGAAGGAGAAAAGGGGAGAGCCATGTGAAAATCTGGGGGAAAGGCACTCCAGAAAGAGGAAGAGCATGTGGAAAGACCCTCAGATGTTGGCACAGGGGCTGAGTCACAGGGACAGCACGAAGCACAGAATGGCTGAGAGCAATGATCAGGAGGAGAGTCACAGGGAATGAAGTCAGAGAAAAGGGGGTCAGGGTCAGACTGTGTACGGCCTCTGAGAAAGACAATATAATGGTTAATACTGAGTGTCAACTTGATTAGATTGAAGGATGCAAAGTATCAATCCTGAGAGTATCTGTGAGGGTGTTGCCAAAGGAGATTAATGTTTGAGTAAGTGGGCTGAAAAAGGCAGACCCACCCTTAATCTGGGTGGGCACCATCTAATCAGCTGCCAGAGAAAGGGTAGAATTTGAATAGGTATGTGGATGAGAGTGGGGGGCTATGATAAAACAATAGGCCAAGAAGGATCACATCTTTAAAGCAAGCAGGAAGGCTGTCCCGGACAACAGAGAGTAATTTGGTAGCCCAGGTATGGATGGTATGGAAACAAAACAAAACAAAACAAAAGTTTAACTTGGAACAAAATATGACTCTCCTAATTCTCTGGCAGGATTCTTTGCTTTTCTGACAACTCATTGCCCACCAGCAAATAGGGAAGAGTGGATTTCAAGTCTCTAATATTCAAATCACTGTGATGTATAAACTACGTGTCAATTCCTTTGATGAAAAGTGCAGTAAGAACAGTAATGAGTTGAGACATATTTCAAATGACGAAAATAGCAAATCTGATAAAAACTCATTTATTTTGCTTCTGTTATTTCCTGGCCAATTCAAAAGTGACCCAGACTCTAAATATTTTTTTCTCTGCTTACCTTGGAGCCTCAGAATAACTTTGCAATGGATGATAAATAATATTTTCACATTGAAAAACAAAATTAAATAGCATATCAGTTGAGGGTGGCTAACCATTTCACATTCATAAACTTCCAATATAAATGAATCATTGGATATAATTGTAAAGAAATATGCTGCCTTAAATATATGCTGTAGCTTTTAGCTAAACCACTGCATTTCTCCAATACTAACACAACCTATTGGAGTCGACTGCTTCTTATAAGAGCAGTAAAAGAGGTTGAAGCACTTAGTGCCTTCTACCAAATTGCAAGGCAGGGTTCATTTAATTCATGGGGCTGAGTGGAGTCATTTTTGCAGTGCTAATGGAGATTACAGCTTTTTTATTAGACCTGCCATCTCCATAGTAACTGCACAATATCTCAACAACACACTGATCATAGCAAATACAGAAGTAGGAGTCATTTATTTCTTAGATGACAGCCAATAATTTTCTGTTCGGGAGTTTCATCTTCTATGCATAATGCCTTCCATGCTGCAAATATTTAATGTAGGGCTTGGATTCGAGATGCTAAATAGTGTCTAAATAATCTGCTAGATGTTGTGGGATGTTGTGTTTAACCCAGAATCCAACAGACTTTTGAAAAGAGAGCTAGTTTCCTCTGTTTTTGACTCTCAGTTTCTATTGGTCATTTAGGAAAAGAGAATTTTAGACTGAGCTTCCTTTGTGGATAAATGGGTTGCAAAGGCTCACAGAGAAATTCTTACCGTCTACAGTTGACCTAATGGAAACAGTACTTCTGTCAGAGAACACTTATTTTCTGGGGTATCTTTCCAGCCTGTTATGAAATATAGCTGATACCTGGTTTGCTAAACTTGCAGATGGATGCCTCTGGGCAAAATTGTCTTCAAATTTGATGAGAAATTTTAAATGCAACTCATATTTCATATTCAACTGTGGTGTGATAAAATGTTTAAAGGTATTTCCTAATACTCCAGTGACTTCAAAAAATGTGATTTACAATAACTTCTCTTTCCCTAAATCCTAAATAAGATGAAAAGCAATGCAGCTGTTTCTCATTATTCCCCCACTGTGTCTTCGGTTGAGGGCTCGAGAGCCCAGAGCCTCATGCTTTGGGAGTTCAAAATCATTAAATTTTTGGCTTTTACTCTAGTTTCCACACCTGTGCTCCCAGAATCCAAAGGGTAAAATGCTGTCCAAGCATCCCCAGCAATAACAAGAAACACAGGCAGCCCTTGCTGAAGTTTTAAAATTAACAGAGGATATGAGAGCTTGGTTAGTAGCAGCCAAAAGTTAAAAACACCCATTATCCATGGCCCTTTCTGCCAGATAAATCAAGTTCTAATTTAACCACATCCAAACCTGAGTATTGTTGAGGATGAAAGATGTGGATTTGAGTTAGTAGAAAGTCTTGAATTCGAACCCTGACTCTTTCACTCATTGAGTTTATATTGAATTTTTACATTGCTGAGACTTTGTTGTCACATCCTTAAAATCTCTTTCCCACTAGAGTGTTGAAAGGATTGACTGCTATAACATGTTGGAGGCACCTGGAATGTGTCTCCCACATCAGACGTGCCTAATAAACAATGAAGTGCATCTGAACCTCTAAGGCAGATTGGGTATCCAGACTTGCTTACTAAGAAAGAGGAAACTGAAGCTCCATGGCAACATCTAATCAAGGGTTTTGTAGAATCTCAGAGTTGGAAAACAGTTGCATTCTAGTCCCCACCATCTTCCCGATGAATGATTTAGCTCTACATCATCTCTGTCAATTGCAACTCCTCACAGCTTTCAGGTATGAATGTTTTCGAATACAGAGGAATTGCCACTTCATCAGTCAGCCATTTCATTATGAAAAACGAAAAGGGGAGAAATCAACCATTTTGAGGATCAACTGTGTCTAGCACTATACAGATATTATTGTACTTACCTAAATAACCACTCTGCAAAGTAGGTATTATTATCCCAATTTTACAGACTGGGAAATTGAGGATCAGATAATGAATAATTTTACAAGCCCCCACGGATTTACTGAAAATAGCAGTGATCTCCAAAAGTGATTGATATACTGGGAAATAAAACTATGGACTTAATCTAAAATGTCAGAGATTGGTCAAGTTTAATAGATTTGTTCTTATAACTAGCACAATTCCAACATGTCTGTGTTCTTTATGGAGATGAATAGAAGCATCTCTCTCATCTTTTTATAACTTATAGCATCTCTCCAAGTATAATGCTTGTCTCTGTCCTCTTATGTGATTAGGTAAGAACCCTAGATATGCATTAACAGAAATTTGGAGCTCTGCTTTCTATATATTCTGAAATGAAAGCTAAATCCATGTTATTCTCAAAGAGTCTATTGCTACTTTAGAGATAAGTACAAGCTAGGGAATGCAGAGGTAATGTGTTTTTTTTTGTTGTTGTTTGTCCTGGTATCTCCAGTGCTTCACACAGTGCCTCATACATAAAGAGTGTTCAGTAAATAATTGTTGATTAATGAAACCTAACATATTCAGAGTGGTGTTGTGATTTAATATAATCTTTTCTTGAATTTTAAACATGCCAAATTGCCTTTAAAAAAGAGGATAGCGTATTATGAACCAAGGAATTGAGTTCTTAACTTTCATTTTAGGAAAGAAATTATCTTCTTTCAGTTTGCCTGGTTTGAAAGAGACTGGTCTCAGATCTAATGGACACCCATAAAATATACATTGTCATTCAGATTCCACAAGTTTTTCCATGTGGTTAACAGAATCGTTTGTCTCTTAGCTTTCCATTTAACAGAGTTTTCTGGCCTATAAAGAATCACTTATTATACAATTTGATGTAAGCTTTTTCCATTATGGTCAGAATCTGGGAGGACAAATTTTAAAATGCATAGTTTGAGGTTGATAAATGCACCCCTTAGCCCCTCATTTCATCTTTGGGTTACATTTCCCATCACTCCAGTATTTGCCCTAAGTGCTCAGGAATTTTGGAAATGGGCAGCATGTGTGCACTTCCATTTGTGGTGACCCTACCTCATCTAATCCTTTTTTTCTCAGTCAGAAAATAAAAGAGGGGGAGAGATCTCTGGGGGCACGACAAATCTTAGATCTCTTTTTTTTATGTTTAACTTTTCTAAAATATTTTCTTTGGAGAGGTACTGGACCATGTCTTCACAAGGCAGTTTCTTTGCCCCTCATCCTTTCCAGACCTCTTTTTAGGCCGGGGCAATTTTCTTGACATTGGAAGGAAAGGCAGACTCTTTGTTTTCATTTGGAACCATCAGTTTCTTCCTGCTTTACAGCTCACCACTCATTCCTAATCCTTCTCCCTTCTCTTTCTTCTTTCCTCTCTCTGATATATTTTTAGTCCTGTTTTGCCCTTAGAAAACCTAAGCCATAAGATCATCTGCCAAGATGGGTTTGGCCATAGGGATAAAGTGTTTAAGTGCCCTACCACTTTTCCCAGGGGATGGTAAGAATTCTTGATATATAAGAAAGTGTGTTGTTCACTGATGTGTAAACAGGGAAGGTCAGGCTTTCTGACAATACTTCTGCATCTCAGGAAGCTAAATTAAATAAATGTTTAAAAAGCAAAAAGTAGGCTTTTCTCATCTTAGAAGCATTTCTTCTTTTCCCTGCAGTACAGTACATAATTACAAAAGTTGGTTGAAGTAGTATAAATGGGGCGTTATTATGCCTTTTTAATTTATGCCAGAAGTGTATATCTGTTCAAGTTTCTAAGGCGTATGCAGTCATTTTATCTCATAAATAATGTCTCTGTGATTCAGGAGCAAGAATTATGTTTTCTAATTCCTTGTACTGGCCATTGGAAGATATTCAGACATTTATTAATCTACTTAATAAATATGCATTGAGATGACCCCTATGACATCTACCCAGAGGGCTGTAGTGTCACGGCACCAGGTGAACACAGAGAGGCAGCATCATTGCTGGCAGTTGAGCCTAGTCCGCACCCTATGTCCTGGAAAACAGATGGTCTAGCACATCAAGAATGCTGCCCCAGCACATAAAAAGCCCAAGCATGTGCTCCTCAGAAGCTGACAGCAGACTTCCCAGAGTTACCAATATTGATGACAACTCTGCCCCCAGGGATGGGGACATCCGGGACCTGAGAAGAGACCCACCAGGGGTCCTACTGTTGCTACTGCTGGCACTTGCAAGTACCACCCAGGGTCACAAAGACTAGCCTCCTTTTATCCCTGTCTGCACCCCACAGCCTCTACAAATATCTGTAGCCTGAGCCACTGAGGAGCTCACAGACACCACTTACATTGATTACAGCCAAAGAAACCATATAGAGATTACCCTACTGCACCTACTCAGAACCAAAGCCAAAGCACCTCACCTAACCAACACTATAGACATGTCTACAGGAAAAAGTCCCCATGAAAGCTTTCCCTATGAAAGCTACCCCATAAAATTGGAAGTAGTGACTGTTATACCAGACATGCGAATATCAATGTAAGAACACAAGAAATATAAAAGCAAGGAAACATGCCACCTCCAAAGGAAAACAATAATTTTCCACTAACAGACCCCAAAGAAAACAAAATATATGACATGCATGAAAAGGAATCCAAAATAATAATTTAAAAGAAATTTAGTGATATACAAGAGAAGACAGATAATATAAAGATATCAGAAAAACAATTCATGATATGAATGAGAAAGTCAACAAAGAGACAGATATTATAAAAAGAGAACCAAATAGAAATCTTAGAACTGAAAATTCAATGAATAAAATTAAAAATACAATCAAGAGCTTCAACATTAGACTACATTGAGTAGAAGAAAGAATTTCTGAACTTGATGACAAGTCTTTTGAAATAACTCAGTCAAACCAAAAAAGGAAAAAAAGAAACATGAAAATAGAAAGCCTATATGACATATGGAACATTATTAACCCTTTTCCCATTTGCCCCAAGAATACTTGTCAGCAACACTTGTGGTGGCAGCATTTACCCTGAGACAATTTAGCCATGAAGTATCTCACTTTTATTATTATTTTTGCATCACTCTATTATACCAACTTTGGAAACAAAAGACATCATTCTATTTATAGCATTCTGTTTTTAGTAGTAGTGTTTCCATTTACAAAGTATAGTAATTCTCGATTGCTTAAAATGTCAAATCCTAGAAAATGTAGCATTCCTACATGTGATGTTAACATTGTTCTCTAACAGTTGTTAGCCAAAGATTCATTTGGTGGATTAGATTTTTCCAAAATAGATGATTTTGATGATTCAGATGATTCTGACATTAGTTCTGTTTAGAAATATAACTCAAAGAGCAGTTTTTACATTTTATTTTCACATTGAAAATCAGTCAGATTTGCTTCAGCCTCAAAGAATGTGAGTATGTAAAATTAAATGAGCGCTGGCAGCAAGCTGCACTTTTTTTTCTAAATGGGAAAAAGGTTGAGTAAATAAACATTCACATTTTGAGAGTTCCAAAAGTAGAAAAGATACAAAAATGCAGGTAAAACTTATTTAATGAAATAACAACAGAAAATTCTCCAAGTCTTTGGAGAGATATAGACATCCAGATACAGGAAGCTCAAAGTACCAATATAGACTCATCTCAAAAGGCCTTCTCTGAGGCACATTACAGATAAACAGTCAAAAGTTTAACTTTGGAAAAGACAAACAGATAATTATAAAATCAGCAAGAGAAAAGCATCAAGTCACATATAAAGGGATGTTCATTAGACTAACAGATTTCTCAACAGAAATCTTGCAGGCCAGAGGAGAACAGAATTATATGTTTAAAATGCTGAAAGAAAAAGAAATAAAACTTACAGACAAGAATACGATACCCAGCAAAGCTATCTTTCAGAAATGCAAGAGAAATAAAGTCTTTTTCAGACAAGGAAAAACTGAAGGAATTCATCACCTTTAGATGGATCCTACCAGAAGTGCTTAAGCACGTTCTATATCTGGGAGCAAAAGGATGACACATACCATTATAAAAACACATGAAAGTATAAAACTCACTGGAAGAGCAGATACACAAATAGGAAACAAAAGGAATCAAATGTTTTTACTATAGAAAACCATCAATCTCCAAAAATAAACAATAAGAGAGAAAGAAAGGAACAAAGGACATGCAGAACAATCAGAAGACAATTAACAAAATGACAGGAGTAAGTCCTCATCTATCAATAACAATCTTGAATGGAAGGTTTAAATTCCCTAATTAAAAATCATAGAGTGGCTGAATAGACAAGAAAACAAGCCCCAACTATATACTGCCTACAAGAAATTTATTTACCTGTAAAGCCACACATAGACAGAAAGCCAAGGGGTGACAAAAGATATTCCACACAAATGAAAACCAAAAGCATGCAGAAGTAGCCATACTTATATTAGACAAAATAGATATTAAGTCAAAAAACATAAAAAGAGGCAAGTTATATAATGATAAAGGGATCCATTTAGCGAGAGGATATGACAATTGTAAATGTACATGAATCCCTCATCAGAGCAGCAGACTAGCAAATATTTTTAGGGCTGAAGAGAGGGATAGATATCAATACAATATTAGTTGGGGACTTCAACACCCCACTTTCAGCGTTGGACAGATAATCTAGATAGCAAATCAACAAACAAACATAAGACTCAAACTGCACTATAGATCAAATGGAACTAACAGACATTTACAGAACATCTCATCCAGCAGCTAGAGAATGCACATTCTTCTCACTGGCACATGGAACATTCTTCAGAATACACCATGTTAGGTAACAAAAAAGTCTCAACAAATTTTTAAAACTCAAAATCATACCAAGTATCTTAGAACACAATTGAATAAAACTAGAAATCAATAACAAGAGGAACTCTGGAAACTGTACAAATACATGGAAATTAAACAACATGTGCTTGAATCACCAATAGGTCTATTAAGAAATTAAAAAGGAAATGAAAAAATTTCTTGAAACAAATGAAAATAAAAATACAATATACCCAAACCAATGGGATGCAACAAAAACAGCACCAAGGGGAAACTTTATAGCAATAAATGTCCACATTATAAAAGTAAAAGTATTTTAAATATGAACAACCTACTTATGAACCTCATGGAATGAGCAAAGAAAATATTACATCTGAAATTAGTAGAAGAAAGGAAATAATAAAGAACAGGCCAAAACTAAATAAAATAGAAACAAGAAAGCAATAAAAAGATCAATGAAATAAAACATTGGTTTTAGAAGTTAAATCAACACACCATCAGCTAGACTAGGAAAAAAGAGAGACGATCCAAATAAATAAAATCAGAAACGAAAAAGACATTATAACATATCACAGAAATACAAAGGATCATTAGAAACTATTATGAACAATATTGCATGACTATTATGTCTATATTGTATGAGTTTTATATGCTGACATATTGGAAAACCTAGAGGAAACAGATAATTACTGGACACATATAACCCACCAAGATTAAATCAAGAAGAAATAGAAAACCTGAACAGACCAATAATGAGTAACAATATTGAATCAGTAGTAAAAGGTCTCCCAACAAGGAAAAGCCCAGGACTGAATAATTTACTACTGAATCCTACCAAACATTTTAAGAAGAACTAACACCAATTCTTCTCAAACTCTTGCAAAAAATTGAAGTGAAGAAAATTTGTCTTAATTCATTCTATGAGGCCAATTTTACCCTGAAACCAAACCAGATAGGGACGCAATTAATGAATGCTACTGGCCAGTATCCCTGATAAACATAGACGTAAAAATCTTCAACACAATACTAGCAAACTGAATCCAATAGCACATCAAAAAGATTATACCTCGTAATCAAATGGGATTTATTCCAGGGATGCAAGAACTGTTCAACACATGCAAACTAATCAACAGAATGAAGGATTAAAAACCCTATGCTTATCTCAATTGATGCAGAAAAAGCATTTAATGAAATTTAACACTGCTTTATGAAAAGAACTCTCAACAAATTATGTATAGAAGAAACAAATCTCAACACAATAAAAGCTATATATGGCAAACCCACAGCTACCATCATACTGAAAGAGAACAGGAACAAGACAACAATATCTACTTTTACCACTCCTATTCAGCATGGTACTAAAAGTCCTAGCCAGAAGAATTAGGCAAGAGAAAGAAACAAAGAGCAATCAGATTGGAAAAAAGGAAGTCAAATTGTTCCTTTTGGCAGATGACATGTTCTTATATGCAGAAAAACATAAAGACTTCCCCAACATCTCTTAGAACTGATAAACAAATTTAGTAAAGTTGCAGGCTACAAAATCAACATACAAAAATTAGTAGCATTTCTGCATGCCAATCACAAACTAGCTGAAAAAGAAGAATGCAATCTCATTTACAATAGCTATAAAAATAAAATATTAAGAAATAAATATAACCAAGGAGATGAAAGATCTCTATAATGAGAAATATAAAACACTGATTAAAGGAACGGAAGGGGACACAAAAATGGAAAGTCAACTGATGCTCATGGATTAGAAGAGTGAATATTGTTGAAATATCAATACTGCCCAGAGTAGTTTACAGATTTGCTAGGAATTGATAGGGATTGCTATCAAAATACCAATGGCATTCTTCACATAAATAGAAAAAATAATTCTAAATTTTATATAGAACCACAAAATGCCCTGAATAGCCAATGCAATCTGAGCATAAAAACAAAGCTGGAGGCATCACACTACCTGACTTTGAAATATGCTACAAAGATATAGTAAACAAAACAGCATGTTATTGGTCTACAAACAAATACATAGACCAATGAAACAGAATACAGAGCCTAGAAATAAACTCATGTATTTACAGCTAACTGATTTTTGATAAAGGAACCAAGAACATTTATTGGGGAAGGGCCACCTTCTTCAATAAATGGTACTTGGGGAAATGGACATCAATACACAGAAGAATAAAACTAACTAGACCCCTATCTCTCACCATATGCAAAAATCAACTCAAAATGGATTTAAAAATGTATAGCTTAAAAACTACAAAACTACTAAAAGAAAACATAGGGGAAATGCTTCAGAACATTGGTCTAAGCAAATATTTTATGGGTAAGACTATAAAAGCACAAGGAACCAAAACAAAAATAGACAAATGGGACCACATGAAACTAAAAAGTCTGCACAGCAAAGAAAATAATCATCAGAGTGAAGAAATAACATGTGGAATGGGTGAAAATATACGCAAACTATATGCCCAACAAAAGACTAATAGAATAAACAAGAAACTCAAACAATTTAACAGCAAAAACCTAATAATCCGATTTTAAAAATCAGCAAAAGCTCTGAATAGACATTTCACAAAAGAAGAAATACAAATGACCAACAAGTGTATGAAAAAATATTCAATATCACTAATAATAAGGAAAATACAAATAAAAACTGCAATGAGATATTATCTCACCCCAGTTAGAATGACTATTATTAGAAAGACAGAAATAACAAATGCTGGCAAGGATGTGGAGAAAAGGGAACTCATACACTGTGGTACAAATGTAAATATGTACAGCCACATGGAAAACAGTATGGAGGCTTCTCAAAAGACTAAAAATAGAAGTACCTAAGATCTATCAATCCCACTACTGGATATTTGTCCAAAGGAAAGGGAATCAGTATATTTAAGAGATACCTGCCCACCCATATTTATCACAGCACTATTCCTGTTAGCCAAGATATGGAATCAATTCAAATGACCATCAACAAATGGATGAATAAAAAAAGTGGTTGAAATACTATTTAGACATAAAAAATAATAAAATCCTGTCATTCATGGCAACATGGATGATCCTGGAGAACCTTATGTTAAGTGAAATAATTCAGGCAGAGAAAGATGAATACTACATGTTCTTATTCATATGTGGGAGCTAAAATAAAGTTAAGCTTATAGGAGTAGAGACAGAGTCTGGGAAGAGGAGGGAGAAGCATAGGGAGAGATTGATTAACAAATACAAAGTTACAGCTAAGAGGAGGAGTAAGTTCTAGTGTTCTATAGAACTGGCAGGTGAATATAGTTATTAATAACTTATTGCATATTTGCAAAAAGCTAGAAGAGATAATTTGGAATGTTCCCAACACAAATAAATAATAAATGTTTGAGGTCATGGTTATGCTAATTACCCTGATTTGATCATTACATATTGGATTCTCATATCAAAATATCACCCTGTATCCCATAAATATGTATAATTATTATGTGGCAACTAGAAATAAAAAGAAAAAAGATTAGTACAAAAAAAGTAAATAAATAGATAAAATGAGGCAAAAAAAAAAAAAAAAAAAGAATTGAATGCCTACATGCACCAAGACAAGAAAACACTGACCAAGTGTATATGCCTAGGATGTCCCTGAATTCTGGTTATCTAGAACCTACTTAAATTGCTGAAATGAACATCTCCTAACTATTAACACTGTTTCCCACTACAAGACAGTGCTGATTTAATTCTGAGTTTTCCCTTGTTTTCCTAAATATGCCTGAAAAGCCTGTTTAGTGAAAATTAAGAACAATTAAATATCCACAATCCTCTATATTTCCCCACAACCCTGATACAGATCCCTGGCCTCTGTGGTGAATAGTTTAAAAACCTTGCTTTCAAATTTCCTCTTCTCTCTACCTCAACAGGAGGGGAGACCTCCGGTCAAAATCAAAGACTGCTACTTGGTCTCATGTTCTAGAAACAAAGATTTCAAAGGATTTAAAAAGTGATTCTCAAATTTGATTGTAATTAGAATCACCTGGGAAGTTTCTTCACGTATTATGAGAGCTTTATTTTACTTAGATCATTTTGAACTTCTCTACTTCTGTCCTGGGAATTCTTGCCCAATATTTGATCTGCTTGATTTGTTGTTTTTGTTTAAATAAACTTTTATTTTGAAGTAATTTTAGATATATAGAAAGGTTGCAGCAGAAATAATGCAGATTTCCGATATATCCCTCACCCAGTTTTCCCTCATGTTATCATCTTATTTTATTGTGGTGTATTTGCCAGGACTAAGAAATCAGCAATGCTACATTACAATTAACTATAATCCAGACTTTATGCAGATATCCCCAGTTTTTCTATTATGCTCTTTTTCCATTCAAAGATGCAGTCCGGAGTACCACACTGCATTTAGATGTCTCTCAGTCTCCGCTTGTCTGTAACATGTTATCAGTCTTTCCTTGCTTTCCTTGACAGCTTTAAGGAGTACAGTTAAGTATTTTACAGAATGTTCTTCAACTTGGATTTGCCTGTTTTTCTCATAATTAGAATGGGATTGTGGGTTTACGGGAATAGTACCATGAAGGTGAAGTGCCTTTTTCATCACATAACACCAGGGGATCCATGATGACCACATGGTATCACAGGTGATGTTAACCTTCAACCTTCATCACTTTGTTAAAGTCATGTTTTCCAGATTTCTCCACCATAAGTTACTATTACATTTTTCCCTTTTCCTACTTTATTCTTTGGAATGAAGTTACAAAGTCTAGCCTACGCTAAGGAAGATGAGGGAAGAATTAAGCTCCATCTCCTGGAAAGGGAAATATGTTCATAAATTGAGATTATTCTGTAAGAAATGTTTGTCTCTTTATCCCTATTAATTCAGTTATTTATAACAGTATGGACTTAAGTGTATTCATATTATACTTTGAGTTGTAACACAGTACCATATTTTTAAATTTTATTGCTCAAATCTTTCCAGCTTTGGCCATTAGGAGTTCTTTCGGGTTGGTTCCTGTGTCCCTTTGACATATACCATCCTTTTCTTTTTTTCTACACTGCCTTAGTTTCTGGTAGCACAAGATGCTTCCAGTTCATCTTGTATTTTTCATGCCCTGGAAGTAGAATCAGCCATTTCTCCAAATAAACCTGGTTCTTTTTATTGGAAAATGATAAGTAGTCACCAAGATCTGGGAACTGGGAATGCTAATTGCTGTTGAAGTGTCATTGCTCTTAGCACAGAGCTAGGTAATACATATTTGTATATTAGCCTGTATACACACACATATCTGTAATTGTTTCTGTATGTATTTGGGTTTGTGTGTGTATAGTTAAACATGAGTTCTTACTGATGTCCAAACTCTAATCCAGCCTACACGGTTCATTCTAGCCTTCCCTTCTTGCTAATCTGTAACTTCCCCGCCCCCGACAATGAGAAACCTGACTCCCACCATTCATTGCCCATTTACTGATCTTTTTACTCCAGTATACAGAAAATGTCATTTCAGAATTGTTAGTCCATATCCCACCTGGGGAAATTTTAAAATGCTCATAGTCCAAGATGTACCTGAGAGCAATTAAATCAATTTCTGGGGATGCAGCCCAGGTCTTAGAAGTCTTCAAGTTGCCCAGGTGATTTCAATGTATAAGCAGGCTGAGAACCTTTGGGTCAAAAGGTCAGCACATGTGGATAGAATTTTTCTTGCCCATCTCTCCCTGTTTACTTCCATGTGACTAAAATGGGGAGAGCTCAGGCCTGCTTCAACATGGAAGGAACAGGTAGTTCAGTGTCCCTGGATTATATTCCCTTCTCTGCATCAATTTGGAAGGAGAGAAAAATTCTCTCTTGGGCTCTGTCTCTGAGGCCTCAAATTCTCTGATTGGACTTCTTTTCCATTAGGGTGCATGATCTGATTCTGGCATAAATGGGGAAAACAGACCGAGCCTGCTTCACGGCCTGCTTGACTGGCTCCCAGGTTAAGGAATAAAGTCCCTGTCAGGTGTGTCACAGCCCAGATAACTAGTTCACAGTGTTGAGCACTGGGTTGTCAAATACGACACAGCTAGGACTAAAGTGTTCCTTTACCTTCTGTTTACCTTGCTTTTCCTCCTGTGTACACACTTCATGTTGTAGACCCTTGGGGGAGAGCCGTTGGTCAAGAATGAGATTTGGAGGGTCCTAAATACCCCAGCCTAAAGGATATAGTTTCTTATTTAAAAATTAAACATAAGCAAGTGTTAACTAATAATATGCATCATTTGTATAATACAAATTATTTTGTATTTAAAGTAGGATTAATTTTAATCAAAGTAATACCCAGATGAAGTTTAAAAACCTCAAACCATGCAGAAGAATCTAAAATTCAAAATCTCTCTTTTTTAATGTTCAAATCCTGAAGTAGTTGCTTTAAGTACATCCTAATTTTTCTCTTTCTTTTTCTTTTCTTTCTTTCTTCTTTCTTTTTCTTCTTTCTTCCTTTTTTTTGATGTTGACTATTAAAAGTTTGAATAATATGTTTGTACCACTCTGGCTTGAATTATTAAGGAGTTTGTTGACTTATCACTGTGAAAGATGAGAAATTGAACACATTCATTCTACTGTTTTCATCTCTCTACCCTCAGTTTTATAAATTAGATTTATTTTTTCTTGGTCAAGGTTTATAATCTTTATTTAGGTTTCATAATCATAACTTTGTCCTTTATGCTTCTGTTAACTCAGAGGTCAGTTTTTCTGTTTGTTCATCTTGGTTATTATCTTTTCTGCTGTTTTCTCCAAATATTGTGTGATCTTTGGTTGTCAGTTCCTTTTATGATTGAAGAGCTAGGTTGATTACTGTGGGTGCCTGCACTGGTTTTCTGTCAAGTTAGCATAATTTGGTTGTGAAGAACAGAAATCGACTCTGTATAACCTGAGCTGATAAGGGGAAGGAATTCACTGGAACGATTTTGAGTGACATACAGAATTGAAAACAGAGAATTGCCTCTGAAAGAAAAGTACCAGGCAGCTGGGGGCAGGTGAGTGGAGAAGACAGAGAACAGAAAGCAATGTGCAGTCTGTTTAGGGAGCTTCCTTCAAAATGACACAACTCCCAACACTTTTCTCATTAAGTCACTCCACTTAAGATTCAAACTCCTAGAGAAAGCATTTATTTGGGCCGTATATTCACTTCTTCACAGGGGCAGAAGACATTGTGGTCAACAATTCTACCATGAACCAATGAGTGGGAGAGTGAGAGTTCCCCAAAGGGAAAAGCAAAAGGGGGCAGAAAGAAAAGCTGGCAAACAAACAGAAGTCCACTAGAAACCTTTTCCCTTCCACTCATCTAGGTCTGTTTCTTTTTCTTTTCGTTTTTGTAATTTTGTGGCAAAAACATGCACATACACAAAACTACATAAATGCTTACTTATATATCAGTGTGAAGTTCTGCAATCAATTATCAGCAACCCTAAAAACAGGAGTGCTGGTTAGCTGTGTTCTCTCCCACTGTGCAGGATGCTCTGTCACCCTGCTTTTCTCATAAGTGATTTCTTTTCCTGCTGCAGATCTTAGTTCAGAAAGGCCTGTTCTGATGTGCAATTTGAAGTAGCCCCCTACTACCTCACACATTTTCCTGATTATTTTCATCTTAGCAGTTCTCCGAATTTGAATTTCTATGTTATATACTGGCTTGTTCTATGTTATATACTTGGTTGATTATTGTGTGTCTTTCACCTCTAAAGTATTAGCACAATGGGGGCAGGGACATGTTCATCTCATTTCCTGCTCTGTGCCTGACAATCACTCAAGTCATGTTTGTTGAATGAATGATTGGCTCATTGTGAACTGTGAGTGGCAGGGCATATCAACAGGCATGGAGAAAACAGACTGGATCCCAAAACTGCCAATGCAAGGAGCATTTTACTCTGTAGTAGAAAAATTTAAAGTATTTCACTTTTGAAAAAAAAATCGGCTTTTAAAAAAATTTAATTTCTGATATGTAGCTCTTAAATTTCCTCAAGTGTTTTTTGTTTGTTTGTTTTTCTCTCAGGCCATAATATCCACTCTAGAAATACTCCTCAGGCTGACTAACCAATTTTTTAGAGAATAAGCCTGGAGCTTTAACTTTTTGCCTAGTTAAGTTAATAATAAGGCCTTGTCCTAGAGGCCTCTGCTAGGAGGTAGGAGGTAGAGGGTAGGTGAAAGGCCTTACTGGTCTGGCCCTTCACACTGTGGGTCTCTAAATAATTACCAGCACTTTTCTGACTTCAAGTTTGGAGCTTTATTTATGGGTGCTCCTCAGGGAAGGAGTGTCTAAGCCTCTGTTTAAGGGAAAGTAGGCATCGTCTGATCTTTTTTAATCCCATTAATCTGATTACAACTATTTCATATATTTCCATGATTTTCTCAAAATTTTCTGGCTGCTAGTTGTCCTTTTGTATTCCAGACTCTCATTATCAAATAGTTAATTCTTTTTTTTTTTTTTTTTTTTTGAGACAAGGTCTTACTCTGTCACCTGCCAGGTTGAAGTACAGTGGCACAATCATGGCTCAATGCAGCCTCCACCTCCTGGGCTCAAGCAATCCTCCCACCCCAGCCTCCCAAGTAGCTGGCACCACAGGTGTTCACCACCATGCCCAGCTAATTTTTGTATTTTTTTTGTAGAAACAGGGTTTCGCCATGTTGCCCAGGCTGGTCTTGTACTAATGAACTCAAGCAATCCTCCTCCCTTGGCCTCCCAAAGTGCTGGGCTTACAGGCACGAGCCACCACACTCAACCCATATTTTCAATTAATTAATTTCTCTTGTTTCAGAAGAAATTTGGGGATATTTGAGGTAGATATATGTACTCAGGCCACCTTTTGAACAAGATTTCAAAAATATTATCTTCATATTATTTTCCATCTCTTAAAAGCACCCTCTTGCCATTACTTCTAACAGAAATAACAGGTTGGTTATTAGCCAAATGGCTAAACTTGAACATGTTTTAAATTAATGTTCTTACAAGAATACATGGTAATAATGTTACACTGAGAAATATTTTTTCATTATTAATACTAATTAGACTAGTGTTTTTACTTTCTTTGCCCTTTGTGCAATACTCTATTTTAATCAAAGATTGCCAAAGCTGAAATCTCCTTTCTTTCAAAATTCTCTGTATTGGCACTTTCAAATATCTACTGTCTAACAATTCATTCATGTTGGCCCTAAGAAAAATGTAATTTATTTAAATGAATTTTAAATCCAAGATATACTAACTTATACACAGTGTAATTTAGTATAATTTTATAGGCATTTTGTATATTGTTATGCTTGGAGGAAAAAATTCAAATTCCAAATATATTAAGTATAAAAAATAAAACTACAAAATTGCTAGAAGAAAGTAAAGAACATATATTAATGAACTTTTGATAGAAAAAGTCAGAAACAATACAAAGCACAAATTAATAAAAAATTAAAATTTTTACCACATAAAAATTTTCAAATCTCATATGGCAAAAAAACAACATACACGGGGTGAAAAAAATAAGCCACAGACTAGGAAAAGGTATTTGCAGCATATATTAGACATAAGATTGTATCCAGAATATATAAAGAATTCTGGCCAATTAATAAGAAAAAGAAAAACAATACAATAGAAAATGGGTAAAGATCACTAAAAATTTAAAAAGGGATATTGAAATGACAAATATATGAAAATATATTCATCTTCTTGGAAATCAGATAAATATCAATAATAATACAACAAAAAATATTTCATGTTTTACTAATTAAGTTAGCAAATTTTGAAAAGTTTAACAATATCAAGTATTTGGTGAGATTGAGGAGGACATTAGTTGTTTTTCTATACGGCAGGTTGTAGATTAAATTGACATGGTCACAACGCAAAATAATTTAGCTTAAAAATCAATAACTCACACACACTATGATCAAGCAATTTCACTTCTAGCCATTTACCCTTGAACAGTGTTTCTCAAGCTTGGTAAACATCATTTGGTTTACGGTTAAAAGTACAAACTCCTAGGTTCCATCCCAGCCATTCCTGTCTCAGAATCTCCAATGGATGCCTCTTAGATACCTTCTGTTCATTCCTCCAAACCTACTCTCCGCCTTGCCCCCCTACTCTGTTCCCACCAGCCAAACTGTAAAACATTATAATTCAGAGGAAATTTGGTAGTCAGAAGGCACATACCTCAGCAATGAATTTAATTATCCCTACAATAAATGTAGTTATGGCCGACCTGAAAACAATAAAAGTATTGCCCCAAGCAATCAAACTATTTCCAACAAGAATACAAAAGTATTCAATGCCTAACAAGGTAAAATTTGCAATGTCTGCCATTCCTATCAAAGCTTATCAGGAAAATATAGTAGCCCTCAACAAGAATAAAAATTAACAATTGAAACTGACTCAGATGTATAAATGTTTCAATTATCAGACAAGCACTTAAAAATTATTATAACTATATTCCATATGTTCAAAAAGCTAGAGGAAAGATTGAACATTATAAATATGGAAGATATAAAAATATCCTTATTGAAATTCTAGAGGTGAAAATTACAATACATGAGATGAAAAATATACTTGTTTTGCAAATATTTTCCCTAGGTGCTTTTACTTTGTCTCCAGTGTCTTTTGATGCATAGATTTTAATTATATTTTAATGTAGCCATATTTATCAGTTTTCTTGCATAGATTGTGCTTTTCATCTTGTGTAAGAAATGTTTCCTCATCATTACCAAGGTCATAATTTTTTTTTTACATTTTCTTCTAAAAATATGCCCACTACCCTTATAATAATCCTCATTTTCTGCTTAAATTCGCCAGTAATAGTTTAACTGGTACAAAGGTTCTTGCAGGGGAGTTCTGTGACAGCTTACTTTTGATTGAAGAACAGTTCTTCTCTACTAGGGAACATCATTCTCTCTGACCAGGCACGGAATTTCAGGAGGATTCCTCACTATGTGATGAGTGAGGAAGAGAACATCAAGCCAGCCATATTAGTCACATGGACTCTGGCAACCGGTGAGTTGACAGATACCCCAGCTCCATCATCCTCAAGTCCTCATAATTGCCTGAGGTCACCAGCCAAGAAGGAAAGTAGTTTATGCCCAAGAGAATTCTGGATCCATAACAAGGAAAGAAATAACTTCCGCTAAGAGTTCTGCTCTCCCAGATCCATCAGACTGTATTTGAGAAACCGTGGCACCAACCATAAAAGATAAGGGCTTGGTGTTTTCAGCGTCTGAGCAAGAGCAGCTTATATTTCCCCAGTCAATATATTTCTGCCATGATTCATGGTGCTCCCCAGTTTATTTCCTGACTCATCTTTTTAGGAGGTCACAGTCAGCTTTTAATGTTCGGCTAGCCTCCTGACTCCTCTTTAAATAAATGAATAGATAATTAGAGGAGGAGATGAAATCTTAATTCAATCTCAATGACAGACTGTGTTTTGACAGAAGCAAAAACAAAGCAGAATAGGTTCTGGAGGCATGACATGTCGGTTATCACTACCCCCTTACACCGAAGATTATAATTCTGCCTTTGAAACATCCTTTGAAAATTTCTTACAGAAAGATAGAACTTCTTTAACTGTCTTATTTTTTTCTTGCATAATCATACCACATTACATTTACAGCATTTTGCATTTATTATTCCAAGTGATTTCAGTGTTATCAATGCAACATTCTTTTGATTGGACTGTTCTTCAAAAGGGAAAATTTTAAATCCACTATTTCTTCCCTATATTGCTTGAAAGAATGAGAATGCTATCAGTTACATAGTTCAAAGTACATATAGGGAAAAAAGGTGACTTTGACCAGAAGAAAACATTTTCTTTAAATTATCTTGTCCCCTACAAAATTCTGATAAAATTACAACATGCTTTACCTTATTTCTCAGTGTATGGAATAAATTGCATTTTGTTTTGCCTTGGAGTAGACCATGTACCAAAACAATATTAAATAATCACAATCTATGGTTTTCCTTTTGGACTTTATTGAAGCATGAACTGTGAGGGGCAATGCAACATTTTTTCTAATTGGCCCTTGTATTAAATTCTAATGCTAGACTCAAAATTCTATGCCAGTTATGAATTACTAGCGAGGTTATGTGAGGTTCTCAAAGCCAGAAAATAGTTGGTTATAATCACAGACAGCCAGTAAAGCCTTGGCCAGAAACTGGTGTTAAAGGGCTTTGAGCAAAATTAAATCCCATGGGATAGTGGTGTCCCACACCTCAGGCTCTAGGCAAGGCCCATAGCATCATGACCTGCAGCACTGAAACTGCAGACCCAATCAGGACCAGGCCTAGAAGATATATCTGGAGAATAAGGTGCTTCCCTAGGAAAGAGGAAGTGATTGAGATGTGTGTCCATATGCAAATGCAGATGTTTTGCTAATGCCTTCTTATCTCTCAGAAGACACTATACCCTCATTCTTTGTTGGCCAGAACAACTTAGAAAGCAACATAATCAGAACTCCACAAAAATACCCTGAGGAAGGCCAAGTTTATGTTTGTGCCTATCTTATTTGCTTTATAATCTCCCCTTCTTTTCCTCTTTATTCTCCTGGCATGCAGAATCTTCAATACCATTCCCTGACTGCCCAACCATTCCCCTGGGCAGTTATACAGGCCTGAGCTCTGTAAGCAGAAAACTCTTCCATCCTGAAATTCATTTGCCCTTTTCCCATGATTACAGACTCCTTGAGAAGGGCCAAAGGTGAGGACGTGGGGCAGTGTAAAAATTGTATGTCTTCTAACTCAGAGATCCAGGGTAACCTACTCAGGCTGCAAGCTGGTATTATGAGGGGCTAGTGGGGAACAAACCAAAAACTAAAATTATAGGTCATGCCTGAATATAGGGTAGAGAAACTTACCCCAAACAGCAAGTCACTACTTTCTAAATGGGGAGTGTCAGGCCTCTGAGCCCAAGCCAAGCCATCGCATCCCCTGTGACTTGCACGAATATGCCCTGATGGCCTGAAGTAACTGAAGAATCACAAAAGAAGTGAATATGCCCTGTCCCACCTTAACTGATGACATTCCACCACAAAAGAAGTGAAAATGGCCAGTCCTTGCCTTAAGTGATGACATTACCTTGTGAAAGTCCTTTTCCTGGCTCATCCTGGCTCAAAAAGCACCCCCACTGAGCACCTTGCGACCCCCACTCCTGCCCGCCAGAGAACAAACCCCCTTTGACTGTAATTTTCCTTTACCTACCCAAATCCTATAAAGCGGCCCCACCCTTATCTCCCTTTGCTGACTCTCTTTTCGGACGCAGCCCGCCTGCACCCAGGTGAAATAAACAGCCATGTTGCTCACACAAAGCCTGTTTGGTGGTCTCTTCACATGGACACACATGAAATTTGGTGCCGTGACTCGGATCGGAGGACCTCCCTTGTGAGATCAATCCCCTGTCCTCCTGTTCTTTGCTCCGTGAGAAAGATCCACCTACGACCTCAGGTCCTCAGACCCACCAGCCCAAGGAACATCTCACCAATTTTAAATCAGGTAAGCGGCATCTTCTTACTCTCTTCTCCAACCTCTCTCACTGTCCCTCAACCACTTTCTTCTTTCCACTCTTCAATCTCTCCCTTCTCTTAATTTCAATTCCTTTCATTTTCTGGGAGAGACAAAGGAGACACGTTTTATCTGTGCACCCAAAACTCCGGCGCCGGTCACAGACTGGGAAGGCAGCCTTCCCTTGGCGTTTAATCATTGCAGGGACACCTCTCTGATTATTCACCCACGTTTCAAAGGTGTCAGACCTATGCATACGTATGTTTATTGCGGCACCATTCACAATAGCAAAGACTTGGAACCAACCCAAATGTCCAACAATGATAGACCGGATTAAGAAAATGTGGCACATATACACCATGGAATACTATGCAGCCATAAACAATGATGAGTTCATGTCCTTTGTAGGGACATGGATGAAATTGGAAATCATCATTCTCAGTAAACTATCGCAAGGACAAAAAACCAAACACCGCATGTTCTCACTCATAGGTGGGAATTGAACAGTGAGAACACATGGACACAGGAAGGGGAACATCACACTCTGGGGACTGTTGTGGGGTGGGGGGAGGGGGGAGGGATAGCATTAGGAGATATACCTAATGCTAAATGACGAGTTAATGGGTGCAGCACCCCAGCATGGCACATGTATACATATGTAACTAACCTGCACATTGTGCACATGTACCCTAAAACTTAAAGTATAATATTAACAAAAAAAAGAAAAAGAAAAAAAAAAAGAAAAAAAAACAAAGGTGTCAGACCACGCAGGGACGCCTGCCTTGGTCCTTCACCCTTAGCAGCAAATCCTGCTTTTCTGGGGAAGGGGCAAGTACCCCAACCCCTTCTCTCCTTGTCTCTACCCCTTCTCTACTTTCCTGGGGCAGGGGCAAGTACCCCTCAACCCCTTCTCCTTCATCCTTAGTGGCAAGTCCCGCTTTCCTGGGGCAGGGGCAAGTACCCCTCAACCCCTTCTCTTTCACCCTTAGCGGCAAGTCCCGCTTTCCTAGGGGCAAGAACCCCCAATCCCTTATTTCTGCACCCCAACCTCATATCTCTGCACCCCAATCCCTTATTTCTGTGCCCCGACCCCTTATTTCTACACCCCATCCCTTATTTCCGTGCCCCGACCTCTTATCTCTGTGCCCCAACACCTTTTCCCACTTTTCTGGAAGGTAAGAACCCCCGAACCCCTTCCCTCCATTTCTCTACTCTCTCTTTTATCTAGGCTTGCTTCCTTCACTATAGGCAACCTTCCACCCTCCATTCCTCCTTCTACTCCCTTGGCCTGTGTTCTCAAAAACTTAAAACCTCTTCAACTCACACCTGACCTAAAACCTAAATGCCTTATTTTCTTCTGCAATACCACTTGACCCCAGTACAAACTTGACAGTAGTTCCAAATAGCCAGAAAATGGCACTTTGAATTTTTCCATCCTGCAAGATCTAAATAATTCTTGTCGTAAAATAGGCAAACGGTCTGAGGTGCCTGAAGTCCAGGCATTCTTTTACACATCAGTCCCTTCCTAGTCTCTGTGCCCCGTGCAACTCGTCCCAAATCTTCTTTCCCTCCCACCTGTCCCCTCAGTCCCAATCCCAAGAGTCGCTGAGTCTTTCTAATCTTCCTTTTCTACAGACCAATCTGACCTCTCCCCTCCTCGCCAGGCCGAGCTAGGTCCCAATTCTTCCTCAGCCTCCGCTCCTCCACCCTATAATCTTTTTATCGCCTCCCCTCCTCACACCTGGTCGGGCTTACAGTTTCGTTCCATGACTAGCCCTCCCCCACCTGCCCAGCAATTTACTCTTAAAAAGGTGGCTGGAGCCAAAGGCATAGTCAACGTTAATGCTCCTTTTTCTTTATCACAAATCAGATAGTGTTTAGGCTCTTTTTCATCAAATATAAAAATCCAGCCCAGTTCATGACTTGTTTGGCAGCAACCCTGAGACACTTTACAGCCCTAGACCCTAAAAGGTCAAAAGGCCGTCTTATTCTCAAAATACATTTTATTACCCAATCTGCTCCCGACATTAAATAAAACTCCAAAAATTAAATTCCAGCCCTCAAACCCCACAACAGGATTTAATTAACCTCACCTTCAAGGTGTACGATAATAGAAAAAAGTTGCAATTCCTTGCCTCCACTGTGAGACAAACCCCAGCCACATCTCCAGCACACAGGAACTTCCAAACGCCTGAACCGCAGCGGCCAGCCATTCCTCCAGAACCTCCTCCCACAGGAGCTTGCTACACGTGCTGGAAATCTGGCCACTGGGCCAAGGAAGGCCCGCAGCCCAGGATTCCTTCTAAGGCACGTCCCATCTGTGTGGGACCCCACTGAAAATCGGACTGTTCAACTCACCTGGCAGCCACTCCCAGAGCCCATGGAACTCTGGCCCAAGGCTCTCTGACTGACTCCTTCCCAGATCTTCTCGGCTTGGCGGCTGAAGACTGACACTGCCCGATCGCCTCAGAAGCCCCCAGACCATCACGGACGCCGAGCTTTGGGTAACTCTCACAGTGGAAGGTAAGTCCCTCCCCTTCTTAATCAATACGGAGGCTACCCACTCCACATTACCTTCTTTTCAAGGGCCTGTTTCCCTTGCCTCCATAACTGTTGTGGGTATTGACGGCCAGGCTTCTAAACCTCTTAAAATTCCCCAACTCTGGTGCCAAATTAGACAATACTCTTTTAAGCACTCCTTTTTAGTTATCCCCACCTGCCCAGTACCCTTATTAGGCTGAGACACTTTAACTAAATTATCTGCTTCCCTGACTATTCCTGGACTACAGCTATATCTCATTGCCGCCCTTCTTCCCAATCCAAAGCCTCCTTTGTGTCCTCCTCTTGTATCCCCCGACCTTAACCCACAAGTATAAGATACCTCTACTCCCTCCTTGGCGACCGATCATGCACCCCTTACCATCCCATTAAAACCTAATCACCCTTACCCCACTCAACGCCAATATCCCATCCCGCAGCACGCTTTAAAAAGATTAAAGCCTGTTATCACTCGCCTGCTACAGCATGGCCTTTTAAAACCTATAAACTCTCCTTACAATTCCCCCATTTTACCTGTCCTAAAACCAGACAAGCCTTACAAGTTAGTTCAGGATCTGCGCCTTACCAACCAAATTGTTTTGCCTATCCACCCCGTGGTGCCAAACCCATATACTCTCCTATCCTCAATACCTGCCTCTATAACCCATTATTCTGTTCTAGATCTCAAACATGCTTTCTTTACTATTCCTTTGCACCCTTAATCCCAGCCTCTCTTCACTTTCACTTGGACTGACCCTGACACCCATCAAGCTCAGCAAATTACCTAGGCTGTACTGCTGCAAAGCTTCACAGACAGCCCCCATTACTTCAATCAAGCCCAAATTTCTTCCTCATCTGTTACCTATCTCGGCATAATTCTCATAAAAACACACGTGTTCTTCCTGCCAATCGTGTCCGACTGATCTCTCAAATCCCAGCACCTTCTACAAAACAACAACTCCTTTCCTTCCTAGGCATGGTTAGCGTGGTCAGAATTCTTACACAAGACCCAGGACCACACCCTGTAGCCTTTCTGGCCAAACAACTTGACCTTACTGTTTTAGCCTAGCCCTCATGTCTGCGTGCAGCGGCTGCCGCTGCATTAATACTTTTAGAGGCCCTCAAAATCACAAACTATGCTCAACTCACTCTCTACAGTTCTCATAACTTCCAAAATCTATTTTCTTCCTCATACCTGATGCATATATTTTCTGCTTCCCGGCTCCTTCAGCTATACTCACTCTTCGTTGAGTCTCCCACAATTACCGTTGTTCCTGGCCCAGACTTCAATCCGGCCTCCCACATTATTCCTGATACCACACCTGACCCCCATGACTGTATCTCTCTGATCCACCTGACATTCACCCCATTTCCCCAAATTTCCTTCTTTCCTGTTCCTCACCCTGATCATGCTTGATTTGTTGATGGCAGTTCCACCTGGCCTAATCACCACACACCAGCAAAGGCAGGTTATGCTATAGTACAAGCCACTAGCCCGCCTCTTAGAACCTCTCATTTCCTTTCCATCGTGGAAATCTATCCTCAAGGAAATAACTTCTCAGTGTTCCATCTGCTATTCTACTACTCCTCAGGGATTATTCAGGCCCCCTCCCTTCCCTACACATCAAGCTCGAGGATTTGCCCCACCCAGGACTGGCAAATTAGCTTTACTCAACATGCCCTGAGTCAGATAACTAAAATACCTCTTAGTCTAGGTAGATACTTTCACTGGATAGGTAGAGACCTTTCCTACAGGGTCTGAGAAGGCCACCGCAGTCATTTCTTCCCTTCTGTCAGACATAATTCCTCAGTTTAGCCTTCCCACCTCAATATAGTCTGATAACAGACGAGCCTTTATTAGTCAAATCAGCCAAGCAGTTTTTCAGGCTCTTAGTATTCAGTGAAACCTTTATATCCCTTACGGTCCTCCGTCTTCAAGAAAAGTAGAATGGACTAAAGGTGTTTTAAAAACACATCTCACCAAGTTCAGCCACCAACTTAAAAAGGACTGGACAATACTTTTACCACTTTCCCTTCTCAGAATTCAGGCCTGTCCTCGGAATGCTACAGGGTACAGCCCATTTGAGCTCCTGTATAGACGCTCCTTTTTATTAGGCCTCAGTCTCATTCCAGACACCAGACCAACTTACACTGTGCCCCCCAAAAAAACTTGTCATCCTTACTATCTTCTGTCTAGTCATACTCCTATTCACCATTCTCAACTACTCATACATGCTCTGCTCTTGTTTACACTGCTGGTTTACACTGTTTTTCCAAGCCATCACAGCTGATATCTCCTGGTGCTATCCCCAAACTGCCACTCTTAACTCTTGAAGTAAATAAATAATCTTTGCTGGCAGGACTATGCTGAGTCTCCTTAGGCACTCCCTGATCAGATATCCTGAGTCGTCCCAATTCTTAGACCTTTTATACCTGTTTTTCTCCTTCTGTTATTCCATTTAGTTTCTCAATTCATCCAAAACCGTATCCAGGCCATCACCAATCATTCTATATGACAAATGTTTCTTCTAACATCCCCACAATATCACCCCTTACCACAAGGCCTCCCTTCAGCTTAATCTCTCCCACTCTAGGTTCCCACGCCGCCCCTAATCCCACTTGAAGCGCCCTGAGAAACATCGCCCATTCTCTCTCCATACCACCCCCCAAAAATTTTCACCACCCCAACACTTCAACACTATTTTGTTTTATTTTTCTTATTAATATAAGAAGGCAGGAATGTCAGGCCTGTGAGCCCAAGCCAAGCCATCACATCCCCTGTGACTTGCACGAATACGCCCAGATGGCCTGAAGTAACTGAAGAATCACAAAAGAAGTGAATATGCCCTGTCCCACCTTAACTGATGACATTCCACCACAAAAGAAGTGAAAATGGCCGATCCTTGCCTTAAGTGATGACTTTACCTTGTGAAAGTCCTTTTCCTAGCTCATCCTGGCTCAAAAAGCACCCCCACTGAGCACCTTGCGACCCCCACTCCTGCCCGCCAGAGAACAAACCCCCTTTGATTGTAATTTTCCTTTACCTACCCAAATCCTATAAAACGGCCCCACCCTTATCTCCCTTTGCTGACTCTCTTTTTGGACTCAGCCCGCCTGCACCCAGGTGAAATAAACAGCCATGTTGCTCACACAAAGCCTGTTTGGTGGTCTCTTCACACGGACGCGCATGAAAGGGAGATTTTATATTTTTAATTGCACTATAAAAAACTGAGGGATTTCTGTTCCTTATATGAAAGTTCCAGAGTCCCTAATGCAGAGAGAGAGAGAGCAGGGGTAAAGTACTGTCTACAGTGACAAAATCAGCAGACACTGAGGGCTGAAGGAGACACAGGTCTCCCTCCAATCTGTCTTCATTTATCTGGTTTCTACCCATTGTTCCAGCAGTGAGCTTAGTGTGATTGTCTTCCAAACGCTCCTCCGTGTTCTATCCCTACCCCACCATCCCAGTAGGGTTTGATGCTTTCCTTATCCATGCTTGTGTCATAGTTTTTTTAGGTTGGTGCAAAAGTAATCATGGTTTTTGCCATTGAAAGTAATGGTAAAAACCGCGACTACTTTTGCACCAACCTAATACTATGCAGTCCTGTCATCACTGATGTATTTCTCTGTCACTCATCATAATGTAAGTGTCATGCAAATATGTTATGTCTTATTTGACCTGTTATCATGGGGCTTGGCACAGGCGTGGCATATTGTAGGTATTCCAACAGTGAGGTTAGGAATGAATAACTCATATTCACAAAGCAACCACATTGTTCATTCAGCTTTATGTTCATATCAAATATCGGATAACCAGAAGTATGAACAGTTAAAGGTAACAAAAAGATGCAGATGGTACCACCTATACATTATCTACTCTATTAAATATTCAAGAATGGCTTAGAACAATTATCTAGAATGTATTATCAGTCTGCCTGGATTCTGGTAAAAATGGAAGGTAGTGAAAAGAATGTGAGTGTATATGTCAGGTAAAGATATTTTGCTGTTGGCCTTTCCCATGCAGCGGCTGGCATGGGGCTCACTCATCTTTCAGGGTTGCCATGGATAACATTGGCTTTTCCTTGGAACCATGAACTTTGCTTGTGAGTCAGGAAGAATCTCATTGTTTGGCCACTCAGGGAGTGAGATATCGAGCCCAAAGGATAGGTGCTTCCAAGGATTCTGGCAAGAGGAGCAAATAGACAATGTAATGCTGTATGGAAGCATGCCTTGTGTGGGAAAGAGAGGGAGGGAAGACTGTAGAAAGGCCTTTGCAAGCCAGAGAAGGTATCAGATGAAAAAAGAAGGATAGTGAATGCTATCCAAGCAGGGGATAGAAGGGACAAAAGACACAGGACAAATCTTTTGGGACCAGGCAAGCAGTGATGAGCAGCATCTGAAGAAAGAATTCCATGACCTGTTGGCTCTTCTCCAGATACTTCATGGTGCTGAGCTGGCTCCAGACAGGCAAAAGCCTTCATTTACAGCTGGTAAGCAATATTGTGATTGTAACCAAATCCTCTGGGAGTTGGTAAACCATTTCCATGAGTCTCATGAAAATATGCTTTGTTATAAAGTGAGACTGTATCTGCTCAGCTACCGGGTTCATAGAAATTTGCTACAGCATCCCTTGCCGTTGAAATACCAAAGAACCCAAATGTCTATTTTAAAGTTAACATCTGCTGCACCTTAACCAAGAACAATGACAGTCCAAGGACCAAGTTCAATAATCACCAGTAGTGCCTCATATATGATTATTTGGTGAACATGACTAAATTGTTTTGGCACCAAATCTATGTTAACTTATCGTGTATAGGAAAGTATAAATATGTATTAAGCAAGCAGGGTGCCAGGCAATATGCTGGAAATTTTACCTAGTCATCTCATTTAATTCTCATAAGTAATCTATGAGATAAGACTTTACAGATGAGGGAATTGAGGCTCGAAGAGGTGAATTAAATTGCCCATGACTACACAGCTAGGAAGTAATAGAGGTATATTTTGTAGCTGTGTCTATTAAACTCTTTCCATTTGCACTATTCTGTCCTCAAAACACTTAATATATGTTAACTTAAATATAAGACCTCAAACCATGAAACTACACCAGGAAAACATTGGGGAAAATCTCTAGGACATTAATCTGGGCAAAAATTTCTCGAGCAATACCCAACAAGCACAGGTAACCAAAGCAAAAGTGGACAAATGAGATCACATCAAGTTAAAAAGCTTCTGCACAACAAAGGATACAATTCACAGTGAAGACACAACTCACAGAATGGGAAAAAATATTTGCAAACTACCCATCTGACAAGGGATTAGTAACCAGAATACATAAAGAACTCAAACAACTCTATAGGAAAATATCTAATAATCCAGTCAAAAGATGGCCGAAAGATTTGAATAGACATCTCTCAAAAGAAGACATAGAAATGGCAAGCAGGTATATGACAAGGTGCTAAACAGCACTGATCATCAGAGAAATGCAAATCAAAATCACAATGAGACATCATCTCACTCCAATTAAAATGGCTTGTATCCAAAAGACAGGCAATAAAAAATTCTGGCAAGGATGTGGAGAAAAGGGAACAAACACTTGTACGCTGTCAGTGGGAATGTAAATTAGCACAACCACTGTGGAAAATTGTTTGGAGATTCCACAAAACACTAAAAATTGAGCTACCATTTGATCCAGCAATCCCACTGCTGGGTATATACCCAAAAGAAAGGCAATCAGTATATCGACAAGATATCTGCACTTTCATGTTTGTTGCAGCACTGTTTACAATAGCTAACATTTGGAAGTAACATTAGTGTCCATCAACAGGTGGATGGATTAAAAAAAACTGTGGCACATATATACAATGGAGTACTACTCAGCCAGTAAAAAGAAGGAGATCCAGTCATTTGCTACAACATGGATGGAACTGGAGATCATTATGTTAGGTGAAATATAAACCAGGAAGAAAAAGACAAACATCACATGTTCTCACTTTTTTGTGGGATCTAAAAATCAAAACAATTGAACTCATGGACATAGAGAGTAGAAGGATGGTTACCAGAGGCTGGGAAGGGTAATAGGGGGTTGAGGGAGGTGAGGATAGTTAATGGAAACAAAAAAAGTAGAAAGAATGAATAAGACCTACTATTTGATAACACAACAGGGTGACTATAGTTGATAATAACAGTACATCTTTTAAAAACTTAGAGTGTAATTGGACTGTTTGCAACTTGGAATAAGCGCTTGAGGGGATGGATACCCATTCTTCAAAGTGTGTGTGTGTATATATATATGTGTGTGTGTGTATATATATATATATGTGTGTGTATATATATATGTGTGTGTGTATATATATGTGTGTGTATATATATATGTGTGTGTATATATATATACACATACAGGTAACGAAACTGAGGTTAGAGAATTGAAGTAACATGCCCAGGGTCATAGATATTAAAGGGAAGATCTGGGATTAAATACAGGAAGTCTGATTCCAGAAATCACACTCTCAACACATTCTTTTGCCTCTGTTTTCAAATATTTGAGAACTAAGTGCTTTTCAGAACTTTAAACATTCTAGACATTCTAGGGAATGCCACAAAATCCAAAATGGCATCAATAAGCATCTAAAGGGAAATGTGCCTGGCCAGTCTTAGGGATGAGGGATGTGACAAACTGACTAACTGAATGGGAAAGCCCCTGAAACCTCTGGAATATTATGCTTCTGCAACGTACTCCCACTGTGACACCTGACCTTAGCCCAACACCTCCTGCTGGAACTTTGGAAGTTCAGGACAGAAGCCTCAAAGGATTCTGCAGAAGCCTGGCCTCAGTGCTGAGGCAGGATCTACCTCCAACATCAGCAGCTGCCCCACTTTAGGACTCCCATACCACCTGCTTGCCAGCGCTAGATCTGAAAGATGGGAAAACATATAAAATCTATAAAAACCGAACATGCACTTCATAGGCAGAAAATAGTTCAGATCTGAAAGGTTAATGGGGCACCCTTACTTTCCAGGGCTGCTTGCAATGTGTCTCATGAAGAACTCAGCCACCTCTGAAGGACGGGCTGCCGTGGGAACAGAGTGAGCTGAAACATCTGAAAGCCACACAGGGTGAGTGAGCAACCATCTTGGTTCGCCAAGGACTGAGGGGGCTTCCCAGGACAGGCACCTGTAATCCCAGCTACTCAGGAGGCGGAGGCAGGAGAATGACGTGAAGCCGGGAGGCAGAGGTTGTAGTGAGCCAAGACAGTGCCATTGCACTCCAGCCTGGCCGACAGAGTGAGACTCTGTCTCAAAAAATAAAAATAAAAATAATGAAATGCATCATCATTCATATCTGTCCCCTCATTCCCAGAAAGTTCTATTTAGAACTTTCAGTGCTAAAAACCAGTTGGTCACCCTCCACCCATGTAATGGTCAACAAGAACCCCAGGGAGTCCTCTGCATTCCAGCACATTCCATTCATGCCATGCTATACCATTCACAGCTAACAGAGCTGCCCAGTCATGCACACATGTTCTGACTGTCAGCATTTGGACACCCACTTCAGCGCTTACTGTTATAACTGCAGCACCCACTTCCTTAGAACAGCTGCTTTATTTGCAGCCCTGGTCTGCTTAAATCAGATGAAATTATTTTCACAAGTTGCTGTCTCACAGCCAGAGAAGAGGCAGAGTTTGATGGCTTGTTTAGAATTTAACTCTATCACCTTGAGTTGCTGAACCTCTGAACTGGTCACAGAATAAACTGCTATCAATCTGGGATAGAGGGATCAGATATGAATGATGATGCATTTCATCATTTTTATTTTTATTTTTATTTTTATTTTTTGAGACGGAGTCTCACTCTGTCGCCCAGGCTGGAGTGCAATGGCACTGTCTCGGCTCACTGCAACCTCTGCCTCCCAGGTTCACGCCATTCTCCTGCCTCAGCCTCCCAAGTAGCTGGGATTACAGGCACCTGCCACCAAGCCCAGCTAATTTTTTGTATTTTTAGTAGAGACAGGGTTTCGCCATGTTGGCCAGTCTGGTCTCAAACTCCTGACCTCATGATCCGCCCGCCTCAGCTTCCCAAAGCGCTGGGATTACAGGCATGAGCCACTGCGCCCAGCAGCATTTCACCAGTTTTAAAATTCTCAGTTACAAAGCAGTACCTGGAACTGGTTCCAAAGAAGAGTTTTGACTAATTGTTTCACATTAAGTTTTTCAACCCCTGTATATAATTAGCTTCTTGGGAGTATGTATCTGTCTGTGGGCAGGGCCTGGTGTTCCTTGGGAATCCTGAAGATTAAGCAATTTAGCGTATGAGCATTTAAAGTGCAGTCAGCCCCATTTAAAAATGACCATTATAAGCCAAGCTGAGCCCCTGCCTTTAAGAGAGGCCTCAGTCGAGGGTCAGGTGTGGTGGCTCCTGACCGTGTTTCCAGCACTTTGGGAGGCTGAGGCTGGTGAGAAGATTGCTTGAACTCACTAGTTCAAGAACACCCTGGGCAACATGGCGAAATCCTGTCTCTACAAAAAATACAAAAATTAGCCGGGTATGATGTAGTCCCAGCTACTTAGGAGGCTGAGATGGGAGGATGGCTTGAGCCCACGGAGGAGGCTGAGATGGGAGGTTGCAGTGAGCCATGATTACACCACCGCACTCCAGCCTGGGTGACAGAGTGAGACCACTCTGTCTCAACAACAACAACAAAAAGGTCTCAGTCTAATTAGAGAACTGCAAACACAGAATCCTGTAAGCCCCAGGGATTACAGATGTCAGGAGCTGTTATTATGGATTTATTTCTGACCCACAGGGGATGAGGGGAACCAGGTGTGAGTTCAAGCACAGAAGTCCCTGCTGACTGCAGTGTGGCATCCTTCCAAAGTAATCCCCTGACTTTGTGTCTCTTCTCCTTTGGGAAGGCCAATGGGTGCCCTGAGACTGTCACATCTAGAAGAAAGGCTCTTGGAAGTTGTGTGCCCTCCCACCTCCTCCTCTATCCAGCACATGACCAACCCTATGGTTCAGCCCCAGAGACTGCGCTGCTGTCTCTGGTGGAAGTGCCTACTGGAGCCACATAGTCTCTGATTATACCAAAAGGATCCAGCCCTGAACAGATGGCCACCTTGCTCACATTGGACTTCATATCTGGCCAAGATAACAGCATTATCTAGCATTATCTATCTAATGAGCAATCTAGCAAATGAGGTTGAACATGCAAGTATCATTCTGCATTTAAACGTCCCAGCTGTTGGCTCCTAGGCTGTGGGCCATGGAGCAGGCTGAGATGGGCCTGAGCATAAAGTATAGGCATGAGATGGGCCTCTCAAACCAACCAAGGCACCAGATGGAGTTAGAAAGCATTACTTGCATTTAGATTGAGTCTCATAACCTCTTATGAACCAAGGGCAGGCTGGCCAACTCCCACCAGGGAAATGACATTAGAGTGTTTAGGGAACAGCTATTTTCCTGCTGATAAAAGCAGCATGTGTTGATTTACTTTATTATCTATTGCAGTGGTTCTTAAACTTTAGCTTTTAGAAGATCACCTGGAGGACTTTTAAAACACAGGGTAGGTCCTTGTGGGGCTTGAGAATTGGCATTTCTAGCACATTTCCAAGTGATGCAGATGCTACTAGTTCCGGGATCATGCTTGAGAAGCACTTATTTACAGGGAATAATCCCATATCACAAACATCTTCTCCAGACTCAGCCCTTATAAAAATTATTGTGAAGTGCCATATACCAACATGCCCACATATTTAGTAGAAAAAAAGGGAGGGATACTCACAGCTAACATTCAATCACCTAAATAGCAATATTTATTGAGCACCTACCATGTGCAAAACCAGACTGAACTCTGTAAAGATGAAAAGGAAGTGTCAAATTTGGTAGGAATCAGAATTAAATACTTTTTTGGAGGCCACTGGTCAATATATATAAAAAACCTTGAAGTGTGCCACTCTTTCACCAAGCAACTCCGTGTCTAGGAATCTAAACCAAGAAAATAAAGATGTGACAAAATTAAGCTAGAAAAAGTTCACTGAAGCTTTTTAAAAGTGAAAAGGTAGAAATCTAAATGGCTGGTATATATATATCCTTATACACACACACCTCCCACGATTCTCTAGATCAGTGGTTCTGGAATGTCTCGAGACAGTTTTGATTGTTACAGCTCGGGAGTAGTTTGCTCCTAGCATCTAGTGGGTAGAAGCCAAGGATGCTGCTGAATATTCATCCTATCATGCACAGGACAGTCCTCACAACAAAGAGTCATCTGGCCCAAAGTGTCAGTCAAGAGTGCCAAGACTGAGAAATCTTGACCTAGACTCATGTGCCAGGGATTCCAACAGAGTCACACTCACTAAAATAGCTGCCATTTCCTAGAATCAGGCTGCCACCTGAATAATGAAAGGCTTTGTTCCCCTCAAAATTTCATACTGTTGAGGTAGGGAATAGAATGGTGGTTACCAGAGGCTGGGAGGGTAGTGTGGTGAAGAGATATAAACAGGAATTGGCTAATGAGTAAAAAAAAAAAAAAAAATAGTTAGAAGGAATAAAATATAATGCTTGGTAGCACAATAGGGTGACTATAGTTAACAATAATTTATTGTATATTTCAAAATAATTAGAAGAGTAGATTTGGAATGTTCCTAACACAAAGGAATGATAAATGCTTGAGGTGATGAATATCCCAATTACCCAGATTTGATCATTGCACATTGTGTACTTGTTTCAAAACATTACGTGTACCCCATCAGTATGTACATTATGTATTCATAAAATTTTTTTAGGTCTCATGCTGTTATTTCTGTGTCCTGGAGCTGTCTCAAGTGAATTCACACAGTTCATGTAGTCTTTCTCTCTCCGCTCCTGCCCTTGTGGTGGCACGTGCAAGAGAAGTCCCTTAGGAGCAGCAACTCACCCTGCATAGATGCCTGCACCCTCCAGGGAAACACTGATGAGGCCAAGTGTGCTGTCCCTGGTGTGCCCAGAGCTAGCTAACACAGTTCTCAGGGCATCCCACCATGGCTCTGCAGGCTTAGAGAGAACCCCCTGCCCACCTCTGTCTCATTTAGTTACCTGGAAACCAAAGAGGTACTATTGGTCAGTCTCATGGAGTACGCTGTGAGAGCAGTTATTCCAGCTTCTGCCTATAGCTGCTATCTATAATGCTCCAATACAAGCGTGAGGGGCCCAGCCAGGAGACCACAGAGCTAGGAAAAGACTGTTCTGTCCTTTTGTATCTAAAGCACTTGAGCCAACCACTTTTCTCCTCCTATAGAAAACAATCTGCATGCAAATAAATATTTTAAAATGTATACACAAATACAGGTGGACTAAGTACTATAAGTTCAGAGAAAGGCCCAATTATTCCAGTTGACATTTTCCACAGCAGGCTGGAGGTCCCTCACCAGCAGCCACATTAGCCAGGCTCACTCCCATTCCTTTGCCTTCACTTATTCTCCAATAGAAGGTCTACTGCCTCCTTTCTGCCTACCCAAATCCTATTATCTTTCGAGGCCTAGTTCTCATCTCCTTCGGGAAGGTTTTGAAATCAGCTAGAATGCTTTTAGCTATTAGTGAGGGAATTTTTTAAAATTTAGTTTTATTATTTAATGTAAAAAAAAAGTCTGAAGGTAGAGAGTTCCAAAATTAAGCGATTCAGTAGCTCAGGGACTTTTCCTTAATTCTCTTGATTTTTGTCTCAGAGTCACAAGATGGTTGCCACAGCACCTCATCATCATGAAAACACCCAAAGGCCCAGGGAGTAAGGAGGAGATGTTCTGCCTCTCTCTTGCTGGAGGCACAAGAAGAAATTTAATTAGAAGCCTCTATATTTTTCTTTGTTAAATACATTATTTATCAGGCAGTTTTAGGTTTACAAGAAAATGAAGAGAAAGGTACAGAGATTTCCAATATACTCCCTGACCCTACACATGCGTAGCCTCCCCCATTATCAATATCCCTCACCAGAGTGGTACATTTCTTACAACTGACGAACCTACATTGACACTTCATTATCACCCAAAGTTCATAGTTCACAATAGCGTTAACTCTTTGTTTTATAAATTCTATGGGTTTAGACAAATGCATAATAAAATGTGTTCATCATTATAGTATCATACACAATAGTTTCACTGCCCTAAAAACCTTCTGTGCTCTGCCTATTTTTCGTTTGTTTGTTTTGAGACAGAGTCTCACTCTGTTGCCCTAGCTGGAGTGCAGTGGCACAATCTCGGTTCACTGCAACCTCCACCTCCTGGGTTCAAGTGATTCTCCTGCCTCACCATTCTGAGTAGCTGGAATTGCAGGCACATGCCATCACGCCTGGCTAAATTTTGTATTTTTCATAGAGAGGGGATTTCACCATGTTGGACAGGCTGGTCTTGAACTCCTGACCTCAGGTGACTCATTGTGCTCTGCCTATTCATCCTTCCCCTCACCCCCTCTAATCCCTGGCAACCACTGATTTTTATAGTGTCTCCATAGTTTTGCCTTTTCCAGAATGTTATAGAGTTGGATTCATACAATGTCCAGCCTTTTCAGATTGGCTTCTTTCATTTCATAATATGCATTTTAGTTTCCTTTTTTTCTTGTCATGGCTTGACAGCTCATTTATTTTTAGTTCTGAATAATATTCCATCATCTGGATATACCACAGTTTATCCATTCACCGACTGAAGGACATCTTAGTTGCTTCCAAGTTTTGGCAATTATTATAAAGCTGCTGTAAGCATCCATGTGCAGGTTTTCATGTGGACATACGTTTTTAAGTATTTTGGGTAAATACCAAGGAGCGTGATTGCTGGATTGTATGGTAAGATAATGTTTAGTTTTTTAAAAGCCACTAAACTGTCTTCCAGTCACTGTACCATTTTGCACTCCCCAAGGAGTGAACAAGAGTTCCTTTTGCTCCACAGCCTTACCTGCATTTGGTGTTGTCAATTATCTTACTCTGTTTGTACCGCTATCACAGAATGCCACAGATTGAGTAGTTGTGGTAATTTATAAAGAACAGAAATTCATTTTCTTGCAGTTTTGGGTGCTGAAGTCCAAGATCAAGCCACCAGAAGGTTGAGCTGTCTGATGGGGGCTTCTCTCTGCTTCCAAGATAGTGCCTTGTTGCTCCCTCCCTCTGGGAGGGAGGAATGCTGCAAGCTCACATGGTGGAAGGCAGAAGGGCAAGCAAGCTGAATGCTGCGTGAAGCTTCTTTTATAGAGATCTTAATCCCATTCATGAAAGAGGAGGCCTCCTTCATGGCATAATTACCTCTTAGGCACCACCTCTTCATACCATCACACTGGCCATTAAGTTTCAACACCTGAATTTTGGATGAGACACATTTAAACCGTAACATCAATGTTCCCGATTTTGGCCATTCTAACAAGTGTGTAGTAGTATCTCATTGTTGTTTTAATCTGCGTTTCTCTGATGACATATCATGTGGAACATTTTTCATATACTTATTTGCCACCTGTATAAAATGGGAAAAGACCTTGATAGATATCTTAGCAACACTTTGGTAAGGTATCTATCAAGGTCTTTGCCCATTTTAAAATCAGATTGTTTTTCTTATTATTGAGTTTTAAGAGTTCTTTGTCTATTTTGGGTAACAGTCCTTTATCATAGCATTCTCCAGCCTTTTTGGTACCAGGGACCTGTGTCATGGAAGATAATTTTTTCATGGACTGGGGTGGAGTGGGGGGATGTTTTGGGGATGATTCAAGCACGTTACATTTACTAGATTCTCATAAGGAGCGTGCAACCTAGACCTCTCGCATGCACAGTTCACAATAGCGTTCGCACTCCTATGAGAATCTAATGCCTCTGCTGAGCTGACAGGAGGAAGAGCTCAGCTTTGCTGGCTTGCCCGCAGCTCACCTCCAGCTGTATGGCCCAGTTCCTAACAGGCCATGGGGAGGTACTGAGGGTTGGAGACCCCTGCTTTATCAGATGTGTTTTTTCAAATATTTTATACAATCTGTGGCTTATCTTCTCACACTCTTGGCATTGTCTTTTGCAGAGCAGAAATTTTAAATTTTAATGAAATCCATTTGATCCGATTTTTTCTTTCATGGGTCATGCCTTTAGTATTGTACCTTAAAATTTATCACTTGGGCTTAATACCTGGATGATGGATTGATCTGGGCAGCAAACCGCCATGGCACACGTTTACGTCTGTAACAAACCTGCACATCCAGCACATGTATCCCGGAACTTAAAATAAGTTGATTAAAGAAGTAAGATATAAGCATTGAAAAGTTATCACCATACACAATGTCTTCTAGGTTTTCCTTTTATGTCATCTTCTAGGAGCTTTATAGTTTTTCATTTTACATTTAGGTCTATAATCCATTTTGGATTAATTTTATGAAAAATGTATGGTAAGTTCTATGTCTAGATCTTTTTTTTGTTTTGTTTTTGTTTTTGTTTTTTGCATGTGGATATCCAGTTGCTCTAGCACCACTTATTGAAAAGACAATCTTTGCTCTGTTGTATCGACTCTGTTCCTTTGTCAAAGATCAGTTGGCTATATTTATATGGGTCCAAATCTGGCACTGTATTCAGTTCCATTATTTATTTCTCTATTCTTTTGCCTGTACCACACTGTCTTGATTACTGTAGCTTTATAGTATTGTAAAGCCCCTCTCCTTGTCAGAGAGGAAATTCCTTCCCAAGGAGAATACATCCTTCCCTAATAGATGTATCTTTATTAATTTATTTATTTTTGAGACAGATTCTCATTCTGTCACCCAGGCTGGAGTGCAGTGGCTCACTGCAACCTCTGCCTCCTGGCTTCAAGCGATTTTCCTGCCTCAGCCTCCCAAGTAGCTGGGATTACAAGTGTGCACCACCACACCCAGCTGATTTTTGTATTTTTAGTAGAGATGGGGTTTCACCATGTTGGCCAGATTGGTCTTGAACTCCTGACCTCAGTGATCCATCCGCCTCGGCCTCCCAACGTGCTGGGATTACAGGCATGAGCCACCGCACCTGGCCATAATAGATATATCTTTATGTGTTATTGGTCAGAATTAGCCAATCTTCGGGATTATTGCGATTGGCTTTAGATGTATCATGGGTCATTCCTTGGGCCTGGAGGAGGATCTCACTTTATCTTAGCACATTGCTGCCCCATAAAAAGAAAAGCACAGGTGCTTTGGGAGTACAGAGAAGGAGGCTGGGGCTGATCCTCTAGCATACAGAGCAGAAAAAGATAATCTGGGATGCTATGCAAAGTTCACCTCAGAAGTTGTTTGAACTCATTGATGAAAAGAACATATCAAGAAGGATATGGATTCAAGGCCACCAAACTCTCCTTGCTCTTTTCCCATCATTCAGTATGCAAAGCTCAGTGAAAAATGCCACAATGGAGAGAGCATTGTAGTGAGAGTTGGCAAGCTAGGGCTGGAGTTCCAATCCTAACACCAAGGAAGGGCCTTGGCCAAGTGACTTACTCTCTCAGAACCTCAGTTTTTGTCACTCCTGGGAATCTACTCTTCTCCAATACAGAAAATGGCACTTTGGGGAAGCTGGGAACCAAAAACAAATGTATTTCTCATGCGCTGGCCTAGGCCTCCTCTTCACCCTTCCCATGATATGGGAAGGGGCCATGAGTCATAGCCACATCTATTCAGAACTCCTGAGTCCCAAAAGCAGAAGCTAGAGGCTCAACACTAAAGCACTGAGGCCTGGAACTCAGGAATACTGAACAGAGAATCTGCAAGGGACAGAATAGAAATGTTTGGAACTTCTAAGCTACCAAACCCAAGAAAATGATTCTACTCAAGACATTGGGTATTTTTAATTGTATTAGCTGTCATGTGATTGGCTCCCACTCCCAACTGGTCTACTACTCTGAGGCAGTCAAATCATTATCATTATCATGGTCATCACTGCTCACATTTGTTGAAAGTCTCCCGTTTTCCAGACATTCTGCTAAGAGCTTTGCACATTTTTACCTTATATGATCTTCACGACAATCCTTTGAGTTGGATTCTATTGTCATCTCATTTTTACAGATGAAGAAACAGGCTTAGAGATGGAAAGACAGCTGCACAAGGTCACACACCTAACATGGACTTGGCTAGAACCATGCTGAACGCTATTTTGCCACAGAAGGTATATTAGTCCATTTTGCATTGCTGTACAAAATACCTGAGACTGGGTAATTTATAAAGAAATGAGGTTTATTTGCCTCATGCTTCTGCAAGCTGCAAAGCATGGTACCAGCATCTGCTCAGCTTCCGGTGAGGCCTCAGGAAGTTTTTACTCATAGAGGGAGGTGCAAGAAGAGCAGGCATGTCACATAAGTTAGAAAGGGAAGAAGGAGGAGAGAAGGTCCCAGACTTTTGCAAAAATCAGATCTCATGTGAACTCATTACTGTAGGCAGAGCACCAAGCCATTCATGAGGGATCTGCCCCATGAACCAAACACTTCCCATCAAACCCCATCTCCAACACTGGGAATCACATGTCAACATGACATTTGAAGGGGACAAATATCTAAACTACATTATAAGTTATCTTTAATGTTCATTTTTCCATTCCCAGAACATATTGTAGAGCCTGGCACACAGGAGATGCCTATTAAATGATCTGGGGATGGATGGACACAAATTGTGTCATCCGGGATGAGCTAATCCTCTTATAGAATTAAAGGCCAGGAGTTATCAGCACATGAATTGGAAGAGAAGTGTCTTTCTTTCTTTCTTGTGCTCCATACTTTCTAGGACATGGCTGGTGAGGTATCTCAGAACCATTTCATACATGCAAAATTTGTGGCCAATTGGAGCTAATTGTTAGAAGAGATAGAACTATGAAAACAACTTAGATTTCCTGGTTTCCAGTTCTAATCTCTTCTCAGGCCAATGAGAATGAACAATGAACATTGTTAAGTGTGTTATTTAGCAATCTGACTTCCAAAATAATCTAGAATGATCTTTAACTGCTAGCTAGTCTCCCAGTTGCTCCCACTTACATTTCATTTCTGTTCTCAGTGCCATTTTCCCCTTTCAGTTGGAGGCTATTCTCACTAATTCTCATTGGCTTCATCACTCGGTCTTTGACACACAAATCAGACCAGATATCAGAACAAATGTGCACAGAGCAATTATAGCAGATGGGTCACGCTGTGAAATGACACTGTGCTGCAGCATAGCATGCTTTTTGCCCATTTCAAGAACAACATATTTCGCATTTGGAAAAAAAATTGGATTCATGTCTCCCATCCTTCCACTTCCTGACTCTCAGTTCAGTCACCTCCAGGATATCCACCATCACTGGGTATGAAATGACAGTTATTAAGCTGCAAGCAGAGGAGAAAGAAATGTTGGTCACTTCCACTTCTGGAGCTGTCTCCTTATTTTCCATCAAGAACCCTTAAACTCAATTCAGGCTGGCAAATATTTGCTGAACTCACTGTTTCCTCGTCATTATCTTAGACACCATCCTAGGCCTAGGCACCAATGAGAGGATAGAAAGAAGGATGGATGAAAGCTAGTTTCTGTCCTCAATATCTCTGTTACAAGGTAGCATTTGATCAATCACATGAGAGAGCTACGCAGGGATACAGGAGTTCAGAGGAGGAATAAGATGCTTCCACCCAGGTAATCAAGAAGTCCATGGTAGAGCTGCTACTTGAATTGAGCTGGGAAAGATGGAAAGGATTTCTGCAACCAGTGAGTTTCAGGGCGAGCATTCCAGGCTGAGGGAGCAGCACAAGCAAATGCATGGAGACAGGGACACACGGAACATGCTCAAGGAAGGCCCCACGGTTTGATTAGGCTGGACAGGGTGTGTGTGTCATTAATCTTGCAAGGTGAGGCTAGAAATGGAGTGTGGAGGGTCTTGAAAGCTGTAGTAAGGGACTTGGACCTTGATCTGAGAGGGCCAGGAATATTGAGGTGGGGACAACTTTCCTCACCTCATATTTCTAGGCAGGTTCATATCTAGGGGAGAAGTGTTATTAGATGCTCCTTCCCGTATGTCCGTCCCTCTCTAAACCTTCTCCTGACAAAAAGAAAAGTTTCAAATCTAATTGGCAGAGCCCACAACATTCATTAGGTCTGTTTTTTTTCTAGTGGGCAGGTGCTGAGCTTCACAGACAGAATCCAGGCCTCAGCCTGCCCCCTGTCATTTCTGGTCCCTGCCCAGTGGGCCCTCTTTCTGCTTCTTGTTTCCATGTGATCAGTACCCAGGGTCTGGGCTCCAGAAATGAAATCAGACTTTGCTCCATCATCTCAGCCCTCCAGTGTTAAGAAGAAGGGAATAAGATGCAACTGCATATTTTTAATACCTACTCTGACTTCTGTGAAAGTGGCAAAAACCAGGCTATGAGATGTACCGAGGAACCCTATTGATGGCACAGGCTCCAATTCCCAGGCTCGAATTCCTAGGCTGAAGCCATTCTCTTGCCATGCAGAAGTCATATTCCTCCCCTTAACCTCATTCTTCGTATCTAGGGCATAAACAGTTCTCAGGTCTGTTACTAGATATCCCCACCTGTGGTGACACCTCTAATGATTACTTATTCTTACTCATTTGGACGTGGGTATTTTTCTCATGAGAATGTCCACACTGTGCAGAGGAGCCCTGCTGTAAGATGTGTAGGAGGTGTTCTTGGACCTTAATTTGTGATAAGAGGATTCGAACATTTGCAGATCCCTCTCCTTATTTTGTTTCTCCACAAGGTCTTTCGTAATCCATACACAGTACTCTGAATCCACTGACTTCACCTATTGCATTTCTTCTTGCTAACCCTGATACATTTCCCCCTCCAAGTCAGAGAGTAACCTGTCTAATCAATATTGCCATCTTAATTGTCCCCACCTGTCTTCCCAAACATCTTGGCTTCTAAAAAGGTGCCTATGATAATCTTTCCTATCAATTCTTTTTGTCTTTCTTGTCTGATAGTACATTGTAAAATTATACCATAAAAAGAATATAATACTAATTACATTGTAAAAAGAATATATAACTAATAGGAGAATTATAAATATCCTGTTATAATCCCCCCCCTAAACGATTTACAATATTAACTTTCCCAATCCCTTCTTCCAAATGGTGACATCTTTTGTGGACCCTTTTGTTGCATTGAAAGTGATGTCTTTTGGCTTCCACAGTGTTATTCTATTTCTTTATTCCATTGTTCTAAACAGTGAAAATACTGCCACCACCCAGAATATTTTTAGTTGTTGGGTCACTTCTTCTGAACTGAAGCTGTCTTGACCCTTGGCTTCCCCAGGCGCTGAAAGCAAACTTTCTTGTTTTCCTTTTGTTTTATTGCCCTACTGAGTGTCATGAGATAACAGGAAATGTACTGCCCTAAATCCATGCCCTTGCCTTGCTCTCTGACTTGAGCAGCCCTTCCAGTAGCCTGCATTGTCCCATTGTCAAGCAGCCAGGTGTCTGCTGCTACCACCTCTTCTGCTAGACTGCTCATCTTGCAGGGCCAGCTGGTCTGTCGGTCTCTCTTGAGTACGTCATGACAGTGTCTTGCCTCATGCCCATGCTGTACACCATCTGCCTGAGGGCTGCTTATTGCCCTTGAGGAGTGAGACACCAAGGGACCCACCTAGCATCCACATGTGTGCAACCCAGAAGTATGTGGAAGTTGATGCACAGGAGAGTATAAATTTGGCCAGCTGGACACAGATGAGGATGCACTCTTCTGTTTCTCAGCCTGTTATCTTCAAAGGATAGCTCAGGCAAGAGATATATATGGCCTTTCAGAAGACTTCCTGCAAGACCCCATGGTCATCTTGCCACAAAGCAGTGGTCAGCTTGAGAATTCACCACCTGTTCTTTGCTGTTCTGCCTTCTCTGACTTACCTTCCCCCACCCCACCTTATTTTTTGAAACAGGATCTTGCTCCAAGCTGGAATGCACTGGTGCCATCATAGCTCACAACAACCTTGAATTCCTGGGTTCAACCAACCTCTCAACCAATTCTCTCACCTCATCCTCCCAAGTAGCTGGGACTACAGGTGCGCACCACTACGCCTAGCTAATTTTTTTTTTTTAATTTTTGGTAGAGACAAGGTCTTAATGTATTGTGCAGGCTGACTTCAAACTCAGGCTCAAGTGATCCTCACACCTTAGCCTCCCAAAGTACTGGGAATACAGACTTGAGCCACTGTGCCCAGCCTTACTTCTCTTTTATCTTCACTCCTCTTTGCCTGTGAATGCACTCCTGATAAAATGTTAATTCGAAAGGTTTGCATCTAATTGGTTTCCAGGGAACCCAAGCTAAGAAAGGAGCCACAACAACCGCTTTAAACACTGGGGATTTAGCGCCTCTGCTGCTTGTAATGTTATATCACTCTTTCTTACTGTGGTCACCAATATATTGTGTAAATGCTTTATTGCCATATCCCTAAACATCTTTCCTCTAGGACCACTCAAATTTGTCCTCAAATGCGAACTTATGTAAGGAGCATAATCACCCCCAAAAGGAGCCTGTTCCATACCTCATCAGGTTTAACTCAGGGGCTTCCACGTTGCAATCTGCAGTTAAATCCACCTTGTCCTTCTAGAGTGACCTGAGGGTCTTGCTCAGGGTCACTGCTACAACACCCAGGAGAGCTGTAAGTGGGGCTTCACTTCCCCCAAAGCCATCTACTGACAACCTCACATTTGTGAAAACTGTGTCCAGAATTGGGTCATGACTTGGTCCAAATCCACAGAGCTCTGTATAAAATGTCTGGTTCTGGACATCTTTGGTATATGTCCAGTGTGAGTTCCCTGAGGCTCTGCTCAACTTCTGTCCTAGATGGAGTTCACAAAACATTTTAGCCCAGATTGTCAAAGTGGAAGTTGCCAGGGCCACATATTAATAAAAAGCAAATTGGATTTCCATGGTTGGTTACAGACGGCATAGCAAAACCCAAACATATACCCCATTGTCCTGTGAGGACCGAATACTCCAAAATGGGGGAGAGATAAATGGCACTTCTGGATACTAAACCCAGCCTGAATCTCTTCCGGTGCAAAATCGTGATCTCAAGTTGTATATTCAACTGGCTGAGATCACCCTACCCACATTAGTAATAGCCAAAGTATGTAAAAAACAATTCAGTAGATTATAATAATTACAACTACCTGTCAGTAAGCATTATGATGTGACAAACTGAAAAGTCCCATATATTTCATTATTTAACTTAAAGAGGATCATCAATCATCTACAGAGAATGCCCCTTAAGGGGACAGAACAGGCACCTGATTACCTGGTATCATACAAAGGCTTTTAAAAATCAGACTTAAAAACTTTTCTAGAAAGGAGAACAGTTGATGCCTGATATTCCACCATTTGTTCTTCATTCCTTTGGATTAAATCATTATTTCTGGATAAGATACCAATAACCACTTTGAGAATTAAAAGCATTTCTTGCTGTTCAAACCTAAGCAGGATTTTTTTCCTTTCCCAAGTAACCTTATTTGACTTGAAAGAAAAACTAATTTGTTGAGAAAGAGGACACGGGCTGGGGAGCCTATGGAAGTAGATTTAGGAGGGGAAACTTGAGGCTCCTAGAAGGCCGAGGAGATCCGGGTGCAGAGCCTGTCAGGAATTCGATATTTATTCCACAACTTTTCCTACAGATAACCTTGCTCCTCTCCAATAACTCAGCATGCATAGAGAAGGTTGATTAGCTATAGCATGGGAGACTTAAGGATAAAAGAATTCTCTGCTAGTAGTTGCTACTAGATGGGCTTCTGGAGGGAGAGTAAGCTTTCTGTTCACTGATATTTGACCCCTGGAAGCAGTCATCACAAGTCTCTACCAGCCTTGAGCTTATCTTCTCCATTTTCACATACATTTCTTATTTTCTTTTGGGTACTTGCTTGCATTTTTGTTTTAGAGAAATGCTAGAAACAACAGAGATTATTGGTGGTCTTAGACCATAACTTCAGGAGGAGTCTCAATTATAACTCCTTTGGAGGATGCACTGCCAAGAGAAATCTCAAACAAATGCCACTGCTTCCATAAACTAGCCATGCAGGAAGCCTTTTCTGACTCTTTCCACTATCTTGGATGCCAACATCAAGACAGTAGTGAGAGTTCATCTGCCATGCCCAATTTGATCAGTCTATCTTCCACTTTACTGCTCTGATTGAGCAACCTCTGGAGTTGGAACAGAGCTCTCTGAGATGTGATCACCTCATCTCATTTGTTCCAGTGTTGGCAATGCAGGCATCCAAGCCACTGTAAAACCTCTCTGCTTAATCTCTCCCCCAAAACACCAGCCTGAATCCTACAGGTCCTTTCTGACACCCCACTTACTGAGACATTCCACTGTCCCCCATGGTGTATGTTCTACCTGCAATGGGTATCCCCAAGGTGTCCACTCAAGGTGTGTTCTTGGTGAACTCTGACTGGAGGGCATCACCAACCACTTTATGTGGAAAATTCCTTTCGGGAGAGGCAAGGAATTCTGTATATAAGATTATGAAATATAACAGTCGTATGCAAATAACTTTAGTAATTGTTTTTCTCAACAGTTTTTGAAGTGTTGTCCTAGAGACAGCACTGATCTGAGACATGAGAGAAGAAGAAATGAGTATTTATTGAGCATGTCCTAATTAAAAGGCACTGGGTGAGATTCTTAATCCAAATTATTTTACTTAATCATCAGGATAACCCTGGGAGGTAGAAATTTGTTAACTGCATTTTGCAAATGAGAAGACAGAATGTCAGAAAAGCCAAATAACTTGCCCAAAGTAATGAAGAGCTGGTAAGTGGGCTAAATACAATAGTCATTATTTAGTCAGCAGCAAATACCATTAGACCACCAGGAGAAGCACAGCAGAATATTTGCAATCAAACACTTTTATAGCAATGTCACTGGAGAAATTCAAACATTAATCAAGCATGTTCTTTACCCTGGAAAGGGGGTGGGAATGGTGGGTGGGAGTAGAAATGAAACAGGGAAGACCTGGCTCATTCCCTGCCATCAGCTCCCCTCCTGTGATAATGACAATATTTTCATGACAGGTTGAAAACAGTTCATGTAGGAGTCACAGCCCTTACATTGTTTTTCGCATCAAGGTTTAAGTTCCATGGAAATTGGAAAAATCAGAGCATGTGAATCCCCCAAGACAGATGAAGTGCCAGGAGAGTGCATTTCCAGATTTACACCCCATGTGACTCTTCCAGGTCAAGTGTTTCCTACACACAGCCCAGAGGAGGTGCTGCCACTTATAAACTGTGTACTCTCAGCTCTGAACCTTGCCTGCCTGAGATGCTCTCAACCTGTCTCTGCATTGCTTGAGGTGGGCAGCCTGCATGGAATTCCACCTTCCTGCTTGCTAGCATATGCAGAAAGGTACTCTCTTTTCAAGTCAATTTCCCACTTCTGATCACAGTCCTCCTCAAAACACAAATAGGCAATGTATGACCAGCCAATCTGCCCATGTTGCCCCAGATTCTTTGCAGCTCAGCATAGTGGTGAAGAAAGTTACCTTTCTAAAGTCAAAGAGCTTATCTCTAAACCTCAGCTGACCTCCTACGGGCTATATGATGTTTAGCAAATTAGATATCATGTGTTTGTATCAGTTTTATCATCTGTAAGAGGGGATGGCAATAGTGCCTCCCTGTAATGAGTATTTTTTTGTTTTGTTTTCCCTACTAGCATCTATTCCAGCTTCTTCCACTAACAACCCCTATTTTTCCTTTGGGAAGGTACTCCTCTTCCATTCAGTCTATGTGGCTCTTTGAGCTGCACCCACACCAGGCTTCATGGGTGGGCATGTAATCCAAGCCTGGCTAATCAAAGATTAAGTCAGCGATGAGCATGTGATTCAGTTTAAGCCAGTGAGAGTCTTCTTCAGGATTTTTGTTAGAATATTGTGAAAGATGCACTCTTTCCATCAGTTGTAAGCTTGGAGCTACTAGTAGCCATCTTACAGAGAGTCAAATGGTGAATAGAGGCAACAGAGAAAGCAAAACAGGGTTGGAGAAAAATAGATTCCTAAGAATACTGAATACAAGGATCTATCATGCCTGAAGTATCCCGTTTTTCTTTTCAGGTACATGAGCCAATGCATTCCCCATTTTGTTTAAATACATTTGAAGTGAGTTTCTGTTGCTTGCAACCTAAGGTGTGCTGACTAATGCATTATCTCTTAAAGCTATTGTGAGAAGTAAATGAGAAAATCTATGTGAAGCTCTTAGTACAGTGCATGGTACAAGGCAAGGGCTCAATACATATTTGAAAGCCAGCCAGCCCATTTCCACATCCTGATGAATGCAGAGCCCTTTGTAAGAGACTGGCTCCCATCTGTAGGCCATTTGTGCCATAAAACCCTCTGCCCTTGGTAAGTACCAAAACACCTATGCCATCCTTTTCTCTTTTGAATCTTTGCAACTTTCAGAATTTAGCTGGGTATTATTTCTCCAGGTGCCCTGCCTACATGTCATGTTGATGATTTCATCTGACCTCTTTCCTCCCTGTCACAAGTCATGCCAAATCCAGGATATCTTGGAACATAAACTGTGGGCCAGTTATCTAGTTACAGGGTTCAGGAAGCATTGAGGATTTTTTTTTTTTTTTTTTTTTTGAGACAGGGTCTCACTGTGTTGCCCAGGCTAGAGTGCAGTGGCACAAACAGTGCTCACTGCAGCCTCAACCTCCTGGGCTCAAGTGATCCTCCCACCTCAGCTTCCTGAGTAGCTGAGACTACAGGCATGTGCCACTACACCTGGCTACTTAAAAAAGAAGAGAAAAGAAAAAAAATGTTGTAGAGACAGAATCTTGCTATTTTGCCCAGGTTGGTCCAAACTCCTGGGCTCAAGTGATCCTCCCACCTCAGCCTCCCAAAGTGTTGAGATTATAGGTGTGAGCCACTACCACCCGGCAATGCTGAAGGTTTTAATCTTCATCTTGCTTAGCAAAACACTACCTCCTTCCTCTTCAAAGTCCTGGAGAAATAACTTGCCTTCTCCCTGACCTGCTCTGTCCTAGTCCATCAGGTCTTTTCCCCTTGTCCACCCACCTCTAATTTTATTGCTGAGGTCCCATTTGATGGGAGTATGAGGCTGGTTAGGGAAAAAAAGAAAAGCCCTAAGTAATAAATTAAATACCACAAGTGAGGCAGAGGATCCAAGGAGGAAGAAGAGTAGACCTCCAGGTTCCTTAGCAAACAGCACTGTGCTGATAGAGAGGGAAGTTGAATGGCAGCTGCTGGCTAGACCACACATCCGTTAAGTTAGCCATTTACTTCACACATATGTACAAGGCCCAGCCCTAGCAGAAGGCAAGGGAGAAAGGATTCTTTTGAGTCTGGCTTCCCTATGATGCTCCACAAAAGTAACAGTGATAGTAATATGCTGAATTCCCTGTTCATTGAATGAAGCCTAGTCTGTCTTGCTAGGAAGGGGCAATGGGCCAAACACAGGCAGTATTTTTCCCATCACTGTTCCAGGGAGAAGATCTATGTCCAATCTCCCAAAACAAGCCACCTCTCCCCATTCATCTTGATACACAGTTTAATATGACAGCCACAAAAATGGAAAGGAAGTTGGATTGGCTGAGAATTTCTGATTATTAGTAGGGAGTTGGAATCACCTTCCAGGCAGGACAAGCTACAGAATTTGTGGGCCCTTGTGCAAAATGAAAATGTAAGCTCTCTTTTTAGAAGATCAAGAGTTTCAAGGTGAAAAAAAAAACAAAACCCAGCGCATTAAACCAAGTACGAGGCCCGTCTAAGCGTGGATCCCTGGGCGACTGCATTGGTCACATGCCCACGAAGCCAGCCCTGCCCCAAAGCAAGAGATTCAGTAAGGTAGGAAGCATAAAGGAGGCAGAGTAGTATGGATTTCCATCTCCGAAAGGCAGAATTCTAGCAATGTAATTTTATTCCTTCTACGTACAAGGTCCAACATGCTAATCTATTCTTTAAACCATTGCATTATACAAATCTTTAGGAAATTTGTGACTAATATCGAATTAGCATGCAACTGATCTACAGGTAGCAGATATTCTCAAAGCCTGGCAGAGGTTAAAGTGTGTTTTACTCAGGATTGCCTTATTAGGAGCTCTTTATGTCCTTTTAAATTTATACTTAGAATAATGGATTTGCCAGACAAAAGCAAATTACAACTCATCTCCTGCCTAAGTCTTTAAATAGTATCTAAAAGATGGGGTTAGACTCAAACTTAGAATCACGGAAAAATATTAAATTGGAAATGAACATTGAACAATGGTCCTGCTCAGGTGTTCCAGCCATGATGCGGCAGAACCATCTGGAAAGATTTTAGAAAAAGAAAGATTCTCTGAAACTTTCCCAAGAAACTTGTTTTCATTTAGAGTGGAGATGGGGAGTCTCTTTCTATGAAATTTATTGGTTGTAATTTAAAAAGCATTAAAAATAATGTGAACTACAGCATCACAAAAGACCAAGCAGAAAACAGTAATTAATCTTTGTAACTCTTATATGGCCCTGGGCTAAGAGCAGGGAGTGAGAATGTCGTTGTTCGAGTCCCTCCAAGCTGGCACAGGCTTCTTATGCACAGTGGCCCATGCACTCAGGCAGGGCTGCAGGCATACAGCTGTGGGCTGCATATTCATTTATAAAGCAAGATTCTGTGTTCAGCTCTGGTCACAGCTCACCTTCACACTTGCTGTGGAGTCCCCTCCATTCCTTCCATCGTGGGGAGGGTGGTCCTGCTCTCTGCCCCTCACCTCCCAATTAACTAGTAGAAATCCTAGAAGGCCTGAGCAGGTTTTGGAAAGGAAGCCACTTTATGGAGCCTTGCGGTTTCGGGAGTCCCTTTTTGGCTGAAGCAGTTCCCACTACATGGCTAGAGGGACTGAATCCAGAACACGTTCAAGTTCTGCAGACACAAACCCAGGGATGTCAGTCTTCTGTGCCGTGGCCTGCAGGCCTTGCTGCAGTGTGTTCCACCAACCTCTTCCTTTCCCTTCCTGCTGTTTTATGTTGTTTCCATGCCTTATGTGTGGACAGCTGGTCTTCATAATCCTCAACCAGCGGATAGTTGGTCTGTTACTGTCACTCCACGTGGGTGCTTCGTTCAATTCTAGCAGGCACACTGGTTTGGACATCCTCTTCACAGAGCTGTCAACTCATTTCTCTAGGCTGTGGGCTGGAGTGACAGTTGTTTGGGATTTGGTTTTCCTTTTTGCTGTTAAAAATATATCTTTACCACTGCCTGCTGTGGATGGTAAGAGGATTCCTCTACTTTAGCAGAATGCTAAAATCAATTTTTTTTTTTTCTTTTTGAGTCTCATTCTGTTACCCAGGCTGGAGTGCAGTGGCGTGATCTCCGCTCACTGCAAGCTCTGCCTCCCGGGTTCACACCATTCTCCTGCCTCAGACTCCCGAGTAGCTGGGACTACAGGGGGCCACCACCACGCCTGGCTAATTTTTTTTTTTTGTATTTTTAGTAGAGAGGAGTTTCACCGTGTTAGCCAGGATGGTCTCGATCTCCTGACCTCGTTATCCACCCACCTCAGCCTCCCAAAGTGCTGGGATTACAGAGGTGAGCCACTGCGCCCGCACTAAAATCAATTTCTAAGAGCATCTTAAGGAGGTAACGTTTTAACATCTACTAATAAAGAGTGGCTTCAAAGTGGCCTGTATTAGCCTTCCAAGGGTGAAAATGGCAGTGGGCCTGCCTCCAAAATGCTGTACTGTTACATGTGTGCCCTGCTGGCCTTTCCTTGGAACTCAGCAAACTACCATCTTGAGAACATCAAAGAAAATTTTTTCCACTTCCAAAGCATGCCAGAATCTAGAGGTCCTGCCACACAAAATCAATCCTCCTCCAAGTGACTGAAAATGTTATTTTCCCTCAATTGTGGGAAAGCATAAATAAATGGGACAAAGTGAGATGGAGAAACCAGCACAGGGGGAATCTGATACATTAAACACACAGGGAGCTGCAGTAGCAGCCACAGGGCTGGCCCAAAAACAAAAATCAAAAGAAAAGCACATTTACATTGAGCACACATGGGAGGCACACTTTGATTTGTCTCCAAGAGATTTATACAACTCACTCTGTCTTAAAGATACTTGAAAGCACATCTAAGTTCTCTCTACGCTGGCACAGCTGATAAAACATGCAATGGCACTTGATAATTCCATATATTGTTGAATACATTCTTAAAGTTTCTTTTATGAAAAATTTATAATTCAGTACTGCTCAAGGAGTGGTCTGTGGACATGTATGTGTGTATACATATATGTCTACAAGAAGCATTTATTCCTGGTTCACGGTAACTACAGAAAGTCAGAGTAAGCATTTAAAAACTTCATAGCAATTTTATATGATCACAACATTTTTACTATATTTTACAAATATATTAGTCTGCAATAAGTTGAAAAACAAACAAACTGGCTTTTCAGCGCATATGGTTTGAGAAATGCTTGTATAATGAACACCTGTATTTGCACCACCTAAATTTAATTGTTGTTAACAAACTGGCAGAAATACAGAATCCTTCATACAGAAATACTGTATGTAGAGGACATAAAGTTAGGCAATTAAAGATGTGAAAGTTTTAATTAAAATTTAAAAAATTAAAAGGCTCAAAATCAAAACGTTTTCATTTTGAATTATTTTTTTAACTGGCTTCTCCTTAACTGGTTGAAAAATATTGTGACTAGAAAGTAATGAGTCCACTTTTCATATTTACATTTCCTATCACATGGATATTCCAAAAAGTTTGCATTTATACTATGCTTATGATGACACATGGGAGGCAAATATTATCATCATCATTCCCATGATACTCTTTTCTAACTCAATTTCATGTTCTTTGCTATTTTTTATGCAAGTCAGTTCTTTAAAGACATCCTCATTATACTAGGAGTGCCTGGTATAAAATTTATTATATGACAGGCAAAGCTGTAACTTGCCTTAAAGCCTTCCCATCTTCCCATTTTCACCATGACAATATTTAAGGTAGTTTTATGTGTTTTTTAAAAGCTTTTAAATGTATAAAGAAAGGAACAAGATGGAATTTCCCCTCCTCGTTTAGGAATTTAACTCAGATTCATGAAACAGAAGGTAGCATAACTTTTCTTTGTGGATATTTTTCAATCCACAGGAAAAATTTACCTACAGCAACTTCATTTGGCTGTTTTCTGAGATAGGGTCTTGCTCTGTCACCCAAGCAGGAGTGCAGTGGCATAAACACAGCTCACTGCAGCCTTGGCCTTCTGGGCATAAGTGATCCTCCCAACTCAGCCTCCACAGTAGCTGGGCCTATAGGCATGCGCCACAAACCTGCCTAATTTTTCTTTTTCTTTTTTTTTTTTAATAGCGATGAGGTCTCCCTACATTGCCCAGGCTGGCCTTGAACTCCTGGGCTCAAGCGATCCTCCTGCCTTAGCCTCCTAAAGTGCCAAGATTAGAGGCATGAGCCACCACTCCAAGCCTGGCTGTTATTAGTATCAGTCTATGATTCTGTTAAAGAGGGGAAAAAATAAGGAAATGTCACCCACCCACATCCCCAATCTTAGAAAACTGGAAAATTTTATCCATAGCGACTTTGAATCAAATTGTATCAGCAATTTGGACAAAGAGTCAATTCTGCCTGGGTGAAAATTTTGTTTGAACATAAATTGTTTTCTGGATGTTTTGCTGATGTCTTTTAATGTCTAATTCCCACAGCCTCTCTATGAGGGATTAAGCAGCACTGAAGACAGTGAGTTCAGAGTCGTTTGTTTTCTCTGGCCTGGAAAAAAAAGGCCACACACACCCAGTTATTGAGCTACTCTTTTTTCCCTCCTGTAACTCATCCAAACATTCTATTACGAAGTTGAAACATTTCGGTTACTGTAATTTTTTCCTAAAGGTTCTGGTTCCCACACTGAAATTCTGCCTCCTAAATCAGATTCAGACTCCAATTCCCAAAATCTGTTCCAAACACATTCATGGCCTAACCCTTGAGAAAGAGAACTTCAAGCTCCACTTGCCTCCTTTCAGAGTGAGTCAAAGTATTTTAAAAAGCAACAAAAATGTGAAATCCCTTGATGAAGTGTTTTTGAAGTGTCTTGGCCATGTCTGTAGGAACGGTCAAATATTATCTAACTCTGTTCACTTTTTAAAGTGGAAAACAACAACTAAACAGCACAAATACAGGCAAATGGCTCCTTTCAAAAGAAAAGCTAAGCTCATTATACACACACAAAGGGAGTTTGTATTGGATCCTGTGGTAGTGGTGGGCAGAGAGAAATAAAAGTGGGAGAAACTGAGCAACCAGGGCTAGGATGGAGGTGACCTTGTGGGTGACAGGGAGTGAATACCATTTAGAGTAATGAGAACTCTCGGGGAATAGTGCCATTAGGCACAAAATATATGACTATTAGAATTGGCTACTAACCTTCTCCACCCATATGGAGAGCCCAGTTTTCAATACTCTGGTGAATCAGAGACTTAAAAGAATAAAATAAAAAGCAACCAAATAAGGTATGGAAATCTGACCCTGACTTTCAGGACCGTGTTCTGACTTCAACCTTATTAACCAGGAGGTAGGTCCCTGAGACTGGAGTTTACAGTTCTGACATTCAGGCACAGGAAATGGGCTTCCTCCTTCTGATACAGAAGAATGATGAACACAGTGAAGATCCCTGATGGGCAAAGATACGCCCATGCAGTGAAAGGAAAATCCTGTTATTCATAATAGTAGCTGCTATTAATTCACTGTTCACTCTGTGCCCTGTACTGTGCAGAAAAATTTACACACAGCTTCTCTTTATCCTTTCAACTATTCTCAGAGGTAAGTATTATTTCCATTTCACAGATGAGGACTCCTAGACACAGAGAAATTTTCCCGAGGTCTACGGACAAGATCTAAATGCATGTTTGTAAAATGACAAAAAGTCCAACCTCTTTACTTCTCAGCCAGATGACCTGTAAGTTATCCAAAAGGCTGTTTGAGGAGAAGAAAGGAAGCTGACTTACCTGGAGTGGGACTGTAGGAGAATCATGGCCTCTGGTGATGACCGGAATATTTAATACATTCACTAAACATCAGATTATCAAAATTAGGTTAAATGCACTTCAGTTCATTTGAATTCACAAAATTACTAAGTATCTAAGCCAGGATAAATTCTGAGCTAATTTAACAGTATATACCAGGATTTATATAGCCAAGGGAGTGAAGTTCCCTTGGAAACAGTCATCTAAGGAGACTCTATTTATTGCACTATTGTCTTGTGGGAGGTCTACGTTTGAAATTAACTTCCAAGTATTAATACATTCTTTGGAGTATTCTTGGTAACAAAAATCACGTTAAGGCAAACTTGATTTCTAAAAACTGCGAAGTCACCTGGAGTCAAGTCTAAGAAGTGATGAGTCCTCAGCCATTATCATCCTAGGGTATAGCTATAAAGCAGTGGAACATAGCACTTTGGGCCACACACTCCTTTTCAGAATGTGATTAAACCTGTGGAACCTACAGATAGGGAGGGAGGGGGAATGAAAGGAAGGAATATTTTGCATTTGAAAGCACAGGCTTGTTTCAACATGGTGGGTACTTTTTACAGGATTTTTTTTTTTTTTTTTTTCAGATGGAATCTCACTCTTTGCCCAGGCTAGAGTGCAATTATTGTGATCTCGGTTCACTGCAACCTCTGCCTTCTGGGTTCAAGCAATTATCCTACCTCAGCCTCCCGAGTAGCTGGGACTACAGGTGTGCACCACCACGTCAGGCTAATTTTTATATTTTTAGTAGAGGTGGGATTTCACCATGTTTGCCAGGCTGGTCTTGAACCCCTGACCTCATGTGCTCTGCCTGCCTCAGCCTACCAGAGTGCTGAATTACAGGCATGAGCCACTATGCCCAGCCACTTTTAACAGTTTTGTTAAAAACAGGTTTCTAGAGAGCTCTCTCGAGTTCCCTTGGAGTGTGGTAAACATATGGAGGCCCACATGAAGGGTGGGGATATTCCATCCTCCAACCTCTCCCTCTTTAGCGCCACCTTTCTCTGTTTAGAATTCAAGTTCAAGGAGGGCAAGGGGTTTTGTTTTATTCACTACTGTTCCTAGACCAGAGCCTGACACTATTTATGTGTCATTAATATGTATATAATGAACCAAATAAATAATAAATGAATAATTTAATATTGGGTCACAGGTAAGATTCCAATTATCAAAAGAATTTTTGTTTTAGAAACAATGTTTAAGAACCACTGGCATAGATAATTCAAGTGGAAATATTCCTGGGGGCATAGTATGTGGAGGGCTAGGTTTTCTTTAAGATTTAGCAAAATCTCAGAATAAGTAAGAGCGTCCATTCCATTTAGCATGAGTCCAGTGAGCATCTCAGTGCATGGCATGGTAAACACACAGTGTGATAGATAACACAATGGCAGTCTCTGAAAGGGGAACCTGGATCAAAAAGCCCAGTATCACGTCATTCTTTGCTGATAAATGAGGTTGTCAAAGCGGTCATACACTTGAGTCTTTATAAAAGAAAGAAATAACAAGAATAAAACCTGTTCTATAATGGTACTCTTTTGTATGTACCTATGGGTGGCCAAAGAAACAATGATTGATGACTGGTCCTGCATTCACTGCCTAAAATAAAGTGCTTTAGTTTCTGGTTGAAAATGAGGAATGTCAATGCAAAACAAGAGAACACAGAATGCATATTCAATTCTACTGAAGAAACATCTTTCAACTTTGCCAAAAATGGCAAAAAAAAAAAAAAAAAAAAAATTTCTTAGAAAACAAAGACAGGCATAGAGTTTATGCATAAAGATTTTCTTTTAAAAAAAGACACGCTTCATATAGCAAGAGCAATACAAAGGGGTTATATAAATTTATTTTTCATGTAACAATTGATTCAGTTAGAAAAATTTCCCATTTTCAATGTTAATTCCATCTCTCGTTTTTGGAAAAAAATCACTAAAAGGACAAAAACCCACAGAAAAATACAATCTGTATCTGTTCTATATTTACAGATAACCAGTCATTATTAAGGCGCAGATTAAAAGTTAACATTTATTCAAATCATCAAAATATTTTGTGCATCATATAACAACAACTCTGTATACTGTAGTGTCATATTCCCTTCATTGCATCAAGAGAAAGTGAGAGAAAGAATTTCCAGTGTTTTTATTTATTTTTAGCCACCCTACTTAATCTAATTTAAGTGGGACAGTTTTCCCTTTGGCATATCAAAGCACTGTTCATAAATCAACTTAATACTGCATATTCATTACATCTTCCTCCTGTTGCAAATGCATGGTAGACAGCTGGGAAAAGAGCTCCAAGATTATTATCTGGGAAGGTCTTATTAAAAGCATAACAACATTTAGAGTACTGAGTTGTTGAACAGGACATAAATCTGGTATTGTTAACCTGTACTACATGTTTAGCATGATGCATTAATACAATCAAATAAGATGGATGATCATCACATGATCCACATGACCATTTGTACACATATGCACAGGATGAGTAAAGGGAGTGATTCAGTTCAACATCCTTAAGCAGATAAGGCTTAGTTTAGCTTAAAAAGGGCAGTCCCTCGGTGCCAGTTATAATTGATAATTTTATGACAGGCCCATTATCTATGCCTTCAAGGTAACCAATACCATTTTTTAAAGTGAGAATGTTTCTGTGTGCAAAATGCCTCTTCAATTCTTGTTCTTACTGTAATGGTCAGACTCAGCCATGGAAAAGTGTCAGGCAAGTATTTCTTATCCCATATTTGTATAAAAGTACCCAATTCTTGTATATGCTTATCTAATGCCTTCTGCTGAGAGCACGTGAGAGTGGTTTATGTCCATGTAGAAAATCTTGACTACTGAACATAAATAACTCTTTACAGTACAGGTAACTTGACAACATTTCCTATGGGAAAGTTTTCTAACAAATTAATATACTTGGAAATAATATTGCTTTGAAGAAAGAAAGGCACTTTAGTGTTTCTTCATGGATTAAAAACACTTCATAAATCTATAAGATCTCTGAAAAGACCCAGGAAACAATGTTGCCTGATTTCTTGGACTTTCACAGTATAAGATTGTAATAATGACTCTAGCCACTTAAAAAGATATATTTTTTTTTTCCTTCAGAACTTAGCTGTCTTTATGAACTGCCACCCTGGAGGCTCAAATAAGCCTGTTCATTCTCAACAAACATAAGTCTACTTCAAGCAGACAGATACGGTTTCAGGAAAGTCCTGTGGCCATACGGAACATAGCTAACGTGTACATGATAAGGATTGTAATCTATTTCTCCTTATAATGGCAACAGTGCTGTCTTGTCAGATGATTATTTGTCTTTTTAAATAAAGTGACAATCTCGGGCTCCAGTTATTGAATGTCGTCCATTCTCTACCATAAATCTCTAGTAAATATCAATTTCATCAATTATGTACTGTATGCTTATAATATCTAAAAATAAAAGTTTGATATAAATAAATGTCCTTTAGTGGCAATATACTAAAAAACAGCCCTTTGCCTCCAGACAACCATTAAAATCATTTTAGCATTACAGGCAGCAGCTAAGTATGACGACTGCAAAGGGTTAATACTGCAAAGTCCATTTGGTCTTTCTTTGCACCTATTACTGTGAACTAGGTCCATTGCTAGGTGTTTCTAGGATGCTAACATACATGAAACAGAATTGGTCCAGAAGCAAGTGGACTCACTTACATTTCCCAAAATCACAGAATATTCTGCACAGAAACTAAGATCCAGTACCATTTCAAATAAAAGTTTGATGCAGTCAGAAAAATGTGACTAACTCTTATCTGTACCAACATATTAGGTGACACAAAAATGAGAGAGATGGAGACAGCGAGAACTTCCATAGGACAAGAAATTAGAACGTGTAAAGTGCTGAAAGACCACAATAATTATTTTAAAGCAGTACCAGAAAATTCCACTTTGATTATTTTTTAAAAATCCCCAAATACCCAAACAAAACAAGCAAACAAAATAACTTCTAAGTCTTCTGGCATCCCAGATGTCAATTCATCCTTCATTTTAAGTAAAAAAAAAAAAAAAAAAAAAAAAAAAAAAATCATCAGTGCATATGTTATATAGGTAAATAAAAACAGGAAATAAAGCCCTATCCTTATATTGCAAATTCTGTCCAACTGCCATTTTAAAAAAGTAATCCATATTTGGTGTTCTGTATGACATCATAAGAACATCTTCTCTCTCTTCTTCCTTTTTGCCATAAAGTACAGGTGCGAATAAAATGCTTTGGTCCTGATACCAGACACCCAGAGTGCTAAGGATGGTGTGCTGTGAAGGCTGTTCATACATCTCCTGTGTCCACTTTACAGTTAGTCAGCGGGCATGTGCCAAGAGGGTGCTGCTACCAGCGGCCACTGACACTAGCAATGTCTGAGTGATACTGACGGGGTAGCCTTCCACTCGCTCCACCTTCCAGGAAAGAGGTGCGTGCATTTGGCGATTCAAAAAGCTTTCTTCGGTTTTTATTTAGTTCTAGAGAGAGAAAGAGAGAATTGTTAGGAGCTCAAGAGAAGTTCTATGTATACTACAGGACATGGCACTAGAGCTCAGAAAATGGTGACGTGGTAGGTTTTTTGAGGAAAGTCAAGTCTGGTATCAAAAGGAAAACTTTTAGTTGATGGTCAAGGCATTTCTGAAATACTAGAAAGTATGGTATTAAAGATAGCATATTGATAGTCTAGAGAACAAAGGACAGCAAATAGTTTTTGTTGCAACTCATAAACTCCTGACAGCAAACAGTTTCTATTATAGTTTGTAAACTGTATTGGAGGATATACCATTCTCAGAACGCTCTAACCAAATTAAATAGTTTGACCTACTCCAAAGGTCATTTCAGAGGCAAGGAGAACAAGCTAAGCTCGTGAAAGGACGTATGACTGATGGCACAGAAAATTATTACAGCTACTGAACTCATTCATGTCAAACATGGCAATCATTTAGTTTTATTAAAGTCAGATATGAAAAAGAAGACCCCATACCTAAGCACAGGGATATTGGAGGAGCACCCTGAAGAACAGCTGACCCTTGAATAATGCAGAGGTTGAGGTACCAAACCCCTCCTGCTCCCATGTAGTCAAAAATCCATGTATAACTTTTGACTCCCCCAAAACTTTACTAACGGCCTACTGTTGCCCAGCAGCCTTACCAGTAAGTTGATTAACACATGTTCTGTATGTTATATGTATTTTATACTACATGTTTACAATAAACTCAGCCAGAGAAAATACTAAGATAATCATTAGGAAGAGAAAATATATTTACTTATTCATTAAGTGCAAGTGAATCATCAGAAAGTCTTCATCCCTGTTGTCTTCACGTTGAGTAGGTTGAGAAGGAGGAGGAGAAGGGGTTGCTCTTGCTGTTTCAGGCATAGTAGAGGCTCAATAGGTAGTGGTGGTGGAAGGAGAGGCAGGCACATTTGGTGTAACTTTACAAAAATACATCATAATTTCTGTCTGCCATTTTTGCTTTTTTCATTTCTTTAAAAATGTTTCTATATGGTACTAGTCATTCTTCCACTGTTTTATCATAGAAGAATCCATGTCATTAAAAAAATCAGAAGTAGTCTTGAATAATCGGAACTCTTCTGCCAGACTGTCTAACATCAGTTGCTTTCTGGCACTGCTTCTTCTATGTCTTCCTCATCGTCTGGCACTGGTTCAGAAACATGCATCGCCATCAAGTCATCTCTATTAATTCCTCTGGTGTGGTATCTATTAGCTCCTGAATTTCTCCAAGATCTGATATTGAAATCCCTCACTCACCCTTTACCTTTATTTATTATTTTTTTTGCCATATCCACAATTTCTTTCATGATTTTCTTGACTGGCTCTATGGTAAATTCTGTGAAGTCGTGCACAACATCTGGACACAGTTTTTTTCCAGCAGGAATTCATTGTTTCAGGCCTGATGGCTTCACAGCTTTTTCTGTATCAACAATGACATCTCCAATGGTGTAAACCTTCCAGCTTTTCATAATGTTTTCTCTATCTGGGTTCTCTTCTACAACCTTGACAATCCTTTCCATAAAGTACCATGTGTAACAATCCTTTAAGGTCCTTATGACCACCTGATCTAGAAGCTGAATTAGAGACTTTGTGTTTGGAGACAAGTTAACTAGTTTGACGACTCTGATGTTAAACACATGGGGTTTTCAGTGGCCAGGGGCATTATCCAACATCAAAAGAACTTTAAAAGTCAGTCTTTTACTGGCAAGTTACTTCCTGACTTCAGGGAAAAAGTATCAATGGAAACAGTCTAGAGAAAACATTCTTGTTATCCATGCCTTCTTGTGCTACAACCAAAAGACTGGCGGCTGGTGTTAATCTTTTCCCTCCAAGGCTCAAGGGTGGGCAGCTTTATAGATAAGGGCAGTCCTGATCATAAACGTGACTGCATTCGCACAAAACAGCAGTCAGCCTATCCCTTCCTGTCTGAAATTCGGGTGTTTGTTTCTCTTTCTTCTTTTTTCTTTTTGGGACAGTCTCGCTCTATAGCCCAGGCTGGAGTGCAGTAGTGCGATCTCCACTCACTGCAAGCTCCGCTTCCCGGGTTCATGTCATTCTCCTGCCTCAGCCTCCCGAGTAGCTGGGACTACAGGTGCCCACCACCACACCTGGCTAATTTTTTTTTGTTTTGTATTTTTAGTAGAGAGAAGGTTTCACCGTGTTAGCCAGGATGGTCTCGATCTCCTGATCTTGTGATCCACCCGCCTTGGCCTCCCAAAGTGCTGGGATTACAGGCATGAGCCACCGCACCCGGCCTCCTTTCTTTCTTACTAATAAAAATCCTTTGTGGCATTTTTTTTCCAGAATAGGACACTTACATCTGCATTAAAAACCTGTTCAGGTGTATAGTCTTTCTCCTCAATGATTTTCTTAACCGTGTCTGGGAACTCATGTGGTATCTAGTGGTTGACAAAAGCTCCTTATCCTGTTATCTTCAAATTTGTTAAGCCAAACCTCTTTCTACAATTAACATACCATCTTTTGTTGTCATTAATTTCTCCAACTTTAGATCCTTCACCTTCATTTTGCTTTAAGTTGTCATATAATGACTTTGCTTTTTCTTGAATCATGGAGTCAATAAGTATGCTTTTTTATAACAATCCTGCACCCACTCTAAAAGCTGCATTTTCAATGCAAGATAAAAAAGGTATTTTGCAAAAAGTGCAAGGCTTTTGCATCTGCAGGTCTAGCTGCAGCAATGGCTTCTCAAATTTCCTTTTCCTTTTTTTTTTTTAAACAATAGTTGTTATGCTGGATTCACTTATCTTGACGTGGTGGGCAAATGCAGCTACACACCTCAATCTGTGGTACATATCAAGCAATTCAACTTTTTCCCATGATGTCATAACTTTGCTTTTGAGAGCATTAGCGGCACTTTATGTGGGTCCTACGGTGTTATTCAAGGTCTATGGTATTGTACTAAACACAATGAAAAATACTCAAGAACTGTGAGAGATCACTTGTAACTGTTATATGCAACTTACTGGAGAGATTAATTGCTCAGGTGGAAATTAGTGTCATATAGTGCTTTAAGCGGATACTTGTAACATCGAGCTCACTGCAATAGCAACAGAAGGTGGCTATGAAATTATTACAGCAGTACTGTATATAACACAGTTAATTTTATGCAGTTATGATTTAAAATGTCTTTGTCTGTTTACATTTCTCTCTGCTGCCAGTGGTGCCATATATGGTCTGTGAGGTTTTGATAAATTTTAACATGTTATAATAGATGTGTATATTGTATGGTAGTAAATGATAAAATACACTAGTATCTGTATATATTTCATACATATGCGTTCTTGACATATCTAGCTTTTTCTTAAATTTTTTCAATATTCCCAGGCTATGCAGTTTGGAAGTTTCTTCAAGTTGTCACAAATCTCCAAAAATATTTTCAATATATTTATTGAAAAACCTCTGTGTATAAGTGAACCTGTGCAGTTCAAATCCATGTTGTTCAAGGGTCAACTGTATTAAGCCACAGCCCCCATGGCTCTGCCAACTCATGAACCCTATACTTCTTGAGTCAGAAATAGTTTTAGAAAGAGGCATATGAGTAGGTTTCTTTGAATAAAAAATTAATCTAGTAAAAAAATCATATCAGCTTAGAAAATTAATACTCACAAACAACAAATACTTGAATCTAAAATTTCAGGGAAAACCTGAGGTGCCCTATTTGAATGGTAAAGAAATTAGAGTACTCTGAAAACACTGTTTTGGTTTGTCTTTTGCCAACTAAAATTATTAACTGGAAAGGTAAAAAGTTAATTGAAACAGATTACGTTGTTTTATGAGTATGCATCAACCTCCGCCCCCACCTCAAAATCACTGATGTAACTCATTCTGACAAACTCATGCAAGTACACAGAATCATCAGACTATGGAAATTAGGGTTTTGATACCAAACAAATGCAAATACCCTCAAATTTATTCAGTTTAAAATAGATTAGAGGGATTATGTAACTGATTTGCTTAAAGTTGTCTCTTTGAGGGGCTAGAGCAGTGATTCACCTTATATTTGCATGGTACTCAGTACTTTTTAAACCACACACACACAATCAATCCCCTTTTGAATTGTGAAGTTACAATGTAAGATATGGCCATCTACAGTAATGCTGACGACACAGATTCAGGTTGTAACAGACTGCATGGTGTTAAGGATGACCATATGACCAGACACACTCCTATGGCCAAGTTCTGGAGGATGACCAATACCCTTCACATTTTACCCCACTGCCTTCCAAAATGTAAACGCCTGCCCCTATATGGTCAAAGCAACACTGGAGACATCTCTCTTTTGTTCATATATAGGTCTTAGGAGAGAAGAAAAATAACAATGATTCATTAGCCTTATTGTATGACAAGCACTTTACATTTATTTTGCCCTATTCAAGTCTTCTTTAAGGGATAGATAATATTACCATTCTCCATTTTATAGGTGAAAAAACTGATTGAAAAAATAGACTAAGTCACTTGCCCACACAGGTACTAAGTGACAGAGGTGAAACCTCACATGCTTGATGGAAAGGTCAATGCCCTGAGCACTGGCCTTCAGTGACCCACTGGACAGAGAAGACCAACCAAGGCATCAGGAATACAAATCTGAGAAATCGATAGTTCCAAGTATGCCAGATAACAGAGCTTTATTTGCTATTTTAACATGCCAAATTTAATTTTTAAATAGAAAAACCCAGCTTCACTCTGAAGAAGCAAGGAAGGTATCTTTACAAGCAAAAGACACATGCAGGCATGCATACAGATGGCTGTTGTTTCAAGTTCCTCCAGAAACACAGTTATTAAAAGCTGAATACATGTATCTTGTTAAAAACAAACACAGCACTTCAAAATTCAGAAATCAAGACAGAATTGAATATATTTAAAGGCAAACTTATAGAAGCGTTAAGAATAAATGAATCCCCTTAAGTACACAGCCTGGAAAAGTTTTATCATCTTCAAGCTAGGGACTATCTTCGGCCTCCATTTTCTCACGGGGGAATAACATACAATTCAGGAAGACATTCCCACTTTACAGCAAAGAAAAAAAAGGAATGAGGCCAAACAACATTCTCCTTTAGCATATATAACATGTATAACTGAGCACATGACAACAACTGGGCCATGAAGACAAAGTTTTTCAAAATAAATATTAAAAACTTTATTCTGAAAAGACACATCAGCTAGATCTTTGAAACAGTAAAATGATCACAAGGGAATCCAACCCTAATCGATACAGTTTCTAAGAGAGTACATACATATGTTTTTAAATGTGATGCACAGAGATAAATCTTCCAGAGAGGTTATCAAGGTCAAGTCCTACTGAAGAGACTTTAGAATTGCTGTTGTTGTTGTTTAAATGATAAGGCAAACTCCTCTAATATTTTTCAGTAAGCCTACGGGATGGTTTGGGAAAATACCAACCTTTTTCTTTGAAATTCCAAGGTTCACACAATCCTGGCAGCTCTCAGGATCTTGTTGCGGATCTGAACAGAGTCACAAACTAAAAGAATAGGTCGGGAAATGTTAGATCTACCTGAGGCCGTGGTGGGAAGCCTGTCAACAGGATGCTAAGCGTCCTTTCACTGAGTCCCTGTACATTTGACCAATCATGAAAATATTCTGAGAAAAATCTGTGAATTTTCCAAAAAAAAAAAAAGTGGATTTGGGGAAAAAGAGATCAAATTTATACTTTGATCCATCTCCATTGGAGATAAATTTCATCTACTGCTATAACATTAAATGTATTTTGGCCTGAGATTAAAAATAAAACAAAACCTTATACTGAAAGAATCACTCAGATTATAAGTTTAAAATCTACAAAATTTAAAAAGGAATTTTAAGCAAACTCTGGACCTAACCAATCTATAACCATAAGACAAATGTGAGTTCAGACTGCCCAGCTATACTGCATCCATAGGGAGACAGAATGTTCTGGGACTATAAATGGATGTCTTTGTTATGAGATAAGTTGAACTGGAGAAAGAAGCTTTTTGATGAAGAATTTTCTCAATAAAAATGTATTGCTTTCAGAGAAAATAATTTACCAGGTTCAAACAAATGCACTCAACAAAGTAAGACAAAATTATTCTTAAAATAATCAAGTCCTTTATGCTGTGCAGAGCAGCCATAAAGTATTTTAGTCAGTCTCAAACTCCCTTTAAAAGCAAGAGGACCTGGTGAACCCCACTGAGAGAGGAAGTCTGCAAAAGTACTATATAACCTCAACAGAATGACAAAGAAGATGATTAGAAAAAATATTATTTTTTTAAAATAGAGAGCTTGAAACCTTTCTGATTCCCATCTTACCTCCCCCAAAAGATACTGATATATTCCAGAGGAAAGGTATTGATGATCTATCTACAACCTGTGAATGTATTTACAGCTATCTGCTTGTTGCTAAAATCTTTACAGAATTCAGAATTGGGTTGGGACACCAAAAAATGAACTTAGTTTTCACTATATCCTCACTGCTATTCCATGAATCTCTAGTGAAAGATTATGGAGCTCTGGACTACACACTTCACTGATAGAAAATTGCTGGCCTGCAGGCATATTTCAACAGTACAGGTATGGTGAATGCATAAGTTAATCACGTTTCAAACTGCAAATAAATTTCATTTGCAAATTAATAAAATAATATGAAAACTTTTAAAGTTAGCTTGAGTCTAGGGATAGCCCCCTGAGGATGAGCTTTACAGAAAACAAATTTTAAAAATTACTCTATTATCATAGATGGTAAAAAAGAACAAGTAATAAAACTATCGTTTTGTCCATTTTCACTAAGCCTGATGATATCACATGAAAGGACAGATCTTAGAAATGGAAGGTGACCTTTGTACAATCACAAATTCCAATCTACCTTCATGATTAACAAACCAAAGCCAAGAGAGGTTTGGAAACTCACTCAAGGACTCATGACTTAGCATAAGTAAAGCCCAGATCTCCTAATTGAATCCAGTGTTCTTTCCACTATACCAAGATGATCTTATGAGCAGGAATTATGCATTTTCCCTGTGGAGTTCCATTAATAGAGCCTCTTGGGTACACACAGTATATCCGAGAAGAAATTTTAGAAGAAGTTCTGGGAAAACTGATGAGTGTAGAACTCTATCCACAGAAGAACCTAACAGGCTGCCACCAGGAAGCTCAATGGCTGGATTTCCACTCCTATTTCAAAGCTGCTTTGCCTGTATCTGCTTCAGATAAAGATTTCCTATGGGAAGATGGGTGGGGCATTCAACATGCCGCTAAAATAAAATGGAAAACCACTGAGGTTTTAAATTTTATCTGCTGATCTGATTAGTGAATGTTGTCTGGAATGGACTTTCACCAGTTGGATGTAACTGCTGGCTTCACTGAGGCATAGCCTGCAAATTCAGTGTTCTGAAAAAGCATTCATTTTTCCGCAGCACATGACACTTGGCTTCTGCCCCTGGTGTGTCTGTCTTTCTGAGACTGGGACACATATAAACTTGACATTCAAGAACTTTATTGGCAAGTCTTCAAAAACTAATCCCATTCCCTCCTTAAAATTTCCGCATATTTTTCTAAACGCTTTTTTGAGGTTCATTACTATGTATTTGCCAACTCCTGACTCATCATCTGGCTCAATTCCTTTCAAATGAGTGGCACCCAATAAATACGTATAGAGCATTTTCTAAAATATATATGCAACAGATGCACAAAGAAAGTGGCCTAGGGAGACAGACATTATTTTCCTTCATTCTGTGACTATCTTCAGGATACTATGTCCTGTGACTCATAAATTCTATTAAGACAGTGGGAAGACTAAGAAGAATTAAGACAAGTAACACTGCCAGATTCAACCAGCATTCTTTTCTTCTCAGTGCAATGAACTCAGTCGGTGTGCAAGGACACAAACATTTGAAACATAACTGCCAATCAAGAATAATTATTCACTAATGTAATGATTACTGTTTAACACAACTGCAAAGAGGAGAATTAAACTTTCTCCCCAACTTCTCATGTTCTGCATAGGGCGATTTTGGTTAGATCTTTCTGAAGAGATCTATTTTCATATATGACCCTTGTTAAGGCAGGTTTTCAGGCAATGCCTTGATGAAAAAGTAAGACAGTCTCAGGATCTGTCACACTGTTGACAGGAAAACCCTCTGAAACCACAACCAAGGTGTTAGGTTAGTAAGCCAGCAGTTAATGGGTAGAAACAACCCAATGGCTGAGACCACTGGCAGAGGTTATTCAGATTTTAACATATGAGTTGAATATTTATATTCACCTGAAATTGCAAGCAGCATTTTCCTCCTGGCACCAAAAGTAGTTATTCCCAGCTCCTTCAGATCCTGATCTGTGAGAGTGAGGAATGTCTGAAGATCGATCTGTGGGTAGAAAGGTCAATCTATAACCAATGTATTAATTACTTATTTTCTTTCCCACTGTAGGATCAACTTGTTGTCACACTTATTTATTAATTATGCTCTGCCTACTTCCAGAAAAGAAAGGTGGTAGCACAAACCTAAGAAACAAGAATTAAGAAAGGTGGTGAAATGGAAATGATGATTCTAGCAGAAGACTTAGCTCTGAGCAACCCGGCAACTATAGCAAGAAAGGAAACACAAAGATTGTACCATTTTTGTGAACTGATAAAAGGAAGAGCATTATCTGTTCAGAGAAGAGAAAAATATTTCTTAGGTTGGGATTTTAAATTGGTTAAGTGTATCTTTATCTTTATAAGAAGAAACTAAATAATAAAACAGATGGCATCTTCCTTTGTGTTCAACACAGGATTGAAAGGATTGAAAGAAGAATTCCCAGACACAATCAGATCTACAGTTCACTTGGCTCAACTCAGCAAACTATCACTGAAAGGGACACAAAAGAAGTATTTGCAGGAACTATAAAACTGCACTGTCTGGCATCAGGAACAAAGCATGAAGGGAAACTGCCCAAGGATCCCCCACCTTCCTTTAAAGATAGTGTGTAAGAAGAGAAAGACAACAGATTCTGAAGCCAAAGAGACTTGGGTTCGATCCTGACTCTGCCATTACTAGCTGTGGGCACAGAGGGTTGACAATACTGTATCTTGCAGAACTGTTGTAAGCATTCACTATAACTATAGATATAAAGTACTGGGCTTACCAAATAAGACAATTGGCAGGTATGGTTAGTAATAATGCATGTTGATATATCACCTGTGAAAGTTGCTAAATGAATCTTCAACATGCTTACAATAAATTAAATCTCATGAAGTTACTTATGGGGGATTCTTGTTAAATCACATCTGAGTATTAGAAAATATCCTACACTGAAAAAAGCAGATGACCAAATTTCAACATGCCATAAACAGGTAAAACTTTTCATTAAATGATATTGAAGATAATTTAAATTGTCCTGTTTTGATTTGGAAGGTACATCCAGGTCTTAGAAAACCTTAGGCCATCATTTATCACAGTTCTAAAGATATGTTTTCAGAAATTCTATAATAGAGATTCTTCAGCTCAAGTGTTCCCCAGCTTTCTCTTAAAGGACCAGATGGTAAATATTTTAGGCTTTGTGGGCCACAATGTCAGTGTTGCAGTTACTTAACTACGCTGTTATAGCTGGAAGGAAGCCATAGACAATATGTAAACAAATGAATGTGGCTGTGTTCCAATAAAACTTTACAAAATCAGGCAGTTGGCCTACAGACCACAGTTTGCTGACCCCTGCTGTAGTTAATAAAATATTACATTAAGTCCCTCTGGCTTTATACTTTCATGTTTTTTTCCTTCTTGGAGTAATTGGAATAAGAAATACCTACAATTTCTATGCTTCTTCAAATAGGAAACATAGATGAAAACAAACCCAGAATATCATTGAATTAACATTCAATCTCTTGCTTTTTGACCTTCTGTGCCTGGACACATTAAAATACTTCTGCTTCCAGCTACCATCATCTAACCAGCAAGACAAAATAAGGAGATATATTCTTTAATGCACTGATTATGAAAGGTTTATTCAGCTTAGAAAATTCTTGGTTAAATGAACACTAACTCAGATGTAGGGGAAACAGAAAAAAAAAATCAATACCCTGAAATTTAATACACACAACAATTGCCCTTTCAGTGTAAAAAACAAAAATGCTCAGCATTTAAACTTAATAATTTATTGGACCATGGGCAGTACATTGAATTTATGATACAAAGTGCCTAGTAAAAACTATAGATTCTTTATTAACTGACACGTGCCTAGAAATTACTGACTAAATCAGATGTTCTCTAACATAAAATTAAGCCAACTAGCATCAAACATGGACCATGTCTTGATTTGAAAAAGACACAAATGTATAGAAACATTTTAATTTTCTGACACTTTGAGTTAGCTGTGCCCCAGTAATATGAGAGCACTGTTAGGAAGAATCATGCCTGGGGCCTCTTTTCTTTATGCCAGTACATAATAGGATATGGCTAATCAGTTTGACCAAAATCCATGGTCATGATTGTTCAGTAGACATCTCAGTTCTGTCTCAGTTCAGGTAAAACCCAAACAATAAGTTAATGAATAAATTAACATGTTGAAAAAAACATATATTCTGTAAGAACAGACTTCAGCATGACCAGGATGAGTCAAAAACAGCCAGAGATATTTCAGATGCTGTTATTTACTTTTAAGTGCCACAAATAAAGATAACAACAGATTCAAAATGAAATCATGTTAAATACAGACTTGTTGCTGACCTTAAGGGAGCTGTGACTACAAAAATTCCTAGGAATCTATATATCGATTGGGTTTTATTGCTAAAACTGTTAGACAGCTATTGTACATTTTTCTGCAAGTATGATTTTCTCTATTTCTGCTATCCCGTGTTTACTAGCTGCACTAAATAAGAAATGAGATGACATTTTTCTTAGTAGCAAGGACAAGCTATGAGACTTGAATAAATGCTCAGTGAAAGCATACTCATAGGTCAATAAGTGATTTCATTCTAGAAGTCATCATACACACAATCAAAACAAAGATACTTGGGAAAATAAATAATGACTGACCTCTTGTTGCTGGAAAACATCTGTGTATTTGCCCAGGCCCAGTTTGCTGAAGAGCTCAGGGAGGTCAGAACCTTTGAAAGAGCTATTTAAGTTACAGCCATTGCTTCCTGTCAGCGAGGAAATGCAGTCCATGTAATTGCTACTGCTGAGATAGTGTTCCGCTGAAAGGCAAAGGAGAGACAGGCTTGAAGTGTAAATGCCCAGAGAGAACATGGTTTAATTAAAAGTTTTAATCACCTAAATATTTCAACTTCCATTGTTCAGCTGAATAGGGCAGTAGCTGTAGAAATACAGCAATCCTTTACTGAAATATTGGCTTTCCATTAAGGAAATGCTGGTTATTGCTTTCAGGGAGGCTCTTGACATTTAAAAGGTTACACTTGGGAGGCAGAAATTCAGCAACAGTGCCTCTGTAGTTAATAATCATTCATCATATTCTCCCTGAGTAGTCAGAAGCATTTGTTGTTTAAAATTGATTGGATGTGAATTAAATGAGGAGCTGTAAAAAGGATCCCTGGGACAAAATAAAGGTATGGAAAGTTATTACAAGTCCAGGCTCCGTTGGATGGCAGGGTGGCTCTCTGTATCTACACCTGTGCTTTCCTTTGGTCAAAGGAATTGTATGGTATTGCAACACATAAATCCTGCTCCCTAAAAAATATAACTGGGTAGCAAGGTCACAAAACAGCACACTTCCAAGATTAATAGTAATGTATAAAGTGATAAGAATGATGCTGGGGTTCCTGGATTTAATTTAGGACAAAAATAAATCTGTCTCTGGGGAAAACTTTTAAGACAGCAATGCTGAACTTTTCCTTGGTTCTGCAACTGATTTGGTGGGCAAAGGTTTCAACAAACTGTCTGTGGCTCTCAGACCCAGTGACAAGCAAGCGCTGGTGACGGACTATTGAACCAAGCCAAGTAAGTCACACACACACACACACACACACACACACACACACACACACACACACACAGCCTTGGAGATTTCAGCAGAGTGCAGGCATTCCACCTCCCAGACCAATAATGAGCTCTTGCCTGTGTGGGAAATCTGTCTTCTTACACCAAGGATGTGGCTTCAGGAGAGATCCCCAAAGAGGTGAGGGAGGACAACACTGACCAAAGCCAATCAGATCCATCTAGTCTACTCTGGGGATCCATGTGTCTGCCAAATCTAGGAATCTTGTTCTGCACTGTTTTGGGTGTCATTGATCACTTTCTCCAGTTGTTTTCATCTCCCAATTGAGATGTCCTCTATGATTCTCAAACAGAAGGCATTTCCTGAAAAGGTTTTTCTCTTAAGGATAGCTGCTGTTTATCTCTTGGGGTGAATGTGTAGAGAAAGGACCCAAAACCAAACCCCAAGATACTGAGTCCTGGGACACTCCACCATTTAAAGGTGAAGCAGAGGCCCCAAAGTCATAAAAACAGTTTGAGGAGGAGTGACTATTGAGGTACCGGGTCAAAGGTGACACAAAGCCACAAAGTGGACTGCGATAAGCAAATTGGGGTGAGTGACCACCAGATGTGGGATGTGACTACATCAAAGTGGCTGAAAGGCTGCCCATATAATTTATGGTCCAAATGATAGATTTACTTTTTTTTTCGAGAGTAAAAGAGTTACTGAGAATTATGCTGCAGCAACTGGTATAAATAGGGATGCCCAGGAAAATGGAAACATTGGTGACCTTGACAAGGGTGTTAAGAGAAATTATCTAAAACTGTGCTGTTCAATACAGTAGCCATTGGCCACACATGGCTATTGAGCACCTGAAATGAGCCTAGTGGGAATGAAAATGCTCTGTCAGTACACAATACACTGCAGATTTTAAAGCCTTTGTACAACCTAAGAAAGAATGTAAGCTATCTCCAATAATTTTTATATTGATTACATATTTAAAAGGAATCTTACATATGTTAAATTATTAACAATTTTAAAAACAAATGTTTGAAAATAAAATGTTCATAGTGATAAATGTTCAAAGTAGCCTATAACGTACTTTTACTTAAATTTTTTTTTTTTGGTCTTAACTACTTGTAGTTTCTATAGTCTCTCTTAAACTCCCTATACCCTAAAAAAAGTGACAAAACCCAAATAACTGTGCTTCATTAATCATTCCTTTTTATTAATGTATCCTCCATCTTAATCCTGAACTTCTATTCAACTGAGTAGTACAGTCAATTTAATTATCCAATGTTAAATGAAGGGAAAGGAGATAAAGATAGAAAAAGAGAAGCACCAAATGAATGTATCTTGGGCTAGAGACTGGACATCATTTACACCCCTCCATCTGTGCCTGGCATCAGCCTGACTCTCATCTTGATCATACTGTCAGTGGTGGAGCGTCCAGCCAGTAACTAATGGGAAGTCTCCAGGCTACTATTGACAGTGTACTTAGGAATGAAATAGTTGTCCGTGCTTTCTTATTTAGACTTGGCCAACAACCTGATTACTCCTTTCAAATCTGAGACTCCTGATAATACAGCTGACATGAGTGATAGTAACGTAACAACTGACTGTTACTGAGTGTCTACCATGCTCATCTAGATTGCCTAGCTTCAAGGAGTCTTCAAATATTCTACATGTTTCAGGATTCCAAATTTGTCAAAAACCCTGAAAAAAGGCATTGGGGCATATCTTGTGATGACAATGTCAGCTCTCATCTGTTTATACAGCCCAGGAGTATGGGTGCTGTTGTAGATAAAACAATGGGCTTATGCTGAGTCTCAGCCAGATTTGCTAAAAGCCAGAACCCCCATGCTGTAATAAGTTAATTTTTTCCTGTTTATGCGAATTCAGCAACATCTTGTCTATTTACAAAATCAAACCCTGCTATTCACCTTTAGTAGCCACCCGCTGGACAGTCTTTCTTCAATGGTCTAAGATGCTAATTCAATCACATTTTTCTCAACCACTTTTTTTTTTTGAGACAGGGTCTCGCTCTGTCACCCAGGCTGTAGTGCAGTGGTTCAATTACAGCTCACTGCAGCCTCAAACTCCTGGGCTCAAGCGATCCTCCCACCTCAGTCTCCCACGTAGGCTAAGACTATTGGCGCATGCATACCACCACACCCAGCCTCTTGTTTTTTTTTTTTTTTTTTTTAGTAGAGATGAAATCTCACTATGTTGCCCAGACTGGTCTCAAACCCCTGGGCTCAAGCTATCAACTCACCTTCACCTCCCAAAGTGCTGGGATTACAGGTGAGAGCTGCCATGCCTGGCCTCAACCACTTTCTTATGTCCTTGTCTTTTTGTCACCACCTGGATGCATGTGTGTACATTACCCATTCATGCATTCATTTCACAAACTTTTACTGAGCACCTACCTACTAGGTGTCAGACAGTTCACTAGGCGTTTGGGAAGAAATATCCAATAAGGCAGAGCATAACAGAATACTTGACACATGGACACTTCATAAATGTTTATAAAATGAACAAATACAGTCTTTGGTTTGTGGAGCACAAATTTCACAAGGAGATACAGATAGGTAGATAAATAATTGCCCTTTGGTATGGCAAGTGCTAGAGTGAAAGCACGCACAAAATGGAGTGAGAGGAAAGAGAACCAGGTGGCCTGCTTCACTGGGAGAAACAAGGAGGCTTCACAGAGGAGATGGCATGTGAATTACACCAAGCACTTGAAGTCAGAGAGGCCACAGTCAGTGATACTCCAACCCAAATAAACACATTCTAATCTGGGGATACCTAAAAGTGTGCATAAAACACAACGCTCACTTGATTTGTTTTGTTTACGCTTAGGGCTGCCAATAGAAGCTGCAAATTCACTATGACTTCCAGGTCCAATTCCATTTCGGTCTCTCCAGTTATCAGATTCGCTTCCACCTCCCAAGTGCTCACGACTGTTGGACCGTGAAAGGGACATGGATGAGCCCTGTAAACAGACAAAGCCAGATAAGGAAATATTTAATCAGGTGGGTTTTTCAGGGTGGGAGGAGAAAAGAATCCACATTACACCACTGCCGTTTACTTCTCTTGCCAACCACCGCAGTTACTCATGAGTGTTGACTCTCGGGAAGGCTGTGGAACCTGCCTACAGCCTTTGCCCTGCAGCACCAAGGACACTTGGTAATTTGCACAGTGAAGTCTTTTTCTTTCATTATGGGGAGTAGATTCTGAGGGAGAGTTCTGAGAGCCTCCGGGATAAATAATCCCTTCTATAAAATTTGGAAGAGTGGATGCTGAGACTCCTTCCAATTTTGGAGACCAAAAAGCAAATCTTCCACCTGGTAGAGCAAAGATTCTCTGCCTTGTATTACACAAGTAAGAGAAATGGTGATGTGGCAAAGCTGGCTTCTCAAAATGCTAATAGAGCCTGAGGTTGGAAGGGGAGCTGTCATTTCCCCTGTGTTACCCTCCCCTAAACAAACAAGGATACAATCTCTCTAACAAATTACATACCTGGAGTAATTTATCTCTTTAAATTCTCCACAATAAAAACAAAAATAATTTAAAATTTGCACTGAACTTGCATTTATTCATCTTTGTATTTATTTAATCACTATATTATAGACACCCTACTATTACCTAGAGTATTAAAGTCAAGATTCTCTGACTTTCAAAATATTATGTTCATTAGGTAATTCCAAGAGAATCCTTTACTGTTCACTTCAATAAACTTACTTAATTCAATCTTGCAATGGCATAAAGACAGCTCACTATGCCCTCCTTTAAAAATTTCTTTCTTTAGGGCATCCTGACACCCCAGGCCCCAAGTTTTCCACCTACCTCACTGTGTCCTTTGGAGGATCTTCCTATTTTACATTCTAAAATGTCAGATTACCCTGTACCTGGTCCTAGGATCTCTTCCCTTCCCTCTGTCTACTTTCTTAAGTAATCTCAAGTCCTTTCAAAAAGTAATGACAGTAGTGATTCCTAAACTTCTAACTCCAGATTTGATTTCTCTGTTGAAATTTAAGAATCATAGGCCGGGTGCAGTGGCTCACACCTGTAATTCCAGCACTTTGGGAGGCCAAGGTGGGTGAATCACCTGAGGTCAGGAGTTTAAGAACAGCCTGGCCAACATGGTGAAACCCCATATCTACTAAAAATACAAAAATTAGCTGGGTGTGGTGGTGCGTACCTGTAATCCCAGCTACTTAGGAGGCTGAGGCAGGAGAATTGCTTGAACCCAGGAGGCGGAGGTTGCAATGAGCAAGATCATGCCACTGCACTTCAGCCTGGGCAACAGAGTGAGACTCTGTCTCAAAAAAAAAAAAAAGAAAAGAAAAGAAAAGAAATTTAGAATCACAGAGGTGCCAGTCGGACACTGCCATTTTCCTGTCCGATAGGCATCTTAAACTCAGTGTGCTTGAAACCAAGTTGTTGTTACCCATCCCCATCAGCTATCCTCAAACTTATTCTTTCAGAATTCCTATATCCCAGCTAGTGACTCTACTACTCACCCAGCTGCTCCAGCCAAAAGTCCAAGGGTCATCCTTGGTTCCTCCTTCCCTCAACACAGCCAATCCCTCAGCAAGTTCATCAGTGTCATCTTAATACCCCAAGTCTGCTCACTTCTATGCACCTCCACAATGTCCCAACTGCCTCCCTAAGGGCCATTTTAATTCTACTCTTGTTGCTTATCTCCCTACAATCCATTTTCCATGAAGCAACAAGACTGATTTCTTAAAATGCAAATTAAAACAAATATGCCTCTGTGTAAAGTCCTGTGATGTATTTCCACTGTGCCTTACCATAAACTGACAGGCTCCATAATCCAGCCTCTGCCTCTCTCCAGTCTCTTCTCTGATGCTGATGGTCCCCCACCCTACCCACCTCGGCTTCAGGAACTCACCGGCTGGTTCTGACTCTGGGGTGATCGTGCCAGTTGTTCCCTTGGCCTACTACTCTTTCCCCAGATCTTCATGGCCTTTTCTTGGCATCTAGGTTTTAGCTTGAATGTCATTTGCTCATAAGGTCTGCTTTATGACTACCCAATCTAAAGTGGTTCTGTTTCATATGTAACAGAGACTCTTGTTACTAATGACTTCTTGTTTGTTTTATGTTTCCTTCTACCCACAAGAAAGCTCCATCTGAGAAAGTAAGAACCTTGTATTCAAACACTGTATTACCAGTGTATAAAATTGTGTCTGGAACACATAAGGTGCTTAGTATTTGTGGAATTATTGAATTAATCTCAAGGACTCCTTTCCCTACAACTATGGGACGCCTTCACTAACTTCTGGCAATGGGTATAGGGAAATGAAGTTTTCTGAGACCAAAAACTGGATTTCCAATCAAAGTATCTTTATTATTTGTATATCTTTGATAAAATATCTTTAATATTTCTACTCCTAGATTTGTAAGATTTAAAATAATCAGACAACCTCGTTACTATCAGTGCTAGGGAAGTTTAAAACCACCTTTGATTCTCAGTGCAGGTTTTTATTTGCTCCGAGAATATGTGACCATTACTCATGCTTTTAAGAGATGGGTGGCAAAAAGGAAAAGAAAATCCCAAACCTCTTTGTAGCTTTATTGATGTGACACAGTTACTGCAGGTCAAAGCAGCCTTTTGTTTGACTTTTGGTATCCCAATATAATATATGGGGACAGGGTCATAATTTAGAATCTTGGAGAAAACAAAAAAAGCTTCAAAGTGCCTGCTTCTTATCTAAGGGATCTCTTTGAAGTAGATTAATTTCTCAAAGCTGCCCTAAAACTGGAAAAAACTGCTCAAGCTGAGCTTCTCAATAATATTGAATACAGAGTTTGAAGTATCAGATTCTTGCCTCAAGCAAAGTTGCTACAGCAGGAAACATTTGGTCCCTGGCACACCGAGTGAGCAGCCCTCACCTGTCAGGACCTATTGGTCAAACATGCTTGCTCTTTTTACAGATCGGCATTCTCCTTGTTCATTTGGCTTTATTTTTCTTTTGAAAAATGAAAAAGTAAGAAAAAGGAAGGTGTTTTTAGCTACTCTCCAACTTAAAAATATTAGTGCCATAAGCATAGATGTGGTCTCTATTTTAATAAAAATCTCCCTCTCTACTTTTCCCCAGGCCCTTCCCCTCTTCCTAATCTATAGAGGCAATACTCACTGGATGCCCTATTTCTGATCCTTCTGAGCTATAGAAGAATAAAGGAAAAGACATACACAGCCACTGCTGCAGAAAATCAGACCATGCTATGTGAGGGGCCCTTTCTTACATTTCAAAGAATTTGGGATACATGAGGAAAAGCTCAAGTCTAACTTATATACCAGGGAGAATCTAGAACACCATTCACAAAAAAGAAAAAAAAAAAGATCATATCTTTCCATTAGTAGCACTTAAAGAGGCAGTGAAGAAAAGCAGATTACATGGTTAATGTCCATGCTGGAATCTAGCAGGTCTCACCCACCCTTCCTCCCAAATTTCAATGTGAATGTGCTGCTAAACACCAGCCAGGATGATGGGGCAGGCTAGCCCAAGATAGCCAAAGCAAGAAAAGCCATAGGAAGAAGTTCAACCATGGTGTCAGGGGCCCTGCACATTTCTGCCCACAGAAAGTGATCTGTGATCTACCTGTCCTTGGGCAAGTGCTGGAGCAGAAGAGCCTTTTGGGCTCCTATGCCTATTCCTGCCCTTATCCCCATAGGGTTACATCCCTTTACAGCAGAGTTTCCTGTGGGACACATGCATCACAATTATACTAGGTTCTTGCTGAAAACACAAATAGATACCTGGTCCTCACTCCCTACCTTTTGAGTGAGATCCTAGGAGAAGAGTCTGGATTATTAAGCTCTCCGAGTGATTCTTATGTTCATAAAACTATGGCAACATGGCTCTAGATCAGTTACATACCACCCTTTGCTATGGACTCTCTTGGGTTAAATCATTAGGAAGAGGAGTATAAGTAACCTTGAGTAAGACACTTAGCCATTCTGGGCCCCTCTTTCCTTACTAGGAGTTTGTGGGGATTGAATAAAATTGTGGGTGAACTAAATGAATATGATTTAAGATAATTACTACTATTACCTTAAATTCTTATGTGTTCACATAATACCCTAAGATATTCCTTTGAATATAAAAAAGCATAACTAGCTTGAGTGTGCAGAAATATTTCCACCAGTGAGCATTCATAAACATAATCTCATCTTTCAGCAAGCCCTTGGTTTTCTTCAGGATAAAGTAAGTCCTCCACTGGAAATAATAATAGCCACTCAATATCAGTAAGAACTGGCCAGGCGTGGTAGCTCACTCCTGTAATCCCAGCACTTTGGGAGGCTGAGGCAGGTGGATTGCTTGAGCCCAGCAGTTTGAGACCAGCCTTGGCGACATGGTGAAACCACGACTCTACCAAAAATACAAAGACTAGCCAGTCTCATAACCTGGTCTCAAAATAAATAAGTATATAGATTAAAATTTAAAAATGAAAAAAATGTAAAAAACTTAAAAGAACCTCACACCTGTAATCCCAACACTGGGACACCGAGGCGGGCAGATCACTTGAGGTCAGGAGTTTGAGACCAGCCTGGCCAACATGGTGAAACCCTGTGTCTACTAAAAAAGAAAAAAAAAAATACAAAACTTAGCTGAGCGTTGTGGCGCATGCCTGTAATCCCATCTACTTGGGAGGCTGAGGCAAGAGAAATGCTTGAACCTGGGAGGCACAGGTTGCAGTGAGGCGAGATCCTGCCATTGCACTCCAGCCTGTGTGACAGAGTGAGACTCTTAATAAAGTAAAATTTTTTAAAATATCACTAGGCCAGGCATGGCGGCTCACACCTGTAATCCTAGCACTTTGGGAGGTCGAGGTGGGCAGATCACCTGAGGTCAGGAGCTCAAGACCAGCCTGGTCAACATGGTGAAACTCTGTCTCTACTCAAATACAAAAATTAGCTGGGCATGATGGTGGGTGTCTGTAATCCCAGCTACTCGGGAGGCTGAGATGGGAGAATTGCCTGAACCCAGGAGATGGTGGTTGCCGTGAGCCGAGATCGTGCCACTGCACTGCAGCTTAGGGGGGTTGAGTGAGACTCCACGTCAAAAAAAAAAAAAAATTTTTTTTAAATATCACTAAGAACTGACAACACATCATGCTAATCACTGGATGCCCTCTCCAATGCCCTTCTCAGCACAACCTGAATGAGACACAGCTCAGATGAGTGAAGTCCCTCACCAAAGCTATACATCTGGTCAGAGGTGGTTATCAGAACCCTGAACTTGACCACTCCATTACCGAAATGAACATCATTTTCAACTTGTCCTACTGTTGGTCTTAGAAAGCAGAACTGAATGAGCATTTCTAAAGCAAATACTTCATCTTTGAAACTATAGGAACACAGTCAACAATCTGGCACACTTCACTCCGTCAAAAGCAAGGATGGGCTGAAAGGAATAGCCATACCGTACATCAGGTGAAACTCTAAGAATGAGCACAGCAGTTTTATGGTCTCTGTTAACAAAAGGAGATGTTTATTTTCTCTCTGTGTTATAATGGAAGAAAGAAGAGTGTACCTCCTAGAGCCTCAACATTTTTCATAATGGTTCCTACATTCTGCTGCTGAAGGTAACTTCAATCTTTAAAACACAGCCTGCCATGTTGCTACTATAACTCCCAAAATGAAATTCACAGGAGACTCTTTTAGTATTTCAATAGTATTTTCTTTTTCACTTACTCAAAAGAGACAAAAAAAAAAAAAGCAGCATGTTTGCTTTTGTGTTTCATCAATAGCCTAATTTATTACAAAGCAAATGGGTGGAGAAAAGGTCAATCTACAAATGCTAGTTATTAGACTAACAATTATGAAACCCTTAACCAGTGTTTGTTTTTTGGCCTACAGTGCTCTCTCTGGTTGAACACTGTGACTCCTGGATTAATCATTTTCATCCATGTTTGGGTGTGTACAGTCTCCCAGCATTGTGTATGTGTGCACGCTCTCTCTAGACCCACCCCGACTCCCAAAGGCTTAGAGCCAAAATCTGATACTTTGAAATGGAAAAGGCCTGCTTGGTGAATCGCGTGTAGCCTGGCTGTGGAGTATGGAACTCTCCATCCCTTCCATATGGTAGGAATGCCAGCTTCCCAGTCTCACCCTGAGCAGGGCAGCCAACATCTGGGAAACATAAAAATTTTGGAGCACTTGTTTCAGATACTTCTTGCTGTGTTCTTGGCACATCTGAGCACACTGAATTTTTAACTCATATCTGAAAACCTATTTTTGTTGAATATTTGCCTTTTCCCCCATCGTGACCTTGCTAGTGAAACCCTTGGATAATAGGACTCTTTAGACATTTTTATGAAATATTACATCTCCCTTTTGCTTAATCTCAGCCCTACGCTTATCATTTATGACACATCCCACACTCAACAAAAACTCACATCCAAATTTACATCTCTTTAAGAGCTGACCAACAACTTTGAGAGAATACAGATAAAAGATCATAATACACAAGAGTGCATCAGTTTTATAACAGTGTGTTTACAAGAATAGAAATAAAAACAAGTCACCACTAATCATTTTCCCTTAGGTACATAAAGAATGAGGGTGGGGGAAGGACTGTCCTCTTTTGCTGAAAGAACAGACAGGAAGAATGAGTAGGACATGACTCTACAAACCTCATAAGTGGTTGTCATTGTGGGCTTATAGGACACATGATTGGCCCTTCTCAACTCCTTGATAGTTTCAGCTGGCATGGATTTAGAAAAACCCAGGCCACTCCAGGTATTTGTGGGCGTTCTGACCTCCGTCACCACTGGTTTCTTTAACATAGCTTTGGAAACAAAATAAAACCAATGCTTGGTATGTTTAATGCATTTCTTCAATAAAATACTGATGATAAGTGTCGTTTCTTTGATATATGTGAAGAAATTATCACTGAATGTTATTTCTTAACACAAAATGTCTAAAAATATCTTAATGAAATATTTTATCCAAGTAATGATAAATGAAAAAATGCTAAATGATTTCTTAATTGGTCTAATGCTAAACCATTCAACAAAATATATTCAACAGAATGTATGCAACTTGAACCCAAATATTCTAGGTTTCTTTTTCTGAGTTTTCAAGTTCTCGATTCACCATGAGTACTCAAAAAACATTTATGAGTGTACTAAAATATAGTCAAGTGTAAGTTATTAGTGTATTACATACCTTTGGTGGCTAATAGCTTCTTCTGTTCATAGTCAAATGCCTGAAAATGAAACAGAAAATACCTTTATTGACAGTCTCTCCAAATGTCATGCCAACACTCCATGGTTAGAGAACAAAGGTTTTGACTGTGTTCCATGAATCTGCCTGAGACATACACCAAGCTTTGCACAATAATGCCACAGAAATCCAAGGTATGTCTGTAAGTTTAAACATGTTTCCAACACTAATTAATTAGTAATAATAAATCACCACTTCTGACTTTAAGGTTGACTTTAAGAGTTAGAATTTTTCCTTAAAAAAAGAAAAAAAAATCTTATTTACCATAAATACCTAGCACACCAGAGCCAATGTCTGCTAGAATATAGTGAACAGCCTAATAATAATAATGTGGGTTTTGAAAGTATACATTTCCAAAATGCTGTCATGTATCTATTGGCCCCCTTAGGGTCTCAAAAATCCCCTCTTCATTTAGGTAAGCGTGGCCTGAAGTGGTATGATGTCAAGATACCTTAAGAAATTATTTAACCTAACTGGCATAGTCTTTGCTTTTGAAGTGAGATGTGAGATAAATGGCAGATGTCTAACTTTAATTTATAATGACATTAAGCAATGCCATAAAATTAAACCTAGTTACTGTTTATTGCACAGGGCTAGGATAGCACCATTGATTCATTCCATTAAAACTGAATGAGTAACTACGATGTAGTCAAGTGTATGTGAGGACTAAGATAGATCATTTTGAAGAAAGTAGTGCAGATACAGCTACATTTCAAATCTTTTCTGAGTGTTATCAACTCCCCAATTTAGGAAATAGCTAAGACTTGATCTAAGCATGTCTCAAAGGCCTACCACAAGGACCAAGGGCCAATTGGCAAGAGCTCTTTAACCAGAAAGACTATACCATCATATATAAGGTACCTATATAATCTGTGGTCTGAAACAGGACATTTCTGAAGGTGAAATGTGCTGTGAATAACAATTAGGCCAAGATAATAAAAGTAAATAGAGGCTGTCCCAGACAAACAAGGACATGTGATAACTAAAAACATAGCCATGTGTCAGGAAAGCCAGATTTTTAGATAATATTTTTGATGAAGTTTTTAAATCCTAGGACTAAAATGGCATTGGGAGTTAAAATCAATTTTTAATTATTAATGCCTAAAGGCAAGGTATACGGAGAACCTAAATTTACTTGTTCAACAAATATTCATTGAGGGCCTACTGGTTAAAGAGACTATGCTCAGCTTTGTGGAAGAATACAACAACTAATCAAAAATAAGCTACAGCCTCGATGACTTGCAGTTTTTTTGTTTGTTTGTTTGTTTGTTTTTTAGACAGAGTCTCGCTCTGTTGCCCAGGCTGGAGTGCAGTGGTGCAATCTCAGGTCACTGCAACCTCCACCTCTTGGGTTCAAGTGATTCTTCTATCTCGGCCTCCCAAGTAGCTGAGACTACAGGCGCCCACCACCAAGCTGGGCTAATTTTTGTATTTTTAGTAGTGACAGGGTTTCGCCATGTTGGCCAGGCTGGTCTCGAACTCCTGACCTCAGGTGATCTGCCCACCCTGGCTTCCCAAAGTTCTGGGATTACAGGTGTGAGCCACCATGCCTGGCTGACTTGCAGTCTTAGGAGGGTTGGGAAAAAGAAATAACTATAAAATAAATTAGAAACTGAGATAAGCATAAAAAGAGAGCTGGGGATATAGCACTCCAAGAGCAATCAGGAGATACAGATCATTTTCAGCCAAGGAAATCAGGCCAAGTTTTCAATCTTTCTCCCTGTCAATGCTCAGTGAATATTATCATTGATTTCTTAGTGATTTATTAAGAGTCAACTGTTCACTAACAACATAAATACATCGAGTTAGGCTGAAACTCAAACATTAAGAACATGCTCATCCATCCTAAAAGAAAGAAACAAGAAACTGGTTCACTGCAGGTATAAATCTGATGGAAAAGGTGACAAGAACCACAAGACAAAAACCATCAAAAGATTATAAAGGGGATTTGATATTTGTTAAATAAATTGTAATTCATATTAACTGAAAATACATCCACCAGAGAAAATGTAATAAATGTCTTTTTTATTTTATTTATTTTTAATTTTTGAGACAGGGTCTCGCTCTCTCTCCCAGGCTAGAGTGCAGTGGTGCAATCTTGGCTCACAGCAACCTCTGCCTCCCAGGCTCAGGTGATCCTCCCACCTCGGCCTCCAAGTAGCTGGGACTACAGGTGCATGCCACCACGCCCTGCTAATTTTTTAGAATTATTCTGTAGAGATGGGGTTTTGCCACGTTGTCCAGGCTGGTCTCAAACTCCAGGACTCAAGCAATCCACCTGCCTCGGCCTCTGAAAGTGCTGAGAATATAGGTGTGAGCCACTGTGCCCGGCCTTAAATGTCTTTTTTAAACACTGACACATTATAAAGGCCATAGCTTTTATTTAAAAAAAAATTCATCGAAAAACTTAGGAAAATGTTCCAATGCAAAGGATTAAAAAAATAGAGAAGGAGGACTAAACTGCAGATTGCACTGGAATTAAAGTAATATAGTTTAGCTCCATGAATTAATTTCTTTGACACATCTATGACAGCTTTTCTGTTTCTAGGATTTTGTGGAACGTTCTTCCTCTTTTTTGGTGGTGAAAGATAAAACAGGTAAGTCTACTCAGCAATTCTGGTCTGACATCAAATGCTTGTAGGCATCTCTAAAAGCACAAAGCACAAATCCTTATCTTTCATATTGTCATCTATAATTTCTGCATTTTCATGGTCAATAGTCTATTCTGAGTAATTAGACTAATAGTTTGAAAATGGAAACACAGAAAGTTCCTATTGAGGAAGTTGTTTAATCATAAAAATTATTTAAAGGAAGTTGTTTTTATAATCATAAAAAATCTGTGAACCAACACAATCATCAATAATATTCATCATCTAGTTTCAAAGAACACTCCACATTCGTTATTCTCATAACTATCTTTAAATGGCACCAAACACATTCATCATCTTCATTACATAGAAAATAGTATATCTATTTATCCAAGACTATGTCATGAAGCAAGAATACTTAGAAATGCAGTCCCGCAAACTCATCTGAAAATTTTTTAAGTAACACATGAATAATGTTATTTGCATAAGACAGTGACACAGACCATTCTGCACCATTTTTAATATATTTTAAAGAATTCTCACTTAAGGTAAATACTGCTTTTCATTTTTAATGTTTATAGCAAACTAACTGCTACATATATATTTAAATTTCATTTTGAATGTAGCACAGAAGGAAAACCTAATTTCTGCACTACTGCTGAACACTCACTGAATTCTCCATACCAGAACCCAAACATATGACATTTGAGTGGCTTTCCTATTTTATTACCATTACCTGCATGTTGACATATGATGACCGTGGAGCAAGGTGGGCCCTTTCGGAGTTTTGCTGGGCAGCTGCTGCCCTCTCTGCAGCGCGCTCACTCCCTGGAGCCTTCTTGTCAGCCAAAGGGCTTTCGGTAGCACTCAGTTCAGGGTCTGAGAGCAACCTGTCAGTGCTGCTGTGAAATAAGAGTGTGGAATTTAACACTCCACTATATATACAAATGTACTGAATGTTTCCTACATGCCACATTTACTATGCATGTTTATCATCATCAGCTATTTACACGTAGTCTCTCATTTAATCCTCACAACAATGCTATGACACAGGTACTACTGTTATCCCCACTTTGTGGATGAAGGAAGTATATTGTCCAAGGTCATACCTCTAATGTGAATGGTAGAGATGGAATTTGAAATTGGGCACTCTGACTGTAGGGCTAAAGCTTGAAACTATTTCATGATGCACATTCAAACACAGTATATATAGTATATATGGTATACTGCATATGATATAGGTGGAATAGATGTACAGATGAGATTTCTAATTTTTATACATCAAGGAGATATCAATGATTCATCCATGCAAAGTCCAAACAGAGATCCAGTCAATTTGAAGGGATGTAGATGATCCAATTCGTGTGTATGAAATATGTATATGATGGTAACAAATAAAATGTAGCAGATAAATAAGAAATATTCTTCAAAGTCTGTTGAGGGGGACAGGCAGAGCGTAAAAGTGCTTCTTAGAGCAGCAAATATGTGAATTACAACACATGATATGTACAGAATGCATGCACCACAAGTTCAAATCTAACTGCACCTTAGGCTCAAAATAGGGATTGCAATATCAATCAAGTACTGTTTTGTTTATTCATTCATGATTTTATTTGTTCAACTACTCAGCTGCTGTGCCAAGGGAATTTAGAGGAATTTAGAAAAGTACTTGGGGAATACAAAAAGAGGGACAATGAACTTTGCTTGACAAAAGTTGACAGAGGCTACACAAAGGACATTTGACCTGGGAACTTAAGAGCATCTGCAAGTTGTCTGGTGCCAAAGGTCAGGAGAACAGCAACTCAGAGGGAAGAGCATAAGTAAAGGAAAGGAAGCAGGCAACACAGACCATTGGTGATTTGAAGCCAGAGTGTGACAAGATTAGACCTGTTTTCGAAAGTAAATTGCTGAAGCAAAATAAAGGATAGATCAAGCTAATAAAAGACTGGAGGCAGGGAGACCTTTCTGGAGGCTGCAGCTTAAGCCAAAAGATGATGATAAGAAGGTTCAGGACATACTCAGTGATGACAAGAATACGTATCTATTTTAAATGCTTCAATAGTTTCAAGGAAGTAAAACTGTTTCTCTAGCCTATAATGAGAACATTAATTTTGGGTATTAGCTCCATGTAAAGAAAAACACAGATAAAGGAGAACTGGACAACGGTGGGTAATAATGATTGACCAAAGAGTTTATAAAGGAAAATGGATTTTAATAAGAATGGGAGGAAATAAAACCATGTACGCTAATCTTTGCATAAAGACACTCTAGAAGGGTATACCAGGAACTAATAAGACAGCAGAGGAAATCAGGTGGACGGAATAGGTGGGAACAAAACCTTACATTGTAGAGACTGTCCAAAATACATGGAGGAAAAAAAAAAAGAGTAAGGATGACATACTTTAACTGTGCTATGGTAAGGAAGAGTTATATTTAATATTTAATACAACTTATGTATTTATAACCAAAGTGATTTGGAATAAACAAAGTCATGATAATGTCAAGCATTTATTTAAAAGTTTGCAATTAACTACCTTGGGAAAAAAGAGAGCCACAGTAAGAAAGAAATTCAAAGCCAAATGAAGGAGAATTCACAGTGGGAAAATTTCTAACAGCAAAAATCAGAGAATAAAAATGGCCCTGCTGATTACTGAAGAGCAGAGAGAATGCTACAGTTTCAGAGTAATACAGACGGTTTAGAGGACACAGATATAAATCAATTCATTAAATGGGGAAGGGACTATAGAGAAGACAGAGAAGGGTGAAAATTAACAGATATTATTCCTTAATATTTTTTTTAAAAAAGTTAAAATGAAAACACCCATGGATGAGATCAAACATGACTTGAATCAAAGAGTACTAACTATAGAGTTGAGAACAAATATATATCATTTCAAAATATCAAGGGCTCTTTAAAGATTAAAATACATACTGTAAGTGTGAGTTTTTCGTGCCTTGCAATAGTTCCACTGTCTGCCTTTTGGCACAGGAAACCTTGGAGGGACACATCATCTGTTTCAAGTCACCAGCATTCCCAGAATGGGAAGGACTTCGAGGCATGCCTACTTCAACAAAAGCATCATTACAACCTGCAGAGGAAAAGGAAAAAAAAGTGAAACACCTAAACAACATCACCTTCCAGTTGACAATTATCTGCAATGGAAACAAATCAGAACCCTACTCTATGGAGACATGATTAACCTGACAGAGACCTCTTCCATCTGCAAAGAAACACCTTAACAAGTTCAGGTTGTCACAAAAACTCAATTTGAAGAGAAGACCCGCATATATTTTAAAGATTTGGTGGGGCAGGGGGTGGGTAAAAAGGTTATAAAAAGATACTCTACTTGGGGGAACTATATATATAACATTTAGTAAGTTGATGCTTTTCTGCTGCACAATTACCTTCACTTTAATTCAGGAACTTACAATGTAATGGGGAAATGATTATTTCTGTGGAAAGTGCTTTTCAGTTAATCTTTCACCATGCTCTTTGAAATTTTATTCAGGATGTTGTCTTTCCACATAATTGAGGTAGGATGAATGATAGCTGTTTAGCAAAACCAACTCAAAAATCACTGCATAGACTCTCTACAACCTCCTTTTTCCAAATAACAACCAAAATGAATTTCAGAAGGGTACAGTTCCCGACCTTCAGTGGGGCTTGATTTGGGAGATGTCTGCTCAGACCCACTTGTCTGGATGGACGGATCCCCGTGATTTGCACTCAGCACTTTTTCTCCAAGTGATGAAGTGGATATTGCACCATATTTTATATCTGGAGACTAAAATAATAATAGAAAATAATGTATAAATATGGTCACAATTTTACAGAGAGTCAAATCAAGAACACAATCCCATTTATAACAGCCACGAAAAAGAAAACCACCCTGGAATACTTCTAACTAAGGAGATGAAATATATCTACAAGGAGAACTACAAAACACTGCTGAAAGAAATTGTAGGTGATACAAACAAATGGAAAAACATCCCATTCTCAGGGATCAGGAGAATCAATATCATTAAACTGGCCATACTGCCCAAAGTAATATACAGATTCAATGCTATTCCTATCACACTACAAACATAATTTTTCCCAGAAATAGAAAAAACTATTCTAAAACTCATATGGAACTAAACAAGAGCCCAAATAGCCAAAGCAATCTTAAGCAAAAAGAATAAAGCTAGAGGCATCATACTACCTGACTTCAAACTATACTACGAGGCTACAGAAACCAAACAGCATGGTACTGGCATAAAAAAAAAATAGAAATATAGACCAAGGGAACGGAATAGAGAATCCAGAAATAAAGCTGCACACCTACAACCATCTGATCTTCAATAGAGTCGACAATAACAAGCAATACGGAAAGGAATCCATGTTCAATAACTGGCGCTGGGAAAACTGGCTAGCCATATACAGAAGAATGAAACCAGACCCCTACCTTTCACCATATATAAAAATTAACTCAAGATTGGTTAAATATGCAATTTCCCCATGTAACAAACCTGCATATGTGCCCCCTAAACCTAAAATAAAAGTTGAAAAAAATAAATAAAATTCATTTTAGGTGAAAGTTTAAACATGTTTTAACTTTACCAGGGGTTTATCTCTTACAAACAGCAGAGATCACACACACACATTCTAGCATGTTTTAACTTTACCAGGGGTTTGTCTCTTACAAACAGTACAGATCACACACACATTCTGGCAGAAGGCCATTACCTGTGCATGTCCATTTAAAGCAGCAGAGATTTTTTTGCCTTCGGTCTGCATACTGTTGATATGGACATCAACAGGAGTCAAGCCAGGAGGGGGAGATGGAGCTGTGTGCCCATAGGTGGGCACTCCAGACAACAAAATATTAGTTAATGTGGCTTGGGCAGTAGATGGAATCATAAGGTGTGGTATAGCAGAAAAACCTACAACAACATTTTATGATGACAGATATTAGGAAGAAACTCAGATTCAACTATTATTTTTATTAACAATAAAAATATCATTTTTGTTGCTGCAAGTTCAGAAAAGAATTCAATTTTGACACCTCTGTAAACAGAGGTACTATTTACTATAAAAACACAAAAGAGTGTTAAAATCGGACAATATCATAGAGAATATTTAATCCAACCCTCTCATTGTACAGATGTAAATGACTACCAGCAAGTTACTCCAACTAGAACCTAACTACCAGGTCTGTTTATCACATTTGAAGATGGTATTTCAGTTGTATGAAAAACTCAAACTGCTTTGCTGTTCTTCATTTTAACTAATTTACATATCAGGGAATTTCTGTTTCAATGGAGTATGCTTTGAACCCTAATTTTGCCTTAAGAAAACTGAGCCCTTCGTAAATTTTATTTAAAAAACTGGTAACACCTAAGAATACACAACTTGGAATATACTTAAATGATACTGACCTGTGGCACTTGAAGTATTAGCAAGTGGGGGTGCCCATAATGTGGGGCTGGGTGTACCAGAACTTGGACTTTGCAAAGGACTGACTGAGCTATTAAGAGCATTCAAGAGTGAGTTTGGGGTTGTTGAAGTGTTCAGAGATAAGGTGGTGGGTCCCAAAAGACCTGTAATAAATGAATATATAAAGTCAATTCACATAAATTTAAGATTTTAAAATAGAGATGGCACCAATATTGCCATTGGGAATGCACAATGATATAATCTGATATTTTCTAAATATAAAATATGGATGACAGATTTTCTTTCAAATACTCACATGAGTTTTGCATCATACAGCTCCAACAGAGGAAGCAGCTTATCCACAAAGAGTTGCTATCAGAAAATGGAAGATAGGTGTGCCCAGACCAGGATGGCAGTTAGGGTCATTGAACATCACCAGGTGCTTGCATTCATGTCAGCTACCCAGGATGAACAAAATTCTGCTCAAGTGGAAACTCATTTTTATTCTTCTGCATAACTCATTTGTCATCTGCTTACAAACAAACCCTTTTCAAACTACTCACATGTAGCAGCGACTAGGGAATGCTTTCCTGTGGTAGGATAGATCTATTTGTCCCCGCTGCAGATAGGGTAGGCTACCAGAACAGTTCCTAAATGTATCTCAAAACATATACATGACTTCCCTGGGCTCCATCTCAATGATGAAAATTTCCTCAGAAAAAAATACTGTTTTTTTTTGGTTGTTGTTGTTGTTGTTCTAAGGAGTCAATGCTTGATTTAAATAATGAAATTTTCCTTTGGGCATTTAAAATATGTTCTAGAATGAAATGTGGATTTGTATACAAGTTTCCAGGAATACATATAAAGCATAAAGTATATAACAGGATAGGTATAGCAATGAAAACATTTTAAAAATTCAGTTAGTGAATCTTTGCTCACTTGTTTTCTCTGTAGTGCAGGATGAACTAGGTTCCTGCTAAGTTACCTAATTGGCATTTCCTGACTCACAGTCATTGCTATGTTGTTATGACTCTGTTCAGGTCCCAGTGGAAGGAACAACTTTGGTAGATTAGGGGCCAAGATACAAAAAAAATCTTTCTTTAATGATGTCTAGGCAGGGCTACTTGGAAAATCAATCATATAAGAGCATTAAACTTCTTAAAAGTTAAAAGCAAGAATAGCTATTGGAAAAAAAATTTTAAAGACTGCAAGAATAGCTATTGGAAAAAAAATTTTAAAGACTGCTGAGAGTATTCTTTTTTGTCTCAAATCAACACTGAATGACCCAGGATGATTTTCTAGGAGTACTGATTAAGGAAAATAAATGCAACTGAGAAATGTGCAGGAAAGAAATAAATCTAGCAAAACTGTAATACAGCAATTAACTTCAGCCTATAAAATAGCAATCCATAGATGAGGACATAAATATCACCATGACTATTAAACAGCTCATTCTACTTTCTCGACTGAAGCTCTGAGATGATGACGTTTGTTCATTCTTCTATTTTCTATTCCTCACGTTAGACAGAAATACAGGTCTGGCCTCTGACTAGATTTCCTTTGTATCTAGGCAAGGCAGGCCTAACCACTGGAGATGCGGGTTCTGCTTATTTTCACCCCCCTCCCCACCCCTCATACAGATTTGCAATTACTTTTTAAAAAGCAAACTGGATAATCTTTATCTCTAGGGACTGAAGACAATATTGCAAATGCAGGAGAGAACAAACATAAATTACAGTCAGCATGCTTACTTCAATCTCAATGGCATTCTTAATTTAGAACAAACACAGCCACCGAAAATAAAATAGTCAGACCTTGATTATTTATGCAAACATGGGAAGAATCTGGGTAACAAATCCACAGAGACTAAGAAACCCCAAAATGGATTGATTCAGGTTGTATGGCTTTTCATCTGATCTTAGAGCCCAAAGGAAAAAAAAATAGCCTTTAAATGTAGACCCGAATGGTAGAAAGAAAGGGAACCAGACAAGCATTTCCCCAGTGACTGAGACGCGCTGTAATAATAAATTGTATACCTAGTCCAGTGAGTCCAAGGCCTGCTGAAGCTAAGATATCCAGGCTGGGACATGCCAGGCCGGCAGGGCAGGATGCTGGGGATGGACTGGTTGCTATGGTAACCCCACTGCTTTCAAGTCCGAGGAGACATTTCCTTGCTTCATACATATTTAAGGCATTTCGCTCAACACTTTTCACAATCACAGACTATGAAAACACATAATGGGGGAAAAAAGGTGACATGCAAGTAGTCTACAATGAATGGGGGAGGGGAGGGAGGTGGAAAATGAATACGCTAATAAGAATTCCACTCAGGGGACATATCAATGCTGCTTTTAAATCATCTGCAAATTCTAACCACTTCGTGCTTAAGATTACTCCTTCTGGCAAAACCCTAAATTATTGGTTACCATTTATTGGGCATGTTCTGGGTTCCAGGAGCTGTGATAGTAGCTGCATATATGTTCCTATTCTCAGCAAAACCTTATAGGGTGGGAATCATTACTCATATTCAGTGAAGTTAAGGGACTTAGCCCAGGTCAAGGCACAGCTGTGAAGAGACAGCAAGAGGATGGGAACCTGGGTTCCCTTTTTACAGCCCCTCATCTTTACACTAAAGCTTCCCCCTTGCATCTTGTCATTACATACCAAATCAAACTTGTGACCACATATAAACTGCATCATCATCATCACTTATGTTTGACATTTATGGTTTACTAGTTAGCTAATAGACCTTGAGGTATGACTATCCCTCATTGGTGACATATCTATGGCAAAGCTTATGGTAAAAAAAATTCTAAATAATAAATCATTTTTCTTTCACAATGGACTCATCAAGAAAATTTGAAATGTGAACTCAAAGGGGAAAGCCCTCAATGGACCAAAAAAAAAAAAAATTGTGGCTGAGAAAGCAGTTAAAGCAGTAGTTAGAATGTGGGCCAGCTGGGCATAATTAAATGGCCCTGGGATGCTGCAAGGCTCTGGAGTTCTCATTTACAATCTATTTTTCCCTGACTTCTGCTCATTTCTTACTGAACTCCTGGAATTCTTCTGACTGTCCATCTTAATATGCACAAGCCCTCTAATGTCTCTCCTGTCTTTATCTTTTAGTCCTGGTATCTACAGTGACTCTGGTCAACTCAAATTAGTCACACATGAAGCTTCACGATACATAAAATTAATGTCCTGTTCCCTAACTTTAAACTAATTATATCAAGTTCACTTAGAATCAATGCTATCTTTTCCTTTAAAGTTTTCTTTGGGAGAAGGCAAGATCATTTTTCTTCAGTTGGACAGCGATTACCACATTATTTACATATACCAAATTATATAAAATACATATTATATATACACCATTCTATGCATATAAGATTTATAGTTTCAAAATTTAAAAATGGTGTTATTTTCTTATTTCGGATTTTTGTTAAATAAATAGAACATCTCCCTTGTTTACTTTGTTCCATTTTCCTTTCTATTGCCCCAAAGGCAACTCATCATGATTTTTGTGTGCATCCTTCTAAACAATGCTTTATACTTAAAAATGTACAGACATATATATACACAAAAATGCTGCCATTGACTACATACTACGATGCAATATACTTTTTTTACTCAACACCATTCTCGTGTTGTCTCTTGGTGCAAAGGTGTTTTCAGAGTGTATAATCAGAAGTAGAACTACTGCAGGTAGGGTAATCAATATCTTAGAATAATGCGATGATCAGAAATCGCTCTTCAAAGTGGCTGTGCTAGTTTAAACAACAATACTAATGTAGAAACATTCCTCTTTCCTCATTCTTACTAGCACTTAATAAAAGATTTATTCTGAGCCGGAGACAGTGACTCACACCTGTAATCCCAGCACTTTGGGAGGCTGTGGTGGGTGGATTGCTTGAGCGCAGGAGTTCAAGACCAGCCTGGGCAACATGGCCAAACCCCATTTCTACAAAAAGTACAAAACATTAGCCAGGTGTGGTGGCACATGCCTGTGGTCCCAGCTACTCGGGAGGCTGAGGTGGGAGAACCACCTGAGCTCAGGAAGTCGAGGCTGCAGTAAGCCACGATCACACCACTGTACTCCAGCCTTGGTGATAAAGTGAGACCCTGTCTCAGAAAAAAAAAAAAAACATTTATTCCATTAAATTTTTACTCTACATGTAGTTACTGAAATTTTACAACACTCTGAGGAGAGATTCCAAGAACGCTGAACTTGAGACAGTTCAGTCCTTAAAGTATTTACAAAAAAGCACAGGCACCTCTTCTTTAACTCTCCAGCTTGCGCAGGAGATGGCATATAGTAAGTAGTCTAAACAATTTCTGAATTACACTGGGCATGTACACACACACACACACACACACACACACACACACACACACACACAAAACATGTAAGTAGCCTTATCAACTCTTGGGTAACTTAGAAAAGCTTCAAGTTACCAGATTCTAAATTAAGAACAAATGTTCTTTCCTTCTCATTTAACTATGGAAAAATAATGGTTACTCTAAATGGACTGCAAAAACCAACACATATATAAAGAAAATGATGATCTATAATGAATACTGTTACAAATTTATATTAGATAACTAAATATATAATGACATATATATTATACAAGTTGAGTTTCCCTTATCTGAAATGCCTGGGACCAGAAGTGTTTTAGATTTGGGGTTTTGGGGGATTTGGGAATATCTGCACTGGTTGGGCATCCCTAATATGAAAATCCAAAATCTAAAATGCTCCAATGAGCATTTCCTTTGACTGTCATGTCAGTGCTAAAAAAGATTCAGCTTTTGGAGCATTCCGGATTGGGGATATTCAACCTGTATAGAGTAACAGTTTCATGTATATGCAAATAAATACTTCTATGCAAAATAAAACTATACAGCATATGATATGATACATAATTCTCTGGATTCAGACTCTGAACCAACCTTGCTTGGCTGTTTGGGCTTTGGTTTAATACTGATGAAGACATCAAGCTGTTCCATCAACTGCGCAATGAATTGTGGATCTACTTCAATTTCTTCCTTCATATCAAACATCAACACAAGAGGAAGACAACCCTAGAAAATGTCACAATAGAATGTGTAGGAGGTAAAAATTTAATCATTTAAACACCTGATAATTTAACATGCCTGCAAATAATGCACTATTTTACAGATTTAAAGACTAAACTGAAGTATTAAAGCTGAATTATATAAGTTCACATAGCTTAGAGGACAGGTGTGGCATTAACGTTGAGGGGGAGAAAACCATTTTTGGATGACGAAATTATATGTCTTAAGTTTCTGTTTTTGGCCCCGGACTTTTTTTATCCACTGTGCACCTTGGAAAATTCCTTTATTCTCTAACTTCAGTTTTGTTAAGTTATGCTAGAAACTAGATTCTCGACTATATCAAGGGTACTAATCTTTGCCTTTGCTCAATGACTTCCAGTGGCAGCTTTTGATTGTATTTTGAATGAAAACTAAACATGATCGAGCATTTAAAGAGTTCCACATTTTAGCCCAGACTTGCTTGTTCAACCACAGATTTATATCTGTATGTCTTCCCCTTCCTCCAGGTTAGGCCAGCCTCCCAACGATCCTTTAAGAGGATCTTGTACTTTGGTATCTTAACTCAGGGGTCCCCAACCTTTCTGGTACCACAGACCAGTTTCACAGAAGACAATTTTTTCATGGACCAGGGGAGGGGGAGGGAAGGGGGATGGTTTCAGATGATTCAAGCACATTACATTTATTCGGCACTTTATTACTATTATTATCACATTGTAATATATAATTAAATAATTATACAACTCACCATAATGTAAAATCAGTGGGAGCCCTGAGCTTGTTTTCCTGCAACTAGACGGTCCCATCTGGAGGTGATGGGAGACAGTGACAGATCATCAGGCATTAGATTCTCCTAAGGAGCATGCAACCTAAATCTCTTGCATGCACGGTTCACAATAGGGTTCATGCCCCTATGAGAATCTTATGCCACTGCTAATCTCACAGGAGGTGGAGCTCAGGCGGTCATGTGAGTGATGGGAAGCCTCTGTTAATACAGATGAAGCTTCCCTTGCTTTCCTCCTGCTGTGTGGCCTAGTTCCTAACAGACCACTGACCAGTATTGGTCCGGTCCTTGTCCCGGGGATTGAGGACCCCTGCCTTAACTCATCAAAAGCTTCTTCACCAATATAAATCCTACTTAACCTAATGCAGTTTAAACCTTTCCTCCTTCCTGGAGTAAATTGTTACTACTGTCCCTTCTTTTAACTACCTCATTTTTTAGATTTTTTTTTTTTCTCTAATGCTCTACTCACAGCCTCTGATCTACTGAGTCTAGGAACAATGTAATATACTTTCTCTGATGCACAGAATTTCCAGTGTTAGCCCACTGGGTGCTGGAATTTGTAAATGGATATCAGGAGAGGTTACCATTAAGCACACTAGGATTAAAATGAATTACTAAGCCGGGAACCATGGCTCATGCCTGTAATCCCAGCACTTTGGGAGGCTTAGGTGGGTGGATCACTTGAGGCCAAGAGTGCAAGATCAGCCTGGCCAACATAGTGAAACCCCATCTCTACTAAAACTAAAAAAATTAGCCAGGCATGGTGGCATATGACTGTAATCTCAGCTACTCGGGAGGCTGAGGCATGAGAATCACTTCAACCCAGGAGGCAGAGATTGCAGTGAGCTGAGAACACACTACTACACTCCAGCCTGAGCAACAGAGTAAGACCTCACCTAAACTAAAAAAAGAAAAAGAAATAAAATACTATGCTCCATTTCTCCTGTGGAAGAAATTGATTTTTTTTTTTAAACGGAGTCTTGCTCTGTCACCCAGGCTGGAGTGCAGTGGCGCGATCTCGGCTCACCGCAACCTCCACCTCCGCGGTTTGAGCAATTCTCCTGTCTCAGCCTCTTGAGTAGCTGGGATTACAGACCTTCACCACTATGCCCGGCTAACTTTTCTGTGTATTTTTAGTAGAGATGGGGTTTCACCATATTGGCCAGGCTGGTCTTGAACTCCTGACCTTGTGATACGCCTGCCTCGGCCTCCCAAAGTGTTGGGATTACAGGTGTAAGCCACCGCGCCCAGCCAGGAAGTGATTTTTATAAGAATAGTGCTATACAAAATGGTGATGGTATTTAAAATACGGGTTAAAGCCTTTTAATTTCTCCTTCAGTTATTTCAATGTTGTGCAATAATATGAGTCATTATTTTTGGCAGGTATGGTCAAAGTATAAATGTGCATTAATAACTGTAGAGAATATTTGAAAAATTTCACTAAACTAAAAAATAACATCTAAAGAACTTGTAAAGCAGAAAAAAAATGAAGATTACAACAATTCTTGGATATAAATATAAATCTGACTTGTAGTACAGTATATTAAAAATAACCTGATAAAATAAGCTCGGCTAAAAAAAATCATGACAAATTTCTTAAAATCGTGGATTACAATCTTACTGATTCCAACAAGTTCTTGTCTGTCAGAGGAATGGAATCAACAATAAAAACTTAGATTTTCTGAAAGTTTCTCAAAAATAAACTCTGCAAGTTAATAATAGTAAATGTCACACCTGAGGCTTACTGATTCAAATGCCACTAAAGGTCAAGCACTGAATGAGAGAATACAATGGTGTTTTTAATACAAATATTTGTAAGCCCAGCATCATGTCCATCCATTTTGTTACTACATTATCAACCCATACACTGGGATAGTTTATTTCATTCCATTTCATTTATTTCATTTTTGAAATGCAGTGCAGTGGTGCCATCTGGGCTTACTGCAACCTCTGCTTTCTGGGTTCAAGCAATTCTCCTCCCTCAGCCTCCTGAGTAACTGGGATTACAGGCACCTGCCACCGCATTGGCTAATTTTTATATTTTTAGTAGAAATGGGGTTTCACTATGTTGGCCAGGCTGGTCTTGATTTTGACCTCAAGTGATCTGCCCACCTTGGCCTCCCAAAGTGCTGGGATTACAGGCATGAGGTACCGCACCTGGCCGAGGGGTTTTAAACAAATATGGGAAGGATAGAAATATTGCAATTATAAATTAGAAGTAGTAAAGTAGTATTGAATTATAATATATAACTTTGCTTTTCTTCCTTCAATAAGTGACGCTCGAATTTGTGACTTAAATAGTATTTTTTAATTGGATCAAAGATTTATGAAATGTACAAATGTTTTGGGCTGACAAAATTTGTCTTTGATGGTGAAATTTAAATAGTATTTTTACTTTTCTGTTTAAACAGAGGACTTTTTTTTTTTTTGCCAAATACAAACTGCACACTAATATTACAGGTCAGATGAAAACAGTCACCTTCCATCCTTGCCACAAAATGCAGTCAATTATTTCACTATAATTCTCTTCTGTGTTTAGTCTAAGTTAAAAAGAAAACACTGAAATAAAATTACATATGCAATGAAATTAAACCTGTTGAGGCACTATGAACCTTATTACTCTTCCAGTTTATTTCCTTTTAGCAAGAAACTTCCTTATTTGACGAGGCTTCCGAAGTGCTTTCCTAAATATCACATTAGTACAGTGGATGGAAAAACATGCACTGAATCCAAAGAGGTTTAAAAAAATTGTAACACTTATTTCAGTAACCTTACCATGAGATATTGCCTTGCAAGACAGACAGACTCAATGGTGCCCTGGAGGTAGACGGTAGATTTCTTTTGTGGATTACTGGGATCAGGAAAGTGGATCTGAGCACCTGTTCTCTGCATGATATGTTTGATGTTGCTCCCATTTCGACCCATCATAAAGAGATGATGTTGAGCTGCAATATCTAGTTGTGTGCTCACAGGAATAGCTGATGCTAAGCTCCCAGCAAGATGTTCTAACAGCATGGCAGTTCCTTCCTAAGAGAAAAGGGTGGGAAAGAAATAATCCTATACATTAACTGTTCATATACGGGGAAAGATTCTATTGCATTTCTAACAGCTATGGAAAAATACAGCATATTCTGCAAACCAAAATGTAGAACGAAGGAAAATTCTGGAAATCAAATTAGTCTAATATTCTTTAAAAATGAAACTCATGTAACTTGTACATATAGGATGTGCAGAATTATCTGAATAATTTACCTTCACAGCACTAGTGTTATTCTGAGACCCTCGTACTATGACAGTAGCACCATACATTCGGGAACGCTGTTTAAATGATACTGAAATATTGTACGTTTGTGATATATGCTGAATAGAGGGGGAATTAGGATCAGGAACCGGTTGAAGAATTCCAGCAATTGGTAGCTCAAACATCAGCACCAAAGGAAGCAGCTCCTAAAATGAAATGATGAGAATCCAAAGCAGAGAGTTAAAGCATTAGACATTCAGACATGTGTATCATTCATTGGTTCTTTTCTGAAGATAGATTTTAAAGCATAAACTGCCCTTATAGATATTAAGTTTAGCTACATTATATAAAGTTTTTTTTTTTCCTTTCTGTTTTTTGAGTCAGAGTCTTGCTCCGTCACCCAGGCTGGCATGCAGTGGTATCATCCCAGCTCACTACAGCCTCCACCTCCTGGGCTCAAGGATCCTCTCACCTTGGCTTCCTGAATTAGTGGCACTACAGGCATGTGCCACCATACCTGGCTAATTTTTAAAAATGTTTTGTAGAGACAGACAGGGTCTTGCTATGTTGTCCAGGCTGGTCACGAACTCCAGGCCTCAAGTGATCCTCCTGCCTTGGCCTCCCAAAGTGCTGGGATTACAGGTGTGAGCCACCACAACTGGCCTACAAGTGTTTTTAAATGATGGGAGCCTTTTGTGAAACCTGAGAGTTTCTAACTCACATTGCCTGTGGCATTTTTCCTTAGGCCTCTTTATGATCATTGAATAAAAACTAGAAAAACTGAGTCAGATAAAATCCAGAACATCTCTGAGAAACATTTTCAGTGAAAAAATTTTATAAATAACATAGAAACTCACTTTTTGAACATATACAATAAATATTTAGATAATGAATGCTAAGATAGACACTAAAATAACTTTTGCCACTATTTCCTACTGATTGAACATGATTCGGTTATAAAATGATAAATTATTATATTTTTAGTGCCTTATAATGCAAATGTTGCTGACATCAATTTACAATGTTAAAGTAATAAATAGTTACCCGAATTCTAACTCGGGCAGATTCTACTCCTGCTGGTTGTCCCGCTATAGATACCTATAAGAGGAGGAAAATACAAAGTTAGATTTATTTTAATCAAACTCACATCTCTTTTCCAGTTCATCTATATGCTTGCTACTAAAAGTGTCATCCAGGGACAAATACAGAGGTATTATCCAGAAGCTTGTTAAAAATAAAGGATCTCAGGCCCCCATCCAGACCTGCTTAATCAGAATTTGCATTTTAACGAGATCCTCAGGTAATTTGTGTCAACTGATCTGTTTCACCCACTGGACTTACTGAAAGCCCCACAGCCCCCAGGAGATCATCCTGCCCTCTTTATAATTACTCTTGTTCACTGCATTTTCTCCGTTTTGTTTAAGCTCTTTGCATACCAGATACTTATCAATATTCAATGACAGAGCTACACTAGGTTCTGAAAATAGTGAACATTTTCCATACCAGATGGTACACAATCATTGCTCCAACATCTACCTCGAGCTTACTTCTGAAATCTCCTGGGCATTCCCATGACCCACTGACTCAAGGTGTTAGTCTTGGCATTGTGGTGGGGGGTACAGGGGCTCCAGGACACTGTTCTTAGGGCCAATGGTCATGCCGTACCAGTTTTTAAATATTCTGAATATTGTCTTTGCTTTTTACTATAGCTTTCTGTCTAGTCCCTTATGTGCACATCCCACTGTCACCATTAGTCCCTGTAGAGAAAAGACTATTCATCTTTGTGGCTGACAGTTTCTAGTATTGTAACTAGTTTAGAAGAGAGAATACTTCCAAATATCACAAATAATACTATCTGTTCTTCAAGTACTGAAACCGCTTGCATGAGGACAGGTGAGTTCCATTTGCTGCCAAACAGAAGAACAAGCACAAATGTGTATAAACTAGAGAGAGACATAATTAAGGCAATGTAAGAAGTCAGGCACTAATGCACTGCTCCTCAGAAGGTGATCTGGTGTGCCACAAAGGTATTTACTTCCAGGTCTCTACCAGGCAATGGATAGGTTCCTGGACTAGGCAAGCTTCCAGGTCCTAAACGATATGCTCTCTCAGCCTTTCTTTAAGGTTTTGTTTTGTGGCCATTACATCTTCCGCTATTTTTTATCAATGATTTCAAGATCAAGAGTTTAGGGCCCATCTACAACTCATCTCCTCAAAAAAGCAAAGCACCTTCAATTTCCTTGCAGAAAGTTGTACAATCTACACTGTATGTCATCTATGTGATTTTTTTTTTGTCTCACCTCTCAGAAAAAAAAGATAGGCAAACTGAAAATTAAATTAAGGCTGTAATTCATCCCATAAAAGTTCATGTGAAAAGACAAACCACCTGGTTGCTTTTTTCTGCTTGGTTATTCCTGTTGGAATCTGGAAAGTGGATATGGCATCCGGTTTCTTCCATCACTTTTTTAATATTGTTGCCACCTTTGCCGATTACATGTGAATGTTCTGTATGTGAAACATCCATCTTCAGTGTGACTCGATTGCTCTATGTGAAAATAATGTATTATTACTTGATGTATGCAAAAGGAAAGAATGACCTCCTAAATGTCTTTCCCTCAAGGGAATGGTATTAACAAAAAGCAAGTCAGTGGGAAATCTTATTTCTTAATAAGATCATCTTAATCTATAAGTGTTCTCCTGCTATTAATTTCTCTGATTATAAAAAAAGAAATTCTCATTTTAAGAAAGATTTGTCAGAAGAAATAGAAAAATTTATTCTTTACCAAGATAATTTTTTTGGAAAGAAGTCTTTAAACAAAGTCAGCTACAGTTAAATAAATTACTCAATTTGTCTTTAAAGACATTATTCACGAAACATTTAATTCAAATAACTAAAAACAGATGAAAACACAATTACAAGATTGAAGATATGCATGCTAGTGGGACTGCATAACTAAGATGATACAAAATTAGAAATAATAAAGCTCAAAACTGTGAATAAGAAAGTTTTTAGAATCACTGCTTTCCCAACTCCTGTATTACTATATATTGAACTTTACAAAGTAGATCTATTACTCTTGCTGGTAGAAAGAAGGGAGAAAGAGATCATAAAGTGCAGATAACTGGTCACAAAATGGCTTAAATAAAGAAATTCAAAGTACATTAGTTATATTAAAGCAAAATGTAAAATTCTAAGACATAATAAATAAAAATGCTGTGGTCATATTGGACTATATTTGAGGAATTTAGTGCTGTACAATCATAAAGACTGGCATAAAATCCCTTCTCATTTAGAAGACTGTTACTGAAATTATTCAGTCTTTAAAAAGTAAAATCGAAATATCAAAATATGTCAAAAATATTTTTATACCTTGTGAATTCTTAAGTTTTAAATTTATGCCCATTAAATATATTTTGATTTTTAAGTTTAGTTCTTTCAGTTTAACCTTTAAAACACAAAAAAATCCCCCTTTCCTGAAGAAAATTCTAAACTATTTAATAATTATCAGGGGAGTAATTTTTTTAAAAACGAAGAAAACCAACAAAGAACAGAAAGGAAGAATGAAAACAAGAAAGCGATCAGAGGGAGATCATTCTAATGAAATGCCAGGTGGCAAGACAAAGTGGTTAAGAATGAGACAGCCTGGATTTGAATCCCACCTCTCCACTTAACCGGCTCTAGGGTCCTGAACAAATTACTTAATACCTTTGTGCTGAGTCAGTTACGAGGATCAAACAAATTAATAAGTGTAAAATGTAGAGTACTTAGCGAAGTGCCTGGTATACAATAAGTGATTTAGATGTGTTTGTTAAAGAAAATAAATTCTCACAAATGAGTATAAATTTTTACATATTGAAATTTCCCTGTTCTCTCTCTATACATATACTTACAGAGAGAGAGAGAGAGAGACATCACGTGATCACACAAAAGCAAGCAACAAATTTCATGCCATTACACACACCCAACACAGAGCTATATAGAAGATCATTCTGGTATTCTACTGACATCATAAAAGCAAATAATCTAATTCCTACAATCCTTATTACTTACCCTATATTAATCAGGGCCAATTTCTATTTCTGAAGATGGTATATATGTACATGTATACATATATACACATACATACACGATACATATATATGTATGTAGATGTAGGTACATATAGGTGTGTGTGTGTGTATGTATAGTTCAATTACTCAGCATGAAAGAACCTATTCAAATATTAAACAGAACTTTACATCCACTGTAGAATCACATGTGCTTATTTTAAAACCCACCATTACTTTCTCCTGGTTTTTCTTCTCCAAATGGTTCTTTCATAACGGCATGAAGTAGCCCTTGTAGAGACAAGGTTCTGACATCTGAGTGTCCTTAACATTCACTTACTTTTGTGTCTAAGACAGACATGATCATTTCCTTGGCTTCTTTAACATCTTCTTTCTTTCCAGAAACCTTAATATGGGGATCTATAAGAAAGAAATAAAAGGCTTGTGTGAAACTCCCAAACTCTGTTTAAAATTGTTTTAAAAACTCTGTTTTAAAATTGACTCTAGAACATAAGAGGTTCCATAATAAACTCAACATTTGGAGATTATTATTATAATAAAATTCTAGGTGTGTTATTGTAACAACAACAGGAATATGGAAAATGCCCACGTTTTCATTTATCTGTGACTTTCTTCCTTAAAATTGGCTAAACCATTTAAATTTACATTTCTTTTTACAAAATAAGTATATCACGTAATTGCAAAATAAAAATATCATATAATTTTTTTTTATAAATTGGATTTATTAATTGAGCTTCTGCTACAAGTCTCCGCCCTGTTCTAAGGGTTGAAGTGCATCAATTCACTTAATCCACAGCACAGATTCATGACGTTGTTTACAGAGGAAACTAAAGCACAGAGTGGTTTCGTAACTTCTCCCAGAAAACCACTCAGAAGCTTGGACATTATAATCCAATGTCTTCCAACTCTGGATCCACACTTTATGCAATAACTTCATTTAAAAGACATCACCACAGTGAAGGCTAATAGAAAAAAAACCTTAACTTTCATTCAGGAATATTTAATTCAATATTTATCCAGAATTAGTATTGAGTGACTAATATTGTTTATTACTGCCATTAAACTTTCTACAGGAAAGCATTCATTCATTCACCAAATCTTTTCTGTACTTCTACTATGTACCAGGCACTGTTCCAGGGACTAGAGAGAAGAGATAAGTGAAGAAGCAAGAGTCCTGTCCACAAAGAACTTGGCTCTTCTGCAGAGACAAAATATAATTTAATCAAATAAATTATCTAATTAATAATTAATCAGAACATACATGTTATGAAAAAAGAAAAAGAAGAGTAACACAAAAAGATGAGGAAGTACCAGCTATGAGAGAGTCTTGAGGAGTATCAGACTTCATAGAGAAAAGGAGATATGAGTAAAGGCTTAAAGGAGGTAAGACACTGGAACCTTCCAGGTAGAGGGAGATATCAGAGCCAAAGCCTCAGGGTGGGGACTAGCCTCCTTAATTCTCTCTTCAATCAGGTTTTCAAGTTGCCCAGCAATCCAGGTATTCTCTTATTTTACAGGTCAGCCTTTGACACAGATCAAGATCATTCTAGGATAAGTCAAAAGTTCTATACCCATCAGCTTTATGATAAAACTGAATAACATAGAGATAATTCATTATGATTATCACAACCATTGATCATGTCTCAACCTTACTGAGTGTCTACAATGTACTGACTTCTAAGAAAGTCAGTTAGTACTGGCTAAGTCTTTTATATCCTGTACTTTGCATCCAGGCAGTAAAGAGTCAGTAAATGTTTACTGAGCACCTTTCACACCTTTCACACCTTTCACAATTTACCACCAGTTCCGCCTGAATCCTTTAACTCCTAAAGCATCTATTCTCTAGGATAAGGCATGAGAATCACTGGGTGGGGATTTTATCTAAACCACACATACTCCCCTGACACTGTGATCTCCCACCCCCATCCCACAGCCTAGGTGAAAACGCCACAGAGAGCATATCATATTCTTATGTTGCAATTGGGCAATTGCCACTCCCCTCACCAAAAAAGAGGGAGGAAGGAAAGAAGGGAGGAAACGATTTTTCTTAAAGCTACCCACTGCTAGGACCAGGATGGTGAAATCACAGTTAATAACAGTGCACCAAGCTTCAGAGTTCAGGAATGCCTCTGGCCTCCTGGGGAGATGTCCAGCAGCTGTGCCTAATTTGAGTCTCTGTCACCACCTCCAGCCCCCACCCTCTCCTGGTGGCTGCTCTTGGTCTCAAGCACCCTTCCTTATCCTATTTTGTAATCCCTCCCCTGACACTTAACCTGTCACAGGGACACTGTGAAGGTCAAAGGTCTTAAGAGTGGTTAAAACTTGCCAAAATGTTAAGCATCAGTTATTATGAAATGAGGGGCCTAACAGCAAGGCACAAGGGGCGTCTGACCAACCCAAGTTGGGAGAGAGCCCAACAGCATCTCATTCCCATTGCTTGCTCTCTAATGCATCCTAACAAGAACCAGGACTGCCCTTTCTCTGTTATACTCTAGCCAACTTTTACCACACTTATGTAAACAGACAGATCATTTTATTCAATAATTCTTATTTCATCCATAATAGCTCGGCTAGGCAATAGGCTTAAAGGAGGTAGGATACTTGGCTGAGCTGGAACCTTCCAGGTAGAGGGAGATACCAAGCCAAAGCCTCAGGGTGGGGACTAGCCTCCTTAATTCCCTCTTCAATCAGGTTTTCCAGTTGCTGTCTACCTTCAATCAGGTTTTAAAGAGCTGTCTACCTTCAAAATTTCACTCTCAACTATCCTTAACTTTGGTTTTAGTTACTGCTGGTTGACAATGAAGTTAACCTCTACTGAAAATGTTCACTACTACTGTGGGTGATTAGAAGCCAATGTGTCTCAAAACATGCCTGTTAAAATACAGGTTTCTGGGCCTTCAGGACTCAGTAACTGGCATTTCACTGGCTTTCCAAGTGATGGTTAACTCAAGTACAGAAACAGCAGATTGAACCACATAGATATTTCAATTGTAGTCATTTATGTATTGGTCCTATATATATTATACAAAATGCTTCTATAGGATAAATTTGTATTTTTCCCACAAAACAAATTAACAGTAAGTTTTGAGTGGTATGATAATCTACAAATGTGTGACTTTACAGGTTGGATAATCGCATTAAAATTCCTATGCATACATAGAGGGACAGGGAGCCTCGTATCCGATTTAAGAGAGAATGTGATTTTCTTAAATCAAGAAATAAGATGATTTTCCACCATCTTTGCATCAACAGAACAACAAGCAAAATAAAAAGCAAACGCCTCAACAGAAAATACACTTTCATTCAAAGTGAAAGGGCACCATCTAGTGACCAAAAATATAAATTATCAGTGGGCACAAAGACACATGAGCATGCATGCAGAGACAGTCACCAACATGTAACACGTTTACCTCCAGGGTCTGAATCAGTGCTTTTTTGGAAAGTGGTTCTTCAAATAGTCAAGCTTAATAAGGACAGAGAAAAACAAACATGACAAAATTCTGGTTTAGATTGCTAAAGTGGCTAGCAGCATTGTGTTTTTCATTCCCTTTTTGGCTCTTGCTTAAAAGATGCATACAAGATGTGTCCTTTTTTCCAGGTTGATCTTAATTTATTCATTTCAATTCCTGAAATACAGGTCTCTGTTTTTCAATGACTGTTAACAGTTTACAATTCAAACATGTCTGTGTAATACCAAAAGGGATTAAGATTTCCTTTAGACCCACTCTGCAAATACTTGACAGAGAAAAGTCAAAGTATTAACCACATTAATAAACATAAATTGAGGAAAAAGTCAGCTATAAAGAGGGTTAGAAGATGGCATAACAGAAAAATAGGAAATAAGCGTAGAGCTTCTCCCTCCCAAAATTAATTGCTTTGAAGAACTCAATTTAGGCATAAAGGTTTTGAGACATTTACTCTTAAAAAAAAATTTACTACTTTAAAACCAATCCTCAAGTTCCCTGAACACAGGGGTCATGTTTAATTTGGTTTTGTAACTACCACAGTGCCAAACAAGTGGTAGATACTCAATAAGCTGTTGCTGAATGAACGGATGGCACCTATAATTTAGGAAATGGCTAAATACAGAGAGAGGAGATGGAAGTCTATAGAAAGAGTCTAAAGCTCATATCCTAGGTGACTGTGTGTGTGGTACTTTCCAAAAAAGTTCTGAGTTCAAATATTCTGATCTTAGCACCTCTTTAAAAATACAAAAAAACTGTCAGATATTCATCTCAATTTTTGGTTTTTAGATTCCTGTCCTACCCGTCTGCTCACATCCCTCTGGTGTCATCCTAATGAAGAGAAAGTGACCAGATGGTAATCCAACCTTCTCTAAGTAATAGGAAGCTGTAATGGAAATGCATATGAAATGGGTATTTTATATGTGAATAATGCCAAAGAGAAAAAAATGCCCCTTTTTAAAAATGTTAAACCTTTGAACATAAAGGTTCTTGTGACTTTCATATGGATATCTGTAAGGACTTAACAAGGCAACAATTGTCGTAAGGACACCCGCTAAAAACCATATTTTCAATAAAAATAAAGTATTTCAATATTTAAAATTAAAATTTTATTTTCTCTACCTTACTCTATTGTAAGAATACTGAATGTTTTTATGACTTAATGTGAAGTTTAGTTATGCTTTTAAAAGATTATCTCTTGGTACTCTGGTTTCTACTCTGTGGTTTTCCATCCTTGGAAACATTCCCACCCCTGGAAACATTAGTGAATATTTTACTGCCTCTTCCTTCTTCCTTCAGGCCCCTAAACCTCCTTCCCACTTCATTCCTATTCCACAGCAAAATCTGCAGAAAATACTCATGTCAGCCATTTGCATTTATTATGCTACAGAGAGTAATGTGCTATAGACACATGATGAATTTAGGCCAATCTTTCATCAAAAATCTGTAGCCACTTTCCTGTCTCCATGATTAAGTGCTGCTGAGAACAGGATTCAACCCCCTAAATTCACAGTATGTCTTCCACCCTCGGCATGTACATTTAGAGACAGAAAACAACAGAAAAATCCCTTGTTTGACTACCTCCCCGCCTCCCACTCACAATAAAAACAAAACAAAAGTTATCGTATCAGAGTTGTACTTCTGTTTACAGGGAAAATTTCCATATATTATAAATGGCTTCAAATCTGGATGGCTGTGGTACATTTTATGTACATAAACAAAACTGTCAAACAGATGAGTGGACAGAATTTACTTTCCCCTGGCGTGGAGCTCTTTCACGTTTGTTTCAAGTTAATTTCTTCCAAAAGCGCTTTACTTCTGAAACAATATAATCAAGACGGGCATTACCTGGGGCCTGGATCTGTCAAGAGTGGCCAGTGTTGACAAACACTGAGGCGCAGCTCCAACTTCTTCTGAGATTCTTTGCAACCATTGGGAATATGTCAACAGTCGGCAAGTAGTTCCAAAGTAATAATAGCCAAAATTTTTATGTAAGAAAGAATGTAGCCCTAGGCTTACAATTTTGTGAAAAAAATCTCAGAAAGAAAAAAAAGTGTCAGAAAAAGCCCCAGGCTTCTCAAGGGCGTTAGTTCACTTGGAATCATATAGGGAAAAGCTAGGAAAAGCCAGAATGTATCACACAGAATTTATTACTTTTTAATGCCTTTAACGTGGCAATCGACTACAGATTTCCTTTATGATGTGGTAAAAATATGTGGTGTCTACAGTTAATCGCAATTTAGCCATAAACAAACTCTGTCACCTTGGAAAAGTCACTGAATCACTCAAGTATAGTTTCCTCAAAAAATAAATGAGGAAATTCAGTTAGATCACTGCTGTATTTCTGTATAAATGCAAATTTCTTTGGTATAAAATAGTACTATAAGGTTCTTAAACTAATAAGCAACTTTATTTTACAATTTTTGATAACTCATGGTAGGTAGCTCACTTAAAATCTAAAATGTTTCCAAGAAGCTTAAACTAGCCTAAATCTGGTGACATATCTACAACTGGCTTTCCTCTTATTTTGCACATTTTAAGAATCTGTGATTTTTGTATCAAAGTGGATGAAAGGCAGTGTTCACCCCAGTGGCATTTCCTGAATAATGTGCTTTTAGGCACAAAACAAATGCATTGACAACCCCATACAAAGACGAGAGTCTACTTCAAACCCTATCTGAGCCATCTAATATGGCTTCTATTTTGATGACTATTAGGTTGGCAAGTCACTTTAGTAATCAGCAAAAGTGAATTCTACTCATAGTCAACTGGCCACTGCCCATATTTTATGGTGAAACATGTTTCCCCCTGGCTTCTTAAGAAATTGACTTTCTTTTTTAAACAAAAACTGTACATGGGCCAAATAACATACCAACATCACATTTTTTTTACGGTGAAAATACATACTTTACCAAGAGATGGAGAACACCTGAACTGACTTATTAAGCCTGACTAGAAATGATTTTGAAAGAGCAAACAGGACGACTAGAAGCCTGTGCACTTTACATTTATTTTGTGGCCAGTGAGATGGATTCCAGATTATTTCAAGGAATGTTCTTTGACAGTAAGAATTCTAATAAAAGAGCAAAGTATATTTCAAGAGGGGAGTAAAAGAGCCCAAGCCACACATAGTTAAAGCAAAACGTTAGTGGGCAGCCATAACATGTCAGGTGATATAACCAGAATAAAGAACAAACCCATCTGCTCTAGGCCTTCCCTATACTAAATACAGTTGACCCTTGAACAACATGGATTTGAACTGTGTAGGTCCACTTAGTCAGAATTTATCTGCTGCCCCTAAGGCAGCAAGATGAACTCCCCCTCATTCTTCTTCCTCAGGCTACTCAATGTGAAGACGATGTGGATGAAGACTTTTGATGACCCACTTCCACTTAACAGTAAATCTATTTTCTCCCCCTTATAATTTTCTTAATAAAATTTCTTTTCTCTAGCTTACTTTATTGTTAAGACTACTGTATATAATACATATAACACACAAAATATATGCTAATCAACCTTTTATGTTACTGGTAGGCATCTGGTCAATAGCAGGCTATTAATAAAGTTTTTGGGGAGTCAAAAATTATGCGTGTATTTTTGTGTGGTGGGTCAACATCCCTGACCCCACTTGTTCAAGGCTTACCTGAACATTGCTTTAGGATAAAGCATAAAATCATCTTTATGTATCTTATTAAATTAAATTAATTAATTAATTACTTTTTTGAGACAGAGGCTTGTTCTGTCACCCAGGCTGGTGTGCAGTGGTGTGATCTCGGCTCACTGCAACTGCCGCCTCCCAGACTCAAGCGATCCTCCCACCTCAGCCTCCTGAGTAGCTGGGACTACAGGCACGGGCCACCATGCCTGGCTAATTTTTTGTAGAGATGGGGTGCCTCACCACATTGTCCAGGCTGGTTTCAAACTCCTGGACTCAAGAAACCCATTGACTCGGCCTCCCAAAGTGCTAAGATTACAGGCATGAGCTACCACACCCAGCCAATATCTTATTTTAAAACTGAAAAAATAATCTCCTTACTAGTCAACTAAAAGAGAAGAGGAACAGACAGCAAGCAGTGCAAAAACAAATGTATTTTAAATTCAAAAACCTAATTTTCATGAGATTAATGTTACCATTAGTATCCATATCAACCTATACACAGTGAGGTCCCATGGCAACTTCATATCAAGATTCTTTTTTTTTCCAAATGAAACTTAATATTTAACAGAGAAAGAGTATTTTTGACATGATAATGGCAGGAGTGACGTGAGCGAATTGTAAGAAACCAAGTATGGCAAATTCCTTAGGCATTTTCAGCTCTCTTTGGCAATGATTGGGGAGCAGGTGCCCTCATCGCTACAGTAATGAATACTTCAGGCAGGTTCTTGCTGAATGCAAGGAAAGGGTGGGAGGTCCATTCACATACCAAGGTGGAGCCTGTGAATGGTTTACCAATTGGATAAAAAAGAGCTACCAACTTGAGAAAATTCAAAACTAGCTGGAAGATAAGTAAGAGCTTTTGGTGATGGAATACCAGTATTTCCAATATAATCAGCGATGGAAGAGTTTAAAATACAAGGATGCTGGGCTATTAGAACTATTCTCCACTGACTTTTCAACTTCAGGAGGAAATGCAGCTTAATGGAGAGAAGAGGTAAATTGTGCATATGCCAGTTTGTGTTAAGATTCCACTGTGACTTATCAAAGCTGTTTACTTAATCAGAAACAGAGTTATGGGGGCTCAGCAAAAAAGTCTAGAAATAATCTCAGAGAAGAACAATGAAATGCAAACAAAGTAGAAAGCAAAAATCAAGGCATACCAGATGAAATAATCAACAACAGATGTATTTAAGGAGTGTGAGAATTGGAAAAGGATAAACTACCTTATCTTATAAACCACTTTCTCTTATATAGTGTAAACTACACCCCAGACATAATCTGAAAGCTGCTGTTCAGATAGGAGGAGGGCAGGGAAAAATCCAAAGCATAAGAGAAATCCAGCTTTGGAACACGGAGGGTGGAAAAAGAAAGAAACAAAAAGCCTAACTCAATTAGTTTCCCGCAGCCTCTTGGCATCTGAGCTCTATATTCCAGAGATAAGGAAGAGGATTCTGGGAAGGGGAGGAAAGAAAATGAAGTGCCAGGAGGAAATCTGGAATCATTAGAATGGTTTGTATATAACAGTTCTACAGAAAGCATGGGTAGTGCTAGATTACTGCAAGGGAGGTCGTTGACATAAGTATGAGAGGGAGATGGGCAACTCTTGTGATGGTGGAGACGAAGCCAAGACACCCCACATGGCAAAAACAATAATGCGAGGATCCAGGATGAAGAGGAGGAAACAACACCAGCCCTCTGCAATGGCAATGGCATCCCAGTCCAATACTCAATGGTCCTTTTGATAAAGGAGGGGGCACATGCCAGGATAAAGCATCCCCAGGAAATTGTACTGAGATAACAGCAAGTTATGCAAGAACTTCTAAGAGCCAGAAGTGACTAATTTGCCTTCTCTCTCCCAGGAATACTGATGTTCACAGTGTGCATGACAGGTCCCAGAGGTATTGCCTGCAGTCTAAACCCAAAGCACTGTAATCTGTAGCCAGGGCAGATTGTTCCTTTTTACAACAGCTGGGACTCTTCGTGAAAAATCTTAACACACAACTGCTGGTTGCTGTTACAGAGTAAGACACTATGCATTTAAGAGTTCACACACATTAGACTAAGAAAGTCCCGTAAATAAAAAGGTGACCACATCATACCATATACATGATCTCTTTATGTCTGAGCTACTCAGATAAGAATTTAGAAACCGGAAAACCTGTCTCTTGAAGAGATTCAAGGAACAATTACAGGTACATGCAGGAAACAGCAAAACTTTTAGGAATTCGATTCTAAAAATAACTTAGCAACTTGAGACTGGCATTAAAATTCTTTACATTTCTCATCTTTGTTTTGTATGTTACACTTGTTACATATAACTTTTATATGTTACACTAAAGAGCAGCTAATTATAGGTTCAATTGACTCTGTGTGCTAAAGACTGTGTTTCAAGCTTGTTCGTGATCTCAAAGTTGGTAATATTCACAAAAATTAAAAAGGCCTAATATTAGGTAAGTGGTCCTTAAAGAAAATTATCACTTGCAAAATGCCTATCTGCCTTCTTCTCACTCTACTTTCTACAGACTAGCTTAACAACAGCTGTTAATAGTTTTTTCATGAAGCCACATATACTGGCACAATATGCCTATTCCTCTCCCCAACTGTGCATTATTCCTCACCCCAACTGTGTATTATTTGTTTTTCTCATAAAGTAGAAATGAAGGATCCTAATCTCTCAGTCCTAAGAGATTTATATCTTTGGGCGAGGAGATGGGAATAAAGTTTTAATTGTCAAATAACTTCAAAACAATCCTTTATTTTTCTTAAGAATAATATCTTAAAAGTTACCTAAGAGCTAACAATTTCTAAGTCAGAATTCATCAAGCACTTATTCAAAGGCAAAGTTCCTGCTTAAATGTTTTTTTTTGTTTGTTTTTTTTTGTTTTTTGTTTTTTGTTTTTTTTTGAGACAGAGTCTCGCTCTGTCACCCAGGCTGGAGTGCAGTGGCACGATCTCAGCTCACTGCAACTTCCACCTCCCAGATTCAAGTGAATCTCCTGCCTCAGCCTCCCATGTTGCTGGGTCTACAGGTGCACGCCACCATGCCCAGCTAATATTTGTATTTTTTAGTAGAGATGCAGTTTCTCCATGTTGGCCAGGCTGGTCTCGAACTCCTGGCCTTAAGTGATCCTCCCAGCTTGGCTTCCCAAAGTGCTCGGATTACAGGCATGAGCCACCGCACCCAGCCCTTAAATATCTTAAATAACAAAAATTTTGAGCTTAGTCCTTTAAAACTGTTTTTTCTAAAAGCAAGAAGGCATCAAAAATTGCATCAAATAATCACCTGATAAGGGTGACCAATTAGTCCTATCCTTTCTAACAAGAAAGATGATCTTCTGAAATTTCTTCCCATACAAAGAGCTCCTAAAAATAATTTTAAAAAATACTAATTGTCCCTTAAGGAAATGGGCAAAAGACATGGATAAATAATTCAATACAAAATGATAAATATATAACTATGAATAAAGTTCAACCTTACTAATCACTTTTTAAAATAAAATCGGCAAAGGTCTTCAAAATTTCAAGCCCAAGAAGGATACAGTTAAATTCCCATACTTTTGGTGGAAATAAAAACCAGTGGAGAAAATCTGGAAAGTCATTTGGAAATATCAATGAAGGATCACAATATCATAATTTTAAGAATACACATATATTAAGAAGAGAAGAAAACCAAATTAATAGTGATTACTTCTAAGCAACAGAGTCACAGGTAATTTCTATTTTATTTTATGCTCTAAGCGCTTCTGTATTTTCCATTATGAACAACTATACTTTTATAATGCACAAAAAATACTCATATCTTAAAAGATCATCTGTAAAGTCTGAGATCAATTCACTCAAATTACATCCTTTACTTTAAAAAATGTATTCAAGTCAGAACTTCCTGTTTTCCCCAGTACAATGTTTCAAGAATTCCCTTAAAAATTGAGAACTTTAAATGTTAGCAATAATGACAACAATGCTTTCTCAATTAGCTAAAAAAAAGTTCCTTCTTTCTTCTCTACAACTCTGTGACAGGCTTTTTGCCATGCAGTTTCTCAACTTTATCTCTTTTTATTTGTTGTGCTGTTACTTTTAATATTTTACTGACATACTTTGGCTCTGAATACAGAATTCCCCAGTGAAACTGGAGCAGGAATACGTAATGATGGGGTTAACTGTCATGGAAAGACAAGGTTGGAACAGAGGGCAAATAGTTAGTGAAGGCCATATGTTTATGGCCACCACTAACTACACAAGGAATTCTTTCAAACATTTATGGCAACATCTCTCTTTTCCTGCAGTAAAGGTTTCTGGAATAAATGGAAAAAAAGGACAATCTGGGTAGTGGGGGTATACTGCTCTTTCTTTAAAGAATTTTCCAATGTCTCCCAAACAAGGACATTTAGAAAAGCAATATTTGGGTATTATTCTCAGGGTGTGATTAAGCCGCCTATTAACGTTAAGCAATAAAAACCTCACAGAACAGTACCCTCGTAACAAATAGTTTCACCAGGATGGCAACTTAAAAGATGTTTTGTCTTCTCAGCAGAGAAGTCAAAGAGTTGAGAACGGTACCTGGTTATGCGCCATTTGCCCCTGCCCTGGGGCTATTCTGTCTTTGGCTCTGCCCTGCTTCGTGCCCAGCAAGCTGGACCAGCACCCCTGGCAGTGGCTGCATGGCTCCATGACTGCAATTCCACTGAGTAGTCTCTTGGCAGTTTCCTTTTTCACTGGGCTCCCACAATACCTTGTCCTCCCCTTGCCCCATCAGCCCTCAGGTGATGATAATGGCTTCCAGCTGTTGCCAGTTTTTGTGCCTCATCATCTATTAATATCCATTGCTTGCTCACTTAACCCTGTCTACTGTAAACAGCCCCGTTGTTAGAGTTTCTTACACCATTTGGAGTTAACTCTGTTTTCTGCCAGAGTGAGACTGACACAACACCCATTCCACCAATTCCTTTCTTCTTTTAACGAGAAAGTGTGTGGGCAGGGGTTGGGGTGGTGAAGATTTGTGTTGGTCTCCTTTCTCCACAGAAGCACTAACTTTTAGGGGGTCAACTCCATACGTTAGATAGGTTAAAAATAATATTCCTTAGGTCTTAGCATACACTTTTTTAGAAAAATTGGTGTTTTTCTACAAGTCAACTTCACAACAACGGCAGAGAATCACTAATGCAGTTTCCTCTTTATTTTCTCTCTCCTTGTCTCCCTCCTCCATTTCCCCAAAGGCTATGCAAATGCATTTTAATCATATAATCACGCTTATTACTGGAAGTATCTTGGCACCTTCAAATGTTCTTTGATAAATGTGTTGTAATGCTTATAGGACCTTTGAGAAATATGTGTGGATCAGCAGCATTTTTGAATTTCTTTAATATTTTCTTGGCTTCCATACAACTTTTACCTCTAAAGGCATTTATTTGTATGTTCCATCTCAAAAAACATTGCTTTAAAGATATATGCAGTACACATCTTTTTTGCGAAAACCTCAAATACATTGAAGTGAGATTTCTGTAACCACTGAATTTGCTTCCAACTGAGGGGTGGGGATGTCTATTGATTATCTTCTTGGGCCTGTAAACAAACCGGCCTATAACTGCATCCAAAGACTATGTACACGTGCATTGGTAAACTTTTCTGAGTGTATCTACTGATTTTCAGAAAGGCTAAGAAAGCTAAGTCCTGCTGTAAGTAGTGTGGAATTTTGCAGACATTCAGGGAACAGATTTTGAAACCTTCAAAGGATTCAATTTTGGTTTGGCATTACTACAAGCTGGTATTTATCTTTGGTTCAGAAATTTTCAACAATTATATTTTTTAATATAATGTCAGCAATTATATTTAAAACGTGAATGCTAATCAATAGGACAACACCAAATTTGAGATAATCATTACTTCCTTTCAGTTACTATTATAAGAGACACAGGAGAAAACAGTAACAATAGAGGCAAGTGAGAGAAGCCACAACTGAATCTAATTGTTGTTTAACTCTTGCTCTTTTTTTAAAAAAAAATCTTGTGTATTTTATTGGAGTTTAAATCCTACAACTGTTATGCTTTGGCTACAGAATTAGATCTTTGTATGAAATCTTGTTTTAGAAGCTATGTTAACTTCTGGAATTATATCAAAGAACTTCAGACCTGGAATGGAACTTGAAGTTCTATCTGTCTTTTACATCCTTCCCCAAGGCTCACCGAATGCCTACTGTGGGCCAGACACTGCTAGAAACTGGAGTCACAGTGAAGATGACACCATGATCCAAGCCAGTAAATGAGCACAGATGTAAAAACTTCCCACTCCTGGCATGCTTTCTTCTATGTAACATTCCTCCTAAACTATCATCTAAACTGACACATTTTTAGTGACAGAGAGAAAACTATTTTATCAAAAAGCAAAGGTGAGCTGTTAAAAAATCATTTCCTTAAAACCATCTTTCTCCCCAAAAGCCTTCAATGATTTCCCAATTACACAGAATTAAGATTGCAAACTGTCTGCTGTGGTTTTCAAAGACCTCATGACCAGGACTGTGCCCAGCTGTTTAGCTTTCTCTTCCATTATTTCCCTTCATAAAATTCACACTACAACCAAACCAAAATACTCACCATTGCACCAAAATGTCCTATAATTTCCTATCTTGATGCTTCTGTTCCTGAAACCACTGGATACTGTACTATTATTTTGGCTCCATCAGTCCAATCCTCACCACATTAAGGTTAACACAAATGTCATGTTTTGTCAGGCCCCTCCAGTGCAAAGTAAATCTCTACCTCCGCTGGTTTCCCGTGACACTGCTTGTTCCCTTAAAAGGCCTATTACATGCTACCCCATTATCCATATACCTGCTTTCATCAGTCTGTAGGCCCTGTGATCTAATGGGAGACACTGTGCCCAGTTTTTATACCCCTCACAAAACAGACTATGTATCAAGTTTTAGAACACAAGCATTAGATAACTATCTGGATTTCACTAGAGTGACTGATATCTATTTCCTCATAATTTTTGTGCCTTTATTCCCCCTTCCTCTATATTAAAAATGTCATCCCCTTAGCATATCCATGACAGCCCTTCAGACTCTGGCACAGCCACCAACTGTTACATTCTCAATCACTTTTTCTTTGGGCAATCAATCACCCTACTTCTCTCAGTGGGTCCTTCTGTGAACTCACTCTAAGTCAGGCAACTTTAATTTTTTGAATCCTCAATCTCTAGCATAGGCTATGGAATAAAGTAGGTGTCCATAGAAATAGATTGTTGTAAGGATTAAATCATAGTAAGTAAGATAACATAATGGGCTTAGCAGTGTCTTTGACACAGTAAATACTCCATAAATGTTAGTTATTAGTAACTAAATGAAGGATTACGACAATAGTTACCATTTCAGCTCTTATTTCTTCTTATATCTTTTTAGAGATGTTTTCTGATTAGCAGAGCCCAACAGGTCTACATAATCTCCGAATCCCTCTGTCAAATCTGCCTAAGATGGCATTTATAACAGCATTGCAGACACATCACATGCTGGTGCAGAGTGACTTTTAACAACCAAAATCTCAGAGCCTTCTCATATCAACTGGTGTTCAGCCTTGTATTCCTCCCCTCCCTGGATTGTCCCATTAAGTATAAACAACCTTTTTATTATGGTTTTAGTATAAATTATAATAAAATGTCTTATATTAGTTGTATTATATCAGTGTTTGTGTTTTTTTTTATGGTAAATTCCTATTGGGTTGTTGGTACCATCCTCATAAAGAGATATATGATCAAGGGAATCCAAACATATAATTCTTATTCTCAGATTAGTAGAGAAATTTTTTTATACTATTTGACATTTGATATGTTTATTTTCCCTCACTTTTAAGGAGTATTAAGAATGTACAACATATCAGCATAATTACTTGGTGGAGAAAGGTTCACTCTGCAGTTTATGAGAAAGTAACATTTGATGAAAAGCAATAAAAAATGGGACATATTCACTTTGCCATCATCTCACTGTTTCTCAAAAAAAGAAAAAATGTCAGACTAGAATATTATGACTCAATAGAAATTCTAAAACCTGAAAAATCAATGAAGACTAATTTACCACAAATTCCTAACATTTCTACAATATATATTTTTTCACAGCAGAGCCTCTCAATGATACCTACATATTAGAAAATATAGCAAAGGAGTTTTATGCAACACTTCTAAATAAATTAAATGAACTTATATCTGCTAAAGATTATAAAAGATTACACCGAAATTTATAAAATTTTTATTTTGCAATTATAATTAAAACTGTAAGAACCGATTTTGACAGCTTTGACTGAACATATAATAAAGATATGTAAACCTGAAATATTTTGTAGCACTACTTTTACGCTTTTCAAATGTTCATGCTAATCAGTACGAAAGTCCACAACCCACACTCCTTTAATACTTCCTATTTTAATGACCATTTTTAGAAATTTAGGCCCAAAGTCTTGGATATTTTGAGTTCCCCTCAGCTCCCTAGCTGGTAAAATATAAATAAGGTACAGGTAGTAAAGTACACTATATGAATACAGTAGAATCTCAAAAGAAAAAGCCATTGATATTCATAAAAATATTTTCTAAACAAAAATAACAATAATTGATCCCTAGGTTTAGAACTGTTTATGTAAATATAGTTGTGCCAATAGTAGTTCAGACTGCACAATGAAAACATGGGAGAAACAGAAATCTTTAAATCAAACAATATATGGGAAATGGTACTTATATTAATAATGGGACAAAATCATTCCCTGATGAAATGTGGACATGAAAGGAGTGACTGCTTTGAAAATGGTGAGTTTTCAAGCTTAGGAGTGATTGACAAATAAAAAGTATATCTATTAAAGATATATACTGTGATTATATATATATATATATATATACACACACACACACACACACACACACACATACATTATAAAACTATTACCACAATCAACATATCTATCACTTCACATACTGACCTCTGTGCGTGTGCATGTGTGTGTGTGTGTGTGTGTGTGTTGAGAACATTTAAAATCTACCCTGTTAGCAAATTTCAAGGGTATATTATGAGCTATAGTCACCACACTGTACACTAGGTCTCCAAAATTTATTCATCTTATAAATGAAAGTTTGTATCCTTTGACCAACATCTCCCCATTGTCCTCACACTCAATCCCTGTTAGTACAATTCTACTCTCTGTTTCTATGAGTTCAACTTTCTTAGATTTGACATATAAGTTATATTATGCAGTATTTGTCTGTTTGTGTCTGGTTTATTTCGCTTAACATAATGTCCTCCAGGTTCATCCATGTTGTCACAAATGGCAGTATGTCCTTTTTTCTAAGGCTGAATAACATTCCATTGTGGACTTACTATTGCCATTTTGTTGTTTTCTGATTGTTTTGCAGTTGTTTTGTTTCTTTATACCTCTCTTGGTATGTTCCTTTGTAATTTCATGATTTTCAATAGTGGTATGGTTTGATTCTTTATCTTTTGTGTATCTACTATAGATTTCTGTTTTGATGTTACAATGGAGTTACACAAAACATCTTATAGTTATGAGTCTATTTGAAGCTGGTAACTCTACACTTTTACTCCCCATTTTTTTTGATGTTATGATTTACTTTTTTTATATTGTGTCTCCATTAACATTGGTGTAGCTATAGTTATTTTTAATACTTTTGTCTTTTAACATTTATACTAGAGTTAAAATGAATTTAAACACCATCATTAGGATATTGGAGTATTCTGAATTTGCCTACATATTTATTTTTACCAGGGAGTAAAAATACTATATTTTCATGCTACTAATTGGTGTCTTTTCATTTCAGCTTGAACAATTTCGTTTACCATTTCTTGTAAGGCAGTCTTAGTGGTGATGAACTCTCTTAGCTTTTGTTTGTCTGGGATAATCTTTATCTCTCCTTCCTTTACAAAGGACAGCTTTGCTGAGTAAAGTACCATTGAAAGACAGTTTTTTCCTTTCAGCACTTTGAGTATATCATCCCACTCCTTCGTGACCCGTGGGATTTCTGCTGAGAAGTCAACTGATAGTCTTATTGATAGTCTAACTGACAGTCTTCTTTTATGTGTGACGAGTCTCTTTTCTCTTGCTGTTTTCAAAATTCTCTGTCATTGATTATTGACAATAAGATTATGTGTCTTGGTGAAGTTTTATTTTGGTTGAACCTGCCTGAGGACCTTTGAGCCTCATAACCTGGATGTCCATATCTTTCCCATGATATGGGAAGTTTTCAGCCATTATTTATTTAAGTAAGATTTCTACCCTTTTCTTTCTTTTCTCCTTTGAAGACTCTCATATTGCATATATTATTTCTCCTGATGGTATCGCATAAATCCCATAAGCTTTCTTTTTCCTTCTCTGACTAGATAATTTCAAATGCTTTGTATTTGAGTTCACAGATCCTTTCTTCTGCTTGATCGAATCTGCTGTTGACTCTCTCTGATGCATTTTTCATTTCATTCATTGCAGTCTTCAGCTTCAGAAGTTGTTTGGTTCTATTTTACGATGTATATCTATTTGTTGAGCTTTCAGTTTTGTTCATATATTGTTTTCCTGATTACACCGAGTTTTATTTAGATTTACACTGATTTTATTTTATTTAGATTTATACTGAGTTTTATTGTAGCCTGCTAAGTGTCCTTAAAAAGCAATTATTTTTAAATTCCTTGTCGGGTAATTTGTAGACCTCTACTTCTTTGGGGATGGTTACTGAGAAATTATTGTGTTCTTTTGCTGGTGTCGGGTTTCTGCGTGTGTGTGTTCTGTGAAGTCCTGTGTTGCTGTTTTCACATCTGAAGTAGTAGTCATCTCCTCCAGTCTTTACTGACTAGCTTTGGGGAGAGGAACTCCTTCACCAGTCAGCCTGGCTAGAATTCTGAGGCACTCTCGATATTTTCTATGAATGCACTCCCTCCACTCTTTTTGCTTTCTCTTGGGAGGTAATTCTTAAGATTGTGTACCTTCTCTCAATCTCACAAAGCCAGGCTTTGTGCTGAGAGCCTTTCATTTGCTTTCCCTAGGGCAGTGCCCTGAAATGCTCAGTTTATGTACCTTCCTCCAATCCCAGAGTCAAGCCAACTGACTACAAACCACCTGTAAAGGCTTGTACTCATGACCCAAGGAATGTGCATCAGAATTGGCCACAGGAGGGGTAGGGGAGGAAGCATGTGGGGCATGGGGGCACCCATGGAATTGGTTGGGTTTATAGGTCAGGCATCCCAACTAGCTCATGGGCAGGCCTCCTAATGGAGTCTGAGATGCAGTCAGTCAGATACAAACAGCTGTTGAATTCTAAGACCTATCTGCTGTGATTTCCGCCACCCCCATCCCCACCTTTCCCTACTTTCAGCCACTCAGACATGCTAATCTCCTCCAGTGTTCTCGGTGGGTCAAAAAAGAGGTGGGCTTCTTGGACAGCATTTTACACAGCTGGTAAAGCTGGGTATTCACAACACTAACTTTCCCCCTGTGAGAAGAATCATGGGCAAAGAGGGTCTCTCCTGGCACTGAACTGTGCTGCTTTACAGGAGAGGTGACATGGGTAAAATGAAACTATTCTTCTTAACCTCTTCAATGCATCTCTCCTTAAATTTTTTGCTCCAGCAGTGAGCTGGAACTTCTCTGCTAGACTCTCAGACTCCCACAAAGGTACTCTTGTCCATGAGTGATTGTCAAAATTGGTGCTTCTACAGGGAGACAATGATAGAAAACTTCTATTCTGCTATCTTGCTGAAATCATTCCTGATAAGCATTTGTTGTTGAAGAGAACTAGATCCTTCAGTTCAGGAGATTATCCAAATTTTACTATTATTTATATCACTAAATAAAAAAGTGTATGCTTTTCTCTCGTGCCCGCCCCCTAATTACTCTCCCTTCCCACATACTTCTAGGGAAATAACAAAACAAAAATACACACATGGGGGTCATTCTTCCAATATGTTATTCCATCAAGTTCCAGTTTTTTTGCCAGTCAGTATCCCTGCCATCCCCTTTTCATCCCCACCCCATGGCACTATATCCAAGACTAGATTTGGCCTTAATGTGGTTCACAGATTGGGTTTTTTTTTGGAACATAATGCAGTATAAACCTCCTCTGCAACTACCAGATGCTAAGCAGCAATATAACTGGAGAGTGATACCACTGTCCTGCCAGAAACTATCAAGACCTTCGAATCAGCAGGAGGCAGCTTCAGGGGGTGACGAAGAACTGAAGTGAGCCAAAAGGGAATATTTCTGTGCTGCTTCCAGTAACACAATGCAAATTCTAATATGATTGTGGGCTGGAAAGATTTCATGTGCCCTTGTGGACTAACTTTATTGTGTGCCTGGAAAAGAGAGAGTATTTGGATTCACTGGCAGCTTTCAACGAATCTACCCCTCCCTGTAACACCTGCTTTTGTTGATTAAATTTTAACAGAACCTTTTTTCCTTTAATAGAGTGACTTTAAGAGGAAAAATGAAATTGGCATCAGCTTTTTTGACATGATTATTAGTAAGTGCAGAGCACCAGAGGTATCTGTTCAGAACAAGAGGAAAGGCCTTTTTGCCCTGTGAGTCCTCATCTTAGAATACAAAATTTTAGTTGGTAAAATGTTAGACTACTTCATTTATGATTTGGCCTGTCCAAAATTGTTGCTAAGTTTTGAAATCTTAGATATTAATGGGATTCTCCCGTCTTGACAGGGCACATGTTTCAGGATTTACAGTGGAGTTTATCACGTACAACCTTATTAATGTGAACTTCACTAATTTATAATAATATAAAAATTTTGTGCAAGTCTGGAGTTCACCGTTACTTTAAAGAACATGTTTGATAGATGAATGAATGTAAATAAAAATGTTTAGGCAAGAGAGGTCCTATTCAAACAACATAGGTCCTGTGGAAGCCCACTTTGCACACATTTAAAAATACACACTACCAGGCCAGGCATGGTGGCTCACACCTGTAATGCCAGCACTTTTGGGAGGCTGAGGTGGGTGGATGGCCTGAGGTCAGGAGTTCGAGACCAGCCTGGCCAACATGTTGAAACCCCATCTCTACCAAAAATAGAAAAAAAAATTAGCCAGGCTTGCGAGGCCGAAGCACAAAAATTGCTTGAACGGAGAGGCGGAGGTTGCAGTGAGCAGAGATCGCACCACTGCACTCCAGCCTGGGCAACAGAGCAAGACTGTCTCAAAAACAAAACAAAACAAAACAAAAAAACAAACAAAAAACCCATACTACCTACAAAACTGCAGCAACTAATTATTAAGCTAGTTTCCCTAGGAATATTAGACCATAATTTGGTTATGTAACCCAAAAGAGGAAAAGAAAACTTTCTTTTAATACAAGCTCTTAGATTCAAACTTTCTCCTAATTTACAGTTATCACCTTGATTATTCCAGATTAGTAACTTAACTAAAACCTGTTTCTCATATAACCTGTTGATTATTCCCAGACATGCTGATGAACTTATCCAGGTTTAGTTTTCTATTTTCATTCCCTCAGTGTCCCTAAATTTCAGCCCACTGATCTTATGTTTTTATCACTGTTAGGCAAGAATTAAAGAAAATTAAAGACATAAAATCTACAACCTGTCCCCTTTCTTGTTTTAGGAGAAAGAAAGTGGAAAATGTCAAGCCTAGAACAAAAAAAAAAAAAAAAAAAAGAAGGAAATTAGTGATCAATTTCCAGGCTCTATGTTTCTCTTCCTGACTCTGGCATCAGTTTTATGCTTACTCAGGTCATTTTCCTTCTGTTATGTCAGCACATACATGAGTATCACCTTCACTTTCTATATACTTTTACTGCCTTACACATTTATTTCTTTTGCTTTTTCATCCACAAGTGAATTCCAGGTCCTTTCCTTGATATGTATCTTTCTGCCAATAATGTGTCGAGAACAGGGTACAGCATTCCAAGTACAAGATTTTCTCCACAGTCATATAAATCAGATTTGTTTCCACTTCTATGGCTCAGTCTAGGGTCTCTAGGTATGTAAGCTGATTATGGGCCTCTGAAGAAACAGTGTTTCTGCCAATTCACTGTCATGTCTAGTTCTCTGTTTCATCATTTGTCTAATTAAGCTTTCAAAAGCCTAATGTAGGCAACTGGCTATTCTCAGAGTAATACAGGTATGAGTCCTGGGTCTACTGAAGTGAACTCAGTTTCCTCACTCATTAAATGGTTTTGACAATAGTGCCTATTTCATTTTAAGTGTAAGTAAACATCAGTATGTGTTACTGTACCTGTACCTGTACCTTCTGAGGGCCCCCAAACACCACTAAATGTATAGCAATTCCATGCCTGTGAGTCTTCATTTGATATTCCTTGTTAGTTTCCTGTCTTCTCTGCCTCTGCTCTTAGAAGTGATCCCTTTGGCTTTATTCTCTTCCAGGCCTTTTGCCTAGGGCGTCTACTTGTGTAACTTTACTATCTAGTATTGTGATTCTTTCCAATTCCAGTTTCCTAGTTTAGGCCTCTATTCCAAGCCTCCCAGCTAGTCTCAAACGCCTAGTAAACAACTTCTCACTTTCTTCATGCTCTTTAATTTCAACGTGCCAGGTCCAAAATTCATTACTCTTCTCTCTTTTCTGGGTGGTGCAATGGGGATCTCCACAGTTTAAGAAAGAACACTGTAGAAAAAGCAATCCAAAGGTTAACAGATCACCAGCATGTGATCTTGTCCTTTAATATAAACACTAGTCTGTACTCAGAACTTAACTCCTCAAGGATCTCTCCTGTGTATGTAATTCTAATGGTCAGTGAGGCACAATCCATTAGTAGGAACCACTATGCTTTCTTTTTTCCTTCAAATATAGTAATTCCTAAATTTATTGAGTCCACTTGTACCTCAAAATATTTTCTTCTTCCATTTAAATCACATTTAACTTGTTCTTTGGGATGCTGTCTTGGGAAAAGCTCAGGGCTATGGCTATACTCTCACAGTTTTAAAATCACTTGTGAAGGTTGACTAACCCATGCTATCAGCTACAGTGACTAGTGTCTTAACAGCATTTAAAAGAAAAAATATATATTAATAATTTTTCCCAATATCTCCAATATTTTTAAAGTAACTACCATATATTTTTAGAGTGTATTCATTATTGGAAGCATATTATTTTTCTTCCTGGAAGGGATGGTCAATCTTGTGCACATTTTGAGGATCTGACAGAACTACATCTGAGAATTATGAAGCAAATCATAGTATGTTAATAATTCAAAACTCAGTGTTTTTTTTCCTATATTTCCCCCATTCACAAAAACAATATATCACAGGGCCTTAAAACAACAAACATAATAGGGCTGGCTCCATTTTACATTTAGAACCTATAAACTTTCTGTTTCATTGAGTCTAACCAACACAGGTGGATTGGCTCTGGCACTGAAGAATGTACTGGGCCTCCTTTGTGTTACGATGAAATTGCTTAAATCCTGTGATGTACTTGTAAGGTTGATCTGGAGAGAGAGAACTCTTTGTTTTTTAAAGTTTTTAAAGTACATTTTCAAGTTTTGTCAATGACTATTAACTTCCATCTCATAATAAAAACTGATGTTAATTTTCATGTAAAGAAAATTTTGAAAAGAGTGTGTACAGAAGCTTAATGTCATGTACACCACCTGGCACTGAAATGGTCCATCATGAAAACCAGTCCACATGTGTAAGCATACAGGCTGGATATTCCCTGCAGCAGGACTGACCACAGACACCACAGATTATAAAGATGAATGCTGGCCACTTAATAACCTGTTCTTCTTCCTTTTACCACATAGTGTGGAAACAAACAAACAAACAAACAAAAAACAACGCTGACCACATTTTTGGCCAGATACTACATCATGTAAAACCTTATGAATCTTGATTTTGGTACTACCACTATATGCTTTAGATATTTTTTGTTGCTGTACTCAGCAAATCTGACACCTACACTCTCCAATATTTCACAGACATTCCCATAAAGCTTATCTGCAAATCAGTTCTCAATGTTTGACCATATTTTCTCATTTTAGTGGCATTTCTTACATTTTCGTTTTGTCTCTTCAAGTTTCCATAGCTTTCGATTTTCTGTTTGTACATTCTCCAGCTTTCACTTACTTGCCCTTGAAATTGATCAGATTTGTGAGTCTCCTGGACACACAAACTTGCATTAAGGCCCATACCAGCCTGGGTGGGGAGTTTGTGCAGACTCTCTCAAACATGAATTAGCAACAAAGATGAGTGGAGGAGCCAGCACTGAGAGCGAGGGCGGTGCAAAGTTAAAAACATGTGCAAAGGGGTTTGACCTCAAACTGATCCTGGACTCATACCTACAAAGCTGATTTCTACAGTCTGACGTTCTTTCATCTGACTTTAGACTCCTGGTTCTTTCCTGATGAAAATGTTTTATAAGAATTTTTTTCTAGAAAAGCCACATGCAAGTGGTTGCTTTTATTCATGATGGATAGGAACTTCTCAGCTCCTGAAATGTGTTCATAGAAAGGATGACGTAGGCACTTTTTCTAGACCTCTAAAGATAATGATATACTGCCAAAAATCAAAGATTTCCATGCCAGTCCTTACTTTTCAGTCTCCAGGAGAGGAGCCCAATTACATCCTTCATTTATTTATTTTTATTTTTTCCTCACACTTACTCAAGGTTGACCTGAACTGTTTGTCATCCATTCTCAACAACACATCTTCAGGGACGCAACTCCTTGTCACACTGAATTATATTATTTAACACACATAACTACGTCTACATTTTTCTAAGTGATTTTATCAAAAGAAATGAAAGGGGACAGATAAAGCTAATTAACATAAATGGGAAATCACAATAAACCATCTCTAAAAATCTACATTGATGGGCATCTCTGCCATTTCCTTTAAAGAGAAACTGAGTTGGGTGTGATGGAGTTTAAAATCTTTCACTGACTCATTCCTTAGTGTTTCTCTCACATCGATTTTAAACCTTGTCACTGCCCCCAGCTCTAGGATTTGTATACCTCCTCTTCGAATTGGAAAGGAAGCAACTTTCTTTCCAGCCGCACTCGGCTCCTTTTGTAGACAGCTAGCACAGAGGTGGGGTAGCCTTCATCTGTATCTTAGCATCATGTACTTTCACACAAACTTGTCATTCTGTTCATAAATTCTTGGTCTCTTAGGCTGGGTGCAGTGGCTCACGCCTGTAATCCCAGCACTTTGGGAGGCTGAGGCAGGCAGATCACTTGAGTCCAGGAGTTCAAGACCAGCCTGGCCAACATGGTGAAACCCTGTCTCTATTAAAAAAAAATATACAAAAATTTTGCCAGGCAGGGTGATAAACAAAAAGGATTACTAGGTGTTTCCAATGGAAAACAATGCATTGTCTAGAGAACACCCTTTGGGGTCCTCTGATTCTGGCATTTTACTGCCTCTGAAATATTTCATAGCTCTGTTTTAGATAAATGAGACCAAAGCAAAGTAAGTCTTTTCTATAGACAATACAAATAAATTCTGTCCCTTGGAGGTTCAATTTACATTCCTCCTCCCATTAGAAAAAGCCAGCTTCAGATCCATTTGTAAATTCATCTCACATTTCTTTATTCCATATAAATCTATGATTCTCCTTTGAATGGTTATGACATCTTCCTAGTTCTCCATTAATAAGATTCATAAAATCTTTAACACGTGTTCAATTTATGTCTGTATGAGTCTCATCATTTTTTATTTTCCCAGAAAATTATTCTTTAATGGTAAAAAAAATAATTCTCAAAGCCATTAACAAGGACAATTTAAGTCTGCTTACAGTAGATTACAAAAAACATTTTTTGGCAAACAGAAATTCCTCTGTATTAAATACCAATTAAATAAATGATTCAGAAAACCTACTCTATGGTGTTTGGTTGTGATGTATATATTACGGTGGGATTCCACCTGGAATGTACATGTGAGCTTCTCTGTGGAAGAGGCGTAATATATGAATGCTGCGGTTTAACAAGATGCAAAACTGTTAGGTATAGATACACTAAGGAGCTGCAAATAGTGGAAAACGTCATTTGGGGACCACCAATCTCCTGCATGATTGTAATTTACAGTAATTTAACACACTTGATGGAATAAGAGTTGCCTGAGAAAATCATTCCCATTCTTAGATCTGGCAACAACCAGGCACCTTTTAACACTATTCTCTCATTCCACAACATACAAATTCACAGTGGAATTACTATTAAAACCAAAAACAGAGCTAAGAACACATTTGCTTAAAACGCGCTTATGAAAAGCAGCTAACATCGTGTCACATTGCAAATGATCACAACCCCTTCCAAAACTCCTTTCTCACTTCTTTGCTGTCTTCTTTTTTTTTTTTTTTTCTTTTTCTTTTGAGACGAGTCTCACTCTGCTGCCCAGGCTGGAGTGTGGTAGCGCGATCTCGGCTCACTGCAAGCTCCGCCTCCCAGGTCCACGCCATTCCCCTGCCTCAGCCTCCTGAGTAGCTGGGACGACAGGCGCCCACCACCAAGCCCGGCTAATTTTTTGTGTTTTTAGTAGAGACGGGGTTTCACCGTGTTAGCCAGGATGGTCTCGATCTCCTGACCTCGTGATCCACCCGCCTCGGCCTCCCAAAGTGCTGGGATTACAGGTGTGAGCCACCGCGCCAGGCCTGCTCTCTTCTTCTTAATTATATTTTTAGGTTTTACAAAACAGAAAGTCAATGTTCAGTTTCTTTTACACCATAGAAAAAGAGTAAACAGGAAATATTGTATTAACAAATGAACAATTTAGTCATTTTCATTCCTTTACTGTTTTGACTTGTAACTTAGTAAAGAATGTTTTATGCCACTATACAAATACATACAATAAATACCCAGAGCTGTTTGTATCAAGGAATTAACCCATTTCATATGCCAGCACAAGGACTTAAATGCCTGCTTCCTAGATATTTAGACTAGTGTTCTCTCTCTAGAAAAGTTTCAAATATTTTAGGTTTCATAAATCTTTTTGTTTATATTGAAATTTGTATTTGTTTATATTGAATCATTTTTGCTTATATTGCCACTCTCTTAAATATTTTAATGATCAGGCCAGGTGTGGTTGCTCACTCCTGTAATTGCAGCACTTTGGGAGGCTGAGGTGGTCAGATCATCTGAGGTCAGGAGTTCGAGACCAGCCTGGCCAACATGACAAAACCCCGTCCCTACTAAAAATACAAAAATTAGCTGGGTGTGGTGGCACACACCTGTAATCCCAGCTACTCAGGAGGCTGAGGCAGAAGAATCACTTGAACCCGGGAGACAGACATTGCAATGAGCCGAGATTGTGCCACTGCACTCCAGCCTGAGTGACAAAGCAAGACTCCATCTCAAAATAAATAAATAAATAAATAAATAAATAAATAAATAAATAAATATTTTAATGATCAAAGATACTGTCCTTGGGAAGCTAAATTGGACTTAAGCAAGTGGCCAGCTTAAAAAAAATCTTATTAGAACAAAAGCTCAGTTTTTATTAATTTTAATTCCATTTTCTGATCAGACTTTACAGAACTTAACAGAGCTTTAAAAATCTCTTGCTCTTTTATTCCCCAAAACAGAAATGTTTCACAAGTAAAAAATAAAAAAAGTTAGTGCCATTTGTTTCATTATCTTAGACTTACCGATGATGAGAAGAAATGTCTGATAAAACATTTCTTAAGCTTGGCAGCTTTGGGTAATTATTTACAGGGTTGAAATAGAATTACTATCTAGACCCACAGTTTGGTTATTAGAACTAACCTTGTAACCAGGCAGGGACAAGAAGAACAGTGAACTGCCTTTTTGTCACAGACCTTATAGGGAAGAGGAGAAAAACTAGATGAACTATGTGCCAGGAATTCCTTTCTTAGTGAATGTCATACTCATGGCAGTGATTTAATAGCCTGTTCTAGGATACATCACAAGTTCCATTTTTTATTCAGTAGCAGAGAATTGTCAATTTGGTAGGGGAAGAATACATTAGTAATCATCTAGCAACCTTTAGGCACTTATAGTGAGGGGCTCCTATATAATGTCAAATCTATAAGTATATATGGCACATGCTAAACACACACTTGGGAACCGCAAACTTATGAATGGATTATATTCTGTAAGTGTTTATATGAACTGGTTATGTGAAATATACAACATATTTTTCCAACCAAAAAAAATTTTTAATGACGGCTACTGACCTAGGTTTGGCTCACAGAAGCCTAATCATTCATAGGATGACTTTAAAACTACATATATTTTTTTTTAAGATAGTAGAAGGAAAAATACTGCAAATGTGTTAAGTGTCAGTATGTTATGTCTTATGCAGAATGGCTTAGGAAACCAAGCACCACTGCTAAGGTTGCTTCCTATGGGTTGTTTCTGAGATAGGAAATGCATCTTCCCCTTGTGTTCTTCACAGTGTTGCTGACTGCCAAGAACTTCAAACCTTTTGCTGTGGCAGCAAAAAGAGAAGCCTTTGATGTAAAGGTCAGCTGTACACAGCTGATCTGAGTTGGCAGCCACAGGCTTAAGGACAGACTGCATTGATATTTATGGCATCTCTGGTTCTAACACAGTTTACCCAAGAACAACCTAAACATACAAATAATCACTGAAGGAAGTTATGTCTTGAATATCTTGAGAGTGGCTGACCTGGATGGGGGGTCCTGGCTCTTGTGAAATTACATAGGTGTACAGCATTAAAAGACCTGTGCCCTTCCTGTCCCTTTTTACGGACTCAATCTCTTAAAGGAACTGAAACCTTAGTCAGAGACTCTGAATATATACTCTCCATAACATCACTTACTGATAAGCTCCACTCTGGCATGGACTCACTGATATTTACTTCTGCATTCTTAAATGCTAGTCTCACAGAGGCTTTAGTTCTCACCTCTGACATCTCAATTAGGAGTGCATTTTCCAGTAGAAACATAGAAACATGATAATAGTTGGGTAGATAAATTGGTACTATATTTAACCATAACGTCAAATACTCGTCCTATAGAAAATGTGTTACGATTTCATAGAACTCATTGACAGCTTTATTTCATAGAGGAGAAATGTTCACATACTCATGAACAAATACAAATCCACAGAACATTATATAAAAGTAGTTTAACATTCAACAAGGTGGCTGATTTCATGCCTGAGCCACAGACTTGGTCTCATTATTTTATATACAGTCCTTGTATATTCTAAAGTCTTGTAGCGGGTTACACGATAAGTCCTGTTCAGCATCCCGTATTATAAATTACATACGGTTACTTCTCTGCACAATAAAAGGGCTTTGTTATTAGAGTAACTAAGAAATTAAAGCAGTGAGACAATAATTGAATTTTTAAAAATGTTAGCACCAATGAAAATTATTTGAAAATAGCATACAAGCATGCTTCACTATCAAAGTCTATGATATTGCTGAAATCCAACTACCAAGGAAATCATGTTATCTAAATCTACGAAGTCCCTGAGTTTTGGACAGCATAAGAGACTAGAAAGTTATCGCTTTTCTTTGTAAGACAGATCCATTATAAAAGGCATCTTAATGTTGCTAAAGTGTTCAATTGTCAATATTTGCTCAAACATGCCTTTGTTCGATATTAAACTGCTACGCTTCCTCACAAAGGAATTAACTGGTAACTTAATATGCCATTACAGTTGCTAAGGAGAAGACTCTGGCAAAAAAAAAAAAAAAAAAAAAAAAAAAAAAAAGGCTAGTAGTTGCTAAAGGGTCCTGGATCCCAAGAACTCCTTGAGAAGTGCGAGCCCATGGAAAACCCTTAGGGTGGGACCAGGACAAGAGGAAATGAGCAAACAGGACTCTTGGGTGTCCTGCTAGAAAGGGAATGGGAGGTAAACTCAGTAAACTGGTCCTAAATATAAGAGCAAGCTTAAAAATCAACAAAATGTTAATGACAAACCTTTGGGAGGCAAAGGCCAGGGACTCTAAATATTACCATGCCCCTCTCCACCCCCACACACAAAATCACAAAACAGCGAGTTTCATTTCACACAGGAATGCTTGTGGTTTCTCTAGCAAGGAGCAACGCAGTCTACGTGGAAATGCAAAAAACGGAAAAGCAAAAAAAAGCCTTTCCAGCTGGTTGGCTGGGAAAGAAGATCTATTGCCTTCTAAGATACGAAAGGGAGTATTTTTTAAAAGTCTCTATCTTGATGATGCTGGGACAGGTCATGTTACAAAAGAGCAACGTTTTTCAAAGGAATAGATACAACACATCCAGAAACAAGTGAAAATGGAACAAGCAGAGGTGTGAGGTTCCCAGGATAAGAAGAGGCAAATGTATAAAGAAATGTAAGGGACAGAATAAATAAATCCAGAGGAAAATGGGAAAAGCAAAGATGGGTGAAAACAGACATAGAACACGCAGGAGCAGAAGGAGAAAGTGAAATTATCTCACGGCAAAAACAGCAGAACTGTGAGGTGACTAATCACTAAGTAGTGGAAAATGTCCACAGGCAGTGTCTCTCAGGTTGCTCAAGAAAGCAGGTGTGGCCAATGCAGAGAAGCCTCGGCTGTAACTCTGTGGAATCAAATCCAGACTCAACCGCTGCTGGAAATAGTTTCCCAAAACCCAACTGAAATTCATCTTCCAGAATGTCATTGAAACTTAGGCCAAAAAGAAAAAAAAAATAAAAAGGAGAAAAAAAAATACAAGACAGGAATGTAATTTTAAAACACCCTTTCAAACCTAAGGTGTTTCTTCATGTGTCCATTTAGAACTGAGGGTTTTCATGAACTCTATTGCAACTTTTTCTGAAGATTTCAGACAGAAAATCCCTAAAGCAGAGGAAGCAGTACAGAGTTGCCAGAGCCCAGTGATTTCTCAGTCTCATTCAGGAAATAATTCACCAAATGTACTGTAATGTGAAATCCAACTAAATGTAAACTAAAATCACATGAAGAACTCTGGTTGTCCACCAAGGAATCAGCTCTTCTCAGTTTATAATCTGACAGCGCCACTGACTTTGGGACCATGGAAGCTGTAGCCTTTCCCCTAAGGTGACCAAAAGCAAAACAATAGCGCAGGAAATAGAAAGCAGGCTAGACACTAAACAGTGGGCCCTGGCAGTTAAAATTCCAAATCAAACCAAGTTCTTAAGACTAAATAGGAGTGTCTGTTTACCTCTGTGCATTTATACTTGATTTAAATGAAACAGTCACCAAGCCCAAAACAACTCTATGAAAACAAAAAACAAAGAAAAATCCTGTGATCTGACACAGTTGCTTTTCAAAATTTTCAGCATCAGGCTTCCACTCACCAACAGTTTTGGTTTACTAAGGAACTTTAAGAGAAACCAGATGTAACTTAAAATACAAGGACTGCAATACATACTGTAACTCATCTGGTATTAGCAACAATAAACCCCAGACCTATAAGGGGCTCACTCGCAATCTTGATCTATAAAGCTAAGGACCAATGGCATTAAGGATGCTACAAGAATAGCATTTTCACATTCAAAGTCCTTTCTCAGCCTTCCTCTGTCTTCTCAAACCATTTCTTCTTGCAGTCAGAGCTCAAGAAGAGTGTTTTACACACACACACACACACACACACATACACACCCCCCCTCACAAGTTTGTCCCTAAAGCCCATACAGTACAGAGGGCCACAGAAAGAAAATTTCTCAGCCATGCATAAGGCATCCCTGGGCTCCCCCAAGGAGACCACCCACCCCAGAAATGATGAGACACTCCTGCTCCCTGCCGTGTGAGGCATGTACTGAGCAAAGGTTGCCAACCTTTGGCAAGCTACGAAGAAATCAGAATGTAACTGCAAGAGACTTTAGACTTTTCTCCATGAGGAAACACCCACTTTAAAACAGCTGTGGATTTTCTTAATAATGTGCTACCAAAGGTACTTTAATCTTCTGTAACTGATTTTTGCAGACCCCCACATTTTCAACTTTTGGATTATCCAGTTTGCTGACAGAATTTGCTACATTCGTTCAGTCTTTCAAGTACTATTCAACTGAATCAAAAAACATCTTTTACTTGCAATAAAAGAAAATAAGTGCTTCCTCTCAAAGTTATTCACTCTAAATTTCCAACACACTAATTACTTTTAGTCAGATAATGACTGTAAGGAGACAAGAGTAAAAAAAGGCAACATTATACAGAGCTATGTTTGAGCTGTACATGAACACTTTGCTCCATCTGGCAGTCAAAACCAAAGCAAAACAAAACAAACCCAAAATTTCTGTAGTGGCCAAAAACATACAGTTTTTAGAAACACACAGTATGCTGTTTTTAGGCTGTTATTGCTGAATGTAGCCTTTTTATACACCTAATACCTCAAAATTTGCTTTACAGTTGGTGGTCAATGAAAGAGAAACACAAAAATTAAGTCCTATCATATGGTGAGTATGCAGAGATATCATCTACTGTCAATTTTAAGAAGAAAAAGAGAAGAAAAGTAAAGGGGGGGAAGAAAAATGAAACAGGACAAATGATATAGTACGGAATAGGGAAAAATGGCAAGGCAAGGCAAAAAGGGCCTTTGTCCAGCATATATCAAGGTATATTACAAAGTGTAAGAGAAAAATGGAAAAGAATAGAAATTCCAGAAAAATATAAAGGAGGGATGAAGAAAAAGAAAGAGAGAAAAGAGACTGTGTGTGTGTGTGTGTCTGTGTGTGTGTTTTCCAACTTAGCTAACAAGTGGCATCATAAAGAAAGCAGGTGTGGCCGATGCAGAGAAGTGGCATCATAAGCCTGTGAGAAAGGACAGATTATCTAGAAACTGATGCTGGGAAAACTGACTCATCTTGTGGAAAAAAATTGGATCCCTCTCATCATATACAAAAACATATTCCAGATGGATCAAAGGTCTACATAAGAAAGGTAAACTGACCAGGCGTGGTGGCTTATACCTGTAATCCCAGCACTTTGGGAGACCAAGGCAGGAGGATCACTTGAGCCCTGGAGGTTTGAGACAAGCCTGGACAACATAGCGAGACTCTGTCTCTAACAAAAATAAAAAATCAGCCAGGCCTGATGGTGTGTGCCTGGGGTCCCAATTGCTCAGGAGGCTGAGGTGGGGGAACCGCTTAAGCCTGGTAAATTGGGTCTGCAGAAAACTATGATCATGATCATGCCACTGCACTCCAGCCTGGGTGACAAAGGGATGCCCTATCTCAACAACAACAACAACAAAAACAACAACAACGTAAAATCAAATAGAAAAATATTAAGTTGACTTTGAGACACTAGGCTTTGGGGAGCCCAGCAGAGGCAGTGTAAATACCCATTTGCAGAGGAAGGAAGAGTGGAACACCCTGCAGCCCTTCAATCGCCCCACTTTTTCCTGATTACTCAGATGCAGCTACAAAGTTGTGACCACATTTTCTTTATGGGAAGCATAAAGAAAGCCAGCACAGCTCTCTAGAGAGCAGGCACCTCGGTCCCTGGTCACCTGCATCATCAGTCAATGGAACCAGCCTGCACTGCTGACCTCCAGACCTTTTGTGCTAAGTGGGAAAATTCACCTTTGCTCTTGGAAGCTACTACTGGTTGGGTTTTCTGTTCTTTGCAGCCACGAATGAAAGTGCATGGTAAAGTAAATGCTGTATACCCAAAGTAACAAAACATTGCCCACCACTATGGTTTTGAAATGTCCTTTAGCATTCAGGGCAGATGTGCTCTTGAAAATAATCAAAACTATTTCTAGAATCAACGGTGCCTCTAAGATACTCAACTAAGGAGATGGGATCAGAAGAAGATTCAGGAAGAAGAGAAATGAGAAGAAAGACAGCAGCCTAGCAGCCAAGTAGGATAAAGATGCTAAAAGAAAATTGTTCTTTCTCTCTTCACCCATTATTGAGCCCTGGTTCAACTGCTGCTAACCCAGGTTCTGATGGCATTCCGAAGAATCAGCCCCAGACAGACAGTAGGATTGTTCAGGAAGGCCCAAATCTTGCAATTGTGCCAGAGAATTAGATCCTTCTACTGAGACGTTTTGCAAGCAGATACTCAAACTCTATCCCTGGGCATGCCTAATATCAGAGAACTGCATGCCAATATATTTAAAATGCCATCAATACGCGCTGATGACAAAAACCTAGATTTATATACTTAGGTCAACTCCACAACAGCACAAATGTCACACTGTGAGGCTCTTTTACACTTTGCGGTGCCAGTGAAAAATCCTTTAGATTCAGCAATATAATTATAGCAAAGTGGGTTTGCTCTTTGTTTTTTCCACATTCTCTCCTTAGCTGAAGAGATATTTTAAAAATGCATACAACATCCAATTTTATGTCTAAAAATAAGAAAAACTGTAGAAGTTCAATAGCTCATGTGAAATCATAGTGAGGTATAATGTAGAGAAGGTTATAACAGAAAGGGAGGCTTGTTTTCATCTTAACACATTATTAAACTTGGTTTTCTGGAAAAAAATAAATGCACCCTATAGGTATGTTATATGTACAGTCTCAATTTCCAAATGCATTAGATTCCCTAAAAATATTGAGCCTGTGGTTTTTGGTTCCAAACCTACATGTGAATGGATATATGCTTCAGGCACTTTAAAAATACAAAGAAGTTAAATTAAAGTTTGTCTCTCCTAAACAAAATTTGAAGTTTTTAATGGTTCAATAAAGAAAAAATTAAAATATAAAAGCAGAATATGTATTTTGACTAGCAGTAAGAAACAGTTATATTTTGGGCTATAACATTTCCTGGATGTTAAATTATTCTTCTCCAGTAATATTATCTGCTTAACAGTGAAATATTTTGCATCTCAACAGATAAAGTTAGACATCCCTAACACACAGAGAGAACAAATGAAATAGTTCCCACTGGGCACGTTACTTCCTAAATACAAAACATATCCCAGGTATTATTAATAAAGGACTTCATTAGGTTTTAAGGAAATTAACAGCTGATAGTTTTTAACATTTATATTTTATTACAAATATTTATTAGTAACATCTCAAAAAGGATAGCATGGTAGGCTGACACCAGTCAGAAACACCACATCAAAACCTTAAGAAATGGCAGTGATCAGTGTTTCAACAACTGTACCATTTATATTAGAATCACTTTAGTAGTATAGAAATAAAAAGGAACGTTTCAGTTAAGTTACAGGCATGGGTGATTTAAAAACAAAACACTAAAGGAGCAAGAAAAACAACCTTATTTATTTGGAGCCTGTGACCTTTCCTGGCTTTTCTGAATTAAGAATAGTTACTGGAGACTTGCAGAACTGCTATCCTTCTATGGCTATTGATTTGGGTGTGTGCATCTTCTGTTTCAAACCCACTCAATCAGCTCTGTGATTAAGAGTTTATTCCCTAGGGCTGTTCTTCCGTTTCATAAAATCTTAACATTTTTTAACAGAGAAAGAGAAAAAGAAAAACAAAGCTTGGGATGCAAAAGACTTTCCCAAGGAAGAACACAAACACGAAATAGGAATCAGCTGTTTTCAATGAGCACCCTTCAGGTAAGAAAATATTCGTGGCTTCAAGAGAGTAAAGACTGCTTCCAATTAAAAAGCAGGTTTCCGATTTCTGGAACATTAAGTCACAATTAACAAGCTTTTCACTTGAAAATGGTAATAGCTGGATTATAATGGTAATTATGACCTAGATGGGAGGCATTTTGTTTAAAAAATCTTCCACTCAATCCATTATGTATAATATCCAACATGTAGACTTTTTCACCTATCATATTTTATTGACTGTAGGATGCACCTTTCAACTTCTATGAAGTGGTGATGCATCTTCAAACTGATAGCTGCAATAGCTAGTGGTCTGGTAGCGGTCATAACATAGATCTATATGCAAGCACAAACTGGGACACAAAGGTTCGTTATTTCTTGTGTCAAAACAAATCTTAGAGTTCTTATGAACTTAAAATAATTCCAAATGACAACACAGCATTCTGTCATAGTTTAACAGTGGCATTTTTTTTCTTCCTTAGTGGTTATATGTTTCTAACAATCAATGGCATTTTAGATTTGATGAAATAGGGTATAAATATAATCCAGATTAATAATGCTTGTCTATGGCTGGTGATTGAAGTTGCCTAACACACTGAGTATAAAACTTTCAACTGGCCATCATGGGTCCACACAGTAGAATCCCAACTACACTTAACAGTCTTCTCTCTCACTCGCTACCATTTTTCTACTCCTGCTGTGAGCAATAAACTATTCACAATGCCCTGAACATTGACTCCATCTACTTGCCTTAGAAGTTTCTCATGGTCTGTTTCTGCTAGGACTCATTATCCTCACACTGCTCTAGATTTTGCTCTAGAGTCTTTATTTATCCTTCAAAGTCCATGTCAAACACCAGGTCCTCTAAGCAACTTTTTCTAATCTCTGCACTTAGATTTGTTCTCACTCCAGATCATATGAAACATCCCCAAATATTATGTCTGTGCATCCATGTTTCAAAACTTATAAACTGAAGGCTTGATGTTAGAATTCAGCTGGTAACTAACTCTAGGTTTTGTTGATCCACACTGTTTTCATTTTTGATTATTTTTAACTTGAGCCAACATTTTAAAAAGTCATAAAAATCCCAACTTTGAAGCACTGGGTGCCTGGCTCCTTGGACATTTCTTCAATCCTTGATTTATTCAACTAAGGGTCTGGAGGGCACTTAATGGCAGAAATTTTATCTTATGCATCTTTGTAGATCCACAGTGGGCATTTGAGAAACAGGTTGAAATGAGTATCTACTTTTTAAACCTATTTTAATAACATTACAGTTTTAAGAGATGCTCTGTAAAAGTCACATTTGAACAAAAACATCTGAATTATACGAAATTAAGTGGATACATTATATGTAACAGAAAATGTGGATAACTTTTATTTATTATACTGTTTGTCTTGTTTCTGCTTATTTTGCTGTATATTCAGACTCAAAGGAGGAGACAGACTGAATATCAATATGAAGTTCTTACTGGAATTTCTATAGAAATAATACCAATACACATTGCAAAAATACAATAATGCGTATAGTTTTGACAGCCAGTAGAGTTCATGATTCTTAATTCTAAATAGAGCATAACAGAAACCCAACAGGAACTCAGGAAGATGACCTTCAGAAGTATTCTGTGCTTCTCTAAGTTTAGATCAATTAAACAGATCAGTATTGAGCATCTAACGCATACCATGGACTCAGGATACAAAGAAGAAATCATGAACAATAGTCTCTGCCCTTAGAATTAGCAAACATTAATTTTCCCAAAGAAACCACATAATATCAATTAAATGAATATCAATCCATGTGACCATAAGCAAGTGTTTAAAAACTCTTATGTCTTTGAAATCTCTTCCTCAGCAAATAGCCCTGAGTATTAAGTAGACAACTTAACCAAACCATTATTTAGTGGAATCTTCCTAGGCAAGCTCAAAGAGCTGTAAAGCTTCTCCAGGGAGTTTAAAAATAATGGAGAAACTGGAAGGACCTCCACAATGATGGAGTGCAATCCTTCTCTAAGCAGGTTCCCAAAACAGCAGCAGCAGCTGCCTCACCTGGGAACTCACTGGAAATGAAATTTCTCAGGCCCCACTTAGTTAGAGTCTCAGGGGGTAGGGCTCAAAAATGTGAAACTCTCCAAGTGATTCTGACGAACATTCGAGTTTGAGAAATACTGACCGAGTACAATACCCTACATGCTCCAGAGAAGTTAAGAATCTTTACAAGCCCACTCAGCCCGAAGAGACTAAACTAGGGCTAAGATACAGGTTTCCTGTTTCCCAATCAAATATTCTTCTACTATACCAGAACAGGTTTATAATATTTTCCACCCTACGTCAAGATAAAAATCGAATTCTGAACCACGTGTACAAACTTAGAGAAACAATGACTGGTTTGAGGTATTTTCATTCTCCCCACCCCCCACCACTTTTTCATATGAATCTTACTGGAGAAAAAGATATTTAGGAAAAGTAACCAATTTATTGCTAAAGGCAGACAAGACTATTAATGTGACCTGGGCTAAATCTCAATGTATCAAGAATGTATAGTATAGCATTATACTATATATTCTTTCTTTATTATCTGCCTGATCCACCAGGTTATAAGCTCCATGAAGGCAAAAATTCTGTGTTCTTTACATCTACATCCCAGTCCCTAGAACACTGCCTGGCATATAGGACACTCTCAAAAGTCACTCGATTTGAGACAATGAAAACATAAATTTAAAACTGACTTGTATTATCACTTAAACTTTGGTATGTCTTTTATCCAGCTACGTTATAAACTATTAAAGACTAAGTCTTAAATAATTTTTGAACCCACATCACCTAGTATGATATAATGTAACTTACCTGTCTGGCAGCTGTCAAAGTTTTTTCTGCAAGGGCCAGATAGTAAATATTTTAGGCTTTGTAGGCCATTTGGACTTGGCTTTAGCTAGTCAACTCTGCCTCCGTAACACGAAAGCATACAAAGACCATATGTAAATGATGGATGAGGCTGTATTCCAATAAAACTTTTTATTTACAAACACAGGCAGCTGGCCAGATTTGGCCTGTGAAATGTGGTTTGCCAATCCCTGATGAAAGCAAGAGAGCTAACAACTATTATTGGTTTTATATTTAAAAACTAAGTTGACAGATACAGACAAAAGGCTATACACAGGGTTTCAAATAGCCATTTTTAGAAAGAGCATATAAAGGTTTATGTTATCTAAGGTATATACTCCATAATGTATATTTTAAAATAACTGAAAGAGTAAATTTCAAATGTCTCACCATAAAAAATGATAGGTAAATGAAGTGATAGACATGTTAGTTTGATTTAATCATTCCACATCATATACATATATCAAAACATCATCACATTGTACCCCATAAATGTATACGATAATTTTTCAATCAAAAATAATAATAGGTATAAATAAAATGTATAAACCCCTAAGAAATGAATAACTATTTCTGCATACTTATCTCTTACATCATTTATTTGCTTATTTATTTAAGTTGGTCTTAAAGTTCATTTCTGTATTTTTTTAAATACAAAGATATAATCAAAATGGACAATTAAGGAAAGGCTGTCTTCTTCACATCTTTTACCTTGTAAGATTTGGGTGCAATAAAGACAGCAGTAGAAATGACCATGGCTTTATCAAATGCAAGTTTACTCTGGCACCCTGGAGCTGAAGCTAATCTTCTCTAAGGCATCCAAAAAGGCTTTAATAACAAACAAATATATCACTTTATATTTCTCTTTTTATAAAAGAATACTTCCTTTGTAATAACAGCCATGGAAAGACAGACCTGGCTGACCAACCACTCTGTGTGGTCCCGTGAACCTCAGCAGCTGACATGAGCCATGATAAATCACTTGGTTTCTGTTGCTGGGGAGAATGTCCTTTGGAAATGGAGGGAAAGGAGAAAGCCAAGAGCTGAAAGTGACCCTCTGAAGTACTACTCTGTTGCCAGAATCATGGCTATTGTTATTGGCATTCGCTTTTCTAAGAGACAATGAATTATTTCCCTGCTGTTGACATATCAGCTGACTTTACATTTTTTCTTCAGTGAGTTTTGTGAACTCAGAACAGATTTTTCTCTCCATTCCCTTTTTGTTATATGCAATCATTGACAATGCCAGTAGATGAACACCCAGCTAGGAAACAATGGCTTAATGAATACCTGTATTCATGCTCTGCTTTAGGAAAAGGAAAGAATGCCTCTCCTAGCCTACTCCTGCAAACTGATTCACACCAAGGACAAAGGTAACCAGTCTGGGATAGAAACTCAGCCATAGCAATGAGCAGCCTTAGTGTTTCTCACCTTAGTTTGCTCAGCTATGAAACTGAGAACTCACCTCCTCAATCATTTTCCCCCTTCTTACCAATCATACCACTGCCAAATTTTAATTAAGGAAGAAGGTAGGTGTTTTTCTTACCCCTGTCCTCTTTGGCAGAAGCAATGAGGGAGCAAATATTCAGAGACACCTTGTTGTCTGAAAGAGCTGAGCTGCTTTAGTTCTCCAAATGCTGACAGGCTACATAAAATAATTTTTATGAAAACATTTGTAAATGCTGAGGCACTTCACAAATATTAATACATTGTTTTAAGTCTTTGCTCACCCTAAATTGTAATATTTGATGTAGTTAGGCCATACTTTATAGATGTAAGCAAAATAAAGTTTCAGTAGGAAAAAGATGTCTCAAAGCTAAGTAGATTAAATTCTGTCCACATCGTTATAACTGCTTTTAGCAAACTTCAGAGGCACTAACCAAATGGGAAGGCCAATTTGGATTGCTACAAAAATATGACAAATAAATTACTTCTTTGTGGCTGCAAAAAATAATACCAGGACATAATTCTTCCTACTTCTCCCTTCCTTCAACCTCTCTCATCTGCCTGTGGTAATATATATGCTCCAAAATAGATAGAATATTAGAATTGCAGAAATATACAAATATCTACCCTATAATAGGATAGCATGAGGTAAAAACACAAATCAGACAGAACAATGATCCCCCAAAGATCTCCACATCCTAACCCTTAAATCCTGTGTTAGGCTACACGGCAAAAGGTAATTAAGGTTGCTAATCAGCTGATCTCAAAATAAAAAGTTAGCTGATCTCAAAATAAAAAGTTATCTAATTGTTATCTGTGGCCCTAATGTAATCATAAGGCTCCTTAAAGGTGGAAGAGGGAGGCAGAAGAAGCAGAGAGAGATGTGACTACAGAAGAAAAGGCTTTGAAAACAGAGGAATGGAGCCATCAGAAAAAAATGTGGGGGGGGGGCGGTGGGGGGCTCTTAGAGCTGGAAAGGCAAGGAAACAAATTCTCAGTCTCCAGAAGGGAACATGGTTCTGCTTTCACGTTGACTTTAGCCCAGTGATATGACTGCTGGAATTCTGACCTACAAAAATATAGGATAATAAATTTGTGTCTGTATTAAGCCAGCTAAGTTTGTGGTCAGTTGTTAGAGCAATAGAAAACTAACACTAGATATTTCTGATATATTAATTCCTGCATAATCCTGTGAGGGATTATTATTATCATTCCCATCTCACAGTTGAAGATACTGTGACAAGTTATTAACTTGTCCAATGTCACAGAGCCAATAAGTGGCGGAACCAGCATTCAACCCAGTTAGTCAAGTTCCAGAGCCCAATCCCCTAAGCCAGGACTTTATGATGTGAAAGACTGAAAATTACTGAAAAATACTTTATGGACAGCCATAACCTGTGGTTAAAAGTTGAAGTTTTGTGATGGAAAGTCTTTAGAAGATTAGAGTCATCATGTGGTTAAAGGAAATAAAGTTATTTACTATAACATTTAATCAAGAATGTGAATGTAGCAGAACAGGGTCATAACAGGAGATAGAAAATCTAATTTAAGGCCTGACTGAATCTGCAGAAGTAGCCCAAATAAAAACACTCTTATAAGAACTCTCAACATGGGTCAATCTTTCTCATTTCTTCTGGACCATCAACTTCATCCATTTGCTGTAATGAACTTCCTTTCTATGGTTCAGTTCCTATAAGGCTATCTCTGATCACCTCCAGATGTTCTCTATTACCCAGTATCTTCACAATGACCTCCTGTATCCATCCTTTTCCTTGAACCCTGGTCCAGAGGCAGATATTGTACTGAATATCAGAGAGAGACATCTGAATTTGATAAAGGGGGTCTCATCAGCAAATCTCAAGATAAGGATAAAGATGTCAAATCATAAAAGTTTCATCATGGAATGTAAGATTTTATGCTTCCTCTTCAATGGCTAATAAAATAAAATATTAAACAACAAATAAAGAATAATTGTCACTTTTGAAAAAATTATTCTTTTTAAAATTAAAAAATATTAATGAATTTTTATTAATGAATTAGAAGCTTATTCTTTAAATGGCACCTCATTCTAATTTTTTAACAAAGTTTTAAAATGCATGCATGAAAGCTATTTTTTTAAAAAAAATCATATCTTTTAACAAATGAATGGCTTTATCAAGTATTAGCTTAACAATAAAATTTTTCTTTGGAAGAAAAATTGAGTGGGGAAAGATATATGCCAAAACACTGAGAGAGCTTTTTAACTACACTACAAAACAGGCATTATTAAAACAGCAATCTTCTGCTACAACTATGAAATTCAAATTTTTCTATCATAAAACAATACTATTTTTTCCAGGTAGCAATTGAAATAATACTTGTTTCAAGGGAACAAAACATCAATTTAAGAATATAATAAAGTATGATATCATCATTCAATTTTTTAAAAGCTCACTTAGAATTGCAATTTTATTAAGCTCAACAATGATTTTGAAATATTTGTCCATTTGTCCTTGAATAAGCTAACTTCTTCTGCCTTAGTTCATTAGCGTGGAATTAAAAATGAAAGGAATTTTTGTGGCATGAATATTTCACAGCAAAGATGATACTCGATACCTGCTTAAGTTGTGTTGTCACGGGAACCATCTAGGAGAAACCATTTGAAAACTAGAATTTCCAAACCATTAAAACACTGCCTTAAAGTCTGGCTTCACTTACAGTTTGGAAATCAAACCTGCAGTAACCATTTTTATTTTTAAAACATGTATAACCCATCTGCTTTAAAAAAAAAAAAAAAGAAAAGAAAACTATTAACTTCACTCTGAAAAGACTTGAATTTCCTTTCCATGAAAAATCCTGACTCTATAGCATACCAACCTGGGGGATTCTGCTGCCTAGCAGGTAACCATGGAAACAGAAGCACACACTGTGAGCCTGCACTGAAGCTAGCATGATAAGACCATAACTGAGATGTTTGGTGTATGTTTTCACAGCTGCTGTCTCCTTGCTTTATTTCTGCTGGTATTTTAAGGGAAATTCAACTAACTTCATCTTTTCCTTTAAACTTACCTAAAGCTCACTATCAAAATATCCAAAAAAAAAAAAAAATCCCAGCAAATGGTGGTAGAGAAATAAAAATTTAGAGAGAGGGGAAGAGGCCCTGGTCCCATTTTGTTGGATGCATGTGTGTGCCATTCTATAGCTCAAGTTTCATTGGCCTACAAGATAAACTAGTCCACAGAAAAGTGACAGCCAGACTGGTATTGATGAGAGACCTGGAGATAGTATTTTCTTAAGAAATCAGATATCACAAAGTCCTCCACAATTTGGCCCCAAGCCACTTAATTTTAAGCCAACGTCCAAATATACAATTCCATGAATTCTGCATTCCAGCCAAATATGTCTGCTTGTCATTCTGTAAATAAGCTAAATATCTGACTTTCCCGAACAACCACCACCACCCGAATGCCTTTTGAGCCATCATCCTACAAGGAGTAAATAATCTATAAAACCAGGTTCAATTGCCACCTGGCAAAAATGACTTATGAATTTACATTAACTATTTTATTCACATTGCTTGACATTTACTTCATGCCTACCAAAGTATTCAGGTGTCTGCATCACTTCTCCAGGATACTATTGATCATTTAAGGTGTGGGCAATGGCTCTGAATCTAATAGCTAGTTCTCTAGTAACCTGAATGACAATAATGATAATGGAATGGTAGAAAATTAAGGAATATCAGCTTCAATCAATCAATATTTAAGAATATTAAAGTAGAAACCTTTAAGCACATCAAGCCAAAGCTGTTGACACACAGTTAGACCAGAGAATTTTGGCTGGGAACAGTGGCTCACTCCTGTAATCCCAGCACTTTGGGAGGCTGAGGTGGGCAGATCACTTGAGGTCAGGAGTTCAAGACCAGACTGGCCAATATGGTGAAACGCCATCTCTACTAAAAATACAAAAATTACCCAGGCATGGTGATGGGCACCTGTAATCCCAGCTACTTGGGAGGCTGGGGCAGGAGAGCTGCTTGACCCCAAGAGGAAGAGGTTACAGTGAGCTGAGATTGTGCCACTGCACTCCAGCCTGGGCAACAGAGTGAGATTCCATCTCAAAAAAAAAAAAAAAAAAAAAAAATTAAAGCATACACATGACCTCATGGCAGAAGTGACTAACTCTTGAGAATACCACTGAGATATAATAATTCATTCACATGGACAGTTGTTAATGTCAAGAAATCCTTAAAATATGCCGTAAGAGCTAGACAGTATACTTCTCTGAAAAGAAAATGAGTAGAAATATTTTCCCTTTAAAGACTTCTTCAGACAGCTTTCTGACAAAACATACACAAGTAAAATGAAACATGACACTTGGGTGTGAAGTAATACTTGCACTTAGGAAAAAAACAAGTTTTCAAACTGCCTACTTTGGCAGTTTCAGACATCAACTTATAAATGAAGTCATAATAAAATTGAACATCCAAACTTTAATGGCCAATTTTATAACAGAAAAAGTTATAGTTGTGTCAAGTCCAAAAGTATACCTTTCATTTTTTGATATTCCAACTGCCTACGAGGCATCTCCACCAAGTATCTTAAATCCAACAAGTCCAAGGCTTAAATGATTATCCATTCCATTCCTACATGTACAAAACAAAACCAAAACTGCTTCGGTATTCAAGTTTCCTATTGCTGGTTCAAAGTGCCAGCAGCCATGGTCACTCAAACTAAAGCCTCTAAGTCAGTCTTGACTCGTCTCGTCTCCTAGGCTCAAACCCTAAATCCAACAATTTCAACAGAACTACAATATCATGAAAAATAAAAGGCATGGGTTTAAATATAAAGGGATTCTTACTAGGTACACAATCCTTGGACAAGATACTCAATCTTATTCTCAGTTTCCCGTTTGTAATGCAAAGATATAAGACCTCTCTCAACATGAGTCTTATAAGAAATTTTTTAAAATAAAAAAGTAAGCTTCAACTAACAAATAGTTTTTGAGATGTATTTCTGTCATTCTATATTGCTCTCTTGGGAATTCGCCAAACATATTGCCAAATTAAAGGTTATGAGAAATAATATAAATAGAGCAAAAATGATCTCACTCTGTTTAATCTACTGTTTCCCAAACTTCTTGGACTACAGTATCCTTATTTGAGAAATGTATTAATATTTCTTCCCCCGAAAAAATCAGTCACAAAATACTAACTTCTTTCATGGGGCTGTTACAAGGTTAAAGCTCACATTGATCATATATAATCCATAAAAATTAATTCAAATCCCTTCTCCTTCTGCAAATCAATTCTATTGCCTAAATATCTTGCTCCTAATCTCCTTGGGTTGCCATTTCCATTACAACAGTTCATCTCTCATCTGTATTACGGTCAACACCTTCCAACAACTCGTCTGCCCTCTTCAGGTGATTCTCCACCCAGAAATCTAAAATACAAATGTGAGCACTGCCTTCTATGTAAAGAACAAATTCCTTAGGACACAGGCCCGTCTCAATTTGGTCCCAAATCCATTTCCAGTCTCTTGACCATGCTCCTCACCATTTGAAACCACTCTTTCACGGTTCCAGGGACAGCGTTCACATTGTAATCTCTCACAGTCCAGGCACCTAATTTCCCACGGTTAATGAAATATGTGGGCTTTCAGAGCTCTGCCTTTTCACGTGTCACCCCTTTGGTCTGCCAAAGCCACACCATTCACGTGTCACGCCTTTGGTCGGCCAAAGCCACCCCACACCCATCCCTTTCTCCATCTGGCGAACAATTCATCCTTCAAGGCCAACTCAAATGTCACTTCTTCTAGGAGGTCTTCCAGAATGAGTTAGTCACTCCTCATGTGGACTCCCATGACACTTTGTTTTAAACTCTGTCCTAAGGAGCTGTTAAAACTTGGGAATAAGAGTTAAAAGATTTAAACAGTGATGTAGAAATTATTAATTTCCAAAGAGGTTTTTTTTCTTTTCACCCAAATCCAAGCCACTCCATAATGACTCTTGACTAAACACACACACATATATACACCCATCAAATAAGATCCAGGGAAATATGGAAACAAAAGCCCCAACACAATCAAATAAACTTTATAAATCATTTGATTTATCCAAATGAATCAGAGCTGATCTCATTTTGAAATACCTGATGGTGTCTTGACAACTTTTAAATGTCAAAGGAGTTTCAGGGAACAGCACAAAACCTTAAGACTCTGATAAGTTTCCAAAATATAATTTCTAAATTATAATCGTCTTTTCTTTATACATGTGCAAATCTTTTAGAATTCAACAGGGAAATAAACCTTCATTTCAAAAATTAACTTTGAATTTGGGAAATAAAAACACACGTTATTTCCATGCACTGGTCATAGTAATAGCTACCATTCCCTGGGAGCCTAGTGCCAGGACTACTCCAGGCACTTCCTGCAGGTTCCTGCATTTAAATCCCACAGCCATCCTATGAAGTAGGAACCATTATTCTTGTTTTACATATAAGGAAACTGATCAAAAAGATTAAGTAAACCCAGCTAGACATCATCAAGCAAGGACTCAAATACAGACAATCTGACCCACAAGGTCATGTATATATTCTATAAGCTAAAGTCTATTACCAAAAAGCTAAACAGATTAGATGACTTCTCTATAGAGTAAATAAAGACTTGTTCCAACTGTCAAATTCAAAGGGGCAACCTTCTTTGACCAGTGGAGATATAAGCCATTCATCTAAGATTTATATACTAATTTCCCAAACTGATAAGTGATATTATTAAAATATTTTTTATTTCCTAACAGAGGGAAAAACTACCAATTTTCTAGAGGAAGGGATATGTGTACATATATCTATATATAGATTTTGATTTTTAATTTGACAAAACAGTAAACCCAAGTTAGATCGGTTCTAACAACAAAAGTGTTCAGTTAAAATTTATCTATAATAGCTCAAGAACAAATGAGGAGAAAAATATTATACTTCCATGTAAGAATTGTTGGAGAGAAATTAGATCTGGAAGGAAAGTAAAAAAAAAATTAAACTAAAGTTTTATAAAATCAGCTCCATCGATGCAAAAATCCTCAAGAAAATACTGGCAAACCGAATACAGCAGCACATCAAAAAGCTTATCCACCATGATCAAGTTGGCTTCATCCCTGGGATGCAAGGCTGGTTCAACATACACAAATCAATAAATGTAATCCAGCATATAAACAGAACCAAAGACAAAAACCATATGATTATCTCAATAGACGCAGAAAAGGCCTTTGACAAAATACAACAGCCCTTCATGATAAAAACTCTCAATAAATTAGGTATTGATGGGACGCATCTCAAAATAATAAGAGCTATCTATGACAAACCCACAGCCAATATCATATTGAATGGAAAACTGGAAGCATTCCCTTTGAAAACTGGCACAAGACAGGGATGCCCTCTCTCACCACTCCCATTCAACATAGTGTTGGAAGTTCTGGCCAGGGCAATTAGGCAAGAGAAGGAAATAAAGGGTATTCAATTAGGAAAAGAGGAAGTCAAATTGTCCCTGTTTGCAGATGACATGATTATATATCTAGAAAACCCCACTGTCTCAGCCCCAAATCTCCTTAAGCTGATAAGCAAATTCAGCAAAGTCTCAGGATACAAAATCAATGTGCAAAAATCACAAGCATTCTTATACACCAATAACAGACAGAGAGCCAAATCATGAGTGAACTCCCATTCACAATTGCTTCAAAGAGAATAAAATACCTAGGAATCCAACTTACAAGAGATGTGAAGGACCTCTTCAAGGAGAACTACAAACCACTGCTCAATGAAATCAAAGAGGATACAAACAAATGGAAGAACATTCCATGCTCATGGGTAGGAAGAATCAATATCGTGAAAATGGCCATACTGCCCCAGGTAATTTATAGATTCAATGCCATCCCCATCAAGCTACCAATGACTTTCTTCACAGAATTGGAAAAAACTACTTTAAAGTTCATATGGAACCAAAAAAGAGCCTGCATTGCCAAGTCAATCCTAAGCCAAAAGAACAAAGCTGGAGGCATCATGCTACCTGGCTTCAAACTACACTACAAGGCTACAGTAACCAAAACAGCATGGTACTGGCACCAACACAGAGATATAGACCAATGGAACAGAACAGAGCCCTCAGAAACAATGCCGCATATCTACAACTATCTGATCTTTGACAAATCTGACAAAAACAAGAAATGGGGAAAGGTTCCCTATTTAATAAATGGTGCTGGGAAAACTGGCTAGCCTTATGGAGAAAGCTGAAACTGGATCCCTTCCTTACATCTTATACAAAAATCAATTCAAGATGGATTAAAGACTTAATTGTTAGACCTAAAACCATAAAAACCCTAGAAGAAAACCTAGGCAATACCATTCAGGACACAGGCATGGTCAAGGACTTCATGTCTAAAACACCAAAAGCAATGGCAACAAAAGCCAAAATTGACAAATGGGATCTAATTAAACTAAAGAGCTTCTGCACAGCAAAAGAAACTACCATCAGAGTGAACAGGCAACCTACAGAATGGGAGAACATTTTCGCAATCTACTCATCTGACAAAGGGCTAATATCCAGAATCTACAATGAACTCAAACCAATTTACAAGAAAAAATCAAACAACCCCACCAACAAGTGGGCGAAGGATATGAACAGACACTTCTCAAAAGAAGACATTTATGCAGCCAAAAGACACATGAAAAAATGCTCATCATCACTGTCCATCAGAGAAATGCAAATCAAAACCAAAATGAGATACCACCTTACACCAGTTAGAATGGTGATCATTAAAAAGTCAGGAAACAACAGGTGCTGGGGAGGATGTGGAGAAATAGCACCATTGGTGGTACTGTAAACTAGTTCGACCATTGTGGAAGACAGTGTGGCGATTCCTCAGGGATCTAGAACTAGAAATACCATTTGACCCAGCCATCCCATTGCTGGGTATATACCCAAAGGAATATAAATCATGCTGCTATAAAGACACATGCACACCTATGTTTATTGTGGCACTATTCACAATAGCGAAGACTTGGAACCAACCCAAATGTCCATCAATGATAGACTGAATTAAGAAAATGTTGCACATATACACCATGGAATACTATGCAGCCATAAAGAAGGATGAGTTCATGTGCTTTGCAGGGACATGGATGAAGCTGGAAACCATCATTCTCAGCAAACTATCGCAAGGACAAAAAACCAAACACCGCATGTTCTCACTCATAGGTGGGGATTGAACAATGAGAACACATGGACACAGGAAGGGGAATATCACACACCAGGGACTGTTGTGCGGTGGGGGGAAGGGAGAGGGATAGCATTGGGAGATATACCTAATGTTAAATGACGAGTTAATGGGTGCAGCACACCAACATGGCACATGTGTATATATATGTAACAAACCTGCACGTTGTACACATGTACCCTAAAACTTAAAGTATAATTTTAAAAAATCACAGAAAGTACAAAATAAAGATGATATTAAATGACTGTCTCAAAAAAAATTTTTTTTCAAATGTTGACATATATAGTATTTCATTTTTAAATATTCTAGTGTAATAAAGCATACTTTTGTGAAAATAAAATTTCTATGCCCCAGACAAAAAAATAAAATAAAATAAAATAAAATTAGTTCTATTTTCTTTATTTGTTCAATCAAATCAACGTTTCTCATCCTGGCTGAATACGACAAATAATTTAGATTTAGATTCCCCTAGCACTACTCAGCTCACCTCTCCATCCAGTATTAGGTAATCACAAAGACTACTGTTCTTTAGTAAGTCTTCTGGTAATACAAGAATTTGATAACATACAATGACTTTAACTACTTTTAAATACATATGTATTTTTATACACAGACTTTCTTCAATAAGAGTGGGGATAACTTTAAAATTTGTTTACTTGTTTTCATTTTCTAAAAACATATCAATAAATCATGGAGATACCCAATGGAAAGACGGCATTACAGTGTTTCTTAAATCTCATGAAATGAGTCGGTCACAAGTACTCCAGAAGGACCAATCTTTTTACCTCTGATGACTCACCTTAGATATTTGGTACTTGATTTTTCACAAAAAGACTAAGTGCAAGGAAAAACAGCACACTATATTAAATGTGGTAGTAATTAAAACAAGCATCAAATTTAATCACAAAATTCTACATATGTTGTTTTTTCTGAGAGAAGAAACATTTGATAAACAAAATAAAATTTGTACTGCTCATTTTAGTGAGTCATCAGCTATTTGTTGGGTGTCCCTTATTATCATTACATAAGGTGGTATATCCCACTGCATCTCCAGTGGCTAGTGTATTGTAATATAATGATAATATGCAGATTTACTTATTGACCACATAGAACTGATCTGCATCACAGTCTGAAGCTCTCCTGTCCCCATCTTGCTCCATTTCATCCCCTGCCCCAATACACACATCTCCTTCCACAGGTGTCAGGTCTGAATTGTGGGGCTGCACTGGGCTCTGTCCTGCTGCTCTCTCAGGCACCCCTGCAATTGGCAGTGATGCTTCGTAGGTAATCGTGATACTTTTTTGCCTGATAAAACATGGAAAGAGAAAGGGAAATGGGGCTCAAGGGAAACTCCTGCAATTCTGGCTGGAGCATGTGAGATGGGAACACTGAAGTGGGGACAATTTTAGGAGGAGATCCCAAGTTTATTTGGGGTCGAGCTAAGAATGAGGTACCTATGGAAAGTCCATTTTAATCCAGTTACCTTGTAGTATAAAGAACATAGTTTGAGAAACTGATTACAATTTAGTAAATATCTTTCACATTCAACAATATTCACTGAGGATCTTAAATATTTCACATTTCACTGTGAAACTCAGGGAGGCAGCTGATGTTGCACATGGGCTTCAGTTTCACACGATCGAATAATCAGTTGAAGAGTTTCCCAAAAGTGCCTCAAGTTTCAGTTCCCAATCATAAATGGGGATGGTAACTTCTGCCTGGCAAGGTGGCTGTGAACTTAGCCCAGTGACTACGATAGGGAAGGTACTTAAAAATGTTTATTTTGTATTCTTTTTCCTTTCTCAATTAACACATTTGTTAAGCACAAGTAATATTAATCCCCTCATCAGATGGTTATAAATGCATATATAAGGGTTTAATTAAAGATATCCTGGAAGGCACGGTGTAACATTTGGCTGGCATCGAAGGGCTTTAACAGCATGCAGCATGTCGCAGTGGAAGGTGTCCTTTACTTATGATGGCTATGAGACGGGGGAATATTTCCAGCAGCACAGGCTGCGAGAAGAAAAACAGCCCGAGTATGGTGTCCAAACAGAAGACTACATGTTCCAAATAATACCCCGTTGCAGTCACCAAAACAGAAAAGGGCTATGAAAAGAACAGTCTATCACATCATAGATAACACATGTGTGGAAGAAACTGTTTTTGTAAATTGTTTTCTCTTTTTGTAGTATAAAAAGGGAAAACACAATTTGCTTCTGGTTAAGGGTGGATGTACTATATCCTTGTACTATTTTTCACTGTCTACCTTTGTCAGAAGGGTCACTGTGATTTATTTCTTGGAGAACTATTAATAGAATTTGCATGGCAACTAGTGAGGGGATGAAAATTCATTCTGTAAGATCTGCTTGATGGACAGTACAGAAACCAAATTTGCTTGCAGATGTGGAAATGCACAAGGCTGACTCTTTCTGCTGCTCTTGCACTATATACCATAGAGTACCCAGCCTTCCTAAAATAGGTATTTAATATTTAGACCAAAAAACCACAATTTCTTGATATGCCAAAAGGTCAAGTAATGTCTGAAGCCACTGCAGACAGCTTGGCAGCAAATTCCCTTGAAAAAAGCAGCTTCTTCTATGAAAAATAAATCATTTGCTTCTTCACTGAGAATTTTAAAATTCACTTTTTTTCAGCTAATACAAGATTACCACCAATTTCCTGAAAACCCAAACACAATTTCAAAACCCCAAAATTATGTTGACAAAGAAGTATTTTCAATTCACTTCCCCATCAAGCTAAATGAAGAAAAATGTTCAAGATTCCCCACATCATGATGGCTCCTCTTCACTCGGTTCACATACGCAGTAAGCAGAGGCAAAGTATTTATCGAGCTCATATGGACACTTGGAAATGTTAACGATTTTGTTTAAAGCAAAAATAAATTCAACCATGTCAGCATTTCAGGAATTTATAGCCAAAGACCACAATTAAAACATGCCAAAAATCTCATTCTAACCAGAAAGCATTTTCAAACTTTTCCAGAATGAACATTTTTATCATAATGATCACAGACTCTCAAGAGTTTAATTGGATACTGGCATCTGGGTAGAAACAGTGACCTAAAATCCTTGCCAAGTCGGCAAGTCACAGAGAGGGGGTGCTCACCCTCCACTAGGTGAAGATAATCAGAGGCAGGGTGGCAGATCTTAAACACAGTCCCAGCTTTGTGTTAAAGTCTTCCTCATTTTTGCCCAGATCCCTGTGCAGGTTAGTGACAACAGTCACAGACTTTTCCCACAGATGGAAGTGTATGTTACACTACCTAGGGCAGAGATCAATACAAATCCCTTAAGAGGTGGCTACTACTTGTCTTTCCATTTAACAGATTAGAAATCTGAGATGTTTACAGTGAGGTACAATAACTTGCCCATAATTTCAAATTACAACTAGTAACTGGCTGACCCAGGACAACATTCATAGTTCTGCATCAAGACACCATGCTCCTAACTACTATCCTATACTAGAGTGAAAGAGACTTATATCAGAAAGAAAACCACTTCCAAGACTATCAATGCCAACCAGCAATGCATTTATGATGCTAGGCCAACTGGCCCTGATCAACAGCAGCAGCCAATTAGCCATGTGATTGATTTTTAGAGGAATCTCAGAAGCCGGGTAAGCAAGTGACCAAGAGAGTAGCTCCAACAGCTGCATCAACAGCAAACCATAGAAACAGGCTTGAGCAGATGGCACTGGTGAAGGAGAGTATCTGAGGTGCTGTAGCTACCCTAGATGAAACTTGGTTACTACCAATGCAACCCAGATTACAAAAATTTCCACAGAAATGTATTGGGGACATTGTACCTGTGATTATTACTCTAGTTTTAAGCAAGTGTGTTCTCTGAGCATAAAGCTAAGTATACCCAAGTAAGGCAACAGGGAATAGTAAGAGAGGAATACTTTTTTTACAGATTAGAATCACAAGAAATTGCATTGGCAGTGAAAGGACATGTTAAAGCTCACATAATCACAAACGCTTCCATTCATTATTCATTCACTCACTCACAAAAAGTTTTGAACACCTACTATGCACTAGGTATTGCCTCAAGGGCTAGTGATTGTTTCACAAAGTTCTATTTTTAGAGATTCATGGAAATTAGAGTTACAGGTGTTTACAAAATCATGTTTTATTAGCTACAATCATGTTTAATCTCCCTACACAGTAACAGTGATAAATATTACAAGCATACCTCATTTTATTGTGCTTTGCTTTATTATGCTTTATAGATACTGTATTTTTTGTTTGGGGGCTTTTTTTTTAAACAAATTTAAGGTTTGTGGAAATCGTGCATCAAGCAAGTCTGTCAGTGCCATTTTTCCAAAAGCAATGTGCTCACTTTGTGTTTCTGTGTCATGTTTTGGTAATTCCTGCAATATTTCAAACTTTTCCATTATTATTATATTTGTTATGGTGATCTGTGATCAGAAGATGTTACTATTGTAAATTGTTTCGGAGCATCACAAACCAAACCACATAAGACAGCAATTTTGTGTGTGTGTGTGAGGCAAGGTCTCACTCTGTTGCACAGGCTGGAATGCAGTGGTGCAAAATACAGCTCACTGCAGCCTCGACCTCCTGGGCTCAAGCAATCCTCCCACCTCAGGCTCCCAAGTAGTTGGGACTACAGATGTGCATCACTACACACGGCTAATTTTCATATTTTTTGTAGAGACAGGGTTTCACCATGTTGCCCAGGCTGGTCTCAAACTCCTGGGCTCAAAGAATCCTCCTGCCTCAGCCTCCCAGAGTTCTGGGATTACAGGTGTGAGCCAATGTGCCTGGCTGAGAAGGCAAACTTAACTGACAAATGATGTATGTGTTCTGATTGCTCCACTGACCAGTATATATATATATATATATATATATATATATATATATATATATATATATATATATATATATACATACACACACACACACACACACACATACACTCCTCTTCCTCTTCTTTCTCTCTCTCTCTCCTCTTCTCCTCTCTCTTTCCTCTCTTCTCCTTCTTTCTCTCTCTCTCTCTCTCTCCCCATCCCCACCCGCCGCCTTGGGCCTCCTTATTCCCTAAGAAAGAACAATACTAAAATTAGGACAATTAATAACCCTACAATGGCTTCTAAATGTTCAAGCAGAAGGAAGATTCACACACCTCTCACATTAAATGAAAAGCTAGAAATGATTAAGCTTAGTAAACAAGGCATGTTGAAAGCCAAAACAGGCCAAAAGCTAAGCCTCTTAAACCAAACAGTTGGCCAAGTTATGAATGCAAATGAAAAGTTCTTGAAGGAAATGAAAAGTGCCACTCCAGTGAACGCACAAATGATAAGAAAGAGAAATAGCCTTGATATGATTTGGATCTGTGTTCCCACAAAATCTCATTTTGAATTGTAATCTCCAATGTTGGAGGTAAGGCCTGGTGGGAGGTGATTGGATCATTCAGGTGGATCCTTCATGAACGGTTTAACACCATCCCTCTTGGTACTGTCATGACAACAATGAGTGAGTTTTTGAGAGATCTGATTGTTTAAAAGTGTGTAGCATCTCTCCCCCACTCCCTCCCTCTCTCTCTCTCTCTCTCTCTCTCCCCTTGTCCTGCTCCTCCCATGTAAGACACCTGCTCCCACTTTGCCTTCCGCCATGAGTACAAGCTTCCTGAGGCCTCCCCAGAGGCAGATGCTGCCAAGCTTCCTACACAGCCTGTCAACCACAAGACAATTAAGCCTCTTTTCTTTAATAATTACTCAGTTTCATGTATTTTTTTATTATAACAGTGCAAGAACAGACTAATACAGAAAACTGCTACCAGGAGTGGGGTATTAATACAAAGATACCTGAAAATGTGGAAGCAACATTGGAACTGGGTAATAGGAAGAGGTTCAAAGAGTATGGGGGGCTCAGAAGAAGACAGGAAGATGAGGGGGAAGATGAAGGGAAGTTTGGAACTTCCTAGAGACTTATTGAGTGGTTGTAACTAAAACGCTGGTAGTGACATAGACAGTGAAGTCCGGGCTGAGGAGGTCTCAGACGGAGATGAGGAACTTTTTGGGAACTCCAGCAGTCACTTTTGTTATGCTTTAGCAAAAAGCTTGCCTGGTTGTTCTCCTGCTCTAGGGATCTGTGGAACTTTAAACTTGTGAGAGATGATTTAGAGTATCTGGTAAAAAAAGTTTCTAAGCAGCAAAACATTCAAGTATATAGCCTGACTGCTTCTAATAACATATGCTCATATGCATGAGCAAAGATGTTATCTGAAACTGGTACTCTTATTTAAAAGGGAAGCACAACATAAAAGTTTGGAAAAATTTGCAGCCTGCTTCTGTGTTAGAAAAGAAAAGCCCATTTTCAAAGGAGGAATTCAAGCAGGCTGCAGGAATTTGCATAATCTCCCATCATAGGCAGGGAGGCCTAGGGGGGCTGAATGGTTTCCTGGGCCAGGCCAAGGGCCCTGCAACCCCGCACAGCCTTAGAACACTGCTCCCAGTATCCCTGTTGCCCCAGCTGCAGCCCTGACTCAAAAGAGCAAAGGTACCACTCAGGACTCTGCTTCAGAAGGTGCAGGCTAGAAGCATTGGTGGTTTCTACACTGTGTTAAGATCACAGGGACACAGAAAGAAAGACTGAGGCTTGGGAGCCTCTGCCTAGATTTTAGAGGATATATGAAAAAGCCTAGATGTCCAAGCAGAAGCCTGCTACAGGGGCAGAGCCCTCACTGAGAACCTCTAATAGGGTAGTGTGGAGGAGAAATGTGGGGTTGGGGCTCCCACACAGAGTCCCAACTGGGGCACTGCCTAGTGGAGCTGTGAGTAGAAGGCCACTGTCCTCCAAACCTTGGAAGGGTAAACCACTGGCAACTTGCACCCTGCACTGGAAAAGCCACAGGCACTCAATGCCAGCCCATGACAGTAGCCACAGGGGCTAAACCCCACAAGGCCACAGGAGTAGAGCTCCCCAAGACCTTGGGAGCTCACCTCTCATGCCAGTGTGCCCTGGATGTGGGACATGAAGTCAAAGGAGATTATTTTGTTTGGAGCTTTAAGATTTAATGACTGTCCTGCTGGGTTTCTGACTTGCATAGTGCCTGTAACCCCCTTTTTTGCTGTTTTCTACCTTTTGGAACTGGAGTATTTTACCTAATGCCTATACCTTCATTGTATCTTGGAAGTAACTAACTTGTTTTTGATTTTACAGGCTCATGGGCAGAAGGGACTTGCCTTGTCTCAAATGAGACCTGAGACTTTGGACATCTTAGTTAATGCTGAATGAGTTAAGACTTGGGGGACTGTTGGGAAGGCATGATTGTATTTTGCAATGTGAGAAGGATATGAGATCTGTGGGGTCAGGGGAGAAAGATATGGTTTAAATCTGTGTCCTCACAAAACCTCATGTTGAATTGTAATCTCCAATGTTGGAGGTGGGGCCTGGTGGGAGGCAACTGGACCATTGGGTGGATTCTTCATGGATGATTTAACAGCGTCCCCCTTGGTACTGTCGTCACAATAGTGAGTGAATTCTTGCGAGATGTGGTTGTTTAAAAGTGTGTAGCACCTCTGCCTCTTTCACTCTCTTCATCCTGCTTCTGTCATGTAAGATGGCTGCTACCACTTGGCCTTCACCATGAGTAAAAGCTCCCTGAGGCCTCCCCAGAAGGAGATGCCACCATACCTTCTGTAAAACCTGTGGAATCATGAGCCAATTAAACCTCTTTTCTTTATAAATTACCCAGTCTCAGGTATTTCTTTAAAGCTGTGTGGGAACAAACACAAGCCTTATTGCTGATATGAAGAAAGTTTTAGTGATCTGAATAGAAAATGTAAGAAGCCACAACAAAGCCTAATCCAGAGCAAAGCCCTAACTCTCTTCAATTTTCTAAAGGCTGAGAGAGGTAAGGAAGCTAAAGAAGAAAAGTTGGAGGCTAAGACTGACAGGTTCATAAAGTTTAAGAAAAGATGCCATCTCCATAATTTTAAAATGCAAGGTGAAGCAGCAAGTGCTGATGTAGAAGCTGTAGCAAGTTATCCAGAAGATCTAGCTATGAAAATTGATGAAGGTGACTACACTGAACAACAAATTTTCAACGTAGACAAAACAGCCTTCTGTTGGAAAAAAAGGTGTCATCTAGAACTTTCCTAGCTAGAAAGGAGAAGTCAGTGTCTGCCTTCAAAGCTTTCAAAGACAGACTGATGCTCTTGACAGGGGATAATGCAGCTGGTGACTACAAGTCGAAGCCAATGATCATTTACCATTCCCAAAATCCCAGAATCCTCAAGAATTATGCTAAATCTACTCTGCCTGTTCTCTATAAATGTAACAAAGTCTGGATGACAGCACATGTGTTTGCAGTATGATTTGCTGAATATTTTAAGCCCACTGTTGAGACTTACTGCTCAGAAAAAAAAGATTCCTTTTTTTAATATTAAAATAAAAAACAAAATATTACTGCTCATTGACAATGCACCTGGTCACAAAAGAGGTCTGATGAAGATGTACAAAAAGATTAATGTTTTTACGCCTGCTAACACAATATTCCTTCTGTACCCCATGGATAGAGGAGTAATTATGACTTTCAAGTATTATTATTATTATTATTTAAGAAATACATTTTGTAAGACTATAGCTGACACAGTTATTCCTCTGATGGATTGCGGCAAAGTAAATTGAAAACCTCTGGAAAGGATGTATTATTCTATGTATCATTCATGATTCATAGGAGGAGGTCAAAATAGCAATTATAACGGGAGTTTGGAAGAAGTTGATTTCAACTCTCATGGATGACTTTGAGGGGGTTCAAGACTTCAGTAAAGAGAGTAGCTGCAGTGGTGGTGAAAACAGCAAGAGAACTGTAATTAGAAGTTAAGCCTAAAGATATAAATGAATTTCTGCAATCTCAGGATAAAACTTGAGTGGATGAGACATTGCTTCTAATGGATAAGCAAAGAACATGGGTTCTTTGTCTTCTGATGAAGATGCTACAAAGATTGTTGAAATGAAAACCAAAAATGTATAATACTATATAAACTTAGTTGATAAAGCAGTGGCAGAGTTTCAGAGGATTGATGACAATTGTAAAAGAAGTTCTACTCTGAATAAAATGCTATTAGACAGCATCACATGCTACAGAGAAATCTTTCATGGAAGGAAGAGTCCATTGATGGGGCAAACTTCATTGTTGACTTTCGTAAGAAATTGCCACAGCCATCCTAACCTTCAGCAACCATCATTCTGATCAATCAGTAGCCATCAACACTGAGGTAAGACCCTCCACCAGCAAAAAGATTAAGACTCACTGAAAGCTCAGATGATCACTAGCATTTTTTAGCAAAAAAGGTTTTTTAATTAAAGTATGTACATTTTTTAAAGACACAATGCTATTGCACACTTAATCAACTACCATGTAATGTAAACATATCTTTTATATGCATTGGTAAACTAAAAATGTGTGTGACTCACTTTAATGAGGTATTTGCTTTATTGAGGTAGTCTGGAACTAAACCTGCAGTGTCTCCAAGGTATGTCTGTACTTGATTAAGAAGAAGCTATTAACTGACATTAATCAGGTTTGCTGCTAAAGGAATATAAATCCAGTTTCTAAAGATTATATTTTCAATACAAAAAGAAATCTATTTTTTAGTACAACTTTGCCAGAAATCCTTTTGTAATTCTTAAGTATGAACCGCCCCCACCCCACCCCACCTTTTTTTTGTTGTTGAGACAGCATCTTGCTCTGTTACCCAGGCTGGAGAACAGTGGCATGATCTTGGCTCACTGTAGCCTCAGTCTCCCGAGCTTAAGTGATTCCCCTGCCTCAGCCTCCCAAGTAGCTGGGACTGCAGGCACACACTACCACACTCTGCTAATTTCTATATTTTTAGTAGAAATGGGGTTGCACCATGGTACACAGGCTGGTCTCGAACTCCTGGGCTCAAGTGATCTGCCCACCTCAGCCTCCCAAAGTACTGGGACTATAGGCATGAGCCATTGTGCGCAGCCTGAAAACCATTTTTTAACTTAACAATCTGGTTACAGACTTTGGATACATATGCACTAAGTTTTCTCAAAGAGAATTAAATGAATAAAATAAAGAATTTAAATCATATATATATTATTTTCTTACTGTCCCCTAGAAAATTCCATTTTCTATGGTATAGTTTTCTTTGTAAAGAAAAGAGCAACACTAAATTCTATCATTTTTTAAAGGCCAATGTTAACATTAGTGAGACAAAGTTACAAAGCTCTGTAAAATAAGCATCTATACTTACTTTTTAATCAACTCCTTACATTTCTAAAGCAACTTCATGTTTCCTCAATCTTCCATCCACCTATATACCCCTCCTCCTCCTGGACTCAAAAGTCTGCCAAATTCTAGGAGGAAAAAGTTCCATTTTGTACAACAACAGTCTATACGTCTGAATTTCACTGTGGTAAACTTCCTCCTTTGTATGTAGATTAAAAGATATTTCCCATCAACTGTGTATTCAACCTTAAGAAGTGACTGCAGAACATTCCATAGTAACAGATATATTTTTAAGATGATCACACACAAAAATGGGCACAGATCAATTCCAGTCACTCCCAAATAAAACACAACCAGCTGATTTCTTTTCAGTATGTAAGTAACAGACACAGGATGGATGGAGGCCTAACAGCTGTCTCCTATTTGTGCATGACATATAATAGCAACATTACCTGTTGAAATCAGAAAGACTTAACAATTAAAGTGCTTAAAAATATACATGTGATACTTGAGTATACAACGGCAGTGCCAGGGTCCTATTCTAGAAGCTCTAAGCACTGTGAAGATGATGGGTTGCCCAGATGGATGAACTGTAGGTGCAAATCCCAGCCAAAGAACCTACAAGTTAATGGAAACATATGAAGTTCCTTTAACTTCTCTAAGCCTGTTCTCGACTTTGAGATGCGATGCTCATCTCATTGAATAGCTATTCAGAAGAATGAGATAAATTATAAGACATGTAAAATCCAACAGCTGACTAGGTGAGTGTTCAATAAATTATGTAATTTTCACTATTATTATTATTATTAAAACTGGTTAAATGATTAAATCCATTGTGGGTAGTCTTATCTGAATGAAAATGCACATGCTTATCTGGTCTCATTTTTAACTTTTCCCATTCAAGCTTGCAAACAATTTTAAATGACAAGGGAAGAGTTAGTCAGATGATTGAATTTGCAGTCTAATTAAAATTACATTGCAAAAGCAATAGATTCTAATCCCTTGTGGATATAAGAAATACAGCAGAGAAATTTTTTAACAGCTAGCTAAATTTTATAAGTGAAATAGCCTTAACAATCAACATTAAAGTTGGTCTCCAAGTTCCCCAATTGTAAAGGAAACTTTATAAAGTGTGCAACCATTCCCCACAAAGCTGTTAAGAAACATTAACCAAAAGAATAAGGCAATTTTTTAAGAACTTACTTCATCATAAAAAAATTATTCCCTTTTCCCTGAAAACATGATTCTAGAAAACCATCAGCCTCTGGGATGTCTCCCTCAGACACTGCTGGTAGTAATACTAGCATTCCAGGTTGTTTAACATGGCCTGAGGTGGCCAGGAAGTCATCTTGGATGAGATGAGGATCCACAGGCTCACCATCTGAAAAATTCAAGAAGACTAGCAAGTAAACCATGTGGATTTGTTTGCAAAATAAGCAAACCCACAGACAAAAACACATGCTGTGTAATTACAAAAATACACATTTCTGCCTTCTGATATGGTATGTTCACTCTAGCGGTGAAATACAGTTCCGCGTTGCTCCTCTCCCCTCTTAAAAATATGTGAAGGACAGGACAACTTCACAAACAAGGATGGAGACTAGATGATCCATACTTGAAAGAAGCACAATGAGGACCACAGTCAAGACAGAGGTAGAGAGAAAATTTGGTATTTTAAAATGTTTGCTGAATTACATCTGGGCAGAGTCTGCAGTTGGGAATTGTAGTAGGGCAGGGACGGCAAGGAAGTGGAAGTCACAGATGGAACGATCAGGCTAAGTAAAACCTCACTGCATCCTTACACATTTAAGAGTCTGCCACAAATGTACATGTCTTGCATGATCGATATTTGCAACAATGTGCTCCAAAAGGAAATAACATGCATTCTGTGCATGTTATTATGCCAGTAATACATAATAACATGCACAGAACAGGAAAGTAAGCCACACGTTAAACAAGGCAGAAATGTCTAGATAAAAGTCTCCCAAAATCAACCCCCACAAAATTGCCATAGGAGACTCCAGATTCCTGCTGCAAATGGGGAGGTAGGTATATCAGTTTACATCTGCACCAGACAGGTGTCTAACCTCAAATGAGACACTGGGCTGCCAAGGGAGGGAATAGACAGCCACGACTGGCAATGAGATCCTCAGGAACTCTATCTGCTTTCATCTCTTCAACTTCCTTCTTACCCAGACTCCACCATGATGAGTAATCGGAGGTGCAAGGAAAATAGAGACCTGAAGGTGCAGCGCCTGTTTCAACAGGACCGGGGCAACCGGGGCTCTGGACAGATGTGTTCTGGTGACTGCCAGTCTGTAAGCCAGTGTCCCCATCTTGAAGTCACCAACTGAACCTGCAACTGGTTCAGGAGCTGCTGACAGGGCAAGTAGGGCTAAGCATAACTACTGGGGCAGAGCCAAAAGCCAGGAACAGAGTGAAATGGCTGGAAGAATGAAGAACATTCCTTATGACTCCAAGGAATCCTGTACATAGTCCTGGGATGGCACAGGTCACAACTTTTAATGTTCTGGAGCTGAAAGATGACCCAGTTGTTCATTGGAGTGGGCTGGGAAAAGCAGTCAGGGAGAGGGTCAGATCAATTCTAACCAGCACTTAAGTATTTGTATATGTGCAAAATTACACACACACACACATACACACATATACACACACACACAGACACAGAGTTCTTTCATCCAATCATCCAATTGAATTTCTCTGAGAATAGTTTGATTTCCCCCTTTGTAAAGAGCCATGAGATTATATAATAACTACAGATTATGTAACTAGGAAGTTATTAAGTGCTTAGATTATGTAACATCTAAGAATCATGGATGCATTTATTTTCTTTCAACCTATGATGTAATTCTCACTGGAGAACATGCATAAGTTATGAGGTGTTTGGACATGTAACATTTCAAAACTGGCTAGCAAAAGCACTGATCGGCTGTTTCATAAGGCATTCTTCCATACATGAAATTCAATTACTTTGAACTGAACATTAGCTTGGCTGCTCAAAGTCTTAAAGTCACATAGAATCTCACAAACTCATCATGTTGACACTAACTGTTTCCATCTTACTTGGTTGTAATTCATTAACAAGTTTCTTTTTGCTTGTTTAAAGAATCTAATTTAATTTTGCTAGACAACACTCCTAAAGATGCTGAGAATTGCCAAATTGTGAGAGTAATTACACATTAGCAACCCATAAGCCCAGCTGTAAATTGCACTTTATCACAATCCAGACCACTCAACCTCTTAAGATTTTTAAGCTATCATTCCTTCTGTGGCTACAGCCTCCTACCAACACAATCTTGAATGTCCTCAACCCCACAGGCAACAAGCTAGAGAACACATAATAAGTTTTCTAGCTTATTATGACTCCAGCCCCTGCCCTCTCTAGCCTTCCTGCTGGCTTGAAATTCTCTCTGTGCCATCACAACCTTCAGCTGAACATTTCATCTTTTTATCAAACACTCCAAAATCCCCAGTCCTCAGGCTTTCTGCCATACCCGTCTCACCAAAGATAACCCCTCTCTGCTTTCTCCACTTTTGAGTGACCAAAGAACTAGAAAAAGGCATAGAACTATCCTAAGAAACTCAACAAGTTCATACCATGCAGCCTCAGCTGGATATTCAGTTCATCTTGGCAAGTTTTTAATTTTTTTCCATGCATTTTCCATAAGCAGCTGTTCTGAACACTCCCCAGTGTCTTCGAGTCTCTAATCCATCCCCTTATTCTCCCAGGAGATGACTTTATCTCCAAACAGACTGAGGAAAGTAGAGGGAATTTACACTGAATTTTCTCCAGTTTACATCAAATACATTATAATTTTTATTTGTCTCACTCCCTTCTTCCCAAACTCAGGAAAATATGTTCAAATTAGTTTTAATAAATATTTATTGAGGATCTGCTAAAAGCTAAGCATTTTATTGGGCATGTGTCTGGCAGAATCAACAGTTTTCATCATTAAGTCTGAGACCATACCTAGCAGAACTGAAGACTAGAAACCAGAAATTGAAATCAGTTATTTCAATAAAATGAGCAAAGTGTCAGTGGAAGAATTCACAAAGTGAGGTGAACAAGCCCAAAACTAGTTAACCACAGCCTTAACACCTGTTACCTTAAATCTACCCCTGCAAGGGGTCGCTCCAGGTTAAACACCACCCTCTAATTTCCTCTATTGTCAATCTACACTTCCTCAGTCTAGAAGCTCACTCAAATAAGCTTCCTTTATTCTTAAAGGAAACAAAAACAAAACTATAAAATAAACTTATTTCACCTCAACCCACTGATGCACCAAGAAACTACCCTATCTATTACCATCTTCTTTCATAGGTAGGTATCCTTAAGTATTAGTTGCTACTTCTTCCTTTTCTGATCATTGTCCTCTAGATTATTATTTCTAAAAGTGCTCTCTCAGAGATAACTAACGTGATCATGGCCTAATTTTATTTTCCTGTATATGAGGTTTGCTAACCACGGAGGTGAATATTTTCTGATTAAAAAATACATGTTCCTAAGAATTCAAATGTTTTATTATTTTATTACTTAATTCATGTGATTGATGAGAATACTGTAAAGTGATTATATGGATTCTCCAAAATTTATTAAATACTAAACAAACAATATGTGTTCTCCCAACTTATTTTAGTAGAATTAAGAATCTCTAAATAATAGACAACAGGAGAAAAAAAATCAATAAACACTATTCCTTCTCCGCTAGAATAAGGTTCAAAATAGATCACAGGGCTAAGGAAAGCCAGGGCTTCATTTCCTAAGAGAATGTAATGGATAGGACCACCCCAGTGCAGGCATCTTTTCAGTGACGCATCTGTTCCAATTGCTGAAGAACTCAGGTATGACTGCTCATGGAAACCGGATGGATTCACTGCTTCCTTTACTTATGAGCAATTTTCTTGCCATTAGTCTATTAAACTCCATCAAGTGCTGAGTGTTCAAAGATCTGGATGCAAATGTGATCATGAAGAATCATAGGAAAAGAATGAAATTCTAAAGCTCATTACTGTCAAGTAAATATTTCAGAATCCCCATGGAGCATACTTAACAACTATATTGTTAGTAACGGAAATATTTTTCCTAACTTGGCTCAAGTCATTAACCATGACTTTCAGGAGAGTACAAGCTGACAGAAACAATCATATGGCTGGGTCCTTTCCCTTGTGATCAATCATCAATGCTCCTTAACCTGGCAGGAGCCACATCATAGTTGCCAATAGCCTGAGAATCTTAAACCACCTGGATGACTTCCAGGTGAAGGAGCTCAGGGATCCTGCCCTGCTTACGTGCTGAAAATTATTTTTCCTGACTTGCTAAAATCATGGATTTCTAGACCCTCTCTTTCTTCTTGCTCCTCCCCATGGCATATATTTTTCTTCTTGTTGACAACAATCTAATGTGCCTGGAAACTGCTTCAAGTGCCTATGTTCCACTTGAGATCACTGTAATACTTTTGCAGATGGTTTGGAGCATATTTTTTTTCCTCAAAACAAGCCACGAATTCTAAAGCATTTTGCCATATTCCTGCACTGATATATAAAATACACTTGAGATGACTGTAGTCATTTTTTCACTAGACAGCAGTCATTAATTAACCTGGGAAAGAATCCCAATTCCATTTTTCCATGGCATAATAATTAACCCAATTATCCAAGATACCCATCTTAGTTTGGGTTCCCCCAAAAGTCACCTTGAGATAAGAACTTGGGTTGGTTAGTCTGGCATAGTGAACTGGGGAGGTGATCCCAGGGAGCATAAGTTAGGAAGTGAGGAAAGCCTGACTGGGGAGAGAGAAAAACCATGGAAGGGGGTGGTATGCCACATTCCTGCTGGGGGTCAATGTCCCTAGGATGTTCTGAAAAGACATAAATAATGTGCTTCAGAATTGTCCCACGAAGAGAAGGGGAAAATGGGCATTTGTGTTCTGACTCCAGCCCTTCACTGAGTAAAGGTTATACTTCGAGGCTGCTCTGCAGCAAGAGTAAATTTCCACAGGGCTGACAATGTGCTCCGGTAGAGAAGCACAGATCAGGCCCTTGAGATGGAAAGCTGTTGGCATGCATGGGAGATGTCCACTGTGGGTGAACTCACAGGTGGGCCAAGACCATATCAAAAGCATCTGCTACAGCAGCCCACCACCCAATTCCTTGCTCTTATCAAGTTACCATGTCCTGCTGACTCATCTTTCAAAAAAGACTCTCTGATCCTCCTGTCATCAAATACGACCTACTATACTCATCTTTCAGTATTTTAACCCCTTCCTACTAATTATCTCCTGTGTCCACCCCGAACCCCGGGATTTTCACTGTCTGTAGATGAGTTCTCACAAGGTCACCGGCTGTCACCGATCTCCTCTACCTGTCCAACCTTATTGGCCACCAAGTCTTCAAATACTTTCCCTTTCAAAAAATAGTCTCCTCTCTTCCTGTAACACATAATGATTCTCCCCAGCTCTCAGCCTTTCCCACACAGAATGCCCCAGCCCTTTGAGATCCACACTAGAAATTATCAATACTTAAGGAATATTTTCCTTAGCTGTGACTTGCACTCTTCTCCTCTACTCTAGTCTTGACAGCAAACAATGCCACTTTAAAGGTTTATTTAAAGCAAGTAGGGCCAGAATCCCCAGGCAAACTCTAAGTATCCAAAGGGCAGAGACTGAGATAAATGTTTCTTTCTTAAATTACTCCAACACTCACTCTAGTGCCCACTAATCAAAGACCACCAGGAACACTCTTGTAGTAAATAAATTGAGCTTTCATTCACTTACGACAGCAAGAAAGAGTACACCAAAGTAACTGGAGAATTTTAAGAAACTGGTGGATACTTAGGATACTATTTCAGTTTGTTTTGGGTGATTCCAAGAAAGGTTTAAGAAACTAAAGGCCAGGTTTGGACTGGGAGCTGTCAGGAGGTAGGGACAATTCACTGATTATCTTGGCAAATTTAATCTAGAAAGCAGAGGATTAAAGCTGAGTTGGAGTCATCATCGGTAAAGAAGCAGCAATCATTCATGTCAGTCATAAGAGAGGGATGTTTAATTACTTTTGTAGTTGGAAAGGGTCCTTTCTCAGTCTTGTTTCAGACATACTCAAGAAGTAGGCTTGTCTGATTATTTATATTCTGCAAGAGGTATTTATGTTCAGTTGGGAACATTATGTGGCCTGTCAGCTGCCAGGGCCATTTTTTACTTTCTCAAAAGTTATTCAAAAGATAACAGAATAACTTAAATAACTGTTGAATTAACTTCAAATTTATCCTAAATCTAATGATAATGTAAACTTTAACTCATAATTTATCACTCCAACTTTCTGGCAGGCACTGCGCACATGGAAAGGAATAAGACATACTGGTCTTTGACATAGGTCCATGAGCTCAAAGTCCAAAGAAAAGGCAAATGTCTAGGCTGATGCAATACAAGCATGAAAAGTGCCCAAATGAGGCGGAGCTTGCAGTGAGCCGAGATCCCGCCACTGCACTCCAGCCTGGGCGACAGAGCGAGACTCCGTCTCAAAAAAAAAAAAGAAAAGTGCCCAAATGTAAGCATGAATAAGGTGCTGAGCTGGTGCAAGAAAGAGAGTGTTAGGCTCCATCTGGAGGTGTGTGTGAAGCTTTCCAGGAAGACATGCCACCTGGGATGGATGTGTGAGGATGAGTAGGAGTTGGCCAGTTGGAAAAGGGAGGATGGAGGATGCCCTTCCATAGCAGACACAACCCAGGTGTAAAGTAGCATAATGAGTTGAGGAACAAAATATAAATCAATGTTGCTGGAAAAACTTTATTCAAAGCACTCAAAAATATTTCCAAGATATTTTTTAATATAAGGTGCTATTTTGGCACCTCTGAAGTTGCACAGCACAGAAGGTGAATTTTGTTCTCAGTTAATTAAACTGAGTGTTAAAGAGAAAGTAAACCATACCAAAAATTAAATACTTTTACATATGGATACCATTCTAGAAATGGAGACAAAGTAGAAATGGAATATGAGCCAATTCAAAATAACATACTGAAGTTTATATGTCCTCCTTCCCTTGAATATAATGGATTAGAAAAAATTCAGAAATTTTACCCTAAAATTAGAATTCAAATCCCAACACATAGAAATAAAACCAAACAACTTATTGTATCATCTTTCTGTTACACCAAGAAAACTCAGAAATTCAATGACTATTGTATAATACAGTAAGTAATTCTCATATCAGGGCAAACATGCACGCACACACACATACCCATAAGCACGCGGGCGTGCGCACGCGCGCACGCGCGCGCGCACACACACACACACACACACACATTTCCATGCTATTAATATTGAGGACCTAGTCTTTAGATAATTTATTTTGGAAATCCAATGGCCTTAATGTTAATACATACTTTCCTATAGTCCTTCAAAAATTAACACATTATTAGTATTTAAGGTCAATTCATTTCATTCTAGTTTGATATAGAAATTATCCATCAATTACTTGTAAATAAGCATTGGTGGCGAGGAGGGAACAGTTTGGGCAAGACAAACAATAGAAAAAACAATTTAAAAGTCTAATTTTACCAGGAAAAAAAAGATGAACAAGTGCTACAGTCTGAATGTTTATATGCCCACAAAATTCCTATGTTGAAACCTACCCCCAATGCTGACAGTATTAAGAGGTGGAGACTTTGGAAGGTGATTAAGTCATAAGGGCTGCATCCTCCTAAATAGCATTAGTGCCCTTATAAAAGTGATGTGAGGGAGGTTTTTTGCCCCTTCTACCATGTGAAGACATAGAAGGTGCCACCTATGAGGAACAGGCCCTGACACCAAATCTGCCAGCACCTTGATCTTGCACTTCCCAGTCTCCAGAACTGGAAGCAATAAATTTCTGTTGTTTACAAATTACTCAGGCTAAGGTATTTTGGTATAGTAGCCAAAATGAACTAAGACAACAACTCACTAACATAGGGAAAGAATATGAATAAACCAACAAAAGGGAAGGGCAAACAATTCACAGAGTGATATAAATAAGTGTTCCACAAACAGATTAAACAATGCTCAACTTTTCTATTAAGAAAGTGCATATGACAACATGAGGTTTTTTTTGTTTTTTTGTTGTTGTTTTTTTTTTCCACCATTTAGATTGGCCTAGGACAGGAAAGCACAGTATTGGCAAAGAGGAGCAAGAACAATTGTTTCTCTTTCCAGAATCCAGCCCCTGCCTAGTAGGAGTTCAAGAGTCATTTGGAAGGACAAGGTGACAATCCTAAAAAATATTAAAGTTACTCATATCCTGTGACCTAAAAATTCTACTTTTAAGAATTTACGCAACATAAAAAATGTGTAAAAGTAGGCAACTAAATTTGAAATTCATTGTAGACAAAAGAGAAAACAACCCAATGTCATCAAATCTGTTGAAATGTATATTATAGCCATATCCTACATATACATGCAATGGTATTTCATGCAGCTACAAAAATAATGGTATTACTGTTTACGTGCTTATATAGAAGAAGTTCTCTGCTTATTTTTTTAACTCTTATTTAAACTTAACTTGTCATACTTTGTTATTAATATACAAAGACAATAAACTTTTAAAACATTACATTTACTAAGATTCTGGCAATAAGACACAGCATACCAGGCTTGCCACTCAACTTGTTATTGTAAGTCTCAGCTTCAATATGAAGCTGTTTTTTTTTTTTTTTAATCAAAACCCTGCTTTTTACATGCTAAATATCTTGGCAAGTACGCCATTAAACATAGTAATGAACTTAAGACAGCAAGAGTGAGGAGTTAACAAAAGCTAAACATTGTAGCCTAAACAAAATTCATACAAAAAAATAAACTATCACTGGTTACATAAAATTTTCCTGACTGGTTAAAACTTAGTATAAAACATGCATTTTAGAATCTTTAGCTATCAAGTTCGAAAAGTACCAGTGTCTATTTAAAATAATTCCTCTCCCAAGCCAAAGTGTAGTAAAAATTAATTCAAATGACCTAACACATTCTAATGCTAAAAAATATTCATTATTACTGAAGTGGAGGTAAATCCCAGAGCTTTTGGGGCTTTCTCATGCTGCAAATGGCTGTTTCTCTGGTTCACTCAAAGCAGCATATGACAGCATCCAAGGATGACACTAAGCTCAGTAAAGGGCAAGACTGCTGGTAGCCAGCTCTGACCTCCCCGTGAAGTATGGCTACTGTGTTCATAATACAGGATGTGTGAGGATCAAAGGCACACTATTCTGCTAGCTAAAGAGATAGCAAACCACCCCCCCAACCCTAAAAGCTCCTTCCCCAGGTAAATAAAAGTATACGAGGGGAAAAAAATTAAACTACACTTATCTTACAGAGTAAGGGTTTTGAAATATTAATGTAATCCCTCCTTCAAAAATTTTAACTAGAGTCATCTGGTCATTTCTGATTACATCTTAAAGATGTATCCAGATTCAATTTCTGTTGGTTTATCCTTAGACATTTCTAGTCAAAAGTATTAATTTTATTCCCAAATATCTTAACCACTAGTATGACTGCAGTGTATTATCTCCCAGAGTTATCAAGCACTGGAAGAGAAAAAAATAGATGTTCAAGCAGCAGGCAACATTTATGGCCCTTTCACACAGTAGCATCTGAGTGGCTACTGAATAGTCCAGGAATAATTCTAAAAACAAGAAAATTCATGCATGTTAGTAAATATGTTGTAGTTTTCACAGTTGAAATTTCCTCAGACATTGCACTTTCTTTATAAGGGAATCCTGATTTTTCTTAATGTTATGGTGAGTCAGGACTTGAACTAACAGCCTTTTCTTCTTACTGTGTTTCTTATGCTTCTTATTCTTTTTTGTTTTTTCTGTTGCTTTTTCTCGTTCTTCACTGCTTTTCTTCTTTTTTGCTCGCACCTCCTCAATATACTCTGATTCTTACAAGGACTCAGATGATAAAGGTTTATCTTCAGAATACATCTTTCTCTTTTTGCTGAGTCCTTTAATATCCTTTTCTTTCTCAGTTCCATCTTTTGACTTCTTTTTCTTTTTTAAACTATCCTTACTGTCTGATTCAGTTTCTGACATGGAGCTTTCAGAAGATTTATGTGAACGGTTCTTCTTTTTCTTTCTTCATTTTCCTTGTTTCTTATCCTCATCTTCAGAATCAGAAGAATTGCTGGAAGAATCAGAGCTTGATGAAGAAGATGAATACCTATCAGATTTCTTCTTTTCTTTTTTCTTTCTCTGTCTTTTTTTTGGATGAGCTCTCACTTGCAGTTAACAATTTCTCCCTGTGTTTTTCCAGTTCTTTCTTCCAGTTCTCATTCATTTTTTCTTCAAATTCAGCCAAAGCCTTGGAACCTTTCTTTTTCTTTTCTAGTTGCTCTTTTACTTCTTCCCAGGTAGGCCTTGGTCAATTCAGATAATCCTGTATTGTTGGCCCTGAAGACTGGATTGGACCCCTTGATCTCGCCATTGCTATTGGGTGCATATAGGCCACCCGATTGTCCCGCTTCCCCATGGTGCTGGACTGAGCACACAGTGGCACGCCGAGGGAAACCAGGCCAGAGAGATGGCCGAAGAGGGCCTGCCACAGGTCCTCTTGCCGCCTCCCCACTCTGCTCTGCTTATTTTTTAAGAAGAAAAATCCAATGGTAGAAATGTGTGTGTAGAATAAGCCCATTTTAATTAATGAGTTAATACATAACTATTTGCATAGATCACAGAGCCAAAAACACGCATATGCTGTGTTCTCATTTTATTTTTATTTCAGGCAGAATTTATTTTGCTTAAGAGTAATTTCTGGCAACAAGATATAAAGGGAATGTAACTCCTCATTCCTGAAATCTCTCCAATATCTTTTGATAAAAATGTCAGTACCAAGGTTGCATACAAATGTAATAATAAACCACAAGCCACACTTTAATGGCATAAAAAGGACTTTTAAAAAACCAAGATGTCGTTTATTCTCCCTCCTAATTATTATTTTTAATCTTTTTTTTTTTTTGAGACAGAGTCTTGCTCTGTTGCCCAGGCTGCAGTGCAGTGGTTAGATCTTGGCTCACTCCACCTCCCGGGTTCAAGCAATTCTCCTGCCTCAGCCTCCTGAGTAGCTGGGATTACAGGCGTGTGCCACCATGCCTGGCTAATTATCGAGTCAGATAATCCTGTATTGTTGCCACTATCTTTTTTTTTTTTTTTTTAGCTAATGAGAAATGCCACACAGTGTCTTCAATATTGTTTACAACTGCAAATTGCCTTCATGAAAATAATTTAATTGCTCCTGAGAGGCCTGATAGATGTCCCTGAATTCTGTCCAGCCATGCCATGACTGACAGAACAGAGAAACCAGGAAAAGGTCACACACGGTTTGAGAAACCATCAAAATGTGGTGTCCATCTCCTGGCCAAGACAGGAATTTACAGCACCATTGTGGTGTTCAAAAACTGTCAGAAACCTTAGGAATTGTCACAGTTACCACAACTACACATTCCAGCAAAGAGGAATGGAAGACAGAGGCAACATGAACCAGGAGGGTAGAAGGTCTGTCCCCCAGCACTGAAGCAGGCACAAAGGCATAACGTGAAACACTCATGGAGAATAAACAAACAGTTTAAATTGCACAATTAAACTATAAAATTCAACACTGACTGCAAACTGGCTTTTAAAATGTGTAGACCTATCACCCTACTATGTTTTATCTCTTTTACCAAAATTCTGTCAGTTCACCTATTTTGTTACATAGGTATTTTCTCCCTTCTGTAGTCAGACTAAACTATATTCTAATGCCAATGCTACAAAAAGGGAAGCCAGGTAATTGAAGCACCAGGCTGCATGAAATGTTCTAACGGGAATCCAGTGCTATGAAGACACTATGGATTCTAATGGGAATCCAGTGCTATGCTATCCTGATAATAAGCCCACACCTCTAGTTCAGCATTTCTCAACCTTGAGCTACTGGCGTTTTGTGCTAGATAATTTTGTGTTGAGGCGGCTGTCTTCTGCAGGGTAGGATGTTTAGCAGCGGCCCTCGGCTCTACCCTCTAGATGCCAGTAGCACCCTCTCCCAGCTGTAACAATGAAAAATGTCTCCAGATATTGCCAAATGATCCCTGTGGAATAAAATCACCTCAGGTGGAGAACCACCATTCCAGAAGAAAGTTTATAAATCACAGTAAAATCCTTAATGGATCTCAAAAAAGGAGAAAAGGAAAGAAAGATACCATGAAGAACAAGAATAATAAAAATAAACGTAGGCTGAACATTTTTAAAAGACAGAGGTCTAGCACACTTCTAAAAGTCAGGTGAGGAATTACCCAAGATTGCCTTTCTTTTTGAAGAAGACACTTAAGAACCAAATGTAGCTTAAGTCTGAGTTTTCTTAAATAAATGTGTTAGTAAATCTTTATTTTTTGTGTGTGACCAAACACTCATCATTAGCACTTATGTGCTTGCTTCTTACAGAATGGACAGATTACCGTGTCTTGAATTTTGAAACCAAGGTTTATATCCAAACTACATCACTTACAATTCACTGGCCTTCAACAAATTATATCATCTTTCACATTAGTTATTAATATATATAATGGGGAGAATAACACTCCTTCATGTGGGTTATTGTGAGGATTAAAAGAGATTACAACAGGCATCTATTATAATGCCTATTACAAAACAGGTAAATAATCAATATTTTCTCCTTTCCTCCTCATAAAGTTTAACAGGTAAGAAAAAACTGCAGATGGAAGGGATCCTGGGATGTCACCACAGGCAAGAGGACATAAAAAGCATCTGTTCTGGAAACAGGAAGATTGAGGGAGAAGGAGCCCAAGAAAGCAGAGAGCAGCAGTCACAGAGTCAGGCAAGCTAAGAAAAATCCAGACCCAGTCCAGTCGCCACCTGGTGTTGAATAACTGGGTGTGTTTTACTGTTTAATTTAGGCATTTTCCTCACTTTCCTTTTTTAAAATTTTATAAAACTTCTGATTGTTTCTTAAGAGATTTCATGGTGCTTTTAAATTTATACATTAAGGAGTTATTCTTGACCATATAATATTATCTTTGCATATAGTATATTTTAAAATGCTGATAAAAATGCTGTGTCTAGTATCTACGACTATTCTTTTAAATATAGACTTTATTTTTCAGGGCAGTTTCCGGCTCAGAGCAAAATCAAGTGGAAAGTACAGAGAATTCCCATACGCTGCTTTCTATACGCAGGCACAGCCTCCCCGGGGACTGTCAACATCACATCAACTTCAAAACCTGTTCTATGGGCCTTGACAAATGTACAATGACATATAGTCACCATTGTAAATCATACAGAATAATTTCACTGCCCTAAGAATGCTCTGTGCTCTGCCTATTTTTCCCTCCCACGAAGTCCCTGATAACCACTGATCTTTTTACTGTCTCCAAAGTTTTGCTTTTTCTACAATGACATAGAGTTGAAATCATAAAGTATGTAGCCTTTCCAGACTGGCTTCTTTCACTTAGTATAATGCATTTAAGATTGAATCCTCCATGCCCTTTCATAGTTTGATAGCTCATATCTTTTTAGCACTGAATAATATTTCATTGTGTCAACGTACCACATTTATCCATTCACCTACTGAAGGACATCTTGGTTGTTTCCGAGTTTTGATAATTACAAATAAAGCTGCTATAAGCTTCTGTTCCATGTGCAGGTTTTTGTGCAGACATAAGTTTTCAACTCCCCTGGATAAATGCCAAGGAGAGAGACAGCTGCATCATATGGTAACAGCATGTTTAATTCTACAAGAAACTGCAAAACCATCTTCCAAAGTAGCTGTACCATTTTGCATTCCCACCAAGAATGAATGAGAGTTCCTATGGCTCCACATTCTCACCAGCATTTGGTGTTGTCAGTGTTTGGGATTTCAACCATTCTAACAGGTAGGTAGTGATATCTTAACGGTTCTAATTTGCAACTCTAATGGTACATGATGTTGAGGATCTTTTCACATGCTTATTTGCCATCTGTATATCTTCTTTGGTGAGGTGTCTGTTAAGATCTTTGACCCACTTTTAAAATCAGGTTGTTTTCTTATTGTTAGGTTTTAAAAAGTTCTTTGTATATTTTGAGTAACAGTTCTTCATCAGATGTGTCTTTTGCAAATATTTTCTCCCCGTCTCTGGCTTGTCTTTCTGTTGATGTTTTCACTTTTTTACTTACTTTCTCACCTCTCTATTCCACTGAAAATTTGTTTCATTTCTAAGTTAAGGGAAAATATCTTTAAAAAAAAAAAACAAAAAAAAAAACTACCAGATATATTTGCTTATTTAGGCTTGAGAAGATAACTGAAAAGCTGAGACCATTTTCCTCTCTGACCCTGGTACAGGAGAGAGAGAAAAAAGATTGGAAAGAACAGCTAGTTTGCAGCAGTTATAAGATAAGCAAACAAGCCAATACCTGGGACCTTCAGAAGAGAAGAAGGCGGAACTAGCTGGAGATCAAGAAATGAACCCAAGCTCAGGTCCTCAGTCTTGCTAATAGGTCACCGAACATGAGCTGTCTCACCTGTAAAATGATGTGTGCGCTGTATGTCTGTGAGTGTGAGAAAATACATATTCGAAAAGGATCTCAAATGTGCATGTTTGGCACTATCTACAAATACAGTTATTCATGTAGAAAGAGATGCACTGAAAAACTGAATATCTAAAAGTAGTCGTTTTATAAAATTTTTATTGTTGAAGTATACTGGGATCTTCAAGAACTGGAATGGCCCAGGTCTCTGTTCTCCTCTGAGTGGTCCTATTTAGACCATGCTCTCTCTAGCCACAGTGACTATTGGTACATTGCATACAACTTATTCAACTCTTTGGGTGAATTTCTACTCTTGGCCCTCGATTAGCATTCACCAAGTGATGATCTTAATAATATATACAAAAGTTTTAAGTACAAAATATTCTGTAGGCACAGAGGCTCATGCCTGTAATCCTAATACTTTGGGAGGCTGAGGTGGGAGGATAGCTTGAGCCCAGGAGTTTGAGACCAGCCTGGGTAATGCAGCGAGACCCCAACTCCACAAAAATTTAAACATTAGCCAGGTATGGTGGCTTGCACCTGTAGTCCCAGCTACTTGGGAGGCTGAGGTGAGATGATCACTTAAGTCATGGAGGCCAAGGCTGCACCGAGCTATGATCATGCCACTGCACTCCAGCCTGGGCAAAGGAGCAAGTCCCTATCTCAAAAACAAGAACAACAACAACAAAACCACACATTTTTCTACCCAGAAGAAATACACAGGTCCTCAGGTATGTGACAAACAGTACTTTCGAAGATTTCAACCACACATACAGAAAAAAACCACACACACACATATACATGTAAAAGAAAACCAACACAACAAGCAATTTATAACATATTCTGGGTTTATTTTCCTTCCAAATTCATTTTTTCAAAGTTGTTTAATGACATATCAAAAAGTCTCTGCCTAAGGAAATAACACATGGCATGAAATAGCAAGGTAAAATTCAGAGGCAAGCACTTTTCAAAAATGTACACACCTTTGAGTGGTTTCATCTTTTTAAACGGTAAAATCTAATTTCCCCTGAAAAAAGAGGTGTTGTCTACAAGAAATGCTAACCTTAGCCTACCTTCAAATCTCTGTAATCTCTGTAATCTGCAAGGACTGAGACATTATGAAACTGGACTGAGCATCATCAGCTAATCTTGGCAATGGTTGCTGAAGAGATATTATTATACATTATGGAACTTCCTGGAATAGGGAAAAGCACCATGGAAGGTATGGGTGTGAAAGGGCATTTGAGTACAGTGATTTGGAGTTCTGGAAACAAACAGACCTGAATTTGGGTTTGAGGTCTGCTACTTACCAACTGGAAAACCATGGGCAAACTAACCTACCTTTACTGGCTTTAGTTTCTTCATCCGAAAATGAAAATACTACCACCTCACTCATAGAGTTTGGTGGTATCACTCACTGATAATTTGAAAAGATTATGTACATAAAATATTTAGCACAGTGCCTGACCCCAGGAGGTTTCAACAAATGGTAGGACCCACTTACATAATCGCTAATTATGTAAATAAATACTAATTAAAATAACCACAACCAAAACAACTATAGTCTGGAGGTCTACCAGGAGGCTGTGTCTTGTTAAGTCTCATTTAAAAGCTTACTGAGAATGGCACCGGAGTTTCACTCATTCAGGTGTCCTGTGAATGACAATGATCAGGTCATTGTCCCTAAGTTTCCTTCCACTTCCCTCATTAGTGCAGGCAGTCATCATTAGGACTATTCAGAACCACTAAAGAAGGTTTAGTCACAATCATGTCCCACATTTTTTTACTTAAGGGGTCTATAGGGAAGATATCAGTAGTGGATAATTTTCATAACAGTGATTATCACTCATCTGGGAAGGCAATAATTCTAAATCTTTTTCCTACATGACACACCTTAGGGATATACATTCCCATCTGTATTAGTGGTTCCACTGTTTCCATGATTGAGTTGAGGGCTCAATCTACAAACACTTACTGAGTGCCAACTATGAACTGGTTACAGTGTTAGGGATAGACGGATTCACAAAATCCACGTGCTCCTTACCCTTTGGAGAGCTGACCACCTAGCACAGTGTTCTACAACCTTTGTCATCCATTTTATATCATGACCTACTAATATATTTGTGCACAGGTGTATGTTTGCACATAAACAGACGCATATGAAAGTTTTACTAAACAATACCCTTACTGAAATAAGCCAGGTTCAGAAAGATAAATACTGCATGTTCTCACTCATATGTGGAAGAGAAAAAAGTTGATCTCACAGAAGTAGAGAACAGAACAATGAGTACTAGAGGCTGGGAAAGGTGTGGTGTGGGACGGTGGTATAGAGAAAGGTTGGTTAACAGTTACAAAGGTAAGATCTAGATTGGAAGAATAAATCCTAGTGTTCTGTAGCACTGTAGGGTGACTACAGTTAAATATAATTTATTATATATTTTCAAATAGCTACAAGAGAGGATTTTTAATATTCCCAACACAAAGAATAATAAATGCTGGAGGTGATGGATATGCTAATTACCCTGCTTGTGATATAGGAGTTAAGAGAATACTATTTAGGCAGATAGTAAGGGTAAGAAGTCCTCAGTAAGGTTTTCCTTTTAAGGAAAAGTAGCCCCCAAATCATTTTCTTGTCTAACAAAGAGCAGCCAGTAAAATCGAGCTGCAAACATAGACAAGCAAGCTGGAAGCTTGCATGGGTGAATGCCAGCAACTGTGCCACTAGGAAAAGACCACCTGGGGGCTAGGTAGGTCCAACACGGCAGCTCCATCTTCCCCTTTCCTTGTCAACCACGTGCACAGTAAGTAAGCAGGCAACATGGCACAGGCCAAGTAGAGACCCCATTTGCATAGTAAAAGATTAGGGTGGAGTGGCCAGCTTCTTCACGTGCTATGTAAACATCACACCTGGTCCAACCAATCTTCGGGCCCTATGTATATCAGACACCATTTCTTCAAGCCTGTCTATAAAACCCTGTGCACTCTACTGCAGGCTGGAAGTCTCTCTTGTAGGAGAGGGAGCTGTTCTCCTTTCTCTTTCTTTTGCCTATTAAACCTCTGCTCTTAACCTCACTCCATGTGTGTCCGTGTCCTTGATTTCCTTGGCATGAGACAACGAACCTCAGGAATTTACCCCAGACAATGATGCCGCTTCACTTGGAGCATTACATCTGGTATACTTGTATTGAAATATCATACTGTACTCTATAAATATGTAAAGTATTCTATCAATTAAATATTGGCCAGGCATGGTGGCTCACACGTGTAATCCCAGCACTTTGGGAGGCCATGGCAGGCAGATCACTTGAGGTCAGGAGTTCAAGACCAGCCTGGCCAACATGGTAAAACCCTGTCTCTACTAAAAATACAAAAAAAAAAAAAATTGGCTGGCTAGGCGCGGTGGCTCACACCTGTAATCCCAGCACTTTGGGAGGCCATGGCAGGCAGATCACTTGAGGTCAGGAGTTCACGACCAGCCTGGCCAACATGGTAAAACCCTGTCTCTACTAAAAATACAAAAAAAAAAAAATTAGCTGGCTAGGCGCGGTGGCTCACACCTGTAATCCCAGCACTTTGGGAGGCCGAAGTGGCTGAAATACCTGAGGTCGGGAGCTCGAGACCAGCCTGACCAACATGGAGAAACACTGTCTCTACTAAAAATACAAAATTAGCCGGGCGTGGTGGCAGGTGCCTTGTAATCCCAGCTACTCGGGAGGCTGAGCCAGGACAATCGCTTAACCCAGGAGGTGGAGGTTGCGGTGAGCCGAGATTGCGCCATTGCACTCCAGCCTGGGCAATAAGAGCAAAACTCCATCTCAAATAATAATAATAATAATAAGCTGGGCGTGGTGGTGTGTGCCTGTAGTCCCAGCTACTCAGGAGGCTGAGGCAGGAGAATCGCTTGAACCCGGGAGGCGGAGGTCACAGTGAGGTGAAATTGCACTACTTCACTCCAGCTTGGGTGACAGAGTGAGACTCTGTCTCAAAAAATATAAAATAAAAATTTAATAACAAACAATGCCCTTACACTCTATTTTTTTTTAACCTAGTTGGGTTATTTTACTATTGGCTGCGACGCACTAACCTAACACCTGACACACGAATAGGTTGCAACCCACCATTAGCAACACTTTGGTCCAGCATGCCATGCCCTGCCATGCCTCTTCCGTGCCCTCAGCCCTTTAAGTACAACTATGTTAAAGCCCTCAACTAACTAGTTCACTATGAACACCCAATAAAAGTGTAAGCATACTCAACAAAACATTTTCTTCTGGAAAAAACAAAACGAACTGTCTACTATTTTTCTCATGCTAACATTTTCTATTAGATACCTACTTGTTCTGATAAAATGTAACCAAAAACAATAAAACCTCATGGAATTACGAAGATTCTTTTGTTGATTCTGGGAGGAAGAGAATGGCTAAACTTGGTGCCAAATTGTCTCCAAACCAGGAAACATCAAGTAACCCAGTCAATGCCTCTCATTCCTGCTAGTCCTGGGGTTTCCTAAGTCATCATGCAAGGACCACTTGCAGGGATTAGTTCCTATCACTTGGTTTAACTCTGCAATAAAGCTTCACTCATGCTGACCTCAGTTATTTGAAATTTGGCTTAAAAACTTTAAACATTTTTTTACTCACTGTATTAGTCTGTTTTCATAGTGCAATAAAGAAATACCTGAGATTGGGTAATTTATAAAGGAAAGAGCTTTAATTGACCCACAGTTCTGCATGCCTGGGGAGGCCTCAGGAAACTTACAATCATGGCAGAAGGGAAAGCAGGCACATCTTACATGGCAGCAGGGGAGAGAGGGCGTGGGAAGGAAGAACTTTCAAACAGTTTTAAACTCATCAGATCTTGTGAGAACTCATTCACTATCATGAGAACAGCGTGGAAGGAAACCACCCCCATGATCCAATCACCTCCCACCAGATCTCTCCTTTGACATCTGGGGATAAAGGGGATTACAATTCAAGATGAGATTTGGGTGGGGACACAGCCAAACCATATCATTTACCGTTCACCTTCGCCAGTCTAAGAAGAGACTGATGAGCAGATTAAGAGCAAAAGAAGACTGTGAGAAAAATGTTTACCTTGTTTAAGAAAACAAACTTATCTAGCATCATGAAGCTCACAGCACAATATACCAGTGTGATAAATGCTCATTGCAAATCATTTTTATGTATTTCTTAAAGCAGGTCTGGCAGGACTTCTATTTGGCAAAACAATCAAATTTGTTAAGAATGCAATTTGTACTTTAATGAAGCTGCATTTATTTTAAAATATTAAGGCTATGATTCAGAATAGCATGTTCAAAATTTTAATGAGTCCTTGAAGTTATTCTGTTGGTAAGGGTGTATGGTATTAAACACCTTAATCCCTAAATACTGGTTTCACAGGCACAAACCTCAAATTTTTCAATGTAAAGGAGACTGTTCTAGTATTCTCAATCTAAGAGTCAGAAGGAGTTAAATTTTTATCCACTCAAAATAAATTTACGTGATACAGAAGAAATATCAAATATTGCTTTGTTGTTCTTAATCGTGACCCTCTTTAAGACAATTCTACAGTCACCCATTTAAATGTCCATTATACTGAACCTTAAATTCTCAGTTCTCTCCAGCTCTAATGATGACTCAACCTTCCAATAATTTCAAATACTCTAGAGATGTTTTAAAAAATTCTAGGGCAAGGCCTTGAAAAATTACCAATTGGGTACCATGTTCACTATCTGTGTAACAGTAACACTAAAAGCCCAATCTCCACCAGTATGCAATAAACCCATGTAAAAAATATGCACATGTACCCCTGAATCTAAAATTAAAAAAAGTTTAAATAATTCTATAGTTCCTTAGTTTATATCACAAAACATGCACTTCCCTAAAATGCCCTGTGCACATGAAAATATTTCTATTACTTTTGCCCCTACTATATTCCATCTAGAATACGGTCACAGAAGAATGAAAGTGGAGTGAAAGGTAAGAAAGAAAAGTGAGATGATAAGAAAGGGAGGAGGAAAGGGAATGGACAAAAATTAGATGGTCTTTTATCCAACATTTAGCACAGGCACAGAACAATGAGGTTGTCATCACTCTAAACTAATCCACATTAACTGACTACAAAGATGATAGAAAAATGAAATTAATGCATCCATAAAAATGCAGTTCTATAGATGCCAAGATGGGCATTATCCAGAAGCGACTGTAGAAGGACTCTGCTGTTTCTCAGTAGTGGTCACCCTTTGCCTTCAGAACACATGGTCTTCTTAGTGATATTTCCATATCAGATGGTGAGATTTGTGTTTCCCAAACTCAGTCTGACCATAAGAACAAGTAGTGAAACTTGTTAAATATAGCAGCTCCCAGTACCAGCCTCAGAACTACTAAGCCAACATCTTTAGAGGAGAAGAATCTGAACTCTCTAACTGATGGCAAATTCAGGCTGTTGGCTGCTTGCCTTCTTGCCAGGCAGCTTCCTTCCAGCTCTTCAAGCAAGTGAGCCATACGGCCACTCACACAGCTGCTCTCGATAAAGGATTAATGGCTTAAAAAGTAAAGTTTAGACAGAGCTATGGAAGCTAATTTAGGAAACACAGGACTAAATTCCAGTAAGGTAAAGAAGGGGGCAAACTGTGGTAACAGCGACCACGAAAAATGTTTGTCTAGGCTCAAATATTTAGCCAACATGCATTTTAGAAACTCCAAAGTGAAATGCAACACAAACCTATGGCTGTACTGTCTCTCTAGCTCAGCCTGGGGATTATGTGTATATTCCAAAGTTTCACATCACCATGGGATTTAGAATGTAATAATCATCCAAAACACGGCATGAGTCCCTAAATACATTTATATTCTTGGGTCTCTTGAATAATAATAGTCTGGAATGAAAAAGCTCTAAAGACCAACAATTCCTTCCTCTGCAACACTCAGGGGTGAGAAGGAAAAGCCACATCAGATCAAAGAGCAAATAATTACCTTCTAACATTCTTCCTGCCATTTTCATTTCACTTTTATTAAATACAAATTATGGTCCAAAAATTGCATCTCTGAAGTGAATCATTTAAAAAATAATATAGGTATACACATACCAGGGATGTTAGCCAAGAACTGATTCAGCAGCTGTGTGCTTAAATGATAAGAGCAACTCAAGTAAATTCTCAACAGTAAATTCCTCTGAGGCAAACTTCTGATTCTCTCCCTTCCATGTTCTCTTTAAGTGCATTCTGCGCATCATATAGTACTATATACATCCATAACACTTCATAAATAATACAAAATAAATGATGTCTATAGATCCAGGCCTGAAGGGATCAATTCTTAGGCATAGTTCCAAAGGTTAATTTTAACCAGGTGGAAATTATGCCAAACACCCTCGAATGTACTGCTGAAATATTCTTAATTCCAAAGCAAAATATATAATCAAAATGTGCAATATAGTTGGCCATTTTGAATGGGTTAAGTGTCAATGACAAGAAACCAATGAATAAAATCTATTCAGCTCCACATTTTCTGAAATGTCTAATGTTGCCACCACATTTTGAACAAAAACTAATCAGTTCTCAGTTTCTCAGGATAATGGCATGGGGAGAGGAAAACAACAGCATGGATACTGCAAGAGAATAAGACATAAAAAGTTATCTAGCATTGTTTAAATGTTCATGTTTCCTTGGGGATTTTCTTTGGAGACTGATTAAGTTGCATTTTTATTAGGCTAGTAATAAAGCTAATTTTATTCTTTAAGTAAAAATGCCTGACAACAGGGAAAGAAGATTTAGTCTATGTTCAAGTTCCAATTTATTCAAGTAGTAGGACAGAAATTTTTAAATGCTGCAAACAGCTAGATAATCCATGAACGGCAGTTTCTTCTTCTGCATAATGAGTACAAAACATTCCAACATACCACAAAAATTACTGAAGATTAATTAAGAATATATTCTACACCACTTGAGAAATACAGGCTTATACAAAGATACAGAATTGCACTTGCAAATTCACCATGTCTTCTTATGATTATTTAGCATATAAGTTCCCAATTCCTTGCCGCCCATGATAACAATTAAGAAGGTAACAAGGCTGGGTGCGGTGGCTCACACCTGTAATCCCAACACTCTGGAAGATCAAGGCAGGAGAATTGCTTGAACTCAGGAGTTCAAGACCAGCCTGAGCAACATATAGTGAAACTCCATCTCTACAAAAAATGCAAACATTACCCAAGCATGGTGGTGTCCTATAGTCCCAGCTACTTGAGTCTGTGGTGGGAGGATGGCTTGAGCCTGGGAGGGTAAGGCTGCAGTGAGCCATGATCGTGCCACTGCACTCCAGCCTGGGTGACAGAGTGAGACCCTGTCTCCAAAAAAAAAAAAAAAAAGTAGCAAGATAGGAGTTTCTACAGGAATTCCAGTCAATTCAAGTCCAGCTAACAACACTCACTAAATAACTAAAATAATTTTTATTCCATGTGATGAGTAACTCTAACGAAATGCAATTAAAAGAAGGCAAACTGGACTGAAGTAAGAAAGGAAACTGAGAAATCTTACAGTGTTATCATTTAGTAGTAAGTCATGGGGAGAAGGGGCAGCAAATACGAAACTAAACAGCAGCAATAACAATGCCAGACCATGATGGATAATTGCAGCTCAGACTGCAATTATTTTTTAATTGTTTGATGGTATTTGTCATTACATCCTGACAACTACATGCATCTGCATTCTTCTAATGAAATATACTCCACAAAGTTTGTTGAGACTAAGGTCATACTTTAAAAACTATCCATAAAAATATATATTGGCAGGTCACATTTGAAAACACTATGTAATCCAGGGAGAAAACTAGGGAGGCCTTTAGTTTCATTTCTGAACATCTATGCACTGGGTAGTGTCCCATAGGGTAAAACCAGGCAAGGGAAACACTCAGCCTAAAAGAGAAATCTAGTGGGTTCTTTGCTGTCTGATAGATGAAGACAAGCAGCACTCGAGACCTGAAATCTAAGGTTCATATCATACTGGAGGGAAAAAAAAAACCAGCTATTAAATCTGTGTAGTACATAAAAAAGAACCCTGAAATATAAACAATAGAAATTTATGTGTTAAAAACATGTGAAGAGTTACCATGACTCATGGATATCAATCGAATAAGCATCCTTGAAATCACAGGTTGCTATATCTTTCATAATTACATTTCTATCATAATGTTAATAGTTAATATTTTTCTGTTGTTGGATAAAAACTATAATTTTTAATTATGAAAATCCTCCTGAAAGACTGCTACTTAACAAACATTTTGGGACAAAAGTGTTAAGAATAAAGGTTAGTTTTCTCCCCAGCAAACCTGCAGTAATTCCATAATCTCAGTTATCAAAACCACCTATTTCTTGCCCTCTCACAATTTACCTTTCTTGGATTTGGCTCCGATCTTCAGTTTTGATGGCCAAGCAATCTGCGTATTTGTTTCCTCCATGATCTGTAACAAAAATTGAGAGAAATATTGACTCAATTAAAAACTTGTATTTACAGATAAGATTTTTCACACACAAAAAAGTTTATTTTCAAGTTCCTAAGTTCATGTTCATACAAAATGATCTCATTTGAAAACAATGCAAAGAAAAAAAAAACCCTGGGGGGAAAAGAGATGTTTTTATAAGCCTTTAATCTATTAGAAATATTCAAATATATTTTGTTACTCCCAGTGTTCCTCTCCACAATGCTTCAGAATTTTAACATAGACACAAACCAAAAAGTACATGAACAAGTAATTAACCCAACTTGATGCCAGAACCATCAGAGATGCTTGTGCTGAATAAAATTCCCCAAGACAATTGCCAAGGGATTGCAACACACCAAACATGATTCCTGTAATACAAAACTGCATGAGTTAGACCATACTAAATGAAGATTTTTTTCCCTGGGGGAAAAAATAACTTGCTTTGGGTGCATTTGTATTTCATTAAAACTGATGAAAACCCTCTAAACGCGACATCACGTCGTAAGACTGCATTCCCCATCATCCTTTGCCTGGTTCAGAATGGCATTTTTGCCAAAGGTCCTTCCCACTTGCACATGCAGCTAACACTGTCTAGGAGGTCTCAAGACCTGAATGAGTGGAAGCACCAGGACAAGTGAGGGAAGCAACGACTGCCCAGCAACGGAAATGGACGGTAAATAAGAAAAGAACAGGATTTAAAATGTGCGTCCTCTGTTCCTCACTAATTTTACGTGAATTACACTAGATTAATGTTTGCTCATGTAAGACAAACATAGAATTAACCAAACTAATAGAGCAAACTACTAACCAATATGCAAACAGCAAAAAAAAATCATGTATTAATTTAATCACTTGAATTAGACTGGGATAATATTTATCTTTAATATGGATTGAGAGTTCATTAAATATATTAATGGTGAAAACAACCTAAACACATCAAGGGTGCAATCAATAATAAGTACCTTTTTCTCCTCAGTACTGGCTACGTACCGGGCACAAGGAAATGGTTCACATACATCAAACTTCATGAGCCCCCTTTATCATAATATAAAAGGGCTTACAGCAGATGTTTCAGACTGTAAGCCCACAGATGCATTTTGTCTATTCATTGTAAGGTTTTTTAAAGTTTGAGCCAACATTTTTAAATCTGGGAACTTCATAGAACAATTCAGATTTCTGGTTCTCTGGAAAACTTGGCAAATTTAGCACAGACCACTCACATTCCCACATGGCAATGCTTGGCTGGCACTGAGAAACAGCTGCCCCCTTGAGTCAGGGCCAGCAGGCTCTGAGCTGCTCCCAGTCCCTACTACTTCTCTGACTGCGAGGTCAAAGGCCACTTGCCATCATCATCATGGCATTGTACTGCTCACTTGCCATTTATCATGGTGTTTGCTGTTTTTCTCAGAGCAATATTTCTCTACACTTATGTCTCTATTAAAAATTGAACAAAAGTTAAGCCCACACTGTCTTCACTAAGTCAAGGTACTGGTCTGGCCCTGAAGGCAGGTGAGCTCGTTACCTTAATCCTACAGCACCTGGCCCCGGCTGCTGCTTCTCTCATTCATGCCTGTCTCTGCTAATGTGTTTACTGTTTGCACCATTAACTTGGTTAGTTAAGTCTAAACCACTAGTAAAAAAGAAAAAATGTTATCTTTCTCAACTCCCTCTGCATCAGCCATGATGCCACCCCAAAAACATGCCCAGCAGGCTCCCCTTCTGAGTCCCTGCATTCACTATTATCTCTTCCTCAGAATTTCCTGTCCCAGCCCCTTCTCATGCTCAGACTTCAGCTGCCATCTTGTCCAACTCCCCATCCTTTTCTACTCTCACACCAACCCAACCACAATTATTTTTCCCACCTCACTGTGTTTATTTCCCTCCTAACCCTTATTGCAAGTGGAAATCCTCTTATTTTCTGAACTTACTTATTTACAACCTGTTTCTGCAAAACAGAAACTAAGTTCTCTGCCCTGTATACAGCAGGCCCCGGATTTAACTAGTTTCAGAATTTTCCCCTAAGTTACTTAAGACTCTCAAAGAGATAAGATAGAAAAATAAGGCTGCATGCAGTAGCTCATGCCTATAATCCCAGCACTTTGGGAGACTGAGGCAGGAGGATTGCTTGAGGCCAGGAGTTTGTGACCAGCCTGGACAATATAGTGAGACTCCGTCTCTACAAAAAATACAAAAATTAGCTGAATGTGGTGGCACATGCCTGTAGTCCCATCTCAGGAGGCTGGAGCAGGAGGACCACTTGAGCCCAGGAGTTCAAGGATGTAGTGAGCAATGATCATGCTACCACATTCCAGCCTGGGCTACAGATTGAGACACTGTTTAAAAAAAAAAAAGAAAGAAAGATAGAAAAATAAGATCTTACTATAATGTTGCTATTGGTGGGGAGGCAGTAAGAAAACAATCTACATGCTTTTCTTTTTCTGAATTAAATAATGCAGTTGCTTAATCCAGTAAATGAAGTCAAGGGCCATATTATGATACTGTAATAGATAAGTTTGCCTTTTGACATATGTGTAGAAGACCTAACTTTCTGAAATCTTAAATCATTAGTAGAAGTGCCCAGAAATAACCCTGCATGTACACTTATTTTATTAAGCACCAATAGATGCCCATGACAGAAAATAATATGCCAGAGAAAATATCCTAAGAGCAGCAGGTAACTGCCATCAAGTTGGGAAGACAGCTTTATACACACTCCCTCTAAGCCACACTACAACTCCCTGTCTATACCGTGCAGAGAAGTGGGTTCACAAAGACCACTCTCAACCTACTCACATCAACACTGTGTTTAAGGGAAAGTGGGGTAAGCCCAAGCCTCCAATCCTTAATTCTAAAACTAGAGCTCTGTATACTGTACCACACGACCTCTAAAGTTCTATGAGCCACAGTAAATGCCAAACCTCTTAGAGAAAACAAATTGCCAGTAATTAGAATTTGACATCTGGAGCTGACCTCTCCTATATGACTAGAAAAAAAGTGACTCTCTGGAACACCATTTGTGGCCAGCTAATGCCAACTCTTTGGATCATTCATGAAGCTGCTGGCCCCACACAGAGCTCTGGCCAGATGCCTTTGCAGACATCCTTTATTTGTTCATCATTGTGTGTAATCTAGCCATTATGAGCAGGGACTCCGGAGACAAATACCAGCTCTGCTGCTTTCTAGGGGTGCTGTGTTGAGCGAATTACTTAACTTCTATCAATCTCAATTTCCTCCTCTGTAAAATCCTTTATCGTATCTATTTCTAAAGTTGTTGTGAGAACTTAAGAAAACCCAAAGCACATAGCATGGCACGTACTGAGTGCTTGATATTAGCCCTTGTATTTATGATGATATTAATAACTTTTGGTCAGACAGGCACTGTCCTAGATACTAGGGATACAACAGCAAACAAGATAATTCCTACCTTGCAGGAGCTCAGAATCTAACAAGGGAGAAGATAAGCCAACCGCCATCATGGTACTGTGTGCCATGTTTCAGAATGGGGCAGTGCAATATGAGCATGTACAGAGGGGATCCTAACCCGGTCGTGGGTAGTCAAGGAAAGCTACCTCAAGAAAATGCTTACTAATGCCGTGACCTAAAGGAGGAGAAAAAGTTGGCTCACTGGAGAAAAGGTGAAGAATGTGTCCCAGGCAGAGGAGGAGGGCATGTGGAAAGGTCTGGAAAAAGAAGAGAGGGCTGGTACCTGCAAGGCCCTGAGGGTGATTCAGTGCAGCCGAAGGGCTTCAAGGCTCACCCCACACATCCAGGACAGGTAACGTGTCTCTTGTCATCCCCACTGTCCTACGGCTGTGCACACTAATACCCTTCAAACTGACTTGAATTCATGACAGAAAGAGAAGCCACCAAGTACCTGTGCTTAACTGACACTCCCTACAAATAAATTCTGGCCAGTGCAGTGATTACACATAGGAAGGGGCCACACTTACTCACTTTCGGGAAGTCAAAATTTTCCTTAGGATGTGATCAATGAAGCTTTTAAAACCATCATCTACAATGACTCCAGGTCTATTCTTACAGCTTTGATATGGCACACTATTAATTTGTGACAGCCTCAGCCAGTGATGGGAGTAGTGGAGTGTGACGCATTCTGTCATGGGGGTGGGAGGTGGGGGAGGAAGCACAAGGTCTCTACAGGGGGTGTGGGTGGAGTTTGGTCTAGGAACTTCAGTACTGGAGCTAGATTATTGCATCCGGGGGCTGACAAGCACATCTCCTGCAGGGGGTGTGGGTGGAGGTTGGTCCAGGAACCCCAGTACTGGAGCTAGGTTACTGGATCTGGGGGCCGACAAGCACATCTCCTGCAAGTGGCATGGGGTGGAAGAAAGGGCACAAAGGCAGGAGATAGGGCAGTAAGCAAGTCAGAGGTTCTGTATCCACAAGCTATGCAAAAATATGTCCTAAATGTTCATCAAGGCAGGTAAATTAGGGAACTGGAAAAGGTAAGGCTAGGAAGATGTGGCTGAAATCAAAGAAGCTACAAAACCGCTGAGAAGAAAATGACTATTTGTTTCAGGGGAAATAAAAAACTCCACAGTGAGTTTCAACTAGTTGGTTTTTGATCTCTAAAAAAATTTCATTATTGTCCCTATTTGCACCTTCACAAAACCAAAACTGAAAGAATAAACTACTGATTTTGAATTATTTTCTATAAACATTAAAGTAACATTTTCAAAAACATCATGGAAATAAAGAGATAATTTTATGAATGCTACTATGGACAGAGACACTGACACTTTTTCAAGAGGATATTGTACATTTCTCACAATCCAATTAATTCCCAAAAAATCTGACAAGAAAATCACTTCCAAGAAACATGTGATATGTTTAAGTGAGTCAATATGTTGTCCAAAATGTTTAGTTTGCTTTCAAGGAATAATTCAATTAAGCGGATCATTCTGGTCATTCCCCACCCAAAATATGACGCTGATGCCTCCCAGTTGTGTGAAATGTTACCTGAAAGTTGGGAAACACGTTTAAAATAATTAGTACTTCCTTATGGTAACAAAACTATAAATATCATGCTGTCAGTTAAATTAGAGAATGCCAAGTTATGCAAAGCCACAAAATCTCCACGAAGAAAATGATGTCGTCTCAGCAGGGGGGTGGGGGAAGCCCTAGAGTGAATTCCAGCCAGTTTCTTAAAATCTTACTATTGTCCCTGTTTTCACCACCACAAAACCAAAAGAAAGCTCAAAGAACAAACATCTGATGTTGAATCATTGTCTATGAACATTAAAACACACATTAAGTATTTTAAAACTCTTGTTCTAACTCATAATTCTGGATGCTGTATGATTTTGCTATTTCAGGTAAGTCAGTTTCAACTTCCGGACATCCTCATTGACAAAAGAAATCTCTTCTCAATTTTACCAATCTCTGTTAGGGTTCCTTAGCTGCTCTCTTATACTAGCAATCTTATATGTCATAAGAAAAGAAGAGGTTTTGGAGGAGTCCATCTAAAAATGTAATTATTTGAATATATAATTGTTTTAAATTTCTGTTGTTAGATTTACTGTGCTCATTTCCTATAGGGAACTAATAATTGAAGTGTAACTTCATTCTTACGGTAATATCAGATTTGATGAATAGCAAATATTCATAGTAAAAAAAGGGCTTGCCCAAAGAATATCAATTTTAAAATATATGAAACAATTAAAATTAAGATTGTTGATGTAAGAAAATTTTTTTTTATATTTCATCTGCAAAAGTTTTTTTTTCATCATGAAAAATCTGATGAAGATAGCATGCTATAGATATGTAACAGCTTTGGAAGTTAAATAGTTATCTTAACTTTCCACTTTATATTTAAATTTTATAAATAGGAAGTAATGTTCCCTGATCCAAGACTTAAGTACTTCTTTTCCACATTAAAAAGGTACCAAATAAATATAAAATTGCATGTACCTGTTTTCTTTTCAGTTTCTGTGGGGCTTTGGCAGGTAGAGATAGGAAGGGAAGGTAATGTTTACAAAAGCTAGAATTACAAATTTTTTGTAATTAGAAGAAAGTCTGTAAGCTATTGAAAAAATTTCAGAGATTTACACTGAATCATTTAAGTAATTTCACTTTCTTGAAATAAACTGTTAAAGTTAGAATAAAATAAACAAGTAAAATCTAATCAAATTCTACAAGTAGTTTCATCCATGATAAAAATAATTTCCATTCATATTCTTCAATCCTCAAGTCATAATAGATTTATCTCATCTCCAACAAATTCCAGATTAGTATACCATGTGGAAAGAGAACATATCTACCAATGTTCACTAAACCATATATGTCGCAGGTTTGCAGCAATTACCGGATAATATCTTACAGATGAAGGAAACCTTTGCCAAGCCAGCAATATTCTACTAACATGCTTATTTCACCAAATTCTTCGCTCCCGACGTTAAGTTAAAAATCCACAGGTAAGTAATCAGCATCTCAGATCACCCCAAGACAGGTCTATTTATACTAACTTTACTAAAAATATTTATTCTTGGACCAGGAAAAGAACACTGAACTCTCTAACTCAACATTTATACTCTCTTCAAAATTCATCATTCAAAATGGCTACCAGCTGGGAGCCATCTGCAGCCTGTTTCTCTAAAAGACCAACTAATTTGTGCTCTATTTTCCTTATATTAATAGAGAAATAAGGTCTGTCCCTCATGGAGGAGGCTGTTTAAAGTTATTTCATGGACTAATAATGGACTGGTAGTCTATTCGCTGCATTTCACCATGAAGGGAGCTAAGTGAGAAAAGAGCCAACTAAGCGGAGATGGGAAAGTTGTGAACTTCTCACTCGAGGCGGCGTCTAAAAGCTGAGGATGTTTATTTTGCTGAGACATTAGAGGGTTCTGCTATATTTCATTGTAGTCCAAGAAAGGCCTACCAATGATTCAGTTATTCATCATCATCAGAACAATTCCTCATGTGCACCCAGTATTTACATACATTTTCCATTTATTCCTCACAATAATTTGTAAATCAGATAAACTTACTGTATAGCTGTGAAAATTAGGATTCAAAAAGGTTATATGGCAGACAGATATGTGGCAAAGTCCAGCTAGAATCCAGGTCATGTGACTCCTTGTGGAGGAGGCTCTTTCTGCCTCCCTTGGCCTATGAAGGAAGCAGAAGGCACCACATACTTAAGGGGAGGTCACTCTGAAAGCTCCACCTCTCAGAATTCAGCCATAAATGCTGAAGTAACTGAGCAGCAGCAGAGTGGCTATTTCCAAACACTCCCTGCCTTATTAATGATGAAATGACCCAGAGATAGCCCCCAAATGGTTCCCAAACTAGATTAGTGTCCCCACCACCACCCCCAAACACATATGGGAAATATGGGAAGCATTGTGGTTGTTAACAGCGATTAGGAGGTTTTAATGGAATGCCGTCAAGTGGCCAGGGTTATACTTGCTAAACTCTGAACAGAGGACAGGACAAATCCACTCAAAATGTCAATACAGATAGTCCACGCTTTACAAAGTTCCACTACGCATGAATTTCAGTTACCACAGCTTGGTTGAAAACCCACCAATCCCTCAACAACACAAGTTTACATTTCCATTACCATGATACACAAACTGTGAGTTGTTGCATCAAATACAAATTTCACTGCCAGCTCTTCAGTCCATAAATAACAGGTCTCATCTGGATCAGTGACCAATCACATTTCTCTTCTGAAGTTTGTTGGTGACTGCTCACGACATGGCTGTTATCAGTTCTGCACAGATGGCAACGCAAGTAGTCATGATGACTCCTTGTCTCCCAGTCATAAAACCACGTGGCATTTTACAAAAATGGGTAAATCAAAAGGGGAAACTGACCAACAAAGGTGAAAGTGCAGCAAGGAAACAAAAAATGACAATGCTGGAAATGAAATCTGAATCAGAAGTCAATGAGAACAGGAGAAGGAGATGATTGTGGGAATGCTGACATTGCTGATTATTTGAGTGACTCCAGATGCTCAGCCATAGGAACTTAGTGAAGATACATTTATTGATATGAGCAAGGAAGGGGCTGTGACAAAAAAGATGGAGATATGACCTAAAACCATAAAAACCCTAGAAGAAAACCTAGCCAGTACCATTCAGGACATAGGCATGGTCAAGGACTTCATGTCTAAAACACCAAAAGCAATGGCAACAAAAGCCAAAATTGACAAATGGGATCTAATTAAACTAAAGAGCTTCTGCACAGCAAAAGAAACTACCATCAGAGTGAACAGGCAACCTACAGAATGGGAGAAAATTTTTGCAACCTACTCATCTGACAAATGGCTGATATCTAGAATCTACAGTGAACTCAAACAAATTTACAAGAAAAAAACAAACAACCCCATCAAAAAGCGGGCAAAGGATATGAACAGACACTTCTCAAAAGAAGACATTTATGCAGCCAAAAGACACATGAAAAAATGCTCATCATCACTGGCCATCAGAGAAATGCAAATCAAAACCACAATGAGATACCATCTCACATCAGTTAGAATGGCGATCATTAAGAAGTCAGGAAACAACAGGTGCTGGAGAGGATGTGGAGAAATAGGAACACTTTTACTCTGTTGGTGGGACTGTAAACTAGTTCAACCATTGTGGAAGTCAGTGTGGCGATTCCTCAAGGATCTAGAACTAGAAATACCATTTGACCCAGCCATCCCATTACTGGGTATATACCCAAAGGATTATAAATCATGCTGCTATAAAGACACATGCACATGTATGTTTATAGCGGCACTATTCACAATAGCAAAGACTTGGAACCAAACTAAATGTCCAACAACGATAGACTGGATTAAGAAAATGTGGCACATATACACCATGGAATACTATGCAGCCATAAAAAATGATGAGTTCACGTCCTTTGTAGGGACATGGATGAAACTGGAAACCATCATTCTCAGCAAACTATCGCAAGGACAAAAAACCAAACACCGCATGTTCTCACTCATAGGTGGGAATTGAACAATGAGAACACATAGATAGAGGAAGGGGAACATCACACTTCGGGAATGTTGTGGGGTGGGCAGAGTGGGGAGGGATAGCATTAGGAGATACACCTAATGCTAAATGACGAGCTAATGGGTGCAGCACACCAATATGCCACATGTATACATATGTAACAAACCTGCACGTTGTGCACATGTACCCTAAAACTTAAAGTATAATAATAATAAAATTTAAAAAAAAAATCAAAAAAAAAAAAGATGGAGATATCCCTGAGGAAGTGATGCCACAAAAAACTTCACATTAAAGAAATTCTAGAAGATTTTTCACAACTTTGAAAGCACACAGGATGAAACACTGGAAGCTGATCCAGACTCCTGAGTATGACAATTCCCTAAGGCTTACAAAAGATGCTCTCGCCTTATTGTAAATTATACAACAAAAAGAAAGCACTATTCGAACTTAACAAGTTTTTACAAAGAAATAATACGTGTTAATTTTCAGTGTTTCCAACATTTAAATAGAGTGTACTGAATAAATATTAGTTTTACTTTTTTCATTTTCCTATACATTTATGACTGACAATAAAACAGACTAAATATTTTGACAAAAAATTTTAAAGGCTGTAGATCAATTAATGTTCCCATTGATTGATGAAAGTGTTTTGCACAGTTTCAACTTGCGTAGTCATTTTGATGTCCCCATAGGCCATGCAAAGTGAAGACTACCTTTCATGCTTCACTAAGAATTAGTAAAAGTTTCAAACTGGTCCACACTATAGGCAGGCTTAGCTAATTTATCTCAAAAGTTTAGAGAACTCCTACTTATCAATGAAAACCTAGTTCAAATGTGCCTTCCACTAAGAAAACTCCTCCAAAACTCTCCCCATCAGAGGTCACCTGTCTCTCTCTCTCTCTCTTTCTCTCTCTCATACTCAGTATATTGTGGCAACATTATAGTGCTCATTTCTTTAACAATATCACCAACAAGCTGGGCTCCTGGTGGCCAACAACTGTATCTCATTCATTTTTAAACCCTTAGAATCTAGCACATAGGATCTCAATAAGTATCATTAGAGTAAATTTAATGCTATAGTGATAAAGGAGATAACATGAAGAGAACAGAAGAGGCAACAATTATGTAAGGCTTTCCAATTATATGTCACGTGGACTGCTTACCAGAGTAAGTGAAACTAAGTGAATACTAAGTGAATATTTATTAGATGAAAGTAAGTCCTAAATCACTGGCAGGATTCTCCCAGGAAATATGTGCATGATAATGGAGAAAAAAACCCTCCAACCAAAATGCCTGCAGTAGTGGGGTGAGTGCAGTGAGTGAGAGGCAAACCGAGCCAAGCGAGGGCTGTGGAAAATGGGATGCCTCAGTTCTGTTGTTTCCATTCCAACCTTCTGCTAACACAGGCTCAGAGTGGCCACATCCACCCATTTTAAAAGAGCAGCCAGAAATCTAGAGTTTTGTGTTAAATTTCCTGATTTCTAAATGTTGGCACCTATTTTCCTTATGCAAAAACCACTTTGTGGGCCAAAGCAAGCATGGGTCCCACTTTTTGACCTCTGCTCCAAACCAAAGACAATTTTCGTGGTGTGTGGGTAGGTTATTTATGACGGCCTATAATGTTAGTGAAGAACAGGTCTTGGGGTTCCTCTGGGACATAAAAATATGTTTCTAAAAGCTACTTCATTCTCCAAGGAATAATTTCTTCAGAAATATTAGCCAGATCTTCTATCAGATCTCATGGGTAACTACAAAGAGATTTATTAAACTTGAACTATCAAGGTACAACTTGTATATAACTTGAATACAACAGTGTATAATTTGGACAACACAAATAATTCCTAGAGATCTACTGTAAAGCACACTGCCTGGAGATAACAACACTGTACTGTATACTTAATTTGCTAAGAGGGTAGATATTATATGAAGTGTTTTTCTCAGGAAAAAAACAATAATAAAGAGGACAGGAGGAAACTTTCAGAGAGGGTGGATAGCTTGTGGTGATGGTCTCTTGGATATATACTTATTTCCAAACTCATCAAGTTGTATACATTAAATATGTACACCTTCTTATGTCGATTATCCTCAATAAAGTCTTTTTAAAAAATGAAACTAAACAAACTTGGGGGAGGAACGGAAATAGTACTGATTTAACAAAATATCAAGCTACCAAACCTTGAATGCAATTTTCTAGTCTCCAATTTTTCATAAGACTAGTTACTCCAGTTACTGTAGATTCACACATGCTTTTTTAGGGAATACATTTTACTACTCAACTCAGTTCATCTCTTAAAGCAAATGACCCTACTTAGCTTAGTAGGTCCTGATGGCATCTATGCTGATGAGTAATAACAGATCAGCACAATAACTGAGATCTATAATGGCAACACTGAGATATCAAAAAGAGAGAAACTTTTATGTAGGCTCTACTGGGTGAGCAGGCAAGGAGGTAAGGATTAGGTTTGAGAAAGGTGCTTCCAGACAAAGAGTAAATATTGAAAGGAGGTATGTATTCATTGTGCTCCTGTAACAATTCCAAATGCCAGTGGATGAACAGAACAAAAGTTCATTTCTCCCCCATGTTAAATGGCCTACAAGGGTCAACAAGAGGCTCAGCTCCACACAGGCTTCACACAGTCACTCAGCGACTCAAACTAACAGAGATCCTTCCATTTTATAGCTGCCCATCTGGAATCCATGGTCCCTTCAGTCTCCTCATGGGAGAAAAACAGGAAGAATTCTGCATGGATCTTTTACTGCCATGGCCTGTAAGAAAAATGTATCTCTTTCACAGCCCATTGTCCATCATGAGACACATGCCCACGCAACTGAAAGGTGGCTGGGAAATGCGGAAAGCAATTAGAATATTTGGTGGGCACGACTGCCTCTGCCAGAAAAGTTTAGGGGTGTGGGGAGGGATTAAGGAAGGGGGTGTGTGTATGTATGTATTTTATTCATATTCCACTGTATGATAGCCCAGAGTTTACTTAACTCTCATCTTTTAATGCTGTATATATTCCTTAAAGAAGAGACAAAAGTAAACAATATGTTTATGGTGAAACACTACATAAAAAGGTCAGAATAATTTTGATTACTTCTTATCCCATACAGGTCCTTTCCCTGAATTATATCAAATTTGTAATGCATCAAGTTGAAATACTGGTAAAAAACACCTAATGAGCTCTAAAACTGAAAAGTGTCATATGCTTCAGCCACCCAAACCTTACCCATCTGACCAATTTCGGCAAAGTCAAATCAAATGGTAAAAGGGAGAATTAGCTGGTAAATGAGGAAAGTGTCAGTACTCAGCTTACACCACCGTGGACTGTTCCACTAACTTCTGTCCTCAGCACCTTGGGAATCAGTGGACTGAATGTTTGCTCCGCTTTGCTTGTACAAAACTGGCCAGGTCTGTACTACTACAAACTTTCAGAGTAACACATTCACAGAAAGAGTCTGAAAACACTGAAGAATTCAAGAACACTGTCTCTTGCTTTTTTCCTTTAAAACACATATTGCTCCTTTCAGAATCCAGACTCATAAATGTAACCTCTGAAGCAAGTTGCAACCTTGTTATGCCACCAGCTCCTTGACATGTTTAAACTGCACTCAATCTTCTGTGCACAAGTGAACATTTAAGCTGTCTACCCAGAATCCTGGAATCAACCTGATTATCTAAAAGGGATGCCACTCCCATTCCCATAGGTTGGTTTACCAATAGGCACGTGATCCAATCTGGGCCACAGACAAGGGAGAAGAGGTCTCATGGAAGCTTTTGAGAATGAAGCTTTCTGGCTTTGTAAGAGAATTACTAAGTTCTCTCTTTCTCTTACCACATGTGAACAAAGGCACAGGTAGCCCTGATGCCACAGGCTCCACCCATGAGCCATAAGGAGTACCAACCATCAGTGTGAAAGACAGAGTCAGAAAACACCTGGATCCTGGATCCTAGATCCTAGATGATATCGCAGAAAGGTTCTTGATCATTAGCACCAAAAACCTTTCTTTCTTTCTTAATACATGTTTTCTTGTTTTTTGTTGTTGTTGTTGTTATTATACTTTAAGTTCTGGGATACATGTGCAGAATGTGCAGGTTTGTTACACAGGTATACATGTGCCATGGTAGTTTGCTGCACCCATCAACCCGACATCTACATTAGGTATTTCTCCTAATGCTATCCCTCCCCTAGCCCCCCACTCCCCAACAGGCCCCAGTGTGTGATGTTCTCCTCCCTGTGCCCATATGTTCTCATTGTTCAGCTCCCACTTATGAGTGAGAATGTGTGGTGGTTGGTTTTATGTTCCTGTGTAGTTTCCTGGGAATGATGGTTTCCAGCTTCATCCACGTCCCTGCAAAGGACATGAACTCATTATTTTTTATGGCTGCATAGTATTACATGGTGTATATATGCCATATTTTCTTTATCCAGTCAATCATTGATGGGCATTTCGGGTGGTTACAAGTCTTTGCTATTGTAAATAGTGCTGCAATAAACATACGTGTGCATGTGTCTTTATAGCAAAATGATTTATAATCCTTTGGGTATATACCCAGTAATGAGATTGCCGGTGAGAGGTGAAGCCGGCTGGGCTTCTGGGTCAGGGGGGGACTTGGAGAAATTTTCTGTCTAGCTGGAAGATTGTAAACGCACCAATCAGTGCTGTTTGTCTAGCTAAAGGTTTGTAAACACACCAATCAGCACTCTGTAAAAACGCACCAATCAGTGCTCTGTGTCTAGCTAAAGGTTTGTAAATGCACCAATCAGCACTCTGTAAAACAGCCCAATGAGTGGTCAGTGAAATGGACCAATCAGCAGGACGTGGCGGCACCAAATAAGGGAATTAAAGCTGGCCACCCGAGCCAGCAGCGGCAACCCACTTGGGTCCCCTTCCACACTGTGGAAGCTTTGTTCCTTCACTCTTCATAATAAATCTTGCTGCTGCTCACTCTTTGGGTCCACGCTAACTTTAAGAGCTGTAACACTCATTGTAAAGGTCTGCAGCTTCACTCGTGAAGTCGGCAAGACCACGAACCCACCGGGAGGAACAAACAACTACGTATGCGCCACCTTTAAGAGCTGTAACACTCGGGGGAGGTTCCAAGATGGCCAAATAGGAACAACTCCAGTCCACAGCTCCCAGCGTGAGCGACAGAAGATGGGTAATTTCTGCATTTCCAACTGAGGTACTGGGTTCATCTCACTGGGGCTTGTCGGACAGTGGGTGCAGCCCACGGACCAGAGTGGGGCATTGCCTCACCCAGGAAGCACAAAGGATCAGGGAATTCCCTTTCCTAGCAAAGGGAAGCCGTGACAGAATAGTACCTGGAAAATCAGGACACTCCCACCCTAATACTGCGCTTTTCCAATGGTCTTAGCAAATGGCACACCAAGAGATTATATCCCGTGCCAGGCTTGGAAGATCCCATGCCCACGGAGCCTCACTCACTGCCAGCACAGCAGTCTGAGCTCGAACTGCAAGGTGGCAGCGAGGCTGGGGAAGGGGTGTCTACCATTGCTGAGGCTTGAGTACATAAACAAAGTGGCCAGGAAGCTCAAACTGGGTGGAGCCCACCTCAGCTCAAGGAGGCCTGCCTCCCTCTGTAGACTCCACCTCTGGGGGCAGGGCATAGCTGAACAAAAGGCAGCAGAAACTTCTGCAGACTTAAACGTCCCTGTCTGACAGCTTTGAAGACAGTAGTGGTTCTCCCAGCATGGAGTTTCAGATCTGAGAACAGACAGACTGCCTCAAGTGGGTCCCTGATCCCTGAGTAGCCTAACTGGGAGACACCTCCCAGTGGAGGCCGACTCACATGTCATACAGCCGGGTGCCCCTCTGAGACAAAACTTCCAGAAGAAGGATCAGGCAGCAACATTTGCTGTTCAGCAATATTTGCTGTTCTGCAGCTCCGCTGGTGATACCCAGGCAAACAGGGTCTGGAGTGGATCTCCGGCAAAATCCAACAGACCTGCAGCTGAGGGTCCTGACTGTAAGAAAGAAAACTAACAAACAGAAAGGACATCCATACCAAAACCCCATCTGTACATCACCATCATCAAAGACCAGAGGTAGATAAAACCACAAAGATGGGGAGAAACCCGAGCAGAAAAGCTGAAAATTCTAAAAATCAGAGCGCCTCTTCTCCAAAAAGAACGCGCCTCCTCGCCAGCAATGGAACAAAGCTAGATGGACAATGACTTTGACGAGTTGAAAGAAGAAGGCTTCAGACGATTGGTAATAACAAACTTCTCTGAGCTAAAGAAGGATGTTCGAACCCATCGCAAAGAAGCTGAAAACCTTGAAAAAAGATTAGACGAATGGCTAACTAGAATAAACAGTGTAGAGAAGACCTTAAATAACCTTATGAAACTGAAAACCATGGCACAAGAACTACATGACGCATGCACAAGCTTCAGTAGCCGATTTGATCAAGGGTAAGAAAGGGTATAAGTGATTGAAGATCAAATGAATGAAATGAAGTAAGAAGAGAAGTTTAGAAAAAAAGAGTAAAAAGACATGATGAACAAAGCCTCCAAGAAATACAGGACTATGTGAAAAGACCAAATCTACATTTGACTGGTGTACCTGAAAGTGATGGGGAGAATGGAACCAAATTGGAAAACATTCTTCAGGATATTATCCAGGGAAATTTCCCCAAACTAGCAAGGCAGGCCAACATTCAAATTCAGGAAATACAGAGAATGCCACAAAGATACTCCTCGAGAAGAGCAACTCCAAGACACATAATTGTCAGATTCACCAAAGTTGAAATGAAGGAAAAAATGTTAAGGGCAGCCAGAGAGAAAGGTCGGGTTACCCACAAAGGGAATCCCATCAGACTAACAGCAGATCTCTCGGCAGAAACTCTACAAGCCAGAATAGAGTGGGGTCCAATATTCAACATTCTTAAAGAAAAGAATTTTCAACCCAGAATTTCATATCCAGCCAAACTAAGCTTCATAAGTGAAGGAGAAATAAAATCCTTTACAGACAAACAAATGCTGAGAGATTTTGTCACCACCAGGCCTGCCTTACAAGAGCTCCTGAAGGAAGCACTAACCAAGGAAAGGAACAACTGGTACCAGCCACTGCAGAAACGTGCCAAATTGTAAAGACCATTGATGCTAGGAAGAAACTGCATCAACTAATGAACAAAAGTACCAGCTAACATCATAATAACAGGATCAAAATCACACATAACAATACTAACCTTAAATGTAAATGTGCTAAATGCTCCAATTAAAAGACACAGACTGGCAAATTGGATACAGTCAAGAGCCATTAGTGTGCTGTATTCAGGAGACCCATCTCATGTGCAGAGACACACATAGGCTCAAAATAAAGGGATGGAGGGAGATCTACCAAGCAAATGGAAAACAAAAAAAGCAGGGGTTGCAATCTTAGTCTATGATAAAACAGACTTCAAGTCAACAGAGATCAAAAGAGACAAAGAAGGCCATTACATAATGGAAAAGGGATCAATTCCACAAGAAGAGCTAACTCTCCTAAATATACATGCACCCAATACAGGAGCACCCAGATTCATAAAGCAAGCCCTTAGAGACCTACAAAGAGACTTAGACTCCCACAAAATAATAACGGAAGATTTTAACACCCTACTGTCAACATTAGACACAACAATGAGACAAAAAGTTAACAAGGATATTCAGGAATTGAACTCAACTCTGCACCAAGCGGACCTAATAGACATCTACAGAGCTCTCCACCCCCAATCAACAGAATATACATTCTTCTCAGCACATCACACTTATTCCAAAACTGACCACACAGTTGGAAGTAAAGCACTCCTCAGCAAATGTAAAAGAACAGAAATTATAACAAACTGTCTCTCAGACCACAGTGCAATCAAACTAGAACTCAGGATTAAGAAACTCACTCAAAACCCCTCAACTACATAGAAACTGAACAACCTGCTCCTGAATGAAAACTGGGTACATAACAAAATGAAGGCAGAAATAAAGATGTTCTTTGAAACCAATGAGAACAAAGACACAACATACCAGAGTCTCTGGGACACATTTAAAGCAGTGTGTAGAGGGAAATTTATAGCACTAAATGCCCACAAGAGAAAGCAGGAAAGATCTGAAATGGACACCCTAACATCACAATTAAAAGAACTAGAGAAGCAAGAACAAACACATTCAAAAGCTAGCAGAAGGCAATAACTAAGATCAGAGCAGAACTGAAGGAGATAAGAGACACAAAAAAACCCTTCAAAAAGTCAATGAATTCAGGAGCTGGTTTTTTGAAAACATCAACAAAACGGATAGACCACTAGGCAAGACTAATAAAGAAGAGAGAAGAATCAAATAGATGCAATAAAAAATGATAAAGGGGATATCACCACCGATCCCACAGAAATACAAACTACCATCAGAGAATACTATAAACACCTCTATGCAAATAAATTAGAAAATCTAGAAGAAATGGATAAATTCCTTGACACATACACCCTCCCAAGACTAAACCAGGAAGAAGTTGAATCTCTGAATAGACTAATAACAGGCTCTGAAATTGAGGCAATAATTAATAGCCTACCAACCAAAAAAAGTCCAAGACTAGATGGATTCACAGCCGATTTCTACCAGAGGTACAAAGAGGAGCTGGTACCATTCCTTCTAAAACTATTCCAATCAAAAGAAAAAGAGGGAATCCTCCCTAACTCATTTTATGAGGCCAGCATCATCCTGATACCAAAGCCTGGCAGAGACACAACAAAAAAAAGAGAATTTTAGACCAATATCCCTGATGACATCGATGCAAAAATCCTCAATAAAATACTGGCAAACTGAATCCAGCAGCACATCAAAAAGATTATCCACCATGATCAAGTTGGCTTCATCCCTGGGATACAAGGCTGGTTCAACATACGCAAACCAATAAACATAATCCATCATATAAACAAAACCAAAGAGAAAAACCATACGATTATCTCAACAGATGCAGAAAAGGCCTTCGACGAAATTCAACAGCGCTTCATGCTAAAAACTCTCAATAAACTAGGTATTGGTGGAACGTATCTCAAAATAATAAAAGCTATTTATGACAAATCCACAGCCAATTTTATACTGAATGGGCAAAAACTGGAAGTATTCCCTTTGAAAACTGGCACAAGACAGGGATGCCCTCTCTCACCACTCCTATTCAACAAAGTGTTGGAAGTTCTGGCCAGGGCAATCAGGCAGGAGAAAGAAATAAAGGGTATTCAATTAGGAAAAGAGGAAATCAAATTGTCCCTGTTTGCAGATGACATGATTGTATATTTAGAAAACCATATCGTCTCATCCCAAAAGCTCCTTAAGCTGATAAGCAACTTCAGCAAATCTCAGGATACAAAATCTGTGTGCAAAATCACAAGCACTCCTATACACCAATAACAGACAGACAGCCAAATCATGAGTGAACTCCTATTCACAATTGCTTCAAAGAGAATAAAATACCTAGGAATCCAACTTAAAAGTTTGTGAAGGACCTCTTCAAGGAGAATTACAAACCACTGCTCAACGAAATAAAAGAGGACACAAACAAATGGAAGAACATTCCATGCTCATGGATAGGAAGAATCAATATCGTGAAAATGGCCATACTGCCCAAGATAATTTATAGATTCAATGCCATCCCCATCAAGCTACCAATGACTTTCTTCACAGAATTGCAAAACTACTTTAAAGTTCATATGGATCCAAAAAAGAGCCCGCATTGCCAAGACAATCCTAAGCAAAAAGAACAAAACTGGACACATCACACTACCTGACTTCAAACTATATTACAAGGCTATGGTAACCAAAACAGCATGGTACTGGTACCAAAACAGAGATATAGACCAATGGAACAGAACAGAACCCTCAGAAATAATACCACACATCTACAACCATCTGATCTTTGACAAAGCTGACAAATACAAGAAATGGGGAAAGGATTCCCTATTTAATAAATGGTGCTGGGAAAACTGGCTAGCCATATGTAGAAAGCTGAAACTGGATCCCTTCCTTACACCTTACACAAAAATTAATTCAAGATGGATTAAAGACTTAATTGTTAGACCTAAAACCATAAAAACCCTAGAAGAAAACCTAGGCAATACCATTCAGGACATAGGCATGGGCAAGGACTTCATGACTAAAACACCAAAGCAATGGCAACAAAAGCCAAAATTGACAAATGGGATCTAATTAAACTAAATATCTTCTGCACACAGCAAAAGAAACTACCATCAGAGTGAACAGGCAACCTACAGAATGGGAGAAAATTTTCACAATCTACCTATCTGACAAAGGGCTAATATCCAGAATCTACAAAGAACTTCAACAAATTTACAAGAAAAAATCAAACAACCCCATCAAAAAGTGGGCGAAGGATATGAACAGACACTTCTCAAAAGAAGACATTTATGCAGACACATGAAACAGACACATGACACATGAAAAAATGCTCATCATCACTGGCCATCAGAGAAATGCAAATCAAAACCACAACGAGATACCATCTCACACCAGTTAGAATGGCAATCATTAAAAAGTCAGGAAACAACAGGTGCTGGAGAGGATGTGGAGAAACAGGAACACTTTTACACTGCTGGTGGGAATGTAAACTAGTTCAACCACTGTGGAAGACAGTGTGGCAATTCCTCAAGGATCTAGAACTAGAAATACCATCTGACCCAGCCATCCTATTACTAGGTATATACCCAAAGGAATATAAATCATGCTGCTATCAAGATAAATGCACATGTATGTCTATTGTGGCACTATTCACAATAGCAAAGACTTGGAACCAACCCAAATGTTCATCAATGATAGACTGGATTAAGAAAATGTGGCACATATACACCATGGAATACTATGCAGCCATAGAAAAGAATGAGTTCATGTCCTTTGTAGGGACATGGATGAAGCTGGAAACCATCATTCTGAGCAAACTATCGCCAGGACAGAAAACCAACCATTGCATGTTCTCACTCACAGGTGGGAACTGAACAATGAGAACACTTGGACACAGGGTGAGGAACATCACACACCAGGGCCTGTCATGGGGTGGGGGGAGGGAGGGAGGGATAGCATTAGGAGAAATACCTAATGTAAATGATGAGTTAACGGGTGCAGCACACCAATATGCCACATGTATACATATGTGACAAACCTGCACGTTGTGCACATGTACCCTAGAACTTAAAGTATAATTTAAAAAAAAAAGAAAGAGAGAGCTGTAACACTCACTGTGAAGGTCTGCAGCTTCACTCCTGAAGTCAGCAAGACCACGAAACCACCGGAAGGAAGAAACTCTGGACACCTCTGAACATCTGAAGGAACAAACTCTGGATACACCATCTTTAAGAACTGAAACACTCACCGCGAGGGTCCACGGCTTCGTTCTTGAAGTCAGTGAGACCAAGAACCCACCGGAAGGAACCAATTCCAGGCACACTGAGTCAAATGGTATTTCTAGTTCTAGATCCTTGAGGAATCCCCACAGTGTCTTCCACAATGGCTGAACTAATTTACACTCCCACCAACAGTATAGAACCATTCCTATTTCTCCACATCCTCTCCAGCATCTGCTGTTTCCTGACATTTTAATGATCACCATTCTAACTGGAGATGGTATCTCATTGTGGTTTTTATTTGCATTTCTTTAATGACCAGTGATGATGAGCTTTTTTCATATGTCTGTTGGCCATATAAATGTCTTCTTTTGAAAGTGTCTGTTCATATCCTTCACCCACTTTTTGATGGAGTTATTTTCTTATTAGTCTAAGTTCCTTGTAGATTCTGTATATTAGGCCTTTGTCAGATGGATAGATTGCAAAAATTTTCTCCCATTCTGTAGGTTGCCTGTTCACTCTGACGACAGTTGCTTTTGCTAGGCAGAAGCTCTTTAATTAGATCCCACTTGTCAATTTTGGCTTTTGTTGCCATTGCTTTTGGTGTTTTAGTCATGAAGTCTTTGCCCATACCACTGTCCTGAATGGTATTGCCTAGGTTTTCTTCTAGGCTTTCTATGGCTTTAGGTCTTACATTTAAAACCTTAATCCATCTTGAGTTAATTTTTGCATAAGGTGTAAGGAAGGGGTCCAGTTTCAATTTTCTGCATATGGCTAGCCAGTTTTCCCAACACCATTTATTAAATAGGGAATCCTTTCACCATTGCTTGTTTTTGTCAGGTTTGTCAAAGATCAGATGGTTGTAGACATGTGGACCTATTTCAGAGGCCTCTGTTCTGTTCCATTGGTCTATATATCTGTTTTGGTATGAGTACTATGCTGTTTTGGTTACTGTAGCCTTGTAGTATAGTTTGAAGTCAGGTAGCATGACGCTCCAGCTTTGTTCTTTTTGCTTAGAATTGTCTTGGCTATACAGGCTCTTTTTGGTTCCACATGAAATTTAAAGTAGATTTTTCTAATTCTGTGAAGAAAGTCAATGGTAGCTTGATGGGAATATCATTGAATCTATAAATTACTTTGGACAGTATGGCCATTTTCATGATATTGATTCTTCCTATCCATGAGCATGGAATGTTTTTCCGTTTGTTTGTGTCCTCTCTTATTTCCTTGTGCAGTGGTTTGTAGTTATCCTTGAAGAGGTCCTTCACATTCCTTGTAAGTTGTATTCCTAGGTATTTTATTCTTTTTGTAGCAACTGTGAATGGGAGTTCACTTATGATTTGGCTGTCTGTTATTGGCGTATAGGAATGCTTGTGATTTTTGCACATTTTGTATCCTGAGACCTTGCTGAAGCTGCTTATCAGCTTAAGGAGTTTTTGGGCTGAGATGACGGGGTTTTCCAAATATACAAACATATACAGGCATGTCATCTGCAAACAGAAATAACGTGACTTCCTCTCTTCCTATTTGAATGCCTGTTATTTCTTTCTCTTGCCTGATTGCCCTGGCCAGAACTTCCAATACACAGGAATGGTGACGAAGGGCATCCTTGTCTTGTGCTGGTTTTCAAAGGGAATACTTTGAAATGCCCATTCAGTATGATATTGGCTGTGGGTTTGTCATAAATAGCTCATTATTTTGAGATACGTTCCATCTATACCTAGTTTATTGAGTGTTTTTAGCATGAAGGGGTGTTGAATTTTATCGAAGGCCTTTTCTACATCTATTGAGGTAATCATGTGGTTTTTGTCATTGGTTCTGTTTATATGATGAATTATGTTTATTGATTTGCATATGTTGAACCTGCCTTGCGCATCCCAGGGATAAAGCCAACATGATCATGGTGGATAAGCTTTTTAATGTGCTGCTGGATCCGGTTTGCCAGTATTTTATTGAGGATTTTTGCATTGATGTTCATCAGGGGTACCGGCCTGAAATTTTCTTTATTTATTGTCTCTCTGCCAGGTTTTGGCATCAGGATGATGCTGATCTCATAAAATGAGTTAGAGAGGAGTCTCTCTTTTTCCATTGTTTGGAATAGTTTCAGAAGGAATGGTACCAGCTCCTCTTTGTACCTCTGGTACAATTCGGCTGTGAATCCATCTGGTCCTGGGCTTTTTTTGGTTGGTAAGCTATTAATTACTGCCTCAATTTCAGAACTCGTTATTGGTCTATTTAGGGATTCGATTTCTTCCTGGTTTAGTCTTTGGAGGGTGTATGTGTCCAGGAATTTATCCATTTCTTCTAGATAACCTAGTTTATTTGCATACAGGTGCTTATAGTATTTTCTGATGGTAGTTTGTATTTCTGTGCAATCAGTAGTGAGATCCCCTTTATCTTTTTTAATTTTGTCTATTTGATTCTTCTCTCTTGTCTTATTTATTAGTCTGGCTAGCAGTCTATCTATTTTGTTGATCTTTTCAAAAAACCAGCTCCTGGATTCACTGATTTTTTTAAGGGTTTTTAGTGTCTCTATCTCCTTCAGTTCTGCTCTGATCTTAGCTATTTCTTCTCTTTTGCTAGATTTTGAATTTGTTTATTCTTGCTTCTCTAGTTCTTTTAATTGTGATGTTAGGGTGTCAATTTTAGATCTTTCCTGCTTCCTCCTGTGAGAATTTAGTGCCATATATTTCACTCTAAACACTGCTCTAGCTGTGTCCCAGAGATTCTGGTACATTGTGTCTTCGTTCACATTGGTTTCAAAGAACTTATTTATTTCTGCCTAATTTTGTTATTTACCCAGTAGTCATTCAGGAACAGGTTGTTCAGTTTCCATGTATTTGTGCAGTTTTGAGTGAGTTTCTTAATCCTAAGTTCTAGTTTGATTGCACTGTGGTCTGAGAGACTGATTGTTATGATTTCCATTCTTTTACATTTGCTGAGGAGTGTTTTACTTCCAATTATGTGGTCAGTTTTAGAATAAGTGTGATGTGCTGCTGAGAAGAATGCATATTCTGTTGATTTGCAGTGGAGAGTTCTGTAGATGTCTATTAGGTCTCCTTGGTCCAGAGCTGAGTTCAAGTCCTGAATATCCTTGTTAATTTTCTATCTCGTTGATCTGTCTAATACTGACAGTGGGGTGTTAAAATCCCCACTATTATTGTGTGGGGATCTAAGTTCTTTGTAGGTCTTGAAGAACTTGCTTTATGAATCTGGGTGCTCCTGTATTGGGTGCATATATATTTAGGACAGTTAGCTCCTCTTTTTGCACCCTTTGTCATTTTGTAATGTCCTTGTCTTTTTTGATCTTTGTTGGTTTAAAGTCTGTTTTATCAGAGACTAGAATTGCAACCCCTGCTTTTTTTTGCTTTCCATTTGCTTGATAAAACTTCCTCCATCCCTTTATTTTGAGACTATGTGTGTCTTTGCACGTGAGACAGGTCTCCTGAGTACAGCACACTGATGGGTCTTGAGTCTTTATCCAATTTGCCAGTCTGTGCCTTTTAATTGGGGCATTTAGCCCATTTACATTTAAGGTTAATATTGTTATGTGTGAATTTGACCCTGTCATTATGACGCTATTTTGCCCGTTATTTTGCCTGTTAGTTGATGCAGTTTCTTCCTAGCATCGATGGTGTTTATAATTTGGTATGTTTTTGCAGCAGCTGGTCCCGTTTTTTCCTTTCCATATTTAGTGCTTCCTTCAGGAGCTCTTGTAAGACAGGCCTGGTGGTGACAATATCCCTCAGCAGTTGCTTGTCTGTAAAGGATTTTATTTCTCCCTCACTTATGAAGCTTAGTTTGGCTGGATACGAAATTCTGGGTTGAAAATTCTTTTAAGAATGTTGAATATTGGCCTCCACTCTTTCTGGTTTGTAGGATTTCAGCAGAGAGATTTGCTGTTAGCCTGATGGGCTTCTCTTTGTGGGTAACCCAACCTTTTTCTGGCTGCCCTTAAGATTTTTTTCCTTCATTTCAACCTTGGTGAATATGACAATTATGTGTCTTGGGGTTGCTCTTCTCTAGGAGTAACTTTGTGGTGTTCTCTGTATTTCCTGAATTTGAATGTTGGCCTATCTTGCTAGGTTGGGAAAGTTCTCCTGGAGAACAGCCTGAAGTGTGTTTTCCAACTTGGTTCCATTCTCCCCATCAATTTCAGGTACACCAATCAAACGTAGGTTTGGTCTTTTCACATAGTCCCATATATCTTGGAGGCTTTCTTCATTCCTTTTTATTCTTTTTTCTCTAATCTTATCTTCACACTTTATTAAGCTGATCTTCCATCTCCGATATCCTTTCTTCCAACTGATCAATTTGGTTCTTGATACTTGTATATGCTTCGCGAAGTTCTTGTGCTGTGTTCTTCAGCTGCATCAGGTCATTTATGTTGTTCTCTAAACTGATTATTTTAGTTAGCAGTTCCTGTAACCTTTAACAAGGTTCTCAGCTTCCTTTGCATTGGGTTAGAACATGCTCCTTTAGCTTGGAGGAGTCTGTTATTACCTACCTTCTGAAGCCTACTTCTGTCAATTCATCAAACTCATTCTCTGTTCAGTTTTGTTCCTTTGCTGGCGAGGAGTTGTGCTCCTTTGGAGGAGAAGAGGCATTCTGGTTTTTGGAATTTTCAGCCTTTTTGCGCTGCTTTTTCCTCATCTTCAGGGATTTATCTACCTTTGGTCTTTGATGCTGGTGACCTTCAGATGGGGTTTTTGTGTGGTTGTCCTTTTTGTTGACGTTGAGGCTACTGCTTTCTATTTGTTAGTTTTCCTTCTAATAGTCAGGCCCCTCTTCTGCAGGCCTGCTGGTGTTTGCTGGAGGTCCACTGCAGACCCTGTTTGCCTCGATATCACCAGCGGAGGCTGCAGAACAGCAAAAATTACTGCCTGCTCCTTCCTCTGGAAGCTTTTTCCCAGAGGGACACCCGCCAGATGCCAGCCAGAGCTCTCCTGTATGAGTTTTCTGTCGACCCCTGTAGGGAGGTGTCTCCCAGTCAGGAGGCACGGGGGGGTCAGAGACCCACTTGAGGAGGCAGTCTGCCCCTTAGCAGAGCTTGAACGCTGTGCTGGGAGATCCGCTGCTCTCTTCAGAGCCAGCAGGCAGGAACATTTAAGCCTGCTGATGCTGTACCCACAGCCACCCCTTTCCCCAGGTGCTCTGTCCCAGGGAGATGAGAGTTTTAGCTATAAGCCCCTGACTGGGGCTGTTGCCTTTCAGAGATTCCCTGCCCAGAGAGGAGGAATCTAGAGAGGAATCTGGCTACAGAAGCTTTGCGTAAGCCTCAGTAATGGCGGATGCCCTTCCCCCTACCAAGCTCGAGCATCCCAGATTGACTTGAGAATGCTGTGCTGCCAGCAAGAATTTCAAGCCAGTAGATCTTAGCTTGTTGGGCTCCATCGGGGTGGGATCTGCTGAGCAAGACCACTTGGCATCCTGGCTTCAGCCCCCCTTCCAGGGTAGTGAACAGTTCTGTCTCACTGGAGTTCCAGGTGCCACTAGGGTATGAAAAAACACTCCTGCAGCTAGTTCGGTGTCTGCCCAAACAGCCACCCAGTTTTGTGCTTGAAACCCAGGGCCCTGGTGGTGTAGGCACCCTAGGGAATCTCCTGGTCTGCGGGTTGTGAAGACAGTGGGAAAAATGTAGTATCTGGGCCAGATAGCACCATCCCTCACTCATAGCTTCCCTTGGCTAGGGGAGGGAGTTCCCCAACCCCTTGCACTTCCCAGGTGAGGCGACTCCCCACCCTGCTTCTGCTCACTCTCCGTGGGCTGCACCCACTGTCTAACCAGTCCCACTGAGATGAACCGGGTACCTCAGTTGGAAATGCAGAAATCACCCGCCTTCTGCGTTAGTCTCTCTGGGAGCTGCAGACCAGAACTATTCTAATTCAGCCATCTTGCCCAGGAATCCCTCATGTCTTTTTAAATTTTAAAATGTTTAATTATCAAGTAAAGATGGGATATATTCAAGGTGTACAAAATAATGATTTGGTATATGTTTACATTCTGTAATGATTATCACAATCTAATTAATTAACACATCCATCGCCACTCATGCTGTACACCAGAACTGGGTTCCTCTTATAATTCAAAGTTTGTACCCTTTGACCCAAATTTCACCGTTTCCTCCACCCCACTGGCAGCCATGGTTCTACCCTCTTCTGTAAGTTTGATTTTTTTTTATTTTCCACATATAATTCATAACAGATGGTATCTGCCTTTCCATGTCTGGTTTATTTCACTTAGCATAATGTCCTAGAGGTTCACCCTTGTTGTTGCAAATTGCAGGATTTCCTTCTCTTTTATGGCTAAATATTATTTTATTATATATATATACCACAATTTCTTTATCCATTCATCTTCCAGAACTTCTTGATTAACTATTCCAAAACCCACTGTACTTCTGCACTTTTCAGTAATATGAGCCAATACACATGCATATTGTTGATGCCAGCCTGTTAGTTGAGGCTAAATGCATCCTATTGGATACTCCTTCCAAACCAGGTCTTCCTTTTGATTTCCATGCTCTCCTCAGATATCTGTGTTCAAATCCTTGTTCTCTCCTCTCTCCCAGCTTCTCCTCCAACTGTCCTCAACCCCCACCACAACCATATCTAATAAGTTGCACAGACCTAGCAATTCCCTCTCCAAAACCATGTCCATAATCCAAGACAATCTTCTATCCAGATAATTACCATCCGTGAGTACTTACACAGAGGATTTCATGCTTGATGGTGGCACATCCAGCCTTTTCTCATACAAGTCGTTAATTTGATATTTCCCTCCCCTAATTACAACATCTCTCAGAGGTTAACTGTTATCTGTCTCTCAGCCTAACATTTAAGACTATCCATAACCAGGCCACAACCAGCCTCTTAAGTTTTACTTCTCTCAGAGCTCCCTACTTATAACTAGCCACTGTCCTATCCTCACCCAATCCTCCTTTTTTCTTTTTTTGCTTTATTCAAACTGTCCTTTTGTCCCACTGTCTCCTGCTGCTGAATTTCTACATGTTGTTCAACAGCAACTATAAAAGCAACATCAAGATTCCCGTAATCTCTCCTTCCTCTGAGCTGCTATATCACCTCTTATGATAGTTATGATGTATTACTACTCTATTTGAATTGGTCCTTCAAGCGGCCCTCAGGTAGAATCACTTTCCTTTTGTACAATCATGCATCTAATCAAGAGTGCCTGACTCAGATGTCTAGAAAAGCCAGAGAAAGAACAGTGAGGAATGAATGGGCAGAAGTGCATGGTTTTAACATAAATATATGTTCCACAAAAGAAAAACACAGACACAGGAAAATTACTCATTTGCCCAAAGAAATATATTGTCTCATTTTCTTGGCATTCACTAACACCCCTTCACTAATATTTCCCCTTGACCTGCAGACATGGTACAAAAATTATTTCACTCTACCACGAAAAAAAAAAACCAATAGTACAATGACAAGGATAAATGGTAACTGACACTTGATCTGAGTTTCAGGGAAATAATAAAGAGTGGTCAGAGGTGCAGCAAATAGGATAGGGACTGTCCCTGCCTAAGCTTGCAAACACCAGCTCCAGCTATCACGTGCAAATGCTGGCACAAAATAGCCAGACATTCAGATTTTCCAAGAGAAGCTACAAAACCAAATTGGTATGTAAATCTCCTTAATTCTAAAATGTTGGTAGCTAAATGATTTATTTCAAAACCATTATTCAGACAAACACAATATGGCCTACAGTGAACATAACTTGTATGACAAATACAACCAGCAAGCTATTAGCTTGAGTGTTTACCTGAGATAGATTAAAAGAAAAATAGGCTGGGCATGGTGGCTCATACCTGTAATCCCAGCACTTTGGGAGGCCAAGGCAGACGGATCACCTGAGGTCAAGAGTTCGAGACCAGCCTAGCTCAACATGGTGAAACCTCGTCTCTACTAAAAATACAAAAAAAAAAAAAAAGCTGGGCGTGGTAGCACACACCTGTAGTCCCAGCTACTCGGGGAAGCTGAGGCAGGAGAATCGCTTGAACCCAGGGGGTGGAGGTTGCAGTGAGCTAAGATCGTGCCACTGCACTCCAGCCTGTGTGACACAGGGAGACTCAATCACAAAAAATAAAAATGAAAAAAATAACAAGAATGTGGTAATACTCAAAGTGAGTAGATGGTGCTACTACCAGAATCATAAAAGCTTGTGCTCCACGGCATTTTATAACTAGCTGGATTTTGATCTTAGGAAGAAGGAACAGACAGCTTTATAGTCCAGCACCTGTCTTACAGGCTAAAGCATTTGGTGGGGAGGCACAGGGCTAAAGGCTGCTAGAAAACTGAGTCCAATTAAGCCTAAGGCAAGGGTTATATGTAAATCCCCTTGCACATGGTAGGAATTCAATAATACTTCCTGAATAAATATTGGAACTGATTCCTTCCCAGAGGATGCCAGAAAAATTGTTACCCTATTGAATTTGGTACAGCATGGTAGAAAATACCTACTGCACTCTACATGTATGTTTCTGCAAAAGTAATTTTAAATCTTCCTGATATAGGAAAAAAATGTGGAGCCTATAAAAAGTTATTAGTAATATTCAAAGAATTTATACATTTCAAAAATGAGTTTAATTGGTAATGAAAATTTCCAAAGAAGCTACTCTGGAGGCTTAAGTGCACTAATGATGTCACAAGGGAGAGCTAGAAAGACAAACACACAGATGTCCTAAGATTGCATTCATCTGCAACAGTGCAGAATTAGATTTGGCAATATATCAGACCTCTTCATGTGATTCTTATAGTAAAAGTTTCAAAATGGCTTTCCCCTGGTGAATCTTTAGCTTCTCAACATTTAAAGAGGATCCAATTAAAAACCACTAAACTTTCCAAACTCTGGTTTCAAGAAATTCAAATTCCCTCAATATAACCTCAATTTCCAACACCTAGTCACAAAGAATAAAATGGCATACAGTTTTCAGGTATTAGGAAATGTAACCAGTTAAAGAGGTTTATTTTTATCACTGAGCATTCATTTATAAAACAAGGTGAGTGTGAGACTATATTTCCCACCGGGGAAAGGATGGTGGCCAAGACAGCCTTGGTCCCTGCTCTTGTGAGGCTTATAGTACATACAGGGAAACAAACTGTCAAACACCACTTGCCGATATATAATTACAAAGTTAAGTGTCATGAAAAATTTACAAAGTGCAATGATATCATCTGACATACAGACCCCAACTAGTCTAATAATCAGAAAAGGCTACCTTTTCTAAGCTGCAATATGAAGCATGGTTCCATCAAATGGGGTAACACAAAACATGCCAGGGAGATTAGCATTCACTCAATTCACAAACATCTACTGCATACTAAATAAGTGCCCGTCCTTATGTTAAGCATTAGGTATATAATAGTGAATAGAATTTAAAAAGTAAATCTACTGAGAGACTTACTCCAGTAAGTCTGAATGAGAGAGAAGAAAGTAGAATGGTGGTTGCTAGGGACTGGGAGGAGGGAGAAATGGGTGATTATTGTTAAATGGGTATGGAATTTCAGTTGTGGATAATGAAAAAGTTCTGGAGATGGATGGTGATGATGGTTGCACAACAATGTGAATATACTCAATGCCACTGAAATGTACACTTTAAAATGGTTAAAATGGTAAATTTCATGTTATGTATATGCTACCACAATAAAAACTAAACCTTAAAAAATTCCAACATTTAGACACTGCACAGAACAGGAAATGCTAGAAAAATGACAGGGAACGAGCTTCCAGAATGGTGGTAGACAACAACAAAGTCATAGACGACAAATGAAAAACTCGAGGCTGTTCCTTTTACAGGGAATCTCAAGAAAAGGAAAAGAATTGAATGCTGATGAGAAACCAAATAAGATGAGAACTTTAAAGTATCTCTTACATTTTGAAACAGATCATGGGTACCCTTGATAGCCATTTACATGGAAGAGTGAGTGCAGAAGCTGGAGTGAGTTGAAAAAACAAGGCAATTTGGGAAGTATAATAGAATGTTATGAGTAGATAACTCTTTCAAGAAGTATCAATTCTAACAAGCAGCAGAGAAACAGGACAATGGCTGGAGGATAATGTGAAATCAAGGGAAGCATGGAAGTAGTTAAGCAGCCCACCCTAATTTCCAATTTGTCCCAATTGGAACCCCATTTTTAGCTGGACACATGGACACTTAAGTACCCTGCCTTCCTTGAAGACAGGTAACACCCAAGGCACATAACTAAGTTCTGTCCAGGGAAATTTTAGCAGATTCTAAGAAATCTCATCATTCAGCTTGTCAATGTCTTTTGTGTCTCCCTCCAGCCTGCCAACTGGACTGTGATATCCACAGTTCCAACTTGGATTATGAAGATAAGGGCCATACCCTCCAGATGGGAACAGTAAAGGTGGAAGAATCTTGGGTTACTGAGGTCTCTGGAAAACAGCCACCACACCAGACCTGGACTACCTTGCTACAGAGTTTTTTCATAACAAATACCCTTCCAACTTATTTAAACAATGGTTATTTTGTTTTGCTTTGGTTTTCTATGTCTGCAGACAATTCTAATCCCAACTAATATAAGAAGGTTTTCTTGGAGACACTAGAATATGACTCTGTAGAAATGGGAATGATCTCATTAAAGAGACAAGGCAGAGGGAAACCGCCTTACATGGGAAGGACGAGGGTCATGCAAAACCATGTGGTTAGAAAGACAAGAAAAAGGGAAGACGAGAGAGAAGGCAAACCACGTAGAGCCATGTTTTGCTTGTTCTAGAATATCATATAAATGGAAACATACAGTGCCTGCTCTATGGGGTGAGGCTTCTTTCACCCAGCATAACGCTTTTTCAGGTTTCATCCATATTGTTGCATGTGTCAGTAGGTCCTTCCTTTTTATTAATGAGTATGGTTACATTGTATGAAACCCACCAGTTTGTTTATCCACTCTATGGACACCTGGATGCTTTCAGTTTTTGGCTTTCATGAATAAAGATGCCAAAAACAAGTCTTTTACTTGCTAGGTATTTCCATTTGATGATCTCACAGGAACTTAAAAATCAGAATGTTCAAAATTGAGCTCATCTAAATGTATATCTTTTCCACAAGTCTTTATTTCAGTAAATGGCACTGCCATTCCCTCTACTGTTCAAGTCACAGTCTTCAGTGTCATCCTTGACCACTGCCTGTCCCTGACTCCTCCCATGTGATCAGACCCAAAGTCCTGCCAGTATTCTCTTCTTCACATTTACTCACTTTGCCCTAGTGCCATAGGGGTATTTTTGTTGCCATGGCAGATGGGGACAGGATATTCAGTGGAGTTTTTTGGAAGGCGTAGGATGATAATGTGATAATAATGGTCTATATCGTCATAGGAGTTTGGGTGAAATAGATATATACATTTGTAGAAACACATTGAATGCTACATTTACTTTATGAATGTTTAACAACAACCACCCCCAAAAAAGCTATGTAAGAAATATTGACACTAGTAATTGGTATGCACGCTGATGAGGTGAAGTGTAGGGATATTTCTGCGCATTAGTTTGAAATGCATCAAAAAATAAGATGGATTGATGAACAGATAGAAGATTGGATATGTGATAAAGCAAATATTTTTAAAAATAATTTTAGAATTTAGGTAGTGGATATCTGGTATTCCATGCAAAATTATCTCAACTTTTGTGCATTTTCCCATTAGAATGTTAAAAAAACTTTAACCAAGCTGCATTTCTTTAAAAGCACGATCTAAAACTTTACAATAACATAAACAGAGCACATTCTTCTTCCTTTCCTTCACATCTTCACTTTTATTAAGAATTCATGAATGTTTACTACTAATGGATTTGTGAGCAATGCAATGACAAAGAATTTTAATGCCGTTTGAAATCATTATCAAAAGCCCAAAACATTTACTTTGCAGCAAAAGAGTGAAACAGAAATATTTTAACACCATGTTAATTCAGAAAAAAATATATGGGTAAAGTTCTAGCTCATTAGGGAAAATAACAGTTATTCTGAATTATGTAACGTTTTAAGGGATTCTGTTTTGTTATTTTTATACTCTGGCAGCTATGTGGGACCTATTTTATAGTAGATAACTATCACTGGCATCTCAAATGTCACATTATGTTACTCAACGTATTTTTGCATGTTTCCCTAGGAATATTGTTTCTAGCCTTAATTTCCACTATCAAATACAATAGTTTGTACATAAAAACACCCCAGGTCTTTCTTTGCAAAAATTAGCAACTACAATTTATTAAAAGCTTAGTTAAATTTTACTAAAAATTCATCTTCAAAATATAAGGGTCAAATTGTCCTTTTAATTAAAACTCATAATTTGAATTTTCAAAACCAACTACAAATTCAGATGCTCCAAATAGACTCTCATCATTCTCAACCAATACATAGAGTTTATTAAATGGCAAGCATTCCTGTATACGTATCAGGTTAAGTGTCCAAAATCCAAAATCCAAAATCCTTTGGAACCCAAAACTTTTTGTGCGCTTACATGAGGCTCAAAGGAAATGCTCATTGGAGCATTTTGGATTGAGGTTTGAGATGCTCAACTGGGTATATTTAAAAAAAAAAGAACTGTCATTTAGTAGCACAAGTATTTTAATTGCCTATTCATATACACTACCTAAGAAACTATATTTTATTGCTTATTTTCAGTAGATAAGGTTTTATTCTTAACAAATAATCTGGGAAATATTCTTAGATATTAGTTTCTCTTACTATACAAACTACAGTAAAAACATGGGCTTTAACTGCTCAAAAACTTTTTACAATCCTTTTAGATTTCAAAATAAATGTTTATTAATCCTTCAAATAAACATCCCTCAAATAGGCACTATTTCTTGTTAGATTCCCACTGTTAAAGACAGAGTGGGGCTGGATGGTAGGGAGAAAAAGCTAAGTGAGCTCAAGGCTGGTCCCAACTCCTGAGTTTCTAAGTTTTTCTTTAATCTGATCAGGAAAAATACTGAACTAGATGCACCATTAGTAGAAGAGAAGGAAAAATAATCTGGCTTTGCAAGTTCCTAGGTTCTGGTTTACTGTAACTGGCCCAAAATGAAGTAACGATCATCAACAAATGAGTAAACCAACACCAGAACTCTCTGTTATCAATAAAACACTTTTCCCAAATAAGATAATTTCTAGTCACATGCTATGTCCATTTAAATTGATGCAATCCTTGCAATGTGTGTTCTTTAAAAGGGCAAATGAAGTAAAAGTGCAGCTCAAATATGATTACTGGGATACAGGTTGTTGTGCAAAAGTAAAATTTTGAGATGTTTTTCAGTCAGGGTCAAACCTAAAGGTGAGATTCAGAGCACTGTGAATTCATCTGGAAAAAAAAATTGAGTGAAAAGTATAAGTTTTAAGCTTTATTGATTTTTCCCTTTATTTTATAAGGTCATTCAGTGAGGATCAAAAGCTCACACAAGATGAATTCATAAAAGAAATGGAGAGGAAAAGTTTTTAAAACTACTTTTTGTATAAATTGGTGCACCTGGCCCAAGGCAATAATGCACCAACTGAAATCAGAGCATCTACAGATGACGTAAAACTTCCTTTCCTTTCCAAATTCAAATGACTCAAGGACTCTTCCCAAAGAACTTTTGCTTCCAGTTTGCATGCTATGCATTTTCTTAAAAGCCGGATGACCGTGAAATATTTCATTCTGTGTAAACTGTTTACTACCAATTTTTAATTTATTATGTTTTTTAAAAAATTTACAGTAAGCCAAGATGAGACAAAGGAAAAAAACTTTTATTGAACATCTGGTATCCATGAACACTTCATAAATATGTGCTTTACCTCTGCTTAATCTACTTAACCTGATTAAGCAGGCATGCTCCCCATTTAACATTTGAAAAGGAAGTTTAGAGAGATTTAAGATCACCTAGCTATGAGTTAGGAGCATCCTCCAGTCCTGGCTTCTCCAAGGAGTAGCTATTAGTTCATATAGATATGTCATCTCTCTGACACTCTATTTCCTCATAGACAAAATAAATAGACTCAAGTGAACCCTGTAGTTACTTTAAAAGGTAAATTTGATCTTTCAGAGACTGGTAATAGATGTTCAGGCTTACTTCCTCCCCTCTACCCTATTGCCTTTGCCTTTATCCAATTTCACTGTTCTTTACTAATTCCACAGAATGGTTTAAGAAAAAAGGAGCTGCCAAAAAAAAAGAGTACTTAAAAGTGTGTTTTGGTATTGGTAACACCATCCAGACCTTTGAAAGGGAAATATAAGAATTCCTTGAACCCTGAGAATTAAGGTTAAAACTACCTTCCCTAAGAATTATAAGAGTATCCAAAGACTTCTACTTTTGCTATATTTTTTTCATAATTCCAGTGAACAAATGGGACCAGACTTCATAAAATTCCCTCAAATACCTCATACCTTCACTTTAAAAAATCATTACTGTGTTCTCATAGTTTGGTAAAGAAATATCATTAATAGCTATGAGAAATTGTATATCTAAACTTACATGTCATTCTTTACAAATTAGCTTTTAAAAGGACTAAAAGGCCAAGAAGAATAAGCAAGTAGTTTCTTCTGGAGCCTACTTATATAATCTACAGAGGTACAAACACACAGTAATTAGTTTGAAAATAAAATGAAATCCTAGTTTGGTAAGTAATTTGCCTTCCTTAAAACTGTCAGTGGCACTAAATTGAAATTTTTTCCTTCTAGCTGACCAAATTGTAAGCCTCTTTCATCTAGATCATTATTGAAAAGTGAGAATAACCCATTATGTCTAATATATTTATCAAAGGAATTTAAATATTAAGTAGACAAGTTAAATAGGAGCAAATAGCTGAAATTTTTTAGTATCTTATTTAAAGTTGTTTCCAGGGAGGAACTCAAGGAAAAAACAAGTATATCCTAAATAATTCAATTAAGAAAGAGAAAAAGAGTGCCATATCAGCAATTGAATGGCTACTATGCATGGTGGGAGGGGTCATGCAAGGTAGGAGGTTTTAGGTAGATTGGTTTTCTGTCTTTAGTCCCATAAAAGGAAGGCCTCACTATTCCATTTAACAGGTGAAGAAAGAGATTCAAACACTAAGTAACTTGCCCAAGAGCATACAGCTAATAAATGCTGATTTTGTATTTCCAGCATATATACACTTGAATGAAAAATCCAAGCACTTTTATACTACATCACACTTCTTCCCACCTTCTGTGTGCTTGGATAAGGATTCAAAAATTAAAAGTCACATTCAGCAACCTATTAGAATTAAAATGCTGGCTGAAGGAAAAGAACATAATTAGGATATTGTTAAAGCAAACTAAATATGGCCTGAGAAGGACTCAGTACTTCTATATTTGAGTCCTTATAGATGAACTATAACCTAGCTTAACAGTGAGACAAAATTGAAAACCTAACTTAGTAATATGCACCTGAAACAATAGCTGAGTGTTGGCCAATCTCAGTGGCCTACTTCAACCACTCACAGTCTGCTGAATGTTCAACCTGTGTTCAAACAAGGCAAATGCCGAGCTGTAACCAATCTCACTCTTTCTGCACCTCACTTCTGAAAGTGAAAGTAGGTCATTTTACGTTTTTTTGTCTATAAATTTGTTCTGACCACAAGGCACCCCTGGAGTCTCTGAATCTGCTGTGATTCTGGGGACTGCCCGATTTGCAAATCATTCATTGCTCAATTAAGCTCCTTTAAATTTAATTTGGCTGAAGTTTTTATTTTACCAATATAATATATCAACTGCTTGGCCAGAAGTATGAGAACATAAGGAACTTGTACGTCTAGCAAGAGGGTAAACTGGATGTTCAGATGAAACCGACTATACATGTTTAAACAGAAAATATCTCAAAATGCTGAGTAAAATATAAAACCATACTTTTGCAAGGTTATAAAATTCATTAGAGATCAGAAATGATAACAAAGAAATAGACGGGTAAATTAGGGCTAGAGCCAGCATTTGCCAGCAAAATGTCCACTAATACCTGGTGGTCTACAGCGTGGGTTTTAAAAAATGTTTAAAGAATAGAAAATAAATTTCAGATCAAAACACATAAAGTCTCAGAAGATGAAATAAAATAAAACTTTCCCTTAGTGATTCACAGTGTAGATGAGTGCCTGGTTTTGCCTTGGTGAAGCAAGGGGAATGAAAAACCTCTCTCCTCTGAATTCCTAAACACAAGATTGTATTTATGCACTATTGGCGATAGAATTCATGAACAAAGCAAAACAGATTCATTTAGTTATGGCTGTATTCCCAGGCAGATAAAGACAAAAATACTCTCTGAGGCCAAGGAGTTTAAATACGGGCTTCAACAAGTACAATCAAACCACCAAAGATATGAGAGGAAAAGCCATGATTAGTGAGAGTCAACAGAAAAAGACCACTAAAATAATGCAGGCACTATAATAATATTATACAGAATACTTATGCTTAAAAACACAAGAGAAGTTATCAAAAGTATGTTAAGGGAACAAGATACTATTAAAATTGATCTTGCAGATTTCAAAAATGGTTGTTTTTGAGAGAGGTGGGAACACTGAGAATGCCCCTTTCCTGAGGCTTCGGCACACAAGACCTGACTAAAACTGAGGCTGGGAAGTGACAGACTACCAAACCACCCACTTACCCTTCCATGAACTTTTTACCAAGTAATAACAAGCAGTAGTCTACTACTGGGGAAGTGGCAATAACACAGACCCCTGTGGCACAGCTGTACAGAGCTGGCAGAAAGCCAAAGGTAGATCAGGAACACAGAAAACTGTACCACACTCCGGGACTCATATTAAGCTCAATGTAGCAGCAGCAATCCATCCACCACTGGAGAAATCTGAAGTCTGTTTGCACTCAAGGTAACTACAGCAACAGCAAAATTCAAACCCAGCTCAACTGCTGACAATACTGACTACTGACACACTCCCCTATATTAACGAACTGAAGAAACAAAAAAAGTAACCATTGTGGGTATTAATTTTATTTACCACAGACTATTGCTCTTTAACACACAATACCAATATTCAATAAAAAATTACAAGACACAAAAGTGGAGGGAAAAAAAAAACCCACAAGCCTATCATCAACAGATAGCATAGTCAAATGAAATAGACCTCAAGATGGCCCAGACTTGTAAATATCAGATAGAACTTTTAAAATAACTACAATTAATATAAGGATCTAATGAAAAATATTATCAATGTGTCTGTATAGAAAGGGAAATTTTACCAGAGACATAAAAACTATAAAATAATCCAATGAAAAATGTCTGAAATGCAGAACAAAGCCACAGACTGAGGAAAAAGCTATTTACAAAACCTATATCTTATGAAGAACCTATATCCAGAACTCTTAATGCTTTTTAATCCAATAAAAAATTAGCAAAATCTCAAACATATACTTCACCAAAGGAAACAATGATTAAGCACATTAAAAAATGCTCGATATTGGTTCTCAGAGAAATGCAAATAAGTCCACAATCAGAAACTACTAAGTATCCACCAGAATGACTAACATTTCAAAAGATAGATAATAACAGGTGCTGACAAGGATGTGAAACAACTAAAACTCTCCTATATTGCTGGTGGGAATTTGAAATGGCATAGCTACTTTAGAAAATAATCTGGCACTTTCTTAGAAAGTGAAACACACACTTACATGAGCCAACAATTACACTCCAAGGCACTCATACAAAAGAAGTGAAAATATATGTTTACACAAAGACCTCTATGTGCATTTTACAGCACCTTCATTCATAAAAGCCTTAAATTAAAAATGACTCAAATTCCATCAACTAGTGAATGAATGTTTTTAATGTGATATACCCATACAATAGACCACTACTCAGAACCAAAGCAATGAACTACTGACACACCCAACAACCTCAAATGAGATGAATCTCAAAGGATTTAATAAATAAAAGAAGACAAAAGACTATAGCATATGATTCTATTTAAACCAACCATCTCCAACCTTTTTGGCATCAGGGACCAGTTTCATGGAAGACAATTTTTTCACCGAATGCAGGGGCAGGGAGATGGTTTCGGGATGAAACTGTCCCACCGCAGATCATCAGGCATTAGATTCTCATAAGGAGTGCATAACCTAGATCCCTTGAATGCACAGTTCACAATAGGGTTCATGCTCCTATGAGAATCTAATGCTGCCGCTGATCTGACAGGAAGGGGAGCTCAGGCAGTAATGCTCACTTGGCTACCGCTCACCTCCTGCTGTGTGACCCAATTCCTAACAGGCCGATACCAGTGCACAGCCTGGGGGCTGGGGACCCCTGATTTAAATGACATGTTGGAAAAGAAAGAGAAAACACACCAGAGGTTGTCCAGTGCTAGAAGTTGGGAGGAAGAAAATGTCTGTTAAATAAAACCTAAAAATTGGGCCGGATGTGGTGATTCACACCTGTAACCCCAGCACTTTGGGAGGCCGAGGTGGGTGGATCACCTGAGGACAGGAGTTCGAGACCAGCCTGGTCAACATGGTGAAACCCTGTCTCTACTAAAAATAAAAAAATTAGCCAGGTATGGTGGCATGAACATGAAGTCCCAGCTACTCAGGAGGCTGAGGCAGGAGAATGGCGTCAACCCAGGAAGCAAAGGTTGCAGTGAGCCGAGATAGTGCCACTGCACTGCAGCCTGGGCAACAGAGTAAGACTCCGTCTCAAAAAAAAAAAAAAAAAAGAAAAAGAAAAAGAAAAAGAAAAAAATTGGATGTTCAAAGCCAACTACAAATAAAAATGACATCTTTCATTTATTTATTCAACAAAACATTATTGAGTGCCTACAGTGTGGCAGGTACTATTCTAGACACTGGATAAAAAAGAATTTTATTTTAGTTGCAAGAGTTCTCTTTTTCAGAAAAGTGATGACAACAAATGCAATAAATTCACTTTATACAAGTTTTCCACATGTAACTGAATGTTCAGAACTCGCAATACTTTTCCTTTCTTACCAGATTGTTACAAAATCTCCTATATTATCTCATGATAGTTTTGTTATACATTTATTAGGATGAACTATATGAAACTGCAATGTTGTCAACAAAATAGTTCTTTCCTATGTTTCAAAAACAAGGATTCAGAAGCAAGAAAGGTGTAAAAGTAATCAGGGGTCATGTCATGCCCTTCTCATTGTAATACGAGATAATCAGTGACAGAGTTTCTAGTCAAAACGTCTGATATTCTGAACTTTTTTCACCTTTCGAGAGCTTTCGCAACATTCAGACTTGTGTTACTCATCTTGTAAATACAGATGCTTGCTATGGAGACTTAGCTGACTTCTGGTTTCACATTCCTAATGCAAGAACTAAAGAACAACACAATTGTTCTCATTTTAGTTAAGTTTTTAATTTAACCTCCTTCATCATGGGTGGAAAACCCTTGTTTAAAAGGATTATTTCATTTGGGCATTTAAAAATGGAATATCCTTCCAATTCCTTCAGATAATTTTAGAAACGAAATTATAAATTGTGTTTTTTAACATTATTCTAATTTTTTAAAGGCCATTGGGATTTTTATATTCTTCTAGTAGAAGATGTCCAAGATATGTGTCATTTGTATTTTGGCCTGGAGGGACTACTAATTCTATAGCCACTTAAGTTTTCTTCAAGTACACCAGAGGCAGGTGCTACTCAATACACAGGCACACACTAAGAGAATGGAACTGCACGCCCATATGTGCCTCTCAAAGGACCTCACTGCAGAGAAAACACAATACATGGAAATTTAGAACATAAGAGATGGAACATTTTATTCTTCATAACAATTTTTAAATTCCAAAATGTGACAGTTCTAAGGTTAAAAAGTATAGTTTTCTATATTTTTCCAATTTTTTCTCAACCTACACTCGAATTTTTCTGATTTTACTTTCTTGATTTCATCTTTTAAAACTATACCAAATTTCAATGCCTCATATGTTAAAAGCCAAATTATATCAGATTTGAAGTATAAATTCAATAATACTTAATCAAATTTTTAAGTAAAAATTTACTTAAAGCACTGTTATCCTCCAATGACTTCAGCTATTTCCACTATGCAAGAGATGACCTAAATTAAACTTTTGCCACATAACCTTTGCAGAATCAACTTGTGCCAACAAATGAGCACAACCCGAACACAGCATATGTAGGTAACTCTATACCTTAATTCTAATTGTTTAAACCTAAACATTGTCAATAATAGCAACCAACTTAACAATCTTCAGAAAATGAAAAACAGATGAAAGGTCTTAGATCATCATGAATCACACAGCCATGGAATTTAGCTTCAGATCACTCTTAGGATTCTTTTGACTATAATCAGGTTTGGTGCTTTGATTTTTATAATCTAGGCCAGTGACCCTCTACCTTTTCTCCTTCCAGTTTTCCTAAAGGAGGTGGGGTTAGGCTAGGGGATGCCTGATGCCTTTAAAATGCCATTTCTAAACTCCAGAGAGAAATGACATGGAACTAACTGAATACCAGTATTCTGAATTGAGCAAAGAAGCAGAAACAAGGATTGGCATGAGAGAACTTCAGGGACAAAAAAAAAAAAAAAAATTCAAGCTCGATATGCGAGCCCTTTAAAAAATTACGAATTTGAAAATAAGAATCTTCCCCCTTAAAAAACCTGACAGCATCAGGTTGCTACCAATGCACTAGATCAGACCATTTGGAAAACCACTGCCCTAAAACCACAGAGGAAATGAAAACATTCGAATAAAATCCAGCCATCAACACCCCACTACAGCCTCACAATTAATGAGAACTTACCTCTCTATTCCACTTGTGGGAGAAATGGACAAATTATAAAAAGAGAAGCTGATAAAAATATACTTTTCTTAAATCTCTACTACTCCATGTGGAAAGCATCTAGGCTTTGAAATATTTAAAGAGACATAATGTGTGTAAATGTTAAATACAGTGGCTTTCAACCTTGGCAGCACATGAAGTCGCCTGGGGTGACTTTCTCTTTCCCTTTTCTCTCCTCTCCTCCTGAGGAGGTGCAATGGGATGGGGTGGAGTTGCCAGGCAGAGGCATCAGTCCTATGAGACTGGTAGCCAAGGAAGGGAGGTAATGGGAGGGTACAAAGATGTCAGAAGGAGTCTTGAGTAGTTGGAATACTGGTTATGTTCAGCACAATTAACTAATTAATTAGGCATAAAGTTAATACACTGAGGATCCTGGAAACCAGCTTTCTCACCTTCTGAGAAGAGACGGGCTAGAAGTACACTAAAGTATTTGGTTAGAATGTGAACTATCAGAATGAACTCTTTTTTTTTTTTAATGGGTTAAGGAATGAACTTTTTTCAGGAAATTTATAAAACAAGAGTCACAGCAAGAAAAGAAGATACACAATCCTGAAATCTCTCATTATTCCTGAGGAGAGGTGATCCAGGGCCAGGGTATGCTGCTGGAGAAATGATTTTAGGGCAGGAAATGTGTCCCCTATTACTATACTCTCCTTATTTGACAAACAAGGGAAGGTGGCCTTGTTAATTGCCTGTGTTGTCGGGGAGAAGACAAATACACTACTTGAGCACCAAGTACTCCAGGTTTGGGTGCTGCTGTTTATAAGGGCTGTCTGGGAATATTAGCTGCTCAGCACCTGGTGATTTGGAGTCCTGTGGCTCACTGCAGCACCTTCTGCTGGAGCAAAGGGCCCCTAGACCCACAGGCAGCTGACAATGAGGAGCTCTTCTTGCTAGGAGAAGGGGTAAGCCCCAGTGCTAACTAGCTCATTGTTTAGGCAATTCAGAGAGAACTCTCAGAGTCCTTTTTAGACAATCCTCCTTATAAGAACCACACAAAACTACCTCCATGCCAGCACAATATAATACTACATGTCAGCACAGTATAATAATAATAACAGTATTAGTACTGTTACTTTGTTGCTATAATAATATATTTTTACCTTCTTCTCAAGTGCTTCTGTTTCTCAGATTTTTATTTTACTCTCTGAAATTTTCACCAATAACTACTATTTTCTGGGCTTCTACTTTTATCAGTCACTTGACATAAAATTTTCCCAGAAATTCTGAAAGACAGTCTTTTTTTTAACTTGGTTTCAGGGGTACATGTGCAGGTTTGTTATACAGGTAAACTGTGTGTCATGCGCGTTCCGTGTACCAGTAAGTTCACCACCCAGGTAATAAGCATAGAATCCAATTAGGTAGTTTTTGGATCCTCACCCTCCTCCCTCCCTCCACCCTCAGTTAGGCCGCATCCATGTGTACTCAAAGTTTAGCTCCCACTTATAAGTGAGAATACATGGTGTTTGGTTTTCTGCTCCTGTGTTAGTTCACTTAGGATAATGACCTCCAGCTCCATCCATGTTGCTGCAAAGAATATAATCTTGTTCTTTTTTTATGGGTGTGTAGTATTCCATGGTGTATATGTACCACATTTTCTTTATCCAGTCTACCATTGATGGACATTTAGGTTGATTCCATGTCTTTGTTATTGTGAATAGTGCTACAATGAACATACATATGCATCTTTATGGTAGAAAGATTTCTATTCCTTCGGGTACATACCCAATTATGGGATTGCTGGGTTGAATGGTATTGAGCTCTTTGAAAAATCACCAAACTGCTTTCCATAATGGCTGAACTAATTTACATTCTCACCAGCAGTGTATAAGCGTTCCCTTTTTTCAACAACCTTACCAGATCTGTTATTTTTTGACTTTTTAATAGCCCAGAATGAACTCTTTTAAAAAAGTTATATAGACACATATAGAATTAGTCATAGATATACGTACGTGTATACATACACACATTCATACACATGCAGATACATGTCCTAGTTCTATCTGCTGGGAGGGTGCAGAACCAATTACACTCTAGTGCCAATTAACCCACTGAGGCCCAGATCATGACTTCTTGTTGCCATCCTCCACTACACAAAAAGGATCAGAGCTGGGGCACAGAAAGTACAAGAAAAAACCTGGAACATCTGCTTGTGCCAGAAACCAGGAAAATGCTCCAGGAATGATGGGAGCATGTCAAAAGGACACAGAAGCCAACCTGAAAGGTCTCCTACTGGCCAAATTTGGAACAATTTGGGCATCAAATACTGATATTATTTATCCATTATCCAGTATTTATCCACTGAATAAAATGGAAGTCCATAAACCCATTAAACGAATAAACAATTTGATAAACAGGGAATAAAAGAGCGCTCTTTATTATACAATGCTAAGTAACAAACACAGATGGCATAATAAAATTAATCACCATTTGGCAACTATCATAGTGGTAATCTACATTTAAAAAGTAGAGAGGCTGGGTGCAGTGGCTCATACCCTTAATCCCAGCACTTTGGGAAGCCAAGCAGGTGGATCACTGAGATCAGGAGTTCGAGAACAGCCTGGCCAACATGGTGAAACCCCGTCTCTACTAAAAATACAAAAAGTTAGCTGGACTTGGTGGCGTGCACCTACAATCCCACCTACTCAGGAGGCTAAGGCAGGAGAATCGCTTAAACTCAGATGGCAGAGGCTGCAGTGAACAGAGATCACACCAATGCACTCCAGCCTGGGTGACAGACTGAGACTCTGTCTCAAAAAAAAGCAGAGAGCTGTTAATGAAAGCTCCGGCTTGTAGGTGAAGACTTGATGAACAGAAATTGGCATAATATGAGAACATCTCTGCACAAGGTGCTAATTAATTACAAAGGGGATAATGGTGGTGTCGTAGTGAAAAAACTCATCATTCACCAACTTGGTTAGGTAATCACAGTTACCACTAGTGGAAGGACAGATTGACACAATTTTTCCTAAGGTGACACACTGAGAAGAGTACAGAATCCTCCTCCAGTTTTGCAAATGGTTGAAAATTCACTCCTCTAACAATAAATAGTTGTACAACTGAAGACATATCAACTGGGGACTGGTTGAATTCTTTACGCTATATCCACACATTGTAATAATATGTAATATGCAGCAAGAAGAAAAAAAAATATGAGTGATCTTTATATATCAATTGGAATAAGTTTCTAGATTTATGGTTAAAGTTAACAAAAATTCAAAAAGTTAAAAGCAAATTCAAAAGTGGAAATGTTAAGTACATGCCAGGCAAAGAAAGGAGACTGAAGCTCTTTTAACATTATATATACCCCTTTGTACATTTTGAATCCTGAATCTTGAAAATACATTAACTAAGCAAGAATTTAAATTAACATGTAAACAAAACAATTTCACTTTCAGAAAAATCTTCCTACCCTAAGGTAACTTGAGTGGCTCCAGACCACTCCTACTACTCTCAATCACAGTGTACCTGCAGGTGGTGCCAGTTCAATCAAGGGAATGTTCAGTCACTCAATGATACTGAGCTCCTACTGAGATACACAAAAACTACTAGTGCACGTTCCTCAGGAACATACAAAAAAGCAAAAACAGCAATCCTTACCTTTACCTGACTATAGCACACCTATTATAATGCAGAGCAGTGATGCATGCAGACAAAAACGCCAATGAGTGAGAAGATGGTGCACTACAACACAGAACATTTCAATAGACAGTGATCATTTCCAGCTCCCTGTGATGAAGAAAGACTTCATGGAAAAAAATGGCATTTGAGTTGGCCTTTCAAGAATAATGCATCTCGCCCAGGCAAGAGTAGGGATAGTAGGAGAGCATTCAGGTAGATGGAATGGCGCACGTGAGGAGAAGCTAGCAGCTCATTTTGACAACAGCACCTACTTAAGATAGAGGAATGGAGAAAGATGGGGCTGGAGGGAGGCTAGCGCAGAAGGTAGAAGTGCCTCAATAATCAAGCAAATCCCAGACTGGGTCACTGTCAATCTCCTAATAGATGTCCAACCAGTGTGTGACCTTCTAAGTCATGGAGACATTGTCAAGATTATAAACTGTTATGCCGAGATAAAATTAACCATCTGTGATTTACTGAAGGTCGGAAGTTCCGCTGGTAGAGTATGGAGGTGTCATTTAAATTCTTTCAGCTGGCTGTAAAAACATGAAGTAATTGAGTTGTATTCTCAGATCAAGGAACTTAGGGAATAAAATTTTAGAACTGAACTTATTAGAGCCTCTATGATTAAAGGATGATATTTTTTACTGAGGTCAAGCTGGGACAAAGAAAGAACAATACATGAAGGGTTGCTGAATTTTGTCAAAGGCTTTTTCTGCATCTATTGAGATAATCATGTGGTTTTTGTCTTTGGCTCTGTTTATATGCTGGATTACATTTATTGATTTGCGTATATTGAACCAGCCTTGCATCCCAGGGATGAAGCCCACTTGATCATGGTGGATAAGCTTTTTGATGTGCTGCTGGATTCATTTTGCCAGTATTTTATTGAGGAATTTTGCATCAATGTTCATCAAGGATATTGGTCTAAAAATCTCTTTTTTGGTTGTGTCTCTGCCTGGCTTTGGTATCAGAATGATGCTGGCCTCATAAAATGAGTTAGGGAGGATTCCCTCTTTTTCTATTGATTGGAATAGTTTCAGAAGGAATGGTACCAGTTCCTCCTTGTACCTCTGATAGAATTCGGCTGTGAATCCATCTGGTCCTGGACTCTTTTTGGTTGGTAAACAATTGATTATTGCCACAATTTCAGCTCCTGTTATTGGTCTATTCAGAGATTCAACTTCTTCCTGGTTTAGTCTTGGGAGAGTGTATGTGTCAAGGAATTTATCCATTTCTTCTAGATTTTCCAGTTTATTTGCGTAGAGGTGTCTGTAGTATTCTCTGATGGGTAGTCTGTATTTCTGTGGGATCGGTGGTGATATCCCCTTTATCATTTTTTATTGCGTCTATTTGATTCTTCTCTCTTTTTTTCTTTATTAGTCTTGCTAGCGGTCTATCAATTTTGTTGATCCTTTCAAAAAACCAGCTCCTTTCAACAACCCTTCATGCTAAAAACTCTCAATAAATTAGGCATTGATGGGACATATTTCAAAATAATAAGAGCTATCTATGACAAACCCACAGCCAATATCATACTGAATGGGCAAAAACTGGAAGCATTCCCTTTGAAAACTGGCACAAGACAGGGATGCCCTCTCTCACCGCTCCTATTCAACATAGTGTTGGAAGTTCTGGCCAGGGCAATTAGGCAGGAGAAGGAAATAAAGGGTATTCAATTAGGAAAAGAGGAAGTCAAATTGTCCCTGTTTGCAGACGACATGATTGTATATCTAGAAAACCCCATTGTCTCAGCCCAAAATCTCCTTAAGCTGATAAGCAACTTCAGCAAAGTCTCAGGATACAAAATCAATGTACAAAAATCACAAGCATTCTTATACACCAACAACAGACAAACAGAGAGCCAAATCATGAGTGAACTCCCATTCACAATTGCTTCAAAGAGAATAAAATACCTAGGAATCCAACTTACAAGGGATGTGAAGGACCTCTTCAAGGAGAACTACAAACCACTGCTCAATGAAATAAAAGAGGATACAAACAAATTGAAGAACATTCCATGCTCATGGGTAGGAAGAATCAATATCGTGAAAATGGCCAAACTGCCCAAGGTAATTTACAGATTCAATGCCATCCCCACAAAGCTACGAATGACTTTCTTCACAGAATTGGAAAAAACTACTTTAAAGTTCATATGGAACCAAAAAAGAGCCCGCATCGCCAAGGCAATCTTAAGCCAAAAGAATAAAGCTGGAGGCATCACACTACCTGACTTCAAACTATACTACAAGGCTACAGTAACCAAAACAGCATGGTACTGGTACCAAAACAGAGATATAGATCAATGGAACAGAACAGAGCCCTCAGAAATAATGCCGCATATCTACAACTATCCGATCTTTGACAAACCTGAGAAAAACAAGCAATGGGGAAAGGATTCCCTATTTAATAAATGGTGCTGGGAAAACTGGCTAGCCATATGGAGAAAGCTGAAACTGGATCCCTTCCTTACACCTTATACAAAAATCAATTCAAGATGGATTAAAGACTTAAACGTTAGACCTAAAACCATAAAAACCCTAGAAGAAAACCTAGGCATTACCATTCAGGACATAGGCATGGGCAAGGACTTCATGTCTAAAACACCAAAAGCAATGGCAACAAAAGACAACATTGACAAATGGGATCTAATTAAACTAAAGAGCTTCTGCACAGCAAAAGAAACTACTATCAGAGTGAACAGGCAACCTACAAAATGGGAGAAAATTGTCGCAACCTACTCATCTGACAAAGGGCTAATATCCAGAATCTACAATGAACTCAAACAAATTTACAAGAAAAAAACAAACGACCCCATCAAAAAGTGGGCGAAGGACATGAACAGACACTTCTCAAAAGAAGACATTTATGCAGCCAAAAAACACATGAAAAAATGCTCATCATCACTGGCCATCAGAGAAATGCAAATCAAAACCACAATGAGATACCATCTCACACCAGTTAGAATGGCAATCATTAAAAAGTCAGGAAACAACAGGTGCTGGAGAGGATGTGGAGAAACAGGAACACTTTCACACTGTTGGTGGTACTGTAAACTAGTTCAACCATTGTGGAAGTCAGTGTGGCAATTCCTCAGGGATCTAGAACTAGAAATACCATTTGACCCAGCCATCCCATTACTGGGTATATACCCAAAGGACTATAAATCATGCTGCTATAAAGACACATGCACATGTATGTTTATTGCGGCATTATTCACAATAGCAAAGACTTGGAACCAACCCAAATGTCCAACAATGATAGACTGGATTAAGAAAATGTGGCACATATACATCATGGAATACTATGCAGCCATAAAAAATGATGAGTTCATGTCCTTTGTAGGGACATGGATGAAATTGGAAATCATCATTCTCAATAAACTATCACAAGAACAAAAAACCAAACACCGCATAGTCTCACTCATAGGTGGGAATTGAACAATGAGATCACATGGACACAGGAAGGGGAATATCACACTCTGAGGACTGTGGTGGGGTGGGGGGAGGGGGGAGGGATAGCATTGGGAGATATACCTAATGCTAGATGACGAGTTAGTGGGTGCAGCACACCAGCATGGCACATGTATACATATGTAACTAAACTGCACAATGTGCACATGTACCCTAAAACTTAAAGCATAATAATAAAAAAAAAAAGAAAGAACAATACTTGTAAAAGGATGTGCACTGCCCTGGTTCAAACAAGACGTGTGGATTGAACAGATGGCAGATGAAGACAACACTTCAGCAGTTTTCCATGTTGAACTATTTTGAGTCCAAACTTCACATATTTTGAAGAAATGCTGAACCACATTTTCACTGAAATAAAGCCACTCTTCAGAAGTGGGGTGCACAGTTTGATGCTTATGAAATGGGCTTTAAATTTCTGTGACTGTCTTTGGTGTCCACAGTCTTGGTGTGAATGTGATTTATCAAGCATTTGTCCCATCAGCAGGGCTCAGTTTCTAAAAGAACTGAAAACAAACCAGACCCACCAAGATGATGCAATATCTCTGGAATTTTGGAGACAGCTCCATGAATCCCAAAACTATTTCTGGTTACTTGGCCAAAATCAGGGCAGTGTTTGCTTCTGCCCATCTCAGTGAAAAAGCATTCTCTTTTGTGAAATATGGCAGCTACCATCAGCAGCATAAACCATCAAAATCAATTCAACCTAGCTAAATATACTTCATATTTTAGAGTAACTTAACTTTTAAATACTACACTCTTATTTACTTCATAAAAAAATCAATGATTAGCTCTAAGGTAATAACTTTGTACTAATTTGTTTTCTGTATGTCTCTTACGTTGGTGATTAAACCCCTCACCTGCATGCCCAAAATGTTCCAGTGTATATAACATGGTATCAAGGAAACCTCTGCTCAGCCTCCATGTGTACAGATTTCTAGCTGTGAAGACTTCTACTAACAGCAAACACTGATTCAAAGAAAGGAGGAAAAGAACATTTACTGAACTCCAATTCTGTGCTAGGTGCAGTGCTTACCTTCCTCTATTACACGTGTAAGATAAGTTTAAGAGTTCTAAAATAAGTAAAAAGAAGCCACATTCCACTAGACAGTAATAATATTAAACAATCTCCTCCCCCAAAATCATGAAACAAAAATGTTTAACGAGGTAAACAATATTAAAATTTTATCATCCTTAAAAAATTAAAAGAAAATTAATTCCAAGGTAAGGCAACAAGACATTATATAATTGACCGTGTTACGTGGATAATGATGTATAATTTCAAATCAAAACAATAAATATTTATTGAATGCTAATGATGGGTATTTTAAAACTTACCAAGAAGAGAACTATGAGCAGGTAATCTTTCTGGTAACTACTGTAATCACACATGCATGCAAGTGTGTGTATACAGAACTTCTTCAATTTGCTTTATTATAAATTACTATTATATGTTCAGATTTACGAGCAAAAGACTGTGTCTAGAGCCCCAGACACTGTGCCAAGAGACAGCAATGAGGGTCTGTGAATTAACATATTAATTTGGCTACCGCTAAGGACCTCAAAACTCAGGATTCCCAAATTTTTACTTATCCAAGCAATAATAGTAAATTTTCTTTTTGAGGGTCTATTTCAGCTGCATTTGAAAAATAAATCACAAAACTCTAGAGATGATAGATTGGTTATGTTCATCTAGTTTCTTCATGTTATAGATGAAATGACCAATTTAAAAAAAGGTAAAATGACCTAAGTAACCCAGCTAATAGGTCTCTTGCTTCTCAGTATCAATGCCTCCAACTCCATTTTTGTCTTCTGAACTATTAAATATGAACTTTAAATATGCTTTCTATCTCAGTTCATTACCGAATTTGGAATGGCCCTCTGGGTGGTTCCATAAATTTTAATACCAACAAGGTCTATTGAGCAATTAACATGACTTTTCAACCATCTTAATCCTGTTATCTCAAGAAAAGGATGCACTTTTACTTAATCATGTCTACCTTTGCCAAGCTTACAACAAGATCTCAAGATTTCTAGAAAAGTTATGATTTCAGTCATCCACTATAAATTTGGGGAAATAACTTATTTTCAAATAGAATCACTATTTTATGTAGCAGGTTAAAAAAGACTAAAGCTTTAAAAACACACTGTATTTACTTGGCAACAGCACTCTAGATGTATGTATTTCACCAAGAGGACTGGAGGTGTCTAAAAAAGCACAAAAGAAACAAAAACATAAAATAAAGAACTGAGAGAATCTCATAAGGAAAATCAGGATAGGGAAATAATAAAACAAAGGTTAGGATTGGAACACTGAATTTCACTACACAGGGCTTGAATGGCCGCTATTTTGGGCTGCAAATTTTACTCCCATGTCCCTCAAGCAAAGAGAGAAACAACATCTGAACAGGATTCACATTGTCCATAGCTAAAAAGCAAACCACTCTTTCAGGATGGAAGCACAGATGCTGCTGGTATGAAGATCTGCAGGCAGTTTCCCCGGCGGTTTTTCATAGAGTCCAGTCTGTGATGTGGTGGGTGATGTCCTCCACAATAGTGGTGTGTGCTGGGTCTTTTCTGCTCACTGTCTCGCAACACAGGCAGATGGCCTCATGCCAAATAAAACCAAGACAGACAACCCATCTCACTGTGCAGAGGAAGTATTTGTGAACAAGGCCAAAATCTCCCTTAGAGAAGAGTCTGGCTTTACTCCAACTTCCAGACAAATGGGCAATTAAGGTCACAAAGCTTAGAGCGTGGTAGCAATCATTTTAGCCTGGAAAGTGCTCAGGGCAGGCATTCCTCATCGTCTACAAAAGTAATTTGTAAGCTGGGAGTGGGGTGAGGAGGGAGCCCAGTAGTTTTTTGGTCTTTAAAAAGCATGATTCCACAAACTCTAACAGAAGTGTTACCATTAACATTTGTATGTCTTGTAAATTTTCAAAGACTGACTGCAGTTGGTTTCACCTTCTCCTACCAAGACATCTTTTCATTTTGACTTATTTATTTATTTTTAACAAGGGGAGCTCCAGGTTAACTTGAAAAGCTTATAAAAAGGATACGAGGAGCCTGAGTTTTATTGAAAAGAAATTATAAGCCAAGGAGGAATGAATGAATATGAGTGTGCTGCACATAATAAATGCAGTAATAAACAAGTCTGACTTAGCAAAATAAGCTATTTCAGTAAAGCCTACTCTAGGCTAGTAACACAAAGTAGCTTGAGGTCTGGAATTAGAATCCTGACAGCCCCATTTGAGCCATGAATAAGAATAGTGTAGCCAATGTTCCATGGATGATAGGCACAACCCCTTGAAGACAGGGTCATCCTGACTGGACTGCAAGCCCCTCACATAGTCCAAACAGTTGAAGGCTGATACAACCAGCTCACTAAAATAATCATCATTTGGTGGGGATAGGACACCATCACTGTTTTTAACTGTGCTCTCTGGAATCCCTCTTTCTCATGTATTAACATTAAGGTAAGATTCCATAAAGTTCTGGTCACTTGTAGTATCAGAAACTCAGTCCAGTGAAATGTAACACTCCACTCTCATAACCAGTTAATTCAAAGTTAACCTACTCCACATGACCAGCTAGAGTTAACAGCTCAGGAAACTCAGGTTTGCAAGGGAGGCAGTGGAGTAAAGGAAGAAGACAGGGAGAAAGAGACAGAGAGAGGAAATATACATTAGGAATGGCACTGTTCTTTTCTCCTTTCAAACTTCTTCAGGGCTGCAGATCATCTCTTCAGTAGATAGTGACTAGCATCGTTAATGTAAGAGAAAACAAGACAAAATGATAAGGTTATATTACATATAAGTATTGTTTCATGAAATGTTGTTTCATTATTTTTATGTAGCTACGTAGTGAGTCAAGTAGTGGGTCAATATATTTCTTACGGTTATATTCAAAAAAATATTTGAAAGTGATTTATCTCAATATTGGGTGGTAGGGCAGTACAAGTACAATGTGGTAGTGATAGCATGGTCTTGGAAGCCAGACCCCCTGAATCCAAATCCTAGGTAACAAACCTTTCTGTGCCTTAGTTCCTATACATGCAAAAGAACAACAGTAGAACCTATGTAATCCCATGTTGCTAGAAGGATTAGATGAGCCAATATCTGGAAAGCCCATGGAATAGTACCAATAGAGATTAGCTATTCAGAGGAAAAAGGGATCAAAGAAAAAGCAAATATCTCCTTACTTACCTGGATGCAGTCACAATTCTCTTTCCACTGCTTCCCAGTGCTTCTCTAATATTAACTGGCTGCTGACAGCCTCCACAGGTGCAGCTCTCTCGTGGGAGTTGAAGAGTTTTTTTTAAAAGACACCCATGAGGGTTCCCATTGCATACTTCACTAACATGAGAAAATCGGTATCTCCCATGTCTCCTTACCCTCTGATACCAGCAGAATATCTGATGGTCTCTAGTTGCTGGGCTTTACTAACCTAGCAGGCAGGCTTCGTGGGTGGGTTATCAGAGAGAGAGCACAAGCCCAGCTTCATTCAGTGATACCTACTTGACTTATGCTACACTGCGGGAGAGTTTCTCCCCAATTCTCTCTTCAAGTCTCTTTTCATAGGCATTGGGGCACATCAACAAGTCTGTCACTTAAGCAGTTGTGCAACCAGGGAAAGAAACTCTGGCCTCCTCCTCTTGTAGACATGCCCAATATTTAAGAGAGATTTCCTTGGAAAGTTCTTTCTCCCAAGAGATCATCTACTCGCCTTTATGGGGCCTACCCATTTCCCACCACTTTTATCACCAATGACTTTGTACTTCTTTCTTCTCTCTTTAATCTTCTTATTGGGGAGAAGGTGTTCAGGGTAGTAGGGTGGTTTGTAATAGTGGCTGTTGTTATTAGAGAAGTTTCTGCCACCTCTCATTAAGTGTGAAGGAGAAGTGTATGCCTTCAAGTGTTGGCAGATCTTTCAAAGCACTCTTCAGAATGCCAGGGCCACATGGCTCTCCATTCTGAATCTTAGTTGCCAATTATGGGATAACAAGCAAGGTCCTACTCAAATCATGTGATACTAACATGCATAGTGCAACTATCAAGAGAAAATGAAAAAGCAGAAAGGAAAGAGAAAAGCAGAGTGATCAGGAGTCATCATGATTAAGATAAAAGACAGGAGTAGCAAGTAGCATTATGGTCAAACAACAGAGAGGATTTCCAACAGTGTAGAGGCATTCTGTACCTTAGCGTTCTGATGCCTAAAGATATGAGATCCTCTGTGTGTGTCTCTGTAAGAGAGAAAGAGAGAGAGAAAGAGAGAGAGAGAGGCACTAAACATACCATTGTTCCCTCCATATCATAGCCTTTGAAAGCAACAGACATATTTATAGGAATACACTAAGTCCGAGTGGAGTGGCCAGCATACAAGAGTATTCTACATGCCAGAGAACATAACTCTGTGTATAATAAATGCCTTTTTTGGCTTAGATTCAAAAGCCTCTCTGGCAAAGGACAGAGAGAAATGACATTTAACATAGGTGAACACAAAAAACACTGAAGGATCAGTACAAGGGTGAAGCACTGAGTTGTGTACAATCTGTTACATATGAGAACACAGTTCAAAGAGGGCAGTTGTGAAAATATTTTTATATATAACAGCATCTACAGCTGCAAAACACTACACCCTCCTAAAGCAGACGGCTTCAGCCATGCTCTACCGGAGGAGACAGTCTTGGTCAAAAGAGCAGACACTGCCCTTACTTATGCCTAATGGCCTGCTAGAAAAGCAAAGCATTTTTTTTTAAATGCAGTTGATTGTGTCATGTGTATTTCCGAAAATCTTTTCTAATTAAAGTAAGGCAAGAAACCACCAGATCAAGTTAAGACAATAACTTAGCATGTCATAAAGGTAGAAAAAAATATGTGGTTTCTGGAAAATGCATTACTAATGCAGTGTATTCTCCAACAGTTTACAACACTTACAAAATCAGTAGATGATGGACCATGCTTATCAACTTTCTCTGTAATTCTGGTCACAGCTAAACACTGAAGGAAGCTGGAGAAAAATTCAGCTAGTTTCATGTTTGCAGAGCCATGCTTCCTTTACGTGATTATACACATTTTTTTTTTTTTCTGAGAAAGCCCTCTTCAAATCCCTTAAGCACACATTCTTGCAATGGTGCAGGGTAGCTCTTTAAACCCCATCAAAAAGATTGAAAAGTAGCTATGAGCAGCCAAAGAGGGTTCTGGGATTTGGAAAAGTCTTATATTTCAATGTGCTGACAAGTGAAAAGACACAGGTTATCGTGAAGATGATGGTTTTTAGGAGTGTGGAAAAATCACCTTGGGGAAAAAAATCACTCACTCTTTGATACTGTAACCACTATGATTCATTTCTCTGGATTCCAGATAAGTAGCATTTTATGGTATTAAAATGCTTCTGAAACTCATGAATTATCTTTAAGTTCTTCCAAACTTCTGAAATAAGCTAAAGGCCAAAGATTTTTGGTTCTCCAAAGCAGCGAAGTTATTTTGACATTCATGCTCTTTCCTAAAATAATACACTTTCAATGTTTTATGAACTAAATTTCTTACAGTAGAAATTTGGAATATTCTGTTTTCAATAGTTACTATAGGCAAATAGTGAATGTTTAATGCTACTTTTCTTACTAAATAAAACAATGATATTTTTTGATGTGAGACTATAACTAAAAAGGATTTTGTAAATCTGTATTTACGAACAAGAAAAGTTGATGGTTAGAAAAAAACAGAATACAGACTAGTTTACAGAGTAAATGACAATTAAATTAAAGTGGTATATGCAGGTATATCTACCATAGGAAGATGATTAGAAAGATGCTTCCAAAATGTATAACAGTATCTTTGGGGAGAGAATTTGGCTGTTCTTTACTTCCTGCTGTGGATTTTTCTGTAATTTTTTTCTTTCTATAAGTATATACCATTTTTACTTAAAAACAGAAAGGAAAGAAAGAGAGAAAGAAGGAAAAAGGCTATGTTTCCAAATAGAATATTAACCTACGAAAAGAAATACCTTCTGTTGTATTTAAAACTAGCATGTCAACCCCCTAAAATTGACTGTAGTATTTAATTTAAAAAAAATCAGGAACAGGCAAGAAAGAAAGAACATATATCTCCCAACTACAGCACTACCTACTTGTTAACATTTTTCACAAGAATCTCCATGGCCTAAAATAAAATTGTTTCTCCCGTCATTTCGGCTATGAGTTTCCTAAGAAGTTCTATACAGGAGGCACAGAGATATCATGCTAGTCTCAATCAAAATGTTCCAGACACATGAGACTAAATATAAAGGGTTAATAGTAATAAGAGGTTATACATGCAGAAGGAAATCCATACCCTCATTTTTAGGTAATGAATATCCAAATACAATGCAGACAGCCTGCAAGACCCTAAAACCTTTTTTAAAGAATATATGATAGTCATAACTTACTAGAAAATATGGTAAAACTGTTACTATATTATGGAGACTTTTAGCCCAAACAAATAGGTCATTTACTACCACTACAAGTCAGGATAAATATTTTGCAATCTTATCCCAGCTGTGCATGCTTACTCTATGTGGAAGGAAAATTATATTTATTAGCACTTTGCCCCAATATGATCAACGCATTTAAAAGATGCTGACTTTTAAACTGTTAGCCTTCAAAATTAGTCTGCATTTCCCATCTATTAGTAAATGGCATAATACTATTCTTAGGAAAAGCTGGCCTGGACAAGTAGTGGAAAACAAAAACGAATGAACAAACAAAAAATAAGGAAATGGACAGATCTATGGTTAAACAGTTCTTCAGGAAAAAAAAAAAAAAGCATTGCAAATCTAATTGCTATTCCAGAAAAACAAGGGTTTCTTCAGTTTCTCTGGCATTGTTCCAAATTCATCCAGCAAAGTTATTTAAGTAAAGGACTGACCATAACTGCGTATGTGAGGGTTCTGTTCATTTGCCAGAGGAAAGAGAAAGATACAATAAGCATAAACTCAGCAGGAAAATTCAGTGATCAGAAAGGAGAACACCAAATAAAAAGGCAACTGCTTCTGGCAAGATGGAGTTGTTTTCTTTATATAGTTTCTATTCAACTTCAAGGCAGTTCAAATGATCTGCCCACAATCTTGGACAATGTGCCTTCGTTTAAAGTTAGTCAACTGGCCTCCTGGCGAAGAAAATTTAACTTCATGACTGCCGCAAAATGCCAATGGGACTGCTGGCAGAAGTATTCTGTATTTCGAGTTCAAATAGTAATAGGGTTTACTACACTGCGAGCCAGGATCACAAAATATAAATGGAGAAACCAGCCAGGTTAGATGCTTGGGAAATGTCTTTTGTGTTTGTTGAAGTCTGCCTAGCAACTACTGGCAATTTTTGAAAGCACGTTCATCCTGGAAAAATAAATACCTGCCAAAATGCCAATCTGGTTCTAATTGCATACCTTTTCCCTCTTTTTTTTTTTTTTTTTTTTTTTTTTTTTGAGATGGAGTCTCGCTCTGTCGCCCAGGCTGGAGCGCAGTGGCGCGATCTCGGCTCACTGCAAGCTCCGCCTCCCGGGTTCACCATTCTCCTGCCTCAGCCTCCCGAGTAGCTGGGACTACAGGCGCCCACCACCACACCCAGCTAATTTTTTGTATTTTTAATAGAGACAAAGTTTCACCGAGTTAGTCAGGATGGTCTCGATCTCCTGACCTCGTGATCCACCCACCTCGGTCTCCCAAAGTGCTGGGATTACAGGCGTGAGCCACCGCGCCTGGCCACCTTTTCCCTCTTTAAAACATATCATGAGCTTCCCTACTTTGACCTAGGGTACTACAAAGTGTAAGAAAGAGGGTGTGTATTGGTGGGGCGGGGAGTTCTTTCTGTCCATATAAAGAAAATTTTTTTTGTTTAGACACAGACTAAACCTTTTAGAATGTGAACATAATACTATTTGATGACCTTTTATTGTTATTAAGAACCGGTATTTAAAAGTAACCCCAGCTCTGACTTAAAATATATATAGGCATACTTTTGAACATAAACTTAAAAAATCAAAATGATAGGCAAAATCTATCACTGCTTTTAACTTAAATTTTTAATCAAAAAGGCACAGTAGAAATATTATGAGATTTCAAATAACTTTACATGAAAGGTTATTTTTTTCTTTTTATAAGCTTGCCCTTCCTGACAACGTTGGCCAAATTAAATTCAATTCAATTTTCGAAGCTTAAGAACATTTAAAAAGTTAAAACAAGAAAATACTTATCCTTATCTAGTTTTTTCGATCACTCTAACGTGGCCCTAGATGTACAATTCCATGGAGCCTAAAGGGAGCCAGCTGTGGAATTGCCACAAGGCACGTATAGGATACACATGCCTTAAACAAAAACCAGAGACTTCCCAGGCACGGGGACGGGTGGAGTTCTGTTTCTGTGCTGCACAGACTAACAGGAGAAAAGGATCGATTGTTTTAGGGAGTTGACTCAAAAGAGCTAAACTGTCTTCCTTACACAACTTCTGGGTCTCAGGTAGAAGAATCGGGGCCAGGCACACAGGGAGTGGTAGCCAGGCAAACCTGGCCAAGTCAGTCAAAGTCTTTGAGCCAATTTTCTTTCTCTAAAATAAGAATAAAGCCACGCGGTTTCCCTGAGAATTGAGAGATCTCTTCTGTAGCAAGTGCCCTAGTATGATGCTTAAAACATTATAGGTACTTGGGAAAGAGTAGCTATGTGTTGTAACTGGTGCTACTGTAATAATTATTAGCAATAATAATATTCTAAAGGCCAGATAACCACCTTATCTAACTCAGCTGGGAGAAATTCATGGAGGACTGACAGGTATATATCTCATCGTAGATATTCCAAAAAAATTTCTAACTTTTTTAGAACTGATTTAAGTCATATTAGCACACAATAGAAAGCAAACTATATTATTTCCTATACTGACACATAACAGGAAACAACCATATTTCAGCAGGGTAGGTGCTGTTGAGGACATATTCTGCCAGACACACACTGCAGTGTCTCATTAGGTAATTAACAGAAGCTCCTCCAAGGTTCCTGTAGCAATAAAGCCTGTGATCTTCCAGAGCCACTAATTTATTTTTAATCTCATGGACCTTGTGGTTCTCCTAAATGGTCAGGCTTCCTTTTCTGCTGTGGCCATGGAGGAAGCTCAGATCCTGTTGGTGTGTGTTGTGTACAAATCTTATTGTTCCTCCTCTCAAATTATTTTCCAACACTTATTTTCCCTTCACAACAATTTCCTCTTCTATTTATTTTTCAGTCTGTATTACTAAATGTAAATTGTTAAGCCACTTCAAACCCCTTTTTGGAACAAAGGATAAAATAATGTACTGTAAGTCCTGACCATTCTGCTATTCAGAATTCACTCTAAAAATACAAGAATTCTATCATTCAACCTAGCCCAGCCAAGCTCACATTTAGAGGTAGCTAAAAGATTTCTCTGATGGACAGGTGGTGATTGACAACTAAAGAGGAACTTTCTTCAGAGAATACCTGGGAAATTTGACAAAATTCAATGCAAAGGAAGAAGATAGCAAAGAGCTCTGTAATCAGAACAAGGCCATCAAATCACTGAATGTAGCCAAATGCTCTTGGACACATACAGCTGTCACATAAGCAAGAGTATTATCCCTCTCTTGAATGCTTCTGTCCCGATCTGAGAGTGACATCATCACAAAGCCTTCAGAGGACTAGCCAGCCACAGGGATTTCAATTCCCCAGTTTTTAAGCTGAAGGTTTAAGTAATGATTAGCTGAGAAAGCCAAAAAATACAAGATTTTATTCATTAGTGTTCAAGAGAAGAGACATCTGGTTTACAAACCTCTTTGGTAAATAACACCTTGCAGACATTAAGTTTACAAGAATAATAAAGACAGGGCCAGACGCAGTGGCTCATGCCTGTAATCCTAGCACTTTGGGAGGCCGAGGCAGGAGGATTGCTTGAGCCAAGGAGTTTGCGACTGGCCTGGGCAACAAAGACCCCATCTCTACAAAAATAGTAAAAAAAATTAGCCGAGCATGGTTGCACACACATGTAGTCCCAGCTACTCAGGAGGCTGAGTGGGGAGAATTGCCTAAGCCCAGGAGGTCAAGACTGCAGTAAGCCGTGATCACATCACTGCACTCCAACCTGGGTGGCAGAGCAAGATCCTGCCTCAATAATAATAATAATAATAATAATAATAATAATAATAATAATAATAATAATAATAAATGGTTCATATTGTCAGGAGCATATGTGTTTTTGGTGACTGGTGCAATAGAATGATGGGTTGTACAGTCAACCACACTTTCCTGGGAGACCACTGGCTGAGTGGAACAGAAAGGATGACTGCACAGCTAGACGTTGAGGGCACGGTTTTGCAAATGTTCTCAAGTCACCAGGAACTCATTACAGGAAAAGTTCCATGACATTCCAGGAATAATGCCAACCTAGAACTCATCATTCTGACCTCTTCCTCTAACCAACCAAAGTCACTCTTCCACACCCTGGAACACAACACATAGAGATTTAATAAACATTTCAGGGAAGACAAGCTAAGATCTACATAATGACAGTACTCAGTACATGAAAACACCCCCAGCCTCTTTCGGAACTCAGGAATAAGAAGCCACCATGAGTAGCTGCTGTTCATTTTCATTCACCCCGAAAGTGCAGAGCCTAACTCACACCTCACAAAATGCAGATACTTCCCTGGGCTATTTTCCAGGTATTCAGCACTTACCAATTAATTAATAATTCTAAATGCCAGCTTTAGAGTAACTATTTACTATTCACTTAAATGTGCAAAGCTGGCCTTGAAGAGACCTGGCTATTCCAGTTTTACTATAAACTTGCAGCACTGCTATTACAATTTCAAATTGTGTCTTCCCTGCAAGATATTTTGTAACTATGTTTCAATGTTAAATTATTTTCTCTGAAAACATGTGGCCATTTAGACGTCAAAATAGCAACGTTAGGTACATTCATACTGCTGTGATTCACATTCCAACACAATGTGAATCACAATGTGAATTCCTAACACAATGTGAATCCCAACAATGCTAACACCACTAGACTGTATACTTAAAAATGGTTAAAATGGTAACTTTTATGTGTGTTTTACCACAATTTCTTGAAAAAAGAATCTCTCAAAAGAGGTTTTATCTATATAACCACATTGTTAACCCCACAGCCAACTCATTCTCCATTACAAAGTACAGAGGCTATAAAGTTTCCTAAAATACAAATGATAACCTTCGCTGTATTATTAGAACTTAAAATTACAAATGATTAATCTCTCTAAGACTAGTCAATACTCGAATAGCCAAGGGTATGAAGGCACCACCATACCATTTCTACTGAGCTATTTTCATTGCTTGAAATGTATTTGGTAATAGTGTTTGTTCCAGGAAAGCAAAAAAAAAAAGGAAAGAAAAAAAAGAAGTCAACCTAGATGGCGCCAAATCATCTCCTAACCTCAGGAAGACAAACATCTGCCTCTGAATCTGCAATAAGTCCTAGAAAAATTCCAACATGAAGCAAGGGCACGACGGCAAAACCACAATGCAAGTGTTGCCCTGATTTAAAAGGCAAACAAAACCCCGAGCCTGTCCAACACAGAGTAGATAATGAATAGCAGCCATCGCATGATAGAGCTTCCCAAAATCATTTCCTGGGGATTGCACTGTTAGCAACCCCTGTGGTTGCTCTATAAAAAGAAATTATTTACCAACTGCCTTGACATCATAGGTAATGGAATAATACATCAAATGAGATGCTTCATTTTTCCTGCTGAGGCTCAGCTCTAAGGAATGTATTATTGTTTTGGAAGAATTGTAAAAGAATTCCAATAAAGACAATTGAAAGAAAATACAATTATATCCTCAATGGGCAAGAATTTTTAAATGTGTTTTTCTAAGTGGAAAAGCAAAGAACTGCTTTTGAAAGTTGAAATAGACACTTAAGAAAGCTTTTTATCTATCCAAAGCAAGTGATGAAAATTTAGCTGTCCCTCAAAATTATTTTGTTTAAAAATTGAAGAGCTTTTTACTTGATGTGTTCACCATGTAATAGGTCCCTTCCAAGTTGTTTCTTTCGTAGACACATTATAATCAGTAATTATTCTATCTACTCATTTCTCTATACTTTGTCTGCATTCTTCAGTGAAATTTATGTTTGCTCCATAATGGCAGAATCCATGTCATAACTGCTCACCACTGTATTCCAAAGGCCCAACTCAGTACCTGCCACACACTAGTGGGCTCAAAAACAATTTTTGGTGAGTAAATGCACAGTTAATTGAGTATCCCATGGCTGCAATAACCATCTTAGGGTTTAACAAATGTCTATAAGCTGCATATGTAAATATTTTTGGTCTCAGAGATTTAAGAGGTCACAAAGGGAAGAAGGGCAGTCCATAATTTATTTAAAATCTAACTTAAGTTATAACACCTTAAGACTTTGCATGTAAAAAAGCCACAATGCAGCTTTCTTCAGTATGGATAAGGATTAGTTATTGCATTTCATGACAGCCCTACCTGTTTATAGGTAAACATTTTGGTACAAACACTCTATTATAACTTTGGTTTCTTCCTATACAACTGACACCTTTTTATATCCAAATAGCAAATAAAATGCTCGAGGAATGTTGTCAGTAAACACAGGCAGGGCATATAATGTAAATCCAGAACAAAACTACAGTGTGGATTCAATTCTTTTTCCAACCCAATCTTTTCTAAGAAGCTTATATTGCTTAATTTACTGATCAGTACTCCCATCAGAAAAAAAAGAATAAAAAGTAATGTTATCTTATGCTTACTGAAAAATTACCATTTCTGTCCAAAATTTGGTTAACAAGATCTTAGGGATGAGGCTCAGGGAAAATCATAAACTCTTTGTTGCACTGGACCCCGTTTCTCAATACTACACTGCATTTGAGAAGATTACACTGGATTAATTTCAATGGCAGCCAGTCTGGGCAACATGGCGAAACCCTGTCTCTACAAAAAATACAAAAATTAGCCAGGCATGGTGGCACATGCCTTTAGTCCCAGCTACTCGGGAGGCTGAGGTAGGAGGATCACTTGAGCCTGGGAGGTTGAGGCTTCATTGAGCCAAGATGTACCCCAGCCTGGGAGACGAAGGACCCTGTCTCAAAAAAAAAAAAAAAAAAAAAAATTTGGCCGGGCACAGTGGCTCATACCTGTAATTCCAGAACTTTGGGAGGTCAAGGCAGGTGGATCACCTGAGGTCAGGAGTTCGAGACCAGGCTGGCCAACATGGTGAAACCCCATCGCTACTAAAAATACAAAAAAAAAAAAAAAAAAAAACAATTAGCTGGGTGTGGTGGCAGGCGCCTGTAATCCCAGCTACTACTTGGGAGGCTGAGGCAGGAGAATTGCTTGAACCCAGGAGGCAGAGGTTGCAGTGAGCCGAGATTGCACCACTGCACTCCAGCCTGGGTGAGTGTGAGACTCTGTCTCAAAAAAAAAAAAAAAAATTTAAATGGCAGACTCACCACTGATGATCTTCTTGTTGCCCTACTTCACTGGGGAATTTAGGAAAATAAAAGCTTTGGCAAATATAAAAGTGCTACATAAATCTCACATTGAAAACAAATATGCTCTGTGAGCTGCTTCTTGGACACTATTTTGATTTATTGGGAACACTTAGGGTATAGATATGGATCTTCTGCACACTAAAAAAATTTTCAGTTAGGAGGAATAATTCAGAGATCTATTATACAACATGGTGACTAGTTAATAACAATGTATTTTATACTTGAAAATTGCTGAGTAGATTTTAGGTGTTCTTACCACAAAAAAGATAATTATATGAAGTAATGCATACGTTAATTAGCTTGATTTAGCTATTCCACAATGTACATATATACAATGAAATATGTACACCATAAATATATACAATTTTTATTTGTCAACTGCAAGAAAGAAAAAGATGAAAGCAAACGAGGGAGGGAGGGAGGGAAGAAAAAGGAAAAGAAAAGAAAAAAGAGAAGAGAAAAAAGAGAAGAGAAAAAAGAAAAGAAAAGAAAAGAAAAAAGAATTTCAAAGCTTTAGAGACCATATGCTTAGTTCTACCCCTCCTTTGACGAATAACGGAACCAGAGGCCTTGAAGAGATACCCAGTGCCGGGACTATCTCTGCCTGCTTTCTCCTCATTGGTGCTCTTTTCACAACAAGCGGTGGCTCTTATTGGTACAAGTAGCCTCTGGGCATCCTTTCTCATCACCCCCTGCCACAAAACCCAGAGAAGGCTGATGAGGCACACACAGCTCTTGGGAATAAGAGGACTTTCAAGTCTGTGAACTCTGGGTGACCCATGTGTAGACCAGTGTCTACATTTCAGAAGCACTGAGACCAAAAAGGGGAGAGGCGTTGGGGAAAGGAGCCTGAGACAGGGAGAAAGCAAAGAAGGCAAGAGTCAAATAAACGAGCCTTTTTTCCTTTAACTGCAGCTTGAGTTAGTCCAATTCAGAACCACATTTTGAAAAGAATACACTTATCCCCACATTTCCTATTTGACATTTTTAAGCTGTTTTTTTCAAATGGCCTTTTTTTTTAACTCTGTAATTACTTACCATAAAGTACAGATGTTATTTTCTATAACATTAAAGAGATGAATAAGAAAACTCCTGGCTTACAGGCAATTCTACATGAACCCTCAATTTCTGGAATGCAAGTTAATTCCTAATAAGTCACTATTTCCAGCCCTGCTCTGTTACTCTAAACCTTACCACCTAGACTTAAAAGTCATCGTATTAGTTAAAATTACATTCTTTTTTTCCTCCAAAACAGCCCTCCTGCTAGATGTTACTATGTCTGTCATTTAGTATTAGAAACTTTAAAATCCACTTCATTCCACTACATCCTACATCCAAGATTCTTCCTTCTAATTTCCTAATATCAGTCCCTTTATCTTCCTGTTCGCATACCTCCCCCAAATTCCCAGGCCTTCTGTACCTTACTGGTCCTGTTTAAGTGATTCCCCTGGCTATCACAGTGCTTAGTTACTAGATCCCCTCTGGTCCACCATGCCTGTCCCAATTTATAAGTTATGCCACTGGTACCTATACTGATCCTCAACAAACTACCTCTACTCACAGCCAATAACTGACAGAATCTACTATGTTATCATGTTTTACAGAGCTCTAACACAGTGCCCTGCATTCAATATTCTATAAAAGCTTTCATAACAATAAAGATGAAAGGCTCCCACTATTCATACCAGTAAGATGTAGAAGGGAAAGTTAATGAGTAGCCCTGGAAGGACTTTCATCATCTTATAGCAAAGGGCTGTAAAGCCAAAAGCTGAAAGCAAAGCGTGCGTGAGGAGGGAAGACAATGAACATCAGAACCAGCGGCAAATTCTTGTGGCTGAGACACGAAACGTTCTTTGAGCCACAGAGAGAACTGGCAGCTCCTGAAACAAGAAGTTTCTTGGATTTTCTTTTTATGCCATGCTGCCAAGCAAAACAAATATTTTTGCATCCTAAATGAAAGTTCAGTTTACCCTGATAATTCTTTATTGGTAGCAAACCTCATCTAACCACAGCCTATCAGTTTCTGACAATTTTCCATTTCATAACAAAGGAAAAAACATATTTCTAATAGCAACCAACTATCCTATTACATGAGAACTTAACCACCACCTCAAAAGAAAAGAAAAAAAATCTTCACTCGAGAAGGAAATGTTTTTATTCTAAAATGCAAAATACATAAACATATTTAAATAAAAGGAAACCAACAAATGGAATTTTTCCCCATATAAGAATCAAGAAAGTAGTATCCCCAAATAAAAGTTACGATCACAGCTTTAAACTGAGACAAATTGCCAAAAATATTATAGAACTGTGTGTGGTTTTTTTCAAGCAACTAAAGATATGGAAGGTGCCTCATCCTACATCAGCCACACAGCCTTCCCCCCAGCCAGAGGATGCAAACACTAGAATGAAAGGGTCTTCTCTAAAGAATCAAATCATCTCTCGCATTTGCTCAATGCTTTACTGTTTATAAAGCACTTTTGAGTGCATATTTCAACCAATTTTAACATCAATTCTATGAGGAATTATCCCCATTTTCTAAGCAGGAGAACTGAAGCTCAGTTGTCAAATGACTTGCCCAAGATTTCACAGCTGGTGACTGTACTGGAATTCAAAGCCAGAACTCATGGCTCCTAGTTCAGTATTCTTCATAGTATTAACATCTCTTATTTGTTACATTCACTTATTGATTCAAAATGACAGCCTGGCATGAATTGGGGAAGGAAAAAAGGGAGAAGGAGGAGGAGGAGGAGGAGACAATGATGTGTATGGAAGAATGCATATCATCATCCGCTCTGGATCACCCAAGTTTTAAAAACCTACTTCCTAGGCCCTATCTCAGACAACAGCTCCTTAAGAACACCCATAGGATCTTTTTGTGTGTTGGGGAGGAGGTGGGGAGGCAGGAGGATGGGACAAGATAGCACTACCTCTTATTGCTTTAATAATATTTAATTTACTGTGTTTTCCCATTAAGAAAGACAAATACGAAATTTAATTTCTCTTGAAAGAGCACAGATTTTTTAAAGTTATGAATTGTCAGTGTAATAAACAGTGTTGAATTGGGTTTTCTCCCCAGATTCAACAAATGGCTAGTCATATGACTCAGATAAATCACTTAAAAATGCTAGGTCTTATCCTCCTTTGTACACTTGCTAAACTAGGAAATCTTTAAGGTCCCATACAGTCCCACAACATCACAATTCTACAGAGTTACTTCACCCCACCAAATACACAGAACAATGTGTTAGGTCCCAAAACATTTGAGTGTCTCAATTCAAGATTCAGAAACTAGTTGGACTATTAGTGTATCAACTCATAACAAGAGAACAAAACAAGAAAATTGACTTTCTAAGAAAATCCAAACAAAGTGACCACAGATATGTAAGTTTAACATATAAAGAAGTGGGAACTGTCATCACAGGCTGGGCTAGTCCAGAAAATGCCAAATGACGGACTTTTAAATATATAACTAATGGAGAGGGCCAGAGACAAAGAGGAAAAAAAGACGTTCTAGTTGGGGATATATTTTTATGTATCGCTGTTAGAGTCAAGAACGATCAGGGCTTGGGGATACCACTGGTTGACAAGAGAAAGGCTTGAGTTGAGGGGCAATGGGAAACAAAGTTATATCAGTAGGAAGGGATCAGACTATAATAAACATTTGATGTCAAAGGTGGATATTTATTTAATTTTACCTGGAAGGCAATGGTGAGTTGTCAGAGAAATTCTGAGCATGGATATAAAAAGGTAACAGTTGTCTTTTAGAAAAGAATTGTGTACCTTGGAATAATTTACACTCTCACCCTTCTGATAAGGCTCACTGAGGAACTTTTCAAGAGAGCCTCTGTTGTATAGCTACATCACATCCATTCCTAACACAGATCTCAGTAAATGAAAAAAATGAATTTCCAACTGATTCACTGATTGTTTAATTTTGTAGAATGGAGTTTCTAGCAAGAAAAAGAAATCATTTCATCAAACAATACTGGGAAGTGCCACAAATTACATATTTCTGTAACAAATGCATAAAATGCAAATAACCAGCACATTTAAGTTTGCAACCAGTTTTATAGGAAAGAACTATTTTTTAACTGTAAATGCCTGTATTTCTCAAACTTATCTTACCATGGAACTTTTTTCATATATTTATTAAGATAGTGCAGAACTAGTATCTCACAGTATACCCTCTAAGAGAATGAAACTGAACAGAAAGTTAAATCCATCAGTAATTGACACACATACACAAAATACATATACAGTTGACTCTTGAACAACAGGAGTTTAAACTGTGACGGGTCTACCACAGATTTTCTTTTGCCTCTGCCACCCCTGAGACAAGACCAACCTCTCCTCTTTTTCCACCTTCTCAGCCTACTCAACATGAATATGATGAGGATAAAGACCTTTATGATGATCCACTTCCACTTAATGAATAATTAATGTATTTTCTCTTCCTTACGATTTTCTTAAAAATATTTTATTTTCTCTAGATTATTGTAAGAATACGTTATACCATATATATAACATACAAAATGCATGTTATTTGATGATTTTATCAGTAAGGCTTCTGGTCAACACTAGGCTATCAATAGTTCAGCTTTTGGGGAGAGAAAATTATACACAAATTTTTGACTGCACAGTGGGGTGGGGGCTGGCAACCCTCGCCACTGTGTTGTTCAAGAGTAAAATGTAATTCCTTTCCTTTTATCAGAGGTAGAGACCAACAAGAATTTACAACTTTTCTTTGTACCTACCCATACTGCACATCAGTAGTTCCCAACCTTAGCTACAGAGTAATGTCACCTGAGGAGCTTTTCCAAAAAATACTAATGCTAAGGCCTTACTTTCAGAACAAATAAATCAGAATCTCTAGTTAAAGCATCAATAATTTTTAAAAGTTCCTCAGACAAACCTGTACCTGGGGTTAAGAATGGTGCTCTAGATTAAGAGTTTACTATCACTAAAATGGCTGACGGTAGAACTGGAGAAATGGGAACAGGAACATGAATTCCAGTTAATAATTCAACTGAAAATCTGCCCCTAGGCCAGGCGTGGTGGCTCACACCTGTAATCCCAGCACTTTGGCAGGCCGAGGCGGTGGATCACCTGAGGTCAGGAGTTTGAGAACAGTCTGGCTAACATAGTGAAATGCTGTTTCTACTAAAAATACAAAAAATTAGCCAGTCGTGGTGGCGTGCACCTGTAATCCCAGCTACTCAGGAGGCTGAGGCAGAATTGCTTGAACCTGGGAGGTGGAGGTTGCAGTGAGCTGACATTGCGCCATTGCACTCCAGCTTGGGCAACGAGAGCAAAACTCCATCTAAAAAAAAAAAAAAAAAGAAAAGAAAAAAAAAAAAGAAAAAGAAAAGAAATTCCGCCCCTAAAAGTTATTACATTTATTCTGCATATGATACTGGATCTCAAATATCCTTGGCTTTCTCCTCTGTACTTGTTCATCAATATACTGGTGGTTAAATGCTAATACCAGAGTGTGCTAAACTGATAGTGAATGATTTCAGGGAATCTTTTATACAAATGGAACCCAATTTTCTATTACTTGCAAAATTTGAATCATTTGTCTCTTTTTCTCAGAAGTTTTCATGTGATTTCCATAAAACACAGCCAAAAGTAAACCACAAAGTCGAAACTTCCAACTGTTTTCCTGGAAAATACATTTTTTTTAAACTGCATATCATCAAAAGTTCAGAACTTAATTAAATGATGCCATTTATTTTACAGCTGTCATTCTGAACTTGGCAATTTTATCATTCAGAATGTAATGATGGCATCACAATAGCTGAAAACTCATGTTTCAAAGCATAGTTAAAAGTTAATCTTGCTAGGAATGCATTTATCATTTAGGAAGGTAGTGGAAAAAAGTAATAATTTGTCCCTTACCTGGCACTAATGAAGTCAGATGCTGCAAAGCAACTATACTGCAAAATGTTTGGTCACCCTGGCTATCATTTTTAATTCTCATCCTCTTTGAGTAGACAATTGTATTAGTTTGTTCTCATGCTGCTAATAAACACATACCCAAGACCGGGTAATTTATCAAAGAAAGAGGTTTAATTGGCTCACAGTTGCACATGGCTGCAGAGGCCTCACAATCGTGGTGGAAGGCAAATGGGGAGCAAAGTCATGTCTTACAGGGCTTGTGCAGGGGAACTCCCATTTAAAAAACCATCAGATCTCCCAGACTTATTCACTATCACAAGAAAAGTATAGGGGAAACATCCCCCATGATTCAGTTATCTCCACCTGGCCCCACCCTTGACACGTGGGGATTATTACAATCCAAGGTGAGATTTGGGTGGGAACACAGCCAAACCATATCAATAATGAATAGAAACAATATGATCTCCTAACTTTTAGATTTCAAATCCTTCTACATATCCTCTAAACCTTTCACTTAAAGAATTTTTAAATAACTAGCTCAGATGAAGTGATATCTATCTATCTATCTATCTATCCATCTATCTATCTATCTATGTAAAACCTTTAATCTGTTTTCTGGGCTATATGAGAAAAAAACAGTCTCCTCTGTCCTTTATTCTGCCTTTGCAAAGGCAATCAGTTGGTTCTTTCTGCTGGAAATGCCTATTTTGTCTCCATTAGGACATTCAGGTCATGGAGTCACAGGTCTGGAAGGCATCTTAATCTAATCTAAACTGCCCCCTGCTCAGAAACTGTGCCACAAAGCCTTTCCTCACTTCACCCAACATACTAGTTAAATTCCTTTTACCTAGTCCTCAAAACGCACCTCAAACACTTTCTCCCAAGAAATCCATCTTCCCTGAGTCCTCAGAATAGGGGAAAAAAAAAAAAATCACTCCCTCCGTTTCCTCCATTGTAAAGCTCTCGCCACACTGGATGGCACTTCTGTGCCACTTCTCCTCTGGAGTATGCCCCTCTTGAGGAGAGAAGCCATAGGGCCACCCTTCCCCCTCTGTAGAACTGTACATGGTATAGTGTCTGGCTCAGAGGGAGGGCAATAATGTCTCATGAATGGCGTCCTTAGCAGCTCTGTGAAGCCTGCACACATGCATGCTAACACCATCTTACAAGCATCTTTTCCCTTCAGAATAAAAGCTCTTTGAAAGTTAAAATTACTTCTTCTTTAGTATTCTCATGGAATTTAGAAGAAGGCAGGATAATTTTTGGATTCCCAGATTATGAGGTAGCCCATCATATTAATATATGAAAAGGACAACAAAGTGATATTCAAATGAGAAGACACACATACCCACTTTCCAACTACATACCGAAAACTATCACTTCCTTGATCTTGTTAATACCTTCCCCTCTCAACATACTGACTGAAGCCAAGAAAAGCTTAGGCTCTGGAACCTACCAACCTAGGAAGCTTCTCAAAGAGCACCTCCTACTGATTTACACATGAATCATTGTTTTACAAATGCCAATAGGAAAACATAACAGGAAGAAGTTCTATTTAAGAAAACAAACCCAAACAACTTTGGGTTTAAAGTGTTCTTATTCACTGGAGATTAAGGTTTCCTGGTAACTCCAGAATAAACAGGCACGTGGAAATTGAAGCTGGTTATTTTTCTGTTTTGTTTTCTTCTTTCATAAAATTAGTGATGAACTCAAGAAAGAGAACCAAGCAGGAAACACAGAGGCCTCTATATTTTGCTTATTGTCAGTTACAACTTTGGCTAAATTCCCTCCTTCCCTACTTATCGGTACTTTGCCCATTGAGAAGCAGAAAATTTGAATAACTGGATAATCCAGGGTGACAAAAGTAACAAAAGTAGCAAATGCTAAGAAGAAAAGCCATATGTACACATTTCTTGATAATTTTGATTTCACAAAAAAAAAGAAAGAAGAAAGATAATGAAATTTATTTTTCCACTACTTAAAATGCCAAAAGACAACTCCTTTTAGGAAGAAATTTACATCCAATGAATTTAAAAAAAAAGAAAGAAAAAAACCTGCCAAAGAGCCAGTTTGGGACAAGCCGCAACTGTTAAACATATAAAATGAGAGAGTAACACTAGGATATTTAATACATCTATTCAAGGATCATGTTACTTAGAGAGGCATAGAGTAACAAAGCATTCTCCGTAACTATCAATAAGAAAAATAGAAAATATTTATCTGCCATGCTAACCTTTCTGCATGTTGGCTGTCTACAAACTTCCCACAGAAGTGTAAGAGGGATGAAAACAATATTAATGCCAATGACAAAGAGAAAGGAAATTCTGATATGCAGGATAAAAGCTCAGTAACATAAAAGGACAGCACTCACTTTTTTCACCTAACATATTAACGTCAATAACCCCATTATTTCTTGAATAATGCTGGTAACTGACTAGCAAAAAGAAACATATATACTTTATAGTATATATGTAATATATGGAGAGAGTTCACCATACACTGGTATAGTATGGTCTAATATTTTACCGTAGTATTGCTGCAGTATACATATTTTAAATGACAGATTTGACAGAAATACCTTTTATATAAAGAGCACTGCTCCTTTAAAGATATAACTTAATTTGGGGCACTCACTGAGGAGCTAAACTACTCTACAAACACCAAATTTTGTTAACATGTGAATGCATAAACCCTTTGAAGAAAAGGGGATTATGCAATTATCCCAGTTAACTGAATGTCTTTTATGCATCACAGTTGAATTCATGATTTAGGCCTTGTAGAGTTTCCCAACTACATCAGGAGAAGGGGAAGACTCTAGGGACACCTATAGATCAGAACCTGAAAGCTAGGCGTGGTGGCGCATGTCAATAGTCTCAGCTACTCAGGAGGCTAAGGTGGGAGGATGGCTGGAGCCCAGGAGTTCTAGGCTGTAGTGAGCTATGATCAGGCCACCACACTCCAGCCTGGGCAACAGAGCAAAACCCATCTCTTTAAACAAAACAAAACAAAAACAGGAAAAGAACCTGAGATGCATCCCAAACTGTGCCAACTCCAAGTAGGAGCATCGCTCACTCTGGAACATCTTTTTCCCCCTCTGTCTTCTGCTTCATGCTTCCCTCCGTGGATGGGTCTTCACCACTTATTCACAGCTTCTCCCTCTCCTAACCCCAGCTTTCCCATGATCAACAGCACCACTCCTGGCCTCTCCCTCACTCCATGCTACCTCATGACCCTCCCCATTCTCTTCTCATTCCCACTCTTGATCTTAGCTTCCTAACTCAATAGAGATGAGTCTGGCTCAGCTGAGTTCACAGAGCATGCCACATAGGTCACGTACACTGTATAGAGAAGGTTTGTTGCTGCATGTGGCACCCACATCCTGGCCCAAGCAGCTGTGGCTGGAAGAGCAGGGAAGCAGAGTCGAGTGGTGCAAAATAAGGCCTTCTCCTCTCCTTTTTCATGCAGCAAGGTAGGAGCTATAATCATGTAAACTACAAAGCCTAGAAATTTAAAAGGGCTATTTAGAAAGGAAAGCAAGTTGAATTGAATAACAGTGCCTAAAGGTTAAAGAATTGAATTGGCCAAAAAACAAATTTTAACGCAACATACTTTGCCAAGATAAAATGCAAAAACATCAAATACATCAAGCCAAAGATCATTGTTAAGAAACCAGAAAGATTCCCAAACTCAAATTTAGAAACGATTCATGAGATGACAACAAATCATTACTGTAAATCTCCTAGATGAAATTTAAAAAGTAAGGTACCAAAGGTACAAACTTCAAAATGATAAACCTTAGTGTGATTCTGAATCTATTTAAACAAAATACAAAGTACTACAAAATCCATACATTTATTTAGTATATTAATTTGCCCCCAGCCTTTTGGTTGTCCCTCTAATATGCCACAATGACCCTAATTCAGAGCCCTACTTAGCAAAACTTACAGTTTTAGGCAGAACCTCTCTCACTATAGATGCATAGCCCATTAATGTGGGCATGATAATTGCCGATTTAAATAAAAACATTTATCTTGTATTAATAGTAGCCAAGCATAAAGTCAGAATATCGCTAAGTTCTGGCTGCCACCAACAACCTGTATAAACTTGAAAAAAAAAAATCAATCTACGACTATTTAGACCACGATATCCCCGACTAGAAGAAAAAGACAATACCACATCCAGCTTTAAACTGCATTGATTCTTCTGTGAAGTCATTTTAAATCAGTAAAGCTTAAAGTTCTTTACTACATGTTACTTTAGCCAGATTAAAAGGCACTACACCCAGCCCATCATCTTAGACTGTCACCCTGTGGCTGAGTCCTTTCCCCCAGCTAACTCAAGGAGTCCAGAGAGAAGAAAAAAGCATGCAGGAGTTCTCACTATCAATTCAATGTCCAAACCATGTGAAATCTCCCAGAGTGAGGCTTTCCACACTTTCACAGTCTAGCCACCACATCTGCCACATTGTCTCCAAGCTACATGTCAGGTCAAGAGCTTAGAGTGACAGGCACAACATATGAGTGACATCTATGGAGGCCTTTACCAGCCAGTCAACAGTCTAGAAGTATCCTCATTTTATGTTATGTACCTAGCAATGACATTGGAGCCAACCTTTTCTCTTCAGTTGGGTGAAGAATGACAAGTAATGTCGATTCTTCATGTCAGTGACCAATGTAACAGTGCCTAAAGGTTATATAATATTTAGGTACTTCTGGATCACCTTAATATTATGAATATTATGGCCTCATTATAATTGCACTGGCCAGGCTCTATCCAAAACACTATACCCAGATATTGTTGCCACTTTTAAAATGGGACACTGATCTTGCTACTGAAAGCGAAAAGAATGATAAGGGTCTGAAAACTAAGTCATATGATAAATAAGAAACTAAGTATCTTTGGTCTGAAGAAAAGAAGGCACAGAGATGTAAAAAAATCTTAAAAAAATTTTACACCTCTGAATGTCAAAACAAGGGCAAATGGATGAAAGGGGGGACATTTTTCTAAAAATTAACACTACCTAGAAATGATCCACCTTGATGATCTGAAACTTGTTCTGTCTTTATAACTGTTATATAAAAGACACAGAAGTAACCTCAGTATGATGGGAAGTCTGACTTCTTAAATGTTTTTCAGCAAAAAAACTGCATGCTCTTAAACTGCAATAATTAATCCATTAACAACTTCAATCTATCTTAGTTATTGTTATCTGTTTTTCTTCATAAGATGGTAGTTGTTTTTAATCCTGATTATAAAAGTAATGGAGGTCCATTGTAGGAAAGTACAGAAAGAAAATAAAAACCAATCACAATCTCACCACTGAGAGTCACGGTTAACATTTTGGCATAATTCTTGCCCAGTCATTTATTAGGCATAAACATATATAACAAAATTTGAGTCAAGCTATTTATATGCCTTTTGTCCTAATTTTTGTACCTATCTAGTAACCAATTTCAACATGTCATTAAATATTTCCAAAAAGTATGATTTTTAATGCCTACATAATAATCCAATGTCTGATATACCACATTTCAAATATTACATGGCTGAGTACTTAGGTTATTTTTAATTTTATTTTAATTATTACAATATTGTGACAATGAATATCTTTATATATGGATTTTCAGACACATCTCTGATAATGTTCTACGTAATATATTAAGACCAAGTTTGTCCTATGCCCCCGCTAAGATATAAAAACAATTTGAATCACATGACATTGAAAAGACAATTAAATAGACACACAATGCAAAGGCAAGGCTAAAATTGGAACTAATCAAATGCACTCCTTCCTCACAAACAGCTAATGCCACCCTCTTCAAAAGTTGCTTCTGACCCACACAAAAATGTTTACGTTTGCATATTATCAGTTAGGGTAATTTTTATCTACATAATGTCGAAATAGTTCCAAAATCTTAATATCAACCATAAATGAGGAAGTCTGTATCTCAAGATCTTTCGATTAAGGGAAATGCCGACAAGTACAGGAATTAATGTAGGCATTTAAGTCATAAAGGGAGAACACTTTACAAAATAATATACAAACCTTTTTAAACTAATGCCAATAAGTCTCTTAACTAGACCTTTCCATGGTTACTTGCACTACAAGTGTGTAATCCAGGGTCCTGTCTTGTGACCCTTCTTAAAAGACCTATTTTCATGAATTCAATTTCATTTTCTACATGATCCAATGCATTGAGTTTGGTTTCAAGGAACCATTTTAATCAATAATGACTAAACTTTCATCAGATGTTGATTAAAGATTATTCAATTGAACAAACTGCAGTAGTAATTAAGTTACGTTCACTATCATTGAACATACTTTTTTTTTTTTGAGATGGAGTTTTGCTCTTGTTGCCCAGGCTGGAGTGCAATGGCACAATCTTGGCTCACTGTAACCTCTGCCTCCCAGGTTCAAGCGATTCTCCTGCCTCAGCCTCCCGAGTAGATCGGATTATAGGCATGCACCATCGCCCAGCTAACTTTGTATTTTTATCAGAGACGGGGTTTCTCCATGTTGGTCAGGCTGGTCTCGAACTCCTGACCTCAGGTGATCTGCCCACCTCGGCCTCCCAAAGTGCTGGGATTACAGGCATGAGCTGCTGTGCCTGGCCATTAAACATACATTTTTAAACAATCTCAATGACATTCCTTGCTTCCATGGTTTTAGAAAAAGGAATAATACAGGAAATGTGGTTTTCATAAAGAGGTTGTGTGAAATGACTGATGAAATAAAAGAATATACCATTACAATGCAACTCGAAGCAGGTGACTCTACAACATGCTAAGAGAATATAGACTCAAAACCCAGTCTTCCTGTGTTCAAATGAACACAAGAACAAAACTTGAAAGACTAGGAGAATGATGAGCAAATTACTTGATCTTTTTCTTAATCTCTTCTCACTAACCCTGATTTACTAGATTCTTGATAGAAGGTGAGTAAATCATAAGGTATAAAAATAAGCTCCATTCTCATCTTTAGTAACTTTCTAGATGATGACTAAACAACCTTTACGGGGTGGAAAGTTACTCTTCTTTTCTAAGTCTTACAAGCAGCCAGTTATTCCTATCTAGACAGTAGTATAAAGAAAACATGATCACGGATTCTGTCACTGGAACATTCTCAGGGCAATAGTATAGTGATCGGTAATAAGAACTCACAGAATGTTAGCTTTAGGCCCTAAGTTTTCATTAGTAATGACGCACATTGATGATCATCTTTACCCAAGCTTGGGACCAACAATGTAATGCTGCACAGCTTTCTCAGTGAACCTTCAGAAACCATCAAGATATCAAATACTCTTCACTGCATACCCTTTTATAAATTTGAATTGTGAGCCATGTACGTGTATTACCTATTGAAATAAATACTAAAATTAAAGCTTTAAAATATCTGGATCTTATTTAAATTAAATTTGATTTGTGTTTAAGCACAGACTCAGTATTAGAAAAAGCACATTCATGAGCCAGAGTTAACTGAATTCACTTTTAAATAATTAAACCAAAACTTATATCCATTACTAGAGGAAATAACCCACTCGAAATATAAAAATAATCGCTAGTGGAGAAAGCCAGAGTAACTTTATTAACTCTGCTGCCCCTCAATAAAAGGACTCACCTAGTCCCCATCTAAGACCATCTAATGCACCCATTTTTAGGTACAGAGGGAACCAAATTATTTATCCCAGGAATTTCCCCCAGAAGACAACACTTGCTATTTTCCAGTCTGAAAACACCAAAAGTAATGTTTGTCTAAAAACAATGAGTTTGAAAGTTTTAAAAATAAACCACATAAGCCATCAATATCTCATTGTTTTAGTCTTACTGTTAGCCTTTGTGACAAGCCATGGTTTATAGGTCAGTTTTCCAAATAAACATCCAATATATTCAAAGAATATAACATAGTCCTACATTAAAATAAATGATGTATACTTTGAGGAAAAATACTGTACATAACCCAATGCAACAAAAAAAAACCTGGCTTTCATCAATTACAATGCTGACTGTATTTTGTCTTCTCCAACCATTGGGATTACAGATTCCTAATGCAGTTTGCTTTGATGAGTCACATGTGTAATACAATCACTGACCCTATCCCCACCTAAAATACTGTAACCCATTTTCCCCTCCAAGATCTGACCATAGTCATTTCACAAGAGAAAGAAAAAAAGAACTGATTAAAAGGAAATAGGACAGACAGTGAGTAAGCCATGAACAACTGCCCAAAGAACTGTAAAAAACTGGAAGATTGTTTCCATGTGTTTCCATTAGATAGAGCTGCCATCAGGAGTGGACGGAGAGTACTGATAAAGTTATATCCATTCCCGCCTTTTATAAGTGTAGTCAGAGCCGAAGAATAAAAAGTACTATTACAGGATAACTTTGCAAAGTTTTAACACAGAATGGATCCAATGCAAATACATAGTTTAATCTGTAATCCCATCAAACAGGGAATATTAAAAATCACTTTATATATATTTTTAATATACACAGAAAAAAGACCAAGGGTGTACAAATAGTTCTCTTTCAAAGGCAAGATTACAGTTCAGGCACTGTGGCTCATGTCTGTAATCCCAGCACTTTGGGAGGCTGAGGTGGGTGTATCACTGGAGGTCAGAAGTTCAAGACCAGCCTGGTCAACATGGTGAAAGCCCATCTCTACTAAAAACACAAAAATTAACTGGGCGTGGTGGCGCATGCCTGTAATCCCAGCTACCAGGGAGGCTGAGGCAGGAGAATCACTTGAACCCGGGAGGCAGGGGTTACAGTGAGCTGAGATCACGCCAGTGTACTCCAGCCTGGGCAACACAGCAAGACTCTGTCTCAAAAAAACACAAAAAACAAAAACAAAAAGGCAAGATTACAGATTACTTTTTTCTCTTTTTGCATGTCAATTATATACTCATTGTAGACAATTTAGAAATGACTTGTGATTAAAAAAATAGATTTAGTATAAATGACTAGGCAGTTAAATATCTATAGATCAGACTGAGTATCAAAATGTGACAAATAACATCTACAGTCTTAGTAAATTTTTCTACAGAATTATTTTCTCCATTAAAAGGTATTATAGTTTGAACTGTCCTCCAAAAAGTCGTATGTTGAAGTACTAATGCCTGGGACCTCAGAATGTGATATTTGGAAATAGGGTCACTGCAGATGTATAATAAGATGAACACACACCAGAGTAGGGTGGGCTGCTAATCCAATATAATTGGTGTCTTTATTTGGACATAGAGACAGGCACACAGAGAAAATGCCATATGAAGATCAAGGCAGAGATCCACGTGTTGCTTCCACAAGCCAAGGAACACCAAAGATCACCAGCAAACCATGGGAAGCTAAAGAAAGGCATGGAACAGATTCTCCCTCCCACAGTTAAGCCACCCAGTTTGTGGTATGGGAGCCCTAACAAATACAAAAAGTTTCAAAGTACACCACACAAAGAAATTACACTTTGATCACAGACTTTTTTTTTTCCCTAACAATCTCATTTGTGGTGAATAGTGCCTGCAAAATCAATTGTTTTCTCCAAATGTCCCAGCCCCTCCCTCCCCTCTATTGTTGCTATTAGGTAAGACTACATAACTAAGTTTTCTCCCATAGAGTGTGAGAGGAAGTGACAGGTGCCACATTCAGGCCTGGGCGTTACAACCATGGCGTGCCTCTCTTCAATATTCTATCTCCCTCACCAACACACAATTGGACATGGTTGTGACCAAGCTTCAACAACGGAGATGAAGGTCATGCTTAGGGACAATCCAGATATGTCTTAGAAGGAGCCTGGGTCACTGAATGACAGCATGGGACACAGCTACCAACCCAGCTGGAAGACTCTCCTTAGAACGTTACATAAGAGGACAACGAATGACTCTGCTCTTTAAGACACTATATTGTTGGGGTTTTGGGGATTTTTTGCTATAACATCTTAGGCTTTTACATTTTATCCTTTATTGTGTTTGGGAAATATATCATTTCAAACCCATGCAGCAAAACAGTGTATAGAAAACTGGGTAGATCTCTGGAAAAAACAGTAACGTTGACTCAATGGAAGAAGTGTATAATAAGCTTAACAACTACTATTACAGCCTCAAATTTGAGATAATATGTTTCACAATCTTATTATCTGTTAAACTGAAATGCAAGCTCTTTATGGAAATATACCAATTCTTATTTTGGAAGATTTTTAAAATTAATTTTATTATTTTCTAATTCGAAAACTTTAATGAGAGCAATTAATTAAATTGAGCAAAATTTAGTATAGTCATTATGATTTTACATATATTTTTATGGTACAAAAAAACATAAAGTTACATATGAAAAGTCTCACACTCCTTCTCAAATCTCTACATAGGGAGAGGCACTATGAAGCTAGGTAGATATCCTTCCAGGCTTAGAAAAGTTGAGTAGCTGAAGTTTAAACTCAGCTAAAGAGAGGTTTTAACTTTTGTCATGCACACCTCAAAGTAAAAACTAAGAAACATTCCAATCACAAGCCTAGATCCTTCATATTTGCATTATTTTAGAGAGAGAAAAATACGAAGATGCTAGTGAACAGCTATGTAGCCTATTTCTTAAATGCTTCCCAAAATGTCATGTAAAACTAGAATACATGTGACTGCATGCAAGTTCCTGGAGGACAATTCAGTATTTCTCCATTACTTCATTCTACTGTAGATGAACCATAATGTCTACTTCTGTCCAGTCAAAATAGCAGAAAAATGACTCTCTGGAATTTGGGCTGTTTCTAAGTTAGAGATTTTTTGCTGGATGAGTATGCAAATCCTATACGGACACCTATCTATGGAAAAGACAGTTCCCATTGAACTAAAGAAACAAATGAGAAGATAAAATGTACTCCCATCTAGTTATTCAGAGACCTCATTAATCTGTGACCAAGAATAGAATCTATGACTCTAACTCATAGTCTGTGGGACGCACACATGTTCCTGGATTCAAACATGTGTTTCCATTTAAACTGCTGGAATGTATATATGTCTCTGCAAACAGTGAGAAATATTAGGAAATCTAAGAATGAAAGTCCTTTATGATCATATACACCATATTTTGACTCAGCTTTTAAATTGTCTGAAATCACAAAGGTGGAGCATCTGTTTTTTACATCTATCTGTGAGTTAAAGAAGAACAATGAAGAAGAATCCTTCCACTGACAGCATCTATTTTTACCATCAGAGCCAACCCAAGGGAAATCTATGATTTCTGCTATTTGTTTTCTTTTCATTTTTTTTTTCTTTGAGACAGGGACTTACTCTGTCACCCAGGCTGGAGTGCAGTGGCACGATCATGGCTCACTGCAGTCTCAACTTCCTGGGCTCAGGTGATCCTCTCACCTCAGCCTTCAGAGGAGCTGGAACTACAGGTGCACATCATCACACCTGGCTAATTTGGGTTTTTTGTTTGTTTTTGTGGTAGAGGAGAGATTTCTCCATGTTGCCCAGGCTGGATTATTCTATTCTATTCTATTCTATTCTATTCTATTCTATTCTATTCTATTCTATTCTATTCTATTCTAATTTTAGAGACAAAGTCTCACTCTGTTGCCCAGGCTGGAGTGCAGTGGCACAATCTCAGCTCACTGCAACCTCTGTCTTCCGGGTTCAAGTGACTCTCGTGCCTCAGCCTTCCAAGTAACTGGGATTACAGGCATCTGCGACCACACCGGGCTAACTTTTATATTTTTAGTAGAGACAGGCTTTTGGCCAGGCTGGTCTCAAACTCCTGACCTCAAGTGATCCACCTGCCTCAGCTTCCCAAAGCACTAGGATTATAGGCACACACCACCATGCCCTGCCCCAGGCTGGTCTTTGATTCCTGGACTCAAGTAATCTGATAGCCTCGGCCTCTCAAAGTGGTGGGATTACAGGCATGAGCCACTGCATCCAGCCTATTCGTCTTCTCTTGTCTTACCCTTGTTGCTAAGCCTGCCCCAGCTAAGGCCAGGGCACTTAGAAATGCTCGGGTATTCAGTATAAGTTGGAGATTAACCAATGTCAGATAACACCAAGTCAGGGGGTACAGTACCTAAACTGCATCAGCCTGAGCCTATAAATTTAGCAAAGGATGGAAAACTAGCAGTCTGGCACATTCTATTTGGCCAGTAGAACATTTTAAAATTTGTTTTAATTTAAATATCTTTAGAAAAGCTCCCCCACCATATTCACCATATAGGATAGTGTACCTTACCTTGCACAATAACCCCTTCCTATGTCACATGCCAGCCAAATGAAGTGTGAATGCCACATGAATTGATCCACCTCTGAGCCCTCTTACATTTTGCTTATTTGCCTTTAAGCAAAAATTTCATTAGATTTTCCCTGGAAGGAGCCTTCTTGGAATGGTTAAGTTTCATACAGCATCCCCTCTTTTCCTGGCTAGCTCTGAGTGTTTCCAGCTCCCGTATAGAAACCTGTTCTCCTCCACATGAAGGGGAGCGTTCGGTGGCTTCTAGGGTAGCTGTTGAGATAAGTATATTTCCTCTTACTTATCACCATGACAAGAGTAAAAGACAACTTACCTTTTGAAAAAAGTCTTCCCCACTTCTGCCTTTCCCTTCAGCAGCAGCTGTAAATAAAAATGTGCACATTTAAAATACTTTTTCAATGTATGCATTCAAAAAACTTTCGAGCATCAGATATGAGAATGCAAAAGCAAACAAGATGCCAGCCTTGCTCTCCCACAGCTCAGTGCCTGCTAATATGCCTCACTGGGATGCAAAACTGGTAAAGACTAGCAATCCAATCCATCAATTACATGTCTCTGGATTATTTAACACTCTTTTGCTTTGTCTGAAAGACTCACAAACCCCTGCACACTTAGATGATGAAAGTGATCTCGTCCTTTCATAGTTAAAGAACTATATGAATAAATGCAACTCTCAAAGTAATCAACTGTAGCATTCCAAGCACTTCCTATCTGTGATCAATCCCAGGCACAAAGATGGCTCATGTATATGGCCTACTTCTGAGCTGTTTCCATTTTATGCTTTATAAAGTCTATATAATCTACTTGAATTTCAGCTGGCATCATATACTTTTAATTCACTCCTTCATTTGTATATACAAAGAGAGAAAAAAAAACATGAGAATTAAACAGTAATGGTGACGGTCACAGCCAACAATAAAATTGCATGTAACATTAATTAAAATATCACTGTATTTTCATATCATTTTTATAGATAAATGGTAGCCCATAAATACAAGACAAACCCATTTCTCAGTCTGTGTTCATAAGTCTTGTGACTATGAACATTTTGTATTCATTTGTTTTGAGGGGTGGGGAATTTGACTAAAAGGAGAGAAGTGATAAAGAGCCAATAGCATCTTGCTTGCAACAGACTCAGACTGCATCTTTCTAAGGCCAAACAGGACTCTGACTCAGGTGTAGGTGGAATAGTGATTAATGAGAGAAGCCTGGCCAGGACAAAGAAAGGTACTGAAGTGAGAACTACTGGAAATTAAAGTCTGGAAGACCACGGTAAACCAAACACCTGCTAGGTAATACCTCAGCACAGCCATGTTTGTGTGCAGAAGTGCATATGTGTGTGTGTCCAGAACACTTGTTAAAATGACTAAAGACCCAAGAAATGTGGCAGAGCAATCACTTAAGAATCACATTTGTCACTTAGCAAGTTTTGACAAGCATCTACCATAATTTTGACATTGTTAAGTGAAAGATTCAAAACTTGGGAGGCCGAGGCAGACGGATCACAAGGTCAAGAGATCAAGACCATCCTGGCAAACATAGTGAAACCCTGTCTCTACTAAAAATACAAAAATTAGCTGGGTGTGGTGGTGTGCGCCTGTAGTTCCAGCTATTTGAGAGGCTGAGGCAGGAGAATTGCTTGAACCCGGGAGGCAGAGGTTGCAGTGAGCCGAGATTGCACCACTGCACTCCAGCCTGGCGACAGAGTAAGACTCTCTCAAAAAAAAAAAAAAAAAGATTCAAAACTTGAGAAATTCTCTCTGCCCTCAAAGAAATAACAAGTATTTACATTCTTTTTTCACCAACTTAAATTTTACAGTTAAATATAAGACATCTTCTCTATTTTTATAGAAATGTGTATTTTTTACCAACACATTTTTATCCAAACAACAGATTGCAGAGTACATGTTTCTGGAAATTCCAAGGGCAATCTGAGAAAACATAAAAACAAAGGCTAAAAAGGAATTTAAAAATTGTATTCTAATATGTGGTAGGGCTGAATAATGACTCCTAGCAAAGGTGTTCATGTACTAATCCCTGGAATCTTACACGGCAAAAGAGATTTTGTAGATGTGATTAAATAAAAAGATAGGAAGATTATATTGAATTAGCCAGATGGGCCCAATGTAATCGTGTCCTTAATGAAAGAAGGAGGGGGCTCAGAGTACAAGAAAGTGATGTAACAATGGAAGCACAAGGAGAGATGGATACATGACAACAAAGGACAGATCAGAGATGACAAAGATTTGAAGACAGGGGAACAGGCCATGAGCCAAGGAATGTAGGTGGCCTCTAAGAGCTGGAAAAGTCAAAGAAATTATCTTTCCCTATGGCCTCTGTAGAGAATACAGCTCTGCTAACACCTTGCTTTCAGCCCAGTGAAAACCACTTCAAATTTCAGACCCAAAAAGTAAGATTTCTGTTGTTTTAAGCTACTACACTGTGGCAACTTGTTACAGCAGCAAAAGCAAACTAACCTATAATGCTAATGTCTTTTTAACTTTTATTTTTGCACAAATTCCACATCATCAATAGGATGAACTGCACCCAGACACTGTGTCACGCCAAGTGTCAGGTTCCAGACCAAGCGGGAGACCAAGGGGAGGGGGTGGATGAATGACGAGCAGCTGAAAGAACACTCGAGGAATCATGGGGAGTTGTGACATGGCTTTATTCTCTCTCTTGGTGTGAGTGAGCCTGGGCGTGAACTGTGGGTGCAAACCTGGGCGCGAGCCAACCCAGGCGCAAGCCATATGTACAGCGTCAGCAGGATAATTATACCTTTTACAGACAATAGTGGCTCCAAGCCAAGCACGACCTCACATGGGTGATCACCTAATGCACCTCACGTGACGTGGTTATGTAAGGAGTGGAATTGTGTACATGCGCTCCAAACTCCAGACTCACATGCAAGACCGGATGTCTGCCTTGGCCTATTCTTGACCACAGCAGATCCATTTTCCTTACACTCCACCCCCTAGGCCAAGGGAGACATAGGCCTTGGACACACAGCTCCAACACACAGGCCTCATACATAGCCTCTGGGCATGCAAGCCAGGCCCCAGACACACAGGTCCGACACAAGACCTTACACATAGGCTCTAGGTACACAGGCCCCAGACACTCAGGCCCAACACATAGGTCTTACATTCCACCCCCTAGGCAGAGGGAGTTTTTCTAGTGGGGACACATGCCCAAAGGGTGAAACCCTGGACCCAGAGGCCACAGCAGTAATACAGGGAAAAACAACTCCAGGTTATGGTGGGCAACCACCCCATGGTGACATTACACCAATGTTGCTTTGTACATTTAGCCAAGCTTTTATTTCCCTGCCTTTAGGAGCACTGGGGCAGGCAACAACAGGTTACCATTCATCTCTGTACCTGGTCAGAGGAGGTCATCCTTCCTCCCATAGGTTTTGCCACATGGCTTGGCCCTATATGGGCCAGTGACCAACTGGCCACTTCTGTTACTTTTAGATAGTTAACCACAAGGCTAAGCCTCAATAAACTGCCAAGCTGTCGGTGCAGATTACCGTAGGTGTCACCACCTTGGTGATCACCATTCATGCTGTCCTGATTTCAGCCCATTAGCTACTTTGTCCACACTTGGTATCAAACCATATGGCGTCAGTACTAGAGTGAACTGTGACAGCAGTCCAGGCAATAGCAGCACCCCAGCTAGACCCATTCGTATACCATGCTCTATCAGGAATGGAGGGGTGCCTCAGGCCCCATGGCCTTATCTTCCATTAGGACTACAAGTCCCAAGACCTCTTGCAACTCTGCTGCTAAGGGACTTGTATTCAGTGTACTCTGCTGCTAAGGGACTTGTATTCAGTGTACTCTGCTGCTAAGGGACTTGTATTCAGTGTACTCTGCTGCTCCAAGTAGGCACCACACTTTGCTAAAGTGGATGTCTGTGCTAGCCCATTTCAGGGAGTCATTATCCATGAATGCATCCATCCCGCTATCAGCTAAGTCATCCGCACGACGACTGTAGCCCATCCTGCCGTACTCTCACGAGCCTGAAGGGCAGCATATGCAGTTACTAACTGCTTCTCTAACAGTGAATACTGGAGCGCAGCTCCTTTCCACAGTTGGGACCAAAAGCCTACTGGCATTCTCAAGCGCTCCATGCGCTGCTAAAGGCCCCAGCCAAAACTATCTGTGGTCACATGCACATCCAGCTCAAACAGGTACCCCTGGTCAACTACCCGTAGGGCTTGTGCCTGCTGAATAGCCCACCTGGCTGCCAGGAAGGTGGTCTCAGCCGCACCATCTTAAATCTAGGCAAGGGGAGCATTGTCACTTCTAAATCTGCAAGAGAATCAGAAGTTAGCATAATATCATTAACAAGACCATGACATATGGTGGGGCTATGCACATAGCCCTGCAGCAACACTGTGAAAGTCCACTGTTGCCCTCCCATGAAGGCAAACTGCTCCTGGCTCTCTGGAAAAGAATGCATTGGCCAAGTCCACCACAAAGTGGTACTGTCTCAGTTTTGTCAAGCCCACTGATAGACAGCATGGCTGCCAAGCCATGTGAAATATCCATGCCCAAAACGTTATCTGTGCTGGTGTCTACCAGCACCAGCACTTGCTATATGTTGGTGGGGTAACAATGGACTGTCAACTCCACATGTGGCCTCCAGTCATCTGGTGTTCCCCTAAGTCGAACCTCAGCCAGTTCCCTCATCATACAGAAAAGGCTTTACACCCCCACCTGGCTGTAGCACATACGGAGTCTTTGAGCTGAAGCGCCCAGGTGGGACCAGGTTGTGCAGCAATGTCCTTCTCCCATTGGGGCATTTTCTGGAATTGCACAAAGTTAAGAGTACTTCATTTGGCTGTTTATCAATTTTCTCTCAGTCAATCCTGGCCAAAACCAAATCAATCCACATCTCTGAGCATGTCACTTGTTGGGGCCCCCTGTTCTCCAGTGGGGGGACCCCTGCAGGCAGGGCATCTTCCCCTTCTTTATGGAGCAGACCCCTCGGTCTCACTAACAGCCTCCTCGGTATCAGAGTGGGGGTCTCCAGCTGAGACGACAGCCCCAGGCCTGCATTCACAGCAGCCTCTAATTCCTTTTCCGAGCTCTGTAGCCTGGCCTCCAGGCACCCTGCCTGCACCTGAAGGTCCCCACTTACGGCAGCTTCTAAATCTTTTGCTGAGCTGTGTAGCCAGGCCTCCAGGCACCCAGCCTGCACCTGGAGGGCCCTTACTTCTGCTGCATCCCTCAGGGACTGGGTGTGTACTTTTCATAGTGCATTCAAAAATGCCTATCCAACTCTGCCAGCAAAAGCTCACTCCTTCTCAGGGCTTTGCACTTGCAGCTGCTTCAGCACCTCTTCCATGCTCGTGGGGGACCGATTTACTGCCACCACCTAGGTTTCCACCAGAGCCCATTAAGCAGTACAGCTGCCACTGGGCACCATAACTCATGTTGCAGTCACATGCCCAACCTGGAATCAGTGGGGACCGAAGGCTCTCTCTCCTCAGTATCCTGCTGACTATGCCAAGTGTCATGCCAAGTGTTAGGTTCCAGCCCAAGCTGAGGACTGAGGAGTGGGTGGATGAGTGGTGGACAGCTGAAAGAACACTCAAGGAATCGTAGGGGGTTTCAACGTGGCTTTATTCTGTCTCTTGGCACGAACAAGCCGACTGGGGCACAAGCTGCATGTAGTGTCAGCAGGGTAATTATACCTTTTACAGACAATAGTGGCTCTGAGCAAAGCACGAGCTCATGTGGGTGGACACCTAATGCGCCTCATGTGGCGTGGTTACATAATGAGTGGAGTTGGGAGCCTGCACTCCAAACTCGCTGGGTCATGCTGAACTGGATGTCTGCCTCGACGTATTCTTGACTGCGGCACATCCATTTTCCTTACACACTGATGGAGGCCATTTGAATCACACATTTCTACAAATAAATTATCTGTAGTTTGCTCTGCAAACAATGATTTTCATTCTGTAACTTTAAAATATGCCAATATTAAAGCTCAATGAAAACATAAAAAGTAAAGTTGAACAAACTTCTAAGCAAACTGGCAAGTGTGGGTGGCCCTAGCTAAAGCGAACACCCAGGCAAGATAAAAGGTCAGTGCTCAAACCTAATGAAAAGTGTCTCGGGGGGGCACTTAGCCAATTCTTGGCTGTCTTTGTCTAAGGCTAAAAATAGTTTTAAAAGAGCCACCCTCAATGATACCCACTTTCACATGGCAATGAAAGTAGCAGATAAGGACATGGAGATTCAAAAAAATATCTAGTCACATTGAGGAAACTCTTCTGTGAGAAGAAATTTTTAGAATCAAATATATTTTCAAAGGTCTATCAAGCAAAGTAGATAATTGCCCTTTTTACCACAGGAAATTCCTTCACAACTTAGAATTCATCTGTTGAAATTTCATTATACAACTATATTTATTACACAAACTTCCTTGAGGAGACTTATTTTGCTCAAGACAAACTCATTACATCACACTTTGTCATGCCCCTTCATTCCAAGTCCATCAAAACACTAAACACCCTTCACAGAATGGCCCTTCAACCTCCAGATGAATAAAAAGGGAAAGATTTCCTAAGTTAGACCTAAACTGTTATTACCTCTGTTCCAAGGTGAAAAAAAATCACTAAAATTTAACCAGAAACCTGCACCTTTAGCAAGTTTATTATTTGAGGGAAAACAGCAGGCAAGAAGCCAGAAATGGCAAATTACATTCACTGGCAGCAAAAATCTTTGGACTTTTTTATTCCAAGTGTTTGTGTGCAAGAAATTCTAAATCTGAGCCTGATTTTACCTCAATTCTGATGTATCCATTTCCCAAGCCCATAAATACCTTGGTAAAAGATGCTGATGAGTTGTTGGTTAGATCATGGTCTCAGGTGCAAACGGTGTTGAGTCCCAATCATTAGCCCTTCCTAGGGAGAAGCATACTCAATTCACTCCCAGGATGCCAGGTCACCTGAAGGACTTTCACTGACCCCAAGCAGACAAAGCTAACAAAGGCCATGAGAGCCTATTAAGAGAGTGACATTTCACTAAAAGTCTTCTTCTCTTCCCCCAAACACGGATTCTTCTGAGCCCAAATTTGAGAGTCTACTTCTCCCACTTAGTCTGCATTCATTAGTATCAAAATATAAAGTCTTTCCAAGAAGTGAGAGATTGGGGAAAAGGGTATCACTGAAGAACATTTTTCTCAATATAAAATTAGGCATTTAAAATGCTCATTTAAAAAAAATAAGATAAATAAAATAAAATGCTCATTTTACAGACCCAGAAAAGCTGACACTTTCATTCTGCAAATACTTAGGACTTAGGTTCGATGCTAATGAATCAAAATAGGCAAGGCCCTACCTTCATTCAAATTACAACCCCAACCTGTAAAATATTCAAAGCAACCTAACTGGTGAGATTAAGCCAAAGTTAAAATTCAGTTCTCCTAGCAACTTTCCCAGAGAGTTTTTCACAGTCACAATTCTAACCAAATTAAACTTATAAATTTAATTTAGCAATTCTCATTCTAGACAATGCACTAAAAACTTAATTATTTCACTCCGAACCCAACACTGGAGCTGGACAGCTACCGTTAGATCTGAAGAACAAAGGGCACTTATATGGAGACCATTAGAGAGCTGGATCGGAAGAAAAAAATATATATGAGATATGATAATATATTGACTCAAATCATTTCCTTTTCATTATATTTGGAGGGCAAAATGGAGCCTGTGAAATGAGCCAAACCATACTTTATGTCATGATATTGCTTGACCTTTAAAGTTTGATTACACTCTGTGGTAAAATACTTCTATTGAGTCTTTGCAATCTTAGACACTGATACTCCTTCATCTTTTTTATTCCACAGTGACATGAGCACAGATATAATGATTTAGCAGGTTTTCCTTAAACTGTCTTTACAATATAACGTCTGCCTGATGTTCCAAAGTTTATTCGCTTGGATGTAAAAACCCTGGATTATTCCTGCCAATGAAAGCAATTGTCTTTATTTTCATGACACACAACTCCGGGAATAAATTACTTCAATACTACTGAAACGTGGCTGGCTGAATGTGCAGGTAAAGCATTTCATATTTTAAGCTGAACGATTCATTTTTTATGTTTATTATAATTTCTCCAATGCTTTGCCATATTTTATTTCATATTTTTGCTTCACAAGAAATATGGGATGGCAAAAGCCACTGCCAATAAAAACAGCAAAAGTTGAAACAGGTGTAAACTATTACAATCCCCCCAAACTACAGAGCAAGTCCAGTTAATGACTGAATTAAATGGGAGGGGGGTAGCTTGACTTTAAATTCTTCCTGGGGCACATGGAAACTTCTGTTTAAATATCCTTTTCATTTTGAAATGCTTTTCTATTATAACATCTGATGCTTTATGGAGCCAACTCTAAAAACACAAGGACTATGTTCTTCATATTTATAACATAGTATGAAACATCTTTAAACATTACCTTGATAAACAATGGGGTTTCTTCCCCTTTGGAATTTGAGCAAGAAAATACCAAGTTCAAATTATAAAATTAATTGAGATATAATTCTTCAAATCTGTAAAGAATCAGGGCATTCCTCTCCATCTTTTTTTTTTTTTTTTAACACAACTCAACACATTTGCAACTAAGAGGGCTGCTGTGCTTTTCGGTCACCTGAAAGATAAACAATTATTCAGGTAGCCTGATTCTTGTGCAAAAATATTTTACACAAAATTTAAAACATTCCCTTATTGTATCAATTTAATCCATATGCTAAAAGAGCTATGCCATATATTTTATTCTGTATATTAACTGTTTCCAGAAAACTGTATGTTAACTGTTTCCCTGACAACCCAGCCAATTCAAGTGAAAGAGGAATCAGCACAAAAGATGTAGAAGATGCAGTTTCTATACATTCCCAGAGAAACTTTTTATGTTCATGAATTATACCTTGCACTTTGGAATGGCATGCAAAGCTCTGAGAGCCAACTGAGAAAAGAGTAGTCATTAGGTTCATTCTTAAAGTTTCTTCCACTTCTGAATTAAAATCATAGTCATCATTAAAATACTCTAACCAACTGAAGAACACTTCTAACTTTAAATTTCAACGGTGAAAAGTATCATCTGAATGCTGTATCTCATAAGTGTGAGAATTTTCAGACCCTATCTTTTCCCTCTCTAATTACCAGTCTTCACTGTGAACAATTCAAATTCACCTGCCTGTAAAAAATTAAATAAATAGGCCTGTTGAGAAAAATTAAGAATAGACAAAAATAAATATAATTTTTCTCTTAACAGTGGCTGGATTAAGGATGGCTTTCTTCTTCACTTTAATATTTTTTCTTAAATATTGTTTTATTTTTGCAGTTAAATTCCCATGGTCAAAAATGCAATCTTAACTTGGTTTTTTAAAGTATAAAACAGAATGTACAGGCTGGGCACAGTGGCTCACACCTGCAATCCCAGCACTTTGGGAGGCCGAGGTGGGAGGATCACCTGAGGTCAGGAGTTTGAGACCAGCCTACGCAGCATGGTGAAACCCTGTCTCCACTAAAAATACAAAATAATAATAATAATAATAATCTGGGAGTGGTAGAGCATGCCTGTAATCCCAGCTACTTGGGAGGCTGAGACAGGAGAATCTCTTGAACCTGGGAGGCGGAGGTTGCAGTGAGCCAAAATCATGACACTGTACTCCAGCCCGGGCAACAGTGCGAGATTCTGTCTCAAAAAAAAAAAAAGAAGAAACAAAAAAACAGAATGTACAGAATGACTTAAATTCTGTATAAAAGTCTGTACGTGTACATATACAGACACAAATATAAACAAACATGTATTTAGATATATGGATACATAGTGAATGTGTTAGAAAAAAGACTGAAAGGATAAATACCAAAATATTAATAACACTTGTTATTTGAGTGGTAGAATTCTTGGGTCTGTTTATCATTTTTTCTTTGTATTTTTCAGCATACCTTTAAATAGCTTGAATTGCTTTTTAATTAGAAAACATTCAGGTAAAAATTATTTTTAAATCTTCCTTCCTATTTGAGAATGAACCAAGGTTTCACCATTACTGGTCTGTCACAGCATTATTTTCAGCCCACAGTGTATAAGGCAATCATTGGCAAAAGTACGAAAATCAAATGTAGATATAAGCTGCCTAAGGAGACACAATGACTAACGCAATATCAGAGATAGATAATGGACAATCAATAACATCATGCCAGGTATAGATCTTAGGCTTTAACCAACCTAGTACTTTCTAGAATGAAACACTGATTTTGTGCAGCTCTCAGTGGAGAAGCTTTAATCATTTAGGCCTATAGTAGAATCTTCACAGCTGAAAACAGTAAACAATCTAGTATTTGGAAAACCTCTGTGAGTTATATCCAAACTCAATAGCTAGCCAAAGAAGACAGAAATAGACACCCTCCAAAATGTGTGAACCGCAAAAAGAAAAATGTATATGCATACATTTCCAATTCTAGGCTGTTTAAAAACAAAACCCACTTTCAATGAAAGGTCACATCAAATGAAACACGAAATAAAACAGAAATTTACCCCATTATAAAAGGGCTCTATGGCTCAGAATAAAAAAAAAAAAGAGCTAGATAGATTATCCATGGCAATTTGGGACAAGAGGATGGGCCAATAATTGAACCATCCAAGACATCCTTTGAGACTGTGTTTTAAAATTTCATTTCCCACAAAATATTTTAACAGAATAAGAATTAGAAAGATTATGATGGAGGTTAGGGGGAGGATTCCTAATCTGTCTAACAGTGGGGACCACTGCTGCTCCATAAGACTCTGCAGATTACACACACTTCTCAAAATGTGGATTGCAAGGCATTTTTTCACATGTAAAATCTTTTTCCTGCCAATATTCCAATGCCAGGAACAATCTAAGACAGTGCTGACCCTGTCACACTCAGGGCACAACAGAAAGCAAGCAAAGGCCAGCATTCTCTCATCTAGGGGATTTTAGTTTCAGAAAGCATCTGTTGCTATCAAATGTAGGGAAATATATATTCCCAAAAATTTGAGAACATCTACATTACTCACTGCTTTAAGCAACTTTTAACTTGAACTCTTTCAGTAACTCTTGCTAAGGGTTTATTCGAACTTCAAATTTATTGGCCTAACAATGAAGACTTCCTGGTGGACTGATGACCCTAACATATGTCAATGGAATTTCAGTCCAACTGATTAACAGAAACGTTGGTCATGTCCAATGCCTTGCTTTCAGACACTATTTCTTCTTATATAAGCAATCCCTGAAGCATCGTTTAGTCTGGCCTGAGGTCATAACACTATTTGAAGACTTTGGGTATTTACATAATTTCAATGTTTTTTTAGAAAAACAACCCTAACCCTTTACCAAAATTTAAACAATGTTCATAGTTTAATGGAATTAGGAATACCTAATACACCACAGTGAGCTTATGCTGATCTTCCTATAGAGCTACGCCATCCAATATGACAGCCACTGGCCACATGTGCCTCGTGAACACTGAAAGTGTGACTAGTCTGAATTCACATATGCTGTGGTATAAAATGCAAACAGGATTTTGAAAACGTAGTAAAAAAAGAATGTAAAAAATCTTAATAATGTTTTGATTACATGTTGAAATGATGTTACTTTTATATATTGGGTTAAACAAAGAAATATAAGACTAATCTTACCTGTTTTGTTTCACTCTTCTTAATGTGGCAATAAAACATAAAATTACATTTGTGGTTCACATATTTCCATTGTACAGCACCGCTATAGGGAATAATAACTAACTTTGCTGTCATCCAAGGAGGATTGAAAAGTTTCAAGTAGAGCACACAGCTACAGGCTATGAGGAACTGAAAACAAAGAGTATTTCCAAATAGTAAGAGTCAGTAGCTTGAAATCAAAGTTCTATCTGTTTTAACCTCCTGGGAACATTTTGCAGGAGGAAGGAAAAGGTTGACTGGTACTTTTAGGGATGGAGGGAAGGTTAAAAGAATTAGAGCAGTTTGAATAAAATATGTAACATTAATAATCATTTCCTTAATATCCAGCTTTGGCCCAGCCCAAAGCCATGAAAGTATTTAAGAGTTTATGTGGATGGTTATTTAATGGAATGAAGTTTATATTTCTTTTGTATTTGTAATAACATGGCAATGGTGCAAGCCAACTTGTTTTAAATCAGAACCAAATGTGTTCCAGGCATGTTTAAAGTTCAGGTTATATGCAGAAATCCATGACCAGGCAGTCTGTTTTGCTATTTTCTCCACCAAAACTGGAAGTTGACAGAGGGCAAAGAAGAGACATGCCTGCTTTCATCAGGGCTGCTTATTCATCTTTATGCTAAAATACTTATGTATTTCTTTATTTATTTATACAAATTTATTTAGCAACAAGGCACAGAGAGAGGAGATAAAAGTTATGGAACCAGAAAAGTCTAGGTTCAAATCTAGGTTTGCCATTTACCAGTGGCATAACTCTGGGCAAATTCTTCAATCTCCTTCAAGCTCTGTTTTACCCCTGAAATATGCAAAGCAGCACCCTGTAAGCATTTAATAAATGGAAGCCTTCTACTTTGACCTCTAAGGACGTATAGTTGTGTAATAAAAACGACAAGACTAAAACATTACAGAAGAGTCACAGATGATTAAGCACAGGAATTCAAAGAATAACTACTGTAGAGACTTTTGAACTGATTATTTAATGTAGAATGTAGACATGAGGACATGGGGAAAGGGAATTCTGGGCAGAGACAATGCTGTGAATACTCATGAATGTCTGATTCCAAAACGCGTTTTCTTTTTTCAATGCCTCAGAGCACTTGAAATAGCACCTGTGCCTAGAAGGAGCCAGATGGTACAGGCCAGGGGAGGAAGGGGAGCTCTCCAGTGATGGTGAAAGGGAAAGGGAATCCCGTAAGCTGGCGAACACTTTCTTCACCAGGGGAGGTCCCACTCTTCACACAGGTGTTCCGAAATAGGTGGTTTTGGGGCAGTGGAAGCAGGAGAGGTGGGGAGTAGTTTTATGGTTGTTATAGAATGCGGGAGGAAAAGGGGGTAGTGATACAGACATTTAGTGTTCAGGGCCCAGAACACCCACAAAGGGGTTGTATAATACTAGGAGTATAATACCAGTGATACCCATATATTGTTTCTTTTAGGAAATGTCCTTTCTTCAGTAAATGATCTTCTAAAATAGTACATATCTACACTACTGCTTCAGTGTCAGTGACTTAGACTTGCTCAAGTCCCATACATTACCATGAAAACCAGGAAGGACAGCTATTTCCTCCGAGTTCAAGATTGCTCCTGGGTTCTCCACATGTCCAGTTCTAGGGCATCATATTCCAATTCAGGTGCACAGCTGATGCAATGCTCTACCTGTTACGGACTGTACTATCATAAGACAGCCATGTAGCAGTTATTCACTATGAAATGTATCAGCATACGAGGTCATTCCCTTGCTGGTGAGGACCAGTCAACAAATCACACCAAAGCAGAAACAGTTTTACTGCCTCAATCCAAAATATAAGCAAAAGCAAAACAAAATAACAGAAGGAAGAGATTGAGAAGGAGATGAGGAAATGACAAAGAGAAGAAAGTGAGGGAGGCCGATGGGGAAGAGTGAGGGAGGAGTGGGAAAGAGAATGGGGAGGAGGAGAAGGCGAAGGGGGACGAAAAGGACAGGAGGGAGAAAGCAAGGGAAAGAGAAGAGAGGAGAAGGAGGATAAAGGAGGTGGAGAAGATGAGGAAGGATAGGCTGGGAAATGGGGAAAGAGAATGGAGGATGGGATAATTTTTTAACTTACAATTGATATTAGAAAGATAAGAAAAAGTAATGCACCCATCCCAAAAGAAAAAACAGTAGCATGACAGTTTTATTTATTTATTTATTTATTTATTTTGAGACAGAGTTTCGCTCTTGTTGCCCAGGCTGGAGTGCCATGGCACAATCTCGGCTCACTGCAACCTCCGCCTCCCGGGTTCAAGGGATTGTCCTGCCTCAGCCTCCCGAGTAGCTGGGATTACAGGCATGCACCACCACACTCGGCTAATTTTGTATTTTTAGTAGAGACAGGGTTTCTCCATGTTGGGCAGGCTGGTCGCAAACTCCCAACCGCAGCTGATCCACCCACCTCGGCCTCCCAAAGTGCTGGAATTACAGGCGTGAGACACCGCGCCAGGCCGACAGTTTTAAAAGAGAAACATTTAGAGAACAAAAATATCACAATCTTATCCAAGATTTGAAACATTTTTAAAAATTCTCCCAGAAAGAACAAGACATACATAAAATATAGGAGGAAATAGCTTTTTAAAAAATCCAAGACCAACTAACCGAATTTCCAGAAAAAGAAAACAGACTATAAAATGTATTTTTAATCAAAGAAATATACTAGAAAATGTCCAGAACCAAAAAACATAAGGTTCCATATTAGTAGAGCTAATTCAATTTGTAACTGAAAGAAAAAATACTCAAAGCATATGCTTCTGAAATTTCACATTTGAAATAAAAATATCTTAAAACCTTCCAGAGAGAAAAAAACAAGTCACAGGCGATTAGAATAGTGTCAGAATTCTCATTCAAGCCATGAGATGGTATATGACAAGAGAGTAAAGCTTTAAATTCTAGGGAAAATTTATTTTATTTATTTATTTATTATTATACTTTAAGTTTTAGGGTAGATGTGCACAATGTGCAGGTTAGTTACACATGTATACATGTGCCATGCTGGTGCGCTGCACCCACTAACTCGTCATCTAGCCCTAGGTATATCTCCCAATGCTATCCCTCCCCCCTCCCCCACCCCAGGGAAAAATTATTTTCAACCCAAAATTCTTTACCTGGCTAAACCCACAATTAAGTAGAAGGATATGGTGAAATTTTCAGGCACGCTAAGTTGCAAGGGGAAAAAAATTACCTCCCTACTACTTGGATTCCATATATTAGTAGGGGTTGTATGTATCAAATTGAATAAATTAGCCAAGAAACTGAGACTTTCCCTTATATAATTAACTGGGGATTGAATATAGAAAAGAGTGAGGAGAAATTCCCAGGATGGGAGCAAATTCCATGATGACAGCTGTGAAGCCAGGCCAGAAGGCAAATAGTAAAGGATGAAGCAGGCCAACAGGCCTCAAAGAGGAAAGTTGTCAGGGAAAAAAAAAAGCTGATTAATTATCTGAAATCTTAACCATGTGGAAAATTGTTCTGAGAGCATTAGACAGTGTAGAAAGAATTTGTGATAGGTATAAAAAATATTAAACCCAAGGGGGAAGAAAAGAACAAGGCAATTACCAACTCCAGGAAAAACAAAATTCTGACAAAAAAAGGAAAAGAAATGTTTGTATATTAGTTGCTTGTCAGGAAACAACAACATAGATGATAGAGAGTCAGCGCTCCACATTCCCTGGGTTCCATGTCTGTGAATTCAACCAAATGTGGATCAAAAATATTCAACAGAAAATTGTGTCTATACTAAACAAATACAGCCTTTTTTGACATTATTCTCTAAACAATACAGTATAACAACTATTTGCATATCATTTACATTGTATCAGGTATTGTAAGTAATCTAGAGATTAAAGTGTACAGAGGATATGCACAGGTTATATCCAAATATTATCCCATTTTATGTCAGGGCCTTGAGCATCAGGTTTTGGTATCCATAGGAGGTCCTGGAACAAATCCCCCATAGACACCAAAGGACAAATAAAATATACACACTGAATATTGATTAAGCTAAAACTTGTCATTAAACTTTATTGGGAAAACAGAGGAGGATAAAAGGTAAATCCTTTCTACCACAAAAGAATACAACAGACAATGGCTAAAGGTAATGAATGGGGAGAATGCAATAAACAGATTTCGAAAATGAAGAATCAGCAAGAAACAGCTCAAGGAATAAAAAGCAGCTACATCTAGGGAACAGAGTATGTTTTGTGGGGAAGGATATTGTGTTTTCATCATAAGTCTTTTTATACTATTTCATTTTTAAACTATGCGTATATATTACGTGACGATTTTTAATATTCTAGGCTATTTTAGCTTAGTACTCACACCACAAAGAGAATACAAAGGACAAGTGTGATAATCTGGCCTAGACCATTTGCTCTGGTCTAAATGTTTTGCCTTCATAGTCATATGCTGAAATGCTAACCCCCAAGGTAATGCTATTAGGAGGTGGGGCCCTTGGGAAGTCATTAGGTCATGAGGGTGGTACCCTCAAAATGGGATTAGCACCCTCATAAGAGAGAACATAGATAGGTGCCTCTTGCCTTCCACCACATGAGGAAACAAATAGAAGGCACTGTCTCTGATCCAGAAAGTCGGGCCTCAAAGGACACCAAATCTGCCAGCACCTTGATCATGAACTTCCCAGTCTCCAGAACTGTGAGAAATAAATTTCTGTTTATAAGCTATCCAGTATATGGTATTCTGCTATAGCAGCCCAAACAGACTAAGACACCATTCCAACTATGTTTTCTAAAGACATAAAAGCATGAACTAATATTCATTCAGGATTTGTAAAGATGGAAATTATGCTTTGCTTAATTTTATTTTATTTTTTCCCCCGCTCTGTTACCCAGGCTGGAGTGCAGCGGCGTGATCTCAGCTCACTGCAAGCTCTGCCTCCCGGGTTCACGCCATTCTCCTGCCTCAGCCTCCCGAGTAGCTGGGACTACAGGCGCCCGCCACCACTCCTGGCTAATTTTTTTGTATTTTTAGTAGAGATGGGGTTGGATCAGGATGGTCTTGATCTCCTGACCTCGTGATCCACTCGCCTCGGCCTCCCAAAGTGCTGGGATTACAGGCATGAGCCACCACGCCCAGCCGCTTAATTTTTTTTGTTCATGACCTAATAGTATTTATATTTACATTTTATTTTTAAAGATTATGGTTAAATTTGAGTAGTCTAAATATCAAACAGACTATAAGACAACAATGTGTTTATCACTGTGGCCCTCAATACAGCAGTAGCAAGTCTCAGGAGTTCTACTGCCCCACCTCTCCCCAGTGGGACTGGGCACACAATACTAGGACTATCAGAGGATAATTAAGTGAACCATCCATGTGGCAAAAATCTGGAGGGCTCTATTGCTTTGAAGTCTTCTTGGAAGTGCAGAATTAGTCAGAAAGCAGAAGCAAAGAAAGGCCAAACAAATGGAAAGGCAGTGAGTAGATGAAGCATTCAAAAAAGAAGAGGGACCCCCTTGCACATAACAGAAATATAGATCTGAACTTATTTGAAGACCGTTATGAAAAACTCCACAGGCCTAACTAATATTGGCAATACTTATTACGTACTTAATTACCTATTAAGTATTAAATTACTCATTAATTACTTAAGTACCAAATGAGTAACTAGTTGCCCACTTTTCTATTGACTTCATGATTTTAGAAATTGAACGAACAGAATGTTATTGGCCTCCCACTCCTGATAATAACTATTATGGAAGATTGGCATTTTCACTGCAAGTAGAATTCCACCTCCATCAATGTACATTCTATATAATTTCACCCTCCCCACAAAATTGACCTGTGAACTACCAAATGGATAATTAATCTGCATGATCCTTCCATCTTTTAACTTGCTAATACATTTAACTATACCACAAAATGTATATTTTTTCATTGGACACACTGACTAACTCAGTGTATCAACTATTACGCTCTACAGTGGACTGACGGCATACCAACTTACTTGAAGATACATAGAGGTAGCGGGGTGCTCACGAGAAAAATCAAGTTCTTATGCCCCACCCACAGATCCCACTGAATTTTAATCTTTCTGGGATCCCAGGAATCTGCATTTTTGCAAGCATGCCAGGTAAATTTTACACACAGGTAAGTCTCAAGCATTGTGACACCACTGGAATCACATGGTGAAATCAACACTACTTATTTCCAAACCATCAGTCAAGTTGGCCTCCTATAATCCTAACTAGTTGTACTCATTACCATCTATCCCATATTTAACTTAACCCCATGATTACAGAGAAATGTGAGGAAACAATTCTCTCTTTTAATTACTCTGAGGCAAGTAAGAGATTCAAATTTGCTCTCAGTGTTTAGCACAACTCATTATGACCTAAAAGAGCTGTTTTTCAAGGTGAAATGAAGGATGGTAGAAGCAGTCACTGATAGACATTTTAACATTAAAATATTCTAAACTTGATCTATTAAATGCCTTTTGAGCCCTAAGACTGTCTCATACTGCATCTCATTAAAAGAGGCCTGAAGTGCTAAAGTAAATCAGCAGGTGTCCAGTGGAACTGGAGGATTTTCTTTACTCAAGAAGACCAAGTCTATAATCCAGAGGTTTACGGAGTAAGTGTGGACATGCAAACAAAGGCAGCAAGGGTCATCATTCAGAAGGGATCTGGTCTATGATCCCAATGGGTCCTGTTTTAACCTTCTGCAAAATATAGCTTTGCATAATCAAGTTACTACAAATCAAAGTATTCTCATTTAGAAGGCCTAGGGAAACATTTAGGGGAGTTAGGGAAGTTCTTATTTCTTAAACTCAGCAATTTGCTGCTGATAAATCACACACCTACTTTTATGAAATTAAGCAGATCCCCTTCTCTCAAGACATTTAGTTTGAAAAAAGATAGATGCTTTGAGGGCTAAGCCATCAGTTTTCATCTCTGAAAAGAATCATTTGTTTTTGTTAAAGCTGGTCTAAATCTAACATCTGATTATAATTTATTCCGTTTAAAGTCCTTGGTTTCTTAACATGAATTCATTTTTCATCAGTAGGCAGCAAACCACCTTTAAATATGGTTTTCATTTCAAACAATGCTTGAAGAGTAATTTTTAGGTAATAGTCTTTGGCCTAGCATAAAAGTTATAACATAATGTTACCTCGATTTCCTTTCAAAAAATATGTGCGTACATTTATGATGCAAACACATTGGTCATACTCTAAGCCATAACTTTATTCTTATTCCCAGAATTGTAACTTTGGTTAAGGAGTCAAATTCTATCTCAATTAAAATGAATCTGCTACAGTTGCATAGTGGTCCTATAAGTATTATTATCTTGAACAGTTCTATCTTCTCAGCTGCTTTTCCTACTTTGTTTACTTTGGAAAGCTTAAACTCATTTTTCTTCTTAAATTCAAGAAACTTAAATGTTTCAGGCCTCATTTATTCACCAGCCTCAAAATATTCAAGTCCTTCTAAAAAGGTAATAAAAGTTTATTCTCTTTAATAGTTGGCAATGCTCTATCAAGTTCTGGATCTTCATGGCTGAGACACCTATCCTGAAATATATAATGTAAACATTCTCTAGAATATCTTTCTAATTTTGCTAAATCTGCTTAGATTAATTCGAGAAAGATTTGAAAATAAATTTTTGATCTTCAATTCAAGATACAACCCTTGAATCCATCCTTTTTTAAATGGTGTATTTTCCCAGGTAACTTAAAAGATTTTACCTCAGTTGAAGATTGTATAATTTATATAATTATAACCCTGAGATTCAGTAATATCATAAGCACTAGTAATGATGTAGTGTTTGTACAATGGCGGAAGTGTAAATTCACACAACCATTTTGAAGAATAATTTGGTTTATATAAAGAATAACTATAGTTTCCATGTACTTGATCCAGTAATTCTATTTCTAAGAGTCTAGGTCTTAAAAATATAATCCAAGTAAGAAGAGAAAGAAGAAAAACTACTGCCACAAACATGTCATCTTAGTAATACACATAATAAGCAAAAACAAGGAAAAACCAATATGGGAATTAAGAAAATTTAGATATAGACACTTTTTCAAACATTTTAAGGTCATTTGAAAAGATGATTTGGATTTGCAAAACTCTTTGAAGCAATAAGGAAAAATGATTATGATAAACTGCATAAAAAAGAAAATAAGGCATGATTTTTAAGTGGATTATAAAATTACATGTGAAACATGATTGTAACTATTATTCTTTAAATAAACACATAAAAACTAGGAACATTCATCACAAGATCAAAATGTGTATGCCAGGGAAGAGTATGATTATATTAAATTTTTTTTATTTTCCAAATTTTATTGGGAGATATATATATATATATATATATATATATATAAGTTTTAAAATGACTGCCTAAAAAGTATGTACACACATAAATACCCAAGTAAAAACTAGTGAAGTGTTCTTATCAAGTCTAATTCTATTTTAAATTATCCATTTGTGAGAAAAAAAGGATTCTAGTTGACCCTTAAACAACACAGGGGTTGGGTCAGCAACTACCTTTGGAAGTAGAAAATCCACGTACAACTTTTCACTCCCCTAAAACTTAGCTACTAGTACCCTACTACTGACTGGAAGCCTTACAGATAGCATAAACAGCTGATTAAAACATATTTTCTATGTTACATGTATTATATAATGTATTATTAAAATACAGTAAGCTAGAGAAAATATTATTAGAAAATCACATTTACTATTCATTAAGTGGAAGTGGATCATCATAAAGTTCTTCATCCTCATTACCTGCACACTGAGCAGGCTGAGAAGGAGGCAGAAGAAGAGAGTTGGTCTTGAGGTCTCAGGGGTGGCATAGGTGCAAGAAAATCCACACATAAGTGGACCCATACAGTTCAAACTCATAGTATTCAAGAGTCAACTATATTATATGAATTTGTATTCACTCATATATCTAACTAAATCTAGTAAAGAAAAGTTTCATTTCCAAAGGATATTTTAAGTTTAACAAAGTCAAAATGAATGTACAAAACAGCACATCTTGACCAAGTTCTTCAACTGTCTAAGCCTGAATGCTTACCTTCCAGTAAGTCGTGTACAGCTTCTCCCCATAGCTCTGTCTTAGAGACAGCCTGAATCTCTCCATTCCCGGGCCGTGGCTCACAACACGTAAAATGCAGTCAGCTTAACTGTACCTACTCAGTGGCTATAAACAGAAAGCTACAGCTGTGAGGCTTCCAATTAAGCACCTTTTATGAGGATAATCACAAGCCAACAAAAATGATTTTGAAAAACGGGGTGCTATGTGACATGCATGTTGTAACAGTAAGGGCTGGGAGCTGATGTCTCAAAACAGTGCTGCTGTATGAACTGTGAGGAGCCCCCAACACACATGGGCAGAAGCAGTGACTACAACAGGAGGAGCAAAAGCTTCCCCATCAGCAATTAGGAAACGAGAACGTGAGCATCAGTGGGATGCATTTTGAAGCAATTCTTGACAATCTTTGTCCAAATAACTTCCAAAAAGTAATGAATCACAGAATACAAACACAAGATGTTCCCACTGACACACACACACACACACACACACACCCTCTTTAGTTAGATTTTGTGAAAGACAATTAAAATCATGTTAGTCAGAGCAGGAGTGATGTTTGGGGGACAATCAGATCCCATAAGAAAAAAGTCTCTCTCTTACATCACCCTCCCACTCTTAAAAAGGACAAAAACTGGTCTCAGAATTTTTTCATAGAGATGTGCCTTGAACAGGTAATCCACACTGATCTGGTACTGTCCCCAACCCCTTTCTGGGTAGGATTAAGGAGAGAGAAAGAGGACAAGTAAAAGAAAATTCAGAGGAATTTTTTTTATTAATATGCTTTAAGTTCTGGGGTACATGTGCAGAACGTGCAGTTTTGTTACATAGGTATACACATGCCATGGTGGTTTGCTGCACCCAACAACCCATCACCTACATTAGGTATTTCTCCTAATGTTATCCCTCCTCTAGCCCTTCACCCACTGACAAGCCGCAGTGTGTGATGTTCCCCTCCCTATGTCCATGTGTTCTCACTGTCCAACTCCCACTTATGAGTGAGAACATGCAGTGTTTAGTTTTCTGTTCTTGTGATAGTTTGTTGAGAATGATGGTTTCCAGCTTCATCCACGTCCTGGCAAAGGAAATGAACTCGTCCCTATTTAGGGCTGCCTAGTATTCCATGGTGTATATGTGCCACATTTTCTTTATCCAGTCTATTATTGAGGTACATTTGGGTTGGTTCCAAGTTTTTGCTATTGTGAACAGTGCCACAATAAACATATGTGTGCATGTGTCTTTATAGTAGAATGATTTATAATCCTCTGGGTATATACCCAGTAATGGGATTGTTGGGCCAGATGGTATTTCTGGTTCTATATCCTTGAGGAATTGCTACACTGTCTTCCACAATGGTTGAACTAATTTACACGTCCACCAACAGTGTAAAAGGGTTATTTCTCCACATCCTCTCCAGCATCTGTTGTTGCCTGACTTTTTAACGATCGCCATTCTAACTGGTGTGAGATGGTATCTCATTATGGTTTTGATTTGCATTTCTCTAATGACCAGTAATGATGAGCATTTTTTCATATGTCTGTTGGCCGCATAAATGTCTTATTTTGAGAAGTGTCTGTTCATATCTTTTGCCCATTTTTTTATGGGGTTGTTTTTTTCTTGTAAATTTGTTTAAGCTCTTTGTAGATTCTGAGTATTAGCCCTTTGTCAATGCATAGAGTGTAAAAATTTTCTCCCATTCTGTAGGTTGCCTGTTCACTCTGATGATAGTTTCTTTTGCTGTGCAGAAGCTCTTTAATTTAATTAGATCCCATTTGTAAATTCTGGCTTTTGTTGCCATCGCTTTTGGTGTTTTAGTCATGAAGTCTTTGCCCATGCCTATGTCCTGAATGGTATTGCCCAGGTTTTCTTCTAGGATTTTTATGGTCCTAGGTCTTACAGTTAAGTCTCTGACCCAGCTTGAGTTGATTTTTGTATAGGTGTAAAGAAGGGGTCCAGTTTCAGTTTTCTGCATATGGCTAGCCAGTTTTCCCAACAACATTTATTAAATAGGGAATCTTTTCCCCATTGCTTGTTTGTGTTAGGTTTGTCAAAGATCAGATGGTTGTAGATGTGCAGTATTATTTCTGAGGCCTCTGTTCTGTTCCATTGGTCCATATCTCTGTTTTGGTACCAGTAACATGCTGTTTCAGTTACTGTCGTTTTGTGGTATAGTTTGAAATCAGGTAGCGTGATGCCTCCAGATTTGTTCTTCTTGCCCAGGACTGTCTTGGCTATGCAGGCTCTTTTTTGGTTCCATATGAAGTTTTATGTTGTGAGAAGTCAGGGACCCTGAATAGAGGGACCAGCTGGAGCTGCAGCAGAGGAACATAAATTGTGAAGATTTCATGGACATTTATCAGTTCCCAAATAAGACTTTTGTAATTCTTATGGCTGTCTTTAATCTCTTAATCCTGTTATCTTCATATGCTGAGGATGTATGTCACTTCAGGACCACTGTGATAACTGTGTTACCTGTACAAATTGATTGTAAAACATGTGTGTTTGAACAATATGAAATCAGTGCACCTTGAAAAAGAACAGAATAACAGCGATTGTTAGGGAACAAGGGAAGACAACCATAAGGTCTGACTGCCTGCGGGGTTGGGCAAAAAGAGCCATATTTTTCTTCTTGCAGAGAGCCTATAAACGGATGTGCAAGTAGGAGAGGTATCGCTAAATTCTTTTCCTAGCAAGGAATATTAATATTAATACCCTGGGAAAGGAATGCATTCCTGGGGGGAGGTCAATAATCGGCTGCTTTGGGAATGTCTGTCTTATGTGGTTGAGATAAGGACTGAGATACCCCCTGGTCTCCTGCAGTACCCTCAGGCTTACTAGGGTTGGGAAACTCTGCCCTGGTAAATTTGTGGTCACACTGGTTCTCTGCTCTCAAACTCTGTTTTCTGCTGTTTAAGATGTTTATCAAGACAATATGTGCACCACTGAACACAGACCCTTATCAGTAGTTCTGCTTTTGCTCTTTGCCTTGTGATCTTTGTTGGACCCTTATCAGTAGTTCTGCTTTTGCCCTTTGTCCTGTTCCCTCAGAAGCATGTGATCTGTGTTAGACCCTTACTAGTAGTTGTGCTTTTTGCCTTTTGAAGCATGTGATCTTTGTACCTACTCCCTGTTCTTACACCCCCTCCCCTTTTGAAACCCTTAATAAAAACTTGCTGGTCTGAGACTCAGGCAGGAATCATGGTGATTCCTACCTGACATGTGATGTCCTACTGATATGTGATGTCACCCCTGGCGGCCCAGCTGTAAAATTGCTCTCTTTGTACTGTCTTTATTTCTCAGCCAGCTGACACTTATAGAAAATAGAAAGAACTTACATTGAAATATTGGGGGTGGGTTCCCCCAATAGTTTTATGTAGATTTTTCCAATTTTGTATGGAAAGTCAGTGGTAGCTTGATGGGGATAGCATTGAATGTATAAATTACTTTGGGCAGTACGGCCATTTTCACAATATTGATTCTTCCTATCCATGAGCATGGAATGTTTTTCCATTTGTTTGTGTCCTCTCCTATTTCCTTGAGCAGTGGTTTATAGTTCTCCTTGAAGAGGTCCTTCACATTCTCTGTAAGTTGTATTCCTAGGTATTTTACTCTCTTAGTAGCAATTGTGAATGGGAGTTCAATCATGATTTGGCTCTCTGTCTGTTACTGGTGTATAGGAATGCTTGTGATTTTTGCACATTGATTTTGTATCCTGAGACTTTGCTGAAGTTGCTTATCGGCTTAAGGAGATTTGGGGCTGAGATGATGGGGTTTTCTAAATACACAATCATGTCATCTGCAAACAGAGACAATTTGACTTCCTCTCTTCCTATTTGAATACGCTTTATTTCTCTTGCCTGATTGCCCTGGCCAGAACTTCCAATACTATGTTGAATAGGAGTGGTGAGAGAGGGCATCCTTGTCTTGTGCTGGTTTTCAAAGGGAATGCTTCCAGTTTTGCCCATTTACTATGATATTGGCTGTGGGTTTGTCATAAATAGCTCTTATTATTTTGAGATACATTCCATGGGTACTCAGTTTATTCAGAGTTTTTAGCATGAAGGGGTGCTGAATTTGTTGAAGGCCTTTTCTGCATCTATTGAGGTAATCACATGGTTTTTGTGATTGGTTTTGCTTATGTGATGGATTACATTTATTGATTCGTGTATGTTGAACCAGCCTTGCATCCCAGGGGCAAAGCCAACTTGATCCCTCAAACAAGTTGAGCGGAACTTATTATTGGTTTATTCAGGGATTCAACTTCTTCCTGGTTTAGCCTTGGGAGGGTGTATGTGTCCAAGAATTTGTCCATTTCTTCTAGATTTTCTAGTTTATTTCCACAGAGGTGTTTATACTATTCTCTGATAGTAGTTTGTATTTCTGTGGGATCAGGGGTGATATCCCCTATATCATTTTTTATTGTGTCTAATTGAGTCTTCTCTCCTTTCTTATTAGTCTGGCTAGCAGTCTATCTATTTTGTTGATCTTTTCAAAAAATCAGCTCCTGGATTCACTGATTTTTTAAAGAGTTTTTCATGTCTCTATATCCTTCAGTTTTGCTCTGATCTTAGTTATTTCTTGTCTTCTGCTAAATTTTGAATTTGTTTGCTGTTGCTTCTCTAGTTCTTTTAATTTTGACATTAGGGTGTCAATTTTAGCTCTTTCCTGCTTTCTCCTGTGGCCATAGTGCTATAAAATTTCCCTCTACACACTGCTTTAAATGTGTCCCAGAGATTCTGGTATGTTGCGTCTTCATTCTCATTGGTTTCAAAGAACATCTTTATTTCTGCCTAATTTCGTTATTTACCCAGCAGTCATTTAGGAGCAAGTTGTTCAGTTTCCATGTAGTTGTGTGGTTTTGAGTGAGTTTTTTAATCCTGAGTTCTAATTTGATTGCACTGTGGTCTGAGAGACTGTTCGTTATGATTTCCATTCTTTTGCATTTGCTGAGGAGTGTTTTACTTCCAATTACATGGTCAATTTTAGAATAAGTGTGATGTGGTGCTGAGAAGAATGTATATTCTGTTGATCTGCAGTGGAGAGTTCTGTAGATGTCTATTAGGTCCACTTGGTCCAGAGCTAAGTTCAAGTCCTGAATATCCTTGTTAATTTTCTGTCTCGTTGATCTGTCTAATATTGACAGTAGGGTGTTAAAATCTCCCACTATTATTGTGTGGGAGTCTAAGTCTCTTTGCAGGTCTCTAAGAACTTGCTTTATGAATCTGGGTATTCCTGTGTTGGATGCACATATATTTAGGATAGTTAGCTCTTCTTGCTGCATTGATCCCTATACCATTATGTAATGGCCTTCTTTGTTTTGATCTTTGTTGGTTTAAAGTCTGTTTTATCAGAGCCTACGATTGCAACTCCTGCTTTTTCTGCTTTCCATTTGCTTGGTAAATATTCCCCCATCCCTTTATTTTGAGCCTATATGTGTCTTTGTACCTGAGGTGGGTCTCCTGAATACAGCACACTGATGGGTCTGACTCTTTATCCAATTTGCCAGTCTGCATCTTTTTATTGGGGCATTTAGCCTACATTTAGGTTAATATTGTTATGTGTGAATTTGATCCTGTCATTATGATGCTAGCTGGTTGTTTTGCTCATTAGTTGATGCAGTTTCTTTATGTTGTCGATGGTCTTTACAATTTCATATGTTTTTGCAGTGGCTGGTACCAGTTGTTCCTTTCCATTTTTAGTGCTTCCTTCAGGAGTTCTTGTAAGGCAGGCCTAGTGGTGACAAAATCTCTCAGCATTTGCTTGTTTATAAAGGATTTTATTTCTCCTTCACTTATGAGGCTTAGTTTGGCTGGATATGAAATTTTGGGTTGAAAATTCTTTTCTTTAAGAATGTTGAATATTGGCCCCTACCCTCTTCTGGCTTGTAGGGTTTCTACGGAGAGATCCGCTGTTAGTCTGATGGGCTTCCCTTTGTTGGTAGCCTGACCTTTCTCTCTGGCTGCCCTTAATATTTTTTCCCTCATTTCAACTTGGAGAATCTCAAAATTATGTGTCTTAGGGTTGCTCTTCTCAAGGAGTATCTTTATGGTGTTCTCTGTATTTCCTGAATTTGAATGTCGACCTGTCTTACTAGGTTGGGGAAGTTCTCCTGGATAATATCCTGAAAAGTGCTTTCCAACTTGGTTCCATTCTCCTCGTCACTTTCAGGTACACCAATCAAATGTAGATTTAGTCTTTTCACACAGTCCTGTACTTCCTGGAGGATTTGTTCATTCCTTTTTATCCTTTTTTCTCTAATCTTGTCTCCTCTTTTTATTTCATTAAGTTGATCTTCAATCACTGATATCCTTTCTTCTGCTTGATGGATTCGGCTACTGATACTTGTGTATGCTTCATGAAGTTCTTGTGCTGTGTTTTTCAGCTCCAGCAGGTCATTTATGTTCTTCTCTACCCTGGTTATTCTAGTTAGCAATTCGTCTCACCTTTTTTAAAGGTTCTTAGCTTCCCTGCATTGGGTTAGAACATGCTCCTTTAGCTTGGAGGAGTCTGTTACTACCCACCTTCTGAAGCCTACGTCTGTCAATTTGTCAAACTCATTCTCCGTCCAGTTTTGTTCCCTTGCTGGCAAGGAGTTGTGATCCTTTGGAGGAGAAGAGGCGTTCTGGTTTTTGGAATTTTTAGCATTTTTGCGCTGGTTTCTACCCATCTTTGTGGATTTATCTACCTTTGGTGTTTGGTGTTGGTGACCTTCGGATGGGGTCTTTGAGTGGATGTGCTATTTCTTTCCGTTTGTTAGTTTTCCTTCTGACAGTCAGACCCCTCTGCTGCCAGTCTGCTGGAGTTTTCTGGAGGTCCACTCCCGACCCTGTTTGCCTGGGTATTACCAGGGGAGGCTGCAGAACAGCAAAGATTGCTGCTTGATCTTTCCTCTGGAAGCTTCGTCCCAGAGGGGCACCTGCCAGATGCCAACCAGAGCTCTCCTATATAAGGTGTCTGTCGGCCCCTACTGGGAGGTGTCTCCCAGTCAGGATACAAGGGGGTCAGGGGCCCACTTGAGGAAACAGTCTGACCCTTAGCAGAGCTTGAACACTGTGCTGGGAGGTCCACTGCTCTCTTCAGAACTGTCAGGCAGGGACATTAATTCTGCTGAAGCTGTGCCCACAGCCACCCACTTCCCTAGGTGCTCTGTTCCAGGGAGATGGGGGTTTTATCTGTAAGTTCCTGACCTGGGCTGCTTCCTTTTTTTCAGAGATGCCCTGCCCAGAGAAAGGAAATCTGGCAGTGTGGCCACAGCAGCCTTGCTGAGCTGCAGTGGGCTCCACCCAGTTCGAACTTCCCAGTGGCTTTTTTTACACTGTGAGTGTAAAACAGTCTACTCAAGCATAGGCAATGGTGGACCATTGCTGAGGACACCCCTCCCCACACCAAGCTCGAACGTCCCAGTCAATCTCAGACTGCTGTTGTGCTGGCAGCGAGAATTTCAAGCCAGTGGATCTTAGTGTGCTGGGCTCTGTCAGGGTAAGACCCACCGAGCCCGAACACTTGGCTCTCAATGCAGAGGATTTTTTTTTTTTTTTTTTTTTTTTTTTTGAGACGGAGTCTTGCTCTGTGGCCAGGCTTGAGTGCAGTGGTGCGATCTCGGCTCACTGCAACCTCCACCTCCCGGGTTCAAGCAATTCTTCTGCTTCAGCCTCCTGAGTAGCTGGGACTACAGGTGCACGCCAACAGGCCCAGCTATTTTTTTTTTTTTTCACACGGAGTCTCACTCTGTCACCCAGGCTGGCGTGCAGTAGCATGATCTTGGCTCACTGCTACCTCCGCCTCCTGGGTTTACGCCATTCTCCTGCCTCAGCCTCCCAAGTAGCTGGGACTACAGGCACCCGCCACCAACCACGCCCATCTAATTTTTGTATTTTTAGTAGAGACGGGGTTTCACCGTGTTAGCCAGGATGGTCTCGATCTCCTGACCTCGTGATCCGCCTGCCTCGGCCTCCCAAAGTGCTGGGAATACAGGTCTGAGCCATTGCGACTGGCCCAGAGGAATTTCTTAAAAATTATTTGAAGGGTTTATAGAGGGAAACAAAAACAATGTCATAGCAGACTATTCTCTAAAGATATTAACTCAGTTCTAGCTGTTCCCAGTTGTCTCCACCACCACCTCTGCCTCCCTAACAAGAAGAAAAAATGGGCAATGACAAAATAGGGCAAAGAACATTATCCTAACTTTAGCCAAAAGTAATACTCGGCTATACAGGGAATACTGCTTGTTATTTCTCATCACAACACATAACAAAAAACCGTCTTCAAATAAGGGTAATTAATACAGTAAGTAAAATGTATGTTTTTCCTCTAATAAACTTTGTTGTGGAAATTTTCATTGCAGCAAGGATAAGTTAAAAACATTATAAAATCACATTTATAAAATTATAAAAGGTATGGAGAGAATACAAAGATGTGTCATATTCTGGAAAGTATATTCTGTATTACTCTATATAATCTAGAAAAACAATAAACAACACCACTTGAGAAACATTGCTAAGCACAACTTTATATGTGGTTAGCGAACATTAAACTCAATTGCACAGGCCAGAAATAGAAATAGGTACAAGAATTCAGAGCAATTCATTCATTCAACCATCCGTAGAGGAAGGATGTAAATTATAAAAAGCTGAGTGCTTGCAGCACATACCTAAACTCTTGAGAAGGCAATGGCCTTCCTAAAATCATAATATTGAGAGAACAGAGCACACAGCACAACAAAGCTCTCTCACTGCATCTCCTAAATCTCCCCATCAGTTAAGCTTAATTTTCCACTGTGGTCTGAATGCCTGTATCTCCCAAAATTCATATGTTGAAAACCTAACTCCCAAGGTAATGATACTTATCAATAGGTGGGGTCTTCAGGAGGTGGTTAGGTCATGTGAGGAAGCATTCAAGAGTGGGATTAGTGCCCTTATAAAAGAGAACCTAGAGAGGTCCTTTGCCCCTTCCATCATGTGAGGTTACAGAGAAGGCACATCTTTGAAGGCCAGACGCTTGATCTTTGACTTCCCAGCCTCCAGAAGTGGGAATTTTTGTTCATTATAGACCACCCAGTTGATGGTATTTTGTTATAGCAGCCGGAATGGACTAAGACATTTCCCATAGTTTTTACTATGCTAATGACAGGTAACATGAATCTGTTTTTCCGTCTTGACCAAAGAAAGTGTCCCCCTTTCCCTACCCAAGTCACACTTGTGGAGAAGAATATCAAGCTGGACTGAATCCTCCCTAGCACTGCTTATCTTCTTATGACTCAACAGCATCTAAAGCAACGTTAGCAAACATGTATGTGGCACCTTCAAATACATGATGCTAAGCAGATGTGCAGAAAAGAAAAAAAAATGCTGAGCCAGGTGTAACTAATGAAGGTCTATTTCCCAAACTGGGAAGTGTCTATTCAGGCCTTTGAGGGAAGGGAGGGGGGAACTAGTAGAAAAGATCATTGAACTAGAAAAGGCAAAGCCTGAGAGAACCGGTGGTCAAAGATCAGTTTTGTAAAAGCAAAACCCTACATTTTTAAAGTAAAACATTTCCCACTGTTTCCTAAGGATTGGCATGTGGTTATATTCTACACTTCTGCACAATCTTATTTTATTTATGTGGATCATTTGACAGGCAGCTGCCTTTTTAAATAGATAATCTAAAATACCTATAAAACTACAACAATGGGGAAGGATCTTAAATGCTGAGGTAAGTGAAGCCACTTTCACTAGAGAAACTTGGAGCACTTTCCATTAGGCTGTGGATTTGCAGTGAGAGAAAAATTTTTTTTTAAGTCTGGTAGAATTTCCAAGCTTCTGTCTTTCAAATAAAAGGGAAATACACTCACTTCCCAAAGCATCTATCTTTACAAGAAATTCAAGTACTGTAATTATCATAGCCTTCTTCAATACACACTTCAAATTTCTTGGCACTAACTGGAACTGAAAGCACCAAAATTCTCTTATTAAGAAGAAATTTTAAGAGATACTCTAAAATGGGGAGAGATTTGTTTTTAATAGACTTCCTTATAATGAGTCATTTCATAGAGAACTCTAGGATGGGAGCCAAGAACCAGCAGACACAACTCCTTAGCACAAGCAGGCAGTTTACATCCAATCTGGTCAGAGATGTCACGATTCCTGCTTCCAGTCAAGGCCAGACTGCGCATAGCTAGGCAAGGGATAGGCACTTAGTCCTTAGTCAGCAACAGCACTGGTTTTGGCAACTTATGTATAAAAGACAAATTTCTCCTTCATAAAAACAGTCCCATCAAACTCCCCTAAGTCCATTAAAATCAAGACTTCTGCTCCATGCTCAATGAATTTAGTAGAGATAGAATAATAACATACCATTCATAACCCCACTGGACTGATGATAGCTTATTGTTAATCCCATATGAATAAATGAAATTGTAGATTTCCTGGAAATAAATACACATGGGTGAGGATAGGAACAAAAGCTGTATAACTTAAGCCAGGCAAAGGGGTGTGCATATATGGTCCTAGCTACTCGGGAGGCTGAGGCAGGACGATCGCTTGAGGCCACGAGTTCAAGGCTGCAGTGCACTATGACCATGCCTATGAATAGCCACTGCACTCCAACCTGGGCTACATAATGAGACCCCATCACTAAAAAAAATAATAATAATAATTTAAAAAATTTGTAATGGCTGGGCACAGTGGCTCATGCCTGTAATCCTATTGTTTTGGGAGCCGAGGCATGAAGATCACTTGAGACCAGGAGTTCAAGACTGGCCTGGACAACATAGCGAGACCTTGTCTCTACCAAAAATTAAAGAACAAAATCAGCAGGCATGGTGGCATGCACGTCTAGTCCCTGCTACTTGGGAGGCTGGGGCAAGAGAATAGCTTGACCCCAGGCATTCAAGGTTGCAGTGAGCCATGACTGCACCACTGCACTCCAGCTTGAGTGACAAAGTGAGATCTTGTCTCAAAAAATTAAAAACTAAAAAAAAAAAAAGTAAAGCTGTATAACTTAATAACTAAGAATTATTAGCTCTGTGTGCCAGCTGTACAATTTTGAGCAAAATTATTTAACCTCCCCACACCTCAGTTTCCTCTTATGTGAAATGGTAGTAAAGCAGTTCTACCCATGTGTTTTAGACTGGATTCCCCCAGAAGCTGACCCTGTGACAAGTACCTGAGTGAAAGTCATTTATGCAGAAGGTGATCCCCGGAGGCGCTGGTAGGGAGGTGAGAAAGTGAAATGCAAAAGAGCAAAGAGGGAATCCTACATGGATGAGCGTGTGAGTGGGTTCTCTCTGTGGGCCACAGGACGAATTCTGCAGGGGAACTCTCGGAGACTGCAGAGATGGTATTCACCCACCAATCACCGTCACCGGTGTCACCGGTAGAGGGCAGCATCCACTGTGAGAGAGGTTCCTTGGCTGCCGGTGTCCTTGGACAGCAGTCACAGGGACTAGGGTGACCAACTCACCCTCCTTTTAGCACTAAAAACTCAGACTCTCTGGACAACCCTGAGATCAGGGCAAAGGGAGACAGCTGGTCACTCTACCTGGTGCTTGCAGTAGCCATCCTGACACAGGATGGTGAGTCGCAAGAGGTGTGGCCAAGTCTGCTATGCCATCCAATGCCATGAAAATCAAATGTGCTCCTTCACGCAGTGTGCTTAGCCTGGGGCCTGGCACTCGATATTGGATGTTAACTATTTTTGTATACTCAAAGCAACATAGGGATGCGTTTTTACTACCTTAAAGCCACATGGTACCTGTGACATCGTGTGCACAGCACCCTCTGGAGCTGGATCCACTAGAGAACAGTCCTCAGGCTGCCAGCCCCTGCCTGTTTAAATGGCTCCAGAATGCCACAAACAAGAGCCTCCAATACAAGAAATGCCTTTCTTCCCTCTCCATCACTGGCATGCAGTAGAGATCTAAGCTGGAATTCAAGGTAGACAAAAAAGAATGAAAGTATGAAATGCAGAAGCAGCTCTAACACAGTTTCAACCTTCACATCACTGCCACTCTCCCTTCCTGTAAAACAAAGTGACTGATGCATATGAGGACCCCAAATACTCGGTTTAACAAGATACACCCATGCACCCGCCAGCACCTCTGCTCCCACCACCAGATGTATCATCTACTTACCAAGGTTCAACTGTGTTTGTCCCCAAATGTGTTTGTCAAATAAATAATCACAAAATACATATTTCTAGTCAGCCTCTCATATTCAGAAAAGGCCTTGTCCCTGTAAATAAAAGGGGCAGGGGTCATGAATAAATACATACTAATATTTGAAGGGAATAAGATACATAGAGCATATATTTTTTATGATTCTTCAATTTCAGCAAGTTTATTTTGGTGTCAATCACAATGGAAAAGCATTTCTGTACATGAACCACTTTGTGTACCACTTCCCTAAATATATGCAGGATGGCTGATGTGTCTGTTCAAAGATATCTTCTTCAACAATCTAAATGAGATCCTCTTCAATGGTGGAAGATGAAACACCAAATCCTAGAAGTCCCTTCCTGACCATTAATCATGAAATGGAATGAACTTCCTCCCACAATACACAGAAAATACAAACAACCCTGTCAATTACTACTAACCTTAAACACACCCCTAGGTTACTCGAAACCCATAAGCTTAATGGGTAACTGACTCAAAGTCAGAATAAATGGAGCTTTTTAGCCAGCCAAACCCTATTTATACTACTCCGCCACTTTATCCTACAATAGAACATTTCCATATGCCATAACTTTGAATTGTAACTACATCAAAAATGTTTACAACATAGAGGGCTAAAGCTGGCCAGTTAAAGTTCAAAACCCCCAAGCCAGTAAGGAATATTACCTTCTCCTTCCTTACCATCTCCAACCACAAGCTTTAAGCAAAACCATAAACTAGCATGAATGAATTCCTCAAGAATACTTTTTCTAGATTGTTAAATCAATTTTGAGCTTTATTATGCTAAAGATTTTACGAAAAGTCCTACACTGGAAAATATCTGTAAGTGTATGTACTGACTTGAAATTCTGAATATTAAAAATAGCTTTCTTTTCCATAAAGCATCTGGGCCATAGGCTTTCCAAATGGACAGATGTAATGTAAATTTGCTATAGTGCTGGAGAAAATTCAATTCTGCTTAATAGGACAAGAAACTATGATCAATAAGACAGGAAAATACATGGGATAGATGAAGCTCATAAAATGTGTTAAGCATAGATAAGTAATGAAACCTATTAGGTAAAGCAAGCAGAACACGTATGCATGAACACAGAAGAAGACGGAAGGACCAAGAAGCTTCTAAAATTCATGAGGCACTAAATATGCATGAGGCACCTGAGGCACTAAATATTCATGCTGCACAAATTATATATGAGACATACGTGGCACTCAATATTCATGAGGCTTTAATTAGGCCACCCACAGTAAAGAACATTCTTATCCTCAGCACAGGACACACAAAACCCATAGCTGTCAGCAGGCTAACTAATCCCTGTGTCTCTCCCATAGAGAACAAATGGGCAAACGAGGCCAGAGAAGAACCTGGCTACAAGTTCATAATATTGGTTGATGCCTGATTCCTGAAATCACCCTCAGTTCAATGAGCTCATTGATTTACACGCACTTGCAGACACATAAACATACATATTTCCAGATGATATCCATATGTTTATGGGAATGTAACTGCATGCTTTCTGCCTATGTATACATATATTCATTTGCATGTATATGTATGTAGTCTGTAGTATGCATGTCTGTGGATATAGTGTGTGTGGGTATGTATATGTGAACATAGGAACTCTGTATGAGGTTTTTTTTTGTTTTTTTTTTTTTTGAGAGAGAGTGAGTCTCTCTCTGTTGCCCAGGCTGGAGGGTAGTGGCACAATCTCCGCTCACTGCAACCTCCGCGCCCCCCCGCCCCCAACCCCGGTTCAAGTGATTCTCGTGCCTCAGCCACCCGAGTAGCTGGTATTACAGGAAGTACTCTGCATGAATCTTATTCACTTTGTATTCCACTGTTAACAGCAGTGCCTGACACGGAGAAAGTACTCAGCAAATATTTAGAAAGTCAATTGGTAGTCAGTAAGAGATTACCAAGAACATGCAACTTGTAGAGCTTGACTTCATATAAAACAGGGATTGGGTCTTAATCACCTCATTTCTTTGACCCACCAATCCCTCAATCTTTGACAATATCTGAAATGTAGCAGACATATAATAATAATACTGGATGGATGGATGGATGGATGAATAAATGGGTTAAGAAACAAAAGAATCAAAGAAGGAAGTCACATTTTTAGGATTCTGCTTAGAATGGATTTAGTCCTCACGAAGGAAACTACAAATGCTTACATTTTTTTCTACTACTGGCATGTATAAACTATCACTTTCCAGTGTAGAAAATTGTAAATAATAAGGTGAGAGTGTCTCTTAATTGATAAAGTTTAGCTGGAGGAAAACACTTAAAATGAGTATTAGCTACTCATGTGGCTACTAACATACTGTGTATTTTATGTGTAGAATACCAGCCCCTACCTTTCAGAATAAAAGTGCTACTTCTGCTAACATACAACCACAATCTACCTTGGCCACCTCTCTGAAGGTACGTCATCATCTGTCACACATTGGGAGAATAATACCTACACTACAATATATGAAGTTGTTACAATTAAATGAACTTAATAATTATTAAGAAATTATACCAAATTCACAAGTCCATATCTGAGATAATCCATTTTCTGATTACTCCACTAAAAAACATAAAGCACACTTCACCACAGTGCTTTCTTATTAAAGAAAAGGGGAAGTATAAGGTTTTTCTGGGGGAGGAGGGAGAATGCACAATGAGATCCACTGGTCCCCTGTGAGGTGTATGACACACATATGCCGAAGACTGCAATCACGGAAAAAGAAAAATAGGAGGGGAAACTAGAAAGAAAATAGTTCTCAATTTATCAAAATATAAGCATTGATCTTTTTTACCCTAATTTGTATCACCATATTCAGAAAATAGTATAAATCACTTCCTTAAGTATAAACTTACTGTGAGTTGAGGCCCATTCATCATTGGATCTTCTAATGATAGCACCCGTCCTTAGGAACTGTTCAAAAGTGACCAGCACCAACCAACTGAATCATACCTGATTTTTAAAAGTGACTTGACAATGGCCACACAAAGATTTGTGTCACAGTTGGACAGGAACAGACCACACAGACTACCTAAGCCTTGCTTGCCAAAGTAAACAACTTTTCAAAATAAAAGGGAAAAAAATAGCAATACTGAAATGCTACCTAAATATGTTAGTCTTATTCAACACTACAAATAAATTATTGATCCGGTTCACAAAGCATTAAGTCAACTGAATTCTGCTTTTCATACTCTACCTGTACAACTCCCTACCACTTGCCAGGTATAATTGTAAATTAGAAACCTAAAGTGAAGGAAATTAATCACTAAACAGCTGAGGCTGCACAATGACTAATTTTATTTATGCTAAATTTTTATTAATGAAGTAAAACAAAAATACACAATCATTAATATTGGTTATAATCATTTATAACTTGACTGGTTAGTCTTTGTAAAACTCTTCCGCACTCATGTTTTTTCAAAAAATGTTGTATAACCATTTTGTCAGTCACTGTCATTGTGCTAAGAAAAAAAAAAAAGGCACTGCAATACACTAATGAACTCATCCCAATTTACCCAGGTGTTTCCTAGTTTCAGCATTAAAAGTCCCATGTCTTTGGAAACCCCTTCAGTGTTGGACAAACTGGAACAGCTAGTCACACTCCACTGAGAAACAAATGAAGGGAAAAGATAGATATACATTATTGTACTCACGAACCTTTCTGTGTAATGAGGAAAAGGAAAATTCTCTGACAATCACAAAAACAAATTATGTAATAGCATCCCAGCCATGATCCTCATATCCTGAAATTATAGCAAAGGCCCAGACCTAAGCACATCACAATATACATTCACAGAGCAGTCAGAGGAGCGCACCAGATATTGCCGAAGTCACCTCCTCCCAGAGTTTAGTAGGAGGCACCAGAACCGGCCCTAATTCCACCAACCATCATTTCACCCAAACCTCAGTCAGTCCAAAAAGGGGGCTCAGAACACAGGGTATGGTTACCTTTGGAGGACAACAGAATTCATGGGAGAGGTCATTTCTTCCCTTCCCCAATTTGAAGACAGAAGGTGTAAAATAAAGAGGATTGAGTCTTAAATGCTGAAACGATAAAGGAAAGCTATAAAATCTGGTTGAGATATCATTAAGAAATATGCTACATTCTACCTCACAGAAATGGGAATGTCAACATAGCGCAGGTGAGAAAAAATACTGAAAAACTGTGTGTGTGTGTGTGTGTGTGTGTGTGTGTGTGTGTGTGTGTGTTTCATGTTTACATTCAGAGTAGAGATACTTAACTACTCAACAAAACAGTTACAATTACAAACCATAACAATAGCTATGAAGAAAAAGTGGCCAGGTGCAGTGGCTCATGCCTATAATTCCAGAGCTTTGGGAGGCCAAGGCAGGAGGATGACTTAAGGCCATCCTGTTGGTGGGAGTATAAACTAGTACTACCACTGTAGAAAACAGTGTGGAGATTCCTTAAGATCTAAAAGTAGATCTACAATTTGATCCAGCAATCCCACTACTGGGCATCTACCCAGAGGAAAAGAAGTCATTATATAATACGAAAAAGACCTTTCACACACATGTTTATAACAGCACAATTTGCAACTACAAAAATATGGAATCAGCTCAAATGCCCATCAATCAATGAGTGGATAAAGAAAATGTGGTATGTGTGTGTATGTACACACACACACACACACACACACACACACACACACACACACAGAGAGAGAGAATACTACTCAGCCATAAAAAAGGAAGAAAGAATGGCATTAGCAGCAACCTAGATGGAATTAGAGACCACAGTTCTAAGTAAAGTAACTCAAGAATGGAAAAAAACAAACATCGTTATGTTCTCACTTATAAGTGGGAGCTAAGCTATGAGGACGCAAAGGCACAAGAATGTTATAATGGACTTTGGGGACTCGAGGGGAAGGGTGGGAGGGGGATGAGGGATAAAAGACTGCACACTGCTTGGGTGATGGGTACACCAAGATCTCAGAAATCACCACTGAAGAATTTATCCATATAACCAAATGTCACCAAGGTTCCCCAAAAACCTATTGAAATAAAAAAAAATTTTAAGAAATCTACCTTGGCAGCAGAATCCATAAAAGTTCATGATAGATTATATCTAGAAAGCGAGGAAGACAAAGATAGAATCAACAATAACAACTCGGAGACATCTATTTCTTCAACTGATAGAGGAACCATTTATTAAGACACAGAACACTAGAGGAAGACTAAGTTTAGGGTGGGGTGATGGAATTCTGTGTTGGATATGTGGAGTTTAAGCCATGTGGTAGGCAGAATAACGGCCCCTCCATCATAATCCCTGGAGTCTATGAATATGTTAGGTTACATGTTGAGGGAGAATAAAGGTTGCAGATGGAAGTAAGATTGCTAAGCAGCTGGCCTAAAAATAAGATTATCCTGCGTTCTCTGAGTAGGCTCAATGCAATCACAAGAGTTCTTAAAAAGATGGAAGAGAAAGGCAGAAGAATCAGGTGCTTTGCTGCTGGCTTTAAAAATGGAGGAAGGAGCCACAAGCCAAGGGATGCAGGTGGCCTCCAAAAGCTGGAGAAAGACAAGGAAATGAACCTCCCCCAGGGCTTCTAGAAGGAACGCAGCTCTGTCAACTTTCTAATTTTAGCCCAGTGAGATCTGTTTTGGACTTCTGACCTCTATAATTCTAAGATAATCACCTTGTATTGGTTTAAGCCACTAAGGTTGTGGTAATTTATTACAGCAACAATAGGAAATACAAGTGGCCTTGAGACATCTAAGTGGATAGTAACTGAAGCTAATAAGAATTTATAACACCATCAATACAGAGAATATAAACTGGAAAGAAAAGGACCTGAGTGGTTGGTGATCAAGTCTAATACCCTGATAGTTAAAGGTATTCATTTATGCTCAGCCTCCCTCAAAGGAAATACTTAAACTACATTAAAATACAATTTTTCATTTATTAGATTAACAAAGGTCAAAAAGACCACATCATGTTAGTAAGAATGTAGAAAACTAGGCAATATGACTCATTATTGCTGTAAATATAAAGTGGAGAGTTTACAGAGAGCAATTCTGTAATATCATTTGAAATTCAATATACACATAACCTAACATCCACTAAAACCAACAGAAATGTCCACTAAGAGAATACTAGCCAAATAATATTAGTACATCCAGCTGGATATTGGAAAGGATGAGTACTAAGAAGGAGCAATCTTCAAAAATTGAAAGCTAAGGAGCTAGGGAAAGAGTGCAGAGAATGCTACAATTTTGCTTTAAAAACAAAACAGGTTACACATACATATGCATGTATATGCACAGATGACCTTGGGGTGGTGGGAGAGAGGACAAAATAACCTGAAAAAATCCGTTATCGTAACATGGGGGAGGAGAGATAGAGAGGAATTTGATGATTAAAGGAATGGAGAAAAAAATACTAATATACTTTTAAGTATTTTTTTTAATCTTCTGAAATTTGCCATGTGCATATTTCATCCATTGAAAACAAACAGATGTGCTTTTCTCAATCTTCCCAAATTGGAGGGAGGGGGTCCCCTTAGCACTTTTCTCCCTCTTATTTATAATACAGTATGATTGCGTCTAGGAAAAACCGATCCCCAGCAGGCGAGGCTCCAGGATCTGACCACAGACACGTGGATCGTTAATGTTGTTAACTAAGACTACAGTATGATAAATAACCAACATCTATCAATTGATGTCAACACCTAAATATTTCTAACATCTCACATCAGTCTATTTGCTCCTCTCCACCAATATAGAACAAAATTCCTGCTTTTTAAGTTTGTTGTGCCTTGATTTTTTCTTTTCTTTTCAAGGATCATAAAACAGAGGCATGTGAAAAGTCAAAATCCTATGGATCAAAAACACTACAACATTTAAAAATAATATTAAGCATGTATATAGATGAATAAACTGACCACTGAATAACTTAATATCATCATAAACTGACATATTTTAAATATAAATATTACTATTACCACTTAATTTTTGTGGCTCTGTTTTAAGTACCAAAATTTAGCAAAGCACTACTATTCAAAATAGTTAACACTTTTAAAAAGAGGCCTCAACATATAATTCCTTCAGGAGTAGTAGGCACAATTATCTGAGACTTTATGTTATCCTTATAAAAGCAGAGCTACAAAGAGATTCTTATTATTTCCTTTGCTTTATAAGTATGGAAAACTGAAACACCAAGAAATAAAGTCATCATTTAATTTTTAAAAGGAAAATAAAATTCTTAGACATATCTAGTAAGTTTTCACACACAAATAACTTCAAAACCTGAATACCAACCCCTCTTCCCTGATTAAAACCTTTTCTAAATAAAATACAAAGGTTGTCACATAATTTTTTCTGTTTTTACTCCCATCATTAAGACATCCTAAGGAGACTTTAAAATTTACTAAACATGAAATTCCTCTGATATGGTTTGAGCTTTAAAAACCACTAGCTCCTTCATACACTGAGTTTGTTTGCAGTCCATTGGTAACTGAGGTTTTCAAATTTAATAAAAATATTGCTTGATATTGGGAAGGGAAAGCTGGTAGCAGGTAGAGCCAAAAACTCCATAGCATAATATCCAGGGAAATGGAAGTTATTAATCAACAAGCATGAAGTTTAAGTTAAGAGCTTCTAATAAGCTCTAGAGATCTGTAGAACACTGTGCCAATAGTCAACAATAATGTATTATATACAGGTTGAATATCCCTTATCCAAAATGCTTGAGACCAGAAGTGTTTCAGATTTTGGATTTTTTCAGATTTTTGGAATATCTGCATTATTTACTTACCAGTTAAGCATCCCAAGTCCAAAAATTTGAAATCTGAAATGCTCCAATGAACATTTCCTTTGAGCATCATGTCAGCAATCAGAAAGTTTTGAATTTTAGAGAACTTCAAATTTGGGATTTTGGGATTTGGGATGCTCAACCTGTACTTAAAATTTGCTAAGAGAGGCCAGGCAAAGTGGCTCACACCTGTAATCCCAGCAATGTGGGAGGCAGAGGCGGGCAGATCACTTGAGGACAGGAGTTCGAGACCAACCTAGCCAACATGGTGAAACCCTGTCTCTACTAAAAATACAAAAATTAGCCGGGTGTGATGGTGGGTGCCTGTAATCCCAGCTACTGGGAAGCTGAGGCAGGAGAATCACTTGAAGCCAGGAGGTGAAGGTTGCAGTGAGCTGAGATCACACCACTGCATTCCAGCCTGGATGACAGGCAAGATTCTGTCTGGAAAAAAAAAAAAAAATTGCTAAGAGGACAGCTTTCTTGTTAAGTGTTCTTAAACACAATAAAAAAAAAAAATTTAGGGCAAAATGTAATATAATTATTTCTCACATAGCCATGAAACTAAACTGGAGTGACTGAGAGTAAGCTAGAGTATATATTCTATTATGGAAAAAATGAATAATCCAAAAAAGCTGTTCTTTTCTACTTTGGAAGACTTCCAGTGCTTTCTTTGCCCTGTAAACTTACCTTTCTAATCATACTCCCTTTATGCTAAATTAGCCTGCATCCTCTCTGAGAGCAGATTAACTCAGCCAACTGAGTAGGGGAAGTACTTCACAGGCTCAGCAGTAGGAGAGAAAAAAGAAAACTCCCATTACTTCAAAAATTAGGAACAATTAGGGATGAACACTTCCCACCTGGTAGTTACAAGCCAGCAGTGATTTGCTGACATCCAGGGAGAGCCCCAAATTTCTCTGCCAGGGGATGGATTGTAAAATCAGAGCTAGTGAGGCTAGGAAAAACCGATGCCCCAGTAGGCGTGGCTCCGGGATCTGATCATGGTGACACGTGGATTGTTAACGCTGTGGTGTTCACCATGAATAATGCCTGCACGCACACAAGCCATTCCTTTGGTGAAGACAATTCTAGTTTTACTGTGGGTGTGACACGTCAGCACCAGCAGGAAAAAATAATTACTTATATTTAATTTTACTTACGTAAGCAGCATAACCCAAAAATAAAGTTAAAGTGTCTTCTCTCCAGCAAGGAGCGGACTATTGCCCTTGTGGACACCCACTGAGCTTCAGTTTCAAGCCAGTTCTAAGGAATGTCGCAAGGAAGCCAGAGGCACAACTGACCCAAGGTGACAGCGTTGCAGCTGTGAGCTCAACAGGGACATGGCCTTAGGTCCCAGTGGGGCTTCAGTGGGGCTGACCACCAGTGGTATTATATATGAAGGGGGCCTTTAGATTCCTCATCAATTCTCAACAGGGCACAAGTCTGAAACATTATGAACCAGAACTTTCATGAGAAATCAACTCATAAGAAATCTAGATATCATGAGGATTTGTTTCATATAGCCACTTCCTGGCCATTCACTATCTTAAAAGGCACTGCCAAGGTATGCCTTCCCCCTTTATGTGTACGAGAGGTGAGGGCACAGAGGGCTAGCTTTCAAGGAGTAGCAGCAAAGGAAGAGAATTCTGCACACTTCCAAGTGAAGGGAGGTTGAACTCCTGCACACACAGGTGGGAGAGGGGGCATGGCTCTTATAGGGGTTATGGTGTTTCTCTCTGATGAGGGGCGAGGGGATAGGGTAACGAGATCCTGTGCCTCTCTCGCAATTATGCCAGAAGCTGTTTACCTCCACCTCTTTCAAATTTCAATTTACCATACATTTGGGAAGAAGTGATATCTGCAGGAGTTGCTCTCAAACACTACAAGGTTTTCGGCCATCAGGAGTCAATCATATCCACTGTGCTTACTAAGGCAGGAATGTGGGTTATTGTTTTAGGAACATTTTCAACAGTCAGAGTCAAAAAAGAAAATAAAGTTTCTTCATGATTCTTTATTAAGAGGAAAAATGGATTAGCCGGAACAATACATCCCCGCAAGTTTTCTATCAATTAGGGTGATGTATTGAAATACAATGTGGGCCCGACGTTGGAAAAGACAAAGGTAGATCACACAGTATACTGGTAGAAAAATAAAAAGAACAAGTAGAAGAGATTCTTTGACTAAAGTCTCAGGAACAAAAAATAACAACTCGGAAATACTCTCAAGTGAAGAGGAAAAAATGATCAAAAGTCAAGATATTAAAGTTGAAATGTTGCTGAAAATGACACACAGGAAATGAAGGATAAATAGAGAAATTATATCACAAATCAGCCCTTTTCATAAGGGAAAATGTTAATTGTCTTTACCCCCACCCACCTCTTCACACACTTTACAGGTCCATAAGTATTTTTTGCCTTATAACTAAATTTAAAAGCTTTTGTCATCATTTAGAGAGAAAAGTCAATGAGGGCTATAATACAATGAAATCTCCTTTCAGCCTTCCATTGAGGAATAATAATTAAAAATTTAAGAAAGAAACTCTATTTGCACATAGAGAGGGCTAAATGCAATTTTTAAAGCAAAAACACAGCTTGCTCTAGCTGAAACAGTTACCAAATCAGAAATACTTCTTTGACTTAGAATAAAATAATATTTCAAATAGTCATTGAGAATGATTCCTCTTGTGCTTCCACCATTGTTATTACAAAGAGTTTAGGATTTTAAGGACATATTTTAGATTAAATGACCATGGTTTCAAATTCAGGTATGTATATTTTCAAAACTCAAAGCAGCTTCAGAAAGATTGCAGAGAACTAGCAGAGATCCAGAAAGTATTGCAATATAGCCAAAAACCTTTGGATAAATAACATCTGGCATTAGTGGTTTGCTATACTTGAGTTTCTCAACTTCCTCTCTGAAGAAACTTAAGTCCCTTTTGGCCTCTCTCTGACTTCCTCAAAAATGTTTCTGGAAACAGATACTTCACTGTCTTCCATATTCTTTATCTGGAGAAGTACTGTAGGAATTGTTAGGAAGCTACAGGGGCTAATGTACCAGGCATATTACTGCTCCTTCATGGGCCCTCCTCAGTCTCGACTCCCTATCTTTTAAATTTGTAGCAAATCTGGAAAAAGCAAGAGGCTTTGGCATCAGAATGATGTTGGTTCCCATCCCAGTCTCATTACTTACTAGTTGGTGCCCTTAAACAAATACTTTACCCCTGTGAGCCTCATTGTTCTCTCATTCCACTTCTTGGGTCTGTTGTGAGGGTTAAGTGCAGGTGTGTGAAAAGGAACCTCCCCTGTCTAGCACATGGTAGGCACCCACTGAATGGTAAGTGCTCAGGGAAACCCAGCACTGACTGTGAGGATCACAGGTCCAGCAGATAGCTGGACATTGTGGAAACCAACCTCATCTGATCAAAGTTGCTTTCTCTGTCTCTGAGAGCCCCCTCTGCCTCTGGCCCGACAGTTTGTTTCTGTTTTCCCTCATTTTCTCAGCTGCTCCCACTTCTGACCAGCTATTGCTCTGTTCCTCCCCTCATCCACAAGTCTTCGTTAAAACAACTATGTAAGAATCCCATAAAGAAAAAAATAAGCAATCACTCATCCTTTCCCTTAACTCAAGACATCTGGGATAACTTTCTTTCTCTCTCATTATTTTGTCCCCCTCAAGCAAGTGAGCCAGAAGTGATACCTTATTAAGTGAGGAAAATAAGATTCAGAACAATGTCATCTGAACTTACATTTGAGTGCGGTTTTTTTGTAACAGTATTGATCCTTTTAAACAGTATATTTTGTATATACATATCTCCCTCACTTTTGTAACAATGTATAACACCATTTAAGTATTTTGGGAGGGGAGGCAGAGAAGAACAAATAATTCTCTAGTTTAAACTGAAGTTGAGGATGGGAGGCACGAAGTAAGACAGCTAAAATTCCAGATTTGAATTATGCAGGAATGCACAGTGGCAATAATGGGCATCAGTGCTATTCAAAGTGCGATCCTTGCTTGTACATGAACCGTGTGTTCCCAGAGAGCAAGCAGATAATACAGAATGATACAGAAATTAAAGAGTATTTAGAAATTCTTGTAGTAACTTGAAAAGGTAGTTGTATGCATGTGGAATGAAATAAAAATCCAGGCTTTTATTTTGTATGTCTGCTGCTTTTCTAGTAATTATCATTTTTCTCACTATTCACTTGTATTAACTATTACAGGATCAGTACGCCATACAAAAAGTATCATTCCACTGGAATTTTGAAATTTTAAAACTCAGATTCTATATAACAGAGTTGTTCCTGAAAGGTTTGGAAGGCAAATTTGCTTTGACCTCCATGGAGGGCACAAGTTTGTGGACTGTGTAAACACAGTTAATTAGGGGCTAGGTGACACTCTGCCAAATCCACTCGGCTCTTCAAAGATGTGACATTTAATCCACATAAAGTGAGAAAATAAAACAACTGTCCTCAAATAACCTATTTAAAGCACACACCAAAAAATTGTAAAATATTATCACTTATTCTTAGCATAAATGCTCAAATATTAAAATATTACAGATTAAAACCTGATATGAAAATGTCTGAAAAATCATCCAAAGCTATAACGCTCTGCAAACTTCTATTGTGAACTTGCATAAATAAAAGATAAAAGCTTCCCTCTCCCTGAATTCTAAGTAGAAGGTAAATACAATTTATGGTAATACATTGAAAAGGAACAATCACAGAAACAAAGCCATCAGAAGACTCTCATTTAAAAACTGGTTGCAGCCTGGAGCAGTGGCACACACTTACAGACTCAGCTGCCTAGGAGGCTGAAGCAGGAAAATCGCGTTAAGTCCAGGAGTCCAAGGAGAGCCTACCCAACATAGCGAGACCCTATTTCTTAACAAAAAAAAACCAACAACAACAACCAAAAAAAAACTACTTCATAAATCTCCAAGGCAATAAGACTGTAACCTTTAAACACTAAATAAAATAAAAATAAAAACTGGCTGCATCAGTACTAGTGGAACTTTCATAATACTCAAAGGCAAGCCTTCTGGAATCCCAGTTTGCCTCGACTATAAAATGGAGATAGTAATGACTTCTCAGGGCTGGCAATTAGGACCAAATAACACAATGGGTGGTAGAACACTGAAACCACGGAGCAGTGTGCGGAGTGTCATCCAGGGACCCGGGGATCTTTGATACTCTTTAAAAGGTTTGCAAGGTCATGTTCTCACTCATAAGTGGGAGTTGAACAATGAGAACCCATGGACACAGAGAGGGGGACATCATACACCGGGGCCTGTTGGGGAGTGGGGGACAACAGGAGGGAAGAGCATTAGGACAAATACCTAATGCACGTGGGGCTTAAAACCTAGATGATGAGTTGATAGGTGCAGCAAACCACCATGGCACATGTATACCTAAGTAACAAACCTGCACGTTCTGCACATGTATCCCAGAATTTAAAGTAAAATTAAAAAAAAAAAAGGTTTGAGGGGTCAAAATAATTTCTAAAATTATACTGAGTCATTTTTTGCTCACTCGTTTTCACACAAATGTACACAGAGTTTTTCAGAGGCTACCTGAAGAGTGAGAGGGACAGATTGAATGCAGAAGAAGAAATGAGAATGCAGCTGTCTTCTTGTACACCAGACACACAAGAAGTTTGCAGAAACGTAAAACAATATCATTCATCTCACTGAATTTTTTGTCTTAGAAAATAGGGAATTTTTCGTGAAACAATTTTTTATTAACATGCAGTAAGTTTTATGTTATTTTTAAAAATATTAATAAATCTATTAAAATTGTCTCAATTTAACTGAAAATATAGTCAACATCAATAGCTATAAACCAAACATATAAAATCTCTTTTGGGATCCTCAACAATTTTTAAAATGTAAAAGGGGCTTGAAATCAAAATGCTTGAAAACTGTTCCTGAAGGTGAAAGAGCTGTATACACTTTAATACTTATGCATATGTATAAAATTAAGCTTGTATTTGTGAACACATAGTACTTTAACATATCAATACATGTATATTTTATGGGAAGGAAAAGTTTATCACACTGCATTTGGTATTTTTATCTCACTTCCCAGAAAAAAGCAAACTGAAAGAGCCTGTTCTCTGGTAGCCACGTGTCCTGGGTTTTCCAGGACAGTCTTAACATCAAATGTGTTTCCAATTTTTCCCATCAACCACAAAAATGTTCCTTATATTTCAACATTTTTGTGTCCAAATCCATCTCCCAATCTGATTCTCACACAGAAGAATCACAAAACATCCTTCTGTTGTGCTGTCTGTAATTATCTTTAAAACACTTCAGCACAGTGCATGTAACAAATGCCTGTAGGATGGTTCTGACCCTCCTCCCAGGAGTGGTGGGTTATTCCAGCTGAGAACATACCCCAGAGGTACTTCATGAGTATGTGAAAGCCTTCCTAGGGAGGCTCACACTCCAGAGTCAGCGGACTCCAAATTTTATTTGTCATAAACAACGGAGGCTTTGTTAGTTAGCAAAATGGATGCTAAAAATTATTTCTCATGGGTAAATGTGAATTTTGCCAGATGTAGAGTGGTCAGAAATACTATAGGGTACTCCTGCCTTTAACTAAACAGGGTCTACAAACCAAAAATGTCCAATGCCTCAACCCCTTAGGATTAGTACCCTTAAGCTTAGGACTTTGATGCTGAAGAATAATCAGAAGTCAATCACGCTGCTTGAACAACTTCCCTTTCTGCTTCAAATAAACATCTCATGCACAGATCTGTTAGAGTACCCTAAGGACAGACAGCAGGCACCTCACTGACATTAGAGAACAGTCATACAACTGGGCCCTGCTCATTAATAAGGGTTTGCATGTGAGGCAGAATTCATTGCGAGATTTGCTTTGGTTATTACACACCGCCTAATAAAGTCTTTGAAGAGAAACCCTACAGCCCTTACCTTGCCATCTATTACACTCTTCATGCTTACCCAAAAGAAACAAAGAATTATAATCCATCAAATTGGTTTAGGAGCATTAGCAAAACCTCTTTCAGACCATCTGGGCCTGAGAAATACCTATTCCTTCTTATCCAGCACTGTCATCTAACCGCAAAGAACTGCCTAGAAAGGGCTCAAAAGCTTCAGGAATTCTGCCTTGCAAAATCAGTATCTTCAGTAATGACAAAAGCCAGATTGGAGTTTGTGTTGGATGAAAATCTAACTACCTCTTCTTGTAAGAAAAGTATTTAGAGGAAGAAACATTCATTGACCACTTACACATGCTATAAACTGAACCCAATGCTACAAAAGTTGGCAGTGCATAACCACTAAGATAGTCCTATTTACAACTGGAGAAAGCAGAGAGGGAAGAGAAAGTAGAGGCAGAATGGGAGAGAGCCAAGCAGGAAGAACATGCAGCTTCCAAAATTCAGGCCACATCAAGGTGTTGTGTCATCATTTTGTTTGAGGTAAAAACTTAGAAAACACAGGATCCAAAGTCAAATATGAATTATCTACTTTGGCTTTCTTAAGCACCAAGATAAACAAAATACCTATATGACAGAATATCACATAACAACATAATAACATAACAACATAACAGAATAAATAATAACAGAAAACCATGCCATCGAAGACTACCTAATGACAATGGAAAATGCTCACCACATTTCATTCCATGTTGAGGGATCAAAGGCGTAGTATTGTTTACCTCTGGCTATCTGGTGTTCTCACATTTCCCATCTCCCAGATATAATCCCTGTTGCTATTTTATCATTCTAGCATTGTTCTCTATATATTCACATATAGATATGTGCTATATATCTACAGGTAGACATAGATATAGATGACAGAGATAAACATTGAAGACTTTTGTGCTTTTCAATTTCATGCATATTTTATTTGAGGAATTACAACACTGAATAAAGTTTGCTCATATCAACACTATTTTCACACTAGATTAAAAATGAAATCCCCATGAAAATAATGTATTTTTAGTCTCCAGGCAATCTCCTTAAATCTGGCTTCCAACAAGATCATCTATAAAAATAGTGTACTGCTTGTCCATATCAGTTCGATTAAACAAGTCTTTAATTAAGGCAATACCATTCAGGACATAGAAAGGGGCAAATATTTAATGATGAAGACGTGTCACAACAAAAGCAAAAATTGACAAATGGGATCTAATTAAACTAAAGAGCTTCTGCACAGCAAAAGAAACTATCAACAGAGTAAACATACAACCTACAAAGTGGGAGAAAATTTTTGCAATCCATTCATCTGACAAAGATCTAATATCCAGCATCTATAAGGAACTTAGACAAATTTACGAGAAAAAAAAATCCCACTTAAAAGTGGGCAAAGGACATGAACAGACACTTCTTAAGACATACATGCGGCCAACAAACATGAAAAACAGCTCAACATCACTGATCATTAGAGAAATGCAAATCAAAACTACGATGAGATATCATCTCACACTAGTCAAAACAGCTATTATTAAAAAGTCAAAAAGCAACAAGATGCTTGCGAGATTGTGGAGAAAAAGGAACACTTTTACACTGTTGGTGGTAGTACAAATTAGTTCAACCATTGTGGAAGATAATGTGGTGATTCCTCAAAGACCTAGAGGCAGAAATACCATTCGACACAATAATCCCATTTCTTTATACCCAAAGGAATATAAATCGTTCTGTTATAAAAACACATGCACACATATGTTCACTGCGCCATTTTTCACAATAGCAAAGACATGGAATCAACCTAAATGCCCGTCAATGATAAACTGAATAAAGAAAAGGTGGCACATATACATGATGAAATACTATGCAGCCATAAAAAGGAATGAGATCATGTCTTTTGCAAGGACATGGATGGAACTCAAGGCCATTATCCTTAGCAAACTAACACAGGAACAGAAAACCAACTACCACATGTTCTCACTTACAAGTGGAAGCTAAATGATGAGAACACATGGACATATGGGTGGAACAACACACATCAGGGCCTGTCGGAGGGCGGGGGTGGGAGGAGGGAGAAAATCAAGAAGAATAAGTAGTGGATGCTGGGATTAATACCTGGGTGATGGGACAATGTGGGCAGCAAACCACCATGGCACATGTTTACCTATGTAACAAACCTGTGCATCCTGCACATGTATCCCTGAACTTACAATAAAAGTTGGAAATAAAAATTATATAAATAAAAATATAAAACCTGATTATCTAACTGCAACGAAAAAGTATTTAAGCCTCTTCCATGAGCTTGGTATTTGGATAGGCCCAGGGAAAACAAAGTTTTCTTCCAATAAAATTATGCAAGTCCCTGAATTCTTAGGACACCATTCAGAACTGGTCAGCATGCCTTTCTAAAATCTTGCGGTCTATGAAACAAAAATAAGAAAACTGGGAAGCCAGATTCTCAAATCAAATTGTTTGATCTAGAGCTGCAACCAAGTCTAGAATGCACTGGATACACAGCAATGGTAAAGAAATGAGCAACTGGTGAAGTGGATACCTTTGCTGGGTACTAAAAATGACCAGAATCAAGCAAACATTTCTACCCAAAAAGAGCAAAACAAGATCAGCAGCATTTTATTTTTACAAACCCCAAACAGAAATGATTTCAAAACATTCACCCTAAACTACACTTGCTACCCATTTGTTTCTGTTTAGGCTGTGTCAATGCTAAATTAGCAGTTGGCTTAGTGATTCCAGGTTATACGGGTTCAGGTCTCGGAAATACACAGTTCTGGTTTAAGTTAAATTTCCTATTTGCACATAACTTCCCTGACCTTTAAGTTTCCAAACTGTATTTGTGCAAATTAGGCACAAATTGCAAGCTCTGCTGACTCAAATATATTATGACTAGAAAGTTAAGGGAAAGATAAACATACAAAGCCAAAGTAAGAAGCAGTTCTAAAGCTGAAAAGAAGCCTACAAAGATGGGATCAATTGAAGTAAGTAACTCTGCATCTGTTATGAATAGTTTCACTTCACCCTCTTTCAACACCAGAATCCAGTCATCTTGGCTGCTCCTGCCACCGCCTCCAGCCTATCATGCTCAAAGAGTTCATCACAAGGGTTGGCCAACTTGGAGAACCTTTCAATCTGCCAGGGCCAAACCTAAGAGGGCAGCAAGCCAGGAAAAGCACATGCTGGCATCACATAACAGCATGCATTTCAATGTTACAGGGCAAAATAGGAGATAACCTTAGCCAAAGATAATTTCTCTAACCCTGACATCAGAACTGGATACTACATCTATTGTCTTTAAATAAATTTCCCAACGAAGGCTCTTCATCAGAACAAATAAATTCATTGACTTTCATGCTCTCTCACTAGGCAGTAATGTTTGCTTATGTACTGCTTACTGCAACTGACAACTTATAGTTCCCGAAGTTTTATCTGAGGGATACTCTCAGAAATATTTTCCCCCAAAACATTCCTGATGTCAGGAAACAACAGATGATGGAGAGAATGTGGAAAAATAGAAATGTTTTTACACTGTTGTTGGGAGTGTAAATTAGTTCAACCATTGTGGAAGACAGTGTGGCAATTCCTCAAGGATCTAGAACCAGAAATACCATTTGACCCAGCAATTCCATTACTGGGTATATATTCAAAGGATTGTAAATCATTCTACTATAAAGACACATGCACACATATGTTTACTGTAACACTATTCACAATAGCAAAGACTTGGAACCAACCCAAATGTCCACCAATGACAGACTGGATGAAGAAAATGTGACACATATACACCGTGGAATACTATGCAGCCATATAAAAGGATAAGTTCATGTCCTTTGCAGGGACATAGAAGAAGCTGGAAACGATCATTCTCAGCAACCTAACACAGGAACAGAAAACCGAACACCACGTGTTCTCACTCGTAAGTGGGAGGTGAACAACAAGAACACATGGATACAGGGAGGGGAACATCACACACTGGGACCTGCCAGGGGGTGGGAGCCTAGGGGAGGGATAGCATTAGGAGAAATACCTAATGTAGATGATGGGCTGATGGGTGCAGCGAACCACCATGTCATGTGTATACCTAAGTAACAAACCTGCACATTCTGCACATGTATCTCAGAACTTAAAGTATACTTTTTAAAAAGACATTCCATTTTAATTGCATGTTTAAGTATTGTGGCATGTACATATATTCCTTGTGATGAGGTGAACTGCAACAAGAAGAAAAATGCAACACTGTATAATTTAAAGAGGTTTGAGATTGAAGAACTTCCAGGAAACTGTAGACGAACATTGAGTCATACCATCTCCAAATGAATATTATTAGATGTAAAGACTGCATTCTACATGTAACTTACTTAACTTGAAGTGCTGTTTTCTCCCTTTCAATGTAACTTTTAAACATACATGAACAGCATTTCTAGTGTACTTTTATCAAACCTGTCCAGGTTCATTTCCCTACCTTTGTTATTTAGAGAAGGGAAAAATTAAAAGGGCCCAAGCTGAAAATTCTTAGGAATAACCCCAAGAAGTAGAATGTCTTCATTTGTCTTTTTACAAAAATCTTTCCTTAGGAACACAAAAGGTAAAGGAGGGAAAGCCTGAGCAGTAGCTGCTTCCAAACCCACTCCATGGCAAGCCAAGAGGCCAGTTGGCTTTGAGGCCAAATTCCCCTTCCTTAAAGAGGCCTTGGTAATATCATGTCGTTCTTACAAAAGGTGTTCAGATGTGATTCTTGCCTTCTTTCTTCCAATAACCCACTGAGTTGAGGGAAGGCAAGGGGGAGAAGGGAGTGGAGCACAGGAGTAGGAAAAAATGTGAAGATGTCCAAGACAAACACTGAACACAAAGACCAATCCTTACCTAAAAACCCTGGCTGGATGTTTGGGGTTGAAAAGCCTCCTTGGAGTGGATGTGGTGTGCTGATGTGGGCGTTCTGGGCACTAGTTTCTCTTCTATTCTGTTTTTGCTGGCCAACAACCCCTCTTCCTTTCCTTTCATTCTTGCCAGAAGGAGTTCTCAGTTTAATCTTTGAGGTGAACAGATAACCCACTGGAACATTAAAATAAGTGCTATATAATACAGAATTAGCTTTAGAAGGCCTTGGAACAAATGTGACCCAGGTTTAGAGTGTGGTGATCTCAAGGAGAACTCTCTGAAGGAGCAAACCAAATGTTGCTTACTTAAAGGCATTCCCAAGCCAGCCCTTTCGTATCAAATCCTAGGGCTCTACTTGGCATCTGTCAGTCAGGATGAAAGTAACAAGGATGTCACCAGGGGTCCTGAGCAGAACGAGAAAAAGGAGAGAATAACCTGTAGAGAGCACTTAATTTCAGGCAGTGTGCTCAAGACCTCTGTATCTCCTCATCTAGTCCTTAGAAAAGCTCTCCTAGAGACTGGAGTCTCACTGTTAGCACCACTGACTGTACAGATGAGGAAATCAAGGTAAACTACCTAAACTCAGATAGCCAGAAAGTTGTTGGGAGTAGAATGCCACTGACTGCAAAATGATCACTCCAGGAGAGAAGATTTTAACTGTTTTTTCTTTCTGATTCCCTCCCCATTGTCCCCTGAGCATTTTGATCACATAAACCTCCCAGTCTTCTCCAAATATACCATGCCCTTTCCAACATTGAAGCCTCTGCACTTACAGGTCCCTAGGTAAGTAAGTCCCTTAAGACACTTACTTGAGAATCAGATGACGTCACTGCCTTCCCTGGGTATTCACACTTCCAAGCACAATTGATCAGGGAGTCTCTAGATAGCAGGAACTTTATAAATGCTATATTATAAGTAATCTATTAACTATAAGTATTTAAGTATTGACTTTAAACTGACAGTGGCTGTCTAAGGTCTTAGCTATGCAATTACAGGCACAGCATTCAGCAGAGGCTCAAAAAAGTATGCTGAAACATTAAAGTCAAATAAGCCAATTGGGGGATGGGAAATTATATATTTTATATATAATTTTAGGGGATATATATATCCCCTAAAAGAGATATATATATATACCCTAAAAGATACATATACATACACCCCAAAAGACATACATGTATTTATCTCCTAGAACACATATACATATCCCCTAAAAGACATATATATATCCCCTAAAAGACACACACATATATATATATCTCCCCTAAAAGATGACAAATCACTGTCTTTTCTTTCTCTTCATAACTTTCCTAAAGGGAGAAAAAATCATCCAAATAATTTTTGAGAGCTTATGGGAGAGGCTGATTAATGACATGTACACTAAAACCTCAGGTCTGGGAATAGTCCACCATAAAAAACTAAAGTTTATACCCTTAAGCAAAACAACAACAAAATGTAAGTAAACCATTAAGCATAGAAAGCTTTCTGTGACATTTTAAAACACTTTTTCCCCACCTTTCCTAAGGCACAAGAGACATGGCCTAACCCACCACTATGCACGTGAATTATGATTCTGCAGGCCTCCAAAGAGTTGCACAGCTGCCGCTGCCTCTCTACCTCCTATTACCAGAGTACAATCAGTTTTCAGGTTTTTACACCTTTTTATTATTCTCCCATCAGGTTTCAACTGTGCTGTATACTTATAATGTCAGAGAGTAAGTGGCCTAAATATCCCTTCTCCAAGCCTCTACTGTGTCACTTCTGGTTAGCTGTGGACTTAAACACCAGGTAAGCAAGCTTGCTGAAATCGTGAATAACAGAAGAATGCACACACATTCCAAGTAAGGGCCTTTCTCACAAACACATCAGAAGATAAGGGGTACAAACATATGAAAAAATGCTCAACATTGCTGATGATCAGGGAAATGCAAATCAAAACCATGATGCGATACAACCTTACTCCTGCAAAAATGGCCATAGTCAAAAAAATCAAAAAATAATAGATGATGATGGGGATACGGTGAAAAGAGAACACTTTTACACTGCTGATGGGAATTTAAACTAGCACAACCACTGTGGAAAACAGTGTGGTTTCCTTAAAGACCTAAAAGTAGAACTACCATTTGATCCAGCGATCCTACTATTGGGTATGTACCCAGAGGAAAAAGAAGTCATTATACAAAAAGGATACTTGCACATGCATGTTTATAGTAGCAAAATTCACAATTGCAAAAATATGAAACTAGCCTAAATGCCCATCAATCAATGACTGGATAAAGAAATCGTGGTGTACATATATGTGTGTGTATATATATATGTGTATGTATATATATAATTGAATATATATATACACACCATGTGGTGTGTGTGTACATGTTTGTATCTATACATATATACATATGCACGTATGTATATGCACGTGTGTACATGTATAGATATACACATATGCAAGTGTGTACATGTGTATACACACATATACACACGTGTGTATATGTATATATACACACACACACACATCATTGAATTAGTATTCAGCCATAAAAAGGAATGAAAAAATGGCATTTGCAGCAACCTGGATAAAATTGGAAATCATTATTCTAAGTGAAGTAACTCAGGAATGGAAAACCAAACATCGTATGAGGATGCAAAGGCATAAGAATGATACAATGGACTATAGGGACTCAGGGGAAAAGGTGGGATGGGGCTGAGGGATAAAAGACTAGAAATTGGGTACAGTGTGCAGTGCTTGGGTAAGGTGTACCAACATTTCAGAAATCACCACTAAAGAACTTATGCATGTAACCAAACACCACCTGTTCCCCAAAAACCTATGGAAATAAAGGATTTTTAAAAAATATATTGACCTTTCAAAAAAAACAAAAAAGATTTTCCCTAGACTGGGCCAGCCTTACCCTGCAACCAGTCTTCTACCCCTTCCTTCATAGATCAGTCAAAGAAGATAGCAAAGTCTTCTCAGGGACTTTGAGAACACTAATCAGTTTTACAGCCTGAAGCAAAGAGAGATCTAATTAATATGATAAAGGTTTCCAGTTAAGTATTTTGGTTTTCCATTATATTTAGTACTGTCCGCCCAGGGCATACATCGGGGGGGCAAGGGGAGACAGTAGCATCCAGCTGCTGTGAAGGATGAGAGATGGTCTGCTCTCTGACTCAGAGGATTATTGCCCTCTTTCCTAAACCCCCAAGGAATAGGCTACACAGAGGCAGAGAATTTTGGCAGATTTGACTGACCAGCTCCTCTGAGGACAGGATGAAAAGAGGCTCTGCTCAGCATCTGTTCAACATTCCAAAAGCTCCTGCAATTCCTTGACTGCAAGTCTTTAGAGATGAGGGTCTAGGCCTGGCTTATTCACACTGTGTTCCTAGGCACATGGACATAACAGATGCAAAATAATTATGTAATGGCTAATTGATATCAGTTTTTCACATGTGCCTACCTGCTTAAATAGCATAGATGAAGCATAAAAGCTAATAAAATCCTAAATATGAAATGCATCTCTATCAATTTGCAAACATACAAATTTTTTCACTGATATAAATGGTCAGAATATTCACGATACCCAGGAGATGAATCAGTGAGTGTGAAGTGTTGGAAGATTTGGCTTACAATAAAAGTTTCTCTGATGGCTAGGTAAGTTGAAGCAAAAAATGTAAATAGGTAAATCAAATAATTTTAAAAAAAGGGACGTCATATTCTTGAGTAATTCCTTCTTTCCTATTCCTCTTTAATACCAATATTATATAAAATGAAAAGGACAAAATTATGCCTAAAAGTATATTATTTCATATTTTTAACTTATTGCCAAAATAAATAAAAAAGGGATTATTCCTAAAAGTGTCCCATTTTGTAGATTTTTCTCAAATAAATAGCCAGAACCATTTATAACCATATTTACCAAATTCATATCAAATGGGTTTCATAGCCTCTTTTTATAAAGCTGTGGGACATCCCAACAGACTAGTTTGGGACTGTAATTGAAAGGCCAGTGATTCCTCTGGATGATGGTACACTGACCTCCATAACAATGAACAAGGGGCAATTGAACAGGTAATAGTTGTCTCTACCCATGTCCAAGGGGAAAAGGTAGAAAACAGCATAATGTCATAGTTGTCATGAAGTTCAAAAAATCAACCTCTTGCTCACTGAGTGACAAGGAGCAGCTTACAGTGATCTCACTGAATATTAGGTTCTTCATCCATAAAATAGGTTCTTCATCCATAAAATGCCAGATATACTGCTGATATTTGAGATGATCAATATTAACTGCCTGCCACCTGTAAAGCCAAGGACAGCCCCACTGGTTCAGACACCATGATCAGCAAGCACTTCAAGCCTCACTGAAAAAGCCAAAACCATTTTCTCATTTATGGACTTGATTTATAGCCATGGAAAATAAACAATAAATGAGAGCAAAGCATTCTGTGACTTTCCTTCAAAACCATTTAATTTTTTAAACAGTCAAGAAAAAGAAAAGGAAAAAGAAGAGTGACCAAAACAATACTCAAAATTACTATGTTGTATGTAAATTTATAACAAAAATATAAAGTTAAAACAAAAAATATTTTAAATTAAGATTAGCTTAAAATATAGTGTTCAGCTTTCACTCTCCTTCAACTTTGGTCACATATTTATCACAAAATATCACAAGACTTTTATTTTTCTACTTGAAAGACAAAAGAAAGAGCCGTACAAAATAAAATGTGGCATAGGATACTATCAGCAATTAAATATATGTGTTTGAGTACTCAAATATGCAATCTACTTTTCACGGCAAACATTAGAAAAACTGGCAACTTTTATCAAGAAATTTCAATCACCCCATCATATTGCTAAACATTTTTATCACTTATAAAATTGCAATCCAAAGAAAATTTATTTGCTGTTGCTAAGAGACATGAAAGGAAAACTTTAAAACACCCCTTTGTCTCTGATTTTCAAAGTACATGTAGTCAAAAGCAAAGAACATGTCATCATCAATGGCTGAGTGGAGGTGTCCAGTGCTAGCCTCTTCCACAAAGAACCAAAACAACAAAGAGATAACTGCACTTTGAGTAGAATGTCTAAGAGAGAACACTGCAAGTTAGCAAGGAAGTGGCAAAAAGCCTCTGGACACAAAAACTCAGGATAGTATCACAGAGAAGGAAGTAAAGCATCCAGCAAGGATTGGCTTGAACCAAGAGGAACTCTCCATTGTGGAGAAAAGGTAAGAGGTAGCCTCCGTTGCCACCATGGATGCCTGCAATGCTTGCTATAGGAAAGCCCCACAGTCCTCACAGAGGACTAAGCGGAGTACACTTTAGTCAGGGTACAGGGAGCTGCCTAAAGTTAACATGGCTGCACTGCTCCCCAGAGAAAACTCATGCTGGGTCTCCCCCGCAACCCCCAGGACCCAGGCTGCTGCGGCACAGAGCCATATTGAGAGATGAGCTACTACCAGAGTGCATCTTTCCCTGGGGCCTAATATCCCTGCAATTCCATATCCCTGTGACCCCTCCACTATCTCACCATGCCTACAGAGAAGGCTGCAGCACAATGATGCCACCCTGAACCCAGTGGTACGGCAATGACTCAGGCATGCAAGCCCATACAGCAACCTGTATACCAAGAAGCAGTGGCCCAGCATAGAGAGGAGACTACCCTCAAGACCAAGGGAGCCCCTATACGCTCCCAAGGACCTGAGAGTCAGCCTGCCTGGCAGGCCCCACACCAAAAAAGCTGTGCCACTGCCTACAGAAACACCCACAGCCCAGGCCACTGAGGCACTTGCAGACACAGCTGACACTGAATACGCCAAAGAAAGCACAAGAAGACAATACTGTTCCAATCCAGAACTAAAATGAAAACACTCTACCAAACCAGCACTACAAGACACATAAACAGAAAAAAAAAATTATCCTTACAAAAACTACATAAAATCAGAAGCAGTGAGCACAGATATCAATGTAAGACCACAAGAGAAGTGAAAAGCAAGGAATATGACACCTCCAAAGGAAAACTATTCTCCAGTAACTGACACCAAAAAAGGAAATTTATAAAGTGCCTGAAAAGGAATTCAAAATGATGATCCTAAGAAAACTCAGCAAGATACAAGAGAATACAGACTGAGAATTCAATGAAAACAAAAACAATTCATGATCTAAATGAGAAATTCAACACAAATAGATATAAAAAAGAACAAAACAGAAATATTGAGGTAAAGAATTCAATGAATGAAATAAGAAAACAAAATTAAGAGCTTCAACAATAGACTAGATCAAGCAGAAGAGACTGATTTTTCTAGGAAGAATTTCTAAAGATAAAAATGGGTCTTTTGAAATAGTCAAGTCAAACAAAATAAAAAGAAAAAACAATAAAAATGAATGGAGAAAGCCAATAAGACAATGGAACACAAATAAGTGAACATATTTTCGCATTATAGGAATTCAACAAAGAGATGGAAAAAGGTATTGAAAATATATTTAATGAAATACTAGCTGAAAATATCCCAAGTCATGGAAAAGATACGATAGCTCAAAAATCCTTAAGTAAATTTAATTCAAAAAAGTTCTCTCCAAGGCACATTACTGAAAACTGTCAAAAGTCAAAAACAAAGAGAGAATTTTCAAAACAGCAAGAGAAAAGCATGAAGTAAAAAGGGACTCCCCATCATACTAACAGCAAATTTATCAGCAGAAATGCTACCAGCAAAAAGAAAATGGTATTATATATTCAAAATGCTGAAAGAAAACTGCCAGCAAAGAATACTGTACCCAGCAAAAATATTCTTCAGAAATGAAGAAATAAAGTCTTTTCTAGACAAGTAAAAACTGAAGAAATCCATTACCACTAGAGCAACCTTATAAGAAAGGCTTATGGGAGTCTTATATCTGGAAGTAAAAGGACAAAATTTAACATCATGAAAGCATATGAAAGTATAAAATTAACTGACAGAGCAGATACACAAGGATGAGAAAGGAATCAAACCCTATCACTACAGAAAACCACCAAAGATAAACAATAAGAGAGGAAGAAAAGAACAAATGATACACAAAACAACCAGAAAACAACAAAATAACAGGAGTGTGCTCTCACCTATCAATAGTAATCCTGAATATAAATGGTTGGTTTCAATTCTCCAATAAAAGATATAGAGTTGCTGAATAGATTTTTTTAAAAAAAGAAACAAGACCCAGTTATATGCATATAAGAAACTCATTTCACCTATAAAGAACACACAGACTGAACATGAAGGGATGAACAAGAATATTCTACACAAAGAGAAACCAAAACTAAATGGGAGTAGCTATATTTATATTAGATAAAATGAATTTTTAAGTCAAAAACTATAAAAAGAGAAAAAAAGTCATTATATAATGATAAAGAGATCAATTCAGCCAGAAAATATAATTATTGTAAATATATGCACCCAGCACTGGAAAACCCAGATACATAAGCATGAATTAATAGATCTAAATATTATTATATTAAAAGGGAGAGACAGGCCCCAATACAATAATAGTTGAGGACTTCAACACTCTACTGTCAATATTGAACAGGTCATCTAGATAGAAAAATCAACAGCAACAAAAATCAGTCTCAAATTGCATCACAGACCAAATGGACCTGACAGACATTTACAGAACATTTCATCCAACAGCTACTGTATACACATTCTTATGAGCACATGGAGAATTCTCCAGGATAGACCAGATAATAACCCAAAAACAAGCCTCAACCTATTTTTAAAAATTGAAATCATATCACAATAGAATAAAACTAGGAATAAATAAGAACTTTGGAAACTGTACAAATAAATGGAAATGAAAATATGTTCCTGAACACCAGTAGAGTCCAGTAGAGTGATGAAGAAAAATTAAGAAGAAAACAAAAAAAATTATTAAACTAAAATACAAACACAACATACCAAAATCTATGGGATACAGCAAAAGCTGAACTAAGAAAACAGTTTACAGCAATAAACACCTACATCAAAACAGTGGCAAGACCTGAAATGAACAACCTCAAGGAATTTAAAAAGCAAAAGCAAATCTTTCCTTCTACCAAAGTCGGTAAAAGAAAAACAAATTTAAAGATCACAGCATAAATAAACAAAATAGAGACTAAAAAAATACAAAAGATCAATGAAATCGAAATACAGTTGTTTGAAGAGATAAACAGAATCAATAAACCACTAGATAGACTAACCAGGAGAAAGAGAGAATACCCGAATAAACAAAATCAGAAATAAAAGAGGAAGACATTACAATTGATAACACAGAAATACAAAAGATCAGCGCTTGTTATGAACAACTTTATGTTAACAAACTAGAAAACCTAGAGGAAATGAATAAATCCCTTGACACATACAACCTATCAAGATTGAACCAGGAAGAAATAGAAAACTTAAACAAACTAATAATGAGTAAGGAGATTGAGTCAGTAATAAAGTCTCCTAACAAAGAAAAGCTCAAGAATGGATGACTTTCCTGCTAAATTCTACCAAACTTATAAAAAAACTCACATTTATTCTTCTCAAATCACTCCAAAAAATTGAAGAGGAGGTAATTCTTCCTAACTCATTCTATGAGGCCAGCATTACCCTAATACCAAAGCGAGACAAAGACACTGCAAAAAAAAAAAGAATACTGCAAGCCAAAACCCCTGATAAACCTAGATGCAAAAATCCTCAACAAAACACTAGCAAACCAAATCCAACAACACATCAAAAAATTACACAACATGATCAGGTGGGCTTTATCCCAGGAATACATGCAAATCAATAAACATGATATATCACAAAATGAACAAAACCTAAATGATTATTTCTATAAACACAGAAAAAGCATTTGATAAAATTCGACATCCCTTCATGATAAAAATTCTCAACAAATTACACATAGAAGGAATGTACCTCAACACAATAAAGGCCATACATGACAACCCCATAGCTGACGCCATACTGAACAAGGGAAATGTGAAAGGCTTTCCTCTAAGAATTGGAACAAGAAAAGGATATCCACTTTTACCACTCACATTCAACATAGTACTGGAAGGCTTAGCCAGAACAATTAAGGAACAGAAAGAGCATCCAAACTGGAAACAAGGTAATCAAACTGTTTCTGTTTGCAGACAATATAATCTTATATACAGAAAAACCTAAAGTCTCCACCAATTCTTAGAACTGATAAATGAATTTAATAAAGGTGTAGGACACAAAATCAAAATACAAAATTTGGTAGCATTTCTATAAAGCAATAATGAAAGAGCTGAAAAACAATTCAAGAAAGCAATCTCATTTACAATATCTACTTACCAAAAAAAAAACACAAATGCCTAGAAATAAATTTAGCATGCAAAAAGTGAGTAAGCATGCTACCATTTTTCAGTTCTGTAAATCCTTTACAACTTTAATTTTAGTATTTCTCAGCATTGTGACTGAACACTGAGATTTCTGCTATATTTTACAGACTCTCAGATAAGTCATTATAAATCTCCTAAATATATATAAATACATTATTTTTCGGGGCTCAATTATGAAAGTAAAAGTCCTGGGGGGGTGGTTATTAATTAAAACACATCATGAAGTTAGCAACAGCAACAAGTACCACAAAAGGCAATCCTAAGTGCTATGGTTTGAATATTTGTATGGTTTGAATATTTGTATCATCTCAAAATTCATTTTTGAAACATACTCTCAAGGTGATTGTATTAGGAGGTGGAACTTTGGGAGGTGATTAAAGTGTAAGGAAAGAGCCCTCATAAATGTGATCAGTGACCTTATAAAAGAGAACCCAGGTAAATGCCTTGCCCTTTCCATTATGTGAGGATGCAGCTAGAAGGCATCATCTATGAGGAACAGGTCCTCATTAGACACCTATACTGTTAGCACCTTGATCTTGGACTTCCCAGGCTCCAGAACCGTGAGAAATAATTTTCTGTTGTTTATAAACTGCCCAATCTAGGGAATTTTTGTTACAGCAGCACCTGTGAACTAAGAAACTAAGAATGTTGCTTAGAGTTAAGATTAAGATCTCATAGGCAAGAGACATACTCTGCCAGCCAAGATAGAGAAAATGGGACCTGATTTACCCTCACATTTGAAAACAACTCAAAAATGGAAAACATAAATTTAAGAGTGGTTTTACACCGAACAAGCAACAAAGCATGCCGATTCCTGGGGGGAAACAAATAAAATAATCATACAATTGAACCAGCTTATTGCCAGGAGAACTTACAGATTGTGACGCGAAAAGCATGAAGCAAGGTGGAACCTAGAAGTCTCTCTAAGTAGAGGAACTGGGCCTGGAAACCAAAGAGACCAAGACGCCTAGAGTTTGCAGGGCAGAATAGCAAAGAGGTGAAAGCTGCAAGGACAAAGAATTCTGGAGATGTTCAGGCTTACTCCTTGAGTGTGCAGCTGAGTACCGATCAACCCATGCATATGAGTAAACTACTAGAGAACCAACTGAAAGGATTATAGGAAATAATCCTAACTCTCACATAGTTTTAGAACAGCTCCTCCTGTTCACAATGGTCAGAGTAGAAAGCCTTATAATTAACAGGATATCAGGTAGAAAACTTAGAAGGCTTTTGCCTCAGTAGGAGGTAAAACTAGCCCTGAACTAAATGCTGCTCTGGTCCTACCTGAGAAAGCAGAAAGACAGACATAAAAGGGTCAAACTCTTTCCAAGTGATTTAACTGTATCCCTTAACAAGCTCAAGAGTACGAAAATATCTGGACCAAAAAGGGTAATATTACAATGTCTGGCCTCTAATCAAAAATTACTAGACATGTAAAGAAACAGGAAAATACAGGCCATGAGAAGAAAAATCAATTAACTGAAACCAACATAGAATTGTTACATGTTAGAATAACAGAAAAGAACATTAAAAAAAGGTTACTGTGTATTTAAAAAGCTAGAGAAAAATTTGAAAAGTGTTAAGATATTCAAAAGATCCCAACTAAACTTCTCAAGATGAAAACTACATCTTTGGGGTAAAAAAGCACTGAAAGTATTAATAGCACATTAGTCTATGTGAGAAAAAAATGTGAGATTGGATTTACAGTCATAGCAACAGAAATTATCTAAAGTTAAATGGTGATTTTTAAAATACTGGAAAAAATTGAATAGAACATCAATAAGCTGTGGAACAACATCAAGCAGTCGAATATATGTGTAATTGGAGTTCCCAATGAAGGAGAAACAGAAAGGATATTTGAATAAATAATGGTTAAAATTATTCCAAATCTAATGAAAACAATAAAGCTATAAATCCAAGAAGCTCAATGAACTCCACTGAACACATGAAAAAAAAAAAGACGCTGTCATATATCACTAAATTGCTTAAAACCAATGTTAAAGACAATCTTTAAAACAGCTAGAGAAAAAAAATACACATTATCTACAAGGCAACAAAGACAATGTTGATGGCCAATTTCTCATCAGAAACAATGCAAGCCAGAAAAGAGTAGAACATCTTAAAAGCAATTTTAAAACACCGTCAACCTAGAATTATTTACTCAACGAAAACATCTTTCAAAAATAAAGGCAAAATGAGAATATTAAAGGATAAGAAATGTTAAAGGAAATCCTTCAGACAGAGAAAAAATAACTATCAAGGACAATCCTGCATCTCAAGATCCTTAATCACATCTGCAAAGTCCCTTTTACAACGCGAGGTAACATTCATGAATTCCTGGAATGAGAATGTAGACATCCTTTAGGGGCCATAATTCTACTAACCACACACCTCATATGAAGAAACCACTTAAAAAGATGTTACACTAGAATAAAAAATAGTAATGCAAGAAAAACATATGAGAATTCTTTTTAAATGGAAGCCTCATATGACTGAGAAGAAACAGACAAAAGGACAAAACTGACACTCTTTCGGACTTTGATGCCTAGGCCATTACCTTTTGAACTGCATACTTAGTAATTTAAGATTGTTTTCTTCTTAATCACTCCAAGTATACTACTTGATTCCACAGCAAATATTTACATAATGATAATATTGTAAGTGATGTTAAGAAAAAAACAAACTCATGAGCAATCTGAAGAGTGATTTTTAAAAAAAAAGGTTTCTGCCTGCCTGCATCAACTGCTCTATCAATCAAATTGCTTTTCACTTTTAAGGGCAAAATCTGGCATAAGAGGAATTGAAATTATGGTAATTTAACTCCATACAAATATTTTCTAAGTAACATTTCTTGGTCAAGTTTCTTTTCTCCTTCATACTCTTAACCAAGCTGCAAACTTTGATGCTAAGGGGATTTATGGCCCATCAAGAAATTCAATAACTTTTAATATACATTTTCCTTACATAAAATGCTTCGATGCAAGACCAAATTGACCTATTATGTTTATTTTAGAGCTAGTAATGCAATTTCAGAATATCTGAGAAGCTGCAAATGAGTAGAATTTACCTTTCTCTATTTGTATGCATACATCCATGCCAATAAAAATTAGACATATTCAAGGTTTCACATTCAACAGTAAGAGACTAGCATTTTAAACTCAACCTAGGAGGTATAACTTTCGCAATCACCCTAAGTTAATAATTTGTCATAATATTAACTATCCCCCAACACTCGAAAACTAGAAATTCCACAATCTTACAAATAGGCTTCTCATTCTATAATTGATGGATTATCTAAATAACCATAATTAAGGAAATAAAAAAAAATTTTAAGAATAAACAATTCAACATTACTTCCCATTCAAACACTATCTAACTGGGAATGACAGTTCGGGTCCTTAGTGTAGAACATAATGTTTAAAGAACCAATACCACACACAGAACTGATTCTCTTTAGTGATAACACAGTGGTGAAATATTTCACTTGATTCTCCAGTAATCCAAGTTAAAGGCTTTGAAGTCACTATATTTGTTCACCAACTTCATCCATTTCCATTTAATCATTAAAACCCTGTTTCACTGAAGTCAAGCCTGCTTGGCCATCATTTGAGTTCCAGAGATGCCAGGCCAACACTTAGTTTCGCATGACAGACCTCAGTGACCCATATTTTTCAAGCACTCACTGAAACTTCCTTTGCAAAGAACTGCTAATCATTATTGTGAGAAGAGATAAGAACGCTGATCTGCTCATTGAAAATTAACTGACTTCACATAGAGAACCTCATCACCTAGACCTTAGCTTCCCTTTTTTGATCTTGATAATCAGAAAAGAAATTTTGCCTATTTATATTGATGTTTTTAAGATTTCCACCAGTACTACTAATTACTCTACTTCCAACAGGTTACAATACATAGGACCACAAGTTGCAACATTTAGTATTGCTGCTTACGTCCTAGGGTCAGCCACCTAAAAAAAAAAAAAAAAAAAAAAAAAAAATGTCCAACAGCCTCTATTCTCTTCAGCTGTAAAATAAAAACCTGACATCTATGAGGTTGTTACAACAGGAATAAAGAGTACATTACATCAAATTTCAGAAGTTTGCACTGAAAGTAAAGGTAATTCAAGCAAAAATATGAAAAAATCTCGAAAATGTATTTTCCCCCAAATAATTATCCTAGATCTAAACCATTTCAGCTAAAATGGTTTTACTCTCCCCACTATGTGAGTTACTTATTACTTGTTCTTTTTCTTTTTAAAGAAAGACACTAAGGTATTTATAACAAAACCTGGACATTACAAATTTAAAATAACAAGCTCAGACTTTATACATTTAATATGTTCTTGATCAGTCACAGAGCCAAAAGAGAAACAAACAGAATTAAGCTTACAAGAAAATAAAATAGTAAAATATTAATATATAAAATAGAAAAGGAGGTATATATAACAGAATTTATTATACCAAAATTAAATGTAATTCTAACAAGGCTAGAGAGGCAAAAAAAAAAAAATCAAATGTAAGTCATATAAGACTTTAAAAATCAGGATATTAAACCAACATTGATATCACATTGTTTAAATTAGGTCCTTCCTTTTAGCCATAATGAATGTGTATATTTCATGGATCAAAAACACAAAGTAATTCTTATTATACAAATGCTGTTCTAGTAAACACACAAGCATTTTTTTTCTGATGTTTGCACCTTCTTTATACTTTCTTCCAAAACCACTGCTCCTGACTTACATCACAGGAAGAACAACAAAAAAGAGTAGGAACTTCAGAAACTGAACCATAAAATAAGAATGCCTGTTTGCCTAAGGCGTTTATAATGGCTAACATGTTTAATAAGAGAATCTATATATTGTAGGCTCTTTATAAAAATTACATAACTACAGCATTGACTAAAGTTCAATTTTAAAAGCCTGAAATTCTCCCATTTTTGTCTTACAAGACAGGAAAAGAAGACCGGATTTAAAGTTCAGAGACTAAGTTCTGCTCAGGGTTCGACAATAAAACAGATAAGCTAATAGAGCTCATCACTTAAATTGTCCTCTCTGACTCTCAGCTTTCCTTAACTGTAGAATTAGTACAACCACCACAGATCTTCCTAACTCCTTAAGAATTTAATATGGGATTAACAGGTATGAATTCAATCAATTCCTGCCTTCCACCTATCACCCAATAAAGAATCAGTTCATTTTAAATGACCTTGAGAAAATGTAATTCATTTTCAATATCATTTAAAATAAACATAACAAAAACATTATTTTAAATAAAATTCTTCTTCTACAGAATCCAAATAGTATAAATTGAAACATAAGTTATTCAATGTTTTTAGTTCTATAAGTCACCATTCCCCTCAAACACTGTAGGTAACCAAGAAGTTAAGACTCTTAACACATGAAGAGTGAACTCTTTCCCATCCAGACCCAGTAGACTGGTTTTTTTTACATTTTTGTACTCTATTGACAAAGTTCCAAAAAGCTACCCTTGAAAATGACAAAGAAGTGTTAGCACACAAAATGAGCATTAAAATCTGCTTGATGTTCATTAAAGAAAAAGCTAAAAAAAGAAGGGGGAGTCTAGCCCCCCCGAAAAAAAAACTTGTCTTTATATATTTTATAAACATTTCAGAAGACTAATTTCTAAAATTAACTTGCATGGTGTTCCTTGCACTAAACATCTGTATTACTTTCCTAATGCTGCTGTAACAAAATAATACAAACTTAGCAACTTAAAACAGCACAAATTTATTGTCTTACAGTTTCAGAGGTCAGAAGTCCAAAATGGATTTCACTGGGTTAAAATCCAGGTGTTGATGGACTGCAATCCTACTGGAAACTCTAGAGGATAATCTGTCTCCTTGACTTTTGGAGCTTCTAGAGGCTGCCGACATTCCTTGCAGCTTCCTTCCATCTTGAAGTCCAACAATTCCAATCAAGTTGCTCTCACATTGAATTCCTCTGACTCTAACTCCTTTGCCTCCCTCTTTCACTTACTGCCAATGTGATTGCATTAGGCCCACCTGGATAACCCAGGCTAACCTCTTTAAGGACAGCTGATTGGTAACCTTAAAGCCATCTGCAACCTAATTCCCCTTGCCATGGTAACACAGTCACAAGTTCCAGGGATTTGAATATGGACATCTTTGGGAGGTCTGTCTTCTCTCCACCACTACATCTGTCATACATTTATTGAGAGAGTCTATTAACAGATTATAGGGATGAACAAGCCCTATGGGGGTCAATTTAAAGGGAAAGACAAAAGAACAAAACTACAATTCAGTAGGAAAAAATATATAAACACAGGAACACTTAGCAACAAAGGCAGATGAATAAAAATTTCTTTAAAATAATAACTAAAATATTATATATCTGTCTGAAAGCCCATGCCTACGTGGAATGTTCTACATACTTTAATATCATTGTGAGGAAAGCCCTGTTTAAAAAACGTCACAAGGAATACAGTCAATATCAATCAGAATTTTAGAGACTGTTGAGATCTGAAGATATCTCACCACCAATCTAGTGTTCAACTGAGACCTAGAGAAATTATAACTTTCCTAAGATCACTTGGCTAGATAGTTTCAGAAACAGGACTTTAACTCAATTTCCTTATTTCTGGTCAAAATACTATATGACATAGCACAAACAAAAAAGTTCACTACGGTGTGTTTAAGAAATAAGAATAACCTGTAATCCCAGAACTTTGGGACGCCGAGGCGGGTGGATCACAAGGTCAGGAGATGGAGACCATCCTGGCTAACACGGTGAAACCCCATCTCTTCTAAAAATACAAAAAATTAGCTGGGTGTGGTGGCGGGCACCTGTAGTCCCAGCTACTCAGGAGGCTGAGGCAGGAGAATGGCATGAACCCGGGAGGCGGAGCTTGCAGTGAGCCAAGATCACACCACTGCACTCCAGCCTGCGTGACAGTGCAAGACTCCATCTCAAAAATAAATAAATAAATAAAATAATAAAAAAAGAAATAAGAATAAAATGTAATTACAGTTTGAAAATATCAACTACAGATTTGTGCAACTATAAATCTGTATAGTAAAACATAAGTTATTCAATGTTTTTAGTTCTATAAGTCACCATTCCCCTCAAACACTGTAGGTAACCAAGAAGTTAAGACTCTTAACACATGAAGAGTGAACTCTTTCCCATCCAGACCCAGTAGACTGGTTTTTTTTACATTTTTGTACTCTATTGACAAAGTTCCAAAAAGCTACCCTTGAAAATGACAAAGAAGTGTTAGCACACAAAATGAGCATTAAAATCTGCTTGATGTTCATTAAAGAAAAAGCTAAAAAAAGAAGGGAGAGTCTATCCCCCCCCAAAAAAAACTTGTCTTTATATATTTTATAAACATTTCAGAAGACTAATTTCTAAAATTAACTTGCATGGTGTTCCTTGCACTAAACATCTGTATTACTTTCCTAATGCTGCTGTAACAAAATAATACAAACTTAGCAACTTAAAACAGCACAAATTTATTGTCTTACAGTTTTAGAGGTCAGAAGTCATAAAAGTCCTAAGGTCAGAGAAAGAGAAATTATGTATGATCTCACTTATATGCGAAATCTAAAAAAGTCAAACTCACAGAAACAAATAGTAGAATGATGGTTACCAGGGGCTGGGTGGGAAGGAGAGGTGTGGAATTAGGAAGATGTTGGTCAAAGGATACAAAATTTCACACAGACAAGAAAAGTAAGTTCAAGAGATCTGTACACATTGTGACTACAGTTAATAACAATGTACTGTATACTTGAAAACTACTGAGAAGAAAACAGATTTTAAATGTGTTCACCACACACACAAAAATTAAGTATGTAAGGTAATGGATATGTTAATTAGCTCATTTGAGCTATTCCACAATATGTACATATATCAAAACATCATGTTGTATATACCATGAACATATTAAATTTTTATGTCAATTTAAAAGTAAATAAATAATAAAAGTTTTGCAGCTTAAAGGTATAAAGTTCAGCCATTTAGCAAATTCACCTTTGTATAATAACCTCTTGTTCAAAGATGTTATAAATGTGAGACCTCATATTTCATTAATCTAGTTCACATTACTTCATTGAGATCTTACCAGATGCCAGGCAAGTCCTAGGTAAAGGGGATACAGCAGTGAACAACAAATTTTAAAAGCCCTGCTTTTATGAACTTTTATGAAATAGTGAAGGATCAGGGGAACAGATAAAAAGGAAACAAGTATATCATATGTCAGAAAGAGGTTGTATTTACTAGTACTGAGATGTGAAGGAAGATCAGAGACGTGCATTCTCAATGTCACTTAAAAACAAACAGGATGTGGAATGTTAAAAGCTGATGACAAGATGAAGGAGATAAAATGTCTAATATCTTAAAAACACCCAAACACACAAGCACTGTCATAAAATTGAATGAGAACCTCTTTCTCAAACCCCAAATAAAAATTAATACCAATTAAAATCAAACTCCATCCAAACTGTAGAATTGGCAGAAAGAATAGATGCATTGGTCAATGGAACAAGACACAGACCCCAGAAATCAACCCATACAATGTAGTCAACTGATTTATGAAAAACACAGAAAGGCGATTCAATGAAAAAAGCATAGTCTTTTCAACAAATGATGCTAGAATAATTGTATATTCATACACCAAGAAAAAAATTAAATGAACCTGGACTTGGACCTTATATTTTACAAACAATGCAAAATGAATCATAAACCTAGACATAAAATGCAAAACAGTAAAATTTCTAGATGAACACATAGGAGAAAATCTACATGACCTTGGGTTTAGTGATGAGTTTTTAGATACAATACAAAAAAACATTATTTATGAAAGAAGATAGATAAATTGGACTTAATAAAATTCAAACTCTACTCTGTGAAAGACACTATTAAGAGAATGAAATGACAAACCAAAGATTCGGAGAAAATATTTAGAAAACATGTCTGATAAAGAAGTTGTATATAAAATATACAGCGGGGCAGGGAGACTCATGCCTGTAGCCCTAGCACTTTAGGAGACTGAGGTGGGAGGACTGCTTGAGGTCAGAAGTTTGAGACCAGCCTGGTCAACATAGCAAAACCCCGTCTCTACAAAAATATTTGAAAATAAAATATTAGTAGAGTATGGTGGCACTGCCTGTAGTCCCAGCTACTCAGAAGGCTGAGGTGGAGGATTACTTGAGCCCAGGATTTTGAGGCTGCTTTGAGCCATGATCATGCTACTGCACCCCAGTCAAGGTGATAGAGCAAGACCCTGTCTCCAAACTAAATAAATAATTAAAATATACAAAGAATTCTTGAAACTAAGCTGGGCACAGTGGCTCACACTTGTAATCCCAGCACTTTGGGAGGCCGAGGCAGGTGGATCACCTGAGGTAAAGGTGTTCAAGACCAGTCTGGGCAACATGGTAAAAACCCGTCTCTACTAAAAATACAAAAAAATTAGCCGGGCACAATGGTGCACATCTGTAATCCCAGCTACTCAGGAGGCTGAGACAGGAGAATCGCTTGAACTCAGGAAGCGGAGGTTGCAGTGAGCCGAGATCACACCATTGCACTCCAGCCTGGACAACAGAGTGAGACTTCATCTCAAAAAAAAAAAAGAAAAAAACAAACAAACAAACAATTCTTGAAACTCAACAATAACAACAACAAAAAAAAGGGCCAAAAAAAAAAAATCTGAACAGACTCCTCACCAAAGAAGATACATAGATGACAAATAAGCATACGAAAAGATGCTCAACATCATTATCTCATTAGGGAAATACAAATTAAAATGATGAGATACTACTAGACATCTATTAAAATGGCGAAAATTTTAAAAACTGACAATACCAAACGTTGACTAGGATGCAGAGAAACAGGAGCTCTCAATTCATTGTTGGAGTGAATGCAAAAGCTGTATACCATTCCAAATTTTGGAATACAGTTTGGCAGTGTCTTAAAAAGCTAAACACAGTCTCTATCATATAATATAGCAATTGTGCTCCTTTGAAATTTTATGTCAACATAAACACCTGCATGAGAATGTTTATAGAAGTCTTATTTATACTGGTCAAGAGCTGGAAACAATCTCAACAGGTGAGTGTATAAACGAACTGTTGTCATCCATATAATAGAATACTATTCATAGGAGAAAAAAAAAAACTGGCTGAGGGAGGTGGCTCATGCCTGTAGTCCCAGCACTTTGGGAGGCCAAGATGGGCAGATTGCTTGAGTCTAGGAGTTTGAGACCAGCCTGAGCAACATGGCAAAACCCTGTCTCCACAAAAAATATAAACGTTGGCCAGGTGTGTGGTCCCAGCTACTCAGGAGGCTGAGGTGGAAAAATCACCTGAGCCCAGGAAGTTGAGGCTGCAGTGAGCCATGATCGCACCACTGCACTCCAGCCTGGGTGACAGAGGGAAACCCTGACACACACACACCCCAAAGTAAACTAAAACAAAAACAAGGGCCTATGTGACAGAGCACGACCCTGTCCCCTCCCCTCCCCAAAAACACAACAACATAGATAACTCTTATATGCATATACATAAATATGATGTTGAGCCAAGGAAAAGATTATGTACTATATGACATTTGTGTGACATTCTGAAAAAGGCAAAACTACAGTGACAGTAAATAGGTCAATCATTGCCAGGGGTTTCGGAAGGGGTGAGGGTTGAATAAATATAGCACATTGGATTTTTAGGATATGAAAGTATTCTCTTTGATATTCTAATGGGGGATACATGACATTGTAAATTTCAAAACCCACAAAATACAGAGCTAACCTTAATGTATGCAAATTGTAAAAAATCATTTGGGAGGTTGGAGAATCCAAGATGGAATGCAGGCTGTGGTGAAAGAATCTAGCAAATGTATAAAATACACTCAGTGATGGAATGGGAAAGATGCTGACCTGAGCATCCTTACAAATAAGTGGAGTAGGTAAGACTAAAGGCAAAAGGCACTGTGCATAAGCTCTGTGGATAAAACTGTTTCTCACAGGGTATTTAGTTAGGAATTCTAAAATCACTATTATACTGTATACTGGAGTTGAACAATGCAAATGGATCGTGGCTCTTGGGAGCCAGATCTCTCAGTGTTTGAATGACAGTTTACAGAGAAGCAATGAGAGAAAACTCCAATGAGCCATGTGGTAACAGATTAAGAGTTGAAGTCATCAGTATAAACACATATTTGGCTTAATATAGACAGACACAAATACAAATATTTATAAATATGTGAACATACACAGATTATTATACACAACATATTTCCTTGCTCTGTCAGCTGAAAGAGCCTAGAAGCAACACATCCCAGTAGCAATGAGCATAGCAGATCTTGGTTTCTAGTAACAGTCTCCAATAAAAGAAACCAGGGCTCCTTGGAAAAAATCATTGATTCTAGCACTGGAGCAGGGAATATACAAGATGTGCATGAGCATCTTGTAGTGCCAGAAATTAAGAAAGTACTCAAAAACAACAACAATGCAACAGTGGGGGTATATCAAAGGGACACAGTAGCCAACTGAAAGAGCTTCCATGGCCAAAGCTACAACAGTCTGATCAATGAAATAAACAAGTATTAGATTATAATCCAAAGTATAAAATAAATAAATATCCATACTGACATACATACATGCATGCATGTATACACAGAGAAGAGACCAATCTCTTATGCAGAAGAATTCCGAATAGTTGATGTAGATACTCTCCTCTCACAGAAGTGCAGCATGACTCCTACTCACACATGGGCTGCACGCAGTGCCTTCAATACCATTACAATGGAGGAACCTGATGACTACCACCTCAGCCAGGTGATCAAGATTCACATCAACAGTAAAACATGATGCTGACACAATAGTGTACACCCTTAATATGAGGAGAATGGTACTTTACCTCTTTAGACTTCCTCCCCAAAAATACATAATCATGAGAAAAAAACATCAGACAGATCCCAACTAAGGGATGTTTTATGGAATACTTCTCAAAACTGTCAAAATCATCAAAAGCAAGAGGAGTCTGAGAAACTGTCACAGCCAAGAGGAGCCAAGGGAGACATGACAATGAATGCAATGTGATATTCTGGATAGAGTCCCAGAATAGAAAAAGAACAGCAGGTAAACACTAAGGAAATCTGAATAAAGTATGGACTGTAGTTCATAACAATGCATCATTACTGGCTCATTAATTAATATAAGATGGTAATAATAAGGGGAAACTGGGTTTGGCGTATAGGGGGACTCGCTGTACTATATTCATAACTTTATCTCTAAAGCTGCTCTAAAATAAAAAGGTTGCTTAAAAGTATCTACTGGAATGAATGACAAAATCTTACCAGTGAAGAAAATAAGAAACCTCCATTAGGTCTCTAGGTACCAATTTAAGCACATCTGAAAGTCTGATTCATCCCTTAAATATTTAAAAGGCAGGAGGCCAATATGTTATCTTTTTTCTAATTTTTAAATTTTTTTGAAAAAGTACAAATATCCTCTGGATTGCAAAACTGATACTTTAATATTGATTTTTTTCTTAAGTATTTGAAAGTACTGGTAACAGGATAACAAAATAAATTATTTTTTTAAAAAAAGTTTTTTACTTAATTAGGTAAAACTGTGGTCAACTGTGGGTGTCATTTGGACCTGGGTTTTTCCTGCAACTATGAGAGCCATTCACTACAGAGGATCCCAGAGCTGAGTCTTAGAGGACTTCACCAACGATGCCTCAGTAGAGATGACCTGTAAGCACCACCTGCTACCTGAAGAACAAGCTGGCTTCATATATCCTACACTAGAGGCTGAAAACAGGTGGTATTTTACTTGGCCCATAAATATTTTTCGTAATCTGAACTAGTTGTCACAATAAAAATTGGGAGACTGCTTGTAAAAATTCAAATTTCTACCACTTGGTTTGAAAAACAGGAAGATTTGGCCACATCTGGCCTGCATTTTCACAGGACAACAACCAGATGTAATACAACACAGGCAGCCCCTTTAAACAAGGCATAGCTATCTGTCTAGTTTGCCTCAATCTCCACCACTCCCTATGTTCAGTATCCCAGGCCACTTTACTTATTACTTAGAGCTCTGCAACCTTCCATCCTGTTACTCCTGGAATTTGAAAAACAACAACATTGGAGACAGACCAACAGTATCTGTAAGCTAATACAAATAACAGCATTTTTATGTCATGACCTAGAAGTACTCTGAATTATCCAGGTAATAATGAACAGCCACACTAAAAATGCCCAAACAGCATTCATTGCTTAATTCCGGTTCAGGAAAGAAGTCAATAGGATGGAGATGTAATAGATAAAACAAGATATAAATAGATATATTCTGCTAAATCCTATCTCCTGACAAAGACTAATCCCTCCCAACCTCCAGAGCAACAACAAAAATACCCAACACTGTAAAATAGTGTTCTTCTCTGTCACTAACTCCAATTAGCCCCAGTCAGGAGTTTGGGTTGTTCAGGTATGTTCTTGCATTGGTTGGAGGTAGTAAACACAGACATCCCTGGCATACCATGAAACGTAAAGGGACAGGGCCCAAGGAATACTGCACCCTTCCACTCTTCCAAGTACTGAACTCAAGCGTCCTTCTACTGATGACAAAATGAGCACAATAAAAAGGCACTTACACGTTGGGGCAATGGAAAAATCAGTTATTTGAAGGCATCTGTTTCTAATGTGGAGAAATTTAATTCCCATGTGCGCAATTTTGAGAACTTTTAATTCTGGTGCTGGATGAGGGTAGATTTGCTTGTTCTGATTCTGACTTTCCAATCCATTAGGCCTCTGGTAAACTCTGATACTATCACTACAAATTACACAAACTCACAGACTCCTGAATAAAAGAAAAAGTCTGATTATTATTTATGTAAAGTAGGATCCACTTTCCAAATCTAACTGCTTCATCATCACAGTCAACGTTAATTTCTCAATTTGCAAAACTGAGAAACTAATTTCTTAATTTTGCAAACTTGAGAAACTAATTTCTTTTTTTCCTTTTTTCTTTATTTTTAGGGAAACTAGTTTCTTAGAGTGCTTAGGAGATACTATGAAAAGTTAAAACATGTAAAGACTAATCGTGTATCCTATCTAAATGAGTATATCCTGAATTCTTAGCATAATAGAGAAATACCTTGTATTAGTTGCTAGTGCTGCTGTAATGAAGTACCACCAACTAGGTGGCTTAAACAATATAAATTTATTGTCTCACAATTTCTGGAAGCAGTAAATACAAAAGCAAGGTGTTGACAGGGTTGGTTCCTTTTGAGGGGTATGAGAGAAAGATGAGTTCCATGTCTCTCTCATTGGCTTGTAGATAGCTGTCTTTTCTCTGTGTCTCTTCACACTGTCTTCCTTCTATGCATATCTCTGTATCCAAAGTTCCCCTTGTTAATAAGAATACCAGTCATATTAGATTAGAACCCAACCTAATGATCTTGCTTTAACTTGATTACCGCCGCAAAAGCCCTATCTCCAAATGAGCTCCCAGAGGTGAAAATGTCAACATCTGATTTTGGGGGAAAGGGAGACACAATTCAACCTGTAATAACATGTTAATGGATACACATGTATGTATGTATGCATGTCTATTAATTCAGTATAGTTATATTATCTTGATCCTTGATAAGCATGGTTCTAGTTGCATATATGTATGTATATATGTATTCCTGTTAGTGTGTATTTGTAACACACAATGTAAAACTTTTTTCTATTTCTTTCCTTTCTACATACGTAACACAGATCACACATATATATCCATACTTCACTGCTAAACAGAGGTGTTTCAAGCCAAGTCTGAAATAAACACTCAAAATCGGACATATTTTCCAAGGGAGGTAAAGATTACAGTGTAACCAACAGGAATGTTCAAGCCAGCAATAATTTAATTTAGTAGCTGAGCCAAACCATGACAGTCTACTTTTAAAATAAGTAAACTTGAGAATGTGATATTGTTACAATTCTTAACTATGGCATGCAAGAACATTTCTTTTAAACTTCAAGTCACACAAATCCATTTTGTATATTTATTTTTTAAAGGAAATGTCTATTCAGCACATTTGGAATTTGGAAGCTTGAAAATAACTGAATCCTTTTTCCTGTTGGGTGCATTTTAACACCAAATGTAAATGCTATTATGAGGTTCCAGTTACCACAGGACTCAGGCTTCATGCAGACTTAGTTTGATGAAAGTCTCAGAAGGAAATACTCATGGTTCAGGTTCCAATGGATGAAGGCATTCACCCTGTGAAACACAGAAAGTGCTACCTTTTTTAAACTGTAACAAAGGTAACCAGTTATGACTCTTCAAGTGTCATAACTGACACTTGCTCTTGCTCTTCCTTTTAAAACGTTTGAGTAGTTTCTAAAAGATCATGCCTGTTTATAAAGGTTTACCTAAGGCAAATTTGTCCTATCAGGTAAAATATCAGAATGCAGACAGGTGGTTTCTTTTTTTTTTTTTTTTAATTATGGTTAAAAAAAAAAACATAGGCCAGGCATAGTGGTTCACACCCTGTAATCCCAGTGCTTTGAGAGGCCGAGACAGGAGGATCGCTTGAGGCCAGAAGTTCAACACTAGCCTGGGCAACATGGCAAGACTGTCTCTACAAAACCTAAAAAAATTAGCTGAGCCTAGTGGCACATAACCATAGTCCTAGCTATTGGGGAGGCTTAGGCAGGAGTACTGCTTGAGCCCAGGAGTTCAAGGTTGCAGTGAGCTATGATCACACCACTGCACTCTAGCCTAGGTGACAGGAGCCAGACCCTGTCTAAAAAAGTGGGATGGGAGGAGTAACAAAATTTACCATTTTAACCATTTTTCAGTGTACATTACAATAGTGTTGACTACATGCACATTGTTGTAAAAAAGAAACACAGAACTTCCTTATCTTGCAAAACCAAAACTCTATAACCACTAAACAACTCTCCCTTTCTTCATCCCTATCCCTTGGTAACTACCCATTCTACTTTCTGTTTCTAAGAGTATGGCTATTTTAGATACCTCATGTAAGTGGAATCATGTGGTATGTGTCTGTGACTGGTTTATTTAAGTTAGCATGATGACCTCCAGGTTTATCTATGTTGTAGCATATGACAGGATTTCCTTTTTTTAATCCTGAGCAATATTCCATTGTATGTCTATATCACATTTTTTTATCCCTGTCTCTGCTGATTAACATTTAGGTTGTTTCCACCTCTTAGCTACTGGAAATAATGCTGCAATGCAAATGGGTGTGCACATATCTCCATGGGGTCCTGTTTTCAATTCCTTGTATATAAACCCAGAAGTGAGATTGCTGAATTATACGGTAATTTTGGTTTTAATTTTTTGAGGAGCCTCTATATCATTTTCCCTAGTGGCATCACTTTACATTCCCACCAACAGTGCAAAAGGATTGCAATTTCTCCAGATCCTAACCAACACTTGTTTTTTTCAGTTTGTTTTTTTTTAATAATGGCCATCCTAATGAGTGCAAGGTGATACCTCTTGTGGTTTTGAGTTACATTTCCTTAACAATTACTTGATGTTGATCTTTTCATGCCGATGTTTATATTTTCATGTTTGTTGGCTAACTGTATATCTTCTTTGATATATTCGAGTCCTTTGCCCATTTTTAAATTTTGATGTTTGTTATTGAGTTACAGAAGTTCTTTACATATATTGGTTATGTACCCGTTATGAGATATATGGTTTGCAATTATTTTCTCCCATTACGTAGACTGCCTTTTCACTCTGTTGATTTTCCTTTGCTGCACAAAAGTTTTTAGGTCTGATGTCCTATTTGTCTATTTTTGCTTCTGGTGCCTGTGCTTTTTGTGTTAAATCCACAAAATCATTGCCAAACCCAATGTCATGAAGCTTTTCCCCTGTTTTCTTCTAGGAGCTTAATAATTTCAGGTATTACATTTAGGTCTTAATCCATTTAATTTTTTTTAATCTGGTATAAGGTTATACCATTCTTCTGCATGCCAATATCCAGTTTTTCCAACATCATCTGTTGAAGAGATTGTCCTTTCCCTACTAGTAGCCTTGGCATCTTTGTCAAAAATCATTTGACTATATAGGCGAGGATTTATTTCTCGATTCTCTATTCTGTTCCACTAGTCTGTATGTCTGGGTTTTTTTTTTTGTTTTTTTTTTTTTTTTGAGACAGGGTCTTGCTCTGTCACCTGGGCTGGAGTGCAGTGGCGTGATCACAGCTCTCTGCTGCCTCAACTTCCCGGACTCAAGCAATTCTCCCACCTTAGCCTCCAGATTAGCTAGGACCAAAGGCACACATCACTACACCTGGATAACTTTTGTTATTTTTTGTAGAAACAGGGTTTTGCCATGTTGCCCAGGCTGGTCTCAAACTCCTGATCTCAAACGATCTGCCCACCTCTGCCTTCCAAAGTGCTGCGATTACAGGTGTGAGCCACCACACTGGGCTTATATGTCTGTCTGTCTTTATTCCACTACCATAATATTTTGATTGCTATGGATTTGTAATATGTTTTTAAGTCAGGACATACGAGGTTTCGAGCTTTGTTTTTCTTTTCTCAAGACTTTTTTGGCTTTTCTGGGTCCTCTGAGATTCCATATGAATTTTAGAATTTTTTTTTCTATTTCTGCAAAAAATAACACTGCTATTTCAATAGGGCTTATATTGAATCTGTAGATTGGTTTGGGTAATAGAGATACTTTAACAAAATATTAAGGATTCCAAACCATGAACACAGAAGGTCTTTCCATTTAGTTGTGTTTTCTGCAATTTTTTCTGCAATGTTTTGTAGTTTTCAGTGTAGAAGTGTTTCGCCTCATTGGTAAAGTTTATTCCTAAGTATTTTATTCTTTTTGATGCTACTGTAAATGTGATTGTTTCCTCAACTGCCTTTTCAGATTGGTCATTGCTGAGTATAGAAATGTAACTGACTTTTGTGTGTTGATTTTGTGTCCTGCAACTTTGCTAAATTTGTTTATTAGTTCTAGCAGTTTTATGTGTGTGTGTGGAATCATTAGGGTTTTCTACGTACAAGATCATGTCACCTATGAAAAGATCATTATATTTATTCCTTTCCTATTTGGATGCTTTTTGTTTTTCTTGCCTGCTTGGTCTGGGTAAAATTTTTAATACAATGTTGAATAGAAGTGGTGAGAAAAGGAATCCTTCCCTTGTGCATCATCTTAAAGAGAAAGGATTCAGTTTTCACCACTGAGTATGATGTCAGTTGTGGGCTTTTCACACATGGCCCTTTATTTCATTGAGGTAATTTCCTTCTATTCCTTGTTTGGTTAGTGTTTTGTCATGAAAGGGTGTATGACTTTCTCAAATGCTTCTTCTGCATCAATTGAGATGATCATGTGTTACATTTCCTTCATTCTGTTAACATATCAGTATTACCTTGATTTTTATATGCTGGACCATACTTGCATTTCAGTAATAAATCCCACTTGGTCATAATGCACCACTCTTTCAATGTGGTGTTGAATTCAGTTTGCTAAAATTTTGTTGAGGATTTTTGCATATCCTGGTTTTGGTATCAGAGTAATGTTGACCTTGTAGAATGAGTTTGCAAGCGTTTCCTCCTCTACAGTTTTCTGGAAGAGTTTGAGAAGGACTGGTGTTAATTCTTATTTAATTGTTTAGAAGCATTCTCCAGTGAAGCCATCTGGTCCTGGGCTTTTGTCAGGAGGCTTCTGATTGCTGATTCAATCTCCTTACCAGTATATGTCCACTCAGATATTTTATTTCTTCATAATTTGGTCTTGATTGTACATTTCTGGAAATGTATGCATTTCTTCAAGGTTATATAATTTGTTGGTGTATAATTGTTCATAGTACTCTATTATGATACTTTACATTTCTGTGGCATCAGTTGTAATGTCTCTTCTTTCTTTTCTGATTTTTGTTATTTGAGTCTTTGTTTTCTTCTTATTCTAGCTAAATATGGAACTGTTGATTTTGTTGATCTTTTTAAGAAACCAACTCTTAGTTTCATAGCCTTTTTTTTTTACTCTTTTTCTATTATCTATTTCATTTATTTGGACTCTAATTTTTATTCCTCCCTTCCTTCTGCTAACTTTGGGTTTAGCTTGTTCTTCCTTTTCTAGTCCCCTTAAGTATAAAGTTAGGTTGTTGATTGGAGATTTTCTTAATATGGATGTTTACTGCTATAAACTTCCCTCTTACTACTGCTTTTGCTGCATCTTATGTGTTGTGCTATGTTGTGTTTTCATATTCATTTTTCAATATATTTTCTAATTTCCCATGATTTCATCTTTGATCCACTGATTATTCAAGAGTGTGTTGTTTAATTTCCACATATTTGTGAATTTTCTAGTTTTTCTTGTGCTACTGATTTCTAGTTTTATTACAATATGGTCTAAAAAGATACTTGATATGACTTCAATCTTCTCTTAATACTAGTTTTGTGGCCTACCATGTGATATATCCTGAAGAATGCTCCTAGTGCACTTGAAAAGACTATCTATTCTGCTGTTTTGGTGTGCAGTGTTCTGTATGTATCTGTTAGGTCCAATTGGTCTATAGCATTATTCAAGTGCTCTGTTTCTCTACTAATATTCTGTCTGGTTATTAAAAGTGGGGCACTGAAATATTCTATTATTATTATGTTACTATTTCTCCCTTCAATTTTGTCCATGTTTGCCTTATATATTTTTTGTGTTCTGCTGTAAAGTACATGTACATTTATCATTGTCATACCTTCCTGGTGAATTGGCCCTTTCATCATTACATAATGTACTTCAAAAATTTTTTTTTATTTCAGTAGCTTTAGGGGTATGAGTGATTTTTTGGTTACATGGATGAACGGTACCATGGAGAAGTCTAGAATTTTAGTGCACCCACCACCTGAACACTATATCCAATAGGTACTTTTTCATCTCTCACCTCTCTCCTGCTTGCCAGCCTTCTGAGTCTCCAATGTACATTATACCACTCTGTATGCCCTTGCATATCCATAAGCTTAGAAACCACCTGTAAATGAGAACATGTTGGATTTAGATTTTGATTCCAGAATTACTTCACTTAGAATAATAGCCTCCAGTTCCATCCCAGTTGCTGCAAAAGACATTATTTCATTCTTTTTTATGGCTGAGTAGTATTCTACAATATACATATGCCACATTTTCTTTATCTACTCTTTGGTTGATGGGTATTTAGGTTGATTCCGTATCATTACAATTGTGAACTGTGCTGTGATAAATATGTCTTTTTTATATATTGATTTCCTTTCCATTGGGTAGATACTCAGTAGTGGAATTCATGGATCAAATCTCCATACTGTATTCTATAGAAGTTATACTAATTTACTTTCCAACCAGCAGTGTATAAGTGTTCCTTTTTCACCCTGTCCATGCCAACATCTATTGTTATTTGAATTTTTAATAATGGTCATTCTGGCTGGGGTACAGTAGTATCTTGTTGCGTTTTAACTTGCATTTCCCTGATGATTAGTGATGTTGAGCATTTCTGCATGTTTGTTGGCCATTTGCAAATCATCCTTTGAAAACTGTCTATTCATGTCCTTTGCCCACTCTTTAATGGGATTATTTGTTTTTTCTTAGTGATTTGAGTTCCGTGTATGTTGTCAGATGCAAAATTCGCAGATTTTTTCTCTCATTCTGTAGGTTGTCTATTTAATGGTTATTTCTTTTGCTGTGCAGAAGCTTTTGTTTAATTAGGTCCCATTTATTTATTTTTGCTTTTGCTGCATTTGCTTTTGATGTCTTATTCATAAATTCTTTGCTTAGGCCAATGTCCAGAAAAGTTTTTCTTCTAGAATTTTCATGGTTTCAGGTCTTAGATTTAAGTCTTTAATCTATCTTAATTTTTGTATATGGTGACAGGTAGGAATCCAGTTTCATTCTTCTACATGTGGCTATTCAATTTTCCCATCACCATTTATTTAATGGGATGTCCTTTCCCCAATTTATGTTTTTGTACGCTTTGCCAAAGATCAGTTGGTTGTAAGTATTCGGCTTTATTTCTTGGTTCTCTATTTTGTTCCACGGTCTATGTAACTACTTTTTTACCAGTACCATACTGTTTTGGTAACTATAGCCCTGTAGTGTATTTTGAAGTTAGGTAATGTGATGTCACCTTCAGATTTGTTCTTTTTGCTTAGGATTGCTTTGGCTATTTGGGCTCTATTTTGGTTCCATGTGAATTTTATGATTTTTTTTCTAATTATCTGAAAAAACGATGTTGGTTATTTTGATAGGAATTACATTGAATCTGTAAATTGCTTTGGGCAGTATGGTCATTTTCACGATATTGATTCTTCCAATCCATGAGCATAAGGTGTATTTCCATTTGTTTGTGTCACCTGTGATTTATTTAGCAGTATTTTGTAGTTCTCCTTGTACAGATGTTTCACTTCCTTGGTTATATATATTCCTAAATATTTTTGTATAACTATTGTAAAAGGAATTGAGTTCTCAATTTCATACTCAGCTTGGTTCTCAGTGCATATAGCATTGCTACTGATTTATGTATATTAATTTTGTAACCTGAGACTTTACTGGATTCATTTATCAGATCTAGGATTCTTTGGAGGAGTCAGGGTTTTCTAGGTATATGATCACATCATCAGCAAATAGACATAAGTTTGACTTCCTCTTTTCCAGTTTGGATGCCCTTTATTTCTCTTGCCTGATTGCTCTGGCTAGGACTTCCGGTATTATACTGAATAGAAGTGGTGAAAGTGGGCATCCTTGTCTTGTTCCCATTCTTAGGGGGAATTCTTTCAAGTTCTCCCCTTTCAGTATTATGTTAGCTGTGAATCTGTCATAGATGGCTTTTATTATTTTGAGGTATGTTTCATCTATAACTAGTTTGTTGAGAATTTTTATCATAAAGGGATACCAGATTTTATCAAATGCTTTTTCTGCACCTATTGAGAAAGAAAAAGTCGGAATAAAACCCACTTCATCATGATTTTTTTTTTTGTTCTAGTTCATTCCATTTCTAGTATTTTGTTGAGGATTTTTGCATCTATATACAACAGGGATATTGGTCTGTAGTTTTCTTATTTTGCTAGGTTCTTTCTTGGCTTTGGTATCAGGATGATACTGACTGGGTCGAATGAGGTAGGGAGGTTTCCCTCCTTCTCAATCTTGTGGAATAGTTCAGTAGAATTGATTCCAGTTCTGCTTTTAATGTCTAGTAGAATTCGGCTTGAATCCATATGCCCTGGGCTTTTTTTGTTGACAGGTTTGTTTTTTTGGTTTGTTTGTTTGTTTACCTGATTCAATCTGACAGCCTGTTATTGGTCTGTTTAGGATTTCTATTTCTTCCTGACTCAAGCTAGGGTGTCGTATGTTTCCGGGAATTTATCCATTTCCGCTAGATTTTCTAGCTTGTGTGCATAGAGGTGCTCATAGTAATCTCAAATAGTCTTTTATATTTCTGAGGTGTCAGTTGTAATGTCTCCATTTTCACTTCTAATTGAGCTTATCTGAATCTTTTCTCTTCTTTTCTTGGTTAATCTAGCTAGTAGTGTATCAGTTTTGTTTATCTTTCCAAATAACTAGCTTTTGTTTCATTGATTTTTGTACTGTCTTTTCAATTTCATTTCATTCTGCCCTGATCTTTGTTATTTTTCTTCTGCTAGCTTTGAGTTTGGTTTGTTCTTTTTCTAGTTCCCTGAGGCATGACATTAGCTTGTCAATTTGTAACCTTGCAGATTTTTTGATGTAGGTATTTAGTGCTATAAACGCCTCTTAACACTGCTTTTGCTGTGTCCTAGAGGTTCTGAGAACTTGTGTCATTGTTATCAATCATTTCAGAAATTTTTCAATTTTCATCTTGATTTCATTGTTAACCCAAAAATCACTCAGGAACAGATTAACTTCCATGTATTTATACAGTTTTGAGGATTACTCTTGGAATTGATTTTATTCTGCTGTGGTCTGAGAATATGGTTGATGTGATTTCAATTTTTAAAAAATTTATTGAGATTTGTTTTGCAGCTTACATATGATCTATTTTGGAGAATGTTCCATGTGCTGATAAGAAGAATGTATATTCTGCAGTTCTTGGGTAGTTCTTGAGTAGAATGTTCTGTAAATATCTCTTAGGTCAGTTTGTTCTAGAGTCCAGTATTTCTTTGTTGACTTTCTGCCTCAGTGCTCTGTCTAGTGCTGCCAGTGGAGTGAAAGCCCTCTACTATTATTGTGTTTCTGTCTATCTCTGTTCTTAGGTCTAGTGGTAGTTGCTTTACGAATCTGGGAGCTCTGGAGTTAGGTGCATATATATTTAGAATTATTTTATCTTCTTCATGAATTGGATCCTTTTATCATTGTATAATGACCTTGTCTTTTTTTTTTTTACTATTGTTGCCTTAATGTCTGTTTTATCTGATATAAGAATAGTTCCTCCTGCTTGCTTTTGGTTTCTGATTGCATGAAATATCTTTTTCCACCCTTTTCCCTTGGGTCTATAAGAATCCTTGTGTTAGATGTGTCTCCTGAAGACAGCAGATATTTGGTTTGTGACGATTTTATTCATTTTGCCAATCTGTATCTTTTAATGGAGCACTTAGACCATCTCCATTCAATGTTAGTATTGTGAGATACTATTCCAGTCATAATGTTGATTGTTACCTAGATACTTTCTTTTCTTCACTGTGTTATTGTTTTATAAGCCGTGTGAATTTTATGTTTTCAGAGGTTTCTATCCTGGTGTGTATCAATCTTTTCTTTCAAGATTTAGAACTCCTTTTAGCATTTCTTGTAACATTGGTCTAGTATTGACAAATTCCCTCAGCATTTGCTTGTCTGAGAAAGACGTTATTTCTCCTTCATTTATGAAACTTAGTTTTGCTGGATACAAAATTCTTGCCTGACAGTTATTCTGTTTAAGAAGACTAAAAAATGACCCCAATCTCTTCTGGTTTGTTCTGCTGAGAAGTCTGCTGTTAGTCTGCTAGGTTTTCCTTAATAGGTTACCTGATGCTTTTGTCTCGCTGTTCTTAGAATTATTTCCTTCACATTGACTTTAGATAATCTGATGACTATGTTCTTTGGTGACGTCCTTTTTGTAATGAGTCTTCCAGGACTTCTTTGAGCTTCTTTTATTTGGATGTCTAAATTTTTAGCAAGGACAGGGAAGTTTTCCTCAATTATTCCCTCAAATAGGTTTTCCAAATTTTTTGTTTTTTCCTCTCCCTCAGGAAAACCTATAATTCTTTGTCTGTTTTGCATAATCCCATATTTCTTGGAGACTTTGTTTCTTCTAAATCTTTTTTCTTTATTTTTGTCTGATTGGGTTAATTTGAAAGCCTTGTCTTCAAGCTCTGAAATTGTTTCTTCTACTTAATCTAGTGTATTATTAACACTTTCCACTGCATTTTGTAGTACCCTAAGTGTGTCTTTCATTTCTGGAAGTTCTGATTGGTTTTCTTTTAAAAATCTATCTCTTTAAAAAAAAATTTTTCATTGATATCCTAATTTTTTTTTAATTTGTGTTGGTTTTTACCTTTATCTTGTATCTCCTTGAGTAAATTAATAATCAACCTTTTGAATTTTTATCTGGTGTTTCAAAGATTTAATCTTGGTTTGAATCCACTGCTGGAGAGTTAGTGTGTTTTTTGGGAGGTGTTACAGAACCCTGTTTTTTCATATTGCCAGAATTATTTTTCTGGTTCCTTCTCATTTGGGTAGACTATTTCTTCTCATTATTTTTGAATTTATTTTTCATTTAACTGGGGTTTTTATTTCTTTTATTCCCCTTGAGGGTATGACTTTAATGTTTATAATTTATTGTCACCTAGCTTTGGCTCTAGGTGCTTTCAGTGGTGAAGACTCTGTATAAGTTTCTTGGTTATAGAGAATCTTTGTGTGATGTTTTTCTCAGATGCTCGTTGTAGTAGTGATATGCTTGGTGTTGAGCAGGTTCAGTGTTTCCTGTGGGGGTTTTCAGTCTGGTTCACAGTATAGGCTGCCGCCCACTGCTTCTTTCAAAGGGTCTGTAGTTCCTTTCAGTTTTTCTGTTTAGTTCCTATGTTGCTTCTTGAAAAAAAAGTTCAGAGCATTAATTTCTACACACTACTTTGTCTAAGTGGGAGAGGCATGCTAGCAATACCTCCAATCTGCTATCTTGGGTAAGGGGAGACTTAATGCCCTCCTTTACCTATTTTCTATAAAGTCTATTTTTGTCTGATATAAACATGAACACCTCTGATCTCTTTGGGTTACCATTTGCATGGAATATCTTTTTTCCCTCCTTTTACTTTCAGCCCGAGTATGTCCTTATATCTAAAGTGTCTTGTAGACAGCATATAGTTGGATCTTGTTCTTTTTTAATCCATTCAGCCACTGTATGTCTTTTGACTGGGGAATTTAATCAATTTACATTTAAAGTAATTACTGATAGGTAAGAACTTACTATTATCATTTAATTGTGTTCTGTATGGCTAGTAGTAATTTTGTCCCCCTTTGCGGCTCTTGCTGCCTTTCTATTTCATTGATTCTTCTGTAGTGACATGCTTTTCTTTCTTTCTCATTTTTTCTGGTGCATCTACCATGGGTATTTCACCAGAGAGCTTTATATTTCCATATCCTTTCATGTTACTGTTTAGTATCCCTTTGTTTCAACCTGAAAAACTCCCTTTAACAATTCTTATAAGGCAGGCATAATGGTAATTAATTCCTCGCCTTTTGTTTATCCAGAAAGGTCTTTATTTATTCTTCACTTTTAAAAGTCTTGCCATATATACTATTCTTGATTGTCAGGTTTTTTTTTCCTTCAGCACTCTGTATGGATGAGGGGACATCAAAACTTTCATGGAAAATTGAATTAAAAGATAAAAATTAAAAATATGAACTTTATTTCTTGTCATAAGCTCCAAAAAGTTCCAGTACTCTTGTAAGTGATTGTATCAACCATTTAGTACATCACTAAAAAAGTGGGGGTCCTAGGAACTTAGCCATGTCAATGCAGTCTTTTTTACATTATTAAGTGAAGAAAAATGGATACCCTTTAAAGATGTTTTTAAATTAGAAGACAAAAAGAAGTCAAAAGGAATAAATCACAATTGTAAGGTGGATGCCTAATGATTCCCCATGGAAATTATTTAAAATTTGTCCTTGTTTGATGAGAGGAACGAGCAGAAGCACTGCCATGGCAGAGAACAACTCGCTGATGAAGCTTTCCCAGACGTTTTTCTTCTAAAGCTTTGGGTTTCTCAAAACACTCTCATAATAACCAGATGTTATTTTCTTTTTTATTTTTCTTTTTGGGACGGAGGCAGATGTTATTTTCTTTTGACCCTCCAGAAAGTTAACAAGCAAAATGCCTTGAATATCTCATAAAACTATTGCCATGACTTTTGCTCTTCACCATGTGCCCCTCTTGGTAGCCATTGCTTTGATTGTGCTTTGTCTTCAGGATTGTACTGGCAAAACCATGTTTCATCTGCTGTTACAATTCTTTCGAGAAATGCTTTAGGATCTCAATGCCAATTGTTTGAATTTTTCACTGAAAGCTCTTGTGTGCAGCTAATCTTAGCACAACAGTTTTGGCACCCATTGAGTGGAAAATTTGTTCAACTTTGATTTTTTAGTCAGAATTGTGTAAGCTAAACCAACTGAGATGCCTATGGTGTTTGGCCATTGCTTCTTCTGTGAATTGTTGGCCCTCTTCAGTTAGGCATGAATAAGATGAATTTTTTTCTCATAAATTGATGTGGATGGTCTGCTGCCATGGGCCTCATCTTCATCATCATCTCGTCCCTTCTTAAAATGAATTATCCATTTGGAAGCAGCTGATTTCTTTGGTGTACTATTCCCATAAATTTTTTGTAAAGTATCAATAATTTCACCATTCTTCCACCATGCTTCACCATAAATTTGGTATTTGTTCTTGCCTCAGTAATAGCAGAATACATGTTGCTCTGGATAGGGACTCTTTTCAAATTGATGTCTTACCCAAATCAGCAGGAATTTATTTTAGTGCCAAAAAAAAGTTTGAAATCCATGCATAGTTTTTTTTTTCATAATACATACCGTCCACAAACTTTTTGAAGATCCCTCATATAATCTCATTCCACTCTGTCCTGCGATGCTTCCACTGAGAAATGTGTGATATTCTTATGGAAAGTCTCTGTATATACCACATTGCCTTTCTCCTGTTGCCCTTAAGATTTTTGTTTTTGGAAAGTTGACTAGAATGTGTCTTAGTGTGAATTTCTTTAGTTTCATCATGACTGTAGTCCTTTGAGCTTCTTATATTTGGATATCTATTTCCTTTTTCACATTTGGAAGGTTTTGGCTATTGTAGTTTGAAAAATATTCTGTCCCTCATTTCCTCTATATTCCTCTTCTGAAATTCATGTAATGCATATATTGATTCACTTGATGGCGCCCCATAAGTCCCTTAGGCTTTCTTCATTTTTCCTTTTTCTTTTTGTTCCTCTGACTCAATAATTTCAAATGACCTGTCTTTGAGTTTGCTGATTCTTTCTCTTGCTTAATAAAGTCTGCTGTTGATCCCCTATAATTTTTTTTTTCAAATCAGTTACTGTATTCTTCAGCTTCAGAATTCCTGTTTAGTTATTTAGAATTCCTGTTTGGATCTTTACAGTTTCCATCTCTTAATTGATATTCTCATTTTATTCACAGTTTCATTGTATATGTTTTCTTGTAGTGCACTAATTTAAAATGTTCCTTTTAAACTATTTGTCAGGTAATTCACAGATCTCCATTTCTTTTGGGTCAGTTTACGGACAGTTATTTTGTTCTTCTGATTGGACCATATTTTCCCTGTTTGTGTGCCTTATATTTTGTTGTAATTTTTGTATTTGAATAAACGGTCACCTCTTCCAGTCTTTACAGACTGGTTTTGGATGGAAAAAGATCTTCACCAATCAGCCCAGCTAGAGATTCTGGCGGTCTCTCAAACCTTTTACAGAGATGAATTTTTTCTGAGCCTATGTGTGTAATTTCACAACCAGACAAAGTTTTCTGGTTTCTTTTTCAGGAGTCTACAGTCTCTTGCACCCTCTGGTGTCTGTTTGCAGTACTACGGGTATTTTGGTACTGCCACCAACCGCTGAGCTCTCTTGTTCTCAGCAGTCCCCAGGCAATCAAAGTATGCCTATTCCTCATCAGCACTCCAAGTCAAGCAAGGCAGAAACCAGTCACTTGAGTAGTCTCAAAAAGCCAGCACATTGGACATAATTCCATTTTACTCTTTTTCTCCCAAGGGAGAAACCAGTCACTGGACTTTTTTTCCTCATCATTAGCTGTGGTGGCTTGGGGAAGGGGCCGACTCAGATGAAATGAAACAGCTTTTCTTACCTGTTTCAAAACCATGGTTCTTGGTTTTAAACTGGAGTTCTGTGACTTCATAAGTGATTTCTGGCCTTCTCATAAAGGCTTTATTGGACCACATATTGTTAAGTCAGTATTTCTGTAGGGGTAGAAGTCTGGTGCTCCCTATTCCTCCATCTTGCTGACTGCAGACAGGCTTATTTTTGTAATCTCATAAAGCATTCTCTACATGAAGAATTTACAGTAAGGAAGTTTCTTTGATTTAGAACAAAGGTATGAAATATCTTAAACGTCCATTTCCGCCTCTCCCTTTCTGATTTTCTTTTTTTTTTTTTTTTTGCATTTAAAGTATATAAAGACATTGTACTGGACACACAATCTTATATACCATCTCACCTTCATCTCTGATTCCAGCGAGGCTACAGTAAACAGTTCGGCATAGGTATCAACCCACTTTGGGGTAACAATGTCTCATCTCAATCTTACACTAAACATACTTCTTTATTACTTCCCTAGGAGCTTGTTAGATATCTATACGTCTAAGTCTTAAGTGTATTAACACAGAATCGCAGGAAAGGCAGGCCCCAGAAGGCAACCCTTGACTCTCCTCAAGGAGGGAACAGAAGCTGACAGACCAATGCCTCTCTTTTTAATTCCTTAGGTGGACAATTTAGGGATATAGCTTCTGGGCCTCACCAGAAGTAGTAGTCATCCTCAGAAGTAACAAACTAGATAGTGCATCATTGTATTGGCTTTGCCTTTTTCTATTTGATTCTTCAATTCCCTCATTTCACTTCTTGGTCTTGTGGGGTGGAGGTACGTGACCCAGGCTATGATGTACATTAATCAGGGCCTTACTCTACGTGATCTCCTTTTGTTTTCTGTTAAAAAATACAGATACGTTTCCTCTCTTCCACTAGATTATATTCCTTTTAAAGGTAAAGGGCCTCATTTAATTCTGCAGTCCCATAATATGCACTCATGATTTTTGTCCAATACATGCAACAATTTCCCATTGTAGATGGCCTCACTAGTCCCAAATGATTTAAAATGAAAAAAAAAAACTTTCACAAGCTTGAAAGCTAATCATTTATGCAAAACTTTTAAAATCCAGATCCATTTTTATAATGTTTTGTTGCTAAAGCCCAGTTTTTAGACTTGGTCAAATATGCTCTATTTAGATAATGCATCTCAGATATCCATTTACTGATAGTAAATATATTTTTGAAGGTGATCTTTCTGTGTACGTAATAAGTGCCAACAATGTTTTAGTAAATTATAGATCCCTGAAGAAAAACGCTATAGATCTATAACAATCTCAGGTTTTCTTTTCCCATATAAAAAGTTCTAATTAAAAAAAATTCCCCCCAGATTAAAATAAACATGTCTTTACATGATTCCTCCTGCAAGACTCAAGCCAAACACACATTTCTCTGGCTTGAAGTTAAATCATTATATGAAATAACTAAAAAAGATAAAATCTTACCAAAACATTGCCTTTGCTTTAAGTGATGCTTTTAACAAACAAAAGAAAAAGCTCATGATAAAGGGATCAACTCAGAACATAGATAATACAAGATTTAGTGGTCTTCTGCGCAGAATAAGAGAAATACTGTGTTAGTTCTCAATAATCAACAAGCAATTAAAACAATTCTGAAAATACTTGAAATCTGGACAGATACAGATGTATTTTTTATTGAAATTTTACCCTAAGGCACAACATTACATTTTCCTGCCCTGCAACTCTAGTGGTTTAGATGCTAGATATCAATACTGGCACATGAAGCTTGATAGCTGGACATGTTAGCAGAGGAAAAGGAAAATGTGACAAAAAGATCCTACTTGAAGACGCATAAAATCTGTTGTTCACCTAGACAAGTATGTTAACACCAACAAGTCTCAACTATGATTTACACTGTAATCTCTGCTCAATTACCATAGAAAATCTTAAATTAGCTAAGCTCTAGCCCACAGAATTCAGGGTGTTGCAAATTTGACTGCCAAGATGTTAGAAAACAAAGCTTGTGGTTAGCTCTCTGACAAGTACTTGCTTCTCCAAAGCCGAGACACTTTAACTATCCTCTCTTTCTACCACATTTCCCATTTGCTGTGAATGCTCAGGTGTGGTAAAGATCAAGGCAAATCCCTACCAAAGCTACTCATGTATGGAGAACCAACTCAGCTTCTAACACCACGTTCAAAGTACCATTGGGTTTGTATTGTTTACTGTGCAGAAGACCCGGAATACTGGAACTGAAAGAGATTTTAAGGGGCATCTAATCCAAAACCCTGAGAGGCTGTCCAAGGTGGCGAAGTCAGTGGCAAGACTGGGTCATGAACTCAGGGCACCTAATTCCTAATCAACATTTTGTGGGGAGAAGTGGTTTATTTCCCTCTAACTCAAAATAACTCAATGATAATTTTAGTGCAGTGAGCAAGCTAACATAAAAGGTTATTCTTAATTTTGAGAATGGATTATCTCTTATCTGAGAAGATTTGAAATCACATTTAAACAAGTATCTAGAGATATATTATTCTAAGAACAAGATAATTCAGTGTCGGCAATGAAATAAACTGAAATTATATTAACCTTGACAAATTTCGATTTATAAAACTAATCCAGATTAGATACAAATATAATTAACATTAACCTCGCTTGAATTAAGTTTTGCATATCCTCATTCAAAACTCCACACTAATGTTCTATCACTAACAGTAAAACATTCTACATACGGCCTAGATTGAGGGTGAAGACAGATCATCTTGCATATGGAGAACTGCTCTGCCTTACTTGGGTAAGGCAGAACTGTTTGGCACTTCCTAAGGCCAAGCACGTGACTTTGCTTTAAAGCTCCATTCCATGAGGTCAATGCCAGGTCCGCTAGCCCAAAATGAACAAACTTTTTAATCCAGATCCATCATGGGTCATTTATTCTATAAACACAGTCCAGATATTTTCACAGCTCTGGGCCAGATGCCACAGAGGAACAGAATATGAATTTGAAAAATACCAACTATTTACAGGGCACCAATTGTGTGCCAGCCTTACAAATGTTATCATAACCCTACATGAGACATATTATTATTCTGTTTTGTAAAGGGAGAAACTGAGAAAGCATAACCAAAGCTAGTAGAAGGCAGAGCTTTGCAACACCTGCATTCTCACTGAGAATTCTAACCCACCCGAGCCTGACACCAAGCTCCTCTGCATTTCAGCAGGGCACTCAAGAAGCAATGTAGATGTGTGGTATTATTTCTGAAGGCTCTGTTCTGTTCCATTGGTCTATATCTACAACCATCTGGTCTATGACAAACCTGGCAAAAACAAGAAATGGGGAAAGGATTCCCTATTTAATAAATGGTGCTGGGAAAACTGGCTAGCCGTATGTAGAAAGCTGAAACCGGATCCCTTCCTTACACCTTATACAAAAACTAACTCAAGATGGATTAAAGACTTAAATGTTAGACCTAAAACCATAAAAAGCCTAGAAGAAAACCTAGACAATACTATTCAGGACACAGGCATGGGCAAGGACTTCACGACTAAAAACACAAAAAGCAATGGCAACAAAAGCCAAATTTGACAAATGGGATCTAATTAAACTAAAGAGCTTCTGCACAGCAAAAGAAACTACCATCAGAGTGAACAGGCAACGTACAGAATAGGAGAAAATTTTTACAATCTACCCATCTGACAAAGGGCTAATATCCAGAATCTACAAAGAACTTAAACAAATTTACAGGAAAAAATCAACCCCATCAAAAAGTGGGCCAAGCATATGAACAGACACTTCTCAAAAGACATTTATGCAGCCAAAAAACACATGAAAAAATGTTCATCATCACTGGCCATCAGAGAAATGCAAATCAAAACCACAATGAGATACCATCTCACACCAGTTAGAATGGCAATCATTAAAAAGTCAGGAAACAACAGGTGCTGGGGAGGATGTGGAGAAATAGGAACACTTTTAAACCGTTGGTGGTACTGTAAACTAGTTCAACCATTGTGGAAGACAGTGTGGTGATTCCTCAAGGATCTAGAACTAGAAATACCATTTGACCCAGCAATCCCATTACTGGGTATATACCCAAAGGATTATAAATCATGCTGCTATAAAGATACATGCACATGTATGTTTATTGTGGCACTATTCACAATAGCAAAGACTTGGAACCAACCCAAATGTCCATCAATGATAGACTGAATTAAGAAAATGTGGCACATATACACCATGGAATACTATGCAGCCATAAAAAAGGATGAGTTCATGTCCTTGGTAGGGCATGGATGAAGCGGGAAACCATCATTCTCAGCAAACTATCGCAAGGACAGAAAACCAAACACCGCATGTTCTCACTCTTAGGTGGGAATTGAACAATGAGAACACTTGGACACAGGGTGGGGAACATCACACACTGGGTCCTGTCGTGGGGTGGGGGGAGCAGGGAGGGATAGCATTAGGAGATACACCTAATGTAAATGATGAGTTAATGGGTGCAGCACACCAATATGACACATGTGATGAGTTAATGGGTGCAGCACACCAACATGACACATGTATACATATGTAACAAACCTGCAGGTTGTTCACATGTACCCTAGAAGTTAAAGTATAATTAAGAAAAAAAGAAAGAAACAATGTAACCTATTCGGGAGGGTGGTTTGTCATCCTAAACTCAGCTATGATACATCTCCACAACATACAAAAGTCTAGACCTTACAACAACCCTAATTGGAAAACTAGTGTCTAGGTCTACTTGGAATTCCAAAAAGAAATCAGGGCTCCAAATTTAAAGTGTTTACAGCTTTTTTTTTTCTCTGTAAAGTACAGATCCCAATGGGCATCTGTATGTCATGAGTTGTTGCTGAGAAGCTGAGATGACCGCACAGGCATAAATCACCAAAGACAATGTCCCACACAAAGTAAGAGATAATACAAATTGGCTGCTGCTTTTGCAACTACCATCATTCTTCAGTACTCAGATTCCTCAAATTTCTTCCTCAGAATACAGTCACGAAGAAAAAAAAGCCATGTAATCACATTCGTTATTAGGTAGTTCATAACTATAAAAAATTTTTTTCAACCAAATGTACTATTATTCAACCACAGAATTCTGAAAACTGCTTAGAAATACAGAAAACATTTAATAGATTAAAATACTGAATACAAAGCAGTAAATACTATACCAGCAACTACATAAACTCTAATTCAAGGCAGAAAAATGAAAATGGTTGTTAGGATGGTGAGATTACTGACGATTATTTTTCTTTTTAAAAAGCTTCCTTGTATTGCTTTAAAAAATTTTTTTTATTATTAAAGTTTTAGGGTACATGTACACAACGTGCAGGTTAGTTACATATGTATACATGTGCCATGTTGGTGTGCTGCACCCATTAACTCATTATTTAACATTAGGTATATGTCCTAATGCTATCCCTCCCCCCTCCCCCCACCCCACAACAGGCCCCAGTGTGTGATATTCCCCTTCCTGTGTCCACGTGTTCTCATTGTTCAATTCCCACCTATGAGTGAGAACATGCGGTGTTTGGTTTTCTGTCCTTGCGATAGTTTGCTGAGAATGATGGTTTCCCGCTTCATCCATGCCCTACCAAGGAGATGAACTCATCCTTTTTTATGGCTGCATAGTATTCCATGGTGTATATGTGCCACATTTTCTTAATTCAGTCTATCATTGATGGACATTTGGGTTGGTTCCAAGTCTTTGCTATTGTGAATAGTGCCACAATAAACATACATGTGCATGTTATCTTTATAGCAGCATGATTTATAATCCTTTGGGTATATACCCAGTAATGGGATTGCTGGGTCAAATGGTATTTCTAGTTCTAGATCCCTGAGGAATTGCCACACTGACTTCCACAATGGTTGAACTAGCTTACAGTACCACCAACAGTGTAAAAGTGTTCCTATTTCTCCACATCCTCTCCAGCACCTGTTGTTTCCTGACTTTTTAATGACTGCCATTCTAACTGCTGTGAGATGGTATCTCATTGTGGTTTTGATTTGCATTTCTCTGATGGCCAGTGATGATGAGCATTTTTTCATGTGTCTGTTGGCTGCAAAAGTGTCTTCTTTTGAGAAGTGTTTGTTCATATCCTTCGCCCACTTGTTGATGGGGTTGTTTGATTTTTTCTTGTAAATTTGTTGGAGTTCATTGTAGGTTCTGGATATTAGCCCTTTGGGAGATGAGTAGATTGCAAAAATTTTTTCCCATTCTGTAGGTTGCCTGTTCACTCTGATGGTAGTTTCTTTTGCTGTGCAGAAGCTCTTTAGTTTAATTAGATCCCATTTGTCAATTTTGGCTTTTGTTGCCATTGCTTTTGGTGTTTTAGACATGAAGTCCTTGCCCATGCATATGTCCTGAATGGTAATGCCTAGGTTTTCTTCTAGGGTTTTTATGGTTTTAGGTCTAATATTTAAGTCTTTAATCAATCTTGAATTAATTTTTGATCAATCTTGAATTAAGGTGTAAGGAAGGGATCCAGTTTCAGCTTTCTACATATGGCTAGCCAGTTTTCCCAGCACCATTTATTAAATAGGGAATCCTTTCCCCATTGCTTGTTTTTCTCAGGTTTGTCAAAGATCAGATGGTTGTAGATATGCGGCATTATTTCTGAGGGCTCTGTTCTGTTCCATTGATCTATATCTCTGTTTTGGTATCAGTACCATGCTGTTTTGGTTACTGTAGCCTTGTAGTATAGTTTGAAGTCAGGTAGCGTGGTGCCTCCAGCTTTGTTCTTTTGGCTTAGGATTGACTTGGCAATGCGGGCTTTTTTTGGTTCCATATGAACTTTAAAGTAGTTTTTTCCAATTCTGTGAAGAAAGTCATTGGTAGCTTGATGGGGATGGCATTGAATCTATAAATTACCTTGGGCAGTATGGCCATTTTCACAATATTGAGTCTTCCTACCCATGAGCATGGAATGTTCTTCCATTTGTTTGTATCCTCTTTTATTTCATTGAGCAGTGGTTTGTAGTTCTCCTTGAAGAGGTCCTTCACATCCCTTGTACGTTGGATTCCTAGGTATTTCATTCTCTTTGAAGCAATTGTGAATGGGAGTTCACTCATGATGTGGCTGTTTGTCTGTTATTGGTGTATAAGAATGCTTGTGATTTTTGCACATTCATTTTGTATCCTAAGACTTTGCTGAAGTTGTCTATCAGCTTAAGGAGATTTTGGGCTGAGACGATGGGGTTTTCTAGATATACAATCATGTCATCTGCAAACAGGGTCAATTTGACTTCCTCTTTTCCTAATTGAATACCCTTTCTTTCTTTCTCCTGCCTGATTGCCCTGGCCAGAACTTCCAACACTATGTTGAATAGGAGTGGTGAGAGAGGGCATCCCTGTCTTGTGCCAGTTTTCAAAGGGAATGCTTCCAGTTTTTGCCCATTCAATATGATACTGGCTGTGGGTTTGTCATAGATAGCTCTTATTATTTTGAGATACGTCCCATCAATACCTAATTTATTGAGAGTTTTTAGCATGAAGCTTTGTTGAATTTTGTCAAAGGCCTTTTCTGCATCTATTGAGATAATCATATGGTTTTTGTCGTTGGTTCTGTTTATACGTTGGATTACGTTTATTGATTTGCGTATGTTAAACCAGCCTTGAATCCCAGGGATGAAGCCAACTTGATCGTGGTGGATAAGCTTTTTGATGTGCTGCTGGATTCGGTTTGTCAGTATTTTATTGAGGATTTTTGCATCGATGTTCATCAGGGATATTGGTCTAAAATTCCCTTTTTTTGTTGTGCTCTGCCAGGCTTTGGTATCAGGATGATGCTGGCCTCATAAAATGAGTTAGGGAGGATTCCCTCTTTTTCTATTGATTGGAATAGTTTCAGAAGGAATGGTACCAGCTCCTCCTTGTACCTCTGGTAGAATTCAGCTGTGAATCTATCTGGTTCTGGACTTTTTTTGGTTGGTAAGCTATTAATTATTGCCTCAATTTCAGAGCCTGTTATTGGTCTATTCAGAGATTCAACTTCTTCCTGGTTTAGTCTTGGGAGGGTGTATATGTCGAGGAATTAATCCATTTCTTCTAGATTTTCTAGTTTATTTGCATAGAGGTGTTTATAGTATTCTCTGATGGTAGTCTGTAGTTCTGTGGGATCGATGGTGATATCCCCTTTATCATTTTTTATTGTGTCCATTTGATTCTTCTCTCTTTTCTTCTTTATTAGTCTTGCTAACGGTCTATCCATTTTGTTGGTCTTTTCAAAAAACCAGCTCCTGGATTCACTGATTTTTTGAAGGGTTTTTTGTGTCTCTATTTCCTTCAGTTCTCCTCTGATCTTAGCTATTTCTTGCCTTCTGCTAGCTTTTGAATGTGTTTGCTCGTTTCTCTAGTTCTTTTAATTGTGATGTTAGGGTATCAATTTTAGATCTTTCCTGCTTTCTCTTGTGGGCATTTAGTCCTATAAATTTCCCTCTACACACTGCTTTGAATGTATCCCAGAGATTCTGGTATGTTGTGTCTTTGTTGTCGTTGGTTTCAAAGAACATGTTTATTTCTGCCTTCATTTCATTATGTACCCAGTAGTCATTCAGGAGCAGGTTGTTCAGTTTCCAAGTAGTTGAGCGGTTTTGAGGGAGTTTCTTAATCCTGAGTTCTAGTTTGATTGCACTGTGGTCTGAGAGACAGTTTGTTATAATTTCTGTTCTTTTACATTTGCTAAGGAGTGTATTGCTTTAAAAATTTCTACAATGAAAAGTGTGTTTTTAAATTATTTCATAATATATTACATAGGTATCTATTATGCCTAACTTAATGGGAGTCTGCAGGAAAACCAAATGCATTGTGAGCCTACTGTGCAATATGACAATATTGCCCTCCGCAAGAATATATAGATTTGTGCTCCTCCCCCAAGTCCCTTACAACAAGCCACTATAAACAACATACCAGTTATAAATTATGTTCCCAGACTAAAATGCTTCAAGATGGTTTAATAATGTGGAAAAAGTACTAGCTTCAAGGGTAAAGGAAATCAAAGAAAGAAAAGAGTCTGATTCTTAACTTCAATGATTTCACCATCCTCTAACCACCTTGCAATGTTTCTCAAAGTGTGATCCTGGGACCATCTCCATTAGACTCACAAAAGATTCTTTCCAAAATGCCAATCCTGCCAACACCACTCTCAAACCTACAAAGTTGGAATCTGAGAGGGAAGGCCAAAGTGTACTCCCTCAAAAAAAAAAAAAAAAAAAAAAAAAAAAAAAAAAAAAACACCACATTCCCTGGCTGATTTTCATGCCCACAACTTTTAAAAAATACTGATCCACAAACATGCTAAGCAGGTAAGATAAAATTCACTTCAATTTTTCAGCAAAAAAAGGCAAAACGGAGATCTAACTTTATATTGGTAATTCAATTGCTTTCTAATAATGGACTGTGGGAACCGCAGGTATAAGGAGCAGATTACCCTGCAGATTTGTTGTCTCTTCTGCCTAACCTGCAAAACTTCCCAGAAAATAATTTTGCAAAATTGATCAGGAACCTTAAAATTTCCATGTCCTTTGCTCCCCAAAATTTCACTAATAAGGTTTTTCCTATGAGAATAATAAAAAATGCATAAAAGGCTTTTAGGCAGAAGTGGTTGGGACAGCGGGCTAAATATTTATCATCTGCCATATCTTGAGTACCTGCTCCGCACCTGGCACTTGTGGATACAGTATTTCTAATCCTCACAACCTAGAAGATAGATACTTTTTATCTCCATTTTAGAGATGAGAAGCCAAATGAGTTATTAATTTGTCCCAGGCCACATGGCTAATAATCAGGATCTGAATCCCGGGCAGTTTGAGTAGAAACACTGGACTCATTCCACTGTCTAGCCACCTAAAAATATTCTAAAATGTTGTAGTGTTTAAACAAAGTATACTACAACAAAAGAATTATACAGACACCGGAAACCATGTTCTTCAAGAACCTTTAATGAAACAGAAAATACTTATGATTCAACGCTAAGTGAAAAAGATAGGAGGTATGATCCCAGTGTAGAATTTAAGTCACAGAAGGGTAGGGCCAGTAACTCTTTTGGTTTCATCTGCATCCCCAAAGCTCAACACTGCACCTGACATATGGTACAAACTCAAAATGCATGGCAAAAATAAATTATGTGTGGGCATATTTTCAAAAGACCAGGAAAAAAATTCCTAAAATATCATCAGTGGTTATTGCTGGATTCTGGAGTTAGGGATGACTTGGTTTTTCTTTTTTACTTATGTTTATACTTTCAAGTATTCTATATAGGTTTGTATTACTTTTAAAATCGAGGGGGAAAAAACAGCAATGGCTAATTTTCAAATCCTATGTTTAATCACCTTTCTATATAAGAGATACAGTTAAGCTCCAGATCAACTCAATATGCAGACTAATATGTGGTTTATCATTCTCACTATAACAGGGAAACCACCTGATACCTAGAAAGTGTTATCTTTTTATATGCCAGCATCATAAATGGGAACAAGATTTAATACTTGTTACAAATACAAACATTTTCATCATCCACAGCTATTAGTAGCCTGATAGGTAGGAAAAGGATTTACAAATGTATAGCACCCACAATGCTTCTATGATGGTTTTGTGCTCTCTGGAGACTGCCCTAGATGGTAGTACGATAAGGATTAGACATTGAATTTGGTGGCTTTTGCAGCATAACAAGATTTTCTTGCCAAGATCATCCCCACACACCAAAACCACTATAAATTAGCAATAAAATTGCGCCTCATTCCTGGTAGTTTATTAAATATTTCATATAAAGGAATATATGTGGTCACTATTACCCTATGTATTTTTTAAGTAAGAACAGTATCTTAAAACGAACTAAGAATGAGTCAACTGGTCTATTTTATTAGCTCACTATTTTGGACAATTTCAGACGACAAAACATGGGATGATAATTCTATCAAACTGTCTCCAAAACGGTTCTGAACAAATTCTGGCTTTGTTGGCCAGATTATACCTAAGTGACCAATCTATGAAAAGCCAAAAGGGCGAGGCATGAACTACACTGAACCTGTCAATTCTAAACCAAATCTGACATGTGTGGACAGTGGGAGGAGGGAGGACAGAAAAGATATCTTAAGATAATAAAAAGTGAAATAAGCATTTTTATTGTACCATGTAATTTTCTATGGAAAAAAAAACATTTGACATGGAGAAAACAATGGAGAATTTTTAGAGATAGTTCCAGTACTCAGTGGTCCTAGATTCTGTTCATAAAAGGAGTAACAAGATGAGAAGAGCTTTAGATGATCAGAGTTGGTTTCCTCTTTGGTATTTAGGTTTACTTCTGGACTATGCCAAGAAAGAAATTCTAGGGAGCCTCTCAGAACCTATTCTGGTTCAGGGGCTGCCTGATGAAAAAAAATTATAATTTAAAAAAAGGAAAGAAAGAAATTCTACTGATATATAATGTTACTGAATAACATAAGTTCCTACAGATTATCAGCACAGTCCAAAGTCTCCAATACAGGTAAGCTTTGACTTCAGTCACAATTTGCAATTTTGAGTCCTAATGCTCCTCCACTTTGCCCACTGTGAGGAAAATATGGGGTAAAACATTCAGCATCCATTCTGACCCCCTTCTTCTTTGCCTACTTCCACTAGTGAGGCTGGAAAAAGAAGATACATTCCCAGAGTCTTTTGCAGCAAAAGGTGGCCAAAGAAGTACAGACAGAAGTTCCAGGAGAGAGAATTCTTTGTCACATAAAAATGCAAAATCTCTAAGAGAAAATAATTTTTCTTCTTCCGCCTTTTTCCTGCATAAACCAGACACACCTCAAAACACAGCCACAGCCACAGTGCAAAAATAAGGCAAAAAGCCACAGGCTGAAGATGGTGGAGGCAGGGAAGAGGGAAGACACGGGGCTCCTGATGCCCTTGAGCAGCTCTTGGAGCCTGGACTGCTTAGCCCCAGACTTCTCATTAGGTGAGAAGGACAAACCCCTGGCTTGTTTAAGCCACTCTGTGTCAGGTTTCCTGTTAGTCGCAGCCAAATACATTCTTGCCTGTAAAAGTCATTGGTATAACAAACCTCTCTAGCTATGTATTTATCAATGATCAACTTCACCAAAACCCTCCAAGTCTTCATAGAGATAAGTGACTGAGAGTGCTTGCTCCATGCCCGTGAGCGTGAGGTTTTACTGCCCCTCTCAGTGCATCCTCACGGAACTCTACGAGAAGCAAAGTGAGGACCTCCTCAATCCAAGTTAGTCTGAAAGCAGCTCCTGGGCTCTTTACTGCCAAGCTATACAACCTCTGATGTGTTTTTTCACTTAATCTATAAAGCAATTTTAATTGCAACTATGCTCTCTGGATCAAATAAATTGTCATAACAAACTTTTCTAATTTTTTGAGGAAGACTTTCACTAAAACACATCAAACACACCCCCCCCCCCCCAACACACACATACACAAAGGATTCACATGCAATTAGAAGAAAAAAGAAAAAAAGACTTGGCAAGTATTTGCTTTCTAGTGTTTTGAAATCTTTATCCATCATGTGAGACAGTACTGCTGCATCTGAACTGATGTTTATTAAGCACCATCAACCTGGCACTGAACTAAGCATATTACATACATTCTCACACTCAGCATTCACAATATCACCGTAAAGTAGGACTATTATTATCCCCATTTTACAGGTGAGCAAATGAAACATGTTAACCCAGGCAGAGTATTTTCTTCAAAAAACCTTCTTTCTACACACCAATGAATGACTCAAATTCAGAGCAACTTACAACCAGAAGAGAGATTAACTGATTTCGCTGCTAGTCTTTAGTAAACCATACTAGAAATGAATGGCTCAGGACCAGTCAAATAATGAAAAATACTCAAAGCAAGAACAATTTACAACTAAAAAGGGTGAAAAGCCCTCTCGTCCTGAGCAAAATCTAGAACTCCACACTCATGTCTAATGGAGCTTTACTTAGTATTTACCCACCCACCTTTACAAGTATACTCAACACATGGCAAGCTACCAGGGAGGCCAATAATAATATTTAGATAGCTGTGCATGTTCATTAATCGTAAGATAATTTAAGACCAAACTAAAGTTTCCAATATACTTGATTTTCATGATCAATATAAGAAAGTGCATTTTATACATAATGATTTACTGTGAATATTGTTATTAGCTTATTCAGCACTTCCTATGTTGCCAGCACTGGGATGACTTACATACACCTTTTTCCTCTTCATTTTCAAAACTACCTCAGGAGGTAAGTACTACCATTAACTGCCCCATTTGAGAAATGAGGTCGCCAAGTGATGGATTCTCCCAAGCTCCCTATTAAAATGTAGCATCAAGATTCAAATCTAGATTTGGCCCACAGCCCTGTGCTATTAATCTCTAAGCTCATAAATGTATTTGATTTGTTTTTGCTGTTTATTAGCCTTGATCAAGCATTAGCTAGAAAACTCTGTTTATTTAAGCTTTACTCTTTATCTTCACTTTCAGTACTCCCCCATTTTCACACATTTTTGGCTTCATATTTCTTCCCGCTCTCATGAAAAAAGTCTAAATTATTATCTGTTCATCAAATCATTTTAAAAATCCACTAAAGTTTGCTGAATTAAAGAGATAACATAGTTGCTGCTCCTACTGTTAATCAATGATGTACAACAACCTCTGTTTCAGTGGCTAACTCTGCTACTCAACCGAGCAGTAGCAAATGACCCCAGTTCTGCCTATCACTGCAAAAATGCAACATGGTTCTTAAAGTCTTTGGCAGCAGTATCATAAAATCCCACCAGATGTCAATCTCCTTTCATGAAAATAGGCCATTCCTCCCCACCACAGGTCCCACTTTTTAACACTTACCATTTTCTCTACTGAAAGAAGGGATTCCCAAACTTTGAAAATACCTATGCTTCTGAATTTTATATGGGAAATTTTTTTTAAATAATAATTTGAAGTGCTGTGTTATATATGGGAATTTTTAATTTTATAGTACACATATATGTTTTTACAAAGAAAAATACTTTAAAAAAGAAAAGTATTAATATAGGAATCCTGTGATTGCCTCAGTACTCTGGCAAACACCAAGACTGTATCTCTGATTCTCTTGACTCAATTATTTCTTACTTTCTCCCAGACTTCCTGCTATAACACTCTCCTCCCTTTCCTCCCTGATAACTCAGTTGAGTTAATGTGAGTTATGATATGTAACTTATAACTTTGAGTTAATTTAACTAAAATTTAATTGGCTTACATAAATCAATACTATTATTTCACATGATGCATGAAATTTACATTTGAAGATCAGTATTAAATAAAGAAATTATATAAGGATTTTCTTTATCATTAAAAATGCTGTCTATGGTATTCATTCCAAGACTTACCACACCCATCAAAAACCTAAACTTGAAAATAAATTTCCATTTATAAAACTGTAAACTAATAAAACTGATAATCTTCACTTACAGCAAAAACATCAGATACTCTGCATGGTTGTTTCGAAGTAGTAATTAGACCCCAACCTGCCAGTAAAAAACCATGAAAAAAGAGTGATATTTCCCTACATTGTTGGCCTGGTGGTTTTTATCTGCAACAATTCTTTTAAGTTTTAATGATCATCTAAGAATGGTATTTCATTTATTTGACTACTACCCTATTGCCCATATATTAACCTCACTGAATTTTTGGTCCATTGCGTAGAAGAATTTATCTACTAATAAAAATACAACTCATTAAAGATTAACTTGCCCCCAGGACAGTCTCTCTGGAAACAAATTCCAAGCATTATAATCACCAATTTGCACTCTGAATACTTAAAGGCAGATAATCTTATTTATCCTGATTTAAATTGGAAACCTGTACCTATTTTAAGTCAATTGTAAATAGAAAAATAGCACACCCAAATTCACAATAATTGAAAACTCAAATACAGACTTTACTTACTTGGCACTTTTCAAATAAAAAGCTTTCCACCCAAGAATATCTAACAATATTAGAATGCTTATTGACTTGATAGACTTACTTCTTTAGTTTCTATTTTACTTCTGCAATTATGAACCTGCAAAATTATTTTGTTCCCCAACTATTTATTAAGTATATACTATATTTCATACATTGTGGTAGGCACTGGAAATCCTTTTAATCCATGATGCAATATTTATTATTAATAATAACAACAGATATTCATTAAGTTCTTATCATTGACCAAACACTGTGGGCAAATGTTAGCTTGTTAGGCATTATCTCTTTCGATTCTCCCAAAACCTAAAAGGTCCTAGTATCAGCTCCATTTTACAGATGGGCAAACTGAAGGCAAAGAGAGGCCTAGCAACTTTCCTGAGATCCTACAGAGTTTTGAACCCAGGTATTAGTGATCCCAGTGCTCACACTTGTGTTTTGGTCAACAACTAACCACATACACTACAATGGTCCCGTAAGATTATAAAGAAGCTGAAAAATTCCTATCGCCTAGTGATGTCATAGCCATAGTAACATAACACATTACCTTTCCAATGTTTAGATATATTTAGATACACAAATACCACTGTGCCACAACTGTCTACAGTATTGGGTATAGTAACACGCCTTGTAGCCTAGTAACATTATTTGTAGCCTAGGAGCAATAGACTATACCATATAGCTTAGGTAGTAGGTGTAGCAGGCTACACAACCTAGGTTTGTGTAACTACACTCCATGATGTTTGCACAATGAAAATGCCTAAGGACACATTTCTAACAAGGTATCCCAGTCGTAGTCCTTAAGCATGGACTGCATGACTGTATATCGGTTGTTCAAGAGATGTTAAGACTTTCTGTAAAAGAAACTATTACTGCAAAGCAATTTCAAACCGTCTCAGATCGTAGTATCACATCTATTAATACAAAAGAGCCTTCAAATTTTCAAAAAGTCTCCTCAAAATTTCATTTTATTCGAAGTGAAAATGAATTAAATCAAAAAAGGAAATTCACTTCTAAAGCTCAGGTTATACACTTGAACTTCCCAGAAGCTAACATCACTGTCCTTACTTGTTTGTGCGCAGGTGAAACAGATCATTCTTTCATATCACTCCAAACTAATGTAGAAAACTGAAAGCTGGTTGAAAAGGATGAGTATGTGCTACTATCAGTTCATTCCAAACGATCTCACAATATATGCCTGACATAAATTTAATATTTTGTTTTATAATCATAAACTAGGCAAAAAGAACCACAGAACAGACGAAATAACTGAAATGAGTTACTGAAATGCAACTGGGGCTTTAATTTCCAAATCTATCTTATAACGGTCTTACTTGAAGAGTTTATCACAGAAGTAACTGTCCTCAAAAGTTACATAATTTGAGAAAAAAAGAGAGGGAAGGGGAGAGACAGAGAAAGACATGACACACATTAGGGATGTTTGTCAATAAAAATAAGCAACAAGGGAGGAAAGCCTGTAGCACATCCAAAAAACGTCTGCCAAACACTCTTGCTATTTGTTTCCACCAAGTTATTGTTTTGGAAAACATGTTGTTCTCTCTTAAAATAACCTGCTTAATTGTTCTAAAAAGCCACTGCATTTCCACAGAGGGCTAAATCATTCCCATACTGCGATGCATTGACTGATAAAGTCAAAGTAAGTTATGCATAAAGCCACAAATAACGTTTGAAAAACTCCAAACTCCTCCATGATAAAAGAACACTAGCTACTGAATGAATCTTCACCAGCGCCCTAAGTGAGACTAACGCCTGGTCCCGTACACGTATTTTAAGAATAACAGTCATTCAAACTAACTCATTTCTCTCTTTGGATGTGGGAAATGAGCCACATCGGTGGCTACAGGTAGGCTAGTAATTATCTGTTTTAAGAAAGGTCAAAATGACCTTGGACGTTTTGACGTTCACTCCAACACTCGTATTATAAATCAGAATCTGTTTTCGGTCCAGTATGGTTGAAGATTTTCTACCTGGGAAAGTCCCAAAGAAATTAAAGAGTTAAAAATAATTCTAAGTTGTGAAAGACAAAGTCAGACACCCATAGCATAGGAAGATTTTTATGGACTGAATGTAACTCAAGATGTGTTTTATAAGCCTGTCAAGAGATGAACACTGTCCTCAAACACAGCAGCACTGCCTCCACACTCCCCCCTCGCTTTGGCTGCTCACCCCGATCCTGGCCCTCCTTGACCACAGGGGTGGGGGCGGGAGCTCCTGTCTTAAGCCTTGACATCTGCAGAGCGTTTCCCAATAGTGAGACAAGGCCCCTCAGCTGGAGGAAGTGGATACTGACAAGGGGAGAGAGTGAAACAGACGGAGAGAGACAGAACTCGAGGCTGCCAGGGAATGGGGAGGGTCACGCATACTCTGTGCGGCCCGAGTGGTCCGGATGGCACAGCCCAGGTGTCCGGGCTAAAGTTGGCATCTCCAAAGTCCAGAACGCAACTTGGGCGCGCCAGTACAAACTCGGCCTTCGGCTTTTCTGAAGCCAGTCAAGTTCGCACAGGGCCCCCAGCGCCTGGAAATCTGAGAGGCGTGGAAGGGTGGGGAGTCCCGCGAAGTCTCCAGTCCCTGGGTGTCCTCCGGCTCCGCGGGGGAGCGGGCCTGGAGCTAAACCGGCCGGCCGTAGGCTGGAGTAGCGGGCGCCGGAGCGCGCGGTGGGGATGTCCGAAAAGGAGTTAGAGGCTCAGTCGGAGAGTCCGAGAACACGAGGGATGCCTACCTTGTAACATGGCCTCAAGTTTCTTCCTGTCCACGCGGAAGCGCTCCTCGCTCCACTCCGGGCTGTGCAGGGTCGCCCCGGCGACCAAGTCGTCCTCGGAGCCGGGCACTGGGGAGTCGGTGCTGCGCTCGCTGTTGGAGCCGGGGTCCGACTGCGCCGCCAGGTAGCCGGGCTCTCCCTGGGCGGCCATGGTGGGCGCGCAGCGCTCGGGCTCCCGCTGCCGCCGCCGCTCTGCCTGCGCTGCCGCCTCCGCTCGCCGGCCGGGCTCAACTGGCTCCCAGCGCCGCGGCGCTAGCTCGTCCCCCTGCAGCCGCCGACGCCACCGCCAACGCCGCCGCCGCCACTGAGCCCCCGGCGCATCCCAGCCCCGGGCGCCGCCCACGCCACCCGCCACCCCGGGTCGCGGCCCCGGTCCGGGTCCAGTGGCTGCGCCGCCCCCCGCCAGCAACGCCCGCGCGGAATGAGCGCGCCGCGCTGCCCGCGCCTCCATCCGCAGGGCTCGGCGCCCCCTCCCCGCCCGCCGCCCCTACAGCCGCGCGCTCATTGGCCCGGCCAGCCCACGGGGAGCCGCGGCGGGCGGGCGGCCCCTGGCGCTCACACACTCGCGCGCGCACACACACACCACGTACACACTGCCACTTTCTGCACTTACACGTATAAATCCTTTCCATACATGCACTTTCATAGCTCCTCAAACACACACACTCCTGAACGCACATGGAGTATCCACGTAATTCCTGTCTACACACACACATCACACACACTACTACTTTTCTGCACTTACACATACAAATCTCTTCCCCCTACATGCTCTCATAATCCTCCAAACACACAAACACAAACACGCCAAGTTCAAGCACAGCAGAGTCCTGAACGCACACTAAGCGCATACACAATTCCGCTGTTTACATACATACCCTACACCCTGAAACTCACAGCCCCAGTTGGTTCCACAAGCTCGAACGTGAGGAAGAGGAAAAAGAAGGCTTGGAGAAGAAATCATGCCCGTCTTTCGCAGGCATCGCCATGGACGTGGCTCGCATGTAGTTCATACCTCCAGGAAGGGCTCAAACCCAGACACCTCGTCTCCTCCCAGCAAAGTGGCCCGCTGCACGAGAGGTGGACAAGAGGCTTACTCTTTTTATTCTGAGAAAGGGAATTTTTTTTTTTCTTGAATGGAGTAAGGAAGGAATTGTTTTCTCTGTGATTCTCAAGGAATGGACTCAGCAGACTTTTTTTTTTTTTTAAGTAGAAAAGGGGCTCGGAGATCGCTGTGTTGGCGAGCTGGATCCAGCTGGCACGTGGGCAGGGCTGTCTTGTCAGGGACTGAGGGCTTTTCTCTGTTTTCAAGGTCAGTCTCTGACAGATGACGGCCAGTAACCTCTGAGCCTCACTGCCGAGGGCCAGCCCACCCACGGCCTCTGTCAAGCTTGGATATGAAGCGCGGGGGAAGAGGAGACTCGCTCGTACTGGGTGTGCCCTTGGAACTCTGTTTTCCCAGTTCACACAGATTCATAGCCTATTATTTTATGACCCAAAGTACAAAGACTTGCGGGGAGGAATGATGGGGATAGCAGTTTGTCACTGCGCCACAGAAGGAGGCTGCCTGGCTCACATGTAGGAAGAGCCATATCACTGGCACAGGCCTCTGGATAATCATGGAATATGCTGAAGGTAAATCAAAATTATTTCAGGTTCAGCTGCCTAGTTAACAGGAATTGACCCTGTGATGGGTACAGATGAGGAAACTGAGACCGTGGGAAATAAAGTAACTTGACTAAGGTTGTCCAGCAGCAGATAATACAGCCAATTAATCAGACCCAGGTCTGTGGGTCTTTATATAAAGTCTTACCTTTTTGAGCGGAGACCCCTCCTGCCCAGAGTCACCTCCTGAAGAACTGAGAGCATCTGCACACTTAACTGCTCTGATTCACCACCATGTGTTCCTTTTATAAACTTGTTAATTACTGTTAATTTCTATCCAAGGCACTAGTTTCAGCACCCAAAGGGTTTATGTAGGAGCATTCCCACTGTTTTCCATCAGGGACATTTACTGTGTTTTTCTATCAACAAATATTTATTGGGACCCTACTATGTACTTGGCACTGTTAAGCCCAAGGAATAGTAAGCAAAGACAGACACATCCCTGTACTCCCTCCTGGAGCTGAAATTCTAATGAGAAGGAATACTGACCAAAAAATAAATCACAAATATAAAATCATGCCCGCAGTAAGCATTACAAACAAGAGACTCAAGATATGAGAAAACCTATGATAGAGTAATTGGATTCAGTCAGAGAGGTCAGTGAAGGCTTCTCGAAACAGTGACTCTAACTCAGAACAGACGTTGGAAGAGAAGTTAACTAGGCAAGGGAAGGAAGAGCCATCCCTGCAAATGATCATCTGATCATAGTAACATCCCTGAAGGTAGATACTACAATTATCCTCATTTTAGAGTTGAGGAAACTGAGGCACAAAAGGTAAAATGACTTGCTCAAGGTTGCACGACTAAGTTGAAGAATAAGAATTTGAACCCAGGCAGTCTCTTGAAAATTAGGCTTCAGGTGCTTTATGCTTAGCCAATAAGTTATATTGGCTCTCAATAAGATTAGCACAAGTAAAGACACTGTAGCAGAAGGGGGCAGTATGCATTCCCCCATTGGATGAACTAAAAGAAGGCCAGCGTAGCTGGTACAAGGAAACAAGGAATTAGGACTCACTGGGGCAGGAGTTATAAGTAAGAGGGGGCATATGTAAGCAGCATAGGTCAAATTAAGGAGTTTTTGTCTTTATCCTTAGAATAAAAGGAAATCATATAGAGGCTGTAAGTAAAGAAAGATGTGCTTAGATTTGCATTTTCAAAAGTTGACTATGGCTCTAGTGTGGAGAACAGACTGAGGGACAAGGATAGATAGAAGCAGTTGGACCAATTAAGAGACTATATGGGAAGTTTAGATAATAAATGCTGCTAGCTTACATAGGTGGTGAAGATGAGAGACATGAGAGGATTTGAGAAATATTTAAACAGTAAGTATCACCAAGTAGATTGGTGATGAATTAGAAATAGTGTGATGGGAAGAGAAATGTTGAGAATATCTCCAGGGTTCTGGCTAACATAATAAGAGAGAGATAGGTGTCATTAACTGAAACTGGGAATATTGAAAGAAAATCACAATGGAAGAAAGTTCATGAAGTTGAATTCGGCATTTTGAGTTTGAAATGATGTTGAGATCTCCAAGAAGAGATGTTGTGTTAGCAATTGAATAGGTCTGGAATTCAGTAAAGGAATCTTGGCTAGAGATTAAAATGTGTTACTTGTTTATAGGTAACAATTCTAGCCATCTACCTGGGTCAGACTGTCTAGGGAAAAAGAAGAGACTTAGAAGAAAAGGGAACCAAGGAATGTGACTTTTTAAAATTCTGACAGTGGTCAAGTAGAGGACAGTGTAATGTGAAAGGATATAGAAGCAGCAGTGAAAGAAGAATGAAGAAACAAAGCTGTGTCATGTAAACTCAGAAAAAGACTATTACAAAAAGGAAAGTGTGATCATCTTTGTTTACTAAGGGAAGTCAACATTTTTTTTATGAGATTGCTGAGACCTTGGCAAGAAAGCCATAATGGAGTGGTTGAGGACTGGGTATAGCTAATGAAATGAGAAGTAACAACAACTCTTTGGAAAAGGTTTGGCTGAGAAAGGGAGGAAGGAGCAATAGCTGAAGGATAAAGTGGGCATTGGTTGTTTGGTAGTTTGGTTGGTTAGATGGTTGATTTAATGGTTTGCCAGGTTTGAGCATGTTTAAAAGTGACTGGAAAAGATTCAGGTGGCAGAAATTGAGTATTCAACAAAAAGGAGAAGAATTAATATTATCAGGTTTTGAGAGCATGAACAGAATAGATTACAAGAGATAATAAGAGGACAAATAGCTCATCAGAAAGTAAACAAGATAGGTACAAATATAGGTCAGTTTGTAGGTTGCATTTTTACAACAGGAAGGAATTCCCATATGATGGATTGTATTTTCCCAAAAGAGTAAAAGTCAAGGTTATCTATGAAGAGTAGGAGGGAAAGAGAGCAGTCATAGGTTTGAAGAGAGTAGGGTTTGCTTTTGGTAGTTGAGAGGTTTTTATATAGCCTTTGCATCTGTAAAAGGATGAGTTGGCACTGTTGAGAGGCCAGTTGATGTTGGTAATCATAACTTTATAAAATTATAATTATAATCATAAATTTATAATTTGTCCTATGACTTTCTCCAACAGTACTCAGCTTCTTGAATGCAGGCACAGAGAAAACACAGGACTCCTGCCAAATGAATGCAGCATCAAGAGCCAAATGGCAATGCAGCAATGCCCAGTGGAAAATAATTTCCATGGTAGAAGTTTATACCCCGCAAAACTATCAACCAAACATAAGGCTAAAATCCATTCTCAAAAAAAAAAAAAAGTTTTATTTATTTATGCCCTGTCTGAGGTAGCTACTGAAGATTGCTTGCCACCGAAACAAGATTAAATCAAGATAAGGAGAAAATGTAGAATATAGAAAACAAGCAAGCTAGCACATGATAGAGGCAAAAGAGTTCCTCAAGATGATAATGAAAAGAGAACTCAAATTGGAGTAGGTCAGAAAACTCAGGGTTGAGATTTCTTCTAGATTAAATGGAATTCTTGGAATGGAAGAACATAGAGGATACTGAGACAGCTCATGAAGACTCTGTGGTTAAATTAGTAATCAGTTCATAGAAAACTGTGGTACCAAAAAGAAGACAATTATTAACTCCAAGTATAACAAAACATGCAGAAAAATTCAGAATAATCAGAGTATGCAACGTGGCTGAGTCGTAACTAGCATTTGTTTAGTTGTAATAATGTAAACCATGCATATTGATCTAACCTAAATTATGACATATCTGGAATAGGAATTTGAGGGATTGGGAAATGTGCCTGTGTGTAGTGGAGGCTTTGTGTAAGGGGAGGAAGTGGTGAAAAAAAATGAACCTCATCTGCTTTAAGGAAACATCAATAGATAATAGCTAAAATGTTTCAAAAATCAGGAGGAAGAAATGTAAGCATATTATTTGGAGACACAGTGGCAAAAGTAATATCAAGCTAAACGTTTTGGAAGTCATTGCTGTAGGAAATGGGAAATGGGGGGAAGGCATACAGTACTTCTGGTTTTTATACAAGTCTTCTAGAACAATTTGATGGGTGTATAACTTTAATTTTGGAAATGCAAATGAAGTAATACATGCTTATTACACCATTATTAATAATGATAAATATCATTATCATTAATGAATAATAAATAAATAGCAGAACCTTGAATTCATGACTTCTGAGTCAGGTGCTCTTTCTACAAAAATCAAACCAGAATTAGAATATTTACCAATCTTTTTGTTTTTATAGAGCATACATATATATATCTGTTTGTCTTTATCTTTCCACTTCATTCAAGAAAATAATACTTTTCAATCCATTCGAAGTCTAGGAACAGATCAGATGCCAAGTAATCAATTGTATAGATTTTCTTTAATGGAGTAAGGCTCTCAAACAAAAAAATCACTGAGAAAATTTAAATAACTAAGATCACAGCAAATCTTCAAGTTCACAAAATATGAAAACCCAAAAGAGATTTTTAGCAAAACAAGATTAGTTATCTGACATCTACCTTAGATGTCTAACCTTAATCAGTGGTCATCTGACAGAAAAACTCCTCAGGATACACTTCAAAGCAAGATGGTTTGGTGTTCTTTCCCAAGCACTCTTCATTTCCCTGAATTTGTTTCTTCCAAGGCTACCTACAAAAATATTGATCTTGAATTTTTGTATTTTTGTAATACTTTCAGAAGCTTATATTAAAACTGCTTTTCTATTTGAATTTAAAACCTTAACATTACAATTATGTTTGAAAAATCTCAACATATGTCCAGATATTAATCAATTAAATGGCTTACAAAGCTCTCAGGCCCATTTGTCTCTCCCACCTCCTCTTTTTGCATTTCATATTTCAACAGTTCCAAACTATTTGTAATTTCTGGTCTAGTCCTGTCTTTTCATCTTGAGCTCTTTGCACACAGTATTCCTCCAGCTTGGAATATTCTCTCTCATTTTTTCCCCTAGCCTTCACAAACACCCAGCCACCAGGCTGATTTAGGTTCTCTAGATCTTTTGTCTCCAGTGAATATTGTACTTATTCCTATTAAAGCAATTATCTTTACATTTATTATCTCTGTCATTATCATCATCCTCATCCTTATCATTATCATCATTCTATGTCTGATGTCCCAGTTCCTGAAGGCAGGAAGCATGGCTTTTCATTACTGTGTCTCTAGCACCCAGCAGTTGCCTAGTATATGTTGACAAGCTTTTAACTGTGCACCTGGAAACATTAGAAATTAATTTGTGATACATTATAATTGGGATGATTAGATAACCATATACTAACTTAGTTGAGGAAGAACAGGAAAAGAAGAGTTAAAACTCCAATATTATAATTAAAAGCAGCTGATAGGTAAGAACATTTTCTCCTCAGTTTGCAGCTAAGTAAACAGGTCCAGAGAAATGAGACAAATTGATTAGAGTGCCACAGTACTTGAAATAAACTTTGAATCATCAACGTTGAATCTGCAGTTATTGGTCCAGTTCCTTGACTTACACAGATCGGGAAACTGAGACCCAAAGACCGAAATAAAAAATAAAATCTTGCAAATATAAGCTTAAAATTTATGAAAAAGCTGATATTCAGCACAGTATCACCCACAGAAACAATTCATTTCATCTCAACTTTATTTTTTTCATTTTAACTTTTAACTGAAGGTTTCTGGGAAGAAATCTACATAGCCATGATATGATGCAGTATGTTTTGGATATCACTTTACTCTTAAGTGAATACTCTAAAATCATATAAATAAATTTTCCCTGCAATGTCAAGTTAAAACAGAAGCAAAATATAAGATATTCTATTTTAATGACCTTGGAGTTTGTTCTAGAAGAAGGCTTATTTGAAATAAGCATAAGTCAAATTAATAAAGGAAGGTGAACCTACCATGTGTAATTCAAGCATTTCTTCAGACTAATAATAAGGACTAACACTTACTGAGCATTTATAATTTGCTGGACACTATGAGTTGTCTCATTTGGTTGTCACCACAATCTTTTGAAGTTGGTACAACTCTTGTCTCCATTTTAGAGAAGAGAAGAGCTAAGGCCTTGAGAGGATAACTTGCCTGAAGACCTGCAGTATGGTAATGGTTCTAAGTCAAACACAGAGACATCTGAAAGAGACAACATTCTTTTTTTTTATATTATACTTTAAGTTTTAGGGTACATGTGCACAACGTGAAGGTTTGTTACATATGTATACATGTGCCATGTTGGTGTGCTGCACCCATTAACTCATCATTTAGCATTAGGTATATCTCCTAATGCTATCCCTCCCCCCTCCGAAGCTGGAAACCATCATTCTCAGCAAACTATCACAAGGACAAAAAACCAAACACCACATGTTCTCACTCATAGGTGGGAACTGAACAATGAGAACACATGCACACAGGAAGAGACAACATTCGTAAACCTGGAACCATCTGATTACATGTAGGTAGTGTAAAATGTTAGAGGTAGAAGGAACCTAAGGCTCATGGATTCACGTAGTTTTCACATTTAAAAAATAGAAACTGTCTTTCAAATTAACTCTAATGCAGAAAGCCGTTACACAAAACTAGTAACAGTGGCTCTGGTTGAAGAAGGATGGGGAATTCTCACTAGCTCATCTTCTCCTTCCCATAATCTCAGGGTTTCAAAGGGGCTCAAACTGCTGATCTCATTCCACTCTCTTTCTCTTTCTCTTTCTCTCTTTCTCTCTCTCTCTGTCTGTCACACACACACACACACACACACACACACACAGACACACACACACATATATTTATCCCTGGGTACAAATGAGGCATATAGAGACAGTGACTTATTCAAATTACACAGCTCAAAGCATCAAGTCATGTTCAGGTTTGTGTTGCTTTCCCATTAAAAGAGGAGGGGTTTTGTGTTTTCCAGAAGGCAAGGGCAAGAAAATTTAGATAACAGAGGGGGTTCTTGAATTCTCTTACTATTTCAATAAAATAAGCTTCTGATTAAAAATATTGTGAAAAGTGAAACATTTTCATTGAGGTCTTCAGCACTTCAATGCTGAAAAGTAATAATAGAGGAATATTTGGGTCATCTAAAAGAAAATAAAATGGATGAATATGGAAGAAGAAAGTTGAAAAGCAGGCAGAAGAATAAAAGAAGGAAATGAACACTTTCCAGTCACTTATTTGAATTCTAACATTGCCTAACATAGAACTCTGCCAAAAAGAGGGTTAAAAGACAACAATACTACAATGTTGAAATTACCACCCATGGAGATATTTGAGCCCCCCACCCCCCCATAGCTCTTTCAGTTGTCCAGATTTCAAGGTACATGTTAATTGTGCTTTTGATCTACAGCAGCAGCATTTTACCCTGTCTTTTACTTCTGGACTAACACTCACATGTAAATTTATTCTCATGACCCCCTGGGACTGAGAAAGATGGAATGTTTTTGTAAAAGACAACAGAGTAAGCATGTGCAAAGTTGTACCTCCCTGCATTATTTATTTATTTATTTATTTGATGTACTGACAGTCTGCTGGCAATGTGATTTTTGGGTCTAGCCAGAAACAAAGACTACAAAGCCATACAAGCATCCAACCCACAAGGATTTGAGAACTGGCTCTGTTTCTAACACCACACTCAGTTACAAGGTAAATTCCACCAATGCCACTTGTGTGCTAAATCTCACATCAAATGAGAAAAAGATTCCAGAAATTAGGGCCAAGGGAGCCTTGAGAGTGAGCCTTCCTGGGCAACTTGTGTGGGAAGAATGGGTCATAACAGGAAGAGAGTGGGTCATCAAAGGAAGGAGTCGGACCAAAATCCACAGAAATCCCAGTGGGCAAATATATGGCATGCACTCCACCACACCCCCAACCTCCTCTTATGGCTGACATTACTAGCTGATCACAGCTCTCTTCCACTCCAGCTCAGGAAATGCTTCTCAATAAGCAGTCCAAACAGCCAAAACAAATCATTTGGAGTTGGCTCTCAATATGAAACTTCATTGCCATGTTGGATCCTGAGCTGTGGTTAAGGGACTGGAAGATGAACAGTCATTCAACTGGACACAGGCTGTTGACCCTTCTTTTCAGGGCAGGTGAGCCTCAGAGCAAAGGAAATAAATATCCTGGTCAGCTGTTCCCTTCAAGATTCTTATGTTTTTGTACAGCTAAAATGAATAGGAATCAAATTGAAGCTACTCCAGGTCCACAATGTGGTAGTGAGCTAGGGCCATGTAGAGCTGTCAATCGGTTCTAAACTGGATATTAGAAGACCTGAATTTTAATCTTCATTCTTTCACTAATTGTGTAACTTTAGACCAGGCTCTTAATTTTGTTGGGTCTAATTTCCCATCTGTAAAAATTGGGAAAAGGTTGATTTGGACTATGTGAATTTTTAAGTTCCTTCTAACCCTAAATTTCCATGACTCAAAGAAATTGCCTACTTGGAAAATAATACCTCATTTCAGCAACAGGTTGTTTCTGGTTAGAAAAGGTTCTTTCAAAGAAGAACAAATAGAATCAAAGAAGAACTGAAAGACTATCAAATTCAACGTGGTGGAAATAGTAGCTTATAAAAGTGCAGGCTAATCAAAGTCTTCATTGCACAGAGATAAAGAATACAGACCCTGGAATCAGATCCCCTGAGTTCCAGGCCAACTGAGCCACTTTATTTATATGATCTGTGTATTTGTTATCTCTTTCCCCATAACAAATTACCTGCAAGAATTCACAGTTTAAAATGACAAACATTTATTATCTGTGGGGTTTTATGGGTCAGGAATACAGGTACAGCTTAGCTGGGTGCCACTGGCTCAAGATCTCTAACAAGACTACAATCAAGGTGTCATATTGAATAAGAGCTGTGATCTTATTCAAAGACTCAGCTGAGAGAGGGTCCATTTTCAAGCCACTTGCTTGGTTGCTGGTAGGATTCAGTTCCTTATAGGCTCTTGGACTGAAAGCCTCAGTACCTTGCTGACTGTTGGCCGAAAGCCTCCTTCAATTCCTTCTACCTGAGTCTCTCCATAGAGCAACACACAGCATAGCAGCTGGCTTCCATCAGAGTGAGCTGGCAAGAAAGCAAGAGAGAGTGAGTACCCAACTTGCATTCTTTTTGTGAACTAATCTCAGAAGTGACATAACATACACTTTCCATACTCTACTCATTAGAAGTAAGTAACTGGGTACAGCCCACACTGGAGGGGAAGGGATTACACAAGGCTGTGAATACAAGGAGGCAAGAATTATTGGTGCCATTTTAGAATCTGCTTACTCCAAACTGGAACCAATTATTTTACTTCTCTAAACCTCAGTTTATTTTTAAATGGGTATAAAATAGCTATATCCAAAAGTTCTTGTAAAGATTAACGAACATTTTATGAAACATTTAATCCATTCAGCACTCAACAATGGTTATTGAAGCAAGCACTCAATAATGGTTATTATTTTTAATAACTGTTTTGTGCTTAACTAGAAAAATTAAGAAATCTGCTCGAGGAAAGAAGACATATTCATATACCTAAAAAGAAAAATAATGGAAGGTGGCGGTAGGTTTGGCAGTGTATTTTATGAAAATCCCTGAATCCTGGCCCATTCTCTCAAAAAAACAGACAGAACGATTATTAGGTTGATGTAAAAATAATTGCAGTTTTTGACACTTACTTTTAATGGCAAAAACAGCAATTACTTTTGTACCAACCTAATAGATTGCAAAACCAAAAACACATAGACAATATACATAAGAAAATTAGACAACTAGGTATCTGTACAAATTCCGGAATAGAAGCTAGTGGTGACAGCATCCAGGAGAATCCCAAATTTGCCATCAGATATTCATTGGAAAGCACAAAAAACTAATCTGACAACAGCGGCTGAAAATAGGTGGGAGTCCTGCAGGACCCAATTTGTAGGTAAGTGCAGTGGTTGACAATAAGTTCTGACTGTTGTTGCTGAAACAATCTGGACCCTGTGAACACTCAAAACTAAAAGGCCAAAGCTCTCTTCTGGGTCAAATCTTTATTGAGGAGAAACTTCTGGCAATAGGATAAAATCAAGGAGGATAAAGAAATAGGGGCAAAAGTAGGAGAAGGTCAAGACACAAGAGGAAGAAGGGGAGAAGCAAATCTTAGAAGCATAGGCCCATCTTGTTTTATTTCTTTGGTAAAGAAATCTACTTTTACTTAAAAATGAGCAACAGAAATGGATTGAGGTTGAATTATGAAAAAAAGGGAACAAGAAATTGAATAATGGAGGAGATATCCCTAGAGAGAATAAAAACATGACAGAAAGGCATGCCCTCCAAACAGATTAAAATTGTAACTTAAATTTCCAAACAAATAAAAAGACATTTTTTAATGATAGAAGCTATAAAAGAATAAATAAGTCAGGATTGGATAGTCTGATCTGAGTGGAAAGTATGAAGATTTGAAAGAAAGGATAAAGAATTCTTTCTCAGGAAAGAATTAAACTAGTTTAAATTAATAAATTAACACTAAATTGGAAGAAACAAAAGAGCAAATAAACACAATGGATACTGTCTTAAGTAAAAGATGGAAAGAGGAAAAATATTTTCAATGAAAAGGAAATTAAAGATTTTTTTAAAAGATTTGAGAGAAAATAGTAGATACAGAACATGGGAGTGGGGATGCTTCTGTATAATGGTAGTCCCTGACAAAGAAAATCAAAGCAATGGGACAGAGCAAACACTAAAAACTGTAACTTAAGAAAAATTTCTATTCAGGAGGCTGAGGTGTGATGATCACTTAAGCCCAGGAGGCTGAGACTGCAGTGAGCTCTGATCGTGCCGTTGCACTCCAGCCTGGGTGACAGAGTGAGACCCTGTCTCACCAAAAAAAAAGAACAAAACTTTAATGAAATAAAAGATGACATAAATCTATATACTAGGAAAATCAACCCAGAATAGCCAACCCTGAATCATGTTCCAGTCAAAAGTATTGTATTTTAAATAAAAAGAGGACTTATTTGGGCTACCAGGCAAGAAGATCAACTCACTTATAAGGAAAAATAATAAGACTGTCATTAGCTTTTCAGCAGCAAAACTTATGCCAGAAGACACAGAAATAATACACTTAAGTTATTCGAGAGGAAGAAAACTAAGATGTGCAAGAAAGAAAATAGGAAAACAAAATTTACAAAAATTAGCTGGGCATAGTGGTGCATGCCTGTAACCCCAGCTACTCAGGAGGCTGAGGCACAAGAATCACTTGAACCTGGAAGGTGGAGGTTGCAGTGAGCCAAGACTGCACCACTGCACTTCAGCCTGGGTGACAGAGCGAGACCCTGTCTCCATAAAAAAAAGAAAAGAAAAGAAAAAAGTTTTAATTTTGATGATATCCAGTTTATCTGTTTGTTTTGTTGCTTGTCCTTTTGGTGTCATATCTGAGCCCATTGTAAAACCTACGTTTATGAAGATTTACCTCCTGTGTTTTCTTCTAAGTATAGTTTTAGCTCTTTGATGGATGTCTGTAATGCATTTCAAGTTAATGTTTGTGTATGGTGTGAGATAGGTGTCCAGCTTCATTCTTTCATTTGTGGATATCTGTTGTCCTAGCACCATTTGTTGAAAAGATTATTCTTTACTGAATTATCCTGACACCCTTGTGAAAAATCAATTGATCACAGATATATGTGTTTACATCTGAAGTCTCAATTCCATTACATTGATTTATATGTCATCTTTATTGCCAGTATCACACTGTCTCAATTCCTGTAGTTTGTAGTAAGTTTTGTAATTGGAAATATGAGATCTCCAACTTTTTTTGAAGTTATTTTGGCTATTCTGGATCTCTTTTATTTTCATATGAATTTTAGGATCAGCTTATCAATGTCTTTAAAGAACCCAGCTGGGTTTTGATAGGGATTATGTTGGATCTGTAGTTAAAGTTGGTGCTTTTGTATACTAGCTTCTAGTATTCTGTGTCATCAACGGCATCTTCATATTAACTTGCATATGGCAGATTATAAATTTTCTCTGTACAAAATATTGAAGCATGATTGCGGGCTAACCTACCAGTGAGAGGGGCTATTATGCAACTAATAGTATTTCATATTTGTTGAAAGGCAGGAGAAACAGCACATTCAATTACCTCATGTTGGGATGGAGAGAATTAGGTTGATTCAAGAGATATTTAAGAGGTTGACTCCACAGGACTTGATAATTGATAGAGTGTGAGAGACAAGGCAGAAAAAGATAGAAAAGATTATGTTTACATTTCTTTGAGCAGCCAAGATGGGGAATGTTGAAGAAGGAGCTGAATTCCTTCGAGTTGATCATTTCTCTGCCTATACCTGTAGATTTCTGGTCCCTCTAGGCTATTGTATCCAGGGCTCAAGAGGTAGGACAAGGCCAAGATTTAGGATGCAGGCATGTACACAAAAATATGTTAAAGCTGGAAGAGTTGATAGAGTTACTACATTAGGAATAGCCAAGGTTTCATTTGTGTAGAGACAAACATAAGAGCTCTGAATGCATCCACAGAAATCAGAGCTTACATCCAAGGACATCAATGCTACGGGAGAGAAGGATGAAACATCAGTACTGTGAGGATAGACAACCTGAGATATCAATGAGGGCAGAAGTTAGGCTGGGGTCTCCAGAATCAGATGTTCAACTGACAGCAAGTGTGAAGGAGGACTTTGTCAGGGAGAACTGGGATCAGTTTTCAGAACCAGGAGAGTAGAATACATAACGTCATCTACCTGGCATCTGAAGTTAATCAAAACTAGTGTTTATCAAAGAAAGTTAAAAAAAGAATCATCTGCAAAACATGTAAAATGGAAATTCCTGGATATCTCTTTCAGCAGGTCAACAAGAAGCTCAAGTGATTCTGCCACAAATGGAATATTGATCGTAATTTAAGAAACACTGATGAAACTATCAAAAAGACCAATTTCATGATGAATCAGCAGGCTACTAGGAAATATGTCCTCTGTTGACGTCTAGGACAAATCTTAATGAATGAATGGAGACTGGGGTTATCTACCAGGAGGAGAGCTGTTACCGGAAAGAGGGGTCTTGATCCAGACCCCAAGAGAGGCTTGAATCTTGCACAGGAAAGAATTCAAGGCAAATGGCAAAGTGCAGTGAGAAAGGATATTTATTGAAAGCTACTTAATTACAGAGTAGGGCGTCCTCAGAAAGCAAGAGGAGGAATGGACTGTCTTTAAGTTTTTCTTATATAGGGATCTTGTCTATGTAAAGACTAAACTAAGCTGTGCCTGCAGGTGGATGGACAGATAGCATGACAAAATTTAGTACTTTATCAATTTAAAGAAATCTATCCTTGACATCTTAGTGTGTAAGTACATCAAAGCATAACTATAATTATCTTGAAAGCATATATTATTATGGGTGTTGGGACACCTGGACTTTCTGTTGTAGAAATTTCTCCTTGCCGGTGTCTTTCAACTCTCTCCTTAGCTGTAAACATAGTCATGACCTAGTCAGGACTATTGATCAAGACCAGGAAGGAATATGCCTTGTCAGTATTAAGATGAAGTTGATTTTAAAATGGTGTCACTCTGGATCTCCTAGACTCCTGCTTCCCTAACACAGTCACACGAGATAAACCTTTGGCCAGTCACGTCCTGTCATCCTCTAAATCAGGGATTCTTGAACTGGTTAGAAGGGGGAAGGGCAGACAAGTTTGCTTCTCAGAAAAATTGGCATTATTCTGATAAATATATGATTGTCATGACTGGGGAGGGTACTACTGGCATCTAGTAGGTAGAGGACAAGGATGCTGCTACACATACAATGTGCAGAGTCACCCCCATAGCAAAGAATTGTCCAGTCCCAAACATCAGTCTTGCTGCTGTTGAGAATACCTGCTCTATATCCTGAACTAACATAGGATCTTGTAATAAAGAGAAGAGTAATTCCTTGCCAGATTGAAGAGACTGGCTAAGGTAGTTCTAACTCATTTTCTTTGGGGTTGCTACAGTCAGCAATATCCACACCACTACTGAAAATGTTTTGGAAAGAGAAGGATTAGTGAGAAGGGTATGCAATCAGACAGGAAAGCTCCAGGAACTCCCCTGAAGTCTTTTCCATGAAGACTGATCCATGACAACAGCTGTGTGCATGGTATTAGAAATCCCTGTGGAAAGTGACCAATAAAGAGATGTCGTATTTGTATAACAGTTTAGTTCACAAAGCACTCGTACATTGTTTAGCTTTTTCTTTGCCTTGGGAGGTAACCAGGTAGTATTAGTTTCCTGTGGCTGCTGTAACAAATAACCAGAAATTTGGTGACTTCAAACAACAGAAATTTATTTTTTAGCAGTTCTAAAGGTCAGAAGTCAGCTTGGTGCAGTGGCTCATGCCTATAATCCTAACACTTTGGGAGGCTGAAGCAGGAGGATCATTTGAGCCCAGGAAATTGACAACAGCCTAGGCAACATGGCAAGACTTTGTCTGTACTAAAAAATTAGCCAGGTATGGTTGTGCATGCCTGTAGTCCCAGCTACTTGGGAGACAGAGGCAGCCAGATCACTTGAGCCCAGGAGTTTGAGGCTACTATGATCATGCCACTGCACTCCAGGCTGGATGACAGAGCAAGACCCTGTCTACCAAATATCGTTTTAATTTTTTAAAAAAGCACATTTCCAGGACTCTTTTCAAACCACTTGAATCTGAGTCTTATGGTGGGAGATGGAAAGAAACTGTTGAGAATCTATATATTATCATGTTTTCCAGAAGGCCCAGCATTATTCAAAAATCACTATTCTAAATTCTTAGTCCAACATAACATATCTCAACATCTAGATATAATCCCTTTCTCTAAAGCCAGGTCTTGCTAGTTGGAGCTCAAGTTGTAATGGAATATAATTAGTACCTGTAATATGTCTTTCATTAAAATAATAAGGTATCAAATTACATACTTCTTTTTTATTAAAAAGGAAAATTAAATCCTTTGATATTTTCTTTTTGAAAATCAATAGGAAAACTCCAAGACCCATCTTTCAATACATGCTCAAGGAAATCGTTCAAAAATCCACACTACCCAAATCCAACATTATTTGTGATTGAATTTCTTCTTTAAATATCTTTCAGTTACTGCCACATTTTAATTCCTAGCTAAAATTCTACCAACAGTCACACAGTTCAATATTATCTGGTTACAGCGGGTACTTGGTGAAAACAAATGGAATCTGGATTTAAGTCCTATATTAAAATTGCTTTTGCATAGTATAATTTGCATTTTATAAGGCCAAAGGCAAAATGGCTAAAATAACATTCAACAGGAGCCTGTGATTGGCTAAACTGAAGAGGAAATGATACATTACAAAATCTCAAAGCCAGACATAAGCTTAGCCTGTCTTTGATTGTTTTTTTTTCAATGCCAAGAAATTGAGTACAGTAAATTGCTCAAACCAACAATATAAAAATTTGCTCTTCTTGGCAAAGATCTTCATATTTCTGAATGTTTTCTTCTTTCTTTTGGCTTTGATATCCAGTAGTTTTGTTCTTACTCTTAAATGGAGGCAATATCTATGACATTTCCACATACAATATCTGAACCTCAAAAAAAGGGAGGGTGTATTAGTCTGTTTTCACACTGCTGATTAAAACATACCCAAGACTGGGCACAAAAGAAAGAGGTTTAATTGGCATTAGAGTTCCACATGGCTGGGGAGGCCTCACAATCATGGCAGAAGGCAAGGAGGAGCAGGTCACATCTTATGTGGATGGCAGCAGGCAAAGAGAGAGCTTGTGCAGGGCAACTCCCATTTTTAAAACCATCAGATCTCATGAGACCCATTCACTATCACAAGAAAAGCATGGGAAAGACTCGCCCTCACAATTCAATCATCTCCCACCGGGTTCCTCCTACAATATGTGGGAATTATGGGAGTTACAAGGTGAGATTTGGGTGGGGACACAGAACCAAACCATATCAGAGGTAGTGGAAAGAAGAATCATCAGTGGAGGCTATTTATGTATGCATACTCCCTACTTGGTAGAAATTTTCTCATTTTTAAGACTCAACAAGATGCACTTCCTCAGTGGAGACTTTCCTACCAATTCCTATCTCAAAGGCATAATTAACCACTTCCCTAATGTATTAACGATATGTCTACCTGATTGTATCATGGCCCCTCTGACAATTTAGTTATTGTATACATACCCATCTTCATCTATCAGATCACACATCCCTTTAGAGCAAGGTCTATCCCATTTATCTTTATCTTTATATCCCCAGCACTTAACAAAGTTGGCACACTGAAGGCACTAAATAAAGTGAATGAATTAATGTTCTCCTTGCCAACAAAGCTGAATAAAATGTGAAAATAAAAAACAATCAAGAATTCTGCTCAAGTACAAAATATAGGGATAGCTTGGAGATATTGGGGGTTTGGTTCCAGAGCACCTCAATAAAGCGAATGTCACAATAAAGTGAGTCACACACATTTTTTGGTTTCCCAGTGCATACAGAAGTTGTGCCTACACTATACTGTAGTATATTAAGTGTGAAGTGGCATTCAGTTTTGTAAAATTTACATACCCTAGTTAAAAAATCCTTTATTGCCAAAAAATGCTAATGATCATCTGAGCCTTTAGTGAGTCCCAATCTCTTTGCAGGTGGAGGGTCTTACCTCAGTGTTAATGGCTGCTGACTGATCAGGGTGGTGGTTGCTACAAGTTGGGGTGGCTGTGGGAATTTCTGAAAATAAGACAACAATGAAGTTTACTGCATTGACTGACTCTTCCTTTCGGGAAATATTTTTATGTGGCATGTGATATTGTTTGATAGCATTTTACCGATAGAACTTCTTTAAAAATTGGAATCAGTCTTCTCAAATCCTACTGCTACTTTATCAAGTAAGTTTATGTAATATTCTTAATTTTTGTTGTTATTTCAACAATGTTCACAGAATCTTCAACAGGAATAAATTTCATCTCATGAAACCACTTCATTTGCTCATCCATAAGAAGCATCTCCTCATTTGTTCAAGTTTTATCACGAGACTGCAACAATTCAGTCACATCTTCAGGCTCCACTTCTAATTCTAGTTCTCTTGCTGTTTCCACCATATCTGCTCCTCTGCTAAAGTCTTGAACTTCTCAAAGTCATCCATAAGGGTTGGAATCAATTTCTTCCAAATTCCTGTTAGTGTTGATATTTTTACCTTCTCTCATGAATCACGAATATTCCTAACAGCATCTAGAATGGCAAATCCTTTCCAGAAGGCTTTCAACTTACTTTGCCCAGCTTCATCAGAGGAATTACAATCTATGGCAACTAGCCCTACAAAATGTATTTCTTAAGTGTTAAAACTTGAAAGTCAAAATTACTCATTGATCCATGGACTACAGAATGAATGTTGTTTGCAGTCATGAAAACATTATTAATCTCTTTGTATATCTCCATCAGTACTCTTGAGTGACCAGGTGCCATCTTCAATGTACAATAATATTTTGAAAGGAATCTTTTTTTCTGAGTAGTAGGTCTGATATGGTTTGGATTTGTGTCCTTACCTAATGTCATGTCGAATTGTAATCCCCAGTGTTAGAAGAGGGGCCTGGTGGGAGGTGATTGGATCATGGGGGCAGATTTCCCTCTTGCTCTCCTTGTAATAGGAGTGAGTTCTCATGAGATCTAATTGTTTAAAAGTGTGTAGCATCTCCCCCTTCTCTCTCTTCTTCCTGCTCCTGCCACGTAAGACATGCCTGCTTCCCCTTCTACCAGGATTGAAAGTTTCCTGAGGCCTCCCCTGCCATGTTTCGTGTATAGCCTGTGGAACTGTGAACCCATTAAACCTCTTTTCTTTATAAATTACCCAGTTTCAGGCATTTCTTTATATCAGTATGAGAAGGGACTAGTCCAAGGTCTCAACTGTGGGCTTAAAATATTCAGTAAACCATACTAGAGACAGATGTGCTGTCATGCAGGCTTTATTGTTCCATTTATACAGCACAGGCAGAGTAGATTCTGCATAATTCTTAAGGGCCCTGGGATTAGTAAATGAGCATTGGCTTCAACTTTAAGTCATCAGCTGCATTAGCCTCTAACAAGAGAGACTGCCTATCCCTTGAAACTTTGAAGCCACGCACCAACTTCTCTTCTCTAGCTAGGAAAGTCATAGATGGCATATACTTCCAATAGAAGACTGTTTTATCTACATTGAAAATCTCTTTAGTATAGTCACATTCACCAATGATTTTAGCTGGATCTTCTGGATCACTGGCTGCAGCTTCTACATCAGCACTTGCTGTTTCATCTTGCATTTTTATGTTACAGAGACAGCTTCTTTCCTTAAACCTCATCAACCAACCTCTGCTAGCTTCAAACTTTCTTCTGCAGCTTCCTCACCTCTCCCAGCCTTTAAAGATTTGAAGAGAGTTAGGGCCTTAACTCTGTATTAGGCTTTGGGTTAAGAGAATGTTGTGGCTGGTGTGGTCTTATATCCAGACCACTGATACTTTCTCCCTATCAGCAATTAGGCTATCTTGCTTCCTTATCATTTGTACTTTCACTAGAGTAGCACTTTTAATTTCCTTCAAGAACGTTTTCTTTGCATTCACAACTTGGCTAACTGTTTGGTGTAGGAGGCCTCGCTTTAGGCCTATCCTAGCTGTTGACACGAAATAGCTAAGCTTAGCTATTTCTAGCTTTTGATTTAAAGTGAGAGACATACGACTATTCCTTCAACTTGAACATTTAGAGGCCATTGAGGGGTTACTAATTAGCCTAATTTCAATATTGTTGTATTGCAGGGAACAGGGACACCCAAGGAGAGGGAGAGAAAAGGAACAATCAGTAAGCAGAGCAGTGAAAACACACACACAACATTCACTGATTAAGCTCTCTGTCTTATATGGCTGCAGTTTGTGGTGCTCCATAACAATCACGATAGTCACATCAAACATTACTGATCACAGATCATCACAACAGATGTAACAATAATGAAATATTATGAGATTTCCCAAAACGTGACACAGAGACAAGAAGTGAGCACATGCTGGGGGAAAAATGGTGCCGATAGACTAGCTCAGCACAGGGTTGCCACAAATCTTCAATTTTTAAAAAATGTGTTATCTTTGATGTGCAAAAAATAAAGAACAATAAAACAAAGTATGCCTGTAACCAATAGAATTTTTATCTTATTTTTTCTTTTCTCTTATTTTTTCAAAACCATATTATTTTTTTCAGGGTTTTAATATCATTATTTTGACAGTCTTTAAAAGGAGAGGCACTTCAAGAAAGGAATCAAATAACAGAAGCAGAAAAAGAGAAATAGGCCTCGTTGTATGGTGCCTGTTCACATTTTGCAGCCATTTACTATCATCTTACTGCTGGTTCTAAATATGTCCAGTGGAATGCAGAGTTAGAGTAAGTGTTCAAATTATTAAATCAAATAATGTGACCTTTTCCCAATTGCTTTAGAAATATTGGATTTACATATTAAGTCCTTCAATTTTAAGTTATTTTTCAAAAAGATTTTTAAAATAACTTTGGAAATAACTTCTCTTTGTCTATGACAAATCACCTGAATTTACTTATTAAGTATAGATCAGTGGATAATTCAGTTACCATTTGGAAAGGAATCTTTTATTTTGAGCAGCAGATCTCAACAGTGAGCTTAAAACCACGCTGTAAACGAATGTGCTGTTGTCCAGGCTTTGATGTTCCATTTACATAGCATATCATAAACTTATGCTTACTTAGACAACTTGTCTTTTTCATAGGCTTCTTTGCTTGTGGTTTTGAATAACTTATAACCAGAGAAACAAAAATGTCCAGGTCTCTCTTAGCATCCTGTGAGTACAAAATGGGAATTGCATTTATATCCAAGCAGACTAGTGCTGGATTAAGCTCTTGACTCTCAGCTACAAGCCACCCTTTTATATACTGGGACTATGATACTGGGACTGGGGCTTTGCAAATGCCATTTCTCTTTTGTGAGAGCAGCTTCTGTTAGGTTCTATAAATTGATTCAATAGAGAGAGACAGGAAGATTAGAGGAGGAAGAAGGGACTTGCTCTTTTCCTTGTGCTTCCCATTCTTGTCATTGCTGCCCAGCAATGTCCTTTCAACCCAGTGACAAAGTCTACTTCTGGTTTCCCACTTATTCCATCACTGCCAGAACCAGCCTCATCACATGCCCTCAGAAGATGGTACCACCACCGCTGGGAGGTTTTATTCCCAGCTTCACAGGACCCCCCCAAGCTTGCAGGTTTTAATAATCTACCTCTTTCCTTTGTTCCCCCAATCATGGGTGGCATAATTGCTCTCTGAATGTATCTATATGTATTACCATAATGTTCCCTTTTTGTCATACTGTTTGATCAATTTCATTTATTAAATTCTTTCTTTTAAAAATAACTAGTGTGGTTTTTGTTCTCATAACTGGACCCTGGTGCCTTGTTTGATTTGTCAATGTATAAATCATACATAGGGATAGAAGAATGCTGGTCCAGCTTTAGCAAACTATAATAGCAAATGGGGACCATATTTATAGTTGGGAGAATTGAGGGGTTTTATCTGTAAAAAAAAAAATACTGTGTGTGTGTGTGATAACATGAGATCTACCACCTTAACAAAATTTCTCGTGACAATACAGTATTGTCATTGATGGGTACAAAGTTGTACAGCAGATCTCTAGAACTTATTCATCTTGACTTAACTGAAACCTGATGCCCATTGATTAGTAACTTCCCATTTCCCCCTCCTGCCAGCCCCTGGCAACCACCATCCCACTCTGATTCTACAAATTTGACTATTTTATGTACCTCACATAAGTAGAAACATGCAGTAATTATATTTCTGTGACTTATTCTGTGACTTATTCTGTGACTTAGCTTAATGTCCCCTGGGTTCATCCACGTAGTCATATATTGTAGAATTTCCTTTATTACTTTGTCTGAATCATACTTTATTCTATCTATATACCATATTTTCTTTAAACATTTATCTGACAATGAATATTTAGGTTGCTTCCACATCTATTATAAATAGTCCTGAAATCAACATGGGAGTGCTAATATCTCTTCAAGATCCCAATTTTAATTATTTTGGATGACTATTCAGAAGTGGGATTGCTGGATCATATGCTAGCTCCATTTTTACTTTTTTGAAGAATTTCCACACTGTTTTCCATAGCAACTGTACCATTTGCATACCCACAAACAGCATACAAGGGTTTTAATTTCTCCACATCCTCACAAACATTAGTTGTCTTTTTTATATATGTAATAGCCATCCTGACTGGTGTAAAGCGATATCTCATTCTGGTTTTGATGTGAATTCCTCTAATGATTAGTGACAGTGAGCATTTTTCCATATAACTGTTAGCTATTTGCATGTCTTCTTTGGAGAAATGTCTATTCAAGTCCTTAGTCTATTTTTTAATCGGGTAATTAGATTTTTTTGCTATTAACTTATAGGAGTTCCTTATTTTTTTTAGAGTAACCCCTTATCAGATATTTGTTATGTAAATATTTTCTCCCATTCTATAGTTTGTCTTTTCACTGTATTGATTGTTCCCTTTACTGTCCAGAAGCATTTTAGTTTGATGTAGTACCACTGTTTATTTTTGCTTTTGTTGCCTGTCCTGTGCTTTTGGGTATTTTGTCCTACCCAAAAAATAATTGCCAAGGCCAATGCCATGAGGCTTTCCTCATGTGCTAGGAATCTTACAGCTTCAAGTCTAATATTTAAGTCTTTAGGTATATTAAATTTATTTTCGAGTATGATATAATAGAGTATAATTTTCTTCTTTTCTTTTGCATGTGGATATTCTGTTTCCCCAACATTGAATAAATTATCTTTTCCCCATTATGTACTCTTGGCACCCTTACTGAAGATTAGGTGATCATATATGCATAGATTTATTTCTGGGCTCTCTCTTCCATTCCATTGGTCTATATATCTGTCTTTATGCTAGTACCATAGCGTTTTCATTACCGTAGCTTTGTAATGTACTTTGAAATCAGGAAGGGCAACATGTTCAGCTTTGTTTTTCTTTCTGAAAATTGAATTGGCTATAAGATTATCAGTGATTTTTTAGCACAGAACTTGCCAGCCAGAAGGCAATGAGATATTAATATTCAAAATAATGAGAGAAAAAACTGCCAAGAGTGCTATGCTTGGCAAACCAGACCTTCAAAAAGGAAGGAAAAATAAAGACTTTCCCAGAAAAACAAGAACTGAGGGAGTTAATTACCACTAGAGCTGCTTTATGAGAAACGCTAAAAGTTCTTCAAGTTGAAATGAAAAAATGCTGAACAGCAACACAATAGTAAGAAAATATGAAATTCTTTGATAAAGATAAATACATAAATACGGAATATTATAATACTATAATGGTGGTAGGTAAGTGACTTTTAATTTTAGTATAAAAGTTAAAAGACAAAAGTATTAAAAATGACAATAAAAATGCATTAAAAGGTACATAATATGAATAAATAAAACCTGTAACAACAATAATGTTATGTTGTAAAATGTGTAGGGGGCAGAGAAGTTAGTTTTTGTTTATAATTGAATTTAAGTTGTTATCAGTTTAACATAGACTGTTGTGACTGTATTTTATATAGACTCCAAGATAACCACATACAAAGAATACCTATAGAAATCGCACAAAAGGAAGCAAATCTAGAAAACTCAAAGAAAGACACAAAGAGAGGAAAAGACTAACAGAAGAACTACAAGACTAACAGAAAACAACAAAATGGCAATAGTAAATTTTTCCCTATTCATAATTACTTTAAAGGTAAATGAATTAATCTCTCCAATCAAGAGACGTACAGTGGCTGAATGAATTTAAAAAATAAGACCCAAACTACATACTATCTACAGGAAATTCACATTTATATTTAACCGAACACATCCTCACCTGCTAAAGCAAGAATTTAGTACCATCTCAAAAGGTCCTTTGAAAGACAAAATTATATCTTCTCATACATTAGTCTATAAGAACAATTCATTATTAGTCTATAAGCACAATGTACTATTCCAGCTCCCATTTATCCATATCCACTTCTTACAAAACTGCTTTGAAAACATCTCAATTCTAATGTCTACGTCAGGAGTACAATAATTGGATGCCTCCAAAGCTGCCAATTTTCTGTGACTCACTGGGTCCTACCATAAAAGGAAATGGCAAAGCTTCCATAAAGTGATGTGGGAAAATATCCATACCATATACTGGTAGGTTGGAGAAGCAGCTATCAGAAATATATTTATGTTATTATGTCATAAATACATGCCGTTTTTAAAAATCTTGATTGCAAAAATGTGAGGAAGCAAGAGGTTGGATGTATATGTATTAAAATTAACAGTGATTATCTCTGAGTGGATTAGATTATAAATTTAAAACAATTTTGGCTTCTCTGTATTTTCTATTTTATCTTTTAAGAAAATGTAAATTATCTTAAATTTAAAATTTTAAGCACACACACACACACACATATATATAATCCCAAATGATCAGACAGACATTTTTAAAAATTATAACTATTATGCATCTTCCTACCAAAGAAAATTACATTTTTCTCCTTCCTGAGAAGTTAAAAAAAGAAAACTAAAGATATCAATTACATAATTCATGACGAGTCATCCAACCAGCCCCTAACACCTATTTACAAAAAGTATGAAGGTTAGCTTTAAGTTGCTTGGTAAAGTCCTGAAAGTAGTATCCCAAAGTACGTCTATTTATTCCGTCAAGCATGCAACTACATTATTTCATGGAATTAAATATGTAATATTGAACCATGTACTTCAATTAAAAATATATGTATATAGAGTTCAGATCTATCCATAAAGATCATAAAACTGAAAATTTAAAACAAAACAAAACGCTTTTTTAAAAATCAGCTAAATTCATTTGTCTGGGAAGCTGTTTACCCAATACATGATTTCTGGTCGGGTTCACTCATTTTTCTGTTTTTGGCATCAATGGAACCCTTTATTGTATACCACATAATTACATCCCTTCTTAGCTAGCCAACACATTATTTGTGCTAAGGGAAAATGGATACCTTGGTTTTTGTGTCATAAATATAACAAGGTTTCTTGTTACGTTTAAGAGATTTAACCCAAATTTTTCTCTTAGGATTGATATTGTTGCAAATCACTAAGTCTGGGGTTATAACATTTGGGATATTACTTATCTTTAAAATTTATTTTCTATTTTTCTATTTATATTTTGGTGTTGAAATAAATGTATTTATAAGTACATTCCTACTTAAAGACAATCTGTCACATGGAAATTAAAATGTGCAAGAGGCCCCTGTAATTCTAGGACTTTGGGAGGCCAAAGCAAGCAGATAAAGACCAGCCTGGGTAACACGGTGAAATTCCGTCTCTACAAAAAAAATAAAAAATTATCTGGGTGTGGTGGTGCACATCTGTGGTCCCAGTTTCATGGGAGACTGAAGTGGGAGGATCACTTGAGCGTGGGAGGTGGGAGGTTGCAGTGAGCTAAGATGGCACCACTGCACTCCAGCCTGCGTGACACAGTGAGACTCTGTCTCAAAAAAATTTTTTTCTCAATTAAAAAAATTGCAAAGGGTAAATTGTGAGTAAGGGCTGATTATTGTAATTCAAAAGGGATGTCTCCATATCATAAACTACTTGACAGAGACTTGGAGGAGGAAGTAGGTATTGGCAGGTGGTGAAATAGGAAGATGGAAGAAACACCTAAACCTTAAGTGTTAAATGTCTGTAGACAAGTAGAAGAGTATCAGAAATACTAATGTAAGTATATGAAAAGCCAATATAACACATATTTTATTTATAAAAAATTAGTCTACAGTATGATTTTTAGGAACACATATAATATGGAAATCAATATTTGTTCATAGTATAAATTTGCCCTTCATTTTTATTAAGACACTGAACAAATTGAATGTTTACCATGTTTCAAGGCACTTTGCAAAATTGTCACTTATGATAAGCATGGAGCTATGGCCTAGTCAGTCTTAAAATGAAAACCCCAGAATGTATTATTAGCATCATACAAAATAAATGTATAAAGCTATTTAAAATTGCTTGTAGCATCAAGGATACCCATGTTTTATGGTTCTTAGGCAAGGCTAACAGTGGGGGTGGTGGGGTATGGATGGGCCCAGTTGGGGCTGCTTGGAGCCAACAGAGTCTACAGTTTTTACATGAGTCATCTTTTATTTAGTCATTGCAAGTGTCAGGAGAATATCTCCAAATGTGTGATCTAATAAGTAGCATGGAATTTTTACTACGCATTTTGAATAGCTCATACTCAGAAACTATCCCATTTCCAAATGGTCCAGTCTGTCCAATTTGACAGGGAGAATGTGCAACAGCTGCAAAGAAAGACTTGATGTATTACTTGAAATCACTAAAATAAGAAAACCAGTTCCACTGTGTTTGAAAATAATGAGTTTAAAAATGGAGTGATCATTAAAATGGCAATGTTTATTTCTAAATTAAATGATATTTGTCTTTATTGAAAGGTGGTTTTCAATGTAATTAGTGGAAAACATTCATTGATAGCTTACAGTGTGCCATTCATGGTTCTAAGTGTCTTATTTGTATTCCTGAGTTGATGCTCACCCCGACTTTGGAAGCAGGTTCTTCTATCATGACCACCTTATAAATAAAATCTGAGACACAGAAAGGGGAAGCAACATAACCAAGGACATACTGGTCCTTGATACAAGTGTCAAAGCTCAACCAATACATTATGCAGCCTCAATTACTAGTTTAAATGTTCTATTTTTCCAATCCACTGATACTTTAAAGGTTAACTATTTCCTTAAACTTGATTCAAGTTTTCTCTGGAACTTTAACAGACTCTATCTGCCAGTTTTCCAACTGATGGGTTTCTATATATAGGCCTTATCTTAAGTGTACCTCTCACATAGTTTGAAAAGTTTACTCTTCTAAGCAAGTATAAAAGTAGCTATTTTCAGAACTAATTTGACATGAATTTTTTTCCATCAGCTAGTTTTCTGCGCAGATCATTGGACTCTCAAAATTGAATAAAAATAGTAAAGCTCAAATCCATTTGGGTAATGTGAAGCTAGAAGTATGCATAATAGAGAATGGTTTAGTTTTTCCTCTTTGTGCACCTCAAAAACATCTGAAAAGATTTAACCTTCTCAAAAAAATGCTCACCTTTGGGCTGAAACCAAGTAGAAAGAACTTCAGTTTCAAAGGAAGCATTCTTTTTAAAAAATTCTGAGTGAATTAGACGAGGCAATTGCCTGGAATTTGGTTGCATATGAAGCTACATTTTGTGCCCACACATGCTCTGGTGTTGACTTCCTGCTCAGTCAGTACTGATAGTTATTATTCTATAAAATAAATATTTGCTTCTCAGGGCTATAAATCCTGAGACCACCTTACAATCTTTAATGGACTTCATCTTTTAAAGCGAAGAGGAATGTAGCCTCCTTTTTCTTTTGGTTCACGATTTAAGGGGTGGTAGGAAAAAGATGTTGGAACATTTCCCTGTCTTTCAACCAACCCCCATATCTAGTGGCTCCTTAATTATATCCTCCATGGAAAGCAATTGATGCCTGTTGATAATACATACCATATTTCCTCTGTCTTAAAACCTCACCAGTTTAATAATAGTTTTTGGCTGTAGGGGAAGGAGGGAAGAAGAAATACTACCACATTAAATCATTAAATGAACACATTGATTATGAGGCAGAACTAGATATCAGACACATTAAATTATGAAAAAGTATGTCTTAGAATTGAAGAGATTTGAGTTTTGTTGAATTGAATTAAACTGAAAATAAGGGCCTCCAAAGAAGGATTAGAACTGAGAGATATGAAGTTTCTTTTTTTCTCTTAAATTGTATTAATTTTAAATATCATCGTCATTACTGCCTCTGCTTTTTCTTTTTCTTTTTCTTTTTTTTTTTTTTTTTTTTTTTTTGAGACAGAGTCTCACTCTGTCGCCCAGGCTGGAGTGCAGTGGTGCGATCTTGGCTCACTGCAACCTCCACCTCCTGGGTTCACGCCATTCTCCTGCCTCAGTCTCCCGAGTAACTGGGACCACAGGCACCCGTCACCACGCCTGGCTAATTTTGTATATTTTTAGTAGAGATGGGGTTTCACCGTGTTAGCCAGGATGGTCTCAGTCTCCTGACCTTGTGATTCACCTGCCTCAACCTCCCAGAGTGCTGTGATTACAGATGTAAGCCACCGCGTCCTGCCCATTACTGCCACTGCTTTTTCTAGGAGAATCTACTCCCACCTACAGTCTCTTCTGCATCCCTAATCACAGTTGATTAGACAACAGGTAGATATTTGACACCATCTGGGCCAATCAGATTTTTTTCATCCTGAGAATTTGAAATTCTGGCTCAATTTGCTGGGGAAGCTGAATATCAGAGACATTAAAGTCAGGATCAGTGTAAAGCTCCTGGCCAAAATCATCATGTGTCAGTCAAAGTTATGAACCCCAGGGATAGCCAACATGCAGAGAATGCAGATGCAGGCTGTGTGGTTCTTTGAAAGAACCACAAGGTGGAACAGTCTCAGGTCCCAGTTTTTCAGTTTCACTGCCTTTTCAACTCAGCTATACTTAATGTGCCTCCTTTTGCCAGTTTTAGCCCTAAAATCAACTTTTTGTTTTAATAACTTGAGTGGATTTTTAAAAACAATAGACCCATTTTCCATTCTCAAGTCATTATTTTTTGTGTTCATTTTTAGCTACAATGTAATGTTCATGCATAGAGATGATATCTGCTATAATATTACATAGGAAGCTCCAGGCAACCAAATGAAGTTCAATGATTTACTGAAAGTTTTAACCAACTGAGGTAGCGCTGGGTCCTCAACTAGGTTTTCTTTACCGCCTAAGAAAGTGAAATCTGCTCTAAATCTACATGAAAGCTGCATTCACTTGAAAGTAAGTATTGGCTGTTTCCAAGTTCCGTTGCTGGACTTTGTCAGTATGTATTTCCTTACAGAAATAATGTTTTTAATGGTAGTTGAATTTCAAGATTAGGCCACAAATACCTGCTTGACTTATCAAGAATCTGAAGCCCACATTATTTATTAAGAAAATAGTGTGATACAATACTGTAGCAATGGTAGCTATTAAACAAAACAGTGCATTGAATTAAGAACTCGTTTCATGTATTGTGAATGTTTGGCTTGAGGAAGAACACATTTTATTGGAAGTATTATGCTGATTCCTAGAAGCAGATCTGGTTATTTTCAAAGACTTTTTAAGAGTTTCGGGAAACCAACTCTTCTCCGTTATGCCTAATTATACCTCAACATTTAACACCATTAGGAAATAAAAGTTTGGGCCAATGTGTCCCAAACTATTATTAGTGGTTGCCTCTTGCAAGTGAGATTGCATGAGACTGACTCTCTTTCTCATTTGTATATTTTTATACTGTTCAAACTTTTTAAGATAGTATGTATTACTTTTATAATCAGAATAAAAGCAATAAAAATACAAAAAACTCTACGGCTTCCTTCTCCTGGATACTGTTGTCTTGCCACAGTCTCCTGTATGATGAAAGTCATTTTTGAATTCACAAGTAGAAGGAAGAGTGTACTTTCATGTGCAGAGTTGAATGGATGGAGAACTAAAGAGGATTTGAGGCATGTGAGAGAGTTGTCTGCTGTGGAAATAGCTGAGTGGCAGCTTGGCTAGGGTGTTATCACCAGGGAAAGGAAGAAGGTGATAATAGAAAAAGGCCAAGAATGGAACAGAGAAGTTAAATGGGAGCAGACTTTGGAAAAACAAGGGGTAGAATCAGTGTGTACAAGACTGGGATTATCACAAGAGTAGCACTTAGAACCAGGAAAAATCCCTGTGTAGCCAATAGGATTAACCTTAAATAAAGATGGAAGTAGGAAAGAAAGTGGATAAAAAGACCCTCCTTCCTACCCCCCACCAATTTGCCCAAAAAAATGACTTCATTAAACTTCCTTCAATATGAGAAGTGGCTTTACACTTTGCAAAAATAAATGGAGGAATGCAAACAATATTGAGAGAATATCAGTTAACATAAATTCACACAAATACCAGTAATTAACTAATATTAAAGTATTTCTAAGAATAAATTTTGTTATCAAGGTGAAAGAATTGTAATTCAATGCTTGCTAAAGGGGAAGAGGTGCTACTCCAAGAAAATAATAAAAATAGCTGACATTTTTTATATCTGTTTTTTGTCTGACAGTAAGAAATGGAAAGACTTTGCATGAATTACCACATTTAATCTTCTCAATGTGCCTATGTGTGATGAGCAAACTGTATTTTGAGATTCCCAAGGTCACACAGCTAAAATGGCCCCTCTAACATTCAAAAAAGAGAGTCACTGGAGAAGAGATTGCGAGGACATTTTTATCTGCATTTCAGTCTGACCTTAGGATCAATCATCAGGCTATCATTTAATAGAAGAAAACTGTAGAGAAGGGAGGTTAGAAGGGAGCAAAAAAAATGAGGCAGGACAATTTCTGGACTTTCAGGAGGGAAAAGTGTAACCACTGTGCCTCATCCAGGCCCTCTAGAACCCAATTCTACACTTAAATACTGTCTTAGTCTGTTTAATGCTGCTATAACACAATACCACAGACTATGTAATTTATGAAGAAAAGAAAATTATTTCTCATAGTTCTGGAGGCTGAGAAGTCCAATACCAACATGCCAGCATCTGGCGAGGGCCTTCTTGCTATACCATCCCACGGCAGAAGGCAAGAGGAAGAGAGAAGGCAGAATTCACTTTTATAACAAACCCACCCTCCAAATAACTAAGCCACTCCTGTGATAACGACATTAATCCATTCATGAAGGCAGAACCCTTATGTCTTAATCACTTCTTATTAGGCCCTGCCTCCCAAAACTATTGCCTTGGGGATTAAGTTTTCAACACATAAACTTTGGAGGAGGAGTTCAAACCGTAGCAAATAATAATGCAGCTCTGACTCATTTCCATATGTGTAGGGGGAGAACAGAGGGCAACAGGTGTCTTTTTTGTTGCCAAGAAGGCCAGGGCACCCTCCTCACTCAATAGGATAATTAAATTCACTCTCTTATCATGCCTCACAAACATTTAAAGTTGAAAGGTGGAAAGAAGGAGGGAGGAAGGGAAGGAAGGAAGAAAGTGTGGAAGGAAGGAAAGGAAAGAGAAGAAGAAGGCAGAGGAGGGAAGGAGAGGGGAGAGGTAGGGAGGGACGGTGAGGGAAGGGAAAGGGAGGGGAGGGGAGGGGAGGAGAGGAGAGAATAGTAGAGGGTAGAGAAGGGGAGGGAGGAGAGGGAAAGGAAGGCAAGGGGAGGAGGAAGGGAGGGGATGAGGAGGGGAGGAAGAAAGGGAGGGAAAGGAAGGTGAGAGAGGGAAGGGAAGTGAAGGTGAGGAAGGGGAGGGAAAGGAAGAGAAGAAAAGGGAAGGGGAGGGAAGGGAAGAGAAGGAAAGGGAAGGGGAGGGGAGGGAAAGAGAGGGAAGGAGGACGTCTAGTCAGGAAAACTAAACCACACTAATACTGACTGGCTGTCCCAGGCCAGGATCAGTTCCCTCATCCTCCCTTTCTGGGGTTGGTGTTATCAAGGAGCACATTTCAAAGGGCAGTACTCTGTCCTCATCACTCTTGGTCCTTCTAGTTCCAAACAGATCCTGTCACTTGGGGCTCCCAACCCTCTGTAATTTGTAAATCATTTCTGGGAAAGAATGAACATATAGATATGCTCTGAATATACTCACAGGCCCACCACACCCCAAACACCTGTGATGGGGACCAGTCACCTACCACCTCAGGCCCATCTTCTCCTTAGTAGAATGAAGACTTTGAGTTCAGTCATCTCTAAGGTCCTTTTTCAAATTAAGAAAAAGAATAAATGAGAAGACAATAGAAACTAGGAAGGTAAATAGTATAAGTAATCAAAATTTACTTCCAGACATTTCCTATGACAAGACAGTATTTCCCCCTTCTCTCTCATACACACTTCAAATTGAAGACACCATAGATTTTAATATGCACCATTTCTTTATGTATCACTAGTAAAGAAAAAAAAATGCTGCCAACTAACCATGACACACCATTGATTATCAAACGCATTCCAGTTTCAGAGATGTTAAACTGCAAAACATGGGTCCTAGAATCAATGAAATACAATGTGTGTGTGTGTGTGTGTGTGTGTGTGTGCGCATGAGGGTTTGATTGGTGGGGAACTCTCGCTTCTTACTTTAAACACTATTACTGGCTTTGTTATAACATATCTTTAGTACTTATCATTTAGTGCAAAGTTCATTTTCATTTCTTGCTATTACATATCTCACTTTCAATAGCTCTTTATAAGCTCACTCCAGGCCATCTGAAGCCTCAAGCTCTCATTTGGTGCTCAAAAGTCTCCTAAACTTCCTAGAAGCATCCCTTACCCCATTCACAATCATTGTGACTTTTCTAGTTCACTTTTCCCTTTGAAAATAGTCCAGTCCTGTATTTCCTCCTCTTAGGTTTTGTTAAATGATTGGAATAAAATTTACGAACCAATTTCAGTTAGAGTTTTTATGGTGGGAAATAGCTTATTGTATAACTTTTTCAGATGTCAAATTGCATCTTAATGTAGCCTTCTTACAAAGGAAACCAATGTGCATTTATTGAGAAATAAAGAGGGAGGTATATGGAGTGGAAGAGTTTTGTTCCCCTGAAATCATACTGCTTTGATCACTGTTTATTGCCTCAAATATGTAAGTCTGGGTGGCCCAGCTGCCTTCTTACCACAAGGCTACCGAAAGTCTGAGGAGAAACTTCCCTTTCTTTTGTCTCCTGCAGGAATGCCAAAACAAAGTCTCAAAAAAATAGTAAATCTAACTGGCTAACACGACCACCACAGATGCCCTACGGGATTCTCCTCCTTCTCTTCCCCCTCTGTCTCCTCTCCATCATCATTATCATCTTCATCATCATCATCATCATCACTACCACCACCACCACTATCATCATCTCTAGCTTCCCTCTTTGACTTGGCTGCTAAAAAAACCCTTGGAATCAAAGTAATTCCCTTTTTTTTTTAGACAGAGCTTCACTCTTGTTACCCAGGATGCAGTGCAATGGCGCGATCTCGGCTCACTGCAACCTCCGCCTCCTGGGTTGAAGTGATTCTCCTGCCTCAGCCTCCTGAGTAGCTGGGATTACAGGCATGCACCACCACGCCCAGCTAATTTTGCACTTTTAGTAGAAATGGGGTTTCCGCCATATTGGCCAGGCTGGTCTCAAACTCCCAACCTCAGGTGATCCACCCGTCTCGGCCTCCCAAAGTTCTGGGATTACAGGCATGAGCCACTGCACCTGGCCCAAAGTAATTCCCTTTCTTTAGGAAGTGTATAGGAACCCAATACCTATACATTTGAATACTAATCTTACTGCAAATTGTATCTTAATTTTGAATATTTTTATTGATACATAATATTTGTATCTATTGATGGGATACATGTGATATTTTATTACATGCATAGAATGTGTGATGATAAAGTCAGGGTATTTGGGGTATCCATCACCTTGAGTATTTATCATTTCTATGTATTCGGAACATTTCAATTCCTCTCTTCTAGCTATTTTGAAATGTACAGTACATTGTTGTTAACTATAGTCACCCTACTCTGCTAATGAACATTAGAACTCGTTCCTTCTATCTAACTGTATGTCTGCAACCATTATCCAAACTCTGTTCATCACCCCTCCTCCCTCACACCTTTTTCAGCCTCTAATATCTATCATTCAATTATACTCTCTACCTCCATGAGATCAACTTTTTTAGCTTGCATATATGAGGGAGAGTAGGTGATATTTGTCTTTCTGTGCCTGGCATAGTTCACTTAACATAATGACCTCCAGTTCCATCCATGTTGCTGCAAATTACATGATTTATTTTCTCTTTTGTTTCTTTGTTTGTTTTTCTGTTTTGTTTTGTTTTGAGGCACGGTCTTGTTCTGTTGCCTAGGCTGGAGTGCACTGGTGCAATCATGATTCACTAACTTCAACCTCCTATGCTCCAGCTGTCCTCCGCCTCAGCTTCCCAAGTTGCTGGAACACAGGTGCATGCCATTGTGACTGCCTATTTTTTTTTTTTTTTTTTTTTTTTAGAGATAGGATCTTGCTATGTTGCTCAGACTGGTCTTGAACTCCTGCTCTCTAAAGATCCTCTTGGCTTGGCTTCCCAAATTGCAGTGACTACATGTGTGAGCCCCCATGCCTGGCCAATTTCATTCCTTTTTATGGCCAAATATATTATTTTATTGTAATAGATGTAATTTGGAAAGACATTTTGCCTTTTCTATAAATAAGAATGTCTTCAATTAATTAGCCCTTTACAGGTTTTTAGCATTTTTCTTCATTTAGAAAGTGCTTACATTGGTATCCACACTATTAATGGGAACAAAATTGGTAAGATTTATCTGGCAGGCAATTTGTCAATTACATTAAAAACCTTAACATTATGCATGAGCTTTAAACCTAGAAATTTCACTTCCAGTAACTTATTTTCAGAAGAAAGTTTGAGATAGGTACAAAATGTAATGTTCAAGGGTATTCATTACAGTGCATTTCATAATGCCTATCAATATGAATTTGATTAGGTAAATGGTAGCGAATCCAAACAATGGACTATTAGACTGCCATTATATATCATGTTGTTCAAGAATATTATTGACATGAGGATGTTCATAATAAATTCCTAATCCCAAAACACAGGCTGCAAAATAAAATGCCCACTATTATATCATTTTAGCATGGCATAAATATTAAAATGTTTGGAATCAAAGACATCTTGGTTCAAACCTTGGTTCCAACACTCAGTTCTATCATTTGCTCCTCATACAAATGTGGGAAAGTTATTGAGCCTCACAGAGCCCCAGTTTCCTCATTTGTAATTTAGAAATAATTACAGCCACCTCTTAGGGTTTTTGTAAAGATTAATTTAAATAATGTATGCAAAGTATCTGCTTCTCCACACACAAAATAAGTGCTCTATAAATGGTTCTCTACATCAGGCTTGTGTGTCAGTTGGGGTTTTTTGATTACAAGCAACAAAAAAATTTGGCCAACTTAAACAAAGGGGAATTTATTAAAAACATTGCACAAAAGTTGGAGAACTAGGCTTGGAAATAGGCAGACACCAATTCAGCTTCAGGGGCGGGAAAGCAGGAATGATAGGACTAGTCTTGCAGTGGAACAGTCTGGCAGGGATATTCCTGCCAAGATAAAAGAATGCCAACCTCTTCACTCACCCAATTTCATATGCTCAAAAGTCAAAATCTCAGCAGCGAGCTTTCATGGGTTGAGCTGAAGAGACTGCCCACCTTTGGCCACAGGAGGCACAGGCAGCTGGATTTTCCATCTCAGTAAAATATAGGCAGTGGTGTGGTAAGTTAACTCCCCAAAGGAAATTGGGGTTCTGTTGTGAAGGATGGTAGATGCTACTGACAAAAGTTCCTCTGTCACATAAGCACGAGGTAATTTTGAAATGGGAAAAATATAAATCAAATATTTATTTAAAAAATAAATCACATACATGATCACAAATGTATGATCATCACGAAAGCCCTACAGGAAAATCAGGACAGAAATTATTTTCTTGATTTTACAAAGAGAAACTGAGGCTCAGGGATGATGAATGACTAGCCCAAGGACTCTGCACTTAATCTGGGGCAGAGCTGGAAAAGACAGTCCTGACCCCCAGTCTCAGGCTCTTTCCCAGGTACCCCCTGGGAAATTGTCAAACATCTCTCAGTTTCCCTGCTTCCCAACCCTCAACTTCAAAGGATGCAGATTACTGTTGGTATTTCCCTTTCTTATAACTCGTTAGTCCCTCCTGCTGCTTGGAGTTCAGGCCCTGCCAGAGGGCCCTGAGCTGGAGGTTCTGCTGGAAGCATTACAGTCAGCTAGGCTGACAGTGGCTGGGAGACTTGGCAGACTTTCTCCTTCACATTTGGCTGGGGGGAGGACGGAGAGCTAAGAAACCACTGGAGAAAGGAGGGAGGCTGGAGGAAGGCAAGAAGGCAGGGGCCAACCTGGAGAGGAAGTGGTATGAAGAGGAGGTAGTGGGGAGACAAAGAGAATGATTTTTTTTGAAAGACAAAAAAAAAAAAAAAAAAAGAATTAGAAATATGGTTAAATCAGCCAGGAAGTGGCCCAGTGACCAAGATCTCCTGAACCTGGCTTCAGAGAAAAACATTAAAGCTTCACATATTTGGCATTCAAGTCACTAAAGGTTGCTTTCTGCTTTTTCTTTCTCATTAAAGCATTTGGAAGAACCCACCAGAAAGCCCAAATGTATTAAAAATTCCTGGGCTCCATGCGTAAAAATGATAGACGAACAATTCTAGATGGATCCTATTTAGGAGCCATCTAATATATGCATAATATATGCCTTTTTCAGTTAGAGAAACTGAGGCACAGAATTACAATATGTCCATGACTTCTTTTTTAATTGAAAAATTTAAAAGTATGATTTTCCAAACAAGGAGTTGGTAAACTTTTCTATAAAGAGCCATCTAGTCCATATTTTTGGCCTTCAGGGCCATATGGTCTATTACAACTACTCAACACTGACGTTGTAGAGCAAAAGCAGCCATAGATAATATATAGACAAATGGGTGTGGCTGTGTGCCCATAAAACTTTATTTACAAAAACGGGGCATGGGCCAGATTTGTAGTTTGTCAAGACCTGATCTAGACTTAGTCATTTATTACCACATGAACATCCCAGAAGAACATAAAAGCAAATGGTAGGCATCAATTTAAATTCCCATAGGAATGATAATAGTAATAACTACAATCTATTAAGCACTTCCTATGTGGATTTCCTCATATAATTGTTCTACTGTCCTATGAGGAGGATGCTATTGTGCTTGCCCATATTGTTAGATAAGAAGACAAAAATACCTGCCCGTCAAACAACTGCCAGGGGGTGGTCACATAGCTAGAAGGTGGTAGTGGCAGGATTTTGACCCTTGATCCATCTGACATCAGGAGTCAAGTGCTTAACAACTATACCAGCTAAAAAAATGCAACTAGTAAGGAAGAAAAATAAAGTTACATGAAGTTTATCACAAAGCATTGACTTTTTCATGTTATTACAAAGGAAGCTCTTGGTAGTGTAATACTTTGGTAATGCATTCATTATCAGCAACTTGAATGAAGCATGAATCTGCACCTTCCCCCACATCCTCCCAGTTTCCTTGGAACGTTCATTTTGTTACCTCTTTCTCGTGATCTGTTAGGCTTTCTCCAGCATACACGCTAAGATTTAAGAAAGGATCTTAACTCACGCCCACCCACCTCAGACGCTGAAATGTGAAAGGCCTTTAACACTAAGAGGAATTCAAGCCTGAAGGGGAGAAGAGGACAGCTCTTGATGATTATCCTAAATTTTTGAAGCCAAACCAGGGAGGACTTGAGGAAATGACTCACTGAACCCAGGAGAAAGAAAAACAGCCGAGAGATGGCAGGAGAAAATGAGGATAATATAGCCTTACTGTTAAAGTGAGGGTTAGAAATCCACAGGGACCCGGAAAGGAAACACTGAAATGGCTGAGTTACATTCCTGAAACTAGCATGCAATATTGTTTTATCAGGCTTACGGCTGTTTTGACCAAGAATGAAGCAGGAACAGATTTCTTCTTAACAGAAACATCATCTCATGTTCTTTACTGTCCCCAAAGTGTCTCCTCTGCTAGAGCCCTAAGGGGAAACCACAGCCATCTCTGTCTCTTCTATTCTTGAATCACAAAACTGGCTGTTCCTGACACAGATGCTGAGCTTGGTGTGACAAACAGATGTACTACACTGCAGCCACTAAAATCTGCTAACATCTGTACTGAACCTGTGGAAGAACTTTGAGCCATCAACTTTCCGGCTAAAAAGAGACCTGATTAGAAAATTCGGGAAATGTTTTCAAGCACGAATACAGTTGCTTTCACTTTTTAGGTCACTAGAAACAGAGACAAAACTATGAGGTAAGTGACTTTTGTCCTTGGTCTTTTCTAATCCACCTAACATATTATGACTACATTAACCTTCTTAATGCAAAGTTCTGATAATGTTACTCCTGAACTCACAAACATTCAAAAGTTAACACACAGTATTTGTAAAGCTGCTGTTAAAATAGGCATTGTTATATATTCCTGGTGGAAATATACATTGCTATAATCTCTAAGGAGAGAGTTTTGGTGACACCTACTGTATTAGTCACGGTCTCCAGAGGGACAGAACTAATAGGATGTATATATAAGAGCAAACGGTAGGCATATATATATATATATATATATATATATATACACACACACATATAGGAGTTTAAGTATTAACTTACACAATCACAAGGTCCCACTATATATATATATAAAGCAAATGGTAGGCATATATAAATATGGGAGTTTATTAAGTATTAACTTATACAATCATGTCACACAATAGGCTGTTGGCAAGTTTACAGAGCAAGGAGAGCCAGTCCTAGTCTCAAACTAAAGAACTTGGAGTCCAGTGTTCCAGGGAAGGAAGCATCCATCACGGGAGAAAGATGTAGGCTGGGAGGCTAGACCAGTCTCACCTCTTCACGTTTTTCTTCCTGCTTTATATTCGCTGGCAGCTGATTAGATGGTGCCCACCAGATTAAGGGTGGGTCTCCCTTTCCCAGCCCAGTGACTCAAATATTAAATCTCCTTTGGCAACACCCTCACAGACACACCCAGGATCAATACTTTGTATCCTTCAATCCAATCAAGTTGACCCTCAGTATTAACTATCATACCTGCCAAAATTACAAATGCATATACTTTTTGATCTAGGAATTTCTTCTACAGCCTTACTTGCATTTGTATGAAATAAAGCATATTTAAGACTATTTGTTGCCATATTATTAGTAAGAATAACAGATTATATATACTTCTGCTCCTAGGTAGAATGTAGTAGGTCAAAGCAGGTCAAAGGTCTTGCTGCAGCAACTAGTAACAAATTAATACATTGAAAGAAACATGTTAAAGTTATAAAAGAGCTATAGAGGACCACATGATGTCTAGGTACAGAAGGACGCTGGGCACAGTGACTCATGCCTGTAATCCCAGCACTTGCAGAGGCCAAAGTGGGTGTATCACTAGAGCCCAGGAGTTAAAGACCAGTCATGGCAAAACCCCATCTCTACTAAAAATACAAAGATTAGCCACCTGTAATCCCAGTCACTCAGGTGGCTGAGGAATGAGAATCACTTGAACTCAGGAGGCGGAGGTTACAGTGAGCCAAGATCGCACCTCTGCACTCCAGCCTGGGCGACAGAGCAAGGCTCTGTCTCAAAAAGACTAAAAAAGGAAAAAATTTTCTTAAAGCTGAGAAGAAATAGACACTCCAGGCTCTCAATCAAAAGCTTGGAAAGACTATATCTAAAAAGCAGGGATAAACCAGGGGTGGACAGAATCTTGCTAAAATTGTAAATGCAGCCCTACTTCAACTCAGTTCCCATTGAAATGAGGTAATTAGCTCCTGGTCCTAACAAAAAAGAAAAAAAAAAGATACCTCTCTGGTGGAAGATACCATCAGAAGTCTACAGTTATTTTATACCAATGCCCAGCATGCAATCAAAATTTACTGCACATTAAAACAATCAGGATAGGTAATAATAATCAAAAAATAAAATAAATACAAGCCCAAAGAGAATTGAGATGAGAAAAAGCACAATAAAATAACCATGGCATGTTAAAAAAAAGTTTCAAAAAGCATGTTAAAAAAAAGTGAAAATTATATTTTAACAGATAATTGGGCTCTATCAAATTTTTAAATGGGTATTTTAGAACTGAAAAGTATAATGTTTGGATTTGAGAACTAATTAGGTAGGTTTAAAAGCAAACTGGATATAGATGATAGGATTAGTTAATTTAAAGACGGATCAATAGAAACTATTCAAATTGGATCACAGAGAAAAACCAAACTGGAAAGAAAGAGTATGTCCAAATGTGGAACATACTCCAACAGTTTAATAAAGTGTAATAGAGTCTCAAAGGAGAGAAAGGAGAGAGAATGGAGCAGAAGCAATATTTGAAAACACACAACTGAGAAATTTCTAATAGTAATGGAAGATATAAACCCACCAATTCCAGAAGTTCAAGAGTCCCTAAGCAGAATAAGTACAATGCCAACAGTAACACCAACAAACCCACCATACCTGGACACATTGTAGAAATTGTTGAAAAAGAATGACAAGTTCTAAAGCAACCAGAGCTGGGGAAAGCCCAAGTCTTCAGGGGAACTACAATAAGACTGACAGCTAACTTCAAACAAAACAAAACAAAACAAAAAACAAAAAAAAACACTGTGTGGCAGCCACGGAATTGCACCCCTCAGATCTCCCTTCAAGAGATCATGCTGTGGGGCGCTCATCTTATTGACAGCTGCTGCACTGTTAGATCCACTAAAACTTTCATATCAAATCATACTTCCCCTGGGCTGCTTCCAGTCAATGAATTAGCTCAATGGGGGTATGAAAATCAGGCTATATTGGTAGATGCAGAATTTCTTTAACAGGCAATTTGGCTCAGGAGATCTCTACTGACCTGGCCATGAATTTAACAGACCCGTCGATAGTCTGAGGCTCTTCTGGCCTAATCCTTCCTCACCTGTCTTCTTTCACAGGTGCTGGACCTGTCTTGGTGTCTGAAGGTTCTCCCTGCCTACTCCTCTCCTTCTTTTTTTATCCTTTACAGGCATTTCCCCCGAACAAATTTCTTATATTTTTAATCCTATCTTGGTGTCTGCTTCTCATGGAACCCAAAATGACACACTGTGGAAATCAGGAGACGATGTCATGATATTTTTAAAATGAAAAAACAAAAAGGCAAACAAGACCTCTCAACCTAGAATTATACACCAGTAAGAATATTTCCTTCAAATTAAAATAGAATTTGTTGCTAGCTGCACAGCATTGAAGTAAGTACTAAAGGGAGTTCTACCAGCAGAAGGGAAATTTTCTGAGCTAGAAACACAGAAAATTAGAAGGAAATGAAAAACACCGAAAAGACTATAAATCAGTGAATAAATATAAAAGAATACTAACTATTTAAAGCAACAAGGCACAGTGGCTCATGACTGTAATCCCAGAACTTTGGGAGGCTGAGAAGGTAGGTTCGTTTGAGCCCAGAGTTTGATTGCAGCCTAAGCAACATGATGAATCCCTGTCTCTAGGAAAGATACTAAAAAATTAGCCAGGCATGGTGGAGTGTACCTGTAGTCCCAGGTACTTGAGAGGCTGAGGAGGCTGAGGAGGCAGGAGGTCAAGGCTGCAATGAGCTGTGATTGAGCCACTGTACTCCAGCCTGGGCAACACAGCAAGACTCTGTCTCGAAACTACAAATAAACAAATAAAGCAACAACAATAGCATCTTTTGGAGCTTAGAACATGTAACATAGTGTAAAATATGTGACAATAGCAAAAAAGGTAAGAGAAAGGGGCAAATGGAGTCAAGTTATAAGATTCTTACATTCTATGTAGAATTAGATTACTAGTTAAGGTAGACTGTAACTAGTTAAGGATGCATGTTGAAATCGCTAGGGCAATGGTTCTCAACCTGGAGCAATTTCACTCAAGAGGCATTTGACAAAAGAAATTTCACTAAAGAGGCATTTGATAAAAGAGAGAAGGAAAGGAAAGGAAAGGAAGAAAAGAGAAAGAAAGATGAAGGGAGGTAAGAAGGAAGGAAAGAGGGACATATATTTGGCAATATCTGAAGACATTTTTGGTTGTCACAATTATGGGTTGGAGGAGATGTCAAAATTATTCTGCATTGAAACACTAACTAAAAGATGGATATTCTCAGAGTGGATTGAAAAACATGACCCAACTATATGCTGTCTCTAAGAAACTTACTTCAAGCATAATGATATAGGTAGGTTAAAAATAAAGGATACGAAAACATATTCAATGTAAATCTTTAACAAAAGAAAGCTAGAGCGGCTGTATTAATATCAGAGAAAGAAGAATGAAGAGCAAAATAATTTACCAAGGATAAAGAGGGACACTATATAATGATAAAAGGGTTATTTCACCAAGAAGATACAATAAATCCGAAGTATGTTTGCTCCTTACAATAGAACTTCAAGTTGCATGAAACTAAAAGTAGAAGCAGACAAATCCCTCATTATAATAAAAGGCTTCAACTCTCCCTTCTCAGTAATTGATAGAACTAATAAAAAATCAGCAAGGATATTAATAAACTGTAAAACACTATCAACTGACTGGATCTAATTGAAATTTTTAGAACATTCCAGGACCAATAGCAGAATATATATTTTTTTCAAGTGCACATGGAACATTCACCAAGATAGACAGTATCCTGAGTTATAAAATAAAGTTTAACACATTTAAAAGAATTGAAATGATACAAGGTTTATTCTCTGACTATACTAGAATTAAACTAGAAACTGATGATAGAAAGATAACAGGAAATCTCAAAAACTTGACAACACACTTCTAAATAATCCATGCATTAAAGAAGTCTCAAGGGAAATTAGAAAATATTTGGAACTAAATGAAAGTAAAACATACCAAAATTTGCCAGATGACAAAGCAGTGCCTAGCGGGGAATTTATAGCATCAAATGCTAACAGAAAGCACCTTGAGAAACCCAAAAAGAAGAGCAAAATAAACCCAATGCAAGCAGAAGGGAAAACATAATAATGCAGAAATCAATAAAATTGAAAACAGAAAAAGAGAAAGTCAATACAACCAAAATCTTGTTCTGTTAAAAAATTAATAAAATTAAAATTGTATCAAAATTGACAAAGAAAGAAGACATACACTACTGATATCAGGAATTAAAAAGAAAATATCACCTAGACCCCAGCATACATTAAAAAAACAAAGAACTTATACAAGCAATTCCGCACACAAAAATTTGACAACCTAGAAAGAAAAAATGGACAAATGCCTTGAAAACCAAAAATGCCAAAACTCACCCATAATGAAACAGATTATCTGAATAATAGAATAATACAAAAAATTAAATAAATTGAATTCATAGTTTAAAATCTTCTGGAAATAATTCATCCAGCATTTCTATTTGTTTATATTGGTAAGATTTCAGGTTATCTTAGCTCATATATTACCAGCAGTGAAACTCTAAGTTGTTCTGTTTAGTTTTTTAAGCCAATTTGAGTTGAGTTTTCTGTTATGTGAAGAAACAGAAAATAGTGTTATCTCCCAAAACACATCAGAATTTCTAATATTAACCAACCTGTACCCTTCAGAGGACATTTTGATGTTTCAGAATTCTAAAAACACCGTTAAGTTTGTGGAGCTCAAAATAGTATTATAGCTGTTGAGTGTCCAAATACAATACTGAAGTGACTCCGAGAAGTAATTGTAGGAAGCCTGGAAGCAGTGGTAGCCCTAGTAGTAGTAGAGTAACAGTACTTGTGGGTAAGAGATATTAAGTACTTATCTGTGGCACTCCACGAAGAACTGAATATATGAAATACCACTGTACAGTTTTATACATGAGTAAATGGAAATACAGACAATAAGACAAATAAATAAAAACACAGATAAAGTACCACGTAGAATTTTCTGGAGAATAGTTTTCTTCCCAGCCTACAGCCTGGTTGTGCTCCTCCTGCTCTGGAGAAGAATGGATTTAAAAGAATTGTCATTTTTCCCCACCCATAGGAAAATAGCTGAAACAATACATATTTAGTTTCCCAGGGAGTGCTTCCAGCATGAGAAAAACCAAGTTATGGCAGAATCAAGAACCTGCCAATACCAAAAGTGAGCTTTGTTCTCCAGCCTGGACCTGCCTTTTTCATAAATTAGCCCATAGATTCACCATCTGTATTTGCACGCACACACACACACACACACACACACACAACTAGCCAGGAATGGATGCACAGTGTCTATGGCAGAGAGCTCCCAGCTTAACAGGAGGGCTGTATCAATGAGATGGTCAGTCTTTGAGCTGATACAACAATAGTCTTCAAAAAGAACATGCACATTCCCCTTGTTCACTTATTGAAACAGAACCTTGAAAGCACTGCTATGCAGTGTCTCACAGTATGCCCATAAACTTTTGCTAATTTCAAGAAACTACTGCCATTAATCTCCTCAAATTTGATAGGAAAAAAATTATATACAAGTGGGCCGGGCGTGGTGGCTCATGCCTGTAATCCCAGCACTTTGGGAGGCCGAGGCGGGTGGATCATGAGGTCAAGAGATTGAGACCATCCTGACCAACGTGGTGAAACCTCGTCTCTACTAAAAAAAAAAAAAAAAAAAAAAAATTATATGCAAGTGAACTGAAAAAACAAACAGATGAGCACCATTTATTTCTACACTTTCTCCATTCTAATGAGGCAATGGTCCAAGAAACCACATTCCTGCCCTTGTAAATCAACTGCCAACATGAATGTGATTCTTCAGCTATGAGAAAATGTCTTCTAAAGGGTACAGGTTGGTTAATATTGGAAATTCTTGTGTACTTTGGGAGATAACACTATTTGCTCTGATAAGGACTAGTACTTTTTTCTTCCTTTTTATCTGGACATGTCAAGAATCAGTCATGTCATTTTGCATTTTTCCTTTTTCTTCCTCTCACCCTTGCCCCCTTTGGGATTCATGCCAGTAACATGTTTTCCTGATACAGCAGTGAATGTAATCCAGTATTGACATTTCCTATGTTAAATAAAAGTTTGAGACTTAGGAAAAGTACACATTTAGGAATAATAAATAAAAGTTTCAATGTGGAGCAGCTACAAAGCAAGAGTATACTAACCGTACCAATCCAAGTGTATAGCTTTATGACTTTTAAATCTCTTCTTGTAAATAAATTCCCTAGTGTTAGGGTTTACACTTCAAATGAAAAGAAGATGGGTGGATAGAAAGAAAGAAGACAGAGAGAGGGAAAAAAGGAAGGAAAGAAGGAAGGAAGGAAGTTAGGAAGGAAGGAAGGGAGGGAGGGAAGGAGGGAGGGAGGGAAGGGAGGGAGGGAGGGAGGGAAAGGAAGAATGCAGGCAAGTGAGGGAGGAAGGGAGAACTCCAAGTGCGGATTCAAGGCACTTGAGGGAGTAAGCCAACTCTGAATGGCAAAAAAATAAACTACAGCTAACTCTGGAATTTCCAGCTACCTATTGGTTACTGTTTGGAGAGAATTATTGACAGATGGATGTTTACTCTCAGCAAAAAAGCTCCTGTTTTATGAGATTGGTGAGCTTTATGCCTGGAATACAGATGGTTATCAGTAAATTTTTAGTAAATGAATGAGTGAGTAAATGTACAAATTTCTTTTTTTATGTTCATAAAACTGAAGCCTACAGATGTTTAGTGAGTTGCCCAAAGTCATATAGAAATTCCTAGGTGCTTGAAGTATTCTAGATGGAAAATTTAAGAAAGATCACCAATTCAGACCTAAGAGATCTAGATTCTTGTTGTGAGTTTGTTTTGTCATTTCACCTCTCAGGACCTCTACATTGCAGAAGGCAGAGACTCATCTATGTTGTTTTCTCTTGTACCTTCAATGCTTAACACAGTGTTTGGCATATACTAGATGCTCAATAAATATTTAAATACTTACCATTTTCCCATCTGTAATATTTAGTTTGCCTGTATGAAAACTGAGGAGGTTGGCCGTAAGGCTTTCTGAGTGCGTCTTCCAATTCTACCCCTCTGTGGGAGAGGATCTCTGCTTCCAGTCGTTTTTCATACCCTACTTTCTAACTTCCACTGCTCCAGTTGCATGGGAAGGCAAACACAGGTGGGTGAGGTTCCAACATCCTTTCTCCAATGTTATATCATCATCCCTCTGAGCTCTTATTTCCACAAGAAAAACCACAAAAACACAATCTTAATGGAAAACAGTGAATCAATCAATTACTTCATTGTCTATTTTGTAAAATTAGTTCCAGAATCACCACAGACCTCCCAATCTCCAAACCTCAGCAGCCAAAGATTCCCCAAACTTTCACATTAGGTGTTCCAGCCACTCTTCCCTAGAGGGATACTCAAGCCCCTGTGACATTCCTTCTCCTTGTCTTCTGTGGGAGCAGAGGGGAACTCAACAGCAATAAGCAGCCTGGGAAAAAAATAGCAGCCACAATGCTCCATTTATTATAGGATGGTGTCTTGAGGGAAACTTAACTCTCCCATACTCCTAAGGTAAGTCCTTCTCCCTCCTTTCATGACAATTTCCTAGCCAGAAAAATAGTAGCAAAACCTGTACCACAAGCAGGAGAATCTGTCCAAGTGTCAGCACAGCCTTCCTATGGTTCGAAGAGGGAAAGGGCTCACCCACCCAGAAGATGCATGTTTCTCCTCTTTTGACAACTCCCTTCCTGAGAAGGAACAGCCCTGGCAGGGGCTATTCCTCTGTGACTGTGAAGTAATGTGGAGTATTCTGAGGAGGGCCCTGGTCAGGAGTTCAAGAATCCAGTTTACCTCCGACAGACTATGTGACCTTGGAAAATTCATTTTTCTCCAAGCTTCAGATTCCTCCATTTTTAAAATGGATTTTCCCTTTTAAATGATTATAAGATTCCTTTTTAAAAACATTTTTCTTATTTCATAAATAATACACAATCACTGTTGACATTTTTAAAAGTATGGATAAATTAAAAGAAAAAATAACAATAATTCACAATCTTACCACCTAATGATTGACACTGTTAGCATTTTTATGTATTCCTTTTGGTGAGACTGCTTGGGATTTTAGCATCACTGAATATATATCTCCCAGTGAGAGTTGCCTCTTCAAAGCCTTTCCAAGCCTTGCACATGTACCAACAATGCTGCCCATAAATTAGGAAGTTGGGGAACTGCTCTTCGGTAACTCACTCCCTGTAGACTGTGACTCTGTCTTTGGAATGTCCTTGGTAATAATAAGTCATCTGAGGGTCGTAGTGATTATTGGAAGAGTCATTTGAAGACAAATTTACATGATTGGAAGAATGATCAAGCTGAGTACCTCCATTTGTTTTTCTTTATTTTAAAGTCATTCCTATAAAGTTTAAAGACTTTTTCATGTTTCTCTGGTGTTTTCAAAATTTTTGATGTGTACGTTTACAGAAGGAGAGGAATAAATTTCATTATTTTGGAGCAACATTTCTCAAAGTGCGTTCTATAGCACAGCAGATACTGGAAATGCCCTCCAGAAAGAGAGTTCTCTGATCAAAGGAGTTTGGAATAAACTACACACTCCATCTAGTTCCTTAAAGACTCACAAAGAACACTGAATATATTAAAAGCTCTGAGATTTCTCCACAAATAAAGCCCTTTAACTTTAATTAACTGTAGTTTCTAAACTTATTTCAGTTTAAGACACTTACTTGGGAGGTCTCATGAGACTTATTCACTGTCACAAGAACAGCACAGGAAAGACCTGCCCCTATGATTCAATTACCTCTCACTGGGTCCCTCCCACAACGTGTGGAAACTATGGGAGCTACAATTCAAGATACGATTCGGATGAGGACACAGCAAACCCATATCACATGTGAAATATAAAAGTGGAAGCAGCAGTGGGAAGAGCCTTGTAGGAACTTCCAGTCTCCAGCTCCAGTACAGAGAAGCCATCCTTGACTATGTCTCCCAGCGGCCCTTGGGAAGGCAGCCTGCAGAATTAGGGAGGAGTCACAGGGTGAAAGAATCTTCCAGCTGAAATTTGTAACAATTTTGACTGGGCATGAATTTTCTTGAGCAGAATTCAGGGTGCGGGCAAATGGGAATTGCTGCAGATATGAGTGCAGGAGCTGCTGCTGACATTGTGGGCAGAAAGGGAGGGGCAAGGCCTGAAAGCCATTCTTGCCTTCTTAGTGGGGAAACTATGGCCTGGAGAAGGTCTGAGTTCCACATGCAGGCTGCCTGGATCTAAACTCAGTGCTGTTGGCAGGGCACTGTGGGAGTAAGACTGGCCTCACTAACTACATGGGAGCTGGATGAGGCCTTTCACTACCAGCTATCCCCCACTTCTGTGGCAAACTATATGACACAACAGAGGCAGGCATAATGCCCTCTGGAACATAACCCCATTGGCCTGAGAACTATCCCCCAACCCCTCACAGTGGCCATGGCAACCCCCACCCAAGGAGAGTCTGAGAACAGACCCGCCTAACCCTACCGCCACCTAATGGTAGTTCTCTACCTGCCCTGGTAGCTGAAGACAAACACATAAACTCTTAGGAGCTTTATGGTCCCACCCATTGCTTGAGAAACCAGAATACTTCCCCTGGCCAATTTAGGGCAAACCCAAATCCCACTGCTAATACCACAGCTGGTGCTCTCTTGAAAGCACCACCTCCTGGTTGAAGGCCAACCAACTCAGGCCATTATAGCAACTCATGACAGAATAACCTTCCGTCCAGGAAGGAGAAAACTATAGCTAAAACAACTGCCTGAAACTTCCTAGCTAACTAGAGATCCTGAGGGTGTCCACATGACAACTTTACTACTAGCAAAATCAGCATTTGAGAAAACCAGCACACTAAACATATCTACAATCAAGGATTCTCACAGAGTCTCCTTCACTCCCCTGCCACCTCCACCAGATCAGGTGCTAGTATCCATGGCTCGGAGACCTGAAGATGGATCACATCACAGGACTCTTTGCAGATATTCCCCAGCACAAGCCCAGAGCCTGGTAGCCCTGCTGGATGGCTAGACCCAGAAGAGTAACAACAATCATTGCAGTCTGTCTCTCAGGAAGCCCCATACCTAGAGAAAGGGTATGGAGATTCCCTAAAGAACTAAAAGTAGAACTACAATTAGATCCAGCAATCCCACTGCTAGGTACCTACCCAGACAAAAAGAACTCATTATATGAAAAAGACCCTTGCACACACATGTTTATAGCAGCACAATTCACAGTTGCAGAAACACAGAAGTGGCCTAAATTCCCATCAATCAATAAGTGGATAAAGAAAATGTGGTATGTATATACCATGGAATACTACTCATCCATAAAAGGGAATGAAATTATGGCATTGACAGCAACCTGAATGGAGCTGGAGACCATTATTCTAAGTCAAGTAACTCAGGAATGGTAAAACAAATATTGTATGTTCTCACTTATAAGTGGGAGCTAAGATATGAGGACACAAAGGCATAAGAATGATATAATAGATTTGGGGGACACAGGGATAAGGGTGAGAGGAGGGTGAGGGATAAATAACTACCCATCAGGTACAGTGTACACTGCTCGGGTGATGGGTGCACCAAAATCTCAGAAATCACCACTAAACAACTCTTCCATGTAGCCAAAAAACCACCTGTTCCCCAAAAGCTATTACAATAAAGTAAAAATTTTATAAAATATAAAATCAATATTTTTAAGTGTGTGTCTATACTAGTGGGAAAAAAAAAGAAATAACAAGAAAGAGTACATTCAAAGCAGAAAGCAACCCAAAAGCCATTGTTTATTAGGGGTCATCTACAAGTCTCTAGTAGCAGACGGCTTGGGATTAATGGCCCATGCTCAAGTGACAAAATGCAAACCCTGAAATCAGTGCATTATGGAAGGTTGATCCATAGACCACTGAATACATTCAGGAGCTCCAAGAGACAATTAGGTCAATGGATGAAGCAGGGGAAAGATAAACCACACAGAAGTGGGTGGTGAAAAAACTACTACCACTACTACAGTGAGATATCTCATCCTAGTTAAAGTAGCTTATATCCAAAAGACAGGCAATAACGAATACTGGCGACCATGTGGAGAAAAGGAAACCTTGTACACTGTTGGTGAGAATGTAAGTTAATACAGACACTATGGAGAATAGTTTGGAGGTTCCTCAAAAAAAAAAAAACTAAAAATTGAGCTACATATGATCCAGCAATCCCATTGCTGGGTATATACCCAAAAGAGAGGAAATCAGTATATCAAAGAGATCTCTGCATTCCTGTTTGTTGCAGCACTGTTTACAATAATTAAGATTTGGAAGCAACCTAAACGCCCATTAACAGATGAATGGATACAGAAAATGTGGTACATATACACAATGGAGTACTATTCAGCCATAAAGAAGAATGAGATTCAGTCATTTGCAACAATATAGATGGAACTGGACATCATTATGTTAAGTGAAATAAACCAGGCACAGAAAGACAAATATCACATGTTCTTACTCATTTAAATGAGATTCAGTCATTTGCAACAACATAGTTGGAACTGGACATCATTATGTTAAGTGAAATAAACCAGGCACAGAAAGACAAATATCACACGTACTTACTCACTTACTGATTTGATTTCTAAAATCAAATCAATTGAACTCACGGACATAGAGAATAAACAGATGGTTACCAGAGGCTGGGAAGGGTAGCATGAGGTTGTAGGGGGAGGTAGGGATGGTTAATGGGTACCAAAAATAGTTAGAAACAATGAATAAGACCTATTATTGGCTGGGCATGGTGGCTCACGCCTGTAATCCCAACATTTTGGGAGGCCGAGGTGGGTGGATCATGAGGTCAGGAGATCGAGACCATCCTGGCTAACACGGTGAAAACCCATCTCTACTAAAACTATAAAAAATTAGCTGGGCATGGTGGCGCACACCTGTAGTCCCAGCTACTCGGGAGGCTGAGACAGGAGAATTGCTTGAACCCAGGAGGCAGAGGTTGTGGTGAGTTGAGATCGCACCACTGCACTCCAGCCTGGGCAACAGAGTGAGACTCCATCTAAAAAAAAAAAAAAAAGATCTATTGTTTGATAGTACAATAAGGTGACTATAGTCAATCATAACTTAATCATACATTTTAAAATAAAAAAGTATTGTCCAGGCGTGGTGGCTCACGCCTGTATTCTCAGCACTTTGGGAGGCCGAGGTGGGCAGATCACAAGGTCAGGAGTTTGAGACCAGCCTGACCAACATGGTGAAACCTTGTCCTTACTAAAAATACAAAAATTAGCCAGGCGTGGTGCGCACACCTGTAATCCCAGCTATTCAGGAGGCTGAGGCAGGGGAATCGCTTGAACCCAGGAGGCAGAGGTTGCAGTGAGCCAAGATCATGCCATTGCACTCTAGCCTGGGTGACAGAGTGAGACTCCATCTCAAAATAAATAAATAAATAAAAGAGTATAATTGGATTGTTTGTAAGTCAAAGGATAAATGCTTGAGGGGATGGATACCCCATTCTCCATGATGTGCTTAGTTCACATTACATGCCTGTATCAAAACAGGCATGTACATGGGGTACATCTCATGTACCCCATAGATATATACACCTGCTATATACCCACAAAAAAAATTTTTTAAACCTTACAAATTAAAAAAAAAAAGAAGAAGCAGATGGTGGAAACACTTGGCTATCTCAGCCTTAGGTCTACATGGTACAGAATAAAAGAAAAAAAAATCCCCTGATAATTTCCAACTCACACAGGTCTGGAGCCAGAACTCATACTGCCAAAGCAGCCCAAAAAAAAAAAAAAAAAAAAAAACCTAGCTGAAAAAATTAGGCTAAAAAGACTTCAGGTTGATGGTGCCATAAACACCCGATAGAAGCAAAAGCCAATTATCTATTGGGTAATAAACTTAAAGACAGGCCTCAAAGATGTTCCAGAGGGATATGAGTACACAACTAAAAAAGTCACTAAGCGCACTAGAAAACAAGTCATCACAAGCTACAAAATCAGCCTGAGACAACAGATGCTGAAATGATCAGATAGCAAATATAAAATAAGTTTTAGAAACCACAAAAAGTAGTCGAAGTATCAACATTGATGAGACAAAGAGAAAAAATACAAATAAAGTATCTAAAAATAAAATTTAATCATTAAAATTTGAACCTCAAAGGAAGGTTTAAATATTGGTTTAGACACAGCTGAAGGGAAAATCAGTGACTTTGAAAATACACCTGAAAAGTTACACAAAATGAAGCACTTTACATGAAGAGACTGACTAATACACCACAACAGTGGGAAATTTTAATGTACTTTTCTCAGTAATTGATAAACAAAGCATATGAAAAATTAGTAAAGATATGGAAGATTTGTATTACATAATTCACTAGTTTAGATTTTTGTGAACTGACTGCCTCCTGAAAGAAATGACAGTATCGGCTGCCAGTCATCCCTTAGTGTGAATTATTTTACCTGGTCCTTTTCCTATGACAGGTAGCTTAAAATGATTCTGAGCAAAGAGGATTTTAAACATATCGCCAGCCTCATTTCCTTCAAGAAACACTCCCAGAAGACTACACAGCAATTAGCTTTGGTGAGGCTTATATTTATGTACCTTCTGGTAACTTAATATTGGTTACTTTATGTAATTCTAGTTATTTTTTATTTTTTGTTCAGCTTCCAACATAATATTAATATATGCCCATCATTAAACACTTGAAAACTACAGATAAGCCCTCACCAAAAAGAAAGGAAGAAAAGTGAGCCATAATCCTATCAGTCCTGTATAGATAAGCATTGCTAACATTTTATTATATATAGTCGTTTCATTTTTTAATGCATAATTTTATTCATTGACTGTTTAGCACTCACCATATGCATCACACCGTCCTAGCACTCGGCAAAGGTAATAAAAAGTCAAAGTTCCTGTCCTCATGGCACTTACATTTTCTACATTTTTATATGGGTAAATATTCATACTTTGAATTTCAAAACAAATAAGAGGGAAAAACTAAATGGGATAATCAATAATTATTCATGTTATTTGTGTATCTGTTATTTTCCCACTGAGAAACCAGTTCCTAAGAACCAGATGGCATTAACCATGGTATTCTTCATATCACCTGGCAAAGCAACCGCTTATAGAAGACACTTAACAAAGTTTTGTGAATCCAGAAGTTGAGGTCAAAGGGAGCAGGGAAAAGGCAGGAGGCTTTTGGAATCATGGTTCCCTCTCCTCTTTGGGCAGGTACTAGTTTAATGATAAACCAGTTCTCTGGATGGGAGAGAGGGAAGCCCTGATTTGTAGTGTTTACTGATTTCCATGGTGTAAATACTCACACATGGGCAATTTCAAGCTTCCAATGTTACATCATTGAATATAGAGTTTAGAAAAAGTGCTTGTAATTGATTCTCATGAGCTGGTACAAATTGGCTCCAGCATATCATGGCTTGGCCCTCACTGAACCCTTGCATCCTCTGCCTCTTAGAGTTCTAGCAGTGAGTGCCGTGGGAAATGGGAGTTCTCTCTAGAGGAAAAGGAGAGCACAGAGACAGAAGGCTGGGATGCCAGAGACCAACTTCACCAACTCCTCTTTTTGGTTGAATCTGTTTTTCTTTTCAGAATCCTTCTGATATTTAGGTTATCAGAATTTCCTAGAACAAATGGAAAACTTACTATGCACAATACTGTGGTGTTGCATGGGATACAAAAACACAGAGACGTGATTCCCGTTCTCCACAAGTTCACTATGTAGCGGGAAGAGGATCAGACAGGTTGCTAAGATATCATTTTAAAAACTGGTAGAGAAAATTAACTTTCTCAAAGATATAATTTCTCATGGGGTTTCGAACTCATTATAATAAGGGCTTTTGTGTCAGAAACATATAAAATCAAAACCCTTAATCTGCCACTTACTAGTACTATGATCTTAAGCAATTGATTAATAACTCTATGTCCTTGCCTCATAGGTTGTTGTGAGAATTAAATGAGACAATGTGTGGAAATTCAATGCATGGTGCCTTGCACATAGTAAGATTCAATAAATACCAATAAGAGTATTACTAGCAATAGTGTTTGTAATACCATATAAACAAAGACAACAAAACATAAAAGCCTGGGGCTATGTTTTAGCCAGTTCTCCAGGGAAACAAAACCATTAGGATATGTATATACATAGAAAGAAATGTATTTTAAGGAATTGGTACACATGATTACGGAGGCTAGCAAGTCCAAAATCTGCAGGGAAGACCACTGGGCTGGAGACCCAGGAAGAGACAATGTTGCAGTTCAAGTCTGAAGGCCATTTATTGGCAGAATTTCCCTCCAGAAGAAAGTCAGTCTTTTGTCCTATTCAGGCCTTCAACTGATTGGATGAGACCCACCCACGTTATGTGGCGAGCAGTCTACTTTACTCAAAGTCCACAAATTTAAATGTTAATCTCATTCAAAAATACTGTCACAAAAAATATCCAGAATAATGTTGAACACGTATTTCAAAATTATTAAAATATGCATCAACATGGCCCAGCCAAGTTGACACATAAAATTAACCATCATGGGCTGATTATTTCAGGGATTACCTGGGAATAAGGTTTTATTAAATTAATGGAAGATAATATTAGAGAATTATTTATTTTTGGAGGGCACTGAGAGCCAGGCTGTGGGGTTTGCACTTGATTTTATGAATGACAAAAATCAGTAAAGATTTAGTGACATGATCTGAGCTGCACTTAAAGAAGATCAAACCTAAATTATTGCCACTTGCACCTACAGGCTTGGTAGCTTCTGCTGATATTTGGATAAATAAAAGTAATAGTGTGTGTGGCCACAGGACCTGGATGGTCAAGAATTTGCCTTCAGGGATCTCCCTTTGGCCTTATCCCCAGGGATGATTTTCCTCCAAAACAGGCAGTGTATGTTTTCCTGAAGCTATACAAGTCTTTTCCCTTTCTTACTTTGCTATTCCTTGGCTAGCAGAATTACTCTAAAAATAACCTTTAAAAAGATCCCAAACCAATGAGTATAAGAGTTATCTAGGAATCAAGGAGGCATACTAAGGCTCAGCAAGATAAGCCTGCTTCTCTGGCACAGCCTGTAATTTGTTTTTCCAAGTTTGGTGGTAACCACATCATTAACAATAGCTTTATACATTTCTGACTAACTTGTGTAAGAGGCACTGTTTTTCAACTTTGTTGACACATGAAGCAAATAAGCTGTTGGAGAAGTCTGTTGCACAACTGGAAACAAAATGGATCTCAAACAGTTTACAACGGCTGGGAATCAGGGTTTGGGAGGTGGTCCAAAAATCCCTGCTTCCTGTTGAAAGCACATTCAGCTCAGTGGGATACGTTTGTCTGGTTGTGATATGTAAGTGGTCTCTGTGGTGTATTTACACTTGAAATTTTCACTGATTCCTGTTATTTCAGACCACATACACCCACACAACTATGGTTATTTAGAATCCCTAACTGGAATACATCAGGAGTAATTGCATTGGTATGCCATCTTTTGTTGATAATTGGAAACTTTTGGATGCAACACAAGAAGTTAACAAATTCCCTTGAACTTAGCCATATGTCTGAAGAGTTGTAGCAACAATAATTTTCTGCATATCACTAGCTGGAACTCAAGAAGGACTTTTGACTACAGCACAGGTCTAGCCTTAATGGTCTTTAGAATATTATTTCATAAACAGAAACAAGATTCTTGCCTGATGAATTATTCATAGACCTGGATGAGAACTCATATTGCACAAGATCTATTCAAAGGGCCTTTCTTTTATTAAACTACAGTCAGGCCACCAGGCAAAGATAAAGGTTTCTGTTGCAAGACAAATGAAACACCCCCATGCAATTTATCACGTGTACTGATTCAAACTGGAGGACTCAATGTGATGTTAAATATTTTCCACATCTGATTATACAAGTGACAGAGGAAACACAGATGGAGATGATTGTGCTTTGGATGTATTTGGGAAAACTAGGAGAGTTTATTATTTAGTATATCACATTTCCCTCCCTTAAATACTAGTGAAGGAGACATTCTCTAGAAAAATCTATTGATCAGAGATTAGTCAGCCAACATGAGGAGGCAAATTTGATTTACAGCATATAAAAACAAAAATCTAAACAGTAAAGATAAATACAGCAAAAGGTTTTTTAAAAATACTTCCGATACTGGGTATATATCAAAGGCAAATTTATGTAAGGAAAAATGGCATATGAGTTATTCAGATAATATGAAGTACCAACATGATCAATATCAGATGAGCTCAGGAAAAGCCAGGATGGTAGAAACTTCAGTAGGGCTTTGAGTAGGTACAGAATTTAGTGGAAGGGAGGGACCATGGTTAGCCTGAAGAGCTTGGGACTATGAACCAAGAGAAAAAAACTCCCAGTCTTATTTTGCCCCTAACAAGCTGTGTGACATTGGGTAAGTCATTCATCCTATCTAAACCTCAGTTTCCTTATCTGTAAAAAGAGTTGGCCAGGGTAAATTATTTAATCTCCCTATGATGCTAAAATTTAACTTTCTGCTCTTTCCCATTTTTCTCATATTTCTGGTCCTATATCAGAAGAAATCAATGTTTTTAAGAAAATCAATAGTATATCATAACAAGATTTTATACTGAAAGCTACTTGCAAAGAAATGGCTTTATTCATTCAGCCATTTATTCATTCTTTTATTAATTCAACAAAAACTGATTTTGAAACCCAATGCCTATTGTAAACTAGATACTGTAGTATCCCACAAAGGTCTTCCCATATAAGGATAAAGTGGACACATGGCCTACCTTAAAGGAGTTTATAGTCTTATGGTAGAGACGGACATATAAACAGATAATTTTAATCAAAGGTAGATCTGAATAATAGAGATAAGCACAGAAGGCTTTAGGAGGGAAGAGGAAGTACTGTATATCCCCTATTTGGGATGGCGGAAGGCTTCATGGAGGAGGAGACACCTGAGCTACAGGATGAGTAGAGGTTAGTTAGTTTATGTAGAGAAGAAAGGTGGTCAAAATATGGAAGTAGAAAGTGTTAAAAAGCTGTTAGGAGTTGCTAGAATGTAAAGCACAAAACAAGGAATGGCAGCATAAGATATAAGTAAGGACTATATAGTGGGGATTCTTGTGTTCCTTGTAAAGGAACTTCATTTTACCCCCATAGATCAATGCTTCTCAAAGAATTCTACAACCCTCATGCACCTGAATCACTTGGGAATCTTATTTTTTAAATAACAATTTTTGGTTCTAACCTAGACCTGCTGATTCAGCATTTTTAGGGATAAGGGCTGAAGTTTTGCGTTTTAAAACAAGTATCTTAGTATTTCAGATGCAACCTAAAGTTTGAGAAAAAGGAACACTTTTACATTGTTGGTTGGGTTGTAAACTGGTTCAACCATTGTGGAAGACAGTATGGCGATTCCTCAAGGATCTAGAACTAGAAATACCATTTGACCCAGCCAACCCATTACTGGGTATATACCCAAAGGATTATAAATCATGCTGCTATAAAGACATATGCACACATATGTTTATTGCAGCACTATTCACAATAGCAAAGACTTGGAACCAACCCAAATGTCCATCAATGATAGACTGGATTAAGAAAATGTGGCACATATACACCATGGAATACTATGCAGCCATAAAAAGGATGAGTTCATGTCCTTTGTAGGGACATGGATGAAGCTGGAAACCATCATTCTCAGCAAACTATCACAGAGACAAAAAAACGAACACTGTATGTTCTCCCTCATAAGTGACAATTGAACAATGAGAACACTTGGACACAAGAAGGGGAACATCACATACCGGGGCCTGTTGTGGGGTGGAGGGAGGGAGGAGGGATAGCATTAGGAGATATACCTAATGTAAATGACGAGTTAATGGGTGCAGCACACCAACATGGCACATGTATACATATGTAACAAACCTGCACGTTGTGCACATGCACCCTAGAACTTAAAGTATAATAAATAAATAAATAAATAAATAAAAAATAAACTGCTTACCATCAAAAAAAAAAAGAAGTCTGGAACAAAGAAGAGCGAATGCCTCACTCACAAGATGTGCGGAAATGCAAGAGACCCATAGAGAATTGTCTCCCCATAATGTATAACTCACAGAGTGATATAATTACATGGAGTAAAGAATATAAATTATTTATTATTTAATTAATTATTTTATTTAATAGCAAAGTGTTTAGTACATAGACATAGCTCAGGAAAAGTAACTACCATTTTTACTGTTATAGTAATTGTTATTTTTGGTTTTGTTGTTGCTGTTAAACATTACTCAACCTATAGCTGGCCTGTGATTTACCTATTAGCCTGCAACTTACCTTGACCAGGAAGAGAATTGATCCAAAACCTTGGAGTAGGGTGGATCTTGCAAGTGGGGTAAATGGCCATGGCTAGGTGAAAGGAGAGTAAAAGGGACATGTGGTCATTAGAGACATGTCCCTTGGGAATTTCAGTGAGGGCCAGCATGGTCAGTTATCTGCAATCTGAGGTAACAGGGTAAGTAATAAAACAGGTAGCTGCTGTCATCATGTACCATGGTGATAGAAATTTTAGAGACTGTAATCTCTGCTATTTAGTTCCCTTCTCTACCCAAGCTGAATCTGAAGTTTTCTAACATGACATCCCCTACCTGGAATGCCTTTCCCTCCCCTCTCTACCATCTGTTTTCTTCAAGGTAGCATATAATGGAAGTCCTGGATTTAAATTCAAGCTGTGTAACTTTCCAAAACTCTTTTTCAAAATATAAAACAGAATAACTGACATTTAAATATTTTGTATTTCTGCTACCTAGAATGAGCTGTATGGGAAGTGATAGGTTTTGACATCCAGGCTTCAGGCTTTGAGGTCCAGCTTCCAGTGGTCACTGCCCAGGAATGGTTGGCTTAGAATTTAGAATATAGGTTTTACTACTTCTTTATCTGCCCAAACCGTATGGAATTTATGGTCTTTGTTTAGCATCTTCACAGATTCCATTCTTCTCATCGAAATACCCAAATGGTATTTTCTAATAGTTCAATACCCTGTTGTTGCCAAAATTTTCAATCTATCCCAGAAGCACATGCCAACTCCTTGGTGATGGGTTTGTCTACCTACAATTTAAGGACAATTACAGTGTATTCTTTTCAGAAGTTATTATTGGTTATTGAGTCATTTCCTAGTGGAAGTGGTTTTTTTCTTCTAGGTCCTCTGGATTCATCATGAGGTATTTGCTAGCTATCTCTTTGCACACAGCAAAATGTGTGCCTGTGATAGAGTATGACTTTTTAGAATGTTCACTAGGCTGGAGTTCAAGACTCAACTTTGTCACTTCCTAGTTCTCTGGGAGGCAGTATCTATGAAGGAGGAAATTAGCCAGCTAGCATTTGAATCCTAGCTATTCGTGAACTGGATGACTTCTAGCTGATATCAAACCCTTGCTGAGTCTCATTTTTCCCATTTGCAAAGTGAGAATGATAATGTCTGCCTGGTAGGGTTTTCTGTGAGTAGTAAATGAGGTACATGTCTAGTACAGTGCTTATTATATTATAATGGGCATTCAACAAAGGCGACATCCATACCAGCCCTTAAGGCACTAATGACCCCAAAAGGGTTGAAATACTCACATGCCCATGGGGTCCAGCACAAAACTGAAGTGAATGAGAATAAGTAAAACAACACTGCAACTGTGAAGGTACAAGGCAACTAAGAGTTGGCCTCAACATTGGAAAGAAAATAGGGAGTACTTATGGCAAACTGAGGAGGGTGTGTTTTATCTAACACACCCACCACACCAGCCCACTGGTGCCCCAATAAGGACAAACACGTATTGACAGATCTTCTGGTATTTCAAACGAAGCCAGAAATCAGACTTTTAGGTAAAGTCTCTCAATTTTTAAATATTGGCTCACTGAAAAACAAACACATACACAAACAAACTTGGATCCCAAACAAAATATTCCTATAGGCTTAATCCAGCCTACTGATGGGGAGGCTCTGCTCAATCACATTCACTTGACATCACTTAAATCTCGAGCTCATATTGCTCCCTAGCTCTTTTATATTACTATGTAATTTTCAGCGCTCAAGCTCTGTCTCCAATTACATCTGTTAAGCCACTTGAATAAGATATTTGAGAGCAGGAATAGTGTCTTGCTCAGGAAATATCCACAGCTGGTAAACTCTCCTTTGGGTGATATCCTTTAAGATCTTAAAATGGGTTGCTTCCCTCCAGAAGAACATGTTGACTTCTTTTTGCCTTGAAATGGGAATACAACAGCTGGCTGCCTCTGGGAGGTTGAAAATAAACAGGTTCAGAAGCTCTGAGAACAGCAAATGGGCGTTGTAGGTGGAGAAACAGCCCAAAATAAATACAGCTGTTGAGGTGGAAAATTCTATTTACTTTGGCTGTTTCGAGGTCTACACTGAGGAAGGGAGAGTTGCTATTCCTGAGACTCTCCATATACTGACAATGGGGGACCCACTCGGGGCTGGTCCCCAGTGCAGGACACATTCATACTCATCATTTCAGTGCATACTTGATGATGAGCACATCAACTGGGTATCTCAAATGAGGGAGGACATTTGTTAAAAATGAAAATGATGAGTGAAGGGCTCTGTACTGGATGGCCTATATTAATGTCTTCCCTGGCTTGGATTGTAACTCACATTGAACATTCCTTAACAATCAGGTTTTGTTTGCTACATAGACCTAACAGAAAAGACGCTAGCTCGGGAGGCAAAAAATCCAGCCTCTAGCATCAGTTTGCTAACTAGTTGTATGACCTTGATGAATCATTGCAATATTCTGGGCTTCCATTTGCTCAAACATAAAGTGAGAGATTGAGAGAGAAAATCTCTAGGGAGTCCGTGAGAAGAGTGGAAAGGGTACGGGATGAAGACCAGAAGGTTTTCATTTATGCCCTGACTCTGATAACTCTCTCCAGTGTGACCTTGGATGGCAAAACACATAATCTGTAAATCTCTGTCTTTACCTATGCCAGGCAGGACTAAGCACAGCCCTCTTCCCAGTATTGCAACTGTGAATGAGAAAATAAAATTTATGTGAAAGTGCTTTTCAAATGGATGTGTGAGTGGCTCATGCCTGTAATCCCAGCACTTTGCAAGGCTGAGGTGAGCGGATCACCTGAGGTCTGGAGTTCGAGACCAGCCTGGCCAACATGGTTAAACTCCATCTCTACCAAAAAAAAAAAAAAAAAAAAAGTTAGCCTAGCATAGTGAGTGGCATGCACCTGTAATCCTAGCTACTTGGAAGGCAGAGGTGGGAGAATTGCTTGAACCTGGGCGGCGGAAGTTGCTGTGAGCCTTCAGTGAGCCAAGATTGTACCACTGCGTTCCAGCCTGGGTGACAGAATGAGACCCTGTCTCAAAATAAATAAATAAATAAACAAACAAAAATCAAATGGATGTGTGAGCATATTGATATCAGACAGATCTAGTTTTCAATTCTGACTGTTACCAATTCTGTGTGCTTATGGGCAGGTGAGTTAAGTTCTGTAAGCATCATTTTCCCGATAATTACAAAATGAAAGTAATATCTACTTCATAGGATTGCTGAGATGACTAAAGTAAGTTAAATAATGTAAAAAAAAAATGTACTAGAGCAGGGACAGGCACAGAGTGCTATAAATAGTAATTACTAGTGCTAGTAAAAACACAAATGATATTGATATAAAATCTCCATCTCAAAAGCCTTATTCTGATCAGCTAAATCTTAAACTTTTTTTTACAATTTGATCTGAACCAAAATTATTTTTCTCCCTTTACAAGAAAAATCATTACAAAACAAAAACAGTGATCCAGTTTAAGTTGAGAATGAACTTAGTTGTTTTCTGAAGTCCACAAGAGAACAGAGCCAAAACATTCAAACATTCTGACCCAAGCTTAGCGTGCTTGCTACACTGAGGTAAAACATTAATGGGAAAGTCTCCTTCAGCCAGGAAATATCACCTTCCCTTTTTCAGAAGGGAGCCCATGGAAATGCTTGGGTTTATAGTGGTGGAGGAAACAAAACCAAAAATCTCAGACAGATACTGTTGCAGATTGTGTTCTCAGGGCAGCATTCCAGACTTCCGTAGAACCCAGCTCACAGGAGTAAACTCTTTGTCTTAATGGCTCTCCAGACCTTGCCAGTATCAGAGGGGACACTTGAAATCATACTGCATCCAGATGGCAAGAAACATCTTAAAACTCTCATCACAAGACAAGTGAATTAATCATTCATTTAATCATTGATTTACATATTCAAAACACAGCTATTACTGGTCTAATATGCCTAGCCACAGTACTAGCTCCTGGAGCTACAAAGCAAAGTCCTTTCTCTCAGTAATTATCTGAAATTCAAAGATTCTCACACATATCACTCTGGGGCTTTACAATGTCAGAGCTCTTGTGACTAAATATCAATATACATAAAACAATATTAAATGTTTCTACTTTTCACCATGGATATCTTACAGCTAAAGAGATACCCCCCATAGAAGAGAAAGACTATATACATAAACATGTTTGTGGTACATTATTTATAGTTGTAATAATATAAATGTACAACAAGTTGAATAATAGTTTAAAAGTTTGGGGTGTATGAAATGATGGAATACTATGTAAGACATTTAAAAGGACATAATTACAGATATCAGCATGATGAAAATTGCTCATTCATGCGAGATGATAGAAATAATGCAAAATTATGATGTATCGAAGACCTTCAAACTTGTGTGTGGTTGTAGCTATAAAACATATACATTTGTTTCTAAATAAGGCCTGGAAGATAAAACATTTTTAGTTATATAAAGATAGTGGAATTTTTGATAATTTTTTTCTATTTTCTAGACTTTCTATATTATTACATGTGTCAGCGAAGTAAGATGTTGACACCTGCTGTGATTTGAGTGATGGGAGAAAATGTTTCTTATCCTTATAAGTATCTCTTTCAATCTGTACACAGGGGTTATCAAGTTTTTCTTGTTTTTTCATTTTGTTTTGTTTTTTGAGACAAGGTCTCTCTCTTTCACCCTGGCTGAAGTGCAGTGGCGCAGTCACAGCTCACTGAAGACTCGAACTCCCGGGCTCAAGTGATTCTCCTGCCTTGGCCTTCCAAGTAGCTCGGACTACAGGCATGTGCCACTACACCCAACTAATTTTTTTATTTTTTGTAGAAATAGGGTTTCATTATGTTACCCAGGCTAGTCTCAAACTCCTGGGCTCAAGTGATCTTCTCACCTCAGCCTCCCAAAGTGCTGGGATTATAGGCATGAGCCACCCACACCTGGCCGGTTTATCAATTTTTAATTATCTTTCCAATCTGGTCCCTTTCTACATTCTCATTAATGTTGCTTTAGCTCAGCTTCTCATCTCACCTGATTCCTGCAGTAAGTAGCCTACTAACTCACCTCTGTCTTCATTTCCACACTTCCCAGTTGCTTCTCCCAACCACAAGCTTCTTATCCTCAAATGTTCAGTCCTGGTTTAAACAGCCTTCTCCAAACACACCAGACATGCATATGTATATTATGGTGGTACCTCAAATTGTTATGATCCCTGGCGGTACGGATTTATGGACAGCACAGAAAGGAAGCTGTTTAGCTTCCTTTCCTCTCTTCCACATATCCTCTCTTTGGTATGGCTAATTTGCAGTTCCTTCCATTTAGAAGGACCTGAGAGGTAGAAAAGTATACTGGATAAGACTTCAGCTTCTACACAAGAATAGCTAAGACACTGAAGAATTAAAATAAGGTAAGCGTTTGTCATGCAAGATCTAAGACTGATCAGAAGCTAAATAAATACAATAATCAGGTTATTTGCTCCCAGTAATGATTCAGTAGCTCCCATCAAACTAACTCTCCACATATAACCACAAAAAATCTAGGCAAAATATAAAAAACCAATTCCCTGGAACAACTGGAAAGCAACTAAAAGCAGGCAGAAGCTGGAGTGGGGGACCTGTACTTAGATGAAGGAAATGGAACTGGGTGAGTTATCTATTCTTTAATGGGTCTTTATTTGAGGGTAGGCATTAGTTGGCTAAATCTCAAATAGAAGTCTATAATCTTAGTGGCTTGAAATATCAAATAACAGAGTTTGGGAACCACCACAGCAGCTAAAAGTGAGGGGAGAAGTCCAGGAAAGGAGACAACCAGAAAGGAGAGTCACAAATTCTGCATATAAACTCTGCCCAAATCTCTGGCTGACCCCTAAGCTATGCGTGTGTAGTGCAAATCCTAAACAGCCTGCTAAGGATAAAGGAGTTAAACAAGATTTCACCTTCAAGGTAGACTGAGTTAGAAGTTAGAGTCCAGCAAAGTTAATTGTAAGCAAATTCAGCACTGTTCAGAAGAATATAACAGAATTCAGAATCCAAAATATCATTTAGAATGTCTAGGATAATCCAAAATTATAAAGAAAAAAATAGAATAATTAGAATAATGTGAAGAAATAGGATAATGTGATGCATATTCCAGAGACAATCAATCAGTGGAAACTGGACAGATGTTGGAATTAGCAGAAAAGGATTTTATTAAAACTATCCTCAGAAGCATAGAAGAAAATATGTTCATAATGAATTTTAATTCTGCTTTTTAAAGAAGAAAATCCTCCAGCAGAGAAAAAGTTACTGTTGTTTAAAATGGAAATTCTAGAACTAAAAAATATGTCTGACATTTTTCAAAAGAAGACATATATGCAACCAACAAGCATATGAAAAAATGTTCAACATCTGTATTTTCATGCTGCTGACAAAGACATACCAGAGACTGGGCAATTTACAAAAGAAAGAGGTTTAATGGACTTACAGTTCCATGTCGCTGAGGAGGCCTCACAATTGAGAGATGACAGCATGCTGACAGCCCTCGCAGCCCTGGCTCGCTCTTGGCACCTCCTCGGCCTCAGCCTCCACTCTGGCCCTTCAGCCCGCCGCTGCACTGTGGGAGCCCCTCTCTGGGCTGGCCGAGGCCAGAGCTGACTCCCTCTTCTTGCGGGGAGGTGTGGAGGGAGAGGTGCAGGCAGGAACCGGGGCTGCATGGGGTGCTTGTGGGCCAGCAGGAGATCCCGGTGGGCTGGGCTCAGCAGGCCCCGCACTCAGAGCAGCAGGCCAGCGCCGCAGGTCCTGGGCAGTGAGGGGCTTAGCACCCGGGCCAGCAGCTGCAGAGGGTGTGCCGGGTCCCCCAGCAGTGCTGGCACTGCTCTCAAATTCTCACCGGGCCTCAGCTGCCTCCCCGCGGGGCAGGGCTTGGGACCTGCAGCCCACCATGCCTGAGCCCCACCCCCCGCTGTGGGCTCCTGCACAGCAGGAGCCTCCCCAAGGAGTGCCGCCCCCTGCTCCGCAGCGCCGGGTCCCATCGACCGCCCAAGGACTGAGGAGTGCTGGCGCACAGCGCGGGACTGGCGGGCAGCTCTGCCAGCCAGCAGCTCGGCCCCTGCGCAGGATCCACTAGGTGAAGCCAGCTGGGCTCCTGAGTCTAGTGGGGACCTGCAGAACTTTTATGTCTAGCTAGAGGATTGTAAATACACCAATCAGCACTCTGGGTCTAGCTCAAGGTTTGTAAATGCACCAATCAGCACTGTATCTAGCTAATCTGGTGGGGACTTGGAGAACCTTTATGTCTAGCTAAGGGATTGTAAATACACCAATCAGTACTATGTGTCTAGCTCAAGGTTTGTAAATACACCAATCAGCACTCTGTGTCTAGCTCAAGGTTTGTAAATGCACCAATCAGCACTCTGTATCTAGCTAATCTGGTGGGGACTTGGAGAATGGTTGTGTCTAGCTAAGGGATTGTAAATACACCAATCAGCACTCTGTGTCTAGCTCAAAGTTTGTAAACACACCAATCAGCTCTCTATGAAACAGACCAATCAGCTCTCTGTAAAATGGACCAATCAGCAGGATGCGGGTGGGGCCAGATAAGGAAATAAAAGCAGGCTGCCCCAGCCAACAGTGGCAAGCTGCTGGGGTCTCTTGCTGCGCTGGGGAAGCTTTGTTTTTTTGCTCTTTGCCGTAAATCTTTGGGTCCACACTACCTTTATGAGCTGTAGCACTCACCGTGAAGGTCTGCAGCTTCACTCCTGAGGTCAGCAAGACCACGAGCCCACCGGGAGGAATGAACAACTCCAGACGAGAGGAACAAACAACTCCAGACACGCCGCCTTAAGAGCTGTAACACTCACCACAAAGGTTTGCAGCTTCACTCTTGAAGCCAGCGAGACCATGAGCCTGCCAGAAGGAAGAAACTCTGAACACGTCCGAACATCAGAAGGAATAAACTCTGGACACACCATCTTTAAGAACTGTAACACTCACTGCGAGGATCCGCAGCTTCATTCTGGAAGTCAGTGAGACCAAGAACCCACCAATTCCGGACACACAATCATGGCAGAAGGTGAAAGGTACATCTCACATGGGGTCAGACAAGAGAAGAGAGCTTGTGCAGGGAGACTCATCTTTATAAAACCATCAGATCTCATGAAACTTATCCACTACCGCAAGAACAGCAAGGGAAAGACCTGCCCCCATGATTCAATTACCTCCCATCTGTCACTCCCGCAACACCTTGGACTTCAAGACAAGATTAGGTAGGGACAGAGCCAAACCATATCAACATCATTAATTATATAGAGAAATGTAAATCAAACCACCACAATGAGATACCATCTCAAACCAGTCAGAACGGCTATTACTAAAAAGTAAAAAAAAAAAAAAAAAAAGAAAGAAAAAAAACAGTTGCTGACAGCTGACAAGGTTATGGAGAAAAGGGAGAATTTATCCACTGCTGGTGGGAATGTAAATTACTTCAGCCATTGTGGAAAGCAGTTGGGCGATTTCTGAAAGAAGGTAAAACAGAATTACCATTCCACCCAGCAATCCTATTATTGGGTGTATACCCCAAGGAATATAAATTATTCTACCATAAAGACATATGCATGTGTATGTTTATGACAGCACTATACACAATAGCAAAGACATGGAATCAACCTAAATGCCCATCAGTGATGGACTGGATAAAGAAACTGTAGGACATATACATTGTGGACTACTACACAGCCATAAAAAATAATGAGATTGTGTCTTTTGCAGCAACATAGTTGGAGCTGGAGGCCATCATCCTAAGTGAACAAACACAGGAACAGAAAATCAAATGTTGCATGTTCTCACTTATAAGTGGGAGCTAAACATTAAATACATATGGACACAAGGGAACAACAAACACTGGAGCCTATTGTGGGGTGGAGGGTGGAGTGTGGGAGGACCTGGGTGATGAACTAATCTGTACACCAACCTCCATGGCACACAATTTATATAACAAACCTGCACGCGTACCCCGCACCTAAAATGAAAGTTAATAACATAAAAATATGTCTGAAAGTTTTAGACAGAAGATTTTCTCAGGAATAGACGGAGTAACAAATAAAACAGAATAGAAAGTCCAGAAGCAGATCCATGAATGTGTGGAAACTTGATGTAGAGCTGAACCGACACCAAATATCACTGGGCAAAGAATAGACTGTTTGACAAAGTGTATGAGATAAATGGAAACTCATTTTAAAAATGGAATGGGTACCCCCCTCATATCACACACAAAATTGTCTCTAGAGAGATTAAAAGCTGAACCGTAAGAGGCAAGATTTTTAAAAATTTTAGAGGACAATATAGTGGAAAATTTTTGTGATCTTTGGGCAGGTAAAGAATTCTTAAACAAAAAATAAGAGAATACTAAACATAAAATTGTAAATTGATAAATTTAAATATATTTTTAAGAGTTAAAGCAAAATATAGAGTGTGCATACAATATGCTATCTCTTTAATAATAAAGAAGATAAAATAAAAGTGTATATGCATTTATTGTCAAAAAAGAAGTGAAAAAAATGTAACCAACAACAGATTAAAATGATTATATAGAGTAGTTGAGATCAAAGTCGAGACTGAATAAACAGGAATTAAGGTTTTTCTCAGTACACACAAACACATGCATATATATATACACACACATACACAAACACAAACATATATGCATATATACACATACATTCACCAATAAAGCATATAAAATTATAAATATTTTTGAAGAATTACGAGAAATGCAAAGAAATTTGACTGTATTTACTAGTTTTGTTTTTAACAGGTGTATGGTGTTGTAGCTCAAAAACTGTGTGCATTGCAGAATAGAAGTGAACAAATATTGTTTGTGGTGGTGTTTGAGAAGCAGGGTTTTCACTATGGAAGAAGGAAATACAAAAATGGAATGGGAGAAGGAAAGAAATAATCATGTGGTAATGCATGTGAATTATAAGTATTACTAGAAACTCAGGCTTTTCTTTTATCTTTTTTTCTTTTTTTTATATTTTTTATTTTAGAAAAGCAGTTTCCTATCACTGTCTCCTGTAAAGAGCTAGAAGCAATGAGGCACCAGTAGCGACGAGCCCACCTAGAGCCCAGATACTGGATTCTAAATCTCATTTCCACCTAAAGAAACCAGAACTCCTTGGAGAAATGGCTGAAACCAATTCCAGGACACGGAATGTACAAAGTAAGCCCGAAACATCACATGGTGCCAGAAAGCAAGTATGTGCTTAAAGACTAGTGGCTGCGTGTTGTTATCAGCAAGAGAGCTATTTTCCAAGTGATAAATTCTATGGAACACTTACACGTAGAAGAGACAAAAGCAGAATTGTAACATGAGTAGGGGGCCCAGATTCCTGATCTTTCACCCTCTATCTTCTCTCCCATCCCTGTTCAATAGCAGTCCCTAAGTAATCCTTAGTTTGAGAACCACTGGTCTATTAAAAAGACCCTGGGTTTAAACATCTGGAAACCTGAATTCTAGACCAAATTTGGCCCCAAACTAGCATATAGTCTTAGGTAAATATTTAGTTTCTCTGGGCCTTGTTTACTTATGTGTAAAACAGGGATAAAGCTACTAATTTACATATTTCTCAGTTGTGAGGGTCAAATAGGATAATTATAAAAATGCTTTAAAAGTTTAAAAAGAATGATTTATACTAGTGTAATTTATCACACCCCATGGGGCCTTTCGACACATTCTTCTACACCATTCGGCAGCTGTCATTCTTAGCAGCTGCCAAATAGTGATGTTGCAATAAGGGATTTTTAATATATATCCCGGGAAAATGGAGGTTCCTTTCCAGCCTTCCTTTCATTAGAAATTTACTGGTCATGTACTGTGGCAGGCATCTAACAGCACAAAGACATAAGATTATAATCCCAAGGAGCTCACTGTCTAATAAAGGAAAATTAGCATAAATAAAATACTTGCAATGTAGTATAAGTACAGTGCTTGGAATATTCATGTTACATTTTCAACCAAAAGACAATGCAATTAGCAGTACCAGGATTTAGGAGAGAGAAAGGTGGCAAGGAATACTAGAATGGAGTGAAGGTGCCAATATAGTAAATCAGCTGGCAAAAAAATTATTTAGTACTAACATGGAAGTAAAGATGGCAGATTGAAAACGTGAACCTACTTTCACTCACTCTTAAAATCCCACTAAAGCGACAACCTGAATCAACCAACATAGCAAAATGGTAATGTAATTTTTTTTTTTTTTTGAGACAGTCTCACTGTGTCACCCAGGCTGGAGTGCAATTGCATGATCTCGGCTCGCTGCAACCTCTGCCTTACGGTTCAAGCGATTCTCCCGCCTCAGCCTCCCTGAGTAGCTGGGATTACAGGCACCCACCACCACACCTGGCTAATTTTTGTATTTTTATTAGAGACATGGTTTCACCATGTTGGCCAGGCTGGTCTCGAACCCCTGACCTCAAGTGATCCACCCGCCTCGGCCTCCCAAAGTGCTGGAATTAGAGGCATGAGCCACTGTTTCCTGCCAGGTATGTAATTTAATCATTAGGGTCTATGCCAGCAAGTCAAGGTTGATTTAATACTTAAAATTAATCAATGTAATTTACCATATTAAGAGGTTAAAGAAAAATCATATAATCAATTCAATAGATGCAGAAAAAAAGCCATTAGATAAAATTTGAATTCTTTTGTGATTAAAAAGGAAAAGCTTAGCAAAGTAGGAATTGAGAGGATCATTTTTGTCTAAAAATTAATAAAAATAAAAATTTAAACTTCACAAGCAAACAGTTCTTAATGAGGAGACATAAAGTTTTCTCTATGATATAAGGAACAAAAAAAAGGTGTTACTATCCCACTTCTAGTCAACATTGCCTTAGGGAACCTAGACAAAACAGTAAAACAAGGTAAAAAAAAAGATATATAAAAATTAAATGCAAAATATAAATAGCATCATTTGCAGGTGATATGATTATGTTTATAAAAAGTACAAAATAATTCAGATAAATTATTAATTCAGTTTAGAAGTCTACTAAATAAATCAATTTATAATTTATTTCTATATATAAGCAACATTTAGAAAACAAAATTGAAAAAATTATGCCATTTATTGTAATATCAAACATATTACATAACTAGAATTAACTGTAATTTAAGTGTTGTATTGCAAGAGTTGTAATACAAGAGTTGTATGGCAAGAACTATAAAATTATAACAAGGAAAATTAAAGGAGACCTAAACAAATATAGAAATTTACTGTACATTGATTGGAAGACTCAATATTATAAATATTGCAATTCCCCACAAATTAATCTAGTGTCAATGTAGTTCAATTAAAATCTTAGGATTTTTGGGAGGGATATTGACAAGCCAATTCTAACATATATAAAAATACAAAGAGCCAAGCATAGCCAAGACACAATTATAATTGGAAGATTGGCTCTACTGCATACTAAGGCTTATTAAAGGCTATAGAACTTAAAAGAATGAGGTACTCATACAAGGATAGGCAAATAGACCAATAGAATAAAATATGTATACTCCAGAAACCAACCTACACACATAAAGATATTTGATTTACTACAGGGATAGTACTGCAGAGAAGTCAGAAATAGGTGAACCTTTCAATAAATAATTATAGAAAAGTTGAGCATTATTTTGAGGGAAAATGATACTGGAACCCTAACCATATAACAAAATCAATTCCAGTTAGTTCACAGCCCTAAATAGGAAAGGCAAAATATTCAACCCTTTCAGAGCATCATATGGGAGAATATTTTTGTAACTTCCAAGTAAGGAAATATCCTAAAACAAGGCACAAAAAAGGATTAATCATTAATAAAAACATTGCTAAACTGACAGAATTAAAACTAAGTTCTGATTATGAACATACACCCCACTAAAAGAAACAATCAGAGTGCAGGAGTCATTAGTGTCCCTAGCATGTAGATTGTGATCACTTCATATCATTTCTCCAGGACGGGAGCCAGAGCACCTTATAGAAATAGCCATTTGATATCCAGAATAGGAAATGTACAGGATGAATCTGGGACATCTTGTCTTTCCTGAAAGCAAGAAAGTTATGAATGGCTACTAGAGTCATACTGAAAAAAGACCAATAAGAAAGAGCTCATACTGGCCAAAGATGGACAATTCAAGCATCCAAAAAATAAGGGCTCCAATGAACTGAAATACATCAACTAAATATAAATGCATGTGTTCATTAAGATATTCCAAAAATAAAACATTATTGACGACTTTTAGTCGTTTCTAGAGTATTAAATATGTATTATAAAAATAATAAAGTAAAAAAGAGAATCAATTATTTATACTTCTTTTTCCACATTCTATATTTTAGGCTAATAAAATAGGGGACCAGGAAAATTTCTTCATAAATGAATCACAGCTAGTAAATGCAAGAAGAATAACGGAATCAAAAAATCAACAGCTTGGAACCTCTAATGAAATAATTTATGTAGGCAATTTGAATCGTCCAAAAATATTAAGTGAAAGGTTGATGGAGAACCTTTTTAATGAATAGATCATGTTGACACTATCTAAACTCATTGGTTAATTTAACATCACTAAGAGTGGGATAGCCAGGCATTGTGTGCCTCTGGACATGATGGAGAGGAATTTAATAGCATGGCGTCTATATACTAGCAACAAAGTGTCAGAAGTTGAAATTTAGAAGTGTTAACATTTATAAGATTAATGAAGATATGAAATACTTATGATGATGATCTTGGTAAGGCAAAGATTTCTTAGGTATGACACCAAAAAAGTTCATAAAAGAACACACTGGTAAATTGGACTTCATCAAAATGAAAACATTTTGCTCTTTGAATAACACTGTTTTATAAATGAAAGAATGAAAATGAAATGAAAGAACAAAAATTAAAAGGCAAGCCACAGACTAGGAGAAAACCTTTGCAAAGCCTATATCTAATAACGAACTTGTATCTGGAACATATAAAGAACTGTCAAAACTCAACAATAAGAGAAAAAACATTCCAATTAAAAATTAGGCAAAAGATTTAATCCGACACTTCACCAGAGAAGATATACAAATGGCACATGAAAAGCTCAACAGCATTAACCATTAGAGAAATGCATATTAAAACCACAATGAGGTATCACTGTATACATACCCATCAGAATAGTTAAAATTAAAAAGACTGACCTTATCAAGTATTGGTGAGGATGTAGAAAAACTGGAATTTGTATTCACTGGTAGGTAGAATGTAAAATGGTACAACCACTTTGCAAAATATTTTGACAGTTTCTTAAGAAGTTAAACATATACATATCATATATCCAGCTATTTAATTCCTAGGTATTTACTCAAGAGAAATGGAAATTTATGTCCTTTCAAAGACTTATTCCTGAATTTTTATAGCAGCTTTATATTTAATAGCCAAAATGTAAAACAACTCAAATGTTCATCAAAAGGTGAATATATAAACAAATTGTGGTATATCCATACAATGGAATATTGATTCACAATACTGATCCAAAATGAATGAACTATTGAATGACACATGGGTGAATCATGAACTACTTATACTGAATGAAAGAAGTTTGGGTGAGAGTACACACTGTGTGATTCAACTAACATTAAACTCTGGGAATTCCAAACTAATCTATAGTGACAAAAAGATCGGTAGTTGCTCAAGGAGGAGAGTGGGGTGGGCAAGGTGTAGAGATCACAGAGAGTCATAAGGAAGTGGTTGCCAGGATGTGAAAAAGGATTCTGAAGGCTCATTTGGGTTCAGATAGAAGAGAACCATGCTTGACTCATGATATGTAAACAGGGACAGGAGAATAAGTAGGGACAGGTCCTACATATTTCCGTTTAACACCTTCTGTTTGGGTTCAATTATTAGGTTCACTTTTTAGCTAATGAGGAGTCATTGAAGAACATACAAGTAAATTTTGATTGATAGTAGAATTGAAGGTGGGTGCAGTAGGCAGAATAACAGTCACCCCCAGAGATGACCACATTCTAATCCCCAGAAACTGTGAGAATTAAGGTTGCAGATGGAATTGAGGTTATTAATGAGCTGACTGTAAAAGAGAGAGAGAGAGAGTATCCGGGATTATCCAGCTGGGCCCAATGTCATCACAGGGTGCTTGGTGAAAGAGGAAGTGGGAGTGTAAGAGTCAGGGTAAAATGTGATGGCAAAAGCAAAGCTAGGGGGACACAATGTGAGAAGGACTTGACTGGCTATCGCTGGCTTTGAAGATGGGAGGGGGCCACAAGCCAAAGAATGTGGGCAGCCTCTAGGAGCTAGAAAAGACAAGAAAATAGATTCCCCTTGAGTTTCCAGAAAGGAATGCAGCTGTGCCGACACCGTGGTTTTTATCCCAATGATATAATTTCAGACTTCTGACCTTCAAAACAATGAGATAAAAAAATTGTGCTGTTTTAAGCCCTACATTAATGGTAATTGTTACCACAACAAAAGGAAACTAATACAGTGAGTCAGCATAAAATTTTGGAGAAAGATCAGAACAGGTGACAATACTGGTCCGAGTAAGGGCAGATCAAGGTAGATAGGACTCCAGAGTGGTGAACTCTGGGCCTCTAGAGGGCAACAGGAAAGTATTGAGCACTGGAAGATAGGCATGATAGACCTATGAAGGGGAAAAGGGTCCTGAAAGAAGATAGGCTGTGACCACCTTGACTAATTTCATTGTATTCCTAAATACAAACCCTGGGGAAGGGTTTCCTTCCCTTCCCCACTTTGTTGTTCACTTCTATGCAGTATTCTTTGCCACACTTCTCTCTCCTGAATCCTGATACTGCTAATTGCATTGTCTCCTGGTTGAAAATATAACATGAATGTTCCTAGCATTGTACTTATACTGCATTGCAAGTATTTTATTTATGCTAATTTTCCTTTATTAGACAGTGAGCTCTTTGGGATTATAATCTTATGTCTTTGTGCTGTTAGTGCCTGCCACAGTATATGACTAGTAAATTTGTGATGAAAGGAAGGCTGGAAAGGAACCTCCATCTTCCCTGGATATCCCAGAGAAAGAGAGTTTTTCCTTCTGGAATTTGGCAGAAAGATTCATGAGGGACAGGTAGAGACTTGCTGGGCAGCCAAGAGAATCAGTAACTTTATTGTTCCCATCAGGTATTCTCATTTCCTAGCACGAGCCCTGCCTGTATCTTACCTGAACCATAAGGTATGGCCTTCCCAACCAGTGCATGGGCTGCAAATCTGGAACATTTCTGAGGTTTGACTACAACCTATTCCTACAGTCCTTGAACAAGCACCATCCACAATCAAACCAATGCAAGTTTTATTTGTGTAAAAACTCTTAGCCAGAGTTCTTTAACTCTCAGTTATATGATTGATTACCTTAAACCACACTAGCAATTGGATAAGGCATCAAAAACAGAAAAATCTGCTTATGCAGTTTTTGGATCTGAAAACCAAATGGAAACATTAATTTCTTAAAGCTGAAAGCAGTTACTGGATAAAACTCCTAAGGAATCTTGAACAACCTATTGAACCAAAACAACATCCTGTCCCACAAACGCTTTCAATTCATGTTGTGAAATAAAACAGACATCGTGTTTTTACCCTCAGAACATTAAACATAGTATTGAGCTTCCAGTGCTATGAAATAGATATACAATTTCAGAAAGTAGATGAATAAGTCTCCAGTTCTGTTGAAAAATAATTATGGCTTAATGTTTATTTTTTTCATGTTGAACCTATTGCCAGCTAATTATTTCAAAATGAATCTCTTTCCCAATCCTCTGGAAAAGAATGCTTGGTATGTTTTGATTGGTCAGTGTGCCATCATGCATTTTATGAGCTCTTTGCTTAATCTGATGTTAATGTATTCTTTCCAAGCAAGGGAGAAAGCCCATGCCCAGAGGTGGAAGCAGTGGCACCTGAATTGCTCAGCTGATATTCACTGATAAGAAAGCGACCCTGTCCTCTTTTTTGGTCATATTCTTCCATAATGCCTTCAATAGCACCATGCATTTCTCCATCATCACTGTCTTTGCACACATTCATTGTCTGAATGAGTAATAACCTTTCCAAGGTCTATCTTCCCTGTTATATTGTAAGCTCCAAGAGGATAAGCAACATGTTGGTCATAGTCCATACCCTATTTCTAGTGCCTAATACTGTGCTTAGTATATAGCAAGCACAATTTTAATATATTATGAGTTAATGAATGAATGAACAGGCCCTTGTCTCCTTCCCTAAGGGCTAGGCAGTTTAATCCTAAGACAACCAGGTGCTTTCAAAAATAACTCTTTCTGAACCAATACAGGTGACATGGACATTTTCTTAATATATTATTCTCTAAGGAAACATTTCTTCACTTGTTCCACTACGCTATGTAAACACTCTTATCTGGCAATCTCTTCAGCATGTATACATTTAACGTGTATTTAGTATTTTTCTTTTCTAACTTTTTATTGTGCTTGTATCTTATCAAATCATATTATTTATACGTTTTTACTGTGTATGCTCCTAGACTTCCTCTCTGCCTGCTCTGATCTTTGGATGCTGCAGGCGAAGCACCTTACCTGTCCCAGCTTTAGATTCCAGCATTAAATGCTGGCATTAAGCCCATACCAGCCCTTGGATAGGCAGAGATCAGATACTGTTTGACATTAACAGAGAAATGAGATCCTAATGAGGACACTCTCAGGCACCAATATGAATTAGCATGGAAATGGCCAAATTCAACCTTGAAGTTCTGCTCTCTTTTCGATTTCTTCTTCATATCAAATAACCATCAAAAAGTAAGTAAACTTTCAAGGGAATGATTTGTTGGGTTATGGTCTCAGATTTCAAGAAATAGGGCTTCTAGGGAAAAGCATCGGCACGTGTGATGTCATGAGAGGAGGGGAAGAGGAGGGTCTAAGGCAGAATGCCGCCTCTGCTCAAAGATGTTATTCATTTTATACCACATTTCACCTCTTCCCTCATGCCTTTCTCCAGTCTTCAAAAATGTGAATTTTGGTCACTGTTGGCCTTGCCTCTTATTGCAAAGAAAGTTTTGTCATTTAGTGACTGGGAAATAGCCTGTTGTATGAATTGTATTTAAAATTATTGTGCAACTGGGACCATAAGCATGAATGTATAAGGGTTCACAATCTTCCCTCTCTGTGACTGCTAGCTTGTCTCCAGGACTCTGTGAAGCTAATCAGGCCAATGGGTAGAAAGATCTGATAACTGGAAGATAAGATACAGACTGGGATTTTTTTTTTCAATCTTATAAAGAGACAAATTTATTTATTTTTGTGTTTTGTTGGGAGAGAGGGAGGAAAAAGACCAGAACCCTGAGTGCAATGCAGGGATGAGAAAGAGATTTTGTGAGTTGAGCAAGTCTTTGAAAAAAAACTTCAGAGTGATGGGAAATAGAAAGAAAGATGCAGAAATAATTGTTAGGATGTCTGCTAGATATTCTTCTGACATTCTTCAAGAGTCCCTGGTAAATATTTGAATTATTTTCCAATTAGTCTTGGTGTTCAAAGTTGTGTTTATTTGAATGTCATATAAACTGGACCACATGGGTCAACATATTTAAATTGACTTCTTTTATCCATATATATAGAGAAATCAATATTGCAGGTAGGTGAAACCCAACCAATCAGAATTTTCTTAACTAATTTAACTTGTATTTTCCTTGAGAACTCTTAAGAGAAACAAATAAATGAAAGACAATTATTTCATACAAGAAATTCTGTTAGAATACACACATATGCAACTGTTACAGAATAGAAACACACTTCAATCTTTAATACTTTTTACAGACACAACTCTAATCAGTAACATGAACATTCGACTGAAATTTAAAATGGTGGCCCTGAAATACTTTTTAAGTCTCAATTTTTGTACGTACTAAAGAAAGATAATCAAAAGATATTTTTGGCATGAGACCCAATCCCTTCTGGCCTGAGGCATTGTTATGAAAGGTAGTTTGTTGCATACCTGTCTGGCTACCTAAAGCCACTTCCCGTTTGCCCCAAGAACACTGTGCTGGCAGTGAGCCACATTTTTTTCCAAACAGGAAATGGGTTAAAGACACAGCATGCAATTCTGAAGGGACCCCAGATCAGCAACTTACGGACACATGTTTGGAAAAGGAAACTTCACTTTGATGCATCAATCATTTTTCACTCTGTTCCTTTTCTTTAAAAGACGGGACTTTATGAGCAGTACCTTAAGGAGAAGCAAACTAAGATTTCTCTGTGCTCTGAGGAAACTCTAAAACATTGAAGGGCAAAACAACTAGATTTTTATCTTTCCCATTGGAAACTTTTTCTCAAAATGACCCATTCCTATCAGGCCTTTGGGGCTCCTCCTCAGGTATGTTTCTATTCTCTATTAAGACAAAGGGGCAGGCTCTCACACCCACACAACACTGATAGACATCACTTGTGGCCAGATTTTTTGTTTGGGTTTTTTTTTTTTTTTTTGCCTTCTTTAACTTCTGTTGAGAAGAAAGCCCTGAATTCCAGCTTCCATCAATTGGCTGTCATCCCAGGCCACACAATTGGCAAAGCCCTGCATCCTAAGACCTCCCAAAAACAGAGAAGCCTGGGGATCTGAAACAGGTACCACTGATTATTTTAGCTGTAGAGGCCTTTTGTTGTCATTTGCCACTGTTACTTACACAATTCTTTAGTCGTGACTTTTAAGTCTCTCACTTGGTCTTTTTTCCACTGAAGTTTTATCCTGATTCATTCTTCCTCTTCCCAGACCTTGGCTTGTGACATCTCTGCTAGGATTGATATCAACACCATGGTTGTGTTTATGTCTCCCCCTGCATGCCAGGCTCACTGATGTGGTGAGTGGAGCTCTGGGAAGCCGAGCTGAGGAGGCTGAGTCATCAGTCATCATCTCTTGACTCCCTGGGTCTGACCAAAATGACAGAGGCTCCTCACACTAAAGTGTACTGGGAGACCACAGCAAAAAAGAGGCAAAGGACTTCTCCCATTTGACTCTAACCACTTTATAAAAGGTCACATTTTTGTCATAGCAGTAGGGAGATGTTAGTGTGGAAATCTCAATGCAGCTTCCATTCCATTTCGTTTTTCAGGCCACAGCTTAAATGACCCTTTCTAAATGGTAAACCACATTGAAAAGCTATTAAAGCTTAATATAGGCATACTCTGTGACCCAGCATTTTTAATTCTGAATATATATATATGCATATATACATTTATATGATATATTCATATAGCATATACATAATATATATAATAGAAATCCATTCATATGTTTACCAAAAGGCATGTACAGGAATGTTCATAGCAGTACTATTTATTTATTTATTTATTTATTTATAGAGACAGAGTCTTCCTCTGTTGCCCAGGCTGGAGCACAGTGGCACAATCACAGCTTGCTGCAGTCTCAAACTCTTGGGCTCAAGCAATCCTCCTGCTTCAGTCTCCCAAGTAGTTAGGACTACAGCTGTGCACCACCACAACTGGCTAATTTTTTTTTTTTTTTTGAGATGGAGTCTCACTCTGTTGCCAGGCTGGAGTGCAGTGGCGCAATCTTGGCTCAGTGCAACCTCCTCCTCCAGGGTTCAAGAGATTCTCCTGCCTCAGCCTCCCTAGTAGCTGGGACTATAGGCGCCCACCACCACACCCAGCTAATTTTTGTATTTTCAGTAGAGACAGGGTTTCACCATGTTGGCCAGGATGGTCTTGATCTCTTGACCTTGTGATCCGCCCACCTCAGCCTCCTAAAGTGCTGGGATCACAGGTGTGAGCCACCATGCCTGGCCCACCTGGCCAATTTTTTAATTTTTTGTAGATACAGGGTCTCCCTATATTGCCCAGGCTGGTCTCAAACTCCTGGCCTCAAGTGAACCACCCACCTCCGCCTCCCAAAGTGCTGAGATTACAAGTGTGAGCCACCATGCCTAGCCATAGCAAGACTATTGATATTAACAAAAAACCAGAAACTGCCTGAGTCTCCATCAACAATATAATGATATATAAATTGTGGCATATTTACATGATAACATACTGTATAGCAATGAGAATGAAAGAAATATAACTACACACAACAATATGGATGAATACCACAAACATTATATTGAGCAAAAAAAGCAAATAGAAAAAAAATACTGTATGCTTTAATTTACGTAAAGTTAAAAACTAGGCAAAATTACGCTGTTAGAAGTCAGGATAGAGATTATTCTCGGGGGTTAGGAGTGGAGTATGGGGAGGTCTTCTGCCCTTCTAGTAACTTTCCATTTCTTATGTAGACACTACTTACCCTGATGTGTTCAGGTTGTGAGCAAGTTATGCACTTTTCACTTTTTATGTTATGTTTTAATTAAAAACTTTTTAAAAAGTCATCTTCTCGTATGTGCTACAATATGGATGAACTTTTGAAGACATTATCCTGAGTAAAATAAGCCAGAAACAAAAGGATAAATATTGCATGAATTCACGTATGAGGTTCTTAGAGTAGTCAAATTCATAGATACAGAAAGTAGAACAGTGGTTGCCAGGGGATGGGGGGATGGAATAGTGGATGATTTGGGTTTAATGAGTTGAGAGTTTCAGTTTATGATCGTGAATAAGTTCTGGAGATGGATGTGGACGATGGTTGCATAACAGTGAGATTGTACTTAATGCCACTGAACTGTACCTTTCAAATGGTTAAACTGGTCAATTTTATGTTACGTATATTTCACCATAACTTAAAAAGTCATATCATTGCAGACTTTCCTGATCACCTCACATAAATGGTACTTAACATAATAGGTTCTCAGTAAATGTCTGATGAACCAACACATTTTCCAGGAGATCTGAGGCAAGTTATGAAACACTTCTGTAAATCTTTCCTTTAGTTATTTATTTATTCATTCATTATAAAAATCTTTATTAAGCATTTATGCATATATTTTGGGGGAATTAAAAAGTGAAATGAGACAGCATGTTTTTCCAGAGATGAAACTAGCTCTTGCAAGTAGAAATGCATTCCCAGCCTTTGGCTAGCTCTCGGCTAGAGGCTGGGTCAGAACAGCACATAGATTTCAACTCAATGTGACAGATCAAATTGTTTAGTATTAGCTGCTTCCAGAATTTGTTGAAAAGGATTCTGAGGCCCATCAGGGCTCAGCAGTAAAATAAATATCATTAAAAAAGAGTTAGCTTTGTGAACTTGGACAAGTTAAAAAAATTAATAATATTTACATGAGACCTTGAAAGAGGCGTGATGGCATGGGTATTGTGGGTTTTGCTATCCATCCTTAGGCTTGCTCGTGTCTCACCAAGAGTGTTGCAGATGTGAATCAGAAATCAGACTCAACCTGAACTAACAGATGATTTCCAGGTCTTTTTCACCTGGGAGTCTTTGAGAATAAAAATGAGTCCCAGTGCTTAATGGTCCTCATGGAGCTAAACAATAAGCTGCTCTAGTTTCTTTTCTACAAAATGAGAGGAATTATTACTGTTATTCTATTCCTTGGTTCACAGACATATTAGGGAGGTGGAATCCCTAAGATAAACTCTAAACAAACACACATTTGGATGTCCTTTTGAACCTTGATGAGAGCAAAAGGAATGAATATAAGATAATGAAATTATTATTACAACTGACATTTTTGAGAATCTATTGTGTACTATGTAATACTTTAAGTATCTAAGGTAGCTTGTAGCATCATCTTTTTTTTTTTTTTTTTTTGAGATGGAGTCTCACTGTGTTGCCCAGGCTGGAGTGCAGTGGCACGATCTCGGGCTCACTGCAACTTCTGCTTCCCGGGTTCAAGAGATTCTCCTGCCTCAGCCTCCCAAGTAGCTGGAATTACAGGCGCCCACGACCACGCCAGGCTAATTTTTGCATTTTTAGTAGAGACGGGGTTTCACCATATTGGCCAGGCTGCTCTGGAATTCCTGACCTTGTGATCACCCTGCCTCAGCCTCCCAAAGTGCTGGGATTACAGACGTGAGCCACCATGCCCGGCCATAGCATCGTATTTTAACAACAAACTGATATGGTAGGAATTCTTATTCACAGTTTACAGAAAAGAACACTAACTCATAGAAAAACTTACAAACTTGCCCTAAGTCACATTGTTAATAAATACTTGATCTGGGATTGAACCCACATCTTTCCACACATCACAGAGACACTGTAGGAACTTGGTACTGCTTCTCAGACATTGCAATCCCACAAAAGGGCAAGGTCAGACTTGCTGTTAAAGGCAAATGTCCAAAGCACCTGTTCCCTTGCCAGATGTTGATGTTCTTGTCCTCTCTGCCAGCTCCTATCCCACAGGCAATCAGGGCCCTCACACTGTCCACCACCCTTGTCCACACACTCGCCCTGACTGAAGCCCTGAGGGTTCCCAGATCCCGCACCTGCCTTCCCACCCAGGGCTTTGTGCCTAGAGAGCTGCTCTTAAGCCCTTCTCTGAGGTCTTCTGAATACCCCTACTCCATCATCAGTCAAAACAGCTGTGTTTTTTTTTTTTTTTTGCTATACCTGTTAGGCTTCTGTTAAGTTGAACAATAGGAAACTGCTGATATTCAACCATATTGCCTGCAAAAATGTCAATTTCATATAATTCAATATAATACATAAACTTCCTTGTAAACAGAAAGTCTGTGACTAAATAATCTGAAAGTTATTGCCCTAGGCCTTTAATGAGCTTGATGTTTTGCTTGGCCCAGTAAAATTAAACTCTGTTCCTTCTCAGACATAACTTGTTAGAGAATAAATGGGTACAAGCCCTCTCCAGGGCAATTTGTCAAAACATATTTCTTAAAGCTTTCCAGTTTTGACATCCAATGAAGCAGCAAATTCACTTCCAGGAATCTATTATAAGGAAATTATTAAAGAAACAAAAAATATTTAGCCACTAGGATGTAAACATCTTTGTATTAATAGTGGGAAAATGTAAAACATACCCACCTCCCACACACATAAAACTAAATGTTCAATATCAAGAGTTTGGTTAATTAACTTACAGTATTTTTATATAATGCAATACTATACATTCATGAAAAATTATATATAACCAATAAAAAAGAATTCAGTAAAACAAAAAAGTAAATTTAATATTGAATGAAATAATCAATAGCTTTCCTATCCACAAGTGTAAGCCAGTTAGAATATATCATGAAAGAGAAGATCCCATTTAAAAAACTACAGGCCAGATGCAGTAGCTCACACCTGTAATATCAGCATTTTGGGAAGGCGAGGCAGAAGGATCACTTAAGGCCTGGAGTTCAAGACCAGCCTGCACAACAAAGAAAGACCCTATCTCTATGAAAAAAAAAAAATTAGCCAAGTGTGGCACACACCTGTAGTCCCAGCTACCCAGAAGTCTGAGGCAGAAGGATTGTTTGAGCCCAAGAGATCAAGGCTGCAGTGAGGCATGTTCATGCCACTGCACTCCAGCCTAGGCAACTGAGCAAGACCCTGTTTCAAAACAAAAAACCAACAACCAAAAAACCATAAAATACCTAGGAAGAAAATGGAACATGAAACATACAAAACCTATATGAGGAAAAATTCAAAACATTTCAAAAAGACACAAAGTTAAACTTGAATAATTGGGACACATAATAAATTCTTGGATAAGGAAATTCATTATCATAAAGATGTTAGTTCTCCCGAAGTTAACCTATTTATTTATTTATTGTGATTCCAACAAAAATGCTAATAAGATTTTTCATAAAGAAGACAAAATTATTCTAAAGTCGCATGGATATACCAAAATCAACTGAAGATGGATTAAAGACTTAAACAAAAGACCCAAATCTATAAAAATACTAGAAGAAAACCTAGGGAAAATTCTTCTAGATATAGGTCTAGGCAAGAATTTATGACTAAGACCTCAAAAGCACAGGCAATAAAAACAGGCAAATGGGACATAACTAAATGAAAACACTTCTGAACAGCAAAAGAAAGAATCAACAGAGTGAACAAATAATCTGCAGAATGAGAGAAATATTTGGAAACTATCCTACATGCAACTAATATCCAGAATATACAAGGAACTCAAAAAACTCAATGGGAAAAAAAAAAACAAATACTGTCATTAAAAAGTGGGCAAAGGATATAAATAGACATTTTTTCAAAAGAAGACATACAAATGGCCAACAGGTATATGAAAAAATGCTTGACGTCACTAATCATCAGAGAAATGCAAATTAAAACCACAATAAGATATCATCTTACCCCAATCAGAAGCTATTATTCAAAAGATAAAAGATTTGGGGGAGGGTGTGGAGAAAAGGGAATGCTTATACACTGTTGACGGGAATGTAAATTAGTAAAATCTCTATAGAAAACAGTAGGGAGATTTCTCAAAGAACTAAAAATGGAACTACCATTTGATCCAGCCATCTCATTACTGAGTATCTGGCCAAAGAAAGAGAAATCAATATATCAAAAAGATACCTGCACTTGTATGTTTATCAACTACTCACAATAGCAAAGATATGGAAGCAACCTAGTTTCCATCAGCAGGTGACTGGATAAAGAAAATGTGGTATATATAAAGAATAAAGTACTATTCAGCCATAAAAACATGAAATCATGTCTTTTGCAGGAACTTGGATGGAACAGGAGGGCATTGTCATAAATGAAACAAGCCAGACACAGAAATATAAATATTGCATGTTCTCACTTATAAATGAGTGCCAGAAAAGGTGTATATGTAAGTAGAGAGGGAAATGATAGACAATGGAGACTCAGAAGAGTGAAGGAGTGGAAGGGGATGGATAATTGGAAATCACTTAATGGGTACAAAGTACGTTATTTGGGTGATGGATATCCTAAAAGCACTGACATCACCACTATGCATGTAATAAAATTGTACTTATATCCCATAAATTTATACAATTAAAAAAATAAAGTCACATAGAAAAAAGGACAGGCAAGAACAGCCAAGAAGCAAGAAAGACAAGAGCAATGGTGGGGAGGGGAGCATAGCCATATCAGATATGAAAACATATTATAAAGCTTCTATAATTAAATTAGCATAATAATAGTTCACGACTGGACAGACAGACCAATAGAACAGAATTTTCTGAACAGAATAGAACCACCATCAGAGTGAACAGGCAATCTACAGAATGGGAGAAAATTTTTACAATCTACCCATCTGACAAAGGGCTTATATCCAGAATCTACAAAGAACTTAAATTTACAAGAAAAAATCAAACAACCCCATCAAAAAGTGGGCAAAGGACATGAACATATACTTCTCAAAAGAAGACATTTATGCAGCCAACAGACACATGAAAAAATGCTCATCAACACTGGCCATCAGAGAAACGCAAATCAAAACCACAATGAGATAACCATCTCACACCAGTTAGAATGACAATCATTAAAAAGTCAGGAAACAACAGGTGCTGGAGAGGATGCAGAGCAATAGGAACACTTTTACACTGTTGCTGGGACTGTAAACTAGTTCAACCATTGTGGAAGACAGTGTGGCAATTCCTCAAGGATCTAGAACTAGAAATACCATTTGACCCAGCAATCCCATTACTGGGCATATACCCAAAGGATTATAAATCATGCTGCTATAAAGACACATGCACACATATGTTTATTGCAGCATTATTCACAATAGCAAAGACCTGGAACCAACCCAAATGTCCATCAATGATAGACTGGATTAAGAAAATGTGGCACATATATACCATGGAATACTATGGAGCCATGAAAAAGGATGAGTTCATGTCCTTTGTAGGGACATGGATGAAGCTGGAAACCATCATTCTGAACAAACTGTTGCAAGGACAGAAAACCAAACACCACATGTTCTCACTTATAGGTGGGAATTGAACAATGAGAACACTTGGACACAGGGTGGGGAACATCACACACCGGGGCCTGTTGTGGGGAGGGGGAAGGGATAGCATTAGGAGATATACCTAATGTAAATGACAGATAATTGGTGCAGCACATCAACATGGCACATGTATACATACGTAACAAACCTGCATGTTGTGCACATGTACCCTAGAATTTAAAGGATAATAATAAAAAAAAGAAAAAAAATGATCAATGTCACTAGTCAGGGAAATGCAAATTAAACCACAATGAGCTATCACTTTACAACTGTTAGAATAGCTGCTATCAGAAAGACGAAAGATAATAAGTACTGGCAAGAATGTAGAGAAAAGGGAACTCTTGTACATTGTTGGTGAGAATATAAATTAATATAGCCATTACAGAAAACACTATGGATGGTCTTTAAAAAAATTAAAAATAAAACTATCATATGATCCAGCAATCCCACTACTGGGCATATATTCCAAAGAAATGAAATCAGTATGTCAAAGAAAAAAAATTTAAATAGGCTCAAACACACATATACATTTAATATGTACTACAGGTGACATCTCAAATCACTAAGTTTGTAATGTGAGGGTGGGAAAAATTGACTTTTTCATACATGACGTTGGGACAAATGGATAACCATTTGAAGAAAAGATAAAACTGGATCCATACTTCATACCATGTATCAGTATAAACTCCAATTCATATAACTACATGCCAAAAAAAGAAACCATACAAGTACTAGAAGAAAATATAGGTAAATTCTTTTATAACCTAGGAATAGGGAAGGCCTTTCAATTCATTACTCAAAATCTGGAAACAATAAAAACTTGAAGATATGGTTTGGCTGTGTTCCCACCCAAATCTCAACTTGAATTGTATCTCCCAGAATTCCTACGTGTTGTGGGAGGGACCCAGGGGGAGGTAATTGAATCATGGAGGCCTGCCTTTCCCATGCTATTATCATGATAGTGAATAAGTCTCACGAGATCTGATGGGTTTATCAGGGGTTTCCACTTTTGCTTCTTCCTCATTTTCTCTTGCCACTGCCATGTAAGAAGTGCCTTTTGCCTCCTGTCATGATTCTGAGGCCTCCCCAGCCATGTGGAATTGTAAGTCCAATTAAATATCTTTTTTGTCCCAGTCTCGGGAACATCTTTATCAGCAGTGAGAGAACGAACTGATACAGTAAATTCATACCAGTAGAGTCGGGTGCTGCTGAAAAGTTACCTGAAAATGTGGAAGCAACTTTGGAACTGGATAAGAGGCAGAGGTTGGATCAGTTTGGAGGCCTCAGAAGAAAACAGGTAAATGTGGGAAAGTTTGGAACTCCCTAGAGACTTGTTGAATGGCTTTAACCAAAATGCCGATAATGATATGAACAATAAGGTCAAGGCTGAGGTGGTCTCAGAGGGACATGAGGAACTTATTGGGAACTGGAGCAAAGGTGACTCTTGTTATGTATTAGCAAAGAGACTGGTGGTATTTTGCCCCTCCCCAAGAGATTTGTGGAACTTTGAACTTGAGAGAGATGATTTAGGGTACCTGGCAGAAGAAATTTCTAAGCAGCAAAGCATTCAAGATGTGACTTGGGTACTGTTAAAGGCATTCAGCAAAAAAGGTCAGAAAATTTGCAGCCTGACTATGCGATAGAGAAAAAAACCCATTTTCTGGTGAGAAATTCAAGCCAGGTGTATAAATTTGCATAAGGAGCAAGGAGCCTAGTGTTAATCCCCAAGACCATGGGGAAAATGTCTCCAGGCCATGTCAGAGACTTTCACGGCAGACCCTCCCATCACAGGCCCAGAGGCCCAGGAGGAAAAAGTGGTTTTGTGGGCAAGGTCCAGGGTCCCCATGCTGTGTGCAGCCTAGGGACTTGGTGCCTTGTGTCCCAGCCACTCCACCCATGGCTGAAAGGGGCCAATGTACAGCTCAGGCTGTGGCTTCAGAAGGTGGAAGCCCCAAGCCTTGGCAGCTTCCACGTGGTGTTGAGCCTATGGGTGCACAGAAGTCAAGAACTGAAGTTTGGGAACCTTTGCCTAGATTTCAGAAGATTTATGGAAACACCTGGATGCCCAGGTAAAAGTTTGCTGCAGAGGTGGGGCCCTCAAGGAGAACCTCTGCTAGGGCAGTGTGGAAAGGAAATGTGGGATCAGAGCCCCCACATAGAGTCCCTACTGGGGCACTGCCTAGTGGAGCTTGAGAAAAGGGCCACTGTCCTCCAGACCCCAGAATGGTCTTGCACCATGCACCTGGAAAAGCCATGGACACTCAACACCAGCCTGGGAAGCTGCCAGGAGGGAGGCTGTATCCTGTAAAGCCATAGAGGCAGAGCTGCCCAAGACCATGGGAACCTACCTCTTGCATCAGCATGATCTGTATGTGAGACCTGGAGTCAAAGGAGATCATTTTGGAGCTTTAAAATTTGACTACCCTGCTGGATTTCAGACTTGCCTGGGTCCTGTAACGTCTTTGTTTTGGCCAATTACTCTCATTTGGAATGGCTGTATTTACTAAATACCTGTACCCCCATTGTATCTAGGAAGTAATTAGATTGCTTTTGATTTTACAGGCTGATAGGCAGAAGTGACTTGCCTTGTCTCAGGTGAGACTTTGGACTGTGGACTTTGGGCTGATGCTGAAATGAGTTAAGACTTTGGGGACTGTTGGGAAGGCATGATTGGTTTTGAAATGTGAGGACATGATATTTGGAGGGGCCAGGGGCAGAATGATATGGTTTGGCTGTTTCCCTACCCAAATCTCAACTTGAATTTTATTTCCCAGAATTCCCATGTGTTGTGCGAGAGATCCGGGAGGAGGTAATTGAATCAGGGGGCCAGTCTTTCCCGTGCTATTCTAATGATAGTGAATAAGTCTCACAAGGTCTGATGGGTTTATCAGGGGTTTCCACTTTTGCTTCTTCCTCATTTTCTCTTGCTCCCATCATGTAAGAAGTGTCTTTCACCTCCAGTCATGATTCTGAGGCCTCCCCAGCCATGTGGAACTGTAAGTCCAATTAAACCTCTTTTTTGTCCCAGTCTCGGGTATGTCCTTATCAGCAATGTGAAAAGAGACTAATACACTTGAGAAATTTTTTTACATTAAAAAAAATTTTTTTTTGAGACAAAGTTTTTCTCTGTCACCCAGACTGGAGTGCAGTGGTGCAATAATGGCTCACTCCAGTCTCAGACTTTTGGACTCAAGCAATCCTCCCACTTTGTCTCTTGAGTAGTTTGAACTACAGGTGCATACCACCACACCTGGCTAATTTTTTCCTTCCTTCCTTCCTTCCTTCCTGCTTCCTTCCTTCCTTCTTTCCTCCCTCCCTCCCACCTACCTTCCTTCCTTTCTTTCTTTCTTTCTTTCTTTCTTTCTTTCTTTCTTTCTTTCTTTCTTTCTCTCTTCCTCTCTTTCTCTATTATTACTATTTTTTTTTTTTTTGGTAAAAACAAATCCTCACAATGTTGCCCAGGCTGGTTGTGAACTCCTGGCCTCCGGTGATTCTCCTACCTCAGCCTCCCAAAAGAGGTTATATTTTTTAAAAAATTACATTTGTATCACAACAATCTCCTAAGTAAAGTGAAAATACAAATGCTTAATTAGCAGAAAAATATTGGCAACCTAGAGTACAGAGGGCTTACCTCCCTAACATATAAAGAGTTCTTAAAAGGAGAGGAAAAAAAAAAAACTCTAATAGAAAAATGAGCGAAATATAAGAATAGGCAGTTTATAGAAAAAGATATTAAATGACCCTTAAACATATGAACAGATGGTTAATCTTTCTTGTAACAAGAGAAAAGCAAATAAAATCACAATGCAATTACCATTCCTCACCTATCAGACTAGCAAAAATCTAAGTTTGAGAATAAACTCTGTTAGTGGAGCTGTGGAGAAACAGGCACTTTTGTACACTACTGGAGAGAGTACAAAATAGTGCTTGGTTCCTATGAAGAGTAACCTAGCAATATCTAAACAATTGCATTTACTCTTCGATCCAGGAACTCCACTGCTAAGAAAGTATTTAGACAATATATCCCCACCAACATGAAACAACATACATCCCAGGGTGTTCACTGTGGCCTCACTCACAGTCACAAAATATTGGAAACAGTCCAAATATGCATCAATAGGGGTCTTGGTGAATAAACTGCAATACAACCACACAATGGAATGTGAAGTGGTTTTTGAAAGAATGAGGAAGATATCTATGTACTAATATGATGTAATCTTCATGATACCTTAAATGAAAAAAAGCAGTGTACCAAACAGCATGTATAATGTGCTGCCATGTTTTGTGTCAGTAAGTAGGATAATAAAAATATGTATGTATATTTGCTTAGTTTTGCACACAATGGAATGTAAAGTGGTTTTTGAAAGAATGAGGAAGATATCTATGTACTAATATGACATAATCTCCACAACACCTTAAACGAAAAAAAGCAGTGTACCAAAAAGTGTATATAATGTGCTGCTATGTTTTGTGTCAGAAAGTAGGAGAATAAAAATATGTATGTATATTTGCTTAGTTTTGCAAAAAAAAAAAAGGTTTTTTGCTGTGACTATAAATTTTGAATTTCAAATATGTTAATGTTTTAGTTATTTAAAAAATCAATACAAAAAGAAAACAAGCTAAACTCAAATTTGAAAATAAACAGAAGGGAGGTTCCAAGATGGCTGAATAGGAACAGCTCTAGTCTTCAGCTCCCAGCATCAGCGACACAGAAGACGGGTGATTTCTGCATTTCCAACTGAGGTACCGTGTTCATCTCCCTGGGCTTGTCAGAGAGTGGGTGCAGCCCATGGAGCAGGGTGGGGCATTGTCTCACCCAGAAAGCATAAGAGGTCAGGGAATTCCCTTTCCTAGCAAAGGGAAACCGTGACAGATGGTACCTGGAAAATTGGGACACTCCTACCCTAATACTGCGCTTTTCAATGGCCTTAGCAAATAGTACACCAGGAGATTATATCCCGTGCCTGGCTTAGAGGGTCCCATGCCTACAGAGCCTCATTAACTGCTAGCACAGCAGTCTGAGATCAAACTACAAGGCAGTAGCGAGGCTGGGGGAGGGGTGTCCACCATTGCTGAGGATTGAGTAGGTAAACAAAGCTGCCTGGAAGCTCGAACTGGGTGGAGCCCACTGCAGCTCAAGGAGGCCTGCCTGCTTCTGTAGACTCCACCTCTGGGGGCAGGGCATAGCTGAACAAAAGAAACTTCTACAGACTTAAACGTCCCTGTCTGACAGCTTTGAAGAGAGTAGTGGTTCTCCCAGCACAGAGTTTGAGATCTGAGAATGGACAGACTGCCTCCTCAAGTGGGTCCCTGACCCTCAAGTAGCCTAACTGGGAGACATCTCCCAGTAGGGGCTGACTGACATCTCATACAGCCAGATGCCCCTCTGAGATGAAGCTTCCAGAAGAAGGATCAGGCATCAACATCTGCCATTCTGCAATATTTGCTGTTCTGCAGCCTCCGCTGGTGATACCCAGGAAAAACAGGGTCTGGAATGGACCTCCAGCAAACTCCAACAGACCTGCAGCTGAGGGTCCTGACTGTTAGAAGGAAAACTAACAAACAGAAAGGACATCCACGCCAAAACCCCATCTGTACAACACCATCATCAAAGACTAAAGGTAGATAAAACCACAAAGATGGGGAGAAACCAGAGCAGAAAAGCTGAAAATTCTAAAAATCAGAGCGCCTCTTCTCCTCCAAAGGAACACAGCTCCTTGCCAGCAATGGAACAAAGATGGACGGAGAATGACTTTGATGAGTTGAGAGAAGAAGGCTTCAGACAATAAGTAATAACAAACTTCTCCAAGCTAAAGGAGGATGTTCGAACCCATCACAAAGGAGATAAAAACCTTGAAAAAAGATTAGATGAATGGCTAACTAGAATAAACAGTGTAGAGAAGTCCTTAAATGACCTGATGGAGCTGAAAACCATGGCACAAGAACTACATGATGCATGCACAAGCTTCAGTAGCCAATTTGATCAAGTGGAAGAAAGGGTGTCAGTGATTGAAGATCAAATGAATGAAATGAAGCAAGAAGAGAAGTTTAGAGAAAAAAGAGTAAAAAGAAACAAAGCCGCCAAGAAATATGGGACTATGTGAAAAGACCAAATCTATGTCTAATTGGCGTATCTGAAAGTGACAGGGAGAATGGAACCAAGTTGGAAAACACTCTGCAGGATATTATCCAGGAGAACTTCCCCAACTTAGTGAGGCAGGCCAACACTGAAATTCAGGAAATACAGAGAATGCCACAAAGATACTCCTCGAGAAGAGCAACTCCAAGACACATAATTGTCAGATTCACCAAGGTTGAAATGAAGGAAAAAATGTTAAGGGCAACCAGAGAGAAAGATTGGGTTACCCACAAAGGGAAGCCCATCAGACTAACAGCAGATCTCTCAGCAGAAACTCTACAAGCCAGAAGAAGTGGGGACCAATATTCAACAATCTTAAAGAATTTTCAACCCAGAATTTCATATCCAGCCAAACTAAGCTTCATAAGTGAAGGAGAAATAAAATCCTTTACAGACAAACAAATACTGAGAGATTTTGTCACCACCAGGCCTGCCTTACAAGAGCTCCTGAAGGAAGCACTAAACATGGAAAGGGACAACTGGTACCAGCCACTGCAAAAACATGCCAAAGTGTAAAGACCCTCAGTGCTAGGAAGAAACTGCATCAACTAACAAGCAAAATAACCAGCTAACATCATAATGACAGGATCAAATTCACACATAATAATATTAACCTTAAAGGTAAATGGGCTAAATTCTCCAATTAGAAGACACAGACTGGCAAACTGGATAAAGAGTCAAGACCCATCAGTGTGCTGTATTCAGGAGACCCATCTCACACGCAGAGACACACATAGGCTCAAAATAAAGGGATGGAGGAAGATGTACCAAACAAATGGAAAACAAAAAAAAAGCAGGGGTTGCAATCCTAGTCTCGGATAAAACATACTTTAAACCAGCAAAGATCAAAAGAGACAAAGAAGGCCATTACATAATGGTAAAGGGATCAATTCAACAAGAAAAGCTAACTATCCTAAATATATATGCACCCAACACAGGAGCACCCAGATTCATAAAGCAAGTCCTTAGAGACCTACAAAGAGACTAAGACTCCCACACAATAATGGGAGACTTTAACACCCCACTGTCAACATTAGACAGATCAATGAGACAGAAAGCACCAAGCAGACCTAATAGACATCTACAGAACTCTCCACCCCAAATCAACAGAATATACATTTGTCACAGCACCACATTACACTTATTCCAAAATTGACCATATTTTTGGAAGTAAAGCACTCCTCAGCAAATGTAAAAGAACAGAAATTATAACAAACTGTCTGTCAGACCACAGTGCAATCAAACTAGAACTCAGGATTAAGAAACTCACTCTAAACTGCTCAACTACATGGAAACTGAACAACCTACTCCTGAATGACTATTGGGTACATAACGAAATGAAGGCAGAAATAAAGATGTTCTTTGAAACCAATGAGAACAAAGACACAACATACCAGAATCTCTGGGACACATTTAAAGCAGTGTGTAGAAGGAAATTTATAGCACTAAATGACCACAAGAGAAAGCAGGAAAGATCTAAAATGGACACCCTAACATCACAATTAAAAGAACTAGAGAAACAAGAGCAAACACATTCAAAAGCTAGTAGAAGGCAAGAAATAACTAAGATCAGAGCAGAACTGATGGAGATAGAGACACAAAAAACCCTTCAAAAAATCAATGAATCCAGGAGCTGGTTTTCTGAAAAGATCAACAAAATGGAGAGACCACTAGCAAGACTAATAAAGAAGAAAAGAGAGAAGAATCAAATAGATGCAATAAAAAATGATAAAGGGGATATCACCACTGATCCCACAGAAATACAAACTATCATCAGAGAATACTATAAACAACTCTATGCAAATAAACTGGAAAATCTAGAAGAAATGGTAAATTCCTCGACACATACACCCTCCCAAGACTAAACCAGGAAGAAGTTGAATCCCTGAATAGACCAATAGCAGGTTCTGAAATTGAGGCAATAATGAATAGCCTACCAACCAAAAAAAGTCCAAGACCAGGCAGATTCACAGCCAAATTCTACCAGAGGTAAAAAGAGGAGCTGGTACCATTCCTTCTGAAACTATTCCAATCAATAGAAAAAGAGGGAATCCTCCCTAATTCATTTTATGAGGCCAGCATCATCCTGATACCAAAGCCTGGCAGAGCACAACCAAAAAGGGAATTTTAGACCAATATCCCTGATGAACATCGATGCAAAAATCCTCCATAAAGTACTGGCAAACCAAATCCAGCAGCACATCAAAAACCTTATCCACCACGATCAAGTTGGCTTCATCCCAAGGATGCAAGGCTGGTTCAACATACGCAAATCAATAAACATAATTCATCATATAAACAGAACCAAAGACAAAAACCACATGATTATCTCAATAGATACAGAAAAGCCCTTTGACAAAATTCAACAGCCTTCATGCTAAAAACTCTCAATAAACTAGGTATTGATGAGATGTATCTCAAAATAATAAGAGCTATTTATGACAAACCCATGGCCAATATCATACTGAATGGGCAAAAACTGGAAGCATTCCCTTTGAAAACTGGCACAAGACAGGGATGCCCTCTCCCTCCTCTCCTATTCAACACAGTGTTGGAAGTTCTGGCCAGGGCAATTAGGCAGGAGAAAGAGAGGGTATTCAATTAGGAAAACAGGAAGTCAAATTGTCCCTTTTTGCAGATGACATGATTGTATATTTAGAAAACCCCATTGTCTCAGCCCAAAATCTCCTTAAGCTGAGAAGTAACTTCAGCAAAGTCTCGGATACAAAATCAATGTGCAAAAATCACAAGCATTCCTATACAACAATAACAGACAAAGAGACAACCAAATCATGAGTGAACTCCCATTCACAATTGCTTCAAAGAGAATAAAATACCTAGGAATTCAACTTACAAGGGATGTGAAGGACCTCTTCAAGGAGAACTACAGACCACTGCTCAATGAAATAAAAGAGGACACAAACAAATGGAAGAATATTCCATGCTCATGGGTAGGAAGAATCAATATCGTGAAAATGGCCATACTGCCCAAGTTAATTTATAGATTCAATGCCATCCCCATCAAGCTACCAATGACTTTCTTCACAGAATTGGAAAAAAACCACTTTAAATTTCATATGGAACCAAAAAAGAGCTCGCATAGCCAAGACAATCCTAAGCCAAAAGAACAAAACTGGAGGCATCACGTTATCTGACTTCAAACTATACTACAAGGCTACAGTAACCAAAACAGCATGGTACTGGTACCAAAACAGAGATATAGACCAATGGAACAGAATAGAGCCATTGGAAATAATACCACACGTCTACAACCATCTGATCTTTGACAAACCTGACACAAACAAGCAATGGGGAAAGGAGTCCCTATTTATTAAATGGTGCTGCGAAAACTGGCTAGCCATATGTAGAAAGCTGAAACTGGATCCCTTCCCTACACTTTGTACAAAAATTAATTCAAGATGGATTAAAGACTTAAATGTTAGACCTAAAACCATAAAAACCCTAGAAGAAAACCTAGGCAATACCATTCAGGACATAGGCATGGGCAAGGACTTCATGACTAAACCACCAAAAGCAATGGCAACAAAAGCCAAAATTGACAAATGGGATCTAATTAAACTAAAGAGCTTCTGCACAGCCAAAGAAACAACCATCAGAGTGAACAGGCAACCTACAGAATGGGAGAAAATTTTTACAATGTACCCATCTGACGAAGGGCTAATATCCAGAATCTACAAAGAACTTAAACAAATTTACAAGAAAAAAATCAAACAACCCCATCAAAAAGTGGGCCAAGGATGTGAACAGACACTTCTCAAAAGAAGACATTTATGCAGCCAACAGACACATGAAAAAATGCTCATCATCATTGGCCATCAGAGAAATGCAAATCAAAACCACAATGAGATACCATCTCACACCAGTTAGAATGACAATCATTAAAAAGTCAGGAAACAACAGGTGCTGGAGAGGACACAGAGAAATAGGAACACTTTTACACTGTTGATGGGACTATAAACTAGTTCAACCATTGTGGAAGACAGTGTGGCAATTCCTCAAGGATCTAGAACTAGAAGTACCATTTGACCCAGCAATCCCATTACTGGGTATATACCCAAAGGATTATAAATCATGCTGCTATAAAGACACTTGCACATGTATGTTTATTGTGGCACTGTTCACAACAGCAAAGACTTGCAACCAACCCAAATGTCCATCAATGATAGACTGGATTAAGAAAATGTGGCACATATACACCATGGAATACTATGCAGCCATAAAAAAGGATGAGTTTATGTCCTTTGTAGGGACATGGATGAAGCTGGAAACCATCATTCTGAGCAAACTATCGCAAGAAGAGAAAACCAAACACCACATGTTCTCACTCATAGGTGGGAATTGAACAATGAGAACACTTGGACACAGGGTGGGGAACATCATACACCAGGGCCTGTCGTGGAGTGGGGGGAGCAGGGAGGGATAGCATTAGGAGAAATACCTAATGTAAATGACGAGTCAACGGGTGCAGCACACCAATATGGCACATGTATACATATGTGACTAACCTGCACGCTGTGCACATGTACCTTAGAACTTAAAGTATAATTTTAAAAAAAAGTACCTAATGTAAATGACGAGCTAACAGGTACAGTAACACCAACTTGGCACATGTATACATATGTGACAAACCTGTACGTTGTGCATATGTACCATAGAACTTAAAGTATAATAAAAAATAAAAAGTAAATAAACAAAAGAAAATAAACAGAAACAAATGAATTAAATGAATGATATCCTCTTTGGTAAAGCACCTGTTAAATCTTGCTTGTTGCTCTTTTTGTTGGGTTATCTCTTTTTCTTATTTGTAAGAAAATAAGAGAATTTTATATAAATGGGTAGGAGTCCTTTGTTAAGCAGGTGCCATTGCAAATATTTTCTCCTAGACCTGGCTTGCCTTTTGACATTCCATGTGGTTTGTTTGTTTGATAAACATAAGTTCTCAATTTTATTAAACTCCAATTCATAAGTATATTCCTTTTTGGTAAGTACTTTGTTGTCTTTTTAAGAAATCTTTGCATACTCCAAGGTATCAGAAATTTTCTGTTTTCTCCTAAAGCTTTATTGTCTTACCATTCACATTTAGATCAACAATCCAGCTGGATTTATTTTTTTAGTTTAGTGTAAGGAAGGCTCAAGATCAAGATACATTTTTTCCATGTGGATATCCAGTTGCCCAGCATCCTTTTTTTTTTTTTTTTTTTTTTTGAGACAGAGTCTCACTCTATTGCCCAGGCTCTGGAGTGCAATGGTGCGATCTTGGCTCACTGCAACCTCTGCCAGGTTCAAGCAATTCTCCTGCCTCAGCCTCCCAAGTATCTGGGATTACAGGTGCCCACCACCACGCCCGGCTAATTTTTGTATTTTCAGTAGAGACGCGGTTTCGCCATGTTGGTCAGGCTGGTCTTGAACTCCTGACCTCAGGTGATCCACCTGCCTTGGCCTCACAAAGTGCTGGGATTACAGGCATGAGCCACTGCTCCCAGCCCAGCATAATTTATTTTTATGTATGTATGTATGTATGTATGCATTTATTTTTTAGAGACAAGGTTTCACTGTGTTTCCCAGGCTGGAGTGCAGTGGCATGATCATAGCTCACTGCAGTCTCAAGTAGCTGGTATTACAAGTGTGTGCCACCATGTCCATCTAATTTTTAAACATTTTTTGGTAGACATAGGGTCTCACTTTGTTCCCTGGGCTGATCTCAAACTCCTGGCCTCAAGTGATACTCCCACCTTGGCCTCCCACAGTGCTGGGATTACAGGTGTGGGCCATACCACCTGCCCAACCAGCACCATTTATTAACATAATCATCTATTACCACTCACTGCACAGCAGTGTCATTTTTGTCATAAGTTAGGTGACTAGTATGTGTAGATTTGTTTCTATCTTTGTACCAATTGCACTCTTAAGTTGTATTTTTACAGGATCTACATCAATAAAATTAATTAATTGGGTCTCTCTGTTACTGCATCACAGTAGAAGATAGCTGCATGGGATTTTATCAGATTTGGAGGGTCTGGCTATGGAATGCCTGATCCATAGTCATAGAATCCTAGACAATACAGCATCTGATCAGAGAACCCACTGAAGGTATGGGAGAGAAGGAGGTATGAGAGTGAGAGCCATAACCAGGAGACCCAATGGTCATATCACATACTGCCCCATCCAGACACTACCAGCCTATTAGAGTAATGAAATGATTTGCTGGAAAGAAACAACTGAAACACTAACTCACAGGCAACACTCTGAAAAAGGCACAGCTGAAACACTAACTCATAGGCATCCAATAGGATGAAGTATACATACTGAATCAGACACCTCCATATGCTGCTGGGTCTCCAGTAGGAACCAAGGTATAGAAGCACAAGTGGCCCTACCTAACATCATTTTCAATGACCCACTAGGGGGCTTTTCTTTTTGTCCCTTTAACTCTGGGCTCTGCAGGATTAGAGGTCCCAGTTCCAAAAGGGGACACACCCTTGCCAAGGGACACAGCAAGATTTCCATTAAACTACCAGCCTCAGCTGCCCTCTGGGCACTTTGGCTCTTTATATTCAGGACCAGCAGGCAAGAACAGGAGTCATTGTCCTGAAAGGTGTCATTGGCCCTGACCAGCAGAAAAAGGTGAGGCTTACACCTCTTTCTTATACAATTGAGAGGAACATTTACAGAACTCAGGTGATCTGCAGGGGCACTTCCTGTTACTCCTTTATCCAGATGTGACTGTGAATGGACAAGTGCAGCCATCCTGATCTGAGAAAAGTGTGATTATCAGGGGTCCAGACCCCTCAGGAATGGGAGTTAGAGTCAGCTCAGTAGGTAAGCCACGGAGGTGGTAGCTGAGGAAGCAGGGAATTTAGAATGGACATTGGGTGGGGAAGGTGGGGATAGTGAATACCAATTGGAGCCCCTAAGCTCCCTCTTCTCAGTTTCCCCTTAGGAAGAGAGGCTCACTGGGACCCCAAAGAAGCTGCTCTGCAAGTGTATATGGTGATACGAAGCCACACAGCACAAGGGTGGATTGTGGCAACCATGGAGGTTTACTGCTCATAACACCCTTGAAGGAAGAACTTGCTGGCAGCCTCAGCTGTTAATGAATTCATGATCTGCCTTCACTTTCAAGCCGAATCTGCATTCTTCCAAGGTAACCCCCACCCAGTGACTGAGCACAGTAAGGACACTAGGGCCTGGCCATTTCTGTGGGTTTCTTTAATGAGCAATCTTTGCTCTGGAGCTCCCCGTTGGGTTGGCTGAGATTTTGTCAGATCTTCATCATGGACTGAGGTTCCCACATCTGGAACCTTCACTATAAGAAAATCAGGACATGGAATTTTTGGCTTTCCAGCCTGTGTAGTACAAGAAAGCATCCAAGAAGGAGGGAGAAGGGAGGCGGAGCACTAATCTACCATGTACCTCAGCCAGTTCACCGTGTCCCATGAGGAAGAAGGGAGCAGTGGTTTCTGGAAAGCCACAGGTGAAGGCATTTCCTGGCTTGAAAACAGAAATGGAACCAGGAAAGAGGAGAGAGAAAAGCATAGCCCAGTGGAGCATGCAAGCAGGTCCGATGTGGACAAGCTTTTCTGTCTTTTTGGAATCCCTATCAAATGCTGCCCTCTGATGTTTGTGGAATAAACTACTTTTGAGAAATGTGAAAACAGCCTCATAAGAGAATGAATCTAGCTGTAGTTTCCTGGGATAAATAGCTCTAGATGTCTGAACCTCATGGAAACCAGGAAAAATCCACCAAACTGGGCACCAAAACTACTTCCAAATGATTGGGTCAACTGCCATACAGATCAAGTTTTACCGAGGTGCTATTAACTTAGACCTCTAGGTATAGCTTATCTTTTCTTCCACAATCAGAGTGGGGGCAGTCTTAAGCATTCCTCATGGTTCATGGAATGATCAGAAAGCACATGGTAAATTATGAATCATTTGTACAAACTATGAATCCAAATGAAGTCTTCCAATAAAAGCGTTTAATTTATTGCCAGTATTATTCATATCACTTCTCTTTATAATCTGTCTTTACAAGGTCCCCCCAACCATACCACCATCATAAATGTTGATTAGGAAAAGAGTGACATCACTGATTTTCAGAATGTTAAGTGCCAGTAGGGAATAACTTTATGTCAACAAACAAAGTTTCTGTTTCTGAATATAATATTGCCCAGTACAGCCAAGGAATGAAAGTCACAATGTTTAAAAGTATCACATCTCTAGCTGTCAGTTGATACACAAAACACTTGTCAGAGTTACAGATTAAACAGTAAATAAAAGCCAAGAATCAGGAGATGACCCTTGGGCATGCCAAGCATGCTCCTGCCTCAGTGCACTTACGTTTTCCTCTGCTTGCAACACACTTTCCCTCAATATCACATCCACAGGAGTGTTCTCTCATCTTCCTTCCAAGCTGCTAAAGTGGTAAGGTCCAGGGTCTATGTTCACAGAAGTTTAAGTCACAGTCACATCTTTCTATTCCCCCTTTATCCCCCATGGTCATTTTGTGGCCAATTGGAACTGTGGCTTGGGATCTTTGGATGGAGGAAGGTGGGTTAGAAGAGGCTTCACTGTAGACAAATTTATGTGAGTTGTCTCTATTGGGGTTGGAAGTCAAAAGCACATTTATTGTGTTAGTTTGTTTCCCTTTGCTAACCTTCCTTCAGTATATGCCTTCCTTTTCTATTTATTCTTTGGCAGGATTTAAATATTCATGGGTCTCTGGGCCTAGTAATTTCTTTTTTTTTTCAGACGGAGTTTCGCTCTTGTTGCCGAGGCTGGAGTGCAACGGCGCGATCTCCAGCTCACCGCAAACTCCGCCTACTGGGTTCAAGCAATTCTCCTGCCTTAGCCTCCTGAACAGCTGGGATTACAGGCATGTGCCACCACACTTGGCTAATTTTGTATTTTTAGTAGAGACGGGGTTTCTCCATGTTGGTCAGGGTGGTCTCGAACTCCCAACCTCAGGTGATCCGCCCGCCTCGGCCTCCCAAAGTGCTGGGATTACAGGCGTGAGCCACCGGGCCCGGCTTAATTTCCGATAGCCCCTCAATCTCACTCTGATTCCTAATGGGATTCATGCTAGAGAAGCCAAGTAGATTAATGAGCAAAGGCCATCATGTCCGGAATTGCAGCACTCTTTTCTGAGAATTGTCTCCATCCCAAGACCACCATCTCTGAGAACCTCTAAATATTTGCAAACTCTTTGGCAAACAGTATCAAACCATTCAAGTTTGAGGCTAGAGTAGTAACTAAAATATGACAAGCTGGAGATGCTCAGCAAAAACTACTTATATTGTGCTTGTACAGATCAACCTGCAGTTTCCAGGTGCCAGAGCTGTTACCATTCCTACCTTTCTCTTCAATCTTCTAGTACTAGGGAAAGGTATTTGCAAATAAGGCAAGGCAGAGATCAGAGCATGCTGCCCTCTGCATGGCCTGGGGGAAGTGCATCACACTCTCCCTCTCCACTGTTTGCTTTCTCACTGGGGAAGAGATGGACTCATCTTCAAAATGAAGGGATAAAAGGCTGCAGAAAACAACAAGCTCGGGGCTAAGTGTGGGGTCAGAGCTGTGTGTAATCAGTCATTAGGGGGCCCTGATCTGCTGATCTACTTTAAGGCTTTGGAATTTGACTTGAGGGATGTCATCCTGCTGCGTTCACAGAAGAAATTCCCAGGGGCTAGAGGTGAGGTCTAGCCACAAAAGTGAGATCATAGATGGAGAAACACTTAGAAAAAGAGTTTGTAGTGCTGTTGTTGTGGTAATGAAAAGAATAATAAGCTGACCACAAAGATCCTCCCAAATCTCTCATGTTGAGTAGTTTAGTCATTGTACAATAAAATAGCATAGCTTTGAGAGCTAAATAAATGTGGGATAGAGAAATGATTACAGTGTTCACAAATGAGAGATAAATTAAACAAATTACAGCAATCCCTACCATAGAATAATATGTAGTCATTTAAAAATTATGTACTACACACATATTGTGGAGGGCAACGTGGCACAATGGATAAAAAAATACAGATCCATATACCTCTAATCTAGCATTCCACTTTAAGAAATTTATCTTACAGGTGTGTTCATACAGGTGCAAAATGACATGTATACGATTATTTGCCTTGCCTTAGAAGAAAACCTAGGCAATACCACTCAGGACATAGGCATGGGCAAAGACTTCATGACTAAAACACCAAAAGCAATGGCAACAAAAGCCAAAATTGACAAATGGGATCTAATTAAACTAAAGAGCTTCTGCACAGCAAAAGAAACTAGCATCAGAGTGAACAGGCAGTCTACGGAATAGGAGAAAATTGTTGCAATCCACTCACCTGACAAAGGGCTAATATCCAGAATCTACAAAGAACTTAAACAAATTTACAGGAAAAAAAAAACAACCCCATCAAAAAGTGGGCGAAGGATATGAGCAGACACTTCTCAAAACAAGACATTTATGCGACCAACAGACACAAGAAAAAATGCTCATCATCACTGCTGATTAGAGAAGTGCATATCAAAACCACAATGAGATACCATCTCACACCAGTTAAAATGGAGATCATTAAAAAGTCAAGAAACAACAGATGCTGGAGAGGATGTGGAGAAATAGGAACACTTTTACACTGTTGGTGGGAGTGTAAAGTAGTTCAACAATTGTGGAAGACAGTGTGGCAATTCCTCAAGGATCTAGAACCAGAAATACACTTTGACCCAGCAATCCCATTACTGGGTATATACCCAAAGGATTATAAATCATTCTACTATAGGACACATGCAGACGTATGTTTGTTGTGACACTCTTCACAATAGCAAAGACTTGGAACCAACCCAAATGCCGATCAATGATAGACTGGATTAAGAAAATGTGGCACATATACTCCATGGAATACTGTGCAGCCACAAAAAAGAATGAGGTCATGTCCTTTGCAGGGACATGGATGAAGCTAGAAACCATCATTCTCAGCAAACTAGTACAGGAACAGAAAACCAAACACCACATGTTCTCACTCATAAATGGGAGTTGAACAATGAGAACACATGGGCACAAGGAGGGGAACATCACAAACTGGGGCCTGTCGGTGGGGTAGGGGTCAACGGAAGGGAGAGCATTAGGGCAAATACCTAAGCATGCGGGGCTTAAAACCTAGATGACGGGTTGATGGGTGCAGCAAACCACCATGGCACATGTATACCTATATAACAAACCTGCACGTTCTGCACATATATCCTAGAACTTAAAGTATAATAAAAATAAAAAATTAAAAAAGGAAAAAAATTAAAAAAAGATTATTTGTTGCACCATTATCTATAATACCAAAAGTTTGGAAACCTGTTTTTAAAAAGTTATGGTTGGCCGGGCGCGGTGGCTCATGCCTGTAATCCCAGCACTTTGGGAGGCCGAGGCGGGCGGATCACGAGGTCAGGAGATCGAGACCATCCCGGCTAAAACGGTGAAACCCCGTCTCTACTAAAAATACAAAAAAATTAGCCGGGCATAGTGGCGGGCGCCTGTAGTCCCAGCTACTTGGGAGGCTGAGTCAGGAGAATGGCGTGAACCCGGGAGGCGGAGCTTGCAGTGAGCCGAGATCCCGCCACTGCACTCCGCCTGGGCGACAGAGCGAGACTCCGTCTCAAAAAAAAAAAAAAAAAAAAAAAGTTATGGTATAGTCATACAATGGAATACAATGCAGCCTTTAAAAAGATACAAGCTCCCTATGTCCCGATATGTAAAACAACAATAACACCCACCAAAAAACAAAAAAAAACAAAACAAAACCAAAAAAACCCAGTATATTTTTATATTACCATTGGAGGTTAATAATTTAAGAAGAGGACCTAGAAAGAATATTTGCTGGGTGAAAGGTGAGCAGTTTAATCCAGCTTGCCATCAGCCTCTCATGCCTTCAGCCTGAGTCTACTGGATACCAAGCTGTACCTGAACTGGGCAGCCTCACCTGAGGAAGAAGCATATATATGTACTCTAGTGCAGTAGATTTTAAATTTTAGTGAACATGAGAATCATCTGGAATGGTTGCTGAAAATGAAGATTTAAGGCATCTGTCTTTAGAGATTGTGACTCAGTAGGTCTGGGGTTGGGCTCTGGAACTGGTGTTTTTTTTTTTTTAACAAGCACACCAGGTGATTCTGATGCAGCAGATCCAATCTCTGAGAAACCATGATATAATGACCACGGAACGAGCACCTGAGGTGAACTAACGCCTCCTCCTCACTGAGTCTGCTCCAGGATCTGTGAGAGGAAAATCCAGCTGGGTGATTTGGCTTCAACATCAAGCTCAAAGGGCCCTGAAACGTGGCTACTGCCAAATTTGCTTATGGAAGCAAGAGCCCCTTCCACAGATGCTTATATTTTGCTTCCTTTGAGCATGAGGCTATCAATATCATTTTCTAATCCTTATAATAAAACCACAACAGAGGTAATTTCTGGTCACCCAGATTTATTCAGATAGAAAGATGAATTTATGAGCACAAAACAATTTGTTGCCCAGTTTATGGCTTAAGGGTGTTTTATCTACTTCTACTTAAATAATGACACCTTTATTCTCAGAGAGCAACTTGACATAGCTATACCCTTAAATGATCATTCATATAATGTCATACAATTCTATGTATTGTATATACCATCGTTCATGTGCATGTACACAGTGTGTGAGTATTACAACTTCATTGTTTGGTCAATTATTTTTTCATATAGTCTTTTTCAGCATTAGTTGTCTTTTGCTATTTCTATATTCTCTGTGTTTACTTTTTATTTTTAAATTATCATTATTTATTATTATTAATAGGTGACTAGGTCTCTGTCACCCAGGTTGGAGTGCATAGTCGTGAGCATAGCTCATTGCAGCCTCAACCTCCCAGGCTCAAGAGATCCTCCCACTTCACCCTCCTGAGTAGCTGGGACTAGAGGCATGTGATGCCACACCCGGCTATTTTTTTTCCTAATTTTTTTGTAAAGCCTGTGTCTCACTATATTGCCCAGGCTGGTCTCAAACTCCTGGCCTCAAGCAGTCCTCCTGCCTCGGCCTCCCAAAGTGCTGGGATTACAGGTGTGACCCACGTTGCTCAGTCTACTTTTTTATTTTTAGATGTTATTTTTGTTATTTTTAGATTCAGATAAAATAGAAATGCAAATACACATGCAACATTTATAATTTTTTCTATGTCGATATTTATCATTTTTCATCAGTTCTGTCATATTTTTCAAATCTACCAATATTTGTAGTTTTGTTTACAATTGAAAAAGTTCTGATTACTCACTGAATTTCCTAGATTTATATTCTATTCAGGAAAGTACACTGTAACCTTTGTTTCATACTGGATAAGCATTTAGGACAGCAATTTCACAAAATTTTGTTCTAAGACACAGGTTTCCTGATATTTAGTGCTTACTATGTGTAGTATTGTTCTACATGCTTGATAAATATTAGCTAATTTGATCTTCAAAACAGGACCATAAGGCAGATACTACTATTACTATGCCATGTTGACTGTCAATATTGTTTTCAAACTTGGACTTCTGACCCTAATTGAAATCCATCCTGAATTGAAATCTCTCCATACTCCCCTAAATCGAAGAGTAAGAAATCTCAAAATCCAAATGCTCCATGGCTTTCCTAGGGCTCTCAGAAGAGTTTATGCAACATATCTTACTGTTCAGGTTGGTCCCAGAAACTGCATATTGTCCAGACGGCCCTGCTGGAACTGGGGCCCTTTCTTGACATCTTGCCATGCCTTTGGCTTGGAAACCCTCTCTTGGGTGTTTGTCTACCCTAGCCATTGCCTGGCTTAGTGAGGCAGTACTGTTGCTACAACTTGTCTCTGAGTATTGCCTGTTGCCTGCATTCTCTCTGAAACCTGCACATTTCACCTCCACCTCATCCCTAATTGGGCCATTGGATTGGACCATCTAGAAACTGTTATCTACTTGATCTGGCCCAGAGTTCAGTAGTCCCTTTGAATGCTGACCATAAATCCACAACTGGACAGTTTCTTCTAACCCAGTTCTGACTTCCTACTGCCATTTTGGGTGCTAAATCCAAACCCAACAAATCTACTTAAGCTATGACACTTTTGTGCCAGAGGTGAACATTCCTTTGATTTGGAAGTGATAAGGGCACTGACAAGCTAGGTTTCAGTGATGTGACTGAAAGCATAAAGATCTCGTGCTGTCCAAGGAAGGAGGCAAAATGTGACAGAGGCCCTGTGGCAAAAGGAAGGTTAACAGACTGCCCTTGACCCCTCCTGCTACAGTTTCTTATGTTGCTCCACATTTGGTCTACTCTTTCACTTCATTTGAAGAACCATCTATTTAGAAGCTATAAGCAGTGTTTTCCCCCAGGCAATGGTACTATATTTCCAGCTGGGCAACTCAACACATCTGTACAATCATCCTAAATTTAATTTTCATCAAATTTACTTCTCCTCCTGAGGATGGTGTTCTCATTGGAAGGAAGAGCAAGTGCTCAGCCTTACAAAACCCCGCTTCACATCCAAGGCTCTGTGTTAACACTGGAGTTAGTTCATCAAATGACAATTATGAGTGCTCCGGAATCCTATAGTGTTTATAACTTGCTGGTTTTGTCTCAAAAACATTGAATCAGGCTCTTTGAAGTCAAGGTTTTTTGTTTTTGTTTTAGACAGCCCTCATAGAAGTCCCTAGAAGGGCTGAAAATGTATAACAAGGGATCTTATTGATCCACATATATACTAACATGAAAAGCCTTCAGTTTCAAGTCTACTTTCATTCATTTTTTAATTCAATGTTTACTGAGTGCTGAGTATGTGCCAGGCAGGATTCTAGGTACGGGAGTACAACAGAGAACAAAGCAAAGATTTCTGCCCTCCTGGAATATACAATTCCTAATGGCAATACATAATAAACATAATGAGCAAATTATATAATATTTAAAAGTGTTAAGGTCTACAGAATAAAGAAAGAGCCAGGCAGAAGAGATGGGAGTGTGGACATGGAGATACATGTTGCCGTGTCAAAAGATGTTTAGAGTGGTCCTCTTTGAAAAGATCACATTTGAGAAAAGACTTAAAAGAAAAATAAGGGAGAGACACTTATGGGTCTCTGGGGAAAGAGAATTACAGGAAGAGAGAAAAGCCAGAGTAAAGACTCAGAAGTGGGTACATGGTCTGGTGTGTGTGAGAAATAGCAGAGGTGAGGAAGGAAGTTAGGGGTAGAATACTAGAAACTAAGATCAGGCTCGAGGATAGGGAGTGAAATCTATTAGCAGCGCTAATAGCCTTGGTTCAAGAATGAGTGACAGACTTTTACTGCTTTGAGTAAAGATTTATTCTTCTGTATATTTTCAATACAATTTCACTTTCTATTTAATATTTATAAAAACATATAACCTTATTGAAATGTAATTTATGTACAATAGGCCATATTCATTCAAACTGTACAAGTCGATGAATTTTGATAAATGATTACACTGTGAACTCACCACTACACTCAAGTTACAGAACATCTCCATCATCTCTAAGAGTTTCCTCACAACGCTTTGTAGTCTGTCACTCCATCTATACCAGTCCCAGGGAACTAACAGTCTGCTTTTTGCCACTAATGATTGGTTTGCATTTTCTAATATTTTAACATAAATGGAATCCTATAGTACATACTTTTTTTATGTCTGGCTTCTTTTAGCACAACAGTTTTGAAATTTATTCATGCTAATGTATATATAAGTAGTTCCTGACTTTTTATTGCTGAGCATTCCATCATATAAATATACCTTATTTAGTTTATTCTTTCACTGGTAGAAATTTGGTTTTTATACCCACCAAATTATATTAATGTTGCTTTTATCAAGTGCATTCAATAGCAATTACAATGAGCACACTATCCAGAAATTTTAAGGACTTAGAGCCTAAGGAAACAGGAAATCTTAAAAGTTAAATCCAAATTTATATAGGTATTCTTGCTCCAGAAGACTTACATGATAGGGTGATAAACAAAAGATATCCAAGCATGAAAATATGTTAGTAGGATAAAATTCTATGGAAAGTGTGGAATAGAAAGGTGGGAAAATTCCCAATGATAAGAAGTGTGTTAACTATGGTATTTAGAACCTATTATACACATTTCAAAAGTGATATGACTTTTATCTTAAGTCAGTATTTACAATATGCTAGAAATTTAGTCCTTTATCTCTTTAAACACAAAATTGTATATGCCTATTTTAAAATGTGAATTTGAAAATAAAAAAATAGAAGTAAAAACATTTGAGGACCCCTTTTCTCAGGCCCCACTCTCTGGCTCTTTAATTGTCTGAGGTGGGCAAGAATATTATGTTTTTTTAAAGTTCCTTTGGTGAGGGCAGGCGCAGTGGTTCATGCCTGTAATCCCAGCACTTTGGGAGGCCAAAGTGGGAGGATTGCTTGAGCCCAGAAGTTCGAGACCGGCCAGGGCAACACAGCAAGACCCCATCTCTACAAAAAATTTAAAAAATTAGCTAGGCGTGATGGCACGCACCTGTGGTCCCACCCAGCTACATGGGAGGCTGAGGTGGGAGGATCCCTTGAGCCCAGTAAGTTGAGGCTTCAGTGAGCCTTCTTCGTGCCACTGCACTCCAGCCTGAGCAACAGAGCAAGACCCTGTCTCAAAATAAATTAAGAAATAAACAAACTCCCCCAGGCGACTCTAATGTGCTGCAAGGTTGTGAGGAGCTGGCCTAAAGACAGTGGTCTCTCTCAATTGGACAATGTCGGACAAGGAGTAGAAAAAATGAGAGCCACATTGTTTACCATTTACCTGGGAGTGTTAGTCATCTGGCAAGGTTTAACTATTTGCAAGGTTTATAAAAATACCAAATCAACAAGGCCTTATAGAACTTAAGCTTCAAAAAATGTTAGAGGGCCCAGTAACTATGGTGCCTTCCAATGATGAAACGTTATTTGCAAGGCACTGTACCAATTATTGTAAGTAAGTGGAATTATTTCAACTGTAGACAGTTCCAGGCCTAGAGCACTAAGCCACTTGGAGATATGGTGACAAAGAAAAATTAATTGGCAATTGTCCCTGGGCTCACCTGTTGACCTTTTCCACAGCAATATTTTTTTCTGTTTACTGTCCAAAATCTCAAGTCTGCAACTTAATTTTGTTTTCCACATCCCTATTTCTCCTCTATTCTCTTTTTGTGCCTTACCTGTTTTTTTCTCATCTTTGTTTCTTATTATGATACACCCTATAGTGATGAAAGATGAAACCAGGATTTGAGCTCAATGCTGAATTCCACAATTAATTAGCCGTGTGACCTACTAAATAATCTATAAGATGGGTGTTGTTGTTGTGTATAGTGGGGTGAATGGTAGGCCAAAGAAGGAAATGCTTGCGCCCTAATCCCTGCAGCCCATGAGTATTATTGTATGGCAAAGGATGTGATTAAGTTTCTTGAGATGAAGGGTTTTTCCTGATTATCTGGGAGGACCGTAAATGAAATCACATGTATCCTTGGGAAAGAAAGGCAGAAGGAGTCTGGGGACACATAGAGAAGAGAAGATATGAAAACGGAGCAGAGGGAGCTGCAGCCACTACAAGCCAAAGAATGCTGACAGCACCAGAAACTGGAAGAAACAAAGAACAGATTCTCCCCTAGAGCTTCCACAAGGATTATGGTTCTGTTGACACCTTGATTTTTGACGCCTAGCCTTTTAAAATTACTGTTTTTTATTTTTTTAAAACAAGGTCTAGCTCTGTTGTCCAGGCTGGAGTGCAGTGGTGCAGTCTCGGCTTACTGCTGCCTCAAACTCCCTGACACAAGCGAGCCTCCCACCTCAGCCTCCCAAGTAGCTGGGAATACAGTTGTGCACCACCACGACTAGCTAATTTTTTACTAGAGATGAGGTCTCACTATGTGGCCCAGGCTGGTCTCGAACCCCTGGCTCAAGTGATCCTCTTGCCTCAGCCCCCCAGAGTGCTAGAATTACAGGCATGAGCCAGGATTACTTCCGCCCTTTAGAACTGTGAGAGAATAAATTTCTCTTGTTTGAAGTTACCAAATTTCTGGTTATTTGTTACAGCAGCCACAGGAAACCAATAATCCTGGTTACTTCCCAAGGCAAAGAAGAAGCTAAGCAATACACAAGTGCTTTGTAAACTAAACTGTTACACAAGTACAAGCTCTCTTTACTGGTCACTTTCCACAGGGATTTCTAATACCATGCACACAGCTGTTGTCATGGATCAGTCTTCATGGAAAAGACTTCAGGGGAGTTCCTGGGGCTTTCCTGTCTCATTGCACACACTTCTCCCCAATCCTTCTCTTTCCAAAAAGTTTAGTATTTCTTTCGGTAGTGGTGTGGATATTGCTAATTGTAGCAGCCCCCCAGAAAAAGAGTTAGAACTACCTTAGCCATGTCTCTTGAACCTAGGAAGCAATTACTCTTCTCTTTATCACAAGATCCTTCAGGATATAGAGCAGGCTTTCTCAACAGCAGCAAGACTGATGTTTGGGACTGGACAATTCTTTGCTATGGGGATGACTCTGCAGCATCCTTGTCCTCTACCCACTAGATGCCAGTAGTACCCTCCCCAGTCATGACAATCATGTATTTCTCAGAATAATGCCAAATGTTCTGAGGCAAACTGCTCTGCCCTCCCTCCCCACCAATCAGGTCAAGAAACCCTGATTTAGAGGATGACAGGACATGACTGGCCAAAGATCTATCTAGTGTGACTGTATTAGGGAAGCAGAAGCCTAGAAGAGCCAGAGTGACACCATTTTAAAATCAACTCCATCTTAAACTTCCCAGTCATGACCCATAGAACTAAGATGTTCACAGCTAAGAAAACAGCTTAAAGACACCTGTAAGAACAAACTCCTACAGCAGAAAGTCCAGAAGTCCCAATACTCATAACAATATATGCTTCCAAGAATTATAGTTATGCTTTGATGCACTTACACACTAAGAAGTCAAACACAGAGTTATTTATTTATTTATCTGAGATGGAGTTTGGCTCTGTCACCCAAGCTGGAGTGCAGTGGCATGATCTTGGTTCACTGCAACCTCCGCTTCCCGGGTTCAAATGATTCTCCTGCCTCAACCTCTTGAATAGCTGGGATTACAGGTGTGTGCCACCATGCCTGGCTAATTTTTGTATTTCGTAGTAGAGATGGGGTTTCGCCATGTTGGCCAGGCTGGTCTTGAACTCCTGGCCTCAAATGATCCGCCCATCTAGGCCTCCCAAAGTGCTGGGATTACAGGCGTGAGCCACCGCACCTGGCCAAGGATGGATTTCCTTAAATCAATAAAGTACTAAATTTTGTCATGCTATCTGTCTATCCACCTGTACGCACACCTTAGTCTTTACATAGAGAAGACCCCTATATAAGAAAAACTTAAAGACAGTGCATTCCTCTGCTTGTTTTCTGAGGATGCCTACTCTGGAATGGAGTAGCTTTCAATAAACTATCTCTTCTCACTGCACTTTGCAACTCATCTTGAATTCTTTCCTGTGCAAGATCCAAGCCTCTATTGGGGTCTGAATCAAGATCCCCTTTCTGGTAACAGCTCCATTCCTTGTAGATAACCCCAATCTCCATTCATACATTAAGATTTGTCCTAGATGTCAACAGAGGACGTATGTCCTAGTAGCTTGCTGATTCATCATGAAATTGGTCTTTTTGATAGTTTCATCAGTGTTTCTTAAATTACGATCAATATTCCATCTGTGGCAGGATCACTTGAGCCTCTTGTTGACCTGCTGAGAGATCCAGGAATTTCCATTTTACGTGTTTTACAGATGATTCTTAAAATTTCTTTGATAAACACTAGTTTGGATGAACTTCAGACTCCAGGTAGATGATGTTATTTATTCTACTCTCCTGGTTCTGGAAACTGATCCCAGTTCTCCCTGACAAAGTCCTCCTTCACACTTGCTGTCAGTTGAACATCTGATTCTGGAGACCCCAGCCTAACTTCTGCCTACACTGACATCTCAGGCTGTCTGTTGTCACTTACAGTACTGATGTCTCACCTTTCTGTCCCCAATAGCATTGATGTCCTTGGATACAAGCTCTGATTTCTTTGGATGCATTCAGAGCTCTTATGTTTGTCTCTATATAAATAAAGCCTTGGCTATGCCTAATGTAGTAACTCTATCAACCCTTCCAGCTTTAACATATTTTTGTATGCATGCCTGCATCCTAAATCCTAGCCTTGTTCTGCCTTTAGAGCCCTGGATACAATAACCTAGAGGGACCAGAAATCTATAGGTCTAGGTAGAGAAATGATCAAATTGAAGGAATTCAGCTCCTTCTTCAACATTCCCCATCTTGGCTGCCCAAAGAAACTTAAGCATAACCTTTTCTATCTTTCTCTACCTTATCTCTCACACTCCATCAATTATCAAGTCCTGTGGATTCAACTTCTCAAATATCTCTTGAATTAACCGAATTCTGTCCATCCTAACACGAGGCAATTGAACGTGCTGTTTCTCCTGCCTTTCCACAAATATAGAAGACTGTCAGCTGCACAGCAGCCACTCTCACTGGCAGGTTAGCCCACAATCATGCTCCAAAATTATGTAGAGAACAAATTTATAATCTGCCATAAGCAAGTTAATATGAAGATGCCACTGATGACACAGAATACTAGAAACTAATATACAAAAGCACCAACTTTAATTACAGATCCAATATATCCCTATCAAAACCCAGCTGGTTTCTTTACAGAAATTGACAAGCTGATCCTAAAATTCAGATGAATATGAAAGAGATCCAGAGTAGTTAAAACAATCTTCAAAAAAATCAAAGTTGGAGATCTCAGATTTCCTATTATAAAATTTATAACAAATTACAGTAGTCAAGACAATGTCATACTGGCATAAAGACGACATATAAATCAATGTAATAGAATTGAGACTTCAGATATAAACCCATAGATCTGTGGTCAATCGATTTTTCACCAGGGTGTCAAGACAATTCAACAGAGAAAAAATAATCTTTTCAACAAATGGTGCTAGGAAAACAGATATCCACAGGTGAAAGAATGAAGCTAGACACCTATCTCACATCATACACAAAAATTAACTCAAAATGGATAGACCTACATGCAAGAGCTAAAACTATAAAACAGAAGAAAATACTGGGGGTAAATCTTCATAATCTTCAATTTTGCAATGGTCTCTTGGATATGACACCAAAAGCACAAGCAACAAAATGAAATAGATAAACTGGACCCCATCAAAATTAAAATTATTGTGCTGCAACTGATACCATCAATAAAGTGAAAAAACAATTCCTGGAATGGGAGAAAATATTTGTAATTAATTTATTTTATAGTGGCTTTATGTCTATTATATATACAGAACTCCTGAAACTGTAATAAATGAGATAACCCATTTCAAAATGGGCAAAGAACTGGAATAGATAATTTTCCAAAGAAATACAAGTGGCCAAGAAGTACATAAAAAAATGCTCAACATCATTAGTCAGAATGTAAACACATCAAAATCACGAGATACTTCAAACCCACTAGGATGGCTATAAAAAAGACATACAATAACAAGTGTAAGATTGCCATATACATGATTCACTCATTATCAGCCACTACTGAACTGCCAGCTTAGGAAGTTAGGAAGCTCTGAGTTATAATACTACTCCCACCAATGATAGCTCCACATTATTAAATCTAAAGAACTTTTTTAAATGGCCAGTTCCACCCTCCAGATTCTGGCCCAGCTATCTGCATGCACTGACGGTTGATTCTACTCAGCCATAGTCAAGAATCACAGCACCCGGCTTGAAAAAAAAAACAAAAAACCTATTCTGCAGTAGCGTATCACTCTACTTTCCTCAGTTTTGAGTAAAATATTCACTGGGGAGAAAAAAGCAAACCTTACGTCTACTGATACCTACCCCTCTCCTGCCCCATGCACCCTGTAATTTCTCTCCAACCACCTTAAGGGCCTTTTTTTTTTTTTTTTTTTTTTTAAAGATAGGGTCCTGCCATGTTGCCCAGGCTTGACTTGAACTCCTAGGTCAAGTGATCCTCCCATCTCAGCCTCCTGAGTAGCTGCGACTACAGGAACCAGCCACCACACACCCATGTCCACCCACCTTAGGGTTAATCTTTGTTACTAGCCCTCACTACTCAGAATTGGTGAGACCTCTCCATTTCTGCTTCACTCAGCTTACGTGGTTTGCTCACACTGACACCAACAAACACCTGTCAATCCCTATGTCCCTCCTGTCTTCCAAAAATACCTAGAAATTGCTGCTCTATTGACGGTAGTATTTCTTGTTTTCTAGTGTTGCTATTATTTGTCTATTGTACTTGGTTTTGCATTTTAGTCACCTGAATGATATCTGGAAGAAGGCGGTTTCACCATTTCAAATCTTTTTTTCACCATTTTATTGTCATTCAGGTTACTACAAATGGTAAGTAGAAGCTCTGCAAAAGTAAAAACTGAGTGGGAGGAAATCATTTTGGGAAAATATTCTGAACTATTTCAGTCCAATTAATATTTGATACTAAGCTTCTACAGCATCAGATGTTACTTATGTCAGCATAAGGAGAAAATTCCTATACTTTAAAAAAGTTTCCATTACCCCCATCTAAATATTGCCTGATAGTCACAGTATAAATTCAAGCTTGGAAAAACTACTGGCATCACTAAGTATCCCCTGACACCAAAGTTCCTGTTCATCTTAGTTACACAACTACTGATGACCTGTTCTGACTGGTGACTGAGAGGAAAAAATAAAGAAATGAGTAAGATGGTCGGTAATACTTCAACACTTCCCAGTGATTAATACATTTGGACCCGTCGTCTCATCACTTAATCCTACCCAACATTTAACGCATGAAATTTCCAGTAAAAAAAAAAACAGAACCTCATAGATGGGTCTAATCAAAACTGCCCTTTCTAAAAATATGAAGGCTAGCAGTTGGTAACCTATATAATAAAAGGTCACTGTGTCAAAACTATGTACTCCTTTCCCTCTTCCCCCATTGTATACCTGATTTGTGGGAAGGGGGAGACGAAATGGGATAAATTTTAAATTAATACAGGCAAAAAAGAATAAAGTCAGAGATTTTCTTAGACATCACATATGTAAATCAGAAACCAATATATAAATGATGCTTGGTGATGAAAAAATGTTTAGTTTATTTAAAATTCCTGTTTAGAGTCAACTTTATTTACTGGCTCCTGTAACCAGTGAAACATTCTGAAATGTATTAGATAATGGTTGTATGTTTTATATATTTCATATCGAATATAGTAAGTGATTTAATCAATTAACAAAAGTCCTTTATTTGTGAACAATGAGAGAGACTGACACTAGCTTTGTATGGTTTTACTTTGGAAAATTTTACAAATTTAAAGTAATAAATGTATTCATTTTCTTACTCTGCAGAAGTTCAATTTTAAAAAGAACATTACTGTTCTAAAATTTCAAAACATACAACATAGTCTGTGCTTGTAACATTTTCAGATTTGTCTGTGACAGCTTGATGTTATGAAGAGAAGGAGGGAGAATGGCTGTGAGTGGAGAAAAGAGCGAGAGAATATTCTTATAGTAAATGTTAGTAAAATTAAGAGAAATAATGGGTACTGTCACTCACAATATAAAAACTTCCTGCTGTTTTAGCACAACCTGGTGGTGATAAATTTTAGATACAGAAAACATCAGAAAAATCAATAAAGTGTTCTAATTACTTTAAATCTACTTATTGTACGCTATTTTTTTTCAATTCAGAAATCTAAATATACACATTCAGAGCAATTAGTAAAAACTAACACATGCCTTGTACAAAAAAAAAGACATTTCCAAAAAGGAGTTAGCCAAACGCAATAGCGTAATTACAGAATTACAGCAAGCTGAATACGTACACAGTATTATTTAAGCAAACATCAGAAAGTAAAATAAATACACAACCCTCCTTCCCCTCATCAAATTACTTTTGTAAAACCTAACATTGGTACTCCAAAGAACAAAAGTATAAAAACTACTGTATGCCTATTCATGACAGTATACACCCTGCTTGATTTCATTTCTTCAGCATCTTTCCTTCTAACACTCAGCTCCTACAGCAACTACTTTGTTGGATGAAATTAAGAAAAGTCTAAAAAATAATAGCAAGGCTTGATGGTCTGCACCTATAATCCCAGCTACTCAGGAGGCTGAGATGGGAGGATCTCTTAAGCCTGGGAGTTCAAGGCTGCAGTGAGCCATGATCACATCACTGCATTCCAGCTTGGACAGAGCAAGACTGTGTCTCCAAAAGAAATAGTAAGGCTTTATGGTCAAGCATGGTGGCTCACACCTATAATCCCAGCACTTAAGGAGGCCAAGGAAGGAGGAACGCTTGATGCCAGGAGTTTGAGACCAGCCTGGGCAACATAGCAAGATCCCATCTTGATTAAAAAAAAAATACAAAAATTAGCCAGGCATGGTGGTGTTCACCTACTGTAGTCCCAACGACTCGGAAGGATCACTTGAGCCCAGGAGGTCAAGGCTGCAGTGAGCCAAGATCACACCATGCCCTCCAGCCTGAGCAATATAATGAGACTCTAACACACACACGTGCACACACACACACACACACACACAAATAAGACTTTATATGAGTGGTCATTGGTTATGATGTTCTTATTCTTTATAAGAGAAAATCTGTGTATACTGTTACAGCTGAATGGCATTTGGTATATGGCATGCCAGTCTTCCACATGTACTGATGTTTAAGAAAGGCTTGGATCCAGTGTGTATTCTGGATGTCGGGGGAAAAAAAGGCTTGGAAACCAGGTTATCCTATTATTTAAAATATTAAAAATTACATTATTTTAGAAACAGAGAACCAAATACAAGCTGATACTACCATAAAATTACCATAAAATAGTTTTGCTCTTTTTTCACTGTTTACACCTTTCCTCCCTATATTAAGTTGTTAAGTACTTGAGAAACGTACTTAACACTGAACTTCCCAATATATTTGGGAAGGTATGATATGAATGTTAAGTATAAAATAATACGGGTAGTTAATGTTAAAAGAACTCAGAGGAAATTTCCCCGCAGGGTAACTACAAAGATGTTTTCTATGCTGCATTTGTCCCGAGATGTTTATGTAACTCATTCCTCTATCTCAATCATTACATACCCCTCATTACAAACACTCCTATGTGCTCTCTGAGCTCATCTGAAGAGAACAGAATTGAGTCGATGATTTGAGTTATGATTTTCTCCATTCTCCTAGGGACTGTACATAATTAGTACCATTCTAGATGACACAGGGACTTAGGGCTTTTTCTCCTGCAAACCTAATTGAGAAAGCCTGTGATAGACACTAGCACACCTCCTTCTCTTTCCCCCTACTCCCAGACTGCTCTGGCCTCAAACCCATCCTATCTATTTCACCAATGGCCAACACTGTCCTGTCTGCACCCAGAGTGAGAAGCTCCCACAGGGAAAAGTTATTTTAAAATATCCAACTTTATATATTTAAAGCCTCATATTTCCTCATAAGCTACTATTTTTCTCTCCCATTCCTACCTTTGTCAAGCTCAGCATATAACAAGTCATCTTTTTGTGACATCAAAGTCTTCAAAGTCTTTCTGGAGATCTAGAATCTACAATTTCTAAATATTTTGCATAACGCATAAAGTGCATATAAATTGAGTTATCCTATATCTGTGAACTGATGAGAATTATTCTGCTCAAACAGGTGGTGAAAACCTTTGCTTGACTCTCCTAAAAGGATAAACAAATACTAAAGAAAGATGGCTTTCAACTACAGTGAGGTTCTTGTGATATGTGCTACTGGAAAAAGTACATTTTTACCAAGCCATAGCAAATAATTTTAAAAGAATATCATTCCACAGTATATGGATCTTTTTCATTATACTGCAATGTAATTTGAAACTAGATTATTTTCCTTGCTAACACTGAGAAGCAACAATTTGTTTAGATTATCTAGTGATGACCTTTTTCCTCTTAAAGGTGACAATGATTCTAAAACAAGAACATCTGAAAACATTTGAAAAAACTATCCCAACACTTCAATACATTGGAACAGTAGTCATATCACACTATACTATAGACCATGGGTTGATAAATTTTTTCCATAAACAGACAGACAGTAAATATCAGGCTTTGTGGGCTATAGTTTCTGTGGCAGCTACTCTGCCACAGAAAAGCAGCCATAGACAAGTAAAAGAATGATCTTGGTTGTGTTTCAACAAACTTTATTTATGAACACTAAATATTCATGTTAATTTTCAAGTATCATAAAAGTCTTTAAAAAAAAACATTTAAAATTATAAACACAATTCCTAGCTCACAGGCCATAAAAAGCAGGCAGCAGGCTGGATTTGATCCACAGGCCATAGTTGGCTGTCTCTTAAACAGGCTTTTATACGTTATGCAAAGTGTTTCAAATTCCAGAGACTTTGGAGACTTTTCGTTTTTTAGATTTCTCATTTTAAAACACACATAATACAAGTTTTCTTTCTGGATCAATATACTCACGAGAGAAAATAATTCAGAAAAAAATAAAATTCCTTACTTAAAAAAAGGGAAAAGCTATAGAACAAATGTTTCGTCTTAAAATATATTTAGGAAATGTAAAATTAAAGATTAAAAATTTTATTCTATGCAACATAAAATAATATGCATAAATCTGGCACATAATTTCTTTGTTTTTACTTTAGAAAAAAGACAGTAAGAAAAAAGTTTATAAATTTCTCAGTCCCTTTTATACAAAGTTGCAACTAAAACCAGCAATCACTTATATGTACAACCATCAACTCTGAATACAATGTGAATTATACCTAGGAACTGTAATTTACCTAGATGAGTTCTGCCTGCTTTATGAAAAACACACACTTATATCACAGAACACCGTGGCTTCTACAATTTGTAACAATTTTGAAAACGAAACTCCTGCCTCCATAATATAAGGAAACAAGAGTACTCTTTCCATAGTCATCATCCTGTATAAAAAAAACTTCATAGTCTGATTTACCTTTGTCAAAGGTAAAATGATTCACATTTGCTTGGATTACTCTGATCCTCAGTAGTTCCTAAACACAAAATAAAGTTTGCATGAACCTTTATCTGGGTTTTCCAAAGCAAGTATTATGCTGGCAGAAGTCCATGAGCTGAATAAAAAGATACTAAATATAAAAGGTTTACCAACTTTATCCTTTCTTAATTTTACGATAGCTTCAGGTATTGAGACCTAACTGGTTTCCTGTGCCTATCCATTGTGAACACATCTCAATCTTCTACTTTTAACACTCCTCAGCACCATATTTTCGTTGTTTCTTTATTGTGCGACGTAGAAGATCCTTTCGTCCAACTTCAATCATTTGTTCTTCCCAAGACTTCATTTCATTATGATAACGAGTTTCGTCCTCTTTAGCATGCTGAATATATAACTGAGAAAAAGCATAACTGTTAAAATGATTTACTTATTTTTTGAGATAAAATGATTATTTAAAATAGCAATTAATTTCTGGAATGCTTCTGTATATACTTTAGAAATTACATTACCATTCTACATGTATAAAGGCAGACTGGAGAAGAAATATTTTCATGAGATAAAAGTTAGATGATGAAAATGTAAGAGATAGACTGTTATCTCTTTGAATGAAATTGTTACAAGTTCAGATCTTGAGGTGCAGGAAGGGGGCAGCAGCAGGGTATCACTGCCACTGAATAAGTGGACACTCAGGCTTATGAGTGCTGTGGTTTCAAATACCAATTTTATTTGCAGACAAAAACTACCAAGAGAAAAATGCCAAACTGGTTCTGAGAATATGAAAATAATTTTAGAATACTTGTATTATTAGTAATACAAGGTTGTCTTCACATGAATCAAGCCTTGCCCTAATACATTCTCTCACAGATATCCTAAGTAGACACTTGAGACTAACAACCGTAATACTCACTTCCTTTTCAGAGTCAGACAGATTTTTCCAGTTTTCCTTTACAGTCTTCAGCTTTTCCTGTAAAACAATATATGTTTAAGTTAAGGTAGATATGGGGACTTCAGTGACCTTTATTATTCATTCCAACAAAAACTCAAGATACCAAGAATTACAGGCAAAGCCTCATCAATTCTTAACATCTTTTCTCTCTAAACAAAAACTATCAAACTGTTACAATTTACAAAAATGAACTGAATGAAGGTACATATTTTTGATTCGGAAATATTAATATTCAGGTATAATCTATGTGTTGTCATAAACTAACTTCAAAGTCTGTTTTTATTCCTTCCCTGTAGCTTTAGGTTTTATTTGAAAATCTGTGCTTCAGTGTTTAGATGCAGTAATAAGAACAATACAGCACAAGTCCAGTAAGTCTACTTAGTTGAACTTAATTATATGACCTGGAAAAGGTCACTTTACCTCCCTTGGGCTTGGCTCTTCATTTATAAAATTAAAGGGATAGAATTTTTTTTTTTTTTTTGAGACAAGGTCTCACTCTGTCACTCAGGTGGGAAAGCAGTGGTATGATCACAGCTCACTGCAGCACTGACCTCCTGGGCTCAAGTGATCCTCCTGTCTCAACTTCTGGAGTAGCTGGGACCACAGATATGCACCACCATGCCTGGTTAATTTTTTTAAAAAACTTTTTTTGTAAAGATGGGGTCTTACCACGTTGCCCAGGGCTGGTCTTGAACTCCTGGAATCAAGCAACCCTCCCACCCCGCTTCCCAAATTGTTAGGATTACAGGCATGAGCCACTGTGCCCAGCCAAAGATGTTTACTTTTGCTTTCCCTAAAATCCCATTAAACAAAGAAATCTTTTTAAAGGATAATCCCACATGAATAAAGACAACAGAAGAGGGCACTATCAACACAAAATTCTGGAAGCTGAAAAGCAGATGCATTAGTGGTAACTGACTTAACTGACAAAAGAAAGCTAATTGTTAAACTGACAGTGGAGAAAACCTAAAAGCAACTTAATTTACCATACAGAATTCCCAAATATCTCAGGAATTGGCAGCACCAGACAGGTGTAAAACAGGTGAAGCTAAGGTTAAACACAAGATTGGCTGAAAGACTGTTTAAAAAGAGATTAGGGCCAGGTGTGGTGGCTCACGCCTGTAATCCCAGTACTTTGGGAGGCCGAGGCAGGCAGATCATGAGGTCAGGAGTTCGAGACCAGCCTGGCCAATATGGTGAAACCCCATCTCTACTAAAAATATAAAAAATTAGCCAGGTGTGGTGGCACGTGCCTGTGGTCCCAGCTACTAGGCAGGCTGAGGCAGGAGGATCGCTTGAACCCGGGAGGCGCAGGTTGCAGTGAGCCGAGATCACGCCACTGCACTCCAGCCTGGGCCACAGAGTGAGACTCCGACTCAAAAAAAATAAAGAGAGGTTGGGTCAGGCACAGTGGCTCACATCTGTAATCCCAGCACTTTGAGAGGCTGAGGTGGGTGGATCACCTGAGCTCAGGAGTTCAAGACCAGCCTGGGGTAATATGATGAGACCCCGTCTCTACAAAATACCCAAAAAATTAGCCAGGCTTGGTGGCACATGACTGTAGACCTGGCTACTCAAGAGGTTGAGGTGGGAAAATTGCTTGAGCCCGGAAGGCAGAGGCTGCAGTGAGCTGAGATAGTGCCACCGCACTCCAGCCTGTATAACAGGCTGCCTGTCTCAAAAAAAAAAAAGAGGTTAAATTTCTACCATGGCAAATTTTAGGACATTTATCCTCTCTAGAGAGTAAAATAGTGTCACTCTGTGAAAACCAGGTACAGGTACAGTTGAGGGAAATGGTACCATACTAAAAGCAGAGAGATTAAGTTAAAATGTATCCAGCAGTTCAGGAAAAACAAAACAAAACAAAACAAAAAAAAAGGAAAGAAGACTAAAGGAAAACAGTACGGAAAAAAATAAGAAAATAAGGACCAGCTCAGAAGATGCATATACATGTAGCAGGAGTTCTAAAGGGGAGGAAAAAAAAAGCACCAGATCACATTTAAAGGACCAATAATCAAAACAGTTTTAGATTTCTCAAAAGCAGTACAATAAGGTAGAAGAAAAGGAATTTTTACATTTTGAAGAAATATGTTTTCCAAACTAGAATTCTATGCCCAGTCTAACAAGTGAATGTGAGGATACAGACATTTTCAGACATGCAAAACTCAAAAATTTAATCTCCCATGCACCTTTACTGGGAAAGATGCTATACAAGAATCAGAGTAAACCAAAAAAGTAAACAACAGAAGCAAAAGCAGCACCACAAGGATAATGAAGGCAATCTCAAGATGTTAGCTGTATACTAGGATTAGAAGGCAACAGTCACACTGGAACAAACCCCAGTTTTCAGAGTTAAACTGAAAGAAAAACACATCCTAAATTTACTAAAAGCTGGTGAATACCGAGGAGTTTGAGGGTGAATTATTGGTAAGTACAAAAAAAAAAAAAAAACCTAAGTGAACAAACAGACATAAGCAACTTCAGGGAAAATAAGTTTCGTAAGAAAGAAAAAATAATCATAGCATATGTCAGCTGTGAATACAGCTTACATAATCATAATACTATTAGGTTGGTGCAAAAGTAACTGCTGTGTTTGCCATTACTTTTAATGGCAAAGACCACAATTACTTTTGCACCAACCTAATATAGACACACAATACCAAGCTAACCAAAATTTTAACTATATTGGGAGGTAGGGGAATCGAAACATGACAACAGTGGGATGACAGTTAAATGTCTAGCTTAAACGGTGGTAGGTAATGCTTAAAGCATAAGATAAACAATGATTAAAGTTGAAAAAAAATCAAGAAGCAACAATATAAAAATGTTATTTAGGGATATGGAAACAGAATTTGTAAAGTGAACTACAGATATAATAATCCCGTAGGCAGAGTGCCAAAAACTTCATCTTAGATTAACATGGGTTACGGATCTAAACATCCATTTCTCTTACTATGTCATATGATACAGGAAAAAAAGCAATTGCCCATTTGGAGCTTCTAAGCAGCAAAAAAATAGGAAAGACTAAGCCACAGCAGGGATTGACAAGCTTTCTTTTTCTTTGACACACTGATATGATGCATTCACATGTATAACACATCCCTATGGGTATAACCAAAATGTTATTAAAAGATATAAATGAAGCAATAGGTTACAATCAATTCCCCATAGAAAATATTGCAGCTCTACTCTCATTCTTTCTAGTGATCGTAAAACAGTTAAGAACTGCTGGAACAGAAAAGCCTCCAGAAGAACTTTAATATCCCTACATATTAAAAAAAATGTTAAGTATTTAAATTTAAAAAGTTGGCAATGTATGTATGTATGTGTTGGCAACTACATACCTAAATTGATTGTATATGGTAAGAAAAAAGATTTTTCTTTAAAGAGGGCCTTAGCAAAAGAGTTTACTGTCTGGATATTCACTACTTTTCTTCACTACCTGACACATGGCACTCTAGACTTTTCCTGTCTAAATATTTTAAAAATTAAACAAAAATATATTTCAGCTTTACCTGCGGTGAATCACCCTTAGCTTCTTGGAATCTTTCAGCTACATAAACGTTATAAGCTGAACGAGGTCTTTTTGGTTTTCCAAGCAGTGTTAACTCCTGAATTAAAAAAATTGGAGGGTCAAAAATAGTGTTAACCTCCATGAGACTTAATTTTACCTACAGAAACTTTATTCACTACTACGCATTACAGATTATTCCTTAAAGTGAATGTTATGATTCTTATATAGTGTGATTATTACATCTTGCGGTCAGAATTTTTTTGACAGCACTGTTATGAAAATTATGTTAGATTTCACCAGTTATTTTCCATACAAAACCATTTCCTTTACCTATTATTCTCATAGTCTCCATGAACTAAATAACTGAATATATATGTACAAAACCTTTTTAAAAGATAAAACAACCTTAGGTTCATCCTTGTAAGATACTACTGTCCCCTTGACCAAATCACTGCATGCTTCCACCACAACCCAAGAACAATGGACTATTTGTTTAATAATCTTTCATCTCACTCCATTCCCTGAATGTCTCCACCTTTAAAGCTCCATAGTTGTGTTAAATTCATTTTACTAGTTACCAAAAGGGAAGAAACTGTGGAAAAGAATACAAGTATCCCTTACTATCAGTTTAATTTCTGAGTTCAGGGAGTGATATTGCATTATTATACTTAAGTTTCTGAATTTGGATAGTAAGTAGTACCTGTAATTTACAAAATTCTGTGGCTCTTAATAGCAATTTGGCTATAATCAGTAACAAATTCAACTTTTATTCATAACTGTAAGTAGGGCTCCTCTGATTTAGTTTCTTCTTCCTGAATCTCTCAGTCACTGAGTATTGAAACTACTATAGACTCCAAGCACTTTACAACTTAACTATTTCCCTCTTTGTTTCTAGAGCTATCACTAGGGATTTCTCTCCTGAGGGTTTTACTTGTAACTTCCTAGTCCTCACACTTCTCACTTGATCTCTGAACTAGTTGGTACTGGGAGTCAAGAACAATTACAAAAGAAAGAGAGAATGACAAGGGAAACTTTATAAATGTCCAATTCATGCTTCTGGTCCTCTCTACTCTTAGCACAGTGGGCTGGGTGCATTAAGGAGGAAGGGAGAATGAAAGAGGGAGGATATACTTTAGTAATCACTCTTCCAAACACCATCCTTATGTAGACACTCTATTTTTCACTCTTAGTATCTTTCTGGCTCCCTTTTACTGATTAGATCAGCCACCCTAAAGTAGCGGCATCATGGTCTCGAAACTGGGCGGGTCCTCAACCCTAGTGCTAGGACAGCTTAAAACATTAGGGTCAGGGAAAGACGTATTGGCATCCCACATTCAAGGCTGTAATCTAGTCTTTCAAAGAAATAGTTTTAACTCTGATGATCATTTGTAATAGTGTAGGTACACGACTAGCAAACTGACCACCTCAAAACTAATACTGGCTCTATGAAAAAAATGTATAACTTTCAAATGATGACATTTATGTGAATTAATACATTAAGCTGGGAACTACAAATTTTGAACCATGTGAGGTTTTTAATAGTTATTTCTTTGAAGAAAAAAAAAGAATTCCATCCTAAAGGCACTTAATTGATTAGATAAATTGGCATTTTTCCGATGTGTTAATGAATTAATGCAGTCTACTCAGCAATATTCCATATCAAACTCACCATAATCTATAGAATAATTCAAATTAATACGTTATTCTAAAGAAGACTCAGAAGCAAAGATTCTTGATACTCCTGGTTTGACTGTTTCATAACTCTGTTCCTGTAGTTTCCATTACTGTTCTACGAACTGTACACCTTAAATGTGGATACATCTGCAAGTAGCAACAAGGATTTCCAAACAGACTCAATGGCAAGTGGTCCTAGTGGCTATCTCACTTTTCATAAGAGAACTATCCCACTTCTGCCTAACTGAAGAATACTTGATGACATTCTACCATATTTTATTTGCCTATTAAGAGAAAACTACCTATATTCATAGTTATATAAATCTCAATTCTTTACCATAAGAAAAAAGTATTTCAATGATACTCACTTTTTTTTTTGTCATAGCTTTCCTTTTTAAATGTTTGTCCATGATTTCTTTTTCCAAAGACATAATCTGACTTGGAGTTAGCTGTTCTTTAAATCTGCTTATCTCTTCTTTATATACCTGCCACTCCGCCCTATAAGCATCTTGATATATCTATAAATAAAAAACCCAAGTAAGTCAACAAACCATTGCTGGCAAATTCAACATAGCACATGCCAGGGAAAGGCAACTGCATGACTTCAGACAGACAGATTTTATCACCAGGTGGAAAATGTGCTCTGGGATGAGATGTATATGGATTAAAACATACATTTTCCTTATATATACTAATCAAGGTGAGAGTTTAGTAATCAGCTTCCATTTTCAAACTACTGCCACTTCTTCACCTCCACCCCATACATCCATATTCTCATTATTTATGCAGATGAGAAGACATAAAGTTTCTTTGTAGATAACAGATTATTTTTTAAAAAGTCTGATCCATCTGGTCCTTTAAAGGACATGACAATTGCTCCTAACTGCAGAATAACTGGTCAGCAATGTTGAAAACTTATGTGCTTACTTTTTTCTTTGAATCAGGAAGTTCCCTCCAACGCTGGGCAATTCTTCTAATTAGTTCTGTAGTTTTTGCATCTATGGAATGAAATAAAAAGAAAAAAGATGCCACAATTTTACCTCTCAGGATTAATTTCTAAAGATATCCAGGAAAGCACAATCCATACCACACATAACTTAATATAATGATTTAACTTTCCTTTATCCAACTAATTTAAACGTAAGTAATTTATCCAACATTATCAAAAGTCTATTATCTAACAACTAAGGAGTATACCATATACCACCAGAAACAGTCAACAGTTTGATTACTAGGATTTTTTTTTTTTTTTGAGACAGGGTCCGTCACCCAGGCCATCACCCAGGCTGCAGTGCGGTGGTACAATCTTGGCCTAATGCAACCTCCACCTCCTGTGCTCAAGTGATTCTCCTGCCTCAGCCTCCCGAGTAGCTGGGACTACAGGTAGGCGCCATCATGTCCAGCTAATGTTAGTATTTTTTGTAGAGACGGGGTTTCGCTATGCTGCCCAGGCTGGCCTCAAACTCCTGAGTTCAAGCAATCCATCTGCCTCAGTCTCCCAAAGTGCTGGGATTACAGGCGCGAGCCACCACACCAGGCTGATTACTAGTTTAAGAAGCTGGATGATCAATTGCTTCAAGTTTTTTACTTCCCTTCCATATTTCAAGCAAAACACTTTTTCAAGTCTTTGAGGAATTCCTAAATTTATAAAAGCTAACAACAAAATACATTCTCGATCCATATAACACAGCCTCGTATTTCAATAACAGAAATATCATTTGGAAACAAGCTATTCGAAATTCAATCTGTTATTCTCCACTTCCTTCTTCATCTTAACCGGAATGATGGCGTGCAATTAATTGATTTTTAAAAATACCTGTTAGTACTAACTCTTACATTTAAAAGATGTGGGTACTTAAGCATGTCTCTGAAACTAACTCCTTACCTATAATGTGAGCTTTTTTTTAAAATTATTATTGTTTTTTGAGACAGGGTCTCGCTCTGTCACCCAGGCTGGAGTGCAGTGGAGCAGTCATGGCTCACTGCAGCCTCAACTTCCTGGGATCCAGTGATCCTCTCACCACAGCCTCCCAAGTAGCTGGGACTACAGGCACTGCGCCCCCATGCCCACCTCATTTTTGTATTTTTGGTAGAGACAGGATTTCCATGTTTCCCAGGCTGTTCTCGAACTCCTGGGCTCAAGCAATCCACCCATCTCGACCTCCCGAAGTGCTGGGATTACAGGTGTGAACCACCTCACCCAGCCTGATGTGAGCATTTTTTATTCTCGCCGAGAGGCTTTCTAGAGAGTCAACAAACATCCTACCTGGAAATGTTTTTTTTTTAGGAACCCAAGACAAGAAAGGATTTATCCTTTACAACCCACCATCCCCTTGGCAAGGTCGAGGTCTGAATCAAAGAACCAGAGTGGCTCTGAACTCCTATGATGAAAAGGTTTATCCTTTCTTATCTTGAAAGCTCTTGAAATTAGCAGTAAATTGCATAGAACTTTACAGTTCTACAGAACTTACAGTTTATGGATGCTTCCACAGAAGTTGCAACTTTATTAACAATTCCCTGAGCCAGAAAAAGGAGGAGCTAGGCAAGAGAAAATAATTCATCAGTGGTCCTCTAGACCAAAGGCAACAAGGCCCCAAATTCAGCTTTTTTATCCTCTTCCTAGGGTGCTTTCTACACTATACGTTATTTTTAAAATACCATTTACTAGTTCTCATTTATATTTAAAGCATTTCCATTTGGTATAAAATAGAACTTCCTATTTTACAGACATCAAATGATTGTTCCTGCAGTCACTGAATGCTTTAGCACTGCAATTCAACATTGGTATTTAACTGCTTAATGGCATTTTTATTACATGAGAAAAGGGTATATGCCCCAAAACTCCTTACCTGGGTTCTGAGCTTTAAATATGGGTAGTTGTTCTTTAGAAAATCGAAGGTAAGAACTTACAGGTTTCTTTGGACAACTTGCCAAGACAGATGAAAACCACCTCGGTAAATACACAAAACTACATATAAACAAAAAGAAAATAACCAGTGTCAGATGTTTAACTGTCAATATTCACATGTATATGAACACAGATCCCAAATAAGAAATGTCATCAAGATACTATGTATCCAACGCCTTCAACAAGAATGCTAGAGACTTATTAAAACCCTGTCCTAAACGGAGGGGAGCGTCTGCAGGACTGAAGTCTCAAAGCCCTTACCTCCTAGGAAGGGCAGGGAGTGAAGGAAAGCGTCTATACTCCAGCTCCTGGGCCCCGCCTCCTCAATGCCTAGATGATGGCCGGAGACTCGGCGCGAATTCGCAGAGGAGGCGGAAAGGATCCAAAGCTGGACAGTGAGGAGGGATGGGAGAAGCGAGTGGAGGGTAGCAAGAAGGTACGGCGTATTAAGAGAGTAAATAAAGGCCTGGTCTCAAGGCCACCGTCCCCTTGGCAAGGTCGCGGTCTGAATCAAAGAACCAGGGTGACTCTGAACTCCTAGGAGGGGCAGAAAGTGAAGGATAGGGTCTACATTCCAACCCCGGGACGTCCTGGGCCCTGCTGCCCCTAGGGCACAGGCAAGCGGGCCTACCTGAAGGGGGAGCGCAGTCGACTTCCACAGCCGGTGCACAGCTCTGCTCCAGACCTTCCCAGGGCACTCAGCACGCCCCACATGCTTCGGAGAAACGCCATCGCTCCGGTGGATGAGGCAGTGACCCGACCCCAATCTCGGAGAGCCTCCTGGCAATACACAACTCCAGCAATCACAACTGGAACCCGCGTGCGACCCTCCGGCGTGTGTTATCATGCCCGCCACTAGCGAGGCACTATGGGAAATCTGCTAACATCCGGTCGGTAGATGGGGGCGGGGCGGGGCGGAATTGGCGCAGGCGCGGGAGAGCGTACCCCGGTGGGCGGCCTTGCGGGGGAGGAATAAGAGCCGCGGAGATGAAGGGAAACCGCAATCCTCTAGCCTGCGGAGGGCTCTGGCTTCGAGGCGGCGCTGTTGAGCCACCTCTGTCCCCGGCCGCCCGGAGCAGTGGGTTCCTCTGCCGGGCCAGGAGGGTGATGGAGGGACCGCGGCGGCGGCCTCACCCCAACCCGGCGTTGGCCGGTGTCCGCCCGTGACGGTCACAAGGGCTGTACGTAACAGACAGTCCTGCATCCAGGACCCCGAGGTCCGATCGGCGGCTGCTGCGCGCCCAGCGGAGCGTCTCAGTTCAAGCCAGGGCTGGAGCTCGGAGTTCAGAAATAGTAACGGGAGAGGCGGGGATTCGCAAACCTAAAAATGCAGATTCCAAGGCCTTACCGCAGAGCTTAATTCCGTGTGTCTATGTGGGGCCCATTAATCTTCATTTTAGCGAGTTCCCCAGAATTTAACAAGTTCTAATGTCGGTGGTCTTGAGACCACATTTAAAGCAATATAGCTTTAGACTGTTTATTCTACCATCTACTGCAGTCTTTCAGTCTGGCCTCCAGCTTGCTTAATTTGAGCAGAGGAAACTGGCTAGTTGTCCACAGTCGCTAGTCTCAATTCTTCTAGTTCCAGTATTAACATTAACGTCTTGACTTGGGAATATTGCATTCCCTCGTTAAGATTCAGTTTCCCCCTCTGCAAACGAGGATGTTAGACTAAATCAGTTTTCCCAGCCAAAGCCCTGAGAACGTGTGACAAGTATGCCTTGAGACATTGATGTGTCAAAAATTGCTGTATAATTTTTTTATTTGTGTTATAGAAATACCATTTTCTGTATAGGCAATGGCATGAAAAAGATTAGGAAGACCTAAAGATACCTAAGGGTCCTTCCAGCCCTTAAATACCAGTTGTTTCAGAGCTAACCACCTTCTGAGACAGCCTTTCTTCTGTTGGATAGCCGTAATTGTTAGAAAATTCTTACCAGTGTCATATTGAGCTGACAGTCTATTTACCTTTCTGTAACTATGAAAACATTGGCTCTCTGGAAGTAGGACTAAGCCTACTTCTTCTTTTAAGCGGTAATAACCACTTCCCTTTTATAGACTCCCAGGGTTGAAAGGGACCTTCCAAGTCATCTGTTCAAACCTCCCATTCTGGCATGGAATAAACAGGTTTTTTTCCTGAGTATATACTATGTACAACGCCCTAAACATAGATAAAAGACACAGTGTTGTGCCCCAGCCCACCCCCCGCCCCCAGCCCCAAAGGTGAGGCAAAGTAGCAAATAATTACAACATGGGGCTCAGACAGAAGTTACATTTAAGTTGATTTCTAAAATAATTTGTTTCCCTTTTTGTTCTAGAATGTTTTTGTTCTTTCAAATGTTTGACATAAACTTCTTTTGGATATTAAACTTTTTGTTGTTTTCGACTTTCATTTGTATAAATCTTGCTGTAAAGACCTTAAAAATCAAATCCATAACATTTTTCATCAGATACCAATCTTCCTTAAAACTCATTTACATTGCAGTGATAATTTTACTTCTAAAAGCAGAATTTACAAAGAAACATAACTTTATCCACTAAAACTGTCTTTTAACAAAAAGACATGGTATATAATTACTTTATAAAACATGAAGACTTACTGCAGCCTTTCCCAGGGTCCCTTTGTTGTAAAGTTCTCTAGTCCCATGACTTCAGCTATTAGTTATAGCCTCATGACTGCCATATTGAACCCAGTCCTCTCCTTTGAGTTCCGTATCCACATAACCACTGTCTTCTGTACATTTTCACCATCATGTCCCACAAGTACTTCAATTTCAACATTCCCTGAACAAAATCCACTATCTTTCACCCATCTTGAAGTCCTTCTCTTGGTAAGATGCACATGTTTTCCTCTTTAATCATCTGAGCCAATAACTTGATAAATCATTTTAGAATCTCCCCATTGACACTCCACCTGCCATTAACCAACTGATGATGAGTATTGCTGATTCTGCCTCATTCATCCCTCTAGTATGTATTTCCTTCTCTCTAGTCCCATTGCTGTTGCTTTTGTTCAGGCCAGTAATATGCTGGTAAATAGCTCTCCAAAAAAGAAAGCCCCAATTTGTGGTGTTTGCTGAGTTCTATGGTGTAAATACTCCCACCATTGGCAGATTTCATGCTACTGACAAATTTTTCTTTTCCTGTTAACATGCAAACATACATATTACATAACCAGCATTGCTCCTTTCTTCCTGTTGAACTTTTAATATTTCTTAAATTAGTAATATTTGAGCAGACACATTGTGGTAGTTGATGAAAAATTAAAACAACACACCCTGAAGTTGGATTGCACTTTAATATTTTCAGAAATTTTTAAATAACTTTATTTGACTGTATGATTCAAATATCAAAGGAAAAGGTAGAGAAGGTATTGTCATGATCATTATTCCCAATTTCCAGATGAGAAAAATGAAGTTCAGAAAGCCCAACTCATAAGCTTCCAACAGTAAGTTGTGTAGGTAAAAATTGCAATTCATTGTCCTGTGCTTTTCGTTTGTATCAGATCACTCAGACTCAGTGAACATGCCACATCATTCCAGCCCAAAATATCTTTAGTGGATCATCTATAGTGTGTGAGCTCACATCACTTACTTGTGACATCATGTACCACTCTGGTTTCTGATCTTTTTCTCTATGTATACATATTTTTTTCCACAATAGATGGTAAGTTATATTAGGAAAAGACTAAATCTTATGCCTTCTTTTATCCCCTATTGTACCTAGCACAGTACACTGAGCATGATAGATGGATGAAGGGACAAACGGATGGATAGGTGAACTGACAGATATATAGATAGATAGATAATAGATGACAGACAGACATATAGATACACAGAGAGAGATGAATAGTGTGAAAAGATTAGCATCTGCACAAATTATTTATATATAAATTTAGCCCCATAGAGAACAACTACCTGTTAGAAGTGTCATTTGCCAATAGAAGGACACATTTGCCAGTGTGTGGAGATGGAAACCATGTAAAATTCTGAAATATATATACACATGAAAGTAATGATTATGGTTCATTGATACTTGCACATTGGTAAAGCAGAAGGTAGTGCCAATAAACAGCAGGAGCAGCCAGAAACCTGGATAATTCCCTGCTGAATAATGGAGTTAGATGCACAGATATCACTCAAATGAAGAAAAAATGTTGCTAAGAGAAAGCAGTCTTGGCTTTTGTAATTATAATAGATAAATAATTTAGCTACAACAGGAGCAATTACCTAATAGGTTTTAGCAGGATAAATAGATGTGATTCTGAACTTGTAAGTAAAATATCTCTGGAAATAAGATCATACTATGGACACCACATTTAAAGACAATTTCCTCATAAGCAATTACAAAGCACTGTGATAAGCACTTGAAAGGGGCACAAAAAGCATAAGATATTGATCCTGCCCCAAAGAGCTGACACTGTGATTGGGGGAACAAAGCATAAAGACACAAAAGGAATAAAAGTATAACAGTGCATTGCAGCAATGAGAAAAAATTTTACACCTTGAATATCTCCTAGCTTATTTTTTCTGTGAGTCAAGATTTTAATAAATTATGTATGGAAAACTACTTGTATAATTTTTTCTTTCAAACCATTTTTATTGACATAGAGTCTGTTTTCATGCCACTGGAGTTTGCCTTTAAAATCAATATACAAAAAGAAGGAAGGGAAAGAGAAATAGAGAAATTAGAAGAAAGACCTGTTGCATGTTAATAGTTCCCAGCTACCCGAAATTATTATTATCTGTGAAATATTTCTCAATTAGAACAAAGTCTGCATGCAGCCTTAATTATTAAGGGCATATCAGAATTATTTTAAGCCATTGCTGTAGCAGCATTACAAAAAATAAATGTAGCTTGTCTATTTTAAAGCTGATTCTATGAGTCAGCAGGAGGTAGGACAAGCAAAAAGAACAGCTATAATTTTATGCAAATGTATAATACCCCAATTCATATTACTGGATGTTACTGAAAGCTGACTTCATATTACTGAAAGCTAACTTAAAGATCGGAAGAAATCCAGAATGATTGTATTGAAGGAATAATGCTGTTAATAGGACAATATAATGTGTCTGCCCTCATACCACGGTAAAGTATCTGATCAATACAAATGGTAATAATTATAATTTATTGCTAAACTACATGCCAAGTATTTTACATACATTATCACTAATCCTTTCATAAATCCTCTAAGGTGCTATGATTTCTACTGTACAGCTATGAAAACTGTATAAATAATAGGAAGGATATCTTCCTTGTTAGCATGTTAATAACAAAAATTGCCACCTCTGAATCCACAGTTTGCAGCTTTGAAGTTATATATGACTCTACGTAGATACAGGATAGGTAAATCAGTCATGAAGCGGTAGTTTTCTTAAACACCTGCTCACATTCTATTATTTCCAGTCCCCATAAATGCTTTCTTATTTATCTGAGTGGCTTACTAAAATAATATCTTAAGCCAGGGCAATGGCACATGCCTGTAGTCCCAGTTACTTGGGAGGCTGAAGCAGGAGGATTGCTTGAGCCCAGAAGTTTGAATCTAGCTTGGGCAACATAGCAAGACCCTTTCTCTTAAAAAGTATTCAGTCACCCAAAAACATAGGTTTGAATTTAAAGAACTACACATACACATATGCATGAGTGTGCGTGCAAAAGTAAGAGTGCAGAATAGTACACAAAATTTGGTTTAATAGTGATTGTATCTGAGTATTGCAGGAGTGCATGGGTGGTACTCATTTTTTAATTTATATATTATCTTAGTCTTCTTGTAAAACACAATAGTAATATTCATCTTTTAGTGATAATTTTTTAAAAACTCAGTTCCTAGGAGAGGCCAATACTGTGCCAGACACTGTGCTAAGTTCTAAAAGTACATATGGTTGGGTGCAGTGGCTCACGGGGGAGGATCACTTGAGCCCAGGAATTCGAGACCAGCCTAAGCAACACAGTGAGACCCCCGTCTCCATAAAATAAATAAATAATACATACAAATACGATTAAGGCCCGATCATCCATTTAAATTTACCTGGGAAAGCAGGGGATGGCTTCATAGAGTAGGTGACATTTGAACTGTTTTTTCGAGTGGGGAAAGGTTGAGATGCCTTCCAGAAAAGGAAAACAGTATGTGCAAGTCACAGATATTTATGAGGGCATGGTATATGTGAAAAGGAGTGGTATGAAACAAACCTCTTTAAATTTGAGTGGGGTTGGGTTGTAAAGGACTATGTATAATTTAAGTTTGTTAGGAAAATATAGCCAAACAACTTTTTAGGCAGGTTACAGGCACAATTAAGTTGTTTTTATAAAAATCCCTTTAGTAGGAGCACAGAGAATGATGGGTGTGAGAAGACTGTTGCTGTAATCCAGGAAAGAGGGTCTGAGATTCTGAAGTAACATGGTGCCATGGCTCATACTCCAAAGGCCTAAGTATAATGGGCAAGATTCCATTGACTGGTTAAGTACATAGAACACAAGAATGACTTTAAGGATTCTACCTTGATAGACTATTCCAATTCCAATTGCATACTCTGCTAAGTGAATATCCCCAAGCAAATGCTTTCATTATATCATTTGGCTGGTTAAAAACTTACACACTTCTTACTTGCTATCGAACCAAGATTTCATATCCAGCAGATCTATGTTCTCCACCTAATCTTTTCTCTCATTCATTGCACATGGACTGCCAGTGCCATTCTCACTTATTTCTACTTTATTACCTTTGTTTGGCTTCTCCTGTTTTCATTAATGCCTTCCCTACTTAAATATGCCAATTAGAACCCTAAGTATCTTCCAAAGCCTAGTTCATTCATTTGTTTAGTGAACAACTATTTAAGTACTTGTGTGCCAGACACTGTAGATCCCAGCAAGCATAAAGATGCACACTGGGAATCATGGTAACATTGATGAGAACTATTATTACCTCAACAGCTAAGAAAAGGAGTGACATAAAAATTAGAGATTTAAAGGATAGGGAAAGAGGGCATTTTGAGCGGAATGTACAATTTGACCAAAATCTGAGAATGAGAAGCACCATTCTATACTGGAAGTGGGGAGAGGTTGGGATCCAGTGAGAACTGCAGGCAGTTTGGTGGGAGTCGGGAATGGCAGATGAGACTGGAGATGCAAGCTAAAATTTACCACAAGAGTCTTAAGGACTTGATACTTTATTCTGTTGGTTCATGATTTAAACAAGGGGAAAGAACCTGAGAACCCAAAGGGTCCTGATATACGTATCAGATAAAAATGAGCTTCACTGTTTGAAGTTATAAGTGGGTCCAAGTTAAAGTCAGGGTCCAAAGGCTAAACCATTAGCATCTCCCTTCTTTTTTCTGTAGGTCCCTCTGCAAAACCACTGCTGAGTCTGTGGGGAACTATTTAAAAATGTTAAAGCTGATAACCCACAAGATCAGATTTGGGGTTAGAATACTTTCACACTTCTGTGGATGATGGACTTGAGGGTAGGGAAAAGATAGGATGTTGTGGTAGTACCATCAAAAAATGAAGAGGTAGAGATTTCTGCTTCAAGAAATTCCACTGAGAATCAGAAGAGCTGCATAAAATAAAACCTTATAATTGAGAAAGTGTGAGAGAGCTGCAGAAGTCATGAGACTTTCAGAGGTGAGCTGAGTATCTGTGGTCATTTTTCTCCTGGAGTACAGGTTAGAGGCTGAGAATTTGGGCTTTATGCAGGCAGAGGAGCACTGCTGAAGGACAGAGTTTTTTGTGGTTGCACAGAGCTGGAGTGACAAAACTAGAGACTTAAGGAACCTCAACATACAACTAGTTTCCCCCTCAAGTAAGAGCCAAAGTTTTAATTTTGTTGGGTAGGAGGCTAAAGAGCTAAATTTCTGAAAAAAAATATAGTGTAATTTTCTTCTCTTAGTATTGAGAAGACAACAGCCTGACAGAGGAAGGAGACCCCAAAGAACAGCCTAGAAGCAAAAAGACTGAAGTTGTGAACTAAACTAACACCAATGATTTACATCCTCTCTTCTCCCTGCAGCACTTGTTGATTTGGATGTGGCTAAAGGCTCAGGATTCGAGCTTGATCCCTTATGACTGTTCATGACATTAGAACCAGTAGTAGTCTGGTGGTTGCATACAGCAAATGTAACATAATTACAGATTTGAAGGGCTTTAGAGACAGCGGGTTGCTTGCTCAAGATGTTTGCCAAAGTATGAATCTCCCAGGAGCAATAGGCTAAAACTGTGAATCAAAAATACTGAAAAGCAAGGTGGAATTTCCTATAGCCTGTCTGTGCTGAGAAACAAAGACAGTTGAAGAGGGTTATGCACTATGAACAAAGATAAACTAGACACAGTTTGGGTCTAATAAAACTGCAAGCCAGCCTCAACTAAGCACAGGTCCTGATTGCATTAAAGTGGTCATCTTCACACTCTATTTGACTAGCCGAGCACACGATGTAACCTCTCTGGTGGAAGAAAACATCATGAGTTTTCACAGGTTTTTTTTGCACAATGTCTGGCATTCAATAAAAACAGACCCACAGGTAACTCAGATACTAGAGTTAGCAAAGACTTAAATAACTGTGATTAAGAACTTCAAAAACTAGAGAAAAATATGGACAAAAAATAAAACAATTTAGGAACTCATCAAAAAACTAAAATATGTTTAAAAAATCAAATGGTAACTTAGAACTGAAAAATAAACCTGGAATTAACCATAATGTCTGAAATGGAGTTGATGGGTTTAAAAGCATATTGAAAAAGCAGGAGATAGGATTAATGAACTGGAAAAAAGGTCAATACAAAACTGATGCACAGAAGGACAAAGAGGGGAAAAAAGGAAAACACGGAAAATAGGTTTGAAAACATGTTGGATACAGTCAAAAGATCAAATATATATTTTTTATACTGGGGCCCTAAAGGGGAGAAATAGAATGGGGCAGAAGCAATATTCCATAAAATAATGGCTGAGATTTTCTAGAACTGATGAAAATATATCAACCCACAGATTCAAGAAGCTCTGTGAACCTCAAGCAGGATAAAGACAAAGAAAACTACACCTCGTAACACCGTCATAAAACTGCTAAAAATAAAAAAGATAATCTTAAAAGCAGTCAGAGAAAATAGGCATATTACTTTTAAAAAGGCAGTAAGACTAATAAGGCCAGGCGCGGTGGCTCACACCTGTAATCCCAGCACTTTGGGAGGCCAAGGCAGGTGGATCACGAGGTCAGGAGTTTGAGAACAGCCTGGCCAATATGGTGAAACCCCTTCTCTATTAAAAATACGAAAATTAGCCAGGTGTGGTGGCAGGCACCTGTAATCCCCAGCTACTCAGGCGGCTGAGGCAGAAGAATTGCTTGAACCCGGGAGGCAGAGGTTGCAGTGAGCCGATATCACACTACTACACTCCAGCCTGGGTAACAGAGCAAGACTCCGTCTCAAAAAAAAAAAAAAAAGACTAATAATAGCTGACCTTTCAATAAATTATGGAATCCAGAACACAATGGAATGACATCTTTAAATTGCTGAAAAGAAAATACCCATCCAGAATTCTATTCCCAGTAAAAATATCCTGTAAAAATGAAGGCAAAATAAAAACATTTCAGAAAAGCAAAACCAAGCGAGTATTTGTCACCAGAAGATGTACACTAAACAAAATTCTAAACGGAGTTGTTTAGTTAAAAGGTAAATGATCCCATATGGAAACAGGAAAGCAATGAATACTGGAAAAAGTAAAATCGGAGGTAGGTATAATGATACTGACATACAAAACATCAGTGTCTTGTGGAATTTCACATATATGTCAAATTAAAATACATGACAATAATAATACAGCAAAGGTGGGAAAGAGACAATGGAATCCAGGTGGTCTAAAGTTTTCACATTATAGGGAAAAATGGTACAAGCAATAATTCATATTAAACTATAATCAGAGATAGATCTTTTAATTTAGAGTAATCACATGCACAAAGAATGTCTAACAAGTTATCAGAGGGAAAGAAAATGATACTGTTATAAAAACTGAAAAACCCAAAAGAAGGAAAAAAGAAAGGTGAAAAAAATAAAACATGGTTAAGAAGAAAAAAAAACAAAAATGGGAACACAGTTGGTATAAACCCAACTATATCAGTAATTCCTTTAAATGCAAAAGAATGAAATTCTCTAATTGAAATACTAACATGGTCAGATTAGATAAAAACCAAATTAAATAGAACCCAACTTTGAAATGAGTACTGGAGACACACATTTAAAAAGGGACACAGAAAGATCAAAAATTAAAGAATAGAAAAAGATATACACTGCAAATACTAGCCAAAAGAAACCATACTAATATTAGATAAAGTGGAGTTTAAGGCAAAAGCATTAATACAGATAGAGACATTTCTTAATGTGATATCACAATTTTATGTGTGTGTGTAAGAGAGAGTATCCAAGAATATGATTTCAAAATATATAAGGCAAAAATAAAACAGACAATTTCACAATCATAATGGGAAACTTTTTAACGTATCTCCCTTAATGGCTGTGAGAACAAGCAAATAAAAATTATAAACACAATTAACAAACTTGATCTAATTAGCACATATAAACACTGAATCTAATAATAACAATCCATATTATTTTCAAATGTATATGATACATTTATCATAATTTCCATATGCTGGGCCATGAAGCAAGCTTCAGCAAATTTCAAAGAATTGAAACTATTCATATTATGTTTTCTGGCCATGGAGAAATTAAGCTAGAAATCAATAGCAAAAATTTAACTTAAAAAAAAAAAGCCCAATTGCCTGGAAATAAAACAATGTATCCTTATATATAACTCATAAGTGAATAAAAAAATCCAAACAAGAATTAGAAAATATTTTTAACTGAATGACAATGTAGATACGATATTTCGAAACTTGTAGGATGTAGCTAAAGTGGTACTTAGGGGTAAACATATAGTTTTAAATACATATATTAGAAAAGAAGGAAGGTTTTTAAAAATTATGTTTCAACCTCAAGAAGCTACAAAAAATGAATCAAAATCAAAAACTAAAGAAAACATAAATAATATAAATCAATGAAACAGAAAACAAATGTACAAAAGAAATTTTAAAAAATAAAATACTGATTCTCTGAAAGATTAATAAAGTTGATAGTCTTCTAGCAAGACTCACCAAGGAAAAAAATTGTGAGGAGATATGTATGACTGCAGATACATATTACCTTCAAAAAGACGAGGATATCATGAACAACTCTATGCCAAATAGATCAACGATTTAGATAAAATGCAGAAATTCCTTGAAAAACACAAAACTGAGTAATAAAAATATATCTAGTCCATATATAAGATATAATTTATTATTAAAATCTTCCCATAACCACCACCACAACAAAAAAACTCTAGACATGATGCCTTCAGAATATTCTTCAAAGTATTTAAGGAAAAAATAGCACAAATCTTCTACAAACTCTTCCAGAGAACAAAGGAAATGTTTCTTCACTGTTTTTATGAGCCCAGCATAACCTGAGGTATGAAATTGACAACAATATTCAATAAAGGAAATTATGGACCAACTCGTCCCATGAACACAGTTGCAAAAATCCTCAAAAAAATTTGCAGATAGAATCTAGTGGTTTGTAAGGAAGATAAATACATCTCAAAGTGGGTTTCTATCCAGAAATGTAAGGATAATTTAACAGGTGAACATCAGTTAGTGTAGTTCATCACACTACATTAATCAAAGAAAAGGATAAAAATCACAATAATCTTGATAAATGAAGAAAAAGCATTAAATTCAACTTGTAACTCAATAGTAATAAAAATGCTTTAAGAACTAGGAATAGAAAACTTCCTTGATATGAAAGGAACACCATTGTTAATACTGACATGTAAGAGCTTTCCCTTGGAAATCAAGAAAGGATGTTTGCTATTACTATTTCTATTCAGCATGATATTGGAGCTCAGGCTAATGCAACAAAGGGCAAAAAAAAGAAATGTGGCATAAAGATTTGAATAAAATCATCTCTATCTGCAGCTGACATGATTATAAGTAAGTATAGAAAACTAAAACTTTAGAATTGTACAAACTTTTAAAAAGTAAATTTAGCAAGGTTGCAGGATATAAGATGAATATAAATTGCTTTTCTATAAATAATATATAAATATGAAATGAAATGAAAAATAATTTTATAATAGGTTTTAAAAACTTGATACATAGGAATGAATCCAGTGAAAAACGTGCAAGACCTCTACACAGAGAATTACAAAACAATTAAAACAATTACCCTATAAAACAATGACAATTAGAAATTAAAGACCACCTAAGTACATTGAGTGATTCATGTACATTGGAAAGACTAGTCAGTAAGACATATTAGTGACCCCAAATTGTTTCCCAAGGAAAAGTAAGGGTCTATGTCCACTTTCCTTGAATTTGAGTGAGCTTGTGACTGTTTCATCCAATGAACTACACAATCTCTGACTTCAAAAGCTAGATCACTTAAAAAGGCAGCTTACTCCTCATTCTCTTGGAACACTTATCTCCAACTGCTCCCTCTTGGAAGTGGGCAGCCATCTTGTGCAAAGATCAAACCACATAGAAAGGCCATTAATAAGTGACCTAGAATATAATACCTGTCCTGGTGCCAACGTATGAGTGGAGAAACCTCCAAATGCTTCCAGCCTCAAGCCATCTGAGTCATCCTGAGCCAAGAACCTAAGTACAGGGGAGTAGACAAGCTATCCCTCCCGTGCCTCAGCCCAATTCTTGACCCAACAGAATCCATGCGCATAAAGAAATGGTTGTTCTTTGACACTACTTAGCTTGGGGTGGTTTGTTGTTCAGCAGTAGATAACCAGAACAAAAAATGTCAACTTTACCAAAATTGCTCTACAGATTCAATAAATCCCAATTAAATCTCAGGACAAATGGCAAATCTTACCCTAAAATACATACGGAATTACAAGGGGCCTGAATAGTCAAAACAGTACTGTGAAAGAACAGAGTTGGAGGGCACACACTTCCCCATTTCAAAAGCTACTACAAAGTTACAGTAAGCAAAACAGTGTCATACTGGGATAAGGCATATTGATTGATGGAATGGAACTGAGAGACCAGAAATAAACCTCTATGGTCAGTTGGTTTCCAACAAGGGTACTAAGGCCATTCAAAGGGAAAGAATAGTTTTTTTAACAAATTATACAGGCCTGATCTTTAGAATGGCCTGTTTACAAGGTTTGCCCTTGGCTGACATCTAGAAACCTGGCTTCTGAAACCATCCCTGAGTGATAAGATGTGCTTGCTGTGCTAGCCTGACTAGACTTCTTAAATAAACAATGTGATTTATGGTGAACACCTGCTTTCCTTCTAGAAGACTAGAATTTTGGAAAACAAAGGATGCTTATGTGATTAGCCCCCAATAAAAACCCTGGACTTTGCGTTTCACACTAGCATCCTAGGGCAGAAACACTATGCCCATGCTACTACTAGAGGAAGGCTTCACTCTTGTGGCCCCTTCAGGGAGAGCACAGGGAGCCTGCACGTGGATTCCTCCAGACTGCCTGGTCTGTCTTTCCCCCTTACTGCCCCCACTGTGTATCCTTGCCAGGTGGCTGTAATAAATCTTAACTGTTGAGTATGATGGTATGTTGGGTCCTGTGCATTCTTCTATCCACACGTTGAATGTGTGGGACTGCCAAAACAAGTGTACCAAAAGTGCTAACACAAGTGGTATCACAACTGTTCCCACAATATGTATATTAAGAGTTTATACTGAAATATTTCATATGCAATTCATGGTGATCTTTTGCACTCAAGAGATCTTAACAGTTTTTCCTGCCAAGTAAATTATATGAGGAAAGCAGAGTTCAGACCTTCAGCATATGCCAGTATAATAAAAGCAACCTCCTCTGAGAGAAGAAAGGCACATCTCTCCCTCGACAACAGTAGGACCTAAGAGAGTGCTAACCAAGTTTTTAGAGAAATGTTTCTTATTACATAAAATGCCCCCCAATACTAATACTCTCAGGTGAATTTTCTCTCTTCCTATTAGTTCAGTTCATTTACAATTTAAAGCCACATTCTTATATAACAGGATAATGGGAGCAGAATTGTAAATGTAACAAAATACAAATAAGGATATAACATCTATTAGGCTGTCACCAGGACACTATCAGCCGTCTACAAATTTTCAGTTATCACCACTACTGAAAAAAACTAGGGAAAACATATTAATTACACAGTTTAAGAAGAGCTTACAGACACATTACTCAGTTCAAAAACAGAGAGAGTAGAAATGACTAGTTATCTACCTATAAGAACTTTTGTAAGTGAAATTAGATGAGACTCTACCTGCTGCCCTATTTGTGCAACACAACCATCAGAATAAAAGAGAAGCATTATAAGACCTTTCATAAATAATCTGCATTACATTTTACAGCTATTAAATTGTGATTAAGCCTCTGCTTTAAAGAAAAAAAAATTGTGAAAATCCTACTTTACAGCTGAAAAGTGATAAAACTAATTTTTTAAAAATCAGATTTTTTATTGTAGTAATAATCACTTAAAAGACTGAAACAAACAAAGATAAACAGTACTTTCAACAATCTGAATACAATGAAGCTCTGTTTTTATGGCCATGGCTAAAGCACTGATCACATTTTTCATGGCTGGTCCTAAGAAGATAGAGTAACAGGACTGATGATTCTACTGCAGAGCTCAAATTTTAAAGCATTATCAACTGGGCTGGGCTTTTGTACAGTTCAAAATGACTACCAATAAACAGACATGATATAGTTTCATGACCAATAATTTCTTTTAATTTGGGAGGAAAATTAATTTCCTTAATCTCTCCATTTAAAAAATACAGAACTGTGGGAGAGCAGGATCTTGACAAACATCAATGACTGAATCATTAGATAGATCACTGTGATAAATAAGAAAAATTTAAAACTGCAATGTATTATTTTTTTCTTATGAAAAGTAACTTTTGAACGTTAACTCTTAGAGTTGTCCTTGATATGCAGTTCATTTATAATTTTTAATTTTCCCTATCAGCGTTTAAAAGGGGTGAAACAGGGAAATAATGCAAAAATTAATAAATAAGGTTGACGGAGGCATATATGTAAAGCTTGTACTTCAGGAATTGTACGCTTTTGAGATAGTTGGAGGATGGTGGTGAGGCTGCCCCTTACAACCCATGTCACTGATGTGGGTAACTGCTGTATATGGCAGTTATAAGCGTTCAGAATCCAATTTGAACATGGTTTTCAACTATGCAACTTCAAGAAGTGGGATCCTAAATCCCCAAAAGACTACCTATTTCTCTCACTCCAAGGAAGTCCTTAAATTAATGCTTAATCCACAAAAGGCCCTGACTTTTATTCTACAGTTTTAAAAGGTAACTGATGTTCTCCTTGTTAGAGTTAAGCAAAAATAATATACCCAAAATGGTGTTCTGACCGATCATGACGCCACTATGGAACTCAAGGTTTTTAGCTAATTATGAGAACTTCTGCTTACTCCTCAAGTCCAGTACAATCCAGATGTAAGCAAAGGCAAACAAGTTAGGCAAGTTTCAAAAACTTTAATAAAGAAAAAAAAGAAGACACTTCCAAAAATAAATGCCACACAAATGAAAGTTGTTTTTTTTTTTTGTTTAAAGTGAAGATATTCAAGAAACAAAACCCTTTACTATCAAAATATACTAAATATTTAAATCTAGTGATGTTGAGTGTTCAAATTCAGGGCAAATGTAGCTTATAATAATATAGCTAAGTAGAATTTTTCATGATATGGCTGTTTTAAGACATCATTTTATAGATTTACTTTTTAAGCCTATATTTTCTTAAACATCCATTTCACAATTCATTTAATTATTTTACATTCATTTATAAAAACACATATTTTCTAACAATAGGTTATTTTGTGCTTTAATAATAATGAACCATGACAAAATACTCAAGTGATTTAAATGCTTTGCTAATGACTACACCCATCACATATTCTTACATACTTCTACAGCTACTGCAATAATCAGAAGGGCTACAACTGTTCTTAAAAATGACACTCACTCAAGGTTGACAAGCATGCTAAACATTAAAGAGATGTATTTTTCCCCAAGTTAAAACATTAAAACTTTCTAGTTTTCTTTAAAATCTATAAAGATAACCTGCTTATTTAAATCACTTTTCGATGGCAACTTATAAAAACAGAGGGAGGCATAATTTTAGAACTTCCTTTGTAACTTCTATAGTAAAAAAAAAAAAAAAGTTTTTCAAATTGTGATGGCATTAAATTCCATTTTAGAAATTCTAGATTTTAAAATGTTAAGAAATGTAATGTCAATTACATCAGGGTGGGGGCATTTTAATGAATTAATCTAGTGACTGTGCAGGTCTATAAAGACCTTTCTTTTGGATGGGTGATACTGCCTTATACTCATTTCAGTACTTTTAACAAATAATCCATTTAGATATAATCCAAGACAAACCCCAAATTACTCTAAATTCTCCTCTACAGCAAGGGATCAACATATATTATCTTATAGACTGACAATTTAGTAAAGAGATACTAACCTAAAACAATAAAATTTATATAACTAATGGTGACTAATGGCAAACAAAATAGATCTGATTTTCACAATTTGGATGTAATTTTCATGCAAAATTTTAGAGTTTTGATCCTTACTTATATTTTTATTTTTTTAAGTAATCAAGACAAATAGTAGAAAAAGCATTTTATTTATATGGAAAAAGCTACAGTAAGATCTGTAAAAGGTGTCAATATAATATTGCCTATACAGGAAAAAATTCAAATGTGAATAGCAACAAATAAAAGTTACACATCTTCCTACTTAGCAGTGCAATTAATTCACATTGCAATAAAGTTAAGTCAAGTATAACAAAATCAAAACAAGTGTTTCTCCATAATCAGTATGCTGAGAATTACAGTGTAAAGATCATTTCAGATTTAAGAAATCTGCAATCAATCTACAGAATATCCTAAGACAAGGGAGACACAGTTAATTCACTTAATTATCAGCCGTTGGGGTTTTTCAATACTGTTCACAGGAAAAAAGTAATGAGTTGACATACATGTAAATAGAATATATTTAGTCTATACAGTAAAAAAATACAAATTATAAAGTGAGCTAACAAAGAATGAAATCTGAATACAGATTTATAAAACTGACATCTTAGACAACACATACAGTATTTCTCATGTAAAAACATCTAGTTTCAGCAAAAAATAATTTGGTTGCTTTTCAGCTGCATTGTAGATCTTGTAAGCTGAAGATGCAGATGTCCAAGTATCTTAAAAACCATAATAAATGTCTTTCTCAATGCATACAAAATGATAAATGCTCTCATCACAGTCTTAAGGGTATTTTTGGAAGTTTGTTTTGTCTTGCTTCAGAAACACATTTAAAATGGGTAAAAATCAAATGGTTTCATGGTACAATGAAACAGTAAACAGTGCTCAATTTACTGCTAATGTTGAAAAAAACCTAGATTTTACAGTACTCTGGTATATATGAAAATGTTTTTGATTTTTACATTGCATATTTCTGAGTCCATTCTCTTGCATGTCTGTTGTATCTGTAGATACACAAAAAGGATATAGTAAAAACATACAAAATTAATATTTCAGAAGCATCTGTCTAATAAAACTATATATTCTACCTTCTTATACTTAATTGCAATAATCACACATATATCAATTACTGGGTCAATGTGACTTAGGTTCATGCAGAAATAAAACAGGAAAAATAATTTTTTAACTCATGGATTTCTCTGCAACCTATATGAAAATGTATCCAAATACACAAAAATCAAAATGCAGAAACCAGCTTCTAACAGAAATTTACAAAAGCCAATCCTGAAGGAGCATTATCTACAAATTGCAAATGAACCTACAGTACTAGCAAGATGAAGCAGCTTGAGAATTAGGTCAGTTTGGATGGGTACGAGAGAACTCCTCTTCCTTGGAGAAGATAAGCAATATATATTTAATACTTTCCAATGATTAAATTCTTTCATTTTTAATTTATCACCTAGAATATATACATCTATTTTTCAAATACAGAGTATATACTATTGAACAGTAAGTGGGAAGGAACAAGATTTATCATAAAAGGTCTAACAGAGTTCTCAAAGAAAGGTTTACTCCATTGGAAAAAGATAAACAATATACATATAACAACCATAATCAAATTGACTTAAAACATATTGATAATATTCGTGTTTTGGCATACTATATAGGAATGTATCCATACAGAAACTAAAATAAGTAAACACTTACTTTTCTTTGTCTGATTTATAGATTTGTGCAATATCTGGTACTAAGGGGTCATCTGGATTAGGATCACAAAGTAGAGAACATATGGACAATAAAACTAGATTTAAAAGAGAACATCACATTAGACAATAACCCTTCTACTTCATACAAATTACATATGTGAAAATAATTTTAGTGAATATAGATACTGTACTTATAAAAAAAACATAAAATGAACACATCAAATTATATTTTATTCTACTTTGGTTGATAGCAAATTGATCTTTAATTTTTAAAGTTATAAAATTACCATAGGATGCATAAAATATAAAATTATTTTAGCTTTTGAAGTTTTAAATTCCGAGTTCCCATTTATTTAAAAAAATGTGACCCTCCAAAGTAGCTATTAACAACCTTTAAACTTGAGAGTTCTCTACAGAACAATCAAATTACAGTTAACAGTCCAAACCATTTTGGATACTGTGCTCATACACTCTTTTGCTTTGGCTTAGAGCTATAGTCTGTCTACAAAGAAGAAAAATTTGTAAAATTTTTTTCAATGAATCTTTACTTAATGTAGTTTATTTGTATTGCATGCATTTAAAAATAATGTGAACAGCTATCTTTATATAGCTTGCATATTTTAAAAAAGAAATGAAAATTGAAAAAGTAGTTGTTACTCCAGTATGTCAAAATTCTAATGCAAATAGCTACACTAACACACACACACACACACACTAACGATCTAAGTATCTGAAATAAGAGGGAACAAGGACTCTGGTTCCTCATTTGTCTGCTTCAATTGCATGCCACCACTTCTGAGGAGGTTCATGGAACCTCTGGACCAACCTCCCATTTCCACTTGCACCCACCCCACTGCGTTTCCTTTCTATTTTCGTACTCTTTCAAGTCCAAAGGTGGATTTATAGAGCAGAGTTGACTCTTACAATGACAGGCAAAGGGTGGGGGGGTGTTATGAACTAAAGAAAAAATTAGTATTTTATTCATCTTTCTTATCTTCTATCTGCCCAATGAAACTTAAAAGCCTTGTATATTAAACCAACAGGGCAGATTTTCAGGGCTAACTTACAGCCCCAGAATGCTTCCAGACTAACCTCATGATAAAAAGCAAAAGAAGACATTTAAAATATGGAAAAGCTCCAGGCAATGGTGGTATGTGCCTATAATGCCAGCTACTTGGGAGGCTGAGGTGGAAGAATCCTTGAGCTTAGGAGTTCGAGACCAGCCTGGGCAACACAGCAACTGCATCTCAAAAAATAAAAAAATAAAAATAATAAGCTGGGCAAGGTTGCTCACACCTATAATCCCAGCACTTTGGGAGACCAAGGCAGGAGGATCACTTGAGGCCAGGAGTTTGAGACCAGCCTGGGCAACACAGCAAGACTCTGTCTATATTTAATTAAAAAACAATCTTTTAAGATAAACAAATTAAAAATTTAAAAAAATATAGCAAAGTAAAAAATATACAAACAAATGAGCAAGGTATGATCTATCTTATAAAAAAGTAAGCAAGAAGGAAGTTCCTCCTCTGCTCACCCCTACTGCCAGGAGCCATTTGCCCCAGTTTCACTATCATGCACACAAACCATGTCTATCCTTTAAGGTAAGGAAAAGGGTAACAGTTAACATTCATGTAAGTGCCCACTATGTGCTAGGTACATAGCAACCCTGTATGGTAACACTATAAGAATCCCCATTTTACTTATAAGGAAACTGAGGCTGTTTCATTTCTCACAGGATGGTTTCCAGAATCTAACACTACTGATTCTTTATAAAAGGCTACCAATGTCAGAATATAAGTACTCAATATCTGGCAGTTTGCCATTTCTTTTATATGTATAAGGACTTGGCAGTTTATATGCCAAGTGAGATCCATTTTGTGACACCATTCCAGGAAACAGCGTATGAACTTGAATTAACCCTTCAACACAGAATCTTTCATATATCTAATGCATGACAGTTACACTGTGTGAAAGATTCTTAAAAGAATATGAGAATCTATATGAATACTGTAGATGAGCATCTTAGGTCAGAAAAACTATCGTTCATAAATAATTGAACTGAAAGAGCTATTATTTATCTAATATTTGAAAGAGCTACGGCTGTGGACCCTGCTTCCTATAAACCTTATTACTTTTAAAAACATGCTGTATATTCAAGTAGCAATTATTAAAAATAAAAAATGAGTACAGATTGCTTCCATAAATCCCTTCAAGAGAAACATTTTCTTCAATTTTATAAAAACGGAAAACTTGATGGTTGCTTCAGTGCAGCTACTTCTAACCTAAACAGTATTTTCCAACTGTCAGGTTCTCTTCTTTCAGAGAAACAAGACATAAATTAAGAGTGCTAGCACAGTAAGTAGCAGTGGCTAATGAAATAAAATGGCTTGAGATGCCTATGTATACACCTGATAATCCAGCAAAGAACAGCTATACCCCTGTAAAAGTTGAGAATCAGCACAGATCTTGTGTCAGTCACTATAATGATGCTACTGATTATTCGAAGTTTAGACTAACATGCTATATGTACTGCATTATCCTACAGTGTGAAATGTCTTTCATCTTAAATCATTTATCAATCAAATCTGGTATTTTATTCTTGGATGAAGTAAAACAGCTGTAAAGCTTTATTATTGTCAACATTTCCATTTAATGAATGGGACAACCAGTCCCAAAATCTTCCTTTTACTATCTCTTATTCTCTCTCTTCTTTTGCAGAGATGGGGTCTCCTATGTTGCCCAGGCCGGTCTCGAACTCGGGCTCAAGCAATCCTCCACTTCAGCCTTCCAAAGTGTTAGAATAACAGGCATGAGCCACAGTGCCCGGGCACTCTCTCTTTTTTAAAAGACAACACCCAAGCTAAAAGGATAAAATATCAATAGGTTTATCCCCAAATTTCTAGCTCTGATATTTTAAGGTTTTTTCTCATTTCATCATTTAGATTTGTCCATCCACACTCCCCTCAACCAAAGCTAACTGCCAAAAGCCATAGTAACATAAGAGCAAAGAGAGCAAAACAAAATCAAAACAGGAGAAAGCACAGTTGATTGTTGTTTTAAAACTTTAGTCCATAGGTAATTCTGCTGTATTTTTCCTGTCTCACTGTTATCAACTGTTTCAAACCTGATCAATGAAATTACCTTTTGATACAGTCAGAGCTGGTGACCATTGTGACCTCAGAATATCGAGACAAATACTTCCATTACTGTTTATGTTTGGATGGTAAATTTTTGTTGTGAAAGCAATCTAAACATAAAACAAAACAACAAAATATGACAATCACCTTTGAATCAACTATGAATAAAACAGAACCAATTTGCTCTAGGGTAAAATATCCTCAACTTTACATAACTTTAGAGGAGAAAAGTCATCAACACAAATCAAATAATTATCTACTTTGTGCTACACACAGTTCTAGCTAGTGAGAATGTGAACACAAACAAGTCAGCTTCCTTCTTTTGCCCTCAAAGGAACTGAAGAGTATTTTGGACAGTGTAATAAATAAGTCTCTAGTAGCCGGTATGACTGGTTGAGCAGCATCTAAAGTAATTAACCATGGCTTCCATCATATGTAGAAGTAATCCTTTTCTTAATTTGATTATTGGTGATACCTGGAAGTAACATTTGGATCTAAAACCAGGGTGCTGACGCTGTTTCAGGGCAAAGTTGAGGCGTCTCAGCTAAGAAATCCATTAAGAATCCTAATTTTCCACAAGAGTTGTCATACCATTTCATAAATACAATGTTAATCTGTTTTTAACTATTTAAAATAATTATATCCTGAGTGACAAAATCTGCCCACTTTTCCCCTCCCTGATATCCCCATCATTTGTTTCCTCTTTAGAGCAAATCTAAATCTAACATGTGTTTCTCTCTCCTACCATACTAAATTAAGGGACTGCTTCATATTTACTTTCGGATTCCCCAGTGTAGAAGAACACAGTAGGTACTCGGTGAATGTTTATTGAATACTTAAAAAAAAAAAACAGAGAAAGAATGATCAACTTTGTAAGGATAATCCCATGAATAGAAAAGTCTGACTCTTAATCATAAAAACGTCCCAAACTACACATATCCAATAAGAAGGAAAAGAAAAGCAAGGAATTTAATTTATAGCATGACACGTACTGACTTTTGTTTTATAGACTTAATACAGTATTTCAATAAGAAATCAGATTTTAGATTCAGTAGTTTTTACAAAACAGTTTGAAAATGCTAACCTCCCCACAGTCTTTGACATATCAAATGAGCTCTAGATAATCAAATGAGCTCTAGATAAAGAATAAAATCTCTTACATGGGAGTCACATCAATCATAAAAATAAAAATACCTTTGGTGGTTTAAAAGGATAATCTGTCGGAAAATGTACAGTGAGAAAGAAGACTCCACCTTGATATGCGCTATCAGGCTGAAATTACAAAAGATTTGCATCAGCATTTGATTACTATATTTATTTATAACAACAAAATTATTTCCCCCAAATATTATCAGTTTGAAAAAAATGCCATCATGTTTAAAATAATTTCATTAAATATTACCAATATGAAAAAAATGCAACCATTTTGTCATAAGTTCAAATCATTTACTTTGAGAACAGGTTTCTCTGCAGGTACGAAGGAGGATTTTCCAACAACTATGCCGACATCATAAAATTTAAAACAAAACAAAAACAGGACACACACAGTGCTGTGACTTGTCCAAACAAATCTGGTTATGAGTACAAATTGTTAAAGATCAGTATACACACGACTGCTGTGGGAAAAGATCATTTTCTGCAGCCGTAATCAGTATTTTTTTTGAAAAAGGGTTGAGGATAGTAAAACTTAAGTTCTGATGTTCACTTGATGACCAAGAATGGAGATGAACTGAAGAGGCTGTCGTGAAAAGAAAATGCTAAGGACCCTGCTACACAATTTATGTGCCAAATCTTCGTTTAGTAATTATTTATAAAATAATGTAGAGAACCCAAAAAAATCCAAAACAAAATTATATATTCATGCTACTATCAAATTGGGAATCAACTTTACTAGAGAAATTTAAATTTGACCATGTTTCTTTATAGCCATTAGAAAATATAACATTACAAGCAAAAAAATTTTAAAAAAAGAAAATGCTAGCAAACTATACCTACAATTCTATTTTAATTCTTTCATATTTAATTAAATATATCATGTTATATTAGCATTCTGGTAATAACACCAAGACTCATTACTTTCTCGTTAAGTTTCCACATATATGCTAGAGGATTTTCCTGTATAATAATTCTTACTATATATATTGTTTAAACAATTCTAGTTTATCAAAAATTGTAAGAAATATAGAAAATGAAGATAAATTACAATGACAGATATGGTCCAGAGTACTGTAAATATTTACATTACTAAAGTAAGGGAGTTATGAATAACATGATTATAACCATTTGTTACATGTGATTCACCTAAAAAATATTTGTGAAAGGCCATAATTCAAAAGGTAAGGGTGGGCCTTTAAATGAGAGTATTTTGAAGGTTCTTAGTAACTAATTAAAAACAAACAGAAATAAATGGATTCTTATTGAAAGTTGTTATATAAATACATTGTATTTTGCCTTTTTAGAAAAACAAACTTAATAAAACAATAATTTGAGACAACTGCCCAGAGTACTGCTTTGAAATTCAGTAGTTTTGGTGTTTTTTAAAGTTAAACACAAGGTCGTATGATTAAAAACTCTGTAACTCACTAGATAAAGCTCTTTCAGGGCAGGGAGAAGAGAATGGTGTTCATGGAAACATGTTACTTATGTACTCTCACCCAGAAAGTAGATTTGAGCTGTCAGTGCTCATTCTTATGCAATCAGATTTTTTGCTCATAGAAAGAAAAAGCCTGTTTCAAGTCTTGTAACTGCCTCTAAAGTATTGAAAGAAATAATTTTAACAAAAGTAATAAGTATTGAGAGTAGCCAATTATCAAACAGCAGATAATTTTGTGTTTAGGACAATGCAACAAAATTAAAAGCAGCAAATTTATAAGGAGGTAAAGACAGACCCATTGTAATATTTTATTGATTCTCTTTCACAAAAAAGAACAGTGATGAAACTTATGGCAAACTGACACTTGTTACTTGTAGGAATTCAATTATTGGCTTCATTAGACTAATTTCTAACCTACCAAAACTGTGGATGTGAGAATGATTATGGTTAATTACAACTAACTCTCTGTGACTTAAAAAAAAAAAAAAAAAAGATAAACACACAGCCTGGTTGCGAGCTGTGGCACTCCATTATGTGTAATGATCTAGGATTCAGCAAAGGAAAACATAATAGTGATCCCAGGAAATATTTGCCACCAATGCTTTGGAAAATCATTGTAAATCCTTAATAATATTTTGCTTCCTAGGTGATTCAAAGTACAAGAATATTCAACCTTCATCACAAACATCTGATCAAAGGTGAAATGGCAAGAATGAAGTATGGCTGAGGGGGTTAATTTCATAGATATGAATCATACTTACAGGCCCCATAATAGTGGCTTGCCAGTGGAACACTGAAACAAACAAAGGAGTTTTGGAGTCATTAACAAATGTTCAAACCTATATTTTTAAAGGTAGCATAATCCCAGAAATAGAGCAAGGCTTACAGTCATCTCCCACAGGTCCAGCTGAACAGTGAGCAGGTGGATCGCGCTGTAGATCACTCAATTCCTGAAGGAAATCAAAAATATGTAAGGTTAATTCCTTCTTTTCCCAATGAAACAAGGGTAATGATCCATTAAGATGCAAACTATTAGCTTTAAAAACATTTAAAGCAGTTCTATTCAAAATATAAAAACATAAATTGTACTCTGTCATTGACTGGTAGAAAGAATAAGGTACTCAATTCCTCCATGAGACAGCTTCAGACCTTGAAAAGATTAAATGGAAAAAAAATACTGTTTTTCTTTAACATCCCTAAGAGAAAAACTATTTAATGAGTACCTACTGTATGTAAGATAATTTATGTAAATGCTAGGTTGATAATATATCAGAAAACAGGTACTATTTTAACAGGTTACAATCTATTGAGGGAGCATGAAGGCTCAGAAAGAATAATACTTCAGGATAACTTTTTTTTTTTTTTTGAGACAGGATCTCACTTTGTCGCCCAGGATGGAGTGCAGTGGCACGAAAGCTCACTGCAGCCTCAACCTCCTGGGCCTAAGCGATCCTCCCACCTCAGGCCCCCACTCCTACCCCGAGTAGCTGGCACTACAGGCATGTGCCAGCACACCCGGCTAATTTTATTTGTAGAGATGGGGTCTCGCCATGTTGAACAGGTTGTTCTCCAACTCCTGTGCTCAAGTGATCCACCTGCCTCGGCCTCCCAAAGTATTGAATTACAGGCATGAGCCACTGCACCCAGCTCATTTAAGGACAACTTGAAATGGGAAATAAACGAGCAGCAGTCAGGCCATGTTTTGAAACTTAGAACATTGATTCATACCCTGTTTCCTGCCCTCAAGGCAGCAAAGATCACAGAAAGGACACAGCTTTAGAGTTCACCCCGCCCCTGGGTTGTAATTCCAGTTCTTTCCATTTTTCTTCTTTTCTCTTTTTTGGATTTTTTTTTTTCCTCTAACAGAGAGAATTCCAGTTCTAATAGATCTCACTCTTTGGCCTTGTGGAAGTTACTTCACTTCTTTAGCCACAGTTTGGGAGAAACTGATCATCCCAAAGAAGAAAGGCATACATTCAATATAAAGGACTATAACTGAAGAACTTAATTTAGTTTGGAAGATCAATAATCATCTCTGAGGAAGTGACATTTAAGCTGAAATCTAAAGGATGAGTAGGAGTTACTTTTGGAGGAAAAGAGTGATACTGGGAGGCAGAGTGGCAGAGGATGAGGCTGGAAATGTGGGCAGAAGCCAGGCAGGAAACAGACAACCATACAGACCACATTAATGATGTGGTGTTTTATACCAAATGCATTAGGTAGGGGGTGAGGGAGGTCTTAAGAAGTGGCATGTTCTGATTTAATGGATGGTTGTGACTGGATTAGACATGGGAAAGAGGAGAAGCTACAATATTAGTTGCTGCATAGGCAAGAAAAATGGGGGCTTAGATTGGAGAAGTGGCAACAAGATAGAAGTGGTAGATGTGAGATACTCTGAAGGGCCTATCTATCACAGGAGTTGATGAATTACATGTGCAGAGGAAGGAGAGAAGTCATAGATATGTATGATGAAGATTAGGGACAGCTAACATTTATTCAATGTCTTAGTCATTCTAACAATCCTCAGAGATAGGTGTTATTATGTTCCCCATTTTACAAGTGAATAGTTAAGGTGACATACTTCACTGCATGCTTGAGTAACTACTATAGGGCGGAACTGGGATTCAAACCCAGGTGGGCGATCATCTCATGTTTTAGTTCCACAAATGTACGAATGTGGATGCCATTCACTGAGATAGAGAACAATAGAAGACAAACTGATTTGGAGAGTAGATATGTTGAATCTGTAATCCTTGTGATATGAAGAAACAATGTGGTTCAACATACAGGGGTGGACCTTAAAAAAGGATAGAAATTGGAAAATCATTGCATATATCTGATATTTAAAACCATGAGAATGATGTAAACATTTTTGTGGGAACACACAAAAATAAATATGCACTTAATCAAATCTAAGATGTCATCAACTGTACAGCACATCCTTATTTTAAGTACCAATAATTAAGAAAAAATGCTGCCAATTTATTTTAAAACACCATCAATTGTAAAATGCATCCACACTTTAGAAAAGTTAAAATGTGAAAGATGTCCACCTTAGAATCACTGCAATAAGGTAATTATGGCAATGAGTTCAGTGCTCTAATAGAGACAAACAAGAAGGAGGGTGTGACAGGGAAAGGCCTTCCTAAGAAAGTGATAAATGAGCTGGGTGACTGAGCCAGGTACAAACTCAGGTCTCCTTCTAAGCTCAATGTTATTTTCCAGTATACCTTGGTATTTTCATTTTTGTTTTGCTTTTTTTTTTTTTTTTTTTAAATAGCTGGTGCGGTTTCTCTTCCTAGTAAGAATTAACTAACAGGGTTAGCTGCTTCTTTGGTCCATGTTACAGTTAAGCAATAACGGACCAAGCAGGCTGATTCATGCCTGTAATTCCAATTACTTGGGAGGCTGAGGCAGGAGGGTCGCCTGAACCCAGGAGTTCGAGGCTGCAGTAAACTATGATTGGGCCTCTGCACTCCAGCCTGGGTGACAGAGCAAGACCGCATTTAAAAAAAAAAAGAAAAAGAAAAAGCAATAAGGAAACAGATTTCAGACTTTGACTTAACTATGCTGGGTAAAAGCAGCAAGGCTTTGAAGTTCAAGTCTGGGTGCCACCACTCACTTCCCACATGATCTTGGGAAAAATCTTTTTTTCTCTCTCCAAAGCTCAGTTTTCAAGTGGCACTACCTCCATCCACAGTTTCTATGACAACCAAGTGAAATGATACATGTCAAGTGTACAGCACAGTCTCTGGCACATAGTAAGCATTCAAATAAAGGGAACTGACAGCCTTCCAATTCTCTAGCAGCAGAATACAATTATTAAAATAGTTTAAATGACTGAGGGAGGAACAGTTCCCAAATCACAGCCCCATTTTAGAAGGGCTGTGCCTTGTAACAGTTTTCTAATTTGGGCTTTTAGGAGATTGCCTCTGTAATTATTCATCATGTTGAATTTTCTAAACATTAGTGTAAATGGGACTTCTTTGCCCTCATTTTAACTAGCAAACTAGTTAATCAGAAAATGATAGTCTCTGTAGTTTTAAAAAATTGTTAATGACTTGCATGTACATATTTTACAGAGATAATGTGTATGTGAATAAATCATACATATGCACAAATACATACTGATTTTCTTTATTAACAAGAAAAATGAAAACCTTATTTTAGTTGGAACAGCCTTGAACCATATTCAAATTTCACATGTCAGGCTGTTCTTCAAAACCCTTTAAAATATTATATTATATATAAAAACAAAGGTTATCTTGTTATTATTATTATTTTTGATGCACTAATTCTACCTCCTCTGTTAGAAGTTAGGGCTAAGGAAGAGAGAGAAAATCTAACACACACCTGAAAAGGCCGAGTTCTTAAGCTGTCACTTTATTACAGCTCATCCACATAGGAAAGAGGCAGCTGATAGTATATCAAACATCCTTAATATTCACATGGATCATTATTTGTCACAAATAATTACAGTAATGCTTTGGGGAGGAGACTTACATAACCTACACTTTTTAGGAGGGTCTAGATTCCTAATGTTCTATCCCTTTGTCAATCCATGTGTCTGGAAATACGTCCTGTTATTTTTTCAGAAATACGTAACTGAAACTAGGATGCGTATGTGCAGATAGAATGACCTACAGAAAACAAAAGGTACAACACATTCCCACTCTGGTCCACAAAAATACAGACTTTAAATTTGAAAAAAGAAAAATGAAGATATTTTGGAAAATTTTGAGATGTGTTAATGAGGTGAAAATATAAAACAAATAGAAACTACAACTAGACAAACAAAAACCCCACTTTTTTTGCTTAGTCTGTGCAGCAGCCAGTGTACTTTTAGATGACAGACAAAATCAAGGATCACTTTTATTTGTTGAATTCTTTCTTTTGATTTAGATTACTCTAAGTTTTTCTGGAACTGCCTTACTACCTGATCTATGCTTTCTCTGCTATAACTGACATTCTTAGTTATCTGCTTTTAGCACCACTACTACATATGGGGTATTAAAGATAATTTAAGGATTTTTATGTTATTCCAAACGGATATGTTAGGATTAGTACTCTCTTCCCTTGCCCTTCTCCCCTACTCACCAAGTAAGAATTAACACTGAATTAGACAACTTGCTCAAGACCATAGGAACCTCTGAAGAGCCAGGACTTAACTCCACATTCCTCACTCTAATAGAAGTCCCTCTTGAGAACAATTTATATACCCCAGATTCCCACTTCTTGAATATTTCTTCCTATTCCACCACTACCTAGAAATCTAAGATGCACCCTATAAATAGCCTCCCAATAACGATTTCATAAGCCCCCCAGGCTTCCTGCCAAGAACTCTTCATGGCCATGCTTTTGTCTTTATCACATGCTGCATTAAAAGATCTCAAAGACAAAGGATTTAAAAGCATTCAATATTTTCATTAAGTATTTTATCTACATATGTGTGTTACAAAAGCAAAGCAATGATTTGTAGGAAAAAAGAGAGCGAGCAATGTATAGTTAAGCACCCACAAGACCATACCTGGACCAAACCATTGTCAATTACAATACTTCCATCCACAGCTTTGTTGGGAAATAAGCATGTCACTCACTGTTGGAGGGAGGATAAGTTGATACAGTCTTTTGGAGGGAAATTTGGTAATAACTGCAAAAGTAGAAAATGGATATGGTCTCTGACCCAGCAATTTCACCTCATAGAAATTACTGCCCTGGTAGCTAAAGATACATATATAAGGATATTTACTGCAGCATCTTGTATAAGTATGAAAACTGAAATAACCTAAAGGTCCATCAATAAGAGAATGGCTTCATGAAATAATACAGCCATATTATGAAATACTGAGTAGCTATTTAAAACAGTGAAACAGATCTATATATATTGACATTGAAAAATGTTAAGTGAACGTAATATACAATTGAATGAAAAACACAAGTTACAGGACAGTATGCCCATTATGATCTCATAATATACATATAAATTCTAGGCAAAAATAAATAAATAAAAGGATACACAACAAATTGTTAATGGTAGTTATCTCTGGGAGATACTACTGGGTTGCTACTTCTTTATGTTTTCTACACCATTTAATTTTTTATAATACTTTTGTAACTTTTTAAAGAAAAATAAAGATTTTTATTCAGGTTCTTAAGCATTTTAAAAGATAAAATATCCCACTCTGAGAGAATGGAGGTAATAAATAAATACATAAATATAAAAAAAGAGATAAAATGGCATTGGTTTTTTTTCCTCTACATATATATTAAGCATCTTCTCTTTTCATTAAAAATGTTTTATAAGACAATGAAAGAAAGACTGAGGTACTGTCACAGATTGGAGGATAGCTACTAAGAAGACCCAACAATTAAATCCAGTGTGGGATCCCAGATTGGATCTTGTAACAGGAAGAAGGCATTAGTGAAAAAAAACTGGTGAGATTTGAATTATGTGTGTAGTTAATAGCGTGATACCAAGGTTGCTTTCCTTGTTTAACTGCACAGTGGTTATATAAGTTGTATTAGGGGAAGTTAGGTTAAGGATATATATGAACCTTATTATTTTAACAACTTTTTTGTAAGACAAAATTATTTCAAAATGTTAGAGGTAAAACTTTTTATATACAATCTAAAACTTAATTCCCTACTTTCTTTCCCAAGCTTAATTATTTTCCTGTACTCCCCATGCCTGTTAATGGGACATAAGCCAACCAGTCATAAGGCTCAAAATCTTAGCACTGTTTTGACTTTCCTCTTTGTCTGTCCTTTGTATTTAATCAGATGTACTATATTTATATTCTTCCTCAAAACCCATTACGTTGCTTCCCACAGTTACCTCAAATATCAATTACAGTTCAATTGTAACTGCTTCCGATACTCTAGGCATTACTTGCAATAAAAAAAATCTTCTAAAAGCACAGCTCCTTTTATTTCACTCTTCTACTTTATTTCAGTGGCTCCCCATTGCTTAGTAAAGACCAAATTCCCCCAGTGAACATCTTTTCATTATCTAGTCCCAAACCTACACTCTTATTTGGGTTCCCCTTCACAAACTTGCCCAGTGATTCTCCAAAGAACCCCCTTGGGTTTTCTAAAACACTTTCAGGAAGTCTATGAGATCAAAATTAATTTCATAATAAAACTCAGATGTTATCTATCTTTTCATTCTCAATATCTCATGAGTATATAGTAGAGTTTTCCAGAGGCTTAATGACATGTGGTATTTTAACAGATTAATGCATAAGCATATGTGAGAATCCAGCTGTCATCTGTAAGCTTGACTATAACGAGATTTGAAAACATAAAACAATGCCACTCTACTTTTTTGTTTGGAAAATATAGTTATTTTTCACAAAAAAATGTTATTTATGTTAATGCAGTGGATTTGTTATTCTTAAATTATTTACTATTTAAGATGTTTTATTTTCTATTATTTATTTACTTATTTATTTGAGAGATGGAGTCTTGCTCTGTCGCCCAGGCTGGAGTACAGTGGTACTATCTCAGCTCACTGCAACCTCCACCACCCAGGTTCAAGTGATTCTCCTGCCTCAGCTTCTCAAGTAGCTGGGACTACAGGCATGTACCACCACGCCCAGCTAGTTTTTGTATTTTTTAGTAGAAAAGGGGTTTCACTATATATTGGCCAGGCTGGTCTTGAACTCCTGCCTCAGCTTCCCAAAGTGCTGGGATTACAGGTGTAAGCCACTGAGCCCGGCCAAATATTTAAATTGTTCTAATCTCTCATATGGTAAATGATAATACAAATAACCCACAGAAACAAACAATTCTTTGGATTCTACAATACTTAATAATATTAAAGGTTAATTTGTTCAGTGGCAACCAAAAAAAAAAAAATTAAAGGGGTACTGAGACCAAAAAGTTTAAGAACTGCAGGTATAACCTGACTACTTGGATGTTTCCTAGACACAGTTAAGTTTTCTGGCCCTTATAATTTTCTTTCTTCTAAAATAACCTTCCTTTCATCTCCCATGATCAAATTTTACCTGCTTTCCTTAATGCTATCTTTTCAAAGTCCAATTACTAGCTGTGTGACCTTGGGCAATTTACTTAACCTCTTTGAGTCTCAAGTGTGCCGTATGTAATATGGGGACATCTCTGGTTACCTTTAAGAACTGTACTGAGAATTAAAATTTCATACCCATGTATAAAAATACATAGGTAAAGCACCTAGCTTAATACCCGACATGTATAATAGATGCTTAATAAATGCTAACTTTCCCCCATCTGTTCCTCTTCTACCGGAATGTTTTTTAAAACTAAGAATTTTATGCACTTTATTTATGGATCCCGCCATAATACTTAGCACAATGCCTTTCACATAAGGTGTTTGGTATTATTTGAATCAGCAATAAAATTTAAAGAAAAATTTCATCAGTAGAAGATAAATATCTCAAATTTCAATATTTTACAAATGCAAGTGATTAGAGAATCAAATCAAAATAAATTATTCTTTTATATAGATATGCAGATTGCATACGGTAAAAAGTATAACAGGTGTTAGAATAGTGCAGGTCACTTGAAAACACTATGGTGAGCTTTTAAATAACATGTGAAACACAAAAATGAATATCAAAAGAATATTAATTACTAAGATATTATGCCATTGTCACAACTATTTTCAATTTACAGAATGTATTATATATTCTAGCAAAGTATCCAAAGCCACACAAAATTCTTGTTAAATTTTTGTTTCCATTTCTCTAGTTCAGAAGATCTCAAAGCTCTAAACATTCCTTATTGTTTATTTAGGATGGTATTGACCTACTTTCAGGACACAGCTATGGGTTGCTTTCCAAGGGGAGTTAGGGGTTTGTGCTGAGCTGACCTCATCTCAAAGTAAGTCGTCTTCTAACCACTGGCAATCCTTAGTGACAGAGCTGCCCACAGACAAGCTGCAGTCTGTGGCGTGGACAGAGATTTTGTTTGTTTGTTTATTCCATGGTTAACTTAACCAGATGGGCTAAATGTAGAAATTTATTAAGTACTTCTACATCCTTTCTAACAGGCATTATTCAGATTTTATACTTTCATCCCAACTATACCCCTCCAAGGCATTAAAGATTTAATGCAATAGTATCAGATTATGATGCTAATAAAAATCCTCATAAATCACTGGTCAGGCACATTGTTGATGATTAAACTGGGGCATGAAATTAAAGGAGAACTTACTCATTTGTGGAAACAATATTTTTACAAGATGTAGCTTAAAAGTTATAGCAAAGAGGTCCTCTAGGTTCTTAGAAACTTAAAAGTAGCTACAGAAGTTGTACCTCCAAGGAAATACAAGAGTAGCTATAAGTCTCAAGGGTCCCCTTCTGAATGTGTCACTAAAGTTTAGAATACTGCAGGGAACCCTGGAAAGAAAGTTTATCCTAGGACAGAAGAGTGATCTAGTAAGGAACTAGTAAAAATAACTGATGTAAACTACCTTCTAAATCAAAAATAAGGAACTAGTAAAAATAACTGATGTAAACTACCTTCTAAATCAAAAATAGAAACTGATATATGAAATATTAAAAAGTAAGGTGATAAGACCTGGTAAATTCTGAAAAGTCACAAGGATTGCCTCAGAGTTTACTTCCTATCCATCTCTTTAAACTTGGGGCACACTTTAGTACCCCTATTTGTGAAATGGTAGATTGCTGGGGGCATAGAAATAGTAATTTTTTTTTTCGATTTAAGAGATGGGGGTCTCCTTATGTTGCCCAGGCTGGACTCAAACTCCTGCGCTCAAGCAATCCTCCCGCCCTACCCTCCCCAAGTGGTTGGGATTCCAGGCACATATCGCCACATCCATGATTTTTTTTTTAATTTGCCAGTTATTACAAGTAGGACTCAGGGCTGCTGCCATCTTGCCACACAGACCGTGTGCCACTGACAACAAAGGACACCATTCACACAGGCCCCAAAGTGAGTGTTGCTCCCTGGGAGCTCTGCAAAGCCTTAATACAGAAAGTTGCACATAGGAAATAAACATATCCTTTAAACCTAACTTAGCATATCATCACTGTCTCAGGCAAACAAAAGTGCTTCCACTTTTGATGTGGAAGCAAAAGTGATGGTGTTTGGCATCTGAATGGGACCAAGAGTACTTATTTCACCTTTAGCTACTGTGACAATGTGTTGAAAATGGAAAGAAAAAAAAGAAATGTGAAACCCAGAACTCAAAAATTAAAAAGTGAAAACAATGACATTTCTAGTAGAGGGAAAGTTTTTTTTCAATAGATGGTGCTGGGTCAATTAGGTATCCATATGAGGAAAAAACAACCTTGATCCCCCTACCTCAAATAATATACAGTTACGTGCCACATAATGTCTCAATCAACTGATTGCATATATAGTGGTCACATAAAATTATAATGGAGATGAAAAATTCCTATCACCTAATGACCTTGTAGCCATCCTAACATCGCACTGCAATGTCTTACTCATATGCTTTAGTGATGCTGGTGTAAACAAATCTACTGTGTTACCAGTCCTATAAAAGTATAGCACATACAACTGTGTATGGTGCATAATAAATGACAGTGATAATCCACAACTATGTTACTGGTTCATGTATTTACTACATTGTACTTTTAATCATTATGTCAGCATGTACTCTTTCTACTTATAAAATAAAAAAAGAACGGTAAAACAGACTCAGGCAGGTTCTTCAGTAGATATTCCAGAAGAAGGGACTGTTATCAGAGGAGACGACAACTCCATGCTGTCCCTGAAGACCTTCCAGTGGGACAAAATGTGGAGGTGTAGAGGTGGAAGACAGTGATACTGAGTATCCTGACCCTGTGTAAGCCTAGGCTAATGTGTGGGTTTGTGTCTTAGTTTTTAACAAAAAAGCTTAAAAAGTGAAAAAAATGTGAAAAAAATTAAAATAGAAGCTTATAGAACAAGGATATTAAAAAGGAAATATTTTTATATAGCCATATAATGTGTTTTGTGTTTTAAGCAAAGTGCTATTACAAAAGAGTCAAAAAGTTAAAAAAATAAAGTTTATAAACAAAGAGTTACAGTAAGCTAAGTTTAATTTATTATTGAAGAAAGAAAAATATTTTTCATATAAATGTGTATATACTAAGTGTATGTACAGTGTTTATAAAGTCTACGGCAGTGTACAGTAATGCCCAAGGCCTTCACATTCACTCACCACTTACTCGCTGACTTACCCAGAACAACTTCCAGTCCTGCGAACTCCATTTATGGTAAGTGCCCTATACAGGCATACCATTTTTTCTCTTTTATACTATATTTTTACTGTACCTTTTTAATGAGTAGCTATATTTAAATGCACAAATATTTCCCACTGTGTTACAATTGCCTACAGTATCAGCACGGTAACATGCTGTATAGGTTTCTAGCCTAGGAGCAACAGACTACACTATATAGCCTAGATGTATAGTAGGCTGTACCATCTAGGTTTGTGTAAGTACACTCGATGATGTTTGCACAATGACAAAATTGCCTAACGATGCATTTCTCAGAAATTATCCCTGTCATTACACAATGCATGACTATACAAAAATCAATCCTAAATAGACTGTAGGTTTAAGTGTGAAAGCTAAAATAATAAAGCTTTTTAAAACCCCATAAAGGCAGAGATTTAACAGGACACAAAGAGCACTAACAATAAAAGAAAAAATGAAAAATTTGGACTTGATTAAAATTAAGAACATCTGTTCACCAAAAGGCACATTAAAAGTGTGAAGAGACAAGCCACAAAGTGAGAGAAAATATTTGCAATATTACATGTATCTGACAAAAGGCTCATTCAGAATATGTAAAAGATATTCCTACAGATCAACTTTTTAAAAAGCAGCTTAAACATAAACAGGCACTTTGCAAAAGAAGCTACCCAAATGGCCAATACACATATATATATATCAGAAGGGGCTCAGTTTCATTAGTCATCAAGGATATGCAAATTTAAACCAAAATGCTATGCCACTACATATCCAACACAATGATTTAAATGAAATAGAAGAGAGTACAAGTGTTGGCAAAGATTTGAAGCAAATGGAACTCTGGAACTCCTGGTGGAAGAGGAAAACTGATAGTAACCACTAATGGCAAACACGGAAATACTCTATGACCTAGCATTTCTACTGCTAAGTATATACCCAACAGAAAAGTGAATATGCATGCCAAAGTGCCATTATTTGTAATAGCCCCAAACCAGAAGCAACTCAATGTCCACCAACAGTAGAACGAACCAGAAGCAACCCAAAGTCCACCAACAGTAGAACGAACAACTCGAAGCATATTCATGCAGTAAGAATGAATGAACTTACAGCTCCAGGCAACAATATAGATGAATCTTACAAATATGGTGAGCAAAAGCAGCCAGAGACAAAAGATACATACTGTATGATTCCCCTTAAATAACGTTCAAAAACAGGCTACAGTAATGTACGGTGATAGAGATTAGAATAGTGATTTACCTTGACGACAGAGGTAAAGCTAAGAAGGGAGAAGAAAGGGTTTCTAGGGTCCTTGTAATACTATTTCTTGAGCTGGGTGCTGGTTTCACAGGTTTGTTCACTTTGTAAAAATTGGTCAAGCTGTATACTTATGTCTGTATAACTGAAACAAAAAGTTTACATTGTAACTTTTAAAATGTATTTTGCCACAACGAATAACATAATGATAACATAAAAAAAAGGGCAAGGATCTATAGAATTCATATAATGGAAAAGATGGCTATCAAATAATAAGACTAGTAATAAATCTGTATATGAAAAGAATTCATTATAGAAGCACACTGTGTGAGTATACATATATTTTGTGTATTTCGGTTTCATTTCCAGTGACTTTTAATCTAAAATTGAAATGCATTGTTGATTCTATTTCCTTCTTCCCCTTTGAGACAAAAATAAGCTTAGAACAAGTCAACCCTATACCTAAACAGATCAAGCAATAAATATCATCAAACTGGTGAAAGTATGTTCCACAAAAAAGTAGTCTGTGCCAATGAAGCAATTTTCTATTCTAATGTGATTAATATTCAAATAAAAAAACTAGCTAGAAGTATCTAAATTTTAAAATAAAAATATAAGATATTAATGATCAGTAAATTAAAGGATAGTGCCTTTATATCATGACTAGAACTATAAAAGCACTTACAATAAAGCCACAAAAATGTATATTTAATGGATTTATATAGCCTTACATTGCTAAGCACCTCTATTCTAGTTCAGATTTCTATAAACAACGAGACACAAAGAAAAGTACTGAAAGGTCTGAAACTGAATTTTAAATTGCCACAGATGGCATGTTTATAACACCCCCACAATATGCTGAGTGTTCTCCATAAAACCAACCTAGACACAATCCCTGCCTCTAGGGGACTTAAAATCTAAAAGTAGATGAGGCAGCCTAATTCAAACAAAGTAAACAAATAAAAGGAAACAAAGAAGGGAATGTAAGAGAAGGGGCCTGCATTAATCTCCTGGCTCCCAGAAGGGTAACAGGCCAATCTGAAGAGAGGAGAATAAAAGCAAACAAGTGAGAACTGCCATATTTACCATAAAACTTAATATGACGCAATGCAGTAAATATTCCCTAAAAAATTACGCTGACCAGACTAAAAATGCTTTGTTGTTTTCTAGCTTCAACAGTCAGAAGATCTAAATCTCCATAATAGATATAATACATACCCCACTGGTTGTGTGTAAAGGACATTAAACAGTCCATGCAAGCGGCTGACTTACAGCCCAAAATTTAAATTATTGAGTCCAAAGCCTGTGAAAGCATTATTTCAAAACTCCTGGCTCAACTGGCAATTAATTAACATGACACAACAATCTTTACCTCAAAATTCCTAAAACAAGACAGTGATTCTTACTGGATTGCATTTTTCATGTTGCCTCTAAAAGGATATATAAGCTGTATTTGGTTTGTCTGTAAATAAACATTTCATGGGCTTACAGTTCAGGCCCTGATCTCCTTATCCAGTTGACTAGAGCTATTTCAATAGAAAGATGTCAAACGATCATCAGAAATGTCTCCAAATACAGAACCTCTTTAAGCCTGTGAATTAAAGTACATTTGCATTTTAAACCATGTAGATTCTTCCTGGAAGACTTCAAAATGCTGACACATCCAATTAATGAAGTTATAGGAACCAAACTCACTTCAACAAACTGGTCCTATCTGCTTTGCTGTTTCCTTGGATCAAGTCTCTCTGGCAAAAGCTGTTTATTTAAAAAATAATAATGCAGCCAACTGCCACAAAAAAGGAAGATGAAGAAAGCAATAATATGTGACTTTGCCACATCAGTCATATATATTGAATGTGAACTATGAAGAGTGTAATTTAGGGCCGGGAACGGTGGTTCATGCCTATAATCCCAGCACTTTGGGAGGCCAAGGCGGGGAGATCACCTGAGGTCAGGAGTTCGAGACCAGCCTGGCCAACATGGTGAAATCTCGTCTCTACTAAAAATATAAAAAATTAGCCAGGCTTGGTGGCACATGTCTGTAATCCCAGCTACTTGAGAGGCTGAGGCAGAAGAATCGCTTGAACCCAGGAGGCGGAGGTTGCAGCAAGCCGAGATTGTGCCATTGCACTCCAGCCTGGGCAAAAAGAGCAAAACTCCGTCTCGGGGCAAAAAAAAAAAAAAAAAAAAGAGTGTAATTTAGAATAAAAGCTTGAGGTCAGAATTACAGACATTATTTACTCAGTGCCTCACATCTCAACCACTTTCCCCCAGTTTTCTCTGCACCAGGCATAATGATTCAATTTCCCAAAATGCTATCTTGCCTCTACTTTCAAACATGGCTTCCTGTTTAGATGGCGGACTCTTGATCACACTCTCTACATATAATATTTCCATCAGAGGAATTACATAAATAAAAATCGATTTTAGACAAATCCAAAGTAGCCAAGTAAAAGCTGTATTTGAATCTGTTTTATGAAGGCTTACAGTAAAAATGCATTTATTCGTTCTAGTAATTCAAACTCTAAACCTTGGAGTTACCATCTAATTCTTCTCTTCACATCCCACTCCTTCACAATTTGAAAAGTACCAAATTGTTCAGATTCTCCTTCTGTCTAGATCCCTCCCTCTGAAAGGGTCCCAGAAGGCCCATCAAATAGGACAGCTGAGGTCCAACGTGTAGAAGAGTCTGATATAAGCCAGAGGAGAGGTAGTTTAGGATAAGAACCCAAAGGTTCCAGCCAGGCAGACAATCTTAATATCTGGGACCAGACTGGATAACAGAAGGAGGAATCTGAAGAGATTGCCTAGACCAGGGAGCCTGTGATACTTGACTTGAAAGGCCAAGAAGGTGTAGGCATAGATGGATCACACCAACTCAAAAGGGCCAGGTGGTACAAACACCCTGTAATTTTTGTCATATATCCCTCTTTTCAATGTCCTCTGCTAACACTGTAGCTTAGACCCTCTTTGGATCTCACTTAAGTGCAATATCTTAACTTACCTACTGTCCTCCTATTTTTCTACCTATACACTGCTGCCAAAATCATCTTCTTGAAGAGCCATGTCAAACCTCTTCGATGTTTTCCATTCACCTTCATGTAAGACTTATAAGTCCTTAAAATGACTTGCCAGACCTTCCAAGACGTGACTTCTTTCTAGCGTCATATCTGCAACACTTTTCCCCAGTGCTCTCTGCACCAGCCATGACTTTTAATCTTGCCTTTAGTTGCAAACATGGCTTCCTTTTCGGCAGAAGATACTTAATCACCTCCCCTCCCCAAAACACACTTTCTCCCTCATTCTTTCATTTTATCTACTTTACTTTTACTTTCTTGTCTCATCTTAAACATCATTGCCTTCAGGTTTTCCCTGAAACCTTCAATGGGTCCCTGCTATATTCCTAGAATACTCCATGCATCCCTTTTCATGACATTAATCAAAATTATAATGACAAACAGTAAACAATCTTGAGTTTGATGAGGGCAAGGATGCCTATGATTAAGAGTGTTCATTCCGGCCGGGTATGGTGGCTCACGCCTGTAATCCCAGCACTTCGGGAGTCTGAGGCGGGCAGATCATTTGAGGTCAGGGGTTCGAGACCAGCCTGACCAACATGGTGAAACCCAGTCTCTACTAAAAAATACAAAAATTAGCCGGGCATGGTGGTGCACGCCTGTAGTCCCAGCTACTTGGGAGGCTGAGGCAGGAAAATTGCTTGAACCTGGGAGGCAGAGGTTGCAGTGAGCAAAGATTGTACCACTGCACTCCAGCCTGGGTGACAGAGTGAGACTCCGTCTAAAAAAAAAAAAAAAAAAAGTATTAGCTCCTATTACTCAAAAACCTTCAATGGCTTCCCCAATCTTCTGCATTAAGTACATATTTCTCAGCACAGGCCTTCAAGGTTGTCTACAATATGAAGCTTTATGGTCTACTGTTTCTGAACGATTCCCAAAAGCAGGATTATCTGCTCCTTCCCAAATAAGCCAAGCATATTCTAGTGTCTTCATTTCCGTAGCTTCCTCTACAAGCCTGGCTCCCCTAAGTCTTTCAAAATGCTATCCAGTCTTCCCAACCTATATCAAATTCCATCTTCTCCACAGTTTTTCCTGATTTTCCCAAATAAATTTGGCCTCTCCCATCTTTGACTCCCTTCCTGTTTAAATATATTGTATTTTCTGTTTGGTACTTTCCTAAATCCATCTAGTTGTTACAGGACTTTTCTTACACTTATTAATTTTAAATTTCTTAGATAATGGTGATACCTGTTTTTCTACATAACTAGCATCTCCTTACTGCATTTAATATATGCCTTGTATCAGAAGGTGTTTGATAAATGCATTAACTTGAATCTTTTGAGACAGGGTCTTGCTGTCATACAAGCTGAAGTGCAGTGGCACAATCACAGCTCACTGTAATCTTGAATTCCTGGGCTCAAGTGATCCTCCCACCTCAGCCTCCCAAGTAGCTGAGACTACAGGCACGTGCCACGATGCTGAGCTATTTTTTAATTTTTTTTTTAAAATAAATGGGATCTCACTATGTTGCCCAGGATGGTCTCAAACTCCTGGGCTCAAGTGTTTCTTCTGCCTCGGTCTCCCAAAGTTCTGGGATTACAGGCATGAGCCACGTGCCCAGCACTGAATCTTAAAAATCTATTACATAGGCTGGGCACCATGGCTCTCACCTGTAATCCCAGCACTTTGGGAGGCCAAGGCGGGTGGATCACTTGAAGTCAGGAGTTCGAGACCAGCCTGGACAACATGGCAAAACCCTGTCTCTATTAAAAATACAAAAATTAGCCAGGCATGGTAGTGCACACCTGTAGACCCAGCTACTCAGGGGGCTGAGACATGAGAATCCCCTAAACGCAGGAGGTGGAGGTTGCAGTGAGCTGAGATCATGCCACTGCAGTCCAGCCTGGGTGACAGAGCCAGACTTTGTCATTAAAAAAAAAAAAAACAAAAAAACTATTACCTATAAGGCAGCTGTGCAGCTGTGTATGGCAGTTGTCTAAATATGTGGATAAAACAATCTTAAGTACAAAAGCTAACAAATAGAGAAAAGCTAAATGGAATTAGAGAACCACGTTATGTTACCAGTGCAATAATAGAAATACATTTTATTTGCATCATAAATAATTGCTCTTTAGTTAGAGAATAAGATTTATTGACCTTATACATTAAGAGATGTCAACATTTATTTCAAATCTGATATTTCAAAGTAAATGGAATTTTAAGTCAAGTCTAATATAGCTCCATAGCACAGTGCCAAAGCTCAGTGTTTGTTTTTGTGATCACTGTTGTTTGCTGCAAAAAAAAAAACAGCAAATACATTATTTAGGTTTGCCTAAAATTATGATTCAGAAGAGATGACAGAAAGTATCAAGTTCAATCCATTAAGTTTCCAAGTGAGGAGTATAAAGACTGAGTCTCCTGGCCAAGGTCACAAAGCCAAACTAGGACAAAGGGACAGACCATCTGACTTCTACTCCAGCACTCTTCCCACCCCAATTCAATACTCACCTCAACACTGTAACAGCTAGAGCACATTATTTTCAACCAACACTGAAGCAAACAATGCTCCAGTACTGTATTAAGGCCATTTGCACATTTTTAGCTATGCTCCAGAGAAACAAAAGTGTGATAAGTGAAGGAATGAGAAGGAATTCTTATCTTTTCTCAGGAGCTTATATCATATAAAAGGTTAGAAACGAATACTATTTCATAAGCTTTCAGGAGCGTTGTGTTTAAAGACACTCTGAGAGTCAAGAAAAACTTTACAGGAAATTATACACAACTTAAATAAATAGAATTTTCACATAAAATATGCAAATGGAGCATTTTGAGTGCTCCATTATCAAAACTTACTATTTACTTTACAGTAACCAAAAAAAGATGGAAGAAAAAAGAGAGAAAACCTAGCTGCCTATTTATTAAAACGTGTGTAAAACATGAACATGCCTACCAATACCTACCAAATATTTGTTATTAAATATTGCTTCTTACAGCTCTATACCTAATAACTGGCATATAGTGGGCACTTGAGTGTTTCATAATAAATTCTCTACTCTCTGTTAGTATCATCCAGTATTATTCTTGAATATTATGGTTGTACATCAGTCACTAAAATGCTGCTACTTGTAGAAGAAAACAATGCATACGGTCTGTATCAAATGCAAACGTTTCCAAGGCTAGAACAGTTTACATTATGTGTATATGTGTATCAATATATTTGTGTGTCTCTGTGTATGTGTATATGTATTCATTTGCTCTCCCTATATATGTATACATGTATATGTATGGTTGTATGGCATGTATTTTTAACATTAATTTTACCTAAGGATCTTATGTTATGGAACAGTGATTTTCCAGCTTTCCTTACAGCAATTTATAATATGAAAAAGATTTTACATTACAACCTAGTACACACACACACACTAAAACAAATTTCATGAAACAACACCCTTACTATATGCAAAGCACTAATATTTTCTATTCCATTTTAAAAAGTGGATGTTTATTATTCACTAAACTGTTTGGAAACTCATAAAAGAGAAAAAAAAAGATACTGGGAAGGTGTACACCTTAGTTTGGCATCCATTTCTTAGAAATAACCTACAGTCAATAGATACCAACTGGAAAATACCAAAATGAAGTCTACAAACTATTAACCATCATTCATTCAAAAGTGCTGTTGAGCACCTGAAAAGGCTGGGTCATAAAACAAGTCCCCACTTGGGAGGCTAAGGCAGGTGGATCACCTGAGGTCAGAAGTTTAAGACCAGCCTGACCAACATGGTGAAACCTTGTCTCTACTAAAAATACAAAAAATTAGCTGGGTGTGGTGGTGGGCGCCTGTAATCCCAGCTACTTGGGAGACTGAGGCAGGAGAATTGCTTGAACCCAGGAAGCAGAGGTTGCAGTGAGCCGAGATCGCGCCACTGTACTCCAGCCTGGGCGACAAGAGCAAACTTCATCTCAAAAAAAAAAAAACAAAAAAAAAACCAAAAAAAACAAGTACCCACAATTTAAAAGGAGTCAAATAATAATAGAATTTGTTCTCTGACCATAATGGAATTAGAAATCAACAACAGAAAGCTATCTGTAAAATCTCCAAACATATGGCAAATAAATAACGTATTTCTAAATAATCCAAGGGTCAAAGAAGAGATAAAAAGGAAAACTAGAAAATATCTTTAAATTTAAGTGAAAACAAAATACAGCAAAATTTGGGAGAAGCAAAAACACAAGCCAGAGATTTCCTGGTTTAAGAGAAGAGAAGAAAAATGAACCCAGACCATTTGTTAGGTCCACTTGGTTTTCTCTAGACAATCCAACCATACTACTCCCAAACTCTGCTCGCATAAGGAGGGTGGCCACCTAGAATGAGAACAATCAGATTATTATCTGAGGAAGCTTAAGGTGAAGGAACCAACTCCTCAGCTCACCCCCACTGGAGAAGTTTCTTAAGTCTGAAAAAAAACCCAGGAATCTAAATAAGAACTGTGGTGTCACTAAAAGAGATGAGCCATACAAACGGGACCATATGAATAGAGGACAGTGGGAAATACATCCAGAAAGAGGTAAGACAAGAGGATGCAGAGCATGATGGTGGAATGGACAGCACTAGACTGTATGCTTCTAGATAGCAGCTTCCTCCCCATACTAAGGACAATCCTGGAACACAACAGCCTGTTATTGTCTAATGTGTGAAACTGAACCTTCACAGATTCATCTCAGAACCAAATTAAGCACAGAAAAACCTTAGCTTCTCAGAGACCATCAAGACCAAGATGGGCCAGAAATAAAACCTGTCCTGCCTTCAGACACATGTGCTAAGGTGGCCTGAGGACCTACCCCTCCAATTCCCAAACTGCAAATATGGTCATATTATATATTCTAGTATCATTTATTCCAGCATTTCACAGGAGAGGAGAGAGGATAAGTATCTCAATTCCTGTTGTTAATTCAATGTAATCAGTTTATTCACTATTAAAAAGGCAGGGACTATTACATTAGTAGATGACCATTAACTCAGTTTTATGGCTAAATATTAGGTTTATCATTTCTATTAGTAGCACTCATTAAATGAAAATAAAGGGCCCATATGTTTTCTATGCGTATTTCAGGGAACTAAAGCGAGTAAGGACGCTATTTTGCTTTCCTGGAGGCAATCCCACATCCTGCTAGGTTTGGTTTTCATATGTGCCTGGCTTCTTAAAATAGGCATAAACAGCTTTATTTAGTTCTAGGCTATTTATTTCCACAGAGAAGAAATCTCAGAACTTTTTAACTGTCATAGGTTACCTCATTTTTTTATACCTCTATTGCGATGAAGAAAGAAAAATACAGTATCAAGGACAAAAGAAAGACTGAGCTTAATTACAAAGATTTAAAAAAAAATTTACATCGTGGCTTATTAGAGAAAGAACACTATCTCGCTCTCATCTCAAGGAAAACCATTTATCCCAAAATGCATAAATACCGTGCTTCTTTAAGTTGTATCATTCTTTCTAGAAAGAACTGGAGTCTTGGATTTAATCTCATAATATGAACAGTTTACTACTCAAAACCACTACAGGAACTAAATGACTCTGTCAATTCAAAAAGTTATCTCAAATAAAAACTTCACAATGCAATGATACTTTTGACAGAGCATTTATGAACTACAACCAATGTTTCAAAATCCTTTTGGAGGAGAGAAATTCAAAGTGATGAAACAAAGATGATCAAAGTTATATTACTGATTTACAATGTTAAACGATCTCAGCATGTGTTACTTTGGAGCAGAGATTTGCGAAGCACAATCAACACATTTGAGCAATGTGTCAGTGAAAATGATCAAATATGCCAAGGTCTTAATTATAACACCACTTTACATTTGTATAGAACATTCCAGTTTGCAAAGCACTTATATCCCATAAACCCATTTGACTCTATGTCTTCCAGTTTAAGTACAATAGATACGAGTTCATGTGGATAAGAGAAGCTATGTACTGAAGTGGTTAAGAATATGGAATTACATAAGACACATTAAATTTAATTTTGCTTGCTTCTACTTCCCGTTTTAAAAACGTGGCTACTAGGAAATTTAAAATTAAAATGTAGCTCACATTGTATTTCTATTGGATAGCATTGTTCAGTCAGTTTATTGACAGATTTTATTTGCTATCCTAGGGGGCACAATCATTGGCATATAAAAAGATTAAGACAAGGAAATAACACTCTCTCCACTAAAGGATTTGACATTTTAAGTGAAGTGTCACAGGTTCAGTAATAATATTACAGCCAAGCTTAAAAGCAAAATAAAAAGTAAAGTCATACAAAACTTTGTCAGGGAATGTGGCTGTTCTCTTCTATAAACAGATTACTGATATTAAATTATGGAAAGTGATTTAAGAAACAATGTTACCATCTTTAAAAGCCCACAAATTTGCTCTGCTGAACAAGGAGGAAAATGCTCTGCCCATGGTCTGGTTTCTAGAACCTGAATGTAAAGACAGAATAAGGCAAGTAGTACTCTGATATCGTTTACTCCTTCATTTTACAGAGAAAGAAAATGAGTCTTAGCCTGACTAGGTGGCTTATCCAAAATGTCATCATTTCAAAATTTAATCAATATAAAAATGTTTATAAATATCTCATTAGTAACAATTATTTAGATTTGTATACTAGGTCTTCAAATTCCAGTACATATTTTACACTTCAGCACATCTCAATTTGGATACTAAATTTTCGTCAGCAATATTTGATCTATATTTAGATTTCATAAAGCTCAAGGTTGAAAACTAAATTTTCATACCCAATTTGTTTCCATGTGGCTACTGGCTACATTAGACAGAAAGCTTTATAGTATATCTGGTGAGTTCAGTAATCTCAGTGAATGCTCTCTTCAACATCCAAAAACTATCATTCTCTCCTAAGAAGTGGAAGAGAAGGATCCTTGACTCTCTCTTCAGATAGGCAGTTTGGTAGCTTTCAGTAGCGATATGTAACTGCAACTATTTTTGTGTTAACTGGGCATGAGAAGGTATTAAATAAAAGATTCTAAGACTGAAAAAAAAAAAAAGGAATGTGGAATTGAAGCCAACTGTTTGTTTTGGAATCGTAGCATTGTCACTTACTAGATAATGTGATCATGAGTAAACTACTCAATATTTCCCTGCCTTAGTATCATCATCTGTAAAATGGAAATAACACTGTTTCTACCTCTTGGGTATACTAAGAATTAAGTCAATTAATATATGTCAAGTACTTAGAAGGCAGAGTAACGATTACAAACACCCTGGTTTTTGAGATCAGCAGCCTCATATGTATGGATATCCATACATATCCATTGTATGGAAATGTATGGAAAATATGTACTAGCCTCATTGTACGAAGCTAGTAAGCCACACAGCCAGGAATAAAAACCAGACCTTTGGCTGCGTGAGGTGGTTCACGCCTGTAATCCCAGCACTTTGGGAGGCTGAGGCGGGTGGATCACCTGAGGTCAGGAGTTCGAGACTAGCCTGGCCAACATGGTGAAAACCCATCTCTACTGAAAATACAAAAATTAGCCAGGTGTGGTGATGCAGGCCTGTAGTCCCAGCTACTCAGGAGGCTGAGGTGGGAGGGTCACTTGAGCCTCAGAGGCAGAGGTCACAGAAAACCGAGATTGTGCCACCGCATTCCAGCCTGGGTGACAAAGTGAGACCCTGTCTAAAAACAAAAAAAACTCAGACCTCCTTCTTCCATTTGATGCTCCGTCCATAGAGGGCTGGGTTAAGTATCCTAAAGTTTTCTAGACTGACATAAACAGTTTAACATAAAATTCTACAAATCAAAAAAATTCAGCAGCTCAAACATTTATCAAATTTGATTTTAATCTATGTCTCTCTATATATGTTTCAGATTACATTGATTATTAAAAAACAAAAACAACTAATGTTCCATTTGGGGGCCAGAATTACACACTAAGGAATAGTTCTCTGAGTTGCTATGTTTGTAAAACGGAACTCTATTGCCTCACTTTTCAAAAGACAAAAATGTAAATAAACTTATCACATCACATCACATCACATCACATAATGCTAGTATGATGTTCATTACCTCAAATTCTTTATCAAATAAAATCTATGATGATGACAATGACTGTTTTAGGATTTCCTTTTTTTTGCCCTTTAGTTTTCAAAACATTTGGTATTGGGATATTAACACCTGTAATTTAAAAAATAATCCTCCCCAAAAAAAGTGTTTCAAGTAATGAAAATAGTATTGATAGAAGAAACAACTTAGAAATTACTTCTAGAAAATAGATACCTAGGTGAAAAACTGTCCTCCTCTTTTCAGACATGTTTTAGGTATCTTTCCTTAGACTTTGTTCAAACTTTTTTTCTTTTAATGATTTAGGTGACTGCGATAACATCTTTCACTGTTATTTAAAAATAGGGCATGGGTGTGTAAATTTATGAGCTGGAATGCAAAACTGGCACACTAAATCAGAGCATTAAATCATTTAGTATATTCTAGTATAGTTAGTTTATTCTACTATAAAAATATATTTTAAGCATTGATATCTCCATGCTCTGTCTTTACATATAATTTTAATCCAATCATCTTTATTCTTTTTCATAGTGAAGAAATGTGAAATCATGAACTTTTTAACACTCTCAAATAGCCAAGCCAATTAAGAGATTATTGGCCGGGTGTGGTGGCTCACACCTATAATCCTAGCACCTTGGGAGGCCGAGGTAGGTGGATTGCCTGAGCTCAGGAGTTCGAGACCAGCCTAGGCAACACGGTGAAACCCCATCTCTACTAAAATACAAAAAATCAGCGGGGCATGGCAGCATGCGCCTGTAGTCCCAGCTACTCAGGAGGCTGAGGCAGGAGAATTGCTTGAACCCAGGAGGCAGAGGTTGCAGTGAGCCGAGATCATGCCACTGCACTCCAGCCTGGGAAACATAGCAAGACTCCATCTCAAAAAAAAAAAGAGATTATCTTTGGACAAAGCACTCCTCCACTCCAGGCCTCTGGATCCTTCCTTGAATAAGGACAGGCCAGAACATCAGTGGTCCTCAGTCTTCTTTCCACCCCAACCGATCTGAGGGATTCAACATCTCTCCATTTATAGAAGTGATGACAGTCTGAAAACGTCCCACAGGTGATTCTAAGACACTGCCTTAGAAGCTGTTCCCCTGCTTGTACCCTCTACTACACTACAGCAGACTTATCTGAGGTTCCACACAACTCTATGGCCTGCCACCATCTATAGGTACAGGAAAATTATATTAATACTTCAGTGAGCTTAAGAAGAAAGGCCAAAAGTTAGTATACATCTTCATTTGTTGGAACATGAAAGATTCAAATAAGAATTCTATACTGATGACATCAAAGAAGATGGTGTAACTGTTCATACGGCAGGCGGCACATCTAACCTAGAATTGGCTTCTAATCAAGGAGGTAGGTAAAGGAGGAGGAAAAGTAGGGAATCAATCAAAATAATCACCCCTAAGGTTTGAGGGATTGGTCTGAATGTGTGATTAATGGAAAGAAGATTTGTGTAAGTCGATTTTCCTGATATCAGAAAGGGAAGCCAAAAATGAACACACAGAGATGTGATGGTGTGTCATCCCCAATTTCTTTTCCAAAATATCAATTTGTCACATGTTTGATATCAATTCTATGTAAGTAATTTTTTTTTTTACTCAACAATTCTATAAACTAATAACCAATAAATACTAAAAAGATTTGGACACACGCCATATTATAAATATAAATCAAATACACTAGTTCAGCATGGTGATTGATGAGAACTGCCAAGGGTGGTATTTACAAATAATGTTCATATTTCTTTGAATATCCACTTACTGTGGACAAATTATACAGCTTAAGCTATTGTTAGTTGGGTATGGTGACTTGTGTCTGTAATCCCAGACTTTCTGGAGGCCAGGAGTTCAAGATCAGCATGGGCAATATAGTGAGATCCCCATCTCTTAAAAAAACACAATGAAATTTAAAAAGCTCTTGTATGTGCAAAATCATGTGAAAAATTCTCACAACTAGGAAAGAAGGAAATAGAATTTGAAAACTTCCTTGGAAGATGTGCATTTTCTGATCCAAATGTGAACCAATATTACTTCGTCATTAATAAGTATGCAAGGTATGGTAAAGATGCTAAGGCTTCAAAATTAGGGTATTTATATAAAACAATGTGTAATTGCGCTACCTTCAAACAAGAAAACATTATTACTTAATAAATGCTGATGCTGATTGTTAACTGTATGTTTTACAATGAGATGACCTTTAAATGGCACAAAAAATAACAGGTGATCCACAGATTTAGAATTTGAAAATAAAAAACTGGCAGGCTCTAAAAGTTGCTGTCCTCTGTACCTAAAGATGTCACCAGTGGCGAGTCAGAATGCAATGCGTACGTCACTATCACTGCTCTAACATATACTATTGCTATAATGGACTCCTGGTCAAAAAAGTGGATAAAAATGTGGGCATCAATTTCTTCTGAAACAACTACAAAATACACTGTCCATTGTTGCTTAACTTAGTGAAAAGCACTCCCTATTTAACAAACACATTCTCAATGTTGCCAGTGTGAACTGTAACTGTAAAACCTAAAACTTGGGTCAGTACACAGACCAACAAGAAATAAAAATGAACAGAAAGAAATGCCCGAATCTGAATTCTGAAGGATGTTCGCATCTGAAATGGTGGCAATAAATACTGTGAAAAAAAGACGATTCCATACACAGGGTTGAGATGGGTAAACAGTTGTTGGATGAAGATATATATTTCTTCCTCATTCTATACCCATGTGTCAAAGCATCAAAACAATTTATTTGCGACAGTTTATGTTGTGTCTCGAACTTTACATCTAAGTTTATCATGAGGGGGAAAAAAACCTGTTTGGCTTGACTCACCGTGAATCACAGCCAGGAGGTCATCTTGTTGTGTATCAGCAACTATGTTTTCGCTACAGCTATGTGACCTGAAGTGGCAGCAGCAGAGGCACCAAAATAGAAGGGGCAGGAGCCTTCTCCTGACTTCTTGGCCGCAAATGGGCTTTCCAGCCCATTCGGGCAACTGAGCAAGAGCCAACCGCAGAGGAGAGAAAGAACCAACCCGACAGCTCCGCGGAGAAAGGCTGCAGGCCCACCCCACCTTCCTTGCCCTCCCGGGGAGGCCGGGTAAGCAAGAACATAAAAGAGGACAGGCTTAAGAAACAGCCTGGAGAAAACACAGCATGACAGGGGTCAAAACTAGCCCCATGGAGGGCAAAACCCGGCCGTGACCGTGAAGCACAGATTTCGGGACGGTCTGGACGCGCAAGAGGCTCTCTACCCTGGGGCTCCGGGAGCGGCTCCGGCGCGAACGCGCGCGGGCCCCCAGCCTTCAAGCTCCTCCGGCCGCCTGGGACCTGACCCTGCTCCCACCTCACCTGTCCGATGCCCGCTGGCCCGGCCCGAGCCTTCAGCTCCCTGCCCGCACCCCGGCCCACCCTTCCATCCCTTGCTCTCCCCGCATGTCTCTCGGGACCACTGGCCGAGTCAGCGTGGGCAGGGGGCCGCTGCCCCGCAGCCCCAGGCCCGGCCCCGGCACTCACTTTCTGAATCCTCTTCAGCGCCATGGGTCAGGGATGGCGGTGGGGACACCGGCCGGCAGGGGTCGGCTGCGGGGCTCAGGGGCGTGGGTCGTCGCGGGTTGGGCTCGCTGGCAGCTAGGCTGGCTCCGCGCGGTGGGTCCCCGGTTAGCCGCTCCCTGGCTCGCTCCGGGCGCCGGTCCCTGCTCCGTGTGCGCCCGAGCGCGAGTGTGCGCGAGTGTGCGGGCGGGGACGCCGGCGAGACTCTTTTGTTTCCGCTTTTGCTTCTGGGAAGGAGCCTGCGCCCTCCCCGCCGCGCCCCGCCCCGCCTGGCACACTGGGAAGTGTAGTTCCAGCCCTGTCCTCGGCTGCAGGCCCCCGGACGCTGCCAGGTAACTTACTGCTGACCTCAGCCAGGCAGCTTAAGGTGAGAGCTGCCGGGGGCTGGAATTAGCCTCTACAGTCTCATTTAGAGCAAATTGCTGAACCTGGGGCTGCGCATCTGTAAAATGGGGATAACAAATGAGCTCCTAACGCACATAAAGGAATTTCTAAATCATCAGTTAGTAATTCCTTATCCAATAGGTGCCACAGCTGGTTTTATTATTTTTACCTTTAAAGATTTCACTGTCTTTTCTCAAATATATGGATTGTCTCACTCACCCTGCACACATGCACAAACTCATATCAGACCCCCTACTTACCTCCTTGGTTCTTATTGCAGAGGAAAAAGGTGTCTCTTCTGTCCAATGTGCAAATCTTCCTTGTCTGAGTGCATTGTCTGCTCGTAGGTATGCCCCTCCCATAAATTACCCACTTCGAACACCGAGTTCTGGGCTCTCACTCCCATCATTGGTTCCTTCCCTTCCGTTGACAGTCCCTGACCAATAGTCAACTCACGCTCCCCACTCTCCAATTCCTATGCACTTGTGTACCCATTAAAACTTGGCTTCTTGGCCAAGATGAGATTTGGGTGGGGACACAGCCAAACCATATCACTCAGGGATATAAAGATGGCAACAAATAGACACTGTGGACTACTAGAGAGGGGACCGAGGGAGCAAAGGTTGAAAAACTGTTGGGTACTATTGTCAGTACCTGGGTGATAAAATCATTCATACCACAAATGTCAGCATCACACAGCATACCCAGGTAGCAAACTTGCATATGTGGCCTCTAAATCTAAAATAAAAGTTGAAAAACAAAAACAAACAAACAAAAACAGAATCTTGAGCCCCACTCCAGACATGCTACATCACACTTTGCAGTTTAATAAGACTCCTAGGTGATTCAGATGAACATTAGGGTTTGAGAAGCACTATGCTGGAAGGCATAAGAGGAGATCCTAAAAATGCAGATTTCCTTTAAAGGATTTAATTTAGCAGTAAGTTTTGGGTGAAGCTCTGGAGTCTAAACTTTAGAACAAACTTCCCAGGAAGTTAGGATGCAGGTATCTGAGGACACTTTTGAGAATCTCCACCTTGAGCAAATCTTCAAATCCTTCTAAGCCTCAATTTCCTCACCCATAACTAATGCAATAAATGTTGTATTTGTTTAAAGGGAATAGAGCTGAAACTTTTGGTGCCCTTCTAACTCAAAGGTCTATGATTTGCACAAAAAATGGTGATTTTTTTCTCTTCTTTATAAATAGAAAGAAACCTAAAAAGTAAGCTTACAAGATTATTTTTGTCTTTCCTAGGGCAGTTTACCTCCCAACAAAAGAGAAATTAACACTTATTAAAAAAATCTACGTTGGTATCTTGCAATAATAGTTTACACTTTAAGATTGCTTTAAATGGGCTGGGCACAGTGGCTCACGCGTGTAATTCCAGCACTTTTGGAGGCCAAGGCAGGTGGATCACCTGAGGTCAGAAGTTCGAGACCAGCCTGGTCAACATGGTGAAACTCCTTCTCTACCAAAAATTCAAAAATTAGCCAGGCGTGTTGGCACATGTCTGTAATCCTAGCTACTTGGGAGGCTGAGGCAGGAAAATCGCTAGAACCTGGGAGGCAGCAGTTTTACTGAGCCGAGATGGAGCCATTGCACTCCCGCCTGGGTGACAGAGTGAGACTCCATCTCAAAAAAAAAAAATTGCTTTAAGCTTTTCAAAACATTTCACACACATTTTTGCAACATGCAAATACATGTGCAACATATAGTAGTTCAGTGTGTTATTTAATCTCCTACTCTTTCTCCCAGGATGTAGTTTCAAAACATAGTTTGTGATCAACTGCATAACTAATTCAAAAATGTTACTTAATGCTTACTATATGCCAGGCACTGAAGACACATGATAAAGAAAATAGACAAGATCCCTACTCACAAGCAGAACATCAAAATCCTATGGGGTGGGGAGGAGGGTACAAGACTTGTTAAAAATGCAGATTTCTAGGCATCAGGCCACACTGTCAATAAATAATCCTTGCCCTCTGAATTATCTCTGTTTGGGATATTATACTGCACTAGGTGGTAAAATATATGCAAAAGAAAGATTATATTTGGTCTTACCTTCCATAAACTTAAAATCTTCATGGTAGGAAGATAAATGCATAAAACAAATAAGTAGCAATGCAAGATATTCATTCATTCAGTCAGTCAGTCAGTCATGCAGACAACAGCAACAACAAATTTCAGGAAAATTTCCTTAAAGCAAAACAAATGGTGCAGAGGATAAGGGCTAAAGATGTTCAAAAGGGCATTGCCATGGACGGAGAGTAAGGGAAACTTTGTAGAGACAATAGAACTTGAATGCAAGACGCATTTGGAAAAGCAAAAGAATAGGTGAAGAACTTCCAATCGTAAGGAAATGCATGTGGAATGGACATAAGTATGAAATGCTCAACATGGAGGCCAAGCAAGGAAATACAACTAAGTCCAATGGTTGAGATCAGATAGTGAAGGACATTGACTGTTAGTCTTAGAAACATGAAATTGAGCTTAAATGCAACAAGAGGTTGTGTATCAGGAGAGTATTATTGTGACAGTGATGCATTAAATAGACAATTAGTCTAGTGGAGGGACATGGAATGAGGACAGAATCAGGAAAGGGAAACAAGTTCAATTACTATTGCAGTATTTAGGACCAAAATAATAAGGGCCTGCCTGTACAAGGTTGATAGCACTAGAAACCCAAAGAAGAACTTTTTGAGAAAAAAAAAAAAAAAAGCCATGGAACTTTGTTGCAATTACATACAGAAGTAGAAAAATAGAAGAGTAAATATGAACTCTAAATTTATGAGTGGTGGATTGAGTTAAAGGTGTTAACATTGATAAGCTTTTGGAGGGGAGAATGGTAAACCGAGCTTAAGACATACACATATATGAAATGTATGTGGTATTCAAGTGGAACTTCCCTAGTGGTAGGTAGAGATATGGGGCTGAGAATATGGATATGAGAGCAATCATGTGAGAGAATGATTTTGAAACCGTAAGATACAAATTGCTTCCCAAAGAGGAAAGGGGAAGACAGAGAAAAGAGAAGGCACTAGAAAATGGGCTTTGGGGAGCAGCAACAGTGAAGACCTATGAGGAAAAAGATGGGTCATGGGTGGGAAAGTAAGTGGAATACCAAGAGTGTTTTGTGTAGTGGCAGCAAAGAAAAGTGAGAGCTTTAGGTAGGAAAATAGCTTCAAAAAGATGTATTTTGCAACAGGGATCTAAGGGAATAAGGAACAGGAAATGGATATCAGAATTAGTGAGGTGCTACCTTCAAGGATAGTGTTTAAGAAGGGTGATGGGTAAATAAGACATAGTGAAAGATAAATGGGTAAATTAAATGGAGTCAAGCAGTGCTTATCACACTTTGGAAAATGCTGGGGAGGAAGGGGCATGAGATAGGAACTAAAAGAGGGCCTGTGATTTTTCCAAATGTGATCTCTGCATGCTTGAAGGTAGATGTGAAAGAGTTAGTGGGTCTATTATGTATTGCTTCAAAGCAAATTACCCTAACCCATAGCAGCTTAAATCAACAATCAACATTTATCATCTCACATAGTTTCTGTGGGTCCGGAATTTGTGAGCATCTTAGCCGGGTGGTTCTTCCTTGAGGTCTTTCATAAAGTTGCAGTCAAAATGTCGGCCAGGGTTGCAGTCATATGAAGTCTTTACTATAGATAGAGGATCCACTTCTAAAACACTTCGCTTACATGGACAGCAGAATGGCCTTTTTTTCTGGCCATCTGGACTTTTTCATAGGACTGTTTGTGTGTCCTAACAACATGACAATTGGCTTCCCCCTTATTCCTTCTTCAAGGAAAGAGCAAGATGGAAGTCACAATGTCTTGGAAGTCACACACTGTCAACTTTACCCAATGTGGAAGGAAACTACACAAAGATGTGGGCACCAGGATATGGGAATCCAAGATGAGGGGCCATCTTGGAGGCTCGCCACCACAGAGGGAAAGGAAAAGTTAATGCAAGTGTTAAGGGAAAGGCAGAAGCCCTTGATACTCAAAGTATGGTCCACTGAGTGGCATCATTTGTGAAATTGTTAGAATTGTAGAATCTCAGACTCTACCTCAGAACTACCAAATCAGAATTTGCATTTTTAAAAGATCCCCAGGTGACTCATATGCATATTACATTTTGAGAATCATTGATCCAGGGTACAGAAAGGATTCTCTTTAGAGAAGGAAATTGTAGCCTACGCAGGAGGAAGGAAGTGTAGAAGTGAGTCTTGTGACAGAGATGAAGCAGAATAAATAAGAGTGCCTACAAATTGACTGCTTACCACACAGAGTTAGCAGTTAAGGCAACATACAACAAAATTAGACAACTTAATGAAAATAATCCTGTTTTATAATAGCTAATTTAATGCAGTGGAAAGAGTATAACCTTGGAATAAAAACATAGATTTGTATCCTGTTTCTATTGCTAATTAGCTGTATGTCTTTGGGCAAGTTTCTTAACCACTCCAGTTCTTAGTTTTTTTCTTAAATTATATGATGGCAATAATACCAATTCTATAAAGTGGGGTAGAAGATGAAAACAACAGACTATATAAAGCACTGAGTTCAGAATAAGTACCCAATAATGTTATTTTTCTCCTTTCCTCCTTGTCTTCCAGTGCTTTAAACTCTCCATCTAGGTCCTATCTTTTACCCTTTTAATCATGGTTGCTACCTGTAGGAATATTTCGTTTAATTTTCTAGATTTTCTGTCTCAATCTTAATGATTTTATTAGAGACAGCATATTACAGTTGCAAGCGCATATCTGAGAAACCATAGATATTTGGGAAACCCCTAAATCTTCTCTCATTTCATCAGAGTTGATGGAATAAAAGGTGTTATATTGAGCATGTAGTACTGGCCAAAAAATACAGGCCAATTGCACAAGAGAGGTGGAGATTGTGACTAGTGTTAACCCTACCTAAGATTATGAATATCCCTTTCCCCACCCTAGTATTGGCTCTGCATCTCCATTGTCTGCTTCTCCCCCAACACCAAGCCCCCAATTTCCCCCATTTTTATCCTGGACCCTCTTGGAAACCTATAACAGGTTTCCTATTTCTTCTTCTCACATCCTTTCTCTAAATTCACAGACACCTTTACTTTGAGACTCTTTAGAAGGCATTTAATATAAGTAACAATATGGAAACTGAGAACATCAACATACATAATGAACTACAGTGGCATGACAAATTTATAAGAATTATTTGGAAAAAACATACTACAAAACTATTAAAGATTGGTTCTCATCAAGAAAGTGAAAAGGACCGAGTGTGGTGGCTTATACCTACAATCCCAACACTTTGGGAGGCCTAGGCAGGAGGATTGCTTGAGCTGAGGAGTTCAAGACCAGCCTGGGCAACATAGCAAGACCTTGTCTCTACTAAAAATTAAAAAATAGCCAGGCATGGCAGTAGTATGTGCCTGTAGTCTCAGCTAGCCACTCAAGAGGCTGCAGCGGGAGGATTGCTTGAGCTTGGGAGATCAAGGATGCAGTGAGCCATGATTGTGCCACTGTACTTCCAGCCTGGGTGACAGAGTGAGACCAAGAAAGAAAGGAAGGAATGCAAAGGAAGGGAAGGGAAGGGAAGGGAAGAAAGAAGGGGAGGAAGGAAAAAGACAACCCACAAACTTGTAGAAAATATTTGTGAATCACACATCTGATAAGGGACTTGTATCTAGAATATGTAAACAACTCTTATAACTCAATAAAATAAAGATAAATAACCCAATTTAAAAATAGGCAATAGATTCAAATGAATATTTCTTCAAAGATATACAGATGGATGATAAGCACATGAAAACATGCTCATCATTAGTCAATGAAGAAATGCAAATCAACGAGATAAAACTTCACGCTCACTGGATGGCTGTACTCAAAAAGATAGACAATATCAAGTGTTGGAAAGGATGTGGAGGCATTGGATCCCTCATACATTGTTGGTGAGAATGAAAAATGGTGTAGTAACTTTGGAAAACAGTTTGGCAGTTCCTCAGTATGTTAAAAATGAAGTTTCCATATGACCCAGCAGTTCTACTTCTAGGTAGCCACCCAAGAGAAATGAGAACATATATCGATGCAAAAGCTTGCACATGAATATTCCCAGCAACATTATTTGTAATAACCAAAAAGTGTAAACAACCCAAATGTCCATCAATTGGTGAATGGAAAAACAAAACATGGTATATCTAAACTATTGAATATTATTCAGCAACAAAAAGGCATAAAGTACTGAAATATGCTATAACAGGGATCCCCAACCAGTCTGTGGCCTGTTAGGAACTGGGACACACAGCAGAAGATGAGTGGTGGGCAAGTGAGTGAATGTTCATCTGTATTCACAGCCACTCCCCATGGCTCTCATTACCACCTGAGCTCCGCCTCCTGTCAGATCAGTCACAGCAGTAGATTCTCATAAGAGCATGAACCCTATTGTGAACTGTACATCTGAAGGATCTTGGTTGCATGCTCTTTATGAGAATCTAATGCCTGATGATCTGTCACTGTCTCCCATCACCCCCAGATGGGACCACCTAGTAGCAGGCAAATGAGCTCAAGGCTCCCACTGATTCTACATTGTGGTGAGTTGTATAATTATTTCATTATATATTACAATGTAATAATAATACAAATAAAGTGCAAAATAAATGTAATGCACTTGAATCATCCCGAAACCACCACCCCATCATCCGTGGAAAATTTGTCTTCCATGAAACTGGTCCCTGGTGCCGAAAAGGTTGGAGACTGCTGTGCTACAACATGGATGAACCTAAAAACCACAATGCTGCTGGGAGGAATGGCACATGCTCATAGTCCCAGTTACTCCAGAGGCTGAGGCGGGAGGATTGCTGGGCAACATAGTCACCCCAACTCCAAAAACCCAAAAAAACAAAGCCCAAACCATTATGCTAAGTGAAAGCAGCCAGTCAAAAAAGATTACATATTGTATAACCTCACTTATATAAAACGTCCAGAACAGGCAAACCTATAGAGATGAAAAGTAAATTTGTATTTGCTAAGGGCTGGGAGCAGGGAGGTTTGGGGGAGAATGAATGACTGCTCATGGGTACGGGGTTTCTTTGGGGGATGATAAAATTGTTCAAAAATTAGATTATGGTGACGATTGCAGAATTCCTTAAACACACTTAAAACCATTGAATTGTACACTTACTAAGCTTTAAGGTATGTAATTATATCTCAATAAAACTTTTGTTAAAGTCAATTCTGTCCTCATTGGGATTTGAACCCTCAGGCCTCATCACCGTCACTTTCTTTCTTGGGGATTCTTTTTGAGGACAGCCCTATCTGTCTGTATGTAGCTTCCATCTCAGGGATGCTGTTTCCGTCATTCCATCCGACCAAATAAGAAAGGAAAGAAGATCTCAAAATCTCCCAGCCCCAGCATCTGTAAAGTAGAAATTCTCCACCCTGGCTGTGCCTCAGGACAGCGTGAGTCACTTTTTAGAAACCCCGATTGGCTGGAGGCACAGGGAGCGCAGGCCCAAGCAGCTTATCCAACGGCCAGGCCAGGACCGCGTCCCGGGAGCCCCCGCCCAGGCCTGTTCGACCCCTCCCAGCCTCGGTTCGCCAGGGCTGACTCGTCACCTGCCCCGCTCCGGGAGGCCAGGGAAGGAGCGAGGACGCCGCAGGAGCCGGGATCCATATGACCGTCACCCACAGCAATGCGAAGCCTGGGCCTCCTGTCACCCCGCAGCAGGGCTGCAGCAACCCAGTTCTCCCACACCCGGCCCAGCTTACGGAAGAGGCCACAGGGATCTTGCAGCCGTCAGAAGCTCAGATTTAAGAAGTCTCTGCAGGATACGGAGCAGGCAGCAGGAGTTGTCAGCGCACGGAATACAGAGTGGTTCCCGGGTCACGATGGGGTGTGGAGGCGGGGGTGGGGGGAGATGGTCCAGAGAAAGATGGTCCAGAGAAAGAGGGGCAGATTTGGAGAAGTCTTTGGAGAGGATCACTGGCCAAGTGGAAGAGGCGGATGAAGAGCTCCCTGGGTGTGCTGCTGACCAAGGCAGATCTGGAGGCAGAGTCAAAGCAACAGTCGGCAATCGGGCAATTTATGAAGACGTTGAAGGAAGGAGTTGACACACGGATTCAGTCAGAAATTTCAAAGAGAGTAGAGTGAAAAGAAGGGTTTGGTGAAAAGATTCAGGCATTCCTGGTGGAGGTGACATAGTGGAGCAGGACATCTACCAGAAGTCCCGGGGCTATGGTCCATGAGCTTGGCCCTGGCGGAGTGAGGCCAGTGCAGCCTGGCTCCGCTGCAGGAGATGCCAAGACAAGGCTGCCCTCTCTGGAACAAAAGTGACCTCATTTCTCAGGTACTGCTGGGGACTGCCGGCCAATTGCCAATTTTGCCTCTCCTTCACTCAATGAAGAAGTGTTTGTCTTTGCAAATACAGGAAGCGCTCTTTTTTGTTTTCTCCTTGTGTTGTTGAGGCTTTGCTGTCCAGGAGTGGTTTCTGGGGAGGGCCACCCCATCCAATGTCCCCACCTTTTTTGACCTTTGGGTGCTTTATTTGGGCTGGTGAGAACTCTCTTTTGTCCTGGGGGCAGTTCTGAGCTTATAGGCCACTGAGGTCTTCATATACAACAGGGCCTATTCCTTTTGTGATTGGGTAGTCCCACCAACTGTAACACCAGAATCATCAGGAGGTAGAGCCCAATCAGGAGAGCTGGGAATGAATGGCTCAGAACCGGTGTTTGGCACACATGTAGGACAAGCATTCTTCATGTGTCTTATTTTGAACAGCTGTCTGGATTGTTGTCTCACAGGTTTTGGCATTATGTGACCCCCACATCCCCAATTCTGTCCTGCTACAGGCCGTAAGATTTCAGGGGGACCATTCCCAGGGTGGTACCTGTGGTTGATATATGAACTTCCTTGTCCCCCACAAATCTCCACAGGGTTCAAACCCAGTGTTGAATGAGTCTCTGTTTGAAATTAGATTAGAACCACCACTTGGGAAGGGCAAAGAGCAGACAGCCTCAACAGTGGTGGAGCCAACCATGAACTTCTCAGGAGTGACCTGTGCTTCCTTCAAGGCAGTTTCTGTTATGTGTATCCTTCTAAGACCTGCATTTCTTTCAAGACTGATCCTGTCCATTTTGTAGCCCATTTTTCTTCATTAACAATAAAACCAATTGTGAGCACCAAAGAGCAAGCAGAAGAGTGTTTAAACATTTTTTCTTTCTTTGATTAATGAAGTACGAGAAAAAAAAATCCCTCTGTGGTTCTATTTAGTCATAATTTATTTTCATAACGTTCTGAGGGGCCCTGGGAAGTTAGACCCCTTCTTAAACAGGGCAGCTGCATCCCCCCATTCTTCAGCAAAGCACCCAGTGGACAGGCTCTTGATGGGCCACTCTGAGGCAGAGGGGGATTTCAACAAAGACCCCGGAAGTTAGGACCGGGTTGTGGGAGCTGGGACAAGGTTGTGGTGAGGGCAGAAATGTGGATGTGGCCCGTTCCCTCTCATCCCCAGCTGTAACTGGAGCAGTTCAGTATGTGTCTGTTTTTCTAAAGTATCTGAATGGACTTGGGTGAGCTTCCTCATATAAAAATTAGTTTAATAGACCTACCATGTATGATCAACGGAAACAGAAGGTAATGTGTAATGCACTTAGCACAATATGGGGAACATGGAGCTTGTTCAGAAAAATGGGAGCTATTATTGTTCTTGAATTCCACATTAGAATTTATTAAAAGAATGGCTTCCAACACTTGAAAAAAAAGTTTGGAAATCACTGATTTCGCTCATGGCCTTTGTTAACACAAAGAAAAAAAACATGTTTTGATAAATTATATGGAAAGTCTGGCCTGTAATCCCAGCACTTTGGGGGGCCGAGGAGGGCAGATCCCTTGAAGCCAGGAGATCAAGACCAGCCTGGGCAACATGGTGAAACCCTATCTCTACACACACACACATATATGTATATATATTAGCCAAGTGTGGTGGTGCATGCCTGTAATCCCAGCTACTCGGGAGGCTGAGGCATGAGAAATGCTTGAACCCAGGAGGTAGAGGTTGCAGTGAGCCTAAATCATGCCACTGCACTCTAACCTGGGTGACAGAGCAAGACTCTGTCAAAAAAAAAAAAAAAAGAAAGTAAAAGAAAGAAAAAAGAAAGAAAGAAAGAAAGAAAGAGAGGGAGGGAGGGAGGAAGGAAGGAAGAAAGGAAGGTCTATTATTTAATTTATATAAAATTTTTAAAAATGATGAAAAAATAGCATTTTTATCCCATGATTTATTATCTAAAATGAAAAATGTTTCATGGAAGAATATCCCTAATAAACTCATTTCAAAGTTTTGATATAAAAAAGATTAAGGCAGTGGTAATCCTAGAGCAGAAAGTTACATGTAGAGAGAATTTTATTCCCATAATAGATGTGTTTTACTCTTTTTCAGGGTTCCTTCTTCTCAGATATATATTTTTTTCTTTTTTACAATTCCATTTAACAGTTTTCTCCAGCCAGACAAGGTGGCACACGCCTGTAATCCCAGCACTTTGGGAGGCTGAGGTGGGCAGATCACTTGAGGCCAGGAGTTCAATATGGCCAATATGGTGAAACCCTGTCTTTATTAAAAATACAAAATATGAGCTGGGCATGGTGGTGTGTGCCTGTAGATCCAGCTACTCCAGAGGCTGGGGTGGGAGAATTTCTTGAACCTGGGAGACAGAGGTTACAGTGAGCCAAGAGTGAGTGCATGCCATTGCACTCCAGCCTGGATGACAGAGCGAGACTTCATCTCAAACAAAACAAAACAAAACAAACAAACAAACAACAGTTAAAAAAAAAAAAAAAAAAAAAAAAAAACCAGCTTTCTCCTATCTTGTGACCCTTCACAAGCATGTTTAGAAATTTAGTTCCTTTCTTCTTTGATATGAATTGTCATTTTAGGCTATGATATAAATATTCTGGATGGAGTCTTTTGACTGTATTGCTCTAATCAATTTAGTTCTATATTATAACAATTGCACATTTTGCAGCTGATATGCCATCTAAAAGTAAACATTATTCTTTTTTTTTTTTTTTTTTGAGATGGAGTATCGCTCTGTAGCCCAGGCTGGAGTGAGTGGTGCGGTCTCGGCTGACTGCCACCTTGCCTACCGGGTTCAAGTGATTCTCTTGCCTCAGCCTCCCAAGTAGCTGGAACTACAGGCGCATGCCACAATACCTGGCTAATTTTTTGTATTTTTAGTAGAGACGAGGTTTCACTGTGTTAGCCAGGATGGTCTTGATCTCCTGACCTCGTGATCTGCCTGCCTCGGCCTCCCAAAGTGCTGGGATTACAGGCATGAGCCACCGCTCCCTGCAAGACTATACTTTAAAGCAATAAATGAGCACCTCACTCTCTTAACTTTTTAAGTAATCTAGAACAATATATTGTCATTTACTGAGATTGATGTTTGTAATTTTACTCCTGAGATTAAACAGTAATAAACATGTTAATGCTATAAACATTGTTAAACAAGTCTACATGACACAGCTCTTTAACAAACCTATTTCCAAGTGCTCTGAATCATGGTTGGTTGTACTTTTCTGCAATGCCTCACAGAATCTAATTACAGGCACTAAATGCAAAGCCAACTTTATAATCAATTAAGAGTGATGGGGACTCCAAAGCCAGCTGGCTTAGGAAGACCTTTATATATACTGTATAATATAATCTTGTGAAAAGGCAGAAAGATATTTACACTTTACTGACACAGGAAGTTCGGTGGTTGGGCTCACCCTAGGGATACAATATGTGTTCCTAATTCCTTCCTGTATGCCTTTCTACTTTTTGGAAACTTTCTCCCAAATCCTTCTCCTTCCTTTCCCATTACTTTCCCATTCCCCTGCAGCCAGGAGTGAGAGACTTTACTAAACCCCAAGGATGATAAATACAGCATTCCTTATCCTTTAAAAATCTGTGTCTTTAGCCTTAAACAGGAAGGAAATTCTGACATAGGATGCACCATGGATGAATTTTGAGGACATTATGCTAAATGAAATAAACTGGCCACAGAATGACTTAGTCTGTATTATTCCACTTATATGAGGTTTCTGGAGTAGTCAAATTCACAGAAACAGGAAGTACAATGGTGGTTTCCAGGGTCTAAGGGTCACGGCAGGGCATGGGGAGTTGTTTAATCGGTATAGAGTTTCAGTTTTGCAAGATGAAAAAGTTCTGGATACTGGTTGCATAACAATGTGACTATACTTACCACGACTGAGCTGTACACTTAGAAATGGTCAAGGTGGTACATTTTGTTATGTGCTGTTTTGCTACAATTAAAAAAAAAATGTCATTAAAAAGACAGACAAATGTTGGAGAGGATGTGGAAAAACTGGAACCCTTATCCACTGCTGGTGGGAATACAAAATGTAAGTACAACAACTTTGGAAAAACACTTTGGCAACTTCTTTAAAAGTTAAACATAAGCTGGGTGTGGTGTCATGCACCTGTAATCCCAGCTAATTGGGAGGCTGAGGCAGAAGGATTGCTTGAGGCCAGGAATTTGAGACCAGCCTGAGCAACATATCAAGTACCTTATCTCAAAAACAAACAAAACACATATATACAAAAGCTAAACCAAAATGTAACCATATGACTCAACAATTTCACACTTAGGAACCTATCAATGAGAAATAAAACATATTTCTACACAAATACTATGCACATGAATATTCATAGCTGATTATTTCATCAATAGATAAAAACTGAACATAACCCAAATGTCAATTAACTGGTGAATAGATAAATCGAATGTGGTATATCTACACAATGGGATATTATTAAGCAATAAAAAGGACAAATTACTGACGCATGTTAAAACATGGATGAACATCAAAAACATTACACCAAGTGAAAAAAAAAGCCAGATGCAAAAGACCTACATATTGTATGATTTCATTTATATGAAATGCCCAGCAAAGGCAAATTTATAAAGACCCAAATAAAGCAGATCAGTGTTTGCCTAGGCTTGGGAATAAAAGTGGGGATTAACTACAAAAACGCACAAAATAACTTTTTGGGGTGGTGTAGATGTTTCAAAACTGGATGGATGGTGGTAATGGTTGTACTGGATAAATTTACTAAAAAATCATTGAAATGCACATTTTAAGTTGGACTTATATATAAACTATACCTCAATAAAATAAATATTAAAATTTAAACATGTAGAAAACACCACACCCAACACATGGGTAAGCTTTCTTGGAAGCAGATCCTCCAGTCCTATTCAAGCTGCCCAGGCTGTTACCTCTTGGGGTAGAGGTCAGCTGAGACAGCTGACCTCTGCCCAAGTTGAAAATTTGTGGGCAAAAGAAATACACACACATACACAAACCAATGGCCTACTAATATAAATAAAATCTCATGTTCTCACAGATTCTAATATATTTCCCCTACTTTCTTGAAGAGAAAACATCTGTCACTGGAGAATCCCTAGCAGTGAAGTGCATTTTACAGTCACTATCACCTTGAAGCCTCACAAAAACCCTAGCAGGTAGTTACTAGTAGTATTAGAGTTCTCCAGAAGGACAGAACTAACAGGATATATGTATATATAAAAGGGAGTTTATTAAGGAGAATTGACTCACACGATCACAAGGTGAAGTTCCATGATAAGCCATCTGCAAGCTGAGGCGCGAGGAAGCCAAGAGTGGCTCAGTTTGAGTTCCAAAGCCTCAAAAGTAGGGAAGCCAACAGCGCAGCCTTCAATCTGTGGCTGAAGACCAGAGAGCCCCTGGCAAACCAGTGGTGTAAGTACAAGAGTTCAAAGGCTGAAGAACCTGGAGTCTGATGTTCAAAGGCAGAAAGCATCCAGCATGGGAGAAAGATGAAAGCCGGAAGACTCAGCAAGACAGCGTATTCCACCTTCTTCCACCTGCTTTTTCTAGTCACACTGGCAGCAGATTGGACGGCGCCCACCCACATTGAGGGTGGATCTTCCTCTCCCAGTCCATTGACTCAAATGTTAATCTCCTCTGGCAACACCCTCACAGACACACCCAGAAGCAATACTTTGCATCCTTCAATAGAGTCAAGTTGACACTTAATATTAGCCATCACACTAGTATACAAATAATGTAAAACAGCTCAGATTGTAAGATAATTCCAATTTCATTGCTATGATTTGAATATTTGTCCTCTCCAAAACCCATGTTGAAATTTGATCCCCAGTGGGGCAGTATTGAGAAGCTGGGCTTTAAGAGATGATTGGATCATGAGGGCTTTTCCTTCATGAATGGATTGATTCATTCATGGATTAATGGGTTATCATGGGAGTGAGACTGGTGGCTTTATAAGAAGAGGGCATGAGCATCTTAGCAGTCTCAGCCTTCTCACCATGTGATATACTACACTCTCTTGGGAGTTTTCAGAGTGTCCCCACCAGCAAGAAGGCTCTCACCAGATGTGGCCCCTCAACCTGGGACTTCCCAGGCTCCATAATTGTAAGAAATAAATTCCTTGTCTTTATAAATTACTTCATTTGAGGTTTTCTGTTAAAAGCAACAGAAAATGAAGTAAGACAATTCATAAACATTGAAATACCAGAAAAAAGTCCACCTTCCAATGAAGGAGATATTTTATTAGCCTCATTTTACATATACAGAAACTGAAGTTTAAAGAGAAAAAATAATCTTATGAGATCCCATAGCCTGTCAGTGACCACACTAATGGCCATGCTATTAGCCAGGGCACTGTACTGCCTTCCACTGCACTATTATATGCTTTTTCAAAATATATATGCTACACGCACACACACACACACACACACACACACACACACACACATACCCAAATCCTATTTTGAGGATAGTTGATCTCTCAGAGGGTGGGATTTGGCATTCACTGTCTACCCTGGTAAGCCCTGGAAAGTCAGGCCAAGAAATGTTGCTTATTCCTTTATTGTAGGGAGAACAGATGAGTGACCCTCAACTCAGTGAGCCTGTCCATGTTGTGTGTCTGTCTCTTGGGCTTTTATTTGTCCAAGGGCTCCATCCATTGGTGTCCTAGGGAAAAGGGACATACTCTGTCAGGAGATCAGAAAATGGAAAAAGTGAGAAGAGATTGAAAATGAGAGGGTCGATAGGTGCAGTAAACTACCATGGCACACATTTACCTATGTAACAAACCTGCATGTCTTGCACATGTATCTAGGAACTTAAAATTAAAAGAAAAGAAAAGAAAATTAGAGTGTCAGCACACTTTGTGAAACTTGAAAGTAAAAAGAATACAGCTTCCGGCCAAGCTTGGTGGCTCACGCCTGTAATCCCAGCACTTTGGGAGGCCAAGGCAGGTGGATCACGAGGTCAGGAGTTCAAGACCAGCCTGGCCAATACAGTGAAACCCCATCTCTACTAAAAATACAAAAAATTAGCTAGGCATTGTGGCATGCGCCTGTAGTCCAGCTACTCAGGAGGCTGAGGCAGGAGAATCACTTGAACCCAGGAGGAGGAGACGGAGGTTGCAGTGAGCCGAGATCGCGCCACTGCACTCCTGCCCGGGCGACAGTGTGAGACTCCATCTCAAAAAAAAAAAAAAAAAAAAAGAATACAGCTTCCTGGGAAAAAGTGGACAGAAAGCATATTTGACCGGGAGAAAAGGCTTAAGACTTTGGGCGAGGCCCTTTTGCTTGCTACAGGAGACTGTGCTGTTTGGAATAGGGAGTGGGGAGAGGGCAATTGATTAGAAATGGAAAGGAGAGCCACAATTTCTGGGTTTTGACAGAAACATCCCATAAAGGATGTGCTTACATAAGTGATTGCTCTGTTGTTAATTTCTGAACTCTCCCCAGCCCACCACCTTGGCAGGGAATGGGAAACAACTAAGTCACATCTTAACATTAACATCCCGCCCACCTCAAAACAAAGCAAACTTTTGGTATCTGGATTAAAATTTCTCCTGCCTGTGTAGGAAAAGGAGGTGGAATTAGTATAAATGTAGGTGTTTTAACTACACAGCTGCTGTAGCCTTTGCACCTTAGCAAAGAAAGATCACCGTATTCAGCTGGTGTTAAAAAGTCTCAGGCAACTGGCAGGTTTAAGAACATTAAGCCTCTCAGAATAATTTTCAGATATTTCTAACATAGAACGCTGGAGAGAGGAAAGGAAGAAGGAGAGAAAGAGTGAGGGGGAGAAAGACAGAAACAGATAAGAAACTGCAAGACAGAAAATTCAGTATTGGAAGCAGGGATACTGCCAGGTCATTCCTGAATACGTCATTTAGTGCTGGATTCCACAATCCCCTGGATTACTGTGGTTTAGCATTTGGGCAGTCATAATAGATATGGCATATGTTTGGATCCTTGCTCTGAGTTTAAGCCTAATGGAGTAGAATTTAATAATAATTACATTACATAGAATTATGAATACACTAATTGATCCAGCAGTGTGCCAAGGTTGTAAGGATATAGGTGCTGTTTGCCCTGGTGCAGACCATAGTGGGCTTATTGTAGGGAATTTAAGAATAATATAAATCTTTCAGTAATTCTACAGAATGCCAGTGATGACATACTCCTATCCCCCAAAATATATTACTGATTTAAGTTCTAAATAATCACTGCAGTTCCTCTTAAGGTTTTTTACCTTAATTCACATACCATAAAAGTGACCTATATAAAGTGTACAATAAAATGATTTGTAGTATATTCACAGAGTTGTGTAGCCATCATCATAATCTAAATTTAGAATATTTTCATCACCTATTGAGTTTTAATACACTTACATAAGCTTCTAATTAGTAAATTTACATTACTAATCCTTTAATAGCTTTGCATACTACTACATGGAAGTTAATTTGGAGAATTTCCAGTTATACTGTTAGCCTCTGACCCATGGAATTAAACTATATGCATTTGTTTTGAAAGTAAGCTCATAACAGATGATAATTGTTTGAAGTTTCTGGGCAACCAACTCCATCACTTACGCATTCCTGCATTTAAACAGTGGATTCAAGACAAACAATCATAGATGTAAGCAATATTTTTTGAATTTTTTTATGGCACAAAATTTTTAGATGAGGTTAATCAGATATAAAAGTGTTTGCAAATAGCCACAATCAGACTTGAATAATATACAATGAAACACAAAACTTTAAAATTATTCCTTGAAGATCTGTGTATAGATATTGTAGAGAAGGCTCTACAACAACAAAATGTAAGAAACTTGGATATTTACATTTAACAAAGGATACAAGTTCAAAGAATGCCAAGACAAACAATGAAAAAATTGGTATTTCATTGCTAGAAGAAATCAAAAGTCAGTGTTTGAATACCAAGCACTGGATACCCATTTTAAAGCAATGGATTAAAAAAACCAAAAAGCCAATGTTTACTATTATTCAATCATTTTTCTCAGATTCTTGTATAAGATGAAAACCGGGAAGCTTTTACTAAATTATAGAAAAGAAATTTCTGACAAATATTTCTGGTGAAGATAGCATTTTAATAGAAATTTTTTGGGAGACCTTTGAAAGCCCTTAGAATTATTCCTAAAGACAAAGATATAAGGATATTACAAATTCCAAAATTTCTTGTTAAATCCAATATTTATGACTCTGCCAAAATTATCTTCATGTTTAAATGTAAGTCTGTTGCCTCATGTGAAAGAAACTTCCAAATTAAAATTATTATAACATATTGTTTTCTCTCAATATAGATTGGTAGGTAAATCCTGCTAGACTATTCATTGAATGTGAAGATGTGAAGGTCAAATTTGATGAGGTCATTGATAAATTTGTCTAAGTTAACACTTAAAAAGAGAAAATGTAATGTTATTCATTACTGCTATAGACCAATATATAGGTATTTTCCTTTGTATCAAAACTGTTAATGTGGTTAAAAAAGATCAATGTTTTATTTTCCTTTATTTTACTGAAATGTTTAATTTTTTTATTCTTACTTTTACCAAAATGATTATGTATTTGAAGTTAGATAAAAGAAAATTTCTCCATCTGCATTTCTTTTCTGGCCATTATTAGTCATTTCTTTTTACGGTGTTACTGAAAATAATTTTGTCATATAGAATGGATGGAGGGGATATTAATATAAAATTCTGCCCTGCACAATATTTGACTACTGCACTGTTTATATTTGAAAATTATGTTTATGTTTGCTTTCTTTTCTTTAAAAAAAATCCATGTTATAATGAATAAATATGCACCAATGACTTCCTTTCTACAAATTACTTTGTTAGAGCCTAGGGGGGCAACATGACTCACATCTGATACATGTATCAGATTCTGGGGCAGGCAGTGTTGCTTGATTCAATCATCACATCAAAACCCTAAAGTAGGTTTTATCATTTTTATTTTATAGATGAGGCTTAGAGAGCTTCAGTGCAAGGTTACATAGTAACATGTGGTTTCCAGCTAGTAGATTTGAATCCACATCTGTCTATCTCCAATGAGTGACATTGCTCTGCAGGTGTTCATGGTCTAATTAGGAATTCAGAACACGTACATGAAGATAATATAAGTAATATGTCAAGTACCCAGAAAAGACCTGGACCAAAACCTCTATAGGGCCAGGAAAGGGTGCCATTACTGAGGGCTCTCACAGTTGAGATGTTTTGTGGGGGAAAGCTTGAGTAGGGCCTGAAAAAGAAGCATTTTGATTCAGAATTTAAAAAAAAAGAGGAATAAACATGAGGAAATCTGAAGGGCTGCTCCTGGCCTGTTAAGACTCTAAGTACTGAATTTAATTGATTTAGAGGGACCTGCTTAGAGAAGAAAGTTAATGTCCTCTTGGTCTACTGATGTAAGTGAGGCAAAACCCTACTGTTTTTGTTCCCACAGGTGCAGGCTAGCTATTTCATTGCATGCTTAGCTAACAGAGACTGGATTGTTTCCAGCCATCTTCAAGTTTAGGCTTGGATTTCAGAAACTATTGACATTGCACTCAGTGTAACAAATATTTAGATAATGGTAGCTATGGATAAAGCTTTGCATTGATTTTTCTTGAAATTTTATGGTATTGTAATTACTTATATATGTATATATGCACAAATATACACCTGAATATATATTTTCATGCAAATATTGTGAAATGGTAGCTATGAATGGAGCATATACATACTGTTCTGCACCTTACTTTTCTTAACATATATTGTATAGAGTTTCATATCAATATGAAAATATCTGCCTCATTTCTCTTAAGGGCTGCCTTTTAATTCATTGTGACCATGTGCTGTGATATAGTTAATTTGAACCCTATTCTTTAAACCTCAGGTTGTTTCTTTTGGTTTGCTATTACAAATTTTTTCCATGCCATGTAGTAATCTTAAACCTATCTCATTTACTCATGCGTGAATAAATCTATAGGACAGATTCCTAGAAATAAAGCTTTTGGGCCAAATGTTAAGTGACTTTTTAATTTTTAAAGATAGTCCCAATATTCCTTTCATAGACATTGGCACTGATTTTAACTTACCTGGAACCTAATTATTTTCTTGTAGAAACAAAAGATTGATTCATTAATGCTTTGTAGTGTCTGCTGGGTTCACCGAAGCAGCCTGCTATGAAAGCACATTCAATTCATTTAATCCCATGGTACAGGAGCCTGTGCTATGTGCAAAGCATATTTTAAAACAGTGAGCAATAAAATGAACTGTGGGAGGTGACATTGTAGAGATACACTACAAATACTACAGAATACAAAACTACCAACTCCATCAAACATCCACTTTCACACGGGTGGAAAGCACTAAGAACAGCGTGCAGAGAAATCTTGAAATAAGACATCTTTTCTGTTCTTCCCTGGGCTGCTCTCAAAACCTTGAGACACTTGGGGCAGATGAGGTCAGTGGTGTCTTTGGTGCCCCAGTCTTGAGAATCCAGCAACAGAGATCAAACTTGGAATAAATACCCTGAGAAAATGAACACAATTTAGGTGATCAGTCAAGAAAAAGTTTGGGTGGCTGAAGAAGAAGAGGAAAATAGCTTTGGAGGGGAAACAGAGAGGAAGAGGGGTTTGGATTCTTTGGTGGGCAAAGAGAAAAGCTCATGGGGAGACAGGCAGCTTAGAGAGGTCATACAAGAAAAGAAGCCGGTAGGGTTTGTTGAAAAAGGCTCATTGCTGTCTTTACTGTCATTATCTCTCAGGCTTTTTCCACCGAAAGACATTTAATGGGTTCTTACTACCTAGAATCAAATTATTTCCATTTTCTTTCCACTGAAAAGACTCTTTTTCTCTCTTTTGGTCTTCTTCCACGTGACACAGGCCAAAACATTTGGTGTCTTGCCTTCCACTTCCTTGCTTCTTTCCTTCTCTGCACCAAATGGTTACTGCAAACCTAAGCACACAGTTACCCCATTTATGAACCAGAATTCTTATTCCTGTACCTCTTCTTCATCCCAATAGACAGGATGCATGATGCAGGGTAAATCCATCACCTGAATGCAGCCTAAGGTTTGGTTTGTTGAGAAAAGCTCTGAGCTCACTCTATTTCCAATTTCTTCATCATGTCCTCCAAGAAGAATTCCTCTTAAATATCAAACTCAAGAATAAAATACAGATGAAATGCCTAATGGAAGCAAACACTTAGTAACTTCATGAAATCATAGATTAGAAGTTAGGAGAAGATATTAGGGGTCCTTGGTCCCATACTTTAACAAATACAGGAATCACAGACCACTGGCCTGTAATAATAAGAAACTAGTGAGTTTGGGGAAACAGATCAGCTCCTGGGGTAGTTTGATTATTCATACTCCTCCTTATAGTGAGCCTAAACTTGCTTTCCTTGTAACATTTACCTATCAGTCCAATTGCTATCTCTAGAGTCATATGAAATAAATGTAATTTCTCACTCCTCTGATTGCTTATAGTACTTACTATCTATGTCATTTTTCTGGGACTTATTATCCCTTATCTTGAGATATTTAATATAGCAGTTCATCAGTGAACACCTATGAACAATCCATAATATATGTCAGGCGTTTGCATACATTCTGTGAGTATTTCAATAAATAAGACAGTCTATGCCCTCAAAAGCTGATAGTACAAAAGGGGCATATAAACAAATGATAATACCAAGTGTTAAGTCCTATCTCTATTAGAAGTTTGAACAGAACACCACGGTACAACAGAGGAGGGAATAATGGAATGTGTAGATAAGAGACAAAAATTTGAAAACAATTTAATGGTTAAATGAATAGTTGATCTGCATTTTGAAGGATGATTATGCATCTGGCAGGTGACAAAATGGGAACAAAATTTGAGAAGATGTTGGTTTTGGGGATTTCTTTTAGGCTTACAGAGAGGCAAGCTAGAGTATGGAGGCCTAACCTTCTCTGCTCCCTGTTGTGGACAGACTTTAAGATGGCCCCTGAAGATTCCCATCTTCTGGTATCATGCCCTTGTGTAATCCCTTCCCTTTTATTGTGGGTGGGATCTGTGACTTGTTTCTAACCAACAGAATACTACAAAGGTGATAGCATATAGCATTTTACTTCTGCAATTACATTATTAAGGTACAATGCCCATCTTTTAGAAAAGGTTTTTGTGGATACATAGTAGTTGTATATATTTATGGGGTACATGAGATATTTTGGTATAGGCATGCAATGAGTAATAATCGCATCATGGAGAATTGGGTATCTATCTGCCCAAGCATTTATCTTTTATCTTACAAACAACCCAATTATATATACCCTTTTAGTTATTTTAAAATGTACAATTAAATTATTATTGAGTATAGTCACCCTGTTGAGCTGTTGAATATTGGATCTTATTCATTCTTTCTATTTTTTTGTACTCATTAACCATCCCCATTTCTGCCCCCAACAAGCCCCCCACAATGCCCATCTTGCTGGCATTGATGAAGCAAAGGGTCATGTTCAGGAGGCCCATGTGGCAAGGAACTGAGGGTGGCCTTTGGCCAACAACCAGGCAGGAAATGAAGACGGCCTCCATTGACGGCAAGAAAAAGAGGCTCTCAGTCCAATAGGCCATGAGAAACTGACTTCTGCTACCAACCATCTGAGTTTGGAACAGATCTTTCGCAGTCAAACCAACCTGACCAACACCTTTGATTTCAGCCTTGTGAGACCCTGACACTAAGCCATGCCTGGATTCCTGACCTACAGAAGTTGTGTCATACAACAGCAAAAACGTGGAATCAATCCAGGTGCCCATCAAGGATGGATTGGATAAGGAAAATGTGGTGTATACACACCATGGAATACTACATATCTATAAAAAAAGAAAGAAACAATGAACTTCACAGCAACGTGGATGCAGCTGAAGGCCATTATCCTAAGCAAGTTAATGCAGGAACAGGAAACAAAATACTGCATGTTCTCACGTATAAGTGGGAGCTAAACATTGGGTACACATGGAAGGCATGTTTACCATAAAGATGGCAACAACAGACACTGGGGACTACCAGAGGGAGGAGGCAGGGAAACAGGGAAGTGCTGAAAAACTATTGGGTAGTGTGCTCAGTACCTGGGTGATGGGGCTGTTTGTACCCCAAACCTCAGCATCACACCATATATTCACGTAACAAACTTGGACATGTGCCCCTGATCCTAAAATAAAAGTTGAAAAAAAAAAAGAAAAAGAAAGTATGAGCTAATAAATGTGTTATTTTAAGCCACTAAATTTCTGGGAATACTGCTTTGCAATAATAAGTAACGAATATACTTCCCATCCATCTTTTCTCTTCTGATTCCCTTTTTTCCCTCTTCTTTAAATTCTTTCTACTGAGGTATCTCCAGCTTTTCATTTATTTATTTATTTATTTATTTATTTATCTATTTATATTTTTTGAGATGGAATTTCCACTCTGTCACCCAGGCTGGAGTGCAATGGTGCTATCTTGGCTCACTGCAACCTCTGCCTCCTGGGTCGAAGCAATTCTCCCACCTCAGCCTCCCAAGAAACTGGGATTACAGGTACCCGCCACCATGCCCAGCTAATTTTTGTATTTTTAATAGGGACAGGGTTTCACCATGTTGGCCATGCTGGTCTCAAACTCCTGACCTCGGGTGATCCGCCCGCTTCAGCCTCCCGAAGTGCTGAGATTACGGACGTGAGCCACTGCGTCCTGCCTAAGAGCTTGGATTTTTAGAGTCAGAGAAACTTAGATTTGAATCCTGACCTCTCTACTTAACAGCAATGTGAACTTGGGCAAATTATTTAATGTCTCTGAATTTCACTTGCAATATAATGGCTATAAAAAATGGACTCTCAACGCAGCTAATGAGTGGCTAATGGCTCTCAACAGCAATGCCAGCTAGTGTTAACTTGCAGCAGAGGACCTAAAAGAAAGCTAACTTTTCACACTGTTGAAATTAGCCTCCTGTCAGCATAGCTCCAGTATACAGAAAGGATGCCTGTCTCCTCCTTGGCGTTGAATTGTACTGCTCTTCTGTGTTTTCACAGCCTTAGTGTGTACCAGGAATCAAAAAAGAAATGCAAGAAAAAAATTTGCCCCACCATGCCTTGCACCACTATGTCTTCTAGAATTTTAAGAATAGCATACTTGCAGTTCATAGTTACAGCATTTCCCTCCTTCTCCCTCTCTTAGCCTCCTGTCCTTCCCAGAAAACTCTGGGCATGAGCCCATGTGATGGTGGAGACTTGGCTCAATGAAGAATCTGAGTAGAAATATTATGTGTTACTTAAAATCATTCCTTCTCAGTGATGACTAAGGCTTTGGTCCTAGATTAAGTTTGTCTGCTTCTCTTTCTCTCTTTAAATTGTGATCTATTTTAAGCATTTGGAAAATGCCAAAATTATGTTAAAAATCCCCACTCCCATGCCCACACCCTAGATTCAATGAATGTATATATTTACAATATTTAATGTTTCAGATAAAATTAAAGACATTTCATCTCCTACTTCTTTCTGAAGAGGTAGTTCCTATACTGAAGTTTTGTGTGATCCTTCTTGTGTATGCTATTATAAATTTATTACACATTCACAAACATATAGCTGTACATATTATATTATTAGCTATATATAATATTGCTTTGTGTCTTAAAATAGCACATTAATGGTATCACATTTTATCAAATTATAATCTCCTTTCTTTGCTCAACAAAAATATCTTTTAGTTTTATTGATTTTTATGCATATAGAACTTCTTAAGTAATTTTAGATTTTTTTATTTTTATTCTTTACTATTTGATTTTTAATTTTAATTTCTGTGGGTACATAGTAGTTGTATATATTTATGGGGTATATGAGTTTTTTTTAATACAGGCATGCAATGTATAATCATCACATCATGTAAAATGGAGTACCCATCCCCTGAAGCATTTATTCTTTGTGTTACCAACAATCCAATACATTATTTTAGTTATTTTTAAATGTACACTTAAATTATTATTGGCTACAGTCACCCTGTTGTGCTGTCAAATACTAGGTCTTATTCATTGTTTCTAACTTTTTTTTTTTTTTTACCCATTAACCATCCCCATTTCCCTCTCCCACTTCCCTTCCTAGCCTCTGGTAACCCCTCTTCTACTCTCTATCTCCATGTGTTCAATTGTTTTGATGTTTAGATACCACAAATAAGTGAAAACATGCAATGTTCGTCTTTATGTGGCTGGCTTATTTCACTTAGCATAATGACCTCCATAGAACTTATTAAGTAATTTTAATTGCTGTATATTATATAAGAATATATGACAGTTTGTCATTAGCTCATGTCAATGGACATGTAGATTATTTCAGTTTTTTATTTTTACTAATAATACACCACTGACGGCTTTTGCTTTTTGGATCTTAGAATTGAGCAAAAGTTTTTCTGAGTTAAATTCTAGACATGAAATTTCTGGGTCATAGAGTACATGCATTTTCAATTTCACTCAACTTCGCCAAATGGTTTTCCAAGCTTGTTGTACCAACTTACACTCCCTCATTCTCCTCAACATTTAGTATTATCAGACTTTTTTGATAATCAGATGTATGTCAAATGGTATTTGTGTTAGGCTGTTCTTGCATTGCTGAGAAGAAACACTTGAGACTGGGTAATTTATGAGAAAAGAGGTTTAATTGGCTCATGGTTCTACAGGCTGTACAGGAAGCATAGTGCCGGCATCGGCTTCTGAGGCAGGCTCAGGAAACTTACAATCATGGCGGAAGGCAAAGAGGGAGCAGACATCTCACACGACACAGCGGGAGTAAGAGAGAGAGGGGAAAGTTCCACCCTTTCAAACGACCAGACCTCAAGAGAACTCACTCACTATTGTGAGGACAGCACTAAACCATGAGAGACCACTCCCATGATCCAGTCACCTCCCACCAGGTCCCACCTCCAACACTGGGGATTACAATTGAACATGAGATTTAAAGGGGATGCATATCCAAATTATATCAGTATTTTCTTGTTTATTTTTAATACTACGTTTTCCTGATTACTCAAGAGGTTGAGCACCTTCTCCCTGATTATTGATCATTTGGGTTTGGGGGTCCTTGTCTGTGAACTGCCTGTTCACATCTTTTGCCATTCTTAAAATCTTTTCTTTATGAATTTGTAGAAATTCTTTATACATTCCAGGTTCTAGATGGATTGTATTTTGTTAAGTAGAAGTTTTAAATATCCATGTAATCAATTATCTGTGTGATCTATATAATTAGGTCTTTTTCTTCAGAGTTTGTGCTCTTCGGATGTTGTTTAAGAAATCTCTCCCTATGTCAACTTCATTAAAATTTGTTTAGCTGTATGTTTCTTTTTTTTTTTTTCCCCAAGATGGAGTCTTACTCTGTCTCACAGGCTGGAGTGCAATGGCATGATCTTGGCTCACTACAACCTCCACCTCCTGGGTTCAAGTGATTCTCCGACCTCAGCCTCCCTAGTCGCTGAGATTACAGGTGCCTGCCACCATGCCAGGCTAATTTCTTGTATTTTTAATGGAGATGAGGTTTTGCCATGTTGGCCAGTCTGGTCTTGAATTCCTGACCTCAAGTGATCTGCCTGCCTTGGCCTCGTAAAGTGTTGGAATTACAGGCGTGAGCCACCACACCTGGCCGCTGTTTGTTTTCTAAACATTTTAAAGTTTGCATTTTATATTTAGATCTTTAATTTACCTGAAATGTGTTTTTGTATGGAATGATAGAGTTATCTGATCTTATCTTTTTCCATATGGTTAGACAATTGTCTTGCTACTGTTCATATTTATGTGGAACTGTTACGAACTCGCTATTCTTTTTCACTGGTATTTTTGTGTCATATTGCAGTATGCTGTTTCAATTATTCTGGCTTTATAATGAGCTTTGCCTTCCTTGTAAGATAAGCGTCCCTTTCTTATTTGCCTTGAAAATTATGTTGCCTTTCTTTATTCTTTCATATGAATTTTAAGATCAGCCTGTAAATGTGTATGAAAAGCCTTGTAGAGATTTCAATTTTAATTACATTAAGTGTAAAGATTAATTTGGGGAGAAACTGACATCATTATGATGACAGTTCTTACAATTTTTGTATACACTGTGTTCTTCATTTACTTAGGTCTTCTTATGTATTCTTTACTAAAATTGTATACTTTTCTCCATAAAGATCTTCACATCTTTCATTAAATTTATTTCTTGGTATTTTGGTAATTATTGGTTGTATACGAATATAATGGATTTTGATATCATGAGCTTGTATTCAGCAACCTGTATGATTTTCTATGCTCTAATGATTCCAAGATGTTCATGTCAACAATCTTTAGGGTACCATGTATATCCCAAAATCAAGAGTAATTGTAAGGTGACAGCTAAGACTCTGGAAATCATGAAGTGACAGACAAATAGACCACCTAGAATTGTATTCATCCTTATCAATTCTTTTGTCTCTTATTTAAGTTTCTTGGTCTCCCTCGCCCAACTTCCCCACTGACTGACTAGGACCTTCAGGGACTTGTCGGTATATAGTTTTTAAATTTTTCTTTTAAAGAGATGGGGTCTTGCTATGTTGCCCAGTCTGGCCTCAAACTCCTGGACTCAAGCAATCCTCCAGCTTCAGCCTTTGGAGTGGCTGGGGCTATAGGCGTGCACCACAATGCCTGGCTTGTACATAATTTTCATAGTCAAATAATACTACAAGGTTCTGAAGAGAAAACAGCTGTCCTCTTAGTTACCCAGTTTGGGGAAAATCAAATTTAATATTTTAATTATTATAATCAGAAAAATAGTATTCACAGCAGAGCTACGCACAACTTTTTATTGTCTTATATCACACTTACTTGTCTTGGAGTTTATAATGCATCTATTAACTTTAAAATTTTTTCGCTGTTGTTTTTTTTGCTTCAGTTTTTCACATTAAAGGTTTACCTCACAGGTCTGTCGATGATTGTCTATCGGTTCACATTTAGGAGTGATGATGGGTATTACTTTAGGGTTATTTATTTGTATTACAAATGTTAGTATTTTCGCTTGGCTACTCTGTCAGGCTACAGTGGAGAGGGGACATGGGAAGGAGTTATAAGCAAGCTGTCAGTAAAAGGGTTATAAGGCTCACCATTTAATAGATATATCTTAACTTCGCCCTTTGGTTTTTAATTCAGCTCTTCACCGTATCTAGGGTGCTGGAGTCCAGTGTCCCTCCATGACAACTTCTCCCCAGGGTAAACCTCAAATCGTCTTTCAGAAAATGTGCAGAGGGACAGCCATGCCCAAGTGAGTATCACAGGGTATTTGGTAAGAGGTGTCTACATCTCCTTGGTCAGATGGTTAAGCTATCCTTCTGTTTGCAGTGCCAAGCTTCTCCCACCATGTTCAAAGTTAATGCTCAGTTCCTGACTCTCCATAGGGTTTATGTTCCTTCTTCATATTTTTATATGAGATTTTTGAATTAAATTTTTATTAATACAGAAAAATTGAAAAGTAACATTATATATGTTTGTAATACTTGCATATATAACCCTCTCCTCCTCCCAATTTCTTATTCATCTTTTGACTTTATTTCTTGGGTGTTTGTGATGCAGAAGTTTTTTTTGTTTTGTTTTTTAAAATGAACTCGAAAGTTATGGCTTCTGTATTTTGTGTTATAAAAGTCTTTACTACCTGAAGAGTTAAAGAATATTGTCCTATCTTTTCTTCTAGAGCTTTATAGTCCCTCTTTGTCTTCACAGTTTTGGGGAGGTACATGAATCTGAAATTTATCTTGTTTTCAGATATATCAGGTAGTGGTAGGTATCCAACACTATTTTTTTCCCAGCTATCTATCTAGTTGTTTCAGCACAATACTTTGGATTTCTTATCCTTTTTATGATGATTTGAAGTGTTACTTTTATATTGAATTAAGATCCTTTCTAAGTTTCTATTCTTTTTCACAGATTAAAAAAATATGCTCCATTTATCACATCATTCCAATTATTATTGTAGTTTAAATATAGGTTTAACTATCTGGCTTGGTAATTTGGGGTTTAATAATAGGTTTTGCTATCCTCCTACAGAAATCTGGAGAACATCCCAGTAAATGCTCAGGTCAAAAGCCTTGCAGTAATCCTTTTCTCACACACTACATTTAATCCATCAGCAAATCTGGCCCATTCTACCTTCAAAATATATCCTGAATCTGACCAACTTTCTAGCACTCCATCCTAGACAAAGCCACCATCATTTCTGTCCTCTGGATTATTGCAATAGCCTCCCAAATGATTTCCTTGCTTCTGTGCTTGGTGTCTCTATTATTTAGTTTCCACACAGAAGCCTGGGTCAGAATAAAAGCCACCATGGCTAACACAGCTCTAATGACCTCTTGGACCTCATCCCCTCCCACTCCCTCTGTCACTCAGCTCCAGCCCCACGGGCATTTTAGCTATTTCTTAAGCAAATACATCAACAAACTAAGCATAATTTACCGCAGGATACCTTTACCCTTGTCATTCCCATTTCCTGGAACTTGCTTCCCTCAGCTATCCATTTAGGATGGTGGCAGAGACGCAAGACAGGGAGAAAGAAGTGTAAATATACTATGTCATAATTTCTTAATAGGTAGTAGCTAAATACCGTCTAAACAAATAGGGCCAGGTGCAGTGGCTCATGCCTATAATCCCAGCACAGTGGGAAGCTGAGCACAGGCGGATCACCTGAGGTCAGGAGTTCTAAACCAGCCTGGCCAACATGGTGAAACTCCATCTCTACTAAAAATACAAAAAATTAGTTGGGCGTGGTGATGGTGCTTGTAATCCCAGCTACTCAGGAGGCTGAGGCAGGAGAATTGTTTGAACCCAGGAGGCAAAGGTTGCAGTGAGCCGAGATCACCCACCGCGTTCCAGCCTGGCTGCCAGAGACGCCATCTAAAAACAAACAAACAAACAAACAAACAAAACAAATAGAAGAGTATGTATATTTCACAATAAAGATAAAACAAAAATACAAACTTTTCCAATTGTCAGAAAAAATGTAACAACACAAAACAAGCATAGAACATATAGTGAAATATCATTAAAAATAAGCTAAAAATAAGAAAGAAATCATCAAAAAAATGATAGAACTAGCACTCATCTGTTATATCCATAAATGTAAATATGCTAAACCTATCTATTATAAAATAATCTGCTTGGATTATAAAGCAAAGAACATTTACATTGTATACTCTGTATATAGAGAGAGCACTAAATTAAAATTACTTAGAAAACTTTAAAAGAATGAACAAAGACATTCTAAGAAAATACAAATAACAGGAAAGTAGAAGTTGCAATATAAACATCAGATGAGACTAAATTTGGAAAATAATTACAAAGATGGCACTTTATAAAGGAAGCAATACACAACGATTTTACAGATATGTCCAACTTATGTATACATTTTGACTAAAATGTTGGAAGTTGGAACTGGGATAGGGTGGGCAGTGGTAGACAAACTGGAGGCCCATGTGTTGCTCTCTATGGCCTTGAACCATCATTTAAGAGCCCCTTCACTTTTTAGGCCATGTCCAAGGACTGCCTGTCTAGTTATTTACCTTTATTTTTCTTTAAAGTAATTCATTTCTTAACTGAAATAGGTTTATTTAAAATAAAAAATGTGAGAGTTAATACCTTATCTTTAAAGGTCAGCTGTTTTTCCATTCTGAGACTACAGTCCCATGTTACCAGATCATTCAAAAGAAGTTGGAAATCCATCTTTTGGATAAAATCTTCTGATTTTTAAATGTTAGCTTAATGGGACAAACACAACTTGCCTATGATTCTTTTGAGCATGAGTCCAACAGCTTTCAGTCTTTATGTTGGTAGGTGCTGGGAACACACAAAGGGAATCCGTCTCCTTGTCTCCTCTCTCCAGTCTCGGCCAATGGCTCCCACAACTCAATACCTCCTTCTCTCTTCTCCCTTCATCCTCAGCCACTGATACACCCCTTATGACACATCTGAGCTTTAAACTCCTTAAGGGCAAGAATTATGTCTTACTGCACTTTCCCTCCTAGGGCCTACCAGAATTTCTGGCACATAACAGGTGCCCATTGACTCATTCATTCATTCAACATATGTTAGACAGCAGGGAAATATATAAGACTTTATAGCTTAAGTAAAAAGGTTTATAGTCATTGTAAAACTATTGACAAAAGCTATGCACAGTTCTAAGGGCCATAAGGAAGGGGCACCTAATTTACCTGACTGAAGGAGTAGGGATGGCTCTGCAGAGGAAGCAATATGCAGATTTACCCAGGAAAAAAAAAAAAAAAGACCAGCCTGGGCAACATGGTGAAACGCTGTCTCTACAAAAAAATACAAAAATTAGCTGAGTGTGATGGCACATGCCTGTAGTGCCAGCTCCTCATGAGGCTGAGGTGGGAGAACTGCTTGAACCCAAGAGGTTAAGTCTGCTGTGAACTCAAGATCACGCCACTGCACTCCAGCCTGAGTGACAGAGCAAGACTCTGTCAAGAAAGAAAAGAAAGAAGGAGAAAGAGAAAGAAAGAAAAGAAAGAAAGACAAAAGCAAAGAAAGAAAGAGAAAGAAAGAGAGACGTGGGGAGGTGTTGCAAGAAATTAGAGCAGCTTGGTGTGGGATCTAGATTAGATTGGAATAGCTGATTTCTAGGGTATGGGTTGCAGATGAAGGATGACAGTGCCAGAGGGGTAGTCAAGCTTGGTCTTGAAGAACTACACTGAATAACCTTGATCTACACTAGCATACTACGCAACCTAATGCCTCTTCTTTTCCCCAGTGGCTTCCCGCCCCCCATCCCCTACCCCCACAGCCCCTCTTAACTTCCTCTTATTCTTGGACTGGGCACATCTCATCTATTCTTTGTGTGCCAATTCAAGTGCCACTTTCTCTGGAAAGACAGTCAGTCTAACCACCCTGTAGCCCCCAAGAACAGAATTTGAATAGACTGAACAACTGTACTTTGCATATACTTTTATTTTAACACTAGTTATTCTGTTTTATAGGTATTATTATTAGTTTTCCTGCTAGGCTGGAATTGTTTTAAATTTTAAAAATTAATCTTTGTATCCAAAGCATCAGTATGATACCTTGTACTTGTTCCCTGAATGAATAGATACCTGCATATGAGTGTTTCGGAAATGCAAAAGGAGTAAGATTGTCAGTGATGTCAGAGGACAGAGAATTTGAAATGGACATTAAGAATAGGTAATGTTTAACATAAAAAAAGAATGAGAGAAGACATATGCAAATGGAATAGCATAAGCAAAGATACGGAGGCCAAAATGTGAAGGCAAATACTGCAGAATAATGAATAATGACAAGGGCTGAAACGTAAGGCAGGCATTAGGGAGTATTTAATGATAAGAAAGTTAAGTTAGGGCTATATTATGAAGGGCCTTGAATATCCAGTGAGGGGTTCAGATTTAATCCATTAGTTCATATGGACATTATTCATAAATGTTTATTTTCAGATTTTTAAAAAATTAAATAGAGTAATCAAAAGACAATGGGAAGACAAATGCAAATGTATCTACTTTGGATGTTTATTTGCGGATTGTCCAGGAATCGAAACGTGGGAGTTCTAGCTGTTTAAGAGCCCTTCTCTCTGAGGTCAGTTTACATCTCTGAGGTCATCATGTCTAATATAGGACTAGACATTACAGTGAATATTTAATCAGTATTATTGGCGTCCTGAATATTGATGGCTGCTTTGGTAGAAGGTTAGCTAGTAGTCCACTTTGAGAGGGAATAGAGTCCTTGAAAAATAATTGATGGAGAGTAAAAAGATTATGCCATGAAGTAATTGGGAAGTAAGCACTGGGAAGAACTGAAATTGAGAAGAGGAAAAATAATAATAATAAATAATAACATGGTGTCTTGGCACTTATTATGAACCAGACATTGTGCTACGTGCTTTAGGTATATTATCTGCCTTGTTCCTGACAACAGCCTTTTGAAGTAGCTATCACCTTTTGTATATTACACACACAGAGTCTGAGGTTCAGAGATTCAGAGGTTCATTTGCTGAGGGTCACACAGGTGATAAAGTGGGGTGGAGCCAAGATCTGCAGCCAGCTTTGTCTGATAATAGTCGTCTCAAAGAGTAGAAAGGTAGCAGAAAAAGAAGCAAAAGAAATGTTGTAACATCTCTCTCTTTTTTTAAATGTATAAAGGATGGAACAAAAAAAAGCAGAGAGATAAATTCTGCTGTACCTTGAGGAGGGGAAAAGGCAAAAGGAACTTCTGATAGGGTTGGGACATCTGCTTATTCCTCTAAGGTCACCGGAATTAAAAAGGACTGCCAGCAATGTCTCAGGGAAAAAAACACTTCATCAGAAATCTCTGCGAAGATTATCTGTTGCTAGGATTAATTTCCAAGTCAGCTGGTCCTCAGGGATTATATAGGTGAAACTTTGATGTGAAATCCCATTTTGCCTAGTTTTAGACAGACTGTGATGGAGTGTGATGTAAAGCTTATGGTTTATGTGTGAAGAAACATCTGAAGAAATAAGATCTGAAGAACAGTTTTTAAAGGACACAGGATTAAGCAGCAAGCTAAATATTTGTCTACATACATTATTATTCAGGAATAAAATTGTTGGAGATCATATGATTAGGTGGAAGACATATTGTGGTAAAGCAGCATAATATTATAATCCAGGGCAGATTTTTGATATGTGGACCTGAGAATATAAAGGTTTGGTGGCACTGTGACCAGTAAGTCCCAAAAAAAAAAAAAAACCACTCTGAAATCTGATATCCAGTTAGAGACTATTTTAGATGTTGTGGAAGCTGAAGTCTGTGTAATGAATAGAAGTCCAGAGAGCATGTCAATTTGGGTCAACTCATGCTTAAATGCCTCAGATAAGAAGGAAAGGGACCAATTCACATATAAAATCTATGCCAAATAGCCTGTTGTCTCTAGAGTCAGAATAGAACAAACAGGAGGAGGACAAAAAAATCAAAGGAAAGTAGACATTATCCATATCCTTGCAAAAGGTGTGTAGCCTGAAGGATCAGAGCTACATAAATAATAAAGAGATAAATAAGTGGGAGAAATTTGTAGGCTTCAGGAAAAAAAAATTAAGGGAAGATCTTCAAAAAAGAAGCATGGAGATAGAGGAAGGGACAGAAGAGAAAAAATGAATTAAAATGAGTTAGATTCACATTTGGTCATGATACAAGAGGTGATCTGTTGCTGCAGAAAGCATATAGGACTTCACGTCAACATTATATACCTTCTTTGTTAATGGCATGACCTTTGCAAGGCACCTAACTTTTCAGGCCATCTATAAAATAAGGACCAATAAACCCTACCAACTTTACAGATTTGCTGTGAAGATCAACTGAGATGATATATGAGAAGCATTTTAAAATCTCTATAAAACCCTATGCAGAAATAATAGTATTCATTAGCAGGCAGGTTCTTATAAAATCTAGTTTAAACTGATGGTGCAAGTGATTAAGTGGGGATGAAAATTGAATGGAATTTGCTTAGAAGGAAGGTTGTCATGGAATTCCATGTCACACTGAGCTCTGCTTCTATTGTTTGGGCTGTATTCAAACATTGAGAGTGAGCCTATTTGTTTATTTGTGTTAGTGCCATTGAACAGACAAGTATGACAGGTGTTTCCTTACAGGTCTCTTCCTTATGTATACTATTATAAAGATCCAGGTCATGCTGGATTTTTTCCATGCAGTGTTTTCCAACTATTAAAACCCAAAGAGCTCCCACCTCTTTTCTGGATCTCTCTGAATTTTCTGCTTATACAATAACTTCCAATATAAATTATAATCAGGCTGGGCACGGTGGCTCATGCCTGTAATCCCGGTACTTTGGGAGGCTGAGGCAGTGGATCACTTGAGGTCAGGAGTTCGAGACCAGCCTGGCCATCATGGTGAAACCCCGTCTCTACTAAAAATACAAAAATTAGCTGGGCACACCTGTAATCCCAGCTACGCAGGAGGCTGAGGCACGAGAATCACTTGAACCTGGGAGGCAGAGTTTGCAGTGAGCTGAAATCGCACTACTGCACTCCAGCCTGGGCGACCAAGCGAGACTCGGTCTCAAAAATAAATAAATAAATAATAATCCCCAAAGGCATGTTTACTTCTTTTCTAATTGCATACTTTATACCTTGATTTCTATCTGTAAAGTGACTTTTTAGCTTGCAGTTGGTATTTGTAAGACATCATAAATACTACAAATATATAAATACACAGAGATATACCATAGAAAGTTGACTCTTCATTTCATCCGAGTGCGGAATTATGAATATATGGAATCCTTCTTACCCAGCAGGAAAAAAAAAACCCATAAACTTAAAAGAGTAAGGGTAGAGAAATGTGCTTCACCCCAGAAGTGTATTAAACATTTCCTATAATTTAAGATGTATTTGAAGGCAATGTGAGATTAGAAATTTTATTTGATATTACATGTGGAATTTCTTAGAGCTCTCTGCCAGTGTGCATTTTTCTGTCCTACTGATAAAAGAACAGTCTAAGATCCCCTTACTTTGATCAGCTTACAGTCTGGTTTTTGATTCTGCCCTTAGGGTTTATATTCGCCCCTTTCTTAGCACACCAATAAAAAATTAGACGGTTGAAATCAACTTGCTTCTTTGAAATCAAGTGGCACACGTGCATTCGTCAACAGTATCACTGTTTTTCTAATCTTGATGAAGTGTTAATGAGAAACTTCTACAAAAAAGAGACTTTGACCCACTCCCACCTATTACCTTACCACAGAAATGTGTTGTCAGGCCTCCCCCTGGTGGACATGGTAACAAGTGCATAGAGGTCCCTAAAACTTGGATTTCTCACTAGGCTTTCCCCCTATGGAGCAGATATTAATAAAGGAGGCTAAAGGACAAAAGAGGAACTAGAAAAAAGTAGAAATGTTTGAGCTACTTCTCTCAGTTCAGATTTCCAACCTCCTCACCTTTGTGTGATGTGTTTATTGCTTCTGTCCTTCTCCAGTTTCTTCTTCTGGGTCTTTTAACATTATTAATCAAAGGGTATAACAAAGAAAGCAACCTTAGTCCCCAGAACAACTGTAGTTGGTTGACTATAGTTACCACTAAGCTATAGTTTCTAATAAAGAAAATGGCTTCTTTGAATGGAAACACTCATGACTATGCAGTAGTTATGATTCCTACTCATTCTGACATGCTGTTAAACTGCTGAACCAAAATGGACAGTAATGAATAATGGAACACACTTACCAGGTGTTGTGCACAGTGGAAAGTGCTTCCTGTGCATTCCACCTTCATGACAACTCTGTGAGATAGTTTTCTTATCCATGTTTTTTTTTTTTTTGAGACGGAGTCTCGCTTTGTCGCCCAGGCTGGAATGCAGTGGCGCGATCTCGGCTCACTGCAAGCTCCACCTCCCGGGTTCACGCCATTCTCCTGCCTCAGCCTCCTGAGTAGCTGGGACTACAGGCGCCCGCTGCCACGCCCGGCTAATTTTTATTTTATTTATTTATTTTTATTTTTTAAATTTTATTATTATTACACTTTAAGTTTTAGGGTACATGTGCACAATGTGCAGGTTAGTTACATATGTATACATGTGCCATGCTGGCATGCTGCACCCATTAACTCGTCATTTAGCATTAGGTATATCTCCTAATGCTATCCCTCCCCCCTCCCCCAACCCCACAACAGTCCCCAGAGTGTGATGTTCCCCTTCCTGTGTCCATGTGTTTTCATTGTTCAGTTCCCACCTATGAGTGAGAATATGTGGTGCTTGGTTTTTTGTTCTTGTGATAGTTTACTGAGAATGATGATTTCCAATTTCATCCATGTCCCTACAAAGGACACGAACTCATGATTTTTTATGGCTGCATAGTATTCCATGGTGTATATGTGCCACATTTTCTTAATCCAGTCTATCATTGTTGGACATTTGGGTTGGTTCCAAGTCTTTGCTATTGTGAATAATGCCGTGATAAACATACGTGTGCATGTGTCTTTATAGCAGCATGATTCATAGTCCTTTGGGTATATACCCAGTAATGGGATGGCTGGGTCAAATGGTATTTCTAGTTCTAGATCCCTGAGGAATCACCACACTGACTTCCACAATGGTTGAACTAATTTACAGTCCCATCAACAGTGTAAAAGCGTTCCTATTTCTCCACATCCTCTCTAGCACCTGTTGTTTCCTGACTTTTTAATGATTGCCATTCTAACTGGTGTGAGATGGTATCTCATTGTGGTTTTGATTTGCATTTCTCTGATGGCCAGTGATGGTGAGCATTTTTTCATGTGTTTTTTGGCTGCATAAATGTCTTCTTTTGAGAAGTGTCTGTTCATGTCCTTTGCCCACTTTTTGATGGGGTTGTTTTTTTCTTGTAAATTTGTTTGAGTTCACTGTAGATTCTGGATATTAGCCCTTTGTCAGATAAGTAGGTTGCAACAATTTTCTCCCATTTTGTAGGTTGCCTGTTCACTCTGATGGTAGCTTCTTTTGCTGTGCAGAAGCTCTGTAGTTTAATTAGATCCCATTTGTCAATTTTGGCTTTTGTTGCCATTGCTTTTGGTGTTTTAGACATGTAGTCCTTGCCCATGCCTATGTCCTGAATGGTAATACCTAGGTTTTCTTCTAGGGTTTTTGTCAATAAATGTAATCCAGCATATAAACAGAACCAAAGACAAAAACCACATGATTATCTCAATAGATGCAGAAAAGGCCTTTGACAAAATTCAACAACCCTTCATGCTAAAAACTCTCAATAAATTAGGTATTAATGGGAAGTATCTCAAAATACTAAGAGCTATCTATGAGAAGCCCACAGCCAATAGCATACTGAATGGGCAAAAACTGGAGGCATTCCCTTTGAAAACTGGCACAAGACAGGGATGCCCTCTCTCACCACTCCTATTCAACATAGTGTTGGAAGTTCTGGCCAGGGCAATTAGGCAGGAGAAAGAAATAAAGGGTATTCAATTAGGAAAAGAGGAAGTCAAATTGTCCCTGCTTGCAGATGACATGATAGTATATCTAGAAAACCCCATTGTCTTTGCCCAAAATCTCCTTAAGCTGATAAGCAACTTCAGCAAAGTCTCAGGATACAAAATCAATGTAGAAAAATCACAAGCATTCTTATACACCAATAACAGACAAACAGAGAGCCAAATCATGAGTGAACTCCCATTCACAATTGCTTCAAAGAGAATAAAATACCTAGGAATCCAACTTACAAGGGATGTGAAGGACCTGTTCAAGGAGAACTACGAAGCACTGCTCAATGAAATAAAAGAGGATACAAACAAATGGAAGAACATTCCAAGCTCATGGGTAGGAAGAATCAATATCGTGAAAATGGCCATACTGCCCAAGTTAATTTATAGATTCAATGCCATCCTCATCAAGCTACCAATGACTTTCTTCACAGAATTGGAAAAAACTACTTTAAAGTTCATATGGAACCAAAAAAGAGCCCACATCGCCAAGTCAATCCTAAACCAAAAGAACAAAGCTGCAGGCATCATGCTACCTGACTTCAAACTATACTACAAGGCTACAGTAACCAAAACAGCATGGTACTGGTACCAAAACAGAGATATAGATCAATGGAACAGAACAGAGCCCTCAGAAATAACACCGCATATCTACAACTATCTGATCTTTGACAAACCTGAGAAAAACAAGCAGTGGGGAAAGGATTCCCTATTTAATAAATGGTGCTGGGAAAACTGGCTAGCCATATGTAGAGAGCTGAAACTGGATCTCTTCCTTACACCTTATACAAAAATTAATTCAAGATGGATTAAAGACTTAAATGTTAGACCTAAAACCATAAAAACCCTAGAATTTTTTGTATTTTTTTAGTAGAGACGGGGTTTCACGGTGTTAGCCAGGATGGTCTCGATCTCCTGACCTTGTTATCTGCCCACCTCGGCCTCCCAAAGTGCTGGGATTACAGGCTTATCCATGTTTTGTAGGTTCTTAAAGAGGCTAAATGACCTGACCTAACGTCCTTATCTCTTTGTTAGGGATTCCCCCAATGTGCTCAATAATGAGCAGTGAATAATGAAAAGAATGGTCTTGATATAAATACCCACTTAACCTTCTTCTTCAAAAATCACATGGTGGTATAGCTTAATGTATTTATTTTTATTTTTAATTTTTTTGAGACAGAGTCTTGTTCTGTCACCCAGGCTGGAGTGCAGTAGTGTGATCTTGGCTCACTGCAACCTCCGCCTCCTGGGTTCAAGCGATTCTCCTGCCTCAGCCTCACGAGTAGCTGGGATTACAGGCACCCCCCACCACAGCCGGCTAATTTTTTGTATTTTTATTTTTAGTAGAGACAGGGTTTCACCATGTTGGCCAGGCTGGTCTTGAGCTTTGGACCTCAAGTGGTCCATCTGCCTCAGCCTCCCAAAGTGCAGGGATTACAGGCGTGAGCCGCCACATGTGGCCGGTATAGCTTAATTTAAAACATCACTGTTTGTACTGAGATCATGAAACATTTGTATCCAGGTCAGGTATTTCTTCATTAGGAAATGAGAGGACATAACCACCAGTGATTTAACATTTTAGCCTCTCTGGTGAAGTGATCATGGTTGTGTAAACCAAAAAGTATCAGACAGGTCTCAATCAATTTAGAGATTTATTTTGCCAAGGTTAAGGATTGCGACCCATGACATATCCTCAGGAGGTCCTGAGAACATGTGTCCAAGGTAGCTGGGTTATAGCTTGGTTTTTGTGTGAAGTATATATTGGTTCCATCCAGAACATCAGGACCATTCAGGTCACAGGTGGATTCAAAGATTTTCTGATTGGCAATTTGTAGAAAGATCTAAGTTATTATTTACAAGCTGGGATAAACAGAACAGGGTGTCTGGGTTAAGATAAGCAGTTGTGAAGATCAAAGTTATTATGTAGGTAAAGCCTCAAAGGTGGCTGCTTTTAGAGGCAATAGATGGCAAATATTTCCTCTTCAGACATTTAAAAGATGTTAGAGACTCTCAGCTAATCTCCTCAGGATCAGAAAAAGATCTGGAAAGGGAAGGGGATTCTCTATGGAATGCACATTTCCCCCACAAGAGGCAGCTTTGCAGGGCCATTATAAAATATGTCAAAGAAACATATTTTGGGACAAAATACTTTCATTTCCTTCAGGGCCTGCTATTTGTCATGTAATGCTATACTAGTGTCAGGTTATTTCATCTTTTTTTTGAGACCAAGTCTTGCTCTGTTGCCCAGGCTGGAGTGCAGTGGCACGATCTCGGCTCACTGTCACCTCCGCCTCCTTGGGTCCTGTTTCGGGATCCTGAGTAGCTGGGATTACCATCACACCCCACTAATTTTTGTATTTTTAGTAGAGACAGGGTTTCACCATGTTGGCCAGGCTGGTCTTGAACTTCTGACCTTAAGTGATCCACCTGCTTTGGCCTCCCAAAGTGCTGGGATTACAGGCATGAGCCATGGCACCCGGCTGGAATTTCATGTCTTGTTGCTACCAAGTCTGTCAGTCTTAAGATCTCTATTTTAATGTTAATGCTGGTTTGTTGTGTCTAAACCCCAAAAGGAAGAGGATATAATGAGACATATCTGAGTTCCCACTTCCCAACATGACCTGATCTGGTTTTTCATGTTTGTTTGGCATCACTTTGGCTGAGAGGGGGTCCATTTAGTGGGCTGGGAGGCTTAGTTTTATTTTTGGTTTACATTTGAATACAAGACCTTTTAAGTCTTGGCCAAGGCAATGTGAGCTGCCTCTTCTAACTACTTAATCCTGACATTGAGTCAGGAGTGACAACTAGATTTCATCTTGCATATTAAAAGTCAAGAGAAAAAAAACTATTAATGATATTATTCTACCGGAAGGCACACTGCAGACATAACAAGTGGTGGAACCAATCACATCCATCTTGGTGGAAAGGGCAAGGTGTATTTCTCTGAACTGGTCTCCAAGCCTTGAAACTTGCTGCCTCCATTTCCCTTCAAAAACATAACTCATTTTTTAATTCTTATTGCCCTGACATGGGTGGTTCTAGATTTATGCCCCTTGTACTTATATAGCTTTTGTACTTCACTCTCTCACCTCATAGCTCTAATCATATTAATTAATAAGGACCTTTTTATTTGTCTCTAACACTAGCCTTTTCTCCTACTAAGAGGGATGTGTGTATGTGTATTGATGAACTCCATGAGGGCAGAAATTGTTTCCGTCTTGTTACCTACAGTCTGGCAAACAGTAGGTGCTCGATAATGTGAAAGAAAAGTAACTCAGAGCAGTCTGAGCTATGTGAGGTATGCAGAATTAATCAGGCGAGAGACAGGAATAAGAGACTTCAATCACACCCTTACCCACTGATATGGTCAGGCTTTGTGTCCCCACTCGAATCTCATCTTGAATTGTAAACCCCATAATCCCCATTAAGTCAAGGGAGAGACCAGGTGGAGGTAATTGAATCATGGGGGTCATTTCCCCAATGCTGTTCTCACGATAGTGAGTTCTCAGGAGAGCTGATGGTTTTATAAGGGGCTCTTCCCCCTTTGCTTGGCACTTCTCCTTCCTGCTGCCCCGTGAAGAAGGTGCCTTGCTTCCCCTTCACCTTCTGCCATGAGTTTAAGTTTCCTGAGGCCTCCTCAGCGGTGCTGAACTGTGAGTCAATTGAGCCTTTCCTTTATGAATTACCCAGTCTTGTGCAGTACTTTATAGCAATATGGAAACAGACTAATAGACCCACCCACTCATGCCTGGGGGCAATTTTTTAAGGGCACTTTGTTTCTCCTTTCCTTTCCTGTAATTTCCAGACTAGCTAATAAATTACCTAAAATGTTATCACAAGTTACACAATGTAACCCTTACCTGTTATCTTCACGTTACTGGAATTTGTAATAGGAAGAACGATGTATAGCCCATCAATAGCTTATTATGGTTAATGAACCAATGAACCAATGTAAGAACTACTGCCCCCCCCTTTCCCCCACCCCCACCATACACACTTTTTTTTCCTTTAAAAACCCACTTGTAACTGCTGCTAATCAGGGTATACCTTCAGGGCAACTTCAATCTGTGTCTCCTGGGTTGCAGTCCTCAAATATGGCCCAGGTAAACTTTTTGCCTATATTAATTTTGACTCAGTTTCTTTCTTTAAGCCAACAATAATTATTTGTAGAAATTACTATAAAATGGTCATTTTTTCTCTCATGCATAAAAGTTCTAAAAATTTTCTTTTTCCAAAATTGTTTTAGGAGGTTAACAAGTTTGCCAATGTTCAATCATTTCTCCATATTAAAATTATGTAGGAAACAACTCTGAATCATTGTACTACTTTTAGCAAGTGACATGATTTTAGGCTAAGGAGGCTAAGCTAGTCTATATTATGTGCGAGATACTGTGATAGATATTTAAATTCATTATCTCTAATGCTTGAAGGGTAAGGACAATCTCCCTTTTACATGATAAAAAAGTAAATAGGATGGAGAGAGATTATTAGGAATTGGTTCACGTGATTACGGAGGCTGACAAGATCTGCAGGGTGAGTCAGCAAGCTGGAGACACAGGAGAGCAGATGTTATAGTTTTAGTCTGAAAGTAGGCAGGCTTGAGATCCAGGAAGATTCCTTATTTCAGTTCAAAGTAGTCAAGCAGGAAGAATTCTCTCTTCCTGGAGAAGGACAACATTTTTGCTTTATTGAAGCCTTTAAAGGATTGAATGAGGCCCACCCATGTTAGGGACGGTAATCTGCTTTACTTTGTCTACTGATTTAAATGTTAATCTCATCCAAAACCACTCACAGAAACACCCAGAAGAATGTCTGAACAAATATCTGGGCACCTTGTAGCCCTGTCAAATTGCAACATAAAATTAACCATTAGAAAGAATAATTTCTTCAAGATCTCAAATAATGAGGGGCAGATCAGGGATCTGATTTTAAGTCTGACTTAGAATTCCATGATTGTTGTCCCCACATTGCCCCAAGGGCAATCACCAGGACTTCCAGGCTGACAAACACTAGAAACTTTAGTTGTCTTTATAGCAGCTTTCTCCCAGAGCACTGGCCAGATTTGAAATAACCAAGTACCACATATCTCCCCAGTTATGTATGATACACCATGTGCACACTGGTTTAAAACAAGCTGACTTGGATAGCAGTTTTGTTGGTTGGTTGGTTTTTATACCACAAGTTTAGCCACAGAAGTGCTGATTAGGTAGACTACTTTATAGCCAATCTTGTCAGAATAAGAGCTATTCAGTACATTTTCCTAAAAGCCATGTTCAAAAATTTAGAATACATGATGTAAACAAATATGAAAAAAAAAAGGTAATCAGGTTTGGGGGCAGAACAAGACAAAATATTGACTTCTTGGCAGTTACCTTTGTATCCTTTAAAAATCGTGCATTCAAATCTATTTATTAAACAAGTATTTACTGAACATCTGCTATGTACTTGTAACTGTTCTGGGTACTGAGACTACTGTAATAATCAAAATTTTAAAAATTATTTTCTTTCTCAGGGATTAAAAAAGGTGAGTGCTTGAACGTTATAATTATTTTCCAAACCAGATGCCAAAAGCGTAAGGGAGTCACAGAAATGTAAACTGCTGCAAGTGACCGAACTTTTTGGAGTACAAAGGTACTGCAAGTTCAGGGACATATACCAAATGCATATACTAGATGGCATTGTTAAATTATGAAATGTAATTTATGGTTTCATATTTTCATTATCAGAGACTCAACACTAGGTGGCATCCAGGGTCAGGCTGAAAGCAGTAACTAGCAATGGAAAGCCAATCATACTAGCTTCTGTGCTAGATGCAGCTTCCCTGTGGATTCTAAGAGAAACAGTTTTAAAAGAGAAAGCGGTGAGGTTGCTTTAACTAATGATCAAAATGTTCTTTGCTGGGAGGGATGTGAAAGTGAAAAGATATAGAAGGTTCATGTGAAGGCTACAGGGTAGACTGCATTGGAAAGATGAAGGCTGAGACATTTTAAAAGTTTAAAATCATGGTATTCAAGGAAAACACATAGCATTATTGTCTAGAATAAGGAGAAGAAACCTGTTAAGAAAGTTTAGGATTAAAAAAAAGATTACTGTGCAGATATGGATGACATAAGTGGAACTCTACTTTTCACAGCTGGGAGACTCTGAAATAAATTTAACAGACTTTGCTAAGTTTAATTGATGATAAAGCCATAAGAGACATAATCTCTCGTCTGTATCTCATGTCGATCTTGTATAATGAGTTAGATAAACCACTGCTTATGAAATTGTTGGCAGGCAGTATCACCAGCAGAAAAATTATTTACCTCCCAGTAATGAGCATTCAGGCAGGTGGGCAATGCTCGAAATTATTTTAAATGAAAAAGCTGGGAATCTACATAATGCTGCATATTTACAAATGAAAACGATGTCACAATTAAAGAACAAAATATTAACATGAATTGACTTCTGGTTATCTGTAAGGGACAGGATGGAAGAACTAGAAATACATTATCCACAGAGACACAGGTATTAAAGAGAACATCTATTTTACACAATATCTAGCTGACAACATTCTAAGCTCAGCATTTTTCTGTTCCATGCTTGGGGTTGAACTGTCTTTTTTGTTGTTCAGGGATGTAAGAGCTAACACCATAGCAACACTTCTAATTTATAATCTTGTATTTCCTCACTGATTTACTGATTAAACAATTTTTCCCCTTTAGGGCAATTCCTGGCAATTTTGGTTAACACATTAACAATAGATCTCCCTGTTGTGTGTTTCATTTAATCATTTAAAGTTATGGGTTGGGCACATATTAGGATGTATTGGCTTTACCCTTAGTTTGGATCCATGATGGTAAACTGAATGGAAGTAAGGACTTTTTTTTGTTTTTTACAGTAACTTTCCATGAAGTCTCACCTCAACACATTGTGCTAATGAAAAATTCCATATAACACAAGCTAAATCTCAAAATAAAACTGTTACTTTAATACCTTAATAAGTCTCAGAACTTTAGATAGGATGTTGGCTTAGTGGTTCCCAGACTTTTAAATTCCATGGAGCAGTGAAAAAAAAAAGTAGGGATCAACATTGGGCTGCCACCTTACTATTTTGCCAAGCTACTACAATCAACATTTCATAAAAGACACTTAAATACCATAAGAGCTGAAATAATCATAATAAAAAAATCAAATTTGAGCTTTCTATCAGCATTATTTATATTTTTCCTTTGAGGAGAGCTGAATATTTACTGTTGGCCTAGAATATGGGAACAATTGCCTAAAATGCCATTTAGTCCATTCACTTCACAATTTAAAAGGCTGAGAGGTGAGTGGCTTTGCCTGAGGTCAGCTAGTATTAAAATCAAGGAGAAAAAGCACAGCTTCTGACAACTAGAATTACACACCCTCACAGATACCCAAGCACAAAATACTGTGTGTTGCTAATCAGAAGCTATAGTCAATGCCTATCTTAAAGCAAAACCAAATCAAAAACCTCCCTAACTAATGTAAAATCAAAAAATCTCACCTACTTTGTAGGAGAAATAGTAGGTATACATGGTTGTAGCTGTTTTTGTCAAGAAAGTAAATCATAAATTATCATAATTATATAACCTATGCCATAAATAGTGTGAGCTTCTAATTCTCCAAAATGTTTCTCTGTCTCAATTATATGGTCTACAGATGCCTAATAAATGTCTGTTGCATGAACAGATGAACAAGATTTTTCACATTAGAAACTTCTCAACCTAGTACACTCTTCAGAAATAACTAGAATATAAATGACATAGAGAAAAAAAAGATGAAAGCCCCACTTGTCTTGCCTCAACGAAATGAAAAGCACTTAGAAGCATTAAGGTGCTTAGCTAGAACAGTAATTGCACACAATGATTTTTGTGTAAAAAAATCTCATATTAACCTAACCACACTCACTTTGGTTTTTAGGTCAAATAACCTGAAAAGGGTTTTAATCATAAATGAATGCTAGTTCAAAAGCATGTAAACATTTTAACATGACCTTGAAAATACATTTACCTAATTATTTTGGCCTTTCAAAATGCTCAAGATCTATATTTCACAGTAAGGTGGTCATTTATAATTTTGCCATATGTATACACACACTCATATAATCCTATAGTTTTGAGAACTGGTACCAGGTTCCCCCTGACATTACAAAAATGCATGACTAACAATATAATTTCAAATTCAAGATAAAGAATAGTCTGTTAAGTTAGAAGGATGTCCCTTTATCAGAAACACTGGGAGTTGATGCATTTATTTTTCTTTAAAACAGTTCATCTTTAAAAGCATGATTGCTCTGTTTTGCTGACATGCATACTTATCTTAAAAAGAAGGAGGTGGGCAAAGAAAAAATTTACCCTAAGAATCTAATAGAATCAGTTTGTAGGATTTTAGATTTTATGATGAATATGTGACTTAAAGACATGTCCAAGTTAGTTACATGGGCTTCTTAAAACCACTGTACAATTTTGTTACCAACTTTTATCTACAGTAATACACAAAACTACATATTTAAAAATAGCCATGATCATATATTACATAGGATATGCTGCTGTCAGGTTTGATTCCTGTCAAGGTAAATGGATTTTAGCAAGTAGAAATTTGTGATTGACTACTACTGAGAATTCATGTATACTAAAATAAATGATGATGTTTACCTGCTTTATCAATTTCAATTGTTTGCCCAATTTTCTGTAAATTTTGCCATGATTTTCCTTCTAACCTATGAAATTCAAAAACCTAATCTCTTTAAAAATATTTATGAACTATTTGTCTTAAATCTTTTATTGCTAATTATTTTCAGTTTTTATATTTTCTTTTTTCTGAATCAACAATGAATGCAATGTTTCTGCTCGGAGTCTTTGAAGAATATTACATAAACAAACACTTGTCTTCAAATTTTTGCTTTTAAGAAAAAGATCATACAATTTAAAAGCCATGTGCTTGATTAGCTAGAGTGGGAAAAAAAAAAATCTTCCCACGCCTTTGATCTAATCTTGTGACTACTATTTCTGTCAGGATATGTGGCTTAGTGATCAAAAGACTTGACATTATATGTTCCAATTCCTTCAAAATCCTCAGTTCAAGTGCTTACCATTCCTTGGGCCAGAATTCTGGAACATTAGATTTTAAGACATTCTTCATGACTAATTTAAATCTAATATCACCTTTAACTAAATTTTCACTATTGGCTCCTTTAATGGATCCATCTTCATTAAATATCTGTGAAGATAAATATGAGGAAGTTACCACCCCTTTATTATTGACCTGACTTATGAAATTAAACAGAATAACATTTATCAATCATTTTGATTGAAAACGGTGAAAAACAGAAGCCATATTTTCTCAGTGTCATTACCAATGTCAAGAAAATCAAGGCTACAACAGGTCTTTCCTAGATTGTATTAAGAAATTAATGTAGCTGAATCACATCCTATTTAGTTTCCAGGTCAATATGAAAAGATGGTAATTTTTCTTTGAAACTTACAAGTACAATCTGCAAATACATAATTTTGAGAATAATTTAATATGTTGACTTCAAGATACAACTATATTCTATATAAGGTACAACTCTATATGTCAGTATTTTAAAGAAATGGATCCTTACAAGACCAAAATAACCCACAGGCCATGCAGGTTGGTTTTTCCTTTTTTTTTTTTTTTTTGTTTAAACAAATGTGCACCACGATGTTTCAACAAGACAAATGCCATAAATGTGAAAGCTGCAGTTTGCAATATACCACATTTAGAATCCAGCGAAGGTGAATCAGACAGAGGTGGTAGTCATTCTAATTAAACAATCAGGTAACTTCACGACAAGCTGATTTGCAGCATCAAAAGTGTCCATTTAAGTTTCTTTTTTCTTGATGATCAGAGGGCCCACATTGTCTCCAGTCTCTTCGTTATGTTTTGTGTGAGCCCCATCACAGAATGGGAACTAGGAAGAGAAAGAATGAATGTGAAACATCTAATCTCAAAATCAGTATTATGCTCGGCAGAGTGGAAGGTGATGCTTAATTCATATAACATAAAGATTTTCTTGGCTATCTTATATAGGCTTTCTTAAACAGCATATGTAAACTACATATGCTACTTAGTAAGATGAAGAAATTGACTTGTGCATAATACACACATCATTTATTGAATTTCAGTGTGATTGTGATGAGTGTTGAAGGCCTTTCTTATGTTTATATATTAGTTACATTCCTTTCTAGTGAACATGTCCATTGCCTATTTACTTCTAAGAGTTTAAGTTCATTTATTTAAAATCAATTTGCGGCCAGGCGCGATGGCTCATGCCTGTAATCTCAACACTTTGGGAGGTTGAGGTGGGTGGATCATTTGAGGTCAAGAGTTCAAGACCAGCCTGGCCAACATGGTGAAACCCTGTCTCTACTAAAAATACAAAAATTAGCCAGGCATGGTGGCGAGTGCGCATAATCCCAGCTACTCAGGAGGCTGAGGCTTGAACCTGGGAGGGGAAGTTGCGGTGAGCCGAGATTGTGCCACTGCACTCCAGCCTTGGTCTCAAAAAACATAAAAATAAAAAATAAAAAATAAATCAACTGCATATTATTCCTCTGTTATTTTTGCAGCAGTCTTTCCCAAATCTTTTCATTTTGCTTATTTTTTCATATTCTCAATTTCTCCACTTTCATACAAATATGTCAATATCTCCCTTTTTAACATCATTCATGGAGACAGCTTTCTTCTAGAGATGTGAGAAATACAAATTTCCATTCATTTTCATGAATTCACATTTTAGATATAACTGCTGTTTTGGTGTCCAGTGGGAGGGAGAGGGACAAAACTAAATTTCTAACATAGTGTTTTGCAGAGTGTGGTCCAAAGAACCTGAATCCTGCAAGACACTCTGATTTGGTTTCATTCTGTGTTAAAAAAACATATCATATAGCCCATTTGAATCACAGCACACATTATTTTAATTTTGCTATAAAAAACACAATTTTATCCCAGAGTTTCTCAAGGTGACTGGACTATGGACACTTTAAATTTTGATTTCTATTATCATAGTTTTCTGTAGAGCACACTTTGCAAACGCTGTTCTAAGATCCTGTTGCTTCAGCATTACTGGAGGCTATTGCTTCCCACATTATTACCTTTATTCGTAACTTTATCAAAATAAATTCTACATGTAAAAGCACCTATTTATAGGTTCTATGTTACGTTGATCGGCCTACTACGCTGGGATATTTGCATTTTAAACATTTCAGTGTTTTGTAGGGCTAGTTTTCCTTCATTGTTTCTTTTTTTTACTTTTTTTTTTTTTTTTGAAACGGAGTCTTGCTCTGTCGCCCAGGCTGGAATGCAGTGGCGCGATCTCGACTCACTGCAAGCTCCGCCTCCTGGGTTCACGCCATTCTCCTGCCTCAGACTCCTGAGTAGCTGGGACTACAGGCGCCCGCCACTACGCCCGGCTAATTTTTTGTATTTTTAGTAGAGACGGGGTTTCACCGTGTTAGCCAGGATGGTCTCGATCTCCTGACCTCGTGATCCGCCTGCCTCGGCCTCCCAAAGTGCTGGGATTACAGGTGTGAGCCACCGCGCCCAGCCTGTTAACTTTATTAAACTTTATCACTTTATTCCTCCAGATAAGCTTGAGAATGTTTTTTGCCAAGTTTTAATTTCTTTTGTAGTTTTCATCCTCAGATCTCATGTATATTCTGGTAAGATTATTTCTGTCATATTTTTAATCACTATTATAATTTATTTTCATATCTGAACATTCTTGCTATATAAAATCATTTTTAACAAGTATATCCTCTATTGTAAAATGAAAAAATAAGAATTTAATAATATTTCACTTAACTCTTCAGGATTTTACACTTAGAAGGAATAATTATCAGTAATTTTTTTGTTTCTCTATATTTGTATCTTTTATTTCTATTTCATGTCAAATGACAAGAGCTAGCATCTTTGCCTTAATCTTGGTGTTTTGAATGTATCTACACTCTAGAATCTAGAGTTTCACTGTTTAGTCTAAGGTACACTGTTGCTTTGAAGAAGCCTATTTAGAAGAGTAAAGTAAGAGGATTCTTAGCCTTATGAGTAACAAGTACCTCATTACGTGCAGTGAAGGGAGCATAACAGATCAGTGAAACTTCACAATGATGGTATTTAATCTTAAACTTTGATATCCAAAAGGCTACTTAATGTTAAAGTAATCAAATTTTAATCTATCTGTAAATAATTGCAAGAGGCACTAAATTAGCTAAAAATTACAGAAAAACTCAAGGTATTGGCATATCTTATATTTCCAGATATAAATTCTATCCTGTCGTAGAGGGCAGTGTAAATGTAATATATGTAAAGTTTATATTATTTCTTTTTTTGAGGTCAATAAGATGTGGTACACAGTATATTCATATTAGAAACAAGCCTTGATGCAAAAACATAAAGTCAAGCTTTCAGTTTTTTCTTGGCATGGATGAGGAAAGAGGCGATAAAAATTAAACTAAAATGTATCCCACAGCAAAGTACAGCATTTCAAAGTGACATATGTTTAATAAACAAACACAGATGATTTTACAGTGAGCATAAAAGTTTACATTGTAAAGACTCTTTTTATAAATAGCACACACAAAACACTTCACTATAAATTAAATCCATGCAGGCAACATTTCTGAAAAATGAAATATTTCTAAATAACTTACTGAAATGGCATGTTTAACTTTTATTTTTTAATCTTATGTTGAAAATATTAGAAACTAACATTTTCTCAAATTATTTTCCTCCATATACAGAATAGGAGAGAAATCTATAGAAAAAATATACAAAGAAAATCTTACAAAATATAAAGAAAGTCATATATCAAAAGTGAGAATACATTTTTTCTCATCACCCAATTCTGCCTAAAAACTGAAATTAGCCTGTTTCTTCATATTCTTAAAAGCAAACACATATTTCTTTAAAAAGCAATGAGTAGTTTATCCTGGTTATTTGTTAATAAACTTTCATGCGATTAAAGTGTATAAAGCTTTTATGCCTTTATAATGCAAACTAGGTGTTAAAAATAATTTTGTGCAGAGACGTATTTTTTAATAGTACTTTTTATATCACTTAACCCTAGGAATTACTGCCTTATGTGTCTTGCTTTATTTCTGATCTATGCAGGAGAAAGATAATATGTGGTGGGTATACAGTTTTTTTTTTTTTTAAGAGATTAAATTAGATTGCACAGTGGTGCAATCGCAGCTTACTGAAGCCTCAATCTCCCAGGCTCAAGGGATCCTTCCATCTCAGCCTCCTGAGTAGCTAGGACTATAGGTGCATGCCATCACACTCAACTAATTTCTGCATTTTTTTGTGGAGACAAGGTTTCACTACATTGGCTGTTACATTCTCAAAGTGTTGGAATTACAGGCCTAAGCGACTGTGTCTGGCATTATATACTTTCAAATACAATGTAGGAAGTACAGTAATTTTTACATTAAATAATGTACAAAAATATGAGAATTTTATTAACTTTTTCATTAAACATTTTGAAATTTGTTAAATTGTTTTAAATTATGAAAAAAACACAAAGAATATTAAATTCAGTTCGTGTAGTATTGATACTTAATTTATTCTAAGATGTCAGCGTTTGTTTATTAACAAATCCTGGAAAAAGTCTGTAAATCAAATTTCCTTTATGTCCAGAAAACATCCTTTTATGTTTGTTAACCCAATTTGAACACTACAAATCCCAAATATCTTTAAAAGTGGGGGAAGAAAGGGTTAGAAGAAGTTGGAATAAAGCTTTAGTAGAAAAAACAGTGGAGGTCCTTGCTCTCCACCTGGAAAGCTAGCAATGCTATATGGATCTTCATAAAAACACAACATTTCTTTTTAATGGCCCCACATCTCAAGTTATGCCTCTGTTTTAATAAATGCTCCTCTTTGACTTATCTCTTCCACCTGAAACAATTTTCTTTTAAAGACTATCTTCCTTCTCTGAACTTCGTACTTTGTATTAGAGTTTTGATTTTCTGTCCCAAGGAAGTTGCCTGGCACCATTTTGGCTCATTACCATAAACTGTCCAGAAAAATATGCTTGCTTTGGTTGAGAACGAAAACGAAGTAATGAGATTTTTGAGACTAACCTAGAGATTATGACATTTTATACCATTCTTATGTACCTATTTCAATAAACCTAAGACAGTAGCTATAATATGAAAATGTACAAAGATAAATTAAGATTTTTATAAGACTGTCTTTATGTGGATTGGCCAAGGAATGTCACCAACATTCAGAATATCGTTTTTATGAAGAAAGACTCAGTAAAATGCACTTCTAAGCCATTAACAGGATGGAGGATTTCTCTTTTTCCCCCAACACCCTCCCGCCAAAAAAAAACACCCAGGATCAAGCCTACTACCAACGACAAAACAAAAGTATCATTAACTCAAATCTTACCCTGTAAATGAAAGAAAATGAGTCTAAACATGTCCAGTTGCATTTCATTTCAATTTCAGTTCAGCTCCTGATGTTAACTGGTAAGACTTTCCTCTCTTTCTTCTTAGTCTGTATTCTTTTGCTGTCCTTGTTTGAACTGCCTCCTAGGTGGCCGTCATACAACTCAGCAAGTGATGTAACCAACCTGAAGTTGCAGGGAAAGGAACCTAGCAATACTACATCCCATACCCTTCCCTCTTACATCAGAGTCCTTTCATCTTCTTGTTTCGAAAGTAAGACTATCTCTTCCTTTTTAAGGCTGAGTTTCACATCTGTGCTGTTACTCTCATTTCCTTCCACCCTTTGTCAAGATACCGCTGACTCAAATAGTATCTTTCCCTGTAGTCACTTTAATCATTTCCTCTATACTGGCTCCTTTCATTCTCACTTCAAATATGGATAGCCCTTTTGTGAAATACAATTGGCCCCATCTGTATCTGTGGGTTCCACATCCATGGATGCAACCAACTGCTGATAGAAAATACTCGCTAAAATAATTGTATGGGTACTGAGCATGTACACTTTTTTCCTTGTCATTATTCTCTAAACAATACAGTATAACAACTATTTACATAGCATTCACACTGTATTAGGTATTATTTGCAATCAAGAGATGACGTAATAATTTAAAGTATACAGGATTATGTGCATAGCTTATAGGCAAATACTGTCATTTTAAATCAGGGGCTTGAGCATTCTCAGATTTTGGTATCCATGGGAGGTCCTGGAACCAATCCATGGACACCGAGGGAAGCCTGTACTATAAAATAAACCAATTTCTGGGCCGGACACAGTGGATGACACCTGCAATCCCAGCACTCTGGGAGGCCAAGGCGGGTGGATCACTTGAGGTCAGGAGTTCAAGATCAGCCTGGCCAACATGGTGAAACCCTGTCTCTACTAAGAATACAAAAATTAGCCAGGCATGGTTGTGCATGCCTGTAATCACGGCTACTCAGGAGGCTGAAACACGAGAATTGCTTGAACCCAGAAGGTGGAGGTTGTAGTGAGCTGAGATCACGACACTGTACTCCAGCCTGGGTGACAGAGTGAGACTCTCTCAAGAAAAAGAAAAAAAAAAAAAGCCAAGCCAATTTCTGAAACATCAGATGACATACCAATGCTGGCAAGAGAAGCACTGGACAAAAGGGAGGGATATGTTTTTAAAAAATGTAATTTCTGCACATTACTAAGAAATCTGATTCATTAGGGTTGGGAAACCTGCTCAAGATGTTACAGACACACAACAGGTTACTAGTGACTGCACCTTAAGAATGAATTAGATTTGAAATTTGTATCGCATATAACATTTTTTCCATTGGTAAAATGATGTTTAAATTTTGTTATAAATACAACTGGTTTGTATGAGGGAAAAATTACTGACTATAAACTCAATGTAGCCACTTAATCAAAGGTATTAATTAGTCTTTGTGAACTGGCGTTTAAGTGTGTGACTTGGCACCTGTGTGATAACCTTAGAACCACAGGAATGTGGGGAGTTTCCAAAAGTCTCTGAAGAATAACAACATTTGTTAACTTGGGTAATATTCAAAGCAAACTGTTAATTGATTAATGCAGGAATAAGTGCCCAAGATGCAATGAAAATTCAGAACTGACAAATTCAAGACACAAAGAGGATCACTAAACAGCATAAAAGATAAGCCAGAGGGGGAAAAAAAGGCATGAGAAAACTGGAAATAAAATGACTGGTCTCATTCCCTCTCTTAGTCCTCTCTCAGTCCACCTACAGGAAATGGCAGTCCCTGGCCTAACCATCTGGAAACTCTAAATTGTAAAATGAAAGAATAATCCTGGAATGTTTTGAATTATAAAGTCTAATAAACATTTACACCACTAGTTTGTGTCCACTGGTGATTCTTCCTGAAATATTTGAGATCTTAGTTCATGAAAGCCCATATTTAGTTTATTGGATTCTTTGCCCTCTGGGAAAACCCAATCAAAGCAAACACCCTTTACTTGATCTCAAAGCCAAGCTGTAGTGTTCACTCAAGCAATTATGTTACTTTTCTTTCCATTCACTGTTGCATCTACGGAAAATATGACATAGACTTCTGTCGTTTCTTTATTAGTTAATTTGCACTTTAACTCACATGGACATAGCTTCTATTCTAATTACTCCGTTGAAATGACACCAAAATGGCAATTGCTTAATCTAATAGTCTTGTCTATTCATGTAGCTGTCTTTGCACAGGCCAATGTTCAGTACCAGATCATTGAAACTTTTCCCTCTTCTACTTTGAAGCTATGATATTTTTAGTTTTATTCTAACCTCTCTGGCCCATTCCATCTCCTTAAATGGCTCTTGTCCCCCTTCCAAAATGCAGAAAATTCCCCAAGATTTCATATTTAGCCCTTGATTTTTATCCATATCAAAGATCAGTTGCATTCCTACACTTGACTCATCAGTTTTGCTGATCTCTATCTCCAACCCTGATGTCTCACATTTCGTGTTGTCTGCTGTGCATTTCCATTCAACTATCATCTCAAATTCACTCTCTGAAACAGAACTCCTTATCGCTGTCCTGGAAAATTTGCCTTTTACCTCGAATCTCTTATTTCTGTTAATGGCATAACCCTCTTCTAATCCTACATGCTTAGATCCTTCAATGAGCTTTAGTTTTTCTCCCCTAGTCTTTCACACAGAAGTCAGTGCATTTGGCTGATCCTTTCCCCGAAATCTTTTATGTCTCTGATCATTTGTCTCCATTTCCATAGCTAGCACCCCGGTAAAAGTATCATAACTCTATGTTTGAAACCCCTGTCAAGGAGCTCCCCATGTCTGGAGTCACAGACTCCTCACACTGGTCCTCAAGATTGTCCTCAGTTTAGATTTATTCCTTGGGGAAGGGCAGTACAAGAACCAGACTAGATTCTTTATTCATTTCACCTTTGTTCACAAGTCCTTCCTTGCAGATTTTGAGAGTCTCCAATATATGCAGTTTATTCAAATGTTACCAATTTTTCTCAGAGCAATTTAACTCCCAAGTATATGACTATGCTTTCCCAGAAGATGTGATGTTTTTTTAATTAAGAAAAAACAAAAACAAACAAAAAACAGAGACTGGGTCTCACCATGTTGCCCAGGCTGGTACTGAACTCCTGGCCTCAAGTGATCCTCCTGCCTTGGCTTCTCAAAGTATTAGCATTACAGGTGTGAGCCACTGCACCCAGCCTCATGGTGTAATTTCTTCCTTTTAGCTTCCATTTATTTAGACCACTTACACTGCATGTACTATATACATCTGTGACATCTGCTGTTTTACTCTTTAATGTTTCTCACGCATGCATATATAGTAGATAGTAAATGAACTACTGAAGATCACTAAGGAACTATAAAACTCCAACTTAGAAATTCCACAATTTCTAGATTACTTTATTATTTTCTAGTAACCCCACCAGTACTTATCAACAATTTCAAATTCCAAATGAATAGTGCTCTTCATAATTTGTTGTAATGAGCCTATTAATTTCTGGTTTATATTCAATATAGTCATCAAGGAATTTTTGAACAAAATGGCATAATCTAAGTACTTTATCACTGGATTTATTGGGAGAAAGGAGTGAAATATGCTTTCTAGTATGGGTTGAGTAATCCTTATCTGAAATACTTGTCATAAAAAATGAAAATAAATGCTTGGGACTTTTCATAAAAATGAAAAGAAAATCTGAAATCCAAAATGTTTTGGATTTCAGATTTTTTCAACTTTTGAAATGTCTGCATATACATAATGAGGTTATCTTGGGGATGGGATCCAAGCCTAAACACAAAATTTACTTATGTTTTATATATACCTTATACATGTAGCCTGAAAGTAATTTTATACAATATTTTACATAGTTTTGTGAATGAAACAGTTTGTATACAAGGAACCATCAGAAAGCAAAGGTGTCACCATCTTAGTCACACATGTGGACTATCTGTGGTTATCTTGTATCACCATCATTCCCGACTATGAATTTATATGCTACTGATAAGCAATCATTTTCTTGCATGTATTCACATGTCAGTACTTAACAGTAAAAAACATAACATACCATTAATTCAGTTAACAAAAAAAGTGCTCTGGGAAATTAAGCAGCATAATAGCACCACCAGAATACCTACATCAGCAGCTGGGGGGGCCTTTTTTTCCCTTTGGGTCACTGACTTAACTGTGTCCTCTGCGTCTGTGTTTTGACTTCAACCGGTGAACTGTCACATGAGGTCAGGTATGGAATTTTCCACTTGTGGTGTCATGTCAGTGTTCAAAATATTTCAAATTTTTGAGCATTTCAGATTTCAAATTTTTGGATTAGAGATGCTCAACCTGTACCTAGTATGTGGCTTCTTCCATATTTGTGACAAGTTATTTGCGAAAATGACCCTCTACTATGGGGAGAGATCCCCAACATAACGTGCTTTCAAAAACAGATACATCATTTTTATTGATTTTTTTGGGGGCCCTTTAACATTATTTTTTTCATTGTATTTTATTTTATTTTTTGAGACAGGGTCTCATTCTGTCGCTGGAACGCAGTGTGATGCAATCACAGCGTGATGCAATCACAGCTAACTGCAGCCTCAACCTCCTGGGCTCAAGTGATCTTCCTGCTTCAGCTTCCTGAATAGCTGGGACTACAGGTGCATGCCACCATGCCTGGCTATTTTTTTTTTCAACAGATGGTCTCACTATGTTGCCCAGGCTGCTCTTGAACTAATGGGCTGAAGTGATCTGCCTCAACCACCCAAAGTGCTGGGATTACAGGTGTGAGACACCACGCCCTGCTGAAATCCATTTTATTTGAATGCTAAGAGTGATAGTACAGTGTTTATACCATATTTCTCACAACACACCAGAAATCCTGAAGTCATTCGGTGTACAAATCCTTTTGAGATGCTCGAGACAGTATTTTATCAACTGTGGATCACTAGCTGCCATCATGTCTAAAACCTGCAGGTTTCATAGATGACACCTCCAAAAGGGACTTGATAAAATACAATTCTCATATAAGAAAATAAGATTTTAGGATCCTATATTGTTAGATATTTAACTAGAGGAGTTGCAGCTGAAAGAAGGTATAGGACATTTACCACATAAGTTTTTACGGGTGATTTTAAAGAAGTTTCTTTTCAAATTTCTAACACTTGTCTTAGTATCTGGTGCTTGAAAGCTCAAAAAAAATTTTTACTTCTTCTGCTTCTCTTTGTGATTAGGCTGTACACTTCACTTTCTGGGACAGTGGAAGCTAAGAAATCCTAAGAGCAAATTAAAGGGATTTTCTTCTTTTCTTTGGCCAAGAATATGGTTAAATCTGCCTGAACTCGATGAGGGTACAACGTAATTCTACTGCATACTGGTTAGATATTTTAGAAAATATATTTCTTTAAGAGCATATGGAAGGCAAAGAAGAATAGGATTCATTAAAAAAAAAAAAAGAAAGAAAAAGTGATATTATAACAGGTCACACGTGGTGGCTCACACCTGTAATCCCAGCTACTCGGTGGCTGAGGCACAAGAATCACTTGAACCGGGAGGTGGAGGTTGCAGTGAGCTGAGATCACACCACTGCACTCCAGCCTGGATGACAGAGCAAGACTCTGTCTCAACAACAACAAAAAAGGGATATCATAACAATATCTGGTGAACAAGTCTGACAGAATAATTTAAAAAGAAATATAACATTAAAAATGGTACTGTATGAAGGAATTGCTTTCCTCACCTTTTTGGACCTCCAACAACGGCAGTACACAGCTTTATCTCCCAAATCCTCCATGTCAAAAGCATGTACTATCTTGGGGTTGTCTTTCTGGATGTGAAGGTTTATCATAGCTTTATTTCGATGATCTTTAACATAAAATCTTTTGTAAGCTAGATAACCAATTGCAGCTGTCCCAGCAGCAATGGTAACTGCTGCGATCCATTCAACTAGAGCAGGGAAGGAAAACAAATAATTATCAAAACCAAAATATACACCAATAATATCACATGCATGTCAGAAAATCCAGTTTTTGAGTATTAAGCATCCTAATAGTCCAAGGTTTTTAATGTTAACAAAATGATCAGAAAACACTGGTATAATAGTCCTTTGTTATGACTTTCCCTGGCCCTTATTGAAGCAATTGTGTATTTTCTACTGAGTGATGATAGCTACATTAAGTAGAAGAAACTTAAAATTATTATTTTAGAGCTGGAGTAAAAAAAACCCAAAGCTCAATAATCATTTAAAAAGTGTTTATAAGTAAATTTTAAATAACATGTGAACTTGCAGGTAACTATTGCTTAAAAAAAAAAAAAGCCCCGAAACATAAAAATTCAGATTACAAATAACATTTTGTTATGTTAACAAAATGACTCCTTTGAGTTTATTTAAATAGTAAGATCCCTTAGTGATTTTTAAATTATTTAATTTACCAAAACTCAATTGCAACTATCACAGAAAGCTGTAAGAGAAATGATACCCAAAGAAACAGATAAACAAAACAAAACCACCCTTAATGTTAATTTTCAAAGGAATATATGTAGCAGGATTCCAGGTTTCAAAGTCATTCTTCATTCAAAAGTCCTTTGTTTAAAATTTCAAAGTGTTTTCTCATTAAAATAAAAATCAGAATGTACTAACTTCATATTTTGTAGAAAACATGATTATATAAGTATAGTTATATTCTCATTTAATAAATTCTAAATATATTTTAATTTTCTATAAAATTTATTTTAAATTTAATGGCATTATTCTGCTTTCTAATAATAAAAAAACTGACTAACAAGCCATCTAGTTATTCTTTTCAAGCAGCTTTTCAAGTCTTTAGAAACCCAAGGACTTAACAACTACCCCAGCTCCAGGCAATGTTGGAGAGAAGAAAGTTCTGCATAATCTGGTTAGCCTCAGCCTCAGAGGAGAGTTGTCTATTCCCAGCATGGAGTGGGCTGCAGGAAGAAGTTGAACAGGGGTCAGGATAAACACACTGGACTCCTTCCCAGCACTTCCTGAGTCAGATCTTCAGTGTTTGAAATAAGTTCCCAGACTATCAAATAAAACCCTAGACAGACAAGTACAAAAAAACACATCCCAAGGCCAAATAAAAACACATAATTAATAATTAGTTGTATAGTTTACTTGCACTATTGAGTCAAATTTCTTATTTCACCATACCTAATAGTACCTTACATAAAACTGGAGCTTAATCTTCTAAAACTGTAATATAAAGGATCATTCTCAGTCTCTTGTATCTTGGTCTTCTTTTCTAGTTTATTTAATAATTTAGACTTTATCTAACTTATTCCTGCATTTTGCTCATCTCGTAAGAGAGCATAATTTCTGCCTCTTCCGGTTTATCCTCACTTTCTAATTAATGTGTTCCTTGGATTTTATTTTCAACCACGGTAGTATTTTTCTTAACAAATTAATTTATACTGTTTTCCTTCCCGTAGCATTATCATTCTTTCTTGCTATAATTCCCTAATAAACACTAATGTTTCGTCTTTCCCAGGTCCTGCATGACTGAGAAGACAAGTTAAGTTAATATATCACCTGACAGCTTCAAACCTTTGGCCTCATCAGAAGACATTTTTTAAGTAGGTACACATTATGTGTAGATTTATCTCCAACTTTAGTGCTGCTTCATGGTATTACCCTGTGGTTATTCCAAGCAGGTCTACAATTTTGCTATGACTTCTGGCTAGATTCATGATCTTCCTTTCTAATGTTATTTACCATGGAACTTTCTTGAGAAAACATTTCCTATGCCAGGAGCTGTAGCAATCCACTTCTTAGCTAATGGAAAGCCACTCTGAATAGCTAATGTACCTATCACAAAATGGGCGAAAATGCTGCTTTGCATAGTATATGCACCACAACATTTGCTGAACATCATCTTTAGTACAAACTTAAAGGGGGGCAATATCCCAAAAGACTAAAATAACGCAACTTCCTTAATGCTGTCGATTTTAGTTACACTTTACTTTTTAGGTGAATTATAAAGTACTTCATAACATATTTGTTTGATGGCACCTGCATATTGCAAACAGTCCTGAGATCCAAAGAACTACAATTGGTTAGTATTGGTTAATTTGTTTCATGACCTAAAAAGAGAATACTATAGGAATTTCTACATGAAACTCATCATGATAAGTGAAAATAATCTCTCCTAGTCATTAAATCCCATTCTTCTTGCATTCTTTTTTCTCATGTAATTTGCCAACTGCACCCACAGGTCACTTTTTTTTTTAAGCTTTACCTCCCTTGGATTTTGTGATGGTGGGAGACAGGACAGAATAACTGACATGGAAAAGGGGTAACACCAAAGGCATCATTGAAAGAAATGGAAACTGACTCCAGATACCCAAGACTAGCTGCCCCATGGGGAATCAAAACACACACTTTGTGCTCTACCCCCAACCCCTAGCAAGGGCCACTTATGACCCTATGCCAATGTCACAGTACCATGTGTTCGAGGAAAATAGCTTTGTATTTGCTCTAAGGTCTTGAGAAAACAATTTCCATTTCTTTTTTTTTTTTCCCTTCCCAAATTCTAATTCTGTAATCTCATTAGGGACAAATGCAACAGTTCCCAGAAGTAAAAAAAAAAAAAAAAAAAAAAAAAAGTTGTTATTTTATCACTTCATGAGTGTAGCCTGAATCATCAGTCTTTTCTGGCAAAAAGCTGTGGATGCCACTGGCAACTCTAAAGGAAAAGGAAACTATACAGAGATAGACAAAAATGATGACAGGTCCAAAAATCAACAATTAGGATAAAGAAAGAACTGAAGACCTGAGAAATTGAACAAATAAAAATAGCAACATCCAATAATCCCTGATAAATGGGTATATGCCTATTAAGAATTGTCATAATCTCAGAAGCAACAAGGAACTTTACTGAGACCCAATTCTTTTTTCTTTTTTCTTTTTTTTTGAGATGGAGTCTTGCTCTGTTGCCCAGGCTGGAGTGCAATGGCACAATCTCAGCTCACTGCAACCTCTGCTCCTGGGTTCAAGCAATTCTCCTGCCTCAGCCTCCCAAGTAGCTGGGATTACAGGCGCCCACCACCACACCTGGCTAATTTTTGTAATTTTAGTAGAGATGGGGTTTCACCATGTTGGCCAGGCCGGTCTTGAACTCCTGACCTCAGGTGATCCGCCTGCCTCGGCCTCCCAAAGTGCTGGGATTACAGGCATGAGCCACCATGACCAGCCCTCGCTTTTCTTTTCTATAGACATTTCTCAAGGACAGTTAATTCCTGTAGTTAGGTCAAACCTCACCCTACCAGACCTTGTGTAATCATGCTTTATATCTACACAAATACCATTAAAGATCACAAATGTAGAGAAAGGTAACACTTCCAATAATTTCTGAATAATCCTCCCATTTGCTTATTCTTCCATTGGAGTACTATTGTATAATCTTTGGTTTTCTCTTTAAAATTATTCAGAGAGAGAGAAAACGTGGACTTGTTCCCAAACTCATCAGCCTTGTATATAACCCAATCTTCAGCTTTTTTTTTTTCTTTTACTGTGAGCATTATTTTGCTTTAACTTAGAAATCTCTCTCGGCTTCTTTTACCTTAGCCCCTTTTCTGCTCTAAACTGCCCTCTCCAGCCCACCATCAACTGCCATAGAATCATAATGTTTCTCCTCTTCTATGAGGAGAGGGGGAGGGGAGCTGTGCTTAAACCCTTCCCTCCCTTAGATCTCCCATAGGCTGGCAGGCCGTGCCTGGTAATTTTTTTTTTTCTCAAGGCCTGGCATATAAGTGATATTCAATAATGTTGGTTGAGTCAAAAGAAATAATGGATGACTAATTTAAATTTGCAATTCCTATGTGCAATTTTTCTATCCTTACACTGCATTGCTCTTATACTAAATGACTTATCTTTACCTTCTTCTTAACCTGCTGTATCAGGGTGTGGAATTTACTCCCTGATACATATATTAAAAACAAACAAACAAACAAACAAAAAACTTCAGGTATATATAAGAAGCTATGTTTTAAAAAAACTTTATTATGGACCATTTCAGACACACACAGGGAATACTATAATGAATCCCATTTACCCTCAATTAGCTCTAACCACCATCAATTTGGCCAGTCTATAGCTCCAAACTCCCCCCTTATTTTTCTTTTTTTTGCGATGGAGTCTCGCACTGTTGCCCAGGCTGGAGTGCAGTGGTGCAATCTCAGCTCACCGCAACCTCTGCCTCCTGGGTTCAAGCAATTCTCGTGCCTCAGCCTCCCAAGTAGCTGGGACTACAGATGCGTGCCACCATGCCTGGCTAATTTTTTGTATTTTTAGTAGAGACGGGGGTTTCACCATGTTGTCCAAGCTGGTCTCGAACTCCTGACCTCATGATCTGCCCGCCTTGGCCTCCCAAAGTGCTGAGATTACAGGCGTGAGCCACCGCACCCAGCCCTCTTATTTTTCATTTATTGTTTATAACTTATAGGAGCTATCCCTTTTATTTTCAGTATGATCCATACCTTTCTTTTCAGACAAAAACCCTTAAATAATGACTTTAAATGACTTGGTGAATTTAGTGAACCAAAACAATATTTTCCTATGTTGTGGTTAAATGAATTAGAAAATTAGTTTCAATAAAATACACAAGAATATGAAAGAGAATAAGAATTTATGAAATGTAATTTTGGTTACAAGCGTTGTAGTGATCAGGGTTTGGGATAGATAATGAAGTACAAGATGAACAGACAAATCCCTATGTTGCAACTTGAGGGTAAAGTAAAAAAAAAAAAGTGATTTCAGGGGAAGGCAGGTTAAGGGATGCCTTTCAAAATTACCTGGTATAGTTGGCTTTTTTTTTTTTTTAAAGATGAGGGTGAATTATGAGTGACTTAAGGCTGAAGAAAATCTTTATGAGGCACTAAATATTTACGAACAACAGATATCACTGAGGCAAAGATTTAAGCAAAAGAAAACGGCATCTGGAGGACATGGAGAGAGAACAGCCTAAGAGTTAACATCTTCCTTGCAAATAGAAGAGAAAGGGTTAAGGGTGAGAGTGATCAATGAGTGCTAGAGTTATCAAGGAGCAGGATGATGTTCAGAAAGGTCATCTATTTGGATATGAGGAGGAATCATAAGAGACTGGACGAGTAGGCAGTGAAGGCCACTTAGTACTAGAAAATATAATAAACTAATGGTCTTATCGACCATACTGGTATCAAGAGCTATCTCAATGATCAGGATCTTAAGAGTATTTCAGTTCCAATCATTCATTCTCACTGCCTCTGCCTGATTCCAGTCCTGGCCTGATTCCCGTTAAATTTTTTTTTATAAACTACCTTTTATTTTTCTTCTGATGATGAACAAGAGTTCTGCATACACGTACACACTTTATATTTAACATATATTTATATAGTGCTTACCACTGTCACATATCATTCTAAACCCTTTATAATTACAAATTCATTTAATTGAGAAGAGACATGATATCTTTCCCCCAATTAAAAGATCTAAATTGATTTTCAATCTGTAGGAATAAACTTGGTTTAAAGTTTGAGAAGAGAACCAAACTTGTGTGTGATCTAAACATTAAAAGTTAAATCCCCTCGACATTCTCTTTCCCTACCTTGCCTACCTACTACTATATTGAGGAGGAAAATGTTGGTAGAAGAGATTTACAAAGGCTTTGGGCCTCTCCCTACAGTCCTCATGACAACTTGCATGCTTTTTGGTGAAATAAAAAATAGTCGGCCGGGCGCGGTGGCTCACGCCTGTAATCCCAGCACTTTGGGAGGCCGAGGCGGGCGAATCACGAGGTCAGGAGATCGAGAGCCATCCCGGCTAAAACGGTGAAACCCCGTCTCTACTAAAAATACAAAAAATTAGCCGGGCGTAGTGGCGGGCGCCTGTAGTCCCAGCTACTTGGGAGGCTGAGGCAGGAGAATGGCATGAACCCGGGAGGCGGAGCTTGCAGTGAGCCGAGATCCCGCCACTGCACTCCAGCCTGGGCGACAGAGCGAGACTCCGCCTCAAAAAAAAAAAAAATAGTCATGGCAACGTGTGGTGTCTCACATATGTAATCTCAGCACTTTGGGAAGCCAGGGGACCAAGGAGAAAGGATGGCTTGGGCCCAGAAGTTCAAGGTTGCAGTGAGCTATGATCACAACACTGCACTCCAGCTTGGGCCACTGAGTGAGACTCTGTCTCAAAAAATAATCACTCCTCCTAACAAAGTTGAATACTTCCAGTTGAAGCCAATAACCTGCTTCAGTGATTTCCTATTCCTTAGGCAATGGAAAATGATTGGGAAAGTTGCCTTTGAATTCCCCTATGGTTAGACTTGAAAAACAAAACAAAACAAAAAACCTTGTCTTGTCTAAAAAAGAAATCCTGCAGACCAGCCTGCAGATAGCGGTAAGTCCTAAGGGGTTCACCCGTTTCACATTTCAATAATATGCAACCTAAATAGAGTTTAGTGTTCATGTACACAAAATGATCCCGTATTTTAAACACACACTGTGGAATCTTTTGGTCCACCTCAAACATGTGCAGTCTTCCTGTAAAATTAAAAATATCAGCGGCACAAGTCACATGAACATCTCATTTCACAAGTCTTAATCCCAAGAGAATATAGTTTTTTAAAAAACAAAAACAAAAATCACACCCTATTTTAAATGCACCAAGCTGCCTCTATTAAAAAAAGTCTCAAGATGAGTATCCTTTAATATAATTTTTGCAAATAATAATCTCTATATCATTAGTAACTTCGAAATGTCATGGAATATCACCCTTAGCCAGGTAAATTTTGTCAACAGAAGTGGAACTCTCCAATTTTTGGAAACTACCTATTAAAAAATTAGGGCTCAAGTTAGTAGGGACTTTTTATTACCTGGCACTACAGATGTTCAATATTTACTGAACGTATTTTTAATTAACCTCTAGACAGTCTCTTTGCCTTTACTCAAAACCTTGCGAAGTGGCGTTTTATAGAGGGGCAAAGATCACATATATTGTGTGTCTGGTACACAGTATTATATTAACAATTATAACATCACCAAGAATGGTTATAAAGTGAAACTCCACATTAAATGACTGCTTATAAAGTCTCTTAATTTTATTATAACGGGACTTTCTGCGAAATACTGTTTCCAAACGCTAGGTACTAGCACAGGGGAAAGAAGACTCAGAAAGCTGAAGGTTCAACGAACGCAGTTTTCAATCCTTTATCCTGGACTACTGCCACCGAGTGTCAGATGCCAGAGGAATAATAAAAAACCGGGAAAACTGAAAACCTCGGATTGCGTTTCATCCCTTAAAAAAAAATCTGCAAAACTAAGATGTGATTAGTCACGCAATGCTTCAGGATTGCAGGAAATCGACGTTGTGGCCCGACGCTGACTGAAACATGAGAAGGGCAAACAGGTTTGCTGTTGTTTTCTCCCACCTTTCCTTCTTTTCCAGGCTATGTGACTTAAGGACATGAAAGCGTCTTAGGGGTGAACAAGAAAAGCTAGCGGCGCGGTCATTAGGTGTTAGGGTTTGGCTAGCTGGGGTAAACGTGGACTCTGGTCCGGCATGGCCCCAAACCATCAATCCATCCCTGACCTCGCCCCCTTTCGCTGTCCGGCCCGGAGCCCGCAGCCGGGCCGAGCGCTTGCCCTTCTGCATCTCAAGGTTATAGGACCGGCGGGCGCGTAGGGCAGTGGTAAAACAACCCAGTCGAACTGCGGGCGCGGCAACCGCTGAGCCTCACCAGCCTCACCCGCTCCCAGGCCCCACTTCACCTCGTACGCTGGAACTGGAAGTCAGACTCATGGCGCCGTCGCTTGCAAGGCGTGTGCACTAGGATACCGAGCTCAAACGGGTTCGCGCGGCCGGCGAGAGTAAAGGTGCCAGCGGCGTACTAAAGCACCGACTCCGCGATGCTACCGCGCAGGCGCCGCGGCGGGTCGTAGGCACGTGTGTGAGCTCGACCCTGGTAGGTGCTGAGCATGCGTGGAGCTGTCCTGGCCATAAGGAAGTCTGGACTCCGGATTTTGACAGCTACGGGAGGTGGGAGGAGGAAAAGACTTAGGTAGCAACAGAGTTTGCGCAACGCCGAGGGGCGGGGCCCTGAAGCCGAGGGGCGGGGCCCTGAAGCCGAGGGGCAGGGCCCTGGGATTAGGGAATCCAGGCCAGATTTTACGTCTCTTCCAGGTGTGTGGGCTTCTGGGGGCAGAAACAGGTGTTAATAGGACACTTACTTTAATCAGATACCTAAGATTTGACCCCAGTTTTTCTTGCTCGGGGCTTGTGACGATTTACCTTCAAGGCCAGGTCCAGCTTTTATATAACATGCCAGCGGCGGACATACAGGAATCAATGACTGAGTCCCATTCCAGAACCTCGCGTAGCTACCGGTGTCCATCCCTTTCTGCTTTTGATATAATTATCTACTCAGGACCTTGGAACCTGCACTATCTTAAAGGTCGAGTGGGAGAGAAAAAACTTGCTCCTTTCTTTAAAAAACATGTTCACTTAAAAAAATTAGAAGTTTTCTCTGTCTTCTACAGTCTGAAATTCGTGTCGGTTCCAATTTTATTTTATTTTTATGTGTTTTACTTTTTGGTAAGAGCGGTTTAGAGACAGCAATCCGGGGAGGGGGGCTGAGATTAACTCGAAGGGTATTTTGAAGGCGCATCTCTAATAAGCTGCCTGCTTTTACTTCTGTTGTTTTCGTGCGGGGTGGGAGTTGGAGGGAGTTGAGTGCAGTTAGGGGTGGCCTTTAGAGCCACCCTTGGCAATGCTAGTGCCTTCCAATTCTTGCCGGACTGCTCCGCACACTTAGAAGTCCCTGGCTTCTCTGAGCTGACGCGCTGAGAAGCGTGTTGAATGAATGAGGCCACAGCAGCACGCGTGACTTCGAAATGCCCGCGGGGTGGGGGTGAGAAGAAACAGGGGTGCGCTCGCCCTATCCCTGTCGCCGTCGCCAGGTCCTGGCAGCACGGCGCGCCCGCCCCGCTGACTTGGGGGGCCGGAATCCCGTTGGACGGCCTCTGGGCATGCTCAGTAGCGGCGGCAGCGGCGGTGCGGGCGGCGGTGACGCGCGCGCGGCAGCTGAGGGGACTGGAGGACGGCGGGAGGGGGCGGGGGCGCAGGAGGTGGGNCCGCCGTCGCCGTCAGGGCCCCAGGGAGCGCGGGGCGCCGCTGCTGCTGTTCTTCGGCTCGGTTCTGTCTACCGGGCAGCGCCGGGGCCGGCGGCTGCGGCGGCAGAGGAACAGGAGCCGGGAGCCGCGTTCCGCCGAGAGTTGGGCAGAGGAGCGCCCGCGCCCCGGCGGCGTCATGGGCCCCCTCCCCGCGCTTCAGAGGGCACCAGCCGCGGGAACCCCCGGGCCTCCTCGCGCCCGAGCCTGAGCGACCCTCGGGTTCTCCGGCGCCCCCTCCCTCGCCCTATTTTTTTTCCTACTCTCGCTGCCGTTACCGCTTCTGCTCTCCGTTATGGCAACAGAGCCACCATCCCCCCTCCGGGTCGAGGCGCCGGGCCCCCCAGAAATGCGGACCTCACCGGCGATCGAGTCCACCCCTGAGGGCACCCCGCAGCCGGCGGGCGGCAGACTCCGCTTCCTCAACGGCTGCGTGCCCCTCTCGCATCAGGTGGCCGGGCACATGTACGGGAAGGACAAAGTGGGTAAGTGGGGGTGGCATAGGTCTCGCCGCTCCCCTTCCGCCTGTGCGAGCCCCCTGTCAGCGGAGGCAGCCTAGCGCTCTCGGGCCTGCCTGGACGCCCCCCTGGTGTGCACGCCAAATCCCTGGCCTCTTCCGCTGTCCCCCGAAGCCTCGCCACTCGAGCAGAAGGGGCTCGGAAAGTGGGACAATTCCTAGGGTGTGGGTCGTCAGGCTTGCAGCACGGGTGGCAGGGAGAGGCGTGTCTGGTCTCACCCACCCCCCAGGGAGGTTGGGTGTTGATTGGAGACGGCGTTGTTAGTGAAAATAAGGAACTTCATTTTTACTGGACGGGGAAGTAAATTCTCCCTTGAGCACAAGGTCTGTTTATTATAGGCGAGTAGCTATTGCAAAAGAAAAGGAATGAAATGCAGATGATGCTAATCTAGTACTTCTCTGCTGGGTGCAGCTGCATAGCTGGAGGGGAAGAAAAACACTGGGCTTTTTTAGGGGGAGGTGAGAAGGGAAGAAAGCTTGTCCGTGATTTTTCCCTGTCCCTTGAGGAGGTTTTTCTGGTGTCTCCTTGATTTCTCTGGGAGGCGTGGTTCCAGTAGTGCAGAAACTCGGATTCCTGGTGGGAAATTCACACGCATATTGTACCAGAATGATACACAAAATGTTCAGCTATTCTTGTTCATTTTATAAGGCTGTATCATGGCCACTGTAATACATTTTCTGAGTTCACAAGTTTAAAGCCTATCTCAGTTTAGGAACTCTAATTCATCTAGTTTACCCGTAGTGGTTCCCTGGGCCATGATTACTGGGGTAATCTGATGGATGAGTATGTGAGTATTGTGGATCTTTGACCCGGAAGAGCCACTAGAGACAATTTAGTTTATGCCGGTAAAACGATTCGGGTTTAGGTTGCTAATACTGACATTTTTAGACGAGGTGACTAAGGCCAACCCTGGTTAAGAATGACGTGCCTGAAGTCACGTTACAATATGTTAAGAATTGTGAAACCAAGAGTTCTTCCTTTGAGTACTGTATTTTTTCACCATGTATTGTGTTTGCTGAAACAACTCAAGGCTTTTAGAAAATGGATAAGTATTAATTTGAGTATATGCTATTTCTCAAAGCGACATTTTCCACTACTTTTATTTTTACCTACTTTGTTTGTGTGCCTTTCTCCCCACTGAATTGTGAATTCCTAGATGTTAGAGAGAGAATCTGTATTCTCTCATAGCCTTGTGCACGGACTGGGAATCAGTAACACTCAGGAAATATTGAATAGTGAAAATTGACAGTTGTTTTAGTATACCGAGGTAAAGAAACAACGTCCTCAAGTTGCTCAGCATAGACATTTCCTCCTGTGTGCCAGTGTCTTGTAATGAGAATTTGAGAGTACTCATGGGGTTTCTGTTAATAGAGGAATGCCTATTGATTTATATTAATACATTGTGATTTTACTATTCCTAATAATATTCTAGATGCCTGAAAAAGTAAATGTTTCCCTAAAGGTCCCTAGAGATTGACTTATATGCAAAGGAGAATAGATTTTAAAAATCTCAACATAAAAACAATCTAAATAATTGTCACTTAAGAGTGTAACCACTGCTTATTACAGTATGTAATAGTGATCCCATTCAGAGTGATTGCAAATAGTGGCTGAAAAGTTAATTTGTCACCCAAATTGCCTAATTAATGGAAAAGTTTAGATTCTAGAGGTAGTAGTCCTTAATTTTATTATGGCATTCAGTGTAAAATAAACTTTTTTTGCAATTTCATAAGGGTCTTTTGAGTAGGGACAGTGTTTGTGTCACCATAGTAGAATGGCTTAAACATACTGTGCTAGCAACCTAATATTTGTTGAATTTAATTCTCAGATAGTTATACAATCCTGACTGTATTGTTAAGTAAAAGGATACTTGACTGATGATATATTCCCTATTTGTAAAATGGATAAGATGGTCACTAATTCAAAGTTCAACAGTTTTATTATGTTTCTCCACTGTCATAAGTCATGTACAGTTTACATCATTTAGATCATGCTTTGGTCTGTCAATTGAAATAATTCTCAGGATAAGCTTTGTTAAGGACGTTATGTTGGTATTTGTTTTGTTTTTAAATTTGTGTTACTATCAGTAAGTAACCAGAAATGTTCCATTTAGAATTATTTTACCTATTTCCAAAAAGGAGTTGTTGGCTTTGTTAGTTTAAAAATTAAACTCATGGAACTTGATAGAACAAAGGTGCTTGAACAGAAAAATAGATCTTGTTATATATGCTAAGTAACAAGCATATATTAGTAGTTCAGACATCCGTTATATTTTGTGTTCTTCACTGAAACCATATTTCATCAAAATACATTTAAATCTTAGTTCTAAGAATACAAAGTATTTTGTTTTTTAAACTGTAAAAATTGTATAGTACACGGATCTTTTAGGAAAAAAATTCAGTTTAAGTAGTGCCCTTCCCCCTACTCATTCTCCCAGGGGCAATCACTGGTAACTACTTCCTGTCTATCCTTTCAGGCCTTTGTTTCTGGGCACATACATAAACACATTAGCGCGGTTCTGTTTTTTTATACAAATAAATCTATCAGCAACTTTTCTCATTCTGTATTATATCATGTATTATACCTATATTTTTGCACTTACGGTATACTTTATTCTTTCTAAAAATTGTGTTCTACAATGTGGATGTATCACAATTTATTTAACTATTTCTGTAATCATAGATTTTTAGACTTTTCACCATTTGTTTGCTGTGATAAGTAATGTACTTATTAAACATTCTTGTATATAATAGCATACCTTGCACGTTGTGTACCTATCTCTGTAGGAAGTTTTCGCAAAAAAAAGATCAATATAAATTCCCAAAACTCACCAAAGTTAGCATAAAATTCTTTTAATATGTATCATTAAGTTCTTTAAAAAGTCCTTAAAGTTTTAAACAAATGATGGAAATCTGATATTTCTTGATCTGATGTAGGATGTAGAAATGGGGTAGTCTATAGGGAAAACAAGGATTTAAACTGATAATTGTTGTGGGGGAGAAAGACCTACAATTATCTTGGCTTAGTAGTCTCTTTTTATTAGATATCCTCTGAAACTAATTAACCTAAAATAATTTCAAGCCTACAGAAAAGTTGCAAGAACAATAGAAAAGTAACATTTTGCAAAATTTGTTTTATTATCTCTCAATGCAAATAATTTTTCTTAACTATTTGCAAGTAGGTTGCATACATTATGCCACTTTACATGTTAATACTAAAGTGTGTCTTCCTTAAGAACAAGGATATTCTCTTCTGTAGCCACAGCACATTGATCAACTATGGGAAATTTAACAGGGATATAATACTTTAATCTATAGTCCATAGTCTCACTTTGTCAACTGTTCCAATACTGTAATGTCTTTTATCACATTTGTTTTTCTCAGTACAGGATCTGGTCCAGAATCATTTATTGCAATTAGTTGTTATGTCTTTTAGTGTCCTTTCATTTGTAACATATCCTCAGCCTTTCCCTGTCCTTTATGACATTGTCATTTTGAAGAGTACAGGCCAGTTATTTTATGAAATGTTCTTTAATTTGGGTTTCTGATAGTTCCTTACGATGGGATTCAGATGATACTTTTCCAGCTGGAACATTGTGTAAGTGGAGGCCAACAATAGCTGCCCTTTGGTAGTGGATTATTTCTGGTTGTCTGATTCAAGTGTAGTCTGGCTTCTTCAGTATATCGTTTTGTTTGTTTGTTTTTTGAGACAGGCTCTTGCTGTGTCACCTAGGCTGGAGTGCAGTGGCGTGATGTAGTTCACTGCAGCCTCAAACTTCAGGGCTCAAGCAATCCTCCTGCCTCAGCCTCCTGAGTAGCCGGGAGTATAGGTGCACACCACTAGGCCAGGCTAATTTTTTTTTTTTTTAACGGAGTCTTGCTCTGTTGCCCAGGCTGGAGAACAGTGGCGCGGTCTTGACTCACTGCAACCTCCGCCTCCCAGGTTCAAGTGATTCTCGTGCCTCAGCCTCTTAAGTAGCTAGGATTACAGGAGTGCACCACCATGCCTGGCTAATTTTTGTATTTTTAGTAGAGACGGGGTTTTGCCATGTTGGCCAGGCTGGTCTTGAGCTCCTGGCCTCAGGTGATCCACCCACCTCTGCCTGCCAAAGTGCTGGGATTACAGGCATGAACCACTGCTGGGCCAGGCTAATTTTAAAATTTTTTGTAGAGATGGGATCTGGCTTTGTTGCCCAGGCTGGTCTTGAACTACTGGCTTCAAGTGATCCTTCTGCTTCAGCCTCCCAAAGTGCTAGGATTACAGGAATGAGTCACCATGCCTGGCTTCAGTATATAGTTAATGTTTTCTGTTCTACATTTAATAAGCTATATGTGAGGAGACACTTTACAGTCATGCAGCTATCTGGATTCTCATCAACTTCATCCCTAGATTTGGCATCTGTTGATTCTTGCCTGAAGCTGTGTTTATTCTGATAGTTACAAAATTGTGATTTTTTCCCCCCATTCTTTCACTCCCTCTGCTTTAACAGCTAGCATTCCAAGAAATAGCTCTTCCTTTACCCTTAAGTATTTATGTCCTTATTTATAATCAGTTTGCATCATGGATTCCTATTTGATAACATGTATCATTACCCATTATGGAACTTATTTATTGGACTTTAATCACATCTCAATGTTTTTAAAAAAGGAACTTATTTATTTTGTTGCTCAAATGGTCCCAAATTTGACCATTGAGAGCACTTCCTTTCTGTCATAACAGATTTTTTAGAATTATCTCATAACTTTCTTCCCCAGCCCTAGAGTCAACCATTTCTTCAAGGAGCCCTGGTTTCTTTTTAGTGGAAAATGGTATTTAGAAACCAAGATCTGTGTTACTAGGTATTGTCATAACTGTTGGAGTATCATTTCTTCCAGGACTTTTCAATGGACATGATTTTTAAAGTATGTATAAATATTTTAGAAATTATAATTTCATATTTCAAATTTCATTTAAACCCGAGTTCTTCCTTTCCCTTGATTCTAAATTTGTATTTCCCTTCTTCTGTAGTAAGAACCCTGGCTCCCAGTGATATTAATATGTTTATTCTTTTGCTTAATCTTACAATTTTCAGAATTTCTACACCCATACTACTTCAGAAAACAAGCCTAGAATAAAGAATTCAGGATGAGATTTTTTTATTTATTTATTATACTTTAAGTTCTGGGGTACATGTGCACAACGTGCAGGTTTGTTACATATGTATACATGTGCAGTGTTGGTTTGCTGCACTCGTTAACTAGTCATTTACATTAGGTATTTCTCCTAATGCTATCCCTCCCCCATCCCCCCAACCCCACGACAGGCCCCGGTGTGTGATGTTCCCTGCCCTGTGTCCAAGTGTTCTCGTTGTTCAGTTCCCACCTATGAGTGAGAACATGCGGTGTTTGGTTTTCTGTCCTTGCGATAGTTTGTTCAGAATGATGGTTTCCAGTTTCATCCATGTCGCTACAAAGGACATCAACTCATGAATTCAGGATGAGATTTTCTTATACTGAGGGTATAAACTGTGTTCAAAAATTACTTGGGGCTGGGCACGGTGGCTCATGCCTGTAATCCCAGCACTTTGGGAGGCCAAGGCCAGGAGGTTGAGACCAGCCTGGCCAACATGGCAAAACCCTGTCTCTACAAAAAATGCAAAAATTAGCCGGATGTGTTGGTGGCGCCTATAGTCCCAGCTACTCAGGAGGCTGAGGCAGGAGAATCACATGAACCTGGGAGCGGAGGTTGCAGTGAGCCGAGACTGTGCCACTGCACTCCAGCCTGGGTGACAGAGCAAGACTGTCTAAAAAAAAAAAAACAAACAAAAGTTAGTTGGATTAGGTTTTTTGTTTTTGGTTGTTATTTCTTTTTCTCCCTTTTCGCAGTAGTAGTATTCATTTGAAATACAGTTGGGTTCATTTGTTTCTGTTTAAATTCATCCCTGCTTCCTCAAATTTTGTTTGTTTGATTATATATTTGAAAGCTTATAACATTAACATGCTTCCAAAAAACAAAACTTTACAGAAAAGTATAATAAAAAATTTCACTCCCTTATCACTCCACCCCATCCACTCCTCAGCATCTCTTGTAGGTAATCAATTTCATTGTTTTCTGATTTACCCTTTTTGAGTTTCTTTTTACAGAATTAAATAGATCTATGGAAGTTTTATTTCCCTTTCTTTCTGATACAAAATCTAGTATGCTGTATATACTGTTTTTCACATGGTTTTTAAGAGTTAAGACTATATCCTAGAAATTCGTATGTATCAGTTCATAGAGTTCCTCCTCATTTTTTTTTTTTTATAGCTCAGCCGTGCATATTCAATCAATTTCCTGGATTTGCTTTTGGCCTTTTATTTTCATTGGCTTGTTTATCCTACTTCACGATCTTGATTCAAGTTATTTTATAATAAGTCTTCATGCATCCCACTTACTATTTCAAGATTGTCTTGGCTTTTTCTGGTCCTTTGCATTTACATACAGATTTTAAATCAACTCATTACTTTTCCCCAGAAACAGGATGAGATTTTATTTGGCATTGCCTTGAATCTGTAGATAGCTTTGGTGAGAATCGATTTATTTGCAATATTGAGTCTTCCAATACTTGAACATGGTATATCTCTCTATTTAGTCCTTTAATTTCTCTCAGTGAGTCATAGTTTTCAGTGTACAGGTCTTACACATTGTTTACTAGGCTTTTCCCTTAAGTATTTGATTTTACTGTAAATTGTACTGCCTTAAGTTTTTTTTTGAAAAAAATTTAAATTTATTAAAAATATGCCAGAATAGTACAGTGAACTAATGTATGCCATTCATCTGGATTTATCAATTGTTAATATTAATTTTGCCACATATGCTTTATTACTCTCTGTATATGATGATTGTGCATAAACATTTAAGAATAAATTTTAGACATCATGACCCCTTTTCTCTAAATAATTGTGTATATTGCCTAAAAATAAGACAATTTTCTCACCTAACCATAGTAAAATTACAAAATTCAGAGTATTTAGCATTTGGCTTTTGCCATTATTCCAATAATATCATTTACAGCACTTTCCTTCATCCAGGATCACACATTGCATTTCGTTGTTACGATTCTTTAGTTTCCTGTTATCGGGAGCACTTCTTTCTTCTTTCTGTATCTTTCATAACCATGGAATTTTTGAAGAGTATAGGTGTATGACATTTTAGAATGTCCTTTAAGTTCAGTTTGTCTGATTGTTTTGTCATGATTATATTCAGATTATGCATTTTTGGTAAGAATATTATATGACTATGTCATGTCTTCAAAGCATATCATAAGACATAGGATGTCAGTTGCATTATTGGTGATGTAACTTTGATCACCTGGTTAAGTGATTTCTGCCAGGTTTTTCCACAGGAAAGTTATCGTTTTTGCTGTTAAGTAATTTGAGAGGAATATTTTGAGACTGTTAGATATTCTGTTCCTCATGAAACTTTACCTTGATTGATAATATTTGACAGACTCATATAGTACTATGATAATTGCAAAATAGTAATATTCTAACTATCATTCGTGTTACATTTGTTTTTCTTTTTGTTTTTTGAGACAGGTTCTTGCTCTGTTACCCAGGCTCGAGTGCAGTGGTACAGTCATGGCTCACTGCAACCTCCGCCTCCCAGGCTCAAGTGATCCTCCCACCGAAGCCTCCTGAGTAGCCGGGACTATAGGCATGCACCACCATGCCTGGCTAATTGTTTTTTTTTTTTTTTTATGTAGAGATGGGATTTTACCATGCTGGCCAGGCTGGTCTTGAACTCCTGAGCTCATGCGATCCACCCACCTCAGACTCTCAAAGTGCTGGCATTATAGGCGTGAGCCATTCTGCCCAGCCCTCATTCCTATTACATTTGTTAGTTGGCATTCTATGTTAAGGAATAGATTTCCCTCCTCATTCATTCATTCATTCATTCATTCATTCATTATTAAGGTGGATTTTTTTCAAATTTCAGTGGATAGATATCCATTATTGTTGCTGCTTGATGTTATGGTTGTCTCAGATTTGAGCAGTGGGAACTTCAAGCTGGCTCCTGTGTCTTTTTGATATTTCCTGTTTTTTCTTTCAAAGCATTTTTTAACTTTCTGGCATAAAAAGATATTCCACATTCCTTTTGTGTTTTCCCTGTCTCGGCCCTGAAATGAGCCGTTTTTCTTCAAGAAACCCTTGTTCCTTTAGGGGTAAATGGTATTTAGAAACTATGGTCTGGCCACTAGGTGTGCTCATGGTTCCTTGGGTGTGATTGCTGTTTGTCCATTCACAGACTGGACTAAGAAATGTATTTCATATTATTAAACATTTGAGTTAATCCCCATACCTATAATTTAAATTCAGCACCACAAAGTTCTTTTTTGCCTCCCTCCATTCTGTATTTACATCTCCCTTCTTCCTCAGTGAGAACTCTGTCTCCTCAAAACATCAGTATATTTATTCATTTTGAAATATTTAAACCAACTTATTTTCCCAGAACCATCTAAAAGAACCACTTTTTAAAATTGCATTGATTTTTCTTCGTTGTCCATTTCTTATTTCTTTGATTTTTCATTCCTATCTTTCTATTTATTTGGAATTAATATGTTCTTTTTTCTGACATCTTAAATTGGAGACTTCCTTTTTCTTCTCATACAAGCATTTAAAACTGCCCATTTCCCTTTAAGTACTAAACAATATATTAGCTGCGTTTCACAAATTTTGATATAGATTGAGTTTTTATTATAATTTATATTAAAAATACTTTCTAATTTCCATTGTGAATTTTGATCCATTAATAATTAGGAGGGTGTTGTTTACTTTCCGACTATTTGGTATTTTCCTAAATATCTTACTGTTACTTCCATTGTGGTCAGAGAATATTCCCTATGTGAATATTCTGTGTGATTCCAATCTTGTTAGATTTTAGACTTGTTTTATGGTCCAGCACATACTCAATCTTGGTAAATGCTCCATTTATATACTAAAAGAATGTATATTCTGTTGGATATAGCATTCATTCTGCAGGTGTCAATTTGGTCAACTTGTTTGTTGCTGTTCAAGTTTTATATATCATTACTAATATTCTATTTTTTGTTTGTTTGTTTTGAGATGGAATCTCGCTCCGTCGCCAGGCTGGAGTGCAGTGGCATAGTCTTGGCTCACTGCAACCTCCACCTCCTGGGTTCAAGCAATTCTCCTGCCTCAGCCTCCCAAGTAGCTGGGATTACAGGCACGCACCACCATGCCCGGCTAGTTTTTGTATTTTTAGTAGAGATGGGGGTTTCACCATGTTGGCCAGGCTGGTCTTGAACTCCTGACCTCATGATCTGCACGCCTTGGCCTCCCAAAGTCCTGGGATTACAGGTGTGAGCCACCACGCCTGGCCTATTCTATTTGTTTTATCAATTATTGAGAAAGTAATTGTGGATTTGTCCTTTATGGATTTGTCTGTCCTTTCAGTTCTGTCAGTTTTTGCTTCATGTATTTTGAACCACCAAATAATTTAGTACACACTTATTTAGGATTTTTATATCATCTTAATGAACTGACCTTTTTATTGTTATGATATGTCTCTCTTTGTGTTTAATGTTCTGTTTCTTGTAGTCTGCTGTCTCTAATACTATGTAGTCTGATATATAATATTACTATATCAAACGTTCTTATGAGCAATAATTGCATGATGCATCTTTTCCATTCTTTCACTTTTAACTCATCTGTGTCTTCAAAAAGTGTCTAGGGGTTTGATATTTTTCAGTCTGTTTCGGATTCTCTGAGCATCTTGGCTGTACGTTTTTATGTTTCTTAATACTTTTAGAACATTTCAGCCATTGCCTTGTCAAATATTTTCTCAGTACCTTTCTCACATTTTAAAAATGTTCTTTATCTTATTATTTTATTTTATTTATTTATTTTTGTTTTTGAGACAGAGTCTTGCTCCGTTGCCCAGGCTGGAGTGCAGTGGCATAATCTCAGCTCACTGCAACCTCTGCCCCCCAAGTTCAAGAGATTCTCATACCTCAGCCTCCCGAGTGGCTGGGACTACAGGCACATGCCACCATGCCCAGCTAATCTTTGTGTTTTTAGTAGAGACAGGGTTTCACCATGTTGGCCAGGCTTGTCTCGAACTCCTGACCTCAGGCGATCAACCCGCCTTGGAGTCCCAAAGTGCTGGGATTACAGGTGTGAGCCACCGGGCCTGGCTGTTGAAATACCCTGTGTTTAATTGAAATTAAACAGAATCTATAATTCTCTTAGTATGTATATAATGTATATACTTTCCTATATCACAGGTTTTCTTTTCTAATAATAAAAGCAAAATGTTGTTTTCGTTTGTTTTATTCTGTTTGTTTTTAGAAGCAGGGTCTTTTACACTCAGACCAGAGCGTGGTGGTGTGATCACGGCTTACCAGCAGCCTCAACCTCCTGGGCTCAAGTGATCCTCCCATCTCAGCCCCTTAAGTAGCTGAGACCATAGGCATGTGCCAACATGCGTGGCTAATTTTCATTTATTTTTTGTAGAGATGGGATCTCACTATGTTGCCGAGGCTGGTCTTGAACTCCTTGGCTCAAGTTTTCCTCTTGTCTTTCGGGGGAACCAGCCCCCAATATTTCAACATAGGTTCTTATCTATTTTCCCTAAGTGTCGGCTGGTCTGACAAATAAAGAGAAAGAGTACAAAGAGAGAAATTTTACAGCTGGGCCTCTGGGGGTGACATCACATGTCGGCAGGTTCTGTGATGCCCCCTGAACTGCAAAACCAGCAAGTTTTTATTAGGGATTTCAAAAGGGGAGGGGGGTACGAACAGGGAGTAAATCACAAAGATCACATGCTTCAAGGGGCAATAAAAGATTACAAGGGCAGAAGGGCAGAGCAAGATCACAAGGCCAGGGCGAAATTAGAATTACTGATGAGGTTCCATGTCCCACTGGGCATGCATTGTCTTGATAAACATCTTAACAGGAAACAGGGTTCAAGAGCAGACAACTGGTCTGACTAGAATTTGCTGGGCTGGAGTTTCCTAATCCTAGCAAGCCTGAGGGCACTGCAGGAGACCAGAGTGTGTTTCATCCCTTATCTTCAACCGCATAAGGCAGACACTTCCAGAGGGCCATTTTAGAGACCTCTCCCTGGGAATGCATTCCTTTCCCAGGGGTATTCCTTGCTGAGAAAAGAATTCAGTGCTATTTCTCCTATTTGCTTTCTGTAAGAAGAGAAATATGACTCTGTTCTGCCTGGCCCCGCAGGCAGTCACACCTTATTGTTATCTCCCTTGTTCCCTGAAAATTGCTGTTACCCTGTTCTTTTCAAGGTGGCCAGATTTCATAATGTTTAAACACACATGCTTTACAAACAATTTGTGCAGATAACGCAATCCAGGGTCCTGAGGTGACATAAATCCTCAGGTTATGAAGATGATGGGATTAAGAAATTAAAGACAGGCATAGGAAATTATAAGAATATTGATTGGGGAAGTGATAAATGTGCATGAAATCTTAACAATTTCTGTTCAGAGATTGCAGTAAAGACAGGCATAAGAAATTATAAAAGTATTAATTTGGGGAACTAATAAATGTCCATGAAATCTTCACAATTTATGTTCTTCTGTTGTGGCTTCAGCCGGTCCCTCCGTTCGGGGTCTCTGACTTCCCGGAACACTGTCTCAGCTTTCCAAAGTGTTGGGATTATAGGTGTGAGCCACCACACCTGGCCAATATATGTTTATCATAGAAAATTCCAGGAGAAATTTACAAAAAAGAAAAAAAAAAGAAATATAAATTACCTAGATGGTGATATCATCAAGATGGCAGAATAGAAGATCCCCTACCTCACTGCTTTCATAAAAATACAATTAGAAACCATTCAAAGACAAGAGCACCAGCCTGAATACACCAGAGCCCAGGGGAGAATCAGAGAAATCCCCTGTATCCACAGACCTGAGAGAAACCTTGACTGATAAGAGAAATCATTTCAGACTGTGTCACCCCCTCCCCCAAACTGGCATGACACCACTCACAGAAAATTTCCCTAGACCCGTGGTTTCTGAGGTGAGAGGAGAGAATTGGAGGTGGATGTTTGATCTTTTCACTGGTCTGGGAATCTTCATGGAAAGCCCACTCCAGCTCCATGTCACAGGAACCATTGGAAATGCCAGAAGGGCTGAACCAACTGGAGTGTATTGGGAACAAAAGTGGGTCAGTGATTGCAGTGACAGGTGTGTGGATCTTTGTGGCTACTCAGTACTCCAATCACCTGGGAAACCACGTTGAAGAGACTGGCTGATGCCATAGAGCTGTAGGGGGACAGTCTGTGGGATAGCCTGAGTCCCAGGCTTTCCACAAAGCCCAGGTGCTTGCATGGAACCTTCCCTGGATAGAAACAACTAACAGCCATGATTAAGTTCCAGTGCCCACTAAAGTTTTCCCCAGTTTGGGAAACAGTGGTAGAGCAGCAATGTAGTTCTGTGGCAGTGTTTAAGCTTTGGTGCTCACTGTAAGTCTTCCCTGGATTGGGAAACAATGGCAGGGCAGCGATTTCATCCTGCAACAGCATTTATGCTTCAATGTTCACTATAAGTCTTCTCCCAGAACAGGAAACAATGACAGGGCAATGAATTAGTTCTAGTGCAGGGTTTTAGTTCCAGTACTTACTATAAGTCATCCACTGAACAGGAAGAAACAACAGGCCATGTTTAAGTTCTGATACTAAAAAGTAAAGGTCTGACACCAATAAGGAACACCTGCAAAAACTAGAAGAGGTAACTGTCTCTTCAAATGTGCAGGCATCAACATAAAGATGCAAGGATTGTGAAAATCCAACGAAGTATGGTACTACTAAAAGAAACCAGTTCAACTCCAATAATGAACTAGAAGAATTGAAGATCTACAAGATTTTTGAAAGATAATTTAGAATTTTTTTTTGAAGAAGTTCAGGGAATCACAAGAAAATATGGATAGAAATCTAAATGAAATTTGGAAAACACTCCAGAAACGAAATAAGAAGTTTGACAAAAAATAGAAGTGATTTTTTAAAAAAGAGAGAGATCCTATAAATGAAGAGTACCATAACTGAATGCAAAAACTCATTAAAAGGTTTTGACAGCAAACTTGATGAAACAGAGGAAAGAATTATTGAGCTTGAGGGTAGAAGCTATGAAGTTATCTAAACAGAGGAGCAAAAAGAAAAGAATAAAGAATGAAGAGGGCCTACAAGAATTACGAAACATCAATAAGGGAAGCAACCTCTGATAATTGGAATTTTTAAAGGAGATGAGAGTGAAAAAGGCCTAGAAGGTATATTTGAGGAAATAATGGCTGAAAATTTCCAAAATCTGAGGGAAGATGACAACATCTAGGTAAAGGAAGCTCAAAGATTACCATTCAAATTCAACCTAGAGAGGGAATTCCCCAAGGCACATTATAATCAAATAAGCAAAAATCAAAGACAGAGAAAAAATACTCAAAACATCAAGAGAAAGGAAACATATCTCAGTCAATGGAGCCCCAATATGGCTTTCTGTGGATTCCTCAGCAGAAACCCTGAAGGCCAGGAGAGACTGGAGTGCTATATTCGAAGGAAGGGAGGGAGGGAGAGAGGAAGGAAAATTGTCCTCCAAGACTATTGTACCCAGTAAAGCTATTTTTCTTTTTCTTTTCTTTTTTTTTCTTTTTTTTTTTTTTTTGGAGATGGAGTCTTACTCTGTCGCTCAGGCTGGATTGCAGTGGTGTGATGGCTCACTGCAGCCTCCACATCCTGGGTTCAAGCATTCTCCCGCCTCAGCCTCCCGAGTAGCTGGGACTACAAGTGCATGCCACCATGCCCAGCTAATTTTTTGTATTTTAGTAGAGACAGGGTTTCACTGTGTTGCCCAGGCTGGTCTCGAACTCCTGAAACTCCTGAGCTCAGGCAGTCTGCCTGCTTCGTCCTCCCAAAGTGCTAGGATTACAGGCTTGAGCTACTGTGCCTGGCCCAGTAAAGCTATTTTTCAAACACAAAGGAAGGATAAAGACATTTCCAGACAAACAAAAGTTGAGGGAATACATCAATGCCAGACCTGTTTTACAAGAACTGTGTATTAGTCTGTTCTCATGCTGCTAATAAAGACATACCCGACACTGGATAATTTATAAAGGAAGGAGATTTAATTGACTCACAGTTCCACATGGCTCAGGAGGCCTTACAATCATGGCAGAAGGTGAATGAGGAGCAAAGTCATATTTTACATAGCGGCAGGCAAGACAGCTTGTGCAGTGGAACTTCCATTTATAAAACTATCAGAGACTTATTCACTACCAAAAGAACAGTATGGGGAAACCACCCCCATGATTTAATTATCTCCACCTGGCTTTGCCCTTGACATGTGAGGATTACTACAATTCAAGGTAAGATTTGGGTGGGGACACAGCCAAACCATGTCAGACTGCTAGAGAGAGTTCTTCAGTCTGAAGGAAATGGATGCTAAGATGTAACAAGAAAACATCTGAAGTTAAAAACCTCATGGATGTGGCCGGGCACAGTGGCTCATGCCTGTAATCCTAGCACTATGGGAGGTCGAGGTGGGTGGATCACCTGAAGTCAGGAGTTTGCGACCAGCCTGGCCAACATGGTGAAACCCCATCTCTACTAAAAATACAAAAATTACCCAGGCGGGTGGTGGGTGCCTGTAATCCCACCTATTCAGGCAGTCGAGGCAGGAGAATCACTTGAACCCGGAAGGTGGAGGTTGCAGTGAGTAGAGATTGCACCATTACAGTGCAGCCTGGGTGACAGAAGGTGACTCCATCTCAAAAAAAAAAAAAAAAAAAGAAAAGAAAACTCTTGGATAAAAGTAGAACAACTTAACTATTTGGTATTATGTTTATTATCTGTGTGATGAAATAATCTGTACACCAGACTTCCATGACATATAATTTACCTACAGAACAAACATGCACATGGACCGCTGAACCTAAAAGTAAACCTTAAAAAAAAAAAAAAAAACAGTCAAATTCAGAATACTCTAATACTGTAATTATGGTAAGTAAAACCACTTATATCTTAAAGATGAAGACTAAAAGACAAAACTCTTAATAACTCCAACAATTGGTTAAGAGGCAATATAAAAAGGTATAAATTGAAACAGTCAAAGTACCGGGGGTGATATGGTGTTAAAGTATAGAGTTTGTTTTTGATACTTGACAGTCCACATTGAGTTGTTATCAGTTTAAAATAACCTGTTGTAACTACAAGATGTTTTTTATAAGCCTCGTGGTAACCACAAACCAAAAACTGTAAGAGAGACACTAAAAATAAATGGCATAGAATCAAAACATACTGCTAGAAAAAAATCCTTAACTACAAAGGAAGACAGTAAGTGGAAAAAAGGAAGAAAAGATCTACAAAACAACCACAAAACAACTAACAAAATGGCAGTAGTAAACCCTTACCTATCATACCTTGAGTGTAAATGTATTACATTCCCCAGTTAAAAGACATAGAGTTGCTGACTGGATAATAAAACAAGACCCAACTATATGCTGTCTGCAAGAAACTCACTTTACCTTTAAAGACATGCACAGATTGAAAGTAAAGGGATAGAAAGATATTCCATGCAAATGCAAACCAAAAGAGAGCTGGAGTAGCTATGGTTGTATCAGATAAAATAAACTGTCAACAGTGTTACAGAGGACAAAGGAGGCCATTTGTTACATAATGGTGAAGGAGTCAGTAGTACCGCAAGAGGATATAACAATTGTAAATGTGTATGTACTCAACACTGGAGGACCCAAGTATATAAAACATATTAGTGGACCTAAAGGGAGAAATTGACTTTAATAGAATAATAGTAGGAGACTTCAACACCCCACTTTTGGCAATAGACACATGATCCAGATAGGAAAATCCACAGTCTCCAGAGTTAAATTGGACTGTAAGCCAAATGGACCCAACAGACATTTACAGAATATTGCAGTAAACAGTTGCAGAATACACATTTTTTTCAACAGCACATGGGGCATTCTCCAGGATAAATCATATGTTAGGTCCCAAAGCAAGTCTTAACAAATTTTTAAAAATAATATCAACTATCCTTTCTGACCACACAGAATAAACCCAGAAACGATATAGAAGGAATGATGGAAATGGTACAAATTTATGGAAATTAAACAACATGCTCCTGAACAATGAATGGAGTCAATTAAGAAATTAAAATAAATTATAAAATTCCTTCAGACAAATGACAATGGAAACAGCATACCAACACATGGGATGCAAGAAAAGCAGTTCTTTGAGGGAAGTTTTTAGCAATAAACACTGATGTCAGAATGTAGAAAGACTTCAAATAACCTAATGATGCATCTCAATGAGTTAGAAGAGCAAGAACAAACCAAAACCAAAATTAGCAGAAGTTAAATAGATGAAAAGTCTCTAAGGATGGTTTGACATACTATGGCAAATCAAGAAACATGATACATCACATTCACAGAATAAAGAACAGAGACTGTATAATTATTTCAATAGATGCTGAAAAACATTTGATAAAATTCAACATCACTTCCTGATAAAAATTCTCACCAAACTGTGTATAGAAGGAACATACTTCAGAACAATAAAGGCCATTTGTGAAAACTCACAGCTAATATAATACTGAATTGGGAAAAAGTGAAGCCCTTCTTCTGAAATCTTAGAAGAAGACAAGGATGCTCATTTTCACTACTCCTATTTGAGTGGAAGTCCTACTCCTAGGAGTGGAAGTCCTAGTCAGAGCAATTAGTCTAGAGAAGGAAATAAGAAAGGAAGAAGTCAAATTACACTTGTTTGCAGACAACATGATTTTATATTTAGAAAAATCTAAAGACTCCACCAAAATACTGTTAGAGCTGATGAAAGAATTCAGCAAGGCTGCAAGATACAAAGTCAACATACAAAAATCTGCATTTCTATACATCAGCAGTGAACAATCTGAAAAAGAAACTAAAAAAGCAATCTCATTTACAATAGTTAACAACAACAACAACAACAAAAACCCTAGGAAAAAATTTAACCAAAAAAGTGAAATATCTTTACAATAAAAACTATAAAACACTGCTGAAAGAATTGAAGAAGACACACAATATGAAAAGATATGTTCATGGATTGGAAGAATTAATATTAAAATGTTCGTACTACCCAAAGCAGTCTACAGAGTCAATGTAATCCCTATCAAATCACCAAAGACATTCATCAGAGAAATAGAAAAAAGTCCTAAATTTGTATGGAACCACAAAAGACCTCAAATACCCAAAGAAATGCTGAGCAAAAAGAATAAAGCTGGAGGCATCATACTACCTGGCTTCAAAATTTACCACATAGCTGTAATATCCAAAACACCATGGCACTGACATAAAAACAGACACATAGTCTAATGGAACGTAATAGTGAACTGGAAATAAATTCACTGGTTTCCAGCCAACTGATTTTTGGCAAAGGTGCTAAGCCACATACATTGGGGAAGGGATGGTGTCTTCAATAAGTGGGGTGGGAAAACTGGATATCCATAAGCAGAAAAATGAAACTAGATCTGTATCCCTTACCATATATAAAAAACCAATATGTATTTGATTGGATTGGATGTAAAACATAAAACTACTAGAATAAAATACTGAAGAAATGCTTTGGGACAATGGTCTGGGCAAAGATTTTCTGGGCAAGACCTCAGAAGGACAGGCAACAAAAGCAGACATACAAATGGGGTTACATCAAGCCAAAAAGCTTATGCACTACAAAGGAAACAATCAACAGAGTGACAGCCTATAGAATGGGAGAAAATATCTGTAGACTATCCTTGTGAGAACAGATTAATAAGCAGAATGTATAAAGAACCAACTCAACAGCAAAAATAATCCAATTAAAACTGGGCAAAGAATCTGAATAGATATCTCTCAAAAGTGGACATACAAATGACCAGTTGGGGTATGAAAAAGTGCTCAACATCACTAATCATAAGAGAAAAGCAAGTATAAAAAACAATGAGATATTATCTCATGCTAGTTAAAATGGCTATTATTAAAACGTCAAACTGAGCATGGTGGCTTATGCTTATAATCCCAGCCCTGGGAGGCTGGGGTGGGAGGATTGCTTGAGCCCTGAGGATGGAGGCTGCAGTGAGCTATGATTGTGCCGCTGCAGTCCAGCCTGTGTTACAGAGAGAGACCCTATCTCAAAAACAACAACAACATATACATCTTTTTAAAACAGTGAAAGGATAGCAGATGCTGCCAAGGATGTGGAGAAAGAGAACACTACTACACAGTTGTTAGGTATGTAAATTAGTATAGCCACTTTGGGAAATAGTATGGAAGTTCCTCAAAAAACTAAAAATAAATCTACCATATGATCCAGCATTCCTGCTTCTGAATATATATCCAAAAGAAATCAGTATGTTGAAGAGATATCTGTACTCACCTGTTTATTGTAGCTATATTCACAATAGCCAAGATATAGAATCAACCTACGTGTCCACAACAGATGAATAGATAAAGAAAATGTGGTTCATAATGGAATATTTTTCAGCCATAGAAAAGAATGAAATCCTGTCATTTGCAGCAACATGGATGGAATTGGAGCTCATTATATGAAGTGAAATAAACCAGGCATGGAAAGACGAATAACACATGACCTCATTCAGATGAGGGAGCTAAAAACATTGATCTCATGGTGGTAGAGAGTAGGATCATGGTTGCCAGAAGCTGGGAAAGGTTGTTGGGAGGAATGAAGAGAGGTTGTTTAACGGGTGCAAAAATACACTTAGAAGGAATAAGTTCTAGTGTTTAATAGCACGATAGGGTGATTATAGTTCACAAAAATGTATATTTCAAAATAGCTAGAAGAGAATATTTGATATGTTCCCAACACAAATGAATTATGTGTTTGAGGTGATGGATACACTGATTGCCCTTATTTGATCATTACACATTGTAAGCACATATCAAAATAAATATATGTGCACACACATAAATATGTACAGTTATGTATCAAAAAAATTTAGAAAATGCCTTCTGCAGATAGAAATTTTAGCGTGCATTTATTTTTAATATTTGTAATCCTGCTGAATATACAACATTTTTAATTTTGTTAAAAAACACAGTTTGCCATCTTGGCCATTTTTAAATGTACAGTATTCTTAATTACATGCACATTGATGTGCAACAGATCTCTGGGACTTTTTTTTTTAAATTCATTATTATTATACTTTAAGTTTTAAAGTATAATAATATACTTTATTATCACATAAAATAGACTGAAGTGAAGTATAAACAGTGTTTATCAGTAGGTGGTGGGTTGTAGCCCTTTATGTTTTTTATTCTTTGCACTTTTCCCCGATTTTTCACAAGGAGCATGTGCAACTTGCATAATCATAGAAGGATGACTTTGTTTTTAATATAGGTGTTCATTTAGTAAAGAGAAAAAAGGGGCAACACATACATAAAGGAAAAAGTCTGTAGCTGTGGAGCAAGCTGTGGATATCCACTAGCTAATTAGAGGGCTTTACTTCCAAATTTTAATTCATCCCATTACTCCTTTTAATGTGAGAGTTTATTCTATGTATATCAAAAGCCTTGCATTTCTAATTCTTTTTTATTTATTTATTTATTGTTATACTTTAAGTTTTAGGGTACATGTGCACAATGTGCAGGTTAGTTACATATGTATACATGTGCCATGCTGTTGTGCTGCACTCACTAACTCGCCATCTAGCATTAGGTATATCTCCCAATGCTATCCCTCACCCCTCCTCCCACCCCACAACAGTCCCCAGAGTGTGATGTTCCCCTTCCTGTGTCCATGTGTTCTCATTGTTCAGTTCCCACCTATGAGTAAGAATATGTGGTGTTTGGTTTTTTGTTCTTGTGATAGTTTACTGAGAATGATGATTTCCAATTTCATCCATGTCCCTACAAAGGACATGAACTCATCATTTTTTATGGCTGCATAGTATTCCATGGTGTATATGTGCCACATTTTCTTAATCCAGTCTATCATTGTTGGACATTTGGGTTGGTTCCAAGTCTTTGCTATTGTGAATAATGCCGCGATAAACATACGTGTGCATGTGTCTTTATAGCAGCATGATTTATAATCCTTTGGGTATATACCCAGTAATGGGATGGCTGGGTCAAATGGTATTTCTAGTTCTAGATCCCTGAGGAATCGCCACACTGACTTCCACAATGGTTGAACTAGTTTACAGTCCCAGCAACAGTGTAAAAGTGTTCCTATTTCTCCACATCCTCTCCAGTACCTGTTGTTTCCTGACTTTTTAATGATTGCCATTCTAACTGGTGTGAAATGGTCTCTCATTGTGGTTTTGATTTGCATTTCTCTGATGGCCAGTGATGGTGAGCATTTTTTCATGTGTCTTTTGGCTGCATAAATGTCTTCTTTTGAGAAGTGTCTGTTCATGTCCTTTGCCTACTTTTTGATGGGGTTGTTTGTTTTTTTCTTGTAAATTTGTTTGAGTTCATTGTGGATTCTGGATATTAGCCCTTTGTCAGATGAGTAGGTTGCGAAAATTTTCTCCCATTTTGTAGGTTGCTTGTTCACTCTGATGGTAGTGTCTTTTGCTGTGCAGAAGCTCTTTATTTTAATTAGATCCCATTTGTCAATTTTGGCTTTTGTTGCCATTGCTTTTAGTGTTTTAGACATGAAGTCCTTGCCCATGCCTGTGTCCTGAATGGTAATGCCTAGGTTTTCTTCTAGGGTTTTTATGGTTTTAGGTCTAGCGTTTAAGTCTTTAATCCATCTTGAATTGATTTTTGTATAAGGTGTAAAGAAGGGATCCAGTTTCAGCTTTCTACATATGGCTAGCCAGTTTTCCCAGCACCATTTATTCAATAGGGAATCCTTTCCCCATTGCTTGTTTTTATCAGGTTTGTCAAAGATCGGATAGTTGTAGATATGCGGCGTTATTTCTGAGGGCTCTTTTCTGTTCCATTGATCTATATCTGTGTTTTGGTACCAGTACCATGCTGTTTTGGTTACTGTAGCCTTGTAGTATAGTTTGAAGTCAGGTAGTGTGATGCCTCTAGCTTTGTTCTTTTGGCTTAGGATTGACTTGGCGATGCGGACTCTTTTTTGGTTCCATATGAACTTTAAAGTAGCTTTTTCCAATTCTGTGAAGAAAGTCATTGGTAGCTTGATGAGGATGGCATTGAATCTGTAAATTACCTTGGGCAGTATGGCCATTTTCACGATATTGATTCTTCCTACCCATGAGCATGCAGTGTTCTTCCATTTGTTTGTATCCTCTTTTATTTCCTTGAGCAGTGGTTTGTAGTTCTCCTTGAAGAGGTCCTTCACATCCCTTGTAAGTTGGATTCCTAGGTATTTTATTCTCTTTGAAGCAATTGTGAATGGGAGTTCACTCATGATTTGGCTCTCTGTTTGTCTGTTGTTGGTGTATAAGAATGCTTGTGATTTTTGTACGTTGATTTTGTATCCTGAGACTTTGCTGAAGTTGCTTATCAGCTTACGGAGATTTGGGCTGAGACAGTGGGGTTTTCTAAATATACAATCATGTCGTCTGCAAACAGGGACAATTTGACTTCCTCTTTTCCTAACTGAATACCCTTTATTTCCTTCTCCTGCCTCATTGCCCTGGCCAGAACTTTCAACACTATGTTGAATAGGAGTGGTGAGAGAGGGCATCCCTGTCTTGTGCCAGTTTTCAAAGGGAATGCTTCCAGTTTTTGCCCATTCAGTATGATATTGGCTGTGGGTTTGTCATAGATAACTCTTATTATTTTGAGATACGTCTCTCTGGGACTTTTTCATCTTTTTTTTTTTTTTGAGACAGAGTCTTCCTCTGTCACCCAGGCTGGAGTGCAGTGGCATGACCTCAGCTCACTGTAGCATCCGCCTCCTGTGTTCAAGCGATTGTCCTACCCCAGCCTCCCGAGTAGTTGGGATTACAGGCATGTGGTACCACCCCTGGCTAATTTTTGTGCTTTCAGTAGAGACGGGGTTCCACTATGATGGCCAGGATGGTTTTGAACTCCTGACCTCGTGATCCGGCTGTCTTGGCCTCCCAGAGTACTGGGATTATAGGCATGAGCCATTATTTTCTAGCCTACTTTTTCATCTTTTAAAACTCATGTCCACTGAACAACTCTTTTCTCCCTTCTCCTGGCCCCTGGCAGCTATCATTCTATTTTCTGTTTTCTAAGAATTTAACTGCTTTAAATATCTCCTATAAGTGTAATCATGTAGTATTTATCTTTTTGTTACACTGGCTTATTTCACTTAGCATAATGTCTTTAAGTTTTATCCATGCTTTAGCATAAGACATAATTTTCCTTTTTGTATTTTTTAATTTTTTTATTTTAATTTGTTTATTTTATTATTTTTTTTTTTTTAGTATTTATTGATCATTCTTGGGTGTTTCTCAGAGAGGGGGATGTGGCAGGGTCATAGGATAATAGTGGAGAGAAGGTCAGCAGATAAACATGAGAACAAAGGTCTCTGGTTTTCCTAGGCAGAGGTCCCTGCGGCCTTTGGCCCTGTTTGTGTCCCTGGGTACTTGAGATTAGGGAGTGGTGATGACTCTTAATGAGCATGCTGTCTTCAAGCATCTGTTTAACCAAGCACATCGTGCACCGCCCTTAATCCATTTAACCCTGAGTTGACACAGCACATGTTTCAGAGAGCAGGGGGTTGGGGGTAAGGTTATAGATTAACAGCATCCCAAGGCAGAAGAATTTTTCTTAGTACAGAACAAAATGGAGTCTCCTATGTCTACTTCTTTCTACACAGACACAGTAACAATCTGATCTCTCTTTCTTTTCCCCACATTTCCCCCTTTTCTTTTTTTTCGACAAAACCACCATCGTCATCATGGCCTGTTCTTGATGGTCGCTGTCTCTTCGGAGCTGTTGGGTACACTTCCCAGACGGGACGGCCTGGCAGAGGCGCTCCTCACTTCCCAGACGGGGCGGCGGCCGGGCAGAGGTGCTCCTCACCTCCCAGACGGGGTGGCTGGGCGGAGGCGCTCCCCACCTCCCAGACGAGGAGCGGCCGGGCAGAGGCACCCCCCACTTCCCAGAGGGGGCGGCCGGGCAGAGGCGCTCCTCACTTCCCAGACGGGGCGGCCTGGGCAGAGGCGCCCACTTCCCCGACGGGGCGGCTGGGCAGACGCGCTCCCCACCTCCCAGACCAAGGGCAGCCGGGCATAGGCGCTCCTCACCTCCCAGGTGGGGCGGCCGGGCAGAGGCGCTCCTCACCTCCCAGACGGGGCGGCCGGGCAGAGACGCCCCTCACCTCCCAGACAGGGTGGCCAGGCAGAGGCGCCCACTTCCCAGACGGGGCGGCCGGGCAGAGACGTTCCCCACCTCCCAGACGAAGAGCGGCCGGGCAGAGGTGCCCCTCACTTCCCAGGCGGGGCAGCCGGGCAGAGACGCCCTTCCCCTCCCAGACGGGGCGGCGCGCCAGGCAGAGGCACTCCTCACATCCCAGACGATGGGCGGTCGGGCAGAGACGCTCCTCACTTCCTAGACGGGGTGGTGGCCGGGCAGAGGCGCTCCTCACTTCCCAGATGGGGCGGCCGGGCAGAGGGTCTCCTCACATCCCAGACGATGGGCGGCCAGGCAGAGATGCTGCTCACTTCCTAGATGGGGTGGCGGGTGGGCAGAGGCTGTAATCTTAGCACTTTGGGAGGCCAAGGCACGCGGCTGGGAGGTGGAGGTTGTAGCGAGCCGAGATCACGCCACTGCACTCCAGCCTGGGCAACATTGAGCATTGAGTGAGCGAGACTCCGTCTGCAATCCCAGCACCTCGGGAGGCCGAGGCGGGCTAATCACCCGAGGCCAGGAGCTGGAGACCAGCCCAGTCAACACGGGGAAACCTCGTTTTCACCAAAAATATATAAACCAGTCAGGAGTGGCGGCACGTGCCTGGAATCACAGGCACTCGGCAGGCCGAGGCAGGAGAATCACCCGAGCCCGAGGCAGCGAGGTTGCAGCAAGCTGATATCATGGCAGTACGGTCCAGGCTCCGCAAGAGAGGGAGACCGTAGAAAGAGGGAGAGGGAGAGGGATTTTCCTTTTTTTAAAGGCAGTGACATTCTATTGTATACATATACAATGTATATCCATCCATGCAATGCATATGCATGTATACATACAAAATAATGAATGACATTCTATTGTATGCCTATACCCCTTTTTTTTTACCCTTTCATTTGTCAATGGACATAGAAGTTGCTTCCACTTCTCAGCTATTGTAAATAATGTTATAATCAACATGGGTGTGCCTTTCTCTGATTTTTTTCCTAGGATAGTGTATTAGTTCATTTTCACACTGCTATAAAGAACTACCTGAGACGTAATTTATGAAGAAAAGAGGTTTAATTGACTCAGTCCCACAGACTGTAGAGGAGGCATGGGTGGGGAGGCCTCAGGAAATTTTCAATCATGGTGGAAGGCAAGCACCTTCTTTACACGGCAGAGTAGGAGGGAGAGAGAGAGAGAAGGGGGAAGTGCTACACACTTTCAAACTACCAGATCTTATGAGAACTCACCATCATGAGAACAGCAAGGGGGATATCTGTCCCCATGATCCAGTCACCTCCCACCAAGTCCCTCCCCCAACACAGGGGATTACAATTCAACATGAGATTTGGGTGGGCATACAGAACCAAACCATATCAGATAGTTATCATAGACTGTTTGATATTATTCTATAGATCTGGGATGCTTTCTTCTGATTTCTCCTTCCTTTTTATTTTTTCTCCCTTTGTGTTTCAATTTGTATAATTTCTATTTATCTGACACCAAATTTACTGATTCTCTCCTTGGTTGATTTGAGTATAGTGATGAGCCTGTAGAAAGCTTTCTTCATCTCTGTTATACCATGTATTTTATTTCTACTATTTCCACTAAGTTCTTAAAGTTTCTCTCTGATGGACACACTTGTCTTTTGTTTTCTTTTCTTTTTTTTTTTTTTTTGAGACGGAGTCTCGCTCTGTCGCCCAGGCTGGAGTGCAGTGGCACAATCGCGACTCGCTGCAACCCCTACCGCCTGGGTTCACGCCATTCTCCTGCCTCAGCCTCCCGAGTAGCTGAGACTACAGGCGTCCGCCACAACGCCTGGCTAATTTTTTTATGTATTTTTAGTAGAGATGGGGTTTCACCATGTTAGCCAAGATGGTCTCGATCTCCTTACCTCGTGATGTCTTTTCATCCATGTTGTGTACTTTTTCTATTACAGCTTTAACATATTAATTATGGTTAAGTTCCCCTGTCTGATTATTTTAACATCACTGTCATTTCTGATACTGGTCTGTATTTTGCTGTATTTGTTGACGGTATTATTTTCCTTGCTTTTTTATCTGTTGTAATTTTTATTAAATTCTGGTGGGCATCATGTGTAGGACTGTAGCAAACTGAAGCCAACAGTATTTGTTACTGAAATGATTATACCTCTTCTGCTTGACTGGTAATGTTGGTGATTTGAACCAATCTAATGAGGAGTTGAGATAAATGTAAGTATTGTTGTTATAGTTGGTTTCTGTTATGGACTGAGTGTTTGTGTCCTTTAAAATTCATATGTTGAAGCCCCCCTCCCCTGTAAATGTAATCATATTTGGAGATTGCACCTTTATGGAGGTAATTAAGGTTAAATGAGGTCATAAGGGTTAAGTCTTGAACCAACAGAATGTATCATTATAAGAAAAGGCACTAGAGAGTTAGCTGTCTGCCATGTGAGAACACAGTGAGAAGGTGACCTTCTACAAGCTAAGAGAGTCCATACTAGGAACCAAATCTCCCAGCACCTTGGTCTGGGACTTCTAGCCTTCAGAAATATGGAAAAATAAATTTCTGTGGTTTAAGCTGCTCAGTCTATGGCATTTTGTTATGCAAACCCTGGCTGACTAAAATACTGTCAGTGCACCACAGATTTGAAATTCTGCTAGTGTCGTCTTTTGTTTAGGGTGGGTCTGATTTGCCAGAGGATTTTTCTCAGTATTTCTGTTTAACTGTCTACTTTAGGTCTTCTTTGTGCACCTAGGCCTCAGAGGTGGTTTTCTCTATGTTCGTGCCCCTCCCGCAAATGTAGATTACTATTATTTTTTACTTGGTGATAGCTACCCTGGTGCTAGGCTGCAGAGGTATCCTCTATTGTCTTGGCCCAGATTCAATGTTAGGTAGGCTCTGTGATCCTAAGTTTTGGGGAATGGGACTTGTTCAGGTATCCTGCCCCTCTTTCCTGTAGAAGTCAGACTGCCTTCTGCCTTCAGCAAGTCGTTTGTATGAGTTTCCTTCCCACCCCCAGCAGTAGGAGACCTCTAAAGTTAGGACTGCATATGATTTCCTGTCTTCCTTCACCCTCCCAGTGTTGGAGAATATTTTTCTTTATTCTTCTGCCATCCACAATGGCTTGTCACTTGTTTCTTGGGGACAACATGATTTGCTGCTCTTACCTCAACAACTTAAGACTTTTGATCCAGAGGGGAAAAGGGTCTTTTTTAGTAGTGGTGCTTCACTTCCTTAATGCCTGTACCTCTGATGGTCACTTTTTCTGGCTTTCTGCCTCTCTCCAGTCTTTTTCTTGACGGCCTGGAAGAAAATGCTGCAAGTGTTTGCAACTTCTGGGAGTTCTATACCCTCACTGGAATCTACACTTTGCCATTAGCTATTTGTTAAAAATTTTAGCTTTATTATTCTAACCCCCTTGTAAGGTAACCCCACCTTCCCATTCCGCTCCATGGGTGAGTCAGTGCTCTCATTTGTCTTTTTTTTTTTTTTTTCGTGGTGTATGTCTTCCTTTAGATTTCAAGTCTGTTGGTTATTATCTCAACACTTTGATGGTTTCGTGAAAAGTTATGATTTTGTAGATTATCTAGCTTTTTCTTGCTTTTAGGTGGGAGCAATGCTTCTTCCAGCTTTCTATATCCTAGGTGGAAACTTGAAAGCCCAGAATTTTTTCTCTGGCCCATTCTCTTTTCTCTTTATGGGACCCCAACTACACATTTGTTAAAAACTCTTGGTATTACCTTATGGGTTTCTAATGCTCTATACATTTTTTTTTTCTTTTTAGATACTTTTCTGTATTTTCTTTAATTTAGATATTTTGTATTGGTCTTTGTGAATGTTCATTGCTCTGTTCCTCTGTGATTGTTTATCTGTTGATTAAATCCCATTAATTAAATTTTTTATTTCAGATACTGTGCCTTTTCAGTTTTAGAGTTTTTTTTTGTAGTTTATCTCCTGAAATACCTAATCTGTTTAGCATTTGCATTCATCTTTTTCTATTGTTTCTTTAGCATATTTATACTTTTTGTTTTAACATGCTTGCTTGCTAATTACAATGACTTGGTCATCTGTGTGTCATCTCCTATTATGTTTTCTCTTGATTGTGCTTTATGTTTTCCTGATATTTTGAGTATGTGTCATAATTTTTTCTTGAATCTAGGGCATTTTATTTAAAGAACCGTGGGAAGTGATGTGTACTATTTTTTGTTTTGTTTTGATCCCCCGTGCAGTACATGCCCTTTCCTGTGTTTAGGGTAAGGGACTGAGTTTAGTTGAGCTAGTGCTAGGCTGCAGTCTCAGTTTCAGTGTATCTGTTATTGGCTCAGCATTCCAAGGTGCCTCCTTTTTTATCTTGACAGTTTTTGAGCTGGGGGTGGGGATTTGGTTGCAGGCTCAGATACTGTTGGTTTACTGTTGGTTTATTTGGATCCTGGAATTCACTCACCTAGAGAATGCCGAGATTACCACCTTCTGTCTTCTCAAACGTGAGGGGTTATGTTGCAGGGTGAGTAATATGGGAGACATATTGGACGAAGCAATCTCTTTTTGTGTTGGGATTATTACAGTCTCTAATCCATCCTGCTATCCCATGCTGTTGTCTACCGCTTGGCTGATTACTGCTTGCCTGATAAAATGTATTTGTCTAATGGGAAGATCACCTGTATCTAGACCAAGGTGTTTGCCCCAAGGCAGGGAAGCTGTCATGGTTCTCTGCTTACTTATGAAAGTTCAATTTTTATTTTCCTCTGGAATTCTATTCATCAAAGCTTCTTTACTCATTTTAAGCCCCACAGAAAATGTTATAACCATGGGAATAAAGGCCTTTCTTGTGCTCCATCTGAACCTTCAGGAACAGAATTCTTCTTCAGAAATTTTTAGTTATATTGGACTACTCTTTGAAGTCTTTTGACTGTTTACCAACCAGTCTTATACAGAAAGATTAATATTTACCTACCTTCTATTCTATATCTAGGCCTTTTTAAAATTTTGAACAAATATTTTTAGAGAGGGGCTCTCGCTCTGTCGCCCAGGTTGAAGTGCAGTGGCCTGATCATAGCTAATTGCAGCCTCAAACTCCTGGGCTCAAGCCATCTTCCCACCTCATTCTCCTGAGTAGCTGGGACTATAGACACATGCCACCATGCCCAGCTAATTTTCTTTTTTAAATGTTTTGTAGAAACAGGGTCTGCTATGTTACCCAGACTCATCTCAAACTCTTCCAGCCACAGACTACCAAAGTGCTGGAATTACAGGTGTGAGCCAGCATGCCTGGCCTATATCTAAGTCTTAAGATTAAAAAAAAACAAAAAACAAACTTGATTTCTGTATCTCTTGAGACTTTCTGCTTCTGTTGGCTGAATTCTGCATTTTTGCCATTATTAAAAATTCTAGATCCTTTTGTAGTTCATAAGCACAATGATTGAATTTTCATGCTCATGTGTGAGATATGCCTCACTCCAGTCTTGTTACAGTGTTAGCACATTACCTATCTGATAGAAAGAAAAAAATTCCTAACACTTGCCAAAAAGAAAAGGAAACTCAAGTGGCATATTTAATTGAAATTCTAAATATGTTTATTTGAGCCATATTCTAGCTAGCATGATTTTATAAAATCCCAACACATCAAAATTTAAGATTTTGACGTATAAATTTGGAATGAGTCTTCATGGCATAGGGGTAGGACCAGTGTTGGTATATATATGATGACTTCATAAAAAGTCTCCCTCTTTGAATGGACAGATTATAAAAAGGTGCCCTTTCCTGCTCTAGGCTTGTTGCCTGATTTCAGCCCTAACTTTACCCATTGGCTAGATGCCCTGGTACTATCTATACAGTTGTATACAGTGCATTTGAATCAGCAAATATTTTAGTTGCTTTTAGACAAGAGAGACTTATAAAAAATTACCAAGTAGGAAATTCATATATGGCCACTGTTAACACATATGTTCTTTTCTGGTTTTAAAAGTGGGGTCAATTCGTGCTATTGCTTTTAACTTGCTTCTTATAACTATAAGTTAACATCTTACAGAAAGCCTATTACTGAGGACTTTCTATATAAATTGACACATATGTTTTATGTATTATAAAGCCCGAGGGTGCCAAAAGAGGTAGTGGTTGGAGACACTAAAATGAAGACATTTGGAATTTGTGTTCTGGTGCTTTGCTGTAATAAGTACTGAAACATGTTGGTTGAATGTTAAAATTTCTGAAATAAGTAAAAGTAAACCCTTAAGTTTAATGGAAGTAGTTTACCTGTCACTTCAGGAACTAATCTATTTAATGAAGCAAGGTTTACTATTATTAAAGCATTAAACAATTTCTGATTTTTGTTCCATAGGTATACTGCAACATCCAGATGGCACAGTTTTGAAACAGTTACAACCACCTCCAAGGGGCCCAAGAGAGCTGGAATTCTATAATATGGTAAGTGAGGTAAGATTTGTTTTGTTGTCTTCAAAGTGTTTTTCAGAGTTTTCTGGTGGTGACTCACAGTAAGACACATATTTGACAGCATAGTCACTGTGTGTATGTAACGGAAACAAAAGCTTCATGGAAAGCAGTGCGTATCTTTACTGTATGTGATGCAGTCTAGTATTTTCTATTCTATTTCAGTTCTTAGATTCTTCTTCTGTGTTTATGGTAGATACTTCTTCTCAGGTTAAGGAAATTAAAATTACCCTCTGTGTGAGGCAACATTTTGTCAAGAAACAAATGGTATGCTCTGTTGGTTTCATAAAGGGACTATTTACAAAGGTAAGGTTAGAGCTTATGGCAACCTGCAAGAGATGTTATAATGTTATACCATCCCTGGGCCTGAAGTGGAGAGAATGGTTCCTGGAGCCTAGGGAAGGTAATTTTTATGAGAAGACATGACCTGTTAAGGAGGGAGCTAGAAAAGTAAATAACTGATCTCAACTCTTCTCATACCCTCCAGTCTCTTGTTTGTGTCTTGTAAGGGCAAGAGGGCAAGGGATCTCATTGATGCAGTTGATTCAAGTCAGCCTCTTGGGTGGAGAAGGGTGGAATGGGAAAGGGACGATACATAGCATCTTTTCTAGTTTGATTTTTTCTTTTTTGAGATAGGGTCTGGCTCTGTTGCCCAGGCTGAAGTGCAGTGGCATGATGTTGATTCATTGCAACCTCTGCCTCCCAGGCTCAAGCTATTCTCCCACCTCAGCCTGTGCCTCCTAAGTGGCTGAAACTACAGGCGTGTGCCACGCAGCCCGGCTAATTTTTGCATTTTTTGTAGAGATGGGGTCTCACTTTGTTGTCCAGGCTGGTCTTAAACACTTAAGCTCAAGTGATCCTCTTACCTCAGCATCTCCCCACCCCAACCCAACCTCCCCACAGTAGCTGGAACTACAGGCACAGGCCAGCAAGCCTGGCTAATTTTAAAACAGTTTTTTTTTTTGTAGAGAGAGGGTTTCACCAGTTGTCCAGGCTGGTCTTGAACTCCTGGGCTCAAGCGATCCTCCTGCCTCTGCCTCCCAAAGTTCTGTGATTACGGGCTTGAGCCACGACACCTGGCCCTTCTAGTTTTCAGAAACAATTTAATGCATGAGTGAATATTGAATAGTTTCCAGCTGCCTTTTTGGTATCTGTTGAAATGATCATATGAATTTCCTTCTTTAATCTGTTAATATGGTAAAATACAGAAATAGATTTCTGTATCATCACCTTTCATTTCTGAAATAAAACCTACTTAAGTCTTTTTAATTTTTTAATACTATGCATTGTGAGATTTTGCTTGGGAGTGCTTAAGATCTTTTCCAGCTGTGTGCACAAATGAAATTAAACTCTTATTTTCTTCACATATTATCTTTATCTGCTTTTGATATGTTTCATTTAGCTTCATAAATGTGTCCAGGAGCCTTTTCGTATCTATTTTGTTAAAGAATTTGCATCAGATAAGAGTTTTGTTCTTTAGGTATGGTGGCTTATGCCTATAATCTCAGTACTTTGGGAGGCCAAGACAGGTGGATCCCTTGAGGTCAGGAGTTCAAGATCAGCCTGGTCAACATGGTGAAACCCCGTCTCTACCAAAAAAAAAAAGAATTAACCCACTGTGGGTGGCACGTATCTGTAATCCCAGCTACTTGGGAGACTGAGGCAGGAAAATCATTTGAACCCGGGAGGTGGAGGTTGCAGTAAGTCAAGATTGCACCACTGTACTCCAGCATGGGGGGACAGGGTGAGACTCTCTCTAAAAAAAAAAAAAAGTTCTTTAAGAAGTTCTTTAAGAGTTTTGTTCCTTAAAGGCTTGATAGAACTTACCTATAAATTTGTCACAACAGCCTACTGGTTGTCTCTCTCTTTCTTTTTCTTTTTTTTTAAATTTTTTATTACACTTTAAGTTCTAGGATACATGTGCACAACGTGCAGGTTTGATACATAAGTATACATGTGCCATGTTGGTTTGCTGCACCCATCAACTCGTCATTTACATTAGGTATTTCTCATAACGCTATCCCTCCCCAGCCCCGCAGCCCCTGACAGGCCCCGGTGCGTGATGTTCCCCTGTGTCCAAGTGATCTCTTTGTTCAATTCCCACCTATTAGTGAGAACATGTGGTGTTTGGTTTTCTGTCCTTGTGATAGTTTGCTGAGAATGATGGTTTCCAGCTTCATCCATGTCCCTGCAAAGGACATGAACTCATTCTTTTTTATGGCTGCATAGTATTCCATGGTGTATATGGGCCACATTTTCTTAATCCAGTCTATCATTGAGGGACATTTGGGTTGGTTCCAAGTCTTTGCTATTGTGAATAGTGCTGCAGTAAACATACGTCTACATGTATCTTTATAGTAGCATGATTTATAATCCTTTGGGTATATATCCAGTAATGGGATTGCTGGGTCAAATGGTAATTCTAGTTCTAGATCCTTGAGGAATCGCCACACTGTCTTCCACATGGTTGAACTAATTTACACTCCCACCAACAGTGTAAAAGTGTTCCTATTTCTCCACATCCTCTCCAGCATCTGTTGTTTCCTGACTTTTTAATGATTGCCATTCTAACTGGTGTGAGATGGTATCTCATTGTGGTTTTGATTTGCATTGCTCTGATGACCAGTGCTGATGAGCATTTTTTCATGTGTCTGTTGACTGCCTAGATGTCTTCTTTTGAGAAGTGTCTGTTCATATCCTTTGCCCCCTTTTTGATGGGGTTGTTTGTTTTTTTCTAGTAAATTTATTTGAGTTAGTTGTAGATTCCGGATATTAGCCCTTTGTCAGATGGGTAGATTGCAAAAATTTTCTCCCATCCTGTAGGTTGCCTGTTCACTCTGATGGTAGTTTCTTTTGCCATGCAGAAGCTCTTCAGTTTAATTAGATCCCATTTGTCTATTTTGGCTTTTGTTGTCATTGCTTTTGGTGTTTTAGTCATGAATTCCTTGCCCATGCCTATATCCTGAATGGTATTGCCTAGGTTTTCTTCTAGGGTTTTTATGGTTTTAGGTCTAACATTTAAGTTTTTAATCCATCTTGAATTAATTTTTGTATAAGGTGTAAGGAAGGGATCCAGTTTCAGCTTTCTCCATATGGCTAGCCAGTTTTCCCAGCACCATTTATTAAATAGGGAATCCTTTCCCCATTGCTTGTTTTTGTCAGGTTTGTCAAAAGATCAGATGGTTGTGGATGTGTGGTGTTCTTTCTGAGGACTCTGTTCTGTTCCATTGGTCTATATCTCTGTTTTGGTTCCAGTACCATGCTGTTTTGGTTACTGTAGCCTTGAAGTATAGTTTGAAGTCAGGTAGCATAATGGCCCCAGTTTTTTTCTTTTTGCTTAGGATTGTCTTAGCAATGGGGGCTCTTTTTTGGTTCCATATGATCTTTAAAGTAGTTTTTTCCAATTCTGTGAAGAAAGTCATTTGTAGCTTGATGAGGATGACATTGAATCTGTAAATTACTTTGGGCAGTATGGCCATTTTCACATATTGATTCTTCCTGTCCATGAGCATGGAATATTCTTCCCTTTGTTTGTGTCCTCTTTTATTTTGTTGAGCGGTGGTTTGTAGTTCTCCTTGAAGAGGTCCTTCACATCCCTTGTAAGTTGGATTCCTAGGTATTTTATTCTCTTTGTAGCAATTGTGAATGGGAGTTCACTCATGATTTGGCTCTCTGTTTGTCTGTTAATGGTGTATAGGAATGCTTGTGATTTTTGTACATTGATTTTGTATCCTGAGACTTTGCTGAAGTTGCTTATTAGCTTAAGATTTTGGGCTGAGACGATGGGGTTTTCTAAATATACAATCATGTCATCTACAAACAGGGACAATTTGACTTCCTCATTTCCTAACTGAATGCCTTTCACTTCTTTCTCCTGCCTGATTGCCCTGGCCAGAACTCCCAACACTATGTTGAATTGAGTGGTGAGAGAGGGCATCCTTGTCTTGTGCCAGTTTTCAAAGGGAATGCTTCCAGTTTTTGCCCATTCCGTGTGATATTGGCTGTGGGCTTGTCATAAATAGCTCTTATTATTTTGAGATACATTCCATCAATATCTAGTTTATTGAGTTTTTTTAATGAAGGGCTGTTGAATTTTCTTGAAGGCCTTTTCTTCATCTCTTGAGATAATCATGTTTTTTGTCGTTGGTTCTGTTTATGTGACGGATTACGTTTATTGATTTGCGTATGTTAAACCAGCTTTGCATCCCAGAGATGAAGCCAACTTGATCATGGTGGATAAGCTTTTTGATGTGCTGCTGGATTTGGTTTGCCAGTATTTTATTGAGGATTTTTGCATCGACATTCATCAGGGACGTTGGTCTAAAATTCCCTTTTTTTTGTTGTGTCTCTGCCAGGCTTTGGTATCAGGATGATGTTGGCCTCATAAAATGAGTTAGGGAGGATTCCCTCTTTTTCTATTGATTGGAATAGTTTTAGAAGGAATGGTACCAGCTCCTCTTTGTACTTCTGGTAGAATTCGGCTGTGAATCCATCTGGTCCTGGACTTTTTTTGGTTGGTAGGCTATTAATTATTGCCTCAATTTCAGAGCCTGTTATTGGTCTATTCAGAGGTGCAACGTCTTCCTAGTTTAGTCTTAGCAGGGTGTATATGTCCATGAATTTATCCATTTCTAGATTTTCTAGTTTATTTGCATAGAGGTGTTTATCGTATTCTCTGATGGTAGTTTGTATTTCTGTGGGATCAGTTGTGATATCCCCTTTATCATTTTTTATTGCATCTATTTGATTCTTCTCTCTTCTTTATTAATCTTGCTAGTGGTCTATCAGTTTTGTTGATCTTTTCAAAAAACCAGCTCCTGGATTCATTGATTATTTGAAGGGTTTTTTGTGTCTGTCCCTTTCAGCTCTGCTCTAATCTTAGTTATTTTTTGCCTTCTGCTAGCTTTTGAATGTGTTTGCTCTTGCTTCTCTAGTTCTTTTAATTGTGACGTTAGGGTGTCGATTTTAGATCTTTCCTGCTTTCTCTTGTGGGCATTTATTGCTATAAATTTCCCTCTACACACTGCTTTAAATGTGTCCCAGAGATTCTTGTATGTTGTGTCTTTGTTCTCATTGGTTTCAAAGAACATCTTTATTTCTGCTTTCATTTCGTTATGTACCCAGTTGTCATTCAGGAGCAAGTTGTTCAGTTTCCATGTAGTTGTGCAGTTTTGAGTGAGTTTCTTAATCCTGAGTTCTAATTTGATTGCACTGTGGTCTGAGAGACAGTTTGTTATGATTTCTGTTCTTTTACGTTTGCTAAGGAGTGCTTTACTTCCAATTATGTGGTCAATTTTAGAATAAGTGTGATGTGCTGAGAAGAATGTATGTTCTGTTAATTTGGGGTGGAGAGTTCTGTAGATGTCTATTAGGTCTGCTTGTTGTAGAGCTGAGTTCAACTCCTGGATATCCTTATTAACCTTCTGTCTCGTTGATATGTCTTAATATTGACAGTGGGGTGTTAAAGTCTCCCATTGTTATTGTGTGGGGGTCTAAGTCTCTTTTTAGGTCTCTCAGGACTTGCCTTATGAATCTGGGTGCTCCTGTATTGGGTGCATATATATTTAGGATAGTTAACTCTTCTTGTTGAATTGAGTGATCCCTTTACTATTGTGTAATGGCCTTCTTTGTCTCTTTTGATCTTTGTTGGTTTAAAGTCTGTTTTATCAGAGACTAGGATTGTAACCCCTGCTTTTTTTTGCTTTCCATTTGCTTGGTAGATCCTCCTCCATCCCTTTATTTTGAGCCTATGTGCATCTTTGCATGTGAGATGGGTCTCCTGAATACGGTACACCAATGGGTCTTGATTCTTTATCCAATTTGCCAGTCTGTGTCTTTTAATTGGGGCATTTAGCCCATTTACATTTAAGGTTAATATTGTTATATGTGAATTTGATCCTGTCATTATGATGTTCGCTGGTTATTTTGCCCATTAATTGATGCAGTTTTTTCATAGCATCGATGGTCCATACAATTTGGTGTGTTTTTGCAGTGGCTGGTACTGGTTGTTTCTTTCCATGTTTAGTGCTTCCTTGAGGAGCTCTTGTAAGGCAGGCCTGGTGGTGACAGAGTCTCTCAGCATTTACTTGTCTGTAAAGGATTTTATTTCTCCTTCACTTACGAAGCTTAGTTTGGCTGGATATGAAATTCTGGGTTGAAAATTCTTTTCTTTAAGTATGTTGAATGTTGGCCTCCACTCTCTTCTGGCTTTAGGGTTTCTGCCGAGAGATCCGCTGTTAGTCTGATGGGCTTCCCTTTGTGGGTAACTCAACCTTTCTCTCTGGCTGTCCTTGACACTTTTTCCTTCATTTCAACCTTGGTGAATCTGACAATTATGTGTCTTGGGGTTGCTCTTCTCGAGGAGTATCTTTGTGGCATTCTCCGTATTTCCTGAATTTAAATGTTGGCCTGCCTTGCTAGATTGGGGAAGTTCTCCTGGATAATATCCTGAAGAGTGTTTTCTAACTTGGTTCCATTCTCCCCATCGCTTCCAGGTATACCAGTCAAATGTAGATTTGGTCTTTTCACATAGTCCCATATTTCTTGGAGGCTTTGTTCATTTCTTTTTACTCTTTTTTCTCTAACCTTGTCGTCTTGCTTTATTTCATTGATTTGTTCTTCAATCACCAATACCCTTTCTTCCACTTGATTGAATTGGGTATTGAAGCTTGTGCATGAATCATGAAGTTCTCTTGCCATGGTTTTCAGCCCCATCAGGTCATTTAAGGTCTTCTCTACACTGTTTATTCTAGTTAGCGATTCATCTAATCTTTTTTCAAGGTTTTTAGCTTCCTTACGATGGGTTCGAACATCCTCCTTTAGCTCGGAGAAGTTTGTTATTACCGACCTTGTGAAGCCTACTTCTATCAACTCGTCAAAGTCATTCTCTGTCCAGCTTTGTTCCATTGCTGGGGAGGAGCTGTGATCCTTTGGAGGAGAGGAGGCACTCTGATTTTTAGAATTTTCTGCTTTTCTGCTCTAGTTTCTTCCCATCTTTGTGGTTTTATCTACCTTTGGTCTTTGATGTTGGTGACCTACAGATGGGATTTTGGTGTAGATGACCTTTTTGTTGATGTTGATGCTATTCCTTTCTGTTTGTTAGTTTTCCTTCTAACAGTCAGGTCCCTCAGCTCCAGGTCTGTTGGAGTTTGCTGGAGGTCCACTCCAGACCGTTTGCCTGGTTATCACCAGTGGAGGCTGCAGAACAGCAAATGTTGCAGAACAGCAAATATTGCTGCCTGATCCTTCCTCTGGAAGCTTTGTCCGAGAGGGGCAGCCGCCTATATGAGGTGTCTGTTGGCCCCTACTGGGGGCTGTCTCCCAGTTAGGCTACACGGGGGTCAGGGACCCACTTGAGGGGGCAGTCTGCTTGTTCTCAGAGCTCAAACACCATGCCGGGAGAACCACTGCTCTCTTCAGAACTGTCAGACAGGGACGTTTAAGTCTGCAGAAGTTGTCTGTTGCCTTTTGTTCAGCTATGCCCTGCCCACAGAGGTGGAGTCTAGAGGCAGTAGGCCTTGTTGAGCTGCAGTGGGCTCCACCCAGTTCGAGCTTCCCAGCTTCTTTGTTTACCAAGCCTCAGCAATGGTGGATTCCCCTCCCCCAGCCAGGCTGCTGCCTCGCAGTTCGATCTCAGACTGCTGCGCTAGCAATGAGCAAGGCTCCGTGGGCATGGGACCCACTGAGCCATGCATGGGAGAGAATCTTCTTGTCTGCCAGTTGCTAAGACCTTGGGAAAAGTGCAGTATTTGGATGGGAGTGTCCCGTTTTTCCAGGTAGTCTGTCACGGCTTCCCTTGGCTAGGAAAGGGAAATCCCCCAACTCCTTGTGCTTCCCTGGTGAGGGACCCACTGTCCAGCCAATCCCAATGATGTGAACCAGGTACCTCAGTTTGAAATGCAGAAATCACCCGTCTTCTGCGTCGATCACACTGGGAGCTGCAGACCAGAGCTGTTCCTATTCGACCATCTTGGAACACCCCCCTCTTTCTTTCCTCTTTTTCATGCTTTCTTTCTTTCATTTGTTCCTGGGAAGGATAGATTTTTAACCAGTGATTTGATTTCTTAAAGTTCTTCAGATTTTTATTTTATTTGTTAATGTGATAGTACAATATATTTAGATTACTTTTTTTTTTTTTTTTTTGAGACGTGGTCTCGCTCTGTTGCCCAGGCTGGAGTGCAGTGGCGCAGTCTCTGCTCACTGCAACCTCCACCTCCCAGGTTCAAGTGATTCTCCTGCCTCAGCTTCCTGAGTAGCTGGGATTACAGGTGCATGCCGCCCAGCCCAGCTAATTTTTGTATTTTTGGTAGAGACAGGGTTTTGCCATGTTGGCCAGGCTGGTCTGGAACTCCTGACCTCTGACCTCAGGTGATCCACCTACCTCAGCCTCCCAAAGTGTTGGGATTACAGGCGTTAGCCACCATGCCTGGCCTAGATTATTTTTTAAATACAAATTGCCCTCTTGACAAAGCTTTTCCTAGTATTTAAAAAAAAAATTCTGCTCTATCAGTTGAGAGTCCCTTTTCTTTCCTAATATTGTTTGTTTGCTGCTTCTCTGTTTTTCTCTGTAAGCTTAGCTGCCAGCATTCTTGGAGTTCAGTGGTTGGGGGAGAGAGAAGTAAGCCAAGATTTTTATTTTTCAGGATTTTGAATTTTATTTACTCTCCATGTTTCAGTATAGTAACTCTGTCCTCAGCTCTGCCTCATCCCTGAGTTCTGAGATCCTTTGGTTCAGGTCTTGAGTGAACCTCTGTGAAGCCCAAACATCACTGCTTGGGTTAACACTTTTGTTTCATAGGCATGCAAAACTAAGAAGAATTCCCTTTTTTTTCCTTGAGAGCTCAGCTATGCATTTAAGAAAATATTTGTTATATTTTATTCTACATTTCAAGATAGAAAGGTTTTTAGGTTATCTTAGGCTGAGATGGGTGGATCACGAGGTCAGGAGATCGAGACCATCCTGGCTAACACGGTGAAACCTCGTCTCTACTAAAAATATAAAAAATTAGCTGGGTGTGGTGGCGGACGCCTGTAGTCCCAGCTACTCGGGAGGCTGAGGCAGGAGAATGGCGTGAACCCAGGAGGCAGAGCTTGCAGTGAGCTGAGATTGCACCACTGCACTCCAGTGTAGGTGACAGAGCGAGACTCCGTCTCAAAAAACAAAACACATACACAAAAAAGAAAGGTTTTTAGGTTATCTTGCCTGGCATGTTGCAGTAAACACCAGTCCCACTACTTTTAAAAAATATTCTAAATAAGAAGAGAAAATTTATCTCTCTTTCATTTCCATTCCAGAATTAAACTATGAGTAGTTTCAAATGAATATTTGTAATTTTTTCTGTGCCTTTACAGAGATGATACACACATATGTATCTTACTTAATTTCATAGACCTGCTATATATATTTTTATGTAATATGCCTTTTATCTTTTTCATGTATAAATATAGCATGGAGTTCTTTAGATCAGTACACAGAGATCTACTTCATTCCTCCGTCTTGTAATTAGCTCATCCTCAGCACTGCACCCACGGTCATTGTGCTAGGAATAGAGGGACGTTCAGGTATACTTACTCTAAATTACCTTGGCCTGGAAGTGACTAATATGAATCACTTCTAACATTTCAACAGGGGAATCTGGGAAATACAATGTACCACTTGGATATTTGGTCTGCCAAGAGTCTGCCACACTTGAGTTTATTCTGAAGAATTATGTTGCATACAACTACTTGACATAAATATGGTTTGGCATATATAATTAGATTCTAATACTAAGTTTTCGTAAGCATTTTACACCAGTAAACTTCATTAATTTTAGATAATTAGGTAGAGAATATTTAGGAAAGATCATTGGATAACATGTCTTACATGCCATTTTGTAAACAAAAAATATTCTGTCTTCTAGGAAAACTAGAATCTAGTTCTAGGATATTAGAATTTTCTAATATCTTTTAGCATTATTAATGGTTACAAATCAAGGAATTAAATGAGCAGCAGTTAGACTTACATTGTGTTAAAGGATTTTTTTTAAAAAAGATAAAAGCAAAAATCACCATGTAGATATAAAACAAATATGTGTTAAAGATTTGCTTTAACATATTATTTAATGAGGGAACCAGATAAATGTTAAAACTTGTTCAAAAGAGAAGTTAAAGAAACACACATTTATCTGGAATAATGGAAGTTTGATGTGAATTTTCATATTGCCACTACATTTCCTCCTCTCAGGGTGCATGGAGGAAAGTCAGAAGAATGTCCTCTGGCCAGAATTTATTTACATGTTTATGGACAAGAGTTATTTTGCATTTGCTATCAGTATCTATAACTTACAAAGTTGTAAAATAGTTCGATAGTAAAAGGCTAGAATTAGATAACCAAGAAGAGTGTACTCTAAATACATAGTTACTCATTGGAGACACACAGTAATATTTTTTGCTTGTTCCAAATTTACTTGCAATTGAAGCCATACCAGATGAATTATAATTCAACATAAATTTTATTTGAGAAATGTGCAGGGCAGTTACAAAGCATTGTAAGAATCTAGCAATGTTATATTTCTCTGTTTCAGGTTTATGCTGCTGACTGTTTTGATGGTGTTCTTCTAGAGCTACGAAAATATTTGCCAAAATATTATGGCATCTGGTCACCTCCCACTGCACCAAACGGTAATCTTGTCATAAAAATTATCTTTCAGTTTTAATTCATGAGTGTAGCTTCTTTAAAGGCCTTATGTAAAATTAAAATTTAACTGAGTATGTATTATAAAAACACAAAATATATATGTTTTGCTTTCTAATCTTTCTTTCACTAAATGAAACTTATTAATACTTTTGTTTTCATAACCATTTCTAAAATGGCATATACAAGTAAATGGCCAATCTCTTATAGTTGAATGGAAGCATATAGACTTAATACTATCTTAATTTGCAGATGTTCTGTCCTAATTTATTGTGTAGTTTCTTTTCCCATTTTGAGTGATTTTTTAAAAATCAAGAAAAATATTGTCTCTGCATGACTTCCTCCCAGTCTCTTATCCTGTTCCTTCATCCCTCACCTCCAGGCTTTAAATTACAGTCTTCTGAAAAGCACTGGTAAGTTTCATAGAGAATAAAATGACCTAAATAGGGCACAGAATTTCTCTTTTTTAAGATTAACTAATACCTGAAGCAGTATTTGCCCCCAGAAGGCCTTTGCCAAAACACATACAATTTAATTAAACAAGCAGCTTGACTGACTGACCATTGACAAAGGTGAATTGAGGGGAAAGGGCTTCAAACTTCAGTGGGTTTAAAAATAACCTATGGTCTTGTTAAAATGCAAATATGTAAGGCCAACTCCCAGACATTTTGTTTATACAGGTCTATGTTGGAGTGTAGTGATATGCCTGTTAAATAAAAGCCATGGGTGTTTCTGATGTGGATAGTTCTTGAACCACACTTTGAGGACAGAAAGAGAAGGGGATTCCAGTGTGAGCCTGCCTATTCCTTTTGTCAGTTCTTGTCTTCCTTTAACTTAATGACTTTGCGTGCCAGGTTTCACTAATAGGGAACCCTGGTATCTCTCTGTGAGTATCCTCAGCTAGCTGATAGTAAATTGATGGCTCCCTTGAGTATTTATGATTCCTCTGTACTTTAATTGTATGAAAAAAAGAAAGTGAGCCAAAGCTCTATTAACTGTCTTTTTTCCTTCCTCCCTTAATTCCTTCCTTCTTTTTTGTGGGCTTACAGGTCTTTTTAGTCCTAACTATATCTATTTGTCTATGATTCAGATCAACATTTTGCTTAAATTAGTTTACAAGTCATTATGATTGCCCTTTGGTCATCATTCCCTATATAATCTCTCGCAAACCCATTTAATGCCTTCCTTTTTTTTCCCTCTTTGCTGTAAGTGGAAGTTTTCAGGAATGCTATAAATGAGATAAAGGAAAGGAGAAGGTACAGTATCTAGATTCCAATGAACTTTGCTACTGATTGCTGTTTAATTTAGAGTAAATCATTATTCCTCAGTAAAGTGACGCTGAAAAATTAATGAAGGTTGCTGAGGATGGTGTTTGATTGAAAATCTACGTAATTAAATGCTTAGTTTAAAAGATTGTTTGGAAAGAGTAGAATAACTAGCAAATACAGCATAATTACTATGAATAGAGTATACAGAAAGAATTTGGATAAGAGAAGAAACATTTTAATTAAAGATAGCCTTTTTAGTTTAGGGTTACTAGCATATGATTTAAATAATCAAGGGATTGCTAGTAATCAACCTTTTTGGTCTTCAATACTATATAATCTTGAAGTTCAGCTATGCTAATATAGAAGGAGCAGTAACTTTGAAGTAAAAATATTTGGCCTCTATCTTGGTTATTTACAAATATTGTGAACTTGGCTAACTCAGTAATCTTTTTGAGCTCCACGTTTTCTTCTACAAATAGAAAGTAATACCACCAAGTTGTAAAGATGCATGTTATCTTATGTGAAAATATTTTATAAACTCTAATTCTCTCATTTGAAAATAAATGGAGATATTGGTGCTCCTAAGATGAGAGGATGAAGTGAGGAAGCTGAGTGAAGAGAGGAAAAATGTAAACTGAAGGGAAAAAAGGACAAGGAATAAAGTGTATATGATAACAGAGTGGTCCAGTAGTACCAACAGTTGCCTCAAGGGATTTTCTACTTCTTTCCTACTTTGTTAGCTCTGGAAGAAGTGGGACAAAACTGTTGGACCATGCAGATTGTTTTCTTTTGATTTTACTAGCAACTTCATAGAATCATCTTTCTGTTTTTATCCTTTTGATTGCAAATGAAAGAAATAGAAGACAGCAAACTTATGTACATGTTTAGCCCACAGGATCATGAAAACATATTTGCTTGAGTTGTAGTAGAATACTATGGTTTGCGTTACTGTGTTTTATGTAGTCTAAAACTAATGACATTATTTCCTGTTGGTTTTTGTTCTTGTTGTTTGGGTATCTTTTCTTATGTGTCCAGGGTAGAGTTTTATAAAGCTGATACTGTTTTTAATAATCCAAAGTAGTAAAATGCTGAAAGCCAACTTGTTCAACAAATTATCATATAATAATTTGAAGAATAAGAATGTTCTGACCAATGAGGTTTTTTCTTTTAATTTTGTTATGATAGTTTTATTGAGATATAATTTACATACCATAAAACTGATCCATTTAAAGCATACAACTCAGTGGTTTCTAGTATATTCGCAGAATTATACAATCATCACAATTATCTAATTTTAGAACATGAGCAGTGGAATTTTAAAAATATAACATTTGTTGGCAATTATCTTTGAACATTTCATGCTAGTTATATATAGTAAATATCTTTTGTACCTGTGTATAAACACATAAAAGGCTAATACATGTAGCATCAAAAACTGTTGGATATAATTATTTGGAGGGATAGAAAAGTATAACATCGAGTAGGTTTGAAAAAATTGAGAGTTTTCAAAATGTAATCTCTAGTCTGATTGATTGGTAGTTTTCTGGAGCTAGCTACTAGTCATGTTGCAGGAGGCATGAACTGAAACAAGCTGACATACATGTCTGTTGCATACCTCTTCCTTCACCCCTAATCTGGGGACCCAAGGTCTCTACTTATTATTCTTTCTGCTTTCAACTTGTATTGTTCTCAGAAATAGCTGAAGATTGATGTGGAAAAGAAAGGTCTTATTGTATTAGTCCATTTTCATGCTGCTTTAAAGATACTGCCTGAGACTGGATAATTTATAAAGAAAAGAGGTTTAATCGACTCACAGTTCTGCATGGCTGATGAGGCCTCAGGAAACTTAAAATCATGGTGGAAGGTGAAGGGAAAGCAAGGCACGTCTTACATGGTGGCAGGAGAGAGAAAGTGCAGGGGAAACTGCCACTTTTAAAACTATCAGATCTCGTGAGAATTCCCTCACTATCATGAGAACAGCTTGGGGGAAAACACCCCATAATCCAATCACCTTCCAGCAGGTTCCTCCCTCAGCACATGGGGATTCCAATTAGAGATGAGATTTGGTTGGGGACAGAGAGCCAAACCATATCATCTGTTTTTCCAGTTGGCTTCATAATCGAGCAGTGGTTCTTCATCTGGCTTTTCCTCCTTTTTTATGAGGTTTAGAAATCAAGATGGTAGCTGATACCTAGTAGATTTTCCAGATAGGATGAGGAAAACCTTAATGAAATTTGAAACCCATATTTTCGTAATTTATGAAATCAACAATATTGATTAAGGGGCTGTAAATAAGTATTCTTTCAATTCCCTAAATGCCCTCCCTGTTGCCTTCCCTTTAAAGGAACTAGTTATTTCATCTTTACTATTTAGTGATCTGTAGATTTTTCGAGATTTTTCTGTAGGGCTCTTTTTGCCTCTTTTTCTTAGGGTATCAAGACTAGCAGTAGAAAATTAGCTAAAGGAATTTTTTTTATACCTAACACTTATAAAACAATATGTATATTTAACTTACGTTTAAGATAGTTATATTTAATTATGTATGTTAAACAAGATAGAAAAGTTTCATTCATAGTAACCTTGTGTAATCTTTATTTTTAAATTTTTTAAAATTTCAATAGGTTTTTGGGGGAATAGGTGGTGTTTGGTTACATAAATAAGTTATTTAGTGGTGATTTCTGAGATTTTGGTGCACCCATCGCCAGAGCAGTGTACACTGTACCCAGTGTGTAGTCTTTTATCCCTCACCCACCTTCCGCCTTTTCCCCGGAATCCCCAAAGTCCATTGTATTGTTCTTATGCCTTTGCATCCTCAAAGTTTAGCTCCCACTTATGAGTGAGAACATATGATGTTTGGTTTTCCATTCCTGAGTTACTTCACTTAATATAATCTCATACTATCATCAGCATCATGAAATACATAAATATTTTGGGCATGAAAACAATATCCTTGGTAAAGCCACAGAGTGATCTTATGTAGTCTACTTAAAACAGCAGGAAGTGTTATATTTCTGAACACGTGGTATTTTCATGATCTTTACCTCAGAAAAATTAAGGCACTATAGAAATTCTTTATATACTTTCTATAAATTAATAAGTGATAGGTTATTAGCCATAGCCTCTTAAATGTAGCTTTATTTCTAAACATAGTTACCTCTTGAAATGAACTCCACATATTTATGAAGAGTAGATATCCTTTTATTTATTATACAAGTACCAGCACTAAGCTTTACAGACTCTCTGTCTTAGATCTGGGGTTTACAAGTGCCAGTCCTTAGACTTCTGCAGGACTCACTTCATAAGAGTCCTAAATAGAGTTTCCAGAGTTATAAAAGTAAATCTAGTTAATTGTGCTATCTTTATGATACACACACGTCTATGAGAGGTATATAGATATGTAAAATTAAGCTCTATTCTAATATTCAAAATTCTGCCTTTACTTGTAAACTACATCATGTGAAATACTCATAATTATTTTACAAGATATTTTCCAATCATCATATTAATATAGCCTAATTTATATTCTTGACCTTGAACAGAGTGAACTTAAACTATTCCAGATAGAACACATCTATCTTACCAGGCACATTGGCTCTCACCTGTAATCCCAGCACTTTGGGAGGCGAAGGTAGGAGGATTGCTTAAGGCAGGAGTTCAAGACCAGCCTGGGCAACATAACAAGACTCTATATCTACAATAAATTTTAAAAATTAGGCCAGGTGCAGTGGCTAATGCCTGTAATCCCAGCACTTTAGGAGGCTGAGGCGGGTGGATCACCTGAGGTCAGGAGTTCAAGACTAGCCTGGCCAACATGGTGAAACCCTGTCTCTACTAAAAATACAAAAATTAGCTGGGCATGGTGGTAGGCACCTGTAGTCCCAGCTACTCAGGAGGCTGAGGCAGCAGAATTGCTTGAACCCAGGAGGTGGAGGTTGCAGTGAGCCAAGATCACACCACTGCACTCCAGCCTGGGCGACAGAGAGAGACCCTGTTTCAAAAATAAAATAAAGAGAAAAGAAAAGAAAAAAAATAAAAATTAGCTGGGTGTGGTGACATGCACCTGTAGTCCCAGCTACTCAGGAGGCTGCAGCGAGAGGATCACTTTAGCCCAGGAGTTTGAGGTTGCAGTGAGCCATGATTGTACTGCTATACTCCATCCTGGGTGACAGAGTAAGACCCTGTCTCAAACAACAATAACAACAGAAATCTATCTTATTTTTAGTTCATTATATTTTTTTGGATCAGTCTTAGAACAAATTTCTTATTTGCTGTCATCTTTTTTATGTTATTATTGCATCAAAGAAAACCTAGCTGTAGTAATCTTTACTGTAGTAATCTTTACTATCTATAACCTTGACTAATCTGTAGCTTTTTCTTCAGAATTTAAAAAAAAAAAAATAGGCAAGCTGAGCTTATGGATGATGGGGGAAGGAAGGATGAAATAGTAGTCTCAGAGGATGGAAAAGTGAGGAGATTTGGGAAACAGATCATGATAGTTGAGCAACTTTAAGGGCATACTTGAGGTTAGTGGTCAGATTGAGTGTGTTTTGCAGTCATGACACATGCAAAAGAGAGTTACTTTAACTTGAGGTGAAATCAATATGTAATAAGTAGGTTTATTACATATAAGTATTCTTTTTAATATAACTAAAGGCTAAGGCTTGATATTAGCCTGAGGGTTGGAGAATATCCATTATCAAGTGCATAATTGAGTTATGAATACATCTTTTAATTTTGTGTGTATTATGCTTGTCTCATCTGGAAGGGTAAGAATAGACTCCAGGGAATCATCTTCTATTTTTATTTATACTGAATATCAAAGTTAGACCTGTACTCATTGGTGACCTAACATGGTTAGCAGGTTTTAATACTTATCAGTGACTTACTTGTTTAATATTTATATATACTTAGAGGTAAAATGAATAAATATTCAGTGAGTACCAAATACGTAGCAGCAATTATGCTAAGTGTAATGCGATTTCAACTCTTCAAAAGCAGCTCTATGAAGGCAGGTTTTTATCTGTTTTCTTCACCTGTGTGCCTTGACAGTAATTATATATGGAATGTATGAAATTTTATTTTGGAGGGGATATGGGAATGTGTAACCTGCATTTATGGGATGAGGACTGACACTATGCTAAGTGCTTTACTGTATATTATCTCATTTAGTCTTCTTAATATCCCTGTGGTAGAGTCTGTAATTATCTGCATTTTACATATAATTGAGGTTTTGAGAAGTGCTCCTGAGGTCACAGGCTAGCAAATTATAGAGTTGAGATTTGAGCCTCCTTTTTCTTCTTCTAAAGCAGTTGCTTTAAACTTTATCATCTCAGTTAAGATTCTTTGGGCACAAGTTATGGAAATGAACTTGAACATGATTAAGCAACAAGGAAAAGTTCTTATAAGGATATGAGGGTGTCTTATGAAAGCCAAGGGCCATGCATCTGAGTCTAAGATGGGACTGGAACTAGAATCTGAACCCTATCAAAGCCCAGGGAGATCTCTCTCTGCATATTTACTTAACCCTTCCTCTTCTCTCCTCTGCCTTCCTTGCTATCCACACCTCTCCCCTCCCTACCAAGGGACTTACATGTTACAGTACCAGTCACCCACAGAGGTCAGCAACAGGTTTTCTCTGCATTCCATTTCCAAATTGGCAAGACTGACCAAGCTTGTATCAGATATTTGCTCCTGCCCCAGTCAGTGACTGTGGGCCATGGGCTGGATTCCCAAAGTATGATGGTGTTGGCAAAGGGACCACTTCTGTAGGACTGAGGATAGTTCTTGAGCTGGGCAGACATGCTAATGACAGAGTGACATTCTATCTAGTCAAGTGTTTTTAAAACTTCTTTGTCTAAAAGGAAAAAAACAAGAAAACACTGGGCCTTTAGGGCATGGGGGGAATAAACTTCTTTGTCTATGATACGTAATAAATACATTTTTACATTGCAACTCAATGTTTATAAGACAGACCAACCCAGACAACAATACTTAGTCTTACTATCTGTGAGATAGTCTCATATATTCTCTTTTCTCTTTCATTTAGGAAACTTAGTTACAACCTATTAAGTTGAATTCATAATCCAATGATGGGTTGTGGCCTAGAAATGGAAAAATACTGCTCCACTCTATACCCAGAGGGGCCTAGCCGAAAAGGTGTCCTTTGTTAATCCAGAATTTGGCATTGCTTTGTAAGTGAGGCTGCCTGTAGTAAAATGTCTTTGGTCATTTAAGTAACTGAGTCTCAGGATTGATCTACCTTGAATTAAACTCTCTTCTAGGGAAAGAATTTGCTAATAGCATTTTTCAGGGTGAATTAATAATCAGATTTATTTCTATTAATGACAGCCTGTAAATCAGTAAAAATCTCAATGCTCAGATCATGCCCTGTTTTTCTATTTACCTTTTTCAAAAGCACTTGCAGTCAAGTTGTGAAAGACATGGTATCGCATTCTTTCATAAGAATTCTGCATCTCTAAAGCAGGTTTTGATGTTTATTTTTTAACTCAGAGGGAAAGATAGAAATGAGAATCTCAAATTCTTATTTTCACTTAAAAAAATGTAAGATTAGAGAACAGAAAGAAAACACCAAACCACTCTTCACTAGGCTTAACTTATGGTTTTATTTCTGAAGGCGAATAAGAAATAATTTAGCAGTTATTTGGTAATTCCAACCATATGAAACATAAGAAGGACCTGAAAGTAAAGTAAAGAAAAACACATTTGGATAGTCTAACAAAATATCAAATAAAACCCATGATATTCATCCCTATTTACTGAAGGGGTGCCTCAATTTATTATAGTGTGAGGAAGGCCAAGTCTAAAGTTTCACTGGACAATAGGAATGGGAAGGGCAAACATTCATTCAGCAAACATTTATTGTATTTCCACTATATATAGAGTTTGCATTTGTATTTTCCTCCTTTCAAAAAGAAAAAGTAAGAGATAGGAGATTTTATTTCAGAGTTGCAAAGCCTCTACCCTAGCTTCTCTTATCTTTATCTTATCATAAAAAGTTTGTTGTTTGTTTTTAATCACTGTCAGGTTGACAGGTAGAAGACACTAACCCTACAGTGAGATATAGATGCTGTGACATTTAGCTACGTTCTCTCACTATCTTTATACTCCCATATACAACTTGACCCCAGTAAGATTTCTGGAGTCTCTTGAGTCTAAATTAATGATAATAAATTTTTGAATGCCAAGGATCTACTGTACTATGTATTACTATCTAATTAGCTTTATTCTGATATTTGAAATTCAAGTCTTTTTACTGAAATTATTGAGCAGCCCTAGAGTGGGGCTGGATCTGTTTTCTTCCTTTTTGCTTAAGGTGGTTGGAGATGGGAGGAGAAAATCTGAAGGTAAATGTCCTGTGCTTCTTTCTTCTCTCATACCATCCATGGTTATCTTTTAGACACAGAAGCTTGGGTGTATTCCAACTCCTTGATCAGGATATTTCCACTTGTCCCATTAGTTTTCACAGACAGCAGTTTCATATCTCTGTCAAGATCTTTTGTTTTCTCTTATCCTGAAATTGTCTGTCTGGGAAAACCCTTCTTTCAAGTGTGGAAGGCTCCTTGGGTGTGTCAGTGCTTCTCCCTTGGACTGCAGTAACTTTTTTGTCATATTTGGGCTTAACTTCACTTAGTTCTACAGAGTTATAACCCTGCTCTCTTCTTCTTTGACTAAAGCATAAAAAGTATCTCTTGTCCTTTGAAGGAGAAGATTTATTCCTTTTAAATCTGAGGGGCTTAAAAATTTTTCAAGCCCTAACTGGGTTCTCACTTTTGTTTGAGCATAAACTTCTTTATTGTAATTCAGCAGCTATGCTAGTCTTGGTGGAATGGGGATAATGAAAGGACATCAGAGAGTAAGGCTTCTCTTACCCCGGTACTCTTTTATTTAATTCAGAGAAAATAAACACCTTCTCTAACCTTATTTGTCATGTTCACTGATAGTAATCTTTTCTGTGTTTGAGGAGAAATACTTCTTGTTACATTCCTAACTAAAAAATGAGTCATGATCTCATTCAGAACTTTGAGATGATTCTTTTTTTTTTTTTTTTTTTTTGAGATGGAGTTTTGCTCTTGTTGCCCAGGCTGGAGTGCAATGGCGCGATCTCGGCTCACCACAACCTCTGCCTCCCAGGTTCAAGCCATTCTCCTGCCTCAGCCTCCCGAGTAGTTGGGATTACAGGCACCTGCCACCATGCCTGGCTAATTTTGTATTATTAGTAGAGACGGGGTTTCTCCATGTTGGTCAGGCTGGTCTCAAACTCTCGCCCTCAGGTGATCCACCTGCCTCGGCCTCCCAAAGTGCTGGGATTACAGGCGTGAGGTACCTCACCTGGCCGAGACGGTTCTTTAACCCAGGAAAGGAGGGAAGAATTTCTTTCCTTACTGTTTCCCTTGGGACCTGGACCCTGGCTTTCAAACTAAAACTAAAAGCAGGTCAGCCATGTATGATAACTGGGGCTTTTATAATACTGTATTTGAATCTCTATTTAATTTTTTTGTGGAAAGATGTGTGCAGGATGCCAGCATGATATACAGAACAACTTTTGGGGAATGCCTGTGTTCTAAAAAAAAAAAAAAAAAAAAAAGCAAGATGGGCTGGGCATGGTGACTCACACCTGTAATCTCAGCAGTTTGGGAGGCCGAGGCAGGCAGATCACTTGAGGCCAGAAGTTCGAGACCAGGCTGGCCAACATGGCAAAACACCATCTCTACTAAAAATATAAAAATTAGCCAGGCAGTGGTACACGCCTGTCATCCCAGTTATTTGAGAGCCTGAGGCACAAGAATTGCTTGATCCTGGGAGGCGGAGGTTACACTGAGCCAAGATTGGCCACTGCAGTCTAGCCCAGGCAACAAAGCAAGACCATGTCTCAAAAAAATAAAAAGCAAGATTCGTGTTTTTCCTTTGAAACTGGTGAGACTTGAATGTATATTTGACAATTATCATCATTTGGATAGGTTTACCCTTTCTTAATCTGTACTTCTGTTATATTACTCTGTGGGAAGGATTTATTCCTATTACTAATTTTAAATGAATCAATTTTTAAAAATTATTAAAATACTAAGAGTTCTGCTGAAACATATGGCATAAATTGTATTCACAAGGGGAATGCATTCTGGAAAAGCTTTTGAAATGATCCCATTGCCTTTTTAATATTGTTGGAAACCTCGTATCTGCTGTCTTTTGCTTGTGGTTGAATTTATTTAATTCACCTCCTGCAAGAGCTTCTCTGTGATGTTTATACTTGTTATAAATTTGTTGTTTAGGTTTTTTTTTTAGGTAGAGTTAAGAATAATTATTGACTTTACATTTATTTTAACTTTTTTCTCTGTTTTAGGATTTTCTCATCTTGTTTTTCCCTGGCAAGTACTTGAGTAGTAATATGTTTGCCTATTACTAATTAATATTTTTCTTTAATAACAGATTTATACCTAAAACTGGAAGATGTGACCCATAAATTTAATAAGCCCTGTATAATGGATGTAAAGATAGGGCAAAAAAGCTATGATCCTTTTGCCTCATCTGAGAAGATTCAGCAACAGGTCAGCAAGTACCCATTAATGGAAGAGATTGGGTTCTTGGTGCTTGGCATGAGGGTAAGAGTGCTTATTAGTATAATATGCACATTTCTCTGTACATGTTCTTCCCTTGAAAATTATGGATGTCATTGTAGTACTAATATATCAGAAAATAATGTATTTTGGAATTGAGTTGTCTGTAACTCCCCAATGTGAAAAGTGAGGGCAAGGATTAAAAAATTTTTTTTTTTTGTTCACTGATATATGGTCAGTTTCTCTGGTTCGGGAACATAGTAGGGTGATTGATAAATAAATGGATGGATGGCTGAATCTCAGGACTATAATTCTGGTAATTTTGTTTTAAAGAAGTCTTAAATTTAGGTGCAAGCAAATATTAAATGTAAATGTGATATTGTTTATGATTTTCCCATGAGAAAAGTGCTAAATATATATATTCAGTCATTTTTCTGCATTTTCAAAATATAAAAGAAATTTAAAATGTGGTAATTGTGTGGCCGGGCACAGTGGCTCATGCCTATAATCCTAGCATTTCAGGAGGCTGAGGTGGGTGGATTGCTTGAGCTCAGGAGTTTGAGACCAGCTTGGGCAACATGGCAAAACCCCATCTCTACAAAAATGCAAAAACCAGCTGGGTGAGAGGTAGCGTGTGCCTATAGTCCGAGCTACTCGGGAGGCTGAGGTGGGAGGATCACTTGAGCCCAGGAGGTCAAGGCTGAAGTGAGCCATGATCATGCCACTGCACTCCAGCCTGGGTGACAAAGTGAGACCCTGTCTCAGAAAAACAAACAACGCCACCCCCCTACCAAAAAAAAAAAATAGGTAATTGTTTCAGACTTTTGGGGTTAAAACAGTTGTTTCATTTTCTCACAATTCTGTGAATTTGCAATTTGAGCTAGTCTCAAGTGTGCAGTTCTTTTGCTGATCTTATTTAGGGTTCCTTCTGCAATCATCTGATGGTTCAGCTGGGTATAGATGGTCTAAAATGACTCTCTCTCATTTATTTGGGTTGTATGTAAAACCAGAGAATTGTTCTTGTGTCAGGAAGTTGGTACTGTTGGCTGGGTCTTTTTCTTTGTGGTCTTATCTGTCAGAAGGCTAGCTTGGGCTTTTTAATTTTGAAGTACCACATTCTAAGAAGGAGGAATATAAGGGTTCTTAAACTCTAGGTTAGGAATTTATTTGCTGTCACTTCTATGAAATTCTATAGGGCAAAATCTAGTACAGGGCTAGCCCAGATTTATGGGGCGAGAAAACAGACTCCACCTCCGATGGTAGGAAAGGCAAAGTCACAGCATGAATAGCAATGTGCACAGGGTGAGGAGAATTTTGTTGAGGCCATTTTGATAAAAAAGAGAAAAAACAAAGTAATGTGGTGTAAAGTCCTCTAAACAAATGCTGCATCTTCTAGATGCGTGAAGGTAAAATTTGTGGATATACCAAATACTTGTTTATCTATATGTAAGCATAATGGGTAGTTCTGAAATTCATGTAAAATGATATATGGATCTTCCTTTTTGAGTTTTAAACAGAAGAGCTAATAGGAAGCATGATAGATAAATTGTCATTGTGATGGTAATAGCAAAATTGAATTTGATATTTGGGTTATGTATAAAACCAGAGAAATTGTTCAAGCAGTTATTTCATTTTAGAAAACTATAATTAAATATGAATGTATAGAAAAAGAAAAAATGGTAATGGAATACAGTTAAAACAAACAGGAAATAAACATCCCATAGGAATCTGACTGGGCAACTATTTAAGCCTCCACTGTTTTCAGATCTCTCACCCTCCCTCTTTCCTTCTGACTTTTAGCAGATGACTGCTTTCTGCTTTAGAAAAAATAAAAATCATCCAACAGGATTTCCCTTAATTTCTTGCTAACAGATGCACATGCCTTACCTGCAGTTGCTTTTATTCCCTCATTGTTCTTTCCCGTCACATTGAAGAATTTTCCGTCCTCCTATCTAAGGACAGTTCCTCTGTACGCCCTCTGAATCTCATTCCTTCTTATCTCTTCAAGAACCTTATACTATTGATTTTCTCTTATCTTTCTTATATTTTCAACTTCTGCCTCTTTACTGGCTTTTATCATTTTGCTTTAAATATCTTCAAATCACTGTCAAGTTTTTTAAAAAACAAAACATCAAAACCCCACCTTTAACCTGCTTTGCTTTCCAACTGCAGATTTAGCTTGTCTCGGCTTTACAACCAAACTCGTTATTTCTATTTCCCTATTTCCCATTCAGTATTTGGCTCATTCTAATCTGGCTTCTGCCCCATCATGCTAATGGATTAGCTCTTCATTAAGCACCACCATGCCACTAATTCCAAATGGCATTTTTCATTACCTTACTTTACTTTGAAAAGTAGCTTTCAATGCCAGCCACACCCTCCTTGAAACATTCTTCTTTGAATCTATGGCACCCATCTCTCTCCTGGTTTCTGCCTAAGGCCACTTTGCAATCTTCTTTGCCAGCCCATTTCTATTTTTTCTTTTTTTTTTTCTTTTTTTTTTTGAGACGGAGTCTCGCTCTGTCGCCCAGGCTGAAGTGCAGTGTCGCATCTCTGCTCACTGCAAGCTCCGCCTCCTGGCTTCATGCCATTCTCCTGCCTCAGCCTACCGCGTAGCTGGGACTACAGGCACCCGCCACCACATCCTGCTAATTTTTAGTATTTTTTTTAGTAGATATGGGATTTCACCATGTTAGCCAGGATGGTCTCAATCTCCTGACCTTGTGATCCGCCCGCCTTGGCCTCCCATAGTGTTGGGATTACAGGCGTGAGCCACCGCGCCCAGCCTCTATTTATTCTTTAAATGCTGAGGTATTCCTCTTGGTTCCATTTTAACATCTGCCTTCCTTTTCTATTTCTTCTTAAGCAGGGCTCTCTATTCTCATTTTAGTTACACACATAACTCATGAATGTTTATCAGCAGGCTCTGCTTTTTCTTTGATCTCCTGATATGTACATCTAACAACTTACTGGATACCTTACTTAAATATCTTAAGTGCTTAAAGACATCTTGAACTCAGTACATAAAAAACTGACATAACTTTTTCCATGGTTCCCCTTTCCTGGAGCACTCTAGCTCCACCACCATCGCCCAGAGCTCCCGGCTCCTGCTAAGCTAGCACCACTGTCCTCTGTCTCCCTTCAGCTGCCATCATGATTGTTTACCAGCATCTCATCAGCTATGATGAGATAGGTGTTATTCCACATTTATGAGATTTGGGAGATTGCAGATGGGCTGTGCCTGGTGGTGGAGGGGAATATGGTCAGTAGGACAGAGGGTAACACTGATGACTTGCTCATTGGCGGAAATGCCTCTGCTGAAGGTCCCGAGGGCAAAGGTACCAAAACCACAGTTATCACTGTTGATACTGTCACAGACTATCACTTGCAAGAAACCAGCTTCACAAAAAACACCTACAAGAACTACATCAAAGATTACATGAAAACAATCAAAGGCAAACTTGAAGAACAGAGACCAGAAAAAGTAAAACCTTTTGCGACAGAGGCTGCACATCCTTGCTGATTGCAAAAGCTACTAGTTCTTTACTGGTGAAAACATGAATCCAGATGGCATGGTTGCTCTGTTGGACTATCATGAGGATAGTGATCCCATAAATGATTTTCTTTAAGGGTGGTTCAGAAATGGAAAAGGGTTAACAAATTCGGCAATTACTTTGGATCTATCACCTGTCATCATAACTGGCTGCTGCTTGTCATCCATACAACACCAGGTCTTAAGACAAATGGTACTGATGTCATCTTGAGCTTTTCATTTATTTTGACTATGGATGCATGGAGTGGATGCATTGTTTTTAAGAAAAACGTGTCATGTAGGTTATCTAAAAACAAAATGCATTTAAACTCATTTGATAGAATACCTTTTACTTTAATACATATTTAAACTAAATCCATCTTGTAACGTTCCTGAAGAAGCTGGAGCCTGGTAGTAAGCCACTACTAGAAAGAATAAGACTGTTGTTAAATAACTTTCACGGTGGAAACTACTTCTGGAACTGGAATATAAAAAATAAGAAGCAAAAGTTTTAATTCTGAGTTGCAGTAAAGGGGAGAGACCATGCTCATAGCAATGCCAACATCTGAAGTGGACCTTATACATTTTATCACCTACAATGGAAGTAGTTGACTCTGGAAGAGATTACTAAGAGAATAAAAAGATTCTAATTTAGTTGGGGAAAAAAACCCCACAAAACTGACACACTCATTATCCCTCTTGCAAACCAACAACCACAACAATGAAAACAAATTTTTTTTTTTTTTTTTTTTTTTTGGTGAGATGTCACCCAGGCTGGAGTGCAGTGGCAAGATCATGGCTCCCTGCAGCCTCAACCCCTGGGTTCCGGATCCTCCTGCCTCAGCCTCTTCCGAGTAGCTGGGACTACAGGCATGTGCCACTACACTTGGCTGATTTTTTTTTTTTTTTTTAGTACAGATGAGGTTTCATTGTTGCTACTGTGCACTGTTTCACTGTTGCACTGAGGTTTTAGTACAGATGAGGTTCACGTTGCCCAGGCTGGTCTTGAACTCCTGGGCTCAAGTGATCCTGGGCAATCCCAAGCAGTGCTGGGACTGCAAGCATGAGCCACTGTGCCCAGCCTAAAAACAAATCCCTGTTATTCCCTGTCTCAGTAAATGGAATCACCATGTAACCAGTTTTACACATTAGAGACCGGGTAGTCAGCTGGGTGTGGTGGCTCATGCCTGTAATCCCAGCACTTTGCAAGGCCGAGGTGGGTGGATCACCTGAGGTAAGGAGTTCGAGAGCAGCCTGGCCAACATGACGAAACCCTGTCTCTAATAAAAAATATTAAAATTAGTTGCATATGGTGGCACACGCCTGTAATCCCAGCTACTCGAGAGGCTGAGGCAGGAGAATCACTTGAACCCAGGAAGTGGAGGTTGCAGTGAGCTGAGATTGTACCACTGCACTCCAGCCTGGGTGACAGAGCGAGACTCTGTCTCATAAAAAAAAAAAAAAAAACCGGGTAATCACTGTTACCTGTCAGCCATCCATCAATCCTACTGATCTTGATTCCTAAACTTCTCGAGTCCCATTATCACTATTATCCCTCTCCAGAGTCTAGTCTCTCAAGTTCAGTTTTGTTATTTTATAATTCTTTCTCTAAACATTGTAGAATGTATATCTAATCATGATGTTCCCTATTCAAAAACTCTTCTGTCAGATGGGAGGAAGATGGTGGATGGGAGGCAGGGCTAATGTGCATCTTCCACGTGGATGGACAGAACAGTGTGTGGAGATTCACAATGTGAACTATCATTCCAAAAACCACCACAGGAAAGTACCAGGAAAACCAAACGAATTCACAGATCTTTTGAAAGGATCACTGCAAACTCTGTGAGTTAGGTGAAAAACTGTGAATTCCCAAAGTGTGAGGGGGGAAGACCTGCCTTCGAACACATACCCCCTGAGTGAATCTGAGAATCCAGATCACAGTTGGAGGATTTAACCTTACCTAGAGGTGGAATGGATTTAGGGGGCCACGTAAAATGTAAAAGTAGAAGCAACAGCAGGAACAGCCTCGTAGGTACTCCCAGTCTCCAGCGCAAGCCCAGGGAAGTAATCCCTGACTATATTTCACATGGGATCTCAGGGAAGGCAGCCAGCGGAATTAGGGACTAGTCACAGGGTGAAAGAAGCTTGCAGCTGAATTTTGTGGCAATTTCAAGTGGGCACGAACTTACTTGAGCAGAATGCAGGGGCAAATGGGAAATGCTGCAGATAGGAGCACAGGAGCCATCACCATTGTTGGCAGACAAGGAGGGGTGTAGCCTGAAAGCCATGCTTGCTTTCTCAGTGGGGAAGCTTATGGCCCAGGGCAGGTCTGTGTTTCACATGCAGGCTGCCCAGATCTAAACTTGGGGCTGTTAACATGCACTGTGGGAGCAACACCAGCCTCGCCAACTGCGTGGGAGCTGGGTGAGTCCCTTCGCTACTGGCTATTCCCCACTTCTCTGGCAAACTATACAGCACAGCACAGACAGCAATACGTTCCTCTGGAATATAATCCCATTGGCCTGAGAACCACCCCCCATCCCCCACAGTGGCTGCAGCAAGCCCCACCCAAGGAGAGTCTGAGCTCAGACCTGCCTAACCCTGCCCCCACCTGATGGTTTTTCTCTACCTGCCCTGATAAGACATAAACTCTTGGGAGCTTTATGGCATTGCCCATCATGTGAGAAATCAGAATAATTCCCCCTTGCCAACTTAGGGCAAGCTCAGATCCTACTGCCAATACTGCAAGTGGTGCTCTCTTGTAAGCACTACCTCCTGGCTGGAGGCCAACCAACTCAGGCCATTACAGCAACTCATGACAGAATAACTGCTCCCAGGAAGGAGAAAACAACCGCTAAAGCTACTGCCTCCAACACCCTGACTAACCAGTGGTCCTCAGTCTGTCCATGTAACAACTTCACTGCTAGCATAACCAGCATTCGAGAAAGCCAGCACACTAAACCTACCTACGATGAAGGATTCTCACAGAGTCTACCTCACTCCCCTGCCACCTCCACTAGAGCAGGTGCTGTTATCCATGACTGGGAGACCTGAAGACTGATCGCATCACAGGCAGACATTCCCAGCACATACCGGAGCCTGGAGCCAGGTAGCCTTGCTGAGTAGCTAGACCCAGAAGAACAATAACGATCACTACAGTCTGGCTCTCAGGAAGCCCCATCGCCAGGGGAATAGGGAGAGCACCACATCAAAGGATCACCCTGTGGGACAAAAGAATCTGAACAGCAGGCCTTGAGTTCCAGATCTTTTCACTGGTGGGTAGTTTCTCACAGCAGAGACACAATTGCAGTGCTAGGTACAGCTGGGAAAGTCTGCATATACACTGCAACAGGCGGGCAGCCACTGTGATCATGAAGGACCTTGGAGAAGAGGTCCTTGTTCTCCCCAGGACTCCACTGTAGACATAGCTGGGGCATCCCCTACAGGAATGCAGCATGGAGGCACCTATAGAAAGCCATTCTGGAATAATCCAGGGTAAGTGCAGCCTGACAGGAGGAGCACCCCCCAGATTCAGGCCTGCACAAGAGGCAGAGTCACAATCACTCCCTGTTTGGAATAACAACATTCCTATAGATGAAAAGAGGTGCCTGTCTGATCAGAATAGCTGAAACACTAGTATAGGAGTGAGGCTGTGAGGTAAATAGTTTTCCCGCTGACTTGGTAGGGAAGCTGTGGTAGTTCCCACTCTTCACTCTGATAAATCCTCAGCACATCTAATTGAGAGCCACCCCAGCTACCCTCATCAAGGCTGGGACTTTGGCCCACCATTGGGTATTACATCTACTCACCTGCCTTAGCGACATCTGCTGCCTATGCAGGGATACCCCCTCTATGGGCCTGAAGCCGGAATCATCAACTTAGGAAAAAATTAAATAAATAAGGTGTACACCACGAGAGAACAAGATAAGCTTCAAGAGATCCCTGCCATTCCAACTCTATAGGAGACAGTGAACTCACCCACACACTAATAATATAACTACTATAGCCAGCATTAGGGAAAGCCAGCACACAAAGACTCTCTATAACTAAGGAACTCATACAGAGTCTTTATCCCTACAAGTACCAAGAATCAGTTTAGACTAAAATGAACATTAAAGTCTAATCCTTAAGAGAGAGAGAGAAAAAGTAAATAAAAAACAGTCAAATCAAAAATATATTCAAGAACAATTTGAAGAAGCAGTCTACCCAAACGAGAAGGAATTAGAAAACTAATTCTGGTAATATGACAAAAACAGGGCTCTATAACACCCCGAAAAGATCACAGTAGCTCCCTAGCAATGGATCCAAACCGAGATGAAATCTCTGAATTGCCATATAAAGAATTCAGAAGGCTGATTATTAAGCTACTCAAGGAGATACCAGAGAAAGGTGGAAAGCAACTTAAATTTTAAAAACAGGGCCAGGTGTGGTGGCTCACACCTGTAATCCCAGCACTTTGGGAGGCTGAGGCGGGTGGATCACGAGGTCAGGAGATCGAGACCATCCTGGCTAACATGGTGAAACCCCATGTCTACTAAAAATACAAAAAATTAGCCGGGCGTGGTGGCGGGCGCCTGTAGTCCCAGCTGCTGGGGAGGCTGAGGCAGGAGAATGGCGTGAACCCGGGAGGTGGAGCTTGCAGTGAGCCGAGATCGCGCCACTGCACTCCAGCCTGGGCACCAAAGCAAGACTACATCTAAAAAAAAAGAAAAATGAACAAAGCCTCCCAGAAATTGGGGTTTATGTTAAATGGCCAAACCTAAGAATAATTGGTCTTCCTAAAGAAATCTAAAAGTTTGGAAAACTTATCTGAGGGAATAATTACGGAAAACTTCTCTGGCCTTGCTAGAGATCTAGACATCAATTACAAGAAACGCAAAGAAATCCTAGGAAATTCATTGCAAAAAGATCATCACAATCCTAAATATATATGCACCTAACACTGGAGCTCCTAAATTCATAAAGTAATTACTACTAGACCTAAGAAATGAGATAACACACAATAATAGTGGGGCACTTCAGTACTCCACTGACAGCACTCGATGGGTTATCAAGACAGAAAGTCAACAAAGAAACAATGGACTTAAACTATACCCTAGAACAAATGGACTTTAACATGGATGTGTTGAAAAGAGAACACTTTTACACTGCTGGTGGGAATGTAAACTAATACAACCACTATGGAAAACAGTGTGAACTAAAAGAACTACCATTCGATCTAGCAATCCCACTACTGGGTACCCAAAGGAAAAGAAGTTGTTATATGAAAAAGACACTTGCATATGCATGTTTATAGCAGTACAATTCGCAGTTGCAAAAATATGGAACCTGTCTAAATGCCTGTCAACCAATGAATGGATAAAGAAAATGTGATTGCCTGTAATCCCAGCACTTCGGGAGGCCGAGGCAGGCGGATCACAAGGTCAGGAGATCGAGACCATCCTAGCTAACATGGTGAAACCCCATCTCTACTAAAAATACAAAACATTTAGCCAGGCTTGGTGGTGGGTGCCTGTAGTCCTAGCTACTCAGGAGGCTGAGGCAGGAGAATCGCTTGAACCCAGGAGGCGGAGTTTGCAGTGAGCTGAGATCGTGCCATTGCGCTCCAGGCCTGGGCAACAGAGCAAGACTCCGTCTCAAAACAAGAAAAGAAAATGTGATATATATATATATACATGGTGGACTATTACTCAGCCATAAAAAGGAGTGAAATAGTGGCATTTGCAGCAACTTGAATGGAGTTGGAGACCATTATTCTAAGAGAACTCAAGAATGGAAAACCAAATACTATAGGCTCTCACAAGTGGGAGCTAGGTTTTGAGGATGCAAAAGCATAAGAATGAGATAATGGACTTTGGGGACTTGAGGAAGGGTGGGATGCAGGTGAGGGATAAGACTACACATTCAGTAAAATGTGCACTGCTTGGGTGACAGGTGCACCAAGATCTCAGAAATCACCACTGAAGAACTTATCCATGTAACAAAAAAACCACCTATTCCCCAAAAGCTATTGAAATAAAATAATAATAATAGTAAACTCTTCTTTGGGTTTGCATTACCTTTAGGGTACATGGACAGGATAAGCAAATAGGGTATTGTATGATTTCACTCTGCTGGGATTTATTGTTTCCCTAGACATAAATGGAGGTTTATTTCTTAAAGAGGTTTAGTTTTTTAAAATAGCTTTAGCGAGATGTCATTTACATACCATTCTGTTAATCATTTAAAGTATAGAGTTCACTGGTTTTAATCAATTCATAGACTTGGGCAACTATTACCACATTCAACTTACAGTATTTTTTACCACTTCTGCAAAAACTTCATACACATTAGCAGTCCCTACCAATTTCCTTCCAAACTCCCTGTCCCTAGGGAACCACTAATCTATTTTCTATCTCTATGGATTTGCCCCTTCTGGACGATTCATATAAATCAAATTTACAGTACAATGTGTGGTATTTTGTGACTGGCTTCTTTGATTTAGTTTCGTGTTTTTAAAGTTCACCCATGTTGTCATATAAGTCAGTACTTTGTTTTTTATTGCCAAATAATATTCGATTATATGGATATACCACATTTTGTTTATCCATTCATTCATTGATGGACTTTGGGTTGTTTCTACTTCTGGGCTACTAATAACTGTTATGAACATTTGTATAGAAGTTTCTGTGTAGGTATATGTTTTATTTCTCTCAGGTAGATTCCTAACTGTGCAACTGGTAGGTCCTAAGGTTAAGTTTATGTTTAACTTTTTGAGAAACTGCCAAAGTGTTTTTCCAAAGTGACTTTACCATTTTATTTAGTTATTTAATTTTTTAAAAAATTATTTAAGTAGCTTTTGGGGTACAGTTTTTTGTTGTTGTTACATGGATGAATTATATAGTGGTAAATTCTGAGATTTTAGCGTACTCATCACCTGAGTAGCGTACATTGTACCTAATATGTAGTTTTTTAAATCCCTAGCCACCCTTCCCACTCTTCTCCTTCCAAGTGTCTAAAGTCAATTGTATTACTCTGTATGCCTTTGTTTACTCATAGCTTAGTTCCCACTTGTAAGTGAGAACATATGGTGGCTTCACCGTTCATTTTACATTCCCACCAGCAATTCATGATGGTTCCATTTTCTCCACATTCTTGAAACCTTTGTTCCTTTTTGTTTTTCTGCTATAAGCCATCCTAGTAGGTGTCGAGTAGCATCTCCTTGTGGTTTTGATTTGCCTTTCTCTAATGATTAATGATGTTGAGCATCTTTTCATGTGCAATGTTTTTGACTACATATGTCTTCTTTGGAAAAATGTCTATTCAGACATTTTGTTTTTAATTATTGAGCTGTATATAAATCCATCAAACTTTTGATTTGCAAATTTTTTTCTAATCTGATTTTCTTACTTGATAGTATTTGTCGAAGCCTCCAAATTTTTAATTTTGAAGTCCAATTTACTTTTTTTTGTTACCTAGGCTTTTGGTGTAAAATCTAAGAAACCATTGCCTAACCCAAACTCATCAAGATTTACTCCTATTTTTCTTGTAAGAATGTTATAATTTTATCTCTTGTATTGAGACTTATGATACATTTTAAGTTAATTTTTTGTATGCTTTAAGGAAGGGGTCAAACTTCATTCTTTTGCATATGGATATCCAGTTGTCCCAGCACCATTTGTTGATAGGACTGTTATTCCCCCAGTGAATATTCTTGATACCCTTGTTGGAATTAAATTTTTGACCATAAATGTTTTCCATTTTCATATTGTCTATCCTTATGCCAAGTACTACACTGTTTTGATTAATGTTGCTTTGGAGTAAGTTTTGAATTATGAGTCCTCCAATTTTGTTCTTTTTTAAATTTTATTTTATTTTATTTTGAGACTGGGTCTTTGCTCTGTCATCCAGGCTAGAGTGCAGTAGCGTGATCGTGTCTTACTGCAGCCTCGAACTGCTGGGCTCAAGCAATCCTCCTACTTAAGCCTCCCAAGTAATTGACACTACAAGTGTACACCATCACACCCAACTAATTTTTAAATTATTTTGTGGAGACTGTGTCTCACTTTGTTTCCTAGGCTAGTCTTGAACTCATGGGCTCAAATGATCCTCCCGCCTTGGCCTCCCAAAGTGCTGGGATTGCAGGTGTGAGCCACTGCACCTGGCCTCAGCTTTGCTCTCTTTTTCAAATTTGTTTTGGCTATTCTGGATCCCTTTAGTTTCCACATGAATTTTAGGATCAGCTTGTCAGTTTCTGCAAAGAAGTCGCAAAATGAGCAACTAATATGGTGACGTACGAGGAAAAGCTGGAGCTTGCTTTTGCTTATCATTCTGTCCTCCTACACCTGTTTCTCAGTTTTCTTTCCATTAAAAAAAAATTGGATACTTTTTTGTTACGTATTTACGTGTTTTTAGGTTGAGAATGTTAACTTTTATTACAAATATCTTTGCTACCACACCTAGCTTATTTTTTATTTTTTATAGAGATGGGGTCTTGCCATATTGCCCAGGCTCATCTTAAACTCCTACACTCAAGCAGTCTTCCTGCCTCAGCCTCCCAAAGCACTATTATTAAAGGCATGAGGCACTGTGCCTGGTTGCATTATGTTTTTTTAAAAAACAGTGTGTATACTTTAATTAAAAAATACTTATTGCTAAAGAATACTAATGATCATCTGAGCGTTCAGTGAGTTGTTTCCTTTTGCTAGTAGAGGCTCTTGCCTGTGGCTGCTGATTGATCAGGGTGGTGGCTGCTGAAGGTTTGAGTGCCTGCAGCAATTTCTTAAAATAAGACAGCAATGAAGTTTGCCACATAAATTTACTCTTTTTTAAATGAAAGGTTTCTCTGGAGCATGTGATGCTCTTTGATAGAATTTTACCCACAGTAGAACTTTGAAAATTGGAGTCAGTCCTCTCAGATCCTGCCACTGCTTTATCAAGTAAGTTTATGTAATATTCTAAATTGTTCATTGTCATTTCAACAATGTTTACAACATCTTTACTAGGAGTAGATTCCATCTCAAGAAACCACTTTCTTTGCTCATCCATGAGAAGCCACTCTGAGGCCAGGGGCAGTGGCTTATGCCAGTAATCCCAACACTTTGGGAGGCTGAGGCGGGTGGATCGCTTGAGCTCAGGAGTTTGAGAACAGCCTGGGCAACATGGTGAAACCCCGTCTACAAAAGAATACAAAAATTAGCCAGACATGGTGGCATGCACCTGTAGTCCCAGATACTCAGGAGGCTGAGGTGGGAGGATTGCTTGAGTACAAAAGGTTGAGGCTGCAGTGAGCCGTGATCGTGCTACTGCACTCCAGCCTGGGTGACAGAGCGAGACCCTATCTCAGTCAGCCAATCAATAAAACAAGCAAGCAAGTCACTGTTCATCCATTCACGGTTTATCATGAGATTGCAGCAATTCAGTCACATCTTCAGCCTTCAGTCTTAATTCTAGTTCACTTGCTCTTTCTACCACATCTGCAGTTACCTCCTCCACTGAAGTCTTGAATTGAACTCCTCAAAGTCATCCATGAGGGTTGGAATTAACTTCTTCCAAACTCCTGTTAATGTTGATATTTTGACCTCCTCCCATGAATCTCAAATCTTCTTTATGCCATCTAGAATGGTGAATTCTTTCCAAAAGGTTTTCAATTTACATTGCCCCAGTCCATCAGAGGAATTACTATCAATGGCAGCTGTATGTAGCCTTGCAAAATGTATTTCTTAAATAATAGAACTTAAAAGTTGAAATTACTCCTTGATCCATAGAACTGCAAAAGGAATGTTATTAGCAGGCATGAAAACAATATTAATCTCCTTGTACATCATCAGTAATCTTGTTAGGTGACCAGGTGCACTGTCAATGAGCAGTAATATTTTGGAAGGAATCTTTTTTTCTGAGTAGTAGTTCTCAATGGTGGGCTGAAAATATTCAGTAAACCATGCTATAAACAGATGTGCTGTCATCCAGGCTTTGAGCCCAGGCAGAGTAGATTCAGCACATTTTTTTGTTTGTTTGTTTTGAGACAGGGTCTTGGCCCAGGCTGGAGTCCAGTGGCATAATCATAGCTCACTGCAGCCCCCAACTCCTGGGCTCAAGCAGTCCTCCCACCTCAGCCTCTCAAGTAGCTGCGACTACAGGCATATGCCACCACACCCAACTAATTTTTAAATTTTTTGTAGAAACGGGGTCTCACTATGATGCTCAGGCTGTTCTTGAGCTCCTTGCCTCAAGTTGTCCTCTGGCCTCAAGCAATCCTCCTGCCTCAGCCTCCCAAAGGGCTGGGAGATTCAGCATAATTCTTAAGGGCTCTAGGACAAATGAGTGAGTATTGGCTTCAACTTAAAGTCACCAGCTGCATTTGCCCCTAATAAGAGAGTTAGCCTGTCCTTTGAAGCGTTGAAGCCAGATACTGACTTCTTATCTCTAGCTATGAAAACCCTAGGTGGCATTTTTTTCAATAGAAGGCCGTTTCATCTACATTGAGAATCTGTGGTTTGGGGTAGATACCTTCATCAGTTATCTTCTGGATAAGTTGCTGTAGCTTCTACAACTACTTCACCTTGCATTTTAGGTTAAATGCTTCACCTTGCATTTTAGGTTAAAAACAACGTCTTTCCATAAACTTCTGCTAGGGTCTATGAACCAGCCTTTGCTAGTTTGCACTTTTCTTTCGCAGCTTCCTCATGGTGACTCTCAGCCTTAATAGAATTGAAGAGAGTCTTACCCTGGATTAGGCTTTGACTTGAGGTAATGTTGTGGCTGGTTTGGTCTTCTATCCAGACCACTAACACTTTCTTCATATTAGCAGTAAGGCTGTTTCACTTTCTTATCATTTGTGTGTTTACTGTAGTTAGCACTCTGAATTTCCTTCAAGAGCTTTTTCTTTGCATTCATAGCTTGGCTGTTTGGCACAAGAGGCCTAGTTTTAGGCCTGTCTTTGCTTTCAGGATGCCTTCCTTACTAAGTTAATCACTTTTTAGCTTTTGATTTTAAGTGAGAGACGTGACATTTCCTTTCATTGAACACTTAGAGGCCATTGGAGGGTTATTAATTAATTAATTGGAGGGTTACTAATTATTAATTGGCCTAATTTCAATATTGTGCCTCAGGGGATAGGGAGGCCTGAAGAGAGGAAGAGAGATGGGGGAACAGCTGGTCAGTGGAACAGTCAGGACACACATATTTATCCAATTTGCCATCTTATGTGCGTGTGCTTCGTGACATCCCAAAATAATCACAGGAGTAACATCAAAGATCACTAATCACAGATCACTGTAACAGATACTTAAGTTTGAGAATTTTCAAAAATTACCAAATTGTAATACAGAGAAATGAAATGAGCACATGCTGTTGGAAAAGTGGCACCAATAGATTTGCTCAAGCTGCCACAGACCTTCAATTTGTAAATAATGCAGTATATTTGTAAAGCACAATGAAGTGAAACACAATAAAATGAGGTATACCTGTACAGCTGAGTAGTCTGCCTCCATACAAGATATCATATTATACTTATTTTTTCTCTATATACCCTTCCAGAGATATTTTAAACATGCAAATACTGCATATATGTTTATTACAAAACCTACCTTAAACACTTTGTTTCTTGTTTTTTCCCTCATAAGTGTAAACATGTCCTTTGTTCATCAAATAAATTTCAAACAGTTTTTTTTCTCTATTTTTCTTTTGATTTCTGCGTGGGAAAAACACTGTGAACACATAGAAATGATAAATATTTGTAGTGGTGAATACCCTAAATACCCTCACTTTATCATTACACATTCTATGCCTGTAAAAAAATATCACATGTGCCCCATAAATATGTACAAATATTATCTACCAAAAAGAACCAACTGACATTTCTGAGTTTTAGTTGGAAATGCTGTCCCTAGTTATTATCAGTTACTCAAGGATTCCTGTATGTTTTCGGGGACCGTTTTATCATTTCAATCTTTGATACATTTGGAATTTATCCTGACATAAGATATCAGGTATGAATACAAGTTACTTTTTTCCTGATCACTGTTTAATCAGACTAACACAATTTAATAAATAATCTTTTCCCATTGATTTAAAATCCCATTATCATATACTAAATTCTCACATATGTTTGATTCTAAAATGTGTTTTAATATCTGGTAGGATGGCAAGGTTAGTTCTACCTTATTAATCTTATTTTAACTTTTCTTGGCTCTTATTTATTTATTTATTTTTAAATATGTGAACTTCAGAGTTGGCTTATGGTTAAAAAAAATTATTGAGGCCGGGCGTGGTGGCTTACACCTGTAATCCCAGCACTTTGAGAGGCTGAGGCGGGTGGATCGTTTGACGCCAGGAGTTTGAGACCAGCCTGGCCAACATGGTGAAACCTCACCTCTACTAAAAATACAAAAATTACCTGGCTGTATTGTCACGCACCTGTAATCCCAGGTACTCGGGAGGCTGAGGCTCAAGAATCACTTGAATCCCGGAGGCAGGGGTTGCAGTGAGCTGAGATCACGCCACTGCACTCCAGCCTGGGCAACAGAGAGAGACTCCGTCCCTCCCCCAACCAAAAAAAAGTTGGTATTTTTATTATAATCTCACTTTAGTTGTAGATTAATTTAAGTAAAATTGATATAGTTTATTATGCTGAATCTTTTTTGAGAACATAGGTGTGTGTTTTAGGAATGTTTTAAAGATATCTTCTTTTACATCTTTTACTTATCTAGCTTATTTTCATGTTCTTTGGGGGTTACATTTTATAAATGGGGTCTTTCATTACATTTTCTAATGAGTTATTTGTGTTTAGAAAGCTTATTTTCTGTTTACTAATTTGTATTCAAATGCCGTGTCATATATTTTATTATTTGTATTTGTCTTTAATTTTATTTTCCAGTGTACAACTATTATCTTCAGAGTATTAACTTTATCTCCACCTTTCCAAATTATTATACCTCTAATTTCTTTCTCTCTAATTGCATTTACTAGGAACTCCAGAATATTAGATGATAATAATATAAAAGACATCATGATAAAATATTTTTGTGAAGGCTTCTTGTATTTTAAAAGAAGTGCTTTTTCAGTTCTCTCCTTTAAACTTGAGACTAACTCCTCGTAGGTTGAGGTAGATAGTTTTATCATATTGGAAATATTCATCTATCCTTATATTACAGAGAGTTTTCATCAGTAGTGGATGTTAAATTTGTAAAGTGCTTTTTCAGCATCCATTGATATAACTGCGATTTTTTTTTTTCTTCTCAAATCTATTAGAATGAATTACCTGAGTAGATTTCATCTTTAGCCACCCTTGTGGCTGGGATAACCCCACATGGTCAAGGAGTATTAGCTTTTTAATATTCACTGCTTTTTTTGACAGGTTTATCATGTTCATTCCGATAGCTATGAGACAGAAAACCAGCATTACGGAAGAAGCTTAACAAAAGAAACTATAAAGGATGGTAAGGACTAAAAAACTAATGCTTTTATGATTGAACAGTTAAAAGACTTCTAAAGTTATTTCAGTTTTAGTTGTCATTTGGAAAAGTGATTTGATTCATAATAAACATTTTTTAAATAATAATGAAACTTAGATTTACAGAATTGGATTAACCATAAGCCCTGGTTCATAATATATCAAGAGCATGGGACTATGAATGGCCCTCTGTTACATTTTCATTTATTTCTTATTAATATACTTAAAAAAAAAATGAACAGCTGTGTACCAGCCATCTAACTCAATACTGGAACTAGAGGTTGTGTATAAAATTATTTTGTAAGTAAACGTTATAGATCATAGTATATTAAAACTGCTTGTTACATAAGAGGCTTTAAAATATGTGTTGTAGCATTTAATGTATTTTTATTGAATTTTCCCATGTGTAGTTGAGCTATGTAAGTTTCTAGAGCTACATAATGAATAATTAAGTGGCATTAAACTGATTTAAATAAAATCTGTTAACATACATACATGCTTCTAAAGTATTTACGGCCAAGATACTACAAAAGCAACAATATCCTAGATTCCTGGAAATAACATTATATTACAAGTTTATTCTTAGCTCTACTAAGATATTTAGAGAAGAACTTATGCATAGTGTAAAAAGTTTGTAGAAGAATTCTTATTTTATATATAGAAAGCAAACATCCATAGCATGAGCTTAACAATTAGTGTTTGCTTTGGAGTACTTAATCAACAACAAAATAACATTCAGCTGGGCTATTTAAAAAATATTTTCCCAGGCTAATAATTTAGTCATATCTGAATATATCTTTTAATAGTTTCTGTCCCAAATTGGGGGAACAAGTTATTTGAAAGCAGAAATCAAATTATATATACCTATAAATTCCCAAGTATGATAAAATAGGCATAGTTTTTAAAAAGGCCTAATAATCTGATAGGTTAAAACATTTAAAGGTCTCAATTTTCAATAATATACCTAACGTGGGAAAGTGCTATTCCCAAAAGTGAGCTTAACTTTTTGGAAAAATTGACTTAATCAATATTATTGAGAGCAAATGAAAATTAGTAGAGTTATGGTAGAGTTATGGTTTGGTATTTAGTAATGGTACCATTAAAAAATAATTAAATTTGACTCTAGGTTTTAGTTAGCTCTAAATGAGATTCTAATAAGCAAGTTTTTGTTTTTTGTTTTGTTTTGTTTTTTGTTTTCAAGACAGTCTTGCTGTATCACCCAGGCTGGAGTGCAGTGGCACGATCTCGGCTCACTGCAACCTCTAACCTCCCAGGTTCAGGTGATTCTCGTGCCTCAGCCTCCCAAGTAGCTGGGACTACAGGCATGCGTCACCATGCCTAATTTTTGTATTTTTAGTAGAGACGAGGTTTTACCATGTTGGCCAGGCTGGTCTTGAATTCCTGACTTCAGGTGATCCACCCGCCTCTGCCTCCGAAAGTGCTGGGATTACAGGCGTGAGCCACTGCGCCCAGCCCGAACAAGTAATTTTACTGTAAAATTGCTCAAGATAGCAAATAGAGCAAGTCTTGAATCCTATTTCTTTTTTTTTTTTTTCTTTTCTTTTCTTTTTTTTTTGAGACGGAGTCTCGTTCTGTTGCGCAGGCTGGAGTGCAGTGGGGCGATCTCGGCTCGCTGCAAGCTCCGCCTTCTGGGTTCACGCCGTTCTCCTGCCTCAGCCTCCCGAGTATCTAGGACTACAGGCGTCCGCCACCATGCCCAGCTAATTTTTTGTGTTTTTAGTAGAGACGAGGTTTCACCGTGTTAGCCAAGATGGTCTCGATCTCCTGACCTCGTGATCCGCCCACCTCGGCCTCCCAAAGTGCTGGGATTACAGGCGTGAGCCACCGCACCCGGCCTGGAATCCTATTTTTTATTTATGTGTTTATGTATTTATGTATTTATTTATTTATTTATTTATTTATTTTTGAGACGGAGTCTCGCTCTGTCACCCAGGCTGGCGTGCAGTGGCCAATCTTGGCTCACTGCAAGCTCCACCTCCCGGGTTCACACCATTCTCCTGCCTCAGCGTCCGGAGTAGCTGGGACTACAGGTGCCCGCCACCATCCCCGGCTAATTTTTTGTATTTTTAGTAGAGACGGGGTTTCACTGTGTTAGCCAGGATGGTCTGGATCTCCTGACCTCGTGATCCGCCCGCCTTGGCCTCCCAAAGTGCTGGGATTACAGGCGTGAGCCACCGTGCCCAGCCTGGAATCCTGTTTCTTAAGAGAATATAGTGAGAGAAGTAAACTACCAGTCTACCTGTAATAAATTTCCTTTTGTCTAAATAGGATATTTCATATTATATTAGTGTCATTTAAATGTTTTCTAATAAGAGCATCTTCACCAAAAATCAAGCTGAGGTCAGACTTCTATATCTGACTAGAATTCTTAGAATTCTAGGATTAACTGTTCACTTAATTCTAAGGGATGATGGGGAAAATATTGGAGAATTCTGTGATGAGTTTACTTCCCAAATAATAGTTATTTCATAATTTGATTATAACGCTCATATTTTTCTTTTTATAGGAGTCTCCAGATTTTTTCATAATGGGTACTGCTTAAGAAAAGATGCTGTTGCTGCCAGTATTCAGAAGATTGAGAAAATTCTGCAGTGGTTTGAAAACCAGAAGCAGCTTAATTTTTACGCAAGTTCATTACTCTTTGTTTATGAAGGTTCATCTCAGCCAACCACTACAAAATTGAATGACAGAACTTTGGCAGAAAAGTTTTTGTCCAAAGGACAACTGTCAGACACAGAAGTACTAGAGTACAATAATAACTTTCATGTGTTAAGTTCCACAGCTAATGGAAAAATAGAGTCTTCAGTGGGCAAAAGCTTGTCCAAGATGTATGCGCGTCACAGGAAAATATATACAAAAAAGCATCACAGTCAGACTTCATTGAAAGTTGAAAATCTGGAGCAAGACAATGGGTGGAAAAGCATGTCACAGGAACATTTAAATGGAAATGTACTTTCCCAACTGGAAAAAGTTTTCTACCATCTTCCCACTGGTTGCCAAGAGATTGCTGAAGTAGAAGTGCGAATGATAGATTTTGCTCATGTGTTCCCTAGCAACACAATAGATGAGGGATATGTTTATGGGCTAAAGCATTTAATTTCTGTACTTCGAAGTATTTTAGACAATTGAATCCTCTGTTGCAGTCTTTTTAAGGGGTGGGCCAATCATAATGAAGAGGGGCAGTCAATATCTGCACCTTTAATGCTATGTAAAAAATTTGTATTATGAGTCGACATTTTATTTGTCTTTATACTTTTGGAAGAATGGTTAACTTTTTTATAATCTTACTCAGGAAAACTAACTATTTGTTCATTAGAAAACTATGAAGAATAAAGAAACTTAGGAATGTTAAGCAGGGAATGTGGTGGTACATGGCTTAAACATCTTTTTTGGCTCAAGCAAAATGCAAACCATTATTCAGTCATTAAGAGTTTAGTTAGCTTTCTGTAGCCAATTCATGAAATCTCTGTCCACCCAGCCTTGACAATGAGCCATATCTAAAATATTACATTATTAGAACACCTACCAAAATCTCGAAAGCACAGGTTGATGTCCTTAGTATTGCTATGTATGAAGTTACTAAAACTGGAGAAAATTCTACTTCAGAAATAAGTACTGTTTAGGTTTTATATTAAAAGTTCAGACCAGCATATCAAAGGGTGCTCCTTAGTGAAATGATTTAGAATTGTTGCATTCCAAAAGCAGGTTTTCTCTTTAATTTTTACATCTCTCTCTCAAAATATTATACTTCATGAAAAAGACAATTGATGTGGATGACAACAACAAAGTCTTGAAATTAAGGGCACACTAATTGTCCTTACTGGGGTTAGGGGAAGAGAGATATTATTTTCAAGGAACAAAATATTTTCCTTTACAATCTTTCATTCATGAGAAAATTGGAATATAAATTTATTACATTGTGAAAGTATCATAAACCATATACCTTTGTATCTAAATGCAGCTTCAAAAAAGTAAATAATTGAAGTTTTATTTCTCCTCTAAATAACTTGAATTTTTTTCTTTAAAAATTTATGTATTTATATGTCCCCATTTAGTTAAGTGGTAGTGTAAATGTATGTTGTTAAAAACAGTTTCTCAGAATTATAGTAAGCAATGAAAGACAATATCTAATTAGGTTGTTATCAAAAATACTGTGTGTAAATTAGTCCGTAATATAGGGTTTGGTGCGTATCTATATTCATGCTTCTATTTCACTCTTCCTCAAAACAGTTTTATATTATGTTGACCAGTGAAATTGTAACTTAATTTCATGGGGACAGGGGCAGTGCTACAGTTCCTGGAAAAATTAGATTTGTATTATCTTTGTTTCACACCCACCACCTTAAAAAAAAATCAACTAGTTATTTGTCATTTAAAACATTTAAAACTTTGAGTCTTCAAATACATTTGATGTTAATGCTGCCATTACTTGCACTTCCATTCACTAATAACATTTCTAGGTAGTTATCAGTTTTGTCATATTCCTGGAAAATATTTTGGGGTTGTAAATTCTTTCTCCTCTTTTTCTTCTGGAGTTACAAATTGAATTTTTAAATCCGAGCACCTTTATTGTGGTGTGGAGAAAATTATCACAATTTTATGTTTATTTTACCTTCTCAGCCTTCTCTGAGGGCACTTTGCAAATACCTGAGTCCAAACAGAAGTACCAACTAAATGCTCTATGAACTCTATCCTTAGTAAATCTATTAAACCTGAATAATTTAAAAGATCATGTTCATTTTGTAATAGCAAAATTTGATTTTAATTTTTTATTTAGAATTGGTGTATTTATCATAGGGACTTCCAATTTTTCTTCACTTTTTGAATGGATATTGGCTATAGTTTTATGTTTTAACGGGAATGAATTTCAAGTCATAATAATCAGAATTTTTAGTTTTACTTTTTTCTTTTACAATATGGATTTTGTTGTTATTTGGATAGTGGTTCAATAAATCTTAAGCTCAGATAATTAAACACTATTTTGAATCTTAACAAGATACTGAGGCTTTTTTTGTATGGGATGATATCAACCTATGTACAATGAATTTAATAAACTTAAGTATTGTCAGATTTTTTGCACATTTTAGCTCAATAAAATCTTAATGTTCAAGATTTTTTTATCTGCATTTGGAAATACAATTTTGTAAAATCAATGTCTTACCTTTTTGATACAATAGATCATGTTTTGTTTTTAATAAAGCAAGAAGCCCTTTTATCTGTTGTTTTTCAGGGAAGGGATTAACATTTAATTCTGTTTGTTTACATTTGTTATCATTGTTATCCAATGCTCATTTTATGTTGCTTTATAAGTAGGCTTAGGTATAACAGAATAAGTATCTGTTTATCTAATCTACATGTGACTATCTTAGTCTCTCTCGGTCACTTAATATTATGCTGAAATTTACCACTGTGGGGATGAATGATCGCTATTCACCAAGTATATTTGAACATGTAAATGCTTAAGAAATAAGCATAATGCGGATATAGTTTGGGTTAATAGGATTCTCATAGTTTTTTTTCCCCTATGAAACATAAGTAATGATTTTAGTGTATTTCTTATGGAATACACTCATTTAAAAAGGACTTTAAGAAATTGTGGATGTGAATAATACCTTTCTCTAATAAAAATTTAAATTGTATAATAGTTTTATAATATTTACATTAATTGATATTTTAATATGGATAGACATTGCATAGATTCAAATAAATTAAAATCAATGATAAATGCTAAATATTTTATCTAAATAGTTTTTCAAGAAACAGTTATGGAAATGTGTATATTAAATGGCTCTAATGTGGAGCTTGTGGTATTTCAACTCAGTATTCATTATTAGTTGTGTGTCTGGAAAGATTGTACTTACTTTTCCTCTTTACACTACAGTTTGCTCTTATGGGGCTCTAAACTGTTTAACTGAAGAACCTTCGTCTGTATTTTGATTGAGCATAATTTAGTATTTTATGATTTCCAAGATGATGTTCTTATGTCTATCAAGTCTATGTATCAAATTTATAACATCATTTAAGAAAAAGGAATTTCCACAGATACTTCAGTTGCAATTTTTTGTTTCATGCTACTGAAAATACATTTGTTTCTAGGGGTTGGAATATTATAGAAGATGTAGGATGAAAGAAAACGATAGAACAACGAAAGAATTCTGTTTATGAAATTACAGGAATTGTGTCCACTATGGTAAAGCATTGTCATTTTAGTACATTTTCTCTTAGTAGTTTGGCATTTTATACTTTAAAACTTGTTTTGCTTTAAAAATTGTTTATAATGCTTACCTTCTTTCTCCAGTGCCTTTAGTCTTGATTTGATATGTTTGTACCCTCAGTTACCCTTTCTATTACATGTTTTTGATGTTTTCATAGCCTAGGAAACATCGATTCCTTTTTAATAATTGTCAATCTGATTATTTAAAGAGGTAACAATTATCTGTTAATGCTTTGGAAAAACAAGTAGGGTTGCCTTTGGAGGCCAGGCTTCTTAGTTCATTCAAAAATATTCCTTGGATTTATGCCATGTATTAAGCATTTTTAGCCCCCAGTATTACAACTGTGAACCAAACGGATAAGGCCCTAACCATTTTCAGCATTCTCTTTGGATGGGGTGGGATTGGGGACTTAATTAAAATAGAGATATAGAAAAATAGGCATCTAAATAAGATAATAAGTGTGGGGTTGAAATGAAGCATCTAACAATAGTTGAAGTTAGAAGTAATATTTTACAGTATTGTAACCTCTATTTAAGTTTGGGTATTAGTTACAGATAGCATAAAAAAGCCTTAATTTTTCACTTTCCTTGCTGGCAAAGGTACATTTATTTAGACTGTCCATTTAAAGTAATGTTTAACATAAACATTACTGTGAAAAACATTCCATTACATATTCCCAAGCAAATGAGCTGCATCTTCTTTACTGTATTTTACAATTTAGTACAACAGTTTTAGGCCTCAATCTTAACATCACTGGTATTTTAAATTTGGCAATGAATATGAAATTACTTTTGACTTACAGATTGATTATATTATTACTTTGAAAATGCATTAATTTCTTAGAAAAGTTTGGAGCCTCTATCTTTTTTTGAGTTAATACTTAAATTCTCATTACTTATATTAATAGCCTGTACTAAGTGAAAATATTATTTATGCAAGTAAACAAGTCACTATAGGCTTTTAAGACTTTTCTTTAATTTTAGATTTTGTCATCAAAGTTTAAATTTTTTACCTACTGTCCACTTAAATATAATTTAACAGTTTGTAAAGTGAAATAGTTTTAAGTATGATGTATGATGCACCTGCATATAAATGAAAATGGCGTGCACAAAGACACTTTACTATGGGAACTGTACTGGAAGATTTATGAAAGCATGTGAAATTGCACCTAAAATTGTGTTATTAGTGACTATAAGCAGCAATGCTAAATTTATTGTACTTGATGAATGAATGTATTTAGTCACAGTTACTTTGGTTTAAATGTATAAATGTCTTTAGGGTTTTTTTTTAAATGTGTTTGTAATTTGTACTATTGTGGGGGTATACTTGGACTGCAGGGGTTATTGTCAATGTGTGATTTGTGTTTTTATTTTATAGAATCATCTAATGTGATATACCAATTTTTATAAGTGATATTTACATAATTCTAATAACTGTATATTTGACAACCTATTAAAATGTTTTGCATTGGAACTTTTTTCATTAATTGTAACATGCTAACGTGGTTTAAAAATAACTCATTCATTCAACAGATATTGAATGTTGTGTATCAGAAACTATAGGAATCACTGGGGAATCAAAGATGACAAAGTGCATCAGTGGAAAGATCCATGCTTTCAGACAAATTGGGGAAGGGATTTTTTTTTTAAGTGTACACATTGGAAATGATAAAGTATGTAAACCATTTTCCATGGATATTTATTTTTTCTGTCACATAAACAAATCTTTGGAATCAACCTAGAAGGGAGAAGTGGGCCATAGGAGAAACAAATTGATATGGCTATGAAAATGCAGTAACTTAAGCTTAAGTAGGTAAGGTTTTTTTTTTTTTTTTTTTTTTTTTTTGCATGTATTCGAAATTTCAGAAATTAGTGACCAAGTTATTATTTTCATTATTAGTTAAAAAGGATTCAGTACCTATTATCAAGATATATACTGGCTGGAAGAGAAAAAAAACATGTCAGTGTGGGATAAAATAGTGGAATTATGATTGACTTCTCAATATCCAGCAGGGTTGTGAAGACAGAGAAGTCATTCTATAGCATGCAAGAGGAAGAAGAGAGTGTGGTTTATAACATCATAGTGCTAAAGAAGGTTGTATTGAATTCCACCTTAATGCCTGCTTCTTTGTGAATGCTATGGGGAGGAGCAATACTATGTGATCTAGTAGTTTTTTCCCTCCTGATTAAGATAAGCTGCCTAACTGCTGAAAAGAATAACATGGAACCCCACTGCCACAGTCCCCAAGTTATAGCTAAGTGTAAAGACTAAATAAAAGCTAAAGAGAAAGAATAAAAAGTGAAAATAATTATAAAATAAGTAAAAATAATCACGTGGGGATTTTGTTCAAATGCAGATTCTGATTAAGTAGACTGGACTGGACTCTGATGCTGGTCCATGGACCACACTTTTGACTAACAAGATTTGCAACAAGTTCCTTGGAGGTAGGGTGTGCACTACCACTTGAACAGAGGCCCAACCAGAGCTGTTGGAAAGCCAAGAGAGAGTGCTGGCAACAGAAAAGGAAATGGGCTTAGAATGTGAAGAAAATACAGCCAGAAATGGCTTAATATAACGCTGGCCACTCTTAGTTGGAAGAAAAAGTTCATTGGAAAGTTAATGTCAAGGGCATTAAACCATGCCTCCTGCAACAAGTTTTGGGAGTCCTGTAATGATAAACTTGTTATTTTCTATTATTTGTGCCATTGGCCTTTTTTTATTTCTGTGTAAATAGTTACTACTTTGCCAACCTAAGAAAATAATCTGCGTATGCTTGTTAATTACATTGTAGTTGTCATCTGACAACATTCTAGAGGTGCTTTGGGCGTAAATGACATGGTACAATTGGCTCAAATGCCAAGAAATGTTGAAAACCAAGTCTTTCTAAGAGGAGCTAGGAAGGTCTTTAAAATTATTATTTAATGAAAGTTAACATAAATTGTTAAAGTGCCTTGGAATGGACTCAAGGAAAATGATGAGTGTGGAAGCATCTTGTGGAGATAGTGCACGGAGGAGTAACCAGTCTCACCTCATACACTTTAAAGATCATAGACTTCAGGTAAATAGACCTAGTTTATAGCTTTCGAGGCTTGAATCCAGTTCAAAGAACATCCTCATATTTATAAATTCATAAAGAAACTGTAATACCATAACTTTTCATTCTTACTCGTTTTAACTCTCAGTTTCCACTCTTCATAGTGGTTGGCCCTGACCCACCCAAGTTATGTCAGAGGTGGAGGGGATAATCAATCTAAATCATGGACTAGCCTGACCACTCTATCCACAATTATTGCTGCATAACACCCCGAAGTGGCAGCGTAAGTCTTAACCCCCTTTATTATTTGGATGGATCTGCAAGTTGGCTGGGCAGTTCTGCTGATCTTGGCTAGACTTATGTCTCTAGAATCAGCTGGCAGGTCATCTGGGGGTGCGGGTAGGACGATGTGTCTCATATTTCAGCAGGCTAGCCCAGGCATTTCTCTGAGTTGTAGTTAGGAGTCCAGAAGAAGAAGCTGAAAACATGCAAACAGGTTTCAAGTTTCTGTTTAAGTTTGCTACCGTTGCTGAATCCAGAGTCAGAGTGGGAGGACACTGAAGAAGGGTGTGGATACAGGGAAGTCACAGTACAATCAACCACATGCTCCAACCTCAGATTAACTCACACAGGGCACCAAGAAATTCTGTCTTGTCATAGTCCATGGCTTTATGGGGCAGCAATGTCAGAACAAGTTAGACAATGTGGATATTTAATTCTGTGGATCAGAACAGAGGCAGCAGGACAAGCAGCATATGCGAGTTTTAAAATCCCTAAAATGTTTCTTTTTTTTTTCTTTCATCCGTTACCTCTTCTAGGTAGAGCCCGCTGGGCAGTCCTAGAGTATTGCCATCTTCCACTTTAAATTATGATGTTATCGTTTGGAGAATGGTTTCGTATCCTAAGCAATCTTGTCTTATTCATGAGCTTCCTTGGTGATCAATGTCAACTGATTTTATTTCAAGTGTAAACAAACTGTTTGCTTCTATGACAGAAATTATGCAAAAGAATGCATATCTTCTACTATGTGTTGTAAACACCATTTCACTAGTTAATGTTGAAACTCTTTTCACAGATCTAGTAGTTTTAGTTCAGCTTTTAGATGAACTTGAATATGCTGTTTTATTTCCGTTTAGCTGGATTTTCATCATCCTAAATCAGAATTTCACATTAATTCGTTGTCATTTTCTCCCTGCTATTTTTTTTCTTTATAATGTACCAAAGAGGGTGAAAAGTCTTAGGAGGAATGCCTATTTATAATGTCCCTTTCCCATGAACTTCCCATTCATTTTTTCCCCAGAGGGGATACTATTAAGTTTTTACCCTGTTATTATTGGTAATAATATGTACATTTGCATATGTAATAATTGGTTTTGAATATGTTTCTTGGGGATAATAAAATTAGTAAATCTTCTTTGAAAAATGGCAACATCTAGCACTCTGGCCTTATCCAAACATGTCAGTGTGTTTATCCCTAATTTCTAGTTTCTAGCTCTAAGTAAATTTGCCTAATCTTAAGTAGGAGGATTAATCAGACCTGTGCTCAGTTACTACACAAATATGTGCTATGTAGCTTTTCCAGGCTAATTTTTACTTTTTTCCATATAGCTTTTGTAGAGACCTTGCTTTCAAAAAAGTGCTCAAGGATCTGAGTTTTTGAAATATGATATTACCCATTTGAGATGAAGCCATAAATAGCAGATAACATATTAGAAGCTTCCACATAACAAATCTGCAAATAACTGAAGTGTATTTCTTCAAGTATTATGGTGTTCTCAAACTGTTTATAATAATCCTTCCAAAAGATATTGCACAGTTCCCTATATTTTCAGAAGGAGATATTTAAGGTAAACAGTGGCTATTTTTTCACCATATTTAAATAAGGTCAGGCCAGGAGGTGGTAGATGTTCTGTAGCCACTTTCAGAATCATCATTATTCCTACTCCTTCCTTTAACAAAACAAGGCAAATTCCTCTGAAGTACCTGCTCTCCCTCCTTATTTCAGTCATCTATCCATAGCCCCTCCAATGATGTCAGACACAGTACCTGGCTCACATTCATACTCCACATTCCAGTTTCTGAAGTTACTCTTGATGATTTTTTGTACCCATAGGTGATTTTTCCAATACCTTGACCTCTCAGTCCCTGACCTCCTCACTTCCAGTGATTTTATTTTCTACCCCAACTTCAGCCACTCATTCTCATGGGCACCCTAGACATTACTGATTAATATCCTACTCTATCTCCTCCTATACTTTCAACTTCCTCTTTCTACTATTTTCACCCACAAGGATCCAGTGCGTTGGTTCTAACCTTTGCATTGTCCATCATCTTCCTGTTCTTACTTTAAGCCTTATACAACTTGGATTCAAAAGTCCTTCATTATAGTCACTCCCATACACAACGCCACAGAGTTTCTAGCCCTATACCTTTCATTGTATTTCCCTGGAAAACTCAAACCCTGGTTTTCCTTATTTTCTACCAATTCAGTACCTGTACCTTAGAGATGAAAAGAGTTGGCATGTTCTTACTTAAAAGGGGGATCTAAACAAAGGATACTGATGGACATAAAGATGGCAACAACAGACACTGGGAACTACTGGGGGTGGGGTGGGTCAAGGGATGAAGAACTGTTGGGTACTGTGCTTAGTACCTGAGTGATGGAATCAATCATACCCTAAACCTCAGCATCACCCAGTATAATATACCCAGGTAACAAACCTGCAACAGTATGTCCTGAATCTAAAATAAAAGTTGAAATTATTTTAATAAAAAGAGCTAGATGAAAATGGTTGGAGAAAAACACAGCCATCTTCATGGTGTCTCTTGAAATTTATTACTTCAAACTCCAAGTGATTTGAAGATTGCCTTCACTACTGTCAAGGCAATCTTACTACACCTTCAAAGCCAATTACCGCACCATCCTTCCAGAGGGATGTTTCACCATGCCTCCTCCCTCAGCCTCCCTTAGTCCGTGTTTTTACTTTTTCACTAACAAAATGGTAGTAATCAAAATGTTAGCACATCATCTCACCTTCAAACCTACATATCCACCTCCTTCTAGATCCATATTTTTTTCTTCTTTGCTGTTATAATGGATGAACACTGCCATTTTCTATGCGAAGTTCTCTTCTCCTGTTGCCCTTAGATCCAAAACTCTCACACATATTAAAAAACATCACTGGGCCAGGTGTAGTGGCTCATGCCTGTAATCCTAGCACTTTGTGAGGTCAAGGAGGGAGGATCTCTTGAGCCCAGGAGTTCGAGACCAGCCTGGGCAACATAGTGGGATCCTGCCTCTAAAACAGCAACAAACAAAGAAAAAGCCATTTGTGGTAGTATGTGCTGGTAGTCCCAGCTACTCAGAAGGCTGAGGTGGGAGGATCACTTGAGCCCATGAGGTGGAGGATGCAGTGAGTAGCAATGGTGCCACTGCACTTCAGCCTGGGCAACTGAATGAGACCCTGTCTCAAAAACAACAGCAAAACATTACTACGGCGATGCTCACTCCTTTCTCCTGCAACTGGAATGTTTCTCTCTCTGCTGTGGCATTCCTGTTAGTATACATGTAAGATTTTCCACACCTATGATATTCCCCCCTTAAGCATCTATTATTGACTTTTCCTTTGCTCCTACACCTACCACCCTATTTCTTTTCTCCCTTTTCATCAAAATGCCTCAACTTATTTCCAATTCTCCTTTTTTTCTCTGTTAACTCACTCCAATCAGGCTTTCTCACCACCCCAGCCCTGACACCCCCATAAATTGAAATAGTTCTTGACAAGAACAACTTCTATATTATTAAACCTGAAGTTCAATTCTCCTCATTTTATGTGATGTAATAGCATTGGAGACAGTTGAATGTACTCTCCTTTATAAATGTTCTCTTTCTTCATTTGGCCTTATTGACTTTCATTCTCCATATTTTTCTCCCACCTCTTATCTTCTCAGCACCTTTCATTGAATCATTCTCTTTTCACCAACCCTTGAGTCTTGGTGTATTCTGAAAGTCAGTCTTCTCTTTTATGTAGCACTTCTTTAGGTCAGGTTCTCAAATCTATTAGACTTAATAGGTTCCAATAATGACTACTTTATAAAACCATATTTGCTATCCTGAACTGAAACTTATAAGTAATATAATCTTTTCACACATATGATTTTTAAAAATCAATACATGAAACACTGATAAAAAATCAAGGAAGACCTAAATAAATTAAAGATATGGCATAGTTATGGATTGAAAGACTCAGTTTTTAAGATGTCAATTATTACCAAAATGATCTATAGATTTGAAACAATCCTGATTTGAATCCTAGCAGAATATTTTTCCCTTTAAAAAAAATCTATACTCTAAAATATGTATGGAAAGGCAAAGGGAATAAAACAACCAAAACTATTTTGAAAAAGAATGAAGTTGTATGGCCAGGTGTGGTGGCTCACGCCTGTAATCTCAGCACTTTGGGAGGCCAAGGAGGGCAGATCACCTGACGTCGGGAGTTCAAGACCATCCTGGCCAATATGGTGAAACCCTGTCTTTACTAAAAATACAAAAATTAGCTGGGCATAGTGGTGCATGCCTGTGGTCTCAGCTACTCATGAGGCTGAGGCAGGAAAATCGCTTGAAGCCAGGAGGCAGAGGTTGCAGTGAGCTGAGATCACGGCACTGCACTGCAGCCTGGGTGACAGAGGGAGACTCTGTCTAAAAAAAAAAAAAAATGAAGTTGTAGAATTCATACTACCACATTCCAAGATTCACTCTAAAGCTACCAAAAACAAAGACACTGTGGTATTGGGAGATAGGTACATAGATAAATGGAACAGAAAAGAAAGTTCAGAAGTAGACACAAGCAAATATGATCAATTTGTTTTTTAACAGCTTTATTACATAATACACAATAAATTGCACATATATAAAATGTACGATCTGATAATTTTGATATATGCATATACCCTTGAAACCATCAGGAAAATGAACATATTGATCAATTGTAAAAATTTCCTTATGCCCATTGGTAATCCTGCTTGCAGGCCCTCCTCATCATCCCTCCTTCCTGTCTCCATTCCCAAGCAAATACTTACCTGCTTTCAAGTACATACAATGATTTGAATTTTTGTTATTTCTATACTTTTGATTTATTGATTTACTTGGTATGGCTTCTTGCTCTCAGAATAATTGTTTTAAAATTTATTCTCATAGTTTCATGTATCAATAGTTCATTTCTTTTTAATTACTAAATAGTATTCATATATATATATATATAGAGAGAGAGAGAGAGCACAATTTTCTTGTCTGTTGACCTGTTGATAGAAATTTAGATTATTTCTGGTGTTTGGCTATTATCATAATAAAGCTACTACAAACTTTTGTGTACAAATCTTTGTATGAACATATGCTTTGCTTTTTCTTGGATAAATACGTAGAAGTACACTGGCTGGGTCATTTAGTGGTTTAACGTCTTAAGAAATTGCTGAAATATTTTCCATAGCGATTTCACTATTTCACATTTTTACCATTCTGGTTGCTCCACATCCTCACCAACACTGGTATGGTCAGTTTTTTTTTTTTCAATTTGAGGCATTCTAATAGATGTATAGTAGTATCTCATTGTGGTTTTAATTTGCATGTCACTAATGGCTAATGATGTCATTTTATGTGTTTATTTACCATCTGTACATCTTCGTTGCGGAAGTATCTGTTTAACTTTTTAACCATCTCTTTCTTATACACTTTCCCGCCCGTATCATTATTGCACATTGGGAGTTCATGATACATCCTGGATACAAGTTGTTTATTAGATATGATTTGCAAGTATTTTCTCCCAGTCTGTGAACTGTCTTTCATTCTCATTACTGAGAAGACATTCTTTTTGAAAAGCAGAAATTTTTAAATTTGCAGAGGTTAATTCATCAATTTTTTTTTCTTTATTATGTATGGTACATTTGATATTGGCTCTAAGAAATATTTACTTAACCCAAAGTCACAAAGATTTTTACATCATGGGTAAGTAATGAATTTTTATGATTTGAGATTCTTAGTACATATGTATTGAATGAACAAATGAAATTACACTTCTTACATTTTAAAATCACATAGCTTCATCTTGCAGTGCTTTTTGTGTGTGTGTGTAAAACATTTTTAGGCTACAATTTATTTTCACTACAGTCACCATTGCCTAGATGAGAGAGCTTGGGCCTCAAATGGTTTAACAGCTCTGTCTACACTATCAGGAGCTTGGGCCTCAAATGGTTTAACAGCTCTGTCTACACTATCAGGAACTTGGGTACAAACCCAAACGCACCACACCACAATTCAAAGGAGTCAAGCTCCAGCCACAAGTTAGGTGTATTTCATTATTAGGAACACACTAAAGCATGCTAGTTATTTTTTCTAAACTAGGAGTGGGTATTAATTACATTGTGAGAAAAGTTCAAGTAGAGTTTCTGCAGTTCAGTGGCCTCTCCTCTGGTGAAAATACTTTGACCTTGTGTAATAAATCATCCCATGCGTTCTCATAAAACAGTGGCATTATTTTTAAAAAGACCTTAAATAGTAAATGAACAAAAATAGAAAATTTAGGTTGTATTTTCATATCTGTAAATGTCTTTCTTAATGAAGAAATGAGCTTCTTCTACATAAAAATTTGCAAATTGATTATTTCAGGCATTTTCAGCCTTTTCTACTCTTGATTCCTTTCCTGTCTTCATTGTGTTCATTCCATGAAAATGGGCCACGAAGGAGTGTGCCACAAAGAATATCACAAGAAACAGGGTCTTTGAAAAGAATCTTTCCGAGGGAATCAAAGTTGAGGTGAGGCCAAGAGATTTAGAAGACACTTAGAGATACACTGTGGGCTCCACAGCCTGGATAAGCTCCTTCCTGTGGGCCGGGCCTGTGAAGCAGTGATGGCGAGTGTTGCAGCAGAAGCAGGCCCTGTCTTACCCTCCAGAACACAAACTGATCCAATCAGTACGTGAAGCCACTATTGTCCATTTTACAGATGAGGGAACTGAGGCCCATGTCTAATGTCATGCAGTTAGTTGGTGTTAAAGCTAAGATTTGGGGCCAGGGCTGGTGGGCACTTGTCTTTCTCTCCTTATACCTATCATTTCGCCACACTTTAGGTACACAATTTGTTCATTTGCATCAGTATGAAGTTAGAAAAGTCCCACCCAAAGACAGACAGACAGACAGACAGACAGACATACTTTTATCTAGTAGCACTTGGGGAAAAGAATACAGTTGGCTTTATGTATCTGCAGGTTACTTATTTGCAGATCCAACCAATCAGAGATGGAAAATATTCAGGAAAAATCTCCAACAAAAATAACAATACAACAATTAGAAATAATACAAATTTTAAAATACAGTATAACAACTATTTATATAGTTTTGCATTGTATTATATTTAATACATAATCTAGAGATGATTTAAAGCATACAGTAAGATATGGGTAGGTTGTATGCAAATGCCACACCATTTTATATCATAGACTTGAGCCTCCACAGATTTTGGAATCCATCTGGAACCAATCCTCTACAGATACCAAAGGATGACTGAATTAGATAAAATTCAGCAAATATGTCACTAATACCACCCTCTCTTTCCCACTATACCAGGTAGTGTCACTGTGAGGTGGAATTCCCTCCTTCTCCCCGAAAGGAGAAAAACCACTGAACTCATAGGGTTCGTTTCCCCTGGCTGGACAGAGACTGGGGACTTGGAGTTAACAATCTTTAACGATAAATAGAAGAGGTGGTCTCCAGAAGAGACGAGGGGTTCTGGGAAAGCACTGATGGCAACATTGTTTACCACGATTGTGACAGTGGTTATACAAATGTTATCTATTTGTCAAGACTTGAGAAACTTATGAACGGTTGCATTTTGTTATATGTAAATTATAATTAAATAGAGTTATGAAAATAAGCAATAGGCAATGTAGGGCCTGCACATGCTCTGCCAACTGTCCTTGTTCTAAGACATACATTCACTTTGTTTTCATGAAAATTAAGCAGTAAAGCACAGAGCAGAACACAATATGACTGAAAGATAAATACATTTTCTGGTTTATAAAGGTTAAATGTCCTTCCCCCAGCAACATCTCTTAGCAGACCACTAATCATTTTAATCTCTAGCTCTTAAACTTGTATTCCAAAAGAACAAATCAGAGATCCATGTATTCAAATTTAGTTTCTTCTGAGTATTCACGCACTTGAACACCCTTCATTTACTTAGATGGATGATAAGTCACCAAGTCGGAAAACATTGGGTTACTTTCTCATGAACTATCCTAATTTTTGGTCTGGTTATTCCGGATATTTTACTGAAGTTAAACTGTGATCTAAGGTATAGTAACTAGAAGTTAAATTGTGATCTAAAGTGTAGTAACAGTAGCTAGTATTCATAGTACAGTAGCTTAGTCCCAGCACTGTACTTTATATGAATTAAGCCATTAGCCATTTAGCAGCCAAAGTAATTAGAAATAGTCACAGTGTAATTTAGCTACTACCTGAGAGCAGTAAATATACCAAAAAGTCTTAGAAAAATACAGATTCCTTTCTGGTGATCCTTAGCTCCATCTTTGGAGTCAACGCCATCTTTCCAGCTGTCTCTGCAACAAAACAAAAAAAAGAGTCATCTTTGACTCTTTCTTCCAAATCCATTCTATTAGTAAGGTTTGTTGGTTCTACCTTCAAAAATACACCCAGAGTCCGACTCCCTCTCACCACCTCCAGTGCTAATACCCTGGTCCAAGTCCCCATGATCTCTTTCCAGGGTTGCCCAGTGGCCTTCTAGATACTTGCATGCTTCCCCTTTTGTCACCCTATCCTCTTTCTCCACTAGCAGTGAGAATGAGGGTGTTAAAATCCGAGTCAAATCATTTCACTCTCCCACTCAAGATCCTCCAATAGTGTCCCATCTCACTTGAATAAAATCCAAAATACTTATGGTGATTTCCAGAGCCTTATATTCTCGAAACTGTGGCTGCCTCTCTGATCTCATTTCCTTCCATTCCTATCATATTTAGCCCTCTGGCTAAGCTGGCACTGCCCTTCGTGCAGTTCTTCCTGCTACGCCTGGAATTTGCACTTGCCTTTACCTGGAACTTTCAACTCTCACATCTTCATAGACTTCTCCCCAACGCTTTCCAGTTCCCCGTGCCTGTATCATTGCCCTAGAAGGCTTTTTGCTGGGTAAGAACAGCCGGTGCCTCATGACTCAGGCATTTTGCACTGTCAAATGTTTCTTCACAGCACTTATTATTATCTGACATATATTATGTTTTTCTTATTTATTTATTGTCTGTCTCTCTCATCCCCTGTCCCAACCCACGCCCCCACACCATATTCTCCCCCTGTAGAAGGGAAGCTCCAGGAGAGCAAAAGCTTTGTCATTTTTGTTCCTGGTTGCTTCTGCAGCATCTAGAACACTGCTTGGGACAGAGTAGGTGCTCCTTATATGTAGAAGGAAAGAAGAAAGAAAGAAAGAAAGAGAGAGAGAGAAAAAAAGAAAGGAAGAAAGAAAGAGAAAGAAGAAAGAAAGAAAGAAAAAGGAAGGAAGAAAGGAAGGAAGAGAGAGAGAGGGAGGAAGGAAGGAAGGAAGGAAGGAAGGAAGGGTAATGTCTTTTTGGTGACTTTAAATTTTAGAGGATAAATATTTGTGATCCTGTTCCCCACTAGCTGCAGGGGCTTTTGAGGGTTCCAAGGGTGTTGGAGCATAAATGGCTCTAGTTGGCTGTGCTCTCAGGTAGTTCTGTTCTCCCTGCTTTTCGACAGCTACTCTCTTTCTTTTGAATAGAAGCTTTTTTAGCAGGCAAGGAAGCTGTATGTTTGGGCGCCCTTCCAGACCTCACCCTTTGTGTCTTTTCACTTAATTCATCCTGGTTTGTATCCTTTATAATATACTGTAATTATAAGTGTAGCACTCTCCTGAGTTCTGTGAGTCATTTTAGTGAATTATTGAACCTGAGGGGGTCCTTGAAACCCCCAGATTTGTAACCAGTTGGTCAGAAGTATGGGAGGCCTGGACACCCCTGAATTGGCATCTGAAATAAGAGCAGTCTTTGCGGGGACTGTGTTCTTTAACTTGCGGAGTCTGAATGCTAACTGGATGGTTAGCATCAGAATTGTATTGCAGTATATTAATATGTGTTGCTGTTTAAAGATGGCTTGGTTAATATATACTTTTGATTGATTCACACTGAACACCCAGCCAACAGCACTGTAACTCATGCCTGAATGAAGCTTATCTTCATGTGTATTTTCTTCCTCACGCATATTACAGCCTTCTACACTTAGGAACACTAGGCAACACCTCAGCACTACTCTTGGTAGGGCCATTTTAAACAGCAATATCACCAAAAAAGTAAATAAAAATAATAAAAGTACCAAAATGCAAAATCATGGCAGTAAATAGACTGTGAAAAGGATACTTGTTTATGTGAGCTGAAACAAGAAGGCAGAACATTACCTTGTTTGATTGCAGCTAGGAAAGCGTGCCTCCGGTGACTCATTTTGTGTGTGTGTGTGTCTGTTCTGTATGTGTCTGCAAATGACTGATAAAATGCTGTCAATATTTATTGTTGTTTTTAGTATTTGTGTTGGGGCTGCAAATAAATTTTAGCAAGTAGGTGAATTTGCAAATATGAAATCCATAAATAGTGAGGCTCAACTCTGTATACATTAAGACATCTCCCCCACCCCTCCCCCACACAAACATGCACATTTGATTACAACCTTCTATCTCACATCTTAAAAAAAATTTGAGGCCTGGTGCAGTGGCTCACTCCTGTAATCCTAGCACTTTGGGAGGCTGAGGTGGGAGAATGACTTGAGGCCAAGAGTTTGAGGCAAGCCTGGGCAGCAAAGCAAAACCCTGTCTCTATAAAAAATTTTTAAAAACCAGCCAGGCATGATGACTCAGGCCTATAGTCCCAAATACTTGTGAGGCTGAGATGGGAGGATCACTTAAGCCCAGGAGTTGGAGGTTACAGCGAGCTATGATCACATCACTGCCTGGACAACAGCCCTTGATCTTGTTTAATTCTGCAGCTGCTTTTTCTGCTCCATAACAAGCCAGGGTGGGACTCAGCTCCTTTTCTTTGATTTCCTCTCACACTAATCACACAGAGACTTTGTTTGTGCAGCAGGATTAAAGGAAGGCTTGGGAATGATAAACTTGGTTGCATTGCAATAACACAAACAAATTGAAATAGAATGTTAAACATCTGTGTCTTAAACTACCCTTTAGTGCCTACATCTCTCCCTCCTGGAATTTTTAACAGTTACTATATCCGAGTCCTTAATGTCTTTATTAAAAACAACAAGCCATCTACCTACTTCAGATCTTAAGCTTAACATCACTGGCAAAGCCTTCCAGTCTCAGTTGTGTTCCCCTGTTTCTCAACAATGTCTGTAAAGAACAGAGGTTTAATTTTACAAAAATGAATTATGATAGCCACTTTTGGCAAGCACAGTTTCAGTAACATTTTTCTTCCTCTATGTTACTGATGTCAAACCTATCTAATCCTCATACAATCTCTATGAGAAAGTTTTATTCCAAATTTACAGATGAGGAAAAGGCCTGGGGAGGTTAAACAGCTTCCAACTCCTGAACACTGCCCAAGCTCACAGAGCTTAGAATGAGTTCAATGCAGATCTAAGAGGCCAAGGGATTTAACTACGGCACTAGATTTGCTTACTTCCCAATTCTGTAATTTCCTTAACAAGGGATACCTGTGTTAGTGATAATATGTTGTGCCATGTATATCACTGTGGAAAAAAACCCCGTCTTTAATCAAATTAAATGCTGAAAATACCATCCAAGTTAAAAGTTAAAGATGTGGGTTTATGGACTCTTGCATTTCATAGAGATACTCTGCGTGGTGAAGAAGCTATTGAAAGGCAATACCAAAAATCAAATTGTTTCTGTTTGAGAGTACTATATAAAAAGGTTTTAAATAAATACTTAATTATATTGGTTAATTAGGTACCTGCAATATTAGGCAATTTTCTGATGTAAGACAATTCTGAAAGTATGCAAATTAAAGAAGTAAAAGTACAATGGTGGAAGCATGTCCAGATTATATAAATGAATTAAAAATTTTCAACTTGTCGCTAAGCAGATTTCTTGCTTTCTTTTAAATATACAGAAAAAGCATATGGATTCTCAAGATAAACCACATATGAAAAAGTTTTAGCTTTTTTTAAAATTTTTACAGCTTCACTGAAATGTCATTCAAGACATATTAGTAAATTTGTGATTTAAATTTAGAAGCCATCACCACAATCCAATTTTAGAACTTTTCTAGCACTTCCCAAATTTCCTTCAATTTCACCTTTTAAGGAGTGTTAAGAGCAGAAAACACACACAATTATCTGACTTAAAGAGAAAAGAAAAATCACCTAGTACCACCTAGTGGTGTATAAGTAGATAGCGAGTTGATTTTGGAATTTTTGAAATCCAATACTCAGACATTTCTCTTCCATGGGATTACAAATTAGCTACTAATATTTCTGGTTTATAATCGAAAGTTAACTTCAAAATATCCACAAGCTTATCCAAAATATTTACTAGATAAATTTTAAAAACTTTAGTTTTAAAAACAAATGATATCCTTTCTTCAAATGAGAGTTTACTTGGAGTCCCAGTATGTTTAGCAGATAAATACTTAGTTTATCATTGGATGGTCTACTCACTCCCCTACTTGCTGAAAATAATTGTAGAAAGTAAAGACTGTGGAGAAATACACAAAACAGAAAGAATAGTTATCTCTGAGTACTGGAAAATAAGTGAGGTTTTCCTTTTGGTTTTATTTTTTCGCTGGAGTGTGTATATATAATTGAAAAAAACTATAATAAGTTGTATTTAGAAATTCAATATAAAATTTTAAAATATTGCAAAAATGCCTACCAAGGTCCTTGCAAAACAGCAATTTTCCATGAATATTATTTGCCCTTCTCGTTTCCTTCCTATTGGTGACAGTAACTCTCCATCACTCACAGGCTGAGGACAAAGGAAAATGTCTATGTCTTATGGTTAGCTTGAGCTGCCATAATTAAGTGTTATATAGACTGGGTGGCTTAAACAATACAAATTCACTTTCTCACAGTTCTTGGGGCTGGTAGTTCAATGGTTAAGGTGGAAGGCAATGATTAATTGGGAATGTCTTCTCTCAGCCTCGCCATGTAATTCCTTGCAGGAGTCTCTGCTAATGTTATCTGGCTTCATGGAAGCTCAATGTCCCATGAGTAATGAAGTCATATTGTGTAAGGTTCATATGGTGAAATGCACATAATTCTGATAGTGTTCCTGGAAAACAGTGCTTTATGATGGAAAAACTATTCAGAGAAAGAATAATTTCAGCAAGTACAGTTATATAAGAAGTCATGTCAAATAGAATAATAGTAGTAAATGCCTAATTTGGATTCCACTTCTGGTTCTGATTCTTACTATCCACGTGACCTTGAGCAAACCACTTGATGTCCTCCTGAGTTTGTTTCTCAACTGTCAAATGGGGATAATAAAAAAATCTACTTTATAGGGTTGTTATGAGAATTAAATGAAATGATAAACATATAGCATATATTAAACACTCAATAAACATTAGGCATTACTACTATTACTTTACATTAATATTATTTTCTTAGGATGGCATATGAAAGATCTGTCTTAACTGTGACTTTGGGGGAAATCTAATCACACCACTCCCATAGGTGTGGATTACAGAACTTTGGGAGAGATAGACACAGTGCTGTCCTTGGTTCTGAAACCACCATACTAGGACATGATTGCTTTGAAACCTCAGGATACTGGTGAATGCTGGTCCAACCTCTTCCAAGAATTTTGAAGCAGGCAAGGGCAAAAGTGGAGGAAATTATGGAGGAGGAGGAGAAGGAGGAGGAGGAAGAGAGAGAGAAGCATAATTCCTAAGAACTTGCTAGGAAAGGGGTGGGAAGAAACCTGCTTGACATTGTTTTCAAAGTGCATTGGTTGCTGTCATCAAGCAAGAAACAACCCCCTTGTATTTGGCAGAGAATTGTAGGTGTGTGCTGAGGGGGTACTTTATATATTCCTTTCCTCAAGCTATCCTTGGTGTACTTCCCTATCTCTGTGCCTAATCACCTTGGTATCAGTACCTAATCAGTAAACTGAAAGTTCACTGAGGGCAAGGACTGGGTCTCCTGCACTCTTGTGAGGACAAAGGAAAATGTCCATGTCTTAGCTTGGGCTGCCATAAAAAGCATTGTAGTCTAGGTGGCTTAAACAATATAAATTTATTTTCTCACAGTTCTGGGGGCTGGAAGTCCAAGGTAAGGTTGCCAGCATAGTTGAATTCTGGTGAGGGCTCTTTTCCTGGCTTGCACATGACCGCCACCTACTCCCTGTGTCCTCGCATAAGGGTGAGGGAGAATGGTGAAGAAAGCTTTATAGAGCAAACTCTCTGGTCTCTTTCTATAAGGACACAAATTCCATTATCACGAGGGCCCCTAATTAGCTCCCAAAGACGCTATTTCCAAATAGCATCACACTAGAGGTTAGGGTTCAACATGTGAAATATGAGGGGACATAAACATTTGAGCGGACATCAATCCACGATATCTTGTAAAGTGGGAAGCACACAGTTTCTGTAACTGAAGGCCCTCAATAAATGGTAGTTTTATAAAAAGAAGCGGCTGTATCCTGGGCCTCACTGTTTTGATGTTACTATATAATTCTACTTTTTCATGTTGCAGATTAAGTAAGTTGAATCTGGTATTAGCACATATGGCTTTGTTATTGTCTTTGTTTCCTTGGCGGTGTGCACCTGCTCAGCATAGAAGATGTGCAGATTGACTGTGCTGAGAATGGCAGTTATCCAGAGGTGTGGAACACTGCAGCATGGAGCCTCCATAGCAGAAAAGGCCAGAGTCTAACTACACTAAGGGATGATTGCTGGGTGGAGCCTGAGTGCATTGTATTCTAGAGTTTAATGTGCACGAATAGCCACGACTTACGTAGCGCTTAGTGTATGCCAGCTGTTCTAAGCATGTTATATATATAGATTCATTTTAATTATTACAAAAACCCTAAGGGATAAAACTGTTATTATTTGAATTTTACAGATGAGGAAATTAAGGCAAAAATATGTAAAAAAAACCTTGACAAAGGTCACACAGTAAGTGTCACAGGGGGAATTTGAATTCAGGCCATTGGATTCCAGTGTTTTAACCACCATGGTATGGTATCCTTCCTAAAATTTAAGTAACACCCTGCAAGGAATTTTCTTCTTGGGTTTAGTCTACTAGCATATACTGTATCTTCCTATGGTTAATATCTAAATACTGTGAGGAGTGGTGGGGGTGGGGGGCAAGACTGAAGATGAGAATTGAGAAGTGGCTTCCTCTGGAAAAGCGATTTACTCAGGTAAGAGAGAGACAGTGTCTTTAAGAAGGTAGCACAGCCTCACCAGGACAGGGTAGAGAGGGCTGATCCATTTGTCTGAGGAGGTTCATAGGGAGTTGGAGTCTTGGTGTAGTCCAAATCTTCTAAATTCTGTCCCACTCCTTTGTGACCAATGCTATAACTGTCATGTAAGAAATCATGAAACTGTGACCTCAGACCTTGGAAGAAATTCAATCTCCAATTATCTTAGCTTTAGTGCTAAATAATAATAGAAAGCCTTTAGTTCATCATGGTTCAGAGAATTTAAGCATTTGAGCTTTTGTCTGTTTAACTTTCTGGTTTTGTTAGAAGTTGCTACTCCGCAATATTGAATTCCTTCAGTTTTTCATACTAGTCTAAGGTCGGAGAATAGCTCAGCTTCCCTAAATCTCTTTTAAAGGTCAGTTTATTCCAGGTGACCATAGGAATTCATTTAATTAGATAATTCACCACAGCATGCTATGGGCTGCTAAAGTCTAGTTTCTGAGCATTAACATAGTTCTTACTACCTTTAAGTCAAATAACCAGTGCCAGATTTTTCCTATCCCTGAGGGTCGAGTGTCTGCAACTAACTCCTGATGACGTAGTGGAAAATTTTGAGCCAGAAATATCATTTCCACCTATGTTCATTTCCTAGGACTGCTGAACCAAATTACTACAAACTGAGTGGCTTAAAACAGTAGAAATTTATTTTCTCATAGTTCTGGAGGCTAGAAGCTCTAAATCAAGGTGCTGGCAGGGCCATGTACACTTTGAAGCCTCCTTGAGCTTTCAGAGACTCAAAGACTCCTTCCTTTGCCTCTTCCTAGCTTCTGGTAACTCCCAGCATTCCTTGGTGTTCTTTGGTTGATATGGTTTGGCTGTGTTCCCGCCCAAATCTCATCTTGAATTGCAGTTCCCATAATCCCCATGTGTCCTGGGAGGAACCAGGTGGAGATAACTGAATCAGGTTTCCCCATCCTGTTCTCGTGATAGTGAGTTAGTTCTCATGAGATCTCATGGTTTTATAATGGGAGTTCCCCTTCACTGGGCACTCATTCTCCTTCCTGCCATAATGTGAAGAAGGATGTGTTTGCTTCTCCTTCTGCCATTGTTAGTTTCCTGAGGCCTCCCAGCCATGCTGAACTGTGAGTCAATTAAACCTCTTTCCTTTATAAAGTACTCAGTCTCGGGAATGTCTTTATTAGCAGCATGAGAATTGACTAATACATTGGTTTATACCTGTCTGACTCCCATCTCTGCCTCTGTCTTTATTTGGCCTTTCCCCCTCTATGTATGTCTGTGTCTCTTTGTCTCTAAATTTTCCTTTCCTTATAAGGACACAAGTTATTGAATTTAAGGCCCACCCTCATCCAGTATGAGCTCATCTTAATTTGATTACATCTGCAAAGAGACTGTTTTAAAATAAGATCATGTTTACAGGTACTGGAAGTTAGAGCTTGAAAATAAATTGTATTTTAGCTTTTTAATTGTTTAATGCTTGCTTTTAAATCAAATTATACAGTCACATAGATTAAAGTGCCAAATCATTCTGAAATTCTTTTTTCAAAGCACCTGTATGCCCTTTATCCCATTTCTTTTCTTGCAGAAAAGTATTTGCTCACAGAAAAACTGAATTTTAAAAATTTTAGCTTTTGTTTCCTGAGCACAGCTACCTGTATTTCAGCTTCTTCCTCAATCTTGCCCTCTTTTACTTGAGTTGCTGGTTGAACATAAATTTTTGTGGGACACAATTTATCATCATTGCCCACAATTGGTGATTATAGTTCCTGTTATCATTTTTTGCATGTCTGGTATCTTCAGGACTCTTACATTCCTGCTAAATGTCTCCTAAGACTTCTGAATTAGACAAAGGGACAAATGACAGGAAAAGCACATTATAAAATGCAGGACACAGGAAAGTGAATGTGCCATCTGAAAGTAGCTAATTTCCGCTGGCTATAATTAGATCCATCCCTAAAATATGGTAAGTTGCTTGACTGGTACTGGGCATTGATGCTGGCAGGCAGGCAGTAGCCCTCCAGTAAAAAGATGATATTGCCAATTCCTGTAATCTCCTCTTTAATACATTTTTTTTCCAAACAAATGTAAATTTTCAACAGATTTTACTTTTGTTTCTACATTTTCTTGTACGGTATGGGGAAGAGGAGACAAGCAGTATAATAGAAAATGATATTTCATTTCTGTTCACTCCAGTAATAAGTGTCAACAGGTCTCTTAACTCTTTCAGTGTTCAACAACATTTCAAGATTCTGCCGGGAAGCCTGGAGGCTAAAATATTTCTGAATTAAAAAATTAAGCTTTTATACATTGATAACACCAGGTTATTCTGTTTCTTGAAAAGTAACTAGAAGCCTTCTGTGAAAAGAAACTATACCATTTCAAATCCACTCGGAGGAGTCAATTATTCCCCCCCAAATATTCTCCTCTGCATTCCATTAAATAATTGATTGGCTTGTCAAATGCCCATTTGGTTTCCAGAGATGGTGTTCTTGATACCAAAGAGGTATTACAAATCCTTGTCAGTGCGTTCAAAAAGGTTTATAGTCCTTTTCATGTGAAAATAATTGATAATATAAAACTATTAGTAAATCATGGCATATCATAAACAGAAATGAAAGGTAGTCTGATTTTCACTATAAGTCGTTGGCTGCCATCAGTCCTCAGGGTTTGAACTATCTAGCAGTTCTGCTTAATAACATCCCAGATAGCATTGCTTCAAAAGCTCCATAAAAGGTGAAGGCTGAAAAAACTTCAAGTAATTAAATGTTGGACTGAATAAACACAACTTTCCTGAAAAAATATTTGCATGCATACTTTTTTTCTTTCCAAGCCTAGTTTTGGCCTATTTTTCAAATTTTTTTTTGAAAAAATTTTTCAAATTTTCAAGATTTTTTTCAAATCTTGAGCAGCAGATAACTTTCCACACCCAAATGAACGATCTGAGAACATTAAAAAGGGGCTGGATTTCCCCATCAAAGTCTGAGAGTTAAAAAAATTTACTTCAGTGTGTCTCCCATGCTAGAGTATGCTGGCTATCTATTCAATGTCTATTCTTTTTTTCTTCTGCAGTAATAGAAACCCCAGTTTTCATCTTGGTACATGGAAGCCTTCAATAAAGTATACATTTCCCGGATCCTCAGAAAGCTTGGTGTAGTCATGACCAAGTTCTGGTCAATGAGAATGTTAATGTTGCATCTTTCAGGCCACACCCTTTTAAAAGGAAGGGGTTTGCCTTTCCCCTCCATTTCCTAACTTTTTTTCTTTCCTGATAGCTGGAATGCAAATATGATACTGAGTTATCTTGGACTATGCATATGCATGTAACACACCAGCCTTGTATCTCATGGCTTTCATTTGCTAATCTCTGAATATTAATTAGGCTGAGCATCTTTTTTCATATGTTTACAGGTCATTCAAGTGCAGCATTCAACTCAATGAGTTGAAAAAAAGTAATAAGACACAGCTAAAGAAGCAAGAAGGAGAGAAATAATAAAGATGTTTATTTTTAACCTTTCTTAATTCCTAGTGAGTCCATGTAAACAATAAATTTCCCAAGTGCTGCCTTAGCTATGTCAAACTAAATTTTACATAAACTGGGTTTTGTTTGCATTCAGTTATAAATAGATCTTAATGTTCTTTAAGGTTTTTTTTTTTTTTCTCTTAGCCCATGGATTGTTTGGTCATATATTATTTAGTTCTCAAACATTTGTTACATCTCAATAGCTATATTTTTGGTATTAATTTATAAACTTATTGTATAATAGTCTGAGTAATAGTTTGAAGTACATATTGGTCATTTGGAATTTATTGAGATTATTGTAAAGGCTTGAAATAGTTCATTCTTATATATGTTGCATGTATATTCAAAAGGTGTATCATCTACTATATCTAATATGTTAGGATGGTGCAAAAGTAATTGTGGTTTTTGCCATTAAAAGTAATTGGATATATGAAATTTAATTAATATTAAACTTTAATAGTGGGCAAAAATAGCAATTACTTTTGCACCAACCTAACATATATATGTATTTATTATACTTTAAGTTCTAGGGTACATGTGCACAACTTGCAGGCTTGATACATAGGTATACATGTACCATGTTGGTTTGCTGCACCCATCAACTCATCATTTACATTAGGTATTTTTCCATACCAACCTAATGTTTAAATAAATTTCATATATCCAATACTAATTGTTCAAGTATTTGATATCTTCATTTATTATTATCTGCTTGTCCTATTAGTTTTGAGGAGATTATGTTATAAATCTCTCACTGTAGTTGTTCTTTTTAGAATAACGCTTTTTAAGCCGGGCACAGTGGCTCATTCCTGTAATCTCAGCACTTTGGGAGGCAGAGGCAGGAAGATTGCTTGAGCTCAGAAGTTTGAGACCAAACTCGGCAGCATGGTGATATCCCTGTCTCTATAAAAAATAAAAAAATTAGGTGGGCACAATGGCTCGCACCTATAGTCCTAGCTACTCAGGAGGCTGAGGTGAGGATCACTTGAGCTGAGGAATTTGAGGCTGCGGTGAGCAATAATCATATGACTTCACCCCAGCCTGGGCAATAAAGTGATGTCTCAAGAAAAAACAAAATAAATAGAATAATGTGTTTTGCATTTATTTTGATGAGCAATTAAATATACTTATTTTGGTCTTTGTCAAGTGATACAGAAATTGATTACATTTATATTTTGGCTTGATTAGATTTTTTTCAATTATTTTAGTGTTCAGAGAGAGCATTCTTATTTTGAGAGGGGAGCTTAGTTTTAGTTATTATTTCTCTGTCTCCCAGTGTGCCCATCATGTGTTTGTTTAGTGGGTTTGCAATTATAAAAGGAAGGATGAAATTTTAACAAGAAGAAATGTTTTCAGGAAGTTTCACCTGGTGTGCCCAGCAGCATCAAAGGATTCAGGTGAAAACCTGAAGACTGTGCAGAATGAATGGATAGTTACACTGAAAAACTGGCTGCATTGGGAAGAGAATTTTTGAGAAAAGAATCTGGAAATGTAGACTGGATTCATAAAGATGGGAATCTTTGAAACAAAGCTCTTCCTTTTATTCTGTAGACTTGTAGAATTCTTAAGTATTTTGTTGTTTTGCCTTTGATTCTGATTCCTTAATGGTAGAACAGGGATAATATTTGCTTACAATTATTCTCAGAGTTATCATGTAAACTAATTGTTACTATTTGTGACATGATTTGAAGATCTGAAATGATAAACTCCTAATGTGTAGAAAATTATTTCATTATTATTCTCAAAACTATGTTTTTGGTGAATGCCTAAAACTATATAAGTTATGTGTTTGAAGTCTCTGGCTGCCATGATTTTACTTTTATCAGTATTTAGTATTCTTCTGGGTCAGTGATGCCCTAACTTGGCAGTATTATCAGAAGACTAATTAGAATTACAACTGCTTAGTGTTCCAGAAATATAAAGCAAAACCCACCATCTTATTTTGTCTTCTTAGCACTTACTAACTTATATTGTATTATAATTCTATATTTAAATCTGTGTGGTAAAGACTTCTAGTTCTCCCTCAGTATTCATCCTCTCCTTATTCAATAGTGGTTTTAAATCTCAATTTTTGGTTGAGTGCATGATTGCCCAGAATAAAGGCTATATTTTCTAGCATCCTTTGTAGATGGATGTGACCACATGACTATGTTCTACTCAGTAGGATGTAGCTGGTAGTGGTCCAATGGCAGGAGGATCTGCATTTTTTTGTACACTACTTCCTGTCTGCTGGGTAGAATGAGTATGTAATCACTGGAGCCACAGCATCCATCTTGCACTACGAGGTGATTTTTAGAATGGAAATCCCACAGTGTAGTTGAGCCTGATCTTTTACCTCTCGAAGTTCTGATCTGACTACCACTGTGATTCTTGAATGTGAAAGAGAAATGCACTTCTATTTTTATTGAAGCCACTGTAACTTTGGGCTATTCTGGTGCTCACATTCTAATATTATCGTTAACACCTACTTTGTTCTGCATGTGCAGCATCAATTTCCAATTCTTCAGGAAACACCACCCCAATTTTCCTACTTTAGTCCATGTGATTAGATGAAGCTGACTCCAGGGAAGGCCATATGAGTCTTGCCTCACCAATCATAGCATTTCATCTACTGGGCCCTAGTGATTAGTTCATGGATGGTCACATGGTCCATACCAGACTAATGAGATGCGATCTGGGACTTTTGCTGTAACTAATGGAAAAGACAGGCTCTCTTTCCACCACAGTTGCTCAACTGTGAGGACATAAATCTGAGGCTCTTATTAACACAAAAGAGGACTGGTCTGCAAAAGAAGTCAACACACGAAAAATGCTGGAAAAGGTTGACGCACATACATATATATACATATACATACACACACAGAAACACACACAGTAAGACACACACATATACACACACAGAAACAGATTATTACATCACTTGAACATTGTGATCTGGCCATTCCTGAAGCTAAATCTTCCTGGACTTTAATTGCTTGAGATAATAAATCCCCTTTTTTTTTCTTAAAGCCAATTGGATTTGTCATTTTTGACTGAAAGATTCTTGACTACTACTTCCACTACTTCCTCTATTTATTTACATAATCACAAAATGTTTCACATGCACCATTTTATTATTTAACTCTCAAAATATATCTATCATTTAGGTAGGTAAGCAAAGAGTGGATTGGATCCATTTTTTTAAAAGTTTACTTTAAATTCTGGGATACATGTGCTGAACATGCAGGTTTGTTACATAGCTATATATGTGCCATGGTGGTTTGCTGCACCTATCAACCCGTCATCTAGGTTTTAAGCCCTGCTTGCTTTAGGTATTTGTCCTAATGGTCTCCCTACCCTTTCCCCTAACCCCCTGACAGGCCCCAGTGTGTGATGTTCCCCTCCCTGTGTCCATGTGTTCTCATTGTTCAACTCCCACTTATAAGTGAGAATATGCAGTGTTTGGTTTTCTTAGATCCATTTTTGTGCTTCTCACAGGGCACAGCACTGTTTCTTCAAGAGAGCAGGTACTTAACAATGGCATGACTGACTACTATTAGGCATCGAAACTAATTTTATTTCAACAGACCAGAACTCACAGAAGGCCTATTATTATTTTTAAAGTAGTCACCTTAGAGTCTTTAGACACCTTTCAATAAATGTTACTGCTCAGTATATTTTGAGAAATGGTGTTATAAAATTGCCTTAAAAATCTCTGGGGGCCAGGCGCAGTGGCTCACACCTGTAATCCCCACATTTTTGGGAGGCTGAGGTGGTAGGATTGCTTGAGTTTAGGAGTTGGAGACCAGCCTGGAGAACATAGGGAGACCCCATTTCTACACATAATTTAAAAAAATGCCAGATGCGGTGGCACATGCCTGTGGTCCCAGCTACTTGGGAGGCTGAGATGGGAGGATCACTTGGGTCTCGGAGGTTGAGGCTGCAGTAGACAGTGATAGTGTCACAGCACTCCAGCCTGGATGATAGAGCGAGAACCTGTCTCAAAAACAAACAAACAAACAAACAAACAAACAAAATCTGTGGTATTTTTAAATTAAGTAACTCAATAGTGGTAAATCTTCATCCTATGAAAATGACCTGACTTCTGCAAACATCCAGAATTCAATTGAAATGAATTCTAGTAAGTCTGGAAAGAAAGAAACTGAAGGCTCAAAGTAGAAGAAAGAGAGATAGAAAGAAAATAAAGTCTTGTTAAGTTTTTTAAAACTCATGAAAATCTACAAAGTAGGCATTGTTATCTCTAGTTTACCTAGAAGGAGTTGGATAAATTGGCCTGAGAGTAATGTAGTGGCCAAGGGCAAGCTTTTCCTTAGGCCTCTGTAGGTTTGCTGAAAATCACTAACAAGAGTCAGGTTAATAGGAGAAAAGGCATACAAATTTATTTGGTCATAGTGTTAAATGACATAGGAGCCTTCAGAATGAAGGGCCAAAGAGACAGGGGAAATGGTCCATTTTAATGCTTACATTCAGCCAAGTATGCACAGCCATGTAGAAATATGACTGGACAAAAAGGGTGTGATCTAACACTAATAGACTGAATAGGTAAACCCAGAAAGGTCTGTTTGGATTCTAATATGGCCTCTGAGCAGCATTTCTTCCTCCTGGATGTGGGGCAGGAACTTCTCTGGAATGAGAAGCCAGGGACAGGAGGGAAGAGGGCTGGAGAGTAACTATCCAGGATTCTCAATTTCCTGTCTGTTTGAAAGAAAGTCTCCCATGAGCTTTAACAGAGAAAAGGAGTGTCTTGTTATCTGGAACACCGATGGTGATAATCTAGCTAGAACCTGCCAGGGTAACAAAAAGGCCCAAGGCTCTCTGATAGTATCATATTTTCTCTACCTGCTCTTTTGAACCTAATCCAGTCAGGAATTGCCTTGGAATAGAGGCAATGAGTCAGGTGCCCTGATGGATGCACATGCTGTTGTCTGTAGATAGACAGAAATTTTTTTTTTGATTGTTTTTAAAAAGAAAATTTAACACTTTAGGCAGGAGGCTTTCATTTTACCTGCCTTTTCTCTATCCCTCCATGGAATCAGTCTTTCCAGCACTGATAGAGTGGGCAACAGTCACATTCTGTAACTCTGTGTGACTGCCTGTTCAAGAAGCGGCTTGGAATTTGCGATGATTGCAGCATGTAAAAGTCAGCTCTGTTGTGGTGCTATAAAGAAAAGAACAGACTAAGTTGCTTTTAATGCAGACTGCAGAAAACAATACCAGGGACAGAATCAGGGGAGGGGTGTTGAAGCAGAGAGTTAGGAAAGGAAGGGAGGATAGCCACGACGTGCTCACCCACAGCTGCTCTTGGTTCCACCATTTCTTGGCTGCTTGATTGCACACAAATCACTGAACCTCTCTCTGCCTCATATCCATCTGAAAATAGGATAATAATAATAATAGTAATAGTACTAATATCTACCTTATAGACTTGTTGGGAAGATTAAGTGATTAAAAAATATTTATAGGGTGTCTGCTCTGCACAGACACCAAAATAAGCAATAAAAGTATTAACTTTTATTATTATTATGACTATAGTTATGATATAAAGAGCATCATAGGAGATGATAAGTGTTTTGGGGACAGCTGGCTTAACTCATATATTTTTTTAACTATTCTACTTCTTTAAAATCTCCTTTTATAATCCAGCAGCAAAAACACAATTATTTGATTTATTCTTATTTTTGTGAAGTAGGTAGGAAGGTATAAATGACCCCATATTTCAGGATGAGAAAAATGACTCAGAAAAGAAATAAGACAACTTATTCATAAAGACTGTAGATGGTAGGGTCAGAATGTTGATCTCAGATGATTGGACTATGAGTGATATTCACAAACGAACCAAGACAATGTGAGACAAAGACCTATGTTTCATTATGGGGGGTGGAATGAGGGATGACCAGGGGAAATGCAGTATCTCCTGTGAAAGGAGAGCTAGGATGAGGTGTCAAATTGGGTGTGTCCTCTGGAGCACAGGAAATGCAGGGACTGGACACCTGGGCATGATAAGACAGTCGCCTGACCAATTCCTGTTCACCCTTCAAGCCTCAGCTGCCAATATGTCACTTCTTGTGAGAAACCTTTTCTGATCTTCAGACTAGGTTTGGCCACCTCCTCCTTTCACAGTAGCCCCTGCTTCTCCTTGCTGCACTTTCATGTTTATAGTTGGTCTCTCCATGGATTGTCAACTTGGAGGGCAGATATTGTCATGACTATGCCCCAGGCTGAGCACTGTGACTGGCCCACAGCTGGGGCTCAGTGCATGCGATTGCTGAATGAATGAGCAAGAGGGAGGCTCGAGTGCCTAGAAAGTCGGATTGTGCTTAGTCATCTCTCAGCTTCTGTGGACTTTTGTGAAGCCTCCAGACTTAAACATCAGCTTGATTCTAGAACAAGCGTCAAGAAGAGGTACTCAATCTCCAACAGAACTGAAATTGCCATGGGTGGTTGAAGGTGAGAAGAAGTAGCAGATTTCTTTTATTGCTTAAAAATTGTCATCAGTGGTTGGGTGCGGTGGCTCACACCTGTAATCCCAGCACTTTGGGAGGCCGAGGTGGGTGGATCACCTGAGGTCAGGAGTTCAAGACCAGTGTGGCCAACAAGGTGAAACCCTGTCTCTACTAAAAGTACAAAAATTAGCTGGGCATGTTGTTGCATGCCTGTAATCTGAGCTACTCAGGAGGCTGAGGCAGGAGAATCACTTGAACCCAGGAGGTGGAGGCTGCAGTGAGCCGAGATCGCACCACTGCACTCCAGCCTGGGTGACAGAGTGAGACCCTGTCTCAAAAACAAACAAACAAACAAACAAACAAACAAACAAACAAATGTCATCAGTGTCTTCAGAACTCAGGACACAAGACGAGAAACACCAATCAGAAGTAAGGAAACACAGGTTAAACACAATGTCCTACAAATTGAGACCCAGGAAATGTAGAAGAGCTCAGCCTGCAGACCACAGAGAAAAGCAGGAAGAAATTATTTCAGGGAAAGTTTTCAGGATGGGGAGAGTCAAGAAGCATGTGCACCAGGCAAACCGTCCTGCAGGTAGGACCAACCCTTGCCAGTTTTGGAGCTGGTCGAGTCTGTTTGTGGAAACTGCAGATCCTCTTCTGGATCATCACACAAGTGTCTCGTCATCGCCCTGCTTGCCTCGCAGGTTTGATGATTCCTTTTTTTTTTTTTGGCTGGAGTGCAGTGGCGCAATCTTGGCTCACTGCAAGCTCCGCCTCCTGGGTTCACGCCATTCTCCTGCCTCAGCCTCCCGAGTACCTGGGACTACAGGCGTCTGCCACCACGCCCGGCTAATTTTTTTTTGTATTTTTTTGTAGAAACGGGGTTTCACCGTGTTAGCCAGGATGGTCTCGATCTCCTGATCTTGTGATCTGCCCGCCTCAGCCCCCAAAGTGCTGGGATTACAGGTGTGAGCCACCGTGCTCAGCGATGATTCTTTTTTTTTTAAATTCCACAACATCAATCAGATTTGGAGAACTCACATTCTTTATGAGGCTTTCCCAGAATAACATGCTCATGCCCCACTCCACTTTTGTCCTTCAGTAACTATGTCATCAGAAAGCTCTCTGTTTGTTAAGTTACAAAACTACATTTTAGGTGGTAAGATTGATGATCACTTTTTGTCTCCTCTCCCTTGCTCCTTTCATAAACCTTCAAGATCTGAATCTGGCTCTTTGCAGCCAGAGGCAACTGGCTTGAGGCTTTGGCTGCTTCAGGCTTCATCTAAAGCCTGAAGGGATTCACAAGTCTGCATAACCAAGACTCATTCGCAGCACACCACTGGGCCTCTGCATAGGATTGATACAAGCCTAGGGTAGCAGTGATCCTGTGGACAGACTGTTCTTGCTCTGGGTCTGCCTTGAGGCTGGACTCACCTTGATGCAGCCCCCAGATATATCCAAATTGTTCCCACATCAATGAGACTTGAGTATTTTACTGAGGACACATAGATGAGTATCTATGTGGCACAACAGAACAACCAAAGTCTGCATTTGATGATCTGTTGTTTACCTTTCCAGCTGTCTCATGCTTCATCCTTCTTTCACTTCTTTTAACTCTTAGAATATCAAATCTTTGCTCTGATCCTGAACAATTTGCTTCTCTCCCAAGCTTGTGTACTCTACTCAGCAAAACAGAGCCCCTGTTGTATAGCTGAACAGTGATATTCCTTGGGTGACTCGATTTACTCCACTATATCTAAAAAGGGAGTTTTTTTTTTTCACTTACCTTTGTTCTTGGTGCCATGATTCTTAGACTGGGCCATGACTCCATCTCTGGCAAGCTGTCTCAGCCTGGGTCCAGTCAGGAGATGGAAGCCACACAATGATTCAAATAGGGACATATAATATAAAGAATTATTAAGCTATGATAAAGGGTAACTATAAGATATAAGAAAAACCTTACAGGGTACCCTGGGGCTGAGGAGGAGTACACAGGAAGGACAAATGCATACTTGGGGGCTCCCTCTTTAGACCGAGGTTCAGACGTTATTGGAGAAGGTGTACTTGTAGCCCATTGGATGGCAGATAATTTTGCTGGTTTGTGTGGGCCAGAGCTGGTCTGCAGTCTCTGGGCAAGGAGGAAGCAACTCTTTAGGAGAAGAGGAGGAACAGGTGAGCAGCAGCTAGTGGCTAGGCAGGGCATGTCGGTATGCAGAGGGAGCAATGGCATCAGAACAGGCCAGTGTCAGTGTTGATAGGGTTCTGGGAAGGTGAGCACTAGGTAAGGCCAGAGCTTCAAGGTCAAGAGACCATGTCTTCTAAGTGTATGGCTGGGGTCAAGCACTATACACACCCTCACATAACACCCCTGACTGACTGTGCAGTCACAGGAAAAATAAGAGGAGTCCTTTCCTTTTGGGATATTGCTGCAATGTCCTCCTTAGTAAAAGCTTAATATCATGCTCACTGCACAAGAAAAACGCATGCGGAAATTCATCCATTAATGCAGAGCATGTATTGAAGGGTGAATTTGGAGCTAAGCAATAGATTGATAACTGGCACATAGGCTTCCTTGTCTCTGCTCATAGTAAGCCCTCAATAAATGTTGGCTAGATCCTTTGTCCCAAGCTAGCTAGCTGAGTTAGCAGATGCATGACTTAGAGAGAATCTTAGATTAAAAGCCAGGTGACATGGAGTTCGCTACCCCCTGTAGCATGAATTTTGTAACCTTGAGCAAGTCATTTACCCTCCCTAGGCCTTAGTTTCCTCATTTGTAAAATGAAGGGGGTGGGCTAAAAAGACAGCCATCAACATCCATCTTTAAGATATAAAAATATTAAAATACATTGTAATTTAAATAGCATAATTCTTTTAGTGTGGCTGTGATAAAATACTATATGAATCCTATAACTGAAGATTATCTTGCAATGGATGAGGATGCTGATTTCCTTCCAAGGAGGTCCCTCCACAAATGACAATACTGGGGTAGTGTTGTCCTGTTTCTTGTGACTATGGGATAAGAATTTTCCTTTTTAATCCTTTTTCTTATGAGTCATGCAGAAAACACATAAGGATATGTTTTTCTTATCACCATTATTCAATTATTGGCTTTCTCTCTAGGTAGAGAGATTTAACAAACAACATAAGTTATTTAGAAGGGTTCCTTTCTCGACGTTTTCATAAGAAAATGGCAAGTTAGTTTAACTTTCTCCCCTCCAAATATGACTAAATATTCCCTATGGATTCCAGTCCATTTCTGATTAAAAGGATATAAAAGAGGTAAGCATATTTTCTGCTGTCTTATAAAGGCATCTAGCAATAAATTGTTTGTGCTGAAGTTGAGAAAAATCACATAGAGGAATACATTTTTGACGCAAGAGAAGAATAAATTTGTAACTTGGAAGAATTTAACATTCACGTGTTTGAAATTATAGTGCAAAATAGACCCTAAGGGTCCAAATTAGATATTTCTGCTGGTAATATAAATCATTCATATGAGCAAATCAATATTTTTACAGGTGAAAATGCATTTTCTTTGCCAGTTAATGTGTTTTCTTTCCTTCACTCTTATATGAAATTGAATGACTTCCAAATATCTGATTAAATCATACCTTGCTTGGGATGTCATCTTGCCAGATAACTTAAGAATATCAAAGCCCTTGATGTGAAGCATATTTAAAAAGTGGCAGAACCAAATCCTTGGTGATCCTTGATAAATATTTTATGTGTATATACAATGCATTAAGATAGCTTATTTTTAACTATAAGTTGCAAGGTGGAGAATACATAATTGCTCTTCAAGGAAAGTACAGTTATAATTTATGTCATTAATAAAAAGCATTTCATAGAGGGAATTCTTCAGAACTCAACATGATAGTCCCATGTCGCTAATTTAAGTTTTAAATGAGTGGTAATGGGGGTGGTAATGTCTACATAAATGGAATAAATTTGAACAAAAATTTGTAAATGAATTCAATTGCATTTTTCAAGCGCCCACTTGCACTGAAAGCCTCTTAGAATGCTTACTTTAATGAAACCACAAATAGAAAAGTTCATGAAACCACCCGTCTAAGTGTATTACAGTTGCATTGTTTGTATATAAATAGACACTCTAAAAGTGGGCAAACAGCTACTTATAACTATGTTTAGTTTTGATTAGGACTCTATGCTAACCAAATCAGGGCACAGTTCTCACCAGCTCAGGACCATCTAAATATTGGTCAATTAACTTTACTCTATGTCAGGGTTGTTTGTCCTGACAGATGAGCACTGCTGATCAGTAGGAGGCCATTGAAAAGAATGAGAATGGGTTAAAGAATAGCCACTATGGTTGGAGACACACTTTTGAAGTCACACTAGTACCTTCCTTAATTTTTATTGTTAAAGAATAGCCTAGGAATGTTTGTTTATATAATGAGACAATAACATTTGCTGCTTCATTGAATATTACTTTTTGCAAAATAATTCTAAAAAGCATTTGAACACTTTTTATTTTCTAAGAAGCATTCTCCCATATATGCTATTAATGCTATTGGTTTTTTATAAGCCTTTTTTTCCCTCATAGGCAAATTAAAAAAAAAACACTGTGTGAATTATAATCAATTTCAAGTTGGCAAATTCAAGCTTGATGCATGTTGATTGCATATGTGTTAAACTCTGATGGTAGATAATTGGGAGGCTGTTAGTTCTTTTAGCATCAGAGTTGATTCCTGGTATAGTGGTTTGTTTTATCTTTTTTTCTCGTTGCTATTCTACCAGTCCACTCTGAAACTCCTTGTAACAATATCAACAAAATTTGGGTTGAAGAGTTTTGAAAAGTGCGTTTACTTCTTTATGAGAACTCTACCTGGTTCCATAAAGAGCATTTATCTTTAAACTGAAAACACCTGGACCCCTTTTCTAAAGCAACATCAAAATTACTTACATATTTCTACCTGCAGTGTAATGGGGTTTGCATAAAGAAAGCTGATAGGAAACTGGAGTGTGGAGTATTTTTCACAGCAATTATTTTGGAAAAGCTGCTACTTCTTTGTACAATTATTATATATAAAATTCACACTGAAACACATTCAGAAAAATTAACTTGCCCAATACATGTGTTTTTTTCTGGGTAAAGTGACCCAGCCACAGGTATAGTCTTATAAATGAGGGTTGTGTATGTGTGCATGTGTGAGCGTGTGTGTTAGCAAGAGAGGGAAGAAGAGTTAGGAGGATTAGCCCTCTACAGGTGCTAGCGAATCTAGCTCTACTGATTAGAGACAACTGAGGGAAAGTCTTTTTTCTTTTGTTCTCTGCAATTGCCTTATCTTAATATTTCTAACCCATGCATCTTGCTTTACTCCATCTTGTAATCTAGACCTGCTGATGCCACCGGCGAGGTTTGTCAGAGGCAGTCCAAAGGACACCGTTCACAAAGTTCTTGCCTGCTTTCAGGCAAGAGGCTCTAACTTTTTATTGGCTTTGGAGCTCCTTGTGCACCATTTCCTGATGGATGGTCAAATGAATCATGGGACCATGCAGATGTGTTTTGGCTCGATGCCAGGTGGTCTGAATTAGGAGATCTGGAGGAGCCAGTTGAGAAGCAGATATAGGAACCAGATGGGAATGAAATGCAGGATTCTCTTAGGTCATTTGGACTGGTATAACAAAATATCATAAATCAGGTGGCTTATAAACAACATTTCCCACAGCTCTGGAGCCTGGAAATTCCCAGATGAAAGTGCTAGCAGATTCAGTGTCTGATGAGGACCTGCTTTTTTGGTTCACAGATGGATTTTTCTTGCTGTATCACGATGAAAGGGGTGAGGGACCCTCTGGGGCCTTTTTAATAAGGGAACTAATCCCATTCATGAGGGCTCTGCCCTCATGACCTAATCACTTCCCAAAGGCCTCCAAATATTCTCACATGGGGAATTAGGTTTTAATATAGAAATTTGATAGGTGGGAGATGCACAGATTCAGATCACAGCAAGATCCATTTCGTGGCCTGTATAGGAAACTCCTTTTACATGCACCCAAGTCAAGACCATGGGAATTGCATGTAGAGGATATTAGGTTCATATTCATAAGGTAGATGCTTCTTTTCCAGACAATTGGAAGTTCACAGTGTGCTTGTAACCCTTCAAGTTCAGATAAACAAGAGTCAGAGGGCCAAGAGAGAAGGCTAGAAGACAGAGCAATTCAAGACTTCCAGTATGGAAGCAGGAGCTCACTGGAGAAGATTCTCTACTTCTGAGATCTGCTTGGTAGACAGCAATAACCAGACTCCAGAGGACAAACTATGCATGCTCAGGGGCCTTCCGCTGGCTTCCCCAGTTGGGGCAAATTATTTCTCTTCTTTTGGGTGGGAGGAATTGAGGAGAAGAGGAACAAATGGCTGTCAGATTCACTATTACTTAAGGTAAAATTGATGGTGGAAGTTTCTATTTCATGAACCAATACAGAACAAAGAGAAAGAGAGGGATTCCTCCTGTTTTCTGAAGCAGAGCATCTGAAACCTAGCTGGCCATCAAAATCCATGGGAGTTTAAAAAAATTACAAGTTCTTGGGCCTCACCAAAATCATACTCAGATTCAGATTTTCTAAGGTGGAGGCTGGGAGCCTGTGTTTTTGAAAATCTGACCTAGAAGTTCTGATGGTTAGTCAGGTGTGGGAACCATGACTTAAACTTGAGAACTTCATCTTCCTAAAGCTTTTTCAAGGGATTCACATGGCAGAAATACATTTTGTCTGCTGGAAGGAAATAGTCTAATCCATCCGAGTTTAAAACCACAGACAATGGTTAGACTGACTTTTAAATTAGATGGTCTTAAACTGCTTTACAAACTGTGCTTGCAGATGTTGAAATCAACATCTGGATGCATTATTACTGATATTGTTCAACCTAGTAGAAAGGAAATTCAATTATTGTACAGTGGTCATGTTGCATAACCAGAAGGAGTGTGGCGTGAGACAATAGTGAACACACATTGTTAGAATCATGGCAACCGTCCCAGGCTTGCGGATATCAGTAATGGTCGCCTAAGAATGGTTTTGTGGTTTAATTTCTCGTCATGGCACTGAGTCATGCTGTCAGCAGTATTTATACTACTGGGAAATAGCTAGGCATTATAAATGACTGTTTTGGAGACAAAAAGTGAAGTTGTTCAGTTTCTAATTTAAGTTTAAATGGCATTAGATTGCCATATACATACATACATATATATATATATATAAAATTTTTTTTTCTATTGGGCTAAGGACTCTACTACCGTCAAGGGAGAAATACAACATTATACACAGTGTAGAGGTTACAAGCCCAGATTTTAGAGCAAACTACAGACTGCCTGGGCTCAGTACTAGCTTAGCTACTGACTTCTGGGCTGCTGATCTATTGTCAAATTGGGTCATTTGTCCAATAATGTGCTCCCTATTTTGGGTTTGGCTTATTGATTCTTCAAGGTGTTGCTCGGCTTGTCCCTAGACCCCCAAGTTTTCTGTAATCTGGTAGTTAAATCTGTAGGCTTAACTTTTAGAAAAAAATTCTTCCTACTACCACATTCTTAAAGATTCAAACATAGTATTAGCACCTAAATTTATATCACTATTTTATAACAAGTTTGCATCATCTAGTTTGTAACTTGAACTCGGATGCACTAATTTACTGCACAGTTTGGTGATGGAAGGAGAAGTTCTCCTTACAAGATGGCATTTATTTGAAAGAAGAAAGATTTTTCTCATGGGATCTCTTACCAACTTATCTAAATGCTTATGTTAGGCAGGGGAAAAAGGCAGAGGAAAATTTTTATTATTATTATTATGCTTTAAGTTCTAGGGTACATGTGCACAATGTGCAGGTTTGTTACATAGGTATACATGTGCCATGGTGGTTTGCTGCATCCATCAACTCATCATTTAAATTAGGCATTTCTCCTGATGTTATCCCTCCCCCAGCCTCCTACCCCCAAAACAGGTCCCAGTGTGTCATGCTCCCCTCCCTGTGTCCATGTGTTCTCATTGTTCAACTCCCACTTATGAGTGAGAACATGTGGAGTTTGGTTTTCTGTCCTTGTGATATTTTGCTAAGAATGATGGTTTCCAGCTTCATCCATGTCCCTGCAAAGGACGTGAAATCATCCTTTCTTATGGCTGCATAGTATTCCATGGTGTGTATGTGCCACATTTTCTTTATCCAGTCTATTATTGATGGACATGTGGATTGGTTCCAAGTCTTTGCTATTGTGAATAGTGCCACAATAAACATACGTGTGCATGTGTCTTTATAGTAGCATGTTTTATAATCCTTTGGGTATATATCCAGTAATACGATTGCCAGGTCAAATGGTATTTCTAGTTGTAGATCCTTGAGGAATTGTAACACTCTTTTCCACAATGGTTGAACTAGTTTCCACCCCCTCCAACAGTGTAAAAGCATTCCTATTTCTCCACATCCTCTCCAGCACCTGTTGTTTCCTGACTTTTTAATGATCATCATTCTGATTGGTGTGAGATGGTATTTCATTGTGGTTTTGATTTGCATTTCTCTGATGACCAGTGATGATGAGCATTTTTTCATATGTCTGTTGGGTGCATAAATGTTTTCTTTTTAGAAGTGTCTGTTCATATCCTTTGCCCACTTTTTGATGGGGATGTTTGTTTTTTCTTGTAAAATTGTTTAAGTTCTTTGTAGATTCTGGATATTAGCCTTTTGTCAGGTGGATAGATTGCAAAAATTTTGTCCTATTTTATAGGTTGCCTGTTCACTCTGATGATAGTTTCTTTTGCCGTGCAGAAGCTCTTTAGTTTAATTAGATCCCATTTGTTTATTTTGGCTTTTGTTGCTGTTGCTTTTGGTGTTTTAGTCATGAAGTCTTTGCCCATGCCTGTGTCCTGGATGGTATTGCCTAGGTTTTCTTCTAGGATTTTTATGGTTTTAGGTCTTACATTTAAGTCTTTAATCCATCTTGAGTTAATTTTTTTATAAGGTGTAAGGAAGGGATCCAGTTTCAGCTTTCTATATATGGCTAGCCAGTTTAGACAGAGGAAAAGTTTAGCTGTGATAAAGACAAGACAACTGTAGAGTATAACATATTTTGGAGACAGGATCCACTAGCTTTGATCTGAACTTGGCCATGTTTTTAGGTGTTCTTTGGTAAATTGTTTAAGTTCTTAGAATATCAGATTCTTATCCTCAAAAATGGGAAAATTATACCTACCCTCTAGGGTGGTTTTTATGATTAAATAAAGCAGTGCACATAGAAACATCTACTACAGGGCTTGACATGGATTATGCCTTCAAATAGTGTTCATTTTTTCTTTGTTCTAGAAATATTACTTGAATACACAATTTAAGCCCAGCTGGGCATCAGATGTTGTGTTGAGGGTTAAAAGAAGTATAAGATAGTGCAGAGCACAGTGCCTGGCACAAAGTAGATTCTCAATAAATGTATTTTAATGTTGAGTTGGGGCCTGGCACAGTGGCTCAACCCTGTAATCCAAGCGCTTTAGGAGGCTGAGGGGAGCAGATCACTCGAGGTCAGGAGTTCAAGACCAGCCTGGCCAGCATGGCAAAAACCTGTCTCTACTATAAATACAAAAATTAGCCAGGAATAGTGGCACATGCCTGTAATCCCAGCTACTCGGGAGGCTGAGGCATGAGAATCGCTTGAGCTTGGGAGGCGGAGGTTGCAGTGAGCTGAGATCATGTCACTGCACTCCAGCCTGGATGATGGAGTGAGACTCTGTCTCAAAAAAAAAAAAAAAAAAAGAAATTGAGTTGGAAATATTTCTGCCCCAAATGAGCTTCAGTGCAATGGGAACACACACACACACACACACACACACACACACACACACACACGCACACCTCATTCTACCAACTGATGCTGACTATAAGGGCTGGAGGAATACCGTTGTGAGAGTCATCAGTGACAGCTAACATGATGAAGTTCTCATAAAGGAGATCAGATTAAAAACTGAGACTAGAAAAGTATGGTTAACATCTGGACAAGCAGGGAGCATTGGCAAGGGCACTCCAGATTTGAGGCATATAGCCGTGAAGGAGCAGAAGAATGTAAGCCAGCAAATTTTTCTAGTAAGTAGACATATGTGACTGATTAGAAAGGAAGATTCATGAAATGGAGCATCAGAAAAGCCTGAATGTCTTGATGGAGGTGAGATTGAGAAAAGCCTCAAATACCTCAGTAGGCAGTATGGATTTTATTCTAGACGACCAGAGAAATGCAAAAGCATGAATGTATCATGGTAAAGTAGGTATGTAGAAAAGTGTATTTAGAACATAATGGATTTGGAGGAAGCACTAATGGCCTGAAGGATATTACTTAAGAGGCTATTGTTAAAATCCTGCCCTGAGACAAAGAATCTTAGGTGACTTCTTGTTCATATGGATTTAGATCAGGAAAGTGCTGGTACCATATTATATCAACAAATAAGTCTAATGTTTGAAGCACATTGCTTTGGAGTTTTTAGTCTTTTTTTTCTAGTGCTTACAGCCAAGGTTGCTTGCGGTGCCAAGGATGAACAGAGAGCTGGAATTCCCCACATGTCTGGAAGACCTCTAGACCCCTCCAGTCTGATTGTGCAGGGTACTGGGAAGAGCAACAACTTTGGTGTGAGACAGCTAGTGCTATCTCTAAATGGGAGTAATGATGTAGATAAGCACAGGAGCTGGCCTGCTAGTTCCCTCTGTGGCCAAGTATGCAACTAGTGGAAGGGTCAGGTTTACACCACTTTCACAGTGGTGGCTGGATAAATTCCCATGGTGGCCATTTTTTGTTTGCTCCCAATGGGTCATAGATACTTTATGTTTAACCTTGGAGACTGCAAAGAGGGTATACTGCATTTTGGAGGTGAGACCATGAGGAAGAATGTGCTAGTTATCCCCATAGGCTCCTGTCTCTGAATCCTTTACCTGGTGATCCATCCGTAGACTTTTTCGCTATAACATGGTTCTTACTTTGGCTGGAGGAAAGGACATTATATTGCAAAGATACATCCGCATCATTGCTTCCACAAGACCTTTTACTCTTGCCTGTCCCAGCTATTCCTCAACAACTCCTTGTAAGTAAATTCAGGTTTAATTTCCAGCTGAGAAAAACTAGATGAGCGATTAAGTCTTGATCATCATCACCTGGGGAGACAGAGTTATTTAGTTCAGTGAGCTGTGAGCCTGAGGCGTTTTGTAGTGACATAACATTCTGACGTAAATTGTATTCTGTGAAATGTGAATTTCAGCACCAAAATATGGCAGTCCTCACTATTATCCTCTTTGAAATGTAAATTACCATCAGCCAATGAAGAGCAACATTTTTCAAGTTTATAAACATGCATGGAGTCACCACATATAGCTGCTTGCCCCAAGCGTGGGCTCTGTAAGCCTACGTACTTCTGGTTGCCAATTTTGTGGAGCCAATTTAATGAGAATGAGCATCAGGCACATGAATCACGATGTTTTGGATTGATTTTCATAGTATCCAGTAAGTGAGTAAGTAATGAGTGCAAATGTTTGCATTTCTATAGGTTTTGCATCAACATAATACCTCTTTGTATTACTGCCAAGCCTACCCCTACTCTCCTGAATTGACTTTAGCTATGGAAAGTAAAATTGAAATAGAGGAGCTGCTTCTCTTTGAATGCTGACAGAATTTTATGCTGGCTTTGAACGCTGGGTGGCAGACGTGCTCTTGTTAAGATTTGTTGAGCGAGTTTGGAATGACTTTGCTCTGACAGAGATGAGGAGCTCTCTTAATTAAATGAGTCTACCCCCCCACACAAGAGCCACACAGGATGTTCCCATCGAAATAGACATCTATTTTGCAATCCACAGGGAACATGTTTTTACATTATTGATGGCTTAGTAGGGGATGCTTTTTTGAAGCGTTTCAATTCATTTCAGTAATGGAGTGGAGTCACTAAGATCTCAACCTCTCATTCGTCAATGGTGAATATTAGGAGGAAAATGAAATCTGGATTTAAAATTCAGATATCACATTTGGTACTAAAAATCTTTGCCCAAGATTCATGGGGTCCTAGAAAAGGCTAACAGAGCAGACTGTGAGATGTAATTTTCTCTCATGATTGTGGCAAGATAAATGCTTAATTGCACATCATTGAACTTAAGATTTAGGTTGGTCCTCAGTAATCATCTAATGACTAGAACTTTTCAAGAAGAAATCAACCCTAGCTGTGGCTAAAACTCACCTGGGTGCTTTCAAAATCCACAGGTGCCTGGAGGTGGGTCACAGGCATGGGTGTTTTTCATTTGAAAAGCTGCACAGGTGATTCTGGAGTGAAAGTTCCTCCTTTGGAATAACATTTGTAATTTCTTAAGCTTAAAATAAACACATTCTCAAGATCTGCCTCATCAGGGTAACAGCCCACAATTATTACAAGAGCACAGAAGGGAAGTAGGTGCCCCAAACCTAGAAAGATGTCTGAGAATCCTCTCACTAGTTCCCCCTGTGTGTCTCTGAGGCTGAAGTGCAACAGTAATGTGAAGTGTCATTTGTTAACAGCCTTTGACTTTGTAGTACTGAATTGTTTATTATATTATCAAAAGCAATCAAGAAGGTACTGGGCATAAAGCACTAGGTTAATTGGAGTTGAGAAAGGTTTAGGAGCTTGCATCCAGGCCTGAGCATGCAGAGATACAGAAATTTAATGGTCATCCAGACTATAACAAAGAAGGAGAAAGATTCTGATTAGCAAATTTGGAGATTCCACAGAACAGACTTTATATAAATGTTATCAATTTTGCCACTCACTGCCTAGGCTCATGCTTAATATGGAGGAGTCAAATATGATGGTATAATTCTTCCCTGGGCAGAAGCAGAAAAGCTGAACACAGTGTTGTCAAAGCCATGTTGCAAACTCCGAGTGACGATGGAGATAATAAGGTCAAGTCCTGTGAGCAAGTGCACAGTACTCTTTGTGAAGGTCTTAGGGTTCAATGGAATGACTGCTGACTTATATCTCTAAGACAGCACAATGGTAGACTAAAATGTTCATTAGCTAAATGTATGAGAACACAATTGACTTGACTGTTGTTTTTCCTCTGGTCGATCTGTTAGTTTAGTGTTATATAAGCATATCCTGAATAGTCAGTCAATTTGAGTCAACTGTATCTAATATAGTCAGTTAAATGGAAAAAAAAATCAGTTGAACTTTTTATTTGGCATAAACATAACATAAAATACAAAACATTTTAACTGATTGCAGCTTTCAGTTTTAGCACTGGTATGGCATGGTTAGCCAGTCTAGGCTTTAAAATATCAAGAAAGATAACACTATTTTGTTCACTTTAAAGTGGGTAATTTTGTGTTAAGTGAATTTCACCTCAATAAAAAAACAAAATAAAATAACTAAATAGAGCAAAATTTCCACTTGGGGGAAAACTTCCTAATTACTATTAGCTATCTATTCTATCAGTTTTTTATTATAAATCACTAGGTCCTTTCTTCATTATGTTCTTTAGTAATACATACTATGTTATACTCTAGGAAAGCAAATATAGAAATCAGGATATATAATGAAATATGCACTAATGACATTTGGTATCTCTGATTGCCCATATGGTTAATAAATTGCAAAAATATGTGCTTTGGAAACCAATTTGTTTAGTCGTCTAGAATTTACAGTGATCTTGTTCTAGTTCATAATTAATGTACAGGGTTTAGCCACAATACCCAGAAGCAGGACCTACCAACAAGGCCTTTAGCCAAAGCAACTAAGAGTAGCCCAAGGCTCTAAGTTTTGTATGTGGCACCGAGGCAGGGGTAAGGGTCAGAAGAGATGAGCCCTAGGGCTTCTTGTACCACAGATTCCAAAGTTCTGTGAAACCAAAAAGAAACACATTTTCCAAACTAGATTTCTTTTTAACCACATTTTTAGAGATTGCAATTTTTTCTCCAGGGAAAAACCTCATAAATATTCCTTTGGAATTTAGTCAAGTATTTATAACTTTAGCTCAGAGATGGAATTGCTGGCAACTGTAAATATTTCTGACATTATGCCTTATTTGCCTTTCTGAAAGCACTCACCAAAGTCACAGCACTCAACCAAAGTCCAGCACTCACCATTCTCTTTGGAAAGAGCATGGTACAAAGCTCACTGGATGGTGCAGAAGTGGCAGTGGGATGGTTTGAAAAACTGGCTTCTGACTGTAGCAGGCTGAACTCTAAAGCTAGAAGTTTAAAATAATCAAGTCAACAACCATATATAAGAGGAAACAGATGCCTAAAAGGCATCCCTATTTTTTTAAAATATGAAAATCGTTTACTTTATTAATAGAAAAAAATTTCTCTCTTGTTTTTGATGTTCAGTGACTAATCAATTATAAATAAACTAGATAAATGTAGGCATTTTCTGTTTTCCCATAATTGATTGATTTTGCTTGGCTTTAGTCCTTCACAGTCAGACTCCTTTGCTTAATGAAAGGTGCTTGCAATGATTAACTGACTGAAATACCACATTTGACAGAAAAGGTTGAAGCATTTTCACAGTGCTTCTGTGGTTTTGTCTGATAAATGTGAACTGCTTTATCTGGTTTTTCAATAAATAATTTGCCTACATTGTAATGAAAATGACAATGAAGTGTCCTAAATGCTATGTGAATGCCCTGCTCTTCATGAATTATCCAGGTAATTGCAATCGTTCTTTGCCTTACATGAATTATAGTGATCAGGTCAACAGGTGCTTTGCAAAACGGAAATTTGTGAATATAATTTAGCTGGGAACTAGGAAGCCTGATGAAAAATAGTGAAGAGTTCTCTCTCCCTTAAATATCCCATACATCATAGCACATTATGGCCTGAGAATTAATTTGAGCTTAGTTTTGAAGTAAGCCAGACAGAAAGTTTCATATCTTGTATATTTTTTCTGTTAATTGTATCAGTTGCAGGTTGATATTATATGTGCCAAAATTGTTCCACAGATGTGCTTTATTTAGCCTTCATGTTGTCATCTGTCTTATGAAGTTTCCATTTATTATAATTTTGCTTTTCTTATAGCAGAATAAAAAGGAAAATGCAATTATGTCATAAGTATCTTTCTATCAAAAGTGGAAGAGTAAAATCTAGACCTAGAAGGTCATGCCTTTTCTAGAAAACTCAAAGAACATTTTTTTGTGTGTGTGTGTGGAACTGCAGAGTAGTCTAAATCCAGAGGGTGTCTTTGTTAAAAGAATAAATGTAAACCACTATTGTGCAACAAACCTTGTCTACTTCTACCTGGACCCTGTAAAGTCATTTTGGTTCAAGAACACTATTTTACACAAGAATTGCAGTTTTCTTTGATGGTTTGTGATTTATCCTTTCTGATTCCTTCCACATGTTTGTGTCTTTAGTAAAAATTAATTATTTACAAACATTGTCTCAATTTTTTATTTTTCCCTTCCTACTGCCTGGCAGGATACAGCTGTCCAAGGTCCTGAAACTCTTTCTTAGCATACCGTTTCTCAGTCTTGGCTGACCATTGGAATTCACCCAGGGAGCAAAAGAAAAACAAAACAGAACAAACAATGCATGGGCATCACGTCTAAAGATTCTGGTTCAATTGGTTTTTAAGATGCTCACCCGGCAATTGTAATGTGTGAGCTCACCTGAGAGCCACTGTGACTACGGTTGTTTTATTTTGATACTTCTGTTTAACCTCTTTGTCTCTGCATAGCTTTTTTTTTTTTTTTTTTTTTTTGAGTCTCTGTCGCCCAGGCTGGAGTGCAGTGGCGCGATCTCTGCTCACTGCAAGCTCCGCCCCCCGGGTTCATGCCATTCTCCTGACTCAGCCGCCCGAGTAGCTGGGACTACAGGCGCCCGCCACTACACCCGGCTAATTTTTTTTGTATTTTTAGTAGAGACGGGTTTCACCTTGTGAGCCAGGATGGTCTTGATCTCCTGACCTCGTGATCTGCCCACCTCGGCCTCCCAAAGTGCTGGGATTACAGGCGTGAGCCACCACGCCCGGCCTCATCTCTGCATAGTTTTATTATGTATTACTACTCTTTTACATTTCTTCTTTGGCAAAGATAATATGTGATTTTTTTCATAGCTATAGGACACTTAGAACCAGAATTTTTGTTTCATGATGCACTTAAATAGAAGTTTTGGCTGACCTTTTGTGTTTCTGTCAGATACATTTTCCCTCCTTCTGGAAATGTTTTTGTGATACATTAAAAACTCAATTCTTGGCCGGGCGCGGTGGCTCACGCCTGTAATCCCAGCACTTTGGGAGGCCGAGGCGGGCGGATCACGAGGTCAGGAGATCGAGACCATCCCGGCTAAAACGGTGAAACCCCGTCTCTACTAAAAATACAAAAAATTAGCCGGGCGTAGTGGCGGGCGCCTGTAGTCCCAGCTACTTGGGAGGCTGAGGCAGGAGAATGGCGTGAACCCGGGAGGCGGAGCTTGCAGTGAGCCGAGATCCCGCCACTGCACTCCAGCCTGGGCGACAGAGCGAGACTCCGTCTCAAAAAAAAAAAAAAAAAAAAACAAAAAACTCAATTCTTGTATTTTAGGAGGCATGTTATAATTAGATAGGCCTTAATTTTTAGTTCAAGTGTTGCTTGAAGACTTGAGGGAAATGAGAATAGGAAAAAGCACTGTTGTAATTAGAGAGACATGATGGCTCTGCAATTTTTGAGAAATATTATGGGGTAAGAAGATATGAATTACATTTGACCCAAAGAGTATTTGACCCAAGACCTTGGACTATTATTCCAATTTAACCATGCAAAGTCCCCACTAGGAATATATTAATATTTTCATGGAATAAAATGATGGAACCAAGGCACATTCTTTATTCTGCTCTGGCTGTGGCCTTTAATGGTCTACACTGAGCCAAATGGAAATTATAATTGCTCATCCTAAGGGCAGTTCTGAGGTCTAGAACTAAAATGGATTGTGTGGTTTATTTCACTAGTTACCCATTGGAATGATCTGGGATTTTTTAAAAAAACTGTTTCGTGGGTTCTCCTCTCCTCTGCCACCAGAAATACTGGCTAAATTGGTATAACATGTGCCTTGGCCTACAGAATTTAAAAAATCCAGCAAGGTGAATTCAAATACGTAGTCAAGGATAATAACAATCACTGATCTTTTCTATTTCCCTCCCATTAAGTGTATCCCTGAGTCTCAGATTTTTCTTGTGTAATGGCAAGGGCCAGAGGCACCCCAGAAATGATGAATAAAAGAGCAAGAAGCTCTAGTAACTCTCAAGAAAGAGTCATCTCCAGGCTCACCTTTCCTCACCAGTTGAGTAAAGTAGGTCTTCAAAGAGAAAGCAACCAAAGTAAAATGGAGATGGACAGGTTTTTCCCCAGGAAAAAGCAAGCCCTGTTCTTGTCTTCCTTCAGCTTCAAGGAATCAAAAGAAGACAAAGAAAGAATATATATTTATGCATATGATGTTTGAATCCCTTGAAAAATGCACATTCAATAGCAGGGATCAATACAGAGACAAACTCCTTGTCTTTTGGAGTAGAATGAGGTGAGCAAGTCAGGAAAGTATCAGTCCTGATCCCACTTTTATAGATCTACTGGTTCAGTCTCTGCATCTTCACCCATGATCGTGAGAGGAGCAGTTCAGTCTCCCAAGGCTTTCATGAATGCCTCTGATGATAATATGTTTTTGAGATTAACCCCAAGACCACTCTGTACACTACCTGATAGGCCATCCTCTTTCTATATTTGACATGAATGTTGTTGAAATATGTTTTATGTGATCCTCATTGAGACTAAAGACCCTAGAATCAAATCATCTGGGCTTTGTGTCTTAGAGTCACTAATTACTACCTGTGTTGACCTTAGTAAAATGCTTAGTCTTTCTGAACTTTTAAAAATTACTTTTACCATCTGTAAAGTAACTGTAGCTACTTCATTAGGTTGTAGTTAATAATAAAGAAATGAATACATAAATATGTAATGAACAAAAATAGAATAATGGATGTGATAGCACTTAATACTTACAGCATATAGTAAGAAGTCATTTACTGTCAGATATTCCTCCTCCTCCTTTTACCCTACCCCTCCAGCTCACCACATAGTGTTTTACTGCTTGCACCAGAGTAAAGTCCAGACAAAAATAACAGCAATAATAATATCTAATATTTATTGAGCAATTATTATGTGCAAGATATTTTTCAGGCATTATTTCACTTGATTTTCTTATACTAACCACTCTGAGATGGTTAGTATCATTATATATCTCATATTATAGGTGAGAGACAGCTCAGAGGCATTAAGTAATTTATCAGCAGATCCAACAAGTGATGGATCTAGCATTTCAACCCAGGTCCATCTACTTTATAATGATAGAACACAATAAACCTAAAGTGAGCAATATGAATTTCCTTAGTAAGTCAATCCTTAGTTTCATCAGAGAAATTAAAGTCACAATAAATTGAATGTCTTTTTTTCTTGTTGCCATACAAAGACTAAAGTCCCCAAATATGTATAAAACCATTTATTTTTCCCAATTTTCTTTCTTGGTTAACTCATATTCTCTGTCAGTGATGGCTTATATGGAATCTGCGCTTCTTCTACAGCAGCTATCTTTCCCTGGAACTGCAGTGATTCCTTTAGCAACGTCAGCTATCTCAAAATTTGAATTGTCTTGATTCCAGCTGTCACATGTCTTCTATGGTACTAAAGTTCCAACAACACAAAGAGCAGACACAATTGTGACATCAAATATTCCTGTTTCAGCAACTGTCAATTGGAGCAGCAGTTTCCACATCAAATCACATTTTCCAGGAGAAAGTATTAGCTGGAACTTAACATGTATCGCATTCTAGATCTACATTGCTGATAAGGACCATAGACCATAACAGAGATTTATCTGGGAGAAGTTGATGGATAGAATAAACAAAAGAGAGTGAAAGACAAAGATTTCTTGGTTCCAGCTTTGCCAGGTAGTAATCAATCTATGCCAGTTTTACAGAATGAAGCACCTGTGAACTTACAACTCAGTAAGGAGGAATCTCCCATTGAAAGGTTAATTGTGACACAGTAGCTCTTGTACCCTGGAGGAAATCCACCACTGTTCAAATTGTCTTTTATCCAAGGGTGGCATCTAAAACTCCTGTCTTTCTGCAAAATGTAGAACCTGCTATAGGGGCAATGCCCATCTTCAGGTCTTCTTGAGGTCTTTCTTTCCTTTGTTGTCCATTTTGTTGTATTAAACCTCTAAGCCTTTTTTTTTCTATCTCTCTTTGACGTTCTACATCTTTGGGCTTCATTGCTGAGTTGGTGTATGTATTAGTCAGTTCAGATTGCCATAAGTAGACCACAGGCTGAATAGCTTAAACAAAAGAGTTTATTTTCTTGTTGTTCTGGAGGCTAGAAGTCCCAGATGAAGGTGCTGGCAGATTCGGTTTCTTGTAAAGGCTCTATGCCTGGCTTGCTGACAGCCACTCTCTTGCTACGTCCTTACATGACCTTTCCCCTATGTGCACATAGGGAAAGATGGGGACAGAAAGAGAGAGAGAGAGCAAGCGAGAGAGAGGGAGAGAGAGAGAGAAAGAGAGAAAGGGAGAGAGAAGGAAACTATGGTGTCTCTTCCTCTTTTAATAAGGACACCAGTCCTATTAGATTGGGGCCCTACTCCTATGACCTCATTTAACCTTAATAACTTTCTTGTGAATTCTACCTCCAAATACAGTGACATTGGGGGTTAGAGCTTCAATTGGGGGGAATGGATATAATTTAATTCATAGCAGTGTGGGTTCTTTCTAGGGATACAAGGCTCACTCTTTTTTGTAGCAGAGTACTCTACATTTATAACAGGCATTTCCCTAAGAAAAATTCATGACTTCTGCATTTTTTTTTTTTGCCCTAGCACCATGTAGGCTTTCTTGGCTTTGCACTATTCTTACACGTCAGTACCTTTTCATCTGAAATTCCTTAGATCTGTGAGAATTTTATAGAGGAGGATTATCTTCCTCTCATTCCCTTAACATATTCCTACTAATTTACTTCTTCTTCTATCTATCCAGTTCAGGCTTCATTGTTGCTTTTTCCCCTTGAATTTTCTTTTGTGTACAATACTGTTCATTGTTCAAAACCAGGTGCTTGAGGCCACCCTTGCTTTCTCTCAGTCCAAAATAAAAAGGAAATATAATCAGACGGTTATACCAATGGGTTCTTCTTGGCCACTGCCCAGAAAAGCCAATGCACTGAGAACAGCAGCTATTGCAGAAAAGAAAGAGTTTAATAATTGCAGGCCAGCCAAGCTGAAGGATGGGAGGTATTTCAAAAATCTGCCTCCCTGAGAATTTGGAGGCTAGGATTTTTCAGGGATAGTTTAGTGGGCAGGGGGCTAGGGAATGAGGAATGCAGATTGGCTGGGTCAGGGATGAAATCCTAGGGGGTTGAGGCTGTTTCTTGCACTGAGTCATTTCCTGGGTGGGGGTAACAAGATCAGTTGAGTTAGTTTGTTGTTGTGGGTTGCTGGTCCAGGATGTGGCAGCTGATTCATCAAAATACAAAGTCTAGCTGGGTGCAATGGCTCATGCCTGTAATCCCAGCACTTTGGGAGGTCAAGATGGGAGGATCATTTGAGCCCAGGAGTTCAAGACCAACCTGGGCAACATAGCAAGTCCCCATCTCTACTTTTTATTTTAAGAAAGCAAAATACAACGTCTAAAAGATACTTCAATCACCAGTCTTCAATTTTACAATAGTTATGTTATATATAGGAGCAACTGGGAAGGTTACAAATCTTGTGATCTTTGGCTGCATGACTCTCAAGCCATAACTCTAACACTGTGGCTAATTTGTTAGTTTTACAAAGGTGATTTCTGTTCCTAAGCAAGGAGGAGGTTAGTTTCAGAAAAGGACTGTAATTATCTTTGTTTCAAAGTTAAACTATAAATTAAATATCCCCCATAGTTAGCTTGTCCTACACCCAGGAATGAGCAAAGACAGCTTGTGAGGTTAGAAGCAAGATGGAGTCAGCCATGTCAAATTTCTCTCACTGTCCTTGTTTTTGCAAAGTCATTTTTAAGGCCTTCTTTGAGCCAATCCCACCTCTGTCCTTTTTAGCTTCTAGGAATAAAATACATGTAAAGGATGACTATAATCATGTATATTTGAACTTCAACCCCTTTGGAAGCTCTCCCTCCTGGAACTGTAGCCCAGTAACTTGACCAATATATATTTAGTCTTTGGGATGATGTAAGAAGTAGCTAAATGGAACATAAGGGAGCCACGAACTTTCCCTAATTAAACCTCAGAGCACACCACAGATTCTGAGCACAGCCATCACTGCAAATTTAGGAAATCATGGAAAAAGTCAGGCACTTGCACTGCCATTCAATAGCTCTCCACAATATTTTACTTAATGAGCATCTCTATCCCTTGGCCCTCTGAAGGTTTGCTGAGAAATCACTGACATGAGGCAAATTGATGGGAGAAAAGGGGCACAAATTTATTGAATGTGTATAAATGAGAGCTTCATGATGAAGACCCCACCACCACCAAGCTTCTACACCACTTTGAGGTTATAGAAATAATGCAGGCTCAGAGCATGGTCAAAACCAGGTTAGGTTGGCGAATCAAATGTTAGTGTCAAGACAGGTTATGAGAGGGAGAAAGGAAGAAGCCTGGCTAGCAAAGGTGACCTTATTATGTAGATGAAGACTCATAGGTAGCAGCCCTCAAAAAGAATAGGTGCTAAATGTTTCTTTACAGAACTTTAAAGGTGTCAAACAATCAGTTACTCTCTCTTAGATCTAAGAAAGACCTAGAAAGGGAAGGGCTGGCTGAACCAAAGGAGTTTTTCTTCAGAGGCAAATTTCCCCCACAACAGATAACTTTGCAAGGCCACTTGTGTCTGGTGGCCCTGTGGCATCCATTTCAAAATATGTCAAAGAAATATATTTTGGGGTAAAATACTTTGATGTCCTTCACTCTAAATATAAGGTGAGGTAAGCCACTGCTGGTGGGTTTGTCTTTGATTGTTTGTCTTTGATAGGCAAGATGTAAAAAAAAAAAAAAGAAAGAAAGAAAGAGACAGGGTCTTGTCTGTTGCCCAGGCTGGAGTGCAGTGGCACAATCATAGGCAAAGCTCACTGTAGCCTCAAATTCTTGGGCTCAAGTGGTCCTCCTGCCTCAGCCTCCCAAGTAGCTAGGACTACAGGCATGCATAGGCAGGTTTTGTAGTACTTAACACCGTAGACACTGGCTTCAAATTCTATCAGTGCAACTTATTTGCTGTGTGAACTTTAGTCCAATTAATTCAGGTCACCAAATCTTCATTTCTCATCTGTAGTACCTACTTAGTAGCATCTGTTGTGAGAATTAAATCAGATAATATATGTTATCTGATATGGTTTAGCTGTGTCCCCACCCAAATCTCATCTCGAATTGTAGCTCTCATAATTCCCACATGTTGTGGGAGGGACCCAGTGGGAGATAATTGAATTATAGGGTCAGTTTCCCCCATACTGTTCTCATGGTAGTGAATAAGTCTCATGAGATCTTATGGTTTTATAAAGGGAAATTCCTTTCTTTTGGCTCTCTCTCTTTGCCTGATGCCACCCATGTAAGATGTGACTTGCTCCTCCTTTGCCTTCCGCCATGATTATGAGACCTCCCCAGCCACGTGGAATTGAGTCCATTAAACCTCTTTCCTGTATAAATTTCCAATCTCAGGTATGTCTTTATTCTCAGGGTAAGAAAAGACTAATCCATGTGTTAAGCATGTAGCACAGGATGTGGCATATCAGGAACATTGAATTAATTGTGAATCACTCCCCTTCTTTCTTCCTTCTCCATCGTCAGCATCACTATCCATCATCATCATCTCTGGAGGAGACAGTATGATGGGAGGCAGAGAAAGCACAGTATGGGGAAGAAGAGGGAAAGCCCACAAGACATAGCAGATTATGTTGCTGATGATAATAAAAATAATAATTACCATTTATTAAATATATTTTGTGACAGATAATAGACATGTGCTTTTTATAACATTATTTCCATTTAATTCTCATAATATTATAAAATATGTATTATTATCTTCATTCTTTAATGGTAGAATAAAGCTCAGAGAAGTTAAACACATTATTCAAGGACAAACAACTATGGAATGGTTTAATGTGTACATGCTTTCCGCTTTTCAACATTTATTTTCTTTGACCTGACTTCAATGTTGATGCTTTTTTCATTTGTCTATGCTTTATAAAAAATTTTACTTTTTAAAAATCAACAAATAATACTTGTACATATTTATGGGGTATATAGTGATGTTTTGATACATATAATGTATAGTAATCAGATCAGGGTAATTAGCCTATTCACCACCTCAAACATTGATATTTCTTCTGAAATGCAGCCTGAACTCCTCTCTGTGGATCCAATTGCTGTCACAGCCACACTGCATAGCCAGGTGGCTCAAAGGCAACTTGGGGAATAGTAGACTGAGCCACGTGTACTCATGGCACACGTGTACTCATGGCACACGTGTACTCAGAGCCACATGGCACTAGGAAACATTGATAAAATACTGTAACTTGGTGTTAATAAAACAGATAATTATGTAGAGGAGAGTGATATATTTCTTATCACCTTAGCCTCAGATTTAATCACACCGATAAGATTTAATCTCACTAATCTACTTTGCAGTAGCTTTCCTTCCTGGTGCTGTTCAGAAACAACAGTGGTCCTGGCTGCATCTCACAATGAAGGGAGCTCAGCTGGCTGAGCATAGTGCTAATGAGACTCAGGTCAGGAGGCCATTTCTCCTGGAGTCGAGCCTTTAGGCACACTCTGCTCCAGGGACAGATGAGGCCACAATTTCAGCCCCCTCTCATCTCACATGTGGAGAGTTCTTGACCAGAAGGGGACAAATTCAAAGTAATTTTCATAGACCTGGTCAATAAACTCTTCCACTGGAGATGGTATTGCATTGCTAGACATATCTTGAACTACAAATCTTGCTTGGTGAAATTTGTTTCAATTGAGGGTCTTTTGACTAGTTTTCATTAGAGTCTCTGCTTTCAAATGCCTCCTGTAAGTGTCTAGTGGAACCATGAGAATCTAAGTCAGTTCCTCGCCTATTTCTGTTGGTATTGAACGCTATAAAAACATAGGCTCTACTTGCTTAGCCAATGAACCTTAAAGAGCATCTAGTTGGTATGATTTAACAAATCAGCATTTTAGGAAACTTTATTCTTGAGTGCAGGTTGATAGAATATGGATTTCATGCTGCTGGTAGTGTTAGACTCCCTCAGAGAAGAAATGAGCGCATGGTCTCTTGGAAGTATTTTGTCTTTGTAAATATTTTCTTTATATTCATGAGTTCAAGGAGCCCAGGTGTCCGAGGGATTTTCCTGGTCTGCTTTAAGGAAGTCATAAAACATCACACCTGCCAATTTAAATACTCTCTGACCTCTGCATATCTTTGAGAAATAATGCATCAGTAGGAAAATTATAAAAGAAGCATTGAAAACTAAACAGAATTATTTAAATGTTGTACTGAATTCATGAACTGTTCAAATATTTCACTATTAATGACTGTTCAAGAATTATAGAAGTGCAGAAATAATCATATCATAAACTACATTTTAGAATATCATGTAAGTTAAAATTAGACAAAACCAATTATGGAGGGAATTTACATAAAGAAAGATTAAACTCGGCCGGACGCGGTGGCTTACACCTGTAATTCCAGCACTTTGGGAGGCCGAGGAGGGTGGATCACCTGAGGTCAGGAGTTTGAGACAAGCCTGACCAACACGGTGAAACCCTGTCTTTACTAAAAATACAAAAATTAGCCAGGCGTGGTGGCAGGCGCCTGTAATCCCAGCTTCTCAGGAGGCTGAGACAGGAGAATCACTTGAACCTGGGAGGAGGAGGTTGTGGTGAGCTGAGATCGTGGCACTGCACTCCAGCCTTGGCGACAGAGCAAGACACCATCTTTAAAAAGAACAAAAAACAAAACAAAACAAAACAAAACAAAACAAAAAACAACTCTACCATCCCCTAACCCTAAGTTCCTCTCTCTCTCTCTCTCTCTCTCTCTATATATATATATATATATATACACATACACTTTTCAACATTTATTTTCTTTCATCTGACTTCAATGTTGATGCTTTTTTAATTGTCTCTGCTTTTTTAAAAAATGTACTTTTTAAAAATCAACAAATAATACTTGTACATATTCATGGGGTACATAGTGATGTTTTGATACATATAATGTATAATAATCAGATCAGGGCAATTAGCCTATTCACCACCTCAAACATTGATCATATCTATATGTGTATATCTATATCTATATCTATATCTATATCTATATCTATATCTATATCTATATCTATATCTATATCTATAAAACACTGAGGTTTGGGGTGTGAATAATCCCATCACCCAGGTAGTAAACATTGTACCGGACAGGACAGGTAATTTTTAAGACCTTTCCTTCCTCCCTCTCTCCTTTCTCTAAGTAGCTCCCAGTGTCTATTTTTCCCATCTTTATGTCCTTATCTACCCAATGTTTAGCTTGCACTTATAAGTGAGAACATGCAGTATTTGGTTTTCTGTTCCTGTGCTAATTTGCTTAGGATAATGGCCACCAGTTGCATCCATGTTGCTGCAAAGGACATGACTTCATTCTTTTTCATGTATGCCAACTTTTTGGGGAAAAAAACTAGGTAGAGAAGCAGATAGAGAAGAGAAGAAAAGGAGAAGACACGGGAGGAAAACAGAAAATGGAAATGAATAAGATAAAAACCACCTTTGAAAATTATGACAGAGGATAATGATAGCGAAAGAGGTTTGACCTAACTGACTCCATCTTATTCTAACCCCCAAGCTATCCTTGGTAATTCCTGGGCATAGGCTAAACTAACTTTGTGAGGAACTTAGTTTATAGCTTAACTTTGAAACAAAGGTGATAACAGCCCTCTCCAAAAACAAACTCTTTCCTGCCTGGGGACTAGACTGCCTTTGTAGGACTAACAAATTAGCCACAAGATTAGAAATTATGGTTTAAGAGTCAGGCAGCTGGAGGCTGCAAGATTCTGAAGCTCCCCTAATTGCTCCTGGGGTTAACATCACTATTGTAAAACCTAAGATCAGTTCTTGAGATATTTTGCGGACCCTGTACTCAGTGGATCAGCTGGCATCACCCAGGCTGATAAACTGGCTCATTTGGTCTTGTGGCCCCAACCCAGGAATTTACTCAGCATAAGAGGACAGCTTCAACTTCCTATGATTTCATCTCTGACCCGACCAATCAGCACTCCCTACTTTGCAACCCCCTACCCACCAAATTATCCTTAAAAACCCCAATCGTTGGGGTTTTTGGGGGACTGATTTGAGCCATAATAAAACTCTAGTCCGTGCAGCTGGCTCTGTGTGAATTAAACTCTTTCTCTAAGAAGGAAAGCTGTAGAAAGAAAGTCCCTTTGTGGGGTTGCCTTGGGTTTCATGTTTCTTGGCTGTGAATTATTGACTACTGGATTCTGGGACATTTGCCAAATTTTAATGGCACAATTAGGCATCGGGGTAATAGAGGTAAATTGGCAGAATCTCTCCTTCCTCTCCCTATCCCTTCAGACTCTGTGGCCGCCTTAATTGGGTCCTGGAAAATGGTCAGAAGTGAATGAAAGCAAGCCGACCACTCACAATATTTTATTAGCAACGGAACTGGATTTCACAAGGGAGAAATTCAATGTGGTATTGTGTAACATGCAGGATAAGGATGGGGGATAGACCCAACCTAGGAAGTTTAACATCTAATGAAAATCGATGACCCTCTAAATGAATTTTCAGGGTGAGAAGATAAGGCCAGGATATTGCTTTTGGAAGAATTTTATTTAAACAAACCTGAAGAGTCTACTATGTTCCTGGTACTGTGCTGAGTGTTTCCTATATAAATTGTTTCATATTTTCAAATATTTCCCCCCCTCTGTTAAAAGAAAACTTCAGACAAATTAAATTCAACACAGTTTAATTGAGCAAGGGAAAAAATAAAAACAATTTGCAAATCAGGCAGCCTCCAGATTCACAGCAGATTCAGAGAGACTCCAGGGATGCCTCATGGTCAGAGCAAATTCATAGGCAAAAAAAAGGGAAAGTGACACACAGAAATTGGAAATGCGGTACAGAAACAGCTGGATTGGTTACAGGTTGGCATTTGCCTTATTTGAACACAGTTTGAACACTCAGCAGTGTATGAGTCGTTGAAGTACGGCTGCTGGGATTGGCCAAGACTCAGCTATTGTTACAGGTGCATACTCCTAAGATAGGTTTCCAATCTTGTCTGCCTACTAAGTTAGGTTAGTTTGTCCAAAAGGACTCAAATATGGAAGTACAGAGTCCTTCTCAGGAATATTTAGTTTACTTTAACATTTCAAAGCAGTGATCTTATGCTATTGAAGACAATAGATATAAGTATCAATCCTTGGGATCAAAGTTTTTTCTACCTTTTCTTTGTTTCCCCGCATGGCCTTGAGTTATCTCTTTGGAATCTTGATTATCTTGAAGATTCTCTTAGCATGGTGTGAAGCTCATGGCCTTATAGTCACAGACCTAGGCATGGTGATATACACCTATATTTTGGCTCATACATGTGGACCTGAAGTAAATGCTTTACTAGGACACAGTGCCCACAGTTGGTAAACCTTGAACATTTGTATTCTCTTGATTGTCTGTATTTACTACATTGGTCAGCCTTAGTATTTTCCATGCAGAAATCCTTTCTTGTAACTCTTGGGGATGGTGTGTATATGTGTGTGTATATATATATGTGTGTATATATGTGTGTGTGTGTGTGTATATACGTATATATATATATACGTATATATATATACGTGTGTATATATATACGTGTGTATATATATACGTGTGTATATATATATATATATATATATATATATATATTTTTTTTTTTTCAAATTCCAGGTCCCAGAAAAAATTTCAGCTGAGAAATCAGAAACATGGAAAAAGGTATTATAGTTCTCTTGAAAGAATTAACCTTTATCAATCAACATAGAGTTGTTACTAGTTTGAAGGAATCCACTGACATCAAAAGGAAGAACAGGAAAAGCAGACATGTGCAGTCAAAGGTTAAGTCGGACACTTCTGGAAACTGGGACAATAGCACATAGGAGAGAAGTGGTTGTGATATAATCACTCAGTCTTTCTTGTCTCTGTTGCCATGGTATTATAAATAGATGTTTGTATGCCTGACTGCTTCTCACAGTGATCCTTATAGATAGAAGAGGTTATTAATATTAATAAGTTTACATACATTGTATACTACATACAAATCCTATGAGTGGCGATCCAAGAAATAACAAGTTTTGTGGCAAAACATGTCCCTAAATTGGCAATTTTTACACAGGATTGAAAGTAGTGCTGTTAACTTTGCTAGAAGATCTGAATTTTATGTTAATAGAATACTACCCAATAATATCTGCTGGTGTTTTCCAGTGTCTAAATATTCAATATCTAAAATAGTACTTACTGTCCTTACAAAACTGTAACAGAGAAATGCAAAGAGAAAGATATGTACATTTGTGTGGAATACTCTGACATGAAATCACAAACTGATCTAAAATTTGTATTAGCAAAAGCAATCTCAATTTCAATGTCAAAATCAAAACTAAAGCGTATATAAAATTAGATTATTTGAAGGAACATGTATGTTAACATACAACAAAAATATGTCTTTAGATGAACACTTAATTCAAATAATACTAATGCAAAATGAAAAAAAGTTTTTTGGAATATTTGTCACCAAACAAACATCAAGGCTATTGGAAACGGCAATTGATACTTTTTCTGCTTAAAAATTTCATTTTAAGTCTGATATCTTTTAAAATATTAAATATTGGTGGTATTATCATTTAATTTCTAAATATTTTATTTGACATTTATTTTCTTATGTTATTGAGATATATCATCTTATCACAGTATATTGGTTCATATTAATGGTATATCATGCATTTATTACTTTTTATTTATTACCTTATTTTTATAGGAAATCTCTGAACTTTTAGAGGTTTAGTACTATCATATAAATGATTCAATGCTCCTTATTGTGATTTCTCCATATTATTTAAAAATGTAAATAAAGTGTTAATAATTTAGAATAACTTATAATTTTGGCAATTCTGATTTCTCCTTACTGAATCTTTTATTTATTTATTTATTTATTTTGAGGTGGAGTTTCGCTCTAGTTGCCCAAGCTGGAGTGCGATGGCGCGATATCGGCTCACTGCAACCTATGCCTCCCAGATTCAAGCGGTTCTCCTGCCTCAGCCTCCCGAGTAGCTGGGATTACAGGCGCCCGCCACCACGCCCGGCTAAGTTTTTGTATTTTTAGTAGAAACTGGGTTTCACCATGTTAGCCAGGCTGGTCTTGAAATCCTGACCTCAGGTGATCTGCCCGCATCTGCCTCCCAAAGTGCTAGGGTTACAGGCATGAGCCACCGCACCCGGCTGTTAAACAGAATCTCAAAGATTTATATTTGTTAGGAATTTGAAACACTAGTACTCAGCCTCACCGGGCCTACATTCTGCTTGGCAACAATTTTCTTGACCTGATCTCAGTTGCCTTTTATGGATAGGGAATGGGTTCTACTTTGCCGCAGTCCCAAGGTAAACTGTTTAATTTTTCTGTTTTGCCCAGCTCCTCTGGGAATTGAAGTTGGCAGCTCCTCCCCAGAGTAAGCCCTCTTTATCTTAAGACCCAGCCTCCAGAGTATATAAGTATATAAGCTCTGGAAAACTTTCTAATTTTGAGTTGGTCTGGTAATAATTTCCAGGCCTTCTCCCTGTAACTGGTTACAGAAATAAAAACTCTCTCTCTCCCCAGTTCATCTGCAACTCTTTACTGGGCCACGAGAAAGAGCAGCCCAATCCTCAGTTTGGTCCGGGAACACCGTGGTTCATCAAGGCTCTGCATTCTTGTGCCTGCTCCAGGGGTTTGTACTCTGCGTACTCCCTATGTGTCTTTCCGTTTCTGGTGAAATGTGTACTTTTCTCTCAGGCAGGCCTTTGTTATCTAAGGGACAAACTAATTCACATCAATGCTTTAATGCAGCAGTTTTTAAACTTGGCTGCAACATTAGAAACACCTGGGTAGCTTTTCAAACTTCTCCCCATTGAGCCTTACCCTATCCAATCAAAATCAAAATCTGTGGGGATGGTGCCTTAATACTAATAATTTTAAAAAACCCTTTCAGGTGATTGATTATAAGGTGCAGTTAGGGCTGAGAATCACCGTGTTCTTAATAGTTCAAGTGGCCCCAGGGAATGTATTTAAATAAGAACTGAGGCTCTCAACATCTAACACCACAGAAGGACTTCGGGTGGGACTTTCAGTCTTTAGAAGAAACGTTTATAGTCTGAGGGAATGCGATGCGTGCAGGCAGTGAAGGCTTTCTTAATCCATGCTAATCAGAGAGTCGACCAGGGAAGAATGTGATGGGAAAGCTGGTGCTTGCTTCTGGCTCCTCTCTCCTCTGCAGGGAGATGAAGCGGAGTATAGGAGAGCAGCGACTGGCCAAGTAAGGAACAAAGATTGCTGTGTTAGGGGCACATTTTCAGCCATGTCCTGTAGCAGAGACAGAGGGGTTATGTTGCATATATTGTACTTCCTTGTCTTCTCTGAATATGTCTACATATATATATCCTTGTAATAGATCGTTTGACTCTGACCCTTAGCGATAGATTCTGGAGAGGCTCAACTTCCTAAGTGCTTGGTGCACACAATTATTCTCTTTCTTTTCTTTCTTTCTTTCTTTTTTTTTTTTTGAGACAGGGTCTCGCTCTGTCAACCAGGCTGGAGTGCACTGGAGTACAGCTCACTGCAGTCTCGACCTCCCAGGCTCAGAGAATTCTCCCACCTGAGCCTCCCGCTGCGGCCTATAGGCCTGAGCCACCGCGCCGACCTCAATTTTTCTTTCTGGTTTGTTTGTTTGTTTTTGAGACAGGGCCTCACTCCCATTGCCTACACTGTAGTGCAATGGCACCATCACAGCTCACTGCAGCCTCGACTTCCCAGGCTCAGGTGATTCTCGTGCTCAGCCTCCTGAGTAGTTGGGACTGCAGGTGCGTGCCACCATGCCTGGCTAATTTTTGTACTTTTAGTAAAGACTGGCTTTCGCCTATTGGCCAGGTTGGTCTCAAACTCCTGGGCTCAAGAGATCCACCTGCTTCAGACTCCCAAATTGCTGGGCTTACAGGCATGAGCTCAATAATTCTTTCATTTTGCTTTTACATCCATAACCAGCATTATCAAAAAATTTGCCTCTGTGAGGGTCTGGATGGCTGGCTGTTGTAAAAAAACCATCTTCCATCAAGTGAAGATATATATAAATATAATAATTAGTGATCAGAGAGTGACCACTCATGTCTACTGTGGGTTTTCTTCTTGCTTCTGCGAACATTGTTATAATCATTTGTTTTATGTGCTTCTGCCAAACTTATGTCATGGACCCTCTTTTAAAAATATATCTACTCATCTATCATCTGTCTTCTACCAGGATGCAAGTTTCATGAAGATGGGAATGTATTGGTCTTGTTCCCTGTTGTATCCCCAGCACCTAGCAAAGTGCCAGAGCATAATGGGCACCCCCACATGAATGAACGATTAATACATTGACTCTGGAGCTGGCTGGCTTGTTCCTTCTACAAATCAATAAAATCAGTTGCAGAAGTAAAATTGCTCAACCATTCATTTTCTCTTATTTCTATTTAGTTAAGATAATTACATTTGCAGCATCTTTGTTTACTCCTCTACAAAGCTGCTGCTTTTTGCCTCAGAAAGATTTTCTATCATGTTTTATTTTAATTGTAGATCAAAGAAGCCAAACTGCATCAACCTCCTCTTGTTACATTCAGTTTTTGTGATTCTTCTATGTTTAATTCATGCTGATGTTTTGTAGGCTGTTATCAGCCAGGAGTTGAAATCTAAAGTACTGGAATAAAATATTCCTTAAAGCATATTATGACAGACCAGCAGTGACCATGATGCTCATACACTGTGAAAGTAATTTCATACTTTATTCCTTATGCAGGTTTTCCAATGTTATCTTCATATTTGGATAAGATGTAAAAATAGGATTACTTCTTCCTTTTTCCTCTCCTCCTCAATCCTATGCATTTTTTAAAAATCAGAAAGGAATCATGTTTTCATGGAGACCCATGCATCACAGCACTTAATGACCTGCTCATCACAGACTGGATCCCTCATGTTTTCTAAGATGGTGAGTTGTGATGCCTTAAATCAAATCTCATGTGGAATGCTCCATGCAGTGTTCAGGATGTTTGATTTCTTATTCTCTTGCTTTCCTTGAGTAAATCCTCAGTTAAAAAAATACATGTATCACATTTTATTTCAAAGTTTTGACTTTAGTAGAACTAGAAGGATAATCTGTATTGTTGAGGTTCTTTTCAGTTTACCAACTGTTTTAATCAAATTTGACTAATTGATTTTGTCCCAATACATTTTCAGCAGAGAATGTCGACAGCTTTCTGTACTGGTAAGGACTGATTGTATCATTTCTAATTAATAATAATAGGAGGGAAAATGGATAAGTGAGTGTGACTGTTGACGAGGTGGACACATTTCAGAGACTAAACCAGTTGCTATAAATTGAGATGCCATTCATTGGTGAGTTAATCTTTATAAACAGCATTATAATTCAATGAGCCTTGGGATGAAACCAGCAATTTCATCTATATGATGCTGCTTGATGGGCTGTTGACATGTATTTGGATGAGGATTTAATGCAGTTATACATTCTTCTTGTAAATGACATTTATTAATTACTAGTTAAGGCCATCTTACTGTGAAATAGGTCAGAGCTTTAAAAATGGGCATGATATTGAGAACTTCTAATGAGCTTGTAAATATCTATTCTGAAATCTCCATCCATCCTATTTTCAGGAGAGAAGTTGTCTTGAGGAGGTAAAGTCACTTTCTTGGATCTCCTTATAAAATTGTTTATTTCTAAGTTATTGAAATAGATACTGGTGATGGTTGCATAACATGAATGTATTTAATGCTACTAAATTGTACACATAAAAATGGTAAATTTTATGTTACGTATATTCTACCACAATAAAAACTAAATCAGATAGGCATACAATAGAATAAAAATATTAACAAAACCAAAGCTGGTAAACTTCTGGCAAGACTAATCATGAAAAAGGAGAAAAGATGCAGAAAGAAAAACAGGAATGAAAAATGAGTAATAACTATAGATACAATAAATATTTTTAAAAAACCCTTGTTTGAATTCTGATTTGAACACACTACCTGTAAAAGGCTTTATATACACACATATATATACACACACATATATACTATGTATACTGTATATGTATGTGTATACATATACATATTATACTTTAAGTTCTGGGGTACATGTGCAGAACATGCACTTTTGTTACATAGGTATACACGTGCCATGGTGGTTTGCTGCACCCATCAACCTGTCACCTACTTTAGGTATTTCTCCTAATGTTATCCCTCCCCCGGCCCTCTACCCCGCCGACAGGCCCCAATGTATGATGTTCCACTCCCTATATCCATGTGTTCTCGTTGTTCAACTCCTACTTATGAGTGAGAACATGCAGTGTTTGGTTTTCTGTCCTTGTGATAGTTTGCTGAGAATGATGGTTTCCATCATCGTCCATGTCCCTGCAAAGGACATGAACTTATCCTTTTTTATAGCTGCATAGTATTCCATGGTGTATATGTGCCACATTTTCTTTATCCAGTCTATTATTGATGGACATGTGGGTTGGTTCCAAGTTTTTGCTATTGTGAATAGTGCTGCAATAAACATACGTGTGCATGTGTCTTTATAGTAGCATGATTTATAATCCTTTGGGTATATACCCAGTAATGGGATATCTGGATCAAATGGTAATTCTAGTTCTAGATCCTTGAGGAATCGCCACACTGTCTTCCACAATGGTTGAACTAATTTACACTCCCACCAACAGTGTAAAAGCATTCCTATTTCTCCACATCCTCTCCGGCATCTGTTGTTTCCTGACTTTTTAATGATCGCCATTCTAACTGGCGTGAGATGGTATCTCATTGTGGTTTTGGTTTGCATTTCTCTGATGACCAGTGATGATGAGCCTTTTTTTCATATGTCTGTTGGCTGCATAAATGTCTTCTTTTTATGCAGTTTATATGTGTTCATATCCTTTGCCCACTTTTTGATGGAGTTGTTTGATTTTTTTCTTGTAAATTTGTTTAAGTTCTTTGTAGATTCTGGATATTAGACCTTTGTCAGATGGGTAGATTGCAAAGATTTTTTTCCCATTCTGTAGGTTGCCTATTTACTCTGATGACAGTTTCTTTTGCTGTGCAGAAGCTCTTTAGTTTAATTAGATCCCATTTGTCAATTTTGACTTTTGCTGCCATTGCTTTTGGTGTTTTAGTCATGAAGTCTTTGCCCATGCCTATGTCCTGAATGGTATTGCCCAGGTTTTCTTCTAGGATTTTTATGGTCCTAGGTCTTACATGTAAGTCTTTGATCCATCTTGAGTTAATTTTTGTATAAGGCATAAGGAAGGAGTCCAGTTTCAGCTTTCTGCATATGGCTAGCCAGTTTTCCCAACACCATTTGTTAAATAGGGAATCTTTTCCCCATTGCTTGTTTGTGTCAGGTTTGTCAAAGATCAGATGGCTGTAGATGTGTGGTGTTATTTCTGAGGACTCTGTTCTGTTCCATTTGTCTATATCTCTGTTTTGGTACCAGTACCATGCTGTTTTGGTTACTGTAGCCTTGCAGTGTAGTTTGAAGTCAGGTAGCATGATGACTCCAGCTTTGTTCTTTTGGCTTAAGGATTGCCTTGGCAATTTGGGCTCTTTTTTGGTTCCATATGAACTTTAAAGTAGTTTTTTCCAATTCTGTGAAGAAAGTCAATGGTAGCTTGATGGGGGTAGCATTGAATCTATAAATTACTTTGGGCAGTATAGCCATTTTCACAATATTGATTATTCCTATCCATAAGCATGGAAAGTTCTTCTACTTGTTTGTTTTGTCTCTTATTTCCTTGAGCAGTGGTTTGTAGTTCTCCTTGAAGAGGTCCTTTACATCCCTTGTAAGTTGTATTTCATTCTCTTAGTAGCAATTGTGAATGGGAGTTCACTCATGATTTGGCTCTCTGTTTGCCTGTTATTGGTATACAGGAATGCTTGTGATTTTTGCTCATTGATTTTGTATCCTGAGACTTTGCTGAAGTTGCTTATCAGCTTAAGGAGATTTTGGGCTAAGATGCTGGGGTTTTCTAAATATACAATCATGTCATCTGCAAACAGAGACAATTTGACTTCCTCTCTTCCTATTTCAATACACTTTATTTCTTTCTCTTGCCTGATTGCCCTGGCCAGAACTTCCAATACTATGTTGAATAGGAGTGGTGAGAGAGGGCCTCCTTGTCTTGTGCCAGTTTTCAAAGGGAATGCTTCCAGTTTTTGCCCATTCAGTATGATATTGGCAGTGGGTTTGTCATAAATAGCTCTTATTATTTTGAGATACTTTCCATCGATACCCAGTTTGTCGAGAGTTTTTAGCATGAAGGGGTGTTGAATTTTGTTGAAGGCCTGTAAAAAGGCATTTTTAAAACAAGTGAAAGTAACTGAAGACAGACTAGTATTGAAAGCTATTAATGAATTACTGTTAATTGTGCCAAATGTGCTATTGATGTAATGTTATATATCAATTGAAATATTTTTAAAGACCTCATTTTTAGCAATAAAAGGTAATATTTAAGAATAAATTTTTATGGTGTCTTAGATTTGCTTTAAAATAATTCAGAAAAAAAGTGGTGGGAGGTATATAGAATAATAGTGTCTGAATGTTGATAACTATGGAAGCTGGTGATAGGTACGTGGAGTTATTATATTATTCTCTCTGCTTTTGTTTAATTTGAATCTTTTCAAAATATAAACAAAATAAAATAACAAAAAGCATTAGAAACAACTTGAAAAATAGCATGTTTCTGTGTTTTTTGGGCACTGCCCCCCAGACCCCAAAGCAAAGACCAACAAACACAGAGAGCTTATTCATATTCAGAATGTTAACATTCAATTTCAGGCTTAAAATAATTGTTTCTTTGGGCAAAACTCTGTGGGCAAACCTCTCAAAGTGCATTTTAAGGGAAAATATATTTAATTTTCACCAAATAATTCCATTTCTGTGATAATTCCCTGGCTGTGTGCATCAACTAGAGATGAAAAAGCTACTTGAGTGAAATAGGCTGTTGAAAATTCATTGGTAAATTTCAACAATTGTTTTGTGGAAAACAGAATGAGAAGGACTGGACTCACTTAAGTGTTGTTTGAAGTGCCTTAGCTGATGGCATTATCTTAATCATGATAAGAAAAATAATTCTACTTTATTTTAACTTTTCCCACACAAATCCCAAGAAGACTTGTGCCCCTGCTTCTGTGGCCCTTGTGGTAGGCTGAATAATGGTCTCCAAAGATATCTAGGTCCTAATCCCTGGAACATATGAATTTTTTTGTTTACCTCATGTGGCAAAAAGTATTTCGTAGATGTGTTCGAATTAAGAATATTGAGATGGGGAGAGTATTCTGGATTATCCAGGTGGACCCTAAGTGTAATCACAAGCTTCCTTATAAGAAGGCAGAAGATTGTATGACAGAAGAGGAGGTGATCTGAAGACAGAGCAGAGAGAGATTTGACAAAGAAGGCAGAAGGTGATGTAATGATAGAAGCAGAGAGAAAGTGAAGATGCTACTCTGCTGGCTTTGAAGGTGGAAGAAGGGGCCATGAGCCAAGGGACACAGCTTTAGAAGCTGGAAAAGGAAAGGAAATGGATTATCCCATAGAGCCTCTGGAGGGAGTGTGACCCTGCTAATACCTTCAAACTGTTTTCAGAAGTGCCTCCAGAAGGGTAAGAGAATATATGGTATTGTTTTAAGCCATCAAATTTGTGGTTGTGATAGTATCCACAGGAATCTAAAACATCCCCCAACACCTCCTCTTATGAGAACGATTGGAGAAGTCAACCCAAGAGCCTGGCAGTTGGTGTGTGCATCAGAAGCACATGAAGGTAAGTATCATGGTTTGGTTGGCTCTTTGCAGCCACAGAGTGTATAGCTGAATGAGATGTGTGTTATGGTGGTTTCTACCTTAGTCACAGAGGCTGTTTACAGGTCCCATTGTGTTATTTTGCCTGATTCTCTGTTCTCCAAATCCCCTGGTTCAGAAATTGGGATGTAGAGATAGAGGTGGGAATGAGAACTTCTGTGTAAGGTGCTAGAAATAACACTAGACTAGGGATCTGATATGTTGGATTGTGCCTGCCTACCAACAAGCAGTTTTGGAGAAGATATTTAACTTTTCTGAGTCTTGTTTTCCTAACCTGTAAAATGGGTTAAAATTATACACCCTGCCTATCTTGTAGTCTCATTAAAGGCTCAAATGAAATAGAGGGGTCTTTTGAAATGTAAAAGCTCTCCCCTAACATCCCCTAAAGTCATTCGATGGTGCCGAGCAAGGTGGGCATCTGTTGGTGAGCCATGCTGGTGCAGAGTAGCGTACTGGAGATAGTTGGGTGAGATGGCTGTCCATGTGAGTGGATGGCTCAACATGGAATGAATGTGGAGAGGAGTGTGACTGCACAGGTGTGGGGGTGGTGAAAGTGGCGTTGGGAGATTGGCTACAGTGAAGAGATTGATCTATACATTAAGGATAATGTAACTCAAATTTCTATTCAGGAATAAATATTTCCCTTATCTCAGAAAGTTTCCTCATGTCCCTTCCCAGTCAATTCCAGTCTCTTCCCTGCAGAGGCAACCAGTGCTCTGATTTTTCTACCATATATTAATTTTGCCTATTTTAGAATTTTATGAAAAAATTACATAAATCTATAAAATATAAGTTATGATCTCTTTTAAGTCTTCTTTCACACAGCATAATATTTTTGAAATTCATCCATTTGTTGTGTGCATCATTACTTTCTTTTTATTGCTTAGTCATATTCTATTGCATGGATATACCATGATTTGTCTATCTGTTCTCCTGTGGATAAACATTTAATTTGTTTCAATTTTTTTATTTGAATAAAGTTGCTATGAATAAAGTTTAGATAAAACTTTTTTTTCTGTGGGGAAATATCAAGTAATGGAATTGCTGGATCATAAAGAAGATGTATATTTAGTTTCATAAGAAGCTGTCAGACCTTTTTTTTAAGTAGTAATATTTCACATTCTTCCCAACAAGGTATAAGAGTTCTCACTGCTTGGCATTCTTGTCAAAATTTGGTATTGCCAGTCATTTTAATTTTATATTTCTGGTGGGAGTGTAGTGCTATCTCATTGTGGCTTCAGTTTGAGTTGGCTGGTGACTAATGACGTTAGACATTTTTTCACTAGGTTATTTGTCTTTTATTTTGAATGGTAAGATTTTTTATACACCCAGGATACCAACATTTTGTTTGATTTATACTTTTGAACCTTTTCTCCCAATCTGTAGTTTTCCTATTAATTTTCTTTTCTTTTTTCTTTTTTCTTTTTTTTTTTTTTTTGAGACAGAGTCTTGCTCTGTTGCCCAGGCTGGAGTGCAGTGGCATGACCTCGGCTCACTGCAACCTCCGCCTCCTGGGTGCAAGTGATTCTCCTGCCTCAGCCTCCCGAGTAGCTGAGACTATAGGCGTCCACCACCACACCTGGCTAATTTTTGTATATTTAGTAGAGACAGCGTTTCACCATGTTGGCCAGGATGGTCTTGATCTCTTGACCTTGTGATCTGCCCGCCTCGGCCTCCCAAAGTGCTGTGATTACAGGCGTGAGCCAACATACCCGGTCCCCTAATTTTCTTTAACATTATCTTTGGATGAGCAGAACTTAAAAATTTTTCTGAATTCAATTTTTTTCTCTTATGGTTATTTGTGTTTTTTTGTCCTGTCTGAAAAACATTTGCTTATATCCAAGTCACAGTGATATTCCATACTTGTTTCTTATTCTTATTCTTGCCAGTCTGTTTGCCTTTATTTCATTTCCTGCCCCCTGCCCCCTGCCCCCTGCCCTTCAGTGTTTTTTTTTTTTTTTCTGCCTTATTATACTGATCGAGGCCTCCAGCACAATGTTGACTAGAAGTTGTGGGAGAGGATATCCTTCTCTTGTTCCTGATCATAGGAGGAAAGCATTTTCTCTTTCACTGTCAAATATTAACTATAGGTTTTTCATAGATTTCTTTATGAGATTGTAGAAGGTTTCTTTATTCCTATTTTTCTGAGAGTTTTTATTATTAATGAGTGTTGAATTTGTCAAGTGCTTTTTCTGTCTAGCATAATGATCATATAGCTTTTCTCCTTTATTCTGTAAATGTGAATTACATTGATTTTTAAAGTATATTATTAAGTGGTTTTTAGTGTATTCATATTATCATATAACCATTATCACTATGCAATTCCAGAACATTTTCATAATCTCAACTCTGTTCCCATTAAGTAGTTACTCCCTGTACCCATTAAGCAGTCACTCCCTGTTTCTCCCTCCCTCCAGTTTCTGGCAACCACTAATCTCCTTTCTTTTTCTATGGATTTTCCTCTTCTGGGCATTTCATAAAAATCGAGTCATACTATATGTGGCCTTTTGTCTCTGGTTTTTTCACTTAGCATATTTTAATGATTAATTCTGTTATAGTATGTGTCAATAGTGAATTCCTTTTTATGGCTAAATAATATTTATTTATTTTTATTTTTATTTTATTTTTTGAGACAAAGTGTCGATCTGTTGCCCAGGCTGGAGTGCAGTGGTGCAATCTCAGCTCACTGAAACCTCTGTCTCCTTGATTCAAGCAATTCTCGTGTCTCAGTCTCCCAAGAAGCTGAGATTACAGGCATGCACCACCTCACCTGGCTACTTTTTGTATTTTTAGTAGAGATGGGGTTTCACCACCTCTACTAAAAAACAGGCTGGTTTCAAACTCCCAACCTCAGGTGGTCGGCCCATCTTGGCCTCCCAAAGTTCTGGGATTATAGGCATGAGCCACCACACCTGGCTGCCAAATAATATTTAATTGTATGGATATACTACATTTTGTTCATCCATTCATCAGTTGATGGACCTTTGGGTTGTTTCTACATTTTGGCTATTGTGAATAATTCTGTTATGAACATTCACGTACACTTTTTTTGTGGACTTTTTTCATTTCTGTTGAGTATATATCCGGGAGTGGGATTGCTGAATCATGTAGTAACCCTATGGCTAATTTTTTGAGGAACCTTCAAACTTTTCCACAGAAGCTGCACTATTTTACATTCTCACCTGCTATGTGTTTTTAGTGGTTGCTTTAGAGCTTGCAGTATACATTTGCAACTAATCTAAGTCCACTTTCAAATAACGCTATACTATTTCATGGATAGTGCAGCTAACTTTTAACAGTTTATTTCCAAGTCTTCTCTTCCTAATTTTATAACATTGCTGGCATTCATTTCACTTATCCGTAAGTTATAATCACCCAATACATTGCTACCATAATTATTTTAGACAAACTGTTACGTATTAGATCAATTAAGAATACAAAAAATAGTTTATTTTACCTTCATTTGTTCCTTCTTTAATGTTCTTCTTTTCTTTATATAAATGTGAGATTCTGACACATATTTTCCTGGATACATGAAGAAGTTCTTTTAACCTTTCTTGCAAAGCTGATCTACTGGCAACAACTCTTCTCAGGTTTTGTTTGAGAAAGTCTTTATTTCTCCTTTGCCTTTGAAGGATAGCTTCACTGGATATAGAATTCTAGTTTGGCCTTGTACTTATTTTTTTAAACACTGTAAATATTCCACTCCATTCTCTTCTTGCTTAGATAGTTTCTGAACAGAAGTCCAATGTAATGCGTATCCTTGATTCTCTATATGTAAGGGATTTTTCTTTTTTCCTCTGACTTCTTCGAGTTTTTCTTTTGGCCTTTGACTTTTTATAGTTTGACAATGATATGCTTACACATAGTTTTTTTTTTGTATTTATCCTGGTTGATGTTCTTTGAGATTCCTGGATCTGTAGTTTGGTGTTTATCATTAATTTTGGAAAATTCTCAGCCATAATTACTTTAAATATTTCTTCTGCCCCACCTCTCTTTCTTCTTACTCGTATTCTCATTACATATATGTTACATCTTTCTGCCTCACAGTTTTGGATATTGTGTTCCATGTTTTTAATTCTTTTTTCTCTTTTCATTTAAGTTTGGGAAGTTTCTATTGACATATCTTCTGGTTCACTCATTTTTCCTGAGCTGTATCCGGTCTACTGATGATTTCATGAAAGGCATTTCCCATATCTGTTACAGTGGTTTTGATTTCTAGCATTTCTTACCCATCTTTCTGCTTGCATTACCCATCTGTTTTGCATCTTGTCCATTTTTTTCCATTAGAGCCCTTAGCATATTAATCATGGTTATTTTAAGTTCTCGGTCCGGTAATTCAAAATTTCTGTCATATCTGAGACTAGTTCTGACACTTGCCTTATCTCTTCAGACTGAGTTTTTTCCTTGTCTTTTCATGGGTCTTGTAGTTTTTTTGTTGAAAGCCTAGTGTGACATATTGGATAATAAAAGCTGAGGTAAACAGGGCTTTAGCATTAGGTTTTATGTTTATCTGCTAGGAGTAAGGCTGTAGTTAATGTTTCCTGTAGGTGTAAGTATCAGAGATTCAATTTCCTTCGGTGTCCTTGTTTTTGTCTTCCCTGTTGTCTTTGGGTTTCCCTAGAAACTTCTTAAATAGAGTCTGTATCTTGCAGCTCTCTCAGTTGTAATCTGCTGTTTTTATAGTGAAGGCCTTGTGATGTGGTAGGTAGATACTGTGGAGGGAAACCATTCCATAGCCTTAAGATTAAATCGTTTTTTTTAGTGGGTCTGATTCCCTGGTCTGTAACCTTCAGAAAAGTTTCTTAGCCTTTTTAAAAATTCCCTTATGTGAGATAGGAAAGCTAAGGAGGGCTAGAGTTGTCTAATTGCTTTTCCTTTAAGTTAAATAAGGCTCCTATAAAGTAGTTTTCCTTAATGGCAGCCCTTTGTTATTGAGAACAGAGTGCTCTGGGCTTATTTCAAAATGATTACTCCCGTCATCCCTCCATCTGAAAGCAGGAAACTGTTTTTCCCTGATCTTCACTGGGAGAACCAGATGGGGTTCCTGGAGGTAAAACTCGCAGCAGTGTGGAGGCCCTTACATATTGGAGCTGAAACTGGAAGTCTAGTACATTGATATTTGAATATTAAAACAACTTTGCATTCCTGGGATAAATATTTCTTGATCCTGATTTATTATTTTTTAAAAAATTATTTCTGGATTAAATTTGCTAGTATTTTGCTAAAACCTTTTGTGTTCACGATTATAACCACCCAATGGGTTCTTCTTGTCTCCTTCACAGAAAAGCTAATACACTGAGACAGCAGTGCTTTAGTAGAGAAAGAGTTTAATTTTCACATGGCCAGTCAAGTGGTAGGACAGGAGATAATTCTCAAATCTTAATTCTCCCGGAAAGCTCAGAGGCTAGGGTTTTTGAGAATAATTTGGCAGGCAGGAGACTATGAATGCCTCTGATTGGTTGGGGATGAAATCATAGGAGTGTCCAAAATGGTCTTCCTGCACTGAGTCACTTTCTACGCGGAGGCCATAAGTGTTGTGAAAGAAGAGATAAAATATTGTATTTGTGCTGATGGTGAAATTGTTCATATAGAAAACCTATAAGACTTCAGTTAAAACACAAAACAAACCAAAAAGTCCTCTGAGAATTAATAAGAGATATGGTAAGGTAGTTGCCTATTACTATGCAAAAGTTGTCAATAGCTTTTCTTTATATGGACAATAAATATAGAAATAAAAATGAGGTATTTTACTAGCCATACTAAAAAACATACAATATTTGGAATTATAATTATTGAGAAATATGGGATCTACCTGACAAAAACTATAAAATCTTTTAATAAAATTTTTATGTTAAATTATTAACTAAAAAATTATTTATAAAGGACCTAAGAAAAAAAGCTAAATCCATGGAAAGGTACACTGTGTTCTTCGATAAGAACACTTCATATGAATTAAATTCAATTTTGCCAAAATTAACATATATTCAATGCAATACTAATTAGAATGCTAGTATCATTTAACATTTTGAAATCAGGTAAGTGATATTCAAATTCACATAGAAAAATGAGTGAAAATGCCAAAATGCTATGAGAAAACAATATGTCAGGGGGACTATCTCTACCAGAAACCATGTTTAGATAGCATGTTTTTATAACATGCTATAAAAACACTAAAAAAATTAATATGGTGTTTGAAAGGAATAGGCAAATAAATCAGTACAAAATAATAGAAAACTCCAAAATAGTTCTCCTGTATTTGATAATGTAATATATGGCAAAGGCAACTTTTAATTCAATGCTTTATCAAATTTATTTTTATGTATTTTTAAACTTAATTTCAGGAGTACATGTGCAGATTTGTTGTATAGGTAAACTCGTGTCATGGGGGTTTGTTGTACAGATTATTTCATCACACAGGTATTAAGCCTAGTACCCGTTAGTTAATTTTTCCGATCGTCTCCCTCCTCCCACCCTCCATCCTGCACCCTCCATCCTGCACCCTTCAGTGTGCCCCAGTGTGTGTTGTTCTCCTCTTTGTGTCCATGTGTTCTTGTCATTTAGCTCTCACTTATAAGTGAGAACATGCGGTATTTGGTTTTCTGTTCCTGTTAGTTTGCTAAGAATGATGGCCTCCAGCTCCATCCATGTCCCTGCAAAGGACATGATCTCATTCTTTTTTATGGCTGCCTAGCATTCCATGGTGTATATGTATCACATTTTGTTTATACAGTCTACCATTGATGGCCATTTAGGTTGATTTCATGTCTTTGCTATTGTGAATAGTGCTGCAATGAACATATGTGTGCATGTGTCTTCATAATAGAATGATTTATATTTCTTTGGGTATATATCCAGTAATGGGATTGTTGGGTTGAATGGTAGTTCTGTTTTTAGGTGTTTGAGGAATCACCACACTGCTTTCCCACAATAGCTTGAATTAATTTAAACTCCCACCAACAGTGCTAAAAGCATTCCTTTTTCTCTACAACCTTGCCAGGACCTGTTATTTTTTGACTTTTTGATAATAGCCATTCTGACTTGTGTGAGATGGTATCTCACTGTGGTTTTGATTTGCATTTTTCTAATGATCAGGGATATTGAGCTTTTTTCATATGTTTGTTTTCCACAAGTATACCTTCTTTTGAAAAATGTCTGTTCATGTCCTTTGCCCACTTTTTAATGGGGTTGTTTTTTTCTTGTAAATTTGTCTAAGTTCCTTATAGATGCTAGTTATTAGACCTTTGTCAGATGCAGAGTTTGCAAAAAGTTTTCATTCTATAGGTTGTCTGTTTACTCTGTTGATAGTTTCTGTGAAAGCAGGAGTGTCCAATCTTTTGGCTTCCCTGGGCCACATTGGGAAAAGAACTGTCTTGGGCCACAAATAAAAGATACTAACATCAGTGATAACTGATGAACTAAAAAAAAATTACAAAAAATCTCATAATGTTTTAAGAAAGTTTATGAATTTGTGTCGGGCCCCATTCGAAGCCGTCCTGGGTTGCATGTGGCCCATGGGCCACAGGTTGGACAAGCTTGTTTTAAAGCAACTAATCTAAAAAAAAAATCACACATGCACACACACACACACACACACACACACACACACACACACACACACACACACACTTTGCAGTGATATCTATATCTTCCTGTGGACCTAAGGTTATGTCTGGTATCATTTCTCTTTAGCCTGAGGAACATCTTTTAGCATTTCTCATAGTGCAGATCCTCTGAAGAGTCAGTCTGCTGTTGTCACTCTGAAAACATCTTTATTTTATTTTTCCTTTTAAAGGATATTTTCTCTTGATATAGCATCCTAGGCTGAGCGTTTTGTTTTTCATTTGTTACTTTAAAGACGTTGTTGCATTTTCCTATGTCCTTCCTTGTTTCAGATGACAAGTTGGCTATTATTTACATAGACTTTACCCTGGATATAATGTGTCCTTTTTTGGACTCTGTTTAAAAGCAGCAAATCTGCTTTTAAAATTTGCTGTTTATCTTTTGTTTTTTTCCCTCAGCAGTCTGAATATTATGCTTGAATAGGTGTGATATTTTTTGTGTTTATTCTGTTTTGAGATTGTAGAGCTCAAAAAGCTTGTGGATTGATACCTTTCATCAATTTTGAAGAATTTTCAGCTATAATTTCTTTAAATACATTTTCAAATAATTGTTCTGCCCTATTTAAATGTAAAAGACAATGATTGTAATATTATTTATTATAGGAAAAGCTAGAAACATCCACATGTTAATGGGGAATTTTTAAAATTTATAAAAAACCAAAATTCTATTTTTTTAAAAAAAGAGGGATATATATATGTATATGTTGATAAAGTGAGTCCTCTTTTCCATTTTGTTATAAAAGTGTGGTACATCTAAGTTATTGTAGGCTGTACTTCATACTACTTCATGAACAGTGTAAGAATCTTACCACAGTCTGTTCCCATTTATAGAATGGTTTTGTTTATGTAAATACAAATGATATAAATAGGTATATGTACACAAACACACACATATTCTTGCATATATAGATGCATAGACAAATAGAAATAAATTGTAAATAATGGTTTGTTTTGAGTGCCAAAATTGGAAGTTGGAAAATTAGTTTTTTCATTTTATAATTTTCTATGCTTTTAAAGAATCATGGGATAAATATCGGTAAAAATAGCAAATAAAAATGATGTGAAAAAATTTAAAAACAAGTTTGATATTTACAGGAAAGTGATTCATAAAATGGTCAATCAACCATTTACAAAGGCAACTCAATAAATCCAAATTTTTAGGCTTCAGGAAAATATGGAAATGTATTCATATACTTGCTGTCATAGTAACTTAGCACAAGTTTAGTAGGCTAAACAACACAAATATTTGTCTTATAGTGTGTTATCTTAAAGGAGTCTGCCATGGGTCTCACTGGGCTAAAATCAAGGTGTCAGCAGGGCTGTGTTCCTTTCTGGAGGCTTTATGAGAGGATTCATTTCCCCATTTGAAGCCACAACAGCAGGTCAAATCCTTCTGTGTTCCATCTCTCTGACCCTTCTTTTGTTGTCACATTTCTAAGTGCAGCTGGAAAAGTTTCTCAGCTTTAAAGGACTCCTGTGATTAAATTGCACCTGAATAATCACGGATGATCTCCCTCTCTCAAGGATTGAGATCCATTATCTTAATCACATCCGTAATTCCCCTTTTGTCATATATGCCAACACATTCACCGATTTTGGGGACTAGGGCATGGACATCTTTGGGTGTGGAATGACTAACCAAGTCTGGGCTCAGCTGGGGTCACTTAGGGTCTCTCATCTTCCTCTCATCTTCCACATGTCTCATCTTCCTCTAGGACCAGTGGGTCACCTGTAGCATGTTTTATTCATGGGAATGATGAAGCACAAGATAGCGAGCAGAAATACCCAAAGCTTTTGGAATCACAGGCTCAGACTTGTACATTGTTACTTCAACTTCTATTGGCCAAAGTAAGTTATATGACCCAATAGAAGAACTATTCAATTACATGGAAAGGGATGTGGACATGGGGGCCATTAGTATAATATACCACATTCTTCAAGCCCAGTTATTTCACCCCTAAGCTTCTTAGCCTCAACAGATGACCCCTAGACAATGAATAAGCTTAGCTGTGATCAGCAGATCCAGCCAGCCAAGAGAAAAATTGTGAGAATAAGCAGTTGTTATTTTAAGCCAATGAATTTTTTGGGTGGTCTACTATACAATCAGAGGGAACCAATACAGAAATTGGTATCCAGAAATGGGGTACTTCAAAAAACACCTGAAATATGTGGCATTGCTTTAGAACTGAGTGGTGGTAGGACACTGGAAAAATGGTGAGAAAACTATTATAGGAGACTTAAAAAATGGTGAGTTGGTTTGTAAAATAATCACTTGTAGTATTGGAAAATAAAATTGTTTCTCATGTCTAGTTTCTGCAGTCAGTAACAGATTCTGAGTGAGGTAAAGTTTGGGGGAAGGAGGTAATGGTCAATTGCTGCCAATAAGTAATGGTCTCAGAGTAAAGTCCAAATCAAGAAAGTAGCCACATGACCTTTCACTAAGACTTCTGAAAGAATCAGGTTGATACCCAATCTATCCTCTCTTCTATACCCTAGGACTTTTAGGAATCTTAAGGTCATGGCCCACAGCAGTCTGACATAACAATCCCTCCAAAGGCTGGAGATATGTAGAATTGTTCTTACAGAATGGCTTTAGATACAGGGAATAAAATAATGAAGGATATTAGAAACCCACAACATTTTTGAGAAGGCTGTAGTAGCATAAGGGCCATTTGTCTGAAATAAAAGAGATAGAGCAATATAAAATGTTAGAAGGCCTTTGGGCTTCCAATTTTTATGACCAATAATCAGGCTAAAATTTTTTCTCAACCTATGTTCCAGTGAGCTCTTTAGAAGTGGCCAAGGCAGTTGATGGAAAGGAAGGATTTTGTAGAAGGTGGAACCAAGATTCATCGGTAACACTGAACTGAGGCCACATGTGGTAGCGCACATCTGTAATCACAGTATTTTGGGAGGCCAAGGTGGGAGGATTGCTGGAAGCCAGGAGTTCAAGATCAGCCTGAGCAACATAGTGAGACATTGTCTCTCGAAAAAAAAATAACTGGATATGGTGGTGTGCACCTGTAGTCCTGGCTACTTGGAGGCTGATGCAGGAGGATCACTTGAGGCCAGCAGTTCAAAGCTTCAGTGAGCTATGATCAATCTGGGTGTCAGAGGGAGACTGTCTCTAATAAATAATAACAGTTTTAAAAAATGAACTGTTGAGCCACATTCAGGGAACAGAGACAGAGTAAAATCAAGAAATATTTACAATTTCAAAAATGGAAGGACCTGGAAACATTTTCCCAGCAGGATTTCAGACATGCTATAGATCAGTGACTGTTATGTGCCTCTCATTTTCTGCTTTTTGAGTTGGAATGTTTATTGTAATTATCTTGTCCCTGTTTCACAACTGCATGCTGTGTGTGTGAGGTAGCTATATTGCCTTCTTCATTCATAGGTTTCTGGATCAAGAAGATCTGTGGTTTATACCTATTATATGGGCTTCCAACCTGATATTGTGTTTGGATGAGACTTGGGGGTCACTGGATGGAGATGAGCATATTTCTTATGTAGGAGGAACATGAATAATTCTCGCCTCATGGTGGACTTGTGGTAGGTTGTATTAGTGACTTGCTATGGTCTGAATGTTTGTGTCCCCCTGCCCCGCAAATTAATATGTTGAAATCTTAACCCTCAAGGTGATGGTAGGAGGAGCTAGGGACTATTGGGAGGTGATTTGGGTCATAAGGAATGTTCCATCATGTGTGGAATTAGTGTCTTTGTAAAAGAGTCCCCAGAAGGCTGCCTTGCCCCTTTTACCATGTGAGGACACAGTGAGATGTCTGCAGTCTGCAATCTGGAAGAGGGCTCTCACTGGAACTTGACCATGCTGGCACCCTGATTTTAGACTTTCTAGCCTTCAAAACTGTGAAAAATAAAATTCTGTTGTTTATAAGCTAACGAGGTATTTTGTTATTGCAGCCTGAACAGACTGAGACAGGATTCCAGTTCTTTACTCCTTCCACTATCCAACTCCTATTCTGACTCTGGGCTTGGTCACGTGACTTTCTTTGGCCAATACATGTGGTTGAAATGCCTGTGTGTCACTTCTGAGCTTGGCCTTTTAGAGATTTTTGTCTATGTACTTGCGCTCCTTCATCTCTGCCATCACTATGAGAAGGTCACATCAAGTTTATTCACTGGTTCTAGGAATGATGAAATTGCATTGTGCATAGCCAACCTAAACACACACGAATGAGTTAGCCAAACTGGAGATAAGTGCGAAGTCCAGCTGAGATCATCCACATTTAGCGTAGATCAGCAGAATATTTCAAAGTGTGAAAAATACATGTTTTTTATTGTATGTTATTGGTACTTGTGTTTGATTGTTATACAGCAATTGTGGCTGATAAAAGGAATGTCCCAGGAGTTTAGAACAGTCTTTTTGTAAATTCTGAGAAAACTAACCAACTGTAATTCTTAAGGCATGTGCAGTGCGCAACTATCAAGGCTGTGCAGTTGAAAAGCAATCCCTCCAACACTCAATTTTTTTTTCCTGTTGATGTACGACTGGGCTTGAAATTCTACCATTTGGACAAAGACACTGTATTTCTTATAGTCTTTCACTAAAATACAAACACCCCATGAAAACAGTAACATATTAAGGCATCATCAGCAGGTATTACGTATACATTCATCAGAAAAGCCCATTGGATGAAGGATTACACAGAGTTGGGTCATGTGCAGATGGGTATTCCAGGAGGAGTTGGGCACAGTGTGAAGAGGTGGGCAGAATCTAAAAATGAATATTGTTTCTTCTCAGCTTTATCTTGAGACTTACTGTCTTAGAGGGTAAATTTAATGAATTGAATATTATATATAATCCTATATTTTAATATATAGTAGAAAATATATAATTATATGTTGTATATCTTCTAGTCTCTTTCATTTCATAGACAAGAAAACTGAGATTTTTATTTTACTTTATTATTTTAATTTAATTTAATTTAATTTAGAATTGGGGTCTTGCTCTGTCACCCAGGCTGAAGTGCAGTGGTGTGATCATAGTTTACTGTAGCCTTGAAGTCTTGGCCTCAAGCAATTCTCCTGCTTCAGCCTCTTGAGAAACTGAGTTTTAATGACCTGTGAAGGCTGGCAAAAGCCAACCAAATTAACCACTGATGCACTAGAAAGTATGTTTGGGTAGTAGTTTAGATTTGAAAACATTGGCTTTGCCACTAGACCTCTGGGATATGGCTGCAACATAGACTTGTAATATTTATTTTTTTACTCACTGAATTTTCCTCTTCTTTTACTTTCTTGGACACTGCCAGTGTTTTCTTTCTGTTCAACAACCTATGTGTTGGGTGGTGCCTGCTTACTAGTTTAGATCAGAAACGATGTTGTACTCAGTTATGCTCATGCTATGTGATATGAGGTGCTCCCACTGGACCTGACTTACTTGATCAGTCAGAGAAGATGGCATAAAAACTATGGTCTTTCTGGCATGGGCCCACTGTCCTGGATTCCTGCCGTCTTTGGCCTAAGATCAGGTTAAGGGTGGTCATTGAGTTTTTCTAGGCCTTTTTTTATGAAGGTCTCTTTCAACCTCTCTAAGCAGAGGCAAATGACTGAGCTGAGTATAAAACAGGAATCACACATCTAGACAAAGTAGATAGTTTTTTCTTTTTCGAACAAATTGTTTTACTTTCTGTTTAAGACATACGTTGTATATATGTTTATTGTAATTATCCTGTCCCTGTTTCACGACTGCATGCTGTGTGTGTGTGAGGTAGCTATATTGCCTTCTTTATTCATAGGTTTCTGGATCAAGAAGATCTGTGGTTTATACCTATTATATGGGCTTCCAACCTGATGTTGTGTTTGAATAAGACTTGGGGGTCACTAAAGGGAGATAAGCATATTTCTTATATAGGAGGAACATGAATAATTCTTGCCTGATGGTTGACTTGTGGTAGGTATATATATATATGTTGTGTTTGGATAAGACTTGGGGGTCAAATATATATATACACACACACATATATATACATATATACATATACATATATACATATATATACACACACACATATATACACACACATATATATATATGTCAAACATATGTTATATATTGTTTGACAGAATCCTGCTCTTTCACTCAGGCTGGAGTACAGTGGTGCAAACATAGCTCACTGTAGCCTCAATCTCCTAGGCTCAAGCAATCCTTTCACCACAGCCTTCTGAGTAGCAGGGACTATAGGTGCATGCCACCATGCCCGGCTAAATTTTTAACTTCTTAAAGGGATGAGGTCTCACTTTGTTTCCCAGGCTGGTCTTGAATTCCTGGGCTCAAGTGATCCTCCTGCGCTGGCCTCCCAAAATGTTGGGATTACAGGCGCAAGCCACTGAGCCTGGCTAGTCTAGCATAATCTTGAGGAATAATTGGATATTACCTGAATTGATTTTCAACCATCAGCTGCTGAGGTCCCCTCCTTTAAGCAATTCATACATCAGAGTAGAGGGGACCATATCCATGGTTCACCAGTGGTTAAGCTTCATGGGTATGATGTCAAGACTCTTCTCTTGGTGGAAAACTGACCTGCTTTTGAAGCCAAGATGATGCAAAATGATGACATTACATGAAAACATTTACTTTCTCATTTGAGTAGAGAGATGGGCTTAGTTATTTATGAATAGACTAATTACAGGGTAGTAAACATGTAAAAATTCATGTAACATTAGATAGAGTAAGATGTAAGACTGAAAACTGCTCATGTTTTTGTTCCTTTCAGTTTGTAACTTTTGAGAATAGACTAGACTAAATCATGTAACATCATGCTTTCCTGCGAAATGTTTTTCATGTCTAGGTGCTTCCAGATGAAGGAAGCTTCATCATGCAGCACCAGACATGGTCTCAGTATGCTGGAACAGACTGTACAAAGGCATTCTGAAACATTACTCTTCCGTGCTATCTTTATAATCTAATTTAATTTAGCTTAACAAGCTCTTCTTGTCCACCATTTGAACCTAATGCTTGCTAGTGTAGGATGAGCAGTAGTAACCATGACATAATTTAATGGTCAGGAGTAGTGTTCAATGGTGTTACATAGGAAGTATCATGGTTTTGCACAATTAGAGAATTTGTATTCAGTTGGACTCTAATTGAAATGTGACTGTCCACTAAAGTCCTGACATGCCAAAGAACACAAAAAGTGGTGTTAGGTTTAAAGAACTGCTGACAAATACAGGTCATTCCTATACTAGCAAGTAAAGAGAGCAGGTCACATTTACAGAGTATGATAGGGGAAGAAAACTATTTTAGGCACTCTATTTAAAGAGAACTTCATGTGTTTGTAGGTTTAAAAACTAAGAATTATGTACAAAGAATTTGTAGTTTAAAGATTAAGTACTATATACAAAGAAACAATGGCTGCCCCATACTAAATATCATGGGAAAGAACTTGTGGAACACAGGGGGATAATAATGAAAACATGGTAAAATTAATGTGGGGACTGAACTTGAGCAAAGACACAACCATATAAATCCTTACTGGATTCACAATGCCAAGGCATGTGAAAGTGATGTTGTCAATACCATTGTCATCATCAGCACCACACAATGATTTATCCAGTACTTATTATAAGTCTCTGTGATAAATGATTTATGCACTTTAGTTTATCTAATTTCTTTTTCTTTTTCTTTTCTTTTCCTTTTTTTTTTTTTTTTTTTTTTGAGATAGAGTCTTGCTCTGTCACCCAGGCTGGAGTTCAGTGGCACGATCTCGGGCTCACTGGCAACCTCCGCCTCCTAGGTTCAAGCGATTCTCATGCCTCAGCCTCCCGAGTAGCTGGGATTACAGGCACGTGCCACCATGCCTGGCTAATTTTTGTATTTTTAATAGAGATGGGTTTTCACCATGTTGGCCAGGCTGGTCTCGAACTCCTGACCTCAGTGATCTCCCCGCCTCAGCCTCCCAAAGTGCTAGGATTATAGGCATGAGCCACCGCGTGTGGCTAGTTTACCTGATTTCCAAATAACTCCCTGAGGTAGGTCCTCTTATGTTGATTTTATAGATGAGGACACTGGATACACTAACTCCCATGCCCAAAATTACACAGCTGGTATCCAGACTCTTTTCTGCCTTAAGATATTAATCATCATACTACATAAGCTTACCCATGAAATACTAGAGATACAGTTTCCACATCAGCATTTGGGCTTCTCATTCCTCACAAATCTTTTTGTCATTTTCTGTTTCAGAGTTAAATATGCCATTCAGGACTATTTATGTATACATACCCATAATGAATGAATGAATCCTTTCTGCACTCAGAATTCTTGTAACCAGAATTAACATAAACACCCTCTTTTACAGAAAGATCTGTTGGCAAGACTTAATTATTTCTGGACGTGCTGTTATTACAGTCTTTATTACAGTAATTCAAAGCTCTGTTCATCTACGAAAGAAACTTACTAAAGTAAGCTGTGAAATCAACCACAAAGGCATCTCTTCTGTTGAAACAAGAGAAATGTCTTTAAAGGTGAGAATACACTGAAAATCCTTAACACTTTCTTTTTATTGTTTTTTTAAAAAGCTGGTTTGAATTGTCATTACAGTTTTCCAGGTTCTCTGGAAAGGACTGCTTTGCATTAAACTATCTTGATAGCAGGGTTTGCGCTGCATAAACAATGACAGCCTGTCAGACTGCTATGGTCTGTGTAGAATGCTATTGCCAGCTTTTTAATGTTTATTTCATTCTATAGATTTTTACTCTTTGGATGAAAAAAAATAAATTCTTACTGTTTATTTTGTTGGTATGATGGTATTTTGAGTATAGTTTTGAATATGTTATTTACATATGATTTTATTAGAGTGATTATCTTTGGGTCTTCGTGTAAAATGTAAAGATACCAGCCTGATAATCTAGGTCTCTGGTTATGTTTTTTTCTTTCTTTTTTTTTTTAAATGTAAGTTGTAGCCAAAAATCATTTAAAAATGTTCTCTTCACACTGTATTTTTTCTTTTTGAATCTTGCCTTCCACTGAAGGTTCAGGGAGAAAATGATTTACTTTTCTTTGTATTTTGTAAAAATGATGAAATTGTCTTTATTTTGCCTGTTCAACTTTTCTCATATAGAATTTATCTTGTATAAACATAGATATCACTGCTATTCCCTTAGGTAAAATTCAGAATATTCTTCATTATTTTGAGGGAAAAAGAAGATAAGTAAAGAGATATACATATATAATATTTATATATTATATATACCTTTATATCTCAGATTTATATATAGTTAGATTTATATATAGTTAGATATACATATATGAAGATATACATATCTTTATGTAAAGATTATATATGTCAGTGGGGTTTAGATTATTATGAGCCGTTGTTATTTATGGTGAAGCTAACTGTAGGGTTCTCAAAGCCAACAGTTAAGCTTGTCTGATTTAATGCCAATGAATCTAATATTTTATACTGTTTTATATGCAAATGACAGATGTGAATATGCACATGCATTTTATTTTAGAGTAGAATTTGATTGTTTGTTCTTAGCATTCTTTTTCCAGAGTTGTATTTTTCTCTAGAAGACAATTCTGCCCACATAGGGGTCTTCTGAAAATAGGAGGAATAACATAAGGGAATAACTAAGAGTGCTGTCCTAGCCAAAACTTGACAAAAGGATGTTTGACAAAAGGTTACAGAAACCACATGGAGACAAAGTACTTAGAGGTATATCAACCAAATTGTGACTGCGGATTGCTGTGCCATCAGTTACCTAAGACAGCTACTCTCCCTGTGGCTTTCTCACTTTCTCGGACCACAGGATCTTAATGTGTCTGCCTCTTTCTCTATGTTGCTCCATTCTTTTTCTGCACATCAGTCTATTTATACATTTGTCTGCATCAAAATGGCAAGCTCAATCAGAGTCCATCCATCCACTTGGCCCTTTAGTTAGATTACGTTCTACCCACTGAGTACAGCTGGGATTTCTCTTTATTTAAATTCTTCAGGAAGTATTTTAATTGGGTGCTGGCTAGACAATAGATTGCCTGGTCTTGGATCGAGTGTCCACTATTTATCCAGTCAATCATAGTAATACTGCAGATAACATGAACATTTGAGACTGTTTCTTACAGAGTTGTGGGAAGGGCAGGCACATTTACAGCCTAAAAGAAATAATAGGAATACTTATAAGGAGGTAAGTGGTTTTGAGGGATTTTTTGACAGACCTCAAATCACCCTTCTGATTTAATTTACATATGAGTCAGCTATTTGCATTAAGAAAAATACCTCAACATATCAAAATGTTCAGCCCTCTGACATTTTGCTTCATTAAAAGCAATTGCCTAGGATCCTCTTTGCTTTCTTCCTGTTCTATTCCCAGTTTACTTTCTCCCCTATAGATACCACTGCAGCCCTTTAGGCTACAGTTGGGCATCTCCCAGCAGTGCTCCCTATTTCTTCTTCTAATGTCTCAGGGAGGTTATTCTGCTGTAACTCAAGGTTTTAGATCCAAACTTCAGTATTAGATTCCTTGGTAAGTATTTGGGCCCCCCTTTGAAGTGTCATTTGAAAGTTTAGCTGACTTATGTGAATTTCCAATTCCTTTGTAAGAAGGGTGAATGGGAACTTTTTAACTGGCAGAGGAGTTAGTTTCTTCCAACTCTGTTGGTTATGTCTAAAAAGTAGGAGATTTGGCTGGGTGTGGTGGCTTACACCTGTAATCCCAGCACTTTGGGGGGCCAAGGAGGGTTGATCACCTGAGGTCAGGAGTTCAAGACCAGCCTGGCCAACATAGTGAAACCCCATCTCTACTAAAAATACAAAAAATTAGCTGGGCGTGGTGGCGGGCACCTCTAATCCCTGCTACTTCGGGGGAGGCTGAGGCAGGAGAATCGCTTGAACCCAGGAGGCAGAAGTTACAGTGAGTCGAGATCGTGCAATTGCACTTCAGCCTGGGCAACAAGAGCAAAACTCCATCTCCAAAACAAACAAACAAACAAAAAAGGAGATTTATTATTTTCAGGAACATGAACGAAAAGTAAATTAACTCTGAGACAGGTAGGAAGCAAATAGGACTATTATGCTGAGAAGTCAAGGTCAACAAAGTCATCTTTTTGGAAGTGAGTCTTAACTGGGAGCACATCTTTACAGACTAAAGATATTAGTTAATTGCACTTATAAATTCCTTATGTGCCAATTTTGACATTTGATCTTGGCTACTTTTGAGGACTGTTTAGGACCCTTGTTTGAGACACAGAGAGAAGAAACCACTCACTTGAAAATGATAATTCAGGCCTCTTGATGGATTCACCATTGGTCTTTCTATCCAAGGAGGGTTAAATACCAATCAATCTGAGCCACTTAATGGCAATATCAAAGCACTGATTCTCTTCCTCTTCTGCCCATGATCTATGCTCTGACATGGATATTGTATTACATCCTAATCTCTATACACTGAACAGTCATTCAGTTTGTCCGGCGGGCTAAATGGGTCCCAGTATCAGCCTTCAAATTCAGAGTTACAAACAGAATTGCTTATGGAAGTCACAGGCTTCAGCCATCCTGCATAAAGTGATTTAAACTGGAGCCAGAAGGCGAAGTCTGAAGACTGATATAAGCAATGATGAGACATCCTCTACGTGCCTCCCATTTTCTTTTTTCTATCTGTGCTAAAAACTTGGCTAGAACAAAGTGAGCTAGCTACGAGGAGAAACGCACAGTCAAGTTGCTATGTCACCTTTGGTGAGCTGTTTGGCCTTTTTGGGTCTCCATTTCTCCAGGAAAATGAAAGTGTTGGGTGAGATGAACAGTTCCTAGCCCTGATAGTGGGTTGCTTGAGTATATTGTGATTGGTTGGGAAGTGTTTTGGAAGCAATTTGTTACAGATTACATTTAATATAAGTTTGGGAAATGGTTTTGTATTTTAAGAGTGAATTCAAAGTTGTTCCTATAATATCGTCTCTCTTATTTGCTTGCATTAAGTATACTTAATGCAAGGTATACTTTCATGAGTGAAACAGGAGAGAGGTGAATTACTTTCCTAGGCCTGCAATAACAAAGCACTATGAACCATATGGCTTAAAACACAGACATTTAATCTCTCACAGTTATGAAGACTATAAGTTCAGAATCAAGATATTGGCAGAGTCATGCTCCCTCTGAAGTCTCTAGGCTGTGGTTTGGTGAATCACAAATCCTAAATAATAGCAGTAACATCAGTAGTGAGTGAGGAACTCTCTAGACACTTGAGAGCGATTAGTCACTGCATTGGCTTTTATGGAGACATAGATGTCTCTTGAAAAATCGGTAAAGCCATCCAAGTAGTTGAGGACATTATCTCCTCTGACTTCCAGACTGTTTTTTGGGGAGTTCTTCATTTGGCCTTTGGGGCTTAAATCTCCTAGAGCTGTTTAGATAGTCATTACTTAAAGGATTCCAGGCAACTGGGGTGTACCCCATCTTACAGTTTTCCAGACAGGGCATTTCCATTAAGATGCCCTCCAATGCTAAAAGCTCCCATTTCCAGTAGTTTTGTTCTGAATTTAATATCTAATATGGCAGACGAAATGGATTTTCTTCTATTTGTGCTTAGAGGAGATAGTGAACTGCATTTTAAACTCCGTAAGAAATAGGAGGAGATTACCAAGTTTTCTTTTAAATGCTCAACAAAATTAAATGCAGACTTTTCAAAGAGGGCTGCAGTGGGGCCAGTGGCAGTTGTGGGTGTGTAACTGGGTGAGCCCAGGCAGGGAAGCCAAGAAGCCAGGTTGGGTTTTTCCGAAGACCAGGCACTGCTGATTCCTGCCTGCCACGGAAACCAGAGCCCAGGGCGGGCAGGACTTATGGCTCCAAGATCATGACCCGTCTTCTCTCCCGCAAACCCCTTCCGAAGACTTCGCAGTGGCTGCTTGCTGAACGAACCCGCCCATTGACGGATGAGAGCTTCGGTGGGCTGAGCCCCCGTAGAAAGATGCGCACCTCGCTCCTCGCTGGCCGCCGAACCTCCGCCTGGGTGACCACACTCCCGGGGCCCTCCTGTCCAGTGCCTTGGCCACTGACCTCTCACAGATCACCAACAACCTGTATATTCAAGGGGTGGCCCAGAAACACGCTCATGCTGTCCGGTAATCGTATCACCACTGTCGTCAATGTCTCAGTGGGGGCGTTGGACGCCATCTTCCAGTGGCGTTCAGGATGCTCAGGTGCCTGTGGCCGCCGCGCGCGTCTCGCACTTGCGCAACTTGCTGGGCCACATCGCGGATCACATTCATGGTCGCGAGGCAGGGCTGCCCCTCTCTGCCCTCTCCCAGGGAAGTAGCAGCTGCGCCCCTGCCGGACACCCATCAGCCTGACAATGGCTTTGGGGAGCCCTGCATCTACCAGGAGTTCCAGTGGTTTGGCAAGAATATTGCGCACATAGTCAGCTCCCTGAGGGGTGGTGTGATCCCTGAGGTCCATGAGAAGGAGGTCGGTTTAATGGGTAACCCAACCGAGGGGCATCCTGGCCAGCCCTGCCTGCGGGGTCCCAGGTGCTGGTCGGCTGTTGTTCTTCCACCAAGATCTGAACTTGAGCTTGTATAATACTTTTGTTTATTCAGAAACTCACATGATGTCTCCTATAATAGGAAGGAAAAAAGGGAGAGTTACTGGAGGTTTTGACCTTATAGTCCACATATCTTTGAAGAGTAAAACTCACTAAATAGAAGATGAATATTAGTTTCCTACCCTGAGAGTGCCAAGTCATGACCACTAGTGCCTGGTCAGGGAGGTGAAGCAGGTGGTGCCCACTCAGGGGGACCGGCCAGCAGCACCCAAGCCATGTGTTAGGCCTGGAATATTACAGCCCTGCCCAGCCTGTCTACCCATTCCTGCCCAGCCTGTCTACCCAGGAGCAAGTCAGCCAGAATCCTAGCTCATTCATTGGAACCCAAAACCACAGAGCCGTAGGCACCGTGGCCCTCTGGTATCTCTCACAATGAGAGCCAACCTACAAAATACGTGGCCTTCAAATGGTTCTCTGGGAGCCCAGGGAGTCTCAGACGACCTCAGGTCACCCTTGCTCTCATCTCTAACCAGAGCAGCCCAACTTTGGTTTCCTAGAAGGGCTTAAGCATAAGAAAGCTTTTGAAGAAAGTATTCCTATACTAATCTGTTCCCACATTGCTATAAAGAAACATCTGACACTGGGTAATTTATAAAGAAAAGAGGTTTAATTGGCTCATACTTCTGCAGGCTATACAGGAAGCATAGCGACTTCTGCTTCTGGGGAGGCCTCAAACAATTTTTAGTCATGGCCGAAGGCAAAGTGGGAGCAGGCATCTTACATGGCAGGAGCAGGAAGAAGAAAGAGAGAGGGAGGTGCTACACACTTTTAAACAAGCAGATCTCACAATAACTCACTATCAGGGGAACAGCACTGAGGAGATGTTGCTAACCCATTCATAAGAACTCCTCCCCAGTGGTCCAGTCACCCTCCCACCAGGCTCCACCTCCAACACCAGGGATTACAATTCAACTTGAGATTGGGTGGGGACACAGATCCAAACCGTATCAAATCAACTGTATAACATTTAAAAATAATGTTTTGTCAGGTGACAAGGTCTCAAGGTGTTTGCAGCTACCTTCCACCAGCCTTTGAGGAAAAATGGCTTAAGTCTCCTTGTCTGAGGCATGTACTGAGAGAAGGGCAGGCCTGTTTTCAGTCCTTGGGGTTTTATTTTGCAGGCCTTGGCTTGGAAGGTTGCAGCTGTGGGCTGGGACCCAGCTCTGTCACCTCAGTCACTTGCATTGCATTTGATATGGGGCCTCCTGGAGGCCCGATGACCTCACCTGTCAAAGTAATGACAGCCCTTCTCTCACAGCGTTGTTGTGAGGATGAACTGATCGCTAGCAGTGGACCTGGAACATGGCACATGCTTAAAGAGCAGTTCTTGTTATTAATGATAATCTTGGGCTCTGCCGGTCCTGGGGAAGCACACTCATCCCCATCCACAGCATTTTCCCCATCTGTGCATATCCCTTTATTTTTATAAAGTGTGCTTCCAAATATCATCCTGTGGGAGGGGGAAAAAATGGTTTAAGATCCTTTCAGACCCTCCATCAGGGAGGACTAGATTTTGCAGCCTTTTCAGAGTTCTCATTGTGTTTAATCCAAAGGTTGTAAAGCAAGGAGCTCCTGCCAGCTGGATCTCAAAGTGTTTTCTTTAGAATCACTCACCATCAGAGCCAGTTCCCTGGTCTGGCTAACCACTGCAAGCCACAGGAGCACTTGCCCAAGGGACAAATGAGTTGGCCTCAGCAGTAGGCCCTGGAATTGGGAGGGTTCAAACTCCTGGAATGCCTAGGGATGCAGTTTGGGATCAGCTATTGGAATCTGGAGGTCTGCAGACAATATATGAGACAAAACAAAAGTACAAATGCTCTGATTGATGTGAAGCTGTGGCTCCAGAGCCCAGGGGAGGCTGAATGCACTTTCTCTCCAAACACACCCACTTCCACAAAGGGAGTGGCCAGAGACACCATTTGGGAGGAAAAATGAATGAAAAAAAAGTCACTGCTCTAGACTGATCCTCTTCTTTTAGAGATGGAAAATCAGGCTAAGAGAACACAGATGTGGCAGAGTTCCTCAAAGCAGCTTTTCTGGCAGAAACCTAAATAGAAAATTTAAAGCACTTTTTAAGAGAAAGTTATGTATGTAATATATATTATATATAACATGTATATTAAATGTTATGTATAAATAAAATTATATATAATATAAATATATGCAAGTTTATATCTGTCACTTAATTTTTTTAAATTTAAAAATACTTTTTAAAATTTAAGTTAACATTGTTTTATTTGTATGTATTCATGGGGTACAAGTGCAATTTTGCAACACTGATATATTGCATTGTGGTGAAGTCAGGGCCTTCTGTGCATCCATCACTGGAGTAACACACATTGTATCCACCAAGCATCCTCTCATCATCCACCCGCTTCCTACCCCTCTCATCACTCTGAGTCTCCATTGTCTATCATTTCTTTGTTTCATTTAAAAATACCATAAAATTAACTTTTTTGGAAGTACAGTTATATGAGTTTTGACACATGTATAGTTTTATGTAACCATAACCACAGTCAGAATCCAGGGCAGTTCCATCACCCTGAAATATTCCCTCATGCTTCCTCTTTGTAGGCAAGCCCTCACCCTACCCCAGCCTCTGGCAAACACTGATTTGTTCTCCTTCCCTATGGATTTGCCTTTTCCAAGGTGTCACATAAATGTCATAATGCATAACATGACCTCTGGAGACTGGCTTCTTTCACTGAGTACAACGTCTTTGAGACTAATCCATATTGCTGCTTTTTGGTGGTATTCCATTTTATGGATGTCCCACAGTTTGTTCGCCCAATGAAGGATATTCAGGTTGTTTCCATTTTTTGGTGATTATGAATAAAGCTGCTATAAATGTGAAAGTCATATTAAAACAAAGGTAATATATAGTCAAAATTCATTACTTCCTTATGGTCTTACTAAATTTTAATAAGATACTAAATTTTATTATCTGTGCTGAGGTTATTTTACATCTGTTGTATCTGTATGTGTGGGGGTTCAGTCAGGATGGTGGGAGAAATTGTAAAATTATAGGAAATAAACACAAACCCTCTTGGAAGGCCTGAGGGTTTGCATAAACTATTTGGCTGAAGGCAGCTGAATTCTCTTAAAAGCTTAGGGCACAGATACATAGGAATGTAGAGGAGTTTATCTAAATAGCTTGTTTACTCATGTGGTCCTAAATCAACCTTTGATCATTCGAGGGCAGAATGGCCCTCTCCGTGGTCGGGGGGAGGTGACCAGGTTAATTACCCACAGGTGTGTTGACTCAAAGCCTCTGTCAATTAAATCTGTACTAAATAAATGTAAGCATTACCAGCTTAGACGGGCAGCAAACTCTCTTTGGCTCCTGGTGCCGGCAGCCCCCTGGCCTGCTCTTTCACTGAATATCGGTGTCTGAGTACGTGTCTCATCTGCTGTGCAGCTGGGGTCTGCAGGACAGACCCCCACATGTACGGCAGAAATGCTATATATGATGGTGTGTTACTGAGGATCTCTTCTTCAACTCCCAGTGCAGTCATACTGATAGTTTGAAGTCATCCATGGTGGGAGTATTTACAGCATAGAGACTGGCAAGTGCCACACATCAGGACCTACCTGCCCCCCCTACAATCCCCAGACAGTGGTTAAACATTTCTCAGCACACTACTGATGCTGATAACAATGACAGCGTACACCAGAAACTTTAGAAAAGGAATCCAGTAAATGTACCCTATGACTATGGGCACCATGTGATAAGGTTAGTCTTTGTGTCCCCACCCAAATCTCATCTTGAATTGTCATCCCCATAATCTACACATGTCAAGAGAGAGACCAGGTGGAGGTAATTGAATCATGGGGGTGGTTTCCCCCATGGTGTTCTCATGATAGTGAGTTCTCATGATATCTGATGGTTTTATAAGTGTTTGACAGTTCCTCCTTCACAGGCTCTTTCTCGCCTGCCACCATGTAAGATGTGCCTTGCTTCCCCTTCACCTTCCACCATGATTGTAAGTTTCCTGAGACCTCCCCAGCCATGCTGAACTGTGAGTCAATTAGATCTCTTTTCTTTATAAATTACCCAGTCTTGGGCATTTCTTTATAGCAGTGTGAAAATATACTAATACATCATATATCCTGGAGGTTTAATGTCAGCTATGATTTTAGTGAGCAGTTCATTAAATTTGCATAACTAAATGTGATTTACATTTTAACTCATATATGATTTTACCTATTACTAAGTTCATAAGTCAAAAAAACTTTTGCCAGTCTGCATATTGTATTGCCACATTTGTTTTTGAAAATCATGTTATTGAAACTCAGAGGATCACATAAATATTTGCAAGAGTGCAATGTTGATAGTTTGTAAACACTTGCAAACCATTTATTTGGGCCAGTTCAGGGATAAGATGACAAGATACTCTGTGAAGCTTGGAGTTGGCTTGACTTTTAGCTTGCTGTGATCTGATAAAATATTTTAGTTTAGTTTTCTTTTTCATTATGCACTAGCACCGCAGGCATTAGCTGGAAATGAATTGAAAGGCCTTAGAAATGGTGATTCTGCAGCCAGCAAGCTATTAGAATAGAATTAGTTATCTGGAGGTGTTTGCAAATAGAAGTGGGCCTCCTACCTATTTGTTTCCATTTCAACATTAGAGGTATGTGGGAATCTTGTTAATACCCTTTAAGAGTTTGATCCCTCTGCCTATGTGGCTTCTGATTCAGATGAACACTTAAAATCCATTAAAGGGAAATCATAAATAAAAGCAAATATGACACAGGAAAAATATACTTCTAAAAACTATTAGAAACTATTTACACAGTGTCATAAAATAAATGGACTCATGCCTGTAATCCCAGCACTCTGGGGGGCCAAGGTTGGCAGATCACGAGGCCAGGAGTTTGAGACCAGCCTGGCCAACATGGTGAAACCCTGTCTCTACTAAAACAAACAAACAAGCAAAAAAACCCCCAAAAATCAGCCAGATATGGTGGCCTGAGCCTGTGGTCCCAGCTACTCAGGAGGTTGAGGCAGTAGAACTGGTTGAGCCTGGCAGGTGGAGGTTGCAGTCAGGTGAGATTGAGCCACTGTACTGCAGCCTGGGAGATAGAGTGAGACTCTGTCTCAAAAATAAAATAAATAAATAAATAAATAAAATAAAAAACAAATTGAGACTTAGTAAGGAGAGACTATTACAATTGAGGATGGTGGACTACTGCAATGGGGGAAAGGAACTATTGCAATGGGAGAATGCATTGACTGTATTATCTACAATTGTCTCAACAATCAGGCAGAAAGAGCTTTTCTTTTATAGGGAAGAGTAAACAAGGCTAGAAAGAACCAGGTGTTGGAAGTGGGATCAGCAGTGGAGAGTTGAGCAGAAAATGTCCTTTTTTATGGTTAGCTGGTTCTCAAGAGGGGCTGTTTAGGAGATTTTGATACTTGTTCCAGTGTCCCCTTAGCTTGCAATGCTTGAGTAAGCTCAAGGGTGGGCCAAAGTTCAGGGGCATAGGGGAAGGAGTGAAGTCTCTAAGGTTTGGTCAAGTCAAGTTACTGGATATTTTGTCCAGATTGGTCTGTGGGGTTAAGCAGTTCAACTAATCATTTATAAGAAAAAAAAAGACAATTTAGAAGGTCTGTGTTTGGCTTTGTTATAGGTAGACAAGTTAGTCATTGTCAATATGAAATAATCAAAGGGATCAGAATCCAATTTTAAAGAGTTTATTCAAGCAAAAAGCTGGGAATAGCCACTTGAGAGACAAAGACTCCAGAGAAATGTGGTCAGTGTTCCAAAGTTAAAAGTTAATTTCTTCTTATATAGGCAGAAAATGAAGAAATTTAACAAGATTGCAACATTTTCTATACATGGTTGGTTTATGAGTCTTTACAATTTAATTAGTTTGTTTTATTTTCCTTATGGCTTGTTTTCATGTTTTTTAACCAATTTAAAAGACTATATTTAACATTCTATCTTAAGACAATGTGATAGCCGTGAAGTCTTTGTATAAGAAAAGTAAGAGAGAATAGGTGCAGCAAACCACCATGGCACGTGTATATCTATCTAACAACCCTGCATGTTCTGCACATGTATCCCGGAACTTAAAGTAAAATAAAAAAAAAATAGCCAAAAAAAGAGAAAGTTTTTCATTCATCATAAGAACTTTATATAAAGGCATTAAATTGGCAAATAAGATTTGGAAGCAGAAGGTCAAAAAGATTGCTAAAATGAGGCCTCCATGCAAAACATACTTCTGCTCCCCTGTATAATATTCCTTCTACTCATTTGACATTTTGGGGACCAATGTGCTTTTTCCTTCAGGAAGTGGAGATACATGGCCTTCTCCTCATCTTCTTTTCCTTCTCCTGCTTTCCTTCCCCCATAGAAAGTACCTTGAAATAGCATAGTCCATCCTTGCATGTGCACAAGCTATCATTTGAGTAAAAGTATACATGGAGTAAAAATCATATTAAGGATCAGATTCAACTTATATTTTCTATTTCTTCTTCCTTTCCCTTCTCCCACCTTCTACTGGGCAGAATTATATCTTAATCAAATTTGTATCCTGTGCCATATATGGAAAGGTGCAACATATGGTGTTTGTTAAAAGCATTTTTATTGCAGAGCAAAAATAAATAAAATTAAAAGCAATTAAAAAAAAAGAAAAGAAGGGGGGAAATTAATCTACAATGAAGATCAACAGTGAAGGGGGATGGAGTCTTTCCTGGTACCCTTTAGCTCGTTACATCATTTTCCAAAACAAAGAAGGCTTAATTTAACAGAGAAATGAAGGTCACAACTTCCTAAGTTATGGCTGCCTGTCACATGACTCAGGCCCCACAATCATCTTTATTTTTGGCTCAAAATAATTTAGAGTTCCAAGAACTTAGATTTTTGAATTACTTATTTTCACATCATCTATGGGCCTCTTTAAGTTATATGTAGGATGGTTCTTTATAGTAAGCTGTTTTCTGAAATACAAAAGGGTGGTGGTTGTAGTGGTCAAGGGAAAACTTCACCTTTACCCTTTGAAGATTCAAAAAATCAACTCACAAAAGGCAGATTCATAGGAGAAAAGTCATACACATTTATTAACACACACGGGAGAGAACCACGGAGTGATTACCCCAACCCCTCAATGGGGTTCAGAAGCATATATATATACACACACACACACACACACACATACATATATATACACACATATATATACACACACATATATATATATACACACACACACACATATATATATATATACACACACACACACACACACACACACACATACACATACCTACCATCTTGAGGGTTACAAGAAAAATTGGGGCTTGGATTGTGGCAAAACAGGTTATAATGACAAAACAAGTAGTCATGGGAGGGGAAAAAGAGGAGGGCTGACTAGCAAACATGGTCTTGTTATGTAGATGAAACCTCTCTGAGCAGCTCTCAGAGAGAATATATAGTAATATGTTTCTTTTAGACCTTTAAAGGTGTCAGACTCTTAGTTGATCTTTCCATGATCAGATAAAAGAAAGCCCTCGAAGAAGATCTGGCTGCGTCAATGCAGAGAAAATCTCCTTGTCAAGGAAACCTATTTTGGGGTGAAATGTTTTGGCTTCCTTCGTGGTGGTGGTAGTGGTTGGATTTCTTGACCATGGCTGTTTTTCCAGGAGCCCAGGGCTCAGGTAAAGTTTCACATTTTCAGCAACTAATGCAGTTTACGCTATATTTTACATTAGGTTTCTCTTTTGTGGGAGACCAGGATATACTGCCCTTAAATATGAAGGATTGTTGAGCAGAAGACAATTAGGAAGAAGCAGATTCAGGGAAGTTCTCTGCCTTCTCTCTATTTGCCTAAAAATATAACATGGATTTACAAAGGTATCTTGCACCCTCTTTCACTGGGGAGAACAAAGGTTAAACACTGAAGACTTCAAACCCTCATTGGACCGGAGAACATTCCAGAGGAATTTATATTAACAGGCTCTACTAATTAGCCTTTATTTGGGACTAATTTACCTTTCCTCAAGTTGCTGTCCCTAGAGGCTCAAAGTTCTTTGCCTTTGCCTTGTTACTTCTCTAAAAATTCACTGTTCTTTGTTGAAGATGCTATATAAGTGGGAATTCAGAGCCACCTCTTGGAAAACTACTCATTCTCTGGGTATTTCATATACATATATATATATATATATATATATGAATGAAATATCCATATTAATAAACTTTTTTTAATCTGTCTTTTGTAACAGGAGTTCATTTTTAATTAATCTGTCTTTTGTAACAGGAGTTCATTCCAACTAAGAACCTATGTGGGTGATTTTTCCCCTTTAGCTCTTAACTGTAGGCTCTAATGCTGTTCTCTATTTGAGAAGCTGTATCAGACATTTTTGTTTTGTTTTATATTTTCCTTTCATTTAAAAACATGTCTTCTGGAATTGCGTGGTGGGTGGAAATAAAAATTTTGCCTGGGGTTAGAACTTGTAACTTCTGTAGCTGTTGCAAGGAACCTGTATTGTCCTCCAACACAAAATCCCTAATGCTACCTGTGAGACTGAGATGTCACAAAAATATTTTAACAATTGGAAACTGCTGTACTAATTCAGACTGGTACTACTTTCCCAGTTCTCTGCAACCTAGACTAAGTTCCTCTTTGAAGCTAACAAAGAATCAACCTTCCTTTCTTTTATCCTCTCAATTTCTTCCTCTCTTTTCTCTACTTACTAATATTATCATTGTAACCATCATAGACAAGTTGTCTTCTCCATAAAGAGTCACTATACATGGATTGCCCCATTTCAATAATCACTAAAACAATATGGAACATATTAATACAGAATATTTATTAATATAGACTAAGTATATCATTCTACATTAATAATATATTATTCTATATTAATATATTTATATATGTTATTAATATATTATTCTATATTAATATATTTATATATGTTATGAATATATTAATATATTATTCTATATTAATATATTTATATATGTTATGAAAATATATTATTCTATATTAAAATTAGTCTATATTAATGTTTTAGTGATTCATATTAAAATTAATATTCATGTTAATTTTTAATAGTGCTTGATTTGGAAAGCACTCAAGAATCTTTTTGTGTCATTAGAACTATAAAACATGAACCTGCTGTACATCATCAGTGTGTGCTGCTTAGTAAGGATTTACTTTTGGTTACCTTAACACTTAAAATATACGTGTATACATACACACTTCGCACACATTCAAAATGAAATAATACATATTTGGGAAACCAAATAGTGCTGTTGACACAACAGGGGCCTCTGGGTCAGACACATAGACCTGGATATGGGTGTCAGTCCTCCCCTTACTCTCTGTAAGCCCTTGAGCATGTCACTCAAACTCTCTTAGCATCTTCCCATATCTGCAAAATGCCAATAATAGTTTTTGCTAAGGGCATTGTTGTGAGGATTAAACTGACGAGTTTGAATATGCAAAAGAAAAGACTAGGTACAGAGCAAATATTAGTTTTCTTCTCTAATTTTTTGAATGCTAGTCTGTGCGGCAAGCTAGGCTAGACATTATAGAGTTCCTACTTTTAAGGAACTTACAATCTAATTGGGGAATCATATAGACATATATATGTAAACACTTATTTACATGTCTTACATTTTCAGAATACTCACCTAGGACTTTGAAAAATTTATCAACATTTAAAATTAATCTTATAATTTAATTTTGATGCTTACTCATAATTAATTTTAGGAGGCTCCTTTTATCACCATCCCTCTGTAATCGCCTGATGGGTTCATCTTGCCTGCTGCCCTGAAAAGCCAATATACTGAGAAGCAGGTTTTCGCGATCGAGGAGGAGTTTAATAAACACTGAGCCAGATAAATGGAAGGACAGGAGTTTATTATTACTTAAATCAACCGCCCTGAAAATTCAGAGGCTAGGGTTTTTCAAGGATAGTTTGGTAGGCAGGGGGCTAGGAAATGGGAAGAGCTGATTACTTAGGGATGAAATCATAGTCAGAGCTTGTCCTCCTGGACTGAATCGGTTCCTGGTCAGGAGCCACAAGACCCAGTAAGCCAGTTTGCCAATCTGGGTGGTGCCAGCTGGTCCATCAGAAGACAGCATCTGAAAAATACCTCAAAACACCACTCATTGGTTTGACAATGGTTATGTTATCTATAGGAACAATTGGGGAGGTTAGGAATCTTGTGGCTTCTAGTTGCATGACTCTTGAGCCATAATTTCTAACTTTTTCATTTTACAAAGGCAGTCTTGTCCCCAAGCAAGGAGGGGGTTTGGAGAAGGGCTATCATGTTTGTTTCAAAGTTAAACTATAAACTAAATTCCTCCCATAGTTAGTTGGGCCTATGCCTAGGAATAAATAAGGGTAGCTTGGGGGTTAGAAGCAAGATGGAGTCAGTTATGTGAGATTTCTTTCACTGTCATAATTTTCCTATGTCATATTTTTCTTACTGTCATAATTTTTGCAAAGGTGGTTTCGCCTCTACGTTGAGTGCTTGGCCCTCTTGGTGGCTAAGTTTTACAAGTAGAAAGACTATATCCCTTCCCACTTAGCACTGTACAATAGTAGTAGTCCTTACTGCAGTTTACATTGTATGTAAGAAATATATCTGAACAGAAATCTTTGTCTTCCAGGCATGTCCTTCTCTCTCTGCACACTGGTGTTTGCATCTCTAAATTGCCCAGCACTAATTTCACTCTTCGGCAGCTATCTTCTCAAAATAAGCCAAACACCAAGCCAGCCAGATGAAATCCCCTGCCCTCCCCCCTAGATGGATAGGACATTATGAGTAAAAGAAGGAGAGTACCCTGGGTCAGTTGAATCCCACTAAGGCCACGTAAGCCAGTGAGGGAAGCAGCCTCAGCAAGGTCGCCACAGATGAGAGGACACAAGCTTGCAAGGGAACCAGGGAATGTTGGCCTCTCCTTGCACAGCATGATTACGAGGCTGTGAATGTATCCCAGTTTGTACTTCACCACGTTCCAATATCTATTTTGTCCTTGGTTGGACATGGAGCTGCAGGGTTAAATGAAACATTATTGCAGCACCAGAGACCACAGATGATTTTGTTTTGTACTTGGGACCGGTCAGTCGTGACAATGGGGGTTTCCTGCAAATTTGTTTCTAGGCTCTGTCTGGCTCTGAAACAATTTCACTTTCCATACATGAAAAACTGGGTCAGTGCCCTCAAAAGACAACTCAAGGGTTTTGTAGACATACCTTCTGAGTAGTGAGAGAAAGACTAGCGACTATTTCATGACTGCAAGAACTTAAAAAGAGCCATTCTTAGCCCAGCAAGGAGAGACTTTTCCATTTTAGCAGGTCCTACCCTATAACGATTACTAAAAGATTGCAAAGTAAATAAAAGTATTTTATCCCAAAATTTACTTCTTTCACATATTTTGAGAGCTGTTCAGAGGGACAACCAAGCAAATAATCACGCTGAACCCCCTTGGGCACTGTCTAATTGGATGTCCTAGGTCCTCCCAATTCTTAGTCCTTAAATACCTGTTTTTCTCCTCTTATTTGGACCTTGTGTCTTCCGTTTAGTTTCTCAATTCATACAAAACTGCATCCAGGCCATCACCAATCATTCTATACGACAAATGCTCCTTCTAACAACCCCACAATATCACCCCTTACCGCAAAATCTTCCTTCAGCTTAATCTCTAGGTTCCCATGCTGCCCCTAATCCCACTCAAAGCAGCCCTGAGAAACATCGCCCATTATCTCTCCATACCACCCCCAAAAATTTTCGCCGCCCCAACACTTCATCACTATTTTGTTTTACTTTTCCTATTAATATAAGAAGACAGGAATGTCAAGGTCTCTGAGCCCAAGCTAAGCCATGATATCCCCTGTGACCTGCACTTATACATCCAGATGGCCTGAAGCAACTGAAGAATCACAAAAGAAGTGAAAATGGCCCGGTTCCTGCCTTAACTGATGACACTGTCTTGTGAAATTCCTTCTCCTGGACAATGAGTCTCAGAAGTTCCCCACGGAGGAGCACATTGTGAGCCCCCGCCCTGCCCACCAGAGAACAACCCCTTTAACTGTAATTTTCCACTACCTACCCAAATTCCATAAAACTGCCCCACCCCTATCTCCGTCTGCTGACTCTCTTTTCGGACTCAGCCGGCCTGCACCCAGGTGATTAAAAAGTTTTATTGCTCACACAAAGCCTGTTTGGTGGTCTCTTCACACTAAAGAGACCACCCCTCATATTGTCTTATGCCCAATTTCTGCCTCTAAAGAAAGAAAAAGTAAAAACTAAAAGGCAGAAATGAAATCCACAAGCAGATAGCCCGGCCCCACAGCCTGGGCCTGGTAGTTAAAGATCGACCCCTGACCTAATCGGTTATGTTATCTATAGTTTGCAGAAACTGTATAGAAATGCACTGTGAAAATCCCTATCCTGTTTTGTTCCGATCTAATTACCGGTGCATGCAGCCCTCAGTCACGTACCCCCTGCTTGCTCAATCAATCATGACCCTCTCACGTACACCCCCTTGGAGTTGTGAGCCCTTTAAAAGGGACAGGAATTGCTCACTCGGGGAGCTCAGCCCTTGAGACAGGAGTCTTGCCGATGTCCCCAGCCGAATAAACCCCTTCCTTCTTTAACTCGGTGTCTGAGGAGTTTTGTCTGCGGCTTGTCCTGCTACAACACGGACGTGCGTGACAACCACCACTACCAAGATACCAAACTGTTGCATCACCAGAAGATTCCTTCCTGCTATCCATTTATAGTTATACTGTTATAGGAGTTATTAAGAAATTATTGTTAGGCAGAGAAGAAAAGGGGTCCTTAGTAAGGTTTTTGTTTTTGTTTTTGTTTTTTTTTTTCTTTTAAAGCAGCTCCAGAAACGTTTCTTGTCTAGCAGAAAAGCAACTCTTAGGGCCAGGCCAGCAAGCTTTGATAAGCAAATGCCAGCCATTAGAAACTGGGTCCACTCAATATAGCGATTCCCGCCTTCTTCTTCTTATCACAAGTGCCTTGCATCATGGCTGCCCCCAGATAATCCTCACCTCTGTAGAACATCATGGTGCCCTGCATTTGCATATTAAAAGACTAGGGTGGGAAGGCCAGTTTTTTTGCGGGCTATGTGAATGACATATCTGGTCAAACCAATCCCCTGGGCCCTATGTAAATCAGATACTGCCTCCTCCAGCCTCCTACTATAACTCTGTTTTCTACTGCACTTAGGGTTCCCTCTCTTGGCCTGGAGCCCCCCTCCCTCTGTCTTTGTATGGGGGAGCTTCTTCTTTCTTTCTTGCCTATTAAACTGTCTCCACTCCTTAAAACCACTCCACGTGTGTCTGTGTTGTTTTATTTAAACTGGCTTGAGACAAAGGACCCTGGTATTCCTCCAGTCATCACAGCCGTATCAATACCCACCCCCTCCCCATTCATAACCCCTGGAGACCACTAATCTGTTCTCTATCTGTATAATTTTACTTAAGAATGTTATATATGGAATCATATAGTACCTTGATATTGACTCCTTTTAAAACTCAGTACATTTGAGTTTCGTCTATATTGTTGTGTGCATTAAGAGCTTGTTTTTTTTTTTTTTTTTTTTTTTATTGCTGAGTAGTATTCCATGGCATGGATGTATCACAGTTTGTTTAATCATTACCATGCTGAAGGACTTTTTGGTTGCTCTTATTACTTGGCTATCAACAAAACCTGCTATCATGGCTAATTATATATGTTAACTTGGCTAGATTATGGTACCCAGGTATTTGTTAAACACCAGTTTAGATGTTGCTGCGAAGGTTTTTTAAAGGTATAATTAACATATAAATAAGTAGATTTTGAGTAAAGCAGATTACCCTCTACAGTGTGGGTGGGCTTCATTTAATCAGTTGAAGATTTCAAGAGAAAAGACTGAGATCTCTCAAGGAAAAGGAATTCTACTTCTAGATGACTTTAGGACTCAAAACTACTAAAATAACTCTTTCCTGGGTCTCCTGCCTACTGGCCTGTCCTGCAGATTTTAGACTTGCTAACCCCCAAAACCATGTGAGCCAATTTCTTAAATCTCTGTGCGTGTGTGCACACGTGTGTATTATTGGTTCTGTTTCTCTGGAGAGCCCTGACTAATATAGTTTTTATGAACATTCTTGTGTATGTTTTTGTGTGAGTGTGAATTTTATTTTTCTGGGATAAATGCCTAAAAGGAGGATTTCTAGACCATATGGTAGGTGCATGTTTAGTTTTTGTTTTTTTTTTAAAACTACTTGGCTAACTATATTTTAAATTTGCTATACTATTCCATATCTCTCCAGCAATGTATGACTGATTCAGTTTCTCCTCAACTTTATATGCATTTGGTATTGTCATAATTTTTTATTTTAGCCATGCTTACTGGTGCATAGTAATATCGTTGTGGTTTTAATCTGTATTTCCCTAATGGATAATATTATTGAATACCTTTCATGTGTTTATTTGCCATCTGTATGCCCATTTGGTGAAATGTCTGTTCATGCCTTTTGCCTGTTCTAATTGGATTGGCTTTTTAAATTGGTATGTTTTGAGAGTTCCTTATATATTCTAGATAGAGGTTTTTTTGTCAAATATATGTTTGGCGAATGATTTCTTGTAGTCTAACTTGTCTTTTCATCTTAATAGGGTCTTTTGCAGAGCAAAAGTTTTAAATTTCAGCGAGTTTCAATTTATCAGTTTTCCTTTCATAAATCTTGCTTTTGGGATCAATTCTAAAACCTCTTCACTGAACCCTAAGTGCTGAAGATTTTGCCTATAATTTTTTTTCTAAAATGTTTTATAGTTTTATGTTAGACTTTTGATTCCTTGATGTATTTTAAATTAATTTTGTATAAGGTGTGAGGTTTAGGTTCAGGTTCTTTTTTTTTTTTTTTGATCAAAAATGTCCAGCATCATTTGTTGAAGACTGTCGTTTCATTGAATTGCTTTTGTAACTTGCTAAAAATCAGTTTGACCTATTACCAGAAAGGTAACCCAGGCTGGAATGCAGTGGCACAATCTCAGCTCACTGCCACCTCTGCCTCCCAGGCTCAAGTGATCCTCCCACCTCAGCCACCCAAGTAGCTGTGACCACACGTGTCCACCACCATGCCTGGCCAAATTTTGTATTTTTTGGTAGATAGAGGGTTTTGTCATGTTTCCCAGGCTGGTCTCGAACTCTTAAGCTCAAGCGATCCATCTGCCTTAGCCTCCCAAAGTGGTGGGATTACAGATGTGAGCCACTGTGCCCGGCCTGATTTATCAGTTTTAAAAAGTTAAAGCTAATCACTGCTCATAAGCAGAAGTCATAACTTGACTGCATATATAGGTCAGATAGGTAACAGTTATGTGACTTGGGCTGATAAGACTGTAGAGAATGATGGCGCCTATTGCAAATGGTGGAATTTCACAGCTTCATCTAGAGACATTCAAATTAAATTTTTGAAAAAGCCTCATGCCAGGAAGCACAAAATTTCAACTGCTGCCTTGAGAGTGTGTAATCTCATTAGGGGAACAAATACGTAAGAGCACAGTTGGTTCTTTGCTCTACAGGTCTCTTAAAGACTGGATTGAAAAAGACCTGTTGGTCCATAGAACTCCAGCATTGAGCAGCACCAAGAAGCAGAGGCAATTACTGGGCAAGACACAAACCACATCTTTTAAGTGGTTTCCCTCATCACAGCCATTTACATCTACTTAATTAGTTAGACTATTACTATATTATATGTATTACAATACACATAATCTAGAATTGTATGTATTGGAATAGAAATATTTGTTTACATTTTTTATTCAAGGAGTGATATATTATGGTTTTATAGGAGTCAACATATGCCAGATACTACTCTTTTTTCAGTTATGTGGGTTGCAGATATCTTCTTCAAATTGTGGTTTGATTTTCTACTTTGATTATAATGTCTTTTGTTGCAGAGAATTTTTAAAATTTAATGTATTGAAACTTACTAATATTTTTCCTTACGGTTCGAGTTTTGTTGTGTCTTATTTAAGAAATCGTCTATGCCCTGAGGTCATAAGGATATTCTTGTATATTTTCTTCTAAATTTTTTGGAAGGTTTTCTTTTTTCATATTTAGATCTAAATTAAGTTAAAACCTACCTGTGTTGCAAGGTAAGGATCTAATTTTATTTTTTCATAGGACAATTGTATTATCAGGATAAGGTAGTTATGTTTCAGTAACACATTAAGCCCTAAGTCTTAATGTCTTAACACAACAAAGATTTGTTTCTTTCTTATAATTGTCCAACATTCATGGCTGTTGGGGATGGGTGAGCATAGCTGGTTCTTTGCTCTACAGCTCTTGTAAAGGCTCAGGCAGAAGTGACTGCAGTTTTGTAGCTTTACCTTCCAGGATACACAGCCTCCTTTGCTAGCAATGCAAAGGAGGGGGGGAGCATCTTTCACCTGCCATTCCTACTGCTCGTGCTTATGGTCATTGGTTATTCACCGTCACACAGCCAGACCAACTGCAAAGTGGTGTGCAAGTGTGGACTTCAGTCTGTCTGGAAAGAGAGGAAAATTGGACATTGTTGAGCACTATTAATGTTTACCAGATTAACTAACTGTCCTAGCATTATTTATTAAATAGTTCATTTACTCTCTGTGATCTGTGACATTATCTTTGTTATATCACATAATTTTGTGTCCATGTAAGCAAGAACTTGTTTCTGAGTTATTTTTTCATTGTTCTAATTGACTATTCTTGTCAAACACTCTAATTTCTTAATTACTATCCCTGTATAATGTCTTTATATATGATATGGTGAGTTACTAAGATTTTCTTTTTCCCTCAAAATTGTCTTGTTGATTTTTATTGGCTGGTAGCTTCCATATAAATTTTAGAAGCAGCTTTTCAAGTTGCAAGAAAAACTGTTAGATTTTGACTACAATTACATTTAATTTATAGATTAATTTGGTTATACGTGACATCTTCAAGATATTGCGTGTCACCATCCATAAATACTTAAGTTTTAAATCCTTCAATAGAGTTTTTTTTTCTCAATAAGATTATGGCACATCTTTTGCTAGATTTATTTCTATAGGTTATTTTAAATAATTTATGTAATATCCGTAAAAAATTACATTTTCTAATAGTTTGTGATTTATTTGTAGGAATGTAATTGACTTTTTTGGTATTACTTTTATGATTGACAAACTATCTGAACTTTCTTTTTGTGTCTAATTTTTGGTCTTCAGAGTCTCCTGAATTTTCTGTGTGAAAAATTACACTTTTTGCAAAAAATGGTGCTGTTCTTTATTCCCAATGTCTATACTCTTTCTTTCCTTCTTTCATTCCTCTTTACCTCGCCCTTCACTCCTCTTCCTTTCCTATCTGCCTTCCTTTCTTCTCTTCTCCTCTTTCCCTTCCTTTTTTTTTCTGCTTTACCTTATTAAGTACCTTATTAAGTACTCATAAGTATTTTTTCTGCTTTACCTTATTAAATACTCCATTTGTACTTAATAAAGCATGATAGCAGGCTTCTTATCTTTTTACTGACTTCAAAGTGAACACTGCTACTAGGTTATTATTCAGTTTGCTGCAGGCGTTTATTAGATACCTTTGCCATATAAAGGAATTCTTCTTGTCTACATACTTTGCTAAGAGTTTCTATTACCAATAACTGGTGCTGAATTTATTCTGCCAGCATTTCACTTGAAAAAAATTTTTGAACTTTTCTTCCAAAGCTTTTTTTTAACCCATAGTTTGCTTCTGTTCTTGGTCTTTCCATTATCTTGGAGTTGATTTCCAGATAATGTTTCTAGTTGTTTATGGTACTTTTAATAATAAGTAGATGTTTCAAAGGTTTGATGACCACAGGCCTTTTTCTACCCCTGCATGACTCTGATTCATTTTTGTATCCTATATTTACAACTCTACTTATATGTATGGATAAAATTCAAGTGCCCTTGTCAACTTTTTGCCTGATGAGAATGCTAGCAATTCAGAAGACAGAACAATAAGTTTAGGTTGTTCCTATTCATTTCAAACTTACAGTAATTTAATAATTTATATTTTTATGGCATTATTAGAAAATCCTATTACCACAAAATAAACCCTCTCAATATTCAAAATACCATTTGTGCTCAGGTATCAAAAATTTATACAGTGAGCCAAAGGGTGAGTAAGGAGAGAGCCAGTTCTTTTCTTTTTTAGATTATTGTTTCTTTTGCAATAGTTGCAAATACCTCTCACTTCCTCCACTCCTGAGGCTTGCAGAGGCTTGTAGATCATAGTTGATCATTGAAGAATGTGGGTGGGGAGAGGGTTGGGGGAGAGTTGGTTAGGGGTGCTGAACCCTGTACAGTTGAAAATCTATGTATAACTTTTGACTCCTCAAAAACTTAACTATGAATAGCCTACTGTTGGCCAGAAACTTTACCAATAATAGTTGATTAACACATTTTGTATATTATATGTGTTATATATTGTATTCTTAAAGTAAGATAGAGAAATGAAATGTTATTTAAAAAATCATAGAGACTAAAAAATAAATCTTCTATTTGTTAAGTGGAAATGGATCATCATAAAGGTCTTCGTCCCTGCTGTCTTCATGTTGATGGGCTGAGAAGGAGGGGAAAGAGGAAGTGTTGGTCTTGCTGTCTCCAGGGTGGCACAGGCAGAGATGGAGGATGTGGAAGGGGAGGCAGGAGAGGCTGGCATACTAGGTGTAACTTACATTGAAAAAAAGTTCAAGGGTCAACTGTAATTGTACCTACTTAAAGGTGAGGGTGAGGGCACCCTTTCTAAAATTTCACTTGTCAGCAAAGATTGCGACAATTCTGTTTTGTCAGTTCCTGCACTGCTCCTCTCACATTGTTCTATATCTGTTAGTAAGATTTCTTAGTTAGCCAGATATCTATTGAAGTTTTCTGAGGGTAAAAAAGATAAATTTTCTTTTATAAAAAGAATTTAAAAGTTCAGGCTGGGCACGGTGGCTCACCCCTGTAATCCTAGCACTTTGGGATGCTGAGGCGGCAGAATCACCTGAGGTCAAGAGTTTGGGACCAGCCTGGCCAACATGATGAAGTCTCGTCTCTACTAAAAATACAAAAATTAGCCAGGTGTGGTGGCATGCACCTGTAATCCCAGCTATTGAAGAGGCTGAGGCAGGAGAATTGCTTGGACCTGGAGAGTGGAGATTGCAGCGAGCTGAGATTGTGCCACTTCACTCCAGCCTGGGTGAAAGAGCAAAATTCTGTCTCAATTAAAAAAAAAAAGTTCAAATCAAACCACAGTTCTAAATCTAAGGTACTGCTGCCTTGGAGTTTATGTCCAGATATTTTGGTCTGATACACAGAAGCTTCATACATGCCTGGTGCCTGGCTGGTTTACTGATCAGATGGGTGATAAGCTGCCACTGTCATTTTATGACTGAGAGCAGATTCTATCTATGTATATAAATTGGTGACTATAGGGCATTTAATTCTAAAGATTGCCTTGGGTAATAGAAATTCTCTATCTGAAAGTGTAGCCAAATCTCCACTTGTGCACTTCTGAGGTTCCACATCAAATTATTATAGCACGGAGTGTGTTGAAGCCTTCTAACAGAATAACATTAGTCCTTAGTGATTTTCCTGAGAGAAAGGGAAAATGACCACATATTCACCACTCTTCAAAATGCAGCAGTTCAAAAATGAACTGGTAAGAGAAATGGAATAGCATGGACCAAACTGAGAGTTCAGATCTCTCCCCACCCAGTACACTGACTAATACTGCTCCCATATGTTGACAATAGTTTCATTATTAATTAACTCAGCAGAGATATTCAAGTTGCTTTCCTAGCTCTATTCTTTGGTAAGTGAAGTATTATTTGAAGATATTGGAGAGTTGAGTATCCATCTTAAAGTGATTACGGAAGCAGAATCCTTGTTCCTCAACAGAGAAGCCAGGATGAGTTGATCTTATCTAGAACATGCTTATTCAAGGCCAGCAAGGTAGTAAATCATCAAGTTTGAGAACTGCTGGTGACACTGTGTATGGTAGGTCTTGCCAAATCTGGAAATCTCAATTATTGCCAGACCAATAATTGAGTCTTACGTATGCCTGCAAAGCACATGGCTGCCACTCAACAGTTTAATGGACTGTTTAGGACAAAACTTACTCTGGTAATTCATGGGCTTCAGTTTCAAGAAATCAGCAGGGAGAGAGCAGAGTTATTGTTTGCATTAGTCCATTCTCACATTGCTATGAAGAACTACCTGAGACTGGGAAATTTAAAAAGAAAAGAGGTTTAATTGGCTCATGGTTCTGCAGGCTGTACAGGAAGCATGGCTGGGGAGGTCTCAGGAAACTTCCACTCATGGTGGAAGGTCAAAAGGAAGGAGGCACATCCTACATGGCTGGAGCAGGAGGAAGAGCACAGGGGGAGGTGCTACATACTTTTAAACAACCAGGTCTCTTGAGAATCACAAGAACAGCAAGGGGGAAGTCCATCCCCATGATCCAGTCACCTCCCATCAGGCCCTTCCTCCAACACTGGGGATTACAATTCGATGTGAGATTTGGGTGGGGACACAAATCCAAACCATATCAATGTTCATATATCCATAAATAACTTTTTAAATCCAGTTTTTTAGTCTTCTGGAATGTATTTCTCTGAAATCACTTATTACTTTGGCAATGATTATTTGTTTGGTTCCACAATTCCTTAATAGGCTCTGAGCTTCCAGAGGGCGAGCACTTTTTCACATTCAGCTCTGTGTCTTCAGTTCCTGGCACATAGATCACACTCAAAGAATCTGGGTGGGAAAATGTGTAAGTATTGATGGATGCCTTCCCCTCTCCCTGACCATTGGGGGAGACCTGTTACTTCCACCTTTCCTTACCTTGGGCAGCTGAGCAGCCTGTCTTAATTTTCTCACTGAAGGACTGATGAGACAGGTCATGATAACAAAGAAAAAAATCTTTGAGTCTCGAGATTTAATGTGATAGGCCCAGACACATAAGGTAATATTTGGAAGAATACAAAATAAATAAGAGCATACCAGTCACGATAAAGATTCTCCTGACTTTGGTTGGAGTTTCCAGTACTTCAAAACCAATATGATCCACAGAAGGAATCTCATGCCCTGCCTGTCCTCCCCTCATCCAGCCCCAGATAATGTCCACAAATGAGACAGGGGAGTAGACATGGTCCAGAGACTGAGCGAGAGGACGAGGACTCCCCATAGTTAGGAATGGAAGGAAATCACAGCTGACCCATGGAGATCAAACACCACTCAATGGTGGACAGGCAACAGCATCAGGGACCAGAAGTCTCTACACCCTTAGTATGATGAAGCCTCGTCCCAACACACAAAGCAAAGGTTGCAGCAATTCTGTTTTGTCAGTTCCTCCACTGCTCTTTTCTGTTGGTTGTCAGTAAGATTTCTGTGCACCCACATGCCCACACACCTCAAAATCCTGAGAAGTCTCAGGGCGACCTGAATTGACTCAAGTGGAATTTAAAAAATTTAAAAACTAACAATGTATACACTCCTAAATTTGTGGACTGAGGTATATACAAGCCACAAATGTTTGTCATTGTGTGTATATTTACATGCATACTTTTAAAAATATTTGTTTCCGAGGTTAGAGAGTAAATTTTTTTTTTCCTGTTTAAATAAGCCTGCATTTGGCCCTGATTTCTCAAGCAGTTAGCTCTAGTCAAAATGAGTCTCTAGCAGAGGAGACAATGTGCCAAAGAGGTGCTAGAGACAAGTGAGGTCTTTGGGGAATGGATTTAAGACTCTTCCAAGAAGCCTTCTGTTGACATCCTCTTCAGGGGTCAGTTAGGTGGCCCACCTTTGCTCACCTATGATCTCTCATTCACATTAATCCAAGTGCTCATTATTGTATAATACAATAATCTGCTTATACATAAGGATGTATAGGATGAAGTTGGGACTGTTATAGTTTATGCCTATTATCCTGGTGTAATTGTTAATAACAGCTTCTTTCTTTTTAAAAATGGTTGCAGTTCTAATAATAAAGTTTGAGGGTATCCTATTTATGTACCTATTTCTACCATTAGACCCAGTTCCTACAGGGCAAATCTTACGTTTTGGTCACCTTTGTATCCGCAGCACATTTTGGACAGTCAAGCATATAGTGGTTTCTCATTAAAGGTTTACTGATTGGCCCAAAATATTTCATAAAATATCAAAAATAATTCTTTGTACAGGAAAAAGCCATGATAAAGGAGAAATCCAAGGCATTTGTATCAATCAGGCTCCTTGCAAGAAACAGATGGCACATTCGAAATGGGTGATTTGTGGAGAGTCTAATAAAAGACTAATTGTAAAGTTGTGGGGAAATTTACTAAAAACTGAAAGGATAATGCAAAATCTAGGAGCCTGTTTTGTAACTAGATCCTGTAGTAGGGGTGAGGGATAGGAGAGGGTATAGGGAAAGAGAGCTGTGTGGGGAGGGTGGCCTGACAGAGGCTGTGGTCTTTGGTTGAAGGTTGTATTTACCCCACAATGATGCCACAGAAAGGAATTTGATGAAAAAAACACACCTCAACCTTACTCTCTATTTTCCTTTTAAAAAATCTCTGGTCAGCACACCCCTTTGGCTGAGCCCAACAGGAAGCCAAGGACAAGGGAACCTTCTGTTACCCTCTCTACACATCCTGAGACACATAAGCTTGTAGAGAAGATGGAGAGTGGGTCTGAGGGAAAATGGAAGATTTGCAGCAGTTTTAGTAAAAGAAAATATAGGACATGAAGGGAGGGTAGATAAGTTTATAATAATCTCTGAATCCAAGAGATGTGACAGTTACAATGATAGGATTTTCTGTGGCTCCTGGAACTACTGAAAACAATGAATGACTACATTCTATACTTATTTATATTGTTTAATTTCTATATTTCCCAATAGTCTGTAAGCTCCTCAAGGGTAGAGATCACTAGCACCAGCACAGATTCTGCCAGGTTCTCAGTAATTATTGGGTGAATGAATGGCTGGAAGAACCACATGGAGTTATATGGCTGCATTAGAAAGGATGCAACCCAACCAAGAAGACCTCCTTACCTTCAGCCATTGTAAACCCAGTAAAGGCCTTCAAAGAATGGAGATTTCCAATGATGCAGAAGCTGGCAGTGTTTAATCCAATATTCAGGGAAAGACAGACTGAAGTGTATGGATCCAATTTTCCATTCATATGAAAGGAATAATCTTTGGTCAGGAAGGAATGATTCTCTAGGCCTTATCATAATGTTCCCAAGTGTAGGTTAACAGAATGGCTATAATTGAAGGAGTATTTAGCTTTTGATGACATAAGGAGGTGTAGCTTGCTATTACTACTGTTATTTGCTGATTGATTCTATATTATATGTGATTTTCTGTTCATTAAGTTTTGTCCCGATACTCTTCCAATCATCTTGTAACAAGTCAAGGAATTAGACAAGCATGCCCGACCCAGAGCTCATATACTCTCAAGAATGCTGGGTAGGTTGGTGGGGGCTGGAGGTGGGGATAGGATATTGTGTTAGTGCATTTTAGAAAAAGTGATATTACGTGAAACCAACTGCCAAGGGAACTCATGGAAGGATGTACTGACACAGATGTTCCATTGTATAGGCCTACACAGCACTCTGTCTACTCCATGATCAGGGACAGGGTTTAATGCAAGATTAAACAGAAATGATGGTAAACAACTAGCACCTGGCAGAGTGGATATGCTCAGTAAACATTCCTTGACTGTTGAGTGGAGGAATCAGTGGCATTCTATGACTCTTTAAACAGCTTTTCAGTGCCATGTAGGCCCAGCTTGAAAGAATTATTTTCATGTTTTTTTCCTGTGATCTTCGAGAGTCAGTACAACATAGTAAAGGAAAAGGTTCAAATTCCAGCTGTATATCCTTGGCGAATTGCTTAACTGTCTTTCCTTCAGTTTCCTTGTCAGTAAAATGGAGATGTTAGTAGTACCTATAGCCCTAGGATTGTTGTGAGGATTTAATGAATAAATATAAGTAAAGCATAGTACATAGTAAGTACTGCATAAATGTTATTATTAATATTGCGATTAGTAGTTAATCAATGTGAATTTAGCACCAATCTTTTTTTTTTTTTTTTTTTTTGAGATAGGGTCTCACTCTGTCACCTAGGCTGGAGTGCAGTGGTGCCATTTTGGCTCACTGTAGTCTTGACCTCCTGGGTTCAAGCCATCCTTCCACCTCAGCCTCCTGAGTAGCTGGGGCCATAGGTAGATGCCACCACACCCAGCTAAGTTTTGTATTTTTTATAGAGATGGGTTTTTGCCGTGTTGCCCAGGCTGGTCTCAAACTCCTGAGCTCAAGTGATTCTCCTACTTCAGCCTCCCAAAGTGATTACAGGCGTGAGCCATCACACGTAGCTTGAAATTCAGTCATTTTTAAGGGGCTACCTCAAGCCTGGAAAAGTACTTTGGGACACACTTGTCTTTGGTTACTGCATGTCAAATGAATATGGAGGTTGTATTACCTTTTTAACTGTCTCTATTTCTATATCCCTACCACCCAGGTGCTCCAGATTTTTAGAGAAATTAGCCTTATTCTGAGATAAGGAAAAAATATTTGTTGACTCTGGATATGTGGGCCTTGGTAAATGAGAAGCCTTCATAGATAATTGAAGCATATAACTAACAGCATGCATTTGATTCCTATGTTGAGGTTTTCAATTAAATAGACTTAGTGGCAAAGGTTGAATGGAGCTAGTGGAATACTGACCTGTGGGTGATCCAGGAAATGGGCTGGCATTTTTCTTGGCTGCAGCATATCACAGGAGAATGTTTGTAATGTCAGCATTCCTGATTTCCAGCTCTGTGGGGAATCTATGATGCTGAGCTAGGAGAGCTACAATAGCAAAGATTCCGCCTCACAAACATTAGAAAGAAGAGCAAAATGAATGTTTCAACATATGAGAGAAGACAGAGTTTTTTTTGTTTTGTTTTGTTTTGGTTTTTGAGACGGAATCTTGCTCTGTTGCCCAGGCTGGAGTGTAGTTGTGCGATCTCGGCTCACTGAAGCTTCTACCTCCCTGGTTCAAGCAATTCCCCTGCCTCAGCCTCCTGAGTTGCTGGGATTACAGGCATCTGTCACCATGCCCAGCTAATTTTTTTGTATTTTAGTGGAGATGGGATTTCACCATGTTGGCCAGACTGGTCTCGAACTCCTGACCTCTGGCAATCTGCCCGCCTCGGCCTCCCAAAGACCTGGGATTACAGGTGTGAGCCACCACACCTGGCCAAGATAGAGTTTTATAATACTGAATAAGGACAGCAAAATAATGATTATTAAACCAAGGGCAATACTATATTGATTGCTTCATACATGATCTCATTTACCTCATACAACAAACATGAGGGCAGTTCTCTTTATTTTATAGAGGAGGACATGAAGGGTCAGAGAGGATAAGTAACAGCACTAAAGGAGTCCTGCTATCTTAATAACTTGGTTAAATAACAGGCCAGTATGGTATACTAGCATAGAAAATGTCAGTAACACTAAACTAAGTTGAGAGTTGCTAAGTGGTAGAGTCATTATTGGGCCAATCTCTGATTCCGAAGCCAAAGATTCTCCTAGCAGCACTCTGTTTCCCCCAGTGTGGTGCGGGGCTCCTCTGTTACTCACTAAGAAAAATTTCTGAGACTTATTCCAGGGGTAATTTGATAAGTGTTAGAAACAGAATAGAAATATGGACATGCCATGATCCCGGTCATAGTCATTGATTTATTTATAGCAGGATCCACAGTCTTTCTCTTTGTTTTATTTGTATCAAACAGAACCTATTTGTAGGGTTGAAGTGGGTGCTGCTTCTGACCACAGAGCAGATTCATCTGTGGGCAGTTAATTCCTATCAAGATACCGGTTGAAGCCAAGTGGAAGTGGACATGCTGGGAACTGCTAGCATTTCCACCATGGTGGCTAGCATGGTCAAAGGTACCAAAAGTAAGCATGGAGGGAGGAATCCCAGTAGCCTCTGACCACTTTCCCTTTCTCTGTCTCACCAACATTTGAGTCAGTCACTGCTACCAAACTCCATCTATTGAGTGTATAATATATGCTGACACTTATAAGACAACTTTGGCTTGTTATTTCCAATCCTAATCATAATTTTGTCAAGTAGGTAATTTTAATTCCATTTTATATGTGAAGATATTGATGATGAGAGGGGTTACATGTGTTATGCTGGATGGACCCCTATTGACTTCAGTAGAGATGGCACCATGTTCAAAATGCTAAAGAAGAGACCCAGCAACCGAGACTTAGGGCATACAGGGCAGTCCGGTGGTGGTGGGCTGGACAGCAGAACAGCAACCCCTTGTAAAAAGCATGCAGTTTATATAGCACTTTCACTTAGCACCCTCCCTCTAGCAACTTCCACCTAGCAACCTTCATTTAACCCAAAACAAAGGGCCTCAATCCCCTGTACCGCCTGGGTTCCATGGGATGAGCCAGGGGTTCAGATGTTCTTCTTAGGTAAGGAATCAATCTCTGGGCCAGCCACTCCTGTTTTCCTTAGTTCACAACTCTTAACACATTCTTCTTAGACCATGGGGTCATTCTGAGGGTATGCTTAGTTAAATTATTGCTGTCAGGTGCATCTGCCATATAACATGGTAAATGGTTGGCATATGTGGGATTTGAACAAAGAAATGCCTGATTATAAGACAGCCTCTGATGCTGGTTCTTGTCATTTAATTGGGCATTGCTAAGACTTCATAATGCGAGGAGGTGGGTACACACAGTGTCTCTAGGAATACAGGCTTTAAATTTAAAACCAACGCTTCAAAGTGCATTGTCATGGAGAATGGGATGAATGTGGAGGCTGTGGTCCTACAATAAATCAGATGCTCCAGGATTGGCTTGGTTGTCAAGAAACTCTACAGGTAACAGATAGATACAATTGCTTGAATAAATTACCATGTCTTGGAACATATCAGAAACTTACAAATCATAACTTCTGTTTCCTCAGGGAGAAATATCAGAAAAAAAGTCCAAAACATTTGATTTTCAAATTTGAGTTTCTAGGTTTAATGTATTATACTTTTCACTTCTTGCATTAAAAAATTCTGAGGAATAAGTGAAGGGCAGAAGTAGTTCCAATTTAAAGGAATTGCCTGCAGTAAATGGGACAGCAGGTGTAAATGGTAAATTTAGACTAATGGTGGGAATGCGAGTGGAAAATAATGTTGGAAACTTTTGGATAAGGCATTTAGTTGAATTACAATGCTAAGGACTTGTTAATAGTGTTCTTTAACCATAGCTCTTGTGTAATAGCCTTATTTTGTGGAGACACAACTAAGATATTTGAATTGACTTGCTAAACGTTGAATGTTTCTCTTTGATTAATTGTGTCATTGGCAAGATGGAGTTACTAGCTTAATTTTGAATGTACTATATGGGAATTGTTTCTTTGGAAATACATAGAACTATATTAAGGACAAGTCACAACTCTAGAGCCTCAGTTTTCTCACTGACAAATGAAGAGGTTAAATAGACAAAGCCTACAATACCTTCCATTTTAACATTTTATAGATTGTTGGTACAAGGTGGGTGCAAAAGTAATTCTGGCTTTCACCATTGGAAGTAATGGCAAATTATTTCACAATTACTTTTGTACCAACCTAATAATAGCTTTGGATATTTTTGGTGGGAGTGGTGGATGATATTTGCTCTTGGTTTAGAAGCTTTTTAGAAGCATGTTTGTCATCTAGTTTGAACCGACAAAACTTTAGAGAGGAAAACAGAAGTTTCTATGGTCCTCCTTTGGGGAATGCTTTTCCTGTGGTAATTTGTCAAAACCAGTCCTTCCCTTTCAAAAACATAGATTTCTTGACAGAGTGGATAGCATATCCCCTCGTGCAGACGGTGACGGTAAATTGGTAGCTTGGTGGCCAGGGGTTCAACGTGGTGTCCTTCGGGAGCGGGTTTCAAGCCTTCAAGAGGCAGCAGATGCTGGGCTCCTGTCAGCACCATGCCCTCACCCAAGTTCCACTTTTTGGAAAATGTATTGATAATATTGATGTACGACTGAACAAATATATTTTGAGAGATTAATAAACATATGCCTTAGCAATAGGCATATGATAATTCATATACTTCTTCCTGATACATACACAATTTATAAAATCTAGATATTGGAAAACTTTAAGCCAAAAGTACTGTTGATGCAAATATCCTTTACTATATGCCATTGGGTTCACCAAGCAAACGACTACAAACTAAATCAATAGCAGTGATACAAAGCTAATACTAATTTGTCATTTAAAATGAAAGGAGCAACAACTGAAAACAATAAAAAACAACACAATGGTCATCAGGTTTTGATAAGAAACTTGGGAATTCAAGCTACATGAAGGGGGCTAGCAAGAGCCTTGCTGTACTGAATTGTGTTTTTCAGTAAACTGTTATAATACGCATCCTAGGAATATCAAATTTTGTCATGACAACAGAAATTATGGTGCCAGCTCTGCCTAGAGCCTCTAGCATAATTTTTCCTTTCTGTACATCCCCTCCCTGTCTTCTTCTTCTTTTTCTTTTTGAGATGGGAGGCTTGCTCTGTTGCCCAGGCTGGAGTGCAGTAGCGCGATCTCGGCTCACTGCAAGCTCTGCCTCCCAGGTTCATGCCATTCTCCTGCCTCAGCCTCCTGAATAGCTGGGACTACAGGCACCCACCACCACACCCGGCTAATTTTTTTTGTGTTTTTAGTAGAGACGGGGTTTCACCGTGTTAGCCAGGATGGTCTTGATCTCCTGACCTTGTGATCCGCCTGCCTCGGCCTCCCAAAGTGCTGGAATTACAGGCGTGAGCCACCGCGCCCGGCCCCCTCCCTGTCTTCTATGTGCCTTTGCTTCTGTTGACCTAAACCTGTGATTCTCTTTGGAGGCCTACCCTTAGGTACTGGAGCTGCTTTGCCTGGTTGTACAGAAATGCCTGGGAATCAACATGCACCCAGGGTGGCCCTTAGCCAGTGACTGACTGGTTCCCAGTCAGCACAAAAGTCCAGCAATCTTGCCTTGAATCAGGACAAATTCAGAAGCACAGCTTACACTTCTGCATTCCCCCATGGGATCAAACTGGAGCTACCCTTTGTGGGACTTTGTCTGAAATTGCATGCTTGCCTGGCCTCTTTTACTTTCCTGTCTTGCTTCTCCCATTCCCTTATTGGTTACTGTTGGAAGTACTTCCTAAATGAATCATTTTACAAGAGTTCTCATCTCAGGGCCTGCTTCTAGGGAAGATGATTTAAGACCTTTTCATAACTGACATAGCATGTTACAAGTAAGAAATCTTTAGCTTCACATAAAAATAAATACTTGTACTTGGCTGTAGGATATCTCACAGGTATCCAGGACTCTGTACCAAAACATATGCCTTTAACTGTGTTAATTTGAAAGCAAAATGAGCAGTTATGCATCAACATTTTTTTTTCCTAGGGGCTTGGCTTATGATCTCTAGAGTGTCTCTTAGGATTATACAAAGTTGAGGAGAAACCCTATGCAGTTAATCCTTCATTAACCCCTGCTGGATGTTATAATTTGCCACTTTAGAGTTGTGCACACATTTATGACATTTGCTTTGTCTCTAGAGTCTGCTTATGATGTTGGTTAAATATAAGATTGTGAAATTAGATAGTTCTCAAAAGGTAAATAACAAAATACTTCATGGTTTTATTTTTTAGAGAGTGGGCTTTGATGTAACAACATCTTGACAAACAAAGTCTAGTTCCATAGTTAGGCCATACTTCTTCCTTATTTCATTGGTGAGCAACAGACTCAGCATCGTATAGAAGTTTCATGAGGCTCCTAAAGTAACCTTTCCCCTGAGCCTTATGCATCCAGACATCTAGGTAATGTAATGTTTTCACAGCAGAATCTTTCAGGCTTTGAGTGATGTTGTTATTTGCTGGAGTTTGCAGCAGTGCAGCTCTTCCACCCATTGCACCTAATTTCACTGATCAGTAGCTCTGGCTTAGAGTCACCCTCATATATTCAATAATTCATTTGGCAGGTGCAGGGTAGACACATCTAAAAAAGAATGGTAACATCTTGGAAGAATAAGGAAAGTACTTACTGTTTACTCTTTCTTGAATTCTAACATTTAGTTTGGATATGAGGAGGCTCAGTGCTTCTAGTATATTTTGGCAACAGAGGTATTTGCTATTATTTTATTAAAAGATGAGCTAGTTTTTTATTCTTTCTCTTGCAAAATGGTCTCAATCTGTAGATTCCTCTCAAATATGAGGAATATCAATTGGTTGTTGAGATGTGGCTAGGCACTGGGCCATGGTGTTAGGCTAGTGAAGCACAAGAACAGACCAGAATTTGAAAACCAGTGAGCATTTTCCCTCACAGATGCATCTTTCTGAAATTGTAGTCATGCTTGGCAGCTATGATTATACAGATCTTTTTAAAAAAACACTTATTTAAAATAACATAAACTTTATAGAAATAATGCTAAGAGAGTATAGAGATTTCCCCTATACCTTTCACCCTGTTTCCTCTCATGTGACCATCTTACATAACCGTGCTATATTTGTTAAAACTAAGGAAGTGTCATAAGTACAATACTCATAACTAAGTAGTGACTTCATTTGGTTTCCTCAGTTTTCTACGACTGTCCTTTTTCTGTCCCAGGATCCAATCCAAAATCCTACAATGAATTTGGTCAGCATGTTTCCTTAGTCCATACACATAACTAAAAAGGTCTTTTCAGGTGATGTGGATGTAAATTTGTACATTTTCAGAGCCAGTACATTTTCAGGTTCCAGTCATGGCTCTCTACTAATTAGCTGGGTAAATTTAGCAAGTTATTAAATCTTGCTGTGCATTGTCTGTAACTTAGGGATAGTAATAATACATCATCTGTGCTTGAGTGTCAAGTAATCATATTAACCTCATATGGTATTGTGGGGATTGATCATGTGAGTTCATGTGAAAGAGATTAAAGCAGTGCCGAGTGGAATTCCTAGCCAGAGCAATCCGGCAAGGGAAAGAAATAAAGGACATCCAAATTGGAAAAGAGGAAGTCAAACAATCTCTGTTTGCCAATGATATGATCTTATACCTAGAAAACACTAATGACTCCTCCAAAAGACTCCTAGATTTGATAAATAAATTCAGCAAAGTCTCACGTTATAAAATCAATGTACACAATTCAGTAGCACTGCTATATACCAACAATGACTAAGCTGAGAATCAAATCAAGAACTTGATCCCTTTTATAATGGCTACCAAAAAATGTGTAGGAATAAAAAGAACAAATCTGAAGGCCTCACATTACCTGACTTCAAATTTACTATAAGGCTATAGTAATCAAAATAGCCTGGCACTGGCATAAAAGTAGACACATAAACCAATGGAACAGAATAGAGAACTCAGAAACAAAGCCAAATACAACCAACTGATCATTGACAAAGCATACAAAAACAAACTGGGGAAAGGCCACCCTATTCAATAAATACTGCAGGAAAAATTAGAAAGCCACATGTAGAAGAATGAAACTGGATCCCTATCTCTCACCATATACAAAAATTAACTCAAGATGGATCAAAATCTTAAATCTAAGACCTGAAACCATAAACATTTTAGAAGAAAACCTAGGAAAAACTCTTCTGAACATTGGCTTATGCAAATAATTCATGATGAAGACCCCAAAAGCAAATGCAACAAAAACAAAAATAAATAAATTGTACCCAATTAAACTAAAAAGCTTCTGCACAGCAAAAGAAATAATCATCAGAGCAAACAGACACCCTACAGAATTGGAGAAAATATTTGCTAACTGTGCATCAGACAAAGGACTAATATCCAGAATCTACAAAGAACTCAAACAAATCAGCAAGAAAGAAACAAATAATACCATCGAAAAGTGGGCAAAGGACGTTAACAGACAATTCTCAAAAGAAGATATACAAATGGCCAACAAACTATGAAAAAATGCTCAACATCACTGATGATCAGGGAAACGCGAACCATGATGAGATACCACCTCACCCCACCAGAATGGTCATTCTTTTTGTTTGTTTTTGAGACAGTCTCCCTCTGTCACCCAGGCTGGAGTGCAATGGGGCGATCTCGGCTCACTGCAATGTCCGCCCCCTGGGTTCAAGCGATTCTTCTGCCTCAGACTCCCAAGCAGCTGGGGTTACAGGCGCACACCACCACGCCTGGCTAATTTTTTGTATTTTTGGTAGAGACAGGGTTTTACTATGTTGGCCAGGCTGGTCTCGAACTCCTGACCTCAGGTGAGCTGCCTGCCTTGGCCTCCCAAAGTGCTAGGATTACAGGCGTGAGGATTATAGGCATGAGCCACCACACCTGGCATGGTCATTTTCTTAAAAAGTCAAAAATCAAAAGATGTTGGTGCAGATGTGGTGAAAAAGGAATGCTTATACTCTGCTGGTGGAAATGTAAATTGGTATAACCTCTATGGAAAACAGTATGGTGATTTCTCAAGGAACTAAAGATAGATACACCATTTGATCCAACAATCTCACAACTGGGTATCTACCCAAAGGAAAACAGATTATTTCAAAAAGACACCCATACATGTATGTTTATCACTGCACAATTCATAATTGCAAAGATATAGAATCAACCTGAATGACCATCAATCGATGAGAGGAAAAAGAAAATGTGGCATATATACATACCATGGAATACGACTCAACATAAAAAAGAATGAAATAATGTCTTTTGCAGCAACTTGGGTGGAACTGGAGGCCATTATACTAAGTGAAGTAACTCAGGAATGGGAAATCAAATACTGCATGTTCTCATTTAGAAGTGGGAGCTAAGCTGTGGTTACACAAAGGCGGAGAGTGGTATAATGGACACCGGAGACTCAGAAGGAGGGAGGGGCCAGGCGCTGTGGCTCATGCCTGTAATCTCAGCACTTTGGGAGGCTGAGGCAGATGGATCACCTGAGGTCAGGAGTTCAAGACCAGCCTGGCCAACATGGTGAAAGTCTATATCTACAAAAATACAAAAATTAGCCGGGTATGATGGCGGTTGCCTGTAATCCCAGCTACTCAGGAGGCTGAGGTGGGAGAATTGCTTGAACCTGGGAGGCGGAGTTTGCAGTGAGCTGAGATTGCGCCATTACACTCCAGCCTGGGTGACACAGCGAGACTACATCTCAAAAAAAATAATAATGATAATAATAATAATAATAATAATAATAATAATAATTAGGAGGGAGGGTGGGAGGGGGGTGAGGGCTGAAAAACCTACCTATATATTAGGTACAATGTACACTACTCAGGTGACCAGTGCACTAAAATCCCAGACTTCACCACTATACAATTCATCCATGTAACCAAAAACCACTTGTACCCCTAAAGCTATTGAAACAAAAATTTTTTTAAAATTAAAGTACTTAAAAACAAAAACAATATGAATTAAAAAACAGTGCCAAACATATGATAAATACTCAGTGCATGTTAACCGTGATTTTTACGGCTATTACTTCACCCAATGTAAGCATCCAGCTCTCATATAAATTCCTTTTCTGTGTGGTCACAGGTGACGCCCTTTTAAATAATTATTTTCTTGAATAGGTAATACATGCACATGGAAAATATTCTACCATACTAAAGGGTGTATAGGAAAAATTATATTGCTTTCCCATCTCTGTTCCTCAGTCCTCTGGTCTTTTCTATCCTCTATGAGATTATCATTACTACCATTTCTAGTACACCTTCCAAAATATTCTGCACATAGAAATACATTTGTTTGAATGTTCTACTTGGAACTTTTAAAAATGTGGTAAATACAACAGGATGAATATTATCTAAAGGTAAAAATTAGGTTTCCCTCATTTGTATTATGATGAATAGTAATGGTAACATTAGCTGTATTTTACTGAGCACTTGCTACGTAGCAGGCATTCTTCTTTCCTCTTTCTCAGTATATTATCCTATTTAATACCATAAGAGCTCTATGCAGTAGGTTCTATTAGCATTCCCATTTTATAGATAAAGAAACTGAGGCCAAGAGAAACTAAGTAGCTTCGTTAAGATCACTCAGCTAATAAGTGGTAGAGCAGGAATTGAAACTTAAGGAAGTTTTAGAAAAAAAGATCAGAATCCGGATACATTGGATTTCTTTCCTTGATTGCCTTTTTTTTTCTTCTTTGTTTCTATCTCTATTTACATTCCACCATCTTTGTCCACTGTAAATAAGTCACAATCTGGACTCTGCCCAAACTCTGTTTTAGTTCACCTTGCATTGTCTTTATCATTTACGCTTTCCATAATTCTACTTTCATTGAGCCTTTTGCTTTCTCAAAAAGCCTCATTGGCTCTTCACCTCCTAGAGAATCAAGTATAAATCATTTACCCTGGCTTCTGGGACCTTTCATCATCTGGCTTCATCTGAACCAGCTGGTCTCATTTCCTATTGTGAACTTAGCACACCAAATCACAAAGAGTAGCCCCCAATAAATACTTGTAGAATTTGGTAATTGATAGGCCTAACTTATAAAAGCTACTTAGCCATTTCTTTAACAACACATATGGAAATAAAAAAGGAACTTAAAAAATACCCTTCTTAGAGAACGGGGGATTTTTTACAATTTCAGTGTTCAATTTTGGTGATTTGGATAGCACAAAATTACCTTTTCTGTGGCCTTTATTAATTATATTGTTTGGAGCAACAGATTAATTATCGATGGAAAATTAGGAAAGGTGAACAGGCAGCTGTACATCCTAATTCCTTCTCCTGGGGAGCCAGAGTTTGAGACATGGGAGTGCTCCCGGTCAGACACTGCCAAATCCCAGTGCTCTTGCTTAAACTGGAGCAGGCTCCAGTGGCTTGGCCTGGACGGGGAAAAGGGCCTGGCATGAATGTACAACTTACTTTATAGTTTTGAGAATGGAAAACCACCATCATAGAGCCAATTATAAGACTCACAAAAAAACCCTCTGCTAACACAAGAAGAGTTTAAATATTGCCCTATTTCAGAGGAATCACATCACTGCTTGGTGATAATTTTTCCTGCTGAGTTTTTGGCGAGGGATGATGGCATAATTTGGCAGGGTTCAGTGAGTTGTTGAAAGAATGGATTACCTTGGCCTGGTGTGTGGTTTCCTGTCCAACAAGTCGGGAGTGCCCTGCTTGATAGCAGAGTCTCATCTATCGCTTTTCTATGAGAACGTTTTGAGGCCCTAGAACGCCGGCACTGTCTTGCATATCTCTTTATTCCTAGTGCCAAGCACATTTCCTGGCACATAGTAGGCACAGAGGAAATGTTTACTTGGCAAACAAATGGATACAGGCATTGTTTATTCACAGTGGGGCTTTGGATATCAGCTTCTGCCAAGCCCAATAGAGTTGGCCCATAGAGTGGGCAAATTTCCTAGCATTAGAGAACTGTAATATGCAAAATGGGAATTTCTGGCCCATGAAGCCTCTTAACTACGTCCAGGGGCATATAGGATTAGAAATAAAAACTTAAAAGCATGTTGGTGATGTATAAGAAGGCATTTTGAGCACCAGCTGTTCCCTGGCAAGTCATGGGTCAGTCCTCAGAAGGGTAGTTCTGAGCAGAGGAGCCAAAAAGCCTTATGCTTAATGCTTATGTTAATCTCACAGTCATTTTCTCTTTGATCTCCTGATGAACTCTCCTGAGCTCAATGGGGAAACTGAGAATGCATGGTGATTTCTATGATGTGTAAATAACATTTTTTACTTGTTTTCTTCAGGAGAGACTTGAATATTTAGGATCTAGGAGAAATTTACAGTTAATACTGGGAGGACTTCAAATGACTGGAGAAATAGAGATGAGCTAAATGACAGCGTAGGGGAAGTTTGTGTTCAGCTGTAGACATAATTTCTGTTTTCTACATTCTGCTAATTTCCAAGGTGTTAGAACTGTCATGTCCCCTCAGGCCCTCCTTCACAACAGAGACACTAATCAATACTGGGTACAAAAGCCTGGCCCCCTCACCTCAATTGGGACAATTTTTAAGGGCTATACCAGTTCTAGAGCTTCTAGTAGGATCTGCTGATGCCTCTGTTGGAACTGTGGTTCAGTTTAGCTCCTGCTCTGTCCAATCTTCCTTCACAGCTCTTGCTCTCTAAGGCAATCACTTATAAACCTCCCATATGCAAATCTCATAATCTTACAGTATGTTTTCTAGAAAACCTCAGAAAAGTGCTCTTTTTATTCTTCTTGGTACCCTGGGATGTCATGCATTTTCCTTCTTTTCCGTGTCAGAACTTACCCTCAGGAAATAGTCTAACAATTCCTTCATGCTAAAATATAAATGTAAATGTAATAATCGACTCCCTCTTCAGCAGTATTTGCATTTTAACTGGCCAAACCTTTGAGGATGGAGCAATAAATTGCTCTTTATAAAATTTCAGGACATTGAGTGGGGGAGTACTTCCTGGTGCACAAAAGGAGGTGCTATCCAGGCCATCCCAAAAGTGGTCTCCTGGTGGTGAGGCTGCTTCTGCTACAGGAGCCAATGGCTTGTCCTGGCCCTGCACCCAACTGTGAGTCTGAAAGCTACAGTCCTACTCTTGGCACATTGGAAGACAAAAATTTAGCTTCCCCCGCCCCGACTATTTCCTTGGCCTTCACCACAGGAAACATCCAAATTTCCTGCGCCTCTAAATCTGAATATTTTCAAGGTAGCAAAAGGTAAATAGTTGAAAGTTAATAAGCAAGCCTTGAGCAGCTCAATTGTTTCCTTCACGTGTCATTTCCCCACCATCCTAGATATTAGTCACTCCTTTTTCTGTCCCAATGGCACTTTGTGCATATCTACAGATCACTTCATGCTCTATATTTTCATTTTTTAAGTTACCTGTTATCAATTCATTAGTCTTTTGTGTCTGTTGAGGACAGTGGCGGTGTCATTGTCCTTCCTCAATTTCTAGTTCCTAGTCAATATGCTTGCATATAGCAGTACTTACTGACTGTTTGAAGGTTGAATAAATGAGCACCTGGTATGTTCAAGACACTAAAAAACACAAGGGGGAACAAAAGTGGTACAAATAATTAACACTTCTTGAGTATTTGTTTAGCTTGGATTAACTACGAACTTGAATAAGCATGACTTATGGGATGCAATTATAAGACACCTTGACTTTCGCTTCTCTCTATCCCCCAAGTCATTGATTATGTTTAGGTAAGACAGGTAACTAAAATGCCAATTTCTATGTTATAGTAAACATGTTGAACTTGATTTGACATTGAGGTTTATCCTCCACCATCTCAGGCTTGACAGAGAGGAGGAAAATAAACAGTTGGAGATGGGAATGTGGTTGGCTTCCTCTCCTCATCTGATGTTTCCCTTTCTCCTTCAGTCATCTTGTTAACTGTAGTTTCTTAACCCCCAGGGTTGGCTTGACCAGAAGAGAAAGGGGAACAAGAATGTGCTTACCTGGCCAGACCTGTTACAAGCAGAACTCTTCCTTTCGGGCCAAGGCGGGTGTTTAGGCTGACTGGATTTTGTAGATTCTTTGTAGTCTACCCATTCATCCTGTCCTGCCTGCAATAGCTGGAGACTCTTGCCTGCAGTTCTTTTGCTGTGGGTGATATGCTTTTTTAAAACTTTTTGCTAATCCTTCCTCTGCCCCTGGCCATCCAGTGGTACCTTCAGCTTCTCTCTGCTGAGGTCTATTTACCCCTCCAGGTGATCTTCTCAGGCTGGATCTAAGACAATCCAATGCCGGTTGGCTCTCTTGCTTTACCCACTGAGCCCCCCAAACCCACTTGTCTTCCAAGGATCATTCTTTTCTACCCTCACAAACACTGAGACTACTGTCTCACCAATGCAACCTCTTCTCTTTTGATTCATCTATCATCAGCTCCTGGCAAGAACAAATACTGGGCTTCAGAATTTTCAGATGGGCGACCAGTCACTGTGGGGGAACTCATGAGCTCTCTGAGTGGTTTCTTTGGAGCCCTCCATTGTAGACAAGAAAAAACATATGACACCTTTGTTGTTTTCACTTGGCATGCCAACTATTCATTGCAAAGACTCTGTCTTCATTATCTTCCTTTTGAATTTCTCCAAACATTTTTATAGCTGGAGGTGGGTGGTCAGTTAAGTGTTGCAAAACTAGTTTTCTGCCCTCTCTCTTTAGTAAGTCCTGTGTGGTTGCTTTACTTTGAAATATAGCATCTACTGTCTTTATGTATCAACCAAAACCATGGGAGGAAAAGTCACCTTAATATCTGTCATTCTATGTTCTGGGCACTGACCTCAGTTTTCCATGCATTAACTCTTTAAAATATAGAAAATCTATAGATGAAAAAAATGAAGTACAAGGAAGCTAGGTAACTTGCCAAATTTCACTCAGCTAGCAAGTGGCAGAGCCAAAAGGTAAACCCAGATAATTTGGATTTGTAGCCTGTGCTGTTAATCACTGCTTTACTTCCTCTTATAAATGAAACACAGTACATACCCTTGAGAAGTTTACAATTTAGTGAGGAGGAGTTGAAAACTAATTAAATAACTGTAAGACATGAAATAATGAAATAGGCATCTCAAGTAAATTCTATGCAGATTCAAAAAACATCTGAATTAGGAAACAAGGAAAGGTTTCATGGAGGAGATTGGGTCTTTAAAAATGAATAGAACTGGCTGGGTGTGGTGGCTCATGCATGTAATCCCAGTGCTTTGGGAGGCTGAGGCCAGAGGATTGCTTGTGTCCAGGAGTTTCAGCCCAGCCTGGGCAACATAGGAGACCCCATCTCTACAAAAAGTAAAACATTAGGAAAAATCATCTAATTTTTTAAGTGTGACGGCATTGCCTGTAGTCCTAGTTACTCGGGGGTTGTGAGGTGGGAGGATGGCTTAAGCCCAGGAGTTCGAGGTTGCAGTCAGCTATGATAGAGTCACTGCACTCTGGTCTGAGTGACAGAGTGAGACTCTGCCTCTTAAAAAAAAAAAAGAATAAAATAGAACCTCTGCTGGTTAAGATGGCAGGAAGAGGATTCCCGGTCGTGGCAAAGCAAGAGTAAAGCAGGAGGCAGGTTTGGGATTAGTGGGAATCCAGTTTGGCTGAGGCAGAGGATGGTTGGGGAAGTTGTGGGCCATGGGACTGAAAATGTGGCTTTACTGCGACCTTGGATGTTGGGGTGAGGATTTCATTTGATTTAGAGGGTAATGGGGTGCCACTGAATTTCACAGGAGTCAGCAAAAACAGGTAGGAAGAGGTGAAAGAGACACTGTAGAGACAGAACTAAAGGACCAGGCCACTGGCGCCATACAGGAGACACAGGAAAGAGGCAGTTGAAACCCCTGGGCTACTGAGAGAATGGGCCACTACTGAGGGAAATGGGGCTGGAAGGAGGCCCTGTCTTTCCCCACTCTTTTAAATTTTGGTAAAATATGTTAAATTAAGATTTTTGATGAGCCTAATATTTAATGAGTGCTTACGTGCTAATCAGAGTATGAAGCACATATAATTTCATTATATCTCACAAATAAAATCTTATTACACAGTTCTAAAGATTTGTTTTTCTTTCATCTTGGCTTTTTCTTCCATTGGATTTCTGGGAAGAGGGATGTCTTGGTCACCATCGAGCCTGAGAATCTAGCAGAGTGACAGACACATAATAGGTTACAACAAATGAATATCTGAACTGATCTCTTCTGCAAATAGGGCATGTGCTCTAGACCTGCCTGGAGCACACAGGAGTGAGTGAACTATTCAGGCAGGTTCTTCCGGGAAAAACACAACTGACCCATTTCTAGGGCATCTATGTTACTAGGAGCAGCTAAGCTTTAAATGGAACAATAAGTCTTAGGAGGAGGGCATCTTTTAAAACTGGCTTATCATTGCTAGAAGTACCTCTGTTGCATGGAGGTCATAATCACAGGTGGGATGAAGAGAAGTGGGACTTTTAATTGGCCTGAAATAATCTGGAGTACCAAGGAGTTGTGAAGAGTGTCCTGGATAAGTATCTGAAAAACTAAGCCATTAACCACGAGCCCGCTAACCAGCTTCATGGATACTGGCTGTAGTTCAGTGGCTGTGGGGAGTTAGATTGTTGGGATTTACATGTTTGTTTTCTTTCAATTCCTTGCAGTCTGGGAACTGAGGCTAACCTATCGGGCTCCAGTCTTGGCTGATTTTGTTGGGCTTGCCTTTGTAAAAGGGCTCCTGTATGTTTTTCTGAGCAGTGTGCTATGGTTGCTGAGGAAAAATCTTCTAAGGTCTTGGTCACATTTGACGGTACTGATGGGTTTCTTTGGATCCATCTGCACAGCCTCAGCCATCTTCCTTGCAACAATCAGCCCTCATTTTAGTGAAAGGTGCCTTGAGTTAATGGCGCAGTCCAAGTCCCTGGAAACAGGATTTTATTTATACAGATGTTTAGGATTACTGTGTAGACTGAGATTCACCCAATCTGTCCCAGCTTGATAAATGACAATACGTTTCTCTTAATTGTTCAGGTTAAAAACCTGGAAGTTATCCTCGACTCCTCTTTTTGTTTAACTCTACATTAAGCCCCTCAGCAAATCCTGCCAGCTACTTTTCAAAATATATCTAGGATCTCACCACTGCCACCCTAGTGTAACCTATCATTAGCACTTGCTTGAATTGTTCTGGTATCTTTATTGCTCTCCCGGACTCCATCTTGTATGCTGTTAGGACTGTTTTACACACCATATCCAGAGGGATTCTTTTAATAAGCAGTTAAACTATTTCATCCTTGTGTCCTAAACACGCGCGCGCACACACACACACACACACACACAGTTTAACTCCCACAGCCATCCCACATAGTTCACCATGCACGTGGGTGCTGTGACCACCTAATCTGATACTCTGATGAGAGCAAGAACAAGCATGCTTTCTCTGCATGGCTTTTTGCAGGAAAAAGTGTCAGTAAAGATTTGGAGGCCGTCATTTCAACTTTTAGTCACTAGATGGCACTCTGGGACCATGCAAGGTCTTGAGTGGCTTGTCATTTTTATGGGACACAGATTTTTCAGTGATTTCAGGCTGAAACTCTTCTGTATGAAGCCTGGACTAAAACAGACTGAGATGACCAAATTTTCTTTAAAAAATTTAAATATATATATCTTAGGGGGCAAACTATAGCTTAGAAAGATAAATTGGAAAGATTCCGAATTCTAAGGGAAACACTGAAATTTCTATTTGAAAATGTAGAATCACCCAGGAGGTTGGGGGTCAGGAATGGCTGGGGCTCAGACTCTCTATAGGAACCTGTGGGCACAGCTGAGGGGTGACTAGGTAGTGGCTTTGGCATTCAGGAAAAGAGTTCGAGGTCCTAAAAGTTTTATTCAAAGTCATCATATTTACAAAATGTCTGATTCTTTCTTTTGAGGCTGAAGCCAAGAGCTCATTAACCAAGAATTCAGATACTAGAGGCAGGTTGTCGGAAGGTTTCAGGTGTGTGGGTGGACACTGGGTGGAAGAGTCAGCTCTTTCCCTCTCAGTGGCTGTGGGGGTTAAACTGCATGTGTGTGAGTGTGTATTTGTGAGTGTGTGAGTGTGTGTGTGTGAGGGAGAGAAAGAGGAGACAGAGAGAAAAGGGAGAGAGAAGGGAGGTAGGGAAGGACAGACAGAGAGAGAGAAAAAAATGGTTAAGTCTAAATTATTCTGTTTGATTCCCTTGAATTAAATTCACCCTGCTTCCTACCATAAAGGCAAGTAATTGATAAAATATACTTACTATATTTGATTCCAAATGAACAAACACAAATTTCATTGGTGTAGTTCTTTCTGTTTTTCAAAATACTTCACAGGAAATATCTCATTTAGCTCTTACAGCACCTCCTTACTGCTGTTTTACAGAGAGGTGCTCAGGTTACACATTTATTGGTAAGAGGATTTCAGGACCACATAGGTGTTAAGTCCAAATCCATGCTTGTTCTGTTGCACCATGGTACCTTTTAAATTTCTAGTCTGTGGAACAAAAGTTCGCCCATTAATTCTCAGTAGTTTAGTGTCCCAACTTTTAGTAGCCAGAGATAATCTCACAGTCCATATAAATAAGATTTTCTTTTTTCTGGCATAAGCTTCCTCTTGAGAATCAGTGAGAGAAAGGAATGGTCTTAGCCTCATTTGCAGAACAATCTCCCCCGACAAATAAACCATAACAGACTTAGCTCTCCTCTACTCCACAATCCATGAAACAGACCCACAAATACTCTTTGTTTAAACATGGATAGGATTGTCTTAGCCATTTGGATCTGACCTCGGAAGACTTGGCACACCCTTTTTTTATTGTTCAGATACCTGGCTCCTTTGGATGGGATGATCCATAAACTGCCTGATACGGTTTGGCTCTGTCCCCACCAAACCTCAACTTGAATCGTATCTCCTAGAATACCCACGTGTTGTGGGAGGGACCCAGTGGGAGGTAACTGGGTCATGGGGGCCAGTCTTTCCCATGCTATTCTTGTGGTAGTGAATAAGTCTCGAGTTCTGATGGGTTTATCAGGGGTTTCTGCTTTCACTTCTTCCTCATTTTCTCTTGCTGCCACGATGTAAGTAGTGTTTTTTGCCTCCTGCCATGATTCTGAGGCCTCCCCAGCCACATGGAACTGTAAATCCAATTAAACCCCTTTTTCTTCCCAGTCTCGGGTATGTCTTTATCGGCAGTGTGAAAATGAACTAATATAGTACTGCTGAAAAGATACCCCAAAATGTGGAAGCAGCTTTGGAACTGGGTAACAGGCAGAGGTTGAAACAGTTTGGAGGGCTCAGAAGAAGACAGGAAAATGTGGGAAAATTTGGAACCTCCTAGAGACTCATTGCATGGCTTTGACAAAAATGCTGATAGTGATATGAACGATAAGGTCCAGGCTGAAGTGCTCTCAGATGGAGATGAGGAACTTGTTGGGAACTAGAGCAAAGGTGACTCTCCTTATGTTTTAGCAAAAAGACTGGTGGTGTTTTGCCCCTGCCCTAGAGATTTGTGGAACTTTGAACTTGAGAGAGATGATTTAGTGTATCTGGCAGAAGAAATTTCTAAGCAGTAAAGCATTCAAAAGGTGACTTGGGTGCTATTAAAGCATTCCATTTTAAAGGGAAAAGAGAGCATAAGAGTTCAGAAAATGTGCAGCCTGACGATACAGTAGAAAAGAAAAACCCGTTTTTTTCTTTTGTTTTGTTTTGTTTTTTTTTAAGGAGAAATTCAAGCTGGCTGCAGAAATTTGCATAAGTAGCAAGGAGCCTAATGTTAATCCTCAAGACCATGGGGAAAATGTCTCCAGACCATGTCAGAGACCTTCAGGGCAGCCCCTCCCATCACAGGCCTGGAGGCCCAGAAGCAATAAGTGGTTTTGTAGGCTGGGCCCAGGGTCCCCCTACTGTGTGCACCCTAGGGACTCGGTGCCCTGTGTCCCAGCTGCTCCAGCAGTGGCTGAAAAGGGCCAACGTAGAACTTGGGTTGTGGCTTCAGGGGGTGGAAGCTCTAAGCCTTGACAGCTTCCACGTGGTGTTGAGCCTGTGGCTGCATAGAAGTCAAGAACTGAGGTTTGGGAACCTCTGCCTAGATTTCAGAAAATGTATAGAAATGCCTGGGTGCCCAGGCAAAAGTTTACTGCAGGAGCAGGGCCCTCATGGAGAACCTCTGCTAGGGCAGTGCAGAAGGGAAATCCGAGGTCAGGGCCCCCACATAGAGTCTCTACTGGGGCACTGCCTAGTGGAGCTGTGAGAAGAGGGCTACCGTCCTCCAGACCCCAGAATGGTAGGTCCACCAACAGCTTGAACCGTGTGCCTGGAAAAGCCACAGACACTCAATGCCAGCCCATGAAAGCAGCCAGGAGGGAGGCTGTGCCCTGCAAAGCCACAGGGCTGGAGCTGCCCAAGACCATGGGAACTTACCTCTTGCATTAGTGTAACCTGGATGTGAGACCTGGAGTGAAAGGAGATCATTTTGGAGCTTTAAAGTTTGACTGCCCGGTTGGATTTTGGACTTGTATGGGCCCTGTAGCCCCTTTGTTTTGGCCAATTTCTCCCATTTGGAATGGTTGTATTTACCCAATACCTGTACCCCCACTGTATCTAGGAAGTAACTAGTTTGCTTTTGATTGTATAGGCTCATAGGCAGAAGGGGCTTGCCTCATCTCAGATGAGACTTCGGACTGTGGACTTTTGGCTTAATGCTGAAATGAGTTAAGACTTTGGGGGACTGTTGGGAAGGCATGGTTGGTTTTGAAATGTGAGGACATGAGATGTGGAGGAGCCAGTGGTGGAATGAGATGGTTTTGCTGTGTCTCCACCAAATCTCAACTTGAATCGTATCTCCCAGAATTCCCACATGTTGTGGGAGAGGCCCCGGGGGAGGTAATTGAATCATAGGGGCTGGTCTTTCCCATGCTATTCTCGTGACAGTGAATAAGTCTCACAGGATCTGATAGGTTTAGCAGGGGTTTCTGCTTTGCTTCTTCCTCATTTTCTCTTGCTGCCACCATGTAAGAACTGCCTTTCCCCTCCTGCCATGATTCTGAGGCTTCCCCAGCCGTGTGGAACTGTAAGTCCAATTAAACCTCTTTTTCTTCCCAGTCTCAGGTATGTCTTTATCAGCAGTGTGAAAACGAATGAATATACTGCCTAAAAGAGTTGGCACATAGAAGCCCCTCAAGTTACTCATTCATCCATTTAACACATATTTATCCACCTCTTAAAACATTGTTTTAGGGACTAGACATACATCTGTAAACAAAAGAGAAAAAGTTCCAATTCTCAAGACGCTTGCATTCCACTGTGGAAAACAAGACCAGTTAACAGCGGTACCAACAGTACATCAGAATGTCACAGATGCCAGAAGAAAAAGAAGGCAGGGGAAAGGGATGGAGGGTGAAAAGCCTCAATCTGCCATTTTAAGCCAGAGTGTCTCTTCTGAGGTGACATTTGTACAGATATCTGATTGAAGCAGGGAATAATACATTTCAGTTATGTTTCATCTCCTCTCCCCTCTTTTTTTCTAATAAGCTGGGCAGAGCGTCTGAATAGACAAAACATCATTCTTAAACCTGAACTTTTCTTCTCTTGCTGCCACCATGTAAGAAGTGACTTTCGCCTCCCGCCATGATTCTGAACCCTCCCCAGCCATGCAGAACCATTTGCTAAATCTTCCAAGCTTTGTCTTGTCATGGAAACTTTCTGTCTCTTGGTTTACTTATCAACAAAATGAGATAACACTTCAGTACCTACCACAAAATTGTTGGAAGTATAAAATGAGAACATGCATGGGAAATCATTTTTAAAACTCAAAAATACAATAAAAGTATAAGGAATGTTTTCAATTTTTAGAATTCCCCTTTCCAATTGAAAATACATTTTCTTTGCTTTGATTTTCAAAGAGGTATTCTATCTAAAGTCACATTTACTTGCTAGTAGTATTTTTCTACATTATCAGATTAGAGCTAGATCCATCCTGGTTGGCAACTTAGTATCATATAGTACAGTTGTGTTGCTTGATTGACAATGGCTACCTGGAGCACTGGGCTGGGAACTTCAGTTTTCCCACCAAAAAAGCCTATCTTGAACAATGGGTATACCCAGGTATACCTAACTTCCCTATCACTCCTCATGCTCCCTGAATCATATATATTGGGATTATGTGAAGTTTTTGTGATACATTAATTACACCTGTTTTTGCCAAGGAAGAGTAATCCAGGGGCATGCCTGCTGGGTGCCTGTTGACTCTTATTGGGATGCCCAGTCACCTGTCCTAAAGTGATGCGTGTTGTTGGCTCTGATACCCTGCTGCCACTGTAACATCTTCTGAGCCTCTCCAAAGCAGAACAATTCAATGCTCTTGGTCCTAATGCTGATAATCCTGCATCTCTGCATCTTCGCAGGCTCCCTGCCTCTTCTTGGCAAGCAGACTGATAGATCCCAGATGCTGCCTCTTGCCTTCTTTGATTTTTCCTTCTAAAATGTGGCCTGGCCCTTCCTTATGTGACTGACTCCAAGTTTTGGGTCATTTTATATTGTGCCAGCCTTGCAAAAAAAAAGAAATACATTTGACTTCCTAAATAAGGGCACCGAATTTCTTTCAGAGGCAAGTATGCCTGGTTAGAACATTTTAAACTCATTAAAGAGAGTAAAAATGTGGGACATAAAAACTATAGGAGCTGGTTCACATAAGACCTTACAAGTCTCTTTATGTTAGATGAAACTGAGAACTGCTGCAATGGGACAAATCCATGGTCCATGGAATCCAGCCCTGAAACCCAGCATTCATGGACATATTTAGGGCAGTCTATCCTTTTAGGTGAATTTAAAGGAAGGTTAATTTATGGCTTTGTATTTGTGACTCAAGCCTATGGATTTGACATCTAAAGTATCAAGCAGAAGCAGCAGATAGGACTAACAGCACAGCCAAGACAAGAGAAGGAGAAGTGTGGAGAGGGTTTTCTGGAACCTGAACAATGAAGCAGGTGGGTGAGATCACCAAGTTCAATTTGAAATGGGGACCAGCTTGCATTTAGCAGTGCTTTCTTCTCAGGGTATTTGAATTAAGCCAGCAGCCAGCCTGTCTTCTGGTGTCACAGCATTCGTTAAGGTTAGATTGCCCTATCCGTTACCAACAAGATTTAGACTTAAACACCCCACTTCTGTCCACGTTTTTTGCTTTATTTCTCTGTGTTGTAAGTATTTGGGCTCTATTTTCCAAACTTATTACTTCTCTCTTAGTAACTGTCTAGCCTAGTATTTTTTTTTAAGATGCAAAATCCTACAAAACCACTTTTTGCTTCTGGGCCTCCAGGCCTGTGATGGGAGGGGCTGTTTCAAGTCCACTTGATCCAGAGCTGAGTTCAGGTCCTGAATATCTTTGTTAATTTTCTGTCTCTATGATATGTCTAATGTTGATAGTGGGGTGTTAAAGTCTCCCACTATTACTGTGTTGGAGTCTAAGTCTCTTTGTAGGTCTCTAAGAGCTTGTTTTATAAACCCGGTTGCTCCTTTATTGGGTAAATATATATTTAGGATAGTCAGCCCTTGTTGAATTGAACCCTTTACCATTATGTAACACTCTTCTTTGTCTTTTTGATATTTGTTGGTTTAAAGTCTGTTATATCAGGAACTGGAATTGCAACCCCTGCTTTTTTCTGCTTTCTGTTGGCTTGGTAAATTTTTCTCTATTCTTTTATTTTGAGCCCATGTGTGTCTTTGCATGTGAGATGGCCCCTTGAATATGGCACACTGATAGTTCTTGAGTTTTTATCCAGCTTGCCATTCTGTGTCTTTTAATTGGGGCATTTAGCCCATTTATATTTGAGGTTAGTATTTTTGTGTGTGAATTTGATCCTGTCATCATGATGCTAGCTGGTTATTTTGCAGACTTGTTAATGTAGTTGCTTCATAGTGTCATTGGTCTGTGTACTTCAGTGTGTTTCTATAGTGGCTGGTAATGGCTTTTCCTTTCTGTATTTAATGCTTCCTTCAGGAGCTCTTGCAAGGCAGGCCTGGTGGTGACGCATTCCCTCAGCACTTGCTTGTATGGAAAGCATTTATTTCTCCTTCTCTTATGAAGCTTAGTTTGGCCAAATATGAAATTCTGGGTTGGAAATTATTTTCTTTAAGAATGTTGAATATTGGCCCACAATCTCTTCTGGCTTGTAGGGTTTCTTCTGAGAATTCTGCTGTTAGTCTGATGGACTTCCTTTTGTAGGTGACCTGGTCTTTTGGTGTGGTTGCCCTTAACATTTTTTTCCTTCATTTTGACCTTGGAGAATCTGATGATTATGTGTCTTGTGGTTGATCTCCTCATGGAGTATCTTACCAGGGTTCTCTGGATTTCGTGAATTTGAATGTTGGCCTGTCTTGCTAGGTTGGGGAAGTTCTCCTGGATGATATCCTGAAGTATGGTTTCAGGCGTGGTTCCATTCTCCCCATCTCTTTGAGTGTCCTAACCAGGTATAGGTTCAGTCTTTTTACATAATCCCATAGTTCTCAGCGGTTTTGTTCATTCCTTTTCATTCTTTTTTCTCTAATCTTGTCTTCCTGTCTTATTTCAGCAAGATGGTGTTCAAGCTCTGAGATTCTTTCCTCCACTTGGTCTATTTGGCTATTGATACTTGTTGCATTATGAAGTTCTTGTGTTGTGTTTTTCAGCCCCATTAGGCCATTTATGTTCCACTCTAACTGGTTATTTTGGTTAATAGCTCCTGTAATGTTTTATCACGGTTCTCGGCTTTTTTGCATTGGGTTAGAACATACTCCTTAGCTCAGTGAAGTTTGTTTTACCCACATTCTGAAGTCTACTTCTGTCAATTCATCCATCTCAGCCTCAGCCCAGTTCTGTGCCCTTGCTGGAGAGCTGTTGTGATCATTTGGATAAGAGGTACTCTTAGCCCAGTATTTAACCATTATTATCAACTTTATAAAAAGATTCAATGACTCTTTAATTTATAGAATTTCTTTTTCATCCTCAAATCTGGTTGTTATTTTTAAAATAATGTCATGCCTTTAACTTTTGGGTTTGTTCCTTTACTTCTCTGGACTTTAAAAAACACTTATAAAGTCTCTTTCAAATTATTCTATATTCACCACTTTTAAGTGTGAATTCTTCCATTTACTGCATTGTCTGTCTTTTTTGCTGGTGGATTTCCTCTTGTTCTTTTAAATCTTGTGTATGAATTCTTCAGTGGGAATTTTCTTCTTTGGGAGTCCAATAGGTCATTACGGTGATTGTTTTTATATGAGCTTCTTAATGTGGGTTTTCATACTTTATGAGTAGTGAAAAGAGTGCTGCACATCTGCACATAGAGCAAATCTGGTGTTTTGAATTCTCAAGATTCACTTTTCACCAAAAGCTTAGGAAGTTTTGTTACAGTAGGTAGCTAGTCAGACATGAGCAGGGCAGGAGAGGGCCATCCCACCCCAAGGAATATCAGGCAACCATCAGGTGATGGTCAGGCATTATTACACCCTTTCTCTAAAATAATAATCGGTGCAGCTGGCGCCAGGGAAACAGTCTCCCAATAGATGGAAAAACCTGAAGCTGGTGATCAGCAGCTTACCGATAATATCTCAGAAGTTGGGCAAGTAGGCTCATGTATGTGCACTAAGAGGTAAAATGGTGGAGTTTAACTGGTATATAACCTTATAGAAACACTTGACTGATAAGGGAAGAATGCCTCAAGTGAGCATGCATACAGCTCCAGTAAACACACTGTGCATGTTCCCCTCCCAAGTGCTAGCAGGCCACTGCGCATGCGGACTGCCCATCCCAAGGGAAGAATCAGGGGAGAAGGGATTCAAAACCCCAGAAGTATGCCAGCATATACAACCCTATGTCAAAGGCCAAATGGTGCACTTGATCTCTCAAGTCACCCGCTTGGCCCTCTTCCAAGTGTACCTTGAGCATGGCTGTGTATTTAAATAATTATTTTTTATATTGAAGTAATCATTTTTACATTATTTCAACTTTTCTTGTTTTGAGCAAGGGAGCAAGGTCTGAAGGTTGAAGTGTGCCACTGTCACAGGAAATTGCTATATTGCTTCTGTAAGTGATGTGAAAAGAAAAATTTAGCACTGAATGGTTTACCAACACAAACCTGCATGTAGAAAAGAAATGGAACTGCTTGTTAATTTTGGCTCTAGATGTCTTCTAAATAAGATTAAACATATAGTTTGAAAGAAGAAGTAGTCACATATATGCTTAAGATGAAACTAAAGTACCAGTTGAATTGATATAGAAAAATAATTGTACCATAACAGAAAGAGGCTTTCATTTTATTTAATTAAATACATGTATTCATATGATTTATGTTGGGTCATTTAGAACCCATTGTAAATTAGATATCAAATTATTATTAAAAAGGTTTTAAATCTGGTTTGGCATGGTGACTCATGTCTGTAATCCCAGCACTTTGGGAGGCTGAGGGTGGGTGGATCACCTGAGGTCAGGAGTTTGAGACCAGCCTGGCCAACATGGTAAAACCCCATCTCTACTAAAAATACCAAAATTAGCCAGGTTTGGTTGTAGGTGCCTGTAATCTCAACTACTCGGGAGGCTGGGGCAGAGAATTGCTTGAACCTGGGAGGTGGAGTTTGCAGTGAGCCGAGATTGTGCTGCTGCACTCCAATCTGGGTAACAAGAACAAGGCTCCATCTAAAAAAAAAAAAACAAACACAACAACAACAAAGGGTTTAAATCTTATTTAAAGTTTAATCAAATTTTAGTGGAATACTTTCTACTTTATGGCAACTTAAAACATTGAGAAAAAATTTGTCTAACATAAAACTAACAATTTTAAAGAGTAAAATTTAGTGGTATTTAGTGTATTTACAAGAACCACCTCTATAGCTCCAAAACATTTTCATCACTTGCAAAGGAGACATTATTTCTTTTGCAGTCACTCCCCTTTCTCTCCTCAATCAGCCACTGGAAACCATTAATACACTTTCTGTTTCTATGGATTTACCTATTCAAGATATTTCATGTGACCTTTCGTGGCTGGCTTTTTAAACTTAACAATGTTTCATCCGTGTTGTAGTATGTATTGATACTTCATTCCTTTTTTTTTTTTTTTTTTGAGACGGAGTCTCGTTCTGTCGCCCAGGCTAGAGTGCAGTGGCACGATCTCGGATCACTGCACGCTCCGCCTCCTCCCGGGTTCACGCCATTCTCCTGCCTCAGCCTCCCGAGTAGGTGGGACTACAGGCGCCCGCCACCACGCCCAGCTAATTTTTGTATTTTTAGTAGAGACAAGGTTTCACCATGTTGGCCAGGATGGTCTCGATCTCTTGACTTCATGATCCGCCTGCCTGGGCCACCCAAAGTGCTGGGATTACAGGTGTGAGCCACCGTGCCTGGCCGAGACTTCAATCCTTTTTATGACGGAATAATTTCCCATTGTGGGTATACCACATTTTGTTTATCCATTCATCCATTGATGTACCTTTGGGTTGTATCCATCTTTTGGCTATTGCTAATAATGCTTTTTATGTTAAATTTTATAAAGTGATGGCAATAATTTAATGGCAACATAATTATGATTTAACCCTAAGGGATAAATGTAGTAAGGAAAGTTAATAGCATAGTACATTATCATGGCAAAGAAATCAGTGTTAAGCCATTTCATATCTCGTATTGTACTATATAGATCCTGAATTGATTGAGCAGCAGTAGAGTCATTGATTTCTGAACATCTCCAAACTTCTCTCTGTTTTAGAAATAGAACCATTTCATTGCTGTAGCAGTGCTCTCCAATAAGCAACACATGGCTTAAGGAATTCTTTCTCTCAATGATAAGAATTTGTTTCTGGATGATGAAATCAGGCCCCATAGAAGCAAGAGGGATTGCCAAGGAAACAAGTGCTCTGCCGGCTCTGCATGAGCTGACTGGTCTCTGCACAGGGTGCTCATTTCACTTGTTACGTTAAAGTCTGATTCTTCCATGACCAAGACATTGACTCTGGCATTAAGAGATTGACTCTTAAGAACAATTGAGATGGCACCAAAAGCCAATAGACCATGCTGGTGTGAGGTTTTAAAATAAAAAAATGACGTCTTGTTTTTGTTAGAACAGTGCTGGGAACAACTCAGTGGAACCTGATTGTGCCTTGTCACATGGAAAGAGCAAAATGGCAGCCCAATCCACACAGAGGAACCAGTTGGACAATTTTGAATCCAAGATTTTTGTTGTCATACCTAGCTGCCAGAAACCTCACAGGGTTAATTTTCTCAGTATTGGGAAAACTTGGCAGGCAATGACATAACAATAGAATATCTACTTTTCTTTCTCTACTCCAAACTCACTGCAGGAGAAAATGTATGATTCAACATGAGAAGCACATTTTCATACACAAAGATTTTCCTATTATTAAAAGTCTTGTGAGGGTGATAAATCACAATAATTCACAATTCTGTTGAATCAAGAATTATCAGTTTAGATCAGCTACTCCTTAGCTGTGTGCCCTTTTCCAATTAAAATTGCATCCGACTGAGTAGGACTAAGGCTTCCAATATTTAATTTATTGATAAAAACAAACAAAATATGACTATGATTTAATATTGGTTAATAAGTTAATCTAATTTTGCCTGATGTACTTATGTACTTTTAATGACCATAAGCAATGACTTGTTATTTGGGAGCTGAAGTTGATGAGGCAGATATTTGCTGAGTTCTTACTGACTATTAAAATCACATTATAACATTAATGTAACTTGTTTATTTCATTACTTCTTGGCATAGAGGTAAAGTTAATTTTGTTAACTATCTTCTAAAAGAAACTATGCTGATACATGTAAAGTTCCTAATGATTCATTTACTGTAATTGTTTCATATAAATTTATTTTGAAACACTTCCCATTTTTATAGGCAATAGTAAACACGTTTCTCTCAGCCAGGAGAGGTAACAGTAATGATTTCTTGAGAACAAAAATCACCTTTTGTGAAACACAACATTTTTTCATGTAAGGACTTCCCTTTCAGTAGATTGTATTAGGATTGTCAAGAGCAAACATTACCGAAAGTGCATTAATAAAGCATGTCATTTACAACTCCAGTTGAATTTTAATTGAGTTCTGCAGGATTCCAGAAAGGAGGTAGTTGGTCAAACCATTGCCCCTTCTCCTCTTTATTCTACCAGTGATGCTCTCATTCTTCACAAATAAGCCTTTATCTCACATAATCATCCAGGACAACTTTTTTTGCAAAATTACCCCAACCCACTTAATTAACTTCTGCATTGTAAAGCCAATTCTTCTGAAGTCATCTTTAGAAACTCTTTTAGGAGGTCTGTAATTCGGTTTTGTGAATATATTAACAAAGTAATTTTTTTGGCCAGGCACGGTGGCTCATGTCTGTAATCCCGGCACTTTGGGAGGCCAAGGCAGGCGGATCACGAGGTCAAGAGATCGAGACCATCCTGGCCAACATGGTGAAACCCTGTCTCTACTAAAAATACAAAAATTAGCTGGGTATGGTGGCACATGCCTGTAGTCCCAGCTACTGGGGAGGCTGAGGCAAGAGAATCGCTTGAACCTGGGAGGCGGAGGTTGCAGTGAGCTGACATCGTGCCTCTGCACTCTAGCCTGGTGACAAAGCTAGACTCTGTCTCAAAAAAAAAAAAGTAGTTTTTTATTCTTTTCTGCCTTTGCTTTCATTGCTAAAGAAGGAAATGGTCAAGTGAGTGCATTAGATAGCTGAAGCTCTTAATGAATCTGCATTTATGAATAATACTTATTGAATTATTTTGTGCATGGTAATGTGGTAGACTAGTTCCTATTATTACCATAAAAAAGGTTTTCTGCCCTAACAGCAAATCCTTAACTATAAGTCACATTAAATTTACTTGGGAAGTTAGAAAAATAATGCTCTATGTCTCTCTATAAAGGTAGCTTTCAAAAGCCTTATGTCTGTTATAGAACTTAAGGAAGTGCAGATTCCAAAGAAAGTGAGTCATTAAATCTAAGGTGCGGCCCAGGGATCTGTATTTAAAAAAAATAAGAATCTGTGGTAATTCTGATATAAGTGGTCTTTAAAACTTAGTGAAATAAGCATCATGTTTAGAACTTCATGATTTTAATAATGAATTGTTATCATTATGCAAATGCTTAAATTTATTGTTTCTGACAAATTTCAGTATCATGTATTAAATCTGGTCATTAGATCCTGATCTTTTTCAGAGTCAAAGTATCTTTTAAAAATCAGGTTTTTTATTTTAATCATTCAGCTTAGATCCTAAAATTCTCAAGTTGTACTTACCTCTGTTTAATTGAATAATTTTTTTAAAAAGCCAAAAAAAAAAAAATAAACCACCTTTCTAGATATAATAAAAATGAGTCATATCTGTTTAAAATTTAGGAAATGATATTAAAGAAAAGAAGAAAATCTTAATGTAGTTTGTGGGAAGAGAGGGGCATGTGAAAAGAAAACAAACCTAACCTTTTAATTATGTATTAAATGAGAGTCTCCAATCCACAGTGCACATGTAACATCAAAGTTCTTAACTAAAATGGTTTCTTATTAGCATTTAAGTAAGATGTTTATCTAGTTCTATCACAGTCAGGGGCTGAAACCAAAGGAGTTTAATAAGCACCTCATGGAAGTTCAGGCCTCTAACAGAGCCTTAATTAGCAGATGGAACATCTTACTATTTGAAAAAGTTATGTCAAAGAAACTTTTTTTTGGTTGTTGCCAGATTGCCCATGTGGGCAAAAGAGAGCCTTAAATATCTCGCAACTGAAGCAGAACTAAAAGAAAGCAAATGTTTGTTTTTTTTCCCCTCACCAACCAATTCTCCAATACTCTGGACACCAACTGAGAGTCCTACAATTTAATTCTGAAACTTACTGCCTGGGATTAGCAGAGACCCCACAGATTAAGGATCCAGTTCCACAAGACTGCCTCCCACTTTAGATGCCAATTGCAAGTGCCAGGTTGTCACCTGTATTTCTGACCAACAGGTTATAAATTGAGGGTTCCCATAACCCTCTCCTTATATTCAACAGTTTGCTATAATGGCTTACAAACCTCAAAGAAACATTATAGTTTAACATAAAGGATATTACAAAGGATACAGATGAGGAGCCAGATAAAAAGGGACCTAGGGTGAGGTCTGAAAGGGTGCCGAGGGCAGGAGCTTCTGTTGCCATGGAGTTGGGGTGCACTGTACTCCCTGGCATGTGGATATGTTCACCAACCTGGAAATTCATCAAGTTTCATTGTTCGAATTTTATAGAGCTTAACCTCCAGCCCCTTCCTGGAGGCTGGTGGTCCTGGCTGAAATTCCAACCCTCTAATCACTTGGTCTTTCTGGTGACCAGTCCCATCCTGAGGCTATCCAGGGACCCTACCCTAAGTCATGCATTAGCATAAACTCAGGTGTGATTAATGGGGGTTTTTATGCATAACAAAAGACACTCTTGTCACTAGGAAATTACAGGGGCTCAGAAGTTCTGTGCCAGGAACCGTACAAAATCAAATATATTTTTTATTATACCACTGTAACATGCGTTTGCTTCCTACAATTTTTAGATATTTTCTGTGCTTACAGTTTCTCTGCTCTAGGAACTGAGTCACGGTGGGAATGGTAACAAGAGAATCAAACCTTACCAGGAAAGTGAAATCAATTTGGAGGCAGCTAGTGTTTCTTGAAGCAGCTATATGCAGTAATTGCATTTATAAAGCAAAAGGATAATATGTGGGTATTTACAGATGCATAGAGGCTTTAGGTTACAAACCACAAAAAAACATACTGAGGACTACAAGGAACGACTTTAAACTATCAGGGCTATTTTGAGTGTCTTTTATTTCTGAAGGCTTATTATAATAATCTGGCATCATTCTGTTTGATTTCTTTTTCTGGGTTCTTCTTGGTTGTGTCCTGGTTCCTAGCATAAAACCTGAAGGTTGGCTGAAAAATCACAGACATGAGGCTGATTGACTGATAGAAGAAAAGGCACACAAATTTATTTAACATGTATGCACACCTTCAGAATGAAGACCCCACCCCCAATGAGGTACAGAAGCTTATACACCACCCTGAGGTTATAGAAAGAATGTGGGCTCAGAGTATGGTCAAAAATAGGTTAGGCTGGTAAAACAGGTGTTAGTGGCAAGGCAGGTTTTGGGAGGGAGAAAGGAAGAGGCCTGGCTAGCAAAGGTGTCCTTGTTATGTTGATGAAGACTCATAGATAGCAGCCCTCAGAAAGAATAGGTGGTTAACTATCTCTTTTCAGACCTTTAAAGATGTCAGACTCTGTTTAATCTCTCTAAGATCTGGGAAAGGCTTAGAAAGGGAAGGCAAGGCTGCATTAATGGAGATTCTTTACAGATACAAATTTCCCCCACAAAAGACAGCTTTGTAGGGCTACTTGTGTCTGTTGGCCCTGTGGCAGTCATTTCAAAATATGTCAGAGAAATATATTTTGGGGTAAAATATTTTGATTTTCTTCAGTTGTTCAAGGTTGGCTTTGAGTGTTATTTGAGGAGCCCTGAAATCTCCCCTGTAATCAAAGCCATTTCACAAGTGGCTTGTTGAGAGCCCTGAAACCAGACTTTTTTTTAAATTAAGAAGGCACTTTCTACCAAAAGCCAGTCCAATGCAAATTTGCTATGTTAGGGTTGTAATAGACATGGGCAAGTGACCTATTACTTCAACACTCAGTCATCAATTATCAAATGAGTGACCTCTCATTGTTTCACAGATGTTCACAGATAGAAGGTCCCTAGTGATTCTGCTAATAGCTTTTTGTGTGATATTAGACAAGCCACTTAACCTCTCTGGCTTTCATTTTTTCCACAAATAAAATAAATGCATTGGACTTAAAGTTTCCTAGGACGCTTTTGACTCCAACAATCTACTGATCTTGGAATTTTAAATTTTTTACTTAATACATACTGTTGAATTTTCTAAATTTTTTTCTTACCTTTATCTTAGATGCAAGTATTTGATGGCTTCAATTTAACAAATTCATTCAAAGTAGGAGAATTTAATAGCAAATGTACAATGCACAAGGAGCAATAAATAAATATCCCTACAACTCATCAGCATATGACAGAGTTTTTATATCAACTATGATCATTTTTTCCAAATTTTCAGGGACAGTCCTGATTTACAATGTACTATGTCATTGTTCATATAAACTTAGGGTCAAAAACTCATGTACTACAGGCCATATCCATCTACGGTATGTGTTTTTTTAATTTCATAAGGTGTTTAAGATAATCAGTCATGAAATAGGGCATGCGATCTTCAGTTTGCCACAATCCTGGCTGTTCTATTGTTTTCCTAATTCAGTTTCATTTGCTTACATTACCTGCCTGCATCTTGAAAACTTTTGAGTTTACAATCCATGTTAAATCTCATAAAAGCTATATTTTCTGGATTAGCACTCTCCAACAGAAGTTTCTGTGATGGAGATAATCTACATCTTTGCTGTTTAATATGGTAGCCACTAGCCACACGTGCTTTTGAGCACTTGAAATATGTCTAGTGTGACTGAGGACTACATTATTAATGGTTCAAAATTTAAATAAATTTAAATAGCCACATGAAGAGAGAAAGAAAGAGAGAGAGAAAGAGAGAGATAGTAGCCAGTACAGTGGAAAATGCAGCATCTAGACTGTCTGCTTCGGTTATCTCTTTCTGTACAAGAAACCACCCAAATTTATTTTGCTCACAGATTCAGCAGGTCAGAACTTCATGGCAGAGCACAGATGGCTTGTTGGGGCCTTAGATAGGAAGTTTCAAATGATGGGGTAACTCAGACAGCTCAGGCTGGAATCATCTGGAAGTTGCTTCACTTATGTCTAATGCCTGGACTGGGACAACTTGAAGGCTGGGTTCAGCCGGGACTGCTGAGGAGAGCACTTACATGTGGCCTTTCTTTATGGCATGCACTTGCCACATTATGGTACTTGGGTTCTGAAAGTCTGAAATTCTGGATATGTCCTGTAGTACATACAGATGTGGAATGTTTCTAGAGAACCTGGGGAAGTTGCATGACCTATTCTGACTTAGCTTCAAGGGCTATACTCTGTCACCTCTGTCTGCCTCATTCTATTGGTCACAAGCAAGCCACCATGGTCAGCCACAATTTAATGGGGTTGATATTAAACTCCACCTCTTGATATAAGAGTGACAAGGTCTCAATACAGAAGAGCATGTGGGAGGAGAGATATTGTGGTGGCCATCTCCAGAAAATACAGTCTGCCACAGTCTGTCCTGTGGCCATGGCAATACACTCCTTCCCATATGTCAAACACATACCTTCCTCAAATCCAATGCATCTGATCATTATGACATTAGCTCGAAGTCTATGATCTTCTTATTTAATTAAGTTCAGGTGCAGATGTGGTTCTTTGGCAGTGGTCCCTCTCTGAATCCAGTCCTTCCCCTTCTAAAGACCTATGACCTAAAGAAACAAGTTATCTGGCCCCTTTCCCCTCCTATGCACCCAAGATACAAGGCAGACCCAGTGACAGACTGAGTGCAGTAGACACCCGCATTCAAAGAGTTAGGGGAGGAAGAGGGAGCACAGGGACATCACTGGTATACAGAATACTGAAATTCAGCCACCATGTGTCCCCAGTTCCTTAATGCAGGCTTAGTATTGTTTCCTGGTAATGATCCTCTGTGGCTTTTGGCTCCATCACTGGTCTCTTAGTTTTACCCTTTGAGTCATCGTTTTTTTTTTTGTATAAAAATTAAGCTGTGTTTGCAGCTGAGTCGTTTTCTCAGCCTGATTCCTGTCCACAGCAGTTTGAAGGTACAAAGACATCTTTTTTTTTTTTTTGTATTATCCGTGATCCTTTTGGCTTGAGTGGACAGTGCTTATACCCATATACATTTTGTGGATTCTATGACTTTATGAAAGTTCACTCCATCTGACAAAAACCACAGCCACAATTTTCTTCAAGTCAGGCCCTTCTCTATCTTGGGATCCCTATGAAGCTACTGAGGGGCAATACCCTTAAGAGTCCTAAATTCCTTATTGTTTAACAGGAAGAGTTTTTCAGGAACATCCGTAAGCTCCTTAGAAGGTCTTTATCTAGTTGAATCATGAGACACTTGTGATCAGCTTCTGAGGTCTTATTAACAAGGATCCAACAACCCAACCTGGATTTGATCTTTGCATCGAGGACATTTCCTGCTTTGAGAATCTTTTGCTCTCTAGATTGAGGATCTGGGATTGAGAATCAGTTTTATTATTGACTCAGCAAATCCTACTTCCTTTATGTACCTCTAAATTCTTCTCAAAGATGGAATAATTCCTTGTTAACACCTCTCATTTTTTGTATCCTATTATATTCAGGGAAGAGATACCAGTTGATACTTTGTCTGGAAATCTTAGACAGATCTATCAATTCATTAAGTAATTTCTATATTACTCTAGGTGACAGTTCCACTAAACTTTCTACCACTACATAACAAAGGTCCCTTTTTCTTCAACTTCCAAAACATTTTTCTCACTTTCCTTGAACCTCTTATAGATAGTTTTCTTGAAGCCTAGCAGACTTTCATTTCCTGTCCAATCCCCAAACTGGTGAATGATACATGTTTTAGTGACACAAAGCAACAATCATCTTTAAATGCTCATAGATTCCTGATCTGTAGATCAGGAAATTGTATATAAGCATGGCTCGCCTCTGCTCCACCATGTCTGGGGCCTTAGCCAGGCAGACTAAAATGGTTGAAGACTGAAATAATTTAAAGGTTTCTGTGTTCACATGTTTTAGTGGCTGGAATAAGATGACTTGAAGGCTGGGCTCAGCTGAGTCTTTTATCTGAAGTACCAAATACTGGCTCTTCATGTATCTTGGGTTTTTCATAACATGATGGCTGGATTCTGAGAGGATCTGTCTGGGGAGGGATCATCAAGAGAGCTAATGCTATAAGAGAAATTGGGTAGACGGAAGCCATGTGGACTTTTTATATATAGCTTCAGAAGTCACACAGCATTGCTTCCATTGTATTTTATTGATTACTAGAGTTAGTAAGGCCAGTTCAGATTCAAAGAAAGAGAATTAAACTTTACCTTGTGATAGGGGAATGGCAAGGCCATATTGCAGAACAGCATATAAGATGGGAAATATTGGTGGAAGCATCCTTGGAAAATACAATCTTTCACACTTGTGTAAAAATCTTTTTGATGTAGGGAACTTAGAAATTTCTGAAGACTCTTGTCACAACAATTTCTGGTTATAATAGTAAGTGCTTTGGATGTAGGGCTTTAAGTTATTGTAGTTCAGATAGTTGTATGAAGAAGCCTATCAGCCAGGCTGGGTGGATGCCTCACGCCAGTAATCCCAGCACTTTGGGAGTCCAAGGCGGGCAGATCATTTGAAGTCAGGACTTCAAGACCAGCCTGACCAACATGGTGAAACTCCATCTCTACTAAAAATACAAAAATTAGCCAGGTGTAGTGGTGCATGCCTGTAGTCCCAACTACGTGGGAGGCTGAGGCAGGAGAATCACCTGAACCCAGGAGATGGAGGCTGTAGTGAGCCGAGATTGCACCACTCCAATCTGGGTAACAGAGCGAGACTCTGTCAAAAAAAAAAATGGCCTACCAACAAAAACTACCAGGGATTCACTGACGGCCAAAAAAATATTAGGCTTATTTAGCTTACTGCAGCATAGAAGAGGCATATGAGAGGAATTATTAGGTATTTTGGTAAGAAGGAGTTAGTGGGGCATAGGTCTTGTAGAATTTGTGCTTGTACTGGCTAATTTTAAGGAGGGATTAAGGGAAGTGGAGTCTAGTTCTGGATAAGCTGCTGTCAGGAAGTAAAAGAGCATCATGGTAAATTTTATCTGAAGGTGGAGAGATTCGAGTGGATTCACTATTCATTGGTAAAGAAAGAGTAGTCACTTGTGTGAGCCAGCACAAAAAGAAGTTCAGATATTTTTGTATTTGTGGAGCATCCTTGTTGCTGTTTGGTTTCAGACCCAATCAGTTATCTCTGTCTTGTGTTATATCCCAGTGCAGCCTTGGCTTGCTCAATTATTGTTCATATTGAACAAAAGTTGTTTAGTTTTCTTGAAGACATTAAGGCCTACCTGTCAGGTGCTGGGGCTATTTTTCACTCTCTCACTACTAAAAGTCATCTTTGCCTTTTCATATGAATAGGCTTAGGTATAAATAAAACAGTTAGGAATGAATCCTTAGTTGTAATTAATTCCCCTTGGCGAAGATGAACCAAGAAGCAATGGGTTCACTTTCTGCCATTATCCATTGTATAACCAATAAATCAAATGATTTTCCTTTCTGAGCCTGGGTGTTGGGGGCTTACTTTCTTTATGGTTTCTTGTGTGCCAGTTAAACGAAAAAAATGAAACTTTCTGTTGCTGAAAGTGTTAAGTCTTTTTGGGAAGCTGAAATCTGGTATAGAATTTTAGGATGTGGTAAGATCCCACAGGAAGTCCAAGGCTACTGCCATCTGCTTGGTCCTTTAGAAACTTAAAATCTCAGAAAGTATGATATATAGAAAAAACAGAACTATATCTTAGGAAGTATGACATATAGAAAACCTTCATGGGTGTATGGGAGGCTTGCTTGCCCTCTCAGGGTGTAACCTATACACCTCAGACTTCCACATTTTTTCCCCTCTCATAACTGTGGTGGGAACATTTGAGCTACTACCCAAGCACTAGGAGCTCATGTAAAATATTATTTATCAATTAAAAATAAAAATGACTTATAAGTCCTCAAAGAAAAATACTTGTTCATCACACTACCGTGCTAGTATCAGATCCTCCTTTGAACATTGAGTTGATTTGAAATTGAACAAGGTCAGACTGATGTAGCAGTCCCTGATCTGGATGTGTCTTTTAGACATGAACAAATTCCTAAGAACCTAAGAGCAGAGATGAACTAACACGAATCCACTTCCTTGTGGGACTATAAGTTGTCATTCCTAATGCTGTCTGATAACAAAGTCCTTCCTAGTCCCCATTTCTCAGTGCAGGGCTGGCCCTGTCTGGGTGGAAAAAGCAACAATGGGAAGGAAGGAAATTGCTACTTCCCTACCCACTTCATCACTTGCAAATTTCACAATCCTGGTACCAGCCTTCTTAGCTCTTCTTTCACGCATGTCATGTTTTAACCTGTGGGACCCATGCCTGTTGCTTATTTTAGGTTCTCCTGCTCTAACTATGCAGTTCAAGTTCTAGGATACCTGGCATCTCATTTTCCTTTGATGTATAAATTAATTTTCCCTTTTTGACCACATAATGTGTACAGAATTGAATGAAAGAAGGAAGAGGGAGGGAGGGCCGATAGAAGAATTTTTTTTCTTCTCAGATATTTTTTGCACAGTTGTACAATTAACCCGAAAGCTGAGTGCTTATTGCAAGGGCAAAAAATACTGGGGGAAAACTGAGAGGAGAGGGGAAGGGAAGGCAGAAGCCCTGGACAGAGGCACCATATTGCACCAAAGGAGAAAAAGTCATCCAAAGATATGCAGAAGACTATGAAGGTAGAAATGGGAGCTGGGATGAGGCTCTGACTACAGCTGCTCCTTGCTGCCCTCTCTGTAGAATACTCACTGGATTTACTCACTTGATTATCAGACACGATGCACCACTAGTCTGGCAGAGCCTCATTTCTAGGCTATGCGTATGGCTTGGAGGTAGGGAAACACCATGAGGGGGAGGATGGATGGGGTGAGTCAGTTGTTAACCTTGCCACAGTAAGTATACTTCCTTGGTAAGGAATCTGAAGACTCATTCTAGTAAAAGCCTTGTTAAACATGATGACCAGATTCTGCAGAGTAGCATCTTATTGCCAAAAAGTTTAGCTTCAGAAAGTTACAAACAGGTCTACGGTAATGGCATTCTAAAGATGCTTCCTTCCTACCCCCCTGCCCCCAACACCCACCCAAATCTCTGTCCTTTGGCTATTCAATCAAACACTACTCTAGGTGCTACAGCGAAGTGATTTCACAGATGTAATTATAGTCCCAAATTATTTGGCTTCAAAGTAGGAAGATTATTCAGATGGGCCTGATCTAATCACATATGTTCATGAAAAGAAGAGAAAGTCAGAGAGATTCAAAGCCCAAGAAAGAGCTGACTTCTTGCTGCTGGCTCTGAAGATGGAAGGGGTCATATGAAGAGGGCCATAGGCAGCCTCTGGAAGTTGAATGTGGCTCCTGTTTGACGAACAGTGAGGAAACACAGACATCAGTCCTTTGAGTGCAAGGGATTGAATTCTGTTAAGAGCAGGAATGAACTTGGGAGTGGATTCATCTCCAGAGTTTGCAGAAAGGAACACAGCCCTTTGTGAGACTCTAAGCAGAAAATCCAGCCATATTGTTCTGACCTACAGAACTGTGAGCTTATATATTTTGTTGCTTTAAGGTATTATATTTGTAGTAATTTTTTATATGGCAATAGAAAATGAATACAAGTCCTATTTGCAGGGAGTTTTTAGTAGTGCGCAGGAAAATTACAAAAAGGCAGAATTGAGTAAAATAGGCTTTTCTTTAAAAGAAAGTGTTATTCTTGTTATCAAAGGTCTAAATTTAATATTTAATAGCAATGAAAGGTCTCCAATGTGAAAACAAATGTGGAAAACTCAATTTCTCTATAAAACAGGCTGAATTACATGTCAGCACTGCTGTATCTATGTTGTTGGGGCAACAGGAATATTAAATGTGTTCTTCAAACAGACTGTTAGCAATTCTTTTTAAAAATTCACACCGAGAAACTATGGTTGAATGGAATGGTTCAGAGCACAGGTGGACTTGGATTCATACCATCTTATAGAGATGTTGTGAGAATTAAATGACATAAGTTCTAAATAAATGCCAGCTATCATCATCTTGGGTCTCTATAGCCAAAGGGAATGCAAGTGTTTTAAGAAAATTTTTTACTTAATATCAGAAGAGAACTTCATTTCAGGTCCTTAATTAAATATTAGTCTTTTCTGTAAATTAGCACTCTAGGGTGGACATCAGTAAAAAGAGTTTTAAAATATTATTGTTAGGAATTATACATAAACTAAACTGCTTTTCCAGTTCTTGAATTGTGAGGTTTCTGTCTTTGAATTCTTTCTAAAGGCCAAACTTATTCCCATTTTTTTCTCCCTTTACCTCCAGTCTTGGCTTTGTTTGCATAACCTGGTCACTGCTTCCTTGGGGACAGGGATGACCTGACTCCGTTTTATGTGACATCAGCTACAACTTTCCATTCTTTATTTGGTGCACCAAACGCAGGCTTTCTCTCTTTCTTAACAGAATATCACAAGGAAGAAAAAATCCAAAAAGTTCTCATGATATAATACAAGATGTAAAAGATTTTGAAGATTTTCTCATTATTTCATTTCCTTCCTTTTAACTTACGTGAGTTGTCTCTTAGGAAAAGACCATCTTAATGCTTGTGGTACCCTGTACTTTTGGTGATAGTTTATGAAGAACATCTATTTTCCAGGTGAAGGGAGGATTACCATATACAAAATGGCAAGGTTCTGATAATTGAGGCAAGAGAGCCCAAGAACTTCTGGCACATCAAGGAAAGTCAGCTCCAAAGTAGATTAGCTTTGATTTTAATTTTTCAAGTATTTGCTCAAATTCTGCTAGTTTCCAGTTTGCTTTTATAGCTAAAAGTAAAAGTGTCCTTATAAACTTTGTAAAATTAATTAGGAAAAAAGGGAGGGGAAGAAACAAAATAAACCAGGCTTGCAGCACATTCAGCATTAATCATTAGGTCAGCTTGCTTTCTGGTCCATTCCCTCATAGTTGTTTGTGGCCTATTGCTTCAGAACCATGCAGAACCTGTCCTAAGATTATAGTTCCCCTTAACAGCTCTATAGATAACAGTTTGAACATTGTGAAATGTTGTTTTCCATTTGAGATATTCATTCAGATCCTGCATACCAGTGAAACTACTGACACCAGCTACTATGAAGGACTCCATGAGGAGCTGACTCAACAAAGAATGCAGCTTCCACATCCTGATGAATTCCTCCTCCTTACCCCTTACTCCAACCAATTAACAACCCCAGTTTTTCAGCCCCTCACCCTCCATAATCCTCCTAAAATCCACAGCCCTAAACTGTGGTTAAGGAATTTGGATTTGATGGTCTCCTTCCATCTCCTCATTTGGCACCTTGCAATCATTAAACTCTTTCTCTGCTGCAATCCTTGCTGTCTCACTGTGTTGGACTATTACTGCACAGTGAGCATACAAATCTGTTGGTCCTATAACAAAAGTTTACATTATGCTCACCAGAGGGCATTGTTGATTACTGTCCCATCTATATTCAATTTGGATGTGAGCCTTCTATACTTCTATAGTGTGTATTATCTGCAGAATGCTATGTTAAATATCCTTGAATTAACAGAGGAAGATAAAGTTGAGGCCCTGCCTTCATTAGACAGTCAACAAATATGTATCAAGCACCATTTTTGTGCCCAGCACTAAGATAGGCACTGGGGGTAAAATGGTAGACAATGCAGAATTTGCTCTTTCTTTTATGGTAACAGTGGCAAGACAGTTATTAAACAGCAATGTGTACTGTGAGGAATCTTGTGAAGAAAGTGTCCAGAGAGCCTTTAAGCATCTTATGTTCTGTGAAAGAGCAAGAACATGTAAAGCAGGATTATAATTGTTAATTGAAAGGCTGATTTTTGCCAGAAGGTATGCATTGTTGAGTCTATGGTGTTTGCTCATACAGGGTTTTAAATTTGATTTAGTTGTTAATGGCTTTTTAAAATGCAAAAATAATGTAATATTCGATATTTATAGTTTTTTAATAACTGGAATTTCTAGCAGTGTTGAGCCTCCTTTCCCACATGTCACTAAACAATTGTTAGAGCTGAATAGTGTCCTGCTGTGGTTTGGCTCTGTGTCTGCACCCAAATCTCATCTCGAATTGTAATCCCCATGTGTCAAAGGAGGGAGGTGGTGGTAGGTGATTGGATCATGGGAGTGGTTTCCCCCATGCTGTTCTTGTGATAGTGAATGAGTTCTCATGGGATGGGATGGTTTTATAAGGAGCAGTTTCCCTTGCTCTTCTCTCTCCTGCCACCTTGTGAAGAAGGTGCTTGCTTCCTCTTTGCCTTCTACCATTACTGCAAGTTTCCTGAGGCCTTCCCAGCCATGTGGAACTGTCACTTAAATCTCTTTCCTTTATTAATTATCCAGTCTCAGACAGTTCTTTATAGCAGTGTGAGAATGGACAAATACATACTCTATAGAAGATTCTTGTATTTTTTATTCTGCCATAATCCCTGAGAATCCCTATTGCATCTCTGATATTGAAGCTGAAGGTCATGTGCTTTCACGATTTGGTGGTGTATTTTACTCGTTTATGTTACTGGCCGAGCTCCTGAAGGCGTTTGAGTCTGTGAGCCCTGACTGCCACAGGAAAAGTTTATTGTGTATATACAGTCAGCTTTAATAGAACAGAAATGCCTGGGAATCAATAGAGTAAACAAAGTATTTTGTAGAAATAAGTTTCACTTTGGATGATTTCACATAAGTGGTGATGCTTAAAAGCATTTCAAATGAGGCTTGTGCCTGATTTCTTAAGATGAGAGGATAAGCTATTTTTCATGAAAGGATTATTTGTTCAAAGCCTTAGAGTTGCCAGTTGAATATGTCATGTTTATTTTTAACCAGAGGAGCTTTTTCAAAACACGTATGTCCAGTCATTTCTTCCCGAGATTTTTTTTCTTTTTTTTGAGACAGGTTCTTGCTCTGTCACCCAGGCTAGAATGCCGTGGTATGATCACAGCTCATTGCAGCTTTGTCCTCCTGGGCTCAAGCAACCCTACCAACTCAGCCTCCCAAATAAGCTGGGACCACAGGCACATGCCGCCATGCCTGGCAAACGTGTGTATTTTTTATAGAGATGAGGTTTCTCCATGTTGCCCACGCTGGTCCCGAACTCCTGGGCTCAAGCAGTCTGCCTGTCTTGGCTATGCCAAGTGCTAAAGTTACAGGTATAAAAACGGACACTATGCCCAGCCATTTTTTTCTTTCTTGATTCATAGTTTGGAATGCGGACACAAAATGAGTGGTTGGCAAAAGTACTCTAGGTGGTTCCCATAAGTACCTTCTCCCTGGACCCCTGCTTTGAAAACTACTAAGCTAGGGCATACTAGATGATCAAGGTAAAATGGAAGGAAGAGTAGGACTTTGAAATTCATGATTTATGGTTTATATTTGATTAGAAATAACAACCAGAATTGAAAAAAAAAACAACAATAACAGCAACAACAGCAGTTACCGTGTAACAGGCATTATTCTAAATACTCTTCATGTAAGGAACTCATTTAATCTTTGCAACAAACCTAAAAAAGGTATCATTCCCAGAGATGCTAAGTAAATTGCTCAGGTCACAAAGCTGAGATAGGATTCAACTGAAGAAGTCTTGCTCCAGAGCTCATTTTCTTAACCAGTATGAGTAGTGCCCAGTAGATGAATGAGCTATAATGTGGTCTTCTGAAGACTGAACAAGCAGGAAGATAAGGGAGGGAGAAATCCAGATTTGTATAAGATGGCTTACAGCGAGGAAGACTGAGGAGGCAGAAAGATGTAGTGTGGTTCTTTGGGTCAGTTTTCACATTCTTATCTCTTGGGATTTTACCATAACTTTGTGGTGTTTTGGCAATGATTTATGCAATTGTTCATTGTTTAATAAAGAAATGATTTTTAGGTATACTTCCTGTGCTCATCATGGAAGGCCATTAATTGGCTTTAATTGCTCTTATGATGAATCATCTTAGGAAAATAAGACCTTTAGTCACTTCTGATTTTAACTGCTTACACAAAACCCACTTTAAAAAGTCTATTAACTTACAGAAAGCATTTTTCAATGGCCTTGCTACAGTCTTAATGTTTGCTTCCTCCCCAAACTTACATGCTGATATCCTAATCCCCAAGGTGATAATATTAGGTGGTGGGGCTTTGGGAGATGATTCAGTCATGGGGGCAGAGCCATCATCCATGGGACTAGAGTGTGTCTTAGTTGCTTTTGTGCTGCTATAACAGAATACCACAGACTGGACAATTTCCAAAGAATAGAAATTTACTGGCTCATGGTTCTGGTGGCTGGGAAATCGCATATCAAGGCACCTGCAGGTTTGGCGATTCTAATTCCAAGATAGCTCCTTGAAGGCTGTATCCTCGAGAGGGGAGGAAATATTCATCTTCACTTGGAGAACGGTGGAAAGGCAAAGAGAGAGGTGGCAAGGAGGCCAGAACTCTCCCTTTTATAATGGGCATTAATCTCATGTATGAAGGCATAGACCCCCGGCCTAATCACCTCTTCAGGGTCCCACCTCTTAATAATGCTATAATGGCAATTAAATTTGAACATGAGTTTTGGGGGAGACAAGCATTTAAAGCACATCAGTGGGCTTATTAAAGAAGCTAGAACCCTGTACGGTGGCTCATGCCTATAATCCCAGCATTTTGGGAAGCTGAGGTGGGAGGATCACTTGAAGCCAGGAGTTTGACACCAGCCTGGTCAACACAGTGAGACCTCTGTCTCCTAAAAAAACAGAAAAGCCCCATGTGGTGCGGTGGTGCGGGCCTGTTGTCCTAGCTAAATTGGAGGATCATGAGGTGGTGGTGTGCTGTGATTGTGCCACTGCACTCCAGCCCAAGTGACAGAGCGAGAAAAAATGAATTTCTCTTAAAAAAAAAATGAATCTAGAGAGAGACTCTTCTTGATTGTTCTGCCAGGTGAGGTTATAGTGAAAAGACTGCTCTGGACCAAGAAGCAGGCTCTCACCAGGTACTAAATCTGCCAGCACCTTGATCTTGGAATTCTCAGCCTCTACAACTGTGAGAAATAAATATCTGTTGTTTTTAAGCCACCCAGGTTATGATATTTTGTTATATCATCCTGAATGGACTAAGAGAGTCCTCATCTTTCAACTTTCATTCTTTATTGCTAGAACTGTACACCACACACAATTTCTCACTTTGCTTAGCAAGGATAAAGTTGACTAGGGGCACCCATTCTACCTTTGGCTTCTTCTGGCTGGGCATAGTGGCTCACAGTTATTGGTTACCACCAAATCAAGGCCAGCCTCTAGTTTATTCCTCAGCATGTGCTAGTGAAGCAGCTGCTTGCCAGGTGAATTTGAGGAGCTACCTTACTTTTCGTTATTTCTGGTGACTAAAGCTATTAATCCTCAGGAAAAAATGTTGATTTTATTAAAGACAACTGTTCTGTCACAGCAATATTCTTGTCTCAGAGCAGTAAATACAATGCATTTGGGTATATTTGTGAGAAAAAGGTTCAGACAAAATTGATCACAGGCTTTGAAATGAAATATTCAGGAAATTCACTCTTTCCATAAAGGAAGAAGCAGAGATGACTCTTTAAATGGAGATACATATTCTTTTTGTAAGAAGGGAATTGGGGAGTGTTCTGTACAAAAAGATCTTAGTTCAGTGTAAAGAGTCAGATAGTCATATGAGATAGAAATACTCACGTCTCCAATTTCCCATTTCAGCTGCTTTTTCTAAAATAACAGTGACTGATCCTGCTTCTGGGGAGTTAAACTAAATATCTCCTGGCATGAATGCAGCAACGTTGATGCGACGAATCCCAGTCACTTATACTTTTCCCTCTGCTTTCCCCACTGCCTGAAATAAAGATGAAGCAAATTCAACAGACTGAAATTTCAAGCCCTGTTCTCATTTCCCCCACTTAACATGACTATGCAGCATAAAAAAAATAAATTAATAATCTGAACAACACAATAGGAGAGAAAAATTTTAAAAATGTTTATTTAGCCACTCCATATTTACTGCACATCTGTAATCACCAGGTTGTGTGTTAACACAGATAGTGTTATTACAGTGGTAGCACTGATATCTACTTATGGATTAAAAAACTCTTGTTTTGCATTCATATTGAAGGGCCGCAAAGTACAATGTTTAGTCTCTTGGGTTTAGCAAACAAACCTATATTGGAATTCCAGGTCTGAAATTTACTTCGTGTGACCTTAGGCAAGTCACCTAACTGTTAAACCTCTGTAAAATAAGGATTTAAAAGAATACAAAGTTATTATAAAAATTGAGTGAACTCGAGCTCTGCTAAGGGACAGACGGCCTCCTTGAGTGGGTCCCTTACCCCCATGCCTCCTGATGGGGAGACACCTCCCAGCAGGTGTCAACAGACACCTCATACAGGAGAGCTCTGGCTGGTATCTGGTGGGTGCCCCTCTGGGATGAAGCTTCCAGAGGAAGGAACAGACAGCAATCTTTGCTGTTCTGCAGCCTTTGCTGGTGATACCCAGGCAAACAGGGTCTGAAGTGGACCTCCAGCAAACTCCAGCAGAGGTGCAGCAGAGGGGCCTGTTAGAAGGAAAACTAACAAACAGAAAGGAATAGTATCGACATCAACAAAAAGGATGTCCACAAAGAAAACCCATCCGAAGGTCACCAACACCAAAGACCAAAGGTAGATAAATCCACAAAGATGAAGAAAAACCAGTGCAAAAAGGCTGAAAATTCCAAAAACCAGAATGCCTTTTCTCCTCCAAAGGATCACAATTCCTCACCAGCAAGGGAACAAAACTGGACAGAGAATGAGTTTGACAAATTGACGGAAGTAGGCTTCAGAAGGTGGGTAATAACAAACTCCTCTGAGTGAAAGGAGCATGTTCTAACCCAATGCGAGGAAGCTAAGAACATTGAAAAAAGGTTAGAGGAATTGCTGACTAGAATAACCAGTTTAGAGAAGGACATAAATGACCTGATGGAGCTGCAAAACACAGCACGAGAACTTCATGAAGCATACACAAGTATCAATAGCCTAATTGATCAAGTGGAAGAAAGGATATCAGAGATTGAAAATCAACTTAATGAAGTAAAGCGAGAAGACAAGATTAGAGATAAAAGAATGAAAAGGAATGAACAAAGCCTCCAAAAACCGTGGGACTATGTGAAAAGATGAAACCTACGTTTGATTGGTGTACCTGAAAGTGATGGGGAGAATGGAACCAAGTTGGAAAACACTCTGCAGGATATTATCCAGGAGAACTTCCCCAACCTAGCAAGACAGGCCAACATTCAAATTCAGGAAATACAGAGAACACCACAAAGATACTTCTCAAGAAGAGAAACCCCAAGACACGTAATCGTCAGATTCACCAAGGTTGAAATGAAGGAAAAAATGTTAAGGGCAGCCAGAGAGAAAGGTCGGGTTACCCACAAAGGAAAGCCTATCAGACTAACAGCAGATCTCTCTGCAGAAACCCTACAAGCCAGAAGAGAGTGGGGGCCAATATTTGACATTCTTAAAGAAAAGAATTTTCAGCCCAGAATTTCATATCCAGTCAAATTAAGCTTCATAAGTGAAAGAGAAATAAAATCCTTTACAGAAAAGCAAATGCTGAGAGATTTTGTCACCACCAGGCCTGCCTTACAAGAGTTCCTGAAGGAAGCACAAAACATGGAGAGGAACAACCAGTATCAGCCACTGAAAAAACATGCCAAATTGTAAAGACCATCGACACTATGAAGAAACTGCATCAACTAACGGGCAAAATAACCAGCTAGCATCATAATGACAGGATCAAATTCACACATAACAATATTAACCTTAAATGTAAATGGGCTAAATGCCCCAGTAAAAAGACACAGACTGGCAAAGTGGATAAAGAGTCAAGACCCATCAGTGTACTGTACTCAGGAAACCCATCTCACATGCAAAGACACATATAGGCTCAAAATAAGGGAAGGGAGGAATATATACCAATCAAGTGGAAAGCTAAAAAAGAAAAAGCAGGGGCTGCAATCCTAGTCTCTGATAAGACACACTTTAAACCAACAAGGATCCAAAGAGATAAAGAAGGGCATTACATAATGGTAAAGGGATCAATACAGGAAGAATTAACTATCCTAAATATATGTGCACCCAATACAGGAGCACCCAGATTCATAAAGCAAGTTCTTAGAGACCTACAAAGAGACTCAGATTCCCACATAATAACAATGGGAGACTTTAATACCCCACTGTCAATATTAGACAGATCATTGAGACAGGACATTAACAAGGATATTCAGGACTTGAACTCAGCTCTGGATCAATCAGACCTCAAGGCATCTACACAACTCTCCACCCCAAATCAACAGAATATACATTCTTCTCAGCACCACATTGTGCTTATTCTAAAATTGACCACATAATTGGAAGTAAAAAATTCCTCAGCAAATGTAAAAGAAGAGAAATAACAACAAACTGTCTCTCAGACCACAGTGCAATCAAATTAGAACTCAGGATTAAGAAACTCACTCAAAACCGCACAACTGCGTGAACAACTTGCTCCTGAATGACTACTGGGTAAACAACCAAATTAAGACAGAAACAAATAAGTTCTTTGAAACCAATGAGAACAAAGACACAATGTACCAGAATCTCTGGGACACATTTAAAGCAGTGTTTAGAGGGAAATTTATAGCACTAAACACCCACAAGAGAAAGCAGGAAAGATCTCAAATAGACACCCTAAGATCACAATTAAAAGAACTAGAGAAGCAAGAGCAAACAAATTCAAAAGCTGGCAGAAGACAAGAAATAACTAAGATCAGAGCAGAACTGAAGGAGACAGAGACATGAAAAATCCTTCAAAAAAATCAATGAATCCAGGACCTGGTTTTTTGAAAAGATCAGCAAAATAGATAAATAGCTATCTAGCCAGACTAATAAAGAAGAAAAGAGAGAAGAATCAAAGAGATGCAATCAGAAATGATAAAGGGGATATCACCACTGAGCCCAAAGAAATACAAACTACCATCAGAGAATACTATAAACATCTTTACGCAAATAAACTAGAAAATCTAGAAGAAATGGATAAATTCCTGGACACATACACCCTCTGAAGTCTAAACCAGGAAGAAGTAGAATCCCTGAATAGACCAATAATAAGTTCTGAAATTGAGGCAGTAATTAATAGCCTACCAACCAAAAAAGTCCAGTACCAGATGGATTCACAGCCGAGTTCTACCAGAGGTACAAAGAGGAGCTGGTACCATTCCTTCTGAAACTATTCCAATCAATAGAAAAAGAGGGAATCCTCCCTAACTCATTTTATGAGGCCAGCATCGTCCTGATACCAAAACTGACAGAGACATAACAAAAAAAGAAAATTTCAGGCCAATATCCCTGAAGAACATCAATGTGAAAATCCTCAATAAAATACTGGCAAACCGAATCCAGCAGCACATCAAAAAGCTTATCCACCATGATCAAGTTGGCTTCATCCCTGGGATGCAAGACTGGTACAACATACACAAATCAATAAACGTAATCCATCACATAAACAGAAGCAATAACAAAAATCACGATTATCTTAATAGATGCAGAAAAGGCCTTAGACAAAATTCAACACTGCTTCATGCTGAAAACTCTCAATAAACTAGGTATTGATGGAATGTATCTCAAAATAATAAGAGCTATTTATGACAAACCCACAGCCAACATCATACTGAATGGGCAAAAACTGGAAGCATTCCCTTTGAAAACCAGCACAAGACAAGGATGCCCTCTCTCATCACTCCTATTCAACATAGTATTGGAAGTTCTGGCCAAGGCAATCAGGCAAGAGAAGGAAATAAAGGTATTCAAATAGGAAGAAAGGAAGTCAGATTGTCTGTTTGCAGATGACATGATTGTAAATTTAGAAAACCCCATGGTCTTAGCCTCAAATCTCCTTAAGCTGATAAGCAACTTTAGCAAAGTCTCAGGATACAAAATCAATGTGCAAAAATCACAAGCATCCCTATACACGAATAATAGACAAACGGAGAGCCAAATCATGAGTGAACTCCCATTCACATTTGCTACAAAAATAACAAAATACCTAGGAATCCAACTTACAAGGGATGTGAAGGACCTCTTCGAGGAGAACTATAAATCACTGCTCAAGGAAATAAGAGAGTACACAAGCAAAGGGACAAACATTCCATGCTTATGGATAGGAAGAATCAATATCATGAAAATGTCCATACTGCCAAAAGTGATCTATAGATTCACTGCTATCCCTATCAAGCTACCAAGGACTTTCTTCACAGAATTAGAAAAAACTACTTTAAATTTCATATGGAACCAAAAAAGATTCCACATAGCCAAGACAATCCTAAGCAAAAAGAACAAAGCTGGAGGCATCACGGTACCTGACTTCAAATTATACTACAAGGCTACAGTAACCAAAACAGCATTGTAGTGGTACCAAAACAGCATTGCAGTGGTACCAAAACAGCTATATAGATATAGACCAATGGAACAGAACAGAGGCTTCAGAAATGACATCACACATCTACAACCATCTGACCTTTTACAAACCTGACAAAAACAAGCAATGGGGAAAGGATTCCCTATTTAATAAATGGCACTGGGAAAACTGGCTAGCTATATGCATAAAACTGAAACTGGACCCCTTCCTTACAACTTATACAAAAATTAACTCAAGATGGATTAAAGACTTAAACCTAAAACCTAGAACCACCCTAAAACTTAAAGTATAATAATAATAAAAACAAACAAACAAACAAACAAAAACCCTAGAAGAAAACCTAGTCAATACCGTTCAGCACACAGGCATGGGCAAAAACTTCATGACTAAAACACCAAAAGCAATGGCAACAAAAGCCAAAATTGACAAATGGGATCTAATTAAACTAAAGAGCTTCCACATAGCAAAAGAAACTGTCATCAGAGTGAAAAGGCAACTTACAGAATTGGAGAAAATTTTTGCAATCTATCCATGTGACAAAGGGCTAATATCAAGAATCTACAAAGAACTTAAACCAGTTTACAAGAAGAAAACAACCCCATCAAAAAGTGGGCAAAGGATATGAACAGACACTTCTCAAAAGAAGACATTTATGCAGCCAACAAGCATATGAAAAAAAGCTCATCATCACCGGTCATTAGAGAAATGCAGATCAAAACCACACTGAGATACCATCTCATGCCAGTTAGAATGTTGATCATTAAAAAGTCAGGAAACAACAGATGCTGGAGAGGATGTGGAGAAACAGAAATGCTTTTACACTGTTGGTGGGAGTGCAAATTAGTCCAACCATTGTGGAAGACAGTGTGGCAATTCCTTAAGGATCTAGAACCAGAAATAACATTTGACCCAGCAATCCCACTACTGGGTATATACCCAAAGGATTATAAACCATCTACTATAAAGACATATGCACACGTAAGTTTATTGTGACATGGTTCACAATAGCAAAGACTTGGAACCAACCCAAATGCCCATCAATGATAGACTAGATAAAGAAAATGTGGCACATACACACCATGGAATACTATGCAGCCATAGAAAAGGATGAGTTCATGTCCTTTGCAGGAACATGAATGAAGCTGGAAACCATCCGTCATTCTCAGCAAACTAATGCAAGAACAGAAAACCAAACACTGCATGTTCTCACTCATAAGTGGGAGCTGAACAATGAGAACACATGGGCACAGGGAGGGGAACATCAGGGTCTGTTGGGTAGGGGGGCTAGGGGAGGGATAGCATTAGGAGAAATACCTAATGTAGATGACAGGTTGATGGGTGCAGCAAACCACCATGGCATGTGTATACCTATGTAACAAACCTGCATGTTCTGCACACATACCCCAGAACTTAAAGTATAATAAAAAAAATTTTGAAATAGTTGGCAAAAATTTTAAGTTCTGGGACATGGGTGCATGTATTTGCTGATATAATAATTTCTAGTTTTCACTTTGAAACATCTAATTAAATTTAAAAAGAGCAAATAGGAGATGTGAAAGTGGAGACTAAATCTAGTTAACACTTTTGTGAAATTTTTGAGAAATGGAATAGGTATTGGAGGAGCAGATGAGTGGGTGGGCCCAAGAAATTTTTTTTTTTTTTGTATTTTTGTATTTTTGTCCTTTTTAAGATGGGAAACATGAAAGCATCTCTGTTCTCTGGGAGTAACTCAGTGGAGAGGGAGAAATTCAAAATGCAGTAGAGAGGGGCATAACTATAGGAGAAAGGCTTGAAACCGCAAGAGGGAGTGGGCCCTGGGGTATCAGAGTTGGAAAGGCCTTTGCCAGAAGCAGGGACCCTGCAGCCTCTGTAACAGTAGAGAGCCCTGGGCCGGGCGCGATGGCTCACGCCTGTAATCCCAGCACTTTGGGAGGCCGAGGTGGGCGGATCACGAGGTCAGGAGATCGAGACCATCCTGGCTAACATGGTGAAACCCCGTCTCTACTGAAAAATACAAAAAATTAGCTGGGCGTGGTGGCGGGCACCTGTAGTCCCAGCTACTCAGGAGGCTGAGGCAGGAGAATGGTGTGAACCAAGGAGGCGGAGCTGGCAGTGAGCCGAGATAGCGCCACTGCACTCCAGCCTGGGCCAAAGAGCTAGACTCCGTTTCAAAAACAAACAAACAAACAAACAAACAAACAAACAAACAAAAAAACAGTAGAGAGCCCTGGAGGGAAGGGGAAATGTGCAGCTGCAGGGATGTCGAGCTCCTGGCACTGGGGCTGAGACAAGGAGGAGGGCTAACATAGCACTGCACTCAGGAAGCTTGGAGTCTGCCTTGAGGAGCTTCCCTTGCATGCTATTCTTTCCTCTGTCTGCCAAACAAGCTTCCCATTGTTCAAAACTCAAATCTTATTCTCTGTGAGTTTATGTAATGCCTAGCACACACCTCTGTTCAAGTAGTATTGCACTTACTAAATTCATTTGTTCAAAAGCCTGTTTCTCCCATTAGAGGTTAGTTCTTTGAGGGAAGAATCTATTATTTTAGTCAGTATTTTTCTTCATTTCCTAGCAGTTTCAGACATACAGTATTTGCTCAGGAAATGCTGCAGAAATTAATAAAACATGTTCTCTTTAATAGGTAAATGTTCATTTTAAATCTTGCTAATATTATTAATTATTTTTTATTTTTATTTTTCATAGTGAGCACAAAGGTAAATGTTGCCCAGTTTATGAATGATAAATTCTAATTTTTGTGATACAAATAAATAGATATTGCTAAAGAAAGTGTAGGGAGGAAGAGCAGTAATAAAATGTGCAAATCATAGTCCACAATTATATACCAAGTTAATGCAAAAAAGTCACACTAGTATAAGTACATGTATTTAAACTGAATTAGCTGCTCAAAATTTTAGCTTTTATAATCTAAAATATTTCGTTTTTTTTACACGATCTTTTTTCTTCATATACTTTTTATAAGTGTTTATTTTCTTAAATGTTTCTTCAGACATCCAGCATAAAAATATATCACTTTAAGCGAGAGATATTCATTATTGAATTTAAATTGATACATATTTCAGAGCTACCTATTAATGCCATAATATTCATCTTTTCTGATGCCACACAGATTTATTTCCATAACTCAATGTAAAATTTATCAGTATTTTAATGCTACCCAACTTTGTCATGAAGATTTCTTTGTGAATGCTTCTCTGTTTATTTATCAGCATCAGCAATCATTCTCAAAGTATATGCAAGACTCAAATCTTTAGGAACAATGGGAAATTCAAACATACGTTGTTCAGCATGTGAAGGTGGAAAATCATAGACATTTATAGAAATTCTACAATGTTGTGTAGAATATTGTTATTATTGTTCTGTTAATATAGCAGCCCTGGCTATTATCCTTTGAAAGGCCTGCTTACAAGGATGATCCTTGGCTGGCATCTGGGAACTTAGATTTTGGGAGGGTTCCCATCACACTAACTGACCAGAGTGACTCACTGTCTAAACCATGCAAACCATGTGGTTTGTGCTAAACATCTGCTTTCCTCTGGGAGTCTGGAAATTTCAGTACATGCTAAGCAGTGGGTACTTGGATGACCAGCTGCAATAAATACCTTGGGCACCAAGTCTCTGATGAGCTTTCTTGGTAGACAACATTTCACACATATTGTCACAGTAATTGCTGGGGAATTTGGCATTCCACTAGGAGAGGACCCTTGGAAGCTTGCACCTGGTTTCCTCTGGACTTTGCCCTTTGGACATTTTCTCTTTTCTGATTTTGCTTTGTGTCCTCTCTAATAAATCATAGCCATAAGTATGGCCATTTAATTAATTGCATATTTTAGTTAGTAAAATCTGAAAATTTGGCCTTATTGAGTTCTGACTCAACTTACTTGGTTATTGAGTACATGGTTATTGTGCAGTAGATGTGACCTAGGAATTGATTCAGCTACTCTTTGATGTATGTTAAGATAGAAATGGAAGTTTAAAACTTCAGCAATGCAAATTTCATCCCAATGAGTTTATACTCTTATTTTTAAACAAGTTGTGAATCTGGTTGAAATCTTTCAGGACCCATTTGGTCTATCAAATGTTTCACAGTCTATGAAAATTTTTTTGCAGTTTACTTTCATTGGTTCTACCCAAGTTCTTCCTTAAACTGTTGCGTTTATTCGTTCATTCATTCATTCATTCATTCATCCTTTTCCTCAACCAAAATTCACTGGACACCTCTTAGGACCAGGCACTGTGCTTGGCACTGGTGATTCATGGTGAACAAGACATAAAAAACTTGCCATCATATACCTTCCATCTAGTAGTGATGAAAGGTGTGTGATAGAAATGTGATTGTTACAGACTTTGAAAAAGGATTTGTGTTGTGATAGAGTTCAGCCTAAAAAAAACTGGAGAATTCCCAGAGGAGAGTTCATCATGACAGAGTGGTGATTATCCTCTCAGTGGGCTAAAGCCTGGCCCCTAAATTATATGTCTACTAAAACTGCCGTGAATAGAGGCATCTGGATGACTAGGAAACTGTGCCAATTAAGGGAGGTCAACACCTAAAGCATGGCCTTTTCTATTGATAATTAAGTCCAAATAAGATAAGAAAAATGGTCTCAAAATCAGCAAAACAATGTGCTTTCTCCCTATAGTAAAATGTGTGTTTGTTTTCCTCTTGAAGAGCAAAGCAGTCTACCTTTAAATTAACACTAGTTATGGTAGAATGAATAATGCTGCCCCCGTCTCTCCAAGATGTTCCTAATCCTATGAATATGTTACTTGTTATGACAAAAGGGACGTTGCAGCTGTAATTAAGGTAGCAGATGTTAAAATAGGGAGATTATCCTGGATTATCTGTGTTGGACTAATATAGTCACATGAGCCTTTAGAAGCAGAAAACTCTCTTTGGTTGAGTGAGAGAGACGGGAAGGAAGTCAGATTCCAAGCAGGTGAAGGATTTGATGCATTGTCATTGCTGGTTTTGAGATGTAGGGAGGTCATGTGTAAGGACTGGAGAGAGGGCAGTTCCCCACTGACAGTCAGCAAGGAAATGAGGTCCCAAGTTCTACAAATGAAAGGAATGAAAGGAGCTCAGCTGAGTCAACAATATAAATGAGCTTAGAAGTGGATTCTTCCCTGGGGCCTCTAGTAAGAAATGTAGCCTTGCTGACACCTTAATTTTAGGCCAGTGAGATGTGTATTGGACTTCTCACCCAGAGAACTGTGAGATAATAAGTGGGTATTGTTTTAAGCTGTCAAGTTTTTGGTAATTTGTCATAGCTGCAATAGAAAACTGATACATGAGTTCATTCCTTTATTTTAAACTTAGACAACCATCAACATTAGGTCTAGGGCATCTTTACTTTTGAGGAATACTGACAGCTGTTAATCAGATAGTTTCTGGTTTAGTTTGTAATATTTAATAATCCTTATATATTTACTTACTGTTAAAAATCAAATTAAAAAGATACTTGTCAAAAGTGATTTTTATAGTTTGAATAAATTAAAATCCCTGATTAAATGTATATTTCATGTGTTTTCTTTTCTTTTTTTTTTTTTTTGAGACGGAGTCTTGCTCTGTCGCCCAGGTTGGAATGCAGTGGCGCGATCTCGGCTCATTGCAAGCTCCGCCTCCTGGGTTCACGCCATTCTCCTGCCTCAGCCTCCTGAGTAGCTGGGACTACAGGCGTCAGCCACCACGCCTGGCTAATTTTTTTGTATTTTTAGTAGAGACAGGGTTTCACCGTGTTAGCCAGGATGGTCTGGATCTCCCGACCTCGTGATCCGCCCGCCTCGGCCTCCCAAAGTGCTGGGGTTACAGGCGTGAGCCACTGCTCCCGGCCTCATGTGTTTTCTGATAAAGGAAAAAATTCAGTTTTTTCAGTTACCTTCTTTGAATAGCACAGGAGGTCCCAAGTTCCCAGTATCTACTTGGCCCTGCTGGCAAGCAGTGGTTGGCCTCTTGAGTATCTGGGTGAACTCAGTGACACAGATGCACTGGGGCCAGCCTGGTGGCCCATTCTGAGTGGCCTCTGAGACATTCTCCTTTTTGCTAAGGACAGAGCATACTTACTTGTTATGAAACGAACACTGCAAGAGCAGGCAGGTAGGGCAAGTCTGTGTCCTGCACAAGCAATTTCATGCAGTTGTTGTTGATGTCAAGGAAATAAATGTTGCATTTAATGCCGCCCTGGCTTCCAAACAAAAGAAGTCAGATCTCACCCTTGGAGAATAGAATTCTGTGCCTTATTTATCACTGAGAGCATGACAAGGGAAAGGATCATCTCTTTCCTCTTGAAATTTTCCAGCAAGAATTATTTGCTGTTCATAATGTGCTCAGAAATAGTTATATTTGGATACGAGAAGAAGAACATGAAATGCAGGAACTCAAGTTATTTTTAATTTTCCTTTTATTACATGGTAGCAGACAGAGATAATTGTAATGCTTGACATTGCATGTGGACAGGGCGTGTCAAGTGTCTCTTCTCCTACAGAAGAGGCAGAAGCTGTTCTTTGGGCTGGCACTTGAGGGAAAACTCATGATTAAACACAAATTACCAAATGGCTTTTCCTATTGACCTTGACCATGGTCTCTGTGTCCCCCGACCCCCAGCTATTCCTTTTCTATTTGAAGATTCAGATAAAAGAAGAATGGTATTTTCCAACTTAAGTAAAAAATAATTAATGAGAAATAATCTGAATTAAGCAATGTTAAATAAGCTTATTTGCTGCAAAGTTTTTTCAGAGCCTTTAGATGCAGCTACTACCACTACTACTAATGCTAATAAAATGATAATAATAATAATAACAAACAGATTAAACACTAACTATATGCCAGGCATCATTCTAAGTGCTTTGCAAGATTTAACTAGTTTAATATTACATGAGGAAGGTACTGTTATTATCACACCATTTTACACATGTAGGAACTAAAGTCAGAGAAAGAAAGTCACTTGCCCAAGGTCATTTAGCTTGTGAGTTTGAGGATAGTATTAGTACATAGTATTTCTCAACCTTATTTGACTATAACCTTACTTCATTTCTTTTTTTTTTTTTTTTTAACCTGTAGCATGTTATGAGATTAATGTTCCATGAAAAACAGTTTTGAAAATGTTGGAGTAGAGAGAATAAAATGTAAGAGAATTGAGAAAGGCATTGAAGAATGATTTGTGATTTTTAGTCATAGGAGATCAGCATTCTAGTAACCCCCAAAGATAGGGGAATCCATCCTCATCTCAGTGATCAGATATACTATGTTCATGGCCAGGATTTCGAATTTTAAAATCCGTGATTTTCATCCCAGGTGGTCTTTCCATGTCTTCCATGAAAAGTCTTACTACCAGACTTCCATGTCTGGTAAGTAAGTTGAGTGTGTGTAGCGGGGTGATATTTGGAAGTAAATAAGGAAACAGAGGAAGTTCTGACACATACCACTCAAAAAATAATCCCTAATTTTAGAAAGATGTTGTTACTTCACTTGGTATACATCCTTGACCCCTGTATCCAATGCCTAAACCTGCCCCTGAGCAGATTACAATGAATTTTAACAGACTGTATAAATTCTCTTTCCGTACGAAAAGGTCATTGTTCTTAAAGCATATGAATATGAAAAATATACATAGCCACAAAACATATGAAAAATGCTCATCATTAACCAGAGAAATGGAAATAAGAACATAAATTAACATTTTTTTGTACCTCACAAATTGGGACATTGAGCAGTTCATAAAAAATAGGATTGAAAAGATCCTTTTATACGCTTTTAGTGGGAATGCAGATTATTACAGTATTTTTGGAAGGCTCTTTGGGAGGCTCAGATAAAATCAGTATAGATATACACTTTGACCCAGATATTCTTGAAATACCTACCACCAGAATGAGCTTCCTCCATTCTGCCTTGTGCAAAACCATATTCCATACATATATACCTCTTGGTAGATTGCAGTATCGTATTGTTAAATTACATTAATGTATTATTGTTGCATCATTTGCTCCCTCTAAGAAGATTATATATTGTCACTTTTTCCTAAGTGATTTGCTGTGCTCTTCCCAGTAGGATAAGTATATTTGCTACCTCATTAATGGTTGGGTTGGCCATGTGACTTGCTTTGGACAATGGAATATGGAAGTAACACATGCTAGGACAGAGAAGACACTTCAAGAGCATCATGTGGTTTCATTATTTTTATCTCTTCCTTCTACTAGCAGATTAAAATAAGGCTGCTACTTTAGCGTGGGTCTCCGGGTAAAGAAAACATTGAACAAAACTGAAGCCAACCCTCAGATATCACTTATGTGAGTGAGAAATAAATGCTGGATGAGCCATTGAGATTTTTGCTAACCTGTTAACCCTAGTATTGTAACCCATAATAAATGAACAGAAGCTGAATATCTACTTTTTCAACAAAGCCTTCATTCAATGTCCACCCTAACATATATATATATATATTCTTTCCAAATCTATAAAAATTTAAAGTCTATTTTACAAGGCTTTTAAAGTGTGATTTTTTTCCTAATATTGATTTCCCATTATATTAAATATGTCATTGCTCCCCCAAGGTGTATAATAAATTCCCTGAAGCCCCATGCCATGTCTTATCTTTTATAATTATTTACCCTGGTCCTGGAAATATAGTAGGTACTGAATAAATAAACATTCTTCAGCCAATACACCTACAACTATTTATTGAGAGTCTCAATATGTAAGCCATTCTTGCTTTTTCAGTTGGTAACAATGATAATTGAGAACTTTGTTTCTGCCCAGGTTGGCAAGGAATGTTTGTCCATTCCCTCAGAAAGAGTTAACTGGTTCCAGAAAGATTTGTGGGATGAATCATTTACAGAGGCTCTTGAAATGACTGACTTCCTCTACATGACTCACGTTTTCATCTGTGAAAACCTGAAGAAATTGAAAAAACAATACTCAACTCAAAGGGGCCTCATTGTCACTGGAGATGGAGAAGGATGTGGCTCTGAAACCTAGACAGCAACATGCCTGCTTGTTTTTACACTGAAGTAAAAAGACAATTATTTGGTGTGTTTATATTTTCTTTTCAGATAAATTACTTAACAGGGAATGTTTGTGTAAAGTGAAGAGATCAGAGGCAAGAAGACAGAAAAATAATGATCAGTTCAACTTCTTCCTGAAAACAACTCCTGTTTTCTCTGGGGTATCAGTGGCTGGGCTGGTATGTTCGGCACAGGGTTTATAATTTCTTAACAAGGAACACATTATGCAATGCATTTAAGCTATCTACTCCTTTGAGCTCCAGGCCATGTTTTTTGAAATAACAAGGTAAAACAGATTTTTTTCTTCTCATCTTGGAAGAAACTCAGCTTCCTGAAACCTGTAAATGGCTTCCAATGACTTCATATATGAGGCCCTCTGGCATATGGTGTGACCAGTCAGGACCCTAATGAGGAAGGAGGGAAACCACTGTCAACACTTTAAGTAAAATCGGATGTCATTAATCTGAGAATAGCAATTGTCTGGGATAAGTATTTCATACAAGGGGAAGCAGAGTAACACAGCTGTACATTTTCTATTTTTCTATTTTTGTTGAATAGCTATAACAAGTGCATAACATCCCTATTATTTTCTGTATTATAATATAATAATATTTTGATCCTTAGATAAATGTTATTGAATCATTACACAGTTAACCTTGTGAGGTGTTTTGAAGCTAATAGGCCAATGTAATGTGTATTGATAGGCGGCATTAAGTCAGGACTAAACAGTTATTATTATTAGGTGGTACATAAGGGCATTTTAATGTCTGGCAAGAGGATGAAGTGCTATTATTTCTAGAGGGAATGCATACAGGGTGAGGTTATGTTCCTGATTCTACAATGGGCTATGCACAACAATTGGAAAATCCCATTATCTCTTCATGCTTTAGCTTCTTTGTTGTCATAGGATTTTTACAATTCTGTCAGGGAACTTTTTCACTCTTCAGAAGAAAATATCCAGAAAAATTCAGAGAATCTTACATTTGTAGAGTTGCAAAGGGCCCTAAGATTTCTGGTCCAACCATCTCTTTATTGGTGAATAAAATGGGCTCCAGAGTCATTAAATAACTTTTCTGAATTCACATTTGGTGTAAAAGCTGTGATTAAAATATTAATATTAAGAACACATTTTAGGTAAAGAAAATTTGATAAAACAAAGAAAACAATAAAGAATTCAATTCAGACTGAAGGTTATCATTGAGTATCGGGGAACCTGCCCCGATAGTCACGAAGGTTCTTTTCTATTTTCCTTAAGCATCGGCCGGCTTGAGAAATAAAGGAACAGAGTACAAAAGAGAGAAATTTTAAAACTGGGCGTCCAGGGGAGACATCACATATCGGTAGGTTCCGTGATGCCCCACAAGCCGCAAAAACCAGCAAGTTTTTATTAGGGATTTTCAAAAGGGGAGGGAGTGTGTGAATAGGTGTGGGTCACAGACATCAAGTACTTTACAAGGTAATAGAATATCACAAGGCAAATGGAGGCAGGGCGAGATCACAGGACCACAGGACCGGGGCAAAATTAAAATTGCTAATGAAGTTTCGGGCACCATTGTCATTGATAACATCTTATCAGGAGACAGGGTTTTGAGAATAACCGGTCTGACCAAAAATTTGTTAGGTGGGAATTTCCTCTTCCTAATAAGCCTGGGAGCACTATGGGAGACTGGGGTCTATTTCACCCCTACAGCCTCGACCATAGAAGACGGGCACACCTAGGGGGGCCGTTTATAGGCCTATACCCCCAGGCGCGTATTCTCTTTCCCAGGGATGTTCCTTGCTGAGAAAAAGAATTCAGTGATATTTCTCCTGTTTGCTTTTGAAATAAGAGAAATATGGCTCTGTTCTGCCCAGCTCACCGGTGGTCAGAGTTTAAGGTTATCTCTCTTATTCCCTGAACAATTGCTGTTATCCTGTTCTTTTTTCAAGGTGCCCAGATTTCATATTGTTTAAACACACATGCTCTACAATTTGTGCAGTTAATGCAATTATCACATGGTCCTGAGGTGACATACATCCTCCTCAGCTGACAGGATTAAGAGATTAAAGCAAAGACAAGCATAGGAAATCACAAGGGTATTGATTGGGGAAGTGATAAGTGTCCATGAAATCTTTACAATTTATGTTTAGAGACTGCAGTAAAGACAGGCATAAGAAATTATAAAAGTATTAATTTGGGGAACTAATAAATGTCCATGAAATCTTCACAATCCATGTTCTTCTGCCATGGCTTCAGCCACTCCCTCCATTTGGGGTCCCTGACTTCCCACAACAACTGAGAACTTTGTCGGTGGGATCAGAAACCTGTTCACTGCAGTGGAAGGGCCACTCAATGAGGAGCAGGGAAGTGCTTCATGTTAGGGAGGGAAGCACATTCGTGAACACTGATGAACCTGAGAATAGATGCAGAACAGGGAGATGATCCAGTGTGCTGATGACCACAATCGTGTCATCCTGTAGGAAGTTCTTATGTGATATGTTCTGTGGCTTAGTTCTTTGCACTCAGCTGTCCAATGTTTTGTGTAGTTGCCTCAAAGGAATCTATGTCTGCTGGTGATCAGAAAACACAAATATGGGTGTGAAGAACAGGATTAGGACTAAAAACCATTTACCAAGATGTGAACCTTAAAAAAATTATTTCAGTAGTTTTTGGGGAAAAGGTGGGGTTTGGTTACATGGATAAGTTCTATAGTGGTGATTTCTGAGATTTTGGTGCATCCATCACCAGAGCAGTATACACTGAACCCAACATGTAGTCTTTTATTCTCCTCCCCCTCCTATCCTTCCTCCCTTAGTCCCTAAAATCCATTGTATCATTCTTATGCCTTTGCATCCTCATAGCTTAGCTCCCACTTATGGGAACACATGACATTTGGTTTTTCATTTCTGAGTGACTTCATTTATAATAATGGCCTCCAGCTCCATCCAAGTTGCTGCAAAGGCCATTATTTAATTCTGTTTTATAGCTGAGTAGTATTCCATGGGTTATACATACCATATTTTCTTTATCTACTCATTGGTTGATGAGCATTTATGTTGGTTTCATATTTTTGCAATTGCAAATTGTGCTGCTATAAACACGTGTGTGCATGTGTCTTTTTCATATAATGACTTCTTTTCCTTTGGGTAGATACCCAGTAGTGGGATTGCTGGATCGAATTGTAGTTCACTTTTAGTTCTTTAAGGTATCTTCATACAGTTTTCCACAGTGGTTGTACTAGTTTACATTCCCACCAGCAGTGTAAAAGTGTTCCCTTTTCACCAAATCCATGCCAACACAAGATGTGAACTTTGAGCCTACAGCAAGTAAAAATGAGAAGAGATCTAAGAGAAATAACTAAAACAAACCCTCAGAATTTGCATAAGTTCAAGATTCGTGATGCTTATCTTGACAGCAGTTCAAGTGGCACACCCTTGGGTGTTTTAGTTGCCCATAAACTCACTGTAGTCCAATATTTTGTCACAATAATGCAATCTTAGGCTCTTTTCATAGAAATGTTATATTTTTGTTCATATCAAAACATGCAACAGAACAGTAGTATTCGCTAGTGGTCAGACCATTGCTAAAATTGTATCACTAAGCATGACCCTTGAAGGTAATAATGAAGAACTAAAGTGGTGGTTTCTAAACTTTCTCAGGTTGACTGATCCTTTTAAGCTTCCTTTATTCAGTTTGACCACTTTGAATACTGCATCCTTTCTTCTCAGAATATCAACATGATCATAAAATTCACATATTTACAAGTGCTGGTCAAGAACTCAAAGTAGAGATGACCAAAATAGGAGGGCAATCAGGAAGATGAGGGCTGTGGAAACTATGTCGTATGAAAATCAGTTGAAGAAATTAGGAATGCTTAACTTGGAAAAGGAAAGCTCTCTGGGAGATGTTAAGGAGTCATTACCAGAGATCACCAACATCCATGTCTATTTTTCCCAGAACTTGGAAGAATGCATTTTTCCCCTTTGAAGCTGAGTAGTCCATGTGAGTTGTTCTGACCAATGGAACAGTACAGGAAGGAATGTGTGTCACTTCTGGGCTGCAGTATTTTATTCCTTGTCTGACTTCTTCCATTCACGTCTTCTCCTGCTTGTTGATCAGGTTATATTCTCTGGTTGACACAACTAAAAGATGGTGATTCCTCCATCAGTCTAGGTCTTTGACCCATGTGAAACACATTTTCTGCTAACGTGTTTTTACTGATCATCACTCATTCAGGGTGGAGGTGGGTGGGCACAGAATGTACTTACATTGCTTCATTCAGGGTGGAAATTGTGTGCCCCTAATGACATCAAGCACAATTCCCATTTGGGAAAGTGCTATATGTTTCTCTCTCTCTGTTCTTTTACAGAGAAAACTCCTATATGTTTCTCTGTATTCTTTTACATTATATTTTACAATATAAAAGCACTACACACATAATCTCTAAGAAAAGGAGCTTTATGTTGCTGACATTATGTGTTTCTCTCAGTCTTTGAAGCTATGTGGTCTATCCTTTTGTAGGGCCATGTGCATTTTTGGTGTCTTATTTAAGACTAGATAGCAATCATTGACTGCTTCTCCATGAGAAAGAAAAATTATTTTCTACTGATGATTTCATGACTCATGAAGAGAATTTCTCAAATAGTAAGACAAGACCTTGCTAAGCATTACAACTGTCTGACAATTAATGATCTGGGAGGCTTGTGGGGGTTAAAATTAGTCAAATACTGATTATACAGAAATGATTTAGGTACTAGGTAAAATTTTAGTTCCGATTGTTTACTAAGAGTCTATGGTTTTTTTTTTTTTCTCTAAATTTCCCCAGACCCATCTATTTTTCTTCAAACATTTAAAAAGTAATAACCATTTTTAAAGCTATCACAGAATGTCTTTGTAATGCAAACACATAAAGGTTTATGATGAATTCTAGAACATTATTCTAGACAATGTCTAAGACATTATTACTTTGTAATATGCTCTTTCTTTTATTGCCAAAGTCCAACTTACATATGCAACAAATTGGGTCATGGTTTGGTATATGTGAAGTTGATAATGGAATTATTCATAAAAGTACCAGGGAGTACATGATGAACAGTCTTTATTAAGGGAGTCCGCATCAAATCTAGGCTCAGACACCATCTTTTTACCTTTTATGTATAGGCCAGTACCCCTTGTTTCTTAATATTTAGAGTGTAGCAGGATGAGCTGCAGACAAAACCCCTCAGACACTGAGTTAAAGAAGGAAGGGCTTTTTTCTGCTGGGAGCATCGGCAAGACTCACATCTCAAAAACCGAGCTCCCTGAGTGAGCAATTCCTGTCCCTTTTAAGGGCTTACAACTCTAAGGGGGTCCATGTGAGAGGGCCATGATTGATTAAGCCAACAGGGGGTACGTGACTGGGCGCTGCATGCACCAGTAATTAGAACGGAACAGAACAGGACAGGGATTTTCACAGTGCTTTTCCATACAATGTCTGTAATCTATAGATAACATAACCAACTAGGTCAGGGGTTTATCTTTCACTACCAGGCCCAGGGTGTGGCACTGGGCTTTTTGCCTGTGGATTTCATTTCTGCCTTTTAGTTTTTACTTCTTTTTTTCTTTGGAGGCAGAAATTGGGCATAAGACAATATGAGGGGTGGTCTCCTCCCTTAAGAGGAGTGAATCCTTGTGAATCACCTGATTTAGGAACACATCCTCCTTGTCCCCTCTCTCCATTACAGGAGTTATCACATCCCCCTTGCATGGCCCTCTTGTGGCCTTTTTTGCCTGAGTCATAAAATAAATGTGAGTACAATTCCCAAGAAAATGAATCAGACACTAGCAGATGTTGGCCGTTTTCATTTGTATGACGTAAAGAAAATGAGAATCATAGCTTCATGAAACAGGTCATGGCTATCCACTAGAGTTACAAAGACCTTGTGTCAAGCTGCAGTGATTCCTTTGCCAGGAAATGTGAAGAAATGGGTTCATGGAAAAGGTAGATCTACACAGAGGTGATTTATTTGAACTTATATTCTCTGCTGCCTACATTTGGCAATATTCCCAAGGGAATCAAGAGCAGTGAGGCTATGTTACTTGTTGGTAAAATAGCACACTTCTTTAAAGTGAATTATGATAAATTCCATTGGTAATTATGTTGAACATTGTGGATTAAACATAAATAGAGAATGAATATTTGCATCAGAAAAAGTGTGACATTAATGACATGGTGGCCAGAGGCATGAACGCCCTATAAAAAGTGAACTTAAACATTTCTAGACATGTGGTCTTAGACAAAATCTCTTTAAGAGTTGGTGTTCTAATCTTTAAAATGGGAAGGATAATTTTACCTGTATCATACTTTTATTGTCAAGATCAAGTGAGAAAATGCATATAGAGTAAGTGATAAATTGCCTGAGATGTAGTAAGTACTTAATCAATATTAGCCTTTTTTGTTTTTGTTTTTGTTATTAATGCCCACTTTTGGTCAGGTTAGTGGGAAGCAGTATTATGGTAGAAATAGTACCAGGAGGAATTGGCAGGCCTGGCTTCCTGTTCTTTCTTTACCATTAAAATGCTGTGTGGTTGTCAGCAAATCATTTGCCCATTCTGGACCTAGATTGAGTATTGTCTTGTTTGTTTTCCTTTTGCATGAATAAATAGATATCTAGACTTGAATTTCTCTAATTTTTTCCAATTATAAAAATCTGATTTTACGTAACCTAGTATCATGGTTGTAAAAAACCACTTAGCGCATATGCCTTTCTGACTAAATGTTGAAAACTACATATTCTGACAAAAGAAAAGCATATATCAAGTGACTTAGAGCAGTGCTTCTCACACTTTAATGTGCATTTGAATCAGCATCAGCTGGGGAATCCTGGGGAACTGTTCTGATGCAGATTCTGGTTCAGTAGGCCTGGAGTGGGCAGTGCCATGATACTGCATTTCTAACAGGCTCCCAGGTCACCTGTGAATGAATAAAGGCCACAGGTCTTCTGGCTTTGGCTTCTTTGTTTGACCATCAAGATCTTCATCTAACACAGATCTTTTTTTCCTGGATATATACCTAAAGAAATGAAATAACCACCTTGTAAAGACATCTGCACTCCCATAGTCATTGCAGCATTATTCACAGTAGCCGAGATATGAAACAACTAAAGTATTGGCCAACAAATGAATGGATAAATAATTTGTGGTAAGGGAATGTTATTCAGCCTCAGAAAAGAAGGAGAAAAGAAGGAAAACATAGATGAACCTAGAGGACATTATGCCAGACACAAAAAGATAAATACTGTGTAATCTCATTTATATGTGTAATTTAAAAACCTTTGAACTTTTAATACATACAGAGTAGAACTGTGCAGTGGTTACCAGGTGTTGGGGTGGAGAAATGGGAAGATGGAAGTCAAAGGGAACAAAGTTACAGTTATGTAAGATGGATAAGTCTAGAGATCTAATGTACAACATGAGACTATAGTTAATAATATTGTGTGGTGTACTGGAAATTTGCTAAGAGAATGGATTTTACGTGCTTTTACCACACACACACACACACACACACACACACACACACACACACACAGAGGCAACTATGTGAGTTGATGGATATGTTAATTTGCTTGATTTGCCTGTGGAAATCATTTCACTATGGATATGTACACCAAAACATCATGTTGACCACCTAAAATGTATTCAATTAAAAAAGAAGATTTCTGCTATGTGAATTTGAGTATTAATGCTCTCGTATTTGTATCTATTTACAGTCAAACAGTTTGGAAGAAAATAAAGGGGAAAAAATGGAATAATTGAATCTGTCAGAAATGTAATACCAATTCAGCACACCAGTTCAAAGACTAAAACAGCAGCTCTGGAAGAACCACTGACATTTTCATTACTAAGGTCAGATAAAATTTATTGGGCATATGCAAGAGCCCAGTCCTCCTTTTTCTCCCTTTCAGGTCTTAAGGATCAAAATAACCTATGTCATGGACAAGTGAAATGATCCTGAATATAAATGCACACCCAGACATTGCAGGGCTGAAGCAATTGAGCTGTCTGAGGTATTTCTCACTAAAAGTATTTCTCACTGCCAGTTTTAACCTTGGCAAAGTTTTATGATCATTGTTATAAAATTCACTTTTCAGTTAAGAGCTGTGGATAATTTTGCCCTAGAAAAAATTTTGCACAAAACCTATTTTCTTTAAACTGTCAATGTTAGTGTCATGGAGAAGAAAAAGGCTTAAGGGATAAAATTAAATTAAACTTCTAATAATTCTCTGTCTCTCAAGTTTCAAGAGGGTGATGATGATCCAATGTGAAATGGGAAGAAAGAGATTTCTCACAAAATACCAAATCATGGAGAGGGAAGGGTTCCTGTCCATCTCACGTTAGGAATTTCCCTTTGATTTTTCTGAGTTCTTAATATCTTTGATGATGGGGCATGGAGAATGCATGCTGATGTCTAGAAGTGTTGGCCAATTGTCATACTCTTCCCGTTGGTCAGACTTTGAAGTCACGAAGAGAGAGGGCAAGATAGTAAAAACTAGCGTGGAGAAAGACTGGCTTAGATGTTCATGTTTGCTGATAGCTGATGGTTTATTGGTTGAAAAACTGTCTGAGCTCCCTATGTTAGATATATAGAGCTTTCAAAGGAAAAGTTAAACAACAAAAATGAGTGGAAAGTTTTGTTTTCTTTAATTTCAAATGTCCATAGCAATGGAATGTGCATGAGGAAATAATCTGGAAAAAAAGTAGTGAGTTAGATTGTGGGAAAATGTCTGACAGTAGAAACGTATTTATGGAATATCTATATTCTATAAAATAAACACATTTATAGAATCTATATTCTTATATACATATTTAATATATTTATACATATACATATTTATAATTTTATTTGTGTACTATATAATACTTTGTGTTTTATTTTAATGGATAATTATACATATTTATGAGTACTGTGTGATATTTTGATACATGTATACATTGTATAATGATTAATCAGAATAATTAGCTTATCCATTACCTCAAATATTTCTCATTTCTTTGTGGTGAGAACATTCAAAATTCTCTTCTAGTTATTTAAAAATGTACACAATATTGTTAGTCACGCTACTGGGCAATAGAACACTGGAATGTATTCCTCCTGTCTATCTGTAATTTTGTATCCATTGACCAATCTCTTGTACAATGTTGGTATTTCTAGAATATAGAATATGAATATCTTCCTGAAATATAAGTAATTAGATTTTTTTGCATATAAATCCTCTGATGCAACTAAGAATTTTTTTGTGACACAAATGTTTACTTGGCAATGAGATTGGATATTTTAAAACTTGCTTTTCTAATAGGAGTGGATACCTGCCCTTGATATTTTCATTTTTGGAAATTGATTACTTGCTCCCTTTTGGACAGTGATCTGAGACCAGGTATCAGTATGAGAGATCAATGTCATATTTTGCCAAGGATATTAGCTTGGCCTTAATGTTAAAAATTCATAGCTTACAGAACTGAGATGTATTCAGCTCTTAAAGTGCTTTGGATAATATCTTATTGCTGGATCTAGTGGCTAAATTCCTCAGATGAAAATACTAGCTTCGTCTCTGTTCTCTTTCCTTCCTTACCAGGCTTTTCTAATCTTGGTCACCCAAACACACAAATATTCAGTCCATTGCAACTCCCAAATCCCCTAACCCTGCCAGGTTGTTTTGGTTCTAACTTTGCCTTAGAAATGCCACCAAACCAGGATTGATAAACTTGGATTTTGTTTTTCCAGTCTGAAGCGAATCAAAATGATTTGATTAACTCCTTTTAGGAGGCATAACTTGCTTTATGTATGGCTTGGAAGTGTATGTCCATTTGAGGCCAAGTCAATGGTCCTACTGCTTAAGGGGCAGATGGTAACCATAACCTAGAGTGGATATTAACCCTGCTTCTGTGCTTGCACTGAACTGGGTCTGCTCTCTGATCTGGCTATGCTCTTACAGCTCTACTATGCTAGGGGGAAAAAAAAAGTCCCGAATAACCCTGGACCACGATGGGCTGATTTGCTGGCCTGTTCAGCGAGAGCAGATTTATTCAGTAACTATCTTTAAATGTGTGACTTCATGGCTTCCAGAGCTTTTCATTCCCTTGCGTTCTATCTTTATATAGTGAGTACTTGTTGATGTGATGATTCAGCAGCACTTAGAGTGCTGGGGTACTGTTTAATGAAGAATTGATGAAAGAGAAAAGTTTTCTTATATTTTAGGTTAACCACAGAAAGTATTATTTTGGAACTGTTCACAGGGAGCTGCATCATGGAGTTTATGAGTTTCCTGGTATAACTTCTCATCTAGTCCCAGAATATCTTCCCTTACATTACTGTTGAAAGAAAACAGGTGGTCATTAGTAAAAGGAAAATGATCCCACTTCTTACACACAAATTACTGAGTAAAGTTATACTACATCTAGCAAATGCCTTCTCTGTGTCAGATGCTGTATTGGGCATTGTTAATGTTTAAATGATCAGTCTTGGTTCCCATCCTCAAAAAATGACTTTTTGTTGTATTTTAGCACTTTAAAATCTACACAGATAACCCATGAAATTAAAGACTTTCCATGTGTTTCCTTGCTACATGCATATAAACATTGAAAATTATGCGATAAATAAGTTTCCAAATAGAATATTAGTTAACACATTTATTTCTTCTGTGCGAACTCAATTCTACTGATTATAATTTCATTAAGAGCCAGAAGTATATGGTAATTCTTTCCTTTTTGTTTATACCAGAGGCCATTAATTAATAGCCCACATGCTGAATATCGATAGTAGATGTATTTTTTGGCATGTACTTTATTTCAAATGCATTTGAACTGACATTTAAATCTTGAAAATTTCAATAAAATAAGATTGTGGTGATAGTTGCACAATTATGTGAATATACTATGTGAATGTACCTTGAGTGACTGAATTGCATGGTATATAAATTCTATTCACTGGAAGTATTAAAAACCAATATCTCTGGTTTCTCTTGAAAAATGCAAACTCTCTGGCAATCCTGGACCTATATTCCCCCATGGCAGCCATCAGTGGGAGCTGAGCAGCTGCTGCTTTTAGGTGCAACATGAGCTCTCCTTACCCAGCCAACTATACTACTAATCCAGCAAAAAATACATGAGTCTGGGATTCTCTTAGTTGGCCAGTAATTTTCAGCTCAAAGCAGTTTGTCATGATCCTTGCAGGTAAGGGAGGAGAGAGACTGTGATACTAAAAATGTCATGCAAGATGGGGCCTCTAGGGTCCTTCCAGGAATGATCAAGTTCTCTGAGTTCCCCCATTAAAAGCCTCCTTGTTGTGAGTTAATGTCCTTTGCTGGGACATGGATGAAGCTGGAAGCCATCATTCTCAGCAAACCAACACAAGAACAGAAAACCAAACACTACATGTTCTCAGTCATAAGTGGGAGTTGAACAATGAGAACACATGGACACAGGGAGAGGAACATCACAAGCCAGGGTCTGTCGGGGGATTGGGAGGCTAGGGGAGGGATAGCATTAAGAGAAATACCTAATATAGGTGACAGGTTGATGGGTGCAGCAAACCACTGTGGCTTGTATACCTATGTAACAAAACTGCACGTTCTGCACATGTAACCCAGAACTTAAAGTATAATAAAAACAAAAAACAAAAAAGCCTCCTTATGAACACATAAAACAATGGGAGAGGCAGAGGTTTCTTTTCTCCTTGTTCTGCTGCCTAACATTTTACTACCCACAACTAACCACTCAGCAGAGTGCTGCTGGCCAGGCTGCTTGATTCACTCTGAATGCATGTCATGGGGTGGCCCATTTGAAACATCACAAATGTATTCAGACCTTTAGAGTAGTACTTCCAAAACTGTTTCCCTCAGAACTTTTGAGTCTCAAGACAATATAAAAAGCTTCTGTGTTTGAATATTTTGGGGAAATGCTGGGTACAATATTCACTCTTCGTATTAGCATTGCATATTAGCATATTAACAACCTTCAGAAGGCTCACAGTGAAGGAATCTATTTGATTTTGTTGTTTCCCAAATAAAATGATCTGGTGAGTTTACCCAGGAATCTTCACCTCAGTTTTTGAGATCATATATCTACCGAAAGACTGGTGGATCACACTTTGGGATACAGTCAAAGAATGTTCTTTGGATATTACAATTAATTAACTGTACATCATTTTAGCCATCAACTGATATCCAATTGAGGACCTGAAAATCCAGCTTGGGAATAAAGGCAGGGGTGAGGTATTGAGAGATAACAAGTTCGCCATCATTTATAAAGCATTTAAAAGGTGGAATTATATATAGAGAAACATGCCTTTTGAAGCAGAATTTTAAGTCACTGAGTTGGATATAAAGACCAAGGTGATCTGTAAATCCAGGTGGGGACCTGATTGTTTCTCAAATACCTATCATGGTGGTCAAAGGCTTTTTTTTGATTCTTTGAGGATAGAGTGTCTATTATGTTCTCTCCCTTTAGTACTTCCATAAGTGATCAAGTTGTAACATTCAAAGAAAGTATTTCTTTGAGGAACCTAGTTTGAACTCACCAGTTTGAGTACAGAGGTATGAAGAGACTGAAATCAACCAATTGCAACCACTTATTAACACTTTGATCTATTTCCTTCTCAATATGCATTGAGCATAATGTGAAACAAGTTCTGGCCCAGCTTTTTCACTTACGTTGAGAGCATTTCTCTGCCAATAAAAATCCCTCATAAACATTTTAATGACTACATTAAGTTCCATCTTTTAGATTTACCATAAATTTTTAAACTGTCATTTGTATTATTAAAGTATAATATGCATGTGTTTCTGGCAAAACCTTACTAATCGTCTCTGTCCCAGGGCATGAGCACAAATAATGTTGAACTAGATCAGATGAGGACATGCAAATGCAGAGGGGCAGGTGACCTGTTTAGATTACCAGCAGACCTGGAGCAGAGCTGAAAACAGAATTTGGCCTTTTGTTGTCTGATGCTCAGTTCAGTGCCCCACACCTCCAATCCCTGCTGCTCACACCTATCCCAGACCTCTAAGGAGGATTTCTGTAAAGACTGTCATTTGGGGGCTATTGATTTGAGGGTAATTTAGCCTGCAGCAAGGGGAGCATAAGTGAGAAAATTGCTGTCAAAATGGAGCATGTCCCTGGAGTGTTGCTTTCTCTGCTTTGAGCCCTTAGAGGCTCAGTGGAGGGCATAGGCAGAGAAGTTATGCTGTTGGCCTCTGTCAGTGAGAAATGAAGAGGGGAAAAATAGCCCTGGGGCAATTACCAGTCTTAATTGCTGTGAAAGGGACAAAATGCTTTTTACAGGGTGATCAACAATCGAAAAACCATCCATTTAGTTTATAAATGAAACCGAGGAAGATGGACATCCCCATTTCTTAGGTAATCAGCACAGATTGCTTTCAAGAGGGTCAGGGAAACCACCTGCAAATGGAATGGCACAGGAGACTCACCGCTGACCTGCAGTGAGAGTGAGTGATTTGTGCCCTAATGACATAATCCTCTTTCCTTCCTGGGTTATTATCTTGCATCTCCACCTCTTTCCAAACCAATCATAACCTGGCAAGATGCGGTTTTCGAGGCCAAAAGAACACAGGTTAAAGTAATTGGTTTATTATTGTCTGTATCTATTCATTTGTTTTTGTCTTCTTTTAGGAGAAAACTAATATAAAGCTTCTCACAAAATTATATGAGCTTTCCTTCTATGGTGGCAGATTTATTCCTTTATTAGAGTTTTTGAGTATTGAATCATTTCCCCATTGATCAGAATGATGAAATCATGGGTTTTGAAATTCTATATTCTGAGAGAGGAAAAAAATGCAGCTTCAACTGTAATAAAATTTATATTTATGACTATCAATATTCACATAAAAGTGCATTGCATCTGTGCATGTGGAAACTGTTTACATTGAATTATCCCACACAAAGCCCATCAGGGAATCAGGCTGGACCTCCTTGAAGCCTCTTTGGATTTGTTCTGGACCCAGGCATGAGCACTTGGCTGAAATGTTGATTAGGCATTGTGGGAAGTTCTCTCTCCCATAATCATGTCCAATTATTATGTGCCAATTATAAACAAAATTTTAAAAATAACAATAAAAAAGAGAGGGCTCTTTCAAAGGCTGCTGGTAAGAACTTAAGTTATTCTTTTTCCTAAAACCAAAGTTATAATACCTTCTAGGCCATTGCATAGCCCAATCTCTGCAGCACATGCCTTCCTTGGTGGCTTGAGGAGTCTCACACTTGTCTGGCCCGTGTGCCAATTCATAGGCTGGCTCAGGAGCCTCAGAGTAATGTTCTCTCTCTGTCTCTTGTGAAGGCTTGCCACAAGGAGAAAACAATGAGGCTTCTTCATCTCATCATCGTCTCTAACATCATCGTCATCAGTTATCACCAAGAAGCACTTTGTTAAATTCTTTTTTTTTTTTTTTTTTTTTGACAGGATCTTGTGCTGTAACCCAGGCTGGGGTGCAGTACATGATCACAGCTCACTGCAGCCTCGACCTCCTTGGCTCCAGCCATCCTCCCACCTCAACCTCCCGAGTAGCTGGGACCACAGGTCCATGCCACCATGCCCAGCTACTTTTTGTATTTGTGGTAGAGACGGGTTTTGCCATGTTGCCCAGGTTGATCTCAAACTCCTGAGCTCAAGCAATCCACCCGCCTCAGCCTCCCAAAGTGCCAGGATTACAGGTGTTAGGCACCGTGCTGGCCCCAAAGTATAATTCTTAAAATGTTAAAAGTACAACTCTCATACAGAATCTAAGCATATGTCAAATTTTATTTAATGCATTAACGAGGGAACTAGTAGTGTGATAGAATGATTACCAAAGAGAATAGGGGAAACTCTTTTTTGGTCAGTAGAATAAAAGAGAATGCTCAGACAAGATTAACAAATTAGAAATAAAAGTGGTTCATGTCATATAGGGGAAAAAGTAATTGTTGGGGCTTTCTTCTTTACTAGACAGAAAATAATCATATGGTGTTCATTTCTTAGAGCTGCCATAACAAATTACTACAAGCTTGGTGGCTTTCAGTGGTACAAGTTTATTCTCTCACAGTACTTGAGCCTAGAAGTTTGAGATCAAGGTATTGATGGGGCCAAGCTTGCTCCAAAAGCGCTAGGAAAGAACCCTTCCTTACCCCTTCCTAGCTTCTGGTAGCTCCCAGAAGTCCTTGGTGTTCTTTGGCTTGTAGCTGCATCACTTCAGTCTCTGCCTCCGTTTTCACACAGCCTTCTTCCCTCTGTGTTGCTGTGTCCTCTTCTCTTCTTATAAAGAGACTAGTTGTTGAATTTAGTACTCAAGTCCAGGATGACTTTATCTCAAGTTCCTAATTACATCTGCAAGAGCCCTACTTCCAAATAAGTCAAATTTAAGGTGCCATGTGAGCATGAGTTTGTAGGGGATACTATTCAACCCACTAGACATACCTTAACAGTTTTTCAGACTGGGCAAATGCTTGCCTGCTAATCAGCCAAGCAAATACAATTAGATTCTCCCAGAGAGTAGGAGGAGTCTGAGACAGACTTGTTTAAAAATGACAGCAGATGATCATATAATTATATATACATCTTCCCCCAATGCCTACTCAGTGCCAAGCACTGTGATGCATGATCTTTATCTATTTTCTCATTGAATTCTCATACCTCAACAAGTGGGTTTTTTTCTCTGCATTTTTTACTGGTGAAGACAACTGAGGCACAGAGAAGTCAAGTAACTTGCTTAAAGACACACAGCTAGTAAATAGCAGTTTGTATCTGAACAAACCCCAAGGTCCATTGCTCTTTTTGCTACTTGTTCCTTCTTCAATTCAGGTTTGATGAAAATCTTCCTTTTCTGTTGTTATTTCAAGGTCTAACTGTCTATCACGGAAGATGAATATAACTTATCAGTGACTCCTTCTGAAGTGTTACATTACTTCACCCCTCATTGGAAGAAGAATATCACAGTACATGACTCTTTGAAGATGTTTTCCTTAGATCAAGGCAGCCCCAAAGACACTCATTGCTTTTCCTTTTACTTACTGCTGTTCAAGCAAATATGCAGATAATGCTGAACTTACAGTCTTTTGGAAGGTTATTTAATACCTGCTGTTTGCTCAAGTCACATTAAAGAAACACACAATGGTGGAAAGCTGTGCATGTTGTACTTCATTTAATTGATAATGCATCCTGGTTTCTTAGGTTAATACACATTGCAGTATGTGTTTTAATCTGGAAAACGTGTATTATGGATGTGATTTTTGTTTGTAGGCATTTATGAAGACATTTTTAGATGAGCTCACTGAAAATCAGTGTTAGCTTAAATTGCAGTTTAGGTTGAAATAAGAATCCAATTAGGTAGGCAAGGCCTTGTGCAATTATCCCAACATGAAATAAGTGCTCATGCTAAAGCAAATAATTCCTCCAGGAAATCACAGGCTTGGTTTCTGTAATCCTGGGAAAACTAAGGAAGGCTGAATGGTACAGGAGAAGGACTGCAGGCCAGGGGCCAATCTGTGCTATGCTGGAAACTACCAGTGTGACCTTGGACTAATCATTCAACCCATTTGAAGCTCTCTCTCCTCCTCTCTAAATCTAATGTGAATGACCAGATGGTTTTTAAGCTGTGTTGACTATATTCCCATTGAGTGATGTTTACTCTGTTTTGAAGTGTATGCAATGCAAGCATTTATCCACTAACAAAGATGTTTATTTTTAAAATTTGTTTGCTTAGGTTCCCACTAAAAATATAAAAGCAAATGGAGTAGTTTGGTTTATTTTTTATTTTATTTCGTTTTGAGACAGTGTCTGCTCTGTCATCTGGTCTGGAGTGCAGTGGTGCCATCATGGCTCACTGCAGTCTTGGCTGCCTGGGCTCAAGCAATCCTCCTGCCTCAGCCTCCTGAGTAGCTGGGACTGCAGACACACAACAGCAGTCCTGGATCACTTTTTTTTTTTTTTTCTAGAGATGGGTTCTTGCTGTGTTGCCCAGGTTGGTCTCAAACTCCCGACCTCAAGCGATCCTCGTGTCTCGGCCTTCCAAAGTGCTGGGGTTACAGTCATGACACACCTCAACTGGTCATAGTTTGCATTTAAGTAGTACTGTTCTTTCTTAGAAACTCAAACTTCTTCATGTGTTAAATGCTTTGTCACATGTTGCAAGTGATCTACATGTATTTGACCACCTATTTACACAGATAGGAGCTAAAAGATAGTAGCTGCCAAAAAGTCATTGGCTTTATTGCTGAAGAATATAGACTAGATATTAGGCAAATAATATGTAGACTGATTTCCAGGCAGGTAAAATACATTGTGGCTCAGTTTACAGCAACCTTGAGGGGTAGGTCTTTTCCACATTTTATGGCTGAGGAAACCGAATGTAGCAAATGCTGTTTGTGTCCTGCATCTATATGCTCTTGGGCTTCACCTGTAGGCAAGCAGTACTTCCAATTCCCAGCATCTGCCTCCTTTTGCTTAAAGACCTTTCCTAGCAGCTGGGGGCCACTTTGCCTCTGTGCAATGGCAGCCCAGAAGTGCCTAAGAATTAATACTCTCCAGGAGCAGCCCTCTCCCAAGGACTGACAAAGTTGGTATATTAATACCCCAGCTTCCCCATCTCTCAATTCTTCTTCCAAGGTATTTGAAGCATCCCTATCATATTAAACTACAATTACCTACTTTGGGTAATTTTCTCTGTGAGGCCCCACTCGTCTGCTATTGTTTCTTGAAACATTCTTTCAAATAAACTACTTGCTCAGGGTCTGCTTCTGAGGGCAACTGGACAAAGACACAGAGGCTCAGGTAGCTAAAGTACTAAGCCAAGGTCCTATCGCTGGTCACTAGTAGAGCTCTTTGAGATACAAATCAATTATTCTTTTTAGGTGAAAATTGAAATAGATTCATGTAAATATCCACAAATTTGTGTTGTGAAACAGTGATAATTTGAAAAGATTTTGAAATATGGGATTTATGGACATAAATAATTCAAATGCAGATAATAATTTAGTATAAACAAAAATATAAATAAACACTTTCAGGCCCTACATACTAGTATTTCCTGTAAAGTAGGGTATACTTTAAAGAGAAATAAAAACAGACTGAATTCAAGAGGCATAAACTAGATCTCATTTAGCAGATTGTATGCTTCCTAGATGAGGCCAGTCAGGTCAACCAAGCAAACTGTAATTGAAATAAAAACAAAAATACCAATCGGTTGTTTAATATGAAAGTTTATCCAAAGCAGTGGAATTATGATTGAGTGAGGCAGAAGATTTTACATATTCGCTCAACAGATGTTCATTACTAAATTCCAGGCTCTGTGTCAGGCTCTGGGACTTGGTGGTGAACAGGAGAGGAGAGACACAGTACATGCCTGTCCAGAACTTACATTGCAGAGGGGAAGACCAGCAGGTAGGTGACCAAGTGCAGTCATGTGTACTCAAAGTTAATGACAGTGGAGTGTTGAATGCTCTGGAAATAGATAGGAAGCCACTGAGTCCAGATTGGACAGGTCGGGTAAGGCTGCCTAGGATAAGTGGCATCTAAACAAGGAATTGAGGGATAAATAGGAGTCAGCCAGGTGAGTAGGGGCCAAATGTGTATAGAGGTAATCCACTGAGAAGGAATGGCATTGATGAGACATCTAGGGAATAAAATAGCATGACATATTAGGTACCAAAAGAAATTCAGTTTGGGTAGAGTGAGGGTAGGATGGAGGGTGGGAGAATGGCAAGATATCATGGTGATTCTAAGACATTTGTGTCTCTAAGCACTTTTACCTTGAAACTCTCATTTCACATTATATCCAGTATCCATATCCAATATCAAATAACTTATAGATCAGTTTTTAAGAACCATATTGAATAGCAATTAGTTGATAAAATGTTCTGTGGAAATTTCAGGAAACATTTGCTAAATGTGATACTGATCTTGTTTTCTTTTATATTTTGAAGGCAACTTTTTATTCAGCTTTTCAACATTTCTGTAGGTCCTTGAGAAACTTGAGGATTCTAAGTGTCATGTCCACTGGATCCATAGGACTAGATGGGCCCATACCACTCACTGGGGACTAGAAAAGGAACAGTTTTGCAGTGATGTTAAACCATTAACTTTTTGTCCTGGGGGCAATGGGAAATTATGGCAAGGCTTAAGTAGGGGAGGATCATTGTCAGAATTATACTTTAGAAACAGAATCCTGGCTGCAGTGTGCAGAACAGAAGTAAGAGGAATGTGTCAGCGTAGGGGTTGGGAATGGGGGTGTTAGGAGCAAATATCCAGGGAAGATTTGACTGGACTCTGAACTAGTGTGAAGTTATGACAAAGAGTAGAACTGCGATCTGCAGGCTAGTGGCAGGATGAGGTATTAGTGATTTTGTGATTTTACCTTTGAGGATATCCTCACCTTCAATCTTTGAAACAATTTTTTCATATGACCCTTTCTTTGATGGGGCTGTTCATTAAACCTGGTATAGCTGGTGAATTACACTCCATGCCAGAATGAGGTAAATAAAAAACGTTGGCTGAATAATGGTTTGCAGCTGTTTGACCAATGGACTCACTGACTGATTTGAATGTGTCCCTAGGCACACCACTGACGTCAGGACTTCAAAAGTGAGTTGGCCTTGGGAAGACACAGATAAAATATTCACTGTATTTATAAAATGATACATGTTTACTAAGAAGTCTCCTTTTTTATTATTTTCTATTGTAAAACCCACATAACAGATAATGTCTGCCCTCCTTTTGGCAATGTAGTATATCACTTGCAAGAGCAAGTCCCAGTCATGCTTGGGTCTCTCTCTTCTGCGTTAATGCTTCCTGCTCATTTATGTGATGCAGCAAGGAATCTATCCATCTTGATGGTAGCCCCAAAAAAGCTTCTATTTTAATCAAATTTACCTTGTAGTTAAGAGCTGAGGGAAAGCTTCTGTGTCTTCCTTTTTACTTTGTGTAAATGGATGTTAATTATACAGTATGTTTACATTTTTTATTTCCAAGTTATCAAGGCATGGCAACTTCTGGCATGTGAATAATTGTATAACTGCCTAAGATTCTGAGGAAACTGTAAGCAAAACTCATCTTAAAATGTATTTATCAAGCTTAGCCCTATGTTGCAAATTACATTTGCTAAAAAATAATTTCAGAACTTGTTCCCCACGCTATCAATGATTATAAGTTTGGGGGGAAAGATAGGAAAGAGTTGGACATAAACAGAGAAAATCAGCAAATATTTTGTTAGCAACCTTGACACTGAAGAACTTTTGGAGACATGGGGGACAGGTTTCTTTCCTGGAAGTACAAGTCTATTTGTTGGCATCTATTCATTAAGACAACACTTTGAATTTGATTAACTGAAATAGCTAATTTTTTGTAATCCCTTATTCACGTATATTGGAGTTTTGGAAGTTACAGGAAAGTGGGAATGATAACATGCGTTTGTGTGATTTCCAGACAAATATACAAACCATTCTAATAAATAAAAATGAGGAAAAACAGAAAATGAATTTTTGTGCTTAGTATACACAATGAACTCAACCCCCTGTGTGTCCTTACAATGAATGTGACCCGGAGCAATTCAAAAGGCTGCTCTGTGAACTTTAGTTTTGTCATCTGTGAAACAAGAATGACTTGTGTTAATGTTCCATTGAATTATGTGCATAAAAATATGAGCCCTCAGCCTGGGCAACATGGCGAAACCCTGTCTCTACAAAATATACAAAAATTAGCTGGGTGTAGCAGTGTGTGCCTGTAGTCCGAGCTACTTGGGAGGCTGAGATGAGAGGACTGCTTGACCCTGGGAGGTCAAGGCTGCAGAGAGCTATGATCATGCCACTGAACTCCAGCCTGGGTGACAGAGCGAGACCTTGTCTCAAAGAAAAAAAATGAAATAAGTGCTATGATCCTATGAGACGCTAAATAAACAAACAAAGGAACTGCTCTTATCTACTACTTAATAAGGCAGGAACATATTCTTCACATTTAAGAGAAAATTTAAGTAACTGGTTAAAATAGCCCACATCTCCATCTATATGTTTAGTACTTTATTAACTGGGAAATTCAACTAAGCCATTTGATAAATTGATATTTTTATTGAATTAATTTATCATTTAAATTTTTCTGGACTTATTTTTATCTTAAGTAACTCATATAAGTCTGAAAATCAGAACTAGTCAGCCATCACTTCCTGAAGTAGTTCTTTATCTCCTTGCCTGGAAGGTAGAGTTCAAGAAGCTGTGGGAAATTACATTGAAAAAGGGTAAGAAAGTGAGGGTAAGAATTCTATTCTGTGGGCAATGGGGAGTCTTTGAAGGTTGTTAGCAGGAGAGTAACTTGCTTTGAACTGTAGAAGATTAATTTGACATTGGTGTCTAGAATTCATTGGACAGGGAAGAAACAGGAGAGTTAGGCATTTATTTTAATAGTATGGTGAGAGGCAATGCATATCTGAACAAGGATGGTGGTAGTGGGAAAGGAGAGGAGGAAATGTGGCAAGAAACATCACTTCAGCTGATTGAATAGGGCTGATTGGTTAATTAGATATGAGAAATATGGGAGGGACAGCAGTCAAGTGTGACTTAGCTAACGGAATAAAAATGACATTGAAACTGGAAAGGAAAAAAGAAGCAGTCAGGAGACATTGAAAGCATTGTAATAGTAAAAGGGTTAAGAAAAAATTTAATCTTTATAATTTAATTTAAATTTTTATAATTTAATTCAAATAAATATGTATTAAGAGGTTCAGAAAATATCATATTCCAGAATAATGATAATGATTATAATAATTATGAATTTTCAAGGAAATACTTTGTCAGGTATGTGATAACCAGTATATCATGCATAATTCTTGCAATGTCCCTTCAAGGCAGATTTGCTTATCTTAATTTTACAAATTAAGAACAAACTTCCTAGAGAAAAATAAGTCTTCCCAAGCATTACCTAGCATATTGGTGGTTAAGTAAGAGTTAAAATACAGATCTGACAGATGCCATGTGACCTGTCTTATGATTGAAAAGACTTACAGATTTGTTACCTGTAAATTTTGAAAAAAATTATAACAATTGAGATAACTATGCTAAATTATTAAGATATTGCTAATATTATAATAAACTATGCTAATTACTCATATATGTAAAATAAAATATTTTAAGCACACAGTATGGTACAGAAAATAATATATCATATACCAATGTACCTATCGATAGACTTATTTTAATGTTTTGCCATATTTCTTTCACTTTTTTAATCCATCCAAAGCCTTACAGCTGACAATTTTAAATTCTGCTTGTCTTTACTAACACTCAGCAAGTAGTTTCATGATTCCTATTTTACTGATGAAGAAACTGAAACTCTAGAGATTAGGCAGCTTGCTCAAAGGTCTATAGAGAGCCCTAAAGCTAGAGCTAGCTTGGTTCTGAAGTGCGTCCTTTTTATACCACTCTAAACTCTTCTGTAAAGCTATCAAAAGCCAAGAAATGAACAAATATTTTAAATTTCAAAAAATGGCAAAAATTTAGACCCCACAACTAAAACTCGTAAGTTTAATGTTGATCCAGATGCTTAAATTGGTAATTAGCTTATGAACACTTATAAAAGAGAGAAGTGTTAAAGGTCAACATCGGCTTATCAAAAATAGGTAATGCTAAACCTGGTTTCATAAGGAATAATACTGTAGACTGGTAGAAGAGGTCAATACTGTAGATATAATATGTTTTGATTTCAGATGATATGATTATGGATAAGAAAACATAATAGACTTGCTTATAGTAGAATTTGCTGGAATTATACCCAGGCTGTATGACAGTTAAAGTCCAATGTTAACCTCTAAGAAGCCCTCCAGTGCTGTGTCCCATGGGTCTGATCTGGTCCTCTTCATTGAAATTTTAATCTATAGCAGTAGTTCTTGATGTTTTTATACCTGTGGCACAGTTTCAAAATATATTTTGCTAGCATGATTGAAAACTATAGTTATTGGACTTTTCACTTGGTTGCTCTTTCCCCCAAGTTCCGTATTAGAGTGGAACTGCTGAATGCCCTGCCTCCTTTTCCTCTTTCTTATGCACGTGTGAGGCACCATGCGCATATATTCTGGTTCTCTGTTGCCTGCTTGTTATTACCTTTTGCCTTTGACTGTAACATGTAATCATGTAAGTGTTTTATCAGCTCTGCCCTCCCAGCTTAGTGTTCCGTCTGAAAGATAGGCATATAGAGCTGTTTTTGAGCCTGTTTGTTGCAAAAACAAATTTTACATGGGGATCAACATTTTTGAAAGCATACCTATGAAGACTCCACAGTACACTGGAGTAGCAAGGCTCATGGATTGAGAAATGATTAACTATAACATGGGTAGAGTCATGGAATAGAAGATATATGCATTTTTGCATTTATAGATAGCAGAAAACAATAGGGATGGTCATAATTCCTCAGTGAGATGAACAAATTATGAGTTCTAAGAAGATGCATGTACACACACACATACACATATAATGAACAAAATTTAAGTCATTTAGATGCTAGATGGGGAAAGATTTGATTTAAAAGCAAGTCATGTAAGTCTATTAAAATATAGTGTAATGTGAATTTTTGTGAATGGAAGTACGAGTTCTCAATCAAGTTACAAAGAAATATCATGCGCCCTAGTGATTATATTTTATCTTGAGTGTCTGCTATTTGAAATTTCAGCAAGCTGGAATATTTCCAGATGAGAGACTGAGGAACCTGAAGGAGTTGAAAAACCAGATTAAGTTTGACAATGGTTGGAGGATCTAGAGATGTTTGGTCTGAGTAAGGGAAGACTTACTAGAGAGAGGATTAGAGTTCTGAAGCAATGCTGCTCAATGGATAGATTATTTGAGCTACAGATGCCATCACATATGTGATTTTAAATGTTCTAATAGTCACATTAAAAAGTAAAAAAAGATAAAATTAACTTTAATCACATATTTTATTTGATGCAATATAAAATATTTCACTAGGTAATCCATTAAAAATATTAATGTGGTATTTTACCCTCTTTGTTTTTGTTCTAAGTGTTCCAAATCTTGTGTGTGTTTTACACATAGAATACACCTCAGTTTTAACCAGTCATGTTTTAAGTTTTCAGTAGCTACCTTGTGGATAGTGCCTACTGTATTGGATAGCACAGTTCTAGAGTGTTTGAATGATTGTCACATGGAAAGGAAATTTGTCTTTTGAACTGACATTGATAGACCAAAATATAAAAGAGCAGATTTAACTCAGTTTTCAACACACGTTAGTTGGGTGAAAAATGAATGCCTCTGTGTGTGGTATTGAGCTATCTTTTACTGGACTTGCTGAAGCAAAGACTGAATGATCATCTTTCAAGGAAGTGGTAGAGGGGATAGTGAGTAGAATATTCAATTGATGAATTTAAAATAGAATAAAATTATGTGTCTCACAAATATAAAATGAACACATGTCAAAATTTTTATTTAACTCATTAATTAATGAGAAAACCTGTAGTATTACAACAAATTCAGAAGAGAACTCAAAATGCCACATAGTTATAGTCAGATTAGGAATGATGAAATTAGTAAGTGGATTTAAAACTACAAAACTGGTTGGTATCCAGGAAGTAATGATTATAGTCCACTGGACATAATTTGCATTTCTAAGAATAGGAGTTATTTGTATTATTCTCAGTTTTGTAAAGTAGCCTAGCCCACAAAAGATGGTGATAACCACGATGGAAGAATTAGTCAGGACGACCACTAAATTTCAGAATTTTATTTTCCACAAACAGTGTGAGGGGTGATGGTCTGAATTGAGGTGTTGTCAGTTAGGATGGAGGGCAGTGGGTTCTATGCCTGCAGTATGAGAATAGATACTGTGCAAATGGATAAAGAAAGTGTAAGACAAATTACAACCTAATGTAGATAGAGTTCACGTTGAGTCAAGGCTCTCTCTCCTTTTCTTATTTATAGTGTGATGTGTCTTTTCTGTGATTCAAAATAAAATATTTAGAACCTAGACTTTGTGCATCTTCCTCTACTCATTGGTGACTGCTAGACATTCTTTTCTTAGAGTTCTGTTTCCTGTGTATTAAGACTTTGAGAGGTATTAAGATGCCATGACACATACACAAATAAACATTTAAATCTCTGTCAGCTCAAACTTTCTCAAATCAAAAATTGAATAAATTTCAGAAAAATAAATAGAAACATGAATGAAAACACAAAACATATGCATATAAATTGCTCACCCAGATCACAGAATCAAGCAGGTAAGGAACAGAACCACAGAAGTTCTGCAAGTTGAATAACTAAGCCAAACAAGGGCAGCAGATTAAACAACAAAATTTAAGGGCACTTCAGAAAAACGACCTTTAAACATAAGAAGATGGAAATGCTTTATGGAATTTAGATGTGGTGAGAATAATTGTTGCCCCTACTTCACCAGTCTTGGCAGTGAAAAAAGAATGCAGAAATCTTCAACTTAAGTTGTGATTTTGTAGAATCTCACTAGTCGTATTCATGTAAAAGTAGTTTTGTGATATTCCTATTAAATAGTATAATGGAAAATTTATGGATGTGTTTATTCTGGGATTTTTTAATACCATTTGATGCCCTGGTTTAAATTCAAAATTGTACTGACAATATATCACTTTGTTGGGAATCACTTTGCTTAAACTTCATTAAGAGCCTGTAAAGGAAAATGGAAGCTCTGTAAACATTCAGGAATAAGGAGCCAGTATTCTTTATTAGTTCTTTACTCGTATCATTTAATGAGATTTACAGAACACTTATAGACTACACAATGCACTTAGGCAGGAAATTTTATAGAAGGATAGTTTGATTTCTGAATCTTACTCTTGTATTTAAAATCACGCAATAAAATGGAGGGAAGGAACTTAAAATATGCATTATTAAGATGATTAGAGTTTTTAAGATTTTATTTCACTTTAATTTTATTTTTACCATTGTAGCATGGCATCATTGATGAACTGAGCACATAGTATAATGGTGCTGACATGTAGGAATGATTCCCCAAGGAATTTATACCACCTTAAACCAGAGTGCAATAGGGCATCAGCTCTTTGCTGAATCCACTAGAGTGGAATTATTTTATAGACATGCCAGCACTGTTGGTCTCCATAGTGATTTTTTAGGGTGTCCATTCAGTAGTGGGCCAGAACCGTAAGCCCTGTGTCTCTATTTACACATCTGGAATTTACCCTTTCAGTTACATTTTTACCATTAGAACTTTAATGCAAACTACCATGATCTCTCTTATATATTAGCCTCATTGGCTCTTAACTAGACTTCCTCCATGTGTGCCTCCCTACAAACTGTTGTTTACACAGTACCTGGAATGTCACTTTCCTGCGTAAAACCAGTAGTGGCTTCTTTCTGTTGCATTTACAATCAAATCCAAACTCCTTACCCTGGCCCGTCTCTTCTTCTCCCCCATTGCTCTACCATGCTCCACTCTCACGGTCCTTATTTTGGCAACTTAAGCATGCTAAGTTCATTTCTACCTTAGGAATTTTGTACTGGAATGTTCTTCCTTGGGCCTTCAGATGGCAGGTTGTCATTCCTGTATCAGTCTAAAATGCAGATTTATCAGGGAAGTGTTCTCAGACTAACATATCTGAGGTGGCCTTCTAGTCACTTCCTATTACTTCTCTGTTCAGCCCTTTCATTTTTGGAATAATTTTTTTTGTGTATTTTAAATGTATGTTTGTAAAATTTATACAAAAATTGTCTGTCTACCTATCTATGTTTAATTTTTTAGTCTGACTCTTACACAATTTCCCCACGATCTAAGCTCCATGGGATCAGAGTTCATGTCTGTCTTGTTCACTACAAAAAAATCCAGTAACATAGAAGCTTCTTCACAAATATTGAATCCATGAATGGATGGCTAAGAACATCAGATATTACATCAGATGGGCCTGCAGTAAATTCTCAGCTCTTCTTCTTACTTGCTGTACGACATTGGGCAAATGGCACAGTCTCACCACAGCTGTTTTAGTTTCATTAAATAAAGACAATAATGATACCTATCTTTATGGTCATTATGAAAACAAAACCCAACAAATACAAAGTGTTGAGGCCACTACCTCTTACTCATTAAAAAAAAAAAAAAGAAATTCACAGTAAATCACAGCTGTGGTTCTACGATTATTCATCCCACATCTATCTCTGTTTTAGCAGCCATTGCCCTGTAAAGTTGTCTGGATTAGGTTAACACAGTAAAGCTCTAAATATTCTGTAGGTTATCAAGGAGTTTTAAAAAATAGACTTTATTTTCTAGAGCAATTTTAGGCTCACAGCAGAATTGAGTGGAAAGTATAGAGTATCTGTATACCCTCTGTATACATAATCCATGCATACATAGCGTTTTCCACTATCAACATCTGTCACCAGAGTGGTACATTTATTTCAATCAATGAAGCTACACTGACACATAATCACCCAAAGTTCATAGTTTACATTAGGGCTGGTAAGCCTAATGTACTTGGTGTTGTACATTCTAGGGGATTTGGCAAATGTTTAATGGCATGTATCCACTGCTATGGTATCATACAGAATAGTTTCTCTGCCCTAAAACAATCCTTTGTGCTCTGCCTACTGGGGATTTTTAAATTCAAAAATGTGTTTCTTCATTTTGGGAGCTAGACAGTATTAGTCCAAATTTGGTTTATACAAAAACAAAGAAATTTCTATAAGTAATTGAAGTTGTTAATTAAATAAATTAATAAGAAAGCAGTGGAGTGAGTAAATGAATAAATCTCATCCATGAGTAACGAGACTTATTCAGACCAGGCTCAATCTGGATATGTGAGAATGTAGAGACATATTTCAAAACCTGCTTTTGAATGAAAGAGTGGCTAGAAAGTTGTCACAGGAGAGGAGACAGTCTACTATGTGAGTGGGTGTCTTTCTCCAGCATGCTATGTGCAGTTCTAAAGTGCTGCTCATTCTTTCATTTATTTATTTATTTATTTATTTATTTATTTATTTATTTATGTATTTATTTATTTATTTATTTTTTGAGACAGAGTTTCGTTCTTGTTACCCAGGCTAGAGTGCAATGGTGCAATCTCGGCTCACTGCAACCTCTGCCTCCTGGGTTCAAGAAATTCTCCTGCCACTGCCTCCCAAGTAGCTGGGATTACAGGCGTGTGCCACCGCGCCTGGCTAATTTTGTATTTTCAGTAGAGACGGGGTTTCACCATGTTGGCCATGCTGGTCTTGACCTCCTGACCTCAGGTGATCCACCTGCCTCAGCCTCCCAAAGTGCTGGGATTACAGGTGTGAGCCACTGTGCCCAGCCGTGTTCATTCATTTTTTTTTTTTTTATTATAGTTTAAGTTCTGGGCTACATGTGCAGAACGTGCAAGTTTGTTACATAGGTATACATGTGCCATGGTGGTTTGCTGCACCCATCAACTCGTCATCTAGCTTTTAAGCCCCGCATGCATTAGGTATTTGTCCTGATGCTCTCCCTCCCCTGGTCCCCCACCCCCTCCGACAAGCCCCAGTGTGTGATGTTCTCCTCCCTGTGTCCGTGTGTTCTCATTGTTCAACTCTCATGCATGAGAACATGCAATGTTTGGTTTTCTGTTCCTGTGTTAGTTTGCTGAGGATGATGGCTTCCAGCTTCATCTATGTCCCTTCAAAGGACATGAACTCATTCTTTTTTATGGCTGCATAGTATTTCATGGTGTATATGTGCCACATTTTCTTTATCCAGTCTATCATTGATGGGCATTTGGGTTGGTTCTAAGTCTTTGCTATTGTGAACACTGCTGCAATAAACATATGTATGCATGTGTCTTTATAGTAGAATGACTTATAATCCTTAGGGTATATACCCAGTAATGGGATTGCTGGGTCAAATGGTATTTCTAGTTCTAGATCCTTGAGGAATTGCCACACTGTCTTCCATAATGTTTGAACTAACCTATACTCCCACCAACAGTGTAAAAGCATACCTATTTCTCCACATCCTCTCCAGCATCTGTTGTTTCCTGACTTTTTAATGATCACCATTCTAACTGGCATGAGATGGTATCTCATTGTGGTTTTGATTTGCGTAAACTTTTAACAATTATAAAAATGGCTGAATTTTGCATTGAAATCCTGAGAAACTATACAAAACAATTGAATTATTAGAGAAGATATCAGATTATAAAAATCAAATAAAATTCTGTGGACAGAGAAAATTAAATAAATAAGAAAAGACATTAAAAGATAATTTAAATAGAAATACTAGATGCAAACACTTTTAATCCAAGTGGAAAAACGTAAGAAAGGAAAATATGTTTTAATTATGAGTACTACAAGAAGTTTGGATTTGCTTTCAGGCTGCAAGTAACTTTTGCTTCAGTATATCCCTTACTGTCAAAAGGGAAATGTTCAGTCAAAAGATAAATGTTCTAAAATTTGTCATTTTAAACACCACTAATAAGCTATGGCATAAATTTTGACTAAATGTGCTTTGATAGATATTTTTAGGGGTCAGTATTTAGTCAAAGATTACATATGTTGTTTTAAACAGTTTTCTCATTGAGTGGTTTGATCATGAAGTTGTTAATCATTTACTAAAAATATACAAAGAAATAAAATTTATTAAGTCATTTAGAACACCATGTTATTAGGGTCACTTAGAATACCATGTTATTTTTAGTAGAAATTGATTTCTAGTAATTCCATAAATCATATTAAATTACAATTGTACATTATAATCATTATCTATGATTAATTTATAGCTAGTTTAATGTGATATGTGTGATTAGAGCCCTAAACTGAGTGATGTCCCTAAAGTTAATTATGTCACGTGGAATTGCAGTCTTTACAGGTGCTATGGGATAAAAAGCCTGGCCTGGATGTTCTGTGCCAGTAACTAAGAAAAAATGATAATGGTTTGGAGTCTAAATACTGTCATTTTTTTCAGATGAAATAAGGAGAAAATGCCAACTGATTTCTATTTAAAAAAGTAAGTAGATGGTGACTGTTTCATGCTGAAAGGGGCTCGCTTAGTTTTAACTAATTATATTAATAAATCCTGTCAGATATATAAGCCTGTCTCAATCCACCTTTTTAAGTTTTCTTTAATTCCTATATTAGACAGAAATGGCAACGTTAATGCTGGAGTAAGAAGCACCTCCAAAAATTTTAGAAACTTGACTTACGATTTTTTGCTCACACTACATGCCCAACATGGGCCAGCAGGGAGCTCTGCTCATCTCTCAACCAGGCTCAGAGCAACTCCATTGCAACAAAGCTTCCGTGATCATCTTAGCTGGAAGACGGGGTGAGACTTACACTGGATCTTAGAGCTACTGCCTGGAATTGACACTTCTGTTACCATTTCAATGAAAATACATGGCTGGGCCTAAGTTCAAAGTGGACAGGGAAAGGCAGTTCTGCCATGTGCCTGGAAGGTAGAGAGCCAGAAGTATATGGTGAATAGCACAGCTGCTCACTTTGTGAGGTCTTAGGCCTGGGTTGTTGCTGGCATGCCAGGGATGTATGCCACAGGTAACAAAAGAAAAGAAAATGCCTAAGATTTATGATTTATGATAAACAGTGACCTCACTTTAATATATATCATTATCTTGTGAACAGTGTGGCTTTTTAAATAATGTAGGATGTGTTAGATCAGTCATTAGAAAAGTCATCTGGAGATGGCGACATTATCTTTCTTCATGTTAATAGGCAGAAAGATCTCAGTGTCACCAGGACAAGAACAGATCACAGGCTGTTTTGAAATAGGAGTACACAGCTGAGCACAATGTAGGCGCTCTAAGACTAATGAAAGAATCAAATCAGGTGTGTGAGTGATTCAGCAAGAAGTTGAATTAGAGCCAGCTGCTTCGTCTGAGTTGGGTTAAGTCAGAGGGGGAGGGTTGATATTGGGTAATCAGAACAAAACGAGCTGGAGGGCCAGCCACCTGCTTAGTCGGAGTAAGAATGCCTGCAGAGACCTGGACCAGAGTGGGCAGAATGGAGGTAGGTTAGAGGCTGGTCTGGGATACTGGGACAGGCAAGTGTATAGTCAGCTTGTTGATATTGAGAGAAGGTAATATCTTAGCCTTTTCAAAATTTACTAGTTTATCAGAGGTAAGAATGTGTTTTTTTAGGTGCTGGAACTCTCCAAATTTGACTCAAGATGCAGAAACTGCTTTAATGTTAACAAGAAAGTTCCTTGGAAGGTGAATAGGAATTGAATTCTTCAAATTCTTGTGGATGTGCTCACAGGAATGGCATATGTTTGGATCTCAAAATTAGATAAAATTGAGAGACTTAGTCAGTTGGGGTGGGATTGAGGGAGTACATTTATCTCATAGAAACAATGTTTTATTAATGTTTGATGGGAACTCTTGAAGTTGATAATGTTTTAAGTGGTGAGTGATAGACTGGATCAAAGTAATTATTACAGTGTAAGACATTATGCAGTCTACCTTTTTAAATTGCAAGTATTTTCCTCCTCTTTGGTTTATCTGATTACATATAACAGTGAATAAGGAATTTCATTTTATATTCATATTATATAGTATTATATAAGAACACCAAGTAGGTAAGGTAGCTTATTTTTTTTTTAACTATTCATGATTAAACCTATGTAAAGGCTAATTTTCTCAAACCAGTTAACAGTTAATTGACTGGCGGCAGAAGGAGAGAGGGTATCAGAACCAACTGGAGAACATTAGCTCTCCCTTAAGAACAATAGCACACCAGTCTCACTTTTTAATGTGATAGAAACAGTACCATTATTGCCCTTTTGCTATTTGTAAAATGGAGGCTTTAAGGCTTTAATTCTTTTTTTTTTTTAAATTATACTTTAAGTTCTGGGTTACATGTGCAGAATGTGCAGTTTTGTTACATAGGTATAAACGTGCCTGTTTTTTTTTTTGTTTTTTTTTGTGTTTTTTTGTTTTTGAGATGGAGTCTCACTCTGCCGCCCGAGCTGGAGTACAGTGGTGTGATCTCGGCTCACTGCAACCTCCACCACCTGGGTTCAAGCGATTCTCCTGTCTCAGCTTCCCGAATAGCTGGGACAACAGGTGCGTACCACCACACCCAGCTAACTTTGTATTTTTAGTAAAGATGGGGGTTTCACCATGTTGGCCAGGCTGTTCTCGAACTCTTGACCTCAGGTGATCTGCGTGCTTCAGCCTAATTTTTAAGAAATCCTTTAAGTAACTCTTTAAGCACACTGTTTCCCATAAAATAGGAAATGTTTGGTTTGTAAGAAATGTGTCTATATGATATTACATCTGTGGCTTTCAAAATAAGGATTCTTAATGAGAGTTTTGCATTGTGTAGACTTTTATTTTAAAACTAAACTACCTTAATATGATCACTTGATCTGGTCTTTAACTTATCCCTTCCATAATTTTTCATCAATACTAATGCACATTTGTTTTTTTTAAATTAAGAACACAGGTTCTTTGGTCTGCATTATTAATAAACTTCTTTATGTTCAGAAATGGGTAGAAAATATTAGATTTTGCTCCATATCATGTTTCTAATAACATGACAACTTGACGTAAATCTTTGTTTATAACTGTATTACGTCAAGTTGGAATGCTTCAAAATCAATATAATCACAAGGGTATATCACTAAGGAACTTTCACTGTGACGTCTGTACATTCTTGAAAAGAGGACTTTATTATTTTGATACATTAGGTATTTTGTACATCATAATTTTATTTATGTATCCTATTCATTTGAAGTATACATGTCATGATAGATATTTTTATATAATATATTCCCTTATGTATGTTAATGGGCTTAAAGTTTTATGGTAATATTTAAACACACATTTAATTGTGTTATTTTATTATCATACATGGGACATAAATAATTTTAATGGTTATTTAAACATTTAATAAAATGCAACAAACCTCCATATCTATAATTAAGAGGTTTTGGGAAGCCAGTAGTATGTGGAATTATTTACACTTGTGCTATCAATTATGAACGTTCCTCATTTAGCTCCGAACACTGGAGCTAGCAGATGATGGCATGACCTAGAGACCCTGCGGCAGGCCCATTTACCTCCTCCATCTAGACAAATGATTAAAGGCTTCATCAGTCTTTTAAGGAGCTATTTCAAAATCATGGTCCTTCATGCATTAAAAAACAGAATATTTTCAGAATATATTTCAGTTTTAAACAGAATATTAATGTGACAATAAAGAGGAGATTTAAATTGCAGTAAAATGAAGTTATTTCCAGTATTTTTAATTTAAATCAAAGTCCATGGTGGCTGTAGGGTTTTACATTTTTTTCATGGTTATGACTAGTATTGTCTCATCACGTGGAACAGAAATTGGTGTATGGGAAAAGCATATGGGGAGGGTAGTAGGGTAATGGATTTGAAGGAGATAGGAACAGATGTTAAATAGAGATTTCCCCTAGAGTTCCATTATATATGATAGTTCCAGTTGTCCCAGTCTGTCTACTTCATATAATTTATCTTCTACACATTTTTTTGGAAATCAGCCTCATGGCACCCCTTCCAGGAAGCCTTCTATGACCTTCAGGACTGGTTTAGGGTTTGTAATTATATAAAACCATAAATATTTTATTTTTCCTCTATCCTCCATACCTAACCACACTCAAAATATTATAACTGCTTGCTTTCTAGATGTATACTTCCTTAGGCAAAAATTGTATCCTATTCAACAGTGATAAATCCATAGTTATTGTATAATAATTGTTCAATGAATGAATGATTCTCATTCAGCCTGGGAGAACTGACTGGACTGTGTGTACTGGGTTGCAGTATGTTTGGTTTTAAGTAGGGGTAGCACTGGGGAAAAAGACAATGTGGTTGAGGATTAAAAGACAGGACATTTGAAAAGGAATTCTTCCTATTGGTGCTTTTGTATTTTAGAGTAGCAGAAAGTATTTTTGACAAGAAATCAGAATTTCTGAGTTCTGATTCTTAGTGGCATCTGCACCTGTTTAATGTTGGACAAGGCTGCTAACTTCTCTGGGCATCAGTTTCTGCACTTGTAAAAAGAAGGATCTTGACTATTTCCAGGGTTTCTTTGAGCACCTATATACAGGTTATTATTATATCAAAAGGACATTGATATCAACGACAGGACTGGCTTCTAATCTGAGTGAGCCTCCTCTTGAATTGAGAGTGGGTAGTATTGCCTCATTTTGTCAAATGTCAATTAAAAAAAACCTTGAAGCAGAAAACATTGAGGACCTTCCTGATTTGTGGCCTAAGGAATGTTTCTCATTCCTTATTATTTTCAGAGATTCCGAAACGGAAATTATGATTGGGTTGCTCCTGAAGCAAAGATCTGAAGACTTCAGGAAGGGGAACTTCCAGTATACCCTGAATTTCAGACTAAGCAGAAATGGGGTTATAATTTACTGTAGATGAACTACACTGGATAAGGAGAAGGTGAATTAGGCATAATTGCTACTGTAACAGAGAGATCAGATGATATAATAAGTTAAAGAACAAATGTATGATTTTCTTTCTTTCACATTTGTCCAAGAATGGTATCTTCCACCCAGTCATTCAGGGACTCGGGTTACTTTCGAGTCATTGCTCTATTCTAGGGTCTTTTGTGATCTGTTTGGTTAAAGCTGGGTTGCTGCAAATTCATGGTTTCAGTAGAGACATGGATGGGAGATTCTTGGGGGAGAAATGAATGCAGAGAAACACATGTGCAATGTTTTAAAGTTTAAGCCTGAAAATAACATATATCCTTCTGGATATGGTTCATACTTAGAAGCAAGGGGAATTGGGGAATGTAATCTCAGCTATGTTTTCAGGAAAAAAGGGAGAATAGATTTTGATGGATAGCTTGAAATCTCTACTGATTTTATGACTTTCAGTAGAAAAAGTGGTCAAATGCATTAAGAATGCAATTTAAATCATCATTGTACATTTTTGACTCATTATGTTATAAATACATATAGTTCAATAGCTAAATATATTTATAGAACATCCATACAGTAGAATGCTATGTAGTCTTTAACATGCTTTTGTAAAAGAGTAGCTAATGGAATGGAAATCAGTACACAATATGTAGTTCACTTTAGCAGTCATGGAAAAAGTTAAGAAATAATGAGTTTTTGTAAAAAATATAATTTGGATAAGCATAGCAAAGAGATGAGAGAGATAAAGTTTAAAATGTTAATGTTTGTTGTCTTCAGTGGTAGAATATAAGTGATATTTTGTTTCTGTGTTTTTCTATTTATGTATCCATACTTAAAAAATTTTCTCCATTAGACATATTTAGACAATAAGCAAAATCAATACATATTTATATTAAAAATGAGATTTTTAAAATAATGATCCAGAAGAAGTTAAATTTATCTACACTCAACTTCAGCTACTGATTCTGGTAGAATTAATAATCTCTTTGGTCAAAAGCAGCCAGATAGACTTATAGTCTCCCAAAGAATATATGCCAGAAAACTTGGCATATAGAAATAAATGGTAATTGTACCTTATGGTCCTCTTGACCTGTTTAATAGTAAAGCAAATGCATATTGTAGCATATTTGTACAAATTCTTATGAGAAAGCCCATAAAAGCACATAAATGTCTTGCTTCTCATAATCAGAAAAGCAAAATGTCTGAAATGAATGCAGCATTTAAAAGATAAAACTCCCCACTTTAATCCTAATGACTGAGTTGGTTAAAAAATTTAACCACGTATTATTTATTTGCCCTGAGTTAGGGTTCCAGATTACTTTTGATCACAACCAAATTAAATAAGAAAACAAACTTTTAATCACAAGCAATGTTGTCTTCCCCTGGTAATGGGATATATATGCACTTTTTAAGGCCATTTTTCTACATGATTATGACAAGTAGTCATTGTAAGTCTTATTTTCATTTTTCAATTAATCAGGGTGAGTTCATTTTCCTTTATATACCTAAAGTAAAAAGATATTTAAAAAAAAGAAGCCTTGACATTACTATCAGTATTCTCTCTCTTCATTGTCAAGTTGTGATACATGTCCATTTGGAGTGTACATTATGTGATCTATGTCCATGGGGCTGTGCATAGAAATATGTCAATTTACACCTAAAATAATCTGGTTGGCATTCCAGTTACTTACTGGCCCTTCTCTCCTCTCATTAAAAGAAACTGTCCTCTAACCTGCGGCTATTACCAGGTTTGTTGTGCATTTGTTCTTGCCTGTGTAGTCCCTGGAATGTTCCTCCAGTGCATTGTTGGGCTTTGGCCATGGTTCACCTCTAGTATCTCGGGGCCATTATTCCTTAGGCAAGTGCCTATTCTTTGCCAGAGCCAAGAGATGGGGCGTGCCAGCCTTTTCTATATTTTTGCTTCCTGATTCTTTTAATCTCACAGGATTTTGGGATGCCCTGAATTTTACCTTTAGTCTTGTGTCAGTATTTGCTCAAATCTGCTACTTGGCATTACCTTATGGCTTAGCTTTTGGGAAGCTGAACGTAAGTGCATATGGACTTTCACATCATGCAAATGTTATTGATGACACAGAATGCCTGGTGCGGGCTGTGAATAATTTAGGGAGCCTCTCCCATTTATTCACACATTTCAGTCATGTGTTCAGAAAGCAGGTACAGTACGGAAGATACTTCAGAATTATAGGTCATATTTGAGAGCCTTTTATCATTCTTCAGCCATAGATGAACTTCATGATTTGCAAGAAATTTTGGCACTGCCTTATCATATTCAAATAACTTGGAATAACAGAAATTACATGTAAGAAAAAAAACAAAACCCTGCCTGAGACAAATAACTTTAATACTGTTCTTTGCAATTAATCTTACCTGTATAGCTATGAGCCAATTTGCTTACCAAAATCAAAATAGACTTATGAACTACTAATATTGGTCTTACAGAAACTACTTCATCTTATTAGAGCTTGCTGATCTTTCTTGTGAGGGCACATATTTGTTACATGGGGCTTGCTTGATTTTTCTACCATTCTATTCCAGGAAAAATAATAAAATGGGTATATGTGCAGTGAAAGCTGAGTTGGAGGTGGCAATTTGGAGACTGTTTTATTTATCTTAAAACTCAAGCTTATAGCTTCATTGCCACTTTTTGTTTGTTTTTTGAGACAGGATCTCACTGTGTCACCCAGGCTGGAATGCAGTAGTGTGATCCTAGCTCATTGCAGCCTTGAACTCCTGGGCTCAAGTGATCCTCCCACCTCAGCCTTTTGAACAGCTAGGACTACAAGCATCCACCACCATGCCTGGCTAGTTATTTTTTTAAAATATTTTTGTTTTTTGTAGAGATGGGGGTCTCACCCTGTTGCCTAGGCTGGTCTCAAACCCATAGCTTCAAGCGCCTCCTGCCTCAGCTTCCCAGAGTGCTGGGATTATAGGCGTGAGCGACCATGTCTGACTCATCACCACATTTTTTTTGTTTGAGGTTTAAGCACAATTTGTACACAACTGATTATGTGAAACAGTAAGGGCCTGTAAATATATTGAAATAAAAATAAGTAAAAGGCCATAATGTTGCTTCTGAAAATAGTATCTTCTGCAAGCAGTGCACAGAGGTTGAGTTTGTGAACTGCATCAATAAAATTGTAATTGTCTTAGGGCTCTCCAGAGAAGCGAAAGCTCCAGTTGAAGTCTGAAGGCCTGAGAACCAGCAGAACCAGTGGGGTAGTTCCCATCTAAGGGCTGGCAGGCCTGAGACCCAGGAAAAGCTGATGCTTCAGGTAGATCTCAAAGGCAAGAAAAAAATTGATGCCTTAGTTCAAAGACCATCAGACAAGAGAAAGTCTCTCTTTTGCAAGAGAGGTCAAATTTTTGTTCTCTTTGGACTCTATTAGTGGATGATTAATATATTTCTCCACATTAGGAAGGGTGATCTTTATTACTCAAAGTACCAAATTAAATGTTAAGCTCATACAAGAATATGAAAATATAAGAATACCCTCACAGAAATACCTGGAATAATGGTTGACCAAATGTCTGGGTATCTTTCAGCCCAGTCAACCTTTTTTTTTTTTCTTTTAGACCAGGCCTGGCTCTGTCGCCCTGGCTGGAGTGCAGTAGTGCAATCTTGGCTCAGTGCATCCTCAGCTTCCAGGGCTCAAGTGAATGTCCTGCTTCAACCTCCTGAGTAGCTGAGACTGCAGATATATGCCACCATGCATGGCTAATTTTTACTTTTTTTTTTTTTATACAGATGGGGGTCTCACTATGTTGCCCCAGCTTGTTTTGAACTCCTGGGCTCAACTGATCCTATTGCCTTGGCTTCCCAAAGTGCTGGGATTACAGGCATGAGCCACTGAGCCTGGCCTTTAACCCCAGTCAACTAGACACATAAAATTCATTATCACAATCATCAGCATTTGGCTTAGGAGTTGAAGAGACTTTCACTGGTTACTATTAGAGGACATAAATACTGTAAGACCTTGGTGGTAACATCAGCTGTAAGAAACAATAGAAACAAAACTGATCAAAATATACTTTATGTCTTCCATTGACCTGGGTTGGAAGTGAACTTCAAAACAGTGTTGCAAATGTGCAGTTTGGGAGCTGCAGCTGCAATTAGCTAGTTACAATTCAGAAGCATTTTTTCTTTTCCTTTAATGGCAAACTTATAAAATTTGACTATTATTTTTAAAAGCAGTTAATTTTCCTGTAATAGTGTAGTATTGAAAATAGTTAAATATTATTATTTCACAAGTTTTGGACTTAAGATATACTCTTATCTCAGAAATTTTATTCTGTGAAGGTGATATTTAGCTTCAGTCGTGGTTAAATTTTGACTTAAATACTCTGCCATTCAGCCTTTGACTAAAATGTATTTTTGTTGTACTTATATATGCTTCCTTCATATTCCTGAAGATCAGGGCAATTTCAGAAGGGCATTATCTTGTAAGAATTTCCTGTTAAAATTTCAGCAAACTTGGTCTTTCCTTTGGACCCAGGAAGACAGTCCCTAGGGGTATGGCCCTCATTCCTGGCTTGGCTTCTTGTCACAACTATGTCACTAATACTTACACAATCATTTTTGGGCAACATTGCAAATAAGCATAATAGGAAGAAAAGTGAGAAGTTATCCTATTCCCATAAGATCTGATGGGGTCCTTAGGGAGGGCTACAGCTAGAAAATTTCTTTTTAGAGGTGGATAGGGGCAGCCTGGGGAGGGGGAGTGGGCACTGTGTGGACAGCAAAGTCCTCACTTTCAAGGTGGGTTTTTTTTGTTTGTTTGTTTGTTTGGTTTTTTTTTTTTTTTTGAGACAGGGTCTCACTCTGTTACCCATGCAGGAGTACAGTGGTGTGATCATAACTCACTGTAGCTTTGAGCCCCCGGCCTCAAGCGATCCTCCCACCTCAGCCTCCTAAGTAGCTGAGACTATAGCTACACACATCGCTACTCCCAGCTAATTTAAAAATTTTTTTTTTGTAGAGACAGGGTCTCACTTTTTTGCCCAGGCTGGTCTTGAATTCCTGGCCTCAAGTGATCCTCCCTTCTCAGCCTCCCAAAGTGCTAGGATTGCAGGTGTGAGCCACTGTGTCCAGCCCATGGTTGCATTTTTAGCCAAAATAGTAGTAGGTTAGGGAATGAGCTACACTGTTATCAGGGAGAAGAGAGTTCTGAGTAGAAGAAACAGCCAGCATACCTAGATTGTTCCACAAACAGCAAAGAGGCCAGTGTAAGGCATAAGGCCCTAGAGAGGCATGAGCCTTGCAAGGGGGAGAGTAGGAGGAAAAAAAAAGCCAGGGAAGCCATGGGGCCCAGGACTCCATTCACCATATAGCAACATGGACCACTAAGTGAGCTTCAGCTTTTAATAACTAGGATGGTGAGCCCGTCCAGGATTTGGGACTGATGGGTGGCATAATCTGACTTTCCTTTTGAGCATATATATGTAAGAATAAATTTGATTCCCCTATAAAACAACAGTTTTTAAGGAAATGTTTTAGAATTTATAGTAAATTTGACATAGTACCTAGAGTTAGGCAAGCTGCATAGTGTGAGGGAACAGCTCCCTGAAGACTGTTCTCTAATGCCAGCCACAAATTCAGGTTTCCCCCGGGTTATCTTTATGTCTGGCCATCTGGCTACAAATATGGGGATTCACATAATCCACCTCAGGTTTGATAACTCACTAGAATGACTCAGAACTCAGGGAAGTGCTATACTTAAAGATTACAGTTTTATTACAACAAAAGGATACAAGTTAGAACCATCAAAAAGAAAGAGGCACAGAGCCAATTCTGGGAGGTTTCCAAATGCAAAGCTTCTGTTGTCTTCAGGGATACGTTATCCTCCCAGCTTTGAAGTGTGACAATGTTCAAAGAGTATTGCTAACCAGGGAAGCTCACCTTAGCTTTGGTGTCCAGAGTTTTTATTCAGGCTGCATTGAGTCATGATGTTGATTGACTCATTGGCCACATGGTTGGATTCAATCTTCAGTTCTCCTCTTTTTCCCCTTCCAGAAATCCGGCTGATATCACACTGCTGAAAGCCTAATCTGTTAACCACATGGTTGGTCTTTCTAGCATGACCAGTTCCCACCTTTAGTCATTTGTTAGCATAAACTATCAGGTATAGTATGAGGTGCCCACCGTAAATAACAATGACACTACAATCACTCAGGACATTTCAAAGGTTTACAGTTTACCTCCCAGGAACTGGGGACAAAGGTCAGCCACATTCTTATTGTACATATAGATCATACAAGGATTATATAGAGATATTCTGATAGAATTGATAATCAAGTATGTTTTCACTCTAATTCATGTCAATTCAATATGTACCTTCCTTTCCACTGATTCTTTGTACTTAGACATGCTATTTTTATCCTTCTTCTCATTCTTAAAATGAACAGATATTTTGTGATCCTTGTTTAGAACAATAGTGTTCTTTTTTTGTTTTTATCAGTAGCTTTAATTTGTAAATTTTTTTATATTTTTCTTTTATGAACTGTTTTTCATAGATATTCCTTCCCATGTGCTTCCATCTTTTTTCTCTTACTCTCTGGTTTAAGATTCAAGGTATGAAACTGTGAGTGGATAAATTGCATAATCATAATTCTGTCGTTTTGCTGGTGAACATTTCTGTGGTCTTAAAGTATTGCTCTCTTGCAAGTTTAGTATATTTTTTCTTCACATGATCACTTAAATTCAGATTGGAAAGTTTACTCGATAAGGTTCCTACTCTACTTTGGGATTTTGAATGGATAATTCTGCTGAAACATAATCAGTTAAATGAGTTTTAATTGGGCAGTGCTACTCATATTTCTCACAAGTCTGATGCTGCTGGCCACTCAGTGCAGAAATCACATGCCAAATGTAGAAAGCCAGAAATATTTAAGTTTTGGCTTCCCTCCTTTGTCATAGAACCCCCTTTCTAGGGTCAAAATACCCATTTCAAGTGCTTTGAAAGGAGCTTTGAAAGATTTAAATGGTGTTGCAACAGGGAGAAGACTAGCCCAGTCTGGGTCAACAGCTGTGTTTTCTGTTCTAGGAGTCTCTCTCGACCAGACTTACCTTTGTTGTTGTTTTATTGTTTTCTGATATAAAGCCTTGGTCTTGGCTTTGGCCCATCAGTGACTGGAAATCTGATGATGGAGAAGGTACACAGGATCTTTGCCACCTGCCGGGCAGATGATGCTAAGAACCACGTGGCTGCCATTACTGTAGGGCCTGATTTGTGTTTTAAAAGAATCAGTCTGGCTGTTGTATCAAGAATAGACCCAGGAGACCTGGTAGAAGCCAGTTATAAGCTTTTTGCAATATTCCAGTATGAGATTATGATAGTTTGCATCAAAGATATCTCAGTGCAGATATTTAGAATTGCTCAGATTCTAGCTGAATCTTAAAGGAAGAACCAACAATATTTGCTGAGAGTTTGGATATAAGATGTGAGAGAGAGGGAGGAGTCAAAAGATGACTCTAGATGTATTAGTTATCTATCATTGAGTAACGAAGTATTTCAAAACTTAGAGGCTTAAAACAATAGCATTGATTTCTCATAGTTTCAATGAGTGTTGCTGGATGTTGCTTTAATGGGTGCTCTGGTTCTGGGTCTCTCTCAAGGCTGTAGTCATCTCATGGGTCAACTGGGAAGGATCTGCTTCCTGGCTCACTTTCCTGGCTATTGGTCAGATTCAATTCCTCACAAGCTGTTGGCCAGAGATGACTCTTTGTGTTTCACTATGTAGGCCTCTCCATAAAGCATCTCACAGTATGGCAGTTTGCTTCATTAGAGTGAACAAGTGAAAGCGTCACAGAGTGTCAACAAAAGGGAGGCTGCTAGCAAGATGGAAGTCACAATCTTTTGTAAACTAGTCATGGAAGTGGCATCCAATTACTTTTGCTGTATTCTATTTAGCAGAAGCAAGTCACTAGGTCCAGCCCACGTTCAAGGGGAGGGGCGTACCCAAAGGCACGAATACCAGGAAAAAGAATCATTGGAAGCCACATCAGAATACCTGAGTTTTAGCCTATATCCACCATGCCAGAGTTTCAGCCTCCATAACTGGACTGTTAGAGATCATATTTACTGAGATGAGGAAGACTGCATTAGGAGCATCTTTGTGAGGGGTTGGGTTGGGTAAATTAGAATTTTTTATTTTTGATATGTTAAATTTGATATGGCTAGTAAACATCCACGTTGGTTATATGTCTGACTTTAAAGGGAGCTATTCAGGCAGGAGATAAACAGGAATCTTCTTGCACCTTGATGCATTATCATACACCAGTGACAATGATGTGAGCACACATGGTAGCATGTGTTTTACATGAGTCAGTATCATATAGCAGTTAGCAGCAGACATCCCAAAGCCCCATTGCATAGGTTCAAATTTCTGCTCTACAACTTACTATGTGTTTGACCATGAATAAGTTACTTGTTTTTGAACCTCAGTTGCTCATCCATAAGTTGGGGATAATAACAATAACTAAAACATAGAGCTGTAATGAGTTGAATGAATAAGAATGTATGAAATGATCTTAACTTTGCTTATAGTAAGTGTAGTATATTATTATTATTATTGTTGTTGCTTTTTTTTTTTAAAAAAAAGAATCACCTTTTAAACAGCATGCAATTTGAGAATACTGTTGCCATCTGGCAGCTTTGGATGGATAAAAATGTACCAGTCTTCCATAAAATGCCTTATTCATCATATGTGTCTACATGTGATCTCTGGCTATTCTTTGACTTGAAAATAATGATAAGAGAAAGCTATTTACATAAATAAAGCTATTATATCATAAAAATAAACAAATTGAAGTTTTTAAAAGGTGTTTCAGATACATTTAATGCATCTATTAAAAAATAGAATTTATTCCACCATTCAACAAACTTGTTTTATTGTCTCCTATAGCTACATTCTGCTCCTTTCATATAGGAGGTCAAAGAATAAATTAGGATCTTCCAGGTATCAGGGTTTAGAAAAGTGCTGGTAGTAAAAAGAAAAAGGTGTTAATAGTCATTTTTTTTCTTGATTCCTTCTAAGAGAAGAGTGAATCATAACACATTGGTGGTGGGTGAGAATGGCATGACTCTGTTGATAGCCCTCAGTTTTGTTTTTTTGTTTTTTTTTTTTTTTTTACGCAATTGAATGAGTGGTGGAAGACCTGCTTCTTTTTCTTCTCCCTAACTAAAGCTCAGAGAAAGCTGAAACATGTGAGAATCTGCAGTGGCATTCAAATCTTGCTCTGAGGAATGAGGACTCTGAGGATGTGTGTCTGGGGCTATTCTGTATGAGAGAGGAGTTAAGAGTGCTGGTTTTTGGTTCCACTCGCATTACTTCAACAATAACTTCTGTTTTCACATGTTTTGTACATTTGGTATCTGTGTAAATTTTGTTTAAAACATTTTCTTGGGCTGAAAAGTACTTAAAAATTATTACTTAAAAAGAAGCCTGTTCGTAAATATCTTACACCTACGATTTCTGTAAACACATTGATTAAAACATAAATGTGCCTGGGAAGGTTATGCGGACTGGGCAAGGGGGAAGTGACTCATCAAAAAGTCTTTGCTTAGGTGTTTCAGCCCAATCAGATTGCTTTCCTAAGCCCCTATTTATGATCCACATGAGAAGTGGGGAGCTTTTCAGAAAAGAGAAAAAGTGATGTAACTGTGGAACATGTGACATTAGAGGTTAGGCAAGCCCAAGGGGACTCGCACTGAGAAAAATTTCAAAAGCCAAAGGGCAGTGTGAAGGCATTACATTTTTGTGGTGTAACAGAGGGATTACAAGAAGATAGATGTTAGTAGCAGAGGTGAAAAAGAACAAACACTTAAATTATTTTAAAATCGGACTTTGTGTTGGCCATTTTCCTATTTTTTGTATGTCTAGAATGATATAGCCCCATATAAGAAAAACAGGGCTACATTTTAGGACTGGACCCAGGACTAGCTGGTAGGGCAACAGCAGAGTGCATATTTGCACAAAATGTGTACCTGTGCTTATGTGCAAATTAAAGGAAATTTTTTACAGGTCTTTGCTTTTTTGAAAATTTGTTTTTGTAAATTGACACATTATAATTGTACACGTTAATATGTGTAGAGTACTATTTGACGTTTCAGTGTATATCTATGATGTATAATGATTGAATCAGGGTAGTTACCGGATCCATTGCCTCATGCATTTATCATTTCTTTGTGGTGAGAACATCCAAAGGCCTCTCTTCTAGCTGTTTTGTAATATATGATATTTTACTATTACATACATTTTATGTGCAATAGACCACCAGAACTTATTCTTCCTAATTGTAATTTTGTACCCATTGACCAACCTCTCCCCATCCCCCTCTCCCCTCCTTAGTCTCTCATAACCACTGTTCTACTTTCTGCTTCTATACCAACTTTCTTTTTCTTTTCTTTTTTTTGAGATATGGTCTCATTCTGTCACCCAGGCTGGAGTGCAGTGGCACGATCACAGTTCACTGCAGTCTCAAACCTCCCAGGCTCAAGTGTTCCTCCTGCCTTAGCCTCCCAAGTAGCAGGGACTACAGGTGCAAGCCACCACGCCTGGCTAATTCTTTTTTTTATCCTCTTAGATTCCACATAAGATCATGTGATATTTTTCTTTGTCTGTCTGGCTTATTTCACCTAACCTGATGTCCTTCAGGTTCATCCATGTTGTCACAAATAACAGGATTTCATTCTTACTTATTTTTTTCTTTCATCCATAGGACTCTGCTTGATTGGGATTTCATTCTTTTTATGGCTGAATAATATTCCATTGTGTATATAAGCCACATTTTCTTTTTTTAATTTAAATTTTATTTTAAGTTCTGGGATACATGTACAGAATGTGCAGGTTTGTTACATAGGTAAACATGCGCCATGGTGGTTTGCTGCACCTATTAAGCCATCACTTAGGTATTAAGCCCTTATGTATCAGCTATTTGTCCTGATGCTCTCCCTCCCCTCCCCCGACCGACAGGCCCCAGTGTGTGTTTTGTTCCCTTCCCTGTGTCCATGTGTTCTCATTGTTCACCTCCCACTTATGAGTGAGAACATGCAGTGTTTGGTTTTCTGTTCCTGTGTTAGTTTGCTGAGGATGATGACTTGCAGCTTCATCCATGTCCCTGCTAAGGACATGACCTCATTCCTATTTATGGCTGCATAATATTCCACGGAGTATATGTACCACATTTTCTTTATCCAGTCTATCATTGATGGACATTTGGGTTGATTCCATGTCACATGTCTTTGCTATTGTGAATAGTGCTGCAATAAACATACATGTGTATCATCTTTATAACAGAATGATTTATATTCCTTTGGGTATATACCCAGTAATTGGATTGCTGGATCAAATGGTATTTCTGGTTCTAGATCCTTGAAAAATTCCCACTGTCTTCCACAATGATTGAACTAATTTACGTTCTCATCAACAGAGTAAAATCATTCCTCTTTCTCTGCAGCCTCGCCAGCATCTGTTGTTTCTTGACTTTTAACTAATCATCATTCTGACTGGCGTAAGATGGTATCTCATTGTGATTTTGATTTGCATTTCTCTAATGATGAGTAATGTTGAGCTTTTTTTCATGTTTGTTGGCCACATAAATGTCTTCTTTTGACAAGTTTCCGTTCATGTCCTTTGCTCACTTTTTAATGGGGTTTTGTTTTTTTCTTGTAAATTTAAGTTCCTTGAAAATTCTGGATATTATAATTTTGTCAGATGGATAGATTGCAAAAATTTTCTCCCATTCTGTAGGTTGTCCATTTGCTCTGATGACAGTTTCTTTTGCTTTACCACATTTTTAAAATTTAGTCATCTGTTAATGTACACTTAGGTTGATTCGTATCTTGGTTCTTATCAGTAGTGCTGCAATAAACATGGGAATGCAAATATCTTCTTGACATACTGATTTCATTTCCTTTGGGTATATACACTGTAGTGGGATTGCTGGATCATATGGTAGTTCTATTTTTAATTTTTTGAGCCATACTGCTTTCTGTAATGGCTGTGATGGTTTACAATCCCATTGACAGTGTATGTGTTCCCTTTTCTCCACATCCCTACCAACACTTGTTATATTTTGTTTTTTGGCTAATAGCCATTGTAACTTGAGTAATGTGGTATCTCATCTTATTGTCCTGATGATTGGTGATGCTGAGCACATTTTCATATAGCAGTTGGCTATTTGTAGGTCTATTTTTGAGAACTGTCTATTAAGATTTTTACCCATTTTTAAATTGGGCTACTTTTTTTTTTTGATGTTAAATTTCTTATATATTCTGGATATTAACCCCTTGTCAGATGTATACCTTGTAAATGTTTTTTTTCCATTCTGTAGGTTGTCTCTTCACTGTGTTAATAATTTCCTTTGTGGTGCAAAATCTTTTTAGTTTTATGTAACCCCATTTGTCTATTTTTGCTTTTGTTGTCTGTGTCTTTAAGGTCTTATTTTAAATCCTTGCCCAGCCCAATGTTGTTTTCTGTTTTTTTTTAGTAGTTTTATAGTTTCAAATTTTAGATTTAAATATTTAATCCATTTTGAGTAGATTTTTGTGTATGATGAGAGGTAGATAGGGGTCTGGTCTCATTCTTCTGTATGTGGATATCCAATTTTTTCAGCTCCACTTATGGAAGACATTGTATTTTTCCCAATGTGTGTTCTTGGCACATTTGTTGAAAATCAGTTGCCTGTAGGTGTGTGAATTTATTTCTGAGCTCTCTATTCTGTTCCATTGCTCTATGTGTCTGTTTTTATGCCAGTACCATGCTGCATTGATTACTATAGCTTTGTAGTATATTTTGAAGTCAGGCAGTGTGATGTCTCCAGCTTTGTTATTTTTGTTCAGGATTTCTTTGGCTATCCAGGATATTTGTTGTATCATATGAGTTTTAGGATTGTTTTTTCTATTTCTGTGAAGAATGTCATTGGTATGTCGATAGAAATTGCATTGAATCTGTAGATTGCTTTGGGTAGTGTGGTCATTTTAACAAGATTAATTCTTTCAACCCATGAACATGGAATGTCTCTTCATTTATTCATATCCTCTTTAATTGTTTTATCAAAGTTTTATAGTTTTCAGCATAGAGATCTTTTACCTCCTTGGTTAAGTTTATTCCTAGGTATGTTATTTGTATGCATTCGTAGCTATTGTGAATTTAATTGTTTTCTTGATTTCTTTTTCAGGTAGGTCACTATTAGCGTAGAGAAATGCTACTGATTTTTGCATGTTAACTTTGTATGCTACAACTTTACTGAATTTGTTTATTAGTTTTAACAGTATTTTTGGTGAAGTCTTTAGGGATTTCTATATATAAGGTCATGCCATTTCTACAAACAGGAACAATTTGACTTCCTCCTTTCCAATTTCGATACTTTTTATTTCTTTCTGTTGTCTAATTGCCCTGGCTAAGACTTCCAGGACTTTGTTCAACAGAGTAGTGAAAGAGGGGATCCTTGTCTTGTTTCTTGTTCACTATGATGTTAGCTGTGGAGTTGTCATAAATGGCCTTTATTGTGTTGAGATACATACCATCTGTAAGCACTTTTTGAGAGTTATATCATAAAGGTATATTGACTTTTGTCAAGTGCTTTTTCTGTATCTATTGAAATGATCATATGGTTTTTATCTTTCCTTTTGTTAATGTGATATATTATTACACAATTTGTTGATCTGCATATGCTACATCATTCTTGTATCTCTGGGATGAATTCCACTTGATCGTGGTGAATGATCTTTTTAGTGTGCTGTTGGATTTGGTTTGCTAGTATCTTGTTGAGAATTTTTAAATCTATGTTCACTACCTGTAGTTTTATTTTTTTGCTGTGTTCTTGTCTGGTTTTGGAAACAGGGTAATGCTGGCCTCATAAAATGAGTTTAGAAGTACTCCCTCCTCCTCAATTTTCTGGAACTGTTTGAGGAGAATTGATGTTTGTTCTTTAAATGTTTGGTAGAATTTTGCACTGAAACCATCAGGTCCAGAGATTTTCTTTGATGGAAGACTTTGTATTGCCTTTTCAATTTCCTCACTTGTTACTGGCCTGTTCAGATTTTATATTTCTTTATAATTTAATCTTGGTAGGTTGTATGTGTCCAGTAAATTATTTATTTCTTCTATGTTCTCAAATTTGTTGGCATATAGTTGTTCATAATAGTCTCTTATGATGCTTGTATTTTTGTGCTATCAGTTGTAATGTTTCTTTTTTCATATCTGATTTTGTATTTTCTCTCTCCTTTTTTTTTTTTTTTTTTTTTTTTTGTGATGGAGTCTTGCTCTGTTGCCTGGGCTGGAGTGCAGTGGCATGATCTCTGCTCACTGCAAGCTCCGCCTCCCGGGTTCAGGCCATTCTCCTGCCTCAGCCTCCCGAGTAGCTGGGACTACAGGTGCCTGCCACCATGCCTAGCTAATTTTTTTTTTTTTTTGTATTTTTAGTAGAGACGGGATTTCACCATGTTAGCCAGGATGGTTTCACTCTTCTGACCTCGTGATCCACCTGCCTCGGCCTCCCAAAGTGCTGGGATTACAGGCGTAAGCCACTGTGCCCGACCTGTATTTTCTCTTTTTTTCTTAGTCTAGCTAAAGGTTTGTCAATTTTGTTTATATTTTCAAACAAACAACTCTTTTGTTGATTCTTTTGAATTTTTTAAGTCTCTATTTCATTTATTTCTGCTCTGAGCTTTATTATTTCCTTTCTTCTACCAATTTTGGGTTAGTTTGTTTTTGTTTGTCTAGATTCTTGAGGTACATTGTTAGGTTATTAGAAACTTTTCTTTTGTGATATAGGCATTTATTGCTATGAACATTCCTCTAAGAACTGCTTTTGCTGTGTCCTATAGGTTTTGATATGATATTTTTCCATTCTCATTTGTCTTAAGAAAATTTTTAATATTCCTATTGACCCATTAGTTGTTGAAGAGCATGCTTAATTTTAAAGAAAAGTATAATTAGGGTTCAGAGTTAAAGTCAACTGATCAGATACTTGAGTGCAAATAAAATTCAGTTCTCTTTTTGGTATATTTGATATTTTCCCATTCAGAGACAACCACAGATATTTTGTGTATATGTCTACATGCATATTCCAAAATTGTATTTTGTAAATGATAGTACTAATCATGGTCTAATCTTTACAAAATGCTAGACTGCACCTGAAAATGAGAGCTTGAGCTTTCCAGGTTCTATGATCCAGAGTGAATATTAGAAGACTATAGATTGAGAAAACTTAATTCTATTTCATGCATTCCCTTATGTTACAGAAATGTGGTCAATGTTATGTCTCTGTGTCTCAAAGACATCTTATACAAATTAGGATAGTAAATCCCCCTCCTTTACACGCCTCTTATTCATTGCATGCTTATAAAAAGTTTTTCTATTCCTTTGATAGAATTAAATTCAATTTTCTCACACATGTTACCTAAGGTGTGTAGCCTTTGCATTCTATATGTTTATTTTGACATAGCCTAGAAAGGGTGGCAGGTCAATGTGGAATATTCCAAATTTTCTCTCTTACCACAGGCAGTTATATAATCTTTCTATAAAGGTCTGACAATTGGACTGAATATGGATGCTGAACTTTGCATCTAAGAGGAATGTTATTTAAAAGAAAGCTGCAAAGGACCATGCAAGGACATGGTTTGTTTAAGCAAATATTTTTCAAGCCAGTTCATCTCCATTAAGAATGGTGAATTTTATCTGACTCATTGAAGCAGGAAATACATCTCACCTCTTCAGCAGGAATAACCTTTACTGAAGCACATGAATGTTTTCTTTCCATCTTTGTGCTCTGTTTCCTCTTCAGTGGAATCTTGATAACACGAAAACACTTCAGTTTTATCTCTGGCTCCTTCTGGTGCTGTGAGATTTAAGTGTGAATTTGAGGGCTCAAATTCTGCATGTGACTTGAACAAATTGTATTAAACTATGTCAAGGAGGAAGGAAATCAAGCTGATGATGAGTTTTAAGCACGTCTCTCAATACAATATACTGTAGGAAAAGTTTTAGTATCAGTAAAATGAGAATCAATCAGTATTTTGTTCTCTGGTAAGAAAGACAGAAAACAGAATTCCCAGTCCTTATTAGACCCCCTCCACATACCATTTTGTATATAAATCTTAGGTGTTTCTGATGAAATTACTTTGATTTTTATGAAAAGAGTTTTTAAAAATTGAAATTCTGTGTTATGATTTATGTGACTTATATAGAAAAGGCTGGATGAAATCCCTTCACTACTTCCCATAGTTGGAAGTACTTCCTTATAGCTTTTGGAATTCTGGAAAGTGTAGTCCAGAAGTTCTGTGTAGTCAACAGCACTTCCTCCTCAGGGGAGTGGGTGTGGTCCTTGTCATCCTGGGATGGTAAAAGTAATAGCTCCCAGATGTGCCCGGCACTGTTCTGCCTGCTTTACATTTAATTCTCAGAAGAAACCCAAGTATGAGACTTAAGTGTCCCCTCCATTTCATAGATGATGAAACAGATTAAGGGGATTGAATGACTTGTCTGAGGTCACACACAAGCTTACGCAGAACATAAGGAATTTGAACCAGGACTTTGATGCTAAAATCTATGCCCTAACCTAGACTCTTCTTATATAAACTCAAAATAAACAGATAATTTTAATCTTTAATCTGGCAGTAACTGAGGAATTCTATCTTCCGAGCATGAAAAGAGAAGTATCTTCTTCCAAAATTACCCATGGAGCATGAAGCGAAAAGACAGAGGGACATTTTCCCATTCCTTTTCAAGTAGAGGACATGGCATGCATCTTAAGTCCCAGAACCTTCCAACCATGCCTTTTTTTGTTTCCTCTCCTATTTTCTAAGAATGGATCCTTGAAGGAAATGGGATTCATTGAGACAGATAAAGTAGGGAGAAGAGCCGGGCCTGGTGGCTCATGCCTATAATCCCAGCACTTTGGGAGGCCGAGGCTGGTGGATCACCTGAGGTCAGGAGTTCGAGACCAGCCTGGCCAGCATGGTGAAACCCCATCTCTACTAAATATACAAAAAAATTAGCTGAGTGTGATGGTGGGCGCCTGCAATCTGAGCTATTTAGGAGGCTGAGGCAGGAGAATCATTTGAACCTAGGAGGTGGAGGTTGCAGTGAGCCAAGATCGCACCATTGCACTCCAGCCTGGGCAAGAGTGAGACTCCGTCTCAAACAAACAAACAGAAAGTAGGGAGAATAAGGAAGACAACATTTCCTCTTTTGGGAGTTAGTCTCTTATCACAAGATTTGTCCATAAGAAAAAAAATAAATTTGATTTTTAAAAGCTTATTCTCAATTTTTCAAAGTACTTTGCTCTAATTACCCAGATGGGAAGATTGTAATTGACCAAACCATCACTTCTGTACATTTCAGTATTTTAAAATCAGGATGGATTCAGGAGTTTCAAAAAGATGAATTAGAAAATTACTATTCTTAAAAAATGTTCTGATAATAAATATCAGGAAAAATTTAAGAGATAAGGTATTAAGAAAACTTCTTCCTTTTTTTAATTCTGTAACTGAACTGATCACTTCATTTTTATATGGCTTCTTTCTGTACCAAGAGCATATTTTCCATTCTGTACCCGTAGTCTTACATACAGGCTTTTGGAGATTAGTACATTGTCAGAGAAGATAGTAGAGAAGACAGGACCACTTTTCTTAAAGACCACTCTTGTGTTGGTCACTCTCACTTCACCTAGTCAATTTTTCTCACTCTGCTTAAGATAATCAGAAATTAGCTTGTTTATTTATTTTCTGATTTATTGTCTTTTTTCCTCATTAGAGTGCCATGATCATGATAGCAGGAACCTTAGACTCTTGTTCTTTGCCATGTCTTCAGGATTTAGGAGACCCTCCAGTAACACACTAAACATTCAAATTAACTGAGAAGGGGGATATACAGCATTCCTTTTAGGAACATAATACTTTGATGTATTCTAATCAGTACCCCATAGACAGGCAATTTATTTGTGCAATTGGGACAAAACTAGCATCAAATGTTATTAAAATATCACCATTTTACAACCTCCTAATGAAATAATGGACCTTGACAAAGATCATCAGCCCTGATACTATCACAAAGAGACCAATCAGGTAATATAATGTGGTTTTCCTGGTATAATTCATATAATCATCTATGAAAGATTCTTTTTTATTTTATTTCCAACTTCTGTTTTAAGTTCTGGGGTACATGTGCAGGATGTGCAGGTGTGTTCCATGGGTAAACGTGTGCCATGGTGGTTTGCTGCACAAATCATCCCATCACCCAGGTATTAAGCCCAGCACCCATTAGCTGTTCTTCCTGATCCTCTCTCTCCCTCCAACCCCTGCCCTCTGACAGGCCCCTACTAGTATGAGTTGATTCCCCTGTGTGCACGTGTTCTTAGTATGAAATATTCTCGCCAAAAATTTTAACCTGATTCATATAAGCTTTCAAATTAAATCAAAGGTTTACAGGAAATTCAGGACAGAGGAATATGTTACACAGCATCATGGCAATCAGCAATATCTAGAATGAGGGATTTCTATAGAACAAACAGCCTTGTATCCTTAATAAATAAAATGAAAGTAGAAAAGTAAAGAGAAAAAGGAAGCAATATATTGAAGGCAGTTTAGAGATACCACAATCAGCCAAATTGGGGACTTTGGTTCCCATCAAAATAAGCCAATTTTTTAAAATAATTTTGAGTATTTAGAGAAATATGAACACTAGGTGGATATTTGATGTTATTGTGGAACTTTTGTTCAAGTTTTTGAAATGGGGAAGGCTGTCCTTGGGAGAGCTCCAAGCCGTAAATGGATTTCAAAGCAATTCAGTAAGTAGTTTCAAGTTGGGGTGAATGCAGAAAGTATTTCAATATTTTGTTACTGTGTAGTGTCGCCTTTCATCTCTAGTAATACTTATTAAAGTCTACTTTGTCTGATAATACAGATTTTCCAACTTTCTTCTTGGTAGCTTGGGGATGGAATATACATTTTCATCCTTTATTTTCAACTTTTCTTGTTTTAGGCAAATCTATCTCAGACCACATGTATTAGGGTTTTGTTCTTTGTTATCTAATTTTTCATTTTATGTTTTACTTGGATTATTAAGTTGATTTGTATGTAAAATGATTACTGATATGTTAGAATTTAAATATACCACTCTACTGCTTTGTTTAGATTGTTCTTGTCCTTTATTTTCCTTTTTCCTTTGTTTTGAAGTCAGTGTTTTTTCATTATTTCATTTTCCCTTTAACATTTGGGAGGTTTTATACTTTTTTATTCTAGTCTTAGTGATTACACTATATGTCATAATGTAAATTCTTAGCTTATCAAAGGCTATTATTAATTCATGATTTTACTTTCTTCCCAAATGTTCTAAGGAACATTTTATCTTCCCAGATGATCTAAGGAACATCTGATCATTTTAACACAATTTACTTATTTTAGCATTTTTTATAATGTTTACTGAAGGAAAACTATGCTTTCATCAGCCAGAAAGTGTCTTTATTTCACTTTCATTTTTAAAGAATAAAATCACTAAATAGAAGATTCTAGTGTGAAAGGTTTTTTTTTCCTTTTCAGGATGTTAAAAATGTCATATCTTAACTTCTAGCATCCATTGTATCTAATGAGAAGTCAGATATATTTTTAGCCATTAAAAAAACTCTACATAATCTGATTTGTTTTCCATTTGACTGCTTTTAAGATTTTTTTTCTTTCTTTATGGTTTTCAGCAATTTGAGTGTGATATGCTTAAATGTGGTTTTCTTTGTGTTCATTCTGCTTGGAGTTTTCAGAGCTTCTTGAATTCATGCGTTGATATCAATACATTTTGGGACATTCTTGGCAATTAACTCTGAGCATTTTCATCTGTCTCATTTCTTCTCTTCCTTCTGGAATGCTAATTACAGAATGTAAGATCATTTGATACTGTTCTAGAGATCTTGGATGCTTTGTTCAATTTTTTTGCTCAATTTTCTGTTTGCATTTCAGTTTTGATAATTCTATTGACTGTGTTCAAATTCTATTATCCTTTTTTCTACTGCATCCAATGTGCTAATAAGTACATTTGATGGATTCTTCATTTTTAACATATTGTGCTCCTAGTAACTCTTTTTTTTTTGCCTTTTAAAAGATGATTTTGATATTGCTGCTGAAACCCCAGTATGTTGTACACATATTTATTACAGTGATTTTAAAGCCTCAGTCTTATAATTCTAATATCTGTGCTATATTTGAGTTTGCATCTATTGACTTCTATCTTTTAAACTAGGGTTAACATTTTCTTACTTCCACGTATATTTCATTTCTTTTGATTTTATGCCAGATTGTAGGCAAAATCAGGAGAGTCAGAAGTAAATAATATTTACTTCTGGAATAAGGTGCAATCCTTCTGCCAGGCTACTAGTGTAGGGGCTGAACTAATCCTATCTATAGTTCAGCTGGATCTGGGCTTCGTTACAGTTTTAATTTAGTTCAGTTTACCACTGTTTTTAAATAGTTTGAAGGTGAGGACAGTACTTCCCCTTCAGATTGGGATCTGAGTACTTGTGAAACTGTGGAATTCCGTGTCTTTTCGTTATACAGTCCAGGTGCTGGCTTGCTGAGCTGTGGACGTTTCTTTGCCCTCTATGTTGTCTGCCAGTTTCTTGGGTTGTTAGGGAGTAATCCCTCCTCTCCAGCCCTTTTGTCTATGCCTCTGGAAATCTCTCTTTCTCTCCCACACTTCCTTGCCCCCAGCCTTTCGAGGACCCCTGAAGTTCACTTGCGGAAGGCCTGTGATGCCACGGGGTGATCTCCCTCTACTTTCTTGCTCTACCCCCAGCTGGTAGCAGCTGCTGCCTTATACTCAGAGAAAACCTGCTTCTGTTTGAGCAGATTTTTTCAGTTCTCCTGCCCTGCACACACTCTGTGGGTTGCCATGCATTTTGAGAGGGCTCCATGTACCTCGAGAGAGATCTAGCAGCGTTTCTGTTCAACCTCAGCCTACAGGAGCGACCTCCTTGTACTGGGAGAAGGCCCAGTGTGCCTCCGAGGGTTCTCTCTCAGCAGTACTGTCTGGCTCCATCCTTCATCTCTACCCCAGGCACTCAGTGAAGGTCAGTGGGTGAAGACTCATTCCTGGGCTTGATTTACCTCCTGGTTATTCCTATCGATCATACTAGCACATAAGTGACTGTTAAAAATCTGTTAAAAGCTCATCTGGTTTCTCTTGATCCCCAACTAAGGGAAATTCCTCTTCTTTCTGCTGACCCTTTGGATGATAACAGCTATAGGTCTCTTCTCTTCTACCCGGGGCCATGTTTCTGGAATTTATTTCGTTTAGATTATTTTTATTGTGGGTGAATCTTCAGCAATCTGAAAAGTTTAAAACAACTCTGATTTTTGTAACTTATCCAGTTTGTTTTGATTGTTGAGTAGAGGTGATGGTCTTTTGAAATATTCTACATTCTAAGCAGAAACAAATATTTCTAGGAACTGTAACTCACAAGTATTGACATGCAGAATTTTATTATTTTCTATAGTACATTGTGATTGAGTTTAAAAATTTTCAGCTGTCTTTGTTTAAATTTTCTTATTGCTGATTTCTAATTTAATTGTATTTTAGTAAGATAATGTGGTCGATATTATACTTATTTTCATTTTATGTATTTTATTTATTTTTGATTTTTTCAGTATTTCTTTTTTTATTATTATTATACTTGAAGTTCTGGGGTACATGTGCAGAACGTGCAGTTTTGTTACATAGGTATACACGTGCCGTGGTGGTTTGCTGCACCCATCAACCTATCACCTTCATTAGGTATTTCTCTTAATGCTATCCCTCCCCCTGCCTCCCAACCCCCAACAGGCCCCGGGGTGTGATGTTCTCCTCCCTGTGTCCATGTGTTCTCATAGTTCAACTCCCATTTATTAATGAGAACATGTGGTATTTGGTTTTCTGTTCTTGTGATAGTTTGCTGAATATGATGGTTTCCAGCTTCACCCATGTCCCTGCAAAGGACCTGAACTCATCCTTTTTTATGGCTGCATAGTATTCCATGGTGTATATGTGCCACATTTTCTTTATCCAGTCTATCATTGATGGACATTTGGGTTGGTTTCAAGTCTTTGTTATTGTGAATAGTGCCTCAATAAACATATGTGTGCATGTGTCTTTATTGTAGAATGATTTATAATCCTTTGGGTGTATATCCAGTAATGGGGTTGCTGGGTCAAATGGTATTTCTAGTTGTAGATCCTTCAGGAATCTCCACACTGTCTTCCACAATGTTTGAACTAATTTACACTTCAACCAATAGTGTAAAAGTGTTCCTGTTTCTCCACATCCTCTCCAGCATCTGTTGTTTCCTGACTTTTTAATGATCACCATTCTAACTGGCATGAGATTGTATCTCATTGTGGTTTTGATCTGCATTTCTCTAATGACCAGTGAAGATGAGCTTTTTATCATATGTTTATTGGCTCCATAAATGTCTTCTTTTGAGAAGTGTTTGTTCATATCCTTTGCCCACTTTTTGATGGGGTTGTTTGTTTTTTTCTTGCAAATGTGTTTAAGTTCTTTGTAGATTCTCGATATTAGCCCTTTGTCACATGGATAGATAGCAAAAATTTTCTCCCATTCTGTAGGTTGTCTGTTCACTCTGATGACAGTTCCTTTTGCTATGTGGAAGCTCTTTATTTTAATTAGATCCCATTTGTCAATTTTGGCTTTTGTTGCCATTGCTTTTGGTGTTTTAGACATGAAATGTTTGTCCATGCCTGTGTCCTGAATGGTATTGCCTATGTTTTCTTCTAGGATTTTTATGGTTTTCTCTTTTACGTTTAAGTCTTTAATCTGTCTTGAGTTAATTTTTGTATAAGTTGTAAGGAAGGGGTCCCGTTTCAGTTTTCTGCATATGGCTAGCCAGTTTTCCCAACACCATTTATTAAACAGGGAATCCTTTCCCCATTGCTTGTTTGCATCAGGTTTGTCAAAGATCAGAAGGTTGTAGATGATAACACCATACATCATTTTCCTTTTAAAACCCATTGAGATTTCGTTTGTGACCTTTTACATATTCAATATTTGTAAGAGTCTCGTGTAGTCTTTCAAAGCATATCTATTTTATTTCTGGGGTGCAGTTATTTTTTCCTCTCTCTCTCTTTTACCAATTATCTTAATTATCTGTTTGTTTATGGGCTAGATTTATTTCTGCATTGTAATATTTTATATTAATGATAATTTCTTCTGATTTAATATATTATTTCTTAATTTATTCTATTTCAAAGTCTTTGTGATACTTTAATTTTAGACATTGATTTCATCTGGGGCAAATTTACATTTAAGTTGCTGATATTGTCAGCTTTTTAGTACTAGCTAAAATAGTGCATCTTCCTGAGATTAGGCAGTCTCATCTTAAGGCAGATTTTGTTGTTATTATTATTATTATTATTATTATTATTTTTTGCTCTCTCTCCCTCCTTCTTTCCTGTGTACTCTCTCTGTCTAAGAGTCTTGCCTTTTCCCTCACTGGCATCTTCAAGCCACCAGCTTGGAAACCAGGCTTTTCTATGACATTTTGTATCCCTGCCCTAGCTGATATTAAAGATATTGCAGATCTACTGAGTGGCTTAATTTATTCTTGCTAACAAGGCTGTGTTTGTCCTATATAGGCCTTTTGTATTTATTTAAATTAATTTCTTAAGCAAGAGTTGATTCGAGGCCCCCCTCAGGAGGTGGGAAGCCCCCCCTCATGTCCTGGATTTCGGCTACGAGCCTGACTTTATTCTCCATCTCAGATGTCACTCTTTGCCCTGGTTACTCTGAGAAGGCAAACTATCACCTGCTACTGCCTCACTGCAGATTATGAGCCCCTTAAATCTTCTTTAGTTCCACCCTGCTCCTACAGTTTCTGAATCAAGCTAAGGCACTCATGTTTTTTACTTTGTATTAATTTTTATTTTCATCACTAATGTTACTGTTATTTCTTGTTACTCTTGCCTTGGAGGGTCTCACTGTTTCCTTTGGATCTTGGATACTTACCTGATATCTCAATGTTGGTGTGTAAGCACTCTTTGTTAAATACCGCAGATATGCTATGTGGCTCTCTTATTGGGTTCTAAAGCTAATATATTTTTCCTAGTTTTAATAAATTGAAAGGATCTGTCGATCCTATAAGACTGGCTTCTCAGATGATGGTAATATTTTGGCTAGTATCTTGAAAGAGATCAGAACTAACAGTTTTGTTTTCATCTGTGTTGAAATTTATGTTACTGGTTTTTTTTCCTATTATTCTTTGAATATTGTGCTTTCTAAATGTCTTTTGAAAAGAAATAATGAGATTCTTTGTACATGTAAAAAGTCTATTGTCTTACACAAATTTATTTATAGAATGAGCTAAGTGCAATTTATTGGCACTAAAAGAGCTAATTCTCCTGAGAAATTGGTTTGTTTATTCATTTTTTTGAAAATTTCCTTTCTAGGCTTTATTTTTTAGTCTGGAAAAAATAGACAATCTTTGTTTTTGTCCTCATGCAGGTTGATTCTTTCCCTTTTCTTTTTTTAAAGCTGTGTTAGTAGTTTAGTATTTTCAAGAAGTGTTTTGGTTGCTATTCAGGATAATAATGGAACATCTATGGCTTCAGGAAGAAGCTTTCTGTCTTACCTATGATTATCTCAAGGCCTCAGAAGACCTGCCAGGAGAGGATGCACACTCTCTCAGTGGTTCTGTGTCAGTGAGCTCTTTAGGCACAACTCACCGCTGACTAACTCTTCAATCCAGCCTTGTATGCAGACAGAGTGGCTGCCATGGCCATTTCATTGGGTGAAGGCCAAAATGACTGCTGGCAACTCAAATTGTTTCCCTGTTGTCATGGACAGACTCCCGCTATGCCTCATTTGCAGGGAAACCACATCTAGCTGTGTGTACACTGCACAGTCCTGCGGAATACTCTTCATATTGATGGTGATGGCACTCCTTATGTTTGTGCATTGATCATTATTGCTTTCTTGTAAGACTGTTTCCTCTGGAAAATGCTGTTAAATGCAGAATATTCAGGAATACGGGTGTATGGATTGGTTGGTTAACTATATATTAGATATAAACATGGTTCTGAAGGAATTAGGTATAGAGGGAGTGTGTTGGACTAGGAAATTGAAATAGTCCCAAGGACAGGTGTCCCTTCTCATCTAGTAGGGTTAAGAAGGGGAAAAAGCCAGGGTGCAGTGGGAAGATAGTGTGTGCTGAGTGAGGTACTGAAAAGGAAGGGAAGCAACCAGTGGAAATTGGAGGGGTGAGCACTGAAGAGAAACAAACCTCATGGCTAGTTTTGTGAGAGCTTGCCTTGGTAAGGTTACAATTTTATTTTTATTTTTATTATTTTTTTTAGAGACAGGGTCTCACTCTGCCACCAGGCTGGAATGCACAGGCAGTAATAGCTCATTGAAGCCATGAATGCCTGGGCTCAAGCGATTTTTCTGCCTCAGCCTCTTGAGTAGCTGGATCTATGGTTGTGTGACATCACACCTGTTAAAATATGTATTTTCATTTTCTTTTTGTAGAAATGAGTTCTTTCTACGTTGCCCAGTGATATGACTTGACTGTGCCCCCACCAGAATCTTATCTTGAATTCCCACATGTTGTGGGAGGGACCTGGTAGGAGGTAATTGAATCATGGGTAGGTCTTTCCTGTGCTGGTCTCATGACAAGTGAATAAGTCTCACAAGATCTGATGGTTTTAAAAAAAGGGGTCCCCCTGAAAAAGTTCTCTCTTTCTTTGCCTGCTGCCATTCATGTAAGATGTGACTTGCTTCTCCTTGTCTTCTGTCATGATTATGAGGCCTCCCCAGCCGTATGGAACTATAAGTCCATTAAACCTCTTTTTCTTCCCAGCCTCAGGTATGTCTTTATAAGCAGCATGAAAAGGAACTAATACACCCAGGCTGGTCTTGAACTCTTGGCCTCAGGCAATCCTCCCACCTTGCCCTTCCAAAGCACTGGGATTACAGGTGTGAGCCACTGTGCCTGACTTTTTTTTTTTTTTTTTTTTAACACATCAGGAATTATTATTGTTATGAATTATTTTTACTTGAAATTTTATAATTGTGGTGATCATTGAACAACATTTGAGTAAGATTTAAAAATCTCAGTTTATTAGTTTTCCGTTGCTGTCATAACAAGTTACCACAAATTTATCAGCTTAAATAACAACAAATTATTATGTTACAATTCTGTAGGTCAAAAGTCTGCCCTAGGACTCAGTGAGCTCAAATCAAGCCATTGACCGGGCTACATTCCTTTCTGTAGGCTCTGGGTAGGGTCTGTTTCTTTGCTGTTGACACTTCTTAGAGGTTGCTCATATTCCTTGGCTCATAGCTCCTGTTTTTCCGTCTTCAAAGCCAACAATGTAGCATTTCTCTGACCTTACTTCCAGGGTCATATCTCTGTCCCTCTCTTCTGAGTTCCTGTTCTACTCTTAAGGACTCACCCACATAATCCAGGATTATTTAATGTAAACTCACTAGTAATCTTAATTCCATCTCCAACCTTAATTGCCCTTTGCCATGTAACCTAACTAACATTTACAGATTCTGGGTGTTAAGACATTGTCATATTTGGGGAAAGAGGGTCTGATTTTACCTACTACACTTGGTATAATGGTTTTAGTAATAGACAACATTCATTGAACATTTACCATTTTCACTGTGCTCAGTATTATATATGATTTATGCAAAAAACAGCACTAAGAAATAAGTACTCTGATTATTTTTGTTTTACCGATGTGGAAATTGTGACACAGAGAGGACTAACTGACTTGTCCAAGGTCACATAGTAACTGACAGGGACAGCCTTGAAATTCATGTTGTGCTAGAGTTAGCACCCTAAGCAGTTTGATGTTTTGTCTTCTATCTTTTTTTTAGCTTATGCTGTTTTTTTCTCTGAGAACTTTCCGGTGTATTGAGAGTGATATCCATTTGTGTCCATTTCTATACGATATTACCATACTATATGGCTGGCTATAAGTATTTGAACTATCAATGGACAGTTGGCTTAAACTGGCCATATTAGACTTTCTCTCTGAAAATTTGCATATTGTGACACAGGATTCTGATAATTGATTGGAGGCACTGGAGTAGGGAGGACATGTTTTAGTACCTGAGTAACTATTTCTGACCCCATATCTACACAATTAGTCAGTTCACTTATATAGAGAGGAATGAAATAGGTACACAAATAGAAGTAGGGAAGAGAGTTCATGTAGTTCCAGAGGAAAGGAGGTTTGTGTCTGAATTTCTCATAACTTTCCACTTTATTATAATTCTAGTACACTATGGAGTTGTACCCCACTTTTTGCCTTTGGGGTCTGTGATATATCCCTTTATCTTTTTCCCATATTCTCCTTTTTACTTAAGCTAGGCTTCATGGGTCTTTGTATCTTGAAATCATAAGACATCTTAACTAGAATTCTCAGTACATTAGTTTTGTATTCTCATCTTCTTTCTTAAATATTTATTAATTTTGCCTTATAGATATATGGATAATACCAGACTCCATGTATCTGAGGAACTTAAATGTTAAAATGAACTGTAACAGTGTGATGATAATCGTGCTTTCATCATTAGTATTTCAAAATTTATTTCAGTGTAAGAATGTGAGACATTCCAGTATTGTCACTGCTTATTCAACTTCATCGTAAAACAGTTTATGATGTTTATTATTCAGGGAGTTTGAAGGAAGCTTTAAGGGTGATTATTCCTACATAATTCTATGTGGTAAGTTTTCTCAAGATTAAGGGAGAGTATGTATTTTTCTTTTCTTTCTTTATACCTTTCATGGAGAAACAGAAGAGTTGTGTTCTCACTCTTCAGTATCTTGAATAGGGTGTCCTGTGTCAAGATACCAAAATTATCCACATAGGCCAGTGGTGCTCAACCAGGGGCAATTTGAAAATTTTGGGTGAGTGACTTTTGAACCTTATCTAGTCCTGACATTCCATGAGACCTCTCATTTTATATGCTAAGCCATTCTCATGCCAATCATAGTGAAACCTTATATTGGAAGAAAATGACAGAACTTTCTATGTATTTTAATGAACCTTAAGGACTCAGCCCATACAGCAAAAAAAGATGCTTTTTTCCCATAAAAGCTGTGCTTTTTGTACTGACATTTATTAAACATCAAGAGGGACTCAAATATTATTGCAATGTAGTTTCTTACATGAATATAATACACATGTGTTTCTTTGAGCTTACAAAAAGACACGAATTGAAGACTAAAATTTCTGTTACAAAGAGATACAAAACTGAAATTTATTTCAGAGAATTTGCTTCTCATATTCATCTGTTCGAAAGCCACCACCATTACAGTGCCACAGAGAAATCATGAAAGAATATCATAAACAATAAGAACAAACAGCATCCTTTGTTTTTATTATTAATGAGCAGCTAAGTGTTTATTAAAAATATCCTTTGTGTTTAATCTGGAACAAATGGCTTTTTGAAATGATTCTTTCAAATAAAGCTTTTCAACTTTTTTACTGCTCTCTTGGCAATTAATATGACGGTAACACTACAATGAATTTCTCTATATCCTGGAGGTCCTCAGAAGCATCTGACAAAGGATTGTCCCGGTTGCTCATGTTCTGGTACGTAGAGACACTGACATAGATATTACTAAGCAGTGTTAAAAACACACACATGGGTTTCCTGCTGACTGTCTAATCTCAGGAAAACAACAAACCTCCCTAGAAGAATTCATTAATAAATTACCATGTTGGCCTATAGAGATCATTTGACATGGACTTTAAAATTAGCTAAGATTTAAAGAATCACATGGAGTAACTTTATAGCCAAAGCTCAAGTCATTTTTATAAATCATTAATTGTAATATGAATAGTCATAGGCACAGGGTAAATGTGAAGAAGGTGGTTTTCCCTTCTTTGTAAGATGTTCCTCACAGGTATGAAAATATGTCGTTGAGTGAAGGAATAGTTTTTTTTTTGGTAAAATAAATGATTTGAGACACTTAGAGCTAAGAGGATGAATACATGAAATGATTACATTATCATCAGCAAGTGTTGTGGCCCAAAGAAGAGGTTTATAAGTATACAAACTTGAGTTGGCCCTAAAGAAGAACATGTTAATTTCCTTGTGAGGGTCTCTCAAGGTCCTGGATGGTTGCTTGGTTTGTTGGAGAAATGTTCAGGTTTAGTAGAATAAGCTTCCTTCTAAAATGTTTGATTCATTTCTTGAGCTTTTAAAGATTTTAACTTATGTAATTATCTTACATCAGATGATAAAGAGGAAAAGTTTTGTTTTATGTTTCCTTCAATCTAAATATTGGTATAAGAACATTCCACCTTTAGGGCAGTAACCCTTTTGCCTTCTTGCTCGTTATAAATCTGTACTGCACTATGAGGCTCCTTCTCTGAACTTGCAAATTATTGCTCACATAAGGATTTTCAGCAAGTTTCTTTCTAGTGAATATCAGAAGTTTAGAAATGAAAGAGAGTTTAGTGATTATGAAGCACAGTGTCCTTATCTCAGATGTGAATAAACAAGGGCTGGGATTGAGCAACCTGGCCAAGGTTAGACAACCTGACAAGGAATACTACAGAGATTCAGGCTTGACAAAAATTCCTATGAATCTCAATCAAGGTTGGAACCAGTCCTGGTTTAGATAAAATAGTTCTTAGACAAGTTCTTTCTGATGATGTTTTTAGTTTCCCCAGACCTCTTTATTTTGGCATCAGTATATCATGTTCTGTCCTTTTCTCTTTTTGTTGTATAAAATGATTGTTCTGGGCCCTCTAAGTTATATCTGAAACATGAAATTTAGATCCAGGCTGCCTGGGTATAAATGTTGGCTCAGTCACTCACTCACTAGCAATGTGACCTGGGGCAAATTACCAAACTTTTCAGTACTTCACTTTCCCTATATGTACAATGGAAATGCTGACAAATATGAGGCTTATATAAAATACTGCATATAAAACACTTAATAAGGACTTAGCTCATGGTAGGTAACTGGCAGTGGTAACAATGATAACTGCTTTTATTATTGTTACTATCAAAATAGCACCCAACAGATATTTCAAATTTCTGTCTTCTGCCTGTGTCTTCTACATCTCCAAATTTGGTTGGTGGCAACATGATGTACACATAGGCATCAGTAGTGTTTCCTGCTTTTTTTTCTTTTAAACTCTCCACCATGATCCAATAGCTACTATTACAAATATTGTTGATTTTAAATTTCTAAATATCTCTAAATATTTATCCTCATCTCTCCAATGTTATTGCTACTGTCTCATTCAGGTCCTCAGTAGTTCTTTTTTAAATTTTTAGAAATAACTTTTAAATTTTTGTAAATATGAGGCCGGGCATGGTGGCTTATGCCTGTAATCCCAGTGCTTTGGGAGGCTGAGGCAGTGGAATTGCTTGAGATCAGGAGTTTGAGATCAGCCTGGGCCAAACAGTGATAGCCCATCTCTACCAAAAAAAAAAAAAAAAAAAAATCTAATTAGATGAGTATGGTGTCATGTGCCAATCCTCCCACCTCAGCCTCCCAAATAGCTAAGACTAGCTAAGACTAGCTATTTGGGAGGCTGAGGTGGGAGGATTGGTTGAGCCCCAAGTGATACAAGCTGCATTGAGCTATGATGGCACCACTGCACTCCAGCCTAGGTGACAGAGTAAGACCCTGTCTCTAAAATATAATACATTTAAAAAGTCTTGAAAACATTAAACAGAAAGAAACAATTTTATCTGTTGTAAAGATAGGTTGCCCAAATAAATCACACAATCACCAACTCAGGAGATCTGAATTAGGTTTCATTAATAAAATAAAAACATTAGTATTTATCAATATTCACACAGAACCACAGATAAAACTATAAACAAGGACTTTGTACCAAAAAAATTTATCAAATAAAGGTTTTGGGCCTATCTTAGGCTGTTTAGGGTGATATAACAAAGTATCAGAGACTGGGTATGCTATAGGAACAGAAATCTATTCCTTATAGTTCTGGAGGCTGGGAAGTCCAAGATCAAGGTGCCAGCAGATTTGGTTCTGGTGAGAGCCAGCTTCACTTCCAAGATAACACCTGCTGTTGCATCCCCACATGGCAGAAGAGGCGAATGCTGTGTCCTCAAAAGGTGGAAGGTGGAAAGCAGAAGGGCACAAGGACCAGGCAGCATTTTGAAGCCTCTTTTATAAGGGGCACTAATTCCATTCACAAGGGTGGGGCCCCCATAAACTTAATTACTTCCCCAAAGGTCCCACTTAATACTGTTGCCTTGTAGGTTAAGTTTCAACATGAATTTTGGAGGGTACACAAACATTCAAACCATAGCAATATCGACAGTCTACCCAGGATTTGTCATATTTCTTCCCACTTAAGATGCAAAGCCTCAAGTCAATGTTTTGACTTTAAACTTGGCTATCTACAATAATCCTGTTTATTTTTAATATCCACTGGCAAGCATTGCAGTGGGTGACAGCCCCCATTGCTTTCTGCCTCTGGCTACATTCCAGCTCTTTCTTCTGCCTAATTCTAAGTACTATGAGTGAGAAAGTAGGCTCTAGGGATGTGTTTAATAAGAAAAGCTTTGTGGTATTTTATTGCATGTGTTGTACAGAAAGGGTACCATTTTTCTTTTTGTCTTTAGACTTTAGATGCCAACTTCACAGCAGGAAGGCATTTTCGAGGAAGACAAAGACAAAGCAGAGAGTATCAGAAACAACTGGCCTGATGCAGCCCAAAGCAGTTTAATACTTAAATCTTGTTTCCTTTCTTTACGTATGCACTGTTTCACTTAAAGCTTTAAAATTCAAAAAACGATCATTCTATTTTTTCCTCTTGTTAAGATTTTGTAGTGACTTGACTTAAAAAATATTGGGAAAGCCCAAGCATTAGACACAGAGTTAAGTATGATGGGACATCGGACTCAGGGTACACAGTGAGGCAGCTGGTAACCAAGTCTTATAGCAGACTGCATTCCACATGATGAATGTTAACTGCCTACAACAATATGCTCAGGTATCATCAGGTCTGTGGGCTGACTTTCAACATAAAATTTTGTGTACATCTTCTTGTAACACCTTCAATTGGACAATATTCAATGTATTGGTAGACATTTTTCCCCTAAGACAGTTTCTTAAACCTTGGTTGTTTCTTTAGAGAAGATACTGAGTTTTTTGATCTCAAAAATGACTTGGCATTGTACATGGTTCACGAAAAGTGAAGGCTGGATGGTTCAAAGGGGGTACTTCCACATAGTTGGTGTTTCAAGAGTGGACTTTTGATCTTTTGAGTTATGAGAGCATAAGATCTATACATCTAGACCTGTTATAAAAGTTATAAATAGCCCTCAGATTAAAATGTGGGCCTTGGGCTATAGGTGTCCATTATAACTTCTTACCTGCTGTACTTCTGTAATGGAAGGATTTTGCTATGTAGAATTTTAATTCCTTAGATGCCTTTGAGTTCAATTATTCTCCATTTCTTTGACCTCAGGTTGTTGCCTCATGTGACTCATGAGAAAAACAGGTGTTGAATAGCTTCTTTCTCCATAATAATCTTATTGGTCTAGAAGACTTATATGCTCAATGTTGGGGGATATCATCCCTGGTGTGAATGTAGGCAATTTATTTGAAGAACATACAAATGTAAAAGTACATGTTAAGTTGAATAACCATGACTTTAGGAGAAATTGCAGAGTTGTTGCCCAGTGGGATGGTGTGGGTCAACAAGCTCAGGAACATCTGCCTCCTCCAGAAATATACCTTCTGGATATAAATATACCTTCTGGATATAAATATTTCTGGAGGGGGCAGATGTTCCAGAGCTTGTTGATATGAAGATTGTGGGCAGATTCTCCATGACCTGCTTATCTCCTGTGGTTGTATTAGCTGAGATACAGATGTGAGGTTGGCACAGATAAAACTTTGTGCTTTGAACTTTTTTCCACACAGATGGAACTTTACTTATACCATAATTAGGAGACTGGCTGCTATGGATATAGTATGCTCACTTTTATTTAAGATCTAGCTTTTAATATAAAGAGTAACTTTGGGATGTTTTAATCCAAATAAATGCAGTTTTGAAGAACTATTATTTTTATGAGGATTGAAGTTTAATTTCACTTGTTTTTCAAGGCCCTGTTAAAACATTCTGAATGATATACTAGCTATGGGCAGGAGACTTCAAGCTCCCAGATGAAGGAATTGTTGGTGGTTGTGAAGTAGTCAGTGTACTAATGGACACGTGGATATTAACATCTCATGTCCTTTTTGATATATCTGTTTAGTTAAAGTGTTTGCCCAAAGATTAGATGTAAGTTAAGAAGTCTAGAGACCAGTTTGTAAAACTGATAGAAATTTGAGAGTTCATGGGATTAAACTGAGATACCTACCTAGGAAGCTGCTGTGTCCGTTGAGTTGTAAGCTAGCATAAGGCCTACTATATATATAATCAGATAGACTTTCCTGTGAACTATTCAGTAGTATAGGTGGAAGTACACTGTATAGGTGCAAGATATATTTCTGTTATGATCAATCTGAATGTTGTAGCTAAAGTAACCATGTAATTACATTTGGGAATGTGTTGAGAAAGATTAGGTGTTTGTTTGCAGCCTGAGTGAAATCCAAAATGTGGAACCACATATAGTGAAAAATTCAAAAACATTAAAGCTTTTGGGAGCCTGAGCTGATGCTGTCTGTGGTTCTTCCTGAAATAGTTCATTATGGAATACATCACCAAAAGTAACCCTTCATTGATGTTGTGTGTCCTACTTTCATTCATTCTATTTCCTTTTCTCCCATGATGGTTAACATTATGTGCCAGTCCAAGTGCAGAGAAGTCATGTGATTTATATAGGCTAGAAATTGCAGAATCACCCTCAAAATTAATTCTTCTTCACCGTAATGCTATTTTATACTCTCCTAAGAGACAATTGCACAGTAGGTATCTAGGTTACTATAATTCTGTATACAGATACAACAACCTCAGTTACTTGAGTATATTTTTGTAATAGGTCATGGGAAATCTGAAAGTTAATTTACTGGCTTCTTTGGACAATTCATATGTTGCCAAATCGGGGCTATTCAGGAAGCAATTTAGGCCTTAGTAGAACTATTACTCATCATTTCTTCCCACATACTTTCTGAAATTAGAAAATTTAGACTGCAGCTGCTCTAGGTTGGTTCAGTGTGGCTTTTTATCTTAAACATTTTAATTAAGTAACTTCAGTGAGCTCATCTCTACCTAATATTCTTTTTCCAGGGCAGGTCCAGGAACTTCACTCTTCCACTACGGTCTTCAGGCTGAGCAAAAAGGGAGTAGGATCAGCTGGCATTGCCCAGGTCACAGTGATGGCTGGATGGTGTCACAGCTCCAAAGTCCTAGGCTCCTTCTTGCTCTGCCACCTTCCTTTAGCCACTGCCACTCTGTCCTGCCCTCCCTCCATTCTCCTTCTCACTCACCTTTTCAGGACTCTGCAGTACGTTCTCTTCATGCTTTGTATGCGTACTTTACTAAAAACTCCTAACTCATCTTCCTGCTTTTCACATAACCTCCTTGGATCCATGCTTCATACCAGCAGAGATTTGATTTCTTCAAATATGGAAATACAGTTGATTCTTGAGCAACATGGGGATTGGGGTGCCAATCCCCATAGTTTACCGATCACATAGTTTAAAATTTACATATAACTTTTGACTCTCTCAAAACTTAACTGCTAATAGGCTACTGTTGTTGGTAGCCTTATCAATAACATAAATCATTGATTAACACATATTTTGGATGTTATATGCATTACGCACTGTATTCTTACAATAAAGGAAGCTAGATAAAAACTGTAATTAAGAAAACCATAAGGAAGAGAAAATATGTTTACTATTCCTTAAGTGGAACTGAATTATCATAAAGGTCTTCAGCCTGTTTTTTTCATGTTGATTAGGCTGAGGAGGAGGAGAAGAAGGAGGGGTTGGTCTTGTTGTCTCAGGAAGAAAATCCAAGTGTAAATGGAACAGCATAGTTGAAACTCGTCTTGTTCAAGGGTCAACTGTACAACTCTAACTGCCCTGCTTAATGCCATTATTCTCTTATTATCCATAGATTCCCATTCCTCAGCGTGGCCTGCAATGCAGGCAGCCCAATGTCTGACTCTTGTTTACCTCTGAATCCTCCATTTCTACTATGGCCCTATCATGACAGCATGGTAAATACTTAATATTTATGCATGTTAAAAACTAATAGAATGGACTTGAAGCCTAGATAGAATTGAGTAGGAAAACCAGTTTGGGAAAACATTATTAGTTCATGTTAGAATCTAAGCAAATTAGATTTTTATTAAAGAGCAATATATTTAATCTTAATTTTTGATGAGGTAATAAGGAAGTATGGAATATGACTTCTGGACAAAGATTCCTCTACAACTTTAGCTACCTTCATCTGTGACTTAGGGGGATTTTCCTAATTTATACTTTTCTCTTAAAAGCCTCATGATAATTTTATCTGCAAGTAATGTATTTTGTTTTGTTTTGTTTTTTGCTCTAATTACAAATGCTCAAAATATGGAGATTAAGTGTCAATGTTTGTTGGCTGGCCAATACACAGTGTGTCATCTGCATAAAACCCAGTCATCAACATATATTAGAGGTGATATGCAATTTTATATTTAAATTGTTTATGCTTTCAATTTGACCTGTGATGGGAACCCCCACTTTTTCAAGCATTAGCTAGGTGGCAACTGTATTAAAAATATAAATGCTGTATTATCTGTCAAGGAAAGCATAGGATTTAAGACCTTACTAAATTCTCAGTAAAATGTCATCAAAAAATTACTTTGCGCTGTGAACTCCAGGGGTAATACCTGTAGCTTACTGAGAAGCACGAATTTGTAGACAATGTATGAGTTTCTTTAATAACTTTAACCAATAACTTGTTCCACCAGCTTTGATCTGTATGCAGTGTTATATAAACAAAATAACACATTCAGTTTTCCTCTGAAAACAAAGATCCCAAGTTCAAAGAAATGCATCTTTCAAATTTTGATACATTTTGCCAAATTGCCTTATAAAGAGTTTATACCGATTGATATTCATACTGTCTATGAGATTTCATCTTTGCCCATAATCTTACAGTTGTGAAAGCAAAGCTCTTGGAAATTATCAGTATTTAAATTCTTACCAATTTAAGAGGTGAAAAAAGTTAATCTCATCTAATTTTCATTTCTCTAATAATTAGAGAAACCAATAGAACTCTTTTGTAAAAGATATGTTTATTGAGGAATAGTTTATATACAGTAAAATTCACCCTTCTAAGATGTGCAGTTTGATGAGTTGTGACCCATGTATGCAGTTGCATAACCACCACCACAATCAAGATATAGAACATTTCCCTCGTTCTTTTTCTCCTTAGTATTTAGCTTTCTGACCCTGTTCCAGCTAATGACAGCCTCTCGGCCCAAACTGCTTACAAAGTCCTTGAGGGAAATGCAGTGCAGAATGTTGGGCTCAACAAAATACATTTCCCTTCTCTCTGTGATCTTATCTTTGCAAGTCTTGGTTTATTAGCTTTTTGGTGTCTTTTGTATTTTTATGTCATCCAGTTTCTCTAGTTGTTCTTGGTGGGGGAGTTTGTCTTATATGCTGTAGAATATTATTTTTATCACGGTAGTTCCCTACTTCTAGTACCAATTTTTGTATTCGTCAGGATAGGTTATGATGTGATTAGGAACAATCTCCAGACTTACCTGGCTTATCACAATAAATAAAAATATATTTCTTTCTCATGGCCACATGTCTATTATGGGTTGGATGGAAAGTAGATTTGCTATAGATGACCACTCAGGGATCCAGAGTGATGGAGACTCTTCCATCTCAGAGTTGCCTTTTCTGGAGCACACGGTTTCCTTGTACGTAGTGGCAGAAGAGACTTATTTGAGCTCTTATTCTTACTCTTGTATGTTTTAGCTAACACTTCCACTCCTATAGCTAACACTTCCAATTCCATGGTCAGAACTAGTCACACAGGACTGCCTAAGGGAAAAAAAGGTGGATAATATACTCTTGTGTGTTGTTGAAAGAAGAATCTGGTAGCTAGCTACCAGGGGAACTAATATTTACTGAGTGTGTACTAAATGTCAGGTCCTGTGACCAGAGACTTACATGTATTATTTCTGTTATTTCTTCTAAGAATCCTATGAGACAGATATTAATAATCTTATTTTGAAGATGAAGAAACTGATGATTGTGCATGTTTAATGTTTGTCTGTAGGCCACACAACCAGTAGTGGTACAATCAGACTTTGAATCCAGCGTGTCCCCTGTTTAAAAGTCTATGTTTTTGTTCCCCATGAGGACATAAATTATATGTGCAGTAAATATTTGCTGGAATAAATAATATAAATTATGGTAAGTGGCAAAATCTTACGGAATTTGCTTTTAGAAAAAATAACTGCTGACTGAAAACTTACTTTTTGGTGAAAAATGTCAACAAAGAATCTGTCATCTGTCATTTGTGGGAAGAACTATAGCTCACGGGAACTGAATTCTGGAAGTTGTTACTTTAAAAAGAATTATCCTGATGTCTGTCACTGTGGAAGATAAAATCACTTTTTATAGAAAGTATTTGAGACTGAAAAGGGGGGAATATAAAATACAAGCAAAATAAACATATTCTGTGGGTAACTTTGGTATTTTTTGGAGATTTTCAGTATAAGTAATACGGTATAGCAGCAAGCTGTGATTGGCACATTACATGTTTTTAATGATTAGAACACCAATAGGTTTTGGTCTCAAATAAATAGACCTTGGAAGAATATATATTGAGTCTGATATAATATACTTTGAGTAAACTGGGAGATTGTGGCTTAGAAAAACATGACCCCAAGAAACCACTTTCTCATTTTCCTCTTGTGTCTGGGAGAGATGTGGTCTGCCAGCTAAAAAGGTAGTTTTGAAGGCTGTTCTCTTGTTTATTAAACATTTCCTATTATGTAAAAGGTTAATTGTTATTACACCACAGTCTGAAATATAGAATTATGACTTAAGATGACATGCATTTGTGTAGTGAGGATGGGGGTAGAGGGAGTCCCTCTCATGTACCAGACACTGGGCCAAATGTTATTCAAAGTCTCTTATAACTGCTTAATTGGAGTTTTAAAATATGAGTCCAATTCTCCAAATTATTTTTATCGTTATGCAAATGCAATATGTCAACACCCACAAGGTTCTGGAAAAGCCTGCTGAAGGTTGATAAAGTTAAGTTTAAGGAAGTTGAAGTAAGTTTCTGTGAAATTTAATCAAATGTCAAAAGAGTCCTTGGAGAGGAAAAATGAGAAATCACAGCTGCTATGACCCAGGCCACATTATAAATAGATTTATAGTTTTGGATTTAACCTGTTGAAAATGGAGGCTGTGATTTTCAAGTGTTTTTCTGACCATTTATTTACAAAAATCTTTGCAAACATCTCCTGAAATAAATGTGTTTTCCCCGATAGTTTTGCAGTTTCATTGCTTCCCTTCAGTTCTTTAGACTGACTGGTCACAACAGAGGACTGCTGTCAATAAAAGAGCAATCTGTCTTTTGAACCAAACTCACATCGTAGCTCCTTTTGCTGCCACTGACTATTGATTGCAGCCTGAAATGTTCACCTTTTCTTTCCTAAGGTCTTGCAGCCATTACTTTCTGCTGTTAATGAGACTGAATTCCACTCTTTCTTGTGCATGACTCTTGATGTATATCTGAATACTGAGCTATTCTTCATGATGTTGTATTATGAAATTCCCCAACCTATACTACGTGGTCATTAGAGGACTGTGTGTGTAGAGAAGAAACTTGAGTTTCCTTTGTGAATTGGCTTTGAAATGAGTATCCTTACAATATTTTTATAACATGATTTCCAATTTAAAACTCGGATTTGAAAAGGGTACTTTATGTGCTCATATTTAAAAGAATGATATGAAAGAGTTACTCTGCAATTGTGATAAACAAAATGGGTTAAGTTATGCTTCAATGACATGCCCAATGCCTTAGTGTTTTAAAACAATGAGATATATTTCCTGTCTATGCTGCATGTTCTTCATGGGTCTGAGGGAGCTCTGCTCAATGTCATTTTCCCTCAGGGACTGAGATTGTTGTAGCCACAACAATCCTTAACATTATGAATTGTCATGAGAGAAAAAAAAAAGAATACAATTCTCATTTATTGATTTTTAAAGCTTCCTTCTGGAAGTGACAGAGATAACTTCTGCTTACATTTCACTGACCAAAGAAAGTTATTTGGCTATGCTTTATTTCAAGCAAGGAAGGAGATTATAATCTTTCTGTATTTCTCCGAAGGGGAGATTTGAAATATCTGTGACAGTTCTAATCACCAAAGTGTCATCATAATTGGCATAAATATTTGTTTCCACATTTTAAGAGTGGCTTTTTGGAGCAGTATGCAATTTTAAGTGTATTTTGTCTGGATTATTTACATCCCTAATTTTATGAAATGATTATTTAAAAAATCTGTTAATGTAAATCAATGAATATGTAAACTATAGCACTTTTTATTTAAGTACCATGAATAAAATGTACTTATTTTCTATTTTGTTTATTGTGAGCCCAGAAATCTTGTTAATAGTCATTGCATTAATCTCTTTTTTCTTCCAACATTTTATTGTGAAAAATGTTCAAAAATACAGAAAAGTTGAAATAATTTAATATTGAAAAGACATTTACCTACCAACTAGGTTCTACCATTAACTCTTCTATACTTAGTTATCTACCACGTATTTATCTCTCTATTCATCCATTGTTGTCTTACTTTTTGATGAATTTCAAAGTTAGTTGAAGAAATCAATACATTTCCACGTAAATGCTTCAGCATGCTCACTGTCAACTAGACTTCAATATTTATTTACAATCTTTTTATTTTGATCATGTACAAATCATAAATGTACCATTCGATGAGTTTTGACAAATGCAATATTTGTTTATATCCAAAGCCCTTTCAAGATACAAAACATTCCCATAACCATTTAAAGTTCCTTCTTGCTGCTTCTAATCTTCATTCCACTTTCCCTTCTCTCCCCAGTCAACCATTTATCTGATTTTTTTTCCCCTAAAAAATTAGTTTTGCCTGCTCAAGAATTTCACAGAAATGAAACGATATAGCGTGTACTCTTTTGTTTGAGGCTTCGATGTGTTTTTCATATTCATCTATTCTTTTGCCTATATATGTTTATTTCTTTTTATTACTTCATAGTATTCTGCTACATATCACATTCTCCTATTAACACACTCCTGTTTTTTTTTCCTCTAGTTTTTGGCTATTATAAATAAGGCTGCTAAGAACATTGCCTGTGGGCATGTTTTCATTTCTGTTGAGAAAATGCGTAAGACTGTAACGGTTGGGTCATAGGGTAGGAATTTATTTATTTATTTATTTATTTATTTATATCTTTTGTGAAATTGCCAGAACTTAAAAAAGTTTATATCATATTGCAATTCCACTATCAAAGTATGAACATGCTGGTTTCACCACATTCTACCCAACATTTAGTGTTGTCAGTGTTTGTAATTCCAGCCATCCTGATAGGTCTATGTTGGTATCTCATCATGGTTTTAACTTGCATTAAAACTGGACACTAATGCTGTTACACACTTCTTTGTGTGCATATTGGCTATTCATATGCCTTCTTTTTAAAAGTATATATATTCCAATATTTTGCTCATACAGGGTTTTTTTTGTCTCTTAATTATTAAGTAGTAGGATTTCTTCATGTTTGTCATATATCTGTTTTGCAGGTATTTTCTTTCAGCCCATAACTTACCAATTTCAATGCCTAATAGTCGTTTTGGAAAAGCAATATATTTTAATTAAATTTATTATTTTTTCTGTATAAGAGAATTTAGCTACTCTCATGACACAAAGATATTCTTTGGTGTTTTCTTCTAAAAGCTTTATATATTTAACTTTTTAGGCTTAGGCCTATGATCTACCTCAGATTAATTTTTTTGCATGGTGTGAGGTAGGGCTTGGCAGTCATTTTGTTTTTCCATGTGGATATCAGTTTTTCTAGCTTACTTTGTTGAAAGTTTCCTTTCCCTCTGGATTGTTTTGATGACTTATTTATTTTTATTTTTTGGAATATCAAATGACAGCATAAATGTGAGTCTGTTTCTGGCCTCTCCATTCTCTTCCATTAGTGGATTTGCTAGTTTTTATGTCAGTACCACACTGTCCTGAACACTGTAGCCTTATAGTAGTTTTTGAAGTTAGGTAGCCTAAGCCCTTCAACTTTGTTATTTTTTTTCCCCAAATTCCTCTGGATTTTCTAGTTTTTTTTTTTTTTGTTTTGTTTTTTTTTTTTTGCCATTCCATATAAATTACAGACTACATATGTCAGTTTTTGTATAAAAGCCTGCTAGGATTATGATGGGGTTGTGTCAAATTTACAGATCACTTTGGGGAATATTGATATCCAAACAGTATTAAATCTTTACATTCATAGACATGATTCAATTCTCCCTTGATTTAAATCCTCTTTAATCTGTTTAGCCAGTGATTTATTTGGTTGATCTCAAACTATAACTCTGACTTTTGGATAGTGGCTCAGTTATTAGTTCCGTTTCTTTAATCTTAGTTGGGCTGCTAGAAATCTGTTTCATGTATGCACTTTTCAAGGTTTCACCAGTGACTTGGGCAGAATTTAGACATAGAATTTTGGGCTCCCCCTCTCTGGATTTCTCTTTTCCAGTTGTCCCCTTTCACTTTTTAGTGGCTGTGGTTCTTCCCAACTCAGAAAGACAATGTGTTTTCTACAGGAATTTTAGCCACTAAGCAGGGCACTGACATGCTAAAAGCACTTAAATCAGGGAATTCACAGTTCGGTCTTGTCTTTTAAATATCAACTCCCCTGGAGAATATGCCTGTTTTTGTTTGCTCTCTAATAAATTCATTTAATTTTGAGTAATTTTCTCTAGAGTTTATAGTTGTTACCTGTGAGAAGGCCAGTCCTGTAAAAGTTTAGTCAACCTTGGAAGTAGAACTCACTTAATCTGGTTTGGACATCTGATTTTTAGCAATAGATGAAGGGATTCTTTAATTTGTGACTTTAATGTCAAAAAAAGGGATTCATTGTAATTCATTAAACAGTAACTCTATAATAAGAATTGTGCATAGCTTACTGAATCTATTAATTTTAACAGATACCTACATATAACCATAATATCCAGTCCACTTTTTTTAACTTTATAATCCAATGAAAACCTCAGCTGGAGGTGGCTGCAGCTTTAAGGCCATGTTATTTATAGGACCCCAGTTTTCTAGTTTTAGGTGTTATTTATAGGACCGTAGTCCTTCTAGTTTTAGGTGTCCTTGTCTTAATCTTTTTCTTTCAGTTTTCTGAATCTGCATTTAGTATAGTGCTTCTCTTCTCTAGTATGCATCTTACCTCTACTATTGCACACATTGTTTCAAGGATCTTAGCATTAATTTTAAAATCTTTAGTTTCTCTATATGTTGTTATTCAGAGTTTGCACTTAGGTACCAAGGCTTAAGAAACAACTTTTATGAAATGTTGTATTAGTCTGTTCTCATGCTGCTAATAAAGACATACCTGAGACTGGGTAATTTATAAAGAAAAAGAGGTTTGATGGACTCACAGTTCCACATGGCTACGGAGGCCTCACAATCATGGTGGAAGGTGAAAGAGGAGAAAGGCACATCTTACATGGCAGCAGGTAAGAGAGTGTGTGCAAGGGAACTCCATTTATAAAATTATCAGATCTTGTGAGACTTATTCACTATAGTTAGAACAATATGGGGGAAATAGTCCTTATGATTCAATTATCTCCACCTGGCCCCACTTGACACATGGGATTATTACAATTCAAGATGAGATTTGGGTGGGGACACAGAGCCAAACCATATCAAATGTGTTGCCTTTTCTATTAATTGGAATTCAAGATTTAAAAAATTAGCACATATTGCAACATGACTTATTTCCCTGTGTGTTCTGCTCTCTTCTGTATTCCTTTTTGTTTCTTCTCTTTATTTCTCTAGGACTTCACTGTATCCTTTACATCATGGTAGAAAGAAATAAGAATTTAGTTTGAAAATGACCTCACAATAATTCCTATCATGTTTATTCAATTATGGACATTGATACTTGATATGTTGCAAAATCGGACACCTTTCCTGACTGCGAACATTTCAGAAATTTATTGTACATCTGTTTCTTGACTATTATAGACAGGTTCCATTTGTTCTTAAACCAATTCTGTTTTTTCTATTTCAAAAAATCTTTAATCTAGTTAAGGAATTCACAAAATGGTTCGAACTTTAGAAGTACCCTATTAACCTAATAGATCACTTCCTGAACCTTTAGTCCCAGAGATTTTAGTGAAATACATATTGGGTGAGGCCCTGAGATGTAGGTTTTCATTACAATCACAGAGATTCTCAGGATGACAGTATCCTGTGTCAATTATGCAGTGCACTTACTCTAACACAGTATTAGTTTGTAGGCAGGTGCCACTATGCTTCTGGTGTAGATGGAGAAATCAAGGTACAAGCAAAAAACATAATGAAGAGTTGAAGAGCTCTGGAGTTAGTGCTGAATTTCATCTCTGCTAGTACCAACTTCCTCCTCTACAAAAGTGGGATTTTTTCCTGTCACGCCATTGAAAGAATTAAATGAGATAATTTTGTTCCTAGTCCCTATTGTACTCAAACTCTGAAGAATTTGACACTAAAATTAAGTACAATAAATGGTATAAGATGCAGAAATGCATTTTTATGCTTTGAATCACCTTTAAAGTTATACTGACTGGGATCCTACTGGGGACTCTGGCTGGTGGCCTTTTTGGTGGGTTGGGTCTTGTGGCAGAAATTTTACCAAAGAGAAAACTAGGGTCCTGTAACATGGCCTTTAAGCAATAATTTATTAATAGAATCTTGCACACAGAAGAAGCTAAAAAATATTGGTTTAATGACTGCAAAAGCATCCTTCCTAAAAAAAAAAAATCAAATCCTAACAATTTTTCTGGTTCTTGTTATTCTAAGCCTCTTCATGGAATACTTGTCTCCTTGGAGAAAAGAAATGAAGGTTCCTGTATTTTTTTTAGTACTTCAGATCCACTTATATAGTAAAATACCTTAAGTTGGATAATTGGTTTCAACAATTGGGTGCTACCTGCAATTTGATAGTGATTAGCTGAAATGGGTGATATTTATACATGCAGTATATTATGGAATTATGGAGGAACATTCTCAGATAAAAATATGTAAACTTTTCTTGCAAATTTTGAATGCAAAGGTGAAGCCCCCACTTTACCCCTTATAATACACGTCCCAGATACTTGTCTTACAACAGTATCCTCTGTTTTCAGGACCGCAAGCTCTGTAGAAGGTATGTAATTGTTATGTCCCTGACTGCACGCTCATTTTTTTTCTTTTTTCTTTTTTTTTTCAAGAGACAGGGTCTTGCTTTGTCTCCTAGGCTGGAGTGCAGAAGCACTATCATAGCTCACTATAGCCTCAAACTCCTGGGTTGAAGCAACCTTCCCGCCTTACTGCCTGCTGAGCTGGGACTACAGGGGTGTGCCACCACACCTGGCTAAGTTTAAAAAAAAAATTTTGTAGAAATGGGATCTTGCTGTGTTACCCAGGCTGGTCTCACACTCTTGGCCTAAAGCAATTCTCCAACTTTGGCCTCCCAAAGTGTTGGGATTGTGAGCATGAGCCACGGTGCCCAGCCCTCTACTCTCATTTTTATGCAATATGTCCTCTTTTAAAATTTTACCCGTTTAAATGCCTAGAGAGACAAGTCTAGCAATAGGACAAGCCCACAACCTTGAGTTCTTGCTTTGCTTACCTTTTCCTAGGTTTAATTATTCATAGTATTTCCCCAGTTTAAATACTACTAATAGTTGCAATATTCATTGAACACTTACTATGTACCAGACACTGTGCTAAGTGTTTTGCATTGCCTCACTTATAACTCTCAAAACTTGAGGTGGGTTCTGTTATTATCTTCATCATATACAAACACTATGATTTTGGAAGAGTCCTTTGACTCTTCCAAAAGAGTGAGACAGGTCAATATGCAGTCATTTCCTGATGGCAGATACAATTCTTATGGAAAACAATTTTCTTATGGAAAACCTATAAGCAGTGACAAAGTCCATTTTTTCCTCAGTGAACTGCCTAAGACATCAATGATAAAATGTATAGACCAGCAGGAAGGTGTTATCTGCATGAGCCAGTGGCAGCCTTATTTGTTTCATTTGGGAAACATTGACAAAGTAGGAGACAGGTTGGCTCTAGAATGTGGCATTAACTTAGAAAATGCAATGACTTTATATAACCTGTACTGTTTTCTATAATAGCGGATGGAAAATGGGCTGTCATTTCTGATATATGGGACATTATCACCATGCTGCATAGTGGTTGTGTGATTCACGATAATGCAATTTACTTCTCAAACGTTTTATAAAGAATCATTTGACTTCTGGGCTGGCACTAATTAAAATAGAACTATGTTGAAAATTATTTTGCAGGCAATTTGTGTATTATGTGTCAAATGGTATTACAGATTTTTAAAAAGTCTTTAATATTACTCCTTTAAAAGGATTCCTTGTGCAATATTCTTAATGGCGCACTTTTAGTAAAAGAACATTTATGCATGTCATCAAAGAATTTATATTTTGAGGGCATGCAAACATTTGACAGACCTTGATGGTATTTTGTCAAATATTTCTAAAATTTGTGTTTTTAAAAATAAAATTTCTGGGTCACCTCTTAGCAAGTTCCACCTAAATGATCTTGTACATTTCTTTGGAATATGTGAGCACTTAACATTTTTTGCTTGAAGTTTTAAATATCCATTTGAAAATCTGAGGCCACAGGAAAGGTCTGACTTCATGTATTACATTAGTAGTGTAATCTGCACACTGAAGCTAAATAGCAGGACCTTGATGGTCATCTTCACAATTTGGAATGCTTTCATGCAATTCCTGTTTCTAATTTTGTATTATTACAAAAATATTAAATATAAACTTCTCAAACTGTATTTTACTTAGAAAATATTTTTCATCAAAATAATTTATGAACATAATTTTCAGAGTTAAATAGTTCTAAAGATATAATAATTAGTCTCTCTCTAGATCCCCCCACCCCCTAGTCCTGTTCCTCTATGATAACCATTTTTAACTTCTTAAGTTATTTCTTTTGGTATTTAACTCTATTTTTCTAAAATATTCTATTTAGCCTTCTCTTTCCATTTGTTAATTTCAGACATGTCTATTATTCTTTCCCTACACCCACATCTCAGGGGTTATTAGGTGGAACATATTAGCATTGCCAATATTGACTATTTATGACCTTCAAAAATGGTAATGTTCCATTGTTAAATTTAATGGATAATTGCTTAATATTTTCTTTTGCTTAAATTTTTTATCATGTCATTCAAATGTATACACTTATAATCCTGTTAATTTGTAAAACATTTTTGGAAATTTTTAACATCATGAAAATAGCTATATTATCTATTAGTTTCATCATTTCCTTTTCTGAAGACCACACTCTTGGAGCTCCTGCTCCAATCTGGATTAACCTAAGACTCTTAATCTAAGAATCATTTTTTTCCTTCATTTTGTTTCTTGGGCACTTTAGTTTTTTTTAAGAAGATTGCACAGTAAGTACTTTTCTGCCTTTGCATTTCTGAATTCCATTTATTCTGCTCCTATTTGAATGGTAATTTGGCTAGGTATAGAATAATTTTCATGATTTTTGAGGCATTTATTCTTTTTTTTTCTGGTTTCTAAATTTTCTTCTGAGAAATTTGAACTCATTTTTATTCCTGATGTCAGATGATTGTTTTTCCCCTTCTGGAAGGTTAACTTTTTTTCCTTTATGTCTGGAGTTTTGAAATTTCATAACAATGTGTTTTGGAACAGATGTTATTTTCATTCATTATTCTGGGCAATTACTTTGTCATTTAAGTATAGAGACTCATGTCTTTGATTTCTTGAATTATTTCTTTGATTATATATTTTTTTCCCATTTCTTTGCAATTGTACCTTTTAGTGTATCCCTGGGGTGACATTTTACAATGCTTGTTCCTTCAGCTGTAATGATGGTAAAGTATTTTGAATATCATTCTCACTTTTCTTATCTTACTTTACAACTTGTGCTATACTTTCCACCTTAGTGAGGGTGTTTTATTCATAATACCCGAATATGCTAGGCTCATTATTTCTTTCTGCTGTTTCTCTAATCTGGATACTTTATCAGCTCTCAAATCCTACTAATGTCAATAGTGATATATACTAATCCTTCCCAAGTTTTGTAGTGCATATGAACTTTTCATTAATCACTTAAACCATAATTTCTTTTTGTCCTTGATCAGCATATTTTTTGCTCAAAGCATTCAGTTTACCTTTTGATTATATTCTATATTCAATTTATTATTTGTATTATTTGTAATCATCTGGAAATGTGCTGAGGGTCTTTAAGATCATTCCAGGATCATCCTGTCCTTTCCATGCTATACGGGTGAGATTAATCTGACAATTTAAATTCTGAGCCTCAGGAAGAGGCACTTGACCTGGGACAGAACGATCAGAGCACTCCAATCTCCCAGGCATGGGTGTTGGATCAGGGAGGACTGTAGCGGTCAAAGTAGGATCAGATTGCCCCCTGGGATTTGACCTAGGCTTACAAGGAAGACATGCTTTCATCCTTGGGGAATGCAAGTTGATTGCCATATTTCCAATTATGAAGAAAAAGCCTGTAGTAGAATAGATCTCACACAGAGAAACGGAGTGGAAAGACTGGAAGACAGAGTATGAGAGATGGAGAAGGAGAGATGGTGCAAGAATTGTTGCCTTGCTGATATCAATTTTTTCTTTTTCTATCTTAATGAAAACAATGTAATGTTATATTTGTTAATTTCCCTTATAGTTAGAGGTGGTCAGTTGATAGAGTTCTGACCAGTGAGATGTAAGTAGAAATCACTGAGAAAGACTTCCCAGAAACTCTTTAAAGAGAAAGAGCTGACTTTTATGACACAGATTATGTTTGTGTTCCATCCTTCTACTTTTTTCTACCTGCAATACATTTATTGTGGCTGAAGTTATAGTACCAAATTGGACAGTGAGTCAACCCTGAAAATCAAAGCCAAGTGGTAAGGATGATTTAGCAACATACTAGGAGTATGGATGACTGATGATTTTGGAGCCACCATCTCAGCATTAGATTTCCTACTTCTGTAATGTTAAAAAAAATTCAGCCAAATTAAATTTAAAGAAGTTTAATTGAGCAGTGAACAATTTGAGAGTTGAGCAGCCCCCAGAATTACAGCAGATTCAGAGAAACTCCAGGGATACCTTGTGGTCAGAACAAATTTATAGATAAAAATGGTTAATGACATACAGAATTGGAAATGAGGTAGAGAAACAGCTGGATTGGTTCCTTGGTGTTTGCCTTATTTGCACACAATTTGAACACAGCTGAAAGAATTTCACATTGGAGTGTTAATGTTCAAAGAGGCAATAAGAATCTTCCATCTGCACATCTACTTTGCCAGTCAAACTTTGCAGGAAAAGAGCTCTGTGTATGGAGTTAGGAGATTTAGGTTTGAATTTCAGCTTTGTCAGCTAGTGCTTGTGTGACTTTGTAGGTCATTCGACATTCTCAAGTAAGAGAATTAACTCCTTGAAGCTTGAAGTTTTTTATTAATAGAATAATTTTGTGCTTATCATCTAGGCTAAAATGTAAAAACAAGATAACAGTAAGTAAAAGAAAATAGAAGGTAGGTATATCCACTATAGGGCTTTGGAAGCAGATAGGCTGGTTATTCTTTGTTTCAACAAGGTGTTATTGGCTAACAATACCCCCTCACTGGCCATTAGTATAGTTTCTATGAGTTTATGCCATCATTTTGATCACTCAATATTTATTAGGTGCATATTATATGCTTAGAATGTGTATGTAGACACACAAAATGTATTCCAGTTGGAGGCTGTAGACCAGTAGCTATGAATAAACTATAACAAAAATGCTTTCTGGCACTCAAAGATAGTGATATATGTTATCTGCTTCTGTTTTTTAAAATAAAAAAAATTCTGTGCCTACGAAACAAAAATCATTATATGCTTCCTGTCTGAAGGCAGTGAATACATACTTATGATGACTGCTTCTTTGAAATGCCATGTATGTACAGATACTTCCCACCACCTCTTCCCTTTGTTTATTCTGAGAAATGAAAAGTGACTCAAGGTCATGGATTTAATTAATATTCTACTCAGGCTCAAATACAAATTAAATTGCACTTTGTTCCAAGTAGGTACAACATAATGCTGAGAAGCCTGTAAATTTCTTGTTATAAATCAGTCTTTTAGCAATCTTTTGTTTTATATTATATATTTTAGAATTTATATCTTCAAAAAATAGCTATCTAGTCTTTCTGGTTGGTTAGATTCTCCAGTAAAAAATCATGGACTCCTTGCTTTTTAGTTCATATGTCTCATCTTTAACACATTTTGCCGTTGCCCTTCTCAGGAGCAGGAATTGTCCCGTACTTCTTTAATTTTCTTCATAAAACCTAAGACATTTCTAGATATATACTAGACATTTAAAAAATGGTGAAATATTTGATTGAGAAAAAATAAAATTGCTTTAGTTTAGACCACCTTCTATTAGTAGCCAATAAAAGGCCACTTAAAAGTATATATATTTATGTAATACAAAGTATCCTAATAACTGAAATTGATATAATACATTGGAGTTTTCATACATTATCTCACCTGAATATTGCCCAAACCCTATAATGTAGGCTCTCTCAACTCCATTTTATAAATAATGACCCTGAGGCTCAGAGAGATTAGAATTAGTATAAAAAAGGGCTGATTTTCTTTTCTTTTCTTTTCTTTTCTTTTTTTTTTTGAGATGGAGTCTCGCTCTGTCGCCCAGGCTGGAGTGCAGTGGCGTGATCTCTGCTCACTGCAACCTCCGTCTCCCAGGTTCACATCATTATCTTGCCTCATCCTCCCAAGCAGCTGGCACTGAAGGCGCCTGCCACCACGCCTGGTTAATTTTTTTTTTTGTATTTTTAGTAGAGACAGGGTTTCACTGTGTTAGCCAGCATGGTCTCGATCTCCTGACCTCGTGATCTGCCCACCTTGGCCTCCCAAAGTGCTGGGATTACAGGTGTGAGCCACCGCACCCAGCCAAAAAGGCTGATTTTCTACCTCATATCTTCAGATTCCAAGTTATCTTCCCCTTTTATTCATTTAAAAAGTATTTATCGAGTGCCTGTGTCAGGAATTCTTCTACACCCTAGTGACAGAGCAGGGATAAAAAAGCCAAAAAATGTTTCCGCCCTTTATAAAATAGTGTCCACATGTTTGTGTCATTATTGCTGCCACTTTGTAAGTTTAGGTTTGCCAATTTAGGGAAGGGAGGGAGGAGGAATATTTTTGAGCATCAGGTGGATCATCAGGCATGTCCATGACCACATTTATTCTAATGTTACAACACTTCTGATGCCGCTATTATTATCGTCATTCTGTGGCTAGGGAAGGTAAATTGTCCAAATTCAGATGGTGGTAGCTGTGATTCGAACTCAGCTTTGTCAGACTATAAGTCTAGTGCTCTTTCCACCATGCCAGTTCATGGATTGCCAAAGCACAATCCATGAACAATCTGCCTCAGTATCACCAAAGCTTCACCTCAGGCCCAGATCATCTGAACCTCTGAGAGAGGGCCTGGGACCCTGTATTTTTAACATATATCCCAAGTTATTTTAAAGCAATTCAAAGTTTGAGAGTTTGGCATTGTAATATATTCCTTCAACATTATTTGCCAGGCATAGAGGAATATAGAAATCTCCCTTAATCATGAGTGTGATGACGCAAGCAGGAATTGGTTGAGAATGTTCTGAAGGGCTGTATACATCATTTCTAGCTAGAAACGGGGTCATGAGCTGATCCTGCGAGAATGGAAAGTACATTCCCAGAATTCCCTGCCAAAGGACCACTTCCTTCTTTTAGAGGAACAGGACAATTAAGAATGAGAACAATGGAGATGTGCCATTAAATTTCTAGCAAGAAGTAAGTGTAAATATTCGATGGGCTTCATAATGATGAAATCTTTGCATAGGTCTTTGCACAAATTGACTGTGAATCCTGTTAGTTATGAACACTAAACTTGATCTGGCCTCCTGAATCTAGGGAATCACTAAAACTTGAATTGAATCCCCATATAAACCTGGATGGGAGATATAAATATATATATATATATATTTTAGACAGTGTCTCACTCTGTCGCCCAGGCTGGAGTGCAGTGGCGCAATCTTGGCTCACTGGAACCCCTGCTTCCTCTCACTTCAACTTCCCGAGTAGCTGGAACTACAGGCACCCACCACTGCATGTGAATAATTTTTGTATTTTCAGTAAAGATGGGGTTTCACCATGTTGGCCAGGCTGGTCTCAAACTCCTGAGCTCAAGCGATCTGCCCACCTTGGTTTCCCAAAGTGCTGGGATTACATGTGTGAGCCTCCGTGCCTGGTGGAATATTTATATTTGAAGAAAAAGCGGTTGAAGGAAACATCCTATGCTTCCGTAATTGTCTGCCTCAACTTCTCCTTCATCCTCCAGTCAAGTTCATTTTGAGAACCTTGGTGACTGAAGATAGAATACAAATCTTTCTTATCCAGAACTTTGTCTAGATCTTCAACAGGAGAATTCAAACTCTATTCAGGTAACTAGAGAGGGGACTAAGGTAAATCTCTCCTTGTTTTGCTTTGCAATTAATAGGCCTGGAATAAGATTTCTCACTTCAGAGATGAAAATTAAAATATATAAAATTTATGAAAAAAATCTGTAGAAAATAAAGGAGAAGGATGAAGCATGCAAAAGACATGTTAATAACATTAAAAAGATTAACTATGAGAAATAAAATAAGTTAGTAACAATTTCTGACCATTTTTAGGAAATTCAAGAGAAAAGAGACTGAAGTAAGCTTAAAAATAAATGGAAGATGCAAGAGATCTAAGAAGATATAAGATAATAGAATTAAAATTTAAAAAGAACTGAGATGAGTCAAGGAAGAAAGAAGAAAATTTAGACCACTGAAGAAGTTAAAACCCCATTATAAATAATAAATAAAATTAACATTGGAGCCGGCTGCAGTGGCTAATGCCAGTAATTCCAACACTTTGGGAGACCCAGGTGGGTAGATGGCTTGAGGCCAGGAGTTTGAGACCAGCCTGGGCATCATGGCAAAACCCCATCTCTACAAAAAATACAAAAATTATCTGTGCATGGTGGTGCATGCCTGTAGTTCCAGTTATTCAGGAGGCTGAGGTGGGAGGACCCCCTGAGCATGGGAGGCTGCAGAGAGCCATGATTAGGCCACTGCACTCCAACCTGAGCAAAAGATTAAGACCCTGTCTCCAAAAAAAAAAAAAAAAAAAAAGGCCGGGCGTGGTGGCTCATGTCTGTAATCCCAGCACTTTGGGAGTCCGAGGTGGGAGGATCACGAGGTCAGGAAATCGAGACCATCCTGGCTAACATGGAGAAACACCATCTCAACTAAAAATACAAAAAATTAGCCAGGTGTGGTGGTGGGCACCTGTAGTCCTAGCTACTTGGGAGGCTGAGGCAGGAGAATGGTGTGAACCTGGGAGATGGAGGTTGCAGTGAGCGGAGACCACGCCACTGCACTCCAGCCTGGGTGACAGAGCGAGACGCCGTCTCAAAAAAATAAAAAAAAAAAAAAAAGAATTAACACTGGGGAAAGGAGATCACATTTGTGGGATTGGCAGGAAACCATACACACACACACACACACACACATACACACATATACACTCTCCCTGGTAGGATATAAAATGAATATTTAAAAATGATAAAAGAGGAAATAATGGACATTGAGGAAAGAAAGCAAAGAACCAACATACGTATTATTTGTGTTTCTGATGTTCAAATGGAGAACCGTTATGTTCTCCATTTGTTAAAGTGGCACAGAAAAAGATTAAAATGATTCAAAAAATGAACGAAGACCTGAGTCTGAAGGAAAGTCTCACCATATTTCAAGAAAGTAGCCCACACTGAGAAAAATACTGTAGGATTGAGAAAGAATCCTACAATCTACCAGGAACAAGAAACTGCCAATTACAAAGGAAATATACCATCAGGCTGGCCTCAACCTTCTCAGCAACTTCTGAGTCTAGTAGATAATGGAGCAATATCTCTAGATTTTTGAGGAGAAACTTATGAGAACCAGAAATTCTGTGTCCAACTTTTGTATTATTCATGAATAAAGGGAATAGGAAAATGTTTAAAAATGTACTAAAACTTTTCAAAAGCCAATTCTCCCTCCTGTAAAATCTTACTGATGGCATATTTCAGCTGAATTTATAAACATTTACCAAAATGTTTTAAAATTGCAAATGAAAAATCCATACTAAAAAAGAACTTATGGCGAGCAATGGTTTTATTTAAAATAGAGTTATATGTAAGAAACAAAATAACTTAAAGTTTTTGAAAAAAAGTTACGTGCTGTGAAAATCATGATTTTGTAAAACTGCACTAGAGCCAAAAACCAAAGTAGACATTGGAAAAGAAAGTGTGTAGGAGGAAAACTATAATATGCTCTACTGTTTTCTTCATCTCTTGTCAGGAAGAAAGAAAAGTTGTGTTTTGAAGTTGATACATTGAGAAATATAGTTTTAAGAAAGTTATATATATTTAAAGTAATAATTACTTCAAAAATTAAACTGTATTCTTCCAAATTTATTGAGGAAGTTGGTGAGAATAAAATAAATTAAGTGATTCCTCAAATGAGGTAGAGAGGAGATACTGTGCAAGCAAAAGGAAAACATAAAATCAGAAAATCTTTTTATCACTTCATTAATTAAAATATGGTTCTAATGGTCATCTACTATATTTAGATAGTATCAGACTGATCTTTTTTTTAAAAAAAACAGCTCCTGTATTCATCGATATTTTTGAAGGGTTTTTTGCATCTCTATCTCCTTCAGTTCTGCTCTGATCTTAGGTATTTCTTGCCTTCTGCTAGCTTTTGAATGTGTTTGCTCTTGCTTCTCTAGTTCTTTTAATGGTGATGTTAGGGTGTTGATTTTAGGCCTTTCCTGCTTTCTCCTGTGGGCATTTAGTGCTACAAATTTCCCTCTACACACTACTTTAAATGTGTCCCAGAGATTCTGGTACATTGTATCTTTGTTCTCATTGGTCTTAAAGAACATCTTTATTTCTACCTTTGTTTCGTTATGTACCCAGTAGTCGTTCAGGAGCAGGTTGTTCAATTTCCATGTAGTTGTGCAGTTTTGAGTGAGTTTCTTAATCGTGAGTTCTAATTTGATTGCACTGTGGTCTGAGAGACTGTTGTGATTTCTGTTCTTTTACATTTGCTGAGGAGTGCTTTACTTCCAATTATGTGGTCAATTTTAGAATAAGTGTGATGTGGTGCTGAGAATAATGTATATTCTGTTGATTTGGGGTGGAGAGTTTTGTAGATGTCTATTAGGTCCACTTGGTGCAGAGCCGAGTTCAAGTGCTAGATATCCTTGTTAACTGTCTGTCTCGTTGATCTGTTTAATATTGACAGTGGGGTGTTAAAGTCTTCCATTATTGTTGTGTGGGAGTCTAAGTCTCTTTGTAGGTCTCTAAGGACTTGCTGGTTTTTTGAAAAGATCAATAAGATTGATAGACTGCTAGCAAGACTAATAAAGAAGAAAAGAGAGAAGAATCAAATAGACCACTGACCCCACAGACCCCACTGACCCCACAGAAATATAAACTACCATCAGAGAATACTATAAACACCTCTATGCAAATAAACTAGAAAATCTGGAAGAAATGGATAAGTTCCTGGACACATTCACCCTCTCAAGACTAAACCAGGAAGAAGTTGAATCTCTGAATAGACCAAAAACAGGCTCTGAAATTGAGGCAATAATTAATAGCCTACTAACCAAAAAAAGTCCAGGACCAGACGGATTCACAGCTGAATTCTACCAGAGGTACAAAGAGGAGCTGGTACCATTTCTTCTGAAACTATTCCAATCAATAGAAAAAGAGGGAATCCTCCCTAATTCATTTTATGAGGCGAGCATCATCCTGATACCAAAGCCTAGCAGACACACAACAAAAAAAGAATTTTAGACCAATATCCCTGATGAACATCGATGCAAAAATCCTCAATAAAATACTGGCAAACCAAATCCAGCAGCACATCAAAAAGCTTATCCACCATGATCAAGTTGACTTCATCCCTGGGATGCAAGGGTGGTTCAACATACGCAAATCAATAAACGTAATCCGTCTCATAAACAGAACCAATGACAAAAACCACATGGTTATCTCAATAGATGCAGAAAAGGCCTTCGATAAAATTCAACAGTGCTTCATGCAAAAAACTCTCAATGAAGTAGGTATTGATGGATTACATCTCAAAATAATAAGAGCTATTTATGACAAACCCACTGCCAATATCATACTGAATGGGCAAAAACTGGAAGCATTCCCTCTGAAAACTGGCACAAGACAGGGATGACCTCTCTCACCACTCCTATTCAACATAGTGTTGGAAGTTTTGGCCATGGCAATCAGGTAGGAGAAAGAAATAAATGGTATTCGATTAGGAAAAGAAGAAGTCAAATTGTCCCTATTTGCAGATGACGTGATTGTATATTTAGAAAACCCCATCGTCTCAGCCCAAAATCTCCTTAAGCTGATAAGCAACTTCAGCAAAGTCTCAGGATACAAAATCAATGTGCAAAAATCACAAGCATTCCTATGCACCAATAACAGACAAACAGAGAGCCAAATCATGCGTGAACTCCCATTCGCAATTGCTACAAAGAGAATAAAATACCTAGGAATCCAACTTACAAGGGATGTGAAAGACCTCTTCAAGGAGAACTACAAACCACTGCTCAAGGAAACAAAAGAAGGCACAAACAAATGGAAGAACATTCCATGCTCATGGATAGGAAGAATCAATATCGTGAAAATGGCCATACTGCCCAAGGTAATTTATAAATTCAGTGCCATCCCTATCAAGCTACCGATGACTTTCTTCACAGAATTGGAAGAAAACTACTTTAAAGTTCATATGGAAACAAAAGAGAACCTGCATAGCTAAGACAATCCTAAACAAAAAGATAATATCAGACTGATTATATTTGTTACAGTAATATAAATTAGATATAGTCACTTATTAACTAAAGAAATTTAAAAGATATCTGCTCTTCTTACAAATATCTTCAATCATAATTTTTCGCCGTCTTCAAATGGGCAATCAAATAACATTTTTAGCTATGCCTTTCTTGACCACCCTATATTAAGTAGCGATTCTCCTATTCATACACTGCCTATCACTTTTCTGTTTCCTTTTCCTTTTTAATTTTTATGAATGTCTAATGGATTTTCATTTTAATATTTCATTTCATTTTTTCATGTGTTACCCTCTGCCAGAGCATAAACTACTCAGAAGCAGATTTTAAAACAATCTCTTTTCTTTATTTTTGTTTACTCTTTCATCCTTAGAGCCCCAAACAGCAGCTGGTATGTGCTTGATACTCAATACATACTTGTTGAGTGAATGAGTAAATGAATGAAATGAATGAAAGTATGAATTAAAAAATCATGACCTGTATATATAACAAAGAATAACATATCAAAATACATAAGACATATAAACACAAAGATAAGAGTAGTGTGAGACATTAAGTGGTTTTCTCAGTTTATAGAGGGTTAAGAAGAAAAACAAAATAAGTAAGTGTTTGAAGATCTAAATAACATAATTACTAAGTTTTACTTAGTAGATATGTTTCAAATTCTATATGTATTAAGTAGGGAATGTTATTAGCAATATTGGAGTAACAGGGAATACATTATTCATTCTCCCTACAGCTGTGAAATATTTACAAATATTGACCACATATTAAGACTTAAATATGTTAAAAATTTCTAAGAATAAAAATAGTAGAAAACTGCTATCTATGCACAGTATAATAAGATTAGAAAAAAGTTTTAAAAAAACTTGAAAAAAACGAAAGTACTGAAACATTTTAAATATTTTTTCTTTATACATCTTTGGTCAAACAGGAATTTGAAAAAAAATCTGTAGTGGATAATGATAAAGCACTATATAATAAAATTATGAAACCTAGAATAATTATTCAGGGGCAAGTTCATTTTCCTGAGCACTTTAATTTGTAAGCAAAAAATTAAAATAATTAAACTTTAAAAAAAATTTTTTTTCAACCTGACAGATAAAATTGTATTTACATTGTACAAACATCTTGTTTTGAATTATATATACACTGTGGAAAGACTAAATCTAGCTAATTAATATATTCATATCCTCAAATAGTTTACCATTTTTGTTGTAAGAACAGTTTACATCCATTTTCTTAGCATTTTTCAAGAATATAAAATATTTTTAATTATAGTTATTATGTTGTATGATAGCTCTCTTTAACTTATTCTTCCTATTGAACTTAAATTTTTATCCTTTGACCAACAGATTCTCCATCTCCAGTCTGTGCTAACCATGATTCTCTACATCTGCAAGATGAACTTTTCTAGATTTCGTATATGAGTGAGATTAAGTGGTATTTGTCGTTCTCTGCGCAGCTTATTTTACTTAACATAATGTTCTCCAGGTTCATTCATTTTGCAAATGACAGCATTTCCTTCTTTTTTAGGGCTAAATAATATTCCATTGTGTATATATACTACATTTTCTTTACCCATTGATGGACACAGGTTGATTCCATATTGGGCTGTTATAAATAGTTCTGCAATAAACATGGGAGTGCAGATATCTCTTCAACATACTGATTTCCTTTCCTTTGTCTATATACCTAGTAGTGAGATTGCTGGATCATATGGTAGTTCTATTTTTAGTTTTTTGGGAAACCCTCATACTGCTTCCCATAATGTCATAATGGCTGTCCTAGTTTATAATCCCATTAGCAGTGTCTAAGTGTTCTCTTTTCTCTACCTCATTACCAACACTTGTTATCATTTGGCTTTTTGATAATAGTCATTTTAAGAGTTGTGAGGTGATATCTCTTTGTGGTTTGACTTGTATTTTCCTGTGCCGCCTGGGATTGAAAGAGGGTGACATGAGTCATGTAAAACTGTTCTTCCTCTTCAATGTGTCTTTTCTCATTTTTGTGCTATAACTAGGTATTGTAATCCTTCAGTTTGTTTCCTTAGCTCTTATGAAGATATTTTGGTGCATTGATAGTTATTCTAATTGATGCTTCTGCAGGGGGATGATTGTTGGAGAGTCCTACTTTATCATCTTGCTTTGTACCTCTTCCAGAATTAAAAATATTATTAAAGAAGATAAAAGAAAAAAAATGAAGTAACCCTAGCAAAGCAAATAGAAGGAAAATGTAACATTCTGGAAGTAGGGGGTGATATCTGGGAATTTAGATCCTATAATTCCTGACAAGATTTAAAGTATTTCTTATGAATAAGGGGAAAGGGCCAGGATCATTTTCAGCAATGGGGCAGGGACCCCCTCTGATTCTGAAGGGGGTCTCAAAAGAGCTGTCTCACCTTTTAAAAAGTGGCACATACCAGCCTTTTGCCAGTAACTGAATAAGCTGACTAGTGGCTTAGTGACCAGTCAGATGACATACCCCAAATTACTTCAGGACTGAATTACTAAAATGCCAGTACAAGACCTGATTCTTGACTAAGGGCATGGGGGCTGGGTTCAGGTAACTTCAAATCCTTTGGAAAAGGATGGACCAACATGTAAAACTCCCCTGCTTCAGTCCTTTTATTTATAATCAGCCTGCAAATCCAAATTCTAAAACTAATGACAGAATATAATGTGGAGGAAGATAACACAATCAATATTTGGGAAAAATCAATATTTGGAATGTGAATTTACACCAGATTATATTTTTAAATTAAAATGTAGTTAAGTACTTAGGTTAAGCGTGCTTTTAGGGTTTGCACATTATTAAATGAAGATATCACTTCCATTTAAACTAAAAGAAACTTGAGTTAGTTATAAAATAAAACCAATAAGAAATAAAATAAAAATAGAGGATAAATAAGAAAATAATTAATGTAAGTGCTTATATAGTATATTCATTGACATAAAAATTCAATAGGTGAAATAAACTGTAGATGGTACAGAAATTAAAAAAGATTAGTAAACTGGAAGATGGTACTGAGGAATTCATCCTGAACATAGCACAAAGAAAGAGAGAGTTAAAAAATGAGTTAAAAAATGTGAAAGAACCGTTGAGACAAGAGGGCTAATTGGATGACTCCAACATCTGTCTACTAGGAGACACTGAAGATGAGAAATTAAGGCCTTGGAAGAGAAGCAATATTTGAAAGGGTAGTTAAGGATTTTCCAAAATTGAAGAAATTGCTCTTTTTTCCTCCCAGATGAGAGAAACAAATCATTTATTTGTATGGGAAATAATAGTTAGAACTACCTCTATCAGTAGATGAGAGGGGATTAGACTACACAGTACAGTAGAGACACTGACCTTGCATGGGAGCAAGTTAGTTCTTCCATTGGAGTCCACATGTCTATGGGCACAGTGGGAGATATTATATGTCGTGGTAGGAACCATGGAGGGTTATCTTCAAATCAGTTCTTCCATTGGAATTCAGGTGTCTGGGCAGAGTGGGAAATGTTAGATATCGTGGTAGGAACTCTGGAGGCTATCTTCTGATTTCTTCTGTGTTCTCAGTAAACTGGGAAGTAGACTCACCAGCTGAGGATGAGGATATAGGAGGAGATATTAGAAGTCTGAGGAAAAAATACTCTAGGAGAGTAAGAGTATGGATGACTAGGAAAATACATATTGAGGTCAGTGGTTACATTGACAGAATACTTAGAATCCATTTGGGGTCAATGGTTACACATGTATAGTGAGAAGAGTCAGCTATCTTCTTCTCCAGCCACATTCAACAGTGTGGTATGAAGGAGAGACAGACCTTAATTTAACCAAAGCTAGAGTAGAGAGAGGCAGAGGATCTGAGATGATACATAAAGGTGGGTTTACTAGCATTTGAGCATGGACTTTCAGTTAAGTAAGAGGAAAATAAGAATGTGAAAGAATGAACAGTGAATAAAGGTGGGTGAATTATTGAATAATTAGTTTTAGTGGGGTTGAAGAATTATTGGATTTGGGTATTAGAGAATGATTTGGAATGATTGGAGGTATGATCGGACAACAGGATGCTTGAAATCAGTATCATGGAAGGGGTTGAAGTTATTAGTAATGACAAGCTCTATGCTGAGCTTTCCAATTAGAGTGACAAAAATTGGTTATAGTTTTACCACAGTGATTAATCTGCTCAGCCCCTCAAACAGCTAGATAAACCTGAAGTGGCCAGAACCCTCAGGTCCAAGAGCAGCCTTCTCCTATTCCTATTCCTCTGATGTGCCATACAATCACCTTCTTTGCATGCATGACGTGAAAATGGTTGGAATGCACTGGTCTAATATGTGACTATATGAATGAGTAGCCAAGATAATGGGAGGATAGGAGATAGTATTGGAAAAATAATTCCTATGAATTTACAATATCTTTTCTATGCCATTTTAAAATCCATTCCCATGGTTGTGCAAATGATGAGGAATTATGTCAGGAGCAATGTTGAGAAAGTAACTCAGAAGCAGGAGTGAAAATTTTCAAGGACCTCTCGGAAACAAGTCAGGGATCTTATTGTGACTTTAACATGTAGAAGTAGTAATGGTGTAGCCTCATGACGTGAGATTCTAAAAGCCTGTTTTTTTTTTTTCTAGTGGCAGAATGCCTTGGATATGTTAATGAAGATAAAATTATATGTTCTGTAAGGGCTGAAGGGATCTTTAGGAGTCAACCAATCTTGTAACAAGAAAGAATGTTGGAATAAGAAGTTGTGGCTTGACCTTTTGTTCTAAAAGGCACTTTGGAGAGGGACAGAAATAATGTTAGAAAAAGGGATGTGTGGAGCCAATGGGGTTAGAATTCAGTGGTAAGGGGTACTTGGAGAATCTTGGAATTTCTATGGTGACAGAAACATTATTTAATTATCACTGATGCTTTTAAGATGATAATTTAAGATGGATGATGGAGGTGTGTCTGTGGATAGTGAGACGAGCGAAATGGTGAGGCTTTTTGCCAGAACACTTGGCAAACTTTCACCTCCCTCCCTGAACATAAGCTATTCTGGGTCTCTTTTCTCATTTTGACTTTGCTGTTCCAGGACGTGTCTCCTAGTTTACTTCAGTGTCTCATGTGCCGGTTTTCAGCATCCTATTTCACTCATAAAAATGTCTTCAATTATAAAGAACTTTCTTTTTTTATTGATAGAAAAGCAAGTTTGAGTACATGAGAAACTGAGTAGATATGAATGTCTAGGTCTTTTGCTGAGTTGGAGAAGAGTGAGTACTAAATTAGGAAGAAAATCAAGGCATCTCTTACTGTCATGGTAAGCTTGAGACAGATCTCCACTAGAAGGCATGCTACATCGCGGGGGAGGCAGGGGGTATGGATATTTATCTACTTGGTTCTTTCAGTGCTTAATACTCAATGCCTAGACAGGTGCTTGAGATATAATGTAGGCTCTCTCTTTATATTTGTTGAATGAGTAAGTGAATAAATGAATAAATTAAAAAATGAATAAAATAATAATAGGTTACCAAATGAAGATATCAAATAGAGTCTGGAGAGTCACAGAGACTAGAGCTCAGGGAAGAGAGGTCAGTACCAGAGATATAAACACATGTTCATTCAAGAAAAGTATGAAAAGTATGATGATGGTGATGGTAATATACTTTGGATATCTGTCCCCACCCAAATCTCATGTTGAATTGTAATCCCCAGAGCCAGAGGTGAGGCCTGGTGGGAGGTGTTTGGGTCATGGGGGTGGATCCCTCATGGCTTGGTGTTGTCTTTGTGATAGTGAGTTCTCATGACATCTGGTCATTTAAAAGTGTGTGGCACCTCCTCTCCAGTCACTCTCTCTCTTGTTCCTGCTTTTGCCATGTGAATAGCCTGCTTCCCCTTCACCTTCTGCCATGACTGTAAGCTTCTTGAGGCTTCCCCAGAAGCTGAGCAGATGCTAGCACCATGTTTCCTGTACAGCCTGCAGAACGATGAGCCAATTAAACTTCTTTCCTTTATAAATTACCCAGGCTCAGGTATTTCTTTATAGCAATGCAAGAATGTAGATGGTGATGATGACAATGACAAACCATTACACAGAGATATTGTTAACATTTTTGTACATAAGTTTTCTATGCAAATACTAGAAAAAATAAAATTGCACTGTATATACAGTTTGTAATTTGCTATTTTCTGTTAATATTTTATGGCTTTCACTGTCACCACATATTCATTTACACTATTTGAACTGATGGCATGTTGTGTTTTTGAATAAAATGTGTGTTCTTCCATAGTATATTTATTAAATATTTATTTATATCAAATTCCAAATTCTGTTAGATTTTTTATTATGCTTTCTCCTAGCAAACTCTGTGAATATTTTAAATGATTACCTTAGAAGAAATTTTCTAAAAGTGCAAATAATGAGTCAAAACAATTGAAATTGCGCTTAATAAAAGCTTAATGGGCACTGCCACATTCCAATCCAAAAAGATAAATTCCCAGTACTGATGTATAACAGCGCTTTCTTCTGCAACAGCAGATGTTACCTTTCTCTTTTTTTTTTTTTTTTGAGATGGAGTCTCGCTCTGTCGCTCAGGCTGGAGTGCAGTGGCGTGATCTTGGCTCACTGCATGTCCGCCTCCCAGGTTCACTCCATTCTCCTGCCTCAGCCTCCTGAGTAGCTGGGACTACAGGTGCCTGCCACCATGACCGGCTAATTTTTTGTATATTTAGTAGAGACGGGGTTTCACTGTGTTAGCCAGGATGGTCTCGATCTCCTGACCTCATGATCTTCCCACCTCGGCCTCCCAAAGTGCTGGGATTACAGGCGTGAGCCCCCGCACCAGGCCTACCTTTTTCTTTTCTTTGCTATTTTTTCCTTTTCTGACAGGTCTCTATTGCTTTGAAAACTTTCAAATAATGTAACTTTATATGAGGACACTTTGGGGAAAAAGTCAGTTTTTTACTAAGAGCAGAGAAATAGTTTTACCACTATGTGCATCTGTAACATTTTAAGGAAAACAAGTGGGTGTTTTAGTCACTTGGGGCTGATGCAGTAAAATCCATAGACTGAGTGGCTTAAACAACAAAAATTTATTTCTCACAGTTCTGTAGGCTGGAAGCTTGAGATCATGGTGCCTCATGGTTGGGTTCTTGGTGAGGACCCTCTTTCTCATTCACAGATGGCCATCTTCTTCTCATTTTGTCCTCACATGGCTGAGAGCAGAGAGAGAGGTGCAAGCTATCTTATTACTCTTCTTATATGGGTGCTAATCTCATACTTGAGGATTGTACCCCAATTGTTTAATTTACCCTCCAAAGGCCCCAGCTCCTAATACCATCACATTGAGGATTAGGATGTCAACATATGAATTTGGTGAAGATACACTATTCAATATGTAGCAGTGGGGATACGTTCTCTTAGAAACATGAATCTGATCATTCCCAAATACCTGATTTTAAATTATTTAAGCCAAAGAAACTCTGTCAGTACATTCAATGTCACATTAATTGAATAACAGCAGCTATTTTATTTTCTGTGAAGTAAGACTGATTAAAAAGTCTCTCCTTTATCCTTTGAGATCTACGGATGACATAAAAATATAGAGAGGTACTAACATAAAATAGGAAAATATTTAAGTAAATCTAAATTGGAAAAGTTTTAGAAAAATGATTTGCATATATGTTCTTTAGAAATATTTACAAACTTTCACTTATATATCCTCATATATTTTCTTTTACATCTCACTTAGTATTTAAATAAGAAATGTTTTCTCTGAAGCTAGTAATAAAACCAAGTCAATGTCTCAGCATAAGGTTTATATCCTCTTTTTATTTTATGAATCTCTCCGTGTTGAGACAAACACATACCTGTGGTTCTCAAGAGCAACAATCTCATTTTTCAAACAGGCGAACACTGTAAGTGATAATCCCATGACTGCAGAGGATGTGAAAGGCAATAAACTCCTTCTGCTTCATAAACAGAGATGAAACCTTTACTGCTGAAATCTCTACTGCTGAGTGACAGGTTCCACCACTCTGGGAACCTGTTTGTTGTGCAAACAACAAAGCAAGATTGTCAGACCAAGGATGTGAAGATTTTTCTTACTCTTTCAAAAAAAATTTGCTTTAAAGGCAAAATTAAAGAAATTTACATGAAGAAATAGAAACAGCAAGCAATGGAGGCTGTAATTGTATAGAGGAACGGGGTGAGATGTATCTTCAATCAGGATATCAGAGGCAAGAATTGAGATCTATGCCAACAGAAACAGAAAGGTGAATGGGTTACTCAAAACATTATGACTGGGAGCATTTTCTGAGGCTTAGAGAAAAAAATCAGACACAAGAAAGGAGGAATGAGCATATATTGTATATATACCAAAACATAGTATCAAACTGCATATTTAAGTCATCACTTGGATAACTTTTCACTTTGAAAAGCAATACTAAAGAAAAAATAGAGGGAAGATTTTAGGAATTCCCTGCCATTCTACCACCCAAAGACTTTCCCATTTTGATGTGTGTCTTTCTTCAATGGTTTTAAATGTGCAGGTTTTTAAAAACCTTTTTTTTGGCCGGGCGTGGTGGCTCACGCCTGTAATCCCAGCACTTTGGGAGGCCGAAGCGGGCAGATCACAAGGTCAGGAGATCCAGACCATCCTGGCTAACACGGTGAAAACCCATCTCTACTAAATATACAAAAAATTAGCCGGGCGTGGTGGCGGGTGCCTGTAGTCCCAGCTACTCAGGAGGCTGAGGCAGGAGAATGGCGTGAACCTGGCAGGTGGAGCTTGCAGTGAGCCAAGATCGCGCCACTGCACTCCAGCCTGGGGGACAGAGCAAGACTCCACCTCAAAACAAAAACAAAAACAAAAACAAACAAAAAAAAACTTTTTTAAATTATAAAAGTTATTATAGTAAATCAAACAACCCAGACATTTATATGATACAGAGTTAAAAATCCTTCAGTTTTTTTTTTTTTTTCAGTTTTCTTCAAGTAAAGCACTGTTAAATTTTATTTGTATTTTTCTAGACATGGTCTATGCACATGATACCAACTATATAATAAAATATATAAATGCTGTATTATATATAGCTTAATCATACTATATATGAGAGATATAAATCTCAACTCTAGAGTTGCAAGAGTAAGACCTCATTACTTCTTTAGTGTTGTAGCTCCCAGTCCTTTCTAAAGAAATATTTTTCCTTTTGACAATTCTAGCACCTTGCCACTTTGGCTCATATTTATTCCATTTCTTTCTCTTTCTCTCAGGTAACAAGGTCTATTTATTTTGTTCTTTCGACAGGCCATGGATAATCTAATTATGCACTTGAATTTCTTGTGGATCACACAAAGATAAATTGTATACCTCTCATGATGTATTGATTCACGCAACATTTGCCATGCAGTTGACCCAGAGAAACACAATTACTGCTGTTACAGTTCATTTAAAAGAGTTTTCAACAGTATATGATGTTATCATCTTAGAATTGATGATCTTTTGGGGGATAGACCATATATATATATACACACACACACACATATATATACACACACATATATATACATATATATACACACACACATATTCTGTTGCCAGAACCTAACAAAACTAAAAAATATATCATACTCAATATGGTTTCCTATAAAATACTTCTACTTTTTTCTAGATGAGAAGAAAACATTATCTTTAATTCTTAAGGTTAGCAGTTTTACAGTTAGAAAATGAAGAATCTGTTTCTTTATGTCACTGAGTTTTGTTGACTTCCTGTAAGGACTGATAATATAGTATGGACTATGCAAATAGGGAATGTTAAATGATTTTTCCCATCATAGTTTATTTTGGGTTAAAATTTCTCCTTTTGTTGTAGGCTCATTCTAAAATAATTTACACATACATACAAACATAAATATGAAAAGATGGACCTTTGACAATAATGTCTCATGTTTTATGTACATTTATGTACACTTTTATCAATATGTTATTTATGACACAGTGACAGGCTTCTAGTTTCAATTATCATGTTTTGAGGTGACAAAACATCGATTCCTATTCTTCAATGAGTAGTATAATTGTGAATTATCAAATGAAGTTACATATCTTTTATATAAAAGTCTGAAGCTACTAGTTACTGTGTCTTTTATTTTTATACATTTATCTTTCTCCATGGATGTTACCTGGTAATAAAGTTAATATTATTAACATTCTTTTCTTCTTTTTTCATAGTAAATAAAAATTTTTGTTAAGGATTTAGATGACACACATATTTTGGAAACATATACCATGCTTGTCTGTTATAATCACTTAAAAATAACCATTAGAACATGTCAACGAACTCCTCAAACTTGTTAGTTAACATGGGACTTTCTCTTCTCTACAATTTTTTTTAAAACAATATTTCAAATGTTTTAAAGTCGAATTGACTTGATTATATACTCTATTTTCATTTGTTTGTTTTGAGCCACAATCTCATTCTGTCGCCCAGGCTGGAGTACAGTGGTGCGATCTTGTCTTACTGCAACCTCGGCCTCCCAGGTTCAAGGGATTTCCCTGCCTCAGCCTCCCGAGTAGCTGGGACTACAGGCCTGCACCACCACGCCCGGCTGATTTTTGTATTTTTTTAGTAAAGACAGGGTTTCACCATGTTGGACAAGCTGGTCTGGAACTCCTGACCTTATGATCTGCCCTTGTCGGCCTCCCAAAGTGCTGGGATTGCAAGCGTGAGCCACCGTGCCCAGCCTACTGTATTTTTTTTTTTTTAAAGCTCCTAGTTGTTATTTGTTTCTAAGGACCAGGAGAGCAAGAACTGCCATCCGCTTCCTGTGTATATTCTGAAGCAAGGGCTGGTTATACAAATAGAGCAGCCGACAAGAAACATGAGTATAGCAGCCAGATTAATTCCTTTGACACAGACATGCTTGGTTTGCATTTTGAAAGATGGGACTACTGTAAAGAAATGTGTGCATTGCCATTTAAAAAATACTCTTGGTTTTATTTTTCACTTTTTCATAGACATGGACAAAAGAAATATTTCTTTTACTTTCCTGTTAACATTGCTATTAAAATAAGAATTATCATGCAAATGTACATATTTAACCTATCCCCCAAAAGACCATCAATTCTAAGATGATAACATCATACACTGTTGAAAACTCTTTTTTTTTTTTTTTTTTGAGATGGAGTCTCTCTCTCTTGCCCAGGCTACAGTGCAGTGGCGCGATCTTGGCTCACTGCAAGCTCTGCCTCCCGAGTTCACACCATTCTCCTGCCTCAGCCTCCTGAGTAGCTAGGACTACAGGCGCCCACCACCACACCTGGCTAATTTTTTTTATTTTTTTATTTTTAGTAGAGGCGGGGTTTCACCGTGTTAGCCAGGATGGTCTGGATCTCCTGACCTCGTGGTCCGCCCACCTCGGCATCCCAAAGTGCTGGGATTACAGGCGTGAGCCACTGTGCCCAGCCAAAAACTCTTTTAAATAAACTGTAACAGCAGTAATTGTGTTTCTCTGGGTCTACTGCATGGAAATTTTCATATAACTTTTGATTCACCCGAAACTTAACTACTAGTAGTCTGTTGTTGACAAGAGGCCTTACTGAACACATAGTCAAATAACACATATTTTGTATGTTTTATGTATCATGTAAGGGATATATATATGTTATATATAGTATATATTAACACATATATTTACAAAATATATTAACACAAATTTTGTATGTTATATGTATTACATAAGGGATCTTCAAAAAGTTCATGAAAAATTTGTATATTATGAAAAAGCTAAGGATAGATTTCAAAACTTTTTTGCACCAAAAGAAACTCATGCTATCTTGTAACATGTCTGAACAGGATCTAGTTTGAGGCACTGAAGATAAGACCTCAGTTTCAGAAGAGACTCTGTCAGAGCAAGAACAAATTTGTGGTGAAGCTTGTGTGGGAGAATGATGAAAATGCTGATGCTTTATAAAAAAGTTTATGGGGACAATGCCCCAAAGAAATTAGCACTTTAGAAATGTATAATTTGTGTTAAGAAAGCAGATGTTGAAGATAAAATCCACAGTTTAAAAGATACAGCAGACCATCCACGTTAATTAGTGAGGAAAAAATTAATCTTGTTCATGCCCTAATTGAGGTGCACTGACAATTTATAACAGAACAATAGCCAGCACCACAGACATCTCAATTGGTTCAGCTTACACAATTCCGACTGAAAAATTAAAGCTGAGCAAAATTTACACCTGACTGATGCCAAAAGTGTGCCTAGATCAGCTGCAGGCAACAGTAGAGCTTTCAATGGAAATTTTAAACAGGTGGGATTGAGATCCTGAAGCATTTTTTCAAAGAATTGTAACAGGAAATGAAACATGGCTTTACCAGTATGATCTTGAAGATGAAGCACAATCAAAACAATGGCTACCAAGGGGTAGAAGTGATCCTGTCAAAGCACAGGCAAACCAGTCAAGAGCAAAATTGTGGCAACAGTTTTTGGGAGGACGCTCAGAGCATTTTGTTTGGTGACTTTCTGGAGGGCCAAAGAACATCTGCTTATTATGAGAATGTTTTCAGAAAGCCAAAGCTTTAGCAGAAAAGCCTAGAAAAGCTTTACCAGAGAGTGTTTTTTCACAATAACAATGCTCCTATTCATTCCTTTCATCAAACAAGGGCAATTTTGTTACAGTGTTTATGGAAAATCATTAGGTATCCACCTTACAGTCCTGAATTGGCTCGTTTTGACTTCTGTTTCCTAATCTTAAAAAATCTGTAAATGGCACCCATTTTTCTTCAGTTAATTATGTAATAAAGACTGCATAGATGTGGTTAAAATCCAAAGATTCTTAGTTCTTTAGGGATGAACTAAATGTCTGGAATTATTGCTTTAAAAAGTATCTTGAACTTGCAGAAGCTTATGTTGAAAAGTTTATATTTTTTAGTTTTATCTTTTATCCATGTTTCCATGAGCTTTTTGAAGTCCCTGTATACTGTATTCTTACAATAAAGTAAGCTAGAGTAAAGAAAATGTTAAGAAAATCATAAGGAAGTGAAATTACATTTATGGTACTGTGCAATATTGATTCTGTATGTTTACTTTGTCTGTTTACAAGATGAATCATTTGTCTGAAATGGTGGGTCTCTGCAGCAGTAGACATAGATCTATGGTACATATCAAGCAATTCAACTTTATTTTTTGGTGATGTCATGACTTTTCTCTGCTTCTTGGGAGTACTTCCATCATCACTAATGGCACTTTGTATGGGTCTGATGATGATATTCAAGGTTTAAAGTATTGCCTGAAATATAATGAAAAATACATGAGAACCAACAGAGATCACTATTTACTGCAATACACGATATACTGGAGAGATGAATGGCTCACATGGAGATGATGAGCATCACACAGTGTTTTAAGTAGATACTTGCAACACTTGAGCTCACCACAATAGCAAGAGGAGATAGCTATTCAATTATTACAGTAGTAAGGTATATACAGTATTATAGTTAATTTAATGCAGTTATGATTTAATTCTACATCTTTGTGTTTGTTTACATTTCTCACAATTGCAAATGGCATCATGTATGGTCTGTGAATGTTGTGTACATAAGTTTTGATACATTTCAACTATTCACAATACATTTGTTTATGTTCTATGGTAGTAAATGATAAAACAGACCAATATCTATATATATTTTATGCATTCATAACATATCTAACTTTTTATTTTTTTAAATATATTTCTAGGCTATACAGTTCACTTGCAACTTTTGAAAAATTGTTGCAAATCTCCAAAAATTTTTCCAATATATTTATTGGAAAAAAACCTATGTATAAGTGGACCTGTGCAGTTCAAACCTGTGTTGTTCAAGTGTCAACTGCATATTGATTTAATTGGTTTCAGTGCAGTAAGACTTTGAAATGGCCTTGAGATAATTTGTAATTGTTTATAACTTTGCATGTAGTTTCTTAACTTAAATACCTCAGCTATACATAATGTTAGTATTTTATTGAAAAAAATGTGTGTAATTCTTATTAAAAGATGACTAACAATAGCATTTCCAGGTTTAATCCATTAGTAAATTGTTCCATTAGCACAGAATTAGAAGCTCAGGGATTGACCACAGATCCACTAATCAAGGAGAATATTGTTTGTTCTATACTTCATTATATTATTATCATTACTGTATAGTTTACATGCAATACAATTCACACATTTAAGTGTACAGTTCAGTGTTTAAATTTCCATCAAGCCAGTTAATATATAGGACATATCCTTGTGCCCAGAATGTTCCCTCGTGTGCTTTTGAGTCAGTGGCTTACATCTCAACTAATCCCAGGCAATCACTGATCTGATTTGTAAAACAATAGATGAATTTTGCCAGTTCTAGAATTTCACATAAACGGAATCCTTGCATAAGCAGTTGAAAAAATAATTCATTCTTCTTTCTCTCTGCACTATGTCTGTGAGATTACCCATGTTGTTACTTTTTTTATCAATCTTTGTTTTTATCCAAGTTCTTTCATGATTATCCATGGTTATTCTTTTTATTGCTGAGTGGTGCTACACTGTGTGAATATACCAAATTGTATTAATGCACCCCCTTGTTGAAGATATCTGTATTCTTTCCAATTATTGGCTATTATGAATAGGCTGCTATGAACCTCTGAGTTGAAGTCTTTGTTTGAACATGTTTTAATATATTTCAAGTAAATATCTAGAGTGTTTGCTAAGTAATATGCAGAGTAATTTTAACTTTATGATTAATAAACTGTGAAACGATTTCACTTTTATCACTCCCACTAGTAATCCCTGGGAGTTCCAATTGTTCCACATTTCTACTAACACTTGTCAGTAGTCAGTCTTAAACCTCAGCCATTCTGGAGGGTATGAAGCCATATATCATTGTACTTTTGACTTAAACTCCCTGAAGACAAATTATTTTGAAAACTTTTTCATGTGCTTACTTGTAACTTTTATGTTTGTTTATGAAGTATATATTCAAGTATTTCACTCTGCTTTTATTGTTTATTCTCTTATCATTGAATTTTTAAATATATCCTGATTATAGGCCTTTGTTAAATATGTGTATAGAGGATATTTACTCCCAGTCTATAGCTTGCCTTTCTACTTTCCTAATCATATAGTTAGAAAAAAAGTTTTAATTATGATGGATGTATGAAAATATTGAGTCTTCCAATTGATGAATGTGATAAATCTCTTCACTTATTTAGACCTTTTATTTTCCCATTGATATTTAATACTTTCATGTAGTGTTCTTGAGCATATTTTGGTGAGGTAGGTGTGAAGGAAAATTCTGAGTGAGTGTGTACCTTGCCAGATGTGATACAGATATAAAAATTGATGTGTAAGCTGGGCACAGTGGCTCACACCTGTAATTCCAGCACATGGGGGGCTGAGGTGAATTGCCTGAGGCTGGGAATTTGAGACCAGCCTGGATAACATGATGGAACCCCATCTCTACAAAAATACAAAAATTAGGTGGGTGTGGGGTGCATATTGGTAGTCCTAGCTACTTGGGAGGCTTAGGTTGGAGGATTGTTTGAGTCCAAGTTGTCAAGCCTGCAGTGAGCCATAATCAGGCCACTGAACTCCAGCCTGGGCAACAGAGCAAGACCCTATCTCAAAAAAAAATTGAGGTTTAAAGCTAAAATCCTTAAGACTTTAACTATATAGATAGTAAATAAGTTTTTAAAAGAATGTGAGAATTGATCCTTAAAAAATTATGTGGGCAAATGAGCCATTCCTCAACCTGAGGTCTTTGTAGCTGAGTGTAATGAAAAGCTGAATAGTAAGCATTTAACAGTGGGCAAAATCTCTAATGCCACTAAGTGTTTTCCTAAAATATTTCTAAGCAGGAAAGTGGCACCAATATGTGTGAGCAGTGAACAGCTGCTGACTGAGGCTGGGGAAAGAACTTAAGTGCTGATGACAGTGATAGCTTGAGTAGCTTAGACAGGCAAGGTAGACAAGATAAATATCTTTCCCCTTTGAGTTTAATCCAATTAAGAAAGTTAAAGCTTCTTTCCTTCTTTTCCATATTATAAAGAGTTACTGCCACTCAACTTGATCCAAGCCAGATTTGGCATGGCTTTTAGCTGGGTTTATCATCTCATATTCTTGGTAGTAACATTATTGGAAGAGATCTCAACTGTATTACAAGTGGGATGTGTGACAATTACAGCTGAGATGGATGCTGCTGTTCATGGTATTTGAAATGTTTTTATAGAGTGATTATATAAAGCAATGAACTCCTCTGAGAATCCTTTCATACATTTTGTTCTTACCCACAGAAGTTATTTCCAGGCAGATTTGTACTCCTTTTTTTTTTTTTATCGTTTTCTTTATTTTATTGTTTTTTCTGTCTTGGCACTTTTAGCTATTTATGTGCATTCAGAAGCAGAGTTAGTGCTAAAGGACAGATGAAAGATCAGTTTATTTTGTGTAAATATCCATTATAAATAGAAAAACATGGCTCAAAAATAAACTGGATTAAGGTATACTTTAAAAGCACTCAATTTGTTTAAAATAGAATGTTACAACAATCCCAAATCACAATAAGACTATTTGAGACCAAATTAAATTATAAAATATAAATGGCATTGTTATAAGGAAACATAAGATTCCAGTTTAGATTGGCTACATATTTCTTAGGTCAAGATTTTTATAGAAAATTTTATATTTGCCTGAAAGTTTTTTGTTTGTTTGTTTGTTTTAAAACAACAACAACAAGGGAATCTTAATGTAGATAATCATGCAACTTTAAGTGGAATGCTCTGTAAAAGATCTATATGTGAACAAAGTCTGTGTATCCAGGTACAGTAGAATTACTCTTAGATTATCTTTAATATATTACAAACAGCTCATTTTGATTATCTCTTGTCTACTCACATGTTGTACTCAGTTTAAAAGTTATTAATACTGCCACCTCCCAGAAGGAAAATAAATTTATTAGATATTAAAGAGAAAATAGAAAAAGATAGTGTAGAGCAGTCATCCATATCCCTATTCCGATACTGTGACCCTGGTAGGCAGTTTTTCTGGAAAGGATTTTTTTTTTTTCCAAGATGTCTGTGACTTATAATGTATAGAAGATCCTTCTTGGTTTCTTTTTGGAGCCCATTATTTGACTTGTTCTCATAGGAGATGTAGTCAATATTGAGCTGGGTCTCAAATAATCCTCTGAAAAGCAAGATGTTCCCTGAAGACATTCCATAAGGCATGAAATGCCACTTCTGTCCCATTAGACAGAGTCCAAGTTTTCTTGATGGGCCCTTCCTCCTTAAGACTGATACATAGAAAATGAGCTTATTTCAGTTGCTTCTTTATTGTTAAGATTGAGTGTAGGTGGTTCTCAGGCTTACCGATGAAATAGTTTCTCAGGCGAGGTCTCAAATTTCTTTGTCACACATTATCTTTGACTCATTGTTTATTATAAGCCTGAGTTTCTAAATCCTAAGTATAACCTTTTTGCTTGTCTCTTTCCAAGGGACCAAAAACATTACCTTCTGTTATAAACATTCCCTTACCTGGTATGGGTACCAGCTTCTTTTTTATGTCAACTTTCCAAATTTAGAATTTTCTGAAATATTTTCTATTTTAAGAAATAGCTCATCAGTATGAGAACACTTGATTTAGAAAGAGGTTGATATTTGAGCAGTTTCAAACATCCTAGTTCTGAATTAGAATGCCCAAATACCACTATTCAAAGCTAAGGGACAGATGAAAGACCATGTTAGAAACCTGAGGTCCAGAATGACGAAGTAATTATGCCACGAAGGGACTCAGATTGCTGGTGTCCTGCTTGTCATCCCTGCTATCCTTGTTTCTCTATCCTGCTCTTTCCTCAAGTGGTTAAGAGCATAGGTTGGGAGTCAGATAGATTTGGTTCAAACAATTTTTAAACTACACTTGTCCTTTGAATAACATGGGTTTGAGCTGTATGGGCCCACTTACAAGCAGACTTTGTTCCACTAGTGCCACCCCTGAGACAGCAAGACCAATCCCTCCTCCTCAGTCTACTTAATGTGAAGACAATGAAGATGAAGATTTTTATAACTGATACAGGAGCTAGAAATTATTTAGGCAGATAGGGTAAGAGAGTCCTTGGTAAGGTTTCCTTTAAAGGAAAAGCAGCCCCTAAATCATTTCTTTTCCAACAAAAAGCAGCCTGAAAAATCAAGCTTCAAGCATAGATAAGCAAGTTAAAAGCTTGCCAATAGAAAAGGGATACCTGGAAGCCAGGTATTTTCAGCATGGAGGTTCCCTCTTCCCTTTTCTTTGTTGCCATGTGTGCAGTAAAAAGCAGGCAACATGGCATCGGCCAGGTAGAGACTCCATCTGCATACTAAAAGATTAGTGTGGGATTGCCAGCTTCTTTGCATGCTATGCAAAGGGCACAACTGGTCCGACTAATCTCTTATGCCCTATGTAAATCAGACACCGCCTCCTCAAGCTCGTCTATAAAATCCTGTGCATTTCACCACAGAACCAGAAGACCCACTCTGAAGCTCCTCTCTCTCTGCAGGAGAGAGAGCTTTTCTCTTTTCTCTTGCCTATTAAACCTCTGCTCTTAAACACACTTCTTGTGTGTCCGTGTCCTTGATTTCCTTGGCGTGAGAAAACGAACCTTGGGTATTTATCCCAGATGAATGACTCTGCTTCATAATGACCCACTTCCACTTAGAATAGTAAATATATTTTCTCTTTCTCATGATTTTCTTAATAACATTTTCTTTTCTCTAGACTACTTTATTGTAAGAATACAGTGTATAATACATATATGCTATTCAACTGTTTATGTTACTGGTAAGGCTTCCAGTCAACATTAAGTAGGCTATTACTAGTTAAGTTTTTGGGGAGTCAAAAGTCATACATAGATTTTCTGCTGCACAAAGTATTAGTGTCTCTAACTCCTGTGTTGTTCAACGGTTAACTGGAGTTATGATCTTCATGGCCATGTATACAGTATTTAACTTCTCTGAGACTCAATTTTCCCACCTATGAAATAGGGGTGGTAATCTTGCTTATCTTATACAGTGACATGAAGATGTATTGAGATAATGCATGTCAAGTGCTTGACTCAGTGTCTGACTCATATGTATATTAAATAGCTATTATTATTCCATTGCTGTTTATTAAATCACATTTTTATAAAAGATTACTGTGTGGCAATGAAACTCTCGAGCCTACATGTGTACTTACTTCCCATTGATGGTAATGGGTTTGGACTTAACGTGCTTTAAGTCTCCAGCTTATTATTCCCCAGGGTCAGTGATACACTTATTAGACATAAGTCAGGCTCTTAAATCAGCACAGGCTAACTGCTATTACAACTTTCAAATCTTAATAAAGTACAATTTTGTTTCTCACTCATCGGACCGTACGGTGTAGTGCTATGGTGGGTTTTTCTCTGTATATTCGTTTAGAAATTGGGCTTCTTTCCTCTTGTGGCTCCACCATTTCCTAGGGCCTCAGTATTCTACACTGGGTCCTTTCAGACAGCTGACCATTTTTAAAGCATTAGGCCATTTCAAGCATCTATATAGCTAATAAGATTTAGACAATGTGCTTCTGTATGGAAGACCATGCAGGAGGATTGTCGAGGTCTGGCTGGAAAGTGGCAGACATCACTTCTGCACACATTCCATTGAAGACATAAATTAAACATTAGATTTACTTCTACATGTTATAGCTCAGAAATTTCAAACTTCATTCATTAAAAGTATCACTGAAATTATCTATATAAAAATATTCATTATTGCTATTTAGGAAATTCATGCTTATGGGCATCATATTTTCATGCTATTCATAGTCCAATTTTTATTTAATTAAAAACTTGGAAAGTGAAAAAAAGTATGCAGTGCATTTTTCTAAAATCCATTAATTAGCCAAGTTCAAGCATAGAATTGCCATTCTTAGATTACAAACACATGGGAAGACTGGGGAATGTAGTCTAATTGTAGGCCCAGGAGGAAATGGAAGTAGGATTTGGTAAACACATGGTATTAACTCTGAAACAGCCAATACGGAGTCCAATACATTGACTCACGTAGGGGAAAATGATCATATACTTTCAAGGCATTTTGGCATTTGTGCTTCACAACATCATAATGACATTGATATACACAATCAGATAAAGGAATTGAGATATAAGTAATTTTGTTTATATGTTATGATTTCTGTTTCATTTGGCTTAATTAGCTAACCCATGAAAAGCTATTCTTGTGTTTTTAATATTAGCAAAACTAAAATGTAATCTCACACCATGTTTTTTAGAGGCTGCTTAAGAGATTTCATAAATCTAGTATTTTGCAGACTATTTCTAACTGCATTTGTAGATATTAATTTATTTTTGCTTCTTGAATAAAATTTCAGTTTGGTTAGCATAAAGCCACATTTGTCTAAATCTTATTAGCTATATAGATGCTTGAAATGGCCTAATGCTTTAAAAATTTTATCCTTAATTAATCCTCAATACCTTTCTGGAGGAAACTTCTAAAAATGACAATACTATATTTCAGCTTTGCTGGTTGATGAATTTTAGACATAGTCATTGCATAATTTTTTAATTTTCCAAATTTTTAATTAAGTAAAAATTGGACTATGAATAGCATGCAAATTTGGTACCTATAAGCATAAATTTCCTAAATGGCAATAATGGATGTATTTATGTGGACTGTCTCAGTGATGCTTTTAATTAATAAATTTGGAAACTCCTGAGTAGAAACTGGTAAAAGTGCATTTAAACTTTACCTCTTATTATTTCATGGAGTTCTACTCTACCATGTTTATTTACTGAGATTTTATGAAAACTGGATATTAACTAACAATCCAAACTGAGAGTGAGACAAAGTTAACTCCTAATTAAACATTCAAGTACATTTTCCATGGCAGTATGTTTACATTTACACATTAGAAATAACATTCATTACTAGAGCTAATTAAAATTTCATGTGGAAATCTTAACCAGACATTTTCATTTCATATTTAGCTTTTGGTTTATTCAATCACTTAATTGTCCTTCCATGTATGTTACTGTCCTGATTCTCTAACCCACATTTTGGCGAGGTGCTTCGCAAATACTATGATCCTTAAAATTTCTTTGAAGGTTGTTTTGCCATTAACTTCTGTGAATTTTATGTTTCCCTGTAAGGTTGGGAAGAGGAAATACGTATAACAACACTATGGAAATATTTCCTACTTCCTCTGGTCTTTTCATAATCTAGATCTGTAGGTTCATCGAGGTTGGGTGGCATCCACTGCTTTATACAAATCTTATTTATGTTAAATTGAATTTTTAAGTAGGGATGGAGAGTTCCAAGAAACAGGTAGTAGTTGATCACTTTACATGTTGCAGGCGGGTCATGTAAGATGAAGACTAAAGTGCTTTATGGACAAGAATGGCATTATGGCAGTTTAAATCCCTTACAATTTACGTGTTACAGATCCAATCCTAGCTCCCAAGTTCTGGAAGAGAGATTATTTGCCTCCATTTAAGTCCAGAGTCCAAGACTGATCCAAGACTGGGTGTCAGGGGAGGGTCTTGGAGAAGAGATAAGTGGAATTAGAGGGAGGGAAGGGGAGAAGATCAGAGCAGATTTATAGAGAGGAGTGCATAGAAGAGCAAGAGTAGCCATGATGGTGCTCTGAGTCCTGAGTTCTAGCTTGTTGTGGAGGCCTCGGTCCACTCCTCAACTTGGCTTCTCTGAGGCAACCAGCATCCTTATGTTTAATATACTCTCTGCTTAAGCTCATTCAAGATGGATACTTCTTATTTGCAATGAAAAGTTTGAAATAATCTGATGCCTATCTTGTTTTCAAAATCAACAGAATAACTTACAGGATCTGCTTGATGACAACATCGAATATTTTACTTTTGAATAAAGTCTCGGAATCTACCTAAGCTCTCACTAGATCATTTCCCTTAACCTTATAAAGTTTGGGACAACAACAGTGCCTCCAAATAAATCAGCTGAAAGATTTGCTTCTATAGGAAAATCTGAGAGTTCTGCTTTAGCCATTTGTCTTTGATAGAGGATATAGCTCTTTTTTCTCAGCCAGTTGAAGTGTATGTCATATTTCGCTGACTATAATGGAAAGAAATACATCCAGTCATAAAGAATATGTTCTAAGCATATTTGGAAACCAATATCTTTTATAATATACTGCTCTGTGCCTATTATAGTTATAAATCAAGAAGAATTTGGTCTCACACTTTGTGACACAGCTATATGAGATAAATTGTTTTTAAAAGTCTCGCCCTTTTTATAGGACAGGAAATTCTCAGATCTTTATACAGGATAAATTGTTGCCCCAGAATATCAGGAGCAGAAAATATATTTTTGTGGCTTCTGGTGGAGATTGGAATTCACAGTAGTAGAAAGGATGAAATTTGTCTAGGAAGCCCACTTAGTACTTAAAACTCAATCATGTGAAGTCACATGCCTCAAACCTGCATACATTATATACTGCTAACATTAATAAATAACATCACTAGATTTTGTGTTATTCACCATCCCTCTCATAAGCCTAAGAAAAAGGAAGCAATAAGAATCATTGACATATAGAAAAAGTTGTGTCATACGTGTTTTTCAATAACTAAGCCTTAGAAAATAGTATTTTTGATTTTCATCATAAAAATGTTCAATCTAGCAATTGGCTATGTTTTCAGCTAAACAGAAAAGTTGCTAGAGTCATTTAAAATCAGTTTTAATTTGAGAGATTAGCTATGTACTTCCTTGGGTTATTATTGGCAATAATGATTCATACGTATACAGTCTCCCAATTTATGTCACTGCCGAAAGATGCCATGACGAAAGATTCCAAAGTTTCCAAAATTTCAAACTGATACCCTTCAAATTGCCCATATATTAGTCTTCTAGTTCTCATATGTGTTTTTGGGATCCTTAGTGAAATGGAGAAACTTATAAATTATTTTTTTCCAAAAAGTTCTTAGTTAACTAAGCTAGTTATCTTATTCTTTCCTGGCTGTTTCTAATGAGATTTACACTTATACGGTAGTCCCCCATTATCTATGGCTTCACTTTCCATGGTTTCAGTTGCCTACGGTCAGCTGTGGTCCAAAAATATTAAATGGAAAATTCCAGAAGTAAACAATTTATAACTTTTAAGTGCTATGTCACAACTCCTACATCATTTACCTCAATTCATCCTATCATGTAGGCATTTTATTATCTCATATCATTACAAGAAGAAGAAGGATGAGTACAATAAGATATTTTGAGAGAAAGGGAGAGAGACTGACCACATATATATAGCTTTTACTACAGTATATTATAGTAACAGACCTATTTTATTATATTATTGTTGTTAGCCCCTTACTGTGCCTAATTTATAAAGTAAACTTTATCATACCTATGTATGTATAGGGCAATCCTAGTATACAAAGCCCTCAGTACCATTGTGGTTTCAAGAATACATTGGCGGTCTTGGACTGTATCCTAGGTAGACAAAGGGGGACCACTGTCACCCAAAGTCATTCACAAATAACATTTATGGAGGTAGGCCTCCATAAGAGAAGGCCCTAGACCTTCTCTTGACATTTTCTCATGATTCTCATAGTTATTTTTTCAAATTCTGTATTTTATATTCTAGTACTAAAAGAGAGGATTTAGAATATTGTTTCAAAGCTTTTAATATTTCTCTACTGATTATCAAGTTATTTTTATGGTATAATTTCTTTGGTATACTACTATAGCTCTTATGAAAAAACTGTAATTGTCAAATCTCATAAAAATTTTCCTATGAAGCCAAACAGAATTAAACAGAAATTATTTTTAAGAAATGATCCTGGCAACTTCTCTACAAAGTTGTTCTTGAGATACAACTTAAATGTTCAAATCAAATAGATTTTGGCATTTCTCAGCTGTTGCTTCTTGTAAAAAATTGCTGACAATTTTGGACATTAAATGTTCACTGCATCAAACGGTGATAAATGTTCTGGGTAATGGCACGTTTTCCTGCAGTCTTGCTCCCAAATGATTAAATGTTTATATCTTCCTTTTGCTATTCCTGAAGGTCCGAATTTGTTGCTTTCAGTCACAAGAATAGCACAAAGGCCATGGGTATAATGGATATAGACTTTTAAAAAATCCCTGTTTTTAAATAGTGCTATTTTAGGACAATGTTCCCTGTTCTCTGCTAAATTTTTTTCATCAAATGTGTGGTTGGATAGATATTTGAATTGAGTACTGGCAACACTGATTTTTAACTGATAGTGGTAACTTGTTTGTAGACCTTGAGAAATCGAGTAAATGATGTAAAAATATAAGAAATTCTGAATCAATAGAACTGTCTCTAATATACTGTCATGTAAATAGGAAGTGGGATAAATTAACTATGAATATTTTCTTATTGCAGAACTCCTGTTATATATTACTTTACTATTTTTTCTTTGCATGTGGATATTTAGCCATTTTAACAAATCTTGGTCCATTGAAGTAATCAGGGAATGGTTAGAAAGATAATAATTTGGGTTGTTAAAATATGGAACTTATAATAACAAGTCACAATTTATGTGACTGAACATAAATGAATTTTGAATTGGATGGTTTTTTAAAAAAAAGACTGCAGCCCGGCGTGGTGGCTCATGCCTGTAATCTCAGCACTTTGGGAGGCTGACGTGGGCGGATCACCTCAGTTCGCGAGTTCGAGACCAGTCTGACCAACATGGAGAAACCCTGTATCTACTAAAAATACGAAATTAGCCGGGCATGGTGGCACATGCCTGTAATCCCAGCTACTCGGGAGGCTGAGGCAGGAGAATCTCTTGAACCCAGGAGGCGGAGGTTGTGGTGAGCCAAGATCCACCATTGCACTGCAGCCTGGGCAAAAAGAGCGAAACTCCAGCCGGGCGCGGTGGCTCACGCCTATAATCCCAGCACTTTGGGAGGCCGAGGTGGGCAGATCACGAGGTCAAGAGATCGAGACCATCCTGGCTAACACAGTGAAACCCCGTCTTTACTAAAAATACAAAAAAATTAGCCGGGGGTGGTGGTAGGCGCCTGTAGTCCCAGCTACTAGGGAGGCTGAGGCAGGAGAATGGCGTGAACTCAGGAGGCGGAGCTTGCAGTGAGCCAAGATTCGTGCTACTGCACTCCAGCCTGGGCGACAGAGCAAGACTCCATCTCAAAAAAAAAAAAAAAAAAAAAAAAAAAAGCCTGCTAAAATAAACTAAGCTATTCCAGGAACAAATCACTCTTGACTTGTCAATCAGAGCAAATGTCAAATTGCAATGAACTTACACAAAATATGCTATTAATTTTTATGTGAACATGTTTTTGTTTTGTAGCAATTTTTTTATTCAATGCATATCTATTTAAAATAATTAAATGTGATTAAATACCGTACTGCCATAATTAGATTGTTAATATATTAACAATACAACTGAATTAGACATCAGGCAAGTTTGGCAATTATTATAAATGTTAAGGTTCATACACTAAGCACAAGTCACCATAGTTTATTAAATGAAATCCAATGCACTCTCAAACTAGAGGTTAGTTCTAATCAAGGAAAAATTTTATCACAATCTACTTGGGTTTTGGGACCAGAATTCATTGGTATGCTATCATGAATTCTGATTTGTAATATCATTTCAATGTTCAAAACGTGAACAAAGAATATGAGCAACATAAAGAGGAAGAAACAACCAATAAGAGTAAAAACCTAATTAAATTTTGCTTGTAATAACTGCCTTTCCTTGTGCTACTCAGCTGAATGTTCACTTCTGAAGACAGAGTCCTTTTTCTGTTCAATATGGAATCCATACAATCCAGAACAATAGGTGCTCAAAGATCAGATAAATGAGAGTCCATTTAGAAAACTGATAATAATTCCTCATTTTCCAGAGTTACTAAAATAGGATGAGTGTTGAGTTCCTAAATAGTTATAACCACCAATGTGTTCTAAATCTAGATCTTTATATTTTTACAGAATGCTCATAAACTATCAAAATTCAATAGTTAAAAGTTGATTAAAATATGTTATCAATGACTTAACTCTTGATTTAAGGCAGAAAAAAGTAGACTCTACAAATTGTTAAATCATGACAAATGCATTCATTTTTATTTGTGAGTCAAAAATAAAATATCTAAGGCAGTTTAATGATTTAATCTTATGTCTAATGTGAATTAATCATCAGCAGATTCGCACATTTCAACTTTATTATTTAGTTTCTAAACCACCAACACTAGTACAACTCAATTAACTTTGAGATTTCAATTAAATCTTAATGGGTCCAGAAACTATTACTTTATCAGATTTGTAACTAAAGTATCAACAAACATTTCTTTAATGTTTACTTTTAGTGGTCAGTAGCTAATGAATAGACTTAGCTCTGATACTCATTCATTACTTTAGAATTTATTGAATATTAGTCTGTGCCACATACAGAACGAATGTATATAAATGCATATAAAATAATGCCAGTCAATGAGATGAGTGGTGGTGCTAGGTTTTAAAAATTTGAATTTATTATGAATTTTTAAGTTGGCTTCATACATATAATCCATAAAGTGCTTGAAATTGGCAGAGAGCATTGAAGTAAAAATCCCTGGAGACCACCTGGAAACAGTTCTCCAAGGTCACAGCCAGAGCTGTCATATAGGGAGGACTGGCAAAGTGTAGAGAATGTTGAGATAAAATGAAAGCAAAAGACCTGGGGACATTGGGCTTTGGCTGGTCAAGAAGAAATGATAAACCAGATGACCATTTCTCCAGGAGTGAAGAGAAACATCTGCTCATTGTCATCTTTAGCATTCACTGTACATGGACAGCAATTTACATTTCTCTGTGTTAACTGATGTTCTGTGGGATCATCGCAGAACCAAAACTCAGTCTTCCTTGATGGAAGCCTGTCTATGCCCTAGATCCCTTGTTCATTAATCCTCCTGTTTGGGACCAGAATTTCCAGATTATTTTTTTGTGTGCAGAGATGGGGGCATATTTGTTAGAATGCTGAACATGGATTCATAAGAGCGTTTATTGACAGATGGTAAAGTTGTGACAGAAGGCTGAGTGCTTCCATGCATAAAAAAGGAACCGCAACAAAATCTCCTTGGAATTTTCTTTGTGTTCAAAGGATTAACTAAGGCAACAGAAAGCTCATATCCTTCCTTGTGGGGACTGATGGAGGAGCAAACAGATGCTCAAAATCAGAGCTATCTGGCTTATGTTCTGGCTCTGGGAGTAGGACTGGGCCAAGGAAGAAACAGCCAGTGTTGTGCAAGCCAGGGAGAACATTCTGGCTTTTCATTCTTATAGCCCAGGAGGAATATATATTATTTATACTTCTATTTTTGTATATTTAGAATCAATTTCTTAGTTCATATTTCTCTATTGGTGGACACTGGCAGTTACAGTGTGAGTGATGGGCAGTGGGAAGATTCTACATTTCTTTGTAGTTAATGTGATTTACATGTATTATCTTTTTTAATTCTCAGAAACATCTTTTAGGGAAGGTATTATTTTAAAACTTAATAGATGAGCAAACTGAAGCTTACAGAGGTGACATAAATTGCTGAGGTCAGGAGAGGGCAAAAGAGTCAGGAAGTCATTAGTGGCCACAAATATGGCTGTGGAGTGATGCCACCTGACTTGACTCTGGAATCTGAATACTGAGCTCTTGTCACCTCAGGCAGCGTACATGACTTTTTAAAACATCATTTTCTTTACCTGTGAAATGGCAATACTAAAAGTACTTTCCCTAAAGGATTGTGTTTAGGGTAAAATGGGATAAGACAAATGATGTATATAGCACAAGGAAGGTTATTAAAATGACAAAGTTAGGAATCAAGGCCAAGTATAGTTTTTAGGTCACCACTCTGCTTCCTATTAGGGTTTGAGGCCTTAGGCCAATCTGAAACAATTCTTAGAATCCAAAAGGCTTTTATAGCTGGTCATAAGGTAGTATACTGTATTTTTAGCATAAAATAGTTTACTATATTTTTAATATACTAGAATCTAAAATCACCAGGCCAATAAAATTTTCATTACAAACAGACACACACAGATGTGTGCATGTAAGTCAGTTCTCCTGTGGCATTTGCCAAACGGATCATTTTACGGTAAGTCAAGTTTTAAATTTTGAGAGTGTATCTATCATCTTGTGAAATACTGCCTGTATTTCACCTCAGGGACAAGAGAGTGGAAAATCTTTTATAAAAGTTTATAAATTTCTGATTTGACATTTACTTTTATAGAATGTTTGAGACCTTTGGCTTTAGAGTTGGTTAAATGAGTGTTTAAGGTTTTGCTTGTAGGTTTTAGCTGTCTGATCTTGGGCAAGTTTCTTAATCTTTCTAAGCCTCAGTTTCCTTATCTGTAAAATGACAATAATAACACCTACCCCATAGTGTTGTTGTGAGCATTAAAGTGGATAGTAAGTGTTGATATACAAGATATATAAGGAGTGAGGCCACCTGGCAGCATTCATGGATTTTTATCTTTAAATGTCTCTGAAATATCACTGGAATATACCAGAAATGTGCACATTAATTTTGGTGCCCATGTATCATTTCATACTTGACTTGATATGCAAAGGTATTTCTCCTAGAGAAGAAAACAGAACCCTGAGATTCTGAAAAAAAATTAAGTGAATTTCAAGGATGGTCACCAGAGGCTGGGAAGGGTAGTGGAGGCCTGGGGAGTGGGGCAAGGGGAATAGTTAATGGGTACAAAAAATAGAAAGAATGAATAAGACTACTATCTGATAGCACAGTTGGGTTACTATAGTAAATAATAACTGTACATTTTAAAATAAAAAAATTAAGTGAATTTCTATGTCACAGGTACCTAACCTGTCTCTGGTAAATTGAATAGTGTGTGTGTGTGTGTGTGTGTGTGTGTGTGTGTGTGTGTGTGTGTGAGAGAGAGAGAGAGAGAAAGAGAGAGGAGAGAGAGAGACCTTTTGTCCCAGTGAACTGATATTTAGAAGTAAACTGATATTCTAAATCCAAATATAACCCATACTAGTACTAGAACAAACACCACAGCAAATATAAATAAGCCATATTTAAGTTTAATTAATTCTTATTATTTGCCAACTCTATACCAAGTGCTTTACATGTATTCTTTCCTTTGGTGCTCATAACACCCAGTGAATTAGATACTATGATTGTCATTTTCTGATAGGAAAAGTGAAAATTGGAGAGGTTAAGTATTGCTCCTAAGATAATACAGCCAAGAAATTTCATGGTCTTAATCACTGTGCTATGGTGTGGTACTATTTACTATTATTTATTTTATTAAGTACATTGTAAGCCTTTCCCAAGAAGTTCTCTGGTTCAGACTATTGCAAACTAGAGTACAGTAATTGCAGAAAACTGGGTCTGTTTTGCAAAATATATTTTTAATGAATTCTGCTTCAGTTCACACATTTCTGTATACTTTTTTGAGTATTCATTACTTTGTTTTTAAATTATACTCTTATTTTGAGACATTGTAGATCCTCGTGAAGTTATAAAAAATAATACAAAGAGATCTGTTGTACCATTTACCCTGTTTCACCAGTGACTATGTTTTGCAAAGTATATCTACAATATCTCTACCACGATATTGACATTGATACAATCCATTGATCTTAGTCTGATTTCTTTGTTTTTACTTGTACTCATTTGTATGTTAAGTGTGTGTGTATTTAGCTTTGTTATCACGTGTAGCCTTGTGCATCCACCACCACGGTTCACACACAGAACAGTTCCAACACCACAGGATCCCTCCTGCTCTTCTATCCCCACCTCCCCACAATTCCTTCCCCTGATGTCCCAATTTCTGCCAACCATTAATCTGTTCTCTGTTTCCAAAATATTTTGAGAATGTTATATAAATGGAACTGTACAGTATATTACCTTTTGGAAATGGAATTTTTTACTCAGAACAATTCACTTGAGATTCATCTAGGATACTGCATCTGTCAATAGTTTGTTCCTTTTATTTCTGAGTGGTATTCCACAATATGGATGTGACACAGTTTAAGCATTTACCCGTGGAAGAACATTTGTTATTTCCAGTTCTAAGATATTATGAATAAAGCTGTTATGAACAATCTTGTACAGCTTTGTGTGTGAATATACGATTTAGTTTCTCCAGGATAAATGCCCAAGAGTGCAATTGCTGGGTTGTACGATAATTGCATTTTAGCTTTAAAAGAAATGTTGCCAAACTTTTTTCCAGAAGCTGTACCATCTTACCTTCCTGCCAACAATGCGTGTGTGATGTAGTTTCTCTACACTTAACACCAACACTTGATGATGTTACTACCTCAATTTTAGCTATACTGACAGGCATGTAGTAATCACTCATTGAGGTTTTAGTTTGTATTTCTCTGATGGCTAAGGATGTTAAATGCCTTTGCACATGCCTGTTTGCTGTCTGTACATCCTGTTTGCTGAGATGTCTGCTCCTATATTTTGTCTACCTTCCAATTGAAGTTTTTGTTTTTCTAATGTTGAGTTTTGAGAGTTCTTTATATATTCTAGGTAGTAGTTTTTTGTTAGGTAAGTGGTTTACAAATATTCTCTCTCAGTCTGTGGATTGCCTTTTCATTCTCTTCACTGAGCAAAAGTTTTTAATTTTGATGAAGTAAAATTTATCAAGTTTTTCCTTTTATGGATCATGTCTTTGGTGTTATGATAAATTCTTTACCTATCCCTAGGTCTCAAAGCTTTTCTCTTACAGTTTTTTTTCCCTTAGATGTCTTATAGTTTTCTGATTTACATTCAAGTCCATGATCCATTTTGAGTTGACTTTTGTATAATGTATGAGACTCAGGATAAAGTTTATTTATTTTTGTCTATGGATATCTAATTTCTCCAGCACCATTTTCTCAAAATGTCACCCTTTCTCCATTGAATTACTTTTGTTCCTTTGTCAAAAATCAATTGAGCATATTTGTATAGGTCTATTTCTGGGTTTCCTATTCTGTTCTTTTGCTCCATGTATCTGTCCTTTTGTCACTACCACACAGTCTTGATTACAGTAGCTCTATAGCAAGCTTTAACATTGGTTAGAATGAGTCCCTCAAATTTGCTTCTCCCCACTCTTCCAAGATTGTTTTAGCTATTCTAGGGCTTGTTCCTTTTCAAATAAGTTTTAGAATAAGTTCATCTAGGTCTACAAAAAATCTTGTTGATATTTTAATGAAATTGCATTTAACCTACTGATCAATTCGGGGAAAATTGGCATATTTATTATGTTGGGCCCTTTAATTTATGGACGTAATACACCTATTTTTTTAGATTTATTTTGATTTTTTAATCATTATTTTGTAATTTTATTGCACAATTTTGTACACATCTTGTTAGGTTTATACATAAGTATTTCATTTTCATTAGATCAATTTAGATAGTAGCATTGTTTTTGATTTGTTTTCACATGTTTATTATTAGCATATACAAAAGCAATTTATATATTTGCACACTTATTTTGTGTCCTGCAATCTTGCTGAACTTGCTTACTAATCTAAGAGTTTTTTTTTTTTTTAAGTTTCCTTGGGATTTTTTTTTTTGTTGTCTGCAAACAGGGTAGTTTTATTTTTTTTCCTTCCAGTATGTATTTATTTGTTTTTCCTGCTTTATTGCAGTGGCTAGAACTTCCAGTACTATGTTGAAAAGCCTGGTGATGTATATACATTTATTATCATGAGAAAACCAATTTCACTGTTTTAGCACCTAACAATAAATGTAAACAAAAACCAAGTTATTTACTCCCCTAGGACTGCACATGATTTTGCTGTATAAACACAGGTAAAAGTTAGCTATCATCATCATCATCATCTTACATATTTTCCTTAGTATTTCTGTAATTTAAAAAATTCCTCTTTAATAATTTAAAAGATACTTTATGGAGTCATTTAAATTGTCACTTTATTCTCTCAGGTTTTGGGGGACACTAATCCATGTTTATTTTGCATTCTGACTCTAACTAATGGTAGATTGTTTCTTTGTAGATTTTAATAATGTTATATTAAGAACTCATTTTAAGCACGAAAATGTTCTTTCTTGGAGAAGGGAAATATGGCAGATTTTTGGGAAACATTCTACTGGAATGGTTTTGACTTGCTTTTATCTGCTACCTTAAGAGCATCACTTGCTTTTTCCTGATTTTCAAAAATAATTTGTGGGCTTGGTGTTTCTTTGTACCACCCGTGCATAGGTAAATTTGCATCCAAGCCAGTGGAAGTTGTACCTATAATTTCCCACAGGAGAACTGTATTTTCCTTCTATATCTGGGACAGCCCAAAATGTCTTAGTTTAGGATACCCTAGAAGAAAATCTCAAAGTAAGGATTCGAATGCAAATAGTTTATTTGAAAAGTTAACACCGCTAAGAGAATGATGAAGTTGAGACAGAAAAGCGAAGTAGACCAACAAAGAGTGATTAACAATCAGGTTACCAAGTGGGTAAGTGGAACACAATCTTGCTAGATGAAATGCAGACCGTATCCCAGAGTTATCCCAGCCAAAGAAAGAAATGGTAAGATGTTTGTAGGCTGACTCCCTGGTCATCATTGGTTTGGGGCACTTCTGAGTGGCATTCTCTCTAACACTTCAAGCTTGCCCTATTCACCCACCAAGCCAAAAATCCATACCAAACCTGCAGGCAATTCCATTTTATTAGAGGGCATTGAGGGCATCTGTCAAACCTTCCTTGTTATTACCCTGGATCAGTGAGTTGAGTCATTTAATGTTTCTTGCACTTTGCTTGTAGCCCATCCAGTACCCAGCTTTCTACAAGGTGCTTATTTCCATTCACCTACTTGATACAAGCCTGAGGCCTGCTCTCCTGCTTTGTGAGGGTGTTAAATCTTAAACCTTAGCCATTGTCAGCTCCAATAACTCACCAGGGCTGCTGCTGTACCATAACAAACATGACCAGTGCTCTGCACTTCAGCTTTATCTTTGCTTCTGGCACCTGGATTTCTTTTCTTTTTTTGCTGATCTACTTTATTATTTTGCTGGAATTGGAAGAAAACTTACTTTTTAAAATAAGTACATGGTATATTGTGGGATGGGTGCACATTTATTCAAACCATTCAGTTACTGATTGACCTTTTTTTGTGTTAGTGTTTTGTTTTGCTTTTGCACTACAAACATAGATGCTATAAACTTTCCTTTCTGTGTATTTTTTGTAGTAGTGCCTTTATCTATGGGATAATGTCCCAGAAATGATATAACATCACAGAAGTTTGAATTGATTAATTCTTTACTGCATTTCAAAAAGGTTATAACAATTTATATTTCCACCAGCAATGCAGCCTCGTGGAAAGATTTATTGGTCTTATAAATATAAGTCAGAAATTAAAGTCTTTTTATCAGAGCATTAATACTTTAATTCCATAGCTTCTCAGTAAAGAAAATAGTTTGGCCATTCATTTACACAGAAAATAAGTTATATAATAATAAAACCAAAGCAAAAGGATTGAACAATAAATCTGCAAACTTTGTTTCTGGCAAACCAGGAGAGTTCAGAAGAAATGTAGTATTACTTATACCTGGACCAGAGAAAAAGAAATAAATCCTCATTTCCAGCTAAAACTAACTCCATCCATGGATAGTTATTCTCAGCTCTGGCTAATAAGGCGTTATTCAGGTACTTTGTACATCTCTTTAGGGAGCCATACTGTCAGAAGCATTCGAACCAGAGTGACTCTGTCTTTAATAGGGTAGGTAAAATTAGGCTGAGACCTACTGAGCTGCATTCCCAGTAGGTTAGGCATTCTAAATCACAAGATGAGATAGGAGGTCAGTACAAGGTATAGGTCACAAAGACCTTGCTGATAAAACATGTTGTGTTAAAGGAGCCAGCCAAAACCTATGAAAACCAAGATGGCAAAGAGAGTGACCTCTGGTCATCTTCACTGCTCATTACATACTAATTATAATGCATTAGCATGCTAAAAGACACTCCCACCAGCACCAAGACAGTTTACAAATGCCACAGCAACATCAGGAAATTACCCTATATGTTCTAAAAAGGTGAGGGGCCCTCAGTTTCAGGAATTACCCATGACTTTTCCAGAAAACTCATGAATAATCCACCCAGTTTAGCATATAATCAAGAAATAACTATAAGTATCCTTAGTCCAGCAGCCCAAACTGCTGCTTTGCCTATGGAGTAGCCATTCTTTCATTTCTTTACTTTCTTAATAAACTTGCTTTCATTTTACTCTGTTATCTTGCCCCAAATTCTTTCTTGCATAAGATCCAAGAACCCTCTCTTGCGGTCTGAATTAGGACCTTTTTCTGGTAACAATATCTTGGGGTCCAGGCTGTCTGGAGACATCAATAGGGTAATAAGGACATGGTTATTAAATCAGATGAAATAACTGCTTCCTTGGAATTTGATAAATGTCACCTCTTAAGATGTGTAGTGTCAAAGTTATCTTGAGGATGCTTGCATTTGAAACAGCCTTGTTGTCTGGAGTATCACCCAAGTTTTGTGGTCTCATGGCCATGGAGAACAGGGTGTGGACACACAAAGAGTGAGGTTAAGAGCAGAAGATTAGTAGGTGAAAGAAAGAGCTCTCTGTTGCAGAGACAGGTCCTGGAGAAATGGGTTGCCAGATTCGTGGTAAAATGCAGGGGGTTTATAGATGCCTGGTGAGGAGGTAGTGTCTGATTTCCACAGAGCATGAAAGATTGGTTGGGCCAGGTGTGCCATTTGCATAGGGCATGAAAAACTGGTCAGACCAGGTGTGCTATTTGCATAGGGTGTGAAAAACTGGTTAGGACTAGGTGTGCCATTTGCATAGGGTGTGAATTTCTGGCTGCCCCTACCCTAATCTTTTATTATGCAGGCAGGTTCTCTGCTTGGCCTGCGCCATGTTGCCCATTCCTTTACTATACAAGTGGTAACAAAAAAAGAGAAGATGGAACCTCCATGTTGGATATGCCTGGAAGCCAGGTAGCCCTTTTCTATTGGCACAGCTGCCGGCGTTCCCCTGTGCAAGCTTCTAGCTTCCTTATTTATGTTTGCAGCTCAAGTTTTCAGGCTGCTCTTTGTTAGAAAGGAAATGATTTTGGGGGCTGCTTTTTGTTAAAAGGGCAGCATTGCTGAGGACTCTTTTTCCCTCACTATCTGCCTAAATAATTTATTTCTACCTCCTGTATCACATTCACAGGTTTCCGGCACTGTTGACTGACTGGAAAGGCTTTTCTAAAATCAGCTTAGTTTATCTCTGTTAAATCAGCTTTTATTTCAGGCATGTTCCAATTGACAAAGATCTCCCTAAGGGAGGAGATCACCCCTCATATTATCTTATGCCCAATTTCTGCCTCCAAAGAAAGAAGTAAAAACTAAAAGATAGAAATGAAATTCACAGGCAAACAGTCCGGTGCCACATCCTGAGCCTGGTTAAAGATCGACCCCTGACCTAACCGGTTATGTTATCTATAGATTCCAGACATTGTATGGAAAAGTGTTGTGAAAATCCCTGTCCTGTTCTGTTCCATTTTGATTACTGGTGCGTGCAGCCCCCAGTCATGTACCACCTGCTTGCTTAATCGATCACGACTCTCTCATGTGGACCCCCTTAGAGTTGCAAGCCCTTAAAAGGGACAGGAATTGCTCACTCAGGGAGCTCGGTTGTTGGAGACGTGAGTCTTGCCAAAGCTCCCAGCCAAATAAAGCCCTTCCTTCTTTAACTTGGTGTCTGAGGGGTTTTGTCTGTGGCTTGTTCTGCTACATCCCAAGCTCTATGTGGCCATGGCTGTGCACTTGCAATCTTTCTATGTAAACTGAGAAACTTTCAAATGAAAAAGATCAGCTCTGATGACAGTATGATTTCATTCTAGTAAAGTATAATTCTTATAAAATTGATTTGTTTTTATATAAAAGACACTGAAATAAATTTAACTAATTACAATATCACTAGTTAAATCTTTTAAATTCAGAATTTCTTTTTTTTAAATTTTATTTTATTATTATTATACTTTAAGTTTTAGGGTACATGTGCACAATGTGCAGGTTACATATGTGTACATGTGCCATGTTGGTGTGCTACACCCATTAACTACTCATTTAGCATTAGGTATATCTCCTAATACTATCCCTCCCCGCTCCCCCCACCCCACAACAGTCCCCGGAGTGTGATGTTCCCCTTCCTGTGTCCATGTGTTCTCATTGTTCAATTCCCACCTGTGAGTGAAAACATGCAGTGTTTGGTTTTTTGCCCTTGCGATAGTTTGCTGAGAATGATGGTTTCCAGTTTCATCCATGTCCCTACAAAGGACATGAACTCTTCATTTTTTATGGCTGCATAGTATTCCATGGTGTATATGTGCCACATTTTCTTAATCCAGTCTATCATTGTTGGACATTTGGGTTGGTTCCAAGTCTTTGTTATTGTGAATAGTGCTGCAATAAACATACGAGTGCATGTGTCTTTATAGCAGCATGATTTATAATCCTTTGGGTATATACCCAGTAATGGGATGGCTGGGTCAGATGGTATTTCTAGTTCTAGATCCCTGAGGAATCGCCACACTGACTTCCACAATGGTTGAACTAGTTTACAGTCCCAGCAACAGTGTAAAAGTGTTCCTATTTCTCCACATCCTCTCCAGCACCTGTTGTTTCCTGACTTTTTAATGATTGCCATTCTAACTGGTGTGAGATGGTATCTCATTGTGGTTTTGATTTGCATTTCTCTGATGGCCAGTGATGATGAGCATTTTTTCATGTGTTTTTTGGCTGCATAAATGTTTTCTTTTGAGAAGTGTCTGTTCATATCCTTCACCAACTTTTTGATAGGGTTGTTTGTTTTTTTCTTGTAAATTTGTTTGAGGCCACTGTAGATTCTGGATATTAGCCCTTTGTCAGATGAGTAGGTTGCAAAAATTTTCTCCCATTTTGTAGGTTGCCTGTTCACTCTGATGGTAGTTTCTTTTGCTGTGCAGAAGCTCTTTAGTTTAATTAGATCCCATTTGTCAATTTTGGCTTGGGTTGCCATTGCTTTTGGCGTTTTAGACATCGACATACAGAAATCAATAAATGTAATCCAGCATATAAACAGAACCAAAAACAAAAACCACATGATTATCTCAATAGATGCAGAAAAGGCCTTTGACAAAATTCAACAACCCTTCATGCTAAAAACTCTCAATAACTTAGGTATTGATGGGATGTATCTCAAAATAATAAGAGTTATCTATGACAAACCCACAGCCAATATCATACTGAATGGGCAAAAACTGGAAGCGTTCCCTTTGAAAACTGGCACAAGACAGGGATGCCCTCTCTCACCATTCCTATTCAACATAGTGTTGGAAGTTCTGGCCAGGGCAATTAGGCAGGAGAAGGAAATAAAGGGTATTCAATTAGGAAAAGAGGAAGTCAAATTGTCTCTGTTTGCAGATGACATGATTGTATATCTAGAAAACCCCATTGTCTCAGCCCAAAATCTCCTTAAGCTGATAAGCAACTTCAGCAAAGTCTCAGGATACAAAATCAATGTACAAAAATCACGAGCATTCTTATACACCAATAACAGACAAACAGAGAGCCAAATCATGAGTGAACTCCCATTCACAATTGCTTCAAAGAGAATAAAATACCTAGGAATCCAACTTAGAAGGGATGTGAAAGACCTCTTCAAGGAGAACTACAAACCACTGCTCAACGAAATAAAAGAGGATACAAACAAATGGAAGAACATTTCATGCTCATGGGTAGGAAGAATCAATATTGTGAAAATGGCCATACTGCCCAAGGTAATTTATAGATTCAATGCCATCCCCATCAAGCTACCAATGACTTTCTTCACAGAATTGGAAAAAACTACTTTAAAGTTCATATGGAACCAAAAAAGAGCCCGCATTGCCAAGTCAATCCTAAGCCAAAAGAACAAAGCTGGAGGCATCACGCTGCCTGACTTCAAACTATACTACAAGGCTACAGTAACCAAAACAGCATGGTACTGGTACCAAAACAGAGATATAGATCAATGGAACAGAACAGAGCCCTCAGAAACAATGCCACGTATCTACAACCATCTGATCTTTGACAAATCTGAGAAAAACAAGCAATGGGGAAAGGATTCCCTATTTAATAAATGGTGCTGGGAAAACTGGCTAGCCATATGTAGAAAGCTGAAACTGGATCCCTTCCTTACACCTTATACAAAAATTAATTCAAGATGGATTAAAGACTTACATGTTAGACCTAAAACCATAAAAACCCTAGAAGAAAACCTAGGCAACACCATTCAGGACATAGGTGTGGGCAAGGACTTCATGTTTAAATTCAGAATTTCTAATTTTAAAAGTGTAAGTGCCCAATGTGTTCTTTGTGCCCACTGCACAGACAAAACCAATTCACAGAGACCATTGTGTTGCAACAAAGAAAGAGTTTAATAGACACAAGTCCGGCCACACCACATGGGAGATAGAGTTATTACTCAAATAAATCTCCCTGAAAATTTGGAGGCTTGGGTTTTTCAAGAACACTTTGGCAGGCCAGGGAGTTTGTTTCTGGGTGGGTTCATAGGACCCTTTGTTGGTTGGAGGTCAGGGTGAAGCCACCTGTCATCAGAAATGCAAAAACCTGAAAAGATCTCTCAAAAGGCCAATCTTAGATTCTTCAAGAATGAAGTTAGTCATTAGGGAAGTTGCATATTTTGTGACCTCTGGAATAATGGCTGGTAATCATTTACAGCTATGATTTAGCCTTAGCAGAATTTAATTTAGCCTTAGCAAAATTCAGGTTCCTCTCATCCTCCTAACCTGGTGGTCTTTCATTGGCTTTATTAAGATGGTTTAGTTTTGGGGAAGGGCTGTTATCATTTAAACTGTAAAAGTTAAATGTCTCCCAAAGTTAGCATGGCCTAAGCCCAAGAATGATTAAGGTTGGTTTGGAGATTAAAGGCAAGATGGGATTGGTTAGATCAGATCTCTTTCACTGTCATAATTTTTTCACTGTTAACAGTTTTTTCAAAGGCTTGAAAATCAGTAGTTGCACTGACAGTTATTTTGATACTATTGGCTTGCTGGGCACAGAGGCTCATACCTGTAATCCCAGCATTTTGGGAGGCTGAGGTAGGAGGATCATAAGGTCAAGAGATTGAGACCATCCTGGACAACATGGTGAAACCCTGTCTCTACTAAAAATACAAAAAATCAGCTGGGTGTGGTGGTGTGCACCTGTAATCCCAGCTTCTCAGGAGGCTGAGGCAGAAGAATTGCTTGAACCTGGGAGGCGGAGGTTGCAGTGAGCCAACATCACACCACTGCACTCCAGCCTGGTGACAGACCAAGACTCTGTCTCAAAAAATAAATAATAAATAAATAAATAAATAAATATTGGCTAACAATAACATAAAGATTATGAAGAAAATGTTTAAAATTACTAGAAAGAATAATTTTCAAGTACTACAAGAGCAATATTTAATATAACAAATCCTAATGAAAAACTTTGTAAATGTTTTCCTAGATAATATTTGATAAGTCTCTTTCTAGTTTTTGTAGTGTAAACAAAAAATAAAATCCTAAGCCCCCCAACTAACAAAATGGACACCTCCTTTCTGCCAAGAGCATTCTAAAGTAAACCTGAAACACTAGTTCAGGCCATGATGGGAATGGGTGGTTAGACATGCCTCATTATGCCTTCCTCCCTTTGGAATCCAGGCACAGCTGACCAGCATTAACCTTAAAACAGACACCTTTAGACTGACACAACAGCCTCTTTAAATCTGATAAGAAACATTTACATCTATTCTTTATGAAGCCTGCTACCTGGAGGCTTCCTCTCATCTGCATAATAAGAACCTTAGTTTCCACAACCCCTTATCTTAACCCAGTCACCCTCCCTTCCATTGATTTCAGGTCTTAGGTAAACTCTTTCAATCAACTATCAATTAGAAAATTTTTGAATCCAATTATAACATGGACACCACCCCATCCCCCAGCTTTGAGTTGTTCCACCTTTCTGGACAGAACTAATGTTCATCTTACATCATGTATTGATTTTGTCTTATGTCTCCCTAAAAGGTATAAAAGCAAACTGTATCCCAACCACCTTGGACACATGTTCTCAGGATCTCCTGGGGCTGTATCATGGGTCATGCCCACCCACACTTGGCTCAGAATAAATCTTTCCAAATATTTTAGTTTGATTGTTTTCATTGACAGTAGATGCATGGAAGTTTAAGAAAAAGTTTTTCTTTTTAAATATATGAATTCTGTTGTATTAGTTGAAAATAACTTCATTAATCAATCCTAATGAATTATATATGTGGTTTTCTTTGTCTCTATTTACGTATTTGATATGCGTTCAGAAATTGTTAGAAGTGAATTTTGGCTTCCAGAAGAATCCTTAATATTGTCAATGTAAACCAAAAAGTATCTGAGACAAAAGGCAATCAATTTAAAAGTTTGTTTTGATTATGACCTGTGACATAGCCTCAGGAGGTTCTCAGAACATGTGCCTAACATGGTTGGTTTACAGCTTGGTTTTACATTTTAGGGAGACAGAAGTTACTGGCAAAGACATAAATCGATATATGTAAGGTATACATTGGTTCTGCCAAGAAAGATGGGAAATCTTAAGGTGGGGTGAGACTTCCAGATCATAGGTGGATTTAAAGATTTATTGATTGGCAATTTGGTTGTCCACCCATTTGCCTTGGTTCAGTTAAATTAAGCCTATACTGGGGACATTTCTTGTTTACCACATCAGCTCTGTATCTACAAAACCTCTGTAGCAAAGATTTAGTATATTTCTCAGCATATATCGTAGTGAAATATATTATAACTCTTTTTGTAAACTCCTTGAGATAAGTGAATTTGAATTAAATATTTTTGTACTCACTCATCCTCAAAGTCAATGTAATTAGCATAAGATTTTCCACATAGTGAAAAATAAATCCATTGTAATTAAAATGACTTAGGTGGTATTTCTTAGGGGAAGGCAACATGGAATCACTGCTAGAGAGAAGAAATAACTGGCAGAAAGCTCCAGAATAAGTAGATTCATGTCAGACAGATTATAAATTGCACATCACATAGCAAATTGCATTACTAAGAAGGTGACATTTCAGCAAATAATCTGAATGTGATAAGGAAGTGAAACATGTAGATATCTGTACTTTACTCCCCTGATTAACTGAGCTATTAATTGTATCAGTTGCTATACTAAGATTTGGGGATAAAGTAATGAGCACATCCTGCTCTACTTCATCCAAACTAGTGGGAAAGGCAAAATCAAGCAGATAATCATAAATGAATGGAAGATTAAAATTGGAACAAGTGTGTTGAAGCAAAGTTAATGAGATCTTAATCTATGAGAGAGAGACCTGACTTATTTTCAAAAGATAGGTCTAAGAAGATTCCCTTAGTAGTGTTTGAAGCAAAACCTGAGAATGAATAGAAATGGACTAAATAGAGGGTGCTGAAAAGAGGGTGGTGCATGTATGTGAAACACGTTCCAAGTGAAAGAATATCATGAGCTAAGAGCCCGCAGAGGGTGACATATGTATGACTGAAGGGAGAAACTGAAAGAAGGTGGGCCCCTGGCTGGAGCCCAGAGGCCAAAGGGCAGTGCAGTGGGAGATGGTATCTATGAGGATTGGCAGGAAACAGACCAGGCAGGCTCACTCTCTTTATTGCTACAAATTTACAATTGCCAAATACTTTGACATTTTCAAAGCATGTTTATGTCAACGTTCTAATTTAATTTCTATTTCATCCATGTGATGTAGGCAGGCAGGATGCCTACGGCTGACAGTATCAGAAATTCAAGTGATATTCCAAGTCCCCATGAACAGTTAACAGAGGAAGCTAGAAATCAAATTCAGCTGACCCTTGAACAACGTGGGTTTAACCGAGCAGGTCCACTTATACGTGGACTTTCTTGCATCTCTATGACTGCTGAGACAGCAAGACCAACCCCTCCTCTTCCTCCCCAGACAACTCAACATGAAGATGATGAGGATGAAGATCTTTATCATGAGCCACTTCCACTTAATGAATACTAAATATATTTTCTCTTCCGTATGATTTTCTTAATAACATTTTCATTTCTCTAGCTCAGTGGTCCCCAAACTTTTGGCACCAGGGACCAGTTTTGTGGAAGACAATTTTTTTCCACAGATGGTGGTGGGGATGGTTTTGGGATGAAACTGTTCCACCTCAGATCATCAGGCATTAGATTCTCAAAAGGAGCTTGCAACCTAGATCCCTTGCATGCGCAGTTCACAATAGGGTTCACACCATTGAGAATCTAATGCTACTGCTGATCTGACAGAAGGTGGAGCTCAAGTGGTACTGCTCGCTAGTCTGCCACTCACCTCCACTGTACAGCTCGGTTCTTAACAGGGAACAGGCTGGTACCGGCTCACAGCCCGGGGGGGAGGGGTCCCCTGGTCTAGCTTATTTATTAACAATACCATATATAATACATATAACATACAAAGTATGTGTTAGTCAACTCTTTTTGTTATCAGTAAGGCTTCCAGTCAACAGTAAGCTATTAGTAGTTAGGGGATAAAAAGATATATATGGAGTTTTGACTATGGGGATCAGCACCCATGATCTGCACATTCCTCAAGGGTCAACCGTAATCTGAGTTCTAGTCCCTGGAATTTTCTCCCAGACTATGGTAAATATCGTTTCTTGCAGCAACTGTTCTTTTTTTCCTCGACTGTGGTCTTGGTAGTTGACTTTGTGTCTAAAACACTTAACAGGTATGTTAAATTGATTTAGTGTTGTGTTCTCAGAGGATTCCAAATCCTGGTCTTTTTGTCTGGCTCTTCTTGACTAAATTTAAACCTATAAAGAGCGAAAATCACTCTACGTGGCATATTTATATGTTCAAAATGAAATACTTTACAAAATCATATTTTTATAGTGCTCCATTCCAAATTGTGATGCTTTTAGAAATAAAATTGTTAATACTCTTTAATCTCATGAACTTTGGTATTTTTCTACCTTTTAACTCAGAATAATTACCTTTATGTTGATTCATGTGAGTGTGTCATTGACATTGACTTCAAAATATACCACACATTTATAGAAATACAAAAAGTCTTCAAGGAAAGATAGAAATATCTGGAGACATTCCATAAAAGGATTCAACAAGACCAACTTGTGCTAGTTCATATCTCCTTTTGCAGATAAAGACTTCCTTTAAATCTACTTGGTAAAATTTCATATTAGATTGTCATTTTCAGTTTAACATGGGGATTATCTTTACATATCTTGTTTAGAGGTTTCTTTCACTCCCTTAATGGCAAGTAGCAACTCTATATAATGTCTCTGAAAAGTCATACAAATTCAAATAGCACAAATGGGAATTTACCTGTAATGAATTTACACTCTCTTTGAAGAGAATGTACATGCTTAGAACAAAAGAAGCAATGATACTATCACATTATGTGTGTGGCTTTATTATGTTATTAAAATTTCAACCACATACCTCTCAACTGTTGTTCTCTCTCTGTCTAATAAAGCTGATTATCATACATACTTTTAGTAATATATCGAATAAGCATAGCCTGAAAAGTCTCTACCCTTCTGTTTCTTCATAATGACTTTAATATTATACCAATTTCTTCTTTCCTTGAGAGCTCTTTGTAAATATTTTGTATTCTCTTATAGTTTTGAAATGTGTGTTCTTTCTTTCACTATTAGGCTCTTATATCTGACTCTTTAATTTTTTTTTTTTTTTTTGAGATGGAGTCTCACTGTGGTGTCCAGGCTGGAGTGCAGTGGCACGATCTTGGCTCACTTCAAGCTCCACCTCCTGGGTTCATGCCATTCTCCTGCCTCAGCCTCCTGAGTAGCTGGGACTACAGGTGCCCGCCACCACGCCCAGCTAATTTTTTGTATTTTTAGTAGAGACAGGGTTTCACTGGGTTAGCCAGGATGGTCTCGATCTCCTGACCTCATGATCCACCCACCTCGGCCTCCCAAAGTGCTGGGATTACAGGTGTGAGCCACCACGCCCGGCCCTGACTCTTTAAGTTTTGATACGCATCTCTACCCCATACCCCAAATAAGTTTTGCAAATGTTCTATAAATATAGCTCTGGTGTTCCTGACTTTGTAGAATATCTTTTATCTCTGTATTCCAGTTACAAAAAGTCTGTAACAAGCCATAAGACCAAAGATGCAAAATGGCTCTACATCAAAGAAAGGGAAATGAGAGGGTTAAGGAAAATTTGAACTGGAAGACAAGAAAGCAGAGCAAGCGGGGGGCCCTATCATATTTAAAATTCTTCTGCTCCTTAGGCCAGCTGACAAAGATAGTATATTTAAATTCTGTTTCACTGTTGGTGGGGGACTTTTGACTATACAAGGATATTTAGGGCTTAAAATAGTCAATAAGGTTGTAATGCAAAAGTCCTTTCATAGAGATAAAGATAGAGTGTTATGCAAAGAAAGAGAAGACAGACATCCACTGCTGATGGAAAGACCAATATGGAGCAGTATTTGGTGGATGACCTTAACTCACACACACTCTCTCTCTCTCCCTCTCTCCAGGGACTTCTGCATATTATCTGAAAAACCTGCATTCATGTATTTGTCCAGTATATCTTCTTGTCTTTATTATGTCCTTCTCAAAAGAGATGAAAGAACTCATGACATTGTATATAGTGTTCACATATGTCACCTGGATGAGAGTAATACTCAAACTATTCTAGTGAGAATATCATGGGCTCTGGTAGAAATGAGATGGCGTTCCTCTTCATCCAATTGCAGAACTCTAATATCCATATCGCATGTCTGTCTACCATGATACTGAATCCTTTTGCAGTCAAGTTGTAACACAAAATAAAGGCAGTATTTTTCTTTAGGGCTATCATCCAATATTCTTATCTTTTGACAAAAAGAGTCTACAAAACAACACTATAAAAATTTTAGGAAAGATATAGCTTTGTTCTGTGTTACTGTAGTCTAAAAATTATGTTTATCAGGAAACCTGATAAATTTACGGTACACAATGTTTATATTATAAAACTACAAATCAATTCAGAGCAAGATAGCTATGATTTCATGGTGAGAGACACTGAGACAAAAATAAACTCAAGAGTCATAGAGAACTACAAAACAACAGCAAAAACATTTCAATTTTCTTTTTTCTTTTATTCTCTAGTATTTTTTCTTATTTTTTTTTTATTATACTTTAAGTTCTGGGATACAGGTACAGAATGTACAGGTTTGTTACATAGGTATACATGTGCCATGGTGGTTTCCTGCACCCATCAACCTGTCATCTACATTAGGTATTTCTCCTAATGCTATCCCTCCCCTAGAACCCCACCCCCTGACAGGCCCCCAGGGTGTGATGTTCCCCTCTCTGTGTCCATGTATTCTCATTGTTCAACTCCCACTTATGAGTGAGAACATGCAGTGTTTTGTTTTCTGTTCTTGTGTTAGTTTGCTGAGAATGATGGTTTCCAGCTTCATCCATGTCCCTGCAAAGGACGTGAACTTATCCTTTTTTATGGCTGCATAGTATTCTATGGTGTATATGTGCCACATTTTCTTTATCCAGCCTATCATTGATGGGCATTTGGGTTGGTTCCAAGTCTTTGTGATTGTGAAGAGTGCTGCAATAAACATATGTGTGCATGTGTCTTTATGTAGAATGATTTATAATCCTTTGGGTATATAACCAGTAATGGGATTGCTGGGTCAAATGGTATTTCTGGTTCTAGATCCTTGAGAAATTGCCACACTGTCTTCCACCATGGTTGAACTAATTTACACTCCCACTAACAGTGTAAAAGCATTGCTATTTCTCCATATTCTCTCTAGCATCTGCTGTTTCCTGACTTTTCAATGATTACCATTCTAACTGGCATGAGATGGTATCTCATTGTGGTTTTGATTTGCATTTTTCTAATGACCAGTGATGATGAGCTTTTTTTCATATGTTTGTTGGCTGCATAAATGTCTTCTTTCGATAAATGTCTGTTTATATCCTTCACCCACTTTTTGATGGGGTTGTTTTTGTCTCGTAAAGTTGTTTACATTCTTCGTAGATTTTGGATATTAGCCCTTTGTTAGATGGATAGATTACAAAATTTTCTCCTATTCTGTAGGCTGCCTGTTCACTCTGATGATAGTTTCTTTTGCTGGGCAGAAGCTCTTTAATTAGATCTCATTTGTCAATTTTGGCTTTTGTTGTCATTGCTTTTAGTGTTTTAGTCATGAAGTCTTTGCCCATGCCTATGTCCTGCATGGTATTGCCTAGGTTTTCTTCTAGGGTTTTATGGTTTTAGGTCTTACGTTTAAATCTTTAATCCATCTTGAGTTAATTTTTGTATAATGTGTAAGAGGGGTCCAGTTTCAGTTTTCTGCATCTGGCTAGCCAGTTTTCCCAACACCATTTATTAAATAGGGAATCCTTTCTCCATTGCTTGTTTGTGTCAGGTTTGTCAAAGATCAGATGGTTGTAGACGTATGGGGTTATTTCTGAGGCCTCCATTCTGTTCCATAGGTCTATATATCTGTTTTGGGACCATTTCCATGCTGTCTTGGTTACTGTAGCCTTGTAGTATAGTTTCAAGTCTGGTAGCGTGATGCCTCCAGCTTTGTTCTTTTGGCTTAGGGTTGTCATGGCTATGTGGGCTCTTTTTTGGTTCCACATGAAATTTAAAGTAGTTTTTTTCTAATCCTGTGAAGAAAGTCAATGGTAGTTTGATGGGGATAGCACTGAATATAAACTACTTTGGGCAGTATGGCCATTTTGATATTGATTCTTCCTATCCATGAGCATGGAATGTCTTTCCATTTGTTTGTGTCCTCTCTTATTTCCCTGAGCAGTGGTTTGTTGTTCTCCTCGAAGAGGTCCTTCACATCCCTTTTAAATTGTATTCTTAGGTAATTTTATTCTCTTGTAGCAATTGTGAATGGGAGTTCACTCATGATTTGGCTCTCTGTTTTGTCTATTATTGGTGTATAGGAATGCTTGTGATTTTGGCACGTTGATTGTTTATCCTGAGACTTTGCTGAAGTTGCTTATCAGCTTAAGGAGATTTTGGGCTGAGATGATGGGATTTTCTAAATATACAATCATGTCATCTGCAAACAGAGACAATTTGACTTCCTCTCGTCCTATTTGAATGCCCTTTATTTCTTTCTCTTGCCTGATTGCCCTAGCCAGACCTTCCAATACTGTGTTGAATAGGAGGGGTGAGAGAGGGCATCTTTGTCTTGTGCCGGTTTTCAAAGGGAATACTTCTAGTTTTTGCACATTCAGTATGGTATTGGCTGTGGGTTTGTCATAAATAGCTCTTATTATTTTGAGATATGTTCCATCAATACCTAGTTTATTGAGAGTTTTTAGCATGAAAGGGTGTTGAATTTTATCAAAGGCCTGTTCTGCATCTACTGAGATCATCATGTGGTTTTCATCATTGGCTCTGTGATGGATTACGTTTATTGATTTGTGTATGTGAACCATCCTTGGATCCCAGGGATGTAGCTGACTTGATCGTGGTGGATAAGCTTTTTGACGTGCTGCTGGATTCGGTTTGCCAGTATCTTACTGAGGATTTTTGCATCGATGTTCATCAGGAATATTGGCCTGAAATTTTCTTTTTTTGTTGTGTCTCTGCCAGGTTTGGTATCAGTCTTCTGTAAGTGATTCAGTAGCCTTTCTGTTTAAATCAGTTAGAATGCATTTTGTTTTCAGTAATTGAACCCTGACTGATAAGCTTTTAAACTGAAATGTAATGATTACTAGATGCAGAACATAGAAGTGGATTATTGTTTAACTCAAAGAGTTGAGAAACAATTTTTCTGTTTGAAAGATAAATATTTATATATTGGACTTTAGACCTCAGGTAAAAATGTTTTATTAAAACATTTACCAACTAAAATATCATTAGAATAATTTCCCACATTATACAAAAAGTGAAAATTATTTGCAAAAGTATTTGACTGCCTAGAATATTTATTGTTTTTATTTCATTGTAAAAATAACATTCACCTTAATCTTTGGAGAGCTAGTTGCATTTTAAATCTTCATTTTTCTCCAGCCATTCCCTATCTTGCCCTTGTAAACTCTTCATTTCGTAAAGACAAACTGTAAGTTGGCCTACTCAGGTGATACAACACTAATGTTAAGCAGTAGCTTTTTCACACAAGTGTAAAATTATCTTTTACTAGCTACTTTTGTCAGTGCCTTTATAAATTTACGTTCTGCATATATTTGAATGCTTAATATTTCTGTGTCTTTATAAAAATGACTCTTATATTAAGGTTGCTTTCCCCCATAGCAGTTTATCCTATCTCAGCCTTGACAATTAAATTTAGAAAAGGACATTATAACTTGCTAGTGAATTATTTATTTCCACTGAGTCATAGTATTGTATTCTCAGTAATATGATGAAAATAATTCCTGAGAGAATAATTTTAATATGCTATAAATTTCAATGTTATTTTACAATGGATAATTTGATTTGCAAACAAAGCAAAGCTTTAAGCAAAGGCTTTTTCTTTGTAATAAAATAGGGCAGTAGGTTGGAGGAACATTTTTCAGTTTTTTTGATTAAAGGTTAAGAAATTATTTGCAGTCTTGTAATGTGATATACCAAATGTCCTTGGAGAATTCCACATAAAATTACAATAACAAAATGTGTCAGTGTGCTTGGTGCTTTACAGCCAGTGACTTGATTCTATTTCAGTAGCGTAAGATTTCTTATCTCTTGGGGCAATAATTTCTTATATTTATATGACAATTCTTCAAATGTTGACTTTATTCACGTTTTTAAAGGGTTTTCTATAGTCACTCATCCAGCTAAGAAACCACAGAATTGCCCCTGTTCTCTGATAAATAAAAACAACTTGCCTGAAGGCAAAAGTACTGTTACATAATTAATATCATCTTGAAAATTAACATAGTGTCTAAAGGATTAAGTCCAAGGCCATGTCTGTGTGGTGACTGGTATTAATGATTGATGTGTATCACACAACTGATTCACTTGCAACATTTGGGGATAGCTCATGATAATTAATGCACTAGATGTGTTGGTTATTTTATGGTCAAAGCCAAACCAATTAACAAAATCTATTTTTATCAAATTATTTTGTACATGATTTGCATGTCAATTTAGTGTTCATTAATAAAGGACTTGAAAGACAGGCTATTCTTATTCTCTCTGGCCCCTTAATATAATTGATTTGTGTGAATAGTGACAGTGAAAAAAAGAGCTTTAAAAAATTAAACATTATTTTCTTGGTAGCAATGATGACAACAATTATACTTGGATGTGCCTTGAAAAGTTAAAATATTATTTTTACTTGGTAGAAAATTTTAAAATTTTCAAAGTACCTTTGTGATTTTCATTCTAATTTGCTTTCTATAATAACTGTGAGATAGGGCATGATATCATTATGCCTATTATGGAGATAAAAAACTGAAGTTTAGCAAGATTTACTCAACATTACAAATTCTTGCGGCAGAAAATGGGAAGGAATCTAAAGGTATAACTTTATGAAGGCTATATCTCTATCTGCTAGTTATTGATATTTAACAACAAAATACTCTGCTACAGAATTTTAAATTCACTGAAACAGAAAAACAAGGTACTACACATTTAAAAATGACAATATCATTATGTGTACAGGCAACTTACCTAAAAACTCATACGTAATAAGTGTCTATTAGGCATGTTCATATACAAGAGTGATCGCCTATAGGCATAGTATGGGAAGTGTTAGTATCTGTTAGTATCATTTCCCATATATTCATGCTCCAAGATTATGTCTCGCTGTGGAGAGGGTGTATTTCAACAAACCAGTTGCCGATGGGAACATGTCATTTGACACAGGTGACTAAGAACCAAGTAAACGTTACAAAGCATAAACATGCATCAGCCAGTGAATTTCACACCAGGTTGATTAGAAGAATCAGGCTATTCTGAAGACTAGAGAAGTCTGGGATCACTGGAATATGCACATGGCTTATTGTCCAAGTCAAGGTAATACTATTATCACCACATTTCAGGTAGACCCAGTTTAAGTAGGAAACCCCTATAGATTTCCCAAAGAAGGATCAGCAATTCAAAGAATCAGCAGGGCATCAAGAAGACTTCTGAAATTTGGTGATTGAACTGAAGTTCCCAATATTGAGCCTTTTGCGTTCTCTGAAAACTTTGGTTCTGATATATCCTCTAGTTCTTAAGATTTTAAATCAACTTTACTTGGACATGTCACCATACCAGCTCTAGCTCCACATCCAAACCCCATGACCAGCTGACTTAGCTAGACCACCTTCAACTTAATTGGGACTGGGGAAAATGTTTTCAGAGATATCTGCATCAATATATGCGTGGGGATAGGACAAACTGTCAGGTCTAGGACCTGGAATGTTGATTTGCCTACAAAGTAGAAAGTGACGTCAGCCAGCTAACAGGTATAATAGGCATATTAATGCCAGGGGGCAGCAGTCCAACACAGTCATTGACATCAGAGTGTTGCTATTCTTTCTGATGGCACTTACCATCCTTGCCCTTATCATGTGCACAAATAATTTGTTGGAGTTTTTTTTGTTTGTTTTTGTTTTTTGAGGTAGGGTCTGCCTCTATCTCAAAGATTGTGCGGTGGCCCAATCTCAGCTCACTGCAACCTCCGCCTCCAAGGTTCAAGCCATTCTTGTGCCTCAGCCTCCTGAGTTGCTGGGACTACAGACATGCACCACCAAGCCTAGTTAATTTTTATATTTTTAGTGGAGATGGGGTTTCGCCACTTTGGCCAGGCTCGTCTGGAACTTCTGAGCTCAAGTGATCTGCCCGCCTTGGCCTCCCAAGGTGCTGGGATTATAGGCATGAGCCACTGTGCCCAGACAGTTTAGTATAAATATGGAAAAGAAAGTTAACAGACAAATTCTTTGGTGCCATAATGACAAAATCTGCTAACTGAAAATACAAAAAAAAAAAAATCATAGAGGTAATCGATCTTCTTGCTCAAAATTCAAAACAAAAAATGGAAAGAGGTTATTTAAATCATATTTTGTTTTCTGTAGTGACATATGGGTTGAGAAAAGGTCAGAGGGCCTAAGTAAGGAAAAGCAGGAAATAAGAGGGCTGAGAAAATCCTAGAACTATTAGGCAATCAATAAATTGTTAAATAGAATAGGAGTCTCCCCAGCTCACACGCACATGAACTCAAAAGCAAAGTATTCGCTCTAAGATATTGGCACAGTACAGGAGACTTCCCTAAGAGAAACAGCCTTGCATCTAAAACCTAAAGCATGTTTTTGTCCTACAAGAGGGAATGAGGTAAGAATGGGATCTTTAGAGTTCATGTGGCTTTGGCAATTCCAGAAGAAGCTGAACTGACCCTACCTACTATCTGTCTATTGGTTCTTTTTCTTTCACCTTTTTTTCCTTCATTTCTCTCTCTCCTTCTTTTTTCCTTTTTTCTTTCTCTGTATTATCCGACTATTGAGGACCTACAATGTGCCAGATATAGGAGCTAGAGCTGGAGATGCAACAAAGAATACTACAACAGGAACACTTGCTATCATGGATGGATCTTACATTTTGGTTAAGAGAGTCATAAAATAGACACATACATATACCAACAAACAGGATAATTCCACATAATGGTAATAAAAAGAAATAGGGTGATCTGATAATAATCAATAGAGGGCACGTGTTTCAACTTTAGATTAGGTAATATGGAAAAAGTACTTCAAGGAACTAAAGATTAAGAACTGCAGACTACTCACTAACAAGACTCACTAAAAAGAAAATCATAGGTAAAGTTTTCCGGACAGCAAAAATAGCAAATGCAAAGATCCAGGAATGACTTTTGGGGTCCAAGAAGCCCAGTGTGGCAAGATTATAGTGAATCACATTTGGAGTCAATAACCATATGTCTTCTGCAGTGGGAAAAAATAGAGACTTCTGTGGGAATTAGAAATTGCATCAAGCCACACCTTCATAGCAGGTCTAAATGAGATGGTGATAAAGAACTTGAGATGGCAACTGGAAGTATCAAAACAGTGTGGATTTGCCATTCCTCAAATGCACATCACAGAGGTTCCTTCTTCCCCTTGGACAAAACTTATATTCTCAAGCTGAATTAGACTACAGGTTAATAAACAGCTTATAAAAGTTTGATGCACAAAGTACTATATTTGTCATGCCAGAATGAACAGACTGAATAACGCTTGTAAAACCTAATGGTTCACTAGGAAAGAATTCCTTGATGGCACAGCTGATATTTAATTTAACAAGTTAATTGAGGGATAACTCAGGCTTACATTTCAGAAAATCAATTTACCATCCAATTAGTTAAGGCAAAAGAAATGAAAGACATTATCTGATTATGGGATAAGAAAAACATGAACAAATGGGATTAAGATGCTTCTGTCTCAGATATTTCATAAGGAACATCCAGAGAGCATAGTTTCATGTTTGGAGCTCTTAAAAACAAAATTCTTAAAATATATATGGAATAAAATGTATCATAATTTACATATATAATTGATTTAATTTATAAAAGAACATTAAATCTTCAGGTTCTTTCATATTTTTGAAGAAAAACTGGCAGGTGCCCATGGAAAATGAGTCACAGATAGAATGACTATCCCATTGGGAAATCTTTCAGTTGAACTTCATGTAATTCTCTTCAAGTTTTGACATAATCTGAGTTGACTACAAACCATATATAATCTCAAACACACATCTATGCACTTCTTTATAACTTTTTATATCATTTTGGACTCATTTGAGTATATTATGAAGTTCTTGAAGGTAGAGAACACATGATTTCTTTTTCATGACATTCTGCAGAGTCTAGACCCAAGCTAATATGACAAACTTGGTAAGCCAATATGATTTTTACTGGATCTTGTGTAGGTTTTGATTAGGTTACTGGAATAAAATAGATATGGAATGAAAAACTATAGCTCTATGGCCAAAATGGCCTTCAGCACATTTTTGTAAAGTTTCACTAGAATACAGTCATACCTATTAGTTTACTTACTATCTTTAGTTGCTTTGCTGCTAGAATAGTAGAATTGACTATATGCAACAGAAACTATATGGTTCTCTAGATTGCAAATATATGATATTTTACACAAAAGGGTCTGATCCCTAAAATGATTGTTTCCATGTTCTTTGTGCTTTGGTGTGATTTAAAAAAATGTACCGACATTTCCGACAGGTAGTTTAATGACTTAATTTTGACATTTACTCTTATTTTGGTGTAAGAAGTAATGTAAAAGTCTACTCACATTACATTCTTAAATGATGGTTGCCTCCATACCACTTATTGGGTGATCCATCTGCTCATCGCTAATATAAAACACCATATTTATTATATATCCAGGTATTGATTTAGAGTATTAATATTAATTAACATATGCTGAGCTTTCACCATATGACAAATACTTTATTAGACATTTTACTAGTATAATTTTATTACATATAATTCTATCATGTGTATACTGTTTATTATTTCCATTTTACAGATGAAGAATCTGAGGTATATAGATTTTACATAACCTGTCCAAGGTTACACAGTTAAAAATTTGTGAAGAAAGCAAATTTTGCAGATCTTAGAAGAGGTAAAATTGGTAATTACTTAATACATTTTGAATAGAAGTTGAATGAATATACAAAATTCTTATACATATCTTGATCATAGCTTTCTATTGTGTTTGTTTTGATTATACAACAAATACTTACATGGCATCAAGCTCTGCTCTAAGCACATTATACATATTATCTCATTTAAACCTCAAAACACCCTTAGGAGGCAGTTATTATTGTAACCAACATTTTGACAGTAAGAAACTGAGGCACAGAGAGATTAAGTGTTTTCGCAATGGGCACTCAAAAAGGCAGTGTCAGACCTGGGATTTAAATGCAGAAAGACATATTCATGCAATCTTGCTTTTCTCTAGGCTTGTGTTCATTGATTTATTCTAGTAATTGCAGAAATACATGTCTCTAAATATTTAAAAAATGAGTTGCTGCTGATCTGTAGGGAGAGCAGAAAATCAAGACTGAGAATTTCTAATTTAATTATGTAAGTAGACATCAAAGAAAATCACCTAAGTCAAGTAGTATTAGTAAAAAAATCCTTGCTTCGTATTTCTTAACACACTAGAATATAAAAGTGGTCTATTTGGTTTAGAAAGGAATATTTACATGATATAATCTTGTGGAAACAAGAACTGGTTGTGTAAATGGTCAACCTGGAAAACAGTCTGAAACCTATAAACATAAACTTTCATAATAAAAGAGTTCATTATTTTTTAAAACATTAAATATGGAATATTTTTCCCAGTAAAATCAGCTTTATTTTTTCCCCTCTTTTTAAAAGACTGATTTGAAAGAAGCATTTCTGAGTCATCTAAGCTTTTAAAAATATATGACCTATTCCTTATGAGGTATGAATCTTCTCCTTGTCCTCTTTATTTGAGCTTGGATGTGTCAAATACAGTAAAATGGAATTTTAAACCTCACCAGAAAAATCACCAGTGGATTCTGCAGAAACTAGATTGATTTCAACCACAGAGTAATTTTTTCAGACTTCTGTGTCTGAGCATCGAGTCACCTCTCCTGGCTCTATACACCTCAGCAGCTACTACATTAGGAAAACACCACTCTGGGGTTCAGAACTGTTTCCTGGGAGCAGAGTAAGGCAGACTGATACATATTTATGTTTCCTAATTGGTTATACTTGTACAGTGGGACATGAGTTTTTCCCAGGAAGGTGTTGGTATTGGCCATATCCAAACTATGTCCAGAATCAGGTCAAAGTTCATGTCTTTGGAAAATAACTTGGAGGAATAACTGAGGGGAATATTGGCAGAGACAATGCATTCTGGACAGCCTGTTCAGTTTGGTACCATTCATGACTTCTGACTTCCTGGGAGCCAAAACCTAAATCAGTTTTAAATGGTTGGCCTCACTTAAAATTGAGTTTGAAGAAGATAATTTACTGGGTCATTGGCTAAGGACCAGCTTGAAAAGAATTTCATTTGCTAACACTGTGGTGCTAGTTGTCACCAGTGGCCTCTGGATCAACTGAGCCAACATCCTGAGGAGATGTTGAATCTTGTGTTTCTGAATGCTGAATATTTGTTCTTGGAAGATGAGAATGTTGTTTAAATTTTTCACAAAAATTTTTATCTGATATTTGGTCCTGTATCAGTTGGGTTCTCTAGAGGGACAGAACCAACAGGATAGATGTATATATAAAGAGGAGTTTATTAAGGTGTATTGACTTACAGGATTACAAGATGAAGTCCCCTAATAGGCCATCTGCAAGCCGAGGAGCAAGGAAGCCAGTGTGAGTCCCAAAACTTCTAAAGCAGGGAAGCCAACAGTGCAGCCTTCAGTCTGTTGTTGAAGGTCCAAGAGTCCAAAAGCTGAAAAACTTGGAGTCCTGTGTTTGAGGGCAGGAAGCATCCAGCATGGGAGAAAAATGGAGGTCAAAAGACTCAGCCAGTCTAGTCCTTCCATGTTCCTCTCCCTGCTTTTATCCTCGCCGCACTGGCAGCTGATCAGACTGTGGCCACGCAGATTGAGGGTGGGTCTTTCTCTCCCAGTCCATTGACTCAAATGTTAATCTCCTTTAGCAACACCCTCACAGACACACCCAGGAACAATACTTTGCATCCTTCAATCCAATCAAATTGACACTCAATATTAAAAATCACAGGTCCCAAACCATGAAACAGACAATGATGAATGAATGCATTTACAGTAAGCAGATACATATCATTCTTTGCATTTTTTATGTTGATTGAGCTCTGATAATGAATGATCAGGTGAAAATGATGGGTCTTTTATTTTTAGTAAAGTGCTTAAAATAGTAAAATTAGTTTTTTTTCTATTTTTATATCAGTGCTACATTTTCATTTGACAAGTGCTATATTCAGATCACTATATCAAATAACCATATTATAATCACAGCACTTTAGAATCAGTGTTAATAAAGCCAAAACCTCATGGGAGAATAAAGGGAGGAAAGACAGTCATCAGCAAGTAGATTATTTCTTTATAAAGTCTTAAAAATATCTTTAAAATGCAAGACCTCTGTGCAACTCATCTGTTCAAGGACAATCTTTCCTAAGAAATGACATATAATTCTACTTGTTTTGTGCTCTCTAGTGGAACATTTGTTTATTTATCGTTCTACTCAAGAGAATGTTTGTGTCTGGGGGACTGATAGACAGGCTAGTGCCCATATCCCTGTATTTTATTCAGAACCACATCAGTGCAGCAGGCCCAGAGTGTTTGGAAGGTTTGATAATACATAGCAATAATTCATAGCATTTTTGTCACCAAACCAACAACAGACATTTGATGCATACTGATTAAGAACTGATATGTGACAGAACTTTTTCAAACGTTTATTTATCAGAACAAAAAAATCTGAATTCAACGTCAATGAATTACACTGGGCTTTGTTTCCCTCTTTCTGTATACATGTTAATTTGCCACAGGCCAGCCACTTAATAGCTTTGTGAACTTGGATGACTTGTAGAACCATAGACTCTCCTGGATAAAGGAGATCTTAAAGGTCATCTTGTTAGTCACCTATAGGATCCTTACATCTCCTCTTCAGCATTGGCACTAAGTTGTTGTATGGCTTCTGTTTGGCTCCTCTCAATGATGGGGAACTCAGTATCAGCCAAGGAACTTGGACCATTTTTAGACAATTCCAAGTGAAAGTAAATTCTTCGAATACTGAGCTCTTTTGTTTTGAGTTATGTAAATGTAAATGGATATGATCACTACTGCCTTTCTTATATCACAAACTTTTTGTAAGGACAAAATGAAGTAATATATGTAGAAAATGCAGTAAATTTCATGAAGTAAGATCTACTGGAAGGTATTATTCTTATTACTCCAAGTGTTTTAGACTGAGGAATATTCACACTTATTTGCTTTCCCTTCTGGGTAAGGATTATGGCATTAGATTTGCCTGTGTGACTTACTCTGACCAATGAAATGTGAATAGAGGTGACATGTGTCACATCTGAACAAAAGGTTTAAGAGCCAGCGTGTGACCCCAAGTTATTTTCCCTCTGCCATAGCCAAAGTTTGGGTCCCAGAGTGAAGATGACATGTAACAGAGCCACAGCCTATCCATGTGAGCGTGTTGCATGAGTCAGAAATAAATTTTGGTTGTAAACCACTGAGATATTGAGGTCATTTGTCATTGTAGTCTAACCTAGGCTTTCTTAACTGGCATGTTTTTTCTCAATTTAGGCCCAAATTACAAATTATATTCTTATGAACTTCTTAACCACTGTGGGGCGATTCCCCTTTTCCTGCTGACTCTACAGGGACAAAAAAAAAATTGGAAATGTTTTTCTAATTATCCCCCATAAAATTTTAATATCAAACATAAGCTGTATATTGGTTTATGTTATTTTTAGTTTATACTTTGGCTACTAATATGTCTTTGGGGTTCTGTTTTAAGATGGTAGACTGAACACATGCATTTAAAACTGCAGTGGAATGCTAGTAAAGAAACATAAAAGGTGATAAAACTGAATGATAAACGGTCAACAGTTGAAAGAGATGGCAACAGAATTTCTGGAAGAGAGAAAGCTTATGAAGGCATGTCAGTGGAAGAAACAGGGCTGAAAACAGGCCCAATTGTGTTGCATGAGAATGAGTTTTCCTTGGGAGCCCATGGTGTGGTGGAGCCAGCTGCCAGAGGGGTCTGCAGTTATGCTCATCTTTTCCCAACTGCAAGTACAGAGATGTCACGGTGGTAGCTTGAAATTGGCCATGCTGGTGGACAAATCTCACTGCCCCTACCCCCAATCCTCCAATAGCTGTTTGTTAAGCATTTACCAGAACATCATTGTAAGGAGCCCGACAAAAGACTCGAGTTTTGAGCAATATGGTTTTAAAGGCAAGAGTGAAGGGTAGGGCTCAAAATGGGAGCATTGGTAATTAAAGGTCTAGACCACCTGTTTCAATCAGGCCTTCTTCCTTTTATCCTGTTTCTGCATGTCACATGCCATATTGAGCCCTTGCAAAACCCTAGAGATCTCCTTTCAAGTAGTGGTTTTCAAGGCTTAGCCTGCATCAGAATTGCCTGCAATCTTGTTAAAACACAGATTGCTGGGTTTCTGATTTAGTCGTTCTGGGTGGACAACAAGAATTTACAACTCTAAGAAGTTTCAGGTGATGCTGCCGCTAGTGGTCTGGTGACCGCACATTGAAAACCACTGTTCTAAGTAATTAAAGGAGAACACTAGCATGAATGCTGACATTGCAGACTGAAACGCTTCTCATTTTAACACCTGGAATTGTAGAGGGCAGTCTATCAGCTAGCCTACTGCTTCTGCATCCTAAAGTTAGCCTCTTAGGCAACAAACCCCTTCCATTAGACACAGACCAATAAACTTTGCTATTCAGCTAAGAGGAAACAAAACCAGTTATTATTCTATAGCTTCCATGAATAATCGACTTGATCTTTCTGCTAGGAACCAATCATTATATGGACATGTCAATGTAACCTCGTTTATTATTTTTCAAAGTTTTGCAATTAATCTATAGTCAAAACATGTATTATGTAATTATATTTACAAAATAAAATGTATATGCTATTAATGTTTACAATGTAAAAATAGAGAAAAGGTCAGAAGTTGGAAGATCAAAATTGGGAAGACAGGTGGAAAGAAAAATAATAATTGAATAATATTTTACATAATGATCCTCTGAGCTGTTATTGAAAGTTGATAGCAAAATATATAGAATTTTAGGTATATTATTCAACTTTACTAAGGCAACCAATAGAAAAGCTAAATATTTTTATCTCTCTTAAAAATTGAAAGGAAGAAAAAAGGTATAATTTAAAAATCTTAGTTTTTAAAAAATAATAGAGAGTAAATTGAGGTTGGTGAAAGTAAACAAAAAGAAAAATGAAAAATAAGCATTTATTTACTGTTTTGGAGGTGACTACCATAGGTGAAGACAGAAACGGTTGAAAGTATTGACCTCTGAGGAGTGGAATTGTTGGCATTGAAACTGAGGAGAATACTGATGCTTCTCATTATAAAATTTGTTCTGTCTTTTCATTCAAACTCACAAGTGAACAATGGTTTTTTTTTTTTAAGTCATCTATGTTAAAATGACTTTTTTTTTTTTTTTAGTATGAACTGACTTGAGCATAGTTTATAGCTTGGTTTGGAAATGGAACATGGATATACAAGGCTTTTTAATATAGGAATGCTGACGGAAAATATGCTATACTTTGTAAATAAACCCTGACCCACTCACAGAAAGCACACCTGAAGTGAAATTATTACCCACTGACTGATAATTGACTGAGCAACTTTAGTTTTCATCTAGCTCTTTGAGTATCTTTGGAGACTCCTGATAATAATACAAGTATATCAAGAGGATTACTGATTGCTCCTGTGTTAGTGTCTTTTAATAGACATAAAACCAGACTATAAATGGTCATAACACTCAGGTGAGCCCTCTGAAGTTATTTACCAACATAACCCCACACACTGACAGCTTCCAGGCATGTCAATAATCTGCTGCCCTATAAACTGCCTATGGTTTGAAGAAAATAGTATTTTTAGTCAGGAAAATTTCCAGCTGTAAAACAGTGAATTCATTCAATGTTCTTCAAAGGCTGAAATGATTTCAGGCTTTATATTTGTCTTGAGTTTGAGCATATCATGTTTTTTTATTAAAAGTTTTGAGGGGGAGGGATGAAAAACTATGAAAGTGAAATCCCACATGAAATTGTGTCAAATTGCATTTCAGTTGGCTGAATACATTTGTTATTGATTTTGTCCCTTAATAACAATGAATGGCTAATGAAAAAAATCACCCAGCTTTCATTTCTAGGTACAGAATTTCTAATATATATTTAGGTGGCTTTATGTCCTTGCTTTGCCCTAAAAATGCGTTTATTCATCAACTTTATGAGCTGTTATGATCAGAAATGAGTCATGCCACAATATCTTTAGCTTTCAAAGCTGAATTTGGAATGACTGCTGTTTTGCATTCAAAGTGGGTGTTATTTATCATGTAAGACCATTTATAGTGAAGATAATGAAGAAAATTTTTCATATCAACTAACACAGGCTGGCAGAGTGAGTGTTGGATGTATGTACTTTATTTTTACGTTATTTAGGATAGAGCATAGCTGTACATATAGGCAATCTGAAGTATATTCTTAGTAACTACCCCTGGAACTAAGACAATAACTTTTAAAAATAATCTACTGGTACAAGGTAGAAGGCCCTATACATTTTGTTTATTTATTTATTTATTTATTTATTCATTTTTGTCTATAGCAGGAGTCTGGAATAGAACTATGCTTTTCTGGAAGATTCTGAATGGAACTTGAAATCTCATTTAATTTCCTATGTAATGCAATTAATAAAACACTCCTCTGCTGATTGATCCTTTTATTTTTGAAAGGTTATTTCAACAAGTTTGTTCTTCTAAGCATGTGGAGTAAAATAAAAAAGAGAAACAATTGGTGGAAAATTTTTAAAATAAAAACAGTTTAATCTAAAAAATTGAAGTGGGTTTTAGTTTTCATAGTTAAGGACAATAAGTTCACTCTGGTTTAGGAAATTTTTCTTTTAAATTTTAGTTAGAATTAAACATTTATTTGCAAATTTCAATCGAGATTGAGATTTATCTATAGATATATATATAGAGAGAAATATAGACTATATATATTTCTTCTCTCTCTATATATTTCTTCTTTAACTTTTCTGCCATGAGTCACACCCTCTATATTTTTAAGGACATGGACATTAATGTAAGGTCTGGTAGATTTGCAGAATAAAATCGAAGTGGTGACCTGTGCAGTTACACTGGAGGTTACTGAGGCTGGGTCATAAGGTTTCAGATCTAGGTTCAGTTGCATTAGAGTACTGACAAATAACAATAGCACTTTGACATTTGAGAAAAGGCTGTGGAAGAGGCTTCTGGGAGTCAAAATATGCAAGTGAGACTCTTCTCGTTTATCTGGATTTCTGCTCCTTTGACTGTCATTTCATTCTTGTTATTTCCAGAGTAAAGATATTCCTTCTTCTCTTCTCCCTCTGCTCTTAATATACATTTTTTTTGGTTTATCTCATTCCTTGGAAATAATTGAGTATACATACCCTTCAAAACAGAGCACCCAGATTCAACCATCCTTTTGCTTTTTTGGCCTTTGTTTTATTAAAAAAAATAATTGGGGATGGATGCAAACCATGCATACTGATTTACCTTGAGAAAATACATATAATGATATATAGAAGGGAGGCTTCATAATAGCAAATATAAGTTATGAATCAATAAGGAAGAAGGAGGCTTCCAGTGGGAGCAGATGAGAAATTGGATTTGTCCTGACACAGTGAGAGCGCCATCAAAATGTGCAGTGGCATTTGTACTGTCATAAAGGTGATTATTTGGCATCTAAGCTCTGGCGAGGTTAGACCTCAGATGCTGTTTTTAAGATTAGGAAATAGGCACTGACAGCAGGTAGTCTGAGTTTAAAGGAACTCAAATGTTTAAAGCACCAGGAGATTGAGTTTTGAGAGATTACAGGGACAGGCAATACAATTACAATGCAGAGATTCATTGCGAATGAGCAGAAGTGAAAGTCTTATGTGATAGTAGTTTAATATGTAGGGCAATGATACAGAACCATAACACATAAGCCATAAGCAGTTAAGCTACTGAAGGACTTAGCTATGCCGAAAAAGGTAAATATAAATGGATAATTCTGCAGACCCAAAAGAAGGTGCTGTGTCTCTTCCTATGCTTCTTTATATCCATTGATTTAATCCTATGAAAACATCAAAGTAAGGGTTAATACATATGAGCTTAATGTAATATAAAATGCATTGGCAGCTAGAGTTAAAATTACAACTATAACAAACACAATTTTGTTAGAGCTGAACAGAATTGGAGGACCTACATTACCAGATTTCAAGACTTATTATAAAGTTACAGTAACTGAGATAATCTTGTATGGGCATGTGGATAGACATATAGGTAAGTGAAACAGAATAGAGAGGCCAATAATAGATCCGTACATATTTGTCATTGATTTTCATCCAAAGTGACAAGGCAATTAATTGGGGATAGAATAGCCTTATGAAAAATGGTATGAAGAACACCAGAGACGTGGAATCAACCTAAATGCCCATCAACAGTGAACTGGATAAAGAAAACATGGTGGCCGGGCGCAGTGGCTCAAACCTGTAATCTCAGCACTTTGGGAGGCCGAGGCGGGCAGATCACCTGAGGTCAGGAGTTCAAGACCAGCCTGGCCAACATGGTGAAACCCCATCTCTACAAAAATACAAAAATACAAAAAAAAAAAAAAAAAAAAAAAAAAAAAAAAAAAAAAAGCCCAGCTACTTGGGAACAAGAGGCTGAGGCAGGAGAATCGCTTGAACCCAGGAGGCAGAGGTTGCGGTGAGCCGAGATTGCGCCACTGCACTCCAGCCTGGGCAACAGAGGAAGACTCCATCTCAGAAAAAAAAAGAAAAGAAAAAAGAAAAGAAAACGTGGTACATATAGAATATTACACTGCTAAAACAAAGAGCAAAATCATGCCCTTTGTGGCAACATGGATGGAGATGAAGGCCATATCTCAAGCGAATTAACACAGAAATGGAAAATAGAAAACCAAAAATTAAAAACCAAATACTGTATGTTGTCACTTACAAGTGGGAGCTAAACACTGAGTACACATGGACACAAAGAAGGAAAAAATAGACACCAGGTGGAGGATGGCAGGAAGACAAGGATCAAAAATCCACCTACCAGGTACTATGCTTGTTACCTGGGTGGATAAATAATCTGTATGCCAAACCCCTGTGACATGCAGTTTACCCATGTAACAAACCTGC